>NC_000013.11:33408106-38408106 GCF_000001405.40 Homo sapiens
ATGCAGGTGAATCCGTGTGATAGCTTTATTTTTTTAAATTTGTAATTGTGGTAACTACGCATAACATAAAATTGACCGTCGTAATCATTTCAAGGGTACTGTTCAGTGGTGTTAAGTATACTCACATGGTTGTGTAATCAATCTCCAGAAATGGTTCATTTTCTAAAAGCGAGATTCTATATTCATTAAACAATAACTCCCCACTTTCCTCTCCCCTCCAGCCCCTGGCAACCTCCATTCTACTTTCTGTTTTTATGGATCTGACTTTTCTAGATACCTCCTATGAGTGGAGTCATACAGTATTCATCTTTTTGTAAATGGTTCATTTCATTTAACATAATCTCCTCAAGGATCATCCACATTATAGCATGTGGCAGAATTTCTTCCTTTTTAAGGCTGAATATTCCATTGTTTGTATACACCACATTTTCCTTATTCATTTGTCTATGGGTGGATGCTTGGGTTACTTCTACTTAATGCCTTTATTTTAAAATAACTAAAATCTTGTGACACAAAGGTACAACAATGTATATCCTTGGAAAAAGCTGATTATTATGCTCTCTTTAAACTGAAGAATTAAGCCCATTTCCTGGGCATAAAAGATCTGGCCTTGGCTGATGTCATCCCAATCCATTTCCTCTCTCTCCTCCTGTCCCACCTCCCTCACCTCTCTCTGGCTGTTTTTGCTCTTCATCTAAAAGGCCAGGCTTACTCTTACCTTGAGGCATTTGCCAGTGATGTTCCCTCTGCTTTGAATGTTCTCTTTCCCGAGATATCGGGATAGCTTTCTCCCTCCTTCCTTCACATCTCTGCTCAAATGTTACCTTATCCAAAACATCTTCTCGAACCAGCCTCCACCAAGAGCAACCAGCCCTCTCACTTTGCACCCCATTCTCTCTCTGCCTCTCTTTTGCTTGATATTTCCATGACAGCCATCACCTTAACTCATATTATATATTTTCTTGTTTTTATCACCTAGTTTCCCCACTAGAAAGAAAGCTCTATGAAGTCAAGACTTTGTTTTATTTACACTGTATGTATCTCCAATACCTAGACCTGTGTCTGGTAAATAAAATTCCTTCAAAAACATTTTTGTACGATTTATATATCACTTACTATGTGCCAGCTATTGTTCTCAGTGCTTTACAAATGTTACCTCATTTCATCTGTATAAAATTCTAAGACCCAGCTACTATCATTGTCTCGATTTTACAGATAAGAAAACTGAGGGCATAGAGATGTCAAGTAACTTACTCAAGGTCACCCAGGTGGCATGTGGTGGAGCTACAGTATACACTGAAACAGTTTGGTGCTAGCAGCTGTGCTTTGAGCACTGCACCATGAGTGGAAGAATAAATAAAAGGGACCTTAAGTTACTAAATGAGATAGAAGAGGTTGCAGATTTTCTTCTTCTCATCATGCATCATAACGTTCTTGCTTGGTGAAAATTTGTGCTATGCATTAGAGATTCAACAGGGCAGAGAAATGTATTAAGTACGTTTTTCTACTGCCTTTTCTACTCTGTTGGCAGAGAAAATCCCTGGCATGTGAGGGTACATTTCTCCCCACCTTGGATATTATGTTCAGAACTTGGTTATGGGCAGTGGAAGTTAGCCTAGTACCTGCCTGACCAAATAGAGGAAAATACATTTCAGAACATGACAGGTCAGGACACACTAACATCCTTCTGGGAATAAGATTTCTTCATTTATATTTACCAGTCTTAACTGGAAGTGCAAATACCTTACCAAGAAAGGAAGACACTGTGGTATTTCAACTTCCCTTTATGTTATACACAAATGTCAGCCTTTACAGTCACAGCTTTTCCCAGCACATTCTCCTTCCAGTTTAATTTTTCCTGTCTTTGTTCTTTAGCAATCTCTTTATCCTCCCTTCCCTGGTCTGTGTTGCACACCATGTACTGTATATTTGGTATAGCATGTCAGAATTCCTCTAATCTGCCACTTCACTTGGAAAACACTGGGGTGATTACTAATTTATTGCTGTCTTCTGGTAAGTGCTTAATGCAAGCTTAATAAAAATCAGTGGTTGTGTGTGCCTCTCCTTTGTAGGAATATACTTCTGATAGATGACTAGGTTAGGTCATTGTCAGATGATTTATGGAAAATATTCTAGGATAATCTGCCACCAGCATTTTATTGGTGTCACGGAAGATGCTAATGGTCACATAAGTGGAAGCAGAAGCAGAAAAATGTAGGTGCTATACACCCTCTCTTCAAAAGGCTCATTGTGAGCAAAGAGGTTAATAGTATGGAATGGGGACATCTTGCTTGATCACAGTAACATCCCAAGACAATTAAAGTTAGGATGCTAAGTGCATTTCCAACCATGAGGCCAATGTTTATAGGTTCTCAGCCATCAGGCTTTATCTCCTCATTTTGGGTAACAAAGAAGTACTTGTCATTTCTCTCACCATCCACAGGACCCACCCAGAGTGCCTGACCTCTTGCCCCTTCCCTGTTGGAGAAGGGTCTTCTCCTACAAAAGGAAACCACTTGTGAGGGATGGTTAAAACAAACTGTCTGCACTAGAACTAGACCCTTTCAACACAATAATTTCATCTTTCTCTTTTAAGCGCTCCTCACACAGTATGGCATAATGAAATCACAAACTGCCCTGCGTTCATCTTTTTCTGGAACCATACAGAACATTTCTGTCCTCTGGCAGACAATCTCTGCAGTCTCTGCTCAATGTCAGGCTGTGCAGGAGGTGGCCTCTCCCAGCCTCAACCCAAGCATCAGCACAACAACTAGTCATCAGCCAAAGGAAGAATGTGGTTCACTTCATTATAATGTCTAGAAATTTGACATTTCTTCCTAATCATGGCTTTCCAATTTCAACTCATCAAAATTTCCATGCAAACTTTTAGGCTTTAAAGCAGTTTTTAAAAGAAGCTGTTTAATTTGTTAATCCTACCATTACAGTCCCTATGGTTTCATCTATTTTATGGCAACATTTCTGACTTGTAATATTTGACTTCTTCAAAATATTGGGACATAGCAAGATTTACTACATCATTTATTTCATTATACATAACTTAATAGACATCTTCAGCCTTTTAAATTAAATTTAGAAAATTCCTTAGCAGAGTAAGCTCCTGTCAGGCAAAATAAGCGCCATTCTCCATAATAAAAGGCGTATGTGGGACAGATAACAGGCAGAAACTGTTTCCACCCTTGCTGTTGTACTTCTTCCCATTTCCTTTCTTACTTGTCAGAAGTGGACTGATTCACTTCAGAGTCTGTTTTTAACTGGGATTTCCTCTGATTGTCCACTCTCTAGAGACACCATAGCCTGCTCAAATGCATTTCTGCTATTGACTTTCCATTGGATCTTTATAAGATCCAGTCATCCAGGCAGGCTGCTCTGTGGGCAGCACTTCAGCAATGATGAGGCTGCTGTTCCCAAGAAACAAAGGGAAGGTGGGAAGAGGCTCCCACCGAGAAACAAGTTAAGAGAGCTCTTGATTTTGGCAAGCATAGAAAGAAGTAGGTTTATTTGGAAAGAAAATTTTCAAAAAATAAAGAAGTACTGATCTTTTTACTGTCTCCATAGTTTTCCCTTTTCCAGACTGCCAAATGGGTGGAATCATATAATATGTAGCCTTTTCATATTGGATTCTTTCACTTAGTAATATGCACTTAAGTTTCCTTATGTCTTCACATGGCTTGATGGAAAAACAACAATTTTCAAGTGCTGAAAGAAATGGATCGTCAACCCAGGATCCTATATCAGCAAAAATATTATTCAGAGATGAATGAGAAATAAAGACATTATCAAATGAAGGAAAAATAAAAGAATTTGTCAAAAGCAAACCTACCCCAATAGAATGACTAAAGGAAATTCTCTAAACAGAAAGGAATAGTGAAAGAAGAAAGGAGGGAAAATCATGTTAACCAAAAATATGGGTAAATATGATAAGACTTTCATTCTCCTCTTGTGTCTTCCACATTCTGTTGATGGTTGAAACAAAACTTATGCCACTGTCTGATGTGGTTCTAAATGTAAACAGAAAATATTTAAGTTCTAAATGTAAATTGAGAAAAGACTTTATCTTCCATAATAAAAATGGAGGAGAGGAAAGGGAAGTACAGGAAGATAAGTGTTCTGTACTTCACACACTAGCAAAATGACACCAGTAAACTGCAATGTCATAGAAATATGGTGTCATGTCTAGAGCAACCACTAAAATAGCTATGCAACGAGATACCCTCAAAAACACTATAGAAAGAGCAAAATGAATTCTGAAATATTTTCAAGTAACACACAAGAATGTAGGAAAAAGAAAAGAGAGAAAAACAGAATAAATGGAAAACAAAAATTATAATGGCACAATTAAGCTCTAACATCAATAATTACATTGAACATAGTGATCTAAATATACTAATTAAAGACAAAAATTGAAAGAATTGATTTTTTACAAAAGAACCACTTTATGCTGTCTATGAGGAAGATACTTCAAATATAACGATACAGGCAGGTTGAAAGTAAAATAATGAAAAAATATACCATACAAACATTAATTGAAAGAAAAAACTATAGTAATATGAAAATGAGTTGGATACAGTGACAAAAAAATGACGAGAGTCATAGAGGGACACTATGTAAAAGGGTAAATTCACCAAGAGGATACAGTAATCTTAAATGCATATGTGTCAAAAAGCAGAGTTTCAAAATATGTGAAGCAAACATTGATAGAACAAAAAGGAAAAATAGGCAAATCTACAATTATAACTGGAGTTAAACACTTTCTCAACAACTGATGGAACAAGAGGACAGAAAATACACATGGATATAGAAGAACTCAACAGCACCATCAACTAATAGCATATAATTAATATTTATAGAACACTTCACTCAACCACAGCAGAATAGACCTCATCATGGGCTGTAAAACAAACTGTGGCAAATTTAAAACAATTGAAATAAAACAAAATGTTTTCTCTGACCACAATGTAATTAAACTAGAAATTAATAGCGGATAGGTAACGGTAAAATCTCCAAACACTTGGAAACTAAACAACACACTTCTAAATAATCTATGGCTCAAGGGGAAGGCTCAGGAAAAGTTTTAAAACATACATTAAATAGAATGAGAAAAAATACAATATATCAAAATTTGTGGGTCATAGCTAAAGCCATGAGGGAAACTTGTAACACTAAATGCATACATTAGAAATGAGGAAAAGTCTCAAATCAATAATCTAAGATCCTACCTCAAGAATCTAGGGAAAAAAAGCAAAATAAATTGGAGGCAAGCAGAAAGAAAGAAATAATAAAGACGAGAGCAGAAGTTGATGGAATTGAAAATAGAAAAACCATAAAGAAAACCAATGAAACAAAGAGTTGGTTCTTTAAAATTGACAAACATTAAAATTAAAAACTTTCGCTCTGTGAACCTCATGTGAAAAGGATGAAAAGCTACAGAGAGGGAGGCCATATTTCCAAACCACATAGCCAACAAAGGACTGGTATCTAGAGTACAACAGAACTCAAAACTCAAAAGTAAAAATACACAAACAAACAAACAAACAAAATCCCACAATCCAATTAGAAAATAGGCAAAAGAAATGAGCAGACATTTCACTGAAGAGGATGTACAGAAAGAAAATAAGCACATGAGGCCAGGTGCGGTGGCTCATGCCTGTAATCCCAGCACTTTGGGAGGTCGAGGCAGGCAGATCACCTGAGGACAGGAGTTCAAGACCATCCTGGCTAATACGGTAAAACCCCCATCTCTACCAAAAATACAATAATTAGCTGAACATAGTGACACACACCCATAATCCCAGCTACTCAGGAGGCTGAGGCAGGAGAATCGCTTGAACCTGGGAGGCAGAGGTTGCAGTGAGCCAGGATTGAACCACTGCACTCCAGCCTCAGGGACAGAGTGAGATTCCCTCTCAAAAAAAAAAAAAAAAAAGAAAAGAAAAAAGGAAACACGTAAGATGCTCAATAGCATTGTCCATAGGAAAAGGCATATTAAAACCAAAATGAGATATTATAGCACACCTATTAAAATGGCTAAAGTTTAAAAATAGAGAAGACACTAAATTCTGACTACGATGCAGAGAAACTATATCCCTCTGACATTGCTAGTAGGAATGTAAAATAGTACAGTCAATCTGGTAGACACTTCAGAAATTTCTTCCAGCAATTGTTTTCCTATGCATTTATCACACAGAAAAACTTAGGTTCACACAAAAACCTCTACATGAATATTTTTAGCAGCTTTATTGATGATAGTCCCACTGTAAACAACTTGGATGTCCTTCAATGGGTGAATGGTTGAGCAAACTTTGGTGAGTCCACATCACAGAATACTATTCAGCTATAAAAGGAAACGAGCTAGTGATACAGGCAACAACCTAGATGAACCTCTAGAGAATTAGGCTGAAGGGAAAAAGCCAATCTTAAAATGTTACATATTGTATGTTTCATTTATATATCATTTTTGAAAAGAAAAAAATTACAGAAAGAAAAGAATTAGTAGTTGCCAGAAGTTAAGGACAGGTGGGGGTGGGAGGGAAGTGGATGTGACTACGGAAAACAGAACAGGAGGATCCTTGTGGTGATGAAAATGTTCTCTATCTTGACTGTGTCAATGTCGATATCCTAGTTGTGATACTGTACTATATAGTTCTGCAAAACATTATCAATGAGAGAAAATGGCTAAAGGGATATAGAATTATTAGGATCAATATTATTAATCCTGTCATATTAGAAAACATTTTATAGTAATATACATAGCATGCTTCCATTTCATCAAGAGCAAACAACAAAGCAGCCAACCTCTAGATAGGAATCGTTGGGGTAGAATGTCTGTAAAGATGGTTGCCAGTAAGCCCCTCGCTTCCCTCTTTTTCTGTAATTTGTTACATGGCAATAGACACCTGCGACATATTTGTATGTATATCAATGTTTATAAAACAGATGATTGTGAATAAAAACATACCTGTCGCCGGGCATGGTGGCTCACACCTGTAATCCCAGCACTTTGGGAGGCCGAGGCGGGCGGATCACTAGGTCAGGAGATCGAGACCATCCTGGCTAACACGGTGAAACCCCGTCTGTACTAAAAATACAAAAAAGTAGCCGGGCGTGGTGGCGGGCGCCTGTAGTCCCGGCTACTCAGGTGGCTGAGGCAGGAGAATGGCGTGAACCCGGGAGGCGGAGCTTGCAGTGAGCTGAGATTGCGCCACTGCACTCCAGCCTGGGCGACAGAGTGAGACTCCGTCTCAAAAAATAAATAAATAAATAAATAAATGCCTGTCAAGCATGGTTGCTGGGCAGTGGCAGTAGGAGTAAGAGGGAAATGATTAACTTATAATTTATATATCTTTATATTGTTTTACTGGTTTCTACAAGTATATATTATTCCATAATTCTTAGGACATCAATTAAAGAAAAATTTTACTAGGAAATGAAGATGTTCTTTTTTTTGTTGTTAAACACGAGCTTTGAAAAAGTGTCTTCCTCTCATTTCATTTTTATGTCTGTCTTTTGCTGCAGCGCTCCGCAGACCTCAATTTCAGATCGTTGTGTATAATGCTGGTTTCATAAACACCTTTATAAATCAGTTTTAAAAATAAAGGCCAAAAGCTTATACATTCAAAGTGCCTCTGGATTTGCAACTAAAACATCCTTAATCTTCTTTAAATAAGCTATAAAAACTAAGCGAGAGATAGTCATTAAGAAAATTGATTTAAAAAATTCTTACTAACGCAATCTGTAAGATAGATTAGAAAAGTGCATTAGCTCACATAACATTTTATCAGCCTGTAAAATTTTCCCTAGCTTTCTCTGCTCTTAACAGTGCTATAGCAATGATAAATCTCCAGGAAATTTATCAGAAGAATAAGAAAATGATCATGTTTTTGCTGTGGGTTGCAGTTTTCATTTGTATTACCTTTCATATTTATTGAATGCTTGATTTCTTTAAGATATTTCTGAATTTCTCATAGGACCTGAAACTCCTGGCCAAGGCCATTTTCATTAATTTGGTTCAACAGATTTATATCCATAGTGTGTACTATGTGCTAGATACTATGCCAGGTGTTTGAAGAAAGAAAATGGGAAAATTAAAAAGAAAAGAAAAAGCAGAGGAATTATCAATCACTAGATATCAATCTAGTAAGAAAAGTAAAACATTTTCAAAAACTATATAATGTGCTGATGGTAAAGCCACAAAGACTAGACAGTAGATTCCATTTGAGCTAGTTGTAAGGGTGGTAAGATTGAGTAGGAGTTTGGCAGGCAAATGAGATAAGGAACTGTATTCCAGATAGACTGGAAGTGTGCAGAATAACAAGGAAGTATAGAAGAGCATAATGTGATTGAGGAAGAAAATGTAGTTGGTGAGGATGTAGTCTGTAGTTTCTGATGGACAGGGAGTAGAAACGACAAGAACACAGGCTATTTTAAAATTAAATCACAGGTTCTTTTTCAACAAGAGTGTCATTTCAATAGGGGGAAAATGATATTTTCAAGTGATGCTGGAACTAGATATTCACACGCAAAAGATTAGTCAGATTCCTTCTCTAGACCACACACAAAAATTAATTCCAAGTGGACTGCAGACCTAAATGTAAATGCTAAAACTACAAGACTCTTAGAAGAAAACAAAGGAATAAATATCTATGATCTTGGGTTTAGTTAGGCAAAGCCTTCTTAGAGATGATCTAAAAAATATAAGCAACAAGATAAAAAATAGATAAATTGGAATTTATGAACAGTTAAAAAATTTGTAATCCAAAGGACACCATCAAGAAAGTTAAAAGACAACTCTAAGAATGGAAGAAAATGTTTGCAAATCATAGTATATCTGATAGGGAATTGTATACAAGACTATATAAAGAATTGCTATACTTCAACATTTTAAAAAGACAAATAACTCAATTTTAAAATGGGCTTTAAAAAGTGACCATAAAGGAGGAATTGAACAGATATTTCTTCCAGGAAGATACACAAGTGACCAATAGGCACACAAAAAGATGCTTGACATCATTAGTCATTAGAAAAATGCCAATCAAAACCACAATGAGATAACAATTTCATATCCACTGGGATGGCTATAATAAAAAAGACAAATAATAAAAAGTGTTGGTGAGGATGTCAAGAAATTGGAACATACATACATTGCTGGTGGGAATTTAAACTGGTGCAGCCATTTTGGAAATAGTTTGGCTTTCTCTTCAAAATGTTAAACACAGAATTACCACAGGGCCCAGCATTCCTTCTAACCTGACTGTTAGAAGGAAAACTAACGAAAGAAATGTCTTTCTTGTGGCAAGTATATACCCACAAGAAATAGAAACATGTCCGCACAAAAACCAGTGGATGAATGTTCATAGCGGCATTATTCACAGTAGCCAAAAAGTGGGAACAACCCAAATGTCCACAAACTGATGAACAGATCATCTCTATGTAGTATGACCATACAATGGAATATTATTCCAGAATAAAAAAGTAAAGTATGGATCCATGCTGCAACATGAATGAGCCTTGAAAATGTTATGCTGAGAGAGTAGCCAGTTGAAAAGACCACATACTGTACGATCCTGTTTATACAAAATGTTCAGAATAGGCAAATCCGTAGAGACACAAAGTAGACTCATGGTTTTCAGGGACTAGGAGGTAAGACTGGGGGGGAAATGGCGATTGATTGCTAATGGGTGAGGGATTTCCTTTTTGTCCTGCTGAAAATGTTCTGATATTTATTACGGTGATAGCTGCAAAACTCTGTGAATATACTAAAAATTATTGACTTATACATTTTAAATGGGTGTATTGTAAACCGTATCTCAATAAGCCTGTTTAAAAAAATCTGTTATAGATCTTTGTCCAAGATGGCCGAATAGGAACAGCTCCAGTGTGGAGCTCCCAGTGTAATCAATGGAGAAGACGGGTGATTTCTGCATTTCCAACTGAGGTATCTGGTTCATCTCATTGGTACTGGTTGGACAGTGGGTGCAGCCCATGAAGGGTGAGCCAAAGCAGGGCAGGGCATCACCTCACCCAGGAAGTGCAAGGGGTCAGGGGATTTCCCTTTCCTAGCCAAGAGAAGCCGTGACAGACTGTTCCTGGAAAAATAGGACACTTTTGCCCAAATACTGTGCTTTTTCCATGGTCTTAGCAACCAGCAGATCAGGAGATTCT
The DNA here is from genome assembly GCF_000001405.40 of Homo sapiens. Taxonomy (NCBI): domain Eukaryota; kingdom Metazoa; phylum Chordata; class Mammalia; order Primates; family Hominidae; genus Homo; species Homo sapiens. Next base: position 33,418,286 of record NC_000013.11, read on the forward strand.
CTCCCATGCCTGGCTTGGCAGGTCCCACGCCCACGGAGCCTTGCTCACTGCTAGCACAGCAGTCTGAGATCAACCTGCAAGGCTGCAGCTGGGCAAGGGGAGGGGTGTCTGCCATTGCTGAGGCTTAAGTAGGTAAACAAAGCTGCCAGGGAAGCTCAAACTGGGTGGAGCCCACCGCAGCTCAGCAAGGCCTACAACCTCTATGGACTCCACCTCTGTGGGCAGGGCATAGCTGAACAAAAGGCAGTAAAAACTTCTGCAGGCTTAAACGTCCCTGTCTGACAGCTCTGAAGAGAGCAGTGGTTCTCCCAGCATGGTGTTTGAGCTCTGAGAATGGACAGACTGCCTCCTCAAGTGGGTCCCTGACCCCCGTGTAGCCAAACTGGGAGACACCTCCCAGTAGGGGCCAACAGACACCTCATACAGGCGGGTGCCCCTCTGGGACGAAGCTTCCAGAGGAAGGATAAGCCTGCAATATTTGCTCTTCTGCAATATTTGCTGTTATGCAGCCTCTGATGGTGATACCCAGGCAAACAGTGTCTGGAGTGGACCTCCAGCAAACTTCAACAGACCTGCAGCTGAGGGACCTGACTGTTAGAAGGAAAACTAACAAACAGAAAGGAATAGCATCAACATCAACAAAAAGGACATCCATAGCAAAACCCCACCTGTAGGTCACCAATATCAAAGACCAAAGGTACATAAAACCACAAAGATGGGGAGAAACCAGAGCAGAAAAGCTGAAAATTCTGAAAACCAGAGTGCATCTTCTCCTCCAAAGGACTGCAGCTCCTAGCCAGCAATGGATCAAAGCTAGATGGAGAATGACTTTGACGAGTGGACAGAAGTAAGCTTCAGAAGGTTGGTAAGAACAAACTTGTCCAAGCTAAAGGAACATGTTCTAACCCATCACAAGGAAGCTAAAAACCTTGAAAACAGGTTAGATGAATGGGTAACTAGAATAAACAGTGTAGAGAAGACCTTAAATGACCTGATGGAGCTGAAAACCATGGCACGAGAACTTCATGACACATGCACAAACTTCAATAGCCGATTCAATCAAGTGGAAGAAAGGATATCAGTGATTGAAGATCAAATTAATGAAATAAAGGAAGAACACAAGTTTAGATTAAAAAAAGAGTAGAAAGAAATGAACAAAGCCTCCAAGAAATACGCGACTATGTGAAAAGACCAAATCTACATTTGATTGGTGATGGGGAGAATGGATCCAAGTTGGAAAACACTCTTTAGGATATTATCCAGGAGAACTTCCCCAACCTAGCAAGGCAGGCCAACATTCAAATTCAGGAAATACAGAGAACACCAGAAAGATACTCTTCAAGAAGAGCAACCCCAAGACACATAATTGTCAGATTCACCAAGGTTGAAATGAAGGAAAAAGTGTTAAAAGCAGCCAGAGAGAAAGGTCGGGTTACCCCCAAAGGGAAGCCCATCAGACTAACAGCAGATCTCTTGGCAGAAACCCTACAAGCCAGAAGAGAGTGGGGGCCAATATCTACATTCTTAAAGAAAAGAATTTTCAACCCAGAATGTCATATCCAGCCAAACTAAGCTTCATAAGTGAAGGACAAATAAAATCTTTTACAGACAAGCAAATGCTGAGAGATTTTGTCCCCACCAGGCTTGTCTTACAAGAGCTCCTGAAGGAAGCACTAAACATGGAAAGGAACAAGCAGTACCAGCCACTGCAAAAACATGCCAAATGGTAAAGACCATTGATGCTATGAAGAAACTGCAACAATTTACAGGCAAAATAACCATCTAACATCATAATGTGAATTGAATTCACAAATAACAATATTAACCTTAAATGTAAATGGACTAACTGCCCCATTTAAAAGACACAGACTGCCAAATTGGATAAAGAGTCAAGACCCATTACTGTGCTGTATTCAGGAGACCCATCTCATGTGCAGAGACACACATAGGCTCAAAATAAAGGGATGGAGGAAGATCTATCAAGCAAATGGAAAGCAAAAAAAAGCAGGTGTTGCAATCCTAGTCTCTGAGAAAGCAGACTTTAAACCAACAAAGATCAGAAGAGACAAAGAAGGCCATTACATAATGGTAAAAGATCAATTCAACAAGAAGAGCTAACTATCCTAAATATATATGCACCCAATACAGGAGCACCTGGATTTATAAAGCAAGTCCTTAGAGACCTACAAAGAGACTTAGACTCCCACACAATAATAATGGGAGACTTTAACACCCCACTGTCAGTATTAGACAGATCAATGAGACAGAAGGTTAACAAAGATATTCAGGACTTGAACACAGCTCTGCACCAAATGGACCTAATAGACATCTACAGAACTCTCCATCCCAAATCAACAGAATATACATTCTTCTCAGCACCACATCACACTTATTATAAAATTGACCACGTAGTTGGAAGTAAAGCACTCCTCAGCAAATGTAAAAGAACAGAAATCACAACAAACTGTCTCTCAGACCACAGTGCAATTAAATTAGAACTCAGGATTAAGAATCTCACTCAAAACTGCACAACCACATGGAAACTGAACAACCTGCTCCTGAATGACTACTGGGTACATAATGAAATGAAGGCAGAAATAAAGATGTTCTTTGAAACCAATGAGAACAAAGACAAAACATACCAGATCTCTGGGACACATTTAAAGCAGTGTGTAGAGGGAAATTTATAGCACTAAATGCCCCAAGAGAAAGCAGAAAAGAACTAAAATCGACATGCTAACAACACAATTAAAAGAGCTAGAGAAGCAAGAGCAAACACATTCAAAAGCTAGCAGAAGGCAAGAAATAACTAAGATCAGAGCAGAACTGAAAGAGATAGACACAAAAAACCTTTCAAAAAATCAATAAATCCAGGTTTTTTGAAAAGATCAACAAAACTGATAAACTGCTAGTAAGACTAATAAAGAAGAACAGAGAGAAGAATCAAATAGACACAATAAAAAAATGATAAAGGGAATATCACCACTGATCCCACAGAAATATGAACTACCATCAGAGAATACTATAAACACCTCTACATAAATAAACTAGAACATCTAGAAGAAATGGATAAATTCCTGGACACATCCACCCTCCCAAGACTAAACCAGGAAGAAGTGGAATATCTGAGTAGACCAATCATAGGCTCTGAAATTTAGGCAATAATTAATAGCCTACCAACCAAAAAATGTCCAGGACCAGATGGATTCACAGCCGAACTCTACCAAGGTACAAAGAGGAGCTGTTACCATTACTTCTGAAACTATTCCAATCAATAGAAAAAGAGGGAATCCTCCCTAACTCATTTTATGAGGCCAACATCATCCTGATACCACAGCCTGGCAGAGACACAACAATAAAAGAGAATTTTAGACCAATATCCCTGATGAACATCGATGCGAAAATCCTCAATAAAATACCAGCAAACCGAATCCAGCAACACATCAAAAAGCTTATCCACCACGATCAAGGTGGCTTCATCCCTGGGATGCAAGGCTGGTTCAACATATGCAAATCAATAAACATAATACATCACATAAACAGATCCAACCGCAAAAACCATATGATTATCTCAATAGATGCAGAAAAGGCCTTCGACAAAATTCAACTTCCCTTCATGCTAAAAACTCTCAATAAGCTAGGTATTGATGGAACATATCTCAAAATAATAAGAACTATTTATGACAAACCCACAGCCAATATCATACTGAATGGGAAAAAACTGGAAGCATTCCCTCTGAAAACCAGCACAAGACAAGGATGCCTTCTTTCACCATTCCTATTCAACACAGTGTTAAAAGTTCTGGCCAGGGCAATCAGGAAAGAGAAAGAAATAAAGGGTATTCAATAAGAAAAAGAGGAAGTCAAACTGTGCCTGTTTGCAGATGACATGATTGTATAATTAGAAAACCCCATCATCTCAGCCCAAAACCTCCTTAAGCTGATACGCAACTTCGGTAAAGTCTCAGGATACAAAATCAATGTGCAAAAATCACAAGCATTCATATACATCAATAACAGACAAACAGAGAGCCAAATCATGAGTGAAGTCCCTTTCACAATTGCTACAAAGAGAATAAAATACCTAGGAATTCAATTTACAAAGGATGGGAAGGATCTCTTCAAGAACTACAAACCACTGCTCAGCGAAATAAAAGAGGACACAAGCAAATGGAAGAACATTCCATGCTCATGGATAGGAAGAATCAATATCATGAAAATGGCCATACTGCCCAAGGTAATTTATAGATTCAATGCCATCCCCATCAAACTACCAATGACTTTCTTCACAGAACTGGAAAAAAATTACTTTAAAGTTCATATGGAACCAAAAAAGAGCCTGCATTGCCAAGACAATCCTAAGCCAAAAGAACAAAGCTGGAGGCATCATGCTACCTGACTTCGAACTTTACTACAAGGCTACAGTAACCAAAACAGCATGGTACTGGTACCAAAACAGAGATATAGACCAATGGAACAGAATAGAGCCCTCAGAAATAACACCACACATCTACAACCATCTGATCTTTGACAAACCTGACAAAAACAAGAAATGGGGAAAGGATACCCTATTTAATAAATGGTGCTGGGAAAACTGGCCAGCCATATGTAGAAAGCTGAAACTGGATCCCTTCCTTACACTTTATACAAAAATTAATTCAAGATGAATTAAAGTCTTAAATGTTAGACCTAAAACCATAAAAACCCTAGAAGAAAACCTAGGCAATACCATTCAGGACATAGGCATGAGCAAGCACTTCATGGCTAAAACACCAAAAGCAATGGCGACAAAAGCCAAAATAGACAAATGGGATCTAATTAAACTGAAGAGCTTCTGCAACAGAAGAAACTACCATCAGAGTGAACAGGCAACCTACAGAATGGGAGAAAAGTTTTGCAATCTATCCATCTGACAAAGAGCTAATATCCAGAATCTACAAAGAACTTAAACAAATTTACAAGAAAAAATCAAACAACCCCATCAAAAAGTGGGCAAAGGATATGAACAGATACTTCTCAAAAGAAGACATTTATGCAGCCAACAGACACATGAAAAAATGGTCATCATCACTGGTCATCAGAGAAATGCAAATCAAAACCACAATGAGATACCATCTCACACCAGTTAGAATGGCAATCATTAAAAAGTTAGGAAACAGCAGGTGCTGGAGAGGATGTGGAGAAATAGGAATGCTTTTACACTGTTGGTGGGAGTGTAAATTACTTCAACCATTGTGGAAGACAGTGTGGCGATTCCTCAATGATCTAGAACTAGAAATACCATTTGACCCAGCGATCCCATTACTGGGTATATACCCAAAGGATTATAAATCATGCTACTATAAAGACACAGGCACTCGCATGTTTATTGCAGCACTAGTCACAATAGCAAAGACTTGGAACCAACCCAAATGTTCATCAAGGATAGACCGGATTAAGAAAATGTGGCACATATACATCATGGAATACTATGCAGCCATAAAAAAGGATAAGTTCGTGTCCTTTGCAGGGACAGGGATGAACCTGGAAACCATCATTCTAAGCAAACTGTCACAAGGACAGAAAACCAAACACGGCATGTTCTCACTCATAGGTGGGAATTGAACAATGAGAACACTTGGACACAGGGCAGGGAACATCATACACTGGGGCCTGTCGGGGAGTGGCAAGCTGGGGGAGGGATAGCATTAGGAGAAATACCTAATGTAAATGATGAGTTGATGTGTGCAGCAAACAAACATGGCACATGTATACCTATGTAACAAACCTGCATGTTGTGCACATGTACCCTAGTACTTAAAGTATAATAATAATAACAAAAATAAACAAAAATCTGTAACAAAAAAAAAATCTGTTATACCAAAACAACCAAAAAACAAAAAACAAAAACCCCAGACTCAGAGCCAGACTACTTAAGTTGAAATTGTGCTCTTTCATTACCCATTATAAAGTTCTGAGCTATTTAACTTCTCTCGCCAGTATCTCCATCAAATAAATGAATGATTACTTCCAGCTGAGATCTTCAGGGAAATTTTTACAGAGGTGGAATTTGGGCTGGTCTCAAAGACAGTGCTCTTCAGGATTGTGAGATGAAGACCTTAAAAGGGAGGAGAAACGAACTAGTACTTTGAAAACAACTATTGTGCACCAGGGTCTGTGCTAAGCATTCTGCGCACATTATTGCCCTCTGCTTTGTAGTTATGAAAAAAGGAATCCTGAAAGTGAAATCATTTAAAGTGACCAAGTAGGGGTTCAATTGCAAGCCCAGGGTCTCCTGTGTCTGGCCTAAGCAACACCCGTGAAAAGAAAAGCTCAGGCAGCTGGTGGAGGAAGCAAGGTAAGGTTTCTCTGGCAGCGTCCGGGGGCAGTGAGTGGCAATTCGATTTTTTAGAATCTTTAATGGCCAGACAAATTTTCTGAATTTCATCCTGTGGGTAATGAGGAGCCATGGAAGTGCTCATCAAAAAAAGACATAGCGGTAGTGGTAGGCATGTATTTTTACATGTAGAAGTCCAATTCATCTTGTAACTTATTAGGCAGCTCAACTCTAACTTTGAGAAAACTTGCAATGTTACTCAAAATAGACATAGTCTGACAAGCTGGCCTTTGGTAAATTTTCCAGCAGAGAAAGTGGTTTGCTTCCACAATTAAAAGATGACTTTAAAAAGTGAATTAAAACTCTGTGTCTGAAAGTTTGTTACTTTGAGCTGCTGATTGTTACTGAATGACAGACTGATTTTGATGTGAATGTTGATGCTAAGAATAGATACTTGAAGACTTTCAATCTAATGAAAACTCTGAGAAGATGAACAAAAACTGTAGCCTCACTTTATGCAAGAGCTTAGTGAAAGGGAAAACCATTCAAATGGTGTATATGCGTTTATTTCATGGTGCCTTCTTTCACAAGTTGAGGAGGCATCATGAATGCCTTGCCTCTGCCTCCTATTTGGAAAGAGCTTCTTTCAAAGCCACCAACAAGCATAGTGTCCAGCAAGCATCTGAAGTGCCTAGGAACTGTCAGACCTGGCATGCCGAGGTAGGCACCACATAGTTGACGGAACAGGTAGCAAATGTGTGCTCAACCCCATCCCAGGAGGGACCCCAAACTTAAGTTATGCTGCTACATTGGTGCCCTGAAGGGCCAGGGTGCTCTTTCTCTCTAAGCCAATGGTTCTCAAGGGAGATGCTACACCTTCTAGAATGTGTGCATTTGGGAAAAAATGAGGAGGTACATTTTTGTTTATTGTAATGATTGGGATCTTTCACTAGAACTTAGTGGCCAGTTGTCATATTCTGACAATCCTGAAAACCAGGACTGGACACTGAAGGTGTACCCTGCATTCTACATGATTGCCAAATCTACTGCCACATTAGTTATTATCTGAGCTTCTCTGAGACTAGACCCTTACTGTATTTTACATACAGACAGAAAGCAGTTTTTACATGGTTTTAATACATACTCAATTTTCCAGCAATGACACTACCATGTAAATGGTGGGAAGACTGCGAAGTTTGCTCATAACTTTGTGAAGATCTGTTCACCATCACAGGACATGTTACCAAGGATGATGTCATTCATGGTATTGGGACCACCAGTTTAAGACATCCGAAGTAACCTGCATTTGTAATTACTGAAATTGTTGTTTTTACTGTGTCCAAATATATATATTCTCATTTAGCCATTATTTTAAAATGTTGACTCTGATAGTCTGTGTTTAAACCATTTATTTATTTTTGGGTTATCTAGGCTTTTCTATACTACTTCCATAAATTGTACAATTTCTCTAGAGCTTCTTGTAGTAAAGCTTCCTTTTCCTAATCCATCCTTATTTTTCTGTGGCCTATGGAAGAAAATTATCTCTAATGTCTTTACATATGAGACTAACCGTATACACTGACATGTGGTGGAATTTCAAGAATGCATATATGTTTTTGGTGATGCTTTGTTTCTACCCTGTCCTATTTTATAACATGAAGTTAATTATTGTGACATCATACATAAATAAAGCCCAGCTCATTTGCAAGAATATCAGACTTCCTCATTTTCTCCACATTGACAGTGACAACTTGTCTTAGCATCTAATCTTGACTTTAATTAAGGTTATTTTATTCTGCCTTCTATCACACACTTACAAGTCTGCCTGTTATTACTCATCTCAGCCCTGGTTTCATTCTAATTCCCCCTTACCTCCACTCTTTCACTTACCTGTAACTCTTCTGCCAAATCACTTCTCATATTCTTACTTTTTTTAAATCCAAAACTATTCATTATAAGCATTGGGCTATTTCATTATATCTTCTAATGTGGCCAAGCTGAGCATTATATACTAAATACATTGTCATTTAATTATAAATTATTTTTCTTTTTATTTATTACACTTGAGGCATTATATTGGTTTTTGAAAATATTTGTATTTGCTATCTGTCCATTTCCTTTCAGAAGGGTAAATAGAGTGTACTTATTTGTTTTAAAATTCTTTATGTTGTATTAAGAGGTCACAGTACTCCTATTATTATGACAAAATATTCTTCGTATTTTCTATCTGAGACAATGGAATGTGTCTTACTCAAGATTACATATAAAGAATGAGTTTTCACATTTTAGATAAAGTTAGAATACCTTGGCTTCTCCTTCTATTCTCAGTTTATGAACTTGTATTCACCATTAAAATGCTTTATCATGCATGATTTGGGTACTCAGTAAATATAACTTTTAGGTAGAGGTGGTTATGAGAGCTCTGTATAGAACTAATTATTATCAATAATAACAATGCAAGTAATAGCTATTATGTATTGATCATGTGCAGGCATCAAAATTAAAAGTTTCCATTTATTATTATCTCGTTTAACACTAATAATAATTATGCCCAATAGGTGCGTTGTTATCCATATTAATAGACGAGGAAAATGAGACGTACACAGATGGGTGCCTTGTCTTAATCACAAGGCTAGTTAAGTGACAGGGACCTAGACTCAAACTCAGGCCTCTCTATCCCAAATGCCCATATTTTCTGCCTCCAAAAAGAATGTTATTCAGTTTTGTATTAACAAATATAAAACATAAAAATAATATTTTGGATTACAGAGGATGGTAGGAGCACTTTCAATAAATCCGTTAAGGAAACCAATAATCCCTACAAATATTTTAAGTCAAGAGGATTTAAGGAGGGAAAGATAATATAACCCACACTGGTGGCACGCCAGTTTTCACGAGCCATGCCATAAAGATATTCCCTTTTTTTCCACTTGAAATAAATTCACCCAATACTATTTTTCACGAGGGTCAAACCAAACAACAACTTGTGCTGTTCAAAATGGTAGCCAGTAGTTATATACAGGTATTGAGCATTAGAAATGTGGCTAGTCCGTAACATAAAAATAGACACATAGCCAGGTGTGGTGCCTCACGCCTGTAATCCCAGCACTTTGGGAGGCCGAGGCGGGCGGATCACCTGAGGTCAGGAGTTCGAGACCAGCCTGACCAACATGGAGAAACCCCATCTCTACTAAAAATACAAAATTAGCCGGGCGTGGTGATGCATGCCTGTAATCCTAGCTACTCGGGAGGCAGAGGCAGGAAAATCACTTGAACCCGGGAGGCAGAGGTTGTGGTGAGCTGAGATCGTGCCACTGCACTCCAGCCTGGGCAACAACAGCGAAACTCCGTCTCAAAAAAAAAAAAAAAAAATTAGACACATAGACCAATGGAACAGAATAGAGAACTCGGACATAAATCCATACATTTACAGCCAACTCTGCTTTGAGAAAGGCACTAGGAACATACAATGGGGACAGATAGCCTCTTCAATGAATGGTTCTGGGAAAACTGGATATACACATGCAGAAGAATAAAACTAGACTGTTAGCTATCATTATATACACAAAATGACTTAATATGGATTAAAGACTTAAATGTAAGACCCAAAACAACAAAACTGCTAAATGAAAACATAGGGGAAATCTTCATGTCATTGGTCTATGCAAGGATTTTTTTGATAAAACCTCAAAAGCATGGGCAACAAAACAAATATAGAAATTAGATTACACCAAACTAAAAAGTTTGTGTACAGTAAAGGAAACAGCAGAGCAAAAAGACAGCACACAGAGTTAGAGAATACACTGGCAAACTATGCATCCGAAAAGACGTTAATATTAAAAATATAAAAGGAACTCGAAAAACTCAACAACAATGAAAACCCCAATTAAAAAATGGACAAAAGACGTGAACAGATATTTCTCAAAAGAAGACATACAAATGGCCAACAGACATATGAAAAAATGCTTAACATTGCTAATCATCAGAGAGGTGAAAATAAAAAACACAAGAAGAGATCATCTCATCCCAATTAAAATGTCTTTTATCAAAAAAACAGGCAACACATCAGTTAAAAAGCTTCTGACAGCAAAGGATACAATTAACAAAGTGAAGAGCAACCTACAGAATGGGAGAAAATACTTGCAAACTATCCCTCTGATAAGGGATTAATAACCAGAATATACAATTATTAGGAGCTTTTTAGGAGCCCAAACAACTCTATAGGAAAAAATGGAATAATCTGATCACAAAATGGGCAAAAGATTTGAATAGACATTTCTCAAAAGGAGACATGCAGATGGCAAGCAGGCATATGAAAAGGTGCTCATCCTCATTGCTCATCAGAGAAATGCATATCAAAACTACAATGAGATATCATCTTACCCTAGTTAAAATGGCTTATATCCAAAAGACAGGCAATAACAAATGCTGGCGTGAATGTGGAGAAAAGAGAACTCCTGTGTGCTGTTGATGGGAATGTAAACTAGTACAACCACTATGGAGAACAGTTTGGAAGTTTCTCAAAACACTAAAAATTGAGCTACCATATGATCCAGCAATCCCACTGCTGGATATAAACCCAAAAGAAAGGAAATCAGTGTATCAAAGAGATATATGCATTCCTGTGTTTGTTGCAGCAATGTTTACAATAGCTAAAATTTGGAAGCAACCTAAGTGTCCATCAACAGATGGAGTAAAGAAAATGTGGTACAGGGCCGGGCGTGGTGGCTCACGCCTGTAATCCCAGCACTTTGGGAGGCCGAGGCGGGCGGATCACGAGGTCAGCAGATTGAGACCATCCTGGCTAATACGGTGAAACCCCGGTTCTACTAAAAATACAAAAAATTAGCTGGGTGTGGCGGCAGTGAGCCGAGATTGCGCCACTGCACTCCAGCCTGGGTGACAGAGCGAGACTCCGTCTCAAAAAAAAAAAAAGAAAAGAAAATGTGGTACATACACACAATGGAGTACTATTCAGCCATAAAAAACAATAAGACCCTGCCATTTGCAACAACATGGATGGAACTGGAGATCATTATGTTAAGTGAAATAAGCCAGGTAGAGAAAGACAAACGTTCCATGTTCTCACTTATTTGTGGGATCTAAAAATCAAAACAATTGAACTCATGGACATAGAGAGTAGAAGGATGGTTACCGGAGGCTGGCAAGGGTAGCAGGGTGCTGGCAGGGGAGGAAATGAGGATTAATGGATACAAAAAAATAGGAAGAATGAATGAGACCTACTATTTGATAGTGCCACAGGGTGTGCCATAATAACCTAATTGTATATTTATAATCAATAATAACTTAATTGTACTTTTTTTTTGGGGGGGGGGGACGGAGTCTCGCTCTGTTGCCCAGGCTGGAGTGCAGTGGCGCGATCTCGGCTCACTGCAAGCTCCGCCTCCCAGGTTCGCGCCATTCTCCTGCCTCAGCCTCCTGAGTAGCTGGGACTACAGGCGCCCGCCACCACGCCTGGCTAATTTTTTGTAATTTTAGTAGAGACGGGGTTTCACCATGTTAGCCAGGATGGTCTCGATCTCCTGACCTAGTGATCCACCCGCCTCGGCCTCCCAAAGTACTGGGATTACAGGCGTGAGCCACTGCGCCTGGCCTTAATTGTACATTTTAAAAATGAAAAGTAATTTGTTTGTAACTCAAAGGATAAATTATTGAGGGGATGGATACCCCATTCTCCATGATGTGCTTATTTCACATTGCATGCCTCTATCAAAATACCTCATGTATCTCATAAACATATACACATACTATGTACCCAGAAAAATCAAAAATTAGAATACATTTTTAAAAGACAGGCAACAATAACAGATGCTGGCAAGGATGTGGAGAAAGTAGAATTTGTGTATAAGGTTGGTGGAAATGTAATTTAGTACACTATGGAGAACAGCATGGAGGTTCCTCAAAAACCTAAAAATAGAGCTACCATATGATCCACCAATTCTACCACTGGATATATATCCAAAAGAATGGAAATCAATATGTTGACAAGATATCTGCAGTCCCATGTTTATTACAGCACTATTCACGTAGCCAAAATGTGGAATCAACCTAAGTGCCCTTCAATGGATAAATGGATAAAGAAATGTGGTATATATACACCATGGAATATTATTCAGTCATAACAAAAATCCTGTCATTTGCAGTAACATAGATGGAACTGGAGGTCATTAGTTTAAGTGAAATAAGCCAAGCACGGAAAGAAAAATATTGCATGTTCTCACTCATGTGGGAGCTAAAAAAGTGGATCTTATGAAGACAGAATAGACTGGAGATTACCAGAGGCTACAAAGGATAGAAGGGAGGTGGAGGTGAAAAGAAGTTGATTAATGGGTACAAATATAGAGTCAGATAGAAGAAATAAATAAAACCTACTATTCTAGATTAGTAGGTGGCTATAGTTTACAATAATCTATTCTATATTTCAAAATAGCTAGAAGAGAACAATTTGGATATTTCTAGCATAGAGACAAGACACATAATTAAGGTCATGGATATTCCAATTATTCTACTTGTTCTTTACAAATTATATGAATGTATTAAATTATCACATATATGTGTGTAACATGGAACTGTGTATATCTATTGCGCATAGATAAAACATCGTTTAATAAAAAAATGTGGCAAGTCTGAATTAAGATGTGCTGTTAAGTGTAAAATACACCCCAGATTTTTAATACCTATTATAAAAAAGAATACAAAATTTCAATAATTTTTATTTTGATTATATGTTAAAATGATATTTTAGAGATACTGGGCTAAATAAAATGTTATTAAAATTATTTTCACCTGTTTCTTTTATTAATGAAACTTATGGATAATTTTAAATTACATATTTGACTCACATTTGTAGCTCACATTATATTTCTATTAGATGGCACTGTTGTGGAATAGATGTCTTTGAAAATAACTAGGCTTAAAATCGAATCATGGGAAAAATTTTTTTGAATATCAAAAGCAAAACATTAAGCAATACCCAATACTAGAGTGTTAGAAAATTTATTTTATTAAAGTGTTGGTCTTAGTTTTTCCTACCAGTTAATAGACGTGCAAAATTTAACACACCATTTAAAATCTATTAACCTCAGTTTCTGTAAAATCAAGATAATAGTTATATTGCTTACCTTACAGGGTGGTCATAAATATAAATGATTATTTGATTCATTCAAAAAATATATCAAAGGTCTAACATGTGGTGGGCCAGGGATACCAAGAACATAAGTTGTTGTACCTTCCTCCATGGGGTTTACAATAGAAATTACAGAATGTTACAGGGGCAATGACGGAACCATTACAAAGTATCTTGTGACTGGCACTCTGCTTAGGGATCAAGGGAAAGTTCAGCGGAGGACTTGGCCTCTGATCCGGCCCGGTGAACCTGAATCAGAGTAAGCCAGGTAGAGAAGTCAAGGAACACCTTGTCTTCAAGTCTCTGAGGTATAGAAGAGCAGGATATGCTCAAGGAAAAATAGGGGTGATTAAGGTGCTGGGAAGTAAAGGAGGAGAGGTAGTGCCTAGTTTGCAGTGTGGACGGTCCTGGTTGGAAGGTTCTGATGCTGGGAGAGAGAGGAGAAAAGAGGACCCACAGTCACTCGCGAGCTTTTCTGATGGTGCCTATATTCTAATATAATTTTGGAATCTTTCTTTTCTTCTTAGAGAAAAGATGTTAGAAAAAGTTAGAATACAAATGAACAGGATTTAATAGAATAGTATTTAATAATTAGTTTCTAGAAAAATTATGTGGAGTGATTTTTTTTAACATCTGCTCAGCTCTTTAGGTTAGAACAGTGCCTCATGAAAGGGTCCACATTCTCAACAGGACAATTGCACGGTTGCCTGGGGGAAGGGGCAGCTTCACAAAACAACCTAAGCCTATAAGAAGTCATTTAAATCTACCAATATTTCCAAAGACTGAATTAGTTGCCAGAGATTAATGTATTTCAAAGTTATCTGCTAGACTGCAGTCAGTACGATAGGTGATTTAAAATTTTCTATGGTACTATATTTATTTATATGAAAATCACAATGAAGATAATGGGGTATGAATAGTACTTTCAAGATTATATGTTTGCACATAACATACTTATAAAAGGCATTTTCAGAAGCAAAAATTATGGCTGCTTTTTAATGTTTGTATTTTCTTTAATGCAACACAGATTTGCATTAATCTCTTAAAACAGAGATTGCTGTTTCAAGAACAATAAAAATAAACATTAACTAATCTCAAAATGATTTAGAAGATGTGGGCATACTATAGAATCTAAAAAAATGAAATAACGCTTTATTTTCACCATTAAATTTATATTACTTAATAAAACAATATGCCATAAATAAAAGTAGAGAGACCCATTTTTTAAACCTCAGACAGATAAAATCATGTTATTGAATAGACAATTTTTATTGTTTTCCTTCCAAATCATGGAACAAATGAGAAGATTAAAAGGATGTTTTTCAGCAAACGTCTGTTATTGACAACAAATGGCTTTGAACAACAAAATAAATTGATACTTCGGTGCTTCTGATTGAAGAAAGTATTGATTATACTAAAGGATTCTTTTAACAAGATAATATTGTTTCTCTTTTGCCAACAAAGTTCCTACTAAGTATTGTGATTACTTTCTGCTTTCTGGTCATAATCTCATCTTTTCAATGTCTCTCATCCTCTAGAAGAACTGCTCCTATCTCCCAGAAGACCTCAAAAGGGAGAAACCAGGAACTGCTTTGTCTTTAGTTAGAATTTGTTCAGGTCTAGCTTCCTTCAAAGACTCTCTAGAAGCAACAACAGCAACAATCTCTATTACATTGGGTTCCAGAGGAAGATGTGAATCAGGCAGTTTTAAAACACAAGAAAGAATCACCAGGAATCACCTTGCAGGAGTCAACAGTGGGTCAGGGTCACATCCTCCTGCTACGTCACGTTCCGCCTTCCATCTGCGTATGCGGAGGGGCCCCTTCAGTATGACTACCATATTACATCTCTGCTAAAACAGAGATCAGACCTCTTGCGTTCTGTAGTTTTGTTTTTCAGAGAGCATTCTCTTGTGAACACTGAGTATTTACAAGGAACATTCAAAGGAGGGTTCATTAACTATAATCATAAAAATAATGCTTCCTTGATTTTAAAAATATGGCCTGTGTCCCTGTCATGCCCACCCTCTGAGTAACAGCAGAAATATCATAGAAAATGGCTGTGTATTTGCCCCCTCTGTGTATTTCCTTATTCTCTTCCCCCATTTGTGATGAGTTCCTTCAGGGAAGGCACTGTTTTTCTTCTATGCATTCCTTGTAATGAGTCACAATGCCCACTCAATAAATTTATGAATCCATACACAGTAGTAGAAGTTTGTGGATGGACAAGCAGTAGCAACTTAGTCAATAGTCAGCCCTCCATGATATTCTTTGGAGAGTATTTGTTTAGTGAAAGGTACACAGTCTTAGAAATCAAACAAGAGGCCAGGCGCTGTGGCTCACGCCTGTAATCCCAACTCTTTAGGACGCCGAGGCAGGTGGATCACTTGAGGTCAGGAGTTCAAGACCAGCCTGGCCAACATGGCGAAACCCCATCTCTGCTAAAAATTCAAAAATTAGCTGGGCATGGTGGTGTGCACCTGTAATCCCAGCCACTCAGGAGGCTGAGGCAGAAGAATCGCTTGAACCCAGGGGGTGGAGGTTGCAGTGAACCTAGATCATTCCACTGCACTCCAGCCTGGATGATAGAGCAAGACTCTGTCTCAAAAAAAAAAAAAAAAAAAAAGAAAGAAAGAAAAAGAAATCAAACAGAACGAGATTTAAGTTCCAACTTATACACTTATTGAGCAAATTAACATTTTTGACCCTTACTGTTTTATACATATAAAGTGAGGACGATACTTCCAATGATATAGGGTTGTTTTGAGGACTGAATTAATGAATATACATAAAGAATGTCAAAGTCTCATAATGCTTTCTTGGCTCATGAAAGCTCTCAGTCAATACGGATCTGTATTCCTCTAGTATCTTGGAATTACTCTCTTCAAACTGGGGTATTCGGCAATGTGCAAAGAGGGCCACAAAGCCACCAGATAAACACGAGATCTTCCTGCTGCATATACGTTTCTTGGTGGCACTTAACTTTATTAATATAACAGCTATTGTTTAGGAGTTCATTTAGTCAGCAAATGTTTTTGAGCACCTGTTGTATGGCAGCAGTCTATTGGGAGCAAGGGATAAAATAGTGAACAAGACATGGACTTTCTAGCCTATTGGAAAGGAAGAAAGGAAGGGAGGGAAGGAAAGAAGGAAGGAAGGAAGGAAGGAAGGAAGGAAGGAAGGAAGGAAGGAAGGAAACTATAAGTTCTGACAAGTGCTCTGAAGAAATAGAGATTGCAGCCATAGAAACTAGTTGGGGAAAGAGTCAACTTCTTTAGCTAGAGTGAGCAGAGAAGGATTTTTAAAACAGGTGGCATTTAGGTTTCAAGAGAAGGAGACAGCCAAGCTAAGTTATGGGACAGCAATGCTGAAGTCACCTGAAATCTTAAGGCCAAATATAAATTTCATATTTGTTAGTAGGGCAGGTTCCTTGACTTCTCTGCTACTCAAGGCTCTTCAGTAGATGTTTGGGGAACTTTGCCCGGAAGAAGTCCATGAATTCCACTGCGAGAGGTAGGAATGGTGGATAGAAAACACTCTCCTTTTCCCTATCTGTATTTAAGTTGGCAGCTTGCAAGAGCTAAAACTAAGTACTCAGAATAACTTTCAAGGGAATAAGCTGATATATCTCAACTATGGAGGGAAAGATTGTATTTTAACTAGATTTATAAAGCTCTTAAGCTTTATGTGGCACTTGCATTTCAAGATAGAGATTCCCACTAATTAAAATCAAATAAAACTAAGGTTCTTCTTGGCACACTTTGATGCTTTCTTTTTGCCTCATGTGGCTGTATTACTACAGAATGGTAATTATCTCTCTACATATATAGCCATAGGAAATCACAATTTAAAAATCTTACTAAATTACTATAAATTTCATGAAATAGTTATAAATTTACTTTTTGAAAGGCTCTGGTTTCACTGGAAAAATCTAGAGAGATAATTTAATTTAGGCAAGCTTCTTGAAGGAGGGATAATTTTATCTCACTTTATCTTTGTATTGCTAATGCCTTGCACAGTGCAAGGGACATAATAATGTTCAACAGACACTTAATTAACTAAATTGAAGTTATAATTTCATATTGGAATTGATAAAGGGTACCAAAAATCTCTTCGGCTCAGATATTTGTCACTACAATTAAATTCTAGTGAAACAGAAGAATAGGTACACTCCATATAGTACATGATTTTCTTCATAATAATTGGATTTGGCTAGTACTTTTGATTTCCTACATACTCTATACTTCTAACTCTTGTGAAATTCTGTTCCTGACAGATCCTTCTATTCTTGATAATGTGCCTAACAAAACGCCATAACACAATGAAGCTGAGAAGGTGGGAAGTAATTATAGCTCTTGGAGGAAGGTTGAATAGCTATGTCCGTGAAGCGTCTTTTGAAACTGTTCTAAGAAGAGTTGTCCCTATTGCCCTAGTGACATTACTCAGAGAAAAAAATATATGATTTCTTCAGATGTGATTTTATTTTCCTTAGGTTTTAAAATTGTTTTCTAAACCAAAGAAAATTTTTTTACAATCTTTAAATGAATAGTATGTTGTGCACTAAGAATGGTACATCAATGTGAGATTCAAATATTCTTGACAGTGAAGAACACAGTAATTTGGCTGTAGTCTCCTATTGACACATTTAAAGAAATGATAATACATACAATGAAAAGAGGAATTAAAAAGCAAATTAAGTCAACCATCACTACTTGGGTTAATTTTATAGTATGTGTATATTTAGGTATATATTTACTCTTCAAAAATAAATTAATTTTTCATTCCATTAAGCAAACTATAGTATAATATATAACATTCATTTCTGTTGTGAATTTTTATCTAATAAAGGCCACAGCATAATAGGCATAAACTGGGAGGAATTATCCCACTGTTGCTACAGTAGATGTTTCTTTCATCACTAGGCTGAGATCTTTTGGTCCCAGTGGACAGCTTAAACTGCCTAGAAAAGAGTGGCATTCTCTCTTAATCTGTAGTGAAAGCAATAATGACTGGCCTTTAAACCACCTTATTGTGCCTGTGCTTTTCTGCTGGAATCTCTTTTACTTTGGGTTTCACATTTTACCCCCATCAGTGACTGAGACCAGAGGAAAATGTGAATCAGGCAGTTTTGGAACACAAGAAAAAAATCACCTCACAAGGGTCAACAGTGGGTCAGGGTCATATCCTCCTACTATACGTCACATTCCGCCTTCCATCTTTGTATATGGAGGGGCCCCTTCAGTCTGACTACCATATTCTGTTAAGGGAGGAGACCACCCCTCATATTGTCTTATGCCCAATTTCTGCCTCCAAAGAAAGAAAAAGTAAAAATTAAAAGGCAGAAATGAAATCCACAAGCAGACAGCCCAGTGCCACACCCTGGGCCTGGTAATTAAAGATTGACCCCTAACCTAATCGGTTATGTTATCTATAGATTACAGACATTGTATAGAAAAGCACTGTGAAAATCCCTATCCTGTTTTGTTCCAATCTAGTTACCGGTGCATGCAGCCCCCAGTCACGTGTACCCCCTGCTTGCTCAATCGATCACGACCCTCTCACATGCACCTCCTTAGAGTTGTGAGCCCTTAAAAGGGACAGGAATTGCTCACTCAGGGAGCTCGGCTCTTGAGACAGGAGTCTTGCTGATGCCCCTGGCCGAATAAACCCCTTCCTTCTTTAACTTGGTGTCTGAGGAGTTTTGCCTGCGGCTCGTCCTGCTACATATCTCTGCTAAAACGGAGCAAAGCTCTTGGACATTCCAATCAAGAAGCAATGATGGAAAGCCAAATTAGGAATGAGGGCAGTTGACTTTACATTTTACAAACAGCAGAAAGGAATGAACATCAAAAGTTTAAATTATTAATGATTTAATTTGAAAGATGAGGTTAAAAAAGGGGGGATGACTGTAATTAAAAAACCCAAACTTATGGACTGCTTTGTATCTGCATGGAAATTGGAATTAGGCTTCTATAATTCTCCTTTGATTTACATGTTCAGAAAAATTGTTCTCAGATATACTTCACCAATATTTCCTTCTCCCAGAGTGCTTTCCATAAATATTTATGTGAAAATCGATTTGACTGTCTTCTAGATTTTCTGGCCTGCTTGCTTATTTGATTTTTTCCCCTGCCAAATGAAGCCCTGAATGACAGAGTGGTTAAACAGCGAAATATTCAGGCTGTAGTAGACCGAACTCTCATGCACGATACCTGAAGACCCACAGGTAAGCTCCACATCCAATCTAGGACTATTAAACCACTTCAGAGCCTCCATGGCTGAACTTCCTCACAGAGATGTAATTTGTTAGAAAAGTACTTGTCATTTCCACCCAGAAGTCAACTACGGTTGTTTCTTACTTTCTTGATTGTAACTTTTACATGGTGAAAAATATTCTTTTGCTATAATAAGTTGGATATACTTATAAAATGAAGAAAATAGACTTATTATTCTAGTTATCAGTTCTCCAGGGGAAATACTTTGATTGTCTAAAAGCTTCACAGGCTGCTCATTAGTGTAAATCCCTTTTTTGGTCATTTCTGAAGCGAAACACGTTCTTTGCTGATGTAAATGCAGTATCAGCTCCTTTAATTCAAGTTGGAATTTCAACAAGAGAGACGAAGCACAGAGGGTTCTACTTATGTCATAATTTACTATTTGGACACATTCATATGATTTTAAAAGAGGTCTGTGCTTATTTCCCACTTAGCTGCCAGGTGGTTGAGGGTTATATATAGTTGAAGTCCCAAATATAAAAGTGGTCATGGACAAAAATTATGCATAGTTGATGCTACAAGCATTTCTCAGAATGGCAAGAACAAATTCTGCTTGGTTGTTTAGTGGGAGAGCTGATAGGTTCGGCACACTCACTAAAGACATTTTCCTGACAAAGTTCTAGCCAGTCATTTTTGCCTGGAGGCCCAGTGTAAAGGCCTCCTTGCAAATCTCCCCAAGAGCTGAAGAACAGCAGATGACTATATCCCAGAGATCCAATGCTCATCCTAAGCATAAGTGAAGCTGAGATCTTGGGTGTCTGAATAATGAACTGAAACTGGTTCTCAGCAGATTATAGAAAAATGAGTGTATAAAAATGGAAATAATGCTGGCACCAATGCAGATAAGGGTAGCATCAGACTATTGCTTTTAGAGGCATTATTTGACAAGATACTTCAAAATTGGGCTTTAAAGATATAAACTCAGAGAAAAGTGTTAACTTTCAAGTCTAGCAATACGCTATCTACAAGATATGAAGAATACATGCAGTGGAATCACATAAAGGGCTTTGAAGGGGTTCCTTTCTATGTATAAGCATGTAAATGACCGTATGAAGTGAGGACTGATATGGAGATTTCAGAATGTCTTATCCATAATGACTATTCAAATGAAAAGTACAACAACAGCTGCTAAAGAGTTGGTAAGAAGTGGTGATTCAAGATTGGTTAGCTGTTAGTTTACATAGTCATTAAAATAAGATTCCACAAATAAAGCTGCCAAGTATTCAGATTTATACAGAACATTTCCAAATACAAAAGCTATACAAATAAACCACTACCCTCATATATGCCTTATTTTCAAGAGGCCTTACCTTCGAAGCAGATGTTTCAGTAAAGGTGCAATCTTTTATTTAATTCCTATTTAACTTACAAGGTACATTTCAAGATAAAGACTGGTTATGCAAAGCAACTTCTTTCTGTGTAAAATCAACTTTACAAAATGGAGATAAACTCAGCAGCATGGCTGCATGAGGACCAGAGAAAACCCAATGAACTTTTCCAATTTTCAAAATGCAGGTCAAATTCTGATTTAACATCATACTGTATCCATCAACTTTGCATCCATGATTCAGCAACACTTATGGCATGTTTAAATTTATAGGGATGAGGCAAAGCTCTCCAAACAACTTTTATACATAAACAGGAAAACATTTTCTCAGGGAGACTTACCCACTCTTTCTTTGGGTCTGTTATCAGAGAGCACCTGTAAAAAAACAGTATCACTCTTAATATCTCAAAATTATACCACTTTTGTGAAGAATATTGAGTTTGAGACAAAAAATAAGATTGTAAAATTAGAATCAAATGGCCTCCAGAAATGAAAATAAAATGCCAACTGAGGCATGAAGATTGAATGATTTTAGGAACTACACAAATCATCAGGAATCATAAAAGTCATCAAAATACTCATTCATGGGGAAGACGCATTAAATGTATTTTTCTCTGACTTAAGTAAAGATTTATACAATACAGGCCTTGTGCAGTGGCTCATGCCTGTAATCCCAGCAATTCAGCAGGCCTAGGTGGGAGTTCCAGGCTTGAGCCGAGGAGTTCGAAATCAGACTGGGCAACATAGCGAGACACCCTGCTCTACAAAAAAATTTTAAAATTAGCCGAGCATGGTGGCATGTGCCTGTAGTCTCAGCTACTTGGAAGGCTAAGGTGGGAGGATCTCTTGAGCCTGGGAGGCAGAGGTTGCAGTGAACCGTGATCGTGTCACTGCACTCCAGCCTGGGCGACAGAACGAGGCAAAAAAAAAAAAAAAAGATTTACATGATACCATGTGTCTATTTAGTAACTGAGAAGAAGACTAAAGTCTAGTTTTAATCCACTGCTCCAGGGCCCTGGTGCCACCAATAGTCTCCTTAGTGCTAAAGCCAGGCCCTGCGTCACTGTGTCTCTCAGTGACATCACAGGCCCTAACTCAGCTGACTACTCCTTCCTTCTGCAACTTTATCCTTCTGGCCTTCTGAATCCCATGCTGTCCCTGCTGTCTTTTCTACCCCTCTGCTTGTTCCGTATCATTTTCTTGGTGGGCTCTCCTTTTGCTTGTGCCCTTCTTATATGCTGATTTCATTTACTTAAGTTTTATTTTGTCTTGTTAGGGATGGGTGCTGGCCCTTCTTCCCTTCTCACTTTGCACCTTCTTCCAGGGTGATCTCATGTACTTTCCATCCATATTCTGATAACCTTCAGGTTTAGATCTCCAACTTAGGTCTCTTTCCTTGAGCTCCAGGAAAACAGCGATTTTTTTTTTTTTTTTTTTTTTTTTTAAGATAGAGTCTCACTCTGTCACCCAAGGCCAGGCTGGTCTCGAACTCCTGAACTCAAGTGATCCGCCCACCTCGGCCTCTCAAAGTGCTGGGATTACAGGCATGAGCCACCGTGACTGGCCAAGAACAAACTGTTGATTGCACATTTGCCTTTGGACATTTCACATCAGACACCTCAAACTCTGTGTCCAAAACTCAACGTCCTCTCCTCCCCTCCCACCTCCTCCTCCACCTCCTTGTCCACACACACATACAGATCCCCTGTCTATGTTCCCTCTGTCTTGGTGAATGGTGTTTCCATCTACCTGTTTGCTCAAATCAGAAACTCAAAGATCACCCATGACTCCTTCCTGTCCTCACTACATCCTGCTGAAGCCTACTTCCAAATGTTGCTTGAATCCATCTGCTTCTTTTCATCCCTGCTGCCACCTCCTGGGCAACATTCAGGTAATACCTAGAAAATTGCAATAGTTTCCTAACTTCTTAGTCCGATTCTAGTCTTAATTCTCTC
Source organism: Homo sapiens (assembly GCF_000001405.40). NCBI lineage: Eukaryota > Metazoa > Chordata > Mammalia > Primates > Hominidae > Homo > Homo sapiens. Next base: position 33,441,305 of record NC_000013.11, read on the forward strand.
CAATCTATATTCTCAGCCAGTGTGATTCCTTCAAAATCAATGTGATCACTTCAATCTTCTTAAAATCCTTCAATGATTCCTCATTACTCTAAGAATAAATACAGTTTTGTGGTTAAGATAATATGTTTAGCAATCAGAAAGACAGTTCCTAGCCATATGACCTTAAAAAAGTGACCACATTTCTCTAAGCCTCATTTCCTCATCAGTAAAATGGGGTTGCTTTGAGGAGTAAGTACAAAAATTCAGGGGATGTCCTGAGCCCCAAGTGTAGCAGAGAAAAGGTATACAGTAAATATTGGTTGATTATTGTGAAGGAAATTCGGAAAAACAGATGCTTACGATTATTAACTTTTTCAAAGTATCAGGTACACAGTATTCTACAAGAGTCAGTCAGGAAAGAGGCAAAATGATGATGCAGTTAAAGCTTTGTCCTTGATACCACAGTTCCTTCCCATCCCATTGTTTGTGTTTCTCCCTATATTCTACGCCTGTGCTCATACTTGCCCCGGGAAAAAGCAAATCCACAAAAGAGTTGGTAAGTGACAATAAGATCCACTTTTCCCAAGGATATTCACATATGAAAGGGACATCATTTGACAATAAACACCAATAAAAGAACTTCATTTCATTTTAATAAATGGTGCAACTTCAGACATTTGTGACACACAGAGGAGAAAAGATCCCTCCATATTTTTAAACTAATATCAGTGGTTCTGACTTGGTCTGGAAGCAAATATATTTAATGACTATTTGACCTGGAATAAGAAACAGAGTAAACTTAGAAAGTAAAATAAGCTGTGTTACTTGAACATAATAAAACATTAAGCATTATTCTCTAAATACAATAATGTTCTGACAATCATGTAAATTAGAAATAACCCAGTAGAATTCTTCCATTTCAGCTGTTTAAAAATTCTCACTTACGAACTAAGAGCAATTGCTGCCGAAAAATTTAAGCCTCACGGCTTGAAAAGGAAACAAAACACAGAAGTATGCTTTCTCAGCCACACCTTGAGATGGAGTGCTAACAGAGCTACTCATACATTAATAATAATAATAATAAATAATCCTTGGCACAATAACTGAAAGTCAGATTACTTGATTTCAAAATAAATCAATGCAACCCAACTGAAATAGGAATTCCAGAGAGAATATTTGACAAAAGTATGGCCAAGTATTATCTTGTCCTAAATGTAGAATATTTAAAAGGTAAACAGAGTTTGAATTTGATGAATATATGAATGTATACAGAATAGGAACATTTCAAGTGCGAGGTATCATGATGAGATAAAAGGAGAAACTAATTATCTGAAATTAAAGCAACAAAAGTTAGTGTTTTGAAAAATGAAAAATATTTGAAAAATATTACTGAAGTTCAAAGATGTTAGAGATATTAAAAATGAGCCCCTCATGTATCTACCATTTTAGTAGTACATGAAACATTAGAAGCAGAGGCATAGGGGCCCTCATTTCCCAGGAAAATTGATGAGGCAAAAAATGAATACATAACACCCATTTTCCATAATATATTAATTGTAAAACATTCATAAATGTGATGGTGAACATATTCTTCTTTATGGATTATATAGCAATATTTTAACATAATAATCTTCACTTAAAATCACAGGATGCCAGGGGCCAGGGCAAGAAGGAATAGGGAGTTATTGATTAATTGGTACAGAGTTCAGTTTTACAAGATGAAGAGTTCTGGAGATGGACAGTGGGGTTGGTTGCATAACAATCTGAATGTTCTTAATACCACTGAACTGTACACTTAAAAATGGTTAGGATGGGCTGGGCGCAGTGGCTCACCCCTGTAATCCCAGCACTTTGGGAGGACGAGGCGGGCGGATCACAAGGTCAGGAGATGAGACCATCCTGGCTAACACGGTGAAGACCCGTCTCTACTAAAAATACAAAAAATTAGCCAGGCGTGGTGGCAGGTGCCTGTAGTTCCAGCTACTCGGGAGGCTGAGGCAGGAGAATGCCTTGAACCCAGGAGGTGGAGCTTGCAGTGAGCCAAGATAGTGCCACTGCACTCTAGCCTGGGCAACAAAGCGAGATTCTGTCTCAAAAAAAAAAAAAAAATTGGTTAGGATGATAAATTTTATGTTAAGTGAATTTCATAACAATTAATAAAAAGGGTCCCCCCCCCAAAAAAAAAACACTAGAAGCACACACTCTATTGCAACCCCGTATATTGAACCTCCTGCTGCTTCCTACTTCAAACCCCTCTGTTTGGAAATCCAAATAGAAACTCTTTAGAACTTAGCAATATAACACATTAAGAGGATGTCTCGGCCATGTGTGGTGGCTCACGCCTGTAATCCCAGCACTTTCGGAGGCCAAGGTGGGTGGATCACTAGGTCAGGAGTTCAAGACCAGCGTGGCCAACATGATGAAACCCCGTCTCTACTGAAAATACAAAAATTAGCTGGACGTGGTGATGTGCACCTGTAATCCCAGCTACTTGGGAGGCTGAGGCAGGAGAATCATTTGGACCCAGGAGATGGAGGCTGCAGTGAGCTGAGCCGAGATTGTGCCACTGCACTCCAGCCTGGGCAACAGAGCGAGACTCAGTCTCAAAAAAAAAAAAAAAAAAAAAAGAAGATATCTCTAAAATCCAAAATGTGACTTATGGATAGACAATTTTAGAAAACTGCTCCTATTGGGGGGATAATTATTCATACTCACCTAATAATCCTGAGATTATAGTTAGCTCTATAAACATGAAGGAAGGGTACACTTTGGAGCAGATGTGAAATGATGTCACTTATTCACTGATGTCAGTATAGTTAGATCACGTGTCTCTCGACCACCAGTGGGTTTTCTCTGGGTATTGTATTCACTAAACATTTGCCGAGTGCTTAGTCAGTATATAGATACACACATTTCTAGCACTATGCTAGGTGCTTAACCCTTTCTGTTGTGTAGGTGGCTTGGAGCAGGTAAGTGGTCTATATTGGAGATCCAAGAACTCTAGAACTGTAAGAATTATCTCATGGATAATTCATGGATAACTATTAGAATTATCTCATGGATAATTCTCATGGAAAAAACATGACTGTAGTTTTGCCATTTATCACAGACCACAGATAGCATAAACCATGTTTGGGTGGCTTCAGTTCCTTCTTAATTAGCAGTAAATTCCTTTGAGTTACATTTAAGGGTAATTTGCAGGCCAGGTGCAGTGGCTCATGCCTGTAATCCCAGTACTTTGGGAGGCCAAGGTGGGAGGATTACTTGAGGCAGTGAGTTTGAGATCAGCCTGGGAAACATGAGGAGATCCTGTCTCTACAAAAAAAATAGAAAAAATTAGCCAGTGTGATAGCTTACATCTGTAATCCCAGCCACTAGAGAGACTGAGGCAGGAGGATCACTTGAACCCCAGAAGTTGAGGCTGCAGTGAGCCAGTGTTCCCACCACTGCACTCCAGCCTGGCTGGCAGAGTGAGATCCTGTCTCCAAAAATGATTATAATGTAACAGTAAAAAATTTCAAAAAGTCATTTGCCTCATTTGCTGAGATCCCCCAGAAAGTGTTAATTTTGTAATACCTCCAAAGCCATAGTAGTTATAAATCCATGTTCATGCAGACAGTCTAAAAACATCTTAGGTATTTATTTTATGATAAGGCTGGATATAAAATGCAATTGCTTTTTGAAACAAATGTACCCAGTAATGTATCCTTTGCCCACATAGCCAAATATGACAGATTAAAATACAGAACTGCGCTAAGTAACCATAAAAACATTCAGATAATTTTTTTTGGGAGGCTATGTCCCTTAGGGCTTGTAATGATCAATCAAGTCAATGAATAAATTAACTACTATTGTACTAGTCAAACTAGAAAGCAGTTTCAACACCTGCTGCTCCTGAAAAACAAAGGGCCCATTTTTTCCTAATGCCCTCATGTTAACCTTTAAAACCAAAAGCAGTAGATAAAAATCCCAGAGTAAATAAATTCTTATGTAAACATGGAAGCTATTTTATTATCTGCCCTTTACTTTATTCAGAACTCACCTGCTGGTTTCAAACTCAATAGGTTATATTCAGTAGTAACCTTGATTTGAATATTACTGGATAATGTCTAAGTAACAATGAGTAGAAAAGGTTAATCACTAGATTACCACTAGAAAGTTAGTTTCCTTAGACAAGTATATGGGATATATTACACACTGAGTTTGGCCCGAGTAATTTATGGCTGACTTTGTTATAGGTGAATTATATCTCAAATAACCTTTTCCTAAATCACCCTTGTCTTAGTTTGTTTGCGTGTTGCTACAAAGAAATACCTGAGGCTATATATATAAATAAATATATATATATGTTTATTTGGCTCACAGTTCTGGTATCCCGAACAGCTCAAAACTGGGCAAGGGCCTCAGGCTATTTCCACTCCTGGCTGAAGGTGAAGGGGAATTTGTATATAGAGAGATCACAGGGAGAGAGAGGAAGCAGAAGAGGGGCCAGGTGCCAGGCTCTTTTTAACGACCAGCTTTCACAAGAACTAATAAAGTGAGAACTCACTCACCCCTCAACCCAAGTGAGGGTTTTAATCTATTCATGAGGGATCTGCCTCTGTGACCCAGACACCTCCCATTAGACACCCATCTCCAACATTGAAATTAAATTTCAGCATGAGTTTTGAGGAATCAAACATCCAAACTATAGCACTCCTCATGTTAGCTACCCAATAGATCATGTACAAATTATACATAAAAAGTATAGGGTTTAAAAAAAGAAAATAAAATATTTCAAAGCATTGTAATCTGTAATTGCAGAGTCATTTTGACAAGACAGTCTTAAAGAAGAGGTTAACCAAACTATCAGTTGATGAAGAAGTAAAATGAAAATATAATGTTCCTTATTTACCATACTAAATTCTCACTATTCCCTTTAAATTTGAATTCAAAATATTGCAAGCATGGCCTTGCAGGAAAGTTCCCAAAACTTTCTATTTCTGCAAAAATTCTATATAGTGATTTCTGTCTAATTATCAAAGCTATTCTTTCCCTGACTCAGGCCGAGAAAAGGCCATACTGACTCTTAGCTAGAAGGAGGGAAGAGACAGGGATGATCACAATTTCCTCACATATGACTACGTGATGAAAGCTAAAAAGAAAAAAAAAACCAAAATCACTAAAAAAGATAGATTATATAGTTTTAAATATACTTTTTATTTTTGTTTAATCTTCCCTGATTTCCTATAGATCTGAGATATGTCATGCTTATTTTCATTGCTATATAAAAATCTCAATAAACTTTATACATAAGAGTAAAATGAAAATCCACTTTTGTGGACTGAAAAATATTTCAGTTTCACCTATGATATATAAATCTCTCTGTTTCTAAATATAAATTTTGGTGTATGTATATTAGCGTTCATGTATTTGAAATAGAAGGAGTAATACAGAATTTTAGACATTTAATCTAATGCAAAAACACGAGTCTTTACTAGTTCAGTGAGTCTAAAATGATGCTATTTAATAAACCATAGCATTTTAATAAGCATTCTTGACATCTGGTGCTAATAAAAAGGACTATGTTTTACAGTTAACATTTAAGGAAAAAACATGACTGTAGTTTTGTTATTTATCATAGATCACAGATGGCATAGCCCACATTTGGGTGGCTTCATTTCCTTCTTGATTAGTTTACATAAAGAGGCTACTTGTTCTCTCTCTTTCTGTGTATATTTTATACAGGATTTGGGCCAAGTCCCAGAAATTAATACATGAACAAAGAAAGGAATTCATTAAATTTAATGTGAAGTTTCTGAAAAACAAAACTGATTATAGACTTTTTCTGGATCCAGTTTAGTTAATAGATTCATTCTAAAACAAGGATCCAAGGAATTTTGCATCTGGAAAAATATTTGAAGCAAGTTTTCTGGAAATGCAAGAAACCGCAAGGACCTAAAAACGTCCGTCTCTTGTACAACTATGTGCCCTAGGCAAATACTTACTAGTCCTTCTATCCAAAACAGGTTCTTCCACGAGCTTGTGTGCAAGCCAGCAGCTGAGCATGATGCTGCTGCAACACCTAGACAGGGATGTAGGCTTCCAGGTGCTCTCCTTGCCTCTGGCTAGCTCTTTTCCAACCATGAAACTGAAGTATGGGCTTCCCTTTTCCTACTTGCTCAGACTTTTTGTGTTCTTCCCTTTAGATCCTTTGCTGAGTGTCCTGCTCCAACTTGGACATTAGACTTGAGTTGTACTCTGACTCTCATTAACCCCAACTTACCACTTCCTTACACGTTCCTCTGGAAAATGTCATGCTTATCTGGAAGCATCAGTGCAAGAGTATAAAACATATGTCATATGACTTTTCACTAGATTTTGTTAGAAGGATTGAAAATTAATGATTACATTTACCAGATAGTAATAACAGAAATAGTATGCTCTAAGATGCTCAATAAGACACACAGAAGCTCAGACTGAAAAGACAATAGATTAATCTGTGAGAAATGGAGAGATGGGAGTGTTAATTAGCTCAAAATCCAACAAATTTTATCCTCAGAATTCTTTAATTCTGAAAATAAGAGAGAAATAAGATATATATATAAACACCATTAGAAAGCAATTAAATGCAGAATTTATTACAATACAGAATTAACTGATTGAGATAATAAGCACAATTAATTTTTAGAATACCTTAAAGTTAGTGAAAGAGGTTATGTATGCTGTTGAAAATCTGACTAGATTAGAATAAAATTGAGTTCTTCTTTAAACTAAATTATCGTTATTATTATTAAATTTTTATTGATACATAATAATTGTACATACTTATGGGATATGTGATGTTTCGATATGTGTTCATTGTGTTATGAGCAAATCAGATTATAATAGCGTATCCAGCACTTAAATATTTATCATTTCTTTTTCTGAGTACATTCAAAACCCTCTCTTCTAGCTTTTTTGAAATATGATACATTATTGTTAATTCTCCTATTCTCCCTCCTCACTACACTTCCCATCCTCTGGTAACCACTATTCTACTCTCTACTTCAATGAGAACAACTTTTTTAGATTTCATATAAGTGACATCATGCAGTATTCATCTTTATGTTCCTGACTTATTTCACTCAATATAATTTAACAGGTTCATCCATGTTGCCACAAGTGACAAAATATTCTTTTTTTATGGCTGAATAGTATTCCATTGTGTATATATACTGTATTTTTAAGCTCATTCAACCACTGAGGGGATTTAGGTTCTTTACTTACCTTGGCTGTTGTGAATTGTACTGTGCTAAACACAGGAGTGCAAATACCTCTTTGACATATTGATATCATTTCCTTTGGATATATACCCAGTAGTGGGATTGCTGGAGTACAGGGTAGTTCTATTTCTAATGTTTTTGAGGCACCGCCATACTGTTTTCCATAATGGCTGAACTAATTTACATTTCCCCTACCAATGTGTAAGGGTCCCCTTTTCTCCGCGTCTTCACCAACATTTGTTACTGTTTGTCCTTTTGATAATAGTCATTCTAACCAGAATGAAGTGATATCTATTTGCATTTCCCCGATGATTAAAAATGTTGAGCTTTTTTTCATATATTTCTTGGCCATTTGTATGTCTTAAGAAATGTAAAGTCAGGCCTTTTGCCCATTTTTTAATTGAGTTTTTGTTGTTGTTGTTGAGTTGTTTCAGTTCCCTATATATTTTGGATATTAACGCCTCATCAGATGCATAGTTTGCAAATATATTCTCTCACTCTGCATGCTGTCTCTTTGCTTTGTTAATTGTTCTATTGTCCTAAAATGCTGTGCCAAAAAAAAAAAATAGGTTGATGTAATCCCATTTGTCTATACTTGCATTTGTTGCCTATGCTTTTGAAGTTTTTATCCAAAAAAATCCTGGTGTAGGATATTTTTCATGGACATTTTCTCCTGTGTTTTCTCTTTTAGCAGTTTTGTAGTTTTGGGTCTTACATTTAAGTTTTTAATTCATCTTGAGTTGATGTTTGTCTATGGTGAGAGAAAAGGGTCTAGTTTCATTCTTCTGCATGTGTTTAACCAGTTTTCCTAACACTATTTATTGAAGAGACATTCCTTTCCCCATTTTGTATTTTTGGCAACTTTGTCAAAAATTAATTGGCTGTAGATCCATGGATTTATTTCTGGATTTTTGATTCTGTTCCATCAGTCTATGTGTCTGTTTTCATGGCAGTACCATGTTGTTTTGGTTACTAACACTTAGAAGTATATTTTGAAGTCAGGTAGTCTAATGTCACCAGGTTTATTCTTTTTGCACAATATTTCTTTGGCTATTCAGGATCTTTTGTGGTTTCATGAAAATTGTAGAATGATTTTTCTATTTTTGTGAAGAATGTCACTGGTAATTTGTTAGCAATTGCATTGAAACTGTAGATTGCTTTGAGTAGTACGGACATTTTAACAATATAAATTATTGCAATTCATGAACACAGGATAACTTTCTATTTTTTGTGTCTTCTTCAATTTTTTTGTAGTTTTAATTGTAGTTATCTTTTGCTTCGTTAGTTAAATTTATTCCTAGGTAATTTTTTGTAGCTATTGAAAATGGTATTGCCTTCTTGATTTCTTTTTCAGGTTCTTCACTATTGGCATATAGAAATACAACTGATTTTGTATGTTGATTTTGTATCTTGCAACTTTGCTTAATTTATTTATCAGTTCTAATAGTTTTTTTGTGTGAAGTACGGGGTTTTCTATATGTAAAGATCATACTATCTGCGAATAGGGACAGCTTGATTTCTACTCTTCCCATTTAGATTCCCTTTATTTCTTTCTTCTACCTGATTACTCTAGCTAGGACTTCCAGGACTATGTTCAATAAAAGTGGTGAAAGTGGGCACCTTTGTCTTGTTTCAGATCTTAGAGAGAAAGCTTTCAGCTTTTTCCCTTTCAGAATGATGTTGGCCGTGAGTTTGTTATGTATGGCCTTTATTATGTTGAGGCATGTTCCTTCTATACCTAATTTGTTGAGAGTTTTTATTATGAAGAGATGTTGAATTTTATCAAATACTTCTATTGAGATAGTATGATTTTTGTCCTTCATTCTATTAACATATCATGTTTAATGATTTTCCTGTGTTGATCCATCCTTGCATCCCTAAAATGAATTCCACTTGATTATGGTGAATGATATTTTTAATGTGCTGCTGAATTTGGCTCACTTATTTTTGTTGAGGATTTTTGTATCTGTGTTCATTAGGGATATTAACCTGAAGTTTTCTTTTTTGGTTGTGTTATTGAAATTTAGTTATGGAGCCTGAATGAGATCATAGTCTAGGCTAGAAGACAGCTCTATAACAAAAAGGTTACAATCTTATAGTCCTTTAGGATCATAACTTTTTTGTTTAGATATACAAGACATAATGGTTGCACAAGAGGCAGAAGTAGTGGACATCATGTAGAGAATCAGGGGAGGTTTACAGATAGTAATATTTAAGATGGCTGTTGAAGAATATGCTCATTGGGAAAACACAGGGAGAGGGGAATTCCAGGGAGAGGAAACAACATGTACAAAAGAGAGGAGCAGAAGAAAGCATGGCCGTTTGGGGAAATGCAGGTGAAGTTTGTTTTTTGTTTTTGTATGTTTTTTAAAAGAGACAGGGTCTTGCTCTGTCCCCCAGGCTGGAGTGCAGTGGTGCAATCATGTCTCACTGCAGTGTAGACCTCCTGTGCTCGAGGAATCCTTCCACCTCTGCCTCCTGAGTAGCTGAGACCTCAGGCACATGCCACCAGGCCTGGCTAATTTTTTATTTTTTGTAGATGGGGTCTCACTATGTTGCCTAGGCCAGTTTTGAACTCCTGGGCTCAAGCAATCCTTCCACCTCTATCTCCTAAAGTGCTGAAATTATAGGTATGAGCCCCCATGCCTGGCTGAAATGCAGGTATTTTGGAATTCCTGAAATGTCAGTTATAGAAAAGAGTGGAAAGTGATAGGGTTTAAGAGACAGACGTGGGCTAGATAATAAAATACTTTACTATGTTAATGAGTTGAGAACAATTTCTGTGGTGATGAGGACTCTAAAAATGTAAGTTTTATAATCTAGAAGCAACATGAGGGATGGACTGGGGGTGGAAAGGAAGAGATCGGACACAAGTCAGGGGATTGTTGCCATAAACTATGACTAGGTGAAACATAGGGCCCGGACTAGAGTATGTATACAGAAAGGGTGTCTTGGATGGTTTTCAGGTTTTGGCTGAGCACCTGGTTCATGTTGACAAAGGGAGTAACAGGGGAGGTGTACAGGGGTTTGGATCATGAGAAAAGGAGTTTTACTTTTATACACATTGAGTTTGAAGTGACTATGAGACACTCAGTTGGGTCTGCATAGAGAAGCCGGAGCTCAGGAATGTGGAATATCAATGATGTTTTAGCTGTAAAAGACGCTGAGATTGTTTAAGGAAAGTGTGGTTATACCGAGAATAAGAGAGGTAAAGGCAAAAATCTTGGCATGATAGCATTTGTGAAGTTGAAGTAAGATTGAAGAAGAGCAGCCAGAGAAGAAAGTGATATGGTATATAACAAAAAAGGGAAGACTTTAATCAGCAGGAATAGGTTAATAGAAAAGGACTGAAAATTGATACCTCTGAAGTCACTAAAAGTTGGTAATTATGAAGTGACCTTGGCAAGAGCCAGAAGACAGAAATTAGAATAAAATAAATTAAGGAATAAGTGGGAAATAATTTACTTCAAGAAACTCAATCAGAAAGATTGAAGGAAGCAAAAATGCTGGCCTTAGGAGGTACCTTGATGAAGGGCTTTTGTAATTTAGAGGAGATCAGGAGATCTCAGTATGTTCAGGGCCTAAGGAGAAGGAGCTAGTCAAGAACACAGGTGCAAATACAAGGGAACAGGATTTCTGGAATGGACCCAGGGGCACGAGGTCTGCTGGAGAAGGAGATGAGGAGGGTGTGGATAATGACAGTCTGGCCATGGTGGGCAGCCAATAGTTGCGGGGCACACATGGGAGGAACTCTCAGTTCTCTGGGGTATGAAGGCCAGATAAGGAAGGGCTGGAGCTGGAGCTGGGGGCAGTTGTGGGGGTGGGTGTCAGGGGAAACCTATTTTCCATCTGAGAGGCAACACAGTGTTTTCCTCTGCCGCACTGTTGTAGTACTCAGACTAGAGCTTCATGCTTAAATACTGCCTCCAACTAGTCCCTAGTTATTTCACAAACCTGTCTTCTGTCCTCATGCAAATGTGAGTACTAGAAATTAATATTTCTCCTTCTCTATTTTCCTTAAGACATTATTGTATATTAGAAAGACTTGAGTTTCTGAATTAGATTCATTGGGTTTGAGTCTTGAATCCAACTCTTACTAGTTATATGCGCTTAGGCAACTCTTCTCCATTGTCTGAAATTTAGATTCCTTACATATAAAATGGAGGTAGTAATATAGACCTCATAAAAATGTAAAGATTAAGCTAAAAACTTGTGTACCATCTCTCATCCATAACATGGAGGCCTAGACTGGGCACCTGATATGCTAAATCTATGCATAATAAACAAATGAGTAACCTGGAACAGCGATGTATATCAACATGAAAATGTCTTTTCTTCAACTATTATATTCAGTTTCATTTCTAACTTTAAAATATATTGCCTGACATTAAAGAAACTATGGGAAAGGGTCATTCTATTACATTCCAATTTTGTCCTTCAGTAATCACAGCTGCCACCTCACTTTTAGGTGTGCATAGCAAGAAATCCAAATCAAGAGCTTGGGTTGGGTATTACCATGTGGCAGGCCTCCTTGGGCAACATCCCACTGGGTTTGAGTATTTCATAGGCATATTTGCCTTGGCCTTTAGTCTTGTTTTCATAGCTCAATAGTGCCAGCTTTCAAGATTATACAAGATTGTAGTGACACATTTTATTTAATGCTTCATTTTCTTTATAAGAGTAGTTTTTGGCTAAAAACCAAACAAACAAAAACAACAACAAAACATGCTATGCTTCATAAGCCTCATGCCTCTTGGTCCCTGGCTTGTTCAGCTGAATATACGCCAATAGAGAATAACTGGGTCACCAAGTTCTGGACACATCGCCCTGGAAAATGTCAGATGTTGGATGGTCTATTCCTTTCTCTGGCACCAGCTCAAGTAACTTCATGAATAAATCCTAAGTGCTTTAAGAAATAAAAATGACTCTTAAGAACATGTTTTCTTTCAAGTATAGAGAAAACACTGGTGATGTTGGCTTTTCTTTTTTAGCATCCTTTTTCATTTTGAATTTGAAAGCCACAGAAAAGCCAGTTGTTTAAGGAAATCCCAATAAGAGATGAAGTATATGAGATAGTAATAATAACATAGAGCCACTCTTTTATCTGTGTAAATGGAAGTCTAGGCCTTTAAAACTATTATTGACCAAAACATAGTTTAACAACATTTTTAGACAAAACACATTGCTGCATGCTACCATTTTAAAAAGAAGATAAAAACATTCTCCAAACATGAAAAATGTTTTTAAAAAAGAGTGTGTAACAGGGAGGATTTGGGGCCCTGCTAATTCAGCATTTGAAAAGAATGGTCTGAGTTGTTGCTTCTCTATTCTTGCAACTTCTGCACAAAGGTGCTGATGAGTAGTGAAGAGATAAAAGGTACATAGCAGAAAGAAAAGGCTTAAAAAGTAAAACTGATAGTTCGTGATGTGAGACCCACAAGCTAAACAGACAGTCCTTGAATAATGGAAAGATGATTTTTGTGTGTGTGTGTTTACTTAATGTCTCATCTCCTAACAACTCAAAGGGCTTTCTACTTGTGGAGGCTATGAGAATGCACTGTTCAGATATTTTGCTACAGGGTGCTTCTGCCTCTGTCAATCCGTCATCCTCCTGATGTGAAGAACACACTTCCTGCAGGCTGCTCCTGCCCAGTGAATGAACTTGGCAGGAGGACTGATACAGACTGTTTCCAGTGAGAGGTGGGACACTTCCTATAGGTGGGTTTGGCTCTGGGAATCTCCACTGATCAGGCTAAGCTTTCTTGGAACTGCACTGTGGTCTGAAAACCCTCCTTCTCTCCCTCCTTCCATGAGTGTCAGGCATCCATTGCAGTCTGGAGGCTCTTCCCAACTTTCCTTTCTACCTTCCCTAAGAAATCTCTTGCACATCTAATCCTATCTTCGTATCTACTCTTGGAAGACATGAACTAACATATTCATCCACTATTTTAGTTTTGCTTTATCACCATAGGCAGTTACTTATAGACAGAAAAATTGAGGCAAAAAAAGATTTAATAAATTGCCAAAGGAGATACGATAACTCAGTGGCCTGTCTGAGCTCTTTCTTACGACCTGAGGCTTCTGATTCCCTATAATCTTTCATTTAACAGATATTTATTGAATGACTATTATGTGGTTGGCTCTAGAGCTTATCCTAAGAATATAGAGCTCCTGTTGAAAAGTTCTATGCAAGAGAGTGGCATGCTTAGATTTGTGATATAATCAGATCATTTTGCTAAAAGTAGAAAACGAATGAAGGGGAGCAAGGCCAGATTAGAGGAGGCCAGTGTGGAAGCTGTTGCAGACATTCAGAGAAGAGATGATGGCAGCATGTGTGAGAGTAGAAGAGGCAAGGAAATGTTTAATAAGGAAAATTGAGAAGATTGGTGACTCAGTAGATACTTACTCTGCACCAGGCCCTGGCCTACACTCTGGGAAGGCAGAGAATAAAAGACATATTCCCAACTGTCCAGAAGGATTTGGCTGGCTTTTGTTCAAAGATATGTAAGTAAAGGAACTTTTAATTCACCCCAGTTGCTTAAAGCCCAGGAACATAATGGAAAACAGGAGGGAAAAAGTCTCCAACAACAATAAAACCAGAATATGGCCATAAGCCTAAACCACAGACTGTGACACACAGAAGCCATTTATGGTGGAAAGGTCTGCCAACAGGAGGATGCTGAGAGCAGACACAAGCCTCAGACTCTGAACAGGATGCAACCATCTCCAAAAGTAAGTGTCACGATAGTGGAAAGTCTATCCATTATCCTTTGACCAGGAAAACCAGTACTAAGAGAATTTGAGAGAGGCAGGGAGTCCCCTTATGTATAGTTCTCTAACACAAAAGGAAGTCAGGGGAGGTGGGGCTAAGACAGGCTGATGCCCCATATTACCTTTTACACCCAGAAGTGAAGCCAGGCTGAAGGACAGAAGGGAATAATCAAGTATCAGATCTTGAGACAAAGCCTTGTGATTTACCGGGCTTTAGTTTGAATCAAACTGCCTTCTAGAACAAGAGTTACAACAAGAGCCTGCCAGCTAAATCTGGCTCATTGCTTATTTTTGTTCTGTTGTGAGCTGGGAATGATTTTTACATTTTAAATAGTTAAAAAAAAATAAAAAGCGGCCAGGCACGGTGGCTCACGCCTGTAATCCCAGTACTGTGGGAGGCTGAGGTGGGTGGATCACAAGGTCAGATTGAGATCATTGTGGTCAACATGGAAAAACTCCGTCTCTACTAAAAAAACAACAACAACAACAACAAAAATTAGCCGGGCATGGTGGCGTGCATCTGTAGTCCCAGCTACTCGGGAGGCTGAGGCAGGGGAATCACTTGAACCTGGGAGGCAGAGGTTGCAGTGAGCCAAGATCGCACCACGGCACTCCAGCCTGGAGACAGAGCAAGACTCCGTCTCAACAAAATAAATAAATTAAATAAATAAATACATAAATAAATAAATAACAACGAATAATATTTCATGACAAGAAAGTCATATGATATCCAAATTTCAATGTCCATGAATAAAGTTTTATTGGAACACAGCCATGAGCATTTGTTTATATATTGTCTATGGCTGCTTTCAAGCTATATATGTATCAGTGTGCTAGGGCTGCCATACAAATATCACAGACTGGGTGGCTTAAACGACAGAATTTTCTTTTCTTTTCTTTTCTTTCTTTGAGATGGAGTCTCACTCTGTTGTCCAGGCTGGATAGCAATGGCATGATCTCGGCTTACTGCAACCTCTGTCTCCCGGGTTCAAGCAATTCTCCTGCCTCAGCCTCCCAAGTAGCTAGGATTACAGGCGTGAGCCACCATGCCCAGCTAATTTTTGTATTTTTAGTAGAGATGGAGTTTCACCATGTTGGCCAGGCTGGTCTCGAACTCCTGGCCTCAAGAGATCTGCCCCCCTCAGCCTCCCAAAGTGCTGGGATTACAGGTGTGAGCCACCACACCTGGCCAGAAATTAATTTTCTTACATTTCTGGAGGCTAGGAAGTCCAAGGTATCAGCAGTGTTGTTTTCTCCTCAGGCCTCTTTCCTTGGCTGGCAGATGACCACCTTTTTGCTGTGTCCTCACATGGCCTTTTCTCCTTGTAAGTTTTCATTCCTGTGTCCTTCTCTTTTTCTAAGGACATCAGTCCATATGGCACAGCCCTTATGAATGGGATCGGTGCCTTTGTAAAAGACACACCAGAAAGCTACCTTGTCCCTTCCACTATGTGGGAATACAGGGACAAGGTGCCATCTATGAACCAGAAAGCAGGCACTGAATTTGCTGTACCTTGATCTTGGACTTCCCAGCCTCCAGAATTGTGAGAATGGACTAAGATGAGGGAAACAATTCCATTTGTAACAGGCTACAATGACACAGTTGAGTAGTTGAAGCAGAAACTGTAAGGTTCTCAAAGCCTAAAACATTTACTATCTGGCTCTCCACCAAAGAAATTTGCCAATGATGTCCAAAAGTGAGAGAAGACTTGCCCCCAGGGCAAAGGAACTAAAAGATTTGGTGACAGAGTGTTTGTGACAAGAAAACAAATTTCCCCAGTGCATTTCCACCCAAGTTTTAGGCTCATGTTATTCCTTAGCAAGCAGGATGTCAAATGACTGTGGCAAGGAGGATAGATATGGAAGAAGAAAATCCAACATACAGAAAATTGGCTTTCCTGAAGAAGCAATCAACAATCAGAACACAAAGGTAATTCAGTCAGTAATGGAACTTTTGTGAAATAAACAACCACTTTATTTGTTGTTTGATGGCTCCCACTGTCCTCCAGAAAATCTAATACAAGCAATGCCAAGTTTCAGTGGCATCACTGATATTCCTCTCTAAAGGATGAATCATACAGGCATCCAGAAGAAAGTCCTCAAAGCCAGAAAAGAACTTTCGTTTACAAAGATTTGGGGGAAATAGAATTGGAATTAAAAACTGTCTGCCCATTTAAGTTATTCTATAAGCCTGAAAACAACAGATAGACGATATTAGGAGTGCAAGAATTCAGGAAACATCCAATACACCTGTCTTAGTCCATTCGGGCTGCTATACTAAACTACCATAGACTGGGTGGCTCATAAACAAACTTCTTTCTCACAGTCCGGGAGGCTGGAAAGTCCAGGATCAAGGTGCCAGCAGAATTGGTGTCTGCTGAGTGCCCATTTCCCGGTTTATCTTTTTGCTATGTTCCAACAAGGCAGAAGGGGCAGGGATCTTTTTGGGGCCTCTTTTACAAGAGTATTGATCCCATCATAAGGGTTTCATTCTCATGACTTAATCACCTCCTAAAGCCCCCACCTCCTAATACCATCATATTGGGGGTTAGATTTCAACATATGAATTTTGAGGGTAACATAAGCATTTGGTATATAGCAGTAACTCCTTAAAAATACAAAGATTTTGATAACAAAAACTGCTAAAGGGAAGATAGAAAATGAAAACTTAACTAAGACATGGAGAAGCCATGATACAAGAACAGGTGGTGAGCATCAAACTCATTTAAATATAGAATCACAGCATTTCCATCATCTTACATGGTTATAGTTTCTGTAATTATCCTTCACACCATTACTTAGGTTTTTATTCTGACAATGCCAAAGTAATTATATAAAAACAAAACTCAAAAAGTGCAAAGAAGGGGACGTTGGAGAAGGTGTTAATGTGCTCATTTCCTTATCTTTTATAAGAGGAAGTTAAAAGTTATCACTTAAAGTTGAAATATATAGGTTTTTTTGTTTGTTTGTTTTTTGTTGTTTTTTTTTTTTTGAGACGGAGTCTTGTTCTGTCGCCCAGGCTGGAGTGCAGTGGCTCAATCTTGGCTCACTGCAAGCTCTGCCTCCCGGGTTCATGCCATTCTCCTGCTTCAGCCTCCCGCGAAATATGTAGTTTATAAAAGCATAACAAACTCAACTGCTTAGTGTTTTTCATGTTTTCAGCAAGGAATCTTTTATAATCTGGTTTCTCCTGGGTAGAGAAACTTTTAAGTTTAGCAATTCTTTTAGTCTCACTAGGTGCTTCTTCTTATCTCCAAATAAAAATAAAATATAATACATTATGATGATGATAACATGTAGATTCATCAAGGCTGCTGCTAACACAGACAGGGTCTTTATGTAAATTAGAATCCAGCAATTCCTGTTGGGAAACAAATTATATATTCTCTCTCTCTCTTTCTTGGTAGATGGATTACAAAAGGGCATCTTCTTGCTACTGACAAATGTGTCCGGATTTCAGACCCCATTCTTCCTCTGGGCGCTTCTGAGTGAGGAACAATCTGCACAACATGTTTACTTTTTTTTTTTTTTTTTTTTTTGGAGATGGAGTCTCACTCTGTTGCCCAGGCTGGAGTGCAGTGGTGCAATCTGGGCTTACTGCAACCTCTGCCTCCCAGGTTCAAGTAATTCTCCTGCCTCAGTCTCCTAAGTAGCTGGGATTACAGGCACACACCACAAGCATGATCTACCCACCTTGGCCTCCCAAAGTGCTGGGATTACAGGCGTGGGCACCTGTGCCCGGCCTATTATTATTATTTTAATCTTGCTGTCTTTTCTCATTTTTTACAGCCTATTGAGGTACAAATGATGTAAGATAAATTGCATAGATATAGTGTACAATTTGATAAGTTATGATGTACTATATCCATGAAACTACCACCATAATCAAGGTAATAAACATCTCTTCCCTCCAAAAGTTTCCTCATGCCCCTTTTCCACCTCTCCCATTCTTTCTTTCCCTCCCACCTCCAGCACCCAAGTGACTAAGCATGTGCCTTCTCTCGCTATAGATCAGTTTGCATTCTTTAAAATTTTGTATAAATAAAATAATACAGCATTTATTCTGTTTTTCCTGGCTTCTTTCATTTAGCATAATGCATTTGACATTCATTCATATTACTGCATGTATAATTAGTTTGTTCTTCTTTATTATTGAGTAGTGTTCTATTATTTAGAGATAGCACAATCTGTCTACTCATTTGTCTGCTGATGGACACTTAGGTTGTTTCTAGGTTTTTGCTATTACAAAAAAGCTTCTATGAACATTTCTGTACAATTCTTTGTCTAGATATTTTCTTCTTTTTCTCATGGAAGTGGGAAGGTGAAATCGTATGATAGGTGTGTTTACTTTTTAAGAACTGCCAAGCTGTGCAGATTCGTGCTTCCATATTGTGCTATGTTCCTTTTGCCTAAAGGACTTCCTTTAACATTTATTGTAGAACAAGTCTTCTGGTGCTAAATTTTTTATTATTTTGTATGTGTAAACCAGTCATTATTTCATGTTTATTTGAAATATATTTTTTCTGGATATAGAATTCTAGCTTGACACTTTCTTTTTCAGGACATAGACTTATTGCTCCAATAGCTTGCATTGTTTCCAAAGAAAAATGTGATGCCATTCTAACCTTTGTTCCTCTGTATGTAATATGTCTGTTTTCCTCTGGCTGAACTAAGATGATCTCTTTATTATTAGTGTTAAGTAATTCCTTTATAATGTGCTTCTTAGTGTAGTTTTCAAATTTCTTACACTCGGAGTTCACTGAGCTTTCCAGTTCTGTGGGTTTTTTCAACCAATTTGTAAAATTTAGGCCATTATGTCTTCAACTATTTTTTTCTGTTTTCCCCTTTCTTTATTCCTTTGAGGATTCTAATTATGGGATGAAGGTCAATGGTAAAAAGAAAGATTGGGCCGGGCACGATGGCTCATGTCTGTAATCCCAGCACTTTGGGAGGCCAAGGCAGGCAGATCACGAGGTCAGGAGATGGAGACCATCCTGGCCAACATGGTGAAACCCTGTCTCTAGTAAAATACAAAAAAAAAAAATAGCTGGGTGTGGTGCCACGTGCCTGTAGTCCTAGGTACTCGGGAGGCTGAGGCAGGAGAACCGCTTGAACCTGGGAGGCAGAGGTTGCAGTGAGCCGAGATAGTGCCACTGCACTCCAGCCTGGTGACAGAGCAGGACTCCATCTTAAAAAAAAAAAAAAAGAAAGATTGTTTCTGGGCCATGGAATTAGGTTGATATTTTACTTCCTCCTTTGTCTTGTACATATTTCTTAAATTTTAAATATTGACAATGTTTCCCGCTTATTTTTAAAAATAACTGACAACTCATTTCTTGAATAGAGAAATTCTTCTCCCAAATTAAAAAATAAAAGTCATTAATATGCTACATTTTTTTTCTAGATTTCTAAAGCATCATGTAGAATCAACTCAAAAAAAACAAAAAAAAAGGTGACCAAAATGAACAACATCTTTCTTGCACTCAACTAAAATTGCCAGTTCTTATATTTTAAAGCTATATTATCATTTTTGAAATTGGCAACTTTAAGCCTGCTCAAAGATATAAATGTGTGTGCTATTCATACAATGAGATACTACTCTGTAATAAAAAGAAATGAATTATTGATATAAGCAACAACATACATGAATCTCAAAATAATTAGGCCAAGTGAAATAAACAAGACAAAAAGAGCACATACTGTTTAATTCCATATTTGTAAAATTCTAGAAAATGCAAACTAGTGTTCCGTGACAGAAAGGTGGTCTGTGGTTGCCTGGGGATGACAGTTGTGAGGAAGGAGAGATCACCAAGGGGTGTGAGGAAACTGTTGCTGTGTTGGACATGGCCATTATCTTAGCTATGTGATGGTGTCCTGGGTGCTGGCATGTGTTAAAACTTATCAAATTGTACACTTTAAATATGTGCAGTTTATTGTATGTTAATTATACCTCAGCAAAGTTGATGTAAAAATTCATTTTACGTTAAACACAACAAAGCCTGTGACATGTCTCTCTTGTAAAATCATAAATGGGAGAAAATTAGGATATGCTGAGCACCTTCTCTGTCCTAAACAATGCTAAGTGCTTGTGCTAAGTTTTGTCATCTAATCCTCATACCAGCCACATAAAGTAGGTATTATTAGCACTCCATTTAACAAAGGAGGAAACCTAGACTCAGAGAGATAAGGGTTCCTCAGTGGGGACTCAGGTTTGTATTAGGTCTTATTTCAGATTTGTGCCTTTTCCATAGTAGCAGAGGCTTCTCTTGAGGTATTTTTGCCTGCTAGGAATCCTAAGTATTATTTATACTTGTTAGTTTGTGACAATATTCTTGCTTATTATGGTTTTTTGCTTAAAAATAGGTTACAGTTTAGGCTTTTTATCTTGTAGTGATTTTTTACAGGGGATTAAAGATAGAGATGATATATATGAATTTGTAATACTGGTTTTTCTTTGTTTCTGATTGTCATGATCTGCATATTTATGCAAAATTTAAAACTGGGAATAGACACACTTTTTAGAATGGCAAGTAGAACCAAAAAAAAATCTATCCTCTGAAGAACATAACTTGCCCATACAGTCTTAAAAGTCCAGAATAGTTTAGTTAGCAGCAATCTCCACATAGTTCATTTTGCCACAAAATGGAACTATATGATTTTCTCTCTAATTTTTAAATTATAAACATGCAACCACAATGAAGAAGAAACAACTTTGAACTTGTCTTCTCTCCATATTAACACTTTCCAGCCTCTCTCCCACCTCTCTCTCACAAACCCTGCACTCCGCCCCATCTGTTCTATTCTATCAACCATTTCTCTCTACATATATTCGTTTATTCTGCCATTTGCCTCTGAACTTGCACTTACGTTACTCTGTCTTCCTGGGAATGAAGTCCACCTTTAAAGTGTCAACATTCTTTAAAGATTTGTTTGAATCCTCCCACTGCCATTGTGTCTTTCTTGTTCATCCCGACCAAAAACAAACAGCTCACTTTCCCCAGTCTTTGAAATATTTACTTTCTGTACCATTCACTTACCCTTTACAGATCATATACCACATTATTAGTCTGCATGCTGCTTTTACTCTTTAATATTTGTGTTAGTCAGGGTTCTCTAGAGGGACAGAACTAATAGGAAATGTGTATATA
This sequence comes from Homo sapiens, assembly GCF_000001405.40. Taxonomy (NCBI): domain Eukaryota; kingdom Metazoa; phylum Chordata; class Mammalia; order Primates; family Hominidae; genus Homo; species Homo sapiens. The sequence goes on from NC_000013.11 coordinate 33,462,447, forward strand.
TGCAGGGGAGTTTGTTAAGGAGTATTGACTCACACGATCACAAGGTCAAGCCCCATGATAGGCCGTCTGCAAGCTGAAGGGCAAGGAAGCCAGTCCAAGTCCCAAAACCTCAAAAGTAGGAAAGCCAACAGCACAGCCTTCAGTCTGTGGCTGAAAGCCTGAAAGCCCCTGGTAAACCACTGGTAAAAGTCCAAGAGTCCAAAAGCTGAAGGGCTTGGAGTCTGACGTTCAAGGGCAGGAAGCGTCCAGCATGGGAGAAAGATGAAGGCGGGAAGACTCAGGAAGTCAGCTCCTTCCACCTTCTTCTGCCTGCCTTATCCTAGTCATGCTGGCAGCTGATTGGATGGTGCCCACCCAGATTGAGGGTGGGTCCACCTCTCCTAGTCCACTGACTCAAATGTTAATCTCCTTTGGCAACACCCTCACGGACACACCCAGGAACAATACTTAGCATCATTCAGTCCAATCAAGTTGACACCGGATCACTCAATATCAACCGCCACAATATTTTAAATTGTTGGAAGGTTAGAGTCCCATGATATACCTCTGTATCTCTCAAAATGCCTAGTTGAGTGCTTTCCATTTAAATGGTCAATACATATTTGGTGTCTAACTGAATAAGTAAATAGTTTGCAAATCTCTGGAAGTGATGCAGGGTAGGCAAGCCTCCGAATTGGTGCTTAGCTTGGGAAGGTTCTTGATTTTGCCCAGGAAAGAATTCAAGGGTGAGCCTGTGGTGTTAGACAGCAACTTTTATTGAAGTGCCAGAGCACAGCAACAACAGGGATACTGGTCTTTGTGGAGCAGGGCTACTCCATAGACAGTGTGCCCAGAGGAACAGCTCAGAGGCAGTTCTGCAGTCAGATTTATACCCACTTGTAATTATACACAAATTAAGGAAGAGATTATGCAGAAATTTCTAGAAAAAGGTGATAACTTCCAGGTTGCCCAGTTGTTACCATGGAAAGGGTCCATAACCTCCAGGTGCTGCCATGGTAATGGAAACTGACATTGCGCACTGGTGGATGTATATTTTGGAAACTTGCTTCTGCCCTGTCCCTACTTTAGCTAGTTCTCAATTTGGTCCAGTGTCCAAGACCTGCCTCCAGAGTCGAGTCCTGCCTCCTACCTCAGAAGTGCCAAGAAATGTTAGAGAAAGCAGAGACCAGCTATATAGAACTCACTAGGGTAACATAGTTGGAGGTCTGGAGTGTGCTAACCCCACTTCATGTAACCTGGTGGGAACTAGTGCTTTATCCTTTTTGGGTGTCAAAATATATGCATAGGCTGGGTGCAGTGGCTCATGCCTGTAATCCCAGCACTTTGGGAAGCAGAGATGGGTAGATCACGAGGTCACGAGTTCAAGACCAGCCTGGCTAACGTGTCAAAACCCCATTTCTACTAAAACTGCAAAAATTAGCCAGGCATGGTGGCGGGTACATGTAATCCCAGCTATCAGGAGGCTGAAGCCAGAGAATTGCTTGAACCCAGGAGGCAGAGGTTGCAGTGAGCAGAGATCGTGCCATTGCACTCCAGCCTGGGTAACAAAAACAAGACTCCGTCTCAAAAAAAAAATACATATATATATATATATATGTATATGTATATGTATATGTATGTATGCATAGCATTAAAACATTAGAAGATCAATGGTGACTGAACTATATATTCATCAACTAGTGTGAAGTCTGGGATTTTTACTTCAAAGTAAGCCAGTAGGGGGCTGAGAGAGAATATTGATGAAACAAAACTAGTCATGTGTTGATATTTATTGAAATGGGAGATGGATAAAGGGTATTTTATTATACTAGTCTCTATGATTTGGTCTTTATTTGAATGTTCCAATAATATTTTTAAAAGATTTTTCATTAAAGCATTAAGATATGTACAATGAAGAACAAAATATTCTCACTTATACAAGTCAATTATTGTAACACATATGTTGCTCCAAAACCTTATTTGATAAGAGATGACACAAAGGTCCATGTTTGAAAGGAATCTGTTTCCATGCTTCATTGCCCTTTAAAGCCACCATTGAAAGAGTGGAGCCCTGCACTGATCCTATGCTACTATTGCATAATAATACTGAGCATTTCTTTATTTGTTTAAAAAATGTATTGAGGCTGGGCATGGTGGCTCATGCCTGTAATCCCAGCACTTTAGGAGGCCGAGGGGGGCAGATCACTTGAGGCAAGAACTCAAGACCAGCCTGGCCAACAATGCACAAACTGGTCTCTACTAAAAATACAAAAATTAGCTAGGTGTGGTGGCGGGCACCTGTAATCCCAGCTACTTGGGAGGCTGAGGTGGGAGAATCACTTGAACTCGGAAGGCGGAGGTTGCAGTGAGCTAAGATCATGCCATGGGCAACAGAGCGAGACTCTTGTCTCCAAAAAAAAAATTGTTGAACGCCTGCTATGTACTAGATACCACATGAGGAGGTGTAGTGCCTGCCTGCAAGACACTGCCAGTCCGGCAGGAAAGTCAAACTACAAGTGCCATTAAAACCTTAGGTTTTTCCCATCTCCATAAAAGCACAACCTCAAGCCAAAATTTGGGAAGCATCCTTGATTCTTTCCTTCAGTTCATATAGCCAATGTATTATCAAGTCCTGTCAACTGCTTCCCCTAAAATCTCCCACTTTCTTCTTCTAGCCTTTATTTTTACTATCTTCATTGCTATTTTGCTATTTTCTTTCTACCATTTACCATGATCTGTTGCCTGCCTTACAGCAGTCTCTTAATTGGTCTTCTTCTTTTTTTTTTTTTTTTTTTTTTGAGACGGCATCTCACTCTGTCACCCAGCCTGGAGTGCAGTGGCGCGATCTCGGCTCACTGCAAGCTCCGCCTCCCGGGTTCACGCCATTCTCCTGCCTCAGCCTCCCGAGTAGCTGGGACTACAGGTGCCCGCCACCACGCCCGGCTAATTGTTTGTATTTTTAGTAGAGACGGGAATTCACCATCTTAGCCAGGATGGTCTTGATCTGACCTCGTGATCCACCTGCCTCGGCCTCCCAAAGTGCTGGGATTCCAGGCGTGAGCCACCGTGCCCAGCTGGTCTTTTCTTCCGCTTTTGTATTTCTATCATTCATCTTCAAAATACATCAGATAATGTTCCTCCCCATTGCCTAAAAGTCTCTGATAGGTTCCCATGGCATTCAGGATGGGACTTACAGGATCTTTCCTCTGTGATCCGAACTCATATCACTCTCCTCATTTGCTCCACTACAGACTGACTGGCTTACCTAGAAAAATGACATGCACTACGCTAAGAGGCATTCCAGACTGGCTAGGAAAAAACATCTGCCAATTACACTATATGTTACATATTGTCTTTCTAAGGAAATATACCAGTCCATGTAAGGATAATGTCTATTACATTAACGAGATACATGCACTGGTATATTTCCTTAGAAATATGCTATCTCATTAATGTAGTAGACATTATCAAAAAAGTGAAAATTATATATACCTATATATATGAATAAATATAATAATATGATGTGATGGGACTCTAACCTTCCAATCACTTATTGTATGATTCCAGAGTCCCCACTGAGGAACTCTTATCTCTCCGAGCCTAGGTTTTCTCATTTGTTAAATGCAGTTCTAATAATGCCTACTTCATGTGGCTGGTATGAGGATTAGTTGACAAAACTTACCACAAGCACTTAGCATTGTTTAGGACAGAGCAGTCTTAAACAGTGCTCAGTATATCCTAATTTTCTCTCATTTATGATTTACAAGAGATACATATTACAGGTTTTATTTTTTAATGTAAAATGAATGTTTTAAATCAACTTTGCTGAGGTATAATTAACATACAATATGTTATGACGGGACTCTAACTCTCCAGTAATTTAAAATATTAGAGTAAAACTTGAAACATTCAAATACAGACAAAACTTTAGAGACTAGTGTAATAAAATACCCTGCATCCCTCTCCTATTTCAATAAATATCAACATATGACTAGTTTAGTTTCAATATTCTCCCTCAGCCCCCTACTGGCTTATTTTGAGGTAAATCCCAGACTTCACACTATTTGATGGACGTATAGTTCAGTAACCATTGACCTTCCAATATTTTAATGCTAAGCTCCTAGACAGTAATTAGAAAGTATTTCAGACTTACATCCTCAATATTACACCCATGAAATGAATGTGCTTACTATTTATTTGTATTTCATTGTATCTTACTGAACTTTAATGTATTTGTATACTAACATCCATAAAAGTTTAAAGATTGAAGTTAAAAAAACAGTAAATATAGACTAAACCCCAACAAAACAAGGAAACTAACTTAGAAAAATACCATAACTTTATGTTATTAGTTGCTATTTATAAATTGCTTTCCAAGCACAAAAAGCAACATGAATACAAAGTACTTTAAGAGTCAGAATAGGGCTTCTGTGAAATCAAAAGTCTTTAAAGCCACAAAGAAATTTAAGACAATCCCAATTCAGAAGGGAAACACATACTTGGCATTCTTCCTGACCAGTGGTCTACATAATATCAAATAAAAATCAATATTTTATCAAGGATATAACTTGTGTGTGGAAGGCAATTTTTTCACTGACTGGGACCACAGTGGGGGTTGAGGGGGTGGGGATGATTTGGGGAGGATTCAAAAACATTACATTTATTGTTAACTTTATTTCTATTATTATTACATCCTAATAATAGGATGTAATCCATCTCTCTCATTGTAATATATAATAAAATAATTATACAGCTCACCATAATGTAGAACCAATGGGAGACCTGAGTTTGTTTCCCTGCAACTAGATGGTCCTGTCTGGGGGTGACGGGAGACAGTGACAGGTCATCAGGCATTAGATTCTCATAAGGAGGGCACAACCTAGAAACCCTTGCATGCACAATTCAGAGTAGGGTTTGCACTCCTATGAGAATCTAATGCTGCAGCTGATCTGACAGGAGGCAGAGCTCAGGTAGTAATACAAGAGATGGGGAGTGGCTGTAAATACAGATGAAGCTTTGCTCACTTGCCCACCATTCACTTCCTGCTGTGTGATGCAGTTCCTAACAGGCCATGGACTGGTATTTGTCCATGGTCCAGGGGTTGGGGACCTCTGGTCTAAGCACAGCAGTAAGTCTCTTTTCAGAGCGAAATGAGGACACTTACTAAATCTTTTCCAGGTTGCCTGTCTTTGGGTTGCATATTTAGGATAAGGGCATAATAATAATGGCGTGGTGACCAGTTGGAAATGAGTCCATAGGATGAGAGAGCTACCATGCGCCAGGCACTTAGACACATTACCTGTACTACCTATCTTAACCTTCACAACAATTTCATGATGTCATTATTATCTCCACTTTATAGATGGTATATATATTTGATATTATGTCTCATCCCCAGGTTTGCTTTAAGGACATTTGTTTGAATTGCTGTTCAAGGGAAAGAACAGAAGAAAGAACAGAAGATTGCTGTCTTCTTTAGGTCCAGTCACATTTTGGGAAATTCTTATAAGTAATCACAGTTTTGTTACTTAAGCAAACCTCATGGCAAAGGTGCCAGGAATAAGGCAAGATAAAATTGATGCATCATCTTTTAGCAATTGCATTTAGTCACAGGATATAACCATTAGTTCTATGTGAATGGCTCCCAAAAAGGCTACTACCATCCTGAACTTCCCAGGACCCCGGTTCTAATCCTACCTTTCCAAATGCCCAGAAGCCTCTCCCAAGGAGATATTCTTGTGGACATCTAATTCAATATTCTAAATCGGAATTTATAAATTTTTCTTTCCATTCTACTTATCCTCATGCATACCTGATTATGATTAAAGAAATTGGTATCTCTACAGGCCCCTGATGTGAAACATTTTATCTTTAGCTTTTACCTTTTACTGCTCCCTTCATCCAATTAATCTATTGACAATCCTTGTAATAGCAACTACTATGGCTTGAATGTGTCCCCCAAGGTTCATGTGTCAGTCAGAAACTCTACCTCAAATGTGGAAGTGTTGAGAGGTGAGGCTTCATGGAAGGTGTTTGGGCCATGGGGACATTTCTCTCATGGGTGGATGAATGCCATTATCATGGTAGTGTGTTTGTTATCATAGGAGTGGCTTCCTTATAAAAGGACAAGTTCAGCCATCTTTGCCCACCCCCTCCCCCACTCTCTCTCTCATCCTCTCTTTGCTCTTCCACCTTCTGCCATGGGATGGCAAAGCAAGAAGACTCTCACCAGATGCTAATGTCTTGATCTTGCCCAGATCAAGTTTCCAGTGTCCAGAATTTTGAGAAATAAATTTCTATTCATTATAAGTTACCCAGTTCCATGTATTCTTTTCTAGAAGCACAGCATGGACTAAGACAGTAACCTTCTGTTCTTTCTTCTCCATATGAGTATTTCTCACCAACAGAGTGAGAGCAGAAAGTGACATGGCAACTTCCTTGCTAAGGCCTTCTCTGCCTTCTCCTTCATGTTCCACTGGCTAGATCCATGGGACAACAGGGCCCTAGATGAAGGTAGCACCATTAGAAAAAAGGAACTTACCTTCCTGAATATTGCACAAAAGTGAGCCACTACTAACTAACAACATATACCTCAAACTATTGTAGTTGTGTTATTGTATATTTGGGGGACCTACTTGTTGCCACAGCTAGCCTACCATAATATACATGCTTACTATGCATCAAGCACTGGACTAAGCACTTTATATAAATTCTCTCATTTTCCCCTAAGAATAAGACTATAAGGAAGATATTATTACTATTCCTCTTTCACACAAAACAAAACTGGATTCTGCATAGTTCAGGAAACTTATGCAATGTCACAAGTAAGTTTCAGAAGCAGCATCCAACCCAGGATTACCTGATTCCAATGTCCCATTCTTAACTCACACTAGATGGCCACTTCCCATTATAATAAATGAAATCCAGTAATTTTAAGAATTAAAGTTGAGGTGCTATGGTTTCTCTGCCTTTAGATTCGCTTGAGAGATGTATTCAACATTTTGGCTTTTTAAGTCACTGCAAGTCTAGTTTACATGATATCCCCCTCACTCTGAGTATTGGCAGAAATAAACATAAAGCTGAAATAACTTACATTTCACCGAACAAATGTTTAAGGAATGATATTTACCAGGTACTCCCATAGACATTGGGTACATAACTGTGAAATAGAGACACTGGCAAAGAGACAATATTAGAGTAGAGGGATAGGGAAATTAAAAAAGGTATTAATTGCTCATAAAAATTCTGTGAAATGGTGAGAGTAGACATTATTATCCCATTTAATTAAGAGGAAATTGACACACATTATTTAAGATTAGTCTAATCTCATACATAGACTAATGATAGAACCAGAAGTAAGATCCTGGTCACCTGATCACAGATATCCCAAATAATCCACTTCAAGCAGGGTAGGGACAAGGGAAAAGGATGTTCATGAGACATGAGCTGTACAGCTTTTTTGTTTGTTTGTTTGTTTGTTCAATTTAAATTTTTTATTATACTTTAAGTTTGGGGTACATGTGCAAAACGTGCAGGTTTAGCATAGGTATACATGTGCCATGGTGGTTTGCTGCACCCATCAACCCATCATCTACATTAGGTATTTCTCCTAATGCTATCCCTCCCCTCAACTCCCCGACAGGCTCCACTGTGTGATGTTCCCCTCTCTGTGTCCATGTGTTCTCATTGTTCAACTCCCATTTATGAGTAAGAACATGTGGTGTTTGGTTTTCTGTTCCTGTGTTAGTTTGGTAAGAATGATGATTTCCAGCTACATCCATGTCCCTGCAGAGGACATGAACTCATCCTTTTTTATGGCTGCATAGTATTCCGCGGTGTATATGTGCCACATTTTCTTTATCCAATATGTGCCACATTTTCTTTATCCAGTCTATCATTGATGGGCATTTGGGTTGGTTCCAAGTCTTTGCTATTGTGAACAGTGCCACAATAAACATAAGTGTGCATGTGTCTTTATAGTAGAATGATTTATAATCCTTTGGATATATACCCAGTAATGGGCTTGCTGGGTCAGATGGTATTTCTAGTTCTAGATCCTTGCGGAATCGCCACACTGTCTTCCACAATGGTTGAACTAATTTACACTCTCACCAACAGTGTAAAAGCATTCCTATTTCTCCACATCCTCTCCAGCATCTGTTGTTTCCTGACTTTTTAATGATCGCCATTCTAACTGGCATGAGTTGCTATCTCATTGTGGTTTTGATTTGCATTTCTCTAATGACCAGTGATGATGAGCCTTTTTTCATATGTTTGTTGGCTGCATAAATGTCTTCTTTTGAGAAGTGTCTGTTCATATCCTTTGCCCACTTTTTGATGGGGTTGTTTGTTTTTTTCTTGTAAATTTGTTTAATTTCTTTGTAGATTCTGGATACTAGCCCTTTGTCGGATGGATAGATTGCAAAAATTTTATCCCTTTCTGTAGGTTGCCTATTCACTCTGATGATAGTTTATTTTGGTGTGCAGAAGCTCTTTAGTTTGATTAGATCCATTTGTGTATTTTGGCTTTTGTTGCCATTGCTTTTGGTGTTTTAGTCATGAAGTCCTTGCCCATGCCTATGTCCTGAATGGTAATGCCTAGGTTTTCTTCTAGGGTTTTTATGGTTTTAGGTCTTACATTTAAGTCTTTAATCCATCTTGAATTAATTTTTGTATAAGGTGTAAGGAAGGGATCCAGTTTCAGCTTTCTGCATATGGGTAGCCAGAGCTGTGCAGGTTTTAAGGAACTACTGCTGGAATGATATTAAGATATGTATAAGATTTTAAGCCAAACACTTTCATTTTTTCATATGAAAAGACAAAGAGTATGAAATTGCCCTAGCCATGTAGCCACATAGAGAGTAGCAGAGAGATCTGCTGTGAGTTGTGCTGGAAAGGTCTTTCTGCATAATGTAAAACCAGCTTTGCAGGCTGCAGCAGCCAGTTCCTGCAAATGCATTACAGCATGGCTGATTCACAATGCTTAATCCTCAGCTTCTAAACCCACAGATCTATTTAAATAAACTCCCAATTCTTTTTTATTTGCTACATTTACAATGCAAGGTTTACTTTCAGAATGGGAAGGAATACCTAATACTCCCTCAGAGGGCTATTTCCATTCTAAAATATAAGACTTGCAGAGCTGTGTTTCAGAAGTAATTGATTACCAGAGTAGATACATTCACAATTCAGTCATATTGGCCCCCTGTTTTTTTTTTTTTTTTGGCTCCTTGGGGGAAAAAAGTCACATGGCCAACTGATTTCATGCCCATCTGCAATGCAGACAAACATATTTTTATTTTTTAAAGCAAAACAAAATGGTCTTCCTGAGAAACGTTTAAGGATCCTTTCAAAATGGTCACAAATATTTGCAGCATTAAATTGCCAAGCTGCATTATAGATACTTCTGAACTAAATTTACTATTTCCTAGATAGCTGAAATAAGAAATTAGGAGAAATATGTAGGAAGAATATTCTTTCTTTATAAGTACTTTATATAAAGCCAATTATGCAGAGACAGATATGGCATCTATATATGTGAATTCATTTATTAATATAAAATAAAAGCCTGGTGAGTGAAATTATGTAGTATACTCCCTTTGCCTTTCATCAAATTTTCAAACAGATGGTGCCTTTCTTTTCTATGTATGATCTGCTCAAGTGTCAAGTTAACCATTTAAAAAATTTGCTTTTCATAACAAGTCTTTTTTATTTAGAACTTTGTCATCAGTTTATAATTATTTTTCTTTTTAAAAATCTTTTTATTTTTAATTTTTGAGGTTACCTAGTGGGTTTATATATTTCTGGGGTACATGAGATGCTTTGATATAGGCATGCAGTGCATTTGTTTCTTCTTTCTTGTTTATTCTTTTAATTTTTTAATTTTTAATTTTTGAGGGTACATCATAGGTTTTATAATTATTTTTTCAAAATTCAATCATAAAAGAAATACATATACTGGGGTTTCTCAGTGTTAACACTATTGACATTTGGGGCTGAAAATTTATCATAGTGGTGGAGGGGGCTGTCTCATCATGCATTGTGGTATGATTAGCAACATTAGAGAGCTCTACCGACTAGGTTCCAGTAGTACCCTCCCCTCAGTTGCGAGTTGTCACATGTCAAAATATCTCCAGACAGTGCCAGTTGTTCCCTAGAGCAGGTAGAGGGCAGGGAGCAAAATTGCTGCATTAAGAATCACTGACATACACCTATGTCAGCTATGGAGCTCAGTGCGGTTTTCTTGTTCACCACTGAACACCAAAACATGCAGCAATTTATCATGCAGCAAAAATGCACCCAAGAAATACAATGGCTTAGAAGCAGGTCTAACATTGAACAGAATATGTGCAGACAAATTAATATTCATCCTGTGTGTTCTCCATAGGCCTGAGGTCCAATTTAGTCTCAGCCAAGACCCAGAGGAATGCGAAAATGTCTAGATTTTAGAATATCTTTGGCTCCTTCCTGATTCAAAGTTAACTGGAGAGACTAATTTACCCTCCCCTCAGGCAGTTTAGGTATTCTTTGAAAGGGCCTGACATGGCCTCAGGAACTCTATCAGGAGTAATGCCTCATAAACATACACTGAAATAAAACTATAGGTTATAAGAAAAATTAGGCATAAAATACTTAAGATTCTGAGTTGTCCTTGAACTTCCTAGTTGGCTTGTTGATTCATCATTTATCAAGTGGGTGCATCCCATGTGCCAGGCATGGTGTTAGACACAGGAGATACAAAAAAGGAGTAGGATACTATCCTGCTTCAGAGAGATGAATCTGGTGTCAGGAAAATAAGAAGCACTATCATCTATGAAGGCCCTATAATGGGGCTTCATGTAATACTCACAAAGTCCAGAATAGTAAATATCATCCACATTCTTAAAAACAAGGAACTAACATTCAAAGCTGTCAAGTAATTTACACAATTTTACAGAGCTAGTAAGTGTCAGAAATCACATTTGAAGCCATATATGTGTTACTGAAACACCAGAAATTTGGTATATGTCTGGTTGCATGCTGCACAGAAAGCCAATCACTGAGACAATGAGTATTGCCAGTAAAGAGTATTGTTGCCGGACTTCAGCATCTGAATAAAGCCTCTTCCTTAGCAACAGTCATCTCAGTGATTGGCTTTCTGTGTATATAGGAAATGAACCCAGACCAAACCCCTGCTGTTTCAATAAGAGATTTTGGTTCCCGGACCAGTAATGCATTGCTTATGGTTCACTGCCATAGGCCAGGAGAGTCTCAGAAGCCCTTCTAAGCAGCTGTCCACCCATTTTTAGCTGTAGGTGAATTTCAGTCTCTCTCTGGCCCTGCCACTGCCAGCCCTAACCATGTTCCTGATTGCCTAGGAAGAATGGTTTTTAACATTTGTCACCTGCATCTGCATCAAATGGGTGAGGTTCTTTTGTGGGCCCAGACAGCAGGATCTGCTCCTCTCGATTTGGGAAATTCCAAAGGAATTTCTGTTTGCAGGTTAAACAAGCTCAACCAACTGAGAGAGGAAAGCACCCCAATTGTTTGAGTTTGGACACTCTTGGGACTTTGTTGTTGCAGCAGTTAGATTGCATTTTGGTGATTGTTTGTTTTTATGTGTGTGTTCCCTCTAGTTATGGGAGAATTTGATAAACTGATATTCTTTTGTAACACCGTCTCACCCCAGTATTCTTTGGAATCTGGAGAAGTTTGGCCTTTCCATGGGCCTCATTTTCTGGTTGAATGGGAAAGCAAGATGGAGTTCCACGTATCCAGGCTTTTATGCTGCTGTTCTAACCAGAGTCGAGCTAGTTAGTACATGATGTTCTTCTGTGGTGTGGCCCCAGTGTTCTTTGGACTCTGGGGAGATATGCCCTTTAAAAATCAAACTGCCATGGAAACTGCTTTACCCAAAATTTTGGTACATAGCCTTCATTGAATTACGTATTGGAGCAAACAGAGTTTAACCATGTGAACATGTCTGCAAGCTGCTGAGTTTATATTGCTATCTCATGACTAGAATTCTGAGGTAAAAGCTAGTGGATCTTTCTATGTGTATATATGTGTCTGGATGTTCCATATTATTTTTACCTGGCAACAAATTGACTTATAAATGAAAGAATGCTTGTACATTAAACAAATAAGTCCAAGAATTTTTCAAGTTCATGTGACTTGAGTAGATCTCTAATATACCAGCTGGCTTTAAAATTATTGATAAAATTCACATAAAAATGCTTTGAAATTGGCAGCATACACTTCTGTCTGGGTTTTGTATTTGTCTCTGCTGGATATTTTGAGACATCAGAGTTTGGAAGAGAAAGTTATAAAACTATAATCCCAGCCAAAACTAAAACAATCTCCATTTGTGTGAATTTCTTGACAAATAAGACTCATTTACTTTTGTTGGTTTAATAAAAGTAGCTGAATCCTCTGAGCTATTGGCAAAAATCCCCCTGCATTTAACTTTAAGGTTCTTGCTTAGGTAAACATCTAATATTTATAGGCTATTAAAAATTATTTACAAGGAAGTAACTTGAAATGATAACAAGTTTTGCTTAATATCTCAGTTTTCAGAAGAAATCTAGAGAAACTGTTAAAAAATAAAAGAAGTGAGTGCATATAAAAGGGATACGTGCTTATAGGTAAACTTTGTGTATAATTCAAAATCTTAAAATTATTTTTGATGCTCCTTGGATATCTGGGTCACTTCCACTTAAGAAAGGATTATGATATGGGGAAACATGTTTCTAAAAACTGTGGAATGGTTTTCATCTGTAAAATACTGATATTTGACAGATGGTTCAGGATTTTCTTGCTTCCCAAAGAATATCAGTTTATTCTTAAGGTTACTAAGAATAAGAATTCTAGTTAATATATAATTCTGTATGTAAAATGTGCCAAAGAAGATATGTTATTATTGACAAAAATTTCTACTTATATATATTTATATTAAACTATTGATTTTCTTAGTTTCTAATGGAAGGCTTGTAATTGGTTCTGTGGATACTCATTTTGTGTCCTACGCATTTCCAACAATTCATCATTTGCTCTATTTATCTAAACTTCCTAAGCTACCTTTGTCAAGCCTCCAAAATACAATAAAGCATACCAGCCATTTAAAACTGGATTGGTTTTGCTTACCTCTGATAATCTAGAGAGCTACAAGAGCATCAAGGTTTTCCTCCCTCAAAATAAAAGACTTATTTTTACAATTTCTAAACATAAATCATACATTGTTTATTTTGTTATTTAGAAAAATAGGTGAGGGTAGGCCAGGTGTGGTGGTCACGCCTGTAATCCCAGCACTTTGGGAGGCCAAGGTGAGCAGATCACAAGGTCAAGAGATCAAGACCATCCTGGCCAACATGGTGAAACCCCGTTTCTACTAAAAATACAAAAAGTTAGCTGGGCGTGGTGGCATGTGTCTGTAGTCCCAGCTACTCAGGAGGCTGAGGCAGGAAAATCACTTGAACCCAGGAGGTGGAGGTTGCAGCGAGCCGAGATGGCGCCACTGCACTCCAGCCTAGCAACAGAGCAAGACTCTGTCTCAAAAATAAAAAAAAGAAAAAAAAGAAAGAAAAATAGATGAGAGTAGAAATGTTTAAATGGTGTTTTTTCTAAGGTAATTCATTTTGATCAATAACTTCCATTGGTTTCAGATCTTTTCCTTTAGGTAATGAGAAAAATTGTGATACGGGTACAAAGTTTTAATATTCAGCAACAATTGGCCTTGTCCTTAAGAAAATTATATTGACTCGGATTTCCCTCAAATTACTTTAATTGTGTTTACCATTATTATAATTAAGTAGAATCCATCTGGATTGAATAATAATAAAAAATGAGATTTTTAGTGATCTTTGATCCCAAACATTTTATCACTGTTGGACCTTCATATATATATTTAAAAACAAAATGTTTTCAAGTGTTGTACTGGTGTAAAGATTCTAGTGGTAAAAATTACCTAATCAGTTTTCAGCACTATATCTAGAATCAATCTTAGCAATGTGTGACACTCTTTTAAATAGCTAAAAAGAAATTATTGTGCACTTGTTCTTACTTTGTCCCTGTTTTGTGGTACATTATTTAAGTAAAAGGAGATCATTTATCCTCATACTAAATTTCCAAAACGGATATTTACCATTACCATTTTTGTAATGAAGGAGAGAAAAATTAATTGTCTTGCTTTGATAAGTTTGGCATAGGACCTCTGTTTTTGATGCTTTTGGACACTAGAATGCTAACAGTTAGACTTATGCAGGAAGTAACCTCACTACTTTAATACAATGGTTTAAAGTGCTGCAGGCAATAACCAGTAGACACCAAATAACAGTGTTTTAATTTGTGACATATTAGCTATTTTGATCAAGTATTTTGAGCCTTTTAACATCTTGAATAAACACCCTATTAATGAAGCCTTTTGACTTCTGGGTCTGAAAAAGACACTGACTCCTGCTAAATCTTGAACATTGACTCCAGTCAGAACCTTGTCTTCAGACCTGGGAGAAGGTGACACCAAAATGAATTGCTTTCGTGAGACACAGGGCCAGAAATTAAAGCTGTTCAATCCTTTGAGGTCCAGGGACTACTGTAAAAGAGGTGGGCACATGAGATTTTAAGAGCCGATTTTGACAGATAAAATTAGTTCAGGTATTCCAAATCAAGGATGGGCACACAATGCCCAAACAGCTGACAAATTAAGAAATGTTACCTCTCTAAATTCTTTAATTCAAATGAGTTTAACAAAATGCTTATGTTTTGTATGGCTAATTGCTACAAGTCAATATCTAAGACCAGGATTCAATTCTACAAACTTACTTTTCAGCTTTTGGTTTTGGGCTCTTAAAATGCTTAAAGGGTTTTCAGGGTTAATGAGTGCCTGCCCATCTCCATCCTGTCTGGCCTAAAATGTTTACTTGGCTATAAGACTTTTGATTCTAAGTCCCTTTACCACAGGGGTCCCATTAAGGGACAGGATAGACCTGGGGCAGGTAGCCACATCACCCCAACAATAATATGGGACAAAATAAAAATTTAGCCATTGATGCTGACTCTGGCAAATCTTGCCAAGGAACTGAGGAATGTAAACTTAAATTAAAATCCTAAGCTCCATGATGACTAAGTGAACCCACTTATGGTCAAGAAGACCCCAGAAAAAACTAAAACTGAATTGCCAGCCATGATGGGATGGGAGGTCAGACATGCCTTGTTATATCCTCTTCCTTTTGGAGTCTAGACACAACAACTGAATTACAGGTGTCACATTTTCATTCTTCATCCCATTATTCCACAACACCATTCCTCCGCATGAAGCAGCCAGAAAGATCAATGACCAGATTCCCCATGACTGAGAAATGAGGAGAAGGTACTGAAACCAGCCCAATTATCCAATAGAATTTATGTTTAGTTTATTTTGAATAAACGTAGAAATTGACCCTCCAAGTCTTAACAATTGAGAAAGTTACATTTGTCTTATCTGAGTTCCTTTCTCAAGAAACCAACCATCAGGCTTCCCAGATTGTTAAGGAACTGAAATTTCCAGGTCACTGCATCCAGACGGTAAGACTTCAGACCCCTCATTCATCATGACTCATGACTGCTTCCTTACCTCTCTCCAATTCCTGTTTTCCTAACTGACCACCTGCTTCCTGTTTACCAACTCCTATTCCTTACCCCTCCAATTCGTGTTTTCCTGCATGTAACTACATTCCTTTTTCCACTATGTAAACTCCCAATTTTAGTTGGCTGGGGAGATGGATCTGAGACTGATCTCCCATCCAATGCAGCACCCAATCAAGCCTTCTTCCCTGGCAATGCTTGTTGTCTCAGTGATTGGCTTTCTATGCAGTGAGCAACAGGACCTAGCCCAAATCCTTGGTGTTTCAGTAACACCTTCACCCACGAAGTCATATTGTTTTTCCTGATACCTGCCCAGGCTCTTTTGTAGGTGCCAAACCACTAAAATTACTATTGAGGACCTAAATTTTTCAAATCTCTTTCCTCAGGTATCACCCAAAATATTTTTTCACATTATATATTTTTTAACATTGATATTAAAAATCTTTGAACATGCACTTAAAGGTCAGAAAGGATATAAATTCTGGTGTATTATAAATATGATATTTTAATAAAACTGATGTTACTTTTTTTTCAATGTGTCCAATGTTATCTAAATTTCATCCATCTTGATTTCTACCATCACCCACTTAAAAAAGTAAAGTAAAAGGTCAGGCTGGGCATGGTGGCTCATGCCTGTAATCCAAGCACTTTGGGAGGTCAAGGCAGGAGGATCACTTGAGCCCAGGTGTTTGAGACCAGCTTGGGCAGCATGGCAAAACCTCATCTCTACAAAAAATAGAAAAATTATCCAGGTATGGTGGCATGCACCTGTAGTCCCAGCTATTCATGAGGCTGAGGTGGGAGGATTGATTAAGCTCTGGAAGTCAAGGCTGCAGTGAGATGTAACCATGCCACTATACTCCAGCCTGGGTGACAGAGGAAGACCCTGTCTCAAATAATAATAACAATAAAGTAAAAGGTCAAATTACAAATTGGGAAAGAATATTTGTTAAATATATCCCATTCAAAAAATTAATATCCTAATATATAAAGAGATTTTATAAGTAGGGAAAAAATCCAACAGCTCTATAGAAAAATGGGCTATAGAAATGAACATAATGATTCACAGAAAAGTAGATCACAATGCAAATGGCATTTAAACATATGAAAAGATTATCCGTCTTGCTCATAAGATAAATGCGTATTAAAACTACACAGAGATTCCATTTCTCATCTATTAGATAAGCAAAATGCCAAAACTTTAATAGCATTCTCTTTTAGCAAGAGGAAAGAGGCACTTGATGCACTGCTGGTGGGAATGCAAACACGGCATAACCCCTATGAAGGGGAATTTGATAGTATCTGGCAGAGCTCCCTGTGTATTAATCCCTAGATCCAGAACTGCATTCATTTCACTTTCCCAAAAATGCAGAGACAAAAATGCAAAAAGACAGATGCATACTACATCGTGGCATTATTTGTAAAAACAAAAGACCTAAAAGAGTCAAACATATGTCAGCAAAGGACTGCTTGGATAAATTATGGCATATCCATGCAATGGAGTGCTAAGGTGTTTGAACAAAGAAATAAACGTTCCTGAACAAAGAAATAAAGATTATCTCTATGTACTGCTATGGAGTTGACACAGATGTATTGTTGATATACTTTGGATATGTGTCCTCGCCCAGATCTCATGATGAATTGTAATCCCCAGTGTTGGAGGTGGCATCTGGCAGGAGGTGACTGGATCTTGGGGGTGGATTTCTCATGGATAGTTTAGCACCATTCTCTTGGCGCTGTTCTCATGATAGTGAATTCTCGTGAGATCTGGTTGTTTAAAAGTGTGTAGCACCTCCCTTCTTTTTGTTCCTGCACTCGCTATGTGAGATGCCTGCTCCCCCTTCTCCTTCTGCCATGATTGTAAGTCTCCTGAAGTCTCCCCAGAAGCCAAGCCAATGCCAGCATCATGCTTCCTGTATAGCTGCCTGTGGAACCATGAGCCAATTAAACCTCTTTTCTTTATAAATTACCCAATCTCAGGTATTTCTTTATAGCAATGTGAGAATGAACTAATACAATTCTTAAATGAAAAGATCAAGAGAGGGAGAAGGAATGTATAGTGTATTATAGTTTAGGACAGAAGGAATACTTGTATGTGTATTTATAACACACATATGCTATATATAATTTTAAAACAACAATAGAAGGATAGTCTAGAACTTGTTTTCAATGGCTGCCTATTGAAAGAGCAAGGAAATGGGGTGGAAGTAATAGAGATAGAAGCTAGGACTCATTTTGTATTACATATTTGAGTTCAGAACCATTAATATCTTACAGAATTATAGAACAATATTAAATTTTTAAAAATCCATAAAAAATAAAAGTGAACAAAATTAAGCTAAATATGTATCCACTTGGTGATATAACCATACAGAGAAGAAGTTGGTGTGATTTGCAAAAATGAATATTAAGTGTTTCTGGTACTTATGGTGGGTAGTAATAATGTTGGTTTTATCATTCTGAAACCCGTGTGCATATGTCATGGCATGAAACCATGACTATTATATGATATTCTACCATCCCTAGTGTTTTTTGAGAACCAGGATTATCACTACAGGAAAAGAAAAGACAGATATATGATTACAGCAGAGAAGTACACTGTAGTACTAAATTTAAGTTGAAATCATGAATATAAACTCATGATTATTTTGTTTTAAAAATGCATTCTTACACACATGTACATTTCTTCTATCTATCTAATGAAAAGGCTTAGAAACAATGACTAGTGTAGTAGCAATGAAATCCCCAGTTGTGGTTTCAAAATTCCATTTTGACTAAAAGGAAAGAGAACTCCTTGGAGAAATGACTAATTTCAGGAATAGAAAATGTTTATGATGATCCTGAAAGGTCTTATCATATGTAAAATCCGGGAAGCTATTAATAATTACTGGGGTCATGTAATTTTTTATTAGGGTCAGGATCCAACTTCAAGAGGCTCTCATTGACCAAAGATGGTAAACTTTAAGAAAAAGAACCATATTACCAGTAATGGCTTAAAGCATATCAAATATGTTTAAATCCATTAGTTTCTAGTGCCACTAAAAGCAATAACAACTAATAATTCACCACTAGAGGATCTCGGTGGATAAGGTCATTATTTTGAAAAATGGTAAATGAAAAGAATCAAGCATGAATCCTTCCTTTCCAATATGAATTGTACCAAGACATAACCAAATAGTAGATGGGAGAAGTTATTAAATTTAGAATAATTAATAGAATATACTAATGATTAATTCAAATATACTGCACTAATTCTGTATATTACCATTTGCAATTCTTGAGAAAATAATCATTCTAGGCATCGAATGACTCCAGCTGCTAACATCACAAAAAAGAAATAACCAGATATTAGATGTCTCTTAATGAAAGAAGGCAGCACCATTTGTGAAGTAGTTTTACCTAAAGATATTGAACCACAGTCTATTTGTGCTTTTAGATGCAACTATCAATTTATAGAAAACACGGAGGATAAAGGAATATGTTAAATGCAATCATCAAAGTCCAGTCTGTGTGAAATTTTAGAGAAAACACAATCTAATTTCTTCAACAAATAATTTAGTAAGGAAAAATAATTAAAAGAGAGAGAAAACTTGAGGTTGTGTGTGAATGTGAGAGAAGGAGGGGTAGGTGGAAAGAGAGAAGTAGTCAAATCCATAAATTAAAAGACTTTAGAGCCATATAACTAATTTTTATGTGTGGACTTTATTTGAACTCTGATTTAAACAAACTTAAAAAATCTGGGTTAGAAATATAAGCACTATCCTGGCTAACACGGTGAAACCCTGTCTCTACTAAAAATACAAAAAATTAGCCGGGCGTGGTGGTGGCGGGCGCCTGTAAGTCCCAGCTACTCGGGAGGCTGAGGCAGGAGAACAGCGTGAACCCAAGGGGCGGAGCTTGCAGTGAGCCGAGATCGCGCCACTACACTCCAGCCTGGGCTACAGAGCGAGACTCCGTCTCGAAAAAAAAAAAAAAGAAAGAAAAAAAAAGAAATAGAAGCACTGACTGGATATTTGATGATACTAAAAATTATTGATAATTGTAGGTATCACAATGACATTGTGGTTATGTTTTTAAAATGTCCTTATCTTTTAGAGATATATACTACAATTTTACTGATGAATTGACACAATGACTGGAATTTGCTTCAAAATAATATAGGTAAGGGAGATGTAGGTGGACGTGCAGATCAAACAGTATCGGCATGAGTCAGTAACTATGGCAGCTAGATAATGTGTACGTGAGGGTTCATGGCTACTCTTCTATCTAGTCTTGCTTATGTTTAAAAATTTTCACAATAAAAAGATGAAAACATCCACTAACAAGCTTGTTTTAAACAGTTTTAACAGTTTTTAACAGGTGCCTTTTCTTAAAATCCATTCCCGTTGCCCATCAGTATTTTGTCCTAATGTAATGAAAATCAATAAAAAGCATTTTGTTGATCACTAATTTATATTTCTACAACAAAAATAAGTATATAAAGATAGATTTTTAATCTTTAAAATTTTCATGCTGTGATGAGGTTCTAAGTGTTTCTTCCGTGTTTAACAATTATTTGTTGTAATTATTGATTACTGATAATACATAATTGATTAGAATTTTAAAAATAAACATGACATTTGTTGATAAATAATTATCAAAGGTAAAAGCACAATTTTTAAAAATGCATCTTTTAATGTGGTAAGGAAAGAATAGGGAAACTTAATTAAGGGAGGCTTTATGTTTTTAACTGTTCTTTTGTTTGGTACACTAGGCCAATATATAAAATGTAATTAGAATCCAACTTGAAGTTTGAAGTCTAGCCATAATCTAACAAAGAAAGTTTTCAGGAAAAATCCTCAGATTAGTTTGTATTTTAAAGTTTGTCTTTATCTTTTCTTAAAAATTAAGCAGATAGGAGAGAAGCAGAAAATCAGGTAGGAGGGAGGAGAATAATAACACTGACTAAAGGATTTGCATTGATTTGGGGACACCCTGGACCACCCTCCTGATTACAGTCTGGATTTGAATTCAATAAAACCTTCAGTATGCATTTCCCTATAGAACTTCACCTGGCAAGGAAGTCACAAAATTCTAAAGTGAGTTAAGGTTGCCAAATCCTTGGGAGTTGGAGGGCACATAATCAACAAGAACCTACCTAGAGAACTTTAAGATAATAAAATCTGGAATGAATTTTAACTAGGGATAAAAATCTAGAACAGCTGTGGATCTCCTAAGACCATGTGGTCCAAACTTACAGTGGTAAGTAGCCTCAGAAGTCAATTAAAATTAGAACATAACAGATCTATTTAATGTCAGGGCCAAATAAATAAATGAGCAATTACTAAAGAAGTTGGAAGAAAATTCTAATTTGAAAATAATTGATAATTTTCACCATATCTCAGGAAGTTTAAGAATTTCCAAAAATTGAAATTGGCCCAATTTCCACATAGAAATGATATTTACAGATTTTTGAATACACGTAGAAATTGACCCTCCCAGTCTTAAAACTTGAAACTTATATTTGTCTCATCTGAGATTCTTTCTAAGGAAAGCAACCCTCAGGCAAGGGATGGAAACTCACCAGATCACTCCATTTAGACAATGAGACGCCAGAACCATTATTCATCATGATTGCTTCCTTACAGCTCCCTAATTGTGGTTTTCCCACACTTGTAGTTACATTTCTTCCCCCACATATAAACCCCCCAGTTTCAATTGATCAGAGAGATGGATTTGAGACTGATCTCTCATGTTCCTCTGCTGATGTCACCCGAATAAAAAGCCCTCTTCCCTGGCAATACTCACACTCTCTGTGATTGGCTTTCTGTGCTGCAAGCAATGGGACCTAGACCAAACCACTGGCATTTCAGCCACAAATGCATGGCTATATGAAAAGTATATGATTTTCCCTAGAAAAACAAAATGAAATGAGACATTTGCCCAATAAAAGTCACTTAGAATTTCAGATTTATATAAAGTGTAAAAATTATTATTAAAAAATTCCAATACGGTGGGTTCAATAACTTGCATAAAATTAGGATGTGGTTGAAACCACCTTTGCAGAAGTTATAACAGTGAGAAAATTAAGACAGTGGAAGAGACCCAATCAAACCAACTCCATCTTGCCTTTAACCTCCAAACTGCCCTTGGTCATTCCTGGATGTGGGCCAGCCAACTTTGGGAGAAATTTGGTTTATGGTTTAAGTGATAATACTGCTTCCCAAAACTAAACTGTCTTTATAAAACTAAAACATGGTCACAGGTTAGAATTATGAAAGGGGCCTGAATTCTGCTAAGATGTAGGCATAGTTAAATGATTGCCAGCCATTGTTCTGGAGGTCACATGATTTGTAACTTCCCCAATTACTCCTATGAATAACATGACTATTGTAGAATCTAAAATTGACCTTTTGAGATGTCTTTTCAGACTTTTGCATTGCTGAAGACCATATGAATACACCTGGACATGTGACTCATGACTCAACTGGTCCTGTAGCCCCCACCCAGAAGCAAACTCAGTGCAGGAAAATCATTTTCCACACCCAATTACATCCCCAACCAATCAGCAGCACCCATTCCCTAGCCCTGACCTGCCTAACTACCTTTAAAAAACCCTCACTTCCAAAGTTTGGGGGAGGCTGATTTGAGTAGCAATAAAACTCCAGTCTCCCATTTAGCTGGTTCTATGTATATTAAACTCTTTCTCTATTGTAGTTCCCCTGTCTTGATAAATTGGCCCTATCTGGGCAGTGAGCAAGATGAATCAGTTGCTCAGGTGATTATGTAGTCATTTCCAAGTATGGGAGCAGAAGTTAGGGAAGATAAACCAAGAAATAGAGGTAAGGTAATCTCATAAGATGATACATTAAGTATCTAAATTTATGCTCAATTTCAAAGTCTTAGATCACCTAAATTTCAAAATATCAATTTAAGGAGACACTTCATCCAACCATTCATAACCTTTAACACTACCAGCTAATATTTGAAACAACTAGAATAAGTAAACCACTGCAATACAGGAAGAAGAAAATAGCAGATTCACATACTGAGAAACTGATCTCTATTATTCAAAATCAGTTATTTTGACAGATTTGTAAATTAAGCCTAGGAATATTTTCTCTCAAACTCCTACTTGGTAAATTGCAAATGCAATTAGTGGAAATGCATTCAGATTTACTTGAATGAAGTGAATGTCAAAAATAAGTAGACAGCTAATAGTTTTATTACTGTCTAGTTCTTCTGAAACTCAAAGGCATTTTTAATTACCGAAGTGAAATGTTCCATGATGTTACAAAAATCTTTGAAGTGAGACCAGTTTAAAGTATAAAACATTTGTTTTTAAAATGTTTCTGACTTTCAAAAAACTCTCCAAGAAATTAGGAAATTATGTAAATATGCAAAACATATCCACAATATTTAGCCCTCAAACTTAAAAAAAAATGCTTTGTTGGCATAAACTCATTAGAAAACAAATAAGAGTTAATGTTTTAAAGAAGAACAACATAGATTATAAAGTAATTTCCAGCCCTGAAAATTTTCTTGTGCTACATGAAGATATTGTGGAAATGGCTGGGCCTTGCTAATTCCCTGACAAAGAGCTGAGAATCTGATCCTCCAGAGGGACAGAATTCCCATTATCACTTGAAATTGAGACTAAATGAGGTAATAGATATGCTATACCTTTGCATTTTATTAATGCCTATACAAATATAAGGTACCATCATTGATAGTACTAAAAGTCAAATTACCAAAAACATTTGTTTCTAAAATATTTTTGACTTTCAAAAAACACTCCAAGAAATCAGAAAATTATACAACCTTTCAATTTCAAATTATTTCAACGCCAAAGAAGGTCCATGCAGAGATGCAAGAAGAAAACAAGAATTAGACTGGGCTAAAATAAAATGAATTAATTATCAGGTGTACTTTGGTGAATTGAAGATAATCAAAATGTGGAATGCAGAAAGTGTGCAATTCAGAGCGCTGAAGATGGGAACAATTCACTGTAGACCCTTGACTGACTGCTTATAAATCATGGTCAGAGTGCTCCTAACTGATTTCACCTGCATTTTGAGATCAGCCCTGACCTAGAGTGACCCTAGGGAAAGAAGTAGATTGGAGTTATTTCTTGGGATTTGGACCCAGAGACTCCTGAAGTGTCCTCAAGAGCCACTAATAGAATGTGAATGGGTTTCTCAGTGTCCATACACTTAACAAGTATGGGCTTGTTAACAAAGTAAAGGGGCTAAAGTGGGACCGAGAAGAGGGCAGCTGCAGAGTTGGAAGCTTCAAATCCTTTCTTTCCTACATAATGATACATTTCAGGCATCCCAGTGGATGCCCGAAATTGTGCATAGTACCAACCCCTATATAAACTATGTTTTTTCCTATATGTACCTACCTATGATAAAATTAACTTATAAATTGGGCACAGTAGGAGATTAACAACAATATCTAATTATAAAATAGAACAATTAAAACAATATACTGTAATAAAAGTTATGTGAATGCAGTCTGTCTGAAAATATCTTATTGTACTGTACCACTGTAAATTCAAACTCTGGAGAGTGAAACCGCAGAGAAGTGGGCACTACTGTCCTCTTTCCATCTTTCCTTATTGATGCTTTTTTCCAATATGTGATTTGCATGGCTCATGTCCTCCACTATTCTGTTTACTGACACACTTCTTTGCCTCATCACAGCCATTCCTCTCCCCTAACAACTCCTCTTCCAAAACACAAGCTCTTGCACTTGAACACTGCCTGCCTTTTGCCTGCAGAAAGAAAAGCAGTGCCTTCAAAAGAGTACCTCCACAGTGACCTGTTAGGACTTTTATGACATAGGGAGAGCAGTTCCTCATTGACCTTTAAAAAGTTTCCTCCACAATAAATTGTGCTGCCTGCCATATTGCATCATTGAAAATATGACATTTTCTATTGGAGAACAAGTTACTCAAGCCAAATCATTTTTCTAAACTCACCGTAGCCTGGAATAACCATTTATTATTAAAACAATGACCTTTTAGAAAGTATGGTTATTGGTCTCTGTCATATTGTTTGAGCACTCCCAAGCTCTATGACCTTGGGCAACTTAACCTCCCTGAGCCTTGGTTTCTTCATCTAGAAAATGTAGACATTAATAAAGCCTGTATCACAAAGTTGTGAAGATCAAATGAAATCATCCATGTAAAGCTCTTAGGACTCTTTTAGCACAAAGTAAGGAAAATCTTAGCAGCTGCTGATGCTGTTGCTGTAGTTGTATTTATTATTGTTGTTGATTTTGTTACTATCATTATATGTGTAAAGGATATGCTTTTTTCATTTTCCCTGGGATCTAGTTAGTCCAGTTTTCACAATTATCATCTCACACATAGACACGGAAAAGAATCCAAAAGTTAAAAATACACAAAATTACTTTGGCTACATCCCTTATAAATGAGGAGACATTAGTATATTTTAAATAGTCTGTGAAAAGAAAAGAAAGGGGGAAAGTTCAGAATGTGGATGTAAGATAAAGGCTCTAAAAGGAGGAGAGACATTCCCAAGACTCTGGGCTAGGGATGGAAGAATGTTATGAGAGTTTCATGAGATCCCGGTGCACTCACATCATTAGAAAGCTTTTAATTTGGGCACCTTCATAATCTTCCTTGTTCAAAAGTGTTAACCTTGGTCTATTACAATGCCCTTACTCTCCTTAATACACGAGATTTTTCTCAATGAATTGCTTGCCTTGCCCTCCAAAGCCACGTTCCTCAATCTTACTTTCTCTTTTAGTTATCATCCACAAACTTCACCAAGCTTATACTTATGCTGCAGTGTGTGATCCATCTGACAGTCACTTCTTCACCTTTTGCAATCTGGCATACAACCCATCACTCAATGAAAAATATTCTCTCTGTGACCTCTTGCTCAGCTATGTCCTTGTATTTGTGAGCTCCAAAGGTCTGTTCTCTCAGTGCTGGTCTTCCAGGGCAGCTTCAAAGCATCTAATCCTCTCCTTCCCTTGGTGATACCATTCTTCCTTGGCTTCTATGATACTGCCCTCTCCTGGTTCTTGTTTGTGTGTCTCTGGTCACTGAGCCTTCCCCTCTAGTTCCTCTTCCTCTGCCTCTCCCTTAAGTGTACATATTCCCTAAGGTTCTGTCCTTAATCTTCCTTTTTCTCATTACTCCTTCCTCTAACTACAGTTATCTTGATTTTGAAGACCCAGGCTGCCAAATCTCCATCTCCGCTAGCACGATTCCGGAGCTGCATCCAGAGGGCCACCTTAGAGGTCTACCATGCCTCAGCTCAAGAGTCCCCTCATCCAGGTGTGCTTCTCCTCGGTGCTTTATTTCTTAATTAATTGCACCTTCATCAACTCTACCCTTCCGATTTAGAAGCCTCAGTATTATCTTTGATTTGTATTTCTGTGTCAATCACAAATAAAATCAACAATCAAACCCAATTACTTCTGTCTACAACATCTTATTTCCAATATCTGGCTCTTTCCTCCTCAAAAATCTTCAATGGATCCCAATTGCCCCTCGAGAATAGAATGAAGATTTTTAAGAATGAGATCAAAATATTACTAGGCAATGATCTTCCTTTTGGGCATGAATACTCATTATCTTCATGAATTCTATGCTTTTTCTTCTACCAGACATTTCCTGATCATACAAACACTTTCAAGCTTTTGAATCTTGGCACATGAAATTGCCCTAAGCTGGAATATCCTTTCTTCTCTCCAACTACTGGAATCCTATCTATCTTTCAAGTTCAAATACCAACTTCTCTCTGTAGCCTTCTTTGATATTCACAGAATTCATCCCTCTTTATGCTGTGATCATATATGATTTTGTGTTAACACATTTAAAGCATTTAAGTCATGCTTATTAACACATTTTCTTTACCTGAATTTCAGACTCATATTTAATTCCCCAACAATCATCTCCACTGGGTTAACCCTCAAGTCCCTCAGATTCATTACACTCAAGTTGAACACACCCTGCTGACTGGACTTGGTCTTCCTGCAGTGTGCTTTCTGCTGGGAGTCACCCTTCATTCTTCCATCTCTTTCTAATTTCACACCCTGCCTAAATGATTCTAGCTTCTAAATATCTTTCTAAGGTATTCACATCTCTTCCCCCACTATTAATAAACTAGTTCATACCAGCATATTTTATTATTAGTTTTCTTCCTCTGGTCAATGATTAATCAATTGATTAGAATTGCTAATAAAAAAAGATCAACTCTCAGTTCAGGAAAATAAATATCAAGTTATATAATCTATATGTAGTCATATAGCCTTTATAGTTTTCTGCCTTCTCTTTTAACTTCCATAGGGCAACTCACTATAGTAAAGCCTTTTGTGTTATTAAGTTATCTCTTGGTAAACCAAGTTAAAAATTAATTTAGTGGTCCAGTATTCAGATATTTTTCTATTTAGTTATAATAAAAGCTAAGAAGCCATCATATTATTCTTCATTTTCTTTCTCTGACCAATGTCTAATACATGACTTAGAGAAATTAAATGTTACTTTTATGTGGGTCAAGTCCAATCAACTAATAAAAAACAGGATATAGACATCTGAAAACAATGTACCTATTAAAATTTCCTTTTATACTTTCTTTTCAAAGTGTTTAAATTAGAGTTTAATGGAAAGTATGAAGTAATTTACTTATCCAGCTTCTACGGCCAAAATGGAATGTGCTAATTTTATTAATCTGAACAATGGTGGCTTGCATTTGAAAAGCTCAAGAAACAGCGACGCACCATGGGGCTAATCACTTCAAGTTTTCTTTTCTTTATCTCTGCCCATTTTGCAAGTTCTCATTATTTGCATGAAGACTCTCAGAGAATTACCAG
Organism: Homo sapiens; assembly: GCF_000001405.40. NCBI lineage: Eukaryota > Metazoa > Chordata > Mammalia > Primates > Hominidae > Homo > Homo sapiens. Next base: position 33,489,852 of record NC_000013.11, read on the forward strand.
ACCAGAAATGTAACCCATTGTATTCTTTCTTCTAAAAGGGGTAGAAATCATTTTTGAGATCATTTTCAAAATTGGAACATTGCTGAAAGGAAAAAAATCAAATGGATCGATAACCTTGAGCTTAAGGAAAAACTGTATGTTAAGCAAGCAATGGTTGTGACATAAAGTAATAATATTACTCATTAAGTAAATTTTTTTTAAACTTTCACATAAGTTTAAATAACCACTAACAGAATTTTATCTGATACAATTATAAATGGAATTAATGACAATAGTTTACAACCTGATTTCAAAAATTTGTTTTTTTATGTGTTTTAAGGAATTCCACATGCTTATTTTGCGCTGGGGAATTAATTTGAAATAGCAAATTGAAGGATGCTAGTAGGTATGTACTATACTGATATGGACAGGAGACAGGGAAATACTGGGTAGAAGAAGGCAGTTCCCCGGCAAAGGCCCCACCCTCAAGCCTGGATACTCATGGCCCTAAATGAGAACAAATATTCCTGTTTTCGCGCTCCTCTTTGGTCCGCCACATCCCCTATCCTGCACCCACATAAACCCCAAATCCCAAGCTCCAGAGCAGACCAGCAGGTGAGGACACAGGAGGCAAGCAGACCGACAGTGGAACAACGCGGCAGAGAGAAAGAAGAGTAGGGGCATCTGGATGCTGAGAGGAGTTTGGCTGGGGGTGGTGCAAGAGGAGTTTTGCCTCCGGCCGCTGGGTGGCCCAACTCCAGGGGAAGATACCTTCCCACTCCATCCCCCAGCCCCCGCCCTTCCAGCTTCCCATCCACCACACTGAAAGCCACCTCTACCACTCAATAAAACCTCACATTCATCCTTCCAGTCCGTGTGTGACCCAATTTTTCCGGGACACTGGACAAGAGCTCGGGATACAGGAAGCTGTCACACTGGCCCTCTGCCCTTGCGAAAAGGCAGAAGGTCCACTGAGCTGATTAACACTCAAGCCGTCTGCGGGTGGCCAAGCTGAAAGAGCTTTGTAACACTGAGGTTGCAGGCACCCACCATTAGACATTACCATGGGGCCAGAGCCCAAAGTGCTCGCCCTGGCCTCTGCACCTGCCCATCTGCATGCTCCTCCTCTCACAAGGGGTCTGAGCAGTGGGCAACCGAACAAGGGAGCCATACCCCTGTCTCATATCCTGTAAAGGGAGTCAGGGAAGTCTCCCGTTTCAATACTATGTGGCCATGTGACTTGCTTATGACATGCTAGAGAATGTGCCAGTGGTAGATGGGCAGGCTGTTTGTAATGAAAATTAAAATGCAAGTTCTGTGCTGAACTGAACTGTTGAAAGGATAACAGACCTTGGAAAAATGCCAGGTAGAAAACGGAAAACATTTCTCCATGGTATTTCTGGTACGTGGCACCACAGTAGACACTCAACAAATATTTTTGAATAAATGAATGTGAGGGCTGAGTTAGCTTAGGAGACATTAATATAAAATTGAAAACATTGATGATTTGATTGTCTAAGATCAGAGCAGTCCCTTAAGAAAAGAAATCCCAAATCATGTATTAGGAGAGAACGTGTTCTAATCTGGAAAATTTCAAGATTATTGTTTTGTTCATTTCTTTGTTTTTTTCTTTTTAAAATCCAATGAAAGGATTTAGCAAAAATTCCTAAGAGTCTATATGGTACATTTCATCAGTGATCTGTGAGACCTTGGGGGTTGAAAAGAAAGTACAAGAACTTAGCCTCACTCTGTTGTAGACTTTATAAAATACAATCAAGGATCTCTGTCTAAAACCACTTCTCATAAAAAAATGGTTTATAAACTTTATTTGCACATTACAACCTTAGAGATAAATAATAAAATGGAAATCTAGAGTCCAGCCTAATCTGTTTCTCCATTAAACCTCACACAATGTGATGAGGAGCTGTAGAGTTCTGAGGAATAAGGTTTGAAACCTGTTGTCCCAGAGGATTCTTCTGAGGAACCTAAATGCAAGAACCTCTGGTAGTGAAATGATGACAATTGAATGTTTTCACTCGCGTCCATGTGAAGAGACCACCAAACAGGCTTTATGTGAGCAATAAAGCTTTTTAATCACCTGGGTGCAGGCGGGCTGAGTCCGAAAAGAGAGTCAGGAAGGGAGACAGGGGTGGGGCCGTTTTATAGGATTTGGGTAGGTAAAGGAAAATTAGTCAAAGGGGGTTGTTCTTTGGCGGGCAGGGGTGGGGGTCACAAGGTGCTCAGTAAGGGAGCTTTTGAGCCAGGATGAGGCAGGAGAAGGAATTTCACAAGGTAATGTCATCAGTTAAGGCAGGAACAGGCCATTTTCACTTCCTTTGTGATTCTTCAGTTACTTCAGGCCATCTGGATGTATATGTGCAGGTCACAGGGGATATGATGGCTTAGCTTGGGCTCAGAGGCCTGACAGATATTGTAATAATACAGTTATCATTTACTGAATGTCTACCAGATCTAGGTACTTCCCAGAGCTTATTTCATTGATTCTGAGTTAAGTATTATGTCAGAGGCGTGTGAACCAGAGCAACTCCATCTTGAATAGGGGCTGGATAAAATGAGGTTGAAACCTACTGGGTTGAATTCCCAGATGGTTAAGGCATTCTAAGTCACAGAATGAGATAGGAAGTCAGCACAAGATATAGGTCATAAAGACTTTGCTGATAAAACAGGTTGCAGTAAAGAAGCCAAACAAAACCTACCAAAACCAAGATGGCAATAAGAGTCATCTCTGGTCATCCTCACTGCTACACTTCCATCAGGGCCATGACATTTTACAGATGCCATGACAACGTCAGGAAGTGACTCTATATGATCTAAAAAGGGGAAGTATGAATAATCCACCCCTTGTTTAGCATATAATCAAGAAATAACCATAAAAATGGGCAACCAGCAGCCCTTGGGGCTGCTCTGTCTATGGACTAGCCATTCTTTTATTTCTTCGCTTTCCTAATAAGCTTGCTTTCACTTTACTCTGGACTCACCCTGAATTCTTTCTTGTGCGAGATCCAGGAACTCTCTCTTGGGGTCTGGATCAGGACCCCTTTCCAGTAACAATTATGTCTCTTTTTAACGAGAAAGCTGAGTTTCATGGAGGTTAAACTGCCAAAGTCACTCAAATGCTAAGTGCACTTTTGACTATTCAACTGCTTCAAATATGACACAACAAAAGAACAGGCATCTCTTACTGCATAGATTTTCTGAAGTATCCTCCTTCTGTCGAACAAGGTTCTGTGGTGCTGGGAGATGTACGGACTTCCAAGCAGGTTAAATTTTCCAGAGGGAATCAGCAATGTGTGTGATTAGGGGTGGAACAGCTAAAAAGTTTGCCATGATCACCTGACTTTTAGGAACCATAAACCCATTATCACAACAGAGCCTCCTTGCGGAACCAAGGCTCAGACACTCACACAACCCCTACTTTAGATTCAGGGATCTTGTCTGGGGCCTGATTTATCACACTCAACTATCCCAACCCCTCCAAAGTCCCAGAATGAACACAGAAGTGATCTCACGTGATCAGTAAAGCTGCTTACGCATTTGTCCAAACCGGTAGAACTATGCAACACAGTGAACACTAATGTAAACAATGGCTTTACTTCATAATAATGTATCATACTGATTCGTCAATCATAGCAAATGCAGATAATAGGGCATACTAACATCTAAATAATAGGGAGTATTAGTAATAAGTAATAAATAATACAGAATATTAACACCTAAAGAAAGATGTTAATAAGAGAGAAAACTGTGGGGGTGCGCAGTATTTGGGAATGCTGTACTTTCTGCTTAATTTTTCTGTAAACATAAAATTGCTCTAAAAATTAAAGTTTATTAGTTTTTTAAAAAGTAGCTATTTTCTGGATCAACTGTATAAAACAATGCATATCCAAAAGAAGACAAATATTGAAGTTAAGAAAATTCAAATCTAGGATTTACTCAGCCTCTAACTAACTCTTCAGCCCCACACTTAAACTTGTACATTCACAGAAAGTGGCCAGTTGTTGGCTGCACCCAAGGTCAAAGGTAGGTCTGAGTGGAACACAGCTATGAAAAAAATCCACAGGTTGGTGCCAGGTTAATGACATTTCTGATGAGACCGTAAACGACTTGGTGCGGGTTTCTCATCAGACAGAGTAGTAAACCCAAAAAGGCAAAACCACTTTGGGAACCCTGTGTTCATCAAGATACCTGATTACCCAGAGTTAGCTGCTCACTTCCAAGTTTCCTTTGAAACTGGGACAGAAAGCGCTCCAATTCTTTCTGAACTCCAGGTCTAGTGTAGAAGCAGAGCAGATGCTTCCTTCCCATTTGACTTGAATGCCACCTTCTCAGTGCAACATTCACCAAACAACCACTTTAGAACTGCAAACCTTCACTCCGGCCACCCAGTATCCCCTTTCTGATGTTATTTCAACTCCACCCCCACCCGGGGCACTTATTGCCATTAATAAGCACACTACACATTTTACTTACTTTGTTTATTGTTTCCTCACCTGACTAGTCTAAATTCCAGGAGAGCCGTGATTTTATTATTGTGTCCTCAGCCCCTAAATGCAGTACCTTGCATTTAGCATGCTTCCCATAAATATTTGTTGATTCGAATGAATAAACCACCACTTGCAAGACGAAATGGGCGTGAAAAGGAATTATAATCAGAACAATCAGAGTTTAAGGCTCTCCTGCTCTACCTCCCCCACCTTTCTGCATGGGCTTTCCCGGCTTATTTTTGACACACTGCATTTGGTCGTTGTCTACTACCAGTGAGAAGATTGCTGAAGATAGAACAGTGGTCAACAGGATTGACTGTTAAGATTATAGTCCAGATGCAACTGGATGGAGGCTTCAGGAAAATAGCTTTTTGACCAAAAAAGCAGTACTTTTTTTTTTTATTTCACTATAGCTAGCACAATGAGAATGACCAGTTGGCCACTTAGGACAATTGCCAGAGAGATTATATGATACACTCTATAGAGGTCACAATGTCACGGTTTTCTTTGCTGCTGCACCAAAAAAAGAAATAACTAGTCCAGACCACTTACACACAGTAGAAAACATAAAAACAAATGCGCCCCCAAAAGACTCTACTTAGGGTTCCCACGACAAGTCTTCCAAAATCAACAGTGCAGTCTGTCTGAATGTTATCAATGCTCACTAACCATGCATTCCCATGACATGACTCAGTGACTCCATTTCCTGCCTACACTTCCGCTAGCTCTGGGCCTCACTTTGAGCTTGTCTGTCAAGTATAGTAATGCCAGATACTTCTAGCTCCTACATGTACACCATAAAAATACTTCAGAAAATACACAACACATGAGAATAATATCAGAAACCAATTTACTTCCCAATTTCATCCATTCTTGTGATTGTACCTGTCAATTAAAAAACTATTCAGAACTCTATCACATTAGGTTTTCTTAGACATCACTTAAGCCAATTATCATCTTAACCATTTTAAGTGGACAGCTCAGTGGAAATGTGGAATTTTGAACTTGTCTTTTACATTAGAGACTTGTTAAGAAAATGCTAACTTATCAAATAATATGAGCTCCTCTATACATGGTACTATTCGAGAAAGCCTTGAAGATAAATGATAAACATTTACAAGGGGCAGCATGAACTAAAGTTAAAGGACGGGAAAGCTTGAACACTTTCTTCATGTGGATCACTTACTTTCTTATTAGTCTTGAGTAAAATATTTAAATATTTGTGTCTCAGATTTCCAATCTTCTAAACAGGATGGAAATATTTGCCAAATACTTGCCATGTATATATTTTCTTTGAATAAAGCTAGTAAGAAGGAAGAGGAGCATGGTTTTGAATTGTTTTGTATTACTCTCTGTTTTCCATGCCTCTTTTATAATGGATGATTTAAATCAATTTTCATCTTGAGCTAATAATCTTTCCACATTTAATATAATTTATTTTTTATTCAGACAAGTATTATAATATAATCATTTTATTATTACATAATTAATATTATACAATTAGAATGTACTATAATTATATAATATATAATTATATAATGATTACATATAATTATATATAGTTATGTTATTATATTATATAGTTATATATTATTGTATATAATTATATTATTTAATTATATATAGTTAATATATAATTATTATAATAGATAGTGAATATAAATTATTATAATTATATATAGTTAATATGTGATTATTATAATTATGTATAGTTAATATAATTATAGTTATATATAGTTAATATATAATTATATTAACTAAATAATTATTTAAATAATTTTATTTTTATAATATATTTATAATCATTTTAATTTATGATTTTATAATTTCTACTTATTTAAATATAATTTATAATATACTTATATAATTTCTAATGTAAACATAATATAATTTATAGTATAAATTTTATAATTTACATATGCATTATAGAATTTACATATGAATTATAAACTTTATTCTTTTATAAATTAAAAATAAACTCAGTTTATTTTATTAAAAAATAAAGTGTATTTACAATAGCAAATACATTTGCAGCTAACACTGCCTCATTATTATTGTTACTATTACTATTATTAATTTATTTAGAATAATTGGTCAGTTTCCATAATATCCTCATGGTAAAAACTTCCTCATGGTATCATTTTTAATATACAGTTCTCTCCCTAACTTATCATCCCACTTGATTATGCAATTTCTCTTCTTATACATGTTATAAAAATTTGTTTAGGTCAGACATTTGTGTAATATCAATTCATCTGAATCACCTGTATGCATAGGCACATATAGTATGTTTTTAAGTATCAAGCATCCAAATGGCTTCCATGTTTAACTCTTTTTCTATAACACTGGAACAGGTACACATACAGAAGAGTACTTTTAAATTTCATGATGATGATTATGATAGTGATGATACAGTTTATACATATTCATTGCTGTTTTTTTAAACAAAGAAGAAATGTATGCCATTTTGTCTCAACATCAAATGATAAATTTTCAAATTCTATTAGATCCTTGAGTTTTGAAAATCTTTATATAGTTTCGTTTCTGGATAAATTTTGGCTATGTGATAAGCTGCTCTCTGTTTTGTTGCAATTATCCTACAAGTACCGTTTTTCTCAACTGAACCTCAAGTATATAACAAACAGATAATTTTGTAAGAGAACTCTGTTTTGTCTTATTTTCACAGCTTTGTGGTTATTCTTTATGGCAAGGAAAATAGACCTTGGGTATCCTCCCAAATTTTGAGAAGAATAAAAGACAGGCTTAGCTTAATTAGCACGACCTCAGAATGAGTCCCATCACATCCCAAGACCTTTAAGTTTCCCAAATCATTAATCTAATTACCATCCTGAAAAAAATGATCTGCTGGGCTCCTCCATGTGCAAATGTATGTTGTTGACGTTATGTGCTAAATATTAAGATGTAACCAAAAATACACAGTCTACTTCTTTTCCATGAAGACTGAATGTTTATTTTGTTCTCTGAGTAATATTAGTCATCTAAAGGACTGTGTATAAGGCTGTACTCAGCCTGAAATTTCATTTCCTCTATCAGCAAACAGAGTTGAAGCTATGATTATGTCAACCTTGGGAAGTCTCTATTTTGATAAAGAAGTGAGAAAGGTTTTCCAAGATCATAAAAATATTTAGTAAACAGGTGGTAGTATGAGCCTTTAGTTCTAAATCACAGCTAAATCACGCAGTCACTCCTCCTAGTTATCTTGACACTGCTCCACTTATTTCTCTCTCCTCTTCAATATACAAACCTGTCAAGTTCACTTGGTGGCCAAATTAGCTGATTTGTTTATTCTATCTACTATCTGCTTTAAAAATCACTATTAGTCTTTCCCTGTCTGTCTAGAGCTATTACTGTAGTTTCAACATCCACCAAGTGCCAAGTACTATTGTGTCTTCTCATAGGTCTAGTGATCCCTACTCATTGTGGAGAGTATCAGGTTTGGTGAAGGTGGAATTAGACGTGTGAGAGCGTCCTGGCATATACAACCCTTGCAACTCTGAAATGATAATGATTTAGTAAATAACGTAATTACTTTTGTGGTTCTACTATGTTACTTTAGTATCAAGGGAATTGATAAATACAGACATGCAAAACTCTGTAATACGAAATGAGTTCCTTCACCATGTGCATCAATAACAACCAACTTTTTACTAGCATAACATAATCTAAGACATTACAATAGTGGCTAATAAAAAAGAGCTGTCATACCAAGAACTGATTTCAAAGAGACGAACTAGAAGCTACTGATACTTCCATGTGTCTAAATTGAAGTTTTAAAAGCATCTAGTTCTTTGCAAACAGAGAAAAATAATACATTTACTCTTGAGTCTTAAGTCAATATGAAATAGTTAGAAGCACAGCATGACAACTGATAACCTTCAATTATAAGAACTTGGAATTCTCCTCTGCTAAGTGCACACTCTGGGTCAAAGTGTTATCCCAATGTTGATGAAAAAGGTTTTAATGGAAATGATATGAGTGAGAGTTAAATAGATCAAAATTCAAGTTCCTCTAATGATTTTACATTAGGGATTGTTAGAGCCTCTTTATTTCAGAATATTGCAGTGGGTCATGAATTCGACTTTTTAAAATATTTGCATTTTTGTAATAGGCAAGAGATAAGGTAATAGGACCTCTATTAATATAATGAAAGAAACATAAGATTAGCTTTGGGTAGAAAAGATAATCAATGAGATTGAATGAGTTTAAATGCTTTCTATTATTAAATGGGTCCAAATTATACATATTAAATGACAATTTAAAATAACATCTTTGCAAGATAAGATACAAATATTTCTTGTATTAAATAAAAAATGCTAAAATGGTACAGAGAAAGATAATAATGAATCAAAAGTAAAGAGTACATTCAGCTATGATCCAAGTTATAAAATAGTAAAGAAGGCATACATTGTATCTCCTTCATATTTTCAATATTGCATATTTGCATATGCAATGCTTCAGAAATACTGAGAGAGGAATCTTGAAATAGTCTCAAATTCTTCCTACCACAACAAAACTATTTTGAGTACACTGCAGCACTTTCGGAGGCCGAGGCAGGCAGATCACCTGAGGTCAAAAGTTCAAGACCAGCCTGGCCAATATGGTGAAACCCCGTCTCTACTAAAAATACAAAAATTAGACAGGTGTGGTGGCACATGCCTGTAATCCCAGCTACTCGGGTGGCTGAGGCAGGAGAATCACTTGAACCCAGGAGGGAGAAGCAGCAGTGAGCCAAGATCACGCCATTGCACTCCAGCCTGGGCAGCAGAGTAAGACTCTGTCTCAAAAAACAAACAAACAAACAAAAACAAAAACAAAAACAAATTTTAGCACAGAGTGAGCCTCAGAAATTATTTAATCTGATAATCTTATGTTTATAAATGACAAAACTGAGGTTGAAAAAAGTTGAGTGGGTTGAACAAGTATATTAGTCAGCTTAAGCTGCCATGACAAAATACCAAAGACTGGTTGGTTAAATAACATAAATTTATTTCTTATAGTTTCAGAGGCTAGAAGTCCAACATCAAGGTGCCAATGTGGTTGGCCTCTGGTGAAAGTTCTCCTTGGGTTGCAGATGGCCACTTTGTTGCTATATTCTCACATGGCAGAGAGAAAAGGAGCTCCAGGCTCCAGTCTTTTCTCCTTCTTCTTCTTCTTCTTCTTTCTTTCTTCTTCTTCTTCTTCTTCTTCTTCTTCTTCTTCTTCTTCTTCTTCTTCTTCTTCTTCTTCTTCTTCTTCTTCTTCTTCTTCTTTCTTCTTCTTCTTCTTCTTCTTCTTCTTCTTCTTCTTCTTCTCCTTCTTCTTCTTCTTCCTCGTCCTCTTCTTCCTCTTTCTCTTCTTCCTCTTCCTCTTCCTCTTCCTCTCCTTCTCCTTCTCCCTCTCCCTCTCCCTCTTCTTCTTCTTCTTTCTTTTTTTTTTTTTTTTTTTTAGAGACAAGGTCTTACTCTATTCCCCAGGCTACAGTGCAGTAGCACAATCATAGCTCACTGCAGCCTCAAACTTCTGGGCTGAAGCAATACTCCAGCCTCAGCCTCCCAAGTAGCTGGGACTATAGGCACCTGCTGCTGTGCCCAGCAAATTTTTTGTTGTTGTTGTTCGCTGTGCTGCCTAGGCTGGTCTTGAACTCCTGGCCTAAAGCAATCCTCCCACCTTGGCCTCCCAAACTGCTGGGATTACAGGCCACTGTGCCTGGCCACGCTTCCTCTTCTTACAAAAATACTAATCCTATCATGAAAGTCCTACCCTCAAGACTCTACCTTAATTACCTCCCAAAAGCCCCACCTCCAAATACCATCACATTGTGGGTTGGAGCTTCAACATATAAATTTGGGAAGGAGGGACACGAACACTCAGTCCATAACAATGGATTGAGAAAAATTTAGAGTGAAAGTAAGGACTAGAACCTAGGCCTGCTGAAATCCTGGCCAGCCATCTTTTCAAATGAAATTATTGGTTGATTCTAACTTACATTATTTGACTTCTAAAATTAATTGTGCAATTTTTAAAAACATAGTTGAAATAATGCTAAGGATTAGAAAACCAGCAGAGAAGGAAAATGAGATTGACAATTTCCTACAGTTCTGTATCATTATACTTATAAAAGTTTTCCTATGTCATTTGATGCCTGTCTCATATCATTTCACTATGTTCTTTTTTAATAATCAGCCTTAATGCACCTGAACAGAATGTATTAAAGATGTTCAATGAAAAATTTTTCTTGCTGCTAAATAAATCCATTTTGGGTGCTCTTTGGGTTGTTATTTCTTCAGACACAATCAGTTGAGTGCTTGATGAAATCCTTTCTGCCTCAGACTGTGATGACTTCTAACATTTTGTTTATATATTTAGCAGCAAAAGGAATCAAGAGCTGCCAAGTATTATTAAAGTAGAACCAACTACAGCAGGAATTCTATCATGAGGGCAGCATCACTAATGAAGTAAAGCAGTGAGATAGAAAATTCTAACCATAACTCCAGTTTCTAACTCCTCATGATATGGGGACATTGATTCTCTTACTGTTTTTCAATTTAAACAATGGAGATAACCAACTTGTATTAAGGATTCTCAAATAATGCTTCAGTATGCATATAATAATTATAAAATGCTTGCTTTTTAAGGAAAAACAGTATAACTATCGGAAAAATATTTATGGTCTTAAAAAAAAAAACCTAAAAAAATAACAAAAAACCCTGCCACATCACATTTCTTTCCTCTTCTCTCTCTCCTTTTTTTTTTTTTTTTTTTTTTTGAGACAGTGTTTTGCTCTGTTGCTCAGGCTGGAGTGCAGTGGCACTATCTCAGGTCACTCTGTCTCCCGGGTTCAAGCAATTCTCCTGCCTCAACCTCCTGAGTAGCTGGGATTACAGGCACCCACTGCCACACCAGACTAGCTTTTGTATTTTTCTATAAAAATAAAAATTCACCATTTTGGCCAGGCTGGTCTTGAACTCCTGGCCTCAAGAGAACCACCTGCCTTGGCCTCCCTATTCACTCTGATGGTAGTTTCTTTTGCTGTGCAGAAGCTCTTTAGTTTAATTGGATCCCATTTGTCTATTTTGGCTTTTATTGCCTTTGCTTTTGGTGTTTTAGTCATGAAATCCTTGCCTATGCCTATGTCCTTAATGGTATTGCCTAGGTTTTCTTCTAGGGTTTTTATGGTTTCAGGTCTAACATTTGAGTCTTTAATCTATCTTGAATTAATTTTTGTGTAAGGTGTAAGGAAGGGATCCAGTTTTAGCTTTCTGCATATGGCTAGTCAGCTTTCCCAGCATCATTTATTAAATAGGGAATCTTTTTCTCATTTCTTGTTTTTGTCAGATTTGTCAAAGATCAATGGTTGTAGATGTGTGGTATTATTTCTGAGGGCTCTGTTCTGTTCCATTGGTCTGTATCTCTGTTTTGGTACCATGCTGTTTTGGTTACTGTAGCCTTGTAGTATAGTTTGAAGTCAGGTAGTGTGATGCTTCCAGCTTTGTTCTTTTGGCTTAGGATTGTCATGGCAATGCAGGCTCTTTTTTTTTGGTTCCGTATGATCTTTAAAGTAGTTGTTTCCAATTCTGTGAAGAAAGTCATTGGTAGCTTGATGGGGATGGCATTGAATCTACAAATTATTACCTTGGGCAGTATGACCATTTTCACGATATTGATTCTTCCTATCCATGAGCATGGAATGTTCTCCCATTTGTTTGTGTCCTCTTTTATTTTGTTGAGCAGTGGTTTGTAGTTCTCCGTGAAGAGGTCCTTCACATCCCTTATAAGTTGGATTCCTAGGTATTTTATTCTCTTTGAAGCAATTGTGAATGGGAGTTAACTCCTGGTTTGGCTCTCTTTTTGTCTTTTATTGGTGTACAGGAATGCCTGTGATTTTTGCATATTGATTTCGTATCTTGAGACTTTGCTGAAGTTGCTTATCAGCTTAAGGAGATTTTGGGCTGAGACGATGGGGTTTTCTAAATATACAATCATGTCAGCTGCAAACAGGAACAATTTGACTTCCTCTTTTCCTAATTGAATACCATTTATTTCTTTCTTCTGCCTGATTGCCCTGGCCAGAACTTACAACACTATGTTGAATAGGAGTGGTGAGAGAGGGCATCCCTGTCTTGTGCCAGTTTTCAAAGGGAATGCTTCCAGTTTTTGCCCATTCAGTATGATATTGGCTGTGGATTTGTCATAAATAGCTCTTATTATTTTGAGATACGTCCCATCAATACCTAGTTTGTTGAGAGTTTTTAGCATGAAGGGCTGTTGAATTTTGTCCAAGGCCTTTTCTGCATCTATTGAGATAATCATGTGGTTTTTGTCTTTGGTTCTGTTTATATGATGGATTACGTTTATTGATTTGCATATGTTGAACCAGCCTTGCATCGCAGTGATGAAGCCAACTTGATCATAGTGGATAAGTTTTTGATGTGCTGCTAGATTCGGTTTGCCAGTATTTTATTGAGGATTTTTGCTTCAATGTTCATCAGGGATATTTGTCTAAAATTCCTTTTTTGTTGTGTCTCTGCCAGGCGTTGGTATCAGGATGATGCTGGCCTCATAAAATGAGTTAGGGAGGATTCCCTCTTTTTCTATTGATTGGAATAGTTTCAGAAGGAATGGTACCAGCTCCTCTTTGTACCTCTGGTAGAATTCGGCTATGAATCCGTCTGGTCTTGACTTTTTTTGATTGGTAGGCTATTAATTATTGCCTCAATTTCAGAACCTGTTATTGGTCTATTCAGGGATTTAACTTCTTCCTGGTTTAGGCTTAGGAGGGTGTATGTGTCCAGGAATTTATCCATTTCTTCTAGATTTTCTAGTTTATTTATGTAGAGGTGTTTATAGTATTCTCTGATGGTAGTTTGTATTTCTGTGGGATCAGTGGTGATATCCCCTTTATCATTTTTTATTGCATCTATTTGATTCTTCTCTCTTTTCTTCTTTATTAGTCTTGCTAGCAGTCTATCAATTTTGTTGATCTTTTCAAAAAACCAGCTCCTGGATTCATTGATTTTTTGAAGGGTTTTTTGTGTCTCTATCTCCTTCAGTTCTGTTCTGATCTTAGTTATTTCTTGCCTTCTGCTAGCTTTTGAATGTGTTTACTCTTGCTTCTCTAGTTCTTTTAATTGTGATGTTAAGGTGTCAATTTTAGATCTTTCCTGCTTTCTTTTGTGGGCATTTAGTGCTATAAATTTCCCTCTACACACTGCTTTAAATATGTGCCAGAGATTCTGGTATGTTTTGTCTTTGTTCTCATTGGTTTCAAAGAACATCTTTATTTCTGCCTTCATTTCGTTATGTACCCAGTAGTCATTCAGGAGCAGGTTGTTCAGTTTCCATGTAGTTGAGCGGTTTTAAGTGAGTTTCTTAATCCTGAGTTTTAATTTGATTGCCCTGTGGTCTGAGAGATGGTTTGTTATAATTTCTGTTCTTTTATATTTGCTGAGGAGTGCTTTACTTCCATCAGAGTGAACAGGCAACCTACAGAATGGGAGAAAATTTTCACAATCTACCCATCTGACAAAGGGCTAATATCCAGAATCTACAAAGAACTTAAACAAATTTACAAGAAAAAAATCAAACAATCCCATCAAAAAGTGGGCAAAGTATATGAACAGACTCTTCTCAAAAGAAGACATTTATGCAGCCAACAGACACATGAAAAAATGCTCATCATCACTGGTCATCACAGAAATGCAAATCAAAACCACAATGAGATACCATCTCATACCAGTTAGAATGGCGATCATTAAAAAGTCTGGAAACAATGGGTGCTGGAGCGGATGTGGAGAAATAGGAACACTTTTACACTGTTGGTGGGACTGTAAACTAGTTCAACCATTATGGAAGACAGTGTGGTGATTCCTCAAGGATCTAGAACTAGAAATAACATTTGACCCAGCCATCTCATTACCAGGTATATACCCAAAGGATTATAAATCATGCTGCTATAAAGACACATGCACACATATGTTTATTGCGGCACTAGTCACAATAGCAAAGACTTTGAACCAACCCAAATGTTCATCAATGATAGACTGGATTAAGAAAATATGGCACATATACACCATGGAAAACTATGCACCCATTAAAAAGGATGAGTTCATGTCCTTTGTAGGGACACGGATGAAACTGGAAACCATCATTCTGAGCAAACTATCGCAAGGCCAGAAAATCAAAGACCGCATGTTCTCACTCATAGGGGAGAATTGAACAATGAGAATACTTGGACACAGGGTGGGGAACATCACACACTGGGGCCTGTCATGGGGTGGGGGGAGGGGAGAGGGATAACATTAGGAGATATACCTAACGTAAATGACGAGTTGATGGGTGCAGCACACCAACATGGCACATGTATACCTATGTAACAAACCTGGCACGTTGTGCACATGTACCCTAGAACTTAAAGTATAACAAAAAATAAATAAAAAATAAAAAGAATACCACCTGCCTTGGCCTGCCAATGTGCAGGGATTATACGCCTGAGCCACTGTGCACTGCCTCATATCTTCTTATAAAAAATAAATTACACCACGAAGATGGCAGCAATAGTTGCTCTATTTGAGGCATTGCTAGAAAGGTCTTACTTCTGCAGAAAAGTCCTTCAGCTACAGCCTGCATATTATTCTGCCTGAAAGAAAGCCTGCTTCCCAAGTACAACTCATAGCAGCTTGGGTGTTCAGTGAGAACTGAATAAAGGAGCCCAACACTCCCTGTCCTAAGTCTGTGAGTTTACAACCCCGTGCTTGTTGCTCTTGTAAGCAGAGACTGGGAATAGTAAGTTGATGGCAGAAAGAAAATAAACATTTATTGAGTGTCCTCAATGTGGTCAGCAAAGCACTAAGTTTCACATTTATTATACCATTACACCATTCTTAGAAAAATGTCCCAAATGTTCTACAAATAAGGAAACTGAGAATAAGGGAGGTAAAAATTGAAGATTCATTAGTTGGTAATTGGTATGGCTGGAATCCATCCTCAGGTTTCTCTAGTACTAAAAAATAATTCAGTATATAATACAATAAGTAATTAAAAATTCATATAGAATTAACTCACATTTTTTAAAAAGTCATTTCACAAAAATGAATCTTTATATATAGTAGGACATTAAATATTATAAGCCAGAAAAATTATATATGGTTTTGCACAGATATAAAATATAATACCAAAACATTAATATTATCCTTTTAAATAATTCTTAAACAACAAAACGTCTTTTGAAAGAAAAGACAATTTTCAAATTTGTCTGGCAAACAAATCTGCCGAAGAGCAATGTCTTCTGATTTAACTACATCTTTTGTTAAATTTTTTATCCCCAACTTTCATGAAAATTTAGAACAAAGTATTTCGAAGTCTAGTTTGACATACATTGTTACAGTGACAAAAATAACAGATAGAAAACAATGGCCAAGCCAAAATAGCACCTCATGCTCATGAGTCCTTTTATGGTGGGTCCTCCACAAATATATTTATTTCAGTTCTTACATGATATAGCTATAGTTGTCAAAGTGTGGTCTGCAGAGTCCTGGGCATCTCTGAGACCCTTCCTGGGGGTTTGCAAGGTCAAAATTATTTTCTTTATACTACTGAGATGTCATTTGCCTTTTTCACCATGTTGAAATATTTACTAATGGTACAAAAACAAGGCTGGGTAAAACCGTTGGTGTCACAGCACAAGTCAAAGCAGTGTCCCCCAACTGTACCCATAGTCACTGTACTCTTCAGTGACATGCACTTGTCGGGGAAAAATACAGTGCAAATTTCACTTAAGAAGGTTATTGATGAAGCAGTAAAAATTTGTTTTCTTAAATCTCAATGCCTGAGTACATATTTTTAATATTTGTGTGACAACATAAGAAAGAAGCATTAAAGCACTTTCCTTGCATTTTGCAAGGAAAATACTTGAGGAAAAGCATGTGTGATTGAGTTGCAAGCTGAATCAGGTACTTTTTTTGTGAAGGACCATTTTTCCTTGAATGAACAACTAACAAACTATACTTATTCAGATGTGGGTGTTTGGCAGACATTTTCTCAAAAATTAATAAAGTAAGCCTATCACTGACAATTTTTCTTGTCAACAACATAACTCCAGCTTTCAAGAGAAAATTAGAAGCTTAGAAAATTTGTATTCACCACTGTGAGCTTGACAGCTTCCAAAGACTTAGAGACTTTTCTGAAAATGGTGTTGATCCAAATGGATGTGATATTTTTGATGTCATATAATGAAGTGTCTCAGAAGTGGAAGATCTGCATAACTCAGTGTACCAATATTTTCCAAACAACCAAGGCATGCTGATACAATATCATTCATAGGTAAAAGATACATTCGAAGGGCAAATTTGACCAATGGATTTTAATGTAAAAAGATATGAAAAGCTCATTGGTATGGGTTCAGATTCTACATATGCAGAAATTACCACTTGTTGAGTTTTGGTATAGTATAAAAGAATACATACAATTATCTAAAAAGGCTATTAAAATACTTCTTGCCCAGGGATTGGTGGCTCTCACCTGTAATTCTAGCAGTTTGAGAGGCCAAGATGGGAGGATCCCTTGAACCCAGGAGTTTCAGACCTGCCTGTGCAACATAGTGAGACCCTGTCTCTACAAATTAGCCAGGTGTGGTGGTATGTGCCTGTAGTCCCAGCTACTTAGGAGGCTCAGGTGAGAGGATCGCTTGAGCTTGGGAGGTCAAGGCTGCAGAAGGCCATGATCCTGTCACTGCACTCCAGCCTGGGCAACAGAATGAGACTGTCTCATAAAATAAAATAAAATACTTCTCCTTTTTCCAACTACATAACTATAATGCCAGATTCTCTTTCACCCAAAACAAACAACATAGTTATGAACTAAAGCAGAAGCAGATATAAAAATTCAGTTGCTATTAAGTCAGATATTACAGAAATTTGCAAAAGTGTAAAAAATAGTAATGAAGCAACCAGGTTTTTTTTACATGTAAAACTCTTCTCAATAATTCTTTTTGTTTTGAAAATATAGTAATGTTTCACTAAAATATTCTAATTACATTAACTTTTTGGGATTATTATTGTTATTTTAAATAAAATTATGAAACAATTTTAAAATTTCTGATTCAATGTTTAATAAAGTAAACATTATATTAAGGACTCACAAAATCAGTAGCTCTTTGGGGTCCTTAATACATTTTAAGGGTTAAAAGGGCTCTTGAGGCCAAAGTGTATGAGAGTGACTGTGCTATAGAAAGAATGTGTGTTCAATAATTACAATTGACCCTTGAACAAGGCACATGTTAGGGGTGCTGACCCCCAACACTGTCAAAAATCCAAGCATAACTTGTGAGTCCCCAAGAAAACTTAACTGTTAACACAGCCTACTGTTGACTGCATTCCTTACTAATAATATAAATAGCTGACAAGCACATATTTTATATGTTGTATGTATTATATACTGTATTCTCACAACAAAGTAAGCTAGGGAAATTTTTTTTAAGAAAATCATACGGAAGAGAAAATATATTTATTATTGATTAAGTGGAAGCAGATCATCACAAAATCTTCATCCTCATCATCTTCTTGTTGAGTAAGCTGAGGAGGAGGAGGAAAAGGAGGGTTGGTCTTGCCGTCTCAGGGGTGGCAGAGGTGGAGGAAAATCCACACGTAAGTGGGCCTGTGCAGTTCAAGCCCGTGTTGTGCAAGGGTCAATTGTACATGATAATATGTAACTAAGACTAAAGTGTGTTTAGGTATCTGCCTCCCAACTTTCAAGTCACTTGCCTAAGGTAGGGAATACAGGCTTTTTGATTTAGCATCTTCTTCAGGAAAACCACTCCTCTGCCATTCTCACTGCAAGTGGCTGATCCTACTCTCTGGATCCAGGGGAAGCTGGCATGTGTTGCAGAACTTGCTAAGTATAGTACTACATTCCTAAAAAACTGGTCAGGTGGCCCAGACAGGCCAACAAAGGAATATTTGTATTTACAATTTTGGTTGTGTTGCTAACCCTGCGGATGCAGCCTGAAGCTGCTGGTGGCTGTCTTTGCTAACAAGTGGAAAAACAATTACAGAGTAGCCAACATAGATAGTAGGGACAAGTGGAAAAAAATGTATACTGATAATACTGAACTCTGTAACCAACATGCTTGAAGACAATTGCATCTTTGGCCTTTCTAGTCAGAGAAGCCAAGAAATTCCTTCTATTTAAACTTTTATAAGCTGAATTTATATTATTTGCACTGAAGCGAACCCTAACCAATACAGTATTTGATAGCTGGAAGTGGAGTGTTGTAAATGACAGTTCTTAAAATGTGACACTGGATAAGCTGAGGTGAGAGGGAGGACTGCCCCATTCCTGGGAAAAAGGCAAATGCTGTTGACAGCAAAGCCGCCAGATGAAAGATGCTTAATGTGTATCAGAACTCAAATCATATACAGTCATGTGTTGCTTAACAGCAGGAACAAATTCCGAGTAATGCATCATTAGGCAATTTTGTCATTGTGGGGACATTCTAGAGTTTACTTATACAAACCTAGATGGTATAGCCTATCACACACCTAAGCTATATGATATAGCCTATTGCTCCTAGGCTACTAACCTGTACAGCATGCTATTTTACTGAATACTGTAGGCACCTGTAACACAATGGTTAAGTATTTGTGTATGTAAACATATCTAACATAGAAAACATAGAAAACATAGAAAAGGTACTGTAAAAATATGTTATTATAATCTTATGGGATCACCACCATAGATGCACTCTGTTGTTGACTAAAACATCATTATGCAATGCATGACTTGACTGTAAATATCAAGTTTTATGGAATCAGGAAAAAGATGCCAGAATTTTGGAGGTTGTTGGCTACTTCTTTTGGCCTTCAGTAAGACCATATAGGAAAGGAACGACCTTCAGCCTCATCTGGCAGTTGCAGAAGGAAAGAGGAAAAGGGATTTGGTCCTTCCTAAGAGTCATCCTTTCTGCCTGCTCCAGGCACTCCAAAATGGCCAACAGCAGATAACCATTGGCCTTTAGGATGTGTAAATCTCTGCCCCATGCTAAATTTAGTACAAGCAGGAAACATAACGGGAAAAGAGATTGGGATCCTGGTCAACCAGGGATCTGGGTTCCAAACACTTGCTGCTGTACATTCAAAGAGAGCAGGTACAATTCTACTCCAAAAGCCATCCCTAGGAATTCCACCACTGAGGGGTGAGGATCTGTGTGATTTCAGCCCATTGCCTCCAAGTGTGAGGCCCAAATGGCTAGGGAGAGGGGTAGAGCATAAAGGCTGATTGCTAAGAGGGAGAATCAGTGAGGTTTGGAACCAGGCTGATGGGCCATGACTCCACAAAAGCTCTGGCTTTGTTACCACTGTAGGGAGTATCCAAGAAATTAACAGAGCAACAGCCAACAGATCTGTCAGGAGAGGCTGTGGCATTGCCAGTGAAATGCCAAGGCTCAGCAAACAGCCCAGAGAATGCCTAACTCGTAGGGCGAATTTTCAGTGCCCAAACCCACACCCACAGGAAGGAGGAACTAAAATGTTCTAGCTGTTAGAACAGGAACTTCCTGGTGTCCATCTGACGCATAGCTGTGCAGGACAATAGGAAAGGGAGTTCCTCCCAGAAAGCAGTGAAGGGCCAGCCAGATTCCTGAACAAAGAACTCCCTCCACTGCCAGGTCAGAGAGTCCTTGCTCTCTTTGCCCAGCAGCATGAGATCATTGTGATGGACTTGAGATCAATCTTCAGTGGTTGCCCTTCTCGCCTTTTCCAAATGGAAGTTTTATTGCAGTGATGGCATTTTCTCTCTACCAATGTGAAGTGGCAGTGCTAAATTTATCTTTTAGCCAGAGGTTGCCAAGCCACGATGAGCTACATTTAGACCCAACCAAAAAAATGTCATAACTTAGAGATTCTGGAATTGAAGTTGAAAGCAGTAACTGGATGAGCCTAAGCATAGTCTCCCTTTAGAGTGAAGGTAGGGAATTTTTTCTGGTAGAGGTATATTTGCAAGGGCCACTTTGAGAATTTTATAAATAGAAAGAAGGCTCATATGGATACTGGGCAGCCAAGGGATGGAAAGATAATGAGAGACATAGTTAACCTGTGCTTTGTTCAGCTCTTTAGGAGCTTTTTCCCATTCTGAGTCCAAGTTCTTTAGGTGGGGCTCTAGAACTCCTGGCTCTAGGGCTGCTATCATGGAAACCTGGCCAATAAAGTACTGGATTTCTTCATTCATGGTGATTACATCCAGGGATGATCACATGACCAAAGCCAGGACAATAAAAGCTCTCCCTGGGTCTTCTGTTGGAGCTATTGAAAAATTGACTTTTTATTTTTATTTTTACTAGAAATTCCAGCTGCCAGTACAACATAAACTAGGAACTGCTGCTGGTCATTTTTGCCACATTGTGGGGAGAGCCTGCCCAATAATGCAGCCAACTTCAAGTTTAGTAAGCAGAGAAAATTATTTTGAACTTCTAAATCTAGTCATATCTAAAGCTGGACTGATAAGCCCTGGTTTTCCAAATTATTTGAGTCAATAAATACATTTTTGTGTACTGAGTTCACAAGCCAAAT
Source organism: Homo sapiens (assembly GCF_000001405.40). NCBI lineage: Eukaryota > Metazoa > Chordata > Mammalia > Primates > Hominidae > Homo > Homo sapiens. The sequence goes on from NC_000013.11 coordinate 33,510,895, forward strand.
AATTGAAATTGAGTTCACAAGCCAAATAATCCTAACAGCTAATTAAAATAATTTCTATTTCATTTAAATTCTTTCAAAGAGAAATAATTGAGCTGACACCTAAATTTTTTTTTTCTGTTTAAAAGCTGATGTTGGCCAGATGCAGTGGCTCATGCCTGTAATCCCAGCACTTTGGGAGGCTGAGGTGGGCGGATGACTTGACTAGCCAAGAGTTGGAGGCTAGCCTGGCCAACATGGCAAAACTCCTTCTCTACTCAAAATACAAAAAATTAGCCAGGTATGGTGGAGTGTGCCTGTAATCCCAGCTACTCGGGAGGCTGAGGCAGGAGAATTGCTTGAACCTGGGGGGTGGAGGTTGCAGTGAGCCAAGATCACACCACTGTACTCCAGCCTGGACAACACAGCAAGACTCCATCTCAAAAAAAAAAAAGTTGCTGTATTTCTGCAGTCCAAGATATATTTATTTATTTAACAAATGTAACATTTCAGTACAGGAATTGTTGATTTAAAAATCTGTAGGGAAAACAAAAAAATCACTGTAAACTGAGATGGCATTAAAAGGTAGCTAAGGTCACAAAGATCTGTATTAGAGGGTGATTCCCCTGGACAAAGTGATGATGAGAGCCAACCATTTACTATTTATTATTTGTATCCTACTTACGTTTAAAAATTTTTTGTGTCTCTTTGCAATAAAAGGTACTATGTAATGAAACCACTAAAGCAAATTAAAAACTAAAAGATCCAAATAATAAAATGAAGGAAGAGGAAGTTGTATTGCAAATCCTAGGCGGAGTCTCCCCACTAGAGTCAAGTACAAAACTGGTCGCTGAGCTTCTGAAAAGGCAAAGCAAAATGGATATCAAAAAGTTCCGTACCATGGTTATCTTAATTGAAGGAAATACTTCATTAGGAGAGATTACTTGCTTCTATCACTAAAGTTTAAAAATAACTAATTACCTAGCTCTTTATACACTAGCCCCATGTAATAAAATTGAGTCTTTAACAGAAGCTTCATAAAAGATGCAGAAATGCTCTTTTCACAGCTCTTATAGAAAAAAAATTGGCCATTAATTAAAGCTCAGAGGCACTTGTTTAATTGTAAATCCATGAAGACAATTTGGATGGAGACTTTGAAATAAGGAAGGAGACACAGGCTGTTTTTAGTAATGTGGCTTGGTATTTGAGCAGATTTTGGAGAATGTATTCCAGAAGAAAGTGTGGTGGGTGGCATGTCCCTTAAGACCACTCTTCCCAATTAACAGTTGACTCACAAAATCTTGTAAATAAAGGTTACACAGCAAGCCACTGGAAACTAAAGACTAAGATCAATCTTAGGAGATTAAGTGCCAAAAGAGGACTGCTGATTAAAGTGATATCTACATGCACTAAAAATCCTATTATATGTGAGCAAAATTTTACAATGCAAATCAGTCTTGCTTTTCTTACAAGATGAGGAGTAATAAATACTGTTAAAATGCATAACTAAAAGCTTTCAAGATTAAGAGTCTTAGAGAAGTGTTAGAGTCCTTAGAGCAAAGACAGGTGCTTTTTAAATTTACTATGTTTTTTCACTCTTTTTTTCTTTTTTTTGAGGCGAAGTTTTGCTCTTGTCGCTTAGGCTGGAGTGCAGTGGCGTGATTGCGGCTCACTGCAAACTCCACCTCTAGAGTTCAAGTGATTCTCCTGCCTCAGCCTCCCGAGTAGTTGGGTTTATAGGTGCCCGCCATCACGCCTGGCTAATTTTTTGAATTTTTAGTAGAGATGGGGTTTCGCCATGTTGGGCAGGCTGGTTTTGAACTCCTGACCTCAGGTGATCCACCTGCCTCGGACTCTCAAAGTACTGGGATTACAGGCATGAGCCACTGCGCTCGGCCGTTTTTTCACTCTAACCATAGCTTCATCCCAGGTTCTTGAAAGCTCAGATTGCCAGCAAACCACTAGAAGATACCAGAGAGTCCTGGAACAGATTCTCCCTCCCAGTCCTCAGAAGAAACCAACCCTGTGCATATCTTGATCTCAGGCTTCTAGTTCCAGAACTGTAAGACAGTAAATTTCTACTGGTTAAGCCACCCAATGTGTGGTACTTTGTTATGGCAACCCTAGTAAAATAATAACAACAGCCACATTCACTTGTTTATATATTGTCTACAGCTGCTCTCATGCAACAACAGCAGAGTTGAGTGGTTGGAACCAAAACCACATGGCCTCAAAGCCTAAAATATTTACTATCTGGCCCTTTACAGAAAATGTGCTGACTGTTGACTTATCTGATGAGTGAGATAGGGTAAAGGGTCACCAGGCATATGAGGTTTATTCTCCTTGTCTTTCTCCTTTGAGAACTGTTTGATGATCCTTGCTCAGCCCCTCTCTCTTTCACACAGGCTGACTCACCTGGGATCACTGAGTTCTATTTGGGATAAGAGTAGAAGAAAATAAGAAGACACTTGGGGTCTGAGGCGTGGTCTCCAATTTAGCTTTATCAGCAATAAAGTGTTTATTTTCTCTCTTCCTGATAGCTATACATATTTCTCAATTGATTTCAAATCTGGGAGGAGAGACATACGTGATTCACTGACTTCCATGAACCTCAACTTCTTCCTCCTCATAGTATGAAGGTGTTGGAAATCTTATTTCCCTCTTGAAGTTTTCCCAAAAAGGAAGTGAGTGCTGACTTGTTTTTAACCTGGCCATATCCTCTCTGAAGATGCAATTCTCATGACTAATTTTTAAATTCCATAGCACATAAAACTATTATACTTGCACTCATGCTCACAAAGTTTAGATTTTTTTTCATGCTATGCCATTATGTATTTATGAGTCTCTGTGTATGCTTTTATAGATCTAAATTACTATAACCTTTCTTAGATTATGAGCTTCTGAGCAGATTTTTGTTCAACTTGCATTCTGGTTTGTTTAATAGCAACACAGTGCTATGCTGTTAATATGTTTCCCCCATTAATGAAGTCCCCACTAATCCACCAACAACTTTATTCACGTAACGTAACAAGGAAGATAATTTTCAAGATGAAAAAGACACTGATAATAAATAACAGCTTTGTAGATTGAGAGAAAAATATTTTAACCTCTAATAAAATATATCTAGAAATGTGCCTGAGAAAGTCAGCCTCTAATCTGTCACCTGTAGCTTGTAATTAACTAAGTTAACCCATTGATATTTATGGAAAATACCCATTACACACATGATTCTCTCTGACATCAGTAGATGGAAGGGCATGGAAGATAATAAGATTAAATAAACAGTTGGGAAAATACCTTGACGCTCAGGCAGAAAAATCTGGCTATGATTCAGTAGATGTTCACAAAGTGTAATGGAGAAAATGGACACAGTGTTTGGGAGGAATTGTAGAGGTCTTAGCTTAATGATCTAAATGAGATAATGTGTCTGGCTTGTGGGAAGGAGGAGCAGGGTAGGCCCAGCAGGGTCTGTTTGCTTGAAGGATCTAAAGACACTCAGGGAAATAACTCATCGAAAGGAAGGACGGCCATGGGGTGCTGCTGGAGAAATTGTTGGGCTTGTTACCTAGTTATCTAGTTACCAGTTGCATCTGGCTCAGCCTCTGTGAGCTGGTCTGGGAGAGAGGGTGGCGGTCAAAAGTGAGTAAAAGTGGAAAGAGCAGTTTCCTTAAAGACTCTGTTGAGGGCAGTGTTTAACAGTAGGTGCCACAATGGAGGCTGGAGGGTAGGGTGGGACCAAGGGCATGTTCCTACTCTGCTGTTACCTTTGCAGCTGCACGCTAGAACAGCCTCTAGCTGGACCAGGCAAGTGACAGAGCAAAACACAGGGGCAGCATCAGGATCTTTGGAGGGCTTCAGCTACACCACAATATGGACAGTGACAGATGATACCATGGATTCCAAACAGTCATAACAAACAAAAAAGGAGCCTGCCATGATGCAGTCTACCAATCCAAGTTTTAGACATACGTGGACCTCTCCCCCGGCACCCCACTCCCACCAAGATTCCTCGGGAGAAAAAGAGCCCAAGGCTTCTAGAACTGGTGGGCAGAAATTGTAGATGGAGTGTGAATAAATGGGAGTGGAGCCTCGGAAAGTGTGTGGTTTTACAATTACCGCTTCCAGGTTATGTGGCCTGGAAAACACCACTTACAAAGATGTAGAAGAGGAGGTGATGTAGAGTAAAGGCCAGAGTACTAGAGGCTGGATGTGTTAAATATCAGCTGTGTGACCTTGGCCAAATTATTCAAATGTTCTGGCTTCAGTTCCTGTATCAAAAAAGTGGAATCTTTCAAATGTCCTCACAAGGTTGTGGTAAAGCTCCAATGTGTGAGAAAACCCTTTACTCTAATGAAGAGTTATTATTATAATTACATGGAGTATTGCGGAGCAGGCTATTTAGAAAAGGTTCTGAGAGCACTGATTTACAAGATATGCTGCCAAATAATTCAGCTGTCTGCTGGTGTAAAAATGTTTTTGTGTCTTCCTAAGCCATTTCCCAAGAAAGTAATTTTTCTCACATAAGCAATTGTCTCAGCAAAACCTAGAGCCTCTTGAAATGAAGGATTTTAGGAGCATCCACTTTTGTCCGTGTTCTCCAAGGAGACGAAACAAGGAAAGTGCAGAGATAGCTGGCACAGGAGAAATGAAGGACAGGAAAGCCTCTGGGGCACTAGAAAGTGGGGACCATAAAAATCTTGGCCTTATTTTAACATTTCTCAGAATATAGAAGAGTCAGTGTATCAGCTTGTTGGTAGTGATGGTTCTACTGGGAAATCTTAACTTTAAATTGCCTGCCAATCTTTATTTTGCGTGTCCAAGAAGAACCATTTATCACTTTTATGAAGCCACTGAAAGTCCACGGTGAGGGATAAAACTAATTATTGAGCAGTACATGTCCTCACACTAAATACATAATGAGAGTAATGGGCTGAAGGCTGTAGAGATGGGTAGTAAATGTTTTGATAAAACAAATCTAAGATGCTTTCGACAGAAAGACAGCCCTTCTTCATCTCCACTAATTCTCTGTTGCCCACCTGGGGAGCAAGTTTCTGACAATTAGCGATTCTCTGTGATGATGGATTTTATCTGATAGCTTATCTCCACAGTATATATAGCCTTTCGTTAGCCAATGACAGTAACCCAGGTATGCATATGACTTTCACTCTTAGCAAAGCAGTTTTTATATATATATCCACATATATATACACACACACATACACACACATATATGTTAACTTTGTATATATAACACTCTCAGAAGTGTTATATATAATTTATATATAATATATAATGTATATATAATTCATATATATGAATTATATATATTTATGTCATAATATATATTCAGTATCTATAATTCATTATAATTCATAATATAATGAATTATATATAATTTCATATATAGTTGAAATTTCATATATAGTTGGAGTATTACTGAAACCCAGGGCAATAATTAAGCATATCAGTTTCAGCTTTTCTTACTTACCTTAAGAACACCGAGAACATTTTTGAATGAATTCCATCATCATATTTTAATTCAAAGTAAAAAAACATATCCCCTTACATGCATCTGAAGCCTATTCAGTAAACTCTACTGGTCAAATAAATCTTCCTTTGCCAGGCTATTTCTTGGGAATCCATATCCAAAGTTAATTTGCTTAATTTTTTCTCATTATTCTTTTTAATGCTCTCTGACTTAGATTCTATAAGATTATCTTTTTATTGGTTAAACAATAACAAATGGCTTTGGTCATCATAAAGTCCTTCCTATTGGGTTACCACCTAGAGCTTCTCTGTCCATGGCCCACAAATGCCTCCTGAGCTCTTGGGATGTGGCTAGTCCAAATTGAGATGTGCCATAAGTGTAAAATACAAACCAGATTTTGAGGACTTAGAACCCCTCAAAGAAAGTTACATATCAGGCCAGGCATGGTGCCTCATGCCTGTAATCCCAGCACTTTGGAAGGATGAGGAGCAAGGATCACTTGAGCCCAGCAGTTCGAGGTTGTAGTGAGCTATGATTGCAACACTGTACTCCAGCATGGGCAACAGAGCAAGACCTTGTCTCAGAAAAAAAAAAAAAAAGGAGGGAGAAGAAAAAAAAGTAATATGTCAGTAATTTTTGTGTGTTGATTACATGTCAAAAATGATAAGATTTAGGATATATTGGTTTCAATAAAATATACTATTAAAATTAATTATACCTGTTCCTTTTACTTTTTTTAAAGTGGCTGCTAAAATATTTTAAATTACCTATGGGGCTCAGTTTGATGGGCAATGCTGAACTTTCAACTCTGCATCATAGGTTTTTATCACAATGTTCCCCCCACCCTATTCAAGCTCATCCTGCCCTCTTTTTTTGTCCCATGGGCATTAACATCACCGCTGAACAGCTAAAACCCAATTCGTTTTGCCTACCTCTACCTCAACCAAAGAAGAGTTCCTTGGCCCTCATTTGCTGGAGGATAGATGTAAGAATTTGATGCTACTCATATAGCAAGTATGCTGGTCCTGAAGTTATTCCATTAGAAATTTTAAAAAATGGTTTTCCTTATTCCTAAAATGATGTCTGAAGACTTAAACCAAAGTTGGCAGAACAGGGGCAGAATGTTCACAGATGTTCCTACTGGCCCTGAAGGCAGAATTGACTTTCTGGAAAATTACATCCAGTAAGACAGTTCTACATGGAGTGAAACAAATTTAGTCCTGATATTCAAGGGAGTGCATAAAGGTTCCTCTGATAATGTGGAGTTAATTAAAAGGGATGGCCAAACTGATTGTGTTTGTCTTGAAGGAAGTTCATAGGCAGTATCAATCCAGCTCAAGGGAGCAATGGGGCTGGATATTTTCCAAGCGTTTGCCATCAACAGCTGGACATACTCTTGCAATTGTGATTTGCCATTCTTTTTACGCTTCTGATATTTTTCGGACAAATAAATCCATACAGAGACATGTTTATAACAAACCATTGTCAATCCATGATGTATACAAACCTGCCTCACAATAACCAGACTGTACTGAGAACCGCCTGCCCTGTCTCTGTGTCCTGTCTACCTACTGGCTGCTCCCTGCCACACTCTTTCTCCTCCTCTACATCTGCTTCTGGGACTCATTATTTAAAAACAATGGCAAAAACAAACAACAACAACAACAACAACAACAACAATCTTGAAGCTTTTAGGGAATCAGTGAGACTAGAAGTTGGGGGCAGGAAAAGGCTCTGAAAAAGCAGAAACAACTTCCAGGAGCACAGACTTCTAGACAGGGCTAGTCAGCCTGTGTTGTGCCCATTTCTGAAACAGTTTCTTGTGCATTACTTGGTTTGCTTTCATTTTACTGTTACACTGCCAAAATTACCCCCCATCCCAGATTTACTTGGGCAAGACAGGATCTGTTAAAAATGAAGATACTTCAAGAGTGTTAAAGTATAAATTTATCCATCGAATTGCCCTTCTACTTTGGACTCACTGCTTGTATTCCTCAACAGTAAGGACAGCAATCTAATTTCAATATGAAGGGTTAGAAAGCCGCCTACCTGTGGCTACTCCTGAAATCCACCAAGATAACATTCGTGCAGCTCAAAAAGCTATGCCAAACTGCCTCTCAAGTTTTCTCCAGCAAAATGATTTGAAAACTAAAAAGATTCAGGAGACCTCATTTTTGTTATGCAAATATGGGAGGGGAGGTGGGGCACCAATTTATGGTCCTGCGGTCTTAACTGTAGAGAAGGAAATTTCCCAAGAGGTGACAGCTGTTTGGGGAGGGTGGGGAGGATGATAGGGCTGAGTAGAGGCAAGTGGCACAGTTTGATAACTCACCTGTCACACTCACTCTCCAGGAACAGCTGTGTAATCACTAAAGAACCTGAACTTCAAGACGCTGATATTTATGGCCAGAATTCACAGTCACTTCTGCACTTTGCATACCTTGATGGAGACTTTTCTGGATATTTAAAGTCTGTAGGACCCTGCTGTTTGTGTATGAACCAAATCTATTTCTACCCCTGGTCAGAGCCTCCTGCCATGGGCTAGGCTATTCCAATGGGTCCTGTCTTCCATGAGTCATATAAGGTCAAGGCACATGATGACAAAGATTCTCTGCTTGACCAAACATCTAAACCTCCTAGGCCCATCTGAGCACTTTAGCAAGAACCCTGCTAAGTCAGCTTAACAAGCCTGCATACCTGATGCCCCTCAATATCTGATCAGATTCATTATGCATCACCAGCCCCCAGGTGATGATTTCTGATTACCCTGGCCTGTCTTCAGCAAGAATCCTCTCAGGTGGGTTTAGGCAGACTCCCACTCCTGTTGATGATATTTCCTCTTGGTAATTTTTTCTTTCTTTCTTTCTTTCTTTCTTTCTTTCTTTCTTTCTTTCTTTCTTTCTTTCTTTCTTTCTTTTCTTTCTCTTTCTTTCTTTCTCTCTCTCTTTCTTTCTCTCTCTCTCTCTCTCCTTCCTTTCTTCCTTCTTTTTTCTTTCCTTTTCATTTTTTTTTAAGATGGAACCCCATCACCATGTTGGTCAGGCTGGTCTTGAACTCCTGACCTCAAGTGATCCACCCACCTCGGCCTCCCAAAGTGCTGAGATTACAGGTGTGAGCCACTGTGCCCAGCTGGGAATTTTTTTTATCCACTGGCCTCCACCCTCCTCCTTGGCTATAAATTCCAACTTGCCCATGCTGCATTTAGAGTTGAACCCAATCTCTTCCCCACTGCAAAATCTCATTACTGTGATTCCTATACCTATCTTGAAGTGCTTTAGCAAGCGCCATTACATAATTTTTTTAGCAATGACCAACTTAAAAAGCCACAGAAAGCATCGTTGATGGTTAATCCCTTAATCTCTGTTCCAACTTCATAACACAGAAAATCAACAGTGGAGAGACCTTGAAACATTAGGAAATCATTATTTCTCCCGTCTTTTTGTAAGAGATGAGGTATTCGTAATATTTCCAAGTCCTGCATAGAGCCAACTCAACACAAAAACAGCAATTCTTGAAGGTCTACACAGAGAAGGCACTCCATAAATATTTGCAGGCCGACTTGTTCAAATGTGTTTTTAAGAGCACTGCAAAATGTATACCTTGCTTTACTTGTAAATGTGTATTTTCTCTAAATATCCTCTTCTCATAGATATCCAGTCATTTTCAGTTGCCATCTGGTGCATAATTTCTGGCACAGGTGTGGGCTGCCCAGGTCTGCGGAGTGGAGAATTTATTGCAACAGTCGATGCTGCTATCCATTCAAGACAGAGGAAACATGTGATCAGTAAAGGCTATAAAACAAACCAGAATGAAAGCCTTGAATTTTTCAGAAATGCCATGTTTAAAAGTACTTCTTTAATAATTCAGAGGAGAAATATGTTTGTCTGGTAGCTGGGGTGATTTCATGGGTGGATATATCTAGTCAAGGCCTAAAGAATGCAGTGGCCACATGCGGTTGTGACTGCATATTTTCACCCACACAACTGGGCTGTGTTCCTGAGACAGATGCTGTTTTACACAGACATGGCTTAGTAGGTATTAGTCCTGGCAAATAGTTCCCAAAGCTGCAGAAGACATAAGGACCTAAATAGCCTAGAATAGTTCATCCTAATTTAATCATAAACACAGTATAAAGTACTGTGTTTTATACTCCAAGACGTTACTTTTCTTTTTAAACAATAGCGGCCAGTCTAACTTCATCTGCTGGACCACTGTGTACATTCAGCTTGCCCCTCGGGTAGTGCTACCTCAGCCTGGTGGTCAAAGTCATTCTGCCTTCCCCACAGCTGCTGTCGTGAGGATTTGCTTCACATACACTTCTGATCCCTTTGTTCTTCCAAAAATCCTTGGAACTTCCCCACTGTGCATCCCAAGCAGGGATCCCTGTGATTGTCATGCAGGAAATAATGGCGAGGAAGAAGTTACATGAGGCAGGAGATCCCCCATGCCCCCACCACCTGGGGCTTCTCTTCTCCCATATTTCCATAGCTAAAGTACAGGCTTTTCCAGCTAAAGTACAGGCTCATCTGTCAAATCTCTATCCCCCACACTAGGTCTCAACTCTTACAAAGCCTCCAGATATTCCTTCATTCTTACTTAGCTTCCCCAATTAGAGTCTAGGAAGTTCACTGAGCACAGGTGGCCTTGAAAGGATAGATAAGCATTACTCAGGACCCATCACCTACCTGTCTCATCTCCAACCAACGCACAGTCCTAGCCCCATGGGAACGACTCGAGCTGGGAGAGCCCATGCCCTCAGTATTTGTCAGGAACTGAGAGTCACTTGTTTGGCAGTCAGGCCTAGATTCACAAATGAGCACATGTTCCTCAGACATGTTCTACAGGGCAGTGAATTTTACACATCAGGTAATTTATGGCTGAAATAGGGTTATGCAGGCTAGCCTGTGAAACTAAGAAAATAATGTCAGATGAATGAAGGTACACTAGATTGAAGAATTTGTTTTCTATCTTGACAGAAATTCAGCCAATGGCAATTTTTCTCTGTGGGAGCTTCTGAGTTCATGATAGTTGAAAGAATTAGAAGTGAGTTGACTCTTTAGAAGTTGTTCTCTAGAATAGGAAAACAGCAAGGGAAACAGAATCTATTGTCTATCTTCCTAAAGATTCACAGCTAGAACAGCATCAAATGGGTTCCTCTGCCACATGGGCCCCAGCTTGCATGCTGCCTGTTTACATGTTACCATCTTGGAAGGAATGCCTATTATAGACAGTGGTAGTGAAAGCAGATAATAGAAAAAGATGTTCAGAGGATAAGTAGATGTCAGTATTAACACCTGAGGATATATATTTCTCCTCTCCACTCTGTGCCACTAAGAATTGACAGATTATGATTTTGTGAACGGACCGGAAAATTAAATATTCCCTATGTTTTTACACAATAATTTATAAAGTTATTCTGTCCCTATCATGAATGAGCTAATTTGGAAAGAAATTATCTATCCAAGGATAATTAAGAGCTTACTACAAAAACAAAGAAACAAGATGAAAAAAAATACTATTAGGAAAGCAGCTAAGGCAAGTCCCAAATGCCTCTTTAATAAATTACATTCCCTTAAGAGGCAATAGACAATGAGTTATAGCATTAAACTAAAGATAATGGCTTTTTCCTTTTTAACTTTCATTGTTAATTTTTAAGAAAATCAATAAATATCTAATAAATACTTTCTTCTTGGGCTGAGGAATGTTCCAAGTAGGAAGTCTTGTGTAGAAGTTTAATACTATTTATCAGGCATTCTTTACGAAAAAGAAACAAAATGTGGATCACAGTAAATATAATTAAGATGTGCTATATTTTTCTTTTTTTAATTGAAAGCAATGTTTTTACAAAATAAACTTCACTTTTTAGAGCAGTTTTAGGTTCACAGCAAAATTAAGAGAAAGGTACGGACATTTCCCATATGGCACCTGCTCCACTCATGCACAGCACCCCCATCATCAACATAGCCCACTGTACCCTGGAGTGGTACATCTGTTACAAATAATGGACCTCCACTGACACATCATTATTACACAAAGCCCATAGTGTACAGTAGGGTACACTGTTGGTGTTGTATATTCTATTGTATATTCATTTTGACAAATGTAGAATGACATGTATTCACCATTATAGTATCATACACAGTAGTTTCATTCCCCCAAAAATCTTCCATGTTCTGCCTATTTATCCTTCCTTCCACCTAACTCCAGCACTCACGGATTTTTTACTGTCTTCTTAATTTTGTCTTTTTCATGTATTAACAGTTGAAGTCATACAGTATGTAGCCTTTTCAGATTGCCTTATTTCCCTTGGTAATATGCATTACCTTTTTATAAAGGCATTACAAAAGCTCTCTTGTGTATTGGTAGTGACAGACAGCATGGAGACCCAGACTTGAGTACTGGTTTTGCCCCCTTGGGCAAGTCACCTACCTTTGCTAGGCCTTGGTCTTCTCATTTGTAAATTCAGCATAACATGAATAGCTACCCTGGTAACTTTGCCATGTTGTGAAGGTCAGGTTTTTTCTCTAGAAAATTAAGGTAGTAATGCCTTGCAGGGCTGTTGTAAGGATGAAATAGGCAATGTGTGTGAGAGCTTAGCATTGTGCGTGGAACATATTCCATGTTCAATCATGGCAGTTAACAATGTTATTTTATTATCACGTGTGCTGAATATTTTCCATTTGACTATCTGAAACTACTCTCTGCTTTTTTCCACCTTGTTCTGTGGGGCACAGTTTCTAAAGAATGGATCAACTTAGCTCCTTTCCTCCTGACTTCTCCATGGATTCAGCCAGCAGGAAGTCCCAGGAGGAGGTTAGAAGATGGGAGGAGGAAGAAATTGGGTATTTATTCCCTGAGCCTCTTCTTTGTCAGGCAGAAGTTTGGTTGTGGCTGTATTTCTCTGTGAAGGTCAAAGATCTTGCTGAGCCACCAACACTTTAGAATTGTTGATTTACCTTAACCCTGCCCATATCTTGCTGAGTAATTTCTTAAATTATCCCTTTCTAGGTAATTTTTAAAGTTTCTCTTGTTTACTGTCAGAAGGACACATGATGTTTGCCTTTCATATTTATTTGTAAAATTATTATTACCTTTTTACATTGTAAAGCAGACAAGGCATCATAAAATCAAGAACTATAAGCAACTGTATACAACCTTGCAAATTATTACTTAAAATCCTTCTATATCTAACACTGGTCAGGACTTATGAAGGCCTACTTTCAGATTCAATTTTTAAAAAGTGAAAAAAATTTAAAAGATTCAAAAAAGTTATAAATATAATGAAAAGTTGTAAAACGTCTATAGAAAAGGTTGGTCAATTTTTTCCTCATTAAAAATATACCCCAAAATGCAACAACAACAACAAAACTCTGTATATTATTTTGAGCTTGGTAGAACAAAGGCAATTTTCGAAACAAAGTGGATTGAATATTAGTAGCTGATGTTTTCTAGATGTGATTCCCACTCTTATGCCTCTTTTCTGGATCTCCGAACAGTGGGAGACAGACTAACCCGACAGGGAGACTTTTAAACATAGTTCAAGGAGATTTGCATTTGCAGCATAAGTTTTTACTAAAAATGAAGAGATGAATTGAAGTATGTACAATCCACTGCCATGGTTACAATGGACTAACCGTTTTACCTTCAGCAAGAGCATTTTTTTCTAATTTTATAAATATTAACAACTATATATGTTCTCATTACAAATTTTCTCATGTTGTAATGAAACACTAGTTAATGCTAATGTTAAGTTTGAAAAAACAAACAAGAAAAATAGATAATTTGTGAACACAGTGCTGTTTTTACCTTGGTGAATTACACCGTATGAACAGGGCAGGACACTCACACCAGGGGCATATGTAAGAAAACTAAAACTTACTTTAGTTTTTGGTTGAGTTCCAGTTGACATTTGGCTTGGCACACCATCAAGATTCTGGATGTTTGCAGTTTTAGTTCTACAAATTCCTTTCTTCTGATGATTTTTCTTAGGATTACTCTCCAGGTTTATAGAATCCTGTAAAAAAATTTTTTAAAGAGGTTTTTTTCATATATAAAGGACTATCCTTAGGCAATAGTTCAAGTTAATTAAAGACTGTTACATCAATAAAAATTTTTTTAAACTACAATCATTTTGAAAATTGACATAAAATGTAAGAATATTCTTAAATATTAATAATTTTTCCAAAGACATTTTTGGTTAGTGAGATCAGCCCCAGTAAAGCCTAAGGACTTGATAATGTAAGTTTATAAACTAAAAGTGATTGTAAACTCTCAAGATAAATTATAGAACTATATTGGCATTTTTTAAAACTTTAAAAACAAAACCAGAGGTATTTTATGTATTTATTATAATCTTTTATTTTTTAATTGACAAATTAAAATTGTATATATTTATGGTGTACGATATGATGTTTTAAAACATGTATACATTTTAAAATGGTTAAATCAAGCTAATTAACATATGCATGACCTCAAATACTTATTTTTGTGTGTGCGGTGGGACCACTTAAAATCTACTCTCGGCAATTTTCAAGTATGCAGTATATTAGTATTGATTGTAGTCACCAGGTTGTGCAGTACATCTCCTGAATTTATTCCTCCTGCCTAACCAAAATTTTGTATTCTTTGATCACCAAAAGTGTTTTATTTTAGTTTAGTTTTATTTCATGATTATTTTCTTAGAGACAGGGTCTCGCTCTGTCACCCAGGCTGGAGTGCGGTGGCATGATCATAGCTCACTGAAGCCTTAAACTCCCAGGCTAAAGCAATCCTCCTGCTTCAGCCTCCCCAGTAGCTGGTATTAAAGGCACTTGCCATTATACCTGGCTACATTTTTTTAGTTTTTGTAGAGACAGGGTCTCGCTACGTTGACCAGGCTGGTCTTGAACTCCTGGGCTCAAGTGATCCTCCTGCTTTGGCCTCCCAAAGCACTGAAATTATAGGAGTGAGTCACCCTGCCTGCCTCCAAATGTGTTTTTAAAACTGAAGTAATATTGAAAAACTGAAATAATAAAACGATGTTCATATAGAGCCACAATGGTCTTTTAAGCCTTATGATTTCAGACCATATGTGGTAATAGTGGAGAACAATTTATAAGATTATATTTCTGAAGGTTAACTATGCAAATAAAATTATTTAAAAATATTAATATATTAGTATAAAGAGAATCCTAAAATTTCTAAATACAATAAAAGTTCTTTTCAAGAAAGTTGGATGAATTTTTATCAAATTGAAGTAATAAGTTTGTCTTTACTAATTCCTCCCATTGCTTGGAAGTCTTCCACATCTCTCTATGTCCAAGTTATCTAGAAGCCTCTACTGCAATGTTCTGTCTTGGCATATTCCGTCTGGAGAAAGTATCAGATCTGCGGAAGCAGGAAAGGCTGGAGATGTAAATCTGTTATTTAACTAATTTTACTCATAGATTATCAGAGGTTGTTTTTGGTGGGAGGGGGAATGTAGAATAAACCTACTTGTACATGAATCTAGCACTGCCAAATACTAGCTACCTAACAGTGGACCTAAGTTCCTCAAATCTTAATTCGCCTGTAAAACAATACTTTTTGACATTTATTCAACACTTCCTTGTGCCTGGCAGATTTGGCATCTGCCAGAATGTGAGTACACAGGAGCATGCCAAGTCTGATGAGAATTTTTAAATGTGCTGCTTAAAAATTATATTTCTCTTGCTTACGATGTTGCTTATGATGACAATAACATGGTGATGATTATAGTAGCTAATATTTTCTGATAGTTACTGCTGTGTACTTTTTTTTTTTACAGGCGTGAGCCACTGTGGCCGGCAATAATTGTCACAATTATTAAACCATCCTTATGCTTGTGAGAGCAACTGTGCTTGGCTGTGACATGCAATTCCTTTCAATTCTATTGAATTTTGTTAGCTGGTGTTTTCTTTGGTATTTTTGCAGCCATATTCATTTATGCCCTGTGTTAATTTTTCTTTCAAGAAGATATTAGTTTCATAAAATAAATATGGAAGCTATGAATCCTTACAAATAAGTTATATTTGTAATATGTAGCTGAGCACTTAGCACAGCAACTGAAACAGGGTGAACACTCAATACATATTTGTTAAATGAAGACCGAATTGCTTATTTCCATGGCTTTCTCTGCGTGCTTCTTCCCTAGGACCCTAAGTTTTAGTTGACTTTTGTAGCCACCATACCAAGAGAGCAAAAGAGTAGTTAGGAATGCCAGCTGTGGAGCTAGAGTTCTGGGTTCAAAGCCAGGCTCTGACACTTAACAAGCTACAGACTACAGACTACTTACTTTTTCTCTCTGTACCTAAGTTCCCTCCTCTGTAAAACTAGAAGTGGTAATGCTTTGTACTCTCTGGACTGTAAGGACTGTAAGGAGTTTATAAGGGTAAAGCACTTTTAAAAGTGTGTGGCACATACTAAGTGAGGAGTTAATATTAACTATTATTATGTTAGTACGTGACAGGTAAATTGATTAAAGAATAATGAAAATGTAAAGATAGAGAACAGGAAGACAATACTTCCTGTGTCTCTGAGCTGTCCTGAGGATCATGTGACGTGAATTTTAAATAATGACAGTGGTTTGAAGTGTTGTTTTTAGAACCATTACAAATGGGGAGCCCCAGTGGTCAAAAGAAGAGAACTGTTTTGTTCTTTGACAAGAAAGCGACACAGCTAGAAAAATATTATTTATTAAGTTTTATTCCTTAGAATTTTTCTTTTATATTTTAGCCTCTTCTATATTATTTTAAATACATAGTTTTAAGGGTTTAATTTAATATCTTTGTATTGCAAAATAAGTGAACAAGAGTTTTCCATCAAACTTCATTCTTCTTGGAATGTAATCCCTGATTTTTCAAACTTTTTTTTTATGGGTCTTTATCCATTACTTACTTTTTGTAGTTCATATATTACTCAAACAATACCTCTTCCTTTGTTCCTTTCCCAGACCCCTTCCCCCACACAAAAAATTTAAAAATGCCATCCTTATAGTCATTCTGTAAGGTTGCTATGAATAGGTAATAGTCTACTACAGTCAACTTTACTAATGTAATAAACATTACTGAATAGTTTCTACTACATACAATTGAGCAATAAAAGGAAATCAATTATGAATTATAGAAAACCAATAATAAAGTTCTCCTCCTAATCTTTGCCCAAATTTCATATAAAGAGAACTTAGGAAAAAATTTCTGAGTTAAGATATTTATATGGATGCAAATATAGCAAAGAATCAGGTGGTGGACTGTCCAAGCCAGGAGAAATAAAGAGTTGATTCCTTTATTCATCCTGTTCTGTTCAGAATAAAAGAAAAAAATAAAAATACAGATAGGTAACCCCTTTGTTTAAAAAATTCTAGGACATTTCTGAAATAATTATACAAATTTAAATTTTATATAATATTTAAAATTATAGCATGCTATTTTTAAATTTCCTGATTTGCAAAGAAGAATCTTACTCAGATGATTTGAAAACTAAGACCATCATGTTTAATTTTCTAGAGGAAGGCACATTTATAAAGAAATATCCATATTTTAAAACATTTGGAATACTATTAAGAACCCGTTAACTGACCATTAATATCCAAAAGCCATAAGTAATGTAACACTAGTTTTTGGTCCCAAATATAAATGAAATTGGCTGAATGTCAGAGCCTAGCATAGACTGAAAGTTGTCTTTGACATTTATTCTTCAGGTAGTAGATTTGTCCTATATCTCAACAAAGTAGTTTGTGTAATGAACCTCCAGAGAACATTCAAAACATGATGAAGTTTAAACACATATCAAAGTTTTCCCCAGCTAAGCTAATATTATATATATATATATATATACACACACACAATATACAGATACATGTGTGTGTGTGTGTATATATATATATATACATATATATATATACATATATATATATATATACTCTTTTTTTTTTTGAGATGCAGTCTCCTCTGTCACCCAGGCTGAAGTACAGTGACATAATCATAGCTCACTGCAACCTCAAACTCCTGGGCTCAAGCCATCCTCCAGCTTCAGTCTCCGATGTAGCTGAGACCGTAGGGTGTGCCACCATGGCTGGCCAACTTTTTTTTCTTTATTTTTGTAGAGATGAGGTCTCGCTATGTTACCCAGGCTGATCTCAAACGCCTGGCCTCAAGGGATCTCTTGTCTCAACCTCCTAAAGTCCTGGGTTTACAGGCATCAGTCACCACACGCAGCCCTGAGCTAATATAATTTGTATTGAATTTATCTTTAAAAATGTTTCTAATCTCAGATCTTCCTATAACAGACGAATTTATTTCTCCTGCTAAATTAGCAAGAAAGACACCACTGATTCCACATCTGAGAAATAAGAGGCCTTCCAGTTTTTCATACTTCCTAGTGCTGGTCACGAGATTTCTTTTTTTCATCATAGTAACGATCATCTTTTCAGTGCTTATATTTACTGTAATGAAAGTGGGCTGCTGCCTAAGTTCATATCATGATTCCTCTGCTTACTGTACAGGAAACCAGTAATAAAATTATCATTCTAATTTTTGCCAAAATTTCATGTAAAGAGGGTAACTTGTGACTTCAGCCAATTACTTAACCTCCCAATGCCTCTGCCATCTCATTGGAATAAATGGGGATACTAATTATATTTATTCATAGGGTTTTATTTATTACTTCCTGTTTTATTTTTTGGCTCATATTTTACACAAGATATTGACAGAACTTCAGGAAGCCAGAGATCTAACTGTGTTATATACTTTATGAGAGCCATGACTATGCTCTTTCTGATGGATTGAATACTGCAAAAAAAAGGAACCAGGGACCAAACATAACAGACTAAGACGAAAGTTAGTGCCCTGTTGATTGAATAACCCAAATATCTCTTCCAAATCCCATGATGTGATCTGTTGAAGATGCATAGAAACTAACGGAATAAAGCATGAGATGTGAGAACACAGAAGAGTCATCATGATGTCCAGTTCTACTTAAAAATTACATATGGAACAAGCTTTTGTAGTTTCATGCCTTTATTTTTCACTTGTACATAGTTGATTTAGAAATCTGCATCTTGTTACTGAACCCAATGGTGTTACAACGAAGTATATCTTTGGAGCCCTCAATTCCTGTCTCATTCATTCACTTATTCATTCATCCAGCCAGCCAGTCATTCATTCATTCATATGCCAAGTGTTGTCCCAGGACTGAGGAAACAAAAATAAATATAACATATTTTCCTCAAGACCTCTAAACTAAGGAGAAAGGGTCATATAGACAGATCTATCAAAAGGATTTAAGCCAAAGTATGTACAAAACGATATGGGAAAACAGACAAAAAAAGCAAGTAATTCTGCTTAGGGGAAAAGGAAGTGTTCATAGAGGTGGTAACCTTTAAACTAAATTTAGCAGGAAGAATAGCAGTATTTCAGGGGATGGGAATCCAAAGGCATGAAAGCACAAAAACAATACAGCATGTTCAAAGAATAGTGAGGATTTTATCTGAGTCCATCCAATGATGCCTAGGGGGTACCGGTAGCAAATGATCTGTAGAAGGTAAATGGGGAACCCCGGATAAGAAACCACATATTAAGGAGTTTGAAATTTTGCTGTAGGTAATGGGAGCCCTGTGAAATTTTTTATTGATGTGTTTTACAATTGAGAAAATTAGAAAAGATAAGGAGCCTACATAAATATCAAAGAGTTAAAAAACATGCATAATAATTGCTGGTATCCCAACATTTTAAATTTAAACTTAATTCTCCCTTGCCTCTACTCATGTTTTTTTTTTTTGGTGAATGCTTCTTCAACACCTTATTTTTATTGTGAAATAAAGGAGAAATACAGAGAAGCACACAAAACAGATTCATGGCTTCATAAATAAAGGTGAACAACTCTTTAACCACCACCACATCAAGAAGTCAAACTTTGCAAGAACTCCCCGAGCCAAACCCCTCCAAATATCCCATACCAATTGCAATTCTCTTTTCCTCCCACCATAAGTAACCATTATTCTGGCTTTTACAGTAATTATTTCCTTGCATTCTTCATTCTTTATCACTGAGATGCATCTTTATGTGTTCATGTGCATCCTTAGGCATTAAAGTGTGGTCTTGCCCCTTCATACATTTTTTTATGTCTTTTGTGTTTTCATCTGTAATTTATTTTTGTTATAGTTTATCTGTTGAAAAATCCAAGAGTTTTCCCAATCTGAATTTTGCAAATTGCATGTTCAATTGCATATTTCAACTTGTTCTTGTCTTCTGTTTTTCTGAAAACAAGGAGCGAATTAAGATTTGGGTTTAATCCGTTTGGCATGACTATAGGTAGTGTTGTGTGCTTCCATCAAGAGGTATATAATGTCTGGCTGTCTTTCTTTTTAATGATATTAGCAGCTATTCATGCGAAATACCTATATGTATTCATTCATTAGAGGCTGCAACACAGTGATATGTTAATTCTTTTTTCATCTATGAATTGGAATATGTTTATACAGAGATATTTTCCCTCATTTACTATTTGGCTACCTAGTGTTACAGTTCATATAGGAAAGCAGAATACTTCATCCTTTCACTTTATTTATTAGTTTTCAAGATAATGAATTGGTTCCCTATTGATATGGTTTGGCTGTGTCCCCACCCAAATCTCATCTTGAATTGTAGCTCCCACAATTCCACATGTTGTGGGAGGGATCAGGTGGGAGGTAACTGAATCATGAGGGCAGGTCTTTCCTGTGCTATTCCTGTAATAGTGAATAAGTCTTATGAGATCTGATGGTTTTATAAAGGGGAGTTTCCCTGCACAAGCTCTCTTCTCGTCTGCCATGTGAGATGTGCCTTTCACCTTCCACCAGGATGGTGAGGCCTCCTCACCCAGGTGGAATTGTGAACCCATTAAACCTCTTTCTTTTGTAAATTGTCATCTTGGGTGTGTCTTTATCAGCAGTGTTGAAAACAGACAAATATACTTATCATGCTCTAAAGGCAATCAGCTCTTTTTAAAAAAGTATCGTTATGAACCATGTATTTAAATATATTTGACAAGTTTCAATCCATTGCAATTATTCTTGTGAATGCCATTCAAATTATTCTGTCCTTAGCTAGTGGGTGCCTTGTCAATTTGGTTTCTGAGACCCTGGTAGTGTTTGATAGCTACTTTGCCATGGTATGTCAAGCTGTTTGTCTTGTACATTTCCTTCCTTAAGCCTAGAAATAGAAGTTTCTCCTAGAAGACCTGGTTTCTTTAAATAAGGAATTATTTCAAGAACACAATCCAAGCAATAGGGACAGTCATTACCACTGTGTTGGTCATTGTTTCTAGGTGTTTTCAACAGACATAGAGATAGAAAGGGAGAGAAGAGAGTGGTGAGAGAGAGAAACCTCATGAGTTCATATCCAATACTTCCAGTTTGAATGTAAGACTACAGGACTTTTACTTAGTCTCTAATCTATTACATCTGTATCTTTTTTCTTCCAAACTGAGAATCTTGGTTCTCAAGGACACAGACTATGACAGAATTATAATATTCCATAATTACTCATTTGTTTTTTATCTCATATTATACACTTAATAGTCTCAAAATAACAATCCTAATGCTACCACCAACAGAAGTACTGAAAACACTGTAAAAGGTTTTGCATGTGCTGTCCCCCCGTCCCCATCTTTTTAGTGATTATATACTATTTTCTCTTCCTCTTAGCCTTCATTTAGTCTTAGTTCTCCTACGAAGTCTCTATTGCAGCTCAGCACAGTCTATAGGCTGTCGTTCTGCTCACCTGTTACCTGAAGCTCATTTTCTAGCAGGCTCTTCAGGAAGATCTCATAGTCATTGTGCCCTTTTTGCTACAAAGTAAGTTTTTCTGGACACAAAGTGCTTGGCACATACTTTTTTCCCTTGAGAATCTTAATTATGTTACCTTATTTTCTTTTAGCCTAATGTATTGCTAATGAAAAAAACTGAAGTTTATCTAATTATGATCTCTTATAAATCATGTGCTCTTTTCCCCTCTAAATAGTCAAAGGATTTTTAAAAAATTAAAACCCAGTAATTGTGGTAGAGTGTCTTGATATTATAATTCTGGGTTGATCTTTTTAGGTGTATGGAGAACTCTCTCAATATGTAACTTCTAATCTTTTTTATTTCAGGAAAGTTTTCTTGAATAATAATTTTTAGCATTTCTTCTGGTCCCTGGATTTAGTTTTCTTCCTTTATGGCTGTGCTTGTAAGAAATTTTTCTATCTTGAAGTCTGAAAACATTCTGTTTATTTTTGTCAAAGTTGTAATGCTTTGACTTTTACTTGTATGCTATTAATATACCTGGGATACTGTGTGTACAAAATTCCTTTCATGAAAACAGGAGAGAAATTTATGTCATTTGGGTATAAAAAAGTTGTACTTCTGAGCAATTGTTTATTTATATCTCAAGTAATTATGAACTAATCTGATTCATACCTGGTGTCTGATTCCGACATGAGGAATCCAAAGGGTAGCAGTGGTCTTGTAAGATGATTACTGTATTTCCACACAAAACTGGGTCAAGGAAGTACAAGTGGTTCTTGTGGACCAGATGGGCACCTTCCAGGTGAAGAAATCAGCCACAAAATTTTTCCAAAGGGGCTGGGACAATGGGACCCCAACAGAAAGAACCCAGGTGAGGCAAACATATCAGTCACCCATGGCTAAATGTTGGCTTAAGTCCTAAGTGGCCAGTGGGAGAAAGGCCAATCCGAGAATTGTGTCACTGGAGATTCCAGGCAGAGGAACATAAAGAGGTACTTTTAGTGTCAATCAAAGCCCCAAGAATGCCAGTTCCAGATTGTCAGAGTAGTGACCATGTAAACCTGGGTCTTTTCCCCCAGTCCTTTCTACCTAGTAAGACCCTGGAGGATGAGACACTGTAGGTAGCAGACTGGGTGAGGAGCAATAGAGCAAGATATGAAAACAAAAGAGAAGCCAACCCCCACAGGCCTTTCTGCCCATAGCAGGTCTCAGCAGTGGGAAGCAGCTTTAAATTAGGTAAGATTATGAAGCTATGTGATTATAAATGGTCTGAAAGTTCTGAATATTTAAATGAAACTGTTCTTGTGCCAAAAGGTAACCAGAGGATGTTTTATTTTAAAATGATTGGAAATACTATGGCACCCACCTGATAAATCATTCAAAGTAGAGAAGAAATATTCCTTGCACATATTTGAAGGAACAACAGAAAGAAAAAACAAAGCTCTTTTTTTTTTGTTCACCCTATCAAGTTGTTTCCATTCAATAAAATTATTACATCTGGTAAGTAAGTGGATTTATGCTTATATAAACTGAAAAAGGCTAGGAAGTACATGGTAAGATCACATGCAAATTTAAACCAAAGCCTTTGCTTACAATTTCCTTGTATTTGATGTCAATAAAACTTTCAAACACCTGAGCACCTCTTCCATGGAGACTTCCCCAGCCACTCTGATCATGACTGTGAGGACTGGATATAAAGCTCTAGGCACATGTTCAGCCCTTAACAAATGCTGAGTGTTAATTATGCTCTTCTCTGCTCTCACAGCACACATCATCAGAAGGTGTTTTCCATTACATGAATGTGTCTCTTTTCTTCAATTACTCTCAAAGTTCCTAGAAATGAAGGACATATCTTATACTTACTTTATGTTCATCAGAATTCTGGTCAGAACGTTGTGCTTAGGACTTTTCAAAAGTAACTGACAACTGATCAATAAGTAGAGATAAGTGGAGTGATGGTATCACAATAGGAATGCTCTGGGGCAAGCAAGGAAAGCCTACTAGCAACCCTGAAATCACTCTTTTTGTTAGCTGGGTGTACTTTTCACTTTTTCTATACTCTCAGATTTCTCATCAATAGAATGTCTATTTTATGTCCTAGAGTCTCCTACCATAAAATACTAGGCCTTTACAAATTATATTATTTTGAGTTATCAGACTTTTAGAGTATCTTCTTTGGAATGGTATTCAAGCTCAGGGAGAGCCACATGAACTAACTGGATGATGCATTGCTCTGTGTAAAGTTTCCTCTAAGCAGTTTAAGAATGTTATGCACCAGACAGGGAAAATAGTTGAAGAAGTAGGACAGAAAGAAGTGTGTATTTTCTGTCTGGTTTTAAATGTAATTCAACAGGTAGACATTGGATTTCAACATTTTTAAAAAGGTCTCTTGTTTATCCTTGTTTTAAAGATATTTGAAACTACATGCTGTTTTTTCATACATGTATTTTGTGATCATGTACTATGTTAAGCAGGAGAAAAGGAACCTTTTCTAATGTATTTTTTTATATATAGAATACACTGTTGAAACACTATTAAAATGATTATAGAACATTTCAGTGGCCTTTGGATATATTTAAATTCTTCTAAGTGTCTAGTATAAGCACTATGAGATTAAGGACTGGGCCTGTTTTAACATTATTTTATAAAAACTTATTTTCCTTTTATTATTCAAGTTATGGTTATCTACCATCCAAACTATTCATGACAAATGAAACACTAACCCCAAAGAGGGAAAGCAGAACAAATTAAAATGTACCATTTTCTTGATGAAAGAAGATGTTATGTCCAAATTCTGGACATAATAAAAGGAGAACCGGGCCGTTTGTGGCTCACGCCTGTAATCCTAACACTTTAGGAGGCTGAGGCGGGCGGATCACCTGAGGTCAGGAGTTCGAGAACAGCCTGGCCAACATGGTGAAACTCATCTCTATTAAAAATACAAAAATTAGCCTGGTGTGGTTGTGCATGCCTGTAATCTCAGCTACTCAGGAGGCTGAGGCTGGAAAATCGCTTGAACCCAGGAGACAGAGGCTGCAGTGAGCCGAGATCATGCCATTGTGCTCCAGTCTGGATGACAAGAGCGAAACTCTGTCTCAAAAAGAAAAAAAAAGGAGAACCAAATGGGTTTTCTTCATTACATAAATCTGAATACGACTGGCCAAAAATAAAAGCAAAAGTGAAAAAAGCACTGACTGGAAATTTTAGCCCCAAGTCTTCCTTTAAACTTAATATTGATGATTTCAAAGTTTAGAAGAGTTACATACAAATATTCTTGAACTATAACAATTTCAAATTGATACAATTAAGTAAAATATATTTTGTATTTTAAGTTTTACCACAGAGAATCAAAGGCAATCAATTAAAGATAAAATTGTATTTTAGTAACTTAAAAATACAACTTCCAGGAGCAGATGAGAAAGAAAAACATCAATTAATTGTTTTGATTTTCAAAATAACTTAATTATATTAATTAGAGATATAACAAAGGCCTGCTCCAAAGGAGGAGAAAGTTCTTAGAACATATTGGTTGTTTTGCACCAAGGTCAACTTTATTTTGAACATAAAAAACTTACATTCTTTCTCTTACCACAAAAGCTGAAGTAAATATGTTCTAGCCCTCAAATGTGACTATTGGTGTTTTGGGGATAAAGGGAACTTTGCCCCCTTATTGATGGCTTCTTGTTTCTTTACAATAATCCCATTCAGGGAAATAAAAGGCACATTTGTTTTACTGATTCCATCTAAGCATATTATACAAGGCGAGATGGCAGTCCGAAAATCTATACTTAAATTATTGGAATGGAAGAGGACTGAGTGATCCCTTATAGAACACACAGAGGTCAGGCTTACACCCCAGTTGGTCCTCATCATGATCTGGAATAAGAGCATCAGTGATTTGGGGGACATGAATAGAGCTGGGTTATGGGAAAGCTACTCTAGATGTGACATTCCATTTTCCGTGTGTGCATGTAAATAAATTAAATATATAGGATTGTCAATCCTCAGTGATACAGTTAAGAGTACTGAAGACTCAAAGGTGGAAAATAAAATGGTAAAATGGTGAAGCAAAACAGAAATGGCAAATAAGACAACTAAATTGTGCTGGCCATTATTTAACATGCCATTACATCATACGTATTTTTAAAGCCAGGAATTTATGAAATTTAGTGTAACATCATTTGGACTGTTTTATCATCAATAACTGTAAGAAACTTTTTAATTGTTCCAAACTGCATTTGTTTATTCTATAAGTTAGGAAAATGAAAACTAATAAAAAATAATAAAGAAAACGAAGCTTAGGAAATAAGAGTATTTGATTCTGAAATATATTTTCCCATCATGGGAGAGTCTCCTGAATCTGAGAATGTTGTAATATTACTCAGTCTATATTTACTGCATAATGATTATGCTGTCTTGGTAAGATAAAAATTAGATAAACATTAGGGATGTATATGAGAGGTGACAATAAAAACTGAAGTCAATGTCTTATATTCAAGGGATTTATAACTCTCTCTGGGCTAGCACAATCTGAAAAGCAGAATTAAAAGGGAAAAACTGGTAGATACCTCTTTTAACGAACACTCAACTGTAAAACCACCTGGTTTTCCTCTTTAAAGAAAGAAGAAATTGCTTCTGCCAGCTTACTGAACAGAACTTCCCTGTGATGTCTGATAACAGCCTATACTCCAATCTCTGTAAAAGTCACACTAATTATTAATACACTGGAGCAGAGTTCAGGTTCCATTTTGTCATACAGTCTTAGTGAAACTGCCTCATTATATTGTTCTATCGGTTTGTTAGTAACAAAATTCCCTTGCTATTCATATTAGAGCTGCTTTAAATTTTATTCCACATTAAATAAACTTTTTAATCAGATTTTCTTTTAGGTTATTTTATCATAGTAAAAATTTTATTTTAGGTTACAAAAACAATTTCAGGATTCATTAAATAGCAGCAAGAGAGCAAATACCACGACTTGAGCACTACAGATGAGTAAACTTCCAGAACAGTTCTGAGCACGGCTTTCAATAAAATGAACAAGTTGTTTACATAGCTGTGAGAAAGGTTATTGTTTCATTGGTTTTGCGTCCTAGTGCAGCATTCAGCATTTAGTGGGAGTCCAATCAGTGTTTACTGAATAAAACAAACTAAGTGATGAGCAGAAATCTGGAAATGTTGTGGTTTCCGAAATACTGCTGCTACGCAGACAAGTTATGACTAACATTCCCCCTTGAAGTTAAAACTGTTTGTATAAATAATTTTAAAAACAATAAAGAACCCACTATGTATCAGACATTTTACAAACAATCTTATTAAAACCCAGTCTTGGCAAGTAGGTATCTTATTTGACACTTTAGGGAAACTGAGGCTCAGAAAAGTTAAATAACGCTCAATTACACCCATGCAGAAAGTGAGGGGTCTTGGATTAAGTCCTGATCATTCGATCTTTCTACAGTACACTCACAGACCTGTGGGCAATGTTTTATATAATTATTCCTTGAAATTACGGTAAAAAATCAAATCCACTCTCGGGCTTGGCCGGGAAGTGTATATTTCTTTACTGGCATAAAAAAAAAATTAAAAAACCAACAAGGAAAAGAAAAGAAAAGATGTATTTCTTCTTGCCTGACTAGAACATATGCTTGTATTTTAAGAGTACCAAAGGTGACAGACTGAATTTACAGCTACAGCATAGTCATGTTTAGCTCGCCTGGAAACAGAACTACCCTGATCTCTCAGCAAAAGGAACAGAGGGTGCTTCCCCATACAGAAGACAGAGTCAGGCCAACTCTAAAGAGAACTAGGGCATTGCCTAGGAACCCATCTGTGGCAAGGGGGTACCACTGCCAGGAGGCCCCACAAACACCTCTGGAATTAAGACGGAAAGTCACTTCCATGTCTTCTGTGTTGCTTCTGATGTTTAGAAACAAAAAGTATTGACACTAGTTCAGAAAAATGAGCCTATCTTTATTAGCATAAAGACTCTCAGATTACGAGGATTTAAAAAAAAATGACCCCGCCTCTGAACCGTGAAGAACTAGGGAAATCTGAGTAAAATACAAAAAGGATCTTGAGAGGGCAAGATCCCGAAGAAGGGTGCAGAAAATTCTGCCCATATTTGACTCTCTTTTTCCCCTTACCTTATTCATCAATTTGGAAGTTGTTTCAGAGGCTGAGAAGTTACACAGATAATGGCAACTAAGAAGCAGAGAAGCTGAGAAGAGATTGCTTTCAGGAGTCCACTGATTGAGAAAATAAAAATGCGAGTTCAGGGCCCACGAAAGAGGGAAGGCCTAACACCTCGGCTTTTAGCTGGGACACAGAAAGGGTCACCTCAGGAGTAAGAAAGAACCTGAAATAGACGAGACCTAACAAAGTCTAAAAACCAGTTTGAAATAATCTCACTTCCATATTAGATTAAGGTGCTCTGCCCTTAGCCTAGCTTCCTAATAGAAGCAAAAGTAAATCCTACAAATACTTCCATAAAGTAAAAAACACCACTCAGAGCCCAGTATTTTTTTTTTTTTCATAAACAAAGACAACATTTCATAAAGAATTTCTGGGCATACCAGGAAACAGAAGAAAAAGATAATGGAAACAAGATCCACAGATGATCCAAATACTGGAGTTAATGGGCACAAACTATTTAATTTTTTTTTTTTTTTTGAGACGGAGTCTGGCTCTGTGACCCAGGCTGGAGTGCAGTGTTATAATCTCGGCTCACTGCAAGCTCCGCCTCCCGGGTTCACACCATTCTCCTGCCTCAGCCTCCTGAGTAGCTGGGACTACAGGTGCCTGCCACCATGCCGGACTAATTTTTTGTATATTTAGTAGAGACGGGGTTTCACCGTGTTTGCCAGGATGGTCTCAATCTCCTGACCTTGTGATCCGCCCACCTCTGCCTCCCAAAGTGCTGGGATTATAGGCGTGAGCCACTGCGCCCGGCCTTGCATTTATTAATACTAGAGACGTAGAATCTATGCATAAGAAAATTCTAGAACTAAAATAAAATGATTCAACAACTGAAAACTTAAACTAAAAAAATACACTTAGAATAAAAACCATGAAATGTGTTGGAAGAAACTTAACAATGTATGTGCAATACCTGTATGCTGAAAATTACAAACAGAAATTAAAGATCAAAATAAAAGGAGATATATGCCATGTTCATAGATTGGAAAACTCAGTATTTTTAAGATGTCAGTTCTCTCCAAGCTGATGAATAAATTTAACAGAATCCCATTCAAAATCCCAGCAGATGTTTTTAGAAATTGAAATGACAATTTAAAAATTTATATTAAAATGCAAAGGA
The DNA here is from genome assembly GCF_000001405.40 of Homo sapiens. Lineage (NCBI taxonomy): Eukaryota > Metazoa > Chordata > Mammalia > Primates > Hominidae > Homo > Homo sapiens. The sequence goes on from NC_000013.11 coordinate 33,539,434, forward strand.
CTTAGAATGGCCAAAGTAATTTTGAGGAAAAAAATACTTCCACTATCTGATTTCAAGACGTATAAAGCTACAGTAATCAATACAGTGTGGGACTGGGTTAAGAACAGACATATTTATCAATGAAATTGAATAGAATAGAAATTCAGAAGATCGGCAGATTTTTAATAAAGGTGCCAAGGTAATTCAATGAAGGATAATCTTTTTAACGAATGCTACCAGAATAACAGGATTTCTATTTTGAAAAATATGACTATCAACCATTATTGTGCCATACTAAAAATTAAGTGGATCGTAAACATAAATAAGATATATTGTGAATCTCAGAAATGAGAGGATTTTATGAACAGCTTTATGCTAATGAATATTTGGATACGTACAAATCCCTACAAATATACAACTTACAAACAAAAGCTGCTCTTTAAAAGACACTTTTAAGAAAATGAAAAAGCAGGCCACAGACTGGGAGAAAAATATTCACAACATATACTTCTGACAAAAAAGTCATACGCATAGTATGTAAATAACTCCTACAACTCAATTACAAACAACTTAGTTTTAAAATGGGCAAAAGTTTTGAACATATACCCACTTAATGGCTAAAACTAAAAACTAAAAATAGCAAGTGTTGGCATTTGATAAAAAGACCTGTCACCCTTTTAAACTATAGTAGTTCCCCCTTAGCTTCAGGGGAAATGTTCCAAGAACCTAGTGGATGCCTGAACCTCAGAGAGTACCCTACCCTAAATATATTATGCACGAATTTCTTTTTCTTTCTTCATAATTTCACAGATAGAAGACTGATTCTTACCAACCACTTGGTTCCTAGTGACCTTAGGTGATTCCTTAAGTCGAGAACTTTCACCTTCCACTTAAAGGAAGCACATTAAGGCTTCTTTTGGCATATCCAAATTGCCAGTATCACTACTATTGGGCCTTGGAGACATTATTAAGGAAAATATAGGTTATTTGAATCCAAGCTCAGTGATATGGTGATAGTTGATAACTGTGATAGTGGATGCTGAACAAAGGGAGGATACACGTTCTGGGAGGCACAGAGAGAGGCAGCATGAGATTTCATCACACTACTTAGAACTTCTAGCAATTTAAAATTTATATTTCTGAAATTTTCCATTAAATATTTTTGGACCTCGGTTGACAGTTGGTAACTGAAACTATGGAAAGCAATACCATGTATAAAGGGGGTTCCTATACAAGGATGTTTGATGAGTGCAGACACAAATAGATTCGATGGTGGGAATACACAAAAATTCTTGGCTTATGCTCACAATTCTTTTTTCAATAAAGTGTGAGGCAAAGTCATTAGTTGAGGAAGTTGATAATTTGAGGAAGGAAAAGAATGAGATATTTGGATTACAGAAGGAAAGGGCAAAGTCAGTAAAGCAAAGGAGTAGGAGAGCTGATCAATATGCAGAGCCAATTTAGGTGTGAGATCACACTAGTCCACCCAACAGTTAACAGGCTGAGCCCAAGCTCAGAAAAGATAAATGCATGCAGGAGTTCATCCATGGTTTGAGTTTTGCCAGGGAAGTGCTAAAAGTGAGGGATAAGAGTTGAGGATATTTGCAAAGGAGTCAATGCCACTATTTCTGAATATATGTGTACTCTTTGAACTGTGAAGGGCTATGTTACTGTAACTTTATAGTATAATGGTAGCAAAATGAAGCAATCCCTCAATTTAAGGTTGGTTATATACGATGTAGAGAAAGATGGGAAAGTCGAAAAAAAAAAGTAAGCAACTAAATGGGATATAGCCAAAGCTGAAGTATGCAATGATGAAATAAACTGATTCCATATTCCACACATTTGATTTTAGGGTCTAAAAGCTATTTTGCAATCTTCCAGATCACTCTTTGAAGACCTATTACAGCTTCAGCTCTGACCTCTTTCACGTGTTTTCTAGTATCTTCCAACATTTTCCCCTTTTCTTCCCCTTTGGATATCCTGCCTCCTTCTTGCCCTATTTCTGACCAATCTTGAATGATATTGCAATATCCCCCTAACTTCTACATAAACAGGTGCCATAGTACTCCTCACGTCACAGCAGCGTTTTTTCCAGTACCAACTACCCAGACTATCAAACGGTTTTAGCAAAAAACAATGAAATACACTTATTTGGCAATTTCGGACAATCTTTCTTATATCCTCCGGCCCACTGCTGTTTCTTTCAAAATATCTACTTAAAAGCCTGTATTCCTTTCCCTCTGGCTTTTACAAGGATTGTTTTTATATAGGCCCTGGACTGCAAAGAGCTTTGAAATCCAGATAAAAGTGTTTACCAAGGCTGAAGAAATTTTCCAGGAGAACTGAGCACTTTGCACAGATGACATTTTTGGAATTAGTTTAAAATTAAACGGAGCGGATGCAGATTCATACAGATTTTATTTCTGCAACACACTTGGTTGTTTCCTTGCAGCATCTAAAAACAAAGCCAATGCACTTTCAGAAACTACTATGGTCCTCCAAAATTCAAAAGTGAAAAAATGACAAAATTTTTCTTTGTAACACATCTGCACAAGAGGCTTTCCTTTAAAATTTGATAAAAGACCAAGGCCACACCAGAAAACACAGAATATAAAACTGTGTATCGACAAAAATTAAAAACTAAACTCCTTAAGAGAATCGCTTGCTAAAAAGTTTAAAAAACACGAAGACATGCTTTCTTAAATAATTTGAAAATGTTTTTGGTTCCACACGAGTAGTCTATTTGTTTGCGTGCCTTTTTTATTCCTTGTGACACCCCTACCTTCTCAGAATAAACACTGAAAGATGAACAGACCGGGGGATCAAGCCGGTTCACTAAGATTTAGAGGGGAAGGCTGGGTCCATCTTAGCACTGAGACCGCACCCAGACTGCATTTGGATCGCTAAGGACTAAGAAAACAGTACAGATCCAGTTTTACCTCTTATACCATTAATTTTCCATAAAGCCTTCCAGAAACCTGACTCACAGCCAGAAACCCAAACCCCGTGGGCGGGATTTAAAACAAAACCCATTACGCCACCATTTCCGCCTTGCCTGCCTAGCAAACGTGCAAACATTGAAAAAGACGCACACGCAGACCGCGCCTACGTCCCCAAAGTGCGCAAGCGCACGGCGAGACCCCGCCCCTCGCCCTCCCACCAAGACGAGGCGCGCGCACCAGCAACCAGGGCCCGCTGGCGCCGCCCCGGGTTTCCGCTCCGGGGCTCGTCGGTCGCCGTTCGGTTCCGGTTCTGGCCCCGCCCTCACGCGGGAACCCTCCAGAAGTCTTAATATCCGGGACCAGAGGCTGGTTGCAGCGCACATTTCCGGCAACGAGCGCAAAGGAAGGGATCCGGTGACGCCTCTTCCCGTCTCCCCAGCGGCCCAGGCTCTGGCTCTCGGTGCGGCAGCGCCATCTGGTGCCGAGTCTCCCGCCACCCGCGGAGGTGGCACGCGCCCTTCTCTCGGAACCTTCCAGAGAAACCGTGGCCCCTGCTTTCCTTTCTCCCGCCCTGGACGGGGAGGGACCCGAGTCTCCGCCCCGCCGAGTTCCCGCGCGGGAGGGACTTTGTGGCGACTCTGAAGCGGAAGCTGCCTGTAGGAGGAGCTTTACAAACCCAAAATGGAGCGGAAACTGTTCTTTCTCTAGTTTTAAGTCCAGAAGAAACGGCGTCCTTTTATTTTTTGCTTCCTTATGCGTTGTTGCTGGGTCATTCTCAGTCTTCCCCGTATCAGTTCTTTAATCTTTGAGGACTGGGACCCTGTATTAATTGCCTGGTAGGAAGATGACACGAGCTTTGTGGCTTACATTGGCCTCTGCTGTAAAAGCTTTTGTTTCCTTTGGCCTATTAAAGCGCTGTTGTAAAAGCCTGCTGTGTATGTTAGGAACCCATCGAGAAGCAGAATGTAGTAATTTGCTTTAAAATAGGCCATGGAAGTTTCAGAAAGGTAGCCTCAGAAATGCTCAATGTAGATTCGTTTGCATGTCACGTTTCTTTTAGATAATCAGAGAAAGGAAAAGTAATTTCCCCAAAGTTAGTAAAATCAACACATTTTCCTTTAATAATGTTCTTTTTTTCCTGTAATCTTGGAGTACTAACAGAGTTGTTCTAAATGTTTTATTGGAATGGTGCTGTGGATATCAAAATATATAATGAAACAAATTTCCTTTAGAGTTTAGATAGCACATGTTAACTTGACTCTTTGATTGTATTTCTCCTATAGTAATGCTTCTCAAACTGGAGCATGCATCCAGATTCTCTAGAAGGCTTGTTAAAACAGATTGCTGGGCCTCAACACCAGAGGTTATAACTGGGAGGGAAGGTCTGAGGATACAGCTGGATTAGTGTAGCTCTAGTAAAATCTCAGGTGATTCTGATGCTGTTGGTACTAGGACCACACCTGGAATAATTTAGAGTTCAGGATTGCTTTGTCAATAATGCTTTTTGCTGTTGCAGGACAGACGGTACTAAAATATACTGGTGATACTAAGCCTGCACAAGTTAGTAGTCCTTTTGACTCCGTGGATGGGAAGTAGTAAACTAAACCCTAGAACCAGTAGAGAGCTACATAAATGTTCACAGATTAAAGCAACCAGTTCATAGAAATGTATTCTGTATATGATCATGTGATAGAGGGTGCTGTAATACCAAGTATACTAAATATTTCAGTTATTATACAGTAATTGTTCTTTAGCTGTTAAATTAGAAATGACTAAAATTAAGGACAAAATAGTTTAAACAATCATACTAATTTTACCCTTTGGAAGATGCCAGGTTTTTTTCAGTCTTTTGCATTTCCTCAAGTTCCCTTGTTTTACGGAATTCTCTACCCCCAGCCCACTCCCATCCCTACCGTGCCATTTATAAATGTACACAGTGCTTACATTATAAAAAATGATCATCTCAGAACTTGTCTCATCTTTTCAGCAGGACTTTTCTCAATTCTGTCAAATTCTGACTGTGCCACTGCCTTTATTGACACAGTAATTAAATCACGCAGTGATTAAAGTGTGCTGCACACTGTAACTTTTGTGCTTGCTACAAATAGAAATACAGATATTGTTAGATAAGTTTATGTTTATGATAATCAGTTCCTAAAATGTAGAAAGCAGTCGGTTTTCTGGTCTCAGTTTTATTTAAATCACTGCTATTTTGTTTACTGGATGTAAGCTTCCCCCTCTCTGCTCTAGCCTGAATGGGCCTTCGTGAAAAGAAGAAAAAAAAGATTGAGAACAACTGTCTTAAAACCATGGTATTTCCCTAATAGGCTAGTACCATGTATTTGGATAATTACTGATGAATCATTTAAATCAGGGAAAGGTGCATGGTTTTGTTTTTTTGTTGTTTTTTCTCTTTTTTTTTTTTTTTTTTTTTGAGATGGAGGCTTGCTCTGTCGCCCAGGCTGGAGTGCAGTGGCCAGATTTCAGCTCACTGCAATCTCTGCCTCCCGGGTTCAAGCGATTCTCCTGCCTCAACCTCCTGAGTAGCTGGGACTACAGGCGTGTGCCACCACACCTGGCTAATTTTTTTGTTTTATTTATTTATTTATTTATTTGAGACGGGGTTTTGCTCTTGTTGCCCAGGCTGGGGTGCAATGGTGCGATCTCAGCTCATCACAACCTCTGCTCCCAGGTTCAAGTGAGTCTTCTGCCTCAGCCTTCCTGAGTAGCTGGGATTACAGGCATGTGCCACCATGCCTGGCTAAAATTTTGTATTTTCCTTAGTAGAGATCAGTTTTCTCCATGTTGGTCAGGCTGGTCTCGAATTCCTGACCTCAGGTGATCCACCCGCCTTGGCCTCTCAAAGTGCTGGGATTACAGGTGTGAGCCACCGCGCCTGGCCTAATTTTTTGTATTTTTAGTAGAGACGGGGTTTCACCGTGTTAGCCAGGATGATCTCGATCTCCTGACCTCGTGATCCGCCTGCCTCGGCTTCCCAAAGTGCTGGGATTACAGGCGTGAGCCACTGTGCCTGGCCCGAAAGGTGAATGTTCTTTGCCTTATTTTAAACTTTATTGTAATAAATTCACTAATGAAGCAGGCAGAGAAGATGTAAAGGACACTTCATTAGTAATGCTATATTTCATATACCTGCTGTATTTTGGGAGCATTATTGCTATCATTTGGTTTGTTGGATCCCTCCAAATCTCACGTTGAAATTTGATCCCCAGTGTTGGAGGTGGGGCTTAATGGGAGATGTTTTCAGACATGGGGGTGGATCCCTGACACAGGGCTTGATGCCCTCCTAGTGATAATGAGTGAGTTTTCTATTAGTTGCTGTCAGAGCTGGTTGTTAAGAGCCTGGCACCTCCCTCCTATCGATTTTCTTGCTGCTTTGTCTTGCTTCCTCGCTTACCATGTGATCTCTGCACATGCTGGTTCTCCTTCACCTTCACCCACAAGTGGAAACAGCCTGAGGCCCTCACCAGAAATAGCTGCTGGTACCATGCTTCTTGTACAGCCTACAGAACTGTGAGCCAAGTAAACCTCTTTTCTTCATAAATTACCCAGCCTCAGGTATTCCTTTATAGAAAAATAAATGGACTAAGACAGTTGTTAAATAACCTTATTTTGTTGACTAAAAGTAATTAGTATTTTATGACATTTATTTATTATGGCTGTTAACATTACAATTTATCCTGGCTAATTTCATCAGTAAACACTCTTATGAAATGATACTGTAGTTTACTTTCAACCAAGAATTGGTTGACTTTGATACAGTAATTAGATTAGGATTCCCACGTCAGATTTTCTTTCAAAAATAATTCCTATTATTATGTGGAAGCCTCCTTTTCTGATTTTTTTCTCTTATTTTCTAAGAACATAATATGTAAATGGATGTATAATGAATATTTGTGGCAAAAAGCATTTGTCTAAGAAGAATTAAGTTGATTCAGCTGTTAAAGGGGTCTTAGTTGTTAGAGCTTTTTGGCGGTTTATTTGCTATAATCAATAGACTTATTAATACTTTTAATTTTAGCCTAATAGTACTAATAGTCACATTTTGACTAACTATTGGGCCAGTTTTTCTTTGTCATTCATTGGTAGTTGAGTCTCTGTAGCCTTTATACTGCCCTATTTTTGGTTTGCCACATTTTAAATCTCAAACTGCCTATAATTTATACTGTTAGTCTTTGGAAATAAGTTTGAATTGACTATTCTGCTAAACTCATTTTAATGACCATGCTCCCTTGTGATGAGCTAAATTTATTTATTATTGTGTTGTCGTATTAATTTTTTTTTTTTTGAGACAGTCTCACTCTGTCGCCCAGGCTGCAGTGCGGTGGCTCAGTCTCCACTTACTGCAACCTCCACCTCCCGGGCTCAAGTGATTCTCCTGCCTCAGCTTCCTGAGTAGCTGGGATTACAGGCAAGATTAATGTTTTTTATTTGTAATCAATTTAAGCCTAATACATGTTCTAATAATTTTTGTATTTCATATATGGATAAATTATAATAATTCTTTTAAAGTGAAAGTATTGATGAGAGATACTTTTTTTTGGAATAGCTCATTTTAAGCCCCTGATACTTGATATGGATAAAATATTTTCAGTGTTTAATAAAATGTTGAAATATATTTAACTTTACTAATTTGAGCCCTGCCAATTATAATACTTTAGAAAAAGTGAAAATATAATAGTACATTTATAAGGCTTTTAAGTATTCACAAAATAGTCATTTCCCAGTAGATGTTTTTCAGCTCTTATGATACAGTGTTTTCTTTTTCTTTTGGCCATGTATTGATCAGAATTAGTCATTAACTTTACTAACAACTGGATTTAGTTTGTCAGCCTTGATGGTTTGGTTACACAGATGTAGCTATTGTGTCAACCCCACTGTTTTAAATATGTTCCTATGCCAGGTGAAATTTGATCCCTTTAAGCAAATTTCTGTTAAACACTTTGTGTCAGTTTCAGTAACGTTTCCCCAATGAACATTCCTACTGTACAAAATTTTACATATGTGTATTTACATATTTATACTTTTTTCACAAATGTGGGAATTTAGGATACTATGTTTGTAAAAATTGGGCAATTTTTCTTGAAGATAATTTTTAAAATTACAGCAAAACATAGGGCCCTGAGAAGAAGAGGTAAAATATATGGAAGAGCAAGTATGTATAGATAATTTTGTAACGTAACCTTGAGAGAAATATAGAAAACTGAGACAACATAAGCCAAAGGAAAGGAATTGGGATGTAAAACCTTTAGGGTAGAGCAGTGCTCTGCTGTGGTCATTTATGCCTTGGCATTAAGTTCTTTTGAATATAAAACAATGCATTTAGAAGGATTTTAAGACTATATCACAGTGCACTGGCATTTTCTTCTTCAATTTTCCAGGGCTAAATAAGGTAATTGAATAATAAAACTTAAAAGCATTTTTCATTTCATGAAGATCCAAGAAAAAATATTTCATAACAATTTTTATTTACAAGAAGGAAAAACATATTCATAAGAATCTTAGATGATTAGTAGGTTAATGAAATAAAAAGTTTGTTAGGAAGAAGGAATACTAGTTATTGAACAATGCCAATTTTTTCTATTTAAAAATATTTAAAATGCCATTAGTTGATTTATTTAATGAGCCATCAGCCTTTATTTTAGATTCACTATAACTCTGATCTCCTAAACCTGCTTTTCCTATCAGGTCTTAAATATTTCATCCCTGCTTTCTTTTACAATATAGTTTTTGGGAATGTAACTATCATGTTGATAAGTAATGCTAGGTGAAGGAAAAAGTTAAAACAACTCCAATGCTAGGCAGTGATATACCATAGAAAAATAAATGAGCCAAAGATAGGGGAAGTGATTTTTTTTGGAGGAAGAAAACAGAAATGAGAACAAGAGGACATGGATGACTGCTGAAAAACTGACCAAGTTCCTCTTCAGTCTTCTAACAGAATTTGGAAGATGTTCTTAGCATGCAACTGTTGGTTGAAAAAAACCCAAATGTACAAGGGCCATCAGTTCTTAAAAGTGGAATAGTGCATAGAAAGCTTATTGACACAACATAGCAGTTTGATGAAATGGACTGAAGCCATTTCTGTGGAGTGGACTCGTGGAAAATGTGATGCCTGATTCATAAAATTGTACACAGTTGAATGTTGCTATATAGGTAAGGTTTTGCAAACTCAGGACTCTCAGGAAACATCAAAGGTATATAGTTGGCACACTTAATTTTAGATATGTGTGATACGTTTGTGATTTTTTTTAAAAAAATATTTCCAGGAATGCTTAAGAAGATTATACCACCTCATGCTATAAAATAAAACTAACTTGGAGAATTCAACAATGTTTGCTGTTTTAATATGCATCTTACAAAGATAATTATAAACACTGAGAGTATTTACTGCAATGCCCTGAATATAGTATGCCTAAAGAATTTTCTGTATAAAAATAATTGTATTTATTTTAGTTAAAAATTGAGTAAAATATACATGCATCAAAATAATTTCTAGGTAGACCAAAGTGATATATGTAAAGAAAGACAAAATCAAAAATCAGGAAATTGCTGGTGAATATCTAATCTCGGGATAGAAAAATATTTTTTTAAATCACAAAAGCAATCAGTAATCAAAAGAAAAGATGACTGATAATTATTACCATATAAATATTTTTAAACTCATGTGTTAACAATTTATAGAACAAATAAGTTCGAGAAAATGTTTGTCCTTAGCATGTCAGTTAATTAAAATAAAACACAGAAACTTCATACAGTTCAGCAAAGGACATCTTGATTTGTGCTTTGGAGAATCTATTGAGTTTTTTTGGTTACTGAGTAATAGTTTAGTTAGATGTGTTGCTATAGCTATACATTCTTCCATCTTATGTTTTCAAAATATTAAGTGTCCTCATTTATTTTTTGTGTAATTGAGAATAAACTGAAATCAAGTAATACACATTCTCTCATAAAAATAAATATACTCGGTCATTGAATTGTAAAGTGTGGATCCCAGGATGATATCATCATCACCTGGAAACTTGTTAGAAATACACATTCTTGTCCCCTGACCAAAATCTATTGAATGAGAAACTCTGAGGGTGAAGCCCAGCATTTTAAAATCTAAAAATCCATGTTTTAACCCATTTGGGGATACTAAATAAACTGCTGTAGTCCTTCAATAAGCCCATCACACATTTTCACCATGTCATCTATAGGCACTTTTTCTACGGTGTTAACATCATCTTCATCATCACTATTATCATAATCACCTTGATTAAGAACCATTTTGGCTATTTCCCCATGGATCAATGAATGAATAATTAGAGCCGCATTATTGCTGGTAAAAACTTACATGACATCTGTTTCTTCCATCTTACTGCCAGACTCTGAAGGTGTATTTTTTTGTATATGTATGGAGGTCAGACATTATTTTTTTTCTCATGTGACATATAGAAACCTTCAAAGTCACCACTTTGTTCATCACCATCACTGAACATAGTTATAGCCCAGAGGTTGTGCCAGGCATGCACAACTGTGTATTTGTCACTGTATTCCAAACATGGGCATTCTTCGTGCTAAACTCCTTTTGAAAACTTTCCACACTCATGCCTCTGTTCACTGTTGCTAGCATGCTGATCAAGAAACTTTTTATATTTATTCTTTATTGATCCAAGAACACCCTAGTCACATGGATGAATTAATGAAGTCACAATTAGGGTAAAATACATGACCTAAACATTTTTAATGAGAATTTCTGCTGGATGATGAGCAGAATCCTTATCAAGCAGTGCCAAAATCTTGCAGTCGTTAATCATTCAGTCTAGATTCCCTACAGCAAGCAAGAGCCACTAGTACCAAATGTTTGTGAAACCAATCAGAAAAGATATCCCTAATTCTCTATGCCTTTTTGTTAGCATAATAATTTACTGGAAAGAAATTTACTCCTTGAAAACAACAAGGATATAAGCTTTTGTCTATCATAGCAAGGTTTTCTTTATGCATGCGTGCTGCATTAGCACATCCCAGAACAGTTATTCTGTCCTTAGCATCCTTAATTCCTATTGAAGCTGTCTCACCAGCTGTAGTCAGTGTTTTTCTGGTGCAATAATGCCGAAACAGTGATGTTTCATCAGCATTACAGACCTGTCCTGGTATCAGATTTTCATCAGTGATGACCTTAGTAACCTCATCAGTGAATATCTCCCTTGCTTCATGATCAGGAAATGGTACAAATCTTCAAAACCTTAACGCTGTGCTTTTTCTTAAATTTATGCAACTAGCCTGTTGAATGTTCACAGTTCCCTTCAATTTTCAGTTCATCGTGATAGATCTTTGCAAGTTTCATGTTCAGCATACCATTAAGTGGCATGTATTCACTGTGACACTGATGGTTCCATTCTTTCAATACATATTCAAGGACTTCATATTTCACTCCATGCATTGCTTTTCTATTTTTCATTAACTTCTGTTCATCACTTTCAGCATAGAACTTCCAACAATGTATCCTTCTCTTTCTTCAGGTCATACATGGTGGTCACTCCAACACTATACTCTTCTATAAGACATTTTCCACTTATACCACCATCCAGTTTCTTCAACAGCTTGACTTTCTGTGCTATAGATAAGTATAAATGCTTCCTCTTTTCTTTACTACTGTTACTCATAAGGGTATCTGCAGATCTTTCTACATTTTCCACAATACCTTTATACCACAGAGAAGAGAATAAGCAAAACAAAACAACATAATGAGTAAGGCATGTAGGTCTTGGCCTCATGTAGGGCATCACAGGCAACCCGCCATTGGTGTGTCTTGCCTGACATGTGCCATTTTATTACCCTTTGTGGATGTGCCTGCATGACGAAGTCTGGGGCATGTGTGGAAAAGATACTTCACAGCTGAAGGGGGCTGGGAGGGTCTCTTTGGAGACATTAAGTAAACTGTGTGTTGTGTATCTGCATTTTGACTGTGATCCATCATATGAGGTCAGGTGTGGAATTTTCAACTTGTGACTTCGTGTCAGCACTCAAAAAGTTTTGGATTTGGGGGAATTTCAGTTTTGGATTTTCAGATTAGGGATGGTTAAGATGTAATTTCATTATGAGTAAATAGATTAAATACTCCAACCAAAAGGCAGAGATTGTCAGGCTGGATTTTGAAAAGCAAGATCCAACTATCTTCTGTCTACAAGAGACAAGCTTTTGCTTTTCCCTTTTTTTTTTTTTTTTTTTTTTTTTTTTTTTTTTTTTTTTTTTTTTTGAGTTGGAGTCTCACTCTGTCAGCCAGGCTGGAGTACAGTGTTGGGATCTTGGCTCCAAGCAACCTCCACCTCCTGGATTCAAGTGATTCTCCTGCCTTATCCTCCTAAGTAGCTGGGATTACAGGTGCCCACCACCATACTGGCTCATTTTTGTATTATTGATAGAGGCAGGGTTTCACCATGTTGGCCAGGCTGGTCTTGAGCTCCTGACCTCAGGTGATCCACTCACCTTGGCCTCCCAAAGTGCTGGGATTATAGGCATGAGCCACCACAGGTTGCCATGAGACAGACTTTAGATTCAAAAATTTAGTCTGAAAGTTAAAAGGATGGAAAATGATATATCATACAAACAGTAACCATTAAAGACCTGCAGTGAATACACTAATATTAGACAAAATACACTTTGAGACAAAAATAAATAAAATACTTGAGACAAAGAGTACATTTCATAATGATAAGGGGGTTAATTCAACAGGAAAATAGAAAAGTTATATATATACCTCAGATTTCCCCAAGTACATGGAGCAATAAATCACAGAACTAAAGAGAGATATAGACAATAATAATTGGAGACTTCAACACCCCAATCTCGATAATTGATGAACAACTAGATACAAAATTAGCAAGGATATGTTTTGTATCACTTAACACTTACACAACACGATCAGCAGACTACTGATCCACCAACTCTATCCACCAAACAAAAGCAGAATAGACATTCCTCACAAGCACACACAGACTGTCCTCCAAAATAGACCATATTCTAGGCCATAAAACACATCTGAATAGATTTAAAAGGAATAAAATCACATAAAGTACGTTCTTTGACTGTAACAGATAAATGAGAAACCACCAACAGAAGGTAAAATCCTTTTGTGGTGATGGAAACATTCTAAGACTAGATTGTGGTGCAAGTGAGCAACTCATTTACTAAAAATAATCATTGAATTATATACTTAAACTATAAATTTTATATGTAAATTATACCTCAAAGCTGTTAAGAAATGAATGAAAGGAGAAGCACATTCACTATAGCAACAAAACTTTAAGAATACCTTTACTAAGGAATATTTGTGACCTATAGGAATAAAAAGTGATTAAGCTTTGAAAGAATTAAAAAGAGATAAATAATAGACAAACTATGTTTCCATATATCAAAAATAATACTTCCAAATGTCAGTTACCTCCAAATTATAGATTTGACACAATTTTAGTAAAAATCATAATGAAAGTTTGATTTTCTGACTTAAAATCATTCTAAAGTTTATCTGGAAGATTAAAAACACACAAAAATTCACAGAATATTTTGAAAGGAAGAGAAATGAATTACACAAGCTATGGTAGACACTGAACCATATTTTAAAGCTACACTGTACTAGCTAAAATATAATATGGATATAGGAGTAGAAGATTAAACAAAATAAGAAATAAAACATTTTATTTGTTTTTAGTATGTATTAAAAATACATTGCCAAACATTTTGAAATGGATAATTCAATAATTTTTATTGATATAAAGAGTTGCATTTGATCTAGCAGTTATACTTCTGGGAATTTTTTTAATGGAAATAATCCTGAAACTGGGTGAGGCAAATATGAATTCCAGTTTCATTCGTAAATGTACAAAATTGGAAACAACCTAAACACCTAGGTAGGAGATTAGTCAAAATAATCATAATTGTAGTTGTTTAACTTACAACTCAGAAGTAGGCATCTTATGCAGTTATTAAAGTAATTTTAAGTAGCATGTGAATATAAGAAATAATGCTTATAAATTTTATGTTAAATGACATAGGACGTAAAGGTATATAAATAGTGTGAATATAAGTATATAAGCAAAACAAAAATAACTTTTCATGAGGAGATTAATGGGAAATATACCAATATGTTAATAGTAATTTTGTATTTGATCATAGTTTGAGTAGAATTTTTAAATATTTATAATTTACAATTATAAAACTAAGCACTTTTTTTTTTTTTTTGAGATGGAGTCTCACTCTGTGGCCAGGATGGAGTGTAGTGGCGCTATCTTGGCTCACTGCAACCTTCGCCTCCAGGGTTCAAGTGATTCTCCTGCCTCAGCCTCCCGAGTAGCTGGGACTACAGGCACCCACCACCACGCCTGTCTAATTTTTGTATTTTTAGTAGAGACGGGGTTTCACCATGTTGGCCAGGATGGTCTCGATGTGTTGACCTCATAATCCACCTGCCTCAGCCTCCCAAAGTGCTGGGATTACGGGTGTGAGCCACCGTGCCTGGCTGCAAGCATTATTTTAATTAAAAATTTCCCAATAATTATATCAAAATTTTAGAATTTATAGTTTAGTTTTCAGGATTCACAGCAAATTTTTTAAAAGATTTCTATTTTTAACATATTCATTATATTATTATTAGAGTTTGGTGAATATGCTAAATGCCTCTCCCTTCCATGAGTTTATGAATTTCAATTATATCTTCTCTTCACCATTGGGTATCTGGCCTAATCAATATTAATAGATATTTAACCACATTTTAAAGCTATAATAATTAAAATAGTATAATACTTATATAGGGAGGAACATTAAATACTCAGGAGATGTAATTTTTTTAGCCTCTTAATTTGGCAGTGTATCTCAAAATGTGGTATGTATCAAAATAATCTGGCCCCAATTTCATAACTTCTAAGTGGGATGCAGCTCTGCCATGTATTTGTTGAAGGCAGTGATGGTGGCAGTGATTCTAAAAGAGAAATTCTCAATTTTGTAGCTGATTCGCATAGAGGGCTTGTGACTCCATCACCTACTGTCTGTGTGACCCTGTGCAAGTTACCTAACCTTCCATGCCTCAGACTCTTCCTCTCTAGAAGAACTGAGCATAATAATAGTGCCTTCTTCATCGGATTATTATGATAGTTACATGAATTAAGACATGGAATGTGCCAGGTACTATGTATAGTAAGTATCAAATATCTGCTATTATTATGCTAAGGCCTGTTATTACAAAGTAAAGTTACCTAATATTTATTATTTTTTACGTGTTATAAATTGTTAGGCACACTGAAGATATAAATGCATGATCTCATTTATTTTTCATATCCACTCAATATGCTGAATGTTGTCTTACCCATTTCAGAGGTTGGAAAAGTGAGGTCCAGAGAGGCTTAGCTGGCTGAGTGTGACTGAGAAGAAAAGGCTTGGGGCTGCAAACTCCACAGAGATAAAGGTGAAGTAATTTTCCAGTAAATGTTGGGGTTGGGATCAAAATTATGTGTAATTTATTTCAAAAGCCCTCCTAGTGTTTGGCACATTTTAAGCATGCAAACTTTGAAAGCATACCTTGGTTTTCCTGGGTTCATCTGAGGGCATTTTCGTTTAGTAGGTCTGGATGTAGGGCCCAGGAATCTGCATTTAACAACAAACACTCCCAGGTGGTTCTGAGGCTGGTAGTCTAAGGATCACAGTGTCAGAAACTCCGCACTAGGTCATGTTCTGAGATAACTAAGAAAGGATGTAGGAAGTAATCATAAAGGGTTTCAAAATGTGTTTAAGGTCATATGTAACTAGTTAGTATCTGAACTGAAACTAGGTGTTAGGTGCCCTCTCAATCCATTCCTCTTTTTCACATCAGAGACCTTAAGCCTGGATTTTTCTCTTAGCCTAGCATCAAATCAGCTAAGCCCATGTCTGCTATTTCTCTAACCTCTTGCTGGGCTTCAGCAAAGCTTCTGCAGGGGAGAGGGCTTGTTTATTTTTAGTCAGAGGCCAGACCAGCAGAGGAGCTAAAATGCTCCAACTGTCTGCATTAACTTTTCATGAAGTTTTTGGGAAAGAAGAGAATGGCCTTATTAGGTGTAAACCTTTTTTATCCTGAAATTATTTTGTAATTGGGAGGTTTGTTTTTATTATAAATTTCAATACCCTGGGTACATTCTTGTAAGTTCTAATGCTATTCTCTAAGCTGCTGATCATCCCAAACAGCTGTTCGTTCCTCTGTAGTCCAACCTAACCTCAGTTAGATTTTTGAGAGAATGGATGGTGATCTAATGGAAAGAGTAAACAACTTGGAGTTAGGAAATACTGGTTAAGCATTGTCCTGCTAGACACTAGTTAAGTGAACCTAGAAAAGTCCCTGATCCTCTGCAAACTTCAATTATTTCACTTAAAAAATTGAGATAATAAGGTCTTAGTATCTAACATCAGAATTATGAGAATCACATGAAATAAGTTAGGTAAATGGACTTTGCCCACTCTTCTATGATGTTCAATCTCTTGTTAGTATTAGACCCATTTTATAGTCTGACCCATTTTTATTGTCTGATGTGGTATTCCTGAGGCCCCAGGTTTGGAGATAATAATATTTCTTCTTCAGAAAAATAAATGACAGAGCCATGGCTGTGGAGCTTTCATAGACACAGGGCTCTTTAGCTAGTGAAGCAAGAACTGGCAAAGTAGGAACACACAAAAGTTAATGCTGTCATGTTTACTGTTAAAACTGGCATTTTGCACAATGTAATGGACTTTTAATACGTTAGATTTCTTATGGAAAAATTCATAAGGTAAGGTAAAATAAAATCAAGATGATGTTTAATTGTTCTTTTTTATAATAGGGTTCAGATATTCATGAAGAATGTTTTCAATGCTTATTCATTTCCTTCCCGCCTCCCTTTTCTTTTCCTTTCTCACTTTTTTAAAATTTCTTTTTAAAGAGACAGAGTCCTACTCTGTCACTCAGGCTGGAGTGCAGTGGCGTGATTCTAGGTCACTGCAGCCTCCAATTCTTGGGCTTAAGCAATCCTCCACCCAAGGCTCCTGAGTGACTGAGACCGCAGGGGCGCCACCTTTCCCAGCTAATTCTTTTTTATTTTTTGTAGAGATGGGGGTCTCACTAAGTTGCCCAGGCTGGTTTCAAACTCCTGGCCTCAAGTGACCCTCCCACCTTAGTGTCCCAAAGCATTGAGATTACAGACATAAGCCACTGCCCACTGTCTTTTCCTTACTCCTACTTTTCACATTTCTATTCCTATTCTAAAACTTACTTTTATAAAAATCATTTTAAACATTCTGGATTTATGGTGGATTACCAACTTCTCTCACATGTTTAAATTATCTTCCTAATAATGCATTAAAGACTTAGGGAGGGCCTAATTCATTTTGGTAAGGAAAGCATACAACTTTTTTTGTGTGTTTGTGTGAGACAGGGTCTCACTGTGTCTTCCAGGCTGGAGTGCAGTGGTGTGATCTTGGCTTCTCCTGGGTTCAAGCGATCCTCCCACCTCAGCCTCCCAAGTAGCTGGGACCACAAGCACACACCATCATGCCTGGCTAATTTTTGTATTTTTTGTAGAGATGAGGTTTAGTCAAGCATGCAACTTTTTACCTGAAGCAGCCATTTGGTGATTCACCAGTTTGAAAAAAGCAGATTCATCAAACAGTACCTAGCTGGATGATATCATTCCACCTCTCATTCAATCTGTAGAGCACCAATGAGTGTACTAAATTCACAAGAGATAAGAAGTCTTCTGTAAAGAAATCCTTACTGTTGCTCCTTTAACCCCTTAGATTGAAAGAATATTGTTTCCCCCCTCCACTTCCTCTCCTTCTAGTCCCTCTTCCTTCTCTCCCTCCTTCTCTTCTTTAAAGTTAGGATAATGTGTTGCTTTTGTTTCAGAAGCTTACATACATTGAACTTGATTTTTTAAATTCAGACTTCACCCGGGCGATGTAATGACTTGTGATGATTTCCAAGAAAGTATTATTTCCAAGTAGCATAATACTCTTGTATAAATCTGGGAAAAAAATCTCCTCTTGAATTTTCATGTTATTCTACAAATACGTTTTTAAAAATCTTGCAGCCATTAGTTTTCAAATGATCTTATTCAGGGAAATTATTGCTCACTTTCTTGAAATTTATGAAGAATTTACATTCTTCATAAGATTTAGTATTTTATTATTTGCCGTATTTCCTGCAGGACAGTAATTGTATCTTATTTCTCTTTATATTTCTAGTACTATCACTGTATGTGTTACCTAGAAGGTGCTCTGTAAATGATTTTTTAACTGTTTTTATTGCTTACTGAAAACTCAGAATGGGAAACTTTGGAAAGGGTGAGACCTTTGTAGAAATGATTTAATCCTTTCTCTTCCACTCCCACCACTCATTTAGTAAGCCAAGGTATAAGTCCTTGCTAAGAGAAAGGAGTTTAGATAAACCGTTGCTAAGAGGCAGGAAGGTATACCTATAGAAGGTTTCCTCAGAGGCCATAGAGAATTTAGGGAGAACGAGATGTTGACATGACCCTGGTCCCTAACTTGAAATTATAGCTGTGAGAGTTTCCTTTTCTGTGCATCGGAACATTCTCAAGGGCAATGACAGAGAAGCACAAGGGAGTAAGCTGCCATATCATTTAAACCAATAAACAAACTATTTCATGAAAATAAAAACCATTTAAGATTGTAAAAAGCCAAATGTAGTAAAAAGTCCTTTTGTAATAAAGGTGGAAATACAATCTCATGTATAGAACAGAAACAAAGTAATACTTTAAGAGGAAAAAAATAGTTTCCAAATTCTCCCAAGGTTTTTTTCACTCATAATCTTTCTTTCCATCACTTGCTTGTTCTGTGACTGTGAGCAAGGTACCTGCAAGGTACATACCTCTCTATGCCTCAGTTTCCTTATCTATAAATTGGGGATGATAATAGTGATATCTGCCTCACAGGTTGTTAAGGTTAAATAAGTCAATATTTTAAAAACAAAAAAGTACCTGGAAAGTACTAGGGACAATAAATGCTTGTTAAATAAAATTTAAAAATAATATATTTACTAAAGCACATTTATATACTTTCTTTTAAAATATGGCCCTGTTGGTAAGGTGTTTTTCCCAGCTTGCTTTGAACTATTTGTATTTATTTTTTGAAATTAAAAAAATACCTGCCTATCTGTACGGTAGAGAGAAAGAAGGGAAAGAAAGAAGGATACAGAAAAAATGAAGGAAAGAAGTGAAAGAAATAGAAAGGAATTACTAAGTTTTCTTTAGGAAAAGGGGCAAAAACTTTGACACTGCTCAGAAGCTAATGTTTCACTGATTCTTCTCACTTTCTACTTTCTGTTATGCTATCCTAGGGCCTGAAAATGGTTATAAATACAATAAGAAGTCACTCCCATATAATTCTAAATGTTTATTCTGACAAATATAATAAAATGATTATAGCAGTACTCTGTCTGCTAATATAAGGCTACTGCTATTGTCATGCACAGAATTCTCCCAATATTAGAGTTTTATTTTTTGTTATCAGTAATCCTCAGGTTCAGTGTCATCCCTTTCTAACCAAGTTACTCATCTGGAAATTAGTACATATCCTGAGAATTGAAGACAATACAGTGTTAAAAGTAAGAATAGTTGACTTTTCAATTTCATGTTTTTAGGCATATGATAGGCAGGTTTATATTATAATTTTTAACTAATCTGTCATTTGAATTCTCTATTTTCCCCCAAAAAATCTTTTCAAATGATTAGCAAAGACTGTTCGGTTTCTTCCTTTGCCCTGTCTCAAAAAATTAGAGGAAAGGTTTGGAAAATGCTTTTGAAGACTAATACTTTTATGTAACTATTTTCTAAACTACATTAACCTGCTACATTTATTTATAATGAGTTTTTAATAATGTTATGTTTTGTTTTCCCAAAAGTATCACCTATTTTATTCAACTAAAAGTTCTATTTATATGTAATACATAAAACTCAGATATACCTTAGACTTGAAAGAATTGGAATAAAGTTGGAGAATAAAGAAATTAAGGGACCTTCAAACTTTATATAGTTGGTGTTAAATATTGATGTCTTTCCAAAATTCATATATAGAAGCCCTAACTCCCAATGTGATGATATTAGGACTTGGGGTCTTTGGGAGGCAATGAGGTTTAGATGAGGTTGTGAGGGTACATCTCCCATGATGAGATTAGTGTCCTTATAAGAAAAGGAAGAGGCCAGGCTCAGTGGCTCACACCTGTACTCCTAGCATTTTGGGAGGCCGAGGCGGGCAGATCACAAGGTCAGGAGTTCAAGACCAGCCTGGCCTGAACATAGTGAAACCCCATCTCTACTAAAAATACAAAACATTAGCCAGGTGTGGTGGCATGCGCCTGTAGTCCCAGCTACTTGGGAGGTGGAGGCAAGAGAATCTGTTGAACCCGGGAGGTGGACGTTGCAGTGAGCCAAGATCACGCCACTGCACTCCAGCCTGGGCGACAGAGTGAGACTCCATCTCAAAAAAAGAAAAGAGACACTAGAGCTTCTTCTCTGCCATGTGAAGATACAGCAAGAAGTAGTCAGCAAGGCAGGAAGAGAGCCCTCAACAAGAACTAAATGTGCTAGCACCTTGATCTTGGACTTCCCAGCCTCTGGAACTATGAAATATATGCCTGTTATTTAAGCCATCTAGTCTGTGGTATTTTGTAGTATAGCAACTGTGCTAAGACATTCAGATTTTCAGGTTCTGAGAGCTTAATATGAAATAAAAAACTGTTGCTGACATGGTAGGTAATATTTTAAGGATGGTTTGTATTTTTTCCCTATGGCTGTCCACATAGCTACCCCACACTATTGTCTTATACTTACAAGCAGGACATTAAATATTAGTGCAACATTAGTTCTTACCTTTAAATGATTGTTTTTCTCTAGTGGAACTTCAAATTGGTCTGAAAACTTAAATACATAGGTTGTAAGTTTAAACTTTTTAAAAAGTTAAACTGTCCTTATATGGACTGCTGGAAAGCATAATATCCTAAGAAAACGAAGTAAATTATTTTAAAGGGAAAAGGATTAGTCTTCAAAATGGGAAAAACTTGAGTTCATTTTTTCCCCTTTTCAACAGAATCTAGGATGGCAAAATGACATAGGAAATGCCACCTCAAAATCTAGACAGTATACATAATCAGTCTTACATCCCGTGGGTCACAATAAAGGAGCTGTTTCAGCATCGTAAACATTGTTGCAAAATGAATTTGAATGGGTTTTGGCAGCAACAGAGCAGAGAAAATAACCACCTTTCAGAATACATAACTTAAAAATTCACTTGTAAGCCCACAAGCTATCCACCATTTTTACATTCTTAAAACATCTCATTGCCCATCTTTAATTTAAAAATATTTCAAAATCAGTAATATTTTCAGGTAAGTTTCAGGTATTTGTTGTTATGCTTTGGTTAAACTGAAAGGATTTGCAGGCATACAAAATCAGAGCCCTTCAAATAATGCCTCACATAATTAAATGCAATCTTGTGTTTGGTTTGAGTTATTTCCATCTCTCTTTATTCTGCAATCTGTTGACAATAGCCAGCCAACTTACATTCTTTGGACTGATGATGGCATATTTTTTAAATCCCTTCAGTGTTGGCATTACTAAGCTTTATAAAGGTGTTATATCTCTCAGAGGCCACTGTTGCCAGCATTGCAGTAAAAATGTGTAAGAATCTTGTCTATGTTACTTCTTTAACCTTTTCATTTCTTTTAGTTTTGTATAAAAATTCATAAGCTTGTAAAAGTATTAATCCAGATAACTTGGAATGATTTTTCTTTTTCATTCTGGATTTCTAACAGATAGATGTTAGCCTTGCATGAAGAGGAAATCCAGAACATTGTTGATTTTGGTTAAAAAAAAAGAAAACACAAGTCTATAGGATTTATTCTAGGGCTTAAAATTTTTGCAAAAAACATGGAGTTTTTATGGTCACACTAATAAAAATTATTTGCTTGAATTTTTATTTTCATCCTGCAACTATTTACTTCCAAATTGAAGATGTTTTTCCCTGATAGACTCTGTGATCCTCTGTGATCACTTTTAGAAATAGTCTATCTTCTTACTTTCTAATTGTGTTACTTAGAAATGTTTCATTTCCTCTATTGCATTTCTTGTCTTTTTAAAAAATATCTGTGTGAGTGTCTTTAGATATGTGTTACAAATTGGATTTTAAAGATCTGTGCCAGTGTACCTGCCTGAAATTCTTTACTGCCTCTGCCAGTGTATCAAGTTTAATACCATGAACAGCCGTGAATAACTTCAGTCTACTCTTCATTTTAAATCTTCCTAAATTAATTGCTTTGTAAAGGTATTGCTAATCCCTTGCAATCCAGAGATATAAAAAATATTATACTCTAACACTTAGTACAGCACAGAGATAATTTACAGCATTAGTCAAACAGTTCCAAAGATGTCATCATTTATAATGACCCCACCCTAGGGCCATTATTTTACTACATAATATGATTAATGTGCTGTCATTTCTTTCTGCTTAAACTGTAGCCGAAAGTAAAAAGTAACACATTTTGGCCTTCAGTTTTCTTAGCCTGAAAGAACTGGTTATTTTTTTAAAAATTTAGCAGCTTATTTCACTTCAGGTTTTTCAAAATATTCATATCTGAGATAACATCTCCATTGCTGAGGATAGTGAATGAGTTATATTCTTGAATGTTACTTGGTTGATTCTGAACATCATTTAAATGCCCCCTTTTTCATATGAGATATAGATCCAGTGTAAATATTGTTTGAATGTATCTGGTGTGGTAATATTTGAAGATATGGGATCAAAATTTACAAGATCCAAAGTCAAATCTTCACATTTATTTTAGCTATTTACTGCCTTTAAAAAAACTAGAAAAGTTTATTTCTATCATCCATAATTTTCTTTATGGCCGTGTCCTCAAAGGACTTAACTTCTGTTGATTCTCCAATCTGGCTGCCTACATCTTTTTACCTATATGACTTTCCTCACATTTTTCTCTTTGCCTAGAATAACTTCCATTCCCCCATGTTCAATGTCTATCTAACACTTAAGCTCAGGTCATATGACACTTCCTTCAGGAAACCTTCCTGGACTCCCCCACAAACAATAATAAGTCTGTTTCTCATCTGAAATTATATGGTAATTTATATATATATTTTTAACTGTGCATATTTTCTAAATAGGTTCAAATAAATAATGTACATACCACTAAATATTCTAAAGTCTAGGGGTCCTGTCTTATTCATCTTCATATGCCCTAGAGTACCAAGTAGGTCCTCAATCTATGTTTGTCAAATAAATAATGTATATAGAAAAACGGTGGTCATTTTGGGGGAAAAGAACGATCTTACCTAAATTGGTTGATTAAAAACATTTTTACAAATATGCTATATAAAGTGTTAAAATATCAATAATTAAAAGCAAAATTATATATATTACAGACAACTTCCTAGCATTAGTTGAGGGGGAAAAAGAAAACAGCCAAACAACCAAAGAAACCCTTGCCACCAATGTAAAATTATGTTTAGCATAAGCTGTTGGAGGATCTAAGAATGAATGTAGTAAGATATTGCTAAGGTAATTTTTATTAAGGTTTGATTTTTAAAAATTAGATTTGTTGCTTTTGGCCACAAATGATATAAGTTACCTAGGAATCAATTGAATCAAAGATGTGAAAGATCTC
Source organism: Homo sapiens (assembly GCF_000001405.40). Lineage (NCBI taxonomy): Eukaryota > Metazoa > Chordata > Mammalia > Primates > Hominidae > Homo > Homo sapiens. Next base: position 33,563,053 of record NC_000013.11, read on the forward strand.
TACAGGGAAAACTATAAAACACTGATGAACGAAATTGAAGAGGGCACAAAAAAATGAAAAGATATTCCATGCTTATGAATTTGAAGAATTAATATTGTTATGACAAGCAGCTCACAGATCCAATTCAATCCCTATCAAAATACCAGTGATATTCTTCACAGAAATAGAAAAAAAATCATAAAATGTATATGGAACCACCAAAGACCCCATATAGCCAAAGCAATTCTGAGCAAAAGAACAATGCTGGAGGCAACCCACTACCTTGACTTCAAAATAGACTATAAAGCTATAGTAACCAAATCAGCATGGTAGTGGTATAAAAACAGATACATAGACCAATGGAACAGAATAGAGGACCCAGATATAAATCCACGCATTTAGAGCCAACTCATTTTCAACAAAAGCACCAAAATATGCAATGGGGAAAGGACAGTCTCTTCAGTAAATTGTGCTGGGAAAACTGGATAACCATACACAAAATAATGAAACTAGACCCCATCTTTCACCATATACCAATATCAAATAAAAATGTATAAAAGACTCAAATATAAGCCTGATGCTATGAAACTCCTGAAAGAAAACTTTGGGGAAATGCTTCAGGACATTGGTCTGGGCAAAACATTTTTGTATGAGACATGAAAAGCACAGGCAACAAAAGCAAAAGTAGGCAAATGGAATTACATCCAGCCTAAAAGCTTTTGCACAGCAAAGGAAAGAATCAAAGTGAAGAGACAACCTACAGAATGAGAGAAAATATTTGTAAACTATCCATCAACAAGGGATAAGTAACTAGAATATATAAGGAGCTCAAACAACTTAGTAGCACACACACGAAAAATCTGATTTAAAAAGGGCACGGCTGGGCACTGTGGCTCATGCCTATAATCCCGGCACTTTGGGAGGCCGAGGCAGGCAGATCACCTGAGATCAGGAGTTTAATACCAGCCTGGCCAACATGGTGAAACCCCGTCTCTACAAAAATACAAAAATTAGCCGGGTGTGGTGGTGTGCACCTGTAATCCCAGCTACTTGGGAGGCTGAGGCAGAAGAATCACTTGAACCCGGGAATTGCTTGAACCTGGGAGGCAGAGGTTGTGGTGAGCAGAGACCGTGCCATTGCACTCCAGCCTGGCAACAGACTGCGACTGTATCTCAAAAAAAAAAAAAAAAAAAAAGAAAAGATCTGAACAGACATGTATCAAAATAAGATATGCAAATGGCCAATAGGTATATTTTAAAATGCTCAACATCGCTAATATCAGAGAAATACTAATCAAAAACAAGGAGATATCATGTTATCCCAGTTTAGATGGTTTTATCAAAAAGACAACGAAAAATGGATGCTGGCGAGGTATGGAGAAAGGGGAACCATATATGTACTCTTGGTGGGAATGTAAATTAGTAGAGTCACTATGAAAGGACTATGGAGGTTTATCCAAAAGCTAAAAATAGAACTACCATATGTAGTTTCACTACTGGATGTGTAGCCAAAAGAAAAATCAACTTATTAAAGAGATATCTACACTCCATGTTTACTCCAGCACTAGTCACAACTGCCAAAATATGGAATCAACCTGAGTGTCCATCAGTGAATGAATGGATAAAGAAAATGTATACCTACAAATGGAACATTATTCAGCCTTAGAAAGAATGAAATCCAGGTGGGCGCGGTGGCTCACGCCTGTAATCCCAGCCCTTTGGGAGGCTGAGGTGGGCGGATCATGAGGTCAGGAGATCGAGACCATCCTGGCTAACACGGTGAAACCCTGTCTCTACTAAAAATACAAAAAATTAGCCGGGCATGGTGGCACACGCCTATGGTCCCAGCTACTCGGGAGGCTGAGGCAGGAGAATGGCTTGAACCTGGGAGGTGGAGGTTGCAGTGAGCCGAGGTCACGCCACTGCAGTCCAGTCTGGGTAACAGAGACTCTGTCTCAAAAAAAAAAAAAAAAGAAAAAAAGAAAAAAAAATCCTGTCATTTTCAGCACCATGGCTGGAACCAGAAGTCGTTATGTTTAGTGAAATTAGCACAAAAAGTGAAATGGGCACAAAATTTAGTGAAATGGGCACAAAAAGATGACTATTGCAGGTTCTCACTTATATATGGGAGCTTAAAAAAACGTGGATTTCATGAAGATAGAGAGTGATTGGAGCTTACCAGAGGCCAGGAAGTGTAGAGGGAAGGGGGGAAATGAAGATTGATTGATTAATGGGCACAAATATCAGTACAGTGACTACAGTTAATATTAATCAATTGTACATTTCTAAAGAGCTAGGAGAGAACAATTTGAATGTTTCTAGAGTAAAGAAAAGACAAATATTTAAGGTGATAAATAATTACCCAAATTTGATATGAATATATCAAATTATCACATACACTGCAAAAACATGTACAACTATGTGTTAATAAAATATAAATCAATTTAAAAAGAAAAAATATGTATTTTGATAAAATGTGTAATATATTTGGCAACTTTAAATAGAGGGCTACACTGGTAAACCTGAAGGAAAGCAAATTTACCATGGATTTTGTGACCTTTCCATACCATTTTGATGGATAATTTGGGCCTTCTAATCCATAAGTTGAGAGAAGAACATCAATTACCTGTAGGCTCATACAGATCACTCACCTTGCCCAGGACGCTGCCTCCAAACAGGTAAGAAACATATATCACAGAAGGGCATGATTACTGGCATTAACATCAGCCAATGGCCAGGAACTTGATCCAACATATCCTGGCTATTCTCTTCCTACTCTAATGAACACCTTCCTACTTATTCATCCTTCAAGGTTGAAATCAATGTCACCTTCTTTGGAAAGCTTTCCCAAGCCTAATTAATTACTTTCTCCTTTATGCTTTTAAAGCACTTCTACCTATATCTGTAAAATAACTTAATCCAGTAGCTTTCCCCTTATCTGTAGTTTCACTTTCCACAGTTTCAGTTACCTGTGGTCAGTCATTGTTCAAAAATATTAAATGAGGAATTCCAGAAATAAACAATTCATAAGTGTTAAGTGCTATCTTATGATGCCTGTGACATTCACCTCACTTCATCTCATTACATCAGCATTTTATCTTCTCCAATCATCACAAGGAAAAGGGTGAGTACAGTACAATAAAATATTTGGAGAGAGGCCACATTCACATAGTATGCAGGATTGTTATAATTATTCTGTTTTATTATTAGTTACTGTTGGTTATCTCTTACTCTGCCTAATTTGTAAATTAAACTTTATCATAGGTATGTACATATAGGAAGAAAACATAGTATATTTAGGGGTTGGTACTATCTGCGGTTTCAGGCATCCACTGGGGGTCTTGGAATGTATGCCCCATTGATAAGAAGGAACTGCTTTATTTATATCTCTGCATGATCTCTAACTGCCTGAGACTCAGAGACAAAGTCTAGTTTTCTGTACAAGTCTACCTTCTAGCATAGTTTTTGGCACTTGTGACTTTTCCCTTTCATTATAATCATAGTACTTCATCTTATGGTACACATATTCTCTCATCTTTTAAAGTTTTTCTAATTTTCATTTCTGTGAAACCTGCAAAGAAGTGTAAAAGATCACATGATCAAGGACACAGTGAATAGACAGCCAGCTTCCCATGCCTCTTGAAATCTTTTAGAGAGAAGTGAGAAATTTGGTAAGTCAGAGAAACCTAGATTCCCAGTCGCAAGTCTTTTATAGAATTAGGCAGTATGGGGATCACTGCTCTCAGGTGCAGGCTATTACTATGTGATCCTTGCTGTGTCTAAATTCCATCCTTCCATAGTCAGTTTCCTATTTCATCTAGCTTACAGCAGGCCTACCATCACTTACTATATTACATAGGTTCTAGCATGCATACCAAATACTTGTATTTTGGCTTCAGTTTTCACTTCTTTCCAGTTGTCTAATTTGATGGTTCAGTAATTTCTTACTCCTCTACACCTTAAACAAGTCACAGCATGCCCTTCTAATATTCCCATAGTGCAATTCCTATGCTTTACCCAACTCATCAGCCTTTCTCCAAAGCTTTGTTGAAGCTTCACTTGGTCCTGGTTTAAATATGTATTGCTGAAGCAGAATGCTTTGACCCTACTAGGTACTCACACTCACTCAAATACCCTTTGCTCCAATAAATAAATAGGCCCAACTTTTTTGTCTCAAATTCATAACAAATATTCTGATAGAAATAACAAACAAGAAAATAAAACTTACAATGGCTGAATTTTACCTGGAGAGGACAGTAAAGAATCATGACGTCTTTGTGAAAACAACAGTGGCCCAGGGAAAATCAGATCTTAGTAAAAGTAATGAACACAAAATAGAACTTACACCAACTAAAACAGTAACAAGGTGTCATTTGTTGTGGAACACAAATTGACAGAAGAATCAAAGCTTGGTACTATTTAGATCATGTACAGTGAAATTTCATATAATTAATGGCCAAACGTACACATTTATAATGGTAGAATTGTAGTTGATAATTCTTGTCTATAATTGATAAAACTTGATATGGGCAAAAAGTTTTCCATGAATCAAACCCCTATTTAATTTACAGAAAAATGATAGCATTGGAGCATTTTAGAAAGATAAAAATGAAGGTGAACAAAAAGTGAAAATGGTTCAAGTGCATTGAATAGACAATTCATCTAGTAGTTAAATTCATTTAATGAAATTCACTCTGGAATATACCTTTTCCACAAAAATTCATCTATGTCAGTATACTTATTGAAACACTTGTAATTTTAAGCATGGGGTCAAAACATCTCCATGTCAAAATAGCTGGATCAAAATGCTGTTTGCCCATTTCATGCCAGAAGTTCCTCCATTATAACCACTGATGCTTCCCTTAGAAGTCTGTATGTAAATGATTTGGGACTTCACTGGGCCATATGTCACCATTAATAACAGAAAGTGTTTGTGGGTTTGCTTTTCTTCTTTAGAAAATGAAGAGATTGTTTTTATGGATAATGGTATTTAGGGATTTTTTTTTCTATTGTTTAAATTAATAGTCAATATATTTTAAAGGATTAGGTGTTGGGGAGGAAATAACAGGAAAATTAAGTTTACTCTGCCAAACAGGCATTATCCCTGAGAAGTAGTTCCTTCTTATTCTGCACTATAAATCCTTTTATCACCATGTATATTTCTACAGGGGCTACTGCTATCTTGCTTTGGTAGTTACAGTAAATCAAGATAAAGACACCAGTCTGCTTGGACTTGTGGAGAGGTAGCAAACAGGTATGGAAGACCTGGAATCGACTTCAGAAATGCTCACGATGCTTGGGTACCCTGATGTGGTACTACCTAGCCTACTTGGGTCAAATGACTTTTGCAAAATTCTATAAGATACTTAGCATTCTCCTGTGGCAATTATTTGTTAACAAAATGCTGGAAGGAAGAGCTCTAAAGATTTTCTTAAATATATCTGTCCCAGGGATATCAAATGTTTAGGAGAAATAGTGTAGTAACAGAGGTAAGCTATCAATTTAATTTCACTTGACATCTAATCTAGTTGTGTTACCATGATGTTCCCTGACTACGTAGGGCTTCTGCCTGCCATTGGACACTAAATAATTAAGAATTAGTTTCTTGGGTTGTTGATTATATCAGAAAGTCCCAGGTTATAAACGGGATTAAACAGTGAACACACTAAAGGTATAAAGTTATTTATTCAGTATATTTATAAGGCCTCAACATAATTTATAGAATTTACATTTAGCTATGTATTTATCCAAGAGAGATTTGTTAAGCTACATTTCAGAAAGATTTACTAACTATATGTGTACATCAAATTCAAAGTAGGCTTATACATTTGAGCTTTATATTGGACAGAATTATTCTAATGACATAGTAAGCTAGACAATTGAGTTCTCCTATAGAAAACTTATACTTTTTTAAACTACCAATAACCATTACCCTATTAAAAATGGCTTCACAAATATGACAGTACAGGAGAAGACTCATAGGAGAACTTCTCAGTGGGTAGACTGGCCATTCTGATCTGAGTGCAAATAACACCAAGGCAGAGTTTACTTAAGCTTATGTCTATAAAATTTAAGTGTTGAAGTGGGAAGATATTAATTTATATGCATGGCCTGTTAAATGGCTAGTTTAGAGCTATCAAATAATCTTGTATATGATGTTATACTATGTTATTCTTTGTGAAAAGGTAATAAGGACAGTGTAAATTTCAGGGCTACTTCCTACTCATACCTTGTTGATAAAAATGTAGATTGGTTGAATACTTCGAAGAGCAGTTTGGCAATATTGAATATGAGCTGTAAAAATACATAACCATTGTAACATGAAGACCTTATGTAAATTAACAAGAAAAACTCATCTGCAGTAAGCCTTATCGAACCCCTTGCCTGGGCTAAATGCTCTATTCCAAATAAATAAATAAATAGTTTGTAATTAGAGGAGGGTTTTTATGTTCAATTGTGAGATCAATCTTTAAGAAATTTTAAGGATTTAATAGTCTTATATAATTAGAGCTTGAAGTTAAAGGGAAAAGATGTTAAATGAGGTGAAAGTGAGCAGAAAGAAATCTTCTGCATATAGAGGTAACATCTCAATCAGAAGAAAGAAGGTTAAAAAAAGACCCGCATCAGTTAGGAAGTGGTAATTACACTAATATTTCATTATTAACTTCAATCGTAATTGATTGACTTTTTTGACTTACTGTTGTGATGAAATGGCAACAGAGTAGATTATTAACTTTCAGACAGAAATATTAATTTTCCCTTTGATCAATAGCTTAAGATAGAGATAAAATAAAATGAATAAGGAGAATTATGCTTGTTCGTGTTAAAAATTTACTAACCAGCAAAGGCATGAGAATGATATAATGGACTTTGGGGACTTGGGGAGAAGGGTGGGAGCGGGATGAGGGATAAAAGACCACATATTGGGTACAGTGTACACTGCTTGGGTGACAGGTGCACTAAAATCTCAGAAATCACCACTAAAGAACTTATTATCCACGTAACCAAAGACCATCTGTACCACAAAAACTAATGAAATACAAAAAAAATTTATGAGCCAAAGGGAAATATCAGTGTGTGGCTATATTCTAAGTACATCCAGTTTAAAGTAATGAATATCGTTTCTCATCTGACCCATTTAAAGCTGGGCTTCCATGTGCCACTGTGTATCAATAAAGGCATCTATGAAAGAGCACGGGGGAGGAAGTCAGAATCTCTAAAAACTAGCTACTCATTCTCATGTACAAGTTAGATTATTTGGGGATTTGATTTTTCTATCCATTGTGTAGTCATACCATTTATGTTTTAGATATTAATAAGCAAAACTTTGGACATACCAGGACACTCATAGATGATTTAAACTTTGTAATTTATGTTACCCATTTGACCCCCATTCAAAGACTCACTAATGAACTTTTAACCCTTAACTTTTCTTGGCAAGAGCATTATATTTAAACTGGAAATGCATAGAAATCATCATTGGAACATTTATAAGGATCATTCCTACTGTAATTCGCTAACAACTCACTACTAGGTGGATTGCTTTTTGTTCAGTTTTGCTCTTTTCTGGTTTACTTCCAACCTGTTTACTGAGACTGTCTTGGTAATGCAAATCTTTCTTCTTTGTTAGTCCACAGACAGTTTGCTCATTTCGGAAGAAAGCTCCTGACTGAGGTTCTTTAGATGCGTTTAACGGAGGGACAGCTGTGCAGAAGCATCACTGTCTCACTCTTTTCCAGACTGATCAAATGAAGCGTCTGTCATGTCACACATATGGAGTTCTCTACCAACAGCAAAGGCTATTTAGTCAAGGTTAGAAACAAATATTGTGTTGGATTTTTGCTTATGATATGTTTTGGATTTTTCTTTGAAGCTCTGATTTGAAAGATATACAGAAAGATATGGCTTGAGGGAGGAAATATGAATATTATCCTCAACTACTCCCATGTTCATACCATCCTGAGAGTTGGAGGCATCATGCTGCACCTTGGGTATCCTTGAGGAGAAATCCTTTGGTAAAGACTCTAGTCCTATGGATTGGCAGAAATTCCCAGTCTGGTGTCTGACAGCTCCTCCTGTGCACGTTTTGAATTTACTGGGCATGTGTCAGACTCCTGAGGGGAAGACATCTCCTGCTCTCCAAAGAACTGAGATTCCATCACAACGGATTTCAATTGTTCGAGAATAACAAGTAGAATTACCTTTATTTTAAGTTGGCTTGGCAATTATAATTCATGTTGTGCCCTATCACAATTATCAAAGTGAGGAACTCCTCACAAAGTAAACAAAGGTCTTTCAATCCATAAAATTAGTATCTCAATTCAACTTATTTTGAGTTTATTTATTTTGCTTTTGAGAACAAAATGTCTAGTGTGTAGATAGTTAAAAATTAAATGCAGTAGCTATTTATAATGCCTGCATTTTTCTGCATACCTTATGCTATATATTAGTTACATAACTCAAATACTCAAGTCTAAGAGTCAGAGTGTTGGAAGGGACTTGGTCTGTACTTCTGAGTCTTCTGAGCCAGCAAGGCCACACTCTTTCCCCATCATTGCCTTGCCAGCAGTTATTCTATATCCTATATTCAAGTTCATCAGATAAAGAAACTTGAACAGTTTCTAATGAAGGAGAGCAGGCTCAATATCCTGTCCCGCTTTCTAAGAGGTGAGTGTGCTATGCAGGGTCCAGGGATGAGATGTAGCCTGCTTTGTACCAGATGCCTGTCAGTCACAGAAATAACTGCTTGCTGTTTGACTATATGTATAACTGGATGCTATGAAGTGGAGAATATTTAAGAGGACCTGAAACCATGTCTCTTCTGGGACTTAAGAGTGTGTGGGCTTCTGAGAGCAGAGGAGGTACCAAGAAAACCCCACTGCAAGGATAGCTGTGAAAGAAAATAACCAGGGAATTTGCTAGGCCAATGTCCTCAGGACCTTAAGTTAGCAGTGTGTGGGAAACAACAAAGCCTGGTAAATATTAATTAAATTGCACACCAGAAACAGAGATAAAGAACTATATATTTGCTTCAATAAGCAAGCACCTGCAAGATTTCTTGTTTTCTGCCTGCATAGTAGCATCCTAATCGTCAACCATCAACTGTCCCTAGTCTCCCTTTCCAGGTACCAGAATTTCTTACTTATAATGCGTTAAATCAAGTTTAGCCTAAAGTTGCCTCCTTACATATTTTTGAGTTCAACCTAAACTTTTCTCTGTACATTGTGAATTATAACAAGTGGAGGTGTAAACAGACTGTAGCCTACACTTGTGCCAGTCACTGAGTTTTGGCCAATCAAATGTAGCCAACTGTTCGAACCATGTTCAAATAAGGCAAACACCAAGATGTAACCAATCCAGCTGTTTCTGTACCTCACTTTCATTTTCTGTATGTCACTTTCCTTTTTCTGTCCATAAATCTTCTTCCACCACGTGGCTGTGCTGGAGTCTCTGAGCCTACTCTGGCTTGAAGGCTGCCCAATCCATGACTTGTTCATTACTCAAACTCTTTTAATTTGTTTGAAGTGTTTCTTATATCAAATGCAACTTACATTTTCAAATGGCATTGGAATACAAACTATTTTTTCAAATATCTTTTATACTATGTTCTAAATGCAGCCAGCCCTCTGTATCCAAGGGGTTCCACCTCCATGGATTCAACCAACCATAAAAATGTTCAGAGAAATCATTCCACAAAGTTACAAAAAGCAAAAACGGAACTGGATACACATCAAGTATTATGTTTAATCCACAAGAATTAAGTGATGTATAGGCATTATATTAGGTATCATAAATAACCTGGAGATGTTTTAAAGTATATGGAAGGATGCACATAGGTTGAATGAAAATACTAGGCCAATTAATATAAGGGACTTGAGTATTTTGTATCTGTAGGGGATCCTGAAACCAGTTCCCCTCAGATATCAAGGGACAACTTTAATGCACAAGATGACCCAGGATATATGTCTTATTTCTACTTTATTATAACAATTAAGAAATCATGGCTTGGTGGCCTCTGATCTCTTTCACAAGTTAAAATGTGATCCTTCAGGGCTCTACATGAAAGGTGATGGTGATGTGGGTTCCTTCCCTAATTACAGGAACAGTCTAGACTACGGTAGCCCCAGACAACTACGGAGATGTCTAGATAATGCATTTACCTAAGAAAACATCTCAGCTCATACACTATAAACATTAAAATTATAAATTATAATTGATATCTATATAGAAAAAAGTGTTACTGTTTGGATTCACATAAAAATTAGAAGTCCATGGAAAACATGTGCTCTAGTTAAGTATCTGATATCGTACATACCAACCTATCTATTTAAAGATCTTAAAAGTATGAGGCCCATGCACCATTGTATTGATGCTGTATATATGCAAAATATGAAAGTATTTATTCCATTATAAACTATGTAACAATATTATTAAAGTCTCCATAAGGCTAGGGATCCTGGTGGACTAGACAGATAACACAAATTACATGGCTCAAAAGCTTACACTTGGGTGTACAAAAACACCTAGTTTTCCTGAAAATCCACTGCACATTTCTGAAACAATCAGACTATATTATGGTGACAGATATTAAGGTTCTGTTGGTACATGTTTTAAAGTAAATAGGTATTCAGGCAGAGAATGTTCCAGGGAGTATAAGCAGAAAATCTATAAATCATCTCATAATAATGTTAAATTTTATAAAGAAATCAATTATTTCTTCCCTTGTTCAATTGGGGAAACTGGATTCAAGAAGTATCTAGATTCATAGGACCGTCTCGCTGGGTGTTACCTTTATCTTACCACCAGTATCCTGTGACCCTGTCTTCAGGCATTTAATTCCCAGAACAAATTGTGTACACTGGTGAACATGAACAAAAGTTTTACAGGTATTTTTATAATATATTCAAAAATAACACATAAAACTGTGATTTCAGAGTTACTAGCTAAAGATAAAATTAAAAAGAAAGCTTGAAGCTTGTCCTTAAAAAAATGAACAATAGTATAGATGATACAGGAGTGTGACAAAAATCATGATCCTTGCCTAAAAACATGACAGGAGTTTGGAAAGCAATGGAAGAGAGGCATACAGGGGCGCTGAGTGTGAGGAGCTGCGGATGTGTCTTGCTTCAGTGTATGCTGCAGAAATCTATAATTAGTGTGAAGCACTGTCAGAGTACATCTTCAGTAGTAAATGTTATTCTTCCTAAACTGCCATCAAGTTTGTTATATTGATGTGGAATATAAAAATCGACAAACTTTTTAACACATGAGAGAACACAGTAAGTGAAAGTATGGATCATCTCACTGGGAGGATTTTGGAGATTTAGACATCAGTTAGACCATTTCTAGTATTTATCAGATTATAGATACTTTCAAATTAGATTGACTAAAAAAAGTTTTCCACACTGTATTTAGAGATATCAGAAAATAGGTCAGGCTCATGCCTGTAATCCTAACACTTTGGGAGGCCCAGGTGGGAGGATTACTTGAGCCCAGGAGTTCGAGACCAGCCTGCGGTACATACTGGGACCCTGTCTTTACAAAAACATAAATAAATAAAATTAGCCAGGTGTGGTGACAGGCTCCTGTAGTCCCAGCTACTTGGGAGCCTGAGGAGGGAGAATCACTACAGTCTGGGATGTCGAGGCTGCAGTGAGCCATGATCATGCCACTACACTCTAGTCTGGGTAACAGAGCAAGATCCTATCTTGGAAAAAAAAGAAATATGGGAAAATAAATGAAAAAGAGACAAAATATAGTTGAAATGTGTTCCCCAACTTGCTTGAATTGTTTACTTACTAGGGATGCAGACTTAAATAGCATAATTTGTTGTTATACTCTCAACCTAAAATCAGTTTCACAGTGATGTTATATGCATCTACTTTTTTTTTTTTTTTTTTTTTTGAGACAGAGTCTCACTCTTTTGCCCAGCTGGAGTGCAGAGGTGCAATCTTAGCTCACTGCAACCTCTGCCTCTCAGGTTCAAGTGATTCTCCTGCCCCAGCCTCCTGAGGAGCTGGGATTACAGGCACATGTCACCATACCTGGCTAATTTTTGTATTTTTAGTAGAGATGGGGGTTTCACCATTTTGGTCAGACTGGTCTCCAACTCCTGACCTCGTAACCTGCCTGCCTCAGCCTCCCAAAATGCTGGGATTACAGGCTTGAACCACTGCGCCCGGCCATACCTACGTATTTTAAATATATTCGTATATGCCTCTAATATGTAAAAATGAACCCCAAAGATCCTGATATAATTTATCTAAAATATAATTGTCTAAAATATAATTTGGACAAATTATTTTACCATATAAATGACTTCATCAATTTTCAGATATCCTGCCCACATTGGCCAAATTCTACATTTTGTGGGGAAAGGGAAAAGAAGAAATAGACATAGAGATGGCCAAGTGCTATGGTTTGGATATGGTTGTTTTCACCAAAACTCATGTTGAAACTTGATTTCTGCTGTGGTGATGTTGGGAGGTGGGGCCTATGGGAGGTGTTTAGGTTGTATGGTCAGATCCCCCATGAATGGCTTGCTGCTGTCATTGCAGTAGTGAATGAGTTCTCACTCTTGTGAGACTGGATTAGTTCTTAGGGGAATAGATGAGTTTCCTTGAGAGTGAGTTGTTGTAAAGCCAGGACGCCACTCAGGTTTCCTCTTCTTTGCTCCTGTGTGCTTCCCCTTTGGTCTCTGTGGCACCACACAAAAGCCCTCAAGATAAACCAGGGCTATGCCATTGAACTCAGCCTGCAGAACTGTGAGCTAAATAAGCCTCTTTTTATTTATAAATTACCCAGTCTGAGGTATTTTTGCTATAGCAACCCAAAACAGACTAATGTACAAGAAATTTGCAAAGCCCCTCTCCCTCTATGCCAGACACTTGCCTAATAATGTTCAGGAATTATATGTAATGTATACAAGCTGCAGTAAAAACAAAAAAAATCTATATGGGACTCTTTAACTGCAAAGACCTTGAGATGACACATCTTTTTCAATGTATTTTGATTTTACTACAACAACTAGCTCAGAGGGAGCTTTATAGGGAGCAATATTACTCATTAACTCTTTGTTGAATGAATTAATGAACTAGTGAGTGGATTAATAAAATTAGGCCAGTTAAGGGAACACACTGTTTCTACGCCAGTTGGCTATTTTGGGTTTAAATATTTTTAAAATTACTGTTGGTTCTGCTCTTTTTTTTTGAAACAAGGTCTTGCTCTGTCACCCAGGCTGCAGTGCAGTCGCTCCATCATAACTCACTGCAGCCTTGAACTCCTGGGCTCAAGCAGTTCTTCTGCCTCAGACTCCCAAGTAGCTGGGACTACAGGAGTGTGCCACCATGCCCAGCTAGTTGTAATTTTTCTTTTTTTTTTTTAATAGAGACAAGGTCTTGCTACATTGCCCAGGCTGGTCTCAAACTTCTGGGCTCAAGCAATCTTCCTGTCTCAGCCTCCCAAAGTGTTGGGATTACAGGCATGAGCCACCATGCCCAGCTTAACGCTTCTCTCTTGAAGGCTGAGAACTAATAAATTAATCTGCCTTTGATTGGCTAATTTTCTCAATAAGAAAAACAAAAAACCACATATCAGTCATCCACATGCCCATCTCAGTAATTTATTCCCCAAATATTATTCTTCTCAGTTACAAAATTTGAGAGGAAACTTAGTTTTTTCACCAAAGATAGGTGGGATAAAAATAATATAGTGTGAGGGATTTCAATTAGACATATTACAATATTTAATTAGACATTTTAAAACCATATAATAAGGTATGTTCATAGTAACAAACCTTAATACAGTTTGATAAAATTTTGTAAAATCCTCTTCCCTGGAAGTCATTATAAAGGCATTCTTAGTGATTTTAATAACTTAATGCTTTAGTTTCCGGTTTAAAGCCACCAGCTGTCTAATGACAGCCGAATGCACTGATCTTTAAAAAACTCCCTTAAAGTTTTATGATTCAATAAACACAAGACCTAGCATTTATTTAGGATTTCACGTTTCACAAAAGCCCTTTTAAAAACATTTTTATCATTTAATCATTACCACAATCCTAATTAGTATGCCTAATTATGTCCATGTCTTTACTGCAGAAACTTATTCTTGATTGAGTGATTTTCATAATGTACTACAGATTTGTGCAGCACAGACCTTGGATTCAAACTAAACTTAGTCACATCCAATTACATCATGTTTTATCGTGTTGCTGATAATCATGATGGCAACCACCTCTACTCTACAGAGAAATAAGTTCACTTTAAGACAGGCTTTCACTGTTTAACAGGTTTTCCCTCAGCTATAAATAGCATAGTATAAAATTCCATTCTTTCACATTGTTGCACTTAAAAGATCAAGTCTTATCTGGTATTAAAAAGGGAAAGGATCTGCCTTTTCCTGTATGTAAATTTTATCTGAATGAAAAGATTAACAGAATTATTAATAACCAATAATGCTATGAGGTAAAAGCTACTCAGTAATAGGAGTTATTGCTAACAAAATGAACTCTGGAATAGAGAATCCAGAAATAGACCCACACATATATAGTCAACTGATCTTTGACAAGAGTGAAGACAATTCAATGGAGGAAGGACAGTCTTTTTAACAAATGATGCTGGACATCTGCATGCAAAATAATGAATCTAGACACGGAGCTTGCATCTTTCACAAAAATTAATCTAAAAAGGATTATAGCCCTCAATGGAAAATGCAAAACCATAAAACTCCTAGAAAATAACATAGGATAAAACCTGGGTAACCTTGGGTTTGATGATGACTTTTTAGATACAAAGCCAAAGCAAAATCCATGAAAGAAAAATTGGTAGTTGAACTTCATTAAAAATTCAAAACTTCTGTTTTGTGAAAGATGCTGTTAAGATAATGAAAAGACAAGACAAAAAAATCTTTGAAAAGCATATAAAGGTCTCTACAAGGAGAACTACAAAACACTGCTGAAATAAATCACAGATGACACAAACAAATGGAAATACATCCCTTGCTCATGGATTGGAAGAATCAATATCATAAAAAATGACCATACTTCCCAAAGCAATCTACAGATTCAGTACTGTTACTATTAAAATACCAACATCATTTTTCACAGAATTAGAAAATAATCCTAAAATTCATATGGAATAGAAAAAGACCTTCAATAGCCAGAGCAATCCTAAGCAAAAGAACAAATCTGGAGGCATCACATCACCAGACTTCAAATTATACTACAAGGCTACAGAAACTAAAACGGCATGGTATTGGTATAAATATAGATAAACAGATCAATGGAGTAGAATATAGAATCTAGAAATAAAGTCAGATATACCCAGCTGATCTTTGACAAAGCATAAGAGCAAATAAATTAGGGAAAGGACATCCTATTCAATAAATGGTGCTGAGAAAACTGGATAGCCACATGTAGAAGAATGAAACTGGATCCCTCTCTCTCTCACCATATTACAAAAATCAACTCAAGGTGGATTAAAGACTTAAATCTAAGACGTGAAACCATAAAAAATTCTGTAAGAAAACCTAGAAAAAACTCCTTTGGACCCTGGCCTAGGCAAAGAATTTATGATTAAGACCCCAAAATCAAATTCAATGAAAGCAAAAATAAGGAAATAGGACCTAATTAAACTAAAAAGCTTCTGCACAGCAAAAGAAATAATCATCAGAGTAAACAGACAACCCACAATGAGAGAAAATATTTGCAAACTATGCACCTGACAAAGGACTTATATCCAGAATCTACAAGGAACTCAAACAAATCAGCAAGAAAAAACAAATAGTCTCATCAAAAAGTGGGTAAATGACATGAATAGACAATCCTCAAAAGAAGATATATAAATAGCCAACAAAAATATGAAAAAATGCTCAGCGTCACTAATCATCAGGGAAATGCAAACTAAAACCACAATGAGATACCACCTTACTCCAGCCAGAATGGTCATTGTTAACAAGTCAAAAAAAACAATGGATGTTGGTGTGGATGTGGTGAAGAGGGAATGCTTATAAACTGCTGGGGGGAATGTAAACGAGTACAACCTCTCTGGAAAATAGTATGGAGATTTCTCAAACAACTAAAAGTAATTCTACCATTTGACCCAGAAATCCCACTACTGAGTATCTACTCAAAGGAAAATAAATAATTATGTCAAAAAGACACCTGCATGTGTGTGTTTATCGCAGTATAGTTCACAATTGCAAAGATGTGAAACCAACCTAAGTGCCCATCAATCAGTGGATAAAGAAAATGTGCTACTATACACATGGAATACTACTCAGCCACAAAATAACAAAATAATGTCTTTTGTAGCAACTCGGATGGAGCTGGAGGCCATTATTCTAAGTGAAGTGACTCAGGAATGCAAAGTAAATACTGTATGTTCTCACATATAGGTGGGAGCTAAGCTACAGGTACACAAAACCATGCAGGGTGGTATAATGGATATTGGAGACTCAGAAGGAGGGTGATGGATAAAAAACTATATATTGAGTACAATGTACACAGCTAGGGTGACAGGTGCACTAAAATCTCAGATTGCACCATTGTATAATTTGCCTATGTAACCAAAAACCACTTGTACTCAAAAAGCTATTGAAATATCATATATATATATAATTTATATATTATATATAAACATATCTGATAAAGGGCTGGTATACAAAATATACAAAAAAAACTCTTAAAGCTGAACAGTAAGAAAACAACTCAATTTAAAATGGGGAAAAATCTGAACAGACACCTCATTAAAGAAGACATGTAGATGGCCAATAAATACATGAGAAATTGCCAACATCATGTATCTTTAGAAAACTGCAAGTTAAAACAATAATGAAATACCACTACACATCTATTAGAATGACTAAAATCACAAACACAACACTGAATGTGACGATGTAGAGTAACAAGTGGTCTCATTCATTGCTGATGGAAACGCAAAATGGTATAGCTGCTTGGGAATGCAGTCTGACAATTTCTCACATAACTAAACATACTCTTAATATAAGATCCTGCAGTTGCACTCCTTGGTATTAACCCAAATGAATTGAAAACTTATATTTACACAAAAAACTGCATGTGAGTATTTATAGCAGATTTATTCAGAATTACCAAAACTTGGAAGCAACTAAGATGTCCTTCAGTAGGTGAATTAATAAACTATGGTAAATTCACACAATGGAATATTATTCAGTGATTATCAATCCACAAAAAATCATGGAGGAACCTTAAATACATACTGCCGAGTGAAAAAAAGGGGATCTGGAAAGGCTACACACCATATGATTCCAACTATATAACATTCTGAAAAAGGCACTCTTATGGAGATAATAAAAAGATCAGTGGTTGCCGTGGGCTTAGTGGGGAGGGGAGAAGGGATGAATAAGTGAATGGAGAGGGCATTTTTAGGAAGGTGAAACTATTCTGTACAATACCATAATGGTGGGTACATAATATATTTGTCAAAACCCACAGAACACACAACACAGCGTGAACCTTAATATGAACTATGGACTTTTAGTTAATTATGTATCAATATTGGCTCATCAATTTTAATAAATGTACCACACGAATAAAATATGTTAATAATAGAGGAAATGAGCAGTATTGTGGAGGGCAGCAGTAAGAGAAGGGTATATAGGAACTCTGTATTTTCCACTTAATTTTTCTGTAAACTTGAAACTGTTCTAAAAAATAAAGTCTATTCAAAAATCTACATGATTCAAGGCCAGGCTGGCAAACATTTTATCTCTATTTATAAGCAAGATAGACTTAGTATAGTGTGATTATTCAGAATTAGAAAACATACATATATATTTGTTTATCTCTCCCAGGAAAATACAAAAAAGTATCAAAACTGTAAGAATTAAATGACTACTTCTTAAGAAACCCAAACCATAAAGATTTAGAATATTCTTACAAAAGTATAGTTTCAGTTGTCTTGAAGACATTGTATTTATGTTCTTCTGTTTAACTCAGTATTTACTAATCCAGTTTAAATAAGGAGAATTTGATTTATTAAATATGTCCTAACCACAAAGAGAAAATTTTCTGGACAATTAATTTTGAAATTAGCCTTTTTCTCATGCTTATTTTATCCATAATTTAGCTTTTGAGAACAGAGGATGATTGTCAGAACATTTCAGTAATCAGTATTTATCAATCCTTTATTAGAACTCTGGTCCTAAAATATAACAGTTATAGAAGAAAATCTGTGTAGACAATCACCCAAGACTTTTCCCACCATACATACATTCCCAGATCTAAATATAGTAGATCTATAAAATTCTAAATAAAAATGTTCAAAGAATTTCAAATCAATATTTTTTTTTAGGGTGGAATGAGTTCCCAGTGGGCCCAAGATCAACTCTATAATTTGTCTTGGTAGTTAATTATCATAATAGACTAACTATATTACATTCTATATAAAAATAAGACTTGTGCAGCAACATTCATTTGAATTTGTTAGTCCTCAGTAGGATTTTATTTCTGTTGCATTGTAAAACTGGTGTTTCAATTTGTGTACTCTTCATCCTATTTACGTAGACTGTACATACTTAATGTTAAGCTATGAATATTGTAAATATTATAAATACCAGGTAACTTATTTATGTTCCAGAACAACTCGGGAGGAATTATTATTTTTTGTGTCAAAGTACTTCAAGGCAAAGGTGATAACAAATATCGAAAATAAATGATTTGATGAAGAGCTATGTTTCATTACAACAGTGCTTGACATGTATATATTAACAGGTATTTGTAGAATGAAAGACTGGGTGAATATATACTCCTAAACTTAACAAAACAATAAAGGAAGGTTACTACATTTATTGAACATCTACTATGTACTAGGCAGTCTGCACATTATCATGAAACAGCACAGCAAACTACCATTATATAAACAATTAAAGATGAAAATGGTGGCTCATGCCTGTAATCCCAGTACTTTGGGAGGCCGAGGCGAGCAGATCACGAGATCAGGAGATTGGGACCATCCTGGCTAACACAGTGAAACCCCGTCTCTACTAAAAATACAAAAAAAATTAGCTGGGCGTGGTGGTGGGTGCCTGTAGTCCCAGCTACTCAGGAGGCTGAGGCAGGAGAATGGCGTGAACCCAGCAGGCGGAGCTTGCAGTGAGCCGAGATCACGTCACTGCACTCCAGCCTGGGCAACAGAGTGAGACTCCATCTCAAAAAAAAAAGAAAAAAAAGATGAAAAAGGCTAAGTAACTTGCCCAAGTTTACACAGCTGTTAAGTGGCAGAGTTAGAATGCAAACTGGGAATGTTTCTGACCCCTGTTCTTACTTTTACTCATTCTATGTTGCCTAATAGAGATGAGTAGTTGGAATCATATGGTCTGTAGATCTGAAAATTTGAAATCATAACATCCTCAAACTTGGGTAAAAAACCCTCTCTTCTCCAAGTTTTGGGATGTACTCTGTGCCCAACAGAAGAAGGTAGAATTAAGAGCATGCTAACAGTCCTTAAAATACTGCAGTGAGTATATCTACGAATACCTGTTAATATGTACATGCCAAGCACAGCTGTAATCAAACATAGCTCTTCATCACATCATTTATTTTTGATATTTGTTATCACCTTTGCCTTGGAGTACTTTGACACAAAAAATAATAATTCCTCCTGAGTTGTTCTGGAACATAAATCATATTTTGACTTTTCTTTGGTACAACACAGCAGATAAGGTATAATGTCCAGAGGACCCCAAGATGGGTCATCAACCTAACCACTTTTTCACAAAATTTTCAACTAAGCTATGGGAAATATTTTTATTTTCAAAGAGAGCTTTGTTAACATGCATCTATTTCTCATTGACATAAAACAGAGGTGAGATTTTGACAAAAACTGGAATCACATTTCTCATATTGCTTGCCCAATTTCGGCTTCCACCAATTCATCAAATTTCTCCTGAAAGTCAAGACAGTAGGGATGAGCATAGGCACTTTTCTCCACCTCATCTCCTCCAATCCACTGTCCCAATCCCAAAGGTTCTCTGTGAACTGCATGTTTGGAAGGCTGTTCAAAACTAATTTTATTGACCTAATGACACTAGGAAAATTGTTGCAGTTGCTGTGAGTTTTCTTTTGCTACTTAGAACTGACATGAGCTGTAGAAGTCAGTAGACTTACTTTACAGACACTGTCAATGTTAGTCACCTTTACTAATTCAAAAACTCAGTGATAGTCACAGGTTTATCATAATCCAAACATGGAACATAGAAACAAACCCTATTAGTGGTGTGAACCTTTCAACCCTGATTAACTCATCTGCCTAAGACTTGAAATTTTATGCCAAGCAAGGATGATTATCCTACCGAAGGAAGTCTGACTGACATACTCATTTAGGACCAAAATATGCCTATCATTTCCCACTTCTTCAGCCCCTGGGGACTTCAGCATCTTCCCAGTCTTTGCAAAACTCCGTCTTAGACCTTTTTTTTGGTGGCTCCTATATTTTAGTCTACACTTTCCCTGCCTTTTGACTAACAGGGTTTTTTCTGTCCTTCTAGTCTGGCCTCAGTCAGCTGCTGGCAGTCTTAAGTTATTACCTTGGTCCACTTCCTTATTTCCATTCTTGATATTTAGGGTAAGGCACAGTTAGTCCCAAAAGACACAAAACATCAGCTGATGCATGAATTCTCCTGTTCAGGAACCATTGCAGTGAACTGTAGCAACTCATAGCTCCAAACCACATGCCACTGTACCCAAACAGAAAGAATCTATCCGCAGTCCATGACCAATACTAATCATCATAACAATTTTTTTTTTGAGATGGAATCTCGCTCAGCACCATGCCTGGCCTATAATGTTTTTTTTTTCATTCGTCAGTAGGCATTTATTTCCATCTTTCAGTTATTACGAATAATGGTTATGAGCATAGATGTACAGATACCTGTTTGTGTCCCTGCCTTCAATTTTTTAGGGCATATGCCCAGAAATGGAATTGCTAGATCAAATCGTAATTCTATCTGTAATTTTTTGAGGAACTGCCATACTATTTTCCACAGTGATTGTACCATTTTACACTCCCACAAGCAGTGCACAAGGGTTCAATTTCTCCATATCTTTGCCAACACTTGTTATTTTATTTTGTCTTCTTTTCCTTTTTGATAGTAGCCCTCTGTATTAGTTCATTCTCACATTGCTATAAAGAAATACCTGAGATTGGATAATTTATAAATTATGAAGAAAAGAGGTTTAATTGGCTCATGGGGTTCTGCAGACTACAGGAAGCCTGATGCTGGAATCTACTTGGCTTCTGGGGAGGCCTCAGGAAATTTACAATCATGGCGGAAGGCAAAGGAGGTGCCATGGCCAGAGCAGGAGCAAGAAAGAGAGAGGGTACCACACACTTTTAAACAGCTGAATCTCATGATAATTCACTCCCTATCATGAGGACAGCATCAAGGGGATGGTGGTAAACCATTCATGAGAAATCCACTCCCATGATCCAATCACCTCCCATCAGGCCCCACCTCTAACACTGAGGATTTCATTTCCACATGAGATTTGGGGGTAAAGTGATATCTCATTGTGGTTTTGATTTGCATTTCCCTGTTGGTTACAAATGTCGAGCATGTCTTTCTTTATTTGATTTTAAATGCTGAATTTGAGCAATAGGAATTGTATCAAATTAGCAAAATGGGCACCGTTCACAAGTACCTTAAGACTGTCCCTGTTCCTCATATCCCTTGGCATCAACATTTGCGATTGGATCATGGGAGCGGATTTCTCATGAATGGTTTACCACCATCCCCTTGGTGCTGTCCTCATGATAGGGAGTGAATTATCATGAGATTCAGCTGTTTAAAAGTGTGTGGTACCCTCTCTCTTTCTTGCTCCTGCTCTGGCCATGGCACCTCCTTTGCCTTCCACCATGATTGTAAGTTTCCTGAGGCCTCCCCAGAAGCCAAGCAGATGCCAGCATCAGGCTTCCTGTACAGCCTGCAGAACCATGAGCCAATTAAACCTCTTTTCTTCATAATTTATAAATTATCCAGTCTCAGGTATTTCTTTATAGCAATGTGAGAATGAACTAATACAGAGGGCTACTATCAAAAAGGAAAAGAAGACAAAATAACAAGTGTCGGCAAAGATATGGAGAAAATGAACCCTTGCGCACTGCTTGTGGGAGTGTAAAATGGTACAATCACTATGGAAAATAGTATGGCAGTTCCTCAAAAAATTACAGATAGAATTATGATTTGATCTAGCAATTCCACTTCAGGGCATATGCCCTAAAAAACTGAAGGCAGGGACACAAACAGGTATCTGTACATCTATGCTCATAACATCATTATTCATAATAACTGAAAGATGGAAATAAATGTCTATTGACAAATGAATGAAAAAAAAGTATTATAGGCCAGGTATTGTGGCTCAGATCTGTAATTTCAGCACTTTAGGAGGCCAAGACAGGTGGATTGCTTGAGCTCAGGAGTTCAAGACTAGCCTGGGCAACATGATGAAACCCAGACTCTAGAAAAAGTACAAAAATTAGCAAGGTGTGGTGGTACATGCCTGTAGTCCCGGCTACTTGGCACACTGAGGTGGGAGGATCACTTGAGCCAAGGAGGCAGAGGTTACTGTGTGTTGAGATTGCACCACTGTGCTCTGGCCTGGGTGACAAAGCCAGACTCTGTCTCAAAGATAAAAATAATGTAGTATACATATATACATACAATGGAATATTATTTAGCCTTAAAAAGGAGAGAAATTCAAATTCTGACACATCCTACATCATGGATGAACTTTGAAGATATTATGCTAAGTTACATAGCCAGATATAAAAGGAAAATATTGTATGATTTCACTCATATGAATTACTTAGAGTAGGCAACTTTGTGTACAGAGAGAGGAGCATGGCAGTTTCCAGGAACTGGGGGCAGAGGGAATGGAAAGTTACTGTTTGATGGGGATGAAGTTTTAGTATGGGCAGATGAAATTCTGGAAACCGGTGATGGTAGTGGATGCACAACACTGTGAATGTATTTAATGCCACTTAAGAATGATTAAAAAGGTAAATTTTATGATATATATGTTTTACTGCAATAAGAATATAATAAAAATTTAAAAATCAAATAAAAATACAACTGGAAATGACCAAAAAGATTCACATATCAATGCTCCTTGATTTTTGTGTATGCAGAAGCTGAGGCCACAAGAGATTAAACTTCTGAGTTAAGAAAACACATCTAGTTAGTATGGCAGAGCTAAAACAAGAACCTCATGATCCTGAGACTCCAAAACCAGGATATTTCCATTATCCCAGGGTTATCGCCCTTTCCTGCTAAGTTGCTTATTTCACTTAGCCACTTTGATTTCTGGCCTTCTCACAAAGCTCTGGTGTGTCCCCAGGCATGACTCTACATAACTATGGTCTCTTTTTGGTGATGGTTGACATTCTTGATACATGGCCCTTTCTAGAAGAAGGGGAGGATTGCTAATCTTCAACAAAAATACTAGTGGATTTCCAATTCTCAATACTATTACTTATGGCTGGATAATATTCTGAGACAGGCTAGCATAGTTTGACATCTGGTAAGGTGTCTTAACCAGCATGCCAACTTAGTGAAAGAGCCGGGTGTTAAATAAGCACAAGGACCAGTGATCTGATCTTTTCCTGTCTTGTTAATTTCTTTTTAAACTATATGACCAAAGTCTTGCAACACACTGTGATGAGGGGTGATCACAGCAAGCTATGACCCTGATAGGTGAATCCTAGCACCTTCATTAATCCCTGTGAAACTCCCCTGCCCCATCCTAACTTGGGTGAACCTATTCTGACATTGGTTCTCATGGGAGACTCCTGCCAATCATACAAAATAGTGGTATGTGACAGCAGTCATATTCAGGAGTACCCCTGTTCAATTTTCTCCTAGTTGGCCGAGCACGGTGGCTCACGCCTGTAATCCTAGCACTTTGGGAGGCCTAGGCGGCTGGATCACCTGAGGTCAGGAGTTCGGGATCAGCCTGACCAACATGGTGAAACCCCGTCTTACTACTAAAAATACAAAAACTAGCTGGGTGTGGTGGCAGGCGCCTGTAATCCCAGCTACTCAGGAGGCTGGGGCAGGAGAATAACTTGAACCTGGGAGGCAGAGGTTGCAGTGAGCCAAGATTGTGCCATTGCACTCCAGCCAGGGCGACAGAGCGAGACTCTGTCTCAAAAAAAAAAAAAAAAAATTCTCTTAGTTTCAGGCATTTCCCTTGTAGCTAAAATCTTGCAACATTGGAGTCTTCATCTGACTATGGCCCATCAGTAGTGGAATTATGTAAAGCCCCACATCTAGGAGCCAGACATTAAGGAGCTTCCTTTACTCTATCTCTACTCCTAAGATCAGTTCTGCAAGCTTAATCTCATTTTGAAGATTGAGAAACAGAGACTCAGATTTAATAAGTTTCATCAAATTCCTTATAAACAATCAATATACCCTTGAGTTCTAGCCTCTCACACATTCTAATCATGGCTGGCCCGTAATCATTCCTTCAGCATTCCTAACTCCAGATGGTCATTCACACCTTTTCCTTGTCCAGACCAGTGCTTCTCAAGCTTTAATGTGCATGGGAATCACCTGAATATCTTGATAATATGCAGGTTTTGATTCATTAGGTCTGAGATGGAGCATAAG
The DNA here is from genome assembly GCF_000001405.40 of Homo sapiens. Classification (NCBI taxonomy): domain Eukaryota; kingdom Metazoa; phylum Chordata; class Mammalia; order Primates; family Hominidae; genus Homo; species Homo sapiens. Next base: position 33,587,680 of record NC_000013.11, read on the forward strand.
ATTCTGCATTTCTAACATTTTTCCAGCCAATGCGTCTGAATCCAGATAATAAATTGTGCTTCCCAACAAGGTAGTCTTCAGCCACAAATTGTGATTACACACTTGAAATGTACTAGTTTGAACTGAGATGTGCTTTCAGTGTAAATGACACACCAGATTTTGAAGACATAGTCTAAAAAGAAGTGTATAAAAATCTCACAATTTTTATATTGATCACATGTTGAAATAATATTTTGAATATATTGGGTTAAATAAAAAGTATAATTAAAATCAACGTCTCCTTTTTTACCTTTTTAAATTGAAGATTAGAAAATTTAAATTGACAAATATGTTTCATATTATATTTCTATTGGACAGTCTGCTTTAGAGAATTCTCCTAAATCTTCTCTACCCATTTATCATTTAGCACATACTGCTTTGTAGTGATAAAAGTCACATATGCACATCTTGCTGGCTATGCAGTGAGCTCTTGAAATTCCAGGCTTGTATCTCATTCCTCATTGTGTAAGACTATATCTTATTCCTTCTTGTATCTACAGCCCCCAAAAAAGTACCTACCTTCTAATAGATTCTCAATGATCACCACTGAATAAAATTTGAACCCTTTTGAAATTTTGCAGTGCTTAGCACAATGCATTTCTAATAGAAGGTCTTAGATTAAGGTATGGGTCAGTTCCAGCCAACTTCAGTGCTTTACTTACAGTGTTTATGGATTGCCTGACCTGCTGTACTCTCTACTAAGGGAATTCTCAATAACTATAATATAAACCTAATCAAAACATAATTAGAAGGCAAACTACTGTAAAAAAGCCATCATCTAATGCATTCCTAAAAGAGATTTGGGGATTATATCTGCACCACTGGTTTTCTCCTTCAGGATAATTAAAAGTTGATTGAAAGAGAATTGCTTAAAAATAAAGAAGGTGACTGTTTCTTTTTCAGTACCATTGTCATGATTGAAATGTGGATCTTGAGAAGGCACTTGGCTAGAAGTAAGGGGCACATCGCAAATGTTATGTCCAACAGGATTTAAGAAACATTTACTCATCTTCAATTAGAGGTTCAAAGGTCACTTCCTCTTAGAGTTAAATGTACTTCCTGGCACATCTTCATTCATTCCTTATTCACTCATTCATTCACTCACTCACTTGCTTACTACTTATTCGCCCCCTCACTTAACTCACAGGCTCATTCTTTCAACAAGCAATTTTCTGGGCACCTACAATAAACCAAGTGCTGGTGATTTCAGCACTCATAAGCTAGTCTAGTGTAAGAGACAGACACATATAATTTCTTAAGTAAAAGGGAGTTTTCAGACCATCCTCTTTGCTTACTATTCTCTAAACTAAATCTGGTAGTTTGCTCTACTTTTCTGACCAATCATTTACACATTAGTATCATCATATAAAGAATTTATAGTATTCTCTGATGGTAGTTTGTATTTCTGTGGGATCGGTGATGATATCCCCTTTATCATTTTTTATTGCATCTATTTGATTCTTCTCTCTTTTCTTCTTTATTAATCTTGCTAGTGGTCTATCAATTTTGTCAATCTTTTCAAAAAACCAGCTTCTGGATTCATTGATTTTTTGAAGGGTTTTTTTGTGTCTCTATCTCCTTCAGTTCTGCTCTGATCTTAGTTATTTCTTGCCTTCTGCTAGCTTTTGAATGTGTTTACTCTTGCTTCTGTAGTTCTTTTAATTGTGATGTTAGGGTGTCAATTTTAGATCTTTTCTGCTTTCTCCTGTGGGCATTTTGTGCTATAAATTTCCCTCTACACACTGCTTTAAATGTGTCCCAGAGATTCTGGTATGTTGTGTCTTTGTTCTCATTGGTTTCGAAGAACATCTTTATTTCTGCCTTCATTTCGTTATGTACCCAGTAGTCATTCAGGAGCAGGTTGTTCAGTTTCCATGTAGTTGAGCAGTTTTAAGTGAGTTTCTTAATCCTGAGTTCTAGTTTGATTGCACTGTGGTCTGAGAGCCAGTTTGTTATAATTTCTGTTCTTTTACATTTGCTGAGGAGTGCTTTATTTTCAACTATGTGGTCAATTTTGGAATAAGTGCGATGTGGTGCTGAGAAGAATGTATATTCTGTTGATTTGGGGTGGAGAGCTCTGTAGATGTCTATTAGGTCTGCTTGGTGCAGAGCTGAGTTCAATTCCTGGATATCCTTTTCAACTTTCTGTCTCGTTGATCTGTCTAATGTTGACAGTGGGGTGTTAAAGTCTCCCATTATTATTGTGTGGGAGTCTAAGTCTCTTTGTAGGTCTCTAAGAATTTGCTTTATGAATCTGGGTGCTCCGGTATTGGGTGCATATATATTTAGGATAGTTAGCTCTTCTTGTTGAATTGATCCATTTACCATTATGTAATGGCCTTCTTTTTCTCTTTTGATCTTTGTTGTTTTAAAGAAAAAATGCTCATCATTAGTGGCTCTCAGAGAAATGCAAATCAAAACCACAATGAGATACCATCTCACACCAGTTAGAATGGCGATCATTAAAAAGTCAGGAAACAACAGGTGCTGGAGAGGATGTGGAGAAATAGGAACACTTTTACACTGTTGGTGGGACTGTAAACTAGTTCAACCATTGCGGAAGACAGTGTGGCGATTCCTCAAGGACCTAGAACTAGAAATATCATTTGACCCAGCCATCCCATTACTGGGTATATACCCCAAGGATTATAAATCATGCTCTCCTAAAGACACATGCACACATATGTTTATTGCGGCACTAGTCACAATAGCAAAGACTTGGAACCAACCCAAATGTCCATCAATGATAGACTGGATTAAGAAAATGTGGCACATATACACCATGGAATGCTATGCAGCCATAAAAAAGGATGAGTTCATGTCCTTTGTAGGGACATGGATGAAGCTGGAAACCATCATTCTCAGCAAACTATCGCAAGGACAAAAAACCAAACACCGCATGTTCTCACCCATAGGTGAGAATTGAACAATGAGAACACTTGGGCACAGGAAGGGGAACATCACACACTGGGGCCTGTCATGGGGTGGGGGGAGGGGGGAGGGGGGAGGGATAGCATTAGGAGATATACCTAATGTAAATGACCAGTTAATGGGTGCAGCACAGCAATATGGCACATGTATACATATGTAACACACCTGCACGTTGTGCACATGTACCCTAGAACTTAAAGTATAATTAAACAAAAAAATAATTTAAGTTTTTTTTAACATATCTAATCTTGAAGTCGCTTTGAGAATTTAAACTTATTATTTTCCAATCTGCAATTTTTAAAAGTCTCCTCGTACTTGTATAACAGAGCAATACTATGGAAAAGAGTACCTTAAAATTTAACATATGCAACTGTTATATTCTAATAACATTTGGAATTTCGCATTCATTTCATTTTTAAGACTTGCCTGGCTCTTGCCAGTAGCATTCTCCTACATATTTTCACCTTACCCACGCAAGAGCTGCAGTTTCACTGCAAGGCGAGGGCAGATGCTCAGTCAAAATCCTTGTCTGCAACGACTCAGGCCTGTTGTTCTCATGCATCCATTTACTCTGTCTTCCAGATAGGAAGGTCCAGCTAATAGTGATTATCTGAAGCCACGTTTATTAAAGAAAACTCTGTCTGTTGGAACTTTACCTTATTTATCATGTAAAAAAAGGATGAAATGCTAGTTTGGAAACTCATTTTCAGTAAAAAATGTGTATTTGCATGTGTTATATGCATATATCAGTGTATCTTGATGGGATCATATATCCCCTGCCATAATATAAGTTCTTGTCTTTTTCAGCATTGTACTCCCCAGATTATGCACAAGAAAGTTTTCTAAATTGAAATGGAATCTATGACCACATAAGCTAGGCATGACAGAAGGGAGAGGCATTTTATTTCTAAGTCTCATTTCATCACTATCATCACAACAAATTTAACATTCCTTATTTTCTGAGAAAAATAATCTATTTGATATCCCAGTATAATCATATCTTTGGAGAAAAGGGATTCTGCTCATTTTTCTGGAGCCACACATGGCTGTGCATTTGGGGAGTTCCCTGCAGCTAGGCTTTACACACGACAGTCATTGGTCTAGCGGTGACACTGGAACAGGACAAAATTAATTTCTTGCCCTGAGAAATATGGAAGGAAAAAAAAGAAACATAAAAATCTATTATTTGGACAGCTTTAAGCTTTGACCTACTCAACAAAGCTAATGCAATAGTGATGTTCACTCATTAATTAAAATTCTTCTAATATGAATTTTATATTAATTATGTATTTTATATTCATATTATGCATTACCTGTTAGAGGCTTGTATGCCCGCAGCACTAATGCTAGTAATTAAAGATCTGTTGGCAACCTGCTTTTTAGCAACACGGTTTTGAATCATAGGAAGCTGAAATCTGGCATACAATTTGTCATTCATGCTGAAGTGGGTATTTTTCTTCAAAACGCAATTAGAATTAGTTCATGTCATTTTAGTTTAAAAGCAACAAAGGCAAATGGTTTGTTGCTTTACGTTGGCATTGAGTCCAGTGGATCGATTTTCAAATTCTGCCTTAAAATATAAGTTTTTGGTTTTCCATGCGTATGAATCAAATCCCCTTTGGTATTCAAAGAATAAAAATTATCCTTTAGTTTGTATCAGTTTTCAAGTTACTATATTGTATAATATGTTTATTTGTTTTAGCCATAAAAAATAGGCCCAACAGGTTATTTCAGACCTGAGATCTGGAGGATCTGGGGTGCTAAGATGATCAGAAGGAGACAATGCATTGCTTAGGAGGTCAGCAATGGGAGAGAATTCTAGGGCCTCATGCCCTTGCCAGGGGTCAACTGTTTACAGGAGAATGAGATACTCCAGAGATCAGATATATAGTTGTGATCCTGACCTAAGATACAGTCTTACACAATGAGGAATGAGATATAAGCCTGGAAAGTTCCCTTTTGAGGACTTTAAAAAAAGTCTTTTATTTTATAAGGAGTGCAACGAAGAGCTTAGATACTTGCTTAAGATCATAGGGCTTATTAAGAACTAACTCCTGATTCCTTCCCAGTCCAATTTTCTGACACAAGCATACACTGAGAATTTGAGTAACTTAATGAGTTGAAATAGTTTTAAATTGATGTGAAAGTTTTCAATGTAATTTAGCAAATGCTTATTGAGTACCTTCTACAGAGAGAGGGTAATGTAGGCCTAAAGCCCAAGCTCCCTCAAATAGTTCTGGACAACAGGCTGGAGTAGATTATAAAGAAGGCAGGAGGGCTGGGTTGGGGACATCAGAGCTCAACATATCATGGGGAGAGGCTGAAGACCACTTGGATGCAGGAATGAAGGTGGGCACCTAGGAGAGGGGTGGGAAGAGCTCCAGAGATGCTCCATGGGTGCACTAGGTCAATATGCCAGGGCTGAGGATCTGATACATGTGCCTCTATGAGCCAAGGCTGACAATTATGTCAATTCAGCCAGATTATGGAGTAGAAGATGTGGAAGATGTTTACTTTTATTTATTTATTTTTATTTTTTATTTTTTTATTTTTGATACAGAGTCTTGCTCTGTCACCCAGGCTGGAGTGCAGTGGCAGGATCTCTACCCACTGCAACCTCTGCCTCCCGGGTTCAAGTGATTCTCCTGCCTCAGCCTCCGGAGTAGCTGGGATTACAGGCACCTGCCACCACACCCAGCTAATTTTTCTATTTTTAGTAGAGATGGGGTTTCACCATGTTGTCCAGGCTGGTCTCAAACTCCTGACCTCAGGTGATCCCCGCCTTGGCCTCCCAAAGTGCTGGGATTACAGGCATGAGCCACCGTGCCCTGCCAGATGTTTACTTTTAAACTGTCAGAACTTACTATGAGCTTTTTCACTCATAACCTCGAGACTCTCTTTTCTGGAATAATGGAGACCCACAGGACATTTATGCACAGATTCAGCCCCATGCCAGTCTTGCCTTAGCTAAGGAAAAATTAAGAGGCCATACTCAATCCTAAGAAAATACATCCTTTGACCGGGGTATTAAATACCAATAACAGTTTCTCCTTGTTCCTGAGATCAATCCCTCCCAAATTGCTGCATCCCTACACAGGTCCCAATATCTACATTGGATTTCTGTGTCAGGATTCACCTGACAGGACATCCCATCTCTCTAGAGATGGGATCAGTCCCCATCTCCCTTACCCAGGGCTGACACAGTCCCCTGGTGGCAGTTGCCTAAGCTCTTCCAATAGCACCTACTTCTGTTTTTGTTTTTGTTTTCTTTTTTTGAGACGGAGTCTTGCTCTGTCGCTCAGGCTGGAGTGCAGTGACGCGATCTCGACTCACTGCAAGCTCTGTCTCCCGGGTTCACGCCGTTCTCCTGCCTCAGCCTCCCAAGTAGCTGGGACTACAGGTGCCCGCCACCATGCCCGGCTAATTTTTTGTATTTTCAGTAGAGATAGGGTTTCACCATATTTCCAGGATGGTCTCTATCTCCTGATCTTGTGATCCTCCTGCCTCGGCCTCCCAAAGTGCTGGGATTACAGGCATGCCAATGAATAGCACCTACTTCTAATCCTCATGGTGTTATTCTGTCTAGCCATGAAGATACCCATTACATCTGAAACTTGCTGAAATATTATAGGCTTTGGATTCAGCCAGATCTGCCAACTAAATGCCATCAGAGGTCTTGTTCAGAGGACCAGCTCTGCCAAGCTTTTTCTGCCATAATGAATCATCTCATATCTGGTTGCATCACAGGATCTCACAAAAGATTTAGGAGGATGATCTACTAAAACCATGAACTTTGAAGTTTGTTAGACCTTATTAAAATATTTGGGTTACTTTTTAAAATTATTTATTTTCTAAAAATTGTGGTAAAATATACATAACAAAATTTATCATTGTAATGATTTTAAAGTGTGTAGTTCAGTGGCATTAAGTTCATTAACGTTGTTGTGCAATCATCACCATCATCCATATCCAGAACTTTTTACCTTCTCACACCGAAACTCAACCCATTAAACATGAATTCCTCATTCCTGCCTCTCCCCAGCCCTGGCAACCAGCAATCTACTTTCTGTCTATAAATTTGCCTACTCTAAGCACCTTTTATGAACAGAATTATGCAGAACTTGTCCTTTGTGACTGGTTCACTGAGCAGAATATCTTTAAGTTTCATCCATGTTATGGCATATGTCTGAATTTCCTCCCTTTTTAAGCTGAATAATACTTGACTGTATGTGTATACTGCATTTCTTTATGTGTGTCTCTGTCTATGGACACTTGGATTGCTTCTACCATTTGGCTATTGTGAATAATGCTGCTGTGAACATAGGTGCACAAATATTTTATCCCTGGTTTGTTTCTTTGGGATATATATCAAAAAGTGGAATTGCTGGATCATATGGTAATTCTAGTTTTAATTTTCTGAGAAACTTCCAAACTGTTTTAGGACTACCTTTTAGACCTGACATTGAACAAAAACATTTTACCATTTCCACTTCTTCACATAGATGTACTTCGGAGGTAACAGTAAAATGATTTTGAATGCATGCATGCTTATTGGGGTTAAGAGAGAAGCTTACTTCATTATCTTTAAAATAGAGCTTATGTGTGTTGAAGTTTGGGCAAATAAAAGTATGTTACAGCCTATTAGAAAGTAAAAACAAAACAAAAAACTCTATCTACTAAGACCTAACTATGTGGATCATCTAGAGAACATGTCAGCTAGAGCAATCCACATTGTCTCACTGGCATAATATGATGTTTTTTAGATAAGGACAGTAGGAGTTAAAAATTAAATGGATCACTAGGCTTAAATGCTTTTTTAAAAGAGAAAATTTAAATTATAATGAGAACAGAGTTTAAAAGATTATAAAATGTGTTAATATAGAGAAAGATACCCTTATTTAAATTATACCTAAGTCTTTCTAAAAATAAAGTGAAAATCTTCAATCTAAGATACATGGGTTGTGCACACATAGATGAAATCTACTTTTACAAAATGATTTACTGTGTACCTAAAGAATGGATTCACTCAGGGGAACCAAATACCAAGTTATGGTTTATTGCAGAATAATAAATCTGCAATTTGGAAAAGTCTTGGGTCAGCATGGCATGGTTTTTAGCAATTATGAAATGGCTAGGTTTTAAATCTTGTGATTTAATCACGTATTAAAATACTCTCTTAAAAATTGTTGCAAGACAGCTCTGTTAAAACAAACAAACAAAGAACCACAGCTTCTAACTGGATTTCTGCTAATTGTCCTGAAGCTTAGCATTAGGAGAAGAGCCCACTCTTTATTTCTGTGCTGTTTACTGTTTAAATTGTATTGGATCTTGAGTATTTGTAGCCTCAGTTTGAAATCAGATGCTCTTCCAGATATGAACCAACTGACTAACTTCCAGGAGATATCAGGGAATCATTATCCAATATGTGATTTCATAGTTTGTTCTCAGCTGTGATTTATTAAGCTGGTGGCTATTGTCATTAAGGATTGCTTGTGTATGGTAATAGTATAGATTCAGCATAGAGAATTGAAAAATTATATTTGTTTCACTTTGTTTCAAAGGCTAATTGTTTGGTGTTTTCATCATTTCTATGATAGGCGAAACGCCCCAAGTGAAAGGGTTAAATCATCAAATTATATTTTTATCCTTATAAAAAGTATTAAATACTTATTCTAACACACTCCATTATGTCATGGTTTAAGTCTCGTACCCACAATATATATGGTATAGTTGAAATGTCATCAATACACACACATGCATGTTATATATATTTAGTGATTCATAATGATTATACATATTTATGGGGTACGTGTGATGTTTTGATATATGCATACAATGCTTAATGATCAAATCAGGGCATTTAGGACATTTATCACCTCAAATATTTATCATTTCTTTGTGTTGGGAACATTCCAAATCTTCTGCCAAATTTGAAACATATAATAAACTATTGTTAACTACAGTTACTACACTGTGCTACCAAATACTGGAATTATTCCTTCTAACTGTATGTTTTATCCATTAACCAACCTCTCTTCATTCCCTGACCCTTCCCTTTCTCTGATAACCATAATTCTACCCTCTACCTCCATGAGATCAACTTTTTAAGCTCCCACATATGAGTGAGAACATGCAATATTTGTCTTTCTGTGCCTGGCTTATTTCACCTAACATAACGACCTACAGTTCCAACCATGTTCCTGCAATGATAAGATTTCATTCTTTTTTTGTGGCTGAATAGTATGCCATTGTGTATATATATCACATTTTCTTTGTCTATTCATCCATTGATGAACACTTAGGTTGGTTCCACATCTTGGCTATTGTGAATAGTGCTGCAATAACTATAGGGGTTCAGGTATCTGTTGATATACTGATTTCCTTTCCTTTAAATAAATACCCAGTGGTGGGATTGCTGCATAGTACTGCTGTTCTATTTTTAGTTTTTTGAGAAGACTCCATGGTTTTTTCCATAATGGCTGTACTATTATAATTTACATTCCCAACAGTGTATGAATATCCTTTTCTCTGCATCCTTGTCAGCATTTCTTATTTCCTGTCTTTTTGACAATAGCCATTCTAACTGGGGCAAGATGCTATCTTGTGGTTTTGATTGGCATTTTCCTGATGATAGTGACATTGAATATTTTTTTCATATACTTGTTGGTCATTTATGTTTTCTTTTGAGAAATGTCTATTCAAATCCTTTGCCCATTTTAAATGGAATTGTTTGGGTTTCTCTTTTTTTTTTGCTGTTCAACATCTATATTATTACTAATCATTACTCTAATGTGTTTCTACATTCTTGGTTAACAGAATTATCCAGACTTTTCTCATTTCATCATACAACCTTTATTCTACTATGTGTTGGGCAGAGTAGTGGGTGCTGGTGAAATATAGATAAATAAAATTGCAACCAGGCGCGGTGGCTCACGCCTCTAATCCCAGCACTTTGGGAGGCTGAGGCAGGCAGATCACCTGAGGTCGGGAGTTCCAGACCAGCCTGACCAACATGGAGAAACCCCATCTCTACTAAAAAAAAAAAAAATAGAAAAATTAGCCGGGCATGGGGCACATGCCTGTAATCCCAGCTATTCGGGAGGCAGAGGCAGGAGAATCGTTTGAATCTGGGAGGCAGAGGTTGTGGCGAGCTGAGATCGCGCCACTGCACTCCAGTCTGGGCAACAAGAGTGAAACTCCGTCTCAAAAAAAAAAAAAGATTGCACTTTTGTCTTCAAGACACTCAACATCTAATTAGGCAGAAGTTGGATAAATGTTGATGGCTATTATTTGATAGATTTGAACTATAATATATTGTACTGACAGAAAAATAAGTGAGTGCCTGAATGATGCTATTTGTTCTACAAATTTTCTTCAAGAGCTTATTAATCATGTCATCTTTGCCACCTGACCCCAGCCTTTAGGACATTCCTGACATAGCCATCAAGGTGTTCATGGTCTCTTCTACCCTAATGTCAATGTCCTTTTTTGCTAAGCCAGTAGTCTCACTGTTTCTTGACTTCTACTCCTAGAGATTTGGTATCCTACATGCTACTCATATGGCTCCCTTCGAACTTAGTATTCCCTCGTATTGCACAGTAAGAGATGAGTCTGGTTCGATGGTTGTGAATGTTCTCCAGGAACATTCAATTTGAGGATAAAAAGAAGTATCAAATTCTGAATCAAACTGTTCTCAACTGTCTCTGAAGGGAAAATCTCATGGTTGTGCTCTTAGGCTGTAACTCAAATGAATGATTTTAGCCCTATTTGGGTACTAAATGACTCTTTTTAAATTAATCTATCCTATTAAGACTATATTTTATTACAGTTATTTGTTTATGCATCTATCACTCCTATTTAGACCAAGATTTGCAAGTGTAGAAACAGTGTTGGTATAATACAATATGTGAGAAAAAGTTTTAGCATTTTCATAATTTCCATCAGTAACTCTCCTCTGCCATTTTAATATTAATACAACTGATATTTTCTCAGTTTTATGGAAAATATGAGTGAAGACATCTTCATAAAACTTTGCTAGTTTTTTAAATTAATCTATAACATATAATCTTAAACTAACTTCACTTGAAATGCAAACACAGCCTCATGACAAATCCCTTAGCTCCTAAATTACCGTCCCTAAACTTCTAAACAGAAATTCTGGAGATGCCATGGGGCGGGAGCTGGGCATTTTTCATCTTTGGATCACTAACTTGTAAATTCATGCCAAGAAGACAGTAGGCTCTCCTTACATGTTTCCTAAAAAATTTAGGTTCAAGAGAAATCTGTGTATCAAGAGCTTTCATTCCTTTAAAAGAAATATTTATGGTTTGCCATGATGTAAGAAACTTTTGGGAGTGATATCTACAAGGAGGGAATTTCAATTGTGAGAGTTTCAATTTAAAAAAAATTCATCCAGCAGTTGGTTTCTCTTCCAAACTTCCTTGAGAAACAGCCTCAACCATATCATATTGCGCTGGGTTTTATTTTAGGCATCCTAACCCAAACCAAGTTTATTTATCCCCTCATTAGTTTATTTGAAAAGCAGTAAGTAAAGAAATCTTACATCCCAGCCTTAAAACTTTTCACGTGTTCCAGGAACTCCCTTTGCACTAATTATACTTATAACACTGGAACTAGATTATTTCCTTTATAGAACTCAGAGGCTTCCAAAGAATACCTGAAACTCTTAACCTGAAATCAAATGAGCAGTTTGAGGATCTCAGTAACACCATAACAACAATCTTTACCCTTTTATTTCTTTTGTTAATACTTTTCTCAGCTCTCAGTTTCATCAGTTACTTAATAACCTTGTTTATCAATTTCCTTATTAATAAAAGAAAACTTCATTCCTAGGAGCTTAGGTGAAGTGAATTGCCTCTATCCTCCTCCTCATTAAGCTTTTGGAAGGCACCTTGGACAAATGAGCCTAAATTACCGTGCCTGCCAACAGCAAATATTTTCCACAAGAAGGCCTTTTTAAGGAGAAATTTAGGTCAAAAGCAGCAAAATTTAAAGAGTTTACAGTTTACAGTGACTACTGAACTAGCGCTATGAGAGAGAGAGTGAGAGGGAGAGAGAGACAGAGAAAGACTTCTTTATAAACATAATGCCATTTAATAAATGTGGAATGAATTGATATAACTAAAACAAAATTCCCATTTTATACTTCTCAATATGAATAAATGATTAAGGCAAGATTAAGATCAATGATGGATTACAACCATTAGCTGAAATGTTGTTCTGAAACTGAGTGTTCAAATGGTCACAAAGTTTCTCCATGCATGTTACTTACGAATTACAAATGGAAAACGCCCCTTTATACCAAAGAGATCCAGCATGCATCATCTTACAACTACGTGATCAAACTTGCTCTCACCCACAGGGAACCCATCTGACTTTATTTGCCACCTGATGGGATGCAATTAGTACTCAATATCACGTATGTAGTTTTCTTGCTAAAAACCAGAGCCTGTATCAAATTGTGAAGAAATAATCATACACATCTAGAATGTGGAACATTCTTCAAGACACTGATCTGGATTCAAAAAAAGTGAATGTCATGAGAAACAGAATAGGGAGAATACTGCTCCTGATAAAGTGATCAAACAGACCAAAACAACAACAGCAGAAAGCAAAGTACAAATCTTGATTTGACCCAGGATTTTTTAAATCTATGAAAGATAGTATTAAGACAATCAAAAAATTTAAATATAGCCCGTGTAAAATGGTAATCCATGTATTTAATTCTTATGAATAGTTAATGGTATTTTGGTTATATAGAAGAAAGTGTTAACTCTTAAGTAACTACACAGTTCAGCATAAACATGCATATCTGTCTGTTTTAGATCCATTTGTATGTACACACAGAAACACATACATACATATACATAGAAAGAAAGCAAATGGGTGAAATGTTAATTTGTGAATCTTGGTGAAAGGTATACGGTATTCCTATTCAATTTGTTAATATTTCTGCAGGTTTAATTTTTTTCAAAGTAAAAAGTAGGGGAAAAATAAGAAAAGGGATGTACACTTTTTACCAGAAACATTGTATGGCTGTCAATACCTTAATAAAAATTATAAATCAGCTTTTTAAAAAAAGTCTTATTTCTCCTGTCTCTGCCATTTCATATGTGTGTGACCATAGATGGGCTATTAAGTTCTGAATAAATTTTTCTAATCTGTAAAATGAGGAGATAATGCTCATTTTAAAGAAGAATAAAGAGACCAAGAAGATCCTAAAACTTGTGTTTGCTATCTTCTCCTACGTACTATGGTATGAAAGGGAAAAGTGCTCACATTACTTCTCTCCTCTCATCCCTTTCCTTTCTCAAGCAACACTTGGATCAAACGATGGAAAATGTTATTTTCATTTTTCATTAACATGGGAATTCTACTATTCTTGTCTTTTGGTGTGTGATGACACGTGCAGCTCACAGGGTAGAAGATTTGAGGTGGAAGGGCTAAAACATGGTCGCCCTATGATCATTTCTATTGTTGCATCACAATAGAGGATAAGGGTTAAATTCAACCATTTTTTTTCCAGGTTTCAAAAAATGTTTTTGTTTTTTTTTTTTTCTGCTGTGGCCAGCAGACCTTGATTTCTGTTGCTAGGAAACCTGGAAGGTACTTTTTAGTCCTCATAGAAACCATGTTTTAATGCAATCACTTTCAATGACTCTTTATTGGCTGTTTTGCTTGGTGCCAACTCAAAGAAGGTTCACATCAAACCCTTACAAGGTGAACCTGATCGTGTCAAACTGCGCTAGCCCTGGGGACTTTGTGGAAGTGCCTCAGGGGTTTCTTGGGGATAGGAAAGGGTGGGAGCCAGGGGGCAATACCCCTCCCCACTTCAAGCAGAGCAATTCTACTTTGATCTGCTTTAATGTTAGGCTTTCTTTGAAGAAAATGCTTTATGGGAGGGAGTATTTGAAAAGCCTTGACCTAATCTAACACACAAGAAAGCTGAATTTCTGCGAAGTGACTTGCCCAAAGTTACCCAGTTCCCAAACACCAAGACTGGGATTAAACCTGAGTGTTCTGATTCCAGATCTCTTTCTATTACCCCACACTTCCTGCTCCTCCTCACCATGCCTACCTGGTCCTTCCTTTCACCATGTTCCGGAGATCCCTGGCCTGACTCTGTGCCCAGAACTGTGAAGGACAGTAGACCCTGGAGGGCAGTGTTGTAGTGGGCCCAAAACTGTTGACCCCTGGATATTTTCCTGAGGATGCTGCGATCTCTAGTTAACTACTGACAGCACTTTCCCCAGGTTCCTTTCAGAGAGAATGGCTTTAAGCAGTCGTATGGAAAAACATTTTTTTCTACTGTGGCTGTGAGCATTTGGGAACTTGTTCCTGAGAATAAATAGGAGGATCTGGCTCAGCAATACTGGGGATGATATAATCTGAACCACCTCCTGTGACGAACATCTAGTAATTCTTTTTTTTTTTTTTTTGAGATGGAGTTTTGCTCTTGTCGCCCAGGCTGGAGTGCAGTGACAAGATCTCAGCTCGCTGCAACCTCTGCCTCCCAGGTTCAAGCGATTCTTCTGCCTCAGCCTCCCGAATAGCTGGGACTACAGGCACGTGCAACCACGCCCAGCTAATTTTTTGTATTGTTAGTAGAGACAGGGTTTCATCGTGTTAGCCAGGATGGTCTCGATCTCCTGACCTCGTGATCCGCCTGCCTTGGCCTCCCAAAGTGCTGGGATTGCAGGCGTGAGCCACCAAAACACCTAGTAATGTTTTTAAGCATTTAAAAAATGCCTAGCAGAGCTCAGAAGACTGAAAAAGGTTCAAAAGCAAAGCAGGAAAAGAAAGCCAGAGCACATAGATATGATCTGATTTTGCTACTTTAAGAAGGTGGGGGGCAGTTTATTAACCCAATTCAGGTGTCAATGTCAATTTAAGGACAGCAGTTGAGACATGTTCAAGATGGAGGTGAAGCTGACCCAATAGTCCCATAGACCAGAGGTCTCCAAACCTGGGGCCATGGACCGGTCTGTGGCCTGTTAGGAACTAGGCGGCACAGCAGGAGGTGAGCAACAGGTAAGCAAGCATTACTGCCTGAGCTCCATCTCCTGTCAGAGCATTGATGGCATTAGATTCTCATAGGAGCATGAACCCTGTTGTGAACTGTGCATATGGGAAATCTAGATTGTGTGCTCCTTATGAGAATCTAACTAATACCTGGTGAGGTGAAACAATTTCATCTGAAACCATCCCCCTGGTCCCCCAACCCCTGGCTGTAGAAAAATTGTCTTCCACGAAACTAGGCCCTGTTGCCAAAAAGGTTAGGGACCACTGCCATAGACAGTTGTTTTGGGATAAACATAGAAATTGATCCTTCTGGTCTTAAAGCTTGAAACTTATATTTGTTTTAAGAGTTCCTTCCTCAGGAAAGGATCCCTCGGGCCAAGGATCCCTCGGGCCTCTCAAAGTATCAAACAAGCAAAACTCACCAGATCACCACATCCAGACAATAAGATACTGGACCCATTAATTCATCATGATTGCTTTCTTACCCCTCCCTAGTTCCTGTTTTCTTACACATTGTTGCATTTCTCCCTGCTATATAAACCCCAAGTTTTAGCCGTCAGGGAGATGGATTTAAGAGTGATCTCCCATTTCCTCCATTGCAGCACATGATTAAAACCTTCTTCCTTGGCAATACTCGTTGTCTCAGGCATTGGCTATCTGTGTGGCAAGCAGCAGGACCTAAACCAAGCCCCTGGTGTTTTGGTAACAGAAGGCTGGAACTGAACAAGCTCCTAACCCCTAACATACATAACGCTGGGACTTATGAGGACTACACACACAACAAAAGGGTAAGCCAGAAAAATTCAGCACAGGGTGAAGACAAGGAGATTGCTCTCTTCCTGGCTAGGCTTCAGGTAGAAGCATGAAAATTCTACTCTGAGAATTCATAAGTATGGGCCTTATGGATTTAGAGTACAAACTGATGCTTTCTAAACATCAGGAACTCCCCTAACCTGGTCAATTAAAAAAAATTGATCTCAGCCAAGTGATAAATCTAAAAGAGTACATTTTGGAAGCAGAAGTAAACACATTTTTGAAAAAAAAATTTTAAAAATTTTTCACTGGATTCCCATAGTTAAAATCTCACAGAAGTTGTTTTAGCCTCAGACCTGTGTGTGCTGTGTGATCCCACAAACCCCATTTAAAAAACTTTAGGAAGAAAAAAATCCACCAGTAGAAAAAGAAGACAAAGCAATACCACATTTAGAGTTCCTAAAATTCCAGATAACATAACATTCTGGCAGATGAGAAAATAATAATTTTTAAAAGGATTAAAAGTACAAAAAATAAAACCCAAAGAAATAAGACACTCTTACAATTAAGTAGATTAAAATAGGTAGATAAAAAGCCAAGTAAAATTTTGAGAAATAAAAAGCAATCATTATATTAAAAATTAAATTGACAGATTAAATAACAAAGTCAGAACTGAAGCAGGAATTTGTGAATGGCAAAATAGTTCTGAGGATATTATGCAGAGTGGACTACCAAGAAATGGTGAAGAAATGTGGAGGGTAGAATGAAAATCAGCAATACATGTCAGACAGAAATGTCAGAAAGAAATGATAAGGATCTGAGAGGCAGAAATTTCTAAAATTTATGAAATTCATAAATGCTCAGATTCATGTAGTACAATTAATGCCAAGCATAATAAAAAGAAATTTGCATCTAGACACATGATAGTGAAATTACAGAACACCAAAGACAAGGAGAAGATCTTAGGAGAAACCAGAAAGAAAAAGAACAAATATTTTATCAATAGCAAACTTCTCCAAAGCAATACTGGAGGCTAGAAAAGAATAGAATAACTTAAGAATGCTAAAAGAGGCCAGGTGCAGTGGCTCATGCCTGTAATTCCAGCAATTTGGGAGGCCAAGACAGGCAGATCACCTGAGGTCAGGAGTTTGAGACCAGCCTGGCCAATATAGCAAAACCCCGTCTTTACTAAAAAAATACAAATATTAGCTGGGCATGGTGGTGTGTGCCTGTAATCTCAGCTATGCAGGAGGCTGAGGCAGGAGAATTGCTTTAATCTGGGAGGCAGAGGTTGCAGTGAGCTGAGATTGGGCCACTGCACTCCAGCCCGAGGGACAGAGCAAGACTTTGTCTTTAAAAAAAAAAAAAAGAATGCTAAAAGAAAATGTCTAAAAAGCTAGATCTCTGTATTTAACTAAACAATAACTATGAGTACAGTTGAAATATAGACCAGTCCAGACAAAAATATAGAGAGTTTTCTACTCACAGATCTTTGCCCAAAGACATACCAAATTTGGCTGGGTGCTGTGGCTCTCACCTGTAATCCTAGCACTTTGGGAGGCCAAGGGAGGATTGCTTGAGTCCAGGATTTTGAGACAAGCCTGGGCAACACAGTGAGACCCTATCTCTACCAAACATTAAAAAATTAGCTGGGTGTGGTGGTGTGAGCCTGTAGTCCCAGCTACTTGGGAGCCTGAGGTGGAAGGATGGCTTGAGCTCAGGAGTTTGAAGTTGCAGTGAGCCATGACAGTACCACTGCACTCCAGCCTGGGTGACAGAGCCAGATCCTGTCTCAAAAAAAAAAAAAAAAAAGAAGAAAAAGATAAATTTTATCCAGAGTGTTGCTCAGGCTGCTCTCAAACTCCCGGGCTCAAGTGATCCTCCTGCCTCAGCCTCCCAAAGTGTTGGAACTACAGGAGTAAGTCACCACATCCAGTCTTGTTTTATTTTTTATCTAGTATTTCTTCTTGAGTCAGTTTTAAGTTATAGTTTTCTAAGACAGAGCTTCTAAATTTATCAAAGACCAACACTTTTGTAAAATACAAAATTATGTGCTTGGATGCTGCAGTAGGGTAACAACAACAACAAAAAAATGCTTTAACAGGTTTTAAGCACTTACTCTCGGTTTCTGTACTTACTTTGTGGCAGAGTGGCAAGAAATAATTTGCTGATCAGTCAGCTGACCACACTTTGAATAGCGCTGTTCTAGGAAAACATCTGGTTGTCAAAGTTTTCAAATCTCTTAATAGAGTACTGTGCATAATATTTTCATATTAAACATTGTTAGTGATGTGTAGTTATGTTGTTTTACCAGTCCTAATATTGTTTATTTCCACTGTTTTTCTAGATATATCAGGCCATAGTTCTACTTCGGTAGTCTCTTGAAAGAAACAAATTTGGGATGTCGATTCTCTTTATTGCATTTTTGTTTAGTTAGATGACTAATGTGCTTGTTAAGGACATGGACTCTAGAGTCTGGGGTATGGGCTTGAGCCCCAATTTCTCTACATACTAGCTGAGCAAGTTACTTAATCTCTTCATGCCTCAGATGCCTCAACTGAAAAAAGGTGACAGGCCAAGCACGGTGGGTCGTGCTTGTAATCCCAGCACTTTGGGAAGCCTAGGTGGGTGGATCAACTGAGGTCATGAGTTCAAAACCAGCCTGGCCAACATGGTGAAACCCCATCTCTACTAAAAATAACAAAAATTAGCTGGGTGTAGTGGCAGGTATCTGTAATCCTAGCTACTCAGGAGGCTGAGACAGGAGAACTGCTTGGACTCCGGAGGTGGAGGTTGCAGTGAGCCAAGATCGCACCATTGCACTCCAGCCTGGGCAACAAGAGCAAAACTCCATCTCAAAAAGAAAAAAAGAAAAAATGCAATAATAATACCTATATATAAGGTTATTGTAAGAAAGAAAAGGGTTAATATGTGTAAAACATGTAGAATATTTCTCAGGATATTATAAGTTCTTAAAATATTAGCTTTATTTTCACTATCGCATTAATTTCTGCTTTTCCTTTAATGATTTTTCTTCCATTTTTTGCATTTACTCTGCTATTAATCTAACTTCTTGGGTTGTATACTTTATTATCTGAAATTTTTTTCAGTATGGGCATTTTAAGGCTGTCTACTTTCTATAATTACTGCCTTAACAGAATCTCAAAAGCTTTGATATGTAACATTATTATTTTATGTAGTTTTTAATTTCCACTGGTGTATTAGTTTTCTTTTGCTGCTGTAAAGAAATTACCACAAATGTAGTGGCTTAAAATAACACAAATGTCTTATAGTTCTACAGATCAAAAGTCTAACACTGGTGTTATTGGGCTGAAATCCAGGCGATGGCAGAGCTGCGCTCCTTTCTGGAGGCTCCGGGGAGAATTCTCTTCCTTAACCTTTCAAGCTTCTCGAGGCCCTCTGCACTCCCTGGTATGCTGCATCTTTCAGACCGCTTCTTCTGCCTCTCTCCCAGGCACTTTAGGACCCTTTCATTTACACTGGGTGCACCTGGATAATCCGGGTTAATCTCTTTGTTTAAGGTCAGCTCATTAGCAGCCTTAATTCATCTGCTACCTTCATTCCTTTTGTCACGTGACCTAGCATTTCACAGTTCCCAGGGATTACAAAGTGGATACTTGGGGGACAGTTTTGTTTTTTTTTTTTTGCCTACCGCAACTGATTTATACATTTTTAAGTGTCCCAATATATGTGAAATTTTTGGTTGATTTTGATTTTTAATTTTAAAGCACTGAAGTTACACAATGCACTAATAATAAAAATAATAACAAAAATAAAACAAAAACATGGTGTTTAAGATTACGAGTGAGTTAGTTTGTCAGCTATCATTGTTTCTTTTTTTTTTTTTTTTGAGACAGAACCTCGCTCTATCACCCAGGCTGGAGTGCAGTGGCGCAATCTCAGCTCACTGCAACCTCCGCCTCCTGGGTTCAAATGATTCTCCTGCCTCAGCCTCCAAGTATCTGGGACTACAGGTGCGTGCCACCACACCTGGCTAATTTTTTGTATTTTTAGTAGAGATGAGGTTTCACTGTCTTAGCCAGGATGGTCTGGATCTCCTGACCTGGTGATCCGCCTGCCTCAGCCTCCCAAAGTGCTGGGATTACAGGTGTGAGCCACCACGCCTGGCCCATTGTTTCTTTTCTGATGGTGCAAATTGGAGGCAGGAGAGGTTAAAAAGTTAAACTGATTAGAAAGGAAGAAAAAAAATTCATTCTTGATATTATCGTCCACACAGTTAATCCTAGAATTTATGCAAACTATTAGAACAAATAAAAAATGTTGGATTGTATTTAGATACAAGATATAATATAAAATATTATTTGCATTACAATAACTAAGCAACAAATAATCAGATGACATAATTTTGAAAGACACAATTTATGTTAATAATAAAATCTAAAAGCTGCCCAGAAAAAAAAGTAATGAAAATGTCCAATATCTCTAAAGAAACCGTTTTTTAGAGATAGAGTCTCACTTTGTTACCCAGGCTGGAGTACAATGGCACAATCCTAGCCTTTGGCAGCCTCAAACTCCTGGGCTCAAGCGATCCTCCCACCTCAGGCTTTGGAATAGCTGGGACTACAGGCATGTGCCACCATGCCCTTTTTTTCTTATTTTTTGTAGAGATGGGGTCTCACTATGTTGCTCAGACTGGTCTGGAACTCCAGGCCTCAAGTTATCTTTCTGCCTTGGCCTCCCAAAGTACTGGGATTACAGGTGCAAGCCACTGTGCCCAGCCCATGAAAACATTTTTAAAAGACATGCAAGAAGAACTTATTGAGAGATGCATTGCTTTCACAATGGAAAGACTAAATATCATAAAGATGTCCATTCTCCCAAAATTACTTAATACATTTAATATAATTGCACTCATAGTCTCAATAGGCATTTTTAGGGATCTGGACAAGCTGATTCTGAAATATTATGAAAGAGTAAATGGCCAACAAGTGCCAAGAAAATCTAGAAGAAAGAAAAATAGGAAGAGGGAAAAATAGGGGAAAAATCCATAAGACTTTATAAAATTTAGTAATTTTAAAAGTATAGAACTGATTCAGAGATAGAAAAGTAAATCAATGAGCAAACATAGAAATCAGCACACAAAATAGGGAAACAATATGACAGGTAGTATCATAATTCAGTGGTGATAAGGTAGACTCTTCAACAGATAGTGTAGAACAGTTCATTACATACATGAAAAAGTTAAATCCCTATTTCATGATATACAAATTCACATTCCCAGATTCAGGCTTAAAGATTGAAATTAAAAAAAAGAAAGTCTTAGAGTGAAGCATGGAGAAATCTTCATAGAACTAAAAAAAGGATGAAATATTGATACAGGCTGGGCCCGATGGCTCACGCCTGTAATCCCAGCACTTTGGGAGGCCGAGGCGGGAGGATCACAAGGTCAGGAGATCTAGACCATCCTGGCTAACACGGTGAAACCCTGTCTCTACTAAAAATACAAAAAATTAGCCGGGCGTGGTGGCGGGCGCCTGTAGTCCCAGCTACTCGGGAGGCTGAGGCAGGAGAATGGCGTGAACCCGGGAGGCGGAGCTTGCAGTGAGCCGAGATTGCGCCACTGCACTCCAGCCTGGGCGACAGAGCGAGACTCCGTCTCAAAAAAAAAAAAAAAAAAAAAAATATTGATACATTTAACTACATTGAAAATTAAATTTTAACTATATTAAAATTTAAAAGACACCATAAACAAAGTAAAAAGGAAAATCATATACTGGAAAATGTGTAGAAACCACATATAAATTGCAAATTTATTTTAAAAACTCTGCAATAACACAATAGAAATGTCGCAAAGTATGTAAATACGCAGCTTAAGCAAAAAGCTCAAATGGACAACAGCATATGAAAATATGCTCAACTTCACTAGTTCTCACGGAATTGAAAAGTCAAGCGGCCAGGTACCACTTGAAACCGTCATGTCAGCAAATACAATTAATCGGGTGCACTAAGTTTTGGTGAAAATCTTGATCATTGCTGGTGAGCTTGAAAATTAACATAGCCCTCTTGGAGAGCAATTTGTCAATATTTGGCAATGTTGAAACTGACCTATGGCCCAGGAATTCTACTTCTAATTTCTTTCTTTCTTTTTTTTTTTTTTTGAGATGGAGTCTCGCTGTGTTGCCCAGGCTGGAGTGCAGTGGCAGGACCTCGGCTCACTGCAAGCTCCACCTCCCGGGTTCACGTCATTCTCCTGCCTCAGCCTCCCAAATAGCTGGGATTACAGGCACCCACCACCACGCCCGGCTAATTTTTTGTATTTTTAGTAGAGACGTGGTTTCACCGTGTTAGCCAGGAGATGATCTCTGTCTCCTGACCTCGTGATCTGCCCGCCTCGGCCTCCCAAAGTGCTGGGATTACAGGCGTGAGCCACTGCGCCCGGCCTCTACTTCTTCGTTCTTTAGGGTCTACTCCCATATACACTAGGCATGTGTGCTAGTGTAAATGTACAAACATGCTAATTGTATTCTTTGTAATTTAAAAAGTGGGGAAAAAAGTCATGCTCCTGAATAGAATCGATTTAAAAAATAATTGTTTTTATTGAAAAGTTTATTAAACAATCTTAAAGCTAGATTTACATTGATATTCACAATGATAAATTCCTAAAGTGGCCGGTTAAGTGCAAAATGTAAATTGTAAAAAGATATTTAAAGGATATCATTTACATAAATTTAAAAACCATGCAAGATCATATTTAAATAAAACTATGCATGGAAAAAATAAGAAAAATCACGTGGGAACAATATAGACAAATTTAAGGAGGTTCACTCTGGGGAGGGGAGGGATGAAGGTGGGGCCTTACTGTATCTTCAAAGTCTTACTTATTTAAGGAGAAAAAAAAGCAAGTTGTTTCCAGTAATACTAACATCTAAACATCTTGGTGATGATATATTTGTTACTTTTATTGTTAAAAACAAAATTTCTCATTTTATTTTGCATTTTGAAAAAGGAGACAGGAGGAGAGAAGAATCATGGACTCCCTGGGCACAGCACCGCAGGTGGCTTTGCCAGTTCTCCCAGCCCCGCGCTGCTCCTGCGCCTGCGCTGAGCCTCCACGTGTCCTCAGGAGACTTAGCCTAGCCTGGGTATCACCAGCAGTGGGCCAGGCCGCTTTGCCTTCAACTCCCAACAGTAACCTTGCAGAGGTCAGCCTGGGGCCACCAGGAGGAGTTAGTAAGAGCTTATCCTGTGGGGGCACTCACTGGGGCTGGTGGCCGGGAAATCCCAGGTGTTTTGTTGGTTTGAGTTTTGTTGTGTTTTTATTTTTCTTCCGCTGAGATCAGGACTGAAGCAGGGACGCAGTGCTCAGCACGCCCAGCCCACCGCGGGCCACTGCGCGGAGAACCTCTGCCAGGGTCGCCTGCTCACGTCCCCTAATCCGCTCCTGGCGCGCGTTCCTGTCCTCCTCCTGCTGTGACTAGTGTGCATGGAAGGGCACAGTGGTGGCAGAAAGACTTGTGGCGAGATATCAAGATCCACAGGAAGTCATAAGAGAAAAAGCATTTTGTTTGAACTCCACCCACTGACCTTTTGTGGGTGAGCTTTCGGTGAAACAGCAACATCCTCAGAAATCTTAGAGACACGGCTTTGTAACCCGGGGGAGAGACACCGCTTCCAAATATAATTGACGTGGCTTTCCTGCCTTAATTCGGGGTATCCTTTTTCCACCACATAATCTTCCCTTTGTCCGCGCTGATTCCTGTTTAGTTTGGCAGGGCCAGCTGCTGGCAGGCTCCCCCAGTGCTGAATGCTCCGCGCTCCACTGTGCTGGGCCTGCTGAAAAAGCAGACAGCGCTCCCTCTCCCCCAGAATCAGGAGCCAAATGCCACACCGATTGTGCAACTTGTCTCTGGTTACCAGGAAAACGTAAAGAAATGCCAATGAAGCAGAAAGGTCGACAAAATTCTTTCCAACGCTTGAACAAAAAAGGTATTTTTAGGGCCCTAGATTTATGGAAGTCAATTCTTCCACTCCTCGCCAGGCTTTCAAACCTCCTATTCTTTGCACTACATTATTTGAATAAACCGTAAATACCCTTAGTTGCTCTAATAGCAACTGCTGGTCCATATTGTGCAAGGCGGCCATGGTCTGAAGACCTTGTTGAATTTGAAAGACAGAAGTTCCGTTTCTGGCACATAAACTTGAATCAGGGCTATAGTTAAGAGTGCCAGTGAGGTCCACATTTTGACAGCTAGATAAGCAGGTCATTTATTCAAAAGGACTTTGAATCCATGCCCAGAGTCAAATGCAGTCCTTTGTAAAGCCCAGCAGGCTTGAAATAAAAACTTCTTAACTGAGTTGATCAGTGTCCTGCATTTTAGGGGTCAGGAAAGTATTTATGATAAGTTGGAAATGGACAGGGCAGGAAATTCTGGGCCTGGAAGGATGGCTTCCTCACCAGGGACCGCACCACCATATTTTCTAATTTGTGTCTTGAGGGAAAGTTTATATTTTTTGCTGAAAATATTATCTCCTTGTGACAAAACCACAAGTCTGGGAAGAGAACACAAAAGGAATAAAGAACAAATGAGATCTGTGATGCCTCCTGGATAAAACTTTAAAAACCCATAGGCATTGATCAATCCAATTTACTGAATAAATATGTACCAGGTGTTGTGTTAGGTTCTAAGGGGCTAAAATAACTAAGATACTGAACTAAAGTAGAACTATTGGGCTCCTAATGTGATAGTTTTTCCACTATAGACAGCCCTCTTCTTCCAAGGGTCCCTGCCAGGGCTTCCCCTACCCTAAACAGTGCCTTGGTAAAAATTAGGAAAGTCACCCCTTCCTTAAGACACTTGACTTTCCAACAGTGCCTTGGTAAGAATTAGGCGAGTCCTTAAGACACTTGACTTTCCTCTGGCAGAAAATTGCAAAGAAAGTGTGCACAAACCTACAATGTGAATGATGCCTTCCTGTGTGTGTGTGCCTTTGTTTAGGGCACAACCTGACCGGTCTGATCATCAGACACGGTGATCCACACTCAAGATGGGAAAGAAAGCCAGGGGCACAGCCTCCTGGAAGCCCCTACTCCCTGCCTCATCCACACCTTGTTGCAAAAACCGCACCATCCTTTAAGACTTCTCCATGAAGCATCACTTCAGGGAGGCTGTTTTCTTTTTCTCTTGTCTATTCCCCTTCTGGGAATATACCCATTCACCCTGGCCATCAGACAGCCCTGTATATGTCAACCCAAGGTCTCACTCAAGCTCTCTCTCAAAGGGCTCCTGGGCCCCATGCAAATTTAGAATGGAGTAAATTTGCATTAAACAGTTTAATGTGTTGCAGAAAATATCAGAGAATGGCAAACTCCTGTGGCCTGGACTTCTCAGAGTACACAAAAGACCGAAGACTGTTCTAACTTCACAGATGTTCTGTCAAAGGCTCATGTGGCCCCCCAGATAATCTGTTATGCAAGTAAAAACAGTTAATAAGTTGCCTAAAGGCTCGTCTTCCAGTCATTTTTTCCTCTTTAGATCTGAAAGAACTCTTTTGAGCAACTTCAAAGTTCAAATTGTGGTATTAAGTTTGAGTTGAAATGGGTCCTTTCTCTTTTTCTCAGAATTATACTGAAATGAATGTGCTCTGCTGCATCCTGGCATGCACTGGAGATGGGGGTTAGGTCAAAAATGAATAGGATGGTTCCTGCCTTCAAGCAGCCAATAGGAATAAAAATACTTTGCATGTGTAGTTTCCAAATTGTTTTCACATATATCACAACACCCACAGCAGCTTTGAGAGGGAGATGTTATTACATATATTTTATAGGTAAAGTGGATGAGGCTCAGAAAGGGTGAGTCTAAGCTTACACAGTAGTGAATTGAAGTGACACCCGAAACTCTGCTCTAAATTTTATCTTTCCCCAGGCTGAAGCTATAGTCCACAGAGCAAAGTAGTGTGATTAGTGTCACCTTAGTAGTGCAAACAAAGTTGTGGGCACAGAATTAGAGGGAGTAGTTTTCCCTGAGGGTGCAGTAAGGTGGTGTGAGGAATGGGGAAATGGAAGAGAGAAGAGATAGGGTTGCAACTGGTGAGTCCCAGAGGAAGGGCGAATGGCAGCAGGAATGGCCTGGCTTAGCCAAGCACCCAGAAAGGAGAAAGTCAGGCCTTGGTGAATGTTGAGTGGATAACCAAGCACCATTGGTCTGGAAGCTTGAGGGCTGGTCTGGAGGCTTGCAGGCTGTCAAACTCTTGAAGGAGTGAGAGAATGAAGGTCCTGACAGGACAGGCTTTGAGCATAAAGTGATTTCAGTGGACGTGGGAGCCACTCGGATAGTGACAAGCTCAGATTTGTGTTTGGTGGAGAAATGTTAATTTAGCAGCAGGGTGAGGAAGGGATTATCAGAAGGGGTGGGAAAGGACACAAAAGAACTTCCAGGTCCTTTTAGGGCTAAAAGTGCAGATGTGAGATCTCAACCCAGGCAGCAACAGTGGGAGCAGAAGGCAGGGGAGAAGCATGAGATTACAAAGAAACACACCTCAGCTGTTTTAGGGTGTTCAGATGGGGACTTCTAAGTGCACATGAACATAGTCAGTTGTATTCTTTTCCAGTGGAGGGATCCTAGCTTTCAGACATCCCCTTTTGTGGAAGCCAATTAAATGTTTTAAAATTAAAGCAGATTAAAGCAGAGCTGATCTGGCCGAAGAGGGGTGCTTGGATGCCTGGTGCTCCAGCTTCCTGAGGTAGAGCCCTTGGCAACCAGCTCAGCTTGAAAACCAGAGCTCCAGTGCTCCAGCAGGACCCGAAGGCTGCCTAAATAGACCGTATCTCTATGGATACATTCTCCGTGTGTGTGTGTGTGTGTGTGTGTGTTTCTTGGAAAATTGGAATTAGAGTCTTTCCTACTGTCTGTGATTGATTGCAGCCAAATATTGCTATGTAAAAGTTTCAGAATTTCAGGATCCAGAAAAGTAACTGGTCCCTTTGAGACCAATGTTGACCCTACTTGCATTTTCAGCCAGCTGGTGGGCCACAGGTGTTCACTGAGTGTGGATTCTGTGTCCACCCTTCCGCATGTCAGGGGTGCTGCACTGACTGGCAAAGTCTCAGAGCTCAAGGAGCTTCTGTATTAGTGGGGGACACAGGCAACACATATACGTGAGCAAATAATACTTTTAAACATAATCAAGTGCCATGAAAAAAACAAAACAAAACAGGGTAATGTGATTGAGAGCCAAGGAGGCCAGACAATCTGACAAGGTGGTGTTTGACCTGTGATTTTCAAGAAGCAGAGGCTCCCAAGTAGATCTGGGGGACATACATTTCAAACAGCAAGGCCAGCAAGCATCAAGTGCATGAGCCTGGTGCTGGCTCAGTGTGCTAGAGGGTCAAAGACAAGGCTGGGGAGGGGTGAGTGAGTGCAAGAGGGAAAGAAGATAGGATTCTCGTTAGGCAGGCACCGATCACATGGGGCCTGGCTGGACCAACCAGTAGGATTTCATTCTAAATGTTTTTGGAAACTGTCAGGGTCCAGTTGACATGGTAGGGCTCACCCAAGCTGCCAGGTGCATAAGGGACTTTAAAGGACAAGAATAGAAGAAAAGAGGCCAGTTAGGAGAGGGAGGATACTGACTTGGACAACAATTTAATCAACAAGAGAATAGGGTTAGAGATATATTCTGGAGGTAGAGTCAACAGAACTTACTAATGAATTTAAGTGGGATGTCAGGGAACAAAAGCAATCCGCAAAAACCCCTGTGTTTTTGCCTGGAGCAATTTAGTGGGTGGTGGTGTCATTTAAAGAGATGGGGGGACTTGAGGGTGGGAGTCAATTTGGCCTAAGGCAAGGGTTGGGGACTGTGGGCAGAAGCCATGGTTCTGCTTTGGCTCCTAAGTAGCAGAGGTACAGGAGGAGATGCTGAGTGTGGACAGCTGGTTGCTGATACTCAGAGGAAAACTGGACTGGACATATGGATTTTTAAACTTAAAGATCCACAAGCATTATCTTTGAGTGCTTACTATGTGCTTGGCACCACTGATTTACATAAAAAGTATTTTCCATTGTTGGAGAAGTGCTTCTCTGCTGAGAACTGGCTCCCAGAATAGCACAGAGCTAAGACAGAACTGGGTTGTGCCTTGGGCTGGATAGTGAGATGGAACACCCCACCTGTTACCGAGAAGAAACTTTCCAGGGTAACCATCTGGCATCCTCTGCAGCATGCCAGATCTTTGGCACAAATCTGTCTTTAAAACAACAACACAATTAAGCTTCTGCAAAGCATGGTGCTGTGCAAATCCAGTGTTAGAGATATCATCATGACATCCAGGTTCCTTTCCAATAGCATCGCTCTGCACCCAAAGAAGCCTTTCAGTGTGGTTTGTGTTTAACCTCAGATGGAAATAACTATGTGGGAAAATAAATTACTCAAGGGCTCAAAGTACTATTCAGACCAATTAATACTAATTGCGTACCTATAGTATTGCCAAGTGTTTAATTTCTTTGGAATAATGCTTGATGTTGCCAGTCCTTAAATGAATCAGCTTGATGTTGAGAATGTCATACCATCATTTGTATAATTTGTATTATTTATTTTGTGTTGTATTATTTAACATTTGCTAGTTCTGTCGAGGAAGCCAGGCAAAGCATATTAAAGACACATTTCTTGACAGAATTAGATTTGCTTAAAAAAGAAAAAGGAGGAAAGGAAGGAAGACAGGGAAAAAGAGAGAGAGAGAGAAGCAAAGAGGAGGGGAGGGAAATGGAGGGGAGAAGGGAGGGAAAAGGAGAGGAGAGGAGAGGGAAAAGGGGAGGGGAATGGGGAGAAGGGAAGAAGGGAAGGGGAGCAGGGAAGGGAAGAGAAGGGAAAAAATAAAGCAAGAAAGAAAGAAAAGAAGAAAGACCCTCTCTAGCACCCTCACGTAAAGTGAGATCTCTAGGGACAGCAGTGTGCTGGTGGTTTTAGTAGTCAGCAAGAAGCAGATAATAGACAACAAAGACTTTCTGCTCTTCCGCATATTTTCCATTCTCTGAATGGGAATCTCAGAAATCTAGACTGGAAGAGTTTTGAGAATTATCCATCTATCCTTCTACCCATCCATGTATTCAGTCACTAAGGAGAAAATATTTTCAGCCATGGTGGGGACAAGGCATGGGAAAAGTCTATGCCATCCATGGCAAACACTGTCTTAGGCACTTGGGTATTTGTTCATTCTCTTTACGTATTTATATTGTGCCTACTACAAGCCATACATGGTTAGGCTCTGAAGATACACTTCAGAAAAAGATAGATATAGCCTCTGCCTTTAAATTTGTTTATGCTGTAGTAATTAAGTAATTACATGGGTATTAATAAATCACAAAATACATAACTAGAAAAATAGTCTTTATTTTAATTGAATCAGAATCCATAACAAGAGGAACTCACATGGGTCTGGGAGAAAGGACAGGTCGGGAAAAGTTTCCTCAAGGAAATAATGTGTCTTTTGAGACCTGAGTGATAAGTAAAATGGACCAGGCAAGGGGACTTGGGTAGGGAGCGTCCCTAAGGAACTGTGACTCCAGATAATGAGGATAGGGTACATCTGTCAACAGGTGGAACAGCACCCTATGTTATTAGTGCCATTAGCGTGGTTTAAAATGGAACTATAAGCGTTGAGTGCTTTTATTCTTAGTTTATCCTCCTTTCCCTGGGTTTTTGTTTTGATTTGGTTTTGATTTTTAAAAATAATTTAAACTGCCTGGGGGCTGAATCATAATTTGATCACTTAGTTTGTGATCATGGGCTGACTCAATAACACTATAAGGTGGTTGTGATGACTAAACGAGTTAATAGTGCCTGGTACCATGTACAGTGTATATTAGGCACTCAATAGGTTTGGTTCCCTCCTCCCATACATAAGCAATCAGTGCTTGTAAACTGCACAGCAAAGAGGTGATATCTGAGACTACTTAATAGTTGAAGAGGCATTTGACTTAGCCCTTATATTACTATCAAGGGCACAGGAACAGAATGTTATATTCAGGAAACATTACACTCACACTGTACTACAATAAATCCTTCTTGTATTTTGAATCTTTTTTACTTTGTCCTGTGCTGCAAAAGAAAATTATCTGCTTTGAAATGACTCAAATAATTAGGTTCAGCTCACCCATATCATCATTTTTTCTTTAACCCAACTGATTAGTAACCTGAACTACATCTTCAAAGAACCTTTGAAATGTTGGATAACATAATCATAGTAGTAACAGCAGGTGGTAGAGATCATGGGGCCATCTTAGAATTCTGCCTATGACCAGAAAGATTTTTTGAGTGTCTACTGAGGACCAAGCACTGGTATAGGGGCTGGGCTTTACCTCGAAGAGCCCCCATGAAATTCCAGCTTTCACAGAGCTTGTCACCTGGGAAGACAGATAAGACGATGCATATGTAAACATAAAATAGAGAGGAATATGTTCTCTCAAGGAATTAAAGCATGATGTTATGATAGAAAATTGGCATAGGTGGTCCTATTTTAGAGCAGGAGGACCTCTCTGAAATGGAGACATTGGAGTTGCATTTTGAATGATATAAGGAACCATCCTTGCAAAAAGCAAAGATGCAACAGCAAAGTTTCTAAGGCAGGAGAAAGCGTCACATATGTAAATGATGAACAGAAAAAGGATTAGTGTTGCTGAAGTGAGCATTCTAGTTGTTAATCAAAAATGATAGGATACTCTAAAATGACTCTCCCATAAAAGTATTAACTCTCCATTAATGGATTTTACACTTGTTAGACTTTTTTCATTATCAAATTTCAGTAATAGTATGCTAGATCATCCTGAAAAATCTATCAATCAACTCTAACAACAAACATTTATTAAGCAACTTTTATATGTCAGTCATTGAATAAATCAGTGAACAAAACAAAATGTCATGTCCTCATGGAACTTGCATTTTAGTGGGAGTGAAACACAAAAGAAAATTTAAAATGGGTAAAATATAAAGTATGTTAGACTGTGAAAAGTGCTAAGGAGAAAAAATAATGTTGAGAAAAGACTTAACAAATTTCTTCTACCCATCCCTTCAGTAATCCAAATGTGCATACATCCATTCATACATGCCCCATATATCTTACATCGATGGCTTGCTTACTATGAGCCAGATATTGAGGATACAAATTAAATAAATTGTGAGACTTCCTCTTCTAGCTATGATACAGTTACTGCTGCCAGATTTGCTCTCTGGCATATCATAAAACTGGAGAGAAAAAAACTGAATCTTTCCATCATTGAACAGCAGGGGAACTGAGGTAAGGAAACGTCAGATGAGCCCCATATTTGTCCTAGCTTCTTGTTGGGGGCATGTTTTGAACTGCAGTGCAGGGAGATAGAGCCCAAGCAGTGCACAGTGCTTTTGCTGAGCTGAGAAGGCTAAGATCAGACTTCAAGATGACAGAAGCATCTGGAACTCTCAGGGCAGGGTACTGAAAAGGAGGGTTCTGAGGAGAGCTGGGACCATAAGAATCTGTGTGTGTGTGTTTTGTGGATTCATGGCCAAGGGATATACCGTGCATTCAGAGGAAAAAATTCCATGAGTCCTAAAAGAAAGTGATTGCTTCAGGGCTGAGAGCAGACCATGAAATATTAGAAGCCATGTAAAGTTAGAAGACAGATTTCTGGAACAGTCAGTTGACAAGCATCTCTGAAAACCGTGGGCATTTCGTTCAGACCCCAAAAGCACCACAACCTATAAGCAAAGACCACACCTCAGATAAGGGACCTAACTTAGAACTAAAGACAAAACTGTACTCAAACAGCCCTAACAAAGAACCAAACCGAGCTTGACAGAACAGGGAAGATTCCAAGTAGTTTACTTGTTTGCCAGACAAAATAATACTCTCTTTAATAAAAGACACTGCAAACTAGACTGGCTCTGTTCTCTAGCATACTGTAAAGCTGCAGAAAAAATATGAATTTTTCCATCATTGAACAGCAGGGAAAACTGAGATAAGGAAACATGTTTGAGCCCCATGTTTGTCCTAGCTTCTTAAGTAAAGTAGTATAATAATTGATTTTACTTTAAATGAACCTAATTAACTTAATTTTAAATTAATAGTTTTTTGATAAGACTACATTATTGTAATTCTTAGAACATCCACTAAAAAGATAGCTAGCTGAAAGTATAGGTGTAGATAAAAAGCCAATAGAGAATTTTAAAAGAATACTAAAAATTTTTGATTTTACAAAAAAGGTAGTGAAAAAAGGGTAAGAAGAGTAAAAAATAAACAAAATAGATGGGACAAATGTAAAACTAATCAATAAGAAGATAGATTTGAGCCAAACCATATCAATAATAATATTAGATGTAAATACGTTAGAGGCCGGTTGCAGTGGCTCACACCTGTAATCCAGCACTTTGGGAGGCCGAGGTCGGCCAATCACTTTAGGTCAGGAGTTTGAGACAAGCCTGGCCGACATGGTGAAACCTCATCTCTACTAAAAAATAAAAAAATTAGCTGGGCGTGGTGGTGCACAGCTCACCTACCCAAGAGGATGAAGTGGGAAAATCTCTTGAACTAGGGAGCCGGAGGTTGCAGTGAGCTAAGATCGTGCCACTATACTCCAGCCTGGGCGACAAGAGCAAAACTCTGTCTCAAAGAAAAAAAAAGAGTGGGTGGAATATTCTTCATCAAATCCATGACCATAATTGGAGATTTTAACACCCCTCTTTCTGTTATTTATACAACTAATAGACAAATAGACACAAACACAAACAGTAAAGAATACAGCAAATTTGAAAAATGCTATCAACCCACAAGACCTAATTGACATTCAAAAAACAGTATACCCAACAATGCAGAATATGTATTCTTTTTCTTTTTTCTTTTTTTTTTTTTTGAGACAAAGTCTCACTCTGTCGCCCAGGCTGGAGTGCAGTGGCGCTATCTCAGCTCACTGAAACCTCTTCTTCCCAGGTTCAAGTGATTCTCCTGCCTCCGCCTCCCAAGTAGCAAGGATTACAGGTGCCCGCCACCACACCTGGCTAATTTTTGTATTTTTAGTAGAGACAGGGTTTCACCTTGTTGGTCAGGCTAGTCTCAAACTCCTGACCTCAGGTGATCCACCCACCTCGGCCTCTGAAAGTGCTGAGATTACAGGCATGGGCCACCATGCCCGGCCAGAATATGCATTCTTTTCAAGTACACATGCTGCATTCACCAAGATAAACTTTGTCTTAACACATTTCACACACTTAAAATCTTAGAGTAATATTAAATTAAAAATAAATGACAATAAAATATATAAATAATAATACATCTAGAAATAAAAAGAAACAATATAGAAATAACAGCTATATGTTATATAACATATATAACAGAATATACAAATATTTGTATAGATAAAATATAATAAAAAATTTAATACATAGAAATGCCAAAAATAGTTGGATATTTAAAAACACATTATATAAACCTATGGATCAAAGAATAAATCCAAAAGGAAATATTAGAAATCTTAAAACATATTTTGAATTAAGTAATAATGAAAACACACAGTATGCTAAAATTTGTGAGATGCAGCTAAAGAAGTGTTTAGAAGAAAAGTTATAATATTAAATGTTTATATTAGAAAAAAGATGTAAAACCAGTAAGTCCCATCTTAAGAAGTAGAAAAAGAAGAGCAAACTAAACTTAAAGTAGAAGAGTGAAAATTAAAAAAGCATATAAACTGAAGTAGAAAATGTGTAAACAATAAAGAAAATTAATAAAGTCAAACAGTTTTTTGAAAATAATAAAATTGGTAAGCACTTAGCAAGAAAAAGTGAAAACAAATTATTAACATCAGCAGTAACAGAGGAACTATTGCTGCATATAGAAGAATAGTGAAAATATATTAGAAAAAAGTTTCTTTTAATAAATTTGATAATAGATAAAATTAACAAACTCTTTGAAAAACTCATCTTAATAAAACACTAAAAAAAATTTAAAAACTGGCCGGGCACAGTCGCTTACGCCTGTAATCCCAGCACTTTGGGAGGCCGAGGTGGGCAGATCACCAGGTCAGGAGGTCAAGACCATCCTGGCTAACATGGTGAAACCCTGTCTCTACTAAAAATACAAAAAGAAATTAGCCGGGTGTGGTGGTGGGTGCCTGTAGTCCCAGCTACTCGGGAGGCTGAGGCAGAAGAATGGCGTGAACCCGGGAGGCAGAGCTTGCAGTGAGCCGAGAACACGCCATTGCACTCCAGCCTGGGCGACAGAGCGAGACTCAGTCTCCAAAAAAAAAAAAAAAAAAAAATTCAAAAATCTGAGAAGCTTATATATATTAAAAGAATTGAATTTATAATTCAAAACATTTCCACAAAGAAAAACTGCAGGCCCAGATGGTTGCACTTGCAATTTTTTTTTCTTTTTTTTTTGGACGAAGTCTCGCTCTTGTCATCCAGGCTGGAGTGCAGGGGCATGATCATGGCTCACTGCAACCTCCCCCTCCCGGGTTCAAGCGATTCTCCTACCTCAGCCTCCTGAGTAGCTGGGATTACAGGTGCCCACCACCACGCCCGGCTAATTTTTGTACTTTTAGTAGAGAAGGGGTTTCACCATGTTGGCCAGGCTGGTCACGAACTCCTGACCTCAGGTGATCCACCCGCCTTAGCCTCCCAAAGTGCTGGGATTACAGGTGTGAGCCACTGTGGAGGCCTGCACTTGCAATTTCTGTCAAACCTTATAAAAAACAAAAAGAAAAAAATCAACCAATTCCACCAAATGTTGTCAGAGCATAGTGGAAGAGGAAATATTTATCAGCTCATTTATGGGGCGAAAATAACCCTATTACCAAAACCTGACAAAGACATTAGAAATGAAGACCACCATCTGTATGAACATAGACATAAAATCTAACACTTTAATCTAGTAAATCACTCCAGTACCGTGTAAAAAGAATAATAAGTTGACCAAATGGGCCAGGCTCACGCCTGTAATCCCAACACTTTGGGAGGCCAAGGCGGGTGGATCATTTGAGGTCAGGAGCTCGAGACCAGCCTGGCCAACATGTCGAAGCCCCGTCTCTACTAAAAATACAAAAAACTAGTCGGGCGTACTAGCAGGCGCCTGTAGTCCCAGCTACTAGGGAGGCAGACGCAGGAGAATGGCGTGAACCCGGGAGGTGGAGCTTGCACTCCAGTCTCGGCGACAGAGCGAGACTCCGTCTCAAAAAAAAAAAAAAAAAAAAAAAAAGGCTGGGCGTGGTGGCTCAAGCCTGTACTCCCAGCACTTTGGGAGGCTGAGGCGGGCGGATCACGAGGTCAGGAGATCGAGACCATCCTGGCTAACATGGTAAAACCCCATCTCTACTAAAAATACAAAAATTAGCCGGGCGTGGTGGCGCATGCCTGTAGTCCCAGCTACTCGGGAGGCTGAGGCAGGAGAATCCCTTGAACCAGGGAGTCAGAGGTTGCAGTGAGCCGAGATCACGCCACAGCACTCTAGCCTGGCGACAGAGCAAAACTCTGTCTAAAAAAAAAAAAAAAGAAAGAAAATGCAAAAATCAGCTGGGTGTGGTGGCACACGCCTGTAGTCCCAGCTACTCAGGAGGCTGAGGCAGGAGAATTGCTTGAACCTGGGAGGCGGAGGTTGCAGTGAGCTGAGATTGTGCCATGCACTCCAGTGTAGGCAGCAGAGGGAGACTCCATCTCAAAAGTAAAATAAAATAAAATAAAAATAAATTGACCAAATGGATTTTATCTCAGAAATGCAATCAGTGAGATCGATCAGATAATTTACCACATTTAAAGAATAATATTGCAGAAACATCTTGAAAATGAGATATAAAATGTTTTAATGCCATTTTCAATGTCATAACATGCACAAACATTATTTTGAGACCCCAACATAAAACTTAAAACCACAAATTTTGTAGAAAAATAATACAAAATATTTTTCAACTTTGAAGTGGGTGAAATTTGCCTAGAAAAGACACAAAAAGCCCTAAACATAAAACAATGATAAATTGAACCTCAATAAAGTAAAAAAAAAAAAAAAAAAAAAAAAAGTCTGCTTCTGAAAAGGCAAGTCACAGACCAGAAGAAAATATTTGTTTTCTGTGTATGTATGTA
Source organism: Homo sapiens (assembly GCF_000001405.40). Classification (NCBI taxonomy): domain Eukaryota; kingdom Metazoa; phylum Chordata; class Mammalia; order Primates; family Hominidae; genus Homo; species Homo sapiens. The sequence continues at coordinate 33,623,518 of NC_000013.11, forward strand.
CATACATACAAAACCTTTGTCAGGTTTTGGTAATAGGGTTATTTTCGCCCCATAAATGAGCTGATATTATTTACAACTACATCTACATATTTAATTTACATCTACATATTTAATTATCTGCATCTACCTGTCTATATACTAAAAAGACAACCAAATCAACAAATGAGCTGATATTATTTACATCTACATCTACATATTTAATTTACATCTACGTATTTAATTATCTACATCTACCTGTCTATATACTAAAAAGACAACCAAATCAACAACAACCAAAAAAAGTGTTAAAAAAAGACTTCACAATAGAAGCTATAAGAAGACCCAATAAACTCATGAAAAGATGCTCAACACCATTCATTATTAGAGAAATGCTATTAAAGACACCAAGATAGCCTTTTACATGGACTAGAATGGCGGAATATTGAAGAGATTGATAAAACAGTACTCCCAGTATCAGAGAGTTGTAGAATAACTGGAGCTGTCATATGTTGTTGAAGAATGTAAAATAAATTACAAACATTTTGGCAAAGTTTGGCAGTGTTTTTGTAAAACTAACATACATACTACACCTTCCAGCAAATCTGCTCCTAGAAATGAGTATGTACGCCTACAAAAAGGCTTATTCAAGAATATTCATAGCTACTTTATTCATAATAGTTATGAGCTGGAAAAAAACTCAGGCAACCCAAACTAGTAACAACCCAAATGTCCTCCAACAAGAGAACAGATAAACAAATTGTGGTATACTCATACAAGGCAGTACTAATCAGCAATAAAAACAAATGAACTACTGATGCATGCATTGCTAAGATACTGACTAAATGTCTGTAAGGGTGATCTTGGACACTTGTGGGCCCCGCTGCGGGCAGAGTGAGGCACTGCCTCTGTGCTTTTCAGTGCTTGAATCCCACCTGTGCTCATCACCATCATGGTGCTGAAAACAGCACTATCAGCATTTATGTATTTGTTTACTTCCCCATCTCCTTACACCAAGAGTTCCTTCAAGTTGGCAATGGTCTTCCTCACATCTTTAATTACCCAATGTCCTGCCCAGCATTGGAGATCTAGCACAGACTCAACCAACATTTATGAAAGAACAACGGACACTCAGATGCAGCTTTTATTTCCTTTGAGCCTCCTAAGGCCAGTACAATAGCTATTCAACAGTGTCTGTTAAATAGCAAGTGAGAGTCATTATTTGGATGTAGGTAATTGGATAAAGTTTCTATCTTGCCAGCAGTTTGTCTAGATTAGTTATAGATAACTTAATCCAAGGCAACTTGCCCAAGGCCACCCAGCTGGTCAGGTGTCAGATGTGGGTGACTGACTAGTTGTTCTTCCCACCTCACTGCAGCTGCCTCCTCTCATAATATGCTCAAGGAGTCAGTGCCTAAAAGTGGTACTTCCTTCCATGCAGAACAACTGCAAGCTGTCAGAATCTGTACAAGGAAGATGTCATCCTGTTTGGCTGGGGTACCTCGGAAGCAGTGGGAGGTGGAGTCCCTCCCACATGCCATCCTGAGGGCAGCAGTGGCAGTTCTTTTGCTTCCTGTCCCTTCTGAGGGGCAGAGCAGAGCCTTTTCTGAGAATCAAGTCAGAGCAAGCCTAGGCACAAGAGTGAGTGGAGGAGGGGTAGGGTCACAGACATTTTAGCCTCTTCATGCTTGAGAAAGAAATGAGAACTCATCTTCTCAGAGGCAAGGGCAGAGGTAGAAGCCCAGCCTGTCCTGAACGAGAAGGGTGACCTTGGCAGTACTCTAAGAAGTAGTCAAGTCCGGGTGTGGTGGCTCACGCCTGTAATCCCAGCACTTTGGGAGGCCGAGGCGGGCAGGTCATGAGGTCAAGAGATTGAGACCATCCTGGCCAACATAGTGAAACCCCATCTCTACTAAAAATACAAAAATTAGCTGGGTGTGGTGGCACACGCCTGTAGTCCCAGCTACTCGGGAGGCTGAGGCAGGAGAATCACTTGAACCCGGGAGGCAGAGGTTGCAGTGAGCTGAGATTGCACCACTGCACTCCAGCCTGGCGACAGAGCGAGACTGTCTCAAAAATAAATAAATAAAATAAAAAAGAAGTTGTCAAAACCTGGGTGTCTGGCCTTCCACAGAAAATCGACAATAATGTCTGAGAGCACAGTTAAACATTAGGTTAATTCTCTTGGTTAGAAAGAGAATTAACCTAATGGTACCCTTTTTTTTTTGAGACGGAGTCTCGCTCTGTCACCAGGCTAGAATGCGGTGGCACCATCACAGCTCACTGCAACCTCCACCTCCCAGGTTCAAGCGATTCTCCTGCCTCAGCCTCCCTAGTAGCTGGGACTATAGGTTCTCGCCACCATACCCGGCTAATTTTTGTATTTTTAGTAGAGATGGGGTTTCACCATGTTGGCTAGGATGGTCTCAATCTCCTGACCTCGTGATCCGTGTGCCTTGGCCTCCCAACAAGAGAATTCTTAAATGTATATTTCTCCCAGTGTCACTAAGAAAATCCAATTTAAAATTATTCTGTTCTGACTTGGCCTTTTATTCTGCCTCTCATGAATGTAAATATAAAACTTTTATATGAGAGACTCTTGGCATTGTCTATAGATAGACCATAGCTACATCAGAAACACACACACACACATCTGCACATGTGCATACACACACAGAGTAGCTATTTGAGAAACAGCTGTGACCCCTTCAAAGACAGGAGGAGAAAGGGAGGAATGGGAGATTAGTGTAAGGACAAAGTCAAACTATCTAATCTTTTTATCCTCTCAGCTAAACAGATTTTGTCTTCCTTCAGTACCTCACGCTTGACCTCCATCTCTCAAACCATTCTATTATTTCTACCTTATCTTTAGCTATACATGAATCTAATTATAGAAAAGATAATAATGCATAATGATCAAATGCATGGGCTGAACCTCCAATATTTGAGAAAATTGTTGGTGAAATCTTCACCTACCTTATTATCTATCTCTCTAATCCATCTGTCTAATAAAATGAAAACCAAATCAATAAAAATGAGCAAAATAAAGAAAATAAAGCTGTTATTACATGCATCTCCAGAGAAAGCTATTACTGCAAGTGACTCTCTTATTTTAGAAAGTGTAGGAAAGTATTTTTCTGTGAGTGGGATTATATAATCTTTACCTACTCTTGGAAGCCAACCTAAGAAACATGTCATCCACTCCCCTTCCTCATCTTTGCAAGTGGTGCTATATGCCAGCAGGCTGAGCATTGTCATTACTGTAAGAAAGAGTATGAATTAATCCAGCACACATCCCAAATTCAGAATAACAAATCTGGAATGTGGAGGCCCACCTGTCTGTGGGTCCATGTTGAGAAGTCTACACTTTTGATTACATGTTTGCCTATTTGTAAATGACAAGATTTGTCCTGCACTAGCAAAAAAATAAAATAAAATAAAAATTCTGGCCATCAGGACTAAAGAATCCATAAAACTTAGAATAGTATAGTTACAAAATTGGTTCTGATAAAGGGAAATAGAATAAACCTGCTTCAAACTTCATCAATCATTGTTCCCTTTATCATTTTCAGATCATTAAACCAGCTTTTAATCACAAACACTAATATTTTATTGTATATTTTCTGCTTAAATCTAGACAGTGTTAGCTTGGCATTGACTTTCCCAAGTAGCAGAATTAGTGATATTTTGAATGATATAAAGGGTATTTATCTATTCTTTCATTAGCAAACATTATGTAAGTAGTTACTATGTGTGTAGCATAGTGCTGTATTGTAAGGTAACTGTCTTCAACATCCAGGTAGGATTAGTTTCTCCACTTGTAGATAGGTACATCTATGCTATAACATATGTATTATGTCCTTGGCTGGGTATGGTGGCTCACGTCTGTAATCCCAGCACTTCGGGAGGCTGAGGTGGGTGGATCACGAGGTCAGGAGTTCAAGACCAGCCTGGCCAAGATGGTGAAACCCCGTCTCTACTAAAAATACAAAAATTGGCCGAGTGCGGTGGCGGGCACCTGTAAGTCCAGCTACTCAGGAGGCTGAGCCAGGAGAATCACTCGAACCTGGGAGGTGGAGGTTGCAGTGAGCTGAGACCGTGTCACTGCATTCTAGCCTGGGTGACAGAGCAAGACTCCATCTCAAAAAAAAAAAAAAAATGTTCTTTTCTGCCTCAAGATAGGTTGAGATTGTCCTTCATGGCCCTGGACATGGTCCAAAAGGTGGAGAGGCCTCAGTGGTCCTTTCTGAATGTGAGCACCCAAGCCTGCCCATTGGCCTAGCCCTTAATTTATGTACATGTGTCATTTATGGCCCATCCTCCAGGGCTGCACCGTGGGGCTCCTGCCTTTTCTGACGTACAGCAACCACAATAGTGAGATGAACATCGAAGCTATTGGAGAAAGTCCCACCACTATAGTGTAAATCAGCCTAGATTTACTTTGCGTAATTTTAGGCTATTTCTTTTTTTTCTTTCTTTTTTTTTTTTTTGAGACGGAGTCTCGCTCTGTTGCCAGGCTGGAGTGCAGTGGCACGATCTCGACTCACTGCAACCTAATTTTAGGCTATTTCTAAGACAGTCATCTTTTGGTTGAACAAGGTAATGAGTTGGGATAAATATATCTTTTTTCATTCCTGGACTCTCTCTCTTGTAAAACACACACACACACACACACACACACACACACACACACACACACCACATGCATCATGGACACATATACTTCTAATGTTTTTCTTTTATTTATCCCAGAAATTGAACTAGGGATGCCCCTGTCTCTATTCTTTCTGCTCTGTACCTGGTACTAATTAATTTATTCATTAGTATTAATAACAAGCCTGGTCACTTTTCATCCAGTCATGTTTGTTCCCTCCACATCAGAAAGAACTCTTGTGACCAACATCAAAATTCAAGTTCAGGTATGTGTACGAGTCAGAATGGGTCCTTCTTTTTCTCAGAATTACATTGTAAGGAACCTATTCTAATAGGCATTAAAGTAACTAGCTTTGGCTTCACTCAGCAGGAATCTCACATAATCAGAATTGAATGTGACAAAACTCAATCCATTCTGTATAAACAAGAGACACCTTAGAGAAATCAAATCTCTTTGAAGGACTGAAGTAGGAAGGCTAAGAAGAAGGTACACCTGATACACTCTTTCTTTCACTCTAACAGGCACCTGAACCTCCGTGGCACAGCAGATGGGAATGACTGACGTGGCTGAGCATTCATCTGCCCCAGGGAGGCACCGCATTGTAGGGGATGAACAGAGACTTTTCAATCAGATAGACCTGCATTCAAATCCCAGATCAGTCTCCTACTGCCTTTTGATCTTAGGAAAGTTGCATCACTCTTCACCAGAGTTCCAACCCTGAGTTTCATTCTCTGTCAACTGGAAATGGAAATAGCTATGATGGTAGCGAGGGTTACATGAGATGCTATTTGCTCAGTGCCAATGATCAATAGCAGATGGCAGTTATGTGATTACGATTACTGTGGGATCTTTTCAAAAGAGGGTCGCCAGCAGCTTCTTAGCTATGTTGAGCTTGATTGTCTGTGAAGGCAGAGGCCTGGGTGGTAGCTGCATAAAGAGACAGCTCTACTTCTTGTATGTCTTGGGTTGTAGGCCAGGTCCCCAGTTCAACTCCTCCTCTACATGAGGCTACCCCAACTCCACGGGCCAAACGCCATAGGAAAGCAGATATTACATTTAGAAGTCCTGATTTCACTTTTAACTATACTTCATTGGTAAGACAACAATAATGTCAGCTCATTAGCAAATCAACAAATAACACTTTAACTGGAAATTACTGGACACTATTACTTAGACTGTCCTGGAAGAGGGCTCTAAAGTGTGTCTCCATTTAAACTTATAAGAAAATTGCCAAGAGCTTATGTGTTGTCTTGTTTAGAAGTGAATACAATGCTGCCAGCCATATGTCTTTTAGATTCTAGCTTGTTTGTTAGAGATTTCTAGATAGAGCCAAATTTGTGGCTTGGCCTTAACATAAATATTCAAATGATTCATAAGGATTTTTTACTGGGCTTTCACTTTGTCTAGAAACTAATATGCATGTGTTCTAGAAAAAACACTAAGTTTTGAGATTAAATCTATTTTAAATTAAGTAAGAGATAAATGTGAGAATTATGTATGAGACTATATGGCATTCCTTGTTATAAGCATATAACCTATAAGCTGGTGTCTTTAGATGTGTAAGAATATAAAGCAAACAGAAAAGAAATACTGCTGAATTTTAACATCATTTTTTGAACTGTCAAGAGCCAAGGAATAGCTGGGCAAAAAATCAATACTGTCTCATTGCCTCTTTCCCTGACCCCTTTCTATCTGAAACACTATCTCCGGTTGTAAATGTTTAATTTACTTCTAATGTGGCAAAAATCTCAGGTTTGCAGTTTTCTAGATGAGTAACACAAGCTCAATATCATTTAGTTTATGAATATAAAAAAATAAAATGCACGTCAAAGGCAAATGAAAGCCTTTTATTGAATCTGATATAATTTACATAATATGTTCTGATAGTCCTTGTTATTCTTTCACATTTACATAATTTTTGTATATTTACAAAAGTCTTCAAGCTTGCTTTTATGGACTGTTTCTCACAGCCACCCTATGAAGTAGGTGTAGTAGCTTGCTTTAAAGCAAAGTGCAAGAGGAATAGAAAAATGAAGTGTTTCCCAGAGCGACTCAGCAAAGCAGCTGCTGATCCAGATTGCAAATTCCTGGTCCTGCGTCCCTCCCTCATTAGCCACTAGGTCCCAGCTCCTCTCATTTTTTTGCATCCTCAGACACTCCTTTCCCTCTGCCTATTTTAATGAGGCCCCTGAGACCCTCTTTTGGCCAGCTTTCCTACCTCTTCACCACTTTCCTAGCCCCTAGGAAGCTTTTCTTTAAGCCTAGGAAAAAATTAATTTGCTGATACTTCTTCCAAATTGGCCTGCTGCCGCCACCACATAATGATTTTCCCTTCAGAGGTGTAGATTGCGTACCTTGCGTGCAGAGATTCAACGTAGTCACTCTGCAAGATGCAATATTAGGCTCTGAACCACATTTCACCAAGTCCCTAGTGACCTATAGCCACTTTGACTTGCTAATATAATTTTATCCAAGAGTTATGGGTAGGAAAAATTAAATGAAGAGGAAGAATTTTTGTAAAGACCCAAGTCTGTGGAATTGTATCTTGTTCTTCATAGTGCTGGATATGTGCTAGCCGGTAGAGCCACCTACTGAAACACAAGTTTTCTTGTACACCTTTGGTACTGAGAGCCCATGAGTCCCACCATCCTAATCCTCCTTCACCTTCCCTCATCATCTCCTTGGCCATTATGTGGTAGATGCAAGAAAGACATTTGTTTCTCTTCTAACACGTTTCCCATCCTTGTCTTACTGGTATAGTTACTGAGATAGAAAGATTCAGATCTTCCTAAGCAGTAATTAACTCATTGGCATTCATTATGAATCCCTTTGAGATATGAGCCTGCATTTAAAAACAAAAACCAAAAAACTCAGTCTTTGTAAATTAGATCCCATGTTCTGCTGTCAGCCCAGTGTGCATTATATACCGGTGGAAATAATCAGTGCTCTGTCCAGCCCTGGAAAGTGTTAAATAAATCACACAGTTTTATGAGCTTACAACAAGACTCACTTGGTAGCCTCTTTCTTACCCAATAATCTTTTACTAATAAAAGCACTAGGGATTTATAAACACTACATGTACTTTTAGTGATCTTCCAAAATATGTTACCCTCCTTCCTTCTGAAGAAATGGCAGGTTGACACCTATCTATCTAAAACCATTTATCCAGTTCTCAAAATAAGCAGGTATTGTGCTGAACTAAAACCAAAATTGTCCGGAGTATTCATAAAATCAGGTAGACATTTAAGAGTATGATTTCCATTTTCTTTTCTAAAAGCACTTAGAATAGCCTCTTCATGTTCTTACATTGGTAAATCATGTATAAGAGATATGGTTTCATCTTCTTGGTGATTACGGAAGTGCTGAGCATTCCAGGTCCTAATGCTGATGCCTATACCTCATGGTACAAGACATGTGAATGCAGTTATGAGCTTTGGGCTCAACAGTGCGAAACTAGGGAATAACCTAGAAGATTTGTGTTTGTTTATTTTAATCAAATGTCTATGATAGTTATATTTGTTGAATTTGATTAATTGAAATGTAGATTTCTGGAGTACAACAACAAGATGCTATTAATATATGCTATGATTTTTTACTTTATTTCTTTAAATATCTATGTAAATACAAAAGCTTCTAGTATTCAAAATACCATATTCAGAGATCAGGTTAAAATATTTTCATGATATCTGGTGAGCACATAAAAGTAATTTGCGTTAAAAATTTTGGTTACAGTAATGGGAAGAAAGAATGCTTCATGGTAACACACTTCCACTAAATTTGAAATAAGAAGAAAATCACCCATCATAAAAATTTAAATAGAGTTTATCAGGTAATGGTCACAATAAAAATTCCTGATCGTAGTGTTGTCAAAGGAAGCCAGTTTTTGCCATTTAATGGAATCATTACTTTGCATTTACTAGCTTTATTTAGCAAATGGTGCTCAATGATACAAGTTGATAGTGATACTATCCATCTATAGTTAATACATATAATCAACACACTGTAGGCAATTTACTTAAAGCCAAAGAACACATATGAGTAATTGAGGATAGGCTAAGACATGAACTCTTGAGCTCTCATAAAATCACATTTCCTGAGCCATTCCTCTTGCTTGCTCCCTATGGAAAATGTTCCGGTACATTCTAGCCTAGTGAGCCAATTCATCACCAATATTCAGCACTACTTTGACCCAATATTTTATGTAGAACCTTGTGAATGAGTCTATGGTATTCTTCCAGAATTATATAGTTATAGTTTGATATAAATTATAAGGTGACCATGAATCATATTCAGAATATCATTGGTAAGCCAACTTCCTTTCCACTATGTCTATATTGTACCTACATGTCTTTATATCAACTTGGGTGTATTCAAGGGATTTTGCTCCAAAGTATCCCTTAAGTTCAGAAAATGGGTTGGAATCTAAGTGGGAGCAAAAGCTTTTGGTGCTTTCGTAGAAAAAAGATATTCACAAAATTATCACCAAACTTGACCACTTCTCTTCACTGGCATATATTTTATTTTCTAGCCTTCTGATTTGTGGGTTTTACTCTGCTAGAAAAATGTATTTCAGGGGAAATAAATCAATTGGCTACCTACTTTCCTATAAGTATAAAGTCTCATTGTTTTTCTACAGATTGATCACTATGCCATGATGTTCTATATTCTTTTTTTTTTTTTCATTTCTATTTAAGAGGCAATAAGCAAGACGTAATTTCTTTCAAGAGCACAGTGATCATTCATGGAACTGAATAATGATCAATGAAATGATAACCCAAGACCTGAATAAACATAGCATTAATGCTAGAAAATGTCAGTGCTGTCACTTCAAAAGGGCACAGTGTCACTAGACCAGGCTGTTATTTTTTATTTTGTTCAATGGACTTATCTTGAAATTCTCCAAAAATTTATTTAATTCCTACTAAGAGGGGTATGTTGTAAATAACAATAATGATAAAAAGTGCTTGATAATATTGGCTGTAGTATTCAGCATGCCACTTACTGCATTTGACCCTTGTGGGTACTTAGAAAGCCCTCACCTTCTAAATTCCTCTTGTCATCCAAATGCTGCCTAGTGCTAAGGAAAGATTTGATGGTTTCCTTTATTCACTTGATATCCTCTTTTTTATGGTACATAAATGGAAGTTCTAAATGAATGCTAGAGCCTCATATTAGATTCTTGTAAATGGAATCGTAGATCATCTCACTTCTGCCTTAGTCACAAGATTGACTCCAAGTGTACCTAACACAAAGAAACAACATATACTGGCCTCTAAAGATATACATATATACTTAGTCATTATCCAGTTTAGTGGATATTAAATTGCAGGAAAAAAGTGGAAGAAAACGCACATTTGCCGCTAAATGTCCTTCACAGATTGCATCTGCAGCTTCCTTTTTTGTGTTTAGCTCTACATGAATGATTGGCATAACTTTTAAAATGTAATCACTGCACATAACAACTAGGTTATATTTGATTGCATCTTCTGAATAATGTTTAAAAAGTAAAAGGCAGATGTTATCATGTACTTTCCTCTCAGGCTGGTTCCAGGTTTTTTTATTCAACAATTTTATGTGAAAGGCAATTGCAGAATGGAAGAATTTAGCATGGTTTCTAAGGTCACAAGGAGAAGGTGACGTGACTCTGCAAACAGCACCCCCAGTCTTGCCTCTCTGCCCAGGGCGGTGTTATTAAATGAGTAGGCACAGTGGAGGGCTCATTTTCCCTCCTGACCACCCTCTTGGGGCTCCCTGTGTGACCTCTGTACACTGGGCTTTCAGAAGGCCACAGAGATGACAACAAGACCACATTTGTTTTTATCTTTCAGTCAAATAGATTCATCAGACAGTCTAGACACTACTCTTTTGTCTATCAGAGGACAAAACTACATTTGATGATTCAATGATCATTTTTAATGTATTGAAAAGAATTTTTGTTAAAAGATGGCCATCATATAAACATGGATTGTTTAAATAACCTCATTTTTCTCTTACCTCATAACAGAAAGGAAGATTTCTTACATACCTTATTCATGTTACAACCTGATTTATATCCCTGAGCTAAGAATTCTGAGTGGCATCATAGCATCTGAAAGCTTTTGCCAAAGACATGTCAGAACTCCTTTAAGGAGCAGATCACCCCATGAATTACTGACTTACCCAGCCTCAGTTACCTCACAGTTAAAGTATGCCTTCATGATCCAATGGGAGAAGCTGTTCAGTAAATGCATAGAATATTTCTCATTGTCATCAGGGGGTGTTTCCCAGAACTTTGGAACCGTTTCTAAACCCATAGCCCCAGGGTGTTTTCAAAGTTTGATTTACAAAATAAATAGACATCTAAAAGAGATTTTAGTCCCAAGCTATTTTTTTCTTTTTGCAGAAGTTATTAGATTTGAATAGATACCTCAAAGCCATTTTTTGAAATCAAAATTCTCCTTTCTTACATCCAAAATCCTGAAAGGAGCCTCGAGAGGTCACTACACTGCTTCTATGTTGTACCAGAACTGAATAGTTCAAATTACTGTTGCGTTTTGATAAACACCGCCCTGCCCCGCCGCCACACACACACATGCACACACACACAGTTTTCTTCTCCTACTTCTCTCTCGCTTGGTTGAATTACCCCACTGACAGAGAGAAAAACAACATTCACTGGCCTCCAGGGAAAGTGGTGTCGCTGCGAATGAAGGGTGGATAGAGGTGGTGAACCAGAAGACATGCTCTGTGTTGGCTGCAAAGGCTCTGGCTCTGTCATTTCCCCAGAATGTCCCCTGCAGATGCCTGGCAGTGGAAGATCAGCAGTGAAGGGCAGGAGAGAGGCAGCTATGCACCAGCTCTTCTTTGGAGATACTACCAAAGGGGAACATTTGAGATGCATTCAGGTCTTTTTAAAGGCATTTTTAAACCATATGTTAAAGAACCAAACAAAGTGGATATGGATCGCTTACGAAGTAAAGCCAGTTCTTGCCTTCGCTTTAGAAAATGCTTCCCTAGGCTCAGAGAAACCTTTTAAAGTGCCCACTCTGTGGACCCTCCACTTCATGTACAGGATGTACAAAAGAACAGCACAGCAGAGCAGGGCACTGACCATAGCACCAGACTGCCCGGGGTTAAAATCCCGTTTCTAACATGTGCTGCTCTATATCCTTGATTTAGTTTCCCTAATAAATGGAAACTAAATACCTACCTCACAGAGTTGTGAGAAAATGGATATAAAAACACTTAGCAGGCCGGTTGTGGTGGCTCACGCCTGTAATCCCAGCACTTTGGGAGGCTGAGGTGGGTGGATCATGAGGTCAGGAGATCGAGACCATCCTGGCTAACATGGTGAAACCCCATCTCTACTAAAAAATAGAAAAAATTAGCCGGGTGTGGTGGTGGGCGCCTGTAGTCCCAGCTACTCGGGAGGCTGAGGCAGGAGAATGGAGTGAACCTGGGAGGCAGAGCTTGCAGTGAGCTGAGATTGTGCCACCGCACCACTCCAGCCTGGGCGAGAGAGCAAGACTCCATCTCAAAAACAAAACAAACAAACAAAAAAAACACTTAGCACAGGCTGGGCGCAGTGGTTCACACCTGTAATCCCAGCATTTTGGGAGGCTGAGGTGGGCAGATCACTTGAGGTCAGGAGTTCAAGACCAGCCTGGCCAATGTGGCGACACCCCGTCTCTACTAAAAATACAAAAAATTAGCCGGGTGTGGTGGCGGGCACCTGTACTCCCAGCTACCTGGGAGACTGAGGCAGGAGAATGGCGTGAACCCGGGAGGCAGAGCTTGCGGTGAGCTGAGATAACGCCACTGCACTTCAGCCTGGGCGACAGAGTGAGACTCCATCTCAAAAAAACATTAGCTGGGCATGGTTGTGGGCACCCGTAATCCCAGCTACTCGGGAGTCTGAGACAGGAGAATAGCTTGAACCCAGGAAGTGGAGGTTGCAGTGAGCCAAGATCATACCATTGCACTAGCCTGGGTGACAGAGCGAGACTCTGTCTCAAAAAAAAAAAAAAAAAAAAAAGCACATAGCAGAACTTAGCAGAGATCATCACTCATAGTAAATACACTAAATGCTCAGTATATGGTAGTAAGACTGATTGCGATGATTTTTGTAGCCCCTGACACTTGCTTTCTCCTTAGTCTTCTATTTTAAAGAACACAAGAAACATGATTTGTCCCTGCTCTCCTAGAAAGGGGAAACTTGGAGGCTCAGCAGCTTTTCTCGCCATGACTCTTGCTGTGATTGCATTTTGAGTAGGGAACGTGTAAAATTCATTATCCAAACCCGGCTACTTTGGAGAGTGAAATGGAGTGTGAATGCGATGGGACACCAGGGCAATAGGCATAAACCGGGACTCTCCCAGGAACACTGGGAGTTTGGTTACCCTAATTATGGGACTATTCAAGAAACTGAAATTCTAAACCTTCTTCCTGTTTCAAAGTCTGAAGCTCAACTGGAGGCTAAGGTGATAATTTTCTCAGAAGTCTATTCCTGTATCTCCAGAAGAATAGGAGATAATTGCACTTGCTATTTTATCTTATACTTGCCATTTTACCCAGAAACTATTTTTAAAAAATGAGTCACAACAAGAAAGCATTATTGCTACTTTTATATTCCTTTGTCAAAAACCTTGGCTGGGTCGTCAGGACCCTGGATCCATTGCCCTGCTTGGATTATCACAATCCTCGTCCAAGTTATACCACTTACACAACCAGGCAGCTGGTTCTAGGGACCTCTGAGACCTCTAAGGGTTTAGAATTGTTTTTAATCTCCTGGAGTATTATTATGTAATAATGTCAGTGGTGTTATCTTTTCTAAACTCAGATTTTGCCTCCTTTTGGAAGTAGAGTTCAATCTAGGTTGTGAGCAACACACTACTCCTGAAAGCACCATGAAGGAATGAATAGTACCCTTACTCATCCTTATTTGGAATGTTTTATGTGCCAGACACTATAATTTCATGTAATCCCCACAGCAAACCTCTGTGGTAGGTACTGTCATCATCTGGAAAGAGGGGTCACTGAGACACAGAGAGAAGGTAAATGACTAATCAAGGTCTTACGACTAGTAAGCTGAAGCATGGCTTTAAATGGAGAGAGTGTGACTTCTCTGGCCATGTTCTAAACTCTGAGCCATTCAACAAAGTCGGGTGGCCTGAAGGAGGGGAAGAGGCCTCTACATTTCCACCACCACATTACAGGAAACAAAATTTATTTTGATCTTAGAAGCTGAAATAGTCATTTGCATGGCCCATACCCTCAAAGTGCTACCTTCTGGCCTAGGGGGTAAATGAGAACAAAACTTGTCGTGAGAAGGATAAACAGCCACAGGGTATGTTTTAACACATAGCCCTCTGAAGAATGCTGTTTCCATTGTGTAACTGGAAAGATCTGGAATATCAATATTATTTTGATTTCTCTCTGTGCTCATTGGGAACTCATTTCAAGGGCTCACCAATCTGTGTTGCAGACCAACATGTGATCCAACTTTCAACTAACATGGCATTTTCTATCAGGCTTCTTAGCAGTTCACACTTACTATTTTGCAGCTCATTCAAGGGCTATGATAATTACCTTGTCAAAGACTGAAAAATAGTTTCTAATCAACTCACACATTTTATCCTATGGAAAGAAATTCAAGGAAGTTACAATTAATGCTAACCCAGATAATTTGCTTCAAGGAAATAATTAAAAACAGGAGTTAAATTGACTTGAATTATATTGCTAAGTAAAATTCTTATAAAATGTAAAATAAATGGGTCTGAGTTTTGAATTTTAATTTTTGCAGAGTCAACTTTATTAACAGGTTAAAAAAATTCATGAAACATCAGCTATTGAACTCAATTTTCCAGATTTCTTTAGTCACTTGATTTGCTTCAGTCATAGTACCAATACTGTCTTTTATTCTGTTGATGAAAAGAGTCAAACTCTGTAAAATATTTGAAGGGATTTATTCTGAGCCAAATATGAGTGACTAATGGCCCATGACAGAGCCCTGGCTCTCCTAGAAAGGAGAGAATTGGAGGCTCAGCAGCTTCTCTCCATGACTCAGAAGATCCTGAGGACATGTACCCAGGGTAGTTGGGCTACAGCTCGGTTTTACACATTTTAGACATAAGACATCAATCAATACATGTAAGATACATGTCATCAATACATTTTAGTGAGACATAAGACATAAGTGAGACATAAGACATAAGTGAGACATAAGACATAAGACATCAATCAATACATGTAAGATATACACTGGTTCCTTCCAGAAAAGCAGGACACCTGGAAGGAGGGGAGCCTTCCAGGTCATAAGCAGATTCAAAGATTTCCTTATTGGCAATTGGTTGAAAGAGTTATTATCTAAAGACCTGAAATCAATAGAAAAGAGTGTCTGGGTTAAGATAAGGGATTGTAGAGACCAAGTTCCTTATCATGCAGATGAAGCCTCCAGGTAGCAGGCTTCAGAGAGAATAGATTGTAAATGTTTCTTTTCAGACTTAAAAAGTCTTTTCTATCAGTCTTAAGGTCTCTGTTTTAATGTTAGTGCTGGTCATCTGTGCCTGAATTCTAAAAGGAGGAAGGCATAATGAGGCATGTCTGACCCGCACTTCGCAGTACGTCCTGAACTAGTTTTTTGGATTAACTTTGGAATGCCCTTGGCTGAGGGTAGGGCCCATCAGTCACTTGGGGGTCTTAGAATTTTATTTTTGGTTTATAATTTTTTTGTTCAAAGCTGTTAGTTTTAAACTTCTAACCAAACTTGTGGTTATGTTTTATTTATTCATTCATTCACTTACATACTTTTTTTAGCTAACCTTTTTTTTTGGCATCTAATGACCTCAATTTACAAATTCATTCTTTCCGCAGATATTTGTGAACCAGACATTTTTCTAGGGGCTGGAGATAAAGTAGTGAATAAAAGTGAAAATTTTCTGCTCTCAAGTAGTTTGCAGCATAAGGGGAAAAGAAAGGAAGAAATGAGAAACAAATGGACAAATAAGATAATGCCAGATGATGACCAATGCTGCAAAGCCATAACAAGGGTGAGATGATGAAGAGTTGGAGAGTTAACAGGAGGAGGTTGCTTAAGTTCGAGTGGTCTGAGAGGCCTCTCAAGAAGAATTAGGGTGGAATTCAGTCATGGGAATACTTGTACCAAGGCCATGTGGGACTGAGGGAGAAGCAGGTCCCAGGCCTTGAGCATCTGCTATCTGCCAGGGCTGTCTGGGAGACGGATGATTCAAAGTTGCACAAGAACAGCCGTGGTCTTTGCCCTTGTGAAGTTTATTGTCTGCAGGAAAATAAAGTCCTGCCTCCAAGGAAGTCCTGATTGGTTGAGAAAATAGATATGTAAGTCACTGTAATATAGAAAAATTCTCCTAGTAGGTACCAACATGAAAGCAGAAAGAAGGGAATGATCCAGTTTCCCTGGTGTTAAATTATGTTTAGCCCAAAGCTGCCTCCTTACATATTTGAAGTTTAGATTAATGGTTTCTCTGTATGTAGTGAACTGTAACCTAACTGGATGTGTAAACAGACTGTCACTTACTCCTGTGCCAATCACCAACTTTTGGCCAAAGGCAGACAACTGTTCAAACTTCATTCAAATAAGGCAAAAGCCAAACTGTAATCAACCCAGCTGTTCTGTACCTCACTTCCGTTTTCTGTACATCACTTTCCTTTTTCTGTTCATAAATCCTTTCCAATCACATGGCCACATGGAGTCTCTCTGAATCTATTCTAGTTGGTGGGTGGCGGGGACTACCCGATTCATGAATCATTCTTTGCCCAATGAAACTTTGTTAAATTGTACTTGTCAATGGGTTTTTCTCTCGACATTGGGTAGAGCAATGGGTGAGAGGAGACCTTCTAGGGGAATTTGCCTGGGGATAGTGAGTCACATTGCTGGCTTCCTAAAGCAGGTGTACAATCTACCATGAGTTGCTGTTTTCAGTCATAGAGAAAGATATTCTCCTTGTGCTTCTGCCTAGTTTTCCCTTAACAGGCCCACAAGGGTGTCAGTGATTTCTGTGTCTTAGGCACCATTTCTCATTGTGATCTCTACACAGCAGGTTGTGGTGTGCCCAGAGCTTCTGCAAGCTGCCCGTATCTGCAAGCTGCCCATATCTTTGTCTTTAAACCAGAATCCTTTCTTGAAAACAAATGAGCTTTCCCTAAACCCTGTAATTCGACTACAAATGCAATATTCAAATAGCCTGTAATTGGAATATAAATAACTTCTAATAGGCCATGTAAATGAGGGTGTTAATGTATTATGAATCAGCTGAGGAAAATAGCAAGGACTGTATTCTCTTCCCTCTTCACTCTCCCTCCAGCCTGGAGTTCCATTCAGTGAGTGTTTCACTGAAAACATACCACCTCCTTCCTTCCCTCACTAAGCACAAGAGACCCAGAGTCCCTGCCATTTAATCATGGATTTGGCAGATGGTTTTGTTATTTGTCAAATAAATCTCATTCTATCAATTACTTGTGAGAATCTTCAGACAGGAGATCCTTCAGTTCCATGCAGGCTTGTAAATGTCCCTGCTCAGAAATACAATTTGAGGAAAGCTCTTAAGGCACCAAGAGGAAGTGAGTACATGAGAATCTCCTGGTTGGGACTGATCCCAATCTCAGATCAAGGAGTGAAGGGAGGGAAAAACACTGATAGTAGGTGGAGAATAGGAATTGTTTTTCTTTTTTCCTCCTTTTCTAATATAAGGGAAGCTGGGAGGAATCTCTTGGCCTCCCTGAAGTTCAAAGGTCACTGATATGAGGCACATGAATAGGAGAAAAGGCATACACATTTATTTAATGTGTATACACAGGAGCCTTCAGAATGAAGACCCAAAGACACAGGGGGAATTGTTCATCTTTAGGCTTAGGTTCAACAAAGTATGCACAGCCATGTAGAAATAGGACTAGACACAAAGGGTATGATCTAATGCTGATAGACTGAGTGGGGAAACCCAGCAAAGCCTGTGTGTCTAGATCCTGCTTGGCCTCTATGAGCATGCATTCCTTCATTCTGAGTATGGGGCAGGACTCTCTCTAGAATAGGGTTCTTATGGCCTACAGTCAAACAACTAAGTCAGATCATTTCCTTTCTTTTCTTTTTTCTTTTTCTTAAACAGAGACAGGGTCTCACCATGTTGTCAACGCTGCTTTCAAACTCCTGAGCTCAAATGATCCTCCCACCTTTGCCTCCCAAAGACTGCTGGGTTTATAAGTGTGAGGCCACCACACACAGCTCAGGTAATTTATTTATGGCCAGTTTTTACACAGAAAGGTGGAAGGAAACTTAGAGTCATATTTTAGGTTTTATGGCTAGCTCTGGGAATGAGAGTTCTGGTTTCTATGACCCACCTTGGGGAAGAGTGATTCTAGTTTCTATGGCTAGCTTTGGGAAAGAATGGGATTGAGAGACAGGAGGGCAGGAGAAGATCAGAGAAAAAGTTTTGCTTATGAAACTACTTCTGAGGTCTTCATTTTGGGGTATTGTTTTCTGAGCCCCAACAAGCCCATACTTTATTGAGTGTCTACTGTACTCCTGGAACCGTGCTGTATGGCTGTTTTCTCTCATTTAATTTCCAGAAGAAGCCTGTGATATACTGATTATTATTCTCATTTGTTCGAGATCAGGAAACCGAATTCCAGAAAATCGAGCAGCTGGATCGTGTAACTTTTGGTAGCAAAAGTTTTTGTCTACTCTGTCCCATACAAACTACTGGAATAGAAATGAACAGGATTGTGATATTTTTGTCATGCTAATGTAAAAAGGAAAAAGAAATACTGACTCTGTTAATTTTAAGCTATAACTATTGCATAACAATGATAGATACAACTATTATCTACCAATGGTGGTGCTCATTCTAGACTCTAGGCTCTTTGAAAATAGTAATTTGTCTTTTTCATCTTTGTGTCTTCCCTTCTTTTCTTTCCCGTCACCCTACTGAAAAACATTGTATTGATACAGAGTACTGGCAAGAGGGTAGTTGGATGAATGACTAAATTAATGAATTGATGAGGGTGATTGATCTTTTCTGACGTTTACCTAGGAGAAAAGGATAACAGTCTAGAGGGTAAAGCTTGGGAGGTAGGGAATGTGAATAAATTAGAGCTCAAAAAATAAACACCTGGATTTAACAAATGCTTAAGTGAGGGAGGTGTGATCAGCAATGCAGACAGAAGGCTGCATTCAGCAGCCAATTTAAGAAAGATGCTTGAGAAGTTTCAAGACAAAGAGAATTTGAGCAAAAGTTGGTGGGCCTGGAGCAAAGCTCCAGCCAGGGAGAAGAGTCTGTGGCAAGAACACAGGACGGCTGTGGGTCTGGTCACTCAAGAGTCAGGCACTTCCTGTGCTTCAGGCCCCCTGCAGAAACTTGTCTCTTCTTGAAGGCTTCCAAACATTCCAAGGGGTGACTCCCAGGAGCCCCGTTTACAAGTTAATCAGCAGAAGCTTACAAGATCCAGCTGCTTAATTTTCTGGACTTCAGTTTCCTGATCTCAAACATCCAAGAGGCCTTAAATAACCTGCCCTGAGTCACACAGTCAGTAAATGGCGCAGGTGGGATTTAGTAACATCTGGCTGACTCCAGCCTCTCCTGCTCTGTCTATCGCCCTGTGTTTCCTCAAAGGCCGGATGACAGTGGGGGCTGTGAGATCCCCAGATACTGCAGAGGAATGCTGGGAACAAACAAACAAACATTAAAAAAAAAAAAAAAAAACCTCCCTACTTGCTTCAGAACAAATAAAGCTGAGATCAAGGAAGCCAGGTTTGGACTGAGGCAAGAGGTCAGGGTGAACTCATACACAAGGACAGAGTTTCCACACAATAAATATTTATTAAGCAATCGCCCTGCAATGAAGGCCTGCAAGAGATGGATCACTGCTTCCAGCTGCTCGGGAAAGGAGAGCCATACAGCTTTCTCACAAATATGCATGCATGTATAATACGAAATGCATTGCTGTACCTTGAGATTCTCTTAAATACCAGTGAAGTGAGTTGGGTACTTTACATAGAACATGCACACACACACACACACACACACACACACACACACACACACACAGATAGAGGAGGACTTTTAGGAAGAGCTTGACTGTCTTCTCTGGTTCCTCCTGCAGAAATCTTCAGCAGTCCCTGATGCCTAAAAGAACGCTGCGTATTTGCCTGTTTTGCCTCCATAAGGGAAGTGTCCTGCCCACCACGCCTTCAAAAGGAATGGCCTTCAGGCCTTGTCCTTGGTTCCATTTGACCCTGTCCTGGCCACAGCCAGCTGGACTAGGGGTGGGCACTCAGCACCAGCAGCCAAGCCAACAGCCGGCTGGAGACTCATAGTGTGGCCCAGAATAAAGTCAGGGCTGAGTCAACCAGACTCTATCTTGGGAATGTGAATTGAGAAATATAGACTTGAGATCAGTTTGTTCACGAGACACAATAAAGGAAATTAGCTTTGGAGAAAGTTCTTTGTCAGGAACTCTCCTGTCGCACACCCGGTTCAGTTTGGTTTTGCAGGTCAGCATACTTTCAGCTGGTGAACGGGTGCCAGTCTGCCATGGGGCAGGCATCCTCACTTCCCCCCAGCGCCTCTCTCACCTGGTCTAAGCCGCTGGTGAGCAGCTCACACTGCACGCTTCTTAAACTTCCCCAACAACTCTCCTAACTCAGACTACTCTCTTGCATCAGTGAACTCTCCATGCCCTCCTTGCTTCCCCCAGGAGATTCTAGACATCTGCTGAGAGAGGCTGGATGGGGAGATGGGCTAAGATTCAAAACTCCAGTTTGGACACCTCTTAGCAAGGGCTGCAGGTAGGAGATATCTGGCTGCTCCTCCAGGTTCTCCTTTAAAAATTGAGGACTCTTCCTACTTGTTAGCTTCAGTTTTGAGGATTTAACTAAAATTATGAAACAACAGGGAAATTCCCAATTGGCAACCTTTTACAAAAGGATGGGAGCTGAACCTGCACAGTTGAGAAGCTTTAAGGACAAGAATGGACCACCCATGTGCAAAACAAGGCAGTGCGGGAGAATCGGAGAGGGTTGAAAGCATGGGCTCCAGGGGCCCCACAGTACTGGACTCAGGCCTGGTCTGGCCATTTCTTGGGTGTGTGACTTGGGACAACACTAACATCTTTCTAGCCTAATTTCTTCACCTGTAAAATGGAGAAAATAATAGTCCATTCAGATAATTATCACAAAGTTAGTCCAAGTAAGCAAAAGCTACCTATAACAGGAAGAGCCCTGGCCCTTGGGGGTAGCATCACATAGGCAGAGATGTGAATGGTGCCTGATTCCCGAATGCCGGGAAAATGAATTGGGTACTTTGCACAGCGCACACACAGAGACACGCAACACTCACATACACATACAGAGATGACAGAAGTTTAGGAAGATCTTGTTGGTAGAGAGGAGACAGAGAAAAACAGAGATACAATGAGAGGCAGAGAGAGTTGAAGAGGCGTCATGCGGCCATGAAAGAGAGGGGGAGGTCAGTTCCTAGAGCTGACAGATTTCTACTTCCAGCTGTTCTTCCACTCCAAGCCTATAATTGACAAAACAAAACAAAACGAAAAAGCACTAGCAACTACTTGTGGGTGAGTCTGTGTTCCAAAAAAGCAGAACTAAACCAATGAGCAACCTCCTGAAATGCTCCACTCCCTCCCCTGGGAGTTTCTCTGGACAGATCTTAAATATGGGCTTTTCTAGGAATAATGACACTCAAATGTTGAGATGGCTCCAATATAACAATATGCATGTGACAGACTTGCATCATTAGAGTACAAAACCTTCAAGTCAGAAATAGTAAGCTAAAACACATGGAAATTTTCTTTCTGGGCAGAATCTTGCTGTGGTTTTATTACAAATACTTTGGTAGTAGTTCTTTGTGGTAGATTGCTTCCAAAGATGGAAGCAGGAGTCTCTTGCAACGTGACCTCGCCGTTCCTCCCACTAAGAGGGGGAGTCTCTTTCCCTTCCCCTTGACCCTTGGCTGGCATTGTGACTTATGTTGACTGATAAGATGTGGCAGAAGTGAAGGTGGGTGATCTACAAGCCTCCGTTACAAGATGTCTTGCAGTGTTCATTTTGGCCCTCCTGCAGGCCCTGAGACCTCCATGTACAAAGGCCTTGCTTAGCCTTCTTGAGGCCTGGAAACCACAGGGAGAGAAAGGCCTCACTAACAGCCAGCATCAACTGTCATCAGTGAGGCCATCTTAGACAATTCACAGACAGCCAAGCTACCAGATGATGTGTCTATAGGTGGATTCACCCAGCTGAGCTCAGCCCGAATCACTTGCCCACAGAATTGTGAGTAAATAGTGTCTTCAAGCCACAAAAGTGAGGGGTGTTCTGTTACACAGAAACAGATCATGGACTCAAGGATATACCACTTTCCTCATTGTAAGCAGGTGCTCTTTTAACTATGAAGTAGGAAGGAGGGCAGCACATTCACATAACCAACCTATAGTAGAATTTGGGCAGCCAAAGTCTAAAGGGATTATTGTGTTAGGAATTTATTATCATTAAACAAAAAATGATTGTTTAGCCATGTGAACAGCAGGTGTTGGCCCTCAGTTCTATCTCTTAAAGATAGAAGCAAGTGGCTTTAGAGTGGGGTGGCAGAGCTTGCTCTTGGGGCTGTTTGATTTGTCCAAAAGCTTGCCCACAGGAATGCCTGTGGGGGTCAACTTCTCCTTAAGCCAGGGTGTCACTTAAGGTGGATCTTATTTGCAAGTATCAGCAGCAATATCACCAAGGGGATTTCCCTTTTCTTTTCCTTCTGACAACTATTGCAACTAATTAAGAATTCTGTGACATTTTAGCTGGAGAATATTACCCAGAAAACACATCTGAGTAATAAGGGACACACGGACACAGGCTATTGTCACAGAGATAGTAATGTTTTTAACACGGACAAAAAGCTTATCAAAGCAAATGCAAAATCAGTTAATCTGGTTAAGTCCAATTGCAAGAGTAAAACCTGTAATGACTGCACATACTCAGAGAGCATGTCCCAGGTGCATGCTTTTGACTGTCAGATAGGTCCCGTTCTTTTTCATTAAATAACTACACTGGTCTATAACTAGTCCTCACCCAACTCATTTTCCTTTTTGGCCAAGGAAAATAATCTCCATGGTATTCATATAAGATCTTAAAACGCGACATGGTAAAATAAATATCCTGTTGCTCTTTTTGTTTGTTTGAATCTTTCTATCAGTGGTCCCTGTAAGGGAAAAACATTCTGCCTCGGGATATACAGAGGTAAGTGGCGGAGAGGACACGAAGCACTCATGGGTTCAGTATAGAGGAATACAAGGACTCTGGGAAGTTCTGCGAATTCCCACACATCATGGCTGTCGGCTGCTCAGCACTTGCCTAAGCTCTAGCAGACCTCAGCAATAGGAAAAGTCAGGCATGGTGTCTCTGGGGATAAAGTTGCTATTGGCTAGTTTGTGATGTCACACATAGAATTTTGCTTTGCCATAGGGATGAGACACAGGAATCAAAGCTGTCATTTTGCAGCTTTGAAATCACACACAAGTTTGACTTTTTTTTTTTAATGAAATTTAGGTCAACTGTAACTATTCTGAAATTCTGGCAAAAGGATAGGAGGAGAGTGTTAAGATATTACATTCCTGCAAAATTCAAATCAGTGAAATGTTACATGCAAATTCTTTTAAAAAGTGGAAGGTGTTATATAATACAATATTTTATTTATTTGCTAGATTTTAAATAAAATATTTTTGAAAGAGTAATATTTTATGAGGAATTTAAAAATTCATTGGTACAAAAATTAATGATAAAAAGAAATTACTTCATACACATTGGGTTCTCCTTTTGTATCTAACAATTACATAGAGAAGTATGCAGCCCCCCCTAAAATATAAAATAAAAAATTTAAAAGGAAATGTTCCTTTAAGGAAGTCTTCCACCAGTTCCAACAATTAACTTAAAATGTTTTTGCATTTTACTAATGTTTGACTAGTTCCTCCTTAACTTTGATGTCTACAGTTTAAAAGGGCCCTGCCTGTAGCTGTCTTAGAAGGGTTTGATGGCATGTGAACGGATTTGATGTCCTTGGAAGAAAGGTAGAATCACACAGAAATTCAAAATATGTTTTTCTTTACATCCACATCCCATGGGACTCAAAAAAATTTTATCTCCCAAAACATTTATCTCAATCATACTAGTAATTTCTATAATTTACTTCATTGTAGAAAAAGCATATATTTAATATTTAGGGCTAAGAAAACAGCTTCCACTGTGCCTTTTTCCCAGTTGTACACTGTCCTGGATGACTGTCTAGTAGTTCAGGTCAACAGAGGTCATTCAGCAGCCCCTTCCCCTCCCTGCTCCTTATCTCAAATAAAATATTTAAACTGATTCATGTAGTTTGGCTCCATAAATTGATCTAATTCTTCAAATACTCACCTAAACCCTATTTTCTTAATACTAACAATGACAGTCCCATTAGTTGGAAACTATCTTGAAGGACCTTGAGCAAAGAGTTTGACATATCTAGGTTGTTGAATCCCTGTTCATAATGTGGTTATGTATTCAAGACACAGTAAATGGGAAAGATCTAGCAAAGGTTTTGGTCCCATTGAATTCTGCCTTAGTGTTTGGCAGAATAGGCTCTAAAAGCTTATTCTGACACATGCGGAAAATAAGCTGACGCTTCTCTTTATTGTTTTCATTCCTCAACATTTACATTGTTGTGTATAAATATACAATACATATATAATCAAATAATATACAATTAAATAAATATACAATTAAATAATCAGGTATTCAGTGAATGAATATACTCATTTTTAATATAGTCTTATCTCATAAAGGACAATGATACGTGCTCTGTTCTAGGATATAGGAGACTTAAGGTCTGTTTCTATGTGCTGTGCATCCTTGGAGAAATGAAATAAAAGCATATTTATAAGCTGAGTTTTATTTTAATCTTTCCAACTGCCTCATGACAAACAAGCCTACATGACAAACAAGTACATTATAAACACTAAAAAGGCATATTATATTATCTCTGACAAAATACACAAGATGACATTATGGAAAGTAACTAAGGAAGGTAAGAGGTAGACAATATGATTTCTATTTTCCTGTGTGGAAACTGAGTCTCAGAGAAATTAATTGACTTGCCGAGGCTCACTAGCTGGATGAGCAGAGGCTTTGAATCCATGTCTCTCACACTCTGCAGCCCAAGCTCTTACCTACTACTTTGGGTTCTAGTACAGCGGTTTCAGCCGATCTGGGGTCAAATCGTAGCTCTGCCACTTACCAGCTATGCAGACTAGGTAAGTTACTTTACTTTTTTTCGTGTTTGGAATACAGGAATACTGCTATTTAGTCCAGAATATTGGAAGGATGAAATGTGGCATAGTATGGAAAGGATTCCCATGTAGTAGTTTCTAAGTCAACATTAACTCCTTAATTTTCCTTCTTGCCTAGGCCTCAGTTTCCTTCTCTGTGTATTAAGGAGGTCCTTAGGGCTTTCAAAACATCAAAGAACAGCTGGTTCAATCTTGTCAATTTATAATTTAAAAGAGAAGTGGCTTTCCCCAAATCACAGCTACTTACCAAAGAGTTTGTGTTCTCTTAGCAATAGTTTTTATGATGCTCTTTTTTTCTTTTCTCTTTCTTTTTTTTTTTTTTTTTTTTTTTTTGAGACAGAATTTCGCTCTTGTTGCCCAGGCTGGAGTACAATGGTGTGATCTCGGGTCACCGCAACCTCCGCCTCCCAGGTTCAAGCGATTCTCCTGCTTCAGCCTTCCCTAGTAGCTGGGATTACAGGCATGCATCACCATGCCCAGCTAATTTTGTATTTTTTTTAGTAGAGATGGGGTTTCTCCATGTTGGTCAGGCTGGCTTGAACTCCCGACCTGAGGTGATCGCCTGCCTCGGCCTCCCAAAGTGCTGGGATTACAGGCATGAGCCACTGCGCCCAGCCTGTGATGCTCTTAAAATGAGACTTGGACCTAATTTGAACAAATTATCTAGGATCTTGATACTCTAGAGTCCAGATAATTAGCAAAATTGTAGTTATTGTATTTTGTTTGTTTTGGGAGTTTGGCCCAGGTTAGCTAACACACGTTTATTGCATATTTACTGCTAGGTGAAAGGCCCTTCACAGTTATTGTTTTTTCAGTCTGAAATGCACTTCTCTCGACTTTTCTTGGCTTTCCGTTTCTCATTTTTCAGGTCTAAGCTCAAATATGTTCTCTTTGAGAGGCCTTCTCTGATAGTCTTAATCACCTTCTACCTCCCACATCCCCCAGTTACTTTCCATAACGTCATCTTGTGTATTTCATTAGAGATACTTAATATAATATGCCTTTTTAGTGTTTATAATTTACTTGTTTGTCATTTCTCTGGCTATACCGAATATAAACATCATAAAGGGATCTTGTCAGCATGTTTTCATTGTAATATCTCCTGCCCTAAGCCAGAGCCTGTCACATGATAGGTTCAAAATAAATATTGGTTTAATGACTATCTCCATCCATTACCTTTCCTCAAAACACTTGATGTCAAAACACTCTAAAATAGAGATGAGGGCTTGGTAATTTAACTTCTGAATTTAAAAAAAATTGACCTTGGTAGTTAGGGTAAAAGAGGTAACAAAATCTTTTTCTCAGGCAAATAGGAAGAAGCCAGCACATTCCATTGCTGTGAGTGACTCTGACTTTAAAGACAGTTGGAAGCAATAAAAATAAAACCAAAACCACCCCAATTAATAAAAAATAAAAATTAATAGTCGTTGTGAAATATAGTTTGTCTAAGGTTTTATTCTTAGTATTTGTCATACCTTCTAAACATTTGGCCAGGGAAATTTCATATTCCCTTTTTTCCTGGCTCACAGGAATTACTCTCAGCCACTTGAGTGCCAAATCCAGACACTCACATGAAACAAACCGCAGCCTCAACTGCTTCTGACTGGGGATGAAGAGTGACAAACAGTCACTTTTTTATTTGGCGGTGGAGCCTATTTGGTCCCACACCTGAATGTGACGTGACTCCAATTTTTTTTTTTTTTTTTTTTTTTTTTTTTTTTTTTTTTTTTTTTGAGACGGCATCTCACTCTGTCACCCAGCCTGGAGTGCAGTGGCGCGATCTCTGCTCACTGCAAGCTCCGCCTCCCGGGTTCACGCCATTCTCCTGCCTCAGCCTCCCAAGTAGCTGGGACTACAGGCGCCCGCCACTACGCCCGGCTAATTTTTTGTATTTTTAGTAGAGACGGGGTTTCACCGTTTTAGCCGGGATGGTCTCGATCTCCTGACCTCGTGATCCGCCCGCCTCGGCCTCCCAAAGTGCTGGGATTACAGGCGTGAGCCACCGCGCCCGGCCGACTCCAATTTTTAAAACATTACATTTTAAAGTCATAAGCCTTTTGGCGCTTTAACTTAGAGAGATCTGAGAATTGAATTCTTAATCTTTACTCTAAAGAAGAACTTGTGTAAAAGTAAAATTCAGTAATTGGTCCTGGAGGGATAAAACAGAAGCCACAGATGAAGGTGTGCATGCTATGATTTGAATGTGTGTGTCCCTCCAAAATTCATATGTTGGAACTTAACTCCCAAAGAGATGATGTTAATAAGTGGGCCAATTGGGAGG
The DNA here is from genome assembly GCF_000001405.40 of Homo sapiens. NCBI lineage: Eukaryota > Metazoa > Chordata > Mammalia > Primates > Hominidae > Homo > Homo sapiens. Next base: position 33,650,757 of record NC_000013.11, read on the forward strand.
TGATTACGCCACAAGGGCTCTGCCCCTGTGAATGCAGTAAGTCCTCTTATAAAAAGCTTAGCATGAGCTCCAGAGCCCGCTTTCTGCCTTTCTACCATGTGAGGACACAGTGTCAATCCCCTCTGGGGGAAGGCCTTCTTAAAAGCAGAGAGTGGCCCTCGCCAGACACTGATCTTACTGGCACCTTGATCTTGGAATTCCCAGCCTCAAGAACTGTGAAAAATAAATTTCTGTTTTTTCTAAACTACCCAGTCTTTGGTGGTTTGTTATAGCAACACTCATGGACTAAGACAAGGTGGATAATATCAAGGATAATTCTGAGCTTGTTCATGTCCACAAACATTGGCTTTTATCACAAAGCTTTACTAAGCAACTTCCTTATTATGTTTTAAAAAGCTAGGGATGTAGCAAGAAACATAATATTTTAGATCTGAGATCTGTTCTTCTTAATAAAAAATCATGATTTTTAAAAATTAACTACTTTTAATTCCCACAGGTATCTCACAGTTATTGTCTCGAATTATTCCCCAACTCACTTTCATTAAAAAATGAAAATGTACGCACTACAGGAGTTGTAAGACATCAAAGAAAAATAATTTAAGCTTTTTATCACTTTCGAAGTATTACATTTCAATGTGTTCATAAACTAGCGTGATCATCATTCCGGGTTGCATAGGATAGTCCCATTTCATGCCTCTAATCCAAGCATAGTAATTACTTACACCCCCTGTCATTCTTAAAAATATCTGGTTTGGACAATAAATTATATGATTTGATCATTCTAACAACAGCTCATTAAACTTTGAGATGTTTGATTAAGGAGAAAGTGTCTTTTTAATCTCTGTTTCCCCAAAGCCTAATGCCATGTCTGGCACAAGATTTTTACAGCTGGTTAACAATAGCTGTAAATTCCTTGGTGTTACTCTCATCTGGAGGTGAGCTCCAGTTCCCTTCTTTAGGAATATTAGCCAGACTGTGACTACTGTGCCTAATAGAGTATGTTGGAATTATGCTACCTTTCACCCCTTCTCTAGGAGTCTGAAGCACTCTGCAAGAAGTCCTTCCACTCTGCTGGCGAAAGTAGAGAGGAAATGAGAATGGGCCTAGCTGAGCTCACCTTCCTCTCTCCCCACCAAGGCATCAGGGATGTGAGTGAAGCCATCCTGGACCCTTCAGGCCAGATCAGCTGTCTGGCGAATATCAACAAGTGACTTGAATGAATGACAGTGTCATGTTGAGCAGAAGAACAGTGTCATGTTGAGCAGTGCCACGTTGAGCAGAACTGCCCAGTTGGTCTCTGCCTGAATTCCTGACCCACAAGATTATGATCTATAATAAAATGCTTATTGTTTCAATCCATCAAATATTTGTTCTAAACAATAGAAAACCAGAACCACAGCCCTCAATAAATCTTTCTTGAACTGAACTGACCAAAATGCCCCAGCATTTGGGAATTTTTGGTTATGACATTTGTACAGATATTCTCCCTCCTCAGCTTCAGCTCAGCCTAATTAGATTCATACAACATAGAAATGAGAGGCAGGAATTTTGATAATTTAACTTAACACTAAGTTTAACTTAATACCAAGTTCAAATTTTGGTGAAGACGAATTTAAGCCACAATTTGATGATTGCATATGTGATAAAGTCACACATGGACTTTAATAAATCAAAATCTCTAGATTCTAAACAATAAACATCATTGAAAGTTATTCTGTAATTTTTCCCCATACATTTTATTCACAATCTACTCCTCATATGGGTACAGAAAGTAAAACTCTTAACAGCTTCATAATTCCATAGGCTATAAAAACACATGAATTCCCAAACCATTATTGTCTTCAAAGCCAATATAATGGAGCACAAAAATATTTTCATTAATGACATACACATGAAATTAATGAGTCAGTTATATCTGGTTTTAATTTCAATGAACTACTTAGGAGAAAAAATGTTGGGCAAGTTCCCTAACTTCTTTGAGCTTTGGTTTCTTTTTCTGTAGATTGGGAATAGTAATAGCAACTACCAAAATTTGTAGAGTAGATTCAATGAGACAATGTGTTGGTCAAATATCTGGTATCTAGTAGGTAGTGATATCTGTTTCTTAATGATACTACTTATATTTCTAATTTTTGATACATTAAAAATGACCATCATATACAATAAGGTATGACATCAAAAGAAGAAAATACTTAGGATAAATTTAACAAAAATAGTGCCAGACTTTTAGAGTGGAAAAACTATAAAACATCACTAAAAGAGATTAAGAAGATGCAAGTTAATGGAGAGATATCTCATGCCTCTTGGATTGAACAACTTAATATTGTTAAGATAGCCATACTGCTCAAATTGATATAGAGATTCAATGTAATCTCTATCAAATTCCGAGACATGTGCTTTGCAAAAATTGAGAAGCAGATCCTAAAATTCACGGAGAAATTCAAGTGATACAGAATAGCCAAAACACTCTTGAGGAAGACGAACAAAGTTACAAGACTCAAACTTCCCTCTTCCCAAACTTATTATAAACTTGCAGTAATCAAAACAGTGTGGTAGAGGCAGTAAGGATAGACATATAGACTAATGGAATAGGACTCAGAATCCAAAAATAAACCCATACCTCTGTGGTCAATTGATTTTTGACAAGAATGCCAATGCTATTTAACGGGGGAAAGAAAAGCCTTTTCAACAAATGATGCTGAGACAACTGAATATCCATTTGCAAAAGAATGAAGTTGGAAAACTAGTTTATATTATATACAAACATTAACTCGAAATGGACCAAATACCTAAATGTAGGAGATAAAATTATAATGCTCTTAGAACAAAATGTAGAAGAATAAATCTTTGTGGCCAATTAGGCACTAGTTTCTTAGATATGACACCAAAAGTACAAGCAGCAAAACAGAAAAAAGATCAATTGGATTTTATGAAAATTAAATATTTTGTGCTGCAGAGGACACTATCAAGAAAGTGAAAAGATAAACCACAAAATTGAGGAAGATATTTGTAAATCACTTATCTGATAAGGGATTAACATCCAGAATATACAAAGATCTCTTACAACTCTACAACAAAGGGATGAGTAACGCAATTTAAAAAATGGGCAAATGATTTAAATAGACATCTTCCTAAATAACATATACAAATGGCCAACCCACACATGAAAATATTTCCAACAGCATTAATCATTAAGGACATGCAAATCAAAACCACAATGAGATACCACTTCACAGCAACTAGAATGGTTATCATAAAAAAGACAGACAATAACAAGCATTGGTGAACATGAGGAGAAATTGAATCCTCATACATTGCTAGTGAGAATGTAAAATGGTGCTGCCACTTTGGGGAAAGTTCCTCAAAAAGTTAAACATAGTTACCACATGACCCAGCAATTCCATTCCTAAGTATGTACACAAGACAAATGAAAACATGTGCATGCATGTTTATAATAGCCCAAAGAGTAAACAACCCAAATGTCCATCATCTGATGAATTGACAAATAGAATTAAAGTATTACTCAACCATAAAAAAGCATAAAGTACTGATACATGCTACTACATGGATGAAACTTGAAAATATTATGCTATGTGAAGAAGCGAAACACAAAAGGGTACATACTGTATGATTTCATTGATATGAAATGTGCAAAATAGGCAAATCTATAGAGACAGAAAGTAGATTAGTGGTTGCCAGAGCCTGGGGAAGGGGAGAATGGGGGCTGACTGCTAATGGGGGCAGGCATCTTCTTGGGGATAATGAAAATGCTCTGGAATTTGTTAGTGGTGGTGATTTAACAATGTTGGGAATATACTGAAACTACTGAATTGTACACTTTAAAAGAGTGAATTTTATAGAATGTGAATCACATCTCAAAAACTCAAATAGAGTAAGATAAAAAGTGTTAAAATATAATCTATTGAAAAGTAAAACAGGTACATTTCTGCAAACTCTTCTGCCATGGTGCAGAAGCTGTTAGGTTAGTTCCTGATTTTACCTTGGTTAGTCAGACATGGAAAGTCTTGGAAATACTTCTGTCTGATTTTCTCACAGCACTGGGTCTTCTGTAGCTGACTGAATAGAAGGAGACTTTGATAGAAAGAATAATACTCCAGCCTCAGACTTAGCTGCTTCTTGTCTTGTCTCTCCAGTGCCTGGCCCTGTGGCCATTGACAAGCCGCACCTCATGGTGTGACTTATTTCTCTCTTTTGAGTTTTTTCAGTCTGCTAGTCCCGTCCCTCACCCCTGGAGGTGTGTTAAGAACTAGATACACAAAATAACTGCATGGCATTTTACAAATCTGAATGCTTTAGAAATACAAGCTAAGAATCCTTCTTTGTTTTAATTGACTTTAATGGGACGAGCAGACCTAATCCCTAATGTCTTTCTAAATTCAGAAGTAATTATTAGTGAGAGGTTAACTCTAATGTAGATGTTACTCTTTAGTGGATGGGCATAAACAACAATAATAAACTTTTCTTTTGAATTGCATGGACTAAAATTCTGGCTAAACATTATGCAACTGAAATGAGAGCTGAGACAATGAATAGTTCCTTCAGAGGAAAAATATAATTATTGGCAAGAATTGATGGTATTTTTCTATGACCAGTTCCAATACATCAATCCAGGAGGCCAATATACTAGTCATAATTTAATGAGAGGCAAGTCCATAATAAACGGTGACTTTGTGGATCATGGTGATGCTCTCAAATTAATGCATACTTAGTTTTAGTCTCTCCCCTCCCAGTCCATTCCAGTCCTAATCTCTCCAGGTATGAGTGATCACTCCCTCATTTAATTCCCTTTGTATATATTTTTATTGGACCGGAGACACTTTATGTCACCTATTTATGATAATTTTTGTTCCTTAGTACTAGATGTAAGCCCTTTGGAAAACAGAGGCTGTGTCTTTTCCATCTTTGACTCCCAAGAATTCTATATAGTAACTGGAACATAGTAGATATTTAATAAATGCATCGATGAATGAATTCACAAATGCAAATTGTTGGCAAAGTTTTATATGAGCACAGGATAGCAACAGCTAGAAGGAGGTTCTGGAATTGGTTCCCAGAACTGCTGCTGTCGTTGCAGGTTTGAAATCCTCAGGGAAATACTGCAGCTGACCCCAGAGAAACTTGCAAGAACATGCTTGAAAATGGGAAACATATTAGAAGCAGAGGTTCTTAGTGGCAAAGAATTTAAGTAAGCTAACAATGCCACCACTCTGGTCCACACCAGCCATGAGCCTTTGCACCTACTCTCCTCCCCACCTTTCTACTTAAGTGGGCAACTTCTCTCCTACTCCTTATCCCACTTTCTGGCTTCATTTTTCTCCACAGCAATTATCACTATGTATTCTAATGATTTTTTAAAATTTATTATTACCTGTCTCCCCTCCTACCTCAACAGAATCTAAACTCTGATTTGATATAGTCTGGTTTCTCTGTTCTATACCCCGTGCTAGAAATAGTCATTGGACATAGTAGCTTCTCAATAAATATTTATGGATGGAAGAAAGGGAAAAGCGATAGAAGGGAGGGAAAGAGAAGACGGAATGGAAGAAGAATGAAAGGAAAGAAAGGGAAGATCAATCTAAGAAATATCTAAAAGTCTTGAAAGCTTTCTACGATGTTTAATATATTCAGGTAAGCTTCTGTTTCACAGATTTTTTTGTTTGCCTTAAAAATATTGTAAAAAATTGAAAATCTGGACACTTCTCATAAAAAATTAGGTTATGAGTTTCTCCCAATAAGTCTGGTTAAACTAGGTCTAGCTCTCGTTCCTCATTGGTCATGTAGACATTAATGGCAGCTTTAGTAGGGACATGGGCCAGAGTCACCTAATTTGCCGGAGAATCTTAAACCAGGAATGGAAATTGGGATCATTCCTGGATTTTCTGAGAATCTTGTTATGGATATGTAGCACAGGAAGTCCTCAGAATAATTTAGATTCCTATGGAAATTCATATTCCCAAGGGGTGAACTTCTAATGCGAAGAGAATACTCAGATCCTTAAATCTGTTCATCTAAACCAGAGATCCCTGGAACTTACCTGCAAGGGACAACTGTGGCTAGACAAACTCTTTCCTGATCCGGCTGCCCCAGGTACTGTCAGTAGAGCACCCTGAATCCTGCAGTTCTCTAGAGGATCTTGAGCTTACAGATGGTAGGACATGTCCACCACTGGAGTGATAGAATCACAAAGCATGTTCTTAAAATAGAATTCTAGGCTGAGCGCGGTGGCTCACGCCTCTAATCCCAGCACTTTGGGAGGCCGAGGCGGGTGGATCACGAGATCAAGAGATCGAGACAATCCTGGCTAACACAGTGAAACCCCATCTCTACTAAAAAATACAAAAAATTAGCTGGGCGTGGTGGCGGGCGCCTATAGTCCCAGCTACTCGGGAGGCTGAGGCAGGAGAATGGTGTGAACCCGGGAGGCAGAGCTTGCAATGAGCAGAGATTGTGCCACTGCACTCCAGCCTGGGAGACAGTGAGACTCCGTCTCAAACAAACAAACAAAGAAAAAAAACAAAAATAGGATTCCACCGTTTGTCCCCCAATACCTGATTCATTCAAAAAATACTTGTTGAGCATCTAGTAAGTGCCAGGCCCTGTGCTGGGCACTGTATGTTCAGTATTGAAGGAGTCAACATGATCCCTGTCGTTACAGACCTTACAGAATCATCAGGGAACACTGGAAGCACAGGAGGTATTACAGGCAGCAGAGGACTTAGTCTGGTCTCTGAAACTGCAGATTTAAAGTTCAAAGTGTAGAAAATATGCAAATATACTAAGCTTTTCCTGAACTTAGGGACATGTTTGGGATGAATTATAGAGAAACGGATGTAGTTCTTTAACTTATTCTTATAACATAGGTATATAAACTTCCTTTAGTGTCATTAACATCCTTCGAAATGTTTAGATGTAACTGTCCAAAGGCAGTCTTGCCTCCTCTCTTTGTAAGTCAGTGAGTAGTTGTGCTCACTCTTCTACATAAACCCAATCAATGTGAAGGCTTTTTTCAACCTATGCATTCATACTACCACTTACACTAGTAAATCTACTATTACTTCTGATGATTATGGGTGTTTTTCTATAAAGTAGATTTTCTATTTTATGGTGTATAGTGTATTTTTTGACTGTGGCAAAATATACATTACATAAAATACATGATTTTAACTATTTTTAAGTGTACAGTTTAGTGGCATTAAATACATTTGCATTGTTGTGCAACCATCACCATCAGCCATCTCCAGAACTTTTTCATGATCCCAAACTGTACTCATTAAATAATACTTCCCCATGCCCCTTCCTCCAGTCCCTGGTAACCACCATACTACTTCCTGTCTCTCTGAATTGGATGACTCTAGGTACCTCGTTTAAATGAAATCCTACAATTTTGGTCCTATTGTGTCTGGCTTATTTCACTTAGCGTAATGTCCTCGAGGTTCATCCATGTTGTAGCATTTGTCAGAATTTTCTTCCTCTTGAAGGCTGAAGAGCAGTCCGTTGTATGTACATACCGCATTTTGTTTATCCATTCATCCATTGATAGACACTTGAGTTGCTTCCACATTTTTGCTATTGCGCATAATGCTGCCATGAACATGGGTGAGTACAAATATGATTGTTTTGTTTATGTGGTGTTTTTAACTTTGCAAAATGTTTTTGTTGCTATAATATCATAACCCCTCTGAGATAGATTAGTTAGTATTTTCCTCTTCTGGTAAATAAGAAATCCAAATTTTAAAAAGTTAAATCACTTGTCAATTTAGGGACAGTTTCTGACTCTTAGTCTGGAGTATCTTTTTCTCAACATACCTTTCACTTTTCATCCCAATGGTCCTTCACCAGCTGAAGATACCAGAGACTGTGATATTGCAAAATATATATTTGGTCTTCGTCCTCCTTTCCTGGAAACAACTACTAAAATTCTTAGAATCTTCAAAGTGATGTCTTTTAGTATGCTAAGACCGTGGCTAGCAGCTCCCAGGTAGTTTCAGGATGGGAGCTGGTCACCAGAAAGACTAAGGCATGATTAGAGAGAGAGTTGGGACTTTCACTTCCACTCCCCAATCTCTGGGAAGAGGAGAGGTGCTAGAGGTTAACTTGGTCACCAATGGGCAGTGATTTAATCAATCATACCTACATAATGAAGCTGTCATTACAACGCACAGGGGACAGGGTTTGGAGAGCCTCCTGATAGCTGAACATGTGGAGGTTCCTGGAGGGTGGCAAGCCCAGGAAGCACATGGAAGCTCTTTGCCCCCTTCCTCATATCCCTATGCATCTGTTCATCTGCATCCTTTTGTAATATCCTTTGTAATAAACTGGTAAATGCATTTCCCTGAGTTCTGTGACCCACCGTAGCAAATTAATGTAACACGAAAAGGTGGGTATGTGAACTCCAATTTATAGCCTGTTGGTCAGAAGCACAGGTCACAACCTGGGTTTTTTCTTTTTTTTTTTTTTTTATGAAGTCTTGCTCTGTTGCCCAGGCTGGAGTGCAGTGGTGCCATCTCGTCTCACTGCAACCTCTGCCTCCCGGGTTCAAGCAACTCTCCTGCCTCAGCCTCCTGAGTAGCTGCGACTACAGGCATATGCCACCACACTCAGCTAATTTTTGTGTTTTTAGTAGAGATGGGGTTTCATCATGTTGGCCAGGATGGTCTCAATCTCCTGACCTCGTGATCCACCCGCCTTGGCCTCCCAGAGTGCTGGGATTACAGGTGTGAGCCACTGCTCCCAGCCAACCTGTGGCTTTTGATTGGCATTAGAAGTCGGAGCAGTTGTGGGACTGAGCCCTGAACCTATGGGACCTAACACTCTCTCCAGGCAGATAGCACCAGAACTGAATTGAGTTGGAAGACACCCAGCTGGTGTCTGCTACAGAAATGCTTGCTCGCTTGCTTGCTTGGTGCGTGGGGAAAACCCATGCTAAATGAAGTCAGTAGGCTCATATTTTGGGGGAAACCTATGTTTTAAAATTTATCTTTCAGGCATCAGTTGCAGCTGTTTTTTCTCCAAGAAAATGACATCCTGAGCTAAGCCAGACTGTCTCTCGCTTACCCCTCAACTGTGCCATTTATGAGAAAATTCAAACTTTGTCTAATGCTACAAGCTGGGAAACTATGTCTACAACCAAAATAAAGGATTTAAATCTTGATTACTCATGGGCTTAAATCATACCTGATATGGTTTTACATGCTATTCTTTGATAACAATCTTCATTAAATTGCAGAGATGCCAATGCCATGTTTGAATAGAGAGTTTGAAAAGTTGAGAGGTCCTCAGAGGAACATTGAGGGAGGAGAGAAGAGGCCAGGTAGGCAGGTGTGGCCAGGCCAGCTACGCTCTGCTCACGAGGGCCTTCCCAACAATACTCCAGCACAAGCAGAACCATGGTTTTTATTTTTACTGATTTGTACTTGTGGGGGTTTTCTTAGCTGAATTCATGTTTTTTTATGTCAATGACAGTAAGTGAGATTCTGTTTTTCTGAAATAGTGCTATTATCTGTGTTAGTTGTCATAGTTTTTCACTATTTAAAAAGATATTTCCATCAGTTAGAACTTCTCTAAATTTTAACATTTCTCCAATTGTTAAAAATCTCTCTAATTACAATAATTCCACATCAGTAGGAAAGTTGCCAAATCTTACATTTTGTCTGACTTGTTTGCCTTTGGCCTTCCCTTGCTGGTACTGATCAGGTGCAGACCATTGGTGAAGTACAGTTGTTTCCTTTGATAGTAACATTTGGGGGTGGTTCTCTCTGTACTGTCAGGGAGGTAGGACACTAAGTAACTACTTGATTTGTACTGTGGGTTTGTTTGTTTTTCAAGAGACAAGATTTTCCTCTGTTGCCCAGGCTGGAGTGAAGTGGTGCAATTATAACTCACTGCAGACTTGAACTCCTGGGCTCAAGTCATCCTCCCACCTCAGCCTCCTGAGTAGCTGGAAATAGAGGTGAGAGCCACCATGTCTGGCTACATTCTTTATTTTCTGTAGAGACAAAGTCTCACTATGTTGCACAGGCTGGTCTTGAACTCCTAGCCTCGAATGATCCTCCTGCCTTGGCCTTCCAACGTGCTGGGATTCTAGATGTGAACCACTGTGCCTGGCCTGTGCTGTTAGATTCCTAATGGTTTCACTTTCTTGGTAGGGTTGCCAAAATAGCAAAGAAAAACATAGGACATACATGTAAAGTTAAATTTCAGATAAACAGCAAATAAATTTTTATAAATAGATTCCATGTGACATTTGGAACATACTTATACTGAAATATTATTTGTTATTTACCTGGAAATTCACATTTAATAGGGTGGCTTGTATTATATCTGGCAACACTATTCCTTAGATTTCTTCCATGAACATTACTCAAAGAATAGGATCTCATAGTGTTATCAACAAATGCCACTTATCATGATAGGGGCTGAACTTGGTGATATGGAGTGACCTAAACTGGAGGATAAATTGTAATGTCAAGGATACAGGACAAGAGATAATGAGGACTTGCCTTTCACTGCGGTTCTCCTTTGGAAGCAGAAGCAGACTTCGGTAGTTTACCGTCCCAGGTGGTTAACCTGAAATGCAGGATTTGTGAGACCAGCCAAGGGAAGAGGAAGTAAGAAGGCACGTCCAGATCTGACACATACTCAATTTTGTTAGTCCTAAAAACTGTAGTGTGTGTAGGTACTCTACTGGTGTATGAGTCCGTTCTCACACTTCTATAAAGAGCTGCCCGAAACTGGGTAATTAAGAAAAGAGGTTTAACTGACTCACAGTTCCGCATGGCCGGGGAGGCCTCAGGAAATTTACAGTCATGGCAGAAGGCACTTCTTCACAGGGTGGCAAGAGAGAGAATGAGTGCCAGCAGGGGAAATGCCATGCGCTTATAAAACCATCAGATCTCGTGAGAACTCACTAATTATCAAGAGAACAGCATGGGAGAAACCGCCCCCATGATTGAATTACCTCCACCTGGTCCTGCCCTTAACACATGGGGATTGTTACAATTCAAGGTGAGATTTGGGTGGGGACACAGAGCCAACCCATATCAACTGGGGAGTGTACATATATGTGTATCTACGTATGGGAGGGCAAGGGATAAGGAGGGGAAGAATCAGGAATATGATCTCCTGGCAAAAAAAAAAAAAATTATGATTATATTCTAATATACATATAGGTTCACAAATATGTCATCATTAAAGTAATTATTTTGGCTGGTCGCGGTGGCTCATGCCTGTAATCCCAGCACTCTGGGAGGCCGAGGTGGGCGGATCACGAGGTCAGGAGATCGAGACCATCCTGGCTAACACGGTGAAACCCCGTCTCTACTAAAAATACAAAAAATTAGCTGGGCGTGGTGGTGGGCGCCTATAATCCCAGCTACTCGGGAAGCTGAGGCAGGAGAATGGCGTGAACCCCGGAGGCGGAGCTTGCAGTGAGCCGAGATCATGCCACTGTACTACAGCCTGGGCGACAGAGCAAGACCCCGTCTCAAAAAAAAAAAAAAAGTTATTTATTTCTTGCCCAACCACCAAACTATCTGTCTGGGTTTCCCAATCAGTTTAGAGTTATTACATTTCTCTTAATTTGATTGTATATAGACACTTTACAGGTTGTATAAAAATGAAGTAAAAATTTGCTTTGTTTTGAAAATGTTGTAATGGAAAGGCCACCGGAATGGATATGTTACCACTCCTTTCCCAAACAGCCTTGTTGGAGGCCCAAGTGAAGTGTGCACCTGGTCAAGGTGCAAGTTACATCTGATTTTGTCTGTGACTCTCCACAAATCAAACCCTGCACTTTAACTTCACGTTCTGCCGTTTTCAGGCCATGGTCACAAGCCAATCCAGTTCTATTGGAAACAAACCTCCCCCTCTTTATCAGACTGCAGACAACAAAGACAAATCTGTGGGAGCAGGGAGTATACCATGCACTATACCCCCTCTCTATTTGCTGTGAGATTAAAGATCACACAAGGTTAAAACGAATTTTTAAAGCTGACACCCATTAATTTGAAAACAGCTACAACCCTATTGGTCAAATGCATAAGGAGACATAAAATTTTCCCAAGGAGGAAATATAAAAAGCTAATGAATACGCTCTCCCTAAAAAAATTTGGTTTCCATAGCAGTAAACAATAATGCAAGTTAAAATAAGACACTGTTTTCTTTATAAACTTAGCAAAGTCTTGAGAATATATCAAATTCAGTGTTGGTGAGAGTGAGGTGAGGTATTTATTCCTATTCACTGCTAACAGTAGTTTGAATTGATGCAACCTTTCTAGAAAATAATTTTCTAATATCAAACAATATTACTTTCTTTTTTTTGGAGATAGGGTCTCATTCTGTCACCCAGACTGGAGCGTAGTGTGCAGTGGTAAGAACATGGCTCATTGCAGCCTCAACCTCCTGGGCTCAATTGATCCTCCTACCTTGGCCTCCCAAAGAGCTGGGATTACAGGCATGAGCCACCATGCCTGGCCAACGATATTCTTTCAATGATAAAAATCTTAAAACTGTTTTAAAATTTAAAGATACTTAAAAGATCCAAAAATATTATGGACAAAAATTATTATGGACAAAAAATAATGATATCAGCATTTTGAAAAATAAAAATACTGTAAGAAAATGAAATGCTTAGCTGCTAGGGTATAGTTTATTCATTTTGTACGTGAAAAAAGTTGAAATAGTAATAGTATGCAATCAACAAAAACAATGTTTATGATGAATTTTAAAAATATAAGGAAACGCCTTTGTCATATATTTAGCTAATAAGAGTAGTGCAAATTATATTTAGTTTGGGATCAATTATGTTAAAATAGTAGGAAAAGAATTACAAAGACATACAAAATGTTAACAGAGGTTATCTAATAAGGGAGTATGACTATAAGGGAATTTTACTTGTGTTTTACTGTTTTCTACATTGCCCAAGTGTTCTACGACAGTCAGAAAAAAATAGACACTGAGTGGTCAAGTGGACAGCAGAGCAGGAGGGAGCAAGTCAGAAAGGCTCTCTCAGATCGGGTTAGGACACTCTCAGAGTTTAGAGCTTCTCCAACAGGAAAACAAGAAACCCCGGGTTCCAAATGCCTCTTAATGAGTTCAGCTTCCGCCTTACTTGCCTGAACCTGATGCTGTGGCACCGTTCCTCCGACTCTTTCCGTAATGACCAGTTCTGCCCTCATCACTCTGAAGAGAGACTGGCAACTTCCAACGGGAAGGGAAGCATCCAAATGCTTCCTCTGCAGGCAGGGAGGAACGCAAGCTGGGTTGTACTAACAGGAGTGCTTTGTCTTAGTCCCATCAGAGATAAAACAGGATTTTCCTAGATCCAAGTAACCACGAATCCTTTCCAGTTGCCACTCAGGATCTGAGGGGGAAAACGTAGGGATGCTGAAGAGACACTCATTTCTCAACTTCACATTTCCACTCCATTCAGCGAACCTGCTCGGGGAGGCTCTTTTCACTCTTCCCATTTCCTTTTTTGTGGTCCACTATCACATACAACACTACGCTAAATAGGGTTTAGTAGCAGACACACTTATTTTGTTTTTACAATTGTTGTTGAGTTTTTGGTGTCACAGCTTGACAGAATACATCGGCAGCAGGGGTTCCGCATCAATAGTACTTCTCACTTGAGGGTTTTCTCTCTGAAAACTTACAGAACTGTGTTGTCTTTGGACTTGGTGAAAACACCTTTTAATGCATTCACAGTTTGCTGCATGTGATGAAACTTAGCAATGCTCTTTCTCACCTTGAAGAAATCGATTTCACTCTTGGCTTCATGTCTTGTTCTTGTTGAAATTGACACAAGTCAGTTGCCTGCTTTGAACTTCAGTTACCGAACTTAAAAAAACTATTGACTCTTTTATTTATTGAGATGGAGTCTCGGTCTGTTATCCAGGCTGGAGTGCAGTAGCCCAATTTCAGCTCACTGCAACCTCCGCCTCCCAGGTTCCTGCCATTCTCCTGCCTCAGCCTCCGGAGTAGCGGGGACTACAGGCCCCCGCCACCACGCCCGGCTAATTTTTTGTATTTTTAGTAGAGACGAGGTTTCACCACGTTAGCCACTATGGTCTCGATCCCCTGACCTCATGATCCGCCCGCCTCGGCCTCCCAAAGTGTTGGGATTACAGGCGTGAGCCACTACGCCCGGCCAAAAACTACTTACTCTTTTACTTACCTTACTCATCCTGACGGAAAAGATAAAATAAGATCCTGTGTGAGAAATGTTTTGTAAACTGTGTTGCAAACGTCACAATGACGAGAACGAAGGAGGGACAGAGGAAGTGGAGACCCTGTTACTGTGGCGAGCATTTCAGGGTCAGGGGCCTGTCAAGGAAGCATCCAACAACAGAATCCAGATTGCTCAAAGGTAAAGTCCTGCTTCTTATTTAAGGGAAGTTCTTGATCATGTTTTACCTAATGCTCCCTTGTTGAGTGGTGACTGAACTGGAGAAAACCTGAATCCCTTGACGTTTTATGCAATTTATGCAATAAATTTTCAAAGGAGTGCCTCTGTGGCATTTTTCATATTCTGAAGAAGTATTTAATTAAAAAAAATCCAAATAAACTTTTGACCAGATGCAACAAGACATGCAAGAAGCTATCGAGTTGAAGATAGAACATAAGAAAAAACAATACACAGATATTTAATCTTGTTATGGTCAAGAATTAATGGCTACTCTTGTACCTTTAATTAAGAAATAAGACCATTTAAGTTATCTCTCGATGAGCAGTTAAATGACAGCAATATTTTCTTTCACCAGCTCCCTTCTCCTGCCAGTTGCTTTGTGCTGGTTAATTTTGATGGAAAGACAATGCCTAATAGGATTATTTCAGACAATGGAGGAATTACTATCAAGGATAATTTTTTCTCTTATAGGAGAACGTGCATCTTTATTTTGACTTTCCTATTTTTCTTCCAATAATGAGGTGAACTAATGCTGTTTAATCAACTGAAAGCTTTCTGGCTTTCAGAGGCAGCCATTCGGAAAAGGCTGATGTTAAATGAGAGAAGAGGGAAACATTAAGCTAGAAATAAAATGGACTCCAAGCTCTGACTCTCTCCTGGGGTCTCCTCGGTGCCATAACTTTTGATTAATGAGAGTCTCAAGGGGGAAGATCCTAAGTCAATGTCACTCAGCTGGCTCAGTGTAAATTCTTGGGCTGCACGTGTCAGTAGAATCCATGCTTGACCACAGGGACCTGGAATGAACCAAGGCACAAAAAGACCTCTGACTTGTCCCTGAAGAAAGAGAAGCTGCTGCTAACATGAGACTAGGCCATGTGGTAATGTCTACACATTCCTTTGACCCCAGCCTTCTTACAGAATCTCTGGGAATGCTATGGCATGCTTCCTAATCTCTAAATGGAGGAAAATTTCTAGATCACTTCCATGGATCTCAGGAGAAATAGCCAAAGTTTCTCTGAATTCATTTTGCATTGTTGTTTTAATGTTACTAATACATTGATTAGAACTTATCATATAAAATTACATTCATAGGCTGGAAATAATTTTTTTTGTTGTTTTTGGTTTTTTTTGAGAGAGAGTCTCGCTCTGTCCCCTAGGCTGGAGTGCGGTGGCACGATCTCGGCTCACTGCAAGCTCCACCTCCCAGGTTCACGCCGTTCTCCTGCCTCAGCCTCCCAAGTAGCTGGGACTGCAGGCACATGCCACCATGCCCGGCTAATTTTTTTTGTATTTTTAGTAGAGATGGGATTTCACTGTGTTAGCCAGGATGGTCTCGATCTCCTGACTTCGTGATCTGCCCGCCTCAGCCTCCCAAAGTGCTGGGATCACAGGCGTGAGCCACTGCACCCAGCCTATTTATTTTTTAAGACAGAGTCACGCTCTGTCACCCAGGCTGTTGGGTGCAGTGGCGCGATCTCGACTCACTGCAACCTCTGCTTTCCCGGTTCAAGCAATTTTACTGCCTCAGCCTCCCAAGTAGCTGGGATTACAGGCTCCCACCACCACACCCGGCTAATTTTTTGTATTTTTAGTAGAGACAGGGTTTCACCATGTTGGCCAGGCTGGTCTCGAACCCCTGACCTCATGTGATCCACCTTCCTCAGCTTCCCAAAGTGCTGGGATTACAGGCGGGAGCCCCAAACCCAGCCTAAAATGTATTATTAACCACATATATTTAAAAAGTGGATGGATGAATAGATGGATAAATTTTAGGTCCCAAACTTTGGGACAAATGCTGTGAAGACAGAATTTACTTCCGTTAACCACAAATAACCCAAGAATGTTCACCAAACATCATGTAGACTGAATAGATGCTTCCATTATATATAACTTAGCACTTTTTAAAATGTATTATTAACCACATATATTTTCCTCTCTGACCACATTGTTCATTCTTGCCATTTCTGTTATCTCTGTTTAAGAAGCTTCTGAAAGATATGATGATAAGTGCAGACAACAGCGATGATATGGAAAGGAGAGTTTGACTATGGAAATGTTATTGAGGGACAAACAGCATTATCTTGAGAATCTCAAGCTTTACCCTCCATGGTAGGGATGCTGCTGTACCTGTTGGAAGAGAATAGAATGCCTATGTGGTTTTTATCTCTTTGTGGGAATAGAATGTCTATATGATTTTTATCTGGTTTTTCAGAAAAATGTTCAAAAATATCTACTTTGCTCTCTCAGAACTCATGTACTCATTTTACTTTAAATTTACTTTCATTTTCTAGTTCATATAGATGCACATGTAGGCAATTAAGCAAGTAGTTTTAGGTGCATTTGTGTGTATGTGTGAATGTGTCCATTTATCTTCTCAACTATTGCATCTCTTCACTTCTAAGACACCATCCTCTGTGAGATGCACCATTAGATAATGTATCATTAAGAAAGAAAAACAACACTGTCAATTAAACTACCACTTGCTATCAGTTGTAAAATGCATCTCAATTTCAGAGATGTAAAAATGTGAAAAGATCCTGAATACTCTTCATTGGTAACAATGTTTTTCATGTGGTCTGTTACAAAAACATCCCTTTCAATGGATGCTGAAGAGTCATGTTAAATGAGCATTAGCCTAAAGCTGCCTCCTTACATATCTTAAGTTCAGCCTAAAGGTTCCTCTGTACATCATGAACCATAACATGTGAAGGTGTAAACAGACACGGGCCATAGCCTACACTTGTGCCTGTCACTGAGTTTTGGCCAATCAAATGTAGCCAACTGTTTGAACCCTGTTCAAATAAGGAGACACTGAGCTATAAACAATCCGGTTGTTTCTGTCCTTCACTTCCATTTTCTTTACATCACTTTCCTTTTTCTGTCCATAGATTTTCTTCCACCATGTGGCTGCGCTGGAGTCTCTGAGCCTACTCTCGTTCAAGAGGCTGCCCAATTCGGGGATCATTCATTGCTCAATGAAACTGTTCTAAATTTAATTCGGCTGAAGTTTTTCTTTTATCAGTTGTTGAACTGAAACACTTTGCACCTACCTAATTGTTTCAAATATCTATTAAAAAATGGCAAATATCTGTTCAAAAATGGACCTCTAGGAAAAATCGAACTGCTAAAACCAAGTCCTAGGTCTTTTATTAGACATGCAAACTTGAATATTTGAATAAATGAAATGATGATGTCTTAGTTTCACTTCACCAGCAACCTGGTGGTGGGCATTGTGGGAGAGTATGGGTGAGGGTGGCTATGAGTTGACAATTGGTCAAACTGGATTGCTAGGACAGGGGGGCTTATGATAGTATTCACTTAAAATTCCAAGAAAAGAAGAGTTTCTGCCTGTATAGTAGTGACAGAACAGGAATAGGACTGTGCTCCCATGTGCCCAAGAGGTAGTCTCTATGCCCAAGGTAGTAGATTACAGATGGAGACTAAAGAGAACGTGTTTCCTGGAACCCTGAGTGAGAAGATGAGTGAAAGATGATGCTCACCGCTAGTTCTTCACCTTCCTTCTGAAGGCCCTATTTTGTTAAAGCTGACTGGGTCCTACCTTTTGTTACAGGGATGGTTGGCTAGTCCTCATAATTGCATCTAGCCCTGAAGATCACATGCTATTTTACATTGGTGTTTGCTCAGCTTCAGGGAGTGAAGAAAGCTGGCATAGAGGCTAACTAAAAACAGCAAAAATAGCAATTAAAATTTTCATTGAATGGTCCAGCTGTGCTAAGTAGTTTACCACATATTGTTTTATTTAATTGTCTTAACAACCCTGACAGGTAATACTAATATTACCTCTACTTTTACCCATGGGAAAATGGACAGAGAAAAGTTAAATGCATTTCCCAAAACTGGCAAGTGGCAGGTCCTGGATCACAATGTAAACTTGTGCTCTAAGTCACAGCCATGTATTGCCTTATTTTCTGTTGCACCAAGTTAAGAGCAATGGAAAGCACATCCTACTGAGAATGGCTTGCAGAATAGGACTAAAGACTCAGCCTTCAGCCTATAATCCGCAGAAGCAGATGGGTGTAAAGGAACACAGACACAGGAAATGACCCTCATAGAAACAAATAAAAAAGGAATGCAGAAACCTCTACTAAGTAGATAAATGTAGTTCTGTCCAGGACAGACAGAAGAGGCCGGCTTCTCTGATTTTCATCCCCTCCTGAGTCTTTAAACCTTATCAGAGTATGCTCATGCTTTCTCCAGCCTCTCATGCCTGGGTTCACTGGTGTGTGGCACACCATCGCCAGTGGTCCTTTGGGACTTCCACCGCTTGCTCACCTCCATCTGGAATCTTACCCATGCTCACTAACTGCTATGATAAGAAGAGGATGTTCTTTTTTTTTTTTTTTTTTTTTTTGAGACAGAATCTCACTCTGTCACCCAGACTGGAGTGCAGTGGTGTGATCTCAGCTCACTGCAACCTCTGCCGCCTGGGTTCAAGCAATTCTCCTGCCTCAGCCTCCCGAGTAGCTGGGATTACAGGCACCTGCCACCGCACCCGGCTAACTTTTGTATTTTTAATAGAGACTGGGTTTCATCATTTTGGCTAGGCTGATCTTGAACTCCTGACCTCGTGATCCACCCACTTTGGCCTCCCAAAGTGCTGGGATTACAGGCGTGAGCCACCACACCCGGCCAGAAGAGGATGTTCTTCTTATCCTACTCTTGTATGTCCCTTAAGAGCCCTATCTGTCCAAATGTACTTTGTTACAAAATCTAATCATTATTCTTTACACTTGTGCAGATTTGAAGATTGTTCCTGCCCTGGTAGGCCAACTACTACCACCTTCTCCATATTTACCCACAAATGCCTGAGTAACATTTAAATAAATAGAACTTTTGGAGTGGGAAGTGTTGGAATCACCTTCTGGATTGGCTGATCATTTGGGCTGCAGGATCCTGAGGGTAGCTCAAGGATTACATATGTATTCACAAGCAAGGAAAGCCACAGGGGGATGAGACTACGATACAGGCTGTGACTTGCACAGGGCTTGGCATATAGTATGCCAAGTATCTTATATTCTTCCTCTGTGTTTCTAATAATGTCACCAAATATCACATTGAACTTCAGTGGGACATTTTGAAAATCCTTCATGGTATCATTGCAGACAAGATTAAGAATATGGGCAGCGCTAATGCAACTAGGCAGATTAATAACTCATTGAACGAACATAATTGGAGAATGTCACCAAAGATCGCGTTGCATTTTTTTGTCTATAACATATGGAATTTACTATCAACTAAAATCCTAAAGTCTTATTTCACAAGTACAAATTCTTCCAATGAGGGCTTGTGCACTTATGATTATGAACCAAAATAAATAATCTTATATTTGTCACAGTTACTTAGGTCTAGGTAGCTTGAGCTCATTATTCCAACCTGTTAAGATCTGTTTTTGTTTTGATGCTGTCGTCACATAAGTGCATTCTTCCTTTTGGCGTTATATTCAGAAATTTACTAAACGTGCATTTATCCAAGACACTGATAGAAATGCTTATCAGGACAGGACCAAGAACAAGGTTTTTAGTAAGTCACCAGACATCCCCTCCCCCGAGTTGCTTATAAGCACCCTCTACGTAAGTTCATTCAACTAGTTATTAATCTGCCTCATTGCATTAGCTAGGCCCATATTTCTTCATCTTGTCTCCCATGATACCATGAAGGATTTACAAAAATGCCCCACTGAAGTTCAAGTGTATTTTGTCTATTGCATTTCCTTGAACTATTGTTTCCCGTTAATTTGCCCAAATTCAATTTGCCTAAAAGCAATTTGACAAAAAGCAATTTGGTTAAAAAGATAATTTCTTCAAAACTATGGTCTAGTTAAAAGGGAATAATGCTGATAGGTATTTTTTCAAAGTTGGTCTGAATTGCCACCCATTTTGCACCCTATGTATTTTGTGCGTGTATTGCTTTTCCTCAATAGTTTGATTTTTTATTTCTAATTATTTTCCAGCTGGTTATTCCTATTAGGCATTGCTTATAATGTAGAATAATTGAAACAATCTAACTGTTCAGCAATTAATTAAAATAATGCAAATGTCCAACAGTTGATGGATTGCTTTAAATTTATGATAGTTTCCAATTACCATATGGTAGTTAAAAGACCATATGTCTTCCAATATGGAAGCCTACCATGCACTAATGTGCAATCATTGGCTAGCCCTTCTTGAATAGGATTATGTTTAAAATTGGTTTTCTGGTTTGCATTCATTATTTCCCAGTAAAATGCATATGTTATTTTAAAATCCTAAAATAGGATGGTCGTGATCACACCTGTAATCCCAACACTGAGAGGCTGAGGCAGGAGGAACAGTTGAGTCAGGAGTTCAAGACCGGCCTGGGCAACATAGCATGGCCTCCTGTCTACAAAAAATACAAAAATTAACTTGGTGTGGTGGTGCATACTTTTATTCCCAGCTACTTTGGAGGCTGAGGCAAGATGATCCCTTGAATCTAGGAATTTCAGGTTATAGTGGGCTATGACTGGGCCACTGCTCTTCAGCCTGGGAAACAGAGCAAGACCCTGTCTCTAAATAAATAAATAAATACAATTAAATAATTAAATAAATAAATACAATTAAATTTAATAATGAATGAAAAGCCTAAAATAATACATAAGTCACAATTATAGTCACAATTATAGTTCAACCACTCTATCAATTTCAAATAATTTGCTTCTATTATTAAATCCTTAGCTTGTCCCTTTTACACTGTTGGTGGGAGTGTAAATTAGTTCAACCATTGTGGAAGACAGTGTGGCAATTCTTCAAAGATCTAGAACCAGAAATACCATTTGACCCAGCAATCCCATTACTGGGTATATACCCAAAGGATTATAAATCATTCTACTATAAAGACACATGCACATGTATGTTTATTGCAGCACTGTTCACAATATCAAAGACTTGGAACCAACCCAAATGCCCATCAATGATAGACTGGATAAAGAAAATGTGGCACATATACCATGGAATACTATGCAGCCATAAAAAAGAATGGGTTCATGTCCTTTGCAGGGACATGGATGTGGCTAGAAACCAACATTCTCAGCAAACTAACACAGGAACAGAAAACCAAACACCACATGTTCTCACTCATAAGTGGGAGCTGAACAATGAGAACACATGGACACAGGGAAGGGAACATCACACACTGGGGCCTGTCACAGGGTGGGGACAAGGGGAGGGAGAGCATTAGGACAAACACCTAATGCATGCAGGGCTTAAAACCTAGATAATGGGTTGACAGGTGCAGCAAACCACCATGGCACATGTATTCCTATGTAACAAACCTGCACGTTCTGCACATGTATCCCAGAACTTAAAATAAAATAAATAACTAAATAAAATTTAAAAAATCCTTAGCTTATCCTCTAAGCAATTCCTTAGTTGTTCAAACTTTTCACAATACAAAGTAATTACTTGAAGATGAATTCATTATACATAATGACAAAAATAAGAGTTCTGAAAACTGTTAAACAATATTTAAAGATACAGTGTTATAAAGCTGTCCCATGTTTGATCACCCATACTTGAATATATAATGATGGGAAATAATTATTTGCAACCAATTTATCACGTTGACCAATTTGCTTTGATGAAATTACTTTCGACTAAATAACATGCTATCCATCTACAGGCTAGTAACACAAGAACAAAACAATATAACTATATTGATTATTTCCATTTTAGTGAATCTGTTCTGAATGCTAGGATCCATTGGCATCTCTTTTGGATGTCTTACAAGCCATTCCTTTAATAATCTATTTTAGAATATTGCCAATTTAAGGCAATTTAAGCATATGCATAAGTTCCTTTTAGAGTGGTTCAAAGACCCCAGTGGGGGACAACCTCCTGCTTGAGCTAAGCACTGACAAATGAAGCTAGGATGCTATCCACGCATTTTATTCCAAGTGTTTTGTGCTGATTGATTCTCAAGGAAATGGCTTGACTTCTCCATCCTCTGGCATCTCTACAGAATCAATTCAAGAATATCACGTGTTTAATATTCTTATGTTCTTATTTTCTTACTCCATCCTTAGAGGTTTCCCAATATTATTTCCCTTTGACCTATTTTACTATTATTTAAAAATCAGTGTGATTCTAGGGCTGTGAGTACTGC
Organism: Homo sapiens; assembly: GCF_000001405.40. Classification (NCBI taxonomy): domain Eukaryota; kingdom Metazoa; phylum Chordata; class Mammalia; order Primates; family Hominidae; genus Homo; species Homo sapiens. The sequence continues at coordinate 33,673,321 of NC_000013.11, forward strand.
TTGGCTCTGCTCATGGCCTACATTTGTGGCCATCTGAGAGGGCAGGTGCATAAGAGTTGCAAAACTCCTAGAAATTCCCAATAAACTCTTTGTGAGTCCTCTAAGTGTTGACACCAGGCATATAGGTAGTAAGTTACACCTTACATGATTTTGCCATATTAGATAAGACAGAATATATACATTAGTTTTTTTTCTTGTCTATAGATGGAAGCAGTCAGAACTATTAACTCTTTTTTTTTTTGAGACAGAGTCTCACTCTGTCACCATGCTGGAGTGCAGTGGCACAATCTTGGCTCACTGCAACCTCCACCTCCCTGGTTCAAGCAATTCTCCTGCCTCAGCCTCCTGATTAGCTGGAACTACAGGCACACACCACCACACCCAGCTAATTTTTGTATTTTTAGTAGAGACAGGGTTTTGCCATGTTAGCCAGGATGGTCATCTCCTGTCCTGTGATCTGCCTGCCTTGGCCTCCCAAAGTCCTGGAATTACAGGTGTGAGCCACTGAGCTAGGCCCAGAATTATTAACTCTTTTACTCTTTTTTTTTTTCTTTTTTTCTGAGGAAGAGTCGCTCTGTCTCCCAGGCTGGAGTGCAGTGGTGCGATCTCGGCTCATGGCAACCTCCACCTCCTGGGTTCAAGCAGTTCTCCTGCCTCAGCCTCCCGAGTAGCTGGAATTACAGGCATGCACCACATGCCCAGCTAAATTTTGTATTTTTAGTAGAGACAGGGTTTCACCATGTTGGCCAGGCTGGTCTCCAACTCCTGACCTCAGATGATCTGCCCACCTTGGCCTCCCAGAGTGCTAGGATTACAGGCGTGAGCCACCGCACCAGGCCAGAATTATTATCTTTAAATATCATATTCCTCACTGTCTTAGGGTTTAAAATACAACGGTCTAATTGCATCTCTTCATGTTTGTTCATGAAGAGTTGCATTCCCACCTAATCTTAGTGAAAATTTCTACAATGAAATATTCTTCAAATGGGACATGAAATCATAATAGTTAATTTCAGCTATTTCTTCAGCCTTTCATTCATTCAATAAAAAATGAAAAGTAAAACTAAGAAAAATAAAGAAAACTATTAGCTCTACAGACAAATGACATATTCTTTAAATGTGAGCTCTGTAATGGTGTGGTTTCATCAGGATTTGGTTCTTAGCATAGACCAATGAATAGGAATAGCAGTAAGACCAATGAAGAGGAATAATCTTATTCCTCGAGTTTATAATTCCAGTGCATTTCTCTACCTTTTGGGGACTGTCCCCCAGGCATTCCTATGCTGAGAAATCAGGGTCTGAGTGCAGCCACGAGGGAAAGACCCCAGACTGTCAAAGATGAAAACCACCAGAACCTGAGTGAATCTTTCAATAAAGAAAGTGTCATCTTTAGTAAAAGAAACAGAGAAATCTTGAAATTTTTTTCTGGTGATTTTTTTTCTAAATTGACACAGTAACATATTTTTGTTTCCCCCCTATTATTCCTTTTCATTTTATTAAAACAAGAAAAGAAATTGCCGAGAATGGCTCTGATGTCGTGTCTGGTTAATGAAACTAACACATTACTTAAATATTTATCCTCACATACATAGTATTTGGATGCAGATGTGGAGAAATGTTGTCAAGTTAAAAATAACTCTTTCAGTAAGGCAATGGCACACTGGAATGCTAATCCAAGCCCACTGCTATTCTTCACACCTACATCCTGGGTGTCCTGGCTGCATGAAGTAAACAGCCCAGCTTCCCTTCCTTAGGAACCTTCACCTTTCGGCTAGAGCCATTTTTAAAATGTGTGCCAAGATTAGCAAGAAACAGAGTGACAGGAGAAAGAGAAAAATCCTCAGAGAGCCACTCTCAGTTCCAGAGACCCCCACAATGTTTATGGCATGCCTGTTGGGGAAATTTTCTTCCCTCCAGGACAAAGGTAGCTTCAACATTCTAATCCTTAGAGTGAATGAGCACCTACCCTAATCTGTGCGCAGCTAATCAGTCATGTGGTTCAAAGCATAAAGCCATGAGAATACCTAAAGTCAGGTGAAGCAGCTTAGTTCTGGAAAGGAAAATGTCTGGAGGAGAGAGTTTTCAGGCCAAGACTCCACTACTGCTGCACCCTCAGATTTTAGGTAGGATGTCCTTTGGGGTTCACCTACTCAATATGTAGGTAGGAGAGAACCTGTGTCATGGGAATATGCCCTGGGGACTTACATGGAAATATAAGCCCCTATCAAGGATGAGAAAGGATATGGAGCAAGAATATGGTTTGCTTTTTGTGGAGGGAGATATGGATGCAGATTGGTGCTCTCTGTGAAAAGGGTACAGTGAGGGTTTGGAGATCTCAGGGGAAGTAACAATTAACTTAGTCCCTGTATATCTGATAAAGGCAAAGGAGGAGAGTAGGAACATGTGGACAAAGATTTAAGAAAATAGATGCAGTTTGATTATCATCTACGTCTTCTCTTTTAAGTTCTCTAGGGCACAAAAAGAAGACTCAACATCTTATTTTCCCCAGTGAGAGAGAAATATTATACAGTGATGCCCTCTTAGGAACAGATCAATGAGCTAGCTAAAAGCATCGAGTATTCTACCTCTGGAGGCAGATCAGACTTGAACAAAAATATTAAAAGTTCCTGTACATTTCTACAGGAAGATCGGATTTTGTTAACAACATTAGACAAATAATTGCCTTCTATATTGTTGAACTTGTTCTACCTCCTTTTATGTCTGATAAATCCTTGGCTCCTAGTCTGTACTATAATTACTTTCAACTTTCCAATTTAATTTGCCGCAATCACAGGAAACTGGACTGTACACACTAACACCTGATCCCAACAGATTTTTCACATCTTACAGAGCAGTGCCAATGAAGTTGTAGCGGCGGAGTTTAATCCCCTCCCATGCCTAAGCAAGCAGGAAGCGACATTCAGGATAAAGTCCTGCGGATCGGGACTGCCATTTGGTTACAGTTGCACTGGTGTTTTCTCTCTATGGGATTGGACCTGCACCCAGACCCCCTTTCAACTGGCAAGGATAATTTGATCCCATTTTTAAGCATACTGATTTACAGAGAGCAGAGAGAAAACCCAGTCTATTCTGGACACTTCCACACATGTGTAAAAGTACAACAAATCTACATGACCGTTTCATTATGGAAGACATTTTATTTTTTAAACAGTGGTGAGTTTTTTCCTTTTAAGTCAGAGCTGTGCGTGCACGTTTGACAGTGAGCTGTTATTCCTAAAGGCAGGAGGTTAGGCAGCATGTTAGAGTTTCATATTAAACAACAAAGAGTTTTAAGGAGCGTCCTCAAATTACACTCACAGTTTCAAAGTTCAAGAATTGTGGCTGAGCACTCCTTACCTTACAATTTCGGGTCCAAAGAGGTCTTTAAGTTTAAAGCAGTACATCAAATGTGCAGGATTTATTTTCTTGCATGAAAGTCTCATCTGTCATAGCACTCCACTCCCCGAGAAGAGCCCAGCCTCCTCTTCCTGAACACCAATGAGGAAACCAGAAGAGCACATGGGGGACGTGGCTTCCCTGAAAGCCTGTCAGAGTCTGCACATGCTCTTTGTGACAGAGGTGCCAAATTAACCTTGGCATGAGGCTCACAATGCACCTCATTGTGAGGTCCTGGGCACCTCTTAGGGGAAGAAAAAGGTTATAAAATGTTCGAGCCAATTGAAAGTTTTCACACTTTTGCTGAGATGTGCCTCTTATTCATTAAAAATAAAAGAGACAATTTTTTTTTCCTGTTAATTAGCTTCCTGAGGTACAAGTAAGACGGCACCAACATGTTAAGATAAGAGAGAAGGCTATCTTTTGGAATTCTACTACTGTTTCAGGCTAGTGAGAGGGAGTAATTTATAAAGCTTCATCTCACCACCTAGAAAAGTGCCTATTCTGTAAGAGCTGACAGGAAGTTTTATTGGAATGAAGTTCATGATTATCAGTGTACAATGTAAAATAATGTTTGCTAACCATGTTCCACCAGGACCAAGGGTAAAATGAAAATCTACTGCATCTGGGTTATAAAATCAATCTGTGATATTGACATAATATTTCAAGTGGACTCTCCCCATCAAGGTAACTAGAAGTCATTGTGAGGAGGAAGTCCACACCTTCTTACAGGACACAGACATACAATGACCAGGAAAACATCTGCCTGTTGCTTTCTCACCTGTGTATTTATCTACCGATTACAATGTGACACAGAAAAGGGATATTGGGTAGAAAAAATATATAGCCAAGTCAAAATAATTAAACTTCTTAAAATCAAAATGTTAAGACTTAAGTCCTGATTACTGTTTGCATAGAGCTTGATGCTGTTCATTCTATCCTCCTTGCTGGGACAGGAGCCTGAAGCAGTTCACCATGGTGAGCAGTTGGTCATAGATGTGAAGAAGAGAGAAAGATAGCACCTGGAAGTAGAAAGTGCTGCAGAGACCCGTGTTTGTTCGAGATCTGGTTTTGGTTGTACAAATAATAAACTCTCAGCCCAGGGAACTCTTAGGGTATTTCTGGGTCTCAGTCAGTTTCTTTCCTTTTCTTTTCTTTTTTTTTTTTTTTTTTTTTTTGAGACCGAGTCTGTCGCCCAGGCTGGAGTGCAGTGGCGCAATCGAGACTCACTGCAACCTCTGCCACCTGGGTTCAAGGAATTCTCCTGCCTCGGCCTCCCGAGTAGCTGGGATTACAGGCGCAGGCCGCCATGCCCGGCTAATTTTTTTGTGTTTTAGTAGAGACGGGGTTTCACCGTGTTGCCCAGGCTGGTCTTGAACTCCTGAGCTCAGGCAATCAGCCCTCCGTGACCTCCCAAAGTGCTAGGATTATAGGCGTGAGCCACTGCTCCCAGCCCTGGGTCTCAGTTGCTTTTTCTGTCGAGTGAGGGAATTGAACTAGTTTAGGGATGGAAAATTGATTACCTGCAAGGGCTCGGAGTGCAGAGTGCACTTCCCTGGGTGGGCGCTAAGGGGAGATGGAGACCGTGTGCTCATGTATCCAAGCATGGCTGTCACTCGGTGATAGCTGATTCGCAGTTGGAATGGGGGCTGCATTATGTCCCATTGTCTGCTGTTTTAGAAGAAGCTAGACTTTCAGATTTTTATGTGAAATCTCCTAGATTTCATACGTGGGTAACTTACTCAAAATATTTGAAAACATTGTGAATGCCAAATGAAATCTATCTGCCTGTCAAATTTGTCCTGCTGCCCATCATTTTTTGACTTTTGGACTACATTATTTTGAGTTTCATCCTGGTGGAAAATAATCCTAGGAGATTAGTCTCTAAAAGAAACTGTCTCAAGCTTGTAGTCCCAGCACTTTGGGAGGTTGAGGTAGGCAGATCACTTGAGGCCAGGAGTTTGAGAGCAGCCTGGCCAACATGGTGAAACCCCATCTCTACTAAAAATAAAAAAAAATTAGGTGGGTATGGTGGTGTACGCCTGTAATCCCAGCTACTCAGGAGACTGAGGCATGAGAATCGCTTGAGCCGGAGAGGCAGAGGTTGCAGTGAGCTGAGACTGTGCCACTGCACTCCAGCCTGGGTGGCAGAGCAAGACTCTCAAAAAAAGAAACTGTCTTTTGGGATATTAAAAGGCCAAGGTAGGACTTCATGAAGAAGCTGTACCCAATACTTTTGTAGTGAAATTGAGCACTCTTGTTTCTCTTCTTCATGGTGATGACCTCATGACTGATGACCTCATGTGGAAGGGGTGACCTTCCTTGGAAGGGGTGGTGTGGAACCCATGGTATCATTAACATTCTAAAATCTGATAAATGAAAAAAAGGCATGAGAAAGGCCCACTGGGGAGAAAAGGAAATATTTGTTTGAGTAATAGGAAAACTACTGCAATGCTGCTACCTTATCTCAAGACTCAGCCATCGAAAGTAAAAGCAAAAGGTACAACAGGGCTATGATAAGGAGCTGCATTTGGGAACCGAGGGGAAGAAAGGTTTATTGACTTGCTGAATACAGGAGAGATATCCCGGCAGGGGTGGAGATCTATGCAAAACAAGGTGACTACATGAGTCTCTTCTACGTCAAAGTGCAAAAGTAAAATTAGAAAAACTGTGGTTTGAAAAGTCTGACTAGTGCAATTCTTCCTGAGCCATTGCATGAGCTTCCGCTGGGCGGGAAATCCCATGTTGTGAGTGGGGGATTCACCCTTGTTGAGTGAACAGAGTGCTGACTCACTGAGAACCCGGGCCAGAGACCTGCAAACAATGCTCAATTAATATTTGCCCTGGCCGGTGAACCCAGCAGAGGCTGTGCACGGAAGCCCAGAGCACGGTAGGCCTGGCCTCAGATCTCTCACAACGTGGCTTCAATCTGAATCTTTTCATGCCAGGAAATTTCCCTTGGCCTCTCACAGTGCCTTTCTCTCATAGAGTACCCTTTATTTCTTATTTTGCTCCATCTTACTACAATATTTCAACTGCATTTTGATTTCTTATCACTTGTCTGTCTACCTCACTAAACTGTAAATTGCTTCAGGTATTCTGAAATTCTCTCTCTCATTTATTTCTAGCACAGTCCATGCTTGGCACATGTAAAGAACTTATGAAATGTTGGTTGGATAAATTAGTAAACAGCCAGAAAGCTAATAACTGAGAGAGGTACAATGTCCGTTATATATGGAGTGAAATTAATGTGTTAAGGCTAGCTTTTGGGAAAAAAAATTAGATTTAGATATAGTGCTTTTTCCTATGAGGATTATGTTTTCTCAAAGGTATAGTTAATTTTTTTTTAATTGTATACTATTGTGGATTTTTAGTTTGTACAGTGCTCACTGTAACTTTCCCCATTGCAGTATTTACTAACCTTGCTCCCCACTGCAATATTTACTGACCATGCCATGATCTGAGCTATCTAGGCATTCTTACTTATGTTTCCTATGGCCATCTGTGGGGATGTTTTGGCCAATAATTAGCATACAGCTGAGAGTTAACATAAATTGGCCACCTTCACATCTCATGTTGCTCTCCCAAGTGCAACAGAGGGAGTGAAGGGAATCCGTTTAGCTACGAACAGTTACGTGGCAACCCGTGACCGCGGCAGCACACACTGCTGGGAAGGCTTTGGGGGCCCAAAAACAAGAGTGGATAGAAATCACTGGAGACAGCCACCACCACAAATTTTAAAATAAAATTTAAAAATAAAAATAAGCGGCCGGGCGCGGTGGCTCACGCCTGTAATCCCAGCACTCTGGGAGGCCAAAGTGGGCAGATCACGAGGTCAGGAGATCAAGACCATCCCGACTAACAAGGTGAAACCCCTTCTCTACTAAAAAAAACACAAAAAATTAGCTGGGCATGGTGGCGGGCGCTTGTAGTCCCAGCTACTCGGGAAGCTGAGGCAAGAGAATGGCGTGAACCCGGGAGGCGGAGCTTGCAGTGAGCCGAGATCGTGCCACTGCACTCCAGCCTGGGCAACAGAGCAAGACTCCGTCTCAAAAAATAAAATAAATAAAAATAAGCAAGTTTTCTTTTGAATTACATTTACTTCAACCACAAAATTTTATAACTACTTGAGAAATTAGCAAATACAGGGAAATAAAGAAATGAAGGAAAAGCAGTGCAGATGATTGTTTCTGTTATCCATTGGTGAATAGTAAACTAGCCCAAATTTTAGTAGCTTAAAGCGTCTGTCTTATTATCTCAGCAGTTCTTTAGGTTGACTGGGCCCAAGTGAATGATTCTCCTGCTCCATGTACTATTTGCTAACATTGTAGGCAACTGGGGACTGATGCACTGGAACATTCAAGAAGGTTCCCTGGCATGTCCTCGCCTTGGCAGGGATGGCAGGAAAATGGGCTCAACTGGGCTCAGCTGGGATACTAAGACAAATAGGCCTCTCTTTCTCTTTCTGTGGCCTTAGGGTCTCTCCCTCTCCTCCTCCCTTTCCCTCTCACTCTCTGTCTCCATATGGCCTCTCTGTCATAATAGCCAGACTTCTCACACGGCAGATCAAGTTTCTCCAAAGTACTAAAGAAATTGCCAGATCATCTTGAGGCTTAGGCCTGGAATTGTCACAACATAACTTCTGCTACTTTCTGTTGGTGAAAGTGGTCCCAAAGCTATCCCAGATTCAAGGTGGAAGGGGACTACTCAGTATGGGAGGTGTGGGGCATTGGGGCCGGTTTTGGGGGAGAGCTATCCCAGCTGTGTTCTCATCATCACAATGTTGCCATTTCACCATCTCCTTTGTTGAGAAAGAACAGATGTTGCAGTTATTCTTTTTTACTCTTCAATGGGCAATGTGTGGTGATCTATTTGATTCTGTTCTCTATTTTGATTTCTTTTTCGTATATGGACGGGAATTGTAAAAAATGTCTTCTACATTAGAAAGTCTAAAAGACAGGCTTAAAAAATGGGCCATCTGGTAGTTTCTTAAAAAGCTAAATACAATCTTACCATACGAGCCAGCAATCATTGTCCTTGGTATTTACCCAAATGAATTGAAAACTTACAGGCACACAAATATTTATAGTAGCTTTATTCACAGTTGCCAAAACTTGGAAGCAACCAATATGTCCATCAGTAGGTGAACAGATAAATAAACTATGGTCCATCTATACAATGGAATATTATTCAGCTATAAAAAGAAACTGAGAGGTGACAACGTGCTAGCAGCCCTCGCTCGCCCTGGGCGCCTCCTCGGCTTCAGCGTCCACTCTGGCCATCTCTGGCCATTGTCGACGAGCCCTTCAGCCCGCCACTGCACTGTGGGGGCCCCTCTCTGGGCTGGCGGAGGCCGCAGCCGGCTCCCTCTGCTTGCCGGGAGGTGTGGAGGGAGAGGCACGGGCGGGAACTGGGGCTGCGCCAGCGATCGCAGTCCAGTGTGAGTTCCGGGTGGGCACGGGCTCCGCGCCCGGAACTCAGAGCGCCCGCTGGTGCCGCACCAGGCAGTGAAGGGCTTAGCACCTGGGCCAGCAGCTGCGGAGGGTACACCAGGTCCCCCAGCACTGCCAGCTCGCCACATTGCACTCGAATTCTGGCAGGGCCTCAGCCGCCTCCCCCCAGGCAGGGATGGGGACGTGCAGCCCGCCATGCCCGAGCCCCCCCTTCCCACATCTTCCCCCGTGGGCTCCGGCAAGGCCCGAGCCTCCCCAATGGACACGCCCCCTGCTCCGGGGAGCCCAGTTCCCATTGACCACCTACGGGCTGAGGAGTGCGGGCATGCGGTGCCAGACGAGGCCCCGGTGTGGGATCCACTAGGCAAGCCAGCTGGGCTCCTGAGTCAGGTAAGGACTTGGAGAACTTTTGTGTCTAGCTAAAGGATTGTAAAGGCACTAATCAGCACTCTGTGTCTAGCTCAAGGTTTGTAAAGGCACCAATCAGTGCTATGTGTCTAGGTACTCTAGTGGAGACTTGGAGAACTTTTGTGTCTAGCTAAAGGATTGTAAATGCACCAATCAGCACTCTGTGTCTAGCTCAAGGTTTGTAAACACACCAATCAGCACCCTGTCAAAATGGACCAATCAACTCTCTGTAAAATGGGCCAATCAGCTCTCTGTAAAGTGGATCAATCAGCACTCTGTAAAATGGACCAATCAGCAGGATGTGGGTGGGGTCAGATAAGGGAATAAACGGAGGCTGCCCCAGCCAGCACTGGTGGGCCACTTGAGTACCCTTCCGCGTTGTGGAAGGTTTGTTCTTTTGCTTCCTGGTAAATCTTGCTGTTGCTCCGTCGTTGGGTCCATGCTGCCTTTATGAGCTGTAACACTCACCGCGAAGGTCTGCAGTTTTACTCCTGAAGTCAGCGAAACCACGGACCCACCAGAAGAAAGAAACTCTGGACACATCTGAACATCTGAAGGAATAAAACTCCGGACCTGCCGCCTTTAAGTACTGTAACACTCACAGGGAGGGGCCACGGCTTCGCTCTTGAAGTCAGCGAGACCAAGAGCCCACCAATTCTGGACACAAAATGAGCTGTCAAGCTATGAAAAGATGTGGAGGAAACTTCAATGCATATTGCTGAGTGAAAGAAGCAAGTCTGAAAAGGCTACAATAAATATGATTCCATCTATATGACATTCTAGAAAAGGCAAAACTGTAGCTACAGTAAAAAATATTAATGGTTGCCAGGGGTTCAGTGGGAGAGAGGGAGGGGTGAATAGGTGACGCACAGAGATTTTTAGGGAGGTGGAACTATTCTGTGTGACACTGTGATAGTGGATGCATGTCATTATGCCTGTGTCAAAACCCAGAGAGTGCACAGCTCAAAGAACAACCTTATTGCAAACTATGGACTTTTGTTAGTAATAATGTTTTGGCACTGGTTCATCAGTTGTGACAAACGTAGCGCAGCAGTGCAAGATGTTAATGGAAAACCTGGGGTGGGGAGGGGAGAAGGTGAGGGAGGTGGGTATATGGAACTGCGCTTTCTGCTCCACGGTTTTGGAAACTTAAAACTACTCTAAAAATAAATTATCTTAATGTTTTTAAACAATGGATTCAAGAGAAAATGTTGGAATACTGTTCTTCGTGAATTTACTGTTTTCTTGGAAGATTTCATATAGATTGCTTTTGTTTTTAAAAAAATCAAATCAGTACTGGGCATGGTGGCCGACGCCTGTAATCCTAGCACTTTGGGAAGCCAAGGAGGGCAGATTGTTTGAGCTCAGGAGTTCGAGACCAGCCTGGGCAACATGGTGAATCCCTGTCTCTACTGAAAATACAAAAAATCAGCCAGGCTTGGTGGTGCACACCTATACTCCTAGCTACTTGGGGGGCTGAGGCAGGAGGATTGCTTGAGCCAATGAGGTGGAGGCTACAGTGAGCCAAGATCACACAGCTGCACTCCAGCCTGGGTGACAGAGTGAGACCTTGTCTTTAAAAAAAAATCAGCTGGGCGCGGTGGCTCATGCCTGTAATCCCAGCACTTTGGGAGGCTGAGGCGGGCGGATCGTGAGGTCAGGAGATGGAGACCATCCTGGCTAACACGGTGAAACCCTGTCTCTACTAAAAAATATAAAAATTACCGGGCATGGTGACAGGCACCTGTAGTCCCAGCTACTTGGGAGAATAAGGCAGGAGAATGGCGTGAACCTGGGAGGTGGAGCTTGCAGTGAGCCGAGATCATGCTGCTGCACTCCAGCCTGGGCGACAGAGCAAGACTCTGTCTCAAAAAAAAAAAAAAAAAAAAAAAAAATCATACTTTATTAAAGAAACTTGCTATTTAGAAAAAATTTATGGTGAATCTCTTTGTGATTAAAACCATTACCTGTTGACATTTCATCAGTGAATCTTTTTATTGATCAGATTTATATAAAGAAGCACACCACTGCATATTAGGGCAAAAATCTCCAGTCATATTTTGAGTCCAATTTAGAAAAGTAGTTATTTGCTATCAATTGAAGAATGCTATTCAGGATGGGTATGTAAGGTTTTGAGACCTGTCTGACTTTTGCTTTCTTCCAAAAAAAAATAAAAAATCTTTTTTAAAATGCAGAGTATACATTAAAAGGTGATTGGCAACCTTTTTTTTTTTTGTCTTATAAATTGGCAGTAAGAACCGCCCCTCACCCCGCCCTCCTGCCCCCAAGAAACAATATTGAGGCAGGAGAATAGGATCTGGAGGCAGGGAACATAAGGCCGATTCACACTGACTTCCTAGAACTAAATCGAATGGAAACACTTCAGCTATGACAGGAAATATCCTCACCATTTACATAGGGCGTACACCAAGTAAATGACTTTGTAAATTTACTTCATCCTCCTCATTTACATAGGAATGCCTATGTAAATGTATTCATTTACATAGGCATTCCTAAGTATGTATTCATTTACATAGGCTTCCCAAAGTGCTAGGATTACAGGCGTCAGCCACCATGCTCAGTCCTGATTTGATTTTTTAAAAGGCAAAAGCAATTTATATGAAATCTTCCAATTACATCCTCTTCATTTACATATACCAACTAATCCATGGAAACCTCCAGAGGGTATTTAAACCCCAGAAAATTCTGTAACGGGGCTCTTGAGCCCCTATGCTCGGCCCATTCCCACCCTGGGGGGTGTACTTTCATTTTCAATAAATCTCTGCTTGTATTGCTTCATTCTTTCCTTGTTCTGTTTATCCGTTTTGTCCAATTCTTTGTTCAAGTTGTGAAGAACCTGGACACCCTCCACCAGTAACAATATGACCAATTAGTTAAACTGTTTAAGGAGGAACTCCTCCCCCTCCCCCACCACTGCCCCTTCCACAACCTTCCCCTGTTCTCCTGGAATCTCTTCCCCATGGTGCCCAGTGCCTCAAGTTGTTCCTTGATCACTTAAGGCCTCTGCTGAATAACAGTGCATTTGGGTTTTCTGTTGACTTAACTTCGAGCCTTAGAACATACCTGCCATGCACCTATCCCATTTTGGTCCTGCTTAGGGCTGTGAAATCTCTCCTTTTCCATCACAATTCCTCCATTTTTCTGAAATAGCTTAGTTACTTGAAGAGGATGAAGGGGGTGGTGGTTGTATCTGGGTCTCCCCAAATTTCAGGTAGTATGTTCTACATGACCCCAAAGAATCCATATTTCCAGTATAATTGAAAATGGCGCTGCTTGGTATTGGGATGGATTGGTAGTAAACAAACACACACAATCAAGACCTACCATGCATGATACTTTTTAAATTTATGTTTTAAAGTGATGATTCCCAAACTTGGGTGGAGTGTGTGCATTGAGGGATGGGTCAGCAGAAAGAGGGTGGGGAAGATGGATGGGCAGTGGGTCATTATCACCTCAGAAGCATTCCTAAAATAAACATGTCTGGGGTCTATCTGTAACTGCCTAAATCTATTGTTTGGGTAGGGGAGGATAGGAAGGAGGAAAATAAGGGAGATGCATTTTGACAAGAGCTTTCTAGTTAATAGGATTCTGATACGTTCTCCAGTTGAGTTTAGAGTTCCAAAAGAGATAAAAGAATAAAACTCACTTTAAAAACTTTTAAAAATTATAAAGCAAAAATAAGCAGAACGGAAACAGAAACAGGTATATATGAAAAATAAGTAATTAGAAATTCTTGAAACACATTTAAAAAGGTCATAACTCTAACTGAGATCTAGTTAAAAAGAGAATTAGTAAATTCTTGAAATGAGAATAGAATTGGAAGATAAGCAATATTTCAAGGGAAAACAGCTGAGAATTTTTAATAATTGAACAGAAACATTGGTTCTTTTATTGAAACTGTGTAAAGTGCCTAGCAGAATAAATAAGAATAAACTCATGCTCAACATAAAATCTTGAGCTCACATCTGGATTCGTCCACCTTCTAACTATGTCACCTTCTTTAAGTTACTGTATTAATCCATTTAAGCTTCTATTTCTTCATTATTGAGGGATAGTCATAATGATACCTGCCTGTAGCAATTTTTTAAAAGGAACATACATTTGTTGACACTCCTCCCAATAAAAGGTGAAGTCTATCTTCCCTAACCTTGAACCTGGGCAGGCTTGTGATTGCTTTAGCCAACCACGTATGGTAGCAGCAATGCTCTGTCTCGAGGCTAGCTCATAAAAGGTCTTTCAGCTTCTGTCTTCTGTCTCTTACTCTCCAGATGTCTTGTTAGAATGCTACCTCCTGGACCCAGCTGCCAGGCTCTGAGAAGCTCAAGTCACATGGGGAGGCCACGTGTAGGTGACCTGGTCAACAGTCTCAGCCAAAGCCAACTCTCAAGTAGTCCCCTGTGGGTGCCAGACATGTAGATCAAGAAGCTTCTGGTTGATTTCAACTGCCAGCTGCTTGCATCACCCCCAGCTGAGGTCCCAGATGTGGTGAAAAAGCAGCCACCCTCCCTGTGCTGGTTGGAATTCCCTACTCAGAGAATTCATGTGCCTAATAAAATGGTTTTTGTTTAAGGCCACCACGTTTGGAGTTGTTTGTTATGAAGCAGTAGACGGTCAGATACCTGGAATACTACTTTGAGAGCTGTTGTGCGGGTTAAATGACACAATGTATTATCTACCTGGCTCACAATTGCATTAAGAAATACTGGTTTCAAGGTGCATGCAAGACATTCAGGTAGATGTCTTAAATTGTAGCAGCAGCAGTAGCAGCCATAGCCACTAACATTCCTGAGCACATCTGATATGCCCAGTGCTATTCCAAGTGTTTTCCATGCATTTAACACACACATTCCTCGAAATAACCTCAAGCACTATCAGCCTCACCATTTTACTGATGAGGACACTGAGGCCCATAGACAGGCTAAGTCACTTGTACAAGTCACACAGTCTGCAAGTTGATGGATGGAGTTTTGAACCCAGACAGTATGACTGCAGGGCCCTCCACTTAGCCACACTGTTGTGTTGAGAAGAGTAGGGATGGGATCTGAGGCTGGGAATCTAGGAGCTGCTAAATTGCAGAGCCATGGGATACATTTTTTCAAGGAGTGGGTATAGAGATAAGACAAGATTGCCAAGTGCGGGTCTTAGGACATCTGACCAGCAAAGTTGGGGGCTAAGAAGACAAAGCAAGAGTGCTCCAAGATGGAAGGGATACAGGGGGGCACCAAGGAGGGTGCAGGATGGGAAAGGAATTTGGAAGCCTGTCCACCCTCCTCCTATGGGACCCAGTCTTCAGGGCAAGGAGAAATAATATTCGCCACTTAGAACTTTTACCATGGATGTTAAGCTAGTAGAACTAAGTGTAACTACAACTAAACCTATAGCTGAAACATGAAAACATCGCTGACATTTCCAATGAACATCTCTCCTCAGTAAAGGCTGAGATCCTTTCTCTCAAGAGAGCTCTCAAGGTTATTTGCAGCTAGGAGAGATATAGTTGTTTCTAAAAAGTTTAATCTTCCCTATTAAAGTCCAAGACACACCAGACACAGAAAAGCCAGATTGCTCACTCCTTTATCTCTCCAGAGTGATGACCCTGAAAAAGCTCCCTCTGAAGATGCCATGAGCTGCACTGGAAGTTGAACACTTGGAGTGTCTTCTTGAAATTGACCCGATAATCTTATAGATCAGGGGTTGGTGGCCTGTTAGGACCCAGGCCACAAAGGAGGTGGAGAGCTGTGGGTGGGCAAGTGTTACCACCTGAAATCCACCTCCTGTCAGATCAGCAGCAGCATTAGATTCTCATACAAGTGCAAATCCTACTGTGAAATGCGCATACGAGGGATCTAGGTTGTGTGCTCCTTTTGAGAATCTAATGCCTGAGGATCTGAGGTTGAACAGTTTCATCCTGAAACCATCCACCCCACAAACCCCCCACTCCACCCCTGGACCATGGAAAAATTGTTTTCCATGAAACTAGTCCCTGGCACCAAAAAGGTTGGGGACCATTGCCATAGATAGGTTTGTTTTTGTTCGTTTGTTTGATAAACATACAATATTTAATTGCAAATTGACCCCTAGTCTTAAAGCTTGAAACTTACATTTGTTTCATCTGAGTTCCTACCTCAGGAAACAACCTTCAGGTCTCTCAGAAAAAGTGCCAAAGAACTAAAACTCACCAGGTCAGGCCTCTCAAGTCTGACCCCTCATTTATCATTGTTGCTTCCTTGCCCCTCCTATTTTCTTACACATTGTTACATCCTTTCCTTTCTATATAAATCCCTAGTTTTAGTCCGTCAGGGGAGATGGATTTGAGACTGAGCTCCCATCTCCATGGCTGCAGCACCCGATTAAAGCCTTCGTCCTTGGATTTTACAAATCTAGATGTATCTGTATGGCTTTCTCTGATCAAATTCTACCTGTTGCCATGTTTGATAACAGTGCTTATAAATCTTGTATAGTTCAAGAAACTTTAATTGTAGAATCCCTAGATCAAAGAGGTTCACTCTTGCTATTTTGATTTTCAGTATTTCTAGAACCCTGTCAGAGTTTCTTGTATTGTTCTGAACAGTATTTAATTGCAAACAATTTGAAGAAATTCCTTTTAAAGTCTAAGAAAGATATATTTGTCATGTGTAGAGAGAGTGTGTCCTTTTTTGCACTGGCTGTTTCAAAAATCTGAATAAGAGATGGTTTAGTTGAAACTGTTTATTGTTAAGATAACAATCTGATGATTCCAAAATGAAGTCAACAGTGGAATAGTGTTTGTTTTCATGATCAGAAACTCAGTCTGTGTGGAGATGTAGATGTTATAGTTTACTCTGAAGGTTTTTAAAATTACTTTTGATTTTTCTTCTGGAAGTTTTGCAGAGGCCTTCTGGCCCAGAGTGAAGGTTCTGACTATAACATTTTAGGGCCTGGAAAGATTGCAGTTGCTGTCCTTGTGGATGCAAAGTAACGTTGTTCCCTGCTCAGAGGGATTTGAAAGATTATTAAAAATTCAACAGATTTTTCTGAAATCCCTTGTATTTCCCTCGCACATTTTGAAGGCTTTCCTTTCAGAGAGAACCAATTCACCTGACTTCATAAGAAAAAGAATCCTATCCCTGATCTGATACATTATTGCCATCCTGGTATTTTCTGCCATATTATTGTTTCCTTGGAGGCCTCAAGGTACAGACATGAAGGTGTGGATTTGGGTGCAAAAAACGGTTAAAGCCACTCATTAAACATGACACCTTCCAGCTAAGAGAAGAAAAAAAATCCAGTTACACACACACTCAGGTTTGCTTATTTTCTAGGAAAAAAAAATTCCTGTCCTCAGTGGCTCAGGAAGTGCTGTATGTATCTTTACTGTGCTAAGTGTATAATCTGTCTCCTCAGAAAAGCTAGAAAACAAAATTTTTTAGCAGGAAAACACAAATTTTTAACAGGATAGAGGTCAAAGAGGAAGATCCCTTTCACAGAACGACAGAAAACACAGAAGTCCATCAAATCAGGTCCCACCATAAGCACAAGCCCTCTCTATATTTGGAGCATACACTTCCTGTCTTCTCCAAATGTATGTATTTGATGTTTGTGTGTGTGTGTGTGTGTGTGTTGGGGGTGGGATGGGAGAAAGGTGGATGGGGAGGATACCTTTCAGGCCATTAGCTTTCCTGGGCTGTTTGTGATCTGTGAGAATTTTTCTAATGGGGGCTTTTCTATTTCTGGGTCTTACATACTTGGAAATATACATATCAAAAGGTTCACAAACTCCTTGTAGCAAATCTTGCAGCAAGAAGTCTCCGTTAAATTGAAGCTCTTCACCTCTGACACCAGAAACCATTACATCCCACGCAGCTGTGGACATGTAATGGAATATACCGTTCTGCCCTGGCTCCCTGGATAACAGATTGCATCTGCACTCAGCTCTAGCTTTTACCAAGAAAACAGTCATTCAGGTTTCCCCCTTACTTGTCATAAAGAACCCATAAAGCTGCCTCGGCCACACAACAAAGAGATTTTTAAAGGGCAGGAAAGGGCTGGGGGCGATGGCTCATACCTGTAATCCTAGCACTTGGGGAGGCCGAGGCGGGTGGACCACCTGAGGTCAGCTGGCCAACGTGGCGAAACCCCGTCTCTACTAAAAATACAAAAATTAGCTGGATGTGTTGGCACGTGTCTGTAATCTCAGCTGCTTGGGAGGCTGAGGCAGGAGAATCTCTTGACCCCTGGGCGGTGGGGGGGGAGGTGGGGGTGGCGGAGGTTACAGTGAGCCGGGATCGTGCCACTGCACTGCAGCCTGGGCAACAGGAGAGAAACTCTGTCTCAAAAAGAAAAAAAAATAGTTAGGAAAAAACGATACTAAAATTATATTTCTGGAATTTTTTTTCTGCAGTTTTCAAGCATCTTCTCAACGCCCACCATCCGGAGCTATTTTTTTTCTGAATTATTTCAATTAAGAGTGCTTTGTCCTAGCTTTGAACATTTTTCATCAAAAAGGGAACATTTTCAAAAATGAGAATAGTATCCTATGCCTCTCCTTGGCATAGGATAGGCACTTCTAAAAAGTAAAAGACATCTGACTTTTACATAGTGGTTTGCCCCGTATTGTAGAATCCTTTGTGAAGTAAATTGTTCCAGGGATGGTGGCTGCATTTCTACACCAACAGCTCAATGGCATTGAAGGAACAAGGTAGGGCAAGATTCCTTGCCTTGGAGACCTACTTCTGAGACCATTCTTGTGAAAAATTGCATTTTCTTTGCTTTCAGAGAACCATAGAATTTTATTAAGCCCCTCAACTTTTTATTGTCCAGTACTTTTGAAGTTTTATAATTTTTGACAGTGTGTGTATATAAAATATGTATGTGCATGTATAATTGGCTGTGAACTTAAAAGTATCTGAGACAGTGTGTTCGGAACTGATTCCTTCTGGAGGTTCTTGGTCTTGCTGACTTCAAGAATGAAGCTGCCGGCCAGGAGCTGTGGCTCATGCCTGTAATCCCAGCACCTTGGGAGACTGAGGCGGGCAGACCACGAGGTCAGGAGATCGAGACCATCTTGGCTAACACGGTGAAACCCCGTCTCTACTAAAAATACAAAAAATAAGCCGGGTGTGGTGGCAGGCACCTGTAGTCCCAGCTACTCGGGAGGCTGAGGGAGGAGAATGGCGTGAACCCGGGAGGCGGAGCTTGCAGTGAGCCGAGACCGCACCACTGCACTCCAGCCTGGGCGGCAGAGCAAGACTCCGTCTCAAAAAACAAAACAAAACAAAAAAAGAATGAAGCTGCGGACCCTGGTGGTGAGTGCTACAGTGATGGTGTGTCCGGAGTTTGTTCCTTCAGATGTTCAGATGTGTCCTGAGTTTCTTCCTTCAGGTGGGTTCGTGCTCTTGCTGACATCAGGAGTGAAGCCACAGACCCTCCCGGTTAGTGTTACAGCTCATAAAGGTAGTCCGGACCCAAACAGTGAGCAGCAGCAAGATTTATTGTCTAAAGTGAAAGAACAAAGCTTCCACACAGCGGAAGGGAACCCTAGCGGGTTGCCGGGGCTGGCTGAGGTAGCCAGTTTTTATTCCCTTATTTGGCCCCGCCCATATCCGGCTGATTGGTCAGTTTTACAGAGCGCTGATTGGTCGATTTTACAGAGCGCTGATTGGTCCATTTACAGAGTGCTTATTGGTGCCCTTACAATCCGTTAGCTAGATGCAAAAGTTCTCCAAGTCCCCATCTGACCCAGAAGCCCTGCTGGCTTCACCTCTCAACAGGTCTCAATCAATTTAGAAAGTTTATTTTGCCAAGGTTAAGAATGTCCCCATGACTTAGCCTCAGGAGGTCCTGATGACATGCGCCAAGGTGATCAAGGTACACTTAGGTTTTATACATTTTAGGCAGACATGAAACGTCAATGAATACATGTAAGATTTACACTGGTTCCATCTGGAAGGACGGGACAACTCAAAGTAGGGGCTTCCAGGTCATGAGTGGATTTAAACAATTTCTGATTGGCAATTGGTTGAAAGAGTGTTTGTCAATAGAAAGGAATGTCTGCATTAAAGAGGTTTGTGGAGACCAAAGTTTTACCATGCAGATGAAGCCTCCAGGTGGCAGGCTTCAAAAAGAATAGATTGTAAATATTTCTCATCATACTTAAGGTCTGTGTTGATGTCAATGCTGGTCGGCTTTTCCTGAATTCCAAAAGAGAAGAGGGCATGAGGAGGCATGTTTGACCCTCACTTCTCGTCATGGCCTGAGCTGTCCTTCAGGTTAACTTTGGAGTGCCCTGACTGAGAGGAGGGAGTCCATTCAGATGGTTTGGCAGGGGGGCCTCAAAATTTTATTTTTGGTTTACATTCCACTCACACAGGTACTGTATATATTTATAATACATATAGGGGTTTTTTATGTGCTATTTCCACTGGACTTTTTCTGTTTAACCTCCCCCTCCCTTTTCTGATTCCTTTTGCTAGATATGTCAGAAAATGAAGGATGTCTTTAAATTCATTAAATGACAACTTGGTACAGAACAGGAATTGCCTGGAAGTGCAGTAGGCCCTGTGACAAAGGTATATAGACACAGGATGGTGGTGGGGATAGCACTGGTTTTGCATCCAATAGAAGTAGATTTGAATAAAACCTTAGTCCCTTCCCAGTTCTATGTTCTAGGAAAATTTGTTTAACCTCTATGAGCCATGGTTTATTTATTAAAAAAAATATAGCTAGCAGTGCTACCTAAATCAAAAGGTTGTTACGAAGACTGGAAATAATATTCATAAAATACTCAGCATCACATCTGCCATAGATGCAGTCACTAAAATAATAGTTTGTGTTAATATCGATAATCATGATCAGCAGCAAGTATACAGTTTTCGTGCATAAAAGTATGTTTGTATGTGACATTGTGAGAGCCTCAGCCCATGAATGGCTCAGCCAAATTCTCTGATCTTCCATGTCCTTGAGGGAGAGGAGAATGTCTGTCCACTGCAGGAAGAAAGATTGGTCCCACAGTAGCTGTGACACACCATGCATGGCAAGTGGTAGAGTGCTCATGAATAGCAGAAATCAGTCATGCTTCCACTGTGTGCAAGCCCTGATGTAGGCCTATTAATTTCTGGGTATTCTTGACCTAGGCCTCTAAGAACTCAGATTTAAAGGCATATTCATAACCATCGTATTTCTCAAGATACGAATTCCTTATCCCCTAGAAGTGTCAAGTGCCCCAATTTCCCATTACATGTCTCTCCATCATACATGAGACACCCACATAAATTGTTTCCATTACATACAAGCTGGAGATGCAATCTAAACTCAAACAGCAACTCTGGATAAACTGTCAGTATCTGAGTGGTCTATGGGTTTTAGCCATGCTGATTGTCAGTTTAAGTCTTATTGAAAATGAAGTGAAGTAGAAAGCAACCGGTCAGTTGGTTAATCCATACCACCATCAAGAGCTGAGATTAGGTGCACCCAGAGCATCAGCTTACACAGAGACAGCTGCAGAGTATGTGCTTTCCCTACTTGCTCTGCGTTCTTACACTGTTGGCCCAGTACCTAGCAGGGGCTCCAACCTGCTCCCGACACCACAACCTCTGCATGCAATGCCGTCTACCCTGGTGACCCTCTAAGGCTTGAGCTAAACCACAGCCCTCTTAGCTGGGGCTGGGATTTCCTTTCGAATTTTTTCAGATCTTTCCAGGAGGTGAATTTCATGTTGTGCTTCCTCAATCACTGGCTAGAGTCTGGCTGTGAGTGCACTGATATCCCAGAACCACTACCTAATATTTATTTTTTTTCCCACAATTCCTGTGCCTTATGTACTAGATTGAAATTCCTAGTACTGATACTTTCTGAGATAATATCTGTCCTTTGGATATTATTTTGTCTTGATCTTCAATTCTGCCTTACAGATGCCAACAGCTGCAAGTGGGTGGATTACTCCTTGCTTTCCTGAGTAGGGCCTTTCCTGGCCTCAGCTCACTAGGCCTTGTCAATAGCCCTGAACCCATCCTATCATGACACTGGACAAATTCCATACCTCACTAACCAGCTGTAGATAAAAACTTGAATCAACCATCATCATTTATAGACTCCAGGTAGCTTTCCCTAACAACCAGGACTTCACCTCTTCAGTGAGTTAAGTCTTCATCATCAATGCTTTCCTAATACATTTTGCATGTCTGTCTCACTGTATTTCTTCTTTGTTTTAACATTGTTTGCAAGTCATTCCTCTTAGAGTGTATATTCCTGGAGGGCAAGGCAGTGTCTAAGTCATCTTTACATCTCTATTTCTAATACATAGTAGGTACTCAATAAACCAATAAGCAGATGAACAAGGTGCCTTTTAACTCTCAAATTTTATAATTCTGGAATCTGTTAATATTGACTCATCTAATTTTGAAGTCAACAAAATGCCAAAAGATAGAGCAAGGAATTACATACACTTTGCTTCTTTATTCCTAATGTTTTTTTCCATAATAAGTTGTTGCTGTGTTCTATTTCATTAACGAGAAAAATGAAATAGAAAGAGCTACCCTTTTTTGAACACTTACTGTTAGCTATATACCATGCTAAGGGTGTATATACATCAACCCAGCCAGTTTATCCTCCTCCACATCCTATATTATCTTCATTTTATGGAACAGGAAATGGTGATATTTGTTTTCTATCCATGCCTGAGAAGCACCGCTTATTAGGTAAGGGAGAAACATTCTCTTTCCCCAAGAGTCCTTAGTGTGTAGAATTTCTTTTTCAGTTGGTGCTTTTGGCAGAGCTCAATCCCTGAGCACACTGAACTTACACTGTTCTTTCTTCATATACCAGACGCGACCCAGAATCTAGTGATGCAATCAAGATATTGACCTGGTTTTCTAAGATTATGGCAGAATAAGAATTCTGATCTTACTATTATGTCATAGTTAAAGCTGTTACACTTTGACTCTAGTTGGTTTTTTAGGGATGGAATGAGTTTTCGATTCCTTTCTTTGGTCTAGCAGGTATCAGGCAGCTTTGAGCAGTGCCCACATGAGTGTTCAGGAAGAAAGGGCACCCCCATCCAGTTAGATAATCTGGATCAACCACGCCAGTCAATAGGATGGCAAATATTGCAGGTCCACCAACAAATCATCATCTGCTTCCCCAAGGAGAAGGCTGGATTTCCCTTGCCTGGGTGGTAAATGGTAAATAACGTGGTCCTTAACTTTGGTCTGAATAGACTCTACAGAGTGGGATTCAGAACATTTCATCCAAAAATATATGGTAACTCTTAGATTTCAGACCTAGAGCCCTTATGCAATTTTCTACCATGGGGAAGTGACATCTTAGAAATAAAATACAATTTGCCAGGAATCTCTCATAATATATGTTCTCATTAGTATAAGGCTCTCAAATTGGCTTTTTCCCCTTCATTTTGAATTTGGTTTGCAGCCATACTCACACACACTAAGGTGCATCCATAAAGAAGGTAAAATCAAGCTGAGCCTCAACTACATGGATTCCAGCAACACTGTTCTTTCCTCTGACTCCAGGCCAGGGTGGAGAGCTCCTGTGAAGATGTTGGAGTGAACTGAAGCAGTGTAGGGTAGTGACAAATAACCAAATTTTACTGTTTGGAGTTTTTTAAACGTGAAATATCTAGGTATCTTTGCTATTATCAAAAAATGACAACCTCATTTCCATAAAGCAATTTTCCCCACAGCAGTCTCCAAGAGCTTCTCCACAGACCACCTCATCTCTGCACAGCAGGGTGAGAACAGCCAGAAGAGCCACCATCAGATTCACATGCATGGATTCCACTTTGATTCTCCTTAAAATGCCCAGACTCTTGAGTGACAGGAAAAACCCCATGTCCCAAAGACCTCAGCTCCAATTTCAGTCTTGTACCTCAAACTTGTTATCTTTGCTCTTCATCTGAACACTTTTCCCCCCCAAAAATTAAACTTTAGATCTGGGAATTCCCTGCCCTTTTTACATTTACAGGCTTGTAATCCACTCAGTTGAAATCTGTTACGGGCCTCAACAATCAAAACTAATAGTGAAAATGAAAAAAAATGCATCTAAAATATTTGTAATAGTGCTATTCCAAAATATCTCATAAGCTGCAGGCAACCTTCAGCAGTCCCCAGCTATAGTTCCAAATTTGAATCACATCATCATCATATATGTAATATTTGATCTACAAACTGTGATGACTAAGAGTTGCTAAAACTCTTTTTCTGCTACACTACCACAGGTATTGTTACCAATTATACAAAATCCATGAATACCATTAAATGCTTCTTTATTTTCCCTCTACTTTAATAGAATTTTATTTTTTGATTAAGGGAAACCAAAACATGAAAAGTCTGGTTTACTCAAATCCAAATACCATATGTAAGCAAATTTCATAAATGTATCCATGTATACGGACACTCTTTCTACACGTGACAAACAATAGGTTAAAACATATTCGTGCAAACACAATTCAGTTGTTTTCCATTTGGAATAAACATTTGGTCCAGCATATAAAAGCTACATTAAAAGACTTAGATGTGGTAAATAACTTGAACAAAAGAAACTTTGCCTATTACTAATACAACTAGAAAGGAGACGGGCTCAAGGATGAGTGAGATTTGTAGTCTTTCTGCAGCACGGCAACGTTTTATACAAGATAATGCCATTCCTTCCCCTTGGATAAACAACATGAGTCACTCTGTAAGCATTCAACAACTGGGCTCATAAATACCATATACCATCTGTCACTCAAATTTATGAAATCTTTGCTAATGTCACTTCAGGACTAAAAATTTCTACCTCAGTTTTTTTTTCCTTCCCTGGAACATAACTATAAAGGTAACATGCTTGCAGAGACTTGTAGAATTTTGTAACAGGGACAAAAATAAACAAAAACATCTTTGTGATTCTTCATTCTCAGCAATGTATTAATAACGTTTTCTGATTAAGTACAATGATTATGTTTCTCCAAAGGAAAAACTCAATGAATCATTTTTAGCCCTAGTTTAACCAAAATTATTCTCTATCTGAAGCAAGTCCAGATGATTCACTTAGAATTACCTACAGAAGGCCAGGCATGGTGGCTCACGCCTATAATCCTAGCACTTTGGGAGGCCAAGGTGGGCGGATCACCTGAGGTCAGGAGTTCATGACCAGCCTGGCCAACATGATGAAACCCTATCTCTACTAAAATACAAAAATTAGCCAGGGATGATGGCGGGTGCTTGTAATCCCAGCTACTCTAGAGGCTGAGACGGGAGGATTGCATGAACCCAGGAGACGGTTGCAGCCTGGGCAGCTGAGCGAGACTCCGTCTCAAAAAAAAAAAATTACCTACAGATGTTATATGTAAGTGTGTGTGTGTGTGTAAAATATGTAGTTATATATTATATATAATATATACATGTTTTCAGAAATCTCACAGATTTTTTATTAACAGCATTTTGTTTGATCACAAACTAACACTTTTAATTATTGTTCCAGGCCCACATAATCAAGTAATGTTGTCTTTAAAAGTGAGTAAGTCCATTGGAATTTTTTTCCCATATTTGTATTAAGGTATAATTTACATGTAGTAAAAGTCACGCATTTTTCTGTGAGTTTTGAGAAATGTATACAGCCATGTCACCATCACCACAATCAAGATGTGGAATGGTTCTGTCATTGTCCCAAATGTCTTTTGTACTTTGTAATCAACCCCTCTTCCCACCCTAACCCCTATCCAGTGCTGATATGTTTTCTGTCCCTGTAGTTTTGTGTTTAAAAGAATCTTATACGAGTGGTATCTTATATAAGTATGTAACCCTTTGAGCCTGGCTTCTTTCGCTTAGAAAAATGGATTTAAGATTCATCCACCTTGTTGCAGGAATCAGTTCATTGTTTTTTACTGGTGAATAGTATCACATGGTACAAATGTACAATTTGTTTATCTTTTCCTTAACTGAGGGATCTTTTCCTCAACTGAGGGATATTTGTTTCCAGTTTTGGGTGATTACAAATAAAGCCTTTAAAAAATTCACATACAAGTTATTGTGTGAATATGTTTTGATTTCTCTGAGGTAAGTACTTAGAAGTAGGGCTGCTGGGTCATGCACTAAAAGTGTACGAATAAGTTCATAAAAAAAGGCCCAACTGTTTTCCCAAGAGGCTGAACCATATTTCACTCCCACCTGCAAAGTATGAGAATTCCAGTTATTCTAAAGCCTCACCAACACTTGCCATTATCTGTGTGATTCTATATCTTTAAAGAATTATCCATGACTTCTTATGCAGCTAATTCAATGTCTTTGATTTTGAATGAATGTGATTTCTATTTGCAAGGGAAAAAAAATCAAATCACAGAAGAAATGAACTTTATCTCCTCCTTAGTTGAGCATTTTCTCTTGAGTGGATTGACTTTCTCAGTTTCTGGGGTTCACCTTGACTTGAAACACGATCTTGTGCAAAATCCAGAGTAGAATCTGCTGCAGGTTTCTTCATGTCTTCTGGAAGCAATGCCCAATTTCCCTGGTACTTGGGAACAGGACTCTTTCTTCTCATGCTTTGGATGCATTAGATTAAGTCCAGTGGAGGAACACAAAACATGAAAAGAGCATTCTAAAAAAAAAAAAAAAAAAAAAAAACTCAGTAAAGATTCTATGACCTGCAGAGAATTTGATCACATCTTCTTTGTCATTCCTGCTTCCCTGCTTCCCAGCCACCCAAACTGTACTCCTTATTCACAACTTGTAAAAATAACTACTTTATTATAAGTCACATACCAAAATACTCATCATTTTAAAGAGTACAATTTAGTGGCTTTTAGTATATTAACAGGGTTTTGCATCTATCATTGCTAATTTTAGAAAGTTTTCATCATCCAAAAAGAAACCCCATGTCCATTAGCAGTCTTACCCCATACCACCCTCCATCCAGCCCCTGCAATCACGGATGTACTTTCTGTGTTTATGAACTCACCTATTCCAGACATTTCATATAAATGGAATCATACGATACATTAACTTTCGTGTTGGCTTCTTTGACTTAGCATAATGTTTTCAAGGTTCATCATGTTGTAACAGTTATCACATTACTTTGTAGGGCCAAATAAAATTTCACGGCACAGCTGTTAATCCACAAACAAATTTCCATTACTATTTGTTCATGTACCCTCCAACTGATTATGTGGGTGTTTCCACTTTCTGGCTATTGTGAATATGTTATGAACATTCAGGGAGAAAGTTTTGTGTGGACGTATGTTTTAAATTCTTTTGAGTTTTTACTGAGCAGAGAGTTGCTGGGTCATGTAGTAACTCTATGTGTAAGAGTTTGAGAAACTTCAAAACTGTTTTTCCAAAATAGCTGTGCCATTTCATTTTCCCACCAGCAATATGTGAAGTTTCCAATTTCTCCACATCCTTTCCAACACTTGTTAGCTGTCTGTCTTTTTAATTTAGCCACCTTAGTGTAAAGTTGTTGTTGTTGTTGTTGTTTTGAGACGGAGTCTCGCTCCGTCGCCCAGGCTGGAGTGCAGTGGCGCGATCTCGGCTCACTGCAAGCTCCGCCTCCCTGGTTCACGCCATTCTCCTGCCTCAGCCTCGCGAGTAGCTGGGACTGCAGGCGCCCGCTACCACTCCCGGCTAATTTTTTGTATTTTTAGTAGAGACGGGGTTTCACAGTGTTAGCCAGAATGGCCTCAATCTCCTGACTTCGTGATCCACCCGCCTCAGCCTCCCAAAGTGCTGGGATTACAGGCGTGAGCCACCGAGCCCTGTCCTTAGTGTGAAGTTTTGTTTCGTTGTTGCTGTGAATGGGATCTCATTGCATTGCATTTCCTTAATGAATAATGATGGTAAGCATCTTTTCATGAGCTTGGTGGCCATTTGTGTATCTTCTCTGGAGAAATATCTATTCAAATCCTTTGTGCATTTGCAAGATAGGTTTTTTTGTGGTTTCATTGCTGAGTTTAAGAGTTCTTTGCATAGTTTGGATACAAGTCTTTTACTATATATAAAACATAAATATTTTCTCCCATTCTGTGGTTTTTTCACTTTCTTGATGATTTGAAGCACAGAATATTTTGATTTTGATGAAGTCCAATTTATTCATTTATTTATTACTTTTGCCACTTTTGATGGCATAGCTAAGAAACCCTTGCCTAACACAAAGTCAGGAAGATTTGCTCCTAGTTTTTCTTCCAAAAGTTTTATAATTTTAGTTCTTACATTTATGTCTATGACTGGTACCTTGTTCACCCATATTTACTTATTTAGAAAGCAAACTACACATATATTGTTTCCACAATTCTCCTTATCTAAATTGCAGTTTGCTGATTGGGATGGTCAGACACACCTGTTTAATGATGCCATGTGGTTCAATTCACTGTCACTTTACTTCTGCTTCTACAATATTATCTATGCTGTCAGTTCCATAAAGAAAAGCAAGCTAGAGATGAGAACTCCCAAATGAATGTTTGTTCTTTTCACAAAACACTCTTTCAAGCAAAGCACTATTCTATCTGTTTTCTTCCAGATTTTGGAAATAGGTAAATTAATATACAGTTAAAAACACCAGCACTGATTTTGCTTCCATCCTACAATAGCTTAAGGATCTCTGGAAATTGAAATGTGGAGTTATAAAAATATGGTGCTCAATCTTCTAATCCTTTTGTGTCTCTATCTCTAAAACTAAAATAGAGATTGCAAATACGTAGTACTGAAACATTCCCATATTATTCAAGACATCAAATGGTTTTGTACAAATTACCTGGAAAATTGCCCCTTTACCCTTTATTTATAATTATCCTTATAAATAAAAGGATAATGTTATTTATTTATTTATTTATTTATTTATTGCCTTTTGCTTCAGCAAACAGAGATTTAGCTAACACATTACTTTTCCCTGTCCAGTTTCCCTGTTGAAAAAAAGGACACTAGTACTTATTTCCTCCTCATCTCAAGGGACTAATGCTTTGTTTGAGAAGTGTAAGCGTGTTTTGCCTCAGAACTTCTAAAAAGTAAAAGTATGGAGAGCCCAGAGTGTCACTGGCACAGGGAAGCATCTCCACAGAGTTGTGTGGTATATGTTCTGATAAATAAACGACAGACTAAAGTTTTTAACACAAGAAGAATTTTGTGGAGAACGGTAGACGGTTGGAACTTATTGTTGGAATCTTCATTTGTATAGCCTTGAAACATTTTGACAACACTATGCCAGAAAGAGGGGTGTTCATCAGTTTCTCTATCTTACCTGTCAAATCAGAGTCTGCTTAGAACTAAGCATTTAGAATCATCTCAAAATCTTATCTTTTATGGGAACACTGCAAATTGTTAAATGATTGCATGATGCTTTGGCTCCTCTTTGCTCTACTCCTGAGGAAATGATCTTATAGCATAGTGATTCAAAAAATACTTGTTTGAATGTTTTATTAATATATTATAATTGTGCATATTTGGGGGTACATGTAATGTTTTGATGCATGTGAACAATAAGTAATAATCAAATCAGGGTAATTGGGATAGCCATCAACTCAAATATTAATCTTTTTTTGTATTGGGAACATTACAATTCTTTTCTTCTAGCTATTTTGAAATGTACAACATATTACTATTGACTAAAATTTCCTACTGTACTATTAAATATTAGAATTTATTTCTTCTATTTAATTGTATTTTTGTACCCATTAACCAGTTTTCTCTTGTTTTTCCCCTTCCCTCTTCCCTTCACCGCTTCTGGTAACCACCATTCTACTTTCTATCTCCATGAGGTTTGCTTTTTTAACTCCCACCTATGAGGGAGAACAAGCAATATTTGTCTTTCTGGGCCTGGCTTATTTCACTTAACATAATGACCTCCACTTCCATCCATGTTGCTGCAAATGACAGGATTTCATTTTGTTTTCTTTTCCATTGTTCATTAATACCACATTTTCTTTATTCATTCATCCACTGATGGACACTTAGGTTGACTTCATATTTTGGCTATTATGAATAGTGCTGTAATAAACACGGAAGTGTAGTTAACTCTTTGGTGTAGTGATTTCCTTTCTTTTGGATATATACCCAGCAGTGAGATTGCTGGATCATATGGTAGCTCAATTTTTAGTTTTTTGATGAACCTCCATACTGTTTTCCATGATAGCTGTACTACTTTACATTTCTACCAACAGTATATGAGTGTTCCCTTTTCTCGGCATCCTCACCAGCATTTGTTATTTTTTGTCTTTTTGATAATAGCCATTCTAACTGGTGTAAGATGACGTATCACTGCAGTTTTGATTTACATTTGCCTGATGATTAATGATGTTGAGCATTTTTAAATATACCTGTTAGTTATTTGTGTGTCTTTTTTTAGAAATGTCCATTCAGATATTTTGCCCATTTTTTAATCAGATTATCTGTTTGTTTGTTGTTCAGTTGTCTTGAGTTCCTTGTATGTTCTGGTTATTAATCTCTTATGGAATGGATAGCTTACAAATATTTTCTCACATTCTGTGAGTTTTTTCTTTGTTGATTGTTTCCTTTGCTATGCAGAAGCTTTTAAACTTGATGTAATCCCATTTGTCTAGATTTGCTTTTGTTGCCTGTGCTTTTGAGGTCTTACACAAATTATCTTTGCCCAGACCAATGTCCTGGAGCATTTCCCCAATGTTTTCTTCTAGTACTTTTATAGTTTCAAGTCTTACATTTAAGACTTTAATCCATTTCGAGTTGATTTTTTGTGTATGGTGAAGGATGGAGATCTAGTTTCATTCTTCTGCATGTGAATATCCAGTTTCCCAGCACTATTTATTGAATAGACTGTCCTTTCCCAAATGTATGTTCTTTCTGCCTTTGTTGAAAATTGTCTGGCTGTAAGGGTGTTTATTTATTCCTGGGTTCTCTATTCTGTTCCATTGATTTATGTGTCTGTTTTAATGCCAGCACCATGCTATTACGCCTCTAGCTTTGTTTTTTTTTTCTCAGTATTGCCTTAGCTTTTGTGGGTCCATACAAATTTTAAGATTGTTTTTCCAATTTCCATGAAGAATGTCATTGGAATTTTGATAAGGATTGCACTGAATCTGTAGATCACTTTGGGTAGTATACACATTTTAACAACATTAATTCTTCCAATCCATGAGCATGAAATACCTTTCCATTTTTGTGTGTTCTTATTTCTTTTATTAATGTTTTATAGTTTTCCTTGTAGAGATCTTACTTCTTTGATTAAATTTATTTCTAGGTATATTTTTCATAAAGTTGGAAAGAGAATTGCTTTCTTGATTTCTTTTTCAGATTGATTGCTATTAGCATATAGAAATGCTACTGACTTTTGTCAGTATCCTGCAACTTTAGTAAATTTGTGTACCAGTTCTAAGAGGTCTTTGGTGGAGTCTGCAAACAAGGATAATTTTACTTCTTCTTTTTTAATTCTGATGTTATTTATTTCCTTTTCTTGCCTAATTGCTCAGGCTAGAACTTCCAGTACCATGTTGAATAAAAGTAGTGGCAGTGGGCATCCTTGCTTTGTTCCACTCATTAGCAGAAAGGATTTTAGTTTTTACTTATTCAGTGTGGTATTAGCTGTGGGCTTGTCATATATGATCTTTATCATGTTGACTTTCTAAATCCAATTTCTTCCGTGTTTCATCATGGAGGGACATTTAATTTTATTGAAGCCTTTTTCAGCATCTATTGAAATGACCATATGGGTTTTGTCCTTCATTCTGTTGACACCATGTATCATATTAATTGATTTGTATATGTTGAACCATTCTTGCATCCCTAGGATGAATCCCACTTGATCATGGTGAAGGAACTTCTTAATGTGTTGTTGCATTCTATTTGCTAGTGTACTGTTGAGGATTTTTGTATCTATGTTTTTTAGGGATTTTGGTCTGTATTTTTCTTTTGTGTGTGTGTGTCCTTGTCTGGTTTTGGTATCAGGTGGCTAATATGTTGAGTTTGGAAATATTACTTCCTCTTCCATTTTTGAAATAGTTTGAGTAGAATTGGTATTAGCTTTTCTTTAAATGTTTGGTAGAATTCAGCACTGGATCCATCATTTCCTGGGCTTTTCATTGGTGGTAAACTTTTTGTTACTCCTTAGATTTTGTTACTCATTATTGGTCTGTTTGGGTTTTCCATTTCTTCATGGGTCAAACTTGATGGATTATATGTATTAATATCAGGACTTTATCCGTTTCCTCTAGGTTGTCTAATCTGTTGGCATGTTATTGCTCATATTAATATCTAACGATTTGTTGTATTTCTGTAGTTTCAGTGGCAATGTTTCCTTTTTCATCTCTGGTTTTATTTACTTGAATCCTCTTTCTTCTGTGGTTAGTCAAGCTAAATATTTGTCAATTTTGTATTTTAAAAAACTTTTTCTTTTGTCAATCTTCTGTATTTTTTTAGTCTCAATTTTATTTACTTATGCCCTAATCTCTATTATTTACTTCCTTCTACCAATTTCGATTTGCTTTGTTCTTGATTTTCTAGTTCCTCTAGGTACATTGTTGGGTTCTTTATTTGAAGTCTTTCTATTTTTTTGATGTAAGCATTTATTGCTATAAACTTCCCTCTTAGTACCATTTTTGCTGTATCCCATAGGTTCTGGAATGTAGTGTTTCCTTGGTTTCAAGAAAATTTTAAAATTTCTTCTTCTTTTATTTATTGACTTCATTGGTCGTTCAGGAGCATGTTATTTTCTTTTAATGTATTTGGACAGTTTTCAAAATTCATTATGTTATTGATTCTTAGTTTTATTCTGTTGTGGTTGGAAAATATATGAAATAGATTTTGACTTTTCTGAATTTTTTGAGACTTGTTTTGTGGTCCTGCATATGATCTTTCCTGGAGAATGTTTCATGTGTTGATAAGAAAAATATTCTGTAGCCATTGAATGACTTGTTCTCTAAATGTTTGTTAGGTCAGTTTGAGAGTATAGTTTAATTGTAATTTTTCTTGTTGATTTTCTGCTTGGATGATCTGTCCATTGCTGAAAGTGAGTGTTGAAGTCTCATGTTATTATTGTATTGCAGTGTATCTCTCCCTTTAGATCTATTAACATACACTTTATATGTCTGGGTGCTCTGGTGTTGGGTGCACATATATTTATTATTGTTAAAACATTTTGCTGAGTTGACTCCTTTATCATTATATAATGACTATTTGTGTCTCTTTTTACAGTTTTGACTCAAAGTTCACTTTATCTGATATGAGTGTAGCTACTTTTGTCCCTTTTTGGATTTCCATTAGTGTGGAATGCCTTTTTCCATTCCTTCACTTTCAGTCTATGTGTTTATTCATAGATGAAGTGAGTTTTGTGTAGGCATCACATAGTTGGGTCCTGTTTTTTAATCTATTTGCTACTCTATGTCTTTTAATTGGAGAATTTAGTCCAATTACATTCAATATTATTATTAACAGGTAAGGACTTACTACTGCCTATTCGTTACTTATTTTCCTTATGTTTTGTAACTCCTCTCTTCCTTTCTTCCAGTCTTCCTTTTTGGTTAAGTGACTTTCCTTTGTAGTATATGTTTAAATTTGTTGTTTTTTACTTTTACATTATCTGTTATAGGTTTTTGCTTTGTGGTTATCATAACCTTACAAAAAACATTCTATAGTTATAATAAGTATTTAATACTGATACCAACTTAACTTTGATTGCAAGAAGAAAATAAAGAAACCTCAAAATGCAAACCTGTACACACTAACTTCATTCTCCCACGTTTTGAATTTTCATTGTCACAATTTACATTTTTTATACTGCCCACCTCTTAAGTTGTAGTTATTATTTTTAATAGCTTTGTATTTGAGTCTTCTTAGACTAAAGATATAAGCAATCTAAACATCATGAGTACAGTATTACCATAACAATCATGTTAGGATCCTTTTGTTTCATTTTTAATAACTCCCTTTAGCATATCTTGTTGGACAGGCCTGGTAGCTATAAATTCCCTCAGCTTTTGTTCATCTGGAAAAGTCTTTGTTAGTCCATTTTTAAAGGCTAGCTTTGCGGTGTACAGTATTTTTGGTTGACAATTTGTTTTCTTTTTTTTCTTTTAGCACTCTGAATATATTGTTCCACTCTCTCCTGGTCTGTAGGGTTTCTGCTGAGAAATCTGTGTCCAGTCATAGCAGATCTCCCTTATATGTTATTTGTTTATTTTCTCTCACTGCTTTCAGGATCCTCTCTTTGACTTTTGTGGGTTTAATTATGTCTTAGGGTATTCTTATTTGGGTTGAATTTGATTGGTGACATTTGACCTTCCTGTACCTGGATATTTATTCTCCTTCAGATTTAGAAAGTTTTCTGTTATTATTTCTTTGAATAAACTTTCTACCCCTTTTCTTCTTTGGTTCCTTCTTTAACTCCAAGAACCCAAATATTTGCCCTCTTGATATTGTCCCATAGATCCTGTAAGCTTTGTTCTTTCCTTTTTATTTTTCTTCTCCTCTGACTGTGTATTTTTAAATACTCTGTCTTCTACCTCACTGATTTTTTTGTTTGATCAATTCTGCTTTGATGCTTTCTATTGCATTTTTAAATTTCATGCATTGCATTTTTCAGCTTCAGAATTTTTCAAAAAACATTTTATCTCTCTGTTAATTTTTGTGATAAATTTCTGAATTGAATCTTTGTGTGTTCTTGAAGTTTGCTGAGCTTCCTTAATACAGCTATTTTTTTGAGTTCTTTGTCTGAGAGATCCCACATTTTTATCTTTATCATTTTCTTTTTTGAGGCAGGGCTTTACTCTCTCACTCGGGATGAAATGCTATAGCTTGATCTCAGCTCACTGTGGCCTTGAACTCCCAGGCTCAGGCAATCCTCCTGACTCAACTTCCCAAGTAGCTGGGACCACAACACATGCCAGCACACCCAACTAATTTTTTTAATTATCTGTAGAGATGAGGTTTCATTATGTTGCCCACGCTGGTCTCAAACTCCTAGGCTCAAGCAATTCTCCTGTTTTGGCCTCCCAAAGTGCTGATATTACAGGTGTGAGCCACCACACCTGGCCTTCTGGCACCTTATTTTGTCTGTTTGGTGAGGTCATATTTCCCTGAATGTTCTTCATGCTTGTGAAAGTCTGCACATTGAGGGATCCGTTATTTATTTTAGTCTTTGTAATCTAGCTTTGTTTCTGTCTGCCCTTCTTCAGAGGGCCTTCAAGGGACTGTTGGGCAACTGACTGTTTTGTTCCCTGAGCCTTTGACCACTGCAGCTGTCTCAGCACTAGAGATATTCTAAGTCCAGGCTTGTTGCAAATCTCACAGGGGCTCCAAGGTTGATGTAGCTTTCTGGCCCACGTGGACCTGACAAAGACCCAGAGAAGTACTGGAGCTGTATGGGAGTGCTGGTCAGGGACCTGAGTCCAGAAGACTGTCCTGGTGACCTAGACATGTGTCCCTCCCAGCAGGTCTCGGCAGAGAGAAAATGGGTCCCTTACTGCAGTGAAAAGGACTGGAGTTGAGACTGGGCCACTTTGATATCTGCTGTTAGACAGAGGCTAGAGAGCCTTGTTTTGTCTCAGAGGGGTATGCATCACCCAGCAAGTTCTCTCAAACATAGGATAGTTCCCCAGCTGCAGCAGAAGTGGCCAGAGCTGAGACTATACCACTTCAGGATCTCTTCTGGATGGAGGATGGCATGCTTGTTACATTGGCTTAGATAAAGATGCATCTTCCAACAGTTCTCTGAACATATGGTATAATTCCCTGATTTCATCAGAAGGGGCTGAAGCTGAACTGGGCCCCTCAAGATTTCCTGTGAAACAGAGGCTGGAAAATCTCTTTTTTGCCCATACAGGTACATGTTTTCCAGCAGGTCTCAGCACAGATAAGATTATTCCCCAACTTCAGTGAGAATGGCAAGAGCTGAGACTGGGCCCCTTCAAGATCTGCTATGAGACTGAGGCCAGAGAGCCCAGTCTTGTTGTTCCAGAGGGGCACCTGTCTCCTACCAGGATGCTGCACAGACAGAATAGTTACCTGACTGCAGCAAGAAGGGCCAGAGCTGAGACTGGGCCCTCACGATCTTCTGTAGGACAGAGACTGGAGAGCCCATGTCATTGGTGCAGGTAGTTACATATCTCCCAGCAGATCTCAGCACAGATGGGATAGTTCCCTCACTGCAGTGAGAGGGGCTGGAGCTGACACTGGGTCCCCTTGAGATCTACTGTGGGTTAGAGGTTGGTGAGCCCATCAGGGAGACTCAAACCCTGAGGCAGGGATATATAGGTGATATAGGATTTACGACTCCCTCTGGGTCCTCTTGTAGCTCTGAGCTGGGACCTCAGCTGGGGAAGCCTGGGGCAGCCCCTCAGGACAACTTTCAGGTTCACTGCTGAGACTGATGTCAGTCTGCCAACCAACAATTCTTTCCACCAAGGCATTAGTGTGCATGATTTCTTCTGGATGCCTGGGAAGATGGTTTTGGTTGTAGACTCAAGGCTAAATGAAGCTATAACCAAGCCCCTTGGGAGACTAGGCTATTTATGGGCTTGAACCCAGAAACAAGTGTGCCAGGGTAGATCTGCCAACTAGATGTCAGTCTGTAGTCTCAAAACAACTCTCCTAGGTCTTGGGCTCCACTGTGATTTCACAAACTCCTACCTACATCCTGAGGCTCCCATAGAGAGACTTTTGACTGTGGATGGGTATACAGTTCTTCATATTCTGGGGGCGATAAATGGATTACCTTCTTTTTTTTTTTTTTTGAAACGGGGACTAGCTCTGTCACCCAGGTTGGAGTGCAGTGGTGTGATCTCAGCTCACTGCAACCTTCGCCTCCTGGGTTCAAGTGATTCTCCGGCCTCAGCCTCCTGAGTAGCTGAGATTACAGGTATGCCACCACTCCCAGCTATTTTTTGTATTTTTAGAAGAGATGGGATTTCACCATGTTGGCCAGACTGGTGTCAAACTCCTGATCTCAAGTGACCCGCCTGCCTTGGCCTCCCAAACTGCTGGGATTACAAGCATGAGACACTGCGCCCAGCCATGGTTTACTTTCTATTTTACCATCTTGGTGATCTCACTCTGGAAAAATTAATTTTTTAATGAAGGAACTCCTTAATCATACCTTGGAGAAGAGTATATATCACAGCATGACAAGATCTACAACTTAGTATAGGACAGAAAAAAAAATTATGTATTTATATTTTTCTAGAAGCTGCTAATAGTTAAATGATCCATTTTAGCACTGGTTTGATTAAATAAAGAAACTAGAAGACAGAAAAACTCTATAATGTTGTTTCTGTGTTTTTATATTGTCCTTTTATTTTCAGACAATGGAGACCATAAAAGTGAACACTATATCTAATAAATCAAGGAAATGAAAATACAGCTGGGTGCATGAATGAAAAAGGTGTTAATGATGTTTACATATTATTCCACTTTACAACGTAACAGAAAGCTTGCTGGCTATACACATTAGATCTAGAAAGTCCTGCAAGTTCCTCTGGGGAAAAGTTGCTGTGAACCACACAAAGCAGAATTTTCTTCTGACATCAGGTATATTATATAGTCACAAGATATATAAAAAGAGCAAAAAATAAAAATGCAAATATTCTGATGAATAACTTTCACATAGGTCCAGAAGATTGCTTAATGCAAAATTGTGTTTGGAAAATATGGAGGATTGTTAAGTCTATTCTTTCTCCCTTCTCTAAAAATCAGTGTGCTTGTTTTGCAAACTATAATCTTTATAGGTAATTATGAGGACTTGAATTTATTTTTGGTTCTAACTGCTGAGAAATATTACTGGGATTTAAGTTCTAAATCTTTTAACTATTTAAAAACACTAATTTAGTTTAATAAACATTTAATCTATTTAGAACCTATCTTGTTTAATGGCAAAATATTCATTGCATTTTGGTTTTAGTGTTACCATTTTGGGATCTGTCATCCCTTGGTGCCACGGTTCCTTCCTCTGAGATGCTAATTTGTGTGTCAGAGAAAACTGGAGTTGTATATCTCCAGGTACAAAAAGAGATGTTGTTATTGTCCTTTCAGCCTCTTTGGCTTCATTTTTTGTTATTCTTGGAACAAGCCATCAAAAATTAATGTTGAGAGATGACAAGTATCTTGGCTATTCAAGTCAGTAGCAAAAATAATAATTTTTTATGGACTTCGTACTTCCGTAAGTGTGAATTATTCATGAAGTGCCAGTTTCGGTAGAAGTCAGCTCAATGATAGATTTGAGCCAGCAGCAGAAAGTGTGCTAAGGAAAATTGCAATATACTAGAGCCTTAAAATTTAGTCAAGCAGTTAAAAAAAGAGTATCTGCTAGAATTCAAATTCTTAAAGTGTGCAAGTTAAAATTTCAATGAGAACAATATTTTCTAATCTGGAATTTACCCTTCACATTAAATTATTAAAGACAGTGGCCTTTAGGATCTGCCAAGAAAAAAGAATGGCATTTTGCCTGAGAATTAGTTAACTTTTATTTTCCCTGTCCTAAGCAGGGAGTCAGACAGAAATCAGAGAGTAATCACCCACTCAGCCCCTCCAAGATGTGCATTTAACCACACTCTTAGAAAACAGTCCACAGTTGGTGTGTTCATTTGCTTCAGAGAACAAAGAGGTGACAACCACACATGCTGTCCTCTAGGGGATCCTCTCCACCTAGTGTACCCTTATTTGTCTCAAAGTAGCAAACTTCCTACATAAGCCTGACTTTGCCTTTGTCTCAAGCCTCTGAAAGAAAAGGACATCAATGACATTGGGTCCGAGAAAGGGGGCTTCCATTTAAAGTCACACAACTTGTTTATTTTTTCCAAGTCAGGTTTTAGAGATAGGTTGAATATCTGGTCTGACTCAAGCAAATGATCTTTCAGCAGTCCAGAATTAAAATGATCAGAAACTAGTGGAAAAGGAATTCAATAAGACAGTTAGTTCTAAGCAAGGCTTATTGAATGGTGAAAATGAGAAAGTGTAATCAGAAGCACAAAAGGAAAATTCAGGCAGATGAAAGAGAGGGAACTAGTGGGAGGAAGTCAGTTACAGGTTTTCAGTTCTGGAACCACAATTGATGGATGTGAAGAAACAGCCTGGAAAAACCTGCATGGTTTAACAAATGGGCTGGGAGTGGGGATTGTCGTAAAACATTTCAAAATACAGGAATGTCCTGCTTAAATGCGTTGTGAAAGCCAAATTCAACTCATTGAGCTGGCATCTCGTTTGTCAGTGTCCCTTATCTTAGTGTTTATTTTCCCTTATTATTTTTGGGATAATTGCTTTGAAATGAGATTTTCCAAATTGTCACATTATGACCTTCCTAGTCATGCTTGAGGACAAATCTCAAAGAAAAGTGAAAATAGATAAGTTATTCTAATGCCTAGTTTATCTTTCATTTTATTTATATCCCTTTCTGGAAATAAAAATATGTGGCTCAACCAAGGGACTTGGCTTTTATTTTGTGTGTACACATCAAAGAAGTTAAAGACATGTTGGGCATCACTAGAAAAGTAATATAAATTAAACATGTTTCCATTTATGTGAAAAAACATGACTCTATATACTTGCATGTCAGGCAAGATCCAGGAAAGGCCCAAAAAAGGACACTTATAGCAAGAGACAGGAGAGAAAGCCATATGGCCATAAACCAAACCTAAACATTCTGGCATAGCTGTATGAAGGATGTGATTTGAGGAGTAGGGACATTCTTACTGCTGAAGTTTACATCCAGGAGGACCACCTCACTAGAGCCCAGTCCCTTAGCATGGCCTTCCAGATCCTTTGTCATTTGGCTTCTACTTTCCCCTCCAGCCTCAACTTCTAACCTATTGTCCCCTCCCTCTTCCCACCATTTCTAAGTTCTAGCTATCCTTTACTTCTTTCAGTGCTCCAAAGGTGCTATGACCCTCCTCCGCAGGATTTTGATAATATTATCTCTATCCAGCCTCAGTTAGTTGCCATTTCCTCTAGGATACTATCCCCCTAATCATTATAAGGCATCCTTTAAAATAGACCTAACTTGAGGTGTTTTCTTAGCCCACGTGGGTGCAAAGCTGAAAGAGGCCAGTCTGCTTCTTTCCTGGGAATTTGGTTTGGAAACTAAAATAATAATCCATTTTAAGTTAGTATTAAAAATTGGAAGGGAGATAAACTCAGTTGGAGTGCCATTGTGGAGCATGGAGAATTAATAATCATAAACCTGAAAACCAGGCTAAAGAGAATGAAAAAAAAATGCCCAGAATGAAGAAAATGTGCAAGATCATGTATCCTCAGGAAGATAAATAACAAAAACCAGACGCCATACCTCCTTACAGCTCCACTTCCTAATCTCTGGGTTTTGTGAGAATTACCTGTAGCCATGTGTTAAATTACCAATTTCTGCTACTGTTAGTGGATTTCTGTTGCTTGCATCCAAATGATTCCTGACTAAGACATTGCTGTATATGTTTATAGCACCTGTCCTTCCTCAAGCATCACACTTTCCATTGCCTTGCAGTTACTTACTTATTGAACAGAATTCTTATCTGGGCTGTGCCTCCATTAGGACAAAAACTATATGTATTAGGTCACAACATGTAGAATGGTGCATTGAACATGTAAGAAAATAAATATTTATTGAATTAGTGAATGATTTCTTACAAAACTCCTTTTAATGCTACTTGGCTTGGGTGGATCATGGGACATTCTCTCCTCTGTGGCTGTCAAATGTTTCAGTTCATAACCATTGATTCTATACAGCTGTGCAATGTACAACAAAAGAAAAAAAAATCTTCAATTAGGAAGTATTGTCCTATTTTTAATGAATTTGTGTAATATCAACTAGTATCACATTGGAGACCTAGGAAGGCCTTCAGGGTCTTCTTCTTCTCCTTCTCCTTCTCCTCCTTCTCCTTCTCCTTCTCCTCCTTCTTCTTCTTCTTTCTTCCTCTCCTTCTTCCTCTTCTAAGAAAGCCTTCAGGGTCTTCTTCTTCTTCTTTCTTCCTCTTCTTCTTCCTCTTCTTTTTCCTCTTCTTCTCCTCCTCCTCCTCCTCCTTCTCCTTCTTCCCACTTTAAGGTAGTAAAAATAGAGAGCAGTTGTCAATACATAAATTGAGAACAAGAAGTTTTTGAAAGAAACTCTATTATTTTGTTTTGTAGCTGGACTTTGATTTCTTACTTGACTGAAGAGCAGAATTACCTGGAGAAGTTTGTAAAAATGCAGATTCCCAGATGCCAGCACAATTTCTTTTCTTTTTTTTTTTTTTTTTTTTTTGAGATGGAGTCTTGCTCTGTCATCCAGGCTGGAGTGCAGTGGTGCGATCTCAGCTCACTGCAACTTCTGCCTTCCAGGTTCAAGCGATTCTCCTGTCTCAGCCTCCTCAGTAGCTGGCATTACAGGTGTGCATCACCATGCCCGGTTAATTTTTTTATTTTTAGTAGAGACAGGATTTCACCATTTTGGACAGGATGGTCTCAAACTCCTGAGCTCAGGCAATCTGCCTGCCTTAACTTCCCAAAGGGCTGGGATTACAGGCCTGGGCCA
The DNA here is from genome assembly GCF_000001405.40 of Homo sapiens. Taxonomy (NCBI): domain Eukaryota; kingdom Metazoa; phylum Chordata; class Mammalia; order Primates; family Hominidae; genus Homo; species Homo sapiens. The sequence goes on from NC_000013.11 coordinate 33,714,012, forward strand.
CCGAGCCCGACCTGCCAACACAATTTCAATGTTAGTTTCTATTAAGCTCTTTGAATAATTCTGAGCCCCAGGGAAGTTTTTGATCATACTCCCTTGAGTTGCTCTTAGATCGGGTTTAAAAAACGTCTTTAGGAGTTATAGATATCCATAATATAAAAATACATATATCTGATCTTAGGCTACTTGCTATCATCATTCAGGGCACCAATTTATTCCATCCACAAATAACTTATTACTTATTGTATGTGCTTTGGGAGTCTTTTCAGGAGCAGGCCTAAAGTGGGTCTTGGTTTTGGGGATCAATCTAGAAACAGCATGCTTATAAGAAAACAATAGCAATACTCAGACATTCTTCTTGATTCCATTTAATCATAAAATTTCTGCAGTGAATACTTGCCTAAATATGAAACTGCAATACTGGCATTTATAATATAAAGAGATATCTCTCTGTCTAATCTAACCCAAATGACATTCTGAATTCTCTCTGTGTCACTCTAAACAATGTTATGATCTAGGACTTTGTATATTCTTCCTGACTATTCAGTGGGGATTGTGAAAAATGCTGTTTTGTTAAAAAGAAGATGCTCATATATTCTAATATGTAATCAGTGATGAAGAAGAAAAAAATGAGTCTGTACTGTCTTACAACAAAAGTACTGACTAGGCTCACGAGAAAGGATCATAACTTACAAGTGGGTGACAAGTAACAAAAAGCAGGGAGACAGGACTGGGCAGGGGCATAAGAACCATAAAATAATGGACGAAAGGAAGGTCATTGTCAGAAAATACCACCATAAAGGAATGAAGTCTATACATTTCCTTGACTGATTTTGATATAAAAAGCATGAGGTGGTTGGGAAAAGGGCTCTTGACTGAGCAACGGGTAGAAGCATAGCACATCAAGAAAGAGATAAAGATAAGTCTGTGGATTTAAGGTTTTTCATCTGCTAATGAAGAAGTTTGAATAGATAATCTCTTTTCTCTTTGCTTGTCTGTTTGTTTGCTTTGCAATCAGAGTTAAGTTGTCATCAGTTTGAAATAATGTGCTATACAATGTTATGTTCAAGCCTCATGGTAATCTCACATTAAAAATCCTACAACAGATACACAAAAAATAAAAAGCAAGAAATTGAAACATACCATGAGATAAAATCACTTTTAAAATGGAAATACAGGAAGGAAGGAAAGAGTGAAGGAAGGAAAAAAAGAACGAGAAACAACCAGAAAACAAATAAAACGGCAGTAACAGTCCTTATTTATGAACAATAACATTGAATGTAAATGGACTAAACTCTCCAATCAAAAGATGTAGCATCATTGAATGGATAGAATATAAAAACAAGAACCAATTCTCTGTTGTCTACAAGAAATACACTTCCGCTGAAGAGACACATATAGACTAAAATAAAAGAATAGAAAAAGATATTCCATGCCAATGGAAATCCAAAAGAGAGTAGGAGTAGCTGTATTTATATAAGACAAAATAGATTTCAAGACAAAAACTGTAAAATAGACTCAAAATGTCATTATATAATGATAAACGGGTAAATTCAGCAACAGGATATAACAATTGTAAATATATATGCACCCAACACTGAAGCACCTATACATATAAAGTAAATATTATTACAGCTAAAGAGAGAGATAGACCCCATTACAATAATAGCTGGAGACTTCAACAGCTTACTTTCAGCACTGAACAGATCATCTGACAGAAAATCAACAAGGAAACATTGGACTTAATCTGCACTCTAGAACAAATGGACCTAATAGATATTTACAGAACATTTCATCCAGTGGCTACAGAATACACATTCTTCTCCTCAGCACATAATTTATTCTCAACTATAGACCATATATTATGCCATAAAACAAGTCTTAATAAATTCAAAAACATTGAAATAGTCTTCTGTATCTTCTCTGACCTCAATGAAATAAAACTAGAAATCAATAACAAGAGGAATTTTGAAAACTATACAAACACATGGAAATTTAACAATATGCTCCTGAATGACTGATTGGTCAATGAAAAAATTAAGAAGAAAAATTTTAAAATTCTTTAAACAAATGGAAATGGAGACACAACATACCAAAGCCTATGGGATACAGCAAAAGCACTACTAAGAGGAAAGTTTATAGCAACAAGTGCCTACATCAAAAAAGTAGAACTTCCAATAAACAACTTAATGATGCATCTTAAAGAGCTAGAAAACCCAAATAGTAGAGGAAAAGAAATAGTAAAGACCAGAGCAGAAAAAAATAAAATTGAAATTAAAAAATACAAAAGATCAATGAAACAAAAAGTTGGATGTTTGAAAAGATAAATAAAATGAACAAACCTTTAGCCAGACTAACTAAGAAAAAAAGAGAGAAGAGCCAAATAAATAAAATTGGAGCTGAAAAAAGAGACATTACAACTGTTACCATGGAAATTCAAAGGATCATTAGAGACTAGTATGAGCAACTATATGCCTATAAATTGGAAAGCCTAGGAGAAATGGATAAATTTCTAGAAGCATACAACCTACCAAGACTGAACCATGGAGAAATCCAAAACTTAAATAGACCAATAACAAGTAACAAAACCAAAGCCATAATAAAAATCTCCCAGAAAAATAAAAAAGCCCAGGACCCAATAGCTTCAGTGCTGATTTTTACCGAACATTAAAGAATAACTAATACTGATCCTATTCAAACTATTCTGAACAACAGAAGAGAAAATATTTCTAAACTTATTCTTTGGCGACAATATTACCCTGATACCAAAACCAGACAAAAACGCATCAGAAAAAGAGAAGGCTAAAGGCCAGTATCTCTGATGAACATAGATGCAAAAATCCTCAACAAAATACTAGCAAACCAAATACAACAACACATTAAAATAATCATTTATCATGACCAAAAGGGATTTATCCCAGAGGTTCAAGGATGGTTCAACATATGCAAATGTGATACAGCATATCAACAGATCATCTCAATTGATGCTGAAAAACATTTGATAAAATTCAAGATCCCTTCATGATAAAAACTCTCAAAAAACTGAGTGTAGAAGGAACATACTTGAACACAATAAAAGCCATATATGACAGATCCACAGATAGTATCATACTGAATGGGGAAAAACTGAAAGCCTTTCCTCTGAGATCTGGAACACGACAAGGATGCCCACTTTCACCACTGCTATTGGACATAGTACTGGAAGTCCTAGCTAGAGCCATCAGACAAGAGAAAGAAATAAAGGGCATCCAGATTGGAACGGAAGAAGTCAAATTGTCCTTGTTTGCAGATGATATGCTCTTACATTTAGAAAAACCTAAGGACTCTATCAAAAGCTATTAGAATTGGTGAATTCAGTAAAGTTGCAGGATACAAAATCAACGTATAAAAATCAGTAGTGTTGGGGCCAGGTGCGGTAGCTCATGCCTGTAATCCCAGCACTTTGGGAGGCCAAGGCGGGCAGATCACGAGGTCAGGCAATCGAGACCATCCTGGCTAACACAGTGAAACCCTGTCTCTACTAAAAAAATACAAAAAATTAGCCGGGCGTGGTGGCAGGTGCCTTTGATCCCAGCTACTCGGGAGGCTGAGGCAGGAGAATGGCGTGAACCTGGGAGGCGGAGCTTGCAGTGAGCCGAGATGGCGCCACTGCACTCCAGCCTGGGCAAAAGAGGAAGACTCTGTCAAAAAAAAAAAAAAAAAATTCAGTAGTGTTTCTGCATGCCAACACTGAATAATCTAAAAAGGAAATCAAGAAAGTAATCCCATTTACAATAGCTACAAATAAAATAAAATACCAAGGAATAAACATAACCAAAGAAGTAAAAGATTTCTACAATGAAAACATACATTGCTGGTGGCTATGTAAAATGACACAGACACAGATACTCTGGAAAATGGTTTGGCAGTTTCCCCTTATAGAACTGAAAATGTCCTTGCTACATGACTCAGCAATAGCACTCCTGAGTATTTATCCTAGAGAAATAAAGAAACTTATGTTCACATAAAACCATGTGCAAGAATATTCATAGCATCTTTATTCACACTAGCCCTAAACTGGAGAAAGCTGAAATGTTCTTCAATGGGTAAATGGATGAACAAATTGTTCTACATCCATACCATGGCACACTACTGAACAACAACAAAAAAGAAACAAACTATGGATACATGCAATGTGGTAGACAGAATAATGCTCCCACCTCCCCACAAAAGATGTATACTCTCTATCCCTATTACATGGCAAAAGGGTCTTTGCTGATTATTCTGGACTTTTCAGGTTGATTCAGTCTAAGCACAGAAACTCTTAAAAGCAAAAAATGTTCTGTGGCTAGAGTCGGGGAGAGATGCAGCAGAAGTTAGAGAGATCCCACTCATGAGACATACCCTATCTGCCATTGCTAGAGGTGCACCACATTAAGTATAAAAAGGATGTAGACAAGCTCTAGGAACAAAGATTAGTTCCCAGCTGACTGCCAGCAAGGAAATGGGGACCTCTGTTCTACAGCTGCAAGACACTGAACTTGTCCAACGACCTGAATGAACATGGAAGTGGATTCATCCCAAGTCTCTATGAGGGAACACTGAGCTTGTTTTAGGCTTTATGAGATTCTAAGCAGAGGGCCCCATTGTGCCACACTGTTCCCAGACTTTTGACTTTGAGAACAATAAAAAAGAGAAGAAATGTGTGAGACAATAAATGTGTGTTGTTTTAAGTAGATAAATTTGTGGTGATTTGGAACAGTAACACTAAAAAACGAATATGCACAACAACTTGGATGGATCCCAAGAGAAGAATGCGGAGTGAATAAAGCCAGACTCAAAGGGTTTCATCCTGAATGATTCCATTTATATAGTATTTTTGAAATGATAAAATTATAGAGATGGAAAACAGATTAATGGTTGCTAAAGTCTGGGGGGGAAAGAGAGGTGGTGGATTTGACTGTAAATGGGTAGCATGAAGGATCCTTGTGCTGATGGAATTATTGTGTAACTTGGCTAGCTACACAATCTATCCTTGTGCTAAAATTGCATGGAGCTTGATATGGTTTGTCTGTGTGTCCCCACACAAATCTCATCTCGAATTGTAATCCCCACTTGTTGAAGGAGGGACCTGTAATTCCTACTTTTTGAGGTAGCGAGGTGAGTGGATTATGAGGTTCCTTCCCCCATGCTGTTCTCATGATAGTGAGTGAGTTCTCATGAGATGTGGTGGTTTTATAAGGCAGTTTCCCCTGCTCTTGTTGGCTCTCTCTTGCCTGCCACAATGTAAGCCATGCCTGCTTCCCCTTCCACCATGATTGTAAGTTTCCTGAGGCCTCCCCTGCCATGTGGAACTGTGAGTCCATTAAACCTCTTTCCTTTATAAATTACCCAGTCTCAGGAAGTTATTTATAGCAGTGTGAGAATGTACTAACACAGAGCTCAGTACATACACGTATACCCACATGGGTGCATATAAGTGGGTACAATCTGAATAATGTCAATATCACTGTCACTATCTCATTTGTGATATTGCACTATAGTTATGCAAGACATTACAATTGGGAGAAACTGGGATAAGGGTACAGGGACTTCTTTATTATTTCTTAGAACTAGATGTGAGCCTATAATTATCTCTAAATAAAAAAGTTAATTTAACAAAGGCTTAATAGATATAAAAAACAGATTTTAAAGTAATATTTATTATTTTAAATTTATATATTTATGATACAAAAAACCATTGTCCTCATTTAAACAATGGAACTAAATATGTCAGATCATCATCACCATGACCTCAAAATGAACTGAGGTGTAAGGTAAAGTTCACTCCACTGTTTCTTGTTGTTCACTTGTGCTTGCATTACTACAACTGTCTTCCAGCCACAGTTTGCCTATAGGGATCTCTTTAAGACACTTCCCAATTTTATGACTGTCAGTTAAAACTAGATAATAGAATTCACAAATCTGCCTAACAGGATATATCATTTTTCTATCACTGCTGTAACAAATTATAGCAGAGTTAGTGGCTTCAGATAATACAAATTTGTTATCTTACCATTCTAGAGGTCAGAAGCCCAAAATGGATATCATGGGACTAAACTCAAGGTGTCAGTAGGGCTGTGTTTTTCTGGAGGCTCTAGGGAGAATCTGTTTCCTTGCCTGTTCCAGTTTCCAGAGGCTTCCTGCATTCCTTGGCTTGTGGCCTCTTTCAAAGCCCCCTCCAAGAATCATTACTCTGACTCTGCTTCAATCTCCACATCTCTTTCTTTGACTGTGACCCTCCTCCCTCCCTTGTTCTTTATAAAAAACACTGGTAGTTACATTGGGCTACCTGGATAATCTCCCTGTATCAAGATCCTTTACTTAATCACATCTGCAGTATTCATTTTGCCATGTAAGGTAACATATTCACAGGTTCTGATGGTTAGGACATCTTTTGGGTGGGGCAGTGAGGGAAGCGTTATTCTGCTTGCCAACAGTACATACATATACTGCAGCATGTTGCCATGTGCAGAATGTGTACAGATGTGTGAGGATACCACTGCCACTCTATTGTGTGGTACTATAATATTTCCGGTACACTGCTCTCAGGATATCTCAGGTACCAATTCCATGACCATTTCCTGTGCACACTTAGAAAGGCATCAGATTTAATTCATTTATTAAATATCAGTAGGGCTTAATGTCTTTTTGGAGTTTTTGTTTGTTTAAACACAATCACACATAGGAGTTCTAATATTCTCTTTCCATGCCTCAGTGTATTGCTTTTGTACCTCTTAAGTTGGGTGCCCCCAGTTGGAGGTCACTGCTGTAAACAACCAGTATTTAACAACTTCTTACATCTGTATAGCAATGTACAATTTACAGACTGTTTTCAGAAAGAGTGTCTCGGTTCATTCAGATTGCTATAGCAAAAATACCATGGAATAGTATAGTGGCTTAAACAACAAACATATATATTTCTCACAGTTCTGAAGGCTGGGAAGTCCAAGATCAAGGTGCCACTTCTTGGTTCATAGACCAGTATATTCTTGCTCTGTATTTACATGGTGGAATGAGGATGAGGGAGCTCTCCTGGATCCCTTTTATAAGGGTGCCAATCCCACTAGGAGAGCTCCACTCTCACGACCTAATTACTTCCCAAAGGCCCCATCTCCTAACACCATCGCCTTAGGGCTTAGGATTTCCACATATGAATTTGTCGGCGGGGAGGATAAAAACATTTAGTCCATAGCAAAGATTGCTTTATCTTTTGGAATCCTTAATTCCACGCAAGCAACACTTGCATGCAGTTTCCATTTTATAGATGAGGTATCTCAAGTTCAGAGAAGTTCAGTACCTTGACTAAGGACAAAACTAAAACAGAGCCGACTGAAGAATTGCAATCTTTCATTGTAGTCTACAGTTCAATAACAACACTGAATAGGGGTTGTGGGTAAATAAGGAATGAAGTTTTCTGTCTCCAAGGAGAAGGCATCCTGAGTCTTTGGGAGACAGCAGTAGTAATGGCAGTGAAAGCAGATAAACCTTGTTCAAAACAGGTTATCTGCTTATCAAAGCACCAACTACTGAGACATCAACTGATTTCCTCATGCTCAGAGCCTGTACACAAGAGGAACAAAGTTTGGTACCAAAAATTGGTGTGGTTCAAAGAAGTGGGGACTATACAATAAAGAAAAGCTGTATTGTTCTAAGTAAATTTTCTTTTGTATTTCATGAGGTCACAAATAGTTCTAGCATTTTTCCCCCTTGGCTTTCTTTTGGAGAGGACATTACAAATGATAGTGATTCGATGACAGACATTCTTTTTCCCCAAGTGGTTCAGAGCATTCCAAAGGACACAAGGCTATTTTTATTCAGTGGAGCTTGGGACTCTTGGTAGGAAAAGATCTGCAGTGCTGCTGTCCTTCTGATAAAAGGAACAAACATGTTCTTGAACAATCTTGAAAGGATGACACAGCTCATGGAAAATCCAGGAAATGCAGATGTTATTACTGTATGAGAATCACAAGACATGATCTCAGAGATAATTTAGTACAGCATGATTGAGCAGCAGAGGAATATGGAAATTTGTAACTGATAAATGGTGGTAGCTGGGCCAGATTTTGAGAGGTGGTTTGAAAGCTTTAACAGACAGATTACTTAAAGTCATTTAATGGATTTCAGCTCCAACACTGACTTATTTTAATAAACGAAATGCTAATTTGGGCCTCATGCATTCTTTTATATATTCAATTCATGAGGTTGGAAACATTGATCTTTATATTCCTGAGAAACAATTTAATTAGACCTGTAAATGGCTCTTAAAGTACAAATAATGAGAACCAACTATTTGGAAGTGACTTCAAGACTGGCTTGCAAAGAGTGTATAAGTTTCTATTTGATGGTGTAATTACCCATTTGCAAGAGTCACATACACAGGCCAAATCTCCTAATTGATTTACTTAGTAACATGTAACATTGAGGTCACATTACATTAGCAAGGGGAAATGGAAGGCAGAATTATTTACCTTGATACTATAAACGAGAATAAACAAATGATACTTCAATTATCTGATTCTTTCAAATGAGACATTTGAGGTATAAGAATCTGAATTGCATTGTTACTGAATTTCACATTGATACTAGACAGTCTCAGAGTCAGAAAGCCAACGTTTTACATAGAGACTTTAGAGACATTTTTGTCTGTGTAAGTAACTTTTATACAGCTCAATTTGCCAGTATGTGACTTATCTATTTATACATGGGCCAAGTACTTGACTAGTTTTTTAACTTTCCAGTTTTATAAAAATGAAAGTGAAAGAGTCCAAATACTATTTTCATAACTGTCAACTAATTCATAGTTACAGTAACCAGAAAATAGAATAGCGTGTAGGCATTGGACTGAACACAAGGACTTTATTGGATTTTCTTTACTATAATAATATTCCTGGACTTCCCAATTTCATGTGCTTGAAAAATTTAGAAAACATCTTGCTGTAAATCCATACTGCAGATTACTCAAAGGCTTGGGAATATGATTCAAGAGGAAATTCTTTAGATCTGGGATAATTCACTTCTATTTTTCAAGGGCTTTTGTTTTAAGGATACCTGGAAAATCATAAAATCAGATGGGATTTAAGAGTTATTTAATCTAGTGGTACCTATGCACCAGTCATTAGATCTGTGCTGGGCTGCCTGCCTACACATTTTTAGCTAATTTCCATGTCTTCAGACAAGAAAAATGTTTTCCAAGGAAAACAGTTCTTTTGGATTTTTTTTTAAGTGCAATTTCTGGGCCCTGCCCTAGATTTTCTGACTGAGCAAATTTATAGGCAAGGCCCTGGAATCTGTATTTTTTTAAAAAGCTTCCCCGGTGATTTTGAGATCCAGCCATTTGTGGAAACCCACTGATGTTAGTCCAATCTCTTTGTTTTCCAGATGCAAAATCTGAGGCCCACCTTGTCCCAGCTAAGCAAGTGAGGGAGAGGAATCCAGAGCCCTGACTTGTAATTCATTTTTTTTTTGTGTGCTTCTCATTCACTAGGCACATCTGCTGATCAAATCCTTCCCATACCCTCTGGATTCAGAACAAGAGGAAGTGCACATATGTCCACAACAATTTCCCAACACTAGGGAGTATTGATTTGCTGGGGGAGCAAGTGGCATCTCCCTCCCTGGAAAATTTTAAAACCAAAAGAAAAAGTTTAACTGGCTGATAATTTATAAATGAAATCCTCTCTGAAGATAGGAAGATGGGCTAGATAATGTTTTATCTCTTCTAGCCCTAACTTTCCATGCTCCTATAATTTAGTAACAAAAGGAACCCATGCACTTTCTTTTTTTTTAAGACAGTTTCTCCAGAAGCTTCCATGTGTGGAGAAACTTACTCTCTTCCTCCTTCTTCTATTTATCTTTTCTTATCTGAAAGGAGGACTACACTGTAAACATCTACATATGCAAAACCCATGCCTTTGGTACACACCTACCACTTTCAGATCAAACCGACAGCCTAAGTGGCCAGGCTGGCAGCTGGTTTAGGATAAATACAACAGCACCACCTTGTGTTGCGTTTCTGGGAGAATTTACCACTTCAGCAGGACAAAGACTTGGGCCGGGATGGGTGGCTCAGGATACAGCAACTATTCCTTTACTTTCCCTGCTGGGAGCAAATGCTAGCCATTTCGAAAAACCTTTTTGTTTGTTATCAGCCTACAATTTTCTTCTATAAATTCTGTAATTTTTAAAATATAAAAGGTAGCTGAGAAATGGAAATGCAGAAATAAACATATATTAATAAAAGCCTGGGTAAGCACAGTGCTATAGTAAATATTGTAGAGAAAAAGTTAATGTCAGCTTTTATTGCAAAAGACTTGATAGTAAATGTACATTTAATGCTATTGTGATTTAACACTTTCTCTAAAGATTCTCCCATATTTGGGGAGGTAGCTTTTAAACTATGTATTTGCCTATTAAGGGAAGAAAAGAATGTTTCACTTTCTCATAACCATTCTGGGTGAGCCTGGATAAAGTCTTTGTTTTCCCCAAGTATAGTTGTAGATTCACATATATAAATATATATAGATATATATGAATATATATATAATATTCATATTATACCTTGTATTCCCCAAGCATGGTTGTAGATTCATATACTATATGTGTACATATATAATATACATATGCACATATATATTTGCATCTTTGCTGTGGAGCAAGCTAAAAATTTAATATGTGAATATCAACATGGGACTGAAAGACCATAAAGACCAGAAAATCGACATATTTGCTAAACAAATATGTCAAATGTCTGATATTTTCAACAGAAAGAACATGACTAATTAAGGAAGATTATTTCCAGTTGTAATTTGAAATGTCAAGATTAGTGTAACAAATCAGCAATTCTTTGTCTCTGAAATCATCTGGAAAATTGAGCTAAGGCCTTACAAGCTACACATTATTATGGGAAGAGAAGTTACAGGATTAGAAAGTAGCAAACCAGGCATTCGGGGCCTTGCTGGGGCTGGCCATGCAGAAAAACTTACCCAGAAAATCCTGCAGAAAGCTCAGTAATGTTACTTTTAGTTGTAAAAGAGGATTTGGTCTTCAAAGTTTATTTGCCATTGTTCACCCAGTCTTTAGCACGTATATTTACTGTGCTGAGCTAATAACTTTGAATTAGACTTTACAAATAAGAAGGAAAAATTATGTCTTAGTTCCTCATGTGCTTTCTTGTGGAAGGCCAGACAAGTAGCACATTTGATTAGGCAATATTTCTAAGTTTTGGATAATTTTTCTGATATTGTATTCTCCAATTAAATTGTAATCTAATTTATAAAAATACTAAATATATAGTTATGAAGGGTGCACTACAATTTTAAAGAATGTGGAATGTTCAGGTGTGAATCATGAACTTGGAGGGCTTCTAGTAAATACCAGTTGGCAAATACAATGTCATATCAATATGAAGAAAATGCTCTTCTTTTCTTCAAACAAACGCAATCTCAAAAACTCCCAAGGGCTATTCCATTTGTGTACTTATCAGTCACTTGACTGCTTTCCTAATCACTGTTTTCTAGTCCCAGTTCTGTGCACAAAGGAAAGTTCCACCCCGTTCCCCAACCCTGCACTCAGGATCACTCCCCATCAAATGGTGCCTACCTGGAGCAGAATGTTGATTTCACACTTGCTCCAAATGTTCTTCTTCCTTCCATTAGACTTTCACTTAAAATTTATTTTTTGGTAGAATTTGAGTTCCAGGGAGAGTATGGACTTAATTTCTAGTGGCTCTTAATTCTGTACTGCCACCCAGATGGCTTCCAGCTACATGGCTTTTTTGTCACAGGACAAAGCAATGACTGTGGATAATGAAAAAATAATAATTTTCTAGAATGGTGGAATAATTTTAGACACTATTAGTGTTTATTAATTGGGTTGTGTATTAGTCTGCTTGGGCTGCCACAGCAAAATACCCCAGACTGGGAGGCTTAAAGAACAAAAGTTTAGGCCGGGCAAGGTGGCTCACACCTGTAATCCCAGTAATTTGGGAGGTCAAGGCAGGTGGATCACCTGAGGTCAGGAGTTCGAGACCAGCCTGGCCGACATGGTGAAACCCTGTGTCTACTAATAATACAAAAAAATTAGCCAGGCGTGGTGGCTTACACCTGTAATCCCAGCTACTTGGGAGGCTGAGGCAGGAGAATCGCTTAAACTCGGGAGGTGGAGATTGCAGTGAACCAAGGTCGCGCCATTGCACTTCAGCCTGGTGACAGAGTGAGACCCTGTCTCTAAAAAAAAAAGAAAGAAAGAAAGAAAGAAAGAAAGAAAGAAAGAAAGAAAAGAACAGGACAGAAGTTTATTTTCTACAGGTTCTGGAGGATAGAAATCCAACATCCAGGTGCCAGTAGGGTTGGTTTCTGGTTGCAAATGGTCACCATCTTGCTATGTCCTTACATGGTCTTTTTTCTGTAAGCATGGAGAGACAGAGAGAACGCTGGTGTCTCTTCTTCTTATAAGGGCACCAGTCTTATCAGATTAGGACCCCACCCTTATGATTTCATTTAACCTTAATTACTTTGAAAAGCTTATGTCCATATATGGTCACCCTAGGGTTAGTGCTTCAACACATGGAATTTTAGAGGGGACACAATTTAGTCCCTAATAGATGGTAACATAACTTGAACCTGGGAGGTGGAGGTTGCAGTGAGCTGAGATTGCACCACTGCGTTCCAGCCTGGGTGACAGAGCGAGACTCTGTCAAAAAAAAAAAAAAAAATCACCGAAGTTGGATAACCACAAAATGGATGTAATAACACAGCCCTGTCCTAACTTGGTTCTGACAGTGTCACATAGGAAAAACGTTTTAGAGTTAGAATTGCAACCTCTTGCTTCCAAGTGCCTATTTTACGTTAACTACTATGTTTTATTTTCCCAAATCTTCAACATTATGCTTTTAGAGGCAATTTTCAGAACTAGGTTTTTTTTTCTTATTTATACGCTGAAGTGTTATATATGTGATAAACAAGAAGACAAAATGACAGAAAGGAATTAAAGTCAATATAATCACCCCTGTTAAGCCATTATGTGTTTCCATTAGAGCTTTTCACACTAGCTCCATAGTCTAAGTTATTTCACTTCTCTGAGACCTGGCTCTTCCCTTGAAAATATATGATTAATAGTCCCCATCTTAAACAGTTGACCTGAGGAGTAAATGAGAATATACATATAAAAGGTTCCATGAGGACACAGCAGTAAGTTTGCCATTTGCAAGTTTTTAGAACATAGCAGACTTCTAACAGAAACAATGTTATCCTCTGTCTTACTAAGTTTTATAGTATGATTTTCCATTGCCTGAAATCTCTAATTCTGTAAACCATCCGAACTATATTTAAGTAAAGTAGTTCACTTGTGCATTTTGATAGAGTTTGATGTTTGCTTCTTCTATTTTGAGGAGGAACATGCCACCCACTCTTGGATGAAGTGGTGATTTAACTATAACTATAATACAGATATCTGACTCAACAACTGGCTGGAGTTCTGAAAGTAAAACCATGCAAATCAAGGAGATGGTAGCCAGCCTTAAATTCTCTATTGCCTCATAGTAAATTTATCTATAACATCCTTTGGAATGCTCAGATCGCTTCTAGTTATATCAAGATCATCAGTAAGTCTGCTCAAGAAAAGCCAACCTCCTCTTTCTTGGTCAAAAGGTGGGTTTAAACTTTTTAAATTTCGGTATCTAAAGGCAATTTTTAAAAAAGTTTTCAATGTTTTTGAAAGATTGAACTTTCCAGATTTAAATATTTTTTCATACTCTTAACCAAGTTGTAAAGTTCTGAGCCTGTGGAGGGGTTGGGGGTTGAAGGATAGAGTTTTCATATACCCATATGAAATGCACATACATAATCACATGCCACAAACCACAATCACTGTTAGAACTGTACAGTGTGACCTTGATAGGTACGGGCCCTGCTGGCACAGGACTTACAGATTGGTGGGGCAGAAAAATATTAAAAACTACACAAATGGCCAGATGGATACAAATATGATAAGAGCCATGAAGGAAAACATTTAGTTGAAAGCACTGCAATACAAGTGAGTCCAATATATGTCAAGTACAACACAAAGCATCTTCTTTGCATGGGTTTTACTACTTTCTAGCACATTCTTGCAGTGTTCTTAGGTAGGCAGCAATGCTGTAAGACACAGTGAGGTGAAAATTAGGAGAAAGTAGTGACAGAATATTTTTCCTCTTAATGTAAATTGTGAAGGAAAAAAATTCCTCTACAAAAATTCCCGTAGTCTAAACTCCACATTTTCAAAAGTCCTTAGAGCCATGGCAAGTTTCCATGGAGCACAGATTGAACTCTCTCATGTAGAAGAATAACCTACTTGTTTTCAGGAGAAAGGCGGGAAAAGTGCCTGAAACCACACCCACTAATGACATCAACAATTTCCAGAAGGAAGGCTCGCCCATAAAAAGGGTGCCAGCTTGGCTGGACAGAGAAAGCATGATGGTGGCCCCACCCATGATGTCAGCCCTGGGCCCTGACCGTACAGAACCTTCACACTGGGTTTCTTAAGGACCAGTTGCCATCTTGTCTCCTCCCTCCCCACAGCCCAAACTCAAATGCTAACTTTGACCTTCCTTCCTGCCCCTGCTGTGTCAGTTGGCATGTCTCAGGACTGTAGCAAAAGAAAGCTGGATTTTTTCCAGGAATAGCTTCAGTCTTGCTCAGATGAAAGGCAGGATGCCAGGGCGAGGTGATTTTGTTATTAATCAACCTTGATTTGCAGAAGATGACACAGATGCCAGGTCTGTGCTTTAAGTATCCTTTCAGCAGTGCTGAAAGTCAAATATTATTCAGCTAGGTTCTAAGCAGGCAGTTTAAATCATGCTAAAGGCTGTGCCATTTCAGTGCTAGAAACAGGAACTGAAAACGAATAATGTGCTATTGGGAAACTGCGGTGAACTCTGTCATTTTGAACCCTGAGCACCTGTTTGTACTTGTAAAGCTGAGAGTTCATGTCGAGGGAACATGGAGCTATTGGAATATGGCAGGACTGAATCTGTCCAACTTGACTTCAAGGGCATTTAAGTGAAAATTTGCTTTAAACAGTCAATGCTGAGGAGAGAAGAGACTCTGGAAATCTATAATCTAATCCTTGGGGAGCATTTCTAGTTTAATAAGTGGTAGAACACATTGCCCATCTTAGACAATCACCCATAAAAAATGTCCTGACCAAAATCCTGCTAGGCTATGCAAGTACTCCTAGTACTGAATGTCGGCTCAGTGAGTGCACACTTTGACTTTATTAATGGTGAACCATTTATCTGGACCCATGATAAGAGTCAAGTCTACCCTTTCATAAATTGATTTTGTTTTGTTTTCTAATGAAAAGTTTTAAACAATCTATATAAATGGCATATTGTCTAAATTGTAAAGTGTCGAGATGACATTTCATTTGTTTTTTGTTCTATTGAGAAATGGAAAGGTTAAGGGCTTCGGTGTCAAATGGATCAAAATTCAGACTCCAGTTTAGATACTTATGAGCTGTGCAATTCTGAGCAGTTTGCCTAACCTCTTAAAACTTCAGTTTTCAGCCGGGAGCGGTGGCTCATGCCTGTAATCCTAGCACTTTGGGAGGCCGAGGCAGGTGGATCATGAGGTCAAGAGATTGAGACCATCCTGGCCAACATGGTGAAACCCCGTCTCTACTAAACATACAAAAATTAGCTGGGCGTGGTGGCAGGCGCCTGTAGTCCCAGCTACTTGGGAGGCTGAGGCAGGAGAATCACTTGAACCAGGGAGGCAGAGGTTGCAGTGGGCCGAGATTGTGCCACTGCACTCCAGCCTGGTGACAGAGTGAGACTCCGTCTCAAAAACAAAACAAAACAAAACAAAAACTTCAGTTTTCCTCATTTGTAAAATGGAATCATTATAACAATACCTTGCACGAGCTAAAAACTTTCCTGTCACATATGCTAGAGGCCTAGCCCAGAGTATCTAAGTGCTCCATAAATGGTGGAGAGCTGCCGAAGTAGTGGGAATGGAAGTAGCAAGAATGTTATGAACAGTATTTGTCTTTCTGAAAGAGACTGCTCTTGACAAAAAGAATCATATCATACACTTCAGTGGAATTTCTCAGCATTTCTAGCATGGGGTGCAGGCAACAATCAGTGCTAGCTGAAATGTACTGACATGAATGAGTTGGGCATCAGTACATTTTCCCAGCTAGGATAATGGAGCAGGGAGGCAAGGTCACCAACTATTTTCTAGAGAGAGACATGTTAACACACACAGAGTGCTTCACTAGAAACATAGAAATAAGAACTTCCTCTGTCACAAAGGGTGTGAGATACTTGAGGGTGAAGAGGGGAGCAGTGGGGGGTAGAAGGTGGGGAAGGAAATGATGCAGAACCATTACAACATGGGCCAAATAACAAGTGAGAGGGAACGAAAAGAAGGGAACTCATGCTTGCTGAGCATGATATGTCAGCACTTGACACAAAATCCTTACTCTACCCTGAAATTTAAGTCCTTTTAGCCTCAGAGAGCTTAAATAAACCTGCCCAAGGTCCCACAGCCAATAAATGGTAGAACTAAAAATTGTACTTAGGGCTCTCCACCTTCAAATGGGGGTTCACTCACAGCTGCATGCCGCCACCCTGCTGTATCACAGTGCTCAGGATTTTTATGCGATGCCAATTTCTCCTCCAGCTGCCTCCCTTTCCTCACCCTTCATATAGATGATGTATAATTTATCATTCAAACCAGGCGACGTTGGAGACTCGAAGAGGGAGCTGTTTCTCCAGGACAACAGGCCAAACCAGCACTGTCTTAGGCAACACTGGACAGTTACTCACTCCACTCAAAAGAGTTATCTACACTCTGAGCTTCCTCAGCCCTCAAGCACTAATAACTACACTTATGCTATTCACTCTCTAAATGCTCTGGCTAAGATCACTGAGGACCTCCATGTCCCTAAATCACAAAGATGTTTTTAGTCCTTTTTTATTTGACTTATTAGGCTATTCTTTTTTTCTTCTCCTCCTTCTTTGAGACCAAGTCTCACTCTATCGCCCAGGCTGGAGTGCAGTGGCGTGATCTCTGCTCATTACAACCTTCGCCTCCCAGGTTCGAGCGATTCTACTGCCTCAGCCTCCAGAGTAGCTGGGACTACAGGTGTGCACCACCATGCTCGGCTAATTTCTTTTGTACTTTTATTAGAGACGGGGTTTCATCATGTTGGCCAGGCTGGTCTTGAACTTCTGAGCTCAAGTGATCCACCTGCCTTGGCCTCCCAAAGTGCTGGGATTACAGGTGTGAGCCACCGCCCTGTGCTGACTTATTAGACTATTCTGATGACTTCCGTTGTTTGCTACTCTGCATCTCCTTGGCTTTTGGGATACAGTACCACACTAGTTATCCTTGAAAACTATTTCTAGTTCTTCTAACACATAATCTTCTACTCAACTTTTAAGTACTGGAGCCCCTTAAGGCTTGGCCAGAGACCCTCTTTATTGAAAAAAAATTATTTATTTCTATATGTTCTCACTAGGGAACCTCATCTCTCCTGATGGCTTCACATAAGGTCTTTAAATTAATTACCATAAAATTTGCATTCCCACTCCAGATCTTGGATCTGAGCCCCAGGCCAGTGCTTTACTCAACATCGCTGCTTGGATACTTCACAGGAATATCAATTTCACTAAGCCTAAAACTCATCTCCTCCTCCCATCCCCAGCAACTCCATTTTCTCCTAATGACCACTAGCACAGTAAATGGTGCTGCCCTCCACCCAAGTGTGTAGGTCAGAAACGTGAGAAACACGCTCACTCATCTAAACCCAAGGAATGGACTTAGAGATATAGAGAGTAGCAGAGACTTTTAATGATGGTCTTACAAGATCAGGTGTCTGATGGGCAGGCACACCCAGTACGGTTACAACAAGCAATTTATCCCCTAGTGCACAAGTCCCTTCCCCGTTCCTCACAGGCTGAGTACTATGGGGTTACAATCTTCCCGGACGTCGCCTATTGGTCATTGGGTTGGGGCTTTTAGGTGTTTTTTTTAGGGTTGTCTTGCTGCATTTTGTTGCAGCCCATAATGCATTGCAATGATGGTCAGCTCCGTGACTTTACAAGTACTTGAGTTATGACCCAGGTAGTCAGGCAAGCTGATAAGAATAGATAAAGCAGCTGTTTTGCAGGCTAGTACACTTTCATTCTAGACTAAACTTTTTGGTTCGGGTGAGGGTAACTAAGGGGGCCATGACAAACAGGCACTGGCTATTAAAGCAGGGGCCTAGTGTATCCTGTTTTTCCATAGTTTGCAGGCCCGAGCCTATTTAAAGCACTTTGTCTTGAAAATGGACCACCATATACATTATTTCCTACAACAATGTAGGAAACAAATGCCTCTTCTTCACTTACCATATACAATTGATCATCAAACAGTGTTATGTGTATTTCTAAATGTCCATCTCTCTTTTCTTCTGCCACCATCCTAGTCCAAGCCAACATCACTTCTGCCCCAATTATTATAATGGCCTCGAAACTCTCTCTTCACTTTTACTCTTGCCACTCCCTAATTGTCATGTGCCACATCTGTTCCTCTCTTGCTTTAGCTCAATGTTCTTTCCCCCTCTCTCTTCATCCCTACTAGTCTATTAGTTCCTCATTCCATTTTTCTTCTTACTTTAGAAGCTTAACATGTTCTTTTTCTTCATACTGGGTAACTCATTCATCCTCTAGGTCTGAGATTGGATGTCCTGTCTTCAGAGAAGCTTTTGAGACCCCCTAAAGTAGGTTGAGTTTTCCTGTCTTTCATGGCTCCCTATAATCTTCTTTTGAGGCATTTATTAAAATTGTTGTCCCAATCTTGCTTTGTAGCACAACATGACTTCATTAGATATTGACATTATTTGAATATAATCATTCTATAGCATCACTTAAAGCCATCATTAACATCCAGTGGCCGGGAAGGACCACAGGTCCATGAGCTTGTAATTTTGCTGGTTCACTCGTTTTGAACTTAATAGTGACACAAAAGTTTGCAGTGGGGAAGTTTGATGAGCCTGATGGGGCCAAAGCAAGAGACAGATGCTGTGAAAGTCCCCATAGATTTTAACCTTAAGCTGTTGCTCTGGTCAGGTGAAACAGAGGTAGACAGGTTGCTGGTAAGGTGATGAACAAATTAGAAATAGCATGCTCTGTGCTGAGTAAAGTCAAGAGATCTGTGAATGGCAATGTTTTGTTCAATAATGGGTGAGGAAGTGTATGAAGAAGTGACAAAGGTGTCTACCGATCCTAAATCTCTGTGACACACACCTACATGATCCCACATCATGCATAATGACAGCATTAAATATAAAAGGTGACAATGTGCCTATATAAGATATAACTTAAAGTCACAGGACAGGCTTTATGCACAGTTTACAGAGTTTTGTCTTAATGCTACCGTTATTCTTTATTTAATTATTGACATTTGAATTAAGTGTTAGTTTTCACAGCATAGTTCATCTAATCACTTGCATTTTATATTCTTGATACTTCTAAGTACTTTAAAGTCTCATTTGTGGGCAATTAAGATGCACTTTTATATTTCTAAATTACATATTCTATTAAAAAGCACTTTAATGTAAACGTAGTGTTATGCCATAAAATATTCTATTTGCGTGTCAGGTTTATAGCTATCAAAAATTGCTATGGTGTATAAATTGAGCTTTACTTTGATGCCAATGTTCTTTTGCCCAGAGTTAATTTTTCTGGAATATCCAGGAGTTTTAGAGTGTTTCTGTCAAAACTGTGCTGACATTCTCTCTTAGAGAGTCCTTTAGCACTAGGGATGGGAGTGAGACCGAAGTGGATGCTTCCAGTGGTAGAGCTGCACTTCTTAGCAGATGGAGAAAAGTAGGGTCGGCCTGGTAAAAGGTGACGTGAAGACGGGTTTCAGGAGGAGGTGCTCACAGGTGATCATGGCAGATGCAGTGTGGAGATAATTCCCTGAGTTGTATCTACACAAAACCAGGTGCCCTGTGAAGGGGAAAGAACTATTAGTTGCTTTATCAGTTTCAAACCTAACTAAACAGACAACCAACCTATTAAATAAGGCAAAGAGACCTTGGAGAAAACTGAAACCCTTCCCCAAAGAGTTAAAGAAACCAATGACTAACAGAAATTCTTGAGTCTGCAGGATAGCAGTTAAAAAAGAAACAACTTGCTGAAACACTGAAACTCCCTCTGCTTCTGAGGTAAAAGAACTGGCTGAAATCACTTGGAACCAATATGGCCGAATGGAGTCTATGCAGAACCAGCTTGCTGATGTCACAACTTGAATTTCCACCACATATTTTATACTAATTCTCCCTGAATTTGCACATGCAACCCATGAGATAGCATGAAGAGATGACTGCATGTCCAAGGGCCTTCCAGACCTCCCTTCCCTTCCACCAATCACCTATTAGGGTCAGAATCCACACCCTGAAACTTTCCACTGAAAATACTGCTTTAAAGCCAGCATGGAGAGACAGATTTGAGCTTGACACTCCTGTCTTCTTGTGAGTCAACTTGCAATACAAAGCTTTTCTTTTCTCAAAAACCCTGTGTCATAGCATTGGCTTCTAGCACATCGGGCAGTGAGACCCTTTTGCTCAATAACAAAACTACAATTCATTTTCTAATGGCTCTGCTGGAAATAACTGTAGCAGTAATTTGTTCTTTTCTCAGATTGCATATTTAAAAACTAGAGGCTGGGCACGGTGGCTCACACTTGTAATCCCAGCACTTTGGAAGGCCGAGGAGGGTGGATCACCTGAGGTCGAAAGTTCGAGACCAGCTTGACCAACATGGAGAAACCCCATCTCTACTAAAAATACAAAATTAGCCAGGCATGGTGGCACATGCCTGTAATCCAGCTACTCTGGAGGCTGAGGCAGGAGAATCACTTGAACCCGGGAGGGGGAGGTTGCAGTGAGCCAAGATAGTTCCATTGCACTCCAGCCTGGGCAACAAGAGTGAAACTCTGTCTCAAAAACAAAACAAAACAAAAAAAAAAAAAAGCAAAACTAGAACCTAAGGGTATGGAATTATTTTGGCTCTTGCCTGATACCACAGAGAAATGATTTTCAGGAGATGCTCAATAACAACTAAAACACTCAATGAAATGAACTGATGTTATTTAAATAGGCAAAGAGAAAGGCTGAGAGATAATTTCATCACAATTAAGATGATGATAATAATTAATGACATTTAATAAATAACGTGTAACTATTTTATCAAACAAGCTAGATTTAAGAGGGCAAAAAAGCACTGTTATTCTTTATCACCATTCTCTGTTGAAGACTCTTTTGCTACCCCTAAATGAAACCTTAGGGAATTAACAATAGTTCTTCTAGTCTAGGCCAGTCTCATGTTATAATTACCACATTGCAGACTCTCCCCTAAAGTACATTTTCCCATCCTCCAGCTCATGTTGGCATAGGCTACTTATTCTGCTTTTTCTTTCACCACCTCTGCAGGGCTGGCAGAGGCAGGGGAGTGTTAGGTAGATAAGGCATAAAATGATCTAGTTTGGCTGCCATGGGGCTCAGAACACACTGCCCCAAAAGACATACTGAATATTTAAAGCTGAAGGGATTTGAAAAAACAACAAAGATAAGAAAGTCCCGCTGACCTTCCCCAACCCTTCTTCCTGAAGCAGGTCATAAAACCTAGGAAGGATTTTCTGACCTTTCCCTGAAGCAGTTTATAAGACCTCATGTGAGAGGTGTCCTCACTATACCTGGGGAGAAAGGAACATCCTAATCCCTGAAGATAGAGGGACACGGGGAGGAATCTGCAGACACAGGTCCTGCTAAATTTCCCGTTTATTACCCTTCGCTCACACCCTTTTTTGCCCTATCATATTTCTACGTGACTCTCTACTCCTCATCCAACTTGGCATAAAAACACTTAATTGTTTCTATGACCTATTTCTTTAGGTCTTCATTGCCTTATGAAGGCTCTGGTGTCATGTAAAACTTACATTAAATAAATTTGTATGCTTTTCTCCTGTTAATCTGTCTTTTGTTTATACGGGCCTCAGCCATGAACCTAAGATAGGAGAGAAAGATATTTTTTCTCCCCTTAACTGATATGGCTGTGATCTGGTACTGGTGTTTTCTGAATGTGGCAGTGTCCAAATTCTAATTATTTGTGGGCTGCTTAGGGGTTCTCTGGAGACCGTCTCCCCAATGATGGGAGATTTTTCCTCTATATTTCCCCCTCTGGGTGGCTGCTGATACTTTTTACCCTCAATCACCGGCTTCCTCTGCTGGGCCTTCTCATCCCTCTTAGAAGGTGATCTTGGGCACAGACCCTTTTAAAAAGACCCAAGACTGGTTCTGTCCCATAGGTTTACCATCAGCTGTAGGGAAAACCAAAGCATCTTTCCTTGCTTCACCAAACTCTGGAGTGTTCTATTCTTTTACATAGCTGTGGCACTTTCCCTCTCCACTAGGCCAGGGAGTCACATCCTTGACTTTTGAGGCCTGCATCAGATATCTGTTTCTGCTTTCCTCAAATTCTAGGGAATAAGTGTCAAGCTCTCTGAGTGGCTGTCTTGAAACCACATTCCCTCAGCTGCAGGTAGAAGGAAGCGTGCTTCGTCCTTTTGAGAGATGACGCCAGCTGGACTTCCTGGGTCGAGTGGGGACTTGGAGAACTTTCCTGTCTTACAAGAGGATTGTAAAACACACCAATCAGCACTCTGTAAAAACGCACCAATCAGCGCTCTGTAGCTAGCAAGAGGATTATAAAATGCACCAATCAGTGTTCTGTAAAATGCACCAATCAGCACTCTGTAAAATGCACCAATCAGCAGGATCCTAAAAGTAGCCAATCGCAGGGAGGATTGAAAAAAGGGCGTTCTGACAGGACAGAAATGGGACATGGGAGGGGACAAATAAGGGAATAAAAGCTGGCCACCCCAGCAGCAGTGGCAACCTGCTCGGGTTTCCTTCTATGCTGTGGAAGCTTTGTCCTTTTGCTCTTCACGATAAACCTTGCTACTCCTCACTCTTTGGGTCCGTGCCATCTTTAAGAGCTGTAACACTTATCATGAAAGTCCACAGCTCCATTCTTGAAGTCAGCGAGACCACGAACCCACTGGCAGGAACCAATTCCGGACACACCTTCATTGGGCATGCTAGTATACTCAGCCTACAAAGCACACTGACAGCACTCTCTCAAACAGTCCTCACTACCAGTGAATTCGCGGCTCGTTGTACTGGAATGAGTGATGGGCTAACGGTGACTAAATCTATCTTGTAATATTTAACATGTCTCCAACAAATCATGTTGGGGTATTGACACCTACTATTTTGTTCTCAATTTTTGAGGCCTCTGTTGATACTCCAAGATAGCCGAAGAATTGGTTTAACAATCTGTTGTGCACAGATGGCCCAAGGCCATGCCCCCCATTATATTCTATATAGTAGCAGACTGTAAATTACTTCTGAAAGACCATGGTCATCCAATCAAACACTAATCTAGGTACCGCTTCAAAGACATGTTGCAGATATAATTAAGGTTACTAATCAACTGACCTTAAAATAGGGATATTATCCTGGATTATCCAGGTATGCCCACTGTAATCACCTAAACCCTTAAAGGCAGTGAGAAGAGAAAAATCATATGGTGACCAGTGAACAGGCCCCAGAGACAAAAACTTCTTATTTGAGCAATTTAGAAGTGAGCGAAGACCACCTGGTGACCATCAAACAGGACACCTGGAGGCAAAACTCCTTGTCTGGGAATTTAGAAGTGATCAAATTTCCCTAGTATCTAAAGTCAGCATCTGATTCCAGGCTTCTTTCAAGTTTTATATGTAACTACAATTTCTATATGTATCTGGAATGCCATGCTGAAACTAACTTTACAACCCTAAGCTCCCGCCTTAAGGTCCATAAATGCTCCTAAGGAAAATCCACCACGGGGCACTCAGTCCTCTCGCCGAGGCATCCCACTGCACCCTTTTGCAACATTCTTCCTAATACACTTTCCTTTTTCAAACCTATACTGTTGTCGGTAAATTCCTTTTACCAACCCATGAGTCGACCACTTCCCAGTGCCAGGGCTCTGACACCTCAAATGGGAGGCAGAAGAAAAAGGTGGAATAGTCAGTCAAGGAGATGCAGCAGAAGAGGAAAGCAAGAGACAGGAAGTTGAAAGGGAGAGCCAAAGAGATTGGAAGCATCAAATCTCCAGAGAGATAATCCAAACCTCTTTCCTGCAACTAGGTGGGACTGAGTTCTGCCAGCAACCTGAATGAGCCTGGAAACAGACTCTGCCCCAGAGCTTTTGAATTAAAAGCTTAACTTGCCGACACTTTGATTTTGTCCTTGTGTGACTGAAAGCAAAGAAACCAACCAAGTAAATGTGGATCTCTAACCCCACAAATGAGAGATAATAATTGTGTGTTTTTTTAGCTGCTGAAGTTGTGATAATTTGTTCTATCAACAATGGGAAACAGATGCATCTCAATGTTGCTGGCCATGTGCTTCCAGGGTCTCTGACCCTCTTCCTCTTCCTTAGCTTATGAGGGTCCAGAGACAAGTGTGAGACTTATTTTATTGGCTGTGCTTGGGAGGAGTGAAGAAGGGAATGGAAAGTTTAACAGACATTGAAACCCACAGCTGTGTGCAGCAATGACAGTACCTTATCTGTATTTCTTCAACTTAAAAATAACTCACTGATGTGGTGGCTCATGCCTGTAGCCCCAGCAATTTGGGAGGCTGAGCCAGGCGGATTACTTGAGGTCAGGAGTTCGAGACCAGCCTGGCCATCATGGTGAAACCCTGTCTCTACTGAAAATACAAAAATTAGCCAGGTGTGGTGGCAGGCACCTGTGATCCCAGCTACTCGGAGACTGAGTCAGGAGAATTGCTGGAACCCGGGCAACAGAGGTTGCAGTGAGCCAAGATTGCACCACTGCCCTCCAGCCTGGGTGACAAAGTGAAACTCTGCCTCAAAAATAAAATAAAATAAAATAAAAAATAAAAACAACTCACTGCAGCCTCTTGAGTTCTTAAGACAACACAACAACAAAATGATCAAACAAAAAAAACTTGTGTACTCAAAATTTTATCTTTTCTTGTTCATTTTGCTTACTGAGGACTGTGACCTCCCTCATGCGCTCTATCTGATGAATCTCTGTATTTTTGTATTCAGGGGCAAGAAAAGGATGAAAAGGACTTTTGTTGCTGGAAATTTGACTGATAGGCTCAGGATTTTAAAGAAGAAAAGAACTAGGATTTGATGGAAAGGTCAATGGATTATGGAAAGTCTTCCCAGAAAAGAAGTTTACCTGAAAAATGATTTCTTGCCTCAACGGTTCTGTATACAGTGCTATACAATCTGCAACGCTTAAACCAAGCACTAGTTGAATTCTAGGCAGAAATAACCATTGTAATATGAGAGCCGCAGGATGTGGCATTTTTGGAGGTATCACAGCAGGCCCATGTGTCTTACGAGCCCTGTGCCTCTGTGATGAACCTAAGAAAAATAAAGATGGGCTTGAGTTTGCATGCTCTATAAGCACTTGGTCCCCTCTGATGGGACCAATTTCTACATTCTCCTAGGTGCAGGCTGTTTTGGCTTGATCAGACATCAATGAATATTTGATAAAAAGCCAATTTGGCTAGAAGAGGACAGCCTTTTCAAAGCTATCTCATTCATTGCTTTGTGCTAATTAGCAACCCTAGGGTTGGCTCTGACCTCCAATACAGTAAGACACGTGAAACTGCAGAAATAGGAAGCAATTTAAAAGTTGCCAGGAAACTAAAACTCAGTTCTTAAATACAAAATGTAGGCATTTCAAAAGAAAATATGTGAGGATAATCTTGCTGCTAATTTCCTGCTAACAATGTAAAGTAATACTTACTAAAACACATGGGAACTGGGCAAATGCTCTTGGCAGTTTGCACCTGAAAGCCTACTTTCTATGGTGACACCAAAAGATGTGTGAACCTGGTCTGTCTGTAGCTTCTGTATCTTAATTAACACTCCTGCAGTTTAAGCACAAAGACAATAAGAGAAAACTTTGCAAAATGGAGATTAACTGAAAATGCTAAGTAGAAAAAAGTCCAGAGGATAAGGTTGGCAAATAAAAGTCAGAAATAGGAGTAGAAGGAACAATCATGACATTTTGATTCATCTTCCACTGTATGATTCAGTGGTTGTAATTTGGCCACCCATGTCATGAAGTCTCCACAAGGAGCTTTTAGAGAAAATGAAGACGGAAACAATGAAGTCATCCTGCCCTGCCTACTTGCCTTTATTATTTAAGATTGCTCCCCGAAGTGTATTATTGAATGACCTGTCCAGCAAAATAGCTTCTGATTCAAACTATGGGATTATTACCACATTCTCTGGAAAGTTCTTTGCACAATAATGGCCTTTACTATTTGGAATGCATTTTTGAAGGTCAGCCAAATTTTCTTATTGTTCATCTGAATTCAAGAGTTTGGCTATAATTTTACTGACCACCCTCAAACAAAGGCCTCTTTTTTTTTTTTTTTTTTTTTTTTTTTTTTTTTTTTTTTTTTTTTTGAGACAGAGTCTCGCTCTGTTGCCCAGGCTGGAGTGCAGTGGTACGATCTTGGCTCACTGCAACCTCTGCCTCCCGGGTTCAAGCAAGTCTCCTGCCTCAGCCTCCTGAGTAGCTGGGATTACAGGCATGCGCCACCATGCCCAGCTAATTTTTGTATTTTTAGTAGAGATGGGGTTTCACCATATTGGTCAAGCTAGTCTTGAACTCCTGACCTCTTGATCTATCTGCCTTGGCCTCCCAAAGTGCTGGGATTACAGGCATGAGCCACCGTGCCCAGCCTCTCTTTTTCATATAAGTGGATAATACTTCAAGTTTCATCCAGCACTTGAAACAGTGTAGATCCCAAAGACAAGAGTGGTTGCGTGAATATCTCTAGACAAATGGATGGATGAATAGATGAGTTATTCTGTACTCTGCGCATTTGATTTCTCAATCTTTCTGAAGGTCTTTGGTAGCGACAGGTTTTTGGGGGTAACGGAGTTGAAGAAAGGTATCTCCAGCCTGTCCCTTGTTCTTTAGCATAGAACCTGTGGGGAGTCATGGTGTGGAAAAATGAGAGTGTACTCATTTGAACTAGGGATATTGTAACAAAGTACCCCAAACTGAATAGACTCACAAAACAGACATGTATTGTCTCTTAGCTCTGGAGGCTTCAAGTCCAAGATCAAGGTGTTGTCCAGGTTGCGTCCTTCTGAGGCCTGTTAGAATCTACTCCAGGCCTTTCCCCTAGTTTCTAGGGGTTTGCTGGCAATCTTCTGGCATTCTTTGGCTTGCAAATATCACTCCTATCTCTGCTTTCACCTTCATGTGTCAGGGGGTGTTCTCCCTATGTGCATGTCTGTGCTCTGATTTCCCCTTCATAAGAGTACCTGCCATACCAGGTTAGGAGCCCCCCATACTCCAGGATAATCTCATCTTGGTTTCACTAATTACATCTGCAACAACCTTGTTTCCAAATAAGGTCACATTTTGATGTGGGTTAGAACCCCAACACATGAATTTGGAAAGGGCATATAATTCAACTCATAACAGATAGGAACCATTCCTGATACCTCCTTCTTCCCTGCTCTCTCAGGTCTGGTCACCAACACAGCCTATTTTATCTCTGAATCACTTTTGGAATCTACTGTGTTTCTCCATCTATGGCATCACTTCAGTAGTCCAAACTGTCATGATATCTTGTCTTAATTACTTCAATAGCCTCCTAATTGGCCTTCCTGTTTCCAGTTTTGCCGTATTCCAGTCTCTCCTCCATGCTACATAAAAACAGATGTTTAAAAAAGCAAATCTGATCACGTCACCTTTCTTACATCTCTTAGTGGGCTTGTGTGAGGCTTGTGTGGGTCCTCCCAGCTTTGTCAGCTTCATTTCCTGTCTTACTCCTTCTCTTCACCTAGCCACACAGATTCTTCTCTCACTTTCTCCAATAAACTAAACTGAAAGCCACCCCAGGGCCCTTGCATGTGCTGCTCACCTCCAGGAAGACTCATCTCTTCTTCCTAAGTTGGATAACTCCTTCTCACCCTTTTGACTTTGGCTTAGATGTCACTTCCTCAGGGAAGCCATTCTGGCATCCCACAACACATTGAGTTGCCATTAATTAATTTCATGGCACATGGTAAGCCATCTTTTTTAGTACTTATCAAAAACTTAATCAATTAATTTCCTAGTATTGTTTTAGTTAATGCTATAGTTTGGATATTTGACCCTTCAAACCTCAGATTGAAATATAATCCTCAATGTTGGAGGTGAGGCCTAATGGGAAGTTTTTGCGTCACAGGGTCAGATCCCTCATGAATGGCTTGGTGCCATCTTCAAGGTAATGAGTAAGTTTCGGCTCTATTAGTTCCCATGAGAGCTTGTTATTAAAAAGAGACTACCTTCTTCCTGTCCCTGTGCTTCCTCTCTCACCAGGTGATCTCTGCACTCACTTCCCACCATAAGTGGAGGCAGTCTGAGGCCCCCACCAGATGCAGATGCTGGCGCCATGCTTCTTGTACAGCCTGCAGAACCATGAGGCAAATAAATCCCTTTTCTTTGCAAATTACCCAGCCTCAGGTATTCCTTTATAGAAACACATGCAGACTAAGACAATCTCATTAAATTGGTTAGTTGGAGATAAAGTAAAATCAGTGGCTGGATTAGCTCAGCACGTGTGCTCATTGGATTGTTCTGTAATTGATCACATGTGTAAATCCAAATCTGTTAGTGGACTTACGCTTTTTAATATAGCCTGACAGCATTTCCAAGTTAGTTAATTCACACAGTTATTCAACGTATGTTTATCAATCCCCTGCTTTGTGAGAGCACTATCCTGGGCATTGAAGAGAGAACAGTGATTAGGATTAGACCCCTGCCCTCATGAAGCTTACATTCTAGTGGGTATGATAGACAAACAATAAATGGGTATAGAATAGAATCAGGTAGAGATAAATTCTATGAAATATATTTTTGAAAAGCAGGGGAAGAGGAAAAGGGAGGCAGGGAGTGTTATCTTAAACAGTGGTGGTCAGAAAGAGCCTCTGAAGAGGTGAGATCTGAATTGAGTTCTAAATCCAACCAAGAACATCTAGAGGGAAGAGGAACTGGACAAAGAAAATGAGATGGGAGTGCTTGAAGGCAGCAAGGACCTAAAGTGGCTGAGAGGGAGACAGAGGAGTGTTAGGAGTTAGGATGGAGGCTGAGGGCCAAGTAACTCAGGCCCTTGTAGTCCAGTTTAAAGCTGGATTTTATTCTAACTGTGGTGAGAAGCCCATGGAAGTATTGAGAAGGGCTTGGTGCATTTCTAGGCTATGTTGGCTGCCCTGTAGCAAAGAGACTGAGAGGGAGCAAGTGTGGAAGCCAGCCAGCTGGTTGAATGATTTTACAGGTACAAATATGAGGGGTGAGAGTGGCTATCCACCTTTTTGCAGGCTAACAAATCAGAAATCTGAGGGCTGACTCTTCTCTGCAATTTGTTCTGCATACTGCTGGTCACCCAAGTTTTACCCACAAATGCCACAAGCCACCCAGGCTGAAATGGCTCCTCTCCAGCCTCTAGCCTTCCCAGGTGGCTCAGCCCAGTAACTCACTCAGGACGCCCCATCCCTTTCCCTTGCAGGTGTTACAGCCCCACATAGAGTAGTCTCCACACTGACAGTGAACTCGGCCTCCACCCATTCATCAGTGTGTGTAGAGTCCCAGGTGAGGCCCTGGGATGCCTGGGGCTTGCAATGGCTCAGCTCAACCAGGAAGAAGAAAGCTGGAGAACCTGTTATGTTGTGAGCTCTCAGTGGGAAGAGAAGGGGGAAAGGGAGAGATAAGAGATGTTGCTTTATTTGACTCTTTGTAAACAGCCTCCAGCAGAGTAATGGCTCCATAAATGTTTGCTGAGTGGGTAAAACAAGAAATGATGAACTCATGCAGGGTCCAGACCAGCCATATGGAAAATTCGGGGCTTCATTGTGAAACAGAGGGTGGTTTAGAGAAGGAGGATATGTGAACGAATGGTACTGCTCTCGCACACTGACATTGCCAGGGCAAGTATGTTTTGATGATTATGGATCTGATCTTTCACAATCAACAGACTTCCTGTCTGTCACCTCAGACTTTAGAAACAATGAGAATAAGCTAACATGTAACTGGGAGCTCTTCATGAGAACTGAAAGAGACAACTGGAGCTGTGGTGACAGAGTGGGGCGAGTTGGTGGAGAGGGCAAACTCATTCAGCCTCCCTCATTCCCCTGGCCTTCCAGGCAGAAGCTTCTTCCACCCTGCAGCAGAGGTTATTGCTAAGAGTCCTACAACTTGCCCCTGACTGGTTCCTAGAGAAACTTCTTCCTGCAGGTTTGGGTGCAGAGTGAGCTGTGGCCTTCCAGTTCCCTGCGTGTGCACTCAGGGTGCTTGGAGCATCCTTCAGAAAAGATGGGACCTTGGAAAGTCACTGATTCTTGCTGAGTTGCAACTTCCTCATCTATGTAGGGGAGAAAACTTAGTATCTTTTCTTTATCTCTCACAGTTCATGGCTGAGGCCCATAACAAAATACGGATTAGCAAGAGAAAAGCATAACACATTTATTTAATGCAAGTTTTAAGTGACATAGGCACCTTCAGTAATGAAAACTCAAAGACCCAGGGAAAAGTGTGGATTTTTATGGACAGTCATGCAGAAGTATGACTGGAGGCAAAAGGATATGATCAAGTGGTAATAAGCGGGGGGTACTTGGTAAGGCCTGCTTGTTCAGATTCCTCTTGGCCTCTCTGTGTGACATTCCTTCCCTCCAGCTATAGGACAAGACACCTGTCACATGAAAATCTTCAGGGGAGGAGGGTGGGAGTAGGTCAGAGGTAACCTTCCTAGGTTTTAAGGCCCACTTCAGGGGAGAGAGGGACAAGAGGAATTTCAGTTTCTATGTCCCACTGTAGGGGAGAAGGGGTGGGAGAAGGTCAGAGAGACTATCTTGCTTCTGAGGTTTTCTCAATTTCCTTCAGCATGCTTCACTCAGTATGTCAATATGCCACATTCTGAGGTGGCATTTTTTGCACCTCATCTTCTGTAGTGGGGCCTTTCCTCCACTTTTATTTACTTCACAGAATGATGAACATAGTGGAGGTGATGTGAACGGTAGTTACTATGCTGCTCAGCAAGAGGAAGTGGGGTAGAAGATGGAAGCAGCTTCAGGAGGATTCCAGGCAGGAAGTATATGGGATTAGAGCAGCTGGGTGGAGCAGGGAAGTCCTCCAGGGCAGGGGAGGGGCTACCACTTACAACCTCCAGTCGGAAAGACACAGCACAAAATGGATTCTTTCCAGATTTTTCTACTTGTAATTTTTTTTTAATGAGTACACAGCATTGCATTCCTGTAAAACTTTAATTTTGTTTAAAGAACAAATGCTGCCTACATTCCAGATACTGGTTCTTGCTTCCAGGAGAATACTTGAAATAGATCTTTTCATGAACAAGTGTGTTTGTGGCCAGTGCCCCCATTGGCAAGGCTGTTGAATTAAAAATCCTTAATTTTTTTTTTTTAATTTGTACTCTGTATGTTTACTGAATTACAGAAAGGTACATTCAGAACTTTTGTCTTCTTTCCAAGTGGGTGTCTCAGGAGTCAGCAGCTGCATAAATACACACACAGTTCAGTTAACTGAAATTGGGGATTAATGATGTGTGCTACACCTGCATTTTTAATCTTGCAAAAAAAAACCCATTAAGTGCAAGCATAGAGGATTACGATGAGCCACACACCTGCAGGGAACATGGTGACCTGACGACAGAAATGAGCATGTCTGCTCTGCTGCACAACCACAGGCCAGTCGTCTCCACAGGAGGAGAGTGTTTCAAAGATGCTGATGGGAGGGAGTCCATTGTTATCGTTTCACATAAAGGACAGTGGTAACTGAACATTAGAAAAGAAAAATTGCTGTTCCATTTTTCCTTTATGCAGAAATGAACAACTTATTACAAATTTAACCAGCCTCACTGCCAGCCTTCTCAGCAGTGCCAAGTGATATGAAACAGCAGCAGCAGCAGCAGCCCATGGCATACATTTGAATACACATGGTCCTGTGGCTCACCACACGTTTTGCACTCACCCTCTTTAAAACAGCTTCTGCTTAAACCCCCACTACTTCATCCTTGGGGGCTTAATGCCTTTAGCTAAAGCTAAAGCTTCCTGGAGGCAGTGACCACATCACATCCACCTTCATATCCAACATGTAGTACAGGCTTGTCCCACAACGGATGCTCATTCGGAAGGGCAAGTACTCATTAAATGCTCCATTTAGTAAGAGGACTTATAATATTGCAATGCCCTCTGTTGAATTCCTACTATTGCATTGCCAAAGATGAAACAAAATGATAATAACCAGCATTGGCAGTATTGAGAGAAATGATGAACCTATTTAGAGTTCAAAGTAGCTGTATGGAAAATGTAGGAGTTCATTGTGAAATAGAAAGTGGCTAAAGAGGAGTCATGGTACGTAGACTGTATGGCTGAGATTTCACTTTAGTATTGCCTTTTAATAAAGCAGGTTGGAGGCCGGGCGTGGTGGTTCATGCCTGTAACCCCAGCACTTTGGGAGGTGGAGGCAGGCGGATCACGAGGTCAGGAGATTGAGACCATCCTGGCTAACACGGTGAAACCCCGTCTCTACTAAAAATACAAAAAATTAGCCGGGCATGGTGGTAGGCGCCTGTAGTCCCAGCTACTCGGGAGGCTGAGACAGGAGAATGGCGTGAACCTGGGAGGCAGAGCTTGCAGTGAGCCAAGATCACACCACTGCACTCCAACCTGGGTGACAGAGTGAGACTCCATCTCCAAAAAATAAATAAATAAATAAATAAATAAATAAAGCAGATTGGAAATACCAAAAGGATTAAAATTAGCATATTTTAAAACCAGCAATTCTAAAACATCCTAAGCAACAGCATAAATCATTAATTTGTCCTAATATTTACCTACAAAGAAGTTCATTGCAGCATTGCTTATCATATTAGAAGATTGAAACTAAACGGAATGTCCAACATAAGGGGATTTGTAGAATAAAAGCATACATCTTTCCAAGGGACTATGGAATAGATATTGAAAATGTTGTAAAGGCAGAATATTTCTATATATGGAGAGAAATAAGAAAAGCGGGTTATAAAACATACAATATGGTACACATTTCCTTCTTAGGAAAAAAGAAATGAGGCCTGGGGACTATATACATAATGGTATTTATCTGTGGGTGATGGGATTATGAGTTATTTTTATTTCTCTGTTTTTGTTTATTGGTATCTTATGTTAGTCTGAAATAAATATGTATTATTGGAGTCCAGAATATACTACCCCAAAGTATGACTGTCAAGGAGTTCAGGATATGCTACCCCAAAATATACTGTTTTGGTATGCAGTCAGCCCTCTTTATCCATGGGTTTTGTATCTAAGTATTCAGCTAATTTAAATCAAAACATATTCAAAAAAGAGAAAACAGCAACAACAAAACAATAATAAAAAATAATACAAATAAAAACCTAATATACTGTAACAACTCTTTTTGCAACATTTACATTGTATTAGGTATTATAACTAATCTAGAGATGATTTAAAGTATATGGAAGGATATATATAGATTATATGCAAATACTATACCATTTTATCACCATTTTATCATGCATACACACACATGTTAACCCAAAATAACTGAGACAGGTTTCAGTCAATTTAGGAAGTTTATTTTGGCAAAGTTAAGGATGCAAGCCCATGACACAGCCTCAGGAGGTCCTGACAACATGTGCCCAAGGTGGTCCAGTCACATTTTAGGGAGGCACCAGATATCATTCAATATATATAAAATGTACGTTGGTTCCATCTGGAAAGGCGGGACAACTCAAAGTGGGGAGAGGGCTTCCTGGTCATAGGTAGGTGAGAGATAAATGATTGCATTCTTTTGAGTTTCTGATTAGCCTTTCCAAAGGAGGCAGTCAGATATACATTTATCTAAGTGAGCATAGGAATGACTTTGAATAGAAAGGGAGGCAGGTTGGCCCAAAGCAGTTCCTGGCTTGACTTTTCCCATCAGTGTAGTGATTTTGGGGTCCTAATGAAGGAGGATATTTCCCTGACATTTTCATGGGTGGGAACTGGAGTGCATGGGCACTGGCAGGAGCAAACTCTACTCACTTGACCTACTGCACTCCACCTCTCTTGGGATGGGGAGCAGGCAGGTGAGCAGGTACAGGAGCCAGGGTGAGTGCTTTTGGGCACTGGCAAGTACAAACTCTGTACCAGCCCTGTAGTGGCATCTGGGGGTGGAGGTGCCCGTGACTCCTGTAGACTCAGAAGGAGTGTTACAGTGCCCTTTTAGCCTTGCCACCTGTGGGTGGCTTAAGTGTTAACAGCTCAGTGGAGGGTCAGTGTGACAGCCCTTTGCACCTACACTCATGGCACCCGAGATCTTGTCCAGCATCCAGAAGGAATGAGGTTGCAGGAATGAACTGAAGATGGCAAACACAGGAGAATTTATTGCCAATGAAAGTGGCTCTTAGTGGGAAGGGGAGCTGAAAAGGGGACAAAGTGGGAAGATAATCTTCCCCTGGAGTCCAGCCATGTCTGGCCAGACTCCTCTCTGAAGATATGCCATCAAGCTGTCCCTCTGAAATCAAGTTGCTTCTCTCCAACATCCAACCATAGTCTCCAATGTCCAACTACTTATCCTCCTCTCTGCTGGCTGAGTCTGGGGATTTTATGGGGTGGGCCATGGGTGATTCTGGAAAAGGCAACATTCAAGTGGGGAAACATGGATGTAAGCTCTCACTTTGGGCCAAGGTATCAGGCTTTTCAGCTCCAGGGTGGGGCCCTCTCCAGGGACTCACATATTTTATATACACACACACACACACACACACACACACACACACACGCACACGTATATATATGTGTGTGTATATATAATATGTGTATATATAAATGTAATAAAATGGTATAGTATTTGCATATATCCTACATATACGTGTGTGTGTGTGTGTGTGTGTGTGTGTATATATATATATATAAAATATGTGTATATATATTTAGTTTTTTTAAAAGAGATGGAAGTCTTTCTCTGTTGCCCAGGCTGGAGTAAAGTGGCACAATCATGGCTCCCTGCAACCATGATCTCCTGGGCTCAAGTCACCCTCCCCCAACTCAACCTCCTGAGTAGCTGGGACACCAGGCATGTGCAGCCATGTCCAGATATTTTTTAAAATTTTTTTGTACAGATGGGGTTTTGCTATGTTGCCTAGGCTAATCTCAAACTCCTGGCCTCAAGTGATCCTCCTGCCCCAGCCTCCCAAAGTGCCAGGATTATAGGCATGAGCCACTGTGCTTGGCCACTACACCATTTTATATAAGGAACTTGAGCATTGGTGAATTTTGGTATTCGCAAGGGTCCTGCAACCAATCCCCAGGGATACCAAGGGACAACTATATTTATTATTTTGAGCTGAGGGCACTTGAAAAGCAGCAAATGCAATGAGAGGCTTTCTCTGAACTCTCCTATCTGCCTAAAGACAGATCCTTCAAAATTGACTCCATTGTCATTAATCCCCTCCCTGGGAATTTCATCAACAGAAGAAGATTGACGCTTATTAAAAGAGAGGACAGGGCGGATCACCCGAGGTCAGGAGTTCAAGATCAGCCTGGCCAACATGGCGAAACTCTGTCTCTACTAAAAAATAAAAAAAATTAGCTAGGCATGGTGGTGGGTGCCTGTAATCCCAGCTACTTGGGAGGCTGAGGCAGGCGGAATTGCTTGAACCCGGAAGGCGGAGGTTGCAGTGAGCGGAGATCGTACCACTGCACTCCAGCCTGGGTGACACAGCAAGACTCTGTCTCAAAAAAAAAAAAAAAGAGGACACTGGAAATTGACACCACACCTAGGCAAATTTTGTCACAAGTGATCACATTATCATATTTATGCTTCTAAAAGCCCATTCTTCTTTCTTAAAAATCATTTGGTCTCTCCCATGTGACCTACCTCTCCCCACACCTCTTCCCCTATTAAGATGGTATACAAGCTCCCAAACCTTACCATTTCTTTGGGTGTTCACCTTATTTTCCTGTGATATCCCCATGCACATGAAATTAAAAATTAATAAGTTTGTATATTTTTTCTCCTGTTAATCTGCCTGTCAGTTTATTTCAAAGAGTCAGTTATGGAGTCTAGGAAAGTGAATAGAAAGTCAGTCTTTTCTTCCCTATAAAATTACTTATGCAATGAGGAAAAACAGCTTTTGTTTGTTTAGTTTATTTTAAGAGGATCCACATAAATAATTTATTACCAGTAGACTTCCAGATATTAACATTGGTCCAGACAAACATTGAAGTATCTGAAGAAGTTCAAGTAGGTGCTGCCTTCTCCCATTACTGCAACAGCCCTGTTCTGATTCTCTACAATACACCACCCTGCAGAATATGAAGCCAATCTCCTCGCTTCATGTAATTCTAAGCATCAGAAGGCAAATGGTTTAGGAAAACTGGAACTTGCTGCTGAAAGATGTGAACTTAAATAAAAGTTGATTAGACTCAAGGTTTATTTTTGTGGTCTGTTACACAGCAATGACATTTGGTCATGCATTTTCATTCACTATTTGTTGGGAGATTATTCCATTCAAAGATTTCCAAGCTTTTGAGTAGCTTTAATGAGTTAAGATTCCAAAATCAAAGAAAAGTTTACTTTTTGGTACCTTGGCTACTTTATGCTCCAGGAACAAAGCCAAGGTCAAGGGAGGTGGTATAGATAGGTGGAGAGATAGATAGATACACACATATACATATGTAGATATCTATCAATTTCTCCAGTGTACTAAACTCCAAGCATACTCAGTCTGTGTACCTATATATTCACCACTTTGATGGGACTATTGCAATACGCACACGCACACGCCCTAGTATATGTATATATGCATATACACAAACACATACTACTTGATGTCAAGAGATGTATCTATATATACATATGTACCTACACAGATATGTTTGTGCGTGTGTGTGAGCATAAATATTTATATAGAGAGAAAGTGGGAAAGAAAAAGAGAAAACAGAAAGTCAATGTTCTATGTTAATTAGCATCCTGTGTTGGACACACATCTAATCTTAGGTGGATATTATAAAGTTGCTTTTTTAGCAGCTAATTTTGCATTGGTATTTCAAACCAATTGAAATTTTGAATTGGTATTCTGCTTATCACTGAGAATTATATTAAACAGTACATAATAGGCATGAAAGAAATACTTGTGGTTGACTAGGCATGTGCTTCTGGTTGAATCATAAGAAAGTGAGTGAAATAACACAAGATTTGGAAATAGGTTGTAAATATTTTAGATAAGGCCAATGAGTTGGAAATCTTTGCAAACAGTATGTTTACTGCTCACTGTAGCATGCTCTATGTTACCTCGTTGAGAACTAACACTTTTTTTTTTTTTTTTGGAGACAGAATCTCGCTCTTGTCACCCAGGCTGGAGTGCAGTGGTGTGATCTTGGCTCACCGCAACCTCCGCCTCCCAGGTTCAGGCAATTCTCCTGCCTCAGCCTCCCGAGTAGCTGGGATTACAGGTGCCTGTCACCATACCTGGTTAATTTTTGTACTTTTAGTAGAGATGGGGTTTCATCATGTTGGCCGGACTGGTCTCGAACTCCTGACCTCAGGTGATCCACCTGCCTGGGTCTCCCAAGAAAACTAACACTTTTTAATCAAGCCGTTTAGTCATATTATTCTCTGCCTTCTCCCCCCGTCCCCCTCCGCCAGAGATAGAGTCTCGCTCTGTTGCCCAGGTTGGAGTGCAGTGGCACAATCTTGGCTCACTGCAACTTCCGCCTCCTGAGTTCAAGGGATTCTCCTGCCTCGGCCTCTCGAGTAGCTAATTTTTTTGTATTTTTAGTAGAGTTGGGGTTTTGTCATGTTGGCCAGGCTGGTCTCAACCTCCTGACCTCAAGTTATCTGCCCACCTCAGCATCTCAAAGTGCTGGGATTACAGGTGTGAGCCACCGCACCTGGCTTATTCTGTGCCTATTTAAAAGCAGCCTGCATTTTAGGCTTTTTGCCCATAACTTTACTATAAGCAACAATGCCTAGCACATCACTCCTTTGTTGTTTTTTGTTTGTTTGTTTGTTTGTGTGTTTGAGTTTTCCTAATGTCCTAAGCTGTGTTTAGGTAATATATCAGGCACTCAAGCAAAGGGCAGTATGCATTAGCATAATCCAACCTCAGTGATGCAGACATTAGCTCAAGCAGGGGAAGGGTGTTGGTCTAAGTCTGAGGCACTGGACTCCAGTCCTGACTTAACCAGGGCCTGGCTGTGTGTTCTTGGCCAAGGCTCATCATTTCTCTGAGTCTTCATTTTTTAATCTATAAAATGAGAAGTTTGTCTCTACATGATCTCTAAGGCTCCTTTTAGCTTTAAAAGCCTTTGAAGTGAAATCATACAGAAACTGTCATTTGGAATAATTTAATATCCGTTTTCACAGATTTGGGGTCTAGATCAGTGACAGTGATCTGTTGGAGAAGAAGCCACTGTGTGGAAAATGCACTTGGCCATTCTGCATCCTGGAGGCAGGCACAGAGCTCCTGCAGCCCTCCGTTAGCCTCCTCAGAGAACATGTGGTTCCATGTCACAGGCAAAGGCAAGAACTCATCAAACAAAACACAGTGGCTTTGAAATGAGTGCTTGCCACAAATCACAATTTAACAAACCACCTAAATGGAATGGTGGTTTTCTCTCAGCAGCTCTTTCCCCTCTTTCTTTCAGTGAGTTGTAAATTCAAGAAGCTTGGGATGCTTCCACGTGGCCTAGGACATCCTCCGCCAATAACTCAGCCCCCGCGATGTATCACCGAGGTGCAGCTTTCACAGAAATTACTTAATAAATCAGTGTTTGACATACATTTTTATTCCCTGGGGTTGTGCACTGAATATCCTCCACAGCTTTTGGGTTTATCACTCTTAAAGACATTGAGCTTAGAGATGGGATCACTTTGAATTCAACGAGGCATCAATTTAATGCTTTGACATAGGTAAGAATCTCATGAGACATATGCCGGTTTATTTGGGCATTTTAAAAGATAGCACAGGACAATGCCACTTTCCTTAAAAGGCACTGTCACAATCCTTTGTTCTTCCACCACAGTCTCTTGATAGGGCTTGCATCTGTCTTCACTCTATGTGCATTAATATTAGACAATTAGCACCCACGAAGCTCCAAATCTGCCAAGTCGAACAAAGAATGTGGTATTCAGCTCTTTGAGGATTCCATCAGAAATAGTTCCCTGTTCTTTCTGGAAAGCTTTGTACAGAAATTGAGATATTGAGAAAAATAATATTTTGCACCTGTAAAACACAATCTTCAAATGTTTCAAAAATATTAATTCTATAATATTAGGTTGGTGCAAAAGTAATTGCCGTTTTTGCCGTTAAAAGGAAATTACTTTTGCACCACAATTACTTTTGCACCAAACTAAATATTATAGAATTAATCCTAATGTCAGTATGAAGGGGTAAAAAAGTACTAACATTATTCTTTTATAGCTATAAAAGTCAAAGAGAAGTTACAGAAGTTCTCTAGAATTTTACTCCAAGTATGAAATTCATCAGGAAAAAGACTAAGACTTTTTGTTTTTTGAGATAGAGTCTCACTCTGTCACCCAGGCTGGAGTGCAGTGGCACGATCTCAGCTCACTGCAACCTCAGCCTCCCCGGTTCAAGCAATTCTCCTGCCTCAGCCTCCTGAGTAGCTGGGATTACAGGTGCACGCCACCACGCCTGGCTAATTTTTGTACTTTTAGTGTTTGCGTCATGTTGGCCAAGCTAGTCTTGAACTCCTGACCTCAGGTGATCCACCCTCCTTGGCCTCCCAAAGTGCTGGGATTACAGGCATGAGCCACTGTGCCTGGTCAAGACCAAGACTTGTTGGTTGTAGTGTATGTTGTTATGCTTTTATCTTTCGCGTTATTTCTATGTCATCAGTCTCTTAACAACCGTTCCATGCAATATTGACTGAACACTTGCTAGCACAGGACACTCTAATAATAACCAATATTTATTGAGTACATATTGTATTCAGGCATTGTTATAAGCACTTTGCAAGTCTTAACTGATTGAAGTATCTTCACCACAACCTTTTGAGGTAGATACTATTATTCTCATTTTAAGGATGAAGAAACTGAAACACACAGAGGTTGAATAATTTTGAATAAATTACTCAAAATCATCTAGCTAGTAAATGATAGAGCCAGGATTTGAACCCAGGTAGTCTGAGGCCAGTGTCCATGCTCTTCACCACTCACCATGGATTCTCCCAACAGGAGTGGGTATTTGTGGGAGTGGACAAGGCAGTAGATTGTACCTTGACATCTAAAACTCAAAGGATGAGGATATCACAGGAAAGATGAAACTATGTTCAATGTACATACAAAGGAGAGAGGGATGAAGGACTGATGGTTATGGGATGATGAATTATTGTAATATTATAGGAAATTGGTCTTTTTAGATTCTCCAGATAAACTCTTGAGTATTAAATTTGTACTTTCATGATATTTACATGTAGGCACAGTGAATATTATCACTATGCCAGTTAAACAGATTATCTACTCTGTGTGAAGAAACACTTTGAAGGTATTCTTCACAACTGCATGAACTTGTTAATAATAATTCATCTTCCTTCACTGTTAATTGGATTTTTTCTCCAATTGACCCAATCCTTCTGTTAATAAAATGACTGTATCTACATTTTGATTTATGACTAAAAGTTGTGCAAGGGCAGTAAGCGCCCCCTGAATCTACTAAATCTTCCCTAGCAAAAGCAATACTAAGTAACTTATGTGCATACCTGTCAGAATTAATTGGATTGCTAGTGAAAGATTATGAAATGTCATTCATTGCCTTTTGAAATACTCATAATGTCAAGTTTACATTCTGCTGAGTCTTGTCTCCTCCTTGAATGATCTTTTCCAGAGTTAACTCTCGTTTTTTCTGAACTCCTTGTAGCTCTTTCAGCAAGTGCTTCTAGCATTAATTATAGCTTGCATTGTATATTCTTTGGCTTTACGTTTAGGAGTATTATGTTTTTCTAAGCAATTTGTCATCATCACCAACATCATCATCTCAAGAAGTAAAATATCTGCTGTTTCTTAGTATGGTCAGTTTCTGCTAGCATTGGGCACACAGGAGTGTGAATGAATAAATGCCGTGGACCTGGTTTGTCAGTGCTGGTTAACGATCTGCTGATGTTCTTAGGTGTAATTCAATCTGGTGGTCAGACCACTGGGCTGGGAAATGGGAGGCCTGGATTTTATTTCCCATTATCTGTGACTTTGGATGGGTCATTTAAGCTCTCGTTTTCTTCCCAAATAACTTAGAGGAAGAGTCTTCATCTACACCAGTACTTCTCAGCCTTCACTGCACATTGGAATCATAATGACATGGCCTCCCACTTCCAGAGATTTTTGACTTCATGCATCTGGGCTTGAGGGTTTTAAACAGCTCCTCAGGTGATTTTGAGATGCTGAAGTGCAGAAGAACTTGTCTAGGGGATCTAAGAAGTGTTAATGAGATGCTAATAGCCTGGTGTAATACTCATCACCACCCCATCACTACTCACCTCCAAGTTCTGTGGATTTGCTTCATGACTCTTTCTTACGTCTACCTCTTTCTCTGAATTTCTTGTGGCACTGTCTGGCATTATTTAAAAGTTCCTGCCTTATCATTTGCAAAATAAGTGTCAGGACAATTCTCATTCTCTGATCATCCTCCTGCCACATTGGTGGGCTTCTAAAAACACAAATATAATTGTGTTGACTTTAGGCTTAGAACTCTTGGCTGTGGAATTGAGTGCTAGCTCCTCAGAATGTCATGCTGGGTGGGCCCTACGTAATCTGCAACCTGCCTGCCTCCCTAACCACATGTTTCAACACATTCCCCTGGCACATCTATTTCCATCCATGATGTTCCATGTCTCTGTGCTTGTTCTTGTGATGCTGTGCTATCTTCCTAGGATAATTATCTTCTCCTTCCCCATGATTTGCTCATTAATCACCAACTATTCATCACTGAAGCTTCAGCTAAGATGTCATTTCTGTCAGGAAAACTTCCAGAACTTGTCTTAGTAGGCTTGATCTTCCCTCCTTTATGATAACTGGATATTTTACATATGTGTATGTATATATATATAAAATATGTATGTATATATAATATATGTGCATATATATATATAACTACCCTTCTCATGCTATATTACAATTACTTACTTGCACACCTAATATTTGAGAATAAGAAGTATGTCTAGTTCATCATGTTTTCTTAGCACACATCATAAAATCTTGCACAGAGTAGAAACTAAAAACCTTGGTTGAACTAAACTGAATTAATGTTAGTAAAGAGTTTGAA
Source organism: Homo sapiens (assembly GCF_000001405.40). Taxonomy (NCBI): domain Eukaryota; kingdom Metazoa; phylum Chordata; class Mammalia; order Primates; family Hominidae; genus Homo; species Homo sapiens. The sequence goes on from NC_000013.11 coordinate 33,756,447, forward strand.
ATTCCTTAAGAGTAAGTACAAATACGCTTGGCTTAAAAAAAAAAAAGAATCGGCTGGGCGCAGTGGCTCACACTTGTAATCCCAGCCGTTTGGGAGGCCAAGATGGGAGGATCGCTTGAAGTCAGGAGTTGGAGATCAGCCTGGTCAACATAGTGAGACCCCCCATCTCCAAAAAAAAAAAAAAAAAAAAAAAATAGAAAAAGAAAGAAAAAAAGAAAATAAAAAAAATTTTAATTAAAAAAAAGCCCATTTAATGGGTGGACTCCTCAAATCGACTTTTTCTGAGATAATTTTAAGCACACATTCTGTCAAGGAATTTGTAAAGTTAATTGACTCCCTATTTGGCTTTTGTATAAATTCACATTTTATAGATTTTTTAAAATAATGTTTATTGAAGTTGACTGAACAAATATTTATTGGGTGTGCTCTGTGTGTAAGACACTGTTGTCGTCCTCAAGGAACTCAAGAGATACAGATAGGTCAACAAGCAATTACAATTGTAGAATGATAAAATGGTGTGATAGGCATAAGCACAGACTTATTTTTATGGTCAATTAACCATCTCTTGGGTATCAGAATTCTACGAGTTTAAAAACGTTGAAGAGTGCATAATTATTTAATAATATTTATTTCAGTCTCTTTTTCCACCTTGATGCACACGAGTGCTGGCATGCACACACCCAACACCCCCATGAGCAGACCTAGATCTTGACAAAACTGAAAACAATTTTGTGGGGCTAGTGAAACATCACAATCACTTAATTATCACACCATGATTATAAATAGCACACTGACAAATCAACCACTTCAGCTTTGGCAAACTTAGGCCATGGATTAAGACAATTCCCAGTATAATGGCTGAAATGTCATCCTTTTCTGTCCCACTCAAGGAAGCATGGTCAAACGGAAATTAATAAAAGTGATTTTATTGTAGGGAAAATCTTGCACACACTCAACATTTTTTTAAAGTAAATAATTCACAAACCTTGATACTTCAGCTGTTAGTAGTAACAAATTCCTTGTGACATACTATAGAACTAATTGCAAGACACAAGAGACATAGGAGTGTCACATTACCTATTTTTTTAGGAGGAAAAGAGAACTACTTCCTTTGTGTATTTGTGATACATTTAGTCTTGTAAAAATTTAGATTATATAGTTTTTTAGGAATACATCCATGCATATTGTAACCAAGAGAAAGCCTGGTCCTTTAGGGAATTGGAAAGAACTCAAATTTAACTGTTGTTGCCAGTGTAGGGTAAGAAAATAGTTGTAATTTTACTTCTTTGATGCCAATTCTATCTTCTTCCCTCAGTTATTTTTGTCGATCTGACTCTGAAACAGGAATCAGTCTACCATTGCATTTGTAGGAACCCTAATTTCAGTTCCTTTATCAGCACTGAACCTTCCCATATTTCCTTTCATTTCCCTAAGACCACACTACGGATTAATGGGCTAAGATGTGGTGATAATGATAATGTAAAATATACACTCACATATAAATGAAAGTAACTACATTACTCAGAACATGCCAGGTATGAATGAGCTAAGGTCATTATACTGAGGAGATTTCACTTAATCTGCAAAGTACATCAGTCATGTAATTAGGGCCATTAGTCTCAAAGGGCAGATTGGACACCTATACAGCTTAGCAAACAGTGTTTATAAGGGTCCTAGAAGTCCTAACTGTATCCAAAAACCCATCACAGTATAAAGATTTTTTAAATCTAGTAAAAAATAGAAATAAAATGCATACTGTTGAGATGGCACAATGATCTTAGAACTCATATTAAGATGTGAGACTGATAGTATGCTAGAACCATAGTGAACTCTCATTCTGTGTATGTTCACAGAGGAACACACTGAAGAATAAGGACCATGAGTGATTACATGAATCTCATCTTTCAGGAACCAGCATATTATGGGGCTCAGTGTAGTATAAGGTCCTGCCTTCATTACTGAGAGAGATTTCTTTTCTAAAACTCCTAAGTCTACCCAGCTCATGGCTTTTCAAGCCCATTTAGAACACTTTTCAGGAGATATGGCTGCCAGAGTGTTTAAAGCTAATTTCCAACCACTAGATTATGATAACCAGACTGTCACTGTACTCCTTAAATCAAACAAAACCTATAAAACTATTGCCATCAGATTTTTAATTGCCCCCGTAATTTTACCTGACTCCATACAAGTATTTCGTTAGGCAGAAGGAAGTAGAGTTTTTCAAATTCCATAATCCACTGTAGCCCTCCAAAATATACTGTAATATGCCATGTATCAGAATGTTGAATGTTAAAAGAAATATATATGTGTGTGTGTATATATATATTTGTGTATATATACATATATATACATACATATATATACACAAATATATATATATATATACACACAAATGTATATATATGTATTTGTTTGTTTGTTTCCATGTCCCTCTTCACTGGCCAATGAGAGAAGATCAGATTAATTCTCTTATACAAAAGTATGCTGAAAATAATTTTTTTGTAGAGTATATATATATATATATATATATATATACATGTATATATATATAAATATATATATATATTTGTTTGTTTGTTTCCATGTCCCTCTTCACCCGCCAATGAGAGAAGATCAGATTAATTCTCTTATACAAAAGTATTCTGAAAATAATTTTTTTTTGTAGAGTAAAAGTCAGTTTCCTTTTTACAATAACAAATGTAACATGTTACTCATGGAAATATAATATAATTGCCTTCAGAAAAAGGGCCATTTTTTTTATTTCTCCACTCTCTGTTATCATTTTAAAAATACTTGATGAATTTCTGGCTACACAGAGAAGAATAGCCTTGGCTCAATGTTATGGTTTTAAATTGAAAGGACAAGGCTAGGACTGAAATCCTGTAATGCATAATCTGGAAACAAATGGATATTTTCTTGACACGAGGATTATTTTTTGAAACTTTCCATTGCTTTTTATGTTTTTTGTGCCTCATTTTCCCATTTCCCTCTATCAATGCAGTGAAACCTGACTTCCATGTATGTTGGGTACTGACCTGAAAGCAGTTTGTTCTGTATGGACCATTATCTCAGTATTAAATCTGTAAAACAGTATTTAATTGGCCAGGCGCGGTGGCTCACGCCTGTAATCCCAGCACTTTGGGAAGCCGAGGTGGGTGGATTACCTAAGGGCAGGAGTTTGAGAAAAGCCTGGCCAAAATGGTGAAACCCCGTCTCTACTAAAAATACAAAAATTAGCCAGGTGTGGTGGTGGGCGCCTGTAATCCCAGCTACTCTGGAAGCTGAGGCAGGAGAATCGCTTGAACCTGGGAGGCGGAGGTTGCAGTGAGCCGAGATCATGCCGTTGCACTCCAGCCTGGGTGACAGAGCAAGACTCTGTCTCAAAAAAATAAAAAATGAAACAATATTTAATTAACTTTAAGGGGGAAAATAGACTCCTCAGTGAATGTTTCCCTCTACTCACAAAGCTTATCTTTCTATTTAATTTGAAAACCCTAATTTGACTTTACATTTTCTGAGGTTGTTTTACATAATTACATAGAAGTGCTCACATCTTGCTTTTTTCCCCAAACCAGATAAGAAGTTTTGTTTCAATTCAAATTCATGCGTAAGATGATTTTTTAAAGACCATGATCATGCAATGAAATAGAAATATAGTAGGAAGTAGCAAAATCATCTTATCCTTTTTCTAAAACTTGTATCTCACCTGATTTCAAGCCACAGATATAAAATTGAATTTTGATCATTTAAACCTAATCCAAAGTTTACTTTTGGAGATTAAGTTGTTACCTTCTGACATAAGCCCTAAGTGGAATCTGGTTTTAGAGAGAAAGAGGAGTGAGGTATTACTTTCCCTCTTCTTGTACTATAGTTCTCATTTTCCCCCCTAAGAGGACCTCTGATCTGTGTGAGAAAGTCATTTTTAACCAGCATGCAGATGGACAGTGAATGGGTCCTAAGGTCCTCTAGCACAGGCCACATCCATTTCTGTTCAGCAACAGATTTAGCTTTGGGGGTCATTAAATATCAGCAATAAGTGATTTTCCCCTTCTTCATTTATTCAGCATCTGCACTGGGCCAGGCTTATGCTAAGTGTGGGCATGCAATGTTAGGCAAAAGCAGACAGGACCCCTGCTCTCATGGAGCTTACAGTCAAGTGCACCAAAGAGACATTAATCAAGTAATCAGCCATATAAATATAATGTAATGTAAGTAAGTGCTAAGAAAGTGGATGCTTGGTTCAATGAAAACATTGCTAGAAAATCTGACCTCATTAAGGAGGTCAACCGAGGCTTGTTGAAGAAATGAGGACGAGGCCAAGATTTGAAGACCGGGGTCTCGTACTGAAAGGTCAAGCACAAAGTAGAAATAGAAATCTAGGCAGTTGAGGCCTGACTTCCTTCTATATCTCTACTGTTGGACATTTTACTTGTATTATCTAGGTAATTGAAACAAAAGATTCTGAAGGTCATCACTAAACTGGGAAATGTCCTAAATATCTAAAGCTGGAGAAATTATTTCCCCAAATCTGCTTGCCTGCAAAAAGCAGCAAGACTATAAAAATATTATGGAAGACACTCAGGTGAATGGTACAAAGGACACTATTTATCACCTTTCTTCGTTTGCTCTTTAGATGAGGGCCAGCCGGCCCAGCATGTTTTGGAGCAATTTCTGTTCTAGTTCATGAACACAGGAATGCCACTGGGGTTCGGTGGTCTCGGCAGCACCCCAGTTCACTGCGGTTTAGCTAAGACACTCCTTCTCCTCTGGCCTCCAGTTACAGGGGACCTGGGGTTTAACTGCCAGAGCTCCTTATTAGCTGTTTTTTAAATTTTATTTATTTTTTCTTTTGAGACAGAGTCTGGCTCTGTGGCCCAGGTTGGAGTGCAGTGGCGCGATCTCGGCTCACTGCAAGCTCCGCCTTCCGGGTTCACGTCATTCTCCCGCCTCAGCCTCCCCAGTAGCTGGGACGACAGGCGACTGCCACCACGCCTGGCTAATTTTTTGTATTTTTAGTGCAGACAGGGTTTCACCGTGTTAGCCAGGATGGTCTCGATCTCTTGACCTCGTGATCCGCCCGCCTCGGCCTCACAAAGTGCTGAGATTACAGGCGTGAGCCACCGCACCCGGCCAGCTGTTTTAACTATCCTCCACTCCAAGATGATCTGCCCATCTGTGACTTTGTGAAGTAATGCCCTAGCTAATTCTTTGTGCTGTGCTTTTTTGTGTTGATTTTTCATTAACATTCAGGTTGATTTTGCTAAGGAAACACGGTGTTCATGGTTGAGTCAACATGAACAGTTAGGAGAGAAGCAAATGGCTTGTTAGGACCCAAGAACACACAGAGCTGATGTTTCCAACGTGTTTTCTTTCCTTTTGTATCCAGCTGCCTGAGCCTGGGGCAGGCAGCAGAGGCCAGCCGTGACCAATCTCTTCAAAGTGCACCTTCAAAGGACAGAGCGAGCCTATTTCATCAGCAAGCCAGAAACAACGGTGCTACAACCAGCTTCTAAAATAGAGGGAACCTCGGAGGAGGTTTAAGATGTGTTGCTAGAGGGCAGTGTTTCTGAAGTTCATTGGGAAGGAGCCATATTTGGAATGACATCTGCTGTTTTATTGAAAAGTCAGAGTAATAAATTATAACTACTATTTATCGAGGGCATATTAGGTACCAAGCTGTGTGGTAAGTGTTTTATTTCCTCTTGTGTTCACATCAACATGGTAAGTTAGTCAAAATAATTATCCTCTTTTCACAGATAAGAGAAAAAAATTTAAAATGGTTAAATGATAACAATAGGAACAGGAATCTAGCTAAGCATTTTTCAGGTATTATATTGTTTAGCTCCCAATTGGTCTATACCATAGGTATTAGTACAGTCCTCATTTTGAAGATGAGGAAACTGAGGCAAAAAGAGGTTAGGTCTCATGCTCAAGATCACAGAGTTTGTAAGCTGCAGAACCATGGGCTGAACAAGGTCAGTCCAACTCCAGCCCATTCCTTTTTTTTTTTTTTTTTTGAGACGGAGTTTCATTCTGTTGCCCAGGCTAGAGTGCAGTGGTGCGATCTCAGCTCACTGCAACCTCCACCTCCCAGATTTAAGCAATTCTCTGCCTCAGCCTCCTGAGTAGCTGGGATTACAGGCACCTGCCACCACGCCCGGCTTTTTTTTTTTTTTTTTTTTTTTGGTATTTTTAGTAGAAACGGGGTTTCACCATCTTGGCCAGGCTGATCTTGAATTCCTGTCCTCGTGATCCACCCTACCTTGGCCTCCCAAAGTGCTGGGATTACAGGTATGAGCCACCGCGCCCAGCCTCCAGCCCATTCTCTTAAACATTCCTTCCTTCTTTGGCTAGAAAAGAAAAGGATTAAATATGCAATTGTTTTTCCTGCCCTGCATGGGCATTAGTAAGTGATAGAGTATGAACCTAAGCTCTCTATGCAAATTATTTTTAGTGACAGTAGTGAGAGAATTAAAAATTATCAGAGGAGAATGCTGTTGTCCTAAAAATTAAAGCATAATATTTCTCACAGATACAAGATAAATTCTCCAGAATTGGTATATAAAATTCTCCATTCTTTAATAGCATAGCTTCTTAGAACTCCTTAAAAAGATGGAAGTGCTGCTTTCCTGTTGTTTTCAAAAATGAGATTGATGAGGTTATGCCCACATCGTTCTTATGCAACTTTATAACCCAAGTTAAATTTCCCAGAAATGGACACCAAAGTACTGCTGCTGCCATCTTGATAACATACTTATGAGACATTTTGGCCAATTTTCTTAAAATTATTCACGATGACTCAAAGCTACACAGGCAGTGGGTTTAGGAGTTTTGTTTTTTTTGTTGTTTTTTTCAGTCTGCTGACAAAAGGTAGTTTGCTGATATTTTGTTCAATCATGGTGAACACTCACAGAGCACTGCATTTGTGGTAAGTGAAGTTATTCCTAGAGTACAGTGGTGAAAAGAGTCTGTAATTTATTGATCTTGGAGAAAGGGTTAAGGGCTGGGGGTGGGGGTGAATACAGAAAAGGAATTGGCTGGGCACAGTGGCTCATGCCTGTAATCCCAGCACTTTGGGAGGCCCAGGTGGGCGGATCAATTGAGGTCAGGAGTTGGAGACCAGCCCAGGCTACATGGTAAAATCCTGTCTCTACCAAAAATACAAAAAATTAGCTGGGCGTGGTGGTGAGTGCCTGTAATCCCAGCTACTTGGGAGGCTGAGGCAGGAGAATTGCTTGAACCTGGGAAGCAGAGGTTGCAGCGAGCTGAGATTGGGCCACTGCACCCCAGCCTGGACAACAGAGTGAAACCCTGTCTCAAACAAACAAACAAAAAAAGCCCAAAACAAAAAAACCCGAGAGGAATTTGCCAACTGAAATGCTGTAGGTGCCAATTTTGGTAGAAACATCTGTATTCCAAATTTCACTCTTCTCAGATATTTCTCATTTAATTAAAAATTTTCTGGAAGTAAAATTTAACTGATACCTACTAGTACCTAGCTGCAGGCACTATTGTGTTCCAGAGACATATTAAAGAAGCTGAGAAGCTCAAACTCAATAAATCACTTTAAAAACTAGCCTCTATCTATACCTAATCTAAAATACCCAAAAGCCTTCCAGATTATATAACAAACTTGGCTCTCACTGGCTGCCAGGTAGGAACAATGGCCCTGTAGTCAATGAGATGACAAGGAGGGGGATGACAACAAAAGCTTTTTGCCATTTCAAGTGTCACTTCTGAACTAAGCCTTCTCTTAGTCTTTGAAACAAAGAAGAAAGGAATTTCCCAATGCCTTAGCAAAGATTCATGTTCACTGGCATTTGTGACCCTCTGGATTGCTTACATGTGCACTTTTTCTTTAAAACAATCACGTAAATTTAGTTCATTAGTTTTGATTAAGCGTAAGAGTAAACTTAGAAGGGATGCTGTATTGAAAAGCATTTGTGTTTCTTAGCCCCTGCAACAGAGGAGGTAGTCACTGGAGGTTCTGAGATGAAAGAGGTCACTTAACCTTTCGCTATCAATAGTTTCTAGAACAATTCTGATTACCTTCGAATACCTGTTTGAAATAGCAGAGGAGCTGATTACTTAGGTTTTTCTCTCTCTTTCATTTTCTTTTTTTTTTTCTTTTGAGATGGTGGAGTCTTGCTCTGTTGCCCAGGCTGGAGTGCATGACGTGCAGTGGCACAATCTCGGCTCACTGCAACCTCGCCTCCCAGGTTCAAGCGATTCTCCTGCCTCAGTCTTCCAAGTAGCTGGGATTATAGGTGCCCACCACTACACCCGGCTAATTTTTGTATTTTTAGTAGAGATGCTGTTTTGCCATGTAGCCCAGGCTGGTCTCAAACTGCTAATCTCAGGTGATCCGCCTGCCTTGGCATCCCCAACTGCTGGGATTCCAGGTGTGAGCCACCGTGCCCCACCTCTTTCTCTCATTCTCTTTGTGCCTCAGGTGTGGGAGAGGGAGGAAATGCTGTGTGAGAGCAAAACTTGGCAAGCTGCCTGGGGCATAAAGCAAGGTGCCTTCAGAAGCAATACTGTCTCTTCAAGGCAACATACTTTCCCATTCTACCAGGATACTCCCTTTTTAGCAGACAGTGATGCTTTTTAAAATTATCCATTTCACTTAATAAGATGGTTAAATCAAAAAAGAGACCTCTGTACAACAGGCAAGAGAATACTCTTCCAAAATATACAAATATATGTGTAATTAGAATACAATGGCAGCCACAATGTAGTTTCTTCCTCAATACTTTGGACAGTGAGACTCTGGGGCATTGCTTGTAATATGGATAACCATAATAAAGGCATAAAAAAAGTGTTCCTATATGTACGATCTCACTAAATTGAACAAATGGGAGAATAGCTTTGTATGGGCAGGCAACAGATGTTTGTTTCAGGCAAAGATTTTTCTTCCTGCAGAGGAGTAATTCATAGAATAAATATGCATATCTGAATATTGTGGGGGTTGAATAATTTTATGGGCCTTAATATCTTAGAAGAAATGAATGACTTTTTTGATAGACGGGGTCAAGTCATCATCAGATGTTCATGTCAAATAATGTGTTGGGAGAAAGCTAGAAAATAATTTTTAAGTATTTCATCTGTTGAATTTGGCCTCTGGCTCTCTTCAAGAATTGTTGGGCCAGGTGCAGTGGCTCATGCCTGTAATCCCATCAGTTTGGGAGGCCGAGGTGGGTGGATCATGAGGTCAGGAGTTCAAGACCAGCCTGTCCAACATGGTGAAACCCCATCTCTACTGAAAATAGAAAAAAAAAAATTATCTGGGCATGGTGGTGGGCGCCTGTAATCCCAGCTGCTCAGGAGGCTGAGGCAGAGAATTGCTTGAACTCGAGAGGCGGAGGTTGCAGTGAGCCAAGATCGCACCATTGCACTAAAATGTATAAAACCAAGCTGTACCCTGACCACCTTGGGCACGTGTTGTCAGGACCTCCTAAGGCTGTGTCACGGGTCTGTCCTTTACCTTGGCAAAATAAACTTTCTAAATTGATTGAGACCTGTCTACAGATACTTTTGGTTCACACCTTTCCTTCTCTAAGTAATATATGTTATCCTGTCTTCTTTGCTTTGCCAACTTTCTCGACCCATTGATTTAACAGATGGACATTTTTGATCCTTATACTTCACCTTCCCATCCCTTCTCTCCCAGCTCAGTGTCTGAAAACTATATTGTTATTTTCAGTGTTCAGAAAGGCCAGACCAGATATTAACCACTTGATTTTCTGCCATTTTTTTCTCTTGCTCTACCTTATGAGAGGTTTACACCTTATGAGAGGTTTACACATCTTTCTCAGTACTTCTATTAAATTTTTCATTTTGGCAATAATATTTTTTAATTACCAAGGAATATATTTTTCTAGCATTGCTCCTTTTTGATAGCAGCCTACGGTTTTGTTTTATGGTTTCAATATCTTCTTACATTTCTCTGAGGATATCAACAAGAAATTTTAAAACTCCCTTCTGTCTTCTGATTTACATCTGTTTTCTCTGCGGCTAGTTGTTCTGCTTATTCATCTTGGTTGTTCTTTTTTGTGCAAATTTACTTTCTTGCCTAATCTTATTTGTGCATGAGGTTAGGATGGTAAATACAGTAGTGGTTCACAATGCTTAGTGTTAGGAAGACTAGAGAACCAGGGTCTTGTACATTGGTATGTATTTATGAGGGAAATTGAACAACATGTATAAAGAATCTCAAAGTTGTTCGAATCTATTGACACACAGGCCTACTTTTAGGAATCCATCTTTTTGGAAATAAGCAGATTATGCACAAAGATATTCACATAAATGCAAATAAATAGAGGACTAGTTAAATACATTTGATGGAATATTATGTAGCATTAATGTTTGGAATGAATTTTTAATATTATGGGAAAGATTATTCATTTATATGTGTCTATTTATTTGAAGATTTTTTGGTTATTCTTTTAAAAACCACATACACAAGAATATAATGTGTCAGCAGTTTAAAGCATAAAAGTTACTTAAAAACAAGTTAGGATCAGATGAACAAGGGCAGGTGGAACACGCCAACCAGTCACGCCTTGCTCCCCTCTCTGAGATTTCTGAATTCCCTGTCCCTGACTCCTGGATGAGCTGGTTTAGTTTCTTGCCTTTGGTTTTGAACTGGGAATATTGACTGACTGACTGGAGATGGACGTGACTTCTTTCTCTACCCCAGTCCTGTGACTCTCTACTTCATCATTGTGTATGTGTGCATGAGAGAGACTCCTTTTGCTCATCCTCCTATTTTGCTTTAACTTTCACCCCAAATGTGTTTCACCAGCTTTACTCTGGGAACCCGAAATCTTGACTACAGTCTGTTGAAAGATAAACTTAGGTGCGCTGAAATTTTAAAGAGTTTATTTGAAGAGATAGTGATTCATGTATTGGGCAGCACCAAACCACAAGTGGTTTGGGCTTCATGGAAGGGGTGTGCAGGAAAAACTTTTATGAGGTGTTTGCAGAAGCAAGATAAAGAACACATTTGATTGATTAAAGTGGAATCCTCCTAGTTAGAGGTTAGTTGTTTGTTTCTGATTGGTTAAGCTTAAGTTTTATTTTAGTGTTTACATTGAATTGCTTACATAAGAAGCCAGGGTACTGGAGCCATCTCAGCCTAATGGGTTATCAAATGATATTTCTAAACAATTCCTTTGGCATCTTCCTTGAGGGAGTAGCTCACTTGCCCTCCCCTGCCTCCTTTTTTTTTTTTTTTGAGTTAGAGTCTCACTCTGTCACCCAGGCTGGAGTGCAGTGGCACAGTCTTGGCTCACTGCAGCCTCTGCCTCCTGGGTTCAAGTGATTCTCCTGCCTCAGCCTCCCAAGTACCTGGGATTACAGGCACCCTCCACCATACCTGGCTAATTTTTGAATTTTTTTAGTAGAGACAGGATCTTGTCATGTTGGCCAGGCTGGTCTCAAACTCCTGACCTCAGATGATCTGTCTTCCTTGGCCTCCAAAAGTGCTGGGATTATAGGCATGATCCACCATGTCTGGTCTCACCTGCCCCTTTCTGCAGGGCCTCCCTCTGCCACTTCTCTGTGCTCTCCCTGCCTAGTGGAACCCTAGCAACTGGCAAAAGCAAAGATTAGGAGGAATCATTGATGAAGTTGAAAGAGGAGGACTTTATAATTCAGGTCCTACTTCCTTCCAGAGTGAGGATTCACTGGGAGATTAATGTGATTAATGTGGCCGTTTTAAGAAGGTCAGTTGGAGGGCAGTGTAAAAACTGATTAAGTAAGAAGAGACTGAAGAGGGAGAGAAAAATCAGAGCACTGTTCTAGTGATCCAGATCTGAGGCAGTGAGTAGCTGAACCAAATTGAAACAAATGTCAGTGAGAAAAGAAGGCAGAGACAGAAGAAAGATTGAGAAAATAATTAGAACATGATAACACATGAGTCAAAGATGAGCTTGGGTTTTTAAGAACTTTATTCTGACCCACCCTGTTTATTGTAGCAGTATTCATAATAGCCAAGAGGTGAAAGCAACCTAAATGTCCACTGCTGGATGAGTGGATAACAAAAATGTGGTATATACATGCAATAGAATATTATTCAGCCTTTAAAAAAGAAGGAAATCTCATCACATGCTACAACATGAATGAAACTTGCAGACATTATGCTAAGCGAAATGAGCCAGTCACAAAAAGACAAAAAAGTCACTGGTGACCACCATTCTCCTTTCCGTTTCTGATTCCACTTATACGAGGTATCTAAAAGAATCAGACTCAGAAAAGGAAAGGAGAACGGTGGTCACCAGTGACTGAAGGTTTATTCATCAGGTATAAAGAGTGTCAGTTTGCAAGATGAAAAAGCTCCAGAGATGGGTTGCACAAGAAAGTGCATGTAGTAAACACTGTTGAACTGTACACTTAAAATGGTTAAGATAAAAAATGCACTAAAGATGTGTACACCTGGACATAGAGAATGGAATGACAGACAATGGAGACTCAGAAGTATGACAGGGTGGGAGGGAGATGAGGGATGAGGAATTACTTTATGGGTACAACATACATTATTCGGGTGATGGATACCCTAAAAGCCCTGACGTAACCACTGTGCAATCTATGCATGTAACAAAATTACACTTGTACCCCACACATGTATATATCAAAAACATTAAGATAAAATAAAATTTTAAAATGGTAAATATAAGATGGAATAAATATTTTGCCTTTTACTAAAAAAATTAAGATGGTAAATTTTATGCTCTTTTACCACAAGAAAAAATTTCTGAAATATTTCAGATTTACAAAAAGTAGTTTAAAGTAACATGGCAAACATCAGGTACTCATCATTTGTAAAACTAAACATTATCAATACGGTTGACACTGTTTGAGTAAAACCCCAAAGTTTTAAGATTTTATTTATTCAACAATTACTTTTTGAGTGCCTACTAATTGCAAAGCTCTGTCCTGGCATTGGAGATGTAGCAATGTCCCTCCCCTCCCCTTTAGGAGACATGCGTGGCATGGAGAAGGATCGATCATATCTTGACAGATATAGAGAATTGAATGGGAAAATTGTTTTGGAAGGTGATGATGCATTATGCAATTCACAATATTTGATTTGAGGTAACAATTGAAATGTCCACATTTAGCTGCACCTCCAGAAATAATTCCAGGAAGTCTATATTATATATATTGTATATATTATATAATATATATATATTAATAATCCTATGTAAAAAATTTATTATTTACTCTGTGTAAGTCACTTTGCTGGTCACAATACTTAATGAGACTCTACCATGTGCCATTCACCATGGCGGGTATTGTTCTCTAATGGGTGAGACAGACAAGGATAAGATAACAACAGTAGAGGTTGACAAAGGTTAAGGTAATGAATATGGTGCTGAGTGCTGAGGTAACACCAACCATGTTCCAATATTTACCCTAGCTGGAAGGAAGACTTCCTGAAGAAAGTGACATAGAACCTGAGATGAGATAAAAAATATATAAAATAGTAAGATTCAGTTCTTTCCCTTGAGAGTCTTCTGGTATACCACAGAAACAGATTTAAATAAAACTCAACAGTAGGTGCAATAATACTTTTCTGTATAAAGCACAAATGAGATGAGTTTGAAAAAGCAATGAACTAGACCTGGAAATTAGGCCCTTCATGCATTTCTAAAGAGATAAAGGTCATTTGGGGCAGAAAGAAGAGCAAGAGCAAAGACACATGGGTTAAAATCTATGATATTTGAGGATTCTCATGAACTTCACTTTACCTCTCTCAGTGTACACTTAACTGTATCCATTGTATCCTGTAATTTTTTTTTATAAAAATGTTCTGATTTGACTCCAAACATAAAATAGTGATCAAATATGTATAATCGTATACATAAATAATATGGGAAATAATATACATAAATATTATAATACATGTATGTGATGGCTCAGGACACATTATGCCAAAATATAACACCTTGGCATAGTGAATGTTTTAAGCTGAAAAAATTTGAGAAACGGCATGTGCAGGAAGGATTTTCTGATGTTCCCCCAGCCTCCTCCCCTGAAGCAGTTCAGAAGACCCTCATGTGAGTGACAGGTGCTCCCCGTATACCTACAGTAAAGGAGCATCCCTGTCTCCAAAGATGAATGGACATGGAGAGGACTCTGAACCAACAGGCCTTGCCGAGTTCCCTCCAGTTCACTCACACCCTTTGTCTTATCACATTTCGCCATGACTCTGCTCTTCATCAAAACTAGCAAATCAACCCCCAGGTTCAACTGCTTCATTGGGTCTTAATTTCCTTAAGAAGTCTCCTGTGTCGTGTCAAACTTATATTAAATAAATTCATATGCTTTCATCTTGTTAATCTTTCTTTTAATATGGGGCCGCAGCCAATGAACTTAAGGAAAAGTTCATTTGGAGCAGAAGGAAAAGATATTTTTTGTCCCCCACATAATCAATAATATATGAAATAATAAGTGTAAAATTACTTTGTAGGTGACGCAGTGCTCAAGTAGTTCTGCTTTTGTCATCACTTTAAAAATCATAGTGACATGATTATTTGGCATTATTATTTGGTCTTTGGCGTGGAATTTTGTCAGAAGTTTTTTGAAATCCTCAGTAATGTCTTTCAGATCTTTTGGTCTGTTCTTCGTCCTTTAAGACATGGGTTCTTTTTATAAACGTTGGTTGTCTCTGCCACCATGCTGTGCTTGTCTAAGAATCCAGTGGTCTGACACCGGACTTGTTTGTACACAACTGGTGCCACACCGGTACTAGCATTTCTTCCGGGACACACAAATGAGAATGGGAGAAAGTTTTTGGAAGGTCAATTTTGATTCAACATATGGAAGAATGTCCTAAGTTGCCCAAAACAGATTGAAAAAATGGTGTTTATGTAAACTTCATTTACATAGTTTTACATAAAACAAATGATTTGACTTACAAGATAGTCCTTTATTCTGAGATCATATCTTATCAGTTTTTTTGGTAAGAAAATATTTTTTCTTTTAGAAATTATGACATTAGTGAATTATAGCAGTTTTATTTAAATGTCCTTACTCGGCAAAATAAAGGCTGAAAACACATTATTTGAAATTTTATAGACCCAGATGTCCATAAAGTCTGACAACCCCCGTTCCCCTAACTGCTCAACTCTGTTCCAAGCATCACATGATGTCAGATTTTCAAGTTGTTTATCTTGTTAAAAAATAAGAAGGAAAAATTTATTTGAATAATTTTGGAAAATTGTTTGCATATATTGATTTTTACTTTCTGGCTTATTCGGGTATTCTGCCTTTTCTAAGAAGAAAGTTTATTCCCTAAGAGGAAAGAAGCTAACGTGAATGAATCAGGAGAAGGAGAACCAAACCTAGTTAGCTGCACAAACTAATGAGAGGTGTTTGCTTATTCTGGTTCTTAGTTTTATAGTCTGAAAAATAAGGAAATGAGAAAGTGGTAAGATCTATTTTAGTAATAAAATTCAATTGAAAAACATAGTGTATATGTATGTATATATATGTATGTATGTGTATATGTATCTATAATATACACATATATACATATGTGCACTATACACATGTTTGTACAACATTGTATTTTGTGAGAATTAATCATTTTTGCTAATATTAGAAACTCAATCTATGAAACTCTGAAAACTTCACGGGGAATTAACACTTCAGGGAGTTTTTTTTTTTTTTAAACCCAAGGTCTTTTAAATCTTGGAAACTTGGGGAGTATAAGAATATTGCCAATATTTGCAAGGTGAAAAGAAATTGGACTATAAGGTATGATTGGAAATTTTTTATGAGCACCAATTTGCTGATGGGCTAATAAGCATTTACATTTGCTGATCTTGTAGTTAGCTGTTTAATTACTCAATTTGTGCATGCAAATGGCATCGTTTGAGTATAAATGGATGCAGGTGCAAATCTGCATGACTAGTATTAGAGTCTTATTTGAAACTTGCTCATGATCCTTCATTACTCTATACAGTACTTGAAAAATCAACCCTGGTTTTCAAAAATAGTCCTGAAACAAAGTAAAATCCTTATGGGCAAGATCATGTTTTTAATGTGATCACTCTCCCTAGATTTCTGTTTTGGGATTTTCATTTTTTATTTATTTGAGACAGATTCTCACTCTATCGTCCAGGCTGGAGTGCAGTGGTGTAATCATAACTCACTGCAGCCTTGGCCTTTCCAGTTCAAGCAATCCTTCTGCCTCAGCCTTCCCGAGTAACTGACACTACAAGCACACACCACCACACCTGGCTAATTTTTTGTATTTTTTGTAAAAATGGGGTTTTGCCATGTTTCCCAGGCTGGTTTCAAACTCCTGAGCTCAAGCGATCTGCCTGCCTCAGCCTCCCAAAGTGCTGGGATTACAGGCGTGAGCCACTGCAGCCAGTTGGGATCTTCTAAAGCTATTGTCTTACGGTGATGTTCATAGCTAATTTATAATAGCTTGAAAAAATAATGTGTTATATTTAGAGTTGTTAACATAAATTCTCAAGAATATTTTGTATCTTAGGGACTCAAAATCAAAATCATAAGAATATGACTAAATGCAGTGAGAAATCCAATTTGGCAATGCATTTTCTAGATTTCATAGATTTTCTCTGCATTACTCAGCCATTATATCTTGTGTTATGATACACTGTTAAACTAGATATCACAAATAACTCAGTGGTCACCATGTTAGAAAAATGTAACGGGGAATATCAAGTCTATACTACAGAATTTGGTACTCATAATACCTAACGTTGGGGGTGCTTTGAAGCTTACAAAACACTTACCTACATACGTTATCTTGCTTGATCCTACGACTTTCCAGTGAGCTTGACCCCTATCTTAGAGATGAGAAAACTGAGGCTTAGTGAAATAAAATTAATAGCTGTGATTTCACAAATACTAAGTTGCACAGCAGGATACTCTGTTTCATATTCTGACCTATTTCAATTATTCTACATTACTTTGATTTTATTGTTTGCTCTTGATTTGGCATGCTAATTTCCGTGACCTTCCCTCTCGCTTCAATGTTACAAAACTCTTAATTGTAAAGAGCATAGTTTATTCTTAGCTTTAGGTACAATGCTGAGGATAGATCTGCACACTAATGAAACACTCCCAAAATACTTGTCCTTTGTTTATGATGAGGGAGGTAAAGACTTGGTAACTAAGCTATGAAATTTAACTCATCAGTTACCTTTAATGAAGTTGGGAGTTAAATCTTGGCCTTCCTCAGTAGCCTCATGCTTCTAGCTTGTGCCTGCGAGGACAGTAGGAAAACCTTGCCCCAGAATGTAATGAGGAATGACTGGCAGAGACGGCCTGAGATATACATTTTAGCAATGCAGAATGTACTCAAGATGTGATAAAGGCATTTTCATCTCTGACATATCCAGGTATCCTCTAGTTAATAAGACTGGCATCTTTTCAAAATAGAAATTATGGAAGTGAGGACTGTAAAAACTCCAGAGCAATCTCATAGATAACGGATTCTCATCCACAAACATATGATTCCCTTATTGGAACAGGAGCCTGAGGCATTTCCATTTCTCTACTCTGAAGAAATCCTTCCTTCTTGGGAAATCAGCTCTGATATTCTCATCAGGGTACTTTCACCTCAACATCTAATTTGCTTCTAAAATGCAAGATTGAATAAATAGCTCAGGTTGTTTAAGAAAATATTTCTGGAGGGAATAAATATTCTCAGCTCTTGCTAATCAAGCTGTTTTTATTGTGCTCTCCGGAGTCCAGGCTCAAGGCTTTACCAAATGCCTTTGCAGAGGGCCGCATAAGGAAGATGACCTAATAACCTTGGTTCACAATTTCCCAGGCAAGCATGCCCCTAGGATAGGAGAGGCCACATTTCCATATGCACAGTCAGGAGTTTATGTGAAAACTCCTCTAACCTTCTGGGCTGCTCTGCCCAGTTCGCACTGGAGGCAGGCAATGGGGTAAGTTGGGAAAAGGACGCTCTCTACTTTCAGGATCCTATGGTTTCTCTTCTTGGCCCATCTCAAGGCTCCCAGAGGTGCTGCTTGCTTGCTGATATACAACCTGCTTGTCACTGGGCTTGGTTGGAAGGATTTATAATGAGATGGCTCATTTATTCAATTGACACTAACGGAATATGATGCTAAGAAACTGCCAATAAAAATAATAACAGCAGGCTGGGCGCGGTGGCTCACGCCTGTAATCCCAGCACTTTGGGAGGCCGAGGCGGGCGGATCACGAGGTCAGGGATCGAGACCATCCCGGCTAAAACGGTGAAACCCCGTCTCTACTAAAAATACAAAAAATTAGCCGGGCCTAGTGGCGGGCGCCTGTAGTCCCAGCTACTTGGGAGGCTGAGGCAGGAGAATGGCGTGAACCCGGGAGACAGAGCTTGCAGTGAGCCGAGATCCCGCCACTGCACTCCAGCCTGGGCGACAGAGCGAGACTCCGTCTCAAAAAAAAAAAATAATAATAATAACAGCAGCAGTGGTTATTGTGTTTTGACACCACTCTCCAGACACTGGTAACTACGTGTTATTTAATTCCCATAGCAATCATCCTACAGGTAGAAAAATGGAAACATTGAGGTTTAAGTATGCGAAAGAAAAACAGAATCTCAGGACCCCAAACTCACTATGCCAAAGGGAAAGTTAACTTGGTAACTGAGCCATGCAAAAACTATCTTCCTTTTGTTCCCAAACAGATAGCTGTAATTTCACATGCTTACTTTATCTTATGAAAAATGTAGATTTACCGAGCCACAAGAAGAATTCATAATTGACATTCCCTCACTCCCTCCTTTTTATATGTAAAATGTAGATTCACTGAGCACTAATCAGAGCCTTATCAGAATGTAATCACTTGCCTCATTGCCTGCCCCCCTCCTTTTTTTTCTTCCCCTCCTGCTTGCTCTTTCCTCTTTAAATATTGAAGTTCCCCAAATCTTCTTTATAAAAAGCACAGGTCATAGATGCTATTGTGACTTGTGTTGCTTTTTTCTGGGTGCATCCTCAACCTTGGCAAAATAAACCTCTGATAGATTGAGGTCTGCTTCAGTCACTTTTTGGTTTACAGTCTTGCCAGAATTCACATGGAAGAATCAGATATTGCACTCAGACCTGCCTGACTCTAAGCCAATGCTCTAATCGCTAGGCCATGCTAATCTTGAGTTTGACAGACAGACTTCTTAGAGAAAAATATGTATGTATATTTAATTGGGGGAAAATATCTGCCTCTAACGTTTGGTAGCTTTTCCTATCAGGTAGTTGCAGACCAAATGGATAAATATGAGGGGCTTTTCAAAAGGCAGAGGGAAAGAGTCTAGCTCCTTTTTGCAAGATGTGCATAAACAAAGGTCTCAGTACTTCATGCCACTTTAAAAATGCTCCCTCCTGTCTCCCTGCCATTTTATTGTGACTGACCTCCTGCATTCTTCCTTTAGATTCCAGCAAGCTCCAGCTGCTTCTGTTCCTGGCTTTGTATGCCAGTGTGGATGTGGCTCCCTCTGCCCAGACTGCCTGCAGCCAAATTCTTTCTCATGAGAATTACTGATTCTTCAAAGTCCTGTTCTGCTGTCATCTCCTCTGGGTAGCCTCCTCTGAGCTCTCTAAGTAGGTGCTCACCACCTGCTTCCAAGGACCTCTTTTCTGTCTCTTGGGTACACACTTATTCTTGCATTTATCATAATGGGTTGTCACTTGTTCCTGACTAGCTCTCATATCTCCACAACTGTAAAATAAAATTTATAAGGGCTGTGTTAAGTTTTATTCATCTCTGTGTCTCTGCTGCACAATCTGAAAATATAGGTGCTTAATGAATGTGTACAAAACCGACTTGCAAACTGTTCTATATGACACAGCTAAAGCCATGAGCTACTTCAATAGCTTTCCAAGACAGATGATGTGAGTATCTTGGTAGCAGTGCATTGTGCTTTTTTCATCTTCGGTTGTAAGTATATTAAGGATGAAAGATGTGTTTGTACTACTGCAAATGTTGCTGGAAGTAGCCCAGAAAGGAGAAATGAGATATCTAGCCCACAGCTCACTGTTCCAGAGGCCTTCGTGTTGAGAATTTTTTCTAAGAAAAACAGCAGCATTTGATTGATGCAAAAATCTCCCACCCGTTTCTCTCTGTGTTGTCATTAAGAACTGTGGGTGCGTGTGTTTTTATTTTTTATTTATTGTGGCTTTTCTTACAACAGGCAAAGGATGTAATGCTACAAAATGATGTATGATTTGTAGTTGGTTCAGCTGGGTAAGCGTTGCTTTTTCTCAACCACTACGAACTTATTTGTTCAATCAATCATTTTAACACCGTGCTACAAACCAGGAAATAGGTGGTTTAAAAAAGAATAATACTTCGACAGAATCTGCTCAGAGCCCTCTGATGTTTATAAAACTCTGACTACTTACTGTGTAGATTTGTCTTAAAGAGAAAGTTTATAGAGGTCAAAATTTCAGAATTTGAATTTTATTTTATTTTATTCAAGAGGCTAGATATTTCTAAATTTGAGGAAATCCTCACTCTAATTGAAATTCTCACCTGCAATCTTTCTTTATTTACCCTTAACCTTGTAACCGCTCCTCCTGGGAGAGACAAGAGGATCATAGGAAACCAGTTTGGGTTCGAAAATAGAGAGAGAACAGATAATGTGACCAGCAAGTGTGGGTTGAGTTTGGGTATTTTACCTACCTCAGTGACATTGGACAAGTATTGTCACCTCTTGGAACCTGTGTCCACAGTTGTAATTTTGGAATAAAACGTGTCCTGATTATATCTCAAAGAAAAAAATGCGTTCCCAAAGAGTGTGACCTTGAGGTCCTAGGCAGGCTGCAAATTTAGTTTTTGTCACTTCAGATATGAGACCGTTACTCTCAGGCTGTTTGGAATGAACCTGAAGAACCTGAGTGAGTTTGTCTCCTGCTTAGTTGACGTAGAGACATGTGTGGAAACTCATTTGCAATTTACACATATTTAAAAAACATGAAACTGAACCACATGGCAGAGTGACTATAGAAAAAAAATTTCTTTAAAATCATCCTCAAGTTAATTGGTGCTTTTTGTGTTGTTCATTGTCTTCAGATTAGCAATGTCTTGATAATCCCTATTACTCTCCCTATTTGGAGTAATACTCCCTATTACTCCAAATCAAATGTTTCCAAAGCCCACAGACTTAAGTCATGTGGTATCCTGGTATGCAGCTATCGATTTGGAATTGTCCTACTGGGGAATTCAAAAAGGACCATGACTTGGGAGTACAGCATTCATTACTGCAACTATACAGTAACAGAGCGGTGTTCTGGGCTGACTCTTGGACTCTTATGTTGTTGGGGCTTATCCCTTTTCCAAAAGAGCACCTGGCCCAGAGGCTCCACAGGTAGTTTGCCCATTTCCCTGCACAGCCAGGTTGTGTTCAGTGCTGCAGAGGATTACTGCAAAAACTATCTTTTGAGATAGCTTTGGGATAATCTCTTTCTCCTGTCATCTGCTCCATTCACTCATGAAGTCAGCTTCTCTCCTGACTTTCTTCCAAAGTTTTAGAAGATGAAAAAGAAAGGAAGGAAAGCAAAAGTGATAGGCATAGGCTAGGTATGAGAATGAGAAAAAGAGTTTAAAAGCTCAGAGCAGTCTAAGTTATGTAAGGTATGCAAAATTTAGCAGATCCAGAGAGACGAGTGTGAGACTTCAGTCATGGCCCCTGCACCCGTGTCTGTGCGCAATTGTTCAAAGGCATTTTGTTGCTGACTAGCTACCTCATGTATTATCTTAATATCCGTGAAATTTGTAGTACAAAAAACAATGACTAGCCAATCAACAGCTTATGTTATTTTAGTGTAAGTTCTTGGTAAACAACTTAGGAATTGCCTCTTTTTTTTTCCTTAAAAACCCACTTGTAACTGCTGCTGATCCAAAGATATATTCCAGGCAACTTGAATCTATGTTCCCAGGTGCCAGCCTCAAACTTTGAGTTTAAATTAAACTCTAAATTCATTATATTTCATGAATTTTGTTATTTAGGGTTGACAAAAGCAGTGCTATAATTTATATATAGTGATCATAGATCCTGATACAAAAATTGCAATTTGCAGTCTGACAAGAGGATACAATATTTAACATCAAGACTAGATTGGAAGACCAGAATGCATGGTCTCCTTATTGGCCACAATTACTGTAAGATGTCCAGTATAGTTTTTAAAGGTAACAGAAAACTAGAATGGTTTTAAAGGGTTGGATGCCTCGTTGTCAGAGAGGATTAACGCAAAGGGTAGAGAGTTGGACGTGCTGACATTTAGTTTTGTTCTAACAAATTCATTCATTCACATACTTGTTTGATGAACAGTAACTGAGCACCTACCACATGCCAGGGACTGATGGAAGAGAGGTTAAAAATTAAGGTAAATTTTAGACAATAAATGATTAAATCTTTTGTACCATGAACCTATGAACTGGGTTCTTTATTTACTGCTTGCCGTGGCTAGGTTGAACCATTTATTATATTTCACTCTGGAGAATATTGTGTTCAGTTTGGCCTCCAAATTTTAAATCCGATATTTTGGAAATGATTACAAATGTTTCTATACCAGGACAAGAATGATAACTGAAGGAAAGCAGGATCGATGAGAATACAGTAATCCCCTCTTATCTGCAGGAAATGTAGACCAATGTGCCAGTTTCAGAATTGAATGTCCCTGTTTGTATGATTACTATATGAATGAATGCTATGTTTATGCATGTTAAATATTTATGCAAATAGAGTTTGATTTAGAGTCACCAGGCTCCTCCGGCAAGGATGATAGAGAAAAGATTACATCATTAGCTATTAAATATTTCCAGGCTTTTATTGTACCATGAAAGAAGGAAATAAAATGATTTTGTCCATGCCTCATGCTCACTCTCTAAGCAGTCCCTTTAGCTCTCAGAGAATATTTTGTTGTTTTCCCTCCTCAGTTTTTTAGTGAAGGAAACCATGTCTTATTCATACTGAATTCCCAGGTCTTAGCAGGCACTCAATAAGGTGTAATGAATAAATTATGGCAATGTACTGTGTGCCCTGGTAATGAGGGCTGAAACTTCTTATTGAGTTGCTAGGCTAGAGCAATATATGCTGGTGAGAACTTGGTTTTGGTGAGAAGTGACTGTGGATCGTGGGGAGTAGGGGAGGCTGGATCTGTTTTGTGATGGGACCCAAAACCAGCCCTTAGATTGAACTGTTTCACTGACACTTGTCAGTTGATGAGAAGATAACAGGCAGAGGATAGAGCAGGCATGAACAGTGAGGGGTAGAAGGGCCTGGCCTCCATAGAGGACAAGATCCTCCTCACCTGGTGAGGACAGGTCGGACTACAGAGTAGATGCTAACAGAACTGGCAAGTTCTGCTCATATACAATGATGATTTAATAAATGGAATAATATTTACGCAGGTATGTTTTCTAAAATCTATCACTAACATCATTTTCACTATGCTTTCCTGACTTGATTATCTTGGCAATGTTATACTTGACAGCAGTGAACAACAGTCGTAGGAAATACGTGGAGAATGGTACCAAGGGATATTTCTCAACTTTTGTTAAAATTTTTGTGCATCGAGAGCTGATATCTGATATCTGACTGGCTCTGATATATTCAGGTTGCGGGTGTTCATCTTCATGGCTGTCTCATAGAATTTTTCTTGATTGATATAACTACTAGCATAATTTTGCTCTGAGCATCTGGAGGGCAGCGGATATGCTTTATTTATCTCTGTGTCTTCAAGCCCCAGGACAGCTACTTGCAATTATAAACTCTCAATAAATATTTACTATAGAACAAAATAAAGGAGAAGAAAAAGAAGGGAACGTTGACATTGTGACAGACCTTTATGAATGCCACCTGTTGGTGGCTTCTATGGAGGTCTCCCATCCACTGAGGGGTGCTGCTGTGTTTAGTGTTTGTGGGAGTCCTGAAAACAAGTTAATCTTACTGTTGCTCACCTGAGATACAAATCCCTTGGCCTGCTCTCAATCAAGCAAAATGATCAACTCCTTCCAGAGAGACCTGTGCCTTTTCTTAGACTGGACCTGCTGGGACAAAGTCTTTTGGCAATATTGAGTTTGGAAAATTCCACCATGCTTCACATTTATTTTCAAAGTATTATAAGCCCTTTGGGCTTCTTTCCTCTCTCATAATCTCATGCCACGTGTCACTGTGTGAATTCTTTCATCTGGCTTAAAATTATATAGTTCATTGCTCTTCCTTTTCCTTCTGTTCCCTTCCATTTCATTCCCCACTTTCCCCTTTGAGAACTTGGAGCATTTAATGTAGTAAATGAAATCCTTGACATCTGTGTTAAGTTGTTCTTGCATTGCCATAAGTAAATATCTGAGACTGGGTAATTGATAAGGAAAAGACATTTAATTGGCTCATGGTTCTGCAGGCTGTAGAGGAAGTATGGTGCCGGCATCTGCATAGCTTCTGGGGAGGCCTCAGGGAGCTTTTACTCATGGTGGAAGGCAAAGTGGGAGCAAGTGAGAGAGTGTGGGGGAGGAGGTGCCAAACACTTTTAAAAGACTAGATCTTGTGTGAACTCAGACTGAGAGCTCACTTACCACCAAAAGGATGGCCCAAGGCATTCATGAGGAATCTCTCTCCATGACCTAAACACCTCTCACCAGGCCCCACCTCCAACACTGGAGATTACATTTCAATGTGAGATTCAGGTATAGACAAACATCCAAACAGTATCAACATCTTCAACTTCTTTGTTGAGAACCCCTTGCACCTCTTGCCTGAACTGAAAGCTGGCATCCCCTTGAAGATACAGAATCTTAATTGGCCCTTTTAAATGGATTTGGTCTATTTTTCCAGCCTCGAGTAGATTCAGGCTGAGATTTAATCTCAGTAATCTTTGTATTCTCCATGCCACTCTTTTTTTTTCTTTTTTTTCTTGAGACTGAGTCTCACTCTGTCACCCAGGCTGGAGTACAGTGGCACGATCTCAGTTCACTGCAACCTCCACCTCCTGGGTTTAAGTGATTCTTCTGTCTCAGCCTCCTAAGTAGCTGGGATTCCAGGCATGTGCCACCACGCCCAGCTAATTTTTTGTATTTTTAGTAGAAACGAGGTTTCACCATGTTACCCAGGCTGATCTCAAACTCCTGGGCTCAAGCGGATCCACCCGCCTTGGCCTCTCAAAGTGCTGGGATTACAGGTGTGAGCCATCGTGCCCGACCTTCATGCCACTCTTGAACCATTTGTCCTTCTTCCTCATGTAAAAACTATGGCTCCTTAAATTCAGAACCTCTTCTGGCAGCTGTAAACTCTTAATATCATCTACTTGCACTGTGGCAACATTAATTATTCTTAGTATTCCAAAGTCTGTGTCTCCTGTCCAGATCTCCACTTTGAAGTTTGGATGGCAATATTCAAGCTCTTCCTCTACAATTCTATTTGGATGGCCCATAGACACCTTAGACTCAAGACAACCAGGACTGAATTCATTTTGAACCACCCTCAAGTTCACCTGCAAGCCTGCTATTATCAGGACTGAGCCATATTTTTACTGATAGATGCCATCTGGTTAACTCATTCATCCTCATCCGAGCCGTAGGGAATCGTTTGAGCACAGGGAACCAGAGAGCCATGTTAAATAACAAAGAATTCTACATTCTAACTATGTTCTCCTGGTCTCCCTTACGATCACCACACAGTAATCAACTTACGAATAACATTTGTCCTGCCCTTATGCTAAAGTAAATAGATTTTTCAGTGTGCATTATTTGCATGGACCCAAGGAGCTATTACCACTTTTATGTCCATAAAACATAAGTACCATATTTTTTTACCTCATACGGGTAGATTCCCAGTAGTAAAAATAACAGTGGGGCTTTATATGAAATAATTTCTAACTGGAAGTAATTTATTCTTTCTTCAAATCTTCATAACACCTTTAATCTAATTCCTTGGGTATATATTTCTTTATGTGGATACAGGGATGATTTTCTTTATGTTTGGACCCCTTGCTGAGCAGCATGATGCCTCATGAGTGGTAGATTCACAGTGCATGCTTGGCAGTTGTTATGAGAAAAACCTGGGATTGTAATTTCCCCCCACCTCCAACCTGGGAAGGGGCCAAGAGACGAAGGAATGACTTGGATGAGTCCAGCTTGATGAGTAGATGAGTTTGTTAAGACATATACAGGGCAATCCTGGGTGGCAGCAGCACAACTCCAGAGATCTCCCCTGTCACCCATCTCTCAGCTGCTTTTAAGCTAATTTTCTGGCTATTTGCTTACTGTGTATTTGCAATGAGAATATTTTCCTTGGTATGTTCCCACCTACATTCTGGGATATTTGGGTTCTCAGGGACACCTGCTCCTTGGCTGGGCAACATGGTCTTGGCTCACTGCCTGGCCTTCATGATTCAAGCAGTGGATGTACACCCTTAAGCAACCTGATGGGGGACCTGTCACACTACAGTGGTGGTGTGATGGTCTCCTCGCTGGCTAGTCCCAAAGCATTGCTTTCTAAGGCACCAAATAACAACAGGAGCAATTTATGCCACATCTTCTGTTCCGTCGCTCTACGTAAACAAATGCAAACCCATTGAGGTGTTTTGGGGGAAGTGTATAATCCTCATGGTTTGGTAAATGTTTAATCATTATAATATTTTTATCTGGGTCACTGTCATTGCTGGCCAAAAATGCATATTCTAGGAAGATTCTGTGCTTGCATGGATTCACCCTCATTTCTTAACTAATCTTCCTTGTGACATTTGTACTGTACCTGATGGCATTTGTATCATAAAACAGAATACAAATAAATACATACACTACAAACTACAGTTTGTTACAGTGATATTAACAAGCACACACATTTGTACTTTATTGAGATAGCAGCTCTCTGTGATACTGGGAAAATCAAGATGAAGGTTGCTTCAGAGTCTGCTCATAGGGAAAATACATTCCCTGGACAACTATGAAGAGGAGTTGGGATTTATTTATTTATTTATTTATTTATTTATTTATTTTTTTGAGACGGAATCTCGCTCTGTCACCCAGGCTGGAGTGCAGTGGGCTCACTGCCACCTTTGCCTCCCAGGTTCAAGCAGTTCTCCTACCTCAGCCTCCTGAGTAGCTGGGACTACAGGTGCATGCCGCCATGCCTGGTTAATTTTTTGTATTTTAGTAGAGACAGGGTTTCACCACGTTGCCAAGGCTGGTCCCGAACTCCCGAGTTCGGGCAATCTGCCTCCCTCGGCTTCCCAAAGTGATGGAATTACAGACGTGAGCCAGCGTGCCCGACCAGGAGTTGGGATTTAATACATACACTGAGGGAGCTGCAGAGGCCTGCAGACACATGGGGGTTCTTTCTCTTCGGAACCCTCTCATTTTAGCAGATCCACCAAAGTGGCCATAAGCATCCTCTCCCAATCCGGCCTTTGAAGAGAACTCACGTGCATCTTACAGCTTCCTCTGACAGCAACGGTGTATTGCCTGTCACACTCTCATTTGGCAAGTGTCCAACTTTGAAAAGTTTTACATTTTAGTGAACCTTAATTAAATCATTTTATGAGCATAAATGATCATAATTTTTAAATGATTATAATTTCAGTAACTAAAGAAATGCAGATAGACAAAATGCCCTTTATATTAATCTCACTGCACTCAGACACTTGCGATCTTGAAGTATTCTAATTAAACTTTCATTATCTTAGTGTTTAAAGGAGAAGTCCTATTCCTAATGCAGGCAGTTTGCATTTATAAGTTCTGACAAGCTGCTTGGTACCAGACAGTCAAAAGTGATGAACAGTCTTGGCAGATTAAAATGTAAATTTGATTGAAGAAAGCAACCTACAAAAATTTATGCTTCTGTATAATCTATGTGATTAAATGTTACTTGTTGCAAAGCTAATGTTTCTGACACTTTCAATTACAGCTTTTGGAAGTTTTATTCCACATCATTTAATCTATTTTAAATAATTCTCCCTTTTAAGCTTTGCACATAGTGATGCATATTTAGCGTCAATCTCCAATGCAAATTTGGAAATAGTCCATGTCCAGTCTACAACAAACTCATTTTATATGGAGATAACAAGCTTTAAAAGCTAAACCTTCAATTCTTTTTCTTATGAGTAAGAAAGTATTTGGTCTCAGCATGACTACTCTTGTCCTTTTTAAAAAAAATGTTAAAAAAACACATAACATAAAATTTTAGTAAAGTTGTGATAACTATATTCCCATTGTCACATAACAGATATCCAGAACTTTCTCATCTTGCAAACGGGAAACTTTGTACCCATTGAATAACAACTCTCCATTTCTCTCTACCCTCAGCTCCTGGCAACCATCATTCTACATTATGTTCTGATGAGTTCGAGGATCTTAGATACCTCATATAAATGGAATCATACAGTACTTGTCTTTTTGTGAGTGGCTTATTTCATCTAGGATCATATCCTTAAGGTTCATTTATGTTGTAATGTGTGACAGGATATCCTTTGTGAAGGCTGTATAATATTCTATTGTATGGATATACCACATTATCTTTATCCATTCATCTGTGGATGGACATTTGGGTTGCTTCTACCTCTTGGCAGTTGTGAATAATACTGCAGTGAACACAGGTATACAGATATCTCTTTGGGATCCTGCTTTCAATTCCCTTGGATATATACCCAGAAGTGAGATTATTGGATCATATAGTAATACTATATTTTATCTTCAGAGGAATCTCTATAGTGTTTTCCATAGCAGCAGCACCATTTTATACTCCCACAAATCTAATGCCATTTTTATGACAGATTATATTAGCTAAATATTGAATAATACTAGTAATTATTTTAAAATAAAATACTAATCATATAAGATTGTTAGACAGCCATAGAACTGAGCTGCCAGTAGCTTTCATTAGTTTGTAACAGTAAATTTAGTAATGTGCTGCTTTGCCACTGTCCAAGTTTTGCTTCGTTTTGTTTTAATTCATGAATTTGAACTGTCAAAACGCTGCTCTATCATAAGCCAATTGAAATGAAATTTTCATGTAGTGCAAAGAAAATTATAAGCCTAGGAAGAAAATTGCCATTTCTAAATTATTTCCTCAGTCTGAGGAAAATTAGAAGTGAGCTTCTATGGTTCAGGTTGACTGATAATGCCCCACAAAGTGAGTCAGGCCACCCTATCAGCTGTAACCTCCTGCTGAGATAAGAGACTCCTTATGTTGACATTCAACCTAGGATTGGCATTACATCTCACTATAGAACTTCACTTCTTGTTCTAGTTCCTATTTGAACCAGTGTTAAAGGGTCACTCCTGTTGCAAAGGGTTCTGCAGTCTTCCTTGCTTTATATGAAAAAACAATGCCCAACTGTCATTGAATTTGTGTGTGGGGTGTGTGTGTGTGTGTGTGTGTGTGTGTGTGTGTTGTCAATATGGGAACTTTATCGTGGGTTTCAAGGTGGGAAATTGATTTTGTACATATAAAAGCATTTTAGCCTTTGATTAGTCTATAAATTTAATTCAATTCCTATCAAAATTCAGCAAGGTTTCTATAGACAAAAACAAGCTTATTTTAAAATGTCTATGGAAAGGCACAAATCCTAGAATAGGTAAGAAGATTTTGAAAAAGAAGAATCAAGTTGGAGGAATCATTGTACCTGATTTTAAGATTTACTATATAGCAGTTATCAAGACGGTATGGCATTGGCAGAGGGATAAATGCATAGATCAATGGGACAGAACAGAGAACCTAGAAATAAACCACACACATATGCTCAACCGATTTTAAAAAGCACTTTATGCCTCATATTAGCACAAAATCATATTTTTATTGATTTCAGCCTCTTTTGCCTCTGGGTTTTTGTTTGCAGTGCCATTTCCGCAAACTGTACATTTCTTGTCTCTTCAGAGAAACTTCACTGACTCTTCCAGCCTGAAGTAGTATCTTCTACTTCTAAGCTTAGGAAGAAGCATTTCATATTTTGGCTTCTCATTCAAGCCAGGGATCCATAATAGGAAATTAAGACATTTTAGCACTCACAATGAAAGCAAGAGACCATAGGAGAAGAAAAGCTAGGACTGCTGAGATTATTGTAGCCTGGTTTTCTCCACTGAGCTTCCAAACTTTTCTGAGAACGGTCAATAGAATGGGTTGTAAGCTCACCGAGGCAAGAGCGGTTTCTGTCTCATTCACTGCTACATGAGTTTGCCATGTGAATTGAGTGCCCATGCTGCCAGGCACTGAGCTACCTAGACACACACAATCTTTGAACCTCTGTATCCCTACTCTACCAGCTAGCAGAGAGGAGACCCTCAAATCCTACCCTCAAGAAGTATTTGTGGACAGATTGACTGAATGACTAGGCTGAGGTTGTAGAATCAGAGAAACAAAAACCACGTAGCCGGGTGTGGTAGCTCACGCCTGTAATCCCAGCACTTTGTGAGGTCGAGGTGGATTGATCACCTGAGGACCGGAGTTCGAGACAAACTTGGCCAACATAGTGAAACCCCGTCTCTACTAAAAATACAAAAATTAGCCGGGTGTGGTGGCGGGCGCCTGTAGTCCCAGCTACTCCGGAGGCTGAGGCAGGAGAATCGCTTGAACCCGGGAGGCAGAGGTTGCAGTGAATGGAGATCGCACCACTGCACTTCAGCCTGGGAGACAGAATAAGACCCGTCAAAAAAAAAAAAAAAAAAAAAAAAAAAAGAAGAAGAAGAAGAACCACATGATAGAAACTGAAACCGAAAGAGAACCCACGATAGAATATTCTTCTTCACCTCATATTTATCTAGAGTAGTCTTCCAAACCCAAAATTTATGTTTCAACTGACCTTCTATTTGATATAAAAAATGGGTCTCTGGCTACTAAACAGTTGCAGCCTGAGAGCTCAGGTCTCCAATACCATGGAGTATGAATAAAGCAGAGTGAACCCTCTTCTTTGTGATTTCCACGTGGCTTGACACGTACTAGTCCCCACTGAGTGAGGGTCACACCTTCACTAGTTGGGGCAAATATACAGTGCACTGCAGCTAATTCTAAAATGCACAAATTCCTAGAGAATGCCAAAAGTGAAAGTGTACTGCCTCAGGGTACAGCAGAGAAAATCACAAACATTTGCAGCATCACAGCACAGCACTAAGCCTGGCCGTCTGCCTGCAGCCCTCTGGTAATTGCATTCACCTCTGAAAAGGATGTGAGGGTTAATTTCTTTAGAAACATTTTTTTTTTTCGCAGATCTCCTTGGTTGTGTCAATGGTAATTTATGTAGCAAAAATTGTAAAAACATAAGTCATTGGTCAGCCATCATATAAAACTATACTTTGGGTTACCAATAAAGAGGTTGTGAATAAGCATGTTTCCAAAAACAATTCTTAAAATATTATTTTGGAGTCTATGTTTTGGTAGGATGGCCAGATAAAATACAGGATGTCTGGTTAAATCTGAATTTCAAATAATAAAAAATGTTTTACTGTAAGTATGTCCCTTTCAACATGTGGAACATACTTATACTAAAAGAGTATTTGTTGTTTTTCTGTTTTGAGAGCTGGAGGTAGAAAGGGGGAGGGCACAAGGGATCTTTTGGGGGCAACGAAAATATTCTAAATTTGGATTGTGGTGATTCTGTAACTGAAAATTTACCAAAAAAAAACTGAATTTTGCACTTCAAATGGGTGAACTGTATGATGTGTAAATTATACTTAAATGTAGCTTAGAAAATGCCCATGTTTTATTTTAGATGACCAAGGCTAATATATTTGTATTTGATGGAAAAGTTAAATATTTTTGGTAGTGTTGTTATCAGCAAATCAGGTGATTAAAAATGGAGGAATTTTTAAAATGTTACAGTACTGTATAAACACAACATAGTTTAATATTTCTCTTACTAATCCCAGCATGCATCTTTCATGATTGTATTTTGCTATTAAAATAATTCCATCTGTAATAAAATCTTGCCAGATGTGATTCTCTGCATTTTTGTCAATGGGACAACTGGACTGCAGATATTGAGTAGTTCAAGGTCACATCACGACAGGAATGGGACCATCCCACCAGAAGCTATCTGACCCCTAGCACAATGTTGTTCCAAAATACCATGTGCAATTAATGGAGAAAACAGTTATACTCATCCTTTTTCACCCATTAAAAAAATTTTGTACTATAATAAAAATGTGCAGATGGAAATAAAAGCACCAAGGTAAGATGATGTCAAAATGACTGCAGAAAGATCTTCTGTGATAGTCATCATGCCTTTCCTTCATTCAACAGTTATTTATTGCATGACCACATGTCACACACTGTGCCCCAAGATACAGTAATGACAAACATGAGAGACACTGTTTTTACAGATCTCCCAATGAGAGAAGAATTTCTAGAATTTTTTCTTTTTTGTCATTTGACCTATATTACTTCTTCTTGTTTCTACACAGCTATTCACTCACAAGATACGATAGAAGAGATTTAAAAAATTACCATAATAATTGACCTATTATCCTCTGAGTCTCATCATCTGATAAAGATTTATTCTCAATTATATAAAAATCATCAGTTATTGTTAAATAAGAAACTCAGTATATGTAGACTCCTCCAGTCTCTTGGATTTACATATATAGTTTTAATTGTACAATATTATTGTAAAAGTTAATATCCTTTCAATGTATCTGATTTAAAATTACCACAGAGCATTGTGGGATTAAAGGAGTACTGTGTCAAGAGAACACTGAATTTTATTCTATATAATTCAATGGAAGGAATCAGAAAACAGCAGCTCCCTGCAGGGCCCCAAATGGTTAATTAACATTATGTGAGTGACAGACTTGGGATCTCTGAGCTGATGTGGTATGAAGCTAAAAGATCTCCAGTAGCAACTGACAAAACAATCATTATAATTTGCCTCCATGAGACAAAGAAGAAATCAAACTCCTGAAGGAGCTGAAAATTTTCCCTAAGCAGACATTTACTATAATTATTATTTTTATTGCTACTCTTCATATTCCTAATAGTTAGTACTGTTACTATGGAATTTAAAATCAACTGGTGGCATTGATTGGCATGAAGATGAATGTTCCTAATAAAGAACATACACCAAAAGGAGGCTTCCCGTGATGACATCTGACTGGAGCAGAAATCATTGCTTTTATGTTCTAATGCACTTGAAGTATTATGTTTTCAACTGCTCCATAAATTCAAATACTTCCTAAATAATACATATTTTCTTCTAAAATGTGCTTACTTTCCCTTAATTTTTTTATTTGTAATTAGTATTAACGCATGATATTGAGTGTTGTATCTTCCAAATAATGTTCAGGGTGGATTTATCTTGTAGGAATCCAATATCATTTGATGAAAGTAATTTAGAAAGCTATCCCACAGATTGCTACAATATCCCTTTCTTGGTATGATTTGAATGTAGTCCCATCATCTATGTTTACTGGCATTTAGGGCTTAGCTTTAATTACTATAACCCCCACCCAGGGCCTTTATGGAATAACCATTTACCACGGTAGTTTTGACCTCAGAGGTTGATGACATGTTGGAAATTTGCATACGTTTACACCACACAGGCTGAGGCTAGGGTATGGGAGTCGATCGCTTGGCTCCTGAGCAAAGCTATATCTGTGGTTTCTTGTTCTCTACTCTTCTGAAATGATACAACTTTATTCCTTTGTAAAAAAAAGAGACTGAAAGAAAGCCAACTACTAGTCCTGATAATGCATGTAAAAACAAAGTGAGGAAGATGTATTTAGAATTTATGTTTTGTACAAACAGTGGAATTATCAGGGAAATGCAAATTAAAACTACAATGAGATACTAACTCACTCCTACAAGAAGGAGTAAAAAGTCAAAAAACAATAGCTGCTGGTGTGGATGTGATAAAAAGGGAACACTTTTACACTGCTGGTGGGAATGTAAATTAGTACAACCACTATGAATTCCTTAAAGAACTAAATGTAGAACTACCATTCAATCCAGCAATCTCACTATTAGGTATCTACCCAAAGGAAAAGAAGTCATTATATGAAAAAGACACATGTGCGTGCATGGTTATAGCAGCCCAATTTGCAATTGCAAAGATATGGAATCAACCTAAATGCCCACTGTCCAAAGAGTGGATAAAGAAAATGTGGTATATATACACCATGAAGTACTACTCAGTCATAAAAAGGAACAAAATAATGCCTTTTACAGCAACTTTGATAGAGCTGGAGGCCATTATTCTAAGTGAAGTAGCTCAGGAATAAAAAACCAAATAGTATATGTTCTCACTTATAAGTGGGAGCTAAGCTATGAGGATGCAAATGCATAAGAATGATATAATGGACTTTGGGACCCTGAGGGGAAGGACGAGAAGA
Organism: Homo sapiens; assembly: GCF_000001405.40. Lineage (NCBI taxonomy): Eukaryota > Metazoa > Chordata > Mammalia > Primates > Hominidae > Homo > Homo sapiens. The sequence goes on from NC_000013.11 coordinate 33,790,746, forward strand.
AGGTGAGGGATAAAAGGCTACACATTGGGTACAGTTTACACTGCTTGGGTGATGGGTGCATCAAAATCTCAGAAATCACTAAAGAACTTAGCCATGTAAGTTCTTTATTAAAAAACCACATGTACCCCCAAAACTAGTGAAATAAAAATAAAAATTAATTATTAAAAAACCCAATGCTAATAATACCTGAATGACAGTCAACAGAGGGAGCAAGAGATTGAAAACTGATGAAAAAAGAAACTGGCAAATCTCCCTAGTTAGGAATCTACAAGCACACATTCTGAAAAGTCACATATACAAAAACAGTTTAAGAGGACCCCATAATTTCTAGCATAACTGATTGGTACACGTCTTCCTCTGTACAAAACCAGTCCATAACGACTGGCAGAGGTGGCCTTTTTTTTTTTTCAAATATATGAATACCTACACAGAGTTACAATAAATATGAAGAAATAAGAGAATATAACCCATCAAAAAAACAAAATAGGTCTCCAAAAACTGATCCTAAAGAAATGGAGGTATATTAATCATATGACAAAGAATTCAAAACAACCATCATAAAGATGCTCAATGAGCCTGGAAAAATGATGCATAAACAAAATGAGAATTTCAACACAGAAATAGAAAATGTAAAAAATAACCAAATAGAATTTTGGAGCTGAAGAATGCAATAACTGGTCTCAAAAAAAAAATCACTAGATGAGTTCAAAAGCAGATCTGATCAAGCAGTAGAAAGAATCAGTGAACTTGAAGACTAGTCATTAGAAATTAACCAGTCAGAGGAGGAAAAAGAAAAAAGGAATGAAAGAGTTAAGAAAGCCTAAGCACTTCTAGGGTTTCTAACACACTCATTATGAGGGTCCTAGAAGGAGAACAGAGAGAGAGAAAAGTACAGAAAGCTTATTTAAAGAAATAATGGCTAAAAACTTGCCAAATCTGAGGAAGAAAATTTACATTTAGATTTAAAAAACCCAAACAACCTAAAATAGGATCACCTAAATCCCTAAATCCAAAGGAATCCACACTTAGAGACATTATAATAAAATTGTCAAAAGTCAAGACAAAGAGAGAATTTGAAAGCAGCAAGAGAAAAGCAACTCGTTTCATAAAGTGAACCCCATAAGGCTGTCAGTGGGTTTCTCAGCAGAAACCATGTAACTCAGAAAGGAGTGGAATGATACATTCAAAGTGCTAAAAGAAAAAATACTACCAATCAAGAATACATCTGCCAAAACTGTCTTTCAAAAGTAAAAAGAGACAAATACTTCCTCAGATAAACAAAAGCTGAGGGAGTTCATCATTTCTAGAGCAGTCTTACAAGAAATGCTACAGGAAGATCGTCAAGCTGAAATAGCAATGCAAAAACATATGAAAGTATAAAGCTTATTCATAAAGGTAAATACATAGACAAATACTGAGCACTGTAATACTGTAACAGTGGTGCCTAAATCACTTTAAATTCTTGTACAGAAGTTAAAAGACAAAGCATATAAAACTATAAAAGTATGCTAATGGATACACAATACAAAAATGTGTAATTCGTGACATCAATAACATAAGTGTGTGTAGAAGGAAGTAAAATTGTAGTTTCTGTATGCTATGGAAGTTTTTATCAACTTAAAATAGTTTGTTACAACTATATGATGTTTTATAACAGTGCCATGGTAACCACAAAGAAAATACCTGTAGAAGATGCACAAAAGGAAATAAGAAAAAATCCAATTATAGCACTTAAAAAAATCAATAAAATGCAAAAGAAGACAGCCAAGAGAAAAAGAGGGACAAAAATGACAAGGCAGATGTAAAAAAATGTAAATGGTTATAATAAGTTTTTTGTATCAATAATTACTTTAAATGTAAATTAAACTTTCAACTAAAAGACATATAGTAGCTGAATGACTAGCATCAAGGTCCAACTATATGCTGTCTACAAGAGACCCACTTTAGAGTGAAGGACACACATAGGCTAAAAGTGAAAGGATGCAAACAGAAATTCCATGCAAATAGTAACCAAAGAGAGCAGATATGGCAGTATTTATATCAGACAAAATAGACTTTAAGTTGTAAACTGTTACAAGAGAAAAGAAGATCATTACATAAGGATAACAGGGCCAATTTAGCAGGAGGATATAAAAATATTAAATATATATGTATGCAATATCACAGCACTTTAACATACAAAGAAAATGTTGACAGAACTGAAGGGAGAAAAAGACAGCATCACAATAGTAGGAGATTTTAATACACCATTTTTAATCATGAATATTACATTGAGAACAAAGATCAATATGGAAACAGAAGTCTTGAATAACGCTATAGACCAAATTAACCTAACAGACATTTCACTCAATGGCAGTGGAATACACATTACCACAAGCAGATGGAATATTCTCCAGGATATATCCCGTATAAGGTCATGAAACAAGTAAACGCTTTTAAGAAGTTTGACATAATAACAAGTATCTTGTCTGGACACAATAAAATGAAGTGAGAAATCAACTGCAGAAATAAAACTGGAAAATTCACAAGTATGTGGAAATTTATTCTTAAATGAGTCAAAGAAGAAACCAAAAGGAAAATTTAAAAACTATCTTGAGAGAAAGAGAAACAGCCTTTTTGTTCTAGTCAAGTCTTCAATTGATTGGATAAGGCCAACCCACATTGGGAAGGGTGGTCTCTTTTACCCAGGCTACAGATTCGCATGTTAATCTCATTCAGAAACACTGTCACAGGCACACCCAGAATAATGCTTAGACAAATGTCTAGGTACCCCTTGGCCCAGTCAAATTAACCATTACATCTGTCATATGCTACAACATGGATGAACCTTGATGACAGTATGTCAAGTGACATAAGCCAGTCACAAAAGGACAAATATTGCATGATTCCACTTACATGATATATCCAAAGTAGTCAAACTCATCTCATGTAGTTTGGATGTTTGTTCCCTCCAAATCTCATGTAGAAATATGATTCCCAGTGTTGGAGGTGGGGCCTGGTAGAAGGTGATTGGATCATTGGAGCAGATCCCTCATGAATGGTTTAGCTCTCCTTGGTGATAAGTGAGTCCTGTTCAGTTCACACAAGATCTAAATGTTTAAAAGTCTGGGACCTGTCCTTTCCTCTTGCTCCTGTTGTTGCCTTGTGACATGCTTGCTCCACATTTGCCTTTCACCATGAGTAAAAGCTCCCCTGAGGCCTCCTCAGAAGCCAAGCAGATGCTGGTATCATGCTTGTACAGTCTGCAGAACAGTGAGCCAATTAAACCTCTTTTCTTTATAAATTACACAGTCTTATTTATAGGTATTTATAACAATGTAAGAACAGCCTAACACATCATCAAAGCAGAAAGTTGAATGTGATTGCTGGGGCTTTGGGGAAACAGGGAATTATGTAATGGGTATAAATTATACAAGATGAAAAAGGTCTAAAGATCTATTCTACATCATTGTGTTTATAATTAACTAATGTATTGCACATTTAACAATTTGTTGAGAGGGTAGATCTCATGTTTTGTGTTTTTTTAACCACAATAAAAAAGTAATATGAATTAGTTTTTTAGTAATGATTTACTCTTACAGATTATTAAAGATCCACCTTATGTTAAATCATTAAAGTAAAGGCCATGAACCAACTTGAAAAATAATTTACGAAGTCTCTGTTTCCAAATAAGATTTCATTTCAAGTTATAAGAGTTAGGACTTCAACATATCTTTTTATTTGAGTAGGGGCCACAATCTAACCATAACCTCAATTTGTCATTTGTTCATTATAAAAATGTCATTAAAGCAATTGTTATGGACTGAATTGTGTCCCCTCCTAAATTCATAGGTTCAAGTCCAAATGCCCAATGTGACTATATTGGGAGATAGGGCTTTTAAGCAGGTAATAATGGTTAAGTGAGGTCATAGGTTGGGTCCTTAATACAATAGAACTGGTGTACGTATAAGAAGAGGAAGAGATACAAAAGAGCCCTCTCTCTCCACACATGCACAGAGAAAAGGCCACATGAGGACACAACGACAAGGCCCCATCTGTAAGCCAGGAAGCGAGGCCTCAGAAGAAAACAATGCCACTGGCACCATGATCTTGGACTTGGAAATACGTGTCTGTGGTTTAAGCTACCCAGTCTGTGGTATTTTGTTTTGGCAGCTTTAGCCAACTAATACAACAACTTAACAATGAAAACACCATATATATTTTCTTGTACCTTTCACATATCCTATATCAGTCTTCAAACAGCTGAAAGGATATAGAATAGAATGAAAGGGTAAAAGAGGAAGAATCATTTGTAGTCTTTTAGTACCTGTGGCTGTTATGATTTCTTTACATTACCAGTGTTAGCAAATTCTCAATAAATATCTCAGATTCATTAGGGCTGTAGATTTCCAGATAAAAGTTGTTAATAAATAATTGTTTAGAGTATCCTTCAAATTAATGGCTAAATAAAGAAAAAATAGCAAAAGAAAAAAAATTTCTTTCTCATACCCAATATGACAGTAATTAAAAAAAGGTAAAAAGTGACAATTTGATAAGTTACCGATGCAGAATGTCTATAACTTAAACCTCACCCACAATCTCTTAAGTTATAAGCTAATGTTTAACATTGGTGTAATTATTTATGATAGGACTGGTGTCCCAATTTCTAATGTAAACATCCTCTTAGGGTTTCTAGTTCCAAACTGTAGCTGGATCTATTTCCCTTCACCGGTAGTATAGATATTGGTTTGGCAGCACGGTAAGTAGAATTCTATGTTCTCTTTAGGGACTTAGAGACCTTGAGGAAGACCCCCGCCACCCCAGCCCACCACTGTAAGCTTGGAAGGAGGTCATGTGCCAGGAAATGTGGACAGCCCCTAGAAACTGAGAATGAGCCCTAGTCGACAGCCAGCAGGGCACCAGGGACCTGAGTTCTACAACTGCAATGGGCTGGATCCTGCCAATAACCTGTATGAACTTGAAAGAAATGCAGCCCTGCTAATGCCTTGATTTTGGCCTTAAGCTATTGGGAGCAGAGAACCACCTGAACCATGCTGTAATAAGACTTCTTATCTACACATCTATGAAATAATAAATACGTCATCTTAAGATGCTCTATTTGTGGTAATTTGTGACAGCAGCTATAGAAAACTAATAAAATGAATACAGGCAACAACAAATATTGAACATTCCTTCAATGCTACAGGACAATTTTTTTTTACCATTGAATATTTAGCAATATATATCACTGCAAATTGTATATTTAGTTTTCTAATATTCACAAATTAGGGAAATGACTAGTAGAAAAAAACAAGTAAAAAATCAGCAACATAATAGGAAAGGGAACTCTTCTGCTTTTTGAAAATTAACATTAATAAGATGAAAGGGCAAACTGCATACTGGGAGACAATCGGCACAATACATTTATCTCACAAAGGACTGTATCTACAATATGTAAAGAATTCTCACAATTCAATAAAAAGAATCAACCCAATTAAAATGCACAAAACATTTGACTAGACCCTTCACAAAGGAAGATATGTGAATGGTCGATAAACATGAAAAAATGCTTAGTCATCAGGGAAATGAAAACGTAAATCACAGTGCAATACCACAACACACCCAATCAAATGGCTATACGTGTGTATACATGTATGTAAATATATATATGTATATAATGCCAAATGTTGGTAAAGACAAGAGCATCTGGAACACTCATACATTGTTGGTGAGAATGCAGAATGGTTTGACCACTTTGGAAAACTATTTGGAAATCTCTTACAAAGTTTAATATACCCTTAACCTTACAACCCAGCAATTTCTCAGATATTTACTCCAGAAAAGTGAAAACAGATGGCCTGTACTGGAATATTAATAACATATTTATTCATGTTAGCAAATAATTGGAAGCAATCCAAGTGTCCGTCAAGAAGCAAGTGGATAAATTGCGGTACATCTATACAATGGTATATTTCTCAGTGAACAAAGTCAACACTGATAAATCTCCATGTATCATCCTAAGAGGAAAAAAGGACCACGTACTATATTATTCAATTTATATGAATCTCTAGGAATGAAAAATTTATAGTGATAGAAAGTAGATCAGTATTCTTGGAATGGAGGATAGAGGAATAGAAATGGAATGGGAAGAAGCAGAAGAAAACCCTTAAGGTGATGGCAATACTTGATATCTTCATTGTGTGGCATTTATATAGATGTGTACATTTGTCAACACTGAGTAATCCGTACACATTTTATAGCATGTAAATTATAGCTCAGTTTTTGATTTTACAAAAGAAAGAAGAAAGGGGGCTGGGTGCGGTGGCTCACACCTGTAATCCCAGCACTGTGGGAGGCCGAGGCACGCAGATCACCTGAGGTCAGGAGTTCAAGACCAGCCTGGCCAACATGGTGAAACCCATCTCTACTAAAAATACAAAAAAATTAGCTGGATGTGGTGGCACGCACCTGTAGTCCCAGCTAACCAGGAGGCTGAGGCTGGAGAATCACTTGAACCTGGGAGGCAGAGGTTGTAGTGAGCCGAGATCACGCCACTGCACTCCAGCCTGGGTGACAGAGCAAGATTCCACAAAAGCAACAACAACAACAACAACAAAACAAAACAAAACAAAAAAACAGAAAAAGAAAGGGAACTAATAAATACTAGTAATGATGACCATTAGTTTGGACTTCAAGAGAAACTTGATCTCCAACACAAAATAAAAACTTGACCATAACTTCAAGGTAGGTATTCTGCTGAATTGATTTATCCAGGCAACCTTTTTACAGCATGGACAGACTAGGTAATTAACTGGAATGCCTCTCCCTGCTTCTCTACTAAAAATCCGGCTCTGTTCCCAATCTTCTCATTATTGTCAGGCTTTTCTAGATCCACCCCTCCAAGCCTCAGGAACCACAAAATACTTGGTCACATGTGAAACTGTGTACAGGTTGTGGGTAAGAAAAAGGGAGCAACGGTGGGTTGGAGAAAGCGTTTACAGAACGCTTCTGTAGAGTTTCAGTTTCAGCCTTTACTTCCAGCTATTTGCTGCTGAGATATTTCTCTCGCAGCCAGAATTGATGGGAGAAAATTGCATCTGGTAGAGGAACACGGATCTGAGTCTGGAATAATACCGTTTGGTTTCTGGCCATATAAATAAGGTGAAGTCAGGTCACTGATGAATCATCAGCTCAGAAATAAATGTTCTGGCTTCAAATCTTGTCCTGAAGCCACTTGACATAGTTCCTTCTTTCTTTAGACTGCTTATGCTTCATGCGACAGTAGATGAATTTTTCTTCCCTAATAACGTGAGCCGTTTTAGCAGTATTAAAAGTACCTTTTCAGCCTTCAATTTCAGTTCAAACATCATCCTCTTAGGGTGGGCTTCTGTATCTACTTTAGCTAAAGCAGTTATCTCTCACCCTACACTCATGTCACACTCAGTCACAGTATCTTATATTATCATTTTCATTGCACTCATCAGTATCTGAAATTATCCTGCTGCATATTTATTGTCTGTATTGTCCTACTAGAATGACATCTCCATGAAAAAGGGAACTTGTCTGTCTGTTCATAGTATCCTGAAACAGTACTTAGCTCAAGTGGGTAATAGCTCAAGGACTATTTTGGAGTGAATTTAACTATACAATATAAGAATAAATTTTTTTAAAAAAAGTTAGGTCGAATCTACATTTAAATTCTTTCAAACATTTCAAACATCTCTATTCACATTCTTTTTTGTTTATTTTATTTTTTTTGAGATGGAGTTTTTTTCTTGTTGCCCAGGTTGGAGTGCAATGGTGCAATCTTGGCTCACTGAAATCTCTGCCTCCCAGGTTCAAGCAATTCTCCTTCCTCAGCCTCCTGAGTAGCTGGGATTACAGGCATGTGCCACCATGCCTGGCTAATTTTTTGTATTTTTATTAGAGACGAGGTTTCTCCATGGTGGTCAAGCTGACGTAGAACTCCCCACCTCAGGTGATCTGCCCACCTTGGCCTCCCAAAGTGCTAAGATTACAGGTGTGAGCCACGGCGCCTGGCCTCTATTCACATTCTTAACCAGTAATTATTTATTTATTTATTTATTTATTTTTCTGAGAAAGGGTCTGGCTCTTTCACTCAGGCTAGAATTCAGTGGCATAATCTTGGTTCACTGCAACCTCTGCCTCCCAGGCTCAAGTCATCCTCTCACCTCAGCTTCCCGAGTAGCTGGGACCACAGGCACATACCACCATGGCTGGCTAATTTCTGTATTTTTTGTAGAGACAAGGTCTCACTATGTTGCTTAGGCTGGTCTCAAACTCCTAAGCTCAGGCAATCTTTCCACCTCATCCTCCCAAAGTGTTGGGGTGACAGGCATGAGCCACTGCACCTGGCAATATTTGCTTACAATATAAAATTGTGTTTCATATTATTGTAAGCTACTAATGAGAGCGCTATAGACAAAAGTTACTAACATGCAAATTGCTTTCTTTAAACTTTAATTTCTTTCAAAAGAATTTTAAAATTCTTAATGCAAGATCAAAGTTTAGTCTTAGTGATGTATTTAACATTAGTTAGCTATCAAGCAGATACACACATTTGCTTTATGGATACATCAAAGAACTTCAGATAATTTTTTGCCTTTTTTTATGGTTTAGAGAGTCTTCTTTCAAAACTGTAAATAAAAGTTAACTGAAAATGTGGAAATTTTCAGGATGAAGTCACCTAGTGAATAAAGTTGTAATGAAGAGAGGAAAAGTGGGCAATCAAAATAGGCAACGTTTTGTCTTTCTTTGATTTATTGCTGTAAGAGAAAGAAAAGTGTAATGATGATTCCACAATTCTAAAAAACTTCATCCATTTTAAACTATTTAATGAAAAAATATTTTTAAGTAGAAGAATGTAGCATGTAGAAAAAATATAAAAAGGGGTCTCTCCATCAGAGACACTTTAGAAAGAACTCTGGATAGAATACCTCAAAAGCACTCATCTGAATAGAGCTCTGCTACTCCTCTTAGGTTCACAGTTAGATCAATGAATTCAAGTTCCAGTCTCATTGTCCCTGGCCTCCTGGGCAGCACAAAAGCTTGGTTTTAGTAACTACTTCCTTTGGAAGTAATAACAAGTAAAGCTTGTTGTGAAGGGTTACGTTGTGTCTCCCCGGCCCCCCAAATTATGTCCATGTCCCAACCCCGGTACTTGTGAATGTGACATTTGGAAACAGGGTCTTTGCCGATATAATCAAGTTAAGGATCCCAAGACGAGACGATCCTGGATTTTGAGTAGGGCCTAAATCCAATGACTAGTGTCCTTGTAAGAGAAATGGGTGGGAGATTTGATACAGAGACACAGAGGAGAAGACTGAGAGGGAGACCATGTGAAGACAGAGGCAGAGATGAGAGTGATGCCTCTGCACACTGGAGAATGCTGCATTGCCAGCAAGCACAGGAAGCTAGGAGAGAGGCATTGAACAGATTCTTCCTCCAAGCCTCCAGAAAAAGCAGCCCGGTAGACACCTTGATATCAGACTTCTGGCCTCCAGAAAAAACGTGAGAGAATACCTTTCTGTTGTTTTACACCACCAAGTTTGTGGTCATTCATTATGCCAGTCCAAATACAGTTGTATATTGTTATAAATAGGCTTTCTTTTGTGGTATGGAAAAGTTTGCAGAAAAAGACGTCTTGTTACTCTGCAGACCACTGTGGGGCACTATAATCTGTATCTTTGGGAAGTAGTCTTTGAATGATCTTATAAAAGGTTCTGTAGGCTTTGCCGCAATAGAGCTTTTATTTCAGAGAACAACAGTGACAACTCAAGACTCAGGAAAAAAAAATCTGAGCTACCTTGGGGCCCAGGGAAAATCTAGTTTCCCATTTAATAACACATAATATTCTTAGGGAACAAAACGTTATCATTTAGTAACCATTTCCTTTGGAAGTAAAAGTAAATTTTCTTTGAAATGATTGCTTGGCATAGCTGTTCTTTGTTCAGTGGTGCTGTGATATTTTGATTTTAATGTGCCATATGAAAATTAAACTTCGAATGACCCATATAATAAGAGAAAGTAGGGCCAGGCAGAGTGGCATGTACCTGTAGTTCCCAGCTGCATGGGGAGATTGCTTGAGCCCGGGAGTTCAAGACCAGCTTGGACAACAGAGTGAGAATGTCTCTTAAAAAAAAAGTGAAAGTAGAAGAGAAGGGAGGTTGATAGTTCATTTTCTTCAGTGTTTACAACATCCACTAAGGGCTTAGGCTATATATTAAATTTATGATACACAAAGTAAACATTTAGAAGCTATTCTGTTTAAAATGCATTTGATCTTTCAGAGCTCAGTACATAACTTTACTATTACTCAGTCATTTAAACAAGAAATTTTAGAAATATTCCTGACGGTTACTTCTCTTCACCCCCATATGTAACAATTCTGCAACTCTCATTTAAATATCTCCTCTTAGTTCCACTGTCTTAGAAAAGGCTCATGCCATCTCATGACCAGACATTCTAACTGCTCTCCCAGCTTTATCACCTATTTGTTCTAGTTCATCCTTCATCCACATAACTTCTAGGTTATATTTTTTCTAAAACAAATCACATCATCTGAATACAATGGTACAAAGATCTTTTGTCCTGGCACCTGCCTAGATTTCCAGTCATTTCTAACAACCCCCCAACCCTCACGCTGTGCTGGTTTGGGCAGATGTGCACAGTTGCCTACTGAACATCTCATCTTTCCTTTTTTCTTATTCTTAGAACTCCAATTTACTTCTGGACATCATCATTCCTACCATTATGTTTATGGCGTTACTGTGAGAGTTTTACATATATGTATATCACTTAGGACCCACCTCAAATGGTACTACTTTATAGACGCATTTCACAACTTCTCTCCTGGTGCTTCTACCAGCAGGGGGTATAACCTAAAATGAATATTTACAATTCAGGCTTCATTCTGTGAAAAATGCTGCTTCATTCATAGGACTGTCTGGAATCTAAACCTTACCTGAAATTGTCCGTGTGTCCACCTGATTTAGGTACTCTCCCCTTAGAAAAGTATGAAAAAATTTAACTCATAATCTGTGATGTTAAAGAAAGAAAATAATATTTAAAAAGAATTGCTTTTATACCAAGAAATGAACAATATATATAATTATAGTTAGTTGTATATATGTATATACACATATCTGGACATACAGTCTGTGTAGTTTGTTCATGTACATATATGAAAGCTATAAACATGCACACAAAGTGTAAATTCTATATAGATAGAACAATAATCCTAAACTAATACGAATCTCTCTTAACCTAGGATAATGTCTCTCCAACTTTAATGTTTGTAAAAATCATCTGGGGATATTGTTAAAACGCACACCAGGAAGCTGGGGTGGGGCCTGAGATTCTGAATTTCTAACAAGCTCCCAGATGTTGCCAGATACCACACTTTGAGTAGCAAGGATGTAGTGAAGCTTTAAGCTCATCAAATCTAAGATAAATGTCTCTATCTCAATACAGGTGGGGGTCCTCTCCTATCTCGTTTTTGGTTCTCTGTTATCTTCTCCACTGAGAATCCACCTTTGAGAGTGAACTCTTCAAAGAAAAGGACCACATTTTCTCCATCATTGGACCCATCATGCAGCATCTAGTGCAATGCCTGGCACTTAGCAGTCATTCTTCACACTGTCTACCACTATGATAAAAAGTTACATGAGTTAAGTACCACATGGGCTACACAGACATTGTCCTAAGAAGCCAAGGAGGAAAGGAGCTTGCCAGAGGGGGCAAGTTTTATGAAAGAGGATGTCTTTGCACTGTTCCCTAATGGATAGATGGGATTTTCAACAGCAGACATTGGGAAGATGTCATTGAAGTCAGAAGAATTATATGAATAGAAAATTCAAAACATGCTCAGAGAGCAGTAAGACTTGAGACAGGAGCAATGTAAAGTATTGACATAATTTATGTACATAAGAAAAAGATTTGAACTAGAGTGGAAAAGGAAAAGAGGCAGTAGATGTAAGAAAACAAAAATCATCATGTACATCAGGCCAGCATTGGTAGGCAGAAAAGTTGAGAAAGTCTGCTCAAAGGAAGTAAGGGTTATTTGTGGAAATATCGTCTCCTATGAAGCCTTGTAGATCTTCCTTCCTGTCTCTCTTACTGGGTTGAACATCCAGTAGGATTTAGAACAGAGTAACCTCAGAAAAGGCTTAGACCCTTCAAGAAATTAGATTTTAAACATATTTCATTATTCCATCTTGTTTCAAAGAAATTGGGCTTCTTAATCTGCAAGAAAAGACAGAGGACTAAATTCTGTCTTCAAACCCATGAAGGTGAGACAAGAAGGGAAAATGAGTAGCAAGACCATGAGAGCAGTTTGTGTCTTGGCCGGACACTGGAGAGTGTGTGTCAGGCAACTTTTGGTATGGCCATCACCTAGTGTTGTTTGGCCAGAGAGGGACACCCAAGGAAACCACCTGGAAAAAGATCATAATTTTGTACTTGATACAATTATGGGCTTCCCATGTAGTTTTTCTTTTTTAAGCTATGTTTATTTCCTGCATAATGGGCTTCTCAGTTCTACCTGACCATGGCTTTTTCAACCCTATTTGTCACCTCAACAGGAATGTTTCCACCCGGCTTATCCTAAACCTGAAGGCTCATGATGCCAAAATAAAAAAATGGATTTACCTATATGAAGATAAGAATTATCAAGACAATGAAGCAATGGAGTGTTTCTGGTTGAGTTGAATGCTTGAGTTGAACGCCCAAGATAATATAGTATAGTGATTAAGCACCTGAGTTCTACAGACAGATGGACCTCAGTTTGCAATCAAGTTCTGCCCACTATTAGTTTATGTGACCTTAACTGACATCTCCAAACCTCAGTTTTTTTAATCTGTACAATGTGTACCTACCCACAATGGAGGCAAAGTATTCCACAGTGCCCGGCACAATAAAAATGCAATTAATGATAAAGCTTTTTTCTCTCACGCACAGACTCTCAGTGTCTCTCATGTATGGTTGTCTGCCAGTTCATTTTTGGATTGCAAGGGTTCTCAAGAAAAGCTAGGTTTGGTCTAAAATTCAATCCTTTCTTCTAGAAAATGGTCACTGGGCATACAGACATAGCTTTATATATGACTAGGGGCTACTTACTAATGATCTATTAAGTTCATTCTAATGTTAACTAAAATTCAGTGCTTATGTATTAAAACGAGCACATTCGGTGGGGCGCAGTGGCTTATGCCTGTAATCCCAGCACTTTTGGAGGCTGAGGCAGGCAGATCACTTGAGGTAAGGAGTTAAAGACAAGCCTGGTCAACATGGTGAAACACCGTCTCTAATAAAAACACAAAAATTTGCCGGACGTGGTGGTGGGCACCTGTAATCCCAGCTACTTGGGAGGCTGAGGCAGGAGAATTGCTTAAACCCAGGAGGCAGAAGTTGCGGTCAGCCGAGATCGCACCACTGCACTCCAGCCTGGGTGATAGAGTGAGAATCTGTCTCAAAACAAACAAATAAACAAACAAACAAAAAACAAGCACATTCTTGAATTTTCTGATGATAAATCTAGTATTCTATTAGGTGTTTTATTTCTCATGGAGCACTTAAATCTTTGCAGAGATCATGCTTTCCATGAACAATCACAAATATTTGATGTGGCAGAGGTTGGCTGCCTGCTCTCTAAGCTCTTTTTCTCTTATTCTAAAACATAAAACATATAGTCCCACTATTTTCTCCAACTTCTATTTGAATTAGGTGTGGCCACATCACTAAGTCAAGCCAATGGATGTAATATATGCTACTACCAGTCCTGGCCCAAACAAACTTTCCATATGCGATCTCCCATGCTTTTTCCCTTTCCATTGATTTGATACAGATGTAGAAAGCGGAAAACACAACTTCTCTCTCTGCCCACTTTAGGTTCACTGACTGTGACTAAAGCAAAGACAGATTAATAGGAGAAAAGCATGCATATTTATTTCATATACATTATCTGTGACATGGGAGCCTTCACAAGGAAAGGAAGACCCAAAGAAAAGGTTAGGCCTAAGCATTATTATACAAGGTGTGATGAAGAGAGGAGTGTTGTGAAAAATGGGGTAGGACAAAAGGGGAATGAACTAAGAGTAGTAATCTGGAGACACCTCACAAAGGCCTATTCACTCAGATTCCTCTCAGCATCCCTCCTTTTTCAGAGATAACGTTGCTGCTTTTCTCTGGGTATGGAGAGGGCATCTCTTACATAGGGGTCTTATTATCTGCTCCAGGGGAAGGTCAGGGAGTTTTTCCTGCATATGCCACTTCTCAGATTCCTTTAGCCTAAAATATTCAATATGCCAAGGTGCCATATCTTGGGGTAGGATGTTCTGAACCCCATTCCAGATGAGCAACACCTGGAAACCACGTGTTAAAATGACAGAGATGCAGACTGAAAGGAGCTTGTGATTCTGTGTGACTGCATGTTGGAGAGTCACCTGCTATTCGGGATCACTCATTTTTACCTTATGTAAGTGAAATATAAAATTCTGTAATTAATGAGCCATTATACACTTTAAGATATATTTTCTTTTCCTTTCTTTTCTTTTTTTTTTTTTGAGATGGTGTTTCGATCTTGCTGCCCAGGCTGGAGTACAGTGGCGCGACCAGTTCACTGCAACCTCCACCTCCTGGGTTCAAGAGATTCTCCTGACTCAGCCTCCCAAGTAGCTGGAATTACAGGTGTGCACCACTACCCCTGGCTAATTTTTTTGTATTTGTAGTAGAGACGGGTTTTCGCCATGTTTGCCAGGCTGGTCTAGGACTCCTGACCTCTGGTGATCCGCCCACCTCAGCCTCAAAAAGTGCTGGGATTACAGGCAAAAGCCACCACACCCAGCTTATGATATGTTTTCATAGCAGAATTCCTACCCTAGAAGGGTATCATAATATCAGTGCATGCCAATATTGCTTTATTCTTGCTCTAATGGCTATGGTTTTCAATTTTCTTAAATAAAACATTTTATAAAAATGTGTGCTTGTAAATGTAAATTACTGTTAAATTAGCTTTCTTTTATTAGATGAACCAGGCTAATTGTAGGCCATAAAATAATTCATATTCTAATTTGAATAGTTGCTGTTTTATTCAGAATAAGAAACAGTGTTTAGAATGCATCTAGTTTTACCAATGAAATGCTACATAGAAATTGCATGAACTTTGTTTTTTGTAAAACTTAATAGCAATATTATGAGTAAATTTCATGATACTAATTGCTCTTTAAACTACCTATAAATAGAGATGCCCTCAAACTGATGAATAGACTGCCTTTTGAAACTAAATTTCTAATGATTAATATTCGAAAGCATCATAAGAAAAGACATGACAATTCAAAATTCCCTCTATAGGTAAGTGGTTCCTACAAGATGTAATCATTCCTAAATTGGAAAGTAAGAGGGATGTAGATTAGAGCATTTGTAAAGTATCAGAGACATAAGAAAAGAGTACAAGGAATACAGGGAAACGCAATAGATTCTGTTAGAAGTCACCACTAATTCTTGTACTTTCACTTGTATAATCACATTGTTTGTATAAAAGCCTTTCATATTTCATAAGATTATAACTACTAGCTGTAAAACATATTGTGCATCTCTTAAAATAGATGAAACTAAAGGGATTTTTGAGCCCTTTCATTCCAGGAATGGAACAGAGAATTGATTTCCGTATAACAGATTATTGTGGAAATAAATTATTAAATCGTCAGATGTGCTTTGCTTTTTATCTATTTGTGGCCAAGGTATTATTTATAGAAAGACTTGGTTAATCTTCAAATGTGAAAAACATGAATAAATGTATTTTCTTATATCACACATTTTTTGTAAAACCAAAACAAGCAAAACCCTATTAACCTGTTATCCAGAGCGACAGGCTTTCAGATAATCGTTTATCAGCTGTCAGAGGCTCCAGGGTACTAAAAGGGGACATTTGCATTAGTGACAGTCGAAATGACCTCCTCAGCATCCTGTTAGTCAAATGTTTCAGCTTTTACCTGCACCAAAGATTTCCTTCAAGCACCAAGCAAGTAATAAGCCGTAATACTACATGATTTGAATTTTGAGTCAAAACCGTTTCTTCTCTTTCTGAGAAGGTTCGAACGAAATGTTACAAGGTTTAAGCAGAGTCAGTCAGCCAAGGAATACAGGCTGAATCTGGACCATGGAAGTGTCCTGTTGACCTGCATGGTGTCATTGATTTTCTCAAGGAATTAGATATAAAAATCCAGACTGGGGCTTTTCGCAAAACACTTGAAGATCTATTACCAGTGTGCCAGCATCCTGCTTGGGGGGCCACCTGCTTTTGGTGAAGAGAAACCTCCTGTGTTCTCTTCCTGTTTATTCTCTCAAAATTTAGATCATGCCCTTGCCTGCCCAGCCCCTGATGGCATTTCAGGTTGTAATTGCTGTGTAGGGACAGGTGGAGGTGTAGGGCAGAGGGCAGGTGATAGTGACAATAAAACAAACAGAAAAAAATTAAAAATCCACTTTTTGGATGTTCACTCTAGAGGAAAAATGAGAATTGATGGCACTAATACCACTTCAAAACAAATGTATCTTTTCTTGTAACAGATTTGATCACCCAGAGCAGGTAAGTTAAAAGTCAAAGACAATAAAAAATACTCTTTTGTTTGCTATGAAACCCTACAATACCTTAAGTCTTTGTTGAGTTTTCCTTCAATGAGATGGATAAGGAAGGCTGAGACAAAGATGTAACACCTTAATTTAGCACCGATGTGTTTATCTTTTCGTCTACCCTGCTGGTCAGGATCTTCTGTCTTGTTTAGTTAATAAGGTACAAACTGAGAAAAGTACACCTTCATCTTTATATTCGTGACTTCATAGTTTTCACAATGAAACTCTAAATTGCAAATCAGAATGTAGAAATCTTAAGTAGAAAATAAGTCAAAAGATTTACAATCTCTCTAAATACTTTGTAATTCTTAATGTCTAAATAGCTGGATTTATGTTTACGTTGTTTACCTTTCAAACCATTTAAACCATCCTCTTCTTATTTCTGTTTCCATTAATGGCTTGTTAAGAGAAAACTTTAGACCAGATAAATTTAATAGACATTGAGCATTAATTGCATGTTGATCCACTTCTCTGAAGCTCAGTTTTCTCATCTGTGAAGTGAGACTAAAAATGACCTAGCTCCTAGGCTTGCTATGAAGATTTAATGTGGACGTGTATGGAGCCCTTCCTGACAAGACTTCCATAGACTAGGTACTCCATTAAAATTGTGACTTTCATGCTTACTGTTACTACCACTATTGTTGCTGTCAGTCAATGTGGTAGTATTAGTTGATGTATTATTTTCTTCTGTCCTTCATGTTCTGTAAATGTGGGGATTCCCCAGGTTCAACTATTTGTCCATTTCTGTTTTCTGTCTACAGTGACTGGGAAATGTATTCAACTTCCCAGGCTCACTCATGACCTCTCCCAAATAATGTTTCTACATCTCCCAAATAATATTTCCACATTCTCAGCTTCCTGCTGAATATTTCCATGCAACAAGTCTAACACCAGATTCATTACTTTCTCCATGATCCAATAAATTCCTCTTCTGGTTTGCCCTATTCTTGTTAATCAAAAAATTATTATTTCTATTATTCTATTATCTCTATTATTATTATTTCAATCAAACCCCACATTTATTCATCTGTTTGTTCAATATGAATTAAGCCCTGACAGTTCTAGGCACCGTAATAGATGTTAAGGTTGTAAAGATGATCCTCAAGGAACCTGAAAACATAATGCAGTGATTCTCCAACTGTGTGACAGGTCAGAAAGGCTGTGGTGTTTTAAAAAAGACAGATACCTACACTTCATTCTAGACATACTGAATTAAAATCCTCAGAAGTAAGGCCTGGGAATCTGTGTCTCTAAAAAGCTCTTGATATTAAGCAAGGCATAGAGACATATATATTCTAAAGAAGCTAAACGGAAAAAATAACTGGTTACAAATCAATGTGGAAATAGCAATATTAGGTGTTTGTAGAAGATGCAAAAACCATAAAGAAAAACCATCTGAGCCTGCTTGGGGGCATCAAGGCAGGTGTCATAGAGGAACTACAGTATGGGATGGGTGGAGAGCAGAAAGGAAGTGAAGGAAGAGGGAATATCATATACTAAGGGATGGAAATATAAGCAAGCTGGAGTTTCCTGGAAACCAAAAGTCATTTAGTATTACTTGTGGGTAAGAGTCAGGAACCATGGTGTGTCAAGGTGTGGGGCACAGCCCGAGAGAATGTATGCAGTGGTTAGGTAGGCCCAGTGGTGCTGGAATTGAGACTGACTTGGTTGGAAATCCTTGCTCCATCACTTGTTAGACAATTTTAAATCTCTGTTTCTCAGTTTCTTGAGCTGTAAGAGATGTACATACCTCATAGAATTATTGGGAGGCTAAAATAACACAGGTGAAGTGCTTAGAACATGGTGTTCAATATCATGAGGTATGACTACAGCCAGGGGCAGGCAGTGTGTACATAGTGCTAGAGCAGGTAGACTTTGGAGTTAGTCTCTGGGTGGAATCTCAGTCAATTCTTATTAACTGTAAATCTTTGGGCGGGTCTCTTTATTTTTAATATCTCACTCCCCATACCTTATTTATGTCTATTCACACATTTCATCTTCCTATATCCAGATATCACCATTGAATTCAACAAGTATTTACTAAGCTCTTCCTATAGGCAAGAAGACATATCATTCCCCCCATGGCTTCTTGTGTATGCATAAAGGCAAACTCATTAAAAATTGCCATTTAAACATCTCCTAACATTTGCCCTAAATGTTCTTCCCAATCTTCTCTCCCATCTCTCCTTTATATTTTCTACCGTAAGAAAATCCTGCTCTGTGTTTTGACACCTTTGGGTCTTTGCTCATTACAATCTTCTACCCCAGTAATATCCTCCCTTGGGATGGCTTTTGTAACCCTACCTATGTGTCCTTCAAAACCCAGCTAAATGCTAGATCCTCCATGAAGCCTTCCCAAGTCAGTCAAACTGTAATTGAACTTAAACCTCTATAAAAATGTTTGAAGCTACATTAAGGCATTTATCACTTACTGCTTTCATGAGAGTTATTTGCATATATGCTTATCATTCCATAAGCTCCTTGAGAACAGAGCCTGTATCTAATTCATCTTGCACCCCCTTCACGGTATGCATAAACTGATTTACTCATTGATAGTACTCAAGGGTGGCCCTTTTGTAGAGGAACGTTATAATTAAATTCTGAGGTTTTCTGCAGCTGACTGGAATTCTTTGCTGTATTTCACTCTTTTCTCTGATCCTTACTGTCTTCTCTTACTCATTACTGTAATATATTTTAAAACCAAATCTTTATAGTTTTCAGAGAAAAGGTACTATTTAGAGACCTCCTAATTAAATATGTATTATTTTGAATTTTTACAGAAGAAAGGTGATTGAGAGAGTATTGTTACTATTATATATGTGGTAGGAGGCAGTTATAAACAGTAATAGCAACAAAATATGAAAGCAAGCAAAATTATGAAAGCAACTCTAAACAAGAGGTAATTATAGAAACCAAGGGATTTAAAAGCTTCAGGTTCTGACTTTTTGCAGGGAGTTTGATACAAAGGGCATATTACAACTGACAGAGAACAATGTGTAAATCTGAAGGAATATGATTTTAGATAATCTAAAAGTAAATTTTTCTTTTAATCCCAGAGACAGCAATATAGTTACTCAAATTCCAACAAAATGAAAAAGTAACATAGAGTGTGTAGCAGCAATTTAAGCAGATAAAAGTTGTTTTGGTATAGTGCCTAGGTTGCTGGACAGAAATATTGTTGAAAATGATCATAGATTCATTATAGAATTATATATTCATCATTTTTATATATCATTATACAAATGATCATATATTCATTATAGACATATATTCATTATTCAATCATTCATTATAGATTCAGTGATTTCTTACTCTGGAAATCCAATAGCAATGATACTGGAATCCCAGATTTCTTTATCATATATATAAGCAAATATGGGACTCAAGCTAACTTAACTGCATTAGAGATTCTGCAGGTTAAAATATAAATATAAAGTGCCGGGCACAGTGGCTCATGCCTGTAATCCCAACACTTTGGGAGGCCGAGGCAGGTGGATCACTTGAGGTCAAGAGTTCAAGACCAATCTGGCCAACATGGCAAAATCCCGTCTCTACTAAAAATAAAAAATTAGCTGGGCATGGTGGTGCATGCCTGTAATCCCAGCTACTCTGGAGGCTGAGGCAGGAGAATCATTTGAATCTGGGAGACAGAGGTTGCAGTGAGCTGAGATCGTGCCACTGCACTCCAGCCTGGGCAACACAGGGAGACTTTGTCTCAAAAAATAGAAAATAAATTAAAAAATATAAATATAGATAAATATATACCTGTCTCTTTTTTCTCCTTCAATTTTTCCGTAACGAACATTTGTTGCCTTATAACCAGAAAAAAAGTAGAACAATTTCCAACTCGAGTATTGTAGAAAAAGCAGCAAATGTAACTTGGAGGTGGTTACTCACTGTCTGGCATTAGCCATTAACACAAGTAATAGTTAAATATTTGTCAGTCAGGGACTTGCACAGTGGCTCAGTGGTGAGACAGTGGACTAAAAAGTCAAGTGGGAATGGTCCTATTATGCTCATGTTGCTGTGATTCTGTCAAATCCCAAATGACTCCATTTCTCCATATCTGTGTTCTCATCCTACTAGATTTCAGTTTGAATGCCTAGAGTAAAAATTCATATCATTTAATTATTAATAGAGATCTAAGTTAAAGTTCTTTTGTTATTGGTACGTGAAACTTACTATTATTTCTATTTTCAGTGTTAAGCACATTACTAGGCCTCAGCTGTCTAGTAATCGGGAGGTGAGTGAATGGCTTTTTCCTGTCCAGTTTACCCACGGAATAAACAAAGATCCATCTAAATCAAGCCAGATTGTTCCATAACACTGAAAGGCTGAAGTATTTCAGAATATAAGTTAGTGGTAATAATAATAAAGAAACATTTCATTAAAAAAGGATGCAGAAGATATATGGGAATCAGAAAAATCATCAAATAATTGACTAGTCAATGAGCTGCTGATTATAATAAAAGCATTATGCTTCTAAAATTATCAAGTTTACAATAAAATTAGCATTGTAATTATTAATTTCTAAGAGAAAGAAATCAAATTATATATTTGTAAAAAAGTGATTGAAATAATATTTGATGGTCCTTCATCTTAGACCAATTGTCTACACGTCCCATTTGCTAAAACTAGCATTTATTGGTATAGCTATTCCATTTTATAGAAATATCTAAAAAATTGGAATGTTAAGCAATTGTTAAAGATCCTGGGCAAGGTAGGAGTTTCACATAAAAGTGTGAATATTTTAAAGAACTGGATATTCTTTTCGGCAAAGGCACAGAGAATAATAGCAAAGTGATAGTGTGAGAGCTTGAAGGGCACGTAGAGGTTATCTAGAGCCACCTTGCATTTTGCAGATGAGTCCTTTCAGACCTAGTGGAAAAAGGGACTGGCCCAAAGTTAATCAAAGAGGCAAGGACAAAGCCTGGGCCAGGGTGGAAACTTCTCCTGAGTCCAGGCAGAGAGATTTTTATTACAAAATCCCACGCAAAATCCCTGGGAAAACTGCTCAGAGTTTTAGAATTGTAGAATGTTGAAGCTGGGAAAAAATGGCTAAATCCTGTTACATTACCTGTGAGGTAACATGAGGAAACTCCAAAGGAAGACCAGAAAATCCTTACTAAAACCTAGAAGAGTGCCCGACATGTCTCTTCATTGGCCTGCCACCCCATCTCCTCCTTCCTCCTCCATGGGCACTGCTCTCAGGTCCTGCAAGTCTTAAGGTAGAAGTCCAGCCACTTCCCCATTCAGAACTATGCTGTTTTTGGTCCTTTATCCTAAGATACACTCTCCATCTCTCCTTCTGGCCTATTCTACTGCTCCAGCCTCATTCTAAGTGTTACTTCCTCAAAAAAATCTTTCCTGACTTCCTTGAATAGGTAGGTGAGTCCTCTAGAAATCTTGTTATGAACATTGAAATAAATAACTTTAATATGTGTGGTAGTAGAGACTAGTATTTTCATGGGATTCACATTGAATTAATCTTTTTTAAAAATTTTTTACTTACCTTTCACTTTTATCAAAGTAAAAGAGTCAAAACTTTCCACAAGTCTTGTTGTAAAAAATGACATCCTCTGCCCCTGGTCTCTGCCCTGACACTTCATGTCTGCTTCCCAGAGAAAACACGTTCTTATTTATTTATTTATTTATTTATTTATTTATTTTTGAGACGAAGTCTCACTCTGTCACCCAGGCTGGAATGCAGTGGCACGATCTTGGCTCACTGCAGCCTCTGCCTCCTGGGTTTAAGCGATTCTCCTGCCTCAGCCTCCTGAGTAGCTGGGATTACAGGCGCCCGCCACCACGTCTGGCTAATTTTTTATTCTTAGTAGAGACAGGGTTTCACCATGTTGGCCAGGCTGGTCTTGAACTCCTGACCTCAGGTGATCCACCTGCCTCGGCCTCACAAAGTGCTGGAATTACAGGCGTGAGCCACTGCACCCGGCCCAGAAAACACTTTCAACTCTTTTTGTGTGCGTGTGTATGTGCGTGTGTGCATGCACACATGTGTATTCTGGCATCAATTCCATGTTTCTTAATAACATGCTAATACTACTACTTCTTGATTTTGCTTGTTTAGCTGTCAATTTCCTTCTGTGGAGATGAGGTCTCACCTCTCATACAATTCCATTCTCACAACTGTACACACTTCCTTTCCTCTCATTTCCCCCTATTTTTATATTATAATTTCTTCATAGGGAAATACACAATTTTTTTTTTTTTTTTGAAACCGAGTCTTGCTCTGTCACCCAGGCTGGAGTGCAGTGGCATGATCTCGGCTCACTGCAACCTCCACCGGGTTCAAGTGATACACCGGGTTCAAGTGATACTCCTGCCTCTGCCTCCTGAGTAGCTGGAATTACAGGCATACGGCACCTTGCCTGGCTAATTTTTGTGTTTTTAGTAGAGACAGGGTTGCACCATGTTGGTCAGGCTGGTCTCAAATTCCTGGCCTCCCAAAGTGCTAGGATTACAGATGTAAGCCACCATGCCCAGCCCATAATGTTTACATTATTTGGATTATGTAAATATTATTCACAGTTGAGCATATTTTAATGCTATAAAATTTCCTTTCTCATGTATTATCTATTCCTTATGTAGTTAGCCCTCCATATATCCCAGTTCCACATCCACAGATTCAACCGAACATAGATTGAAAATATTCAGAAAACAACAACAAAAAATAACAAACCAACAATAAATAATACAAATAAAAAACAATAACAACTATTTACATAGCATTTTCTTTACATTACTTATTGTAAGTAATTTAGAGATAATTTAAAGTATACAAGATGATGTGTGTAGACTATATGCAGATACTACATCATTTTATATAAGGAATTTGAACATCCATGGATTTGGTGATCTGTAGAGGTTCTGGAATCAATTCCTCATTAACACGGAGGAACAACTCTGTACCTTTTATGTACTCTGCTATTAGTAATTGTCTTGTTTTGTCTTTGACTTAGTGTTTAACACACACCTTGCTAATTTATTACTAAACTCTTTTCTATAGGAGTAAATCTCATCTCAGTATGTGCAAGCATATCAGGTATTAATTTTATCTTCTTGAAGACAGTAATCCTCCTGCTTCTGCCTGGACTGGTGGTTTTCCAAGCTTGTTCTGTCTTTGTCGCCTGGGTCATCCTCTCACTTTGCTCCACTGTGGGATCTCCCGTGTTCAAGGTTTGTCTCTCACAGGCCATAGATTAGTCATATTTCAAACATCAAGATGATAATAACATCAGCGATGAGAGAAACAAAGCCCCGAAGGAATAAAGACCCTATCTTTTTACCCCTAGGATATTTAATCACATTTTGTGTTTTTAAAGTTTTAATTGTTTTTTCATGCCATTTCACTTAAAATAAAATTTCCTTTTAAATGCCTATGAATGAGTATTTTCAGTTTTAACATATTACCTTTTAAGAAGGTAGCAAGGGTAATTGAAGATGTGTTAAATATATATCACAGTTAAATCATACAGAAAGTAAAGTGTTTTTTTTTTGGTTTTAGAATTGTAGTTGCGTATATAAAAGCATCAGTAAAATAGGTGGTTTGTAATATGCTCAAGTGGAACAATTTATGTTTTATGATTTTGAAGATCAACAAGGTGAAATCCACAAAGTTCAGACATGGACTTAACTCCCTGTAACTAGCCATACCAAACAGAAACTCAGCCAAGATTTCTGCAACATTAACAAGCTGATTCTAACATTTATATGAAAATGCAGAGGACAAAAACTGGCAAAGATAATCTTGAATAAGAATAGAAGTCAAACTACCAGAAACCAAGACCTATTATAAGGCTATAGTAATCAAGACAGTCTGGTACCTGTGCATAGATAGACAAATAGATTGATGGAACAAAACAGGGAGTTCGGCAACAAATCCACACATACAAGGTCACATGATTTATGACAAGGTGACCCTACAGTACAGTGAATAAAGGTCTTTTTAATAAACACTGCTGGTGTAACTGGATATCCACATGGAAAAAAATGTACCTTGACCTTTTAGACTTTTTTTTTTGTATGGAGGCATACAAAAAAAAAATTCCAGTGGATTTAAAATCTAAATGTGAGAGCAAAACCATAAAACTTGAAGAAAAACTCACAGAAGAACATCTTCAAGACTTTGGAGTAGGTAAAGATTTTGTAAAACAGTACAAGCTGAACTATATTTAACTTAAGAACTATTTATCAAAAGACACCATTAACAGAGATTAAAGCCAAGCCACATGTAGGAAAAAGATTATTTAAAATACATGCATGAAAAGGAAAGAAATTAATAAGAAAAAGACAAACAATCTAATAAAAATAGGCAAAATATTTGAATAGTCACTTTACAAAAGAATATTCTAATAATTAATAAGATGCTCAACATCATTTATCATTAGGGAAATTAAAATCATAATGAGATTTCTCTGTAAACCTGCCAGAATGACTAAAATTTAAAAAGGTTGTTGGTTGGTGAAGATGTGGAGAAATTGGAATCTTTTTGCATTGCTCATGGGAATGTAAAGTGGTGCAGCCACTGTGGAAAACGGTATGGCAGTTACTCAAAAAATTAAACTTACAATTACTATATGATTGCCGGGCGTGGTGGCTCGCTACTGTAATCCCAGCACTTTGGGAGGCCGAGGCAGCTGGCTTGCCTGAGCTCAGGAGTTCGAGACCAGCCTGGTCAACATGGTAAAACCCTGTCTCTACTAAAAATACAAAAAATTAGCTGGGCGTGGTGGTGCACAACTGTAACCCTAGCTACATGGGAGGCTGAGGTGGGAGGATCGCTTGAACCCAGGAGGTGGAGGTTGCAGTGAGCCGAGATCGCATCACTGCACTCCAGCCTGGGAGACAGACTGGGACTCCATCTCAAGAAAAAAAAAAAGAGCTAAGATACCTGAGGGCCAGAGTCATTAAACATTAAAGTGATTGCAGCTGTAGTTTACCAACCCCGAGGACTTTACTTCCTCTGTAGCAATTTCTCATATCCTATATATTCAAGAGTCTGGAGTAAAATTGCTAGATAAATACAGGGCCCTGGTTACATTTGAATTTCAGATAAAGGCTGATTTTTTTTCTCATATAAGTATGTCCCTGGCAATATTTATTACAATTTCAAATATTGCCAGGGACATACTTATATGAGAAAAAAAATCATTTGTAATAAATTTTGCCATAGACATATGAAAAAGCTTCTGAAATTCAAATTTAACTGGACTTCCTGGGTCACCACACTATTTCTCCTTCCTCAGAACCCCCAACAATATTGAAGCACATGTCTTCATGTGCTTCAATGGTAGAGACATGTCTTCACGGTAGAGACCATCAACCACTGCTCCTTATTGAAGTTGTCTGTCATGCCTGTGGTCACTCTTGCCAAATTATTGATCATTCTAGCACTTGGTTCTTCTCTTTATTCCTCTCAGTACTTATTTCCATTATCATTCATTATGATTATGATATACACATAGACCACAATTCAGTATCCCTGCTTCTGATTTCCTTTACCTTCTCATTTCAAACACTTCCTCCATTTCAATTCCAAAGGAGAGAAGCATAAAGAAGATGAAGCTTTTTTGCAATATTAAATAGGGTGGTCAGGGAAGCCTCAGTGAGGAGATAATACTTGAGCCAACATCCTGAAGGAAATGAGGGACCCAACTCTGCTGACTGGAGAAACATAGTCCAGGAAGAGGAAACAGTAATTGCAAAGGCCCTGAGGCAGAAGCCTTCCAGGCTTATTATAGAAAGTTTCTCGAGAACAGGGATTAAATCTTATACTTGGTGGTGTGGATAATACCTTACCTGCAGGAGTAATTCATGTAATATGACGATTCATAGAAGAACATGATAAATTATTGATTAATAAATGAGTAAGAGGCACCTTGGTGAAAGGTTATTAAGTATATTTGGAAATCATTTCCTGCCTGTAAGACCTTGCAATCAAATGGCAGGACTTAGGGTTCTTAATAATACATAAAATAAAAGCATAAATTAAATAAGGAATTAATATTATGTACAATGAGTAAAGTGCATTTTGAGAGGCACTATTTGAAGAGAACTTCAAAAGTTGCATATCAACTTCATATGCAGAATATTTTTCTGAGGGGTTCAGATGCTTCTACACATTTTAATTGGAGGGCTTTCAAATATTCTAGACTTAGAATGCATATTAACCTCGTGTCTTCTCCCCTACAGACCACATTTGGGTAGTTTTTCCATGCTCTTGATTCTTTTGTTTCTAATCCAATAAGAATATTGAGGAATAGAGGTAACAAAGGATAGTGAAGATCAGACATTTTCAAGCGATTCATCCAATGAAGCTTTACTGGGTACCTGCCAAGTGAGTGAAACCCTGAGATGTATATATTCTAGTGCCGAGGACAGAGTTCCACACCTAGCAGATATTTAGTAAATTTTTGTTGAATGAATTAAGTGAATGAAAGAATGAATAAATGAAAGGAACGGTCTTCTCTGAGGTATCTGGATGTGACGCCAAAAGGGTCAGAACCACATTTTCAATTCCGCTTGATAATTTCTAGAATATAATAGACGGTGCGAACAAAGAGAAAATAAATAAAGCAGTGAACTTCAGAACTAGAGGGCATCGACGCGGCAGCTGATTTTGTCTGCACACGGCCCCCGTAGCCTTTCCGTCCAAAATCATTTACGCGGCCGCGACCGGTAGTGACGTCACGAGATTTGGAGCTCGCGGGAAAACTTGTCTCTGCGTTGTGGGGAGGACGCGCGCTCGCGCGGGATTTTCAAGCGTAGGCCCCCGGGAACTCGAGCTGCCATGAGCCTCTGGGTGGACAAGTATCGGCCCTGCTCCTTGGGACGGCTGGACTATCACAAGGAGCAGGCGGCCCAGCTGCGGAACCTGGTGAGTCTGCGGGGGCCGGGAGCGTGGGAGAGGGGAGGCCCCCCGGCTCGGGGTTTCGCGCCCCCCTGAGGAGCAGTGCTTCTCCCGCCCGCATTGGAAGGTGATAAGTGCTATGGAGAAAAATAACACAGGGAAGGGGGAAGAGGTGTGGGAGGCTGGCTTGTATTTTTAAACAAGAAAAGCTCCACTGAGAAGTGGCATCTGAGCCGAGACTTGAAGGAAATTGAAAAGTCATAAATACAGAAATCCGAGCAAAGAGTGGAACAGGTAAGAGGGGACAGCAAGTGCAAAATTCCCGGGCAGGGATGTGCACGGCATGTTCTAAGAACCTCAGGAGGCCGGCGTAGCCGATAGTGGTGAACCAGCGGGAAGGGTAATCGGAGATGGGTGTATGTGTTGGGATGGAGTTGGAGTGCAGACCCAGTCAGTCTCAGAATAAGACGAGAAGCCGTTGGAGCATTTTGAGCGGAGATGACACCATGTGATTTACTTTCTAGCTGGCTTAAGATTTCTCGATGTCATTGTCATTTACAAGTAAAGTGTTGTAAATATGTATTTACTCCAAAGATCGTTTCTAATTCTCAAATAAATTGTATTAGGACGTTCCTGAGATTAGTTTTTTTTTTTTTTTTTTTTTTTTTTGAGACGGAGTTTAGCTGTTGTCGCCCAGGCTGGAATGCAATGGCGCGGTCTCGGCTCACTGCAACCTCCGCCTCACGGGTTCAAGCGATTCTCCTGCCTCAGCCTCCCGAGTAGCTGGGATTACAGGCGCCCGCCACCACGCACAGCTAATTTTTGTATTTTTCAGTAGAGACGGGGTTTCACCACGTTGGCCAGGCTGGTCTCGAACTCCTGACCTCAGGTGATCCGCCTGCCTCGGCCTCCCAAAGTGCTGGGATTACAGGCGTGGGCCACCGTGCGTGGCTGAGATTAGAGCTTTGTGAAAGATCCTCTCCCCTCTATCCTGATGCCTCTTTGTCTGTTGTAGTTGATAAAAGTGCCCAATGGCAATATTTTGTGAGAACGAACTGAATCTTCCAGGGAGTAGAGAGTAAAGAAGGATCTTTAGGAGAATAAAGTGTCTGTGGAAGACATTTATCCACTCCTTTTAAGGAACTCAAATTAATATATGATGCTGATGGAAACGTTTTTGCCCAATACCCTGGTTTTCCCTTCCGACCTTTCTTAGATTTACAGATACTATTTAATTAAGTGCGTCTTAAAAATAAGAAATAATAAGAAAAGATTGTACACGTAAAAATCATTAGACTAGTTGATAGTGTTGTGACATTGAAGGTTTTTTTTTGGTCTCTTTATTGATACTGCATGTATACTAATTTAAAATAAATTGATTACTGCAGTATCCATCATTTATAGACAAATTACATTTTCCGTCAATAGCTTTGTCTTCAGTTTTCCTAGTGATAGAATACATTTTATTTTCTGTGGCCACATTTTGTTGTACAGAATTTGGAATGTATATTTTGGACATGAATTTAATATAATGGTCTTATGTGTTAAATTTGCTTTTAAGAAATGTTCACCTGTTTACTCTTTTATTTGCAGCTTAATCAAACTATGAAACATTTAAAGCATAACCCTTATTTTTGATTAGATTGAAGTTGAAAAAACAAGGCAGTAAGTGTCTGTGGGACACTTGCCATTTTCCAGGCAGTATATTAGATTGAATAGTTCTTTTCCTTGGGACTTTTTAGTGACAGAGATGGATGAGTTTACAAAGTATTAAAATTCATTGCAATAAGCGCTTCTCTTAAGATACGTATTCCATTTTTTCAATAATGGTTATTTACAGAACTTCACCTTACAAGACTTTATGCTCCCGAGGCTAAGGTCTGTCACCCACTCATCTTTATAGCCTTCATAGCACTGGTTCCCAAACCAGACTGATCATCAGAAACACCCGAAAAGCTTTTGCAAAACTCATCATCAGCAGATACTGTTAGTGCCCTACCCAGTCCTCTTGCTTTTAAGTGCACACAGACTGACTTCTGACTTCTAACTTTGTACATCTGTACTTTGCCTGAGGGCTTTTCTCTCTGTGACACCCATAGTAGATTTGAAATGCCTGGAATTAATGCTCTTTCTTTTCCCCCATCCACTTTTCTAAGCAGGCTTCAAGAAAGAACTCATCAGAGATAATCATACGGCAGCTTCCCCACCCTTTGGGTGGGTTAACACTCTGGTGGGTGTTTATGTTGGCTTTAAGAGTTTCCCTAGCAGGATCAAACACAGATACCTAGAGCCATTCAACTTGACAACACACTCTTACTGGCTGCCTTCCTTTCCCTGTTTCGCATCCCCACTCTCCTATGAAGTTTTCCTTTATCTCACAAGTAACCTCCCAAAGAAACCAAATGCACTGAATTGTTATCACAGGGACTGTTTCTAATAGTCCGAAGTAAGAAAGGCCTGAATCTCAGAGTTACAGAATCCTAATCTCATGGATGATAGGGTCTGTTCATTAGTCAGTCCTTTATTTTAAAAAGTTTTCTAGGAGATTCTGATAGTCAGGTTTGGGAGTTCCCGCTTTCTAGCATTTAGTTTTGTATCTTGCATGTGCTGTCACGTATATAAGTTATACAAAATTAGTGTCAGGCGAATAGTAAACTTTTCAGCATATATATATTTATATATATATATATATATATAAAAGATACACAATATTTTGTGTATCTACCCATGAAACTCCAAGTTTTACACATATATAAAAAATTGGGTGTATCTACTCATGAACTGGGAGTTTCATGGGTAGACACATAAAATATTTGTTACTTAAAAAGTAGTTTGGTTCTACCTAGAGCAGTTCAGTTTGACTAGGGAAAAATGCCTTGTTCTTTTTTTTCAGGTGCAGTGTGGTGACTTTCCTCATCTGTTAGTGTACGGACCATCAGGTGCTGGAAAAAAGACAAGAATTATGTGTATTCTACGTGAACTTTATGGTGTTGGAGTGGAAAAATTGAGAATTGAACATCAGACCATCACAGTAAGCATTTCACTTTGAGGCCCTGAAAGTAATTTATAGCGGGGACTTTCAGTCTTGGTCATGTATGTCCCCCCAACTCAGTTGCTTCCTAATGTATGATTTAAATAAGAATTCCACAGGTAGTCTTGGGGCACAGGATTTGAGAGCTACTGATATGGATCTGTTATAACCAGAGCAAAGCCATTTATGTTAGATAGGAAATAAGAGCAACAGAGGGTTTGGGGTAAAATGTAGAGGGTGAGATTAATTTCAGATTACCTAATAAGACAATGTCTTAGCTGAAATTAGAACTCAGGTTTCCAGACTTCATTTTTCTGAGAGCAGTAGTGGGGATGGAAAGAAAGAGAATGATTTTGAGAAAAATGTTAAACATGGTATCAAGTGACTTGGTAAAGAGTGGGCAACTGACTGACTGGGAAAGGAGGCCTGCAACTCTGGGAAGTTGAGAGGCTTTCTGTGATCTTGCCCTTGCCAAGATGTCCAGCTGCATACCGTGTAGCACATTCTTATGCTCTTCCATTATGGATGATGTTTAAGATCTAGCTGAAATGTATCCTTCCTTTTCATACCCCATTAGAATTAACTTTTCTTCTACAACTTGTAGTTTGTACTTTTAATAGTACTTATTTTGTTTTGCTTTGGTTGTAGTAGTTTATACATCTTTTACTTTGAAAAGATTGTATTTGTTTTGACTGTATGTCGAGAACATATATTCATTTTCATATCCTTCATATCTTCTGGTAAAATGTCTTTACATATTAGGCATTGAAAAAATCATATGCTGAGTGTGGATGGTAGTGCTATAAACAGAATCTTCAGGAAGGTAACTGGGTTTTAGGCTAATGTTGATTAGCATATATTTAGATACATTGAGTTTGAGATGCTGGTTGTATGTTGTGGAAATTCGTATAAATATATAGGGACAAATTTAACAAAAATGGTGTGGATGTGTCAGAAGAAACTAATATCTTATAGAGGGACAATAAACAGCCAGTCAAATGGAATGTTGCAGCATCTTCCCAGATGGGTGGCTTAATATTTTAAATTATCTGTTTGCCCCAGGTGACACTATAAATTTCTATGAAATTCTAATTAAAATTCAAGTGGTTGTTACAATTGTATGAAATGATCTTAAAGTCCGTCCATATGGAACGGTACATTTCTGAGACTAGCTAAAGTAATTATGAAAAAAGATTAGTGAAGTAGGGCTTGTGTTAATGTGTAGTAAATCATATTGTATGTCTATTGTAAATAAAACAGTATTATATTGGCATGAAAATAGAGAATTAGACAAGTGAAACTGGAAAGAGAGCTTAGAAATGTGATAGAGGTGCTATTTCAAATCAGTGGAAGAGGATAAGCCAGCAGTGTGTCATCATAGCTAGTTATCTATCCAGAGAAAACGAAGTTGAGTCCCTATGACATACAATTTATAGAGATAAATTCCAGATGAATTAAAGACTTAAAATGAAACACTAAATATCTTCGATTAAAATTTTTTAGACTATATGAATTGCTCCTGGGTCAATAAAACCTTTTGTAGGAAAACATGGAAACTATAGAAGAAAAGTAGATACCTGGATATATGAATTTGAAAAATTGCTATGACAGAAATTATACATAAAATCAATAGAAAAAGATTGTCACAAAAATTTGAAAGGACTGTGTAAATAAGAGATTTTTACAAATTGGCAACAGAAAGACAATCTGGTAGAAAACTGAAAAATAGATTCTTCTGTAACAAATAGTCACAGGAGAAAAATATAAGAGGCATTAAACACATGTAAGGATGTTTGACCTTTGTGATAGTCAAGCAGTGTGAGTCTATTATATACTCACCAAACTGAAAAATTGAAAGGCATGATAAAACCTACTGTAGATGGGGAATGTTGGGGAAGAGTGTTGCCAGTGGAAAAGTGAATTGTTAAACTGTTTTATGAAGCAGACTGGTCAATACATACACACATACACACACATGTATTATATTAAAGTTAGAAAACACATTCCCTTCAATCCAGAAAACTGGGAATCTCTTACATAGAAATGAAAGCAGTATATGCAACATATGTACAGAGATATTAATTGTGGAATTGTTTGAGTTCAGAAAACAAAATGTCCATCAGTATGACCAGCTTTGCAACATCCATGCCATAGGTTGGTGTGTGACTATAACACTGTGCCAATTGTCTGAGAGGGATTGCCAAGATATATTAAGTAGGAAAAGCAAAACACAGAGACGTGTATGATTTCCTTTTTTTAATTTTTATTTTTTACAAGAAACATTGACACTCCATGAAAATACATTTGTGTATGTTTATTTTTGTGTTAACATGGGAAAGACTGAAAGGAACAGATCGTTTGCAATGATCTGTGTTTCAGATGGTATACAGATTTGGTTTGGGGATTTCTGGAGATAAGGAAAAGAAAAAAGTAGTCACAATGAAACAGGATGTGTGATTGACCCAATTTATATAAAAACATGTTTATCTGCACATTGAGAAAAGAGTGGGATTAACAAAGTTAAAACATGAATGGTGGTTATCTCAAGTTTTACTTTGTGTAATAAAAGGAAAACCAATGAAAATACAAAAGAGTGGGGAAATAGGCAATAAATAAATGTTAAAAATATCTTTTTCTTTGTCCACAGACTCCATCTAAAAAAAAAATTGAAATTAGCACCATTGCAAGTAACTACCACCTTGAAGTTAATCCTAGGTAAGTTACTACTATATAGAAATTAAGTATTTTTAAAGAAATTGGTTTTGGGCTTTCTTTTTTTAAAAGATTGAAACCCTTTTTTGAAATAAATTGATACGTGTGGAAGCACAGTTTATAAAACAGACTAAAGTGGAGCTGCCCTGCTTGAAATGGGAATCCTAGAGCCCTTCCTGTTTTGCCTTCTGTGTCAAATAATTTCAACAATGTATTTACCTTTTCTAGCTCTAGGGAGCTCATTGATGTACACACAGTACATTGTATTGTCAGTAAATTTTTGTTAATTATGTTGGCTCATTCATTACTGATGAGCAGTGTGTCTAAAAAGTTTACAGTGTTTGGAGTAAATATTTCAGAAATTGACTTTGGGTTGCCAAATCTTTCTTTGTCACTCTCTTTGTTTAAATTTCTTGATTAGAGGTATTATAATAGTTCACCAACCAATATCTTTATTCTCTATATCATGCAGTAATAAGAATTAGGAACTTGTTGGAGAGGCGTTGAAAATTCATGCAATAGCTATTAAGCATTAAGTGGTGTAGAAATGATTCTGGGAGCTAAATTGGGTAAGCTGCTATGATCTGTGGGGCTGTATGAGTTCTTAAAGGAGAACAGAATTGAGGATATTGTCAGTCATATTCAACATGGGCAGTGACATAGAGGCAAGAGTGAACATCCATTTCAGGGAGAGGGAGGAGACCGAATGGAGCAGGAGGAATACCATTACAAGCTAATGTGTATCTTGTTTTCAGTAGCAGGCACTTTGTGAGAAGCTTTACCTGTATTATTACATTTAATCCTTAAAACAACCCTAACAGATAGGTTTTATTATTTTCTCTAGGCATCTCAAAGAAAACTAAGAGAAATAAGGTTGTTGGGAATGGGTTTGATCAAAGAAACAAAGGGAATGTTAATTCCAGATACAAATGGAGAATGTTTTGGATTCTTGGCTAGGAAAATGATCGTAAGAGCAACACTGTAGGTATATTGATCTATAATAATAGTAGTGACTTGGGAAAACTTAGTGGCTCTTTGAGAAAATAAAGTTAACTGCTTTGACCTGTTTTTCTCATCGTGAGTTCTTCTGAAGCATAGATAAGCAATTGGAGAATAAGCCGATTGCTTTTGGGGTGATTGAAATTAACATTGAATCAGCCTAAATTGACTTCTCTTGGCTTGAGAGGTCTTTGACTGAAGTGCCAAAGCAATAATATTGGTGTAAATGACAGCTCAATACCTATAATAAGTCATCAGTTTACGGAGTTTTGACTTTGTGTCTTAAACTCAATTTGCTTATCTCATCGCTTTACTGAGTCTCTGAATCAGTTTCATTCTAGTGCTGGGAGCAGACTTCTCTTTGTTTGTTCTCTCTTAGATCTTTGCTATTTTGGGGATGTGGAAGAGGACTAGGGATTGAATTTCTGTTTCAAAGAGTTACGTTTTGTATTTTCAACAATTATAGATAGTTGAGAAATTAGCTATAATTAGGTATTAATTTTCTATAGTCGGTACAGAAGTGTCAAAGTATTTGCTAAACTGTTACCTAATTATTAGTAGTTGCTCTTTTTATGTTAACAGTAAACTTAATGTAACAACATATTTAGTGTTTTCAGTGATGTTAATCCAATTGGAATATTGTTAGTATTTTCAATGACCCTAAAACTTTTTACTTTTGAAGGGCTTATAATTATAGTTAAGTGATATTAATTTTGATTAAAATTTTGACCACTTAAGAACTTCACCATTTTTCTTATAATAACAATATTAAGGGCATACTATATACCATTATTTTTGTTTTGTGTAGTGATGCTGGAAATAGTGACCGAGTAGTCATTCAGGAGATGTTGAAAACAGTGGCACAATCACAACAACTTGAAACAAACTCTCAAAGGGATTTTAAAGGTAGGTGATCAAAAGACTTCTTTTTATGAAGCTGCCAAGCATTAGTGCTCTCTCTTTTTTTTGAGTTATGAAAGTGAACAGGAGAGAAGCCTGATCTCTGGGCTCATGGGAGTTTATAGTCTAATGGAATTGAATTTTATGTGAAAGAGGATTATTTGTGCCATCCATTTGATATTTTAGAACAAGATGAATAAAAATACGTGATTTAAAATCAGAAATTACATGATTTTAAAATAATTGTTCTTATGACCGAGTCATATGTTCATTATCAGATATTTAGATAAAAAAGAAAATAATATCAGCTATATTCCCACCATCCAGAGACAGCTACTAATAACAGTTTAGACTTTACCATCCAAGCATTTTTTTCTATATATATGGATACATTCTTACTGGTGAGATTTTGTGATAATAAATATGCCATCATTTAATGCTTTTGATATATTTTGCCAAATTCTCTATCTGAAAGAGGGTATAGATTTATACTACCAATAGCAGTGTTTGGGAGTGCTCATTTCTCCGTGACATTTACCAACACTGAGGATAATTTGTTTTAATCTTTGTCAGTTTGAGTGGAGAAGATAGTGTTTTGTTCTTCTTTAGTGAGTGTGATAAATTTTTCCTTTATTGCTCATTTTTATTGTTTTGTGAATTCGCTGTACATATTCTCAGCTGATTTCTTTCCTCAGTCTCCATATTTCAAAATAAATTTACATTTATGAATTTATTTTTTGCTACTATATATGGAGTCTTATATTTTCTGAATGTTTTATATATGTGAGTTACTAACATATCCTACTTTTATATCTTGCTATGTTATTAAATTCTCTTACTGTTTTTAATTGTATTTTGGTAGTTTGAGTTTTTTTAGATGTATATTAATGTAATCTGTAAATTGTTTTTCCTTTTTCCAATTTTTATGGCTCTAAATACTTTTTCTTCTCTAATTATGTTGGCCAACCCTCCAATAGTGTGGTTAATAGTAATAGAGATAGCAGATGTCCATGTCATGACTCTGGAAGTAAAGCCTTAGTGTTTCCCCATAATTAATTGCTGGATTTTGGTCTGAGGTGTATGTATTTGATCATGGTAAGAAAATATTCTCAAGTTCCTATTTTATTGAGTGTCTTTAACACAAATGTGTGTTAAATATTGTCTGATGCTTCTTTTTCATCCATGAATATGCTTTTATGATTTTTCTTTAGTTCATTAATATCATAGGTTATATTACTGGATTTTCTAATATTAAAACTTTTGCTAGGCACAGTGGCTTATGCTAGCAATCCCAGTGCTTTGGGAGGCTGAAGCAGGAGGATTGCTTGAGCCCAGGAATTCAAGGTTGCAGTGAGCTGTGATTGCACTACTGTACTCCAGCCAGGGTGACAGAGCGAGACTATATCTCCAAAAAAAGGCAAAACAAAACTGTTCTGCATTTCTAGAGTAAACATGACTTGTCATGTTGAATTTGCTGTTTTCTGCCTACCAAGTACTGCTTAGTCACTGTTTCAAACATCACTATACAAAATAATGATATGTGTATGTAAATATAGGAAATATTGTGCCATTATCCTCAATCTGTTATTAATATTATAAGAGAAATGTTGAACATCGGTTATTATAAGAAATTTAGTTGAAATTTAAAATTTTAATCAAAATTAATAATACCTGATTACAATTACAAACCTTTAAAAGTGAAATGTTGTAGGGTCATTAAAAATGTGAACAATATTTTACCACCCAATTACAGTTGAATTAACCTATTCTTACATGAAGCTTACTGTTACTTAAAAAGAACAATAACTATGAATTAAGTAACAGTTTAGGAAATAATTTGTCTCTTTCATATCCATAAAGATGTTATTCTGCTCCTCTGCTCGTCTTTCTTGCATAACTGTTGAAATTTGGCCATGATCCTTTTGTGTTGGTCATTTTGTTAAAAGTAAAGTGATTTTTCCTGTACTTAGGGAAGGAGAGGAAGGCCAGAGAGTTTTTTTTAGGTCTGGGGCTCTACAGCTACCTCTTGTATTATTTTTACAAAGTGATAAAAAATATATGACACTTTACTTAAGGCCAGGAAATTGAGACCAACAAGACCCGATCTTGCCAAAGGAAGAAAAAAAAAAAATTAGGCTCATGCCTGTAGTCTTAGCTACTTGGGAGCTGAGGTGGGAAGATTGCTTGAACCCAGGAGTTTGGGATTGCAGTGAGCCATGATCAAGCTACTGCACTCCCGCCTGGGTGACAGAGTGAGACCCTGTCTCTAAAAAAATAAAATAAAAAAATAAAGTAAATAAATGACCTTGTGTTCTGAGCTCTATTCCCTATCTTATTTTCTGTCACCTTTATTGGGATTCTTTCCTTTGTCTCTCTTTTACCTGTTCTCAATTTGGTCTGGGATTTCTTCTCATTGTGGAGCATTGTCTTAGTCTGGAACTCCTGTCCTCAAGCCATCTTCCTAGCTCGGCTACCCACAGTGCTGGGATTACAGGCACAAGCCACTGCACCAGCCACAGCCACCTGGAACACTGTCTTAGAAGGGAACTTCATTTTGGTATTCTCAGAGTCTGCTGTTCTGTCAAACCTTACTGCATCAGGGTTCCCTTGCTCTCACCCATAAATTGGGCTCTGTCGAATCTCCCCCCTCGGTAAGACTGCTGCTTTCTTTGAGACAGTGTCTCACTGTGTGGCAACAGGCTGGAGTGCAGCGGTGCCATCAGAGCTTACTGCAGCCTTGACCTCCTGGGCTCAAGTAATCCTCCCACTTCAGTCTCCTGGGACTACAGGCACACACCACCATGCCCGGCAATGTTTTGTATTTTTGTAGACATGGGGTTTTGCTATGTTGCCCAGGCTAGTGTTGAATTCTTGGGCTCAAGGGATCTGCCTTCCTCAGCCTCCCAAAATGTTGGGATTACAGGCAGATTACAGGCATGAGCCACTGTGCCTGGCCAACTGCTGCTTTCAAATTGGCCGCACCATGGTTTCTAGTATGTTCCCGTGGGTGATTTTGAGCTTTTCCTGTCATAAAGTCTGTCAAAATCTTCCTCCCACACCGTTGCTGATACTATGTGGGCCTTTCCAGTTTTAGTTGCTTATTCTCACTTGCTCATGTTTGGGGTTCTTGGGTAAAGCTTGTTGCCTGGTTTCTGTATAATGTTCATGGGTTCTTTGTTTTGGAATCTTTAGTTGTTCTGTTTATTTTTATGGGGCAGATCTAAATGCTACATGCTGCCAGTTCATCTTCTAGAAATAATTTGTTAATATAATGAAAAATACAATATTGGATTCAGTTTCTGTGTATACATTATTCCTGAACTATGTTAAGGCTGATCTGTGATTGTGGCCAGATGGAATCTTACTTTATGGTGGCCAGATATCCTCATGCCTTGTTGCCTACATCTCTTGCACCACTGTCTTCCAAAGTCTATTCCTTGGAATTTAATATTTTAGATTAAGGTGTACCACAGAAATGTGCTGCTGAGTAAAGTTATTTTGGGGAAATGCAGCACAGTACTTCCTTGTCTTGGTAAATTTTAGCGCATATAAATAATAAAGGTTGCAATGATTTCTACTACAAAGTGACCTTTTAACTTCATTTAGCCTAGTGTTTCTTGGTCTTGTTTGATTATAGATTCTTTTCTTTTTTTTACTAGCCCTGCCAACGCAAGGTCTCACAATATTAAAAACTCAGAGCTGTTCCTCTCTATAGAAGTCTTTAGTAAAAGGCAAAATATTTATATGATCTGAAGAGAAACTGGAGTATGATTGTAGCATTTTAAAATAATAAAGTAATTTTACCATACTTATAACTTTATCTTTGCCAATGGGAAGAGTAGTATATCAGGCTTATTATTTAGGATTTCATCCTGGATAATGAGAAGGAAGAAAGAGACAAGTTAAAGTTTGAGTGAACTCAAGTTAAAGTTTGTTTTGTTTCTCTTTGACTCAGTGGTATTATTGACAGAAGTTGACAAACTCACCAAAGATGCTCAGCATGCCTTGCGAAGAACCATGGAAAAATATATGTCTACCTGCAGATTGATCTTGTGCTGCAATTCTACATCTAAAGTGATCCCACCTATTCGTAGTAGGTGCTTGGCGGTTCGTGTGCCTGCTCCCAGCATTGAAGATGTAGGTCAAGTTACACTTTTCTGAAAAATAAATCAGTTCAGATTCTCTGAATATTGTATGCTTGTTGTAAAAGAAGGGAATCGTATCAGTAATTTAAGAACACCTACAGACCTGGATGCAAAGCATTAATATGTGAACAAACCAAAGCGTATAGTTGTAAATACCAGATGCCAATATATAGAAAGTGTTTTTCCCTTTAAACCATCTTTACTTTGAACAAGTAGGTATTACGAATTCTACTAAACTAGGTAAGGGCTAGTTATTTACTGTCTTCTTTCTCAAGCTGATTTAGTTGGCTATAAGAGGAGGCTGGAATATTGAGGAAACAGATTTTGCAAAGAGATGATGTGGGAATACCTAGTCCCTAGGAAGGGAATTAAAGTTAGTATGAAATAACATTAATATGAATATATATACATAGATATATTTTTTTCTCCATTCTTAACAGCCATCAGCAAAAATTATGATTCCTCACATTAAATATCTTTCCAGCTTTTAATAGATTTTGGGAGATTTCATGCAAAGTAGGGATAATATGCAACATTGTGTTAGATGCAGAGTGGTAAGTTACTTTTAGTGTAAGTTTCACTTATAAGAATTTTGAGAGTAATACAGTTATAAGGGTCTAGGAGGATATCAACAGAAATGAATCTTAATCTGCTTTTTAATGGATTGCCCATTTTTGTTAATTTTATTTGTAGATTTGCCACGTGTTATCTACTGTGTGTAAGAAGGAAGGTCTGAATCTTCCTTCACAACTGGCTCATAGACTTGCAGAGAAGTCTTGTAGAAATCTCAGAAAAGCCCTGCTTATGTGTGAAGCCTGCAGAGTGCAACAGTGAGTGGAAGGGGTAGTTACATTCTAGGACTTTGGCCCCCAAGCTTTTTGGCACCAGGGACCAGTTTTGTGGAAGACAATTTTTCCATGGACTGGGCAGGGGTGGGGGATGGTTTCAGGATGAAATTGTTCCACCTCAGATTATTAAGCATTAGATTTTCATTTGGAGCGTAGATCCCTTGCATAAGCAGTTCACAATACGGTTCACGCTCCTATCAGAAGCTAATAACATCACTGGTCCGACAGGAGGTGGAACTCAGGCCATAATGCTGGCCTATCCGCTGCTCACTCCTGCTGTGCAGCCCGGTTCCTAACCGCACGGACCAGTGGTTGGGGACTCCTGTTTTAGGACATAAGCACACTTCTGTTTAACTTCTTGTGTTCTCTTTTTGTCATGTAGATATCCTTTTACTGCAGATCAAGAAATCCCTGAGACAGATTGGGAGGTGTATCTGAGGGAGACTGCAAATGCTATTGTCAGTCAGCAAACTCCACAAAGGTACCAGTATAAAATGATGACAGTAAAGCTTTCATTATCAGGATATCATAGGACACATATTAACTATTTTATGCTAATGTCATTTTGAATTATAATTAAATCCTGAATCTATGTATTAACTTTTTAAGGAAAATGTAGCATTTAACTTCAGAAATTTAGTGGTTCAGAATAGTTGGTGTGTGATATTATGGCTTTTATTAAGCTGTAATATCATGGCTTACATGTGATCATGTAAAAGTGGAATTTATATTAATTTTAATTTTCCTTTTAGGATCTCAGATTACTTAACATTAACATACAACACAAAGCTAGAGATAATGTGCGTAGCTTTCTAGTAAAGGACAATGTAAAACTTTGTAATCAATGATGCATCATGTGCTAGAAAGACACCAGACTATAAGTCAGACTTCTAGTTCTTGTCCTGAACTCCTAGCTAAGTGTTCTTGATCAGGTAACTTCATTTTAGAGTTTTATCTTCATTTGTATATTGAAGATATTATTATTGCCTCACCAAGGGTACTTTTGCATTTGTTGTGAAGAGCAAAAGAGTTATTAATGGTTTGAAAACTAAAAAACCCTGTGCTTATAGATGACCATGCGTTCTACTAAGGATAGCATTGTGTATATACCATTTTTACTCAGGAAGTATTTTTTGACACATTTGCTCAAAATTGCTTCCGTTACTTCTGTAGGTCTATTATTTGTAGGTTGACCATTCTGAAAATACCTCAGCTGCTAGTTGTTTGACTTATGGCAGCTTCGATTGAGAAACACAGTTTGCTTTCCTCCAAATAAAAAATGACAATGTTAAGGCCCACTAACTTTGGAGAGTATGAAGAAGGTTCCTCAGACTTGGCTAAAGCACAGTCTCATATCCTTGTTGGGTTTCTGAACTGAGAAATGATCTTTGGACCTTACAGAGGGTAGTTGATCATTTTAGGGTTCAGAATAAACTGAGTTCAGTCTATAGACTGAATAGACTGCAGCCAATAGAGCTTACTCTTCCTTGGTCTAATGAAAATAATAGAGGAATATGCCATGTTTCTCCTTTTGTTGATACATCTGATGAATTCTAATTTTTTAAGAAATTCTTCAAAGGTATTGTAACATGTATTCCCTGGTTACCATATAGATTGGTGGAGGTGGATAGTGGATCATACATAGTGGGTACTTAGTATTTCATTTAAGGTTTGCTTTGAATTCTCAGAATTCAATTATTTTAGTTGAAGAAATCGATAGTTTTCTCCAAGAAGTACCAAATGTTATAAGTAGTCTCATTAGAAAAGAAACTTCATCTTTAGGAAAAATATGTTCATTTTATTTTGTAAAATGTTGATTATCAATAAAGAGACCTCACCCTTTAAAGAGATAAAATTCAAATAAAGCATGTCTTAGGTGCCTTTTACTTTTATAAAATATTTCTACACTGAAGATGACTTTCTTGTTTTTGTTCTGATATTAAAGAAGAAAAATTGATAGCAATATAACTTACCTACTTTTAGGGGATTTAGGTACTTGAGGTTGTAATGTTTGATAATTATCACGTGCTTTTATAAAACTACTTGATTATTCCTTTGCTTAATTCTTCTAGCTGCTGTTACAAATTTCTTCTGGTTTTCCTAACACATTTTGACGGCTTATAAATGAACTTGTGCAGGAAGCGGTGCTCCTGTTTCCTGTTTAAACCAACAATTGTAGGAATTGATTCCATTGTGCTACATAAAAAGAAATTTTGCTCAATTCCAGAAAGCCTTGGGGCTGGCCAGAAATCCTGGAAGTCTGGTATCTTTCTGATCACTGGGCTACACAATTCCAAATGATTACTTCTGATTTCTGACTCCTTTGTCTTGCTGGAATATTTGTGGTCTCGATTTTTCATTTGATCTGTCTTAGAACAGTCATAATTTTCTAATTTGAATAGCAGCGAATATTTCATGAATGATTATGTCAGCTCTTACACCGTGTTATTTAATTGATATAACACACCTATGAGAAAAATATTAACTTTTTAGATTAAAAAAAAAACCCTGACATTTATGGAGATTAGGTACCTTGTTCAGGTACATTCCATTATTATAATAGAGACAGTTCTAGGATACCCATGTTTCTCTGACAGAAGAGTTTGTACTCTTAATCACTTGTAAGCTATTAGGAAATAATGACACAGACATGGTAAATGTAGAATA
Organism: Homo sapiens; assembly: GCF_000001405.40. NCBI lineage: Eukaryota > Metazoa > Chordata > Mammalia > Primates > Hominidae > Homo > Homo sapiens. The sequence goes on from NC_000013.11 coordinate 33,833,541, forward strand.
TGTTAATTTTGTAAAACAGTAATGTTAGAAGTTAACTCAAGACTAACACAAGATGCATGTTAACATGTATGCACTACACACAGTATAGTTACTTCAATTGTATAGGTAACTACATCCTGAATCAACTTTTCAGAAGTAAGCTATATACATATATTAAAATAATTTCATACCATATGAAATTATTTTTATTATTCATGCTTTAATAATCAAGTTTTATTCTTGGGATGTCAGAGAAATCACAGGCTTTTGAGTCAGGCCTGAATTCAAATGCTGGCTCAAATACACAAGTCTTGATGGAAGCCTGACCTGTCTGAACTTCAGGTTTGTTTCAGTAAAAGAGCATCATTGTTGTGGGGAATTAATAGTGTATTGCAGCGAACCTAGTACAGAATTAAGGTGTTAAATACTTTCACAGACATTGGAAAGGGTGTGGACTTTGGAGTAAGAAAGATAGATCTGTGTTAAATCATGCTTTGCTGTGGTCAGTTCTGTCAGTTACTTAAACCATCTGGGCCTTAGTTTTTTCATCTGAAATAAATGGGCTAGTGTAAGTACTGAGTTAAATTATTTGTTTCAATTCTTACACATAGCAGATGCCCCAGAAATGCTAGTTCTTTTTTTTTTTCCCCCACTTTTTTTAAGATTTAATGTGCCAGGGCTTCATATTCCTGACGTCTTAGGATTGACTTCTGCTTTTTAAGAATTCTTATAAATCACTACCTGGATTTATCTGAAGTATGGAACATCTGTACTGTGTGTATATATATATATATATATATATATATATATATCTGTACTGTAAAAATTCAGAAGTTTTTCCCTTTAAGAATGTGTATTTGGAACTTTCTCTCTTTTTTTTTTTTTTCTGTTTTAAAACGTCATATGTACATTTCCCTCCTCTTCCCCTTTCTCTCCCTAGAATATGAGAAGGGCCTAGAATGAAGGACTCAGAGGTTTGAATGTTCCTATTCGCTTAGCCTGGTTGCGTGCTTACCTGTAAACCTTTGTGCCGCCCCTTTTATGACAGGGACAGCTCTGTATCCCTGCCACATTGCTTTTTTACTGTGCAATCTAGGCAGTGGCATTGTATTATATTTCATGCGTATATTATCTTGTGTCACCTATGTAATTGACTTTTTAATCTTTTCATGACCATTTCCTGGATGTTTCAGGTATCTGTCTGGAGAAAAGAAAAACATATTACTTGACATGTCATTAAAGTTTGTTAAATTCCATGGTGTGAATAAGCTCAACCCGCGCTCTTCATGAAGTCTCAATTTCTATCTGGTATTTTCATGGTGTTTTGATATAATTAGGAACCCTGAATATAGACGTCTCATTTTAAAAGAGTTCTGAAAATGTTCTGTTTCAAAAATGAACTGAAGTTAGGAGAAGCCTCCATATGTTTATCCTAAGTATGGTAAACTATTTAAGAAACAGTTATTATTTCTTACTGGATTGTTTGTTAATTCATAAAGTTAGGTCATAAAGTTGTTAATTCTGTATTGGATTGTTTGTTAATTCATAAAGTAAAACCATACAGTGGGAATTTGGAAAAATTACCTCTTATTTTCTTCACAAAATACCAATTATTTTGTTTTATGTAGGCTCCTTGAAGTTCGTGGAAGGCTGTATGAGCTTCTAACTCATTGTATTCCTCCTGAGATAATAATGAAGGTAACCCAATTTCAGATCTTGAACTTTTTACAGCTATAAAATTTGGACGCTGGGTGTGTGATCATAGGGCTTTTTGCAGTATCAAGATATCACCTCTTTCTCTCCAGCGCATTAATTGCACGTATTTACTGAACCTCTATGGTGTGCCAGGCACTATTAGAGGAATGCTGAAGAAAAGAAGGGAGGGCCTGCCTAAAGTGAAGTTATATTCTAGTGGTGTGAAAAGGAGAACAAATAAAGAAGAGAATTTCAGAGTGTTGTAAGTGCTGTAAAGGAAATACCAAGGTGCAGGGATGATAATGGAGGGTGGGGCTACAAAGAAAAAAGTGAAGTTCCACCCATCCGTTTTCACAAAGGTAACCACTTTTAACAGACCTCTTTTCTATTCACATAGAAACAAGTACGTGTATATATGTGGTTTCACAAAACTTCTCAGTTTTCCACACTTTAGTATGGATGTTGTGTCATGACCATATGTATAGATTTACTTCGTTCTGTTAATGGATGAATGGTTTTCTGTTGTGTGACTGTATCATAGCTTTTCCGAATATGACCTCCATTGGTGGAACTTTAGGTTGTCTACAAATTATTATTGTTATTATAAATAGTGCTGCAGAAAGCATCCTTACACTTATATCCTTGCACTTTGTGCAGTTAAATATTTGGAATTTAGAATGTGGTTGATACCCACCACATTTTTATGTCATGGAAAAAGTACCCAAAGTTTTTGCTTTTGGATGAAGGTCGTTGATTCACATAAAAAATTAAAGATCTCACACATATAAAGAGAGTATGTTTAACTTTAGTCTTTTTGTGAATGGGAGAAATAAGGCATGCTTAGCTGTTTTTATTAATGATTTTTAAATTACTGATTATTTTTGTTTAGGGCCTTCTCTCAGAACTGTTACATAATTGTGATGGACAACTGAAAGGGGAGGTGGCACAAATGGCAGCTTACTATGAGCATCGTCTACAGCTGGGTAGCAAAGCCATTTATCACTTGGAAGCGTTTGTGGCCAAATTCATGGCACTTTATAAGAAGTTCATGGAGGATGGATTGGAAGGCATGATGTTCTGACTTCTGTCAGTTATTCTTGCAAAGATTTCTCAGTATCAGTATTTACATACAGCTTATATTAAAAGAGCTGTGGGTAAATTAACTGAACTTAATCATGTCGTATTTGCGTTTTTTTGGTAATAACTTCTCTGTGAACTATTAATCATCCTCTGAGTTAAATAATTGCTCCTATACTATTGAAGTATGTAGTTTTGTACATAACTTAGAGACTTTAGAGTCTAAGAAAATGATCTTAATTTACTTTAAGCATTGGTTATTCAAGTATTCATTGTTGATCCTCCTATTCTCTTCCGTCTAATCTCTCACCTGCTAAAGGAGATTTACACATTAGAAAGCAAAGATTATTTTCATTTATCCAGATGACCATTTTCTGCCACAGGTAACATGATTGTTTGACACACCATTATATTTAATTCTAGTTTCTCTCAATGAATAATTGTATTTTTGTAGGAAATGTAAGATTTCATTCTGAAACATAATTATTGGTATGGACAAAATTGCAGATACCATTTCTGTTGAGGCTGCAGATTTCCAACTTTTATTTCAGTGGTTCAGATTAGTATTAGGTCGGTACTAAGAAATAAGCATGTTTTCACTAATTTAAGTACTTGAGACTCTTGAAGAAAATTCAGAATGAAGTTCTGGAGAAAGGTATGTTACTGTAGTAATTACTCTTTGAACAGGTTTTGTGTTTTGTCATTAGCTCTGCCCTTTTTAATTAAATATTTTGGTTCATGGACCAAAGGGTTTACTTGACAAATTTGTGTGACAGACTCCGAACAATTCCTTTACTACGAAGTATAATTTATAAAATAAAATATACCCATTTTAAGGGTACAGTTTGATTTTTGACCAGTGAAACTATGATCCCAATCAAGGTATAGATGCCGTCACCCCAAAAAGTTCCCTCCATATCCCTTTGCAGTCAGTTCATCCCTACCCTGGCCCAGATGATCACTGATCTTGTCATTATAGATGAGTTTTGCCAGTTCAAGAATTTAATGGAATCAGATATTGTAAGCATTCTTGTGTAATACTTCATTCTCTCTCATTATTGAGATTCATCCATATTGTTGAATGTTTCACTAGTTAATGTTTATTGTTCAATATTTTTGTATATACTTTTAAAGCCTATTCACTTGCTGATGGATCTTTGGTTTGTTTCCAGGTTTGGTTATTATGAATAAAGTTGCTGTGAATACTTACGTGTAAGTCTTTTTGTGGACAGGTTTTTATTTGTCTTGAGTAACTACGTAAGAGTGCAATGACTGGGCATACAATATTGTAAACATTAACTTTTAAAAAGTTGCTTAACTTTCCTAAAGTTATATTACTTTACACTTCTACCAGCAATATAAGAGAATTCCTGTTGTTCCTATAGTATTGGTTTTATTGACTTTCTATGTTGTTGTCCATTTATATTTTATTACCTTTTTTATCTTCTACTTTTTCCCTCTACTTATTTTTCTAGGTTATGTACTTGGAAATTTAGATAATTAACTTTAGACTATTCTTTTCTAATATAATTTAAAGTTATAAATTTCACTCTGAGTACTGATTAAGCTTTTTAACATTCTCCTACAAATGTTGATATTTTAGGTTTTCATTTCTACTTAGTTCAAACTTTTCTGATTTCACTTGTGATTTTTTTTTTAACCAATGGATTACTTGGAATTGTGTTGTTCAATTTCCAAGTCCTTAGGGATTTTCCAAATATATTTTTACACCTCCTCTGTCTTTCTTAGTTTTTAGTCTTTCACTGAGAGAAATATTGAAATCTCCCTCCATAATTATGCATCTGTCTAATTCAGTTCTTTTGGACTTCAAGCATTTTGAAGATCGTTCTTAGGTACTTGAATAATATCTTGATATATTGACTCCTTTATCATTATGAAGTGCCCAGTTGCTTCTCTGTCTTTTGGCTAAGATCATGTGTATGAAATGCCCTTTTTTATTTCTAATGATATTCCTTACTGTGAAAATCTACTTTTTTTAATATTTATGTAGACACTCCAGCTTTCTTTTGATTAGTGTTTGCATGGTAGGAGTATTTCTTATAGCGTACGTCTGCTAACAATTTTCTCAGTTTTTGTTTCTCTGGAATGTAGTTTACCATTTATAGGATTCTTGGTTGATTTGGGTGTTTTAAACCCCCACCACTTTGAATATGTCATTCTGCTGCCTTCACGTTTCTGTTGTTTCTGATGACAAGTTAGCCAGTAGTCTTGAGGTTGTTTCCTTTTACATAATGAGCCAATTTTCTTTTGCAGTTTTCAGTATTTCTTTTTTTCTTTGGCTTTTAGTAGTGTATGATATGTCTACATGTAGTTTTCTTTGTATTTCTCCTACTTGGGCTTTGTTGAGTTTCTTGAATCAGATTATTATGAGTTGTATTAGTTGCTTTGAAGTATTTGTTAAACATCTGGCTCCACTCAGAGTCAGTTTCTTTTGGCTGCTTTTTCTCCTGTGTACTGTTACACTTTTCCCTTTTTTCCCTGTCTGGTAATTTTTGGCTGAAAACTTGACGTTTTAGGTAAGATATTTTAGCAACTTAGGATTCTCTTTTGTTTTTCTGACGTTTTTTCCTCCTGATGGTTTTTCTTTTTTTTATTTCATGGATTGCTTAGATGTCAGCTGTGTAATTTGTCTCCACCGCATTGTGCAATCACTGATGTTTCTGCTCAGTCGCTTTTATTTTAGCCTGGCTTTATCCTTCTGTCTGTGTAGTTTAGTGACCAACCAATGATGTGAACAGAGTTTATACTTAGACATCATGAGACTACAAGACAACTGAACTACATGTGGAATGAGGAATGCATTCAAGGTTGCAACCAGTCCTCAGTACCCCTTGGTTTTTATTTTCTAGTTTAGCCGTCCGTCAGTTATATGTGTGAGCTTAGCTTAACCCCTCTGTGGTTCTTCCACTTCTAGGATCTCTCAGTTTAATTTCTGATTTGTCTGTCAATGGCCATGAACTAGGCCTGCAACTTAGGGCTAGCAAAGCTATTGTATGGGTTTTCCCCATCCTTTTTGAACCAAGTCTGCCATTTTTATCCAGCAAAGCAATGAGTTTTCCTTGCCCCGATGTTGAATCAAGTCCACTGCTCTGGCTGCATCCAGCCCTAAACTTATAAAGCTACATTTTTTACTGGCCAAGTGACAGGTGTATGGTTGTATCACTAGGCATAGAGGGTCATAATGTTGCTGCCATTTTTACCTGCAGCTGATAAGTTTTGAAATAATAGACATTCTTCAATTTGTTGTGTGACTTTGATCAAGCTTCAGTGTACTGAATTGGTTGTTTTTTGACAATTTTGTTCACTTCTCTACTTAACTGTAGTGGGAAATCACCCAATATCTTCCTGTTTCCATTAGTAGAAGTAGCCATCCACTGATTGATTTCTTCATTGCTTTTGTAGACTCAAATTTCAGTCTGGCATCATTTATTTTAAAGCCCGAAAAAGTTTATCATTTCTTGTGAAGCAGGTCTGCTGGTGAATTATCTTAAGAGTTTTTTGGCTTAAAAATGTCTTTGTTTTGCATTCCTTTTGGAAAGCATTTTCAATGGACAAAATACAGATGGTTTCAAAATACAAAATACAGATTAAATACTGTAGTTTGACAGTTTTTCTTCCCCATCTGTGTTTTGTCTTCTGGGTTGTGTTGTTTCTGAAGAGAGATATGTAGTCATCATATTTTTAATTTTATTTTGCTACTATGGCTGCTTTTAAGATTTCCAACTTCTCTTTATGACTAGTTTCCAACAGTTTGAGTAAGAAGCGTCTTGGTGCGATTTGTGTGTGTGTTTATCTTGCTTTACACTACTTTGGGTTTGTTGCAGTCCTTGATTTATGGGCTTTTGTATTTTATTAAATTTTGAAAAACTGATTTTGAATATTTTTCTGCCCCTTCCTCTAAGACTAATTACATCGTTATTTGGTAGTGTTGCATAAGTCACAGAGTCTCTCTTTTTCCTAGCTTTTTTCTCACTGTCCTACAGTTTGAATAGTTTCCTTCAAGTTTTCAGCTCTGGCAGTTTCATTTGCTGCTTTTTTATATTTCTCATTGTTTTTATGTTTCTCTTTAAATCTTTTGAACATATTTATAATAGCTCTTCTGAAGTCTGTCTGCTTATTATATCTGTCATTTCTGGATCTGTTTCTATTGACTGATATTTTTCCTGGTTGTGGGTTAGATTTCTTGCCTTTTTGTATGTGCATTAATTTGGATTGGATTCTGGCTCTCTCATTATTACATTGTCATGTTACATTATCAAGTGTCTGAATTCTTTTTTTTGTGTGTGTTTTTTTTTAACTGTTGGACTTTGTCTTGGCAGACAATTACAGTTGATCCTTGAACTACAGAAGTCTGAACTGTGTGTATCCATTTATACGTAGTTTTTTTTTCAATAAACAAAAAATTTTTTTGAGACTTAATTTGAAAATACTCATGGAAAAATGCATAACCTAGAAATATCTTTTAAAATTTTAAAAAGGTACATCATAAATGCCTAAAATATGTGTAGCTACTAGTCTGTTTCATCATTTACTGTGATAAAATATATACAAATCTAGTACAAAAAGTTAAAATTTATCAAAACTTTCACAAACTCAGACCATACATGGTGCCATTCACAGCCAAGAGAAATGTAAACAAATGTAAAATTCAGGGGTCCTCAGCCCCCTGTGGCCTGTTAGGAACTGGGGCCACACAGCAGGAGGTGAGCAACCAGTGAGCACCAGAGACTATTACCACCTGAGCTCCACCACCTGTCAGATCAGCAACAGCATTAGATTCTCATAGGAGTGGGAACTCTGTTGTGAACTGTACATGTGAGGGATCTAGATTGTGTACTCCTTATGAGACTCTAATGCCTGATGATCTGAGATGGAACAGTTTCATCCTTCTCCACCCCTTCCTCCAGCCTTCTGGGGTCCATGGATAAATTGTCTTCCACAAAACTGGTCCCTGGTGCTAAAAAGGTTGGGGAGTGCAGTATTAAATCATAACTGCATAAAATTACAGTACATACTATGCTGCCTGAATACTTCTGTAGCCACCTCCTGTTGGTATTGCAGTGAGCTTAAGTGTTGTATTCATTTAAAATGCCATGTGGTACCTTTACAGATTGAGGTCTAAAGCTGTGGTTGCCCTCAATTTCAGACAGTGTATTCATTTTGAAGTATCAGTACAGTACTGTAGGTGTAATTTCTCTTCCATATCACTCAATATTTTCTGTAGCTTATATAATAATACAGTATATAAGACATATACAAAATGAGTTGACTTTATGTTATTGGTAAGGCTTTCAGTCAACAATAGACTATTGGTAATTACATTTTGGGGGAGTCAAAAGTTATACAGGGGTTTTTGACTGCATAGGGGTCTATGCCCTTAACTCTTGCATTGTTGAAGGGTCAACTGTATTTGATTATCAGCTTGTTGTTTTTCATGCTTGTTTGTAAACTTTTTTGGAGTAGGCCTGGCGTAGTCTTGAGTCCTAATTTAGCTTTAAAATAGGGGCATGATATTTCTAGGGTCTCTACTGCATGTCCTGGAGATCATTGGGGTATAACCATTCTGGGTCACCAGAACTCAAATATCTTCCAGCCTTGTGGGAGCTCTGGAAATTATTCAGCTTGCAGTTTTTATTTTCTCCATGGTTTTAGTTACCCATGGTCAATTGCAATTTGAAAATATTATGTGGCCAGGTGCGGTGACCATGCCTGTAATTCCAGCACTTTGGGAGGCTGAGGCGGGAAAGTTGCTTAGCCCAGGAGCCCGAGATGATCTGGGCAACATATTGAGACCCTGTCTCTACAAATGATAAACAAAATAGAAAATTAGCTGGGTGTAGTGGTATGTGCTTGTGGGCCCAGCCGCTAGTGGGGCTGAGGTGGGAGGATTACTTGAATCTAGGAAGTTGAAGCTGCAATGGGCTATGATCGTGCCACTGCACCCCAGCTTGGGCCACAGAGCAAGAGCCTGTCTCAGGAAAAAAAAAAAAAGAAAAATCCAGAAATAATTTGTAAGTTTCAAATTGCATGCCATTCTGAGTAATGTAATACGATCTAATCTTCCACCATCCTACTCCATCCCACCTAAGATGTGAACCCTCTTTGTCCAGTGGATCCAGACTGTATCTGCTACTTGCGTGTTAGTAATCAACCAAAGATAACAAGGCAACTCTTAACGTAGGAGTGCTTTTCTGTGTAACTCCCTTCTTTCCAGATCTCTGCCCAACATAGGCAGCCACCTCAGCCTCTCTGAATTCTGCTCCTTTTCCTCAACTCACTGTTATCACAGTTCTCTACCTGGGTTTTTCCTTCCTACCCTGCAGCCAAATGTAGGGTGGGAAGGAAGGTTTTTCTTTCCCACCCCGCAGCCACTTTCTTCCAGGCAGAAAGCCAGAATGATGGTATAGAGTTGACCTTACTGGTTGCTTTATATATTTTGTCCAGTTTTTTAGTTGTACAGTGGGAGGGCAAGCCCATTAACAGTTAGTGGCAGTATAAGTCTTGAAGCTAGGATTCTAACCTAAGGCCCTGGTTTCCATGTGTGAATCAGTGTTTTATGCCATTCTTTAAAAATCTATGATTTTATGTTTCATATAAATTAAAAATTTGTTCATGGGATTTGTAGTTGTGCAGTATACATCACAACAGAAACTTGTAGTTTTAAGTGCTGTTTTACACTCTGAGATTTATCAGAATTGAGTAATAGTACATTAAATATTATTTCCAAATTATAGCACTTAATCACAAAACACATTCCTTAAAAAGTAAAACAAAAAAACAAAAAAAACCTCAACTCTTGGCAGCAATTTTCTTTGTACCTTGTTCCCAAGTAAAACATAGTCATCTCATATTTTTCAAATTGATGAACAGATTTCTCTAGCTATTTGCTCCTGTTTTTTTTTTTCCTGTTTACAATTTCTATGGAAATTTGGAGCATTATCACAAGATGTTCTCTATCAGTTTGATTATAGTGTACAAGATTTACAATAAATTACTTTCCTCTCTGCAGCTTTGCAAAAATAGTGGTCTCCACAAACCTCAGCTCCTATCTAAATTGCAGCCTAATGCCAATTTACAAACACTATATGGTACCTTTGTGGCTTAGTAGCTTATGCTCCTTTTGCAGTTGTTTAATTAGCTGATGGCCCACTGAAGTTACCTTCTCTTTAATATAGCAGCACCAGAAACTTAAGCAACTTCCTGAAGAGCAGCTGTGCAAAATAATTACTAGCTGTAGGCATGGAAAGAGCTTGACACAGTTTCTCTAGAATAACATTAAGTACCTTTATGTGAGGCACTATGCTAGATTCTTCACAGGCATTCTCTCATTTAATTCTCCTAACACTCTTTGAACTAGACATTATGATCTTGTTTTGCAGATGAGAAACTGGATCCAGCTGATCATGGGTGCCACTCTAATAAATTCACAGCTACCAACCAAGAAATGGGCTGTCAACACTGCCCAACGGACATATGTTTCTATGATCAAGTCTCCACAATGCCTTTTTCAAAACTTAATTTGGAGCAAATAATTTTACCTTCTTGTTAGCTACCGAAACCAAATCCATATGCAGCCTATGTTACCATATCCTCATTTGTATGCATCCTGTTGACTATATCTACATTTATATGCAACCTATATTCTCCTAATACGGTAGAGAAGCTGCCCATCTTCCTTGTTAAGCTTCCCATCTTGTTGGGTTTGTTCTATGTTGATTGTCTTTTTCTTTTGATGATTAATCATGTTTTTCTACTTCTTTGTTGAGTAATTGTGAATAGTATCTAGTGGTTATGAATGATCTGGGCTTTAGAGATTACAGAAGAAAGTATTTGCAGAATTAGGGTTCAAGCTCTCTTGTTCTCTCTTTTAAAGGATTGCCTCTATCATTTTGTAGCAGCAGTGGCTGCCCCCTAGTCTTCTGGTTCTTTAATCCAATAAGACAGTAAAGTTTTCATAAGAGTTTTAGCTGCCCATGTTAGTGATGACTGTGGCCTGCCTTCAGGCTAAATGCCTTAAAAATGAAAAACTCTAGTGCTCTGCCCACCTTCCAATTGTTGATTACCTTCCAGTTTCTGCTGTTCTTCTCTCTCCAGCAGTTGTTTTTTCTACTACCGTTTTATCATTTGTTTTCTGGTTGTTTTGTGGCCTTCCTTCCCTCCTTCTTGCTTGCCTGCTTACGTGATTTTCTCAGTGGTGTGTTTCAATATCTTGCTTTTTCTTGTTTGTGTATCTGTTGTAGGATTTTTTATTTGAGGTTGCTATCAGGTTTGCAAATAATATAACTCATTATTTTAAACTGATGACAATTTAACACTAATTTCAAAAACTAACAGAGAAAACTAATAAAAATTCTACAATTTAACTTCATCGCTTCTGCTTTTTAACTTTTGGTTATTTCTGTTTATATCTTATTATACTGTCTATGTTCTGAAAAGTTGTTGTAGTTATTTTTGATAGGTTCATCTTTTAGTCTTTCTATTCAAGATATGGATAGTTTACACACCACAATTACAGTGTTATAATATTCTATGTTTGTCTATGTACTTACTATTGCCAGTGAGTCTTGTACCTTCAGATGATTTCTTGTTTCTCATTAACATTCTTTTCTTTCAGAGCGAAGAAATCCCTTTGGCATTACTTGTATGATAGGCTTAGTGTTGATGAAATTCCTCAGCTTTTGTTTATCTGGGAAAGTCTATATTTCTCCTTAAATGTTTGAAGGATATTTTCACAGGATATAAGTCTAGGATAAAATATATTTTCCTTCAGCACTTTAAATATGCCATGCCACTCTTTCCTGCCTGTAAGATTTCCATAGTGAAATCTGCTGCCAGACATATTGGAGCCCCATTGTATGTTGTTTGTTTCTTTTCTGTTGCTGCTTTTAGGATCCTTTATCCATGACCTTTGGGAGTTTGATTATTAGATGCCTTGAGATAGTCTTATTTGGGTTAAATCTTGGTGTTCTATAATTTTCTTGAACTTGAATGTTGACATCTTTCTCTAGGCTTGGGAAGTTCTCTGTTACTATCCATTTGAATAAACTTTCTACCTCTATATCTCTCTCTACCTTTTCTTTAAGGCCAGTAACTCTTAGATATGCCCTCTTGAAGATATTTTCTAGATCGTGTAGGCATGCTTCATTCTTTTTTATTCTTTTTTCTTTTGTCTCCTCTGTATATTTTCAAATAGCCTGTCTTCAAGCTCATTAATTCTTCTTTTTGATCAATTCCATTATTAAAGGGCTCTGATGCATTTATTAATAGGCCAATTGAATTTTTCAGCTGCAGAATTTCTGTTTGATTTTTAAAAATTTTTCAATGTCTTTGTTACATTTATCTAATAGGACTCTGACTTGCTTCTCTATGTTATCTTGAATTTCATTGCACTTCCTCAAAACAGCTGTTTGGAATTCTCTGTCTGAAAGGTCACATATCTCTTTCACTTCTGGACTGGTCACTGATACCTTATGTAGTTTGTTTGGTGAGGTCATGTTTCCTGGATGACCCTGCTGCTTGTAGATGTTCATAGATGTATGGACATTGAAGAGTTAGGTATTTATTGTAGTATGGGCTTGTTTATACCTGTCCTTCTTGGGAAGGCATTCCAAGTGTTCAGAGAAAATTGAGTGTTGTGATCTAAGTCTGGTTACTGTAGCCATATATGCATTAGGGGGCACCCCAGTAATGCTGTGACTCTTTCAGGCTCATAGAGATATTGCCTTGGTGGTCTTGGGTAAGATACAAGAGAATTCCCTAGATTACTAATCAGAGACTCTTGTTCTCTTCCCTTTTCTCCAGACAAATGGAGTTTCTGTCTCTCCATGCTGAGTTGCCTGGAGCTAGGGGAGAGGTGATACAAGCATGCCTATGACCACTACCACTGGGACTGTGCTATGTCAGGACTGAAGCCAGAACATCTCTGAGTCTCACCCAAGACATACAGCAAATACTGCCTGGGTACAACTGATGTTTTTCAAGGCCCAAGGGCTCTTTAGTCAGCATATTATGAATTCTGCCAGAGCTGGGTTCTTCCCTTCAAGGCAGCGGGTTCCCTTCTGGCCCAGGGTGTGTCTACAAAGGTCATCCGGGAGCTAGGTCCTGGAATGAGGCCCTCAGGACTCTACCAAGTGTGCTGTCCTACTGTGGCTGAGCAGGTCTCCAAGTTGCAAGACAAAGTCCTCTTTACTCTTCCCTCCCCTCTCCTCAAGTGGAGGGAAGGAATCTCTTCTGCAGCTGCAATTTGTACTGCCTGGGATTGGAGGAGGGGTGATGCAGGCACTCCCTTGGCTGCCCTGGCTGGTGTCTCACTGGGTCTTGTGTATCCCAAGTTGGCTGACTCAAGCACGGTACAGCACCAGAGCTTGCCCAGGAATTGCAGTCTTGTGGCGTAGACTGCTATTCAAGTTTATTTAGGACCCCAGAGTGCTTTAGCCCATGATGATGGTGCTAGCTGGAACTCAGTTTCTGCCCACTGGGATAGACAATTCCCCTGTGGTTAGGGCTGGTCTAAATACTCTCTCTGTGGGTTCTGTCATGTGTTGCTCTCCACTGTGACGGGGAAGCACTGTCCAGTGCACACAGATTCTCTCTTTTTCTTTTTTTTTGGTGGAGTCTCACCCTGTTGACCAGGCACTGAAGTGCAGTGGTGCGATCTTCGCTCACTGCAGCCTCCGCCTCCTAGGTTCAAGCGATTCTCCTACCTCCCTCTCCCGAGTAGCTGGGATTACAGACACCTGCCACCACACCCGGCTAATTTTTGTATTTTTAGTAGAGACGGGGTTTCACCATGTTGGCCAGGCTTCTCTTGAACTCCTGACCTCAGGTGATCCACCTGCCTCAGCCTCCCAAAGTGCTGGGATTACAGGCGTGAGCCACCATGCCTGGCCTACACAGATTCTCTCTGCACCATGCTGCAGCTGATGGGGGATGAGAGAGGGGTGTGTAGGCAATTCAATACTGTCTTTCCTACCTTCTACAGTGCCTTTTTCTTTAATACAGTGTTAAAATCAGGTACTGTGATCACTCATCTGATTTCTTGTTCTTACAAAGGTGCTTTCTTGTGTGGGTACTAATTTGGTGTTCCTGCGGTGGGGGAGGGGGATAATCTCTAGGAGGTGCTATCTGGCCATCTTGCTTCACCTCCTCCTCCAGCAGTTGCTTTTTATAAGTTTGTTCAAAGCTTATAGTTGTTATCTACTGTAAGATTGTCAGCCATACCAGAAGCAGAAATTCCATCTCATTGTTTTATAAATATGGTCAAGTATCTCTTAAAAAAAAAAAATCATTCATATACCTCACATCCTCATCTTGCACCCTCTCTTTCTACTCTTTACACATTTTTTAAGTGTTTTCTGTTCATATTGCCTACATTTTCTTAGTTTGCAATCCATTTTAATCTGGTTTTCCTTCTTATAACTTCAAAAATACAGTTTAGTCTAAAAGGGATGTATGTATGTGTGCATCTCCATCCAGTGAATTCTTGCTCTGTATCCAGTGAACTTTTAATTGACCTCAGCAATATGTGTTGCCCTTTCTTGAATCTCCTTTTTCCATGGTTTCCCTGAGACAAATATTCTCTTGTATTTTTTCGCCTACATCTTTGGCTGCTCACTTTACAGGCTTTTTCTTACCAAGCCATCAAATGTGGAATATAGCTTTATTCTCGACTCTCTGCTGCTCATAAGATTCTCTCCCTGGGTGACCTTATACATGCCCAAGGCTTTATATACCATCTATTAGCTGTTAACTCCATTTATATGAGCTCAAACTTTAGCTGAATTTCACACTTATGCATCTAAACACCTATCTGACGTTCGTTCACAGATACTTCAGAGACATCTCAAACTGAACATGTTCCACACTGAGCTTTTGATCTCTTCCAGCCCAAAGTAGACCTTTCCCATTGTTCCTTTCTCGATGTCATCTTTTCTGATTCTTTTCCATGTTCTACAGCAGTGGGGATTATCTGGGGTTCTACCTAATTTTCTTTATTCAATGATCAGCTTAATATCTGTCTTTTCCATGCTCCTTCCCCCTTTCTACTTCTGTTCATGAGACAACTCAGTTTTGAGTTCAAAAAGAGTACATGTGTTGATGATTCCCACATCCAGACATGAGGTGCTTTTCCTAATACAACCATCAGCCATTTCAATTTTGGTTTATCTAAAACAAATTCACCAGCATCTGTTAAACCAGCTACTTCTCTTAGCTTATTGCTTGTGTCAGGGTACTACTTTTCTTCTAGATACCGGGTGTAAACCTTTAGCATGTAAGTTGACCCCTCTCTCCATTTTGACAGTCATTTGTCAAGCTCTGGCCTTTATCCCTTGTAGATGGATGTTGCTTTCATCTCTCCCTGTATTTGTCATCAAATGAACCATAACAGGCAGACTAGATGGACTCATGGCTAGGTATACTCAGATGAGCATAAGAGATTTAAACCAAAAGCATGGGTGTCATTCAAAACAGCTATTTGTGCATTTAAAAATCAATAATTCTTCATACTCAACATGGCAAGTAATTTCTATTAAAAAGAGATAGAAATGTAAATATTTAGATTTAGACCACTAAGGGCAACTTCTATCCATTCATTTGTTCAGAAAAATATTTATTGAGCACCTGCTGTTTGCCATGGCTTTTTTAAGGTACTGGGGATACAGCAGGACAAAATTGACATCAGTTTCCTTTGTGGAGTTTACAGCCTATCACGAAGAGATGAATGCAGGATGATAGATAGATAGATAGACAGGCAGACAGACAGGCAGACAGACAGATAGATAAACTGATAAAATATTCTATGTCATGTGTGCTGTGGAGGTGGAGAATTTTGGTTTGTTGTTTTAGGTAGACTGTGTTACACAGTAATTTACATAGTCCAGGCAAACTAAACAGTATATGCAAGACCTGAAGCAGGAAGGAATATGCCAGTGGAGTAGGTTGGGCAAATGGGAAAGTGGCAAAAGATGAGGTGAGAACATTGAGCTAACATGGAGGTGAGGTGGGATAGATCATATAGGGTACTGGTATTCTGGTAAATGTTTAGCAGCTGGCTCTCTAGGGAAAAAAATCAATAATAAAAGGTCCTGATCTGTAGTGTTTGCAGTTTTTCTGGTGTAAACACTCTCACCATGGCCAATTTCAAGCTAGCAATGGAAAATATAACAGTCAGCTCTTGTGAGCTAGTATAACCCTTCTCCAGGCCATCACTGATATAGAGCCTTGTAGGACAATTGCAGTGATTTTTTTTTTTAAGTGAGAAAGGATGCCACTAAAGAATATTAGAGTAGGCCAGGCTCAGTGGCTCATGCCTGTAATCCCAAAGGAGGCCGAGGCTGGCAGATCAGTTGAGGTAAGGAGTTTGAGACCAGCCTGGCCAACGTGGTGAAGCCCTGTTTCTAATAAAAATACAAAAAATTAGCTGGGAGTAGTGGTGCGTGTCTGTCATCCCAGCTACTCAGGAGGCTGAGGCAAGAGAATCACTTGAACCGAGAGGCAGAGGTTTTAGTGAGCCGAGATTGCACCACCACACTCCAGCCTGGACTACAGAGTAAGACTCTGTCTCAAAAAAAAACAAACCAACAAACAAAAAAGTATTAGAGTTATGATGTGTTCAGGTTTCTGTTTCAACAATCAACTGTCTCCTGGGTTGAGAATATTAATTACATGTTAACATTTGTCTGTTTTCTTTGATTTACATAGTGCTAGCTTACACATTGTTTTCAATTATTAATTGTCAATATTTAAAAATATAGAAATACTTCAAAAACATTAACTTCTTGATTTTCTTAAAAAATCAAATTTGATCTTTATGTTACTAATTTGAATTGTGGAGTGGCTATCTTTTTTACATAGGTATGCATTTTCCATTTCTCACCAGTTTTAGCTATTATTTTACACAGTTTTTTCTTTGTTTTTAAATTGTGGAGATGAGAAAAATAAACTTTCTAATAACCAAACCTTTTATCAAAATTGGTGTAAAATGAGAGGTAAGAGAGGGTTATATGGTTCAAGAAAAATTGAGCATGCGTATTTCTTTATAGATGTAAAGGATATTTTTAATTTATAATAAAATGTATCTATTTTGAAGGAATACAGCTTAATATATCATTATGAAACATCATACAACAGGTTATGATTAGGTATGAAGATGATTTTTAAATTGATACACTGAGAAAACATCAAAATTTAATCAGGCTTTGATTTTAAATTAATTGAAATAAATTATGTTCTTGTAAAATTAATATTTACTGTATGAAAAATTGTCAGAATAGCAAAACAATTTGCAAATGTCAGTTTCATAAATGAGTGAGTACAATATATATTGACTTAGAAAAACAAACATTAGCAAAAGTATATCTAAACATAAGTATTGTTTTGAAAATACAGTTAACTTACAGGACAAACTCATTTTATGCTGTTTTTAATAGTGATCAAAGTGCAGATATTTAAAATACATCACTGAATTAAGTTAGTTTTGTACATGATAATTTTAATAAAGGATTTGAAAACTTGGTGCTCATGAGTCACAACTTTTTTTTAATTTTGAAAGGAAGTCAATAAGCTTAATATACATTGATCAAAATTAGAAAACATAACTAAGACAATTCTTCTGTGGTAGTTGATATTACTTTCGGATTTTTTTCCTCACAAAATAAATTCAGTTGGAAGGGTATAAAACTTAAATTTACTAATTGCCTGATTCAGCATGAATTTCTTTGAAAAGCAAGCCAAAACCCTCCATGGAATGAGAAATTAACATCATGAACTAGATTGATTCTTATGGCTTGAGAGCATAATGCTTTGTTGATAAATTGGGTCCATAATTAAAGCGTCTGCTGTAGTTACACAAGGATATATGCAAATGATTTTTGAATTGTTCATGTCATCCAAGGGAAAATCTACTAATTTTTCTCTACCCCCATTTCCTGCTTTACAAAGATTGGATTCCTTAGTTTATAATATAGTTGACCCTTGAACAATGTCGGGGGTTGGAGCATCAACCCGTCACAGTTGAAAATCAACATAGAACTTTTGACTCCCCCAAACTTAATAGACTAATGTTGACCAGAGCCTTACCAACAACAGAAATACTCAGATAACACGTATTTTGTATGTCGTGTATATTACATTCTTACCATAAAGTCAGATAAGAGGAAAGAAAAGGTTATTAAGAAGGTCCTGAGGAAGAAAAAATATATTTACTATCTAAAAATATATATTTACTAAGTAGAAGTGGATCATTATAAAGGTCTTCATCCTTTCTGTCTTTGTGTTGAGCAGGCTGTTGAGGAGGAGGGGTTGGCTTTGCTGTCTCAGGGGTGGCAGAGGCAAAATAAAACCTACATATAAATGGACCCATGCAGTTCAAACCCATGTTTTTCAGGGGTCAACTGTATAACCCATCTAAACAGTGACTATTTTTTGTGTAAGGTCATTCTTAAAGCATTGCACACACATATGATCCAATTCACACATTCTGCAGTTGGCTCGTTAGGAAACTATTTGTCTGGGAATAATCTGGTCTACAATCTTGTGGGAAAAGAATACCCAGACATTTAAATAACAGACCTAAGTATGAATCCATTCCCCAAACTGTGAAGTTGAAGACTGAATTTTAAAATTGGCTTTCAGATATCAAATTTTATAAAAAATGAATTGACATTGATATTGTGAAACATTGATATTCCACAAATGAGATATATTAAATTGAGGTGCAACATGGTATTGAAAACTAACTATGAGAGTATTGCACTATCTGAATTGCACAAATATCTTGAGAAAAGTTACTTTCAATATAAAAAGCAGTAAGCAAAGATTTTAACTGTAAGTTATTGTCATCCAGGAATAATTGTTTCCTGTTTCTAATCTTTCTTTCCTGGAAGTAAGCTTCAGTAGTGTTACTGCAGGCCTGTCTTTATTCATCCAGCTCTTAGAGAGATGGAGTATTTTATTTAATTCTCATCTTTGAGAAGAATCAGTGAACCTACTTGACGTGGCTCCAACTGTTTTTCTGTTGAGAATGAGCCTATGTGTAAGTAGTCAGGCTTCTTGCCTGTAAGGAGGCCTAAAGTCTAGCACTGCCCCCACCTAAAACCGTGTCTTCTGGCCTAATTTCTATCAGTAACAGGTTATATTTTGGCTTCCCACTGAATCTGTTTTGTTGATCTCAACTTGTTCTAAGCAGAGCATAGAATAATGGTGCCATTTATTGGGGAGTAACCCTCAGAAACCTCAAAATTTGGTATATTCACCAGGAACATTGAGAAATAATAATAAAAGAGAAAGTTTGGAAGGAGAAAGTTTTTGTGCATCCAAGGCCTACAAATGTGGGTCTTGGACTTTAGGGATTAAATGTATTGAGTATAATAGTTTATAAAGACTTATAATAGTTTATAGAGACTTATTTTAGGTCAAACTGATTTTTACTTGTTTGCATTTGGCTTTGAACTTCTGTAGCCTGGGAAGAAAGCTCTGGCTGTCATGAGGAATTTTAAGCTTGGCAGGTGACTGCAACCTATGACTTATGCAACTCGTGAGAAAATAAGACACAGTCCTTTAGCTGTGTTGGGTGCTTCAGGTAGAGACTGCTTTGGCTTAATGCACAGACCAACCTTGTCCTAAATTGAGACAAGATTCCATTGTAGAGAAGAGTTTTACAGGCATTTTAAACATTGGTGGTCAGAAGAATATTTGCCACTTTTAAACTGCAAGGCAACTAGCTCTGCATGTATAACAGAGCACTAGAGGGGCTCTAGGTCTACATGGTTAGTACCAAGACCAGCTAGATAATCTAGATTGGGTATTCCAGATTCAAGAGAAGACCTCTTTCAGGATCAAGGAGGGCTGTGAAGGCACCTGCTAACCTTTCATGTGGCATTTCCACAGACTTTTAAGACTCCCTCTCCCATTATAGAATCCCAAATTGGCTCTGAATACATTAATATCTTAAGTTCTAACCCTGACTTGCTATCTGAGACCCAAATTGTGATTTCACCATAGATGTGCATTAGACTTTATTAATTAGGAAATAAGAGATATGAACTCTTATTAGAAAGAAATTGCTATCCCCTTGAGACAGAAAATCAACTAAATGACATTATTAGAAACCCAAACACAAGGATATCAAAGTGTTCTGTGCCTGCAACTGGTTGCCTCCAATTATCCCATTTGCTCAAGAAAAGAAAAAACTAGAGTGGTTAAAAGATGGTACTTCAGTTCCATTAAATCCAGAAACAGAGGAAGATTAATAAAGGAAAGTAGGCAGGATACGCTGGAGGAAGAGATTATTTATTCACTAAGAAAGAATACAGGGAGAAAGGTACGTTGAAGATGGAGTTAGACCAACATACAAGGGGCAGAAAAAGGTACCTAAATTCTAACTGCTTTTAAAGAGGGAAATACATGTTTGTTGTTACTAAATCATAAATGGTGTATGGAACCCAAGAGAGAGAAGTCCAGGATGATAACCCTAAGAAAACCCAAGTCACTGAGAGGTGACTTTCTAAACCCACAGGACCTCACTTGGAGCAACTGGGGAACTACTACTTAAAGACTGGAACAGCTGTACCAAGGAGTTGTAGAAATCTGGACAGACTTAGAAAATGCATAAGAGATATTCAAAGCATTTCTTACGTGAGTTTCCATGTGACACAGTCATCACGGGGAGATACAAGCATTGCATTTACTCTGAGAGAACTTATTGACCTTAGTTGATGAATTTATGAAATTAGGATCTTAATGGAAGGTAGTAGAAAGATACGAAGAAATGTAGATGTGACAATCAGAGACCAAGTTCAGGTTTTTGTTAACTGTCTGATGGAAGAATCTCTCTTGGGGAGATTATCCATGTCATTGAGAGTATGGTAAACAAAATCTGAACGGTGAACAGAGAGCTTGTTGATTTCTTCTCTCTTACTATGGTAGACCTCACAGATGAATCCAGAGTAGTTATAAAAATAATTGCCTGAGACGGAAAGCAAAGACAAAGTAAATGGAAGGGAGCCACTCAGTTCCTGCAGGCAGCATTAGCTCTTACATAGACTAGAGAAGAAAAAGGACTGGTTTAAGAAGTAGACTAAATTGTTAAGAAACTCAAGTAGCCTTGAAAGGGGTTGGGGACTAGCACAGGGAAATTAAATACCAATGCATCAAAAATTTAATTTCAGAAGCAACAAAACTGCTTTAGTGCAGGAATCTATTAGTGGTGATTCTTCAGCTAAGATGAATTATGAATGAAGAAGTCTTTCCTAGCAGATGGGTTTCATGTCCCAAGTAGTTCCATAGCTACAGATGGTGGAAATAGCCCCTGTGGCACAGGACTAAGAATGGCTGCCCCTGAGAGATGGTGCAGGTGTGGCATGGATTAGAGACTGAATCTAGGGCACCATCAAGGGCTTAAAAACCTAAGATTCTATGGGAAAATGGAAATAGAGGTTCTGGGTATGCTTGATGGGAAGAAAGAACCCACAGTGATTTTGGGGACTGGCTGCTGCTATTTCAGGTGTCTATTTCAAGTTTGCAAGGAGACAGAAATGCCTGAAATGATACTATTAAAAAAGAAGGAAGAACCAAGGCCATAGTTTAGATATACCCCAGGGCCAACTGCCCATAACCATGTAGTCAAAACTTAAGTCATCCTGATTTCCCCATAATGCTCTAATCATGACGGAAACAAAACATAAGCTCTATGAACATGGTTCAGTTGAAATCAAAACAATCGACTAGCGACAAATGAGCTTAAACAACTCTACTTCCCTAAAAGGGATGGTAATATACAACAGGCAAGAAAAAAAAGGTTAAAATACTCCTCCTTTGTGCTTTATAATCTGCGCTGTGGCTGCTTTTCTTGAGGCTTCTTACTACTTTCAGTTTGAAGTCTCCCAGTTTGAGAACTGTTCTTAGTGTGCACAATAAACTTTTAACATTTTTTCTAAGTTGATCTGATTTTATATTTCTTAATGCTCCGAGCAAGCACACAGGAAACATAGATGGATTTTTTTTCCCACAAAAATGGAAATGTAAAGAAATGGTGTCTATGTGCCTTATTTTCTTTACCCAGTCTACCATTGACGGGCATTTAGGTTGATTCCATGTCTTTGCTATTGTGAATAGTGCTGCAGTGAACGTATGTGTGTGTGTCTTTATGATAGAAGGATTTATAATCCTTTGGTATATACCAGTAATGGGATTGCTTGGTGGAATAATAGTTCTATTTTTAGGTCTTTGAGGAAGTGCCACACTGCATTCCACAATGGTTGAACTAATTTACCCTCCCACCAGCAGTGTATAAGCATTCCCTTTTCTCTGCAACCTTGCCAGCACTGGTTATTTTTTGATTTTTTAACAATAGCCATTTTGAGTGATGTGAGATGGTATCTCGTTGTGGCTTTGATTTACATTTCTTTCATGATCAGTGATGCTGAACTTTTTTTCATATGCTTGTTGGCTGTATGTGTGTCTTCTTTTGAAAAGTGTCTGTTCATGTCCTTTGCCCATATTTAATGAGCTTGTTTTTGTCTTGTAAATTTAAGTTTTTTATAGGTGCTGGATATTAGACCTCTGTCTGATGCATAGTTTGCAAAAACGTTCTACCATTCTCTAGGTTATCTGTTTAGTTTGCTGATAGTTTCTTTTGCTGTGCAGAAGCTCTTTAGTTTAATTAGATCTCATTTGTCAGTTTTTGCCTTTGTTGCAATTGCTTTTAGCATCTTTGCCATTAGATCTTTGCCCATTCCTATGTCCAGAATGACATTTCGTAGGTTGTCTTCCAGGGTTTTTATAGCTTTGGGTTTTACATTTAAGTCTTAATCCATCTTGAGTTGGTTTTCATATATGGTATAAGGAAGTAAAACAGTCTCAATGTCCTTTGCAGCAACACAGATGGAGCAGGAGGCCATTTTCTTTAGCAAACTAATTCAGGAACAGAAAACCAAATACCACAAGTTTTTATTTATAAGTGGGAGTTAAATGAAGAGAAGAGATGGACACAGACAGGTAAACAGCAGACACTGGAGCCCACCAGAAGGTGGAGGGTGGGAGGAGAAGAGGATCAGGAAAAATAACGAATGGGTATTAGGCTTAATACCTGGATGATGAGATAATCTGTACAACAAACACCCATGACACAAATTTACCTATGTAACAAACCTGCACATGTATACCTGAACTTAAAATAAAAGTTAAAAAACTGATATGGAAATGTAATTGTAAATGGTAAATGCAAAATAAACGTATTCCTGGGAGAATATTTTTCCACTGGGCTTAAGTAAGCAAGTCATGGAATACAGACAATTGGTCTTGAATGAGAGACGTCTGTTGAGATTGACTCCAGAAAGATTTTCCTTTTCTCTCAGATACCAGGATTACTGGGGTCCTGGTAGCTCTGGTTCTGGAAATGCAATTTTGCCTGGAATAATTGACCTATGCACAGGAGATTGGCTTTCTAAATTGGGTGCGTGTGACAAAGAGGTGTGGTAATTTTGTGAGTCCTGTTAGCTGTTTTGATTCTTTAAAAGTAAGGCCCCTGAGAGACTGGGCATTGAATTACTATGACTTGAAAGGCTTTGGAAGCTCCAGACCCATTCCAGAGAGAGACAGGTGGTTACTGGAGGAACCTCAACTCTACCCAGACAGCAAATCCTGCCAACTAAGCCTGCAGAAAAGATGATATGAAGGGGAAGGGTATTTGTTTTGTAAGTGGACTTTGTACTTTGAATTTTAATACATGGGGCAAGAGAATTTTATTTCAAACTTTAGTACTTTTAGATTTTCATGTCTTTGAACTTAAACTTGTAAAGCAATCTAATCTTTAGACATAAATTTATTCCTTGGAATTTAATAATAGCAAGGAAATTGTCTTCAAATAAGAGGCATCTCTTTATAGATGTTTGGTTATTGGAATATCTTCAAGATAGCGTCCAATCTCATTGCGGAATCTCTGACATGCTACATTAGACAGTATGCCTGGACATAATTTTGGACAGAAAATAGAATAGGGGATACATTTTCAGCTCTTCCTACAGAATGGACTCAAAGCTGACATATGGAATGTATGGTTCTGACTCACTGCAGATTCTTCTGGGGATGACATTTAAGCCGCCTGCCCTTGGAACCTCAAGGAAACACAAGTCAGCAGAGCTCAGTGCAGGGTGTGGGCTCATGGAGATGGGAGCAATGCTCTCCCAAGGCAATCAGCATCTCTGGCTGACCATAGGCTTCATGTTTAAGCCCAATGAATTAAGAAGATGAAAAACTGGGGAGTGTTAGTGGGGCTAACATTAAAATTAATATTTTTGCTTCATTTTCTCCTCTTTTGTTTGAACGTTTGATATAAATCTTGGCTCTCTTTGCTCATTAAAACCCAGTGTGGTAACCTTTTCAGAGTCCTTAATTTCCTAATATGAAATGTGATTCAATTCAACAAACAGTTGTTCAGCACTTATTGTATATTTCTGTTCTGGGTACTAGGAATATAGAAATAAATAATATTGCATTAGATGCTGACTTTATTTACATGTTTGAGTCCAATAATATAAAAGTACATAAATCTTAAGGACAGCATGAAGAGAAAGTGATCATCCTGTCTGGGAGTTTGGAGGTAGACAGCTTTCATCAAAAAGGGAATTTTTGAGCAAAATGGTTAAGCAGAGAAAGCGTATTTTTAACAGAGGGACTGGCACATAATTAACACATGGGGAAATGATGTGCATGTTTTATCAAGATACTAACATGAGTTGACAGTTCCTGAGGATAATTTCTATATTGTGAAATAAGGATGGAGCGGAAGGGACCAGATCATAACCATCTCGGAAGCTGAGATGTGGACATTATTTTATGGATGACCAGCCTTAATCCAGAGAGATTTGATGAAGTTTACAAAATAGAGCAGCTTGGCCAAATGACTTCTCCATTTCTTTTTAGCTTCACAGTCTTCTGTTTTGTGTCTTGGTCTCCTACTGTAGCTTGAGAATACTTAATTCTCAGCTATTCCAAATCAGCAGGTACCACACCGCATTTGGTAGGGTTAGGTTTGGCTGCATATAACAGAAAAACCCATAATAAAGAATAACGGTAGATTAAACATGACAGAATTGTGTTTTCCTCAGGTAAAAGCAATTCTGCGGCTAGTCTGGCAACTTGGCAAAATTGTTGGTAACCAGGTCCCTTCCCACTCTTCACTTCACAAGCCCAGGAGCATGAACTTGTCCTCATGTTCTGAGATGGCAGCTGAAACCCCAAATAATCACGTTCATGTTCCAGGATGGAAACTTTTGAGAAGATTTCCTAGAGGCACCTGATACACTTTTACTTATTTCTCAATGGCAAGAATTTGGACCCACGGTCATACCTACGGTTGGAGAACAGTGGGGCATATGATTGCACTGATTAATTTTTTTTATCGAGAAAAAGTGGAAAATAAATATTGAGATAGACAATTAGCTATCTCTGTTCTATCCATGGAAAAATGAGATATTTATCTATCTATTTAAGTGGAAATGAACATGGTAGGCTTTCAAAGATTAGAGAAAGAATTTATCCCCAAAATTGTTTTTCTAATTCTGTTTCTTGGACATCTCTTTTTCTTTCAACTGTAGCATCGCAGTCCCTGAATTTGAAACTCCATTCACAACATACAGTATACACATCCTCAAATGCTGAATGCACACTCAGTCGTATGTGTCCACAGCATCCTTCTCTCCCTGACTTCTGGGACTTTGGATGAACTGTGTTGACTGTTTTCACATCCTTTCACATTTATTGTTCCTGGTATAAACGAAATGCCACAAATACACCATGATTTTATTTGACACTCAAAAGTCAGGCTTTTGAGACTCAAAAATAACCTTTTGCTTCATGTTTGCTGTGAGAGTCAAAACTCCATTATAAAACTCGGAAGCTGAGCATGAACTCTAAATCTGTGTATCGTCTTTTCCCCAAGGCAACATCTAAAGGCCTAAAAGAGAATTGCGATGCAAAACAAGAATTTTGAGGGATAATAAATGCATTGGTTAATAACAAACCAACCCAACATACTTATAATAGAGACGATAATCAATCTAAATGCCCAATAATGAAAACTAGACATAACATTATGATAAAAAGTATAAAGTCATTAAATATTTTGAAGGATTGTAAATAATATCAAAACATTTATATTTTAATGAGTGAAGAGAACAGTATATAAAAGTGACTATGTATAGAGATGACAAGTTTAGAAGTATACTCAGAAAAGTCATGAGGAAAAGGAGCATAATTTTAGCAGTGATTGGGTGGCAGACTATGGATAATTCCTATTTTTTGTTTTCTAAATTTTCCCTCTGAGGAACATGAATTATTTTTATAATAAAGCATTATTAGGATGCACATATATATGTGTGTGCATATATTTACAGTTTGAAATAAAAAATAAAGTTGCCATCCCATACGTAATGGTGGATAAATGACTCACTTCTGTCTGGGCATGCCATGGACTGAATTTTGTCCTCAATGGTGGATAAATGACTCACTTCTGTCTGGGCATGTTATGGACTGAATTTTGTCCCCATCACCCCCAAATTCATATGTTGAAGCCCTAACCACCAATATGAATATGACTATACATGGAGATAGGGCCTTTCAGGAGGTAATTAAGGTTGAATGATGTCATAAGGGTGTGGCCCTAATCTAATAGGACTGGTGACCTCATAAGATGAGGAAGAGACACCAGGGGCATGCATAGATGAAAGACCATGTGAGGACACAGCTTGAAGGTGGTCATCTGCAAGCCAAGGGGACAGTCCTCAGGAGAAGCCAACCCTGCAGTCACTTGGATCTTGGACTTGCAGCCTCCAGAACCATGAGAAAAATATGTTTCTGTTGTTTAAGCCACTCCACCTGTGGCATTTTGTTTTGGCAGCTGGAGAAGACTAAGTGTGTTGCACTTTTTTTTTTTTCTTTTGAGAAGGAAAAAAGCCAGGAGAGAAACTTGAAGTAGCAAAATGGGGACTCAGGAAAACCAAGGGAAGGAGGAGGATGGAGGCTTTTGGCCACCACACACTCACTTGCTTGGAGGGCTAGAATTTGCCCTCCATGACTGCACAAACACATTTAAAGACATCTACCTTTGAGTGCTCCAGATGTTTGAATCAGTGACTGTATTGCTCCTTACTTGTCCCCTCTGCAGAGGAGGCATTCCCAGTTGCCTCCAATGTGCATCCTGTGACTTGGACCCCAGACTTCTCTTCCTTCTGGCTGCCTGCTTTGGATGTGTTTTTGCTTATCCCTCGGCTTTTTAATGTGACAATCGACTCCGCATGTGTCCCAGGCAGCCGTGAGGAGAGAGAAACTCGTTCTTTCCCTGCAGGCCAAGGCAAGGAGAGAAGAAAGGGAAATGAACCGTGTTATATTTCTGTCTGCAGCATGAGTCCCTGTCATGATTTTCCTCCAATCAGGGAAGGTTACTTTGGCAACCGCCAATTAACGTCCCTTTAAATAACTTCCTCCTGGTTAGTGATACTTCATTTTCATAAAACCAGCAAGTCCCGCAGAGATGTCTTAAAGTAGCCAAATCCCTTTTTTTCCCCTTTCTCATTACTTAAGAAACATATTAAATATATATATATATTTTTTTACCAGGTCTTGCTCTGTTACCCAGGCTGGAGTGCAGTGGTATGATCCTAGCTCATTGTAGGCTACTGCTGGGCTCAAGTGATCCTCCCGCCTCAGCCTCCTGAGTAGCTGAGACCACAGGCCAGAGCCACCATACCCAGCTGAGAAACATATTTGAACAGATTACATAACATTTTAAAATATATTGGCATAAAAGTGAAATATACTAGTTAAAGCTTCATGTCATTGTCCTTAAAAAATACTAAGGGGAAAAAGATTTGTAAAATATAAAAATAGAGGTTGCATGTCAATTTCAAGATTTCTTAGAGCATTGATGATAAACTTTATTTTAATGCGGTGTTGATTTAATAATATCGGTAAAGTGATCTCTCTATTTTACAAGCATATTAATTGTTGCTGATTGCAGGATGACTTTGAAAAGGGAGGCTGGGTGTGGTGGCTCATGCCTGTAATCCCAGCACTTTGGGAGGCCGAGGCGGGCAGATCGCCTGAGGTCAGGAGTTTGAGACCAGCCTGGCCAACATGCCGAAACTCTGTCTCTACTAAAAATACAAAAATTAGCCAGGCATGGTGAATTAGCCGGGTGTGGTGGTGGCACCTGTAATTCCAGCTATTCAGGAGGCTGAGGCAGGAGAATCTCTTGAACCCAGGAGGTGGAGTTTGCAGGGAGCCGAGATCATGCCACTTCGTTCCAGCCTAGGCAACAAGAGCAAAACTCCATCTCAAAAAAAAAAAAAAACGGAAAAATGATCACATTTTTGTGTTTGAAATAGCATGTACAATCACTGCACTTCAATGGCAAGGAGGTAGTTCAACCTGTGAGAACACGCACACCTCTACTTAGAGGCTCCCAAAATGATTTTTCACTTAACAATTTTGTACCGACACTGTGCCATACCAAAGTACTGCAACCAATTACAGGTATTTACTGCAGAATACCCTTTGCAGTAAAACTAACCCTGAAAATGTAAGAAATTGTTTTTATGAGCAATAGAAATGCCTATTCTGGAAGCTCTAAGAAACATTAAATTTTACTTCAGGTGTAGAAAGTTGCCTGTGAAAATATGCTTCTTGCAATTTCAGATGATACAGTAATTCACAGGATTATCAAAACAATGCTGTTGAACAGCAGTATAGATTTATTTAGTTCTATACGTCTCACCTTTAGACATTTTAAGATGAAGTGTTTGTCCTTTCAATTAATCAAAAATGTTTTCCCTTCCACTTAGCTAAGTCGCTCAGGTCTCTAGCCCTGTCGGCATTTTCTCCCAGATATTTGGCTGAGTGCCATACTGAAGAATTAGGTCTGGTAATTAAATCCAATCTCAGCAAAGTTTTTTTTTTTTTTTTTGTCTGACACTTTATTTAGGTTTTATGCAAAATGGAATCCCATAGGGACAGAGAATGAACATGTTGTGAAGTATAATTGCAATGAAATATATTTAACAGTTATTTTTGAAGAAAACGCTTAGAGATTTCCCGTGACTTGAATCAGCTTCAATGTCTTTATGCAACTTTTTCCATTAATGCTTCCCATCCTTTATGATTAGACTTATTCATCTATTTTCTGCTGGTTTTCTACATTAATAAGCTGCTTTTGTCAATGATTTTATGTAAATCAGTATGTTTCCCACTGATTCATACACACACATGTCAAAATATTTTAAAAGCGAGACATGTTATAGGTTAAAATATACAGGTAAATATAATATGTATGTATTACATATTCATGTATTTTTGACATTCTATATTTTGATATATTCATATATCTTCATATACATATTGAAAAGCATATCTTCTATAGCTGTGTCTTAAATTTTCAAGTATTTTGATCTGATCACTTTCTGCAATTGACAATTTAAATGTTCCCAAATTATACAAGGAGAAGGAAAATCAGGATCTAAAAATATAATGAGGGTTGCTGTTTTGGAGACACCTCTAAGGCCATCTTACTTAGTCCATTTCCCAAGTTTCCAGCTGCACTGTTTCATCATAGAATGGAATTTACAAATTGCCTCCCAATGCTGTCAGATTCTATTGTTTATAATAAATTAATTCTTACATGCATTTCTAAGAAAAGTTGTGAAAATAATTTTCTGGAGGTCCTTACATATAGTGTTTCCCACAGAGAATGTGTGCGTCTGTTTTGCTGGTTAGTTGGTTAGCATGATTTTGTACCTAGAAGTACAGTCTTTGGAATGATGTTCCTTCCAGTCATAAAGTGCCTTTAACTGATAGACAGTTTTTCATCACAATAGTTATAACTGCATCAGTAATATAATGAATGAAAACAATACATACATATATACACAATGCACATATGCAGATATGAATCTCATGCACAAAATCAGGCAGTTAAGAAAAGACTGTTTTCATTATTTCTGTCTCTGGGTTTAATTTCTGTTTGGGGTCCTCACTCTGCTAGGTAACAGACAGTTCATCTTCATGCACATAGCACTCTTCCCCACCCCGCCTAGGTTGCATTTATGGGAGGAGGAAGGGTGTTTGGGAGAAGGCAACATGGCTTTGCAATATTCAGGTACTGAGTGGAGCCATATGTTCTGTGGGTCTGTGTCATTTAACCACACCTGCATCAGCTGAGCCATTCTCATTCCCATCAGTCTTGAGTCATTTTACCCAGGTAATTGCTGTGTTTTCCTGGTTCCAACCATAAGAATTCTGTCTCTGTACAGAGGTTGTCCATGCTGTCCATGTGGTTGGCTTCTCCCTGGTACAATGACATCATTCTCTTGCTTGATACTGCGTGGATACACAGGCCTTCCATGAAACCGCTAAGTCCTTTGTTCCAGATTTGTTACTGCCCTGCTGTATAAGTACTCTATGCTTTTTGTATGTGAGGTTGAGAACCCTGGGATCTTGCCAATTTTCAGAGTTCTACTGGGCATGGGGCACAGATTTCCTCTACTCTCAGTCTCCCAAACATCTCTCCCGAGGTTTTTGTCATTTCTGCCCCCTCCTCTCTCTGACTTAGCGTATTTAGTCCATTTGCACTGCTATAAAGGAATACCTAAGACTGGATAATTTATAAGGAGAAGAGGTTTATTTTGGCTCATGGTTCTGCAGCCTGTACAAGCATGTCACCAACATCTGCGTGGCTTCTGGTGAGGGTCTCAGGAAGCTTCCACTCATGGTGGAAGGCGATGGGGGACCTGGAGTATCACATTGTGAGAGAGGGAGTGAGAGAACGAGGGAGGAGGTGCCAGGCTCCTTTAAACAAACAGGTCTCCTGTGAACTCGTAGAATGATAAATCATTCATTACCCTGAGGACAGCACCAAGACCTTCCTAAGGGACCTGCCTTCCTAACCCAAACACCCCCTCCCACTAGGCCCACCTCTAACATTGGGGATCACATTTCAAAATGAGATTTGGAGGGGACAATTATCCAACCATATCATTTAGCCAAAGAATGGAAAGGCTAGGCCTACCTAGAATATCCTCTCAAGAACACGACTGGCATCTAATTGTTGTATCCTCTTTCTCTTGTTCTGTCTTCTTTCAGTTCTTGGATTTTTTAGTTAGTTCAGCTGAGAGTAGAGGGTTAGGAATTGGAAGATGGAATAGCATGAACAGTGATGCTGAAGTGAGCTCATGAAGGGTGGATATGAGAGTGAGTGGAAACTTGTGATTATGTTGGGGAGTGTGACTGGAGGTCAGGGGTGACCTGGAGATCTGTTTGGAGAGTTATGGGGCTGGGAGTAAGTTGAAGAGATCACCAGTAGTCTCGAGTTTTCAAACTATAGAATTTTTTTCTTTAGGGTAATGAGAAGCCTTTGGAAATTATTGAGCAGAAAGTGATATAATCCAATAAATGGTATAGATTTTAGATACTTTATGGAGTTATTTGATAGGGGATCACATTTCAACATGAGATTTGGAGGGGACAACTCAAATATGATTCCAAGAACCTAACCTGAGCTATGGTGAGTTATGCAGGAGGAAGGGGAGTTCTGTCTTGGACATATGATGTTGCAGAGGCGATTTTGAGATGTAAAGAGAGGTAAAGCCTAGGGATGTATTGATGAAAATAATCGATTGATTGTAGCTCAAACTGTAGAAATAGAAGAGAGAAGAAGAAAGAGAACAAAATTCATTTTGGAATAGTGAGGAACAGTCAGAAACTGGACAAAGATGCAAAATTAGAAGAATGAAGACATAGAAACATAGAAGGAGGATTTCTAAATAGGAGTGTTATCACCAGCATCAGTTGTTGCTGGAGAGGTTTCCAGGGATATAGTGGTTTCACAGTGCACAGTAATCCTCCCAATTCAAAACACCTGAAAGTTCTATAAAAAATATGAAAAAAAATATTTCTATAATGATTGTGGAAATTGGGAAAGTAAGGGGAATTTGTTGCATGGTGCCTTTGCCTGAGGGAGTTGCCTTGTAAGAAGCTGTTGTTTCCTTTGTGCTCACCCTCTCTAGTGACAGCTCTAGGTCTGGAATGGGAATGCATGGATTGAGTGTGTGTGATGGAGGAGTTGGTGCCTGAGAAATTACAAAGGCAAACCTAGGTGGAGAAAGCTGGCATAAGAAAAGAGTAACAGGACTTTGCTAAATTCTTATGAGCAAAATCTACAGGGAAATGAATTCTGAGGAAGCTCTACCAAGGAGGGAAAAGCATAATTATAGACCAATGTATTTATCAATCAATCAATCAATTATAAATCAACCCATTTATCATTGTAGGCTCACATCCCAGAGATTCTGGATTCAATGTACTAGACCAAACAGCAAGAAATAGTTCTCATTGTTGACTTGGGTAGTTGAATAAAACCTAGGTTCTACAGAGGTGTAAATAAACTTTATCTGTCAGAAAATATTCAGTGTGGCCAGGTATGGTGGCTCACACCTGTAATCCCAGCACTTTGGGAGGCTGAGGCGGGTGGATCACCTGAGGTCGGGAGTTCCAGACCAGCCTGACCAACATGGAGAAACCCTGTCTCTACTAAAAATACACACAAAAAATTAGCTGGGCGTGGTGGCTCATGCCTATAATCCCAGCTACTCAGGAGGCTGAGGCAGGAGAATTGCTTGAACCCGGGAGGTGGAGGTTGCAGTGAGCCGAGATCATGCCATTGCACTCCAGCCTGGGCACAAGAGTGAGACTCCATCTCAAAAAAAACAAAACAAAATGAAACTCGGTGTACCATAGACTATGTCTACCAGAGACAGTAGTTCTTGGTTGGCTAATCAAGTGTGGTTCCCCTAACTACATCCTCCAAGAGGTCTTAGAAGGAACTGTCTTCACCAACGCTTTCACAAATATATTGTTGAGGTGAGCACCTTTGAGATGTGGTCCAGGGGTTTTTTCTGTAGGCAGAGATGCCAATGGGAAGTGCTGCAGGGGCAATGGTCTCATAAACTCAATGGGAAGCACCCAGAGACCCAAGCAAGTACTAGCAGTTATTTGGGAGAGGTAACATGGTGTGCTTACCTTCATGGTCAGCTGGAAGGGTGTGATCCATACAGTTTGGAGGTGGATAATTGATCATGAGTTCTTTGATTGGAAGCTCACTATAGCTTTCTTAATGAATTCAAATAAGAAATAAAACCATCTCTAGGTGTTGCAAAGAGTCCTGACTTGAGCTTTTGTAATGGAGAGTCATTATGCCTCATACAGTTCTCAGCCCTGAGCCACATCAAAAAGCTGGAGCCCCTTGAGTAAAGGCAGGTCTGAGCCCCCTCAGAAAAGGCCCGATAGAAAGTCACAAGGGGATACTCTTTATATTTCTACTGGTTTTTCCTTAAAAGCCTTCTTGGTAGTGATTTACCATGGTAACTGGGCCCTGGGAAAAAGGAAATACCTAAATATTCTAAGGGAAGATTTTCCAATGGCTCTAATCTAGACTAATTTCTGAAATTCCACTAAGGCCTACCAGGAGGAATAGGTATTTAAAAAGCCAGATGATAATTAGGGTCCAGTTTAGGGTAAATAGGGTAAATAATCATGTTTTTGAACATGGTTATTCATTCTTGTACATATGTGTACATATAAATATATATGTATACATAAGTGTGCATATTCTATACAATTGGAATAGATTTCCTGAGTAATTGGCAAATATCTTCATAAGTTTCCTGATCTACGAAGGAAGGACTGTTACAGTAGGAAGGGCCAACTGGAAGTTTAAGTGCAATAAAAGAAACAAGGCAATGCTAATACTCTTGGAGTTCCCAGATCTCATCTCATCCCCATCACTAGAAGCAGTTAGCTTTATAGAATAGTGCAGTGGACAGTGGAATACTT
Organism: Homo sapiens; assembly: GCF_000001405.40. Classification (NCBI taxonomy): domain Eukaryota; kingdom Metazoa; phylum Chordata; class Mammalia; order Primates; family Hominidae; genus Homo; species Homo sapiens. Next base: position 33,867,192 of record NC_000013.11, read on the forward strand.
AATAATAGTGCCAATACCCGATTTTACAAAATCCAGAATACACTCTAAACTGTCAACTGAAACACAGTACTCTTTCTTCCATACTCAGAGATGTGCATGTCCAGGAATAATGAATTGGAAATGGGAATTGATTCTCTACCTGGTAAAGTAATGACCCACCTATAAAGCTTGCTTTCTTTCCCTGTGATTCTGTTAATCATTTTAGTACCTCAAGGAGAAATGCTTCTTCCAGTGGATGTACTAACAGTTTTCAGAAGAATTGGAAAGTAAACTTAATCATTTTAAGCCACACATGCTTCTGAGAGAAGAGGGGAAAATAAGAATCATGGGATGATTGATTCTAACTGTCAGGAGGAAATAGGGCCTCACTACCCAAAAGAGATGAGTGTAGATGATTCCCTGGGCAGCATCCTATTATTACTTTATCAAGTGGTGAAAATTAATGAAAAATTACAGCTGCCCCCTACAGGCCAGACCCACCAGGGCTGCGATCTCCCAGATGGGAAGGAAGGTTTGTGTCACCCATGAGCTAAAGACCCCACACCGGTTACTATGTTGGCTGAAGATGAAAGGAAGATGAATTGTACAGTAGTGGGGAGAAATCACAACTATCAGCTACAACCCCAGGACTCATATTTCCTTCTTTACCACGTTATGTATACATTGGTATATTTTGACTAATTTTCTTTGTCTTTCCTTCCTCCCTACTATGCCATTTAAAAAATGAGTTTTGTTGGTTAATTTTACATTTCAGGCCACTGGCTACAGAATATTAAGGTGGAATCCAACAGAAATAGAGAGGAAAATAACATCACTCAGAGCTCTTAGACTTTGAGCTGGAGGCAGTAACTGACAAGGCTTAGGGTTGCCTTCCTTTGCTGGGAGAGCTTGAAAATGTCTTGATTGTTTAAGGAACGTTGCATCATATGAGGCATAAGTGTTTTTAAGTGAAGAACATATGTGGATATCAGGTACGAAGATAACTGGACCTGTGCAGGACATCAGCTATTGTTCGGAAAGTCAAGCTCCAACACCCTTCCCTTCCATTTGTGCAGAGACCTTTAAAATGTGAGTCTTGGTGGAAGGGAGGCCTCACTTCCCATTACAGAAGCTGAAATTGAGGCAGGAGAGTAGGGTCTGGAGGCAGGGAAACTAAGGCTGATTCACACTTACTTCCTAGAACTGAATCAAAAGGAAAACCCCACTTCTCCACACCCAACTTACAAAGGGATAAGAGGCTACTAACTTTGCACCGCCTCACAGATGAAAAATGGAAAGTACCTTTGATTGGTTCCCTCCTGCAACCAATCAGGCTGGTCATGGGGCAAGTCTTCACTTGTAACTTTGTAACTTCAGCCTCTGATTGGTCACCTATCACAACTAATCAGACTGGCTGTGGGCCACTCCTTCATTTACATAGAGTGTAACTAAGTAACCAGTGGGAAACCTCTAAAGGATATTTAAACCCCAGAAAATTCTGTAACCAGTGCTCTTGAGTGGCTTGCTGGAGCCTGCTCCCACTCTGTGGAGTGTACGGGAGTGTACTTTCATTTCAATAGCTCTGTGATTTTGTTGCTTCATTGTTTTGTTGCTTTATTTGTGAATATTGCCCAATTCCTTGTTCAAAATATCAAGAACCTGGATGACTCAAAGTCAAGACACTCCACAGGTAACAAAAAGGCCAGACACTCCTTTCCCGTGGCCTCTGCTCCTGGAATATGTGTGCATTGCCTAGGCTTAAATATTCAAATGTTCCAGTGGTACAAAGCCAGGTGAGAAGTGCTTCTGGGTGCTAGTTTGAGAATAAGTGTGGAATCCAGCAAGGGCAGTGGCTAGTGTCAGAATCCTGGAGGCAAGAACAGGAGGTGTCTGGTGGTGGTGACACTGAGTTCTTACTGTCAGCAGTGGTGGTCACCAGAGGTGGCTTCCTGACAAAATGTGCCTGGTTCCCTGCTGTTCACTCTACTCTGGTCCTGCCCATTTTCTCAGCCTGGATTCTCTGGCCTTTTTGCTGATTGAGTTAATGACACAATATCCTTTTGGCAAATGCCTTTTCTGCTTCATTAAGTTAGTGATATTTGGTCTCCATTGCTTGTAACCAAGAGCCTTGACCTTTACAAGACTGATTCATGGATAACATTTGATTTCCATCTAGGGACAGGGAACCACAAAAAATTGAGAGATGTATAAAAAACTGTGTAGATTTTTTTTTTTAGGGGTAGGGGGCATGATTGTTGTTTTGTTTACTCAACTGCTTTTTTTCACAGAAGAAACTAAAAAATATAAAAATGGAATGACTTCTATCAATAGAAAATACAATCCTTTTCAGGAAGATTAATGTTTATCTGCAAAGAAAGATATTGTTGAATGTCTCTTGTGCCATCTGTTCCCAAAGTTCTCCCTTCTGTCTCACCTCCAGTGTGAGTTCTTTGCCTTTCTTTTCCTCATCTAGTTTTGCTACTGGATGGGGCTGGCCTGGGAGGAAAAGGGGAAGGAGAAGTGGGTGCTTCAAATCCTGCAGGGAAAGTGGGGAGAGAGACAAGGACTTCATTATTCAGACCTTTTCACATTGCGAGAGTTAATCTTTTCCTAGCATATGTCCGGTGTCTTAATATGCTAAAATAATGACTATCACCTTCTTAACTTCAAGTCACATCCTAGAAGGCCTCCATTGGATTACTTAAGCCTTCAGAGGCTGAGCAAGTTGAGCAAGATGGTCAGCGTAAAAAACCTGATGCTGTACAAATCTCGGAGAAAGAAGTATACCAGTCTAACTTGCTTATCCTTGTTTGGTGGTTCCACAAAGGGAACGAGCAATCCTTGATCAAATGGACAAAATACCATGAGTGAGCTACTGTCAGATTTGCTAAGTACCTAGAATCTAGTTCTTAAAGGTGTGCTCGGAATATTTTGGATTCTGTTTTGATTTTGGTGAAAATCCTCATAAAATCTGACAGATTGAAAGCAATGAACAGCTCAGCTTCATAAAAAATCATTTGCATGGAACTGGTGAAGGGCAAAGCATTGCCTGGTTGTCTTCAGCTCACTTCCAGTGCCAGGTGCCTGGGTGGGCTTGTTTATTCAGAAGAAATGAAACATAAATTGGCAGGATCCCTTTAATCCATTTAATTTTCTCTGGTGTGTACAGAATGGGGACAGGTGTGAAAAGTGATCTATTTTGTTGGAAAATTCAAGGCACATGACATCTCAATGATGGCAAAATAAGAAATAGCTGACATCATGTTTCTAAATATACAACATTTTGCAACAGCCACCTGGAGCAAAAACAGAAAGGTTGAGAAGGCAGAATAATGACTTTTTGTCTCTGGAAGGCATCCATGTTCAACAGTCTGTCAGGAAGAGAGACAGGTGGGGCTGGCTCACCACCTGGGGTGAAGGCTGCTGCAGGACTTTTATTAAAATTATTGCACAGGAGTGGAGAAGATAAACACTCAGTGGGTGCAATGGAACAGCCGGCCCATATGTCTGGCTAGAACTAAGGTCTTTCTCTAAAATAAACCTACCTAAGGTAGGACCATTGTTTTTGTTTGTTTGTTCTGTTTTGTTTTGTTTTTCCAAAAAAATCTTGTATACTAGTCAAACAGATCCCAGGACTTATAAATGCATTTAATATGCCTCTATGTCTTCAGTACCAATGTCTGGAGTTTATTATCTGGCTTTATCATTGCTTGAGGTATAATAGGCGAAGGAGAATATAAATTAAAATTGAGAATATCATCAGGAGGACAAGGAGGATATTGATTTAAGTGTCTCTGTGCTTTTCACACTGTGTCCCCTGTAGACCCTCAGAGTTAGAAGGCACTAAAGAGTGAACTAGTGGAGCCCTCTGGTATATGGTAAATCAAGGCCCAGAGAGGCAGTGTGACTTATTTAAAATCACACAGCTAGTAATGTCAGAGACAAAATTGGAACCGAAGTGTTCTGATTTTCAGTCCTTTGGTCTTTGTAACTAGAGAACACAGCTTCGTACTTGTATTAGTTTTACATAGCTGCCATAACAAATAACCATAAATCAAGTGGCTCAAAACAACCCACATTTATCCTCTTACTGTTCTGGAGCTCAGAGTCTGCAGTCATTCTCACTGGGCTAAAGTCAAGGTGTCAGCAGGGCTGGTTGCTCCCAGAAGCTCCAGGGAAGAATCCGTGTCTGTGCCTTTTCCAGCTTCCAGAGGCCTTTTGCAATCGTTGGTTAATGATCCCTTCCTCGTATCCCTCCAACTTCTTGCTTTTATCATCCCACCTCCTGACTCTGCTGCCCTCCTGCTGCCCTCTTCCAACTACCCTTGTGATGACATTGGCCACAGCCAGCTAATCCGGGATAATCTCCCACTTCCAGATGCTTCATTTAATCACATCTGCACAGTTCCTCTCATCATGTAGGGTGACATATTCACAGGTTCCAGGGAGCAAGACGTGGACATCTCTGTAGGCCATTATTCTGCTCACCATATCCCTTTACCTTGCATTATCGCCTCTCCCATTCTCTGAAAACAAACAATATAGAAGGCAGAAGAGATTTCTGGAGCCTAAACCATGTAGTAACATTTATGTAACATTGGGGCCATTCTCTTCACTTGGCATGGCAGCTGTGCCACTCAGTCTCCCTGACCTCTGGATGAGCAGAAGGGCCGGTATCCCCACTATTTTACAGATTAGTAAAAGCAAAACATTTAAGATTTTGGTTCAGTTAGAGACTGGTTCAGTTAGAGTTCTTAAAGCATACCTGCTTGTACCAAGTAGTATTTAGTAGTAGTCAGTATTTACAATAGTATTTCAAAGTCCTTTGGTTCTTAATCATTTTATTAACGTTCAGACAGGAGGTTTCATTTGTTTCTTCAATTTTTTTTCTTTTATCTTTGTGGCAAGAGATAAGAGAACTCTTGCCTAATATCTACTTGTTTGTTCGACTTCATGTCCCTGGCTGTGACAAAGGGCAGAGTGTGTGGTAATGAAAGCTTATTCATAATCTTAAATACGATGTAAGTGGCTGAATTGGAAAGGGAGATGCCCATTACCAAAGGCACTGGAGGGGAGAAGGCCTTATTAGTGCTGGAAGGTCGTCAGCGTGGAGAGTTCAGACACGTCTGTGCTATTCACATACAGTGTAAACTCATCACTCTTGGAATTTAATTCTTGAGAAATGATTGAAAGAGGTAGTAAAAATATTTACAACTTATATGAACTTTACCAGTCTCCAAATATTCTGAACATTTGGCATTATATTTTATTAAAAATAAACGGCCAGGTGCGGTGGCTCACGCCTGTAATCCCAGCACTTTGGGAGGCCAAGGCGGGCGGATCACCTGAGGTCGGGAGTTCGAGACCAGCCTGACCAACATGGAGAAACCCCGTCTCTACTAAAAATACAAAATTAGCCGGGCCTGGTGGCACACGCCTGTAATACCAGCTACTCGGGAGGCTGAGGATGGAGAATCGCTTGAACCCAGGAGGTGGAGGTTGCGGTGAGCTGAGATGGCACCACTGTACTCCAGGCTGGGCAACAAGAGTGAAACTACCTCTCAATAACAAACAAACAACAAAATGAAAAACAAAACAGAACAAAAAAAGAAAGAAACCAAACCCCCCCCCCCAAAATACATGGTAGGCACTCAGTAAATGTTTGAATGTTTGCAGGGTGTTGAATGAATGAGTGAATCATTGGTGATTGTTTCTCTCTGAAAAATAAATGAAGAATGTTTTCATTTGGGCTTGTATGTTTCCTCTACATTCAGTGATGACTGAAAGAGCCAATTAACTTTTAAAGTTGGGCTAAACAACCTAGGCCTGTGACTAGAAAGGGCTAGATTTGGTTTGTTTAGGAGACAAAATTGAGGGAAAAGATTTCTATGAACCTAATAGGGTCCTCGAGAATGTTTCAAATATTAGCAAAGAAATTTATCCTATCAATCCAATGTCTCAGTGACCAACTCTACACCTCCAGGCTTATATACAATGGGGTGGAGGAGGCATTGCCAAGTTTAGAGGGGGTTGTGGAGCCCAGGGACAGTCATTGAGTCAGAACCAACAAATGTTCGAGCAACCCTCATGTCCCAGGCCTTTTTAAAGATATTATTTCATGAAATTCAACAACTGTGTGAAATAGATGTTGCACCCATTTTACAGATTTAGAAAAGTTCGAGGAAGATTAAGTGACCTGATAAAGTGGAAGATTAAACTATTTCAAAGCGCCTGTTTTTCAACTCCAAATACTCTGCTGTTTTGACTTCACTGTGGCTTATTATTATACCAGAAATTTCTGTTGGGCAAAGGGACAGAGAAGACATCCATGGAGTGTCTGAGAAGTGAGATCATAACTTTGATACATCTTTAAAACGTTTTAGGGTAACAAACTGACAGAGAGAGGATATGTTTAACTTTTGGTTTTGCAAAGGGACATGAAAGCAGGCACTCTAGATTCTGGTGCCTTGAATCTTGGGTCCACTGTTTACTCATGATGAGACTTTGAACAAGACCCTTCACCCTCTTTTGCTCCATCTCCTCATCTTTAGACCAGGCCCCTGTTGTTGATGATGAGGGTAAATAGGATAGTCTATGTGATGTGCTCAGTTCATGGCTCACAGGAAATGCTCCGGTAACTGCCTGAAATAATTACTTTGAGGCGGTCAAAGTCCTTTAAAAATGTTTATTCATTTTAATCAGAGGCAGTCTTCCTTTAAGCATCTTTCCTCTTTAAATAGTCTAAGATTCTGAAGTTGTAGATTATTATTTTGGGGATGAATAGACTTGTCCATCAAAATTTAATGCTTTTGTATATAAAAATTTTCACTCAAATTCTAATCTCTCTATAAAACTTTAATGTTATTGCTCTTTCTCTGCAACATTTTCAAAGCATCCTACTTTGGGAATAACTTTAATTTATGCGCCATCATCCTCTTCTGGACCACACATAAAGAGAGAAGTTGCATGCTAATTATGATTATTCCATAATGAAATGAGCTAAATAACAACATGCCATCATTCTATTCTACCACACACTAATCATAGCTCAATTATTAACAAACTCAACTGTGACAGCAGAGGCAGCGTGATGGGGACACTGGCCCAGCAATGCCACTAACTAGATGGGTGCTTCTTTTTGTTTGTTTTTTTGTTGTTGTTTTTTGGGACAGAGTCTCACTCTGTTATCCAGGCTGGAGTGCAGTGGTGCAGTCTCGGCTAACTGCAAGCTCCGCCTTCCAGGTTCCAGCGATTCTCCTGCCTCAGCCTCCTGTGTAGCTGGGATTACAGGCATGCGCCACCACGCCTGGCTAATTTTTTGTATTTTTATTGGAGACGGGGTTTCACCACATTGGCCAAGCTGGTCTCAAACTTCTGACCTCGGGTGATCCACCTGCCTTGGCCTCCCAAAGTTGTGGGATTAAAGGCGTGAGCCACCATGCCCGGCCACTAGCTGGGTGCTTCCTCTCCAAACTATCTGCTTTCTCCTTCCATCTGAGCTCTATGATTGGAAGTAGGCTGTAAATCCAACTGAGAATGATTCAGGCCATGAGGAAATATATACCTGGAAAATGACCCTCCAGATGGTAAACCTAAATAAAATCCTTTGCTCCATAATGGAAGTAGACAAGGCAACTGGCTTGTCTGGTTTAAGTGCCTCACTTCTGTTTAGAGCCATATATTCAGGTTGATTCCCTTCCAACTATTTCTCCTGCTTTGTGTTAACTAACCATGGGAAACATTGAACTTGGAGATAGGATCCCATTTTTATTTTAATGTTATCCAGTGCATGGAGTAAGGATCTTGAAAGTCCACCTGTGCTTTTGGTATTGAAAATGCAACAGCGGATTAAGATTTACCCGGCGTCTTCCAAAAGGCCACAAGATGGGGATGTTACTCCATACACTTAGATCTTTTCAGTCATTCTACAAATAATTATTGAGCACCTACTATGTGCCTGGCATTGTGCCACGCTTTGGTAATACAGTGATGAATAAAACAAACCTTGCTAATGGAGGTTATGGAGTCTCATAGAGAAGGCAGATGTTTGAAGGTGGATTTATTAGCATACTTACTACTGCGATGACAAAAATAGAGGGGGCCACAGGGTGCATAGTAGGGACCCAAAAGCCAGTTTGGGGAGGGCCTGGAGAGAACTCATGGAAGATTCCCTAAAGGAAACAATATGTAAGCTGAGACCTGCAGAATGACGAAGCATTACCCAGGAGTAGCTATAATCTAGGCAGAGGAGTGGCATGCCCAGAGACCCAGCAGGGAAAGCAAACTTGGTCCTTTAAATAAACTGAAAAATGTTAAACTTTTCATTTAACTTTTCAGAAGCCTATGAGTAGACAATGGTAAAGAGTTGAGGCTGGGCCAAACCAAGAAGGGACTTGAAGGCCACATAACAATCCTTAGGACAGTGGTAAGGCGAGTCCTCTTTCACTCACTTGCCTACTTGAAAGGTCTTTCTTACCCTCCTCCAACCAGCATGATCCCAATTCACCTCAGGTTTCAAGGCTCGGGGGCCCTCTAGGAAATGGGCACTGATCCACCAAGCCTGGGTTAGGAGCCTCTCCTGGGGGTGCCGTTGCATGTTATATGTTCCCCGTCAATCACTCATGGAGCAACTGTCACTTACAGACGGGACGTGGGCTCAGCTGACAGGTTTGAGTCCTGCTTTTTGGCTCGGTGGCCTTGGGCAGATTCCTGGCATCAGTTTCCTGAAGCTAATCATAGCAGCCCTCTGAGAGGGTTTTGTGAAACAACTTGAAAGTGTTTAGTATATTGCTGGGCACATAGTATGTGTTTCATAAATGTTAGCTATTGATTTTGATTATCCTAAGCGTTAACTACTGATATCCGTTATCCTGGATTGCAGCTTCTTAATCACTTGTCTGCTTCTCCTATTGTATCCAAAGATTCTTGAAGACAGGGACCTTATTTTATTGTATTATTTCAGTTCCCACTCCTACCACCATGCCTGGAGTAAAGGAAGTTTTGATCAATAGTTACCCAATAAATGAGCATACTCAGCATATTCAAACAGTTTAAACAATTAGCTCCCAGGTGATACAGCTGAAGATACAGCTGCTAGAGAAGCGCTTCCGTGGTCTGTCCTATCAGGGAACTGGCAGATGGGATCTCCCTGAAGGCAAAAAGCACCCCTGACTCAATTTTAATATCCTCACTTTATTTTTCAAAGTTTTTGTTGACAATCCTTATTTTAATCAATGTTCATTGCTTTCTGAATTTGAGTGGTTGTATGAAACTCACTTAATCTTAAAAACTTTAACTCAGTGAGAGTATTCATATTTTTATCTTAATCCATTTTAGGTAATTTAGAAACGTGTTTAGTAGTATATAAATTCCCTTTTACTTGAATTTTAGAAAACTGAGCCATAGATAGTTTATTTAAATTAATATAATCACTTAGACATTTGGGAACAATGTGACTAGCAATTTATTTTAGAATTTCTAACACATGAGAAGGTATTGAACTGACCTCCAAAAATGTGTACATTTTGTCGTAGTTGAACGAGCATGGGATTATAAAGGAGAGGTTGGAATCTACTCTTGGGTTTGCCTTAAATAAGCTTTGCAGCATTGGGAAGTCGATTTTCTTCTATGAACCTCTATCTTATCTCTGAACTTGGCCAGATCGAGCTAGATTTCAGCTAATGTTCTCTCTGAGCTCCCAAATCCCATGGTTTGCTCTCTTTCTGTTCAGATGATAAACCAGTGCGCTTTTCGCAAAAAAGCCTGGTGTCTATATAAATGCAGTGGATGAAAAGCAGACACTGATTTCTTTTTTCACTATAACACTTTTATTGCAATTTTGCTTTCCTGGGGAGGAGGCAAGATAACAGCTGAAAGCTACTATTTATTGATGGCTTACTAAATCAGGCTAAGTGCTTACATGCATTATCCAATTGGATTCATAGGAACTTCATGATATAGGTAGTATTATTAGCAGCCACATTTTTACCTGTGAGAAGGCTGAGGTTCAGAGAGGTTGAGTGACTTAGCCAAAGTCACACAGCATTAAGGAGTAGAGGTAAGCTGATTATGCGGCCCACTGTCTTAGCCATTATGCTGTATTGACTGTTTCTTATAGAGGGTCTACTCTTTGTCAGGCTCTGTGGCAGGCATTCCACAGACATTCTTTCATTAAATGATCACAGTGCTCCTATGGAGAGAATCTCATTAACTGCATGCATTTTCTTTGTAAAAGCGGTAAGAAATGATAGGACCAAGGTATATTAAGGAGAATTAGAGCTCACAAACATAAACAGGAAGAACCTGACACTTTGATATGGAAGCTGTTTAAGGAATATGAATGTCATTCTACAGGCTATAGCTTTCCTCTGACTTAGACTGTTTGTCATTATAAAGCCAGCCACTACTTTGTCTGATGTTTTTTTATTCTGGCATTAATAAAAATGAAAAGCTTTTATTATGTTATTACATAGTAGTTTATATAATAAACATTGTATTATGATGGATTATAAACATTTTATAATAGATTATAATAAAATAAGTTTATATATAATATATAATATATGGTGCTTTGAATTTTTTAAATTCCGAGATTAAAAAGAAAATGAAAAGGTTTTATTATTATATAATATAGTTTATATAATATATGAATATGTTGTTAGATTATAAACATTTCACTATAATGGATTATAATAAGTTTATATTAAATATATTTCTAAATATAGTTTATTACAATATTATATAATATAGGCTATTATAGCCTCTGCCCTCAAGAAATTCAGGTTTCTACTCAGGACTGTGAGATCTTGTCAAGTTAGTAACTTCTCTGACTCTGAGCTTTCCATATCTACAGCTATACCATGAGTGTAATTCCTGCCTGTAGGGCTGTTGTGATTATTAGGGGCAATATATGCATCTGTAACAATGCCAAAAATATATAAGATGCTCAATAAGTAGTAACTGCAGTTATTTTTATTATTGTTCTGTATTATTATTGTTCCTGATCCCACTAGAACTTTTTGATATCAAGGGACGTGTCTTTGTACAGTGATTTTCAGATAACAAGCATACAAAAATATTTTTAAATAAAATAATTTGAGTGATATCCAGTGGTTATACATCGTTTTCACTGACAGGACTAGTTAGGAGGGACCAATTACAGTTTCCACAAGAACCCATGAGATTAACGAGCTTTGGAAATGAGCTCTGGAAATGGATGTGAAGTGCGTGTACCTTAAAGGTCAGAGGAGGAGGGATGGTGAGGATTTGATGATGGGCTGGAAATGGTGAGGGGTGGAAGAGGGAACGATTCAAGGATCACTGAGCTTTCCAGCTTGAATGGTTGGGTCAGGAAAAATGTGATGAGGAGCAGGTATGGGGTAGAAAGGAATTCGAATAGTTCAGTTTGGGACATGTTGAGTTTGAGGTGTGTGGTAGGCAGCTGGACACATGCATCTGAAGAGATGGAATGTAGCGGGTCTCCAAGGCTCTGAGAGTGTGAGAGTGCACACAGGATGTTCAGAGCTGTTGGCAGGTTCATTCAGAATAGATTTGCTGAAAAAAACTGACCAAGAAATTGTCTATAATTTCCATACCAGCTTCCATGAGCTTATCTGCTGCTTGGTTTCTTCTGTCATCTGTCAAAACCTTTTCTTTGTTTATTCATTTTTGGCCTTTCCTACTTTTTTCAATTCCATGTTGCATTTTAACATTGGCCTTTAAAGCTTCAAGAAAACCCTGTCAGTTCATAATGTGAAAATTTCAGGCAAGCATAAAAGGGGATGAGTGTGTGAATTTTCAGAAGGTTTAGAAGTGATTTCTTAGCACTTATCGTTATCATAATCTTTTGGTACATATGAGAACTCTAGGTTGTATTTTAGCATAGGTCCCTATAAATTTCTTCCCATCCCAAATACATTAGACCTAGTTTACTACTTTGATGTGAAATTCAGTGCTTTATTTTCTTATGTTTATTGTCTGCAGAAACACATTAAACCAAAAAAATGACATATGGAGATTAAAAACTCATCTGATAACATAAATCTCAGTGACTAGACACAATAGAACAATTGTATTATTGCTATCATAAATGAAATTACTCAGTAATATAAATTATGAATTTCCTTTTCTAATGTTCTTAAAGATTATATCATTTCCTTGCCCGTTTCCTGAAGCAAAATAGGCTAGCTAATTTTATCCTCAGTCATTTCCAGGCAAACAACTGTACTACATTAGCAACTCTATGCTTGGATACTCAGCTCAAGACCTGCTCTCTGCCTCTGCAAACCTTTCTTCCATTCACTCCCACGAAGTTTTACAAGGCCAATTTTGAAGCTTCAAAGTCTTAGGGGAAAAATAAAAACAAACAAAAACTAAAACAAAAAACTTCCAAGACTTAAAGTATCACTAATACTTTTACAATCTACTTCCCCACAGCTACCAAAATAAAAAAGAAATAAATAAAAAATTAAATAACTAACAATTACATCAATTATATTGACTTTTAGGAAACCTCTCTATTAGATTCCTATTGTTGCTGGAACAAATTACCAACAAACTTAGCGGTTTAAATCTACATATCGCTTATCTTTTACAGTTCTGGAGTGTAGAAGTCCGCGCTGATTTTGAGCTAAAACCAAGGTGTTGGCAGGGTTCTGTTCCTTTTTGGAGACTCTAGGACAGAATCTGTTTTCTTGCCTTTCCCAGCTTCCAGAGATGGCCTGCATTTCTGGGCTCATGGCCCCTTCCATCTTCAGAGCCAGCCATGGCTTAAGTCTTTCGCATATTGCATCACTCTGACACTAACTTTTCTTTTCCCCTTCTCTTCCACTTATAAGGAACCTTGTGATTATATTGGGACTGCCTGGATACTCCAGAACAATCTTTCCCATTCAAGATCAGTTGATTAGCAAACTTGATTCCGTCTGCTGCCTCAATTCCCCTTTATCGTGTAATATAAAACCTATTTATAGGTTCTGAGGATTAGGACATAGAATCTTTGGGGCATTGTTATTCTGTCTGACACACTTCTTACCATATTAAACACATATTATGACATATTAATAGTCAATCTGATATGTTTATATAAAAGACAACAGGATTCTAATATAGTCAAATTTTATGTAATTGTGCTGAAAAGTAACCTAATAAATGTTAAGTGCAGCATTTTGGATGTAAGGTGCCCATTGAGAAATAGAGTACTAAACTTAGGTGACACTATGGTGTGAGGGAGGTAGGAAAGGGTCAGAAAAGACGAATTAGTGAGTCATTGTGGGTTGCTCTAGGCAAGACTATTCCATATAACTTTCTGAGATGATGAGGGCGTTCTATAACTGCACAGTCCAATAAGGTAACTATTAGCTACAGGCTGTTATTGCGCCTCTGATATGTGGCTAGTGCAAATGGGGAACTGAATTTTTAATTTTATTTAAATTTTATTTAATTTAAATCTCAACAGCCACATGGTGCTAGTGGCTACTGTATTGCACAGCACAACTCTAGAATCGAGACCATGGTAGATCAACTCTGAATACCACCTTACATTTTAATTCTCTAAATGGAAAGGTGTGTGTATAGGTGTGCACATACAGATGTGCACGCATTATAAGATGTTAGTGGCTGGGCACGGTGGCGCACGCCTGTACTTGGGAGGCAGGGGTGGGCAGATCACAAGGTCAGGAGTTCGAGACCAGCCTGGCCAATATAGTGAAACTCCATCTCTACTAAAAATACAAAAGTTAGCTGGACGTGGTGGTGGGCGCCTGTAGTCCCAGCTACTCGGGAGGCTGAGGAAGGAGAATTGCTTGAATCCAGGAGGCAGAGGTTGCAGTGAGCTGAGATCGTGCCCTTGGACTTCAGCCCAGGTGACAGAGCAAGACTCAGTCTCAAAAACAAACAAACAAAAAAAGATGTTAGTGATAATCAGAACTCTATGGGTTAATATTTACTTTATAATATATGACACTTAAGATAACTGTTTAAACAAAATTTAGTAAGATGTTTTATCTTTGTTATGAAAAATGATATTAACATATTTTTAGATGGAATTTAATGGTCATTTTGGTTCATGCTGATCAACCAAAGCTACTCCCTCATGGGAAAATAGGGGCTAAATAAGAGTCAATAACTGTTTCAGTTTCTTAGGGCATGAGAATATTCATTCGTTAGTTCAGCAAACATCATTGGCGCTCTAAGTCCATGGCATTGTTGTAGGCTCTGTGATGAGCAAAGATAAAGCACAGTACCTACCCCCAGGATGCTTACACTGCGAGGAGGGATAGAGCTTCATCTTCCTGTCCATCACATTCTTGCATCATTCTGGCTCACCTGAATGTCCCAATGGACCACTCACTTGACTCTCAGGCCTCGCAATTCCTTGACCATCTCATACTCAGACCTTTACTTTCAGTAGGATCCGGCCAGTTGTCTCCTCTCGGGGGCTATTTCGAGGGTCTATCATCATCAAGAGTCACTCCATCTTCAAATCAGGATATCCTGTTCACAACCTACACCCTCTCGTTCCCTCTGTCCCTGTTCTTGTACCCTCCATGGCTCCAGTTCTCTCAGTCCCGTGCTTTCCTCTGCCCATCAGGCTTTGATGGTTTGTACTTTCTTTCCTTGCTTTTGTTTACCTCCTGACCTTGAACATGTTCTTCTATCTACTTAAATGACCTTCAACTGTCACTTGAATGTTTATCTGCTCAAGCTAAACGCATGGCTAATAGGAGCACTGTGGTATAAAGAGCCCTGAATTTGGACTCAGAAGTCCTGGAGCTCAAATCTCAGTTTGGCCTTTTACTGGCTTGAGGGTTTTTAAAAATAAGTGTAAATTATTTAACCTGTTTGAATCTTAGCTAACTTCTCTGCAAATTGGGGGGAACTTTTTGTTTTGTTTTCATTTTTTATTTTGAAATAATTTTAGACTACCAAAAAGTTACGAAAGTAGAACAGATAATTTCTTTGTATCCTATTCTCAGCTTCCCCTGATGTTAGCATCTTATGTAAACATAATGCATTATCAAAACCTGAAAACTGGCACAGTATAATATAGTGCTATGAACTAAACTATACACCTAATTCCAATTTCACCTGTTTTTTATGTGCAAACATGTTTGGGAGGGGGTTATATAGTTCTGTAAAACTTTATCACACGTGTAGATTCATGTAACTTCCACCATAGTCAGGACGCATAACTGCTATGGACTGAATGTTTGTGTCCTCCCAAACCCACCAAATGCATCTGTTGAAGCCCTAATCTCCAGTGTGATGGTGTTTGGAGATGAGGCCTTTGGGATGTGATTAGATTATGAGGGTGGAGCCCTCATGATGGGATTAGTGCCCTTATAAGAAGAGACAGAAAAGGGTTTGCTTCCTCTCTCTGTCTGTCTCTATGCCTGCCGTGTGAGGATACAAACAGGAGGCAGGACCTCACCCAACAGTGGACCTGCTAGCTCCTAGATCTCGAACTTCCCAGCTTCCAGAAATGTGAGAAGTAAATGTTTGTGGTTTAAGCCACCCAATCTTTTGTGTTTTTGTTAAAGCAGCCCTAAGACAGCAACTGTTCCATCACCACAAAGAAACTCCATAAAACTTCTTTTATATTCACACTTTCTTCCCAATCCTGACCTTGAATGACCACTAATCTCTCATCATTCTAATTGTGTCATTTTGAGAATGTTTTATAAGTGGGATCATACAGGATATATTTTGATTTGCTCTTTTCACTTACCACCTTGCCTTTGAGATCCATCCAAGTTGATGTTTGTGTCCATTTTTATTCCTTTCTGTTGCTGAGTAGTACCCCATTGTGTGGATGTTCCAGTTTGTTTACACATTCATGCTCTCAAGGATGTACATGTGAGTTACTTCTAACTTTTGGCAACTACATAAAAAGCTGCTGTGAATATTTGTGCACAGGTTTGTGGGCAAATGTAACTTTTTGTTTCTCTAAAATAAATACCCAGGCATGTAATTGATGGGTCATGTGTGTTATAATGGAAGTAACTGAGTAACAACCAACTATATATCTTAAAATGACCCTGCAAAAATATTGGAACTCTGTGAAGTCAGATTAATTGTATTTTGTAGCAGTCCAATCCAGGAGAGAATATGGACATGGAAAATGAAAGAAACTTGAAAATGAGTGTTTAAAATTGCATAATTTTTGTTAGTTTGCTTTTCCCACTTCACTGAAATAATGAAATATTTCTCACCTTTCCTTTAAGGGTTATTAAAATGCCACATCAAAGGCAACATGACAGACCCTTGAGGTGATGGAACTGTTTTGCATCTTGATTGTGGTGGTAGCTACATTAACCTATATATAACTAAAATTACACACACACATACACACACACAAACACTCACACCTGAAACAATTGGGGGAATCTGAATGAGGCTGAAGGATCATATCACTATCAATATCCTGGTTGTGACATTGTGCTATAGTTATGTGAGATATTACCATTGGGAGAAATAGGTAAAGGGTACATGGATCTCTGTATTATTTTTTAACAGTGGAATGAGAAGTTACCATTATTTCAAAAATAAAAAGTTATGTTTAAAAAAGCTACATGGACACATATGAGGGAACAATACACACTGAGGCCTTTCAGAGCGTGGAGAGTGGGAGGAGAGAGAAGATCAGGAAAACAACACTAATGGGTACTAGGCTTAATACCTGGGTGATGAAATAATCTGTGTAACAAATCCACATGACACACGTTTACGTATGTAACAAACCCGCACTTGTACCCCTGAACTTAAAAGTAAAAAAAAAAGCCACCTCCACCATTTGCTTTATTTCTGGGGTTTGTCACCAATGTGTAGCCTTTGAATAATCTCTGAATATTCAGAGTGCATATGGCACAGTCAGAAAGCTCAACTGTGTATCCTGAAACATCATTTATTGAGCAACTACACAAATGGATAATTAGCATGATCAAAATGTACTGAACCACCTATAACGTGGAAACCTGACATTCCACCCCTTGTTCAGCTCACTGTTTTCAAGGATACACGATAGCATCTTAGGCAAACTCTATTCTCGACCTCTCCCATTCTTTAGATGCGTGCTATAGAGTTCTACTTGATTGGGTTCTGCGCTGACCAAAGTGTGCTTGCTTTGGAGAAATTTTATATTCACTTGTCTAATAGCTAATTCTTCAAGTTGGGAAATGAGGTCAGGTAAACATTTAGCCACAATCCTGAATTATAGCTATAGACACTGGGAGCTGTTTAGAATCTAGCCTGATTTAGAAGAGCAGTCTTTGAAAGCCCCAGAATGAAGTGACCCAGTTATTCTCATTTCTACTATGTCTTCAAATGCACCGTCTTCTGAATTGTCTCTGACCGTCAGAAATATGCTGGAGATGAACTGTGTAAGGGTACCAACCCTGTTTTGTTCATAAAGCATTTCTCCCAGCAATCCATCCAGCTGAACCTTGTAATTACATCCAGAGCCCGCTCACCATGGCGACAGCGGCCACTCTATCGAATATTAAATCTATTGATCTTGAGCACAGAGTCCATCTCAGTTTTCAAATGGTCCGTGCAGTCTCTTTCCCCAGGGCTGAAGTATATCTGAGCTTCTTATGGGTTTCCAAAGGCTCATCTTATCTCTTGGCACAATATGTTCTTTTGACTTGCTCGTGATTTTGTTATTTCATGTGGACAGATGCAGACCAGAGGAAAGAAAAAGAGAAAGGAGTCCAAGGAAAGTATAGTTCTTGCTTTTCAAGATCAACTTTTCCTATGCTCCGTTGCTCTCATACCCAGGTCATTTCCTGAACTCCTCGACCTCTTAGTGTGAGAGCCAACTCTTTTATTTCTCTCAGGCACTGCACCGTGCTGGGAAGAGGCACAGTGGGCTCCTGGAACAAAGACTGCCCTATTGAACGGAGCCACCTTTGAGCCTATAATGAAAAATGCCCACAAAGTTGATTAGTCGGCCTTGGGCTGCACTAGTCAGTTTGAAACATGGCAGAATTTAACTCTATGTTATATTATCAAACTGCATTCTAGTGTATGGAATTCTATCATGGTATCACATTATATTATCACATCATAGAATAATATCATACTATGAAAATATAAATATTTGAGACATCATAGGAAAAAAACTTGATCTAATAGTCAGAGTACCATGAACCAATTCCAGGCTTTCTTTAAAAAAAAAAACTGCGTAATTTTAAGGAGTACAAGTACGGTTTTGTTACATGCATATACTGCATAGTGATAAAGTCTGGGCTTTTACTGTAACCATCACCTGGATAATGTACATTATACACATTAAGTAATTTCTCAGCCCTTACCCCCTCCTCCCCTCCCAGCCATCTAGGTTTCATTATTTAATTATTTGCTAGCTGTGTTGCTTAACTTTAACTCCTTCTTGGCCCACCTCTGCAAATAAAAATTAAGTATAATTATACTGATCTCAGAGGTGTCTTGATAGAATAAAACAGGATGTTTAGCTGAAGCATACTACTCTTGAGAAAGTAAAAGGAAAAATAATTATCTACTAGAAATTATTAACACTCAAGTGCAGTTTTAGAAGAAACAGACAAAATAACCTTAGTGTTTGTCAGAATGTTTGGTTCTGGAGACCAAAAGTCATAATCCCTTTTTAACCTTTAAATAGTCTGGAGTCACTGTGAGTTGCCTACCCCAGAGCTCCACCAGCCATCTTTTTCCTTCTAGTAGACACTGAGTCACACAATTGAGATTAAAGATATTATTTACTTGCTTTTCCATTCTCTCTTGCAACTAGTGATGGTCATATGATAACTGCTGGCCAATGAGACATACAGGTAGATTTTCTGGGTGACTGCCATGGAGGACTTTTTCTCCCTTAAAAAAAAAAGCTTAAAAAAGACATTCAAGGAGAGTCTTCTCAACTGCCTGACTCTCTTCTTGTAATTGCATGTGGTAAACCTGAGACTTCAGAAATCGCCTTTTGACCACAGAGTGATAAGCCCAAGGATAGAAGCTGCATGTTGAGGACAGAAGTGAAATGATGGAAAAAGCCGCGTAGACATAGCCACATGCCTGAACTACCCTAGAACCACTTTTTTCTAGATTTTAAGAAAATGAAACCGGACCAGACACAGTGGCTCACGCCTGTAATCCCAGCACTTTGGGAGGCCGAGGTGGGAGGATCACAAGGTCAGGAGACTGAGACCATCCAGGCTAACATGGCGAAACCCTGTCTCTACTAAAAATACAAAAGATTAGCCGGTCGTGGTGGTGGGCACCTGTAGTCCCAACTACTCGGGAGGCCAAGGCAGGAGAATCGCTTGAACCTGGGAGGCGGAGGTTGCAGTGAGCCACTGCACTCCAGCCTGGGCGACAGAGCAAGACTCCATCTGAAAAAAGAAAAAAAAAAAAAAGAAAAAAAACCCATCATTATTTCAGCCACTTTCTGTAGTATCCTGTTTTCTTGCATCTGAAAGCATCCTTTTTTTTTTCAATTTTATTATTATTATACTTTAAGTTTTAGGGTACATGTGCACAATGTGCAGGTTAGTTACATATGTATACATGTGCCATGCTGGTGTGCTGCACCCATTAACTCATCATTTAGCATTAGGTATATCTCCTAAAGCTATCCCTCCCCCCTCCCCCCACCCCACAACAGTCCCCAGAGTGTGATGTTCCCCTTCCTGTGTCCATGTGTTCTCATTGTTCAGTTCCTACCTATGAGTGAGAATATGCGGTGTTTGGTTTTTTGTTCTTGCGATAGTTTACTGAGAATGATGATTTCCAATTTCATCCATGTCCCTACAAAGGACATGAACTCATCATTTTTTATGGCTGCATAGTATTCCATGGTGTATATGTGCCACATTTTGTTAATCCAGTCTATCATTGTTGGACATTTGGGTTGGTTCCAAGTCTTTGCTATTGTGAATAGTGCCGCAATAAACATACGTGTGCATGTGTCTTTATAGCAGCATGATTTATAGTCCTTTGGGTATATACCCAGTAATGGGATGGCTGGGTCAAATGGTATTTCTAGTTCTAGATCCCTGAGGAATCACCACACTGACTTCCACAATGGTTGAACTAGTTTACAGTCCCACCAACAGTGTAAAAGTGTTCCT
The DNA here is from genome assembly GCF_000001405.40 of Homo sapiens. Taxonomy (NCBI): domain Eukaryota; kingdom Metazoa; phylum Chordata; class Mammalia; order Primates; family Hominidae; genus Homo; species Homo sapiens. The sequence continues at coordinate 33,887,270 of NC_000013.11, forward strand.
ATTTCTCCACATCCTCTCCAGCACCTGTTGTTTCCTGACTTTTTAATGATTGCCATTCTAACAGGTGTGAGATGGTATCTCATTGTGGTTTTGATTTGCGTTTCTCTGATGGCCAGTGATGGTGAGCATTTTTTCATGTGTTTTTTGGCTGCATAAATGTCTTCTTTTGAGAAGTGTCTGTTCATGTCCTTTGCCCACTTTTTGATGGTGTTGTTTGGTTTTTTCTTGTAAATTTGTTTGAGTTCATTGTAGATTCTGGATATTAGCCCTTTGTCAGATGAGTAGGTTGCGAAAATTTTCTCCCATTTTGTAGGTTGCCTGTTCACTCTGATGGTAGTTTCTTTTGCTGTGCAGGAGCTCTTTAGTTTAATTAGATGTCAATTTTGGCTTTAGTTGCCATTGCTTTTGGTGTTTTAGACATGAAGTCCTTGCCCATGCCTATGTCCTGAATGGTAATGCCTAGGTTTTCTTCTAGGGTTTTTATGGTTTTAGGTCTAATGTTTAAGTCTTTAATCCATCTTGAATTAATTTTTGTATAAGGTGTAAGGAAGGGATCCAGTTTCAGCTTTCTACATATGGCTAGCCAGTTTTCCCAGCACCATTTATTAAATAGGGAATCCTTTCCCCATTTCTTGTTTTTCTCAGGTTTGTCAAAGATCAGATAGTTGTAGATACGCAGCATTATTTCTGAGGGCTCTGTTCTGTTCCATTGATCGACATCTCTGTTTTGGTACCAGTACCATGCTGTTTTGGTTACTGTAGCCTTGTAGTATAGTTTGAAGTCAGGTAGCATGATGCCTCCAGCTTTGTTCTTTTGGCTTAGGATTGACTTGGTGATGCAGGCTCTTTTTTGGTTCCATATGAACTTTAAAGTAGTTTTTTCCAATTCTGTGAAGAAAGTCATTGGTAGCTTGATGGGGTGAAAGCATCATAACTGATATACAAAGAGTTTCTTCCACTGGCATGCAAGTTCAGGGGGCACCATTACATACAACGTGAATGGTGCTTCTTGGAGTTTTATAACACAGTGGCCTTGGTTTACTGAACTCTTACTCACCCTTCAAGACTTACCTCACATGGTGCCTCTTCTGGGAAGTCCTCCTAAACAGAGTAGTCACTCCTAGTTAACCACAGTTTCCTGTAATTATATATTGTTATAAAGATTGTAATTTTATAATATATTGAATTGCAGTTAAATATCTATGACTATTTCTCAAGTGCGGAAGCCGAGTAGCCACAATGCTGCGTTACTCTATGGATGGATACAATGAATGATATTCCTGTATACAATAGATGCTCACAAACAGTTTCTGGAATAAAATAACTGTTAGTGACAATGAAAGTTTTGTATAGTAAAAATTATCCAGATCTCATATAGCAGATTCCTGGAAAATACTATTTTTCTCCATATGGATTTAGAAAAAAAGATCTGTGATGAAAACATTCATTGATAGCAAATATTTATTTTAAAGAAAATCTTTTTTTTTTTTTTTTGAGATGGAATCTTGCTCTTTCACCCAGGCTGGAGTACAGTGGCACAAACTCAGCTCACTGCAATGTCCACCTCCCAGGTTCACGCCATTCTCCTGTCTCAGCCTCCTGAGTAGCTGGGACTACAGGCGCCCGCCACCATGCCTGGCTAATTTTTGTATTTTTAGTAGAGACGGGGTTTCACCGTGTTAGCCAGGATGGTCTCAATCTCCTGACCTTGTGATCCAGCCACCTCGGCCTCCCAAAGTGCTGGGATTACAGGCATGAGCCATCGCGCCCGGCCCTTTAAAGAAAATCTTAAATTTGTATTACAAGATCATACTTTCTTCATGCCAACTCTTACTTTTCCTGCATTTGTATCTGCAGCTGAAAGACGAGACTGGACTTAGCATGATAACCCAAAGCTTCATTGATCCAACACATCACTGAACAATGCAGTTATGTTCACTACACTATTCTTGGTAAGGCAAGAAATAATATACAGATATTTTGAGGAACATTTAGAAATCATAAGCGTTGAACCAACAGGGCTGGGCTAGTTTTTAACCTTTAGTAAGATTTTTTAGCTCCATAACTCCACAGGCTGGTTGATAATTAAAAAATTTGCCAATTGAAAATTTAGTAAACAAATACCCTTTTTAAAAATTTATTTTTAACATTCTCTTTATAGTTGACACATAATAATTGTACATGTTTAGAGGGTAGTGTGATGTGTAAATGCATGTATGCATTGTATAATGATCAAATCAGGGTAGTTGGCATTTTTACCACCTCAAACCTTTATTACTTCTTTGTGCTAATGACTTTCAAAATCCTCTTTTCTAGCTATCTTGAAATATGCACAAATTGTTATTAGCTATAATCACCATACTATGTAATAGAGCACCAGAAATTTTTCTTCCTTGCTGACTATAACTTTGCAACCATTGACCACCCTCTCCTCCTATCCCAGGCTTCCTCCAATCCCCAGCCTCTGGTAACCACTATTCTACTCTCTACTGCTATGACAGCAACCTTTTTAGATGCCACATATGAATGAAACCATGCAGTATTTGTCTGCCTGTGCCTGGTTTATTTAAAATGCAGTATATATACACAATATAATATTACTAAGCTATAAAGAAGGATAACATCCTGTCATTTGTGTCAACATGGATGAAGCTGGAGAACAAAGACATTTTGTTAGCCTACTATGGATTAGATTCTTTTTCTGAGTGCTAGGGATATACTGGTGGTCAATAGGTTCAACGGTCCTGACTTCATGGACCCTATATATTTTATATATGTATCTGTTAGTACGTTGGTGATGATGGAGATAATGACTCTTTATGATCAGGAGCAGCCTTACGACCTCCTGTTAAAGTCTCCGAGGGTGTTGAGGTTCAGTATGTAAACTGTGTGGGGTGGGTAGGGTCCCAGCTTTGACTTGAGGCCTGCATAACCCTTGGTAATGTGTCACCTCAATAGAACTATTGTGTAGCAAATGATGTTAATTTATGAGTTCAGTCATTTGGCCAGAGCCTACACCAATTTTCCATTTGTGCTGATGATCTAAATTTGGTTCCATCCATGCCCAGAAGCAATATCAGAGCTCATGTATGTGCCATTACTACCCTATATGGGTAGTTCTGCCTTATCTGATAATAGCAATGTTAATCTGACTTCATTAGACTAGAAGGGATTATATCCTAGATACCTCACAATGGTGATTTGGATGCCATCGTATTGACCCAGTGTGATGAAATGAGCAATCGTATTGACCCAGTGTGATGAAATGAGCAAAATAATTGCCCTAAAATGGTTTAGCAGTTTCCCACCTCTCTTCGGAAAATCTATGAATCTTTGGACCCTCATGTTTATTTATCATTTACTATGTTTGTGTCAGGCATTGTCCTGAGCTTAATTACATCATCCCCTTTAAGCTTACTACAAACTCTTAAGATAGGTAATCTTATTGATGATGAAACTGAGATGGTTTCACCATCTTATTGATGATGAACATTGGCTCCAAGAGCTTAGGTTACTTGTCCAAGGTCACACAGCTTGTAGGTGGGCCAGCTGAGATTCAAACTAGGCCAATGGGATTCCTTAATCCATTCCTATTCCTTTTATACCATGCTTTCTTCTAGATATATCAATATGTAAAATTAACCTAATTTTTAAAACATGCAAATGTCATAGCTAGGAGACAGAATATTATTGGGTATCAATCACATACCTCATGAAATAACATAAACTTTGTGTTACATATAATTTAATTCACTTACAAGGTGAAAAAGGTTATAATTTCCAATAATTTTTATCTTTTTAGTCCTTCTAGGTCATCACTACTTAAAATAACTGAAGACTCCACCACGTTTAGTGGTTGTAAAAAATAAGAAACTAAGCATTTTTACAATCTTGCTTGCTAAGTCTAATATTAAATATACAACTAAGAGTGGCAATGGTATTTTTAAGCATTCATTATGCCCTCAAAATGCTGGCAGAAAATCATAGTAGGAATTCTAATAATAGAAGCAACTCTACCAACCTTGGTTTTAATGCATTCTTTTTATTCATATGCAAGGTTCCCTAAAGGTTTTATCTTGAGGTGTTAACAGGGAAATCTGTCACCAGTAGAGGACTAAATGAAGTCACAAGTCATATAACAAGCAGAGCAGACAAGTAACCTTCACATGGATGCTTAAGAAAATACTGGCAGAAACCCTGATACAATAAATTTGCAAATAACTTGAAGACAAAAAGGTACTTAGTGGATAATGACTAATGTGTCCTACTTAAAATCAAATCCTTTTAAGCTAATCTAATATGGTAGATCAAGGAGAAATGATAGATGTATTTTATCTTAATTGCATCAAATCTTGATTATCTGCATATTACACCCATCAATGAACAACAACAAAAAAAGTGACCTAAGCACACAGCCAACTGGATTATAACAACTATATAATATCAAACATGTGGATGAAAATACCAGATGCTCTACTTCTACAATGTCAAATATATATGTATAGACACATAACACATATAATCACATAAATACATCAAGAATATATATATATTTGCATCATATAAATGTGCTTAAAGTCCTATGTCCCATATATTAAGAATAAGAATAGTTGTGAAAACTTTCAGAGGAATGCAAGGAAAATTAACGAGACATCAGAAAATAATTTCTAGGCACAGAAGTTAAATATAGCAGGACAATTCAACCAGGAAAAAAAACAGATTAGATATAATTTAATAACATTATTCAACTGTCTCTACATAATACCAAAATAACCAAACAATTTGGTCAGATAACTATCCAAGCAAGTCAAATGAATATTTTAAAAATCCAATAACTCCATCATCATAACAGTTCATATGCTGTAAATGTATTGATTTAGCTTTGAGAGATAGCTGAGACATCTGAAATACAGAAATTTGCTGTTCCTTAGGGAGTGTTGCCTTGAATGAAGCAGGTAAGCTAAGCTTAACTAAGACAAAAATTAGAGGAAAGTTGAAGAAAGGATCCAAGAGAGAACATCAAAGGCAGAGCTCCAGGAGCCAGAATAAGGGATGTGGGTCCCTCATATGTTAATAGAAGGTTTCATCCAACTGAAACTGGAGGGCCTTAAGACTTAAAGAAAGGCAGCCTCAGCCTGAAAACATCTTATATCCTTTCTGCTCCAAATAAAACTGTAAGCATTCCAAAGCTGGGTATTGGTGCCGTCTCATTTCTGTTTCCCTACTTCATTCTATCTCTATTTTCTTTTTGATATCCCCATCAGTCTTTCCACTTAAGATTTGTTACCTCACCTTATCCAAACATCTGAGCCTATAATTCTCAAGTTAGTGTTTTTGTGTCTCCCAACTCCCAGCCATTACCACCAATCACACTTTCACTTATGAACATTTTTTCTTTACTGTCAAACCTCAGGCAGTTCCAAAATAGCAGTGTAGAAGCAAGATGACCTCACTCCCCCAGACAAAAACCAAAAACAAATAGACAGCACCAAGATTATCACCAGCAATATCTCAGAGCTCAAGTACAAAAAGGAGACAGTCCCTGGGGCCACAGAGAAATGAAAAATCTCTGAGAAGGCTGTAAGGTAATTGAATTTCTATATTGGTAATGCCCCTTCTGTCCAGCACCAAGTGCACAAAGTATTTCCCTCCATTCACAATTTCTACACTCAAAAAAGTGAGATCAAGGTGGACAAGCAGGTTTTCCACCATCTTGGGAGCCTTGGCAGGAGAACTGTCCCTGCCTTAACTCATGGAAAGCATTTCAAATGCCAGAAGGGACAATATCACTGAGGACAGGCCGAGAGAAGGGAAGGAGGTGGAACTACCATCCCCAGCCCTGGAAACTCTGATCTGTAACTTGAAAAAGGGAGATGCCAAATCAGAGTGGTTGTTCAGCAGCACCACACCATTGGAAGTACATTCCACAGGACCCCTGGGCATGAACCCTTAGCCAGCCTTCCCACACTGCCAGGATATCCCCTTTGGAACCCCCTCTTGGGACAGGTAGCACCCCAATTATTTACTAGAACCTAGGTGAACCTTGGATTAAGGAATCACCAAGAGCCAAAAAGGAGGCAACAACCTAGCACTGAAGAATCTCTCAGAAAATATATCTAATAAAACCAAAAATATCTAGACAAAGAAGACTGAAATAAATAACTAACTCTTTAATACAAAGACATACACATACATTCACAAGAAAAAAACAAAACAAAACAGCAAGCAGGGTACTATGACCTCTTCAATAGACAGAATAAGGAACCAGTGCCTGACCTCAATGAGAAGGCAATATGTGAGCTCTCTGACCAAGAATTCAAAATAGCAGTTGTAAGGAAACTCAGCAATCTCCAAGATAACACAGAAAATCAATGCAGAAATTTATCAGACTAATTTTATGAAGACTGAAATAATAATAATAAAAAAGAAACAAAAATTTTGGAACTGAGAAATACATTTGCTGAATTGAAAAATTTATTAGAGGCTCTCAACAGCAGAATGGATCAAGCAGAAGAAAGAATCAGTCACCTCAAAGACAGATTATTTGAAAATATGGTTAGGAGAGAAAAAAGAAAAAAGAATGAAGACCATCTACAGGATATAGAAAATGACATCAAATGACCAAATCTAAGAAATACTGCTATTCAAGAGGGAGTTCAGCAAGAGCAAGGAGTAGAAAGGTTATTGAAAGGAAAAAAACAAACAAACAAACAAAAAACCCCAACTTTCCAAAGGGCCAAGATGGCAGCTTGGAGGCATTGCTAGTATGTCTCTTCCACTTGGAAAGACAAAAGTGTGTAGAAATTCACACTGTGAACTTTTTCCAATAAGCAACACAGGAACAAACCACAGACCCTTTGAAAGAAGCAGAACCCTACACAATGAGCCAGGTGAAAAACTGTAAGTCCCCAGAGTGTGAGAGGGGGATAAGCTGCCTCTGGGATATAGACCTCCACTGGGTAGCCTGGCAATCCAGGATATGGGGGAGGGCCATAACCCTACCCAGTACTGGAGCTGATTTAGTGAGTGGTGGGGAGTATATGAGAAGGAGTGGCATCAGGATGTGCTTTGCATGCACTTCCAGTTTCCAGTGGGAATGGAGGGAAGTCGTTCCTGATCTTACCTCACAGGAGACCTCGTGGAAGTCTGCCAGCTAACTCAAGTGACAGTCATAGGTTGAGAGAAGCTTCCAACTGTGATTCATGATATAATCTCGAGTGGGGACAAACCCTTGGCCAGAACTGAGGGGCAAGTGGGAAGTGTGCTTCAGCCAAGGGTACAGGAGCTGGATATCCCACCTTTGTTGGCTGACTGGGAGGAGTGTGGCCTAAAAGCTCCAGTTGCTGTCACCACTAGGAAGGCTTATGGCCTGGGGCAATTTTGGGTTCTGAGCGCAGATTGTCTGGAACCTAGCTAGCTGTTGCTAGTGGAACACTGCAGGTGTTCCTGGATAATCTGGGGGTATCACATTGCCCAACTTCAAATTATATTACAAGGTGAGAATAATCAAAACAGCATGTTACTGCTATAAAAATGAGACATAGACCAATGGAATAGAATAGAGAACCAAGAAATAAAGCCAAATACTTACAACCAACTGATCTTTGACAAAGTATTAAAAAAACATAAATGGGGGAAAGGACACCTATTCAATGAATGGTGAGAACACTGGATAATTCACACGTAGAAGAATGAACTGGACACCTATCTCTCATCGTATACAAAAATCAACTCATGATGGATCAAGGATTTAAATGTAAGACCTGAAACCATAAAAATTCTAGAAGAAAACCTAGGAAAAACACTTCTGGGGCATTGGCCTAGGCAAATGATTCATGATTAGAACCCCAAAAGCCAATGCAACACAAACAAAAATAATGGGACCTAATTAAACTACAAAGCTTCTGCCCAGTAAAATAAATAATCATCAAAGTAAACAGACAACCCACAGAGTGGGAGAAAACACTTACAAAGTATATATCTGACACAGGACTAATATCCAAAATCTATAAGAAACTCAAATCAGCAAAACAAATAATCCCATCAAAAAGTGGTCAGAGTACATGATAGACATTTCTCAAAAGAAGATGTACAAATGGCCAAAAAACATATAAAAATGCTCAACGTCACTAATCATCAGGAATATGGCATATTAAAACCAAAGTGGGATACCACCTTACTCCAGCTAGAATGGCCATTATTAGAAAGTCAAAAAACAATAGATGTTGGCATGGATGTGGTAAAAAGGGAACGCTTATACACTGCTAGTGGGAATGTAAATTAGTGTAACCTCTATGGAAAACAGTGTGGATATTTCTTAAAGGTCTGGATATTTCTCTATTTCTAAAAGTAGATCTACCATTTGATCCAGGAATTCCACTTCTTGATATCTATACACAGGGAAAAAGTCGTTATATCATAAAGACAGCTGCACACATATGTTTACTTCAGCACAATTCATAATTGCAAAGACATGGAACCAACCTAAGTGCCCACCAACCAAAGAGTGGATAATGAAAATGTGGTATATGCACACCATAGAATACTACACAGCCATAAAAACGAACAAAAAATAATGTCTTTTGCAGCAACTTGGATGGAGCTGGGGGCCATTATTCTAAGTGAAGTAACTCAGGAATGGAAAACCAAATACCATATAATCTCACTTATAATTTGGAACTAACCTATGGGTATGCAAAGGCATACACAGTGGTATAATGGACTTTGGAGACTCAGAATGGGGGAGAGTGGGAGTGAAAGGAATAAAAAGCTACATATTGGGTACAAGGTACACTACTCAGGTGACAGGTTCACTTTAATCTCTAACTTCGCCACTGTACAATTTGTTTGCATAACAAAAAAACCACTTGTACCCCAAAAGCTATTGAAACAAAGAAATATATATATATGTATATATATAATTTTAAAAAAGGATTGATTGCAAAAGTTTCTATTCTAATATAAAAAGAAAGTATAAAATAGTTTAAACCAAAACAAAAAGAAAACTTTCCAAATCTTCAAATAGATGTAAATATACAGGTATAAGAACATCAGAGAACACCAAATAGTTTCAACCCAAGTAAGATTATCCCCAGGGCATATAATAGTTAAACTCTCAATGTTCAAAGGCAAAGAGAGGATAGTAAAAGCAGCAAAAGAAAATAAGTAATTTGGTCAGGTTTGGTGGCTCATGCCTGTAATCCTGGCACTTTGGGAGGCCAAGAAGGGTGGATCACTTGAAGTCAGGAATTTGAGACCAGCCTGGCCAACATGGTGAAACCCTGATTCTGCTAAAAATACAAAAAGTAGCTAGGAGTGGTGGTCCCCAGTTACTTGGGAGGCTGAGGCATGAAAATCACCTGAACTCAGGAGGCAGAGGTTGCAGTGAGCTGAGATTGCACTGCTGCACTCCAGCCTGGGCAACAGAGTAAGACTTTGTCTCAAAAAAAAAAAAAAAAAAAAAAAAAAAAAAAAGCAAGTAACATATAAAGAGGCTCTATCCTCTTTTTGTCTAGCAACAGATTTCTCAATGGAAACTATATAGGCCAACAGGGAGTGAAACTGCATTTTTAAAGTGCTGAATGAAAAAAACCTCTCATCCAAAAATACTGTATCTAGCAAAGCTATCCTTCAAATATGCAAGAGAGATAAAATCTTATTGAGACAAAAGCTGGGAGAATTCACCACTAGTAGAACTATCTTAAAAGAAATTATAAGGGAGTTCTTCAACCTGAAAGAAAACAAAAAAATTAATGTACAAAAAGAAAAGGAAAACAAAAATAAAATTTGAAGATATAAAACCCATGGGTAAAATTAAGTACATGTAAAAATCCAGAATACTCTAATACTGTAACTATAGTGTGCAATCCATTTATAACTCTAGTTTGAAACTCCAAAGACAAATATATCAAAAACAATAATAGCTATAACAACCAGTTAAGAGATAGACAATATAAAAATATGTAAATTGGGACAAGAGTCAAAATGTGGGGGAATGAAGTTACATTGTAGATTTTTTTTTGTTTCTATTCTTTGTTTCTATTTTTTGTGTGATCTAAGATAAGTCATCAACTCTTTAAAAATAACTTGTTACATATATGAAATTTTTTTGATAAGCCTCATGGTACTCATAACATAAAAACCTATAATAGAGTCACTAAAAATAAATAGCAATGAATTAAAACATACTGCCAGGGAAAAAATTACTTAACCATAAAGGAAAAGAGTAAGAAAAAAAGAAAGGAGTTAGAAAACAACCAGAAAATAAGCAATAAAATGGCAGTAGTAAGTTCTTACTTATCAATATTAACACTTAATGTAAATAGAATGAATTCTCCAATTAAAAGGCATAGAGTGGCAGAAGGGATAAAACAAGACCCAACTGTATGCTGCCTTCAAAAAAGTCACTTCATCTGTAAAGGCACACATAGACTGAAAGTGAAGGAATGGAAGAAGATATTCCAGGCAACTGGAAACCAAAAAAAGGCAGAAGTATCTATAATATATCAGATAAATAGACTACAAATCAAAGACTGTAAAAAGAAGCAAAGGAGTTCACTATATAATGATAAAGGGGTCAAATCACCAAGAAAATACAACAATTATAAATATCTATGTACCCATCACCAGAGCTCCCAAGTATATATAAAAACATTAACAATTGCCTGTATCAAAATATCTTATGTACCCCATAAATATACATACCTACTATGTACTCATAAACATTAAAACTTTAAAAAAACACTAACAGATCTAAAGGGAGAAATAGACTGTGATACAATAGAAGTAGGGGACTTTAACACCCCACTGTAATAATGGGCAGATCATTCAGACAAAACGTTTTTAAAAACTCAACCATCAGAGTTTAACTACACACTAAACCTAATAGGCCTAACTGATATTTACAAAACGTTTCACCCAACGGCTGCAGAATACACATCTTATTCATCAGCACATAAAATATTCTCTGGAATAAACCATATCTTTAACCATTAAATAAGCCTCAACAAATCCAAAAAAGTAGAAACCATTTCAATCTTTTCAGATCACAATGGAATAAAACAAGAAATCAATTAACAAGAGGAATTTTGGAAACTACACAAACATGTGTACATTAAACAACATGCTCCTGAACAACCAATGGCTCAATAAAGAAATTAAGAAGGAAATTTAAAAATTTATTGAAACAAATGCAAATGGAAATAAAACATACCAAAATCTATGGGATACCGAAAAAGCAGTGTTAAGAGGAAAGTTTATAGCAATTTATACCTATATCAATAAAGTAGAAAGACTTTAAATAAACAACTTAATGATGTACCTCAATGTACTAGGGAGGTAGAACAAATCAAATCTGAAATTAGTAGATGAAAAGAAATTATAAAGATTACAGGAGAAATAAATGAAGTTGGGACTAAAAAAATAACAAAAAATCAACAAAACAAAAAGTTGGTTTTTTGAACAATGGAATCAGCGAAACTTTAGCTATACTAAGAAAAAAGAGAGAAAATCCAGGTAAATAAAATCAGAAATGAAAAAGGAGTCATAAAAACTGAGACCTCAGAAATACACAAAATCCTTAGAGACTGTTATGCTATTATGAGCAACTGTAGGCCAACAAATTGGAAAAGCCGGAAGAAATAAATAAATTCCTGAACACATACAACCTGCCAAGATTGAACCATGAAGAAATTAAAAACCTCCACAAACCAATAACAAGTAATGAGATCAAAGCTGTAATAAAAAGTCTCCCATCAAATAAAAGTATATGACCTCATGGCTTCACTGCTGGATTCTACCAAACATTTAAAGAAGAACTAACACCAATTCTACTCAAACTAAACTCTTCAAAAAAATTGAAGAGGAGAAAATACTTTAAACTCCTATGGAGCCAGCATTACCCTGATAACAAAACCAGACGAAGACACAATAAGACAAAAAAAAAAAAAAAAAAAAAAAAAGAACAAAATTACAGGCCAATATCCCTGATGAACATAGAGGCAAAAAAATTCTCAACAAAATACGAGCAAACTGAATTCAGCAATACATTAATAAGATCATTCACCATGATCAAGTGGGATTCATCCCAGGAATGCAAGGATGGTTCAACATACGCAAATCAGTAAATGTGATACATCATATCAACAGACAAAGATTTAAAAAATATAATTATTTCAATAGATGCTAAAAACGCATTTGATAAAATTCAACATCCTTTTACAATAAAAAGCCTCATCAAACTAGATAAAGAAGAAACAAACCTCAAAGTAATAAAGCCTGTATATGACAAACCCACAGATAACATTTTACTGAATGCAAAAAATTGAAGGCTTTTCCTTTAAGATCTGCAAAAAGACAAGGATGCCCACTTTCACCACTTTTATTTAACATAATGCTAGAAGTCCTGGCTAGATCAATTAGACAAGAGAAAAAAATAAAGAGCATCCTAATTGGGAAAAAGAAGTTAAATTAGCCTTGTTCACAGATGACATGACCTTATACTTAGAAAAACCTAAAGACTTCACCAAAAACTGTTAGAACTGATAAATAAATTCAGTAAAGTTGCAGGATACAAAACCAACATACATAAATTAGTAGCATTTATATATGCCAATGGCAAACAATCTGAAAAATAAGTCAAGAAAGAAATCCCATTTACAATAGCTACAAAGAATATAAAACACCTAGGAATCAATTTAATTGAATAAGTGAAAGATCTATACAAGAAAACCTGTAAAACAGTGATAAAAGAAATGGAAGAGAACACAAAAAATGAAAGCACATTCCATGTTCATGGGTTGAAAGAATTAATCTTGTTAAAATGACAATACTACTCAAAGAAATGTACAGAATCAATGCAATCCCTATCAAAACGCCAATGACATTCTTCACAGAAATACAAAAAGCAATTATAAAATGTATATGAAACCACAAAAGACTCTGAACAGCTAAAGCAATCCCGAGAAAAAAGAACAAAGCGGGAGGCATTACACTACTTGACTTCAAAATTTACTACAAACCTATAGTAACCAAATCAGCATGGTACTGGCATGAAAACAGACACATAGACCAATGGAACAGAGTAGAGAGCCCAGACATAAATACATGCATTTATAGCCAACTAGTCTTTGACAAAGTTTCCAAGAATGTACAATGGAAAAAAGGATAGTCTCTTCAATAAATGGTGCTGAAAAACCTGGTTAACTATCTGCAGAAGAATGAAACTAGATTCCTATCTCTGTCTATCACCATATAGAAAAAAAAACGTATTAAGACCTGTATTAAATCTAAGGCCTGAAATTATGAAATTAGTAGAAGAAAACTCTGGGGAAACACTCTAAGACATTGATCTGGGCAAAGATTGTTTGTGTAAGACTTCGAAAGCACAGGCAACCAAAGCAAAAAAAGGACAAATGGGATTACATCAAGTTAAAAAGCTTCTGCACAACAAAAGAAACAATCAACAAAGAGACAACCCACAGAATGGGAGAAAATATTTGAAAACTATACATCTGACAAGGTATTAATAACCAGAATATAGAAGAAGCTAAAACAACTGAATAGCAAAAAAAAAAAAAATAATAAATATAATAATCCAATTGAAAATGGACAAAAAATGTGATTAGACTTGTCTCAGAAGAAGACTTTCAAATGGTCAACAGGTATATGAAAAAATGCTCAACATCACTAATCATCGAAGAAATGCAAATCAAAATCACAATGAGACATTATCTCACTTCAATTAAAATGAATTTTATCAAAAAGACAATAATGGATGCTGGTGAGGATGTGGAGAGAGGGGGACCCCTTATACGCTGCCGGTGGAAATGTAAATTAGTACAGCCACTGTAGAAAACAATATGGAAATTCGTCACAAAAATAAAATAGAACTACTATATGATATAGGAATTCAACTACTGGGTATGTATCCACAAGAAAGTAAATCAACATTTTGAGGAAATGTCTGCATTCTCATGTTTATTGCAACCCTATTTACAATAACCAAAAATGGAATCAACCTAAGTGCCCATCAATGGATGAATGGATAAAAAAATGTGGTATATATACACAATGAAATATTATTCAGCCATAAAAAAATAAAATCTTGCCATTTTCAGCAACATGGATAGAACTGGAGGTCATTATTTTAAATGAGATAAGCCAAGCACAGAAAGACAAATATTACATGTTCTCACTCATATATATCAGCTAAAAATGTGGGTATCATGGAGATAGAGAGTAGACTGGCAGTTACCAGAGGCTGGGAAGGGTAGAGAGGAAGGAAGGATGAAGAGAAGTTAATTAATTGGTACAAATATATGACCTGATAGAAAAAATAAGACCTAGTGTTTGATAGATCAGTAGGGTGACTATAGTTTATAATAATCTATTTTACGTTTCACGTGAGCTATAAGGGAATAATTCAAATGTTTCTAGCATTAAGAAAAGTATTTAAGGTGATGGTTATCCCATGTACATTGATTTGATCTTTACATGAAAGTATTAAATTATCATATGTACCCCAAACTATGTATTAATATATCTTTTATGCATAAATAAAAACACATAAAAATAAACAAGAAACAAAAAAACAAAATCTCATGATCAGACTCTTTGCAGCTTCTAAAATGTGATAAATTAATTCATTTAAAGCTGCTTAGTGGAAAAAAGCATGATGATTTCTAGAAGAGAAATATCCACTTCCACCCTAGACCCTGACCCCTGCCCTGCTATGGGTACATTTTTAAAATTACTATTCTGCCATCCCACACATAAGGCAAAAGCTGTGATGGTGGAATAACACTGATGACGGAATATCAGTTCAGGTTAAAAAAATGGTGAATATATGGGCAGGAGACAGGGTGACGTGGGTGAAGAAATATGGAGAATATATTTGGAGGCTGATGGAATATGGTGAGATTCATAGGTCCTATTATAATTAGTCTTCTTGTTTGTTCAAGCATAACGCTGACCCTATCTGAAGCCAGTGTGGTTCTATCAGAAGCAAGTGTCTGCCTGCCATAGTTTGAGAATCAGCAATTTGAAAAGGCAGGATGAATGTAGGTGGAGAAACATGGGGCTGTCTTTGCAGGTGACATACTATGGGATTCTCAGGTCTCATAAGGATTAGCATCTGAAGGACCATGTGAAATAACTAGTGGATCATTGTCCATGTCACTTATTAATTATATGGAAATCAGTGGTAAAAAAGGATTTGCATCTGGCAGTAAAGCCTATTGATAATTGTTCCGTATTTTATTCAAAAGCATTTAATGATTATAGTTTAATAATATTATACTGTGTATATCAGATAGTTTAGTTGCATATAATGTTAAGCCTATCAGTTATACTTCCCAAGTTTACCCCTTATTCATTTACTCTTCTTAATTGCTGTTGACACTCTTCCCCGTCCAAGCCAACATTATTTTTCATCTGAAAGGCTATAGTAGCCCCTCTATGTCTACTTTTGTGAACTGACAGTCCGTTATCCACAGAACCACCAGAGGAAGTTTTAAAAGAGGTAAATTAGATCCTGTCATTCCCTTGCTCCAGGGGTGTCCAGTGTTTTGGCTCCCCTGGTCCACATTGGAAGAAAAGAATTGTCTTGGGCCACACTTAAAATACCCTAACGATAGCTGATGAGCTAAAAAAAAAAAAATTGCAAAAAGATCCCGTAATGTTTTAAGAAAATTTATGAATTTGTCTTAGGCTGCATTCAAAGCCATCCTGGGCCGCATGTGGCCTGTGCGCCACCAGTTGGACAAGCTTGCAACCTTACTATAACTCCCTTTTCCACCAAGAATAAAATCCAGATTCCTTTCTGTAGCCTGAAAGGCTCCACACAATCCAACCCCTGCCAAGCTCTTGACCAAATCCCGGTTACTCTCTCTCCATCTTGCTCAGCCTACTACAGAGAAAGTTCTCTGTCACTTTCTCAGGTCTAGGCAATCAGAGAAATAGATCAAACACTGATTTGTAGCATTTGCAATTTCTGTGGTATAAATACTCCTAGATAGCAACATGATGTCACTGAAGGTGAATTTGGGTAGAAATGTGCAGTCACACTCCATTATAAGTATTTCCACCATACAGAAACAGTAGGTGTAAAAAAAATCTCAGAAGCATAGGTCATAGTACAATGTAATATAACTCGTGATAAGTTTTGAGTGTGTATTACCTTTTGTTTTAAGTGAAATGTATTTACTTGTAAGTTTATGTAACTTATTTTAAAATAACATCTGTGTTTCATACCTAGCTCATGAAACTCCTGAACATTTTACAATAGGTTTCACAAGTGGGCTCCAGCAACCACTCTATGTACCCCAGATGTCCTCAATATTTTTCCCTGGATTCACATATTTATGCATAACCAAGAAAATGCCTCTATGTTTTGTCCCATGAGATTTAGCCCAGACCTTTCCTGCAGTTGTATTACTTTCCCTGGAGCCTTATTAGTTAGGTTTATTTCATTATGTCACCTTTCTCTTATGGGAAATGGTTTGGGGTCTGAAGTCCCTTTGTTTGGCCCCTGTGCTCTCTTTCCTTGGTGATAACTCTGATGCTAATTGGTTATCTTCCAAGACTGAAACAGAAACTCAGTATCTCATTTTGTCTTCCAATTATGCACCTGTGTCCAAAATTATGCAAAGAAATAGGTATCTATTTCCTGCTGTGTCTTGTAAACATCATGTTTATTACACTAACATCGTTTTCTTCCCTGAATTTATGTGTGCATGCCCACAAGGCTGTTTCAGTACCAGCTTCTTTTATATCCCTTTGTTTAAAATACTTATTTCTGAAATGCTATCTGAATTTGAACATACTAAAATTGTTTATGGTCAATTTTAACTCTTATTTATTTGCTGTACCTTAGGGACTTTGTCTTTCTCATAACTGTATGCCCAGCCTCTAGTACATTTCCTGGCATGTGGTAGACACTTAGAAAATATTGACTAAATGGATGACTGCATCTTCTTCCATGCCCAAAACTATATAGTTTCTAAAAAATCAGTTGTTCTGCCTGACTTTCCTGTTTTTTTCTTCCTAATGGCACCACTCGTTTTTTGATTGCCAAAGCTCAAACCCTGAGTTTTCTTATGAGCATCTTTCTTTCACTCCCAGTTGTCACCAGTCTTGGTAGTGTCCCAACATGTGTTCTCCCTTGGCCCCTGTAAATTCTTTTTAACTCTGCCACTGGCCCATCTCAGAGCCTTATCATCATTCACTAGGCTACTGTTAACTCTCTTCTAATTAGTTTTCCTACCTCCAGTCTTTCTTCACATTAATCCATCTTCCTGGTGTCAGAGGAACCCTCCCGAAGCAAGGCCAGATCATGTCACATCCTTTAAAATGGACCAGATGGCTCTGAAAGCGTCAGGATAGAGTCCAGATTCCCTCACGTGCCATTCAGGCCCTTCCACAATCTGGCCTTAATCTGCCTGCCCGCCCTTCTCTCGCCGCAATTTCTTCCACATTTAACATGCCCACGTCTCCCAGGTGACTTCCTCAGAACACCGTTTCCTCAGAAAGTAATGGAGGTTGCACTGAACACATTCCCCATGGCCAAATAAGCTGGGGAGGCAATGCTGGCCTAAACAGCTGGTGAGACTTCTCAGAGCCTAAGTATGTTGAAAAATAAGACCGAACAATATGTTGTTTGGGATACGCATTTAGCAAAACTGTAGAGAAAAACAATGGAATGATAAATACAAAATTGAAGGCAGCAATTATCTTTGGTGGAAAGGAGAGAGCTGTGACCAGAGAGGGATATATCAGTGGCTCCAATGATGTTAGAAATTGTTCTCTATCTTAAGCAAGGTACTGGGTATACGAGTGCATGTTATTTGTTATTATGTTGCTTTTCACATTTTAACATCTCTGAAATCAGGATAGGCCTACAATCACAGATAGCCAGGTGACAATTGTGCTGTAGTTGTCTTTACAACTACAGCACAATGATGTTAGAAATTGTTCTGTATCTTAAGCAAGGTACTGGGTATACGAGTGCATGTTATTTGTTATTATGTTGCTTTTCACATTTTAACATCTCTGAAATCAGGATAGGCCTACAATCACAGATAGCCAGGTGACAATTGTGCTGTAGTTGTCTTTACCTTAAAAACATCATCGCTGATTTCTTTCACTTGTGTTCTCTTTTTTTTTTCTTGCATGCATGAGTGTCATAAGGCAAAAAATCTAAGCCTGAAAGACCTCTTTTGTTAAGTATAAAATAAAAATCTAAATGGCAAGAAAATAATTCATCTATGAGTTTATAACAATATCTACATTCTTGTTTTATGGAAACTATAGGGTCTTCAGGGCTGAAGCAGTTTTCCCACAACCTCTTCCCCTATAATAGTCAATGTTCATGGTACAGATGATTGCTACAATATGAAGCTCAGTGTCTTACACCTAGTAAGTGCACTCTAAATATTATTTATTGGATTTCCAGTGACTATATTAATATTGAACTCAAATGATTCACTAACATTCTTCACCAAATCTGGTCATTTTCAAAAAATAAAAAATAAAAACAACAACAAAACAAACAAACCAAGAACAGTGATTGGAAAGCCCACTTTGATAAATGTCTGACCTGATAAGACAATCCATATCTATGTGCTAATAGGAAGAAGTCTTAAAGGCATATTGATACTACTCTTCTCTGAACTGTTTCTGTGCTTAGTTTTCTATGATGTGCCATGTAGTGAATTTTGTCTTCACAAATTACTTCTGTTTTTAACATAAAAATCATAATATCCTTGAGGGATTGTGGCTTATATTTTAGCACTACTTATAATGCTATGCATACAGTGTTACTTAATCTGTTGTTTGATTAATGATTCTGTTTGTGTAAGTGTCACATTGATCATATCCTCAAAACACAGTTCTTAGGCTGTAATTCAGCTCTGTTCTTATTGCCACAGCATCTTAAAATTCTACCTGTGAATCTAAATTGGAAGTCATTCTGTAGTGTGTGATTCTTATTTATTTGGCTTATAGTAAATCAAGAGAGATTGATTGGTAGTTTAATAAACCGATTTATAAGAAAGTCCCCAGTCATTGTGTCCACTGACCTTCAAGGTAAGAATGTTGGTTTGACCAGTTGTAGGTTCAGTAACATTGGATCCAGCTTTCCGGGAGATACCCAGAATCTCCATATGACTAAATATGGACTTCTAAGATTCATGTAGACACTACCTATTCTGATCATCACTTTCCATGAAGACGCAAGTCTCAAATTATTATTTTAATAGAATCAGCCATCATCTTGCAGTCTGTTTAACTGTTGACTTTTATTTTCATTTGCATATATTCCCTTTTATGAAAGGGCTACTCCTTTTCCTTGGTTCACTTGTGATCTTTATTTTTTTGTTACATGCTTTTCTTGCTGTTGAACAAGGTTTAAATTGGATCACTGATCTAAAATATTCATTTTGAAAATTACTTCACAAAAAATTAAAAGATTAATAGTTAATGCTTTCAACTGTGGTCTGTAGTGAGGGCCAAATGGTATTAAAATTTGTTCTTCCTTGTCATTCTGTTCTAAATAATATCTATTAGGATGATTAGTACCAAAGAAGCGATTTTGCTCTGTTGTCCAGGCTGGAGTGCAGTGAAGTAATCATGGTTCATTGCAGCCTCTGTGTCCCGAGTTCAGGTGGTCTTTCCACCTCAGCCTCCAAAGTAGCTGAGACTACAAATGCATGCTACCATGCGTGGCTAATTTTTAAAAATTTTTTTATAGTGATAGGGTCTCACTATGTTGCCCAGGAGTTCACTGGGCCCGAATGATCCTCTTGCCTCAGCCTCTCAGAATGCTGGGATTACGTACATGAGCCACTGCCACTAGCTGTGATCTGTATTTTTCTGTTGCTCACATACCACTGTAGTGCTAACCATTTACTGAGTTCTAGTTCTAATCATTTGTGGGGTAGAGACTTTGGGTAATATGTTCTATTCCTAAACCCTTGCTTTTGGATTGTGAAAATGGAAGACTATTTAGAAGTGGAAACAATTGAGTTGCAATCTTTATACACCTAAACCAGGACCAGAAATCCTGGATTGCTGTGTTTGCCATTTGTTCTTAAAAATAATAAATCCTAGAACATATTTTATTACCCCATTATTACATATCAAAAATTAAATCTTCCCAAGACAAATAAAATAAATGAAAAGTTAATTGTGAATGTAGCTTATTTCAAAAATTACACTTAAATCTATACCTGAAAATACTTTTCTTTAGTGAAGAAGACATCATTTAAATGTTTCATAAAATTTTAGAATGAAAAACTTCTTGTAGATTTAATTCATTCTCATTTTAGAAGAACAGAATTAAAATTGCCTCTTTGGTTAATTTAAATATTGATACTAATCATCCTAATAGATATTATTTAGAACAAAAAGACAATGAAGAACAAGCTTTAATACCATTTGGCTGTCTCTAAAGACCACAGTTGAAAGCACCAACTATTAATCTTTTAATTTTTGGTACAGTAATTTTCAAAATGAATATTTTAGATCAGTGATCCAATTTAAACTCTGTTAAATAGCAAGGAAAGCATGTAATCAGAAATAATTCTTCTGTCACATTTCAACATTAAAGTCAAGGCCTTTTACAAACCTTTGAAAAGTATTTGGGAATAACCTCATTATATTTTAAAAAATTCTTTCTTTTTTTTTCATAGGATATACATGTTATATGTCACCTCTCCCTGAGATCTTTTGTAATAGAAAGTCTTCAATGTGTTCGTAATAAAGAATTCTAGGTAATAAAATTTTATTTTCTTTTTAAGGATATGCTGAAAGTGAGAAAGGGTATTAAAGTATTAAACTACTCAAAGAACACCCCAAAATATTTTCATTAATAAGATTAATAATTTGCACTGCATTTATCTGAAAAAAAACACACACACACAGTGCTACATTAATCAGTTTGGCAGTTGTTTTAAAAGGATAATGTCTTCTGAACAACCTATTAGAAGAGAGAGACATGATGCAGACTTGGAGGTTCAGCATTTGGAAACCATCCAGAGCATCACACTGAGGAGCCATAGAGTAGGCTTTTGTGGCATAGAGCCCTAGAATTTTTGGAAATTCTAACTTGAGTGCCAAAAGAGCTGTGGTTATCTGTGATTTCAGAGGCAGCTCACTGGGTTCTCTATGATGTAGAAAGCTTGAACCCTAGTTCTCACGGAGATCATCAGCTCCACAAAATTGGCTGGAGAATTATTATTATTGCAGAGAAGGAGGGCAATTGTCAGGGTTTGTTAGTCTGTATTCTATAATAGTCTGTGTATTGGTCAGGGTTCGCCAGAGAAAAAGAACACACAGGAGATACACACACACACACACACACACACACACACACACACACACACGCTTTAATATGAGGAATTGTCTCAAGAAATATGGAGGCCAAGAAGTCTCAGAATCTATAGTTTGGGCAAGCTGGATATTCAGAAGTGAAAATGGTTTAGATCCTGTTTAAGTCCAAAGGCCTGAGAACCAGAAGAGCCAATGACATAAGTTCTAACCTGAAAGCCAAAGGTCCAAGACCCAAGAAGAGCCAAAGTTTTAGTCAATGTTTAAAAGCAGAAAAAGATTGATGTCCAACCTCAGGCACTCAGGCAGGAGTTTCCTCTTACTTGTGGGAGGGTCAACATTTGTTGTTCTCTTCAGGTCTTCAACTAATTGAGGCCCACCACAGTGGGGAAAGCCATCAGCTTTACATAGTCTACTGATTCAAATGTTAATCTTATCCAGAGTAATGTTCTCCCAAATGTCTGGGTACCCCAGGTCCACTCAAGTTAACATATAAAATTAACCATCCCAATCTAATAGCTTTTCTCACATTGCCTAAAAGATGTTGAAACTACCTGTAATATACATTTTTTTTTTCAGGCGAGATTTAAGAGAATTAAAAGCAGGGCTTTATGTGGAACCATTAATGTTTCAGACTTGGAAGAGATATTTTAAATTTCTAGTACAACTCTTTCACTTTATCTTCATAAAGATGACTCTCTTGGGGCCTCTGAGGTAATGAGAGGCCACCCTGGTCCCTGACCTCCTGTTCTTAGACACGGGCTTCTCCTACAGTCCACATAACCCCTCTCAAAGCCAAGGAAGGCATTACCTGAGGGGAGGCTTGTTTTCTCCTTCATCTGCTTCTGCTCTTTATTCTGCTCCTCTTCGTCATTTACCCTAAGCTCTTCCTCCTATTGTTCCTCTTACTTTTCTCACTCCTTGTCTTATTCTTCCTGTTACCCCTCTCTCTCTTCTCTTTCTCCTTCTTTACCTCTTCCTCTTTCTTCTATTCTTCTTTCTGCTCTTCCTGCTCTGTCTTCTATTTTCTAGTGTGGGATAAACTTAATAAATAGGTTGCCCTAGGTTGTTCTTTCTTCAGCCTGAAGGTGAAGGCGTCATCTCCCTGTGATGGCTCCTCTTTTGAGCCATGCTCCCAGAGACATAATCAAAATAAGAGTGTACCTGAGGACTTGGTAACTGCATATGTAATGCCCCTTTGGGTGACACTTGACATCTCGTAGGAAAGATTGTTCAGGGCATTTGCTCAGTAAGATTCACATTTAATTAGCACATACTATGTGTTGGGTTCTATGTTAGGCACTTCAGCTCAGGTAGGAGGAAGACAGAGGTCTGGGAAGGTCTATCATAAAAAGGTAGTAACCTTTTCAGCAAAGGACATAAAAATTGTAGACTAGAAATAATGATAATGATGCTTATATAAGTTTTTCAAGTTTTGTATTATCTCAATGTTTGGCATTAATTAATTTCATTTTTATTATTGCACTTCTTATTGTGTTATTATTGCATCTTTGACTACATACATTAATTCACTTGTTTATTCATTCAACTACTTACCCAATTATCTAACATTTACTTAGCTCCTACTCGGTTCTGGGCATGTATTAGTAAATAAGACAGATTTTTCTCTCAAAAAGAGATAACATAGCATAAGGACTAAAAATTTGGACTCTGAAATTGGATAGCTGGTGTCTGAGGCCCAGTTTTTGTCACTCACTTAGACATTATCTTTTCTAAGCCTAATTTGCTCATTGTAAAGTGGGGATTATTAATAGGACTATGGTGAAGATTGAAGGCATTTTGGGAGTGCTTGGCACATAGTAAGCACTCATGAATGTTCATCATTGTTATTACTGACAGCTGGCTCAGAGATTTATGGAAGTAAACCAACAACAGAGAACAGTGTAACAAATGTCAGTGCAGGGAAGCACTTGGCCCAGCTAGAGAGATCACCGAAGGCTTTCTGGAAGACATGGCACTTGAGTCAAGACCATAGGCAGAATAGGAGCTACCTGGCAAGGAGTCTAGAAGAGGATATTTCAGGCAAAGAAGAACAGCACTTAAAAACGCAATAGGCTATAAGAGCTCGAGGTAGGTGTATTAGTCTGTTCTTACACTGCTATAAAGAAATATGTGAGACTGGGTAATTTATAAAGAAAAAAGGTATAATTGACTCATGGTTCCACAGGCTGTACAGGAATCATGATGCTGGCATCTGCTCAGCTTCTGGGGAGGCCTCAGGAAAACTTACAATCATGGTGGAAGGCAAAGGGGGAGCAGAGCAGGAGGAAGTGGGGCAGGGAGGTGCCACACACTTTTAAACAACCAGATCTCATGAGAACCCTTTCATGAGAGCAGCACGAAAGGGGGAAATCCACACCCATGATCCAATCACCTCTCACCACACCCCACCTCCAACATTGGGGATTACAATTTGACATGAGATTTAGGTGGGGACACAGAAGCAAACCACATCACAGGGCTTGGAGAAGAGCACTGAAGAAGAAAGGTTTTATTTATTAAACGGCAGAAGTAGACTTTGTAGGGGTCAGTGTCAGGACAGTTCAATCACCCATTTTACAGATGAGAAGACTGAGGCCCAGCTGCCTCTGTTGAACTGAATAGACTAAGGTCAAACAGCTGGTGAATGAGAGAGCTCATTTACACCACAGCCTCCATCACCAGTGCAGAGTCAAGTGGGAGAACAGCCTGCTGTAAGTGTACATGTAGGAGGCAAGAGTTTATGTAGAGAAGTTTGTGTCAGCAGCTATGTCTCTCCATGACTTATACTCTTTCTTAACTAGCTGTGTATTTAAGGTTATTAAAGCAAGTATTTTGGGGTGTATTATTGTTAGACACCCGTCTTAATCCATTTTGTGTTGCTATAACAGAATACCTGAGGCTGAGTAATTTATAAAAAAAAGAGGTGTATTTAGCTTACAGTTCTGCAGGCTGGAAAGTTCAAGAAGCATGGCACTGGCACCTGATCAGCTTTCGGTGAGGGCTTTTGTACTGCATCAGAACATGGTGAAGAAGGACAAAGGGGAAGCAGACACATCTGAAGAGGGACTGAACCCAAGGTGTGTCCTGGTTTTACAACAACCCACTCTTGAGGGAACTAATGCATTCCTTTGAGAACTAGTCCTGTCTTGCCAGAGTAATTCTCTCACTACCACAAGAACAACACTAAGCCATTCATGAAGGATCTGCTTCCATGACCCAAATACCTCCCACTAGGACCCACCTCCCAATACCATTATATTGGGAATCAAATTTTAACATGAGCTTTGGTGCGGACGAACAAACCATATCCAAACTATAGCAAAGACATTAATGCTTCTTCTTGTCAGAGCTCATCCACACTTGATACTACCACTTCTCCTCATTGCAAATCTAAGAACTATTTGGTTGATACAAAAGTAATCATGGTTTTGCCATTAAAAGTAATGGCAAAAACTGCAATTACTTTTGCACCAACCTAATATTTGCAAATTCTTAGCCATGTGATCTGGTCAAGATGAAGAAAGGGATCTGAAGAATTAATGATTTGTAATCAAGAAAAAAAAGTCCAAATCTAGATATACTGTTTTGCAGGTCCCAATTTCTCATCATTAGTATTTATTTAGTCCATTAGTTGTCATTCGACAAATGGAGCTTTCATTAACTCTGGGTCCTAGGACCTAGAGATACCATAATGACCAAGATGAACTGCCCCACCCCACAGTGATGGTGGTAATGTGACAAGTAAATAAGTGACTGCAAAATAGTGTGACAAATGCAATAAATGTCCTAAGATGGACATTTATTCTGATCCAGAGCATCAAGAAGGGCTTTCTAGAGGCACTAATTTCAGCATTGAGCTTTGAAATAGATAGAGGTTAGAAGTTACTGAGCTGGAAAGAACTGGTAGTTAGGCAAAGGAGGCCTGGGGAACATCAGGGCAGTGGCCTGGAGGCAAGAGGCTGTAACTGAGGAATCAGAAGAGAGGCAGTGTGGCTAGAATGTAGGGGATTCATTCATCTCTGGAGAGGAGGCTGGAGAGGTATAGAAGCCGGATATGAAGGGCCATGTGAACCTGAGAAAGGAATTGAAAGTTAATTCTATGAACGCTGTGGGATCATACAGTATTTATGCAGGGGAGAAAAAGATCAGACATTGGATTTTAGAAAGGTCCTTCCTGCTGCAGTGCTGTCACAGAAGAGATTGCCATAACCAAGAGTGGGTGCAGGAATATCAGCTTGGGGACTTTTATAAGGGTGGCCTAGGGATGAAGGGAAGAGGAAGGATGGGAGTGGTAATTAGCTTAATAACTGGGTGTGTGGGTGGATGAGAGAGAGAAATCATAGATAAATTGCACTCACCAGATGCTACTGAATCTATCTGTCTCTGCTAGTCCTGTTCACAGAAACAGGGGACACTGGGAGAGGGAGAGCCTGAGGATATAAAGAGGATCAGAAGACAAAGGAGTGAGTTTAGCTTTAGACCATTTGAATTTGAAATGTTTGTGGGTCACCCAGGTGTGTCTGTCCAGCATAAAGCAGGCCAGTGAAAATATCAGTGTATGTATGTAAACTTAATAACTAGTTATTTTATGAATACACTCCCTGGATAAGGAGATCAAATTCCACCTAGGAGCTGGGTGGTTTCTCAGCACTCAAAGCAGTCCCAACAGGCTCTAATTGAGCTCAGAGTGCCTAGCCAGGCACTGGGGGAACGGGAGAAGGAGGAGCAGAGAAAAATCTAGATGGGGCTGCTTATGTAAGGCCAGAATTCAGAGAGAAAGCCAGAGGCACTGCGGAATCTCTTCTTCATAGCCATGGGAATAATAGTAAAATTGTTCATGAAACACCAAGTTGCCTGAGTAGTAAATGAACTAATTTTGTGATAAGCTCAAAGGACACAGAAGCTAAAAACATGGACTTTTGAGCAGATAATTCTGGTTTAAACTCCCATTTCTGTCCCTTTCTATATGACCTTAGGGAAATTACTCACTCTCTCTAAGCCTCAGTTTCTTTATCTTTAAATGAGATGACACTACCTAGTTAGATATAAAAACACCTAGCTTATTGGATTGCTGAAGGATTAAGTGAAATATCGTATATGAAGTTCTGGCAAGTTTCAGTGTTTGTCAATAGTGAGCCCTCAATCTCTGGTAGTTACTGTTGCTGTTATGAGATATCCCAAGAAGGCAAATATCCTTGTTGCCATGTTTACTACAGCAGCAGGGAGGAAAGGAGCAGACAGCCACACCCATTCACATATATGTGTATAGAACATGTGACTATACACGTATTTATAATAACAGAAGACTTCATTATTTTCTTGCTTTAAAACCATAACCATGTAATTTTATGAAAATATGAAAGAAGAGTGCATCCCGTTGCTAAGTGATATGCTCATGTAATTACTGGGGAAACAGATGGCCAATCAATAGTAGACAGCTAATTGCCTTACAAATAGATTTAGTTAAAGATTGGAAATGATGATAAAAGTGTGTTGTCCTTATGATAGTGATATTAAGGCGGTTCATGGTCAATTATAATAATATAAATCATATTGAAAAGAGCATCTTATTTCTACTTTTAAGCTAATAGGAAGCCACTGCTTTCTGTATTGTTGAGTCAAGTTTTGGAAGAAAAATGGAACCACTCATTGTGCTAGACAAATGCTTTATTCTAGGCTACTTTTTCTTCCAAGGAAGATGAGCATTTGAAAAGTAATTATCTATCCATTCATTCTGCCAACCAACATTTAGTGAACATCCACTATTATACTTTCATGCAAACTTTCTTCTTCCATACTCTACCTTCTTCCTCCACTTTGCTCCTAAAAAGTCCAAACTACCAGAAAAATGTAGAAGTGGGCACCCTGTGTACACACATGGCTGATGACAAGGTAAATTGGAACAATATTTTAAGAAAACAGTATGCTTCTGTCAATCAAGCACAAAAGTATTATGCCAGTTGGTCCAGGAATCTCACCTCCTTGGAAACTATGTGGAGAAAATAATTCAGCCAAAGAAAAAAGCTGCTTGTATGAAGATATTTATTGTGGAATTATTTATAAGAATAAATTGGAAACAAATTATATGTCCAATGCTAAATAATAATTAAGAATGACAATCCCATTTATGAATTCTACATAACATTATGCAGCTATTTATAATGTTTACAGTCTTCTTAGAAATCTGAACAAAATTTATGATCTCATAAATAAGGTAGTTTGCAAGAATTCACCAGTTCTATGTTTATAGCTATGCAAAGAATAAGTATAAAATAGGAAAATGACTGAGAAAGAGCAAACAAAACTGAAAATAATTGTGTTAGAAGAGTGGAATATTCTTTTTTCAGTCTTCAACAACTCATTTTGATATTCTTTTATGATATATTAAATGTGAACACCACAAAGAATTGTTCTGTATGTAGTCAAAATCCAAGATGGCACCTTCCAAACACCAAATAAAAAGCCTTCCTTGCTTTTAGAATTCAAGTAATCTTAGAGCAATAAATAGTTGTTTCTCCATGTCTTATCTTCCTTGTTTTGTACTGTGAGAGGCATTTACAAGTATATTGAATTTCTCTTGCTTATGAATTCAACTGCTGCTGCTTTTCAACAAACAGCCTTAATCCTTTGTTTGGCTGTCATAGTTGCTACTGCAGGAATTATGATGCTGCCAACAGAGAATTCAGGAGATAAAATGAAGAGGTTTGTAAATGCCAGTACACTTGCACCCTTTTCTTGATATTACCAACTGTACATATGTGTATATCTCTTTCTATATATTTGTCCTATTAAACTCCAACCTTGTTCAGTGCGTGGACCATAAGGTTTATTTAATCTGAAAACATGCTTTGCATGCTATAATTATTATTACAGAAGAAAATAAATGTACTCACTAATCAGAATATCCACTAGCAATGAAGAAGGAAAATGCTGCCGTCCTTGGGGGTAGATTTCTGTAATGTTCCTCATGCCCATGCCAGAATTTTGTTTTCTTTTTCTTTCAACTTCCTAGACCCTAATTTCCAATGTCAGAATAGTTTCCCAGTCAGAATTGGGTAGGAGAGATGGAAGTCTGTGCTGGCTGCTTTTATAAATATTATGTGGTTGTTATTTTAGTGTGATTAAAAAAGAAAACAATGACTAAAATTATTCGTAATGATTCATATTAACATTGTGAGGCAATAATTATATTTCTATATTTCTATATATATATATATTTTGAGAGAGAGTCTCACTCTGTCACTCAGGCTGGAGTGCAGCGGTGCGATCTCGGCTCATTGCAACCTCTGCCTCTGGGGTTCAAGTGATTCTCACGCCTCAGCCTCCCAAGTAGTTGGGACTATAGGCGCACTCCACCACACCTAGCTAATTTTGTATTTTTGGTAGAGATGGGGGTTTTGCCATGTTGGCCAGGCTGATCTCAAACTCTTGACCTCAGGTGATCCACCAGCCTCAGCCACCCAAACTGCTGGGATTATAGGGGTGAGCCACCATACCCAGCTGGGAATAACTATATTTCTAAATGACAGAGCTTCATTAGGGTTAGACATTTGTGAGGAACATGCTTGCTTGCTGGAGATGCTTGGCTTGCAGGTGCCTGCCATTTGCATGTTGTATAGTGCACATCTGAACTTTGGAGCCACTCTTACCATCTGCCATAAACTGAAAGGTGCAATTTCCAAAACTGTTTTCCTTAAGACCCAGGATCTGAAAAAGATTATTTGAAAATCCCCTTAGAGATGGAAAGAAAGAAAAAAAGAAAGCAATGGTCCTTTTGCTTGTATATTATTCTATTCAATCTTCACTTTAGATAAAAATCACTGTAGGCCTTTGGTGACAGAAACAGATGTCTCAAAGAGGACTGGATCACACAAAGTCAGATTTCACCTGGGTAGAAAGCATTCTGCATTGACAACCATCTGGGTTTCAACTAGATGAAATGTGATGATGCAGAATATTGTCTCATAATACTTATGGATGTTTGGCTAATAGCACCAGTGATGACTGACCAAGGCCACTCACAGGGAGCAGCTGCACAAATGTATGTACGTAGATGTCTGTGTGTCTGTGTATATGTAGGCATGTGTGTATATATAAGCATGGGCATGTTTATATGCATGTTTATATGCATATACACATAGGTGTGTATGTGTGTACATATGAGTGTGCATGTACATACACATATATACATGTATGCGTATGTATATGTGTGTATATATGTGTGTATGCATGTGTATGTATGTGCACTAAATGTTTTTAATTACATTTGCCAAATGCATTTTTGGTTTATATAACTTCCCACATTTCCAAGGTTACTGACATAATTTAACACCCAACATATGTCAGAGTTGTTATTTTGACTTTTTTAAAATTAAAGATGCAATTTCTAAATGAGTGCAGGAGACTTCAGAAATATTACTGTGCTAAATTTCAAGCTCCTGAAACTTTAAAACTCAGAAAAGAAGGGTGAGATCTTGGACATAAGCTCCTGTTTTCATTTGCTTAAAATGCGAATAGATTGCAAGACATCCAGGATCCACATTTCCCCAGTAAAGGCCTTGAGTCGTAAGACACTATCACAGGCAAAGGCAGTTTCCCTGCCAGCCCCCTCATTTCACAGAATACAAGTGTAGCCCTTGTGTAGGTAAGCGAGTCCAGAGTGTCCTGGCTTCTCGTGGGCCTCTTTATTGCAAACAGAGTAGACTTTTAAATAAGCCAGAGCCTTAGCTTCCAGAAAGATAATCCGAGGCATGGAAAGGATGGTTAGTCTGATGAGCTAATTTTAGGACCTGGAATCTCAGCAGCATCCTTTTAATATTGCAGCACACGCTGCTGTTTCCAGGGCCTCTTCAGGATCTCCTTAAATAAATTAGGATCTAAAGAGCCCTCCTGTTTCCTTAGAGTTAAGCTAATGCTGCCAGCAGTGCCATTTTGGTTCCTTAGTTGCTCTCTGTAGGCCTCATAAAGCCCTTTCTCAACCCTCCACATGCTGGGCAAAGCACAACCTGGTGGTCGTGGCTCAGACACCATTTAATTTCCTTCTCAAACCATCTTGTTTTATGTAAGTTGACCTTTTCATGACTGTAAAATTTCCTCATTAGAAAATGACAGGCTCTCTGGGATTGCAAACCTTTCCTGATAACACTCTGTATAAAGGTGTCTGTGAAAGATTTTTCTCACTTAAAAATGAAAAGAGACCCTTTTGTCTACTCCACTAGCAGCTTTCAGAGCACACAGACAATCCACTTGAATTTTGTTTAAAAAAAAACAAACAAACAGGAAACCTTCACTTGTTGGGGCAGCCAGTAAGGGGGTGTCAGAGATGAATCTGAAGGATCTGGTTTTAAGAAACTCAGAATCATTATCCACTTCATTTTCAGAGTACCCATTCTCTGTTAAGTATGTAACATATGCCATTGCTAGAATTTCCTACAGCTCTACAGGGGTTCCTATTACAGTTGAGGAAACTTGGATTCAGAAAGGTCCAGAGGCTTGCCCAAGGTCATTGAGCAGGAGAGTGACAGAGCTAGTGCTTCAACCTAGGTCCTTGTGGCTCTGTTCTTTCCACTGCATCATTCTGCCTCTCAAGGCAATACTTGCTCAAAAAAATAAATTTCAGACAGACATGCTGCAGATGCCTTAGTTTGCATGGAATACACACTGTTAACAACAGTTATTGGATTGGAGAATTACTAGGGTTTCTGACCTCAGCAACTGGAGTACCTTCGCTACAGTACCAGTCCTGAGCCAGGCTGCTAGGATTCAAACCCTTTCATGGCCCCTGGCTGGCTGTGGCATTCAGGGTTGTCACTTCTCTGGAGTGAGGTCTCTTGAGCAGAAACATGAGCACATGTAACATAATACCTTCCTCACAGCATTGTTGTAAGGAGTAAATGAGAGAATGCTTGCAAAATGCTGTTGGGTAATTAATACAAAGTAGCTGTTATTATTACCAAAATGACATAGAAATGTTGCTGCCTCCCTGCCCATAGGAAAAAACTGGGGGAGCAAATCAACTTGTGACTTGCAAGAAACCTCAAATAATAGCACCAAATAAAGAAGGCTGATGTACACAATTTGCCAACAGTGGAGGGCATTGCGACAAAAACCGCCCGACAGGAAGGCCGAGGCTGTCACATCCCATTACTCTGGAGCTGTGACTTCATGCTGACTCAGCCAAAGGCAGGCAGTAATCACAGCCAAGTTTATATGCTCAGAATTGATGTGGCCATATTTCCACATTCTCAAAAGCAAAGCCAAGAGAAAACGGCGATCAGAAAGTTTTTATGGGCCTCATCATGAAATGGTGACAGCTCCAGCTTATTGATTTGCCTTTAGTTAACCTCTGTAATTCGAAGTGATCACCCTGCCAAAAATGAAGGTTTATCAAGGGAATCCTTTTTACCTTTTGGTCTTTTTGGAACAAAGACCTTGTCCGTTCTTCTTTATTCTATAGAGTAATTGATTTGGGTTGATGGTAAGTGTTCAGATGAGATTTCTGGAGGACATTTATCTGAGTCGTCCCAAACAATCATTATTGTTTATGTTGATGATGTTTTTGCCTCACCCATTCAGAAATGCTGCAGTACATTCATGGGCGCAGTCAAAGCAGTGTTTTCAATTATCTTTTTGTATTTCTAATTGGTAGAAATAAATTAGAAGACATGTATTTGACTACTATTCTGCACCAGCAAATCCATTTTTTTTTTAATGATGCTAATTGTGGTTGTCATGGAAACCCTGAAAGTAGTTAGGCTGAATTGCTCAATGTATTTCTTTTTTTCTCTGTAAGTGATTATTTCTTTGGCTGATATTGAAGTTCTTCTAGAAAGCTATTATGCATACGCTCACAAGACATTTACTCTAAGTTAAGATGCTCGATAAATCTGTTACACCAATTATATTTGTACTGTGGTTATGAGAATCAATATGCTTGAGATGTAAACTGATCACCTAGAAAAGTGAATAAACCAGTTGGCTTGTTTTTTTATTTTATTTTCCTGAAAGTAGTGATGTAATGCCTAGATGATTTTCAAAAATATTCTGCTTGCTTTAAACTTTTGGTATTATTTAATGTCTGTGTGTATGCTTTTCAAATGTCATTTTGCTGTAACTTTTCTGAAAAATGTCAAAATTATATTGAAGAGTCATGTCTGCTTCTTGTTAATCCTGTTGGCAGATTTCAGGGGGAAAAGAGATATACATGGAGGATATAGGCTGAGGAAGAAAGCCTCTGAGTCTAAATGGTCGTAGATAAAATACTAGATGCATCATTTATTAATTGTGCATACTTAACCTGGGTTGTAGTCTTCACATGTAAAATGAGAGTCATAACCTCATTGGGTTGTTTAAAGATGAAGCGTAACTATACATGTCATACTGCTCATATGGTGGCAGGCATATAAAAGATGCCCTAGAAATTTTACTCTTGTTCCTGCCTAAGTCTCCCTAATCAACCTTCCCTTCTGCACCCTCTCACAGGGACTCACTCCTGGGTTTCTGGAATTATGTGTTTGGATTGAAGGGAGAGAATGTTTGGCTAGCAGAACCTCAATAAATTTTTAGCATCCTTACAGCATCCCCATGTTATGGGAAAAAAGCAATGTTCCGGGACAAGCCTGACCTGGAAAGAGAATCTTCACAAGGATTAAAAAAGTTCCATCACAGTAACTTCCAACCAAATACCCTCTCAAGAAATTTATTCTTCCAAAACAAATATCCTGTTGATTGGATGATTGAGTTGGGGTGGGGAGAGAGCTCTTTAGGAGCAATAGTCAATAGTTCACCCTTGCATGTGTGAGTTTTAGAATTTGTACAACCACACTTTTTTTTTTTTTTTTTTTTTTTTTGCAACAAGGTCCTCACTCTGTCTCTCAGGCTGGAGTGCAGTGGCAGGACCATGGTTCACTGCAGCCTGGACCTCCTAGGCTCAAGTGATCCTCCTGCCTTAGCCTCCTAAGTAGCTGGGACCACAGGTGCATGCCACCACACCCAGCTAATTCTTAAATTTTTTTGTAGAGATTGAGGGGGATGTTGCTATGTTGCCCAGGCTGATGTCAAACTCTTGGCCTCAAAGTGATCCCTCTACCCTGGCCTCCCAAAGTGCTGGGATTACAGGTGTGAGCCACTGCACCCAGCCAACCAAACATTTTTAATGCAGTAATAGAGCTACTTTCTCAGCTCATTACACCGGTACAGAATCTTTCTTCTTGGGATCATGAAGTATTGGTAGCATGTCTTTATCTTACTAAATGAGTCTTTATCTTACTAAATCTTCCCTACTACATAGTTGGTTCATATTATGAGTCTTATTTATTTTAATTAAAGTGAATATAGAGGCAAATTTATGTTTCCAACGTACCTCGTATATGCCTCAGTTATAGCACTTACCACGTGGCATTATAATTGTTTGCATATATTCATCCCCCATAGATTAAACAATTTAGAGATGACTGCATTCTCTGAAACCAAACAAAACTAAAATTTGAAATCTTGAGTATCAAGTAAGTTAGGCTCTTCACTCATTCAGTGATTATTTAATGAGCTTCTACTATTTTCCCTGTGCTAGACTAACTGTTGGGAATTCAGGAGTGAATGTGGCAGACATGTTTCCTTCCTCATTAGGCAATGAGGCTCACATCTACTATGGCAGCGGCTAAGTGCTGTCAGCAGTGAACTTCCAGCTCTGTAGCACTTAGTGGCTCCGTAAGTGGAGCTTGGGACTGCCCAAGAGTCAAGTAAGTCTTCCTGAAGGCAACGGCTTTGAAGGAGAGAACTGAAGACACACAACTTAGAGGGTTAGGGAGAGTGTTCCAAACCGAGGGAAAAACAAATGTAAATGGACACAGAGGTCAAAAGACAGTTTCTTGAGTTCTTGTGCCTACACGTTCCTAGGGAAGGGTCTCAACCCCTGCATGAAACATACACTGATGACATGAATTTGCTGTTTTTAAGGAGGAGATTGCATTTGTTACATAAACTGCAGCATCAGCAGCTTGGGATCTGTGTTTCTTAGGCTGAGGTGACACCACTGAGGGTCCCTGATGGTGCAGCCTTTCACGATGACTTTGCAGCAACACAGCACCCTCCCAGTGCACCCTGGAATGGAGCCCTGGGAGGGAACAAAGACACCCTCTGGGGTTTCTTTGAGATTTTTGATTTGCTTATCTCTTCCTCCAGACTTCAAACACATTTTGGTTTCTCTAGGGGTTGCTCATTCAAATGCCAAGTAGACAAGGATTTGAACTAATTATCTAATTTTAAATAAGGTGTAGTAGGGACATATAGAATTAAGGGAATTATAGGAGACAGCATGGTGTTTGGAGTCCAGTCAGAGAAATCTGGTTTTGCCTCCTGATTCCTTCTCTCAGGTCTAGGTAAACTTCAGCATGTTCTTCTTCCCATCTGTCAGGCAGGGATAGGAACACCTGCCCAGAGGGCTGCTGGAAGATGGAGTGAAAATGACACTTATTACCTGTTTAAAGTGGTGCCTGGCATCATCCACAAGCGAGAATTAGGAAAGAGAGTAATCTTTAGAAGCCTCAGCTTCATTGCTTTTTTTTTTTTTTTTTACTGCTGTATTTTCCTTTCTTTTTTATTTTTTAAAGCAGCTTTATTGGAACATAATTTACATACCATCACATCCATTTTGAGTGTATAATTCAATGAATTTTAGTATATTTAGAGTTGTGTGATCAACACCACAATCTAATTTTAGGACTTTCCCATCATCCTAGAAAGAAAATATTTGAATTTTTTTGTGTCTATGAATTCTAAACTATGCTCAGGAAATATTCAATTTAAGGACCCAAGCTAATCATCATGTTTACTTAATAACCACAGGTTGTCATATATCATCATATTGTGATAATTATCATCAAGAATGTTAACTATTTAAGTATGTTACAACTTTAGATAATTTACTTGTTGATATTATTAATAAATGTTAAAATGGTCTTTTTTTGGGCAAACAACAGTTAATGATGACTGGTGGTACTTATTCAAATAAATAAAAAAAGTCTTGCCATAAAACCTTTGGGAAAAATATGTTTTTTAGTTTGTGCTGTTATGAAAAAGTAGCTAGTCAAATAATCTTGAATATATTACCAGAAACTCATTGGAAAGGGCAGAGTTAAGTAGAGAGGCCATGGGATTAGGCACGAGGGCTCTATAGAGCCAGAGTTCAAACCCAATTCAGCCAGTTATAGGCTGTGGAATATGAAACCAAATGCCTTAACTCTCTGGCCCACAGTCTCTTCATTTGTAAAATAGAGGTAATAGTAGGTGTCTCGTAGGGTTGCAGGAATTAACTTATGATATATGTAAAGCCATTAGTATTGCAGCTGGCATACAGTAAGTGTTCAATAAATCACTGCTGGAATTTTATTGAGTGTAGACTCCCAGGGAATTGATAAAAGGGACCATTTATTAAAGTTTAAGAACACATTAGGAAAAGTAGAGAAAGAGGTTGCTTTCGTCTTAAGTAGGGAATCAAAAAAGCCCCCGCTCTGACTGGAAAATGACAGTTTTTAAAGAACTAAATAATAATAACCCTTGATGTGTATTCTTTGTGACATAGAGATAGAGCTATTGCACTGTAATCTGATTTTGTTCTTTTAGCTATGAGGAGAGGAGATGAGAGAGACCAAAGAGACAGCCGATCTTGCTAGGAGAAAGGCTCCTAGACAGACACCCTGAAGCCTTTCCTTTACTTAGGTTTATTGACACAGGGAGGGGGTCATCCATCTGCAGCTGGGCCCAAAAAATGCCAGGAATAGCCACAAAAGGCTGGAGACCATGACTGGCAGTTTGAATGTCATCCTTGCTCCTGGCTGTAGTGTGGCTGGTGCATAGTTGGGGGTGAGGATATTAACACGAAAACTAGTGGATTCAGAACAAGTGGGATGGCCTGGTTCCCAGGGGTCTTCAGGCCACATGGTCACTTGCAGGATTGAATGAAGAGGTGATATTGACTAGGGCTGATGCCCTGTGATTCTGGGGATTTTGAACATAGGGCTTGAATAACAACTCAAATTATAGATGGGGTTGTAAATGGGAAAGACAACCACAGGAGGAGGTGAGGCAGGCTGATGCAATGACGAGAGGCCAGGAACCAGGGTCTGTGGATAGCTGGCTCTATCACTCCTAGTTGGTATTCACATCCTTTTAAAATCTGAAGGTGCTTTAATCTTTCCTGGCCCATTCTACACCAAGGAGAGCTTTCTAAGCCCCAAGGTGTCCCAGGCTGCCAGAGAAAGTTTAGTTCCATGTGTCTGTGGTACACATTAGGAAAAGTAGAGAAAGTCACTTGTGGGACTCCTTGGTTTTCCTTCGGGTTAGAGCTGGAGTTATCTCTGAAGGCTTGATGGAAGCTGATTTCCCAAGATCCAAAAGCTTTCTTTGTCAGGGCTGGCACCAGGGCTCAGCGCTTTCTTAGACTTCTGGTTCAGCCCTGACAAGGTTTTGAAAATCAAATTAAAAAGAGACTAAATATAACTTGTAGAAAACCTAGGAGGAAGTGTGCTTACAGACCTAAACTCTAAAAGATGCAATCAAGTCCTCTGAAAACCAGATAATTGACTTTAAAAGACAAGTGTAGATGTATTAGGTGGAAGCATATTAGTTCACTTATTCTTTTTTTCACTTATTTATTTTTATACAAACATCACCGGTTTTCTATGAATGGAAGGTGGCAAATTATCTGTGTAAGAAGATTCAGGTATAATCTTCCTTCTCAATGAGTTTCTGTTCTTGATCAGGGTTGGCAAACTATGCCTGGCAGGTCAAATCCTACCTGCTGACTGTGTTTGTAAATTGAGCTTTACTGGAAAACAGCCATGCCCATTTACTTACCGCTATTATAGCTGTTTTCCTGCTATAATGACAAAGTAGAGTAGTTGTAATAGGTATGGTATAGCTTGCAAGGCCTGAAACATTTACTGTTTGGCCCTATATATAAAAAGTTTGCTTCATCAGCAAGATGAACAGATAAAGAAATGATTATATATATATATGTAAATATATATACACACCATCATTTATTGATATTATATATCAATGTGTGTGTATATATATATATTATATATATATGTATACCATCATTGTGTGTATGTGTGTGTGTGTGTGTGTGTGTATATATATATATATATCAGGGCCTGGTGATTGAGGGGAAAATGGGGAGATGTTGTTCAGAGAGTACAAACTTTTATTTATAAGTTTTGTAGATCTAATATATAGAATGGTGACTATAGTTAACAATACTGTATTGTATACTTAAAATTTGCTAAGAAATTAGATCTTAAATGTTCCCACCAAAAGACAAAAGACAAAAAAATAACTAGGTGAGATGATAGATGTGTTAACTAACTTAATCATGGGTGAGGTGATAAATGTGTTAACTAACTTAATTGTGGTAATCATTTCACTATATATATACATATATATAGTGTACATATATATATACACATATATAGTGTACTATATACACGCATATATAGTGTACTATATACACGCATATATAGTGTACATATATACATGCATATATAGTGTACTATATACATACACATATAGTGTACTATATACATACACATATAGTGTACTATATACATACACATATAGTGTACTATATACATACACATATAGTGTACTATATACATACACATATAGTGTACTATATACATACACATATAGTGTACTATATACATACACATATAGTGTACTATATACATACACATATAGTGTACTATATACATACATATATAGTGTACTATATACATACATATAGTGTACTATATACATACATAGTGTACTATATACATACATAGTGTACTATATACATACATACATAGTGTACTATATACATACATACATAGTGTACTATATACATACATACATAGTGTACTATATACATACATACATAGTGTACTATATACATACATACATAGTGTACTATATACATACATACATAGTGTACTATATACATACATATATAGTGTACTATATACATACATATATAGTGTACTATATACATACATATATATGTATATGTATATAGTGAAATGATTACCACAATTAAGTTAGTGTGTATGTATATATACACACACACACACACACATATACATATATATTTATGTATGTCAGTAGGGTGGAAATAGAAAATGATGATGTGGCATTTTAGGCCAAGAAAGAGACTATGGAATGAACCCCCCGACCAACCACCACCACATATCTCCTGAAATCCTGAAGTGACATGAGACTGCAGAGTGTCTGACATTGTTGTATCAATATCAAATAAGAATGTAAAGACTAATCTCTAAGCCAAAGGTTTTATTTGGGAATACACAAATGATAGAATTGCAATTTGGGATGTCCAACAATGATAGACTGGATTAGGAAAATGTGGCACATATACACCATGGAATACTATGCAGCCATAAAAAATGATGAGTTCATGTCCTTTGTTGGGACATGGATGAAATTGGAAATCATCATTCTCAGTAAACTATCACAGGAACAAAAAACCAGACACCGCATATTCTCACTCATAGGTGGGAATTGAACAATGAGAACACATGGACACAGGAAGGGGAACATCACACTCTGGGGACTGTTGTGGGGTGGGGGGAGGGGGGAGGGATAGCACTGGGAGATATACCTAATGCTACATGACGAGTTAGTGGGTGCAGCGCACCAGCATGGCACATGTATACATATGTAACTAACCTGCACATTGTGCACATGTACCCTAAAACTTAAAGTATAATAATAATAAATAAATAAATTAAAAAAAAATACCCTAGCACACATTCGTCATAACAAATGTCGGTTGTAATTGGAAATCCACATTAAATTTGAATATTCCCCAATAGTTTAAAAAGTAATTATAAATATTCTTATCTAGCTACATGTATTTGTTTATGTATTAGCCCATTCCCAGCAGATTTTATTTCATTCTTTCACAGTAAACAAATTCAGGGAATTTTTACTGTAAGTTTTACTTTAGTTCAAATTCAGTAAGTTTTACTGTAGTTTTCATGTTAATGGTTTATATGGGTTAAAACTTGTACCCTCATTCTTAATTTTGTGGTACTCTATAGTCACCATATGAAAGAAATAAAGTTACTTTTGGGGAAATTACTTGAATAAGGTCAAATGAGATCTGCAACTGTGGGATACACTTTTGTCAACATTTTAAAAGGCCAACCAGGCTTTGGTCATTGTACATTGATATGGTATAGGCCTATGCTTTGATTATATTCATTTCAAAGCTCTGTATTAATTAGGAAATAATGGCTCATTCTGAGAGGAAATGATTATATTTGATTTTGAGAATTTTGCATTTGAGCTGATAAAATGAGATACACCAGAAAAAAGTGAAAACATGAAAATTAAGCTTCAGTGAAAGTGAAGTATAGGAAAGTTTTAAATATTTTGATAATAGATTATATATCATATCAATATATTATATATT
Organism: Homo sapiens; assembly: GCF_000001405.40. Classification (NCBI taxonomy): domain Eukaryota; kingdom Metazoa; phylum Chordata; class Mammalia; order Primates; family Hominidae; genus Homo; species Homo sapiens. The sequence continues at coordinate 33,927,066 of NC_000013.11, forward strand.
CCTCCCTGACCTCATTCTTGAAATCTCACCCAATCCTTGACCTTCCCTGGCAAAGATCAAAATTGAGAAAAAGATCGGGAGTGGCGTAAGTCTCAGGAATAAAATAAGAGGGCACCTGATGTTCACATTGCTTGGTAATGAAAAATAATAAAGGCTTTTTAAAGCAGTTAAAAAAAAAAAAAAGATTTGCAATTTGGGGCACATGCCCAGACCTGGATGGCCTCTCATAAGTCCTAAGACCAAAGGGAAAGTTAGGGTTTTATTGGGGGAAAGAGGGGGTTATGCAAGTTGTTTTGAAAGAAAATTCATTGGTTCTGGTGATGTCTTCCAGGAGCTGGTGAGCTCTGATTGGTGAGTGGTGGCATTGCTAGGTAAAACTTGTCATCTTAAAGTCACAGCAGGCTGTTTTCTTGGAAGGGGCTTGCACAACAGTGGATCTGGTGAGTGTTTTTGTTTAAGAGGCCAACTCTCCTTGTGCTGTTGTCCATGTGTGACTCATGTAGCAATTAAGGCTTGGAAAAGTTTCTTGTAGCAGTTTTTGTTATTGGGCCAGCCCTGTGTGAGAGCCCTCCCATCATGGCCCTGGCTCCATTTTGCCAGAGTTTGACACGAGTGACTCTATTTTGATTCTGACAACTTTCACAGCTGCAACTCTTGTAAATTCAGAAGGGGCTGAGGGTGAGCTATGGAACTGGAGAGGCCTGGTGTGTGGGTGACTTCTGTGGTCCTGCCTGGAACAAAGGCCACTGAGTGAGAAATAGGTTGATTTACATCAGCAGTGGGTGGCCCTATAATACCAAGGAGGAGTTTCAGATGAGAAAGACCAATATGACAGTAGAATAGAAGCTCTAGGGACTTAATTCAGCAGTAAGAATAGCAGCTAACATTCTCATAACATCTACCATGGGCAAGGCACTGTTAACATCTAATAACTCATTTAGTCTTCCAAACAGCCCTGTAAGGTGGGTGACAATTATTATCATCTCCATTTGACAGAGGGTGAATCTGAAGAAAGAGAAGTAAAATAATTTGTTCAAATTTCCACCGCAGTGAAGTGACTGCTGGTATTTGAATGCAGGCAGTGTCAGGATCGTGGGCTTACCTAGTATTCCCAACCACTTCTCTCAGGAAAGGGGTGAGGAGACAAGATTGAGTAGGTATCCAAGAAAGACTGAGTCAATCATGAAAGTGACTCAGTAGCAGAAATGACAACTTGAGATGCAAGTACTACGCAAAAATAGGGACATACACTTATGTATTTACGCAGTTATATCCATGGTTGTAAAGGTTGATACCTGCTACAAATGTGAGTCCTAAATTTTCCAATCAAGTTGTATAGTGATGGCAGGATTGCTCACCTCTCATAAACCAGAAGTCAGAGGCTTAGAGAGAGTTCACTCGGAGGAAATACCATGCTCTGAGCTTGATATTCACGGGTATACACAAATTGGGCATGTTGAGGTGAGTTAAATATGCTGCTTGTTAAATTAAAGGTGTTCACCGTGCCTTATTACATTGATCAGCTCACCTTGCCTCTTCCCAACTCTAACTTTAGAAGAGGCTGCATAGGTGGATGTGTGCTAGATTACTGAATATACTTTCTCTGGTGTTTGCTTTACATCTTATCCACATACTTAATACAAGTCCAATAGCAGCTTGCCTGTGTTTAAACCTGTACAGTGTTGATCAGTTGCACGCCATTCAGTGAACTAGGCAGGTATATGTCTGTTACAGCAAATACTGCGTTTGAATGAAGAGAACCAATGTCTGGGGGGGGAAGTGAAAACTATCTGAAATGGGTTAGTTGCCCTAGAAAATAGAATTGGGATTCTTTGTAGAAGAATATGCCCACCTTTGGCCCTGATCTGGGATTCCATTTAAAACAATTTTTTTCTACAGTATTATGCCAAAAAGTTTCAAAATCTATTTGGCCTTTGCCCATTCTAAAATGGACAAATAATTTTTTTCTTTTTTTTCCAGATTTTATTTGAAACCATAGATTAAAAGGATTTAAAGGAGGGCTACCTAGTTGTTCGTAAAATATGTTACTACCTTTTACCTTTTTGATACTGTAAATTTACCACGAAAGGTAAAGGAAGTCTGACAGACATTCCCAGTCATGAGGAAATTATCCTAGAGAGTTGATGAGGTGGCAAGAGAAGAAGACATTGCTATCATGGCTCACAGAATATTGCCAGAGTAGTTGATGTATCTTCTTTTCCAACCACAGCCAGTACACTTGTGGGCTTTAAAAAAATTTAATTGTAGGTAATAGAAGAGTTTTGCCATCTAAATACATCGCTGACTTCATATTGCAAGTCAATGGAAAAACTATACTTTCTTTATAGAGATTTAATTAACACTAAATTTAATGGAATAATTGTGTTGATAAAGCTTACTAAAGGTTATTGAGATTTATAGATATTAAGAAAGATCATACAACTTCATATAGCTCCCAAATATTTCAAATGTGATATTCATGTAATGTCCTTAGGAATTTCTTTTTCTGGTAAATGTCATGTCATTTTAATTCATTACAAAATATTTTGAAATATGGAAAAATTTTAAACTTACCTATAATTTTCTCTATAAATGAACAGTGCTAACATTTTGGTAGATGCATGTTTATTATATTTTATACAGTTGAACTCATAATATATTTTCAATTCAATATTCTGCATTTTCATAAGTAATTTTCTGAACTTTCCCCTATATTATTATAATTTGACAATTGGATTATTTCCAATTTATGCTATTAGAAATAAAGTTAAGGTAAACATTTTTATGAATCTTTGTGTGTATTTCTGTTCATCTCTTTAGAACAGAGACCCGGAATAAATTCTCGAGTCAGAAAGATTAAGCATTTTAAAGTTCTTAATGTAGCTTGCCAACTTTCCTTTTGAATATTTGTGATAATTTGATACTTATATTTTTAGCATTGAGTGTTACTGTTTTTCCTAATCTCTGACTATTTAATAAATACTGAATTGTATAGCTTTATTTTTCTTTTATTACTAAAGAGACTTAATTCTTTCATCTATTAGCTAATTCATCTATCAGCTTGTATTAGGGTTCTCTAGAGGAACAGAACTAATAAGATAGATGTATATATGAAGGGGAGCTTATTAAGGAGTATTGACTCACATGATCACAAGGTGAAGTCCCGCAATAGGCCGTCTGCAAGTTGAGGAGCAAGGAAGCCAGTTGAAGTCCCAAAACCTCAAAAGTAGGGAAGCTGACAGTGCAGCCTTCAGTCTGTGGCCAAAGGCCTGAAAGCCCCTCAGAAACCACTGGTGTGACTCCAAGAGTCCAAATGCTGAAGAACCTAAAGTCTGATATTTGAGGGCAAGGAGCATCTAGCACAGGAGAAAGATGGAGGCTGGAAGACTCAGCAATTCTGCTCTCTCCAACTTCTTCTGCCTGCTTTATACTAGCCAGGCTGGCAGCTGATTAGATGGTGCCCACCCAGATTGAGGATGGGTCTGTCTCTCTGAGTCCACTGACTCAAATGTTAATCTCCTTTGGCAACACCCTCGCGGACACACCCAGGAATAATACTTTGCATCCTTCAATCCAATCAAGTTGACACTCAGTATTAACCATCACATAGCTCTTTTAATCTCCTCTTCTGTGAATTGTCAACTCCTGACCTTCAAACACTTTCCTGTTGATGATCTGGAAGTTTTCTTACTAATTATATGTATCGATGTAACGTACTAATGGTGATAAAATGAACAGCTTGGGGCAAAATTTAGGGATAGATAAACCTCAAGCTTGTTATAATCAGTATGATCCCTGCCTTTCTCTCTTCCTTTAGTTCTTTTGGAAAATGGTCACCATCATTTGGTATAATCTATCATTTCTTAATATATTTCTAAGGCATCTAGGTGATATATTACATTCTCTCCCTTTTTCTTAGAGTTTTTTTTAGTGACAGCTTATGATTGGGGCAAATTTAGAGTTGAAGTGTTTCAATGTGTCTTTACATGATATGTAGGACTTAGATGCTATTAATGTTCTCACCTTTGATTTATGGATCCTGGATCTTGGACATATTGAATTGTAGAAAATTTCCCAGAAAGCAACATAGTGAGAATATCCAGATCAAAATAGAATTTTCAAGAGCTGATGTTACATGCTGCTCACGATGGCAATGAAAGTACAGTTGAACCAAGAAGTCATGGATTTAGTTGTAATGTGGATGGTAGTTCGTTTCATCTAAACCAGTGGTTCTCAGACTTTAGCACACAACAGCATTGCCTAGAGGGGCTGTTAAACACAGGAGCGGGTCCCCACCCTGGAGTTTTTGTTTCTGTATAGGTCTGGTGTGGATACCGTGATGCTGATGCTTTTGGTCTGGGGACAACACCTTGAGACCACTGATCTAAGCCATCTGGGGGCTGAGTGTGAGACAAGATATTACCTTTTTCCATGGTGTAGACTCATATCATGAGATGTGTAAATTCTAAAATCTTGCGAACAGGAGACCAAAATTACTGTCACAGTGTGGGGGTCCAACAAAGATATAATGTTACCTCCAGGGGGTGCCATTTCCTTGTGAATGACTGCCTTAGAAGTTGTGTATAAGGTACATGACCATACAGAGGCCCTGAAGTCTGGTAGTGGAAATACATTTTCCTTTGTGATATCTGATGTTACTTTTAAACATGGAAAGTCCTCCTCCCTTTCCTCTAAGAGTCTCCTACCTGCAATCTAAAGATCAAATTTATAGTCACCTACGTTTGCTTTTTTTAATGAATTCTTTTTAACACCTTCATTATAAAGTCAAATTCTGTTCATGTATTCTGTGAGGTGATGATTAAAACAGCATATTATTTTCCTAAGTGACAATTTTCTCCATACTTTTTGAATATACATTTGTTTTTCATTCACTGATGGTGGAATCTTTCTCGTATGTTGTGTGTGTGTGTTTGTATTCTGAGACTATTTATATTGCCTTTGTTGTGCTAGTTCATTAATTCTACAAATGCTTACTATGTTCCAAGCACTGCAGAGATATCAGTATGAATGAAACAGTCATGAATAAAACACATGTGGACTCTGCCAGCATGAAATTTACCATCTCAATAGTCTGTTCCATTGTTCATCTGTCTATTCTAGCTCAAGCATCACATTAGTTTTAATTGTCGTAGCTAAAGAACACATTTTAATCTGCTGTAGAGAAATTATTCCTTAATGCCATTAAAAAAGTTAGTAATTTTTGTCTATTTATTCTTCTTAATATACCTTGGAATAATTTTTTCAGAAATTCAAAAAGGGGAAGAAAACTCTTTGTGACTTTCATTGGAATTGTCTTGCAGTATATTTTGGGAAGAATTGATATCTTTTATAAAACAGTTTTCCCTCCCAAACCATTTTTGTATGCCTTTATTTATTGGGATCTTCTTTCATATCTCTGTATTATAAAATAACATGCAAGTACTAAAATGTGTTAGTCTGCTGAATTTTTTGGAATGCTTTTTATCAGCAATATGAGAAATTCCATGAAACTGTAGAACTGGGCCCACAAGGAAGGAATGAGGCTTGAGGTTATCAAACAGAGAAGGGAAAGTACAGAGAAAGAATTACTCTAAAGCAAAAACAGTAGGAAAATTTTTATGTTATCAAGATAGTCATGTAAAATAATGCATGGTCCACATGCATAAACCACATCCAATGCTAGTCTATGTATTTTTTCTTGAAATGTCTGTTTCTCTTGCAAAGTATATTGCCATATAAGTTTTAAACAGTGAGGACATCAGTCTCTGAGCAATATTCCTGACATTGTGACAACAACGACTGGCTTTTGCTGTACATGTTTGCAAACATTGGTTGAGACTTGTAGGCTGACAGCCTAAATGGACAATATGTCCATAATCTGCATGCCAACTGGCACATGCTGATAACATCTGACAGGCCACTCTTGTCAAAGCTTTTGAACACCTAATAAATACAATTATACCCCCTTTACCCTTTGAAAAATCTGAGATACTGGTTTTTCCCTTTGAGTTACAGATGGTGATATCATAAGAGCTTTGAGACAGCTGCTCAGCCTCATTGATGCAAATGCTTATGGCAAACAATACATTCTTCAGATCTGTGGTCGTCTTTCTTTTTTCTTTTCCTGCTTGCTAATGCCGAGCTGATGATGCAGAATATGGACCTCAGTTGCAATTTTAGTATTAGAGGTCAGAAAACACATAGAGATCTGGGTGAACAAAGAATGTGCAATAACCACATTTTACCTGTCCTACATTGTTTGGGAATGAGCTCCTATTGTGTTAAAATGAACTGCTGGTCAGTGCTGTGGAAACAATTTATCCCAAGAACTTATTATTGGCTTAGTGATTGTTTTTTGTTATCATGGGTTCTATAGCCACTGCTATGATTGGGTTAGATGCTCATTTCCTTTAACTGTGATGTTTTAAGAAACCCTAGCTTAGGTGAATATAATTGTTACCATTTATAATAGTAGGTTAGATTCTCATCTTCTCTGTCTCCGTGTAACAAAGATAATAAATCGAGATGATAAAATTTAATAATGTACAAAGTATTTCATTGTTAGTGATGCATTTTCAAATGATGACCTGTGAAATTGAAAATAAGAAGGGAGAAACTTTTTTTCCCCTCTCCTATTAAGGATCACTGACCGGCTTGGAAAAAAAAAATCCCAAGTCATGTAAAAGGAAAATAATTTGTTTGCATTTATATTTTTATTAAGAGAGAGAAATATAAACAACTAAAGATATTCTTTTAAAGTTAAAATTTGGGGTTTTAAAGTTTCATTGGCTAACTACGTTAAATTAAGAGAAATATGTAATTTAATGTGAGAGTAACAGGAGACTGCAGGATTGGGGGAGGGAGATGAATGGTATGGGGGAGGGCGAGACTGGCAGACAGAGACTGCAGGGAAACTAGAGGAGAGAGGAGAAGGTGGTGGGGAAAAAAAGGGAAATGAAAGAAAGGAAAGAGAAATTAAATGTTTAATAATAGAGCCAAAGGACAAAGAAAAGAGCATGTAGGAGGATGGCGTGAGCTCAGGAGTTTGAGCTTGAGCTCAGGAGTATGTCAGCCTGGGCAACATAGCAAGACTTCATCTCTACTAAAAGAAAAAAAAAAAATCTGGGTGCAATGGTGAGCACTTACAGTTCCAGCTACTTGGGAGTCTGAGGTGGGAGGATGGCTTGATTCTTGGAGGTTGAGTCTGCAGTGAGATGAGATTGTGCCACTGCACTCCAGCCTGGGTGACAAAGTGAGACCCTGTCTCAAAAATGAAAACAAAAACAAAAAACAATAATTGATAGAAGGAAGGTGATAAGGGCACATGATGAGACAGTAAGAGGGAGAAGGAAGCAACTGCAACTGGAACTAAAAAGAGAAATGCTTAGAGGGCTTTCCAAGCTCTGAGATGACTGTGTGTCTTGGCTTGGGTTCCTATCTTGTTTCCCTGGATGTCCGAATCAGTTACTACCAGATCCTCTGACAGCCCAGCCTGGGAGTCTCTTCTTTCTATAGCTGGTGTCCCAGATTCCCAGTTGCTTATTACTATAACCTTGGTCTTTATGGTCAATGCTGACCCCACCTGGACTCGGCAGCCACCAGTCTTGCCTCTTGCCTAGCCCTGATTTTGTGTTTCATTTTCTGTCATTGGGTCTATCTGGTTTTTGTTTTGTTTTGTTTTCCTATGCCAAGCATCTGTCTTTGGTAATCTCCCTACTACTTTTTTCTTTCTAAATGCAAGGTATTCCCTTTCTCCTATAAGCGTCTCTTCTGAGCCTGGGAACCTTTGACTGCAGCCCAAGCCCCATGTCCTATATCCAGTGCTCTCATGATGGGAACCATCAGCCTGGATGGCCGAATCCCCCCATTCCTGATGGTCTGCTCACATTGTGATGCACCCTGCTGAACCTGTCATGAAGACTGCCTGAAACTCTACATTATGGATATTTTGGCTGACTTCCTTGTTTGGAAAGTCTTATTTGGTTACCAGATAACTGGATCATGTCAAGGTCCAAAAATATGTCAATTTTTCCTTTGAAATGTTATAATATATTATTTTCTGCCTTGAGATTTTTTTTTTCAAATGTCAAGGGGGCAGGGACAATGTTTTAAATAAACTTTCCATTGAGATTCTGGAAATGATTATGAGGAAACAACTGAGGTTTTAGAAATGTAACTGGAAAATGTAAAAATGCCATCAACTTCCTAGTTATTCCCAAAAGTCTCTTTGACATTGAAATGATGCCAAAAATATATCATGTTTGTTCTTTGAGAAATTAGAGCTCTCTCATTCCATAATGCAAAAAAGTTGTACTTGCAAATAATATCCCAAGCTGCTTGCTAGAGATTGGATGAAATTAAATAGCTGCTGATCTGAAGTCATTTCATGTCTGACTTGTGAGTACAAGTGTTGGGCACAATTGAAGTTTTCTTTCTAATTAAAAATTAGGCTTTTTTTCTTTCATAATCAACTTACTGTCTGTAGTGGTTCACATAATTGCTGGTAGCAGCACTTTCCATTGATCCTAATTTGTGGAAGGTTGTAAGATGAGAGAACTTAGATTTTCACCATAATTCACCTTTAAATAAAAAAGAGGTAATATAAAACCTTGTTTGGTTTGTTTCTGAAACTTTTGTTCCTTTGCTCATCCTGTCACTCATGAGCATGTTCTGATTGACTTTGTGGGAAGAGGACACAGCATTAGCATTTCACCTGGTCTGTTAGGAACAAACAAAAAAACCAACCAATCAACAATGTCTTAAGAATACTTGACAAAACTTAAATCTATGGCTGAATCTACATAATTATGTTAGAATGACCTGGTAGGGGAAAATGTGCTGGGCCTAAAGTGTTGTTTCACAGCTCAAGCTGCTGCATGAACAGCATGGGCAGGTCCCCTGAATGACATGCTGGGAGCTATGTATGGCTCCGGGTCCACTGAGCTGGTCTCATCTTCCCCTTATGAGAGCGATGGTATGACAGGTGCAGTGTGTGCACTTGTATGGGATGACGGGTTGGGGTGACTGCAGGTGAAGGAGGCAGGAAGAAGCAGAAAGCCTTGGTCTTATGCATACTGCCCCCAAGGTGTGGAAGCCACAGGTGGTCATTATTATGAAATCTGGGAAGTGTAATCACTGGGCAGATCATAATAACAGGTAACCCAGGTGGCAGGTGAGGGTTACTATCAGGTGGGCACAGTGGCTTTGGGAGACAAGACCGTTAACCCCTAGATTGGACTTAGAGGAGATCCTAGGGGTGGATTTGTATGGAGTAATTTTCCTAGACTAAATTACTATTTAGTTATAACCATGGATGCTATTATGGGTTGAATTTTGTACCCCCCAAAATACATAAAAGTTGCAAACCCCAGTACCTGTGAATGTGACTTTATCTGGAAATAAGGTCCTTGAAGATGAAATTAGTTAAGGTGAGGCTATTAGGATAGGACCTAATCCAATATGACTGAAAAAAGGGGAAAATTTGTCCATAGAGTTGGAAGCACACACAGGGAAAACAGCACGTGAGGATAAAAGCAGAGACTGGGGTGATGCATCTGCAAGCCCCAAAGAATATAAAAGATTGCTAGCAAATTACCAGAAGCCAGGAGAGAGCCCTGGAACAGATTTCCCCTCAAAGTCCTTAAAAGGAAGCAATCCTGCCGACATCTTGATCTCGGACTTCCTTCAGAACTGTGAGGCAGTAAACTTCAGTTATTGTGAGCCATTCAATTTCTGGTACAGTTATGGCACCCATAAAGAATGAATACAGGTGCTAGAGGATTGGAGGTTTGGTTAACAGAAAATATTAGTACTAGAAGAAACCCTAGAAATTGTATAATTGACATAGGAAACACTACTGTACTGTATACTTAAAATTTCCTAAGAGATAGATCCTAAATGTTCTCACCACAAAAAATCAAGAGCAGCAGCAAAACTATGTGATGACTATGTTAATTATCTTGATTGTGATGATAACTTCATGGTGTATATGTATACTAAATCATCAGGTTGTACATCTTAAATACAGTCATGTACCATGTAATGTTTCAGATACGCGAGGGATCAGATATGTGAGAGTCGCCCCATAAGATTACAATACCATATGTTCACCTTACCTTTTCTATGTTCAGATATGTTTAGATATACAAATACTTACCATTCTGTTACAATTGCCGATAACATTCAGTACAGTGACATGCTGTACAGGCTTGTAGCCTAGGAGCAAAAGGTTAGGTGTGTAGTAAGCTATACCATCTAGGTTTATGTAAGTACACTCTACAATGTTTGTAAAATGATGAAATAGCCTAATATTGCATTTCTCAGAATGTATCTCTGTCATTAAGAGATGCATGACTTATATATACAATTTTTTAAAAAATTGTGTAGTTGAGACCTCTTATATTACCAATGAATTACTGAGGCCTAGAAAGGTCAAATGAATTAATTGCTTGAGGTCACCTAGCTAGCATGTGGCAAGTCTGAGACTAAAGCCTCTGTCTTTTGACTCTTGGTCTGTGCTTTTCCTGTACTTTTTTGCTCCTGTGCACAATTACCATGTAGCATGCGCATAGAAACACAGATTAGAAATACACAGAAGATAATCACATAACTTAGAAATGAGTTTTGAAAAGGTGTAGCCGGACTCCTTATCTAAAATTAATCTAACTGAAATTGTATTTTAGATTAACTTTGCTACTTGAAAAATGCTAAGTGGCTGCCTGAGAGCAATGAAATTTCTTCCTCTAATGTGCTCCTCAGGGCAGGTAGCCCTTATCATTGTTTTCCAAACCACTAGCCATTAACATTTGTGGGGTGCCTGTGGAGTATCTGGCTCTCCTAGTGTCTCAGCTCTCTGTACAGTCAGAGGGGTGGCAGCTTTCTGCCCTTGGTCACAAGACAATGCCCCATTGTGCTTGCTTATCCAGAAGATCAATCAGGAAGAGAAGCACGCCATGGGCTGAACTGCAGTTTCTGTTACCTGACTTAGTTTAGATGTATTTCTCCTCTCCCTCAAATCCCTCCCACTAAGTCCAAGGATGTTTGCAAATGTCCTAAGGAATATTCTAGTAGCTAGGATCTGGCATTTTCACAGCCACAGCTCAAGATAAAGTCCAACTGCAAAAAAAAAAAAAAAAAAAAAAAAGTAAGAGTTGAAAATGAAAATGACTTCAAAGCAATGAAATATAAAGTAATTGCAAGTTTGCAAATTAACTATGTTGGCATATTCTTCACTTCCTCAAGGAAATATGCTCTATCCCGTTTTTAAAAATCATAAATATATTTTTTAACTTTTTATTGGAGTTTGACACACATTCAGAAAAGTATAAAAATCATAATAATCAACCGGATAATTTTTCACAAAGTAAAAACCATGAAGAAGCAACAGATTAAGAAGCATATCATCATTTCCCAGGGATAACCACCATTCTGATTTTTAACACTATGGTGTTAAAAATCCATTTATTTGGTCTGTTTTGGAAACTTATACAAGTGGAATCATACAGTATGTACTATTTTGCTTCTGTTTTTCTCAACATTGTGTCATATATTTGTGATTTCTTCATTCTCATTGCTAAATAGTATGCCATTGTATGAATATATCACAATTCACTACATTTCAGTTTTTTTTTGCTATTACAATCAGTGCTACTATCAACATTTTTGTACATATCCTTTGGTGGACAAATGTATGCATTTCTGTTGAGTGCTTCTGAAGAGTGGAAAGCTGGGTCATTGGGGATGCATGTGTTCAACTCTGGTAGCTACAACAAAACAGTTTTCCAAAGTGATTATACAAATTTACACTCCAACTGGCAGTGTAATAAGCTCTTCAATCTTTCAGGTTTTTGCCAACAATTGGGATTTTTCAGTTAGTTTCTTTTTAACCACTCTGGTGTGTGTGTAGTGGTATCATATTAATGGTTTTGATATGCTAATTATAATGATGATTAATAAAATTGAGCATCTTCTCATGTATGTATTGATTCTGTAGATCCTCAACATGAAGGGCATGCTAAGGTGTTTTGCCTATTTTTCTGTAGGGATTTTACCATTATAATATTAATTTGTAGTTTTAAAATATATGAATATATATTTTGTGGCTTGTTTTTTCACTTGGTTAATCACATATTTTGATGAACAAATATTTTTAATTTAAATATAGTCCAATTTATCCATCCCACCTGAGTCTGTGCTAATGAGATGACTCAAGGTAGAAAGACCAAGTTGACATGAGAGTTGGAACTTTCAGGCCCTTCCACCACCCTCTGGGAAGAGTGGAGGGGAGGGAGCTGGAGATTGGGCTCAGTAAAAACTCTTGACAGTGAGGCTCAGAGAGCTTCCAGGTGGGTGAACACACCAAGGTGCTCGGAAGGTGGTGCACCCAAGAGGGTAAGGAGGCTCTCTCTGTGTGACTCCCTCGCTCTGTATCTTGCCATGTGCATTGCTTCCATTTGGTTCTTCCTGCATTGTATCCTTTATAATAAACCAGTAAATGTAAGTTTAAAAGTGTAAATAAGTAAGTTCTGTGAGCAGCTCTAGCAAAGTATTAAACCCGAGGAGGGGTGGTGGAAACACTTGCTTTACAGCTGATTCATCAGAAGTACAGGTGGCTCAGGGCTTGAAACTGGTGTCGGAAGCGGGAACAGTCTTGTCCTGTCGAGCTCCTTACTTTATGGAGTCTGTACTAACTCTGGGTAGATAGTGTCAGAATTGGATTGAAGTTTTGGACACCCAGCTAGTATCTAGAGAATCAGAGAATAGGTTGTTGGTGTCAGAGAAAACACCCCAGAGAACCAAATTGTCATAATTTTCTCTTGTCTTTTTAATATTTGTAAGATCTGAGAGGGTGCTTCTTTTGTATATTTCTGTTATCAGCAATTTATGTTCACTCTATTTTTTTCTGATCCATCTTCGTAAAAGTTTATCCATTTTATTAATACTTTGATAAAAAACTTTCATGTTACTGATTTTCTGTATTGAATAACTGGATTTTATTCCATTAATTTTTATTCCTAATTTATTGTTTTCTTCCTACTGCCTTACTTTTTATTATGGGGGAGAGTTAATTTGTTGAATTTTTATCTAAATTCCTAAATTGAATTCTTACATCATTAATTTTGAACCTTTCTTCTGTTTTAATATGTTAATCAAATGTTATAATTTTTTTTCTAAGTATGACTTCAACTGCCCTCCACAAATTTTATTATATCTGATATTTACTATCAGGTTCAAAAATTATTTGTTTTTTCATTGCAACTTATTCTTGATCCATGGAACAATTTAAGATTATGTTGCCTCATTGCCAGACACATGGGGATGATTTCATCAGAGAATATTCTCTGGATAGTTTTGGTTCTTCAAAAATTTGCTTTATAGCCCAGCATGTTGCTAATTTTGGTAAATGTTACATGTGCGTGTGAAAAGCATGCATATTCTCCAGTTGATGTGCATAGTAGTCTGTATATACCAAGTGTGTCAAGTATGTTCATCATGCTGTTGTCATAGCCATTATCTTACTATAATGTTTCTGTTGAAGTCATCAAATATTTTTATGTTTTTATTTCAATTTCTATTACCTTGTCTGTCATATCTTATTTTATTGTTATTTAATGCTTACCCTGACTTACCGTAGTCTAATAAAATTACTTTCATCAATTCTCTGATCATGCTGAAACCTTACAATAGTTTAGAAACCTTATAATAGTTTAGAAACCTTACAATAGTTTAACCCCATTCATCTACATTCTGCCTCTCACATTATTGCCATCATATATTTTTATTACGTTATGAACTCTGTAGCACGTTACTATTATTGTTTTGTATAGCCAACTTTAATTTATATTTATCCACATATTTACAACTTTCTGCTGAGACAGCCAAATGCCTGGGCAGATAAAAATGGGTCCCCAGAGAATCTCCGACCCAACCCACAAGTGTTTACATCAGATGCTTTTGTGCAGATGAGGAAACCTGCCCAGGGTTTTGTCAGGGCATGCCCACAGTGGATGGGAGCTGGACATGCGTACTGAGGGAAGTGGATGGAGCTATGGGGAATTCCTGCCTTAAGCAGGGGAGGAGGCTGTTCTCTTCAGCAGGGGTAGTAACCTGGGAATCAGTCTGTGAGGAGGCGGGCCTGTTAGCAGGACTCCGTCTCACTTTCCTGAGAGATTTTTTTTTTTTCCTTTTTGCCCAATACATTCCTCTCTAATCACCCTTCAATGTGTCTGCGCACCTAATCCTTTCTGGTCATATGACAAGAACCTGGTTTTTTCTACAACACTGCCACCCTTTATTCCTTCTTGCATTTTGTGTTTCTGTTTAGGAATATTCTCCTTTAGCCTAAGGAATTTCCTTTAGTAATTATTTTAGGAAAGTCTGATGGTGGTGAATTTTCTTAATTTGTATTTGTCTGCAGCATATTCATTTTACCTTTGTTTCTGAAGGTTATTTTCAATTGCTATATTATTCTAGTTTGGCACTTTGTTTTTGGCACCATAAATATATACTTTTATTGTCTTTTAACTGCCATTGTTTCTGTCAATAAACCAGCCCAATCTTGTTTTCTTTCTTCGAAGCTGCCTGTTTTCTTTGGCTATCTTTAAGATTTTTCTATCTTTGGTGTTTAACAGTTTGCAATTATGTGACTAAGTGTAGATTTAAGGTTTTTTTTTTCTTCTTAGTGTTTATGAAACTTCTTGAATGTATGGGTTGAGAGCCTCCATCCGATTTTGAAGATTATAGGCAAACATCTCTTCAATATTGCTTCCACCTCATTCTTTGTGTTATCAATTGAGGACACTGATCATGTGTATTTTAGAATTTTTAAATATCTCCCATACATAACTTATGTTGTTTTATACATTTTAAAATGTTTTTATCCTTTAATTTGCATATTTTCTATCTTCCTGTTCAGTAATATCATTTGTTCAGGGGAGCCCAATCTAATGATCTGTTGAATTGTCAATTTTAGATAAAATTTCTATTTGATTTTTAAAATATTGTCTACTTTTTCTCTAAAATTCTCTTATCTTTTTTTGTACATTAATTATAGCTGTTTTAAAGTGTGTGTTTGATAAATCTAATGCCTGCATCACTTGTTGGTTTGTTTCTGTATCCTATTTTATATTCTTAATAATGCTTCTTGGTATGCATTGTAATTTTTTTGCCTTTTATTTTTGTTTTTTAGTAACTAATATTAGCAACAATAATGACTAATGGCCTGAAGACTGAAGGTATTATTTTATTTTATTAATTTTTATTTTTAATTCTTACGAGTACATAATGGTTGTCTATATTTACGGGGTACATGCGATGCTTTGATACAGGCATACAATGTATAATAATCAAATCAGGGTAATTGGGGTATCCATTGCCTCAAGCCTTTATCATTTCTTTGTGTTAGGAACATTCCATACTTTTTAATTTAATGCTAAGGTACATTATGCACTTAGAGTTTCAACATCAATGGCAGTGGGCTCATCCATATTTCACATACTCTTCTTAATTGTTTCACCCTTTTTTACAGACTTCCTGTGATGTCTGATTAAACTCTTGTAGTTTTATACCATAATAAGTTTATAAACAATACAGGAGCAGAATAAATATCAGCACCATTATTGTTGTTTTGGGGTACATGGTACTAATTCATAGATCCTCCTGCTATTTGAATGATAGGGTAATTAACATCTTATTTTTTTTTTATCACGTTAGCTGTATACTTGTAGTCAATTTATGTAGTGAGTAGATTGAATTGGAATGCCAATGGTTCTAAATTCCCTGGAGAAAATCTTGAGAAGTCTGGTGCCCACCTTTAGCAGTTGGCCTGTTCCAATGACATGAAACCTTGACTGCTAAGGTGCCATAAAGCAGAGCTGTTTCTGCCTTGGTGAATGGAGTGAGGCATAGGAAACACCTTCAGAGTGGCTCCCATCAATAATCATTGGAGAATTTCATAATTTTGATTGTCAAGGTCAATATGTGGTTGTTTCCATAATTTTAGTCAAGGCCTTTAACAAAAAATAGCATGTGAACTAGTATGTTTATTAATGACATTTCATAATTTACTTTAGCATTCATTTTTCATTGATGGGCAGGGATAAGCCCTGCCTTAGATTCTGCAAGTTTCTGAGGCATCTTGCCTCAGAAATAGACCTAGGGTCTCTATTTTAAGCATATTACATATGTTAACTTCTTTTAACTTCATAACACGGCATAAGGTATGTACTATTTTTATTTCTAGCCTACAGGAAATAGAAGCCTGTACTAGTTTTCTGTTGCTGCTTAATAGATTACCACAAACTTACTGACTTAAAACATCATACATATTTTCTATCTCACATTTACATGGTCAGGAGTCTGAGCATGCCCTACCTACATGGTTTTTGCAAGGTTTCACAAAGCTGTCTAGAAGTGAAGATTAGGAATGTTTCCAGCACAAAGACATGATGAATATTTGAGGTGAAGGATATCCTAATTACCACGATTTGATCATTATGTATTGTGTGCATGTGTTCAAATATCACATGCACCCTATAAATATGTACAATTAATACGTATCAGTCAAAAATAAAAGATGTTGGATGGGGCTGAAATTCCATCTTAGGCTTGTAGTCCTCTTCCAAGTTCACATGGCTGTTGGCAGAATTTATTCTCTTGAATCTGTAGAACTCATGGGGGGCTTGCTTCTTTTTTGAGGCCAGAAGGAGATTCTCTTATTTTGATTAAAGTCAACTGATTAGAACTTTAATGATATCTGAATAATCCCTTGACTTTTACCATATTGTATTGGTTAGAAGCAAATTCGCAGGTTCTATTGGGCAGAAGCAAGCTTTCAAGGGGAGGTAAACATACAAGGGCATGAGTCATTGGCTGTCAATTTAGGGTATGTCTTTTACAAAGCCCCCCAAAATTAATTGACCTGCTTCTAGTCAGTATTGGTAGAGGGTAAGATTTGACTCCAAGCTGCTTGGCCCTAGAGCATAAGCACTTTGTTGCTTACTTTCTCAGGGTTATCCATTCTCATACACTGCAGCCTGAGAAAGGATTGATAGGAATTTGTTTGCAGACATTCAAGATCATGTATTTTGTGTATTTGTGTCCTCTATTCATTTGGTTGTTATGAACTCTCTATATAAACTACCCTTCTACTTTCTGTGACAAGTGACATCCTTTTTCTTGTGCAATTAAAAGTGCTAAATTTATTTCAATCCAAAACACATCCTTTGCAAATCCCTACATTTGTAATATTGAACAAAGTGAGCAGCTATGCCATTTAAGTAACAATTCCTTCCAACGCTGCTCATTATATGTGTGAAATTTAAATCTTTGATCAATGAGTGATGACGATGAGTGTGCTGTTGATAATGCTCTGAGAGCATCTACTTTTAGGTGAAGGAAAGAATGCAAGGATGTGGAACCCATTTAGTCACACATATGTTTAAGCCCTAGAAACTGTTGGTTATGTGGTTCATTTGCGATCACCATCCTCTATTCTGCTTGTTTTAAACACGGGATGAAAATCTTTCAAC
Organism: Homo sapiens; assembly: GCF_000001405.40. Taxonomy (NCBI): domain Eukaryota; kingdom Metazoa; phylum Chordata; class Mammalia; order Primates; family Hominidae; genus Homo; species Homo sapiens. The sequence goes on from NC_000013.11 coordinate 33,944,594, forward strand.
ACAAGAATTTTGTGAAGTCACAGACTGACCCTTGAAAAATACCAGTAATCAGCCATTTAAAAATACATTTAAATCATTTTGTTTGAGTTCAAGGTGCAGGAATCTTCAGTTTTGCGACTAAAGTTAGCACTTGAGAATGGAATTGTATTGCCCCACCCACACGCACACACTCAAATTTCCACATATTCCTTTCTTTTTGCCAAGAGATGAGAAGATATTGCCCTGGATATTCAAGGAAACAGTGGGGGCAAATGCAACAGCAACAGTCCATGATTGGTACAAGAAACTTCAGATTAACCCCTTGGAAACAACCAGAAGACTTAACTCAGCATCTCAGAAAGATCAAAATCATTGTCATAGAGCCAAAGGGCTCCCAGGCATAACACATTTTTGTTTTTGTTGTTATTCCTCTCATCTTGAGTTTCTGAGACCTATTTCCTCCTCAGATCCCGGCTAATCTGTTAGCCTTGTCAGCTCTTGCCCTGTGGATCAGACTCCTCCCATTTCTCTGCCTTGTTGATTAACATCCTGCTTTCTGATCCCAGCTCATCTCTATGGCCTTTGCCTCATATTCTTTCATACTATTATTTCCATTTTAACCATTATATTCTAATTCTGTAGTGTGATTGGGAAAACCATTGGCAAGAAAGATACAAAAATAGAGCCCTAGGGTTAAGGTTATGTCCTTATGATTTTCCATATTCATATAGTACTTAGCACTTCATACATGTTAACTCATGAGACTTCAAAATATCCTTACGAGGGATTCTGATTCTTAGATACAGTTTGCAAATTAAGGAAGATAAATATATATAGAAAAAAACACAATAGTAACAAACTTGACAGGAGAGGATTAACTTCTGGGAGCACAAAGTGGAGTTCTTGGCCTGAGCCCACAGCTCCAGGAAACTTCAATGAACTGAAAATGGCCTGTCTGGGTAACGAGGCTCTGTACATCTCTCTTCACCCTAAAGTTGAGTCAGTGAGGCATTATGATGTTTTTAATTTCTCAAGTGATATTAAAATACAGACCCACAGACCCCATCTGTTCTCTTGGAAGCAGAGAGATTGGCAAATGATAACACTACATGCCTTTAGGGATATACGCTGCCTGATAATCACCATGTGGTTTCAACTAGTTCACGCTCAGATGAACCTGATATGAATTTAGAAAGGGCAAACACTCCTAATGAGATGGTATATTCTTGACTTACTATTTTAAACAGCACCTTCTTCCTACTACCTGCAAACACCACATTTGTATCCCTTTCTAAGGCGGGACATCTTGGAGTCATCTTTGTTTCCTCTTTCCATTTATCTTCTATATATCCAGATGGAGAATCTTATGGTTTCTTTGTGATATGCCTTTTGCTTTCTGATCTTACTGCCATCACTTGAGTTCAAACCTTCAGTATCTCATCTGGAGCGCTGCTCTGTCGGCCTAGGAAATGGCTCTGACTCTGGTTCTCTCCACTTGGATAATCTCATGTTGCCTGGGGAATGTTTCTAAAATGGCCAATAGGAGAATCCCTGTCTGTAGAGTACAATTGCTGTGTTTGCCTTCCCAGTAGCACTTTCCCATTATTCTTTTAATAACACCCCACATTTTAAGAAGCGACTTATTACAGCACTGTTTTTTCCTTCCATCGTTATCAAATAAATGTTCCTGTGATCCAAACCAGCTCAACCATTGTCAAGACACATGACTCAGGCAGTCTAATTGGAATGTGCCCTGGGATTACTGGGATTGCTGTATACATTGGTATACAGCAGTAGTTTCCAGACTTTTTTCTTTCAGAAACTCTTTTTACTCTTAAAAGTTATTGAGGACTCCCAAGAGCTTTTGTTAATGTGGCTTCTATCTGTACATTTCCATATTATAAATTAAAAATGATAAATACATTTATTATTTCATTTAAATACAAAATAGTAAACCCTTTACATGTTAACGTAAATAAAATACTTTTAAGCATATAACTTTTCTAAAATGAAAATATTTTGTGAGAAAAATGGCATAGTTTTATATTTTTGTAAATCTCTTTAATAATTACCCTAATAAACAAATCTACTGCACATGCAGTTCATAAAATATGTTGCTACGGATGAAGTGTATGAAGAAAATCTGGCCTCACAGATGTGTAGTTGGAAAAGGGAGAATCATTTTAATAGTCTTTATAGATATTATGGATATTATTCTTTGAGACTATACTAAAACTTGACAAGTGGCAGTTTCCTAAAGGTTAGTTGCAATGTGAAATCTGAAACCATGTCGGTGAGCTTTTTGTACGCAGCTATAATAAAATCTGTTGGCAGTTTGTACAGATCTTTTACATGTTCATGATTTCATTTGGAAATGCACTGATTATTTGGAAAGTATACGTTCATCAAGATATGCATATCTGCTAAATGATGACATGTGTTCATTTTATGATGTCTTAAACCACATTTAGTAACATCACCAGTGACCTCATCTGAAAATTGGGATACCATCAAGCTTATAATGCAACATACATGTTGATATGGTTTGGCTCTGTGTCCCCACCCAAATCTCACTTTGAATTGTAATAATCCCCAAATGTCAATGTGTCAAGGGTAGGACCAGGTGGAGGTAATTGGACCATGGGGGTGATTTCCCCTATGCTGTTCTCATGATAATGAGTGAGTCTCATGAGATCTGATGGTTTTATAAGCATCTGGCATTTTCCCCTGCTTGCACTTATTCTCCTGCTGCCCTGTGAAGAGGTGCCTTCTCTCATGATTGTAAGTTTCCTGAGGCCTCCTCAGCCATGCGAAACTATAAGTCAATTAAACCCCTTTTCTTTATAAATTACCCAGTCTCTAGCAGTTCTTTATAGCAGCGTGAGAATGGACTAATACAGTAAATTGGTACTGAGAGTGGGGTGCTGCTATAATGATACTCAAAAATGTTGAAGCGACTCTGGAACTGGGCAACAGGCAGAAATTGGAACAGTTTAGAAGGCTCAGAAGAAGACAGGAAAATGTAGGAAAGTTCAGAACTTCCTAGCTTGGAGGACTCAGAAGACAGGAAGATGTGAGAAAGTTTGGAACTTCCTAGAGACTTGTTGAATGGCTTTGGTCAAAATGCTGATAGTGATATGGACAATGAAGTCCAGGCTGAGGTGGTCTCAAAAGGTGATGAGGAACCTCTTGGGAACTGGAGCATAGGTGACTCGTGCTATGCTTTAGCAAAGACACTGGTGGCATTTTGGCCCTGTCCTAGAGATCTGTGGAACTTTGAACTTGAGAAGGATGATTTAGGGTATCTAGCAGAAGAAATTTCTAAGTGGCAAAGCATTCAAGAGGAAGCAGAGCATAAATGTTTGGAAAATGTGCAGCCTGGCGATGTGATAGAAAAGAAAACCCCATTTTCTTGGGAGAAATTCAAGTTTGCTGCAGAAATTCGCATAAGTAATGAGGAGTGAAATGTTAATCACCAAGACAATGGGGAAAATGTCTCCAGGGCATGTTAGAGACCTTCATGGCAGCCCCTTCCATCACAGACCGAGACCTAAGAGGTAAAAATGGTTTTGTGGGCTGAGCCCAGGGACCCCCTGCTCCATGCAGCCTTGGGACATGGTGCCCTGTGTCCCAGCTGCTTCAGCTCTAGCTGTGGCTAAAGGGGCCAAGGTACAGCTCAGGCCATTGCTTCAGAGGGTTCAAGCTTTAAGCCTTGGTGGCTTACCTGTGGTGTTAGGCCTGTGGGTGCACAGAAGTCAAGAATTGAGGCTGGAGAACCTCTGCCTAGATTTCGGAGAATGTATGGAAACGCTTGGATGTTCAGGCACAAGTTTGCTTCATGGGTGGAAACTTCATGGAGAACCTCCACTAGGGCAGTGTGGAAAGTAAATGTGCGGTTGGATTCCCCCAAAGTCCCCACTAGGGCACTGCCTCGTGGAGCTGTGAGAAGAGGGCCACTGCCCTCCAGACCCCAGAATTATCAATCCACCAACAGCTTGCCCTGCATGCCTGGAAAAGCCTCAGACACTCAATGCCAGTCTGTGAATTCAGCCAGGAGAGGGGCTGTACCCTGCAAAGCCACAAGGGTGGAGCTGCCCAAGGCCATGGGAGCCTACCTCTTGCATCAGCATGACCTGGACGTGAGACATGGAGTTAAAGGAAATCATTTTGAAACTTTAAGGTTTAATGACTACCCTATTGGATTTTGGACTTGCATGGGGTCTGTAGCCCCTTTGTTCTGGTCAATTTCTCCCATTTGGAATGGGTGTATTTACTCAGTGCCTGTACCCCCATTGCATCTAGGAAGTAATTAACTTGCTTGTGATTTTGCAGGCTCATAGGCAGAAGCAACTTGTGTTGTCTCAGATAAGACTTTGGACTTGGACTTTTGGGTTAATGCTGGAGTGAGTTAAGACTTTGGGGGACTGTTGGAAGGACATGATTGTGTTTTGAAATGTGAGTACATGAGATTTGGGAGGGTCAGGGGTGGAATGATATGGTTCATCTCTGTGTCCCCATCCAAATCTCACCTTTCCCCACGTGTCAAGTGTGGGAACAGGTAGAGGTAATTGGAGCATGGGGGCAGTTTCCCCCATGCTGCCCTCATGATAATGAGTGAATCTCACAAGATCTGATGGTTTTATAAGTGCCTGGCATTTTCCCCCACTTGCACTCATTCTCTCTCCTGTCACCCTGTGAAGAAGTGCCTTTTGCCATAATTGTAAGTTTCCTGAGGCCTTCTCAGTGATGCGGAACTGTGAGTCAATTAAACCTCTTTTCTTTATAAATTACCCAGTCTCAGGCAGTTCTTTATAGCAGCCTAAGAACAGACTAATACACGTTTTCCAAAATCAGCAATTAGAAAGCTAAAAATTTATCATTTACGTTAAGCACCGTACTCAATTCTGAATAACAATAGTTTATGTATTGGTTATTCTTTCAAATTAAAATAGTATTCCATGCAAATGTGGCTCACAACTCAAACATTTGGCTGAGTGCTTTTCCTCATGACATGATTGTACTGTGGTGTGCAGTAGAAGTCCTTTAGGTGCACGTGATGATTAATTTTATGTGTCAACTTGATTAGGCCGCAGAGTGCCCAAATATTTGGTCAAATATTATTCTGGGTTTTTCTGTGAGGGTGTTTCTGGATAAAATTAACATTTGAATAGGTAGACTGAATAAAGCAGATTGTCTTCCCTAATGGGGTTGAGCCTCATCCAATAAATTGAAGACTTGAATAGAACAAAAAGACTGACCTTTCCAGGTAAGAGAGAATTTCTCTTACCTGACAGCCTTCAAATTGAGACATAAGCTTTTTTCCTGCCTTTAAACTCAAGCTAAAATATTGGCTTATCCTGGGTCTCAAGCCTGCTGGCCTTGGGATTGAAACTAAACCAGGAGCTTTCCTGGGTCTCCAGCTTCTGACTGCAGATCGTGGGACTTGCCTGTCTCTCTCTGCTTTCTCTCTCTCTTTCTCCCTCTCTCTCTCTCTCGCTCTACACACACACACACACACACACACACACACACACCCCGTTATGGTTTGGTTTCTCTGGAGAAACCTAGTACAGTGCACTTCCCATTTAATTCCATAGAATATTAAAAATTCATGTACTTTGAGTTTAGATTTGATAAAATTAATAACTTTTACTGTTTCTTCAGGGATGTTCTTAAATAAAAGTGGTTTTTAAAATTTTTACTGTAACTGTGTAGCAGTAAAGAATAAAATGACTGCTAGTACAATTTTGGTGCCTCTGGCTAAGGAACTAGCAGTTTTAGCTAACATTGATTTTGCACTATTAGTAAAAATATCGATATAATGAAAAAGGAAAAAAGTCTTTGTATTATTATAAAAATAGTGTTGACCTGTGGATCCCTAAAAGGGTTTTAGAGACTCTCTAGGGGTCTGCAAACCATATTTAGAAAACCAGTGGAATAAAGAAATACTCCTTTCACCAAAATTTCTAAGTTTCTAACTTGATAATTTGGGCTTGCCCCAGCCATGTTCCCTGGCAACATGGAAGAAAGCGTCTGTAGTTAGGAAAGAATGAGGCCAACACACAGGTCAACTGAGCTGAGAGAAGAAGAGATAGCTCTGATAACATCTTTTTCTGTCTTGGATTTAGCCTTGCCTGAAGCAAGATCTGGACTTTTTGCTTAACAGAGCCAATGTATTCTCTCTCTCTTCTCTTTCTCTCTCTCTCTCTCTTTGAACCTAATCCAGTGTTAGGTTTCTTCTCCTTGTAGCCAAAATGTTTCTATAAGATGGTCCCATCTCATTCACCCAATTTCCTCCTCTAATTTGGTATTCACCATAAGCTCTTCCAAGGTTTCCACCCACATGTTTACTCTTCCCTTCACTTATTCCTCATGTGGTTCTTCCTCTCCATGCCATACAACTTCTACCTGTGGCTGCCAAAGTTCTTGAAGACTTCCCTGATGTCTCCAGCCCACTCTGATGGCTCTTTTTTTTTTTTTTTTTTTTTTTTGGAAATCTGTCATACTGTTATCAATAGAAAAGTTTTTGGTGGTAAATCACTCTCTGGTTTTCTTTTCTAATGGGTTTTGGTCTTGTCATTCTAACTAGAATGTTAGTTTCTTAATGGAAGAGGTCACATTTAAGTGCTCTTTGCATATCACTGGGTATACTATAAGTACATTTTTTTTTTTTTTTTTGAGACAGAGTCTCGCTCTGTTGCCCAGGCTGGAGTGCAGTGGCGCGATCTCGGGTCACTGCAACCTCTGCCTCCTGGTTCAAGCGATTCCCCTGCCTCAGCCTCCCGAGTAGCTGGGAATACAGGTGCATGCCACCACGCCTGGCTAATTTTTTGTATTTTCAGTAGAGACGGGGTTTCACCGTGTGAGCCAGGATGGTCTCCATCTCTGGACCTCATGATCCGCTGGCCTTGGCCTTTCAAAAGTGCTGGTATTACAGGCATGAGCCACCACACCCAGCTGTAAATAACTTTTTTTTTTTAAACCCAGGGGATTTTGTTTTTCTCACATTTCTTAGAAAAATTTTTTCCTTAGTTGACTAAATGGAGAAATTACCTTTCGAAAGCTATCCACAGGCAGCCTTCTGGAATAAAGGAAAGGTTTAGAGTAAATCATCTAATAGAACTACTGGCAAATCTCTATGGTTTCAAACTCATACAGGTGTTTAATATAATAACAAGTTGACAAGTCAAAGATAATAATAGCTGCTATTTACTAAGTGACTTCTATGTGATAAGCAGTAGCTTAGATTCTTTGCATGAATTATCTTTAATTTCCACAATAATCATGAAAGGGAAATATTATTATCATTATCTTATAGCTGAGGAATTTGATCCGGAGAGCTTAAATAACTATTCCAAGTTGGCATAGCTTATCAATTGGAAGTCAAGATTCACAAAGTCATTGGCTTTAAGGCATGTAATAGTTCCATTTACATATGTTGTAAACACTCCCAAGAATAACATTGGATTCAATTGAACATTCATTTGTTGAATGCCTACTAATGTAAAGCACTGTACTTGGTGCCACAAGAGATTCTGAAATGAGAAAAGAGCTCATGGTTTAGCTTGTTTATGTCTGGAGAATATTTTTCTCAGCAAGCAGTCAATAGACTTGAACACGTAAGTGCACAATCCTCATTAAAATATGGTAACCAGCTCCCAAGAAGCAGAAGGGAATGACATGTGCCTTGAGGATTCATTTTTATTGAAAAATCATCTAGAAGCAGTACTCTTTAAATCTCTTTCTGAATTGATCTTGAAGACTACTGATAATGGAAGCAACTGCAGAGAAAGAATACCAGAACCATATAATGTGTAGAAGGAACACATACTTTGGAATCTGAAATAGGAATTTTTGGAAAGTGGGAAAAAGTTCAATTTATTAGACTATATCTTAGCCAGTTCTGAATCTCAGGTTTTCATCTGCAGATGCTGTAATATCTGTCGCACAGGAATGTTGAGCTGATTAAGTAAGTAGGAATAAAGAATGCTGTTCACATACAGAGTTGGTGCTAAGTAGAAATCCCACTACTTTCCCTGGTGATCTCTTCAAATCACCCTCTTAACAACCACAACCTTGGATATGAGAAATGAATGTTTTGGTCCTAGTTGAAAGGGAGATGATGGCCCTTTTCTCCAGCCTCCAATAAAAACTCAAGAACAACCTGTGTGGCATTCTTGCTTGGGCCACTCCTTGAAAATCATGAGGGACAGGATTTCACTCCTCCCAAAGTATCCTCCTAGGCAAATTCTTAGAAAGGTTTTTTTTTCCTATCACAATTTAATTCCTATCAGAATATCTTTGTAATTTCCAGCCCTTGGTTGCAGATCTGTTCGCAGAAGCTACCTAGAAGATATTTCATTCCTTTGTATGGGGAGACATTCAAATATTTGAAATCACAAATCTGCTCTTATAAAAAATTGGCTAAGTAAATTCTTCTTTGACTGTGTAGAATAAACATGCATACAGTTGTCTTTGAAGTCGTTAGCTCACATTGAAAAGAAAAAGTTTAGAAGAAATTAAATATATAATTTTGGGGGAAAATTTATCTATAATTTTAGCTCATAGTTTACAATTCCTATATGACTGTTTGGAAGGTATTTATTTTAGAATGGATGGATGTTCCGTATTAACCTGTAGGAAGGGTTTGTGAATATTCTGTTGCTCTGAATTATTAGCGGTCTAGATCTAGGCTGGACTTTGAGAAATATGAAATAAAAAAATACCTCTTTGGAGTGTGGTGTTGCTCTTTAAAAAAAAAAAAAAAAAAAAGCCCAGTGAATAAAAGGAAAACCCAGTCATTTCTCCTGGAAGCCTTTCAATAGTGACTCAATGGCAATGTTGTGGTTGAAATTGTTGCTCCTAGATAATGAGAAAAGTTAAAGCCATCTTCTCAACAGTGAGTAGAAAAATCTTTTAAATTTTAGAGATGTCATAAATATAGTCTTAAGAAAACTATTGGGAAAACAGTTTCTTGTTTTATTTGCTTATTTCCTAAGGAACAAAAATGATTGCCATTTTACAACTTTATCCCTATAAAGTTGTAGCCTTCATGATGACATAATTCCCAAAGTCAGCTAGAATTCCGAGAATCAAAGAAGAAACTGAAATCTAATTACAGAGAACAAATGCAACAGGCCAGTTATATTTCCAGACGTTTTTGGTTTGCCCAGTTCCCTAATTTTTCATACTTCTCTTTAGTCTGTTCATTTTTTGCTTAAAAATTGAATGGAATTTTGATGCGACATTTTAGAATAAATTTTAAAGAAGCATAAAACTAAAAACCTACTTGGAGAATTATGAATGTTAGGTAACATATACAGTGTTAAGCAGAGTTTTACTAATTGGAGAATTTTACTTGTTCCCTTTTAAGTTTAAAAGATAGGTGTTGCATAACTCTGAAAATCTGGGATGATGAGAAGACCTCAGGCATGTTCTACAAACAAGATTTTAAAGGAATGTCAAGTATGGTGCTAAGAAAATAGTTTAAAATTTGTAATTTCCTTTCACCTAGCTCCCAATCCAGAAAATAATTGACCAAAAAAATTGATAGCAACCTTGTAAAGAGTTAAGGTAAAAAAGAATAACCTCTCATTATCTTTGTTTCTCAAGCAAAATATACATTTTAGTAAACAGATTTTGGGGGAAAAGAATGGAATAGCTACATTTACATGACATCAATAGAGGGCACAATTATTAGAGTTTCATAAGTGTAGCTAAGGAAAAAGATCACAATTCACAAATATAAATTTTTGTCATTTTGAGAACATAGAAGACCCCTGAGTGATGGTCATTTCATCAAATGTCCATGAGCTTTATATTCCAGGCAACAGAGGTCTTCCTTTACAGTGCTTGGACTATGATAATCCTACTATGATTTGAGGTTAATCAGGCCATTATGTGCAAAATTTGAGGATAGGGCCAACTTATCGCAATCTACTTCCATTTTCATGAAGCCTGTCTTAGTTCGTTCAGGCAGTTATGACAGAATACAATAGTCTGGGTAGTTTAAACAACAAACATTTATTTCTCACAGTCCGGAGGCTGGAAGTCCAAGATTAAGGGTGCTGGCAGATCAGGTGTCTGCTGAGGACCCACCTCCTGGTTTGTAGACAGCCATCTTCTGGTTGTGTCCTCACAAGGCAGAGATTAGAGAGCAAGCTCAGGTCTCTGAATTCCCTTATAAAATCACTAATCTCCTCACGAGGGCTCCATCCTCATGACCTAATTACTTCCCAGAGACCTCATCTCCAAATACCAACACACTGGGGATAAAGGCTTCAACATATGAATTTTAGGGGAACACAAACCTTCAGTCCACAGCAAAGCCCATTGCTTACTGTTGCCTCTTTTCAAAATTCAGCACTAAGCTTAATATTGATGTCTCTCCAGCAAACATTTTACTTCAGTTGAGACTCAAACCATTTGAATGGGGCTCAGCAATTTGGTTTGGCTATTTCTCATGCAGCCTCTCTACATGGCCGTGTGTGTGGCAAAAACTCTAAATCTTATGGTGCTAATTTCCCCTTCAGTGTCTAGAAATGGTTTCAGAAAGAATGATGACATCACTGAGCTACCAAGACGGAAAAATTATAGGGTTAATGAACAAGAGTGAAGAAGGAGAAATGAAGCCTTCTCAGAAGCAAGCTACAGGAAGATTAATGTGTGAAATTCTACAAACTAACCAAGTTTAAGGAAGCAGTTGCAAGAGATAAATGATGGAGGACTTGTAAAAAAAGGTTTAACTCTGCTTAACAACGATATTTGTGGGTATTTTTTTTCCTTATGCTACTAGTACAAGCTACAAGTGAAAGAGTAGAATGAAAACAGCTAAAAAAAATTTGCTACAGTGCAACTAGCTGTCAGGTAGGAAGAGTATATCTACATGATAAACAGGCGCTTACCTGAAGGAGGGGCGTGAAAGGGAAATAAATCTTTTATTCACCTTGACTATAAACCTAATCCTGATCTCACTCCCTCCTGACTAGTCCTTAACCCTGCCTCTCAAAAACACTGATTTTGCTCAACATAAGTGTTGTCCAGTAAGTTTTAAAAATATCAAATTAGCTGGCCAATTTAAACATAAGAAAGTGATTGAACTTAAACATGAATGTACTTCAAGCAGTAGCTTAAAGTATATTCTATGGCTAATTTGGGTTTTCCTCAAGAAATAGGTTTCACAGCCAAATAACTTCATGATGCTGGGCTAAACCAGTTAAAAAATTTGCCCCACACACCACCCAGATGTCTCAGGGGCTTCAGGAGGCGCATGTGCAGGCCACGTGCAGGAGAATGCAGCATGTCCTAAACAACTTTCTATCACTGCCCCAACTTTTCCAAATGTTGAAGAAGGAGCCTAATCTATAAAGTGTTGGTTAATAATGCATCTCTCAAAATATAAATAAATTATAGCATTCTTCAAATAGAAAAAATTAACAAAGTTTAACAACTGTATCATTCACCAAATATCTACTATTTCTCCTCTTCTTTAATCTATTTGTTTGCATTCAACTCTTTAAATAAATGCAGACCTCTCTGCCAGTGTCCACCAATGTGTTAAAAATCCCCCTCTATCTTGCCTCCTCTTGGAAAGACACAGAGAGGACACAAAATAAAGAGAAAAGATTAAAGTGTATTTTCCTTTCTTGCACTGAGGTTAATTAAAAATACATCAGAAATATTGAAACATAAAAATCAGAACATTGGATTGGAAATTAGTGGTTGGATTTCTAGGAAGGGTAGGTTAAAGTCCTAAGTATTAGTTTAATCTGAGACGTAATCACAGCAGTGATTTCTGGGCCCACGTTGGTATAAGATATTTCCTGATGGCAGCTTGTGAATACAGATGAACACAGCAAATTGTACATCATCTCAGGAATACTGAAGCCCAAACTAATAAATTTCCCTAAACTCTGCTAAACTAGAAACATATGCTACAGGAGATGTTCTAACCTACAAATAAAATACATTATCTCATACCAAAAAGTATTTCCATATGCCCAAACCTTAAATGCATGACTGTTATGTAGTTCAGGGATTTTGTTTCTTAGAACTTCTGTATCAAGAACACATAAAGAAGAGTGTGGAGTCCCAGGAGGCTCTTCCCACTCTTAGCTGTGTGAAGCTGGGTAAAGCACTAGATGTCTAGTGAGGCTGTTTTTGATTGTTTGTAAAACAGGAAAATAATCCCTGCTTTAAGTATCCACACATATGTCCTGATAATCAAATGAGAAAATTTAGAACCTAATAAATAGTAAAGTTGTATATGTGTGTTAGTTGCGAATAGGATATAATCTTGTACATCTCTCTTTTTTCCTTTCCTTCTGTCTATATGTTTAGGTCTATGCAGAGATCTAATATCTGTCTGTATATATCTATTTATCTTCTCCATCATCATCTCATCATTTATCATCTAACATTTATCTACCTACTATCTATTATCTATCATCTATCTATCCATGATCATCGTCAACTATTATCTATTTATCTACTGATCTATATTTAAACATGTCCTTTTGTTATGCTTCTGTATATATACAACTGTATTGGTGACTTTTTTACAGGTTTCAAAGATGACTATAAATGTGTAGGTTATTTATTTCTTTCTCTTAATATTCTGAAGCATCCCAAAGACTACGTCAAAAAATTATGGTGAAAAGCTGAAGATAGTAATTTATTTGCGTCAATTTTCCCAGAACCTCATTGGATGATCAAGCCTGCATTTCTTTTCTTCTTTATTGTTATAAAGTATTAGTTATTCCAGAGAGGAGAAAAACATAATTGGATTATTTAGGACCTATATTTTGTAATGTCACCTAATTTTATAATATAACAGGTACCATTATGGCAATGCAAAATAAAACATGGGATGAAGTTGCTCAGGATGCAGAGCAGTGTGGTTGGTGTGCATTTTGCCCTGTTCCGTACCACTTATGACTACTGAATATTCTACAAATGTGCAGAGAAATGGGCGACATTTGTTTTGGAGTAACCTGGAAGGATGAGGCCCAATTCTGCTTGCTCTAAAGGATGAATAGTTCTTTTGAAAGCCAAGTACATAACTGTGAGGCCCGGAAGCTCTAAGTTCACTTAGACAAACATGTCACTGTGATGGCTGATCTTTAGCACAAGCGCAAGCCCACTGCATTGATTGGCCCAGAACCCAATGTAGTCAAACGTGAAGGTCTTCTGTACACCGTGGATGGTGGGGAGAGGAGGGCAATCCCTCAAAGCCTGGAGTCTTTCTCCAGTCTTGCCAGTCTCCCAGGCTGGCCAGGTGGCAGCTGGTCTGCCTGCTTCTCTTTCTTTTTACAGGTTGTTCCTGAACTTTTACTATTGTACCATACTCTGCTGTAGGAAATTAGGAATACAATGGTGAACCAGGCAGATGCTGCACCTGTCTTTATAAATCTTATATCCTAGTAGAGACGAGAGTTTTAAAAAAATCATACTAACAAAATTAGACTCCAAATTATTATAAATGCCAAGAAGGAAATTAATAGACTGAAAGAACAAATAAAAAGCAGGTGGTTCCATGGATAGCGAGATCAGAGAGGGACTCTTTGAGGAGGTGACAGTGAAGTTAAGACATCAAAGTAGGTCTCAGATTAAATGCCAGAGCATGAAGAAGTTTCTGCTGGAAGAGGGTGATTGAACATCGCAAGTAAAAGAAACGTCAAGTACAAAGGCCTTGAGGTGGGAATGGGCCAGGCCGTTTGGAGTGTAATGGCAGGGTCCCGTCTAGGGAGTACAGCTGTAGCTTTTGAATTGTCATAGACCCATGCCCCAGGAGCAGTGAGGAGAACAAGTGATTGGGGATTTCTGGAGGTATTTGCACTTTGCTCCTGTTCTTATAATCAAGTGAAGCTTTTCAAACTGAGATGGATGTGTTTCAGTATTTTCACAACTGACATGTTTGTACCAGATCAAACTGGATGAGTGTTACCCCTGAGAGGTGGAGTTTTTCTGAACATACTTTGGAAACGTACTCTATGCAACAGCATAGAGACGGAAAACAGAAGGCGTTTTTCAGAAATAGGAAATAATCTTGTTTACTATAGGGAGAGTGTGGGATGATGTCTGGAGTTTCAGGTAAGGCTTGATGTGGCTTCTGGGAAGACTGTGGAAAGCTCTGAATGTCAAGTATGTTTTTAATCCACCATAATGTTGACACCAGCCACTTGACCTTACTTGCAGAGATGAATACCATGAGCATCCTGGCTGCCCTCTGCATCTTGGCTGCCCTACCCCCATGATTACCTGGCACTTCCCATTTGCCTCCATGATCTAGGACATGCCTGGTATTGCAGAGGGCCTCCAAGGCCATACTGGCATTCATTATGACTAGTTGGTATTTATTCATTACTGGTTATTAAATATTTTAAATGTCACTTATATTAGTTCCACAGAACTATTATTTTAAAAAATTCTGCATTTAAATAGCTTTGGAGATACAAGAAAGACATAAGATTCTGTGTCTCCAGACATGCTTGAGAGCCTCTTTCACCCCAGTTGCTGCTCAGGGACCTAGAGATCCACAGAGTGCCCTTTGGTAACACTCCTGATCTGCTTCAGTGACTTTATTTAAATGTCTCTTGTGTTAAATTCCTCCCACATGTAAGCCACCTCCACCCTGTGGTCTCTGCTCTCCTTCTAAAACACAACTATGATTAGGTTATTTCCCTGCTTACAAACTCGATAACTTCTCATACCTGCAGAATACAGGCCAAACTCCTTATTAAGGGCTTCCAAGACTCTTTGCAAATGGTTACCTCTCCACACGTCAACACCTGTTATTCCCAGTTCTTCCCTCAAGGCCCCTGTGACCTAGACACAAATGACGATTTTGAACACAGCAAAGACTTCATAGCTCCTGGCTTCCTCTTGATTCCCTTGCCATAGACCCCTGATCTTGCAGACCCCAGCATAAATTGCATTCTTCCTATGAAATCATTCTCAATCTCCTCACTCCCAGTGAGTCTCCCCACTCTCAGCTCTCATGGCAATTTGTTTACATCCAGAACATTTATCTCAGGCCCAGTTGTACTTATTTATTGTTAGCCTTGTCCATTTTGGTCTCCACCAGACAGTGATCTCTGGCACTACATGGTCTTCATCTCCTAATGACCCACCCTGCCCCTTCCTCTACCACCAAGGTATGGCTTTATACCTTGCACCCATTTCCTGTTTTTTGTCAACCTAGGCTAACTGTGTCAGGCCATTCTTGCACTGCTATAGAGAAATTCCTGAGACTGGGTAGTTTATAAAGAAAAGAGGTCTAATTGGCTCATGGTTCTGCAGGCTGTACAGGAAGCATAGCGCCGGCATCACTCAGCTTCTGGGGACAGCTCAGGAAGGTTTTACTCATCGCAGAAAGCAAAGTGGGAGCTTGTAGGTCACATAGTGAAAGCAGGAGCAAGAGAGAGTGTCAGGGGAGGTGCCACACACTTTTCAATGACCAGCTCCCATGTGAACTCACTGTTGTGAGGACACCACCGAGGGAATGGTGCTAAACCATTCATGAGAAATCCACCCCCATGATCCAGTCACCTCCCACCAGGCCCCACGTCTAATACTAGGGATTACATTTCAACATGGGATCTGGGTGGAGACAAATAGACAAACTATATCAGTAACCAAAAAACAAACAAAACAAAACAACCAAAAAACAAAAATCAAGTGATGGTATTGAAAGGGCACTCAATCAGAAGATCTGGTCTTCAGGCCGGTCTCTGAACCTGAACAGATATATGGCCTTGGGCACACTCCATAAGATCAGGGGCTCTGGTACCTTAAAGGATAAACGAAGAGTCTTGCCCGAGTCTAGCTTCTCCGCAGAAACTTGAGCCCATGCCTGACCTTATCTGTATAAAAATGCACTGTAATTATTTTTTAAATTTGCATTGTTAGGCCCATCTGACACACAGCCAGTGTTAACCTACCTTCCTTCTACTGTCAGTGAATTCTCCACCTACAAGGACTGGGCATCCTTCATCTAAGATTTCTGGTCATGTTGGGTCAATATCAAAGGTGTTTTGGGCAGTTCTTCTTGTAGGTTAACTGTCAGGACCTCACTGGAAAATCAGTACACAGAAGGAGAATGACAAATAGCCCTGGGAGGTGCAGGCTCCCCTTCTCCCACTGCCTCAATTCACACACCCTTATTTCTCACCTAGGGCACCCCAGCAGACTGGCCTCCTGCACTCATGCCCCAGATGGAGACCCAGGTGACCCTGAACATGCAAATGTGATCATTATTGCCTGCCTGAAATCTGCCAATGATCTCTGGTGCTTTTGGGGCCACGTTTAAATCATGATCTGATCCCCCCCTCTTGTTCTATGGTCACTCCATTATTCACTTCTTATTGCAGTCCCTACATCACTAGCCATTCCCTATCAACTTAGGGTGGTCCAGTGAAATCCAGGACACCCAATTAAGTTTGAATCTCAGATAAATCACAAATAATGGTTTAGTATAAGTATGTTCCAAATATTAAATGGGAGGTATTTATACTTACAGTAAAACATTATTTGTTGTCTATATGAAACTCAAATTTTACTGAGTGTCCTGGATTTTTATTTGCTACATCTGGCCACCCCGCCTATTACACACATGGTCTCAAAGACCCCTGCTTGCTCCCCTGCTGTCATTTCTTCCACGGCCACATTTTTCTCCCTCTCCTCCTACTTCACATCTGTGCATCATTCAGAACTCCTTCCATTTCCTCGTCAAAGCCTCCATTACTTCCAATCTAATTTGAATGCTTCTCTATGTTACCCTGGGCCTATGTCTAGTAATTTATTTATACAAACCTACTGTAATTATTTATTTGTATTTTTCTCTGACTCACTGAACATTTCCTGAGGGCAGGAATCATGGCCTCTTCTTTTATCTATTCCTAGAAACAGAAATAGAATAACAGAATGGCTGGCACATCATAGCTGTTCAATATTGTTGTTTGATGAATCAAATGATGTCATTTACTAGCTTTTGAAAGCACACAAAGAAAAACATATGGGCAGAGGCCTAGGTTTCCAGGGTAAAGGAGAAGAAGATACCAGACATCAAAGCTGCTAACTCATTTCTGGATGGCCATATTTATGAGACAATTAAGGGGACTGCAGTTAGGAGGCAGGCTGCAGATACAAGAGGAACACTCAAGACAGCACAGTCAGAAAGCCCATGGCCAGATATCAGTAACTGAGAACATAGAGACCAGAGATTGGAAATAGTGCTTTGGAAGCCTTGCATCTCAGTAACCCCATGGAAGAATAAGCCTTAGGATAATGTGAATTTGACAGTAAAGATTGATGACCTGGCTGACAAATAAAGGCTATACCGTGAAATCTTTTCCTCTGTAAGAATTTTAGCAAAAGAGAAGGAATGGGACCATCTGGCCACAACTGTCTTAAAGAAACTGATCTCATCAGCAATGGTCCCCAGAGGAGTCATGAACAGTGGCTTGGGAGTGTCAGGCAAGCCCTTCTTCTGGCTGTACAAAGTGATGGTGTGGCCAGTGCAGGCAGCAAGAGCTTGCAGAGGCAGGTGGTAACTTTCCTGTTTTCTCTGTAGGATCCTTTTCCCAAACTTCCTCTCCTTTCTCTAGACTGTTCATGCCACTTCAAATCCTAATTTGAGAATTAGCCAGAGCTATGAGGGGGGATATGTAAAGGAAGATTTGATGGATCTGCCAAAGAAAGGAGATCAAAAACACAGGCCATTAACCTGTCGGTGCCTCAGGGTCCCAGCTCATCCTGTCTCCTTCACTTCTTCAGCAGAAGCTTTCCCCCATTTTTCTGTTCTTTACTCTCCTCTTGCTTCTTATCAACCTAACCCCCAGCCCCACACCCCAAGTGAATGGCTTTTGGCTTAATGAATGTTTACTAATGGATAAGCTACTGTCCTACACTTTCAGAATAAATGTTGAGAGTCTGACAAATAGTCACAGCTTTTACAATATACTTCTGGGGCATATCCTAAGGAACCAATCAGAGGCCAAATATTTATGTTCACTGATGTGCATTACAATATTACAATCTGAGATGCTCATGCAACAAAATACTATCCAACCATCAGAATAACATTTTCTGGGAATATTTAATAACAGAGGGAAATGCTTGTGATTGCCATCATGAAAATCAAAATAAAAGATTCTAAGTTCCAAATAGTGTTATGTATGTATGTATGTATAGATACATACATAAGACACAATGAAGCATTGAGGTTAGAGGCATGAGGCTTGGAGTTAGACTCTTTTAGTGGCACTTTTACTGTTTTTTAGTTGAGATTCTCTGAAAATTCACTGGGCATCAGGATGTCATTATAAAATCAGAGGAATAGAATTTGTCTAATAGAACATTTTTGTGAATTTATATGAGAGACCCTTTGTCAAATGACTACTCTAGTCCTACCCACAGCAGGAATTCAATAAATGGTATATACATATATAAATTTAAAATATTACTACCCAAAATATATGAAAGTCTTATTACCACAGGTTACCACTAAGTAGTGGTATTACAGGTTTTTCAATTTATTCTCCATGTTTCTTTATTTTTAAGTTATGTATAGTAAGTATATATTACTTTTACAATTATAATTAAAATATTATAAGTAAATTGACATAAAGTTTGCAACAGCTGAGATATTTATTTTGTTTTCGTTTTTATTTTCTTTTCTTGCTAGAGACAAGATAAAAAGATCTAGGGCTATTGCCAACAACATGCCAAGGTCAAATAGGAGACTCTGTGTGACCTAATATTTCCTGGCAGACATGAAGGCTCAGGATGGCTCTTGCCTACTTAAGCAAAACCTTAATTCAGAAAACAGGTCTGTAGGAACAGTTTGTGTTATATTTATAAAACTTAAAACTACCTAAACAGTAAGATACTGTAGTTGCTGAGAATCACGCTCTGCAGTGAGGACACCAAATTAATTATCGTTGATGAAAGGCTGTGTTAGTGAGAGCAAAACTTAGAGACTCCAGACACACCTTTCCCTACTCACATGCCTGATTACAAACCTCGAGATGCTCTATAGAGCAGTGTGCATTTACTTAGGGACATTTTAATTTTGTTTGATATTTCCTCCATCCTCTGTTTCTATAATGGACTTCTGGGCTTCCCTGACTTGTCTCTGTTCTTCTGTGTTCATGTCTCTCTGTGGAATGACAGTTAATGAAGAGAAAGTGAACGTGTTATCACGGCCAACACTGAGATTGCAGGAGGAAAGATATGAAAGCCACAGGAAAGATATGAAAGCCTCACCAAAGAGGAAATAAACCACCTAAAATAAAAGGCAATTTTGTTTGTGAAATGTGAAAAATGTGATAATCTACTTTATTTATGATGGACTACATGTTAAAGTGTGGGGTGATGAAAAGAGCCACCTTCTGTCCTCTGCCCTCCGCCTTCAAGCTGGTCTTGACCATCATTGTCGTCCTTCAAATGATGAAATCGCTGCAGTAACTTCAGGGCTGTTTGCTCTGCTGCTGACCTCACTGTACACAAATTAGCCCTTCTTCTGAGGCTCAACTATGCTATGTCCATTACCCTAGTTACTGCTCACAATCTACATAATGTGACAGATCATGAAACATGAACTAGTAAAATGTGTATTTATAAAGGAGGCAATACCGTTATTGTTTTCAGAGGAAATGACAGTATGTCTAGAGAGCTCATGAAAAATAGAAGAGATAGAAAATGGGTATTCCAAAGCCTAGACTTTTTAAAAGCAATTATCAATCATAAGCTATAATGAAAAGAATGTGATTCACAACAGTGGTTCTTCTGTGAGCCAGATGGGTGTGGATTCCATTCAGAAGTAGTGCATAGTCCCCAAGCTTGCACCTCACTTGAGCCCTGGATCCCCAAATCATTCTGTTTTTGTCCAGAGTTTCACAAGGTTGATTTTGAAAATGTTCCCACCAGCTCTGGCTATGGGAATCACAGTGGGAAATAAACGCCATAGCATCTTCCCCATCATCCCCGTCTCCTCCTGAGACAAAACACATTTTCCCCTAAATGCTAACTGGGCTGTCTGCCTCCAGCATAGACAATCTTTTACATTTTTACCACAAAGTAGTTTTAGCTGCCTGGACCACATCACCAATTGAATAGTATGATGTTCTGGGTAAGGGCAGAATAGTGGGTTGAATGGTGACCCCCAAAAATATAGGTCTATGTCCACTTCTCTAGAAACTCTGAATGTCACTTCATTTGGAAAAAGGATATTTGCAAATATAACTAAGTTAAAGGTCTTCAGATAAGATCACCCTGGCTTATACAGGTGGTCTCTATGTCCAACATAATGTGTTATTTTAAGAAACACAAAGAGGACAGACAACGAGGAGGGAGTGTAAACCTGGAGGCAGAGATTAGAGTGATGTGGCCACAAGCCAAGGGATGCCACAGAAGTTGGAAAAGTTGGAAGAGACAAGAAACAATCTCCCCTAGAGTCTCTGGGGGAAAGTCTGGCCCTGTTGACACCTTGAATTTGAACTTCTGGTCTCTAGAATTATGAGTCAATTTCTCTTGTTTTAAGGCATCTAGTTTAAGATAATTTGTCAAAGCTACTTCAGGAAACTCAGAGAAGCAGGTTCTAGAGTTAGCAAATGAGGACTATAGTCCCAAATTCGATATGACCTTGGGCAAGTTGATAAACCTCTACAGTCATCTGTAAGGTGGGGATGATAAAAATAATACAGTCATGAGCTATTCGGTCAATGACAAGGTAGTCCTATGAGATTCTAATACTGTATTTTTATTGCACCTTTTTATGTTTAGATACACAAATACCATTGCCAAGAGTATTCAGTACAGTAACATACTGTACAGGTTTGTAGCCTAGGAGCTATACCAAATAAATAGTACAGGTGTGTAGTAGGCTATCCTATGTAGCTTTGTGTAAGTACACCCAAGAAAGTTCACACAAGGACAAAATCCCCTTACAGTGCATTTTTCAGAAAGTATCTCTATCATGAAGCAATGTAAGACTGTATGTTCCTCACACGGGTATTGTGAGATTTAAATAAGATGTCTATATATTATTGTTATTGCATTTTTATAATGAAAAGGCCAAGGAAAGGGGTTTGCCTGAAGAAGGGAAGACAGTCCTCTAAAGGTGTATTGGATCACCACCTCTTATCAGATAGAAACTATCTTCAGCATTTAAACAGTGGTTCTGTTTTAGAGTGTACCTAGCACATTTTGAAATACCCTAGAGTCTGTTTTCTCTAAGCACCTGGACAGGGCTTTGCAGGTGTCCTTGACATATGCCCTCAGCTTGACCCATTGAGTGGACCTAGTTTGACCACCATCTCTTATATTCCGCATGCTCTTTAATGACATTGAATATTTACTTGTCTTTGCCTTATTTTCTTAATTCATTCGTAGCTTGCTCCTGAGCCTTAAATTACTTTGAAGTGTATTACACATCCTTTGTATCCTCTATGGAATCTCATTCATAGTAGGGTCTGTGATAAACAATTGATTGGATAGTGAATATCTCTTACAGGCATGTAAGGAGGAATCAAGAAGCTGTGACATATTCTGAGGACCTCCAAAGAACAACTTGCTACTGACTGGACTTCTCTCATCTTTTAGCATGTGAAGTTTTGCAAATATAATCCACTTTGCTCTGAATGTCCTGACACCTGCTTCAGAGCTCAAGATTCAGACTCCAGCCTGAATGTTATTTCCTGAGAAAATCCCTCCCTGACCCACTGTGCTGGTTAGGTCCACCTGCTAATCACATCCACAAAACCCTCTGCTTCTCCTTCAAAACACTCATCTCCTCTGTAATGATCAGATGAACTCATGTCTTTCTCAGAGGACAATAAATTTGATGAATGGGGACCATGGAAGTTTATTTCCATCTGTATCCCTACATCTAACTCATCTGCTGGTACCTATTTGTCATGTATTTAATAAGTACAACTACCTATGCCACCCTGCAATAAAATGATATTGTTACTTTCTCTTCTTTAGCTTTGGTCTGCTATTTTCTCACAAATATTTTTTCTATGCACATTGGTTTGTCAGGGAGTAAAATGTCTGACATGTATATTATACTTTTATTATATTCAAATTACAGCTTAGGAACTTAATGGACTCAATGAAAAATACTACTTTTGGAAATGAGCACTTTGAGTTCTCAGCTTTCCTCTTCAATACTTTGTAACCCTACAGAGTGGCATGAATTTCTATAGCAGCAAGGATACAAGATCTCAATTTCTTGGACAAACCAACATGCAAGTAAATTATATTGTTTTCCAGGAAAATTTCATAGAAAAATGGGAAAGTGGCCAGGCGTGGTGGCTCACACCCATAATCCCAGCACTTTGGGAGGTCAAGGCAGGCATATCACCTGAGCTCAGGAGTTCAAGACCAGCCTGGGCAACATGGCGAAACCCCGTCTCTACTAAAAATACAAAAAATTAGCTGGGCGTGGTGGTGCCGCTTGTGGTCCCAGTTACTCGGGAGGCTGAGGTGGGAGGATCACTAGATCCCAGGAGATAGAGGTTGCAGTGAGCTGAGACCACACCACTGCACTCCAGACTGGGTGACAAGAGTGAGACTCTACCTTAAAAAATTAAAAAAAAAATTTAAAAAAAGGGAAAACATTAGGGATAAACTAAAGTTAACAAATTTATTAGCATGAGGATAAAGACCTAATTAAGAGAAGCCAATGAAATTTTATCCTTTTCTAATACCCAGTTAGTATTTCCCATACTGTATTCTGCGGAGTGCCAGTCCTTGAGATGATCCAGGTAAAGGAGCTTAATGAGTTAAGTTTGTTTAAGAAACACTACTATTTAAGATCTCTTCTGGAGAGTACAATATATATGAGTCCATTAAATGCTCTGCAGAATCCTACCATTGAGAAATTTTCAACTTAGTTTAAACCAGCAATTCTTTTTTTTTTTTTTTTTTTGAGATGGAGTCTTGCTCTGTCATCCAGGCTGGAGTGCAGTGGTGCGGTCTTGGCTCACAGTAACCTCTGCCTTCTGGGTTCAAGCGATTCTCCTGCCTCAGCCACCCAAGTAGCTGGGATTACAGGCACACACCACCACGCCCAGCTAATTTTTGTATTTTTAGTAGAGATGGGGTTTCACCATGTTGGCCAGGCTGGTCTTGAACTCCTGACCTAGTGATCTACCCACCTCGGCCTCTCAAAGTGCTGGGATTACAGGTGTGAGCCACTGCACCCGGCCTACACCAGCAATTCTTAAACTTGGTTTAAACAAGCAGTTCTCAAACTTATTTGACCACTAACCTTATTTTATTTTAAAAAGCAAATCATACTTATTGATATCTTAATTTTATTTTAAAAAACAAGTCATACCCATTGACATCCATAAAGCTCTTTGGAATACACTTTGACAAATTCTCTGCTAGGGTAATGAAGACTGAGATAAAAATGTGAATTTACAGAAAGACAAAGGTATAATGATTTTATTGTCACCCATGAAGGGTTATCTTGAGTTGATCGTGCCCCTTAACCACTACTTAGGGTCAACACCTTACCTCTCTAAAGCCAGCTCTAGTGCAATAGGCATTTACTCCTTTTTTTTGAGATGGAGTCTGGCTCTGTCGCCTAGGCTGGAGTGCAGTGATGCGATCTCAGCTCACTGCAACCTCTGCCTCCTGGGTTCAAGCGATTCTCCTGTCTCAGCCTCCCAAGTAGCTGGGATTACAGGTGTGCGCCACTACACCTGGCTAATTTTTGTAATTTTCGTAGAGACGAGGTTTCACAATGTTGGCCAGGCTGGTCTCAAACTCCCGACCTCAAGTGATCCTCCCACCTCGGCCTCCTGCAGTGCTGGGATTACAGGTGTGCCACCACGCCTGGCCCAGCATTTACTCTTTACAAATGTAGCTGAGAACATGGGGATCAGATGGTAATTTAACTAAATGATCAACGAGTAAGTTCACAGAATGAAGGACAACCAGACTTTACCAAAGCTTAGGTTGCCTTGTTTTTAGCCAATCAAACAATCAAAAGTTTTTCTGTGTGCTTTCCATGCATGAAGTACTTAATAATCAGTAGAATAATTAGTATCCAACATTGTTGAAAAATGTTCTCAACTCCAAGAAATGATTGTGCAGACCAAACAGCAAAATTCGGAGAGGACACTTTGTAAATTATAAAGTGCTTGACTAAGCACTTTGCCAGTATATTCAGTGCAACCCTTTCAGAAAGAAGATTGTCGTCAATATCCTTGAAATTGCCTCTTACGTTGTCTTGGAAGTTCTGGTTATTAAAGAGAAGAGACACAGAACAAGGCTCTGAAGTTTTATCTTGACAAATTGACCGCATGGCAGCTTGTTCACAGGAGCTGAGATTTCATCTGAATACTAATGCCGGCATTGTGTTGACTTTACCAGGTCAAACTCAAACACTCCAGCTCACAGTTCACCCACCGTACAAATTTTCTTCATTACTGCCATGTCCTCACATTTTAAAAGTCTGCCTAGCAAGAAGTTACACACGTTTCAACACTGTCAACAAATGAGATCTGACAAGTAAACATTTTGCAGCAATGGGTTTTGAAATCTGTACTTTGATTGCCTTCAACTCCTGATGATATTGTATCACAGGTTCTTCACATGCTGGATGAAAAGTGTCCTTTCTTTTTGAAAAGCCACAGGGAATCAATAAGGAGTAAGAATTTTTAACAAGCCTCAGCACCTCAAAGCTAAAGCAATTAGTTCACAAAACTTGACACGCCACCCTTTGAAGGTGAACCTTGGCAACTTAGAGACAGGAGACTGGAAGAAAGTCTGTTTCACCAGCGATTTTCCTACAGAAACTGGGAGCCTTTGCACCTTGTTCGTTGCTCCCAAAGAGTAGACTAAATAAGCATTTTCACCAGCTGGCACTCAGGAAAACCCCAGAGTCCTCTGAACACAGAGACAAAGCCCCTTTAGGACACATGTGTGACTATTTCCAAGGCAGTTACAATAAAATCAAAGTGGCACCATTTTTTACAGATTCAAGGTCTCTTAATACAGCCTACATTTACACAGTGGAAATGGAGGGCTGAGAGTGATGTTCTTAAGTAGAAGAGCACAATAGAAAGATTCGACCTGAAAGTCAGGAGACTTGCATCTTAGTCCAAATTCTATTTGTTCTGGTTTTTGTTGTTGGTGGTGGTGGGAGATAACTTCTTCAGCCCCCAGTTTCCTCTCCTGTAAAATAGAAAATTATATGCCCTGTCCAACCTACTTCACAAAGATATAACTATAGAAATTATATGTGAGCATATTTCTGGTATTATCAGTCTTTTTATGTAAGCTATTCCAAAGATATTAAGTGGCTATTTATTGTCAGATTTGTTTTTTTTTTTTTTGCCTTCAACTTTTATTTTATGTTCCGGGGTACATGTACGGGATGTGCAGGGTTTTTGCATAGATAAACATGTGCCATGGTTGTTTGCTGCACAGATCACCCCATAACCTAGGTATTAAGCCCAGCATCCTTTAGCCATTCTTCCTGATGCTCTTCCTCCTCCCACCCTCCACCCTCCAACAGACCCCAGTGTGTGTTGTTCCCCCTAAATGTTCATGTGTTCTCATCATTCACTATCATTCATAAGTGAGAACATGTAGTGTTTGGTTTTCTTTTCCTGTGTTAGTTTGCTGAGGATAATGGCTTCCAGCTCCATCCATGTCCTTGCAAAAGACATGATCTCATTCCTTTTTATGGCTGCATAGTATTCCATGGTATATATGTACCATATTTTCTTTATCCAATCTATCATTGATGGGCATTTGGGTCGATTCCATGTCTTTGCTATTGAGAATAATGCTGCAATGAACATAAACATGCATGTATTTTTAAACAGAATGCTTTATGTCCCTTTGGGCATATACCCAGTAATGGGATTGTTGGACCAAATGGTGTTTCTGCTTCTAGATCTTTGAGGAACCAACTGTGTGATCATATTTTATAAAGTGTAAATGACTGTCTTAGTTTGAATTCCCGAAGAAACAGATGCTGAGACAAGAATTTGAGTGCAGTAGTTCACTTGGAAAATAATTCCAGGAAACACCAGTAGGGGAAAGGGAAAAGAGGCAGTACTGGGCATAATATCAAATAAATTCTTACTGTATGTAACTGACTTCGTTTGGGTGGGAACTCTGGGAAGCAACACAGGACACATACCTCAGGGTTCTCTCACTGGTGGTCCTGCTGAGCGCATACACACCAACTCTCTTCAGCCATTGAGAAGGGTCTTGTGGGTGAGTGGAAGTTAATACTTGACACTTCAGCCTACTACATGCAGAGACTGATCAGGTTCAGAGAAAGTCAGAGAAAGCTGCTAGCCAAAGAGATGTCAGTCCTGGGAGTTGGAAGGGGCTTGGTGTACACTTAAATGGCAACAGCCAGGTGGGTATGAGCCAAGCCTTGACATCTCTGAGATAGAATCCAGGCTTTCTGTAACCTACTAAGATGATCTTTCCCCTTTTTTATTAAAAAAAATATAGAATAGAACAGAGAAAATATAACAAATATCCATTATGCAGAATTAACAAAGTTGATATATTTGTTAAGTTTCTTTTAAATATATTTTAAGAAAACAGAAGAAAAAAACCTTCAGACCAGCTGAACTCTCTTTTGCGATCATTTCAGTCCTTTTTCCTTTTCTCACTTCAGAATTGGAACCATTATCATGAATTGGATGAAAATTTTGACCTTTGAGTTTTTATAAAAGTTTTGCCAAGAAAGTTTCTATAACCAACTTATACTGCTGTTCTGTTTGTTTTACAAATTAATAGGAATAAAATAAATGTTGTGCGTCATTCTGAATACTTGTAATTTTCACTCAAGATTATTTTTGAAATCTGTTCATGCAGAAACATTTATCTTCAATTGTTCTACAGCAAGAGTCAGCAAACATTTTCTGCAAAGGGCCAGATCATAAATATTTTAGGCTTTGTGAGCTACATAGTCTCTGTCACAACTACTCAATTCTGCCGTTATGGCATAAGAGCAGCCATAGGCTATAAGGCAAATGAAGAAGCATGTTTGTCCTCCAATAAAACTTTATTGACAAAAACAGTCAGTGGGCTCTGCTTCTTCTCTGCAGCATTTCATCACAAGAACATACCAAGTTGCATTTATCTATGTCTCAGCAGCTGGCCATTTAGATCATTTCTAATATTTTGCAATTATAAGTCATGATTAAATAAATATATATGTCTCTTTAATAGTTATGTAAGAATTTCTCTTGGTGTTTACTTTAAAAATTCCTGGTCAGGTGCAGTGGCTCACGCCTGTAATCCTAGTACTTTGGGAGGTCGAGGTGGGTGGATCACTTGAGGTCAGGAGTTCAAGAACAGCCTGACCAACGTGGCACAACCCCATCTCTAATAAAAATACAAAAAAAATTAGCTGGGCATGGTGGCGTGCACCTGTAGTCCTAGCTACTCTGGAGGCTGAGGCAAGAGAATCACTTGAACCTGGGCAATGGAGGTTGGCAGTGAGCCGAGATCGCACCACGGCACTCCGGCCTGGGTGACAGAGCAGGACTCTGTCCTCACTAATAATCAGAGAAATGCAAAATAAAATGGTAATACTTTTTGATGTAGCCAACTTTTTCAATTTGTTTTATAAATTATGTTTTTGAACTTTTTTTTCAAAATCCTCAAGATAGTATAAAATATTCAAATCTTAGTTTACCTTTATTACAGCCCCTTCTTGGGGTCTATTTCTATGCACAGAGTCCAACTACAGCTTCTCCTTTATCTCTGGGCCCACAACCTCCACTTCCAGCCCTGGGTTGGTGCTGAAATCCAACTGTCTTCAGTGTGTGTTCAGTCCTCAAAGACAGACAACTCCACTTCTCCTAGATTGGAGTTCTTTTCTCATGTTTAGCACCTGAAGATTCCTCTTTCTTGCTATTAAGTTTGACTTTATGTTTTTTGTTGTATTTTACCAAGTATTTTTATCTTTTGGAGTAGGAATGGAAGCTTTTCATTTCTACTTGGGTCTACCAGATGTTTGCAAGTCCCTGTCACAATCTATTCACATTGTGCTTCTCCAAATGGACACCAAACTCTGTACCTGCAAGATTCATAATAAAATTGGTAGCCTGGAAATGTAGCTGGCAATATTAGCTCTACTTAGTACCACATTATGGCCCGTTAAGCCTAAATTGTGAACTTGTTGAGGGAAGGGACAATACGTTATATATCATTTTATCTCCAGCATCTATCACAGAGTATTAGATGCTAATGTATTACACATATAATACAATAATATGACATTGTCGTAGGTACTTGATAAATGTATACATAAAGAGTGCATGAAATAGAAAAATGTCAAGAGGCTTTATGGGACCTACCTTGCAGAAGGGCATAAGAATCGCCACAGTGATTTCTGGACTGGATACTAAGAATAAATTTACTTAATATTATTCATTTAGTGCCTATTGTGAGTAAAATCCATATCAGCTTTGAAGGATGATATAGAAAATAACACAAATTATTTTACTCTGCAAAAGCCATAGACTCCTTGCTGTCTCATAAAAGAGCAAAGACAACACATATCAAATATTGCAGACTGTGTGTGTGTGTGTATATATATATATACATAAGTAATAGACTGTAGTAATGGTTAAACTGCAAGTTCTATAAAAGTTTGAGAATTTGAGAGATCCCTATGGAAAGATATCTTAAAGGAGGAGAGATTTGGTCAGATTTTTCCCAGAATGGCAGCATTTGGATAGCTCACCAGAGAGAGCCTTCCTGGCAGAGGGAACAGTACATGGCTAAAGCTCAGCAGATAAAAATCAGTGCAGTGTCATGGAGGTGATTTATTTCTGCCTTCATTGAAACCGCTGAATATTGCCCAGTCTTCTCTACTTTTGCAGCCACATCTGGAAAGGGAGATAGTATGGCATACCTAGCAACGAGTGAGGCTTGGAAACACATTTTGTGGGAGATACTGAAAGGAAGGGTGAAGACTGCATCTCATAGGGCGTAATACCTGGTGACTATAAAAGTCATTTTCAACTCCTTCTCCTTCTCCTTCTCCTCCTTCTCCTTCTCCCTCTCCCTCTCCCTCTTCTTCTTCTTCTTTTTTTTTTTTTTTGACAGAGTCTCACTCTGTTGCCCAGGCTGGAGTGCAGTGGTGCAATCTCGGCTCATTGCAACCTCTGCCTCCTTAGTTCAACCGATTCTCCTGCCTCAGCCTCCTGAGTAGCTGGGATTACAGGAATGCACCATCACGCCTGGCTAATTTTTGTGTTTTTAGTAGAGATGGGGTTTTACCATGTTGGCCAGGCTGGTCTGCAACTCCTGACATCAGGTGACCTGCAACCTCTCTTTTTGTTTCTAGGCTGTATCCCAGTAGAAGACTCAAAGGCACCTCTGATTGTCTCTCCAGCATAGTAATTCTGGAAACCAAGATCTGTATTTTGTTCTTTCCCATAGGCCATGTGCTCTAAGGGCCGAGATACAGGACTGGCAGTAACAGTGGGTACCACACATGGCTAATAAGAGTGCAGAGGCTGAGGGTATCTGAAGAAGACACTGATTTTTGGCCAAGGTCTGGTGAATTTGCACTCGTGGCTGCAGAAATCATCCTGGCGCAAAACAAGCTTTAAATCTTTCATTTGGGGGAAACGATCATGAAAGTGCCTAGAAAATAAGTTAGCACATGATATGCTTCTTTTTTTCTTTTTATTTACTTGACTTAAGGCAAACTGTTGTAGTAATAAGGAACATTGTTTTCCACTTGCTCATCTCCAGTCTCACTTTGATTGTGTGTGGACACACTGCCCTGGCTCTCACAAGTAGCCCATTAGCAGTCACATCTTTGTGCATCTGGGGCCCAGACTGCTGTTTTCTCTGCTGCTAAACAACTCTATTTCCTTCCCTAACCTCTACCTCTTCCCCAGCATGGAATGATGGTCCCTGAGTCTTTATTTTTGTCATGAATTAAGGATTCTTACCTGACTGTATTTGCTAACTTTACAAAATGAGAGAATAGTGACCACCTCAAGTACATCCGAGAACAATTCTCCAAATTTTAAGAAAGTAAGAATATGCAATGTCAATTAGTGGAAAACTATACAAATTATTTGATTTATCAGAATAGATTTTAAAGATGAAAAAGGCTCAGACTAATTAAAAATGAGCAAAAGTGTAGACACTGTACTGAAGAAGAAATAAAGGTGCCAAATAAACATATAAAAAGTTCCCCTTCATTTATCACTTGCATATTTCAAATTAAAACAACGAGATATCACTATATACCTTTAGAATAGCTAAAATTAAAACAACAGCAGCAACAACAACAACAAAACCCTGATAATACTAACTGATGGCAATGATGTGGAACAAGAGGAACTCTCATTCATTGCTAGTGTAAATGAGAAGTGGTACAGCCACTTTGGAACACAGTTTGGAAGTTTCTTGTAAAGCTATACATTGTCTTACCATATAATCCAGCAATGTAATGCTACTAGATATTTACTTAACTGATTTGAAAACTTAAAAACCTCGTATAAATGATTATAGCAACTTCATTTATAATCACCTCAAACTGAAAGTAACCAAGACGTCCTTCAAAGGTGAATTGATGAACAAACTGTAGTATGCTCATATAGTGGAAACTATTCAAGAATGCAAAGACTGAGCTATCAAACCTGCCAAGGTATGGATGAATCTTGAATTAATATTGCTAAGTGAAAGAAGCTAGTCTAAAAAGGCTACATACTATATGATTCCAATTACATGACTATATGGAAGAGGCAGAACTATGGAGATAGTAAACGGATGAGTGGTTGCTAGAAGTTCCATAGGGGAAAGGAAAAGAGTTGAGTACATGAGCATAAAGAATTTTTTTAGACTGGTAAAACTATTCCATATAATATTCTAATGGTAGATACTTGCCATAATGTATTTGTCAAAACCCATAGAACTTTACAGCAAAAAAGTAATTTATGCAAATCTTTAAATATCTCTTAAGAGGTCTGGAAATCCCAGGATTGAATATAGAATGTGGCAAAATTATCCCACCATATTACAAATGTACGAAACAAGCTCACTGATGGGCATAGGAGTAAAGGTGCTGACCTAAGTAACTTTGACAATGAGTGGAATCTATGAGACTAAAGGCTGAAAGAAGCACACAGAAGCACTGCACTGTGGCTGATAAAGTTGCTGCCCAACAGGTATGTGGATTAATGATTCTGAAACCCCTATACATGTATACTAGAATTGAACAAAAACTAAATTAATTTAATGTATATGCATGTAGAATTACAAATATATTTTCTTGCTCTGTCAGCAGAGGGGGCCTAGAAGCAATGATATTCTGGGAGCAGAGAGCCTACCTAGCCCCCAGATTTTGGTTTCTGATAATTATTCTCTAATAAAATGAACCAAGGTTCTTTGGAGAAGCGACTGATTGTAGAATGAGGACAGGAAATATTCGAGATGAACTTGGAGTAATTTGTGCTGCAAGAAAATAAGAAAGTGCCAAAAAGTAGTTGAAAACCCCACAATGATGGGGTATACCAAAGAACGTAGGAAGTAACTGAAAGGGTTCCCAGTGAAAGAAGCATTGGATTATAAACATATGAAATAAAAATTCACAAACTCATACTGATATAGAAAATTATGGAATACAAACTATCCATCTGGGAACAGATATACACAATGGAATATTAAAATGAAGTCCTGTAACTTGTAGCAACATAAATGGAACTGGAAGTCATTATGTTAAGTGAAATAAGCCAGGTACAAACAAATATGGCACGTTCTCATTCATATGTGGAAGTGGATCTCATGGAAGCAGAGGGTAGAATGGGGGTTATCAGAGGTGGGAAGGGAAGCCGGGGAGAGCAGAGATGAGGAGAAGTTGGTTAAGAGGTACAAAAATACAGTTAGATAGAAGAAACAAATTCTAGTATTAGTAGAGTAGGATAACTATAGTTAACAACATTGTATTTTATACTTTAAAGTAGCTAGAAAAGAAGATTCATAATGTTCTCATCACAAAGATAAATGTTTGAAGTGATGGATATTCCAATTACCCTGATTTGATCATTACACATTGTATACAGGTATCAAAATATCACATGTACCCCCAAAATATGTACAACAATTATATAGCAATAAAAATAAGGTTAGAAAAATAAAAGGGGGTGAGGAAATAAATGCCCCGTGTAGACTAAATCCAAATAATTAGCATACATATTCTGCCCTTAGGAAGATGGAACTTAACTCTCCACTTTTTAAGTGTGGGCTGTGCATGGTGGCCTCCTTCCAAAGAGTTTAGCATGAAAAAGGGAGAAAAAACTTGTAACTTAATAGAGGAGAAACCTGACAAACACTACCTCGCCCAGGTAGTCAAGGTTAGCAATAGTGATGAGTCCTGTTGATTGTGATGTGATTAGAATGGCACTTTACTTCTGTGGGCTTCCTTCCAAAAATTCACAATACCAATGTAATCGTGAGAAAAAAAATCACACATCCCAAGTGAGGGACATTCTGCAAAATTCCTGACCAGTATTCCTCAAAACTGTCAAGGTCATCAAAAACAATGAAAGTCTGAGAAACTGTGGCAAGCAAGAGGAACCTAAGGCAACACGGTGACTAATGCATGATGTATGAATAAATATTGACTAGCTAATAATAATGCATAGTCTTGGTTCATTAACTGCGGTCTATCTATCATAGCAATAGAAGATGTTAATAATGAGGAAAATCGGATGTGGGGTATATATGAGAATGCTCTGTTACCTTTCCAACTTTAGTGTATTCTGAAATAAAGGTTTTATTTAAAAACAATAAGGGTTTTATAAAAATTTCTATTACTTTAAAAAGCACTGCTCCACCCTGGCTTAGCAGACCTTGTAATGAGACCTGAATAGGCTTTATTTTACACAAAAGATTATGTACTCCAGGGATCTGACAGAAATTTACTATAAATTATATTTAAATATATTCTCACTGTTCAAAATCAGAAATAAAACCAACATGCTTCTTAAAATGTGTTACATAGCACATCTCAACATTGGAATCAACTGATATGTTATCCTGTCCCATCTACTGGATTCATGTTTGTGCAGTGCTTCCTTAACCACCTCTATATAAGCAGAGGGTATTGTGATAATGCAAGGTAAGTTGTTTAAAAAAAAAATCACCACTTGCATCTCCCTATCTGTGTGAATATGGACTCTCTCCAAGTTATGTAAGCAAAAGCCATGACAGATATTGGCTGCAGGTTCATTTATCTTCAACTTTCCGGTATAATCTCAATTTTGAATTGTTTGTGTTTACTGAAACAACTTCATGAAGTGACTTTAAAAAATACAATGTAAAAATATATTCTATAATTTCAATGTTATAAAGTACATTTATATTAATAAATATTATTGTTTAATATCCTGGAATGCTGTTTTATATATTGGTTCTATGTATTATATTATTTAACTATAAGGGGCGTTTCTGTTGGTTTTTTTTAAAAAAAGCCTTGAAAGCTACTTTACTACAACAAAACCTAGTCTCTACTGCAGCCAGGAATTGATATAATAAATAATTCATTTATGACCCTTGTCACATATGGCTGTTTTCATTAAAAATTCTCCAAGTTCAGAATTAAAGCTTGCATGCAAAAAGAAACAGGCCTGAAACTTAACAAGCAAGATGGCTCAGACTCCCAAACCAATTACCAGTAAACAGTGTTTTCTTTTCTGGTAGGAGAGGTAAAAGGATAGGCAAAGGCCTGATTGTGATGTGTTGGGTGATGTTTTTTATACCTAACTAAATATCACATGAATCACTCTGTGAGCCTCAGTTAATGTGTCTATATGTAGATATGAAAATACCTGACCCGCCTAAAAGAGAAAGGGCGGGGACACCAAAGGCCCCGAGACTCCCTCATGGTTCTAAGATCAAAAATGTTTTTGCCTTTATCCAATTTACCAAATGATCAGGCATAAAGAATTGCATTTGTTTTGTGCTATCCTAATTGAACAAGTTGTTTTTGTTCTTCCATTTCCTAGTTTCTCATCTATTGCATCTTTTCTACATCCTTTACTCTTTTCAGCAACCCTGAATACTTCCAAACCTAATGAGTTGCATCCCCCAATCCTATTGGTCCATAATTTTGTTTGAAAGTCAGATGTGATTTTTGGCCTGTGTAATATTTGAGAATTAATTTTCCCCTTCCTATCTCCATGGCATAGCTGTCTCCTAGGTTCTACTGCATCTCTGGTTGTTCCTTTGTGGTCCTCTGTGGTTCCTCTTTCTCTGACTCAGGCCTTAACAGCAGACGCTCCCTAGGGCCCATTTTGAGTTTCTACTCTTCTTACTTTTCACACCCTCCTGGGTGACATAATCAATATCCAGGGCTTCGACTATTAGGCAGCATGCAAATAACTCGAGAAACCTAGATTTTTGGTCAGGATTACTCTAGTGAATTCCAAGTCTTTATTCAAGTCTGCTAAATTCTTCCACTTAGTTGTCTCACAGGTATTTCAAATTCTTCATGTCTAAAACTGATTGTATCATACCCACACCCAATTCCCAGCATATTATTATATCCCTCACCTAGCAAACCTGAAGCCTAGGAGCATTTTAGAATAAATTAGCACAGTCTTGTGCTAACTTACTATGACATCTGTTTTGCTCCTCCTGCTTCTCCATTTCCAGACCCATAGTATAACACTCTTATTATTCTCACCTGGATCTTTCAACTAGTTTCTTTGTTCCCAGTCTGACCTCCCTTCAATCCATCTTTCTCAATCCATCTTTATATTTTAGAAAGAATTTTCTAAAATATAAGCCATTTCTTAATAACATCCAGCAATAGGATACTTTAGAATAGTCATTCTTCTTCATCTTAGGACATAAACTCATCACCACAGTCCTATATGTGGCATCTACCAAGAATCCACCACCCCTCTGTTGTTTTTAGAAAATAGTTTTTTATTTTTATTTATAAATCAACACATAATAATTGTACATATTTATGTAGTACATAATGATGTTTTGATACATGCAATGTATAGTGATCAGATCAGGGTAATCAGCATCTTCACTATATGAAATATTTATTATTTCCTTGTGTTGGGAACATTTAATATCCTCCCTTCTAGCTATTTGAAAATATATAATGTGTTTGAAACATCTCTGAGATCTCTCTCTACTCCCCTTTTTCATCATCTAGCCTTTCCTAACTGGCCCCATCTTATTTATTTATTCTTTCTCTATCATATCTTTTACCAAAGTAAAATATAACCACTTATGTACTTATTTCAACTCTTCATTAGACTCTAAGTTCCTTGAGGTCAGGAATGTGTCTTATTTTACTTTATATTCCCAACACATAATTCAGTTGCCTGATACGTAGCCAACATTTAAAAATCTTTGCTGACTGAATGACACAAATAGGCACATTATTATTATTTTTTAAAGAGAAGCACATCACATGCTATACAATTTATCATCTCAGTTTATCTACTTCAACAAGTCCTGATTTTCTTTTTTCTATAGGGAACAATTTGTAACCAAAGAGCTTTTATTTAGTCAGCCAAGCAATAATAATGAAAGGAAACAAATGAATTCACGCTGCTACTAATAGCAAGGTTATCTTGTATATGATAGATGGTCATTCATAAAATTCCCTATTCAATCTTCAGAATTTTAATCAAATTGTGGAAGTTGAGGCAAGAGAAAAAGATGATTTTGTCCCATTTATCAAAGCTATGCTCAGAAGAAACCAATAAGCAGCAGCCATTTAGGAGTAATGATGGACAGGAAGAGGTCAAAAGCAGGGAGAGAAAGAGATGATTTTTTAAAAAGTCAGAAGCCTTTAATTTTAATGGTCATTTTTTATTGGCATGACCATTGTGGTCTTCCTACCAGACTATGTGCTGCTCGTGATTGACAGAAGCAAAAAAGACTATGAGAAGGAGTGACTGGCTG
This sequence comes from Homo sapiens, assembly GCF_000001405.40. Classification (NCBI taxonomy): domain Eukaryota; kingdom Metazoa; phylum Chordata; class Mammalia; order Primates; family Hominidae; genus Homo; species Homo sapiens. The sequence continues at coordinate 33,980,519 of NC_000013.11, forward strand.
AAGAAAACCTCAAGAGTTGAAGGTGCCATTTAAAACTGATTTTTCAGTTATTTAAGCTATTGAGGTTGAATATAGGCCAGTATTAATAATTGTTAATAATGTACTGAGAAATGAAGGGCTGTAAAAAGAACATATTTAGTATACTCATCCAAAAATATATCCAAAAGTATATGAAATAGAATGCTTCGTATGTTACTAGAAGTGTCACATTTATTATGATAATTATTACTGTAAACAAAAGGCTACCTTGAACACCATAGCCTATGAAGAAAAAAAGTCAATGAAAAGATACAAATCAAATCAGTTATCAACACTTAGAAGAGTAAATGGTACTAGGAGATATATACATATATATATATATATGTATGTATATATAAAAGACTAAAGAGTATATATATACACACATATGGAAGTATATATATTATATATACATTTGTATGGAGATATATACATACACTATATATATTTTCTCTCTCTGTCTCTCTATATATATCTATATATACATATATATAGGCTTCAGTCTTTGAGGGTGTCTTATGATGAACAAAAGTTCTTATTTTAATGACTTATTTAAAGGCAATTTCTACCTTTATAGTTAATGCTTTTTGTCCCGTTTTAAAAAACCCTGGCATATCCCAAGGTCATAAAGATATTATCTTATGTAGCCTTGCAAAAGTCTTATGATTTTGCCTTTTTTTTTTTTTTTTTTTTTTTTTTTGAGATGGGAGTTTTGCTCTTGTTGCCCATGCTGGAGTACAATGGTACGATCTCGGCTCACTGCAACCTCCACCTCCTGGGTTCAAGTGATTTACCTGCTCAGCCTCCCGAGTAGCTGGGATTACAGGCATGCGCCACCACGCCCGGCTGTCATTCTTAATTTGACTTCAATTCATCAAAAATTGCTTTGGGGAATGGTATGAAGTAGGTTCCTACACAGATACCTACCTGGCTCAACACCAGTTATTGGAAGGACCGTTGTTTTGCTACAGCCTTGCAGAGGCATTCTTGTAACAAACCAAATGTCTGTATATGTGGGTCTATTTCTGGCCATTTTCTTCTGGCTTATTGTTTCATATTTTCATCCTTGCATCATCACTGTGCTGTATTTCCTTGCTTTAAGGATTTCTGGCAATGGAGGTGCTTCCACATGGGTCTTCTTCATGATTATTTTGGCTAGTCTTCAAATTTCATATTCATTTTAGAATAAGATTATAATTTCTACCCTCAAACCTTGCTGGGATGTTTATTAGTATTACAATGAATCTATGGATTAATTTGGGGACATTTCTGCAATGTTGACTGTTTCAGTATTATAAATAGAGGTATTGAATGATTTCAGGTTTTCTGCCTCCCTCCTTCTATCTTCGACTCCTATTAGCAACAGAGAAATCTCAATGCTTGTATTAATACAAAAGTCATATCTTGTCCTTCCCAATCCCCATCCTTTTTCCATGATGTTCTCCTGCCCCCTCTTGATTCCCAGCTGTCTCCAGCAACCATGGTTTTCTTGCTGTTCCTCAAACATTTCAGGTGTACTCCCATCCCAGGGCCTGCATGGACTGTTTTCTCTCACATGACGCCCTTTCTCCACACTTGCATAAGTTTCCCTCCTTCTCAAGTTTTATTCAAGTTTTTAATTTCTCCAAGTTTTTATTCAAAAATAACTCCTCTGACAAATTAGGAGGGAAAGGGGATTTCTTCAATTTGAAAACAAATATCTGCTCAAAACCTTTAGTAAACATCATAGATAATGGTGCAATAGTAAATACTTTCCATTTGAGATTGATATGAGGCAAACATGTTTACTAACATCATTTATTTCAGTATTTTATTAGAAATTCTAATATAAACAGTAAGGCAAGCAAAGATATTAAATGTATAAGGGTTGTCAACAAAGAAATAAAGGTTATTACTCACAAATCACAAAATTGTGCCTGTAGAAAACCCAAAAATTCTACAGATAAACTGAGAATTTAAAAGTGAGTTTCCCAGCATCACTTTAGATATGTTGATAATATCAAATTATTTGTATTTCTGTAATTCATCAGGAATAAGTTTTAATTGTAAAAAAGATACCATATATAATAACAAAAACTAATACAAAAATAAATTTAATGGCCACAAGATCTCTACACAGAAAATTATGAAACATTATTGAGATAAATTAAAGAATATCTAAATAGAGAAATATATCATTGTCTATTGGTCCAAATTTAATACACTTTAAAAGTGGAGAAGACAAGCAAACAAAAGTCAAAATCTACAAGAACAAAAGTAGGTTTAGCAAACATTAATAACAATGATAAACCCCTAGCAAAATTAATCAAAGAAAAAACTAAGAGAGAAGACACAATTACCAGTATAGAAATGAAATAGAGGACTTCACCAGGGATCCCCTAGATATTAAAGTGATAATAACAAAATATTATGAACTACTTTATGGCAATAAATTAGATAACTCAAACGAAACTGACAAGTTCCTTTAAAAGCAATTTACCAAATCCCATGAAATGGATACAAAAATAAATGGAAAGTCTGGATACCCCCATATCCGTTAAAGACATTGAAATTTTCCTTAAAGGATGGCATTAATGGTAAATTCGAAGGAACATTCAAGAAAGAAACAATGCCAGTCTTCCACAGACTCTGCTGATTATTAAAGAGGCAGGAACAACATTTTCTTATTTGTCTAGAAGACTACCAAAGACATTTTTAAAAGAGAGACAAATGTGTCTCATTAATACAGATGCAAAAATCCTTAGCAATATAAACAATCACATCCTGGAAAATATTTTTAAAAGTATTTTGAATAAAAATAAAAATAGAATATTTAATAAATATTCCATACTATTTGGATGTATAATCAATTTAAAAGGTTTAATAACCAGCACATTAAATTTAATAAATTGAACTATATTTAAAGTAACCATTGAATATTAAAATCTATAATATGATGTCTAAAATATTTAATAATAAATATAATGAATAAAATATTTTTTAAACACCTAGAATACAGTATTGAAAGTGAAGTTTATCTCAGGAAGCAAAATATGTTTAGTATTCAAGAACCAATCAACATAGTTCATTGAACAACTGATAAAGGAAATCATTATATTATTATCTCAAGTGGTATAGAAAAAAACATGAAAACATTCAATTCCCATTCATGGTAGAAGAAAAAAAACTTCCAGAAAATCAATAATAGAATGAAAGATCCTCTGTCTCATAAAGTATGTCTACAGAAATCATACAGCCACAACTATATATAATGGTGAAATAGTTTACACTTTTACCCTAAAATCAGGAACTAGACAGGGTTTCATTCTCATCACTTCTATTCAAAATTGCCCTGGAGGTCCTTGCTAATGAAGTAAGAAATAGAATAAATAAATAGAAAAATGAATTGTATTATTACATTATTTATCATTGTATAAATTCATTATGCAGTATATAAATGTATATATGTCATATATATGCAGTATACACACACACACTGTCTTTATTCAGAGATCACATGGTTGTATTGCTAGAAAATCCTGAGAGATCTGCAACAGAAATATTAAGACTAATAAGTGAATACAGCAAGATCACAGAAGACAAATTGTATCATATGAATATATCAATTGAATTTCTATAAACTATTCACATAAAAATATAAATGAAATTTAAAAACATGATGTATAATAGCATTAAAAATTTAGGGTTGTGAGGAAAAAAATCAATAAATTTAACAACTGCAAGATTTCTACACTGAAAACTACAAAACATTACTAAGAACCATTTAAGAAGACTGAAATAAATGGAAACATACTTGTGGGTTGAAAGACTCAATTTTGTCAAAATATCAATTCTCTTCAAATTAGTTGAACAATTCAATACAATCCCAATCAAAATTTAATAGGGCGTTTTGAATGATTAAAAAGCTGATTCTAAAATGTATATAAAAATGCAAGTGAGCTAGAAAAGTCAGAGCATTCTTGAGAAACAAGTATGAAATTGCAGCTTTTATGCTATCAGGTTGCAAGACTTGGTATAAAGCCACAGTTATCAAGGCAGAGTGATAACAGTCTACAGAAATGAACTGACATATTTATGGTCAGTTAACTTTTCTAAAGGAAATTGACTGGGGGAAATAATTGTCTTTCAACAAATTACAGAGAGGAGCCAAGATGGCCAAATAGGAACAGCTGTGGTCTACAGCTCCCAGCGTGAGCAACGCAGAAGATGGGTGATTTCTGCATTTCCATCTGAGGTACCGGGTTCATCTCACTAGGGAGTGTCAGACAGTGGGCGCAGGTTAGTGGGTGCACGCACCGTGCACGAGCCGAAGCAGGGCGAGGCATTCCCTCACTCGGGAAGTGCAAGGGGTCAGGGAGTTCCCTTTCCTAGTCAAAGAAAGGGGTGACAGACGGCACCTGGAAAACCGGGTCACTCCCACCCGAATACTGCGCTTTTCTGACGGGCTTAAAACATGGCACACCAGGAGATTATATCCCGCACCTGGCTCAGAGGGTCCTACGCCCAAGGAGTCTCACTGATTGCTAGCACAGCGGTCTGAGATCAAACTGCAAGGCGGCAGTGAGGCTGGGGGAGGGGCGCCCGCCATTGGCCAGGCTTGCTTAGGTAAACAAAGCAGCTCGAACTGGATGGAGCCCACCACAGCTCAAGGAGGCCTGCCTGCCTCTGTAGGCTCCACCTCTGGGGGCAGGGCACAGACAAACAAAAAGACAGCAGTAACCTCTGCAGACTTAAATGTCCCTGTCTGACAGCTTTGAAGAGAGCAGTGGTTCTCCCAGCATGCAGCTGGAGATCTGAAAATGGGCAGACTGCTTCCTCAAGTGGGTCCCTGACCCCTGACCCCCGAGCAGCCTAACTGGGAGACACCCCCCAGCAGGGGCAGACTGACACCTCACATGGCTGCGTGCTCCAACAGACCTGCAGCTGAGGGTCCTGTCTGTTAGAAGGAAAACTAACAAACAGAAAGGACATCCACACCAAAAACCCGTCTGTACATCACCATCATCAAAGACCAAAAGTAGATAAAACCACAAAGATGGGGAAAAAACAGAGCAGAAAAACTGGAAACTCTAAAAAGCAGAGCGCCTCTCCTCCTCCAAAGGAACGCAGTTCCTCACCAGCAACGGAACAAAGCTGGATGGAGAATGACTTTGACGAGCTGAGAGAAGAAGGCTTCAGATGATCAAATTACTCCGAGCTACGGGAGGACATTCAAACCAAAGGCAAAGAATTTGAAAACTTTGAAAAAAATTTAGAAGAATGTATAACTAGAATAACCAATACAGAGAAGTGCTTAAGGGAGCTGATGGAGCTGAAAACCAAGGCTCGAGAACTACGTGAAGAATGCAGAAGCCTCAGGAGCTGATGCGATCAACTGGAAGAAAGGGTATCAGCGATGGAGGATGAAATGAATGAAATGAAGCGAGAAGGGAAGTTTAGAGAAAAAAGAATAAAAAGAAACGAGCAAAGCCTCCAAGAAATATGGGACTATGTGAAAAGACCAAATCTATGTCTGATTGGTGTACCTGAAAGTGACGAGGAGAATGGAACCAAGTTAGAAAACACTCTGCAGGATATTATCCAGGAGAACTTCCCCAATCTAGCAAGGCAGGCCAACATTCAGATTCAGGAAATACAGAGAAGGCCACAAAGATACTCCTAGAGAAGAGCAACTCCAAGACACATAATTGTCAGATTCACCAAAGTGGAAATGAAGGAAAAAATGTTAAGGGCAGCCAGAGAGAAAGGTCGGGTTACCCTCAAAGGGAAGCCCATCAGACTAACAGCGGATCTCTCAGCAGAAACTCTACAAGCCAGAAGAGAGTGGGGGCCAACATTCAACATTCTTAAAGAGAAAAATTTTCAACCCAGAATTTCATATCCAGCCAAACTAAGCTTCATAAGCGAAGGAGAAATAAAATACTTTACAGACAAGCAAATGCTGAGAGATTTTGTCACCACCAGGCCTGCCCTAAAAGAGCTCCTGAAGGAAGTGCTAAACATGGAAAGGAACAACCGGTACCAGCCGCTGCAAAATCATGCCAAAATATAAAGACCATCGAGACTAGGAAGAAACTGCATGAACTAACGAGCAAAATAACCAGCTAACATCATAATGACAGGATCAAATTCACATATAACAATATTAACTTTAAATGTAAATGGACTAAATGCACCAATTAAAAGACACAGACTGGCAAATTGGATAAAGAGTCAAGACCCATCAGTGTGCTATATTCAGGAAACCCATCTCACATGCAGAGACACACATAGGCTCAGAATAAAAGGATGGAGGAAGATCTACCAAGCCAATGGAAAACAAAAAAAGGCAGGGGTTGCAATCCTAGTCTCTGATAAAACAGACTTTAAACCAACAAAGATCAAAAGAGACAAAGAAGGCCATTACATAGTGGTAAAGGGATCAATTCAACAAGAAGAGCTAACTATCCTAAATATATATGCACCCAATACAGGAGCACCCAGATTCATAAAGCAAGTCTTGAGTGACCTACAAAGGGACTTAGACTCCCACACATTAATAATGGGAGACTTTAACACCCCACTGTCAACATTAGACAGATCAACGAGACAGAAAGTCAACAAGGATACCCAGGAATTGAACTCAGCTCTGCACCAAGCGGACCTAATAGACATCTACAGAACTCTCCACCCCAAATCAACAGAATATACATTTTTTTCAGCACCACACCACACCTATTCCAAAATTGACCACATACTTAGAAGTAAAGCTCTCCTCAGCAAAAGTAAAAGAACAGAAATTATAACAAACTATCTCTCAGACCACAGTGCAATCAAACTAGAACTCAGGATTAAAAATCTCACTCAAAACCACTCAACTACATGGAAACTGAACAACCTGCTCCTGAATGACTACTGGGTACATAACGAAATGAAGGCAGAAATAAAGATGTTCTTTGAAACCAAGGAGAACAAAGACACAACATACCAGAATCTCTGGGACACATTCAAAGCAGTGTGTAGAGGGAAATTTATAGCACTAAATGCCCACAAGAGAAAGCAGGAAAGATCCAAAATTGACACCCTAATATCACAATTAAAAGAACTAGAAAAGCAAGAGGAAACACATTCAAAAGCTAGCAGAAGGCAAGAAATAACTAAAATCAGAGCAGAACTGAAGGAAATAGAGACACAAAAAACCCTTCAAAAAATTAATGAATCCAGGAGCTGGTTTTTTGAAAGGATCAACAAAATTGATAGACCGCTAGCAAGACTAATAAAGAAAAAAAGAGAGAAGAATCAAATAGACGCAATAAAAAATGATAAAGGGGATATCACCACCGATCCCACAGAAATACAAACTACCATCAGAGAATACTGCAAACACCTCTATGCAAATAAACTAGAAAATCTAGAAGAAATGGATAAATTCCTCGACACATACACTCTCCCAAGACTAAACCAGGAAGATGTTGAATCTCTGAATAGACCAATAACAGGAGCTGAAATTGTGGCAATAATCAATAGCTTACCAACCAAAAAGAGTCCAGGACCAGATGGATTCACAGCCGAATTCTACCAGAGGTACAAGGAGGAACTGGTACCATTCCTTCTGAAACTATTCCAATCAATAGAAAAAGAGGGAATCCTCCCTAACTCATTTTATGAGGCCAGCATCATCCTGATACCAAAGCCGGACAGAGACACAACCAAAAAAGAGAATTTTAGACCAATATCCTTGATGAACATTGATGCAAAAATCCTCAATAAAATACCGGCAAACCGAATCCAGCAGCACATCAAAAAGCTTATCCACCATGATCAAGTGGGCTTCATCCCTGGGATGCAAGGCTGGTTCAATATACGCAAATCAATAAATGTAATCCAGCATATAAACAGAACCAAAGACAAAAACCACATGATTATCTCAATAGATGAAGAAAAGGCCTTTGACAAAATTCAACAACCCTTCGTGCTAAAAACTCTCAATAAATTAGGTATTGATGGGACGTATCTCAAAATAATAAGAGCTATCTATGACAAACCCATAGCCAATATCATACTGAATGGGCAAAAACTGGAAGCATTCCCTTTGAAAAAGGGGCACAAGACAGGGATGCCCTCTCTCACCACTCCTATTCAACATAGTGTTGGAAGTTCTGGCCAGGGCAATTAGGCAGGAGAAGGAAATAAAGGGTATTCAAATAGGAAAAGAGGAAGTCAAATTGTCCCTGTTTGCAGATGACATGATTGTATATCTAGAAAACCCCATTGTCTCAGCCCAAAATCTCCTTAAGCTGATAAGCAACTTCAGCAAAGTCTCAGGATACAAAATCAATGTACAAAAATCACAAGCATTCTTATACACCAAGAACAGACAAACAGAGAGCCAAATCATGAGTGAACTCCCATTCACAATTGCTTCAAAGAGAATAAAATACCTAGGAATCCAACTTACAAAGGATGTGAAGGACCTCTTCAAGGAGAACTACAAACCACTGCTCAAAGAAATAAAAGAGGATACAAACAAATGGAAGAGCATTCCATGCTCATGGGTAGGAAGAATCAATATCGTGAAAATGGCCATACTGCCCAAGGTAATTTACAGATTCAATGCCATCCCCATCAAGCTACCAATGACTTTCTTCACAGAATTGGAAAAAACTACTTTAAAGTTCATATGGAACCAAAAAAGAGCCTGCATTGCCAAGTCAATCCTAAGCCAAAAGAACAAAGCTGGAGGCATCATGCTACCTGACTTCAAACTATACTGCAAGGCTACAGTAACCACAACAGCATGGTACTGGTACCAAAACAGAGATATAGATCAATGGAACAGAAAAGAGCCCTCAGAAATAACGCCGCATATCTACAACTATCTGATCTTTGACAAACCTGAGAAAAACAAGCAATGGGGAAAGGATTCCCTATTTAATAAATGGTGCTGGGAAACCTGGCTGGCCATATGTAGAAAGCTGAAACTGGATCCCTTCCTTACACCTTATACAAAAATTAATTCAAGATGGATTAAAGACTTAAATGTTAGACCTAAAACCATAAAAACCCTAGAAGAAAACCTAGGCATTACCATTTAGGACATAGGCATGGGCAAGGACTTCATGTCTAAAACACCAAAAGCAATGGCAACAAAAGCCAAATTGGCAAATGGGATCTCATTAAACTAAAGAGCTTCTGCACAGCAAAAGAAACTACCATCAGAGTGAACAGGCAACCTACAAAATGGGAGAAAATTTTTGCAACCTACTCATCTGACAAAGGGCTAATATCCAGAATCTACAATGAACTCAAACAAATTTACAAGAAAAAAACAAACAACCCCATCAAAAAGTGGGCAAAGGACATGAACAGATACTTCTCAAAAGAAGACATTTATGCAGCCAAAAAACACATGAAAAAATGCTCACCATCACTGGCCATCAGAGAAATGCAAATCAAAACCACAATGAGATACCATCTCACACCTGTTAGAATGGCAATCATTAAAAAGTCAGGAAACAACAGGTGCTGGAGAGGATGTGGAGAAATAGGAACACTTTTACACTGTTGGTGGGACTGTAAACTAGTTCAACCATTGTGGAAGTCAGTGTGGCGATTCTTCAGGGATCTAGAACTAGAAATACCATTTGACCCAGCCATCCCATTAGTGGGTATATACCCAAAGGACTATAAATCGTGCTGCTATAAAGACACATGCACATGTATGTTTATTGCAGCATTATTCACAATGGCAAAGACTTGGAACCAACCCAAATGTCCAACAATGATAGACTGGATTAAGAAAATGTGGCACATATACACCATGGAATACTATGCAGCCATAAAAAATGATGAGTTCATGTCCTTTGTAGGGACATGGATGAAATTGGAAATCATCATTCTCAGTAAACTATCGCAAGAACAAAAAACCAGACACCGCAATTCTCACTCATAGGTGGGAATTGAACAATGAGAACACATGGACACAGGAAGGGGAACATCACACTCTGGGGCCTGTTGTGGGGTGGGGGGAGGGGGGAGGGATAGCATTGGGAGATATACCTAATGCTAGATGACGAGTTAGGGGGTGCAGCACACCAGCATGGCACATGTATACATATGTAACTAACCTGCACATTGTGCACATGTACCCTAAAACTTAAAGTATAATAATAATAAATTAAAAAACAAAAACAAATTACTCTATACATAGAGAGCAATTCTAATTAAAACCCAAATGAAATTTGATAAACTGATTCTAAAGTTTACTTAGAAGAGAAGATGCAGGAAAATAATGAAGGAAATTTAGGTAGTTAAGAGCAAGTAGTAAGAATTTGTTTTATCAAATACTAAAAAACATTTTAAAGCATTATTGGTATAGTTTGATTTATGTAGACAGAGGAAATCAATGAAAAATATTAGAGATTTCTATAAAACTTTTATCAGAACCATAAAGAAAAGATGGCTTCAGGACAAGTAACTCTATTTGGGAAAAAAATAGTTTGATCCCTAAGCCATACTATATATGCAAGTATATTCTATAGATATCTGAATGTAAATAAAATTGAAAAACACATTCACAAAATATATCTAATAAGCTGTTGTAAATAAATAAGAAGATGTCCAAAAACTTACTATAAATAAATGAAGATTATAAGTAGGCCGAAGAAATAGAAATAAACTATAAACAAATGAAATAAGCTCATTCTTCTCCCCGCCAAAAGTTTTCATGGCCCCTGGGTTTGGTCCTAAATGATGATTAGGGATTTCCAAGCTGGGCAAGATGGAATAGGGTGAGGTAAGCTATTCCAGGGTTGGTAGCCAGGATAAGCAAATGAAGCCAACAATAAAAGTGCATGGTGCTCCCAGGTGGGTACAATTAGCTATTGAGAGTTTATCCTTAGGCGATAGGGAAACATGAAATTTCTGATGAGGAAAGGGTTATTTAGATTTGTAATATTTGCAAAGTTACTCTGGCAGCAGTGGAATTTGAATTTGTGTATGAAGAGATGCAAATGTGGAGACTATTTGTGTGACTAGCGCACTAATGCAGGTGTGATAAAGTCCTGAATTATAGCAGCAGTCAGTATCATTGAGGCTGAGAAAGGAAGGTTGCAGTTGATGAAACTCAGTGACTGTAAGTGCTGAGCGCTGAAGGAAAGAGAGAGAGAAATTGAGGATTGCTCCCAGGTTTTTCTGTAAGAGTGCCAATTGCTGAAACAGACATTCCAGGAGAAGTAAGCTTGCTAGGTTGTGAGTGGTGATAATGAGTTTAGATTTGGCTGTACCTAGTAAGATGGGTAGAAACACAACTGATCGCTAAACGTGAAGGCTTTTCACCTCTCATTTATGAAAGCAAAAAGTAGATGGTGATGAATTTGAAGTGAATCATCAATAACTTCAGTGATTTGGGGGGTAGTCCCATGACCATTATAGTGGATATGATACCTACTAAGTTAAAACCTTATGCAACTGCTAATATTGGGCCATTTTTGTTTTACAAGAAGTGACAGTTTCACAGGGTTGATCAAATAGTTTGCTGGCTTTGGGAAGAAACTTATGAGATATCTTCCTTAGATTTCACAAAGGAAATAAGGATTATTGTTAAGTGTTGAAAATAATGTTTTAAGAGAAATAAAATGTGATAAAATGTATCATCAAAAACATCTACCTTATATTAGTTGACTTACAGGTCTCACTCCCCACTCTCTTGGGACAAGTTAGTGGTACCCGAGCTTGGACCCAGGAGGCGGCGGGGATTTATCAGGACTTGACATCCAAGAACTCTGCTGGGGGGAGCTGGATCCTATCACCCTTATTTCTCCTGAAACTCCATACCAATGTTCCATAGCAGTCACCATGCTGTGCAACAAGTCCTGGGAATTTAAAGAAAAAGAAGAACCTGATCTAATAACTCCTGAAAATATCATTTACCTTCATGTAATTTAAGCTGAAGAATTCTTCTTTGTTAGCTAAAAGGAGGGGCAAAACATTTTGGGGCTTTTCAAATAGAAAGAAAAAATACATGAAGGAATATTATTTTTCCTGGTGACTGATGCCAGGAACATTTTGTTTTGATAAGCTCAATTCTGCCATCATTATATTAAGACAAAATAGAGCTTTTGACTAAATTATACATTTCTCCTCTAAGCTGCTCCTGCTCTCTGAAACTGAGATACTTTCAGATCAAAATTCTGTCTTTCAGATTGATACCAACATTAGTATAAACTAAAGAAAAATGAAAATATATTCGTGCAGCTGTTTCTGCATATCACCTTTAATCTTCCATGCACGTTAAAATATGTGCTTCTCAAAGAGGAAGAAAGAGAAACAGAGAGAGAGAGAGAGAGAGAGAGAGAGATCTATTTTTGCTTTATGTGAATATAAAAGTAATTTGTTGCCATGGTGATATATTTTTTCCATCCTGTATTTTCCAAACACAGGCTTTGCTTCAGGTTTTGGGTACACAGTCTCTCTTGCTGTCCTCCATTTACAATGTCATGCTCCACTGACCACTGCAGGTCAGGCACAAGCTAGTCTACAAGATCAAACGTCACATTTGACAGAAATTTTTATTTTTTGGTGCTTGTAACAGTATGAGCCTCTTGACAGAGTCAGGGAGAGGGCATTTCAGATTCCTGAGGCCCTTCATTTGGCAACTGCTAAAGTTTAGTGTTCCAATTTCCCTGTCTTTCTTTGCAAAAGAACCACTGCTTATGTTAACCCTATGCAATCCAACCTGGTCAATATTTACCTAGCGTTGCATTCAGCAGCTAGCCAGTCTACAGAGATTGTCTATAGACATACCCAACAGTCTATAGACTGTTTTGTCTACTGAAAAGTTGCTACTAAATTTTAGTAGCTAGCAAAATTTTAGTTGCTTTGTAAACAAACAAACAAAAATCAGAGGTTTACTTGTTTTCTACTTAAGGAAAGTATAGCAGAAGAAATAAATAACCAGAGCTTGGAGGGTCAATTCATAGGCCCCACGAAATTAAATAAATCAACAGTTAAGGGAAATTGCCTTAAAGACAGATTAAGGAAGATGGGAAAAAAGAGGTGTGATCAGAGAACTATGTTAGTTCAGGATCTGGAGATGTACTGTCTATATGGTGATGGTGGGAGGTAGGGAAGGCAGGGCAACAGGAATGGAGAAGAGAAGCAAGAAAGGTGGACAGGTAGCAGCAAACACAGGCCATTGTGCAATAGGTGAGCGATTTTAATTCTAATATTAGTTAAAACAACAAACCAACATTACTGGTCAAAGCCAAGGGTCACTTACAAGTTCATCTGTATAGTCTGTTCTTGGATAGGACAATAGGCATGAATTCACAAGAAAAGATTATTCATAAATAAGTTAAATATTTTGTGGACATTTACCTGTGACAGGTGCTATGTTAGCCTTGATAAAGGTACATATAGAATCAACTGAATCAACTGAAAGAGGAGATAATATGTCAACGTGAAAACGTGGCTAATTACACAAAAGCCACATGAATTATACAGAGATTAGGCTTATTGCAGTTTCAAGGCAAAGAATCAGAGACCACAATTGCAGCTAGATTTTGAACAGGCTGAATTTAGAGAGATGCAAAGAAGAGGGAAAAGGAAGCCCTCTTCTCCTCTGAGTGCCCACCAGTGGATCGTACACAAAAGAAAGTAGTTGAATGGAATAGAGAGTTGGACTGGACACCATGTCTTAGAGTCAAGGCTGAAATAAGCTTCTTACCTTCTACTCTGAATCCTACTGGGCCTGCAAAATGGACTGAAAACTTCTGTGTCCACTCAGCTGGAGGAAGGAGGACCTCAAAAAGTCTTACATATTCATTTAGGGGCAGGAAGTGAAGTGAGGTAGTTACCTCTCAATAACAGGCTCGTGTTTGACAGAGTACTGAGAGTGAAAAAGGAAACGTGCACCTGGTCTGGCTGTAGGCACCATCACCATGACCACCAAAAAAATGGTTCAATGGATGCCAAATTCTAGCAACATTCACCATTGCCCTTTCCTCTGTGAGGAATGTGGGCATCAGAGAGGCTGCGAGTTTTACTACTGATGCTCTCCTAGGTAGAGAGTAGGGATTTAGGGTATTACCCTCCAAGAGTGGAGACAGGAAGAAAGGAAAAAGGGAAATAGCTGCTCTCTCTTCTCTCCCTACCCTCATTCCTGCCTAAAGCTAAGCTCTAAGGCAGGTTTTTTCCATATGCCACCTAGGTGGATCTTCGTAGTAACTGAACGATAGAGGTGTAATTGGCTCCGCGTTGCAGGTAAAATGAGACTTGGGGCTGGGGTGAAGGAATTTGCCCAAAATTAAATGACAAGAAAGTGAGGACACCCAATATTTTAATTCATACTCATAACTCCAAAATCCATACTTTATATACACGTACACACCAGGGAGGTCCAGCTGAAGGCAGGAAACCTGTAGGAGACAGTGAGAGCTAATCTGCAAAGGCTCAAAGCAAGACTGAGGAACTCAAACTTGTTTTTCAGGCACTCGGAAGCATCTGAAGCATTTGTTTTTGAGCACAGGAATGACTCAGTGCAGCACTTTAACTGATTTTGGGTAAAATTCATCCCAGAATGTATATAACATGGAATGAAAATAAGCCATGTTGCAATTAAAAGCTGTTAACAATAATTTCAAAATAGATTTGGAGGTTATGAATGATTCATCATTGTATGGCTTGCTATTGCTCACAACAAAGTATACTCAAATTCACTGGCTTAAACCCACCGTCATTTATGACTGTTTATATATCAGCAGGATGGCTGGGCTTGGCTGGGTGGTTTTACTTTAAGCCCAAGTTGCTGGGCAGCTCAGCTTCTCACTGCACATCTGTGGGCTGCATGGGAAAGCCATGCTTCATGTGCCTCTCATCTTCCTTGGATCAATGATTTAGAAGAGAAATGTTCTTCTCATTGTGATGGGCATGGCCCCAGACAGCAAGCCGAAACCCACAGACTTTGGAAGGTCTGGGTTTGCATATGGCTCCCTCACTGTCTCTTCCACCTCAGTTTATTGAACAGCATAAATCACTTGGCTAAACTTAAAGTTAAACTTGAAGGATCAGGGAAATATTCTCCATCCTTTTCCTGAGAGGAACTGAAAAGTCACATGTCAAAGTGTGTGACCATAAGGAGGGGTGAAGAATGGGGCTAAAAATAAAATTGTCATCATCCTCATGAATTACCACTGTGTCAAATACTGAGTGGTTTTGAATTTATAGGTTCTATTTGAGAGGTTATTATTTTTAGTTAAGCCCAAAGATGATAATATAGTGAGAAGAGTAAAATTTAATTCCCTGCCTCTGGGGCCTTGATTTCCTCATATATAGAATGAAAGGTGTCAACTAGATAATCTCTATGGGCCCTTTGAACTCTATGATCCTAGGCTTCTAGACTCATATTACTTTAAATGATAAATGCATAGACATGGTCAAGAGAAATTTCCGATTGAATGTATAGTCTATAACAACTTAATGGAGAAATACTTAGGGAAACTATATGAAAATTTAGAAGGATTCCAATTATAAGTTGAAATGTCAGTTTTGATTAGAAAAATTATACTCTTCACAGGGTAATC
The DNA here is from genome assembly GCF_000001405.40 of Homo sapiens. Lineage (NCBI taxonomy): Eukaryota > Metazoa > Chordata > Mammalia > Primates > Hominidae > Homo > Homo sapiens. The sequence continues at coordinate 33,996,097 of NC_000013.11, forward strand.
ACAACTAAGACCTTGGAGCCACCTGTCCCTAAATACATATTTAATATCAACTTTATATGAAGGAAAATATGGATGGAATATCATTATTGTGAAGCCCAATAGTTCAAAAGTTCTCTTTTAGCAAACATCCGAGAATTTTTGAGCATTTCTTGAAATAGCAGAACATTGAGAAAATACATTTGGGCAACCTCAACATGAAACTTTTTACAGCTCTGGAACCCCTCCTTCTTCCCATACTTCTCCATATTATTGTTATTTTTATTATTGTTATTATAATTTTAGAGACACAGTCTCACTCTGTTGCCCAGTCTGGAGTGCAGTGTAGCTCGACCATAGCCCACTGCAGCCTCAAACTCCTGGGCTCAAATGATCCTCCCATCTCAGCCTCCTGAGTAGCTGGGACTACAGGCATGCACTACTACCCCTAGCTAATTATCTTATTATTTGTAGAGGTGGGATCTCACTATGTTGCCCAGGCTGGTCTCTAATTCCTGGGCTCAAGTGATCATCCTGCCTCGGCTTCCCGAAACATTGGGATTAAGGCATCGGCCACTGTGCCAGGCCCAAAACCTCTCCTTGACAACAAGGACTGCTACGCCTGGGGATTTTGTGACATGGGTGGGGATAGGGGAGCGATGGGAAGGAAACCCAGTGCAGGGATTATGAAGGGAGCTGCTGCAGGCAGTGCACCATTGCTTCATCAGGCTATGCTGACAGAGTCATCGCACGAAATACTGTGTCTGTTAGCCGCCACCTCTTCTCGTTGCAGCTGTGCAGTTCCTTCCATGCCCTCCTCTTGTTTCCTTCCATCATCCCTTAATTTTTTTTTTACTTTGTAGGAAATGTGATCTCTCAGTTGGAGTTTTGGGAGTGGATATTTTGCCCACATATGACCTTCTTGCTTATGATCCATGTCCTTTAGTTTTCCAGGACTATCATGCGTTTTTAAGATTTAACTCAAACTGGTTTATGCCCATTATATATGTAAAGGGAACCCACCATCATTTCTGTTGACTCCGGGGATTCACAGGGGTCCCAACCACTGCTGCATTCTTGCTGTCCCTTGAGCAGCTCTGCCTAGGACATGCTCTCCCCTTCCACACCATGTTGCCCTACTGGCCAGCCCCTGCCTCTTCCTTCTCTCTTCTGAAGTTACACACACAGTAGGCTGGGAGTTGGATAAATTTTACTAAAACGTTGGGAAGGTGGAGAGGCTGACTGTACATACCACACTGCAGATAATGTGACAGGAAATATTAGACAGCTCTGTCATGAACAGTCTTTCAGCCACATTCCCTAATGGGCCTTTCTCTAGACAGTCTCTCCACTTAAGTCCTTGCTGATCTTACAAAGCTCTCCTCTCCACTGCACCTTGGCTGCCTCTCAAAAAACAACAAAAGGCTCCCAGGCCTTGTAGAACAATTCACTGCAGACCTTACCCAAAATTCAATTCTAAGCTGACTTAGATATACCTGCACTATACAGGTGTATCAGTTTTATATTTTATACCATATGTGTACTGTACCTTTTCTATGTTTAGATGCATCTATGCTTACCATTGTGTTACAGTTGCCTACAGTATTCAGTACAACATGCTGTGCAGGTGTGCAGCCTAGGAGCAATGGGCTATGCCATGCAGTCTAGATGCGTAGCGGGCTCTCCCCTCTAGGTCTGTATAAGTACACTCTATGATATTTACACAATGATGAAATCACCTAACAATGTATTTCTCAGAACATATTCTCGCCATTAAGTAATTTATGACTATACTAAACCATGAAATTTCTGTTTTAGGACTGCATACTTCAGCAGCACAAAATATTGAAATAACAGGGTTTTCCTAATCTGAGCTCAAATGCTTTGATAGGACTGTCTTCTTCAAATATGAATGTTGCCAATGCTACATCTCACATCTTGTCATCCCCACACCATCATTCAAAGCAGGAGTAGCTACAGTCACTTTGCTTCTGTAGTTTTTTTTTTAAAAAACATTTTTATTTCTGATACAGATAAATAAGATATCTCAGGCAGATGAGTGAAGATCATTCTCAGTGGATAGAATAAGTCACCAGAGTCCATACTTAGAGGCAAAGATCCTGGGAGAGTGTTGTGGAAGCAGCCCCACTTGTGCTACATCCATGTAGGCAATTAAGGGAAGAAGAAGGCTAAAGAGGCCTGGATGACAGGCATTTGGACTTTTGTGAGTAATGGAGAACCAACGATGATTTTTTAGTAGGTTTTTTTTTCATCTTTTTGAATTTGCTGTAGGGAGAAATCTCATGAGTAGGATGAAGTTGACAAGCGTGGCCAAGAGGGAAAAGGGAGAAAGAAAAATCCATAGGAAGATGATTGCTGGAGTTTCTTTGTATGCATTAAATGTGAATAATAAATACAGAATTCAAGCAGTTTCTTTTAACATCTTGGTTATTTGCTGACCATCCTTAAAGGACTGGAAAACTTTTTAACTTACTGTTTCAGTGAATTGAGGAGTATCATGTGGGTTGAAAAAGTGATAGCTATTATTCTTACTGGGTAACTCTCAAAAAAGGTAATAAGAAATTTAGGAGTTAGAAAGACCTTATTAACTAATATATCATAATAAAAATACTTTGGTAATTTCTACAGAGTCTAAATTTGTTTGCAATGGAACCAAAAGGCATATTCACAGGGGTTTATGCAGGAGTGACAGAAGTGGCTATCAAGGCCCCTCAAGGCAGCCTCAGCCAATATAAAGATTAAAATTCACTTTCCATTAGAACCATCTCCCACCAAATATCACAACCCTGAGGCTTCTGAATGGTGAAACTGGCTTCCAAAGAAGTGCAGTTCATGCAATTCAATATGTCACCTCCTCAGTCTGGACGTCAGACTCCAAATCTGTTGTGTGTGTGGGGTCAGCATTTTGGTAGAGGGAGAAGGGAATGGGTCTTCAGAAGGCTTTCACTTTCTCCCTCACACTACTTTTCTGTATTGTTTTCATTTTTTTCATAGACATCACTTGACTTATAATAAACAAATAGCAAAACAAATAAAAGAAGTCACCTCAGGTTGCAGAGTTAACCTTATTGTTTAACAGTAACCCAACCGGGGGGTCTAAAATTGAGAGACTAAAAAGATAAGAGCTGTGTTATACCTCTGCTTTTACGCTGCTCAACTACTTGTAAGTGGAGGAAAGAGGAGTAGGAGCTAAGGGAAACTGTACCTAACATGGCTTCTCAAGCTTCTGTCTTTGTTCTTTGGTCTGTTGCATCTCTCTCAAAAGACCAGCTGCTTAGATGAATCAACATAAACAGTTTCACACAATTAGCAGGAGATCTGACTTACAGCCACCTTGTACCAAATTCTGCTTCAGCATCAAAGCGTGTTGGTGTAGTTCTGGCCTACGTAGCAAGCCCTAGAAAACAAGAGGAAAGGGAAAGAGATATATTTACTAATGTGAAGGAAGGTACATTTACTAAGAACAAATATTTTCTCTAGCCCTGTGATAGGTGCTTCCCTTGTGTTAACTAAGTAATACTCATCAACAGCCATTATGTAGGTAAAGAAACTCAAATTCAGAGAGGTTGGATAATTTATCAAAAATCACACAGTAATTGAAGTCATTTTTTTTAGCATCCTTCTCTTTGTGTCCAAAATCCATACTTTTCCCCATACAACATGCTACTCACTGGTTAAAGTACAATTCCTTATGATTTATCTGAAGTGACTGAGTGTGTATATCCCAGAAAAGACAGAGCCAGGAGCTGGGCACTGTATCAGCACCTCCCTTTTCTGCCCGTGTTCAACTTGGCAAAATTATTCCTGGAGGCTGGGTTTCAGAATGATAAAGCAGTCACCAAGGAGGGGTTTTATTTATTCATTTTTAATGAATTGGTGCAATTACTCAGGCTGAGCCATAAGTAAACATCTTGCCAGAGACACACAGGGAGGGAAGACTGATGACAATAAATTCCTAGTTCCTTTAAAATTGTTTGATGTAATTCTGGTTGGCAGCCCGGGGAGGATGCCGTTTTCCTGCAGAGTTTTTATTATGATTGCTGTGAGTTGTTTGCCCTCCTCTCTGACTTTGCATGCTCACTGCTCTCTAGGTTCAGAAATAACTCCATTGCTGACTTTAAAGTGAAGAAAGTAATGACTGGAAAGATGCTGTATGAATTAAAATAACTAGATATGTTCTTTCAGCAAAACTGGAGCGTTGAGTTGGTCATATGCAACTGGAAGAGGGGCAAATCCATGCAGTGGGTGGAGCCCCATCCAGATCTTAGGAGAAACAAGAATGTGCCTTCCTCCTCATGATTTCCTTTCCACTCCCAGCCCGCACTCCACGTTTCCTGCATGACTGACTCCACCTTGGTTCCAATGGCCTGGTCTCCACTGCCAGGGCCCAAAGGTTTGTGCCAATTACTGTACCTTGAGAGTTGAGATGAAAGTGCTTTTCTCCTGAATTACTTGGAAAATTGCCTCTATTTCCTTTTGCATTTTTTACTAGACTAGGCCTAGCCTTTAGCTGAGAGGGTCTAGCCCAAGTAGCCCATTACTGAATGCCTCCTGCAGGGCCATTGCTAAAACGCCATTGTGAGGTCACTGCAGCCTATTTTAGCTGCCAGAATATTGCTTTGGACTTTGATAGCTTCTTCCCTCTGAACAGCCCAAGCTACTTGTCAAATTTCAAAAGGATTCGATATGCAAAAGGGAAAATGGAGAGTACCATGCGATAATTAGGTGTTCCCATATTTGTCAACTTGGATAAGCATAGTCCAGAAGTTCAGGTGAGTTTTTAATGTTGTACAATTTATGAAGAGAGGGTCCCTCTTAAATGAGAGGGTCCTCATAAGGAGAGCTCACTAAGCTTTCAGGTAAGACTCTACTGAAGCTATTGAAATTGACCTGATTGTTATATATGCAAATTTCTGAAGATTAAACACAGGGACAATGTACATTGAGTGCCTATGTACTGTTTTTCCCTTCTCTCATCCAGTTCTCAAAATAACCCCACAGTCAAGCATTTAGCCCTCCTTTTTATAGATGCCTGTCTCTAGACCATAATCTCTATTGGAGCCTAGAGGGTGCAATTTACTCACTGCTGTATTGATGGGAGCAAACATAGGTCTTGCTTATCATAGGAACCTCATGAATATTTGTTGAATTAACTCTGGCCTTCAGTTGGATGTTTAACTGTTGAACTGAACAATCTGAAGACACTGAAGATCAGAAAAATGAAGTGACATGCTCAGGTCTCAAAGTTATTAAATGGTGGGTTAGAATTCAGGCCAATCCCAGCCCCCTTCTATTGAGACCAGAACAGTGAAGAGCATTTCCTGTAGATCATGTCTCCTGTTTCCCTCAGCACCTCTGCGAGTGGACACCATTACTGACAGGTTTCCAAGCCTGTGTGCTTGTTCTGCTAGGGCACACTGTCTCCCAACTCACAAGTCTGAGTCTTCCTGGTACTGACGCAGAACCCTTTCTCATGGCAGGCAGAAATGGCAACTCAGTGACACCCAAGTGGGGAGTGACTGATTTATTTTTGGCAGGAGAGAGGCTGGCGTAGATCATTCATCCTCTGTGACTGAGAGATAGGTGGACCCTCACGTTCTCTCTTCTCTGCCTTTGGCAGACAAAAAGATGTGACAGCCCTGACTACTTGGGGAGTTAGTTTGTGATGGGGTAGGGGCTTTTCTGGAATTAGCTAAAAAGTTTCTCTTGTGAAGGAAACAGTTTTCTTAAGTCCCAGTGAAACAAGAGCTGAGCTAGCTGTGCATTTGTCTGGGAATTTGATAAGAAGATGAGACACGCTAGCCAGGGGGAAGGCAACCAAGGGGGAAAAGCTGCAGGGATTTTGGCTCATGACAAAATTTGCTAAGGGACCCGAATGCCTAAAACAAGCAGATTCCAGAGCAAGAGAATTATCAAGAATGAGGAGAAATGTGGAAGAAGGAATAGTGGCTGCAATATAAATATTAGTCAGCCAAGTTTTCTAATACAATTCAGATCTTTCCATGACTTTCAATTTTAGGCCCTAAATTATCCAAGTCAATACAGATAACACTGTAAATGTTCAACTCTTCTAATCAATCCCTTTTACCTAAAAATGTATAATTGAGGGAAGAAATAGAGCAAGTCTGTTACCCTTCTTCACTCCAACATTTTGTCTCTGATCATTGGGCCAGCAGTTAAAAGACTCATGTTTTAGTATTGAATATTCCTTTGTTTATGAGTTGAGTCACCTTGGAAAATCCTTTTGGTCTCTGAACGTCAGCTCTTGCACCTGAGACAGTAGTGTAGGCTGTTTCCCTAGATTTTTAACTTGCCTTGAAGCACTAAATACCTAAATGACCTCAGACATGTTTCTTAGCTTCTCTGAGCCTCAGTTTCCCTGTCTCTAAAGGGAAAATGATACCAGTGGCTACCTCTCTGTGTCCCTGTAAGAATGCCATGCCCCTCACGACACATACAGGCGTGTGCAGCAGGGCATGGCACAATAAATGTGTTCTATGGACACAACTGCGGGGCATGGTGGGGGGATTGTTCTGTTCCACAGTTGTTGCCACTATCTGTTTAAAGGATGCCCTTTGAAAACTTCACATGCATATACAAGTGTGCATCTGTGCCTAGGTAAATGAGCACCACTCCTGTCATTATCCTGTGATTTCACATTTCTAATCTACTTGCTCATTTTTCTCAAATTGCTTGATGATGCTATTTCTCCCTAAAGAAATAAGACCCCAATGTTAGGATCTCTGTGTAGAATTTCCTTTCTGTTCTTTAATATCACTCAATAATATTTATGTCATTTTGCTGTTTTCAAAGCCCTTTCAAAGCCATCTCAATCACTCCACACTGCAATCCTGAATGGTGCATGTTGCTGTAATTCTTCCTTCACAGATGAGAGAACTAGGGCTCAAGGAGATAATTTATTTAGCATCCCTGGGAGGCGGCAGGAAGGGTGAAAGAGGAGGCATATCTGTGTTATGAACCTAGATTTTTCAATTCCAAGGTATGTGTTCTCCCCTCCTTTAAAAGGCTGTCTCCTGTAAGTGCTTCCCGGTCTTCTGTGCCATCAATCTGGACTGTGCCAGGGGCTGGGCTGCTCTAGGGCAGTTTCCTTAGCAAGGCAGGAGTTTAGAAACACCATCTGAGTAATATGGGGACCTCACTGCATTCCCCACTCCTCACTGCCTCTATTTTCCCTAGCTCTGTGCAGATTCACAGGGCTCACCCGCCACGCTGCCCTGAGCATGGCCACGTGGGACTGCACAGTGAATGCCATGATTGGAGTAGCAGCTCAAGGTAGCTATTTTTAAAGTTCCTGCTTTGTTGAATTATTGCAATCATTGCACCGCCATCTATGCTGTGTGGGGTTGCCCTCAGAGGGCAGAAGACCAGCAGCTAATCAGCTGTCCCTTGCTCCTCGGAAAGATTTCAGAATCGTGCCATAGCAGCTAAAGAGGAATCCGCACACCAAAGGGTCGGCCTCTCTCTTGGTTTCTAACTTTGTATTCCCATCCAGGCGCGCTCCACTCCACCGAGGCGAGGGGTCACAGTACTCTCCACAGTCTCTCAAATCACTCCACAGTAATACTCTTTATAAAGCCTATTATTGTCAGCAGAAAACAATTTTGAGGCCTGTATGTGATTAAGGCAGATGGCCAGCTGGAGGCATTTGAAGAAAATATCTTTTTACACTTCCTTTTATTGAATTTGGAGAATTCGTGGTTTAATGCAGAGTTTTGCACTGCATTTCAATACAGCAAAACTTGGAAGAAAATCTCTTTTAAATCTACAGATGGATCTTGGTAACGCTTTGATTAAATAGTTGTTAGACATAAACCATTTCCCTGCACTCATCACAGGCCCTTCTCTAACCACGGTAATTCTCAATTTTGATTTCATTATTTTATGAAGGAAGACAGAAGAAATGTGAAATACAATTTAATGAGTTCTTCGCTCATCCAGTGTGTCACAAGAGAGAACTAGAGGACAAAAAAGAAAAAAATTAAAATGGCGTACCGTCAAGCTTTCTAGGCGTGAGATTTTTTTTGTATCTAAAACCACTGGTTATACAATTAATAAAGTGGTTTCTGATAAAAATGTAGTCAACCCTCAACAGTTTCTTCTCTTTATCCCTAAACCACTCATGCATGCTGTGTATATGGCGATGAATCAGAAACTTCCCAGTGATGCATTGCTTCTCCTCTTCTGTAACGAGAGGAGATTTAATAGTGTACTTTTAGATCACTTTTATCATGTCTGTCAATATAATGAGTCTCCCTTTTTTCTGGAAACTTAACTATACACGTCCGAAGGACAGAGATCATGGGTTAAGTTTCTTCTGTAGTCTCCATGCTTTGAATGTAGCAGGAACGGATCTCACGTTTGGGAGGCAGGAGACTGGCAGAGGCTTCAAGTGCCCAAATGCTATAACCTACAAAATACATGCCTCATATTCAAAGACAGCTTTTTGGTCCTTTAACCTGTGGGATGAGTATTACCAAAAATGGGAAGTGAGAAAAGAAATCTATAGAGAAAGAGGGTCTATTTTTTCTATGGGGTACCCTGCAGCTGTTGGTCTAGATAATATTTCATCCCATCTGTAGCCGAGACTGCTAGCTACATCTGCTTCTGCTGCCAGCTTCTCCTTGGCACTCAGCTAGAACTTATTTCCCGGTTTCTTTTACAGTTTGGTATGGCCACGTGACTGAATTATAGCTAATGGAATGTGCGCAGAAGTCACGTTTGTCGTATCTAGGCCTGGCATAAACATCTTCCACCCATGTTCTTCCATACTGTTTTCCCGTTTTGGCTGGCTGTGGAAGACAGGCAGCAGAGAAGGCAGGGTCATGACCAGCTTGATGCCGCGAAGGGAGCAGACAGCCCTCGCTGAGCTGAGCCGCCCAGGAGTATTCTGACTCATCACATAAATGAGAAGTTTCAGCCGGTCGCTGTGGCTCACGCCTGTAATCCCAGCACTTTGGGAGGCCGAGGCTGGTGGATCACCTGAGGTCAGGAGTTTGAGACCAGCCTGGCCAACATGATAAAACCCCGTCTGTACTAAAAATACAGAAAAATTAGCCGGGTGTGGTGGCGGGCACCTGTAATCCCAGCTACTCGGAAGGCTGAGGCAGGAGTATCGCTTGAACCCAGGAGGCGGGAGGTTGCAGTGAGCCGAGATCACCCCACGGCACTCCAGCCTGGGCGAAAGAGCAAAACTCAGTTTCAAAAAAAAAAGAGCAAGAGAGAAGTTTCTATTATGTTGCATCATTACATGTGTGGTGTATTTGTTACTGCAGCCTGACATCTTCTAATTACTACACCATGCACCTATTGGATCAGCATAAATCCAACTTGTAGCTGAAAACAAAGAGATCATTGGACTAGGACTCTCAGTAACATTGGAAGGCACATATCCACAGAGACAGAACAGACAATGCTGACATAATTTTAAAGGCCCTTCCTTTGCCATAGCATTTCTCAAAATGCCATTCCACAAAACTCCAGATCAGAAGCTGAGCGGACCATAGAATCTGCAGAAGCTTCAGTGCCAAATTAATGATAACGGATGGAAGAGCAACACTCTAGACTTCGGCAAGAAAAGTAATATGGGGCCCAGATGAATATGTGAGCTGTCTGTGATTCTTCTAGGGAATAGGAAGGGGACTTGAGAGTCTGCAGTGCCAATGATATCCCTGTGTGTATATGTGTCGGTGTGACAGTGTATGTAGGTGGGCACTCAAAACCGTAGACCTTTTTCCTTACCTTTTCTTACCACTACCTTTGTTACTAGCCCTGTTTCGTGGCTGTCCCCAAGTAGATATGCCTGAGGGATGCAAGGGTTGCATATTAATTACATCCTGTAAAAGCAGAAGATAGATCTCAAGAGAGTATGTATAATTTTTTTTTTTTTGGTTTTGGAAGATGTGAACTTCATATCAACCAAGAGTTATGTAGCTGATATGCTTCCGTTTTACAAAAATGTCTGAAGTTTTCTGCTTTCTAACTTTGTGCTTTTAACCTAGAGAAAATTATAGTTTCCATCTAAGGCAAAAAACAATGATTCATTGTCCTGCTTAGGTTTATTTGGCTAGTTACGAGATCTGGAAGCAATTTGAGATGTTCATTTTTATCACTGTACATAAAAATCTGATTAACAAGTACTCTTCAGTGATCTTATTGTCTTTCAGAAGCATCTCTGCTTTCTTACATTTTAAATTGCACTTTAATTTTTAAAGGAATCTGCCTTTCTTGGGGACTCTTTAAAGATGTTTGCTGGTCTATTTATTGATGGAAAGTTCACAGGACATAATTTTTTCTTCTTATTCTGATTGTCTAAAGAAATAAGTGATACCTTTTTTATGTGCCTGACTATGTTAATCCTAAAATTGATTGCCTAATTCAAAAGTTACAAACGAGGCCCAGGGGGTGGTTTTTCTTTTTCTTTTCTTTTTTCATTTGGGTCAAATCTTAGAAATTAATTAAATATCTGGTAGATCTGGCAACACTGTAGTCATATTTCCGCCAGCAGTCATTGCCTGGACCTGAGTGGAGGCTGCTCTCTTTAGATAGATCATGGGCTTCTCTGCCAGAGTGTCTAGCACTTGTCCACTGTACACAGACCTATTGAAGTGGCTTCACTTATGTATATTTGCCTGGTTCCTGTACACATTTGAGCTTGCATCCATGGGGTTTACCTGTTAAACTGTGAATCTGTGTTTGTGTTTATAAGTGCATACAGTTGAGAAATCAATTAGGATAAATTTGTATATCTGAAGATTTTAATCCATTAGCCATATATTTTAGGTAGTTCAGCACCACAAAATAAAACTCTATGCCATTCTAATTTATAAAAGTGCATGTAAAAATTCAAAATAAAATATTAACAATGTATTAAAAGACCAAGAAGTGTTTAGTCAATTCAAGAAACATTAACATGAGAAATGTATCATTGTAATTCATTACATTAACCGATCTAAAGAGCACAAAAAATCATTCAATAGTTGCTAAAGAGGAATGCCTAGCCATGATTTCCAATGACAAAAAAACAAACTTTTTCCAAAGTAGCATAGAGGAATATTTATTTAATATTATAAAAGTGTCTACCAGAAATCCAGAACTGATATCGAAATTCATGGTGAAAAGCTAGGTGTGCTCCCTTTAGTTTATAAAATAAGAAAAGAAAGCCTATTATCATCAACAACTTTCAATGTTATATGGGAAATTCTAGCTAGTGCAGTAAGATGAGAAAATGAATAAATATGTATAAATATTGGCAAGAATAAAAGAAAATGAATTGAATAAGATGATTATGTTTAGCAAGGTGGCCAGATACCAGATTAACTTAAAACATCACGAGTGTTAACATCACTAGTTTCTATAGTGACAATAATTAATTACATGATAAATAAAAACATCTCGTTCCCACTAGTAATAAAAGTTTTAAAACTTTAAAAATAGATTTAAAAAATATGGAAATATTTTAAGGAAAAAACTTAGAAGTGCCTACCAACATTAGAGGTATACATATTTATTTCTTATTGCTCCATAACAAGTTACCACGAATTTTGTGGCTCAAAACATCACTCAATTTTTATTTCACAGTTCAGTAGATCAGAAGTCAGGGCATGGTGTAAATGGGTTGTCTGCCTTGGGTTTCACAGGGCTAACATCTAGGTGTTGGCCAGGCTGTTTTCTCCTCTGCAGCTCTGAGTTCTCTTCCAAGCTCCTTCAAGTGATTCTCAAAATTCAAAATTCATATTCTTGCGGTTCTTTGTATTTTTTTTTTTTTTTTTTTTTTTTTTGGAGACGGGGTCTTGCTCTGTCACCCAGACTGGAGTGCAGTGGTGCAATCTCGGCTCACTACAACCTCTGCCTCCCAGGTTCAAGCGATTCTCCTGTCTCAGCCTCCTGAGTAGCTGGGATTACAGACACGTGCCATCACACCCAGCTAATTTTTGTATTTTTAGTAAAGATGGGGTTTCATCATGTTGGCCAGGCTGGTCTCAAACTTGTGACCTCAGGTGACCCACCCACCTCGGCCTCCCAAAGTGCTGGGATTACAGGCATGAGTCACCGAGCCCCACTGGTTCTTTGTCTTCTTTATAGCTGTGAGTTCAGAGACTGTACTCAGCTCCTAGAGGCTGCTCTCAGTTCCTTGTCATGTGACTTCCCTCTGCTCACAACAGCAATTTATTTCTTAAAGGCCTGCAGAAGAGTATCTGCTGCTGATTCTTGTCTCTCTTAAGGACTCACCTGATTAGATCAGGCCCACCTCCAAATAATCTCCCTTTCTAGTAGCTCATGATCAACTGATCAGGAACCTTAACCACATCTGCAAAATCCCTTTTGCCACATGTGGTAACATAATCATGGGAGTAAAATCCCATCATATGCACAAGCCTTGCCAGTATTCAAAGAATAGGGTTTATATAGGGCATGTACACTATAAGGCAGGACTCTTTGGGCCACCTTAGAATTCTGTTTAAAATATTGTACCTCTTCACCAAGATTAAATAAAAAATGTCTAGACTCTCTAAAATAACCCATAAATTCAATGCATTTCAAATCCAAATTCCAATAGATTCTTCATGGAATTTGTCAAGCTGATTCTAAATACCATTGGGAAGACTAAATATGTAAACATAATCAAGAAAATTTTGAAAAAGGGAAAGGACTTGTCATAAGGTATCAACATATTAAAACGGTAATAGTATTCTATTAGTGTTAAGTGGAGAGGTTGATAAATAAATTGGTGAACGTAATAGTCCAAAACCAGACCAATGCATGATTATAAATTTGATATTTGTTGGTGGTATTTTAAATTAAGAGAATGAACAACTCCATAATTTTCTTAAAGAAAATGAAAATTGGTCATAGCAAAAATATGGTTGTGATATATAAAAAAAATCACAGAGCTTCTAACACTTGAAATTTCCTGAGTGATAAGACTGTTTTATTTATTTATTTATTTATTTGTTTATTTATTTTTGAGACAGGGTCTCACTCTGTCACCCAGGCTGGAGTGCAGTGGCATGATCACAGCTCACTACAACCTAGACCTCCTAGGCTCAAACACTTCTCTCACCTCAGCCTCTCGAATAGCTGGGACTACAAGCATGCACCACCATGCCCGGCTAATTTATTTTTTATTTATTTTAGAGATGGAGTTTTATCATGTTGCCCAGGCTGGTCTCAAACCCCTGGGCTTAAGTGATCCTCCTGCCTTGACATCCCAAAGTGCTAGGATTACAGGAGTGACCCACCATGCAAGCAAGAGTGTTTTTTTTTGGTATGGTTAATTAGATTACTCATGATGGAGGTCTTACCCTCAGATTAGGGATTTTTCCCTTTTGTATATCCTTACATACTATTTTAATTTTTTTCTCTTTATCATATGCAGCTATGACCTTAAGATTAAATAAACTAAAGAAAAAATAAGGCTTTCTTGTTATTGGCATATCACAGTGAGAAAACTGAAGTTCTAAGTGGCTCACCAGAAAAACGAGCCATGTGATTAGAGGGTTAGAACTTTCAGCCCCACACTCAACTTCTGGGAAGAGGAGAAGGGCTAGAGATTGAGTTTAATCACCAATGGCCAATGATTTAATCATAATGCCGGCATAATGAAGCCTCCATAGAAACTCTTAAACAATGACATCTGGGGAACTTCCAAATTGGTGAATACATTCAGGTGCTTGCCTGGAGAGGGTATGGGAGCTCCACACCTCACCCCATACCTTGTCCTATCCATCTGTTCCATTGGCTGTTTCTGAGTTGTATCTTTTAAAATAAAATTATAAGTGTAAGTATAGTGTTATTCTAAGTCATTCTAGTGAGTTATCTAACCCAAGAGGGGGTCCCGGAAACACCTAAATATGTAGCTGGCTGCTCAGAAGTGTGAATAGTCTAGGGTTCCCATTTGCAGCTAGCATCTGGAGTGGGGCAGTCTGTGAGACTGATGCCTTAACCTTTAGGATCATTTCTATCTCTGTGCAGTGAATGTCAGAATTAAATTGAATTATGGGATAGCCGTTTGGTGTTGGAGAATTGGTTGTTGTTGAAAAGACATAAAAATCATTATCAAAAATAATGAAGAGTCTTCTAGAGGAAAAAATGTTAAATTGGGAAGTGTGAAAAATTGTGCGAAATTAATATTGGCATGCAAAAATTTAAAAATTAGTAGTCAAAGTAGTTACCATCAAAAAAGCTACATCAGAATGTCACAACCAAAATATTATCTACCCATATTTTCAGTCATTACACAGTTTTCATCAAGTGTCATTGGTGTGCACAGAGCGTAGCATTATTCTAATTTTTGAGAGACACACTCTCAGAAACTGATTTCTTTGGTGAAAGAAACACCCTCCCACGTAAAAGATGATTGATATCTACTTTAAAAAATGTCAGGACTCCTTAGCATATAAGAGCTGAAGAGAGTAAAATATAAAGAAGAAACTGAATCATTAGAACTAGTATAATTTAATTTTTAATTTAAATCCTATAATGTTCTGCAAATGTCTGGAATAAAAAGAAAGGACATATGCATATGCATGTATCCTTGTATGCACATACGTATACAAATATACACAGCAAGGCATCACTCTGGAAGGACTCATAAGAGACTGGATTAGGGAGGGAGTGAACGGTGGAAGTAGAATTCGGACGAGTAAAAGAGACATGTTTCCCCCTTTTGTATCTCCTTATGTGCTATTTGAATATTTTTCACTTTATCATACGCAGGTGTTACTTAAGATTATATAAAATAAAGATAAAGCCCTATCATTACTGGTATTTCGCAAATGAGGAAACAAGTTCCAAGTAGTTTAGTACTTATTTATGAAAGCAAGTGAAATAAATCTTCTTTCAGAGCTCCTTCTAGACTTAGCTTTCAGGCATCTAAATCATAAATCACTATTATTAAAGATCTGTATCAGCAGGGGAAAAACAAATTTTTAGATAATGAACAGTAACACCGAAAGCAGTTATCCATGAGATTCTGATGTCTTCACAGGACATTAGGAGAGCTTAGCACTCATAAGGACATTCTCATATTCATAGGTACAGGGGGCAGAGAAATTCTAGGGAGAAAAGGGCGGGTCTCTGACAAAACTCAGCTCTCAATCTGAAAAGCCTGAAACCCATGGCCCAAAGTGACAACTTCTCTCCCCGTTTTCCCACTCGAATGTTGTCTTTTCCTAAACTACCCATGGCCCACCCCACCCCCCATCCTGTGCCCATAAAGACCCCAGAACCAGCTGGCAGAGGGGAGAAGCAGCTGTACATCAGGGACTATGGTTGGACATTGGAGAGAAGCGGGCTTGACTTCAGAGGGACAGCTTGATGGCATAACTTCGGAGAAGAATCAGCCGAATATGGCCGGACTTCAGAGGAAGATTACCTACACACCTCATCCTCTTTTCAGCTTCCCTCCCCGTTAAGGGCCACTTTCACTGGCAATAAAATCCCCTGCATTCACCAGCTTCAATTTGATCATGTGACCTCGTTTTTCCCTGATGCTGGACAAAAGCTTGGGAGCCACGAGTGCAGAGGGCTGTCACACTGGCCCTTTGCCTTCACTGGCAGAGGTCAGCCGCCTCATGTGAAAAGGCAAAGAGCCCAATGAGCTGTTAACACTTAAGCTGCCTGCGGGCAGCAGAGCTAAAAGAGCACTGTAACATGCCCTCTGGGACTTTGTGAATTGCAGGCACCCTGCCTGGACACTGCTGCAGTGCATGCATGAAGTTTGCTCCTGTCAGTGTCCAAAAGAGGTTGCTCCAGCTTCTGCGCCTGCTTACCTAAGTGTTCTCTCCTGTGAGGGGTGGAATGTAGTGGGTCTGAGTCAGTGGAGTTTGATCCCGCCGGCGCTGAAATGGCCAGCGTTCATGCACTCCAGTTCCCACCTTGTTTGCTTACATACTCCCTCCCACATGGATTGAGGGCAGCAGCTGAGTAAATGAAGCACCCCTGTCGTGAGTCCCGGGAAGGGGTCAGGAAAATATCCTTCTTCAATATGAGAAAGGTGGATGCATCATCAAATATACACACAGAATATTTACTGTTCTTGCTAAATAGCCCGACTTTTGATCCAGTGCATGGAGTCCCGAAGAGATAGATCTGGTGGTTTTCACAGAGCACCTTGTAAGTTTGTCACCTCTGGGGTCTCATCTGGCTTTTGTATGAACAAGTGACAGGTGTACACACTACGCTTGGACTTGTTTTTCCTCTTTCTGTAAGATGAAAAAGAGTGCCACATGCCAGAGAGAGGGACGTTTTTTTCTCTACATTAGGCTAAAAATATTTATGTTTAATATTTCCATTTTTTCAGTGATAAAAACTGAGTAAAAGCAAAAGTAGCTATCTTAATTAAGCTCTGAGGCAGGTGAACCAAAACGTATGTTGGTGGCACATTTCCATCCCTAGAGTATTTCCTGACAGATATCAACCTATAAAAGGACTGATTTGCAATGGAAACACCAACACAGCTTTCAGAATAGCAGTATGAATGACACCATAAAATTACAGCTACATGACATGTTTTCTTCTCATAAGATTTAAAGGATTCAAATAAAAAACAACAACCCAATTTCGTTTCTTCACTTGGAGCACTGAAGAAATCCCCACCAGGGCTTGAAATTCAGAAACCAAATGAGCTGCCACTACCATAAGTGATTAAAGAACAACAACAATAACCAAATCACAGCCACAGGGATCTGCTTGCATAGCCAAAAGTGAGCAAAGCGAGAAATAACCTGGCTTAAGCCATTTGCCCAAGTCATCGTATCGCTTTTTTCCCAGTTGCCTGCCTTGCCGCTGTTCCCCTTTGTAGCCATAGCTGTTCACTGCTTCATCACCCCCTACCCCAAATCTCCCTTCCAAAAATGCCCCAGTGCACTCCCAATTGTACAAGCCTTTGGCAAATTCATTTCCGAGGAAAAAAGTCTGCTCTCTCAATAAGGGCTTTGCAAATTGTGGAGAGACAAACAAATGTACGAGACACTAACTGATTTTACATCTTAAATCCCGAAAGCTCCTTTCTTATTCTACAGGCTGTCTCATCTATTGTTCATCACCAGTGCAGTCTTTACTGCATAGCCCAATACCTTGGTCCGTTGTGGGGACTCGGCTGCACCAGGACGAACCTTCCCATTCTACAGAAGCTGCCAACCATGACCCCGGAGGGAATGGCACTTGGCCAGATGAAATCCACACATTACTGTTTGTTATCTTAGGATATTTTACATTCTTGTTAATATTTGGGTTTGGGTGAATGTTACATGGAACAGAAAAGTGAGAGAGAAGAAATAGGTTGTAAAATGTGAAAAGGGAGTAAAATAAAGAATGCTTTATTTCTAAAATGGAGAAGTTGAGAAACGGGTAAAATAATATGAGGAGGGCACTGAAGAATCATTTTTTATGGCTCTATTTTCTATTAAATCTTTCTTTTGATGAAAAGAAATAAACATAAATTGTTCCTGCTTCCATGTCTGTTTGCTGCAACCCCTCCTCACGCCTACAGAGCCCATGCCTGGAAACAGGGAGGCCAGAGAATGGGCTGCTGTTGATACCCAGAGTAGAGAGGAGGTGGTGTGGCCCAAATTACACGGGGCAGTGAGGGCAGAGTGAAGAGACAGACTTCATAGATATTTAGGAGGTACGATGCCAGGAATTTCTAATGCCATATGAGAGGGGACTTGAATCTGGAATAGAGTCAAAAGAGTCAAAGGTAATGTCTTAATTTGTGGCTTCAGCAGAGACTTGTTGGATTGGCAGGGCCATTCACTGCCATGCTGAGGGACAGGATTCAGAGGAAGGAGAAGGCTGACCCTGGAGGCAAACGAGACGACTGCAGTTTAGGAAATAATTCATTTGTGGAATGGAAGGACAAACTGATCAAGCTGTTAAATGTCAGTGCAAGATGATCACATTTTCTTTAGCAAAGAGGAGAGAGGTGACTGCCTCATCCATGTTCTCTTCCTTAGGGTATCTCCTTCAAAACACTAAGGTCCCCATAAAACATCTGACCTTGGATTTCACAAGGCAAGATCATAAGCCTTCCGCCCCTTGAGACTGTAAACACACACATCCATGATGAACTTAGAAGCCTCTCACGGGGTATACCTAGACAATCACACACAACAGGTGTGTCTTCTTGTCTCTCATGGAGATAAGAGAATTGTAATTGTTCTATCTTCTACTTTTACAAATAAATTTGTGTGAAATTCTATACAGACACTGTAGATACTTTCCTGCTACCTTTACATGCACATATGCCTGGGGTAATAGTTACTTGATCTTAAATTGTTCTCTCTCTCTTCTGTATTGGTACGGAGGGGTCTTCCATTGGCAAAATTGTTTTATTTCCTCAAGAGGTAGCTATGGAATATGTAAACAGAGATGTCCAGAAAACGTTTAATGTATGGACTTGATGTCATTGACTTGTAAAATGTCAGACACTATTCCTAGCGTGGAAAGAGAAGGAAAATGGGGTTAAATCCCTGAGGACAGAGACAGGCCACAATAAAGTGCCCACAGAGGAGATAGAGAAGGGTCCATAGAGGAGGAGAAAGGAAGAAGGCCGGGTGCCTCTTGTTGATTTGATTGTGCCTCCCTGGGTCTAAACACACAACAGTGTTTGCTGAATGAATAAATGAAAACTTGCCATTATCTCCCAGTCTCCCAGGACCTGAAGGTGGGAGAACTCTGACCTGAAGGACAGGAACAGTTCCCCGAGGCTTGGCATGCCTGTTGCTTCATATCTCAAAGCTGTCTCTGCTCCCCATGAACACACACCTTCCTTCCCTGTGTTCTCCTTCAGTGGTATATGAGAGATGTCACTGTTCCACATTCTTACCAATATATGGCTTTGTCAGACACTTACATCTTTGCCCATTTATTTATTATTTGGATTGAGTGATGATTTACACTTCCAGAGGATCAAAGGCTGTAAAGCAAAGATTCCCTCTCATCTTCAATTTTTCTCTCTAGAGACCAAGAGTGTTACCAATTTCTTTTTATCTTTTGATAGTCCATGCATATCCAAGAAAATATGTACATGTGTATGTGCATGTATGAATGTATATGTACACACACCCACCTTATTTTATATAAATAGCAGCATGCCATTCTGCACCTTGGTTATTCTATTCAATGATAAAGTTTGGAGATTGCTTGATATTAGTATATAATAAACTTTGTAAGTTTAAAAAAATCTGTCTTAAAATAAATTTAAACTTAACAGAACTTTGCAAGAATGGTATGAAGAAATCCCTTGTAATCTCTAGCAAATTCACTAGTTTTTAACATTTTGTCCCATTTGCTTTAGCATTCTGTTTCTCAAATATTTTTATTATCATTTTTGGGCCACTCAAGAGTAGGTGGCATACATATGACTCTTTACCTTTTAATACTTCACTATGTGTTTCCTAAGAACAAAGCTATTTGTTTGTATAACCAGTGTTCAGCTGTCAAATTCAGAAAATGTGATGTCGATACATTTTTATCTATTGTAGAGTCAATACTCCAATTTAGCAACTGTCTCCAAATGTACTTTATAACATATTTTTCTGTACAAGATTCTGTCTAAGATGCAAAATTGCATTTAGTTCGTGATGTATTTTTGTTCTCCTTTATTCTGAAACAAAAATCTCAGCCTTTGTTTATTTTTAATGACATTGATGCTTCTGGAGAATATATGCCAGATGTTTTATAGAATGTCTCTCGATTTGGGTTTGTATGATAGTTCCTGTTTTTTGCTGTAATGTGACATAAGTGATATTGCACCCATCTTGGGATTCATGTCCAAGGACAGGATGTGTTTGCTCCTCACTGGTGATGTTAACTTTGATCACTTGATTAAGTTACTGTCCCATTGTTCCACTGTACAATTAGTAACTCTTCTTTTGTAATAAGTAATTCATGGGGAGATGCTTGAGATTGTGTTTTCCACCTAGATTTAGCATCCACTGATGATTCCTGTCTCAATCAGTTTTAACAATGGTATTTGCAAGATACTGAGGTTTCTACTTCAATAACACCTTCAATATTTATTAGTCAAAATTATGCTACAAAAAAGAGCTTTTCCTTCTCTTTCTCTCATTCATTCATTATCAGTGTCATCTCATGGGCTCTTATTTTATTCAACGAATTGCAATTTGCCACTATTGATATCTATTTTGTTCCTCAAATTTCTCCAGATTTGGCAAGCAGCAGCCCTTTCCATCTTTCCTCTAGGTCTCTTTCTGTAAAGGAGTTTTTTTTGTGTGTGTACAAGAAAAGTCTCCCATAAACAGGGTACCCACATCCTGAAATGTTTCTGTGTTCCTTGCAACGGATTCTTTTCCGAGATAACTGACCCCTGCTGACCTCTGATCCGTTTCTGTCACTCCAGTTTTGCCTTTTTCTAGAGTTTCATATAAGTGAAATTGTAGGATATGTAGTCTTGGCATTAACTCAACTTGATGAGGATTTTGTTTTGAAAAATTTATTGCTGGATTTGCTAACAGTTTGTTTAGAATTTTCACATACAGATTAATGAGTGAGATTGTATCATAACTTTCCTTTCTCATACTGTCTTTGCCAGGTTTTGAGATCAAGGTTAATATAATCTCATAAAATGACTTACAAAGAATTCCTTTTTCATAATTCCCTAAAAGAATATGTAAAATATTAGAATAATTCATTTCTTAAAAGGTGGGAAGGACTCACAGCTTGATGCTTTCCTTGTGGGAAGGTTTTAAACTACTGACTTAATTTATCTAATTATTATAAGATTCTTCAGGCTTTTTACTTCTTTTTGAGCCTGATTTGGTAAGTTATTCCTGCTAGGCCTCTGATCTTTTAATTGAATTTTAAAATTTAATGATACATAGTTGTTCACAGTATTCTTTCTGAATTTTATAATCTCTGCTACCTCTGTAATTAAGTCCTCTTTTTAAAAATTCCCAATATGGCTTATTTATACCAATTTTTTTATACATTTTTGTTATAAATTTATAATTTTTACATTAAAAATATTACTACATATATTAATACATATATTAGTCAATATATTAACACATCTATTAGTCAATACCTAACCACATATATTAGTCAATATATTAATACATATATTGAATGTATTAGTCCTCTTTATTGTATGTCCGTTTTCCCTCTGGAACCATATGGGGAGAATACGTTTTCCTTGAAGGGTCTTTCTTTCTGGGAGGTAGGTTTTTTCCTGGCCTATTTTTTTCACAGTAGTATAGTCAGCTTCGTGGCTCCCGACCCGGTGCACTTCTCACCTCCAGCTTCTCCACTCTGAGTGGCACCAGGGCTTGGTTTCACCCCAGCCCTCCTGAAATGGCTCATCTCCCAAGCTCTCCTCTTGCCCTGAGGACAGAAACAGATTCAAGTTAGGAGGTTATTACTCACTCATTTGCTTTCAGCTTCTTTTTCTTTTTTTTTCCTCCTTGTAGGTGTTTTATATGCTGTCTTGCAAACCCATCAATAAATTTTAAAATGTGCTTCTTATAATGTATCCAGAGGATATTATAATAGAAAGGCATTTAAAAATATCAAGGCTCTGTGCTGCTTAAAAGCTGAAGTCCATTTAATTAAAGACCAATTTAAACTAAATAAAAGTTAGAAAAGAAAAAATGATTCTATACAGTGGTGCTGTTTAAAGGAACTACAGCGTGAGTTATACATATAGCTTGAAATTTTCTGATTACCACACTAAAAAGAAGAAAAAGAAATATATGAAATTAATTGTAATAATACATATATATTTTAACATGTAAGTACATCATCTTTCCTTTAATTTACAAAATATATTTCTATGGTTCTTTAAAAGATATATGTCATTTAATCCAATATATCCAAAATATTACCGTTTCAGTGTAATATAATTGTTAATAAAATATTTTACATTGTTTTGCACTACATCTTTAGAATCTAATGTGTATTTTTATACTTGTTGTCCAGCTCAGATTGGACAACATTGTTTTAAGTGTTCAATGTCACATGAGGTTAGTGCTAGTGTATTACTTAGTACAGTTCATAGCATCTTTACCAAGTTTTTCTTACATTTATCTAGCTATTCTGTGTCTCTTAATCTCTCAGGTCTTTTCCTGATATCATCATTTTCTTTTGCTTTTAGAAAATGATTCTCATTTTCTCTATATGTAAAGAGAGGAAAACAGTTCAGGAGCTTCTTTGGCATAACAATTTTAATTCATATCACACCTTGATATTGTAAAAATATTTCTAATTGTTCCAACAACTCTGCCTTCTTAAAGTCTATTTCAAGCAAGAAATGAGAGAGAAGCTCAACACTTTGAAAGTTTAAAAGCTTGGATTTGAAAATAGTTCACCATTTTATGTGCTCAGAATTTGTATTCATTTTGTTAAGGTGTCCAAAATAGTTCAGAATATTTGTAAGTGTTGTATTTTAGGAGATGAAAGATAATTCAGTTTTTCCATGCTAATGGAGATAAAACTTTGAAATATCTTGATGTCATAGTCATAGAAAGATCCTTCAAGGAAGATGTATTCTCCCTATATGGATCTAGATGGAAAACAGACATAAAATAAAGAGGACTAATACATTCAATATATGTATAAATATATTGACTAATATATGTAGTAATGTATTGACTAATAGATGTGTTAATATATTGACTAATATATGTAGTAATATATGTAGTAATATTTTTAATGTAAAAATTATAAATTTATGACAAAAATTTATAAAAAGATAACTTTACAGTTGTGATCATACCAAATATATCTAATCATTTATTTCACTATATGTTTAAAAAGTAAATGACCTATCACATATAGTACTTACTATGGTACTAGGCTCTGTTTAGGCACAGGGGATAGAAGTAGGAATGATTCATTCCTGTCATTGTGGAACATCTAGAGGTAGTTTCCTATAGATATAGACATTCATTTCAGTTTTGCAAGAAGTATAATTAATGCTATCTATATATCTATCTGTGTATTTATCTATGGATACTCCCAGGTGGAATATAAACCCAAAATAGGTCAGGCACAATTTTCCCTCTGTAGATTAGGAATTTGGAAAATTTTTATAGACAGGCTGTATTTAATCCAGGTATTGAATAATGTTCAGTCATGAAACACACACTTTTTGTCAATGACTCCAGAATAAGTTTAACCTATGGAGCTGAGAAGCATTCCTAAGTGTAACCATTTAATTAACAGCTAAATTTTGAAAATATTCACCTATTTGCTTCAGTTTCTTTTTTAGGTATAGCCATGATCATCCAGAAAATGAAGTAAAACATTTCAAAATAATTAAAGATTTTACCTTTCTTGATAAAAAATTGGTAGTTTTTTTAAAAAAGCATTTTTTCTAAGTAGGGAAGATATTCATTTTAATAATGTATTGACTAAAAATAAGTGATTCAAGGTTTATGGAATAACAATGTGAAATGTTTTTCCTAGTGTACAAGGGCTGTTTCCTAGAATGTTTTTGCTTCTTAGTTCTTATACTTCCTTTCTCAATATTTACAGACAGTCCTTTCTTTTCTCCCTCCCTCCCTTTCTTCCTTCCCAATGAGAAACCAAATTAAGTCCTTTAGTATGAAGATTGCAGATCCTTAAGTGAATCGGGTGTGTCTCAATGATAGTTCCCTTGCCTTCTTATTAATCTTGAGTAAAAGCAAGTCATAAACATTTTTACCAGAATGGAAAATGCATGAGAATAGAGTAAGTTGATTGTCTTTGACTTTGAGTAATTTTTAACAGCCAAGGAAAGTGGCTTGTATTCCAATTAACACCCTTCAGAAACTGCCACCAATGAATGAAAATGCCCGGGATACACTATGCAAAATAATATTTTTGTCAGAGGAAATTGAAAGCTACCAGAAAACACAGAGCAGAGAGAACAGCCGGGAGACTATGACATCAAGATATTTCAAATGTGGAATTTATGACTGGAGAGTCGTTTCAAAGGCATCTCAACCCTTTGATCTTAACTGTGGCAGGATCAAAGTCCCATTCGGCCAGTGAGTAAGAGCACTGACATGGGTCTGTTGATGCGGCTCTTTGGAGCAGGAAGAAGAGCACCGAAAAATATTCCTTCTGTGTCCACTGTGCTCAAAAAGAAAGATTGTGTATCATTTCAACTAAAATCACAGAAATTTACTAGTGGTTTGCTACTGGATTTTAAATGCCCTTTCATATACATATTTACAATAGAAACTATAATAATATGCAATCATTTAGCACCCAATATTCCTAAAAGTGGCCACTTGAAGGAATAATTGCATAGCCATGGTACAATTCTACTAAAGCCAAAATACATAATTATCCCTTGATCCCCTTCCCAAAATATGTTATGTGCCTCATAGACTGAACTGAGAAAAAGCATTGTGCCCAGTGCGAACTCAGGCAGCCTTGCCTGGAAGGTGCTACTCTCTCTCCCCAACGCAGAGCAGGAAGTGAGAAGGAACTCAGCTGGACAGGATAAAAATGCTAGGCAGCTTTCCAGCTCCTTCAGAGCAAGTCTTGACAGTGGACTTCATTAGTTTTATTAGAGCATCATCAATTCCCTAAATGTCACATGGAGCTCTATTCAAATACCAGCAAAGAAATATAATCCAAAGACAAACATACCTTGTTTGGTGATTATTCAGTGTTTATAAATATTCACATCCTGGCTCTTCTCCAGGGAAAATATGAAAAGCGTGGAGAGCTGATGATTCTTGATCCTGATCAGTCATATTGGGAACTCGATTTCCTTATGTTAAAAAGAAGGGAGATGTTATAGTTAGGATTAAAGTAGCCCCTTCTAACAAAGTTCCAGCAGGTTAAGTTCTGAGACTCTAAGAAGTTAGTACCTCAGGGATCAAAGTGATTCACCAAACCAAGCCTGGGACCATTGTGGCCTTTCTTGCCATTCCTATAACCGAACTTCATTTGGTTTGTCTTTTCCATGCCCTTACCACTGCTAATCTCTTACTACTGTTAATCTCCTGATAGAACTCATATAATATTCTTGTAAGTGATCTCATTGACTTCATTGAAACTCCCCAATTTATCCTATACACCTGCATTTTCCAAGGTGTCTACTTGGAACCTTAATCCCATGAGATATTTGGTGAGAGAAAAATCCAAAGATTTCTTCATGAAATGGGCTTGGGAAAAGTTACATGTTCTTTTTCTTGGAGAAACAAAACAAAGATAGGGAAGTTAAAGATTTTTGAGAAGTCTTAAAAATTGTTAAGTATGCTTAACCTATCATTTCCAAAGTTTATTTGACCAGAAATAATTTTAAGTCATGACTTTTAATATACAAAGTTCCCTAGAAATTTTCTTTGCAAAACATTGCTATATGTTTATGTTAAAGTGATCATTCTAAGATGCAAATTGAATATGTCCCAGTTGTGCTTAAATATTGCATTGACCATCGATTCCCCATAAGATCAAGTTCAAAACTACCCAGCAGGGATACAAGGCCCTTCATGCTTTTGTCCCCAGTTACACGTTAAGTAACTTCCAAACTTTTCCTGACACATACTTCACCTGTTTTCAAAGCATACTCTGCTCTCCAAGACCTCCTATGTGATACTCTTTGTCTGTATTCCCCTTCCTACCTTATCCAGACAGAAAATCCCTACTCAGCCTTTAGATACAGCTCAAGCATTAGCTCCTCTTGGAAGATTTCCCTGGCAAGCATAACTAGCCAACCCACAATCTGCAAGATTTCTGTGCTTTCCTCCAGGTTTGTGGAACACCCTGTGTCTAAGTGTCTACTTGTACAGGCTGTTTGTACTGCAGTTTTTGTGCATGTCCTCTCCACTGTGCTTCAAGCTTCTTGATAGTCTGGCTGTAGTATATTTGTATTAGTATCTTTTTTAAGTGGGTTAAAGGAAGACTGTAAGTAGAATGTGTTAAAGGAACAAATAAGTACATGAGGAAAATTGTCTAACAGAAGTATAATAGTAAATGGAGAGAGTTAGGTTGAATTATCTTGAATTCAATTAAAAGAGATTAGATTGACCTAATATAAAAAAGATAGATTGAATTCTTTTAAGTTCTCTTTGAAAGGGCAGAAGAAATATGTAGAAACTACTTTAGGCTATTGGATTTATTTCCTGCTTTTAAGACTCTAATTCATTTTCTTGTGAGCTGATTCTATCCAGGCAAGTTTATGAAAATTCTATGTGAGTTGAAGGAAACCTCACACATATTACAGTCCACTTATTCAAACATATAAACAATTACAGCACACTTTGAGGAGGGCTATGATTGGCTGTCTGCTGTGAAGTGTGATCAGCATGGTGATCAAGAAAAGCATCCAATAGGCAGTGATGTTTATGCATAACCACAAGGTGGATTTAATTCTCCATGCCTAGAGACAAATACAAAAGCTGAAGAGGCATTTGCATCTTAGGAGAATGCTGGAAAGCAATGTTGGAAATAAGATCAATGTTTCTATTAGCACAGGATCCTCAAGTAAAGTCAAAGCCAAAGCTAAAATGTAGCTCTGCTACAGCATAATGGAGTGTCTTTGCTCTATACCCTTGTTTATCTTCCTGCACTAAAGTGATAAATGAATTTGTAACTGCCTTTGAGATTTCGTAACTCTCAGAAGCAATGCTTTTCTTTTTAAAAATGATTTCAAAGGAAAAATAAAATATTCCAAAAACCATGTAGGCAATATTTAGAATGCTTGGGCAAACAAATGCGTCTCTTCATGGTTAATTATAAAAGAAAAAAGAAAGCTTGCCTTCTATCTGTTTTCCCTCCAATATTGTTTTTTTTTCTTCAGCAAACTAGATATAGTTCAATAAAGAAATGACCTTAAAAAAATTTATCGTTGATGACAGTGTTTGGTAGGATGTGATTTAAGCACTCCTGATTGGTGATGTATGTTATTTTAGACTTAAAGATGATATTACTGAGCCACTGTTAGTCAGTCAAGCACTTTAAATCCTTTCCTGCATGGAAAAGGGTTATAGCAAACCATCTGCTCAGTTGTTTTCGTGAAAAGTTAGACACTTATTTTTCTCTTTAACAAGAATGTTTTGAGCTCTGCTACATGGTAGGTATTGCATCAGAGATACATTGATGAATGAAGATAATTCTTGATATTTACTGGAGAAAGAAAACAAATAAGTAGGGTTTTGCAATACAATTGTATAATTTTATTCTAGGAGTGAAAATAGAGGATGCTATGTGAGTATGTAGCAGTGCATCTAATCCAGATTTGAGAGACACTGGGATGGGAAACATTTATCAAGGCAGCACACACCAGTAGACTAACTGACCAGCTGAGTTAGATGTCTGGTTTGTGGCTAGGTCACATTAGTCTCTCTTTATGGATTTGTTCAGATCCTTGGTCTTGTCAGAATGATGCTAACTTTGCCTCTTATTCCAATGGCAATGTGCAATTATAGTTACATCTATTAATGAAGCTAGAAAGCTTTTCTTATTTCATGTCTATGAAAATCTACATTTTAACACCTTTTGTGAGAAACTCTAGTTTACACATATTTGAAAGTCTTTTCATTGAATAAGACACTCAACAAAAATGTAAATGAAAGACCAGCACATTTTCATTGTGATGACAGCAATGCAAATTGATGGAAGAAATGATATCTACCTCATTCTTGTTCTCTCTCTCTCTCTCTCTCTCTCTTTCTTTTCTTCTGGCTTTCTTTCTCTTTTGTTGAGGACACTGAGGCATACAGGAAGGCAGTTACGTGTTCTGGTTTATACCTTTAGATAATAAGACCATTACAGATGAGCTTTGTTAGTCCTACTGAATAACAGTAATAAAATTTACCATTATAATCACTATTATAGTATGACTAGTTATAAATATATTAGGTTTAAACATGACAATGCCAATTGGTATGTAAAAAATGTGGAATATTGGAAATTTTAAATGATTCATATTGATATTATTAGTATATTGTATGTTTAAAAACCATAAATGTATCATAATTCATAAATAATAAACAGTATATGATTTATTACTGAGAATAGATTTGTGGAAGTACTGTACCTCAGAAGCAGGTAATAAGGGGGTGTGTTTCCTGTAGAGAATTTTAAAACAAGAAAAAACAAACTGACTAAAAATCAGCTTCCTTTTTATTATCACCATGGGTTGGCAATTCTAAATAATGTCAGATATAAGATGTTCCCCCTCCAAATAGCTTTTGTTGGTTTAAGTTCCAGACAATTGCTATAGTTACTTGTGGATACATACATGCGTGTACACACAGACACACACACACACACACAGTTCAAATTAGCCCATTTTATTTTTTAGCCTTAAATAAACCTTGTGTTCTATGTAGAAGTTAATTGGGAGAACTTCTGTTTTACAGAGAGTCTTTACCTTGCAGCCTCAGTGACACATGTTAACCTACAATGGCTCTGAATCCTTTACGCTTGCTTTGGTACAACCCCTGTATTTATTAGTGTCCCTGCATTTAAACCATGTGTTCTACATAAACAATAGTAGGATGGGGATTATGAAGATGCAAATAAATAAACAGAACTTGAATTACTTCAATTCTGGCCCTTTTTCTAAAGCGATGAATCAAACAATACCATAGAAACAGAACAGAAACAAATTGTGATACATCTGTATACTGGGATACTGTTGGAATGATACACAAAACAACCTGGCTTAATTTCCAAATAATTATGCTAAAAGAAGCCATCAGAAAAGAGCAGATGCTGCATATATTCTATGTAAATGAAATTCTAGAGAATGTAAATTAAACTATAGTTACAGAACACAGGTCAGTGGTTGCCTGGGATTAGGAGTGGGCGGAAAGTGGTGGGAGGCGGGGATTATAAAGAGGAATAAGGGAACTTTGGAGGCGACGGATTACGGGTGTGTGTATATACATATCAAACTTATCAAATTGTATACTTTAAATGTGTGCAGTCTACTCTATGTTGATTGTACTTCAAGAAATCTGTAAAAATGCTAAGTATGCCACTGTTAAACAAATATAATAAAGCACTGATATATTTATAAACAATTTTCCACCAATCAGGAATTTTAACTTACTGTTTCTCAATCTTGTCTTCTCTATCCAAATGAATCAATGGCTACACTAGATTGGATTTCAGAACTCATCTGGTCCAAGAGAAAGACATTGTCCATTGGAGTGGCTGTGGGGCAGGAGGAATTGTTTTGAGTGGGGATGGCAGTTGATAGATGGTAAACTGCAACTAATTACTTGAAATTTTTTTTCAAACCAGTACAAAATGATTTGAAGCCTCAGGCCAATTTTCAGTAAAATATCAAAGGAAAAGGCCAGTGATGAAAAGATACATAATTTATAATAATCTAGCTGGACACTTACAGAAAATTCTAGGTCAATAGGGGCTTTTTTTGCTTTCTTGATCATTTATAGCCATCATTGCAGCACTTGAGATATTGATGAAGGATATGAATTAATGTGGGATGAAAGAATGCATACAGGTACAAGTTAAGACTCCCCCAGGTCCTTTTATATTTCTTTCTTTTTGGTGGGGCGGGGGTGCAGGGTCTCACTCCTGTTGCCCAGGCTGGGGTGCAGTGGTGCAATCATGGCTCACTGCAGCCTTGATTTCCCAGGCTCAGGTGATTCTCCCACCTTAGCCTCCCAAGTAGCTGGAATTACAGTTGTGCCCTATCACACCCAGCTGATTCTTTGTATTTTTAGTAGAGATGGGGTTTCACCATGTTGTCCAGGCTGGTCTCCAAGTCCTAGGCTCAAGGCATCCACCCAGCTTGGCTTTCCAAAGTGTTGGGATTATAAGCATGAGCCACCATGCCCAGCCCCCATGTCCTTTCTAATCGTCAGAGATCAGATGACTCAGAGATATACAAAGGAGAACAAAAGCAAATAAATCACCAGGCTATAGAAGCAGAAATTCCTGTGGCCTTCCATTTTTGTCTCAAGAATTTTTCTTTATTGCCCCAAATGCTCCAGCCAAAGGAAACAGGAAGTTCTGATACTATTAGGGGACCTCCTTATATACAAATCAGCAGTGCACAAACTGACAGAACATTTCTCATCTATGGGGCAGCAGGAGAGGAAGGGCTTCTGTGACACTTGGTTCAAGTGTTTCTGCTTCCCCACACTGCCCCTACCCAGGTCTAGAAAGGATCCATACACCTTGCGGCCAGCATTTCACTCTCCTGTTAGGTGATGGCTCACCTGACCTGTCTCAAACCAGGCTGGGGTTAACTCAACTCACACCTCTCACAGTCCTCATCACTAGGGATATAATTGCCTACTCTCATTGCATCAGTTGGCATTCCATAACAATCAAAAACAATGAACAGAATTAAACTCAGTTGGTTAAAATGTTGTCTATATCCCATTGAGATTTATAAATGATCTCTACTTATTGGGCCCAAGTCTTAGTGTATTAGGGTGACTGAGTGACAGCATGGTGAGCCTAATTCCATTGAAAGAAGGTTTTTAATGCAGTTCCCCACTAAACAAGAGGCACAGCATGTACCAGACACAGCCACATGGGAAAAACACCATGGTGCTCAGGATGCAGAAAATAGGAGCAAGGGGAAGGTATAGGCCACAGTTTTCAGTTTCTGAAAGAAATGCAAGTTGTGGCAGGGCAAACAGACTAGGATTGGCTCATTTGAATAATTCGGGTGGTTCTGGTGGGCTTTGAGCTATAGCAGTGGTCTGTGGTTGCCTGGCACCTGGCTCTGGGATGATCACGTGAGAGGAATATTGCCTCCTGGGGTGGATAAACCAGATAGAGGAGGTATGGCTCTAGATTGATTAGTTTGTATATCAAAGACATACTCCTGGCTAGGTTATTTGTTATCTTTAAAAATTGGCTAGTCCCAAGAAGGGCAGTCTCTCCTCAGCCAGAAAGGGTTTTCAGGATGTCACAATATGACATTATACAAAAAAATTAAAATATATACTTACAATACACTTCAGACCACATTTCAGTAGCTCCAGGGACCACAAACCAGCAAAATTTATACTCACTCCACACATTCAAAAATGCCATTCGAGAAAATATATCACTTCACTCTCTTGGCAATGGAAAGTTTCCTAAATAACCCCTCAGTAATGTCGTTCAAAAAATTAAATACCATCTGAACACAATAAGGATTTAAATTATGAGCTAGTTTTAAATTATGAACAAACACTTCAAAATATAAGAGTAACTGGAATTCTTTTAGACACATGTCTGTCTTTAAAGATGAGATTCAAGTATATTGGTTTAATTCAAAATTAAAAAAGACTAAAATATCAGTTTTAAAGTTGTGTAACAAACAGAAAATATGTCTTCCGAAGTCAGTGCAGCTTGGTGGAGGACATTGCTGTGTCAGAGGTATTCTGCACTCACTTTTATATGCTTCCTGGGTGAAGTTGTCTTGCCTACCTCTGGGCTTCTGTACTGTCCTCCATGCTCTTCCATCTCCCTTCATCCAATCAAGCTCCTCCTCATGAGGTAAACACTCATCTCTTATGAATCAGCCCAAGCATCACCTTCTTTAAGAAGCATCTCCTGATACTGACCCTACTTGTACACAATTGTCTCCATACAATTAAACTCTCTGCCTCTGCCTTTTCTTGCCCAGTGGCCCATCATAGCAACTTTAGCATATAGTGTCCTTTCTACCTGACCGTAAGTCAGGCCCTTAATTTTATTTGATATTCCATCACTAGCATTTTCAACAATGCTCAGTGCATTGTGATGTTTAATAAAGGCATTTGGAATGGTTCTGTGGAGTTGAAATACCCCTACCAGTTCCTAATGTAACTCCTTTTCTCTCATTCAAATATTTTTAATTAAAAAATCTTACATTTTGAAATAATTTTAGATTTATAGAATATTGCAAAATTAGTACAGTTTCTATATACCATTCTTTCAGCTTTTCCTGACATTCATATCTTACATAACCATGATGCAGTGATCAACAGTAAGAAATTAACACTAATACAATATATTATTAACCAACAATATATTATTAACCAATATTATATAGATTTTGTTTGGACTTCATCAGTGTTCCATGGAAAAACTGTGTCATTTTTCTTTTACAAAATCTAACCCAGGACACCACATTGCATTTAACTGTCTTCTCCAATCTGTGATACTTTCTCTGTCTTTCCTTGTCTTCCATGACTTTGATACTTCTGAAGAGTACTGGATGGACTGGCTAGGTATTTTGCAGAAAGTGCCACAATTTGGATTTGTTTAATGTTTTTCTTCTCTTTTCTTTTCTTTTTTTTTTGAGATGGAGTCTTGCTCTGTTGCCCAGGCTAGAGTGCAGTGGCGTGATCTCAGCTTACTGCAAGCTCCGCCTCCCAGGTTCACGCCATTCTCCTGCCTCAGCCTCCCAAGTAGCTGGGACTGCAGGCACCCACCACCACACCCGGCTAATTTTTTGTATTTTTTTTTTTAGTAGAGACGGGGTTTCACTGTGTTAGCCAGGAAGGTCTCGATCTCCTGACCTCGTGATCCACCCACCTTAGCCTCCCAAAGAATGTTTTTCTAATAATTAGATCATAGCTATAGGTTTGGGGGAAGAAAACTACAGAAAAGATGTGGTGATCTCATCACTTAATATCAAGGTGTACATAATATCAATATGACTCATTCCTGGTGACATTAATCTTGATCACTTGGTTAACATGGTGACTGTCAGATTTCTCCATGGTAAAGTTATTAACTAGTATAGCTCCTCCTTAATAATAGATTCTTAATAAATATTGCATTGCTCTTTTCAGCAGTAGTCATTGACTTTCTATAATAGGCCAGATAGACCTGGTCTAGGTATTAGAATACAATAATTTTTAAAAGAGCCCCAATTCCCTTTCTCAAGTAGTTTATATTCTAGAAGGAGAGGCATACAATAAATAAGATAAATAAAAAAATATGAGGTATATAGATAGTGACTCATATTAAAGATAAACACAAAGGAAGGGAGTGGGGGAGAGTTGGCATTTTAGGTGAGCTTGTCAGAGAATGCCTCCCTGAGAAGTGAAAGACTGAATATACAGATGGACAATGGTCGGACCACATAAAAAAGTAGAACTCAGGGCCACAAGCTGCAGCAAGCTGCTCAGAAAAACAACCCCAGTATCGACATCTACAATAAACAGCCCAGGAAGCCCACCTGCAACCTATGAGTCAGACTTATAAGAAGTCAGACTACTATCTTTGATAACAATTCAGGAAGCTGAACAATAACCTCTGTAATAATCATCCCCAAGTGGCTAGGACTTGATTAATAACTGACAGTTTTCCTGATTTTTGTCCCCCCTTCCAATGTAGGACAAATCAGAGAAAGCCAAATATGCAGCTCTAACCAATCCCATAGGGAGCCCCACTCCTAGTTAGCCTGCCTACAGCTTCCCCACACCAACAGCCTCCAATCCTGGTGTACGGAAAGCCTTCCCTTTTTTCCACTACTAAGCTTTCCCACTCCTCTGCATGCCTTTGAGTTCTTGCCAAAATGGAAGAACTCAAAGTTGATGGTGGCTGACCCCATCGCTATAGCAAGCTCTGAGTAAACAGCTGTGGCCTGTTCTAATTTGGTTGGTCTTTATTCCCATGCGAGGTGACATGTGAATGAAGCCTTCGGGCAAGGACTTGGAGCCATTATGATATCTGGGGAAGAGCATTGCAGGCAGAGAGAAAGACAAGTGCAATGACTCTGAAGTGGAAATAGCAGGACAGGCTATTGGACTGGAACAGAGGGAGAGGGAGAGGGTAGCAGGAGTAGTAGGGGAAAAGGTCAGAAGTGCAATGGGGAGAAAAGAGAGCGGGTCGTGTAGGACCCTCTAGCTCATGGAAAGGGCTTTGGATGTTACTCTGCGTGAGATCAGAAGCCATCAGAAGATCTTGAGCTAAGGAGTGGTATGATTTAGTTGACCTTTTAATAAGATTGTCCTCGTTGCTGTGTTTTGGACAAATGACATAGACAAAAAATGAAAGCATGGAGATAAACTAAGAGGCTGCATGCTTATTCAAGCGAGAGATGATGGTTGCTTGACTAAGGTGGGAGCAGTAGAGCTGGTAAGAAGTGTTCAGGTTGTGGATACATTTTGAAGACTAAGTTATCAGGATTTGCTGATGGCTTATAATATATGGGGTGTGCAAGAAAGATAGTGTCAGTCTTAACTACTTTTGACCTGAGCATCTAGAAGAATATGTGTGACTTTTACTGAGATGCAGAGGATTACAGGAGCAAAGGTTGGGGAAAATATCAGGAACTTAGCTTTGTAAATGTTAGGGTTTGGGTGTTAATTAGATGTCCAAGTGGAGATGTGAGTAAGTAATTGAACATATCAGTCTGATATTCATGAAGAAGCTTCCTCCTAAAGATACTAATCTGTGAAGCATCACTATTTAAGTGGTCTTCAGAGCCCTGAGGATGGATCAGGTCAACAATGCAATGAGTGTGGATAGAAAAGAAAACAAGGCCAAAGACCGAGCCTGGGAGCACTCCTGTATTTAGAGGTCAGAGAGATGGGGCTGAACCAGCAAAGGAGACTGAAAAGGAATGGCTAGGGTGGTAAGAGGAACATTATGTTCATTCAACAGTGGTTCAGGAAAGGCACTTGCACTCTACTTACAGAAAAAGCAATGGGCCATTTCCTTATTGTAGCACAGCCTCCACAGTCTACCATAGGAAGAAAGACGATGTCTGTCTGTGGGCTAAGTGAGTCCATTGGAGTCCATGAGGATATCAGTGGCATCATTTATCATGGCACAGGCAGAATCAGAATTTATAAAGGATAAAGAAAAATGTGTGCTTATTTTATAAAAATGTATTTGCTGACTTCCTACAATAGTGCTATGGTTTGAATGTGTCCTCTTCAAAATTCATGCTGAAACTTAATCCCCACTGTGGTGGTATTAAGAGATGAGGCCATTTGGGAGGTGATTAAGTCATGAGGCATCTGCCCTCATGAATGGATTAGTGCATTATAAAAAGGCTGGAGGGAACTAGTGTAGGACCTTCTTTGCTCTCCTGCTGTTCCTTCATGTGAGGATACAACATTCTCCCACCTTTGCTCTTTTACCTTCCACCAGGCTAGGACACAGTGTTCAGGTGCCATCTTGGAAGCAGAGACTGGACCCTCGCCAGACACAAAACCCACTGGCACCTTGATCTTGGATTTCCCAGCCTCTGGAACTGTGAGAATAAATTTCTGTTCTTTATAAATTACCTAGTTTC
The DNA here is from genome assembly GCF_000001405.40 of Homo sapiens. Classification (NCBI taxonomy): domain Eukaryota; kingdom Metazoa; phylum Chordata; class Mammalia; order Primates; family Hominidae; genus Homo; species Homo sapiens. Next base: position 34,031,282 of record NC_000013.11, read on the forward strand.
TGATAGTTTGTTAAAACAGTACAAATGGACTAAGACAAATAGAGAAAGAAGGCATAAGTTTGTGTGTTTCTACTTTGAGTGATTTTGGTCACAGGTCTACCGCCAGAGAGTCCCTCCAGATACAGGGACTCCCCACATAATGGGGTCTTCCACTCCAGCACAGCTCACGCAACCAAGGCGCAGTCCTGGGGGATGATTTCAGGGCAGGGCTATTTCCAGGCTGCCTGCTCCCTCACCAGTTCCTCTCAGAACACCCTGATGGCATCAACACCTGAAATTTTTCAGCTATTACTTCAAACTGCCTCAATGTACCAAAAACCATGATGCTAAGCCATATCAAGGGGGATAAAAGAGTTTTCCCCTCAACTAAATCAAAAGGGAAAACAAAACAAAACAAAAGCTGATGAAATCACAACTTACAATAGTAGAATCAGAAAAGCTGGTCATAAAGCACACGGTGAATTCAAAGCACTTTGGCCGAAGGCAGACTGTATATCTCTCCGGCAGGAACTCATGCTGCACAGCTGTTTTGTCTCTGGCAGTGTCAAATCCTATACCTGCTGGAAGCAACAGGGAACCCAAGTTCAGGAGCACAGTTTTTTTCTTACTCAGTATATAAGGAAGAGCTTGGGAAGACTACAGAATATTTGCTGCCATGTATTTGCATCGAAATCCTTTTAAACCAACTGCAAGAGGAAACAGAAATATTCCAGCATCTGAAAGAACAAAGAGTGTAGTCTTCTAGAGAAATAATGTTATTTGCATGAATATATAAACCCTGTAGTAAATTATTTGTTCAAGCCTCTATGGAAAATTCCTGAGCAAATAGACAGAAGCAAAATAGGAAGTAAAATGCTTCAATTTTACCCTTTCTTTAAAGCACATTTTAATTCCTTAGACATTGGGACAAATTTCAGAAGTCTTCTTGAAGAAGCAATATAGTACCCCCTGAGGTCGTCTTCCTGGGATCAGATGCTGGGTGAATTCACTGATCTCAGTTCACCGGGGGCTGGCAGCATCATTCCCATTTCTCTTACAGTTGGTAAAGGCATCCATCTGCCACTATAGCCTGTGTTTTCATGGTCTTTTTGAGACTGAGGCATCATCCTCATTTTTTAATAGATATTTTTGAAACTAAAGGAAAGGGTTCCTTAAGGATAAATAGCTCAGTCCTATTTCTCTAGAAATTTTACTTAATAGCTGTGTGATTTTATGTAAAGCATAACCCCTCTCTTGGCCCCAATTTCCTCAACTATAAAATGGCAATAACTATCTATGTTGTAAGAAAACAATATAAATAATCTAGCATGTGAAAGAACTGAGCACAGTATCTGGAATATACAGATACTTAGTAAATCTTTGCTCTGTAAAGGAATAAAAAGGCCTGAATATTTAAAAGAGACCGATCATATTCCTGAGGAATACTTGTGATCTAGCAATACAAATATCTGATGGGAACGCTATTTCAAAATGAGAGCAATGGTATCTTGAAATCAAAATCCAGAACAAAATGTTCCACAGATAATTAATGCATTTTAATATTTACAAAAGACAGACACCAAGTTTCATTACTTCTGTTTTCAGGATTTAGGAGATGTGCAAATTTTGTAATTTATCATTCAATTTCAAGACCAACCTAACCCTTCCTTCCTCCCGTGCTCTCTCTTCTGAGACTCTGACATCCCTAGGACTCAGATGACCAGAACTGGTTATTTTTATGGCATCAATTTTCAATAACAATTATGCAACTCATATTTAGTTTTAATTATTATTTTAAAATTAGATTTATAGAACATAAAATACTGAATGGTATGCATTTTCAATGAACCTTTGAACTCTTGAGGAACTTTTGTAAAGAAGTTAACAAGGCCTGTTGGACTAAAAGTTGTCACCAAATGAAACTATGCTGAAAATGTGTTTGTGTGTTATTGTCTGTGTTTATTTGTAGGGAAATGGACCCACTAATCTTGCCATCTCACTCAACTAAATCAGTATTTCCACTTTCTGTGATTCATTCAGTAGTACTAATAGTTGCCCTTTGCAGAACAATTATTATATTCCAGGCTTTATATAACTTATCTCATTTGATCTTCACCACAAACTGTGAATACTTTTATTATCCCCATTTGACAGATGAACCAAGTTTCATAACTTGAGGCTCCTGAGATCAGTTCAAGTAGGAAAGTGGGGAGATGTGGCATATTAATAAGGAATCGGGTGGGATAAGCATAAACTAGTTAATATTTGGGCACGATCTTATTTTTTCCTAAGTATAAATTATAGATTGTTTCTGAAGAAAAAAGGTTTTTTTTTTTTTTTTTTTTTTTTTGTTTGTTTGTTTTTTTTTGAGACAGAGTCTCGCTCTGTCACCCAGGCTGGAGTGCAGTGGTGCAATCTCCACTCACTGAAAGCTCCGCCTCCTGGGTTCACGCCATTCTCCTGCCTCAGCCTCCTGAGTAGCTAGAACTACAGGCGCCCACCACCACACCCGGCTAATTTTTTGTATTTTTAGTAGAGATGGGGTTTCACCATGTTAGCCAGGATGGTCTCGATCTCCTGATCTCATGATCCGCCCGCCTTGGCCTCCCAAGGTGCTGGGATTACAGGCGTGAGCCACCGTGCCCAGCCAAGAAAAAAGTTTTGATAAAAAGTACATAAAAAGTTAGAGTTTGGGAGTTCTGATTTTATCCATGAAAGATTAAGTGCTCTGAGATTTGCCTTCCACCATATCCAACTAGAAAACCAAACAAAATATAGAGCATAACAACTTTCAAACATTGAACAAGAGGTAGGACCATGACTCCAAGAGAAGGGAAGTAAATGTACTGAGTCCTGTAATTGTCCAGGTTCGAAGGCAGTTTCGATGCATAGCACAGGGTAGGAACCCAAGCAAAGCCCAGTGGTCTTACAGAGTCGAGGAGGTGGACTTCAGAATCCAGGCAGTTAGAACTTTCAGTATTTACAGAATCCTAGAGCAGAGAAAGCTACACACACACATATACACAGAGAAAGAGAGAGGACATGCTCTGGAAATCTTCAGAGTTCTCTGAAATCTTTGGCTTTTTAGATCAAGTTTAGCCTAAAGCTGCCTCCTTACATATTTTAAGTTTGGCTTAAAGGTTTCTCTGTACACTGTGAACTATCACAAGTGGAAGTGTAAACAGACTGTACCCTACACTTGTGCCAATCACCAAGTTTTGGCCAATCAAATGTAGCTAACTGTTCAAATCATGTTCAACTAAGGCAAATGTGGAGCTGTAGCCAATCCGGCTTTTTCTGTCCCTCACTTCCATTTTCTGTATGTTTCCTTTTTCTGTCCATAAATCTTTCACCATGTGGCTGCACTGGAGTCTCTGAGCCTGCTGTGGCTCAGGAGGCTGCCCGATTCACGAATCATTCATTGCTCAATTAAACCATTTTAAATTTAATTCGGCCGAAGTTTTTCCTTTATCAGGCTAAATATCAAGTACAGGTACAGGGCTCTGTGAGGCTGAATATCAAGTACAAGTACAGGTATAGGACTCTGTGAGGCTGGGAGACAGAATAATTCCTAGAATTCACACAGGATTCACAATATACAGAGCATCAGGTAGACTACTCAGGAAGATGTTGCCTGAATAATTGGGCTAAATTAGCCCCAAACAAAAGGCTACTCTAGACCTGCCCTACTAAGGCTTAAAAGAAAATGCTGAAAGAATCAAACTTGATCCCGGGTAAATTAGCTGTATGCCAAAGTCCAACAATATTAAATGTACAAGATTTACCACTTAATAAAGATTACCAGGAATGTAAAGAAGTAGGAAAATATGATTTGTAATTGGAAAAAAAGTTCATTCAAAAGAAGCAAACCTGGAAATTTCATATATGATATTATTAGCACATAAGGATTTAAAAATAGCTACTATAAATATGCTGCATATATTCAAGGTATAGGGAAAAAGACAAACATGTTGAGAGGATAAATGGAATATGTATATTTTTAAAGATTCAAATAGGACTTCAAAATATTAAAAAAGTATCTGAAAAGAAAATTTGATGGGATTCTTGCAGATTAAACACTGCAGAAGAAAAGATCAGTGAATTTGAATACATAACAATAGAAGCTACAGAAAATTAAACACAGAGATGAAAGACTGGAAAAAACAGAACCGAACATTAGTGATTCTTTGGGACCACATCACGTGGACTAACATGAAAACAACTGAGCTCCAGAAGTGGGGTGGATAGAAGTGTCTGAAGAATAAGATGCGGAGGGGATTTATTGGCCTGTGAAACTAGAAGGTGGACCTACGTGTAAGTGCTCAAAAGATGTCAGGAACATCCCTGTTTCTTCTCTCATTTCTGTTTTCTCCTGAATTTTAGCTTCACTGTGCAGGGAAGCTTTCTCCATGAGAGAGGAATGTCATTTAACAATAACATCTTCACAGCCCCCAGTTTAGAGATCCTAAGAGAAGAGGACAGCTCCTCCCTGCCTGTGAATCAGTCAATGCAGGGAAGGGCTCCAGCTGGCCCAGGTTGAGTCATGTGTTTACCTGGAGCCGTTCTTTATATCAGAGGGGTGAAGAATTCTGACTGCTCTAAGCTGAATCAGATATCATACCATGTGGGACTCACAGCCTCCACAACCAGATGGAATGGAAAGAGGAAAATTCTCCAAAGGAGATGAGGGCACCAGGGGAATAAAGATAACAGGTGGCCCAAATACCATCCTTCAGATTCAGCTCATCCAAGGGCTTTTTGTGCAAACTGTTTCTCCTGAAATACTCAACCTTGCATTTGCTGATTCATTTCCATTGTGTCATCCGTGTGTCATTGTGTTGAGTCTGTCATTTAGCTCTCCGTCTGGCTCATATGAATTTTTCTCTCCAGCTAGATAGTAAGGCCTTGAAAAGCATGACCATGTCTTATACATTCCTTAATCTCTCCCAGTGACTGGCAGAGTGTCTCTCATTTAGTAGCAGAATAAATGTTTGTTTTGGTGAATCTGTTACAGAGACTAGTCAAATACTCCCATTAAGCTGAGGAGAAGTTAGATTGAGTAAATACCCTCAGCCTGTGTCATCATGAAAGAAGACTAAAGTGTTCATAAAAAGCTAATTGGTAAGCAGTTTGCAAATGAAAAACTGGTTTCTTTTTTTTTTTTTTTTTTTAACTCTTCTCTTATTAGGATCCCCAAAGCTGTGATGACAATGCCAGGAGCAAAGAAGTAGCTTTTTTAAATTTCTTGATGCCCAGACCATTTGGGCTCAGGCAGAGTGTGTGTGTGCCCACATGATAGGATTCGATGGGTACTTGAAATCCTTCTTGCCCTAAATATCCTTCCTTGCATCCTGAAAAATCCTTCAATTCAAAGTCAATTATTTTTGATTAAGATGCTGTACTTCTTAAAGAACCCTTTAAAATACAAATACCCGAGTAAAGCAGATACTATGATCCATTAACCTTTTTGCCTAAATTTATTTCTCCAAGTGGCTTTAATCACTTAACAGAGCCCTGAAAGAAGGGGCAGAAGGACACAGACATTGCTTGGCCAATGGGGAGGTGGGCATGTGGATGTTGGGCTGCTTTGGGGAGGCACATGGCAAACCCAGTGCTTCAGGCACATTATGCAGCAGGAAGAATGTGCATATTAGACATCTGGGGGCATGTATTTAAAAGGGACATTAAAAAGTAAACAGGTGAAGTGCTCTTCTCACCACTCTTGTGTAGAAAAAGACCCTTATTCTTTTAGTATAGCTATGATGGCAAAAGCTAAAACAAACCAATAGAAAGAACAGGGACAAATTTGGGTTGATTCCCTTATTCTAAGACAATTGCCATGTGGTCACAGATTGGCAGAGCCCATATGGATCGTCCGGTAGAGGTCTGAGGGCCACATCTCTTTGACCTCCACTTGTCTTGGCTACTTGACCCAGAACCATCAGGGTTCAGCCCTGGGCACTCTCTTCCTACTTACTTCTGTCAATTTCATTCTTTGTGGCCTTTAGAGGCTGGAGGCAGAGTTTCATTTTTCCTGACTAGGATACTGTATTTATTCAATCGCCCCTGTTTAGAGAAAAAGAGTGGGAAAGAAATACTACAATATAGATTGCAAGAGATCAGTTGGCAATATCAATTGTAAGATCTACCCTCAATTTCAGAGTTTTAAAATGGAAAATAATGTGCATCTCAGCGTTAAGGAAACACAGTAATAAGTTGAACAGTAGAAGGAAGCGGGTTGGTAGCTATTACTGGGTAGATGAAATCTTTTGGAATTAGGAGCTTTCACATCATCACAGAGAAGACAGGCATAGAAAAGCTCTCCTACCTCCCAGGTATAGCAGCCAGATTTCTCAAGGAAGGTTCACAAAAGAAAAGCCCCTACACAACTGTGCCTGGGTGACATCAGATTTCTGGAATGCAGAGGCTCATGCTTTTAGGGGCTAGTGCAAAGCCTCCAAATCAAAGCCTGAATTAGGAAGCTTCAAAGCTGGGAGCCCAACATCACCACTAACTACCCAAGAGGAGAGGCAGAGAGACCCCTCCTCTTCCAGGACACACAGGCCCGCTCGGCTTGGCAGCATCTCACCTCCTCTAGGCTGGCTCCCTGACAGTCCATGAATATTCAGTTGGTGTTACTAAGTGATTCCATTCCATCTTAATCATCTATTTGGGGACACTGCATACTGCATTGGTCATGATTTCTATGGTGTTTTTTGCTCTCATTTGTAAATAGCTTTCAGAAACCTGAAATGAAATTGCATTTACTTTTCATTTTCCTCCTTCAGTCTGAGTCAGCTTGACTTGGAATCAGCAGTACCTTCTGGCCCTTTTAAGCAACCTTATTTCCACGATGGAGAAAAATGATCATTCTGCAGGATACTGTGCAACGTAAGGGGACTGCACGGGAAGACAAGAGTGAGGCCACTGTCCCCACACTACTCAAATGAGCTCATTTCCGCCATTCCTTTCAGCTAAGAAAATGTGCACCAGCTCAGTTGCCTCAGATTAAAATGCATAAGTATAATTTCCTTGCACATATTTTAATCTGATTAGCATTCAGCCTATGGAAGTCCCCATTCCTTCCCCTGCTCTCTAATAGCTTCCCTTTCTAAATTGTGTCCTCTCTTGTAGAACTCAGGTGCTCATATTAGCTTTGCACAATTTTAGCTGAGAACAGAGGGAAGGAAATCACCAGGGTAACATTGGCCGCCCACACTGCAGTTTGTGTGTGTTTTAAGAGAAATAAGAAGCAGATAGACTGTTCCTCCTTAATGTCTGTAATAGGCTAAAATTTCCCAAGATTCTGTGTTTTTCTTAAGCAAATATGAAATTTAACCGGAGCCACAAAGGAGGGGGGCGTTATTTGGTTGTGAATGACCTAAGAGGAACAGACTGCAAAGCAGTATTACCCAAGAGGAGCAGTGCAAAGTCAACACAAATGCTTTCTTTCATGTGGCCCTGGGTATATCTGAATGTAAAGTTTAGGCAGAGTTTTTTTTGTTTTTTTTTTTTTGTTGTTCTGAACAGAGGCATATTAGGAATGTTTAAAATATCTCTATTTCAGATATTTGACCCCAAGTCTTCTGTTTAGTTATATATGGAAACAGAGCTCACCTGAGATATAAAAAGAAGCGGTTGTTGCTGCTCTGGTTTCCTGTGGGGACACAACTACTCCTTGGCTCCTGCCCCACCCCCACTCAGGTTCTCAGCATCTTTGTTCTGTCTCGATCTGCCTTAGGTCCAGTGTGTCCTAAAGCTCATGTCCCCGCCTTTCCCTTCTCCCACCACACTTCTGTCCAGGTGGACCCATTCAATGGATGTCCCATTCTTTCAGTGCCTTGCTCTCTCCTTTTTAAGCAGCCAAAGGTAACAACCTTCCCCCCAGGTAACCTTCCGAGGATGGGTTTTATTAACTCAGAGAAGGAAGTAATGCCATCATTGAGCTTAAAAAAGCTCTTAGGAATTTACATGCTTGTCATTGGAAAGAAGGCAGAACATTAAGGAGACCGAGGATAGAATCCTGATATGGCCAACTCACTATGTAAGTCTGAACAAGTGAATTAATCTATCTGAGCCTCAGTTTATTTATCTTCATAATGTGATTATTAATTTTCATTTCATAGGATGTTGTAAAAGTTAAATTAGATGCTTTTTACAAATATTCTATTTGCAGGACGTGGTATAAACATACCTACATTACATCAACATTGGAGGCATGCTATTTATCTGGTTTCCTGACTTGATACCAGTTTTATTTGCCTACAGAATTATTTTGAGTGCCTTTATAGGTTGGAAATGCTTTTAAAATGATAAAATATCATTAAACTATGAAACAACACAACATTCTCCTCCTCCTTCTTCTTCCTGTCCTTTCCCTTCTCTTTTTCCTTCTTCTTCTCTTCCTCCTCCTCCTTCTTCTCTCCTTCTTGATTAATTATCAAGACAAATATCTAAAAGTCAGTTGTGAATCCTCTCTACCTTTTATCCCCAGCATCCAGTCCATCAGCAAGTCCCATTGACTCTAATCCATGATATACTTCCTATACATCTCCACTGCCATCACCCCGGTCTTAGCCACCACCTCAACAGCCCTCTGCAGGCCTCTCTACAGGCACTCTAGACCAGCACTGCTGTGCAGCCACTATTTGGTGAGGATCCTTTTACTCACAGACAAACACATTCCTCACTGATCCACCCTTTCTAGAATATAGATGGCATCTTATCTGCCTTGCTCACCACCACACCTTCAGGACTGAGAACAGTACAAACATACAGAAGGGCTCAACAAAGACTTTATGAATAAATTGTATTTATTAATGTGCTCTAAGCACAATCCTATGGGGCAGGCATTATTAGTGCGCTTTACAAATAAGAAATCTGAGCAGTCTTTGTTTAAAGGATTGGTCTTTTCATAAGAGACGAGGGATCAGTTAGATCTAGTATATTTTAAAGGGATTTTATGGAAGCTGAACTACACATAAAAAGGACAATCAATGAAACAGGTAGTGCCTTCTTCTGCATTTTAGGGTGAATCTGGCATTCCCAAACTTCTCTTTTTTCGTATTTCATTGCACACGGTTACTGGATCTTTTCCTAAACATTTTTTTAAATCTTACTTTTCCTCTACTATCAGTGGGCAATGGCTGAGGTTTTTCTTTTCTTTTCTTTTCTTTTCTTTTTTTTTTTTTGAGACGGAGTCTCGCTCTGTCACCCAGGCTGCAGTGCAGTGGTGCAATCTAAGGTTTTTATTTTCTATAGACATGCTGGACAATTAATCACATTCAGGATTTTAAAAATCAGTATGTTGTTTCCCGCTCTCTGTTTGCTAGTATTCTGAGGAAGGATCCAAGTAAATTCTGCTTTTATGCAATTTGAAATGAAGAGATGTGTTTTATTAACCTGTTAGCCATGGGTGACATCTTATTATAATAGTAATTTTTATTTCCGTCATCAGTGTTCTCACAGCAGCATCCCTTTACACTCACATCTACTTTGTATTAACATTGTAGACCCAGTATTTATCATATCAGAGTGTATATTTAAAAACCAAGCAGGCATTAAGGCAGGGTGTTGCTACTGGCTTACAGTAAGGTAAATTATAAAAATTTTAGAAAATCAAATATTTGTGTCTGGGCTCACTAATTATTATTTTCTTTCTTATCTGAATGATCTGCATAAATGACCGTTAGGACACATAAATCAAGATCAATGCAACATTAAGTTGGCCAAGGCACAGTAGTGTTGAATTGAGTAGCCGATGTGGTCAACAAACAGGAAACGTGTGAGAAGTCATCCAGATACAATGAGGTCATTCCTGACCCTTACTCTCATCCCCCAGATGCTTAAAATTATAGCTTAATGTTTTTATTTTTCTTCTGTGGAAGAGGAACTGATGACACGAAAACCTATCAACCCTGAATTGTTGGGTAAATGTGAAGTTCAGTTAAGGCTCATTGGGTCAGATTCAAAATAATAAAATGATCATCAGTGCCCTTGAAGTAGAGACCACAGTGGGATGGAGTGAAATTAGTTTCCTGACTAGACAGCATTCTCAGGGCTGCGGAGCTGTGCTGATGTACACATCTTTGAATATACACTCCCCCTACTCACACATATGCACATAGCAAGAAGGTAGTGGTATCATTGCACTAATATTTGCACCTGTAATTTTCTGGATTGATACTAAGAAAACATAGACATTTGCTTATCCCAAAGGCTGTGACTGAGATCACATATGTTTTTTGCTTTTAAACTGTTTTATGTTTTTTAACATTTATACAATGAACAGGAATTATATTCATGATTGAAGAGCAAAGTGACATATTTAAAAAATTTTAAAGGATAATATTTGTATTTCTTAGCTATTAATTATCTCAGTAAATCATAATTTCCATTGATAATCCAATAGGCACAGTGCTAACAGAAGGAAACATGTAAACTCCCAACTCTTTACAAGCTAACTGTATTTTTATAAAAGCTAATCATTTATATTTTATATACTTCAGACTTCAGGCTATTACATACTTTTTAGTGTATAAAATTGAAGGATAATTTACTTACAGTGAAATATGCTGATTTTAAAAATATAATTTGATCCATTTTAAAAATGTAGACCCCCCCCCCCATATAATGTACAGCCTGCCATGGTTTGAATATGTCCCCCAAATTTCATGTGTTGGAAACTTAATCCCTAATGTGGCAGTATTGAGAGGTGGGGTCTTTAAGAGATGATTGAATCATCAGAACTCTGCCCTCATGAATGGATGAAGCTATTCATGGATTAATGGATTAATGGGTTATTATGGGAGTTGGACTGGCGGCTTTATAAGAAGAAGAGAGACCTGGGCTAGCATGTTAGCATGCTCAGCCCCACTGCCTGGTGATACCCTGCATCACCTCAGGACTTCAGAGTCCACACCACCAAGGAGGCTCCTACTAGATGTGGCTCCTTGACCTTGGACTTCTCAGCTTTCATAACTGTAAGAAATTCCTTTTCTTTATAAATTACCCAGTTTCAGGTGTTCTATTATAAGCGACAGAAAATGGACTAAAACACGTCCTTATCAAGATATAGGCTATTTCCAACTCCTTATCACCTTTGTGACCCTTCCCAGATAATCACAAACACTTCTCCAAGCAACCACTGATCATATTTCTCTTCTCATAGATTAATGTGCCAGCTCTAAAATTTCATATCGATGGAATCATGCATAGTGTATGTATGCACCCTTTTGAGTTTGACTTTCCTCACTCAGCGTAATGAGTTGAAATTTATCCACAAAGAAAGGAAATGCATCTTTATAGAAGTTAGTGAGACTTCCTCAGAAGGGGACCAAGAAGCCATCTTTAGAAATCAAATATTGAGTAAGGAGATTTTCTTCACAACCTCAGTTGGGAAGACCCACATGGCTGCGGGCTGGAGGATCCACTTCCAAGACCTTTTCACTCACATATCTGGCCCCTGCACTGGGATGGCTGAACATGAGTTTAGCTGGGACTTTGAGAATTAATCAGCTACATGTGGCCTCTGTACGTGGCTTGGGCTTCTCAAAGCATGGAACTCAGATCCAAGAAGGAATGTTTTGAGAGAGGCCCTCATGAGAAAGAGCATTCCAACTCAATCAGGCAGAAGTGGCATACCCTTTTATGACTGAGCCTTGTGAGGCTCACATGGATCACCTCCATGACCCTGCTAAAGCAATCATACACCCACTCAGATTCAAGGGGAAGGGATACAGGCTCCAACTCTCAATGGGAGGACTGTCAAAGAAGTTGTAATAATTTTCTGGCAGCTTCTATGAATAATGAACGTATGGATTGTGTGTCAGAATTAGGTGGTCTACTACCTACTTAGGGCAAGTTTAAAGGAGAAAAAGTTGAAATATATGGTTTTTGCATGATCAGCTAGAATAGTTTAAGTGGGAATAATAAGAAATTCTATGCACAGGGAACTGACTAAAGTAAAGGTTCTGCCATGTCAATAATGGAGGTGATGACTAGGCGCAGTGGCTCATGCCTGTAATCCCAGCACTTTGGGGGCCAAGGAAGGTGGATCACTTGAGGTCAGGAGTTCAAAACCAACCTGGCCAACATGGTGAAACCCCGTTTCTACTAAAAATACAAAAATTAGCTGGGCATGGTGGGTGCCTGTAGTCTCAGCTACTTGGGAGGCCGAGGCACCAGAATCACTTGAACTTGGGAGGCGGAGATTGTGGTGAGCCAAGATTGCACCACTGTACTCCAGCCTGGGTGATAGAGCAAGACTCTGTCTTGGGGGAAAAAAAAAATGGAGGTGGTGAGTGAAGAGTGTCACAGCACAGCAGGAGAGAATCAGCAGTAGAGAAACAGTGTCACAGAGCAGCAGGAGAGAAGCAGGAGAGAAGCAGAAAAAGACCATTAAGGAATCACGGATTGGTGATCAGTTTCATACATTGAACAGCAGCAATGTGAGTGTCTACTTGAGGAAAGTGATTTCCCCAGGGTGCTAATGATGGCTGTATCTCTTATTGCAAAACTGTACAACAGAGGTTAGTGAGAGGAGGACTATCATTAGGAGGTGGGATAAAATATACAGATTTCTTGGAGATACAGCAAGTGCTGATCTATTTATCAGGTTTGTGGTAAGTAGAAGAATCCCTCCACCACCCCATCCCCCAAGATGTCTATATCCTAATCCATGGAACCTATGAATATATTAGATTGCATGACTAAGGGGAATTAAGGCTGCAGATGGAATTTGAGGTTGCTGTACTGGGTTGAATAGTATCTCCCTCCAGATTTATGTCCACCTGAAACCACCTGCATGTGGCCTTATTTGAAAATAGGGCCTTTGTAGATGTAAACACGGCAAGATGAGGTCATACTGGACTAGGGTGAGTCCTGGATCCAATGTGACTTATATTCCTATAAGAAGAGGAGAATTCGGATGTAGAAACACATGCAAATGGAGAGTGCTATGTGCAGATGGAGACATAGATTAGAGGGATGCTTCTACAAGCAAAGAATGCCAAAAATTGCTGGCAGCCACTAGTACTTGGAAAGAGGCATGAAAGAATTCTCCCCTAGGGTGTTCAGAGAGTGCCTGGGCCTGCCAACACCTTGATTTTAAACTTCTAGCCTTCTATAAAAGAAATTTTAAGAAATAAAATAAATAAACATCTAGCCTTAGAACAGTGAAAGAATGCATTTCTGTTGTTTCAAGCTGCCCTATTTGTGGTAATTTGTTATGGCTGTTCTTAGAGACAAATACAGTTTTGAGGCAGTCCACTGTAAGGACAAGGGACCCCATAAGTAGAAGAAGGAACCAAAAGAAAGAATCAGAGATGGCGGGGTAAAAAGGACTCAGTTCCATATTACTGGCTTTGAAGATGGAAGAAGGGGCCATGAGCCAACAAATGTGTGTGGCCTCTGAAAAGCAAGGAAATAGATTCTCCCCTAGAGCCTTCAGAGAGAACACAGCCCTGCCAACACTTGATTTTGCCCACTTGATGTCAGACTTCTGACCACAAGAACTGTGAGAATGGATGTGTTGGTACTTTGTTTACATCAGAAACAAGTGACTAATACAAGGTTAGTTGATATTGGAGAGAAGGGTGAGTCAGACCCTGTTATGGGCTCAATTATGTCTGCAAAATTTTCCTTTATTGAAATCCTAACCCCCAGTACCTCAGAAACTTGACTATATATGGAGATAGGACCTTTCAAGAGGTAATTCAGATAAAATGAGGTCACATGGGCAGGCCCTAGTCCAGTATGACTGGCATCCTTGTTAGAAGAGGAGATTAGGATACAGACACACAGGGAAAAGATCATGTGAAGACAGAAGGAAAAGGCAGCCACCTGCAAGCTAAGGAGAGAAGCCTCAGGAGAAACCAACCCTACTGACATCTTGAACTCAGATTTGTAGCCACCGCAATGGTGAGGAATTATACTTCCATTGTTTAAGCCACCTAGTCAGTGGTACTTGGTTGGGCAGCACTAGCAAACTAATATAGGCCCCAAATTCTTCACTTTCTTCACTTTCCTCACTTTTTAGATTAAGGCTCTAAGATTCAAAGTAGGAAAAATAAATGGCTCAAGTCACATAGTGGCATTGCCACGACTGAAATCTGCATTACTTGATAGTGGCATGGAGGACTAATGAGTACTCTGGGGCTCTCCGTAGAGTTTTCACTGAGGTTTTTGGTGGTGTGGCTGCCTGTTTTTTAATTCCTTCACATCTGAACATTCAGAACTCGTTGTGTTTACATTTTTTGTCCTGCTGAGTTGAATGAAAGGCAACTCATTAAAGAAAGAAACTAAAATGGGTAAGTGGTCCAAAATTGGAAACTGAAAAAGAAAATATTCATTAGCCACAAGTCAGGTGTGATTTTCTCTAAGATTGCATTTTGTAGTAGATTCCACTGAAAGAATATACCTCTGACATAAATTCTTAATCTGTTTTTCAAAATTCCTTTTACTCAGGAGGACTGGATGCAGGAGGATGAGCCAATTAATGGCTAAACATGTGTCTGTAAAATATGGTAACTCAACGTAATTGCTTTGTGTAGTTAACTTGACAGTTAAGGCCATCATTCTCAAGAAATCTGTACAGGTAGACTGGACCAGAAATCATTTCCCTACCTGTCCTGTCATCCTGACACACTGCAAGGCATGTATATATTTACATAGTTAATCCAGTTGCAAATGGAAATTAATAATATATATTACTGTATCAATTACTCCATTGCAAATTAATGTAGATTTTTTTCCTGCTTAATTTATTCAAATCAAATACCCTCAGCCTCAGGTCTTCCAAGACTCTCTTCCATCCTGGATGTAAGAGCATAATCTAAGCAGATTGTAAATTATTTAAACTGGTCACCCTGCTCTAATACATTCTAAGTAGTTCTTGAAATCATTAATGAGGGCATCAGATCCTGCAGTCTGAGTGGCAAATTTAAAAAAAGAAATCTATGCTGGCTTTAATTACTTTTGAAAGAATAGAGTCAGACCCTGATCTTATAAAATTCAAATCATGGGCACTTAATAACCTGGAGCAGGAAAAGAGATTGAGTTTTATACTACCCAAAGTTCCAAAACTTCAGCCCATAATATATAGGACCAGGTACTGTCTGTGGTGCCTCCTTACTTCCTGAAACTTTTTATACATTATTTCTGCAGATAACAGCGTTGGAGGTATGTGTTGTTATCCCTGCTTCACAGATGAGGAAACTCATTCAGAGATTTAAATAACTTGCTCAGCTTATAAGTCTCTGAACTGAAATTCATTCTGTTGTCTATTTGATGCCAAAGCCCATGCACTTTCTACTGTATCATGGTTTACCAAGCACTTTCAAAAATATTTTATTTGAGACACCAGAAGCCCTATGAGGTAATTCCCTTTCTTACGGTTGAGAAAGCTGAGCGTTCTAAAAACTGACCACAAATAATACAGTAGAAAATGGCCTTGGAGCACTTTCTTCTCTACCTCAAGTATGCACACACACACGCATGCACACACAGAGAGTTACCCCGCACCCCAGCCTTGCCTTGCTTCAGGGCAACGAGTACACCAACTGGGTAGCCTGTGGCAAGGAAGGGGATGGGAACCATCTAGTACATCACCTCCAAGGGCCACCTATTTGTGAATCTTTTTCATAGTGAAGGATAATGCCAGAGATACCATTTACTTTTCGTTACTTCCTAGGGAAAGTACATGTGTGTTGAAGTCTTAAACTTCAGAGCTTTCTCTTATGCTGTTCATTGTCCCTGGGTTAGAGGGCTGGAGTTAGAGCTGCCAAATAAAATGCAGACCACCTGGTTAAATTTGATTTTTAGATAAACAATGAATAATTTTTAAGTATCAGTATATCCTAAACATTGCCTAGGATGTACTTATACTAGAAAAAATAATGTTAGTTATCTGAAATTCAGATTTAAGTGGGTGGCCTATATTTTGATTGGCTAAATCTGGCAGCCCCACCTGGCATGGAAGTAGAAGTCTGTTGGAGGGAAGAGACCATGTGACCCAGTGGTCTGAGAAGTTGCTAGGCCACTGATCACAATGTCAGGAATGCTTTTTTTTTTTTTGGAACACATCAGAATTTATAAAACTTTATGCTGTAAACAATATCAACAAGAAAGTTAAAAGGGAACAACGGATGGGAGAACATGTTTATAAATCATATGTATGATAAAGGACTTGTGTCTAGAACTCTTACAACTCAATAATAAAAATACAAATACCCCAATTAAAAATGAGCAAAGGATTTGAATCTTTTCAATCAACAAAGAAGATTTACAAATAGGCATTAAGCACAAGAAAAGACGTGCAACATCATTAGGGAAATGCATATCAAAGCCACAGTGATCTACAGGAACAACAGAGAAGCAATAAAATATAAAACAAAACAAACAAAACCCCACAATGAGATACCACATCACATACACCAGGATGGCTATTAAAAAAAAGACAATAACAAGTGTTGGTGAGAATGTGTAGGGATGCTCATATATTGCTGGTAGGATTCTAGAGTGGCACGATCTCTTCACAAAACATTTTGGTAATTCCTTAAAAGGGTTAACATACAATTGCCATGTGACTTGGCAATTCCTATCCTAGGTATATACTCAACATGTTTCCATGCAAAAAAGTGCCCACAAATGTTCATAGCATCATTATTCATTATAGCCAAAAAAGAGAAACAACTCAAATATCCAACAACTTATGAATGGATACATAAAATCTGGCATATTCATATAATGAACTATTAGCCATAAAAAGGAATGAAGTACTGATACATGCTACAAATAAGAATGAACCTTGAAAACATTACGCTAAGTTAAAGAATTAATGCAAAAGGCAACATAGTATATAATTTCATTTATATGAAGTCTCCACAATAGGCAAATCCATAGAGATAGAAAGTAGATTAGGCCAGGCGAGGTGGCTCAAGCCTATAATCCCAGCACTTTGGGAGGCCAAGGTCAGGAGATCAAGAACATCCTGGCTAACACGATGAAATCCCATCTCTACTAAAAACGCAAAAAATTAGCCAGGTGTGGTGGTGGGCGCCTGTAGTCCCAGCTAGTTGGGAGGCTGAGGCAGGAGAATGGCATTAACCCAGGAGGTGGAGCTTGCAATGAGCCGAGATCATGCCACTGCACTCCAGCCTGGGTGACAGAGCGTGACTCCATCTCAACAACAAAAAAAAGTAGATCAGTGGTTGCCAGGCCTGGGGGAAAGGGACAATGGCTAAATTGAACAATTTGAGCATCAAAATCAATAATACTTTCAATATATCACAATGTATTTAATATATAATAAGAGATGGCACTGAAATAATACTAGAAAAAGTACGTTAAAAAATAAGAGATTGTAGTGACAGTTACACATTTCTGTAATTTACTAAACAATATGGAATGATGTATTTTAAATGGGTAAATTGCATGGGATGTGAATCATATCTCAATAAAGTTATACAAAATAAGCCAATGTGCAGCCATGTGAGTAAATAATGCCTTTGTTCTTAGAACATAGTAAGAGATGCCAGGTGCAGTGGCTCACACCTGTAATCCCAACACTTCGGAATGCTGAGGTGGGAGGACTGGTTGAGCCTACAAGTTTGAGACAAGCCTGGGCAACATCGCCAGACCTTGTCTCTACAAAAAAAAAAAAAAAATTACCTGGGCATGATGTCACATGCCTGTAATCCCACCTACTTTGGAGGCTGAGTTGGGAGGATTTCTTGAGCCCAGAAGGTCAAGGCTGCACTGGGCCATGATTGTACCATTGCTCTCCAGCCTGGTTGACAGAGTGAGACCTTGTCTTAAAAAAAGAAAAGAAAAAGTAGGAGAAAAGAAAATAAACTGATTTGTCAACACTGAAGTTTACTAGGGCACTCATTAAATAAACAAATAAGCAAATGAATAGATGTGTGTGAGGACACAGTGTTCCTGCCCTTTGGAGGACAGCAATGAGGTACCATCTTAAAAGCAGAAAGCAGCCCTTACCAGACAACCAAACCTCCTGGTGCCTTGATCTTAGACTTCCCAGTTCCAGAATTGTGAAAAAATAAATTTCTGTTCTTTATAAATTACCTAACTACAGATTTTGTTATAGCAGCATACCGTACACAGACTAAGTGGAAAAACCACAATCCAGATGCTAGGATGTTTATTGCTGCAGGTTTATCATTTCTTCTAGTCTGGTTCAGTTAGAGATAGGAAATATATATTTTTTTAAAAGGGAGAAAATTATTGGTTAACAGTAATATTTAAAATTCAGATTTAAGATTACAGATCTCAATCTTGAAGACTGGGTTTTTACTAAACTACTTTGATTTTATACTATATATATAAAGTATAAATATTATATAAAGTATATTTATTTTGTGGGATACATGTGCAGAACGTGAAGGTTTTTTACATAGGTATACATGGGCCATGGTGGTTTGCTGCACCCATCAACTCATTATCTAGGTTTTAAGCCCCACATGCATTAGGTATTTCTCCTAATGCTATGCCTCCCCTTCCCCCAAAGCCCCCAACAGGCCCTGGTGTGTGATGTTCCCCTCCCTATGTCCATGTCTTCTCATTGTTCAGCTCCCACTTATGAGTGAGAACATGTGGTGTTTGGATTTCTGTTCCTGTGTTAGTTAGCTGAAAATGATGATTTCCGCTTCATCCATTCCCTGCAAAGGACATGAACTCATTCTTTTTTATGGCTGCACAGTATTTGTTGGTGTATATGTGCCACATTTTCTTTATCCAGCCTATCATTGATGGGCATTTGGGTTGGTTCCAAGTCTTTGCTATTGTAAATAGTGCTGAAATAAACATATATGTCCAAGTGTCTTCATAGTAGAATGATTTATAACCCTTTGGGTATATACCCAGTAATCGGGTTGCTGGGTCAAATGGTATTTCTGGTTCTAGATCCTTGAGGAATCACTGTACTGTTTTCCACAATGGTTGAACTAATTTTACACTCCCACCAACAGTGTAAAAGCATTGCTATTTGTCCACATCCTCTCCAGCATCTGTTGTTTCCTGACTGTTGTTTCTAACTGGCCTGAGATGGTATCTCATTGTGGTTTTGATTTGATTGAGCTTTTTTTCATATGTTTGTTGGCCGCATATATGTCTTCTTTCGAGAAGTGTCTGTTCATATCCTTTGCCCACTTTTTGATGGGGTTGTTCTTTTCTTGTAAATTTGTTTAAGTTCCTTGTAGATTCTGAATATTAGACCCTTGTCAGATGGGTAGATTGCAAAAATTTTCTCCCATTCTGTAGGTTGCCTGTTCACTCTGATGATAGTTTCTTTTGCTGTGCAGAAGCGCTTTAGTTTAATTAGATCCCATTTGTCAATTTTGGCTATCGTTACAATTGCTTTTGGTGTTTTAGTTATGAAGTCTTTGCCCGTGTCTCTGTCCTGAATGGTATTGCCTAGGTTTTCTTCTAGGGTTTTTATGGTTTTAGGTCTTATGTTTAAGTCTTTAATCCATCTTGAGTTAATTTTTCTATAAGGTGTAAGGAAGGGGTCCAGTTTCAATTTTCTGCATATGGCTAGCCAATTTTCCCAACACCATTTATTAAATAGGGAATCCTTTTCCTATTGCTTGTTTTTGTCAGGTTTATCAAAGATCAGATGGTTGTAGATGTGTGGTGTTATTTCTGAGACCTCTATTCTGTTCCATTGGTCTATATATCTGTTTTGGTACCAGTACCATGCTGTTTTGGTTACTGTAGCCTTGTAGTATAGTTTGAAGTCAGGTAGCCTGATGCCTCCAGCTTTGTCCTTTTTGCTTAGAATTGTCTTGGCTATACAGGCACTTTTTTTGGTTCCACATGAAATTAAAAATAGTTTTTTCTAATTCTGTGAAGAAAGTCAATGGCAGTTTGTTGGGAATAGCATTGAATGTGCAGCATGGCCATTTTCACAATACTGATTCTTCCTATCCATAAGCATGGAATGTTTTTCCATTTGTTTGTATCCTCTCTTATTTCCTTGAGCAGTGGTTTGTAGTTCTCCTTGAAGAGGTCCTTCACATACCTTGTAAGTTGTATTCCTAGGTATTTTATTCTCTTTGTAGCAATTGTGAATGGGAGTTCACTCATGATTTGGCTCTGTTTGTCTATTATTTGTGTATAGGAATGCTTGTGATCTTTGCACATTGATTTTGTATCCTGAGACTTTGCTGAAATTGCTTATCAGCTTAAGGAATTTTTGGGCTGAGACGATAGGGTTTTATAAATATGCAATCATGTCATCTGCAAACAGAGACAATATGACTTCCTGCCTTCCTGTTTGAATACTCTTTATTTCTTTCTCTTGCCTGATTGCCCTGGCCAGAACTTCCAACACTATGTTGAATAGGAGTGGTGAGAGAGGGCATAGTATGCCCTTGTCTTGTGCCAGTTTTCAGAGGGAATGCTTCCAGCTTTTGCCCATTCAATATGATATTGGCTGTGGCTTTGCCATAAATAGCTTTTATTATTTTGAGATATGTTCCATCAATACCTAGTTTACTGAGTGTTTTTAGCATGAAGCGATGTTGAATTTTATCAAAGGCCCTTTCTGCATCTATTGAGATAATCGTGTGGTTTTTGTCATTTGTTCTATTATGTGATGGATTACATTTATTGACTTGCATATGTTGAACCAGCCTGGTATCCCAGGGATGAAGCCAAGTTGATCATGGTGCATAAGCTTTTTGATGTGCTGCTGGATTCGGTTTGCCAGTATTTTATTGAGGATTTTCGCATTGATGTTCATCAGGGTATTGGCCTGAAATTTTCTTTTTTTTTTGTTGTGTCTCTGACAGGTGTCGGTATCAGGATAATGCTGGCCTCATAAAATGAGTTAGGGAGGAGTCTCTCTTTTGCTATTGTTTGGAATAGTTTCAGAAGGATTGGTACCAGCTCCTCTTTGTACCTCTGGTAGAATTTGACTGTGAATCCGTCTGGTCCTGGGCTTTTTTTGGTTGGTAGGCTATTAATTATTGCCTCAATTTCAGAGCTTGTTATTGGTCTATTCAGGGATTTGACTTCTTCTTGGTTTAGTCTTGGGAGGGTGTATGTGTCCAGGAATTTATCCATTTCTTCTAGATTTTCTAGTTTATTTGCATAGAGGTGTTTATAGTATTCTCTGAAGGTAATTTGTATTTCTGTGGGATCAGTGATGATATCCCCTTTATCATTTTTTATTGTGTCTATTTGAGTCTTCTCTCTTTTCTTCTTTATTATTCTGGCTAGAAGTCAATCTATTTTGTTCATCTTTTCAAAAAACCAGCTCTTGGATTCATTGATTTTTTTGAAGGGTTTTTCATGTCTCTATCTCCTTCAGTTCTACGTTATTTCTTGTCTTCTGCTAGCTTTTGAATGTGTTTGCTCTTGCTTCTCTAGTTCTTTTAATTGTGATGTTAGGGTGTTGATTTTAGACCTTTCCCACTTTCTCCTGTGGGCATTTAGTGCTACAAATTTCCCTCTAAACACCGCTTTAGCTGTGTCCCAGAAATTCTGGTACATTGTGTCTTTTTTCTCATAACATCTTTATTTCTGCCTTAATATCGTTATTTACCCAGTAGTCATTCAGGAGCAGGTTGTTCAGTTTCCATACACTTGTGCAGTTTTGAGTCAGTTTTTAAATCCTGATTTGATTACACTGTGGTCTGAGAGACTGTTCGTTATGATTTCCATTCTTTTGCCTTGGCTGAGGAGTGTTTTACTTCCAAGTATGTGGTCAGTTTTAGAGTAAATGCTATGTAGTGCTGAGAAGAATGTATATTCTGTTTATTTGGGGTGGAGAGTTTTGTAGATATCTATTAGGTCCTCTTGGTCCATAGCTGAGTTGAAATCCTGAATATCTTTGTTAATTTTCTGTCTCGTTGATCTGTCTATATTGACAGTCGGGTATTAAAGTTTCCCACTATTGTTGTGTGGGAGTCTCAGTCTCTTTGTAGGTCTCTAAGAACTTGTTTTAGGAATCTGGGTGCTACTGTATTGGGTGCATATGCGTTTAGGATGGTTAGCTCTTCTTGTTGCATTGATCCCTTTACCATTGTGTACTGCTCTTCTTTGTCTTTTTTGATCTTTGTTGGTTTAAATTCTGTTTTGTCAGAGACTAGGATTGGAACCCCTGCTTTTTTTGCTTACCATTTGCTTGGTAAGTATTCCTCCATCCCTTTATTTTGAGCCTATATGTGTCTTTGCATGTGAGATGGGTCTCCTGAATACAGCATACCGATGGGTCTTGACTCTATCCAATTTGCCAGTCTGTGTCTTTTAATTGGGGCATTTAGCCCATTTACATTTAAGGATAATATTGTTATGTGTGAATTTGATCCTGTCCTTGTGATGCTAGCTGGTTATTTTGCAAATTAGTTGCAGTTTATTCACAGTGTCGTTGGCTCTATATTTTGGTATGTTTTTGCAGTGGCTGGTACCGGTTTTTCCTTTCCATATTTAGAGCTTCCTTCAGGCATTCTTGTAAGGCAGGCCTGGTGGTGACAAAATCCCTCAGCATTTGCTTGTTTGTAAAGGATTTTATTTTTCCTTTGCTTATGAAGCTTAGTTTGGCTGGATCAGAAATTCTGGGTTGAAAACTCTTTTCTTTAAGAATGTTGAATATTTGTCCCCACTCTCTTCTGGCTTGTAGGTTTTCTACAGAGAGATCTGCTGTTAGTCTGAAGGGCTTCCCTTTGTAGGTAACCTGACCTTTCTCTCTGACTGCCCATAACATTTTTTCCTTCATTTCAACCTTGATGAATCTGATGATTATGTGTCTTGGGGTTACTCTTCTCAAGGAGTATCTTTATGGTGGTCTCTCTATTTTCTGGATTTGAATATTGTCCTGTCTTGCCTGGTTGGGGAATTCTCCTGGACAATATCCTGAAGTGTGTTTTCCAACTTGGTTCCATTCTCCCCATCACTTTCAGGTACACCAATCAATCATAGGTTTGGTCTTTTCACATAGTTCCATATTTCAGGAGGCACGGGGGTCAGGGACCCACTTGAGGAGGCAGTATGTCCATTAGCAGAGCTCGGGCGCTGTGCTGGGAGATCCACTGCTCTCTTCAGAGCCGGCAGGCAGGAACATTAAAGTCTGCTGAAGCTGCACCCACAGCCACCCCTTCCCCCAGGTGCTCTGTCCAAGGGAGATGGGAGTTTTATCTATAAGCCCCTGACTGGGGCTGCTGCCTTTCTTTCAGAGATGCCCTGCTCAGAGAGGAGGAATATAGAGAGGCAGTCTGACTACAGTGGCTTTGCCATGCTGTGGTGGCTTCTACCCAGTCTGAACTTCCCAGTGGCTTTGTTTACACTGTGAGGGGAAAATGGCCTACTCGAGCCTCAGTAATGGTGGACGCCCCTCCCCGCATCAAGCTTGAGCGTCCCAGGTCGACTTCAGACTGCTGTGGTGGCAGCAAGAATTTCAAGCCAGTAGATCTTAGCTGGCTGGGCTCCATTGGGGTGGGACCCGCTGAGCAAGATCACTTGGCTCCCTGACTTCAGCTCCCTTTCCAGGGGACTGCATGGTTCTGTCTCACTGGGGTTCCAGACACCACTGAGGTATGAAAAAAAAGTCCTGCAGCTAGCTTGGTGTCTGTCCAAACGGCTGCCCAGTTTTGTGCTTGAAATCCAGAGCACTGGTGGTGTAGGCACCCGAGGGAATCTCCTGGTCTGCAGATTGTAAAAACCATGGGAAAAGCATACTATCTGGGCTGGATAGCACCATCCCTCATAGCACAGTCCCTCACTGCACAGTCCCTCATGACTTCTCTTGGCTAGGCGAGGGAGTTCCCTCACCCCTTGCACTTCCCAAGTGAGGCAACGCTCCATTCTGCTTCTGCTCACCCTCTGTGGGCTGCAGTCACTGTCTAACCAGTCCCAATGAGATGAACTGGGTGCCTCAGTTGGAAATGCAGAAATCACCCACCTTCTGCATTGGTCTCGCTGGGAGCTGCAGACCGGAGCTGCTCCTATTCAGTCATCTTGGCTTTCCCCACAACCTTTTTTTTTTTTTTTTTTTGAGATGGAGTCCCACTCTGTCATCCAGGCTGGAGTGCAGTGGTGTGATCTCAGCTTACTGCAACCTCTGCCTCCTGGGCTCAAGCGATTCTCCTGCCTTAGCCTCCCAAGTAGCTGGGGTTACACACATGTTCCACCAGACCCAACTTAATTTTTGTATTTTTAGAAGAGACAGGATGTCACCATGTTGGCCAGGCTGGTCTTGAACTCCTAGCCTTGAGTGATCTGTGTGCCTTGGCCTCCCAAAGTGCTGGGATTACAGGCATAGGCCATCACACCTGGCCAGGAACCCTTCTTGACAACAATAGCCCCACTTAGTATGTGCCACTATTATCTGGCTAATCATACGACTATCTTTGTGCCTTGAATTCTGCTCTAATTCTTAGAAAAAGTAGCAATTATGCTTATATATAACTAAAGAAGAAAAGGAGGATAGAAAGTTTTGGGTAAAAAAGGTAAAAAAAAAAATCTCAACAAACACAAATATAATTCATGTTGTTCAAAAGATAGAGGAATTACTAATACACCCAAAATTAGTCTTAATTCTCTGCATCAGTAGTTCTCAAACCTTGGCAAGCATAAGAAGCAACTGGAAGACATGAGAAAACACAGATTGTAGGGACTTATTCCTAGAGTTTCTACTTCAGTAGGGGCGTGTGTGTGTGTGTGTGTGTGTGTGCATTTTTTATTTTAAACAGGTTCCCAGGTGATCCTGATGCTGGTCCAGGGAACATACTTTGAGAATCATGGCTTTATCACTTCAGGAAATACCCAGTTGCCATACACAATTCAGCTTCTTTCCAACAGTAGTCAAATTAGCGATGAGGTCACCAGTAGCTACTTGAATTTGACTGATATGCTAAGACAAAGATTCCTAACACCTGTCCAGAGCTTCCTTGGAGCACATTTATTGTTAGTAGGCTGTACTGTAATGAATCCCCTAAAGAAAAATTAGCTTTGTACAACTGTCCCTTGCATATCCTTCCATTCTGAGCCAAGGCACAACTCTGTGTGTCTGCTGGTGAGCACACATTCATTCACTATCGTTTATTATCACCTAAGGCTATGCTTACCATGCTGCAGAATCACAGCCTGAATAACCACCCAGGCAACTCTTCTTAATATCATTGTTCTGTAGGTCTGAGTTCTTTAGTGTGCAAGAAGCAGAAGAATATTTCCTGGAACTCATTTTTCCCCAAACACTTCCTTCCTGTTTTCACAGTAGTCCTCCTGCTGAAGTGGCCCATCATACAATTAACCTTTTAAAAATGGCATATTTAGATGGCAAAGTTGGAGCTCTTGATAACATTCCCGACATTCTTCTGGGCCTTTTTCTTCCCTTCCTCCTGCCTCACTTTCTTTCTTCCAATATTTTAATGTCTCCACTGGAAAACATGCCAGAAGAATTTGGTGAGAGACTGTCACAGAAGTGTGTTAGTGTTGTAGTTCAAAAACTCAGTGAAGGGTGGCAGAATATGACACCCTGCCTGAAATATGCCACTGTGACAGAAAGACTTTTTTAAGTTGAAGACAATTGAGAAGATACAAGAAAAGCTCCCTGCCCTCCCTTTATTTGCTTCAAAGCAGGACTTACATTTACAAAACTGTCCCTCCTC
This sequence comes from Homo sapiens, assembly GCF_000001405.40. Lineage (NCBI taxonomy): Eukaryota > Metazoa > Chordata > Mammalia > Primates > Hominidae > Homo > Homo sapiens. The sequence goes on from NC_000013.11 coordinate 34,056,889, forward strand.
TCTCTACCAGGAAGAACAAAATTAATCACCCTGGAGACTATACCAGAATGCAGTCCACATAATAAACTTTACTATTTAGCCTTTAGCTACCATTAGTTTCCTTTATACTTGCATTTCCACAATTTACTGTCCCTGGAGACATGGGTCCCTTTCTTTCACCTTGTCATTTCTCTTTAAGTTTATTGTTCTGTGTTGAAGACACTGTGTAAGCCAGAGTTCTAGGCCACCTCTTTGAGTTACTCATTTCTGGGCATTCCCATGTGTTATATGCATAATACACATCTTAATAAACTCATTTGGCTGAGCGTGGTGGCTCATGCCTATAATCCTAGCTCTTTGGGAGGCTGAGGCAGGAGGATCACTTGAGGCCAGGAGTTCAAGCTTAGCCTGGGAAACATAGCAAGACCTTGTCACTACGAAAAATTTTTAAAAAATTAATCAAGTATGGTGGTGCATGCTGTAGTCCCAGCTACTCAGGAGGCTGAGGTGGGGGGATCACTTGAACCAGGAAGTCTGAGGATGCACTGAGCTATTATAACGCCATGGCATTCCAGCATGGGTGACAAAGCTATACCTTGTCTAGAGAAAAATAAATAAAATAACAATTAGAAACTTGTTTTTTTCTTGTTAATCTGTTTTTTGTTACATGGAGCCCAGCTGAGAACTTAGAAGGGCAGAAGGAAGATTGTTTTTGTCCCCTACAATAATTTTAGAGCTAGCAAATTAAAACACTAATACCTGTTTTTTATTGGCAATTCACATATGTAAACTTTCCAGATAAAAAGAAGTTTATCTTTTAAGCATCAGCCCCCCTCTTTTAAAAATTTATTTATTTATTCATTCATTTATTTATTTATTTGAAGAGACAGGATCTTGCTCTGTTGCCCAGGCTTGAGGTGCAGTGACACAATCATGGCACACTGTAGCCTCGAACTCCTGGGCTCAAGCAATCCTCTTGCCTTAGCCTCCTGAGTAGCTGGAACTACAAGAGCATACCACTACACTTGGATATTTTACTTTATTTTATTCTATTTTATTTTATTTTATTTTTGTACAGATGGGGTCTTGCTATGGCAGTCTGGTCTTGAACTTCTGGCCTCAAGCAATCTTCTCACTTCAGCCTCACAAATTTCTGGGATTACAGCTGTGAGCCACCACACTGCCTCCCCTCTTTTTTTTAATGAAAATTTTAAATTTTAAATTTTTGTTCAAAATGTACTGTGTACTACTTTTTCTTCTTAACAGAATACACCAATTTGTGTAATCTCCCCTTGATGTAAGGTCACCGTGACGTGTCTGGTGTTTGTACACAGCTGCAGGGATAAAGTGTGATGGTGGTGGGGTAGGGGGAATGTTCCCACTGACTTTGGAATTCTTGGTATATTTGTCTTTATAATTTTACTGTCACCTAATTTTGTCATTGTCCTTTTTTGCTATTCTTAGTTTCTATCAAATTTTTGAATTGCTCATTTAATTTACACACTGTTCTAAGTTGTTCTGAAATTTTTTGAAGTCTTTTTAGAAGTCAAGTACTTAGGCTTTGTGACTTTTTTTGTTTGTTTTTGAATTTGAAGCTGTGCTCTAACTGCTAAAATAAATTATGTTTAATGACATAAGCTGTTTTTTTATATGTGGAATAGATGCTCCCAACCTACTTTCAGAAAAGTGGGAACTCCAAGTGCTTTTCTTTTTTCTTTTCTTTTTTTTTTTTTTTTTTTTTGAGGCAGAGTCTTCTCTGTCACCCAGGCTGGAGTGCAGTGGTGCCATCTCCTGCTCACTGCAAGCTCCGCCTCCCGGGTTCACGCCATTCTCCTGCCTCAGCCTCCTGAGTAGCTGGGACCACAGGCGCCGCCACCACGTCCGGCTAATTTTTTTGGTATTTTTAGTAGAGACGGGGTTTCACCGTGTTAGCCAGGATGGTCTCGATCTCCTGACCTCGTGATCTGCCAGCCTCGGACTCCAAAAGTGTTGGGATTACAGGCGTGAGCCATTGCGCCCGGCCAAGTGCTTTTCTAACCACAGAAATGTTTTAGCATTGATGTAGCCATATCTTCTTGTTGTTAAAATTAAGGTGTGCACTGCCAAAAACAAACAAACAAACAAACAAACAAACAAAATAAAACAAAAAAAAAACAATGGACTGGGAAGGGTTGGTCCTAGGTAATAATGTGAAGGATAAAAATGTTTTTCTCTAGACCTCTAGCCTCCTCTTTCCAAAACCTTCCCTCCAACCAAAAGTTGCCTGATTAAATATAAGAATCTCAGTTAGATTAGAAATTGATATAAATGCTGTATTCGTTCATTCTTACACTGCTATAAAGAAACACCTGAGACTGGGTAATTTATAAAGGGAAGAGATTTAATTGGCTCACACTTCCACAGGCTGTACAGAAAGCATAGCTGAGGAGGCCTCAGGAAACTTACAATCATGGCGGAAGGTGAAGGGGAAGCAAGCATGTCTTCCTATGGCCAGAACAAGAGGAGGAAAAAGAAGAAAGAGGTGCTACACACTTTTAAACAACCAAATCTCGTGAGAACGAACTCACAGTCATGAGAACAGCAAAGGGAAATCTGTCCCCGTGATCCAATCACCTCCCACCAGTGCCCTCCTCCAACACTGGGAATTACAATTCAACATGAGATTTGGGGGGGGACACAAATCCAAACTATATCAAATGCCTAAGTTTCTTTTAATTTAGTATATCCCAAATATTAAATGGTACATACCTATACTACAGAAATGTTTTTGTTTATCTAGCATTCAAATTTCACTTGACATTCCTTATTTTAATTTGCTAAATCTGCCTTAACCTCAACTTACATTAACTTTTTTCTTTCTTCTCTATCAAATTTACTCCCAATGGAAGAATTGTAAAGTCATTCAAACTAAGATATCAAAAGATAAGTAGAGATTATGGTCATCATAGTCATCTTCACTTTAGTGAAAGCAGAATGTTACAAGGGAGAATTTTTTTTTTTTTTTTTTTTGAGACAGAGTCTCACTCTGTTGCCCAGGCTGGAGTGCAGTAGTGCGCTATCTTGGCTCACTGCAAGCTCCGCCTCCCGGGTTCACACCATTCTTCTGCCTCAGCCTCCCAAGTAGCTGGGACTACAGGTGCCCGACACCACGGCCGACTAATTTTTTGTATTTTTTTGGTAGAGATGGGGTTTCACCGTGTTAGCCAGGATGGTCTCAATCTCCTGACCTCGTGATCTGCCCACCTCGGCCTCCCAAAATGCTGGGATTACAAGCGTGAGCCACTGCGCCCGGCCATACATGGGAGAATTTAAATGGTCAACAGGATGGTGGTCAGGAGCCTGGGGTAGAGATGACTTCTTTCCCCTGAACTCCAACTGTAAGAACAGCTTCAGGGCCTCCATAGTAATGCTAACTCAGGAACTGCAGATTAGGAATCTTACCTTGCTTCTGACTTGGCAACTGTATAGAATACCATTAACACAAATAACTCCATCTTAGAAAAAGGCTGAATTTTATATTTCATAGGGCACTTTGCCAACAAGGATAAGATGTTGTGCCTAATAAACAAATAAAAAAATAAAGACTGCCTCTAACCAGATAAGGATACAAGCACATTTCTTCCACTATCAGTTCTCAATAGAGGACCCTGTGACTATAAAAGATTAGGCCTTCAGCAGCTCAAAGTGACCATCTTAACTGACACCGTCTTGCAGTCACTCATGTTAAGAATTTGACATCTGCTGCCAAAGGCTCTGCAACCTCGAAGATTCTTTCTTTCAAGACCTACTGACACTGAGCCCAGACCAGGATTCCTTTTGCCTTCTTCCCTCCCCCTGAACTGATTCATTAACCTTTTCTCATATCTCTTTTTCCTCTTGATGTTAAATGTTACTTTGTTTATTGTGGAATGTTTAACTTACAATAGTTATATATTGATTAAATATACTATTATGTATGATTTGCCGTGTTGACTTGTGGAATGGCTTCAGCCTGTGTGCCCATGGCTCTGACTACCGAGTAAATAAGTACTGAGGAGAATGCCCTCCTTGGGAACTCCTTGGAGCTTGGGACTTTTGTGATTGAAATAACATTAATAAAAGCTTGACATTGTAGAAAGACACAAACATGTGTGGACCTGGTTATCTCTAACCTTGTACCACTCATGACAGCTACTATAAAACTGTGGATCTAGAACAAGCCATTTAACTTCCTTGCCACAGTTATCTACCGCCATATACCAAGCTAACCAAAACTTAAAGGTTAAAGAAAAAAAAACACCATTTTATCATATCTAAGAATTTCATGCATCAAAAATTCATGCGTGGATCTGCGGAGGGATTCTTTCCCACATGGAGTCACATGAGGTCACTTGGTGGTATTGGCTGGTGGCTGCTCCAGTCTAGAGGGTCTGAGACAGCTTCACCCACATACATGGTGCCTATGGACTGGCTACGAAAAGGATCAAAATATATGATCCAAAACATGCCACTTTGACATATGGCTTATTCTGGGCTGAAGGCACTTCAGAAGCAATAGATACAGGAAAGAACTTCTCTCTTTCTATCTAAAAGCAGGTCATAAAACTTCCCATGAGAAAGGTGCTGCCCCTGCACCAGGGAGAGAGACTGGGAGTTGATGCTGAAATGCATCTGTACAGACAAGCCTTCTAAAATACACTTTCTCGTCCATTAGTTTACTTCATCTATTTCTGAGTCACTTCCCCACAATACTGCCCCTAGAAGTTTAAACCCCATTTCCTCTGTCTTGTCACTTCTCCATAAATTTATTGTTCTTTGATATAATTGGTATATAAGCTCTCAGTCCTAACAGCTTTTTTGGATCTTCATTTTTCGTATGAAGGATCCCATGTGCATATAAAAATATTACAATTTGTATGCTTTTCTACTATTAATCTTCTGTCAATGTATATATTTATATATAATATGTAATTATATGAAAATTTACGTATGCAATTACATATTATATGTGAATATATATAAACATAAATAATATAATTAAATTCTCAGACTCAGATATAGAACCTTAGACGGTAGAGGAAAAGCTTTTCTTCCTTAGAGCTGGCACTGCTCTTTCCACCTAGTGTCCTGTGCGTCTGGGTAGGTCGGACTTCCTCACAAGCACAGCAGTCTCAGGGCAGTCAGACTTCTAACATGGAGGCTCAGGCTTCAAGACAGAGTGTTTCCAAGAGATCAAGGATGAAGCTGAAAGACTTCTTACCACCGAGCCTCACAAGACATGAACCTTCATTTCTGCCACATTCTGTTGGTGAAAAGAGAGTCAGTCCCAAGGCCAGCCCAGAATACCATGAACCATGGGTCACAGTGGGGCTGTCCTGGAGGACTAGCTACCACAACCACTGAGACTCAGTTCCTGCCTCGATGAAATTGGCTGTGATTACAAAGTGTTTGTGATACTCACATGGAATAGATGTAAAAAAGAAATTGAAAATATTGCATTTCTGTTGCATTACATTAGATGACCTGAGTCAGACCCTTCTACTACCATTTCCATTTTATGAATATTGTGTGTCTTATTTTATTTATAAATAGCAAATGTATAATTATACACTATTTTGATATTTTGTAGAATTCTATATATGTAATTGTATATTATATATAAATATATAATACATGTTTATCTATAAATATATAATACACACACATATATATATACACACATACATATATATACCCTATGTCATCATTTGTATGTAATGAATTGATTTATTTCTGTGTACCTAGAATGGTACTGTTTAGACAGTACCATCCTCTGGAGAGTTGAGAAAATAGTTACTCAGTTTTATATGGGGCTTAATTCTGCCACAGACTCTCAGTTGGGAAAGGCTCATCTAAAAAGTTGAAATCACTTTGCACACATTAATCTAGCTGCTATAGTACCATCCTTTTAAAATACGATATTACCTTGAATTTAAATATAAAGACACATGTTCTCTCCAACTATGCACACCTCCCTTCCACCCCCAGCTGCTGTCTTTACCTAATATAAGTACATTATTCCTGTGTGTGCATGTACACACACACACACACACACACACACACACACATACACAAATAAGGAAGGAAAAATGTACCCACATTTGATGCATAGAATCAAATCAGGTGTGGATCTGCTGGCATTCTCATACCTCCTCTAATCATTAGGCTCACCTGTTAAGAAGCTCAAGGGCTGAAACTTGATTGCTTATTAGAATTCTCCTGTGGAATCCTCACCTCTTCAAGAAAAACCTCAGTAGCATGAGATATCTGCCAGCCTGCAACCTTAAGGCTTGTCAGTCATTTGCAGACTCCCATGAAGCCATGAATTTAACACATTATGTATTTGAGAAGCCATATAAATTTTACTGCCTGTATGCAGCAAAGCAAAGATTTTTGAGATACCAGATACGTGATTTGACAGGACTTATTTAGCAACCAGATATTTTGGATTCCTGGAAGAGGTCTTAGAAAGTTAAGCCCTTCAAAATTTCACAAAACTAATATTCTGTATCTCTGTAATCAAATGTTTCTCTGACACAGTTTATGAACTATGCTCTGCTAAGATGTTTGATAGCACAACCAATTTTCACAAAACATACCAATGAGATTCTGTGTTTATTGGTCAGGGTTCTCCAGAGGAAGAGAACCGATAGAATACATATAGAGAGAAATATATAAGATGGGATCTATTGGAAATTGGCTTGCATGATTATGGAGGCCAGGAAGTCCCATGATATGCTGGCTACAAACTGGAGAACCAGGGAAGCTAATGTAATTCAGTCTGAGTCCAGAGGCATGGAACTAGGGGAACTGATGATGTAATTCTCAGTCCAAGGCCAAAGGCCTGAGACCTGAAGCTCTGGGGTAGGTCTCAGAGTCCAAAGACCCAAGAACCTTGAGTTCTGATGTCTGAGGGCAGAAGAAGATGGATGGTTCAGCTCCAGAGAGAGGGTGAATTTGTCCTTCCTTCACCTTTTTGTTTTATCTGGTCATCTGACAGATTAAATGCTGTCCTTCCACATATTTGAGGGGGATCTTCTTCATTTAATGTGTCAACTCAGATGCTTTTCTCTTCTGGAAACATCCTCACAGACATACCCAGGTATGTTTTACCAGTCATCTGGGTATCCCTTAATCCAGCCAAATTGATACAAAATTAACCACCAGATGCAGTGAGTAGTACTAACATCTCTTTCCTCAGTGGAAATTGCAGAAGCTAAAATATCTTAGCATTACTGTGCATATATTTTGCATCTAACTAAAGAATAAACTGCCAGTAATGTTCAGGATTTTTTCCATAGTACAGGTTTAAAAAAAGTTATTGTTGTTGTTTTGGTCTAAGGTAGTGTTCTGTTATATTATTTCCTGAAGGAATATTACATAAGTCAAATATTACTCTGTTTCCAAAAGTACAGAGAAATTCAAGAATGAGGTAAGTATCCTGTGTCACTTATCTGGATGGATCTAGTGATTCTTGATAGTCCTTTAATTGTGGGAATTCGGTCTATGTGTGGAAATCCAGAAAAATCCAAATGTCTTTCTTAATACAGACGATCAACCTGAGGTCCAAAATCAGTATGTAGAAACTGCAGAGAAGATAAGATTGCAGTGCTACCAAGTCCTCAGAATTTCCAGGAACTTGGTTTTCATTTCACTATACCAGAAGAAACACATCTTAAAAGAAATGGTGGAAATTGGCATTGAAACAATTAAGAATCATCAGGCATTTGGGTTATGTTACTTAATATATTTTCTTAGTATTTTAGATATGAGTAGGAGGGAAAAGAGCCACAGCTAAACAAACAAGTTTGGGGAAGCATTACCTAAGGAACAATGAAGGATTTGTTGCCATGGAAATATCAGTGTTAGAAAGAAGTTAGAAGCTGTGTTGGACAAGAAAAAAAAAGGAGGTTTTTAAGGGAAAGTGGATTGTTCGGACACTGAAGCTTGTCAGATTGTGGTGTGCATTATTTGGGGTACACTTGGAGATCACCTGGTGGGAACCTGGCAGCTGGTGTTAGGGATGCAGAGGCTGTTTCATCAAGAGACTTTCTTGACTTTGAGAAGCTTCCTGGGGGCGATCCCAGATGGCTCACTTAGCAGGAAACTCATTTATTTGTAGCTACAAATACTTGCCAGAATCCCTAATGTCCATGTGAACAGGACTGCAAGCTCATAGCTGCTCCCCTGTAGTCAATTTGCAAGCCACATTGACTCTTTCAGTCTAAGATGGTACCATTAGGAACCAGGTCACTCATGTTGTTTATTATTAATTTGTGGGTTGGATTTTTAATCAAAATTAACTCAGCAAAGAAGCAGATTGGATTAGCATGGTAAGAAGCTCTGAATTAAGGGCTTTAAATTCTAGAACGTTAGGATAAAAACTGGGATGGAAATTCTTGGAAGAAGTGGAATACTCTGAGAGAGGCTGAGGTTCAATGGAAGGTCTGGGGTTTTGTGGAGAGTGAAGAAGGGCTTGAATAGCTGCACAAAAGAGTTAGGAAGCTATTATATATTAGTGGAAAAATGTAATCTCTGTTACTTGGGGGCGAATTAACAACTTTTAGTTTATTAATTGGCTGGAAAGATGTTCAGTTTCACTCAATCATAGGGTCCCTGGGTGTCATGTTGGGGCGCAGTCATTGAATGGCAGCCTCAAAAGGTGAGCAGGGCCCAGATCACAAAGGCCCCTGTATGCTACCTAAAGAGTTTTCTCTTTTTTTTTTTTCAGGCAACAGCAAGTGAGTAGAAGTCTTTAAAGTGGGATGTAAAATAAGCAGACTTACTGTATGTGTAAGAAAATACTGATAACAATAAATAGAAGAAACTGATATTTATTACTAAGGAGAAAAGAACAATAAGTCAGATGAAAGATTGTGATAGACCACTGACAGTAGAAATGAAGAAGATAGGCCATTCATTCTACAACTCAACAGATATTTGTTGAATACCTTTTATGTGCTAGCTGCTAAGTTTTGTATACAAGGAATACAGAGGTGAATAAAACAGACCAGTTACTTGATCTCAAGGAGTTTATATTCTAGCGGTAAAAACAATAATAAATAATCACCCAGATTAATGACATGATTCTTTCAGCTAGAGAGAAGTTCTTTGAAGAAAATAAAACTGGGTATAAAGGGAGAGTGACTGGGCTAGGTGGCCTCTATTAGGGAGTGACACAAGATTTAGGACTTGACTGACAAGGAGTGAGTCATGTAATCTAGGGGAACAGCATTCCTGGCAGAGGAAACCACCAGTGTAGAGACCTTAAGGATCTAGGTGTGTCGGAGGAAGAGTACAAGTAGCTGGAGCAGGTGATGATGAAACTGTGCTTAACCAAAGAGATAAAGAAACCAATTACTAGACAGAAATTATTCAGTTTGCAGGATGGCAGATGAAAAAAGAAACAACTTGCTGAAACACTAAAACTCCCTCTGCTTAAGAGATGAAAGAACTGGGTGAAATTGGTTGGAACCAATATGGCTGACTGGTGTCTGCATAGAATGAGCTTACTGAGGTCACAACCTGAATTTCCACCATCTATTTTATAATAACTCCCCCTGAGTTTGCACATGTGACCCATGAGATAGTATGACAAGAGAACTACACATGCTCAAGGACCTTACAGACCTCCCCTTTCCTTCCACTAATCACCTACTAATCTCAGAATCTACCCCCTGCCTGCTTTGAAGCCAGCAGGGCAGACAGATTTGAGCTTGACACTCCTGTCTCCTTGTGAGTCAACTTGCAATATAAAGCTTTTCTTTTCTCGAAAACCTGGTGTCATAGCATTGGCTTCTAGCACAAAATACCTTTTATTTGACAACAGTGGGAGGGGTTACAGTGGTATGGAATGGGGCTGAAGAGGAAGATTTGAAGGCTGGAATTGGGAGTTTAGATTCTAAAGGTAATGGAGTGACCTCATTTGGCTTACACTTTTAAAAGATCACTAATTGGTGTGTGGAAACAAGGAGGCCGGTTACGAGACTATTGTGGTAGTCCAGATGAGAGATGCTGGTGACTTGGATCAAGGTACCAATTGCAGAGACAGAAAGAAATGGCAAATGTCAGCATATGAAAGATACTGCAGACCCTCAGCTTTTGAGAGGAAGGTGCTCAGAAAATTCCTCACAAAGTTTTAACTATGAAGATATCTCCACAACATGTGATCCATCCCCAAATCAACTAAACTATATGAAAAAGTCGTAACCTTTTTGTTCCCTTAATGAGATTACTACTTATGCCATGAAGAGTAGAGAACAATAAAGTCACAATGGAATATGGTGCAGCACAAGCCCACAAGTAACGCAATAACTATACGCATGTTTAACAGAAAACATTTTTATTTGCAGTCATGGTTACCTTTGAAGGAGAGTGTTCCTTAAAATGACAGGAGTTTTTGTCTCCTGGGATGCTTGATGGCTTGTTTGGAAATGTCTGCACATAGAAGTTAGGAAAGAATGAATTTCCTCATAACAGAGGGAGTAGTTGAGAGTGAACCATGCCTGTGGCTTCCTACTTGTTAAGAAAGTCGGCTGAGCTTACACGTGTGAGGACACGTGAAACTTCTGTTAAGAGGAAAAACTTTACCAACTTAATTCCAGTAATCAGGGGCCTGAAAATTAATGGGCAATAGCAGATTAACAGGGAAAAAGATTATTATGCATCCAGGAGCATTCGGATTAAGAGGCTTCCTGAACATCTAGATATAGGGGTTTATATCTCAACTTAATAAAGAAAAGAGAGGAGGGAGAAAGGGCTTCGATGGGAAAACAAATGGGCTTTAGGAAAAACAAATTGGCTTTTAAGAAGATCGAATGAAACATATGACAGTTTGTGATGATGTTGTTATGCAATCTCTCATCCCAGTGAGTGAGTGGTCTTACCTGGAGTGAAGCACCCCCAGCAAGAGGATTTATGGCAGATTCACTCTTGGAAGTCTCTGCTTTTAGTCAGATATGAGAAACTCCAACAAAGCTCTTTCTGCATCTGAAACTAAAATGTCTTCAGTTTAAAATAATCTTCGTATCAACTCTAGAGTTTGGATGAGTCTCCACACTTTATTTCAACAAAGGCCGATGCAGAAACTCAGCATCTCGTTTGGATCCATATGTATGAAGTCAAGATACCACAAATAAGCAGAGACCTAGGAGCAGAGGAAGCCATAGGAATATGGATCTTCTAGGACTACTTGGAAATCTCAGTGCAATTTATGCTTCCTGAAGGTATGGGATTGAATGCTTTAGCCAATCTTATCTAGATAGTTGCGTAGTCAGAGAGAGTCCTTTCTAACTATGAGCATTAATTCCTTTGCTCCAAACAAATTTAAAAGTGCATCTAGCATAAATACTTAGGTATGACAAGTGCTACAGGGGAGAAAATAAAAGTGTAAGATGTGGACATTTATAAGGTCAGGTCTGGGATGAATGTCCTTTGTCTCATTACCTAACTCTGCCGCTCTTGTGTGATCTTGAACAGATTAATTCACCTCTCTGAGCCTTCATTTCATTATATATGTATATATGCAATACATGTTAAGTATCCCTGAAATGCTTATGACAAGAAGGGTTTCACATTTTGTAATCTGTTTTTATTTTGGAATATTTGCATATACCTAATGAGATATGTTGGGGATGGGACACAAATCTTAATATGGAATTTATTTATGTTTCACGTACACTTTATCCACATAACCTAAAGATAATTTTATACAATATTTTAAATAATTTTGTGTAATGACCAGGTGTGGTGGCTCGTGCCTGTAATCCCAGCACTTTGGGAGGCCAAGGCAGGTAAATCACTTGAGTTCAGGAGTTAGAGACCAGTCAGGGCAACATAGTAAAACCCCATCACTACAAAAAATAAAAATTAGCCAAGTGTGGTGGCATGTGCCTGTAGTACCAGCTATTCAGGAGGCTGAGATGGAAGGATCTATTAAATCTGGGAAGAGTTGAGGCTGCAGTTAGCTGTGATCATGTCACAGCACTCCAGTCTGGGCAACAGAGCAAGACCCTGTCTCAGAAAAACAAACAAAAATATTGTGCATGAAACAAAGTTTGTGTTCAGTAACTAACATGTGTAATTTTTAACTCATGGCATCATATTGGTGCTCAAAAAGTTTCAGATTTTGGAGCATTTTGGATTTTGGATTTCCAGATTAGTGTTGCTTAACCTATATAATTTTTATTTTTGAGTGTTTATTTAAATGCATTACTTCATTTGTCCTTTTCATAACATGAGATATTGTGATGCCTGTATTAATATTTAACAAACAAAAAGGCTTTAAGACATCAAGCAGCTTCTCCAAGATCACACAGCCAGAAAGTGACAGAGCCAAAATGAGAATCCAGTTCTCTTTGATCCCAAACTTTCTCTCTTAACCACTACATTGTACCACCTTAATATGCTGTAAGGTTGTTATAAGAATTAGGTTAAATTAAATTGATATAAGTGAGAAAGCATAAATAAATTGGTCTGCATAGTTCTGGCACATAGAAGTAACTTTAAAAATGGCAGGTGCTTTATAATTGTTTAATCATGAATAGTAAAATTATCTCTTGCTATGGTTTGCATGTGTCCCTCAAAGTTCATGTGCTGGAAACTGAATTCCCAGTGCAACAGTGTTAAGAGGTGGGACCTTTAAGAGGTTATTGGTGCATGAGGGCTCTGCCCTTGTAAATGGATTAACATTGTTATCACAGGAGTGGTTTGTTTTTAAAAAAAATAAATAAATAAAAGTGAGTCCTGTCTTGCTCTCTCATGTTCTCTTGCCCTCCTGCCTTCTGCCATGGAGTAACACAACACAAAGGCCCTTGCCAGACACTGGCACCTTGATATTGGACTTACCAGCCTCCAGAACCATGAGAAATAATGTCCTTTTGTTTCTAAATTACCCAGCCTGTAGTATTCTGTTATAGCAACACAAAACAGACTAAGAAATCTCTACCTGGCTCTTTTTGTTTGAGTACTCTCTGACATTTTGGAGATTAAATCTCATAACATATTTTATGCACACACACACACACACACACACACACACAAATCTATTGAATAAAGATGCATGTGTTATTTTGTTATGAGAGATCAAATGGGTAGTATTATAATTTTCAAGGGGGAATCTAGGGTGTAAAATATTGAGGCAGGAGCCTTAGAGAAAGTCTTCATGAAGGAGGTAGAACCTAAGCTGGGGAGAATTTACATGGTTCTTAGCTGGTAAACACAATTTCTCTAAGTACTTCATTTACAATAGAAATTAGCTTAGGCCCTGGATGAGTATGACTCATTTAAATGTTCAAAACCATGAATCACTCAATGTAGCACTATGGGCAATTTTAATGAAACATCTTTAATGTCTGTATTCCTTTGTTAACTGCTTCTATTGAATTTAAACAGAAGTCCCATTTTATTCCAAATTTAAATTCAAAAGAGATTTGATCTTTTCTTCCTGCCATTTTGCAACCCATGTAATTTCTCACAAGTGCCTGGAATTAAGATGTTGAGTCAGATGAGAAAGCTGAGTATGAAACTAAATGAAACACCAAAGCAGAAGGGGAGACTTTGGAGTGACATATCCATTTGAAACCACTTGAGCTGGCCCTTCTCAATTCCTGAGACTTCCTAAATTGCAGTGGCTGACATGACCTCTAATCCTCAACTACTTGGAACACCAGAAAATCAAAGAGAAAAAAATTAATTCAAAAATCAAAAATGCCTCACACAAAAAGATCTACATCTATGTATTAATTAATCTCAGCTTTATTCATAAGGCCCCAAAATGGAAACAAACCAAATGTGTAATGACATTGGTAAATGAATAAACCAATTCATTGGTAAATGAATAAACCAATTGTGGTACATCCATGCAAAGAAATAGCACACAGCAATGAAAAGAAACAGACTGCTGACACATGCAGCAACAAAATTGAAGCCTCAACATCATGCCAAATGGAAGAAGCTAGGCACAAAATGTTACTACCTACTTTATTACTTCATTTATAGGATATTGCACAAAAGGAAAAACTATGCAGACAGAAATCAGTTGATTTGTTGCCAGGGACCAAGAATGGGATACCGATTGACTGCAAGGGGACAGAGCACTTTTGGGAATTGAATACTGTGTTCGTTTGCTAGAGCTGCAATGGCAAGTTACCACAAATTGAGTAGCTTAAGGAACAGAAATGTATTATCTCATAGCTGTGGAAGCTAGAAGTCTAAGATCAAAATGCTGACAGGGTTGATTTCTTCTGACAGCTGGGAGGGGAATCTGTTCCACTCTCCTCTCTTACTCTCTGGTGGTTCCCTGCATGGCAGATAATGCATCACTTTGATCTCAGCCTTCATCTTCATGTGGCATTTTCCCTGTCTGTGTTAAATTCTTCCCTTTTTATGAGGACATTAGTCATATTTGATGAGGGGCCCACCTAATTCTAGTAGGACCACGTCTTAACTAATTACATCTTCAATTAATCTCTTTCCAAATAAGGTCATATTTGGAGGTACTGTAAGTTAGGACTTGAAGAGGAGTAAAACATATGTTTTCTTTTACCTTTCTAGGTTTCTGGCTGGGGCTCTGTAACAAAACAGATTAACAAGAGAAAAATAACCATGTAAGTCTACTTACATGTCTATTTCATATATAGAGAAGAGAAACAGGGATGAATAATAATTGAAAGGGGTCATTGAACTTGGATTTACCAACTTGGGCTAACACAAAGGAAAGATGTTTTGGGTCTAGGGAAGCAAGTTGTAGGAAGGTGACCAGGAAAAGTATGATAAACAAGGGTATGATTTAAATGTTATGCAGATTTAAGTCAGTGTCTTCTCCATTGATAAGAGTGTCTTGTGATAAACAGTCCTCCTTGTCTTCCTGGTATAAAGAGGGAGACACCCTTAAATGGAGATTTCCTTTATAGATGTAAATTTCCTTTATAAATGGAAACTTATGCTCTGTCTTTAGAGATTCTCTTGTGTCTGCTGTTTCTCAAAATAATTAGCTCAAAATAATTCTTATGCCAAAAAGGCATATTTTGGGGTGGCATATTCTGGTCTCCTACAGACTTCAGAATATGAATTTTGGGGTGACACGATTCAACCTATCACAGAAACGTTCTCTATTGATAGTGGCAGTAAGTACACAGCTGCATACATTTGTCAAATCTCATCAAACTGTACACTTAAAAAGGTAAATTATACCTCAATAAACCTGACTTTCAAATTACACATCAACTGACTTCACTTAAAAAAAAAAGGTTGCTCAGGTCTCTACTATATCCTGCTTGGACAACTGCAGAGGCTGCCAGTCTGATCTGTCTCCTTCAGTATCTTGTCCTACATCCAGGTCACTTCTCTGCTTAATACTTCTTTAGGTGCCAATTGTCCTCTGCATAAAGAACAATACTCCTTAACCTGGGACTCAGGGCTCATGTGACACTTTCATACTTCTCTAATCTTGTCATTTTTCAATGTTTGGCTAGCACATTCATTCACCAGTAACTGCCTGTGGCCACCTGTAACACACACACGTGCGTGCACACACACACACACACACACACATCCCATACCCCCCACCTCTGTTTCTTGCCTCAATGCCTTTGCTTTTGTACATACTTCTTTGCTAAAATGTCCTTCTCTTCTCTTTTTCTAGCCAAATTCTACTCATTATTTAAATATCAACTTTCTCTGACATCTCGCTCTTCCCACTCCCAGGCTCAGTTAAGTGCCCTCCCCTGAACTCCCTAACCCTTGTGCAAAGTTCTATTTGTGCACTCACCACCATTTGATAATTACCTCATGTGTGTCATTAGACTGAGTTGTTCAGTGAGTATACCAGTACTTCAGCCCACTTGTAAGATATACTCCAAGCTAAGACTCCCCTCAAACTGCCAGCCTTCTACCTCTGAAGCTATAGTCACCCTTCCTTATTCTGTTCCAGGGTCTTCTCCAAAGCCATAGAAACTGGCCCCAAGAGAATGCCATGTAAAAACTTTCAACTAATGGGAGAAAAAAGTTTTCTTGCATTCCCTTTCACATTTCCCCACACCCACATGCCATGCTAATTCTGTTTATGTGGACAGTGCTGGGAGGCATTCTATATACAATACTGTTGAAGAACATGGAGCAATTCCTTATAAAAATAGATAGAAGTGTGCAGAGTCAAACCTACATTGTCTACAGAAGCAGTCTAGATGAAGGGGGATTTTTCTTCTCCCATTCTTCTCACTTCCTCCAATCCTGTATCCTGGTATCACCTCCCAGATAAATATTACACACAGTTGTTATAACTTCTTTTTGTAGTAAACCTATTGGTATATAATATCTTTATGTGTTTGTTGTAAACTTTTAAAATTTAAAGTTTTTTTTCCGATATTACTATATCTACCCTTGCTCTTTTTGGTTACTGTTTGCATGGAATACTCTTTTTCATCCTTTCAGTTTCAACCTATTTTCATCTTTGAATCTAAAGTGAGTCTCTTTTAGGCAGCATATAGTTGGATCATGCTTCTTAAATCCATTCTGCCCATCTCCATGTTTTGATTGGAAAGTTTAATGCATTTATAATTAAAGTTAATACTCATAAAGAAGGATTTACTTCTGTCATCTTTTGATTTATTTTTTATATGCTTTATAGATTTTTTGTCCCTCATTTCCTGCAAGACTATTATTTTGTGTTTAGTTGAGGTTTTTTTTTTGTAGTGAAATGTTTAAATTTCTTCCTTGTTTTCTTTTGTATATATTCTTTAGCCATTTTCTTTGTGGTTATTATGGGAATTAACAACCAAAACTTATAACACTGTAATTTGAACATATACCAGCTTAACCTCAATAACATACAAAGATTCTGCTCCTTCAGCTCTGTCCCCACCCCTTTCACTTGTTAATGCTACAGAATTACATCTTTACATACTGGGTGCCCCAAAACATAAACTAATAATTATTAATGCATTAGCCTCTTAAGTTATATATGAAACAAAATGTGAAGCTATAAACCAAAACTACAATAATATTGCCTTGGCTAATAATTGCGGTTTTTAAAAAGTTATTAGCCTCTTAAATTACACAGAAAATAAAAAGTAGAGTTACACACTATTGTTACAATAATACTACCTTTTACAATTTTTTATGTATTTACCTTTACTGGATATTTATGTATTCATATAGCTTCAAATTACTGTCTAGTGTCCTTTTATTTTAACCTGCCAGACTCCCTTTAGCATATCTTGTGAGACAAGTATAATTCACAAAATATTGACTGGTTTTCTTTTTCCCTTTGCTATTTGAATACATTAGCCCACTCTGACCCACAGAGTTTCTGATGATCATATGCTAATAATATTATAGAAAATTCCTTGTATGTGATGAATCACTTCTCTCTTGCTACTTTTAAGATTATTTGCTTTTGGCTTTCAACAGTTTGATTAAAATGTGTTTCAGTGTTGATTTCTTTGAGTTCCTTCTATTTGGAGTTTATTGAATATCGTGAATGTTTCTATTTGTGTCTTTCATCAAACTTGAGTTAAGTTTTGACTATCATTTGTTTCAAACAATTTATCTATCTTTTTCTCTCTCTTCTTCTGAGACTTCCAAAATGTGTGTGTTGGATTGCTTGATGTTATCCCATGGGTTCCTTAAGCTCTGTTTACTTTTATTCAATCTTTTTTCTACTTCTCAGATTTGATCATTTCCATTGTCCTATCATTAAGTTTATCACTTCTTTCTTTCACCCACTCAAATCTGCTTTTGAATCCCTCTAGTAAATTTTTCATTTTTATTATTGTGCTTTTCAGCTCCAGAAATATTTTGTCTTTTTAGACTATCTATCTCTTTACTGGTATTTCCATTTTGTTCGTACATTATTTTCTGGACTTTCTCCATATCTTTAATATGGTTTTTTAAAACTCTTTTGCTAGTATAACTTTTATCAGGTTGTTTTCAGGGACAATTTCTGTTGATATATTTTTTCTTTGAATGGGTCATACTTTCCTGTTTCTTGGTGTGACTTGTTATTTTTTGTCGAAAACTGGATATTTGAATCTAATAGTTTGGTAATTCTGGAAATTACATTCTCCTACTTCACCATTCTTGGTTATGTGTGTGTGTGTGTGTGTGTGTGTGTACACTGTTACAGGCTGTCTCTGTACTGAGGATAAGCCTGAAGTGTACACTTAAAGTTTTCTAGCGCTTCTGTGACCCCGTGCCTTTTCCTGGGCATGTGTGGTGATCTTCTAATTTCTCCCAGATATCTGATACTAGAGGTACACTGGGGAGATTCTAAACTATTCAATTGTGCCTATGGCATGCATGGCAGAAATTACTAATTGATTTTGGCTGTCTTTGATACAGAACCCCAAAATGGCTTTAGAATTATTTCCAACACAATACTAGATTATTACCAATTCTACCAAAGTTTTTATTCTAACTTTGATGTTTTTTAAATAAAACACTCCAAAGGATTTGAGTCATTTAAAAGCGCAAAGCAGACACTGTAGTACAATAGATGTTATTCTTTCTACTTCCTGCCCATATAGTCTTCCTCTTTAGCTTTCTTTTTTCCTTTTGTGTTTCTGTAGATGCTACTAACATTGAGATGACTATAATTTTTAATGATAAGCAGAAGATTTTTAAATTTCTTGCTCCAACATGAGAATCTACTCACTCTGGCTACTTGCTTGGTACATGGTAGTAAGGTTGCTATTTAATAGCTTTTCCTGAATCTCTATATATTGAGAGTGTGTAATAGTCAACTCAAATTATTGCTTTTTAAATCTATTGTTCTCTATACCTAGAGATGAAATATCCTTTTTTTATATGTTAGCTTAATGTCATGCTGTGTTTCTGTAGCAATTATTTGTATGGAATTACCCGGTAATTTCACTATACTTTCCTTCAATGTAGACAGAAAAGATTATACCATCATTTCACAGTGTCTCTTTGATTTGTCACACTGGGCATTAGGAACTACTTTTGGAAAAAAAAGCAATGAAGCAAAATTGTTTCTCTTTTCAATAGAAAAATTCTGTTTAAGGAAATAAAAGTATTTTCCTTATGATAACAGATGAAAAAATATACCTGTCTCACTGCTGGTAAACTCTTCCAAGATTAGAAGGTGCCTCTTTTCAACGTGACTGGCATATGAATAGAAGGTGTGGAAGCCATTGCTATTGGCAGGGGAAATCAAAGATTTGGCATTATGGGTTTTCCTGCATTTCACAATAATTTCAGTGTCTGGGGGCTAGTTCCTGGGAATTTAGCCTCTACTCTAGGAAAAGGTATGGGTGAAGATGCTGGGGGGTGGGGTGGGGCGGGGCTACTTTCCATTGTAGCTACTTGGAGGAGAGAGGGACATTTGGCAAATTCCTGCTAAATGTCAGGAGCTTTACAGCCATTATTTTTCTTGGTCTTTTCAATAATTTCGCAGAAAGTATTATTTTTTCCAGATGAGAAGACTGAGGCTCAGAAAGATTAAGCAATTGTTCCAACTGCCCATATTTAAACAGAGGTTGCATTGTAATTAAAATGAGGTCTGGATCATAGCTAAACATCCCTTCAGTTTAACTAAAATTTTGCATGAATCTTTTAATCTTTCATTGATAACCATCTCCAAATGACTATTCATGACTAATCTTGGCTTAGCATAGTACTGCTACAGTGCTTTCTCACTTATTCTCATAGCCTGACTACAGATTGCAAAGTCAAGTACTCTTTCCCCACTCTTGACAATCCATTCATCTCCTGTGAGTATGGATTTAGTGACACCTAATGTCTTGAGAGCTTGGGGGGTCAAGGAGAAGTCTGCCCTTCAATTGTCTTAAGCCAGAGTGGCGAAGAAAGAGATCTGGTGCCGGGCCATACTCCCCAGTCTCTCTCAGCACGTCCCATGACTTTTTCTAATATCCACTGCTGTCTTTCCATTCTAGAAAAGAGAAAGATGATCCAAGTATCTGTATGGAAAACCTAAGGCATTGGGGGTCTCCTGGGAGTCTGAAGCAAGAGGACTGAGATACCCTCAGAGGTATTGAGGTACCCTCAGTAAAGGGCAGCAAGACATGACTCCTGAGGAGAGTGGAAAAGCCAATGTTTATTCTGGCTGCCTTCAATTCAGTCATTGCATTCCACATCTCTCTCAGGCCTTCCTAAGGTCCCAAATGTGGACAAGTGTGGTATGAATAATCTGTATGACACTAAATATTTCCTTTATCCAGGATGGGGCAAAGAGGAACTTTATATAAATAAATATCAAGGGGAAGTGGTAACATAGTTAACAAATGGCAGCTAAGTTACTTTCTGATGACTGCCCAAGGTCTCTCAAAGTACCATTTCTGCAAAGCATGTTGTTGTAATCAGCCTTCTTGGATTAATGCTCAGAGGCAGTAAACAAAACACAAAATAAAAAAATATATACATGACAAGCAGCTGGCTAGTACCATCTAGTGGTAGCAAAGAAGCAATAACTTTTAAAATGACCTTTTAAAATGCGGAAAGGGGGAGACTGAAACCATCCATTCCTTTCTGGGGACATGAATGGTTTACCACGAAGGTGTAGAGCTTCATTTTTGTCCATGGGAGCTGGAGAGTGGCTCAATGCCAGGACGCTTTTCAGAGAGAAGACAGCTGAGAGAGATTGAGCTGCATTTCGAGATGGGCTTATTTCAATGCCTGAGATAGGGGCACATAAAATTGCACACATAGCTCATTTTCTGTTTGGTTGTCTCTTGTGGGAAGGAATGGTGCTGCTGATCTCTGGGAGAGTTTGGGGGTTTCCTGAAAACCAGCTACTTTGTTTATAAACATTGCCATTCAAAATCCAAGTCCTGGATAAAACTCTGGCTGTGGCAATTGGTTTTGGAGACTTTGTTGTTTGTGACACCTGCCTCCTTGTATCTTAGGCAGAGTTTCAGAGCAGCAAATGCTTGCATGACATTTCTCCAAAGGATTTTAGTTGATGATCTGCATTCCACTGAGCAAATAATTGTCATTGCTATGGTTTATTCAATACCTACTGTGTGCCAGGTACTGTGGTGAGCCTTTTAGCTGCATTGGCTAATATGATTCTCAAGACCATTTTGAGGCAGGTATTCTTTGTCTCATTTATATAAAAGAGAAGTGGGGCTCAGAGAACTCATATGACTTGCCCAAGATCACAGAGGTCATGGAGGTCGTGCTGGGAGTCACTCGCACGGGAAGGTATCTGACAGCCACTGTGGAGGATGAACTTACAGCTTCAGCACCGTCCCTATCCTCAGAAAGCTTATGATATTTTTAGGAAGGTAGGACATGCACAAAAATAGAAATATACCATGAGGGCCTGTGCAAGATGGTTATGTTTCTGGAGATTGCTGACAAGGCTATTGAGTCTAAGAGACAGGCTGAGACGTCAATTCCCCTATCCCCATATGAATAGGCAGCCAAGCCACCCAGAATCATTCGCAATCTCTCCTTCCTCATTGAATGATGTTTAAATGTGCCTGACTTGTTGATCATCAATGAGGTGGCACCTGCTGGAGTAAGAAAATGTTGTGATCAAGAAGATGGATCTGGTGCCAGGACAAGGTGGACTAGAGTAAAGATTCTGGGGCCAGGGAGATTCATTAGGAGGAAGTTGTGAGTCACTCGGGTGTCAGGAGATGCACTGAAATGAAGAGACAGCTGTGGGGATGGAGAGGACGAGCTGACAGGCCAGACACTGTAAAAGAACCAGAGAGAGTAATTGGGCCCTGTTCCTTGAAAGATGAGGAACAAATATGACTGGTGAGAAGGGGAAAAGGCTGTGTGGGTGCTTCTGGGTGTGTGTGACAGTAGGTGTGTGAGTGCAGATGTGTATTTGATTGTGTGTGGGGCAGTGTGCAAGTGTGAGTGTGGGTGTGAATGTGTGTGTGTGTGTGCATCAATGTGTGTATATGTGTGAATGAGTGTGTGTATCTATGTGTGAGTGTGTGTGGGCATGGATATGTGTGAATATGTGTGTATATGAGTGCACATGTGTGAAGGTATGTGTATGTGAGTATGTGTGAGTGTGTGTGGGCATGGATATGTGTGAATATGTGTGTATATGAGTGCACATGTGTGAAGGTATGTGTATGTGAGTATGTGTGTGTGTGTGTGGGCATGAATGTGTATATGTGTATGTAAGTGTGGATGTTAGTGTGTGTGTGTGAATAAGCATGTGTATGTGAGTGTGTGGGTGGGTGGGAATGTGTGACTGAATATATGTGTCTGTGAATGTGAATGTGTGTGAGCATGTGTGTGTGTGTGTGTGTGTGTGTGTATGGAGATCTATCAGGAGAATGTTGTACCTGGTCTCTGAGTTGTTTGTAGAAATGGGAAACAGCTTCTTTTCTCTAACCCATATTGTTTGAGCAGATTGAGCTCTCTAAAGAGATGTTTTTATATAAACTAAAACAAAAGGTGTCTCTTTATTGGATGTGGTAGACAAGAAAACAAAAATTGGAACCAACATCCTATTTTCCTTATTATGTTCCTTTGATTTCAAGGCAAATGGTCTCAATCAAGACATTCCCCACTCTGGACTGAAGGGGCTGGTGGTGGACACCATGTGAATGACCCACCCTGAAAATGACTTGAAAGTTACAAGGGCAGAGCTCCAGCTGACGGCAAAAAGGAGAC
Source organism: Homo sapiens (assembly GCF_000001405.40). Classification (NCBI taxonomy): domain Eukaryota; kingdom Metazoa; phylum Chordata; class Mammalia; order Primates; family Hominidae; genus Homo; species Homo sapiens. Next base: position 34,079,506 of record NC_000013.11, read on the forward strand.
AGGCCAACTGTAAGGTTTCCACTTTGTGACCCAGGTTTAATCTTCTTACAGTGTGCACTGCACACACATTCACACATATACAAATACACATGTGCACATTCAAACACAAGCACACAAATTCGCATGTGCACATACACACATGCAAACATATAAACACATATGTACACATGGAAACACACAAAAACACACACACACAAATACACACCTATGCAGACACAGGTACATATACATACACATACATGCACACATACACACACAAACATACACACACATATACACAAACACACACATGTACACACACAACACAGCAGTGCTTACTCAGAGGGAATTACAGCAGAAGCAGCAGGAGGTGTTTACTTCTCACTTGATACACAAAACCCAGGCAGAGAAAAACATGTACTTATTATTAGCACAACTTATAAAATCTTGCTCGGGTGTGCAAAATTAGTAATACAAGGAAGTGGAACTATTTTATGGCCAGGGTTTTCTGACCACTATGTCAATTAATTTATATAGACCCATACATCCTATATTAAGTGTAACTTTCATTCCCTCTTTCCCGTGGTGAATGACCCAAAACTTTTAGAAAACTCTTCAGACAAGCAATAAAATAAATTCATCGTTGTGCATGTTGGGTTTGAGGTGATGGTGGAACATCCTAGGTTTGAAATGATTTCTAAGGAGCAGGTTGGAGTGGAGCTTGGGTGAGAATCAGGGCTGGAAATATGAATGTGGAAATGAGCAGCATAGAAGGACATTTTTATTAGGAATTGGAAGAGCTCACACATAATTCAGAAAAACAGCACCACCGGGAATGTCAGCTAATATTATTAGGTAAAATCACTCAAAGAATGCCAGCATTTAATGAAGACCCCCTGAATGTACTTTTATTAAATTGCAAGTGATATGCTCAAAGGGTACTGAATTTGTTGATGCAAGTTTACTTTTTTTAGTCACATGAAATTAGGTTCTCCCTCATTTGTGAACCACTCCCTTAGAGAAGGGCTATGTTGAGATGACCCCAAACTACCAAGTTGTAATTAATTTGGGGCTTGCAACAGGCCCAGCAAGTGATATAAATTGCTCTAGAATTGAATTATGAGTAGAAATCAAGCATAGGCAAGTGAGGAGAGACGAATATGGAGACAGGAGGAAGAGAAACTTATTATTATGCTGTGGCCAATTTCATTATGCTGTGAAGGTAAGACATAATTTGGAATCATTAATAGTTATATGAATCCCTTCTGAACTCTTGGGTTCTGAGGTTAGTTTTGCACTAGTAAAATAGTTGCCATATATGTCTGACTATAAGGTGAGTTTATCATTTTTTCTTAAACAATTATCACTTAGAGAAGAGGGACTTTGATATTACATGGTATGGGCTTTATTATTAATACTTAATTTTGAATAATAAAGATATATTTGGGAAAGACACATTTGCCTGAAAATACCTTAAACAATGCTAATTTTGAAAATTTTTTAAGGTCAGCTGATAAAATTTTTTAAGACAAAAATTTAGCATAGTTTAAGTTTAAATTATTTTAAACACAATTTAAATTGTAACATTTCACTTGTACCCCTGTGTATATGATCATGCAATTTCAAATGTTGAATATAAGGAAGGCTTAAAGTTTCAAAGATTACTTTTAGGAGGAATACAGTAAATGATAATGTAGAGGTTGCAAATAAATACCTATAAGACACACAAAACAATTTTCTAAAAAAATATACACAAATTGGCTTCTTGTGGCTTGAGATGAGGTATTCATTGACGGCCTCCACACAAATGGAAAAGAACCATCTCTCGATCAATTTAGACTGTAAGAAAGACATGGGCCCTGGACCCTGTTCGAAAAGTGAGTCAAGCAATGGTGAAAGCAATAAAGACAAGATGCGAATGAGGCATTCGAATAAAATTGTTTCAAATGCAATGTTGCTAAATTAATATAAACTTACTCTTTTAAGTCTGTATGTGAAACTAAATGAATAAATTAGATAGTAGAATTTGCCTATTTGTTTTTTTCCTGTTTATTTACATTTAATTAATAAAGACAATAGAAGGATGAGGTTTCAGTATTCTCTTCAAATTTTATTTTAAGTGATGTTAATTACAGTATTTGAAGGGAAGGTTCTAATTCCACACAAAATGGAAGAATATAAAGTGTGTTCATTAAACTGCTAAAAAATAGAGTGGTGAGAATACAACAGAAGTCCAATTTAGATTCTGAGTGTTGTCACCATGTTATTACAATCACACAGCCTCTTCCAAACTTATAGCTGGAGCTCCCGGTAGCTATTTCCTACTCTGGTCCAAGGACCAAAAACCACAATGTAAAACTGAATTAAGTCCTGAATTATTGGCTTCATCACATGCACCCTCTTCCACCTCAAAATGGCAAAAAAGAAACAGTTACCACACCCTGCAGACCTTTTGGTGTAAAAGAGGTGTTGATGAACTGGAGTAGAAACAGGTCATAAAGAGCTGTCTTAAAAAGTCCCTTTCAGGTGAGTTTGTACACACCATCTAGCAAGGAGCCTCTCATCAAGTAGGGTTAGGTAACCACGGTTCATTTCTCAGGAAGTCACAATTTCATTCATTTACTCAATATGCATTTACAAAGTGCCTACATATCATCAGCTTCCAATTGCAGTCATTTCTAGATAAAAAAAGGAACCTGATCTCTAGAGGGGCCACCTAGCTCCCCAAGTCTACAGCTGAAAGGATCTTTTGTGGAATTGGGTTTCTTCTCTACTTCTGAAAGGGTAACACCTTAAAGCTGAATTGTCTTTACAACCTGAAGGTCTGATATGATATTTAGCAATATTTGCATCCTGGACATACAACATTGAAAGATACACTAAATTCTGAAGGTAGCTATGCTTCAAAATACTTTAAATTAAACAATTGTACAGTATTCATTTAGGCTTGAATCCAGTCCTAGACTGAGCTTGTGGCCACTGACATTGATGTTCTTGCCATCCAGGAGAGCTGACAGTGTCTGTTTGATACCTGGCTTTAGGGTTGTGAGTGTATCCTACACCTATCAGCTTGGTGTAAAAGAGGTGTTGATGAACTGGAGTAGAAACACCTCCAGGTTGGATGTGTTCACTTTACCTGCAAAGCAGTCTTCGGAGTCAATCTGATACTTGGCTGCTATTCTGAAATGAGTGTTATTGTTTCCTGCTGTCCAGGAGAGATTGACAGCGCTCTCCAATTTCTTGTTCACCTTCTGGTAAATGGAGCCACTGAACTCTTGTCCTGTCATTCACATGTGTGAAGCTAGAATTCATCAGTCTTGTAGCCAACCACAAAGTTGCTCTGGGTTACTCAGGACTCTGCAGTCTCAAAATTCATTTGGTTGCCAGCCAGCCAACCTTCCTAACCCGGCACCAGCATGCCCCAGATTAAAGGCCCAGTGATGTCCAAATCCACGTTGCAGCCCAGGCAGATGGGCTCCCGATCGTACCCTGTCTTGATTTTAGCACGTTTTTTCCCCAGTGTTAGGTAAGAAAGATGAATGGAAGGTCAGCTTCAGTCCACATGCAAGCTGATCTTCATGGCAGTCTTGGTGCCTCACATGTTGTCAGTGTTCCATTTCCCCATAAATGCCGGACCACACTCAATGCTTCTGTACTTGGTTTCCAGGCTGCCCATCACTTTGGTGGTCTCAGTGTGGACTGAACCCGAACTTGTAAATTCCAGATTTTGTTTTTAAATAAAGTTTCATTACACCAAGTCCATAGCTTCGGTGAAGGGATCCCTGGTAGATTTGCCAAGATTGCCATGTGCGAGTGGCACAGCCATCCTCTGCTCAGAGGTAGTGATGATGGCCTCCAGCAGCCATGGCGGGAAGGTATGGATATTTGCCTATTTGTATTAAGACTGTTTATATTTCAATAGGTCAAAATTATTTTGGGGGATGAGAGAGAAGAAGGTTAAAAATTTCATTTGAAACCTGGAGAAAAGCTTGCTTTTTGTCATCTCCCCATTCCAAAAACTGAGAAGGCCACATCTCATCACTGGGTAATCTTCACAAGTGACCAGTGGCTTTGTGTGCACATAGGAGCCTGGCATCAAAGAAAGATGTAATGCAGGGAGGAATTTGCTCTGTCACAGTCTCTAGCCTCTCTTTCACCGGAGTTGAAGTGGCTCTGGCTTCAGCAATTTCTGTTTCAGCCTGGGTCCATTCTAGGTGGTATGAACATGCAGTATTTCTCAAACTTTTCCGAAGAAGGACCCACCTTGGCAAAAGAGCATGCAGACTGATGCCTGGACATCTTGGGATGTCTTGAATTTCATCTTAAAAATTTATGCAAATTTTACATTCTGTGGCATAACTAGATGTTATGGCATAGGACCATGCGTACCCGAATGGTGACTGATACACCCAGTATGGCACAGGCCCAGGCTTTGGAGTCTGAAAGATATAGTGGCCTTGCTGCCTATAACAAGTTGATCTTGTAATGTAAACACTGTGAGCTTTGATTTTCTTTTCTTTTTCTTTTTTTTCTCGAGACAGGGTCTTACTTTGTCACCCAGGCTGGAGTGCCGTGGTGCAGTGGCGTAATCTCAGCTCACTGCAGCCTTGACCTCCCAGGCTTAAGTGATCCTTTTACCTCAGCCCCCACAAGTAGCTGGGACTATAGTCATGTGCCACCATGCCCAGCTAATTTTTGTATTTTTTATAGAGATTGGGTTTTGCCATGTTGTCCAGCTGGTCTTGAACTCCTGAGCTCATGTGATCCACCTGCCTTGGCCTCCCAAAGTGATAGGATTACAGCCGTAAGCCACCATGCTGGGCCATGAGCCTTGGTTTTCTTACCTATCCAGTGCAGACACACCTTGGAGGGTTGTAATGGGGATTAAATGAGATGACTGATATAATAAGTGTAACAAATGTTGGCTCCTCCTCAAGCACCAAACTACACTCAGAGACATAGCAGCTTGGAGAGACTTATCCAGGAGTTTAGACTTGTCCACTGTCAAGTCTGGAGTGGCTTAGATCCCAACGCCACATTGATTCTTGTAGAGATTTAGCATGGAGGTCAACCAACACATGTCTGGGGTTAATCTAGACCTCACTTTCTGGATTGGGTCCTTGGAATTTGGAAGTGGAGGAGCCTTAGAAGATGACTTACTTTTTAAAAAAGAATGAGGCAGTGACTGCCAGAAGCAAGTTTTCCCTTGTTCTTCTTGAACTCCCTCTTCCTCTCCTCTCATTTTATCTCCAGGCCTCTTCAGTCCTTTTATTGATCCTTTCTTCCATTGAAACTCTACTTGAAGACAACAGAGTCCTGTTAATAGTCAGATTTAATCGTTTCTTCTTAATCTCTATCCTATTTAATCTTTTTGTCCAGTTTGATGCTATGAGACTTTCAGTTTTGTAATGTTTCTCCCTTGGTTTCCCTAGAACTTCTCTAACAGATTTAAGTTGCCTCCATCCTCCCTTGTTGCATTCCATGCCTTTTTCCATTCAGCTTTTAAATACCTTTGCTTTGTCCTTAGCCTTTCATATTTAGACTCCTTTGTGTATTTACCTGGGCTCATCTGTTCCTATGACTTCAATATCATTCTCTGGTTTTCCTCTCTCCGATTTATGCTCTGCACACCATTGTTCTTTTATTTTAAAGTAGCTTACTAGAATTTCTGGAGTACAAGCATTTCAGAGAATGGTTGGCGTATGCCTTGAGAGTCAGACAGGAACAAAATTACAGGCACCTTGTACCCATGTTAATGGATCGATCTTGATAGAATAGTTATGCTAGTATAAAAACAACTCAACAAACTTATTGGCTTCATACAACAAGAACTAGCTCACAGCAACATCTTCCACAAGTAGCTGGGAGGTTCTGCTTTTTGTCTTCCTGACTGAGGAATCCAGGCTGATGAAATAGATTTGATCTGAAACATTGCCTGTTGCCAAACCAGACAGAAGGGGATGGAAGACAGAATTGCATATTGGCTCTTAAAACTTCTGCCTAGAAATCACTGGTACTACTTCTGAAAATGTGTCATTGGCTAAATCAGGTCATACGGCCACATCCAATTTCAAGAGGGCAGAGCATTTTTCTCCTTCCATGTACCTAGAGGAGTGTTGGAAATATTCGGTGAATAGCCCTGATGACTACCCAGTCCTATCACACAACAAGTAGTTAATTTAGTTTCCTTTTGACATGCAAAAAATACTTACCTCTTTCCTAAGGGATTATAACCCAAAATTTTAACCAAACCAACTGGATTCTATTTCAAGTCCAGGATCTCTGAGTGATGCCTTTGGTCACCTTGGTCCTGACATGTACCCTGTTATTACAGAGACCTATACATTCATAAGGTAAGTTGTTTGTCTCTCCTTACACCCCTTATAACAATATACCAAGGTTAGGATGGCCCCAGTAGATATTCAGATGAAGGAAAAATGCAAGATACATTCATCACTGGTATACAGCAAGGGTAAAGATGTTGCAATGGCTCTCTACCCTTGGAACAAGGCATGCTATACAGTCATCCCTCAATATCTGTGGGAGATTAGTTTCAAGATACCCTGCAAATACCAAAATCCATGAATGCTCAAGTCCCTTATATAAAAGGTGTAGTATTTACATATGACCTATGTACATCTTCCTGTACAATTATTATACTGCATTGTTTTACAAGTTTGTATTTTTTATTGTGGTGGTGTTATGTTTATCCCTTTTTTCCCCTAAATATTTTCCATCTGAGGTTGGTTGAATTTGAAATATAGAACCTGTGGATATGGAAGGACAACTGTATATGATTAGGTTTCAGATTCTGTTCCCTGGAAAGGGCTCTACAGTCTGTTGTTTTCTGTAGTTCTTCGCTCCACCTCCTGTGAGGTTTTCTTCCTTTCATTTTCCTCCTTGGGTATTGCTAGAATATGCCTTCAGCAGATGCTGTAACATTTTCTCAGTCTACTTCTTGCCTGTTGATGTTCGAGGGCCTATGGGTCATTTTCAGTTCCCAAAACTCAAAAAAGTTTCTTTTAGTGCAGGTTGATAATTCTTTTGCTGTATGACTCTCAAACACTGAGATTCTTATCTGTTCAATTACAGTCAGTTTCATATGTCAATAACCATACTAGCAGTCCTCAAGACTCAAGAGTCTTAATTTTCATATTAGCTATAATTTTTTACTTTCTTGCTGTCATGAACTACCACTCCCTCCTATCCTTGAATTAATTTTTGCTGCCTGAGCCTATCAGACGTGGGTGGAAAAATCACCTTTAGGTTCTTTTCCCTGAGCTATCTTAACCAACTTAAAAGACTTACTGGATACTACAACTTAATTTGATATTTACCCTGGGTACCCTAATTTATCCATGGATTTTTAAAATGGGTCTCATGACAAATCCTTAATTTGTTCCTAGATGAAACATTCAGTTTTAATGGGCCATCTTTGCCCAAAGTCCTACTCATTTTCTTCTGTTTGAGTTTGAGAAGCAGTTGCCTATTTGATGCCAAATTCTCTGAATTTCTGGGCCCTCTCCATGTTTTTTACATTATACTTACAAACGAGCCACTACTTTTTTGAGCTCATTTCTTTCTCAGAGAACCATTTCTAGCACAGTCAACTGGAACTGACACATACTACTTACTGTTTTTCAATCTCTTCTCAATCTTGCTACATGTTCATTGTGTTTGTAATCTACCTAAAACGTTCATTTAGGCCAGATTTTTCCAACTGTTTTTCTATTACATAACATGGGTTACCATTTTTGTAACCTCCAGTATCAGTTTTCTCACCACTGTCATCCAGCCCCTTGACTAATACACATAACTAATTTTCTTTGTTATGAAATTACCCAATTTCTGGTAATAATATCTGTATCAATCAGATAGGCAAGATTATGCTGAGATTAAAAAACAAACAAACAGAAAACTCTGTGGTTTAATACAGCATAAGTTTATTGTTCCCTCAAAGTTTATTATAGACCTGGACAAGGCTCTAATACAAGTGGGTAACAGGCAGAGGTTGGAACAGTTTGGAGGGCTCAGAAGAAGACAGGAAGATGTGGGAAAATTTGGAACTTCCTAGAGACTTGTTGAATGGTTTTGACCAAAATGCTGCTAGTGATATGGTCAATGAAGTCCAGGCTGAGGTGGTCTCAGATGGAGATGGGGAAGTTACTGGGACCTGGAGTAAAGGTCACTTTTGCTATGCTTTAGCAAAGAGACTGGCAGCATTTTACCACTGCCCTAGAGATCTGTGGAACTTTGAACTTGAGAAAGACGATCTGAAATTGAAACTTATGTTTAAAAAGGAAGCAGAGCATAAAAGTTTGGGAAATTTGCAGCCTGACCATGTAGTAAGACAGAGAAACCCATTTTCTGGGGAGAAATTCAAGTCAAATTTGCATAAGTAACGAAGAGTCAAATGTTAATTGCCAAGACAATGGGGAAGATGTCTCCAGCGCATGTCAGAAATCTGGATGGTAGCCCCTACCATCACAGGCCTGGAGGCCTAGGAGGGAAAAATGGTTTCATGGGCCGAGCCAGGCCCCCACTGCTCTGTGCAGCCTCAAGACTTGGCGTGTCTATCCCAGCTACTCCATTCAACTCCAGTCATGGCTAAAAGGGGCCAAGGTATGGCTTAGACTGTTGCTTCAGAGAATGCAAGTCCCAAGCCTTGGTGGCTTCCACATGGTGTTGGGCCTGCAGGTGCACAGAAGTCAAGATTTGAGATTTAAGAACCTCTGCTTAGATTTCAGAGGATGTATGGAAATGTCTGAATGTCCAGGCAGAATTTTGCTGCAGAGGCAGAACCCTCATAGAGAAACTCTGCTAGGGCAGTGCAGAAGGGAAATGTGGGGTGGGAGAGAGTCCCCACTGAGGCACTGCCTAGTGGAACTGTGAGAAGAAGGCCACCATCCTCCAGATCCCAGAAGGGTAGATTGACTAACAGCTTGCACAGTGCACCTGGAAAAGCCCCAGACACTCAGCACCAGCCTGTGAAAGCAGCTGGGAGAGGGGCTATACACTGCTAAGCTACAGGGGCAGAGCTGCCCAAGACCATGGAAACCCACCTCTTGTATCAGCATGACCTGGATGTGAGACATGGAGTTCAAGGAGATCATTTTGGAGCTTTAAGATTTAATGACTTCCCTGTTGGATTTCAGATTTACATGGGGCCTGTAGCACCTTTGTTTTGGCCAATTTCTCCCATTTGCAATGGGAATATTTACCCAGTGCCTGTACCCGCATTGTATCTTGGAAGTAACTAACTTGCTTTTGGTTTTACAGGCTTATAAACAGAAGGGACTTGACTTGTCTCAGATGAGACTTTGGACTTTTACTTTTAAGTTAATGCTGGAATGAGTTAAGACTTTGGGGATTGTTGGGAAAGCATGATTGGTTTTGAAATGTATAAAGGACATGAGATTTGAGAGGGGCTAGGGCAAAATGATATGGTTTGGCTCTGTGTCCCCACTAAAATCTCATCTCAAATTGTAATCCCCATGTGCCAGAGAAGGAAGCTGTTCTCATGACAGTGAGTGGATTATCACCAGATCTAATGGTTTTTTAAACGGTAGTTTTTCCTGCACTCTCACAAGCTCTCTCACTGCCATGTAAGATATGCCTGTTTTCCCTTCCACCATGATTGTAAGTTTCCTGAAGCCTCCCAAGCCATGAGGAACTGAGTTAATTAAACCTCTTTCCTTTATAAATCACCTGGTCTTAGGAAGTTATTTATAGCCGTGTGAAAATGGACTAATACAATTACCTTTTTAGTTTTAACTCCTTTACCTTTCCTTAGACTCTCCAAACTCCCCACTAGCATTTAGTAGATTAACTCATTTTCAAAGTTTAGTTCAGGTGTTACCTCCTTGAAGCAAAATAATAATTATGATAGCTCACAGTCAGTAAGCATGTATTATGTTCTAAACAGCTCTGTATTTTTTTTTTAGATGGAGTCTCACTCTGTCACCGAGGCTGGAGTGCAGTAGTGCAACCTTGGCTCACTGCAACCTCTGCCTCCTGGGTTCAAGTGATTCTCCTGCCTCAGCCTCCTGAGTAGCTGGGATTACAGGCGCATGCCACCAGGCCTGGCTAATTTTTGTATTTTTAGTAGAGACAGGGTTTCACCATGTTGGTCAGGCTGGTCTCGAACTCCTGACCTCGTGATCTGCCTGCCCCAGCCTCCCAAAGTGCTGGGATTACAGGTGTGAGCCAACGCGCCTGGCAAGCTATGTATTATTTAATTTAGTTACACAATAACTCCACAAGGTTGGCCTTAATATAACCATTATATATGGAAAAAGAGGATCTTTCATTTAAGCAACTCTCCTAAGTGCATAAAATTAGTAAGTTGTCGGGTTAGAATTCAAGTCCAAGTGAGTCAAAATTTGAAGCCTGTGCTTTTAACCACCATTCCACCTCAGCATAATGTAATTGACATGTCCCGTGTGTGACTCTTGCATCACACTTATAATGCACTGTCTTTTCTTATTCTCTGCCCATCTTTCTCTCTAACTATAATCTTCTTGATTGCTGACACTATATAATCAATGCCAAGCATGGAGCATGGCATTGATTATATACTTGCTAAAAAAAGATCACAAATTTGGTGATTTTTAAAAGCATGTATTTATTATCTCCTGGTTTCTGTGGCCCAGAAGTCAAGCACAGTTTAACTGAGTTCTCTGTTCAGAGTGTCACAAAATTGCTTTCAAGGTGTCATACTAGCTGTGTTTCTCTATTGAATTCGAGGTCTTCTTCTAAGCTTAAGTAGTTGGAAGAATTCAGTTCCTGGCCGGGCACGGTGGCTCACACCTGTAATCCCAGCACTTTGGGAGGCTGAGGTGGGCAGATCAGGAGGTCAGGAGATGGAGACCATCCTGGCTAACGCGGTGAAACCCCGTCTCTACTAAAAATACAAAAAATCAGCTGAGCGCAGTGGCGTGAGCCTGTAGTCCCCCCTACTCGGGAGGCTGAGGCGGGAGAATGGCGTGAACACGGGAGACAGAGCTTGCAGTGAGCCGAGATAGCGCCACTGCAGTCCGGTGCCTGGGAGAAAGAGGGAGACTCTGTCTCAAAAAAAAAAAAAAAAAAAAAAAAACAAAGAATTCAGTTCCTTGTGGATGTAGGACTCAAGACCCAATTTCTTGCTGTCTGCCAACTGGGTACCACCTCTCAGGTTCTAGAGGTTCCTGCACTTATTGTCCATGTGGCCTGTTCATAGCTCTTACAATGTGGCAGCTGGATTCTGTAAAGCCAGCCAGAGAAGCCATTGCCCTAGTCTACTGAGATGAAGTCTTACATAAAGAACATAATTATGGGACTGACTGCCATATTCTATTTGCTAGAAGCAAGTTGCAGGTTTTTCTCACATTTAAGGGGAGGGGATTATACCATGATTCACTGGGGGTTATTTTAGAGTTCTGGCTCTCATAATTCCTTTCTCTCCTTTAAGTCTGTTCATTTCTCTCTGCTGATATTAGTGACAGAAAAATTTTCCCATATTTTTACCACTCAAACTGGTTCTTCCTTGCACAGTTTTTTTCTTAGATCTTAACTGCTATTTGAATAATGTCCAGATTGCATTGATACATTAAAACTCTCCACATCCCCTAACAATATGACATCACCACTGTTAATATTACGATGTAAATTCATAATGCCATCATATATATGGTATATTGAAAATTACAACTGTGTAATTTTAAACAAAAGCAGGTTCACTGCAATCCTATTTTACAACTTACTTCTTAATTTAATAATATATAATGAACATTCTAACACCATTAAGTTTTCTTTTATAGCATAATTTGTAATTTCTGTGCAGTAGTGTATCATACAGATAACATGTAATTTACTTAATTGGCTTACTATTATTGGACATTTATATTATTTCCAACATTTTGCTATGGTGAAAGCTCTTTAGTAAACTCTCCCGTAGTTATTTCTGCCTGTCATCATAATTATTTTTGGTAAGATAAATTCTTAAAAGTAAATTTTTGTATGTCAAAGAAGATTTTAAAGTTTTTTTAAGATTTTTAAGTTTACATTTTTGTGCATTTTTAAGTTATTTGATTTACCAAATTGCACTCCAGAAATTTACAGTTTAGACAGCAGCACCTAAGGAAACCCAACATGGAGAATTATGTGTGTGTGTGCATATGTGTTTTCTATTACTTTTCTAGCATATTTCTATTTTTCAAGTTATAACTTTTACATGTTTTTTTAAACAGGGAATTTCAGAAGTCCCTAACGCGTAATTAATTTACTTTTCGCTTTTCTAATTTCATCCATCTGAGGTAGCCAGTATTAACAGTTTGCTGGAAATCCCCCTAAACCATCCTTATTAGATGTGAGTGTCTATATATTTCAATTTAATAGTTGAAAAATGGCATCTCACTGTTGCTTTAATTTGGTTTTCTGGACTTACTAGTGAGGCTAAACATGTCTTTATTGGTGTTGGTACATTTGCAAGTTTTGTTTCTTAGTTTTTGGTTCATTTCTTTTCAATTGTTATTAACCATTATGGGGTCAACCATTCATAGCCCGTAGATGCTCCAGTTTCAGTATTGTTCATAATTGTTACATTTTAGGTTGTTTCCTTTGCTTCACAAAATCTCATTTTTGCACATTATTTCACAGCACAAATAACTTGAGTGTGAGGCATAAACACTTTTAATGTAGACCGAAGAACATTTCAAAAGTATCTTTGAATTACAAAATATTTCAGTTCCCAAGTGACAGCTCATTTATTTCAAATAAAACTCATTATCACATAATTCCAATTTTGAAAGTATTTAAGATATACCCAGTTATTATATAATAAGATTTCAACTATATTACAAAAATGTATTAAAAATGTGTTCAAAAGACAATGTTACTTTTGTACTTCTACATTATGTTTTCTCTTGGATATTTCATGCCTCTGTTATATTCTTGGCTTTAGTATTAAGCCTAAAAGAGTTGTTCATATACTTCCTAAAATTGCCCAGATACAACACTAGGAGTAAAATGTGTATCATAAGAAGCTGACATATTTCCTATTAGCATAGTGACAAAGCTAATGTACAAAGGCATGCTGAATTTTCAGAGGGTAGATTTTCCTTTTAGTTCTTTGATTTATAAAACTCCAAAGTGCTTCTGTGAAGAGCATCAGATTTAGTGAAAGAGATGAAAGGTAATAGGCAGAGCTTAGTAGAGTTAGCTTTCAAAGCGGTTTTTGTTTTCCCTGGAAATGGGTTATGGAATCTAATTTTCAATTTTATAAATCTGTGTGGAAGACAAGGAAACAAGGAGTTGTCTGTTCTTTATTGATCATACTATATCTTCCTTTAGCTGAATCAATCTGCACCAGGGTTTTCTTTCATTCTCTAGTTTTGTGTATTGCATGCTGGATTACTTCAGCATACCTTTTTAAATTTTTTTACAACTTAAAAAGAATACTAGGACTGCTGTTTACTGCTAAGAGAGATTGATTTCAAGTGTGAAAATGATGGGAGAGCTTATTATCAGTGACTAAGAGATATTCAAATTCAGCACAGAAAGAAATGGGATCACAGACCTCAGCGATGAAAACATCCAAGAAGAAAGCTGGGAGAACAAATTGTATTCAGTTTTGGAAATTAAGAAATCTTTTGAGCACAGTAAAAGAAGAAAATACTACCAAAGCCCATGAATGGGAGAAAGCAACTGAAATTTCAAAGAGATTTGGTAAATGTAGCGTGTAGGTAGAAATATACTATGAGATTATTTTCAGGACTTGTCTGTATTCCCGTAACATTTTATACTGAAAATAAAAGACTTCTTAAAATGCCTATAGGGAAAAGAGAAAGAAAATGTTGATGATGACATTGTTGCCCTGCAACTTTCAGTTGTGGGATACAGTGTCTTCTTAGTAGTCACCTCTTTGCTGGTACTGCACTGCTTCACTCTTAGCAAGAACATCCTCTCCTCTCACAACTACAGCATTCCTTAGAAGTCACATTAGAAAATGATTTCAGTGTAAGTACAGCTGAGAAATGTGCTTAGAATTTCTTTAAAACCTAATGGAAATTGGGCCAACTCTAAGAAAGCCATCACCCTAGAGAAAGAAGGAGGTAAAGTAAGCATAGTTACAAAAACAGACTAAAACCGAACAGAGCCCAACACTCCTCTGTGTATCAGGCAGAGGCGAGATCTCCTTTCCCTCTGCATATGGGTACCTTACCCTTGTGCTGTAGACCCCCCACTTCTCTACCAGCAAGGGGTGACTAATCTTATAAGCAATGTTCATTTGAACATGTAACATGTTATAGGTATGAAAAATAAGTCTCATCTCCTCATGGACATACTTTGGACTAATATTGAAATGTTTTAAACATGTACTGCTTTATGTTGTTTGTTTCCTGTCTAAGAAATCTTAGCCTACCAAAGTGGTGAAGATTTTCTCCTATTTACTTGTAGAATTTCATGGCTTTAGATTTTATGATGAGGCCTATAATCTGTACTTAATTAACTGTTTTATGTATGGTATAAAATTAAAACATGATTTTCCCCCAAATGAATATTTACTTGTTCCACTATCATGTGTTGGAAGTCTATTCCTCCCTCCTCCATGGAGTTACCTTGAAATCATTGTTAAAAATCTATTGACCATGGGCAAGCTCCAGTGCTCATTATTAGAACCACAAGTATTTTCCAATGCTTCCAATTGATTCAGCTTTACAGTGGTATCATTTATTTTGAAATAATATTTTTCAGGTTTGAAACTATAAAATGTTGGCAAAAACACAACCTATGTACTTAAACAATCTGTTATCATAAATATGTGGGTCTATTTCTGGAACTAATTTTGTTTTATTGCTATATATTCAATCTTATTTCATCACTACTAAAAATGTCTGCTGTTTGAATGGCAAAGACAACATTAAGAAAATGAAAAGGCAAGCCACCAACAGAAAGAAAATATTCACAATATGCACATGTAACAAAGGACAGGTATCCCAAATGCATAAAGAGTTCTGATAACTCAATCATAAGAAGAAAATAACGCAACAAAAATGGGTAACGGATGTTAGTAGAAATGTCACAAGATATGCAAATGATTGATAAGCAGATAAAAAGATGCCCAACATCATTAGTCATTAGAAAAATGCAAATGAGCACCAGAAAGAGATTCCACTGCGCATCCAGGAGAATGATGAAAGTGAAAAAGCCAAGTGTTGGTGAGGATGTATTTAGAGTTTTGAATATTGACCTTTATTAAATTTATCCTCAATTAACACTCAAAGTGTTCTGGACACTTTGGACACCAAAAGTCTTTTCTTAATTAAACAATTTGTTGCAGTAAATAGAAAGAGAGGATGTAAGAAATTTTACATAATACATTATGATACTGCTATCTGTTAAATATAAGTTTATGACATTTGAGCTTGGTAACTATGTTGCCCAGTGTTTACTTGAAAAAATATGGATATCCACGACTTAGGATGGTTCAACTTACAATTTGTCAATCGTG
The DNA here is from genome assembly GCF_000001405.40 of Homo sapiens. Classification (NCBI taxonomy): domain Eukaryota; kingdom Metazoa; phylum Chordata; class Mammalia; order Primates; family Hominidae; genus Homo; species Homo sapiens. The sequence continues at coordinate 34,094,975 of NC_000013.11, forward strand.
CAACAGTGATACACATTCAATAGAAACTGTACTTTGAGTATCCACACGGCCATTCTGTTTTCTACATTTAGTACAGCATTCAATATATGACAAAAGATAGTCAATACTTTATTCTAAAACAGGCTTTGTGTCAGACGATTTTTCCCAAATGTAGGCTAATGTAAGTGTTTGGGCCATGTTTAAGGTAGGCTAGGTTAAACTATGATGTTTGGTAGGTTAGGTGTATTAAATGCAGTTTTGACATGGTATTTTCATGGGCTTATTGGGACCAATTCCCATCATAAGTCAAGAAGCATCTGTGCTTAATTATACTAACAGTCTGTATAACATATGAAATTGGTGATTAAACCAGTGTTATGATGATGACTCAGTGAATTTGAATACAATATCTTTATCAGGATTTTAATCTTTTATATGGGGAAATTAGATGCTTTTTTTAGTGTTATTTAATTTCAGCAAAGGATGCTATGACAAATTGATATTCACATGCAAAAGAATGATATTGGGTCCTTACCTCACACCACATACAAAAATTAACTCAAAAAGGATCAGAGACGTAAATGTAGAAGGTAATACCTTTAAAGAAAACTTAGGGATAAATCTTTATGACCTTAAATTTGTCAATGGTTTCTTCCATATGACACTAAAAGCATGAATAATAAAACATAGATAAATTGGTGTATTAGGGTTCTCTCGAGAAAAAGAAAAAATAGGAGACATAGAAGTATATGCAGAAAGAGAGCCACTATGAAGGACTAACTCATGCGGTTATGGAGGCTGAAAAGTCCCATGCTCTGCCATCTATAAACTGGAAGCCTGGGAAAGCTGGTGGTCCAGTTCCAGTACACGTCCAAATACCTGAGAACCAGGAAGTCAATAGTGTAAATCCCAGTCCTAGTCCAGAGTCCTGAGAACCAACTGCACTGATATTCAAGGGCAGGAGAAGCAAGGAGAGCAAATTTTCCTTTCCTTTGTCTTCTTGTTCTATTCTGGCCCTCAGTAGATTGGATGATTCCCACCTACATTGGTGAGGGCAAACTTATTTACTCAAAAGATAATCTTTTATGAAAACATCCTCAGAGACACACCCAGAAATAATGCCAGTTATCTGGGCATCCCTTAACCCACTCAAGCTGACACATAAAAATAATCATCATAATTGGCCTTTATCAAAATTAAAAATGTTTCTGCTTCAAAGGGCACTATCAAGAAAGTTAAAAGACAACCCACAGAATGAGATAAAGTATTTGAAATTTATATATCCAATAAGGAACTTGTGTCTAGAATATATAAGGACTTCTACAACTCAGTCATAAAAAGACCACCAAATTTAAAAATAGGCAAGAGATTCAAATAGGGATTTCTCAAAAGACATAGAAATGACCAATGAGGCCATTAAAAAGGCTCAACATCATTTGTCATCAGGAAAACACACATCAAAACCACAATGAGTTACCACTTCATACCCATTAGGATGGCTATAATCAAAAAGAGATGTAATAAGTAATATTGGCAAGGATATAGAGAAATCAGAACCCTCATAAACTACTGGTGGGGATTAAAAAAAATGATGCAGTGATTTTGGAAAACATTCTGGCACTTCCTCAGAAAGTTAAACATAAAATTGTAATTTGATCCAGCAATTCCATTCCTAGCTATATACCTAAGAGTAATAAAGACATATATCCACACAAACACTTGTACACGAGTGCTCATAGCGTCATCATTCATAATAGCCAAGAGGTAGAAACAACTCAAATGTTCATGAACTGACAAATAGATAAACAAAATGTAAATGTGGTATATGCATAGAATAGAATATTATTCAGTCATTAAAAGAAAGGAGACTTTGTCACATGCTACAACATGTTTGAGTCTTGACAACATCATGCTGAGTGAAAGAAGCCAGGTATAGAGGACCACATATTATATGACTACATTTATATGTAATGTTCAGAAAAGGCAAATCCATAGAGACATAAAGTAGATTAGTGGTTGTGTAGTGGTAGATTAATGCTAGGGGAGGGAGCAGAGATGGATGTATTGGAGAGCAATTCGCGGGACATGATTTTTTTGGTGGGGGTGGTGGTGATGAAAATGTTCAAATTGGTTGTGTTGATGGCTGCACAGTTTACTCAACACATGTACATGAGTAGATTTAGAATACATGTGTAAAATTCAATAAAATTCACAGTACAGTTGTTCTGTGAATATATCAAAAAGTAATGAATTTTACAAATGACCTCTAAATGAGTACATTTTTATGACAGCTTGATTGAGATAATTTAGATACTATAAAATGGACTCATTTAGGATACATCTTATGGTATCTAAATACCATAAATATATAGTTTAGATACCATAAAATGTATCCTAAATGAGTATCTATCTCAATCAAGCTGTTATAAAAATAATTTTATTTGTCTTATTTTGATTTATAATACTTCCTGGCAAGATAAGTCAATATAAGTACACATTTGGTCAATAGCATTTTAAAAATGCTATAGCTTTGAGATGCTTACATATATTTTTTAAATTATTGGACATTGATTATGATGTAGATCTTTTCAAAAGATGGATGTATAAAAAGGTTTGCAATTTTTAGGTTATGGTGGATGAGAGTTTTAGTTGAATGCACTCATTTTTAAGTTGTGATAAAGTGTCTTATTATCACTGGTACTCAAATATTTAGACTCTTACATAATTAAGGTAAAAATTTGTACCTTAGAAATTGCTTATTTTCAGGAAAAATTGTTACATGGGAACACATACACACACACACATATGTTAGATGGGATTGTTCAATGGAAAAGATCTAGAACGGAGAAACCACACATGGGCGAGAAAGAGATTCTGGAGGAGAACAGCTCACAAGTTTCATGTGAGTACCCATGAACATGAACAAATGAGAGTTTCCTGCCATCCTGAGTGATTCCTATAAGTCTGACACACCTATGGCGTGATCATGGACTATTTCATGTCTTAAGTTACAAATGGATCTACAATAAACCTTAAAAGACCAATATTACGTATCAATGTTGGTCACATAAGACCCACAATGTAAGGATGTTTAAAGGCAACCTAAACCTGAAAGTAGTCTGCTCTTGACGCACAAAACCCAACACTCCCTTGAGAAAAACAAAGCCTAAACCCCATACCAAGAATGACAATGAGGTGCCAATATGGTACTGAACTCCAGAATTGGCTGAGGGTGAAGAGAGTGATACAAACAGCTCCTTGAAAGATTGGAAGCAGCCTGCTGACCTGGTCTCTTGTGTAATTTCACCAATGCAGCTTCAGAAAATCATTAGGAATGAAAGCCCCAGTTGTAGCATATGGTCAGTTGCCCTGACTGGGCACCTCTGGAGGTGATACAGGATGGGTGACAGCAGAACACCTCACCAGCTTCTAGATAGTGTGCGCAAATGGGGCTACCTCAATCAGGAGAGAATAAAGAGTTTAAGGTAGCTCTGAGGCTCAATTTTAAACCATGTGGCACAGTTATGAACTGCTGAGAAACAGCAGCAGCAAACAGATTAGGCATCTGTGAAGATGAAGGAGCTCCCTTTGAACAAAGGCTTCAGGCTGAGTTGAGTCTAAGTGGCCAACTCTCAGACACCTGTGGGTTTGGAAAACAGTGTTTGCAGCTATAAATCAAAGTTCTGGTTTTATGTGGACAAAGTGTGGGGATAAACCCTTTGTACTGGTCTTTTAAATTGTGCATGCACACATCGCTAGTATTGCCTCTTAACTAACAGACAACAGTAAATTCTGAGACTCTTTAAGCATTATTTTGATGCCTTCAATATTGCCCATAGGGTGTTACATTAATGAGTTGTTCAGATGTATGAAAAAATAAAAATATTAAGAGAATTTGGGAGAGGACCAACATAACATCTCTCCACCAGAAATTTGTATTAAATACTCTTTTGTAACTAGAGAGATTGTCTAATGAAAAAACAAATCGAGATATTGGACACTTCTCTTTGAAATGAGACCTCTTTGAAAATTGCTCTAAAAATGACAAAAACAATTATTTGACCATTATAGACCAGAAAGAAATAATACAGTTTTCAGACTCAGGTTAGCATTTTGTAAACAGAGTAAAACACATTTACATTCAAATTAAGTTCAAACATTTTTTTGTTTTCATTTCTACAAAGATTTACATTATATGAACTCTTTTATTGAAAAATTACTTGAGCTAACCAAAAAGTCAAGGTCAATGGAAAGAATAAGATGGGTTATCTGTGTAGGTTATAAAGTCCTATACAAAAATAATTCTGCAATCACTTTTCAGCCTTCCTTTCCCACTTAGTAGCTGGCTTCTTTTTTGAGGCAAGCACTTATCCAAGAATGATTGAATCAGTTAGAGGACAAGTCCTTAAAAAGATCCACCTTGCCCGATGATTTTAGAGGAGTCTGTCCTATTTTCCTTGCTGTCTTGTTTACTTGACCTTCTCAGTTACTAAATAAGAGTGGATTTAATGAAGAGAAGGCTTTTATTTATCATTCAAGTGCCAAGTTCCTTGTCAAGGGACAGATCTTTCTCTTAGGGAGGAATACTCAGGCAACTATCCTGAGAATTTGAAACTCAACTCTGTGATAGTCAAGATTTCCCAAGAGAAGTTATTCTTCCATATTATGGTGTTACTTTTTCTATGATGAATTTTACAAAGGCAAAGTGTATAAAAGAATCAGAGCACTTAATTATCCTTCAGGGAAAAAAAAAGCAGCCTTTTCCCTTTGTTAATTATCTCAGTTTTCAAATTAATTTCAACAATGAGCACTTGGTCTCATGAAGAAATTTTAAATAAAACTGGAAGAAAAATTTAACTAGAAATGTAAAAATGCTCACTACTAGGGTTAGTTATTGTAAAAGATAATTATTTGGGTGATAGCTTATACAGCAATTTGAAAGTTATGTTTTATTTCTGTTCAATGAATACATGTACATGATTTTAAAGACAAATGCACTATAGAATGTAATATAAAGAAATACCAGTACCCCAGTCTTGTATCTGGTTAGAAAGGATTTAGCTTTTAAAAATATACTCTCTTCCCCTCCCCCAGGTAATTGCATTCTCTTATCTCCCCGATACAGCTATGTCAAAAATTCTACAAAATTATTATTCACTCCTCAACCACATGACGTCCATGATTATATTTCCTTTTTTAGGTAAAGCTTCTTGAATTGTCTTCAGTTGATAATTGCCTCCGTTTAATTTTTGCTTTGGTTCTTAATGCCCTAGGGGTAGTTTGTCATTGCCAGAAATGTAACTCTCCCCTCAGTAGATTCAATGTTACAGGTAATACAGCCTTCACTTGTGGTGTGTGTGTGTGTGTGTGTGTGTGTGTGTGTGTGTTATTATTTTTTCTTAGAGATATAACTCCTGGAGCCTTCTGTCCATTTGCACCAATTGATAGTGGCTGTTCCTTTGGCTTACTACAAGCTGTCATCACTAGAATACCCTTCTTTCTGCTGTGTTAGACTTCTTGTGTTCTGAAACCCAGTTTTTTGCTTTCTTGGTTTCCTCCCTTATTTTCATTAAGTGCATCCTCCAGTAACTCCATAAGGTAAGGTGCCTAAAAGATAAACTTTTTGGAATATTGTTTGATTGATAGTTTTCCCAGATATAACATTCCATGTTATAAATAATATTTTTTTAACTTTGAGACATTTACTTCCTACATTACCAATCATGGGTTATTAGGTCATGATTATCAGAAGCTAAGTCTTATATCTGCTTAGGAAGATATAGCACTACTGAGTGACTATGGCATCCTACGGAGAACTTCAATATTCAGTAATACATTAAAAGCTCTTGGTTTTGCAGCTCCGCAAGCCCTCTTTGAAGTTATCTACATGTTAGAAATAATTTTTTCTCATAATTTTGAAGGTCTCCCACCACTATTTTCTAATTTCTACTGTTGTTTTTGGGATACTTCCTAATGTTGTTTTTATTCATGACTCTTTATATGTTACCCATAATTTTTCTTTCTGGGAGCTTTTTGCTTTTTCTTTTGCCTTAGTGTTGTGAAATTTCATAAAGACATGCTCTTTTAGGAAGATAAGAACTTTTATTTTGTTATTCTGAGCACTCAGTTTGGAAATTTGTGTTATTCCACTCTGAGGGATCTTCTTGAGATTTTTATGTAATCATTCCCTCCTTTCTGTTTTCACTCTTCTCTCTTTCTGGTGTTTTTAATTAGTATACTATTGGAAGTCCTGATCCTTTTTTCCTTGTATTTTGCATTCCTTTTTTCTTTGTATTTTGTATCTCTTTGTGAGTTTTTCTTCTCTCTGAAATATTTATTAAATCGTGGCTTTCAACTCTTCTGTTGAGTTTTGTTGTTTAAATTTTTTCATTCTGTTTTTATCTTCTAAGAATTCTGTATTGTCTGAATAATCCTTTTTAAATAGCATCCCTTCCTGCATGCCATTTCTTCTCTTACATCTCTGAGAATATTGAAGTTCTAAAAAGTTTTTTTTCTGCTCTATTTGCTGTCTTGGAGTTCTCCTTTTTTCTTTGTTTCAAATCAGTTTGTTCTTTTACGTTAGACTTTTCTAGTGATCACATTTAAAACAGACATAAAAACATGTTTATGAGTATGCCTTGTTAACTGCTGAGCTTCAATATAGGGTGACTGGTGGTGGCCCAGCTACTTTGTTTCAGGCCTTCATTTGTGTATTTTTGTAGGTCTTTTCCCATGGGCAGATCAGTTTTCTTAGTTTGTTGCTTTAGAGACATAAAATCCACCTGCTCCTTTCCTGGAAGCTGAGTGATGAAGGTTGCTGAATGTCTCAAGGTTCCGTATGTCAAAGTTCACATAACTTCCCTGTTTTTAATACAGCCCCTCATATTCGCCCTCAGCTATATGTCTTGTGAGCAACCTAACATCCTTTCAGGTTGAATTCTCCAGGGTGAACTTCCAGGCTTTAGCTGTATTGGGAAAGGATGATTGCAAGAGTGAAGCTCAATTCTCCCTTGAAAAATTTAACCAGTCCTTCAACTTATCCTTCTGTTTTCAGACACTGTCCCTCCCCTTTTAGAATAACTTATTTCTGCCATTTCCAGAGCATTTTGGAGGTCTTTCAGGTGAACATCAATTTGCTTCTCGTTAGCCTCCTCCACTTTATAATTAGATTGTAGTTTTCTCTAAGATTGGAAGTCAGTTATTGCTCATAATCTATCTTCCAGTGTTTAGATCTTGTTTTTATCTCTTTTATATTCTGTCTCTGTTCCTATTCTCCTTGTCTTCCTGGGTTTTCTTTCTTATGTCTTTTATTTTAAATGTAATTTAAAAGGCAGTGGAGACAGACTGCGTGTTCAATCGTCTTGTTAACTAGAAGTCCTGACATGTGGAAATAGTAGTGTACCTCTTGAAAAACCTAAGTATTGGGGAATTCTCTTCATTGAAAATGTGAAGAGAGTCTCATGCACCAAGTAGCATAATTTTGCATTAAGTTAGAGATTAAAGCAATATCATGGACAAGATTTATTTTTGAAAAGGTAATTTTCATATCAAATGACAGCCATGAAGAATCATAAAGACCTTGAAACTATGGTCAAGGTGTGGAAAATTTCAAGGATAGAGAAGAAGAGGTGTTTTTTTTTTGTTTCACACTATTTGTCTCAATATTCATATATCATGACAACCTCTTATTGTGCAGTTGTTATGAGTTTAATAAAATTTCCATCATGTTTGATATAAAGTATCATGGGCATGGCTGGTATATTATGCAGTTAGTCATTATGCTACCACTGTGGGTTAACCTCAGAAGGTCTAAAAAAGACTCAAATGTTGCTATATTATAGAAAATGCCCCCAAAATACCTTTCTTGGAGGAGTCTAAAAGCTAATGAGTTGGAAGTCTTTCTACTGAAATTCTCTTATAAGCAACGACAACAAACTAGTCAGCTGTGTTGATGCTTGTTGATGTTCTTCCTGTGCTCTGACTACATTATTGGGCATGGCTTGAGGTAAGGGCTTTTCCGGAGGTAGGTCAGCGTAGCACACCGCAGCACCCAGTAGATTTGTGGCTTCTGGGCCATCATCCTGGACTCCTGTGTTCCCAGTTTAGTTCCTCCACACTCTATTCCCTCTGAACTCAGATCAAAACCTCAGAATCTTTCTTTTGGTTGGCACCTATTAACAATGTATTGGGGTTGACTTGTAAGCTGATCCCTATTTGCCATTCTTTACCTGGAGGAAGGTGGAAACCTGAAGATGGTACAAAGTTTTTTTAAAAAAATTATCCTCAGAAATAAAGACAATACGAAGCTCTAAAGATTTTAGAAAATTGGGCGCTGTAGACTAAAGCTTGTTGCTATAAGAAAGTTTAAAGTTTTCTTAGATTTTATTTTAGTTTCCCAAAGATATAGCCAGTAGGATACTGAAAGTAAAAAAAGGCTATCATGAAACCTTCAGGGAGAGTTGAAAGGTGGGAACCTTCTGAGTCACAGTTCAAAGCCAGGCTGCTAGATACATATTCCCTAAAAGAGTGCATCAGGACAGTTGTACAGAGGGTCCTGGAATTTGCAACTACAAGAAAAGGGTCACTTAAGGGACCAACACGTCTAAGGAGACTCTCAATGGTCAAGATGAGGCATAAAAGTTCATACTAATTAGAGGATATATAAATGGATTCAACCAATTATTTGATCCAATTAAAATCAGCCGTATTAAATTCTTTTAAACATAGAAAAGTAACTTTTCATACTGATCTTAAGCAACCCAAATATCCACAAGTTCCATGAGTGTACACATGAAGTAATAGTAGTATTCATATTAGTATTAATAAGTATGGCTTCTGTTAAACCCCTGAAAGGGGACTTTAGCACTTTCTATCACCTGGAAATTTCCTTTTCTCTAAAAGCTGCTCATAGCAGGGTCTAGTCTTCCTGGATCTCCTGCTCTGCTTCTTTTTCTTTTTTGCATTTCTGTTTCTCGTAGTTAATAATTATTAAGTACTTGCTTTGCGTCAGATATTGTGATCAAAGCTTGGCAAGCACTATCTCAGTTAATCTTCATACTGAGCTTATGACACAGGAGCCATTCATTATTCTCCTTGGTGTATACGTGAGAGAACAGAAAGTCTGGAGTTGTTAAGCAATTGGCCACTCCACTAAAGTAGACTGGAGTGGAGCCTGAACTCACCAGTAGAGTTTTTCTAATGGCAAAGCCTGTGCTTTCTGTGACTACGATACAGAGGCCTGTTGATGAAGGCCTCTCCTCATGGTCATTGCTACAGGAAGGGATGGTCTTGGGGCTGTTCCCTCCCATCCTTGTCCAAGCATAGCTTTTTCTACTCCTGAGAGTCCTCAGACTGGCCTGACCTATAGTTAGATGGCAGGACCTCTGAGGCAACTATTCCTGTACCCTCAGACATCAGGCTCCAAAGTCTTTCATAAAAGCAGCTCTTAGTCTTCCTCTAATTCTTTCCTGTCTCCTTCCTATAAGCCCCAGGACTTAAAAAGAAACAAACAACCTGGCAAAAAAAAAAAGCTTTCCCTTTGCTGCCTCAGTCTAAAATTAATTCTGTAGTGAAAATAGACATCTAGCTCATAAGATCAGAAAACAGCAAGACCCTGAAATTCCATTTCGGACCCAGCTGGGGCGTTTTTCTCTTACAAGTGAAACTCTCTCCACGTGTGTCTTCCACACAGCGAAGTAATGGCAAACCCAGGGCAACAACCTGAACATTTAGATCCCATGGGACAAGTAAAACCACCAGGAGAAGGGGAATGAACTCCAAGAAACTAAATGTAAGTACTTTTTAGATGGATTTTTGATGGGTATTGGGTCAATTTTGCAGCAGTTTTATGGAGGAGCTGGGTAGAAATGTGTTGCACATTTGAAAAGGCAGAAAATTTCTACAAGGAAACATTTTATTCTCGTAATTATATCTTTTTCAGGTATTTCTAGAGTAAGTCTTTTTAGAATGGTGATGAAAGGCCCAATTAAAAAAAAAAAAACAAACAGTGATGCGGCAAGAACTTGGCCCCTCAGCTCCAGTGAGACCCCGTCGTACATGAACAGGGTCATGGCCACTCTGTTCCCACAGCAGAGACTGGTTGCCAAGGACAGGCTGAGATCTGCTCTATCTGCTCCTGTCCTGGGGCCACTTTGGTTCTAAAATCATTTTGTAGCTTTGGCTGAACACATAGGGGCTTCAGCCAAGTCTGTGAGTGTTGGGGGACTGGCAGGGAGAAGAATTGTTTAAAAAGTAGCCACCAAAACCTGTAAAACAATTGAAATAAGGGTAAAAGAACAAGAGTCAAGATATTGAAGAGAAGGATGTGGCCGGGTGTGGTGGCTCATACCTGTGATCTCAGCACTTTGGGAAGCTCACGCCTGTAATCTCAGCACTTTGGGAGGCCGAGGCGGGTGGATCACCTGAGGCCAAGAGTTCGAGACCAGCCTGGCCAACATGGTGAAACCCCGTCTCTACTAAAAATACAAAAATTAGCTGGGTGTGGTGGCAGGCACCTGTAATCCCAGCTACTCGGAAGCCTGAGGCAGGAGAATCAGCCGCAGGTTGCAGTGAGCCGAGATTGCGCCATGGTACTCCAGCTTGGGTGACAGAGCAAGACTTCGTCTCAAGAAAAAAATAAAAATAAAGAGAAAGATGTGTTAAAATGATAAATATTTGTATAAGAATATCCAAGTAAAGAGAAATTGATGCACCTGAGCACAAAATGTGGTTGTCAGATAAAGAGGTAGGACAAAAAGAGTTCATGATGACTTTAACAGCTTTTATTATTTAATAGAAGAAAGAGTATCAATTTATCAGGAAAGATCACCTGTTTCTTGTGACATAATTTTAAGTTCACAATTTCTTGTTACAATTATTTTACTTTATTCCTTTTTATTCCCAGTTGCTTTATTAAATCATGGAGATCAAGGATTATGTGTACTTTCTTTTTGTCTTCATATCTTTAGTAATAAACATAGTGTCCAGAAGAGATATTGATTAATAAGTGAATGAATAAATAATATAATAATGATCAGGCATAAATAACATATTTTCTAACATATTTAAAGACTTAATAGTCAATTGTACATCTGGGAAAGTATTTCTGTGAGGCACAAAATAATATAATCCAGGCTAAAGTTTTTAGATGCTCTGACTAATTATAATTTTGGACAGAGCTTAGAAATAGGGGAAATCATTATTAGTAAAGTCATCAGAAATCTTGATTTTCTTCAGGAGGTTTTTGTCAAGATTTGGATGGTCAGTAATTGAAGATGGAAATTATAAGTGAGTACTTAAAGTAGAGACAGCTTTTCTCTGTTTTTGACCGGAAAAACGATCCATAATAACTTAGATTCTAAGCACATAGAAAACAAGGCTGACTGTAATCCCAGCACTTTGGGAGGCCGAGGAGGGTGGATCATTTGAGGTCAGGAGTTCGAGACCAGCCTGGCCAACATGGTGAGTCAGGAGATTTCCCTGCAGATGGGTTTGTGGTTTCAGTAACTTCGAAGAGTGAAGCTGAGGACCTTCGCAGTGAGTGTTACAGCTCAGAAAGAGTCCACAGACCAGGAGAGTGAGCAGCAGCGCAGTTTATTGAACAAAGTGAAAGGAAAACGTCCATGTGGTGGAAGGGGACCTGGAAGAGCTGCCATTGCTGGCTCGGGTGGCTAGGGCTTATACCCCTGTGCTATCCCCTCCCCTTTCTTTTTTTTTTGTCCATTGAGAGTGGTTCTTTTTTCAGTCCTCCCTTGGAGTGGTTACTTTTGAATCCTTCACTCAATTGGTTAAGAACTCAAAACGCTGAGTCACAGGGGTCTTTTGCCAAAGTCCCTGAACTGGCCCAGGAAGTCCCGCCAACTTCACCCCTCAATGGTGAGACCCTGTCTGTACTAAAAATACAAAAATTAGCTGGGCATGGTGGTGCATGCCTTTACCTCCAGATAATCGAGAATCTGAGGCATGAGAATTGCTTGAACCTGGGAGTAGAGGTGGCAGTGAGCCAAGATCACACCGCTGCACCCCAGCTTGGGCAACAGAGTGAGACTTTGTCTCTAAAAAAAACAAAACAAACAACAACAACAACAAAAAAAAAGGGTGACATTTTTGTACTTTTAAAAAATCTTAAAATTTAAAAATCTTCAAAATCAAATTTTTGCCCATATGGAAGACCATACCAAATTGGTTATACTATCACAGGATATTTGGAGGTAGAATCAAACCCAAATATTGTAAAATAATTTTAGTTCTGTTTACATGCTAATGAAAGCCTTGGAGTTCTGCAATGCAAAATACATAACTACTGTTAGTAGATTAAAAAATGGGGTCAAGATTATTGACTTTGGAAACAGATAACTTGAGTTTAAGGCCTTGCTTCACACAGCTTCTACCACTCCTGTGACCTTGTGCTAGTTAGAGATAGTAATACCTACTTCACCAGGCTGATATGAGGACAAACAGAATATCATGCTAAGCACTTAGCGTGGAGCGAGGCATTAGTAGGTATTCCATAGGTAGTCACTGCTATTTCTCTGTAAAAAATAAAAAGTAAAAAATAAAAAATAAAAAAAACAAAGAAAATGGTTAGAGAAAAATGTTGAGCTTGCCTGACCTTGGAGGGTCAAGGTTATGATGTTAAAATACAAAGAATCTGTAGAATATGTTTTTAAAGTACAAATCAAATATTAATAGATAATAGTAATATAGATAATAAATAATCCAAATAATAGTTTTGAATTTCAAATATGTAATATATTAATTGAACTGTTCTCACTCAGGACATCTTATCTGCATAATAGAATGTGTGTGTTTCCCATCTGCTCCTGTCTGGGAGGCAGAGATCCAGTGGCCTAAAAGCTATACCATATTACTTAGGTGTAGATTAAAAAGCTAAAGGAATAAGGAATATCCTGTCTTGATGACATTTAAAATGTGAATTTGCTCCTTCAAAAGGTCATTACTGTCCATTGTTTCTCAAAGTGGTGTGATAGAAATTTAAAGGAGTGTCCAGAGCATGCCTGATGTAACACCCTGATTCATAGGTTTGGCTTTTCTTTTATATTAAGGCCAAAATGTTTCCTATGGGACTATACATCTCTGAAATGACAGTGCAAGGCTTCTGGAGAGTGATTCCACACACGGTAAATACTGCTTTTGCTTTACTGGTGCTCAGGCAGGTTTGTAAGACTTGGAGAGGTGGTAAGTCCAGGACCCACAGTGCTGGCCTGCATTCCAGGTGGGTCAGAACATATAGGAAGGCTGGTTTGTGGTTTTCCTCCATGCTGTAGACAGTGGGTGCCTAGCTAAAACTCCTTGGTTTAACTTCTTTTACAGTTCTTCATGTTTCCTATTTAGGGAAGACACTGTTCACAAACAGACTCACTCTGACCCCTGAGATAGAAGGGACCAGGATAGAGAGCAAAGGAGGAAGGGAGTCAAGGGCTGGGAAGAGTAAAGGCTAAGAGATAGATCTGGAGAAGATGTTGATGACCGCTTAGCAACAAACTGTTTTGATAAGATATCATTTGTTTGAAATTCTAGGCAAGTCATCACTAAGTTTTACTGGTTGTATTTGTCCATTTTACAACCCTATTTTGATACATACTGAGCTAGTGTGTCATTCATTGTTCATTCAATCAGAAGAAAAGAACCACTTTATCAAGGGCTTTGTTGCTGGGGTCTGATCTTTTGCAACTTTGCAGCTGGTTAAACTGTCTCTGTGAGACTGTTGCCCTCACATCAGCTGCTGGAATTTACAGTCTACAGGCTGTGAATCAGGAAGGATACTATAACTAAAATAGAGCTCACCTGATCACTTACACAAGCTTCCGTGCTAATGTGGCAACATTATGTAAAATAATCGACATCCATGTGGCTCAGAATATATTTATATTTTCAGATTATCAACACAGTTTTTTTAATTAAACAAATTTAAACTACTAAGAGTTAGCTTGAAATCCTTAGCGACTTGTGAACCTCCAGTTTAAGAAACCCCCAGTTAAGAAACATTGTTATAAATGGAAAAAGAGTCAGACAGACTGGATTCAAATCCTGTCTCAACTCCTTATTAGTTGTGATCTGACATGTTCTTAAAATCTCTATGTCTCTGTTTCCTCATAAAAAAATAGATAGTAATGCACATATATAATTCATTGGTTCGAAAAATTCAATGACGAATTCACTAATTCAGTAAATACTTATTGAGAATTTACAATGTGCCAAGACTGCTTCTAGGCCATGGACATATACCAATGAACAAAAGGGGGTAAAAGTCCAGTAAGTGAAGACAGACAAAGTACATATATACATACATAATGTCAGGTGGTGATATGGACTAGGAAGAAAAAAAGCAGGGCCAGGAGACAGGATGGATGGCAAGGTGGTATTTTATAAATGGCAGGTAAGGAGGCTGTGTCAGCTATCAATGGCTGAGTAAAAAATTACCCCAGAAATTATTAGCTTAAAAAATACATATTAATTATCTCACAGTTCCTGTGGATCAAGAATCTGGACAATGATTAGCTTCAGGATGTCTCATAAGGTTGCAATCAAGGAGTTGGCAAGGGCTGAGGTCTTATCTGAAGGCCTGACTGGGGAAAGCTCCACTTACAAGCTCTCTTATGTGGTGGTTGACTAGATTTGATGCCTTGAGAGCTGTTAGACTGAGGGCCTCAGGCCTGTGCTGACTGTTGGCCGGAGGCTGCATTCTGCTTCTTGCCACATGGGCCTCTCCAACATGGCAGCTTATCTCATCAAAGCTTGCAAGAGAGACACCCTGACACAAGGCAGAAGTAACAATCTTTATAACCAAATTATTTATGTGGCAACACCCCAGTGTTGCTAGCTGCTATTGGTTAAAAGTAAATTATTCCAGGAGAGGAAATTATGAATACCAAGAAGTGGGACTCTGTAGACATGATCCTAGAGGCTGCTTGCCACAGAGGGCCTCCCTATAGAGAAAATATTTATATCTCTCTTAAATGAATACCAAATTAATTGGAAGAGTAAAGCTTATGTATAGCTCAGGGAAGAGTTTTCTGTGGAAGAGGAAATAGTAAGTGCAAAGAATTGGAGGTGAGAGTGTCCTTGATGTGTCCAAGGGTCAGGATGAAAACCAGAGTTGCTGAAGAAGCAGGGGAGAAGCAAAGGGTGAAAGAAGTTCAAGAAGTTAGAAAGGCTGATTCATGCAGGGTCTTGAAAGTCATGGGAAAATGTTTGGATGAGATTCTTAATTTATTTTGAATGAGATTAGAAGTCATTAGAAGACCTGAAGGAGTGGAGTCACAGAGAGTATTTGTCTCTGAAAAGGGTCTGGCTGCTGTGGGGATGGAGGTGGGAAAATAAAAGTAAAATAAGGGACACCCAGTGACAGCCTGAGGCAGTGGTCCTGGTGAGTGATGAGGGTTGTTTGCAGGATGGTGGTAACAGTCACTGGAAAATAGAAAGCATTCAATCAATGTCAGTCATAATATTATTATTGCCTTTGTTTCTTAGATCCACGAATCTCAAATAATTATACATGTGAGTATTGCCTGAGTAATTTGTTTTAAATATAGATATGAGGCTCTCCCTCCAGGGCAGTGGCTTAGTATGTTTTGAGGGCAGGGTGGTATAACATAAATCTGCATTTTAAAGACTTAATTGATTATTCTGCTGTGGGTTATTCATGGCTATATGATAAGAAACATTACCTTTCTTATTATTTTTTACAAAACACAAAGTAAATGTGATATGAAGAATCCCCCTAACTGCCACATACACACTCACACAAACATTGGAATTCCTGAATTCATTATTTAGTGAAGTCTGACATGGTCTTGGGAACAAGGGTGATTCTGCTGTGAAGAATATAGGGACAGGGCAATAGAGCGGAGTACTTTCCCAACAGTCATTCCTATACTCAAGTTCCCATGAGGAGAGAGCAGAGTGGTGGGGATATATTTCTTTTTTTTTTTTCTTTTCCTTTTTTCAAACCTAATTTCTCTAGGTAACTCTAAATTCAGGCCTATAGATAGATGTGTCTCTGTTTTAATCAAATTTCATGGGTGTCTTAAAAGGAAAGATGCTGCATAAATTATCAGTACACGTATTAGAAACTAAAGTTATGTTTCTCTCATGCAATCTTGACAATGGCAGCAGATTGTGTTTGACATGTCATTAATGATGCAAGAGTTAGAAAAATGATTTAGTTTTGTGAAAAACTAAGCATGTTACTTGCATAACTCATTTTTACTGATAAAATGTAAAGTCATGTTCAGTAAAGCCAGCGATCTTTGTGTATGGCTGTGTGTGTGTGTGTGTGTGTGTGCGCACGCATGCGTGTTTGGGGGCAGCCTTGGTTATTGAAATGATAGTATCTCACTTAGTTCAAGAACACATGATCCTTTAGAAATCGTGAGATTAGACATCATGTCTCCCTTTTTCTTAGTCCACCCCCTTTCCATATGTTATATTTACATTTTCCTTTGTAATTAAAAATATTATGGATAAGAAGTGTCTCTTACCTATTCCAGAATCCATGCCCCTTCATTAGAGCTAACCAATATTAACTCTTTGTATCCTTCTAGAAATTTTCCATGTATATGCCCAGATCCTTTTGTTTATCCAAATGAAACCATACTAAGTGTACTGTTCCATACCATACATTTTCTCTATATATTAGCTTTTTCTTTAAACAATTAAATCCATTTTTTATTTGAGTAATACAATACATTGTAAAAAGATTCAAACATCACAAAAGAGAAGACAGTGTAAAGTAAGTCTTCCTCCTAACCAGTTATCCTGATCCCCTCAGTTACTCTCCCCAGATAAAACTCTTTTCATTCATTTCTTGTGTATCATTCTAGAGATGGCCTATGCATATACAGGCATAGAGATGCATGTATCTATGTCATCCTTTGTGATGCTATACTGTGAAAATCATTTAGTACTTCTGGGCATCTAGATAGGAGACAAATTATTCATAAGCAAATATGAGGCACCTCTCTGCCTACCCTAAAGGAGAAATACTGCCTGTGGGTTTAGGGAAACTGAAGATCAAACAAAAACGCAAGCATATGAGCTCCCTAGACATATGCAAGAATGGGAGGAAAGTTTTTCATTTAGAAGGAGCTTGGCTTGAAGAAATAGAAATGAAGGGAGCTCTCTATGACCTTAGCCTGGGCCATAAACAGATTAAGATGCAGAAAACATTCTAACATTGAGATTCTACAGCAAAAATAGACTGGCATCCAGTAACTGGATATGAAGGTCTGGTCTCCTAAGCTGGCTCCATCTGACTTTGCCTGTCATTACCATTGATATGTGTTTGGTCTCCAAACAGCTGGATGGCAATTTTTCTAAATATAATAAAAACTTGACTGATCTTAAATGAAATAAAGACAATTTTATTACCACTTGTAAGATTCTTAGTGAAAAGAAGCAAATGGAGGTTCTTAATGTTGACATTGCTTCAAGAAATAGCCTTTAAAACCTTAGATGGTCAAAGTGAAGGCAAAAGGGGTGTGATGCTGCTACTCTCTAAGCCCAAATTCTGAGATTGCTAGTCTCAGTGGGAATATTCCTTGGATCCATCCATCCCTTTTCCTATTGTTCTTTCCTATTGTCTGTCATCAGAAACGACAAATATAGTGATACAAACTTGAGACGGAAATACTGGGTAGAAGCGGGCGGTTCCCTGGCAAAAGCCCCACCCTCAAGCTTGGAAACCTGCAACCCTAAATGGGAACAAGTGTTCCTGTTTTCGCACCCAAAAGTTGCCTTTTGGCCCACCACACCCTCTATCCTGTACCCATATGAACCTCAAACCCCAGTCTCCATGAGCAGATGAACAGAAGGGCAAAAGAGCAGCAGAACGGCATGGCACAGACGGAGAGGAGAGTCTGACATCAAGAGGAGTTCATCTGGGGATGGTTGGAGAGGATACCGGCCGCTGGATGGCCAAATTCCAGGAAAAGATCATCTTCCCACCCCATTTCCTTTCCAGCTTCCTACCCATCCCACTGAGAGCCACCTCCGTCACTCAGTTAAACCTCTGCATTCACTATCCTTCAAGTCTGTGTGTGACCTGATTCTTCCTGGTTGCCAGACACCAGACAAGAACTCGGTACTAAGAGGGCACTGAGCTGATTAACACTTAGATCATCTATAGATGGCAGAGCTAAAAGAGCTCTGTAGCATGCCCACTGGGGCTTTGGGAGTTGCAGGCACCCACCCCTAGATGCTACTTTGGGGCTGGAGCCCAAAACTGCTCACCCTGGCTCCTGCACTTGCCCATCTGTGTGCTCCTCTTCCCCTTAGGGGTCTGAGCAGCAGTGGCAGCCAAACAGACAAGCCACACCCCTGTTGCACATCCTGAAAGGGGGGTCACGGAACTCTTCCATTTCAATAGAGCTTTGAGGTCTTATTTATATACATCAGCAAATGCATTCTGTTGGAGAAGCTGATGTCCCAAAAGAATACTGTAAATGTCTTGAAATCTGAGAACTTACTTTCCAATTGCAATGAGTTACCTGGTAATTGTAGGTAATAGTCACCAAAAAATCGGATTTGAAGATAACAAAGAGAAGTCCTTGCTGGAAGTGTGAGTTCTGATTGACTCCTGGATCAGAAAATTTTCCCACCAGGATTTTCTAAAGGGGCTATTGACTTACTTTCCTAATGTCTCAAACCAGCCCATAAATCATAGCAAAGAATATACACAGGCTTTATTTCTTAAGCCAAAGAGTGAGTGAGAAAGAAAGAGATAGAAAGGTTAAAATATTAGTTATTGATTTTTTGGCAGGCAAAATTAATAGTAGCTTCTCTTCCTCCATAGTTAAATCCATGTCCTAACTATAACCTCTCTTTTATTGAAAAGCCCAAGAAATGCATGAAGAATTTTGGGATTACTGCTTTGATTGAATCTGCTAAATAAAAATATTATTCTTCATGGGAGGTTGAATTGCTGTTTGGACTGCTGATGTGAAGTTTTCCATTTTGGCTGCTCCCTCTGGGAGAACTAGATCAGCCTTAGGCAAGCCTTCTCTCCTTAGGGAACCAGAGTTTCAGAAGCAAACCTGACTAGAATAGACAAACTGCAGCTGGTGAAGCCCATGGACGCCTTGTGTGTTCTAGTACATGATTGAAATAAGACTCAATTACTTTTGACCCAATAGTCTTACCAGAAGTGATGTATAAATATGATACAATTTTCTTTCTACACATTTACATTAATTGGTACAGGGAAAATAAATTGACACACATTTAATTACTTCAAAGCCATTTTTATAATCATATTTGTTGTTTTGCTGTTTCTGTTATCTCTTTCAGAAAGTACATGAAAATGAGTTGGCATTTATGTGACGCAGTAGTTGGAAAGCAAGCTTGACACTGTTTACAGCAATAAACTGAAAAAGAGTGATTTATTTCCCAAAAGTCCTTCATATTCAGATCTTTTGGGTTCTATACATGCTCACTTGTTATACTCATTCTTCCCCAAGTCATTTCTGTCCATTCTCCATAAGTTAACCCAAGAAGATTTAGGTTCAATATAAAGATACATTGAGGCATCTGATAGACATTAGTCACCCTAGGGTGACTGAAGGATAAAGAGTTGGTGTCTGGAACCAAGCTGTGGGACAAAATAAAAGCCTGCGGAGCCACCCTTGGTAGCAGCATTCTTTCCCAGACCTTGACACTTAGCTACATTGCAAGAGTGAAATTCCTATTCTTAAGCAGTCTCAACCTTCCTTAGACACGAAGCAATGCAAAAGACACGGTCCTAGATCCCCACTGTCCTTGGTTGAGGAGGTTTGTGGGTAGCAACAGGTGGCTCAGGCTGCAGCTGAATGGACAGCTGGAGTGAGAACCCTGGAAATACCTAGGCTTGACTTCCCATAATGCAGCATTTTTGGGCAAAATGAGGAAGTTAGAGCTTCCTCTGTTTAGAAATGGTTTACTGAGGTCAGTGCCTGGCTGGGCTGATCATCTTTCCTTTAAGCAAAACTAAATTCATCTATTTCTGGTTGAAATGGGCTCAGCATTATCACCAGTTCATGCCTAACATTGTTGCAACCTTTGCTAATTTCATCTAATTCATAACTGCTTAGTGTATCTTCAAAGTAATTGATAGAACAAAATAATTTCTGGTAAAAAATGTCTCCAGCCGAGCATGGTGTCTCATGCCTATAATCCCAGCACTTTGGGAGGCCGAGGCGGGTGGATCACGAGGTCAAGAGACCGAGACCATCTTGGCTAACATGGTGAAACCCCGTCTCTACTAAAAATACAAAAAAATTAGCCGGGCGTGGTGGTGGGCACCTGTAGTCCCAGGTACTCTGGAGGCTGAGGCAGGAGAATAGCGTGAACCCAGGAGCCAGAGCTTGCAGAGAGCCAAGATCACACCACTGCACTCCAGCTGGGGTGTCAGAGCAAGACTCCATCTCTCAAAAAAAAAAAAACAACTCCATGTATTTATATTTTTGTCTTCTTGGAAGACTATTCGAATATATTTTCCTCTTTATTATGGGCTATCAGTTTTACTATTGCCAGGATATTTATTATACTGGTATTGATCATTTAATAAATTTCATTAACTCTATGTTATCTTAGAATGTATTGATACTCAGTTCACCTCATCCATAGCTATAATCTTTGCCTTTGTCTCTGCTTTATTTCAGATACAGACGATTGTATTGTCTTAATTCCCTTAAAAAGTTTATTCATAAAATTCTCATTCACTTACACATAAGATACTATGTACATATGCTTTCTGAAGGTTTTCTAAATGTGATGGTTGATATTGAGAAAATACAATTCTTGCATATCGTATAGGCTTTTTGTCAAATATAATAGGCCTTTGGAATTAGAGGTATCCTTAAAAGTATTGCCAGAGAATCAATAGCTTAGTGTAGTTTTAATTATGTATCTGTATCTTAAGCCTTATCTTTAATTCTTGAGCATGTGGTTGACTTATTTACATTATTATTTGCATTATTATTATTTTATATTTTAGAATAGGACATCATACATTGCTCTCACTGTCCCATCCACCTCACTTTCTTCCACTCCACTCCCAGGCCCCAAGAACTATCAACTGGTGAAATAAGAGGGGGTGGGAAAAGCCAGATGTGGTGGCTCTGCCTATAATCCCAGCACTTTGGGAGGCCGGGTAGGTGGATCACTTAAGGTCAGGAGTTCAAGACCAGCCTGGCTAACATAGTGAAATCCTGTCTCTACTAGAATAAAAAATTAGCTAGGCGTGGTGGCACGCACCTGTAATCCCAGCTACTCAGGAGGCTGAGGCAGGAGAATCGCCTGAACCCAGGAGGCAGAGGTTGCAATGAGCCGAGATTGTGCCACTGCACTCCAGCCTGGGTGACACAGCAAAACTCCATCCCAAAAAAAAAAAAAAAAAAAAAAAAAAAAAGAGGGCGTGGGGAATCTACCTACGCATCTACATTTCCTAGTGTCTTCAATTGTACCAAAGTGCCACCGGACCTTTCTGGCTGGACATTGTAATTGTTTCTGGGTCTTGTCATTTCTTCATCCAGTCACCATGTCCTGACGATTGTTTCTTTTAAATACCTCTGATGTCCTTCTTTCTCTCCATTCCTGCTGTCACTTCTTTGGTGGGAGGCCTATGCACCATATGTCTTAAATATTCTGACAGCTTCTTATTCATTTCTTCGTTGAACAGCATTTGCTGAATGCCTTCAAATCCCCAGACTGTGCCCTAGGGATACAAGAATGGAAAGATAACACATGCTCAGAAAGAGCTCTCAGTGTAGGGGAAGGCAAACAAGAAAACAGAAAAAGTGTTAAGAAAATTTGGTTAAGTGTAGAAACAAGTGCTTTGGCAACCCAGAGGAAGAAAGGATTCATTTCCTACCATTGAATTTATAGGTTTTATGCAAATGTAACACCTCAGGCAAGGAAAATTCTATCGTCCTGCCTCCTGACTCCTCTACCCACCTCTGCTCTTACAATGGATTTTCTAAAAGGCAATTTTGATCAGACCTCTCCTCAAAGGTAGCCCACAACTTTCCCATCACATACAGATTAATCTCCATTGTTATTTAACACCACCGTTTACATCAGTGATTCATATCTAGTCCGGAGCCCACTGCCTCCCTTCACTCCACTGCTATTATTCTCATCCAGTGCATAAAATGCACCACCTTCAATTGTTTACCCACTCTAGTAATCTCGTTTTCCAACTTGATGCTTCCTCCCTGGTTCAGCCTTTTATAACAAGTCTTTCTATTCTGTTGTAAACCCACCATTTCAACTCACACATCTTCACGTAATTCTCCCTTCGACTATTCTGCTTAAGTGAAATGTACCACTTTCTCTGAAGCCTCGTCTTTCTTGCAATCCCCTTGAGAAGGGGCTGCTCCCTCTCTCTTACCCTTGAGGTCCACAGCTCACATAGGAGCTAAGCCAGCAGGAGGGGGCTCAGCATTCTCTCTCATTCCTATTATCAGACCTGCACTCTTTTCCAAAATCTCTTCTTTCTTTATTTTTGAGGAGAATAGCAGCTATGTATAGCCTTCTCCTTTTTTCTCTCCCTCCTTCTCAGTCATGTTTTTCATCTCCCTTTTATGTATTTTGAGGACCTTACCTCTCACGGTTTCCACAGCATCACTTGCTGCATTAGGCAGGGTAGAGTTTAGATTGCTGTCAAAAAGAAAATTCCAAATGCCATGGCTTAAATAAGTTTGGAGTTTATTTCTGTCATATAAATATCTGAGCAGGTGGTCCACAGCCAGCATGAGGCCTGATAGAGTTGAGGATGTAATACAGTCTGACTTTATTTTGGATGTGGGACTGACTGCTGTTCTACCTCACCCCTCACTCTTTCCCTTTTACCATACATCTGGGCAAGCCAATAAGGAAGCCTCTGTGCTCCCTCCTTTGGAATCAGCAGGGAGTTCAATCCACACAAATGCTGGCCAGCTTGAGAACCCTCACCCCATGTCCTCATCACAGTGAAAACCAAAGCCATTCACTCTACCTTTTGCTGAAGCCATTTTGAACCTGCTTGGGTGCCTGTCCAGCTCTCAACAAAAAGCCTCAATGTGTGAATAATAAACCTTTTCAATGTGTGTAGGAGTGTGTGTGTGTGTGTGTGTGTGTGTGTGTGTGTGCACGTATCAGTCTTGATATCTGATTCAATTTTAGAAAGAGGGCTTCATTCCTACACTCTGCTGAGAAGCTACTAAACAATGACCTGGATGCTTTCCATCTTGCAATTTTGCCATTTTCAACAAGCAGTTTACATTAAATGACCCAAGATGACTGCTCCAGCTCCTGCCATCACATTCACATTCCAGACAATGGAAAAGAGGAGAAGAGAAGGGATGTGCACACAATTTCTCTTTCAGAGCATAACCAGTAAGTTGCGCACATTATTTCTTACTCATGTTCTGTTGGCCAGAATCTAGAAGCACAGACAACTATCAGGGAACTGAGAAATGTACTCTTTATCTGGGTACATTATTTGGATAGGCAAACCAAATAGTCTATAGCTATACAAGAAAGAGAGAATAGATGTTAAGGAATAAGGAGCAGTCTCTCCTACCCTTACTTCACAGTCTGATGGAGGAAAAATTACTTAGCTCGTCAAAACTAAAAAATAGTAAGACTTAGTGAGTCTTTAGGACCAAGATAAGACAAGAATGGAAGAATTAAGTTCATATTCCTAGCCTACTGACTTGATGTATCATAGGCACACCATACATAGTAACTTGCTATTATTATGAAGCAATACTAAAAATATTACTTCTATTAATAATAATATTTTCCTCAACCATAAATTCTGTTATCATCACAGAAAAACTTTCTGTACATAGTAGACTAGTAATTCAAATATTTATTCTTTCCTGAGTCTGAATTTCATTTGCCTGCATATCCATTCTGTTTGATCAATCTGATGATATTACCATGCTCTTTCTTGTCCTTATCTACATTGTAGTAATTGCTAAGCCCAATATCCACTCTGTAATTTTAACCACCTAACCCACTTCTTTTTTTTCCTTCCACTCTTCCATATTTCTGTTCTTCAGTTCCCTATTCTTCCTTCATTTTGTCCTTCCATTCTTTCTTCTTTCCGATTTCTATAGTTCCTTATCACTCCTAAGCTATATTTCAGTTTTTTCCTCACCCGACTCACTTTCTCATTCCTCTCAGTACCTAGAATAACAAGTTTCCACCCATCTCTTACTCGGCAACTTCACCATCCTTAATAGACATCCACATTATTTTGAAGAACAGAAAGCCCACTAGGAAATACACTGCCTACTTAATTTCTCTCTCCAAAATCAGTGAATATCTGTTTCTCTTCCTCTCCAGAGTAAAACTTTTCAACTCATTTCTTCTCAGGCACTTATCTGTTTAGAGCCTTTTTTTTTCCTTTTTTTGAGACAGAGTTTTGCTCTTGTTGCCCAGGCTGCAGTGCAGTGGTGCAATCTTGGCTCACTGCAATCTCTACTTCCCAGATTCAAGCAATTCTTCTGTCTCAGCCTTCCAAGTAGCTGGGACTACAGGCATGCGCCATCATGCCCAGCTAATTTTTTTATATTTTTAGTAGAGACACGGTTTCGCCATGTTGCCTAGGCTGGTCTCAAATGCCTGACCTCTGGTAATCCACCCACCTCAGCCTCCCAAAGTGCTGGGATTACAGGCGCAAGCCACCACACCTGGCCTGGAGCCTTTTATTTGCTATTTATTTAGCCACTCCATGTCCACCATCGTCTTTTCTTAGAAGGTATAATGATAATCTGTTGCTGTGTAACAAATTGTTCTCAAATTTAGAGGCTTAAAAAATGAATTATGTCATATTTTTGGTAGTTGAGGAATATGGACACAGCTTAGGGTTTCTCAGAAGGTTGTAATCAAGGTGTCATATGGGGCTGCAGTCTCATCTGAAGTTTAAGGAAGAACCCCTTTCAAGCTCCCTCATGTGGGAGAAAGGTCTGGGGTCCTCACTGGCTGGTGGACTTAGGATTTCTGTTACTTACCACATAGACTGCTCTATAGAACAGTTCCCAGTATGGCAGATGGCTTCCCCGAGAGAGAATAAAGGAGAGAGTCCACACAGAACAAGCAAGATAGAAGCTGCGGTAATCTAAGTATTGACTCCCAACAATGTTACTGCATTCTACATATTAGAAGCAAGTCACTAGGTAGTCTAGCCCCATCAAAGGAAAAGGGATTGCATAGGGCATGAACATCAGCATATGGGAGTCCTTGGGAGTCATTTGTGAAGCTGCCTACCCTGGAAGGTTACACATGCCTTCTTTGTTATCAAGCCTCCTGAAAAGGTGGGCCAAGTCCACTGTTTTCAATTCTTCTTCTTCCCATTGATGTCTTGCTTTTGTCCCCACCTCTGTTCTGTTGGCTCTACTAGAGTCATTAATGTCTTCCAAATGCCAGACTCAGTAGGCAATATTTTTGTCTTAGATTATTCTAATTCTTTGCAGAATTTGACAACAATTTGATATAACTGACTACTCCTTATTCTAATATATTTCCTTTGGCTATCCTGACATTATTCCCTCTTGGTTCATCCATTACCTAACCTCCTCCTTTTTCATTATCATCTTACATGATAATAATTGTTCTCATTCCTCTTCTTCTCACTTTTTCTATTCTTCCTGAGAAGTCTCATTGGCTTCAGCTGCCCTACATATGCTAATGACTCCAGCCCAAGTCTCTCTCTTGTCCTCAAGACACATATATTCTAATGAACTGCCAAATGACCATTCCAAATTTGACACTGAAAATCTAATATGTCCCACACAGAAATCATATCTTTCTGCCACCATGACACCACATTCCTCTTCCTGAGTTTCTCTTTTGATGGATTGCACTATTGTCCACTCTCTCACTCCAGCCATGATTCCAGGAATCAATCTAGGCTCCTCTTGCTCACCTCCTACAGCAAACTGATTGAACACTATTCATTTCATGCTCTCCTCTCCTTTTACTTAATTTGGCTCCCTCCTCTCTGTCTTCACTGCTGCTTTTGCCAGCTCAGCTGTCATTATTTCTCTTCTGGATTATTAAATTGTCTCCCTGCCTTCTAATCCTCCCCTTTAATCTATCCTAAGCACAGCTGTCAAGCTGATCTTTCTATGATACAAATTTAATTATTTCATTGCTCTATTTTAATATCCCCAAATGGCTCCCTATCTTCCACAGGATCGAATCTTAGTGCTGAATGACATGGCATACAAGGATTTGGTCTTTGCCTCATTCTCCTACCTTTTTCATCTTACTCTCCTACAGGTTTCCTACTCTCCAGCCATACTAAACTATGTGCAATTCCTTGACCACACCCTGTGTTCTCTTGCCTCTATTCTTGGGCACATGCTCTTTCCAAGAATGTTCTTTGTATTGATGATCTTCCTCCTATATCTAGCTAATTTCTATTCTTTACTCAGACTCAGCACAGAAGTCACCTTCAGATGTCCTTCTTTGAGACTCTCCCAGTCAGACTCATTTTCCTTCCCTTATTTTATGTTCCCATCACATCCTATGCAAACTTACAGTATAGTGCTTATGCCACTAGGCTATTCATATTGATTTCTTGCTGTCTCCCTCAAGAGAAAGCAAGACAGGCTTACAGATATTCTACCTTCGAACCTTTCATAATGCCTGGTTCACAGAAGGCATTAAATAAATGTTTGATGAGTAAATTGTAGGGGAGAAATGTAATATCTTTTCCTTACCCACCACGAGGTTCATGGTTGAGACCCCTACAACAAAAGATAAAAGCATAGAAATTTATTTAATAAAAGTTTTACATGACATGGGAACCCTCAGAAATGAAGACTCAAAGACCCAGGGAAAACTGTAATTTATGCACAGTCATGTGGAAATATGATTGGAGGATAAAAAGGTAGGATCTACTGATAATAAGCTGGTGGTGGATGGGGACTTAGGAAGACCTGTTTGTTCCTATCCTTTTCTGTGTCCTTGTGTGACATTTCTTCCTCTGGGTATAGGGTAGGACACTGTGATATGAGGGTCTTCAGGAGAGAAAGAATAAGAGAAGCTCAGAGAGACTTTCCTGCTTCTGTGGTTTTCTCAGTTTTCTTCAACTCAAAACACTCACTATGCCAAGGTGCCACATTTTAGGGTAGCATGTTCTGAGCTCTAATAGAACAAATTTTTCATTCAAAATCCTCAAGCTAAACCAATTTCCCCAGCCATTCATTACATTTTTCTATCTCCTACCCTGAGTTCTAGGTTTTTCCTACCTCCACCTTGACATCCTGGAACTTGTCAGCAGATACAAAGGGTTCTAGCAGGAAGAAAAGCCACTATGTATTTATCAAGTTGGAAAATTAACTGCAGTATTATTTTAGTTGTTATTTTTGTTGTTTTAATAAATAAAAGATACAAAAGAGGTTAAGTCTAAATTTGTCCATTTTGGTAACTTGTAATCTGATTAAGTGAGAAAGAATATTATATAATAAAAACTTGTTCTCATATATATAAAGGACAATAAAGGCAGTAAGTCATCAGTCGGTAGGCAGTGTAGGAAAGGTTATAAGTTCTCCAAGGGTAGGGAGAGATGGGTGCTGGTCATCATTCCTGGAAGACCACAGAGGAGGAATGCCACCTCGGGTTTGTCAGCTGAAGCATTGGCCATTGTGTTGGTGGCTGAAGGTTAGATGCATGAGGTGTAGGTGGGAGTGAGGGCAAAGAGAGGAGTCTGTTTCTGGTAGTTTTAGGAACTTAGGAAAATATTCAAGAAAAATCTGAATATTACCTTTTTTGAATTTGAACTTGGTCATGTAGCAAAAAAGAAAAGCTCTTGACGTGCATGAACTGAAAAACCCATATATGCTCCGAAATACTAATGTAATCTTCACTGGCCAGGTCAGAAAGCCAAATATGTTGATAGAGGCATGGTTGCACTTATTTTTATTTTTATTTTATTTGCTTATTTATTTTTTGAGACAGGGTCTTGCCCTGTCACCCAAGCTGAAGTGCTGTAGCATGAACACAGCTCACTGCAGCCTCGATTTCCTGGGCCTTAGCTTCCCAAATAGCTGGGACCACAGGAGTTAACCCCCATGCCAGACTAAATTTTTGAATTTTTTTTTGTAGAGATGGGGATCTTACTAAGGGAGGAGACCACCCCTCATATTGTCTTATGCCCAATTTCTGCCTCCAAAGAAAGAAGAAGTAAAAACTAAAAGGCAGAAATGAAATCCACAAGCAGACAGCCTGGCTCCACACCCTGGGCCTGGTAGTTAAAGATCGACCCCTGACCTAATCGGTTATGTTTTCTATAGATTACAGACGTTGTATACAAAAGCACTGTGAAAATCCCTATCCTGTTCTGTTCTGTTCTGTTCTGTTCTAATTACCGGTGCATGCAGCCCCCAGTCACGTACCCCCTGCTTGCTCAATCGATCACGACCCTCTCACGGGGACTCCCTTAGAGTTGTGAGCCCTTAAAAGGGACAGGAATTGCTCACTCAGGGAGCTCGGTTGTTGGAGACATGAGTCTTGCCGAAGCTCCCGGCGGAATAAAGCCCTTCTTTCTTTAACTCGGTGTCTGAGGGGTTTTGTTTGCAGCTTGTCCTGCTACATTACCATGTTGCCAGTGTGGTCTTAAAGTCCTGGGCTCCAGCAACCCTCCTATTTCATTCTCTGCTATTGCTGAGATTACAGGCATGATGAGCCCCTGTTCTGGCTCATTTTTATTTTTGAAGAAAACTTACAAATAGTACTTATAAAAATAGCAATTTAATACAGAACTAGGAATACCTGGGTTGGAACCAATGCTGTTTTAGTGAACAGTGCCCGGGAAATACTGTATAAAATAAACATCAATCAAACTATAGCTAGTTGTGATTTCTCATATGACAATATTTGCTTCTAAATTTTATTCTCAATACTCTAAATAGTGTCATGTATTATGAAATATTTGAGCAATCCATAAAATAATAGCATAGCACACATACACAGTCACACATGGTCAAGTACCTGACAGTGGAATGCTATTGAAACGTAAGTTAAATTTTTTTTAAATGTTAATATGTGAACCATATCAATTTACATTAATATTTTGTTTGCTTACCAATTAGTCAGCATTATTTTTAAGGAAATCCTCTTTCATAGATTAAAATTTCTGTCTCCTATATGTTTTTATTTTATCTGACATCATACTTTTAGATAAAAATGATTTATTGTAATGAATATGTCTATGGAATTATCTAATTTTAAATTTTCAATAACGTTTTTCTTCCCTTACCAGTTCTTTCTTTCAATGTAGAAAAAAATAGGTTAATTTATGTAACATTTAAAAAAATAACAAATTGGAAATTAGTACAAGGTTTTTTTCCCCACATTCATTAACTCATTTTTTCTGATAACTATGTTTTCGGATAATTGGTTTACTAAAATATGTCAAATAATTTAATGCCTTAAATATGTAATTCTGCTATGCTTATATACATAAGGACATTTTTCTTCATTTTTAATTTTATTTTCATATCTTGCCAGCAAAATAACTTTCAGCACTTTTGTTAAACATTACATGCATCTAATACATCCATATGAAACATAGTTTTAAAGACATGAGGGGATAGTTTTATGTTTCCATATAAGCCAAAGTGCCTATATCTTTGCTTTTGTTTAAGTGACACAGTACCTTGAATTACTTTTTAAAAATAGCAACCTTGGACAGCCATTCTTTCAATAGAACTCTCTTATGTTGTTCTCATTTTTCAATTGAGTTTCTGTTGAGTTGAATTTTATGGCATTAATTACTGACTTGCCTGAGTTGGATTCATTAAAAAAATGTCTAAGTACATATCTGACAAGCTGTATACATTAATCTTGGGCTTTACTTCCTTTAAGCCATGGGTATACGTGTAAACCTCTAAATATTGATTGCCGCTTGGGGTTTGGGGTTGGTGGGAGGTAGGAATAGTTTCCTGCAAATGCAAATAGTCAATTAGCTTTTATAACTACTCTTCAATTAAAATAAAAATAGAATTCTCTGGGGAGAAATCTAACCAGAAAGATCACTTCTCTGTAAATAGGCCAGTCAATTTAACAGAAAAAAGCCTCCAGCACCTAGCACTCATTCCCATATATATTGATTTATTCAGTTAACAAATATTTACTGAGTGCATATGCTGTCCAAGGCATATTGTGTCCATCAATTACATTTTGTGCACACAGTGACATGACTCAGTTTTGGCAACAAGGCGAGTGAACAAGGACTAGTATTTCATACTACAACCACTATTGCTGCTGCTGCTGCTGCTGCTACTACTATTAGTACTACTACTACTATTACTACTGGCAACAACCACCACTGACCCTGCACCAGGGTCAGACAGTGTTCTAACATCCTTATAGCCAAGATTGCTTTCAACTACCTGGAAATAGAGAAATTATGGTGTCCATTTTGCAGATAAGAAATTGAGACAGTTTGTTTTTCATGAAATCATCAGACATAGAAATATAGGAAAAATAACTGGAGAAAGCTTTTATTTCCCTTTCAGAGAGGAGACACCATTGTAAGAGTAATGGTAAACCAAGAGGAATGAGGAGGATACAGAAAACCCAAAGTAAGAGTTTTCTTATTCTCAAAATCCAGAAAAAATGAAAGAGGAATGAAAATCAGGGTGATAGCAGGAGTTATTTTCTGCCATTTACCTTCAAACCAATTCTTTGACAGTGGGGAGGAGGTAAAGCAGAAAGTGAGATGACAATGAAGAACACTATGGTGGATTCCAACCTGCTCTTCTCCTTTTATGTTAAAATATAGTTTATTTCAAGTAATCTAAACATTTTCTTGTAGTCTTTGTGTTTCTTTCTTTTGCTGAGTTTTCTGTGAGCCTGTTACTTATTCATCCCCAAATCCTCTGCAAGATTGAAAAATCCTTCGATACATTTACAAACAACGTAAAATGTGTCCACCTCATCCCTGATTTCACCATGGATGCTTCCATAAATGTCTGTTTGTCTCCAATGCTTTGAAATTTCCCACTAAAGCGACTTGGTGTGAGGTATTTTCCAACCATTGTGCTAAGCACTTGGGAGGTGGGCTCATTCCACCTGAAATAAATCACACCCTGCATTTTGAGTAGTTTATTGCTGCTATTATTATTGAATTATTTGACAATTATTCCCTTGTATGGTCTCTGTTCTCTCCTCTGGTATCTTTTATTTTTATGTTTCCTTTACTATACTGATTCTCTATTTTATTTTTATCTTCAGTTTTTCATCTCTGTCTTTGTGTTCTAGTTTCTTAAAATTATATTCCATTATGAGGTTGGGTTTTATATTTCTACTATCACATCTTTAATATTCTAGGAGTTTATTTTCATTCTCTGAGTTCTCCTTTTTTAGTTTATTTATTTCAAGGGTTTACCTAAATAGTGTTTTGGAGAACAATAATAATAATTTTTGAAGTATTGTTTTACTCCTTACACTCTGTTTCCTCCACTAAGAATAGTGAAAAAAAATTGAAATTAGCTGGGGATAAAAATAACTAAAAAAGAATAGACAAGTGCAAATAGGATCTGCCCTATATATTCTCCAAATTCTCTCTAGCCAAATGTTCTATTTCTACAAAGCACATCTGACTTCTTAATGTTGTGTTTTATATGTATTTGAATACATGATTATTATCTAAAATGCTGGAAAGCACCCTTCTCTAGGGTAGAAGCCTTTGTCCATCTCGTTCCCTGTTGTACTCCAGTGTCTGGAACAGTGATTGAATATATGGTAAGTGAGCAATAAATTGTTATTGGATTAATACATGATTGAATAAGTGAAGAAAACTGTAAAATCTTATTTGAGAACATAATATGAAAATTTAATCAACGGGAAGATGGACCATAATTCCTATTTGGCAACACTTATATTACACATATATTTTAAGGTCATTTTTGCTATCATGTTAAGTATACTCCAAAAGTGGAATATGGAGATCTGATTTTGGCTGTTACAGACATGACATCTCTCAGCATATAAAGCTCACTTGAACCAAAGAGATAATAGGGATATAGAATGAAAAGTTAGGAAAAAAATCTATTTTGGCAAGAAAATTCAGCAAGACTTTCTGCATTATGTTGCATAGTGTGCATTCACAACTATATTCTACTTTTCAAAAATTATTAATATATTTCTCTAATGATGGTTATCTAGGTTGCTTCCAATATCTGACTTCCACTAGTAATGGTATGTTGAAAATCTTATACATATCTCCTCATCAGCTTGTGAGATAATTTGTCTGGATGGAAATGTTAAGATGTAGGATATACCTGGATGGTTATCTGAATGACTACACCTGCTTACACTCCTCAGAATTTCCATTGCCCTATAACCTTGCTAATGCTTGGCACCATGCAACATTCTAAATTTTTCCAATCTCATGGGTGTAAAGTGGTCTCTCATTATTTTAATGTGCATTTATTTGCAAATTAAAAGGTTGAGTTTAATTGTGAAATTGAATATTTCTACATGTTTAGCCACTAAGATTTTTCCTCAGCTTATTAATATCCCTTTTCCATGTCTCTATTTGATTACTTTTCTTTATCATGTTGATTTGTAGAAGTTCTTTGTATGAACAAATTATTTGATCTATGTTGATCTTGGATATCTGTCAGTCTGTTGTATATCTTTTAACTTTGCCGATGATTTCCATGGGGCAAAAGAAATACTTTCATTCTTGAATTCAATGGAAATGATGGGATCCTGTTGTGGCGGGGGCCAAGGGGCAGCAATGCACTCATCACCATAACAAGATGGGCTGGTTACCATAATAAATAGCAGAACTAAAGCACTAACCATAGTAGTTTTACCCACAGAGATTGTCAGCATTGCCTAATTATTCATGGTGTCCTTAGACCTGAAATAGTTGGCTTATTAAGGGCTTACTTGATTCGTGTAAGTAAAAAGCTGCATGTATTTATCTGGAAGACTGACTTGAATCACGAAAGGCAGTCATGATCCCTCAATTACAAGAATCGAGCCAGATGACAGGTCCAGAGTCCCTTAAATGAAGAGGAGACCAAGTCCCCTTGAGGAGGGACAACGCAACATAGCTAAAAATTGATGCTGTCATTTTGTAGTTTTCTCCGAGGGGATCTGTGGCCATTTACCAGGGTGGTTATGCATTAGGGAAGGCAAAATAACCAGACTATTTAGGGATCACTATAGTCTGGCTCTGAACTGATACCAGTTCCTAGAGATTCCAATGTCACTTTGATCCACCAGGCAGAGTAGGAAATTCTGAAGTTCAAGTGATCGATGGAGTTTGGCTGGGTTTGTCTCACAGGGGGCCCATTGCACACATTCTGTGGTTATTCTCCAATTCTGAAACGCATAATTAAAATTGACATGTGCAGAACTGGCAGAATCTCCACATTGCTTCCATGACTCTAGGAGAGAGGGCTATTATGATGGGAAAGTGAAAGCCACTGGAACTATTCCTTTTCTAAAATAGTGAATCAAATGCAATACTACATCCCTAGAGGGGCTGCAGAGATTAGTGCCACCATCATGGACTTTAAGGATACGGGGTGGCGACTCTCCCCACATCCCCATTAAACTCATTATTTGGTTTATGTAGAAGACAAATGGATATTGAAGAATGACCATGGCTTATCGTAAAACTCGTCCAGTGATGAATTCAATTGCAGCTGTTGTTAAAAATGTGCTCAACTCTCCAGGCCTGTCATAACCTGATCTATAGCAGCCTTGTTCATCCCTCCATCCCATAGAAAATCACACTGGTCCACGGCGTGGGGGTGATGGTGTTGATTAGACCTGGTGAGCAGGAAAGTAACAAGTATTCCTTAGTAGATGCCTAAGTAAGATATTTGCATGCCTGAAGGCATAAAATAAATTCCACAAAAATCCAGATGTTTGCCACCTGACAAAAATAATTTGAGTTCTGGTGTTCTAGGGCAGGGATTATAAACTGTGACTCACAGGCCAAACAGTGACACTGGTCAGAGACCAGTTTTTATATGGCCTGTGGGCTAAAAATATTTTTTTACATATTTGAATGATCACATATTTTTTTTAAAAGACAACTACGTAATAGAAACTGTATGTGGCCTGCAAACTCTAAAATATTTACTATCAGGTTCTTTTTAGAAAATGTTTTCTCATCTGGACCATGTTGAAATGTTTTTTCAAGGTAAGGAACAAGTTGGTACATTTGAATACTCCTACCACGAAGAGAGAGGCAGTAACCCTAGGGGGCATCTTTAGATCTTAAAAGCAATATATATACTTCATTTGAATATGCAATTCTGATACATTTACTCAGTATCCAGAAAGATTTCCAATTCTTAGCATGGTTCAGGACAAGAGTAGGCTCTGTAACAGGTCTTGCTGCTGTGCAATTGCTCTCTCATTTGGACCATATGACCTACCAGATCTCATGGTGCTTGAAGCATCTGTGGCAGATAGAGATGCTGTTTGGAGCCTTTGGCAAGTCTCAATAGGAGAATGACAGTGCACTTCTTTATGGTTTGGGATAAAAGTTATGCCAATCTGTGCAGATAGCTACTTTTTAAGAAACAGTTTCTGACTTGCTACTAGCCTGAATGCTTGACCATGGAGCAATTTGCAATATAACCTGAGTTGCCCATCCTGAATGAATGTTATCTGATGCACCAAGTCATAAAGTTATGCATGCACAGCAACCCTTGATCATCAAATAGAAGTGATTCACACACACACACATCTTGCTGGCAGGTTGATACATTGAACTATGTTCATCATGGAAGAGGCAGCACTTTCTTCTCACTAGAATGCAATACTTTGCTTTCCCTAAACACAATGCATCTACTAAAGCCACTATGCTAACAATATTGCTTTTAACTATACATATGGTTATATGAGTATATAACATATACTATTATTATTATCTCAAACATAATATAATATTGAGTTTGAGAAGGTCCTGAAAGCAATGAGCAAGCATCCAGTTGCCCAAAACTGCTACATTTGCCTTCAACTCATATCTATGTCCTTATGAGGAGTTTTCTTCTTCTTCTTTTTTTTTCCCCTAAATTTAGATATCTGGTCTCACTATGTTGCCCAGGCTGGTTTTGAACTCCTGAGCTCAAGTGATCCTCCCACCTCAACCTCCCGAAGTGCTGGTATTACAGGCGTGAGCCACCATGCTGGGCCTTTGAGGAGTTTTTATATATCTAGTTGACTGTAGAAGAAAACCTTTAGATCTGCATTACACATGGTTCTGCATTATTTGCTGTCACTACCTGAAAGTACATGTTTGCAGCACTGTAGCCCCATCCAGGTGGCCCCGAAGGACAGTGATAAAGAAAAATTCTCCCAGCAGAGCTTTGAGAAGTGCATTTGGTTGTTTTCTGGAAAGAAATATGGCCAAAAGTACAGATCTACATCATGTCATGGGCAGTGATTAATGGTTTGGCTTTGGGGTTATGGACTTAGAAGAAGAAGAAGAAGAATTAAAACACAGGTGACAAGGAAGTCTAGGGAAGAGGTCTGTGGATTGCTCTCACCTAATGGGTACAGAGTTTGAAGATATTCATGTCTCATGTGAATGCTCACCAAAGGACAAATCAGCAGAGAAAGGTCTTAATAATAAGGTGGACAAGATGACATATTTTGTGGATGTCAGTCAGCTTCTTTTCTTATCTTACCTTAAACTCACCCCAAAGTCTCATAAACAAAGTTGTCATAGCAGCAGAGACAGAAGTTGCACATAGACTCTATAATGTGGACTTCTACTCACTAAGGCCAGTCTGGCTCAACTGCTACTGAATGTCCCACCTGCCAACAGCAGAAAGTAGTGATAAGGCGTTAATATGGCATTATTCCTCAGGGGATCGTGTTGGCAGGTTGATACGCTGAACTATTTTCCTCATGGAAGGGACAGAACTTTCTTCTCACTAGAATATAATGCTTACTCTGCTGTCCCTAATTACAGTGCATCTACCAAGGCTGCTATGCTAACAACATTGCTTTTGACCAAAGAACTCATTTTCAATATAGCAATGGATTTATGCTTGTAGAATTTCCTGATTTTAATATAGCACATTAATATTACTCTGAAATATCTGATCTGATAGAAAGTGGAATCGCTTTTTAAAGATTCAGTTCTGGTACCAGCTGGGTTTCAACATCTGGCAGGTCTTCCAGCCCACAATATATACTCTAATCGTTCCCTATTCCATTGTTCAGTTTTTCTATGTTTAAGAATCATGGGTCTGAGAATCAAGGGGTGAAAATGAGAGTGGCTTTTCTTTCTATTAGCTCTAGTGATCCACTAGAAAAGTTTTTGTTTCCTACCCCCGTGACTTTGGGTATTGTTGATCTATGGGTTTCCTAAGCAAGGAAAACTTCCAAAAAGATATAGCAATGGATCTATTTAACTAGAAGTCGAGACTACCACCTAACCATTTGGGGCTCTGAATTACTAAATAAAATAAATTGACAAAAAAAATTTACTGTAGTAGCTGGAGTGATGGATTCTAATGAAGGGGAAAGTTGGTTGCTACCATGCAATGGAGATAATGAAGAGTATGTCTGCAATGCAGGAGTTCCTCTGGCCTGCCTCTCAGTCCTCCTAGGTCCTGTAATAACATCAATGTATCCACACAAACACTTGTACACAAAGGTCATAGCAGCATTACTCATAGTAGCCAAAATGTGGCAACAACCTGTCTATATGTCCATCAACTGAAGAATGAATGAATACAATGTGGTATATTTTATATGTTTCATACTGAATGGAATAGTGTTTAGGCATAAAAAATGGGGTACTGACACATGCTATGGCATGGATAAACCTTAAAAATATTAAGTTAAGTGAAAATAGCCAGACAAAGAAGGCCACATATTATATGACTCCAACTACTTATGACTTCACCCACATGAAATGCTAAGAACAGGCAAATCTACAGACATGGAAATTATATTAGTGGTTACCTAAAGTTGAGACACTTAGGGGTAAGTAGGGAAGTGACTACTAATAGTTACAGGTTTTTTTTGGCAGGGGATTGGGGTGTGATAAGTGTGTTCTAAAGCTGATTGTGATTAGGGTTGCACAACCTTGCAAATATATTAAAAGCCTTTAAATTTTACACTTTGAATGGGTGAATTGTATGATATGTGAAGAGTATCTCAATAAAGGTGTTACGAAAAATGAAAACTATAGCAATGCAGTGTAGGCAGGACTATTAATAGCTTAGGTCCTTTAAAATTAAAGCTTTGGGTCAATTATCAGGCAAGGGACCACGGCCAGCCAATGTGAGTGCTTTTAGGGCAAAGAGAAAATATGGCTATTTTATTTAGTTGCTTAAATTGTTCCAGCTTTGGCGTTTGTGAATTTGCTATGCCGGTATTCTTGTTTTTTAAGCACTGCCTTACGTTCTGGTGTTAGAAGATGCTCCAGGCTCATCTTGCATTTTCCGTGCTATTTTCATTTACTCTAATGATGGATTTAATTGGATTTATGTCTACTACCTTGATATTTGCTTTCTATTTTCTCATCTGTTTGTACCCTTTCTTCTTATTTCCTTGCTTGCTTTTGGATTTAGCAAGTATTTTCTGTTATTTCTTTTTCTCCTCTATTAGCTCTTCAGTTATATAATTTGTTATTATGAGTGTATTGGTTGCATTTGAAATTATAATACTTATGTTTGATTCATTACAGCCTGTTAGATTAGTATTTTACCACTTCCCAAACAGAGAAGCCTAGAAAGTTGAACTTCTAGTACTCCTTCCCTCCCTTGTGCTATTTTTGTTATATTCTACTTTCATATATGTTCCAAATCCCACAAGATATTATTATTGCTGTTGTTTTAAACAGTTCGTATCTATTTCTATTTGCTCACCTGTGTATTCTTTCAGGTGCACTTTAGTTTTTCTTGCAGTCTTATGCTTCTGATAGTAACATTTTTATTCACCCTGGAAATCTTCTTTTATTTCTCATGTAAACATCCCCTGGCAACAGGTTCTTTGATTGTTTATAGTCCTAAAAACATCTTTATTTTGGTTCTAGTTTTGAAAGATAAATTCACTCGGTATAGAACTCGAAGTTGACAGGCTTTTTGTTTTTGTGGTTTTTTTTAAATTTCAGTGTTAAAAAGATGTCATCCTAGTGCCTTCCAGCTTCCATTTTTGTGTGTGTGTGTTCTTTGCTTCTCTCAAGAATTTTGTCTAGAAAGAATTGTTGTAATAGTTTTGACACAGCTATTATAGTGGTTTACATAGGACCCCAACTACTCCACCATAGCTAGAACTAGAACTCTTTCTTCTTCTTCTTGACTTTTGCATTGACCATAATATAAACAGTTTCTGTGATACAGCATATTCTTGTCTAACTTTTGAGTTTTAAAAAGAATGTATTTAAAGTGTTCCCCTTAAGTATGATGCTTACTGATAAGTTTAAGAAAGTTCCTCTGTCAAGTTTAAGAAGGTTCCCTTCTATTAATTATCTTTCAGAGATTTTTAAAAAGTAATAAATAGATGTTAAACTATACTAAATACTTTTTCAAAATTTGTTGAGATAGTATGTGAGTTTTCTCTTTTATATCATTATTGTAGTAAATGTCAATTAATTTCCTGGGTTAAAACAATCTTTGCATTTCTCAGATTAACCATGCTGATATATCTACTTGATCATAATATATTCACTTTTATAGTTTTTTTGGTTTATATTTAGTTATCAATCTTTTTTTCACTACTTTACTTTTATCATTCTTATATCCTTAGTTTTCATGCCACTTTTGTGGATAACAGATTAAAGCACAGTCGGAAAAATTGTTAACTCTGTATTGTGGACATTAAAAAATATCTTTTTGTTGGCCAGGCGCGGTGGCTCACTCCTGTAATCCCAGCACTCTGGGGGTCCGAGGCAGGCAGATCACCTGGGGTCGGGAGTTCAAGACCAGCCTGACCAACATGGTGAAACCCTGTCTCTACTAAAAAAAAAAAAAGAAAAATAGTACAAAATTAGCCGGGCATGGTGGCACACGCCTGTAGTCCTAGCTACTCAGGAGGCTTAGGCAGGAGAATCACTTGACCCAGGAAGTCAGAGGTTGCAGTGAGTTGAGATCGCACCATTGCACTCCAGCCTGGGCAACAAGAGTGAAACTCCATCTGAAAAAAAAAAAAAAATCTTTTTTTTCTCAGACTTCTTAGGGGGCAAGCAGACCCTACTCCTCACAGCGATATCAGTAGGTCCACATGACCTGGGACCTCCACATAGCAAGAAATCTTCACCCTGAGCTTCAGTAGAGGCTCACCTTCCTCTCTGCTGCTGCACCCCACACTTTCTTCCCCTGGAGATCATGGAGAAGTTGTGCTCAGACTCATCTCCGTTTTCTTTTTTCATAGAAAACCTTCTCATGATTCAGAGAATAGTCGGGAGGTGAAAATTTAGGCTACTATCAACTCAGAGTCCCCAGTAAATCTTCATAGATTTATATAATCCCCTGCATTAGTCTATTTCTGTGCTGCTGTAAAGGAATGGGTGATATAAAGAAGAAATTGAAAATGTTTATAATCTAGAGATAATCAGTGTTATTCAATTGCAAGTATGTGTATCTTTTTTTTTAACCAGGTGTCAAAGAAAGGTTTTTAGACAATAAGCAAGACTTCCTTCCTGCCTGAGTGTTGAAGGGCTGCATTTGGTCGATCAGGCCACCAAGAATGGCAGTCAAGTTCGTGCAGGTCCAAGCAATGAACATCACATCAGGACCACTTCCTGGCCACGATGACATAAGATGCTTTCCATTATGAGAATGTCTGGATTTCAGAGATGCTACAATCTGAAAAAGAGTGTGCCTTACCTTTGAGAGGAAAGCCATCGTTTTTAATTGAAAAGTAATAAGTAGTCTAATCGATAATTTGATTATTTCCATTTATATATCTTTATCAGCTTATCCTATTTTCTATGTGAACATGTCTAAATTAATTTTGTCAAACATATTGTAGTAGTAAAACTTTCTGTTTTATATTTTTAGAATAATCATTTTTATAATAACTGTTTACACAAAATAATAAAGATATTATTCTTAAAAGCAAGACAAAAAGCAAACAAAAAGTCTAACAGCAATAAGGTAAAAAGGAAGCTACTAAAACGTGAGCTAATTTTTTTCCCCTGAACTTTATGCTACTCTTGCACTTGCAAAGAATGTGCATTACATTTCAGAAAACGATTCCTACATCTCTATCAAAGTAGAGTAGCTATCATGCTTGACCTTAGAAAGATCATTTACAGAGATGGAAAGCCTGAGAATATGTTTGATAATTTAGGAAATTTGGGGAGGAAAAATGGATTGAGATATGAAAAAGCATTAAATAATAATTAAATTATACTAAAATACTGGAACACATAAGACATGCAGCTGAAAGATATAGATCAGTGAGGAGATTTGAAAAGCTGGGACAAAAATCTCAGTTTATTAAATGAATAACTCATTCCTGTGTAAAAGGGAATTTAGAAAACTGGAAGCAGAAACAATTCTAGTTACTATTTTCAGAGAGACATCATAGTTATTAGTGGATTTTCCTCTACTTATTTATTATCTCCTGGCCTTCTAATTTTGAGAAGAAAAATATTATCAACAACAAAAACAAATGATCTTCTCTGTCTCGTAACCCTCCCACTCTACATTTTTTGCCCTTTTTCCTTCCTTCGAAGTACTTACTTATTCTTCTGCTGAGATTCTTATTTTTTCTCCAGCATATAATGTTATAAGGAGAATTTTGTGTTTAGAATTCTAAAATATGACTTACCTGGGGATCTTTGTTGAAGTTTAGTTTGGCAAATCCACTTTCTTCTCTCAGTTTTCCTCTCATTGATCCAAAGAACGTAGTTTTTCATCTTTATTGAGGGCCTATTTACACACTTATATAATGTATTAAACTTAAAAACATGGAGTAAATGCACATTATGTGCCAAGCATACTGCTAAGTGCTTTATCTTTACTTCATAGAAGTAAGAAACAGAGACCTAGACAAATCAAGAAAACAAAAAATAATAAAAAAACTAGCCCAATGTGGCAGAAACTGTTATTCACTGATATCCATGTACTCACTGATATTTTCTCAGTCTCCTTTGCATTTAGTTTAAACCTGTTGGCTGATGAAAAGTGACCAGTTCTGGCCAATGGTTACATGTCAAAGTGCCTTTCACCCACATGCCCTCTTTTCCCTCTCATTTGTCAGCTGGGTCATGGGAGGACATCTTTGCAACCAGAAGGTGGAGACATCCTGGATCCCTGAGTCACTATGTGGAGGAGATTTTTCCTACCTGTGTTATACTGTGATGGCAGCAAGAAATACCTTTTTACTGGGTTAAGCCCTGAGATTTACGGAGCAATTTATAACCCAAACTAGTATTAATTTTGGTGCATTGGGAGTAGTGCACTTTCTATCACATAGCTAATACCTGTTGAGGGTACAGAGTTTGAACCTAGAACTCTTGGCTTCATTGCCGGTATTCTTAAAGAGCAGCTTCCTGCATCAGGTAAGAGAGGACAAAAAGAAGACAAAGAGAGGGTACTGACTTGATGTGATGTGAAGAGAACCAGGCCCTCTCACCCTCTCTGGAATGGCAGTGAGAGGCAATGGTTCAGACAAACCCAGTATGTCTATCACTTACTACTGTGTTGTCATAGGCAAGTTATTTAGCTTTTCTGAGCCTTTCTTCTTGCAAAATGAAAAGAGTAAGCACAATAAGTGGCAAAGGCACACAGTAGATAATTAAGTGGTCAAATACTCATTTTAATTACCTACCTCTATCCTTAATCGAATAAGAAGAAAAAATAGGGACCGTATGTGTAAATGTAAAACCACCATGCTTAAGAACAACACACTAATGTTTATTTTCTAGTAAATAAGAGAATAAGGGAAAATGCCATTTTTGGAAATTAATATTAAAAAGCGTAATTGAAAGAAATAGGAACATTGTGTGTCTTTACTAGGAGCTGCCTAAAGCCTTGCAATATCTAGACAAATTTAGGTAATGTAATAAAGTGAATGCATCTCACATTGGAATAATTGAGAGTCATTATTTTCAAAAGCAATAGGGCAATCATCAAATGGAAATAAATCCTAAAATTATTCTGCTACTTTATTATAACATCAATGTGGAATTTATGAAACATGGTCTTTTTAGGTGGCATTAGAACATTTGAGAATGTGGCTGTCAGGGTGGAAGACATCTTAAGGGAGGCTTTTAAAAATTAGAATTCCAGAGAGTGTTAAAAATGAACATTAATTATATGATATTCAACTTGTATTACCCTATATTCATAATAAGAAGTGATTTGGAGTTCTGGAATGAATACAAAGGTGCTTCATCAAATCTCATTTTATTTTCTAACTAATCACAGTGAGCCCAGAGCTATTTATTCTCTTTACTTAAATAACCTCTGCTCCCTTGACTTTGTCTGCAGCTTTTCAAAGTGAGCCAAGTTAGTTTACAGAGGTGCTGTTGTGGAAAGCTTGGTCCACAGGCCTGTGTGGGCCTCTCACTAAGTTCTCACTGAGAACTCTTTTCCAGGACAAGAGCACCTAGCTTGCTTGGGTGATTTGATCCCAAATTGTTATCGTTTTATTCAGTAATTCTGTCCATGTTATCGAGGTCAAACTTGGGAACTCTTGGATTGCCATGTGTATGTGCTTATAAGAACAATGGCATGCAAAATCTGAAATTTCACAAAACTGGAAAATCTATGAGTTAGTTTTATTGGGAATGGGTGTTTTCTCCACATTCTCAACCTGTAGTCTATTGGGTTTGTGTTCATTGTTTGGACCCTCAAGTGGCATAACTGCCCCTTTCTCTGTTCAAGTGTCCTGGGTATCCCAGAAAGTGGCACCTTG
The DNA here is from genome assembly GCF_000001405.40 of Homo sapiens. Classification (NCBI taxonomy): domain Eukaryota; kingdom Metazoa; phylum Chordata; class Mammalia; order Primates; family Hominidae; genus Homo; species Homo sapiens. Next base: position 34,137,806 of record NC_000013.11, read on the forward strand.
AAATATATGGTTTTAATGATTGTTATTTTGAACACTTATTAGTGTCAGAGTCTTCATTCGTAAACTATGTGTAATAAAACAGGGTCAAAATTTGCACATTACAGATGGTGTGTGCAAAAAATGTAAATCTCTATATTCCTAACCCGATTTCATCTTGCTTTGGATTCTCTAGTTCTGTTGCTAGCAGAATAACAAACAACAAAAACTAAATTGATCGTTAGTGGTAAATCCCTCACTTTTAGGCAACAGTCTCTTTCTGTTTGTCCTGTCTGCCTCTGCTGATGAGGCATCCATGGCTTGTGTACCTCACAGTCTACTGATGGCTAACACAGTCTTTTTAAAAAATAAATATCCAATCAATTCAAAATTTGAACTCTCCAAAAGAGCTATTCCTCTTCTCTCGAGTTGTTCCTTCTCAACCTGCTTTCCAAGATGCCACCCAGGTGGCAGGGGATACTTTGTGCTCTGAGAAACTGAATATACAAACTGACATTGGCCAGATTGTATATAAAAATTAGAACTTCAACCAACAGTCTGCAGCAACCTGCCCAGGAAACCGACTCCCTTTTCTACAATAAACAGCCCAGGAAGCCAGCCTGCTATGTAAGTCCGACTTAAAGGAAGCCAGACTGTTATCCTTAGTGACAATCCAAGAACCTAACAATAACTACTGTTACAATCAGCCAAAGACAACCAGGACTTGATTAACAACTGACAGCTTCCCTAATTTTTGTAAGCACTTCCAGTTTAGGACTAACCCAGTGAAAGCCAAATATATGCACCCCTAATCAATGCCATAGCATGCCTGGCTCTGGTTAGCCTGCCTACAGCTTTCCCACACCAACAGCCTCTAATTGAGGCACACCTGAAGCCTTCCTTTTTTTCCCCTACAAAGCTTTCCCAGTCCTCTCCCTGACTTTGAGTGTCAGCAAAACAAAAGTGATGGTGGCTGACTCCCTTGCTATAGCACCATTTCATTGGTCTTTATTTCCACAGCTCCCACAGCATTAGTGGGAAGCAACTAATCTACCTGTTGTCCTACCCTGCAAGCACCTATTGACCTCTTGCTGAGGCACAGTGGATGTCTGAGAATTGCTTTTGTCCTCTCTGCCTCTGCTGATGAGGTATCCAAGGCTTGTGTGCCTCACAGTCTATATCCACTTAATATGGTGGGGACCCCATGGTTCTCATGCAGGCCTACAGCAAAGTTGGCTTCACCTTGGCTCTTTTGGCATGCAGATCTTTGGAATCTTAGAGGAACATTCTATCCAGTCCCGGCCTAGGCTTGTGAGCTCCAAGTCTCTGCTAGGAGGTCATCTTATCCCTCGCCTCAGTGGCTCTTTGGCAAAACAGTTTGGACCTCAACTGTCAGCTACCTCCCCATAACCCCTGGCAAGTGGGCCTGTCACATTTGTGCTAAAAGGATGTAGAGGTGCTCTCCTGCCTTCCCTCTGCCACACCACCACTTTATTCTGCCTTACCTGTCATGTCAGCTCCGGGGCAGCCTGCTAGCCAGTTTTGAAATAGGAAATGGTAACAGATCCCCTTTACTTCTGTTGCCCCTTTATACTATCTGGGCTTTTGTTGTGTCTTTCCATTCCTTTCCGTTCCTTTCCCTTTATCCCCCTCCTTTCCCCTTCCCTCCTCTCTCCTTCCCTTTGTTTCTTGTTTTTTTTTTTTTTTTTTTTTTTTCCCTTTTTTGTATTGCTCTCACTCCTAGAATCAAGTCCAAGGAGATTGAGATGCTACTTTCCTGAGACTCAGGATATCCTTCCCTCCCTTGCACAGTTGGTCAAATGAGATCAAACCCTGTGTTCTAGCCTCATTTTCTCCCTTGTGAACTTCTTACCTCTAGGTGGTTCATTTACTTCTCTTCCTTGGGGCAATAAACCTTATGATAAGAAGTGCATCTGGGGGATCACCAGCTCTACTCACCTTGACATATAGAAAGTCTGGGAAAATTTCTTGTTTTACAGACTTCCAATTAGTGGGTCAACTGTGGAAGCTGAATCGTGTTCCTTATCACTCTTCATTGTCAAAGCTCACAACAACACTATGGAAACTGCTTCACGGTTAACATATGCCACCAATAAAATCTATAAATAAGTGTTTGGGAAACAATGTTTCTATGACAATGTAGTATTTGCCAGAGCAATAATTATGGTAGCACAAATGTGTTAACGGTTGGTTAGAGAAATTACTAAGTGGGTTGCAGTTCCTCCCTATCTTTTCTTTGCCAAAATCCATTGCTCAGAATACATGTTTTTTGCAGATGAGTTTACCATCAGCACTTTAATCATTTATTGTTTGCTGCGAGCATATAAAAGGCAGAGGGAGTGAATTTTGTTAGGTTTTGTGTGACAGGAAGAAGTTGACTTTGGAAATGTAAAACAGGAGGCTTTTCCAAGCATAAGGTGGGTGTGGGAAAAGAGAAAAGGAGATAGAGATACAAAGTAAATAAAGAAACCAAGAGAAGTGACTGCAAGTGAAAAGTCACAGAAAAGGAAACCACTGCGTAATTGGGAGTACAAAAGGAAGGAGGTAGGAGGTAGTATGAAGGAGTGGTATTAAATAAGAAAAGGCAAAGAGGGATGACAAAGTAGAATAGGACAGAGAGAGATGATCCTGTGAGATTCATTCACTTAGTCATTAGATGAATGTTATGAATTAGAAAATGTTGAGAGGTTAATATCCTTAGAGGAAGAAACCAAGGCTCAGAAGGTCTTGACTTCAAACCAGAGTGTTCTAATTCTGAGGTCAGTGTTCTTTCTATTATACTGATGCTACTATACTCACAAGAGGCATCGATTTATCATTTTTTCTTGTACATTTTTGTATTTCCTGAATTAAAACCATATTTGAAAAGAAACAGATATATGGAGTTCTCAGTGCTGAAGAGATGAAAACAACTATTAAACTTGATTGGAAGGGAATCATTAGTCAGAATAATGTTCCGCATTGAGCAGTGGAAGTGCTGGAAAGAGGGTCAGGATATGTGAAGGGCATCTTTGAATGAGTAAACATGGACTGTCAGACAGCTAGGCACTCTCCAGGGACTTGCTTGTTGTCTGGTTGTTTTCTTCCCCTTTGATTCATCTGTAGATATGCAAGGTTTTTGAAGGAAATTATTATTGGCTCCATATTTTGGTTTATTATTGTGTCTTTTCTCAACCATAATGTGGGGAGTGACTTATTAGATCACCAAGCTAACATTCAGTATTTTTATGAGCTAAACTCTTGACAAAATATTTTCTGAACAAATTATGGTCATTTTTTAAAGTTGATAAAAGTAAAATTTCCTCCCAAAGAAATGATTTTCAACCTTAATGCAGTGCATCAACCTGACAAATTAACAAAACACATCAAATAGCACAAAATTGGAGATTTAGAAGCACTGATTAGATCTTCACAGCAAATTTGGTGATTTTTTAATTTAGCAATTCAATATATTATGTAATCTGCAAATGACCTTAATTTAGGGTTCAAACGAAAATAAACTGTTCTTTTGAACTTCCTTAAATAATTTTTAAAAGTTGTTCAGTCAGGCCTTTAATCCCAGCACTTTGGGAGGCTGAAGTGGGTGGATCACGAGATCAGGAGTTCGAGACCAGCCTGGCCAAGATGATGAAATCCTGTCTCTACTAAAAATACAAAAATTAGCTAGGCACGGTGGTGGGTGCCTGTAATCCCAGCTACTAGGGAGGCTGAGGCAGGAAAATCGCTTGAACCTGGGAGGCGGAGTTTGCAGTGAGCCGAGATTGCACCACTGCACTCCAGCCTGGCGAAAGAGCAAGACTCTGCCTCAAAAAAAAAAAAAAAAATTGTTCAGAAAGAGCCCAATGGTCAAATAATGTGGTAAGAGCCATTTATTTAAATAAATCAGGTCTTAATTTCCCCCATGCCTGAATCATCATTTTTATAAACAGATGTTGTCTTCCCATTTCATGTTATTTGTTTGTCATTTCTTATTGTCTATGATAGCTCCATGCTGGTGAGAGGCAAGCTCAACTCTTTTGAATCAAAGCTGGTCTTATACACAGTGGTTTTCTTACATACATGAGCACTTAGGAATTATTGAACAATTATGATTATGGGTAATCATAAAAATATGTAATTTGTGTATCCTCACATTCTATGTTTTGTTGTCAATGTCTGTGTAACATTAGGATAAGTCAGCATGACGTTACAGAAATTCTATTCTCCAAGACGCAAAATTTTCTTCATGCATTGCATATTTATTATCTTCTATATATTTAGTATTGTGTACAGTGCAGTTGGGGGTCCATGGGGTATTATTAGTAATTGCTTAGGGTAGATTTAGTCTCATTTAGGAGGAACATAAAATACAAATGGAAGCAAAGAGCTAATGGTTTGAGCCGATGCATACGCAAATGTCAAATCATGTGATGCAGACAATACGTGCCAAGTTGATAACAGGAAGCGGAGCACAGATTGAATTCAAGTAATTTATGGAGATTACTTGGAAAAAGCACATGCTGAAGAATGCTGAGCAGTGAGCCTAGGACATAGTAATGGGCTTGGTAAATATTAGTTGAATGAGTAAATGAAGTACAAATAGGGAGAATGGGTGGGAAAGGCATGAGTAGCCCAAGCAAGGGATGCTTCCATCAGGCTTTTGATACTGACTGGATGAAAACATGGATTTCCACTTCCCTGGGGCCTTTATTTTCCCAAATGATTACTCTGCTTTCTTACCTGATTTCCAATAAATTTACAAACTCCCACTCGCTGCTCAAGAGGCTTCCAAGGATTCCCATGTGCATAGTGGTTTACCTTTTCGTAATCACTTCCATATGCATTCTCTTCACTTCACGGGGACTGAACTTACGAAAAGCTATGATTATCCAGCTCTACCAATAAGGGAATGGGAGCTCAGAGATATAAAAGGAGTCAGGTGGAAAGTGCATGCAGCGACTATGTCCATATCAGTTTTCAATGGGAAGTAACTGAAAAAAAAGTCTCTGTAGAGACAGAAGTTTTATAAGCACTGCATACTCTCTCTCACCTTTCTAGGTTTATAAAGCACGTTGCCATGTTACAGCCTCTGAGAAGCTTATATTATAAAGAAACCTATTAACGTTTGTTTAATGCAGCATTTCCCTTAATTTATGGTTGGGAATCTTTTCATCCCATCACCAATTATCAATGTTTCCCAGAAGATCTGAGCATATATTTCAACTTTCTTTAACCCTGAGCATGGCTCTAGAATCGCTTCAAAGCCTTGCCTTCACCTTTCTCTTCTACCATTTAAAAAAAATTATATATGCTGCTACCTTAAAAATATCCCCTCCCCCATGTGCTAATTTGTCTGACTCCTTTTCCGGGGTATTATGGATTGAACTATGTTCCCCCTCCAAGTTCATATGTTAAAGTCCTACTCCCCAGCACTTCAGAATGTGGCCTTATTTGAAAGCAGGGTCATTTCAGATGTCATCAGTTACATTAAGACTAGGTCTTATTGCAGTAGAGTGGACCCTTAATTGGATATGACTGATGTCCTTAGAAAAAGGGGAAATTTGGATATAGATGTTCACATGGGAAGAATGCCATGCAGAGGCGGAGGCAGATATACGAGTGATGCGTCTAAAAGCTGTGAACCCTGAAAATTCCAGAAAGGCGGAGACAGCTCAAAGCAAGGACCCCCACTAGGGGCTTTCAGGTCACATATAGGTGAGAGACAGATGGTTGCATTCTTCTGGTTTGGGATAAGTCTTTTCAAAGAAGGCAATCAGAATATGCATCTAGCTCTGTGAGTTCAAGGGATGACTTGAATAGAATGGGAGGCAGATTTGCCCTGAGTGGGTCCCAGCTTGAAAGGGCCCAAGATATTTTCCTTTTACAAAGCCAATGCCAAAGATTGCCAGTACACTCCTAGAACTAGGAGAGAAGCATGGGACAGATTCTCAGTCATAACCCTGAGAATGAACCAACCCTGACCACACCTTGATCTCAGACTTCCAGCATCCAGAACTGTGAGACAATGAATAGTTGTACAAGCTGCCCTGCTGGAGGTACTTTGTTACAACAGGTCCAGGAAAGTGTACACAGGGAATATCCTATACTCTTTTCTAGAGGATGCATCTCTCTTTCCTTTCCATTCCTCCACTTGCAACTTTTGGATTCTTCAGGACTCAAAACACACGTCACCTCTCCCATGATGTTTCCCTTGACCTTCCCTGATAAAGTAATTGCCCCCTTTTACTCCTTATTCCCCCATTGGTTTGTACTTTATTTCCCCATCAGTTTGTAAACCCCTTGGAAATAGTCTTATTCCTCTTTGTACTCATGGCCATTAGCAGAACCATGGACATCCTTAGTTAGGTGCCCAACAAATGTGCATTGGAATGAACAAGTGAATGATGAATAAGTCCCTGGTGTTTTTGCTCCTGACTTATTAGGTGTCCCAGAGCAGTGGAGTGGTGGTCATGCTGGCCCTCTGAGATGGCACAAATAGCTTTCTATAGAGTAAGTCCAAGGGGAGGATAAAGTGGTCATTAGCATCTCTCGACAACCCTTTGCTGGAGGCTGAAATGAGATCAGCATGTTATGAGCACGTTGTGATGTCTTACTGCACATGCTCTTAGATGAAAGCACTCAGGCTCCCAGCATCCAGTTTTAATTTTGTATTGATGCCTGAGGGAGTGGAACTGGATATTGTAAGGCAAATGCATCCTGGTTTTAATCGGAACATTCAGTACTCTTAATACCTGCCATGGCTTTAATGTGAGATGTAGGAATTTTTAATTAGCATCTTTATTATGGATTTATTTCTTTCTCTCCAAAATGGGAAAAGAAGTGTTGATTTCATAATTATATTGAAAGGGAAATTATCAAACTCTCTTTTATGCAGTATTTGTGAGTTTAAGAGCAGAAACTGTGACTATATCAGAAATAGAGTTCCGGTTAGAAGGCTTAAGACTTACATATAATTGTTTCTTGTTATTTTACTCTGGTGTTCATGTCTATTTTGCTTTTGAGAAGTGTATTTTGTCAGGTGTATATAGTGGAGTTACAAACTGAAGCACCCATTTTGTTTTAAGATACTGCATTTTACACCCAGGATACCTGCTTGTCTTGGTTTGCCCAGTATGTCTCCTTTTAGCAGCGGACATACTGCATCTCAGGACATCCCAGGAAATCCTTAGCCCTAGGGGGTCCTTCACCCTCTTTGCACCCCAAATTCCGAAATCTGTGATTTTTGTACTTTGATGATATCACAGCTTTTACCAAAAAATATTTTTGAATACTTATATTGTGCTAGGTACCATGAGACACAGAGAGATAAAATGTAGACCTTACCTTTTGGCTTCAAATCTAATGAGCATAACATACAGCCAAATATGCTGAAAGTCTCAAGAGAGTGTAGCGTGTAATTAATTGGGCTTAGAAGGGAGTAGCTCTCTGATTGCTGAACAGGGCAGGAAGTAGCATTTGAAATTGACCTCGCAGGATATGTGAACTTTAGAAAAACAAATATTTACAGTGGGGAAGAAAATAGAATGAAATATTTCATAGGTTATCATAATTTGTAATCAATTTATTTATTTAGTGCCTGACATCACCAGATTATAAACGCCTTCAGAGGTTCACATAGTATTTTGTAACTATGGAAAATAATACTTCTTTTTTTTTTTTGAGATGGAGTATTGCTCTGTTGCCCAGGCTGTAGTGCAGTGGCATGATCTTGGCTCACTGCAACCTCCACCTCCCGGGTTCAAGCGATTATCCTATCTCAGGCTCCCAAGTAGCTGGGACTACAGGTGCACACCAGCATGCCTGGCTAATTTTTGTATTTGTATTAGAGGCAGGGTTTTACCATATTGGTCAGGCTGGTCTCGAACTGCTGACCTGAGGTGATCCACCCACCTTGGCCTCCCAAAATACTGGGATTACAGGCTGGGTAAAATGCCTTGTCTTACTATCTTGCACGTGTGTGTGTGTGTGTGTGTGTGTGTGTGTATGTAAGTGTGTGCGTGTATGTCTTCTTTTTCAAAAATTTAAATTGTGGTAAAATACACATAACGTAAAATTTATTATCTTAACCATTTTCAAATATAAAGTTCAGTAGCATTAAGTACATTCACATGGTTGTGCAAACATCATTACTATCTATCTCCAGAACATTTTTCATTTTGCAAAACTGAAACTCCGTGCCTATTAAATAGGAACTCCCTCATTCTGCTTTGTGTCTCTATGAATTTGGCTACTCTAGGTACCTCATATAAGTAAAATCAAACAATATTTGCTATTTTGTGCTCAACTTATTTCACTTAACATAATGTTGTTAAGGCTCATCTATGTTATAGCATGTGCCACAATCTCCTTCCTTTTGGAAGGCTGATTAATATTTCACTCTAGGCATAAACCATATTTTGCTTATCCTTTCATCTGTTGATGGACACGAGTTGTTTCCACCTTTTGGCTGTTGTTAATAATGCTGTTAGGAACGTGGACATGCAAATCTCTTTTTAAGACCTTGCTTTCAATTCTTTTGGCTATATACACAGAATATAAATTTGTATTATCAATCTTACAATAAGTAAGATTATAATACAGTGTGTGCCAGTGTTTGAGGTATTATCGATGGGCCACTCCTCAATATTCTTCCTTGCAGTGCTGGGGCTGGGACTCTGCAAACTGACTTGTTATTGTGCTTTCACTATTATTATCAATATTATTATTGTTTTTATCCAAATATAACAGAGTTCTCTTAAATTAGGCAGGGTTTATATGCTTACAAATGTGCTCACTCCCTGACATTAGAAAGGGATCCTAACAAGAACTTTTTCCTGAACTACATTCTGCTAAACAAAAATGGAAACATTGAGCGGGATGTTTCTGAGCACTAAGAACATCTGCAGCGTTAAACACATGTCAGAGGCACACCCTTCAGCATTATTTCATGAATGAAGTGCAAGGAAAAATCTCACCTAGTGCAGTAATGGGTACAGAGTTCGTAACTGTCAATGGAATACTCTAAGCACAATGACAACTTTTATCATCTAGCTTTACATGGAGTAGGCACTTTTATTATGTGTTTATATATATCATTGCTGTGTGTTTCAACTGAATATATATTATTCCCATTTCACAGAAGGTAAATGAAGCTTAAAGAGGACTCAACTTTGTACATACAAAACCAGAGCCATTCAGTAGTCACATCCTGAGGCCTTTTTGTTTTCATCTCTGATACCAAAGCAGCACATGTAACATCAAAGAAATTGTTCAAATATTAAAGTTTTCTAAATGACTGAATTGTAAATATAGGCTTTTGTAAAAATCACAAAATTATGGAGTAAATTTTATAAATATATACATATATGAAATTTATAATATACATACATATCATATATATAACAAGATTATGTGTGTGTGATAGGGGCGTGTGTGGGTGTAAGTTTTTTACTCTGATAGGGTCCTGGACTTGGCTGTGTGATCTTAAACAGAACAGTTCCCTGCAAGTGAGTTGCCTCGTCTGTAAGATGGGAATAATAATATCAGCCTCATTGGGGTGTTGTGATGATTAACTGAATTAATCCTTGGAAAGTTCTCGACACAGTGCCTGGCACATCATCAATATTCAACAAATGCTAGTTCTCTCTCCCTCACTTCAGACCCTCAGAGTATAAAGCAAAATGGGATAATGCACGTGACTGGGAGCCATAGCTGCAAAGATCTATACAAATCTAACATGTTCTTATTACAAAGCTGTATTAGTCGTAAAGTCAGAAATCTAAGAAGTTAATTATTCTGAGAATCATGAGGTGTAACTTTCAATTATTAAGGATGATGAGGAAAAGCTTTGAATGGATAATCCGAAACAAAGGACCATTGATTTAAGCAAATTAGATTGCATTGTATGAATATGTTATTATCTATTTCAACTCTGATAACCATCAATTAACACATAGTTGTTTTCAGAGAGGAGACAACAGAGAACAGTGAGCGGAGAGAAAAAGTCTCCTTAACCCAGAGTTCCTTGTCTTTCACCAGTGGGGACTTCCATGACTTGGCTAGACTGAGGGGTCTGGGGTGTGACTTGGCTGTTTCTGCTCTCTGTGGGCTTCCTGGGTAAGGGTGTTCAGCTTAACTCACATCCAACCACAGGTCAGTTTTCACAAAGTGTTTCAATCAAACATGATGTGCTGGCCTGTTTGCTTTCATCAGCTCCATTCTGTTCCTTTCGCTGCTTTTGCCTTGTATCCTAGGAAACTACCTTTCCTAGGCTCCCTTAAGACTGGCTTCCTGGTAGTTTTGGCCAATGGGAGGCATTGGCAGAAGGCTGCAAGGCTGGAAGAGGGAAAAATAGGGTAGGTTTTTCCATCTTGCTCAGCTTTGGAGCCATCTGCAGATCTGGCAGCAGCTGCATCTTCCTCATGGCTCTAACACTGGTCAGTAGTACCTCTCCCTGAGGTTCTAACACCTACCATGTGCCACCCTCTCCCACAGTTTTGTTTCCTGCTCTTGGGCTCTGGGAATGAAGGCTACCCCATCCTCTTGCCACTCCACCCTTAGATTCATGGTGGTGACTGGATGCTGCTATTCCAAGTTTTATTTTTTGCCATCTCAACTCATCACCTTTGTAACCCATTTCTTTTATTCAATTCTGTTTGTGGAAGGACTTGGAGAGGATTTTGTTATCTGACTGGACCTGTGAAATGCATATGAGGGGATCACTCCCCACCTTAGGTTGGCGGGAAGTGGCTCTGTTGGCATTAGCATCTCTGTCCCAGAGCAGCGCCCACCGTGCCTTCTCCCCTTCACGTTCCACAGTAGCCCGTTCTCATCCTAGCTGTAGGGAGACATCATGTCCCTTCCTTCTGGGTGGATATTGAGCAAATACATCCTTTTATTTCTAAAAATCATGAACAGGGGGCCCTGCTACACGAGCAGCAGAAGGCTGAGTATTAATAACAGAATTTAGTGAAGTAATCAAATTAAACTTACAGCAAAATGAATCTGTTATGTATTAATGATATGCAGAATCGTTTCTGTCCTACGCTGGGGGATAGGACTGCTTAGAATTAGCGGCTAGCTGACTGACACTATTTTTATTTACTTTTGCAGAACCTAATCAATATTTTCTAGGGTTTCTTGTTGCTGTTGTTGTTGTTGTAAATCTCTGTTGGTTTTCTGGCCTTTGTAGACAACATTAATGTTAATCTTCTTTCTTCAATTCACGGCTTATTTTCCTTTTTATTACAGACACACACTAGTCACGTGTAAGCTTCTGGTGCTGACCACCCACCTGTACCTACTCCTTCTCCCCCATCCTTAAATACAAAATGAAAGGCCCTTGGACACAGAGCAGCAGCCACCACAGCAGTAGTGCCAATGTCTCTGCGGGGCTTAAACAAAGCCACATCCAAGGTTATCCATGTCATGAGCATTATCTCATTGAATCTTCATAACAGCCCTGAGAGGCAGATAACATTGCTATTTCCATTTTAAACCGAGTCACTGAGAGGTTAAGTACTTTATCCATAGTCACGTACTCTGTAAATGGGAAAAGTTGTCCAACTTTGTCTGACTCCAGTAAAAGATGTTCTTAATTTCTAGAGGGAAAATGGCATCAAAGCAGTTAAAATGTGACAACTGTAGATAAAAGATAACTTCCAGATGAAATGAAACAACTCTTTTCCTTTCATTATCTCTGCCCAGACTCCTCCCCAGGTCTTACCCTCCCAGGTGATCCAACGGTTACGGCATGACTTAGCACCTGAAGTCTGATCGCTAGCATCCATCTTTATATGCAATTTCTTTCTCCAGTGAAATAGAGGCTGCATAGTAATATACTTTGGGGTGAAAGGCAGTTCTTCATGAGCCGTATCCAATTCCACATCTCTTGGTGGCCTAGAGAACTATATTTTGGACTCTTTCTCCCCTAGTCTTTTTCAGAAGCAGTCTACCAGGGAGTGGGGGCGCTGTCAGCAGACCCACGCTGTTCAGCTATTCTCAGAATCCATTATTGAAGGCAGTCTGTTTCCTCCCTCCTATTCAGAGACTTGCCTGTTAGTTCTAAAGAGACGGTGGAGGGCTATGAGTCCCTTGAATTACTTGTTTCTGAGTGAACATGGTTCAGGGAATACTCACGGCACCTTATCTAAATACCTTTTACAAGAGACAGCATGAACAAAACCCCACTAATTCGAGTCCTCAGGTGCTTTAGTCCTGCTTGCCAAAAGGTAGATTCAAAGGACACCATCCTCCAGTGCCTGTAAACATATTTCCTAGTACCTGGATTTCAACTCCTTTTTTTCATAAAGGCTTTTTCCCTAGCTAAAAGAATTTTCTTTATTGATTTGTCTTTCTCTCAGCTTTTATTTTATTTATTTTTATTTTTATTTCTTTATGTTTTTTTGAGATGGAGTTTTGCTGTTGTTGCCCAGGCTGGAGTGCAATGGCATGATCTTGGCTCACTGCAACCTCCACCTCCTGGGTTCAAGAGATGCTCCTGCTTCACTTCCCAAGTAGCTGGGATTACAGGCATGCCTCGCTAATTTTGTATTTTTAGTAGAGACAGGGTTTCACCATGTTTGTGAGGCTGGTCTCGAACCCTTGACATCAGGTGATCCACCCGCCTCAGCCTCCCAAAGTGCTGGGATTACAGGCATAAGCCACTGTGCCTGGCCCTCTCTAAGATTTTTTTCTAATGTTTTCCGCAACATCCTAAAATATAAATGTGATTTAAAAAATTCTGTTCTCTAAGATTATAGTTATCTTTCCTCTCTAGTCCATCAATAAACTGAGGTTAAAAAAAAATTGCAAAACTATATTTTAAAAGTCAGTTAGTGAGGTGGTTCTTCTTGAAATACATTTTTTCCTATTCTAACTTTAAATTGGGGAATTTATATTTTTAGATCCTAGCTAAATTCTTTTTTTTTTTCACTCTTCAAACCTTACATTTGTACGATTCAGGGTGGAAGATGTCTCTCCAAGAGATGTAAAAGTTTCTGTTGAAAACCATAATGGGACTGTAAACCGTCTTGCCTAGAGAGGAGAGAGGTAAGGCAGAGAGATTTATCCCCCTTTTTCTTCCCCCCTCCTTCATTTTTGCCTCTGTCTTGTTTCTTTTCCATATCTATTCCCTTCCTCTTTTCACCTGATCACATTTTTCAAGAACATTATTAATAAAAACATTTTAAAAAGGACTGACATATAGCATCAAATCTGTCAACAATGATTATTATATTATACGTCTTCAAATATGATTTCACAATGTAATTGTAAGACTGGGTGAATCAAAACTAGTCTCTTGTTCGAACAAATAAAAAAGAAGCTCAATCATCAACACAGGTCAAACCTTAACAGTTTAAGCCACTACTTTGTAACTCATAGAAAAGCCCTGTAAAACATGAATGTAAAACTCAGTTTAAGACAAATGAGTCCCTATCAAGTATCAAGCATTCCTCTGTGTTTCAAAATCTACTGTGTCTTATGAAAAACTGAATCTCCTTGGGGTCATTACCATCTATTTTCCTCTGAAGAACATTCTTTTCTGTTTTATTTGGTTAATAAATGTACACTTCCTCACCAGAGAAAAAGAGAAAAGGTTCATAAGAACTAATCGACCCCCAAGTAGTTGGAGTCCATTTCTAGAGCTTAATCACCTACTTCAAATATGGAAATGGGAGTCTACTTACTTAGAATTTTCACTCACCCCTTTTATAGACTTGGCAGGTAGAATAGGTCTCATTTCTGGTTCTGTGGCCCCTATCCAGACTCCTCTATGCAATATCTTTCACCAACAGAACCAACAGGCCAATGAGGCTTTGCTACAAAAGTCACACCAGGTCCAGAATAAAGCTTATGTGAACTGGGACTAACTTAGATATGGGCAGCATTGTTTGACATGCAACCTTCACCTTTGGGGATGCCCTCTTTCTCCACAGTATACAAACCTAGAGTATTCATCGCTAGGTCTTATCTTCTCTGGTTTTAGCTTTTCTAGGTAATACCCAAATGCATTTGACTTATGGACCGTGCCCCACCACCCTTCTAGGGAATCTCCGATGTAAATTGTGTCTGCAGCTTAACAACGATTAATGACTTTCCACTTATAAGTAACAGTTTTATTTTGATTCATTTTAACAAATATATATTGGCACTTAACATGTACCAGGCACTGTGTTGGGTTTGATTATGTAGTTGTAACCAGGTTAATCATCAGCTGTCCTGACTCAGAGGAGAGTTTGAAGTCAAGGCTACTCATAAAACATGAAGTACACAGTAGGTAGATAGAGCTTTGATAAGGGAGATTGGCCAGAGTACATAACTAGTGGAGCCAGATTTTGGAGTTAGTGTCTTCTGAAACCTGAAGAGCAAGTAGAAATTAGTCAAGCATCAGAGGGCTTTAAGAATGGGGCACTCTCCATTGTGAGTAAATGAAAAGGAACGGAGCATGTGGAAGGAGCTAAGAGGCTGCAATGCAACTGCAAAGCAGAATGAGAAGGGTGGAGTGGTGAACACAGAGGCAAGCAGGAAACCTCCTTATCATCTACTTTAACCCAAAGGAACTCTTTTAATGGTGGATGTAAGACATAGTTACAGCCAGTGGGAGACAAATTTTGGAAGAAGTGAATTTTTTGAGGTCCCTCAAACCACACTGTGTAAGTAACTCCTTGATCTACCTACGTAATAGCCAGGCTCTGACACAGACTCTGAGGGCTGCTTAGTTACCACATTCATGCATCTCTCAGCCCAAATGTGAGCAGGTCCCAACACACACCATTCACGTGTGAATGGCAAGAGAAGGCTTCCCAGATCATAGGTCAATTTCCTAGGCGTGTGATATCCTGCTTCTTCCCCGACCCTAGTGATGTCAATAATACCTGTCCCTCCTACAACTCCTTATCAGGAATTCCACCCAACTCACAGGCATAGCTGGCTTTGGTCCTATGTTCTGAACAAAGTGAACTGCCTGCAGTTCATAGCTGAATGTTGCAGTGCTTTGTAGTGGGTAGAAGGGAAGCTAACCCACAGGATGACTTTGTGTAGCATGGCTCAAGAAATGAGCTGGTGCAATCAGATCTTTGCTTTCTATAATCTGAAGTTGGAAATGGAGAGGCTGAGTGAGTTACTAGTGAAACCAAAGATAAAATTGTGTTATATGTTTAACTCTGGATCAAGATGAGACCAATTTACATGCAAGTCAAAGTTCGGCAGCAGTTGTTGAAAGGATCAAATAAATTAATTTGTGTGAAATACTTAGAAATTGATGGGGATTCAGGATATGCTTAACAAGAAATAGCCAGTATTCATTTTGTATCTTGATACTGGCAGCATAGCTAGAAAAATGCCTTTGGTAGAGAGAGGCACATGGAGAAGGTGTGTAGAGAGGACTTGGTTGCTGTGAGGGAAAGGACAGGCCCAGACCTGACACCATTTTAGTTGCCAAAAAAACATGCAGTCCTGCATGGAAGCTCTGCCCTTCCAGGTGACTTGGGAGAGATTCTGGTCTTTTTCCAGCTAAGTAAGCCCAAGTAAGAAACTTCCTAATTCAGAGACTAAATTAGACAAAATGAGTTATCTTCCTAACCCATTTGTAGTTTTTAGGCACAGGGTGTTGTTAGGAGTAATTCTCAAAATCCTAAGAAAATTGAACACTCGAACAAAGGATTCTTAGCAAAGCAATTTTACCTCTGTGCAGAGGGGTTCCTCCTTGGCCAGTCACCATGAGAGCACACCTAAACAAATGGGCACGAGAGCCTTTATTCCTGACTCAAGTCCTGCCCCTGTAACCTTTCCCCATTGGCCGGGGTCGGGTCGTACAACCTAAACTAATCCCGGTTGGCTAAACATTTGATTTTTTAAGATAAGGTGGGCACGCAAAAGAAAGTGGAGAGGAAAGGGGAAGCGGTGTCTGTAATGAGCTGGAAAGTTAGTCCTCTTTCCAAATAAGGAAAGGAATGTGAGCTGGTACTGATAACGCCTGGTACTGTGGCGCCTGGGCATCTGACAAAGGCAGAAAGGGAAAAAGGAGAAAGGAGAGGGTACTATGAATTAAAGAATAAAAGATTGATCAGATTATTTGAAGAGAAACCTCATCATATCCCACAGTGTCATGTCAAAATAATGAGCTATTGTTAAATCCTAAAAGCCCTGGTGCATTTTTTTGTACCCAAGTGTATGTTAATCTATCAGTTAATTTAATAATTTCCGTGCCTTCCTCATTACACACATGAGCTGATAAAATCTGGCCCATGAATTTTCACAGATTCTGCTTATAAAATGTTGGGATAATGAACTAATTGAAAAACTCCCCCCACCGGCCAATTCTGAAACAAGTGCCTTTGTTAGCTGTGTTCCAGGAGAGGTTAAATATGTATTTGATTGTGTGTGGATATAACCAAGACACTAACAATAGGTTAAATCCTTTGAAATTTCCAATTAAAGAGAAATAAAGTAAGCAAGAAATTCATAGTAATTATGACACTGTTGTGCGATGCTTTGTTATGAATGGAAATAAAAATATAATTTTATTAGAACTGAAATAAGGATTATGTTCTCAGATTAGAGTCAAAATGCGGTGATGAAATAAGAAAAGCTACTCATTTGGCACAGAAAGAGTACAGCAGCAGAGGAGGAGAACCAGCTAACTCAAGAAATAATTGAGACGTATGCTTCAGTCAATATCACCTGCCTCTGACTCCAGATTACACATTATGCTTTTGAGTCATGGAATCAATCTTTTGATATCTGAAATCTCTCTGCCTTTTTAGGTTTATCTTCATTTAAATCACAATGTTGTCATTAAAATTTAGACTATTTCTTGAGGACATTCCTGTTTTCCTGTTGCTGTTGGTTATCACCTTTAAATGAGCTTACCTGTTGAAAAAGTTCAGGGTGGGTTTCTTATCATTGTTCTTAGAGATGGGCTTCCTCAGTTGCACAAAGACTTCTGCAGCAATTACACTTTCTTTGTGAAGTTGTGAGTGTAGAACTTTACAAGCATTCACAAAAGAAGAGAAGATAGAGCAATGAACTCTCATTTATCGAATAATTTGCACTGTTGAAGTTATCATAAACCTCTAATAGCATTTTGCCAACATCGCTTAATCTATCCCCCCAATGTATTGATTTACTTATTTTTTCTTGAGTAATATAAGCAAATCCCAGACATCTCATTCCATCCATAGATACTTTGCAATGCATAAAAGATATCAAATAGTATTTCTTTAAAAAAAAGGAAAAAAAAGAAAGGGAAACTTGAAAAATACTGACCTCCACCCCTGCATTCAAGGTATCCAAATTTTACTTTCAAGGCCTAGTTCAAATTTGCTAGGCTCCCTCTCAGTAGGGGCTGCATCCTCTTACTTGCACATTTGGAAATTTATTTTCTGCTGTCTTGTAGCATGTCCTGAATTAACTTGACATAACATTAAATTTTGTATTTTTATTTAACTTCTCAAGAATTTATGTTGTTTCTAAAACTAGAACAGGGAAGCAATGTGGTATAAAGGAAAACACTCAAATTTGGACTCAAAGGCTTAGTTCTAATTGGGATTTTGCCATTTTTACTTAAGTTTTCTGAACTTCAGTTTCTATAGCTGTAAAATGAAGAAGAAACTGGCCCTGTTACATTGCAAGCTACTCACATTCTTACATTTTAATTTGCGTTTATTTTAATAACTTAATTTTTTAATATGGGATTAAAGATGTTTACCTGCATGAATACATTTCAACAGAACCAGAAGAATTGACTATGATTTTTTAACCCATTAAGATAGCATAAATCACAACACATGATTTATTTATTTGAAAGATTAAATAAGATAATGAATGTGAAATGGCTGGCTCACAGCAGACTGCAATAGATGGTACCTATTATTATTAGCTTGGGACCAACTACCTGGAAGCAAGAGACTGTGTCTTCAAAAATTTGTTTCTTACCCCACAGAGCTTAGTCCTGTGACTCACACACAATCAGGAGAAGGACAATTAATATTTGGGTCTTTGCCTTGCTGATATGCCAGGTAGAGAAATGTTTACACATTAGGAAAAAAAAAAAAAAAACCTTGCGATATAGAGAGTATTTTTCACAATATCTGGAGAGAAATTTCATCTGATTTGGAATTATAGGTTGAAGGACTAGACACGACCAGGATACGTCCTGAGACTGAGGGACAAATCCTTATTCTAGCCACACGCAAACAGCGGATTTTGAAAGCTGCCTCCAGCAATATAAAAGAACCTCAGAGCTGTGACTCAGCACAGGGTTATAACACTCTGATTTATCTTTCTCTAATCTCTTCCTCAAGGTCTGAAAGAATCTACTGTGCAATTTAGCAGAAAAAGTAGACAACCTCCGCCCGGCTCTTGTGCTCCGGTAATCCTCTCTCGAACCTGTGAGCAATTTCCAAAATCCGGTCTCTTTCTTCTAGCTCTGGTGTAAATGTCTTAGAAAGACTTGTAAACCAGAACAAGAATTCAAATAACCTGCCAGGTCAGTGTGCTTGCATAGACTTTTGAAGTTTAGAAAGATGTATGTATGACCAGAACCCCAAAGAGCTAAGCAAGATGACTGGAGGTTGCTGTTTCCAAACACCATGTCTGCACGCAGGGAAAATGTAAGCAGGTTTAATTGTCAGGATCTCAGTACTCTGATCCCGCCTACAGTCCATCCTCTCCCAGGAACTCAGAACTCTAAGCTCTTTCTCCAAGAACTGCTGGGAGGGGACCCTGGATTTTCCTTGGGGAAAATCCAGTGTTGCCAGGCTGATGACAGATTGCTGTTTGGTATTATTAACAGATATCAGTTGAGGTTGGCAAAACCTCTCTCCTTCCTTCTGCCCCCTTGCCTGTCGATATTTATTGATTCTCCATAGCGTTTAGAGCTGAATTTAACTCCCCATTTTTTCTCTTCTCAGCCTCTCCCTGTTAACAGGTTCATCCTCTAATTCTGAGTTGAAAAATGGATCCCCTTCCCTTCCAAAGCAGGGAAACTTGACTACAGGCGATCACATTTTTTTTTTTAAATGTGTTAAGAATCACAGCAGTTGTCCACTGTTGACAAAATGCTCAAAGGACAGAGGTGTGAGGGCTTGTGAGAAAATCCACAAATTCATCATGAAGTCCGTCATGGCAGTTAACTTGAAAACCAGGGATGACAATGTGGGTGACACCTCCTTCTTAGAGTGTCCCATCGCAGAGAACAGGGGTGGCTTGATCTGTACGGCATCCAGCATTGTGGGGCCTATGGTAAGCATTCCGAGAAATAGGGGGAGCATGTAGCATCACAGGCAAGAGGCGAGATGAATGAACTTTCTGTTCATTTGAGAGTGCAGACAGAGGTAGGAGGAAGTAGGTGGAAATGAATCAGTGAAATAAACCGGCATCTGCTCGCACACGGAGCATGCCGTTTCCTGACATGACTCACTGCCCAGCTCCTCCTGCCGCCTCTGACTCACCGTGCAGAGAGGCTGGTTTCTAAGGAGACCACTGAGGGCTGGGCAGTAGCCACCTGTGTAGACACTGTGCTCACATGGCCGTGGAGCCTGTTATCTAGAAAGCCTCATTTCTTTAAATGTCATTAGAGAGAGAGAGAAAAAATATTTCTTAAGGTTATTCTTGAGGTTATTTACAGACACACATCTGCTAGGAAGGAATGAAGTTCTTTGTTTGTCCAAAATAAGCAATTGATCCATGTTTTGGCCAACAGAGCTGTGCTAAATGCTGGGCACATTTGGAATGACTGGGGGATAGGGGAAGGATGCAGGAATGAAGAAGAGAAAAATGGAATTGATATTTCAAAATAAAATGCAAGTAAATCTATGACATATACTTACATAATAGTGGCTCACATGTTTAGTACTCACTGTATGATGGACATTGCCAATAAAAGATCAGTAAGCCCAGTTCCTCCCCTCTCAGAGCTAGTAGGTCCCAGGACGGTGGAGACAGCGAGCTTCTCAGAGAGCAGCTTTTCTGCAACTCATGGAGGGTGGAGAGAGAAGTTAATGTACCCAAAGTGAGAGACACAGATGGCACCTACAGGAGCCTTTCCATTCTCAGGCCACCCAGAATCTCAATTAGTCCCACACAATGGTGTAGAAGCTCTCATCTAACTTGGTTCATTGAATGAGTTTGAAAATAATGGTAATACTGTTTGTCAGTAAAGAGATGCTGGCAAAATACTCCAAAAGTTTCTGCTCTTAAAGAGTTAACTACTTCCCCTGAATACCTATTTGTATTTTTTAATAGCTTCAAAATACCTTATCACAGGCAATGGAAAAACAACAACAACAACAACAACGTCAACCTAGCCAGTGTCAAAACTATCGTAAGTTCCCAACTAATGAATTTTAAATTTTCATGAGCTTCTATTAGGTATTTTGTACCCTTAGTTTTTTTACGCCACCAACACTTTTCATCAAAAGGGCATGAAAACATTGTGTGTTTTTAAAGGGTAAGAAAATTCTGAGGTCTTATTTTCCTTTTAACCTTATGTTCAATAAGCTCACATCCTTGCAAAGGAAGTACATAATTCTACCATAAAAATCAGCCTTTCATGGATTCAGAGTTTTTAAGAAAGTCTAAAGTAAATTTATCTGAAAATAAATCTTCCTGAGAAAAAATACATTTTTTTCCTGGAGTCGTTTTTAAAAATATGACTTGATATTATAGCTGTATGAAGGAGTATCTGAAGTACTGACTTCTTATATCATTCCTTTACATTTTCCTCAGAGTTTTGAAATTGCTCCCTATTGAACGAGCCTATTCTCTGTGCAGAGGAAGCTTTTTACACCTTCTATAGGCGTGGAAGGCAGCAAGAATAGATCTCTGGATTGGATTGTTTCTGTTTCTCCCTCCTTCTCTCTCTCCCTTCCTTCCTTCATTCCTCCCTTCTTTTTTTCTTCTTGCCATTAATAAGCGTTTTTTGAACCCCAGAGTTGACCACATATTTGCTCTTCTACCTTTACTTTGGGTTTCTTTGGAAGATACATACAAAGATGGTATCTCAAGGTCCCTGGAAGAGTCAAGGCAGAGAAGATCCTCTATACATGAAAAGGAGGCAAAGAAGACATGGAGAAAGATGATGTCCTATTCTTAGTTACAAGTTTCACCAAATTAGTAGTGAGAGGATCATACATTTACAAGACCTGAAGATGGTAGATGCTCTTGGGAATATAGCAGGGTGGGCAGGAAAGAGGCAAGTGGAGACTCAAGTGCATCTCTTCAACACACTTAGACTTTAAAACTCCATTTCAGCTGGCAAAGTTTGGCAGTAGATATAGTTTTGTGAGAAGTAAAAAGACCAGATTGGAGCCATGAAAAGGAATAAAATTATTGGAGTTTCCCAGAGCCAGATCTAGGCTTTAAGTGGGAAGGAGATAATTCTTCACATTCATATCTTCATTCTTTTGCCCAGTTCAGAAGTTGCGAAAAATGAACCAATTGATGGCCAAAGACCAAATCTAGAACAAAGAGCATTCACTCTATTTTTTTTAGATATATGAGGATAGAGAATGAATAGCTTAACAAGGGCTCATCAGACGATCAAGAAGTAGGTCTTAATCCTGCTATGCTCCTGGCTTTGTGATAGCCGGGCATTCTCCATCCCCAAGGAGCTAATGGAGTAACTGTGCAGACACATAAAGATAAAAAATAAGAGAGAATGCTATGAGGACAGAGAGAGGAGGCATGTCCTTTTGGAAAACTTTGGGGAAGATTTCATGAAAAATTGATAGATTTTGGAGTATGGTTTCGAACTAGGTTTTGGGTTATAGGTAGTTTCACCACTAAGAGAAGAAGGTTAGGTCGAAGGAGAGTTATCAGGAACTTTTATTAAAGGAGAGAGTTATGAAAATGCACAGTGTCCAGACAACAGGGAATAGGTGCTGTAATTAAAAACATAAGTTATGGTGGAAGTTATGGCAAAGTCGTAAAAGAAGAGGCGGAAAATATAGAGGCCATGGTGCAAGATGTACTGATAGAGGCTGGCCATAGACAACAAAGCCATTAATTTACTTTTTCTTTTTTGGGGGATTGGTGGGGTGGGGATGTCGTGGGAAGGAGAATCATCAGTAAGGATCTGCTGTCAAGTGTCTATTTTAGACACCTGATTACAGGAGTGTGGAAGATGTGTGGGAAGACTACCTATTCTTTAACTACAGCTCCCTGTTGTAGGTTGAGTTCCTGGAAAGGAGCTTATGAGATGGAGATTTGCAGGTAGGAAGTTTATTGGAGATTGCTCTAGGGTGCAGGCATCAGGATTAGGCAGGGGGAGAAGTTGCTGCTACCATCACAACAAAAGCTTCAGGTTATTCCAGAGAGCCGCCCAGAGCTCGGATGGCATGTAGAGTTGTATCAAGTTGAGACAATGAGGTGAGACTTTATCTTCATATCACCTAGTCATTGGATAAAGAAGAGGGTGTGACCTTGGTCAGCTGAGGTCAGTCAACAGGAAGAAGAACTAAGCTGCAAGCTACCAGTTGTCACCATGATCAACACCTGGGGGAATGGGTGTTTCAGATCAATCCTCAACCCGTCTTTCCAATCTCTAGAAATTGGCACCACCAACTACCCTGTTAATCATACCAAAAGCAGGGGTACTTCCTTGGCTTCTCAGTTTCCTTTTACCCAGTACCCACTCCACTGGTAAAATCCTGTCAGCTCCTCCTTCAAGGTTTCATCTATTTCTAGTAAGAGTATGTTAATCCTAGTTCATGCCCCCTCATCTGCCATTGGGACAAGAGACTCCCGAATGGTCTGCCTGTTTCCACTCTTGCTTGTTTACAGTCTTTTCTGTATATAGTATCATATCAATGCCTGGGACCTAGGGAATACGCAATACATATAAAATATGTGAATGAATGATTTCAGAAGGTGTAATCTCTTTAGCCATAGAGGGACCACTCTTATGGAGAAATAGAGAATGTGTTGGCCTCTGGATGTCCTAAGGAAAAAAAAAAAGAAGACAATAAATAAATTTTGCATACTAGGGAATATTTTTATAGGGTAAGTCTTATAAATGTCAACACATGCCAAACACATGTCAAAGATTTTAGTTCATTTATTAATGAGGGACCCAGTCAGAAGTCACAGCCTGTTCAAAGATGAATTCAAACTATTGCACATTTATAATTTATAAATAATGCTGAAATACATTAATAAGCAGTTGCAAAATTGGATTATTGGAGACAGAGAGAAGAAAAGATCAATTACATTTCCACCAGATACAATTTATTTGCGTCTCTATAGACAAGAAAGATCTCCACTGCACTCAGTTATTTCACAAAGATATACAATTGTTCAAAGACAATGAAGTTGCAGAAACCCTATAGAATCAGTTAATCCAGAAAGATGTGCTTACATAATACCTGGTTTTCCATTGAAGATACCCAGTAATCTTTCTGTCTCATTTCAAAGGCTTTCACAATTTTTTTCTTTCATAGGGAAGAAGAAAGGAAGAGAGAAAAGGTAAATAAAACCAAGATTTCATGGACAGTGCTGGTTTATGGGTTATGTGTTTTCCTTGAGAAATAATTAATAGCAAGTCTTTTTCTCTCAAAAATGTCCTGGTTGGAAGATAGGATGTATAGTCACCCTATTTGGAATTCACTGTCATTTCATTATTATTTACTTAATACCCCTTATAACATATAACCAAAAGATGCATGTAGTAGAGATAGAGCTACGCTCTGAAGGATTCAAAACAATTTAATAATTAGTGCTTTACATTGAAGCTATTAAGGCTATAGCAGCAAATCAACCATGTGAGTTTTGAAAGCAGCACAGCCAGGAACAGCCATAGCTGTTTTCTAGGCTGTCTCCTAAACATGAACCCTAAACCATCCATCTGGATGAATTTAGTCAGTCTCTGATTCCATTGATCATTGGATCTTCTCATCGTGGGAGATGGCCCCAATGCTTGGACAACATCAGTTTCTAAAACATAAGGCATTTTGTGTTTTCTGGTAATACTCCAAAGCAAAAGCCCACAATAATATTTGTGAGTATGCATTGATCAGGGAGTGAGAGCAGAAAAGGACAGGATAACAACCATCCTATGGCTGTAATAGTCTGCATTTATCATTTCTCAAAACTAGACGAGCTGAATAAGTCTAAAGGACTGAATTTGCTTCGGATTTTCTTTGTTGTTAAAATACACTGACCTACTCCTTTATTTCCACAGCCTCTGACAGCTATAGAAGCCATAAATCTCCTTCTTTGCCCTCTCTTTCTTTTGGTTTATACTGTAGAGGGGTTTTCAAATTCTATCACCTCTGGCTTCCCCTACATGGCATCATGCTGAGAAGCAGGCAGCTTAATCAGGCTCCCAGAACTTTTAAGAAAGCTTATGAGATAGAAAGTGCTTTTCTATAAATCTTAGAGGATTTGCTTACTTTTCCCTCCTCCTTCAAACTAGGAAGTCACATTGTGAACTGTAAACAGAACTCATTCCCAAAGGGATTAAAGCTAAATTTAGAACCAACGACTTAAGAACTGTCTGCAAACAAAACCACATGTGAATCAGCTCTATGGAACAATAGTTTGAACAAATGCAAACATAGTTACTAAAATGTTTGCCAATCGCAAGCTCTAATCAGAGTTTGCTTTATTCTGAGAAGCAAATGAGAACTCTGGAAAGGGTGTCAGTTCGTCATTTGTAAGCCCTCTTTGAAATGTTAGGTCAGAGTGAAAGTTGTAACGTAAAAGTCACTTGAGTGTTGGCCTCAAGTATCACTGTATTTTGGCCGAGCCTCTGATTTGTATGTGGTGAGAATCTCTCTTAGAAACATTTTTGAATCATTGACATTTACAAAACAAGTCATTTGCCACAGAGGGCAGGTCCCTGAAGTCCGTTCTTGAATACAAAAGGAAAACAACTAGTGCAGCACCAACTCAGGCATACCAAACTCACCTTCTCAAACTGGAAGATTTCATGCCACAAGCATTTTGTAGCAGCATTCTCGGAATAGTAGTAATTATAACTAACATTTGCCTTGCCCTTTATGGTTTGCAAAGTGCTTCCAACCCAAGACGTCATTTCAGAAGTTCTCAGCATGGACCTTGTAGGAGTGGGGAAAGGGAGAGACTGTTCAGCAGCAAGTGTCAAAAGACTGCCCTTTTCAGCTACCATTTTCCTGGCCTTTGCTGTTGTGAATCCCTACAAATAAGATTCTCCTGGAAAGGAATATAAAATGTGGTTGTTATAGTCCTTCAGAGTACCTCCCTTGCAGTACTTGTTTTACATAAATACTCACTGAGTTATATACTACATCAGGAAAGGTTTCAAAAAGTGAGTACTAATTAAACTTGGAAATAGTTTTTTAAATCACAAAATAGTCAGAAGTCTGTATCTCATTTTGGTTTCACATTCAGATCAGTCCTAAAATTGGTCAGACTTTCAAGCAAAGTCAGGCATGCCTATCTGTATATTCTGAAAATTAGGTGAATTCATTTATATATTCAGTAACTATTTAAGTACCTACTCTGTCAGTGTCTCCCATTTTTAGATGATACAAAGATTCATAAAACCTCTGCCTTCCATAAGTTTATACTCTATTAAAGATGAGAAGGTACACACATAACACTTAAGATGCAAAATATCAAAAGTCTAGAGAGATGAGAATTAAAATCTATTTCTGAGTTAGGAGAATTAGAGCAACCCTCACAAAGTAAGGTTTGACTTGGGCTTTACAAAGATATATGAGAAAAGGCATTCCAAGGAGGAAAAATAGCATGCAAGATGGGAATATATAGGATGTGTTTGGGAAGTGGTAAGTTATCCATTATGGTAGGAGCACAGATGATTTAAAAAAAAAGAAACCTAAATGAATGACATTCTTATGTGGCTCTGATAATTTTTTTCTGTGCACAGCCTAAAAAAAAACCTCAGATAAAATTTAAATTTAAACCTATGCCACATATTAACATAAAATCATAGTTATATATAGAGACAAGTATATAGCTCTGAGTATAATTATATATGTTCACAACTGATTCACACTCCTATTTTTATAGCTATTATATTTCCTTTTTTTCCTATAAAGGAACAAAAAATGTTTCCTTATTTAGCAATAATGCACTTTCTTTTATCATTAAGCAAAACCAAAAAAAAAAACTAAATGAGCAACCAAAATCTACTGCCCAAAATGATCATTGTTCACATTTTATGTATATTCTTCCAGCTTTATCATCTACTATATAAATATAAATATGTTTTAAAATATTAGAAACATTTTTCTTTTTACCAAAGATTTTTTTACAAGTATTTCTATTTCTGTTGCTGCATGATATTCCATTATATGGAAGTGCCAATATTTTTTTAACCAATTTCCTATTGTTAGACATCTGGGTGGTCTATGGTTAGCAATGAACAGCCTTACAATAAACCTTTGCTTGCATCCATGAATATTTCCTTAGGATAAATAACAAGAAGTGACCTTCCTACTTCATGGTGTGTGTGTGTGTGTGTGTGTGTGTGTGTGTGTGTGTGTGTGTGTGTGTAGTCTAATTCTATTCCATAAAAGTTATACCTTTCTTGACTCCCACCTGCAGTAGAGCTATATTACTTCTCAAAGAAAATGATATAATCTCTCAGAAATATGGGATAGTCAGAAACACAGGGCAACTTTTACATTTGAGCAGAGACATTAAATCACTAAGACCTGTGTGTAGTGAGTCTTCCAACTGACATATCTTTCAACCAGAGAAGCCCTCCTTTATCCATGAATAAGCATCAGTTGCTATTCTCTACATCATGGATTCCTCTCCATTACCACCTTAGCCCTGAAAACACTTCTATCTACTCCTAATATAAGCCACGTGAAAAGCTAAGATTTGTTGCTATTTTTCATTATGCTGAGACTGATCACAGAGGCATACTATGGCAATCACAGACACTAACCTGGCGGTAAGTCAGGGCAATTTCATTACAAGTGCACGCTTGCATTTTATGCCCCTTAATCACTGTTACTGCTCTCCCAAGCAGCACATTCTTTCAGCTTGGATTTTGACAATACGTTCTTTGTCAGAGGAATGCTGCAAAGAGGGTGAAAGGGGCTGCTATTGCCAGAACAGTTCCCTGGCACCTGAGGCGGAGGTACTTAAAAAAGCCACTGTGTGCATTTACACTTGCTCCATTGGTGCACACAGCCTTACTCAAAAGAATAATGATAATGCAGGTAACAGTCTTATCTGGCTCAGCGGTTTTACCTTTTCATAGCCTCCAGATGTTTAGTGGAGTTTTGCTTATGCCCACTTCTTCAGAAAACTTACCTAGTTGTGTTAAGGTCAAAGGTACAATGCAAAATTCCCTGAGACCTGAAGAGCAGCTCTATCTGAGATGACTGAGTAGCCAACTTGCTACGCTGTGCCTCTTCTTAAAGCGTCTGTGAGCCGGGAATCACAATTATTGAGAAAGGGTCATAAATTAAATTAAATGACATGTAGAAAATGTCTGACATGTCAGAAATGTGGCCAAATAGGAATTCCTGAACCACAGTGACAAGGAAATCAATTCCATAGCTGGTGGTTGATTAAACCCAACTTCAAGCTGTCTTCCTGATATCCAGCTTCCTGGTATAGTATTTGCAGAGAACGCTTACCCAAGGTTGGCTCTAAATGAGTAATGTTATACAGACTGTGAACAGCCTTCGAAACCATGTTAGCCTACTAATTATTTGTGTGAGAGGCTTTTCTCTGGCCTGTGTTGACCGACGAAGAAAGGTAGAACCACTAGTCATGGGTAGTTACCCACACCGGGTAAAACACTTAAACAATGCCGCCACAATATTATTGGTAGAGGTGTTGTGCAAAATATTTTATAACGCATATGGAAGGAACTGACCAATCAAAACGGACAGAATAGACATCAGCCATAAAGAATTGGTAACTGTGCTGAAATAGCTGAAATGCACTGCCTGAATATCAGCCTGGCTTATAGATAAGTGTGTAGATAGCAAAAGCAACATCCATTACTGAGAACCTACCATGTGCTAGGCACTTATGTGGGGCACTAGAGACATGTAATAAGCATAGAAGCCTGTAAGATCAGTATAGCCACATGTAGTAGTAGCAGTAGGAGTAGCAGTAAGAGTAGTAGTAATAGCCATCATTTGTTGAGGCCCTATTAGGCACTGAGTGCTGTTCATTTCATTGAGTTTTTGCAACAACTCTACACCAACAACTCTACAAAGTAGGCATTATCATCAGATTACATGGATGAAATAACTGAAGCTCTGAGATGTTAAATAACTTGCCCAAACCATTCAGATACCAGAGCTGGAATAGAAAGTTCTATCTCTGTGGAAGCCCATATTCACTCCACTATGCCGTGTGGCACCTCCTTGGAAATTGCACTGGTCTCGGCTCTGCCTCTAGCAGACCACTTAGTCTCTTCATTCTCAGTATTCCTGTCATAAAATTAGGAAAATAATATCTGTACATACTAACTGCTCAATGAATTTTAAATGTATGCTTCAGGTTCTTAGCATATGTGCTTTATTAGCAAAGCACAATCCCATCCCTTGAGAGATTTGTAACTTAGGTGGTTAGATAAGATATATACATTAAACATTTATATATATATATATGTAAAACATATTAATGTGTCCCTCGCCTTTACCTGGGCAAGTCTTTCTGTCTGTTTCTCTCTCTCTCTGCTGGCCTTAGTCTGTGTACTCTGTCTTTGTGCTGAGGTAATGGTGAGAATTATATGGGTCTATTATTGTATAACATTCCAAGGTAGCATATACTAAGTTTCAAACAAGTGCTATGGGTGTCAGATATGAGAAGCACTTCTGGAAGTAGGCGGTCTGAGCATCTAAGAAAGCAGATTTCAGTGGCGGCTTGTTTTATGCCTTGAGGGGAAGGTTGACCAAAGCTGTGGGTATGTGGAAAAGAAGGGAAAGGCATTTTAGATAAGAGAAAATGCATGATCAGAGACATGGGATTGGAAATGTGAAATTTGTTTGGAGATTAGTAAACAAATCTCTTTTACTGGACTTAAAAGTTATTTTTCATAGCACAAAATGGCAAGAATAATAAATGCCAAAGAGTCAGGCAAACATCACTCAAAGCAAATATGCCCACGTCACCAAACTTGGTGTTCTAAGAATATAAAAAAAAGATATCAGTTCCTGTTATTCTTTTCTCAGAATAATACTCTTTGATATGAATATACTTAAAACCATTCAACTGTACATTTAAAAATGGTTAAGATAATTAAAAAATAAAACAAAAAACAAAAAACTCATCAATACTCTTTAGGGAAATGCCCAGTCTAAGTGCCCCAAGCCTTATAATTATCTTGGTTATAACATTTATCCTGCATTTTAATTGGTTCTTTTCTTTTCCATCTCCTGCATTAGCCTGTAATTTCTTTCTTATTGGTCTTTGTAATTCTAGGATTTAGTGTCTGACACATAGTATATAGACTAAATATATTTTAAGCAAATTAAGGGCTTCAAGTAAGCAAAAATTTTGAATAAGTTGCATTTAGCTTACAACCTTAAAACCTTCCCTAACGCTCTTGAGAATGAAGTTTAGGGTCAGTCAGCATTAAGGAGTATATATAATCTACATGTGCTGGGCATGAAATGGTTAAGCAGCAAAGCCCAAGGCCTCTGCAGCCACTGGAGCTTTTTGATCATACTGTAGGAAGCACGGTAGCATGGTCAATAACTTCTGTGGACATTAGATTTTTTTCAAGTAAATTCAATCTGTAAATTGTTCTCTTCTAGGCAAAAAGCCAGGGAGACCCATATAATTCTCACCATTACTTCAGCACAAAGACAGAGTACACAGACTGAGGCAAACAGAGAGAGAGAGAAACAGACAGAAAGACTTGTTCAGGTAAAGGCGAGGGACACATTGAATGTTTTAGCCTTCTATTAATCTATTCAAAAACTAATTATAAAGAGAAGAAATACAAGACAGAAACAGAAATAAAGTTGTTAGAGACATTGCTCTCACAAGAGAAAGATGGAGAATTTCTTACATTACATGTTATTCCTTCTGTAAGGAAAAGAATATTTGAAAGCAGACCAGGTAAGGCCAAAGAAAGCACCTTATTTTCTGTCCTATCTTTAACTTTGCTTTGATATATCCATGAAAACATACAGAAAGCCCTAAAGTCACACAGCATTAGTCACTAAGCAAACTGATCAATGATTTGAAAACACTTGGAGAAATTTCTCTAAGGTAAAATGTATTTGGGTTGGATTGTATCTGTGTGAATGGCCCATTCTGAAGCCTGGAGTATTTCCTGAGGTATTCCCTGCAACAGGGATGAAGGCAAGATCTGGCTTCTGCTACCGTGTACTGTATGCCTTGTAACAGGGGCTCTGGACTCCAAAAGAGGCTGCAGTAATCAATAACACAGCATGGCATGGCATGCAAGGGTACTAGGACATTGTGTATTGCATGCTGTTCTTAGAGGTGGAGGCAAATTCTTTATTCATTGAGGAATTTATTCATTCGATCATTTTTTAAATCCATTTGACAAAAACGGTCTAAATTTCCTCATGTTTGGTGTTAGAGTGACACAGATGTGCAGGATTGATTTGGTCTCTGCTCTTATGACACAACGGTCCAACAATGAGAAAGAGTCAGTTAAATATGAATTAAAATAAGTGTAATAGGTGCTTTGTTAGGAAAAAAATATATACTACAGGTACATAGGAAGAAATATACATGTGGGGTTCTGGGGGTGGGAAGCAAGGACCTGGAAATGTTTTTGTAGAAAGTGACTTTTATACTGACCCTGAAGTCAATGTTAAATAGTGTTGGAGGTGTTACAAGAAAAAGAAGGGAAATCTGAAAGCAGGAGTGTCTTAGTCGATTTGTGCTGCTATAACGAAATACCACATATCTTTATTGTCCAGCCTCTACTGATTACCCAGTTTCAAAGTCAGTTCTACATTTTTAGGTATTTGTTATAGCAACACCATGCTTTCTGTACTAATTTCTGTCTTAGCCCAGTTGTGCTGCTACAACAAAATGCCTGAGACTGGCTAATTTATAAAGTATGGAAATGTATGTCTCACAGTACTGGAGGCTGGAAGTTCAAGATTATCGTGCTGGTGGTTTTGGTATCTGTTGAGGGCTTGGTCTCTAATTCCAAGACGGTGCATTGGGGAAAAATACAATGTCCTCACAAGGAGGAAGGGATAGAAAGACAAAAAGAGACCCAGAGTGTCTCCTCTAGTTTTATTCCTAAGGTCACTAATCCCATTCATGAGAGCTCTACCCTCAGGACTTAATCACCTCCTAAAGGCACCCCTTCCTAATACTATCACATGGCTATTAAATTTTAATGTATAAATTTTATATGGGACACAAACATTCAGACTATAGCAGACCTCTAGAAAGAGCTGTTGCCAAGCGTGTCCACCCCTAGATGGGTGAAGTACCACAGTCTGTAAAGAAGGCTGTCATGTTTGGAATGTTTGCCTCCTCCAAAACTATGTTGAAATTTAATTGCCATTGTAGCAGTATGGTGGGACCTTTAAAAAATGATTAGGTGATGAGGGCTCCACCTTCATGGGTGGGATTATTGCCATTATAAATGGAGAAATTTGTTTACCTCTTGTTCTCTCGTTGCTCTTATACTCTTCTGCAATGTGAGAAATAGCATTTGTCTCTCTGGAGAATGCAGTGTTCAACATGCCATCTTGGAAGCAGAGGCTGGGCCCTCACCAGACACCAAACCTGGATCTTGGACTCCTCAGCCTCCTGTTCTTCATAAATTATCCAGTCTGCAGTATTCTGTTATAGCAGCACAAAATGGACTAAGACAAAGGCCAAACCTGAATGTCATAAATAATAGCTATTTCTATCAGAAGTTCGGTTTGATAAGGCCCACTGATAGGTTTTAAATTAAATATAAATTTGGCAATCCAGTTTTTGTTTCTCAGTCAATTAAAATGGGTTAGTAGTATCCAAAGAATATGTCAGCAGTTTTCATAAGAAGCATCTAGATTTCCTGATAGTGTATGTTTGTTCTCCTGGAACATTAACACTACATTCCGAACACCCAATAAGTGTTGAATATTGATCAAAAGAGACCAAACATCATTATAACCAACATGTTAAATCGGATGTTTCTCAAATGCCTATTAGGAAATGTTGGATTTAAAAGATAAAGTCCTGTCAGTTCTCAATTCCACAAGTGACTTGTAAAAATACATGGAGATAAAAAATCTGGAATACAGCATTTTTGCCAGAAAGCCTATAACACTCTAATAAATGTGTCACCTGGATTTTATCTTGAAAAGATGAGATCATTGCAACTCAAATAAACAGCATCACTCTTGAGCAGAATGGGCTGAAAAATGACTTATAGGATCACATACACAAATTGTATATATTCTTGGCAAAAATGAGAGCATTGCTTAGTTAAATATTCATAAAATAATGTATTAAAATGTTCATCTTTATATCCTGCAAATAAATGTGTTATGAGAATCATATTTTCATCTCTAGGAGACAGCTCAAGTCCTCTTGGATATAGTAATGGTGAAAACTTAAATGAATAATAACATAGTTAAATAATATTATTGTGATCTTCTATATTTTGACAATTTTGTCCTTAGTTTTGACCCAACTTCTGTTAATGAGTGAATTATATACTCATTCAATAGCCAATAACTGTGGAGTGTCTGTTATGTGCTAGGCACTGGGGATTTGATGCTGAACAGGATACACATATTTCCTGACTTCCTCTGGGTTACTTCCTAGTGGGGAGGACAGACAAATGCAAGTAACAAATAACTAAAATAATTACCAAAGATTATAAAACTGATGAAGAAATGACTAGATTCAGTTTGGACTCTAACTTGATGTGGTCCTAAGCACTAAACTGGGATTTTAGAGATATTTTCTTTTTAATATTTTTGCAACATTTCACTATATGAGGGACTCTGAACCCAGAGGCTATAGTCTCACATATAGCTGAAATTTTCAAATAATGATTAGATTTGTGCAGCAGCTTGGTGGTCTAGTTTGAGGTAAATGAGATGTCCGGAAGCTGAACTGCAGTGCAGGTTCCGAAATATTGGAAATGACATAGGTTCTGGTGATGCCTTATGGTGCTCTAAACTTTAGGTCACACTGAGGTTAAAACCAGAACAGGATTGGATCACACTCTTGGGAGCCAGACTGGATTTCTTTTTCAGTGCTTACTCTTGAGTCTGACACTTTGGTTTGTGCCATACATATCAGATGGGTCTAGTTTAGTTCCAAAGGCTCTGTCTTCCACATCCTCTTAAATCCATCTGTGTCCAGTTGAGTCTGCAGATATGCAAAGTGCTAGGACTCTGTTATTCATGTTCTCCTCACCCTGCTCTCTGCCTTCTGCCTACTATGTTGTCAAAATAACAGTAGTTGACCATTTGATGTGGTCTTTTAAAAAGAGAGATTCCCGCTTGAACCCGGGAGGCAGAGTTTGCAGTGAGCCAAGATCGTGCCACTGCACTCCAGCCAGGAGACAGAGTGAGACTCCATCTCAAAAATAAATAAATAAATAAATAAATAAATAAATAAATAAATAAATAAAAATAAATAAAAAAGGATCTTCCTAGCCTGAAATCCTAGAACAGTGTTTTTGAAGAGAGAGAAGAGAAAATAGAATGAAGAGTGGAATGGAGGAAGAGTAGAATCACTGAGGTGGGGGAGAATATTAAATCTTAATGAAGAAGATCGTGATCCTTCCATTATCTCCCAATATTTCAGTAAATGAAAACAGAGTGTCTACTACATGCTAGATAATACTGAAATATGTGACTCTCCTATACAGAAAAACCACATCCCTGGTTCAAATTAAAAAGTCCAAGCATCACAAATACTCTCAACTCCTTAATGGTCCAAACTTGTAGCAGCCTGGAATATGTTTCCAAATCAGATGGTCTTAGAACCAATCAAGATATAATCTATCTTGAGAATGCCTTGGCAATATATTGAAAGCCTTAGAAATGTTCATATTGTCTGACATAGTAATTCCCCATCTTGGTAAATGCCGTCTTCCAAAACTTTGGTGTCATTCTTGATTCCTCTCTTTCTCTCAACTCATTTCTCATCTATTTGCCAAGCCTAAGGCTCTACATTTGCAAGAATCTAATCATCTTTCATGACCTCCACCACTAACAGACCACCATGATATGTCTGTGGACAACTGCAGCAATCTCCTAATGGATCTCCCTGCTTCCTCCTTTGCTCTTCATCTCTCTATTGGCCACACAGCAGCCACAGTAGTCTCTTATTTAATCTAGTTTGCTTATACCTCTGATGTCTTTCCATCCCATGTAAACTTAACCTACACCACAAGACCCTGTGTGATCTTGTCCTTGGCTTTATCTTTGGATGCTCTGGAGCTTCTATCACTCTCTGTCTCACTCTCACTGTGCCAGTCACAATGTCCTCTTTGCTGTTTATCAAGCATGCCAAACTCACTATTCCCTCAGGGCCTTTGCACATATCATTCCCTTAGCTTGCAATGCTCTTTCCTCAGGCATCCACATGACTAACTCTTTACTCAATTTAGAAAGGCCTTCAAACTTATTAACTGTTACCTTACCAGAAAAGCCTTTTATGATCACACCAGCCTCTATTACTCTGCTCTACTTTCACTCTGCTCTACTGTTTTTTCTCCATAGCCACTATCACCACCTGACATATATATTTGTTTATTTGCTAGAATACAAGCACAAGAGAGGAGGGATTTTGCTTTATTCTCTGCCAGATATTCAGGACTAGGAGAAGGCCTGGTACATAGTAAGACCTCACTAAATATTTGTTGAGTCAATGTGTTGGGTTCGTGAATTTTGATTCCTGTTCATGTCTTTTGAATTCTTCTACAATCTGCCTATCAGATGCAAATTGGAAGACATGTTGATGTGCAGAACTCTTGGCCAAGTTTTTGGTCTAATGGCAATTATGGGATTATGGCTTGCTAGCTTTCTGAAAAAAAGGAGTTGAAATGGATCTCCAAATTTTATTTAAAAAAAATCACAACCTCCTTTTTATGGTCTGGTCACGTTCCCCCAAATCATATGTTAAAAGTTAATGACGAATGTGAGAGTATTAAGAGGTGGGACCTCTCGGAGTGCAGACTTCATCACCTTCATGTCATCGAGATTATCAACTTTATAAAAGGACTGGAGGAAACTAGCTGGCTATTTTTTTTTTAAGATGGAGTCTCGCTCTGTTGGCCAGGCTGGAGTACAGTGGTGTGATCTCAACTCACTGTCACCTCTGCCTCCCAGGTTCAAGTGATTCTCCTGTCTCAGCCTTCCCAAGTAGCTGGGATTACAGGAGTGCACCACCACACCTGGATAATTCTTGTATTTTTAGTAGAAACAGGGTTTCACCATGTTGGCCAGGCTGGTCTTGAACTCAAGCGGTCTGCCTGGCTAGGCTCCTTTTTATTTTTCCATCCCTTCTGTCATGTGAGGACACAGTGCCTATCCCCTCTAGAGGATGCCACGACAAGGCATCATCTTCGAAGCAGAGCCCTTACCAGACACCAAATCTGCCAGTACCTTGATCTTGAACTTCCAGCCTCCAGAACTCAGATATATATTTATCTTTGTTATAAATTACCCAGTCCCAGGTATTTTTTTACAGAAGCACAAACAGACAAAAGTCGCTTGATTTCTAGCATGGCTTCTAGATGCGTCGCTGTTCGAGGCCCTGACCCTTCATCCACAGTTTGTTTTCAGTCTCAGTCAACCAGCAGTGGCAGACCCTCTGCACCCCACTACTGCTTCTGAAGTTGGCCTTGGTCCCCACTGTCTGTATCTCTCCTCTCTGTAGCTGAGCTCTATTATCTGGAGGTGCTTAGAGTGGAGGAGGCATTTCTGGATAGATCTACATGCTCTTTGCCAACTTCCATCTTTCTCTCTTCCACTTGTTTCATGTCAAAGGCCCTTAGAGAAAAGAGTAATGCTCTGTAATTTTATGGCTGCTCTTTTTTTTTTTTTAACCAAATATCATTTTGTGAAAATTTTTCCTGCACTATTAGGGGTCTTCTAAAACCTAGTTTTAAGTGGCAGCATATATTGTTCCTGGGATGTGTCATGATTAAACCATCATAT
This sequence comes from Homo sapiens, assembly GCF_000001405.40. Lineage (NCBI taxonomy): Eukaryota > Metazoa > Chordata > Mammalia > Primates > Hominidae > Homo > Homo sapiens. The sequence goes on from NC_000013.11 coordinate 34,173,868, forward strand.
TATTGTTGTGGCCATTTACATTGCTCTGAAAGTTTCACTGTTGTAGCAGCCTCATCTTTTCAACATAAATTCATTCATAGATAGATAGAAAAAATCCTGCTGTCTTTAACATTTTTTGCACATATCTTTTTTTATAGCTCTAATTTTTTAAAAGATGATCTTTTAGAAGGATAATCACTGGATAATAATCACTGGATAAGAAGATATAAATTTTCGTGTTCTACTTGATAAATTCTGGGCTAACTACTTTTCAGAAACGTGAACTCCCACAAGTACCATTTCCTTCTTCACTATGCCCTTGCCAGTACTGAGTGTTACCTTGTAACAATCTTTGTCAATTTAATAAATGAAAAATTTGATTTTACTTCAATGCGAATTGAGCAACAATTCACATTTCACAAGTGATAAGTTACACACATTTAAAAAGGTTTGGGATCTTTTCTAACCTATCTATTATAACCAGGAGGTCACTTCTGAGTTGCTGACCTTTATCTGGTCTTCATGTTCCATTAAATACTCTGATTTAAAGCCTCAGGTCACTTTCAGTCTTAATTGTATTTTATTATTCTCCATTGTTGCAGAATGTTTCAGTCAATTTAGCCAGAAGGGTCTCTCTTCACCTTTTCTTCACTGGTTCATTTCCAGTTATAACAATGACAGATTCCCTGAGATGTTATATTAATTTTATTATCATCACAATAACTATTATTACTCAAATGAAAGTAAGAATCAGAATGTGATTTTAGGCTTAGAGGAAAGCATATTTTTGTTGTTCACTGAGGAGGTATAAATTCTTTTTACTATTAAGCAAGCCGTGGTTATGCAGAGGCTAAATGTCAGATATTCTCAGATTTAGCAACAACTGTTTGCATTCCACATAATGTCAGAGAGCATGTAGAAGATAATAAAACATCAGCTTAAACATTTACTGAGGAAGTTTCTCTTGCACTATGTTAAGTTAAGCAAAAGATGGGTTGCCCAGCGCCTATTTCTTCATCACCACCCTTCTTCAGGAAGAGAAATGGGTCCTCAGTGCCCAGTTTTTCCTTTTGTTTATTTAGTGGGACCCTGGTTTCTGAGATGGATATGTAGCATCTTCATGTTCTCTTTCCCTCTATCAAAATTGACTACTGGCCAAGTTTCCAAAAATTGCTTCATGTTAAAAGGTTGGTTTCATCATTGTTACTTGTATTTTTGAATGGTAGGAGCACTTCTTGGTTAACCAAGAGCAAACACAGCCTTCAGTAAATATTTAGCCATAGCCAACTTGACTTTCATTCACTATTAAACCCATAAACCAAAGGAATGAATAATAAATTTATGGTTATTAGAGTTTTTCGCAGGAGAAGCTTTTATCTCTCCTGTAGCACCACAGGTGACTCCACCTGTAACAGTAGGTCCCATAGAACATTGCATATTTGCCAAACACTGTACATATCCTATTTAACCATCACAACAACCTTCATTTCACAAATGAGGAAACTAAAGAAACTAGAGTTTAGTTCCCAGGTAGTGGTAGAGCAGAGATCTGAACCCACGTCTGACTGACTCACTCCGAAGGGCATGTTCTTAAATATTACACTCTTTGGATGCTTTCAGCTGTATAGTACTTGAAAGGGTCCTACATGCTCTTCTACCTGTGTTCTTGCCATGATCCTTTTAAGAGGTAGAATATGTTCCCTTTCTTCTTAGTTCTGAGTGGTCCTTGTGATTATTTTGATGAATAAAATGTGGCAAAAGTGATGCTGTGTAACTTTCGAGGATGATCCTTAAGAAATTTCCAGCTTCTGTTTTGGCTTCTTGCTCCACTCTTTCTGGACCTCAGCTGCTATAACATCAGAAGGTCCATATGGAGAATAACAAAGACACCTCTCCCCACCCCCACAATAGCCAGCAGCCACAGCTGAGCTCCCAGAAGGAGGCCAGCACCCAGGACCAGGCACATAATTTGTCAAGTCCAGTGCAAAAGAAAAACTCATACCCCAACCAGGGGCAGGGAAGTCAGTCTCGCTTTCCTTAGGTCCAATGCTTCTGTGCCTGGGCTGGCTCAGGAGCTGACTGGCTGTGGTCACAAGAAATCTGCCAAACATGCCATGATGTCGCCAGCCCACATGGGACCAAAGACCCCTTGCCATACCCCAAGATACTGAATGTCCCAATATGCTGTGAAGCCCTGACCTTGATCTTCCCCACATCTGCTCCCAGGTTCCTGTCAGGGGGCGTTGGCAGCAGCAGAACCCTGGCCTTCCACCCACCAATGTAACAGGGCAGAGAGCAGCAGTGGTCATGGGGCAGGTGTGGGGAGGGGAAGCCACTTGGGACCCAAGGAGTCAGACAGCAGGAGAGTGCAGCCAGGAAGCTATCCTGGGGCAATGGGCTCCGAGCCACCAACATCTGCTCCATTGTCACCTCATTATTCACCTACCAAATACAAACTTAAGGATGAAATTTATTAAGAATTTCAAGATGGCAACTGTGTGAATGAGGGCATTTTGATCCTGTGACTGTCCCAGAGCCCCAGCAGAAAAACCACCCCATCACCCCCTAGAGCCACGAGAAATACAAAAACAGTTGGTGCTTTGAGCTGTTAAGTGTCGGGTTTGTTTATTACAAGGCGCTTGATAACCATAAAGTTTTGCTATCATCTTTCTGTGGACTAGTATCGAACATTTTGAAATCAAGTAATAAGAGGAAAATTGGAAAAGTGAAATGCAAAGACACTTAAAAAACAGAAGGCCCCTGGGGAGGTGAAGAAATTCAGGGAAAGCTTCCCATAGGAGGAGAACCTTCAGACAGACTTTGAAATAAGCACAGTATGTGGACCGGTAGACAACGGCAGACTCACTTGGCTGTCCACTACATGCCAGACAGGCAGCAAGCATGCACATTAATGCACAAAAAATCCAACTCCTGGATTAAAAGCCTGAACCACCCAGCTTCACCCACATTATACCTTGCTCCTCGCTTCTCGCCATCTCATGACCCAGCCTGCATTTTTGCCTCTGGCTAAGTCCTTTCAGTCTGATGCAGAAATCGAATTGTGTCAGCCTCTGATCTTATTTTAGCTTGCTGGTTGCATGTTTTTCTTTTCTCTGCAGCTCAGAGATGCTAAATCTCCAGGATCCTTCTCTCCCAGGGTTGTGTGTTATCTTTAGGAACCTCTGTCCTAGTCCTTCCTGTTCAACGCACAAATTTGAAGCTTATTTGAATGTAAAACCAACTTGTAGGATTTACACAAACACCATTTCCCACTCTTGTTTGTCCATGAAGCCCTCCTTTCCCAGATCATATTTTAGCTTCTCACATTACCATTCAAGTAATGCTACCTTAGGCTAAATTCCTACAAGTTGATTTATAGCAGCTATCTCTTTAACAAGCTCCTCAGATGATTCTGATGTGCACCAAAGTTTGGGAAACACTGTATTAGACATACATAAAATTGAAGTTATAATAGTCCTTCGTAACTTTTGATCAGTCTCACTCACTCCTTCTTTAAGGCTCAAATATAAAACCCCTCAAAACTCCATAACCTTTCATAATTACAACTGAATTTATTAGCTGTTTGACAGTTATTATACTTTAAATCTGAGGCATATAACCTTTGCCAAAGCATTTATTATTTTAGATTCTTATGTCCTCTACCTCTGGATGGTGTTAGGATTCAGGAAACCTGAATTCATTTAACACTATTCAACTGAGTAGTTTAGCCTTTTTAGTGGCATGTAATTTAACATTCTATGTAGATAATCTGGTATAGGGGATTTTGAAATCATACCGACCTGAGTTTTGTTTTTTAAGGCTGGATCTCACTCTGTTGCCCAGGCTGGAATGCAGTGGTGTGATCACGGCTCACTGCAGCCTCAAACTCCTGGGCTCAAGCAATTCTCCCATTTCAGCTTCTCAAGCAGCTAGGACTTTGGGCACACAGCACCACACCCAAGTAATTTAACAATTTTTTTTAGAGACCAGGTCTCACTATGTTGCCCAGGCTGGTCTCGAACTGCTGAGCTCAAGATATCCTCCCACATCGGCCCCCTAAAGTGCTGGGATTACAGGTGTGAGCCACCATGCCTGGACCCAACTTAGACTTTAAATCTTGTTTGCAACATCTACCATCTATGTGACATTGGGCAAATAATTTAATATTTCTGGACCTCAGAGTTCTTTGTAATATTTACTTTATAGGCCAGTTTTGAAAATTAAAAAGGATTCAATATATAGCTAGTAAAAACAGTGGTACCTCAGTGAATATAGTTTGCTCTCTTCTCAGATACCTCAGTCTCCTGAAGGGAAAAATGGCTAATAATATAATTTTACCTATCTTCCAGGGAGTCATAGAAATAAAATAAGATTACATAGGTTAAAAATGCATTGAAAATGTTAAAGCCATTTTCTAAATGACAGTGATAGTATTTTATGTTAATCTGAAGTTTCTTGAAGGAGAATTATGTCTATTTCCATTTTTAAAGTGTTTAACATTTTGGTTTCAATTCTAAACCAAAATAAAAACATTTAAACGCTGTATGTGTTTGTGTATTCATTAAGTTCTTACGAGTGATGGCGTTAATTAAAAGTTCATGATTCCAGCTACATGTTCTCATTGCTATTTTTGTTTCTTGAGTTTTCCACTTTCCTTCTTCAACACAAATTTTAAACCCATAAATATGCCCCCCTATCCCAACACATCCACAGAAAAGAAGTTTTCCACAGCCTCACTGGCCATTTTAATTAAAGTAAAATACAAACACATATCTCTTCTCATTTCTAGTTTTGTTAGGAGAGGAGTTATTGAAGGGAAATAGAAAATGAAACTTTTGGTTAAGGCCAGTTTGTTAAATAAAAATAACCCCACATATATTTAATTTGAATCTAAATTATACCAGCAGGGGCCTAGCAGCATTCATCAAGTTCTTTTGTGAATCTCACTGATTCTAAGTCAGTGCAGAGTCCCAAGAATGCAAAATAATAGCAATATTCTTAAAATTGAAAAACCAAGGACTAAAAATTTCATTACCCCAATATATCACCTAACGTCAAAAAACGTAATGCTAGTTCTCTGAATAAAACTGCATTGACTGCATGTACAATTTGGTCTATTAGACTGCTCCATTATTTTGAATTTGTTTAAATTCTTGAATAAAAATCTCAGTGTTAGCACTTTTTGGCGAGATTATAAAAAGTAATAACAGCTGCATTATCACCTCCCAGGGAGAAGAAGGTTTGTCACAATGAGTAATGCTCTTCCTGCTGGGGCACAATCAAGCACTCTTCCCATATGCCCTGCACCAGGCTCTGATTTGATTACCCTTTCACAGGAGATACACACACACACACACACACACACACACACACACACACACTCATCATCTCCAGCTTCTGCTGAGACAAGGGGCATGATCAGTGACTTTATTTATAAAGTCCAGTTCAGGGTCTATGGGCCCCATCAATCTATTAAGAATTAGACCTGTAGAAACATGCATTGCTCCAAGAATATAGGCGCTAGTGTTTTTACATGCTTTGTCTAACAGAGTGATATTATTTTTAGTCCTGTTTTACAAGTGGGATATCAAGGAGAAGTCAGTGAGGGAGGTACAGAGTTGTAACTATTTCTAGATTTCTTACCTACAAGGCAAAGAGGAGGGCCAGGAGAACCCTTGATACTGGGCTTTTGCCTAAAGTAGAGTGGGGCACCCAAGACTGGGCTTCTGTACAACCTGATGTATCTACCACTTCACAAAGCATCAGTCTCTCCAGGGGGTACCTGTTTAGTCTTTGTAAGTAGGTTGGCTGATGCTCTTAGGAGCTGAATCAAGAGTGTTTTGGAGTGGGAAGGCAGGCTTCACTTGCATTTCACCCAGGGCACTCTGCAAGGGTTTTCTCTGCATGACCAGGGTCTAGACGACTTGGGAGAAAGGAATTCAAGGAATTTCAGACTGAGACTCAGGGCCTTGGGTACCAGGATTAAGATTCTTTAAAAAAAAAATTGATTAAGAACATTTAACATGAGATCTATAGTCTTAAAATTTTAAGTAGACAACATAGTATTGTTAACTACAGACACCGCATTTTACAGCAGATCTCTAGAAGTCATTCATCTTGTATAATTAAAACTTTTTACATCACAAATAGCAACTCTCCTTTTTTCCCTTCCTCAGTCCCTGATAACACCATTCTATTCTTTGTTTCTAAGTCTGGCTATTTTAGATACCTCATATAAGTGAGCTCATACAGTATTTGCCCTTCTGTGCCTGGCTAATTTCACTTAGCATAATGTCCTCCAGATTCATTCATGTTGTCTCATGTGGCAGGATTTCCTTCTTCTTTGAGGCTGAATAATATCGTATAGTATGTATTTACCATATTTTCATATCCATGCATACATTGATGGATACTTAGGTTGCTTCCATATCTTGGTTATTGCAAGGAATGCTGCAGTGAACATGAGTGTTAATATCCCTTTGAGATCCTAATTTTAATTCTTTTCATGTAACCCAGAGTTAGGATTGCTGAATCATACAGTAACTTTATTTTTAAAAATTTTGAGGAAACTCCAGTTTACTTTCTCATCAACAGTGTACAAAAATTTCAATCCCTTGACATTCTCACAAGTACCTGTTATCTTTCAGTTTTTGGATACTTTTTGGTTTTTGGATAATCTTTGGAGTTTTTAAAATGAACTTTTGCTTTTTTGATGTATCATTGTGGTTTAAATTATCATTTTCCTGATATTTAGTAATGTTGAACACCTTTCCATATATCTGCTGGCCATCTTTGCAAATATTTTCTACCATTCCTTTGGTTGCCTTTTCATTCTGCTGATTGTTTCCTCTGCTGTTTGGTAGCCTTTTAGTTTGAGTTAGTCCCACTTATTTATTTTTGCTTTTGTTGTTTGTGTCTTATGTGTCATATCCACAAAATCTTTGTATAGGCCAACGTCATGGAATATTTCTCCTAGGTTTTCTTTTAGAAGCTTTATAAATTCAGGTCTTATATTTGAATCTTTAATCCATGTTAATTTATTTTTGTGTATGGTGTAAGATGAGGTTCACTTTCTTTCTTCTGCATGAATCTCTAGTTTCCCTGACACCATTTGTTGAGGAGACTATCCTTTCCCCATTGGGTATTTTTGGCACCCTTTTTGAAGATCAGCTAACCCAATACAGATGCTCTCTTTGTCTTTGACTTTTGACAACTTCATGGTAATGTGTCTTTAATGTAGACTTCATTGGATTTATCCTATTTAGTACTCTTGGGGCTTTATGAATCTGAATGTCCATTTCCTTCCCTAAATTTGGGAAGTTTTCCATCCTTATTTCTTTAAATGATTTTTATGCCCCTTTCTCTTTCTTCTTTTCCTTTTAGAACTTCCCAATTTGTATATTGGTTTGTTTGATGGTTTTCCATAATTTCTTTAAGATTTATTCACTCATTTTTATCATGTTTTTCTTTTTATCCTCTGATAAATCCAAATCACCTATCTTTGAGTTCACTATCCCTTCTGCTTAATCAAGTCTGGCTTTGAAACCTTCTACCGGGAGGGAGGTAGGGGGGTCAGCCCCCCGCCTGGCCAGCCGTCCCGTCCGGGAGGTGAGGGGCACCTCTGCCCGGCCGCCCCTACTGGGAAGTGAGGAGCCCCTCTGCCCGGCCAGCTGCCCCGTCCGGGAGGGAGGTGGGGGGGTCAGCCACCCGCCCGGCCAGCCGCCCCTACTGGGAAGTGAGGAGCCCCTCTGCCCGGCCACCACCCCGTCTGGGAGGTGTGCCCAACAGCTCATTGAGAACGGGCCAGGATGACAATGGCGGCTTTGTGGAATAGAAAGGGGGGAAAGGTGGGGAAAAGATTGAGAAATCGGATGGTTGCCGTGTCTGTGTAGAAAGAAGTAGACATGGGAGACTTTTCATTTTGTTCTGTACTAAGAAAAATTCTTCTGCCTTGGGATCCTGTTGATCTGTGACCTTACTCCCAACCCTGTGCTCACTGAAACATGTGCTGTGTCCACTCAGGGTTAAATGGATTAAGGGCAGTGCAAGATGTGCTTTGTTAAACAGATGCTTGAAGGCAGCATGCTCGTTAAGAGTCATCACCACTCCCTAATCTCAAGTACCCAGGGACACAAACACTGCGGAAGGCCGCAGGGTCCTCTGCCTAGGAAGACCAGAGACCTTTGTTCACTTGTTTATCTGCTGACCTTCCCTCCACTATTGTCCTATGACCCTGCCAAATCCCCCTCTGTGAGAAACACCCAAGAATGATCAATAAAAAATAAAATAAAATTAAATTAAATTAAAAAAAAAAAAAACCTTCTAGTGATTTTTTTCAGTTCACTTATTGTTCCTTCAGGTCTGGATTTCTGTTTGTTTCTTTTTTAAAGTTTCTAACTCTATTTATATTCTCATTTTGTCCATGTATCATTTTCCTGACTTGGTATCATTGTCTATCTATGTTCTTTTGTAACTCACTTAGATTCTTTAAGACAATTATTTTGCATTAGTTGTCAGGCAAGTCACAAATCTCTATTTCTTCAGTGCAGGTTACTGGAAATTAATTTTGTTCATTTGATTGTGTCAGGTTTTCCTGATTCTTTGTATTTCTTGTTCTGTCTGGTTTCATCAGGGAAAGACCTTCACAGTCAACACAGCTAGAGATTCTGAAAGTCTTTTAATTATTTGTTATGAATATGTCTCCTTTGACATGTGCATGTAGATTCCAAATTAGAGGGGATTTACTGGTTTCTTCCTTTTCTTTTTTCTTTTTATTTCTTTTCCAAGAGCTCATAATCTCTTGCTTCTTCTGGTGTCTGACTTCTGGTGTTTGAACCACAGGCTGGGATGTGGCATAATCCCATTTCTCTCCCTTATTCTTTATGGAGAAGCCTTGAGTCTGTGTCTTCTTCCAATTTTGTTAAGCTGTGGTGAGTACTACAGTTCACTTGCCCTTTTCCCTTTGTTCTTAGTTGCCCCCACCAAACTATGAGAATTCTGTTGGCACACTGGATTAGATGAGACAGAGGCCAGCTTTTTGGGCAGTGCGTGGAAAGGCCAGAGATGTTAAAGACATGTTCCGCTCCTCCCTCCTCTCTGGGGGAAGACGTCTTGGATTCTGTGCGTTTCATCAGTCTCACAGAGCTGTGCTTGCCACCGTAAGCTGTCTACCTCCTCTTCTTTGTTCTTAACTACCCCTAGGTGTTTGATGTATGCTAGTTCTGTCAATGCTTCATGTGAGGCAAGGTAGAAACAGGCCTCTAAACAGTGCATTGTAAGATCATAGACATGGACATGCTCTACTCCTTTCCATCCTTCCTGTGGGAGAAACCTCAGGTTCTCACCTTCTCTCAGTCTCACAGAGCTCTGCCAGCTGCAGCAAGCCCCTATCCTTTCTACTTTGGTCTTAACTGCCCCTAGGCATTTAATCTGTGTCAGTTCTGTCAGTGTTCTGTGTGGGATGAGACAGAAACCAACCCCTTGGGCAGCGTGCTGAAAAACTAGCACATTAAAGGCATATTCCACTCTCTCTTTCTCCCAGGGGGAGAAGTCATAGGCAGAGGTGATCTCTTTCGGTACTAAGCTGTGTCAAGTTGGGGGAAGGGCTGATGTAAAATAAAATTGCTCTTTTTACTAACTTTAATATGGCTGTCTTCCTTTTTGTGCCCATCTGGACTACTGCAAATTATGGGCTACTCATAAAGATATTTTTGTCCATATATTGTTGCTAAACTGGCATTTCGTGGAGGATGAAGGACGAAATCTCCTGTTCCACTATCTTGCTAATGTCATTCCTAGGATTAAGAAATTTAATTAAAGAGAGAACAATCACTGATCCCAACCCCCAGAAGTACTATGAGTGGGGAGGAAAGTTAACCTTCAGGTAAGAGTAAATGGAAGGGGACTTCAGTTAATCTTCTTGCTTTGACTGTGAGAGATCATGTTCCCAGTTGCTAAAAAGAAATAGGGGCCAGGCGCGATGGCTCATGCCTGTAATCCCAGCACTTTGGGAGGCCGAGGCGGGTGGATCACGAGGTCACAAGATTGAGACCAGCCTGACCAACATGGTGAAACCCCGTCTCTACTAAAAATAGAAAAATTAGTTGGGTATGGTGGCATGTGCCTGTAATCCCAGCTACTCGGGAGACTGAGGCAGGAGAATTGCTTGAACCTGGGAAGTGGAGGTTGCAGTGAGCCGAGATTGCGCCACTGCACTCCAGCCTGGTGACGGAGCGAGACTCTGTCTCAAAAAAAAAAAAAAAAAAAAAAAAAGAAAGAAAGAGGAAGATCTAAGAAAGTTGAAATGCCAGGCCTTGTTTTGTGAAGTTTAACAGAAGAGATGTAAAGACCCCCCACCATATGGATGGAGAACCATCCTGTATCCCATTTGAATAAAGAAATTTAATTCTTAGGCAATGAAAACAGATCTGTGTTATGGTGAGTAGCAAATAAATGAAATACCTGTCATTTAAAGAATAACAGAGAGGCAGGATGTTTGACACCAGTGAAGAAGTTTTGATGGTCACTGCAGAGAGACCCAGCAAATGGACACCTTAGAGCTGCTGTATATAACACCAGGGAAGTCAGATGTCCACTCTCACTGGGACACTGCCACATAGTCAGTCTTCCCCGTTTTGTTGTCTTGGGAAGAGCTATTTTTATCCATTCTTTTGGGTACCCTGATTTGATTGCCTTTCCTTTTCCTCCCACTGTTCCCATGACAATGTGACCTACAATCTTTCCTTTTGAGAAGGAAAGCCAGAAATACATTCAACAAGAAAGTTGTCCAAAATCGGAGGAAATCTGACTAATAAATTCATTTCACGCACTGCTTCAGGCAAACTTGTGTCATATATCCATGGTCACAGTTACCTATTTCACCAGGGCATTACTCCAGTCCTGGCCATGCTAGTCCTCAAAGGCTGTCAAGTAAGAAAGCAATAATCAATGGCTTTACAAGTTTTTGTTGAAAACCCTGTTCATTCTGTTTATAATGATCTTTATTCTCTCAACTGCACAGAACACATATAACATATCAGAACCAACCTTAGCCTTTAATCATCTACTCTGTAGCATATAGAGTAGTACAGCATCTGGCTTTGGAGTCAAGCAGAACTGGATTTGAATGATATTTGTGCCATTTTGTCTGTGACCTTAGATGAGTTTCTCAAACTTTGTATCTCAGATCAATAACTATTTTATAAGGTCAGGCACACATTTAGTGAAATACTGTGTGTTAAGAGCTTAAATGTCTGACATATGGTAGGCACTCAAATAATGTTAACTATCACCATCATTATTATATTATGTCTGTTATCCTTTCTTCCACCTAGACTGTAAGCACCTAGAGGGCAGGGTCACATTATATGCTTTTATTAGGACCATCACAATATCAGGACTATCACTATTTTGCTCAAGTGAGAACATGAAATCAAATATTTTTACATTTTAGAGGATATCTTTAAAGGAGTACTCCAGCTAGAAGAAGAAACATTGGTCCTGAGGCCAGCTCTTCATCTCGGCTTTCCAACCATTGCTTTCTGTCTCTCCAGGTACCCTGATCCATCAATGTTCTATCCCTTTCAAATACTGAAACTCTCATCCTTTGCAAGCTTCTTTTCCTTCATCTAGATGGGCTCATCTCTCCTCTACATCAAAAAAATTATCTCATTGCTATTTTTACCAACACATCATTCAATTTCCCTCTTGACTTGTACCCTCAGATATATCATCAGTGTTCTACAGGTATTACTATTATTTTTGTATCATTGAATTACTCCATAATTCTGTTATTTGGAAGCTCCTCTAACCCTGTATTAAAATCCCTTATTCATCTCTCACTTGTCATCTTTAATTGACTCAATCTAGAGTTCTCTTTCCGGTCCTTCTCCCTGAATTTTCTGAATGCATAACACTGTTGACTTTCATTTTCATCTTATGATTTTCATTTAATTTAATTTCTGTGTCAGTATATCCTCCAAATTCTTCCGGAGCTTCAAGGAATATTTTTTCCAAGGCCATACAACAAATAATGGTAAGCGGTTATTTCCTCAGACAACTTCTATCTTCTCTAAACATTTCTCTAATTTGGTAGATCCCTTGCACCAAAGCAGATAATTCTCAAATTTAATGTTTTCATCACTTACTTCTGCTTGTTACACAAGTTTTCAATATTTTCTGTTCTCTGCTAATTTTAGGCGTACAATATTGGCCTTTTTGTTGATTTCATGCCATTATTTTGGTATTTTAGAAATCTGAATTATTTATGCATTAAGAAATGCTCATAGAGATATAAACTATATTAAAATTTGAATTAAAGAGGAACTGATATAGAAATAGAGATATAAACTGCATTAAAATGTGCACAGAAGAGGAACTGATATAGAAAGCATTATGGCACCAAAGATCATGTTTGTTGATCATCTTGATTTTATCCATATTCAAGGTTAAGCCCTCAGTATATGTCCAGAGGTTCTTCATGAAGCTGTCTAAGAATGGGGGATAAACAGTGTGGGGATCGAAATGAAGTGAAGCAAAAACAGAAGGTAGAGGAAAATACATAGGAAGTAAAATGGGGTGTGTGTGTGTTGAGGGGGCGGCAGCCTTTCCTTTGGATTCTGACCACGTTTCTGTCCCCAGGACAAGAGTCCTTCCACAGCACAGAACCATGGCCACTCGGGATAGTGTTAGAGGCATTATTTTCAAAATTTCAAAATCCAGTTTTAAAGATGCTCCAAAAAGAGGAGTAAGTTCAATTCCCCTTCAGGTCTCATCCATAAGTTCAGAGCCCATTACCACTCTGTTGCCCAGGGTGGAACGCAGTGGCATGATCTCAGCTCACTGCAACCTCCACCTCCTGGGTTCAAGCAGTTCTCGTGCCTCAGCCTCTTGAGTAGCTGAGACTACAGGCCTGCACCGCCACGCCTGGCTAATTTTTTGTGTTTCTAGTAGAGGTGGGGTTTCACCATGTTGGCCAGACTGGTCTCAAACTCCTGAGTTCAGGCAATCTGCCTGCCTCACCCTCCCAAAGTGCTGAGATTACAGGCATGAGCCTCCGTGCCCAGTGGCCCTGTCATTATCCAAGGACATATCTGCAGCTCCACATCCCTTTTCTTTCTCATCCAGAGATATATGTGTTCTTGTAGAGCTTCACTGCTCCCCTAAGTTAATTTATTTATTTTTCCCCAATCGAGCTATCTAGAAAGACTAAAATTCACAGAAGAACTTCAGGCCTGTTCCCTAGACATCTTTTTGTAGCCTCAAATAACAAGTATAATATCTCCCCCTCCTACAACACAGATTCCATGAGCTACAAAAGAGATCATGCAAAGAGAATAAGTAGATTTTTAAACTACTCAGGAACTACTTGTATATTAAACATAATTCGATGTATTTCTGTGAAACATATTTGATGTGTTTCTATGTACTGCAGTTAAAATCCATTTGAAAGCTCAAATTGCCATATCTTTGACTACTGCAAACCTCTTCAGGTTTTCTTCTGAGTTTTTCAGGCACAACTCAACGTTTTTGATGCATTCGTTGTTGTATGTCATGGGAACATGTTTCAGGCTCATTTTGCGCATTTCCTCCTCCAAATCTGGAATAATCTATTTCTCCAGAAAATATTGCTTTCTTTTGCTAGGAGAAAACAGTTCAGAACAGAATCTGTGTGCTGGACACACTCATTGCTATTTGATTGGTCATTGTTTCTAAGCCATTTCAGCACACCTGACTGGGGAATAAGAAACTTCCAATTCATACTCCAGACTGCAATGGTTTTACTTAACTTCCTTTTTTTCGAGATGGGGTCTTGCTCTGTTGTCCAGGCTGGAGTGTGGTGGCACAGTCTTGGCTCAGTGCAGCCTCCGCTTCCTAGGTTCAAGTGATTCTCCTGCCTCAGCTTCCCAAGTAGCTGGGATTACAGGTGTGTGCCACTACACCTGGCTGATCTTTGTATTTTTAGTAGAGATGTGGTTTCACCATGTTGGCCAGGCTGGTCTTGAACTCCTGACCTCAAGTGATCCTCCTGCCTCAGCCTCCCAAAGTGCTGGGATTACAAGCGTGAGCAACCACACCTGGCCAACCTCTTTTATCTTAAATTGGTATTGCCTTTTCCCACATTGAGAATCCTAGCTCTCAAAAGCACTGGAGATGAGAAAGTTAAAATATCACAGAATTATTTACTGACTCCTCCCACATTTGATATACAACATTTTCAGAATAACAATACCAATACTAGGACCCACAGTGATGACTTAATATAGTTAAAACATTTTTTGCATATGCCTTCTTCATTATTTTATAGCTTAATTGTATCTTCATTGTCAGAGGATATATACACTACATTCTCCATTCATTTTGTCTTCATTCCACAAGTAAATGTATATTTAATGGCCATTATTAGCCCTTTTGTCTCTGTACCTATTTTTGCCTGAAACTTGTTCTATAGTAAATTTTTCAGGAAAGGTTCATAAGAATAATATCTTGAGTTCTTACATGCTGATGACAGTTTGTCTATACCCTTTACACTCCAAAGTTGGTTTTACTGAATAAAACATCCTTAGCTTACATTTTCTTTCCTTCAGTACTTTAAATACCTTACTCAATTCTTCTTTTGTCAAAAAGTCTGGTAACAATAAAGTTTCTTTCTCTTATAAATGGCTTGGTCTTGTAAACAGTTGGCCAAAAGTTTTTCTTTTTCTAATCTTTAAATTGTGCTAATTTTTTTTTCTAGGAATGTCTCAGGGTTGGTTATTTTGTTTCAGTTTTGTAAAGTGTGTACCATGCCCTTTCAATATGTAATTTCAAATCATTTTTATATTTCAGAATAATTTTCTTCAATTATAGTCTTAGTATTTGTTCTGTAATCTTACTTTTATTTCACCCCAACCCCAATTTGTGGTACCCTATTATATGTATTTGGATCTTCTTTGCTTTTCTTCTGTATTTGCCACAATTGTGCAAATCCTTTTTATCATTTTGTTTTAAATTTTTATGGGAGCTAAAAATTTTGATTACCTGGAGAAAAAAGGGGAAAGATAGATTACAGAGACTGGGAAAAATGAGTGAGGGAAGAAAGGAGGATAAAGAGAAGTGGATTAAAAGGTACAAACATATAGTTAGATGGTAGGAATGAATTCAATGTTTGATAGCAGAGGAGGGAGGCTACAGTTCAAAATGTATTTTAATTGGGTGATATACACTGTCAATATTCTGATTTGATCACTCTGTATTATATGCATATAACAAAATTTTACATGTGCTCCATAAATTTGTACAAATAAAGAATATATCATTTTTAAAAACATAAATAAAATCTTTTTTCTTTTCTTGTTTTTTTTTTTTTTTTTTTTTTTGGATGGAGTCTCACTCTGTCACCCAGGCTGGAGCGTAGTGGCGTGATCTCAGCTCACTGCAACCTCCGCCTCCTGGGTTCACGCTATTCTCCTGCCTCAGCCCCCCAAGTAGCTAGGACTACAGATGCCCACCACCATACCCGGCTAATTTTTTTTTGTATTTTCAGTAGAGATGGAGTTTTACCGCGTTAGCCATGATGGTCTCTATCTCCTGACCTCATGATCCGCCTGCCTCAGCCTCCCAAAGTGCTGGGATTACAGGTGTGAGCCACTGTGCCCGGCCTTTTCTTGTATTTTTATATTATTGTCTTTTGTATTTATTTGCTTTAATGTTCTGATCAGTTAAGTCTTCATTTATGAAATGCTTTTTTCCTTTTATTTCTAATTCTTTTCTGATTTTTACCACCACACTCAAGAGTAATTTTTATTTTGTTCTTTTATATTGTATATAATTTTCTTAAAATCTTTTAGCTTATTTTCAAATATTAGGCTATAATTTTCATCTTTTATGCTGTGCCTTTCCAGCATTTAAAAATTTTCAGTTAGTTTCCTCATAGTTTTAGTATGGAGTGTGACTTCAATTCTTCTTTGTTACTTAATTTTATATAAAATCAGTTTTCCTAATCTTTCAGGAGGAAGGCATGGTTCAGGATTTTTCTTTAACATCATATTCTAGAGCTTCTAGTATTTCTAACATCTCTATTTCTCACCTCAATTTTATCTAAACTTATTTTTCTTTAGTTTTTTTTTTTATCCCAGTTATGCTTAATTTGGAATCTTTTTGCACCAGTTTTTGCAGCTGTGTGTAGCTTTCTCCTTGAATGAATCTTTGTTTCTTTAGTTTTGAGAGGTCAAAACTATAGCTCTTTCAAACCTCACTGCAGACCTCTTTCTCTTATCTGATGTTGAAATGTGTGAAATCCCTCCCAGTTTCAGCTTCTGTTCTCACATTGGCTCCCTGAAGGTTGCAGTGAAGATCTGTTTTTTATTTTGGTTTTATCAGGTCCGTCAGATGTCATGTTGACTCGCTCTGCTTTCACCTGTGAAGATGCTGATATTATACAAGTATGTATCTGTCACTGGTTGGCTCTTACCTACTCATATTTTGGGGTTCATGAGCATATTTTGTTACCTAGATTTTTGTAAGTGTTTGACATGGATTTGCGGTTTGGTTATTCTAATTGCTCTATTTTTATGTGGGGATTTGAGGAGATTAAAAAGCACACTTTTGCTGCCATCCTTCCAAAGGTTCAGAATGCTTTTTTTTCCCATTTAATATAGAATTTATGTTCAACTATTTGAGAAAAAGAGAGAGACTTCTGCCCTTGAATACACATATTTTCTACTATCTTAACTGATTTTCTTCACAGACTACCAGTGCCTACACTTATCTTCTTCATTTCTTTCTCTTCCTTTCCCTTTAGTATTAATTTCATGATTGTTGGACCCTTTCCTCAAAAGACATTTACTTTATTACACATGGAAATATAGTAGCTTTTCAGTGGATAAACCTGACAGACATTATATTAACAACATAACCAAGTGCTGGAACAAATAGATAAATCATGTAGATCTTGATATAATGCCTCCGGAACACTGTCACTTCTGCATTACTCCTGCCCCAACATCCTGAATCCAATCATGAGGAAACATCAAACAAATCCAAATTAAGGGAAATTCAAACAAACTAACTAGCTAAACCACTTCAAAAATGTCACGTGAACAGGCAACCTACAGAATGGGAGAAAATTTTTGCAATCTCTCCATCTGACAAAGGGCTAATGCCAGAATCTATAAAAAACGTAAACAAATTTACAATAAAAAAACAAACAACCCCATCCAAAAGTGGGTGAAGGATATGAACAAACACTTCTCAAAAGAAGACATTTATGCGGTCAACAAACATTTGAAAAAAGCTCATCATTACTGGTCATTAAAGAAATACAAATCAAAACTACAATGAGATACCATCTCATTGGTTGGAATGGTGATCATTGAAAAGTTAGGAAACAACAGATGGTGGAGAGGATGTAGAGAAATAGGAACACTTTTACACAGTTGGTGGCAGCGCAAATTAGTTCATCCATTGTGGAAGACAATGTGGCGATTCCTCAAGGATCTAGAACCAGGAATACCATTTGACCCAGCAATCCCATTACTTGGGTATATGCCCAAAGGATTACAAATCATTCTACTATAAAGACACATGCACACATATGTTTATTGCAGCACTGTTCACAATGGCAAAGATGTGGAACCAATCCAAATGCCCATCCATGATAAACTTGATAAGGAAAATGTGGCACATGTACACCATGGAATACTATGCAGCCATAAAAAATGGTGAGTTTGTGTCCTTTGCAGGGACGTGGGTGAAGCTGGAAACCATCATTCTCAGCAAATTAACACAGGAACAGAAAACCAAACACCACATATTCTCACTCATAAGTGGGAGTTGAACAATGAAAAACACATGGACACAGGGAGGGGAACATCACACACTGGGGCCTGTCAGGGAGTGGGGGGCTAGAGGAAGGATAGCATTAGGAGGAATACCTAATGTAGATGACAGGTTGATGGGTGCAGCAAACCACCATGACACATGCATACCTATGTAACAGACCTGCATGTTCTGCACATATATCCCAGAACTTAAAGTAAAATAATAAAAAAAAGGCCAAAAAAAAAAAAAAGTCAATGTTGTAAAGAAGAAACTGTTCTAGATTAAAAGAAAGTAAGGAAACTGGGTAAATAAATGCAATGTATGATGCTGAACTGGACCAAGAAGAAAAGTACATATTTTTATTTTGCTTCAGTGGACATCAGTGAGATAATTGGGGAAACCTGAATATGGTTTATAGATGATATAAATAAGCTATATCAGTTATAATGGTTTGATTTTGATAATTCTACTGTGGTTATGTAAAAGAATACCTATAATTTTAGGAAACTCACACAAAGGATTTAAGAATAAAGGGGTATTATTACTGTAACTTACAGTCAATTCTTGTTTTTCACAGTAGTTGTGTTATATAAAGTTGCTGAAAAATACTAAGTTGATGAATACTCTCCTGTAACCATTGCTTCTAGGAGAAATACAGGGTTAGATTCCCGTGAGTCTCTGATTATACAATTTAATTAACCCATTGTGTTGGTCTTTTTATGTTTCTATAACAAAATACCCAAGAATGAGTCATTTATAAAGAACACAAACTTATCTTCTTACAGTTTTGGAGGCTGGGAAGTCCAAGATCAAGGCATCAGCAGATCCATCTCTGGTGAGAGTTGCTCTCTGCTTCCAGAATGGTGCTTTCTTTCTTATCCTCCAGAAGGGGCAAATGCTGTGTCCTCACAAAGCAGGAGAATGGAGGAGTAAAGGGGCAAAAAGGGCCTAACCTTGTTCCCGCCAACCTTTTTATAAGGCACTAATCAATTCGTGAGGGCAGAGCCCTTATGACTTAATCACTTCCCAAAAGGCCTACCTCTTAATACGACAACAATGGGGATTAAGTTTCAACATGAATTTTGGAGGTTACATAGCCAAGCCATAGCCCCAATTAATACATAATATTGTTGTATGTGTGCTTTTGTTTAAAGACACCTTATTTGATATACATCGTTGATTCATCAACATTGGACTCATGGCCAACTGAATCATAATTCATGCCTAAATGAATCTTATCTAACCTAACTATTTTCTTCATAAGACAGAAATAAATGTATATCATATTATATATGTTATTATATATGTTGTATGTACATTATATATGCAATTGTATATTTTAGAACATCATTAAAATATATTTAAAGAAAAAATGGTAATGCACATGTAATTAATATTAATACTTGAGTAATCTGGTTGAAAAGTATACACGAGAATTCTTTGTACTAATTTTTCAATTTTTCTCTAATTCTGAAGTTATTTGAAAATCAAAAGTAAGAATTAAAAAAGTAAGGCTTTTCCTCTATGGTTTTCTGATAAAATCCAAGAAGCAGCTAGGACAGGGCCTCGAATATGTTGAATAAATACTTCTGTAAGGAACGAGTGATTATTGTTAAGCAAAGTATCAAATCTACAGAACTAAGGTTAGAAATATTTCCCATAAAAATGATGGTCGAGTACATGGGAATTAATTATCTCTGTACATGAGGGAATGTATAGAGAAAGGTTAGTTTAGTGCTGCTGTGGTTTTCATCATTGATTAGATGTAGAAAATTCAAAAATATTTAATGTATTCTTCCTCCTATCATTTCCCACAATAATAAGTTGTGATTGGTAAGCTTATAGACTATCATAATTATAGTAATAGTAATTGTGCAGCAAGTAATGTTACTGATGTGCTCTTTTTTTAAAAGTACAACTTTGTCAACTATTTATTAAACGTTACAGGCATTCAACTGACCTTTGTTTGATCTCAGATACAACTTGTGATGGCCCCAGGTTTGAAATAAACCTGGCCCAGGATTTTACTTATTCAACGCATGTCATTTAGTATTCTGCCCATCTAAGCATCTTATTTTAGAATCAACCATATGGAATTTTGATGCCAAGACTTATCTTAATTCTGAGCTATCTAATAGCATGGTAATTACTACAAAGCCATCAAGTACCACCAAACAATTTGCATTTCCTTAGGGAGTAATTTTCCTACAGGACAAATAGCAGTTGTCAAAGGACTAAGAATAATTTTGTTTACAAGCACATATTTAGAAACCACTAAACAAGTATGAACATGTACTGAAGATGTGACTTTCACTTTTAAGTATTTGACTTTAAATCATTAAGCTTTAAATGCTTGTAATGAATTTAAAAAAAGCATTTCGGCTCTTCTGATGAGTAGTAGGAAATTAGGCCTCCGTAGTTCTTCTTGACCCATTAATAGGAATGTATGTTAAGAGCTCTTGTTTATTCTCACCATCTTGGTTATAAATATATTCAAAACCAGAAAAGAAAAAAATTTTTTCTTCAGTTCAGTTCAAACCAATTCAGTAATCATGAATCAATCACTTATTTGTGCAAGACACTATACATAAAGCTTTAAAAATATACTTACTGATTTCAAAATATTTTAATTCTTTTGCCTCTCATGGTGCAGCAAAGCACCAAAACTCCTACATGTGCCCCTTTGGACTGCTGATATTTTGATATTACTCAAATTCCTGATTGCTCGTTCTTACATGAGATATTTTATATCTAAAAAATTTAATTTATTGCTTCAAAATCACAACTTATTTCATCATAAACACCCAATATTGTTGTTCTGCTTGATTCTACAGAAAAACTTTGGTATTATAAATAATATAAATTTGTCCATTAATACCTTATTAGAAAGAACATAAAAGATTTATCTCATCAGAGCCTGTTATGTTGCCGAAACTGCGTTTTCATTATTAGTTCCTGCTATAGAATTGACTTCAAAAAAATAAATTGGTATTTAAATTATGAATGGGTGTAAAATTTTTTGATGTTTCAGATTTTAGAGAGCCCTAATGTTCATTAAATTACAAAATAGAATTTTTAAAGTCAGTCTAGATGCCTCCTAGTAATTTAGCTTTTCAATTGGTCATAATTTTTGGCTTACAACATTAATTAAAACACTCTTGTGTTGAGAGGTTTTTGCTTCCCCTGATGACTTTTCCTGGAATTGATGTACTTTGACAGAGTAGGGCCATATTGCAGTAGTTATAAGATGTAAAGCTGAATCGAATATGTTCATACTCCCTGAAGATTTTTAATAGCTCAACACTTTATCTGAGATGACATAATGGCTGTCAACAAGATTGCTACCTGAGACAAAGAATCACCTCATCAGTAGAGCCTATCAAATGTAGTTAGTTAGCTAAAACTCAACTTTATTATTTTTTTAGTATCAAGTTATATGTAACAAAATGAGGGACTTTTTTGTCTCTAAGACTAGTAATAAATGATCTTATAGAATAAGCATTTGTTTCTATAGTATCAAATAGAGATATGCCAGTTATCCAGAAAAAAAGAGTGGATAAAGGTAAGAGTAATTTACATATCTGAAATCTCCATGAGAACTCTAAGTTGCCAAAGTAAATGATCATAATTATTTATCTTATTAGCACGTTGTAGATAATATTTATGATAAGATTAAGACTAGACTTTGAATTGACAGAAGCTTCTTAGCAAGTTAGTGAGTTTATCTGGTTTCCATCATGATTTCTGCAGCTATCAACTGCAGTGGGATCTCCATCAACTGTGAAAGTGTCTCCCAAAGAATGAATGTGTCATGATACCACCAATTCATTTACTGCACAGAAAGACCTAAGAAGAAGGCTGTTTTTTCTTAACGCTATCTCTCATCAATTAATCTCTTGATACGAAGAAAAATCTCTTCCTTCCTTACAAAATTCAGTTTCTGAGGCTTTCTGGTTCAGAAAATTTTGTGTATCTATTACTTGATCAGCACTTTATTGTTTGGTCCAAATCTTCTCCAGATATTTATTATCCCACCTTGTAATCATTCACCTTATAGTCATCACAGCAGGATAGGGGTCATGCTACTAAAATTGCTATCTGGCCAAGGTGGTAGTTTATAAATAATCAGAAACTATCAATAGAGTTTCAATTATCTGAAAAACCACTTTGAAAAGCAAAACTATATGGGAATATGTGAATTTTAATATTCATATTTTGATGCCTGCTTTTAAAATATTACTGTTTACATATCTTATAGATAAAATATTCTCTCAAATGAATTATTTTAAGACAATTACAAAACATAAGGATTTTAAGAGAAAATAGAGTGGCAGTTCATTAAGTTCATTAAGTAGCCTCCTGGAAACCATCAGAGAAAATTAACAGGGTCAGCATAATGCAGCACAGATGATGAAGACGTGGAAAAGGATATATCAAGTTAAAGCTCTGCTCTGTGCCCTTGAACAAGTCACATATTTTTCTGTACTCTTATCTATATAATACATGGTTTGGACTTGCTTAAAATGCTTTCGATAAATTGTATCTTTTTTATTATTATTATTATTATTTTTTATTATTATACTTTAAGTTTTAGGGTACATGTGCACAATGTGCAGGTTAGTTACATATGTATACATGTGTCATGCTGGTGTGCTGCACCCACTAACTCGTCACCTAGCATTAGGTATATCTCCCGATGCTATCCCTCCCCGCTCCCCCCACCCCACAACAGGCCCCAGAGTGTGATGTTCCCCTTCCTGTGTCCATGTGTTCTCATTGTTCAATTTCCACCTATGAGTGAGAATATGCAGTGTTTGGTTTTTTGTTCTTGCGATAGTTTACTGAGAATGATGATTTCCAATTTCATCCATGTCCCTACAAAGGACATGAACTCATCATTTTTTATGGCTGCATAGTATTCCATGGTGTATATGTGCCACATTTTCTTAAAAATTGTATCATTTTTTAAAAAAGAAATTGTTCAAATGTAGTTTGTCTTTCCTTTCATGGATATTAAAAATTGTAAAGAAAAAGTGATGAAATAGAAGGCTGTCTTCTCCAAAGTGGAGGTTATTTTGTTGGGAAGAAAATATGAGGCCGAAGAGTTGAAATCCTGTGATAACTACCCCATTTAATAAACATAATTCCTCCTTTAATGGATATCAAGACAGTCTATCAAATACTGGTCAGTCTAGGTACACAGAAGCACCGATTCACAGCATAAATGAATTATTTTGGAACCACTGAAAAATGTTGATGCTTCTGCAATCTTTTTCCTTGAGTTCTAAAGGTCACAGGAAGGGCTCATTCACATAATTTCTTAAGCATTCATGGGATGCTGCTGAATAGATTCAGCTACTATCTTTGCCCAGTGAACTTTCAAAATCACCTTAGGTATAATTGTCTAGGAAGCCCAATTAGACTGGTATCTTCCACTGGATCTCTTTCCCCATAGTTTTTTTTTTTTTAAATATGGAAGTAATTTTTCCTTTCTTCTTTCTTTCCTCTTGTACTAAGTATTTAGGAATAGATTATGTTATTAGCTTTACAATCTTCTGTGGTAGTTGAAAAAAGGAGTAGGAAGACTGATTGTGTACCAAGTGGGCACTGAGGGAGAGGAGAGGTCCATGGATGGGCATAGTCTGGGTGCAGCATGCAGCTGCAAAACAGCACTCACATGTCCATGGCTGTACAATGTGATCCCACATGAGCAGTCCTGGCATCAGGGTGAATCCGAGAGGGATACAGAGGACAATTTTCTTTCAGCTGAAGTTTGCAGTCAAATCCCCAGATGGCAAAGGGAAGAAGAATCAGACAGATGAATGATAACCATAAATGTTTATGGCCATGCTTAAGGCTGCATTCTGTGGGAATGTACTTTATGTATCAGAAAAGTGGAGATAA
Organism: Homo sapiens; assembly: GCF_000001405.40. Taxonomy (NCBI): domain Eukaryota; kingdom Metazoa; phylum Chordata; class Mammalia; order Primates; family Hominidae; genus Homo; species Homo sapiens. The sequence continues at coordinate 34,197,550 of NC_000013.11, forward strand.
GCTTCCAGATATTCAAGAATGGGAAAGAATCTCTCTCACTCACTAAAATGATATTTGAGGGTAAATTTTTTTATTCTACTCTTTGAGCTAAGGCAAAACTCACAGCTACTACTGGGAGAGGAAACATGTTGCCTATTACAAATTATTTGGGTCAGATTCTCTCTTAATGGCACATTTTGATAAAAAGGATGAGATTGCAAGAGCACTTGGTTTGGGGACAGTGATTCATATAAAAAGAAGAAAGGACTGAAAAGTGGTATCTGAGAGCTGGGTAGATCTTAGAGATTCTTCTAAAAATTTGGTCTGTATATATCTGTAGATATTTTAAAAAATAAAATATATGTGACTTTCCATGCAACATAAGTAGTTATCAATGTAGTGTATTACTAGGACATGGTTAGAAGAGGTATGGTTTATCTGGGATAATCATCTAGAAAGAATAGCAAATAAAATACCTAAAAAAAGAATAATAACAAGGGAATTGTCAGGTATTGAAATGTACTCTAAGGCTACAAAATAAAAATTTTTGTTGTGGTACTGATGCCACCGATGCCAGAATTGACAGAGCAGTATAAGAACTTACTGGTTGAAAAAATAGACCTTATATGTATAGAAATGTAGTATATATATCACACATACATGATAAGCTTATTAAATATTCAGAAAGAAGTGATTAGCTTATGCATAGTCTTGAGGTAGTTAGTATATATGAAATAAATTAAGAAAAATAGTTATTGTTACAAAACATAGGTGAAAAATAACAAACATCCTCTCAAATGCATAGCTGAGCTCTCAAGAAGGTAAGGGTATTCTCCAGATGCTGAAAATTAAAGCAAAGCTAAAAAAACTGAAGTGGTATTACCTGGAGTTGATTGTAAACCTGGGAAAACAAGATTTTTTTTTTTTGAGACAGAGTCTCACTCTGTTGACAGGCTGGAGTGTCGTGGCATGAACTCCACTCGCCGCAACCTCGGCTTCCCGGGTTCAAGCAACTCTCCTGCCTCCGCCTCCCAAGTAGCTGGGATTACAGGCACCCACCATCTTAGGCTAATTTTTGTATTTTTAGTAGAGACAGGGTTTCACCATGTTAGCCATGATGGTCTTGATCTCTTGACCTCGTGATCTGCCCGCCTGCGCCTCCTAAAATACTGGGATTACAGGCGTGAGCCACTGCGCCTGGCCGATGTTTTTTGTTGTTGTTGTTGTTTTGGCACAGAAAGACAGGAGATAAAGCTGTCAGACCACTCCTGGTAGAGGTTCAATGTGATGATGACATATAAATCTAAGACTTTTGATACTTACACCTCTAGAGAAAGGGTGGACTAGAAAAAAAATTTAATCTTTTGGTGTAGGGGTGTAACAGAAACTTGCCAGATTAGGCCTGAGTTCTGGGTGAAAAAATTCCCCAAAGAGTTTGTAACTACCAACATGGTCGCTTGGAAGTTCTTACTTCCTAAGTGGCCTAAGAAACCCCGGGCTGAGAATACAACAAAACAAAAAGTGACTATTTGCACACCCATGTTTGTGGCAGTACCATTTACAATAGCCAAGAGGTGGAAGCAACACAAACATGCATTGATAAATGAATGGAATAAAGAAAACATAACATATATACATATAGCAGAATATTATTCAGCCTTAAAAAGGAGGAAAATTGTGACACATGCTCCAATACAGATGAACCTTGAGAATATTATGCTAAGTGAAATAAGCCACTCACAAAAAGACAAATATAGTATAATTCCACTTAAAGTATCTAAAATAGTCAAATTCATAAAAAGAAAGAGTAGACTGGTGGTTATCAGGGCTGAGGGGGGTATTGGGGAAAGAGAAATTATTTAATTGGCATAGAGTTTCAGTTCTGCAAGATGAAAAATTTTGGAGATCGATTTCACAACAATGTAAATATACTTAATACTACTGAACTGTTCACTCAGAAGTGGTTAAGATAGTAAATTTTATGTTATGATTTTGCACAATTAAAAAAAAGAAAAGATGGGGGGTAAACAGTGACACTGTTTGAGAGCAACAATAGTATCAGGAAAAAATCAATCCAAATACTCTTTGACAGGTGTGCCTTCAACACAGACTGCTCAAAACTCCCATAAATATGAATCACAGATGAGTAGGAGCTCATAATTTATAATCACAAAGATCATAGGAAATAAATTAGATATTATCAAGATTAAACAAAATCAATGACAGAATATAATTTAATATATTCAAAATTTTAAAAATCATCAGATTATTCAATAACAATGAAACTGTTACAGATCATGAAACAGATGTATTGAAATGCCTAATAAATTATGGGAAAAAATAGAAAAAGGAGAAAGATTTATAAAAGCAAAGTAATATAAAAAATAGAACGAGAACTTCTAGACATGAAATACATTATCATTGAAATTTAAAATTTAATGGGTGACCTCAATGGGATAAGATAATATTAAATAACTGGAAGATTGATCTGAGGAAATTTCTAGAAAACAGGACAAAACCTCAAAGGCACACAAAATAAGAAACAGAAATTAAGACATGAATAGTAGAATAAAGACAAATGTACATCAAATTACCTTTAGAAGATGAGATCAGGGAGAATTAGGAAGAGGTAATATTTGATGAGATATATGTTGAGAATTGTTTAGAATTGATTAAATTCATATTCTGATTCAAGAGACATAACACAGTTTACAACTAGACATACCACAGTGCAATATCAGAACACGAAAGACAATGAGTGTGGGACAATTCTCCAGGTGGCCTTGAACAGCCCAGTATTCCCCATTTTCTTGCATGTATTAGCTTGGTGCAAAAGTAACTGCGTTTTTTGCCGTTACTTTTAATAATTCTCAATAAAAACCGTAGAATGTGCTGAGATGAAATATCCATAGATGAGGGGGAGCTGGCCATAACAGCCTCAGCTTTATTCCAGTCCTCTCATAGAACAGGAAGTTCTTCAATACTCTAGGCCAGTGAGTCATGTGACTATCAGAAACATAACCTCAAAGGGCTGCCTTTCAGGGTCCCTCATCTGCAGTGCAAGTGGGCACACACAGTCAAGACTCCATCCATCCTGTGCAGCGTTCTGAACCTTGGGGGACCAACTCACAATGAATTTTCAGCTTTGGTTGTCTCCTGCTACTTGGTTGTAAGTAATAAAATTGTTTCATGTATCTTGTTACATATAAATGTGTTCTGTCTTACCGGATTTAGACAAGTTGGTAACCAGTGCACAGTGAACCTGTTTCACAATCAGATATTAAAAGCACCAGAGAGAGCAAAATATCTAAAAGAATATATTATTTTAACAGGAGAATTCTCACTAGTAACAGTAAACCCAAGAAACAGTAGAATTATATCTTTAATTTGCTGAAAGTATCAACCAATAATTATATTCTAAGCTACGTTGTCATTTAAAATAGCAATATAAAGACATTTTCAGAAAAATAAAAACTGAAATAGCCCACCACCAATAAATGGCTTATTAAAGATACTCTAAATAATATACTTGAAGGAAGAAATTGAAACCAGAAAGAAAGTCTAAGATGCAAGAAGAAATGGCAAAGAGACTGGTAAACTGGCTAGTAAACCAACTTCTTATACTAAGCCTCAACTTTCCTCTTCATCTCCCTCTAGTTATCTTTTTTTGAATGTAATTCCAACTTTATTACAGAACATACAAATATCATTTAACTTTACCCTTTGAAATGTGCTGGGATATGGTTTATACAACCTAGCATACTGTTGGTTTTTTTAATATTCCATAAGCAAACAAATGATCAGATAGTCTTTACCTGAATATCTGACACCTGTTTGGTGTAGGCCCTCTATATGTAAATAAATATATATAAAATATTTATATATAAAAGAGACAAAATGTAAATTGTTTTGTTCAAATTTCTATATTCTTCTTAATGTCTTTGTCTTTGTGTTCTATCAGTTACTAAGAGAGGTAGGTTAAAAACGCCAGCTCTGTGCTTTTGCTGTAGGGTGGTTGCATTGGGCAATAGTAGGTAAACATTCCTTCTGCAAACACTATAAAATACTGGACACATTGCAAAGATCATATAAAAGGTTTTGAAATCAACAAGAATTAGACTATCTAAAATTCCAGAGATGGAAAATTCATTCCTAAGTAAGTTAGTAATTTCTGTCTTCTTCCATGAAGTCAAGTGATAATTTTGAGTTTAGGCTGACTCAGACTTGGCACAAGCAGAGGGCTTCTGCTAGAGATGAGAACAATCAGAAGAGCATTTGGATATCAAGCAGAGCTGGCAGAACAAACTAGACAGTAGAGAAGCCCCAATCACAAGGCTAATTTTACCCACAGTTCTTTATTGAGTTCTTAGGCATTGCAAGAGGGAGAGAGCTATGCTAGAGAGGCCGTGTAAAATCTACCCCAATTTTGTGGTGTGGAGGAGACAAAACTTCCTCTGAAGGAAGAAGGTCAGCAAGAAACATATAATTGGTATGCTCTTAACATATTTTGAACATATTTGAAGCCAGGGCCTAACGAATAGAGCTCAGAATCTTGGAAAAAAGAATGTTCAATGTGGAGACAAATTCCACCAGGCTTTCAATGGCCTTGGAGGGCCATATTCATGGAGGATTTCAGATCAGAAAGGCCTAGTGAAATTTCCTGCAGTTCATGGTGCTTAGGAAAAGTACCATGTCCCCTTCATAATATTTGCCAGATTTTAAATCTGTAAAAAGTAGGAGTCCAGAGATTTCAGTTCAAATCTCCAAAGGATGGAACTTCCAGGGTAGAAATAAGGGAGATCCATCAAGTTCTCAAAACAAACAAACAAATACATAAAAAACACTAGATAGGGATTAGGGAAGCAGGAATTCCCAAGGAACAAGAAAAACTAAAGAGAAACTGAATTTTTTTCAGCGATATCTCCAATCTGTTCTTTATCTGATAGGTGAGATCAGTAGCTCACACTTTCTGCCTAACAGAGGAAGTAAGAAATACTCATTGGTGAAAAATATTATCTGGGGCTTCTACATTATTTTATGCACAACTTGTGACATATGATTGAAAAAACAGAAGACAAACAAACTATGGAAGTCAGTAATTAGGAAAAGACATTTTTGAAGTACACAAAAAAAACCCCACAAAAAATACTGCCAACTTAGAATTTTATTCCTGGTTTAAGAAAGTCTTTAAAAATAAGATGGAATTTTAAAGGAATGTGTTCAGGCAAATAAAAGTAGAACAATTTTGTCATCAGTTGACATGCATAATAAAAAATAGTGAAGGAAGTTTTTATGCTAAAGAAAAATGATCCCAAATGGAAGCATGGAATAAATTGAAGAATTAAAAAGTACTGAAAATGGCACACATTTGGATAAATATAAAGGAATATTGAGTGTTTCTAAATTATGAATAATAAAGTTTTATGCAGTTTATGACTTATGTTGAAGTCAAAATATGTGACAACATTAGCTCAAAGGAAAATAGGGAGCTAAATGGCATTAAATTGCTGTATTCTATTTTACCATTAGAAAGTGGTAAAATCACTAAGCTAAATTAACCATTACAAATCTGCTATGCAGTTGATATCTCTGCTATAGTCACTATAAAATTAATATAATAATAGCAAACTAAATAGCTAAAGATGAGAAAAATAGAAACAAAGAACAACTAACTCATCCGATATAGATCAAAAGAGAATTAATAAACAAAGAACGGAGAAGAGAAACAAAAAGTAAGATAGTGCACTTAAACCCAACTCTATCAATAACGTTAACTGTAAAAGGACTAAACATTCCAACTAAAAGGCAAAGTTTATTAGAGAACGGAAACAAAACAGAACAAAGCCAAACCCAATCAAATGCTGTTTACAGTAAAGATACTATAAATTTATGTGCATACGTTTAAAATAAAAGGTTAGAAAATGACACACTGTACAATCATCAAAAGCACTCTGTAATGGCTTTATGAGACAAAATAAATTTTCAGGGTAGAATGATGCTAGAAATGACAAAAGGAAAATGTCAATAGGAAAGCATAACTATTCTAAATTCATATAAACTTATTAATAAGACTTAAAATATACAAAGCAAAAATTGACAGAACCTTAAAAAAGCAACAAAAAACCCTCAATCATAGTTGGAGATTTTATTATTTTTCACTAATTGATAGAATAAGGGAAAAAGATATTAGCAAAGATAAAGAAAATTTGAACAATAGTATTAAAAGTTAGGCCTAGTTGATTTTGATAAAACATATAAACAATAATTATAGAATGCACATTTTAAAAATCCACATGAAACATTTACATTAATGGATTCTATTCTGGGACACAAGAATAGTCTTAATACATTTTCAAGAATTGCAATTCTTGGAAAGTTTTTGTCTGAGTGCATCCTCTGACCAAAATGTACTTAAATTAGAAACCATTAACATAAAGATAACTAGAAAATTTCAGGATACAAATTTATAGCTACAAAAAATATATTAGAAAAGAAAATTGATGATCATTCTCAAGATTTTATCTCAAAATTCTGTAAAAAAAAATCAGATGAAACCCAAAGAAAGTGTAATAGGAACTTAGAAAAATAAGTGTAGAAAATGATAAAACAGAAACCTAACACAAAATTGTTAATAAAAATAGGCAAGATCAGAAGCTTTTACTTTCAAAGTAGATCTATTTCTAGCAAGACTAATTTAGAAAAAATAGAAAGCAAAAAACATTATTAGAAATATAAAATAAAACATTAATGATAATTTTACAGATCTTAAAAAAAATATTATGAAAAATTTTACATCAATAAATTTAATAGCTCAAATTGAATAGACTAATTAACTGAAAAGTATAGAGAAACAGAAATAATGAATAGTCCAATTTCTGTTAAAAGACTAGAATCCTTAATTTAAAAAATAAAGTAGTAATAGCAATAATATACAATTATTACTCAGAGAACAGAGGAATGTAACACTTTCCACAGGTCGATATTCCCCATAAACACAAAAATCCTAAACAAAGTATGAGTAAATATTGCTGAATCCTGTTACATATGAAATATGTTATATATAACATGATTAAATGAGCTTTTTTTTTCCCCAGGAATACAGGATTAATTGATATTTAAAAACCAATCAGTGAAAATTACCATATTAACAAAAGAGAAGGAAAATACAATTTCTTTCAATAGACACAGAATTTTTAAATAAAATGTAATATTCATTCTAGGTTCTTAAAAATCAGTAAAGTAAGAATAGAAATTCCTCAATCTGGTAAAGTTTGTCAAGAAAATATTTAATTTAACATCATCTGTGTGGTGAAGTATTGAACACTTTTTTTCTTGTGGTTAGAACCAAGGAAAAGGTGCCTTCTATCACATCTTCTATTCAGCATTGTGACTGAAATCTTAGTTGGTGCAATAAGGCAGGAAAAGAAAATGAAATAAAGGTATGAAGACTGGGATATATAAAGTAAAACTATCTTTCTTGGTAAATGGCATGATTGTGTATATTAAAAATCTAAAACAATATAGGAGCCATTAGAATAAATAAGTGTATTTTCTTAATACAATGAAAATAAATTGTATTTCTGTTTACTATCAATAAATAATCAAAAATAGAATTTAGGAAATTATTCACAATAGTGTTTAAAAGATGAAATATTTGGAGATAATGAAGCAACATCATTGTCTGGGGTAAATACCAGAGATTCGTCATCTCATGCTAAGGAAATCAAGGACACAGACACACAAGAAGTGAGTTTAAGAGCAGTGGTTTAATAGGCAAGAGAAAAGAGAAAATCTCACTCCCTCCTAAAGAGAGAGAGGGGCTCCTGAGGGGTGTCTTCTGTTCCATGGTAAAATGCACAGGGTTTTATAGACCAGCTGAGGAGGCGGTGTCTGATTTACATAGGGCATGAGAGATTGGGTGGACCAAGTGTGCTGTTTGCATAGCACACGAAGAAGCTGGCCATCCCATCTTAGTCTTTTATTATGCAGATGAGGTGTCTACCTGGCCGGTGCCAAGTTGCTTGTTCCTGTACTGCACACATGGTTGACAAAGAGAAAGGAAGATGAAGCTTCCATGTTGAACATGCCTGGCTTCCAGGTATCCCTTTTCTATTGGCACAGCTGCTGGCATTTACCTATGCAAGCTTTTAGCTTGCTTATCTGTGCACACAGCTTGATTTTTCAGGCTGCTTTTTGTTTGAAAAGAAATGATTTGGGGGGCTGCTTTTTATTAAAAGGAAATCTTACTGAAGACTCTCTTACCATCACTATCTGTCTAAATAATTTATATCTAGCTCCTGTATCAATAATTCCAGTGAAAAAATGCAAAAAAAAATCCACAAAACCATACTGAAAGAAATAAAAAGAAATATAAATTAACATAGAGACGTATCATGAATTGTAAGACAATATTGCTAAAATGTCAGTTCCATTCAAAGGATCTAGACTGGCCAAGGCAATATTGAAGAAGTCAAAGATAAAAACTTAAAACAATCAGATATTAAAACTTACTATAACCCTAATGTAATTGGTATTGGTTGAGGATAGGCAAATAGAGCAATAAAAGAGAATAAAGAGTCCAAAAACAGACCCATACATATAAAGTCATCCCCCTTTTTTTTTTAACCAAAATAGAGCTGTAAAAAGAAAAAAGGATTTCTTATCAATAAATAACACTGAGTCAATTAGATATTCATATAGAAAATAAATAAACTCTGATCCCTACCTCACACTATTCATAAAAGATGATTTGAGTTGGATCATACACTTAAATATAAAAGGTCATGCACTGAAGCTTCTAGAATTAAATAACTGCCTGTATTAATAATTGCAGTTTTAAAATATCTCAGCAGATTCTTCAACACTCCTCACTTAAAAAGGTGAAGTCTGATTCCCCTCCCTTCGAATGTGGGCCAGACTTACCATCTTGTTTCTAATGAACAGAATGTGCTGGAAGTGATGCTCTGTGACTTTTACAGCAAGCTTTTTAAAAATCAAAATAACTTCTGCCTGGTTCCTAGGTGACAAGTGCCTTTGCATACTCGAGCCACCACGTAAGAATCCTGGCTATCAGGAGGCCATCCTGCTGGAGAGACCATGTGGAGAGACCACACAGAAATGGGGGAGATGTCTAAAGAGCCCCACTCGCAATTCCAGCCCCAGCTGTCTAATTCCTCTCATTTGTATTGCTCTCTTATAGCTGCTGTCACAAATTACCAAAAAATTTGTGGTTTCAAACAATACACACATATGCTCATATAGTTCTGGAGAGAGAAGTCTGAAATTAGTTTTACTGGGCCTCAGTCAATGTGTCAGCAGGGCCCTGCTCCCTCTGGAGGCTCCCTTGCCTTTTCCAGCTTCTTTTTTTTTTTTTTTTTTTTTTTTTGAGACAGTCTCACTCTGTCACCCAAGCTGGAGTGGTGCAGTGGCGTGATCTCGGCTCACTGCTGCTTCTGCTTCCTGGGTTCAAGTGATTCTTGTGCTTCAGCCTCCCAAGTAACTGGGATTACAGGTGTGTGCCACTCTCACCCAGCTAATTTTTGTATTTTTAGTAGAGATGGGGTTTTGCCATGTTGCCCAGGCTGGTCTCACACTCCTGGCCCCAAATGATTTGCCCACCTTGGCCTCCCAAAGTGCTGGCATTACAGGCATGAGCCATCATGCCTGGCCACATTTTCCAGCTTCTAAAACTGCAATCCCTGGCATGTGGTGCCTTACTCCACCTTAAAAGCCAGCAGCATGGCATCCTGCTCCAGGGGCCACATTACCTCCTTCTTCAATGTCAAATCTCCTTCTGCCTCCCTTTTATAGTTGTGATTGCATTTAGGACCCAATTAGATAATCCAGGATAATCCCTCATTTTAAGAGTTTTGATTTAATCATACCTGCAAAGTCTCTTTTGTCTTGTAAGTTAAATTCACAGATTCCAGGGATGAGGATCTGGGTATCTTTGGCGGCCATTATTCATTCTTGGTAGGAGATGTAAGTGAAAATGCCCTTGAGGTGACCCTAGCCCCAGTCACCACTTGGCTGCAACCTCCTCATGAGAGACAGAAGCCAGAACTGCCGAGCTGAGTCACCAAATTCCTGTCCCACATACCACGAGAGATAATAAATATTTGCTATGTTTTATACCTCCAAAGTTTTGGTAAAAACTCCCTGGCGAGTTTTTCTAGGCAATATGAAGAAAATTGAGATAGAACAAATGAGCTTGACACAAACTTAAAATTATTTCTTCTAAAACACTGTTTTGTTCTAAAGAGTATATTCTTTCTATTCTTTTGGTGCAAACATACTCTATTAGGAAATTATATTTAAAGCACACTATGGCTCATGCTTTCTTAATAGTCTGACTTGCAAAAAGGCAAAATTAATAATCTCTGTCCATTTCACATTTTAAAAAGTATTGCTTTGAAATTTGCAAGTCAGGGAACTACTGTTTATAGGATAAAGTCTAGCTTCATCAGCCTGCACGCAAAGCCCCCTATAATCCTGCTGTACCTCCTTCTGTGGCTGCTTCTCCTGCTACAACTCTCTGCACTTATGTCTCAATATTTCTACGCCACTGATTTCCTCACACATAACATTCTGTTTTGCTAGAGGATGCCTCTGTGTATTCCATTTGTTTGCCTTTGTTTTTTCCTCAGACTACTTTCCCCCGTCTGAAAACCTCAAGTTTAAGGAAACTTATTCCCTTCTCCACTTTGTGAATATCTGTATCTTAGCATTTAATGTTTTTATCGAAGTGTTCTGTTTATACGTATGTCTCAGCTACTAAACAGTAAGGTCAATAAGGACACAATTTTTAAATCCTTATTTTTTTTGAAATTTGCAGAAGATGTGGAATAAAATAGGTGCTCCAGAAATGTTTGCCAATTTATAGATAAGTTCTGAAATGCAAATAGAAATGTAGGTCTGCTGAGTGTCCCCATCTGGTTTAAATTTCAGTCCAACAGTGTAATCCCCACTTCTTGTGTGGTGATGCTTTAACTGTTTCTATTTTTAGGTAGACTTGTCTCTCTGACAAGTCTTTCTTTGATGAGTCCAATCTTCTTCCCTTAACTTCTACCACAAGGCCCCATTCTGCCCTCTGGAGTCATGAGATAAAGTCTGTCTCTCTTATGTAATAGTGTTTCAGATAGTTAATGCTGGTGAGTGGGTTTCCATTTAGTCCCCTCCTCCGCAGACTAAATGAACTCTTCTTGTCAATTTTTCATTGACAGCCTTTTTAAGCCTTCCATACCCAGTCACCATCTGTGTTGGTCAGTGTTGTTTTAGGCTGCCAGTATCAGAAAGCATAACAACGATGACTTAAACAAGATGGCTGCTTATTTTTCTGCGTAAACAAATCCAGAGGTAGGCTGCCCTGGTGGTGCCATCAAAGACCCAGGCTCCTCTCATTATTCTTACTATGGGGCTTTTCTCCTTTCATTGCTGTCACATGGCTTCTACATGGCCAATCTGCCTTGAGAACAGCATTTCTATCCCATCCCAGAAGAGAAAGAACAAAAAGAATGTATGTTCCTGTGAAATATGCTCTCTTGAAAGGGCTTTCTCAGAAGAATCACAGTTTCATGAACATTTGATTGAACATAATTGTGTCACGGAGTTGCAAGGGATATTGGGAAACATCATATTTTAGCTGGGCACATTATCTTCTTGAAAATACCGTACATGAGAAGAGGAGAATAAATATTGATATTGATAGGCAACTAGTAGTGTGTCTCAATGAGCAGAACTTTGCTGTGACTATCTTAAAAGAAAGGCTTCTAGTTAGACAACCTGAGGTCAGGAGTTCATGACTAGCCTGGCCAATATGGTGAAACTCAGCCTCTACTAAAAATACAAAAATTAGCCAGGCGTGGTGGTGGGTGTCTGTAATCTCAGCTACTTGGGAGGCTGAGACAGGAGACTTGCTTGGACCCAGAAGGTGGAGGTTGCAATGAGCCAAGACTGTGCCATTGCACTCCAGCCTGGGCAACAGAGTGAGACTCTGTCTCAAAAAAAAAAAAAAAAAGGCTTCTAGATTAGACGATATATTATATTCCTGATGAGCCCAACAAAGTATGAACACAGCCTGTCTCTCTCTCTCTCTGTTTATGTAAATGTATTAGGGTAATTGAGGATTGGGTGTATTTTTTAAGGTGCCTCATTGCTACTATAGGTTTATTTCATTCTTAACAACGAACAAGAACAATTTATTTCCCTCCTTCTGCTATTCAGCTAGGTCTATACTAAAACTATACAGTTGTATTCTGAAATTGAATGAAGAATGTTTCATTTACTCCAATAAAGTTCATCATATGTATCCTGGTCCATCATTTCAATACTTTGATTTTTTTTTTGAAACTTAATTTCCTCATCCAATACATTCACTAGTCATCTAAAATTTGCATATCTGCAATTTTGATGAGTCTTTTATGACTCGATAAGGGAGGCATACATATAAGCCTATAATTGGGTGTAAGTGAGACAAGTATGTTAGGGAAGCTATGTACAGGGATAGGAACTTTGGGGAACATGCATCTGGCTCACCTTGTAGATTCTAGAAGGTACAAGAACTGCAGAGAAGGTGATATTGATGTTTATCAGTAAAGAGGAGATGAACTTCTCCTGAGAGACCATACTGAAAAAAGAAGTAATAGAATAAGAAAGGCCCAGAGATGTGATCGACTGAGAAATGCTGTGACCCAGCAAGTCAAACATCCAGAGCAAGCAGCAGGAGGGGAGGCAAGAAGTGGTGAAAGTTTATCTGGGAAGTTTGAACTTTACTTCTGAGTGATAGTCTTTAGAGACAGACACTAACAACAGAGATATATTGGAAAGATTTTTCCCATAACTGTCTTTAAAATTTACAACTACATTTTTATTCTCAACTACGGTTGAGTAGAAAATAGATGAGAGGAGATGATTCAAGACCTTCCTTCTTCTGTACCATGTGATCCTATTTCCCTTCAGATGTAATGACCATATGTCTCATGTTTTTCCAAGAATCTTTGAATTTCAAATAATCTATCTTGGGCTGCCCAAAGTATTCTCAGACTTGTCAGTCTATGTGTCCTGATTTTTTTTTTTTCCAGAAAAGGTAGTCACTGGGCCTCCAATCACACAAGTATTGCAGTATCACATAAGTGGTTCTTTCATCATGTTTTTTTCAGGTCTATCTAGGGAGTGAGCAGATCTGCAGTGTGATTTAGAGAGCCAAAGAACACCATGCTTGCCATTCTTTGTATTTAATGACAACGAGAAATTCCGGTAATGAAAGGGGTAAGCAACAGCACAGCCTGTAAGCTTGTATTTTTAGCCTGTGTACAAGAGGCTCACAACCTTAATTTTCACAGCAACATAAATATTATGAGTATAATTAACCATGAATATTTGATGAAGTTTGAGAGCATTATCTGCACTTGCTTAATATCGCTGGATGTCATTCTAAATTCTGGATGCTTTTTAAGTATGGAAATATTCTCTTTGTGCTGCCAAATTTCTAAACAAATGCCTGGTGGAAAATTACACCTTAGCCAGAATAATAACCCAAGTAAATAGGTAATAATGGGTTTGTATTTTGCATATTAGCTTGACATACAGCGTTAAAATGTCCCAGGACATTAAATACTGAGTTTTTATAAAGAGAATTGAAATAGGCCTAATAGCCATGATTTATCCAAGAGACTGATGCATTACAGAAGAGTATTTTTTATATGTGAAAAAGAAATTTGTGCCCTGTTAGAATGCCAGGTATTCTCAAGTTGAAAATACACTAATTTGTAGTAAGCAACTGAATACGTATAGAATCTGGGGATGCAAACCTTGGTGGTCCACTATGTGCCTAGGGCAACTTAAAGCCAATCAGAAAGCAAGATGTGTGCTTACTGCAAAATTTTTCCTGATTTTGCTTTTTTGAAAATAAGAAAAAAAGTCTTCTTCAAAATATGCATTTTCTTTATTTGCACATTTTGTGAGTTACACTAAAAAGGGAATGGTCTCTAACAAAATGTGTTTTAAATGTTAAGGCCAAGTACAGCCATGTGCACTACCACAGACTTTCTTAGTCCTCAGAGGCAATTTTCTTCTTTGTGTCCATTGATAAACTCCTAAGGCTGTTGGGTAAGACTTGATGCTTCCCGTGACCTAGGCTCTGAGGATGTCTTAGATTGGCAGACTCTGGTAGATATGGTGGCTTAAAGATGGCTGCAGATTATTTTCTAGTTCTCCCACTGAGCGGAAGAGCCCAATATTCCTCTATCTGAATCTGGTCTAACCTTTGAAATGCTTGATTAATAAAGTATGGAGGAAGTGAGGCTTATGCTATTTCAGTCTAGCACTTAAGAGGATCAGAAGCTTCCACCTTGCTTTCTGGAACCACTGATTAAGCTGAAGCAATCTTTCTCCAAGTAATCCCAGGCCGCATGGAGAGGCCACATGTAGGTGCTCTTGTGAACAGGTGAAATTGCTCCAAGGGTCAGCATCAACTTCCAGCCATGTAAATGAGTCCAGTGACCTTGGACATCCAGCCCAGTCAAGCCTTCAGCTGACTCTGCCCCAGTCACCATCAGACAGACATGGCATAAAGAACACCAAGCAAGAACTGCTCAGCTGAGCCCAGGTTTTCCACAGAACCATGGGGATAATCATGAATTATCATTTGCACCATTAACTTGTGCAGCAAATTGTACTGTAGCTATAGATAACTAAAGCAGTAGGGGCAATGAAAATGTATCATAAATTTGAGAGATTTTTGCCTCCTCCTTTCCTGTTTCCCTCCCATCTTCCCTTAGTCACAAGTGAATGGGAACATCTAGCACAAGTATGGTCAGAGAACAAGCCTCAGATAAACACACTTGAAAGACATAGTAGAGAATTTAGAGACCGCTGATACCCATTGGTGCCTACAGCTTGTAGCACATAGTATTGTGAGATCCTGGGCTCTGGAGTCAGAGCTACCTTAGTTAAAACCTAGCACAAATCCCTACCAGCCATGGGTTCCTAGGTAATTTACATCATCTTTCTGTGTTCAGGTTTCCTCACCTAAACCGTAATGGACAAAGTGTATGTAAATCTCTTTAGAATAATAGTGCTGACATATAAGAAGAGCTCAATAAACCTTAGTTATTATTGTGGTAGTTGTTTTTGCTGTGATAGTGACAATGATACCTCGACACTCATAATTTGTATTTCCTATGCCAATTTCTGGCCTTTTTTATGTCAGACTCTGGCTTCTTTGAATCAAATAACAAACACTTCATGTTATCTTGTGGCCTTTGATTCAATTTGATTATATCAGTGTTCGTATAAGGCTTTTTATTTTATTTTATTATTTATTTATTTATTTACTTATTTTATTGAGACGGAGTCTCGCTCTGTCGCCCAGGCTGGAGTGCAGTGGCGCGATCTCAGCTCACTGCAAGCTCCGCCTCCCAGGTTCACGCCATTCTCCTGCCTCAGCTTCCCGAGTAGCTGGGACTATAGGCGCCCACCACCACGCCCGGCTAATTTTTTTGTATTTTTAGTAGAGACGGGGTTTCACCGTGTTAGCCAGGATGGTCTCGATCTCCTGACCTCGTGATCCACCCACCTCGACCTCCCAAAGTGCTGGGATTACAGGCTTGAGCCACCGCGCCCGGCCAAGGCTTTTTAAATATGTCATTTTGTATACAATATTTCAAATATATTTTATGTTTGTCGTTTTTATTTTTTAAGTGATTAAATACCAGAAAAATAAAATGCTTATAATGATAATACAGTAGAAATTTCAACTAAACTCTGCTTAATTAATTAATGGGATTAATCATCACTCTCTATGCTGCCTGGAATTGTAATGACTGATGTGATGACTGATGTTTAGGGCTGAGGCTGGCCTGTGCTATATCTAAAATTCTGCATATCAAGAATCAGTGGTGTTTGTTCACAAACCTATTTATGTCAATGTTCCTTATCATTATAATTACATAATTTAATCAAATATTATGCAATTTGTAATCTGTTAGTGTTAAAATAGTATTATTTGTATAACAAATAAATGGAATATTTTGAAAAGAATATAGACAAGTCACTAAAATAATATCAAATTAGGTGAAAGTGACACAACTGTAAAAAACTGGAAAGATAATCTAGAAGTATTTGGCATGCAGTTTCCTTCACAAGTATTTTTAAGTTCCTGCTGCTCTTTAAAGAAACAGAAACTGGAAATGGTTGGGGTGGGGGTGCAATATAGATATGATTTAGGAACAAAGTGAATTCATTCAACGAAAAGCCTTGGCTCTATACCAAAAGATTGGCAAGTTAATGTAGGTTTTCGTTTCAAGCTATTTTTCACCACTTTAATCAACTGTATTTATTAACAGACCAGTCCCTAATCCTAGTTGTGTCTGATAAATGGACTTACCAGTGGTATGTGGGTAAATGCTCAACAAGCAATTCTCTGAGGATGGGAAGGACACCTTGATTTGTAGTATTTACCAGCTCCCATGGTGTAAATATTATCACCATGGTTGATTTCAAGTTGTCATTGTGATATCAATCAGGTCACATAATTCCTAAAGATTTAACAGGGACTCTCTCAGGTTGGTACTATTCCAGAAGAGGAGTCATCAGGGGATACTGAGAGTAGCCCATGTTTAGAGTCAGTGTTCATTTGAGTTCAACTACCTGACCAGTTGTTCTTCAGTGAAGAGAACTCACAAAACCTAAAAGACACACATGAAACATATGATTGTGGAAACATTATCAAATGTCATAAAAATGATAAGTTAAAACCAAGCTATATAAAATTTCTATGATCCAGACACAGAGTAAATTTCCATTGAAATGTTGATCAAGATTCTGCTTGATACAAAATATAAAACCAGTATTCAACCTTCTTTAGCAACATTTTTCAGCATAAAAAAATGTATTCATTATTCTGGCAAAATGAGGGCTGGTATGTTTCCTAAATCTCACCTCTTATTAACTTTGGGAAGTGAATTTATGTTGTTGGATGTTAACGTTTGATTTATTAGTTATATTTTAAATAATCATGTAATATTGCATGACATTTGGGGATTTTCTTATATTTTTAGAGTTACAGGTACGGAAACACCACTCATGAGAATATCTACTTTTTATATTCAACATTCATATATACATATTTTCAGGAATGAATTATGTACAAAAGTAAGAAATGGATTATAATATTGTGAAAGGTCCCTTGTCTTTGAAGGATTAATTACTATACCCTTGGGTTCTGATTTAATAGAGTACAATGTTCTGATTTAATAGAGTACAATGATCAAGGAAAAGCAAAGAAGTTCCATAGAAAGAAAACTACTCCTATGAGCTTCTGCAAAGTCACACAGTACATTGTTAAGGGATACTGCTGACTCACCAGCCTTCTGCTTTCATTTGTTCTTCTGTAAGCATATGCATTATCCAAGCTTTCAGGAGAAATGTCACTAACAAATATTCTAACTATGTCACTCTATAAGAGTTTTAATATGAAAAGTCCCCAAGGCTAAATAAAGATGCTGCAGGTGGCACTATTTATCATGACGTACTTCTGAAGCGTAGTGATATTGGGCCACCTTACTGAACTCTAATGAACAATGTTCCCAAGGCAGGAGAGCTCAGGGATGACCGGAATCCATGGCTTAGCAATCCCACTCTTCTTTTGCTAAACAGAAAATGAGATTGTGCTCCTCTTCCATAGATAAGAAAACCCTCCCTCTACAACAGCCCTTACTCCCCTCTCCAGGCTCAAACCAAAGTGAAAGACCAGGAATAAATGCTAACACTGAAGTATGTTTTAACATTCAAAGACCTTTTTGCCACTAACATACAAAGACTCTGTGTGGAGTGGAGGTGTTTCATCCATAGGATCATAGGGTTGATTGTTTTTTAGATGGTGAAGTGGAAATCTAGAGAGCTGGAGTGACTTGCTCCTTCAGGACTGCCATGTTTAGTGGCAAGGTGTCTTGATACTTAGTGTAGTACTTGCTTCTACTTTTTTATTCCAGTGGAAGAGATGCCCACTTATGTGAACTACCTGGGACTGATTTTCTTCTCTCTCTTTTATATTTTCATGGAATAAGGGTTCTGCTACCCCAAGATACAATTAACACTCAGAGAGGCTTCAACTTATACAAGTTCACTCAGATAGTCAGTAGCAGAGTTGAGATTTCAACCTAGGTTTACCTGATTTCAAACTCCATGGACTTTCAACTACACATATTAACTCTAAGAATAACCGTGGTCCTGGTGACCTGCCTGCAAGCGTCTCAGGGTGGGATGGCAGTCATGGTGATGTACAGGCACTGCCCACTTGTCTCCAGCATGTGTACAGGCCTTGCCTTTCTTTCCAGGTCTCCCTGAGTTATGCCTCAGCTCACTAAAGCAAAAACTTCACTTCTTTCTCCACCTGGGTAAGTTTTCAATGGCCCTGCACAGAAGTTTAAGTTTTGAAATTCCATCTTTATTCTATGCCACATGTTTTAGTCTGTTCTCAGGCTGCTAATAAAGATATACCTGAGACTGGGTAATTTATAAAGGAAAGAGGTTTAATTGATTCCCATTTTCACATAGCTGGGGAGGCCTCACAATCATTGTGGATGGCAAAGCAGGAGCAAAGTCATGTCTTACTGGCAGCAGGCAAGAGGGCGTGTGCAGGGGTCCTCCCATGTATAAAACCATCAGATCTCATGAGACTTATTCACTACCACGAGAACAGTATGTGGGAAACCACCCCCATGATTCAGTTATCTCCCACCAGGTCCCTCCCATGACACGTGGGAATTATGGGAGCTACAACTCAAGGTGAGATTTGGGTGGGGACACAGCCAAACCATATCACCACAGCTTGGGAAGGAGGCAAGCATATGGCTGGGCCATGGTCTGAGAACAAAGATTCTTTCCTTCACCCCAGATCTCCTGAGGATTTCCTGCATATCATGCCATGGATATTGCCTTTGGTTACAATCTAGAGAATTTTTCTCATCGCTTTACATACGTAAAATTACAGCCAAGTTAGGAAATCGGTATGTGAGTCTAGACAAATGTATTTTGGAAATATGTAAAATATTTCCCAAATATTTGGAAATCATTCCAATGTTCTTTTTACCAGTTTATTTCTCTGAAATTCTTCAGAAATAAATAGGAAAAATGTATTGAGCATGCTTCAGAAAAATAAATAAGGCAAATCAAAAGGTTTAGTGACTTCTAATACAACATGGCCAAGAGGGCGCAGGGGGCACAAACTATGCCCTTCCATTAATTGTATCCTGTGTAGCATTCACTGAAACACCCAAAGGCTCTCTATTATAACAGTAAAAAGGATGCATTCGGTTAGAGTTAACTATGTTCTAACTAAACAGGATTTCTAGCTTGAAAACTAAGCAAGAATTCTTGATCAATTTGGAGTTTTAATCAGGCCTTCCAGCATTAGGAGTAGATTCTGATGGAGGCAGCACGAAGTTGTCCTACATCAATGGCTGAAGAATGCTCCTTGGTGTGTGTGTGTGTGTGTGTGTGTGTGTGTGTGTGTATGTGTGTCTAACAGAGGAGAGAGAGGAAAAGGGAGGTGAACGGTTGCAATGGGCATGGCATCTCCCCAGATCCTGCCTCCTGTCCTGTTCCCTGTCCTTGGCCCATGTCTATTTTGTGCTGGAAGCACAGGCACAGGACAGTGGCTCCCCTAATCAAGATGGGGAGGGAATCAGAGCCCTCAACATAATTTGTGGAAAGGGGATAGGTACAGAGAGAGTAATGGATGGAATGTGTTTCTAGGTTTCCCTACAAATTTTAAGAAACAATGGCTACTGATTAATAATAAAACACACAAAAAAACTAATAATAAAACACAAATTACTGGCTTCATTTTTCTTTTTTTCAGCTTCTGTTAGCAAAATTGTTTGCGTTGAGGTGCACATGAGAAATACCCAAACTGTTTGCCTACCGTGAGTCCTCTTGGGACTCGCTGGCCGCCTGAATGTATTTCTTGTTTCCCAGGAGGCCAATGATTTGCACAACACATCCTTCCCCAGACCCCAAAGCCAAACATTGACATATTCCAGCAATCAGCTCACATTGCCTCCATCCAGGAAGCTTTCTTTGTGCACTGAACTCGAAGAATCACTGAGTGCCCTCAGATAAACTTAACACTACTCATCTTTCTCAGTTTAAGATGTGTACTGTGGAACGGAAGTGTTTTGTTAATGCTTAGCATGACATGAAAGCTGTTTCTGCATTTTCCCATCGTACATTTCTACTGTCTTTAGCTCAGCATCTTTATGCGATGGGGAGAGATCCCACACAATGCACAGATGGAGTGGGAATGGAGGCAAATTTCTATGGGGCTCAAAACTCATTCTGCCATATGCTGTTCTCTCTCCTTCCGAATTCTGTTGAGCGCACCACCGCTGGTTGGCACAGAGTGACAAAGATGGAGAGGCTTTAATCAGTTGAGTCTTCCATTTCTAGCCATTTCAATAACTCCTTTAGGTAAAAAGGCCAGTGTCAATTCGAGTTATTTATATGAATAAAAATCCTGTTTCTCTCCTCTGTAAATTAATTGTTCCAGGAATTCTGTGTGATCCCGAAAATGTAAGCATTTAGAATTAGCCTGTTTTATGTAATACAGAAATGATTTTAAAAGTCTGACAAATTAAGGTATAGTTTTATTAGCTGTCAGTCAGTCTTTCTTTCCTAGAATGTTCCAGTGAGAAATGACATTCTTTATGTCTCTGCACAACTTAAATTACAGGCCTGCTTATTTTTTATTTTCAACATAAATAAAATTTATTATTATCAGAGCAGTAGTGAATCCCAGCTTTTAGTACTTATCAGACTTGTATAGAGAGAAAGAATTTTGTTCTTATGCTTTCTGGGAGCTTTTTGAAACCTTTTATTCCAGCTTTGATTTTTTTTATTACTTTTTTATTTCCTTCTACGATTTTTCTTTCATAAGTTGTGTGATAATGTAACAAAATTACCATTAAACTCCAAATTCCTATATTCATATCCATATATGCTCCATATATGCCCCATATTCATTGCTCTACTTTGATAGTTTCTTTCAGATAAATTACATGTCGATGAGTTTTCAAGGGACTGACTTTTAAGTTTCAAAGGGGATCCCACTCCTGTCAAACTAACAAGTTAAAATAACATTGTTATGGGCCTCTGATACCCAAAAGACTTTTCTAGGCATGAGAAAAAACTAATTATAATAACTTTTACCAGATTTTTTCAGCTTTGTCGCCATTACCTGAGTTCATTTCTACAATCATATTAATAGCCATGCAGCCAAGTATAGTGACTAGTCCTCTCTTAGTCTGTTTTCTGCTGCTATAATAGAATACCACAGACTGGGTAATTTATAAAGATCAGAAGTGTATTTGGCATATGGCTCTGGAGACTGTGAAGTCCAAGAGCATAATGCCAGCACCTGGCCAGGGTCATCCCACTGTGGAAGGCATCACAAGGCAAGCAAGCTTGAGACACAGACAGAAAATGGTGTCAAACTCATCCTTTTATCAAGAGTCCACTCCTATGATAACTAGCCCAGTATGGCAATGATGTCTTTAATTACTCCATGAGAATGGAGCTCTTATGACCTAATCATTTCTTAAAGGCCTCATCTCTTAATACTGTTATAATGGCAAGTAAATTTCCAACACATGAGCTTTCGGGGGACACATTCAAACCATGGGAAGTCCCATGGACTAAGAGTGGACCAAGAGGTATTTTGTGGGAAGAGGCAGTTGTTCTTCCCACAGACTACAAAGTCTACTTTGAGAGATAAGTGAGGAATCCCAGATGATCTTAATTTATAGTATCCAAAAAAACAATTATCTGAAGCTTAGAAGCAAAAGAAATCACCATATGTTCTTTCTAGGCTTGACTTTCTGTCGTTGGATTATTTTACATCTTGTAGAAACAAGAGTCAACTGATAGATTTTTGTCCAGTAGAAATATAACTAATTTCTGTTCAAATATTCCCAAAAGTATGTTTATTGCTCTCTAAGACTTTAATCAGTTTTGTATCATACATAGCAGTAAAGTTACTCTAGAAATTCTAGCTTTTACAATGCTTTTGGACTGGATTTTACATTGTATTGGTTCTCTCTTTATTTTTAAATTAAATTTAATTTTTTGAAACAGGGTCTTGTTCTGACACCAGGCTGGAGTGCAGTAGCGCAATCACCAATCACAGCTTACTGCAGACTGGACCTCCTGGGCTCAATCCTCTCGCTTCAGCCTCCAGAGTAGCTGGGACTACAGGCACACACTACCATGCCTGGCTAATTTTTAAATATTTTGTAAATGGGGGTCTCTTTATGTTGCCCAGGCCCGTCTCAAACTCCTGGGGGCAAGTGATCCTCCGTTTAGGCCTCTCAAAGTGCTGGGATTACAAATGTAAGGAACCATCCCTGGCCCTTGGTCCTCTCTTTAATATGTTAAATAATATATTTGACACATGTTTACTTTATATCTGTATGAGAGTCATGATGTTACCTTTTTGAAACTTATGCTTTAATAATTATGTCACCTCATTGTGGATTCAACATTTATTTATTTATTTTAGCATTTCCCAAACCTACTCATATTTCTTTGTTTGGTCTATTTTCTAAATTCATGTTTTACTTCTGTAAACTTTGTATATTTTATTTGACTTTGCATTATCTCCTTAAAGTTTAAAGGAATGCTTCAAAATTCTGTTTTTCCGGTATTGTGCTATTGAATTCAGATCATGTACCACACCATACTCAACCTTTAATGTCAGAAAAGTTTTAATTTTTTTTTTTTTACATTTGACCCCCTTAGGAACCACCTCTTTCTCTTGACTGCTTTTCACTAGATCTTCTCTAGGTTTCTTATTTCTTTCTGGAAGGTAGGTGAAGAGAACCTTTTTTTTCTGGGCATGGCCAAGAACAAAATTACCACAGAGGAAAAAAAAAGGAAGAATCATTATGCTGTCTAGGTACTTTAACACTCTTAACTTTATCAAATCTTCACAGTACCCTGGTGGGCTCTATGAAGTATTACCATTCACAGATGAAGTAATTGAGATCACAAAGGGCTAAGTGACTTGCTTGGTCCCGTATATCTGATGAGTGGTAGAACCTAAATCCAATCCTAGTTTCTTCCCAAGACTATGTGCTTTCTGTTACTCAATATCACTTGAACTCATTCTACATTCACATTGTGATTAACCTGCTATAGACACTACAGGATGATGAGCCCCTGTGTAGACTGAACAAGGTGCTGAACATTGATACCCTGTGCCAAAGTTGCTTATGGTGCAGGATCGTACTTTCAAGCTTAACAGTCTTTGGGACACAGCAAGCTTTGCCTTTCTTTCTTTCTTGTTTTCATTTTGACACTCTTTGATGAGCACCTAGCTTTTACTCTTACACTCATGGGCTGGAGTATTGTAGCAGGAGGAAGGACCTATGCAGTGGCAGGTAATTGGGCATTGGTAGATGTGGATATTGACACCAGGTGGTCCCAACAAATGGGCTGGTTTGGACATGAGAAAGGTATTGAAAGTGAAATGAGCCAGGCTTGTTAAATATAGCAAGATATATGAAACAGCAACCCAAAATAACACCATTTGTAGCCATTATTCACATATGCCCTTAATTTGTCAATCTGATTGGATTTTTATGACATTCTGATTTCCCTTTTGTTTCTCTTTTATATGAAGCAATCTTTACTTGCTGAAAGAGCCTCTGCAGACTTAAATAGTGATCAATTAGTTGGGTCCACCTTCAGCACCACCTATAGTAAAAGAGATCACCCTACTCTTCCTCAGTTCCATCCAAATAGAATTATAAAATTGTAGAATTTTAAAAATGAGGTAATTAAATTAAAGGATGCAAAGAATGAAAAATATTTTATATAGTTCGGTAGCTGTGTTTTTAAGGAATTCAAATGAAATTTTGAAATCAAATGTCTTTTACCATTCACGTATTTTGTCTCTCAACTCAATGTTTTTTTTTTGTTGGCTTAAAAAAAGATTTCTGTGCTAAGGACAGTGAAGTATAGATAATGTGCAAATTTCCTTTCAGGAAATGTGAATGGATGAAGATATGTTTCTAATTTTCAGAACAAATGAGCTTCATTTTCAAGACTTTTAGTTGTTACTAACCCTGCAACTTTGCTTAGAGAAGATATTCAGGGCAAAACATTTCTATGAGAGTCATGAGAAAAATGATGAATCATTTCAATTCCAATGTGGAAATTATTTTTCTCTAGCTTTACTTGTACTGCACAGAGAACTTTACACCTGCTGCACAATATATTTTATCTTGTGTTTAAGAGAATAGAAAAGATGCTGCTATTTATTTCCCCAAATACTACTTTGCATCTGCATTCCCCTCCCTAACAGAATTTCAGCCCAGCCTGAAATGAAGGTCACGTCAAGTACCAAAGCTATTTCAATTCCAGAGATGGATAATCACATCGGCTATTCCAGTTATAAAAAAGTGTTGCATGAAATCATGCACTCACATCTTGTACTAGAGAGAGAGCCTACTAGTTGCCATCAGGTATTTAGGAGATATTTTATTGCTATCTTAAGAGGATTAATATCTTAAGATTTTGCTATCTAAAAATCTTCAGCTCATTAGTAAAAATATGATGATGTTAAGTGATTTAGCACTAATGAAAAATAAGACTTCCTGTAAAAGACATGGGAAATTATTTGATCCTGCTCCTTGCAACTGAGTAAAATCAAAAGTTTTTACTTAAACAATGAATACATGGTGCAATTAGCCATTAATCTTTTGTTTTCATGTAGATTCATTCACCCAGTTTACCAGAACAATCAAATCCTAAGCAGGCTTAATTTAATTAATGCCCAAAGACATTTAGTAAACACCTATCTCATCCAACAGGTGCTCTCGTGACATAAAGAACATAATTCAGCACCCTTCTTGGGACCCACCAGGACCTA
Organism: Homo sapiens; assembly: GCF_000001405.40. Taxonomy (NCBI): domain Eukaryota; kingdom Metazoa; phylum Chordata; class Mammalia; order Primates; family Hominidae; genus Homo; species Homo sapiens. The sequence continues at coordinate 34,222,457 of NC_000013.11, forward strand.
GGTGTCTGGTGCCTGCTAAATTTTGTCTCTGTCTTTCTCACTTGATCTGTTCCAGTTACATCATTTCTGTCCTTAAAAACTCCAAGATTTTTTCCCACCTCAGGATATTCATATTTGCCTTTTCTTTGTCTGAAACACTCTTTTTGAGGCTGACATCTTCTGTTTCTTTGTCTGAAACACTCTTTTTGAGACTGACATTTTCTTATCATTTAAGATTCGTCTTGAAACTCAACTCTAGAGTTCATGGCCAATGGAACTGGACCCTCCCAAACTCACCTACAGTCATCCTTTATTCCTTTCCTCTGTTTTATTTTCTTCTTATGAGTTGCCACTATTTAAAATAGTCTAGTTTACTTCCTTATATATTGCTTATTTCCAAAGTAGAACAAAAATTGCAGAGAAAGGAGGAATCTCGTGTGTCTGGTTTACATCAGCATCTAGGACTATGTCTCACTCACAGTATGTACTCAAAAAGACATAGGAAAACGTAATTGGGAGCTTATAAATTTAGAATAAGAGAGATAAAATATATATTTATTCTATAAAGTAGAAGTAGAAAGTCCTTCAAGAGAATGGAAATGCTAGCAGCAATTCCCATGAGGAAAGACTAGTTTCCAACTGCAGAATCAGATGGCTTTATCAAAAAAGGTATTATTATTTCAACTGTGCGATGAAATGGGTACATTTTTACATAAAGATAGAAGGGAAAGGTGGTCTAAGTCTTTTCAGAGACACCAAGGTTACAGGAAAGTCCTGAGGAAAGGCTGAGAAGAGACAATAACTGAGGTTTGCTTAAGTGGGTAGATGACTTCATGTGGAATCAGAAATGTTTCATATTCTGGCTCCAACATGCTGTATCTGAGTTACTGTCATGGGATGAATTATATCTCCCTCCCCCAATTCATATGTTGAAGTCCTAACACCTAGGACCTCAGTAAATGACTATATTTGGAGACAGGCCCTTTAAAAGGGTGTTTAAGTTAAAAAGGGCCTGTTAGGATGGGTCCCAATCCAATCTGACTGGGGTCATCACAAGAAGAGGAGATTAGGACACACACAGAGAGGCACCAGAATGCACAGGAACAGAGAGAAAACCATGTGAGGACTCAAGGGAGGAGGCACCTGTCTACAAGCCAAGGAAATGGGCCTCAGAGAAACCCACCCCGCCAACACCTTGATCTTAGACTTTCAGCCTCCAGAACTGTGAGAAAATAGCTCTTCGTTGTTGTCGTTTAAGCCACCCAATGTAGTAACACAGTTACCTTGAAAATTTTAACCTATATTTGTTTTCTCATTTGCAAAGTATTGATAACATCACAAGTTAGTAAAAGAATCAAATGAGGCAATAGTCATTAAAGTTCTAAAACTGAAATAAATTTAAGACTAGAAGGCATCTTAAAAATAGTCACAGTGGTTGATTTTAATTTTTCTTGCCTCTTTCTCCTGCCTTCAATAGCAGCAAGAACTCTGGGATTGGTCCTGTTTAATACCTGGGTAACACAGCTCACAATCCCAAGCCTTTTCCTGGAAGGAGATATCATATCTGTGTTAGAGAAAGGGCTGGAGGGAGTAGTCAGGGTAGAAGTCAGAAGTAAAAACAAGCTCACTTGTTTATGCTACTCTTTGTTTCTGCTCACGTCTTCCATATGTGTCACCCTCAACGGTGAATAACACTGCAATGATGATACAGCATTGCATTTCTGCCTGTCCTTCCCTCTAGACTATGAGCTTCTTAAGGATCAACTCTCTATATCCCCAGCATCCATGCTTGGATCAAGGTTGGCCCTCACATGAGTCACTGAAATATTTGCTTTGTACTCTCTATTTATTGTAAGAGGAAGCATACTCTAGTTAAAAGCTTACAGTCAAACAATCCTGAGTTTGAGCCCAGAATACACACTTTTTCACCTCTATGACCTTGAGTACTTGCAGATCCTATTGGAGATCTAGTTTTCACTCTTGGTAATTCAAGATGGCGATAACCACCTCATCACTGGCTTTAAAGATTAAACTATATAATATATGTAAAGCATCTGATACAGCCCTAGTATCTAGTCAATGTTGAATATTGCATTTTATTATTGTTGCTTTCAGTATTATTCTTGTTTACTCATTTTATACCAATGTGATCTGCTTACATGTCATATCTTTGAGAAAAAGGTCTATATAATTTAATTTTATCTCTACTATACCATGTGTAACCAGCACTTTTCATTGATTAGTTGATTTTTTAATCTAGCAAGATTGTAATGAGACTAATGAGAGCTCATTTCTCCCTGTAAATAAATCTGTAGGTAATCAGGAGCTCAGTGTCCGTTTGGTAAAAAAGCTTTCCTTGATCAAAGTCACTGATCAGAATTATAATGACAACCCATGCTTCTGTTTCTCTTTTGGTTCTTTGATTACTTATATATAAATTGAGTGAACTAAACCAGACAGCCAGATCACAGTGAATTTTATTTAATTACGTGCAACTTGTTCACTTATACATTTTCCTCTGTTGAGACAATCCAGAAGCTACTCAGGATACTTATTTGCTTATTCCTCTAATTAAGCAAAGCTATCTATAGCCTAGAATGCTAATCTAAAACTGCATTTTGTTTCTGCAGCAATGATCTCTGTCCAACCCCACAGCACATTCCGGCATTTGCACTGTGCCGTGGACGCCGCTGCATTGTGCATGCTCCAGGCTATGTTTGTGGACAGTCACGTCGCCGCGGAAGTCAAGCTCATTTGTCATCCTTGCTAGGCACTTGCAGGGCTGCCTGAAGAGAAAAATATCTGAAAGCAGGCAGTGACGAAGGTAAAGAAGAGACTCAGGAGTGGAAGGGCAGAAGGGGGCTGTGGGGGTGGATGTACGGAACCAGGCATATCTGAGTCCCTGGAAGGACAGGCTCCTGCGTCATAATTCTGCTTCTGATGGGAGGCCTTCGCAGTGACAAACCTGGGCCTTCTGGCTCTCCGTATGTCTTAGACCTCATTTTGAAACAGGTTATTGCAGTAATGGCCCCCGATTTGTCCACATCTCCCCGTATCCACACCCTTAGGTAATCCTTTCCACACTGACTCGGAGCTGGGATGGTAGCAAATACGATTCAAGCAGAGACTTGAAAAGGGCTTGTGGGTTGGGGCTTACTTACTTGTTTCTCTTGGAACTCCGTGACTCTCATGTGAATAAGCCTGGAATAAACTCCTCTAAAATGAGAGACCACATAGAGAGAGAGGCCCTTATCATCCCAGCCATCCCATCCGAAGCCTTCATAAACCAGCCAACTCTAGACAACTCATCAGTCTCAGCAATAAACCCAGTTAGGAACAGCCAGGCCAGGCCCAGAGCAGAAGAATTGCCCAGTTGAGCTCAGCTCCAAGGTACTGAGCTGCACACTTGTGTGCTGAATAAGTGACATGGTGCGTTACAAGGCAAAAGATAACTGATAAATGCCTTAATACTTGGCTTGCCTATCCATTTCAGAAATAATTCCAATTCAGTCTTTCATGAATGTTTTCACGGTTTCATTTGGAAAATTCTGCTCTAAAAATTATAAAGGGGTGAAAATATAAGGCAACTTAGTATACTATCACCATTTGAGAAGGGTATTTTCTAAAACAGTCTCTCCTAGTAACTTTCAGAGGTATTTGTGAGGTGAAATGAGAGTGGGGAAGAGACTTCTAAAATCACGTTGCTAAAAGAAAGTGGCATCGCTTAGCAGCAACATTTCAAAACCAGAGAATCTTCAAATATTCTAGCTTATCCACATATTTGTGTATCACAAATGTGATATGATGGACATTTTCACTGTTGCAGGAAAATCAGCCCTGACTCTCTTGTCTCGTACTTAAATATGATTCTTAATGGACCTACATTTCAAACTCCTGGATCCCTTCTCAAGCTCCAAGTGCCTTAAGTTTGAGTTGACGTGGCGAGTGTGGGAGAAAGTAAGAAACATTAAATACTTGCAATTTACACTTTGGGAGTTTCCAAAATTCAACTCATTCATTTTTTTTTCCAGCAAATATTTTATTGAGTGTCTGGTCACCACCTTGTGTGCTGCTCTGAAAACCTGCTATAACTGCACAAAGGTGGCAGAGCACATTGCTCTTAATTCCCATGGCTTTCTTGGGAAACTGTACACTACCACTGCAGTCACAATATGGTCTTCCTCTCTTCCCAGCCACCCCCACCATAAAGCTACCTGAAATAAGGGCACATTACATATTTTCTGATGGTCTTTCCTCTGTAGAGAAATGTAGATCCTGGATAAAGACCCTTGGCAAGGACCTTTTTCCTCTGCCTGATATTTGTATTCAAGCAAAATAATGATAGTAAGAGTAAGCATTTAGAAAGTGTTGACTATGTAGCCTAGCACTGCTCCGACACTTTACGTTTATTAATAGACGACTGAGGCTAGCTTTGATCAATAAAATCACGTGAGTAGGCACATTTGCCACTCGGTGGTACAAGAAGGAGTCCCTATGGCATCGCATGACTGTCCATGGAGTTTCCAGAGAGGTGATAACTGATGCTGTGAACTCCTGGTTTCCAGGAAACGGCTCTAAGCTTGTCTCTAAGGTATCTAAACAAATATTTTATTATCTTCTGGGAATTCTGATCCTGCAACCTAAATCAAAGATCCCAAACACTAAATCAAATTTTTGTGGCCTTCAAAGCTTAATATGAAAATTACCAGTGATGTTTTTCTTCCCCCATAATATGACATTAGGAGCTTAGTAATGCATATCTAGATGTGAGTTGACATTTACACTTGTTATTTGTTGGGAAGGATGAGTATGCTTCATAATTTATATGTATCAAATATCTTCATTTGTGTAAATCAAAGAGTTACTAATAAAAATGCTAAGAGAAGCTGGACATGGTGACTCATGCTTGTAATCCCAGCACTTTGGAAGGCCGAGGTAGGAGGATTGCTTGAGCCCAAGAGTTCGATACCAAACTGGGCAAGATAGTAAGACCCCATCTCTACAAAAAATTAAAAAATTAGTCAGATGTGGTGGCACATGTCTATAGTCCCAGCTACTTGGGAGGCTGAGGTGGGAGGATCACCTGAGCCAAAGAAGTCCAGGCTGCAGTGAGCTAGTGAGCTGTGATGACACAACTGCACTCCAGCCTGGGCGACAGACCAAGAACCTGACTCAAAAAATTTAAAAAAAAATACCAAGAGAACCATATAGGTCTAGGAGACATGACTTCAAACTTTCCTCACTTTCTCATTTGAGGACAAAGCCACAAGGGCATCAAAAATTTTCCTCCCTGTGATGGTTAATTTTCTGTGTCAACTTGATTGGGCTACAGGATGCCCAGATATTTGTTCAAGCATTATTCTGAATGTGTTTGTGAGGGTATTTTGAATGAGATTAATATTTGAGTCAATAGACTGAGTCATGCTGATTGGCCTCCTTAATGTGGATGGGTGGAGCTTATTCAATTAGTTTAAGGCTTGAAAATGACAAAAGGTTGAGTAAGAGAAAACTCCCACCTGACTTTGTGAGCTAGGACATTATTTTTTTTCCTGCTTTTGGATTGGACTGAGATATTGGCTCTTCTTCAGTTGCAAGGCTGCTGGCTTTGAGACTGGAACTACACTATCAGCTCTCCTGGGTCTCCAGCTTGCTAACTACACATCTTGGGACTTCTCAGCCTATATAGTCATGTGAGCCAATTCTTTAAAATACATTTCTCCCTACATATACACACATGTAAAATTGGCTGTTATTTCTGTTTCTCTAAGGGACTCTGAATAGTGAATTCCCCTTTCTCCTGTTCCTGAGAGGAATCGGATGTCTGAACTTTCCTCACTTCTTCCCTATATCTGCAAGTGTTCTGTTGTTCACATTTCTTTTTGCCTACTGCCTTTGACAACTCATTTTGAACTTCCCCTTGCAGCCCACCTAGCCCTCATGTACATAGGGAAGCTCAGAGCCATACACCCAGGCCTGCTTCTCCTTCATCTCTGACGATTACAGCCTGGCTAGAGCCCACAGTCTTGCTGAACCAGGAGGGAAGGTTTAAAGCTACAGCAGTGACTGAAAGGCTACAACAAAATTAGAACCAGACTCCATGGAACAGGGGCAGAGCCCAGACAGTGATTCTGGTACATGTGCAGCAATATCTCTGTCTCAGAAAAGGAAACCAAAGAAGCCTCTGAGCCATTTACCAATTCTTCTAGCAAAACCCTTTCTTCACAATTATTCGTATGTGGCATTGTATCTTAGCATGTGTCAGATTCTGAATAGCTGAAATTAAGATATATCATATACATCATGATATATAATATATATATCATGATATATATTATATATATGAACTATATATAAACTATAAAGCATTCTGCAAATATATCATGATATATCATAATATATACTATATATCATATATGATATACATGATATATAATATATACTATATATGTGTATATCATGATATGATATAATATATCATATGTCATATATGAGATATAATATATCATGTATATCATATATGATGATATACATGATATATCTTAATTTCACCTATTCATATATGATATATATGATATATAATATATTATTATATATTATATATGTACTGTATATTAGATATATAGCATATATCTTATATAACATGATATATATCAATATATATTATATAATATATAATGATATATATCATATATATTATATATGATATATATATTATATAATATATAATGATATATATATTATATGTAATGATGTAACATATATCATAACATGTATCAGATATAAATTATATATTATCATATATACTCATTGCCAGTTTTTCTGGCAAGGTGTTATTTCATTGTTTTTCTGAATGAAATTGTTTATTTTCCCTTAGCTTTTCAACTTAATTTTATTGGATATAAAATTCTAGGTCAACAATTTTTTTCCTTTTTAACCAGTTTTATCATGGTATAATTAACAAACACAAGTGGTATATATTTAATGTGCATTATGATGTTCTGATATTGATACATTATGAAATGCTTGCATAAATCAAGCTAATTCATATAATTGACATATCAATTACCCTACATAGTTATTGTGTGTGTGTGTGTGTGTGTGTGGTGAGAACATTTAAGATCTACTCTGTTAGCAAATTTCAAGTATACAATCCAGTATTATTCTGATCCTGAATAGGTGGAATTAAGATCAATGAGTATATATATATATATACATATATATATATAAACGTTTCTGTGCATTTGTACATGTGTGTGTGTGTGTATGCTCCTTGACACTTTATGATGGGAGTACATGTTGATAAACCTATCATAAATTCAAAATATCATAAATTGAAATTGCATATAACACAACGAATCTATCAAACATCATAGCTTATCTTAGCCTACCTTAAACGTGCTCAGAACACTTATATTAGCCTACAGTTAGGCAACATCATCTAACACTGGGCCTATTTTATAATACATGAATATCTCATGTAACTTATTGAATACGTTGCTGAAAGTGATAAACTATATGCTTATATGTATACTCAAAATATGGTTTCTACTGAATGTGTATCATTTTTCAACATCCTTAAGTACAAAAATCATAAATCAAACCAAGACACACACGCACACATACACACATACACACACATACACACATACACACACACTGGTATATACTGCATGATGAAATATATTTGCTAAACACCTTATATTTTTATTATGGGCCTCAAGACTAATCTCATTCCTAGAATAAGAATCACCATGTCAAATATTTTACCTTTTATGAGTTATCCAGCACCAAAGGGACAGCCTGGCAGTAATTACTGTTTTTATCATCATTATCATCATCATCATCATTATCCATTATCAACAACACATTCAGAATAAGTAAGTGGTATAATCTCAGCAATCATACTTTCTGGGTTTGAACCCTGCCTTTTAAGCTGTGTAACACTGGAAAAATGACTCTACTCAGTCTGAATTTTCACATGCACAAAATGTGGATATAAATAATGCTTAGACCTCAGAGTTCTTGTGAGGATTAAACAAGCTAAAACATTTAATTGGATTAGCAGAATGTCTGGCATGTGATAAACATTAAAAAAATCTTAGCCACTATTTTCACCATTAGTGAAGCTTATATTTGCAGAATGCTTTATAGTTTAATCCACTCCCACTTAATCTAATTATTGATATCATTGGTATATTTCATACAGATTTGTTCCAAGTGTTCTGTGTTCTTTTATTCTCTCTCTTCTGCCTTCTTTTGGGCCAGTGAAATATTTTTAATATCCCATTTTATATATTCCGTGGAATTTCCAAATATAACATTTTGTGTTACTTTATTTATTTACTGGTTTCTGTAGAGATTACAATATGCAACTTTAGCTTTTCACAGTCCATGTCCAAATAATTTTATATGACTTCATAAAAAATTCAGAATCTTTCAGCAGTTCAATTCTATATCCCTTTCCTGCCCTTTTTGCTTTTTATTTTATAATTTACATATATATATACTGTAAAACTCAAGATACATTAATAATATTCCTTTAAACTGTAAATAATCTCTTAAAAATATATACCAGTGTATATATGTGTGTGCATTTGTATAAAGTTTTAAATTTTTAAAATAATTTTTATTTAATAATTTTAAAACAATTTGTAATCTTTTCCCTCATATTTACCCTTTTTGGTGCTCTGTATTTGTCCCTGTAGATTCGGGCTTCCTTTTTTTTTTCTTTTAATTAGAACAACAAGACAAAAACACCAACCTGCAAAAAAGATCTTTTTATTTTCTTTATTTCTTCTAACAACAACAACAACAAAAAAAAACTGGCTACATGTGCAGAATGTGCAGGTTTGTTACATAGGTATACACATGCCATGGTGGTTTGCTGTACCTTCTGACCTGTCCTCTAAGTTCCCTCCCCTCACCCCTCAACCTCCCAACAGGCCCCAGTGTGTGATGTTCCCGTCCCTGTGTCCATGTGTTCTCAATGTTCAGCTCCCACTTATGAGTGAGAACATGTGGTGTTTGGTTTTCTGTTCCTGTGTTAGTTTGCTGAGGATGATGACTTCCAGCTTCATCCATGTCCCTGCAAAGGACATGATCTCATTCTTTTTTATGGCTGCATAGTATTCCACAGTGTATATGTACCACATTTTCTTTATCCAGTCTATCACTGATGGGCATTTGGATTGGTTCCATGTCTTTTCTATTGTAAATAGCAATAAACATACACGTGCATGTGTCTTTATAGTAGAATGATTTATAATCCTTTGGGTATATACCCAGTAGTGGGATTGCTAGGTCAAATGATATTTCTGGCTCCACATCCTTCAGGAATCACCACATTGTCTTCTGCAATGGTTGAACTAATTTACATTCCCACCAACAGTGTAAAAGCGTTCCTATTTCTCCACAGCCTTGCCAGCAACTGTCATTTCCTGACTTTTTAATAATCGCCATTCTGACTGGCATGAGATGCCATCTCATTGTAGCTTTGATTTGCATTTCTCTGATAATCAGTGTTGTTGAGCTTCTTTTCATATGTTTGTTGGCCATGTAAATGTCTTCTTTTGAGAGTTGTCTGTTCATATCCTTTGCCCACTTTTTATGGGATTGTTTTTTCCTTGTAAATATGTTTAAGTTCCTTGTAAATTATGGATATTAGACCCTTGTCAGATGGGTAGGTTGCAAAACTTTTCTCCCATTCTGTAGGTTGCCTGTTCACTCTGATGGTAGTTCTTTTGCTGTGCAGGAGCTCTTTAGTTTAATTAGGTTCCATTTGTCAATTTTGGCTTTTGTTGCAATTGCTTTTGGCATTTTTTCATGAAGTCTTTGCCTAAGCCTATGTCCTGAATGGTATTGCTTAAGTTTTTTTTCTAGGATTTTTATGGTTTGGGTTTCACATTAAAGTCTTTTATCCATCGTGGGTTAATTTTTGTATTAGGTATAAAGAAGGGGTCCAGTTTCAGTTTTCTGCATATGGCTAGCCAGTTTTCCCAGCACCATTAACTGAATAGGAAATCCCTTCCCCATTGCTTGTATTTGTCAGGTTTGTCAAAAATCAGATGGTTGCAGGTGTTTGGTGTTATTTCTTAGGTTTCTCTTCTGCTACATTGGTCTACATGTCTGTTTAGGTACCAGTACCAGGCTGTTTTGGTTACTGTAGCCTTGTAGTGTAGTTTGAAGTCAGGTAGCGTGATGCCTCCAGCTTTGTTCTTTTGGCTTAGGATTGACTTGGCAATGCGGGTTCTTTTTTGGTTCCATATGAACTTTAAAGTAGTTTTTTTTTTTCCAATTCTGTGAACAAAGTCATTGGTAGATTGATGGGGATGATACTGAATCTATAAATTACCTTGGGCAGTAGGGCCATTTTCACAATATTGATTCTTCCTATCCATGAGCATGGAATGTTCTTCCATTTGTTTGTGTCCTCTTTCATTTCGTTGAGCAGTGATTTGTAGTTATCCTTGAAGAGGTCCTTCACATCCCTTGTTAGCTGTATTCCTAGGTATTTTATTCTCTTTGTAGTAATTGTGAATGGGAGTTCATTCATGATTTGGCTCTCTGCTTGCCTATTGTTGATGTAAAAGAATGCTTGTGATTTATGCACATTGATTTTGTCCTGAGACTTTGCTGAAGTTGCTTATCAGTTCTGGAAGTTTTGGGGCTGAGATGATGGGGTTTTCTAAATATAAAATCATGTCATCTGCAAACAGAGACAACTTGACTTCCTCTCTTCCTATTTGAATACGCTTTATTTTTTTCTCTTGCCTGATTGCCCTGGCCAGAACTTCCAATACTACATTGAACAGGAGTGGTGAGAGAAGGCATCCTTGTCTTGTACCAGTTTTCAAAGGAAATGCTTCCGGCTTTTGCCCCTTCAATGTGATATTGGCTGTGGGTTTGTAATAAATAGCTCTTATTATTTTGAGATATGTTCCATCAATACCTAGTTTATTCAATGTTTTTAGCATAAAGAAATGTTAAATTTTGTCAAAGGCCTTTTCGGCATCTATTGAGATAATCATGTGGTTTTTGTCTTTGATTCTGTTTATGTGATGGATTACATTTATTGATTTGCATATGTTGAATCAGCCTTGCATCCCAGGGATGAAGTCAACTTGATCGTGGTGGATACATCTTTTGATGTGCTGCTGGATTCGGTTTGCCAGTATTTTATTGAGGATTTTTGTATCAGTGTTCATCAGGGTTATCAGCCTGAAGATTTCTGTTTTTGTTGTGTCTCTTCTGGTTTTGGTATCAGGATGATGCTGGCTTCATAAAATGAGTTAGGGAGGAGTTCCTTCTTTTCAATTGTTTGGAATAGTTTCAGAAGGAATAGTACCAGCTCCTCTTTGTATTTCTGGTAAAATTCAGCTGTGAATCCTGGGCTTTTTTTGGTTGGTAGGCTATTAATTACAGCCTCAATTTCAGAGCTTGTGTTTGGTCTATTCAGGGATTCAACTTCATCCAGGTTTAGTCTTGGGAGGGTGTATGCATCCAGGAATTTATCCATTTCTTCTAGATTTTCTAATTTATTTTCATAGAGGTGTTCATAATATTCTCTGATGGTAGTTTGTATCTCTGTGGGGTCAGTGGTGATATCCTCTATCATTTTTTATTTTGTCTATTTGATGCTTCTGTCTCTTCTTCTTTACTAGTCTAGCTAGCTGTCAATCTATTTTGTTAATTTTTTCAAAAAATCAGCTCTCGGATTCATTGATTTTTTGAAAGGTTTGTTTTGTGTCTCTATCTTCTTTAGTTCTGCTCTGATCTTAGTTATTTCTTGTCTTCTGCTAGCTTTTGGATTAGTTTTCTCCTGCCTCTTTAGCACTTCTAATTGTGATGTTGGGGTGTTAATCTGAGATCTTTCTAGCTTTCTGATGTGGGCATTTAGTGCTATAAATTTTCCTCTTAACACTGCTAAAGCTGTGTCTCAGAGATTCTGGTACGTTGTCTCTTTGTTCTCATTGGTTTCAAAGAACTTCTTGATTTCTGCCTTAATTTCATTATTTAGCCAGGAGTCATTCATGAGCAGGTTGTTCAATTTCCATAAAATTGTAATTTTGGGTTGAAAATTCTTTTCCTTAAGAATGCTGAATATTGGTTCCCAATCTTTTCTGGCTTGTGGAGTTTCTGCTGAGAGGTCTGCTGTTAGTCTGGTGGGCTTCCCTTTATAGGTGACCTGGCCTTTCTCTCTGGCTGCCCTTAACAATTTTTCCTTCATTTTGACCTTAGAGTATCTGCTGATTATGTGTCTTGGGGTTGATCTTCTCATGGAGTATCTTAATTGTGTTCTCTGTATTTCCTGAATTTGCATGTTAACTTGTCTCGCTAGGTTGGGAAAGTTCTCCTGGATAATATCCTGAAGTGTGTTTTCCAGCTTGTTTCCATTCTCCCCATCTCCTTCTGGTACTCCAATCAATCATAGGTTTGGTCTTTTTATGAAGTCCCATATTTCTTGGAGGCTTTGTTTATTCATTTTCATTCGTTTTTCTCTATACTTGTCTACATGTCTTATTTCAGGAAAGTGTTCTTTCTTCAATCTCTGATATCCTTTCTTCCGCTTGGTTGATTCAGCTGTTGATACTTGCATATGCTTCACAACTTTCTCATGCTGTATTTTTCAGCTCCATCAGGTCGCATATGTTCCTCTCTAAACTGGTTATTCTAGTTAGCAATTCCTCTAACTTTTTATCAAGGTTCTTAGCGTCTTTGCATTGGGTTAGAACATGCTCCTTTAGCTCATTATAGTTGTTTATTATCCATCTTCTGAAGCCTACTTCTGTCAATTCATCCATTTCATCCTCCGTCCAAATCTGCACTCTTGATGGAGAGACTGGGATCATTTGGAGAAGAGGCACTCTGGCCTTTTGGGTTTTCAGCATTTTTTTGTGGATTCTTTCTCGTCTTTGTGAGTTTGTCTAGTTTTGATCTTTGAGGCTGCTGACCCTTGGATGGGGTTTTTGTGGGGACTTTTTCTTGTTGTTGTTGTTGATGCTGTTGTCATTTTCTGCTTGTTTGTTTTTCTTTCAATAGTCAGTCCCTCTTCTGTAGGGCTGCAGCGATTTTCTGGCAGTTCACTTCAGGCTCTGCTCGTCTGATTTGCTCCCATGCCTGGAGATGTCACTCAAGGCAGTTGGAGAGCAGCAAAGATGGGTGCCTGCTCCTTCTTCTGGGACCTCTGACCTTGAGGGGCACCAACCTGATGCCAGTAGCATTGCTCCTGTATAGGGTGTCTGACAATCCTTGTTGGAGGGTCTCACCCAGTTGGGTTGCATGGGGAGCAGGACCCATTTAACGAAGTGCTTTGTCCTTTAGTTGACAGGGCATGTTTTCCTGGGGGGAAACCCACTCGTCTGGACTGCCCAAATTCCAGAGAACTACCAGGAGGAGAGGCTAAGTCTGTTGCTTTGTGGAGACTGTCCCAATTGGCTCAGGCCAATTGGCTCAGGCCCAGGGAGATTTGAATTCTGTCCCTCAGCTTCTGGTTGGAGTTACTGGAGATCCTGCAAGTAAGCCCAGTCCACTGAGGAGGAATGGGTCAGGGTTAGGCATGAAGAGGCATTCTGTCAACGGACTGCCACAGCTGGTGTGTTGGGCTGTGGAGAAAAGTCTTGGGACCAAGCTGTCCAGCCTCCCTGGCTCCAGGAGAGGAAAAGCACAGCTATAGAAATGGGTGCTGCCCTAGCTCCCGCCCAGGGAGCTTATTGTGTTAGGCAGTTGTGAGTCCCAGTGCTGGCTGCTACTGCACCTCCCCCAAGGAGCCCAAAAGGCTTACACAGCAGGCAGTGGCAGTGGGTGCTGGTCACCCCTTCCTCTGGGAGTTTGGTAGGCTTAAGCAGACTCCAGCTGAGAGGCTTTCAGAATCTATGCATTCCAGGGATGGGATGCTAGGCCCCTGTAGGATGGGTTCATGAGTGGGATCTTTTGATCTGTGGGTTCACCACATTGCTCTTCCTTCTCTCCATGGGTCACGCCAGCCTTTTGGTCAATTTTGATGAGAAAACCTGGATACCTTGGTTATCAGTGAAGGACTGACATGCTTATTATGTTTTTTTTTCAACGGGAGCCTCCTAGTGCCGCTGCTTCTGGTCGGCCATGTTGACCCCACCCTCCGGGCTTCCTTTTGATATCACTTTTCCTCCCCCTGAAAAACTTCTTTGAATATTTCTTTAGTACAGTTTTTGTGGCAACGTATTATTTCGTTGTTTGTCTGAAGTTGTTTATTTTGTCTTAATTTTTCAGTGTGATCGTATTGTATGTAAAATTCTAGGTCAACATTTGTTTTTTTTCTACTTTTATTGTGGTATAATTAACAAATACACATTGTTTATATTTAGCATGCAATGTGATGTTCTGATTTTGATACATTTGACATGATTGCCAAAATCAAGTTAATTAATATATCAATTACCTCACACAGTTATCATGTGTGTGTGTTGAGAACATTTAAGATCTACTTTCTTAGCAAGTTTCAAGTGTATAATCCAGTATAATTAACTATAGTCATCATGCTGAATATTAAATCTCCAGAACTTATTGATCCTTCCTAACTGAAATTTTGTACCCTTTGACCACCATCTCCTCATTTCCCTCAGCCTCCGAAAACTACCATTTACTCTCTGATTCTATGAATTTGACTTTTTTATATTCTGCATATAAGTGAGATCATACAGTGTTTGTCTTTTTGTGTCTGGCTTATTTCACCTAGTGTAATGTCCTTCAGGTTCATTCTTGTTGTTGCAAATGACAAAATTTCTTTCTTTTTTAAGGCAGTAATATTCTAGTGTGTGTGTGTGTGTGTGTGTGTGTGTGTATGGAATTTTTATGGAATTTTTTTATCCATTTAAGTGGCATTAGACACTAAGGCTTGTTTAATATATTGGCTACTGTGGATAATGCTACAATGACATGGGAGTGAAGATATATTTTTAACAACATATAGATTACATTTTCTTTGAATATATATCAACAAGTGGAATTGTTGGATCATATAGTAGTTCTATGTTTAAATTTTTGAGGAACCTCCATACTGTTTTCCGTAATGGCTGTACAGATTTGTATTCCCACCAACAGCATGTAAAGGTAACTTTTCTCCACATTCTTGCCAACACTTGTTATCTTTTGTCTTTTTAATAATAGCCTTGTGGGCAGGTGTGAGGTGATATCTAATTGTGGGTTTGATTTGTATTTCTCTGATGATTAGTTATACTGAGAATTTTTAGTATACTTATTGGCCATTTTGAGAACCATCTATTCAAGTCCTTTTCCCATTTTTAAATTAGTTTATTTGTTTTGAGTTGTATGAGTTCCTTGTAAATTTTGTATATTGACAGCTTACCAGATATGTTTTGCAAATATTGTATCCCATTCCACAGATTGTCTTGTCACTCTGTTGATGGTTTCCCTGCAGTGTAGAATTTTGTAGTTCGATGCAATCCCATTTGTCAATTTTTACTTTTGTCACTTGCGGACAGTTTATTTTTCCTTTCAGCATTTGAGAGGTGTAGTTTTGTAGTCCTGAAACTTCTGTTGTTTCTGAAAAATCAGCTTTAAATTTTATTTGTTCCTCTGAAAATGGTACACCTTTTTCTGACTGCTTTTAAGATATTTTTCTTAATTTTTCATTTTTAGCAAAAGTCATAGTTGGATTTTTGACTATGATTCAACAAGATATGGTTTTCTTTTCATTATTCTCACTTGGAGTTCACTGAATTTCTTGTATCTGTGGATGTATGTCTTTTGTCAATTTGAGAAAATTATTGGCAAAATTTTATATTTGCCAACAATTTTTTAATCTTTAAAAAATTGTTTGCAGCCCATTTTCTTTCTAATCTACTTTACGGACTCAAATTACACATATGATACACCATTCGATATTGTCCTGTGTCTCTCAGATGCTATATTGTTTTCTTATTTTTAATTTTATCTCTGTTTTCAGTTTGGGTAATTTTTATTCATCAATCTTTCAGTTGTTCAAATGTGTTTTGACTTGACTAGTGTGTTATTAATCCAATTTTATGATATATTTTCTACCATTTTCTTTTCTTTTTTTTTTTTTTTTGAGATGGAGTCTTGCTCTGTCGCCCAGGCTGGAATGCAGTGGCATGATCTCGGCTCACTGCAAGCTCCACCTCCCGGGTTCAAGCGATTCTCCTGCCTCAGACTCCTGCATAGCTGGGACTACAGGTGCACACCACCGCGCCAGGCTAATTTTTGTATTTTTAGTAGAGACAGGGTTTCACCATGTTGGCAAGGATGGTCTCAATCTCTCTTATTTAGTACTTCCTCTCTGTTGCAATTCCCCTCAGTTCAGCATGTTCACTTCACCATATCTTTTAACATTTTTATTATAGTTATTTAAAAGTCCTCTTTGAAGATTGCAACATATTGGGAATCTCTGAGTCTACTTTTATTAACTACTTCCTCTCTTGACTATGGCTCCCATTTCCTTGCTCCCACATGCGTCCTATAAATTTTTATTGTATATTTGACTTTGTGTATAAAAGAAATGCTATAATAACATTTAACCCCAGAAAAGAGCAGGAAAAGTCCTGATAGGGTACCAGCATGTGTTGGGGGGGGGGGGTTGTGCTATATCAATTTAGTCTGTAATTGAGCTGCTTCTTGGCTCTGCTGCAGCTTTAGTTTAATACAGTTGACTACATCTTCAAAGATTTTAAAGAGATATCAGGACTTTACTTTCATAAAGGCTTGATATCTGAGCACTGGCAAAGACTCAAAATATCATTTTCTGCTTTATGGCCTGGCTATCAGCTTTTCTGGGTCACTGAGAGCTCTTTTCTCTCTAGCCTTCTGTATCTTGCAAGACTTCTCCACTCTGCTGTACTCTTTTGTCTTTGTAGAGCCACTGCAAAGCACTTAGTAAGACCTGGAATGCCTGAGAGGGCCTCTCTCATTTCTCCTTCCCTGCCCTGTGCTTTTGGCATACTGTCCCCATCAACTCAGAGAAGACCCAGAAGAAAGAGTTCGAGTATGTTGAAAATTATGTCTACAGCTCCTGGGAATTTTGATCAGTATGGTATTTCACAAGCAGGTATTAAAAATTTGTTAAAGTCCCCCAACTGACTTATTTGTATCCCCTTCTATGAAGGATTCTTTCTGCTTCCATCATTCTGCCAACAAGGAAAGCAGCCATGGAGAGTTTGTCACCTTATGGAATATAGTTCATTTGAAGTTTTAAATTTTTCATACTCAGCCATCTGGTGATTTTTTTTAAAAGCTCTGTTTTTGTAAATTAACTTACTTGTTCTAGATGTTATCCAAATTTTTAAAATACCCACAACCTCCTGGTAGATATAAAGAGATTATTCTTCATAGAAAAGACAATGGCTTGCAGTACATTTTTTGATTGAATAATAAATAAGTGAGTGGATGAACACATGAATTAAGAAAAGAGCACACTAGTTCCCCAAACAAAGGTTTTTTTTTTGTTTTTTGTTTTTTTTTTTTGATGGAGTCTCGCTCTGTCACCAGGTTGGAGTACAGTGGTGTGATCTCAGCTTGCTGCAACCTCTGCCTCCCAGGTTCAAGTGGTTCTCCTGCCTCAGCCTCCCGAGTAGCTGGGACTATAGGCATGTGCCACCACGCCCAGCTAATTTTTGTATTTTTTAGTAGAGACAGGGTTTCACCACGTTGGCCAGGATGGTCTTGATCTCTTGAACTCGTGACCCATCTGCCTCCACTTCCCAAAGTGTTGGGATTACAGGCATGAGCCACCACGCCTGGCCCAAACCAAAGGTTTTTAAGATGAAAAGTATGTTTAAGTATGTTTCCATTGTAAGCTATTTCCCTATATTTCCCTAAAATAAAGCCAAGTTTGGATGCAAGGATTACCCATCACCTTCTTACCCCACAGAGCCATCTTTTCAGTTTGACTTGTTATTGCCACTCCAGAGTCTTTGCATGATATTTTGTATATCCCAAAAACAAGCCCTAAGCACATAATGATGCATTAGAAGAAACACCTTGCATACAACAGGAAAATATTATGTGGTCAACTCAAGGATATTTATGCATTTATTTGGTAAATGTGAGCTTGTGAAGTAGTCTCACTTTATATTTCCAACACTCACCAACAACTCTATAGTGTAGTGATTATTATTCCCATTCTGTAAATAAGGAAAGTGAGAGTCAGAGAGCTCACACAGCTACTAAGATGGAAAGCTGCACTTTAAATCTGTGCCCTTTTTACTAAGCCACGAATTCTAAGTTATTATAAATTTAATTCCTTATATGGAGTTGATACAGCCAATATGTAAACAAGCATTGTCTAGTTTGATCAACATAGACAATCCTGTGAGATAATCTGGGCAAGCATTTTATTTTAGAGAGCAAGAAATGGAGACTCAGACAGATTGAGAACATGCTGATATGAATATTATATTCAGCTCTTGGCCCTGGGAGCTCTGACTCCTAGTCCTTTGCTCCTTCTCCTGCGTGTCACTGTTTCTCATGCTTTCTTGTTTAAGGTTTTAGTAATGACAGAAAGCTGGTAAATTTACTCTATCATAACTCTGGTCTCATGAATAAAGAAATGGTAATGAATGCCCTTTTAATAAGACATTTTCATAGTCCAGAACCATTTACCAATTTAAAATCTATATCATGGTGGAAGTCAAACAGCCAAAGTATAGTCTTAATTTTTATATTATTCAGCTAGAGGGAGTCTAGTTTTGTTGGGGGGAAGCTTATTAACCTCAACATTTTTTCTAAGAATTTGTTATTTTATCATGTACAAGGTTAAAAAATGCCAAACGTCATATTAAGATAGCTGCAAGCAATTAGAATTCAAAGGTCACCATCTTACACAGATTTAGAGCATGGTTCCAGCATTTTTCTCTTCTGTTTCACTGGGACTTTTATTCAGCACTGAAAAAGCCATTCATTTTGTAAAGGTTAATTCGTAACTCTGGATTTGATGAAGTGCTCTGCCTGTATCATCTGCATTTTATCACTGCGTCGGCGTCAGCCAAACCCTCTTCCCTGATCAGAACTGGCCTGCCTCTGTCAGAGACTGAAAATTCACCCTCCCTCTCTTGGTTCTGTCGTCCCACAGGGTTCCATAATGACTACATTTCATGAATCATGCCCCTCTCCTTTCCTAGTCAATAGGTAGACAGAATTGCTGCCTTTCACTTTTCCTTTCAGCAGTTACCTTTCAAATGTGCACAATTTAATAATTAATTTTGACCTTCTGTTTATAAATTCTAGTGGGTAAAATAGATTCAATTTTCTTTCTGTTTGTTTTTTTTTAACTAGAGTTAATTTTTATTTTGATGTCCTACCTCACTGGGGAACAGAAACATCTCAGTCATTCCAGGGTCTCTCTCCTTTCCTTAGTGTTACTTCTAGGTTCCTAGGGTAGGACTTCAATGGTACTGAGGTGCTGGGGTAGGGGAGGCCTCTGGTCATCTTTGTCTCAAATCATTACTGGCATGTGATAAGATGTCTGCATACTTATCCATTTCTTAGCCATCTGTCTGAGCAGGTCGCTGGTGTTGCTTTCTTGTCCTATTCATGACTTTTAAATGGCCACCAGTTCTCTGTGTCATATGTGTCATATGCACGCTGTTTTTGGTTTTACCAGTAATCATGCTCCTCACTTTCCATAAGGGTTTGTGTAGATTCTTCAAGGTCATCTCATGATTATTAGCCCAGATTCTGCCCTCAAGTTTATGGCCTGAGAGCCAGGGCCCAGGGCTTAACACCTGGGTGGAACCATGTGATCCCTGGAGTTATCCCACCCAGAGCTGGTGTATAGAATGGACCAAATTTTTTCAGTCCAGCATCTCAATTTCCTTCCGCTTTGGGGGAAATACCCTAGACTGTGTACATTTGGAGAGTAGTAGTTCCTTCTCTCCCTTTACAGAAGGTAAAGTGGGAGATAATCCCATTTTGCTGACAATACAAGAGCATACAAGAGCGCATGACCTAGCCATAGCCAGTCTGATCCTTCCCCAGCAAGTCTCTGTGGTTGTGGGGCTTTCTGCCTTACCTCCCCAGATTTGGCCAATTTTCCTTCATGTGATTCTTCTTGTTATCCATTAATTCAGTGTGCCACCTGCTAAACTTCTGATACAGGCTTATGAAATATTTGGGACCAGAAGGGTTTCAGATTGGGGATTTTTTGATTTTGGAATATTTGCACATATATAATGAGACATCTTGGGGATGGAACCCAACTCTTAACATGAAATTCATTTATGTTTCATATATACCTTACATACATAGCCTGAAGGTAATTTTATAGAACATTTTAAATTATTTTTTGCATGAAGCAAAGTTTGTATTATGTACTTATGTATGGAATTTTCTACCTCTGGCATCCTGTCAGTGCTCACAGAGTTTTGTATTTTGGAACATTTGAGATGTTGGATTTTCAAATTAGGGATGCTCAACCTATATATCCCTTTTCTGTTCAATAGCCAGGATCAGTTTCAAATACTTAATCTGTAATCCAAACTATTATAGAACAGGATGAACAGTGTCTGTTGCATGAGGTACCTAGGCAGATGGGTTGGATCAATTTCAGATTGTCTCATTATATATGTGCCTTGGAGGGGTGAGGAGAACAGTAGCATATTTATAAAGACAGACATTCATAGCACAGATTATTGGCACACTTGAAAGCCTTGCTATTGGGACAAGGACTTGCATAGGTCAATGCCTGAAGACAAGACAGGAATGAAAACACCTCAGAGGATGCCCCGGTGTGGAGCAGTGGCAACATCTGATAAGCAGACACTTCTCTCCATGTGTCACTACTATTCTAGACACCTCATCATTTAGATGCAACTCTAGGGAAAATGTTTAGAACTTGAAAGAATGTGGGCTCAAAATAGAAATTAAGTTCAGTTATAGAAAAAAATTGTCAGATTTCTTGCATGCTTGAACTTGGTACT
Organism: Homo sapiens; assembly: GCF_000001405.40. NCBI lineage: Eukaryota > Metazoa > Chordata > Mammalia > Primates > Hominidae > Homo > Homo sapiens. Next base: position 34,243,363 of record NC_000013.11, read on the forward strand.
AAATGACATATATATTAGAAAGAGTAAAGCCCCTTTCATTCAGAGAAAGAAGAGTTAGTCTGTATGCACGAACCTTTTGTGATTGTATTTATTTATAATTTCAACCTGCCTACTTCCACAAGGGGCTTGAGGCAGCTGAGCTTTGGTTGACATTCTAATGAGACAGGAGCCCAAAGAATCACCAGTGCCTGCCAGCAGCACTGTTCATTAGAGGCTGGAGGGAGGTGCCAGGGCTGCTCCGGGCATACCCAGCCTGACATGGCCATTAAGCAGCTCTGGAACTGTCTCCCATTCATTAGAGCCAAGCTGCAGTCACAGAAGCAAACGCTGCTCACAACCTGTCCAGGTTCCAGAGAGTTTGATTTCCTAGGACCTTCTTCTCATGGCTTTATGTCAACAGAATGAAGTTTATTACCTTTCAAAAACACCAGCTTGGTCTGTTAGTGATAACAGGGGCTTTCAATCATCCATGGGGTTGTGAAGGTACATCAAACAGGCTTTACATAAACAAATGGATTTTACATATGGCTCCTTCCTGTTAAAGTGACTTTTGAGCTCACTGGGAAAGAAAGTCTATTGGACGTGATGCTGGGGAATGGACCAGAAGCGGTGTATGGTTAATTGATACATAAGTGGACAGGCTACTGTATATCAATGAACGCTATTACAGTAATAATCTGGCCGAGTGTGGTGGCTTATGCCTGTAATTCCAATGCTTTGGGAGGCCGAGGCAGGTGGATCACCTGAGGCCAGGAGTTTGAGACATGCCTGGCCAACATGGTGAAACCCCGTCTCTACCAAAAATACAAAAATTAGCCAGGCGTGGTGGCACGCACCTGTAATCCCAGCTACTCAGGAGGCTAAGGCAGGAGAATCGCTTGAACCCAGGAGGCAGAGGTTGCAGTGAGCGAGATCATGCCACTGCACTCCAGTCTGGGTGACAGAGTGAGACTCCATCTCAAAAAAAAAAAGAAAAAAAGTAATAATCTGTGGTGGTTGGCACTATACAAAGAACTTCATATGCTTCACTCAGATGTCAACTGTCCTGAGCCTGCTCCTTAAGCTGCAGTTGAAATTTCTTTGATACTCCATCCACTTTAAGTCCCACGCAGCTTAAGCATAGTTAATATCCTCTCAAAATTTTGGGAAGTCCTGTGGCCTAACAGTCTCAGGGGCCTCTCTGCCCATGCCCCTGCAGGCACCTGTGCTGTCTTTGCTTCGCCCAACCCAGCACCAACCACACAGAAATCTGCCTGTTTACCGATTTTCACAAAACATCAACTCTCATCATCCATTTTAGAATTCTGTAAACTTCACTAAGATTTTTTTTAACCCACTATACAGTATCTTTCTATCTTTCCATCACATTTTTTTTTGTCTCCCTCTCACTCCTGAATGCTTTCCTTTTCTCTTCCCTATAAAAGCATTTCCAAAACAAAGTCAGTCTCTTCCTCATAAGAAATATTGTACTATCTGTTAAGAGAATAAAATGTTCTCCATGTTGGTTTACAGAGATGACCTTACATAATCTGTAGGGTAACTCCATGCAGGAATTACTTTCATTCTCATTTTACATTAAAAACAACAACTTAAGGCTCGGAAAGTTTAACCTGCCCCAACTCGTAGAGCCATATAACGAGTACCAGAGAAGAATTCCAAAATGACAATTTCTATTGAATATTATTCTTTTTTTTGTTTCTTTGGTTTTTGTTTGTTTGTTTAGAGACAGGGTTTTTCTATGTTGCCCAAGCTAGCCTTGAACTCCTAGGCTCAAGCGATCTTCCTGCCTCAGCTTCATGAGTAGCTGGGACTAGAGTATTTAATTTTCTGATTTAAAAAAAAAGCTTATTGGGTTGCACTCATGTTTACTACTTTATTAGTATTCTATTGCTGCTACAACAAATTTCCACAAACTTAGGGGTTTAACCAATACAATTTTATAATTTCATGATTCTAGAGAAGTCTGAAAAGGACTTCACTGGGCTACAATAGAGTCAGCAGAGCCACCTTCCTTTTTGGAAGTTCTAGAGAAGAATTCATTTTCTTGCCTTTTCTGGCTTCTAGAGGCTGCCCAGATCCCTCGGCTCTTGGCTCCTTCCCTCCATCTTTGAAGCCAGCAATGTGCATCTCTCTGACCATTTTTCCATACTCACATGGTCCTCCAGTCTCTCTCTGACTTTCTTTTCCACTTGTAAGGATCCCTGTGGTTGCATTGGCTCACCTGAATAATCTAGGATGATATTCCTACCTTAAGGTCAGCTGATTAGCAACTTTAATTCCGTCTGTAACCTTAATTCCTCTTTGCCCTGTAACGTAACATATTCATAGGTTCCAGAAATCAGAACATGGACATCTTTTGAGGAAGGGGTATAATTCTGCCTACCACTTAATACCAAAACTTCTTTAGCATTGTTTTGGTGAAAAATGCAAAGGATGTTTTTAAGAGCCAATAATAAACACAAATCTTAGCAGCTTTAAAAGAACACCTCATTGGGAACCTCAGATAAGTGTCAAAGATCAGAGGATCCATGAGCTCTAACCAAAATTCTGTTATCAGTCTTTTACAATGATAGTTCCTTCTTCAGTGGTCCTTATTAGTTCCTTCTTCAGTGGTCCTTATCACTTCTTTGTGGCAGAGCAAGACAGGAGGAAAAAGGGTTTCAAAATCAAACAAGTTTGGGGCATGTGAAATCAATTCTATTTTTCAGAGACTCACAAAGCAGGTTTGTACCTCAAAGGCCCCAGGAAGCCTCCCTCAAGAAAGCTGAATTTTATGTAGCCACCAGATATATTTTTTCCCAAGCCTATTCGAATGTTGCATTTATTAAAAAACAAAGTATCTTTCAACATTCCAGTTCTGGAAATGCTTCCTTGCATCACTGGAAAAATGGAAAGATGTCTTCCATGAAGAGAAGGGACCCCCAAAGTAAGCCGTGTAAAAGGATGAAAAGTCATCAGGCAAAAACAAACTAAGAAATACTTTAAGGAATTTATGAACTTCCAAAACAAAAATAAAAAATTTGTTAAGGTAATCAGTGTTAGCACTCTGGCTAGAGAATCAAGGCTACCTCTTGATACTCACTGTTAAAGAAGTAAACTCAAGGGGGAAATGTGGTGAGAGGGCTTAATGTATTATTTTCTCCCTAGTAAGGACAATTTGGGGGATATTCCTGCTACAAAATTGTCTTTCAAAGCGGAGGTCTTATAAGTGATTAGATCAAAAAGGTTTTTTTTTTTTGTTTGTTTTAAAAAACAAAACAAAACAGCATACTCTAGGCCTGATTGACAAACTACATATGAATCATCAGAGCTAGCTAACCACATCCTGAGAACTAGAAGGCACTCAAGGGCAAGGTGAGGACCTACAAGCCAATGGAAAACCCTCTTCGTTACAGGGCAGGGGATTAGCCAATGTAAGTTTCATCACTAGAAACATCCTAGTGGACCTTTTTGGTCATTCTAGCCTGGTGAGTGGGCAATTTGTCTAACATGGAGACAAAAAAAAAGGCAAGGTAATTTAAGGAGAAATGATAACTGGTCAACCCATTAGAGTGTTACAGAAGTAGAGGGGCAGATTAATATGTGGACAAAATAGACCTGACAGAAGTCTTAAAGTCCCATTATGAGCTTTTTCCAAGGTTGTATACAACAAGGTCTTTAAATTTGCTCTTTACACGTTTTAGGAAGACATTATTTAGAAACGAGACAAAGATCAGGGATAAACACATATATTTTAGGAGAAAGATTCATTGACATTGAGGCCTCCAGGGATTCATGCAGGACATATCATATGTTCTATTGCTAAAAATAATACAGAAAGAAAGTGCACAGTGAAATCTTCAACCTTGCATTTGATACTAAAACTTTCAAGGTTAAATACTGATTTTAAGGTAATTACAACAAAATCCTTCAAGGGTTTAAACGGGCAAAAGGGAAAATTAAAATGAAGTCATTTAGCAAGCACTTATTGAGTGCCTATTATTTATGAAGTATTGCTAAAGTTGATTTGGGGGCACTAGGAGATAAGATATAGTCTCTGATCTCATAGAGGGTCACGATCTGCTAGTGGACGTAAATCTATACACAAGAAATTCTGAGAGTGCATGAAGAGCTTAGTGATATTGCTGGAATTTTGGACTGATTTGACTGTAGACTGCATGTGGAAAGAGCCAATGTAAAGATTATGAAACAGAATGTTCATGTTGTTACCGGAAGGGCTGATTTAAAATAACATTTCCAAGTGGCCATTTTCTGAAAAGGAAAACCATAGTAACAATCTTTTTTTTAGCCAACTTCCTAAGAAGTTACCAGGAGCCACAGAAGGTTTATAATCCTGTAAGTTACTCACAACCTTGATGCATATTAGACTCACCTGGGTGCTTAAAAAATCAAGCGAGGCATAGATATTGGAACTCAGCCCAGAGATTTTTATTTGATTGGCCTGGGGTGGGGCCTTGGCTCTAAATCTTAAATACCATCCCACAAGAAGGTAATAGTCACTCCACTATAAATATAAATATCCACTCCATTATAGTGGAGTGGATATTACCTTCTTGTGGGGTGGTATTCAGATTAAATACTACACCACATGTGAAAGCCACAGAGAGGTTCTGGCACATAATAATTACATATTAATTATACAATAACTTCAGTCTCCTGCCCATGTGAAAGAGCAACGGTGAAGGGTCAAGACCCTGGACTCTGGAATGATGCCCAAGGTGTGAATCTTGGTTCTGCCAATCATAAGTTACATGACCTTGGGGAAGTTGCTTCCCTGTATCTCCAAGTCCTCATCTGTAAAATGATAGCAATAATTATTACGAGGATCTATAAAACTGAGGGTTATATGTGTCTGGCTAAAAAGCACATAGCCCTCATCTAATCATAAGGAAACATCAGGTAAAACACCCTACAAGACACCACATGTGTACACTTCATAAATTTCAATATCACAAAATAAAATAGAAAGATACAGGAAATGTCTAAGATTAAGGAGAACTAAAGATACATAACAACTGAATGCAATAAATGTTCTTGAATTTTCTTTTGCTATTAAAGATATTATTGTGATAATTAGCAATTTCTAAATAAGGTCTGCATTAAATAATAGTGTTATCATAATTTTAATTCCCTGATTTTGGTAACTGTACTATGCTTATGTAAATTAATTCTTGTTTTTAGGAAATATGCCTGAAGTATTTAGAAATAAAGGAATATTCTATCTGCAGCTTATTCTGAGAGACAGAGGCAGAGAGAGTAAAGCAACTATAGTAAAATATGAACATTTGGGAAGTCTGGATGAGGGACATCCAGAGATACTTTGTGCTATTCTCACAACTTTCCCGCACATCTGAAGTTATATCAAAATAAAGAATTATTTAAAAATTAAGTTCCTGGTCCTAGCACATATTAAGCACTACATGAGAGACAGATAAATATGCATGTGCCAAGGAGGATGAAGGAAATGCATCAAGGTGAGACAGCCCACGTGAGTGGAGCTCTGCTGAGATACAGTGCACTGGAATTAATCATGCATCTCTCTGTAGACACCGTTCTAGGCACTGCACAGAAACTGTATCTTTGATTTGACTCATTTTTCTTTAAGGAAAGAGCAATTTCTTCTGCCTTTTCAACTCATACCCCACAGTCTCCAGTAAATGTTCTACGAGCTCTTGGGAAGTAAATAGGGGTCCCACTGGGGTCTGAGGCCTGGGAGGCTGATGGGTCTGGGGCCCTAGAGGTTGTCTCAGATAGAACTGGGTAAATAATCAAGTCCACAAGCTTAGCCAGCTGACGACAATAGGCTAAGGACGCAATGGAGGAGATTTCAGAGCCCAGATCTGATGGCAATGGGGAGGTAATCAGAGGAGAGAGAGGACCACGGTGATCGAGTCCCAGCAACCGGATAGACATTAGCCCCCTTAGCTTCCCAAACATTTGCCAGTTATTTGTTTGTTTCCTTCTTTGTGGGGGTGTAATTTTATTCTTAAAAGTACTGTTGTAAAAAGTACTGTACAAAGAAATACTTTCTCTTCCCCTATTAGTGGACAGCCTTCTAGTTCTTGCTTCATGCATATTCACACATATAGATCTATGTGTACAAAGTGACATACATTGACTAATATCATACATACCATACAGCAACTCTCACTCGCCCGTATGACATGGACAGAACTCCTCAGCATAAGCATAGACTAATAGCATGATTTCTGTCGGCTACGTGGTTGCATTGGTGGATGTGCCTCATTTATTCAACCAGTCCCACACTGAGAGATATTTAGGTTGCTTCAGCTGTGTGATAATTTCTGAGAATCCCAGGGGTAAATAGGCTTGGGCATATATCTTTTGGTCCTCATGTGATCATCTGATTTAGGAAGTTTCTGCAATTAACTGGGTAAAGGAGCTGGACATTCTAAAAGCTCTTCTGTTTCCCGGCATCAATCTTCCTTCTATTAATATATTTACATCCCCACCCACAGGGAGAGTGTTTGTGTCCTCAAGCCTGTGGCAAAACATTGTTCCTCAGCCTTCTGATTCTTTGCCAACTTACTAAGGAAGAAATGGAATTTCACAGCCTTAATTTGCATTTCTTTTCTTATATTGAAGATAAACATATCTTACAACATTTAATAGCCATGAACCTTAAAGCACTCACTGTTTTGAAGGCAGAAGTCTTAATCAAAATGATGTCTCTTTAAACTTTCAAAAGCTTATATGCTTTACACTTTCCAGCCTTCAGCATTACTTCCCCTTACCTTTCTTTCAATATGTGAGTGAATTACTCCCCGTCGCCTTTCTTTTAATATGTGAGTATGTGTGTGTCTGAAGCAATCTAGAAACCACTATTTGAAACACAGAATTTAGAGCCAGACTATCCAAGTGTGAATATTGGCTCTGGAATGTACTATATATAAATTGGCCTCTGTTTTCCCATCTATCAAGTAGGCATAATAGTACTTAGCTTCTGTGATTATTGTGTGGATTAGAGTAAATTTATGTGAAGTGTTTGGAGCTGTGTCATGCAGATAGTAAGTCCCTTAAACATGTAGAACTTAATACTTTCCCATAGCGGTTTTAAAAGAAAGATTTTGTTCTTACGTCTCAGTAAAGTAGAGAATGTGCCAACATAATATAGGGTTTTGTTATTAAATTTTTTTTATCCCAGTATAAAAACCACACTGACCTTTTTTTTTTTTTTTTTAAAGAATTCTGAGAAAGTAGGATTGGGCAAAATCTCAGATAAATCTGTGCAAAGAAACACCACATCAGTAAGAGCCTATTTGCTAATTCTAGTAGGATAAAACAAAAAACCCTCACTACACTCACAAATAAACTATGACACTTTTATTATTAAAGATAACAGCCTCATTGGCTTATGGCTAGCAGGTTATATTGAGCTGTCATTTCTTTGAGTACAAAGAGGAAAGAAGAATTATTATGCTACTAATTGGTGGGGATTGTTTTCTACACCAAGGTCATTTTTTTCTATTTAAAATTATTTACATTTCTTTAACTTCATCTCAAAGCAATACGGCAGCTTCCAATCATGTTTGTATTGATAAAAAGCATTTTCATCTGAAGGTTTACACAAAAGTGGAATCCTTGTGACCCAGAAAAGATAAGGGTCTTGTTGGTGAAGCTACCCAAAAATTGAGACCCCTGAAAAGAGTAGATTTGCCCTCATTCCAGAAGTGAATACTGCCCTCTGGTAATGTACAGCACTGACATGCATTGGTATAGCCTATTGGAAAGTGACTGTTCTGACCAAATGGGGTCCCTGCCATATTGCACTGAGCACCAGAGCCTGTGAGAGAGGAGTCAAAGAACAGCAAGGAAAGAAAAAAAGACAATGAGATGGGAGGAAAGGTGGATGAAAAACGAGGCCAAAGGTGCATTCAACTTTCCATGGACAGCAGAGAAGATGAAAGGAGCAAAGGGCAAGGAGGCAGATACACAGTGCGAACATCTGGGAGAAGCAAGGGTCATTGCAAAAATCCACCGGCAGCTGAAGGTAGACAAAAGAGGCCACATTTCTGTGCTTAAATATATGTATCCTCTTTTGGTCTCAGGAAAGATCTATCTGTCCCGTGGTGAGATTGCAGGACCCACCCTTATAAATAGACTTCTTTTAAAATAGGTATGTTAAGCTTAAGTAAAATATTTGAAGTGAGCTTTTTGTTTTTCTTCCTAATAAAAATACACTTTATTGAAATAAAATGAAAATTTCATATGATAAAAAATACCTTTGATGGAATATTTTAATTAAGGAGCCTTGGAAATGGCCTCTTTGCATGTATCAGTAGTGAATCTAAGTATAAATGTGTTTGCTGGGAAATGAGCTTAGTAGCAGTTGTAAGATATTAAATTTCTTTCAGAATCAATAATTCTTCCTATATATACATTTTAAAATTTTATTCACCTTAAGGCAATTTAGGCATCATAAATTTAAACAGTGTACACAGACTAAGTTTTTAGGAAACCTACAGAATTTACTTGCAGAGGTTATAGAAAATATTGTATAATTTAAAAGTTGAGATTTTGAAACGTGTTGAAATGTCTTATTTTTTAATATTGCTACAGTTTACTATTCTCTTCTCTAGCCCCATCTATGAAAGCTTAGAAGACAGCATTTTATCTTTATTTAGCAAACATTGAGCTAAGTATTATACTTTGTGTTATAGACTGAAAGGTGCACACTCCTCTGTCCCCAGTTCTTATGCTGAAGCCCTAACCCTTAATGTGACTCAATTTGGACATAGGCCATTAGGAGGTAATTAAGGTTAAATGAGGTCATAAGGGTAGAGCCCTAATTCAATAGAGGTGCTGTCTTTACAAGAAGAGGAAGACGCAGGAGCATGTGCATGCAGAGGAGAGGCCATATGCGGACGCAGTGAGATGATGGCCATCTGTAAGCCAAGGAGAGAGGCCCCACTAGAACCCAACCCTGTCAACATCTTGATCTTGGACTTCCAATGAAGAACTACGAGAACATAAATTTCTGTTGGTCAAGCCCCGCAGTCCGCGGCATTCCATTATGGCAGCCCTAGTTGACCAATACACGTTGATTTAACCAAAACAAACAGCCACTCCTCCCAGGAACTAACGATACTAGATAAAGTCATTATTTTTCTATTCTTTGGCATAACAGGAAGAAATTTACACGTGCAAATACATCCTTTAATGAAAAGTTCTTATTCATTTTCTAACTGGCTATGTGGGTGAGAATCTGCTTTCATTTTGAAAGACAGCATAAGAGATGGCAGAGGAAAATCAAAGGAGGTATCAACAAAGATGGGTGACTCCAAGGGCTAGGGAGAAACAGAAAGAAGCAAAAGAGAATGTTACCAAGAGGCTGCAGATTAGAAGTGAAGAGAAGAAGCTGTGCTCCAGAGGCCTCTCTGGGCTGGCTTGTTCTAGGTATTGCCTCTGCTGTTTCCATTGCAGGTCCTATGGGGTGCAGAGCGGGTTCCAGCCAACTGACATGGAGTCAGAGTTTCCTCTGACTTTAAAGACTTCCCAATACAACCCTCTCATTTTATTTGTAAGAAAATCTTGACCCTGAGAGTACCTGGGCTAGGGTACTCTTCACTGAAAAGCTGTCTAACCTTTTCAAGCCTCAGTTTACTCAGCTATGATAAAAGCATAATAATAAGTAACTTATAATATCATCATGAGGATTTAATGTAATTAAATGTGTAAAGTGGCTAGCATATAGTCACAATAAATTTTAATTGATGCATAAGTTCACCCAGATATTTATGGATAGCACGGTATAAAAGGATAATTTGCATTTTAACAGATGAAATATTGGGAGAATTAATACATAAAAGTAACTCGTGACACAATGGTCCAGAAATATCTGGAAAGAATGAAAAGTGTAACTTTCCCATTCCTCATTGAATCAGAACGAGTAAAGGCCATGCTGGAGGAACACTGGGATAGCCAGAATTCTGCTGGAGAATAGGAAAGAGTCTGTTTAACAGCAATTTAGGTACACAAACTAAAGGCATTGTACATGTGAAAGAAGGAGAAATGGGGAAAAAATGGGCTCGGAGCTAGGCTGGTTAAACAGTTATTACAGGGGTGAGAGGTGAGGGTTAAGGAGCTATGGATTAGCCAGCTGTGGTGGTGTGCCCTTGTATCCTAGCTACTCAGGAGACTGAGGCAGGAGGATTTCTTGAGCCCAGGAGATCAAGGCTGCAGTGAAATATGATCCTGCCACTGTACTCCAGTCTCGGAGACAGAACAAAACTTTATCTCAAACAAACAAAAAACAAAAAAAGGTCAGGCGCGGTGGCTCACACCTGTAATCCCAGCACTTTGAGAAGCTGAGGCGGGCAGATCATGAGGTCAGGAGATCAAGACCATCCTGGCCAACATGGTGAAACCCTGACTCTACTAAAATACAAAAAATTAGCCAGGTATGGTGGTGCACACCTGTAGTCCCAGCTACTCAGGAGACTGAGGCAGGGGAATCACTCGAACCCAGGAGGCGGAGGTTGCAGTGAGCCGAGATCACGCCACTGCACTCCAGCCTGGTGACAGAGCAAGACTCTGTCTCAGAAAAAAAAAAATAAGGGAAAGAGAGCGAGAGAGGAAAGAAAGGAAGAGAGAGAGAGAGAGAGAAAGGGAGGGAAGGAGGAAGGAACGGGAAGGGAAGGGAAGGGAAGGGAAGAGAAGGAGGGAACTGAGCTGTGGCAAGTCAAAGATTATTTAAGCTTCATTTAAGGTTCAATGTTGATTAACTTAACTTTCATAAAGAATCTGCACTCAATCTGGAACTAGAGAAAAGGTTTAGGGCTGGCTCTCATATAATCCTCCCATATTAAAGCCACTTGCTCAGCATAATAATTAAAGAGTTGGAATCCCAGTTTCATAGAATAAAGGGTATATTATTCATTTATTTATTCATGCATTAATTCCAGCAGCATTTATTAGTCAACTACTACTTGCCAAACGAGGTGCTAAGGGAAGACAATAAAACTGCACAGAAAACACATTCATTTCCTTCAATGACCTGCCCCCTCTGCAGGGGACACCAACATTTGTAACCCAGTCTCAGTTTTCAATCCCTCAACATGGGCTGTTTTGGAAGAGGGTGTATTAGTTGGGATGTAGGTTCATGTATAAGCAAGTCAGAAACTTACTTGTTTTTATGCAATAGTTGGAGTTAGACAATCCAGAGTAGAAATGACAGTTCTGCTCCATGAGTCACCTGGGAAACTAGGATTCCTATATGCTAACTTAACACCATCACTTGGAGGTTAAATTATGTCACATTGTACATAGCAAGATGAAAAGAGAGGGAAAGGAACAGCACTGTCTATTGCAGAACACATCTAGGAAACTGAACACACAACTTGTGCTCACAATTCACTTACCATAATTGAATCCCATGGCCATGCCTAGCTGCAAGGGAGGCTGGAAGAGTAGGGACACCATGTGCCCAGCCAAAGATCAGGGTTCTCTGACTGAACAAGAGGAGCCAGTAGCAGTCTCTACAACACACAGCAGAAAATATATTAAAGTGCTTACTACATCTGACTTTCCCTAAAGCTCAGTAAGAAATAACAACAGCCACAAAAAACCATTTTTTTTTGAGACAGTTTTGCTCTTGTCACCCAGGCTGGAGTGCAATGGCATGATCTCTGCTCACTGCAACCTCCGCCTCCCAGGTTCAAGTGATTCTCCTGCCTCAGCCTCCCAAGTAGCTGGGATTACAGGCACCCACCACCACGCCTGGCTAATTTTTGTATTTTTAGTAGAGAGAGGGTTTCACCATATTGACCAGGCTGGTCTCAAACTCCTGACCTCAGATGATCTGCCCTTCTAGGCCTCCCAAAGTGCTGGGATTACAGATGTGAGCCACCACGCCTGGCCAACACCCAAGATTTTAAGCCCTTCCCAAACGTCTTGCAGCTGCTAACCTTGTTCTGCTGCTCCCTGCCCACCTCCCTTGCAAAGAAGATGCCGCTACAGAGCAGATCTCCTCCTGATCTTTTGGGAAGCCCTGCTCCTCCAGCAAAGGAGTCAGTCTGGTTGTCTCATTCCTCTCTGGGCTTATTGGTTTACCTGTGCAGACAATGTAATAGGACACTCTAGTCCAAGAACCACATTTCACTGAGTCTGAGTTAGAGAGCATGCTAGTGGAGATGGTGCTCAAAAAGGAGAATCAGAGTGGCCATTGGCACACCTTGGGGGTGTCCATGACCAAGTGTGACACATTGCCTCAATGTGACACATTTGAGTGTCCACCTAATGGCTCATTCCCTCTCTCTCTCTCTCACACACACACACACACACACACACAAACACACACACACACACTCTCTCTCTCTCTCTCTCTCTCTCTTTCTCTCTCTCTCTCATACAATTCTTCCAAGGACAAACCTGAACTATTAAAGACTAAATAGCCTACACTGAGAGTCACAAACATGAGTGCTTCTTGAGGGAAGCACACCAAGTGTGAAGCAGACTAGACAATGAGTGTAACAAGCCCTGTCCTAATGGGGAAGCCAGCACTCAGCTCTGGTGGATTTTGATCATATGCGTCTCATGTTTTTATCTCCTGAGTTGCTTCTATTAAGGAAGTTAAAAATTTGGGGATTTTTTAGATGACAAGTCCAGACTTTCAATATGACACCCAAGTAAAAAGTAAATGCTACATAGCAGATCTAAAGGAGTATCCAGCCCAAATCCAACCCAGGAGCCTCCCGTTGGAAACTTCTGTGGTAAGCACCGAAGGAGAGAAACATTTCCTGGGTTGACCTGGCCTTCATAGCACTAAATACCATTAGCATTTCAGTGAGTATTTAGCATTATCTTCCAGAGCAATGTGCATTTCTACCTTCATTACCCTTCTTTTAAATTGCATCTACTTGACTTAAAATGATCAGCAGGATAAATTTCCAGCTATATACCTCTTATAGCCTCTCCCTCAGCTAAAAAGATCCTAGCAGAAGCTGTGGACTTGCCACCTGTAAAAGCCTGAATAAATTCTTGGACAAGATGCTACACTCCTTCTCAGTCTCTGGGGTATGCGTGTGTGTGTGTGTGTGTGTCTGTATGTGTGCGTGGAGGAGGGTGGTTAGTTCTGCTTTTCTCACCAGATCAGATCATTGCAGCACAGAGCCAATCTGCCCTGGTCCAGGAGCATCCTTTGCCCACCCTGTGACATTCAGCTTGCATTTGGCTTTGTTTTAGGCCTCATATTTCTGGATTTTCCCTAGAAACCCTGACATGCTTTTCTGAGTTTGACTTTATTATAAGGCAATAGGAAACAGTTGAAAGTTTTTAAGCAGCGGAGTGACATTAAATAAAACGAATCTAGAAACTGTTGAAGTTGACCTGGGAAGGATAGAAATTGAAGTCAGGGAGATCAATCTGGGTTGTTTACAATAGGATAAGTGTTGAGATACTGAAGTAGATAAGTGGCAGTGGGGAAGGAGAGATGAGAGCATAGGCAAAAATAAATGTGAAGAGTGAATCTGCAATTTTTGCAACTGTTTTTAAAAGGAGTCCTGGATTTCAAGTCAGGGTGACTAGGATAATGATTGTCACAGAAACAAACCAAATTACTAGCAATATGTGTTTGTTTGCTTATTACATTTTTATATTTGCTTTTCTTCACTTAAAAATAGTAGTACTGGCTGGGCGCGGTGGCTCATGCCTATAATCCCAGCACTTTGTGAGGCTGAGGTGAGTGGATCACCAGAGATTAGGAGTTTGAGACCAGCCTGCCCAACATGGTAAAACTTCATCTCTACTAAAAATCCAAAGGTTAGCCAGGCGTGATGGTGGGCGCCTGTAATCCCAGCTACCCTGGAGGCTGAGGCAGGAGAATTGCTTGAACCCAGGAGGTGGAAGTTGTGGGGAGCCGAGATCGCACCACTGCACTCCAGCCTGGGTGACAGAGTGAGACTCCATCTAAAAAAACAAAAAAATAGTGGTACTGTCAGTAAATGTTAACAACATTTTCTATTAGTCTGTAATTTTTATGTCTCTAGATTCCAACTTCATAAGCACAGTCTGATTAATCCTCCTGTAAGCTTTGTGAGGTGGGTGGCACTAGTTTTCAGGACCAAATATACGGAAGATGGATTTTCAAAAAAATTTTAAAAATTCTTGAGCATCTCTTTCATTCTCGCTACAATCTCTTAGACTCTCAATAGCAATTAGTAGAGATCAAGCTTGGCATGTACTATGTTCCCAATTATTATCAATAGGTTCTAATTGAGAACATGTGTTCATTTCAGCTGGGATTATTGTCCGGCTGATCACAATGGGGAACATGAAAGGCAGCATCTGGCAGAGTTATTTTCTGACATCCACCTCTCAATCCCATCTTCCTTCATGACTGCTTTTATTCATATGTGAGCCACCAAGATAGAGGGAGATGTGCAACAGTGCTAATGTTTCTATGGGCTCATCAATGCAATCTCTACCTTGCTAGCCAAGCACCATGTACAGGTTCTTAAAGTAGGTGCTAGCTCCATTTATCTATTTTTCCATGACAAATCATCTCCAAATCCAGTGGCTTAAATTATTAATCTACAGTTTGGCTTGTATCCACTCCAGGCGGTATTAGCTGAGATGGCTTGGCTGGGGCTAGAGGATGCCCTTCCAAGATGACTCTCTCACATGGCTGGCAAGTAGGTTTTGGCTGTCTGATGGGATACCAGCTGAAGCTCTTGTCAAAGGTCTCCATTTGTCCTCCAGTTGGTCTCTTCATGAGCAGTTGGCTTGGGCTTTCTTACAGCAGGGACACTTGATTCCAAAAGCAGAAGTTCCAAGAGACAGAAAGTGGAAGTTACAAGTCTCTTGAGGCTCGGGTCTTCATAGGGTAACTTCCTGTTATATTTATAGCTCAGAGCAATCACAGAGCTTACCCAGATTCAAAGGGATAAGATGTAGACCACATTTTTCCAGGGGAGGAGTGTCAAAGACCCGGTGGCCAAATTTAATCCGTCGTAGCACACTACAGCAGATTAAATTACACATTCTGAATGAAGGGCACTTTGGCATCTCTGAGTTCAAGAGTAATATATTAAATTGCACCACTGGCCAATAATTGAAGATTATAAATATAGTTTAAATAGATTTTTTTGTAGTCTCCGTACAACCTCTGTGTATACTGATTCTATCATTTACCTCTGATTTGCATTTCTCAAGTGCTGTGCTCTTTTACTCTCACTGTGAATACACTCCCCACTCTTATATCCTGGCTACCAACACTCTGAAATGCTCTCTTGAGCTCTCAAACTGAACAAAGTACCCCTTCTGGGCACCTCTATAGTTTTGGGGTGCTCCTTATCAGAAGACTTATCACAGCATATTGGAAGCTGACTGCTAGTCTGACTTTCCCTCTAGACTGCACGGCCCCCAAAGGCAGGAAATCTTGTTCATCTGGTATCTCCAGCACAGAAGATTGCTACTGGTCAGTAGACACTCAATACATATTTGTTGAATGTTTAATTCACATTCTGCCCCACATTTTTGCATTCTTGGAATGCTCTGGAATTATCATTGACTTTTGTGTGTTATTTGATACTGTTAGAACTCATCCTCAGCATCTCTATCTCTTAACTGGGGAGACTGGGATTTCTACGATGGCCAGGCTGCAAGATGAGAAAGAAGTGTCGTGAAAGTGCTATGAGAGGTGACAATGAGAAAACTCAGACTGTGTTAAAGATGATTCTTTCCATGATGATTGTGTTAAGACTATATTTAGCATGGTATTTCTCCATGGTTTTCTAAGTAAAGAGAAGCTGTATAATAAGCAGCAGTGACATTAACCAAGCCTCATTCATCTCCATTGGCCCCCTGGACATTTTGAAGCAGGATGTATAAGCCACCCTCCAAATTGATAACAGGTGTCTGATTCCAAACAAATGTCACCAATCTTGCCCTTAATGCATTACGGCAGGACATGATGGAACATTAGTAGAGTGCAGTAGTGCACATTTGGAAAAAGAATGAACATGAAATTTGGTAACACTATCTTATCAGTTGAATTTAAAATGAATATTAATCTTGCTTCTCTGGCAGAGGAACAGATGAATCAATGAAATATTTTACTAGATGCTGTGGGTGAGGCAGATTGTCTTCTATTTTAAACAGTGAGGAAACATTGATCACTCCTGGAGAGGCTCTTGCTCAGTACAAAGCAACCCTGACAAGTAATTGAGGTCCTTAGGGGCTGATGTTACTACGCTTTTTATTTCTACTTCATTTAACCACAAAACATGTATTAAGCTTTAAAGATGCTACTCATTGTACACAGAAGAATATGACACAATCCCTACCCCCAAGGATCTGTGGCCAAAGAGTGGGCATGAAGGGAAAGGTGAAGGAACAACATTGAGAAGGGCAGAGTAGATGGCATGTGGGTCTGGAACCAGAGAGATCTGGAAGCTTCACCTCGTATCCTTAAGTCCTTGCATGAGTTATGTAAATTCAGCCTCAGTTTTCTCATCTGCAAAATAATGTTGATTACAAGCCTACCTACCTGCGGAAGTTTATGGGAAGGATTAATTTACATAAGAAGTGTGGAGCTGTAAGCTCCATGAACGTGAGGGGTAAATCCCTGTCTATTTTATTGTGCTAACCACTGTAGCACAGAGCACACTGCAGGTGATCAGTGATTATTTGGTGACTGGATTGAATGAAGGTGCCTAAGCACTGTACTTGGCACATATTAACCATTCAATAAATGTTCACCATTAAGATACATAGTGGTACTGCAGCAGTTGTTGTAGTATCAAAGATAAGTAATAGTACCAATAGAGGTTAGTGGTGATGGTAATAATAATAGTGGCATTAGTCATGTTTAATTAGGAGCACAAAAATAAGCATACGAATAGCAAGAGACAAAGCAAAAATTATGTTAGCAATGTTATTGAGGATCTAAAACAGAGCTGTGAGGAGTTACTACTTCATTCAGAAGGTAAGCCTGCTATTGAAGGCTTGTGAAGAAGGCACACGATGACAACTGCGGGAAAAATGGACTAAGAAGTGAGCAGTTCTTAAGAAGCTTTGA
Organism: Homo sapiens; assembly: GCF_000001405.40. Lineage (NCBI taxonomy): Eukaryota > Metazoa > Chordata > Mammalia > Primates > Hominidae > Homo > Homo sapiens. The sequence goes on from NC_000013.11 coordinate 34,260,401, forward strand.
TTTGGGTCTATTACAGAGTCTATTACAATAAGGACATAGTGCTGAACTAGACTGGAGGCAGGGGAGATGAACAGGAGAAAAGAAGTAAGGGAGAGAATTCAGAGGTAGAACTGAAACCAATTAATTGTACAAATGCAATATGGCAGTCAGAGGAGCCAAATGATTCCATCACCCACATGTGAGTTTCTCCTGCTCCCAGAACAGAACTTCCAAGGTCATAGTATTGTGTATTTTATTCTATTTAGCTCTTTCCTCACAGAATCACAGGAGAATCACTTCTGTTCTGTATGCCTCCTTTGCTCTATCCTCTCCTCCTGCTCTATTTCATCCCACAATTTTAGCCATTTTTAATACTAACAATATAAATTCTTAGTACTGGTCCACGGTTTTAAAATAAATAAAGGCAAGATGTCTAAATCATCTCCTTTATTTTTTCACCCAACTTAAGAAATGCCAACCCACAGGCCATTGAATTCAGTCCCTGACTAGAGTGCAAATGTTTGATTCTAATTGAGATCCTGGCTTTGCCATGTTAAAAGAAAAACTTTACACAAATTAAATTTAGCAAAGTTTACTTGAGCAAAGAACAATTCATGAATCAGGCAGCACTCAGAACCAGAAGAGGTTTGGAGAGCTCCACACAGCAATGTGGGCAGGCTGAGAGCAAAAGAGGTGGCATGCAGAAACAGCTTGATTGGTTACAGCTCGGCATGTGCCTTATTTATACATGGTGTGATGGAGCATTTGCCTTGGACATGGTCAGTTGGCAGCCTGTGATTGGCTGAGACTCAGCTTTCTCTTATGAAAATATACTCTTAACAAAGTTTGTTCACGCCTGTAATCCCAGCACTTTGGGGGACTGAGGGGAGGTGGAGAATTTGAGGCCAGGACTTCGAGACAAGCCTGGCCAACATGGTGAAACCCCATCTCTACTGAAAATACAAAAATTAGCTGGGTGTGGTGGCACACACCTGTAACCCCAGTTACTCAAGAGGCTGAGGCAGGAGGATCACTTGAACCTGGGATGCAGAGGTTGCAGTGAGCCGAGAACATACCACTGCACTCCAGCCTGGGAGACAGAGTGAAACTCCATTTCAAAAAATAAATAAATAAATAAATAAATAAATAAAAGATCATTTGCAATTTGTTACAAAAGGAGGCAGCTGTAAGCCAAATTAAATTTAACAATTTCCTCCTTTTTGTCAGTCTTTTTAATTTTGAGAAATTGACTAAAATCTTGGACATTGACCTCACTCTCTTTCCCATGATAATGGACTGGTTTTGTCACAAAATGAAATTCAGAATTTACCATGTCAGGTTAGTTGAATGTATCTTTATGTTCTCTTTGTGTGTGTGTGTTTAATTCAAACCATAGTGAGGCCATGTTATGTATAATGGGTGGCAGTATATGAACATTTAAAACTCTTGAGAGGATATGGCACACCAGGGAGAATATTATGATGGCTCTCAGGAGGATAATACTAAGAGACTGAAATACACTCCTTAACAGGAGCCCCCAGAAATCAAACTGATTAAAATCAAATACAGTCATGCGCTGTATAGCAGTGTTTCAGTCAATGATGGACTGCATATGATGGTGGTTCCATACAATACTGTATTTTACTATACTTTTTCTATGTGTAGATATGTTTTGATATGAAAATACTTACCAATGTATTCCAATTGCCTATAATATTCAGTACAGTATCATGCTGTGCAGGTTTGTAGAGTAGAAACCACAGGTTATGCCCTATAGGCTAGTGTGTAGTAAGCTATACCATCAAGGTTTGTGTAACTACACTCTATTATGTTCACAAAATCATACAATGACACATTCTTCAGAATGTATCCCCATGGTTAAGGCACACATAACTGTATATAAAAAATGTGCCAGGAGAAGAATCTACTTGCTTTAGCGAAGTAGCTTGTATGTTGGTTTCTTGCAATCGAATTTCTACGAAACCAGATTTATTTATCCAAGTGCAGCAGGAGGAGTTAGCTGTTGTGCACATTCCCCCTACTGTTTAGCCAATAGATAGCCCAAAGAAATCATGTTATCTATAACAACTTCAGCATGAGAATTTAAAGAAGCTTTGTGGGCAGCTATAACTTTTGCAGTAAAGTTGTCTATAATAGCTAATATTTGAGACATATTTCTAATCATAACTTTATTTACATTTATGCCATACCAAGGAAGGAGCAGTCTACCAAAAGATGACCATTTAAAGGGATTTTGTGCCTGCTGGCAAATTTCTCTTTATTTCATAGTGAAAATTAACACGTATAAACTAATGTTCAGTTTCCAATTGATTATGGAGTGACAATGGTCCTGTTAAAATCCCTAATCCACATTGGTCCCTTATTTTCCACTTACTGAGACATAGAGTTGACAACACATATGGTTAATTATTAAATTCTGCATAGATTAAAAATATTCTGTACATGGGCACAACAGACAGTTACGTGAAGATTCTGTGGGCCAGCAAACTACGTACCAGACCTCAGAAGATCAAACTGCTGATAAAACCAGTTCTCACTCCAAAGACCCAGCAGATCAAATACAAATTCCAATATTAAGCTCAGAGCAAATGAAAGAAATATTTCCTGAACAAGATGATCAACCCTATGTAGTAGACAAGTAGGCAGAACCTCAGAGAGAAGAGCCCATCACAGAGTTCTCTGTGGAATGCCTTGTCTGTTAGGGGTCATCAGTAGGGAAGCACAAGTATTATTTGTCAAAGGCTCCATTATTGAATAATCATGTGTTTGGAGGCTAACAGATAAGGAATTGGGATTATAAATTTGTCTAAAAACTCTCAAATTATCTTTTTTGTTTGTTTGTTTTCTTATTCAATGTATGGCATAATTTAACTACAAAACCCTTACTAGGGGCAGGGCGCGGTGGCTCACGCCTGTAATCCTAGCCCTTTGGGAGGCCGAGGTGGGCGGATCACCAGGTCAGGAGATCGAGACCATCCTGGCTAACACGGTGAAACCCCGTCTCTACTAAAAAAATATACAAAAAAATTACCCGGGCTTGGTGGCGGGCGCCTGTAGTCCCAGCTACTTAGGAGGCTGAGGCAGGAGAATGGCATGAACCCGGGAGGCGGAGATTGCCGTGAGCCAAGATCGCGCCACCGCACTCCAGCCTGGGCGACAGAGCGAGACTCCCGTCTCAAAAAAGAAAAACCAAACCAAACCAAACCAAACAAAACAAACCCTCACTAGGTTTTGCCTACTCTAAGAATTAAGGAATCTAAAATACCTGAATCTAAAAACCTAACTCTATAGAAAGTACCAAATGTGCAATTTGAACAAATAGTCATACTTGAAATATCAGTGAAATTTGTTATGGGGTGAACCAGAGAACCTCTAACATCATTTAAGAATTTAGGTTTAATGCGACATATCCAACATTCAAGTAAGTTCCCAGTGGAAGCTATACATTATGAAATCTTAATTGTTGCATAATCTTGCCAAGTAGAAATAGAAAAGAAACACAGGGCAAAGAAAAAAAGGAACAAAGGTTTTACGGTGACGGAGGAGATAAATCTTGGTCTGTGATCTTGGGAAAGCCGTCCACATCTAGAATGCTGTCTGCTTCTGAAAATAAACATCATGGTCAGTTTTACCTTGAGGTTTCCAATGAGTATACAGTTTTAAGAATCCAAAGGGGCTTTATTAAGCATAAGTCCCTAAAATTTTGCTGCAGAGAAGAACTTGGTACGGTCCCTTCGAATGGAGTTTAAGGGCAACATTTTTCTGATGTCTTTTCCAAAGGACACAAACTCTGGGATCTAGATCACGAAATTTCTGGTGTCACCATTTGGTGGGTCATGAAGGGCTTCTTTTACCTGGTGAAGATATACTTTGCCTTAATGTACTAAAGCTTTGCCATACTGAGTCCTGTCAGAGTTTGTAAGAGCAGGTGACACATGAGGTTCTATTATTAGGAGAACAGGCCTTCTAGTAACTATTTTATAAAAGGTCAATCTATGTTTTCTAGTGGGAGTGGATCTGATCACCATCAATTGGTAATACTTTTGACCAAGGCAATCCAATTGATTCAGTTCGCTTTGTCAAATGTTGTTGTGTTTGTAATATTTTGTTTATCTGTTTTACAACTTGCCCAATGAAACCAGTACCTCCAACACCGAAGATTTTTTCAGTAATGTTCCATAAGAGAAACACATTTTCCAACGACCTTTCAGCTGCTGTTATAACATTGGCCTTCCTGCCTGAGAAAGCTTCTCTATAACCAGAAAGCATGAATTGAAGCCGAAAATTGAATGAAATCCATCTGTAAGTGTTTAAATAATCCAGCAGGTACCAGAAATGTATCACCTGAGGTTTTTGTTATCTTATCAGAATTATGAGTTTGAGAAACAAAACATTGGTTATAAACCAGTTTAGCAATTTTAGAACAGTCACCACACTATTTATTTCACAACTTGTATAGTTTTATCTACCCTATGATAAGTCATAGAGCTTAATGGAAGATTTAAGGACCAGTCAGCCATTTGGGTTCTCTATGAGTCCACGCTTAACACTAGATTTACATGCTTTTGAATACAAGTTTTGTTTCTCAAATTCAGGTGTTTATCATAGGTAATTTGACTTGGGTCAGTCTTATAAAGTTCATTCAAATTGCATATGTTAACAATTTCAGTACTGGCTGGCAGCATAAAAATCTTCTGAAGCTTTTCCTTGATATTCACTTAGTTCTCATTCTGTTTGATGTTGGGCTAGCAGACGTATGAACCAATCAGTTTCTTCGTTACAGTTCTGAGAATTCTTACTGAGATGAGTGGTATGATCTTAAAGTTGTCAGAAACCTGTACTTGTCAAATTCCTTTCCATGAATCCCCTTGAAGACAACGCATGTCAGATTTATAGTTGTTTGTAATAGCATTCAGGAAAAGACTAGAGTAAAACAATTAATTATTTGTGAATAATAATACTTAAAATTGTCATGGCTAAAGATCTAATGACAATTTACTATAATAATGATGCAATTGACAAGGAGATCTAATTATTTCTGTGATACACAATGTTTTAGGATAATACTTAGAATTATGACTCATTGCATACCAAGACTATCAGATTTCTGTGAATTTTATACAATTTATGAGACACACATTAATAATACACCAATACAAATATGACTCAAAGAAAGTTTAGCATTACTCATTATTTGACAATGCTTCCCATATAATTTAATATATTAAATTAGCCCAATCATCTTAACATATCTCTTTTCTATAAGGAAAGATATCCTTTTGAGATGTTCTAAGGGTCCATCTCAAAAATTCCAAAGTTAATTTGAAGTCAAGAAAAAGACAATTTATAATTGGATTTTTGAAAGTTTGTCAAAATATCAACGGTTTAAAACATTTGATCAAAATAAGATTACAGGTAACTGTAAAATAATAGTCATTTGTGGCCTGGCGCAGTGACTCATGCCTGTAATCCCAGCACTTTGGGAGGCCGAGGCGGGTGGATCACGAGGTCAGGAGATCAAGACCATCCTGGCATCCTGGCTAACGTGGTGAAACCCCGCCTCTACTAAAAATACAAAAAATTAGCCAGGTGTAGTGGTGCACATGTCTGTAGTTCCAGCCACTTGGGAGGCTGAGGCAGGAGAATCGCTTGAACCTGGGAGGCGGAGGTTGCAGTGAGCCGAGATCGCACCACTGCGCTCCAGCCTGGGCTCCAGAGTGAGACTCTGTCTCAAAAAATAATAATAATAAAAATAATAATAGTCATTTATTTAACCAGATGGATAATTGAAAGACTTCAAAGGCAAATGCAGAAAGTTACATAGTTGGAGAAAAACCCTAACTCTGCAGAAACTGGACTGGTTCTCTAGAGAAGCACAGGTTCTGGGTCCATAGTTCTTATACATAAAATCGGCTGAAGTTCCAGATGCAGGGGTTCTAGTCTCCTTCAATCAAGACAAACTGATGATTCCCTGTATTCTAGTAAACTTACCCACCTATTCTGAACCCAGCCCAGTTTTGGTCTGATCTGTCAGAAACCCGAGGCCTTCCCTACAAGACCCAGAACTGTTTCTGTCACCACTTCTGAAGCCAGTACAGACTTTTTTATTTTACAGATAAATTCAGAGGGATCAAAGCACATGTTTGTGGAACTGAAATCTGAGAGAGAACTCACTCATGACCCCAGAGGGTACTTTTGTTTGGTTACTTGCTGCTTCTGGGGTGGGGGTCACTGAAGGTCTACTTTGGATCCTACTTTTTTTTCTCTCTTTTTTTTTGAGACAGATTCTCACTCTGTCACCCAGGCTGGAGTGCAGTGGCATGATCTCAGCTCGCTGCAACCTCCGCCTCCTGAGTTCAAGCGATTCTCCTGCCTCAGCCTCCTGAGTAGTTGGGATTACAGGTGTACACCACCACACCTGGCTAATTTTTTGTGTTTTTAGTAGAGACGGGGTTTCACCATGTTGGCCAGGCTGGTCTCAAATTCCTGACCTCATGATCCGCCCACCTTGGCCTCCCAAAGTGCTGGGATTACAGGCGTGAGCCATCGCACCCAGCCTTGGATCCTACTTCTAATGATGACTTATTAAAAGAAAAACTTTAGACAAATTCAGCACAACAAAATTTATTTAAGCAAAAAACAATTCATGAACCAGCCAGCTCTCAGAAACATAAGAGTTTCAGAGAGCTCCACCCCAGCATGTGGGCAGGCATTATTTATAGATAGAAAAAGGAAATGATGTAAAGAAACAACTTGATTGGGCTGGGAAATGATGTAAAGAAACACCTGTAATCCCAGCACTTTGGGAGGTCGAGGTGGGAGGATCACCTGAGGTCAGGAGTTCGAGACCAGCCTGGCCGACATGGCGAAACCCAGTCTCTACTAAAAATACAAAAATTATTCAGATGTGGTGGTGCATGCCTGTGATCCCAGCTACTTGGGAAGCTGAGACAGAAGAATTCCTTGAACCTGGGAGGCGGAGGTTGCAGTGAGCCAAGATCATGCCACTGCACTCCAGCCAGGGTGACAGGGAGAGATTCCATCTCAAAAGAAATAAAGAAAAAAGAAAAAGAAAAAAGTAAAAGAAAAAAAAGAAACAGCTTGATTGGTTACAACTCAGCATTTGCCTTATTTGAGCATGGTGTGATGAGACTTTTTTTTTTAGAGAGACATAGCCTGATCAGTTGTTAGCCTGTGATTGGCTGAAACTCAGCTATCTGTTCCAAGATATATTATTAAGTTAGTTTGCAGTTTGTTTACTTACTGTTAGGTTGCAGTTTTCTATGTACCAGGGCAGATTTAGGAGAAATTTAACGTAACTTAATAGCCATAAAGAAACAGTGCTAGCAAAAGATGGGACTATCCAAGATGTTCTGCACTAAATTGCAAGTTAAAAGGGGATTCGAAGGTAAAATGGAAATAGGGAAATACATTTCCACAGATTTTATTCTGGGTTACATTTGAATAATCCTTTATTTCTTTTTTTTTTTTTTTTCTGAGATGGAGTCTAGCTCTGTCACCCAGGCTGGAGTGCAGTGGCACAATCTCGGCTCACTACAAGCCCTGCATCCCGGGTTCATGCCATTCTCCTGCCTCAGCCTCCCGAGTAGCTGGGACTACAGGTGCCCACCACCACACCCGGCTAATTTTTTGTATATTTAGTAGAGACGGGGTTTCACCGTGTTAGCCAGGATGGTCTCGATCTCTGACCTCGTGATCCACCCATCTCGGCCTCCCAAAGTGCTGGGATTACAGGCGTGAGCCACCGTGCCCAGCCTGAATAATCCTTTATTTCATGAATAGTTGTTTTACAGTAATATGAATTACAGCATGTTAAAACATCAGTAGCTGGAAAAGGTGGAATTTCACCCTTATTAGTCAGTTACACTTTAGCATGAGTTCGTTTGTCAAATTATCAAGTTAGTCATTTAGTTTGTGCAGAGGAAGAGAAGATAAGAAAGAACAAAAAGCTAATTTTATCCATTTGTAGTCGTGCCTGAGAATGGCCTTAGATTATGGAGGGCTGGGCAAAAGGCCAATGAACACTACCCTCATATGCTCTATCTGGATGAGGCCAAAGACCATCCATCCCTCGTGGCCCAGATAAAAGACCCCCCTATGATCATCTCCCCCACACCCAGTAAATCATTCCTCCTCTGAAATCCTAGGAGGTTTTATTTACATCTCTTAATGATATGTATAATCATTTACTTTGTATGATGGTTATTTGTTTGTATATGTTACTGTCTGCATGTATGTAAATATTTTTTACATGGATTATGTGTCCTATGAGAGAATAGCCGTAACCAGAATCCACTTGTGATTCCTCTTCATCATCTTCATGGTGTCTTACATAATCCCTTTCTATACACGCACTCAAAATATATTTAGTGATTGACTAAATAAATCATTTTTGAGAACTTTATCCACCTGTGAATTTCCTTTGCTTTATCCCTTTTATGATTTCTTTAGCAGTCAATTTTAAAGTCATACTCTAGACAGTTTAGATTGCAGGGCATAACAAATAGAAAAATTATACATAATTTTCTTTCCCGTTCATTTCAAATTGTTATGTGTAAATCCACACAGATACACATGCATCATATAAAATCATAAAACATGAAAAAGCTCTTGGCTTCATTTTCCTTATTCCTGAACACCTGTGTTAATATCTATTCATGAAATAGAGGCAGCAGGTGAAAATTCACAAAACACCTCTACACATTCGCGCCAAAGCCAGAGTGTAGACCCTGGGTATTACAAACTCCAAGTCAGTCTTTCAGGAAAAGCATCAGCTGGTTATCCAGGCCATCATACAAACTGGGCTTTTCCTTTTTATTTTTTATATGCTTTTTTGCATTATAGTTTGAGGCTGATGTATAGTGGGAAATGATAAAATTCAGGAGGACTCTCCTGTTGAATGATAAGCATATTTTCTTTGATTCGCTCTGAGACAAAATTTTCAAATTCATTTTGAGATCAAGATTTTAATGTCAATTATTACAGAAAGGTTCTAAAGAATGACTCATCCTGGATAGCATTCATTTTGTAATTCCAGTTCATAGATAGGGCTCTGTTTTCAATGCAGTCTATGCATCTCAGCCGTATACTCCAAGGCAAACAGCAAACCTCATTTCAAAGGTATAAATGCTCCTCCAGGCTCTAATCTCTTCTGTGTAATGGAGCATTTGTTTCTCTTCAATGAACAGTAAACCTGTAATTCCCTTTAATCCTAAGTGAGGCTTGAAGAGCGAGGATTTCAGTTATGAACTCTCCCACCTACCTTCTATGGGCTTTTCATAGTCACAGAAGACCCTTCAGAATTTTCACAAATCCCAGAATATCTGTCCAGTTAGTCGCTAAAAAGATGCATCAAATGGAGTTGAATCTAAGTCAACTCCATTATCTGGGGACTTATGAACTGTGCTCAGATTTGGTTGGAATTTGTGACAGGCTGATGCCTGATCCCACACAACCCAATTCTAAAGCATTTATGGTTAGAATTTATCTAAAATTGTAGATACAATGAAATGTATCTTCATATAGATATGGATATGGATAAAATAAATAAAAATATGGAGAAAAGCTTTTCTGATAAAATGCCCTCCTCCACTCTAAGCTTTGTAGAATTCCTAATATAAGGAAACATAGAAGTCTACTAGCAGATGAGAATAAAGTTTTTAATTAAATCCAGCAATAGCAGGAAAATAAGAGAAAAGAAAGAAAACAAGTACTTAAAAAGATCTTTTGCCCTTGGCAAATTTAAAAAGGAAATTGTCATTTTCTTTTGAGATAACATTTCTAGGCCAAAGACATTTTTTACAAGCCTGTTCCAAGCATATTTTAACTCTATGTTAGGGAATTTTGAATATTAGAACAATCCAAATTTTCGACTCCTTTGGGGCCAAGAGACTTAAATATTTGGGAACAATGTAGTTTCCATATCTTGTTCATCAAATAGAGGCCTTTGTGTGACTTTTGATTTGATCCCTGCACAAATTTACCTTTCTCACTACAAAGCTTGGGAAGTTGAACCATGTGTGAAATTTATCCGCCAGTGTCTTTATGTTACAGATCTCAAGTAATTCTTCCATTGAGTTCTTCAGTGCAGCAAATGCACCATTCTACTCTAACAATGAGCCTCTGGAAATGATTTTTTTTTTTTCTAAATTTTAGTCCAAAGTAGTGACATTAGCAATGTCAGTGAAGGATTAAAAGGAAAATATATTTTATCAATAATAAATTGCTCTCTTTTTCTTTTATAGATATTAATTAAATACTTATTGCTTATAGCTACTAAAATTTAATTTTAGTGAAACACAACTCACAGAAAGACATGGAGTTATTATAAACTGGGGAAGATGGAGTTTGGTTTCAGTTTGATCTTTCTAATTTCCTGCGCTAACCACTGATTGATTTCTCTTGGCACAGAACTAGACATGCAAGATACTTCCACTTGGGTGTTAATTAGAATCTTTACCTTAGGTGTGCTTCTAACAGTGTTTGCATATAACCCTTTCCTAATAGAAAATGTCTGCAATTTTAAAGCATTCTTACTTATTATAGATGAAGAGAGAAAGGGGAAGGGGAAGAGAGGACCTGCAGATGCGCAAGCGCGGGCAAAGGTAATTAGGATGATTAGGAGGAAGGTGTCTTTGGACAGAGCTAAATCGGTAGTTAGGGAATAAAAGAAAGGTAATTTCTGGTCCAGGATGGAAATCAGAACATATGATTTAATTACTCTGCTCTTACAAATGCCAATTGAAGTGACCCAAATAATAGGGTAGGGGAGAAGTGCAAATGAACCCTGGCAACAATGGAAGAGAGTCACTTACCCTCAGAGACATTGAGGAAATCACAAAAGATGTGGTGCGAGAAAGACAAAGGGGAGAGGAGAACCAGTAAACTGGAGACTCCATGCTTTCAGGGAAATGACTGTTTGTGTGTAGTGAGCGGACTCTTGTCTTGGCAAGACCATCCTAACAAATTTTGGAAAAAATGTACTGCTTAAAAGAATGAATAAGAGAATAAGATAAGATGGCACTTTTAGAATCATTTTTATTTTTAGTTCTGGGGTACATGTGCAGGATGCACAGGTTTGTTACATAGGTAAACGTGTGCCATGGTGGTTTGCTGCACCTATCAACCCATCACCTAGGTATTAAGCCCAGCATGCATTAGCTATTTTTCCTGATGCTCTCTCTCTCCCAACCCTAGCCCTTGACAGGCCCCAGTGTGTGTTGTTCCTCTCCCTGTGTCCATGTGTTCTCATTTTTCAGCTCCCACTTCTAAGTGAGGACATGCAGTGTTTTGTTTTGTGTTCCTGCATTGGTTTGCTGAGGATAGTGGCTTCCAGCTTCATTCATGTCCCTGCAAAGGACATGATCTCATTTCTTTTTATGGCTGCATAGTATTCCATGGCATATATGTCCCACATTTTCTTTATTCAGTCTATCATTGCTGGGCATTTGGGTTGATTCCATGTCTTTGCTATTGTGAGTACTGCTGCAGTGAATGCACTAGGTACTGAATTCCAGAAAACATTTGATAATTAAATGTGCATGTATCTTTGTAATAGAATGATTTATATTCCTTTGGGTATATACCCAGTAATGGGATCACTGGGTCAAATGATATTTCTGGTTCTAGATCTTTAAGGAATCACCACACCATCTTCCACAGTGGTTGAACTAATTTACATTCCACCAACAGTGTAAAAGCATTCCTATTTCTCCACAGCCTCGCCAGCATCTGTTGTTTCTTGGGACTTTTTAATAAAGGCCGTTCTGACTGGCATGAGATGGTATCTCATTGTGGTTTTGATTTGCATTTCTCCAATGATCAGTAATGTTGAGTTTTTTTTCATATGTTTGTTGGCTGCATTAATATCTTCTTTTGAGAAGTGTCTGTTTATGTCCTTTGCCCACTTATTAATGGGGTTGTTTGTTGGTTTGTTTTTCTAAATTTGATCCTACAGAAAAAGAAGGCTGAGAAATGTGCTGGATGCAGAAGCTCAGTGGGATACTATGTAATAGTAACAGTAACAACATCTAACACTGATACAGTGTTCAGTATATGCTGGGCACAGATTAAGTGTTGTATAGATGTTAACTCAATCATTGCAACAAACCTGTAGGTGAGTACTGAGATTATCCGTCTGTAAGGATTAGGAGAAACCAAGTCTTAGAGAGGTTAAGTGATCATGATAGGCTATAAGGAAAATATATGACTGTCTCTCTGGACAAATAGATTCAACCCCAAATAATTAGAACTTAAAAGAGCTCTGAATTATATGTCAGTTATTTAATAGATATCCTGTAATAAGCAACCAGTTAGAAAATACTATGGAGAAAAGAACCCCTTAACAATAACAACATAAAATGGTAAGAATAAATTTAATAAGAATATGCAGGGTGTATAATGAAATTATGCAATTTTACTGAAGGACATAAATAAACCCATAAATAAAAAGAGGGGGATAACAAGTCCTGTATGGGAAGACTTAATGTTATAACAATATTTCTTCTCCATTTCTAGTTAGTCCATAAATTAAATGTACTATTAATCAATATCTGATTATAATTTTGAGGAGAGGACAGACTTTAATAAAAGTATCTCTTTTGTTTTTAATTACAGAAATAACACACAAATGCATAATCTAATAATTTAAAAACCCTGTATTATGGAATTTGACCTTACTCTTGCTCATCAGTCACCTTTCCCATGAAAGTGCAGAACATATGTGCATTATCTGTGTAGGTATTGAAATCATGAAGAACATTGGGAAGTAGAGTGGTGGCAAGAAAGACAATATTCCAGGCACTAAATTCCAGACAATATTTGATAATCATATCAAGGAGGTAGAACAAGGAGGTTACAGAATCTGAACATATGATAACAGTCTTTGAAACAACTGAGTATTTTTTAGGCAAGAGAGATGAAAAATGACATAAAAATTGCTAAAGAAATTGAAGGTATTTATCTCTAGCTGGAAAGGAGGCTAGGACATAATTCATAGTTTATGCCTCTTAGTGCTATTTTATTTTATAATTATATATTCCCATTACTTTGATGAAAACAAAAATTAATTAAAATATCACTGGTGAAAAGATGGATGCATTTGTCAATAGAATGCTATCATAATAATGTTAGATGATAAAATGTGGATGGATTGCTCAACAAATAGTGCTAAAATAAATCGCTAACCACTGAGGGAAACACAGTTAGATATTTACTTCAAATCAAATCCCAAAGATCATTGCATATTAACCAAAAGTTTAAACATTAAAATAATGAAATGAGTAGGAGCAAATATAGCTAAATATTTTCATGATCTTGGAATGAGAAAGGCTTTCATCCGCTTATCACCATAGAGAGCAACCCAAAAGAAATAAAATCAAAAATTAAAAAACAAAGAATAAATGAAGAAAATATGTTTGCAATGTAAGACAGATAAATGCTATTTAGAGATTAAGAATTGTTTTAAATCAACAAGAAAAACATGGACACCTCAATTAAAAATCAATAAAGAACATAAACAGGCAATTCATAAAGAAATGGGAACAGCCAATAAGCGTTATTTCTGAAAGTTCAGCATTGCTAGAACTAAAGGATATATACACTAAAACCATTATATGCTATAATTTGCATCTGAAAAAAATTTTAAATGTTTTCAAATAATATTTTCTAGTGCTGGTAAGTGCAGGAAAATGGACATTCTTGTACATTTCTGGTTGTAGTTATGGACACAAGAAGAAAAGGGCAATTGTCTTCCCCTAATATTTCACATGAGCTTTAAATATTTGCTAAATCAATGAATTCATTAATAAAAGTATTTTTAAAGAATGAGGATATAAAAACTAATTTGAGCTTCATAAAAATTAACTTATAACAGACCCATTGTGTGAAACAGTACATAAGATTCTTGATATATCTTGTGTAATCTTTGCAATGAGGAGGGGACGATTTTTCTTTTTTTTTTTCTGGAGGCAGGGTCTTGCTCTGTTGCCCAGGCTGGAGTGCGGTGGTGCAATCTCAGTTCATGGCAACCTCTGCCTCCTAGGCTCAGGTGATCCACCTCAGCCTCTCAAGTAGCTAGAATTACAGGCGTGTACCACCATAGCCAGGTAATTTTTGTATTTTTTTTTTTTTGTACAGACTGGGTTTCAGCATGTTGCCCAGGCTGGTCTCAAACTCCTGGGCTCAAGCGATCCACCCAGCTTGGGCTCCCAAAGTGCTGGGATTACAGGCGTGAGAGACCATGTCCATCCAAGGAGATGATTTTTCACCCACTGGAATTCCTCTCACGGAAAGCACAGCTCATTTGTGTATTTGCTTCTTTCTTAACTGCTTTTACATTAAATACTCACATAACTGGTCACAAAATATAATCATTAAACTCATCTGATGAGGCATTTTCTCGTTTTTAACCTTGAAGTGAACAGCAGGCATATAGAAAGTGAGATAGAAATAAAGAGCAGTCGCAACAGTGATCAGAGACTGACAGGGCTCTTATTAATATCAACCAATCTCACACAATGATGAACCTGAGATTTTTTTTTTTTTCTTAACCAGTGAAAGAGGCCGGCGCAGTGGCTCACGCCTGAAATCCTAGCACTTTGGGAGGCTGAAGAGGGCAGATCACTTGCAAAAGTAAGGAGTTTAAAAGCAGTTTAGCCAACATGGTGAAACCCTGTCTCTACTAAAAATACAAAAAAATTAGGGCTGGGCTTAGTGGTTCACACCTGTAATCCCAGCACTTTGGGAGGCCGAGGTGGGCAGATCAGCTGAAGTCAGGAGACCAGCCTGGCCAACATGGCGAAACCCAGTCTCCATTAAAAATAGAAAAATTAGCCAGATGTGGTGGCATGCACCTGTAATCCCAGTTACTCTGGAGGCTGGGGCAGGATAATCGCTTGGATCCGGGAGGCAGAGGTTGCAGTGAGCCAAGATTGTGCCACTGCACTTCAGCCTGGGCGACAGAGCAAAACTTGGTCAAAAAAAAAAAAAACAAAAAAAAACAGAAAAAAATTAGCCAGGTGTGGCAGCAGGTGCCTGTGATCCCAGGTACTCAGGAGGCTGAGGCAGGATAATCGTTTGAATGGTGGAGGCAGAGATTGCAGTGAGCCGAGATCTTGCCACTGCACTCCAGCCTGGGTGACAAAATGAGAAAATGAAAGAAAGAAAAGAAAAAAGAAAGAAAGAGAAGGAAAGAAAGAAAGAAAGAAAGAAAGAAAGAAAGAAAGAAAGAAAGAAAGAAAGAAAGAAAAGAAAGGAAGAAAGAAAGAGAAAGAAAGAAAACAGTGAAAGAACTGAGCTTCCCATGAGACAACGTAAGAGCACAGTATGAGAGTGTGGAGTCTGAGGCGGAAAGACTGTGAGGACATGACCTGGGAATTCTCAGAAATCGTGGGAAGGAGTTTGGGATTTTAACAGCCCTGGATAATTATCCAGATCCTCAATGCCACAATAACAAAGACTGCATTTTGTAATCTTAACATTTTTATTATTCTTGTTTTTCATTTGGTGTGCACTTTTTTTTTTTTGCATCTAAATAATATTCTTTACCTTGAAAAGTACAAACTGGCAAGGGCAAACATTTACGCAGGAAATATTTCCTGCAGAGCATTTTATGATCCACTTACATTACTAGATGCATTTTCCATTTTTCTATATAAAGATTTCATTTAGCACCCTAAGCCTACTTCCATTTCTTAATACTCCCCCGTGTTTAATGCTTGGCCTCCTTAGCTCATTGGTTGGCTGTGGTTTGTTTTGTTTTGTTTTAACAAATTGGAACCCAAGTCCTAGATCCTAGTGCTTGCAGTTTGATGCCATAGTGGCCTCATACTGTGGGGTGGAGTGAATGCTTATTGGCTTTCCATCAAGCTACAGTTAGCCACCAACCCCCATACACACCCCAACTGATTACCTAGGAGGGTGTAAACTCTGAGGTTAATTAGACACCATTCACCTGGGAATAATTACCAAGTCAGGTGACCTTATAAACAATTCACAACCTTCATTCATTGGTGGGACTCAAAATGCACTATTTGGTTTCTCATAGGTTAATTCAGTCCCTTGATTCTTAAAATCCTTCATGGTTAGTTTGTAAATTAATCAAACTTCAAGGTCACTTTCCATTTATCTTTGTTGATTTCATAGAATATTTGATTACCTGAAGTTGTTCAAAGACCTAAAAAGACTTATGAATACTAGGTGTTTTGAATAAGATAATAATGGCAAAGAAAGGTGCAATTTCTGTAGGGAAAAAAGCCATAGTCATACATTTTTTAATAAAAAAAAATTTGTTTTTTAATTGAAGAAAAAGAGTGACTATCCCAGAATTAAAAAGGCCTTGAAAGAGCCTAGCCAAACCTGAACTGTCAGAATAGTTCTCAAGCAGACTTTGTTTAATTTATAAGTTTGTAAATTATATCGCTGCCCCTGCCTTTTCTTTCAAGGCCACAGTCAATGCCTATAAGATAAGAATCATAAGTTCCCACAGAGAATCACAAGCAACCAGAGACCTTTGGGGATCTCTTTCCTTTCTGAGGCCAGAGTCTCTGTGTGCTTAAGGGAGGGGACAGGACGGGTTTGTGGAGCCGCCAGAGGTAGCCTCTTGCTTGCTATATTTCACCTGACATGTTGTAGATGTAAAACCATAACTGTTCCTCCTCCAGTAAGACAGTCCATTTGCTCAGTTTCTAACAAATATATTTTCCCACTTTGTAGCATTTATCATCCTTATTCCACAATGTTTTATAATAATTGTACCCCAGGCTGTATAGATAACCTGAATAAAATATGTTAGTTTGACAATCTTTAAAATTATGACTTTCAGATGACACATGTGTGTGCACATATCCTAGCATCTTACAGAAATAGGCCTCGATGCAGAGAAGCAAAGTGTCTGAATGGGACAAAAAGGAACTTTTGACTTTAATTTCTTTATACACTGGTTCTTGCTCAGAGTGCTACATGTGTACACATAGGCCACTGGGCAGTACAGAATTCTCTTTTCTGGTCCTCCAGACATAATGAGGCTTGCCTGAGTTCTAGAATGAAGACAGTTATGACCACATTTACCCATTCATTTAGTTTTCATTCAGTTCTTCATGGCATATTTATTGAGCACTTACTTTGTGTCAGGCAGGATGGAAAGTACAGGGGACATAGAAAAGATCATGGAGGATGAGAAGGATAAGGCATCTTCCGTAGCAGAGTTTACATGTCTATATAGGAGTCAGACAATTCAAAAGTGTGGAAATAAATAGCCAAGAATAATTAAGCTTATAGTAAGGAGTAAGAAAGAGAGTTCTAAGGCAAAGGGTATCTTGGATGGGTGGAGGGTCAGAAAAAGCCTTTCCAAAGAAATGGTATTAAAGCTGAGACCTGAAGAATTAAAGAAATAAAGGAGCCAGTCACACAATTCTAACATATATTAGTAGCAGAACTCTTTTTAAAAATGAAATCATTAGTAGAATACCACTCAAAAGCAAGTAAAATAGACTTGCTCTGATGGAAGCTATTTAGGGCTTCTGCTCTGCTCACTCAGCCTCTCTTAACCAAACCCAAGGAGGCCCTGGATATTCTTGGAGACCTTTTTCTAGTATCAGGATGAGCTGTCTCAATAAATAATCCTCAAAAAATAATCCAGGGCTTCGTGGAACGTGGTTTGAAAACCACTGGCCTGGGTGAAGCCAGTAGGAAATTGCTTTATGCTGTCCTGCCCTGATAATCAGATACAAAGATAAGTACCTTTCACTCAGCAGTTGAGCCTGCGTTCAGCACCGACACAGATTTTAATCTTTCCCTTTTATGTCCTGAAAGTTTAGATACACAAAGCACCATTGCTATGTTCTTTGTCTAAAGCTTCAGTGATCAGTAACCTAGCTAAAATGCTTTGGATACTTTAATTAACATGAGATCATTAATGATAATAATAAATGCCTCTTAATTGTATCTAAATATAGTAAGCCTTAGTTAAATACTGAGAGGATAAGCACTTCCCTTGGACATCTCCTTTTGGACATAGTGGAAGAGGGCTTCACTTCCATACCCTCTGCCGTTTGTTTAATCATTCCCATTTTGCACTGCATAAGGCAAACATAAGCAATTTGTACTTTTGAGTAGTCAACATGTTTTCTTTTCTTATTTTAATTTCATTAACATACGCCAAAGAACGAAATACTTCAAAAATATAGTACTTAATTTAGGCTGGTTGTTGTTTTTGTTAATTTGTTATGGCAGGAGTATCCAAGCATAAAGAAAGGATAATTTAATCAATTCACTCACACAAGGTTTAAGAAGCAGTATTTGTCTTTGTGAACTATCTAGCCAATTACCTTACACTGCCATTTAAATAGTGATTCACAAACAAACATCTAGATTTTTCTTATGGAATCCAGCCAAACTACATTTCCTTTGCACTGAAAAATTTTTAAAGTCATGAATGATTAAAGTCCATCAACTACGTGATAACTAAGGATGCACAATTTTTCTTCAGGATCACTGGAATTTAAATAAGACAGACTGCTTTAGTAAACCGATTATAAAAAGATCATAAAAAGCATCTCCTTTCAAATGTCATAAAGAGCTAATGTTCCCCTGGTGAAATCCAAATAAATGTAAGCTATTTTCAGCTTTGATCTCTGGTTTTATTTTACTAGAACTCTATTTTAGAAGTTTGTGCCTAGCATTTTTAGCACCAAGTTGCCAGTCACTATATCATATCTGCAACATAGAAGAGAATGCAGTGAATTGAATCACTATCCCACTTGATAAATACTCAAGGTCAAAGAGACTTAGGAAGGGAAAATAGTGTGTAGTGGGTTGTTAGAAAGAAATGGAAGAATAAAACAGACTTTTAATAAGCAGGAGATGCAGGAATGTATTAATAGATATATTCCAGTTCATCTCTTGATTTATACCTCTATCATTCTGGTCAATGAAATTCAATGATTAGAGGAGGTCAAAGTGCCTGACTGAGTTTATATTTGGACTTCACCATTTAAAAGTTCTATGACCTTGGAAAAATTCCCTTAATTTCTTTAAGCTTCTTTTTTATCATCTATAAAATGGTCATTAGACAGTCTACATCACAACACTTTTGTGAGAATTAAGTCACATAATTCTACTTAGAGTACTGTATCAGTTCATTCTCACACTGTTACAAAGACACACCTGAGACTAGGTAATTTATAAAGAAAACAGGTTTAATTGGCTTATAGTTCTACAGGTTGTTCAGGCTTCTGCTTCTGGGGAGGCCTCAAAAAACTTACAATCATGGTGGAAGGCAAGGGGGAAGCAGTCACATCTTCACATGGCTGGCGGGAGAGAAAGAGTGAATGGGGAAGTGCTCACACTTTCAAACAACCAGATCTTGTGAGAACTCTATCATAAGACAGCACTATGGGGATGGTGCTAAACCATTAGAAACCACCCCCATGATTCAATCATCTCCCACCAGGCCCCTCCTCCAACACTGGGGATTACAATTGGACATGAGATTTGGGTGGGGACACAGAGCCAAACCATATCAAGTACTTAGCACCACATAATAATCTGTCTTAATGTATGCTTACTGTTATTATAAAACAATCATGAAGGTTTATTATATGACAGCTACTGGCATAAGACAGGTTCTGGGGATACAGAAATGAGTAAAAAAGTCTATGTTTTCAAAGGATTGCCAATTTCAAAGCATCTGGAGCACTACATAGGATGGGATAACAGGTATCCCCAGCCATGCCAAAATCCTATTTGGAGATTCACACCCTCTCCACCATCCCTGTGGTGTTTTCAGGGGACACAGAAATGACCTGGAAGCTGAACATCAGCTGGACTGGTAACATTTATTTTCTTGTCATGTAAGCTGCTGCATCTTTCATCTGAAGTTTACTCTTCTAATTTAGAAGTTTTATTTGGGGTGGAACCTCACAGGGAAGTAAATTAAGCATTTTTGTTGTTGTTGTTTTGCTATGTTGGATTGACAAACTGACAAACTGACACAGGGGGTGTAATAGCACCTTTCCTATTCTCCTTCTTATTTATTCTCTCCCATTTCCTTCTAAGAAGGACATTTTATTGATCCTTTCCCTGAAAATCTTGGACACTGTGATGGTTGTTACAGGATGGTTTTAGGCAGCTGGGGTCCCAGAGGTTGAGTCATGCTTTGCAGTGTAGAGTTTAAGACTGACCCTCCTTTAGGTCTTTCTTCAAGTTTCTGACAAAAACGTCCACCTGATAGTTCTTCCTGCCTTGGTTACATTTTCAAAGATATTGATTTGTCTCAATAAACAATCCACCAAAATTAATAGATTTGATCAGGCAAATGGGAAGTGACTGATAGTCAAAATCCATCTTTTCCCTGTTATCATGAGGTTGCCCTATAAAGACCCAGAGTTAAGTGAATTCCTCTCTCGAGGGCTTCCATTCTTCTGGTCATTTCTGGCTGTGGCCTGCTGCTCCTGCAGGGTCCTGGAACTTGCTCATGCCTCACTTCTTGGAGCTTTGCCTATTCTCTTCCTTATGGCAATGTAGATATGGAAATCAGTCTTTTCCTCATTTCCCTCAAAAATTACTCATCCAAGATATTTTGTGTATTGCCAATTTTACTAAAGATTTAGGATACAAACTTGAATTGAGCTACAGAAATGCAAAAAAAAAAATCAGTGTTAGTCTTCCCTTTAAAAAAGATTTCCTGATTGTTTACACTAAATGGGTTGTAGGATGTGGCCATATTAGTTGGCTTGCTCTCTCCTTTCTGTTTTGTAAACCTGCAAAAATATACACTCATGTCATTTATTATTCAGGCAATGCAACTTTCTTAAATCCTACCAGCAAAGTAGTATTTTGCCCTTAAGTCTCAGCGTTGTGCTCTGCTAAACAATAGATCATCTATACTCGGTGGGGAAAAGAACAATATAAAGATTTATTTGTCATTTGATAAGAATTATGTCACCCTCTTCTTTGAAAGTAGAAGCAGCTCTAGTCAGTTTGGATTTTTAATATTGTCCCCCTTTTTAACACTTAGTGTTCAGCGGCTATTATTTTGAACTAATTTTGAGCCTCAAGAAAATGTTAACTCATTTATGGATTTTACAATTGATTGTCCACAGTATTGGGTAGTTGAAAAAAAACTACGTTTATTCCTAAATAAATAAATATAATCTCAGTTCAATGCTTTGTTTCTGTTTTTGTTTTTAGTAGACTTGCTGGAGTCCAATTCTAGATCCTCTGCACATTAGATGTCCAATCTGGGATAAGATATTTATCCTCTGAGAGATTCAGTTTCCATATCATTGATGAGGATATTAGTAACACCTGGGTTTGTCATGACGATTAAATGAAGTAACATACCTGGGTGGCGTAGATGTTCAACACACTAAGAGATGAATAACACACAAGACTTTAGAGTTGTGATCTGCATTGTGCCAGTGAGGTAGCCTGTGTTAGCTCTTGGTGTTTCTCCACCTCCAAAGCACTGACAGCTACACCAACAATCTACATGTAAGCAGAAGAGCCTTAGGAATCTTCTGGAAAATGGCTCCTTTCCACTAAAATGAGATGCAATTAAGTGGAAAGTTCAGTTCACCTAGGAGTTCACTCACAGAGATTTCCTTCTCACAGAGATTTTCACCATCCTCACAATTCAGAATATTTCTTATAACCATACTGCCTGAGAACCCTTCACGTGGACTCACTTGCTCAGATACAAATGAACAAAAACCAGAAACTTTTCCCAACTCTCCTACTGCACTCACTTTGCAGCAGGCAATGGTGACACATTCAGTCCCTATCCCCAATTTGACCATTGTTCCCTAATTTTCATTTTCCCAATGAGAGCCCATCACCCTTCTCATCAACTCCTGTTTCAAACTTAAGTGGCATGTTATTCTAAGAAACTCCAAAAGGAACTTTTGAGACTTCAGTGCCCAGGTCAGGACAGATGTCCTATTAAGTTAAAACTTACAATTCCTGGTCTACCTCAATAGAATTACATAATCTTTCATTAATTCACCAGGAAAATGCATCAGCAGAGCTCATTAATTTCTAAAGTTAAATTCACAGGGGGAAAAATTTAAGGTACAGTTTGCTCATGAATTTCTAATGACCTCTATTATTTATGTAAGAAGAGAAATAGGATCAGGTGGCAAGTAAGCATTTTTGTAGAAACGATAGGATTGGGATATAATTCCCTATGAAATCCAACTAAAAATTCCAAAGATAGAAAACTCCTAGAGTTAAGAATTATTGTTTTGAGGGTTCCTTTGGAGTTAATTTCCAATTTTATTCCACTGTTGTCTGAGAGAGTACTTGATATAATTTCAGTTTTCTTAAATTTATTGAGACTTGTTTTGTGACCTATCATATGGTCTATCTTGGTGAAAGTTCCATGTGCTGATGAAAAAAATGTATATTTTTCAGCTGTTGGGTAGAATGTCCTGTAAATATCTGTTATATCCATTTGTTCCTGGGTATAGTTCAAGACCATTGTTTCTTTTTTGAATTTCTGTCTTGATGATCTGTCTAGTGCTGTCAGTGGAGTATTGAAGTCCCCCACTATTATTGTGTTGCCAGCTCTCTCATTTCTTAGGTCTAGTAATAATTGATTTATAAATTTATATATATATATATATATATATATATATATATATATATATATTTATTTAGGATTGTGATATTTTCCTTTTAGATTGTTCCTTTTATCATTACATAATGTCCCTCTTTGTATTTTTAAAATTATTGTTGCCTTAAAGTCTGTTTTGTCTGATACAAGAACAGCTATTCCTAATCACTTTTGGTTTTCATTTGCATAGAATATCATTTTCTACTTCTTTACCTTAAGTTTATGTGAGTCCTTATGCATTAGGTGAGTCTCTTAAAGACAGCAGATACTTGGTTGGTGGATTTTTATCCATTCTGCCATTCTGTAACTTTTAAGTGGAGCATTTAGGCCATTTACATTCAACATTAGTATTGAGATGTGAGGTACTGTTTTATTCATCATGCTAGTTGTTGCCTGAATACCTTGGTTTTTTAAATTTTGTGTTACCATTTTATAGGCTTTGTGAGATTTATGTTTTAGGGTGGCCCTATTTTGGTGTATGCTGAGGTTTTGTTTCAAGATTTAGAGCTCCTTTTAGCATTTCTTGTAGTGCTGGCTTCGTAGTGGCAAATTCTCTCAGCATTTATTTGTCTGAAAGACTTTGTATCTTCTTGATTTATGAAGCTTAGTTTTGCTGGATATAAAATTTTGAGCTGGCAATTATTTTGTTTGAGGAGACTAAAGACAGAGCCCCAATCCCTTCTAGCTTGTAGGGTTTCTGCTGAGAAATCTGCTGTTAATCTAAGAGGTTTTCTTTTATAGGTTACCTGATGGTTTTACCTCACAGCTCTTAAGATTATTTTCTTCCTCTTGACTTTAGATAACCTGATGACTATGTGCCTGGGTGATGATCTTTTTTGTGTTGGATTGCTCAAGCGGTCTTTGAGCTTCTTGTATTTGGATGTCTAGCTCTCCAGCAAGGCCAGGGAAGTTTTCCTTGATTATTCCCTCAAACATGTTTTCCAAATTTTTAGATTTATCTTCTTCCTTAGGAATACCAATTAGTCTTAAGTATGGCTGTCTAACATGATCCCAAATTTATTGGAGGCTTCATTCATTATTTGATTCTTTTTTCTTTGTCTTTGTCAGATTGGGTTAATTCGAATGCCTTGTCTTTGAGCTCTGAAGTTCTTTCTTCTACTTGTTTCATTCTATTGCTGAAACTTTCAGTGCATCTTGTATTTCTCTAAGTGTGTTGTTAATTTCCAAAAATTGTGATTGTTTTATTTTTATGATATTTATTTCTCTGGAGCATTTTTCAGCTATATTCACCAAAGCAAGACTAAGCAAAAAGAACAAATCTGGAGGCATCACATTACCTGACTTCAAACTATACTACAAGGCTATAGTTACCAAAACAGCATGATACTGGTATAAAACTAAGCAAATAAACCAATGGAACAGAATAGAAACCCAAAAATATAGCCAAATACTTACAGCCAACTGATCTTCAACAAAGCAAACAAAAACATGAGGTGGAGAAAGAATATCCTATTTAACAAATGGTGCTGGGATAATTGGCAAGCCACATGTAGAAGAATGTAGCTGGATCCCCATCTCTCACCTTATACAAAAATCAACTCAAGATATCAAAGACTTAAATCTAAGACGTGAAACCATAAAATTTCTAGAGGATAACTTTGGAAAAACTCTTCTAGACATTGGCTTAGGTAAAGAGTTCATGACTAAGAACCCAAAAGCAAATGCAATGAAAACAAAGACAAATAGATTGGACCTGATTAAACTAAAAAGTTTCTGCACAGCAAAAGAAATACTAAGCAGAGTAAACAGACAACCCACAGAGTGGGAGAAAATCTTCACAAACTATGCCTCTAACAAAGGACTAATATCCAGAATCTACAAGGAACTTAAACAAATCATGAAAAAAACAATCCTATCAAACAAGAAAAAAAAATCCTATAAAAAAATGGGCTAAGAACATGAATAGACAATTCTCAAAAGAAGATATACAAATGGCCAACAAACATATGAAAAAATGTGCAACATCACTAATTATCAGAGAAATGCAAATCAAAACCACAATGAGATATCACCTTACTCCCGCAAGAATGACCATAATTTTAAAATAAAAATAAAAAAAAACCAGATGTTGCTGTGGATGCAGTGAAAAGGGGACACTTTTACACTGCTGCTGGGAATGTAAACTAGTACAACCACTATGGAAAACAGTATGGAGATTCCTTAAAGAAGTAAATATAACTGCCATTTTACCCAGCAATCCCACTACTGGGTATCTACTCAAAGGAAAAGAAGTTATAATAAGAAAAAGACACTCGCACGCACAAGTTAATAGCAGCACAATTCATAATTGCAAAAATATGGAACCAACCTACATGCCCATCAACCAATGATTGGATAAAAATGTGATATATATATATATATATATATATATATATATATATATATAAAATATATATATATTTACATACACACACACATATATACATATATATGCACACACATATATACAGTGATATATACAGTAGTATTCATATATATACATATATATATATATATAATGGAATACTACTCGGCCATAAAAAGGAACAACATATTGTCATTTGCAGCAACCTGGAGGGAGTTGGAGACCATTATTCTAAGTGAAGTAACTTAGGAATGGAAAAGCAAATACATGTTCTCACTTATAAGTAGGGGCTAAGCTATGAGGATGCAAAGGCATAAGAATAGTATAATGGACTTTGGGGACTTGGGGAGTAGGAGAAAAGTTAGGAGGGGGTGAAGGATAAAAGACTACACATTGGGTACAGTTTACACTGCCTGGGTGATGGGTACACCAAAATCTCTGAATTCACCACTAAAGAACTTTTCCATGCAACCAAAACCACTTGTTCCCCTAAAACTAGTAAAGTTTTTCAAGAAGAATTATCACCCTCTACTCTTCTAGGTAGGAGTGTGACAAACACTTGACATAAAACCTGCATACATGACTTCTCTTTTTCATTTAAATGGTTCAGAGTTTTAAAGAATGTTTGAAAATATGTATCATGCAGGATATAAGGGATTCAAACATCTGACTTATGTGTGTCTTTTTCTTCATTCAAAATGTGAAGGACTTGAATTTGAAAATGAAAGGTGAAGTCAAATTTTTCAACCATACACAGGTGAATAGTCAATGTGTTAAAGTGATTTCATTTCCACTAATTATGATAGAAAAATATGCTTGTATTACATTTGAGAAATTAGGTTAAGCAAGGTAAATATTTGGGGCTGTGAAGGTTGAAATGGAAGTCAATCTGTGAGTCTGAAGAATACCAACACTTGAATATCTTTTAATAAAAGTTATTATGTATTGGGCATTTACTATGTGGTAGGTTTATTAAGATAACTACCTTTAATCCTCTCAAATAGCCTTGAACAAGGTAAATATGACATTTGAGCTACCAGTACTCTACCAGAGTTACAAAGTCAAATTTTGGAACCCACAGCTCTCTGTCCAGAATCCAAAATGCCTTTAAGTGGAGCAGTTGCATTCTTTAAACATATTTACCATATGACCTATCACATATTTATAGTTGAGGTCTCTGACTTCAGTTTTCATTTTGAATAATGTTGAAGATCACCATAAGTCAAGTCTTTTTTGATTCTGCTCTATTTAGTGAAATTGCTATTTTTAAATTAAAATTTCAAATTACTTAAATGAAAGCAAGAAAGTCATATATGTAGATCTTATGTCAAGTGTTTGTCACACCTGATCATGAAGATCTAAGCAGACTTTTCTAGACAAATTTTACTTTAAACAATGTCCTACCCTGTTGTTATCCCTACATGTAAACAGAAACCACATACACATTGCTAGGCTCTCTTTATCCTCTTACCCCCTAAACCAGTTCCCCTGCTTCCCAGGTACTAGGCTGGCTCTCCTATGAATCCTGGCATCTTTGAACAGACGGGCTCAAGGAACATCTCTACAAGTAACTTCTTTCTGTGCTTCATCCCCAAGGGACACAACAGTGCAAAGAATGAGGCTGAGTGTGGTGTGGAT
Organism: Homo sapiens; assembly: GCF_000001405.40. NCBI lineage: Eukaryota > Metazoa > Chordata > Mammalia > Primates > Hominidae > Homo > Homo sapiens. Next base: position 34,287,037 of record NC_000013.11, read on the forward strand.
CTCTGCTGCTGAGAGAGAGAATTGAAGGCTCTTGCTTGATTATAGCACTTGAGTTCTGAAGAAATTAGGTGCGAGTGTAACTATGGTAGCTAACTCAACTCAGGATTCTTGACCTCTTCCCAGAGAAATGAAAGCCGAGTCCAAGACCCACCTGTCTCCTTGGACGATATTTAAGGACACAGACTTCATCTGCTTTACTCGTTTGTTCTCTATGCCTAACACAGTGCCTGGGCCTTGTTAGATGCCAAATAAATGATTATGTGAAAGATTTTAAAAATGGAATTTTCTCATGTTTGAGCCTCCAGGCCTAAACTGTGACATGTTTGGTCCATTTCACTAAACTAAGCAACCTATAAATAATTGTGGGAAAATGTTTGCTTCAAGCAGTGTAAACACAGGCCAAAATTATAGCCCAAATGGGAACTTTATAATATCCTTTATATGTACCCTTTCTCTCTCTCTTTGTGTGTGTGTGTGTTATATGTTCCTTAAAAAGTTTATTGTACATTGAATTATTTTAAAGAAGCTAATAAACTATAATGTTTCATGAAGTTTTCAATAAAACTTATTTGATGTGAAAATTTACCCTCAATTTAGCTTCATTGTGTTATATTATAGAATAGAAGAAAATTACCTATCACAATACTCAGTATAGTGTAGGCATTCAACAAATATTTGAATTTTAACAAGTACAAATGAAATTATTTGTAACCTAAAATATACCTAAAACTTGAATATCCTTTAAGATAAGGAACATCAAATGTCTGGAAAACAAAGACAAGATACTTCTTCCATGATGTCTATGAATTACTTGTGCTTTATAGTTTATGCCACAAGCATGTTAAAGACCTGATTTTTGTTGTTGTTGTTGTTCAGAGGTGGCTTGTTCAAGGGCGTGAATTTAAAGAACAGTAAATGCTTTACTTAGTTTACTTTGGCTTATCATTTGATGCTGAGACTCAAAAAAGGAGGAAGGCCTCATGAATCATAAGAATTTTATTCTACCAAAAGGTGTCAAATTTGGATTGGAAAATTGCATGTCATTTGTATGTTATGGAGTTTCTACAGTTTATTTTAGTGCTTTCCTGATTTCCCATGTATGACTATAACCCCCTTTTCAGTATTTGTGTGAAATCTATCTATTGAATTTCTCAATGGGTTTAAGAAGGTTATCAGTGAAGTGATGGATAACCAATAGCTACTGGATTGTAGAATAAGAGTTCAGATATAGCGGGGGGGCGGGGAATTCTTTGCTATGAAGGCTAATGTTGCAAGTATTGGAGGGTGGATATGTGTCATGACGGGTCATGACAGAGGAAAGCTGTGATGCCATTTCACACACGAACAAAATTATCGATGCTGTTGTCACAGGTAGAATTGTTTAAAGTCTATCTCTTGCATATCAGATACATTTGAGATACATATCAGATACTCAATTTCTGCTGCTTCCTAACATGTGACCTTAGGCAAATTATTTAATCTTACGCAGCTTCATTTTCCTAATCTGTGAAATAGGAATAATTATTATATCTAGTTTCTAGGGGTTTTTTTGTGAAAATAAAATGAAATTGCTCAAGGATTCCCTTGTGGAAATGCATCTTAGTTCTTTTGGGCTGCTATAACAAAATGCCATAAACTGGGTGGCTTATAAACAACAGAAATGTATTTCTCACACTTCTGAAAGCTGATAAGTCTAAGATCAAGGCAGATTCTAAGCCTCTCTTCCCGGTACATAGAAAGATGGCACCTTCTCGCTGTGTCCCTAAATGACAGGAGGAGCAAGGCAGCTCTCTGGAGTCTCTTTTATGAGGACACAAATCCCATTCATGAGGCCTCCACCCTGATGACCTAATCACTTCCTAAAGACCCACCTCCAAATACCATCACTTTGGGGATAGGATTGCAACACATAAATTTTGGGAGGAGACAAATTATTTATACCATAGGAGAATGGCTTTGTTAGAAAGACATACAGGTGTGTCCCTGGGCTTTGGTATTGGGTTCAAGAATAGATTTTCTGTGCAATAATGAGGGAGGCAGAGAAAGGAGTGTGCTAAGTACTCAGTGGGGAAGTAGCAGGAGAGAAGACAGAGCAGGCAGGCAGAGAACCAGGAAGAGACGTGACTACTGAACGCTCTTTCTCTCAATCCCCAAAGAAATTTATTCAGTAGCTCCTGCTGGATCTTGCTCTGAAGTATATTTCAAATATGATCTTTTCCCCATTTCCACTTATCCTACCAAAATCAATAGCAACTTAAGCAGTAGAAACTAAGAATAAGAGTAGCCTTGTTCTTACATGAACCTAGAGTAAAAGCAACAAATGCTCCCTTCTGAGGGAACAAGCACTAGAATTGCATTGGGGCCACCATAATGACCATTTTACTTGTTGAGTTACAGTTATATCTTGAATGTTGATAAGCAATGCTCTAATTCTCTGGGCTGCCTGGAAGGTAGCTTCTCAAAGTGCATCCTTTCTCCTTAATTCATGATATTTCCATAGAATGTATCTCTATCTATTGAGAGGTAGCCTAGTGTGCCTGACTATGCCCTGTAACATGAAAGCATATGGGTACTGTGCTGGTCTTCCAGGATCTCGTTGCAATATAAGTTGTATTCAACTCTTATAGGAAATTGACAAAATATGAGCATGAAGCAGGGAATCCTATAGTTATATCCACAATGCCTGGAAGGACATGCAGATACGTCCTTTACTGAAAAGAGATCCCCAAGTACACAAACAAAGTACAGAGAGAAGGGTAAAATTGTTTTGCAGGTGGTTACTATGTTTTGTTGTTTTATTTTTGCATGAAGTCACCTATCGGTTCATACAGAATCAACCTCACATGGGCCTGTGAGTATCTTTTCACTTTGATTGTCCTATCTCTTCTCCCTTGGCATTGTTCTTGGTCTTTTAAGCCTCTTGCCTCCTTTCAGGGCTCTAAATATCTGCTAGGGCATTCTTTGGAGATTCCTAAAGGCACCTAAGGGGCTCTGTGGGACTCCTTGTATCCCAAGAGTTAGTTGCTTGGGGCAGTCTTTAAGTCCTTCAAGTTCTTCCCAAGGAAATATACCAAAGAGGACTTTTTTTTCCTACTGGCACTGACCACTTCCTGTGAGTTATTATGCTTCCATCCTGTTTTACCAGTGATAGAGAGAGGAAGAATTAACAAAGAAGGAGGCAGGGAAGAAATCCCATCTTGTCATCTATGTATGAAAAGGCACTGCCATGGTTACACTGTTTTAGGTTGCAGTTAATAAACACTGACAAATTGCCTATGAGCATTTTATTCCTGTTATGCTAATATGTAAATATTAGATTTTAGTTTCTCTGTTTCTAATGTATGGGGGAGCCTGGATTCATCATAGGAGGGATAGAAGATGGAGACTGTGGTTTGGAGGCACAGTTCCTGTAACAGCTTACTCTGTTGATTTAATAATGTATTTTCCCCAAGCAGTATTTGCCTTCTGCACCTATGCCAGATACCACAGTGTGACTGTTTAATTTGCAAAATCTATAATGAAGGTGAATGGCAACTAGCAGCATGCAAGATAGTCTAGATTACAGAATCACAATTAAGGTAAAAAGGCCTCATCAATATTGGTCATCACACATTGAGCCATCACTTTTGAGAAAGAACATAATATTCAACCCATTGTCATAATCACCAGCTGTAATTAACATTCCACAAGCCTGTTTCTTCCCATGCCTAAACTCTCCCAGTTCACAAAAAAACTCTACTTCCTCTCCTCTCAAAAACCTGCATTCCTTTTCAGGCCAGAGAATACAATTTGTACCTTTGTGCAGTGCCCTACAAAATCAAGGATCAGTGACCAACAGCCCCTGGGCTGGAACTGGAGCTCTTGAAACTGCACATAATAAGTTGTAGTGATTAAGAAGGTAAGGAGAAATAGGACTGAACTTTAACTGTGATTCTCCTGGTGAGTATTTGCAAAAGCTCTCAGGGCCATCACTTGAGGGTTTCTTTTTTAGCAGCTGGAATTCACTGACATAGAAAGGAAAATCTTCAGAGCCTTTTATATTGTCCTGATAAAGCCACACAAGGTTCAAACTGGTTATACCAACCCTTTCTGAGAAGTTCAGAGCATCTCAATGAAGGACCCTTATCCATGAGTTACAGCCTCCTTCTCATAAACATCCTTATAGGTCGTCATGCTTGATGGTGTGTGACTCTGCCAAAGAGAAGAATTGAATTAGGTTGAGTCCTTGACCACAGAACAAAATGTGTATGCTGGTGAGTGGCCTGAAGGATGGAACATGATAAACATATGTACCCAACTAGAATCTTCCTTGCTGGATGATGGCTGTCTAATCCAATTGTATCTCCTGTCTCTTAAGGAGTCTGAATGCAAAACTGTAAATAACTCAACACAGAGAGCAGAGTATTGTATAAATCAGTACACACAGCTATAAGAAACAAACAAAAAACAACTAGGTTGTATAGGCTAAAAGAATTTATTAGAAGAATGTTGGAGTGCCCAAGATTGATTTGAGACTAGAGGACTAGGCTGGGGAAATAGGCAGGACCCATGGATCTGTGGAAGACTGGATGGCAGGAGACACAGAAGGAGCCATGCAGCAGGATCACAGTGCACCTGAGGCATTGTGCTGTAGCGATTGTGAAATGACCTCCAGACATCTCTTATAACATTGATTGGTTTTCTCTGAGATTCAAGGACCCCAAACTCTACATCAAATATCCATTCCTTAGTTATCCAGGTAGAGAATGGGACAGGCTGGCTCCAGCAGTCTTTGCAGCAGGAGCTGGGTACTAGCCCCTTTAATGATCATACACAACGAAAGATTATTCTGAGAGATCAAAGTGCCATTTGGAAGAGGGGCTTGGAATATTTGTCACCTACAAATTCTGTATGTGAAATGCCAACTGTCTTCACTCCTTTTTGCTGCTTAACATACACACTTACACCCTTCTTCCCAAATCTACATGAAAATTAGAAAACAAAACAAAACAAAAAACTCCATGGCCTATACAATGCCACTGTGCTTCACATTTCAGTAAACTGCTCACCTCTGCTTTGTAAGAATTCTACTCAAATTCATATAAATTACTTGCTTCAGCTCTGAGTTGAGGATTTCTGGCCATTCACTGACTTTCTAGAATTATCAAACCAACTTCATCATAATATTCACCTACATTTCTTGTGTCTAATAGAAGGAATGACAAGGAAAGACAAGGGAAATTGGTTAAAATATATAAATATAATCATTAACTATTAAGGAAGGGAATAGGGTGGCAGATACAGTTTTTGTTTCTGAAATTATTATGAGCTGAATTTATGACTCCCATCCTGCCTTACCATATTCCCCCTGCATTTGGCAAGAACATTAGATGGACAGTGTTCTTTGAGTATTAAAATATCAATTTAATTTCTGATGGATCATGGCCACAAATGGCCAAGAAGTATTATCAACTTCCTAATTCAATAGTATCATGGCTATGTTTCCTGTTAAAAGCAGTCTTTGCTTAGGGACTAAAACATCGAAACCAATGGAGTCCAGATTTGCATGCTGACTAAAACTCACCATGAGTTAGGAACTGTTTCTTGAGAGAATATTACATACTTGCAAAAGGCCATAGCTTTGTTCTAAAAATATGAATCTTCTGTGATTTCCCTGTACAGGCTTGCCACAGCTATACACAGCATCACAATCTGGCACAAACGCTTCAAACAACACTGAACCTACAGGGTCATAAAAGTTGAATACCATAGTCTAGACCTGTTGAGAATTTTCTCTTGCTCTAGACTCTTAAAACAGAAGAAAGTTTTGTTTCCCAGAAAATGCCTTGAACATCAAATACAAATATAGTTCATATTGCTTTCAAAATCCAAGTAAGGCCACCTAGCTTCTTGATATAGAGCACGGTTGATTTTTTTCATTTTGGAGGAGATATTCCAAAATGTCCCTGGCTACTGGAATGCCACAAATTCCGCTGAGAAATTATTTCTTACCTTACTGCCAAGGCATCTAGTGTACTAAAAACACTTGCTTTCCAAGACCTATTGGCATGATGTCATCAAAATGCTAGACTGAGAAAGCCAAGGTTCATATGGATTTAACTGAAGTCCAAAACTAGTAGGTTGACATGTCCCTGAGTTAAACATTTGTCAAATGAAAGCAAATTTCTGTTGTTCCCTGCTTATTGGAACAAAGTAAAAAGAATAGACAAAATCAAAGGTTGGATATCAGGTGTTCAACAATTATGACCATATCTGTAATGTCCAATCCAATTGGAGGTGCACTCGTCTAAGTGGTCCACTGTTATACTACTAGATTCACCTATTTTGTATTATTCATACCAGATAATTAAATGGAAATACAGTAAGATTCTATACCTCTGCATGTTTGCAGTATTTGATGATGGTCCTAATCTCTATGATTTCCTCAGGGATATTGAAATGTTTTTTTATTTACTATGTGAATAATGAAGAATAGCTCCAATAGAATTCCAATGGCCTTTCTGACAATCCTTAGTTATGGATCAAAGAGCCAATGGGCTCACATATTAATAATAAAAAGAAAATAACCAAATTAAAAGAGATCTGTGTAGATATTTCTCCAAAGAAAACATACAAAGCCTAACAAGCACATGAAAAGATTCTAAACATCATTAGTCAAGGGAAATGCAAGTAAAAACCACAATTAGATACCATTTCTCACCCACTAGGACAGCTATCATAACATAGAGATAATGAGAAGTGTTGGTGAGGATGTGGAGAAGTCAGAACCCTAATACACTGCTGGAGGGAATGTAAAATGGTGCAGCCACTTTGAAAAACAGTCTGGCAGTATCTTAAAAAGTTAAACATACCATTTAACCCAACAATTCCACTCCTAGGAATATATCCAAAAGTAATGAAAACATACATCCACCCAAAACGTGTACATAAATGGTCATAGCTACATTATCCATAATAACCAAAAGGTAGAAACAAACCATATATCCCTCAACTGATAATAGATACACCAATGTGGTATATACATACAATGGAATAATACTTGGCTATGAAAGGGAATGAAGTATACATGATACTATATGGGTGAACCTTAAGAACATTATGCTGGCTGGGCATAGTGGCTCACGTCTGTAATTCCAGCACTTTGGGAGGCTGAGGTGCGTTGATCACTTCAGGTCAGGAATTCGAGACCAGCCTGGCCAACATGGTGAAACCCCGTCTCCACTAAAAATACAAAAATTAGCCAGGCATGGTGGCCCGTGCCTGTAGTCCCAGCTACTCAGGAGGCAGAGGTGAGAGAATCCCTTAAACCAGGAGACGGAAGTTGCAGTGAGCTGAGATCGCACGGTTGCACTCTAGCCTGGGTGACAAAGTGAGACTCCATCTCAAAAAAAAAAAAAAAAAAAGAACATTATGCCAAGTGAGAGAGAAGCCAGACATAAAAGACCACACATTATGAATAATCTTCACTTTTATACTAGAACATATTAAGTTACTTTGAAATCATTTGATCCCTTTGGGTCTAACTTGTAATATTTACAGGCATTACAGGCATTGGTGAGCCTAGATATAATTATTCTCCAATACTAAAGCAAAACTCTTTTGTGCACTCTACCAACACCGTATGAATCATGAAGTTTTTCCAACTGGCTGGAGGGAATAGGCACTACTCCCAGTCCTGTAAGAGCATTGAGTACTGTTGTCTCTAGTTCTTTCACACGTTTCTTTCACCAACCTTGAATAATTTACTCACACAAATGGACTAATCAGTAATCAACTGAATATGCCAGGGAAATCCACTACAGTTTTCTTAAATCTCCCCCTGTGTAGCTCTCTTCTTCCTGAAACATTGTCCAGTGAACGCTAGCAGCTTCTGTCTCTGCAAACACTGGCTCTTCGGCTGGGAGCAGCTGTTGGGCTCTGCTTAGAGTTCCCCTGCCGACTTGCTCCCTGCACACCCTCTCAGTGCAGTAGCTTGGGGGAAATGGAGGATTGACTTTGTTTCCCATCTTTCAGGAATTACTGTTTTGCATTGCATTATGTTCAGGATCTATAAAAACTATTGATTCCTCTGTGTTAGGATTGTTTCAGGGAGGAAGATACATATAGTTTCTTTACACCATCTTATCTTAAAGCCAAAGTCTTGTTCCATGGTTCTATACATCTAACTTTATGATAATCTCACTCTCTTGACTATTGTAATTTTATAGTAAGTCTTAAAAGCAGGTAGTGTATGCTCTCTAAGTATGTTCTTCCTTTTAAAGATACGTTCTTCCTTTTAAAATATATTTTCACTATTCTATGTCGTTTAGTTTCAGATATAAAGTTTAGAATCAGCTTGTCAATTTCTGCGAAGTAGCCCTGTGGGATTTTGAATAAAATTGTATTGATTTTAAGAAAATATTGAAGAAAATGGTGTTTTGATAATATTTGAGCCTGCCAATCAATGGACATAGTATATAGTTCCACTTATATAGGAATTTATTAGTTTCTCTTAACAACGTTTACAGTTTTGTTTATAAATATTGCACTTAGTTAAATTTTTTCTAAGTATTCCATGTTTTGAAAATATAAATTGTATTTTGATTTCAATTTTTAATTTTTTATTTCAAATATATGGATATTTAATTGAGTTTTAAATATTTATTTTATATTCTATCACCTTACTAAGCTCACTTATTCGTTGAGTAGCTTTTTAAAAAATTCCGTAAGATTTTCAATCTAGGTAATCAAATTACCTGCAAATATAGTTTTACTTTTTCTTATTCAATCTTCATATTTTTATTTCTTTTTAATTTCTTATTGTATTAGCTAGGACTTGCTATATAATGTTGAATAAAAGTGGATTAGAATGGACATATTTGCTTTGCTTCCAATTGTAGGTAGAAACCATTTGATACTCCACTATTAAGTATGCTGTTTTCTTTGGGTTTTTCACAGATGCCTTTTATCAGGTTGAGAAAGCTCCATTCTGTTTCTAGATTGCTCAGGGTTTTCTTCATAAGTGTGTGTTGACTTTTTTCAAATACTTTCTGCATCTATTAGGATGACAATATAATTTTTAGTTTTTATTCTGTTAACATGCATATATATTTTCTTTCCTTTTCTTTTGTTTTATTGTTTGTTTGTTTTGTTTTTGAGATGGAGTTTCACTCTTGTCACCCAGGCTGGAGTGCAATGGTGCAATCTCAGCTCACTGCAACCTCTGCCTCCCGGGTTCAAGCGATTCTCCTGCCTCAGCCTCCCGGGTAGCTAGGATTACAGGAATCCGCCACCACGCCCAGCTAATTTTTGTATTTTTAGTAGAGACGGGGTTTTGCCATGTTAGCTAGGCTGGTCTTGAACTCCTGACCTCAGGTGATCTGCCCTCCTTGGCCTCCCAAAGAGCTGGGATTATAGGCGTGAGCCACTGCACCCAGCTAACATGCATATATATTTTCTATTATAATCTGTTAATCAAGTGAGTTACATTTACTGATTTTGCAATGTTAAGCAAACTACCTTTTTGGTATATTTTTTCTGCCATATTTTTATGGTGTACTACACCTTTTATATATTGCTAGATTTGATTTGCTAATATTTTGTAAATAAATATCTGAGTCCATATTGATGAGGGATATTGATCTGTAGTTTTATTTTTTCTTACAATGTCTTTTCTGATTTTGGTGTTAGAATAATTGTGGACTCATAAAATGGGTTGGAAATTGTTTCTATCCATATATATAAAGAAATAATTTGTACATAATTGGTCCTATTTATTTCTTAAATGTTTATGGAATTCACCAGTGAAGACATCTGACCTATTGTTTTCTTTATGGAAATATTTTAAACTATGAATTCAATATATTTAATAGATACATGGCAATTGAAGTTATCTATTTCCTCTTGAGTGAGCTCTGATAGTTTGCATCTTTCAAGGAGTTGGTTCATTTAATCTAAGTTGTAGATTTGGTGACACATTATTTAGAATATTCCTCTTTCTGTTATTAATTTTTAGTTTAGTTCTTTTGTGGTCATAGAAATACATAGGAAGACTTGAATTCTTTTAAATCTATTGAAACTTGTTTTATGAGCCAGAATATGGTCTATCTTAGTGGTTATCCCATATGTACTTGAAAAGAATGTGTATTTTTCTGTTGTTGGATGAAGTCCATTGTGAATGAGTTAAACTTCATAACAATGTTGCTTAAGTCTTCTATTTCTTTAGTGATATTTTGCTCCCTCTTCCCCAAATTACTGAGTAATGACTGTTGAAATATCTAAATAAAATTGAATTTTTAATTTCTCTTCTACTTTCAATTAGCTTTTGTTTTATCTATTTTGAAGTTCTGTATTTAGGTGCTTATGCAGTATTGTTAGGTCTTCTTGTTGGATCAACTCCTTTAAGTATCCTTCTTTATTCCTTCATTATTCACCTTTGATCTGAATTCCTTTTGGTCTGACATTACTTTTGAAACTTTAGCATTTATTTAATTAGTGTGTGAACGGTCTATCTTTTTGCATTTTCTAACTTATTGGTGACTACATATTTAAAATGGGTTTCTTGTAAATGGTAGACTTCTTGTAAACAATATTTAGCTGAGTTTTTTCTCTTAATGCAATCTAATCAATTGATATTTTTAATTGTTGTTGTAACCCATGTACATTTAATGTAATTATCAATATATTGGATTTAAAGCTACCATTTTGCTATTTTCCTTATATTTTTTCCATCTGTCTTTGGTTTTCTTTTTCATCATTTGGTGCCTTTTATGGAAGAGAACTAAAAAATTATCTTATACTTTTAAAAGCCATACCATTGTACCTCTACTACTGACTTTTAATTTATATTTTTTGTTTCATTATTTTGTGGTTTCTGTGAGATTTATAATATAAATTTTTAAGTTGTTATAGTCTATCTTCAAGCACTATTATACTGAATAATGTATAATTCAGGAACTTTTCAACAGTATACTTTTATTCCACTCTTCTACTTTTTGTTATGTTTTGTCTTGATTCTGTTATTGTTCTTATGAATTTTACTTGTGCATATGCTGTAAACCCCAAATATATTGTTATTAGTTTTGAATTGTGATTCATCTTTTAAAAATACTAAAAATGGAAAAAAACATATTTACATATTTGACTTTTCTGATGCTCTTCATTTCACCATATAGATTCAAGTTTTCACTTGATAACTTTTAATTTCATCCTAAATCATTTTCTTTAACATTTGTTTTGTTTTTGTTTTTGTTTTTGTTTTGAGATGGAGTCTTGCTCTGTCACCCAGGCTGGAGTGCAATGGCATGATCTCGGCTCATTGCAATCTCTGCTTCCTGGGGTTCAAGAGATTATTCCACCCCAGCCTCCCAAGTAGCTGAGATTACAGGCACTTCCCATCATGCCCGGCTAATAGTATTTTTGTAGAGATGGGGTTTCACCATGTTGGCCAGGCTGATCTTGAACTCCTGACCTCAGGTGTTCCATCCACCTTGGCCTCCCAATTCTTTAATATTTCTTGTAATGCAAGACTGCTGGCAATAAATTCTCTAAGCTTTTGCCTGTCTGGAAGAAACTTGATTTAACATTTATTTTTCAAAGCCACCTCTATTGCATATAGAATTGCAGGTTGATAATGTCTTTCAATACTAAAAAGGTGTTACTTCATTGTCTTTTTGGATAACATGTTTTCAGATGAGATATCTACTATAAATTGTTCTTTTTCTGGATATAATGTATTATGTCTTTCTGGTTGCTTTAAATATTTTAATTACTCATTTTCAATAATGTCATAATAATGTGTCTTGGTGTAGGTTTATTAATGTTTATTTTATTTGTGGCTTATAGAGCTTCTTTGATCATGGATTTACAGTTTTCATCAAATTTTACATGTTTTGACTTGTTATTTCTTCAAGTGTTTTTTGGTCTCAACTTCTCTCTTTCTCTGTCTTTCTATCTCTATCTCTCACTCCCTTAATTGAATTGCACATTTATTAGAGTGACCAATGGTGTCTCACAGGTCCTGAAGTTTGTTCTTTTTAAGTGTCTTTAAAAAATTGTGCTACTTCATTTTGGTTAGTTTCTATTGTATTCAAGTTTACTGATCTTTTCTTTGTGTGTCTAATCTGCTGTTAATCGCTTCTAATGTATTTTTTATTTTATCACGTTGTGCTTTCAATCCCTAGAAGTTTAACTTGGATCTTTTAAAAATTTTTAATCTTTCTTATCATTTATGCTTACCTTTAAATACTTAAGCATATTTATAATAGGTATTTTAAGGTCCCTGTCTACTAATTCAACTATGTTCTTTGTTTCTTTCTATTGATTTTCTTGATTAAAGGTCATATTTTCCTGCTTTCTTTTATGCCTAACAATTTTTTTGTGCCAGACACTGAAATTTATCATTTTTTACATTGAATTTTTCTGATCCCATTAAAGAGTTGAATTTCTGGCATATGGTTAAGTTACTTGCAAGTCTATTTAATCCTTTCAAGGCTTGTGTTTAAGTTTTGTCAGGATTAGTTCTGAGCAACCTTTATTCTAGGTATAACTTAGCCTAACTATGAAAAGAGAGCTTTCTAAAGATACTATCCAATACCCTATGTAGTACAAGGTCTCTTCAGTCTGAGTGATGGGGGAAAATATGTGTGAGCCTGGGGAATTTTTCAACCTACTTCTTTTCTAGCTCCTTTCTCCAGCCTTGTAGAGTTTCATTCCAGGCATGCACTGAAAAGGTTTGCTCAAAGATTCAAGAACATTTCTTGCAGGTCTGTGTAGCCTTTGCTCTACGTAGCTTCCTCCTCTCCAATACTGTACCCCACAAATTTTAATAATCTTGGTTTTCTTAAGTTTCAATCTTAGTCTCAACTCAGCCAAGTCTTTGGGTGTGGTGATCTAAACTGCATCTGCATTAGGGAGCACTTCAAGCAGAAGCAACCTACTTGGCTCTGCTTGAGTTCTTCTTCTTGCATTGCAGCATGGAAACTTGATAGTTAGCAACAGAAATTGACATTTCATTTTTTAATTTAGTCATTTAATAAACATTTATTGAGCACCTACTCTGTACTAGGCATTGCTTGAAGTACTAAATACTCACAGTGAATAAAGTAGAAAAATTTCCCAGCCTCATGAACTTGACATTGTAATGTTTTACAAAAAAAAGGGGGGAGAGGAACTTATGGGACCAATATCTCTAAGAGGCACAGAGGAAATATAGATATATAGGAAATGCAGAGAGTCTGGAAGATAAACAGGAGTCAAGGAACAAGAGCAATATATACTGCACATGTGACTGCTGTTGAGATGAATAGCCTTCTAACCATCTACGAATTCTTGTATCATTTGCTCAAGATTTGAAGTCTTAGAAAAAAGAGCCATATTAACAAAATCTAAGTCAGTGCTCACCTCCTGAGTCCTCAAAGGCAGAAAGAGAAAGGAACCAGGACCTAACTTCTGCAGTGGAAATGAGGCATTATTTCTCCCACGGTGACACAGAATCAAGAAGTGTTTATAAGGGGGATTAGGAAGGAGAGTTGTGAAGAGATAATGCACTGTCAGAAAAATGACAAAATTCACTACAATTGCATAGGAGAGTTGAGACTCACAGAGATGACAGAAAGGAAGAAACAAAAAGAAAGTAGAAGCTGCATTCAAGAGCCAGAGAAAAAAGAGTAGTAGTCAGTTACTCATTAGCCGAAACAAAATAAACAAAAAGGAGAGGAGAACTGAGTTCTGAGCAACTGGAGTGGTTGTTATGTCATTTGCAGTGTTGCAGGCTAACTAGAGCTACTGCTGTGTTCTGGATAGCAATGACTGATGTTCCCACTGCTTAGGAGGACTGGATTTATGACAGATATGACATATTTCTCTCCCTTTCTATTCCCATATGTATTTGTGAACCTGTCCTTGAAAAAAGAAACTGGAGTATATCTTCTCCTTGATATCTGAAAAAGCTGAACAAACCCTGCTTTTCCAAATAATGAGGAAGTTATGTAAGGACCAAGAAATGTTGGAAGCTCTCCAACAGGGTGGATGTTTTTGGTCTCGGTAACTGAGGGATCCCACTCTTAATCTCATGGGGAACCTCCACATCTTTCCACCTACAATGGGATTGCTATTCTAGGACTTTCATTTTAAAGGATATAGCAAAAGATATCAATGTTGTACTATTGTTTCACTGTTGACTTCCCAGAAAACATAATTTACTCAAAATAAGTCACTGGGCATGGAAATTTTCAAGAAATTAAGTGTACTACTTTGATTTTAGGCTTTTCTTTTTTTGCCATATCAGAGGGTTAGACACAGTGGAAGTCCTCTCCAAAGAATCCACTCTTCCCTTAAGCATAATTGGCTGGAAGTTGGGAGTTTGAAAAGTGGAGAGGACAATTAAAATCAATGACAAAATTTAGATTCCTGCCAAGACTAGCTCGCCCAGTTAACAAACGGCACTAAGATGCCTGTGGTGCACCGAGAACACCCTGGGCTAGCTGGCTGCTCAGCTGGCGATGCACTAATTGCTTTTATTAATGAGGTGAACTCCCCTTCCTCCACTGATGTTTCTTGAACTTCCATCTCATGCTCAGTTGGTGAAGCATAACCACTACAAGCCAAACCAAAATTATAGTATTTTTCTCCTCATCAAAATCAGTGAGCATGTTTTGAATGAAGAAATGGGAAAAAAGGTAAATTTGAGTTTCTCATTATTATTTTAAATCGTGATCATTTTAGAGTCAAAGATCGAGGTATTATCAAATGAATTTAAAATGACTAAGACATGGAGGGCTCAGAGGCAGAGCAAGATGGCAGAATAGAATGCTCCACCAATCATCCCCGCTTCAAGGACACCAATTTAACAACTATCTACATTTTAGAAAAGCACCTTCATAGGGACCAAAAATCAGGTGAGCATTCACAGTACCTGGTTTTAACAGTACCTGGTTTAAACTTTAATAGTGCTGAAAGAGGCACTGAAGAGATAGGCAAAGCAGTCTTGAGTTGCTAATGCCATTCCTCTTCCATTTCCTGGCAGCAGCTGCTTGTCACAGAGAAAGAATCTATGTGCTTATGAGAGGAAGAGTGCAGCAATTGTGAGACATTGCACTGGACTCAGTGCTGCTCTATTATAGCAGTAAGTAAAACCGGACCAAAGTCACCAGATGCCCACCCACAGAAGGAGTATCTAAACCAGCCCTATCCAGAAGAGAATTGCTTATCCCAGTGGTCAGAACTCCAGTTTCTATAACCCTGGCCACCTCAGACTGGAGTGATCTGGGGCCGTAAGTAAGTTTGAAAGGAAATCTGGATCTTAAGGACTGTAACTCCTGGGTGAGTCCTAGTGCTGAACTGGTCTCAGAGCCAGTGCACTAGAGGGGCATGCAACCTCTTTTGGAGCTTGTGACTCCAAAAGAGACATTTTCCTTCTACTTGAGGAGAGGAGAGGAAAGAGTGGGGAGGACATTGTCTTACATCTTGGATACCAGCTCAGTCACAGCAGGATAAGGCACTGGTCAGCATTGTGAGGCCCCTTTCCAGTCTCTATCTCCTGGAGGACATTTCTAGATGTACCCTGGGCCAGAAGGGAACCCACTGCCTTGAAGAGAAGAACTCAGTCCTGGCAGGATTCATCACTGGCACTGAAGAGGCTTTGGTCCCTGAATAAGCAGCAGTAATACACAGGTAGCACATTATGAGACTTGGGTGAGTCTAATACACAGGCAGTATGTCATGGGCCTTGAGGGAGACTTTCTGGCTTCAGGTGAGAATCAGCACATTCACAGCTATGTTGAGTACAGGGAAAGATTCCTTTTGCTTGAGAAAACCAGAGGGAAAATTAAAGGGCCTTTGTCTTGCACCTTAGGAACCAGCTCTACCACAGGGAGGTACAGTACAAAGCAGGCCCTTGGGGTCCCTGATTCCAGGCCTTGGTTCTTGGATAACATTTCTGGACATGTCCTGGACCAAAGGGGAGCCCATTGCCTTGAAAGGTTTGTCCCAGACCGGGAAGCTTTCATCCCAACCTGACTTAAGAGCCCTTGAGTCTTAAGGAAACAGTGGAGGTGGCTTGGCAGTACTCCCTATGTGCCTGTGGTGGGCTGTAGCCATGGGGTGAGGCTCCTCTAGCTTTGGAAAGGGGATGAAAGAGTGAGAAGGACCACATCTTGGGGTTTGTGTGCCAGCTCAGCTACAGTACAATAGAACACCAGGTAAATTTCTAAGGTTTTTTAATGTAGTCCCTGGCTCCTGGATGGCATCTCAGGACATGCCCAGAGCCTGGGGTAACTTGCCACCTGAAAAGAAGGACACAAGCTTGTCAGGCTTCACTATCTGCTGGTTGTGGAACCCCAGAGCCTTGAGCAAACACAGGTGATAGCCAGGGAGTGGTTACAGCAGGCCTTGGGTGAGATCCAGTGTTGTGCTAACTTCAGGTCTGACTCAGTGCAGTCATAGTGGTTGTACCCACAGGGGTGCTTATATTTCTTAACCCAAAGCTCCAGGTGTGGGATAAAGTAAGGGAAGAGAACATGAGGCTCTGCATAATAATCTAAAGAATTCTCCCAGATTATGTCAAGACCATAAGGCAATACCTCTACAAGTCTGCAAGAACCACAGTGTTACTGGGCTTGAGGTGCCCCCTAATGCAGATGCAGCTTAGATCACCACACCCAAGTCTTTTCAAATACCTGGAAAGTCTTCCTAAGAAAGGCAGGTACAAACAAGCCTAAACTGTGAAGGCTATGATAAATACCTAAGTCTTCAATGCCTAGACACAAAAGAACATGCACAAGTATCAAGGACATTCAGGAAAACATGACCTCACAAAATGAACAAAATACGTCACCAGGGACCAATCCTGAAGAAATCGAGGTATATGAACTTTCAAACAGGGAATTCAAAATAGCTGTTTTGAGGAAACTCAAAGAAATTCAAGATAACAGAGAGAAAAAGTTCATAATTCTATGAGATAAATGTAACAAAGGCATGGAAATAATTAAACAGAATCAAGCAAAAATTCTGGAGCTGAAAAATGCAGCTGACATATTGAAGAATGCATCAGAGTCTTTCAATAACAGAATTGATCAAACAGAAGAATTAGTGTGAAGATAGGCTATTTTGAAATACATAGTCAGGAAACCAGAGAAAAAAAGAATAAAAAACAATGACGCACACCTATAGGATCAAGAAAATAGCCTCAAAGGGAAAATCTAAGAGTTATCGCCCTGAAAGAGGAGGTAGAGAAAGAGATAGGGGTAGAAAGTTTATTCAAAGGAATAATAACAGAGAACTTCTTAAACCTAAAGAACAATATGAGGATCCAAGAACAAGAAGGTTATAGAACATCAAGCAAATTTAACCCAAATAAGAGTATCTCAAGGCATTTAATCATCAAACTCCCAAACAACCTAATGATGCATCTTAAAGCGCTGGAAAAGCAAGAGCAAACCAAACTCAACATTAGTGGAATAAAATAAGTAATAAAGATCAGAGAAGAAATAAATGAAATAGAAACGAAGAGAACAATTTAAAAAGTTGTGTTTTTTTTGAAAAACTAAATAAAATTGACAAACCTTTAGCCAGACTAACTCAGAAAAAGAGAAAGAAGATTCAAATAAATAAAATCCCAGGTAAAAAATGGGACATTACAGCATATACCGCAGAAATTCACAGGATCATTAGGGGCTACTATGGCTACTATCTGCCAATAATTTGAAGATCTAGAAGAAATGAACAAATTCCTAGACACATACCAAGATTGAACCAGGAAGAAATTCGAAACATGAACAGACCAATAACAAGTAACAAGAGCTAAGTTGTAATCAAAAGGCTTCCAGTAATTTAAAAAAAAAAAAAGCCTATGAGCTGACTTTAAATGACCAAACCTTTAAAAAAGAACAAATACCAATTCTATTGAAACTATTTCTAAAAGTGGTGGAAAAGGGAATACTTCCAAACTTATTCTACGAGGCCTCTATTACCCTGATATGAAAACCAGACAAACACACATGAATAAATAGGAACTACAGGCCAATATCACAGATGAATATTAATGCAAAAATTCTCTACAGAATACTAGCAGACTGAATTCAACAACACATTAAAAAGACCACTCATCAGAACCAAGTGGGATTTATCCCAGGGATGCAAGAATGGTTCAGCATATGCAAATCAATCAATATGATACATCATATTAACAGAATAAAAGACAAAAACCATATGACCATTTCAATTAATGCTGAAAAAGCATTTGATAAAATTCAACATCCCTTCATGATAAAAACCCTGAAAAAAACTGGTATTGAGGGAACATACCTAAACATAATAAAAGTCCTATACAACTTTTGTGTGTCCTATGATACACAGCTAGCATCATACTGAATGGGGGACAAATGAAAGCCTTTTCTCTAAGATCTGGAACACAACAAAGATGTCGTCTGTCACCATAATTATTCCATATGGTACTGGAAACCCCAGCTAGAGCAATTAGACAAGAGAAAAAATAAAGGGCATCCAAACTGGAAAGGTGGAACTCAAATTATCCTTGTTTGCAGATGATATGATCTTATATATGGAAAAACTTAAAGACTCCACCAAAAAACCCCAAAACTATTAGAACTGACAAACAATTTGTAAAGTTCCAGGATACAAAATCAACATACAAAAGTTAGTAGCATTTTTACATGCTAACAATGGGCAATCTGAAAAAGAAATTAAGACAATAACTTCATTTATCATAGCTACAAATAAAATAAAATGCCTAGAAATTAGCTTAACCAAAGAAATGAAATATCTGTACAATGTAAACCACATAACACTGATGCAATAAATCAAAGACGAAACACAAAAATGGCAAAACATTCCATGTTCATGGATTGGAAGAATCAATATTGTTAAAATGTCCATACTACCCAAAGCAATCTATAGGTTTAATACAATTCCTATCAAAATGTCAATGACATTCTTCACAAAAAAAAAATCCTAAAGTTTATATGGAACTACAAAAGACTCAGAATAGCCAAAGCTATCCTAAGCAGGAAGAACAAAACTGGAGGAATCACATTACCTGACTTGAAATTATACTACAGAGCTATATTAACAATAATAACATGGTGCTGGCATAAAAACAGACACATAGACCAGTAGAACAGAATAAAGAGCCCATAAATATACTCGTAAACTCACACATCTACAGTGAACTTATTTTTGACAAAGATTCTAAGAACATACATTGGGGAAAGGACAGTCTCTACAATAAATGGTGCTGGGAAAACGGGGTATTCATACGCAGAAGAATGAAACTAGACACCTCTCACCTTACACAAAAATCAAATAAAAATGGATTAAATACTTAAATCTAAGACATCAAACTATGAAACTACTACAAGAAAACATTGTGGAAACTCTCCAGGACATTGGAATGGGCAAAGACTTCTTGAGCAATACCGACAGGAACAGACAAAACAACAACAACTACAACAAAAAACAAACCAGAAATGGACAAATAGGATCACATCAAGTTCAAAAGCTTCTGTACAGCAAAAGAAACAATCAACAAAATGAAGAAACAACCCCCAGAGTGGGAAAAATATTTGCAACTACCTATAAGACAAGGGATTAATAACCAGAATATATAAGGAGCTCAAACATCTCTATAGGAAAAAATCTAATAATCTGATTAAAAAATGGGCAAATACCTGAATAGACATTGCTCAAAGGAGCCATACAAACAGCAACAGGTATATGAGAAGATGCTCAACATCATTGATCATCACAGAATTGCAATCAAAACTACAATGAGATATCGCCTCACCCCAGTTAAAATGGCATTTATCCAAAAGACAGACAATAACCAATGCTGGCAAGGATGTGGAGAAAGGGGAGCCCTCGGATACTGTTGGTGGAAATGTAAATTATTACAGTCACTTTGAAGAACAGTTTAGAGGGTCCTCAAAAAGCTAAAAATAGAGGTACCATATGATCCAACAATCCCTCTGCTAGGTATAAACCTAAAAGAAAGGAAATCAGTATATCAAAGACTATTCACAATAGCCAAGATTTGTAAGCATCCTAAGTGTTCATCAACAGATGAATGGATAAAGAAAATGTGGTACATATATAAAATGGAGTGCTATTCAGCCATAAAAAGAATGGGAGGCTGTCGTTTGCAACAACATAGTTGGAAATGGAGGTCATTATGTTAAGTGAAATAAGGCACAGAAGGACAGACATTGCATGTTCTCACTTATCTGTGGGAGCTAAAAATTAAAACAATTGAATTTACAGAGATAGTAGGAGGATAACTACCAGAGGCTGGGAAGGGTGAGTGGGCTGTGAGGAAAGGGAAGGTGGTTAAAGGGTACAAAAAATAGAATAAATGGGATCTAGTGTTTGCTGGCATAACAGGGTGACTACAGTAAAAAATAATTTAATTGCGCATTTTAAAATAGCAAGAGGAGTGTAATTGGATAGTTTTAAACACAAAGGATAAATGGATGAGGTGATGAATACCCTATTTACCCTGATGTGATTGATGCAGGAATTAAAAAGAAGTTACTTAGGCAGATAGTAAGAGTATGGAAGTCCTCAGTAAGGTTTTCCTTTTAATGAAAAGCAGCTCCAAAATTATTTTCTTTTCTAACAAAGAACATCCTGTAAAATCGAGCTTCAGACATAAACAAGCAAGCTGGAAGCTTGCATGGGTTAATGCCAGCAGTTGTGCCCATAGGAATATACTGCCTGGGACTAGGCAAGTTCAAAATGGCAGCTTTATCTTCTCTTTTGCTAGCCACGTGTACAGTAAGGAGCAGACAAGTGGAAAGCCCATTTGCATAATAAGATCAGGGTAGGGCGAACAGCCTTCCCTGGGCACTATGTAAACATCATGCCTGGTCAAACCAATCTGTGAGCCCTACATAAATCAGACATCACGTCCTCAAGCCTGCCTATAAAATAGGTTGCAGTCTGCCACTTTTCCCTTTTTCAGACTCCTATCTCTCACGAGAGAGAGAGCTGCTCTCTTCTCTCCTTTCTTCTGCCTATTAAACTTTCCATTATTTAACCCACCCACGTGTCCATGTCTTTAATCCTCTTGGCATGAGATGACAAAGCCTGGGTATTTACCCCAGTGATGCCGCTTCATGATTATTACACATTGCATGCCTATATCAAAATATCTCATGTAATTCTTAAATATATATACCAATGTAACCAACATTAAAAAAAATTTTTTTTAATGACTACAACATATCTCCCTCAAGTTCTAAACATTAGAACTGATTGGGGAGGGCCAGGCATGGTGGCTCACGCCTGTAATCCCAGCACTTTGGGAGGCCGAGGTGGGCGGATCATGAGGTCAGGAGATCGAGTCCATCCTGGCTAACAAGGTGAAACCCTGTCTCTACTAAAAAGACAAAAAATTAGCTGGGCATGGCGGCAGGCGCCTGTAGTCCCAGCTACTCGGGAGGCTGAGGCATGAGAATGGCGTGAACCCGGGAGGCAGAGCTTGCAGTGAGCCACTGCACTCCAGCCTGGGCGACTGAGCAAGACTCCATCTCAAAAAAAAAAAAACAAAAGAAAAAAGAAAAAAAGAACTGATGGTTAGATGTTAGGTTTAAACAGCAATGGATTTCAGTCCAAGGACCAGGACCCTTGTGCCAGTTGCTCAGAGACAGCTATAATATCACTTTATGTTGTTGGATCTCAGCCTTTTTCTCTGTGAAAAGTGGAAATTCCAGACCTAGACTGTCTCACAGTCTTGCAATTGGGATCAAGTAAGAAACTACATATGAATAAGGTATTAGGTAATTGACTACAATCTGAAATAGTGGGTGTTTACATACTCTTACTATGTTTCTCTTACCAGAGGAGTTCACTTACCAGTCAGTGAGTAAGTTTTGATTTCTACCACATGCCCAAAATTCCACTGGTCAA
The DNA here is from genome assembly GCF_000001405.40 of Homo sapiens. Taxonomy (NCBI): domain Eukaryota; kingdom Metazoa; phylum Chordata; class Mammalia; order Primates; family Hominidae; genus Homo; species Homo sapiens. The sequence goes on from NC_000013.11 coordinate 34,308,937, forward strand.
AAGTAGTTAGTTCATGTCTGCTCTTGCCTTAGCCAACTGTTCATTATACGGAAAGACCAGCAGTTTTGTTAATAGAGCCATGGAAAGCTCAAAAGGAAAATATGCACTTGCTCCTTCTTCTAAGAACTAGCATTCTCCAGAATGGTAGATATTATTTTGATGGAGATTATTGTCCTCCTGGTAATATTTTCTCTTCAAAAGAAAATTACCTCTCCCATCATTTGGATAATAATTTTAAAGAATTGTGTCTGCAATAATACCACCGATACAGGATACAGTGGACAAGAAGGAAATGGAACAATAGAATGAAGGGAAGAAACTGTTAAAAACTGAAAAAAGCAGGGAGAATTGTGGAAGGATTGAGAATGAAAAACTAGTAACAAAGACATTCTGAAAGAGAGATGCTAATTTAGCAGGAAAGATAGTACAATTTTCAGATCAACTTAGAAAACCACATTACATAACTCATCTTGAGTATCTTGACTACGTCGCACAAACAGACAAAAAAAAAAACACACACTTCAAAGTGATAATTTTAGAAGAAAAGCCAACCAGTACATGGATCTGTGTTGACTCCTACGTGTGGAAAGCGGGATGGTCTAGTTGAAATGCCTATTTATATAGCTTACTATGTAGACATAGTGATTTAATAACTCTGCAGTTATGTATATAATTGACAGTCTTATCTTTTATTCATTTTTCCAGGGTTGTGTTTACTACAGACTGTCTCATCTTGGAGTTGTTTATGTCCCTGTCTGTCTTCTTTACCAGGGGGTGGATTCCTACAGGTCCAAGCCAGGTATAATTCAATTCTGTATCACTGACAGCCCCTAGCACAATGTCTATCACACACTAAAGCTTTAACAAACTCTTAAAAGTGAATTGAATTATTTCAGACTTTATTATCTTCTCTTTCTGTGTGCATCCGTGTGTGTGTTTGGTGGGGGTGGGGGGGCGGTCTGTGTGTTAAGCTTTTCTGGAGAATTGCATTTTGGTTTTAACTTCTGAAGTTAGAAATCTGTCAATAGTCACTAAAATACCAGGGGGCCAATTCTGATAACCTGTTTACTAAACAATGCCTAGGGAGTAATTATCAATCTGTTCTTGATGGAGTCTGTCTGCACTCAGACTTAGGGTAAAGAGAAGTCTGGGTTACAGAAAGCAGACGGGGCAATTATTCGCGACAGTGGGAAGAACAGGTAGAAGGGAGTAGTGGTGTGTATACAAATGAAATATAATACAAGCCATAATCCTTACCCTTAACAAAATTTAAAATCTGTTTAGAGGAGAAGAAAAAGGCAACGGAACAACTAAGCAATTATCTGATAGAAGCAAATCACATATTTCTTTACATAATGGGAATATTTTGACAATGAGTGATAGAAGATATTACAATTGTTCCCCGCAACAAAACTGATTCAGCCTCATTATCCTCTATTTTTGTTTAGCTATCCCAGGGGAAGATGTCTAGTTCAAACCTTCCTGATTAGTTACTCCCACTCTGTTAGTTTGAAAACAGTCCTCTAGCACTGGAACCGAGGGACATGGCTCAGGTTGGCAAGATCATTATCCTCATCAGTGAACTTGATCTCCTGAGAGTCCTTTCAGATATATTGGAGAAGTGGCATTTGAAAGTAATTCCTGGTGTCTCTTAATTGAGAATAATATACACCTTCCTGATACAAGTGATACAGCTGCTTTTCTTCGCTTTACCCATATGTGGCAATTTTTCACTCAGACTGAGAATGTGTGTAAAGACCAGTGAGTGACTGTGACAACTGTGATTTTAGACAGATAGGCTGAACATAGAAAAGCCAAACCCGTCTGATGTCCTTGGCATTCTGAGTCTTGCTGTCTCTGCTTACACCAGCTCTCAGGCTAAAGGATGCTGCCATCGCCTAGTTGTTAGTTTCAAGTCCCATTGTCCTTATGGTGATTTTGGGGTTTTAGATCTAAAAATATCATAATATTATTTTTTACTGGGGGATAAAGGTAAAAATGAAAAAATATTCCTTTATTATATGAAGAGGGAATGCTGTTTACAGGAGACATTGAAAACTCAGAGGCTTTTAATGTTTCCTTCACTTTTCTGAATCCAAATGAGGATAGTAAAAGACCTAAAGATGAAAGGACAGAGTGTCATACTTAAACAAAGAATTATCTATTTCATGATTACTTAAGTCAATTGGTTGTGTTCACATCTGAAGTTGCTAATGGATTGTGCTTATGATACTAGGCAAAATGGCTATGATAATAGAGTTTAATACTGAAAACTTGTAAAGCATATTTAAATAGTGTGAACACAGCAAAGAAGAAAAGGAGGGAGAGAGGGAGGGAGGGTGAAAGGGGGAAAAGTAACTGGTTTTGAATCAAAGAAGAACTTTGGAATTCACATGCTTATTTTTCCAACATATTTTAACATGAGAATATAAATTCTATAAAAAACAACTAAATTCACATTGCCAACTGCTTATATACAGGAGAAGCCTTTGACAACTCTTTCTGTGTTTCTCTCTCCCAAATCTTGCCAACATAACAGCAAACATGAGACATGAGAGACTATATATACAGAAGTTAAGAACATAGGCTTTGGAACCAGCTTAATGAGTTGAAAGTATAATCAACCTCTTACCTACTGGGTGTCTTGGAAAACATTATCTACTCTGTCTGTGCCTGTTACCACATTACTCTATGCCTCAGTTTCCTTATCTGCAGATCTGGGATGTAATAACAGCACTTATCTCACAGAATTTTTGCAAAGGTTAAGTTGACTAGTACATCTAAAGCACTTAAAACAGAAACTGGCACATTGTAGGTGCTCAGCAAATTAGATACCCAGTCTCACAGTTCATTGACCATCCCATATAATTCTCCTTTCTATCTCAGCAGTTTACTTCCCAAGTCTTGGTCTTCTACTGTACACAGAATGACCCACTTTCAAACATTTAAATTTTGATATTCCTGGATCCTACTATACCTGCTATGCTTTTATCTTTCTTCCTCCCTAACCTTGGTCTCCAACAACTTTGGAATTTTCTGTTCACATAAACAAAGTTAAAAGAGAAAAAACAGATTGAGGGAAGATACTTGTAATCTATATTGACAAAGGAATAGCGTACAGAAATAAAAAGGTTTCCTACAAATCGCTAAGAAAAAAAGACTACTAGATGGAAAAGTGGCTGGCCAAATGGAATGAAAAGAAAATTCATGGAAAAAAAGGGAACATCCAAAACCATGAAAAGTAATCAGGAAAAGTAAAGCAAAAATGAAACATTTCATACTTTATAAAACTGGCAATAATGTGATACCTAAATTTACCAAATGTTGGTGAGGATGTTTGATAGGAACTCTCAGATATTAGGAGTGGGAGTTTAAATTGGTATCCATACTTTGAAGTACAATTTGGCAACGCCTAGTAAAGCTAGGACGTTTGAGCATTGGATACCGTTGGATGCCTACTAGTATCTTTTCTCAATCCCGTACCTTTTTTATAGAAAGCTGATTTTGTTTGCCTAGCCATTCCTTCCCCAGTACAGTTATGTGTTTCAATGGAAGAAGATATAACCCCCAGTTCTAGGAATGGGGTTGATTTTTTTTTCTAAAATGATTATATTGCCACTGGCAGTGACACAATTGCAGCTAATAAATTATAAGGGGAGGTCTTCTGGGAGTATTCTGCAGAAAGATTATAATTCCTAAATGATTGTCCTAGGAAAAACAGCCTTCCCTCTTCTTGTGGGCACTTTTATTTGGATGTCACATTTGCAAATGTTTTAATCATTCCACTACTAGCCTGAAAAGAAGCCACACCCAGGATGACTGGGTGGAAGATGGAAGGGAATGGTTCCTTGACAACCTTATTGAGTCTTGAATAAACCAACTCTATAATGCCAACTCCACCCTAAAATCTCCTTTTAAGTAAAATAAAAATGCTTTCATTTAAGCTAGGTTGCACTGAAAGTTTTCATTCTTATTGGCAATATCAGACTATTTCTAGGTATGTATACCTCAGAACTCCCACTCAAATATAAACGGATGTATGTAGAAAGATGCATTTTGAAGCAATCTTTGTAAAATCCTCAAACTGCAAACAATTATCTATCTTCAATTGAATAGTTAAATATGCTTTAGTATAATTAAGTAATGGAAGACTATAAAGCAATTAAGAATGTATTAAAATGAACACATTTGATCTGTTTTTATGGACACAGATATATATCAAAATAATAATATACAGTGTAAAAAGAACAAGTTCCTGAACAATATGTACAGCATACCATTTGTGTAAACTATGTAACCACACAAAACAATACTATTTGGGGCCAATTGGAATGTACACATAGAATAATCACATCACAAATGATCAGTAAGGCTGGGCTCGGTGGGTCACGCCTGTAATCCCAGCACTTTGGGAGGCTGAGGCGGGTGGATCAGGAGGTCAGGAGATCAAGACCATCCTGGCTAACATGGTGAAACCCTGTCTCTACTAAAAATACAAAAAATTAGCCAGGTGTGGTGGCGGGTGCCTGTCATCCCAGCTACTCGGGAGGCTGAGGCAGGAGAATCACTTGGACCCGGGAGGCTTGGACCCGGGAGGCGGAGGTTGCAGCGAGCCAGATCATGCCACTGCACTCCAGCCTGGGCAACAGAGTGAGACTCCATCTCAAAAAAAAAAAAAAAAAAAAAGAAAAGATCAGTAAAAACATACATACAATCATAATAGAGGGAGTGGATGAAACATGCTAGAGTTATAAACACAACTCTAAGTGTATCCATAATATTTTATTTCTGATCAAAATGTAAAACCATATATGAAGAAATGTTATCATTCGTTAATGCAGCTTAATGACAATATGGGTTTTTCTTATATTACTCTAATTTTCTGAATGCTTAAAATAATTCATAAATATTTTCAAAAATAAAATAAATTTTAAAATAAAGCCAATTAAAAGAAAGAAAAGAGATAAAGGAAGTGGAACTGGGGATGGGATTGTCTTTCACTATTAAATTAAAAGAGTTCTTTGTTGTTTGACTACTATAACTCGCATGAATTTCATTATAATTTCTTCAAAGCAGAGGGTTTTGAAGAGAAATTCAGTCTCTTTCAGACCACCAATTCCCTCTTTGTTGCAACTTCTTCCCTAGTTTGACTGGACAATATGGTGGTTTGCTGTATCCCCCTCTTCATAGGAACTTGTAGTTTTCTATGTGTCTTTGAGAAGTTCACAACATGTTGAAAATAAACATCAATGTATGAAACCGCTGGAGAATACTACACTCTTGGCATTCCTTCAAATCCTCCTTGATTTTCTCCCTAGCTCAAACCAATAGTCAAATTTTTCTTTTCCTAAGCCCAGCTATTGAGAAAATAATCACTGCAGTGATTATTATGCGCTAATTTATTATGCGCCTTAATCCATCTTTAACCATCTCTGTGTGCTTTGGGTGACATCTTTCACTCCTGAAATTTTCATTACCACCATACACTTTGCCTCTCAAATGTGTAACTCCAGTCTAATCTCTACACTCAGCCTCAGGCTAGGCTTCAGCTTCGCTATTAGACTTCTCTATCCAGTTACATGAAGCAGAACACATTGTTTTACCCAACATAAGAATGGGCATGGTTAGGGTCAGTACTAGTAATCTATAAATGGAAGCTAGGCAAGATGCAGAATCGTGGACTGATCAATGCAGTTCATTTAAAGATGGCGTTAACTTCCTGACACTCTTTTCATTGGCTCTGAAATTTTTGACCCTCTTCTCATTGAGAGGTAGGGCCCATGACTCTTCTTCTTGCATATGTGTGGATTTTATGACTGTTTTGATGAATAAAACATGGCAAATGTTAACACTGTGCCAAATTCTGAGCCTAAACCTTAAGTCACTAGTGGCTTCCATTTCCTCGCTCTCACCTCCTGACTGTGAGTTCTGCCACCGCATCAGGAGTCCAGCTACCTCATGACCACCATGCTGGAGAGGCCATGTAGAGCTTCCCCGGCTGCCAGTCTCTGCTTAACCCAGTGTTCCAACCACGCCCCTAAAGTGACAGATCTGTGAATAAACCATCTCAAGCCTTCCAGACAAACCCACTTACCAGCTGAAGACCACTGGGAGACCCTGCAGAGCCATGTGGAGCAGAAGAATCACGCACTGAGCCCTGCTCACATCTCTGACCCAGAAATCATGAAATACAACAAAAGATTTTAAGATACTAAGTTTTTGAATTTGTTATCGAACGATAGACAACCATATAACTCCCTCCTCTCCAGGGCTATTTAGTGGGCCTCCTAGAGCTCTACATATTTCTCACCCCTGAAACATTTTCCAATTGCTGTGGGACATTAACAAATATTTACATACTCTGTCAACGCGAAAAAAAAAATTATATAAAGTAAAATTTTAAGATTCTCTTTTATTCCCTATTTTCATCCCTTTCTCCATCTCAAAGTTAATCACTGCTCCTATTAATGAATATTTAGATTATTTCTAGTTTTTTATTAAATAAAACAGTGCTGCAGTTAACAGCCTTGCACATATTCTCTGTAAATTTCAGATTCATAGAAGTCAAATTACTGAGGCATAAGTTATTAAAATTATAATACATGACACCAAATTGCTCTCCCTCAAAACTAAAATCTTTGCTTATTTATATTGTCACCAATATTTCACAATAGTGTTCATTTATCCAAATACTGGCCACCAATGGATGTTGTCATTTAGATTTTGCCACTATGAGTAAAAAAAGTGGTAGCTTATTGTTTTAATTGACATTTCTCTGATTATTTGTGAAGTTTGTAGCATATTTTCATGTGTTTATTACTACTTGGGTTTCTTCTTCAGTGAATTCACTATTGATAATCCTTTTTAGAAAAAATTTTATTAGATTGTCTCTTTGTGTTTATTGTTTTGTGGCAGCTCTTTGCATTCTGAATATTAATTTGTTGCCTGTTCTATATGCCACAAATACTTTTTTTCTAGTCTGTGGTTTGTCCTTTATTCATTAATTAATTTATTTAAAAGGTATTTATTGGAAACTTTGTGCCAGGCATTGTTACTAAATACCGGGAATACAGATGTGAGTAAGACAGAGTCCCACTCTCTTGGACTTAGTTTATTGTGGAAGATATACAGTAAACAATGAAAGACAGATGTAATGTTTTATAAGTGTTACAAAGAGTAATAGAGTTGGGTAAGTGACATACAATGATGAAGTGTGCTATTTAGATAGGCCAGTTAGGGAGGCCATTTGAGTGCCAAAATGAGCTGACATCTGGAGGCAAAACATTTCACTCTGAGGATGTAGTGTATGCAAAGGCCCTGAGATGAAGGAATAACTGTTGTGTTCCAGAAACTTGCAAGGAGGCTGGTTTGGCTAGAGGACCACAGTCCTGTAAATTGTGGACTGTAGATTTACTTCACTGGAGGATGAAAGCTATTCAGCATTTTGAATAGGGAAGTAATGCAATCCGATTTCCATCTGAGAAGGACCAGGCTGGCCACTGGGCAAGATAGGCTGGGTGTGTGCACGTGTGGCAAGGGGTGTCGGGAAGAATGGGAGCTGAAAGATCACAGGGAAAGTCATCGCCTTACACAGGAGGTTATTTCAGTAGTACAGGCAAGAGATGACTAGACTGGAGTTTTGGCAATAAAGGTGGTAAAAAGTCACCAGATTACAAATATATTGTGAGTGTAAAGCTGACAAGTACAGTTGATGCACTATGAGGAGAAAGAGAGAAAAGATCATTCTAAGATGTTTGGCCTGAACACTAGGTGAGTGGTGGTGACTTTTGCTGAGATGATGACTTGAAGCAAAAGCAAGGAAGAGCCTCACACATGTTGAGCTTGAGAAGCCTATTTGCTCTCTCACTGTCTTCTAGGCAGAAATGCGAAGAAGTCTGGAGTTCAAGGGGGAGGCGGTGGAGGAGGTGGCAGGAACCTGTGGGTCACCAGTGCATAGACAATATTTAAAGCCATGGAACTCTAGAAATCAGTGTAGGCCTGGAGGTGAAGCTGTACCACAGCACTTCAATGTCCATGAGGGAAGAATAGGAGGAGACCCATCATGGAGGCCTTAGAAGAAATGAGCAGTGAGATGGGAGAAAACACAGGAAAGTGTGGGGTCCCAAAAGCCAAGGAAAGCATTTAGAACAGGGCCCGGTACACAGTAAATTAAAGTTAATTATGTAGCTATTAGTATTTATCCTTTTGAAGCCCTATGGTCCCCAAGTAGTCCTTTCTTCTCTGACTTCAACTAGGACTGAGATCTGTGATAGCTTTGACCAGTGGAATATGGCAGGAGATATTGTTTATACCGGATTCCAAGCTCAAATATTAAGTGACCAAGAAATAGATTTAAATTGAGGATTTAGAAGAGACTATTCTATTTGGAAATGCGAAGGTCATTGGTTACTCTGAGAAAAAAGATTTTAGTGGAGGGAGACACAAAATTCTTTTTTTTTTTTTTTTGAGATGGAGTCTCACTCCGTAACCCAGGCTGGAGTGCAATGGCGCGATCTCGGCTCACTGCAACCTCTGCCTCCCGGGTACAACAATTCTGAAGGCAGACAAAATTCTAAGTGAATTGGTCTCTAGAGAGAATGGCAGAGGAGATGGGCACACCAAGTCCATTTCAGAGAAATTTTGCCTTAGAGAACAGCCAAACTCTTCGGGGCAATTTAATTGTTCTAAAGCAATAAGAAGGTTTACTTTATTTTTGTAATATGGGAGATGTTCTTCTAAGATGTTTGTATAGTAATAACAATGAGCCAATAGATTAACGGTGTCAAAGAGAGAGCAGACAATTGCAGAAACAAGTTCTCGAGCAGATTGGAAGCTATGTGAGTCAGTGCACAAGCAAAGACTCTGAGTTTAGCTAAGAGCACAGATTTTTTATCCATTTATAAGAAGAAGCAACAAGTAAAATATCCAATGCACAGCAGGTGGACTGGTCGATGTGTTGGTCAGAGAACAAGGAATTGTTCTAATTTATTAATTCTATTTTCTCAGTGAAATAAGAAGATCATCAGCTGAGAATGAGAAGGAAGGAGTGGGTGTTAGAGGTTTGTAAAGAAACGGGAATGAATGGGCTGTTTGACTTGGGCAATGTAACTTCAGTACAAAACTTTTCAAAGCACCCTGAGCGGCAGCTAGAGATGGGTGATCACATTAAAGTTGGTCTGGTGTGTTCTTATTCAGCCATTTTTTTAGTCTCCAGCTGCATGGTTTATGTTAATTATGGCATCTTTAATCACATGTAAGTTTTTTTTTCTCTTCGTGCCGTTAACTCAGATTGGCTAATTTTTCCTGTATGGATTCTTGAATTTGTACATTCTTAAGAAGGCTCCACTTCTACCTTGAAATTACAAAACAAAATGAACAGAAAACTTCACTATTTTCTTATAATCTTGTCATAATAAATACTAACATTTTATTCCACGTGGCCTTTTCTGTATTCATAAGTGTGTGACTTATTTTTCTCAAAATGGATAATATGATGTTTCAACATTATTTTTCAAAAATCCACCTTTTCTTCTCTGAAATGTTATATTGGTCATGTGTATGGGCTTATTTTTGGACTTCTGCAGTTGTTTCATTCGTCCTTCCTGCATTCTTACCCCTTTGGTTTAATTACTGTGGTATTTTTTCAGTATTTCTAGTAAAAGTCACCATCCAAATCTCTTTTTCAAAAGTTTTATGGCAATCCTTGAGAATTTTATCTTTCAGATGAAATTTATCTTCCAGATGAGTCCAATTCAATATAATAATCTCTTTGTAAAGCATCATTTAAAATTCAGAAAAGATTTTGATTGGGATTTAATTGAATGTATAGATTAGTTTGGGGAATATTAACATTTACAACCTGATATTTTTCCATAGAGAAGCCTGTTATTCTCAATATTTATTTGGGTCTTCATTTATGCACTTCAAAACAGTTTTATAGGTTTCTTCAATGCAGAAACTTCATGGCATCTTAAAGGCATTTCTTGATTCTGACACCATAAAACAAAACCATCTGTTGTCTTCTACATGGCACCTTAAGTACATTAACATCTTTGTGCCATAGTTTCCTAGTCTGTTGAAGAAGACTTGTGAAGAATAAATGAACTAATAAATGTGAAATTCTTAAAACAGTGCCTGGTGCTGCTGTTATGATTTCTCCTTTTGAAGCCCCAAGTCAGTCCTTTGTGTTCTAACTGCATCAAACCACTGCAATTACACAAAGAACATGCACCTGAGCCTTTGCACACAGTATTCCAAAGCCATCTGAAAAATGGAGTCTGCAGACTTTCAGCTTCCATAATACAAAAGAGAGCTTAGGAGGGCAGAATGTCACTGAAAATTTCAGAGAAATGAGAAAGATTTCATATATAATTATAAAAATATGTAAAACATTATTTTAGAACTGTTCTATAGTTGGCTATTTATATTTGATGTGTCAGTTTTTTTCTTTGAGATGTTTTACATAATCTAAAAACCAGTTAAGTTAAAATAAAATTTAGTCACTAAATATTATTAAGAGGGAGGCACTTTGCAATAGATAAGTTCTGTAAATATCAATATATTTCTATATAAAATGAAAAGTACACCATTTGAAGCAGCCATACAAACACCTGACATATTTAGTGACTGAATTTCATACCTTATTATAATTTTTTCCAGGTGCATTCAATATCACTCCTTTACAAAAATAACAGAGGTATCAGTTAATCACCAAGAGGAGGAGCCCATGACAAAGCTCCTCTAGATTACTTTTTTTATCTGATGACCTGATTACCAGAAGCAAAAGACCTATTAAACCCTTTATCTCTTAAAATATATTTTTCTAGAAAATATTAAATGTTCTTAGTATCAGAAACACCCCACAGAGCACTTTGTTAGACAGAATGCATATATACTACATGAAAAGTCTTCCTATATATTCTCCATCCCCTCTCCCTTTTAAAGGAAGTGATTTAAACAAAAATTCCAGAAACTTCTAGGCTAGGCTTAGAATTTCCACAGTGGCCATTGATTGGGGAGAGAACAAAATAATGGTAAAAAGAAAAGTATCTGTCTTTATCTCCCTTTTTCTCTTATTCTCTCCCATTCTCTCTCTCTCTCTCTCTCTCTCTCTCCCTCTCCCCCCTCCACTCCCCAAATATATGCTAAAATTAGAATATATAATTAGTTTTAGAACATACTAGTTTCTCCTTTATTATTTATCAATATAGGCATAACAGCTTAAGGGAGGCATTATCACAGTGTTTTAAATCACTGAATCTGACAGCCCTGGGATCATTTTTGTAAGGCATGTTCTAACTTCCAAGAGTTCAACACAAGCTACATAGCTAACTGAGTTAAGCACTGAAAAAAGACAGCCTCAGTCTCTGGAGAATGTCTTCAGAAGAACAAGGTAACTGGGGTACTAGGTCACTGCAAATCTACTTCCGAAAATCAGTAAAACAGACAGAGGAGAAAATAGTCCATGCAATATTAATGTATATTGCATTCAAAAAAGAAATATGCTCTGACTGCCCTGCCTCTGTAACCTGGTGCCCTAATTTTACACATTCTAAGACTTATGCACTCCTAAACCGTCTGCCTGATACCTGTCCCTCCCTGAAATGTTTATGTCTCAAAATTCTTCATTTCTTCTTTTTTAGAGAGTAGAATCATCAAGATGCAAGTATGTTTGAGTGAAAAACATAACAATGTTGAATCAGAAGGAGAGAAACTACTGCAGTGGCCCAGAGGACTGCAAGTGCCTGAAAGCTCACTGGGGATGGAAAATATGACTTCCCTCTAGTTTCTTCATTCTGGGTTTGTCAAGGATACACACCCTACAGAGAGACCCCTCACCTTTCCCCACAAACGGTACCTCCTTTTCCTTCCCCTACTCAGTAGGAATGTGCTCTTTAAGGATTCTGCAAGAGCAGAACTGGTGAGAAAGGTGCTTTTAAAAACAGTGCTGTGGACTTCCATCCTAACCCAGTGCAGAGCACTGGCACAGTATGTAAATGCTTAGTATATTTCTTTTCATGTTTGTTATGATCAAAAAGTCATTACTGACTTCACCATTGTAAACAATGAAACACCAAGCTATGAGTGATGATTTAAAGTGAAAATACAGCACAGGAGCCCCCAAAACACCTTATACTACATCATGCAATAATGTAATAATCCCCAAAAGCCCAAGCCAGCAAATATGCTGCACAGAAAACTGGTAAGACACTGAAAAGCAAACTTCGCCAAGAAAAAAAGTTCCACTGAAATTTTTATTCAGCTTATGATAGTGTATACCATTTTCTTTTGGCCTTTGTAATTTCTCTGTCATTTAGTTTCTAAGAGAACATTGGTCAGCAGGCTTTATAACTGTTTTCTTCAGATGGAGAAGAATCATGATAAAGGTCACATTTCCACTGCTAAGTGCTCTTGGATATGGTGATCCTGAAGAAACTGCTGCCTGTGGAGACTGCACTGATGGAACAGGGGAGCCACAGTCTGTTAGGCATAGAAAGCATGTCCTAAGACACAGTTCATTCTTATGGAAATTTACATGATTTAGGGTTTATGTTTCCATGTAAACCCATAAAACATAATCCACACAATTTTAGAACAACGTTACACTCTATTTTATAAGGAACAGAAAAATCAGCTATATAATTTGCCATCTCCCTTGCCCAAATGTGTCAATACTTAATTGATCCTTGCTTTTCCTTTTTGGTTGAGCTAATCAAGATAAATGTAAAAGCAACGGTGCCTAAAAGAACAGGCACTCAGCATATAGTTGATTGAAAGAAATAAGAGGGAGACCCATAGAGAAACTATGAACATGATAAAAAATGTTGATTAAAACAATATAGTCATCTGGCTGTCTTTCGTTTACTTACATGAATGAGCCAATAAAATCAACGTTTACTTCACTGTATGGAAAATGTGAGTAAATATAATTCAGTTGAAAATCAAGATCTATACAATTTCAGATAGAGCAACAATTAGAGAGTCATTGAAAAGTTAGTAAGGGAAGTGGAAAAAGATAAAGAGAAGTGGGCAATGTATAACCTAGGAAGAGGTGCCACTGAGTAGTAGAGAGGTATGATGGTGAAGACAGTCAGTGCGAGGGCTGGTCAGACAGTAGTTTTCCAGTTCATCACTGGCTTCCTTGAAAGGTACCATTTTCATTCTGTAAAGGTTTCTTGGATGAGACGAGTTTTTACATGAAGGATTTGGAGGAAGTGGTGCAGCTGGCTGTCAGAGCGGAATATCATTTGTGAGCAGCAGGGAAGAATGCCTGCATGCTAGAAAGAAATGAAGGATGACGAAATGAGCCCAGTGCATTAGGCTGGAAGGAAAGCCACAGAGGGGCTGCAAAAGGATGCGCCATGGCAGTTAATACACAGCCACCTCGGGGGACAGCAGGCCTAACAATAACCATGTCAAAACTCAATTCCATATCAATGAGAAAGATGTTGTGAGGAATTCAAATCAAATAAAAATAAAGGCCATCAAAGCATACAGAGAATAGGATAGTACAAAAAGAATGGTGCCCCATCTCTGCCTCGTGAACTACATCATCCTTAAACTTCCCTGCTCTAGATTCTAAAGTCATTGTGACCAGGGGACCAAGCAGCAACCTTCGTGTTTCCAGAAATAGCAGATGATGCAAGGTTTTCCATTCAGAACTGGCAATTTTTAGCCTTCTTTCATCATTAAGCAAATAATAAAAATAATCATAGCTTGTTTTATCAAGTGCTTCTGACTTGGCAGGCACTGCTCTGTGCACTGCATGAGTGAACTCATACCATCCTCGCAAAAACTCTATGCTATTATGATCCCCATTTCTCAGTTGAGGAAAACAGGTACAGGAATGTTAAGTAACTCTCCCAGAGTCGCAGAGCTAGTAAACAAGGAGGCGTGGGTTCCTCCTGAGCCCATGTTCATGACCAATACACATTGGCTGTCTCCTGAGACACTGGCACCAGCACTGAATATGACCTTGGAAAATCTTGCACTGCCTTCCAAGGCCCTCATTTTCATAGGCAGACAGGACCTATAGGTGAACACTGAGTTATTCCGTCTCTATCAGATGCATGCCCATGGAGAGGGTTCATGGGCTAATGCCTAGGACCCAGGGAGAGTTTGACACATTTATCCTTCACATTTGGTTCATTCCTGAAAGCATCAATCCAGCTTCTAGGTCTTAGAAAAATCATTTTCACCTGATGTCTCTTCCTAACGTTGAGCATACCATAGGTTGAGCTTTAGGAAAAAAATCCGAATTTGCTTTCTGATTTAATTTTTAAAGCGATAAGGCCATCTCTTACAGCTGTCTTATCACTTTAAAGATTAGCTGTCAGCTAATCAAGTACCCAGTGTTTGCATAATATTGCCTGTATAGGTTAGATCTTAAGCTTATCTGGATTTGCTAATTACCACTATTTATTTTCCTATAGCATGATATTGGGTTTGTGGATTTTCAAATCTGTAGAAGGTGTTCCTTCATGTTTGTCCTTGTGTGAGTGGTGTGATTCATTGCTGATTTACAAGAGCAAGTTCTTTCACATTAATGGCAGTAGAATGGAAGAGGGTTAAGAAGATGGAAAAGAGGGCGAAGAATAGGATTCGTGCTAAATGAATATGTGTATACACACGTATAATATCTGAGTAGAAAAATATTATCTGAGCAAATCAGTTATAAAAAGACACTAATCTTTCATGAGAGAGAAAAATGTTGATAGGAATGCATTTTTTTTTAATAATCTGATAGAGGTCGTCTCGTTGAAGGCAATATTCACTGCTAAACAGCTTTTGCTGTTCTCCAACCCTCCATCCATCCTTGTCTTGGCAATTTTGGAACATGTGGCATCTTCTTTCTTGGCTCCAATAAATTGCAGTGTTTGCTGCTCATCTTCTTTAACAGGAGTTCGTACCCTATTATGAAAATGGACATCTGAATATAATAGGCAGTCTAAGCCCCTGAAGATATCTTGGTTTGAAGACAGAAAGAAACTTACAAATGAGGCAATAAAAAATAAATTGCACAACGTTGCATTTACTAACTAAGCAAGATAATAGAGTGTGAAAACCGAAGGGGCTGAGCAAGCAAGCTTCTGCCCCCTTCACAGCTGAGCTTTAATGTGACCCGCATGCTAATCCTGTCATGTGTAAGATGCATTATTGAGATGACATTCATTATTGGCATTAGGTATTCAGTTTGTTTGAAATTTTTCATTACTAACCTTCGCTTTTCCAAAGCCGATAACTCAGTGGCAAAAATTTATACCTTCTGTTATTCTTAAAGGGCCAAATTTGGCATAAAATTCTAGTGCTTAAAATGCAATTTTATTTCAGGGGAAAATTGGGCTTCATTGGAGTGAGACTCTATTAAATATTACAGAGGGTTACTAGCTAGCCTAACTGTTAAATCTGAGGATAAGAAGAGCAGTGGATACCACAGGGAATAATATTTTTATTTCTGTGTATATTCTGTAGATAGACTTGCAATTATATTAAAATCCTGGTCTAGCAAGTTTGGAGGCCCTGGAAGAGAGAATTACTCTTGGGTGGCCAATGAAGGTATTTCTGGGAATGGGGGTCTGGAATAAAGCTTTACAGTACAGTCTTCCTGTTTCGAGGAAAGCCAGGAGACTTGTACATGTAAGGAGCCCAAGTGACAACAGAGATGAGATAAAGACTTACGGCCGGGTGCAGGAATGCTCATGTGCTTCCGGTGAAGGCAAACTTGTGAGTGGTGTGGCCTCTCCCCAGTGAGCTGGGGTTGGTGATGCTATCACTGTACATCAGGCCATGGGCTCAAGACAGCATTTTTCAACACTTTAATACCCATGCTCCCTTTAATACACTTGGTAATCTCGTCATTCCCACATGATTATAGTTTTCCCCAGAGTGCTCAATGTTAAGTCATATTAAAATGGAAATGTAATAGTTTCTCCAACACGTGACTCTTCCTCATTTCTTTACCTCTTACAGTAAACAGACTTGATGTGTTCTCCTCTAAAAGCAGGGCTTTAACTGGAGGGAAAGGAGTGAGAGGGAAAGTGCGTTTCACAGTGCATGGTACATAGCAGGCTCTCAAAAAGGTTAGTCCTCTAGCTGGGCTGCTGGTGGAAAAAGGTGGAAAAAGGAAAACTAATGTTTTCAGCCCTATTAGATTTTGTACTTACCAGATAATTTTTATTCAAGCCAGGCCTGATTGTGGGTCTCTAACCCTGATGGGGAAAATCCCACTGGGCTGATTATCCATAGGAAACTAAAGTTGTTACCAGCAAAGAGAAGAAATATGATAAGAGACAGGGAGTTAGTAGGATTTTTGGCCCTAATATTTTGATTAAGATTTTTTTAAAGGTGCTATTATCCTGAATCTTTGTATATTTTATTTATTTTGCATGCCTGTTTCTCCATGGTGTATTCACATGCAAGCTTTTTGAGGACAGAATTGGGTGTTCTACTTGAAAGCATCAATGACAGCCTTGAGCTCCAAGCCCCTATACGTGTCCATCAGACTTGTCCATCAGACTGAAGGCCAGTCTTGGCTCCATACTGCAGCCCCACCCGTCTCCCCTCCCTGCAGTTTCAAGAAATGCCATGTACAAAATTACTGTTCTTAGGTTGTTTTATCATAGTTTGAGTATACAATAGATTGGTTCAAATTACACTTCATGTTGGATGGAAAAGAAATATATATCCCTCTGGTCCATTTGCCCAGCAATGCATACTTTTTGGATAAAGTGAGTAACTAATAATACAAATCCTAAATAGAGTACAAAATGCTCTGTTTAAAGCAGTACATGTTGATCACATCATGAATAAGCTTTGCATCTTTTAAATCTATTAAGAACTGGAGCTATGGGAAATCAATTGCCTATGAATTTTAAAATAACGTTTGCATTGCTAGATATTGTTAATTTTTGTAAAAAAAGTGCGGCAAACTTGAAGAAACTCTACTAGAATGTATATAGTGCCTTTTAGTCATTTTCTTCATTTCTGCTGGGGTCTTACTTTAGACCCCAGCCACTTAAGTGCAAATCTATTAATGAACATGTGCATTCTTAAGAGTTTACAACACCTAAAAGCTTGAGACTATCTGTCTACTTTCTACAACACAGCTCCTAGATGTGCTAAATTTATAATTCATTTCTAGCTACTTTAAAACTACAAAATCCTATCCAACAATTTCTTTCAGAATTTAGAGTGAAAGAAAACATTGGTTTGATCTAAATTACAATCACTACATATATTCAGATTGACTGCATACTCTCAGGTTTGCACTCCACAGGATTCTGGGCTTCTATCAGTCCCCAGCCACCCAGCAAGGCTCTGCTTGATATACAGAGAATCACATTGGAAAGGCTAACCAGTCTTAGACTCAGAAAGACAAAGCTTTGATACACTGTCATGCTCTAAGTCTCCCTGAAGGCCTTCGGAGATGACACCAAGTGATATGGTTTGGTTCGGAGTCCCCACTCAAATCTGATCTTGTAGCTCCCCTAGTTCCCACGTGTTGTGGGAGGGACCCAGTGGGAGATAACTGAATCATGGGGGCAGGTCTTTCTCAGGCTGTTCTCATGATAGTGAATAAGATCTGATAGTTTTAAAACAGGGAGTTTCCTTGCACAAGCTCTCTTCTCTTGTCTGCCGCCAGGTGAGATGTGCTTTTCACCTTCTACCATGATTGTGAGGCTTCCCCAGCCATGTGAAA
This sequence comes from Homo sapiens, assembly GCF_000001405.40. Lineage (NCBI taxonomy): Eukaryota > Metazoa > Chordata > Mammalia > Primates > Hominidae > Homo > Homo sapiens. Next base: position 34,326,635 of record NC_000013.11, read on the forward strand.
GGTAAGTCCATTAAACCTTTTTCTTTGGTAAATTGCCCAATCTAAGTATGTCTTTATCAGCAGTGTGAAAATGGACTAATACACCATTTGTCTAGCCTTCCATGCACTGTCACATTGGACCTATGGCCAAAGCCCCATCAATCTTCATCAAGATTAACCAGGAGGCAGCAGTGACATAAAACAAGATGAGGTCACTGAGTGCTCTGGTATATCAATGCTCTACCCACTAGAGCAGTGTTGAAAACACTGACATGAGCTGCCAAGCATTAACCAGTATTCAATTGTGGAAGGTACCAAGTATTGAGTATGATGAGACCCATGTGAGTCTTCTTCTCATCCTTCTTTCTCCCTCTCTCTCCCACTTTTCATGTTCTCATGCCTCAGCATGCCTTCTCATCACCAAGTAAGGTAAGCTCACTTATTTGTTTATTCAACAAACATTTATTGAGCACCTAATGTGTGCCAGGCTCAAAATTAGCTCCTTATTGCAAGGACCTCTTTATTTAGCAAAGTAAAGTGACATGGAAACCGCTGATAAAACATTGACTTCAGTACTAAATTAGAGGTTTATTAAAAGCATTGATAATACATAGAAAGGAGTAAACAATTGTGCCCGCTGGAGGGGGGAGATGGCGGACCAGAGGAGAGTAAGAAAGAAGAAGTATTAGAGCAGGTTTGAGAGGGAAGCACGTTTTTGCTAGGCTTGCGAGGAATCACAGGAGTTTGCTAATAAATTAATGTATACTCTAAGTGACATAATGGTTTTTCTGCATGTCTCATACAAGTTTGAAACTGAGCTAACTAGCCTGAACCACACACTGACCCATGCCCAACCTACTCTCCTTCTTGATTTCTCTGTGTTGATTTTTGGTATCATTAACCAATCATATCTAGTCTTGGAAACTGAGAGTTAGCTTTGAATCTTGTTTTTCCTTTACACCCCACATCACATGATCACCAGACCAAATCCATTTTACTCAAGAAATGTCCATTTGATCCATCTCATCTTCTCCATGCCAAGTCCTTGTCAACTTTCTCCTGAACTAAATTCAGTACACTCTTTACTGCCAATCACTCCTTAGAAAGGAACGTATTCTTTGCTCTCCTGCTATGATGAATGCTGCCCCTTCACTGCAGTGCTCCAGGACCCTATATTGACCATGCTTCTGTGCTTCTGCTATAGTGTGTGTGTGTGTGTGTGTGTGTGTGTGTGTGTGTGTGTGTGTGTCTGTGAGAAAGAGTCCATGTGTGTGCGTGCACATATGTGCATTCATACACCCACACGGCCAGGAATTTTTTCTCTTTTCCTTTATTTCAGCTGTATTCATGGCCTTTTCTTGTGGAAACCTATTCATAACTCTAAACCAGCTTAAATGTCTCTATAATTTTTCTTACTTCTCTTACCCATATATTCTGTAGAACACAGCACTGTAAATTATAATAAGTTATCTGAACGACCTGGACACAGCAGGATACAAGCAGAAAGTAACTTGATTTTTTGTTTACAACTGCGTGTTAAACTTGTCCATTTGTATAGTTTTCTCCTCTATTCCACTGGGTAATCTTGAGGCGATCTTATAGCTTTTCTAGTCTTTCTCAGATATTATCAAATTGTCTCTCCTTCCATAAATGAAAAGTCTAGACAAATCTAATGTCAACAATTAATTCTGTGATTCAACCTAATGCTTATGCCTTCTCCACACAGCTCAGGCAACATGGGGTCTTAGAATTCTGCAGCAGGAACAAGGTCGCTCAGTTTCTCTCTTCCTCACTCCTCCTTCTCCTTTACTTGCTAACTGCTATATTGGACCCTCCATATTTGGGCTGGGGGGCACAGGGTATGAAGGTGATGGCAGTGAATTAGGAGAAAGGTCATAGTCTTAACGTGGCCAATGTGGTGTCTCCTGTGGCCAAGGTCAACTGTGCTTGTTAGATGACCAAATGTTGGCCGTTTCTCTTGCAGGGATTTGGTGGGGTCTTCAGAGAGCCACCCTGCCCCTCCTCTGCCACCCAGGACAATTTACTGAAATTCCCTGAACAAGCTCATCTTCTTCCAGCTGGCCATGAGTGACTACCCTCCACCCCCATCTTCTGGCCATCTACCTCATAGAATCTCCCTCTGGTGATGGTCACTTTCTCCAACTGGACATGATCACCTTCCCCAACTGGATGATCAACTGGACAGAATCATTTATACAATAAATTTTTAAGTTTAGAATACTTTTACATTTACAGGGAGCCTGCAGAGTTCCCATGTACCCCATGCCTAGTTGCCTCTACATTCATCCTCTTACTTTAGTCATGTACCTGTGAACAACTAGTTAACCAATGTTGATACTTTATTATCAGCTAAAGTCCATACTTTATTCAGATTTCTTTAGTTTTTACCAAATGTCCTTTTTCTGTGTCAGTATCTCATGCAGGATACCACATCATCTTTAGGTGTTACGTCTCCTCAGCCTCCTCTTGGCTGTGAAAGTTTCTCAGGCTTTCCTTGCTTTTCTTTTTTTATTTTCTATTATTTTTATTTTTATTTTTATTTTTATTTTGAGATGGAGTTTCACTCTGTCACCTAGGCTGGAGTGCAGTGTTGCAATCTTGGCTTACCACAACCTCTGCCTCTGAGTTCAAGCGATTCTCCTGTCTCAGCCCTCTGAGTAGCTGGGATTACAGGTGCAGGCCACCATGCCCAGCTAATTTTATATATTTTTTTTTATTAGATAAAATAATTAAATTTTATTAGATAAAATAAATAAATACATAAATAAATAAATATTTATTTATTTCACCATGTTGGCCAGGCTGGTCTCGAACTCCTGACCTCATGTGATCTGCCTGCCTCGGCCTCCCAAAGTCCTGTGATTACAGGTGTGAGCCACCGCACCTGGCTGCTTTCCTTGTTTGGAATGACCTTGACAGTTTTGAGGAGTAGTGATCAGGTAGAATATTCCTCAACTGGGATTTTTCTGATGACCTTTCCTGATTGCTGTGGGATTATGGGTTTTGGGAGGGAAGACCACAGCGGTGAGGTGCCATTCCCATACTATCACACCAAGAGTGCACACCATTAACAAGACTCAACACTCGGGTGTGAACTTTGACCACTTGGCAGAGGTTGTATTTGTCAGATTTCTCCACTGGAAAAGTTACTCTTTATGTTCCTCCTTTCCAGACTGTACTCTTTGGAAGGAAGTTACTGTGCGCAACCCAGATGAAGGAAGAGAAGGAGGTATGCTCTACCTCAGGCAGATCTATGGAAATTATTTGGGATCTTTGGCATGGGACATTAGTCTATTCCCAGCCATGTATTTATGTATGCATTTATTGATTTATTCAGTTATTTATTTATATCACCGTATATTCATGGATAACCATATTATATCTTGGGTTGCAATCCGACAGAATCTTTTTTGAAGACTACTTCAGGCTAGCGGCCTTCTGCAGGTCCATTTGACCCAGGGGAAATCTCACCCATCTTTGCCTCAGCAAGCTCTGGAAATCTAGGCTGTTCTCAACACAGCCTGTGCCTTTGCTTAGAACTCTCTAGAGAGCCTAATACATTTAGATTTTCCAGACCTGAGTCAGAGCATCAGGTCTTACCTCCTCCAAACTCCAGGACACAGCTGTCAGGTGGGTTTTTTGAAAATTGGCTAATTTTTTTTCTCTTGGCCAAGGTACTCTGCTGATTCTGTTTAAAGCAGTCCTTACTGTGGGCCTCTCTGATCCATTCCCTAACCTAACTAAAACAACCCTGAAGGGGATAGTGAGCTAAGTTACAAAGCCAGCTTTACATGCTCTTAGCCTCTTCTGCATAAGTTGTCTGCCACCTATTTCTCTCCAAATTTGTGGCTTCTTCCCTGGAAACTATAGGGACAGTCATATTTAGTATCTTGTTATACTGTCATAATTTAGTGGTTCCCCAAATTGTGTTCCTGATCCAGCAGCATCAGAATCAGCCAGCAATATGGAGATGCAAACACTCAGGTCATACCCCAGACCCACTGAATCAGAACCCCAGGGGCTGGGGCCCAGCAATCTGCCTTTTAACAAGTCCTGCACCTGATTCTGCTGCAAGCTGAAGTTTAAGGGCTACTGCTTGTGTGTTCTCTCCCCACAGCTTAACTACAAGCTGTTTTAGAACCATCAAATAGCCTAGTGCCTGACTTGGCACAGGTTAGGGGCTCAAACAATGAACTGAAGTTGCATCCTCTATTATTCACTGCTATTGAAATTGAAAGGGAAGTGTGAGTTCTTGCTGTCAGGTGCCCTGGGTGCCTCCCCATTCCTGATGAGCTCCTTCAATACTGTTAGCATATTTTATTAAAACCTTTCTAGTGAAAATGTTTGGAGCATGCCATCTGTTTCCTGTCAGAACCTTGATGAATACAATGTCCCAATAGTATATTTATTTCCATGAAGGACCACAAAAAGGAATGCTATTCCAAAGGAGAAAATTGCTAATGGTGTATATTTAGGCTTTGGTTAATTGAGGATGAATAACTTCCCTACACTCCTCTAAAGATATAGATGTGTTTGTTTTCTACATTGCATATGCCAAAACTATGCTAATAGTTTATTATAAATAGTTTATGTATAAATGTTTATTATACATTATCCTTTTAATTCTCACAATAAGAACCATGAGGTTTTAATTATTTCCATCTTACTGGAAATCAAAACTCAGAACATTTATGACCTGCATCAGCTTACAAAGCCAGAAGGTGGGAGAACCAGGACTACAGCATCTACCTGATGACAAAAATGGCATCCTTAGCCCCTCTATAGGTCTCCGGCATTGTCCCTTTGTTCAGGTGACACTACAAATAGATACACGGTAATGGGGTTTCTGTTCAGGCCAGTGGGGAAGCAGAGGAAGGGACACTAAAGATACCTAGAAGGTGACTTCCTTGTCTGTGGATAAGGGCAAAGAACTTCAATGGTGGCCTGACTATCTGCTACTGTAAAGAATAGAACAAGGAAAGAGAGATAAGGAGAAGTAAACATTACCGGTGTGAGTGTCGCAAAAAGCATGCATTGTTTCAAGAGTTGGGCTGGAAAGACAGAAGAAAACTGTACAAGTATTGATAGGTGAAGAAAAAGGACAAAAACTGGTCATACTGCAACTAAATTTTAACAAAAGAGACAATTACGAGAAACAAATTTAGGGATAGCACAGGTTGTCATGTGAGTGAGTGTGATGAACCTAACTTGTCAACTCCACTTGCCAGTAGCTTTCCTGGTCTCATTGTCCCAAGGCAGAGGGTGGTACTCACCAGAATACAGCATGACAGTTTGTCCAGGAAAGTGGTGACAGAGCGCTTTAACTATTATCACACTAACTAACCACACTTCTCTTCTTTTTAAGAACAAATGCTAACCCCTGATATGAGCATAGCAGATCTCAAATCCAAGTCCCCACAGAGCAAACCAAAATGCCCTTGCCCTCCATAAGAACTATCAATCAGAATCTGTTTTGAAAAGTGCCTTTTAGTGAATGGTTCCTATAGTAGTAAATAAATAAATGCCGTTGAATGAGTAGGAATGGGAATTATAACAAGATTGAAACATAGGGGACCACTTTCCTGAACATAGGGAACAAAAATGGTAACACCGTCATCCCAGCTCTGTGCTCAATGCTGGACACATTATGGCAAATGAGCCTTCCTGAAAAATTCCTCCACACTGTAGCAGGAGGGTCAGATAGCACAGAGGTAAACTTGCAAAACAAGGTATGTAGCGTCAAGGAAATAAACAATAGAGAATAGTATGGTGGTCAAAGGCATCTAAGGAAGAAACATTTGAGCACAAATCTTGTATTAGTCCATTTTCACACTGCTATGAAGACATTCCCAAGACTGAGTAATTTATAAAGAAAAGAGGTTTAATTGACTCACAGTTCCACATGGATGAGAGCCTTCAGGAAACTTACAATCATGGTGAAAAGGGAAGTAGGCACATCTTACATGGTGGCAAGCAAGAGAGAGCCAGCAAGAGCAGAGAAAACTGCTTTATAAAACCATCAGATCTCATGAAAACTTACTCACCATCACAAGAACAGTATGGAGAGAAACCACCCCCATGAGCCAATCACTTCCCATCTGGTCCCTCCCTTGACATGTGAGGATTATGGGGATTACAATTTGAGATGAGATTTGGGTGGGGACATAGAGCCAAACCATATCATTTTGCCCCTGGCCCCTCCCAAATCTCATGTCCTCACATTTCAAAACACACTCATGCCTTCTCAACAGTCCCCCAAAGTCTTAATTCATTCCAGCATTAACTCAAAACTCCAAGTCCAAAGTCTTATCTGGGACAAGTCAAGTCCCTTCCACCTATGACCCTGTAAAATAAAAAATAAGTTAGTTACTTCCAATATACAATGAAAATACAGGCATTGGATAAATATTCACATTCCAAATGGGAGAAATTGGCCAAACAAAGGTGCTACAGGCCCTAGGCCAGGCCAAAATCAAGCGGGGCAGTCATTAAATCTTAAAGCTCCAAAATGATCTCCTTTGACTCTATATCTCACATCCAGGGAACACTGACACAAAGAGTTGGCTCCCACAGCCTTGGGCATCTCTGCCCCTGTAGTTTTGCAGGGTACAGCCTCCTGCCCAGGCTGCTTTCATGGCTGGTGTTGAGTGTCTGCAGCTTTTACAGGTGCACCGTGAAAAATGTTGGTGGATCTATCATTCTGGGGTCTGAGGACAGTGACCCTCTTCTCACAGATCCACTAGGCCGTGCCACAATGGGGACTCTGTGTGGGAGCTCCAACCCCACATTTTCCTTCCACATTGTCCTAGCAGAGATTCTCCATGAGTGCTCCACCCCTGAAGCAAACTTCTGCCTAGACATACAGGCATTTCTATATATCCCCTGAAATGTAGGCAGAAGTTCCCAAACCTCAATTCTTGACATCTGAGCACCCACAGGCTCAACACCACCTGGAAGCTGCCAAGGCTTGGAGCTTGCACCCTCTGAAGTAACAGCCTGAACTGCACCTTGGCCCCTTTTAGCCACGGGATGCAAGACACCATGTCCCGAGGCTCTACAGAGCAGTGGTCCCTGGGCCTTGCCCACAAAACCATTTGTTCTGTCCTTCCTAGGCATCTAGGCCTGTGACAGGAGGGGCTGCCATGAGGACCTCTGACATGCCCAGGAGACATTTTCCCCATCACCTTGGCTCTTAACATTTGGCTCCTCATTACTGATGCAAATTTCTGCAGCTGGCTTGAATTCCTCCCCAGAAAATGGGATTTGCTTTTCTATTATATAGTCAGACTGCAAATTTCCCAAACCTTTACAGTCTGCCTCCCTTTTAAACATGAGTTTCAATTTCAAACCATCTCTTTGTGAATGCATAAGACTGAACACTTTCAAAATCAACCAGATAAACTCTTGAATGCTTTAGTGCTTAGAAATTTATTCTGCCAGATACCCTAAGCCATCTGTCTCAAGTTCAAAGTTCCACAGATCTCTAGTGCAGGGGCAAAATGCCACCAGTCTCTTTTCTAAAGTGTAGCAAGAGTGACCTTTGCTCCACTTCCCAAGAAGTTTCTCATCTCCACCTGAGACCACCTCAGCTTGGATTTCGTTGTACACATCATTATCAGCATTTTGGTCAAAATCATTCAACAAGTCTCTAGGAAGTTCCAAACTCTCCCACATCTCCCGTCTTCTTCTGAGCCCTCTAAACTGTTCCAGCCTCTGCCTGTTACCGAGTTCCAAAGTCGTTTCCACATTTTCAAGTATCTTTATACACCAATTAGCTGCATTAGTCCATTCTTACACTGTTATAAACAACTGCCCCAAACTAGGTAGTTTATAAAGAAAAGAGGTTTAATTGACTCAAAGTTCTGCATGTCTGAGGAGGCCTCAGGAAACTTACAAGCATGGTGGAAGGGGAAGTAGGCACAGCTTACATGGCAGCAGGTGAGAGGAGGCAAGCAAGAGCAGGGAAAACTGCTTTCTAAAACCATCAGATCTCAAGAACTCACTCACTGTCACAACAACAGCATTGTGAAAACTGCCCCCTTGATGCAATCACCTCCCATCTTGTCCCTCTCTCAACATGTGGAGACTATGGGGATTCAATTTGAGATGAGATTTGGGTGGGGACACACAATCAAATGACATCAGACCTAAAGGATTACAACAAACAAACAAACCTGACTGTTCAGCATATAGGAGCAAAGCTTTTCACATGGAGAGAGTAGCCAGGGCAAAGGCCATGTGGTAGGAAGGCTCTTGATACCTTCAAGTATGTTTGCTCAGTGTAGACTGAGGAAGAGGAGAGTGCAGGGGATGAATTTGGAAAGAAGAGTCCACTGCAGACCATGCGTGAGTCCTGGGGAGCCCTCAGTCTCCCAGCTCCAGGATTCTACGATTCCGTCCCAGCCTTTTTTTCTCCATGTAAAAAAGAGGACAGCACATGCATTTTCCCATCTTTGCTGGGAATCAGGTTCTGATCTTGGCAAGCTGTCCAGAGAGCTCTCACTTGGCAGGTGGAGGCTCCTCAGACTTTGTAAATGGGAAGCTTGTAGTCAAGAATTTCCAAATGTGATTAAAACGGAACTGCCATTGAAATCAGGTTTGCTGCCTGTCTCTCTGGTACTCAGAAAGAAGAACCCCTCCTGGACCTGGCAGGCAAGCTCAGCGACACTGTTGGACTAGATTTAGGAAGGGCTGCCAGGTAGAAAGGAGATTTCAATAACTGTGCAGCCAAATTAGTAATTAGAACCACTGGGTACTGGGGACGCGCCATGAAAAACCCTATGACCTCTCGATAGTTGAAGTCATTGAGATAAATGGGCTTCAAGGCCAGGGCTTCATTTTAGAGAACGCGCATACTTTATGATTAACTCCAGATGACCACAGTGCCCGGAGACTGACCAAATGCCGTTCATTTAAATCAGAAAATGCTAACTCGCTCAATAGTTTCTTTTGGCCAGTTCAGCCCTCGAACAGTTCAGAAAAGGGAAGGGTTGGCCCCAAATATCCTATATCAGCAGAGAAGTACAGATGAAATACATTTCCCTGGATGGTTTCAGTTTGAATCCAAGTCCAGCAGACTAAATCTCTACAATTTCCTCTGTCAGTGGTGAGTTATGCCATGGAACAGACAGTTCCAGAACGGTAAACAAAGGTAATGCTTTAAGTAAACGGACTGTACCTGCCTGTGAGAGCAATGGTGATCACAGGCACCGGGCCGCAGCACACCTCCTCTGCGGCTTGTTTTAATTGAAACTGATGGAGCTGTGGAGCTGACCGGGTTTTGCATAAATCATCATCGGTAATACTCTTTCAAGGGTAATCACAACATTAATATACCAAGCAGGAAGTGAAATAATTAAAATTTAGCACATTGCAGTATTGAAGTTTCTAAAATTAATCTAAAGCACCTTTTCTCAGTACAAATGAGCAATCGCTTCAATCCACAGAAACAGACATTTGTGCTACAATACCCAGACCATCAGCAACAAACAAGTTCCACTTTTCTTTCTACACTACAAATCACCTGCTTATATTTAAATCCTGTTCTTCTCTAGTGGTGCTAGAGTTTTTTTTCTTTTTTCATTTTACCTGCCTCTAGCTAAATATGTGCCACAAGGCCACGTAAAATAGAAACCCTATAAATCTGGGGATATTGGAAAGAAAATCCTTCTCATATTACCCTTAGGAAGACAAGTCCAGCTCAGAGAATGAATACAGATACGTAGATTGGCAAGAAACCTGTGGTGATAAGCATCTCATTTCAATATATCTGTATAGAAAGCAATAAAATATCCAGGCTGGGTTTCTACGGTGAGCCACAGGGGTAAGATATTCAGTGGCACTAAATGGCTCACTCACCCTGATGAAGCAAGTATCTTTCATGCTTGGTGTCTTACAAAAGATAATAAGCAAAAGAGGCTCCCTGTTGTAATACATAATCTCACACGCAGACAGCTTAAAACAGCAATATTTTGCAGAGAACTGCACCTTAATGTCTTAAGGATAGAAATATCTTGACCTGGAAGCACTAACATAGTGATTGCGGTGCTTCCTCTTACCAAGTAATTAAACAGGAGCTCCTTGCAATGGGCAGGGTCCTCAATACCCAGATGGCATTCCAACTAACAGCCAATCTGCCCCAAACTGTAAAGTTGGCAAAGCCTGCCTTTAGTGGTGCCTAATGCCACTTGGCATTGTTTCTTTTTCCCTCAATTTCATGTCTTCTGTAGGAAGGTAGGAATTTCCCAGTGTCTGGAGAGAAAAGAAGGTAATGAGCCCCTGTTGCCCTTGTAAGAGTTACTTGATCAGGCAATTTCACCTAGACTTAATTGGAGAGAGGGACCCCAAAGTCGCATTTTTCGTAGTGGTATTTCAGACATTTTGGAAGGGGAATTAGCAGTGAGAGACCGAATAGGGCCCCAATGTCTCTTATATCACGTTATTCAAATCGTACTTCTATGCTGCCTATATGTAAAGCCAGTTCTGATAATTCATCATTTGAAGCAGACATTGCCATTTCCTATGCTGAGAAACTTTCTAGCAGGTTTGGTCACTTTCCAATGATGGGATATGTAAGAATAAATTAGAGTAGAGAGAACTGAAAATTAGAGTCAGGTTTCTGAGGATTGCCTGGCCAATAAGAACTCCCAGCAAATCATGAGTAGAAACACTGCTTCACTTGGAAAATAGTAAGGACTCTCACCATATTATATTGTGCCTTTTTGAATGAAAATTTACTCATATGTTTGAAATGAAACTCTTCATGTTAATACCAGATAGTCCAGATGTGAGCAAGTCCCATTGAAACTCCGTAGACACAATCAAAGCAAAAGTGGAGGGCAGCATCTTTGATCAAAACATCAGTGTCTTTAAATGTGTCTCTAAACCTTACCTGGTACATATATCAAAGCTTTCATGCCCATCGAGTCAAGAAATGTTGATTGAGTGCATACTAAGATGGAAAAATAGAAAGTGGGAAGCAGAAAAGAAAGAGGAAAAGCACAAGCAAAAGAAAGAGCAGGAGAAAGAGGAGGGCAAAGAAGGAAATGAAAGAGAAGCAAAGGAAGAAGGAAGAGGAGAACAGAAGAAGAAGAAGAAGAGAAAGAGGAAGAGAAAGGGAAGGGAGATGAGGAAGAGGAAGATGTGGAGAAGAAAGGTAAGAAGAAGGAAAAATTTTTAAAAAGTGGAAATTTCCTTCAGCTTCATTAAGCACCATTATTGTGAACGTTTTCTCCATCACTTGACGCTTGCCTGTCACCCTGCCTTCATGTGGTGTTATTCCCTGGTCACACTCACTAATACATAAGAGAATCTATAGTATTTCTAAAACTTTCCCCATTTAGTTCCAAATGCAGCCAACTCTTAGAGTGGTTTTAACCAAGGGTCTAGTTACTTCCCCTCCTTACTGTGATAATACAGCAAAAGACATTTTGCTCCTGGATTTTATTTTGGTTTTGAGTGTGCTGAATTTTGATAACTTTGTCATTAAGCACAATTAAGAAAATAATGTAATTAAGGAGTACATAGCACAGGTGAAGCATAATTATTTGGACTCCCAGAAAATCAGCTCTCAGAAGCAAAGCTGCAACTTGAGGGAGGATCAGTAAACCATGTGTCATCCGCCTCTGAGGTAGAGATGCTGCCATCTGCACTGGGTGGAATCCAAGCAAACAACCAGCCAGCCAGGAAGCTAAATGCAGGAACAATGGGGATGGAACCCCAGGAACACATCTGATCCCTTGAGTAGCCAAGTTAATTCTATAAATGGTTAGAGTTGATAGGCATTCAGAGAAATATAAAAAATGAAAAGTTCAACCTTGATGGAATTGGAGACTATTATTTGAAGTGAAGTAACTCAGGAATGGAAAAACCAAACATCATATGTTCTTACTCATAATTGGGAGCTGAGCTATGAGGATGCAGAGGCATAAGAATGATACAATGGATTTTGGGGACTCAGGGAGAAGGGTGAGATAAAAGGCTACACATTGGGTAGAGTGTACACTGCTTGGGTGATGGGTACACCAAAATCTCAGAAACCACCACTAAAGAACTTACTCATGTGACCAAACACCACCTGTTTCCCAAAACCCTATTAAAATAGAAAAATAAATGTTAAAAAAAAGAGAGAAAAAAATGAAAAGTTCTATATTTTCTCCTGCCAGCTGGTATCCTACTTTGACCCTCTCTCACAAGAAAATATAAAGCGTGGCCTACAATAAAATAGTAGTTAGGGAAGTAAAGTTGTCTGGTCAACAATGTATATAGCTTGAGAGCAGGAGCTTTCACAATGCATGGCATAGAATAAGTGTTCAATTAAATAAATGTTGAGCTGTTAAGTCTAGACCTGGAACTGCAACGGAAATTGACTCCGAAGTAGACCTGACCCAGAGGTTACAAATGGTTCTGAGATTTTTCTCCACTAAAACCAGGGAATTTTAGAAGCTGGTTCAGAACCCCAGTTCACAGGGAATAACCCCACAGAAGGTGAGTAGACAGAGTTGAAACAGGTAAGATCCCAGTGTGTGTTTGCCAGCAGACAGGAGTAACATTTGTGTCAAAGTGTAAATAGAAACTTGCTTCAGTTTATGCAAATCACAGACATACAAGAAATACGGAAAAAGAACAGAGTGCCGGGTATCTTTGGGGTATATATTGAAGTCTCCTCGTGTATGATATAAATGAGTTTTCCTTTGTGTTTTGATCTTTATTCACATAGAAACAAAAATGGCTTTTTATTTGGCTTGTTTACAATTTTTAAACTTATTTTGTAAATATTTTATAATATTTAAAACAGTATATAATATAATGAGGACTCTATGCCTCTTGCTGCAAAAATAATTAATAATACTTGGCAGTTAATGACACTTTTCATCATTAAATCTCTTTGTAGACATTAATTAAGGGAAAGATACTTCATCTTTTTAAATTTGCTGTTATCCTGCTATCACCGCATTTCATGAATATCAGTTGCAATGGGAAGTAAAATATGTAGAATTGAAAGCACAAATCTACCAAAGCTTTGCTGGATAGGTAAAAATAAGCCTTTGTGTGCTTTTTGTTGTCCTTTGTCCCTTCAATTACATTCGTAAATAATTTTTACTCATGTCTGTACCTTAAAGTCTATTTTTTTATTGTTGACTACAACTCCTGTGATACTGTATTTAAAAAACCAAATATTTTATAATGTATTTTGAATTATTCAAATGTAAAACTTCGTGCATAAAGACACCAAAGGTACTCAGGTTTGTCAGAAAATAGTCCAACTGGCAAAGTCAGTCCAGACCCTGCTTTTCTTCCCTGTAAAGTAGAGGTTCATTTGCCAGGAGAGGGGATCCTTTCAGTCTTCCTTCTTCCTCACTTGAAAGGTACAAAATCTTGTTCATCTCCAGGGCCAGACTTAGCCTTATTTCAATGCGCTTCTTCCTTCAGAAGTCTCTCCCCATTTGTTTCTAATGTCTGAAAATCTTAAGATAATCCTTATTCTACCTCCTCCTTGTCATATAAAATAGCTGCCATCAGGCCAGGACCCTTAGCATCTTCCATCATTTTCACCTTCACCTGTGTTTACCTCCTTCAATTCTGTCTTGGAGCCTCACTCCCCTCCCCTCCAGCTCAGTCCTCCACCAAAAGTTGGTGCTGCCCTGGTGTTCCCCCAGTAATCAACTTCTTTTTTACATTTATCTTTAATTTTGCCCTCCTTTCTGACTTCTTCCTCACAGGAATTCTTTAAATGTAAAAGACATGTGTTGTATGCATCCTTTCCAGGTATCGTCCCATCCTTCTCTTTTTGGGGGGCTTCTTCTGCAAAAGTAGCGTTCTACAAGAATAATACCTTAGTCCATTTACATTGCTCTGAAGGAATACCTGAGCCTGGGTAATTGATAAAGAAAACAGGTTTATTTGGCTCACAGTTCTGTTCTGCAGGTTGTACAAGAAAAATGGCACCAGCATCTGCTTCTAATGAGGAGCTCAGGCTGCCCACACTCATGGTGGAAGGTGAAGCAAAGCCAGCATGTACTGAGATCACATGGTGAGAAAGGAAGCAAGGGGCTGGGGAGGTGCCAGGCTCTTTTTCACAACAGGCACTGGCAGGAACAAATAGAGCAAGAACTGACTCATTACCATGAGGATGACACCACACAATTCATAAGGCTTCTACTCCCATGACCCAAACACCTCCCATTAAGCCCCACCTCCAGCACTGGGGATCTAATGTCAACATGAGGTTAGGAGAGTCAAATATACAACCTATAGCAAGTAGCCTACATTGTTGTCTGCATTTTCTCTTCTCCCAGCCCTCACAACTTTGTGAATTATGACCTTGCCATTCTGCCAAGGAAACTAGTGATCATCTCAGTGTCAACTCAATGGGTACCTTCCACTTAGCATCTCCTTCCTGGACTTCTTCAATATTGCCCTTTACTGGTCCTCCCCATTCCTGTGGAATGCTCCTTTTCAGTGTGTATCAGGGTTCTCATCTCCTGAATGTTATTGTTTCCAATAATTCTTCTTTGTGAGTTCTAACTGCCTTCTATCTTCCTGGGGGACTTCATTTATCCCAGGTATCAACTAACATCTTAACAACCACAGGCTGAACATGTTATACCCTATGAGGCTCTGTCTTTCACACCCTGTTTCCTCTGCCTGAGGTGTCATTCATTCCTAGACATTCTGAAGACTTTCTTATCAATCTTTAAGACCCAGATCAAGGAGAATTCTCAAATGTCCTTTCTTCTTTTCTATTCTTCCCCCCACCCACCCCTAAGAGAATGAGTTACTCTCTCCTTAGCACTCTCATGACATGTTACACGTATTTTGATGTATGTGTGGATGAGTGTGTGTGTGTGTGTGTATGTATGTATGTGTGTGTGTGTGCTCCATTTATTGATATCTCAAGATTTCTTAGGGGAAGGGACTCCAGCTAGGTGATCTTTGCATTCCCAGCACATAGAAGAGTCGAACCAAGAGGACTGTTTCAGATAGAGAATGGGAGAGAATAGCAATGTGGATTCAGTTCAAGGTTACTTTTTCTTTGTTTTACTCCCAAAGCAGCTAATGAGCATTGCATAAGATATAAATCAGGCAAGGGTGCTGGGAACAAATGCAGCTCCCACTGATTCTCTTTGAAGCTTACAATAGTATGCCCAAAGTTGCTGGTATTGACAAGCAACCAAAGTGAGACATATACCATATCAGAAAACCTGAGAACTGTAGCTTTGCTGCCTTTTATAGCCACAGCCACGTCAGCATCCAGAAAAATCATATACACTATATAAGAAATCAATTTTGCAACTCAAATGGGTGAGCCCCATCCAGCTTAAGGACCAAGTTCCCTAACCTCAAATGACTTACCACATCAGCCCTGGGTCAAACTTCCCTTATTTATACTTATGCTTTAGGGCCTAGGAATTTTCTAGTATGTCTACTTCAAATTTTCTCATGGCCAAAACAGGCCTATATGAATTTCATAAATATTTAATGAATATATTGGTAAATGAGTAAATGACCACTTGGTTAAAATAAAGCATTGACTGTGTAATTCATCACCGAGTCACCCATTGACAGTGGGTGCAAGACAGCTTCACTGAGTACAACTAGCAAAATTTCTCATCACAGATTATTTGAGACGAGCAGTTATCTGAGACAACCCAGGAAGATGAGTCTAGAAAGACTTGTTGAGTTTGGATAATGGAGTCCAATTGATCTATTTCCTACTGTAATTCTGATATTATAGTGTGTTTTAAACTGCTTCCCATCTAGTTGAAAAAGGTAATAACATGAATGATGATTTATTCTGATTCCATTAAGAAACCCCCTTATGAAGGATCTGAGGGTAGAGTGGATGAATGTATGTGTGTATGTATGTGTATTATTCAGGGTTCTCTAGAGGGACAGAACTAACAGGATATATGTATATACAAAAGGGAATTTATTCAGGAGAAGTCACTCACACGATCACAAGGTAAAGTCCCACAGTAGGCTGTCTGCAAGTTGAGGAGCAAGGAAGCCAAAGGTGAATCAGTCTGAGTCCCAAAACCTCAAAAGTAGGGAAGCCAACAGTGCAGCCTTCAGTCTGTGGCCAAAGACCTGAAAGCCCCTGGCAAACCACTGGTGTAAGTCCAAGAGTACAAAAGATGAAGAACATGGAGTCTGATGTTCGAGGGCAGGAACCATCTAGCGTGGGAGAAAGGTGAAGCCTGGAAGACTCAGCAAGTCTGCTCTTCCATCTTCCCCTGCTTGCTTTATCCTAGCCACACTGGCAGCTGATTAGATGGTGCCCACCCAGATTGAGGATGAGTCTGCCTCTCCCAGTCCACTGACTCAAGTGTTAATCTCCTTTGGCAACACCCTCACAGACATACCTAGGAACAACACCTTGCATCCTTCAATCCAATCAAGTTGACACTCAATATTAACCATCACGGTATGCAAATTCATTCAGAGAAACTCAATATTCATTCTGTTTCGATTGCACTTTGTATCCTAAGAACTCTATTTTCAATAGTATCACTTTGCATATGAAATAGCAGTATATCTACAGTGAGGATTTAATAACAACTTGGCTGATTGTCTAAAGATACAACAGAAATATAATTCCCTAAGCAGCAAAGGTTTGTAGAGGGCTTTCTGTGTGCCAAAAACTATGAAAGACTGTTCTTTGGACTCAGGAGCTTATAAAGGTGTAGATGAGACAAAGTATTATGACAACATATATGAAATATCATAAAGCATACATGAAACATTAGGAAAGAGTATATTGAATCATGTGCTCAATTATGTGATTCAAATCAAATGCTATAGAATAGAGATAGTGTGAGAATGACATGGCCAGCACATAATTAGAGGAGCAGCAGGTCCTTTGAAATCAGTTCTAGGTTTAAGTTCTGCCTCTGCACATTAACTTTCACTGTAAGCAAGCTTTAAAAGACCTCTCTATGCCTCAGCTTCCTTATCAGTAGAGATGATTCATCTATTCTATTGACTTGCCAATTCTGCGCCCTCCAAAGTTTTCTTCCATGCAATGTTGGCATCAGACAGAGTAGGTGAGGCAATATGAATACATACATACTTAATTTGTTTATAATGCTTATGGTAAAATCAGAGGAAGATGCACATTCTGTCTCCCAAAGAGGTTGGGCTCAGCCCAACTCCAATATACAAAATCTATAGTCACTCCCTTCAAAATCTGCTATTTTGTCTGTCATTCAAACTCCTCCCACACCCAAGTCTCAGTCTTCCCCAGTGGTGGAATGAATGTGATAGCATGTTATTCCTTGTTGATTACTATTTATTTTTCACTTTAAAGTGTAAAATTATGACCACGATACATAACCAATCAAGTGAACACTGGTGAAGATTTTTCCAGGATAAGAAGCAATAAGTACAAAGCTCTGAGGCAGAAAAAACAGGGATATGTTCAAGATAGAGAGAAAAGGGGTTGGTAAAGCTGGGACATAGTGAGTGAGGGGGACAGTGATGGGGGCAGATCTGATGGGCAGGCAGCCATCAGATCACAAAGGCTAAGTTAGGAGGTATGTGTTTCTTCCAAGAGCAAAGCAAAGCCATTGTAGGCTTAAGGTAGTGAGGTGATGTGATTAGATTCATGATTCAAGGCACATTCTTATGCTGGATCTTTATAAAGGAACCAGAAAAAAAGCATGAGACAAATCAGGAGATTATTTCCATATTCCAAGCTGGAGATGATGGTGCTTAAGCTAAAGTTATTTGAACAAAAAGGAAGAACTTGAGATATATTAAATATGGATTTCTAACAAGCATGACAGATTTAAGGAACAGAATAGCCAGTGTAGCTGGGGAAGTGAAAAGAGTGATGGGAAGGTGAGGTCTGAGAGGTAAGCAAGAATCACATCAAAGAAGCCAACTTAAGGAACTTGCTGCCAATAATTTGGGATAATTTGTTGTCAAATTGAGGGAGGGGCAGGCAGGCAACGGGAAAGAGATAAACTAAAGATGACTCATTTCTAAGTTTGAGGTCAGAGCAAATTAGTAACTGGTTTTACCGTTTACTGAGATGGGCAACTCCTAGGGAAGAATCATTGTTGAAAGTTGAAATTTGGAGTTTTGTGGTAGGCATGAGATAATAATAGTAGCTACTTTGTGTGATTGTTGGGCCAACTAAATGAGCAAATGCAAATAAAGAGCTTCCCCCAACAACTTTGTGCATAATAAGAACTCAAAAATATTGATTGTTACTTTCCTTATCAACATTATTATTCACAAAACTATCTTTGTCAACAGAAAAGTTCCCGAAAGGGGCAGCCTCATTTTTTCCATGAGCTCCCTATCCCGTCACTTGTGGACACCAACAGTGTATGATGCATTCGGTGAAAAAACAAACAAAAAAAGTGTCTGGTTGGCTTCTCTCTCATGCACATGCAATCAACTACTTTTTGAATGGAAAGGAAGTGAAGCAGAAGTAAATGAAATTTACAAAGCCCCTATGCATCTGATTTTATTTTCCATGAAGATTAAGTTTTTCCCAGACGGATTACATTCCTTCCATCATTAGTTAAGCCCATCTTAGTAAAAATTCTATTCAGGAAAATATCTGAGAAAAGCAGTCAATTTGGTTATGCAAAGAGCTTTGCTTTATATAAAATCAGAGTATCTGTTTAAAAGAAATTACAGATGGAAGTGGAGAGTTAGAAATTTCCCACCTCCCTCCACATCTGCCCTCATATCTGCCCCCACCACTACCTCTAGATAATAAACAGTCACCCTCTCGACACATTCATATGCTGAAAAAGGAGCATCGACATAGAAAATAATTGCCAAGCAGAACACAGAGCTTTCGTTTGCCCTCAGGATATAAAATGCACCAGGACACCTTCTGTGAGATGGCTGAGGGGAAGTAATTATTTAGATCCACACTCTTTATCAACATCCCTGAAGCAGAAAGCAAAATGAATAACCAGTAAATAGATGTCACTCCCAGACAATGAGCCTCTAAAAATAAAAGCTAAAAGGGCAAACATCTGTCTTGAAGTTGGTCTTGGATTTTCCTGGCAGAGGGTAGGCAGAGGTGAATGTCGTTGGCCATTCTCATGAAGATCCAGGAAGAAAGGAAAAACTAGAGAAACGCTGCTGCAACATTCTAAAAGCTAATGGCTCTTCAGAATACCTGCATACTGCATGAGACCTCCCAGACTTTCCCTGGATGACGGTCATTTGGTCATCCATCTGGGTGTGTCAGATGAATTTTTCAGGATGATTCTAGTGCATCTGAAATCGTAGGTCTTCATATGCTTGACACAGGCTGATCATTTGTCTTCCTGCAAGAAGTTAAATTTATCATTTTTAATTGACAAGAAAACTCTGAATTCAGTCAAAGCCAAATGTGAGAAGGACTGAGAGTCATTGAAAATGCTACTAGGAAAGGTCTGTTTCCCAAAAGGGCATTTTGCCCTTAAGGAAGCACAAATGAGGTAGGCGTATTTGGGAATGTTTGTTTCTTTACACAAATGCACATTTTTTCTCATATCACCTGTGCATCATGTGAAGTGACATTTCCTCTGGTAATTACGCATTTTCTTTCAGCAGCAGAGGAAATTTTCATGTGAAAGGCACATAACTGTCAACCCATGAAGTAGTGCTTTTTAGGAAACTTAATCCCGGATGCCCAGAGCCTGAATTTTGTTCCTGAGGGTCATATGAAGGTCAACAAGAACATATCTTTTTCTTTAGATAAGAATGCATATCTCAAGCATAGGAGTCCATAAAAAACTAACATGAAATCTTAAAAGTTCCAAACCACAAATATCCCAACACTTAAACCTAGGGCATCAAACTAACCAGTAGCAAAAGGAAATAAGGTTGAAAACAGCCCCAGGAGGCCATTCATCCACAGCTGCACGATGATGCTCTGCAAGTCATGGCAACAACAGGGCAAGAAGGGATGGAGATAATTTTCATATTTGAGATATAGGATTGAATATACACATGTGAATAAAGACAAAGATGTAGGATTGGATACAGTAAGATGCAGTGGAGTTTAAGCAAAGAAAATGCATTCAGAAACCTTTTTTTTTAACTAGAGAAAAAATTATTCGTATTAAAGTGTTAACCTGGGTTAAGTCTTTTTCCAGAGAGCTAACTATGCCAATCTTCTTACTTATAATCACACCAATCTGCTGCAATAAAATCTCCAGAATGCCTGCTTGTGTATTGTTCAGTTGAGAGGAATGTGTTATGCACGCTTTAGTACTGAAGCTGTTTAAAGCTGTAAATAGTTTTATGCTCATATTATCACTTTTAAGAAGAAGAAGAAAAAGATCAAGTAGGCTCTTATCACCTCTCTGTGGTGATCCTCTCCCAAAGTTTTGTACACGCAACTCTTCTCTGAAGTCACAGAACTTGATCCCACGTTCCTCCTTTTCAGCAAAATGACCTGTGACCATAAATGATATCAGGAATCTAACAAAAGAGATACAAAAATGACAGCCATGACATGTCCTCTAGACTCTCCCTGGCCAGTGATGGTCACTGTCTAGGCTCTGATTCAGAGCCTGGGTGCATGGAAGGAAATCACACAATTCCAGGATCTCACAATTTTCTCAAAGACTTTCCAGTCCACAGGGCCAGTGTCAGGGTAGACAGAGGCAAAGATATGCATCCTCCATGAGCATGTATACCCTCTCATTGTAAATTATGGCCAAGTGAGAGTCATTCAGGGAGACACAGGGGAAAGGGACTCTACATCCTTGCTCCTGTAGACCAACATGAGCTCTCTGAGGAGCAGGGGATGGGAGCTGCTGTGTTATTTTACAGGTTAAGTCACATGTCACGTGTCCTTGCTCTGTCCCCTGTTAACAGCAAAGATCCTGTCAAATGCATTCAGTAAGGGATTAGTAAACTAGAGCTGACACACATAGTTCTGGACCCAGAGGGTCTTTGATAGAACCCTGTAGTTCATTCATCTACCTTTAGGAAGAGCTGTGGGGATATGACCTGCGTTGTTTTCTTAAAATAAGGAAATAGGGACATGTGGGAGGAGGGAGAGGAGCAGAAAAGATAACGATTGGGTACTGGGCTTAATACCCAGGTGATGAAATAATCCGTATGACAAACCCCCATGATGTGTTTATCTATGTAATAAATTTTCACGTGTACCCCCAAACCTAAAATAAAAGTTAAAAAGTATACAAATAAGGGAAGTATCTTCAGGATGTGTCTGTGGCTTTTAATCCATGTGCTTTCTGTTTTGTAAGAACTAATTGTGCTGAAGTCCAGCTCTGTGACACTGAAGGTCACCAGTTCCCTTGCTGGCTTCGACTGAATGATTCCCCTGTGAAGTCCCTTGTTTACTGTATTTGTAATTAGCCACCAAGAACTTGAGTAACCGGTTTCCGAGGAGAACATATATCCTGAATCAGTTCCTGGACATTTGTTTGAGGTCTTGTAAGGGAAACTGAAGGGAATTGTGTATTGAACAGGATGGCTTAGACCTGCTCAACTTCTGAGAATTGAGGTAAGTGCCTGACGTCAGCATGATTTCTGTTTAGCAGAAGTGGGAGTTTTAATGAAACCGATCTTTGAGCTAACGAATTTAAATGACTGAACTAAGGTGTCACTTTCAAAAGTATATATTTGAATCCATATGTTTTTTGTGGCTGTGCACATCACTGCTAGAAATTTGCGTTTAACTCGGGTAATATTTGCAGACTGACAGGGGGCAGATGGGAGCCAGCTGCTAAGTGAGAGAATCCACCTGCTTGCCAGTTGGAGTGTGATAGGAAGCAAACGGCCCTGATAGAGACTCTATTTCTAGGCACACTGACAGAGCATTCAGCGAAGTGTCACCACACTTTGCTTCATCTAGATCATCAGGGCAAACCTGAAACTCTATCAGGAGAGGGACCAGACTCTTCCAAGAAGATGGAGGGAACCAGGGACACAGAGCATCCTCCCTACTCAGGTCCCTATTGCTATGGTAAAGGAGGAGAAGAAAGACAGATGAGGTGAGGAGGCTATTCCAGAAACTGCGTGTGAAATGGGTGGTAAGACATTGCCTTGAGGCATTGCTGAAACAATCAGACTTTCGAGTCTAGTCTGAAGGACATAAGACCAGGGAGACCTTGATATGCAGAGATGCTACCCAAGCTTGGAACCCTTCCAGAGAGAGCCCCCCAAACTTTGTAGAATGTACCTAGCAAGTCAAAGCCTCCTTTGTGCCAAATATCTGTGTTCCTGCTCTCTACTTCTCTACTTTCTACTCCACAGCAAAATGTCCAAGAAAATTCGATCTTCCTCTTTGCTCTCCAACCCTATTCCTAGCCTTCAGTTTTGTTTTGTTTTTTTTTGTTTGTTTGTTTGTTTCTGTTTATCAAAGGAGTGGAATGCATCAGGCAAGAAAGTACCTACCTGCTACACCTTATACATTTTCTTCCTGCTTAGCTCAAACCTGTGAGTGCTGTAGCCAGTGAGGTACATTTCATTAAATGGATGAACCTAGACTTGGGGTATGTGGCAATCAACACACAATACTGAAAAATCTGAGTATGGAACAATCACCTGAGAAAACAGGGTAGGACGGCTTAACCCTTGTGTTCATGCTTGCTCACCCAGGACTTCAAACATCCCTGTGCCTCACTGGGCAAGCCCATGGCCAGGGCAAAGGATATGGAGAGGTGCCCCAATGGGAATGTATACCCTAGAGTGTTGTGAATGCTGGGTGCTGAGGCACCTCAAGGACTGTTTTATCCTAAGCCAGAAGAGGCTCTTTCCTGGAATGCCCAGTAAAGTTCTTCCTTGAGTTTGGTCAAAAACCATGCATTCCAAGCAAGCTGCACTCTGAAAGTCAAGTGTGGTTTTATTGCACTTACTGATTTCCAGTGTGACTCATTTGTCTCAGCAACTGGACATCTGTGTCCACAAAATGGAGGGCACCCAGCCAAGTGTGGGGATGTTCTGATGAAGTTTGGAATTTGTGCAACACATTTTTCATGCTCAGCTGAATTATTGGTAGAAAGCAAGATGCTGCCTAATGAACATCCCAGAAAGCACAGGATCCACTTTCCTGGGATAGTAAGTGACTAAGCATTTTACTCTTGCCTGTTATTATAGCTGAAAAGATACAGAGATGATATTGTATAAGGTGCATTAGCATCTTACCGTTGAATTGCCTTTTTATTTTAACGCTTCCAGAGCCTCTTCGTCTACTTTCTCATTGTGCCTTGACAACTTTCTTGTGAGCAAGGAAGTCTGGTATTACATAACTTTCAATGGAGAAAAATCACATACAAATGGGTTTAGACTTGCTTTAGGGTCCCATTACTTCAGTTGGTCTGTGTATCAGAGACATCTTGGCAGAAAATTGGGACAAGTTAAGGCTAATAAATGGAATTATTACAAAGTCATGAGCAAGGGGTAGGAAAATCACAGGAGATAGTGCAAGAGACCAGAGCTGGTAAAGGCAGTTCCTGTTTCCATCCTAGGCCTTGCGGGGGAAAGAAGAGGTAGCAGATACCCAAGGGGCTGTCATAGAAGTGTGTATTTCAGTTAAGGGGTGCAACCAGCCTAAAGTAACCCTTGTAAAGAACCCAGGGGAATAAATACCCAACCTAACTTTCCTTCATACCCCTTCTAGCCTGCTGCTTGTGTTCCCCTCCCCTGACGGCTATTCCTATCACCACCACCACTGACCAAACGCAAATGAAAGCCAGAAGGCAAGAAAGCCTATTAATGGAGTTCAAAGAATGGAGCCACTGGGGAGCATTTCTAGCTGTAGAGTCAGCCTCAGAAATAGTCAGACCTTCTGGTTGCCATTTCATCTGTCATTCATTGTTATCACCTGGATAACTAAAGATAGGCACATTATAAAGAATCCACTCCACGTTTGCTGGTGACTAAATTCCCTGGAGTAATCCTGGCAAAGGTGTGTTTCTGCCTTCAATTCAATGCAGTTCAGAAAGCATGTTTGAGTTCTGTAAAGTGAGCTACATGGTGTTTAAATTCTTATGAAAGATGTGCCAATTAATGCGATGCTGCATTTTCTTACTATTCCCCAAAATATTTACTATGCCCGATCGCATCCCCAACACACAGACACATGCACGCATACACATACACATGCATATGCATACAAATATACACACACAAACATGTAGGCACACAGAAGCATGTGCACATGGGCACAGGCACACAGAGGCACTCACACACATGCACACATGCACATGCATGAAGGCTTGGAATGAAGCACAGCTTGTGTTTCTGCCTCAGATGCCACAAAATTAATTTTAGTTGGAAAACTCCTTGACAGACTTCCAGGAAAATACCACTCAGAACAGCAGAGCTCCTGTTAACATCTGTCTGCTGTTTTCTCAGAGACATCCAATGCCAATCTTTAAGTTTCTGATTCTCAAAGCTTCCTCTGAAATTAGTCACCTTGATGAAGCTCATGATGATATAGAAGCAGCTATTACTAAAAGGAATTGCTACATTTTTGGTGGTGGTGGTGGTGGTGAAGAAGTAAATAAGTACATGGAAGAATAGATAGATGAGTAGATGGATGGTTGGATGGATGGATGGATGGATGGATGGATGCAGGGATAATGGATTGAGGAATGAGTAGAGGGATGATGGATAAATGGATGAGTGGAGGGATGATGAACTGATGGATGAGTAGAGGGATGATGGATGAATGGATGGGTGGATGGATGGATATGTGGATAGACGGATGGGTAGATAAAAGGATGTATGGATGAGTGGAGTGATCGATGGAGGGATGGATTAATGGGTGAATGGATTAGCGGAGGGATGATGGATTGATGAATGAGTAGAGGGATGATGGATGGATGGATGGTTGGATGAATGGAGGGATGGATGGATGGATAAGTGGAAAGTATGTATGGATGAGTGAGTGTGGATGGATGGATGAATGGGTGGATAGATGGAGAATTTTAGAAAGAAGTCGATATTTTTTTTCTTGAGACAGAGTCTTGCTTTGTTGCCTAGGCTGGAGTGCAGTGGCACGATCTCGGCTCACTGCAACCTCCCCCTCCCGGATTCCTCCTTCCTCAGCCTCCTGAGTAGCTGGGATTACAGGCAGGTGCAACCACGCCCAGCTAATTTTTTTATTTTTAATAGAGACCCGGTTTCACCATGTTTGTCAGGCTGGTCTCGAACTCCTGACCTCCTGATACACCCTCCTCGGCCTCTCAAAGTGCTGGGATTACAAGTGTGAGCCATCATACCCAGCCAAAGGAAGACAATTCTATAACAATTAATAAGGGGGAAGAATCTACCTAACACTCACCTCATTATTCTTGGTGAAAAGAAGCCTGAAGCAAAGGCATCTCTGTCTATCACCATTGCATTCAGAGAGGGTATATATCACAGGAGTTCAGAACACAGGCTCTAGATTCAGAGTCTTGGATTTGAATCCTGGACTTAACAACACTTACTAGCTGTGGGACCTAATCTGTGCCTCTGTAATGCTGTCTCTCTGCAAGGAATTGCTTATCCCACTGCATAGCTGGCTTGATCTGCTAGTGATAACAGGAATGCAATGGAAAGGACAATTACCTTAGACCCTGCAGGGATGTCCAAGGGAGAGAATACAGTCATTTGTTTTTAGTTTCTGTTTCTGGTTGGGCCAGTAAAGCCCCTTCCTCATCCCTCTTTTTCACTTATTACTAGCGACAGAAACTAAAAATCATGGCTTCAGACTCTAAAAGCCTAAACAAAACAAAACAGAACAACAACAACAACAAAATAAGGCAGGTTGGACAAGCTTGCTGGTATTACAGGGATGAAGGTTACCCCATAACACCCAAGACATAGTTCTCTGAGAAAATTTTAAAAATGAAATCATGCCCAGACACAAATTTCTCAGAAAAAAAATTGATATAGGAATTACAGCCAAATATCCATGACTGGTTTGGTTAGAGAATAAAATAATCTTTAAAATAATTTTATCACTTATGAATTATATTCATATATTTTATATATATATATATATGAGGAAGCAAATTGTATTTAGAACTTAGAAGTTAGAAACCCAGCTCAGGCATTGCCTGACCTTGAGCAATTTCCTTAACTTCTCTAAGCCTAATTGCAGGTGGTACAAACTGGTTTTGCTGTGGCCAAAACTGTCCAGCAGATTTGATTCCTTTGGGCCACAAATTCTTTTAAGCACATGTGAACTATGATTTTAAAGTTGGGAAATTCCACCAAAGCATCTCAATTTCTAAGTTTTTGGAAAATTTAAAAAGTCCAGCAACAGTGGACCCATATTCCCACACAGCACCCGTTGGGTGAAGCTGAGTCAGGGCTGCCCCCTTTAGACTGGGCCACGTCTCCATAACCCCTTCCACTTTCTACTGGTTACTGCCTACTTTCTCTTCAGTGTTACCTGCTGGCTCTCAAAGCCCTTGGAGTTGTAATCGCTGCTCTCATATGTAAAAAGAAAAATAATGTCTGAGCTGGGGTTGTTGTGAAAAATAAATAAAATCAAGTAAGTGAAGGGCCCAACACATGTATGACACACCATAGCAATGGAATACGAGTCATCTCCTTTCTCTCCCCTGGTCATGTATTCATTCAGCAAATGCTAAGTGTTCACTATATGCCAGATAATGTGCTAAGTGCTAGAAATGAAAACATACATATGACACGGAGCCTGCCCGTGCAAAAGGTTGCATTCCTGTGAAGGGAGACAGACTTATAAACAAAGTATAAGACCCATCTGAGCAGGCTACTCCATCTTTCCAACCTGTGATGCTTCCTGGAGGGCATCTAAAAGAGTAAAGAGAATTTGGAGGAGTATGTAAATGATTCCTTTAAAAATACTGCTCAAGGTAATGAGGCATGCTCTAACCTGGGATAAGGGAGTCTCCTTAGCGGGTTTTCCAAATCTATTCATTTTACCAAATTAGACACGTTCTTGTAAATTTCATTTACATTTGATACTAGAATGGGCAATTATAGGTCTTACATGGCAAGATCAGGGCACCTTGAAGGAACACCTGGATCCTACTTCACTGACTGCAAAGAGATTAAAATAAAACCTTGTCACCCTAGTCAGATGGAGGCAATGAAGAGAAAATGGAATCATAAAAGCCCAGAATATTAATTCCACCTCAGTCTTCCTTTTAATATCAAGCATCCCTGGATTTGGGTTTGCAGAAATTCACATTGCTGTGTCACATAAGCTAGAATCTCCCAGAGGGGCACAGAGCGCTTTGGGGCGCATTCATTATACATCAGCATTACACAATGCATTGTACAGCGTCAGTGCCAAAGTCATAATATGCCCTGTGCTCCACTCCCTCCCCTATTTCTCTATCCTAAGGCTGACTTTAGCCTACTCATCACCATGGCTATTATTCTTCTTTATTCTTCTCAAAATCTGCGATTTCATCATTTTACCCTTTTCTACAGGCTTCTGAGATCAGTTTGTTCATTCGTATAGTTGGCCCCAGTAACAAAGCTAAAACTTCTATATTCACCGGATTTCCAGAATGTGAATGTTGGGTCTTAAACCTTATGGTCAAATAATATATTTTTTTATTTTAAAAAATCATTGCAGTATAGAAGAAAAAATACATGGCTTTGAGGCCAAAGAGATCCAAGTCCAAATCCTTGCTTTCCCAGTTATTAGCTCAGTGACAAAGGACCCAGCCTCTCTGAGCAGTTTTCCCAATTGTTATACAATTTATGGTAAAAATCATGAGTAAATTGCATGAGATCACCAGAAGTCATAACACATAGCAGGCACTCATCAGGATACTTGTCCATCATCACAAAATAAGGTGTGATTATTGGTTTTACATATAGTAGCTTACCCTCATATGCTGCCTAATGTAAAGGCACTTGGAGAGGCGATTTCACATGTACCCCGATCTTTACAAGAAACTATTTACTATTTGAGAAACCTTTGCTCAGGGAGATTAAGTAAGTGCTTTGTGTGAATTAACCTATTTGATTCTCATGACAGCTTATTATTATCTTTATTTGATAAATGAGAAAACTAAAGCATAAAGAGTTCAGGCAACTGGCCCCAGGTCATAGTGAGTAAGTGGTGGAAATGACATTCAGTCCCCGTCTGGTTCCAAAAACATGCTCTTAATGAGAAGGTCATTAAGAGCATAAGGTCATTCAATAGCAAATTTTGAGAAGAATGAAAACATAACCATGGTGATAAGTAGGCAGAAGTTAGCAAGGGAGAAGATAACCAAGCCAGGACTACCTCATCCCTAATACACTCACACACATCCCCCCCTCACACACACACACACACACATACACTCAGAATACACACATACACACACTGATACACAGAGTTTCCCCAGTGCTTTAGAATGGGTCTGGTTATGGCTCGACCCAGGAACTGTGAGTCCCGGACCAGGTGAGTCTGGGGACATTATTGTCTAGGACCCTGTAGAGCACCCCACCGTGACTACCACATTAAACCTCTCTAAGACTTCTGCATAACTGACCCAAATCCTGAAATACGTCTAGAACTGAGCAGACCTCATAGATCCCAACCCCTGAAATGGAAGAGCTATGTGCGTATATATATATTTTTATCTCCCTTCTCCCAATATGCTTTATATTCATTCACAGGCATCTTAGGGAAGCAAATGTTGAAATGGGAAACCCAACCTCATAAATTGTGCTGCAGTTCCACCAAACGGCCGGTCACTCAACACACGTTGATAAGAAAGTCCCATGATGGCACTGAATGTGCTAGAGTCCCCCTGGAATTTCAGGTGGTGCAGAGCTTGGGGTGGTGCTCCGCCACGGGGGAGAGAAGGGACCCTGTGTGCCACAGAATTCTGAGGAGCCAGGACATATGGTAGAGGAGAGAGACGCAGCAGGGAAAGAGGACAGAAGTTGAAAACATCTCTCCTCATTGGTAATCACTCATTTCAGCAGCATTTTAACCCAAGAACGTGATCTCCTGATATAAACAGGGCAGAGCCATCTTTGTCAGGTGATTTGAGGAATAGTGAGAATGTGCACCTGGCCTGTTCCAATAGCCCATTCTCACTGGTGTTCAAATGTCACAGCTAGATCATCTTGTTAGGCCCCCTTCTTTTTCTATGTTTTTGAGAGGGAGTCTTGCTCTGTCGCCCAGGCTGGAGTGCAGTGGTGCGATCTCGGCTCACTGCAAGCTCCGCCTCCCAGGTTCATGCCATTCTCCTGCGTCAGCTTCCCGAGTAGCTGGGACTACAGGTGCCCGCCACCATGCCCAGCTAATTTTTTTTTTTTTGTATTTTTAGTAGAGACGGGGTTTCACCATGTTAGACAGGATGGTCTCGATCTCCCGACATCATGATCCACCCGCCTCGGCCTCCCAAAGTGCTGGGATTACAGGCGTGAGCCACCGCGCCCAGGCTTTTTTTTTTTTTTGAGACGCAGTCTCTCTCTGTCTCCCAGGCTTGAGTGCAGTGACAGGATCTCGGCTCACTGCAACCTCCACCTCCCAGATTCACGTGATTCTCCCGCCTCAGCCTCCCGAGTAGCTGGGACTACAGGTGCCCGCCACTACACTCGGCTAATTTTTGTAATTTTAGTAGAGACAGGGTTTCACCATATTGGTCAGGCTGGTCTCAAACTCCTGACCTCAGGTGATCCACCCGCCTCAGCCTCCCAAAGAGCTGGGATTACAGGCGTGAGCCACCGTGCCAGGCCTTAAGCCTCCTTCTTTTGCAAAAGCACTGCCTTCTTCATTGAGAGGATGGTAGTTGGAGGGATTATCATCTACGTCTAATTAAAAGGCAAAACAAGAGTCACAGAAGACATACAGCAATAGAAGACCATGCTTCTGAAAATGTCAACAAAAATTCAAAGCTGCAGCCTCAACAAATCCCTCTCCCATCCTCACCATGTCCGGCAGCCTCTTCCCAACTCACTAGTATTGGCCCCTCCAGGCACCCTTATTTCACATGGTTGAGATCTCTTTTCCAAAGAAAAGCTTCTCACGGGAGAATTCTGCACTCATCCACCCTTGGATAGACATGTCTATACAACATAGCATTTTCGTTATCTGGGAACCCTTTGTCCTCTCTAAGAGGGGACAAAGCCTTGTGATAAGAAAATCAGGGAGACAGGGTGGATATTTTTTTGAGGTCACATTGTTGCAGCCACAGTTTCCTTAGCCACTACTCTCCCTGTCTGTAGGCTGGTCTTACATGCCTGATGGCTCTAGCATGTTTCTTTGCCATTTGTTTGGGTGATTACATCAAGCAGGCAGCACTTCTGCAGCTTGGGTGGAAGCGGAGAGGAAGCTGACCCTCCTGGTCCATTCTTCCCCTAGCTCTCATTCTTCCCCTAGCTCTCATTCTTCCGTGGGAACCAGCAATGCAGAATGATTTGTATAGGGCATATCTGAGGATGTCTTGAGCTACTGTTTTCACTAAAACATTACTGCAAATTCACTTGCCTGCTTAGCTTCAAGAGTTGAACTGGGATGGTAGGGTAAGTGAGAAGCGGGAGAAGCAAGCTCACTCACACAGGCCTGGCTTGGGAGAGGTGCCCAGGCATGGAGGGGAGCTGAGCACAGTGGTTTACATGAGAAGCACAGTAAGAAAGGGGTGCGAGGAGGTAGTAAACTGGCCAGGGCCCTGGGGACACCTCTGCCCTAGAATCTAAAGAAAAAATGGTTTAATCCACCTTGGGCAGATTGTGGTTAGTAACCTGAAACCCCTCAACCAATATGTGCCTGCTGAAATTCACTGGAGTTTTGATCTGCAGCAACATTCTAAAAATTACTTTAGTTTGTTCATTTTTTATTGTTTTAGGAAATAAGCTATCAAGGCATTCCTTCTTGCTCTGTAAGCCCAGCGATGTCACCGAGAACAGGAAGTGACACATCATAGTGCCTCCTAACTCACGCTGGAGCAGCTTTCTCTAAAGCCGGCTGTCTTCTGCCAGCTCGGTGTCTGGGCATGGACACAAGGTCTTGGGGATATGATTAATGATCAGCAGACAATCTGCTCTTCAGGTGACTCTCTGTTCAGCCTGGGAAGGAGCTGAGGAGAGAGGTGTGAGAGTTGTCCAGGGTGGGGGTTATGAAAGAGGCCAAGGTCCTCCATGGGATTCTGCCCACCTGCCATCTGCTCTCAGAGCCTAGAGCCCACAGCTGCACCAGTTGCAGTGAGCTGGGTGCTGTTTGAGTTCAGGGATGCGCTGTCTAGGGAGATTTTCATCTGCCCTCCCCACCTTCACTACTTACCCTGACTTGCTTTTGTGGACTGGGTAGGGAGGGCGTGCAGAGGCATGGGAGTAAGCAGTGGGGTTAAGCCCTCTCAAGGGAGACTCCTGAGTTCAGGGAAGCCTGCAGAGGGCTCTGTCTGGAAGCCCAAGCAGCCATAGGAATCTGCCATCCCCTCCTCCACCTCGAGCCTTCTTTAGCAAAGTTCTCCCCATCCCTGATGCTCAAACTCTGGTCGGTGGACCACCAGCCTTGAGACCATGAGAGCTTGATGGAAACACAAAAATGCAGGCCCCACCCAGACCTGCTGAATCAGAATGTGCATCTTGTAAGATCCCCAAGTGATTCATATGCACTTTGCACACTTTGCATTTGAGAAGCAGCTGCTCTAAATGATCTTCTGATATAAACGGGGCAGTCATTATTGCCTCAGGAATTGAAGCAGAAATACAAACCCACCCCCACCCTGCCCCAAATTACCTTTCTCACTAGTATCAGAACATCAGTTAGAGATTCACGCTTTTAGATCATCGATCCTCTTCTTTTGTCTAAACAGGTCTATTTTTTATTAAAATTCAAATATTCCCAGCCAGGCGCAGTGGTTCACGCCTGTAATCCTAGCACTTTGGGAAGCCAAGGCAGGCGGATCACCTGAGATGAGGAGTTCGAGACCAGCCTGGCCAACACGGAGAAACTCTGTCTCTACTAAAAATACAAAAATTAGCTGGTTGTGGTGGTGCACACCTGTACTCCCAGCTACTCAGGAGGCTGAGGCAGGAGAATCACTTGAACCTGGGAGGCAGAGGTTGCAGTGAGCCGAGATAGTGCCACTGCACTCCAGCCTGGGTGACAGAGCAGGACTCCATCTCAAAAAATAATAATAATAAAAAAATTCGTATGTTCCTTGTGAGGGAGAACATATGGGATCCCTCAGTAACAAGGTTAAAAAATTTTTTTATTGAGCTCATATTAGTTGCCACATATCCGAGATACTTGGGGTAAATGTATTTGGTGTAAACGAATTACTTTTCCCTGGAGACAAGAAAGCCAAGTGTTAAGAGAACAGCAGCCTTCTTTTTGGGGGAAAGGATTATTCAAGGGACAGAAGAGAGGGAACATCCAAGACAAACAAGTATGACCTTCCACTCCATCCTGAAGAAACTTGTCTCTCAGAGCTTTCCAAGTTGTGGAGATGATGATTCCATTTCCATTCAAAATCATCCTCTGTCATTTCAACTTAACGGGAAAAACCAATGGCATTTTGAAGACAAGATGTCTGGGTGCATGTTTATTTTTAGAAGGAGACAGACCACAGCACATTCATTCTGCAAGAAAGAAGCAAGTCCTGGCTCTGCATACTGAATCAGTGAGCAATACCTCAAAAGTGGAAAGATTAAACTCTCCAAAGAATGGGGGCAGTGGCCTCAGCTTATTTATTTTCTCCCAGGAAACAGCACAGCACTGGGTATGCCAGAACTGCAGAAGCAGCACCATAATAAACAAACTGTCTTCTCAAGCCTTCTGACTCTGTTTGGGTACCCATGAATGAATAGTATCTATTTCAATTCCTAAAATGTATGATTCATGATGACTTGTTTGTATTTGCCTTTCATTTTCACTGTAACTGAATGAGACCATCCTTCAGGTACTAAGGTAGAATCATCTTTGTGACTTAATAATGGTAATAATCACAGAGACCAAGTCATTACTCTCTGCCAGGTATTGTGACACATGCTTTTGAAGTTGGGAGACAATGCTCCATGGGTCACTCACATTGTTGCAAGTGATTCCAGCAGAGGCATTGACTGTCTTTATTCTGGATTATTTTTTTCAAAATGTTTGTACACCAAACAGCTTTGTGAGATTGATACAGTGTCTCCCTCCAGAGCTAGGAGTGTATATGCTTACTGTCCAGTACAATAAACATAATATCTCACTCTGGAGGAATGGACAGTATGGTTACCACCTGTTACAAAATATTCAGTTTTCCTAAGTTCAGCATTCTTCTGTAACAGAGCCCATCATGTGGACAGGTATTTCTTGGCCTTTTTGTGTTGCCCTGCGGGAACTGGGACTTGGGGACTAGTACAAGAGAATGCTCATACTCTGGCTTCTGCTTTTGCTGTGAATAACAAAGTCCTTTGTCTCTGATCCAAGAGTCTCATGCCTTCTGCCAGTGTCCTGTAACTGTGGCAGGCTAACTTATGAGGTTGCAAGTGGGATTAAAATCTCAGATCCTTCCTACTTCTTGATAAAAGCAATAACTCATTTTATCCTCTGAAAAACCTTAGGAAAGTACTATCATTTTCACAACGTGGATTCACAGATGTTATCACTAAACTATATTGACGTGTCCACAGGGGGTCATAGGACTGAAATTCCATCCAGAGGGAGACCTTAGTTTCTATGAAGTATTGTCCTTTTATACATTTTATACACTTTTTAAAATTGAAAATACTTCTGGGATGGGGATTCTTTTTTTTTTTTTTTTTTTGAGACGGAGTCTTGCCTTGTCGCCCAGGCTGGAGTGCAGTGGCACGATCTTGGCTCACTGCAAGCTCCACCTCCCAGGTTCACACCTTTCTCCTGCCTCAGCCTCCCCAGTAGCTGGGACTACAGGCACCCGCCACCACACCTGGCTAATTTTTTGTATTTTTATAGAGATGGGGTTTCACCCTGTTAGCCAGGATGGTCTCTATCTCCTGACCTTGCGATCTGCCTGCCTCAGCCTCCCAAAGTGCTGAGATTACAGGTGTGAGCCACCACACCAGGCCCTGAGGGGGGGTTCTAAGTTAGTGTACTAAATTAGCATCCCTAATCCCTTAGTATGACTTAAACATAAAAGGTGGGCTTAAAAAGTAGGATGCTGGAAGGGAACAGAGGGTTACAGAAAGGAGGGATGAAAGAAATACTTTTACTTTCTTATTTTTGACTATGGCTGGCCCAGGCAATACCCAATTCTCTTTATCAAGGTGAGCAGAAAGGGTTTCATTAGTCCATAGACAGGGTTCCTTTGTAGTGTGAACTGAGAAGGGAATTCATCTACCTCTTCCCAGAGGCAGCTCTGTTCTTGGCCATTCCACTGGCATGATGCATGTCATGATGTGTCACTTCATCTGCAATACCTGGAAGCCACAATTCTCTGAGGTGCTGGCATAAATGGGATCTGCCAGAAGACCTTGACCACTAGGATTTATTATTTGAAATAGGCTAATTGGTCTAATGCTTTCCTAAAATTCAGTACAGGAACACTTCTGCACAGATGCAGGGAGGCAAGGTAGTAAGGAGCTTAAACATTGATTATATCTCTCACGTCCAGGCCATAAACACAGTGCCCAAGGTGAATGGGGAGTCAAGCCTACATTTATTTATTCATTCAAAGAACATTTAACTTCTAGAAGTGCTTTGGTATAGAGTTCAACATGGGATCCAGAGATGACTGAGATTCAGACATTTACCCCACCTAAAACTTTACAATTTAAAAGCAAAAATAAAACAAGTACTCCAATAATAAAATATACCCAACTAGGGAACATATAGTATAAAATTAGATAAACCGTGATCTGTCAGAACTCAGAGCAGGAAGTAATCACATCAGGCTGGGGGCTCAGGACCCGGTCTTTTTCAGAGAGTGGATAGGGTTTTCAAGGGTAAGGCTGAGGAGGTGAGCCATTTTGTGTTGAGGAGACAATGTCAGCAAGCGATGGGACCTGTTTGTGGGGAAAGTAAGTAGCCAGAATTGGCCAGAGCATAAAGTACAGGAAGTTTCTTAGTGAGAAACGAGGCTGGAAAGCAGGCTGGGATCAGATGGAGGAAAACCATGAATGCCAGATGAAAGATTCATGGCTTTATTCCAGAGGGACCCAAGAATCATTAAAAGTATGTTGCCCGGGGCAGGGAACATCAGCAGATGTTACAGAAACTGAAGGCATCTGAGAAGCCAACATTCTCATCTATAAAATCAAACCTTGGAAAGAGGCCTCAGGCCAGACATCAACAAAACACAGACTTATTATTTGCTTAACAGAAAGAGAGGAGTTGTTCTTTTGAGTTGTTGAAGGGTGGTGATCAGCTTTTGTACACGGTTCACTTGGAGATTACTTAGTATCTTAGTATCCAGCTTCACATGACGTTAACCAAGCATCTGTTATAGTCTTACGTGGGTTTTTTGGCCCCTTCACAGAAGAATTAACAACATTTCAATTATCCACTATGTAACATAAAGTCAGGCACCAAGTAGATGCTCAATAAATATTTGTTTAATAAATTACACTTAATAAAGCATAAAAATAAATGGGTATCTCCAATAAGTCAAGACCAGATGCTATCTAATGTCTGCAACAGTTATAAAAAGTTAGCAAAACTATTCACTCTGTTTTTTTGGTTTAATGTCTTTGTTGAGGGCTAATTTTTTTTTAACAGTATGGCTATAAACGCAATTTTTTTCAGCAAATTTTTAACTACAGCATTTAATATCAGAAAGCCAAGCTCAGCTAACACTTCCATGTGCCTGAGACATCAATGCCAGACATATTGGCCTCATTTAAACAAACAATAATTAACCTAGTCACACAAATTTTAGTAAATAGAGCTAAATTTAAGCAATCTGACAGTTTTCCCTTTCTGCTGTTATGCATTTTAGTTTGTATTTTTTATTTATCTAGAGCAGACCATTTATACAGACTTCCAGAACTCGATATGCAATAGGATTGTAAAGAAATATTTATACGGACCTCCAGAAATAGATATGCAATAAGATTATAAAGAAACATTTACACAGACCTCCAGAAATAGATATGCAGTAAGATTTCATATCTGGGCCGGGAGCGGTGGCTCACGCCTGTAATCCCAGCACTTTGGGAGGCCGAGGCGGGCGGATCACGAGGTCAGGAGATCGAGACCATCCTGGCTAACACGGTGAAACCCCGTCTCTACTAAAAATACAAAAAATTAGCCGGGCGTGGTGGCGGGCGCCTGTAGTCCCAGCTACTCGGGAGGCTGAGGCAGGAGAATGGCGTGAACCCGGGAGGCGGAGCTTGCAGTGAGCCGAGATCGCGCCACTGCACTCCAGCCTGGGTGACAGAGCGAGACTCTGTCTCAAAAAAAAAAAAAAAAAAAAAAAAAAAAAGATTTCATATCTGGAAATCATGGAGTCACAAAGATAACTGTGAATCTGTAGAGTTCATCACATGATTAATACAGAAACGTCGAGAATCGCATCCCTTTGAATGCTGAAACCTTCATTAACAGTAAAACTGTTAAATCTTGCAGACAGGTAGAAAATGTGGTTCCTCACATCCAGTCTGTTGAAATTTCAGAAAGTTTAATGAACTTAAAGGAGAGCAAAGAGTCACCCTACCCTCGACAGCACTGAAGTTATTTCATCTGCTATAGAGATTTAATTAATGACTTGTTTGATTTCCCCAAACTTCAAAAATTGATATTTTCACGATCGGTTCTAGCTGACCTTGCTGCCTGCTGCAGCAGCCTCCCCAGGGCGTGCCACACAAAACGCCAGGCTCCTGCTTGAGGGCTCACAGCCAGACCAGCAAACACTGAGGGAAAAAACCAGCATCTCCTGATGTGTTGTGATGTAGTTTGGAGGGTGGGGAAATCCCTGGGTAGGCTCTGCTTTCATTTGCGGATGAATATTCCCTATGGAAGTAGAGAGGAAGGAAAAGGGTAGAGCCCCTAAATAATAACTAGCAAGAATCTTCCTTGCACCAGGAGAGTATGAGTCAGGGTAGTCAGGAGACAGGGCTTTTGAGCCAGAAAAATCTGGGATCAAATCTTGCTTATTGGCCAGACACAGTGGCTCATGCCTGTAATCCCAATACTTAGGGAGACCAAGGTGGGCAGCTCACTTGAGGTTAGGAGTTCGATACCAGTCTGGCCAACATGGAGAAACCCCATATCTATTAAAAATATATAAAAAATTAGCTGAGCATGGTGGTGCATGCCTATAGTCCCAGCTACTTGGGAGGCTGAGGTAGGAGGATCACTTAAGCCTGGGAAGTTGAAGCTGCAGTGAGCAGAGATTGGACCACTATACTCCAGCCTGGGCAACAGAGCAAGACTCCATCTAAAAAAAAAAAAAATCTGGCTTATTAGTGGTGTGTCTGAATAAGTAACCTCACTTCCCTGAACCTCAGTTTCTTCATCTGTGAAATGGAGAGAATGTAAGGGTATGTGTGGAGGATCTTGTTCTAGGACAAACACCCCTAGTCTCAGTGTTAACGTACTGCCAAGAAACCTGAATCCAGATGTTCATTACAGGAAATGGCAGCAAGTTCTAGCAAGGGGGCCAGTCATTGTCATAACCTAAATTATGATGGGAGAATTTAATCTTGCTAATACTGAGAACCTGGAACTTTGTTTTCACCATCAACTCTTTCTATACCTCTATTTGATGCCTTTGGAAACATTTGATAATGGGAGACAAAAGGAAGACAGGGAAAGGAGAAAAGAAAAGCTGTAGGAAGGAAAAGTGTAAACTGTAAATACCTACTTGTCTTTCTTCATGAGCTTCATTTTCTCTTCTTTTAAAAGATGTTTATTTCAGGTACATGAGTTATGTAGGTTGAAAATGTCATAAACAAGAATGTACTGCTGATTCAAATGTTTTATATTCACACATCCATGCAACTATATACAGATGAATTGACAGCTCGTTTAAAATCCAGATGAGAGAAGCTTAATGCATTTTGTTGAAGCAGGTACCATTTGGATTTATTTATGTTTAAGTGAAAAGACAGTTTATTAAAAATGTTAATTTGATAATCTTAATATTTTAGTTACATATAATGCATTTCTTTAATATTTTCTGGAAAAATGAATTCATTGACAAAATTTATTAGATAAAAGGGAATGCTTCACCTGAGCAAAATGTAGTGAGAATTCTGATAAACTATCATATATTTGGGGTGTTTTAAAGGAAGGGGTGCCCAGGAGAACTTTTATGATTCTGCTGACATGCAGCAAACAGTCACTCCCTGCTGGTGCTCTGTGGCTTCATACAAACATAGCATGTGTGTGTGTGATTGCGTGGGTGTTGGAGAGAGAGGAGTTCCCCAGAGCAAGGAATGAAAAAGATACTGCTGTACCAGGCAGCAAAACAACAAACACCTACCTCACCATTCAGTGACCCCTGGGCAGTCAGACTCTGGGCAAAGACCAACTTTAAAGGTTTCTGAAAAGGAATAGCTGAAGGATACTTGACTCAGGTAATTCTTAATTCAGGTGAGGAATTTCCCCAGAGGTCACTAATTTGTCTTCTGCCCAGAAAAGAAAGGAATGAGAATTGCTTTCATTGAGGAAAAGAATCTTCAGAGGATGCACAGCTCTTTGGTACAGTTGTCTGCATCTCAAGAAATACATAAGCAAGTCACCTTCCACGGAAGAGTGAGGGGTAGTAATAAGAACACTAAAAGAAAGATGTTAACTTCAAAGTACTCTGCAGATGTTAACTCATTTTGCATGGCTACTTTCTGGAAATATAGAAAAACAACCAGAATTTTACTTATGAAAAAAGTTCATCAAAGCAATAGAAAACCCTGCCAACCTATACCATATATATATACACACACACACACTTATATGTGACGACATATATACAGACATATATTTATTAAAATCTATACTTTCATACTTATATATGAGTATATATGTATACATATGTATGTGTGTATAGCTAGAAATATAGTCAGAGCCTCAAGGAAGCTGAGAAGTTCCTCATTCTGGTTTCTTGTTTGTGAAATCTATTTATGTATGATTTTGCTAATGATTTGGCAATTACTAGGTAAATTTGACCAATATGAATGGCCAACCTAATAATTTATGTCACAAAAAACATTCTAAAGTTTGAATGATCTGTATTTCTGCCCACATTTATTTTTGAATATTGAGTTTTCTAGACATTTATTCACTTATTACAGTGTAGACAGAAATCTATGTGCATATTTATAAGCTGTTTTCATCAAAGCTACTGCTGCCACCTAAGCCACATGCAGCCAACAACAAATGGTCAGATTACTCTCATGGAAATCATACATTAAATGCATAGAAAATCTGCAAACCTTATCTCAGACAGTGGTTTTAGTTTCTCCCCTCAGCGGATCTCTTATGAAAGCTGTTAACAGGTTGATTGGAATTTTCTATCCTCTCCACCCTCTGGTGGAAACACTAATAAGCAATGAAATGGCTAAAGCACAGTGCAGAGAGGATAAGCAAAGGCCCTGAAGACCCTCCAGCTTCATAATCACATCCTGAATAATCAGCAATTGACAGAAGGTCCACAAACAAAGTGCTTTCTCCATACTCTGCAGCAAACTGAGCAAAGACGGTGAAACCTCAATGTTACGCATACACTTGTTCTGAAGTTACTCGACAGGCTGCCTAAGGAGGTGAAATCAAAATCTGATTTGCTATTACTGCCAGTCAGATTTCTCTGGTAGTATTAGCTATCTTTAAGACACATTTCCATGGCAACTAGTTTAAAAACATATTTACCTATAGAGCCTTTTGTGTTATGAAAGCCAGAATAACCTAAGTGGACTTTCTTGTGATAGCTCTTTGCCAACAGGACAGCGACTCTGAAGCATGGGGCTGAGTAGGACAGCCCCTCATGTACAGGCAGTGTGGTATCTGGTGTCCTGGGCCAGACCGGCCTTCAGGGTACTGGGGAAGCCAGCTTGTTAGATTTTCTTGAGTCACCATTTCTCTCCTTGGGGCCAGCCTCGTCTGCCTCCTTCCTAGGCTTTCTCAAACCCCATTCTGCTGCTGGAGCCCTACCACCTGTTCCAGGCTAATTTGTCCAGCCCTGCCCCAGATGCTGAGGCCAATCAGAATGTGATTGTGTCATGCACATGTATGTTTATTGCAGCACTATTTACAATAGCAAAGACTTGGAACCAACTCAAATGTCCATCAATGACAGACTGGATAAACAAAATGTGGCACAAATACACCATGGAATACT
This sequence comes from Homo sapiens, assembly GCF_000001405.40. Taxonomy (NCBI): domain Eukaryota; kingdom Metazoa; phylum Chordata; class Mammalia; order Primates; family Hominidae; genus Homo; species Homo sapiens. Next base: position 34,366,792 of record NC_000013.11, read on the forward strand.
ATGCAGCCATAAAAAAGAATGAGTTCATGTCCTTTGCAGGGACATGGATGAAGTGGGAAGTCATCATTCTCAACAAATTAACACAGGAACAGAAAACCAAACACCTGACTTCAAACTATACTACAAGGCTACGGTAACCAAAACAGCATGGTACTGGTACCAAAGCAGTGATACAGACCAATGGAACAGAACAGAGCCCTCAGAAATAATACCACACGTCTACAACTATCTGATCTTTGACAAATCTGACAAAAACAAGAAATGGGGAAAGGATTCCCTATTTAACAAATGGTGCTGGGAAAACTGGCTAGCCATATGTAGAAAGCTGAAACTGGATTCCTTCCTTACACCTTATAAAAAAATTAATTCAAGATGAATTAAAGACTTAAATGTTAGACCTAAAACCATAAAAACCCTAGAAGAAAACCAAGGCAATACCATTCAGGACATAGGTATGAGCAAGGACTTCATGTCTAAAACACCAAAAGCAATGGCAACAAAAGCCAAAATTGACAAATGGGATCTAATTAAACTAAAGAGCTTCTGCACAGCAAAAGAAACTACCACCAGAGTGAACAGGCAACCTACAGAATGGGAGAAAATTTTTGTAATCTACTCATCTGACAAAGGGCTAATATCCAGAATCTACAAAGAACTTAAACAAATTTACAAGAAAAAAAAAACAACCTCATCAAAAATTGGGCGAAGGATATGAACAGACACTTCTCAAAAGAAGACATTTATGCAGCCAAAAGACATCTGAAAAAATACTCATCATCACTGGCCATCAGAGAAATGCAAATCAAAACCACAATGAGATACCATCTCACACCAGTTAGAATGGCAATCATTAAAAATTCAGGAAACAACAGGTGCTGGAGAGGATGTGGAGAAATAGGAACACTTTTACACTGTTAGTAGGACTGTAAACTAGTTCAACCATTGTGGAAGACAGTGTGGCGATTCCTCAGGGATCTAGAAAGAAATACCATTTGACCCAGCCATCCCATTACTGGGTATATACCCAAAGGATTATAAATCTTGCTGCTATAAAGACACATGCACACGTATGTTTATTGCGGCACTATTCACAATAGCAAAGACTTGGAACCAACCCAAATGTCCATCAATGATAGACTGGATTAAGAAAATGTGGCACATACACCGTGGAATACTATGCAGCCATAAAAAATGATGAGTTCATGTCTTTTGTAGGGGCATGGATGAAGCTGGAAACCATCATTCTCAGCAAACTATCACAAGGACAAAAAACCAAACACCACATGTTCTCACTCATAGGTGGGAACTGAACAATGAGAACACTTGGACACAGGAAGGGGAACATCACACACCGGGGCCTGTTGTGGGATCGCGGGAGGGGGGAGGGATGGCATTAGGAGATATACCTAATGTAAATGACGACTTAATGGGTGCAGCACACCGACATGGCACGTGTATACATATGTAACAAACCTGCATGTTGTGCACATGTACCCTAGAACTTAAAGTATAATAAAAAAATTAAAATAATAATAATAAAAAAAGAAAACCAAACACCGCATGTTCTCACTCATAAGTGGGAGTTGAACAATGAGAACACATGGACACAGGGAAGGGAACATCACATACCAGGGCCTGTTGGGGGTTGGTGGACAAGAGGAGGGAGAGCATTAGGAAAAATACCTAATGCATGCAAGGCTTAAAACCTGGATGATGGGTTGATGGGTGCAGCGAGCCACCATGGCACATGTATACCTATGTGACAAGCCTGAGCATTCTGCATATCTTTATATATAGAGTGTGATTGTGTTATAGGCAAAGGACAAAACCCTCTTTGCTCCATTAAACAAAATAAGGAGGAAGAAATGCTCAGGTACCTTATATTTCATAACTTGCCTCTTTGTGATTGCCATTTCAGCTTTGGGCTGAGACTTAATCCAGGGACACTGGCACTTCTGTATTGTTATCCTTTTATAAGAGAAATCATGAATTTTCTGTAGAGGTGACTGTTGGGGCAAGACCAGCAATGGCCCACTCTTAAGGCCAAAGTAGGACATTAACCCAGCTTTTGACCAGAGCTGGGTCCATATGTAGAATACTTTGACAGGGGGCCTACGATGTGATGATTTGGCTGCAGCAATAGGGACCCCCAACCAAAGTGTATCATCTCCCCTGCCACTGAGAGGCTGCAGATTCCTACTCCTTCAGTTTTATTTCATTTCTTATTTTGTTCAGTTTCATTATCTTCTAAATAAGATGTATATCTGCAAGCATCAAATCCTTTTGGAATTAAGGGAAGAAAACTTCAAGATTCCAATTTCAAATGATGGATACACCAATTACAAGCAATTTTTTTTCTCTTTAAACAAGCTATTCCTATTAGTTTATCAAAAGAAGTTTCCTACAAACGTTTAGTGAACACAGTTGATTATCTGGTTTCTAGTAATATGGTTCTAGTACTATGTGCCCTTGAATAGAGGCAAACCACGCTTAAGGCTAGACTATGTCCACTATCTCAATTGGGAACTATCTGGCTATGCAAGCTAGGCTGTTGCAGAGAGCCCACAAGCAGTTCGTTTACATGAATTGACTCTCTGGGGCTCTTAGTTGAAAGGCATGTACACTTGCATAGTAAGTGATGGGGAGAGGGGAGGCATGAGTCTTAGAATCTGCTTCCTTGGCAGCCTCATAGAGGTTATTTGAAGACAGAACCTGAAGGAGCTGTTTTCAGCAGTGATTCTCTGAGACTGTGAGCTCTTGTCTCATTAGATGACTCATTAGGTGACAGTATGTAGGGAAGGGTAAGGAAAAAGTCTTCCTTCTTCATGAAGCATCTCGTGACTTTACGTCTTCGAGGAAGGAAGAACATGGAAGGTGGTTGCCACTGAGTGGTAGTTGGGATGCATGCATGAGCACGTGCGTGCATGGGACTTACAGATTTGGGAATCCCAGAGAAAATCATGGAGAAGGGACAATGTGGGGACCAGACAGGGTGCCTGGCAATACAGAAGAGTGAGGCTTAAAGATTCAGCCAAATAGGGTTTATTGCAATGAAAGTGGCAGCATTTGTATTCATAAGCTGATACTGCCATGAAACATTTCAGCTATCTTTAAAAATAGTAAAACTAATTTTTAAAATATTTGAAAGGGGATAATATGGTAGAAAGAACATAGGCTTTCAATCAGCACTGAATTCAAACTCTGTCTCTGCCAATTATTACCTGTATGACTTTGGACACGTTATGTAATGTGACAGATGCCACACAATTACCAAAACCCATTTCATCTCCCTACTGAAAACCCAACTCTGTGATGTCTTCCAGCCTCTCTGGCAGCCTAAAGTGTCTGTGTGACTAAGCTCTGGCAAATGCACTGTGGACAGAAGTGATATATGTCACTTCCAGGTCTAGGCCATTAAAACTTCTTGTGCCCTGGAAGCTTGCCTTAATTTGAACATCAATCTGAAATGTATATAACTCAGAAAAGTCAAGCTGAAATCTAATTTTGTCTCACCTATAAAGCCTTTATTGATTGTATAAACAGTATTTCTAAAAGGAACATTCAGAGGATTCAGTTGAAGACTTTACGTCCTTAAAGGGTGGCAGAGCCCAGAGCCCTTACTGGTCAACAGAGGGCCACTTGCCAGCCAGAGACATTTGCATTAGACTCTATAGGAGCAAGAAATTGACTTTTATTCTCTTAAACCACTAAGATTGGGACTAATGTGATACAGCAATTAGTATCATTTACATTAGCTAATCTACCTGAATTTCCATTTCTTCTCATTCAAAAAGAAAGAATATGATTTAACTTACAGGGTAATTTAAGAATCAATGATAGAATCTGGCTCACAGTAATTGCTAAATAAATAGTAGATATTATTATATAATATTTTATTTAGGTTGTCCCTTTAGATCTCTCTCTCTCTCTGTCTCTCTCCCTCATGGTTGGTGAGTTAATAAGTGTTTTTACCCCATGTGGAGGAAAATAAATCATATTTATGAAAGCAAAAACAGAGCATCAGTCTTTAATGGGGAAACAGCAATTTGATGAACTACTACAGGCATCATTTGCAAGATATGTGATTATGGATACCAATCTTAAGTTTTCTGAGCCTCAGTTTCCTCACTTATAAAGCAGGTATAAGAACCTATACCCCACAGAGGATAAGAAAGGATAAAATGAGGAAGCCAAATGTAAAAGCATCTCATAGACTTTGGAATTTAATGAAAACATATAATACTATTATTATAGATTATCATTTTAAGTCCACAAAACCAAATAGGATTAATACAAACATTATTATCTAACATGGCATTTAATTTCCCACTGGACCACCAATGCTGGTGCATTTTATTGTGATGTCTTTAATGTGGGTGGATGTGTTACTAACATTACCTTTCTGTTTCCTCATGTGTTTAAGTTGATGAACCAACTACGTTCATGTATTTGCAATTTTCTAGTTTCTGTTTTAAATGAGGAAGAAAAGACATTGCTAGCAATAAATCATGTATGGCCAAGCTGGATCTGACAGGTCAGGAAAACATAAGATTTTTGCTTTATTTCTGTCATTGAAATACCCTTTGGAGAGAGATGCCTTGGGAGCTGGTACTTTATTACGATCAAACCAAATCCTAGCAGATGTCAGTTTAACCAGGCTTGCAGGGAATCTATGATCCACTTTAAACTTTTCAATATATTCTCTTAATTTCACAATTTATAACCTCTGAATACTCCTCAGGTGAACTTTATGATTGTGAATTTAAGGTTATCAAGAAGTCAAGCTATTCCTGGAATAGTGTTTGGTATGTTCCTCAGCCACACCATGTCACACACAGAGGGGCCTGTTCTTCTCCAGATGGAGGGTCAAAACTCAGAGTATTTCAAATAGTATGCCTGGGACTGAAGGAAGAAAGCTGCAGTCCCTAAGGGACCTCCTAGTGTCTTAAAGGGGATTGAGGAAACTATTCAGTGGGTGGTATTTGGAGCTGTGTGAAGGAGAGTGAAAGGTAAACACTTTCAGTTAATAATTCAACAAAAATATATGGAATCTTAACCAAGTGACCAAGGTTGACATCACAATTGATGTCATGTGAATCTCATGACCCCTGTGCTTGATGTGATGAGAACGGCACTGCACCACTGTGGTATTTTTCAAAACTCAACCCCCTCATATAATAATGTGTCAGGAATGAGACAAACTCGAAGTGAGGAGCATTCTGCAAAATGCGTGGCCCAGTACCTTTCAAAACTGTTATTGACCATGAAAGACATGGAAATATGGAGAAACTGTCACAGGCCAGAAGAGACTGAGAAAATGTGACAACAAATGCAATGTGGTATCCTAGATTGGATCTGGAAATAGAACAATGTCATTAGTGGAAAAACTGGTGAAATGCAAATATAGTCTGGAGTTTGGCCAAGAGGAATGTAAGATGATGGCTTCTTCATTTTGACAAATGTGCCATGGCAGAGTAAGATGATAACATTTGGGGACACTAAAGCTGAGTGAGAGGCATGTGGAAGCTCTTTGTACCATCTTTGTAATTTCTCAGTAAATCTAAAGTATTCAAAATTGTATTTATAAAAAAAGCATATACAATCTTAATACATACATAGAATAAAAACAATATTTCAATAAATTTTAAAATAATTTTTATAAATAAAACTTTTAGTAATACATTAAAATAAATTTAAATAAATATATATTTTCAATAAATACATTTTTCTTTATATATGTAGAAGAATCTAACATTCTGGAAAGATAGTGGTGACAAAGCAACTCAGTAGTAAAACCAAAAACCAATGGAAAAAAATTATAATAAATCTAGGTGACACATTATCTCTATCAACCCCAAAATGCCAGAGGTGGAGATGAATCACCAACAGCCAGCCGATCTGCAGGCTACCAGAATCTGTGCAAGAGGAAGCAGAGGCAAGCAACTGATGGATCTGTGGATAGGAAAACCCCGAAAGGGCCAACAGGTGTTTACTGCAAAGCATGACCAACTAATATGAAAGCAGCTGAAACTGACAGAGGTTTTCCTAATGTAATAGTGGGTGCGTTTGTGCCAGGAGCCCTCAGTAGGGTGTGAAGGGTCGGGAAGAGTCAGACATATGAACTCCCCAGGCTGACACACCTACCAGGGCTCCCCTCCATAACAAAGCCATCTGCTGGGGAAAAACTGCTAGGAGTGAAATTAAAATTGACCAAGGCAAAGACAATTAAGATGAAAGAAAGAGAAGATCCAAATAAAAGTAGGACAAAAGAATAGAGTCAGAAAATCTCAGTAAGCTGCCCTATTTGCTAATACTATTCCAAAAAAAAAAAAAAATCAACAGAAGAGGATGTTCTATGGAATTTTAAAAAAAAAACTAGCCTGTTCCACAAATTTTTCTGTAATTTCAAAAGAAAATAAGTTATCAAAACTATCACAGACACATCCCGAGCAAAGCTATTATGAGATAAATAAGAATAAGGAGTAGAATAACATCCATACAGACAGTAAAATGATGCCAGAAAGTCAGGCTGACCAAGCAGATCAAATTTTATCTATTTCAAAATGAGTTAAAAGACTTTGATTAAATGACATAAGATAGGAAAGAACAACAAAACTCAAACTTATAAAAATTCAGAAATGAAGTGACAGAACTCAGTAAAGAATTAGAAATAAAAGAAAAAAAATTAATAAAGACTATTAGAAGACATATAAGAAAAATTAAGCACAATAGATAATGCAGTAAGAGAAATAGAAGGGGAAAAGAAGAAAAATATTTTAAAACCAAAAAAGAAGTGTAAAAAGAGATAAGAAGATTTAAATAGAAAGTGACAAATATTGAAGATAAGCAAGGAAAATCCAAAATACAGGTAATAGAAATCCCTGAAGAAGAAAACCAAAGCAAAGACATATAACAAATACTAAAACTGCAATTCAAGAAAACTAAAATTAAAATATAAGAAGATGGGAGGCCAAAGTGGGTGGATCTCCTGAGGCCAGGAGTTCGAGACCAGCCTGACCAACATGGCAAAACCCTGTCTCTACTAAAAAACACAAAAATTAGCTGGGCATGGTGGCGCCCACCTGTAGTCCCAGCTACTCGGGAGGCTGAGACAGGAGAATCGCTTGAACCTGGGAGGCAGAGGTTGCAGTGAGCCAAGATCACACCACTGCATTCCAGCCTGGGCAACACAGTGAGACTCTGTCTCCAAAAAATGAAAATAAGAATTAAAAAATATATGAAAGACACACTGGAAGAGCGTACCATGTAATGGATAATATCAACCCAGAATGACCAACAACAAGGCACATTCTAGTAAAATTACCAAACTTTAGTGATAAATAAAAAAGGTCGTTTGACTATCTAGTCAGACAGAGAAAGTGACTTACAAAGGAAATATGATTATCATCAGGCTTTTAACACTGCTGGTTTTACCAGAAGATAGAATGACATATTTACACTCAAAGAAAGAAAATATGAACAAATGTTTTCCATACAGCTGAACTGACTTTCTGGTATAAATTGTTTACAATGTATTATAAACATGCATAATATTGCTTCCATGAGATCTTCCTGAAGAAACTTTAGAAAGCAAGTTTAAGGTAATAAAAATGACTGGAGACATTGACATAAGGACTGGGGATGCAATAAATATATAGTTACCTGAAAAATTAAGATTAAATGAGGCTGGGTGCAGTGGCTCACACCTGTAATCCCAGTATTTTGGGAGGCTGAAGCAAGTGGATCACTTGAGGTCAGGAGTTCAAGGCCAGCCTGGGCAACATGGCGAAACCCCGTCTCTACTAAAAACACAAAAATTAGCTGGGTGTGGTGGTGTGCACCTGTAATTTTGGGTGGCTGAGGCATGAGAATCTCTTGAACCTGGGAGGCAGAGGTGGCGGCGAGCCAAGATTGCACCACTGCACTACAGCCTGGGTGACAGAGCAACACTAGGTCTCAAAAAAAAAAAAAAAAAAAGATTAAATGAGAGCTGAGAAGTAAAATAATTATGAAAAAGAAGAGTGTCTAATGTCTATATGCTTTGACAACTACTACTATAAAAATATGAGAGGAGGGGAATTGGGAGAACAAAGGCAAAATGTTTAAGTGTTTTCAGTAATTGCATTGATAGTGATGGTATTTGTGTGGATATTCTGGATTGTAAGCGGGGAGCGTGAGGTAGAGCAAATGACTATTTACAGGATATTTCAGTTCTATTATTCTCTCATCCTTGGGAAACAGAATTTTCTGTATTGAAGAGTAGAACCCCCATAGTCTTAAATTTTAATTGGAAATGTCAGAATGTGAAGCATTTTGTCTTTTCAAAAGTTTCTATTTTTTAGCTCTGTCCACTAAAAAAACCTTAAGAAATGACAAACCCAGAAGCAATAAACATCTCTTAGTGCACAGATTGTGATCCTGTGATTCTCATTAAAAGAAACCAATACTTTTTGGAGAATAACTGATTTGGAGAATGGTCCTAAAACACCTTTTCATAGAAGATAGCAAGAAAGCAAACAAAAACTGCTACGATGCAGGGGCTAACTTGAAGAGGCTTACATGGGACAAATAAGAAACAATCTGTGCTCCAAAAAGGCCAATAGTAGGTATTGATTAAACCTGCCAAATATATTTATAGTCATGAGTCCGTTATCGTATAAAAAATTGTTACCTTTGGAGAATGTTAGCTACTAAGTTCATTTATTTCCTGGTAAATAAATGGATAGTATCCATCATATACTCCCTTTTGTAGAAAAACTTTAATGATTAACCAAATAGTAGATGAAGAACAGTGTCTCTTTATAGAATTATTCCAACTAATTAAATAAAATAAAAGAATTTGAAAATCACGATTTTGCAACCTTCAATGAATTAATGTGTCTAGGCATTGAACATCATCAAAAGAGAGACAAATAGACATTTTTTGCCTCAGGATGAAAGCAGATAACATCATCTATCATCCTGACAATGATTGTTGACACTGGGCTGTGTTGTAGACAAAATTAAGGTCTGTAAAAATGTTTATGTCCTAACTCCCAGAATCTGTGGATGTGTTACCTTTATGTGACAATAGACACTTTGCAGATGTGATTAAGGGTCTTAAGATAGGAAGGCTACTAGTGAAAATGTGCTGGAAAGATAGAATGTCATCAGAGATGAGATGCATGGAATAGAATTATGGGGAACTGCAATCATTGGTGTAGACTCTCTCAATCAGGGATCCCTGAGAGAAGTCAGCCCTAGTGCCTTAGGGCATCTAAAATATGTAATGAATAAAACTCACTCCTAAGGAGAGAATATCTTCTGAAGTCTCAGGCCTGGGTGATATAAGTCCCAGGGAGGAGGACCTCATTTCTCATCTCCTCTCCATAGTTGAATGTGCCTGGGGCACCAGTGATTTTCCAGGCCTTTATTTTTATCAGAGGCCTTTCTTTACCTCTCCCTGCTCCCGGGCTCTGCCAAAGACTTTGGGAAAGAAAGGATGACTTGCATGGCCCACCCTGAGTGGAATTAATATCAATATCTCCAAGATTACCATTTTTCCTGAATTCCCTATAGGCAAATATGATTCCATTGTACAGGTCCTAAAACCAGAGTACAGAGAGCTAAAACAATGGAGCAAAGATCATAATGGAGAAGTAGAGACAGAGGCAAGCCTAGAAAGTACATATTCAGGCTGATAGCAGGAATTTGAGTTTTCCATTACTCAAGGACAGTAGCTGTGTTTGTTTGTGCTGCCTTGTGCAGTTCCTATAAAGTACCCCCTGCACTAGGTCTTTCTTGAATGTGTAGGTAATGTTGAGAGCTGGATCTGAAAGGACCCTCCCCATCTGTCAGCCTAGCTCTCTTCCAGTCCCCACACAGTGCCTTTGCATTAAGTTTTATCTTCAGTATGTCTGTATTCAAATGCAAATAGGAAGTATTTAGTGGGCAACTATCTGCAAGGCTCAATTTACAGGAACTAGAGGGACACAATGCTGAGAAAATAAAAAGCAGAATCTGTGCTCCAAGGACACAGTCTGGTGAAGAGTATAAGCATGTATACAAATACTTTGAATTTCAACAGAGACTCTGGTGAGTGCTAAAATAAAAACTATTGCAAAGTGCAATGAAAACAACGGGAGTAATAAGAGTCTCATTTCAGGACATGAGGAAGAGATGTGAAAGAGAGGTGAGTGTTTCAGGAAGAGGGAAGAATGTATCCTTCCCCCTGGAAGGATGGCAAATTATTCCCTTTTAAATTTAGCATATTTCATTTAATCATACCGTCAGAGAAACAAGAAGGGTTCAAATCATATCTGCTTAACTTGAATCCATAGATTCAAAATTGTAATGTCTACATACACTAACTTTCCTCTTTTAATGTTAAACTGAGTCATATTTTAATCTTTTGAATTCCAAACCACTACAGAATTCAAGCTACATCGAGTATCTAACCTCATTTTTAAATGACATGATTGATGGCTGTTTTCTAATTTGGAAAAATGCAACTTGCTCTTCCTCTTAGGTGTCAAGGTTGAAGGGACCTTTTATTTGTCAGGATGATAAACTTTGTATGCAAAAGGTTACAAAGGAAGAAGCAGATTGGTGGTTTCACATTTAATCTAATTTAACACAAACATAATTACATGTACAAAAGTCTGAAATGGAAATATATTATAATTATGGTCCTGTTGTTTTGGATTGTGTTTCCAAGGGCTAAGAAAAAAAAAAAAAACAAACAGAAGAATCCATTGACTTTAGGGAAGGGATATAATTGGGCATGGAGGTCAATAAAGGAGCAAAACTTTGAGACTTATTTACATGTGTGTCTTTTTACTATCCTATCTAGACCTAGAGTTTCTGATTCTTGCATTACAATTGGGTTAACACAGTAAACACGAAGAATCAAAACCCCTTGTTTTCCTCCTTCTGGGTTTGTTTCTTGTTTTTTTCTTTAATTGGATTCACTTGTTTTTCAAAAGGACCATACTTCACATAGATGGAGTTTGCTAGCCTTTGGCACCAACAATCTGTCACGTAGATTCCAGATCAACTATAGGAAATTTGTCATAGAAGTCATGGGAGAATTGCTGGTGAATGGTTGCCGCTTCTGTTGACATCTGTGCCTTTCCCTAGTAAGGCTTTTGATTTCAAGATGAGAGATACTGGATTTCCTTAAATCAAATTTTCTTAGAGCCAGGAAACTCAGGAAAAAATAAAATTCTAAATTATAGATGCAATAATCTTATGACATAGGTGCATTAACTTCATTTTAGATTTAAAGAATTTCAAGTGCTTTAAATAGTTAATAGCTAGTAAATGGCAGAGCTGAGATTCTAGCTGTGGTGTATTGGATGTGAATAATCAGGTAAGGCAATTTGTTTATCTGATATCTATCATTCAGCCTTTATATCAATCATGTATAAATACACTATTATAACAAGTCAGCTGTATTATACATACACCATATAGTTTTTCATATTATATATATATTTATATTATATAGCATTATATGTAATAAAATCATATGGAAAACCAAGATCAACCTTAAAAATTGAGAACAACAAAAACGACATGAGCTGCGATTATTCAACATTAGCTGACTAGATTTGAAATGGAAGCAGTATAATTTCACCTTAAGGCTGTATGTTCCTGGACACTATTTTGACTGTAGCCAGCACGTGGTTTGGGGCTAAATAGAGCAGAAAGTGTTATAGACTAGGGACAAATGCAAGGAATCAGTGAGAAGAGGGAGTGCTCTGAAAACCCAGCAGAGCAGCCCTCAGGAGCAGGAGCACACCTCCCCGGGCCTTCAGGTCCCAGCTTCCCAAGAAGTGTCAGTCATGGCTGGAGGGACAAAGTGTGATTAATATCCTGGTTGACACCTTGACACCTTGTTAAGCTGAATCAACTTTAGTCAACTCAGGACTTCATTTGAAGATTGAATCACTTTCCTACTAAATTCATGTGTTCTCTAGGAACTGCTTGGCTTCCCAGCAATGATTCCACAGAACGTGTAGAAGTAGGAGCAAGTTCCACGAGGTGTACTTCATGGCCTCCTTGCTGCCTGGCACCACCCCAAAGTTGCTGATATGGGACAGAAATGACCTCTATGGAAGGTTGGCCTTGCCTACACACACATCTTCCCTCCCATAATATCAACTAGTGAACCAGTGTGCAGCACCAGGAGTCAGCCTGGCTGGACTGAAAGCCCACCTCTGCCATTTAGAGGCTGTGTGACTTCGAGCAAGTTACATAAACACTGTCTTAGTTTCCTCATCTGTAAAATCATGGGGAAGGTAATAATAAATGTAAAAGTTGTCACATAATTAAGTAACACGTGGTAAGCTTTAGAAGACTGTGACTAATGCATAAGCCCTCAAAATATGTCTGTGATTAATATGTGCAGGCTTTACAGAATATTCCCTCTAAAAGTTGCAATATCCTACACATTGGTAGCATGAAGAAGCTTATATTCTCTTAGTAAATTCCAGATGCCGTTTTCCAAAATATACAAGAATCTTGGTAAAATCCGAATGTCATTTTCAAGTAAAATATTTGTTACTCTCTTCTTAAAACATTTATTATCTTTTGGAATTTGATAATGAAGATAAGTAAAATAAATTGTTCTCTGTATTACCTAACCCAGTAGTAGTAGAAACAACTTAATAATTGTCATTATATAAGTTACATATACAAAGTTTTGGTGCAAAACTTTAAAAAAGCCATCCTTTATATATATTACTTCTCATCATATCACCCAAAATTTCAATCATAATACTTTCAAGTATTTTCCTACAATGTAGAAGAATAGTATTCAAAGAGTTTGTAATTTAATTGCATGGAAAAGGTATGTATGACTGAAAGTTAACTATTAATACTGACAACGGTTCAACAGATGTTAGATTTCAAGAGATATTTAGTGAGCATCTATCTGCAAGGCACAATTTATAGTAACTATGGAGACACAAAGCTGAGAAAATAAACAAGAGAATCTGTGCTCCAAGGACTCACAGTCTGGTGAAGTATACAGGCATGTAAACAAATACTTCTAATTTCAAGAGAGACCCTGGCCAATGCTAAAACAAAAGCTATTGCAAAGTGCAATAGAAGCAATAGGAATAGTAAGAGTCTTGCTTCAGGATATGAGGAAGAGACGTGAAAGAGAGAGGAGTGTTTCAGAAAGAGGGAAGAATGTATACAAGAGCGCAGGAACAGAGATGTCCAGGGTAGGCGTGGCTTCTCCAATGGGAAGCGCATAAGGGAAAATGATGGCAAAGACACAGCCATGGCATGGTGGCTCACGCCTGTAATCCCAGCACTTTGAGAGATTGAGGTGGCTGGATTATTTGAGGTCAGGAGTTCGAGATCAGCCTGGCCAACATGGTGAGACCCTGTCTGTCCTAAAAATACAAAAATTAGCCGGGCGGGGTGGCATATGACTGTAATCCCAGCTACTTGCGAGGCCAAGGTGGGAGAACTGCTTGAACCTGGGAGGTGGAATTGTAGTGAGCAGAGGTCATGCCACGGCACTCCAGCCTGGGCAGCACAGTGAGACTCCCAAGACAGAGCCACTGTGCAGACGGCTTTTATGTAACAAACTCAGGAGGGCTGATGTGATGCAAAATGAAGGAGGGAATCGTTGAAGGTGTTTAATCAGAACAGCGGCATAATCAGTTATGTTTGGGGGTGTATAACTCAAGCACAGCAGGCAGCAAAGAGGACAGAAAAAATATATGAGTCAGAAAATCTGAGTTCTGGCCTTAGTTCTTGCATTCTTTGTGACCCTGGCTTGAATCTCTCTAGGGCTCCAAATGGGATAATCATCCCTTCCCTACCTTCCTCCAAGGGCTCTGGTGAGAATGAATTAGTGATAAAGTCAGGTATGATGATTAGGGTCACCATGTGGTAGGTGAAGACAGCAGGCCGAGGAGCTTTTAGGACCATATTTACAAAGTAAATATGAGCAATGAGGACCCAAGCTGGGAAAAGCAAAAGAACAGGTTGTCAAAGGATTATGCTACTTTTGTTTCCCCTATTCTCAGATAATGTATTCATTCATTATGTTTTTTTAAATTTACCCAATAGTAGAGTTTTGTGGTGGAAGCTGTTAACCCCACCTAAAAAGTAACACTTTTGTAGAAATTTCCACCGCTTCCTGATATCTGACTAACAGTGACATGACAGCAGACACCACTTAAGTAGTTTTATGCTTAAATCTTTCCCCTGCAATTCCATTAGAAAGTTATTTTTACCCTATTAAAAATGAGAATGCATATGAATAAATCATATCATATAGCACAATACTGTGTTATCTGAATTTCTATCTTGAATCTATGAAACATATATAGTCTTTAATGTATTCTATTTCTTATAGCACTTAAACTTTGGCCCCAATTTCTTTGGACTTCTTTTCTAACAATTGGTAATTGTCATCTTACTATTAGAATGCACAAAAGTCTTCCAGCACCTGTATTCTTTTCTCTCCCCCTTTACAACTTCTAAACCTTGCCATAGGCCTTTATTAATGGTTCTTCAGAGGGGAATCTGTCTCCAATGTCAAGCTCTGAGTCTCACATACAATGCCGGTCTGTGCTTCTTGAACACGCTAACAGGCAGACCCTTTCTTCCCAATGGAATCTGTCAAAGAGACATACGTCTCTTAAGCATCATTAGGGAGCTATCTCTACCAGCTGAAGCTGCAGTTGTCTAGGTTTCTGTTTCTTTTATAGTGATCCTATTCTTATCCCAAGAGGCTAGATCTTTTCCTGTATCACTTGACTAATTGTACAACAATTCTACCAGCTCCGAGGTTACGCTGTCCATCTCAGGGCTTCTAGGATTCCCGTAAAGAACAACTGAGGACTTCTTCCTTTACATCTTGGGGTAAAATAAATACTCAGGACTTATTTCATCTAGAAAATATGCAAAAATAAAAGATTTTTCAGCCTTCTGACAATCTAAATTCAAGAAAGGTATTATAGCTTTTGAAATGTACAATTTCACAACATTGATAAATGTCCTCGGTGGAGACCTATCGCTCATTTTCCATTCCCTGCACATTTCATTATTACAACGTAAATTGGCAGTTGATTATTACTACTTTATTACCCTGTATGATTTCCTGAAGTGCAGGAGACAGAAAGTCCACTATAAAAATACCCATGAAATTTGTATCCCACCCCTTGATGCCACTCATTGATTTGTCTTTCTTTTATCCAGCCCCATTTGGTTTCACCTTTCTGCACAGCAAACTCAATCACACATAAGGGTACAGGCCTGTGCACACACAGAGGCAAGTTCAAACTCTGGAATAGTACCCTTCCAGAGATTAAGAAAAATACTGTGAAGTCCCCCGTCTTCAGT
Organism: Homo sapiens; assembly: GCF_000001405.40. Lineage (NCBI taxonomy): Eukaryota > Metazoa > Chordata > Mammalia > Primates > Hominidae > Homo > Homo sapiens. Next base: position 34,382,140 of record NC_000013.11, read on the forward strand.
CCCTTCTCTCTTCAAGTAAAAAAAAAAAAAAAAAAAGAAAGAAAGAGAGAAATTAAACCAGGAGAGGTGGAGAGATTTTCTAAATTTTAGTCCTACAGCTTATATTATCTGTCTCTTTTTACTACACCATCCCTCAATTCTTAGATAAACGGAGGAAGAAGTATCTATGTACTTTGAATGCATTCTGAAGACACAAACTCCTGATCTAAGTAGACAGAGACTAGCCTGATTATTTGATATACATGTATCTGGCCAATATACTATCTGTCAAAGCCTAATATAAATGCTATCTTATTCCACAAACATTTACTATGGACATTTATTATACTGCAGGAATTTTGTTGGTTGTTGGGGATACAATGATAAATAGGTCAAGATCTTTTCCTTATTAGAGGTCTCATTGTAGGGGGAGGAGATCCACACATTAAAATGATAACTCTATCATCCATCATGCAAAGTGAATCATCATGAAATATAAGTGCTTTAACAGTTATTGATGAGGTGTCCTGGGAATCCATAGGTCAGAATGATTAAGGGAGGTGTTAGTGAAACCATCACAGGGGAGGCAACAAAATAATTGGCCTTTAAAGAATGGATAGCCTTTACCAGGTGGATAAGGGCATTTCGGGGAAGGGAAGCAGAATGAGCAAGAACTCAGAGACACAAAAGTATATGGTTATTTGGGAATAGATATTAGAGGAATACCTAAACACCAGTACACAGGGAAATAGGCAAACGAGTGATGAAGACTGCAATGTAGTTTAGATTCTAATGAACCTAGATTTCGTCTTGTAGCTGCAATCTTTCCCACTAGAAATGACCTTTTCTTTCTCTAATTTCCCTTCGCAGATTATACGTTATTTGCTATACTGCTGGTGTAAAATCATTTGTTTGTCTTATCTATTCTAAAGAATATAAACACATAAAGAGAGAATCTACTGATTATTTTCTGTGTCATCATTATATTTAAACCAGGGCTATAAATATATAGACAGTAAAAAATTATGTATGTCAAATAAACGGTGTTTCTTGCTTCTGCATTATAGAGATAATGCTCTTGATAACTTCATTAAAATGCATGTGACTTTAAGTGTTTCTTCTAATGAAAATAAGAAAGTTTCATCTAATTGCTTCAAGATGATGCTACCGTCGAAGACCTAAGAAAAATGGGAGCTATGTTTCAAAATGCGAACCTGGGGTTAGTGTTACCAAGCACACTGTCTTCCTACTGAAGCTTCAAACAAACCTGAAGCATCCAGCAGTCATAAAAATTCATCTCACTGGCCAGGCACGGTGGCTCACACCTGTAATCCCAGCACTTTGGGAGGCTGAGGGGGTGGATCATTTGAGGTCAGGAGTTCAAGACCAGCCTGGCCAATGTGGTGAAATCCCATCTCTACTAGAAATACAAAAATTAGCCAGGCGGTAGTGGCATGCGCCTGTAATCCCAGCTACTCGGGAGGCTGAGGTAGGAGAACCGCTTGAGCCTGGGAAGCAGAGGTTGAAGTGAGCTGAGATCGCGCCACTGCACTCCAGCCTGGGTGTCAGAATGAGACACTGTCTCAAAATAAATAAATAAATAAATAAATAAATAAAATAAATTCATCTGACTGAGCAAAAGGATTCTTTCTTGTTATACTTTAAAAGGTTTACTTAGAATAAGGTTAAATATAACCATAACTAAACCTAAGTGTGGCTTGAAATAGCACTAAATAAACAACAGAATAATATCACTTCTGACTTTTATGTCGTGCTGACAAAAGCAGCAGCTGACAATGAATGTTAGAACTGATGTGTCAGCAGAAGATGCTGAACGCACTAAATCCTAACGCATCACAGGTTAAGATGGCTTTATGCCAGAAGTATATTCTTCCCTTATAGGATTTTTTTTTTATATTTCCAAATTTTATTTCACACAGGCCATCCCAGGAAATCAAGATCTTACTTGCCATGAAAGTGATGTGAAACACAGCCAAATTCAAAACAATGAGGGTCTCATCCTGAGGAATATCTGAACACCAGTAGACTGGGAAATCAAGGGGTAAAGAATGATGAAGTGACAGAAGACCCCGTACTGAAGGCCCTAGACTCGAGGAGGGAAGTTTGGGGAGAGTCTTGGGAATGAGTTCAAGGCCCTCAGTTTGCAGTTTATTTTCACAAGTCATCTTCAAGGCAGTCATTCTTGTCCCCATCTTACAAATGAGCCTTCAAGGCTCAGAAGAATTAAGTAACTTGCCTAAAATTACTCTTTAATAAGTGGCAGGCAGATGTACCTTCAACTCTTTGTCTATGAGCTTCAATCATCTTAATGATCATCTGTCAGAGCCTTCATTCCTCACCCACTTTCACCATGTTTTCTAGTTCTTGGTCAGTCCTTCTAATGGCAAAGAATAGAGAAAGCATTTGAGTTTCAATTAAAAGTTGTAATTTCTATCTCAACGTTTAAAGCCATGCTTTTAACTCAGTCATAACATTCTGGTAATAAGAAATCGACATTGATTTCCTCATTTCTTTTTCTTTTCCTTACACGTTTTCTCTTTCTTTCTTTTTCATAACTTCTTCATGACCAGATGTCCCAGAAGACTGTAAAAACAAGAATAATAAGAAGAACATTGGCAGATGGAACAAGGAGCAAAAAAAATTCCTTATCTTTATTCTTCATTAATATCCTTGTCTTTATTCTTAGTTAATATCTAAATTGTGCCAGTAACAAATAATGTTGGGGCACATTTCCCACAGAGAAGAGCTATGCTGGGTATGGTATTTTCTCTATAATAGACACTCTTCCTGGAACTGTCAGGTCAGCCACCATCAACTAGTTTTTTCATCTAAAGATCAGTGAACATCAATGTCTTACTTTACAGCTCCATAACCTGTTGCCCATCAAAACCTGTTGCCCATTCCTTTCTCAAAATGTTTCCTCTCTTGGCCTCCACCTATTTTTTGTTGGTTTGTTTGTTGGTTTGTTTTGCCACCTCTACCTTTGGGGGCTTGTCTTCTGTGAAATCTCTAAATGTTGGAGTTGACATAACTGGGTCATTGACACTCCGTAAAATAGAAGATCTCACCTGACTCTTAGGGCTTGAATTATCATCATATAACACATTTCTAAATTTGTATTCCTAATTTGTATTAGACACAAAAATGCGACTTACCATTCTGTATTTCCTCATAGATGACACACAAATGCACTAGTTTTACCTAATGAATCTTAATGTTGGACTTTCGTCCCTAAATCTGCTTCATCTTCCTTGTTTCTTCAAGGAACAAGGAACAACTTCCTTGTTACATCAGTAAATGGCATCTTTCACCCCACTGCTCCTGACAGCAGTGTAAGAATCACACAAACTTCACTCTAGTCCACGTCTGATCAAGCACCAAGTCCCCAATTTACCAAGACTTAGAAGCCAATCAGAGTTAGGGTTTTTTTTTCTCCACGTTTAAAATATCTGGATGTAGACAAGGTTGGCATCAGATCAATGGCTTGACAATATCAGGACCAGCATCCCTCATTCTTGTTACCTTTTTTGCAAGCTGGTTTCCCTACTGTTGACATCATATACCTGTGATAAGCAAGAATAAGTGGAAAGACATCACTAACTTCTCTGTAGGTTTGATCAGGAAAACAAAATTTTTTCAGAATTTCCACAGTAGATTTCTGCCTATGTTCCCTGAGCTGGAACTTATTGCTCTCTCCTTCTTTCACAGCTGCAAGGGAGCCATGAATAGGCAGTGAAGAAGAATGCACAGTCAGCCAATCTAGAGCACAGGTGGATAAGCATCAGGGAGATGCCAGGTCTATACCAGATCTCTACAAGGAAAAAGCTTCATCTTCTTTTCCTTTTGGAAGGTCAGGTTTTATATACTGTCCAGCCATGCAGGGTGTCCTCCTTTTATTTGCCTTCCAGACCTACTCTCTGCCCTTCTCACCCTGTTCTGTACCTTTGGAGTCTGACTACTGGGATTCATGGAGGGTGCAGTAGGAAGCAGAGAGGAGCCTGCAGGATTCCTGACAGCAGTGAGCAGGAGAGATCTGGGTATTTACTTCCAGCTCCCTCCACAGTGGGCCTGAGCTAACAACCATTGCTTTTCTCTGCTGTTTCTGCCAGGCAGCCCTCTCCTACAGTTAAGCTTTCTTCAGGTGTTGGTAGCTGTTCTGTCTCCTTGCCCCTCAGGCCAAGAGGTGGTGATGACACACCCTGCCCTGTTTTTGGCTGATGGTGCAGTTTGGCACCCCATATGCCTTTCCCTTAACAGTACCTATGTCTTTTATTTATTTATTTATTTTTATTATTTATTTATTTATTTATTTATTTATTTTTATTGTACTTTAAGTTTTAGGGTACATGTGCACAACATGCAGGTTTGTTACATATGTATACATGTACCATGTTGGTGTGCTGCACCCATTAACTCTTCATTTAACATTAGGTATATCTCCTAATGCTATCCCTCCTCCCTCCCCCAACCCCACAAGAGGCCCCAGTGTGTGATGTTCCCTTTCCTGTGTCCATGTGTTCTCATTCTTCAGTTCCCACCTATGAGTGAGAACATGCGGTGTTTGGTTTTTTGTCCTTGCCATAGTTTGCTGAGAATGATGGTTTCCAGCTTCATCCATGTCCCTACAAAGGACATGAACTCATCCTTTCTTATGGCTGTATAGTATTCCATGGTGTATATGTGCCACATTTTCTTAATCCAGTCTATCATTGTTGGACATTTGGGTTGGTTCCAAGTCTTTGCTATTGTGAATAGTGCCACAATAAACATACATGTACATGTATCTTTATAGCAGCATGTTTTATAATCTTTTGGGTATATACCCAGTAATGGGATGGCTGGGTCAAATGGTATTTCTAGTTCTAGATCCCTGAGGAATCGCCACACTGACTTCCACAATGGTTGAACTAGTTTACAGTCCCACCAACAGTGTAAAAGTGTTCCTGTTTCTCCACATCCTCTCCAGCACCTGTTGTTTCCTGACTATCTAATGTTTGCCATTCTAACTGGTGTGAGATGGTATCTCATTGTGGTTTTGATTTGCATTGCTCTGATGGCCAGTGATGATGAGCATTTTTTCATGTGTCTTTTGGCTGCATAAATGTCTTCTTTTGAGAAGTGTCTGTTCATATCCTTCGCCCACTTTTCGATGGGGTTGTTTGTTTCTTTCTTGTAAATTTGTTTGAGTTTATTGTAGATTCTGGATATTAGCCCTTTGTCAGATGAGTAGATTGCAAAAATTTTCTCCCATTCTCTCAGACCACAATCAAACTAGAACTCAGGATTAAGAAACTCACTCAAAACCGCTCAACTACATGGAAACTGAACAACCCGCTCCTGAATGACTACTGGGTACATAACGAAATGAAGGCAGAAATAAAGATGTTCTTTGAAACCAACAAGAACAAAGACACAACATACCAGAATCTCTGGGACACATTCAAAGCAGTGTGTAGAGGGAAATTTATAGCACTAAATGCCCACAAGAGAAAGCAGGAAAGATCTAAAATTGACACCCTAACATCACAATTAAAAGAACTAGAGAAGCAAGAGCAAACACATTCAAAAGCTAGCAGAAGGCAAGAAATAACTAAGATCAGAGCAGAACTGAAGGAAATGGAGACACAAAAAACCCTTCAAAAAATTAATGAATCCAGGAGCTGGTTTTTTGAAAAGATCAACACAATTGATAGACTGCTAGCAAGACTAATAAAGAAGAAAAGAGGGAAGAATCAAATAGATGCAATAAAAAATGATAAAGGGGTTATCACCACCGATCCCACAGAAATACAAACTACCATCAGAGAATACTATAATCACCTCTATGCAAATCAACTAGAAAATCTAGAAGAAATGGATAAATTCCTCGACACATACAACCTCCCAAGACTAAACGAGGAAGAAGTTGAATCTCTGAATAGACCAATAACGGGCTCTGAAATTGAGGCAATAATTAATAGCTTACTAACCAAAAAAAGTCCAGGACCAGATGGATTCACAGCCAAATTCTACCAGAGGTACAAGGAGGGGCTGGTACCATTCTTTCTGAAACTATTTCAATCAATAGAAAAAGAGGGAATCCTCCCCAACTCATTTTATGAGGCCAGCATTATACTGATACCAAAACCTGGCAGAGACACAACAAAAAAACACTGCCCATGTCTTTATAAACAGCCCCTTCTTTAAATCTCCTGCCATAATCCCTTTTGAGTGTGCCATCTTCTTCCTGCCAAGGTAATCAATACTATAGCATCTTATTATTCATATTATTAAGGATAACTCCACATCCCATATAGAATGGCATAAGAAATCTTGGTATATGCAAGTGTGGGAAAGGGAATCTAGGAAAGGAAGTCATCCCTGCTGTAATGAGGTGGGTGCAGCGAGGGTATGAACCCAACGAAATGCCTTTGAAGTGCCCCTTCCTCCTGTGAAACTCTTCAATCACTGAATTGGCAGACAACACTTCCTAATAGTAATTGTTCTTTAATTTAAAAACTGCAACTATCAGTTTTTCTGACTCATCAACCCAGGACCAGAGATAAATTTGGCTAATAACAGATAAAATAGGTGTACACTTTCTACACTAAACAGGCATGGCCACTCTGTTGACCTGGCATTTCTTTGCAGCAGGCACATTTTCTTAAAATATCAGGTCAGCCACCACGAGCTTGTTTTTCCTTCTAAAGGTCAGTGACCAACAATTTACTTTACATCTTCATGGCACAAAAACTTGTCTCCCATTCCTTTCTCAAAATGTTTCCTCTCCTGGTCTTCATCTGGCTCTTTCCTATTTCTGAATTTGAGGGCTTCTTTTCTTCTGTGAAATCTCTAGATGTTGGAGTTATCATTACTTAGTCATTGACACTTTTCTTTAAATAAAAGGGAGGATGTCATCTTACTCCCTCAATCCTTTGTGGATGGCAGTGGAAGGAAGGCAAGAAATTTAAGATGGTGAGTGTCACCGCAAGATGCAGGCAGGGACTGGCAGAAGCTCATCACTCCTGCAGCCTGCTATTTCTTTCTGAGGACCAAGTGGACTCCTTGAATGTGTGTGCACAGAGGGAAGAACTCTCCTTCCTGCTCCTCTGGAGTGATACGGTGTTCCTTGAAGCATAGGCTTTTCAAAATTTCCTGGTCATTATGACATCTATTTCTACTCCTCTCTACCCTGCTTCTCCCAGTAGGTTTGTCTCCAACGTGGTTTCTTTCTTCTTCATATCTCTTAGAAGTCTTGTTGGGGCAAAAGAAGTGAGGGATGATTCAGCTCCAGATCTGAATGTGCTGGAAACATGGGAGATTAGGGATATTGATCCATTTGCACAGCACTGATTTTTGTCTTCACAGACTACTACTGCTAGATATTAATTGCATCTAGATTTTCTCTTTTCTTTTTTTTTCCTACACTTTGTATACTATTATTAACAACTGCATTTAATAGTAAAAAATAACAAGTAAATTTTGGAATTTGAATGCCTCATCCTGTGGCTGCTATGCCACCAGCTCCCATCTGTTCCTCATATGCTCCCCTTGCTCTGGCCAAAGTTTTAGATTTTAATGCAAAAATATCTGTGTCTTTGTGATTATCCTAGGTGTAATGGTATATAGGTTTGTTTGTTGGGGAGAAGAATAAAACAACTCCTTGAAAATAATATAAATGCTGTAATGAGAATTTTTAAAATGTAATTAGTATAAAACATTTTCATAGGTTTCTCAGCTAACGAATAAATAAATTATATTTCCTTAAGGCATTTCTTGGTATGCTGATGAAAATTTCAGGGTACAGCCTTGATAGTCACAATAATGAAATACATGAGACCAATTATCCTGCTACACTCTTGCAGTATCTTAGATTTAGTTTAAATGACTCATAGCCAGAAAAGTAGAAAATTCAATGCATTGATATGAACAAGTACAGTTTTTAAAAAGGAAAAGGATTTTATTAAGAAGGTTTGAGTATTATTTATGAATAAAGCAGGGTTATCTTTCCTTGATTGAGTCCCATGATCAGAGAACAGAGGATGTGACTTTTTATTTTCTATTTCTTGTGATTTATTTGCCATCAGATATGGCAGATCAAGGAATATTACAACTTTTAGGGGCTGGAAGAAATGAACAAGTATACTTAACCAACTCTCTCACTGTACAATAAGGAAAGGGAGGAACAGGGAGGTCAATTGCTTGACTTGGGTCATGCACTTTTGAACACTGACACCAAAAGCTAGGACAGCTTTGCTCAAAGTCCAGTCCACAGTTTATTTATATCAGACATGCTTTGAGAACTTAATAAAATACAAATACAAATTCCCGGGGTCCACTATCACTATAAAATGCAGAAACGTTTATAAGAATTTTGAGGATAGCATCCAGAAATGTGCATTTTTTTTTTTTTTGAGATGGAGTCTCGCTCTGTTGCCCAGGCTGGAGTGCAGTGGTGCTATCTCAGCTCACTGCAACCTCCACCTCCCAGGTTCAGGTGATTCTCCTACCTCAGCCTCCTGAGTAGCTGGGATTACAGGTGCCCACCACCATGCCCAGCTAATTTCTGTATTTTTAGCAGAGATGGGGTTTCACGGTGTTGGCCAGGCTGGTCTCAAACTCCTGACCTTGTGGTCCACTCGCCTGGGCCTCCCAAAGTGCTGGGATTACAAGCTTGAGCCACCGCACCCGGCCCAGAAATTTGCATTTTTAAAAAGTGTTGCTTAGGGTAAGTCTTGCCCACATTGAAATTTCAGAACCACTTTCTGTAGCCTGGTGTTCCCCCCTCCATCTATGCTTCCCATGAGCCTAGGGACTGGGTTGGGGTGCAAAGAAGACAATCATGGAGTTAGATGGTAAAAAGCGACAAGGGGTAACAAAAGCCATGGAATAAACAAGGAACATCAACCTCCAGGGTCCATATTACTTGAACATTTGGGAGAAATTTTATTTTATATTAAAGCACACATTGCACATAAAGAGTTGGTAAAAGAAATATCTGCATAAACTTTTAAAATTAAACCAAGACTTTCAAGAAATTTGGAGTTGAATTGTAAAATGTCAGCTTCCAGCCAGAGCATAGTGCTCCGCTGCCTCTGCCTTACGGGTGTTTTGGTGTCATATCTACCTCAACTTTCTCAATTAGAAATTCCTCATTGAGTCACTGTCATAACACCCATGACCTCTGCTGAGTTCTTCTTGCATTGTAATGGACTTAATGTTTTTTCTTTAAAGTAATATAAATAGCTTACTCTTTTTACATAAGCTGACCTTCAATATGGTTTTATTTTTATTTTTTGAGATAGAATCTCACTCTCTCCCCCAGGCTGTAGGGCAATGGTATGATCATAGCTCACTGTAGCCTTGAACTCCTGGGCTCAAGTGATTCTCCCATCTTAGTCTCCCATGTAGCAGGTACTAAAGACACAAGCAACCATGTCTGGCTAATTTTTAAATTTCTTTTTATAGAGACAGGGTCTCACTAGGTTGTTAAATCTGGTCTCAAACTCCTGGGCTCAAGGGATCCTCCCACCTTGGCCTCCCAATGTGCTAGCATTGCAGGCATGAGCCACCATAATTGGCCCCCTAAATAATTTTTTTAATGTGTATACTCCAACATCAATTAATTTACACCAATCTTCTGGGTGTCATATGATTCAATTTAATTCTGACACTATGCAAATTTAGCACAGACCATGCAGGTGAAGGGGCTCTGTCTCACAAAATCACCCCCATTTCAGACGCCAGCCACAAGTCCTGGGTGACCCCAAGCCACTTGCACTTCCTACCCAGCTGACTACAATTTGGGGGCTTCCCACAACCCCCACCCTCTCCGCCAGATTTGATAATTTGCTGGGATGATTCACAGAACTCAAGAAACTGATACACTTACAATTGTAGTTTTATTATAAAGGATACAATATAGGAAGGAGACATATAGGGCAAGATTTTGAGAGGAATGCAAGAGCTTCTGTCCCAGTAGAGCCAGCATATGGTACATCAAAATGTGCACCAATCAGAAAGCCCCCAAGCCTCACTGAGATTTTAATCAAGATTTCATGACTTAGGCATGATTGATAAATCACTGACCATGTGATTGAACTCAATCTCTAGCTCCTCTCCCTTCCGCAGGTAGAGTGGGGTAGGGTCTGAAAATTCCAACCTTGTAATCATATGATTGGTTTCTCTGGCAACCAGTCCCCATTTTCAAGCTATCTAGGACCCTCCGATCAGCATAAACTCAGGTATGGTTGAGAGGAGTTTGTTATGAATAATGAAAGATGTTTCTGTTACTCAGGAAATTCCAAGAGATTCTAAGCTTTGTACCAGGAACCAAAGACAAAGATAGATTGATAGATGATAGATAGATGATAGATAGATAGATAGATAGATAATAGAGATATATAAAATTATACCATAATGTGATAATTATAAGGTTTTGCAAAAGTGCTGTTAAGTATGAAAATGTTAACAATGTCAATGTGCCTCTGTCTGTGTTCTTTTGGCTCCAATAATGGTAGATATATCCATCTCACATGGACATATCCTGCTTTGTTTCACTGCCACTATAAGGTTCCTAAATACCTAAAAGGGAAATTTGTAGTTTGATGCATTTGTTTTGGCTTTAAGGTATTACTACCTAAACTTCTATGCCTAAGTAGTAGTATCAGGCCCATCCTCAATTTGAATTTTGATTATTACATCTTTAGCTAAATAACCCGCTGTTATTTTTATACATTAAGATATGAATACTTTTTGAAGGAGGATTGTAAATAATCACTAAAATTTACACTTACATGTCTAAAATGAAATGTCCAGCACAACTGCTAGACTGTGAGATATTTGAGAACAAGAGCCATATCTTATCCTTATACCTCCAAGGAATTAATGGAGTGCCTGGCACATATTGGATGCATAATTACTATTTTTCTTTTTCTTTTTTTTTTTGAGATGGAGTCTTGCTCTGTCGCCCAGGCTGGAGTGCAGTGGCGCTATCTCAGCTCACTGCAAGCTCTGCCTCCCGGGTTCACGCCATTCTCCTGCCTCAGCCTCCTGAGTAGCTGGGACTACAAGCAGCCCCCACCATGCCTGGCTAATTTTTTGTATTTTTTAGTAGAGACGGGGTTTCACCATGTTAGCCAGGATGGTCTCGATCTCCTGACCTCGTGATTCGCCTGCCTCGGCTTCCCAAAGTGCTGTGATTACAGGCGTAAGCCACTGCACCCAGCCCATAATTACTATTTTTCTAAAAATATGTATCAGTCTATTAAATTGGAAACCTAATATAAACAATTATTTAGCCTTGGTACCCAAATATGTAGCCAAATTCAAGCTGTCAAAACAAAACAATAATTGGTCCTCACACCTATAACATTTAGCTCTTTAAAGGTTAATTGAAGTAAACTGAAGTAACTAAGTGTTTCACTTTAGATTGTAAATAATAATAATTAATATTTTACACCCACATTTGACATCAAATTAACAGTTGTTTTGACATTCTAAATGATAATCACATTTTCCAATCAACCATGCAGTAACCTAAACTGCTAATAGTGACCTGAAATATCAAATAATTTTTCTCTACCCTAGATGTATTTGTTATATGGTATTATCTTGTTTTGAGTACATAAACCTATGGACCACAGAGTGAAATATTTTCCAACAAATTTGCAACCACCTTGTTGATTATGCAAAGAATGCCCATGTTTCAACTTAACCTTTTGATTTTTCTGTTTGATTTTTCTCTTCCATAATTATTTGGAAAGAGAAATGTAACATAAGCTAATGTGTTTTCTTATTAAATAGTCTCAAAATATAACTTAAATTGATTTAGTGTTTGGGATAAAAATGTGAATGAAATTAGCGAGCAGTACAATGTTAAATGGGCATATTATCTAGGTTTTTTTTTAGCTTGAATAGAAGGTAATACACAAGCAAAAGCATATAATTAACCTAAAATAATAAAAACAGTAAAAATGACATTGATTATACTTTTAGTTACCATTTATTGAATGGTTACTATGTGTCTGGTAATTGCCTAAGTACTATATGTGCATTATCTCATTCAGACCACCAAAATTCATAAATTAGGTACTAGTTGACCCCTATTTTGTAGTCTTAAAGAACCTAAATAGCAGATCCAAATTTACTCAGTATCTAAACAGTACTATTGGAAATATTAAATGGAATTTACTATTTAGGTTATTTAGGTCAAATGACCTCACACAGAAGAACAGGCCTGCAGGACAGAATGAAGAGTATTTAAAATGGTAATTATGTAGATAAACCTAAATGAACATTGATAATATAACATAATAGGATATCATAAGCTTTAATATACAAAGAATTAAAATGCACAGCAATAATTCTAAATATGGAACTGAGATAAATGGAGTTAAAATGTTTTAAGAGCCTTGCATTGTCCAAGAAAATGAACAAGTATAAATTTAAACAAAGCTTTAAAAATTAAGCACAAATGTTATAGTATTAAATAATAAAAAATAATAAAAATAAATCATATGACTGAAAAAGTAATTGAATGGTAAGACTGAAAAATAAAAATTGCCCTATTAAAGAAAAGCATATGCAACAAAAATAAAATGAATAGTGAGAGTTAAATTTAAAGACATGTATATTAGTAATTATATTAAATCTAAACTATTTTCTCTAATTAGAAAAAGCTTGTTAAAGTAAATTTTTTTAAAAAACTATATGTTGTTTACAAGAAACACACCTTAAATATAAGGACACATAAAGAATAAAATTGAAAAAATGGAGAAGGATACATTATGCAATACTAATCAGTCAGAAAAATGGCAGAGTAAGAGCTATCTGGCTTCACTCACCCCCACATAAAACCAATTAACAACCATCCAGTGGGAGATTATTATTCAGAATATACCAGAATGCAAAACTGAGGTTGTGACAATTCCTTAGGCTGCAGACCAGAGGAAAGACAGCAAGCAGACAGTAAGGTAAATTGTTCTTCTTAACCAAGATACCCCTCCTCCAAGCTTGCAAGCCACCACATGTAGAAAATTCCCTTGGATTCCATTTTTACGCTGAAAAAATTGAGTTGGAGATGGACCTCCAGCTTCTCTATCCTCCTGGAAGACTTGTTTCTGGCTCAGCACACAGGCAGAAGCGTTACAAACGCCTGCAAAGCTAGAACACTTGAGGTCAGCTAGAGGCAAAGAGCAGAGATGGGAGTAGAAGTGGGCACCCCTTGGATCTCAAAGCCTGCTCTTCATGACAGCTAGAGGAGACATCAACTCAGAGAGGCTGTTCAGCAGCACCACTCTACAGGAAGTATAGCCCACAAGTCCTTTGAACATAAATCCCTTGTTGGCTTTCCCACAAAGTCCGGGTACCCCTTTAGTTTTCTGCAGGCCCATCTGAGTTGGGTGCCACATCAACCTTGAATCCCTCACAAGATTAGCAGTGAACCTGAGCTTAAGGCATCATCTAGCACTGAAAAGGAGAGAGTGATCTCAGACTAAGGCAACACAATAGTCAATCTGATCTCAGACTAAGGTGACACAATAGTCAATCTACACAAGATTTCTAGACAGAGACACTAGAAAAAGATCTACATAAACAAATACAGACAGTAAATACTGAAATAAATACTCCTTTCTTCAATGTGTAGACATCAACATATGTTGATAAGAATGAAGAGCAATCAGGGAACTATGACCTCACAAAATAGATGAAATAAATTGCCAGTGATTGACCCTGAAGAGATGGAGATGCGTGAGGTCTTAGACCAAGAATTCAAAATGTCTTTTTTAAGGAAACTCAGCAAATACCAATAGAACATAGAAAAACAATCTAGAAATTCATCAGAGAAATTTAACAGAGATTAAAATAATTATTAAAATAAAACAGAAATCCTGAAGCTAAAAAATACAAGGAAGGAAGTGAAAACTGCAATAGAGAAACTTAACAGTAGAATTGATCAAGGAGAAGTAAGAATTAGTAAGCTTAGAGAGAAAATATTTGAAAACACACAGTCAGAAGAGGAAAAAATAATGAAAAGGAATGACAAAAATTATATGGGATCTATGCAGTGGCATCAAAAGAGCAAATGTATGCCATTAACATTTCAGAGGGAGTAAGGAATGATAAAAGGGTAGAAAGCTTATTCAAGGAAATAATAGCGTAAAACTTTCCAAACTTGGAGAAAGTTATAAATATCCAGCTACAGAAAGATTGAAGACCACCAATTGGGCTTAAATAAGACTTTTCCAAATACATTATAATCAAATCCTCAAAGATCAAAGACAAAGAGATTATCCTGAAAGCAGCAAGGGGGAAAAAAGCAAATGACATATAAGGGAGTTCCAATACACTTGGCAGCAGACTTTGCAGCAGAGAAGGACTTCACAGTCCTGGAGAGAAAGGGATTATATTTTTCAATGTGTTCAAGGAAGAAAAACAAATAAACAAACAAAAAACAGCCAACAAGAATATTATAACCAGCACAATCATCCTCAGACATGAAGGAAAAATAAAAACTCCCAGACACAAAGTTGAGAGAATTCATCACCAACAGAGTCGTATTACAACAAATGATAAAGGATGTTCTTCAAACTAAAAGAAAAGAATGCTAATATGTAACACAAAAACAGCTGAAGGTATAAAACTCACTGGTGAAAATAAGAATATAGATGAATTCAGAATACTGTAGTACAGGAATAGCACATAAACTATTTTTATATATACTATGAAGTATGAAGATTAAAAGATAAACTTATTAAAAATAATAACAATAATAAATTTAAAAACTATAACATGCATAAACTAAAAGTGAAGAGATGGAAAAAATATTCCATGCAAATGGAAGCCAGAAATAAGCAGGAGTACCTATACTTGTATCAGATAAAATAGTCTTCTAGTCAAACACTGTAAAACGACAAAGGGAAGGCCATTATATAATGATAATAGAGGAAGAGTGTATAACAAATATAAATACACATGAACCCAATAATGAAAAACCTGAAGATATAAAGTAAGTATTAATAGACTCTAAATGGCACAACACACTACAATACAATAATAGTAGGGGACTTCAGCAAATCATCTCAGTAATGGACAAATCAGACAGAAAATCAACAAAGAAGCAGCAGTTAAAATTGCACTCAAGACAAAATGAACCTAACAGAAATTTATAGAACGTTTCTCCTAACAGCTGCAGAACACTCATTTTTCTCAACACCACATGGAATATTCTCCAGGATAAATCATATGTTAGGCCAAAAAAAAATTCTTAAAAATTTTTAAAAATTGAAATTATTTGTTTTCAGACCATAATGAATATCAATAACAGGAAGCACTTTGGAAATTGTACAAATAAATTAAAATTAAACCACATGCTCCTGAACAACTAAGTTAATGAAAAAATCAAAAAGAAAATTTAAAAACTTTCTGAAGACATATGAAAATGGGAACATAACGTAAGAAAACCTATGGTATATAGCAAAAAGAGTCCTAACAGAGACCTCTGTATCTATAAACACTGTCAAAAAAAGGTAGAAAGATCTCAAATAAGCAACTTTACACAACAAACACAAAACAAGAACAAACTAAACCCCAAATTATTTGAAAAGGTAATAAAATCAGAGCAGAAATAAAGAGAGATAAAAATACAAGAGATCAATGAAATAAAGAGTTGTTTTTTTTAAAAAAACCCACAAGCCTTTAGCTAGACTAGCTAGAGAGAGAAAGAGAACTCAAACAAAACCAGAAATGAAAAAGAAATGTTACAATTCATACCATAGAAATATAAAAGATTATAAAAGACTATTACAAACAACTATATGCTAATAATTTAGAAAACCTAGAAGATACAGATAAATTTCTGGACACATACAACCTACCACAATTGAATCATGAAGAAATAGAAAACTTGAACAGGCCAATAATTTTTAATGAGAAGGTCTCTTTACGAAAGAAAAGCCCAGAACCTGATGGCTTCACTCCTGAATCCTGTCAAACTTTTTTTTGTTTTTTTTTTTTTGTTGTTGTTGTTTTTTTAGGTGGAAGTATCACTTGAGCCTGGGAGGCAGAGGTTGCAGTAAGCCAAGACTGAGCCACTGCGCTCCAGCCTGGGCAACGGAGCCAGACCCTGTCTTAAAAAAAAAAAAGAAAAGAAATGTAAAGTTTTCTGTAGTTACCCTGCATTAATGTCATACAGAAAAACAAAACTTTATTATTTAATTTATTGATGTTTTGTTCATCAATAAATTTATGCAACAGATATTTATGCAAATCATCTTTAAAATATTAACACAATTATGCAAATCATCTTAAAAATAAAATAATGTTTCTTTTTTTAATTTTATTATTATTATACTTTAAGTTTTAGGGTACATGTGCACAACATGCAGGTTTGTTACATATGTATACATGTGCCATGTTGGTGTGCTGCACCCATTAACTAGTCATTTAGCATTAGGTATATCTCCTAATGCTATCCCTCCCCCTCCCCCCATCCCACAACAGTACCCAGTGTGTGATGTTCCCCTTCCTGTATCCATGTGTTCTCATTGTTCAATTCCCACCTATGAGTGAGAACATGTGGTGTTTGGTTTTTTGTTCTTGTGATAGTTTGCTGAGAATGATGGTTTCCAGCTTCATCCATGTCCCTACAAAGGACATGAACTCATCATTTTTTATGGCTGCATAGTATTCCATGGTGTATATGTGACACATTTTCTTAATCCAGTCTATCATTGTTGGACATTTGGGTTGGTTCCAAGTCTTTGCTATTGTGAATAGTGCCGCAATAAACATACGTGTGCATGTGTCTTTATAGCAGCATGATTTATAATCCTTTGGGTATATACCCAGTAATGGGATGGCTGGGTCAAATAGTATTTCTAGTTCTAGATCCCTGAGGAATCTCCGTCAGACTTTTAAAGAACTAACATCAATTCTCCTCAAATCATTCTACAAAATTGAAAGGGAAGGAATTTCTACCGAATTCATTCTTTGAGGTCAGCATTACTCTGATACCCAAACTAAACAAGGACACACAAAAAAGAAAACCACAGGCCAATATCTCTGATAAACATAGATGTAAAAATCTTCAACAAAATAATAGCAAATCAAATTCAACAGTACATTAAAAAAATCATTTACCATGATCAAGTGAGTTTTGTCCCAAGGATGCAAGGATGGTTCAGCATAGGCAAATCAATAAACGTTAACACATCACATTAACAGAACCAAGAACAAAAACCACATGACTATTTCAATATATGCAGAAAAAGCTTTTGATATAATGTAACATCACTTCTTGATAAAAACTCTCAACAAATTAGTCATAGAAAGAGCATAACTTAACATAATAAAGACCATCGATGATAAACCCACAGCTAACATGGGGAAAAGTTGAAAGCTTTTCCTCTAAAATCTGCAACAAGGCAAGGATGCCCAGTTCTACCACTTTTTACCGCTTCTATTCAAAATATTACTAGAAGTCCTAGCCAGAACAATTAGGAAAAAAAAAAAAAACAGAACTAAAGGGCATCCAGATTAGGAGGAAGTTGAACTGTCCCTGTTTCTTTGTTGTTTTCTATATATAAGATCATGATAAGATAGCATGATCTTGTATACGGAAAACCCTAAAGACTTCAAACACATGAAAAGAATTAGAACAAATTCAGTAAAGCCACAGGATAGAAAATCAACATACAAAAATTAGCGGAACTTCTATACACTAATGGCAAGCTATTGGAAAAAGAAATTTAAAAAAATCAATTTACCATAGCTACAAAACCAAAATATCTAGAAATATATTTAATTAAGAAAGTGAAATATCTCTGCAATGAAAATTATAAAATATTGATGGAAGAAATTGAAGAGGACACAAATAAATTGCAAGATATCCCATGTTCATTGATTGGAAGAATTAATGTTGTTAAAATGCCCATACTCCCAAAGCTATCTACAGATGCAATGCAATCTCCTTCAAAATACCAATGATATTCTTCATAGAAGTGGAAAAAAATTCTGAAATTGATATGAAATTAGAAAAACTGGAATAGCCAAAGCAATCTTTAGCAAAAAGTACAAATCTGGAGGCATCACACTAAGCTGAAAATATACTATGAAGCTATAATAATTAAATAGCATGCTACTGGCCAAAAAACAGACACACTGACCAATGTAATAGAATAGAGAATTCAAAAATAAATCTATACATGTACGGCCAACAGATTTTCCATAGAGGCACCAGAAATACACAATGGGGAAAGGACAGTATCTTCAATAAATAGAGCTGAGTAAAACTGATACAGAAGTATGAAACTGGACCTTTGTCTCTCACCACTTAAAAAAAACTCAAAATAAGCTAAAGATTTAAATGTGAGACCCAAAACTATGAAACTATAAAAGAACTCAAACAAGTCAATAACAACAACAACAAAATCAAACAAACAACATGATTTAGAAATGAGTGAAAGATCTGAGTTGCCATTTCTCAAAATGAAGTATGCAAATGGGCAACTGGTATATGAAAAACTGTTCAACATTGCTAATCATCAGGAAATGAAAATAAAAACCACAATGTATACACAGCACCTCACCCCAGCTAGAATGGCAATTATCAGAAACAAAAAAATAACAAATAATGGCAAGGAGGTTGAGAAAAGAGAATTTTTACAGACTGTTGGTTGGAATGTAAATTAGCACAACCCCTATGGTAAACGCAATCCCCCTACTGGGCATGTATCCAAAGGAAATGAAATTAGTATGTTGAAGAGATATCTGCACTCCTATCTTCATTGCAGCATTATTCACAATAGCCAAGATTTGGAATCATCTTAAGTGTCCATCAACAGATGAATGGATTAAAAAGTGCAGCATCTATGCACAACGAAATACTATTCAGCCATAAAAAGAACAAAATGCTGTTATTTTTTATATATAGAAGAATCCAGAGGAAATTAAGTGAAATAGGCTAGACACAGAAGGCTAAATACCTGATTTCACTTATATGAGGGAGCTACAAAACTTGATCTCATAGACCTAGAGTTTAGAACAGTGGCTACTAGAGGCTGAGGAAGGCAGCGGGGAAGGGAAGAAGGGAGAGAGTAGTCAAAGAATACTGTGTTACAGACAGATGGAATAAGTTCCAGTGGCTGTTGCACAGTAGAGTGAAACGGTTAATATATTGCACAATTCAAAATAGCTGGAACTGATTTGGAATGGCCTCACACAAAGAAATAATAAATGTTTGAGATAATGCATATACTATACCTTGACTTGATTATTACATAATTTATACATATATCAAAACATCACACTAAACCCCATAAATATGTACAATTATTTGTCAATTAAAAATAAAATAGTTAATAATTAGCTAAAAGAATCCTATTAACTGATACTTTACCTTTCAGTTAATAAGCTGTACCTGAAATAAAGCCAAATTTGATACTAATAACAGAGAAAATTACAATAATTTGAAATGTATATGCCATTAATAACATAATACAAAAAATTAAATAAATATTGGCAGTATCTGGAGGGAAAAGTACATACTCAAAATTATAGTGGACAGTCTTAACATTCCCCACAGCAACTTAAAGAACAAAAAAAATTCCTAAGGATAGAGAAGATTTGAACACATTTATCAAATCTAATCTCAATAATTCATTTTGCAATCATTACCTGTAGAATGTATACTATTTTTAAAGTGTACATAGAATATTTACCAAAATAAACCCTTAGCTAGGCCATAAGGCAAGTTTCAATAAATTCTATAAATTACAATTATACCAAGAATGCTGTCTAAACCCACTGGAATTAAGCTGAGAATGCTCTCTAAACCCACAGGAATTAAGCCAATTTTAAAAGCGAAAAATGAAAAACTAGCAAATTTTAAAAAAATAAACAATTCACTTCTGAATGACCCATTCAGATCCAAAGACAAAATCATAAAGGAGATTAAAAATATTTAATCTAAATAATACTAAAAACATCACAGATCAAAATTTGTGTGATGCATCTGAAGTTGTATATCTTTAAATATATCTAGGAGAAAATAAGACAAGATGAAAATTAATGATCTAAGTATCTACCACAAAAAATTGAGAAAAAAATGGCAAAATAAATTTTAAAATAAAGTTGAAGAATCAAAATAAGGATAAATGAATAAGGATAAGCATTAACAAAATAGTGACAAAATACAATAGAAAAAATAAATACAATCAAAAGCAAATTCTTTGATAAAACTAATCAAACAGGTAAACCTCTAGCAAGACTGATTAGGAAAAGAAGGCATAATTTATCAGTAATATGAGTGAAAAAGAGGGTATCATTAAAGATACTACATTCATCGAAAAAACAATAAAAGTATGCTATACATAATTTTACATCAGTAAATCTGAAATTTTAGATGAAGTGAGCAAATTAATTAAAAATACAATTAAAAACTGAACCAACAAAACGAGAGAAAATTTGAACGGTCCCATACTTGTCAAATAAATTGGACATTTAATTTAAAACCCTCACCTCTCTCCGCCCAGAAAAAAAAAAAATTTCAACTCTAGGCTTATGTAGCTTCACTGATGATTTTTTCCAAATAGCTAAAGAAGAAATGATACCAATATAACACAAATTCTTCCAAATAATAGAAAAAAAGAAAATATTTTTCAACCTAGTTTGTACGGCAGCATAACCTCAATACCAAATCTGACAAAAGAAAGAAAACGTTGACAATTATTATACAAAAACACTGAATGAACTAATAACCAAATTCAATGACATACCAAAGACAATAAATCATGATCAAGTAAGGTTTATTCCAGGAATATGCAGTTGGTTTAACATTAAAAAAATCAATCAATATAATTTATCACATTATTAGACTAAAGGAGAAAACATGATCGTCTTAACAAATGGAGATAAAGCATTAGTTAAAATTCAGTCCCTTCTTTTTTTTTTTTTTTTTTTTTTTTTTTTTTTTTTTTTTTTTTAATTTCAGACAGAGTTTTGCTCTTGTTGCCCAGGCTGGAGTGCAGTGGCGCCATCTCGGCTCACCGCAACCTCCACCTCCCAGGTTCAAGTGATTCTCCTGCCTCGGCCTCCCAAGTGGCTGGGATTACAGGCATGTGAAACCCCACCCGGCTAATTTTGTAGTTTTAGTAGAGACGGGGTTTCTCAATGTTGGTCAGGCTGCTCTCAAACTCCCGATTTCAGGTGGTCCGACCGCCTCGGCCTCCCAAAGTGCTGGGAATACAGGCATGAGCCACCGCGCCCGGCCAAAATTAAGTCCCTTCTTTAATATAAGATCTCTGGCTTCTGTGATGTCTGTTTCAGTAAAATAATAATAATAATAATATTTCTCACCAAAGTGGAAACAGTGGGAAGTTTCCTAATCTGATCAATGATATCTTTAAAACCCCCTACATGTAACTGGAATTTAAGGATCACATATTTACTGGTCCCTCCGTGAAGTTTGCAACAAAATAAACATATCAATATTTTACTTGAGTGCTTAGGCAGTCTAATAAGGTAAGGAAAAGAAATCAACATTGTAGATATTTGAAAGGAGAACAAAAAAAAGATCAGTATTTTTTGATAACATAATTCTGTAGGTAAAAATATCTAAAAGGCTCAACAAATAAATTACTATATTGATGCAAAAGTAATTGCAGTTTTGCAATTAAAAGCAATTTTTTGCACCAATATAAATATAGGAAATAATAAGCAAATTAATAAAGCATCAGAATACAACATCAATTATGAAATCAACTATATTTATATGAAAGTCATTGTGCATTGGGGACAATGACCAACAAACAGAAGAATGGAATGGAGAAAGATCCATATATATAGTCCTCTAATACATAACAAAGGTGCCACTGCAATTCAGTGAAGGAAGGTTGACCTTTTCAATAAATGGTGCTGGGTTGACTGGATATACATATGAATCATAACCTCTGCCTCACACTATAAGCAAAAATTAATTTGAGATGAATCGCAGACCTAAATATATGAAGTAAAATAGGAAAACTTACAGAAGGAAATGAGAGAACATATTCAAGAGTTTGGGGTAGGCATAAATTTTTGAAACAGAAAGCATAAAGCACTAACAATAAAGAGAAGACTTATAGGGTAGACTTCATTAAAATTAAGAACTT
This sequence comes from Homo sapiens, assembly GCF_000001405.40. Lineage (NCBI taxonomy): Eukaryota > Metazoa > Chordata > Mammalia > Primates > Hominidae > Homo > Homo sapiens. The sequence goes on from NC_000013.11 coordinate 34,404,270, forward strand.
TGCTTCATCAAGAGAAAACATTAAAATAGTAGAAAGGCAAGTCGCAGAATGTGATAAATTATTTACATTACATATATGTAACAAATGACTCACCTCCAGAATATATAAAGATCTCCAAAAAAAGAATAAACCAAACTTTTGAAATGAGCAAGAGAATTGATCAGATGCATGAAAAATATGTCCAAATTATATATACGTGTGTGTGTGTATATATATATATATATATATACATATATATATATATATATATATACACACATGCATATGTTATACATTTATATTTGGACATCTTATTTTTCTGGAGAGAGAGAGAGATAGATAGATAGTTAAATAGATACGGTATCATTCAACCTCAGTAGCCATCAGGGAAATGCAGTTAAAATCACAATGAAATACCAACATACATCACCAGAAAGACTAAAATCGAAAAGATTTATAATACCATACTTTGAGAAGAATGTAGAGCAACAGGCACTTTCATACATTGCTTTTGGGAGTGTGTATAGATAGACACTTTGGGAACATTTTGGCAATATCTACTGACACAGCACGTTAATATTCCCCATGATCTAGCAATTCCACTCCACAATATTTGCCTGAAGAATGAGATCTTATGGCCACAGAAGACATGACAGATATAATAACGCTTATAACTTCAGGCCACTTCCTTCATACAGTTTATGACCAAATGCACTGCTCACTGTTCTTCCCATTTGGAAGAGAAAACTCCCCTTCCTTGTCTTTAAGAACCATTACAGAGAGTGGCTGTAATGCAACCACCATCTATTTCTGGCTTTCATCCATCCATAAGCCAAACTTTGTGGGTTTTCTCCTCTACTGTTAATTGTAAAGAACTCCTTATTCTGCCATTGGAACAAGCCAAAGAAGATACATTTACCGCAATCATAGTTAGTGACATGGGAATATTTGGGTTACCAGCTCATGAAGCTTACTCACACCTCCCGGTCCTTCTCAGGCTCACCCATAAACACCTTTTCAATCTTATAATGGAATGCTGCTCAGCACACCCAACTTTATAACTTGGTAGATCTTTATGTTTTGGTAAATCATAACCCAGCTCAAAGATGGGTATTTCTAGGTGCATTGTGACTCAGCGTGCTATGTTCAAGCATAACATCATCACCACAGCCCAGTAACACACCAGGAGCTATTTCTAGAAAAGTGTATGATGCCTGCAGTAGACTTCAGATGGCATAGCATTGCTTTAGAACCCCAGGGGCCTACACTGTGATGTTCCTACTGAAATTTTCCATAAACTCTATAATTTATCTTCTACTGCTGACACCTCCTAGTGTCTGTTGGATCACGTGGCACAATTGGCAGCACAATCTGCAAAGTCTGGATCTGCTATATAGTCTTTTCCTGCTCTGAGCCCCAGTCAAAGCTGACAGCCTAAGTTGTCACCTGGTATCTGGGCCTGAGCAATATTTCTTGGTTTGAAATGTGTTGCCTCAAAAACCTAAGCAGTCCTTTCAGATGTCCTTTATGGTAGGAGAAAGAAGATGTAGCAATTTGACTTTTACTTTGGAACCGTACAAACTTTGCTAAAACAGTATGTTCATGAATCTCCTTAGAATTATTTTCCACCCTCTGGAGTTCATATGTCTTTCCATGGTTTCAAGTCATCTCTTGCTTGTTCTGCCTAATCAGCATGATGTCATAAGTCTGATGGATCAATGTGAGTAAGCACTGTTTCTGAAGGCGAAGGCATTTTAGCCTATGTACATTCACTAATGAACACATTAGCTGAAGAATATATTCACTAAATCAATGGCACCTTACCACGTTCCATTATTGTTATTCTACTCTAGCAATGATATCATCTAGCATGGCAGCTTCAATCAGGACTGCTAGCTGGCTGAGCTTGCAATTCTCTGAGATCCATGTAATTTCTTCAGGAGGGTAGACAAGGTGAGTTAAATGGAGATATGGTAGGGACCACCACCCTTGCATCCCTTAGATTTTAATGGAAATACTAATCTCTACCATTCACCCTCGGATGCAATCGTGATTTTTATTTGCTGTTTTGACTAGGGCAAGGAGCAGTTTCAGCGGCTTCCATTTTACTTTCACCAGTATGATAGATCCTACCCCACAGGACAAAGAGTCACCCAATATCAGCATCATTCTCTGCCAAGTATATCAATCCCAACTGTATATTTGGGGATTGGGGAAATTGCTGTCAGTGGGTTTATGGACCTCATAGTCCCATTGCAAGTGAGACTTTAGCTAGGGTTTCTCTTTTTACCCTGCCAGCATATGCCTTCTTTCTAACAAGGAGCCATAATGACACTTTACATCACTAGGTTAACAATGTCAATTTTTACTGTTTGTTCGGTAATCCTTGAAATATCTGGGTATTCCCACATATACAATTTCCATGTATACAATCCTCCAAAAAAAATGCTCATATGTGCCTGTGATGATTAATATTGAGTGCCAACTTGATCGGATTGTAGGTGGCAAAGTATTGTTCCTGGGTGTGTCTGTGAGGGTGTTGCCAAAGGAGATTAACATTTGAGTCAGTAGACTGGGAAAGGCAGACTCATCTTCAATCTGGGTGGGCACCATCTAATCAGCTGCCAGTGTGGCCAGAATATAAGCAGGCAGAAGAACGTGGAAGGACTAGACTGGCATAGTCTCCCAGCCTATATCTTTCTCTAGTGCTGGATGCTTCCTGCCCCTGGACATGGAACTCCAAGTTCTACTCTTGGACCTTCAATCACAGACTGAAGGCTGCACTGTCGGCTTCCCGGCTTTTGGGGTTTGGGGACTCAGATTGGCTTCCTTGCTCCTTGGCTTGCAGAGAGCCTGTTGTGGGACCCCGCCTCATGATCATGTGAGTCAATACTCCTTAATGAATTATCCTTTATATAAACATCTATCCTATTAGCTCTGTCCCTCTAGAGAACCCTGACTAATACAGTGCCTTTAGGAAAGAACTGCAGAAAGTATTGAGGTATATCCTCACTGCAGTATTGCAGTGTCCTTCTCCCTGGGGACCTGACCCTCTCCTAAATCAGTGGGTTCCAGAACTAGAAATTAGTTTGGGTTCAAAAACCTAGGGAAATGACCTTGATTTTTTATTAGGATGACAATCCTCAGCCTTCCACCTCTTCATTATTTCTTCTTCTGATTGCCGATGTAAAGCAAACGTCTTAATGGCTGACTATCTCTTTTGCCTCTAGGGATACCATGTTCTTTCAACCATCTTCACACCTTCCTACAATTAGTGCTCCCTAGGCAGACCCTCTGATCTTGCTAGTTATTATGGTCATTGTGGCTCTCTGGCCTTTGGTAGTTTCTATTGCTTCATGGTCTGATCATCCCATGGATGGTAACAAGTCTGACTCTGTGGTCACCTCTCCTACTTGCCTGCAGAGGAGAGCCTCCACTGCGCTTTAATGATGCTGGTGTTCCTTTCATTCCTGCACTGCTGACGGCCTCTGGGTCTTTTCATGCAAGTAATCCTGGGGTGAGTCTTTCTGCCTCACACATATCCTGAATGTATATTCAAGCACACTGAAACCCCTGGGCTTTTTTATTCCTTTCTCTGTCATCTGCCACGGCACTCAGGCATTTCATCTTCATTAGCAAAGGCCACCATTCACTTCAACCCTCTTGGACTCACCCTAGCATTGAGTCCCATCTCTGGGGTCCTTGCCAGAATGTTAAATTCTCTGTTTCAAAACAATGCCCCCAAGTCTCTGAATTCTTGCTTATGGAATCTTTTTCTAACTGCCTTGATCGAGTACCCTCAAAATCCAGTTCCAAGGGTACTTTCTTAGCTACTGTTAGTATATGCAAGCTAATTCTTGCAAGTTTCTTTGGAATGTAGTATCCTCTTTCCTTATCATATTCAACACATCCCCAGCAGATTATACTGGGACTTAACCCTACTGGTTGGTTTGGCATCCAGGAAAAGTGGTGGGACAATTCCTGAAAAGGGCATTTGCTGCCTAGCAAGGGAGAGGCCTCTGCAGTCTTTCCATAGTGGGAAAGTGTTAACTCTTATTAGGAATAGGGGCCATCTCTGTAATCACATTGGCTGCAGGAAAGTCTGCAAAGGCACAGTCTTCAGGGACCTAACCCATATTTCAGGGTCTCAAGTGGTTTGTTTGTTTTTTAAATTCAGGGCCCTGACCTTTGTATAACGACCTTCTTGGGCTCAGCATTTAAATGTCTGGAGCTCTACAACTCTAACTTAGTCTTATGCTTGCTGCTCAGCTGTGTCTACTGCAGGACAAGCTTTGGTAGCTTATAAAAAGGACCTCAGGTCCTCACACATCCTTTAACTCTTCATAAACAACCTCTGATTCCCCATTATCCCTCTGCAGGGGATCAATACAATTTTGGGATAAGTAGCCAACTCCACTCTCCTTTAGCACTGTTCTCTCAATGCCTTTTCAATGCTAGAATCATTGCAGCAGTAAGAGAGTTCCCTCCCACCAGGATGTTTTCCCAGGTTACCATCAGTGAAAGTTTTAGCAGTTGGGCCACTGCTGTGTGCCAGGAACCATCTGTGCCCCACATACCACTCAGGGCCTTTCGTGCCAGCCAGTTGGCAAGCAAAACCTGGTCCCCCAACTCCATCTTACCAACTGCTTTTCTGGCACCAACTGTTACTTAGGTCCTCCGAGAAGCAGACACCACAACAGAATTAGAAATACAAGAGATTTATCAGGGAAAATGCCTGTGAAGGCTAAAGGGGAGAGAGAACAGATAGGACAGCCTCAAACCACAATGCAGGTTTGACACCATGAGGAGAAAGAGGCACAGAATGAGAATTTGGTCAGAAGCCCCCCCCCGCCCAGTCTGCATTGCACCTCTGAAAAGATCTTGGCCAGACCTGTAGAGGACCCAGAGCACAGACTGTTCTTTACAAGAACTCTGCAATGAGCATAAATGGGATGCTCTAGGGTCTAGGCCATGTGAGGTCATTGGCTGGGGGCAGCTCAGGGAGAGAGTTGTGTTGGTGTGAATGCTCTGGAGGGTCCTGAAAGTAGAGCACCTGGAAGGTGTCTCATAACAACAGGCATTCTTAAAGGGATGTGAGTAAATAGGACATTCAAGTGCTTGAGGTATTCTACGCACTGGCCTAGGAAATGGTCACATAGGTATGTGCCCTTTGAAAGAATTAACTTAGTCATAAATATAAGACAAGTATTTTTGTATATGTATTTTATGTACAAATATATGTGTTACGTAAATTTACTTCAAAGATGCCATGTAAAGAATGGAAGCCACCATTCTGAATAATTCTACCTAAATATCCTAGGAACGACCCCACCCTTAGAAGAAACCACGTAGTGAATATAAGTAGTTTGGTTTTTATTTGTGTCATTCAGAAAATTGACTCATTTCTCCCACCACACTCTGTATAATCTCAAAATAATGAGTTATTTCTGCATGCTATATAGTAACCAAAGACAAGGACTCCTTTTTGAATCACAACATTCTTAGAACCGCTAAGCCTCTTAAATGTCTATTTATTTTTGTGTGTGTGCGTGATTTTAGGCTGTACTGAAACCCCATGTTTAATGCATTCTTTTGGGGCTCCCGCTTAGGCCTGAGTCTGATTGCTTCTGGGATGGAAAGAGAATAGCTGAGATTTCAAGTCCTGTTGTGCAAAATCTGTAGCTGTTCAAGCGCCTTAGATAGAATTTGGATGAGTAGCCTGGAGTACTGGCCAAGATATGTTCCCAGTCCTGTTCGTATAGTCCCATTATCTGTCTGCTCTGACAGCCACAACTCAGAGCTTTTATCTCAAAAAGAAAAATCATAATAATAAATGGAAACATAAATAGCATAGTGTGAAATTCAGTACCAGCTAGGAAGCATTCCCATATTTAGGTACAGGCTCCTTTAGTTTTGCAAATTTGAGCTTAGAATCTTTGCTTTAGGTCTCAAAGCAGCTATCTTGTTCTGGTCATGGCCTTTCTCTAGAAAACCAGGATAAAGTCACATTCGCAATAGTGACAAAATCTTCCCTCTTCAAAAAAAAGAACAAGTATAAAGTGCATTTGGAATTTTCCAACTGTGAGCTCTCTGTGAAGGGATGATTTCAAAAAGTAAAGTATAGAAAACCTCGTAGAACTGGAAGGACAATTGTCTTTTTTATTACTATTGGACATTGTATCATTTTCTTTTTCAAATTTCACAAATGCCTCTTAATTAATAAGTATGTCATCAATAAAATGTCAGAAGTGAAAAAGAATTGACTCTGTTCTGTCTTGAAAAATGACTTCCAGATTCCATAAAATGAAATTATAAGTAAAAACTAATCCTTCTAAAGTGTGTTTTGATGGGACTGTTTTTCAAAATGTGATTAGAAAGTAACAGCTAAGTTAAAATTTTGACATAAATTCAACAAACGGTTTTTAGAATGCTATTTTTTTATTGCTAACAAAGCCAAGTTACTCAAGATTAATGTGACAAAAAAATATGCTCTATCTCTCTCCTGCCTTCTTCAGAGAGAAGCTTTAAAGCTGGCTGCTGCAGGTTTTAAAAACAGATGTCAGACACATGTTTTTAGGCATTTGTTCAATGAAGCTGCACGTCATGATCTGGCCCCGGTAGCAAGAGTGATGTAAAGAAGTGTCCTTAGGTTGACAAGGGAAGAAAAATTTGGAAAAATCTTGTAATATCCTGAAATAAATTTCATACATCACTGAAAACAAAGGAATGTAAAGCTGAATAGATTGGAGTTGGAGCCCTTTTTTTAATCATGTCGGCCAAAAACGTTCCAGTCAATAGTCCTAACACACCACAGATGAGGACAGATTTACCACTTGACTTCACTGAATAACAATCTCAAAGCTTAAAGGAATCTGTGTAAAAGAGACATAGTGAAGCTTAATGCATTCTGATTATTTTCTAGAGGCAGAATGTTGCTTAAACATGAAGTCTCAGAATATAAAATGTAAAGATAGAGAAGGCTATCTTGAATATACAATGACTTTGGATACAGGGGGAAAAAAACTGAAATAGTGCCTGGAAAAGCCAAGGAGTCTTTCTAGAACAAGAATGTAGAATGAAGGAAATGCCTGGGGCTTTGGCCTGGAGCTATGTCTATATAACAAGACTGATTCAATTATTCTGTAGCTGTTTCCTTTTTTGTTTAAAATAATCCAATAGCTGCAAAATCAATCTGAGACCTTCATGGTTTGTGTGATCCAATTTTCAAGACAGAAACAAAGCTGATAACCAAACTGCATTTGCCGATAAGCCATTTCTATAATCAAAATTTCTATGATTAAGATAAGTGGAAAATATTTGTTGTTACCCTTGTTTAATGTAAACCCTTTTCCTATCAAGTTTATCTAGAGTACACACAAATCAAATTAATAAACAAATAATGCCAACTCCTGTTTTAAAGTGCTATTGTGAAGAAGCTGTTACCTCAGATGACAGTTGTAAAGCTGACTACTACCTGGAATTGGTACTTTATTTTCCATGAACAGTTGTAGCATAATCCATATAAAAGTGTGATGAAATAATCAAGTTGTACCACCTCGTTTTAATGGAGCATACACATTTCATACAACCTGGGAGTGTGGAGGAGGAGAGAGTATTTATGGGATATGGAATCAACTACAAATGAATGGGCTTCTGAAAAAGAGTAGATATTTCCAGCTAATTCGTAACCTGGCTGTTTATCTTTCCCCCATAAAAAGCAGAGACGTCTAGGAGAATCTTTCCCAGCATCCATGAAAAATATTTACAGATACAGTCATTCATCACTTAACAACAGAGATACATTCTGAGAAATGCACTGTTAGTCGATTCTGTCATTGTGCAAACATCATAGAATGTACTCACACGAATCCAGATTGGATAGCCTGCTACACACCTAGGCTATATGGAACAGCCTATTGCTCCAAGGCTACAAACCTGTACAGCATGTACAGAATATTGAAGGCAATTGTAACACAATGGTAAGCATTTGTGTATCTAAATCCATCTAAATGTAGAAAAGGTATAGTAAAAATATGGTATTATAATCTTATGGGACCCCTTTGGATATGCAGTGCATGACTATATTTTAGCTGAAAGCACCAGCCCACTTCTTTTAGAGAGGAGCAGAGCCACACCCCCTGTCTTTCCACCATGTATTTAGATCTTGGAGATTAGGAATTAAAAACATGAGCAATGCAAGCAAAAATGCAGATGATAAGATTTGTGTGATACATTGCAAGCTGGAAAGTTCCTTTATGGAGGAATTCAGTTTAAACAACAACAGAAAGAGACATGAGAATCCTCTAGTGTATGAGCTCCAAGCCTTGAAGTTGGTCAACACAGTGTGTGGATTAGCAGAAAAAGCTGAAACAGAACATGGGGCTACCAAGGAACAGAGGGATCTGGGGAGAGATGCTAATCAATCCATTAGGAATGCAGGATTTATCAATACCCAATTGAGAAAAGGCTACTAACATTGCAGTTTTGTCTGCGTGATACTTATAATTGCATGCCACTCCAGTTTGCTGGCAAAATTAGTCCCAGCAAAAATTTTACTAAACTTTAGCCAGCTGAAAGTCCTCACCAGCATAATTACTATGTCAACCTCTGTCCCTTATCATGTCCTCAACTGCTTTTAGGAATTCCAAAGCACATTAATGTTCTTACTTTCTGGACTCATCATTTAAGTTTCTGCCCACAGGTTTTGTGAGGTAGTCACCTCGCCTCTGCCACTGCTGCTATTCTATAAAAATGAAATCTGCTTCCCCATCACTCCAGCAGGCACAGCCAGCACCTCCACCTCTGAAATTTTCCAGGGCCCTGTGGTTGCAATCACTGCATTGCATTCTGCACAGAAACAGAAAGAATGCCCTTCTCCCAAACTCTGTGCAATGTTGTCACCTGGGTCTTAATGCAGTATTGTGGGCGCCATGAGTCACCAAGATCTCTTGTCAAACAGTTCCTGTTTCTCAGGAGTCAAACAGAAATGGCCCTGCCCTCATATCCTCAGTCATCAGCTCTTTCTGCTCAACACTCAGAACTACTTCAGCCCTCCCCCTTCTCCCCAAAATACCTCCTTTAGCTGAAGTAAATCAAGCCAGAAAAAGCTGTCAAGCACAGCAATGAAAATCCATGATGAGGAATGATGGGCCCTGGCCTGGCGTATCCACTGGCTTACTCTGTTGTTGTTATGCTGTAGAAACTATAAAGAAATGGCTCTCAAAAAGATGACTCCTATTGAGTATCAGTCCTAGGAAGTCAAAGTCCTCATCTATAACAAAGCATAAGGCAATAATTTGCTTCTAGAAGTTCTCTGGGCTCTTGCCCCAGGATAAAAGCTTTCAGAGGGGAATAGGAGGCATTGCCTGCTGCTCACTGCCAAGGTGGAGGGTGGGCTAAGGATGGACAGTGGTGGGTTCACCTTCAGTTGCTGATTCAGAAATGCCTGGAAAGCATCCAATGGGAGGGCTCCAGGAAGCTGACTCCTTTCTTTTGCCCGAATCTGATAAAATCTTAGGTTTCCCATGTGAACTAAGCAGACCAGGAAAGAGCAGGAGTTCTGGAGACCAAGAGTCCTGGAGGCTAATGTTGGCCTGCCATTCCATAACTGGGTAATATTGGCTAATTTGCTTAACAAGTCTATTCAAGCCTTGGTTTTGTCATCTACATAATGGAGAGAAAATAATAACTACAGTTGTCATTGAAGACTCAATGAAATAATGCTGATCAAGGGTTTGCCTCAGACACAGGAAGTGGTCAGTAACTGTTGGCTACCACTACCAATGTAGTAGACTTAAACACAGGCAAGCCTGCAAATGCCTAACATGCATATTAAGTCTTCTTTAGAAAATCCATTCCCTAAAAGTTGCCTTTAAATGAAAGTTAGATCAGACTGTAAATAATGTCACCTACAAAGAGGGAAAGATAGATGCTGCAGTCATGGCAGCAAGTTGCCAGAGGGCTAGGGGTTCTGATAGAAAAAGCCTTTAGGAGCTTGACCTGGACTGCAGCTGGGGCAGCTGATAGGGAAGAAATTAAAGAGGGGCACAATGAGAAATGCACTGTGGCTTTCTTCCAAATGGTGTTTTATAAAGTTTGACTTCACGTGAAAGCAAGAGGAAGAAATCTGGTTCTCTTTGAAAGGCAGATCTGACTTTAAGTCAAGAAATGTAATAGAATCACGTTCTCGCAGGGGAAACTGTTGAGCATGGCGCTCACCATGGAGCATGCAGTGGCAGGTGGTTCTGTGGGAGTGTGACTGGAGGGGAAAAACCAATCCACTGACACTACAGGAACTCTCTGAGATACAACTTATTGACTTGACGGGGCCCACTTTATCCCCCGAAGATGATTACGGAGACATAAGCAGGGACGTTGAATAAACACAGACACAGACTCCACAGTCTCATTGAGTGTCCCGAAGGAGCACCCCTATGAAATACATCTTGTACTTCTAAAGGCACTGCATGCATTATGCAGGTGCTCCCAGCTGCCCAGGAACACCAAAGTCAGCTTGGTTACTCATCAGCTCAACTGAACTTTACGCACTGACACACTAGCACCTGCAGAAAACTGGATTCCTCGTGTGGGTGAAAAGTGGGTCACAGAGAGAAGCTGCACAAAGCCTTTTCTGAGAGTTACAAGGCAAACTGAATAGACCTGAATTTAAATCATGTGTGACTGTCTCCATTCTGCAGATTATCATCCACACCTATGACCAGAAATCCAATTATGAAAAATAATAATAGAGACAGATAAAATTATGGGGAATATTTTGAAAATCATGAATGTGAATTTTTCTTTTAACTGTCTAAGTTCATGATCTCTACCCAACATGACCCAAGGCAACCATCTGCATGGAAAATGGGGATTTGTTCCATAAAGAATAAACCAGCAAAGATTGAGATTATACTTAGCTTCTGACACTGAAAATAGGAAATTTTAGCAACATGGCTTATTACTAATACTCTAAATTTCTTTGTTGTCTCTGCTGAAGGATTCTACTCATTTTCTTCCTCCATTGTGAGTGTGTGTGTGTGTGTGTGTGTGTGTGTATGTATGTGTGCCTTTCTAGATAAGTTCTGGCTAGAGGAGCAAGTCAATAGGACCTGCAGTTCTGGGTCAACTAAAGACATTATATAGCAGAAAGGGATGGGAATCCAGGAGATAGAAGAAACCAGAGAAAAGAAAGGTTGGAGGGAAGGCCATGACATGTGTGATCTGATTTGTTACTCTCTAAGCTTTAGTGCATATTAAATAATTGACATTCAGGGATTGAGGGCAGTTGGGGACTTCTGGAACTACAGAAGAATACTGAGTTACAGTTGTTCTGTACCCATCCTATTCACAACCTTATCCAAATCAACCTGGTTGTTTGGCGAAGTCAGGCCTGTTTTTTAGCTTCACTGGGTCATCTATGCTTCCAAGTAACATAGACAGAACCCAAGGACACCTGAGAATCTGGCTGGGGCCATGGCTGACAGCCATATCCTCACTGGAATGAGGCAGGTCGGCATCCAGGACATGATCAGTTGGGCAGCAACTGGGGGTTGCCCTCAGGACTCAGAGGGCTTCATCCCATCTGTGGGAGAAGAGTTACAGACAAAGTAACCTGCAGAGCATCACAGGCACTTACCAAAGCAAGGGAGGAGACACAGCAGCTGGAAGGCAGCTATGGAACCACACAGGTCAAGGGACATCACTCCAGAAGCCAAGGAACCCAAGGACACCAAGTGCAAGGACCCTGAATTTGGCTTTCGTTGTGAGATCTTGTAAGTCTTACCATTCCTGCCACATACCCAGATGACTTCTTGAAAGGGTTCTAGGGGCTAGCCAGAAGACTGACAAATAAACAATCAAATAAACAATGTCTGGTTTTTCCCTAAAGGACTGAGGTGAACATCTTTTTAAATTGCAAATCATGTTGCATTTTAACTCAAGTATGAATGTCAGTTGTGTATTGTTTCAGTTTGTTTGTTTGCTCCCAGGTAACCAGAAGCAGGAAAGCCAGATTCATTATAGCAAACATGGCAGGGCTATATATACTCTGGTCATTTCAGCCACAGTGAGAGTGGAATTTGCCGGTCTTCTTTGCAATTACATCATATGAGAGCTAGGAAAGGATAGATGGACAAATAGAAGGGCTGGGCATTTGGGCCTCACCAAGATGAACCCCCAAATGAAGGGATTTATTACAATAATAAGAAAAGACAGCCAGGAGCAGTGGCTCACACCTTTAATCCCAGCACTTTGGGAAGGTGAGGCGGGTGGATCAGTTGAGCTCAGGAGTTCGATACCAGCCTGGGCAAAATGGTGAAACCCAGTCTCTAGTAAAAATACAAAACTTAGCTGCGCGTGGTGGTGTGCATCTGTAATCCCAGCTACTTGGGAAGCTGAGGCAGGAGAACTACTTGAACCTGGGAGGCGAAGGCTGCAGTGAGCCAAGATCGTGCCACTGCACTCCAGCCCAGGCAACAGAGCAAGACTCTGTCTGAAAAAAAAAAAAAAGAAAAATGAAAAAAATGGCAAGGTTAGATGCTGAATCTGCTCCTATATATATCTAGAATCTGCTTCTATATATATATCTATGTAGATATATAGATATATTTTAAACAATACATCAAAATGGAATGAATGTCACTAATTAACTCATGCTAAGAGGCAAGACCAATAAACAGCATTTTTTTTTAAAGCACACATTGAAATCCAAATCAGTGACTAAGTAATGAATATGTTTACTACTCGACTCATGGGCTCCATTCAGGAAGTGACATTTGATAGCGTTTCTCAGTCATTGGTTGTGTATAGGCTCCTGCATCAGATACCTATTGCTGCACAATTACTCCAAAACTGGATGCTTAAAAAAGCAAATATTAATCTCACAGTCTCTGAGGGTCAGGAATCCAAGAGTGGCTTAACTGGGAGGTTCTGGCTCAGAGCCTCTCATGACGTTGCAGTGAAGCTGCAGGCCAGCGGGCTGCAGTCATCAGAAGGCTGGGGCTGGCAGATCAGCTTCCAAGATGGCTCACTCACATAGCCATTGGCAGGAGGCCTCAGCTCCTCATCACGTGAGCTTCTTCACAGAACACCAGAGGGTTTTCATGACATGGCAGCTGGCTTTTCCAGACTGAGCAATTGGAGAGAAGGAGAAAGACAGCCACACTGTATTTTATGACTTTATTTCAAATGACCACTTCTGCAGTATTCCGTTGGCCACACAGCCCAACATTTATACCATGTGGGAACAAAACAATCAGGGCATGAATACCAGAAGGAAGAAATTATTGGGAGGCATCTTAGCAGCTGTCTCCCACAACTTCTTTTGAAGAAAAAATAAAGTCAACAAATCTTCAGTGTTGGTATAAATTATTTGTACTATTTGCATTTGCAAAAAAAAAAAAAACAAAAAACAAACAAACAAAAAACCATGAAACTAAATACAAACTTTTTTGGCATATATAAATTGCACAAAAAGTATGCTATAGCTTTTTAAAGCTTTATTTGCTAGTTCAGAAGCATCAGGCCTTGTAAAATCCAAAACTTTGTCAATTCTTAGATCCCAATTTTAATAAGATTTCCCTTGATAACTCTGCAACTGTCTTGTTTGTTCACATGAAGATAAGTCTCACGTTGCAGGGTTATTGAAACCTGAATTACATAGATATCTAATGCACTTACTGCTAGAATCAACAGAAAATTCTGCACTGCTTTTTTACTGCTGCACTTTTTGCTGATGGATGGTTGCAAGTTTGTGCAAAAAATGGAATCTGCATAATACATCTGTTCCCAGCAAAAATATGGTACTGGCTGCCACAGCACAAATTCTTTGGATTTCAGCATGCCTATATTCTGTAGGCCCCAAAATGATTCATTTCTCCTACCCCCTTTCCAATTTGAACCTCTGTGTAATTTTCCTTTTCGAATGCTATGATATCATTTGCCTTTACTTGGCACAAGCGATCATAAAAGAAAATGCAAAGCAGTTGCTTAAATCGTGCAACAACGTTCAATTTTAAGGCAAATCTCTAAGTGACATACAACATGCTTATATTAATTATTGTCACAGAAATTGAAAAGTGGTCACAACTTCTGATGTACTGAGATGAATGTTATTCCAACATGTAACTGGGTCCTGAGGCCACAGTTTAAGCTGACACCCTCAATCAGATGAAAAAGGGTCTGTCTTCATCTATAGGCATATCAGCAAGTTACCCAAAGAGAGAAGGGGGTAAAGGGATCACTGGAGAGCACAAGTATTGCCTACACTGCTAACACCTGTCTCCATTTGTGCTGCAAGTGTGGGGATCATGCCTAGATCTTAGGCTTCCCCTTCTGATTCTCTCTCGTATTTTTCTTGTCTTCCAGATTGTGAGACTCCCAGTTCTAGCCAGATATCACCACTTCAAAGACATAACAAAAAGGTCAGAACTGCAGTGGGCATTAGGAAGCAGTTGCTGCCATGGAGTTGGCATGGGTATTAGCAAATAGCATCCGCATGTTGGAGGAGATTTTTGGACTCCTTCGCTCTTCACTTCCTTCTACCCACTGCGCACCCCCCCCCCCACCCCCCAGAAAATACCCTCTGGGTCTGAGGGCTTCTTAACAAAAAATTCTCTGGCTTTGACACGAAGCATGGCTTTCAAAGATGATGGGGAGCCCCTGACCCCATAAATCTAGACTGTCAGCCAATGGCTGTTATGTTTCTAAGGGTACATCAAAAGTTTTTGCCCATCTGATCAGATAAAAGAATCCTCATGAAGTGGCTTATTCCCCTGCAGTGCAGAAGGCCCCTTGGTACCAGCTCACAGAAATCCTGCAGGAGGCTGTAGCTTCAGCTTCTCTAGCTCTGTCTGTTGGGCTTACTGCAGCTGGCTCCAATGCCAGTACTGGAGAGACACCACGTGTGGAGTCTTCCTGCTCAACCCCCCTCTTGCCTGCCATTAGGAGATGAGAGTCCACATCCTCATTGAAAGAGACAGGCAAGTCAAATCTCTCACACACAGTCGAGCGTGCACCCACTTTAGGCCTCTGTCAAAGAGTAAACGCAGCTGTCTTTTCTCCATGGAGAAAGCAGCCTGCCTGCTCTGCTCTCTTACTAATCAGGATGTTGCCTGAGGATGCTTTTCACCAGGACTGGAGAGAAAGCACTGAGAAGCTGGGAAGCGAGGTGTGCATGTGTGCATGTGCTGATGCTGACTACACTCCAGCGCCTTTGCTTTTTACAAACATACTTTCAAAACTCTAAAGATGAAAATCTAAAAGGCGGGAGAATGATCGATGACAGAGAAACTGCTTTGTTAAGAAACCCCTTGGGATAAGATTTTCTGATATATTCAGGGTCCAGCTCATGGTGGGGAAGTTCTCAGGAATCCATTTGACTGAGGGTCATGTTCATTCTTTGTTGCTGAACTGCTGCAGGTAATCCTAACTACAGCATAACAAGGAGGATGAGGAAAGCCTCCCAGGGGCTGAGCCAGATATGCCAGCAGTAGGCTTGGGTCCCCTGGACAAAAGTTCCATGCAGCTTAGTAGCAGTCAGACTCACCTTCCATTGCTAATGCAAATGAATCCTAAAGATGTCACTAAGGGGATCATTAAAAGTGAGCTGTAAGCTCTTGCTTTAGCTGCTGTCACCCAGGCTGGTAGGAGCGGACAATATCGAGAATTGCATTAGATCTGTAGCCAGGAAGTAGTTTAAAGCATGACATCATGAGGTTGTCAAAGTAACTGGCCAGGCTACCTCTCTGGACTCCCGTGGTCCATAATGACAGGACTTCTTAATGAACACTGAGCCACAGGAAAGGACATGCAGAGGAGTAGCCTGCAGCCTGAGGTGTGACTGCTGGCAGCCTCTACGCTCAGGCAAGTGCCGCCCACCCTGGGATTGTGTTGCGTGGCTGGATCACAAGGTGAGGCCCAGCAGTCCAACAACCCTCACTGACCACTGAGAGAGGGGAACAACTCTCTCTGGTATTATCAACTGCCAGCTCTCTCTGATATTATCTGCTGGTATTATCAACTAACTATCCAGAAGAATGCTGCCTTCCCTGTCCTCACCCTGACATCTGAAAGAGGCTGCGAAACTCAGAAAGAGTATCTTTTACTCTGAGAGCACCAGGCTGCAGCATCCCTGTCCATCCTACAATGGAACTCTATTAATTCCCTAGGCCTATGTCACAAAGCACCACAAACTGGGCCGGGTGTGGTGGCTCATGTCTGTAATCCCAGCACTTTCGAAGGCCAATGCGGGTGATCTCTTGAGGTCAGGAGTTTGAGACCTGTCTGGCCAACATGGAGAAACCCATCTCTATTAAAAATACAAAAAATTAGCCGGGCATGGTGATGCCCACCTGTAGTCCCAGCTACTTGAGAGGTTGAGGCAGGAGAATTGCTTGAAGCTCTGAGGCAGAGGTTGCAAGACTCCATCTCAAAACAAAACAAAACAAAAAACACCGAAGCACCACAAACTGAGTGGCTTTAAACAACAGAAATTTAGTCTTTCACTGTTCTGGAGGCTAAAAGTCCAAGATTAAGGTATAGGCTGGGCCATGCTGCCTCCAAAGCCTCTAGGGGAGGATTCTCCTAGCACCAAGGTTGCTTGGTGTGCAGCAGCCTCCACCTTCATGTGTCTGTGGCTTCACATGGCATTCTCCTCTGGGTGTGTCCCTGTGCAAATTTCCCTCTTCTTATAAGAACATCACTCATATTAGATTTGGGCCCACCCAATGACTTCATCTTTCCAAAGATTTGACTTCATTGCAAACACCCTTTTTCCAAATTAGGTCCCATTTACCGTTTCTGGGGCTTAGGACTTGAAGACATCTCTTTGGGAGGACAAAATTCAACCCACAATAGGCCTAGTCTTCATTCTGCACAACGATCAGTACACACAGGACTTGTCCAGGCCTGCAGCAGGACAGGCCCTGAGTTAGCTGAAGGCAAGAAGAAAAGCAACCAAAGCCAAACTGTGGGCGTAGAAACAATGGCAAAATGCAGAGCAACCCATGGCCTTGGAAATCAAGTCTACTTGGTGACTCCCAGCCTGCCAACAGCTTCCATCACTGCTCCTGTCTCCTTTTCTCTGACTAAAAGAAAGTCTTTGGGACAAGGAACTCATCAATAAAGCCAACTGGGCAGGGATGCACTTTCTGTCAAAGGGAGCAGAATGTGCCACCCCAACCAGTGCCATAAGAATTATTTTGAACTGAAAGCAATTGAAAAGAAACAGACAAAAGAAACACTCTCTGCCCTCCCTTTTTCTACCAGAAGGGGCAGGATGATTCTTAATCACCAGAGAGAATTCTGAATCCTTATCCAGACTGTGCAGAGGAATCCACATAACAAACCTTACATAATCAACCCTTGTCTACCAATAGTTTCTCCTATATACTTACATTCCCATAATTTGCAGCCCCTGGAAGCCCAAAGTCCTTTTCCTTAGTGTTGCTGCTTCTCTAAAAAAACTTAGTGTCCTTTTGCAAAGGTGCTATATAAGCTCAAATTCAAACCACCCTTTGAGTTGCTCATCTCCATGTTCTAATGTGAATGCACGATGCACATGCTCATAAACTTATGTTTGCTTTTCTCTTGTTAAGCTGTCTTTTGCCAGAGTCTTATTGACAGGGCCCTCATTTGGAGAACCCAAAATGGGTAGAGGGAGAAGATTTTTCCTCCTCAACACCGCAGTCACCAGGAAAACATATAGAATGATATCCTGGTTTTCTGTTCAGTATTACTCTCCAAGACCTCTAGGCTTGGCAAAGATTTCTGAGTTCTGTGAATCCTTCAGCCTGAGCAGCCCAGGAGGAAATACTCCTGTGAGATGTGCCTGCCTTGGCTGTCTTTGAATGGATGCTGTTCCTGTGGGGTTAGCACAGAACTTTTTGCATCATGTTAATATCAGGAGCCTGCCAGAACTCTTTGGAAAAGTATTCTTCTTGTGAATCAGAGTTACAAGGTGGAGAATTCCACTCTCAGAAACATAAAAGACCTGAAGGCTGTGCCACTCCTCTCGTGCCCTTTCTCTCAGGAGTACAGACAGGAAGTTCCAAAGATTTCTGCCTGAAGCTAATACTGTGCTGTTTGAAACATCACCCTTAACAATGGGATGAAAACCACTGACTCTGAAATAGCAATTTTCTCTCCGGAAATAAGGATATGCTTAATTTCAGGTGAGAAGACAATAATGGACGATGAAATAGGAGAATGTGATTCCTACAGCCAAAGGAGGAAGTAGATAAAAGGAGAGACTTGATCCATCCCAAAGTTTTTTTCCATGTTTAGGGATTATTTTTTCCACATCCTGAACCCAACTTGGTCTTAGGAAAATTGTGACTTTCATTTAGTCACTTGCTGGATGCTTTACATCTCACTTAATCTTCACAGACCCCTAAGAAGGTAATGCAGCATAGCAGCAGATAGCCAAGGCTCCAGAGTCTGATGGTTCCACTCGAGGCTGTATTCCCACATTATACCTCCCTATGTGACTCTAGGCAAGTTCTTTGTGCTGTAAAATGGGAGACCCAAATTCCAATTTCATAGCATGGATGTGAAGATTAAAAGAGATAACCTGATGAAGTGCTCAATAAACAATGGCTCCTATTATTAGATACTGCGAGTATAGTATTCTCATTTTCTACAAAGGTTTCTTTCAGAAAGGCTAACTAACATGCTCTGGTCAGACAATGAAATGTGCGGGACAGGATTCAACCTGTGATTGTCCGACTGCAAGCTCTGTCCCCCTCAGCGTTGACTATTATGCATGACTGCCTCCTTGACAATCTAGGCCAATGCTGCCTCTGGGGCTTCCTGACCTCCATTTCAGTTCAGGCTCCTGCCTTTCGGTTTCATCCTGGGAGTCCAGTATCCTCACGGCCTCTCCTCAGCCCAGAGCTGAGGTCTCCCCTTTGGAACTCATCCTCCCTAGAAAGCAACTCCAGCCAAACATCTTTTCCTTGAGATCCCTTCTGTCAGCATTGCCGTTGGCTTTCTGAAGTGACAGTGGTCACATAGGTCTGCTAAAATATCAGCAGCTGATGGTGGTTTAATTCCTTGCCCTTCAATAATTCAACAATAACACCAAGGAGAGCATTACAAGCCACTACGGTCAGGCAGTGAGTGGCACTGCTGATGCAGCCCAAGCTTATAAAACATAGCCCTGGTTCTCAGAGAATTCACAGTCTAGAAAGGAAGGAAGACATGAAAATAATGAACTCTCATGCTCTAAGGAAAGTGGTTTTGAACTGGGCTGATGTCTATGAATGACGAGCTGTGGGAGCACCAAGGTGGAGACATGTTGGCTGGGTCTGGACGATTGGGTCACATCGAACCAACGGACATATGGCAAAGCGTTCTGGATAAGAGCAAAAGATGATAGAATAAGTGTGAACCTGAGTGACCTAGGGGTATGGGCTGCCAGAGGGATAATGATAGGGCATGGCTTTAGACCCACAAAGAGGCCCGATGGGCAGGTCCTTGAATGCCTGCTGTGTAAGCCCTTTGCTTTTTCTCCTCTAGGCCAATGTTCTCAAACTTTAGCCTACCTCAGAATCAACTGCCAGCTTGATAAAGCACAGCTTTCTGGGCCTCACCCCCAGAGTTTTTGCTTCAGTAATCTGGGGTGGGAACTGATCATTTACATTTCTAACATTCCCAGGTGACCCTAAGGCCACTCCTTCTAGGACTACTGTATGAGTCCATTCTCACGCTGCTATGAAGAAATACCCGAGACTGGGTACTTTATAAAGAAAATAGGTTTAACTGACTCTCAGTTCCTCATGGCTGGGGAGGCCTCAGGAAACTTACAATCATGGCGGAAGGCACTTCTTCACAGGGCAGCCGGAGAGAGAATGAGTGTCGTGTAATGGGAGAAACTCCTTACAAAACTGTCAGATCTCATGAGAACTCACTCATTATCACAAGAACAATATGGGGGAAACTGCCCCCATGATACAGTTATCTCCACCTGGTCCCCCCCTAAACACGTGGGGATTATTACAATTCAAGAGTAAGATCTGTCTCACGCAGATGTTAAAGTTTGGGGAGGATAAATTGAGATTCACATTATGAAAGGGCTGTGAAACAATAACTGTAATACAAATGCAAGTCATTATTTTTAAAGATTTTCCAATTCCCCCAAAATAATATAACATATATATTCAAAGAAATTGTTAATAGGACCAGTAATTTTTTTTCAGGAATACTCTAATAGGCAGTTTTCTTTGTTTCACTGTGAGTTCATAAATAACTCTTTATATGTGTTAGAGGAACAGAAAAAAATGTGAAAGCTGTTAACAGTAAGGAAAATAAATTGAAATAAGTCGAGTGTAAGATTATTCAATCAAGTGTGTTCAGTTAATGTATAAACGATGATGAGTGACATTAAGTTACAAGGCAATTCAGGGAATGTTCACTCAATATCATCTGTGTAAAGTAATGGGAAAAAGCAAATATTCATCTGTTTTATTAATATATGTAATTTAAAAGTCTCCAGGCCTCCTCAAACTATGGCTTCCACTGATATCACACTGACATGCATTTAAAGATTGGGCTGGCAGACATGATAACAGGCCCTCTGTATAACTACAGGCAATCTGCACAGACTTCACCAATTAGTCTAAGAATCCCTGGGGTATTTCACATCCGTTCATGATTATTTCAGGTTTTTGTTGATGTCCACCACCCACAAGCCTCAGAAAAATGTGCCTTTTTGGAGTACGTGTCTTTAGCATCTAGAAAACCATTTCTTGCAGGGTTGCAAATTACATAACCTCTGAAGAGCCTGTAGGTCCTACCTAAATGGAAATCCTGTGGTGTCAGATTCCAGAATGGGGAGGCTGGCTTCTTTCCTTGGTTCTTGCAGCTGGATCCTGGGGATGGGCTGGGGAATGACCAACGAAAAGCCAACAGCCTTTTCCCTTGCTTCATGTCATTTAGATTAAGGCAACTCTTAAAAACGGCCATTATCAGAAAACATACCTTCATGCCACCATAGAACAATACTTACTGTTTTACAAACAATAAATAGACTTGATCTCTTGATCTCAGATATCTTGAAAGCTTTATTGGATTTCTAGTGGTGACTCTGGTGAATGAACTTTTCTAAGAAAACAGACAGGGTGTTGAAAAACAGAAAAGAGGTAAGATATATTCTCCAGCTCCAATGAGACCAGCCACAGCTACACTTGGCTTGGGATCAGTTATCTGCACACCCAGCCATTTTCCAGAGCAGTCCTGGCCTCACCGTAGCCCGCTTTGTGCTCACAGCAAGTTCAGCCCTGCTGTGCTAATTTCCTGGTTGCTTTTCTCTGGCAAGGGGACGTTTGTGAAATTCTCCATTCAAGCTGTAAAGAATGACTTTCAATCTTTTTGCTTTTGATGAGAAATAACAGATCAGGTCACCCTTCCTTCCAGAGCAGCGCAATGGAGGAACATCACAGGTAACAGCCTTTGTGGCTGTGCTCCCAAGAGGAGCTGCTGCCCCCACCCCACTGCCCTGCTGCACAGGTTGTAATGACCTCACTGCATGCTCAAGCACAGGGAGTCGGGGGTGGGGGGTTGTGTATGCATGGCTGTGGGGCGGTTCAAATTCTAATAAATGGATAGTCTCCTCTCAATTAACTCATTGCAGGGAGCCACAAATTCAAATGCTGTAGAACCTCTCCCTTGAACAAGTAACAAGCCTTTCCTCTTTTTGTTGGTTTTCACACACACACAAATGATAAATTTACCTGTAAGTTATGATCTGTGCAATGCTCAAACACTGACCATGTGTTACCAACCCTGCCTGGAAGAGAATATGAAATCCAGCCACATGCTGCAGAGCCATGTGAGTTGATAGAGTTAGAACAGTTGCTTTGAGCTAATGGGAGGTTTTTCCTTCTACCATACTACTAAGGAGACACAATGCCACTGGTGTTAACGCCAGACCTAAATTCAAAATCTCGATGTTGTTGCTTATAAACAATTTTACAATCTTGCATCTTGTAACTAATTTTTTTAATGGTAAACATGCAAAAGAATGACGGAACATTAAATCATTGTCATTATCTTTGATTTCTGTTTCATCTGGTAGTTAGAAGCAAACTGACTGGGATTATGGGCGATATTTGATTTGGGATTAAAACTAACCACAAACAAAACAGGTTTGTGGATAATTTGGAACGTTTTGTTAAAATGTGAGGTTGGCATGTTTCCTTCTAATTCTTTAAAATCCACGAAAAGAAGGGTTTAATTCATTAATTTCTTTTACATCTTGAACATTTCCTTTTAATATAAAATTAAATGCAAAGTAATAAATAAGTACTATGTTCTCTAAATCCTTCCATTTGTTTTAAAAAGCAAAAAAAAGGGTGTCAATAAAAGTTAATTTTTTAATGTAATTTCTTTGCTTATGGTTATACAAATGTTCACTAAAAGTAATCACAAAGTCAATGGAAAAGTTGGGAGGGCATTTATGGAATAATGATGAAGCAGTTTAAAAATGTCAGAAATAAACATCAGTCTCTCAATTTCTGAAAAATATGAGTTGCTAAGGATTCTCCTTGTATTAGTCAAAGTCGTCCAGAGAAATAGAACTGATATGACATACACATAGATAGAGAGAGATGTCAATCGTAGGAACTGTGTAAAGCCTGTCTGGCAGGCCCTTAGGCTGGAACTTAGGCAGAGGCAGTCTAGAGAAAAAATTCCTTCTTCTTTCTGAAATCTCAGTCTGCTCTTAAGGCCTTCAGTTGACTGGATGAAGTCTGCTCACATTGTGAAGGTCAATCTATTTAAAGACTGTAAATGTTAATCACATCTGTAGAATATCTTCACAGCAATATCTAGAATGGTGTTTCACCAAACAACCGGACAGCATAGCATAGCCAAATTGACACATAAAATTAACCATCATGCTACTAAAAGTAGAATTACAGCCATGGTGGCTCACACCTGTAATCCCGGAACTTTGGGAGGCTATGGTGGGTGGATCACCTGAGGTCAGGAGTTCAAGACCAGCCTGGCCAATGTGGTGAAACCCTGTCTCCACTAAAAAAAAAAAAAAAATAGCCAGGCATGGTGGTGGGCGCCGGTAATCCCAGCTACTTGGGAGGCTGAGGCCTGAGGCAGGAGAATCACTTGAACCCGGGAGGTGGAGGCTGCAGTGGGCCAAGATCACCATTGCACTCCAGCCTGAGTGAAAAGAGTAAAACTCTGTCTCAAAAAAAAAAAAAAAAAAAAAAAAAAAAAAGAAGGTGTGCTAAGAGCAAAGTTGAGAATTGTGAGAATTGTGTAATTCCCTCAACTATTATTTTCCCACAAGAAACGCTACTTATTATTTAGTCCTCAAAGAAATGGATTTCTGTCTTCAAGAATGTGTGTGTGTATTTGTAAGTGAGTTAACAAAATAAAGCTACGACTAATAATGACGTTAACTTATAATCTTGATTGGATTATAAAATTTGATTATAAATTTTAAAGGAAATATCTTATTCACATGTACTTTTTAGCCCAAGGACTTGACATATAAATAAAATAAATTATTTTTTACAAATCAAATGGTAGTCTGATATTGGTGGATTATCTTGTACTGAATTAACCTCTGCACAGGTGATTACTATAAATTCTGTTCAAAACATAAATCTATTTCAAGGCACCAAGAGCACCTAAAAGCAGACAAGCACTGGGGCTGGGGAGGAGGTGGCACATGAAGGAAGGAACTGTAGTGGCTAAGATCCACATTTATGCGACTTTTCTCTTAGGACTTTGCCTTGTCTGTAGAACAGGATGGTTAGAACTCACAGAAGGCAACATTCTTATGGCTTACAGTGTTAGAGAAGGTTGTTTGAGGCTATCAGAGAACCTGGAAATTAAGGGGGAAAATCCTAGGAAGGAGGTCACTACAGGCATATAGTGGGGGGAGCTTCCAAAATTACAAATAAATGACCATTAAATCCTTGGCTGAACACTGAACTGTGTATGCCCAAAGAAAACGACAGAGTCCAGCAGAAGGCAACAGCTGGAAGGCTAAAAAAAAAATCTGAGCACAGGTTCCAGTTGCTGCCTGGAACAGAAGAAAGAATTTGGAGTTTGAGTCCTGTCAATAACCTTGTTTAATAGAAAGAGAAACCTGAGATATTTAAAGTTTACCATATGGTATAGCCAATATGACTTTGTTGTGGCTTTTGTTCTTGTCCCAAGAAAACTGATGAGAAATAATGTTGGCAAATGTGGCCTACATATAAGCCTATACACTGATGCATCACAATTTGGTGAACGATGATCAAGAATAATTACCAGTGGATTCTCAGCCATGATCCGTCTGTGCCAGGTGATAAAGCATTTTCATCAAAATGCTCTCTGGTGAATAGCTCTTTTAACTTGTAGAATCATCATGAAGAGCAGCTCTTTTAACTTGTAGAATCATCAAAATGGGGGAAAAGAGAATGAGTGGAACACTAATCATCAAGATCTAGATTCAAATGGCCCTGATAAGTTGAAGAAGAAGTTGAAATTTAATAGAATGCAATTGAATGGACAAACTCTTAGGAAAGAGGACCAGAAAGCATAAAGAAATACAACAAAGCCAGTGATAGACTAGTTGAGTGGTTCTTGAACTTTTGGTATCAGGACCCCTTCACTCTCTTAAAAAATATTTTGGCTGTACAAAACTATAATTTATATGAATTTTATCTGTTGGTACTTAACAGATTATAAACTAAAATTGAGAAATTTTGAAATGTATTTTTAATTTATTTAAATATAGCAAAAAAATTCCATTTTATACTAACTTAAGTAACATATTTTTATGAAAAATAAAATAGCAGCTGACAAGCCTGGCATTATTTTACTTTTTGCAAATCTCCTTAATGTCTGGCTCACTAGAAGACAGCTGGAGTCTCATATCTGATTCTACGTTCAGTATGTTAAAATATCACGTATCACGTGCCCTCTGGCAAACTCTACACTTGTGAAAGCATATGAGTGAAAACTACAAATAACATCCTGATATTATTACAAAAATAGTTTTTACCTTGTGGACCATCTGAAATGGTCTTAAGAACCCCCAAGAATTCCCCCAGAGAAAATTTACATGGAATATAAATATTCTTATGCTCTGGGTCACTTTTTAGACTTTCATTAACATATTTCTTTTCTGCTTCTTTTCCACTGACACTAGTCCTTCAGTCTTCTTCTTTATAGCTCTCAGACCACACATGTGTTTGTCTCTCCTTCTAGGCAAAGTGGGCAATCCAGATGTATCACTTGACTTTCTGACTACTGGAAGAATTTCCCTTCATTATTGCACACCAGGGGTATCCCACAGGTAAGGTAAAAACTTGCAACTTCCCACTTCAGACTGGTTCCAGATCATTGTACAGAAATGTCTTTAAGTCAGGCTTGACTATTTTTCTCAGTCCCCATGAGTACATAGTTGTAGGGTGAGGGAGTTGTACACAATGCAGCAAAACTAGCTGCACTAAGATTATGTGCCAAATGATCATGCAACATACTGGTGCTTTCAGTATCTGCTGAAATCTAATTTTATAATTAATGATGATTAGCTTCTCAAATTTATGGCTCAGTGGGCCATAGGATACCCTGTTTATGATGAAAGCTCAATTTGCATGGTCACTTGATATCTCTAGAACTTAATAGCAAGCCAAGGGCTATTTCTAAAGAAAAGAATAAATATTTTTGGAAGAAGGTACCACTCTGCTTCAAAACCCAAAAGGCCTGCACCATGATTATCTTGATGGGACTTCCCACAATATCCCTAGAGTATCCCCATCTACCATAGAGAATTTGAAAACCTAGGGTCTGCTGTGACATAAAGTCCAAGAAGTAAATAGAAGTGCTTAAAATGCAGACTGGTTTAGCGGCTCCCAAATGTGATACATTGTTTCCTTCAAAAACCCCAGGGTTCCTTTCTTATGTGGTAAGAGTTGTGCAAAATCTAGAAACTTGTCTTTCTTTAGATGTAATATTCTGACATGCCCTGAACTATACGAGTGCCAGAAATTTCTCAGAGCTAACAGGCACATAAATTTTCATTGTGTTTGTATTTCACCTTTGACAGGCATGTATCTCACCAGGTGTTTGGGTTGTCTATTGTTCTACAACAAATCACTAAATTGTGGTGGCTTAAGAGAACAACAATCATTGTATTACCTCTCATGTTTTCTGCACATCAAGTGGGAATGTCTTGACTAGACACTTCTGACTCAGGGCCTCTGCTGTAGCTGTGGTCAGATTGCATCTGGTGTGGGAAAGATGAGGAGCTGAGGCATCTGGAGGAAGGCCGGGAATTTCTCCCTTCATAGAATCTCAGGACTCTTTGTATGATCCTTCCACTTCCCTCCAGCAGGACAATTTTTCTGTTTATACGACAGGTGGAGGCATCAAGCACAAAGATTCTACTGAATAAAATGAAAGCCATTTCCTCTTGCCTAACTGATATGGTTTGGCTGTGTCCCCACCCAAATCTCATCTTGAATTGTAGCTCCCATAATTCTCACGTGTCATAGGAGGGACCCAGTGGGAGGTAATTGAATCATGGAGATGGGTCTTTCTCGTGCTCTTATTGTGATAGTGAATAAGTCTCAGGAGATCTGATGGTTTGGTAAAGGGGAGTTCCCCTACACAAGCTCTCTCTTGCCTACTGCCATGTAAGACGTGACTTTGTTCCTCCTTTGCCTTCTACCGTGATTGTGAGGCCTCCCCAGCCATGTGGAACTGTGAGTCAATTAAACCTTTTTCCTTTATAAATTACCCAGTCTTGGATATGTCTTTATTAGCAGAGTAAGAACAGACTAATACAATAACCTAGCCTTGTGGGATGCAAAACCACTTCTAATGTGCTCTTCTGGTTGAAGCAGTTAGAAAAGCCCACCCAATACCTGAGCCATTTGAGGAAAATATAATCTGACAAACCAGGTATCAAGGGTATCTACTAATTTCTGCTGAACAGGTGCTGTAGCATGAAATTAATATAGAGGTCCAGAGTGATTAGAATGATGAGACAATCATGGTTTAGTTTA
The DNA here is from genome assembly GCF_000001405.40 of Homo sapiens. Taxonomy (NCBI): domain Eukaryota; kingdom Metazoa; phylum Chordata; class Mammalia; order Primates; family Hominidae; genus Homo; species Homo sapiens. The sequence continues at coordinate 34,431,269 of NC_000013.11, forward strand.
TGATAGTGTGTAGAAGGGTTGGCCTTGCCCTGAGCTAATATGGCAAAAGTATACTGCTATGCCTTTCAGGTGAAAGTAGATTGTTTCTAGTACCCTATTTATTAGCATAATTGTATATTTTTTTCCAGAAATATAACTGGTGCATAGCCAGGACAGAGCAGATGTTTTTTGCTTTAGAAAAGAGATTGCACCTGGAACAAGAGACGTAATTTAAATCACCACCTGATTGGTTTACAATAGTTTCCTATTATTCTCCTAGACCCCTTCATCTCCTGAGTGAAGGAATAAATGTCTTATTTGGGAAGAAAATAGATATTCCTGAAGCATTTATGTTTTTGGATGTTGGCTACAATTTACCTTGGGGTTCAGTATTGCTTAAATTTAACTTTCTAGTTACAAGTGCAATTCCAAACTCTTATGTTTGGCTCTTCCTACCATAATAGTCTTCACTCCTTTAGTCAGAAGAGTTATTGTAGGAAATCTGCCAGCAGCCAAGTTTGTCTGTTATAGCCAGGCTTTCAGAAACCAAAGACATAATCGTTTTCTTTGTGTTTGTATTCCACCTTTGACAGGCATGTATCTCACCAGGTGTTTGGATTGTCTGTTGTTGTGTAACAAATCACTCTAAATTGTAGTGGCTTAAAAGAACAATAATCATTTTATTAGCTCTCATAGTTTCCGCAAGTCAAGTGGAAAGGGCTTGGCTGGACATTTCTGGGTAGGCTTGCAGACAATGGGACCCACTGTCAGACAGACTTGGGCCCCAACTCCACTTAACCCTTGATCTCTAAATGCCCCCACAGTCATGTTTTATGTCCTCAGAGATTTACATGTTTCAATGCCAGTGGTCAATAATCCCTACAATTACTTGGCATTTTCCTTTCCCAGTTGTTCTAATCAATGGCTGCAGATGTCTTTAAGAAAGCAAAGAAGGAATCTTGTACAATGTATATGTACTTGTTTCAATGACTTACTGTTGTTCTGCAAGGATTTATGAACTGGTTCATGTCACGGAATTGAAACAGTGACAATGACTCTCAATCAAGTGACTCAACTCATAGCTTCATTTCTAGATCTAGATGTGCTTGTTTGTTTGGGGTTGTATAGATTAAGCAAGACTTTAAAGCCTATCCATTTACTAGAGTCCTAGGGAAGCTCATGCTCAATTAAGCACCAACAAAGATTTCTATGGGTCAGACTTGTGATTATACTCTAGCCTACTAATTATTTCAGCAACAGATCACTTTTTTCTGGTGATTAATTACTGACACTGGAGATTTCATCAAATCCTAAATTGGGGAGCTTCTTTCAAAGCCATAATTTTTCAAAGCCTTCATCATAGGCTTACCAAAGATAACAGCATTTGCTCCCAAGCACTTTACAAAAATATGCGTACTTTCATAGCGAATATATTTTCCAGTCTTTAGTTAAGGGAGTATCCTTGAGCCCTATTCTGATTACTTGGTAAAGGTGAAGATAAATGAGTCACACAGCAGAAAATCAATTAAAAAGTCTTATATCCTTATGTCTTTGGATTCCCCCTCTACATATATATGAACATATATTTGAGTATCAAGGAGCTATACTAGGAGAAAAGTACCTAGGTAGTACCTTAATAATCTAAGAAATGTTTAATATTTTAACACCATTTAGTGTAGACATCATTGAAACAAGCAGAAAACGTAAAAAGGTGGAGTTTTGGCCCATGTCTGTCCCACAGTGGGCTCAGTGTCAACAAACCTATTTCATCATTATAGTTTCTTATCAAGTGTATTTTATTGTACTGCAAAACGAATTGTATTTCCCAAATTTCCTTGAGGCTAAGGTTTCGTACGTTAATTAAATAAATTTGTGCTCACTCGAAGTACCTACGTAAGATTTGAAGGAAAGGAGAATAAATGCCAACCATCAGCTACAACCATTGTAGTAACCATTAAAACCAAGCAACAAAATAAAATAAGCTGAGGCAAGAGCTTTGAAATAATTTATTATGAAGTATAAAACTAAAATTTCCAAAATTTTTAAGTCACACAGACAAAAAGTATGAGCTTTTCTGCAGTGTTAATAGGAAAAGTGAAATATCCTTTGTAAGTTATCTTCCTCTATGTTTTATAACATACATCTTAGTGTTTTACAAATAATTTGTAAAATAAATGTGAAGAGAAAGGATATTTGTTTTAAAAAATTTATTGATGAAATATTTAATCAAAATCAAATGTGAAGACTACTGATCTAGGAGACAAAGAAATAGGCCAACAATAATTATGTGGGGGGCATTATAGTTTAAAAAGCAATAGAAATTTAGATATATATGTCTATATATATGTTAAGTAGAAAACACAGAGGTACACACACATATGTATATACATACACATACATATTTCTGTGAGCACTGTCATTATCAGACTATTCAATGCCAGTGGCCCAACATTGAAGCCTTTATCAGATATGAACATATTTCTAAAGTCATTTATTTCTATTCATCAGGTCAATGATTTTTGGCTGCCACTACTATGACAAGGATATTAAGTTATGAAAACGTTTATCAATGTTCTCCTTCAAAAGAAATTTGAATGATGCAGGTAATAGACATGATGAATTGTCGGCCAAAAGGGCCAGGTGAAGCTCATCAGAAACAGTTGAAATTCTGCATGAAATTTTCAGCCAGATTTCCAAATATGTAAGACCTTCTCATTGACCAAGCAGCTTAATCTCAAAGGCTAATGCTTCTTATTCTCAACTACATCATATGATCTTGTGATAGATATAACAACAGCAGTCCTGAAGATGATTTCTGTAAAAATAATTCTGGAAAGGACTTTAAAATTCAGAACTTTTATATTAAATTAATTTCATCAATGAATATTAGACAAGGCCAGATAGCTTTTCTAAGAAATATAAATTGCCTAATAGTAATGCATTGAGATAGTGCATATTATACAAAAATGTAATACCATGTATGGTACTTTCCAATAGCCTTCTTATTTTCATGAAAATGAGATCTAAATTGCTGAACAGAAAGAACAGATCAATTTTTGCCTGAGCTATATTTTTAAGAGTCAAAATTTAATGGAGATACTTTACCCTAAATCCTCTATTACTAAAAAAAATTTTACATTCTTTTCTAGGCATTTTCATCACACTCTGACAGCAGAGATGATGAATCTTAGAACATAAAATCATTAGCCAAAATGACCTCCCGTAGAGATGCTCAAATAATAATAGAAAAGGGATATTGAGTGATTAGAAATTATCTAAAAGATTTTCACAGATGACTCTCTATTTTCTTCAGCATTCTTTAAAATGCAATAAAAAACAGAAATAAAGGGAAGAGCTGCCTCTGTTATCTAAACTATGTCATATACAGTAGAAATTTAGACCAGTGAAAGCCTACATACGTGGTAAAGGTGTCTCCTTAGAGATACTTCACCATATGGAAACCTCAGGAAACAAGATGCTCAAGACATTCACTGTTCAGAAGCCAATAACCACTTCCATGCATCTGAACATCGCTTACTCTGAGATATACTACTTTGAGCTGATGTGAAAATTTGCAAACCGTATATTTCAGTGAAGTCTGCCAGCCTCTAGCATAGTGGTATTTTTATTACTCCAATAAACATTGTTGCTTTTACTCTACAATATGAATTATATAAGTAGCATATATATGAGTATCAAGGAGCTATACTAGGAGAAAAGTACCGAGATAGTACCTTAATTTTAGTACTATAATTCATAATAAATATTGAATTGCGCTTCTTGTCAGTGATAATATGTTTCTAATCATAGAAGGTGAGGGATTCTATTTCTCCTGTATTTTCCATGAATGATAATGATATCAGAGCAATAATAACCCTACACTCTTTATTCAGTTTTTACTATATGGTACCAGATTTTTAAAGTTGTTTTGTGCATTATCTCATTAATTTTCAGAACAACCCTAGGAGGTTGGTATTATTTCAGAGCTCTATTACAGATAAGGAAATGAAGGCTAAAGAAAGGTTAAGCAAATTGCTCAAAGTTAAATGGCTGTGTCCGATCTGCACTTCGAGCTACGTGATCCCAAAGCCCATGCTCTTAACCACTAGGTTATTATATTGCTCTTCCTTGAAGTAAAATGTTATGTCTGATACCAAGGCAAGAAAAGCTTTTTATAGAGCCTGTTTTTCACCTATGACTCATTTTTTCTGCCATACAATTTTAATAAGGACATGAAGGGTCCTGGGGTGAGCACTTTCCAGACCTCTCAGGCTGTTCTTGATGGGCGCTTGCAGAGATCATGACTCATTCTTCCACTGTCATCCTGCAAGTGGGCTGTGTGTGACACAGCAACCCAGAATCCAGACTCTTTCTCCACAGCTCATGCCAATCTGCGACTGAAGAAATTCGGGGATGGTTTGGACAGTGGGATTGAGGAAAATAAATAAAATCTATAGAGCACTTTTTCTGTTAGGTAAAAGTAGACAGAATCATGGCATATAATAAATTATTTATAAATTTACATAATAAAATATTTATTATGCAAATCCAATCATAAAATTCTGCATCATCAAAAATAAGGTGATATTTACAAAGAAATTCTTCTTAAAATACACTTGGAACATCTACCTATAAATATTATGTATTAAACAAATATTTCTAGTATTTTTTAAGAGACGACATATTATTTGTTTACCAATTTCAGAAAGACATTATTTAATGAATAAGAATCCTCTACATTTACTAAATCAAACCCAAAATGATTTTTATTACCAGTTTACAATGTTTATATATTTAACCATGAAGAGGTTATGACAGAGAATGGTTTAAGTTGCATTTTCCTCAGTGATTTAGAAGGAATTCAGGTAGCAGTGCCTATAAAAAGTATGGGTTCATTTTCTTAGTTTTCAGTATAATATATGCAAATAAAATAAAAGCAATCAGTACACTAAAATTGCCGCTAAATAGAAGTAGTTAAGTTGAAAAGAAATTTAATTTTTTAAATCAGATAATGCCATTTCTCTGGCAAATTATACTGATTAAAGATAAACACTTTGTTTATAGCTTTGTTGAATTTATCAATGACGTGTGCAATAATTTTTCACAAAAAATTTTTATTGCATTTTTCTCTTTTTAAAACTTCTTGTAAGTAGCAAATTAGTATGTTTGATGTTATTATATAATAGTAACACTGTTATGTTTGATGTTGTAATAGTAACACTGATCTTTTCAGAATTCTGAATAAGATGAGTTTGGACTTTTCCTTTAAGGAAGTCATCAGTGTAATATAGAAAAATCTCATACATGTGAGTTTATTCTTCCTTTTCACTATAGCATAATCCTGGAAAATACTTCAAGATGGCAATTCTGGCTAACATCTCAGCACTATACAGGTATATGACTGGCTATATGCCATAAAAGGAAAGGTTCAATTAAACTTTCACAGCTCCAAATATATATGTCTTCAGGAAAAGTCACAGTAGGCCTTACCAAATTCAGTGTCATTTAAAGTTATTCGATAAAGAATATGGTAAAAATTTAGATATATGAAAAATTATACATAACGGGCAAAAATACAAGTAGTCCAATGGGCAAATTCTTGGCTACTGGAATGCAAGGTAGGTTGTAGCCACAAAAAATAAGCTATTGTTTGATACTCCTCTCACTCAGTTCATCTTATCATGTGCATTTTCACTGTATCAGTTCATATTGTATTGATACCATTTTTATTATTTTATCTCTTTACTGGTCTAGTTGTCACTAAAAAAGAAAGCAATTGATAGCAAGGATGTAGGTGCTGTTTTTAGCATAAGAAAATTATTTGGAACAGAAAATTTTAAAAATTAGAAGCATGAAAGTACTTTTAATCTATACAAAATTCAAATGGAAAACCAATTTATTGATTTTCCATTATTTCCAGGTGTAATAATAATTTCTAGGGTGTAATAAAGTATTTCAAATTCTAGGGTGTAATGATAATAATTTCTAGGGTGTAATAAAGTATTTCAAATTCATGTCATAAGCTAATGTAGTACAAGCAGTTGATGTCCAACAAATGATGATTGTCAATGGATGAATGATATGAGCATATTTCTGGGAAGCATTTTTCAAAATAAGGACTGACCCAACATTTCTTCCCACTATAGTTTTCTCTCTCTTCAATTTCTTTAAACTTACAAATGCAGCTTATCTACATTATCAATAATGTCACTACAAATAAGACCTCTTTTAAGTCTCTTTTAAGTTTCTTTTTTTTTTTTGTCCATCACTGCCAAAATGATTATTTCATTTTAGCTACCCTGCCAGAGAAATTTGAGCAGATTATTTATTTTCTGCAAAAAGTGCTCCACCTCATCATCCAATTTGAGTTCTCCCAGTTAGTCCACTGGCAGTAGTACACTTTTTTCTATAATGCAAAACAAAGAGGACAGATTTTTTGACCGCGAAAAATAAAATCTATTCTACATTAACAATAGCATATGATATATGCCAGAAATATGGCAAAAAGACACCCATGACTCTCTTGGTATCCCTCACAGTTCTTAACATTTTGTTGAAGTACTGTGTTGTAAAGGTCCTTGAATGTGGACTCTGTGAATTAGGTTAAGTTTCTAAATATTTTTGAGTCTTGGTTTCCACACCAGATGAGAGGTATATTAAATCAAATATGATAAATAATCCACAGGGTTAATAATATATGTGTAAAAACATTAACAAATTATAAAATTATTAAAGTGATGGTGAAAGTACTATTATTAATGATGATGATTGTGTGACTAACTACTGCAGCAAAAACAAACTTGTATCTAATCCTATCTGTGGACTGCTAAGGGGCCATGTGGTACATGTTTTGAAGAACACAAAGTTCTATTACAGACTTAAGTTGGAACAAAGAAAATCACCCCCTGATAATTACAAAAAGACAATATCATGTAGTTTTAATATAGTTTTATACTCTTGTGAGTATACAGACACCCTACTAGCTTGAAATTCAATTCAATGACTATTTTTGTTTGTTTGTTTTTCCCTTTTTTACCACCCTATCTGTGACGGGCACTGTGCACATAAGTCAGACACTCAGAGGCCAGTTTTTCCCACTGTCCATATTCTGACCCAAAGTGCTCACAATTTTCTACTTTGTCCTTTGGATGAAGTGCCAGAAAAATGATGAAAGACAAGAGAACACTAAAAACAAAACAAAACAAAACAAAAAATTAACATGGAAAAAATTGGAGGTATGAAAGGCAGTTTAATAAAAAACCAAAGCCTGTATTTTGATAAGATTTAAGTAAGTAATGAAGTTTCTCTCCACAGAGAAATAAAAAACTGAACAAAACCTGAGGGAGTTCTGTTATATGCAAACTTGCTGAAACTCACAATCTGTATATTGCTTGGAATGGTTTTTGACTATTAAAAACTCCTTCCACAGTGTGTGTTTCCTAAGGCTGCCATAACAAATCAAATTGAGTTGCTTAAAACAACAAAATTGTATTATTTCTGGGTTCTGGAAGCTCAAAGTCATAATCAAGGTATTGTCAAGCCATGCTCCCACTGAGGGCTCTATGGAAGAATGCTTCCTTGCCTCTTTTGGGTAGCTCCTGGAAACTGCTGACATTGCTTGGCATATAAATGCATCACTCCAATCTCTGACTTAGTCTTCCCATGGCCTTCTTTCTTTATGTCTCCCCTGTGTCTCTGTATCCAAATAGCCCTCTTCTTTCTCTTATAGAAACACCAGCTATTAAACTTAGGGGCCACACTAATCCAGTATGACCCTAACTTGATTATACCTGCAAAGACGCTATTTCCACATCAGGTCACATTCACTGGTGCCAGGCACTAGGACTTGAAGATATCTTTTGGGGCAGATAACTTAACCCACTATCCAAGTAAAAGAAGGATTCTACTCAAGCCTAAATTACATAACAGGGGACAAAGATCAATAGCACAATATGGATTTAAAAGGAGTGATTAAAGAATTAAATTAGATCTATATGTGTTACCTGAAAACTGCCTACATAATACAATCTGTAAAATAGGAGGGGGAAAAACTGTTTTCATATACTATTCTCTCAACACAGAACACTTCTTTTTTTATTTCAATTTGTTTGGGGTACAAGTGGTTTTGGTTACATGGATAAGTTCTTTACTGGTGATTTCTGAGATTTTAGTCAACCCATCAGCCAAGCAGCATACACTGCACCCAATATGCAGTCTTTTATCCCTCACTCCCTCCTAACCATCCACCCCACCCCGAGTTCCCAGAGTACATTAGATCATTCTTACGCCTTTGCATCCTCATAGCTTAGCCCCCAACCCACACTTATAAGTGAGAACATATGCTATTTGATATTTGGTTTTCCATTACTGAGTTACTTCACTTAGAATAATGGCCTCCAGCTCCATTCAAGTTGCTGCAAAAGACATTATTATTTCGTGCCTTTTTGTGGCTGAGTAGTATTCCATAAAAAACACAGAGCACTGCTGTGACCACATGTGTGGGTTTTTTTCTCCTCTCACACCAACCAATTCTCCAACACCAGCAGAGCATCCTAAATCCCGACACTAACTAGAATTAGTGCAGGCCCCACCAGGTTAAGGGCTCAGTCCCACAAGACTGCCCCCTACTTCAGATGTCAATTGCAAATCCCAGATTGTTCTACCTATGCTTCCAACCCACCAGCTATAAACCAGAGGTTCCCACAACACTCGTCTTGGGTTCAATTATTTGCTAAAATGTCTCAGGACTCAGGAAAACACTTTACTTATATTTACTTGTTTATTATAAAAGGACACAAATGAACAGCCAGATAGAAGAGATGCATAGGGCCAGGGATGTGGCAAGTTCCACAGCTTTCATGCCCTCTTAGGGTGCACCGCCTCCCCATATCCTCCACTTGTTCACCAACCTGAAAGCTATCTGAACCCTGTAGTTCAGGGATCTTTATGAAGGCTTCATCATATAGGCCTGAGCAATTATTAACTAAATTGTCAGTCCCTCTTCCCTTCCTGGAGGACCAGGGAAGGGGGCTGAAGGTTCAAAGCTTCTCATCATGGTGTGTTCTTTCTAGTGATCAGTCCCCATCCAGGAGCCCACCAAGAATTGCCACATTCATAAAAAGACATTTCTATCACCCAGGAAATTCCAAGGGATTAGGATCTGTATCAGGAACCATGGTCAAAGATCAAATATAAGGGAGAAAAAAGTGCTTAGCATCCTTATAGCTCAGAAAATTACAAAGGTTTTAGAAGCTCTGTGCCAGAAACCAGGGGCAGAGACCAAATATACATTTCTTTTTATATCACAATATCTCACAGTCTTTTAGAAAAATACTACATATTGGTCATCTTTATAGCCACATAAAATAAAGGTTAAGAGAAAACATTAAATGTGAACCAAATAATAGTTGAAATAAAGAATACAATAGATGGGTTAAGTAGTCATATAAATCCTGTGAAAATAAGAATATATTATTCAGAAAGACAATACTATCTCAGAAATCACGAGAAAAGACTAAGCTGATGTAAAATATTAAAAAAAGCTAAAATATATGGAAGATTGAAACAGAAGGCCAACATCCAAAAGATAGAAGGCTTTAAAGGATGGGGAAATGAAAACAAAGAGGAGGAAATATTTGAAGAAACAATGAAAATAAATTTCTAGAATTAAAAGAAGATAAAAAACCTCAGGCTGAAAGGGTTTATATAGTTCCAGTATGAAAAAACAGCACACAAACAGATTATGGTGAAGTTTAAGAATATCGAAGACAGGCCCTGGCCTGTTGTGGGGTTGGGGGAGGGGGGAGTGATAGCATTAGGAGATATACACCAACATGGCATATGTATACATATGTAACAAACCTGCACGTTGTGCACATGTACCCTAGAACTTAAGTATAATAAAAATATGTTTTAAAAAAAAGAATATCAAAGACAAAGAGAAAATTAAAAAACCTTCCAGAGAGAAAGAAAGGATTGATAAGGATGATGGACATAAAACCTCCATTTCTGAATTAGATTTTCTCTGTTTTAGCTACTAGGAATTTAACCAAAAAAATAAAAGATCCATAAATGCTGAAGCATCTGGTAAGCTTACAGCAGAGTCTACTGATGGAACATAATTTCAATTCTTTTTTGTAAACCTCGAAATGTGTAATTATTTAGTGCAAGTATTTTTACACATTCATTTTTCTCCATTCAAAGAACCTTTCTTTGGCAAATATTTTATAAGACAAAACTTGATTCTTTTGAATGTTTCATCAGACAGAAATGCTGAAAATTATAATCATTCTTAATTTAATTCCATTGTGGTCAATAATAGAAATTCATTCCATTAAAAGTAGTGATACTGACAAAAATTCTTCCCAGAAGTCAATAAACTCAAATAGCCATTGTTGGTTTTGCAAATTAAAACTTTAACCTTTCAATCTCTCAGTTTTTAATTTGTGCAGCTCTTCCTCTGCTCCTATAGTAATAAATTTTAGTGTCCTCTCATTCGTGATATATTTTTAACAATTGCAATTGACTTTGAAAGACAAAGTTTTGTAGTAGTTGATACATTGAATAATTTGATGAAAGATTTCCAAGTAATTTTAAACGATAGACAACCAAAATTTACTGAACTTGTTTACCAAAAAAAAGTTCACTTTTTTTGTGGGACACTAAGATTGTAAGAATTTTACAAAGTAGCTCTTCAAATCCAGCGTTTCTAAAATCAAACTAGTGTTGGGCCATAAAAAAAAAAAAACATGTACTGTCACGATGAAGTATTTCTCTTTCAAAATTCAACATTAGCTTCTTCACAAATATGAGGTAATTCATTTACTCAACCCATAAATATAAGACATATTTGTAAACCTCAACAACTCTTGATTTCTACTTCAATCACTAGAGAATCAAAGATGTTCAGATTGATATCTGTGAGTTGCAGGTATCAGTGTACTGTGTGCATTACAGCCAGTTCCAAATATGATTCAGCTTGATAGAACTAGGCAGAACTTTTTTACCATGATACTATACTCCACTAAAATTTATATTAGAATAATTTTATCTTAAATATTGGATTTTCAAAGTAAGTTTAAAAATAAAAATAAAAATAAAACAGGAGTGGTGGCCTCACTCCTATGATCCCAACACTTTGGGAGGCCAAGGCAGGGGGATCACTTGAGCCCAGGAGTTTGAGACCAGCCTGAGCCACATTGCAAGACCTTGTCTCTACAAAAAAAAAGTTTAAGAAGTAGCTGAGTGTGTCGGCATGCACCTGTAGTCCCAGCTGCTTGGAAAGCTAAGGCAGGAGGATCACTTTGGCCCAAGAATTCTAGGCTGCAGTGAGTTATAATTATACCACTGTACTCCAGCTGGGGTGAGAGAGTGAGGCCCTGTTTCAAAGTAAATAAAAAATAAACAAAATTAAAGTAAGTTTACAATAAAATTTGCAGTAATGGCAGGCGTATTGTCTCTGAATGAGCACTCAAAGCTGTATTTGGATTTCATAAATTGGTTGAAAATATTAAGCTATTATTAGAAGTAATTTGACTGATTTTCTGTTAGAATCACCCTGAAAACACTAATAAAAAACTGGCATTCTTCAATTGTTTGCCAAGTTGTTCTTTCAATGATAGGGCCAACTTACTAACAGCTGTCTTTCACTTTTCATACATTTGCAGGAAACCACAGAATCTAAAATGTGTAGAATAAATTTATAGGAACAATCGTTTGATCTAAATGAAAGTTATGTAATGAAAATTTAACACACTTCCTGCTACTGCTCCTGTTAAATTGCATCCATGGGCATTTTTTAATAGTTAGCAATTTTTGAAGTATATGTTCTTGCTTCTTTAGCAACTTCGTATCTTCTGTTTTTCATGTGATTAGTGATAACATGTTGGCACCGACAATGGATGGTAAAGATTTCATAACGAATCTGTGCAAGTTGCACATTTATTATCAACTTTCTTGGGAAATAGAAAATCAGTCCTTAATTTTAACTAAATGTGTACTTTCAATATTTTTAGCTCTTTGTTGTCAAAAGGGCTTTAGTGAAAAATCATTACCAAATAATAAGAAGCAATAATAGGATTACACCTTAAAATTATTGACAAAACCACTAAGCAAGTGTTTTCAGATGGCTGATGATACACTTGACTGCAGAACTTCTCAACCTCTATTTCCCAGACATATTTTATGGACATCTAAATTATAATTTTCCTTGTTTCCAGTTGATTTCCACTGACTCTACCAACTCATAGTCTGCTGGCTTCCGTGCTTTTCACAGGGCATTGCACAGGCCACAACACAACTTGCTTCTCCTACCACTATCCAAGCAATTACCAATGACCAAGTACCCTTCATTTTATTGATAAGTGCCCTGCTGGCTGACTATAAAGTGGAGAAGCTAGCTGAGTGCATCTAGCAAGGGTGGAAAACAACAGGGTATCATGGATCCTGTTTCCCATTTGGCCACAGGTTAAAGTGAGAACTGTGTTTACTGCACATACAGCTTACACACCAAAAGATGAGACTAGCTGGAAAAACAAAGTGAGGGTCTATCTATCCCATCCAGTTTTATTTTAATGTAACTATAAATTATAATAGTCTATTTAAAAATAGTAAATTCATAATGAGTACTAAACAGGATGCCAGGGCAATAGTTTAAAGCTGTGATCATAGGACATCTGTTAACTCTATATTTAAGGTTTATTATAATAAACACAATAATAAAGATACCAAAGAGGCTTAAAGTTTCAATGTGTTATTAAACAAGGAAGATATTAATATGGTCAGCCCTTCCTGTTGCGGTTAGAAGGTGAGATTATGACCAGGTCCCAGCTGTCCCCTAGTTACATCTTATTTCAGGAAAAGTATCTAAAAAAAACCCATAATCAGTCACTTAGAAACTACAAACTCAAAAACTGCAATTCTCACAGTTCCAAAGACTAATTTAAAAATAACCTTTCGAAATAAAAGAATCCCTGTTTTAGGATAGTAGGTTGAGCACGGAAGTATTAACCATCTAGCAGTTTTAGGTCATCCAAAATTAGACATGTCCCACATTGGCTACACGATTTGTTACAAATGGGACTGGAAATTTTTGGTGTAACTTGGAGTTCATACTGGGAAATCTGCAGTGCAAAGGTCCCTTCTGCCAATTCTTCTCAAAGAAGTTAGAATTGTGGTTACCTGGCTGCTTCTGTGATCTAAAACATCATAATCTTACACTTCAAATTTCTAATTCAACAGAGTAGATAGGCGTGCAGTATAGAGCTATGCCATTATGACAGCTATAAATCTGTTTTTTAACTAATGGTAAAAGAGAACAAAGGTAAGCTTACTGACATAAGCAGTTAATCAATTTTGAACCCAGACCATTCTGAGGTCATCAAATTTGTTCCCGTGTGGCTTTTTTTTCCCATGGACTTCAGAAAATGATACATATCCATAACTTCCTGAAGTGCTTTGAAATAAAAGGTGGCCTTTTTTGGGAAAAGTCTAGAGAGAAGACAATCATGCCACATAAAGCGGAGACCATAATAGTTATTTTCCAGATCCATAAAAATTCTATTTCTTTCTAGGCCATCCTCGATAATGGCTTGGTTTCATCATTAAAATTGTTCTCTTTGAGTCAAGATAATATAGTTCCCAAGAGCTATGTCATACCATCAGAAAAAAGATAAACTTGGGCCAAACATGATGAGTTTCTCCTCATGAAGGTAAGGATTACTCAGAAGATTCTGTTTTCTTACTCAGAAGCCATGCTCTTTAAACTATCAGGTGTTTTGTTTCTATGTTTTAAATAGAGATTGTATGTGGTGGTGTGTGTTACTCCAAGAGTTTCATCCTGTGACTAGTAGCTTCATTCTGTGAGCTTACAGTCAGATCTATGGAAAGAATGGGGGATTCAATGTGTGGCCTCAGCCTCCCGGGTTCCATAGTTTGATCCCAGCCAAATGCATGCAAATGATGTCAGAAATGAAGTTTGCATTTGGGGCCTGGATGGCCTATTTCCTCTTCTTCCCTTACCCCTCTCAGACACGTTATTGCTTTTTCCATAAAAATCTCTGAAGTCTCCTGCATTGAGGGCTTGTTTAATCCCCGAGTGGAGACATACCACATTCTTCTGCTCACAAACATGCAGGCCACACATTTGTGAGAAACTCCTCTATTCTTTATTCATGTTCGAGCACATCCCAAGAGACTCTAGATGGAAGAGGTTATCTCTCACTCCAGAAGAGATGGTGGCCACCTCTGAGCTTGTTTCCAGCTCCTGTTGACAGCATAGAAGAGGAAGAACAGGCATGGGTGGCTCCTTTGCTATGTGTAATGATTCTCTCTATGGCTTTGGTAGGCAATTGGAAAGGCCTTACACAGGGTATTAGGCCCTTTGTGGCATAGCCAGACCTCTTGCACAAAGAACCAGAGAAACAGAAGTCCTCAAATATATAACCAGAAAGGTATGGTGACAAAATAAGAAGGGGGAAAAAAAAACAGACACTGAAAAAAGTAAGTTTTCTGGCCTAATAACACCAAGGTCTCCAATACAATTCAGTTGATTGGTGGAACATAACTACCCTTTCTCTAAACACCTAGATGTGTGGTGGGCAATTGCATGGGGCTCTCAATATTTCTTCCCTCTGTTCAGACATAAATGTATCAGAGAGGAGGTTCCCTAGAAGAATACAAGGTAGCATTCAGGATTGTGTGCAGTTCATATTCTGCTGAGCCAGGAAAAAAAATTAGACTCATTAGAAAAGGGAATACACTTGCCTACCTCACAGTTTTGTCTTTTGTTGTACCAGTATGAAAGTGATTTTTAAATCAAAGTAAATTACAAATGAAGAGAATGACTTCTCCCCAATGTTATCTTTGCACACTCAACACATGGTTGGACATTTCATCCTATTTGACATTTTGAAAATTCTGTACAATATAATAGAACATCAAGATCAGCTATAAATATCTCCATAGTCCTGGAATAAAATCATCCAGAGCTCCAAATGCCATTGGCTTCGAAAGAGCAAACTACCCAGCAATTTTATCTGGAAGCCTGATGTTAGTGCTCCCCCAGTTTATCTTGCACAGAAAGCTGTGCATTGCCAAAGTCATGGGTGTCAAGCTTGAACAAGATGGTCCTGGGCATGGGAGGAAAAGACTGACTGTCCAGACCTGTGAGGGAAATTGACTTGGGAAAGGTCAGCCTTAAAGCAATAAGGTAGGATCCACAAAGGAACTGAACATTTAAATCACAGCCTTGAGTATTATCAAGATGACATCCTTAGACAGGGGTCATCATTCTGCAAGGCACCGTGCTAGCCTGGGAGGCTTCTGAAGGCAAAGAAAGAAATTAACTTCTGGCTGGGTGCAGTGGCTCACACCTGTAATCTCAGCATTTTGGGAGACTGGGGCAAATCACTTGAGGTCAGGAGTTCAAAACCAGCCTGGCCAACATGGTGAAACCCCGTTTCTACAAAAATTAACTGGGCACGGTGGCGCATGCCTAGAGTCCCAGCTACCTGGGAGGCTGATGTGGGAAAATCGCTTGAATCTGGGAGGCAGAGGTTGTAGTGAGCTGAGATCACACCACTGCACTCCAGCCTGGGTGACAGAGCCAGATCTGGTCTTTCTAAAAAACAACAACAACAACAAAAAGCAAAACAAAAAAAACAAAAAAAAAAAGAAGAAGAAGAAGAAGAAAGGAAAAAAAAAAAAAAAAAGAAAGCAACCTCTACGAAGTTTGAGCCATTTGACAAACCTTCAACTTTTCCTTTTCCTTCAATTCTCATGACAATTTTATGAGGTTCCTTGGGAGGATTCTTAACATATCTTCACATGAATAGACTTACTGAAATGACTGATATTCTCCATTCTCTTTGTATGTGTTTGGATGTTCATAGCCAGCAGGGAGGCTGTTTTCTTGAATGTTCACCAGTTTTTGCTCTCTCCATTTGAGGTCTTTGCTTACCAAACACCAGTTGCATTTCCTCACAAACCAGTTGCAATTATAATTAGATAATTTAATAGAGTAGTAATGAATGTGTCAATGAAATAGAGTGAAAAATAAAGAAAGCTGTCATTTCTATGAAAACTAAATTGAATAATCTGGAAGGACTCATTTTAAAGGCGAGTCACTAAAATTAAAAAAAAAAACTGTAATCAAATTAGCCATGATCTAGACAACTATAAAAGAACAGGTATGAGGATAATGGAAGTGGGAATAAAGGTCTAGGAGGATTCTGTACTTAAACTTATTTCAGTCCATTTAAAAACAAGAAGAAAAATAAGAAAACTTTGGCAATTCATCAAGGATATTGGTTTTGAAAACATAGAAAAGGAAGGACTCTAAGGAGTGGGCCACATTTCAAGAAAAGTCCTTAATCTTGCATGAAAATATTGGATAATAAACACATTTTATGTGCTTAAGAAAGGATTTCGAGTATAATACATACTATTGCTTGTTCCCACTTGAACTGGTTTTCTGATTGACTAACCAACTAGTGGCCCTGCTTGTGTCAGACATGAGGGATTCCACTGAACTCTAAGCTCCATTTTACACATGAGGAAACTGAGAATCAGAAAGTGTATGTGATTTCTCCAAAGGGTATAGCTGTGTAATGGCAGAGCTCAGAATTGACTTTTAGCTGTATCTAAAATGGATTTGGTTATAATTCTATGTTTACACTTCTTAAGCTCCTTATATTCTTTACTTTTGATCTCACTCTGCACTTCAGTCCTCCTCTGAATCAGCTCAGAACCTCACAGGCTTCTTAGACTGTGGGTGAGTTCAGATGGGCTTCAATTGAGTGCCTTGGGAAACATCAGCATCCAGCGCCTCAGTTGATGCTCTCCCCTGTGTTCTGTCCAAGCTCTTGGTCCTAGAGTCTACCATTTTGCCCAGCCTATCCAGGCTGACTTCTTTGGACAGGTTTACTTAGCCCTTATTGGACCTCCATCAACTCCTGCTCTGTGGCTGAAATACTAATTATGCCTCCCCGTCAAATCTGGCCTGGCAGTCAGGAACCTCTTCCTGAATCTGGTGTACCTGTCATTTCATCTCATCTAGATGGTTTCTTGTAAACATGAGCTCTGGTTTCATAAGGGTCATGTTTTCCTGTGGCTTGGTGAGAAACCAGAGTAGACATTTTCTCATTTTCTTTTAATTTTAACATTATGCTTTTAATGTGAGTTTTCAAGATAATATTTCCATCTCAAATATTCTAGTAGCCTCCATATTAATTTTGTATGTTACTAGACCCTTGGCAGAGCTTTCCAAAGCCATGTATAGACAAGGTGATCAGCTGCTTCTAAATCCATTTCTTTACTCCCTTCTTGACCTCTTTGGCCTTTTTCACTTTCCATTTGGGTTCAGGCAAAAATCTTCCTTTGAGACCCCCAAATCATAGGCCAGTGATCACAATACTGAACCAATTCTTCCTCCTTGCTGTAGCTCACATAGATTAAATAGATCTTCATCTATTTCCATGCCAAGTTTCCTAGCTATGGAAAAGGAAAACTTATGTTCCCAGGAATATTTCCTTACATTCATTGATTGTATGCTAACATTTATTAAACCTATACCATGCCTAGTCCTCTACAAAATCCTTTACATGTATTATCTTATTTATTCTTAAATTAGCCTTAAAAATGTACTGCCATTATTCCAATTTTAAAGATAATAAAGCAGAGAGGTTACATGATCTGTCCTAGCTTATGCAGTTAGGAAGTGGTGGCATCAGAATTTATAGGAAGTTTTTCTAATCATAGATGTCTGGGCATAACAACTTCTACTTCTCACCTGATGCTGTCTGTAATTGTTTCATGATTAAATCCATAGAAGACCATGGGACATTTCATATAAAGGGACATAATGCACTCACTTTCAGGTCCCTCAGCCAAAATGGGTACTAATGAATAAAGACAGAGGAAACTAGGTGGAAAAGGGTGATAGAGCCTCTGGTCCAGTGTTGCGGGGAGCTGATACAGGGACTCAGGTTGCTTGATTAAGGCAGTAGCCCTTTAGCATAAGGGTGACTGCTTGGTTTTGCTTCTTGCTGCAGAGATATCCTGTGTCCCTGCACTTATGGGAGGGGAGACGGGAAGAAGCAACTTGCAGTTTTTTTTATCAGACAGTGATGTGTGAATAGACCATTAGTTGTAATTTGCAATCCAACTTCATCAATACTATAGGTCATGGAAACTCTAAGAACTTTGCGAGTGGTTGGCTGCTTTTGTTAATTTCCAGCGCTATTATGAGCTTTTTGTCTTTTCCTTTGTTTTATAAAACATTTTCATAAGATGCTGAGAAAGATGATGTTGGGAATGCTGGACTATGATGCTCTTTTTAGCAGAAAGACTACTACGCTCCTCTGCTCTGTTATGATGGTTATTCTCAATAAACCTGTTATCAGCTTCCAACTCTCAACTCCATTTGTTTCAATAACATTGAATGACTGTCTCAGAAATCCTAATCTTACTTTCTTATTTGTACCACTATCTAAACCACAACTACCCAGGATGCCCTCAACTATCAAACTCCCCCAAATCCCCTCTCATAGATTATTGACCATCTAACCATCCCTCTTTGAAAGCACCTTGGAAAACATAGAGCACAACACGATATTATTTGGTTTAGTTATGGTTATACTTATGAGCCTTTCCCACCTTTCTCACAACTCACTCAGCAAATCCCTAGCTGGATGTATTCATTCATTTAACAAATACTCACTGAACACCATTATGAAGTATTGTTAACAAGATAGAACATTAAAAACAGCCATGTCCCAGCTTTCACGGAGAGTGACATCCCATGAGATGGAGACAAATGTTTACAAAGTAAATCAATAAATGTATGATAGATGGTGATAAACAATTTGGGGAAAAATAAGACCTCATAAGAGGAATGTGGTTTTTAGGTAGGGTGGCTAGAGAAATCCTCTGAGAGGAAGTGACATTTGAGTTAAATGAGGCCAAGCCATGATGCTATCTGGGAAGGAAAAGACACAGACAGAGAATGTTAAAGAAACAACATGTGCAGACCCCTGGGGCAGGAGGGTCCTTGTTGTGTTTTAGGGCTAACAAGGGCACAACTGGAGTAGAAAAGACAAGACCAATCACTTTATGACCATCTCTTTGTATTGTTCCTGGGTCTGTGATGATCTGCATTTGGGAGAAGGTATACAACACAGCAGACTTCACTCTTGAGATGTTGGTCCTTTTCAGTCATTCTTTGATGCTAACCTATGCTGGACAATCCTACTGTATCATCTCCACCAGCTCCCAATCTCACTCCTCTTGACAGCACTTCTGAAATTTCCCACCCTTCCACCACCCGCCTGTTTACTCTCCTGTCTCTTGCTGACTTCATCACTGTGGTCCATTTTCCAAAGAGACATAATCAAATACTCTCAAAATAACTAACAATTCTTTAAATATCACCACTTAATCCAACTCATATTTAAATTCTGACCTTCTGCTTACCACCTGACTCTGAACTCACAGCTTAAACTTGCTGCTTACATTTCCTGACTACTAATTCCTTGTGACCCGATTTCTGCTTCTACTACTAAATTTCCAACACTCATGCTTCCCCTACTTTGTCCCCAATATAACTCATAACCTTTTCTGACCAGATTTAATAATCTCTTCCAGCTGCTCATTCTCCTGACACTACCTGCTGATTTTGACAGTATTGGCCACCCCAATCCTGGGAGGTTGAACAATGAACTTTGTAAATGAACTGATCATGTAAAATCCAAAATTTACTCCCAGAGCCACTGTGAGGACTGTGGCAATTTCCTTGAACTGCCCATGCCTCAGTTTCCTCATTTATAAATAGGAGTAAAAATATTATCTGTTTCCTATGATTGTTATGAGTATTAAATAATCCTTAAGAAGAGGTTAGTAAAGCACAAGGCCATGCACACATTCAATAAAATGTTAGTTCTTATTATTTTAAGAGTATGGAGACCCTTCTCATGTCTTGACTTCTGACATAATGCATTCCCTTTGTTCTTTTCAAATTTTCATCTCATTCTTTGTTTATGTTCATTCAAACTGAAAAGTTACTGTGTGTTAATACAAGGTGGAGGAATTGGAGATACAAAACTGAGTAAGAGATGAACCTTTTCCTCAAGGAACCCACAGCCTAAGGGCCTTTTAATCACCCTTTCATTCTTTATCCAAGGATTTCATAGTCGCTCCATAAACCTTGAGCTCTTTGATCTTTCTTTCATGGTTTTGGCTCATCAGAAAACCTTCCACTCACAAAGGTAAACTGTTTTACTTTGTTCTAGTCACCCCTAAATTCATACCTTCAGGCTTAACCTGTGCCCTGTAAAGTCCAGCCTCCCATTGGACAATTCTGCTGTGAGTACCACTATCTTTGTCTGCAGTTGCCTAAGTCCTAGCCCATGTACTCTTTGAGGAACAGGAGAGTTCTCTCTCAACCTTCATTCTATTGATGGAGACTCAGAGACCTCTCCTGAATGCAGCTGTTCAGCACATAGGTCCCAGCTCTGGCTCCAGCTTTGGGGTCTACGATAAACAATCTTCAAGGAGTTCACTTCAATCATTCAGGAGTTCACTTCAATCATGAACACAGGTTACCTCTGGCTCTTAGGAGTTAGCATATCATCATAGTTGTGGCTTCTGGAGCATTACATCCCAGCTCAGATAAAGCTAGTGTATAATTCTGCAACAGTAGTAAAGAGAAATTGGATTCTATATTGGTTACCTTCTACTGTGTAACAAACCACCACAAAATGTAGTAGCTTAAATCCACAATTATTTGTGATTCCTCATTAATCTATAGATTGACTGGGCTTTTCTAATTTGTAGTAGCTTGACTTGGGCTGGATGGTCTAGGATGGTCTCACTCATTGATGGCTCAATATCATTTGGACCCCAAAGATGACAAAGTTCTCCACTGACAGATATTGACCAATATGGCAGGCAGGCTTAGAGTATCATGAGGCAGGCAGGTTCAGGGAAGGCACTACATGGCTGCTACAGGTTGTACATCTTCCCCCAGAGAAGGTGAAACTTTTAATGGCAGGAGTTATGTGGCCCTATTTAAGGGAAAGAAAACATCAAGACCCTTCAGCAACAAACTCCACTCTCTATTCAACATCACCCTCAAGATTTCCCTTCAAAGGCACTCAGAACCTTCATGGTCCAGATGCTCCCTGGATTTTTCAGTAGGTCAGGACAATATTCTTTCTTCCCTCATGCTTCCTAAAATGGGCCTTTTGGTTTCAAGCAATACTTCCCACCTACAGCCTACTAATGGCTACAGTGGTGACATTTTCAGGCTCCATGTCAAGACCATGTGAGTGATCCAGGCAGATCTTCTTGTCTGCCAGTCACCTATTTTGTGAAGGCATAATTCCATCTCTTCTGAAAATGCTATTTAATGATAATATTAGTATTTCTGTTTTTAATTTTTCCCTTTAAATTCATTTGATTTTCACATCTTAATATCTGTTTTCCCAGCTACTCCAATTTACCCAAGTTTCAAACAATGATAATAATTAACCAGTAAACTTTTATTGAGTGCTTGGTATCTTCTGGGCATAATGTGAAGGCTTGTAGAGGACTATTTTAATTAATCCTCAAAATAATTCTGAGATAGACAGGATTAGCTCATTTACCTGGGAGGAAACTGAGTTTCAGAGATTTGCTCAAGATCATGCAGGCCAGTCAGTCCTGGGACATGAGAGAAGATGGAAGGGATAGTTGCTCAGCAGCCAAAAACAAACAAACAAACAACACTTCTAATTCCCATGCCCCATGTTATAAGCAGCATAACTTCCCCATTCTGCCTCTGGAACTAGGAAGATCTCAGTCAAAACCTAAATGTAGGCCACAGAAAGGCTACTCAGTGACCTGTATTTCAGGCTCTTTATTAATCCAAACTCACAGCTGACTGTCCCCTGGGACTCCAGGTGTATCACAGTTGCACTCAGTTCAACCAACTCACCACTCTTAGGGGGAAAAATCATAATGGAGCAGCATTTTCAGTTTCTCTAAAGAATAATTTTGAGTATGTTCTCAAACAATGGAATGTCAGGGGGTTATTCGTTCATTTTGGAGAGAGCATTAATAAGCAGCTAAAGCAGGAATTTATAATGGATGGCACAGCTGAACCCTAATATTTCACTACCCCCACATCGTCGTGACACAGCTGTACAGAACAGTGTGAAATCATGAGAAATGATGAGTTGTCTGTGAAAATGTTGTAGGCTGAAATCCTAATGAGCTCTTTAGGCTGAAAAGCTGAAGTATTTCTATTTCTATAGTGGGAGCTTATACAAATAAACTTACGTATGTAAGTGTAATATAAAATCAGAAAATGGTAACAGGAATATTAGGTGAAACTTTCTCTTCCATGCATAGTCCTGAGTTTTATTCCCACATCCAAACCCTCGTCCCATATCCCAGAATGAAGAAATAACTTTGGCCCATTTCTAAGAGTATTTGCTTCTATTGATTCCATTTCAAGTGACCCCTAGATTTTCATTAAAATATTCTGGAACACAGGAGACATTTTCACTGGGCATATATCTGAGTTTGTAAGAAAAATACGGCTGGATGAGGTGGCTCACACCTGTAATCCCAGCACTTTGGGGGGCCAAGGGAGGCGGATCTTGATGTCAGGAGTTCAAGTCTAGCCTGGCCAACATGGTGAAACCCTATCTCTACTAAAAATACACACACAAAAAATTAGCCAGCGTGGTGGTGTGCACCTGTAATTCCAGCTACTCGGGAGGCTGAGGCAGGAGAATTGCTTGAACCTGGGAGGCAGAGGTTGCAGTGAGCCGGGATTGTGCCACAGCACTCCAGCCTGGGTGACAGAGTGAGACTGTGTCTCAAAAAAATAAAAATAAAAATAAAGCTTCTCTTCTGTTAAGCTGTTATATTTTGTGCCTGTTTGTCATGGCAGTTTAGCCTACCCTATCTAACACATAGGGGAATAACATGGTTTGGTAGGATGGTGCACTGGATCAGTCACAGTAGCCCAGGAAGTCCTTCCACCATTGGATCCTGCCACATACCATGTCCCCACTCCTACAGGTACCTTCATACCTTGCCCCTTCCCAGGCCCAGCAGCACTTGGAAAATGGACCCAAGGAACCATATGTTACTCCAGCCCTGGCAGAACTGCTAGAGGGTACGAACCCTAAAGCCATTCTGGTGACCTTCCCAAATATCTGAAGACAAATAACCTGAATTGGTTTGGACTTGCCTGAGATTTTCCAATGCCTCAATTGTATCATAAAGGCCAGCAATTTCATAACTCATCTACTCACTCACTCACCCATGGGGTTTCTAGCGATTCCTTCTAGTGACAGAGCCACCAGGTCCTTAGAGTGGGGATGTTTCAATATAAAGGTTTCATCAGGAGCTTCCCTGATTGTGCAGCAAGCACTTTGTTTTATGAGAAAATGTTTGACTCTTCTTACTGGTGGATATACAGAGGGGGACAGAGGAATTCCTATGTGATGTTTAGGTGTGTGACAAACACCTACAGTGAAGATGAGAATATCTCCATCCTGAAAACAAACCTAGAGCTAGCAAAGGGAAGGCAAAAGATATGGACAAGGGTCCAAAGATTTCACATACACACTGTGTGTCAGATAGAATACTAAAACTATCATGGTAAATCAAATCCGTTAAACACACTTAAAATACCACAAACATTAGCGGAATCCTATCTTATAAACAATACTTATTTTAATCAGCCTTTCCAAAAACTTTTTTTTTTGAGACGGAGTCTTGCTCTATCACCCAGGCTGGAGAGTACAGTGGTGCGATCTCGGCTCACTGCAAGCGCCACCTCCCACGTTCATGCCATTCTCCTGCCTCAGCCTCCCGAGTAGCTGGGATTACAGGCGCCTGCCAACCACGCACGGCTAATTTTTTGTATTTTTAGCAGAGACGGGGTTTCACCGTGTTAGCCGGGATGGTCTCAATCTGACCTCGTGATCCACCCACCTAGGCCTCCCAAAGTCCTGGGATTACAGGCATGAGCCACCGCGCCCAGCCCTCCAAAAACTTTTAAAGTATCAGCTAGATCACATCAAAGTTCAAACTTTCTGAAATAAGCTAACAGCCCCCTAAAAACCGTCTGGGATGCCTTGGGAGATAATTGGAGAATTGAAAGACATTTGTTAAGTTTTTGCAAACCTTTGGAATTCTCAAATATCTTAGTGATCATAGGAGTGTGGACAATGCTTTCTCTCTTTTATGCCTTTGAATACAAATGACGAATGTGGTCATAATGACAAAAGGGAAATGCCAATGATCTAGGGTCCTCTGATTATGTCTACAAGGGAAAATGGCTCAAAGACCTAAATGTTCAAGCAAAAACTATAAAACTGTTAGAAGAAAAATAGGGGAAAACCTTCACAACATTAGCTTTGGCAATGATTTCTTGGATGTCACACCACAAGTACAGGCAACTAATAGTTTCTCTATTTACAATTATAGAGACAAAGTAGATTGATGGCTGCCAGGGCTGAAGGACGGGAAAGTGGGGAGTTAATGTTTAATGGATACTGAGTTTCAATTCTGGAAGATGAAAAAGTCCTGGGATGAATAGCGCTGACAGTGGCACAGCAATGTGAATGTACTTAATGCGACTGAACTGTATGCTTAAAAATGGTTAAAATGGTAAAAATTTTTGTTTATCTTAAATAGATAAATTATTACGGTGAGCATTTGTTCACCGTATCAAAAGACACTGTCAACAGACCAAAAAGGTGATCCACAGGATAGAAGAAAATATTTGCAAGCAATATATCTGACAAAGGGTTAATATCCAAAATATGAAAAGGACTCCTAAAACTCAACAACAAAAAATAAGCAACCAAGTTAAAAACATGGACAAAGGACTTGAATGGAAATTTCTCTATAGAAGACATACAAATGTCCAATAAGCACATGAAAAAATGTTCAACATCACTAATAATTAGTGATATGGTTTGGTCCTGTGTCCCTACCCAAATCTCATCTCAAATTGTAATCCCCATGTGTCAAGGGAGGAACCTGGTGGGAGGTGATTGCATGATGGGAGAGGTTTTCCCCATGCCGTTCTCATGATAGTGAGTGAGTTATCACGAGACCTGATGGTTTAAAAGTGTGTAGCACTTCCCCCTTCTCTCCTGCCACTATGTAAGACATGCCTTGCTTCCTCTTTGCCTTCTGCCATGATTGTAAGTTTCCTGAGGCCTCCCCAGCCATGCAGAACTGTGAGTTAATTAAACCTCTTTTCTTTATAAATTATTCAGTCTTTATAGCAGTGTGAAAATGAACTAATACAATTAGGGAAATGCCTATCACCACAATGAGATGCCACTTTATACCTGATTGGATGGTTACTATCACATGCACACACAGAGAAAATAAACATTGGCAAGGATGTAAAGATATCAGAATCCTTGTGCATGGCTAGTGGGAATGTAAAATGGTGCAGCCACTTCAGAAGACATTATGGCAGTTCCTCAAAAACTTCAACAGTGAATTACCATAGGATCCAGCAATTCTGCTTCTGAGTATATAACCAAAAGAATTAAAAGCAGGAACTCAAACAGGTATTTTTACACAAATGTTCACAGCAACATTATTCACAATAGTCAAAAGATGAAAGTAACCCATGTGCATACACAGAAGGATGTATAAACAAAATGTGGCATATACAAACCAACAGAATATTATTCAGCCTTAGAAACAAAGTACATTCTGATACACACTACAGTTGGAATGAACCCGAGGACATGGTGTTAACTGAAATAAATTAGTCAGGAAAGGGCAAATATTGTGTCTCCTCCACTAATGTGAGGTACCTGGAGTAGTCAAATTTATAGGGACAATGTAGAATGGTGGCTTCCAGGGCTGGAGGATAGGAAAATGAGGAGTTAGAGTTGGATGGATACAGAGTTTCAATTCTGGAAGATGAAAAGTCCCGGGGATGAATCGTGGTGACGGTGGCACAACAATGTGAATGTACTTAATGCCACAAAACTGCAACTTTAAAATGGTTAAAATGGTAAATTTTACATTATGCATATTTTACTACAATTTTAAAAATAATAAACACTTTTCTTAAGAAAAAGAGTAATGGTACATATAATGAATTCTTAAAAACCCACTTTGGCTGGGTGCGGTGGCTCACACCTGTAATCCTAGCACTTTGGGAAGCTGAGGCAGGCAAATCACTTGAGGTCAGGAGTTCAAGACCTGCCTGGCCAACGTGGCGAAATCCCATGTCTATTAAAATTACAAAAATTAGCTGGATATGGTGGCACGCACGTGTAATTCCAGCTACTCAGGAGGCTGAGGAAGGAGAATCGTTTGAACCCAGGAGACAGAGGTTGCAGTGAACCGAGATTGCACCACTGCACTCCTGCCTGGGCAATGGTGCAAGACTTTGCCTCAAAAAAGAAAAAAAAAAAAAATGCTTTAATCTTCATTACATATGTATATCAGAATTAAGGACTTTAATTACACAGAAAATTTACGTGCATTGAACCAGTCTTTTGTGGAGGTGAATAATCTGCTCGGAAATTTTATTTCCATTAAGTAAAAGAGCTTGAACGAGCTTGTTGTGGTCACGCATTGGAGTGTTTTACTCTGATCCATGCTCTGTGACTGTCTTCTTCATCCGTGATGGTCCTCTTTGTCTTGCCCTAGTACAAACACCACAGAACCATGGATACTGTGATTCTGGGTTTCCCTACAGCTGATTGGAACAACGATAAGCACCTGACTGAAGATGGGTCAGTAAGTCAGAGACCTTTGCCAATAAATTTGGAATTGGGAAGAAAACAAAATGATGACAGGAAAGAACAAAGACAGAGAAGTTGTGATAGGCAGCCTCTGAAAGGGCTCCCAGTGATCTCTATCCACTGGAGTGGATGTCTCTCCCATCAGTTCAGTGTGGGCTGAAACTAGTGTCTCATTTCTAACAAATAGAAGACCTAAAACTGAGAGAATGTCATTTCCATGATTAGGTTTCAAGAAGACAGAGACTTCCATCTTGCGTTTCATCTCTGATCTCTTTCACTTGCTCAACCTGATGGGAACCAGCAGTCATGTTGTGAACTGCCCTAGAGAGGGGCCCATGTTGCAAGGAATTAAGAGGGCTTAATAACCTTCAAGGAACTGAATCCCGCCAACAGCCAAGTGAGGGAGTTTGGCAACTTCATTAGTGAAGCCTTCAGATGAGACTGCAGCCCTGGTCAACACCTTAATTGCAGCCTCGAACGAGACCTTAAGAAAGAGGACCAGCTAAGACAAACCTAGATTCTTGCTTCCACAGAAACTGAGATAATACATGTTTGTTGCTTTAAGCCATCAAGTTTTGGTGTCATTTGTTACACAGCAATAGGCAACTAATACAGAGAAACAGAGGCAGTGACCCTTTTGGAAGCAACGTTTAAAAGATATGAACACAGCAGTTGAGGACGACCACACTATGCCATGTAGAGGAGGGTGAAAAGAACTGAGTCTTAAAAGAAAAAAAGCCTTTAGGAATAGGCACGTGAGAAGCAGATGCAGAGTGTGAGTGAGAACACAGAGTGGGTTCCCAGTGGCTTGCCAGTTCTCCATTCCAGTCCTTCCCAAGGCCTGGCTGCACTCCTGTCTTTGTGTTCTGTGAAATCTCTGGTACTTCATAATAAATTGTCTTTATTTTCTTTATTTATCTCAGTTGGTTTCTATAACTTGCAATCAGAATCCTAAAAGCCTAGGATGTATCAAGTTGCACAGCTGTGATTTTTGAAGGCAGCCAGACACTTGACAATGAGTTTGGCAGTTTAAAGAGGCTCTTGGCTTCAGAAGCACCCAGATGTTCTGAGCCACCTGACTTTGGGTCATAAGAAAGCGAGCCAACTTCAAGAGTATCTAGTTCTCAACCTACTGCTCTAATCAATGATCAACCATGGCAAAATCTATTCCGTGTTAGGTGGTTTGAATAATATTTGTTCAGAGCTTAGAGATCCCAGCTGAAAGCTGTTTGAAATACACAATATTGCTGTTGACACAGAACAAACTGTTATCCTTTCTTCTAAAGAACACAGTGATATTTTTGGAAAGCCCTTATTATATTACATGATGGAAATACATATCCAGATGAGGCATATTTTAATTCTTAGAAACAGCCTAACTACATAAAATGTACTATTCTCTCTTAATCCAGTTAAATCTCTTTGGTGTTTTCTGTTTTAAAGTCGTGTCACTGCCTAATCACTCACCATCTTAACAAAATTCAAAGCAGTTTACATCTTACAGGCTTGGTAATAAAACAGAGACTTAAAAGCAATAAACATCTTTGAAACAATTCATCCAGCCCTAAAATGGTGCCAGAATGAGTTTTGGAATGATAAGTTTGAATTTAAAAATCAAAATTTGCTCTCAGGCTGGGACTTAAAATGTCACAAATACATTTTCATAGCTAAGTTATAAACCTTGAAAAATGGCCTAGATGTCCAAGCAAATACAGATGCACTGCAATGCTTCTTCAATGCTGTCAGGACACCCACTTGGGGTCTCTTCATGCATATATCCACATGCATGTGTGTTATCTGGATTTTTGCCTTATTTCCATGTGTTTAACATTCATTCTTATGTTGAAAGAACATGTTTGGCATGAGCACCGTTTATCACTGGTGCTCCCCTACTTCCCCTTGTCTCCAGGCTCCTTGACCGTGGTGAACACCCCATTTCCCCTTCCTGAGGGCCATATCACACAAACCTCGAGGTCCCAGGCAACAGGAAATGAGCAAAGTGTCATGCATTAGAGCAAGAGAGTATGTTAAGAGAGGTTGAGTAAGCTTGTTGTGGTCACGTTTTGGAGTGTTTTACTCAGGTGCACGTGACACCAACAGCCTTCTTCATCCACGAGGGTACCCTCCTCTTGCGTATGCTGACTCTACCATGCTGGTACGCCATGAGTCTGCAGCTCCACTGCAGCTGACTGCAACAACATTAAACATCTGACATAGAAGGCATTCCAACTCATTTTCTTTATTTTGCAATTGTTTCTAAGTTGTTATTATTCAATTCATCCTCAAAACAAGTTCTCAGGGGTAGAGTTATCAATCTCTGGTTAGACTTTTCTTCCATCCCAATCCAGCCTTAAACTATAATTGCTTGGTGTCCTGTCCTTCCAGTCCCCATCTGCCCTCTATGCTTAGTTGATTGTCATACCCATCCATGGGCAGGCAGGTTTTTTCTACCTGCTCAGATGATCAAATTTGCATAGTCACGATTAGCAGGCCATGGGAGCTGGGATCTTGGCTGCAATTGTCAATTGTTCTACCATTGACAATTGAATAATAGCATAAAGAGTTATCTCTTGAATAATAGCATGAAGAGTTGTTGTCAGTTCTGACATTTATGATGACAATAAAATAAAGAATATCTGGATAAGAATATTAAATGAACTATATGGAGTTTGCTAATTTTTTTACTTTGGAGAATATGTGCCTGTGCATAGCCTCAGCTCATGAATGTGTATCTCCCCTACAATACCAAATAGCCATTTTCTAGTCCATCAGCTTGGAGGCCTCTTCCTCCCCAGATGCTCAACTCACTCCTTCCCCTTCTTCAGGTCTTTCTGCTCAGGCGTTGCCTCGTTGTAGAGGTTTTCCATCACTGTCCTCTATCAAATAGCAATCCCTGCCCCTCTGCCACATACCCTGTCTTCCTTATCCCTCTTTATTTTTCTCTATGCTTCTATAACATATTATTATTCATCTTCCTTCACTAGAACCTAAGAACCATGAGGGCACAAACTACTGTGTGGCCACAGCCTGGAACACAACCTGGCATTCAGGAGGCTCTCAATAAACCTCTATGGTAGGAATGCATACAATCAGTATATATTCAAATACAAAAAAATCAAAATTTCAGTAAATCATGGTTCTAATTCTTGATGAAGCTTAGTTGGCACAAGAACTGTCTTACTTGGCTATTTGGGATATCTCTCTACAACTGATGTTGCTCATCTTTTTGCTGTATTCTTGCTCCTGTCACACTGATCTATATCAGGTTGCTGCCTTGTATTATATCTGATTCACAGAAAAGTCTCGCTCTCTCTATCTGCAACTACTCAAAGTGTTCATTATAAGTCAAGTTTTGATCAACTCTATACCTCTAATTATCTCCATTACTGATAGCTTCTGTGCAGCTCTCTGCAGTGTTAGAATTAAAAATGTCCTCCTTTCTCAAGTGTACTCTGCACAAGTGGTGGATGAAAAGTCTAAAGCAGCTTCCTTCCAGGTTCTGCTTTGCAGAGCATGGGTTTATGCATCACCCAGACCCATGTACTTGCCTTGGTGTTGCTTAAAGCCATGGAGCTTGGTTGCTGCTACTACTTCTGCTACAAATGCAGGGCTCTGATCTGTTTCCCTTTGTTGCTTGGGTGCCTCCTCTTCCACACAGGCCGTGCAAATACCCTAGTGCTTCCCTGTCTTTGCTCAGCGCATACATGAGAAGTGTGTAACTGTGAAGTGGAGGGTACTAATATACCACACAGGCAAATTTTAATCAATAGGAGACAGAAGCCGGTAAAATAATAGTTCTTCTTTTTTCCCTCTGGAGTGATGATTGAAAGACACAGTAGCATCAAGCATCCTCTCCAAAGCTTCCCAGGACACTAGGCAGTCCTTTCTTCATGAAGTGCTGCCACCTTGGAGACCCTTCTATTTGCTCACCCTCCTTCCCTGCCTCACTCCAACTCTTTCTCACTCCTCCTTCCTGGGATTCACTCTTCAATAACATGTTGGCACAAAAGCCTTATTTCAGGCTCTGTTTCTAGGGAATTCAGGCTAAGGTTATATATATAGAGAGAGAGAGCTTTTAGAGGAAATAAAATAACTTTCAGGGAAAAAAACACAAAAATGTAAAATAAAATAAAAGCAAAGACAAAATAATAAAACAAAACAGTAACTAAAATTGTTTCATTGCCTAAAAGTTATTATTGCTTTTATTTCCTATGTCATACCAGAAGAAAATTTTTCTAAGTAGAGTGGCTTGATTTTGCTGGATAATTATTTGGATCCCACTAATATGTATGCTTTAAATGTACTTCAGAATACACAATGTCTATTCATATACTTCGTTTCATCTCATCAATAATTAGGAGGACAGTCACTGTTGGACGTATTAAAGAGTGAGCTCAGTTCTTACTCCCATACCACCTAAGAATCCTTTGAAGATAAAGCACTCCTGACCTAAGAATGAAATAATAATGATAGTAATTTCAGTCTGCGTGATTAGAGAAGGTAGAGATCTGTGGTCCAGCAAGGTACTGTAGGCTCCTTAAACAGATCACATTTTGTCTTACGTGTATTTCTAGCTCTAATAAAGTTAATTCACATTGCTTGTGGGTTCTCTATAATTATATTATTCAGATTTGTTTTTTGAAATATAAATTTTCCATGATGTTAGTAAAATAAAGAGTTTTTCTTAAAAGCCAACTTAGGAGTTTGAAACAGCATATTCAGAGCTTAGTGCCACAAAATCAAAAGAGGGAAAAAAAATTGCCTAATGAAGTAAAGAGTCTAGGTATGATCTCAGTCATACCTGGGCTCTGTACCTGGCAGGGCATAAACCTTCAAAATTTGAATGCTGAACAGCTAGTTGTGAGTTCCTTTAAAAGTCAGTACAGGGGCAGGCGACCTTTGGGGAGTGGCGTCTGTGAGTCAGTCATTTGGAAGTTGGAACATATTCCCCATGGAAACAATATCCCACATAGTGACTAAGTCCCCATGCCAATTCCTCAATGCTTATTTAACCCAAAATGCACTTGAATCTTATCTCTGGAGGTTATTTGGGTGAAAGGAAGACAAGGGAACAGAGAAAATGGACTTCCTCTGGTTTTCCTGGCTCAGAGCTCTCTTACAACTTTTGAAAAAGGACAAAATTGGCCAGGCACGGTGGCTCATGACTGCAATCCCAGTATTTCAGGAGGCAGAGGTGGGCGGATAGCTTTAGTTCAGGAGTTGGAGACCAGCCTGAGCAAAGTAGTGAAACCATGTATTTACCAAAAATACAAAAACTTAGCTGGGTGTAATGGCGCACATCTATGATTCCAGCTACTTGGGAAGCTGAGGTGGGAAGATTGCTTAAGCCTGGGAGGCAGAGGTTGCAGTGAGCTGAGATTGTACCACTGCACTCCAGCCTGGGTGACAGAGTGAGATACTGTCAAAAAAAAAAAAAAAAGAAAAAGAGAGAGAGAAAGAAAGACAGAAGAAAGAAAGAAAGGGAGAGAGAAAGAGAAAGAAAAGAGAGAAAGAAAAAGGAAGAAAGAAAGAAAGAAAAAGAAAGAAAGAAAGAAAGAAGAAAGAAAGAGAGAAAGAAAGGACAAATTTGGCTTCAGCCTCATCTCACCTTCCTCCCTTCAGCTGTTTCCTACCTTTCAGATTTCCTCCCAAAGACCTACCTCTCAAAGCAGGGCACCCACAGTCACTCCACACCCACCACCTACTGCTCCATCAGAGCCTGCACCCCGAGGTCTCTCTGTGATCATAGGACCTGCCCCTGCTCAGAGCTGCCCCTCACAGATGCTCAGGATGGGCACAATTTGCCCAACTACTTCACATGACTATGGGACTAGCCCATCACATACCATCACCCTGCCAGGAGCTTAGACCGTCGAAACAGGTTGGTTTTACACAAAGAGGTGTTAACATAAGAGTATTTGTTAACGTATTACATAAGCTGAGGAAGTATCCCAGGGCCTGACACACTTGAGGTGACCACCCCTATAGAGTAGACCATATTGTGGATATATTGCACTGCAGTGATGCACAGATTTCCAAACACCAAGAGAGAGAGATCAATTAGAGTCGTTTTTTCAGCTCCTAATTCCCTATCAAATGGCAGGTCGTTTAGGGCAGATTGGTTTTCCAGAACTCTGTCCTCTGTATCAGCTCCCCTGAGATGACTCAACTCTCCATGGTTTCTTTACTTATGAAATTACACACGTCTTTTTTAAAAGAAACAAAGGTTGGATGTGTTTTCCCTGCCTCCTATGGTTGTGCCAAGGGCCTCTGCTAGAAGGAAGAAAAGACAGACAGAGCAGGCCTGGACAGCAGTTGTCACCTGGACACATGGATGATTGGTCATTGGGGACTGATTATTGAATATATAAAATAAAAATCTGGCTGAGTATAACTTTTGTTTTAGGCAAAAATATGAACTTCTTTATTTACCAAAATATTTAAGTCATAAAAAAACCAGACTTTTTGCATTAAATGCAGTGATTAATGTTCTGTCCTCCTCTAAGTCAGCACAATGAATGACTACATTTGCTTCTTGAATGTAGGAGCCCCCCAGTCCTGTTGACTCCCATCTCTTTCTTCCCCACCTCTAGGACCTAGAGCAGGACTTTGAGGACAAAAGGTGTTCAATAAGTGGTCTTATTAAAAGTCAGTTTACCAAAACTCCTACTTTCTTCTCTAAAAGCCACTAAATATATCCAAGGGTGGAAAGAAACTGCAGATAACCAACGACAAGGCCTTTTTTTCCCTCTTAAGTGTGGTCTTTGGACCAAAACCAATTGTGAATCAAAACCAAGCACATTTCTGACTCCCACTACAGATGAGGTAGATAATGTCAGCTGGGAGCAGGTGGGAAGGGTCGCAGCCCAGCACTGTCATCTGAGCCCGTTACTCCAATGAGCCTGTTAGAATGCTACAATCCAGCATCTTAGAAGGCTGCATATCCTTGCAGATAGGGGAGGAACAAAAAAGAATAAAAGGGGCCATATGGAGCCAGGAGCTTGCCCCCTGGATCAGCAGTTCAGGATGGGCATGAGAGCACTCTGGGTGCCTGGAAAATAGGCTGTGCCTGGCAGTCAGGGAGCACCCTAAAGGAGGACTGAACTGCTGAAGCACAAGACAGACGCAGGAGGCAGCAGGCAAGGCCCTGGAGAGGAAGCCACTAAGTCACCAGGAACCCTCAGTGTTGAATCAGCAACTGCAGTTCCTTAGAACATTCCAGAAGTGTCCTTCTCTCTCTAAGACGAAAGATACCTCCCACCCACCTCCACACTCTCCCTAAGTTTCAAGGCTCTCTCTGTTATTGTGTGGATGATAAATTTGGCATTAAATGAAAGTACTGTTATTAGATGTGTATTGAGCACTCATGTTCCTGCCTTATCCTTCTTTCATTATTTATGAAAGATGAGGAAAGCTCCAACCTGTCTCTCTGAGATAAGAAGGGTGAGATAAGAGGTGGGAGATCTCAAACAAGAGCCTGGTCAGCCACAGCCACGGCAGTGACAAGATGCTCCAGAGGAAAGTGGAACCCAGGGCTCTGGACTACATCAGCATCACTGCCCACCTGAGGCTCTCCTATCAGCCCTGTGATGGTTAATACTGTCAACTTGGTTGGATCAAAAGATGCAAAGTATTGTTCCTGGGTGTGTCTGTGAGGGTGTTGCCAAAGGAGATTAACATTTGAATTAGTGGATTGGGAGAGGCAGACCCATGTTTAATCTGGTTGGGCACTATCTAATCAGCTGCCAGCATGGCCAGAATAAAGCAGGCAGGAGAAGATGGAAGAGCAGACCCACTGAGTCTTCTGGCTTTCACCTTTCTTTCCATGCTGGATGCTTCCTGCCTTCAAACATCAGACTCCAAGGTCTTGAGCTTTTGGACTTACACCAGTGGTTTGCCAGGGGCTCTTGGGCATTCAGCCACAGACTAAAAGGCTGACCTGTTGGTTTCCCTACTTTTGAGGTTCTGGGATTTGGACTGGCTTCCTTGCTTCTCAGCTTGCAGACAGCCTATTGTGGGACCTCACCTTGTGAATGTGTGAGTCAATACTCCTTAATAAACTCCCCTTCATATATACATCTATCCTATTAGTTCTGTCCTTCAACAAAACCCTAATACAAGCCCCACCCTGGAATTTGTTTTACAAAGGAGATATCTTTCCTTACAGTCTTCTCCTGCTTGGTTATTGGTCTAGTGTGGATATTTGCCTTCTTGTGTTTTTGAGACATGATCAAATGACTGGATGGATAATGTGTGTGTATTTTTATTGATGAGGAACCTCACACATAAGAAAAGAAACCTGATAAAGTCAAGCCAGGAAAAGCGCAGAACATGGCATTTGCTCCTAAAGAAGGCCCTCATGAAGTAGCTTTAAACAAACTTTGCTTCCTTCAAGAAACCACCTTCTCTAGAGAATACCTGTTGGAGAGATTAAGTATCACTTGCCCCATGAATTTCAGCGTGATTCATTCGGCAAGCATTACTGAGTGCCTGTTATGTGCAGGGCTCTCTACTAGGCATGGGTAGACAGTGAGTGAAACTAGACACAGTCTTTGCCTCCCAATTTTAAGAAAATGCCTCCTGATTGGTAAAAATCTGGAGACCTCTCCTCCTTTGGCCCCTGGAAGGGAATATGATATTCCTAATAAAGACATTGTCTTTCCTATGAGACACTTCATAATTTGCTCAGGAGGGGAGCTCAGATTTACACTAGAAGAGAAACTGTGAGGTCTCCAGTGAGTTTGGGGTAACTGTGAAATGAATCATTGCCAGTTGGTCTGTGGGAAGATCAATTCCCATACAAAGCACCAAACAGAAATTCTGGAGCCAACTGACATCTGCACTTTATTCCTCCTCTCAGTAGCATCACCATTCAAGTGGCTGTTACACTTTTTATTCTCCACCTGCTTTTGGTGATTTTACTGAAGGTGAACAAGCTTGAGGAACCACCTGAAGAAAGAAGGAAACCTGCCCTTCTGAGCTAGTCTTTTAGATAGCAGCACTGAGCAGCGCAGATTGACGGGATCAAAGCTGTTGGGGTCAACTGCAACTACTGGTTCTGCTGTTGTCTGGTCTATTCACTCACCCCTTCTAGACTAATTTCTGGAGACTTTAGCAACTCGTTTTTCAACAAAATGCAGATGACTTCATTTTACTTTGCCTTAAGCTTTATATAACCTAATACTTAATATGCGCTGAGTAATTCTACTGTACCCCATCAAAAAGCAGTCTGCAAACATCCCAGAATATCACGTCACTTTGACTTGGATCATAATAACCTATTAACCCTCTTACTGAAATCTCAGTTTTGTGAAAACTTGTATTCTAGAACCCTGTTGAAAGCTACAGAGTTGACCCAAATACCCTCAGCAAGGCTTTTTATATTTTATATTTGGCTTTCAATAGCTGGAAATGCCACAGCTTCACTTCAGGTTGGTTTTAGGGTTGTTTAGCTGCTGTCCTTTCCTCTAACACCTAACTCATTATCTTAAAAGCCTAGAAGAGTTAAATCATAAAGTCTGATTGTTCAGGGCACCTTAAATGGTCAGAGTACGGAGCTTTCAGCAAAACCTTGGGGATTTTTCCAATAGCAGCCAACCATAGCTGTACAAACACATTGTAATGAAACTTGACTGTGTCTTGCTGTCAAACAAGTATATGTAGGTATAGCACTGAAAAACTTGTTTGAAAGTCTATGTCCCTGGGGCTCTTGGAGGAAGGCTGTCTTCTTTTGCTGCCTATACTTCGGGGAACTGAAGTCAAAAGCACAAAACAACATAGTCAGTTTGTCTCTGGGAATGCCTAGCCCAGTGCAGTGTTGCCTTGTTACAAGTTCCTATGACATTTACCATTCCCTCGTGACAAGGGGCCCTCACCTTCATTGTAGGACATCCCTCTACTGACTCATAAGGTATAATATTAGAAACCTTTTCTGCTGGGTTTCTCATGCCTATAATTCCAGCACTTTCAGAGGCCAAGGCAGGAGTATCTCTTGAGCCCAAGAGTTAGACACTAGCCTGGGCAACATGTGAGACCCCATCTTTACTAAAGAAATAAAGAAATAAAAATTAGCCAGGTGGGGCAGCACATGCCTGTGGTCCCAGCTTCTCAGGAGGCAGAGGTGGGAGGATTGTTTGAGCCTGGGCTGTCAAGGCTGCCATGAGCTGTGATCATGCCACTGCACCCCAGCCTGGGTGACAAAGCAAGACTCTGTCAAAAAAAAAAAAAAAAAAGGTCAAAAGAAACCACTTTCTGATATAATACAGACATTTTATTTTCCTGTGAGACCCTTATTTCTGCTGATTCTATAAGATCATTTGAAACAGGTTTGCCCCACTCTGGAGTTTACTTCTTCATATCCATGTTTCCTTTACAGAACCAGAATTATCTTTCTTTTCTTTCAGGAACAAGTTTCTTTGACACACTGTTTTATTTCAAGCTTCTCATTTTTATTCAGTTACTACTTTCATTTGTTTATTCATTCTTTCAGTAAGTGTTTGTTGAAGGTCTGCTAGAAGCCAAAAATCATTCTCGGGCCAAAGATATGGTAGTGAAAAAGACAGACAAGATCCCTGTTCTCATACAGTTTATAGCTTAGGGGATAATAATAGCTAGAATCATTGAGTGCTAAAGACTTTACACTCATTACCTCCTTTAATTCACACACAGTCATATGAGGGAAGCATTAATATCCTTATTTTACAGGTGAGAAAAGTGAAATTCTAAATAGCATGCCCAAGGGACCCCAGCAATCAGGAAGGAATCCGCAACTGAATTTGGATCCACTCACCTCTGCTAGTTATCAAGATCCAAGCAGGGGACCCGGCGTTGCCTGTACCCCACCATCCAAAACTCCTGCTCACACATGTGCCTTTCCCCTTTCCTTTGGCATTACTATCACACATCTCAATTGCCTTTCTTGATTGTCTCAGAGTCTCCCCAGTAATTCCCACTTATACAGAGCAACGGCTATATCTATATTCATGGTTACTTTCAACACATGATTACCAAATGGGAAAACATCTGTAACATAACAGGTTTCCTTTCTGTCTTAATTATGGGCCTAGCAATCAGAGGAACTTTAATATTTAATATCTAAGCAAAATACTTAATGATTACAAAGTGATGTTCCACTTTTGATGTAAAATCAGAGCTGAAGTGAACTCTAAGAAAATCAACTCTATTTGCCTGACACAGAGGCAGGCCAGAGGCTGGAAGAAAGAAGGCATTTAAACTCATTAGAGCTGACCTATATAACCAACTTGGGTCTCAGCTCTGGTTTTTGCTTTGCTTTTGGTTCATGAATTATACAGGCAATTTAACTCATGAAGATAAATGAGGCTTTTCATTGTCAATACCCCTCCACACCCCATGACGCAGATAAGCTGATAAACAGGCTGCTAATTTTATTAACATTTTGCAATGTATGATTCAGTGTTGTTCACTGTAAAAACCAAGCTTCCTTACTTTAAATATTTACCTTCTTGCCCCATTGTGCTTTGCCTCCAGTAAGAGTTGGAGTACTGCCAATATTGTTCTCCCTGTGATAGGTGACAGATTTCAATAATTATCAGAGTATATCACTAAGAGATCTTTTTTTACATTAAAATGAAATACCAGGACTGCCTAACAGATGACAGTTTGAAACTAAGGGGGAACAATTTCTATTTGTAATAAATTATCTTAAAGATCCCTGCCTATGAGTATTTATAGAGGGTCACTAAGAGTAGCTTGACTTTGCCAAACCTGTTTTAAAAGGAGCCACCCCCAAAATTTAATAGCATTTGTGTTTTGCTGGTGTCATCACCGTGTATGGGAGGAAGATTTTGAGATGTCTGGTTAGGCCCTGGAGGATTTGCTCTGCACAGCAGAAAACAATGGAGCCAAAAAAGCGAGCTCTCCCCCCAAAACAATGTCAAATAAATGATGATGACCCCCAGGTTTCCTGGGTGAGAGAAGCTAGAAGGTCAGGGACTGACAAGGCAGCTTCAGATAAAGAGTTGGAACAAAAAGTATGAATAACGTCGGGCTTTAAGAACACATTTTCACATGCCGCTGGCATGCTTTATGTGTTTGTGCACAGCCCTGATGGCTTTACTACTAGGAAACTTATTTACATTTTACCGGGTATCAGGAGACCTGGTTCAGAATATTAGTTTTTTTACCTAACTAGCTAGGTGACCTTCGGCTAAGAAATTAACTTGAGTATGTTTCCTACCATTTCCCAGAGAGAGCTGTTTTAAGGATAAGGTACAATGTGACATAGTGTTTGGCCCACGGAAGTGCCAGTTTGTAGCTTTTTTCTTTACTTACAATTTATTATTGTTGTTCTTATTGCCACTGTCACTTATTTTGGGAGTTAAAGTCATTTATATTATTTTTTTCCAAATAAGGACTATATTCCCCTGGCCCATCTGGCATTAGGCTTGGCCATGTGATTTCTTTGAGCCAATGAAATGTAACTGAAAGTGATGCATGTCGCTTTAGAGTAGAAGTTCTGAGGTCATGCTGCAGTGCTGCCGTTACTCTTTTTCTGCTGCCACAAAGACAGCACATCCCAGATAGGAGGTTCTTTCCATCAGAATACCAGAATGAAGAGTACATACAGAAAAGAGCCATGGTTGACCTGCACCTGACATGTAAAACAACTTAGAACAAAAACCTGTATTGTAAGTCACTAAGAGTTGTTTGTAACTGCAGCAGAACCAAGAATAACTTGGCTCTGATACACCTAATACATACCCTTGATTTACAGGGTTGGGGTAATTTGGAAAGGCAAAGATTTCAGCTATGATCCCACCTGCCTTTAGAGGTTCTACTCCAAGCCTCCCATAGTATTAATATTCGGCGGTTCAGAATCTTGAGGAGGCCATTGTGGCAAAACAATGGAATACCTTCACAAGTTATTTTTATTTCTCAATCACTTCTAATCATCTCCAGCTCACCCCACACTAAAACCCTCATCTATGTTTGCATAGAGCATCTAACTAGAACATCTTCAAGTGCAAAGAGGAATGGATACTAAAAATCCTTAAGACATACTGTTGGGGAAACAATGCCTACGATATAGAAAGAATCTTAAGAAACATGTCTGGCAAATATATAGGAGCAGAAAAAAAAGGGCATTTTCCTCCAGTGAGAAATCTGTGAGGCTTTGTTGAGCCGCCACTGTTCTAAGAGTTGTAGAGAATACAAATGTGATTAAGGTACATGCCCTGTCCTCCACGAGGTTATGGGTGAAGGAAAATAAGATAGTGCACAAATAACCAAAATTCCAAGTGACCGTGATAAGTCCTATAGAAAGATACAAACTGCTATGTGATCACAGAGGAGCAAGGGAGGACCTCCGGCTGAGGTTGGAGAAGGCTCCTAGAAGCAGCTGATCATCGTCCTGTACTTCTGCAGGCTAGATAGCACTTCCGTTATCAGGTATTGGGGTGGAGGAGAATTCCAGGGGAAGAGAACGGCAGAATAAAAGTATAAACAGAAAAAATAAAGTTATTTTCAGGAAATGGTGATCAATTGTTTGATTAGGCAGAGGGTTCATGAGGAAGTAGTGGGAAGCAAGGTTATGACTTGGCTGTGTTAATGCTAAGGTGGGGAAGGCACTGAAAAAACTAAGAAGGGGCAAAGACTTTCTGGGAAGCAATTCTGTGTCCTTGAACAGGGAATGACTCACCTGAACTGCATTCATTCCAAGTTTTACTTAAACAAGAGAATCAAATGCCTTGGCTAAATAGCAAGAATTAGAAGATCTAGTCAAGATGATGGCCCAAGCCCATGTGTTTTACTCCCTCTCTTCCCCAAAATTCCACTAAAATGTCAGTAGTAAAGAAGTACAAGAGGCTGGGCACGGTGGATCACACCTGTAATGCAGCACTTTGGGAGACCCAGGTGGGTGGATTGCTTGAGACCAGTCTGCACAAGATGGTGAAACCCCATCTTTACCAAGAATACAAAAGATTAGCCGAGCATGGTGGCATGCACCTGTGGTCCCAGCTACTCCCAGATACTTGGGAGGCTGACGTGGGAGAATCACTTTAACCTAGAAGGCAGAGGTTGCAGTGAGCTGAGATCGAGCCACTGCACTCCATCCTGGGTGACAGGGTGACTCCATCTCAAAAAAAAAAAAAAAAAAGAAAGAAAGAAAGAAAAGAAAAATGACAAAAGGACAAGAGTAGTACAGGGAATCTATCAACCAGACAGAGATTTTGATAAATTTCTGGAAGATGGCCAGTTGGTAAGATTACATTTATCGATAAGAAAGCATGCAGAAAGTCTCCACTCAGCATCAGAGGTAGTAGCCACTCTTCCCAGTCAGCTCAGCATATTTTTGAAGCTACAAACTGGTAAGTGAAGATGGCAGTGGGCAGCCAGGCAGGGGTCTAGGGGTAACTGAAGGTCTGTCTGTGAAGCAATATCCCACCCCCACCTCTGTTTTCTCAAGCCCCTAACAGCGGTGGAATTTATCACCAGGATAAGACTGGGAACTGATCTATAAAAAGGTTGTTATCTATCAAGGAAGGGCTAGGGGTACTAGCCTGTGGGTTGCTAAGACCCTCTTCATTTCAGAGGAGTAGAATGTAAATACAATTGTTGCTCTGTATCCCAAGCTTGCACAGCTGTGGATTCAACCAACCCTGAATGGAAAATATTTGAAGAAAAAAAAATGGATGGTTGCATCTTTACTGAACATTTAAAAAAATTCCTTTTTCTTGCCATTATCCCCTAAACAATACAGTATAACAACTATTTACAAATGATTTACATTGTATTATAATAATTTAGTGATGATTTAGAGTATACAGAGGATTTACGTAGGTTATAAGCAAACACTATGCTATATTTTATCAGGGACTTGAGTATCCATGGATTTTGGGATCCCAAGGAGGTCCTGGAACTTCCAGGGATATCAAGGGATAACTACACTGGAAACTTTAACAGTGTGAAAGTAATGGAACTGCTATCAGAAGGAATGAATGGAACCATAATTTCCTCTCCTAAGTCGTATCTGCACATACTGTCTAAAGTTGACAGAATAAGACAGGTTGGAGTATGTTTTTTAGACGTATACAGGTAACCAAAATAAGATCCAAACTTTTTTTTTTTTTGAGACAGAGTCTCTCTCTGTCACCCAGGCAGGAGTGCGGTGGTGTGATCTCGGCTCATTGCAAACTCCACCTCCCGAGTTCACACCATTCCCAGGTTCACACAATTCTCCTGCCTCAGCCTCCTGAGTAGCTGGGACTACAGGTGCCCGCCACCGCACCCGGCTAATTTTTTGTATTTTGTTTTAGTAGAGATGGGGTTTCACCATGTTAACCAGGATGGTCTCAATCTCCTGACCTTGTGATCCGCCTGCCTCAGCCTCCCAAAGTGCTGGGATTACAGGTGTGAGCCACTGGGCCCAGCCAGTAAGATCCAAACTTTATAGCACAACTAAGAAAAAGTGAGAAGTGGAAAATGAAATGAAGAGAAGATTAAGTATGCCGAATTCCTCATCTTTCATAATGAGAATTTACTGAATATATTTACATTTTTTAAAGTACAAGAAGTGTTGCTGTAATCATGTAATTTATATATATGGAGGTAGCCACTAGAAGAATAAAACCAGATAAGATTAAATACTGTGGCTTCTGGAGAATAAAGCTTGAGTGGAGTAGGGGACTGTAGAGGTTGAGAGAAAATATTTTTATTTTATTGTATCCTAATCCGTTTGAATTCTTTTTAATGGTTAAATATTTACTATTGAAATTTAGAAGTAGGAAGAAAGAGCATTTGAATTTCACTTCAATGCTCAATTGACAGCATTACTAATGAGTTCTTTGTTGACCCCAAGACTTCTTAAGAAAACTACAAGTATCATGGGTCTACTATGGATTTTTCTTCCTTCTCATGTTTATGGCTCAGCCCCAACAGATATTTCTGATTCCCTTGCCTGACAGAATTTTCTTCCCTTAGAAACAAAAGTGTTTTTTTTTTCTTTTCTACTGTGTGAGCCCTATACTTGGGCATACACATGTCAATTTAATTAGCAGTGTCTAGTTTTACAGTTCCCAGGAGCAACTGGGCCCAACATTATCACATGAGCTCTAGGTATTTTGGACCAGTTCAAAAGAGTCTAAAGAAAATGGCAGCTATTCGGTGTTAAACATGTAGCTGCATATAAAAATTACTATAGATTTTTAAAAAATGTTATCAGGTTAATTTAAACATACCTAATTGCTTTAATTTTTCTTAGCCTGTTTTACTGTATACTGAAATTTGCATGAGAGGGCTATGAGGAAAGATTTAAATGAAGTTATTTTTCTAGTAAGATTTCAAGCAGGCAGATGTTTTCCCCAAGGAGCTGTTCAAACAGAACATGCAGAAGAGCATCCCGAGAGCCAGAAAGAGAGTACATCTTCAGCTATCAAATTTTTGCATCATTTTTAAGCTGCATCATTGTCTGTTTGAATTTCCAATGTATCATTTTTGAACCAGTGAAATTAACCTTTGTCCAGTGATATGATAAGTTTTCCACTGAAGAGATCCGGAACACTCTAAATGTTTACTCTGAAAATTCTCCTGAGAATATCATAGTTTTAAAAGAGGTTAATTTATGCAGATAGGAGCTACTCAATTAGGCTCATGCTCAGAACAGTCTTCACTGACAAGAGCCGCCTACCATCTGTGAAGTCAACTATTTCCATTTCCAGTGATCCCAAGTTCATCCTTGTAGCTGCTGAGATTGAAATTCTCAGTCAATCATAAATATCATCTGTTCTGTTCCCCCTGTCCTACTCTGGCGTTCACTTAGGTCATGAATTTTTTTTTCTTTTCTAATCAACAGATTTCAAAGAAACACCACCAAAAAGGATGTGTAAATAATTTTATTTTCATGGCTGGTGGCTTTGCAACAACCACTAGCTCATTCTGGGGGTCCAGAAGGCTGCTCATTTTTTATTCTCTAGAAAGAACCCGGTGGCAGTTGGAATAGAATATTAACAGTTCAGGGAGGACTGTGGGAGGATCTCATTTTCCTTACCCTTCTCTGAATCAGGAGTCACTTAAGCAGACCTGCAGAGAATCACCACCTCAATTCTAGAATATCTGACCTTATCAGGGGTCAGAGATCCCATAGCCACTCGCAGTTAATTGCCGCTGCAGTTAACAATTCCATCAGAACCGCCTAATCTAGGGTGTTTTTTTTTTTAATTATACTTTAAGTTCTAGGATACATGTGCAGAACGTGCAGGTTTGTTACGTAATTATACACGTGCCAAGGTGGTTTGCTGCACCCATCAACCCATCATCTACAT
This sequence comes from Homo sapiens, assembly GCF_000001405.40. Classification (NCBI taxonomy): domain Eukaryota; kingdom Metazoa; phylum Chordata; class Mammalia; order Primates; family Hominidae; genus Homo; species Homo sapiens. The sequence continues at coordinate 34,475,325 of NC_000013.11, forward strand.
TAGGCATTTCTTCTAATGCTATCCCTCCCTATCCCCCAACCCCCGAAAGGCCCTGGTGTGTGATGTTCCCCTCCCTGTGTCCATGTGTTCTCACTGTTCAGTTCCCACTTGTGAGTGAGAACATGCGGTGTCTGGTTTTCTGTTCTTGTGTTAGTTTGCTGAAAATGATGGTTTCCAGCTTCATCCATGTCCCTGCAAAGGACATGAACTCATCCTTTTTATGGATGCATAGTATTCCATGGTGTATATATGCCACATTTTCTTTATCCAGTCTATCAATAATGGACATTTGGGTTGGTTCCAGGTCTTTGCTATTGTGAACAGTGCTGCAATATTAGAGATCCATAATCTAGCATTTTTAGACCCAGATTGTCCCTGAACAAAGCCCAAAGACTTCATCACCCTAGCTAAATCTCTCTATTGGCTCTTATTTTTGGCAGGTAAACCTAGCAGCTGAGTTGAAGTCTTCCTTTTTGCGAGATTCATTCACCATGCTCAGTGGCACAGAACTTTGTGGAAGGACTAAAGACGTCATTTGGTTCAGTCTCCTGACTTTAAATAGATCAGGTCAAGATTTGCTTCAAAAAAAATCTCTTTTAGGAAGCCTCCCCAGAACTACACAAAACTAGATTGATGCCTTTCTTTTGCATCTGAAGTCCAATGCCTTCCTTTTTCCTGGTATTTACATCCCAGATATAACATCTACTTCCTTGTCTGACTCTTCATCAAGCAGCCTTTAAGTTCTTCGAAGTCAGAAGTTCCTCTGTCTTCTTTGTACCCATGTTGTGTGCCCGGCACATTGCAACTGTCAGTAAATATGTGGTAAATGGCTTTTACAGGTGAGACACCTCAGCCCCAGATGATTTAGATGATTTCTAAGTCCTAGAACAAATGTAGTGTCATGAGCAGGAATTGCCTGAAAGGGGCCCTGGATTTTTGGGACAAGAAAGCTACCAGGGAAAGGAACTATAGCTGATTCAGCTTCCTGTAGAATCTGTGGCTTCCTCATCAGGCCTTCAGTAGCTAGGATTTCCAGATAACTCCTATACATAAACAGTTTCTATCCCCCAATCCGGATAACCTGGTACCAAGCTGCCTGTGAATCTCCCCACGAGGGCTCGTGTTTAAGAGATAAAATAAAATAAATGAAAATAAAACAGGGCTCTCTGTTAAAATTTAATTTCAGAAAAACAGCCAATAATTATTTATTCATTACACTGTTTGGGACACACATACTAAAAATGTATTCCTCATATATCTGAAGTTCAAATTTAACTGAGGATCCTGTGTTTTATGTGGTAACCCAACCTACACCCTCCCACACACACAGCACACACATATACACACATGAATGGAAACAGCTGCCTTCCTACCTTATCCTATAACAATGGAGAGAACACAGGGTTCCATCTCTTCAGTCACTTGTAGACCACACTGCAGGCCCAGAGCATGTAGACCCTGATGCGCCTCTCAGGAAACAAGATGATCCTTCCCTTCTTTTGCTGGTCTTTGGCTTGTGTAAGTTTCCCCTTCTCCAATAAAACCTATTACTTAATCTGTATTCTGTGATGTAGTGGAATTATCAGACCCCTGGCACAGGACAAATGATGAACCAGATGGAACCCACCTTCTACAACAGAACTACACATGTGATATTTCTAACACTGCAAGTTCTTACTGACAAAATGTTTTCCTACATAGCTTAGCGTCTCATTAACTCTGTGTAATTTCTCCTACCTGAGAGAGGCCCTGAAGTGTATAAGCTAAAATGCCTATGCTAATTAGCACCACACACTTTAGAGGCTGGGTATCATAGTAATGGAGCATGAGGGCTTAGGATCAGAGAGGTCTAGGCTCCAGTCTTTGCTCCACCAATTTCTAGTAACATGAACCTCTGAACTAACTGCCTCCACTGTAGAATGGGCATCCTAAAAGCTCCCGCTTCATAGGACATGAGAAAATGGGATGAGCTAGGTCACAGTAATCAACACACTGCCAGGCGTATGGTGCACCCTTATTGATATTGGTATTGATCATCATCAGATCTGGCCAGCCTCTGTCTTGACCCTACACTTTTTGGGTATTTGTCCCTTTTGAGGACACTGCCCCTGGACCCAGGTTGTTTCTCAAACTTCAGCTTGTTTGCTTTTGATAATGATGCCTATTCTCTGCTGGAATGTTACATAACTTGACTCTGTCATCTCTTCTTTTTAAGCATAGCGTGCATTGTTTCTTTGATACACTAAACATTTCCTTTCTTATCACATCTCTTGTATCAGTTTGCTCCCTGCCTAGCTCCATGCCAATGAGCAGCAAATCAAAAATGTTTGATTAGTATCATCATCTTCACCATAAAATCATCAATGCATTTCATGAGAGGATGACCTTTTCTTTTTACTTTTAACATTTTTACTTCTTTTATAATTATGAAAGCATTAATGTATTCGTTGCAACTAGTCAAATAATTCAAGGATGTATAAAGAAAAATTTTCTCTTCACTCCCCCCATTCATTTCCATCCTACCCTCAACCTGAGGTTGATGCATATCTTTCCCTATCTTTCTATGGCTCATAGAAACATGCGCGTGCACACACACACACACACACACACACACACACATCTGTAAATATATACTCAGACATGGCATTACTCTTTTACTCTTGCTTTTATCAAAATGTATTACACTAGTTATATTATTGTATCACTTTATTTTCTTATATAATGTCGCATAGATATTATTTTAATAGTGGAATAATAATCACTGAATGGATGTACTATATATATTCACCCTCTCATTATTGACAGTCATTAAGATTGTAACCAATTGCTATTCCAGTATTCACAATGCTGCAGTAGAAAGCCTTGCACATACATCTTTTATGCCCTGGGACTCTGTTGTGTATAGTGTGCATTCCCAGAAGTGAGGTTGCAGGTGAAAGGGTGTGTGTAATAGGGCAGGATTTGCCAGGAAGGTAACGAAGCCCTGGTTACACAAGCCCTTTAAAGGGTCCTAGACTTCATTTTGTATTTGTGATTTGCATTAATTTTCTTAAAGAAGCATGAATGAAATGCTAAAATGAATGAAGCTAATAAAATTTAAGCTTTGAGCCCCTGTGAAACCTAGACTCTCCCTGAGTATATGTGTATTTAGTTTTAAAATATACTAACAAATTGTTGTCCTAAAATGTGGTGGAAATTCATGCCTTTACCAGCAAGACAGGGAACAGCCCAGGGGCCCCCGTCCTTCACAGCACTGGCTGTCACTGCATTTCCACCTGCCTGCCAATTTGATGGGTAAACATATGGTGTCTTATTCATCTATGTATATTTTATTTATTTCTGCAAGTTTAATCATTTGCCATATGTTTTTTGACCATTTAGAATTCTTCCATGAATTGCATCACCATTGGATTTTAACCTTTTTCTCTTCGGTTTATAGAATCTTTTTATGTCTTGGTTCATCCTTTCAACAAATATTGAGCATCTACTATATTCAGGGCACTTCTACGAGCTGGGGATAGAGCAGTGAACAAAATCTCTGACTACATGCAGTTTCCTTCCTAGCTGAGGGAGACACTCTAAAATCAAATAAACAAGAATGTGAGGAATATGTCAAAGTGCTATAGAGAAAACAAAGCAGGGAAAAGGGAGAACCCAGGTGGGAAGGAGCTGCTCTTCTATGTAGGTTGATCAGAGCAGGCCTCACTGATAAGATGTTCAGGTCGAGCCAAGTATCTGTGGGGAGACCATTCCAGGAGGAGAGTCAGCGAGGGCAGGGAGGCCTGAGGTGGCAGCAGGCTTGGCCAGGAGGCCAGTGTGTCTGGAGCCACGTAGACCCAGGCAGGTGTGGGGGGAGGGAGGTGAAGTCAGGTAGTAGTTGCCCCCTCCCAGGTTATGCTGGGCTGTGTCACAGGGACGATGCAGCTGTTACTCTGAGCGAAATTATGAGCAGGTGAAGTTTCCATCCAAAGAGTGACATGATTTCATTTATAAAGATCTCTCTGCTGCTGAGTAGGAAATAGATTGGATATTATTTTATCTGCCATATCTATATCTGTTTCAAATGCATTCCCCAGTCTATTGTGTCTTTTGAATTTATGGTGGTTTCTATCGAGTATTAAAAACTAAAGATATTATGTTGTTAAATGTCTTTTGAATTCTCCCTCATCTTGCTTCTAAAGCCAAAGTGGTAGAAAAATCTGCATATTCTTTAATACTTTTGAATATCTTTTCCATCATTTCAGTTACAGATACAAGTGTTAGAAATCTAGAATCTAATCTGACATCACAAAATATGATCCCTTTTCTCTATCTCAGATGGTCTAGAGTCACATTTAAGTACACATTTAATTCTTTCTATTTGTCTGGTTAATTGTTTGGATGTTCTGAGATGCAAAACTATTTTATTTGTCAGAAAAGGAAAATAAACAGCAAGAAATCCTTGGCCTAGCCTCTTCATTCTGCTTCTATACACATTGAACGACTGGGATTAATCACAATGAAACCTTGCATATAAGAATAAGAATGTCTTCCATTTCAAGACTGTGCACAAATATATAATGATAAATATATTGAAACTCATGCTTTTTAAGGGTTAAATTGTCTATTTGTACTATTATAAGTAGGTTAAAATAACATTAATATCTGGAGGAATAGGAAGGAGAAGTTTTTTAATCACATGAATAACGACAGTAAAAATTCCTCAGCTTTGGATCCTGTAGTTACTACTCTCTCAATGATGTATATAAGGTTGACTGTATTGGCAGTATTAAAATGAATACTTCGATATGAACCTGAAATTTTCCTATATATATATTGAATATACGGAAGTATAATCATAAAAATACAGTTATAACATTTATTATTGTGATTTACTTACTCAAATAATGTATGAATACCAGAAATTAGGCAATTCCTATTGTTTTAATTTTCTTTTTTTTTTTTTTTTTTTATTATACTCTAAGTTTTAGGGTACATGTGCACATTGTGCAGGTTAGTTACATATGTATACATGTGCCATGCTGGTGCGCTGCACCCACTAATGTGTCATCTAGCATTAGGTATATCTCCCAATGCTATCCCTCCCCCCTCCCCCGACCCCACCACAGTCCCCAGAGTGTGATATTCCCCTTCCTGTGTCCATGTGATCTCATTGTTCAATTCCCACCTATGAGTGAGAATATGCGGTGTTTGGTTTTTTCTTCTTGTGATAGTTTACTGAGAATGATGGTTTCCAATTTCATCCATGTCCCTACAAAGGATATGAACTCATCATTTTTTATGGCTGCATAGTATTCCATGGTGTATATGTGCCACATTTTCTTAATCCAGTCTATCATTGTTGGACATTTGGGTTGGTTCCAAGTCTTTGCTATTGTGAATAGTGCCGCAATAAACATACGTGTGCATGTGGCTTTATAGCAGCATGATTTATACTCATTTGGGTATATACCCAGTAATGGGATGGCTGGGTCAAATGGTATTTCTAGTTCTAGATCCCTGAGGAATCGCCATACTGACTTCCACAATGGTTGAACTAGTTTACAGTCCCACCAACAGTGTAAAAGTGTTCCTATTTCTCCACATCCTCTCCAGCACCTGTTGTTTCCTGACTTTTTAATGATTGCCATTCTAACTGGTGTGAGATGATATCTCATAGTGGTTTTGATTTGCATTTCTCTGATGGCCAGTGATGATGAGCATTTCTTCATGTGTTTTTTGGCTGCATAAATGTCTTCTTTTGAGAAGTGTCTGTTCATGTCCTTTGCCCACTTTTTGATGGGGTTGTTTGTTTTTTTCTTGTAAATTTGTTTGAGTTCATTGTAGATTCTGGATATTAGCCCTTTGTCAGATGAGTAGGTTGCGAAAATTTTCTCCCGTTTTGTAGGTTGCCTGTTCACTCTGATGGTAGTTTCTTTTGCTGTGCAGAAGCTCTTTAGTTTAATTAGATCCCATTTGTCAATTTTGTCTTTTGTTGTCATTGCTTTTGGTGTTTTGGACATGAAGTCCTTGCCCACGCCTATGTCCTGAATGGTAATGCCTAGGTTTTCTTCTAGGGTTTTTATGGTTTTAGGTTTAACGTTTAAATCTTTAATCCATCTTGAATTGATTTTTGTATAAGGTGTAAGGAAGGGATCCAGTTTCAGCTTTCTACATATGGCTAGCCAGTTTTCCCAGCACCATTTATTAAATAGGGAATCCTTTCCCCATTGCTTGTTTTTCTCAGGTTTGTCAAAGATCAGATAGTTGTAGATAGGCGGCATTATTTCTGAGGGCTCTGTTCTGTTCCATTGATCTATATCTCTGTTTTGGTACCAGTACCATGCTGTTTTGGTTACTGTAGCCTTGTAGTATAGTTTGAAGTCAGGTAGTGTGATGCCTCCAGCTTTGTTCTTTTGGCTTAGGATTGACTTGGCAATGTGGGCTCTTTTTTGGTTCCATATGAACTTTAAAGTAATTTTTTCCAATTCTGTGAAGAAAGTCATTGGTAGCTTGATGGGGATGGCATTGAATCTGTAAATTACCTTGGGCAGTATGGCCATTTTCACGATATTGATTCTTCCTACCCATGAGCATGGAATGTTCTTCCATTTGTTTGTGTCCTCTTTTATTTCCTTGAGCAGTGGTTTGTAGTTCTCCTTGAAGAGGTCCTTCACATCCCTTGTAAGTTGGATTCCTAGGTATTTTATTCCCTTTGAAGCAATTGTGAATGGGAGTTTACTCATGATTTGGCTCTCTGTTTGTCTGTTGTTGGTGTATAAGAATGCTTGTGATTTTTGTACATTGATTTTGTATCCTGAGACTTTGCTGAAGTTGCTTATCAGCTTAAGGAGATTTTGGGCTGAGACGATGGGGTTTTCTAGATAAACAATCATGTCGTCTGCAAACAGGGACAATTTGGCTTCCTCTTTTCCTAATTGAATACCCTTTATTTCCTTCTCCTGCCTGATTGCCCTGGCCAGAACTTCCAACACTATGTTGAATAGGAGCGGTGAGAGAGGGCATCCCTGTCTTGTGCCAGTTTTCAAAGGGAATGCTTCCAGTTTTTGCCCATTCAGTATGATATTGGCTGTGGGTTTGTCATAGATAGCTCTTATTATTTTGAAATACGTCCCATCAATACCTAATTTATTGAGAGTTTTTAGCATGAAGGGTTGTTGAATTTTGTCAAAGGCTTTTTCTGCATCTATTGAGATAATCATGTGGTTTTTGTCTTTGGCTCTGTTTATATGCTGGATTACATTTATTGATTTGCGTATATTGAACCAGCCTTGCATCCCAGGGATGAAGCCCACTTGATAATGATGGATAAGCTTTTTGATGTGCTGCTGGATTCGGTTTGCCAGTATTTTATTGAGGATTTTTGCATCAATGTTCATCAAGGATATTGGTCTAAAATTCTCTTTTTTGGTTGTGTCTCTGCCTGGCTTTGGTATCAGAATGATGCTGGCCTCATAAAATGAGTTAGGGAGGATTCCCTCTTTTTCTATTGATTGGAATAGTTTCAGAAGGAATGGTACCAGTTCCTCCTTGTACCTCTGGTAGAATTCGGCTGTGAATCCATCTGGTCCTGGACTCTTTTTGGTTGGTAAACTATTGATTATTGCCACAATTTCAGAGCCTGTTATTGGTCTATTCAGAGATTCAACTTCTTCCTGGTTTAGTCTTGGGAGAGTGTATGTGTCGAGGAATGTATCCATTTCTTCTAGATTTTCTAGTTTATTTGCGTAGAGGTGTTTGTAGTATTCTCTGATGGTAGTTTGTATTTCTGTGGGATCGGTGGTGATATCCCCTTTATCATTTTTTATTGCGTCTATTTGATTCTTCTCTCTTTTTTTCTTTAATAGTCTTGCTAGCGGTCTATCAATTTTGTTGATCCTTTCAAAAAACCAGCTCCTGGATTCATTGATTTTTTGAAGGGTTTTTTGTGTCTCTATTTCCTTCAGTTCTGCTCTGATTTTAGTTATTTCTTGCCTTCTGCTAGCTTTTGAATGTGTTTGCTCTTGCTTTTCTAGTTCTTTTAATTGTGATGTTAGGGTGTCAATTTTGGATCTTTCCTGCTTTCTCTTGTAGGCATTTAGTGCAATAAATTTCCCTCTACACACTGCTTTGAATGCGTCCCAGAGATTCTGGTATGTGGTGTCTTTGTTCTCGTTGGTTTCAAAGAACATCTTTATTTCTGCCTTCATTTCGTTATGTACCCAGTAGTCATTCAGGAGCAGGTTGTTCAGTTTTCATGTAGTTGAGCGGCTTTGAGTGAGATTCTTAATCCTGAGTTCTAGTTTGATTGCACTGTGGTCTGAGAGATAGTTTGTTATAATTTCTGTTCTTTTACATTTGCTGAGGAGAGCTTTACTTCCAACTATGTGGTCAATTTTGGAATAGGTGTGGTGTGGTGCTGAAAAAAATGTATATTCTGTTGATTTGGGGTGGAGAGTTCTGTAGATGTCTATTAGGTCTGCTTGGTGCAGAGCTGAGTTCAATTCCTGGGTATCCTTGTTGACTTTCTGTCTCGTTGATCTGTCTAATGTTGACAGTGGGGTGTTAAAGTCTCCCATTATTAATGTGTGGGAGTCTAAGTCTCTTTGTAGGTCACTGAGGACTTGCTTTATGAATCTGGGTGCTCCTGTATTGGGTGCATAAATATTTAGGATAGTTAGCTCCTCTTGTTGAATTGATCCCTTTACCATTATGTAATGGCCTTCTTTGTCTCTTTTGATCTTTGTTGGTTTAAAGTCTGTTTTATCAGAGACTAGGATTGCAACCCCTGCCTTTTTTTGTTTTCCATTGGCTTGGTAGATCTTCCTCCATCCTTTTATTTTGAGCCTATGTGTGTCTCTGCACGTGAGATGCGTTTCCTGAATACAGCACACTGATGGGTCTTGACTCTTTATCCAACTTGCCAGTCTGTGTCTTTTAATTGCAGAATTTAGTCCATTTATATTTAAAGTTAATATTGTTATGTGTGAATTTGATCCTGTCATTATGATGTTAGCTGGTGATTTTGCTCATTAGTTGATGCAGTTTCTTCCTAGTCTCGATGGTCTTTACATTTTGGCATGATTTTGCAGCGGCTGGTACCGGTTGTTCCTTTCCATGTTTAGCGCTTCCTTCAGGAGCTCTTTTAGGGCAGGCCTGGTGGTGACAAAATCTCTCAGCATTTGCTTGTCTATAAAGTATTTTATTTCTCCTTCACTTATGAAGCTTAGTTTGGCTGGATATGAAATTCTGGGTTGAAAATTCTTTTCTTTAAGAATGTTGAATATTGGCCCCCACTCTCTTCTGGCTTGTAGGGTTTCTGCCGAGAGATCTGCTGTTAGTCTGATGGGCTTTCCTTTGAGGGTAACCCGACCTTTCTCTCTGGCTGCCCTTAACATTTTTTCCTTCATTTCAACTTTGGTGAATCTGACAATTATGTGTCTTGGAGTTGCTCTTCTCGAGGAGTATCTTTGTGGTGTTCTCTGTATTTCCTGAATCTGAACGTTGGCCTGCCTTGCTAGATTGGGGAAGTTCTCCTGGATAATATCCTGCAGAGTGTTTTCCAACTTGGTTCCATTCTCCACATCACTTTCAGGTACACCAATCAGACGTAGATTTGGTCTTTTCACATAGTCCCATATTTCTTGGAGGCTTTGCTCATTTCTTTTTATTCTTTTTTCTCTAAACTTCCCTTCTCGCTTCATTTCATTCATTTCATCTTCCATTGCTGATACCCTTTCTTCCAGTTGATCGCATCGGCTCCTGAGGCTTCTGCATTCTTCACGTAGTTCTCGAGCCTTGGTTTTCAGCTCCATCAGCTCCTTTAAGCACTTCTCTGTATTGGTTATTCTAGTTATACATTCTTCTAAATTTTTTTCAAAGTTTTCAACTTCTTTGCCTTTGGTTTGAATGTCCTCCCGTAGCTCAGAGTAATTTGATCATCTGAAGCCTTCTTCTCTCAGCTCGTCAAAATCATTCTCCATCCAGCTTTGTTCTGTTGCTGGTGAGGAACTGCGTTCCTTTGGAGGAGGAGAGGCGCTCTGCGTTTTAGAGTTTCCAGTTTTTCTGTTCTGTTTTTTCCCCATCTTTGTGGTTTTATCTACTTTTGGTCTTTGATGATGGTGATGTACAGATGGGTTTTCGGTGTAGATGTCCTTTCTGGTTGTTAGTTTTCCTTCTAACAGACAGGACCCTCAGCTGCAGGTCTGTTGGAATACCCTGCCGTGTGAGGTGTCAGTGTGCCCCTGCTGGGGGGTGCCTCCCAGTTAGGCTGCTCGGGGGTCAGGGGTCAGGGACCCACTTGAGGAGGCAGTCTGCCCGTTCTCAGATCTCCAGCTGCGTGCTGGGAGAACCACTGCTCTCTTCAAAGCTGTCAGACAGGGACACTTAAGTCTGCAGAGGTTACTGCTGTCTTTTTGTTTGTCTGTGCCCTGCCCCCAGAGGTGGAGCCTACAGAGGCAGGCAGGCCTCCTTGAGCTGTGGTGGGCTCCACCCAGTTCGAGCTTCCCGGCTGCTTTGTTTACCTAAGCAAGCCTGGGCAATGGCGGGCGCCCCTCCCCCAGCCTCGTTGCCGCCTTGCAGTTTGATCTCAGACTGCTGTGCTAGCAATCAGCGAGACTCCGTGGGCGTAGGACCCTCTGAGCCAGGTGTGGGATATAGTCTCGTGGTGCGCCGTTTCTTAAGCCGGTCTGAAAAGCGCAATATTCGGGTGGGAGTGACCCGATTTTCCAGGTGCGTCCATCACCCCTTTCTTTGACTCAGAAAGGGAACTCCCTGACCCCTTGCGCTTCCCAGGTGAGGCAATGCCTCGCCCTGCTTTGGCTCGCGCACGGTGCGCACACACACTGGCCTGCGCCCACTGTCTGGCACTCCCTAGTGAGATGAACCCGGTACCTCAGATGGAAATGCAGTAATCACCCGTCTTCTGCGTCGCTCACGCTGGGAGCTGTAGACCGGAGCTGTTCCTATTCGGCCATCTTGGCTCCTCCTCCTGTTTTAATTTTCAATGACCTACATTTTTACCTTTTATACACATACACATACATACGATTGTACTACAATTTTGGTTGTAGGACTTATACAATTTCAACAGGACCCAATTCTTCTATTCATGAAGGCAGAGTCTAAATCAGAATAGATAGAGCACCAGATGTAACTATGGTCAATGTCCTTAGGAAGAGAAGGGAACAATGGCCTGGTTAATAAAATAAAGCATGTAATGCCCTCGATCGTGTCAGGCTGAATACAGATGACAGCTGTCAGAATGAAATAGGTGAGTGGGCAGGACATGTGCCAGCCCTGTGGTCCCTGCTCTGGGCCGAATATCCTCCTCTTAAATGGCTTTTGCACACATCCAAGTTTAAATTTCTAGACTGTTGTTCCTTCTTTCTGTTTCATTTTCTTTTCAACTCCATCTTCCACATATCCTGCACACACACAGAGAGAGAGTTGCCCCCTGCTGCTCCCAACAATTTTTGATTGCCTGCTCAAGGGACATCAGAACCTCACACCACCCAAGGGTGTCCTAATAGGGGAAAGGCAGAGTGAACCATGGCTTTTGCTCTCATAAAAAGCATGCATGGAAAATTATAGGGAAAAGGTGATTACATTTCCTACTAGTCACAGCTTATAAGGCAAACTATGAAAAATGGTTAGGGCCACAGGTTTTCTAAAGGCACACAGACATATTCTTGCCTTCTGGGACTGTGGTCTGCATTTGAGCCAGCTGTCTATTAGTGCCCAGCCTGGAACCCCTCATGTCTTTCTGGAGTTAAGCCCTGAGGCTACTTAGATTCACTTTTTTTCCCCTCCTCATGACTGCAAAACTCAGTCTGCTTTCTTTTCACTTTTTAACTGACACTGGGCACCGCTAAACACACACACACACACACACGCACACACATACACACCCCAGAGAAGTTATGTGAAGGGCTAAAGTCTACAGCTTCCTCTCTCTTTGCAGTGTCAAAGATGAGCACAGGAACCCTTTCTGTTTTCAAACTTTTACTCTGATCACTTTGGAAAAACGATCATTGAGAAATCAATAATGCCACAGACTCATACAAAATGTTTATCTTCTCAGTCCCCAGGCTGTCGATCCTACCTCTGTTTCATGGCAAGACCTGGAAGGCCAGGTCAATTCCATCTAAATAGTTATCTCTTTCCAATGTATCCTTCTTTTATCTAAAGGTATCCCTGCTTCCAAGATTTTCTTCTAAGAGCTTCCGTTATTTTTTTTAGGCAAAATAACACCCATGCAGGAAACAAACTTTTGGATGTCTTATACTTTCCTTGCTCTAACTTGGCAAGGAGAAAGGGCCACCAGATTAAATAACAGTGTAATTTAAAAAAATATTCTTTGGTATATATTCCTTTGAGATGTATCTTAGATAGCTGCATATTGTGGAGAAAAGAGAAAAATCACCTTGGCAAATTCAGGAATGTCCTGAGAGAAGGCACAATCCTAAGCGTGTTCTTTGTTCATAATCGGACCCAAGAAACTACCTCAAGGGGGTAAAGGAGACACTCACAGTTTCTGACGTGGTCAGGCCATGGGAGTGGAGTTGGGCAGGGGGCTTCGGCTCCTTGGCACTGTTGCAAGCAGACGAGGAGGGCGATTTGCCTCCAAGATCAACCTCCTAAGGAAGGTCCCCCCTACCCAAGGGAGGAGCCATCTCTGGGGGAGGTTGGGAGTCATCAAGGCTGATGTGCTGGGGGGTGGTTTGATCAACAGTCTCATCGTGATAAGCTGGTTTAGAATATAAACCCGCCTTCCCATTCCACCACCCATCTATTTACATCAAGGAGGCATGTCTGTCACCAACTTGGAGGACAGACTGCAGGGCATCCCGGGAATCCAGAAGGATTGATGTCTGTCTTTGCCATTTCCTTCCCATTTTCTCCCCCATCTTCCCCTTATTCAATCCTTATTATGAAGGACATATAAAAACTTTATTTTAAAAGGTTCATGGGTCATTTAATAATAAAAGTGAATAACATCTGGCCGGGCACAGTGGCTCACACCTGTAATCCCAGCACTTTGGGAGGCCGAGGCGGGTGGAACACCTGAGGCCAGGAGTTCAAGACCAGCCTGGCCAACATAGGGAAACCCCATCCCTACAAAAATACAAAAATTAGCTGGTCATGATGACATGTGCCTGTAATCCCAGCTACTCAGGAGGCTGAGGTGGGAGAATTGCTTGAACCTGGGAGGCAGAGGTTGCAGTGAGCCAAGATCGTGCCATTGTACCCCAGCCTGGGTGACAGAGTGAGACTCTGTCTCAAAAAAAAAAAAGTGCATAATATCTAACATTTATTGGACAACTACTATATGTCAGGTGTTATCTGTTTTACAAATATTATTATGTCACATCATTCTCAAAAAGCCCTAAGAAATAGTTGCCATTATTCCAGTTTATAGATGAGATGAGCTGAGAATTTATAGATGAGATGAGCTTGGAATTTATAGATGAGATGAGCTTGGAATTTATAGATGAGATGAGGAATGTTCCTTCCCTGCTCAATTACTTCATTCCTTCATTCACATATCAAACATAGATTAAGTATCTACAATGTATAAGGCCATGTCCTGAAGAGTAGAGCAACAGAGATAAAAGACACAGTCTCTACCCGGAGGTAGCTTGCAGTCTAATGGGAGTTCACTAAAAAATAAATTTTACAGTGTTGAATTCAGTGAGATAGATGAAAGTGTACATAAGGTGCTATGATAAGAAGGAGGAGGCACACCCACCCAAGAGGAGCGTAGGACCTAGCATCGGGGGTGGGAAGGGAGGTGGTGGGGAGTCAAGGATGGTTTCTCAGGGAAGGTGATGAAGGCTGAGCGGAGTCTTAACAAAACAAAGAAGTGCCAGGCATTGGGAATCTGGGCCAAGGGATAAATGACAAGCTGAAGAGATGAGCTGGGAACCACATCATGAGAGACAGGTGTTATCACGCTGAGAAACTGCGGTTTTATACTAAAATTAATGGGAAGATGCAAAGTGATTTTTTATTGTAAAAGATACATAACATAAATTGTACCATTTTAACCACTTTTAAACTTACAGTTCAGTGGGATTAAGTACATTCACATTGTTGTGCAACCGACATCACTACCCATCTCCAGAACTTTTCCACCTTCCCCAGTGAAATTCTGTGCCCATTAAAAAATAACTCCCCATTCTCGTGCTTCTCAGCTCCTGGCAAACAACATTCTACTCTCTGTCTTTATAAATTTGACCACTCTAGTTACCTCACATAACTGAAATTATAAAGTATGTGTCCTTTTGTGACTGGCTTATTTCGCTTAGCATAATGTCCTTAAGCTTCATCCCTATTGCAACATGTGTCTGGATTTTCTTCCCTTTTAAGGCTGAATAACATTCCTTTTTTTTTGGAGGTGGAGGCGGGATGGAGTCTCGCTCTGTCACCCAGGCTGGAGTGCAGTGGTGTGATTTTGGCTCACTGCAACCTCCGCCTCCTGAGTTCAAACAATTCTTCCTGCCTCAGCCTCCGGAGTAGCTGGGATTACAAGCATGCACCACCATGCCCAGCTACTTTTTTTGTATTTCTGGTAGAAACAGGGTTTCACCATGTTGGCCAGGCTGGTCTCAAACTCCTGACTTCAAGTGATCAACCTGCCTCAGCCTCCCAAAGTGCTGGGATTACAGGCATGAAGGCTGAATAATATTCTATTGCAAGTATACACTACAATTTGTTCATCCATTCATTTGACAATGGATGCTTGGGTTGCTTCCACCTGTTAACCAGTGTGAGTAATGCCTCTATGAACATGGCTGTACAAATACCAATTTGAGTCCCTACTTTCAATTCTTTTGGATGTGTACCCAGAAGTAAAATTGCTGAATTACATGGTAATTCTGTGAAGTTTTTTGAGGAACCACCATACTGTTTTCCACAGCTGCTGCATCATTTCACATTCCCAACACCAATGCACAAAGGTTCCAATTTCTCCATATCCTTGCCAATACTTGTTATCTTGTTTTTTTTTTAATAGTAGCCATCCTAATGGGGATAAGGTGATAGCTCATTGTAGTTTTAATTTACATTTCCCTAATGGTAAGTGATGATGAGCGTCTTTTCATGTGCTAATTTGCCATTTGTGCATCTTCTTTGGAGAAATATCTATTCAAGTCTTTTGCCCATCCAAAGTGATTTTAAATAAGGGGTGATATAATCCGATTTGTGTTTCAGAAAGAGAAGTGCAGAAAGGACTGTGGTTCAGAGGTTGCCCAGGATGGACATGGGGAAACTGGAGTCTCACTGGTGATCAGGATGGTGAGGAGAGGGTGCAGCTAGGATGTGTGGAGGGGCAGGATTCCCAAGCTTGGCAATGTGGGAAGTGGAGCAGGGGAAAGTTTCAGGCTCTGTCCTGACAGTGCTGGTCTCCAGGCAGCAGGCAGGGGTGCTGTCTCTGCACAAACTTTGTCCCCTTCTGTGTGGCACCGAGTCAGAGCCTCTCCAGTCTTCGCCTACTTCTACCCCTGGATATTCTAAGGTTTTCCTCCCTTTCATTCCTAGCGGATATCCCATCTGTTTCCCCTTCCTCTTTCTCTTTACCTGGCCATGAATTCATGTCCTTACCTGGCCACAGATCTGCTGTTTCTGGATACCCCTGTCTGTATCACCATCCTATAGCTCTCCCAACCTATTATTACCTCTTTCTGATTGTTCAAGGAAAATCAGGCCCTAATGTGGTTCTAGACAAAGAAGCGGAGAAAGCAGAAAACCCACAGGCCTGAGGCCACAATTAGGAGAAGATGAGAAAACGGGTATTTCGGTGTCTTTCCTTTGACTTCATGTAGCTCAATGCCCTCTCCTTCAATGAATTGATAAACATTTCTCACACGTTATTGTAACTGTTGGCTTATTTATCCATTTCTCAAAAAGTTTTAAATGGCACATATATATTTTCATGTATAATGTATATATTACATGTTTGTTATATATGTGTGTGTTTGTGTGTGTGTGTGTGTGTGTGTATATATATATATATATATATATATATATATATATATATATATATATGCCAAAGAATGATCAAACGCAAACTAACCCAGTCAGGGCCAAAATATATACTTAAACTGTGAGGCAGAAAAGATTTTGTACTTCTTCATAACAAGTGCCTTTTAATTTTCCAAAAGGCAACTTTTAGCAAATATTGTACTAAATACAACCAAGAAATCAAAGACATTAAATAAATAGTGAGAAAAATGTAATGAGGATGGCTCAGGTTTTGTGGTATTTAACACTAAGAAACCGTGTTACAACCCCATTAATGTATCTAGATATAGGGGAACAGTACTAAATATATACTAAAATGACTCTATGTCACTTTTTAAACCCTTTTGATTATTAATTATTAGGTGGGGTCAAGAAAATCATAAAGGAGAAATATTAGGAAACGATCCATTCCATATGACGTGTGTTATCATCATGAAATCAGCAAGTCTTTGTTGGCAATTAAAATTTCATTATCGGAAGAAAAGTAGAACTAATAATTTTGTTTTTTCATAAAGATTTTAGCTGAGCAAGTTTTCTACTTCTTCTTTTTTTAGGTTGATATAGCTTTACTACAGAGCAGTAAAATATACTGCCAAGTTTACTTACTCATCAATAAAAAGCAAGTTTTGAAAGTACAGCTTTTGTAGACTTGAACTTAAAAGTTGCTTCCCTAACTCTTATCCCTGGGAAATGATCTAGCATCCAAGTATGAGGAAACAACCTTTTGAGTAAGAATTGACAAGGTGTTATGCTATGATTCTGGAAAAAATAAACACTGCTCTCAGAAAACAGAAAGTGTTCTTTCCAGCAAATAAAGTTGCAGGCTGGTAGATGACACTTTATGGGAAGAAAGAGTTGTTTCAAACCCTCCAGCAGGATTTTACATTGAATAAGTGCCTTAAATAAAAATCACATCTGTGAGATACAATGTCACATAATGAACAATAGACAAGTCTTTTTCGTGTGCAGTTAAATCAATAATAATAGGCAATGCTAAAGTTGTATGTTTTAGCCTTTGGTGACAAACTTATCTCTGCCTTATCCTCAGTTTTACCAAAAGTTGATTTTGGTTTTTTGTTTTCAGAAGCCAATTTTGCTGCTAGTTTTAAGAAAGAAAAATATATTACATGGTTAGTTTGGAATGAAGACAGGTGACAGTCCCAAGTCCCTGTTTGTGATGTACCAGTGAGTGCTAAAATCACCATCAGTGCAACACTACTTACTACAATCACTGATTTTGAAAAAGAAAAGCCTAAAATCAATATTTTTTTAAAAAAGCAGTAAAAAGACAATAGGAAATGGAAAAGTGATGTGAATAATGATTCACAGGAGAAATAGAAATGATCAATAAGCATATGAAGAAAACATTCAGCCTCTCAGTAGTAAAATAAATATATTCTAATATAATAATATGACAACATGTTTTGCATTTTTGCCTCTTAGATTAGTAGATATGGCAAGAAATGATAATGTCTGGGTTTGGCAAGGTTGTTGGGAAAGTACAATTATTAAAAACTTTTTGGAAAGAAATTTGATATGTATAGCAAGAGTCTATTTGTAATCCAAAATGTATCCACTTTAGTCTCACAAAGCCTTTGCTAGGAAGCCAATCTAAAGAAATAGAAAAATCGGCTGGGTGTAGTGAATCACACCTGTAATCCCAGCACTTTGGGAGGCTGAGGGGGATCGATCACTTGAGGTCAGGAGTTCGAGACCAGCATGACCAACATGGTGAAACCCCGTCTCCACTAAAAATACAAACATTAGCTAGGAGTGATGGTGCATACCTATAATCCCAGCTACTCAGGAGACTGAGGCAGGAGAATTGTTTGAACCCGGGAGGCAGAGGTTGCAGTGAGCTGAGATTGCACCACTGCATGCCAGCCTGGGAAACAAAGTGAGACTCAGTCTCAAAAATAAAACAAAGAGAGAAACAGAAAATTAGACAAAAATTATGTACTAATAACATAAACAATCAGACTATAAAAAATGGAAATAGTCAAAATGTTCAACAATAATGGAAAAGTAAACTATGGTTATGCATACTATGGAATATCATTTCACTATTAAAAATGTGTGTTAATAAAATAGGGAAATCCCCATGCCACAATGTTAGATGAAACAAAAAAGATATAAAATTAACATAATCTGATCCTTATTTCGTAAAAAGAAAAGCATACTCCTATATAGGTAAAAACAATCCTAAGTTAATACAAATTAAAATTATTATATATTTGCAGAGAGAAGAAAAATAATGGAAAAATACATTAGAATTGTAATCATTGTTACCTCTTTCTATAGAGATAAACAAAAAAGAATCCGAAATAAATACATCAAAATTAAATCAAAAGTGATTGTAACTTATTTTTGCACCTTTCTCTGTTTTTCAATTTTGCCGTAGTGAGCAACGTATCTTCAATATTTATTTGGCTGCTGCTCAACTCAACTAACTTAAAAACAAAGGATATATATTGGGTTTTAGATCCCAATTTCTGGGATACGCATTGCCTCAAGAGTGGCTAAAAACAGAGGCTCAGTAGAGTTGATCAGAATTCTGTTTCTCTTCTCCTAAGTTGCACTTCCTGTGTTGACTCCTCACAAAGGCTCTCCATTGGGAGTTGCAATTCTAGGGGCTATATATTTCCAGAATCCAGGCCACATGCACAGCAAAATTCCTAAGATACCTTCTGAGGGGTCTGCCTTGAGTCGTGGGCTCAAAATGAACCAAGTGCATGGCAGGGGAATGCTAAGCATTAATTCACTTTCATCAAGCATTCTGTTCTCCCCTGTGGACCTCCACCCAGGCCAAGTTAAATAAACATTAGGGAGAGACAGATTTCCAAATAAAAATCCAAGCTATTTTCAAGGAGAGCTGTAAACACACATGCTCCGTACAAATGCACACTATTTCTTTAACTAAGAAATAGATTTAGGCTGGGCATGGTGGCTCACACCTGTATCCCCTGCACTTTGTAAGGCAGGTAGATGGATGGCTTGAGGCCAGGAGTTCCAGACCAGCCGGGGCAACATAGAAAGATGGACTGAATGAAATGAAGCGAGAAGAGAAGTTTAGAGAAAAAAGTGTAAAAAGAAATGAACAAAGCCTCCAAGAAATATGGGACTATGTGAAAAGACCAAATCTACGTCTGATTGGTGTACCTGAAAGTGACAGGGAGAATGGAAACAAGTTGGAAAACACTCTTCAGGATGTTATCCAGGAGAACTTCCCCAACCTAGCAAGGCAGGCCAACATTCAAATTCAGGAAATACAGAGAATGCAACAAAGATACTCCTCAAGAAGATAAACTCCAAGACACATAGTTGTCAGATTCACCAAAGTTGAAATGAAAGAAAAAATGTTAAGGGCAGTCAGACAGAAAGGTCGGGTTACCCACAAAGGGAAGCCCATCAGACTAACAGCAGATCTCTTGGCAGAAACTCTACAAGCCAGAAGAGAGTGGGGGCCAATATTCAACATTCTTAAAGAAAAGAATTTTCAACCCAGAATGTCATATCCAGCCAAACTAAGATTCATAAGTGAAGGAGAAATAAAATATTTTACAGACAAGTGAATGCTGAGAGATTTTGTCACCACCAGGCCTGCCTTACAAGAGCTCCTGAAGGAAACACTAAACCTGGAAAGGAACAACTGGTACCAGCCACTGCAAAAACATGCCAAAATGTAAAGACCGTCAAGGCTAGGAACAAACTGCATCAACTAACGAGCAAAATAAGCAACTAACATCACAACGACAGGATCAAATTCACACATAACAATATTAACCTTAAATGTAATGGGCTAAATGCTCCAATTAAAAGACACAGACTGGCAAATTGGATAAAGTGTCAAGACCCATCAGTGTGCTGTATTCAGGAGACCCACCTCACGTGCAGAGACAAAGAGAGGCTCAAAATAAAGGGACGGAGGAAGATCTACCAAGCAAATGGAAAACAAAATAAAAGCAGAGGTTGCAATCCTAGTCTCTGATAAAACAGACTTTAAACCAGCAAAGATCAGAAGAAACAAAGAAGGCCACTACATAATGGTAAAGGGATCAATTCAACAAGAAGAGCTAACTATCCTAAATATATATGCACCCAATACAGGAGCACCC
This sequence comes from Homo sapiens, assembly GCF_000001405.40. Lineage (NCBI taxonomy): Eukaryota > Metazoa > Chordata > Mammalia > Primates > Hominidae > Homo > Homo sapiens. The sequence continues at coordinate 34,495,442 of NC_000013.11, forward strand.
AGATTCATAAAGTGAGTCCTTAAAGACCTACAAAGAGACTTAGACTCCCGCAATAATAATGGGAACTTTAACACCCCCCTGTCAACATTAGACAGATCAACGAGACAGAAAGTTAAAAAGGATATCCAGGAATTGAACTCAGCTCTGCACCAAGACCACCTAATGGACATCTACAGAACTCTCCACCCCAAATCAACAGAATGTACATTCTTCTCAGCATCACATCACACTTATTCCAAAATTGGCCACATAGTTGGAAGTAAAGCAATCCTCGGCAAATGTAAAATAACAGAAATTATAACAAACTGTCCCTCAGACCATGGTGCAATCAAACTAGAACTCAAGATTAAGAAACTCACTCAAAACCGCTCAACTACATGGAAACTGAATGACCTGCTCCTGAATGACTGCTGGGTACATAATGAAATGAAGGCAGAAATAAAGATGTTCTTTGAAACCAATAAGAACAAAGACACAATATACCAGAACATGGGACACATTTAAAGCAGTGTGTGGAGGAAAATTTATAGCACTAAATGCCCCCAAGAAAAAGCAGGAAAGATCTAAAATTGACAACCTAACATCACAATTAAAAGAACTAGAGAACCAAGAGCAAACACATTCAAAAGCTAGCAGAAGGCAAGAAATAACCAAGATCAGAGCAGAACTGAAGGAGATAGAGACACAAAAAACCCTTCAAAAAATCAATGAATCCAGGAGCTGGTTTTTGGAAAAGATCAACAAAATTGATAGACTGCTAGCAAGACTCATAAAGAAGAAAAGAGAGAAGAATCAAATAGACGCAATAAAAAATGATAAAGGGGATATCACCACTGGTCCCACAGAGATACAAACTACCATCAGAGAATACTATAAACACCTCTACACAAATAAACTAGAAAATCTAGAAGAAATGGATAAATTCCCTGGACACATACACCCTCCCAAGACTTAACCAAGAAGAAGTTGAATCCCTGAATAGACCAATAACAGGCTCTGAAATTGAAGCAATAATTAATAGCCTATCAACCAAAAAAAGTCCAGGACCAGACAGATTCACAACCAAATTCTACCAGAGGTACAAAAAGGAGGTGGTACCATTCCTTCTGAAATTATTCCAATCAACAGAAAAAGAGGGAATCTCTAACTCATTTTATGAGGTCAACATCATCCTGATACCAAAGCCTGGCAGAGACACAACAAAAAAAAGAGAATTTTAGACCAATATCCCGGATGAACATCGATGCAAAAATCCTCAATAAAATACTGGCAAACCGAATCCAGCAGCACATCAAAAAGCTTATCCACAATGATCAACTTGGCTTCATCCCTGGGATGCAAGGCTGGTTCAACATACACAAATCAATAAACATAATCCATCGTATAAACAGAACCCACAACAAAAACCACATGATTATCTCAATAGATGCAGAAAAGGCCTTTGACAAAATTCAACAACACTTCATGCTAAAAGCTCTCAATCAACTGGTATTGATGGGATGTATCTCAAAATAATAAGAGCTATTTATGACAAACACACAGCCAATGTCATACTGAATAGGCAAAAACTGGAAGCATTCCCTTTGAAAACTGGCACAAGACAGGGATGCCCTCTCTCACCACTCCTATTCAACATAGTGTTGGAAGTTCTGGCCAGGGCAATCAGGCAAGAGAAAGAAATAAAGAGTATTCAACTAGGAAAAGAGGAAGTCAAATTGTCCCTGTTTGCAGATGACATGATTGTATATTTCGAAAACCCCATCGTCTCAGCCCAAAATCTCCTTAAGCTGATAAGCAACTTCAGCAAAGTCTCAGGATACAAAATCAATGTGCAAAAATCACAAGCATTCCTATACACCAATAACAGACAAACAGAGAGCAAAATCATGAATGAACTCCCATTCACAATTGCTTCACAGAGAATAAAATACCTAGGAATCCAACTTACAAGGGACATGAAGGACCTCTTCAAGGAGAACTACAAACCACTGCTCAATGAAATAAAAGAGGATACAAACAAATGGAAGAACATTCCATGCTCATGGATAGGAAGAATGAATATCGTGAAAATGGCCATACTGCCCAAGGTAATTTAGATTCAATGCCATCCCCATCAAGCTACCAATGACTTCCTTCACAGAATTGGAAAAAACTACTTTAAAGTTCATATGGAAACCAAAAAGAGCCCACATTGCCAAGACAATCCTAAGCCAAAAGAACAAAGCTGGAGGCATCACGCTACCTGACTTCAAATTATACTACAAGGCTAGAGTAACCAAAACAGCATGGTACTGGTACCAAAACAGAGATATAGACCAATGGAACAGAACAGAGCCCTCAGAAATAATACCACACATCTACAACCATCTGATCTTTGACAAACCTGACAAAAACAAGAAATGGGCAAAGGATTCCCTATTTAATAAATGGTGCTGGGAAAACTGGCCAGCCATACACAGAAAGCTGAAACTGGATCCCTTCCTCACACATTATACAGAATTTAATTCAAGATGGATTAAAGACTTAAATGTTAGACCTAAAACCATAAAAACCCTAGAAGAAAACCTAGGCAATACCATTCAGGACATAGGCATGGGCAAGGACTTCATGCCTAAAACACCAAAAGCAATGGCAACAAAAGCCAAAATTGACAAATAGGATCTAATTAAACTGAAGAGCTTCTGCACAGCAAAAGAAACTACCATCAGAGTGAACAGGCAACCTACAGAATGGGAGAAAATTTTTGCAATCTACTCATTGGACAAAGGGCTTATATCCAGAATCTACAAAGAACTCAAACAAACTTACAAGAAAAAAACAACCCCATCAAAAAGTGGGCAAAAGATATGAACAGACACTTCTCAAAAGAAGACATTTATGCAGCCAAAAGACACCCGAAAAAATGCTCATCATCACTGGCCATCAGAGAAATGCAAATCAAAAACACAATGAGATACCATCTCACACCAGTTAGAATGGTGATCATTAAAAATTCAGGAAACAACAGGTGCTGGAGAGCATGTGGAGAAATAGGGACAGTTTTACACCTTTCATGGGACTGTTAACTAGTTCAACCATTGTGGAAGACAGTGTGGCGATTCCTCAAGGATCTAGAACTAGAAATACCATTTGACCCAGCCATCCCATTACTGGGTATATACCCAAAGGATTATAATTCATGCTTCTATAAAGACACATGCACACATATGTTTATTGTGGCACTATTCACAAGAGCAAAGACTTGGAACCAACCCAAGTGTCCATCAATGATAGACTGGATTAAGAAAATGTGGCACATATACACCATTGAATACTATGCAGCCATAAAAAAGGATGAGTTCATGTCCTTTGCAGGGACATGGATGAAGCTGGAAACCATCATTCTGAGCAAACTATCGCGAGGACAGAAAAGCAAACACTGCATGTTCTCACACATAGGTGGGAATTGAACAATGAGAACACTTGGACACAGGATGGGGAACATCACACAATGGGGCCTGTCGTGGGATGGGGGGAGGGGGGAGGGATAACATTAGGATATATACCTAATGTAAATGACGAGTTAATGCGTGCAGCACACCAACATGGCACATGTATACATATGTAACAAACCTGCACAGTGTGCACATGTACCCTAGAACTTAAAGTATGATTAAAAAAAAAAAGTACTATATACCAGCCAGGCGTGGTGGCTCATGCCTGTAATCCCAGCACTTTGGGAAGCTAAGGCAGGCAGATCACTTGAGGTCAGGAGTTCAAGACCAGCCTGGCCAACATGGTGAAATCCTGTCTCCACTAAATATACAAAAATTAGCTGGGCATGGTAGTGGGGGCCTGTAATCCCAGCTGCTCAGGAGGCTGAGGAAGGAGAATCACTTGAACCCGTGAGGTAGAAGTTGCAGTGAGTCAAGATTGTATCACCTGCACTCCATCCTGGGCGAGAGTAAAACTACATCTCAAAAAAATAATTAAAAAAAAAGTGCTATATACCATCTAATCCAGCAGATTAATTAACATGACTCCAGGCTTTGATAACATTGAAATCTGCCAAAAATAAAATGCTTAATCCTAGGAAACAAATATTCTAGCTTTTGTAACTTCCAAAAGGAAATCCTGGCCCATTCTTAGCAGGATATTGAATTGTTTCCAATAGTAACAAAAATATTATACACGGCATCTGTCTACAGAGTAGCTTCTATGTGCTTTACACTGCGCTAGGCATTTTACATGTGTTCCTATTTCCCATCACAGCAAACCTGCACAGTAGGAATTAGCCCCGTTTTCTAGACAGTCTCTAGGCAGAGAGTAAATGGCTTGCCCACAGTGTCTGTGGCAGAGTAGGACTCAAACTCCTCACCGTCTTGTTCCAGAGCTTGTAGGCTTTTCTCTACCCTCAGTGATTCTCAAATGTTTTTAATCTTTCAAACTGGCACCTCATTTTATTAAGGTAACAACCTCCCATAAAATTCCATGCCAGCTCTTACATAGGAAAGAGCTAAGAGTAAAGCTGTCCTGGCTTAATTGAGGGTGGAGTCCAGCCGACTGTCCACTCTGCTACTCCCACTACCAACAGAGGCTGAGACCTTCAGAGGAATCTGGGCCTGCAGAATGTTTGGAAAGCACTGCTTTGTGCCATGCTATTCCAGCCGGGTGGATTCCTCAGCTGGTCGTATGGAGCCAGTGACAAAACTGCCCAGCTCTGGTCACTCCTGCTGTACAAGAATATCAGAATTGCAGGACACATCTAGAGGACATAGGATTTTGCAAAAAAAAACAAAAGAAAGAAAGAAAGAAAAGAAAGAAAGAAAGAAGAAAGAAGGAAGGAAGGAAGGAAGGAAAGAAAGAAAGAAAGAAAGAAGAAAGAAGGAAGGAAGGAAAGAAATAAAAAGAAAGAAGAAAGAAGGAAGGAAGGGAAGAAACAAAGAAAGAAAGAAAAAGAAAGAAAGAAAGAAAGAAAGAGAAAGAAAGAAAAGAAAGAAAGAGAAAGAAAGAAAGAAAAGAAAAGAAAGAAAGAAAGAAAAAGAAAGAAAGAAAAGAAAGAAAGAGAAAGAAAGAAAGAAAGAAAAGAAAAGAAAGAAAGAGAGAGAAAGATGGACTTCACCTCTACAAAAAAAAAAAATTAAAAACAATCAGCCAGGCATGGAGGTGCACCGGTAGTCCCAGCTACCCAGAGACTGAGGCTCAGAGGCTGAGGTGGAGGGATCCCTTGAACCCAGGAGTTTGAGGCTGCAGTGAGTTAGTGTCGCACCCCTGCACTCCAAAAGATAAAATGAAAGAAATAGATTTAAATTAATTCTTTTCAAAACCAGTGCTCCTACTCTTCCCCATTAACCCCTAACCCATTCTTCTTTCTCACCAGTGACATTTATTCATCTGTCAACATCCTCACATGGATAGAACTGCTCAGTTTTCCAGTGGCAAATGGAAATGGCTCATACACTTTAGGACTGCAAGTGATACTTCTCATAAATATTTAGAAAGACAGACAAGGTAAAAATAATGTTTCCTCTTAGAATTCAAAGTAAAACTTTGACTGACTGAATTAAAAACTGCTTTTATCAATGCCTCGCTCTATTTTTTTTCTTCAGCTGATAGGTCAGGTCACTTATACAAAATGATTCTATTATATCAAATTATTGTTTTGATGTGTCATTAGAGAGACAGAGAGAGAGACAAAGAGAGGGAGAATGACTCCAGGCTATTAGTTTTATCTTGCCTAATACTACTCAGCTCTGTGATAATTTCGTATTGTAACTTTTACTGGGTTGAATTTTGGAAATTATTTCAAATATATTCTCCTAACTTATTCAATATCTGTACATTTTTCAGTAGTAAGAACTTTTAAAATGGAATGTGGATGTTGAAGCCTTCCTTCACTTATCTAGGTGAGTGATTTTGATGAGTATAAGCTTACTCTGCCCCATGCAGGTAATTTATTCTTGAAAAACCACTTGTTAAGTGAATTTTCATAAGTAAAAAAAATCATTACCATTAACTTTTAGGAGCATGGATTTATGCTAAGACAACACCAAAGCCCATTAAAGTTGGCTCAGTTACTTCAACAGACACATTAGTTAAACAACCTAACAAAGCCTTTTCTCTTTATTAATTATGCCATAATATGGCTATTCACTTACTCTCATTAAGTTCTTGTGGCACTATTATGCAATATATACTTAAGATTATTCTTACAAATAAAACATGTTGAATACTCAATGTTTATATAGTTCAATCTTTATTGCAAAACATCCATGACAGAAAGACCAGAAATCTCACCGAAAACAAGAACAAATTATTTCACACTCACCAAATAACTTGACATCCTCAGCGCATCAGATTATCACTGCTGTAAACTACAAAACACTAGGCCACTGAGACAATGTAACGCATAGCAGTCCATCAACAACTGTGAGCATGGCTGCACGGTGCTTCTGGTCTGTCTAGGTTCAGCTGCCTGTGTGAAATCCAAAATCCAAATCTGTCCTCAGATATGCTAAGAAATGTCTCGCAAGCCCAAGTTGGGGTATAGAACAAAACTTGGAAAAAAATCAAATTCATGTCATTCTACCTGATGTCACATACCCAATTCCTCAATTTGAGTTTTAGATTGTTTATATGATAATCACACTAAGCGATTAATATCCTGAGTGCCTTTGGAAACAGTATCTTTTAAAGGTTTCATTTGCCTGAACTGGTTGAAGATATTTGTTTTCAATGACTCAGCAGAGAATCTCAGTTTCCCACCCTATCCTCAGAACCATTACCCTATCTGAGGAATTTGCCAAACTTGAATGGCTATGTGGGTGACTGCGTAGCAGCTGCCAAAAGTATTGTCACCCCAGGCACCTACCTTCATTACAACCATGACAGAAAACAACCATGTTCTGGGAATCTTTTATGTCATCTGTATCTTCCAGTTTTTTTCTTCATAACTACAAGTTAGTTGTCAATTCTTTGTCTGGATTTATTTCTAAAAATAGTATCCTGAGAAAACACAGCCCAAGGACAAAGAACAACTCTAAAATTACAGTATGACCAACAACACTTGAATCTTTTTTCGCTTTTAAAAGAATCATGAACACAGGAAATGAGCTTTAGCCTTTATTTTTGCTGTGTCTTGAGAGACATTCAATAAGGAGCTGAAAATGAAGTATGCTTCAAACTTTAAAGGCAATGACGAAATGGAAAGAAGAGTGTCCTTCAAAACTATAGAAGCAACTTCAACCAGACTAATCCTATTTCAAAGAAATGGGCCATAACAGCATAGACTGCTCCACGTTTTGTTCATTCCATCTACAGTACATCAACAGGCTTTTTCCAAAAGTGTATGGACAAAATACTTGAGTTGAGATCTGTAGCCTTAGCCTTCTAAAGATGATATCTATAGGTTGTCATGGTAACTCACAGGGCGCCATCTTTAAAAGCACTGAACTCAGGAAAAATACGCACAGAGAAATTTCAGCCCTAAAAGCTATTTCCCAAAATTGTCCATTATCTTACATATCTTTGTCTGCTTAGAGCCTTGCTGTAATTTTTATTTTCATTCCAATGCTCAAGAAACACTGAAACAAGTGAAAAAATTGCTTGAAGTCCTTTATTATAGAATTTCCATGATAAGTTTTATACTAGCTTTTAAACTGATGAACATTGCTCCCCTACCCCACAAATATTTTTTCCTTTATACTGACTTTTTTAATGTAAACATTACCCTTTTATCCATGGACACAATTTTTGTTCGTATCCTCTTTATATTGGTCTATAGCCAATGTTAAGGTGAAGGGCTTCTCCCTTACTTTGAAACTCCAAGATCCAGCTGTCAATCCATGTGGCAATAGTTTGGAGAAATAATGACCTTCCCTCCTCCCTTGTAGCACTTATTTTTGCATGTCAGTCATGTAGGACTTAGAAAATTAAACCCTGGATCTTCATTTGTCTTCTCATTAGCATCTGCTACCCTCCAGCTGTATCATAAACTGTTAGAAGGCAGTGAGGGTGCCTTATGACTCTTCATAGCTCTAGAATTAGCAGTACTCCACACAGGGGCACGATAAATATTTTATGACATAGAATCCAAATTTAAAGATAAATGGACTTTGGAGATGATCAAATCTACCCCATTTTTGTAAATGAAGAAACAGAAACAAGGAGAGATAAAGTAACCAGCCCAGTGCTATGTCCAGTTAAAAACATTATTTTGAGGTCAGCAAAGATGTCAAATCACTTTTCTGCTAGTAGTACCTGGCAAAGAAGTCAATCCCTTTTCTGCTAGTAATACCTGGTAAAGAAGTAAAACAGAGATTCTGCATTCACTAAACAAAGTAGCAAATAGCCATTCCTGGTTTATATATCACATTAGGTAGGTTGTTGTTTTGAGGTTCAAATTAACCAATATGCTGTGCCTGAGAGAGTGTGTTAAGTATCATCCAAACATAAAGCATTATTAACAGGAAGGATTTTTTTAAGCCCATGGGAAAAGATGAATGGAAAAAATAAAAGAAATAAAAAATGTATCGGTAATAGTGAACATTATCTTGTTTTGACTCACAGGCAATATCATACCAGAAAAATGGCTGCATTTGGAAAATGAATAGCTAGAGAAAACTCTAATGAATAAGCCCAAGGCCTCCAGAAATAAGGAGGAAAATAACCAGCATAAGGCAATGGCTAATCAGAAATCTAGCCTAGACACAGGGTATTACAGTTCAGATTCTCTTCCTTCTCTGAATTTCTTCGTAGTTAAGCTTTCATGGGAAACTCTGGCTGAGGAGAGTCCATGTGTGTATGTGCCAGGAAGATCCTTGTGTTTTTTCAGTTCATTTGTGTCTGCAGCAGAGGCAATGGAAGGAAATGACCAAAGGGAGAGCAATACAGGCAATTAGGGATGAACCTAATACAATATGCGTGGTGACTACATTGATTTGTGTGTATGTGTGTGTGTGATTTAAATTCCTGATATATTTATTAAAAAGGAAATTGACTAATAACAGCTTACAGGTATTCAACACCCTCACAAATTACAAAGCTTACATTTTCCCAGTGAATACTCTCTACACAGCTCAGAGGTTAGAACAGGTGTTCTCATTCCTATTTATTGATGAGCCTTGGACTAGTCGGGTGATTTGTGCAAAGTTAAATGCCAGGGAGCTCTGATTCCAAATTCAGGGCCTAGAGATTTTAGAGGGAGGCTATGATTTGCTTCACTTTTATGGGCTGCCTTTAAGACTATGTCACTTACCTGAAGGCTGTTTCGTGAATAATAGGCAGATGTAAGAAAGGAAATAAAATAGCTATTTTATAACCAGGCAATAGGAGTGGTTGAATGGCTTTTTGGCTTGAAATGATAATTGGATCAAAGGAACAATACAACATGTGTCTTCTACTACCTTAAAATATCATACCTAATTGGTGAGAGTTTCTGCAAAGGAGACTAGATTAAAGAAGAAATAACTGTGTGCCATGGTGAATGCTGTCTACTCTAAATTGTTAATTGTTTTAATAAAATTAAAATTTTATTTTAATTTTACATGAGCAATGATTGCAGTGATCACTGGTGATCAATCATCAGAATAAAGTTAAGAATAACAATTACCCTTACAAAGCATGTTACCAAATATAAGAATGATTAGGGAATAATGATTCAACAGTTGTAGCAATATTAATAATCAATCATGAAGGACTGGAAAAAGAATTGATGAATTCTTTTTCTAAAACTGACTAAAAACATATGGCTTAGCATATGAATTTTTGAAATTGAAACCTAAGTAGGAAAGAATGGATGACAAACACTGGGACCATCTTGCACCAGGCTCAGGAGATTCCCAAAGATCAATCATATCCCAGCTCTGGCTAAGCATTGGTTAATAGAGTCAACCAAGATTGAACAGATTCTAACATTGCTGAAGGTCAGTTAGTAAAATTATCATCTATAAAATGAAAATTATCATCTATAAAATGAAAAAAAAAGTTAAATGGGAAGATTTGCGTAAGCTTCTTAGATCTCGTAAAAGAGACATCAAGAGCATTTAGGGCTTGGAGGTCCTGCTATCAAATTCCTACTGAAGGTTCAACCCAAAGACCTGTGTCAGAGCTGGCGTCTTCAGGTGGATCCTGTAACCATGAACTGCCTGTGCAGGAGGACATATACATGTGCACCTGTAGGTTTGTATGCATGTAAGCCTATAGATGAAATCTGAAATGAATAAATTTTCCACAAATATTTAGTCTTTTAAATATGCTTTCTCCTCCTTTTTCATAAAAATGTACAGTTAGAGACAATATTGACTTTTTGTTTTATATCATCTCCTCAATTCTAATAATGGCAATTTTCAGATCGAGTCACCATGACACGAAATCAGAATGCATGGTTAAGAATAAATAAAGCCATGATTTTCATTCATTGAAAACACTTCATGTTTTAGGTCAGGCATGGTGGCTCATGCCTGAAATCGTAGCACTTTGGGAGGCTGCAGCAGGTGGATCACTTGAGGTCAGGAGTTGAGACCTGCCTGGCCAACATGGTGAAACCCTATCTCTACTAAAAATACCAAAATTAGCTGTACAAGGTGGTGCATGCTTGTAATCCCAGCTACTTGGGAGGCTGAGATGGGAGAACCCCCTGAATCCAGGAGGCAGAGGTTGCAGTGAGTCAAGATCGTGCCACTGTACTTTAGCCTGAGCAACAGAGTAAGACTCTGTTTCAAAAAAAAAAGAAAGAAAGAAAGAGAGAGAGAGAAAGGAAGGAAGGAAGGAAGGAAGGAAGGAAGGAAGGAAGGAGGGAGGGAGGGAGGGAGGGAGAGAGGGAGGGAGAGAGAGAGAGAAAGAGAGAAAGAAAGAAAGGAAAGAAAGAAAGGGAAAGAGAGAGAAAGAAAAAAGAAAGAAAGAAAGAAAAAAGAAAGAAAGAAGGAAAGAAAAGAAAGAAAGAAAGAAAACCTATGTTTCGGCACTGTAACACTGTACTAAAGCATTATCTTCTTTAATTTTCAAAACAAAGCTATTAGGCAAATATGATAACTTCCATCTTATTAACGAAGAAATTGAAGCTTCAAGTAGTGAAATTCATCGCAGATTGAGACTTCAACTATATATTGTCTGTCTACAAAGGCTATCTTTCAGTTGTTTTAATGTGCAACATATATTGTCCCCTGGTAGGAAGCAGAGAGACAAACAATGAACATCTTAACAGGTCAAGAAGCTGAGAATGTTCAAGAGGCACATTACTACTTCATAGTGGGGAAGAATAAATAGTCCTCATTCCAGAATGGCCTTCAGATAAGAGAAATGAAGTTTCATTCTAAGGCCCCCAGCCTTTGTCCCCTGCCTGCATTGATAGAGAGGGGTCTTTTCAATGGCCAACTTACAAACAATGGGATCTTTCAGGTAGTAGACAAAAAGCCTGGGATTCAGTGGGGTTTCCTGTGTTGGCATGGCTGGCTCAGAGTCTGGATCTGGAAAAGGAGATTTAATCCGTTTCTACAGGGGACAGATACTCTTGGTGTATCCATGCTTCTTGAGGCTACATCTCTCCTCAGAAGATCTGACTCATACAACTAACTGCCTCCCTGAACTCTTCACACACACGTATCAAAGGAATTTCAACAATGTTATACCCAAAATCAATTCCATGACCTTCTCCAAAGACCTGATCCTCTTCCAGTGTTCCCCTTCTCGATGAATGGAAGCACATCATCCCACACTCACAAGCCAGAGACCCAGAATTCATAACTGGTAACTCATTTTTCCTCACTCATGTCAAATGCATCATCGAGGCCATTTTTCTTCTTCTTTCTCTGCGCCAAAACCTTCTTGATCCAAGCAATCTCCACCTCCCACCTAGACTCTGGCCTTCTCAATGTTCTACCTACACCCATTCTCAAAGCCAAGGAAGGTCAAGTGATACCTCAGCTTAAAGTTCTTCCTTCACTGTCCATTGCTCTCTGTAAAATGCATAACTGCTTCATGAGGTGTAAAAGGCCCTACTTGGTCACTACCTCCCCCCAACACACACCTCCAGCCTCATCTGTCCCATGCCACGTGGGTCTCTCCATTTGCCTCCTACCCCTTAAACTTCTATCTCATGGATTTTCCACAAGCTATTTCTTCTACAAAGATAATCGTCTCTCCCTCCTTTGACTTGTCAACACCTAGTTATTCTTCAGATCTCAATGGCCCCTTCGCTGACTTCCTTAGCTAAATCCAATACCCTTATTACAGGCTTTCTTAACACTGTGTAGCCATTTTTCAGTCCCAATTAAATACAGGAATACCTCTGAGATATTGCAGTTCAGTTCCAGATAACTGAAATAAAGCAAGTATTATAATAAAGTGAGTCACACACATTTTTTGGTTTTCTAGTGCATGTAAGAGTTGTTTACACTATTCTGTAGTCTACAAAGTGTGCAATAGGGTTATGACTGACAAAAAACAATATACATAAAATTTTAAAAGACTTCATTGCTTAAAAATGCTAACAATGGTCTAAGCCTTTAGTGAGGGTTTTGTTTTGTTTTGTTTTTTGCTTGTAGAGCGTCTTGCCTCAATTTTGATGGCTACTGATGGATCGAGGCGGTGGGTCCCGAAGGCTGAGGCTATTTCTTTTCTTTTCTTTTTCTTTTTTTTGTGACGGAGTCTTGCTCAGTTGCCCAGGCTGGAGTGCAGTGGTGTGATCTCGGCTCACTGCAAGCTCCGCCTCCAGGGTTCACGCCATTCTCCTGCCTCAGCCTCCCAAGTAGCTGGGACTACAGGCACCTGCCACCATGCCCGGCTAATTTTTTTTTTGTATTTTTAGTAGAGACAGGGTTTCACCATGTTAGCCAGGATGGTCTCGATCTCCTGACCTTGTGATCTGCCCGCCTCAGCCCCCCAAAGTGCTGGGATTACAGGCATGAGCCACTGCGCCTGGCCGGCTATTTCTTAAAATAAGGCAACAATGAAGGTTGCTATATCAATTGGCTCTTCCTTTCGTTAAAAATTTCTCTGTAGTATGTGATGCTGTTTGATAGCATTTTACCCACAGTAGAACTTCTTTCAAGGTTAGAGTCAGTCTTTTCCAGCCCTGCTGATGCTTTATCAATTAAATTTATAGTCATATTCAAAATCCTTTATTGTCATTTCAACAATGTTCATGGCATCATCACCCGGAGTATATTTCATTTTAAGAAACCACTTTCTTTGCTCTTCCATAGAGGCAATTCTTCATCCATTAAAGTTTTATTGTGAGATTGCAGCAATTCAGTCACATCTTCAAGCTCCACTTCTAATTCTATTTCTCTTACAATTTCCACCATATCTGTAGTTACTTACTCCATAATTCTTCCAGTAGAAGGCTGTTTCATCCACATTGAAAATCTGTTGTACAGTGTCGCCATCATCATCAACTATCTTAGCTAAATGCTCTGGATAATGTGCTGCAGCTTCTCCATCAGCACTTGCTGCTTCACCTTGCACTTTTTTGGTTTGGAGACGGCTTCTTTCCTTAAACCTCATGAGGCAACCTCTGCCGGTTTCAGACTTTTCTTTTGTAGCCTCCTCACCTTTATCAGCCTTCAAAGAATGGAAGAGAGTCAAACCCTTGCTCTAGATTAGGCTTTGGCTTAAATGAATGTTGTGGCTGGTTTGATCGTCTGTCTATACCACTAAAACTTTCTTCACATCAGCAATAAAGCTGCTTCACTTTTTTTATAATCCATATTTCATGGGAGTAGCACTTTTAATTTCCTTTGCATTCACAACTTGGCTGTTTGGTGCAAGTGTCCTAGCTTTTTGCCAATCTTGGGTTCAGCACGCCTTTCTCACTAAGTTTAATAAGTTTTCACTTTTGATTTAAGGTGAGATATTTGAAACTCTTTCTTTCACTGGAAGACCTAGAGATCATTTTAATGTTATTAATTGACCTAATTTTAATATGATTGTGTCTCAAGGAATAGGAAGGTCTGAGGTGAGAAAGAGAGATGAGGGAATGACTGGTCAGCGGACTAGCCTGAACATACACATTTATTAATTTCACTATCTTATATGAGTTCAGTTTCTGGCACCCCAAAACAATTACAGTAATAACATCAAAGAGCACTACACACAGATCACCATAACAAATATAATAATAATGAAAAAGTTTGAAATATCATGAGAATTACCAAAATGTGACACAGAGATATGAAGTGAGTACATGCTGTGGAAAAATGACACCAATCAACTTGCTCAATACACAACTGCCACAAACCTTCAATTTGTAAAATATTTCATATCTGCAAAGTGCAACAAAAATGAAGCACAACAAAACAAGGTGTGATTGTATTTATTTGTGTGTCCATTAGGTCAATATCTGTCTCCCCAACTAACTGATAAGCTACGTGATGGTAGAGTCTGTGTCTGCAATGTTCACCATTATAACCCAAACATCTATCTGGTCCCTGGCCTAACGGGTGCTTGATAAATATTTCTTTAATATCTAACTGACTGATCAACCAACCAACTGAATGAGTGAGTGAATGAATGAATGAAAGAAAGCATCCTGTTCATTGATGTGTTAATTTTCTGTGTCTTGATAGAATTCTAAAATATTAGAATCTTTATGTGGAGGCCAGTCTTGGCTCAAGTCTTTCCTTAACACTCTTCTTCTCACTGAGACCTACCGCTAACCATACTATTTAATGCTGCAGTCTCTTCATACCCCACCCACCAGCACTCCCTAAGAACCATGTCTAACTCTATTTTTTTCATTTACCCCACCTCATAACACACTAGAGAATTGCTTATTTATCATCGTTCTAACTATGCTTTCTTAGTTTCCATATTTGTCTATTTGGCTTCCATTATTCACAGAACCAATTGTATTAACCATATTTTCTTATTTTCCATATTCTTGATGCTGTGGCATTTGCAGCCTCGCTAACTGGGGAAAGACTGTGCCTATCAGGGCTAATTGATTTTTAGAAATAGCAAAGCGGTCTCCAGAGCCTGCCTTCAGATGTAAACCAGCCATTCCAAATTCCTCACAATCTCCTTCATCAAACTCACACATCAATCCAAAATTCTCCTTGCTCTAAATCAACCTGTAGCCAGGTACCAGACAATAAGGAAAAGACCCTTTGCCCCAAAACCCAACAGAATTCTTCGAACTAACCAATCCTAAAGCAATACTACATTCCAGAATATTTTGCCTTTCTCACAAAAAAACACAATAAAAACAGTAACTTTGCCACTCCTTTCTGCCTCCTGCTCAACACTAGTGCATCCCAATGTGGCCCTTCATGGTGTGACATACACCCTCCTCTTGGAAAACTTAAGTAATTTTTTTTTAATTTTTGGAGACAGAGTCACACTCTGTCAGCCAGGCTAGAGTGGAGTGGTGTGATCACGGCTCACTGTAACCTCGACCTCTTGGGCTCAAGCGATTGTCCTGCCTCAGCCTCCTATATGGCTGGAGCTATAGGCATCCATCATCTGGCCGAACTAATTTTTGTTTTGTTTTTAAATTTTTTTTGTAAAGATGGGGATCTTGTCCAGGCTGTTCTCAAACTCCTGGTCTCAAGCCATCCTCCCTTCTTGGCGTCCAAAAGTGCTGAGATTATAGGTGTCAGCCACCATACTGAGCCATAAATTCTTATTTCAATGGCTTTAGCCTCTCCACATCATCACTCAGTCACCTCTATATGTTAAAATACCATAAAATCCTACTGGTACAATTGAGGTAATCACATTATTGTTTATCCCCTGATGTCTTCCCACCCATCCACTATCAATGGAAAGCAAACTTCATAAGGGCAGGGACCCATATTTTGTTTTATTCTGCTTCTGGTTGCCTAGAGCAGTGCCTGGTACATAGAACTTTAATAAATACATATTGAGTGAATGAATAAGTGCTCCTGGTCTCAATTCTGGCACACTATCATTTCAGAACTTGAGATTCCCCTGGGACAGAAACTTTCTTACTCCCCACCATATCTCCAGGCCCTCTCTCACTATCTGGCATTTGGCTAAAAGCTCAGTAATTGTTTGATCTGATTTTGTTAGTCTACTGCATTTTGTCTAAGTTTCGCTGGTCCCTAGAGCTCACAGGCTAGCCCCTTGAGTTCTTGGGCTACCAAAGGCTTCTGTTCTCAGTGGCAAGGACTCCTATTTTTTGCATCTCTTAAGGGATTCCCCAACCACAGAGTATATAAGGCATGACCAATGGAGAGCTGGGGACCTGGGTCCAGTGCCTCCCCTCCATCCCTAACTACGAGTGCCCTTGAGCAAGTAAATTGATCACTGTGGAAGTACTATCTTCATGAGTGTGGAGTGTGGGGAAGACAGACACACAGCCTTTAATGTCTTCAATATGGATTACATTAAGACTCAACTAGACGGCTTCTCAAGATCTCTGTGAAGTTTATGAGTTCACAGTCCATCTTATAGTCACTAAACATGATTTCAACTTTTCAGTCTCATTACTCTTCCCAGTTATCCTTCTGAATGATAAGGCAGAGTTCAGTACTTAATCTTTACCTTTGAGGGCTGTAGACATATGGCAGGCTGTGCAACACTCATTATTTAGATGACATTGATTCTACTTCCACTTACAGTTACTATATTCTTAAAATATGTTTTACAGCCCAACTTTTGTAAGCTCACTTTCTTCTCACATGCGCAAAAGTAGTCTTAGGATTTCTCATTTTCTTTTTGAGTCTAAGAAGATTTTTCTCTCATAATTGTAACTGGCATTATGGAGCACTACTTGTCTTGTCTTATGTATCCCTTAAAATAGATAAGTCTAATTTTATGAATGAAGAATCAGAGCAGTTATGTCATTTGCCCTGGGTAATACAGCTAGAAAACAATAAGATGGGTTCAAATCGAGGTAGTTTGTCTACATAGACTGCACCTAGTTACTCATCTACATTGCCTTTGTGGGTTGATCGAACCCAATAACTTAATTCTTACTGACTTGACCCCATTCTCTTCCTAATTGTATATTTCACAAACACTTTATGTTTATGACACATGCTAAACTCTCTTGAGCCACATATTGTTGCTAGGAGAGTGTAATCATCATGCATTAGAAATAAAAGTGTGCAAAGGCTAAGGTGACATGAGGAAGCCAATGGCAAGAATAAGGTTAAAACTCACAGCCTTGGTTGTCCAGTTTTCTTATCAGTCCTTTGAGACTTCACACATTCTACCTGATTTTTCAATTTCATGGGAGTCGTTGGGAGCTGAAGGCAATGAAGGCAAAATCAGGCTTCACTCCTGGGTAAAGGTAATAGCTTAGATGGCAGATTACTTTATAGACATTTTAGTACAGGTAGCAGCAGGCATGTTTGAAAATTCTAAGTACGCCCATTAGTATGCAGAAACACCATCAGCTGCCAAAATCATTTTCTAAAAAACCAAGTCTTCATTAGGTCCCAATTGCCCAAAGTATGTTTGCCTTGTCAGACACAGATTTTTAAAAGCAGTTCAGTCTTGAGCCACTTTCGGTAACATGGATTTCTCCCTCGCTATTTATTTTCAGTCCTACTTTCTGGTGTAACTCTTTTTTCAATATATATGAAAAAGCTTTTTTTTGCCTTAATCCCCTTGGCTCTTTTTAGCACAGTCAGCAGTTTTGCAACCTTCTTTCTTTCCTCTGGGCTCCAACATTCTGTTGTTTGCACTTCCACAGCTTATTGGCAGCGTGTTTTTTTTTGACAATCTTGAAATCTAATTGAATGTTTCTTGTTTTAAAATTTACTTCTCAGAGGAACACTAGATAGCTGGATCTCTACAATTGCCCTTTTTATTAATCTTCTACCTGCATCTATACCGTAATATAGTTAAATATTCAAATATGCCAACCAAAATTTGTGGAACTAAATTAATTGAAAGAAAATATTTTCAGAAAATAGGAACATGCGGAAGAAAATTTTCTGCCACTAAAAGATAATACCCTTCAACTTCAGGTCAATGAAAGCATCATCATAATCTTACTAACAAATTTTTGGGGGCACACATATTTCACTTTTCATTCCAATAAACTTCCTAAGTGTACAGAAATAAAAAATTATCAAAAAGTAAAAAAAAAAAGGACAGGAAATGTTT
The DNA here is from genome assembly GCF_000001405.40 of Homo sapiens. Classification (NCBI taxonomy): domain Eukaryota; kingdom Metazoa; phylum Chordata; class Mammalia; order Primates; family Hominidae; genus Homo; species Homo sapiens. The sequence continues at coordinate 34,513,496 of NC_000013.11, forward strand.
TGGTATTCTGATATTTCATCCTGATACAAGCAAATAGGAAAAGAAATCATTTTCCATTTAGATTTCAAATTGGATATGACTATGAACAATCACTATTTCTAAAACTGATGGTCACTGATAGCTAAGATTTTATTTGTTTTCAGGTATATGTTGAAGTTTCATCTTTCAGTCTTTAATTCAATTATGATTCACCCCAGATTTCAACAGTCTCTTCTTCTAAAAATAACTGAGCATAAACCCTCATAATTTGATACCATGCATTTTATTCAGCTGAAACACATAGTACCCTCTTCCAGGACAGTTTGCGTTATAAATAAGAAATGAAGGCCTAAAAATTGAAAGGATCAGACTGCATTATTTTGGTTTAGGTATTTACTACTTGTTTTATGTCAATAGTAAGTATTTGGAGGCATTTTAAATAACAGTGCACATGTTGCTGCTAAATCCAGAATAAGGGTGCATAGAAATGATCCTAGAAAATTAGTCTTCCCATTTATTTAATGTGTTTATTTAATCAACCTCCTCTATGAAAAACAGTCTGTTCTATCCAGTGGTGGATAGAAACATTGCTGAACTATTGCCAGAGGAATCTTCTAGAACGAAGTCAGGTCTTGTTACTTCACTTCTCAAATACGCCGGTGGCTTTGAATTTCATTAAAGAATGAAAATCAAAGATGAAGAAACTAAGGTTTATAGAAATTGACCTTGAAAACAAGGTCAAAGTTGGAAACCAACATGCTGAAATGGCTCTGTTACACCAGGTCTCCTCATGGTCTTACAGGACTTGCATATCTTGACTCCCTCTTAAACCTCAGTCTCTACTATTCCAGCCTTCACCTTTCAGCCACGCCAGCCTTCCTGTCTTTCCTCGGAAATGTCAGGCAGGCTCCTGTATTAGCACCTTGGTATTTCTTTTGTCTCTGCTTGAAATGCTATTTCCCCAGATTCCACATGGCTTGATCTCCTACATCTATCCCTCTCCGCGAAATGCCAGGAAAAGCATCCCTGAATGCCCAGTATGAAATAGCATCCCTCATCCCAGCAGCTCCCTGTCTGCTTTACTCTACTTTTTTTCCCACATAGTATTTATCACCAGCTCATACAGCACGTATTTGCTTTCTGTAGCTATCCACTGGAAAGTAAGCTCAGTGAGAACTTGACTGCTGGACTTGCCATTGTATCCCCAGGACCCTGAGGAGTGCCAGGCATAAAAAAAGTGCCCAGTAAATATTTGCTAAATTCATAAATGCAGTTATCCTCCCTGCCCCAACTGTATTAGTCTGTTTTCACGCTACTGATAATGACATACTGGGCAATTTACAAAAGAAAGGTTTAATGGACTCACAGTACCATGTGGCTGGGGAGGCCTCACAGTCATGGCGGAAGGCTGAAGGCACATCTCACATGGTGGCAGACAAGGGAAGAGAATGAGAGCCAAGTGAAAGGGGTTTCCCCTTATAGAAACATCAGCTCCTGTGAGACATATTCACTACGATGAGAACAGGATAAGGGAAACCACCCCCATGATTCAATTATCTCCCACTAGGTCCCTCCCACAACACATGGGAATTATAGGAGCTACCATTCAAGATGAGATTTGGGTGGGGACACAGCTAAACCATATCACCCACCAAGTCAAATAAATTATGAAGCCAACTACTTTTAAGTAAAACAAGCATTATACCAAATGAAGTGGAATGACAGAGAGGTGTTGGGTGTGGGCTCAGTGCGAAACTAGGCAAGTTCAATGTTAGAAATTGAAATGCCGAAAGACCTCCCATGTGTTAGTGGTGTGGTTCCTATTAGATTCATGCCTGAAAAATGGGGTCAGGAGAGGAGGCCAGATGTACAAGACCTTTAAAACTCCCTCCCCCGTCCAGTGACTGATGGTCAACATGCCTGCAGCAGCACTCACTGCTGTCTGAGGCAGCCATAATTTCAAGCATGTTAGACATTTGCAGTGGAAATTCCAGAAGGGCCTGAATGAATTTATGCCAATCAGGAGACATCCATTTTTAAGATATTGCAACCAAAGGAGACTTCTCTAGGCATCCTGCTGAGAAAAAAATCTTCCAAAAGGCCTTTATAGAACCCTAAAAAGTCAACGTGTGGAAGGACTAGGATTCAGGTTGCTCTCTAGAGCTTGGGCTCTAGGGAAAAAGGAACAGCCAGAAATGCCACTAGCCCATTCAGCCTCTGTGGGAAATCAGAAAAATGCATCTATTCCTCCTGGGAACATAGAGTACTATGTCCAGGTACTCACTTGGTCCCTTGTCCACTCACCCTTACACAGAGGGCAATTATGGGTGTGGCCCTAAGAATAGCAGGGATGTTTCAGAACAAATCGAAATTACTGCCGGCACTGGCTATTTCCATAACTAAGAACTCTAAGACGGACAGGTCCTTCTTCCCCAGGTCCTTCCACACCGCTTGGATGGCTTGTCGGTGGACACTTAGCCAAATTGCGTGGAACTTGAGATTTTCACTTCCACTGTGAGTTGCTCTCACCTGTCCCCAAAGTTCTTTTCACATCTATCAAGAAATTTCTATACAAACCAAGGCCACAGGAGCATCACGATTAAAAGCCCTACTGGGAAGTCAGACAGGCGTAAATCTGAGTCCCACGTTAGCTCATGTCATTGAGCAAATCTCTTAATTTCCATCAGCTTCAATTTCTTCATTTTTCAAATAGGAGTAGTAAGAGTGACTCAGAAGATGAAGTTTAAATTATAAAATGTACTTATAGAGTTGCTGGAAGATGATATAAATTATTATTATTGTCTGTTTACTATTGTTGTAAGTATTAGTATAATCGACTAAAATTCGTACTCGGACTCTAAATCCAATAAAGTTCATGATATTTGCTCTGAAAAATGGTAATTCCTCTATAGTGAATATTTATTTATATTCCAGGTGTAACTTGCATAGGCTTGCAATAAAATTTACCTTATAACGTTTTATATGTGTTTATTATATAACTATATTAGGTTAGTGCAAAAGTCATTGCTGTTTTTGCCACTGAAGGTAATGACATAAATCACAATTACTTTTGCACCAATCTAATTATATAAATGTTGTCAATACATAGAATTTTCTGATATTAATATAGATTTATCAACTTCCTTTTAATTTAATAATCTTTTCCCACTTGTTTTCAACTTCTCTGAGCTGTTTTTTTATAAGTGTGTGTCTTTAAATAAAGCTACCCTAGATTTTTGAAATGCAATCTGAAAATCTCTACTTTTAATTGCAAATGTAAGCCATCTGTACTCATTTTATTTAAGAATTGTGATTGAGATTTATTTCTATCATCTTATTTAGTGTTTGCAATTTACCATATATTTTTTCTTTTTTCTTTTTTTTCTGCCTTCTATTAATTATTGGGTTTTCCTTAATCATTTTTGTTTTGCCCTTTACTGGCTTGGAAATCATATAATCTATCTGTTAAAGGTTACCTTTAAACTTTTACTTTGCATACTTGACCTAACAAAGTCTTAATTTGATGATTATCTCCCTCTCTCTCCAGAACACACTTTTTCCTACCATCTTACACATTATTTGTGTCCATATTTTAATTCACTTCACTTTCTTGTACCATAGTCAATGCTTATTTATGTTTACCTAACTTTGCCAATTTCTTGGCTCACAATTGTTTCTTGTCCAGGAATCATTTCCTTGGATTCAGTTTTCTTTTTTACGAAGTTCATCCTTTAGTAGTTCACTCCTGGGTCTCATGGCATTAAAGCTCAAGTCCTTTGTTGTTGGGACCAGAACCATCAGCCGGAGTAGCTGCAGCAACACCTCATGAGTTCACAGCTATGATTTTCAGTCCATCTTTGATCTTGGCAACTAGAGCATTTCTTTCTCTCTTGCAAGCTCAGCTATACATTAAAAAAACAAGTTTGCTGTGTCACATTTTGCATTTCAAGGAGTCCATTTTGAGGGGATCAAATGTCAGCATTCATATATGGAACATATATTAGGAAACACACTGTGTTCTAGGTATTACAGATGTAAAAATGGAAATGAAGCAGTTTGTCCCTCAAGAAACTTATGATCTAACAGAGATAGTTATGAATCAGACATATGTAATACATTTTAAGGTGTTATAGATGCTATAATTATCAGATCCTACCCTAGATTAAGCTCTTTAAGAATAAAGAGCTCTTAAAGAATACAGTGACATAATTATCTTTCCATCTCTAGCATCTAGGGTAGTGCTAGCAGATAGAAAGTATTCACTAAATGTTTGTTGCCTGAATGTATGAATGAATTATAGAAATCAACAAATATTTGCACTGTTGCTCATTCTCACTTTTTAATTCATAAAATGCAAGATGATTGTTGTTTTCTAATTACAACTGAATGTTTATATTTTACTTGAAGATGTTTAATTTTATCATACTAATAATAGAAAATATTAAACCTCTACTTTGTATCAGATATTGCTCTCAGAGCTTTCCAAGCATTAACTAGTGTGAAATTCACAGTAACTCTCTACAATGGAGAGTTTTGTGGCCTGGGTTACATATTAGAAGCTATATTAGGAACTCATTTAAATTGATCTGACTAGAGCTTCTGTTACTTGCTACTATGTATATATCCATCTGCCAGTCTACGATTCCAAGGTAACTTTCAACTACACATTATCCTTTATTTTTATAGTCATCATCTATGCTTGCAGAACTTAGCTCATTTACAACCTGACCACTGTCTTAGTGATTGATCTATTACTATTGGTCAGGAAGGCTCACCTCATTCCAATGACTACACACCGTGCTGATTTTACTGCTGCTATGCTGTTCTTAAAATGCATAGCTGGAACACACTTACATCTATGACCCATCTCTTATCCATGGCGACTTTCCCCAGCCACCTTCCAGCTAGGAGTGGTACAACCTAACTAAAACTAACACCCCCCAACAAATGCTTATAAATAATCCAATTACTAACAATCTAGAATTATAGAGGATCTAGCCAGCAACCAACATCTAGTATATTGCTTGGTAGAATTTGCTTTTCAAGAATTGGACCAATGTTATCCAATACATTTTCCTGTCACCTTTGCTATTTCCCATGAGTTCTCAAAAAAATATTCATAGTAGCTATAAAATTATATCTGAAATTATTTCAGTATCCAAATATATTATATCTCAGTAGCCCAAAATATTGAAATTATTCCAAGAATATAGATGTTATTTTACTGCCTTAGCCTTAAATATCCTTTATTTCTTTATTTACTTATTTTTAAGATGGGGTCTCACTCTATCTCTCAGGCTGGAGGGCAGTGACGCAATCACAGCTCAGCCTTCAGAGTAGTTGGGACTCCAGGTGTACACCACCATGCTTGGCTAAATTTTGTATTTTTTGTAGAGAAGGGGTCTTGCCATGTTGCACAGGCTGGCCTTGGCCTCCCAAAGTGTTAGGATTACAGGCATGAGCCACTGCACCCAGCCAAATACCCTTTATTGATAACAGTTCAATTTTTTTCTAGTTTGAATGTGGATTCTTTGGCAGGGAAAATATAAACAAAATAGGAGTTGAACAGTTTCACAAGGCATGACCTGTGTTTGCCATCCTCAGAGTACTAGTATTTCATATTCACTCAAATATTTATCCAGTATGAACTATGTTTCAGGCATCGTTCCAGCCACAGATATAATTGTAAACAAAATAGAGAAAATATCTAGACTTAATGGTACCTGCAATATGGTATTGCATGACATGAATAAATTTTTCCTTACTCTGAACTCACTAGTGGCTGTCTTTAGAGGACCCGGCAAACTTTTCCTGCTTTTTCCCACTTGCTCCATCACATACATCACATCACCAACACCATCACATACATACACAGTCATGAACGGCCATCAGGCCACACCAGATTACATCGCTGTGGATCCAACCCTGCATTTTCCTGCCCCTCCTTTACTGCGAGTGTCACCTCTACCCGGAAAGGTCTTCAACCTCCAAGTTCCACAGTAATTTAAAACCTGTCATCATCTTATTTCTATGCCATCTTTATTCATCCTAACACAAATACATGTATTCATTTCACACTCTCTCATTATAATTTAGATTATACCTTTTATAATCTACTTTGGATTGTGGTTACTTGTGTATAGATTGTGAGAAACAATCAAAATCCAGGGCTAACAAACTCTTCCCTTTTACATCTGCGAATTCCATACAGTACTGAAACAGCAGTACGCGTCGAATGATTCTCAATAATGCTTGGTAACTTGAATGATTATGCCACCTTCTCTGTTGTATAACTTAATTTCTATTTATTCATTCAGTTATTTATTCATTCATTCAAAAAGGCACTTAGTGCCCACTAGATGCCAATCATTCTCTCAAGGAATTGAGGATACATGAGTAAATAAAACAGACAATCACAATTTTTCAGAGTTTTGGAATTATTTAAGTTAGAGTTTATGAATAATCACTTGTCTGCAAGAATTGATAAGACACTGAGGCACATTACTAAAGAAAGTGACAGAGTTTCTTATAGTGGCTGTTAAGTGCAGTTGACTTTCTGTCTTGAGGTATCCAAATAAATTCTTCCCTGGAGACAGAGGGATGAAGGGTTTTAGCTCACAATGTTCCCTTGAGGTCTTTAGTTTTATGAATCAATATGCATGAGGACAAATAACCAAGTGAGTCTATTCTTCTCCCCCTTCGTTATTCATTCCAACAATGAAGCCAGAGAGAGGCATCTATAAAAATCATTAGCAGTGGGAATTGTAGTAGGTGTAAGACTTCCATCAGCCCTTTAGCCCTCCTCTAAAGTAATCTATTTTTTCCAGGAGCTGAAAGAGTTTAACAATCTAGAAAGGTCAATTCTCTAAAATATTCTCAACAATATCTGGATTGCTAGCATTTTGTGAGAACAGGAGACACAAGGTAATTTTGTGAGAGGAAAAAAATGCCTTGAATAGCAGAAAACTCAAATTAGCTTTTTATCCCCTCCAGAATAGTAGTTTGAGAATGTCAGAAAGCTTGACCAAAATGTAAATGTATGAAACAGAACATAAAGAAATCTGAAATCATAAAATGACCACTCCTAAAAAGAAAAAACAAAAAAACAGGTTGAGAAAGAGTGGTTGGTTTTGTTTCTACAAAATAGAACCTTTAATGCTGGTAGCATATTGCTTTTCAAATATTTGGTTCTAAAATATCATAAAGATGAAAAGAGGCTGAATTATCAAATTAAAGAACACAACATTGAAGATACTCTTCAGGCAACAGAAACCACATCCGTATGCCCCATATGGTCCTCTCCTCTCCTCCTCTTCCCCATGCTACCTCCACTCTCTGGCCTCCTCTAGCCCCCATGCCGGGGTGCCTGGAAGATGGGCCCCAGAGAGAACCTACCTTAAATTGACTTGGCCACCGGCAAAACTCCCAGTCAGAGGGTTGCACTATTCATAATTCTCATGTACTCTCCCTAGAGCCCTAATGTTATTTTCCAACAGAGTGACTTCAAATACCCTTTATTTCAGCTTTGCTGAAGTCAGGAATTAGTTGCCCCTGACCATTGCTTTACTGAGATGCCTAAGTGAAAGGTGGAAGAAAATTCCCTATTATTATTTCTCAGAGAGTCCTGGAAGTCACTTCCCGGCCAGGAAAAAAAATTCAAGCACGAGTAAGATAACTTTGCCACTGAGTAGCTAAAGGATGAATGGCACGGTCTGGGAAACTTTAAAGTATCCAGGATTCCAGGAAGACCTGTTCCTTCCCAAGATGCTTAAGGATCTGTTCCCTGCTCCATTGGAGACATGCTGTTGGAATGTGGAAAAGCCTCTCCACTTCCAAGATAGGAACAGACTGTCATTCTCCCAGAAGGTAACACAACCGTGAGCAGCTGGAAGGTAATAGCTACTCCAGAACAGAATATTCCACTCAAGTTTCTGCTTTATCTGGGCCCTTGGCAGTCAGCCCAAACATGAAAGAAATGTCACTGTACTGGACCGAAGCAAGGACCTCCGTCAAAAAGGATTACGGAAAAAAATGAGCTATGGGGGAGAGATTGTGTACAGGACTTTTGGCTGAATGAGAAACTAGGCCCATTCTGAAATGAGAGCAGCTGCCATTCCACGGAAGCCCTCAGGCCTTCATTTATTTTAATAGGATTTTAGTGGAGGCTTGCCTTAGTCTTGGGTTGGTTTATCATTTATGATAACCCATCCTGCGCCATAAACTCAAACACATCCCTTCAGATTCATTGACATTTGAGGAGCGTGATTTTATCCTCCCTTCACTTAACATACACTTTTTGATGGCTTACAATGTGACAGGCACTATTCCAGATTCTGAGCTTCAGCTTTGAAACCAGAAAGACAAGGACCTGTCTCCCACGGAGCTTCACATGCTAGCATGTGGGCTTGTTGGGGACGGGTGGTAGAGGAGTGGGAAACGGATGTAGAAAATGAACAAAGAAAAAAGATATTAATGAGGTAATTTTTTAAGAGCTCAGATTATTCTTTTATTTTTATTTATTTTTATTTTCATTTCAGATTCAGAGGATACATGTGCAGGTTTATTACATGGATATACTGTGTTAATAGTGAGTTTGGGTTAGTGTTACAAGGTAATTCCTTATTTTTTTCTTCAACAAAGAAAATACACAATTATGCCACAGATTGACTGGAATATGGATGAGGTTTTTTAAAATTATTATTATTTTTATTTTTTTAGAACTGGTGTTGCTGAGGAGATGATCACTGAACTTGGATGTCAATGATCAAAGTCAACAGATACGGGGGGCAGGGGTTATGATGGAGGCTACACAAAGTAGAATATCTAAAATGGAACTAAAACTTGGAATTAAAATATGAACAAAATACAGACTTATGAAAATAACATATATGTATATCAGAGGAAGATACATTTTACCAAAATATCATATGTGTACATTTTTCAGATAAAATAAATATTGCTCCATAGTTCACTTTCCTTAGCCTTTTTAGCTTAAAGATGTCATAAAGAGAGACTAGTCAATAAATTGGAAGCCCTAATATCTGAGGTGACCTTGCTCATGCCACAATATGGCCTATAAGACTAAATTCCCAGGGACTAGGGGAGATATTGGTCAAAGGATTCAAAATTTCCATTAGGCAGGAAGAATAAGTTCAAGAGATCAATCAGGCATCCTGGTGGCTATTGTTAACAACAATATATTGCATACTTAAAAATTGCTATGAGGGTATATTTTAAGTGTTCTTACCAAAAAATAATAAGTATGTGAGGTGAAGATAAGTTAATTAGCTTGATTAAGCCATTCTACAACGTATATATAAATCAAAACATCAAGTTATGTACCATAAATATACACAACTTTCATCAATTTAAAAAATTAATTACTATTTTAAAAGCCTAGAGAATTCCCAGAAGTCAACAGATATTTTATGAAGGCACAAGAGCAACCTTTATCCTTAAGGAGTTCACATTTTTGTTCACTGTATCACAAAACTAACACTATTGAAGGCAAGACTTAACAGCCACAGCAGTGTATAAACAAAGTTTCCTGAAAGCGTCAGAATACAGTGATTTATTGCAGAAGAATAGACTAAGTCATTAAGAAAAGATATTTACTGCGGTAATATTTAAAGCTCTTGGTAAACGATCTCTTTGAGAATTGCACATCTGTCGTTCTGGCAAAAAAATAGGAGACCTGAAAAAAATATCTCTAAATTGTTTATTTTTTAGCTTAATTAACCAATTGGCTTAAAAGTCCAATTCAATCCATAATGGAGGGACTGAATTGGATAACATCTGAAGTCCCTTTTGATGCTTTAATTCAAAAAGTATTTCTATTTTTCAAAGTTCTATTTTGACATTTAAAGATGGGTTTAAAAATCTCATGTATGAAAGAAACAAAGTGCAAATGATAAAGTTAATTTTTGTTATGGATACTATTTTATTTATTGGATATATGTATAGAAGAAAATTATTAAAATATACCTTTAGTTTGTTTCTGGTGTATCTGAGAAGACAAAATAAACAGTACACATGCAAAAGTGTATAAGACAACACCGGAGTGAGACACGTTAATGTTCACTGGAATTTTTAAAATTTTGAACCATGAGTCACTAGCTGTGAAGTTTAATCAACAGCAGTTTACACAGTTAATTCGACACCAATTTAAAATACTGCATGGTATTCATTTTTCTGCACAGCAAAAGCCATAAATAACCACATAAGTGACTGTTAAGTAACCACATAAATGACTGTTCTCAGTATTATTTTTATATAACCAAATAAAACTTTTATCAATTTTCTCCTCTAAATATTGAGTTTTTCAACATCTATAATCGGTGGCAACAATTCCCCTGATAAAGTGTAAGCTCAATCATGCAGGCACCCCAGAAACTCATGTGCTTTATAACAAGGTTTGGATGGTATTCTCCAGCATTAAGGAACTCTCTTCTTCTGGCTTCTTCTTTCTTCACCACAACCTTAAAATGCAGCTTGCTTGTGAATTCCCTCCAGCTGTAGCTCCAGCCCCAGCCCCAGATCCTCTCTGCCTCTTTTCCCTGCTGTCAAAGTGGTAGGAACAGTGGCCACCTCACTGTGTTGAGGAAGCAGAAGCAGAATGGACTTGAGCTTGGGTGATGTCAGCTCCATCCTGCAGCTGAACTTCAAGGCCAGGGTCACTGGATCCCAAATAATTTAGTCTTCAGCAGCTGAAGCACGTCACCTCCAACAATACCACAGAACCAAATTCCCTGATTTTGGAGAGGGGAGAACAGGTTTTTACCTCTGCATTAGTCTGCTCAGGCTACTATAACCAAATTGCACAGACTGGGTGGCTTAAACAACAGAAATTTCTTTCTCACAGTTCTGGAGGTTGGAAAGTTCAAGATCAAGGTCCTGCAGGGTTTAAGTTCCAATGAGGGGTCTCTCCCTGGCTTGCCGAGAGCCACCTTCTTGCTGCAGTTCACATATAGCTCTCCTCTGAGGACATGCAAAAAGAGAGAAAGAGAGCAACTTCTGTCTCTCTTCCTCTTCCTATAAAGCCTCTATTATTTAACTTTCATTACCCCCTAATGGCCCTATCTCCAAATACAGTTACTTCGAGGGCTAGGGCTTCAATGTCTGAAGTTTGAAAGACATGCTTCAGTCATAGCAACCTCCAAGGCAGGCCTTTGGGTGGCTTACATTTCAAGGAAAATATATGGTCCTTTTCCTTTTCTGCCATCACTTCTCTGCACACCCCTCCTCACCCAACTCCTACAAACTCTTCTGTGTACCTGAAACTCCTTGTTTGGAAGCTGCACGTGGTCAAAATAACAAAGCGATGGGAATGAATTGAAGTCCAATTATTGCAGGCTTTGCTAGAGAAGGAAAGAATAAAGCACAGCTTGGGACAGCTGAACTGAAAGAGATACCATGAGGTCACGAAGGGTACAAAAAGGATAGGCTAGGGGTTTTTAAGACAATTTTCTTGTACTTTATTTTGAAGTGCAGAACTCATCTGTTTTCTGTCCAGCTGTGCATAAGCAGTACCCTGGTTTTGGGCATTATGCAGAACTTATTTAACCTAAGGTGCACTCAGACAGAAACCTCTTTAGAAAGAAATTCCTATTTGTTTTGCCCACACTAAGGTACCCAAATCCTTGATACTAGGCAGGGAGCATCTGGTCCTCATAGAGAGAGAGAAGAGCATCTCCCAAGTGTGCTCTGCAAAGTTGTAATTCCTGTGTGAGAAAGATTTATACAGTACAGGAAAGACAGATGGCCTATAGTATCTGTATTTTGGTCATTCATAACAATGTGAGCACAGCAAAGCCACTGAGAATTTATAACATGAGGAGACTTGTAGAACTTTGGTCAACCCAGTGTTTTTCAAACTTATTTGACCACATTCCTCCTTTTGTTATCATTGTGATAAACGTTATTCGTGATCACCAATCTCCAGTTCTCTTCCTAGGCTCACAGGAAGAGCACAGTTTCCATGCATCTTGCAGCAGGCAGGGCCCCATGACTGGTTCTGCCCAATGCAGCTGTGAGCAGAAGTGACATGAGAGCAGGTGTGAGTTGTCTATGGGCCATACCTCCCCTTCCTCAGAGACAGTGGAAGCTGTGAGGGTAGAACATTGACACATTCCAGCCACAGGAACAAAGCAGCCTGGATCACTGAGTCACCCCATAGAGGACAAGCAACTTGGAGACTGCAGCAAACTTTGCATGAGTGAAAAGTAAGCTCTGTGTGTTAAGCCCCTGAAATTCTGAGGTTGTTTGTTACTGCAGCATAAGCCTAGACTATTCTCACCGAGTAACACCTTGTAACATCATTACATGGAACCCACTTTGATAATTGCTAATGAAAACCAATGACAGGAGGGGTTCTTTAGGTCAAACAGCCATCTGCCCACTTTTTCTATAAAGGTCCAGATAGTGAATACTTTTTAGGTCTTATGAGCCATACGGTTTCTGTTGCAACTAATACATTTGTGGTTGTAATGTGAAAGGCACCATGCAAATAAATGGATGTGACTGAGTCCCAATAAAACTTTAATTACAAAGGCAGAAGTTAGGGCTGTGGGCAAACAGGCTATAGTTTGCTGACCCTTAATATCAAAGATAGGAGATTGAACACACATTTACTAGAATTAGGTACAACTTTCCCTCTATTTAAATAGCAAAAAAACTAAAATGATTTACCAGAGATTCTGATACCAATTTCCAGTTTCTTCTTAGTCAGGAATTTTCCTTGGATAATCTTGTTTCGGTGCAGCCATAGGAAAATGTCAGGGCCCCCATCTGGATCTTTTATTCTATGTTCTGTCCTGTTCATCTTCTGTAAGTTCTACCTTGGTTTGTCTATTTCTCCATTTAGGATTCTTAGTAATCAAAGGTGCTTTTTTGCCTTTGACTTGGCAAAATATAGGATTATTAAAATATACGTACACATATCTGTATAAGATTTTAGCCCTCTTGAGTGTGTTTCAGAAACGTCGACTGCCTGATTTCTTGTTCATGAAAATATTTAACACCATAGCTCCTTTCTTTGTAACCTGAGTGCTCCAGCCTGCATTTCGTGCTTTTGGCATCTAACTGAATCCATGCTTTCCTCCCAGACTCCTGAGGGAGGGGAGTGCATTTTATACTCACTGACAGTGGAAGACTCCCTTTCTGTTTGAATTTGCAATAAAATCAGCTTCTTCCTTTGCACAAAACATGGTCATCTAGACACTTCCTGGGAAAGATACCTTTCAGCTGGCAGAAGCTGCGGACCATTTTTGTTCAATTGCTTTATGACTTGTATCTTGTGACCCGCACTTGCATACAGCTTGGGGAAGACATGGCTATCCATGTGAGCTGCTGTTCGTGGGCTGCAGTGGACAGAGATTTCATGGGATGGAGATGCATTTGTGGAGATGCAACAGATAGGAATGGAGACAGGTGGTGAAGAATAAAGACAGAAGCCAAGAGTCCTGTGGGAAGGAGTAGTGAGGGAAGGAAAACAGGTCACTAGAAAGGTCGGCTTGATGGGGAAATATCAAGGCTGATGGTTAAAAAGGTTCAGTTATGAAAGGTTATTTGTTATCAGACTGAAATGTTTGGAATTCTTCTAGTCTAGGCAAAGGGAAGAAATGGAATACTGAGCAAGAGAGTGAAGGCATAAACATGAAATTTTAGAAAGTTTAATATGGGAGTGGTGTACAGGCTGGATGGGAAGAGAGAGACCAGATGCAAAGAGATCAACTAGCAAGATGTTTGGACTTCTAACGAAAAGAGAATAACTTTCATATGTATTTGTAGGAAATGTACCACTACATATTTGTATACAAACCTGGGAGTAATTCTTGAGTTCATCATGGAAAACAATTACATATATATGGTTATGGACCTTTTTCAGCATTCTCAACTTAGGCTCTTATTTATTTCACTTTATTTCCTTTCACTCACAGACAATTCATTTGCTTTTTCTCAGTTCCACAGCTCCTCCAAAAGCTTCTGGAAGATTTGCATTATCAATAGTTTCATCGTAAGAATTATAAGAAATATAGACACTTTACCAAGTAGAGACCAAAAAGGATGAAGTCAGAGAGGTGGAACTTGTCTTTACCCACCAGGACCAGGGCTGGCTGGCACATTCACAAGGTTGAGGAATATACTCCTCTAACATGCTGAGGGATAAAAGCACCCTTTCAACACACTTGCCCTTTACCCCTCCCTGCTCTGGTTTTCTGCATATACCCTTTTTCCACTTGTGCAGAACAGGCTCCTGTTTTCCGGAGCTTGCCCTTCCTTTAATTCAACACAAATGGGCTATATTTTCCTTGGAAGTCAACCCCAATATTTACTTGGGGCTAGGAAAGAGTCATCCTTTAATGACTCCCTCTTAGTAACTAACTTTTAGGCTAAAACACATGCACAAATATGAAACCTAATTTTTGAGGCTTCTAGAAAGATATGGATAATGAAAAATTATATCAACACTGTCCAGTGGAAATACAATGCAAGCTGCACACATAATTTAAAATGTTCTAGTAACCACATTTTTACAAGTAAAAAGAATCAGGTAAAATTCATTTTAATAACATATTTCATGTAATGCAAAGTATCAAAAATGTCATTTTTTTGATTATGGAAATATTTTACAATTTTCTTTTCATAGGAAGTCTTCAGAATCCAATGTGTGTTTCATACCTACTGCACAATTCAATCTGGATCAGTTATATTTCAAGTGCTCAACAGCTATCATATTGGCAGAGCAGCTCCAAATAGTTCATCAGTGAAATGGATATAATAGTATAGAATACCACATAAGATAGATCTCATTGCCCCTATATTACAGATAAGAAAACTGAGGTTCTAAGAGGTTAAATAACTTTTCCAAGATCACACACTGCTGGGCAATTGCTCACTTGAATTTGTAGCCACTATTTATTTATTTTTAACTTTTATTTTAAGTTCAGGGGTACATGTTCAAGATACGCAGGTTTGATACATAGGTAAATGTCTGCCATGTTGGTTTGTTGTATAGATTATTTCATTACCCAGGTATTATGCCTAGTATCCATTAGTTATTTGGTATGGTTGACTGCATCCCCAACAAATCTCAACTTGAATTGTATCTCCCACAATTCCGACATGTTGTGGGAAGGACCCGGGGGAGGTAATTGAATCATGGGGGCTGGTCTTTCCCCTGCTATTCTCGTGATAGTGTATAAGTCTCACGAGATGTGATGGGTTTATCAATGGTTTCCACTTTTGCTTCTTCCTCATTTCTTCTTGCTGCCACCATGTAAGAAGTACTTTTCACCTCCTGCCATGATTCTAAGGCCTCCCCAGCCATGTGGAACTGTAAGTCTAATTAAACCTCTTTTACTTCCCAGTCTCAAGTATATCTTTATCAGCAGCGTAAAAACAAACTAATACAGTAAACGGGTACCAGTAGAGTGGGGTGTTGCTGAAAAGATATCTGAAAATGTGGAAGTGACTTTGGAACTGGGTAACAGGCACAGGCTGGAATGGTGTGGAGGGCTCAGAAGAAGACAGGAAAATGTGGGAAAGTTTGGAACTTCCTAGAGACTTGTTGAATGGCTTTGCCCAAAATGCTGAGAGTGATATGGACAATAATGTCTAGGCTGAGGTGGTCTCAGATGGAGATGACGAACTTGTTGGGAACTGGAGTAAATGTGATTCCTTGTTATGTTTTAGCAAAGAGACTGGCAGCATTTTGCCCCTGCCCCGGGGATTTGTGGAATTTTGAACTTGAGAAAAATGATTTAGGGTATCTGGTGGAAGAAGTTTCTAAGCAGCAAAGCATTCAAGAGGTGACTTGGGTTCTGTTAAAGGCATTCAGTTTCATAAGGGAAGCAGAGCATAAAAGTTTGGAAAATTTGCAGCCTGACTATGCGACAGAAAAGAAAAACCCATTTTTCTGGGGAGAAATTCAAGCCAGCTGCAGAAATTTGCATAAGTAGCAAGGAGCCTAATGTGAATCCCCAAGACCTTGGGGAAAATGTCTCCAGGCCATGTCAGAGACCTTCACAGCAGTCCCTCCTATCACAAGCCTGGAGGCCCAGGAGGAAAAAGTGGTTTCGTGGCCCAGGCCCAGGGTCCCTCTGCTGTGTGCAGCCTAAGGACTTGATGCCCTGTGTCCCAACCACTTCAGCCATGGCTGAAAGGGGCCAACATACAGCTCGGGCTGTGGCTTCAGAGGGTAGAAGCCCCAAGCTTTGGCAGCTTCCACGTGTTGTTGAGCCTATGGGTGCACAGAAGTCAAGAATTGAGGTTTGGGAACTTCCACCTAAATGCAGAAGATGTATGGAAATGCCTGGATGCCCAGGCAAAAGTTTGCTGTAGGTGCAGGGCCCTCACGGAGAATCTCCGCTAGGGCAGTGCGGAAGGGAAATGTGGGGTCGGAGATCCCACACAAAGTCCCTACTGGGGCACTGCTTAGTGGAGCTGTGAGAAGAGGGCCACTGTTCTCCAGACCCCAGAATGGTAGATCCTCTGACAGCTTGCACTGTGTGCCTGAAAAAGCCACAGACACTCAACAGCAGCCTGTAAAAGCAGCCAGGAGGGAGGCTGTACTCTGCAAAGCCACAGGGGCAGAACAGCCCAAGACCATGGGAACCCACGTCTTGTATTAATGTGACATGGAGTCAAAGAAGATAGTTTTGGGAGCTTTAAAATTTGACTGCCCCACTGGATTTTGGACTTGCTTGGGCCCTATAACCCATTTGTTTTGGCCAATTTCTCCCATTTGGAATGGCTGTATTTACCCAGTACCTGTACCCCCATTATATCTAGGAAGTAAGTAGCTTGCTTTTGATTTTACAGGCTCATAAGTGAAAAGGACTTGCCTTGTCTCAGACGAGACTTTGGACTGTGAACTTTTGGGTTAATGCTGAAATGAGGTAAGACTTTGGGGGACTGTTAGGAAGGTTTTGAAATGTGAGGACATGAGATTCGGAGGGGCTAGGGGTGGAAGCATATAGTTTGGCTGTGTCCCCACCCAAATCTCAACTTGAACTTTATCTCCCAGAATTCCCATGTGTTGTGGGAGGGACCCAGGGGGAGGTAACTGAATCACGGGAGCTGGTCTTTCCTGTGCTATTCTCAAGATAGTGAATAAGTCTCATGAGATCTGATGGGTTTATCAGGGATTTCCACTTTTGCTTCTTCCTCATTTTCTCTTGCCACCACCATGTAAGAAGTGCCTTTCACCTCCCACCATAATTCTGAGGCCTCCCCAGCCATGTGGAACTGTAAGTCCAATGAAACCTCTTTTTCTTCCCAGTCTTGGGTATGTCTTTATCAGCAGCATGAAAATGAACTAATACATAATTCTCTCCCTCCTCCCACCCTCCACTTTCAATAGGACCCAGTGTATGTTGTTACCCTCTATGTGTTCATGTATTCTCATCATTTAGCTCCCACGTGTAAGTGAGAACATGTGGTATTTGGTTTTCTGTTCCTGTGTTAGTTTGCTAAGGATAACAGCCTCCAGCTCCATCCATGTCCCTGCAAAGGAAATGATGATCTTGTTCTTTTTAATGGCAGTATAATATTCCATGGTTTATATGTATGACATTTTCTTTATCCACTCTATCACTGATGGACATTTGGATTGATTCCATGTCTTTGCTATTGTGAATAGTGCTGCAATGAACATATGTATGCATGTGTCTTTATAATAGAAAAATTTAAATTCCTTTGGGTATATACCCAGTAATGGGATTGCTGGGTCGAATTTATTTTGATCACGAAACTTTTGCTTTTTCCACCAGAGTGGAAATGTATCTTCCTGGAAACTTCATTCATTGGAGTTGCTTCTGTTCTCAAGAGTAGCACTACATGCATTTTGTGCCTCAACTATCAGGCTGAGCATCTCCCATCTTCACAAGACTTCCCCCACCATATGGTTTATGGTCCCACTATCATCCCCTTGTGTTCCACTGGATATTCTATCCCCGTATGGATTTTGATATCCTATAAAAATCCATGATATTCCAGAAGTGGTCAGATCTCTGGGCTCTGCAGTAGTGCCACTATACACTTGACCTGGACAATGCTGCTCTTAATACAACCTGACATTGTATTTGCTTTTTTTTTTCTTTAGCAGCTCTGATACTTTATTAGCTCCCAATGAGCTCATCATCAAAACAACCATAAAACTATAACCCCTTCTATATTTGTACAATGTATGCAGTGTTTTACATTTATCCTTGCTAAACTCATTTTAATGCTTTTTTTTCAGTGCCTAGAATCAGTGCTTAATAACATTTTTGTGATATGGATCAATAGTGTTATAAGAGAATATAATAGGATAACTTGACATTGTTAGCACTTAGGCCTGGTTGGAGCCTTTCTACATTTAGGGGAGAAAAAAATTGTTTTTGAAAAAATGACATAGAGGCTGGGCACAGTGGCTCACACTTGTAATCCCAGCACCCAGCACTTTGGGAGGCCGAGGCAGGTGGATCACTCGAGGCCAGGAGTTCAAGACTAGCCTGGCCAACATGGTGAAACACTGTCTCTACTAAAAGTATGAAAAATTAGCCAGGCATGGTGTGTGAGCCTGTAATCCGAGCTACTCGGGAGTCTGAGGCAGGAGAATCAGTTGAACCCAGGAGGCAGAGGTTGCAGTGAGCCGAGATCGTATTACTGCACTTCAGCCTGGGCAACAGAGTGAGACTCTATCTCAAAACAAAAAATGTCATAGAAAGCCTGAAAAATATTTTGAAGAACAAGAAACAACACACAATGGTGGTCATTTGCTTCGTTCACTGATATTTCTGTTTCTGCCCCCTTCAGACACCTTAATAGGATCACACAACACTGCTCCCTTGAAATTAGCTTTGGGCATTTGACACACTTAGAACAATGAAATGGGATGAGTGGGACAGGTCACTTTTAAGTGAAGGCTCTAAAAAGTAGTGTATGGTTTGCCAGGGCCTCTCTTTGCCTCTGCCACTGGTACAGGGATGGGAATTGCTCTTCCTACATAAGTTACAGGGGAGGAGAAAAGATGCAGGGATCCTATTTGGCTGTGATAGGCAGAAGAAGCAAACCTTGTTTGTTATAAGCCACTAAGATTGGGGAGTTGTTACTGCAGTAACAATAATTATAATGTGTTACAATTGTCTAGTCTGATTAATATAGCAATAAGAAGATTCAGTGAAATTATACATTTCTGGGAATAATTTATTAAGAAAAGAAAATCCAATTTTGGAGACTGTTATATGTCCTCAGTGCAAAAATATCAGATTCCATTAAAAAAAAAAAAGAAAAGAAAAAGAACGACTTCCAGCCCAAATCTCTTATCTCTAAATAGATCTGGGAGATACAATGTCAAGGTAGAGAATCTGGCTAATGTGACTAAAGAAATACACTTCCTCCTTCCTCCTACCCCCTTTCCACCTTAAACTGTATTCCTAGCACTACCACTTTATACTAAAATGCCCATATCATCTTGTTACAGGATGTCTGACCTCTGTTTTATAATTACTTTATGGTGCATCATTATTTTTCACTGTGTATCATTATCTTCTCACTATAATCAACAGAATCATCCAGCAGATTTATCTATCAGGAAACAGGGGGGCTAACCTGGGCTGGGTGCTCAGCTTTCTTTTTGGGTTACTTGGTGAGTCCATCATTGTGTAACTTAATGCTAGACTTCCTTCTATCTGATTGTGTGTGTGACCATCCGTCTTCATCATCCTTCCTTTTCATGATGGAGTTTGTATGCTTTTCTGGGACTTTTTGGTACCCAATGTTCGTCGCTTATACTATAAGAGAAGAATATCTGTACTCTATAGGAAAGTTTTGCTTCAGAGATAAAAACAGAACCCAATATGCAAACAGGAAAAAGTTAGGTTGATCTGAGGGTACTCATCTGCCATATGTAATGTCAGATAACAGACAACGCGTATGAAACCGCCAAGAGGAAAATGCCATGAACCAATTTGCTCTGCCAAATTGTTGTTCATGCACAAAAGTAAATAAAGACAGTCTCTGTCACGTAACTTCATAAGAAAAACTTAACATAATTCATTTGACCTAAAAGTGAACAAAGTTTAGAACCTCCAAGTGGGAAATAGCAGGTAAACAGTGAATGAGTTAAACCGTGTTAATCTCAATAGTTTTTATAAAAATGGTTACAGGTTATAAAAATGTAAACATGAAAAATTCTTCTTGAATATGATACATGGTACAAAATGTATTCTTTGCTTCCACACCCCAGATTACGTTAGCTAAGATTTGGGAGTTGCTGGAGTGCAGACAGAATGACAAACTATAAATTCCTCCTTGTACACATGGGGAACCCAAAATATGCTATTTCATTCTTAAGTTTTCATAATCAGAAAAGCATAATGAATAAATCGGTGAATTTCATTTTATTTTTTGTTTATCAATCGTAAGGTTTGAAACACTGAATTGCTGCTTAACTTGAAACTTAGAAAGTATGTAAAGGAATTCTGATTCAAACCCAAATTCTTCTGACGTCTGAGTATTTCCCAATCTTATTGATGTCTCCATCTTTGTCTTAGAACTAATTTTCCCTCCTGAATCTTCTAGCTCAAATACATCCCCACAGAATCAGCCTCACCATGTGCTTTTTTCTTCATTCACTTGAGAAAATTAAGTCTCTGCCTACACGGCCCCACCTCTTCCTTGATTTTCCAGGTGCCAATCTTCTTCATATCATTTGCATGAACATGTTGTCTACCAATCCTCCAAGAATAAAAGGCACACAGCACCCTGAAAAATTGCCCACTCCTCCCAGGCACTTAATCCAGAGGCATAATAAGCAACATTCTACTCACCTGTTTCTACACCTGTTTCTTATTTCTCCCAAGTGGCTCTGATATCTAGCTCTTGATATAATGCATCCTTAAAAGGAATCCTTCCAACAGTTAATGGTCCCCACCACATCTCCTCACACTATTAAAAGAAAAAAAACAGAATAATATTAACAGTGAACAGCAGCAGTCAAAAGAAACCCAGAGCAACACACTGGCAGAATTTTCTACTTGTATTATAGTGTCTATTTGCCTAGACCATTATTTCTCTCAGGCCTAGTGCCTAGAGGTATGTGCTAATTTGCCAGGCTGCTTTAATATTTAGTGAGGAGCCACAGCCAACCAATAATTTTTAATAGCTTGTCCTCTATTGATTTCAGCCCACACATTAAAGCGCCTAATAAAAATTATAGAAAGGTAGGTGACGGGACATAAGGACAAGAGAAAGTTAATAGTTTTGTCCACCTCCATTTGAAGGGAACAAGAGAACTATTTCAACTCATATACAGAGTTTGTATAGTTAGACAATTGCTGACCTCACCATCTTTCAGAAATTTTTTTCTTAACAGACAAAGTCTCACTCTATCACCCAGGCTAGAGTGCAGTGGTGCAATCACAGATCACCGCAACCTCAAGTTATCCTCCTGCCTCAGCCTGCTAAGAAGGTGGGACTACAGGTGTGTGCAGCACCACGCCCAGCTAACTTTAAGATTTTTTGTAGAGATGGGGTCTTGCCATGTTGCCTAGGCTGGTTTCAAACTCCTAAGCTCAAGTGATCCTCCCACCTCAGCCTCTCACACTGGGATTACAGGCATGATTCACCACACCCTGTCTTTTGGCAATATTTTAAAGATTAGCTTACAAAATACACATTCTTTTATTGATATGGCTGTGTTCTTCAGCAATCTCTGAAATCAGTAATTTCTGATGAGGTGTAGGTGGGTTTCTTTTATAAATTCAAAACCCTTGGGGAGTCAGCAATAAAATGTTAAAAGAAAAATAAAGTTCCCAACAGGCAAATAACCCTTGAGATGTTGACCCACGCCACCCCTTGACCTCCTGCCCTGGAATAACTGATGTAATAGGGGACTGCAACAGATAGAGTAAAAAATGAGGCATCTATTGTAATTCCAGAACCGTATATTAGAAGATCCCTGGCACCTAGGCCTGAGACTTTACAAAAGACGAGGATCGTCCTTATCCCTGGATGTGACTTGGGGAGAAAGGAAAAAACTGTGTCAGCTAGAATATATCATTTTAGAAGAAAAGCATTTGTTCTAAAGCAGACTTTAGTCTTAGCATAGAAAACAAGTACCATCCAAAGAAGTCTTTGGGATTATGGATGTGGCAGCTTGCAAAAAAATAAAAAACATGAACGTTAATTAAGTATCTCTTTAAGCCTCAAACTCTTCATGAATTCTGAAATTTATCTTCTAAAGTAATTCAGTCTCTCTTTTCATTCTCACATCTATTTACGTTAGAATGAAACCTAAAGGGTGATTTCTCTTGGGTGAAATACCAGGAGGCTGAGGGAAACAGAATGATTATGGGCATTTAAACCAGAAGTGTATCAGAAAGGGGCACTACTCAAAGACAGATATGTGTCCTCGGTGGTATGGTACCCCATTTGTGCTGAAAGATGTTTTTGAAGAGATCAGGAGTGGTGCAGTGAAAGGATTTTTTACAACACTGAAGCAGGCTTTAACAGGCTACCATTAAAACCCATATGTTCAGAAAAACATGCGACTCAAGCTTGCTTACTCAGCAACTACACATTGGTTGAGTCCCTGCAGGTCAAACACAGGGCTGGGCAGCATGAGAGACAAAGGAAAAAAACATAATTTACTTGCCAAATAGGATTACCAGTTAACCATAAAAGCAAAACACACTCATGAAATAATGTGAGGGAGAAAACAAAGTGACATTTTAGTAGGTCACTGTGCTAGACTCTGAGGATTAAATGGAGGAATGGTCTAGACCCCTCTAGCTAAGAGCTTATTTATGACACAACTAGGGTCCAATATAGGAATATCTATTTTGTGTTCAAGTCAGCTGAGGCCTCGACGATGTCACGGTAGGGTGAACGACCCTTCCTCCCCATTTGCAGGGGAACAGGGAGGTTCCTGGGATGAGAGATTTTCAGTGTTAGAACTGGGACAGTCCCAGGAAAACTGAGATAAGTTTGTCACTCAACGTGGTGAAACAAGCGTAGTTTTGGAGACAGATGGCTCTATGTTTAAATCAAAGTCCTGCTGCCACTGCCTCTGAGACAATGAACAAGAAATGATTTTAAATTGCTGTTTGTGTCTTTTATTGCTTATCTGAAAAAATAGGTTTCATAGATTATATAGATAGTGTATTCAGGTACCTGGCACATGGTGGGCACATCGTAATTATAGCATGTGCTACACGCTAAAGCAGTGCTTTAGACAGACATCTCTAAGGATTTCAGAAGAAGGAAATAGCCATTGCAGTTTGGGATGGACAGGAAAGATTCATAAGTAGGATGACATATCATTTATCTTCTAAGCCTGGATACTTTTGAATGAGAAACAGGATACTGTTAATAAGTATGCTGAGACAACAGGTATAAAAAGTGCCTGCTCTAGGCCAATCAGAGAGTATGGTCAGCAAACCTTGACTTCAGCATTGAAGACAGACTGGAACTTAGATTGCAGGAAAATTATGAGATGCAAAGGCCAGGTTCCACTAGGCATTTTTATAAACTGGTTAGAGAAGCCTGATCAGTCCTTGTTAAAGGATTCTTAAATGCCAATTAGCAAGTTGGTTTTGTCTCTTAGACCAAGAGGAACCACTAATAGTGTTTGAGTCAAATGGCAAAATGCAGAAATGTCATGACAGCTGAAGAGTCTAAAGAACTCATCTTCTGGCTGGATGCGGTGGCTCACGCCTGTAATCTCAGCACTTTGGGAGGCCGAGGGGGGCGGATCACGAGATCAGTAGATTGAGACCATCCTGGCTAACATGGTGAAACTTTGTCTCTACCAAAAATACAAACAAAAAAAAAATAGCTGGGTGTGGTGGCGGGCGCCTGTAGTCCCAGCTACTCAGGAGGCTGAGGCAGGAGAATAGTGTGAACCCAGGAGGCGGAGCTTGCAGTGAGCCGAGATCACGCCACTGCACTCCAGGCTCAAAGACAGAATGAGACTCTGCCTCAAAAAAAAAAAAAACTTATCTTCTACAATAGTCTTTATTTTCCATTAGATCCCCTACATATTTCCCAGTCACTTCCCCTATAATTTATGATCCTTTGAAGCCCAAGCACTGTTTCCTAAATCTAATCATTTCTTTGTTTCACTTCTTAGCTTGGTGCAAAAGTAATTGCAATTTTTTGCCATTGAAAGTAATGGCAAAAACCAACTGGGCACAATGGCTCCTGCCTGTAATCCCAGCACTTTGGGAGGCCAAGGTGGGCCAATTACCTGAGGTCAGGAGTTCAAGACTAGCTTGGCCAACATGGTGAAACCCCAACTCCACTAAAAATTCAAAAATTAGCCAGATGTGTTGGCACACACCTGTAATCCCAGCTACTTGGGAGACTGAGGCAGGAGAATCACTTGAACCCAGGAGGCAGAGGTTGCGGTGAGCCAAGATTGCACCATTGCACTCCAGCCTGGGGAACAGAGTGAGACTGCCTCTCAAAAAAAAAAAAGAAAAGAAAAAGAAAAAAAAAAAAGGCAAAACCGCAATTATTTTTGCACCAACCTAATATTTTCTGTGATCTCTGTGCCAATAAATATTAACAAAACCTGCGTGTCTTTTCTTCTGTAGTTTAATTTGCAGGCCCCCAAGCACTTAGCATAAGCAAGTAGACAAAAATTTTTTCCTCCCCAACACCCAACATTCTTTTTTTTTTTTTTTTTGAGATTGAGTCTCACTCTGTCACCCAGACTGGAGTGCAGTGGAGCAATTTTGGCTCACTGGAACCTCCACCTCCTGGGTTCAGGCGATTCTCCTGCCTCAGCCTCCCAAGTAGCTGGGACTACAGGCGAATACCACCACGCCCAGCTCATTTTTGTATTTTTAGTACAGACAGGGTTTCACCATGTTGGTCAGGGTGGTCTTGAACTCCTGACCTCGTGATCCACCCGCCAGGGCTTCCCAAAGTGCTGGGATTACAGGTGTGAGCCACCGCGCCCAGCTTCAACATGCATTTTAACCATGAGAAAATCAAGGAAAACCCAATTTATCTGACTTCAAATTTCTTGCCCTTTCAATGAAGCTCCCTCTAGATTACACTTTTTTGCAGAGGTAAGAAATGGTTTCAGAGAATGGATTCCCCTGAAGTCACAGGAGACAAAGTTTTACCAGGCTGGGTAGGAGGGAAGGGGGTGGAAAACCAGGAAGTCTCTGACTCTGGCAGGATTATTCTAAAGCAATTTGCCACATTGCTTTACAGTAATTTCTCCACAGATAAAATCCCTAAGGGTCAAAAAAATTGGCTGACAGGGAGATGAATGGATCTTCTCATTAACAACAACAACAAAAAAATTCTCTTAATTGTGCCCTATCCCTGAGCTTTTTCATACACACCCAACTGGAAATATCATGTGTTCGACTCTTGATCAGCTTGATATAAAGTAATATTAAAGCAGGGACTCATAATGAAACATGTTAAATTGCTACCCTGTCCTTCTATCTCCCCCTTGCCAAAAAAAAAAGAAAAACTTAAATTAAACTATGAAGGAATTGATGACTAGTGATAGTCTCTACAGAACAGTATGGGAATCAATTAAAACAGAAGCTAAAACATGCCTCAGGATGTAATTGATAACATGATGAGACAGAGAAAAAAACTGTTAAGTGTGAAGTTAAATTCAAAACATCTTACTTAGAGAAAATGCAAAGGCTTCTTTTATCCCACAGGACCAATCTCAAGAACTATTAGTTTCTCAGGAAGCAAGAATCAGAGAATAATTGTTGCTGTTTGTTTATTCTTGACAGTTTCAAAGGACAATCTCTCTTGGGGGAAAATTTCTGTTTTCAACTTAAAAGTTCATTCTAAACCCAAGACCATTCCAGGAAAGCTTTTTGGCTCTTTCTTGAACTTTGGAAATAAATTTTGCACAATTTTTCGTAATCCATTTATTTAGTTGCTTCAATTATCCCTTCTCAAATTCAGAGGTTTAGAAACATCACTGGATAGGGAACATATTCAGAAAAAAAAAAATCAGTATTACAAAGACTAGACGCCAGTCCAGTGAGAAAAAGAAAAAAAGGCCAGGATTATGTCCATGGTGGTCTCCGAATTGCATAATTGCCATTTTCAGTGTTGAGGCCTACTGATTGTGGATGTGATGTTTCAATATTTCATAAAATGTTAAAATGCTTTTACTTGAGTTATAGCTCAGTCATTTTGGCA
Organism: Homo sapiens; assembly: GCF_000001405.40. Taxonomy (NCBI): domain Eukaryota; kingdom Metazoa; phylum Chordata; class Mammalia; order Primates; family Hominidae; genus Homo; species Homo sapiens. The sequence goes on from NC_000013.11 coordinate 34,539,647, forward strand.
CTTAGGTCTGGTTAAGCGCTGGTTGCCAGATTTTCTTAGTGCGTTATCCACTAAGCCACAACCACTGCTAAGAAAACCTTAATTCCTATTAAAATGTTAAAACTTGGTAAGAAAGATTTGGTTTGAGTTTGGACAGATAGAAGATGTGAGCGTTCTCGCTCTCCCTCTCCCTCTCCCTCTCCCTCTCCCTCTCCCTCTCCCTCTCCGTCTCCCTCTCCCTCTCCCCACAGTCTCCCTCTCATGTGGAGCCGAAGCTGGACTGTACTGCTGCCATCTCGGCTCACTGCAACCTCCCTGCCTGATTCTCCTGCCTCAGCCTGCCGAGTGCCTGCGATTGCAGGCACGCGCCGCCACGCCTGACTGGTTTTGGTGGAGACGGGGTTTCACTGTGTTGGCCGGGCCGGTCTCCAGCCCCTAACCGCGAGTGATCCGCCAGCCTCGGCCTCCCGAGGTGCCGGGATTGCAGACGGAGTCTCGTTCACTCAGTGCTCAATGGTGCCCAGGCTGGAGTGCAGTGGCGTGATCTCGGCTCACTACAACCTACACCTCCCAGCCGCCTGCCTTGGCCTCCCAAAGTGCCGAGATTGCAGCCTCTGCCCGGCCGCCACCCCGTCTGGGAAGTGAGGAGTGTCTCTGCCTGGCCGCCCATGTCTGGGATGTGAGGAGCCCCTCTGCCTGGCTGCCCAGTCTGGAAAGTGAGGAGCGTCTCCGCCCGGCCGCCATCCCATCTAGGAAGTGAGGAGCGCCTCTTCCCAGCCGCCATCACATCTAGGAAGTGAGGAGCGTCTCTGCCCGGCCGCCCATCGTCTGAGATGTGGGGAGCGCCTCTGCCCCGCCGCCCCATCTGGGATGTGAGGAGCGCCTCTGCCCGGCCGAGACCCCGTCTGGGAGGTGAGGAGCGTCTCTGCCCGGCCGCCCCGTCTGAGAAGTGAGGAGACCCTCTGCCTGGCAACCACCCCGTCTGAGAAGTGAGGAGCCCCTCCGCCCGGCAGCCGCCCCGTCTGAGAAGTGTGGAGCCTCTCCGCCCGGCAGCCACCCCATCTGGGAAGTGAGGAGCGTCTCCGCCCGGCAGCCACCCCGTCCGGGAGGGAGGTGGGGGGGGTCAGCCCCCCGCCCGGCCAGCCGCCCCATCCGGGAGGGAGGTGGGGAGTCAGCCCCCCCGCCCGGCCAGCCGTGCCATCCGGGAGGGAGGTGGGGGGGTCAGCCCCCCGCCCAGCCAGCCGCCCTGTCCGGGAGGGAGGTGGGGGGGGTCAGCCCTCCGCCCGGCCAGCCGCCCCGTCTGGGAGGTGAGGGGCGCCTCTGCCCGGCCGCCCCTACTGGGAAGTGAGGAGCCCCTCTGCCCGGCCAGCCACCCGGTCCGGGAGGGAGGTGGGGGGGTCAGCCCCCCCACCCGGCCAGCCGCCCCGTCCGGGAGGGAGGTGGGGGGGTCAGCCCCCCGCCTGGCCAGCCGCCCCATCCGGGAGGGAGGTGGGGGGGTCAGCCCCCCGCCTGGCCAGCCGCCCTGTCCGGGAGGGAGGTGGGGGGGTCAGCCCTCCGCCCGGCCAGCCGCCCCGTCTGGGACGTGAGGGGCGCCTCTGCCCGGCCGCCCCTACTGGGAAGTGAGGAGCCCCTCTGCCCGGCCAGCCGCCCGGTCCGGGAGGGAGGTGGGGGGGGTCAGCCCCCCGCCCGGCCAGCCGCCCCGTCCGGGAGGGAGGTGGGGGGGGTCAGCCCCCCCTGCCCGGCCAGCCGCCCCGTCCGGGAGGTGAGGGGCGCCTCTGCCCGGCCGCCCCTACTGGGAAGTGAGGAGCCCCTCTGCCCGGCCACCACCCCGTCTGGGAGGTGTGCCCAACAGCTCATTGAGAACGGGCCAGGATGACAATGGCGGCTTTGTGGAATGGAAAGGTGGGGAAAAGATTGAGAAATCGGATGGTTGCCGTGTCTGTGTAGAAAGAAGTAGACATGGGAGACTTTTCATTTTGTTCTGCACTAAGAAAAATTCTTCTGCCTTGGGATCCTGTTGATCTGTGACCTTACCCCCAACCCTGTGCTCTCTGAAACATGTGCTGTGTCCACTCATGGTTAAATGGAAAAAAAAAAAAAAAAAGAAAGATTTGGTTTCTGCACAAGAGCACAATCAGCTGTTGTTTCACTTGCAATACTAAAGGCTTAATAATATCTAACATTCAATATTAAAATATAAAATGTATTTGGTACCAACACTATATATCATTTCAATCCTTAAAGAACTTTTCTGAATCATTGGGAATATTTCAGGGAAAATTACTTAGAAAGAACAGATACCTGCATTACATTGCTCTGAAATTAAGGTAGAATTATTGTACCCCATTAAAATTTGTAATCTCTTGTTAATGAAGTTTAAAAAGACAGCACATTTATTGCAAGGGAGCTGAGAGAAAGGAAGTAGTAATTATCAGAATATATGCACCAAATCATTATTCCACCTCATTCCTTATGCATTTAAACTGTCTCTCTCTACCACGAGTCTTTTTAAATAAAAACTGAAGATTTTGATTGCCTACTTAATGAAAACTTAGATGCAGTCCAGTCAGCTAGTTTTAAGAGAAGAAAAATCTTAAATTTTTTTACCATAGCTCCCAGATTAATTAATGACAGAAGGGTTAAAATTTCAAATACACATTTGTCTTGTTAACACATAATTGATCCTAACTCCTCAAAGACAGTTCCTCCTTTTTAATGGCAGGCATCTAGTTTGTAAAACAAGGTAACGTTAGTGAGAAATACAGCATAGAAAGAAGGGTCTATATAGGCTTCAGGGACTTGTCTCTTTCTAAAATTTCTTTTTCGTCATAATCAAACAAGCATTCCAGTGTACACTGTCTACCATGCACTTTACAAGCACTATCTTGTTTAAACCTGACAACAATCCTCTGTGGTATGAATTAATATTTTCCTTATTACACGAATGAAAATTTCATGACCCAAAGAAGTTAACTAACTTGTTCGAGGTAATTCTACTGGTAATGGCATACCTTGAATTTGAATCCAAATTCAGTTGACACTTAAGTCTGTGCTTTATCACTGAGCAAACCTGCAGTCATCAAAACATCTGATAAATTATTTCTACAAAGTCAGAAAACTCCACATCAGACAGCCTATTTCACTAACATTTTTTCTTTCACTACTGCTTATAAATGAACCTGCCAGCAAGACCAGGCGAAAGCTTATCGGTTGCTCCGCTTTCAGCAGCATGAGACTCCCGAAACATGTCTATATATTTGAAGTCCTCTATCGGTTCTTTATCACGCCTGTTGCAATTTTATGATTTATGTGAGCAAAAAAGCCCCATATTTCCCTCTGGTTGGCCAGTCAATCCACAGCACCCTCCCCTAAGTCACATCCCTCTCTGAAAAACCACAAACACCTGAAGATATTTTTTTTAGTTGTTTATTTTTCCTTTTAGTTGACACATACTAATAGTGCATATTTATGGGGTAGAGTGTGATGTTTTGATACATGTGTACTTTATGTAATGATCAAATCAGGGTAATTAGCCTATCTATCACCTCAAACACTTGTCATTTCTTTGTCGTGGGGACATCTAAAATCCTTTCCTCTAGCTATAGTCAAGAGCCACATAATAATGACATTTAGTCAAGGATGGACCACATATGACAGTCATCCTATAATATTATAATGGAGCTGAAAAAAATTCCTGTCACCTGGTGAGGTCTTAAAGATCCTGACCCTGTGTAGGCCTAAGCTAATGTATGTGTTTGTGTTTTAGTTATTAAAAGAAAAAAAAAATGTTTAGGCCGTGTGCTGTGGCTCATGCCTGTAATCCTAGCACTTTGGGAGGTCAAGGCAGGTGGATCACTTGAGGTCAGGAGTTCAAGACCAGCCTGGCCAACATGGTGAAACTCCATTTCTACTAAAAATACAAAAATTAGCCGGGGGTGGGGGCGCATGCCTATAATCCCAGCTACCTCAGAGGCTGAGGCAGGAGAATCGCTAGAACCAGGGAGGCAGAGGCTGCAGTGAGGCGAGATCATGCCACTGCACTCCAGCCTGGGCAACAGAGTGAGACTCAGTCTCAAAAAAAAAAAAAAAAAGGTTAAAAAGTAAAATAAAAATTAAAAGTTTTTAAAACAGGAAAAAGCTTATAGAATAACGATATAAAGAAAAAATAGTATTGTAAAACTATTCCATGTCTTTGCATTTTAAGCTGTTATTACAAAAGAGTTAAAAGGTTTTTTTAATGTTTAAAGTTTAAAAAGTTAAAAAGTTACAGTTAGCTAAGGTTAATTTATTATGGAAGAAAGACAAATGTTGTATAAGTTTAGTGCAGTGTTAAGCGAACAGTGTTTATGAAGCCTGCAGTAGTGTAATGACTTAGGCCTTCACGTTCACTCAGCAGTCACTCACTGACTCACCCAGAGCAACTTCTCTCGTCCTGCAAGTGCCATTCGTGGTAACTGCCCTATACAGGTGTACCATTTTAATCTTTTACAACATATTTTTACTGTAACTTTTCTAAGTTTAGCCATGTTTAGGCACATAAATACTTACCATTGTGTTACAATTGCCTACAATATTCAGTATAGTAACATGCTGTACAGGTTTATTGCCTAGGAGCAATAGGTTATACCACCTAGACTTGCATGAGTATACTGTATGAAGTTCACACAATGACAAAATAGCCTAAGAACACATTTCACCGAAGGTATCCTCATCATTATGCAATGCATAATTGTATTTTGAAATATCTTGTACATTATTAATAACTACAGTCACCTAACTGTGCAATAGAACATCAGGACTTATTCCTCCCATCTAACTTTAACTCTGTAGCCACTGACCCATCTCTCACAATATCCCCTCCCCGTGACGCTACCCGGACTCCGGTAACCAGCATTCCACTCCATACTTCAATGAGATCAACTTTTTTAGATTTCATACAAAAGTGAGATAATACAGAAAACAGTATTTTTCCTTCTGTCCTTGGCTTATTTTACTTAACATAATGCCCTCTAGGTTCATTCATGTTGTTGCAAATGATGGGATTCAATTCTTTCTTATGGCTGAGTAGTATTCCATTGTGTATATATGCCACAAGTTTTTAACCATCCATTTGTTGATGGACACTTAGATTGATTCCATATCTTGGCAATTGCAAAGAGTGTTACAATAAACATACGTGTGCAGATATGTGTCTGACACACTGATTTCTTTTTCTCTGGATATGTGGTCAGTAGTAGTATTGCTGGATCAAATGGTAGCTCTATTTTTAATTATTTGAGAAACTTTTGTTGTTGTCCACAATGGCTATCTAACTTGCATTCTCATCAACAGTGTATAAGTTCCTCTTTCACCATATCCTCACCAGCATTTGTCATTTTTTTCTTTTTGACTATATCCATTCTAACTGGAGTGAGATGATATCTCATTGTAGATTTGATTTGTTTGCATTTCCCTGATGATTAACGATGTTGAACATTTTTTCATATAACTGTTGGCCATTTGTATGTCATCTTCTGAAAAATATCAATTCAGATCTTTTGTCTTATTTTTAATCAGATAACTTGGGGGGTTTCTGCTACTGAGTTGTTTGAGTTCCCTATTTATTCTTGATATTAACCCCTTGTCAGTGGTATAGTTTGCAAATATTTTCTCTCATTCTGTGGGTTTTCGCTTCACTCTGCTGTTTGTATCCTTTGCTGTGCAGAAGATTTTTCGTTTGATGTAATCCCATTTGTCTATTTTTGCTTTTGTTGCCTGTGCTTTTAAGGTCTTACACAAAAACACTCTTTGCCCAGACCAATATCCTGGAGCATTTCCCCAATGTTTTCTTCTAGTAGTTTCATAGTTTCACATCCTACATTTACATCTTTAATGCATTTTGAGTTGATTTTAATAAATGGTGAGAGACAGGAGTTTAGTTTCACTCTTCTGCGTGTAGACATCCAGTTTTCCCAGCACCATTTATTGAAGAGACTGCCCTTTCCCTACTCTCTCAGACAAGATAAGGCATTGTCACCTCAATGCTAACTTAGCACTTAGCCCTTACCTTCATCAGAACACAGATCACATTGCGGATGAATCATCTTCATATACCAAGCCTGCCTCTTCATTTTCAATCAATCTGTTGGTGCACACAGGAAATCTATATCTCAGTCTTCTATTTTTCTAAGACTTGTTGAAACAGCTGATTATTATTATTGTAATTTTCTCCTCATGAATCTGTCCAAATTATTTAAAAAAAAACACAGTATCTTTAACTTTGTAAGTGGTAAAAGCAAAAAACTGTAAAAAACACAGTACCTTTAACTTTGTAAGTGGTAAAAGCAAAAAATAGCCACAAGCAATTTATCTCAAAGTCATGAAGAATGTGAAGCCTCTACTTGAGAAAAGGCCCTTGAAAACAAAGAATGCATATTATTGCACAGGGTTGTATTTCAGGCTCCTCTATACCACAAACATTTCAGAAAACTCTAATCATTGAGAAAATGCCAAATTAATATTTAGTCTTTGGAAACTAATTTCGTGAATAATTTCATTATAATAGCCTACAACTATGGTTTTGAATGAGAAACCACTTTGGAAATTAATAGTTTGGTTGCTGAAACAAAAAATTATTAACTCTCCATCATCAATTAAAATAATATATGGTACTATGAAGCACTTCCATACGGAATAAATAATGAATATCTGGAAAACTGTAAATTATATAAATCCTAAAAACCTAAAATAAAAAGGAAATTAAAGACTATTTAGCAAAAGCAAATTTGTTGTTCTCCCTGAAGGGAAAACATAAAGGTCTTTTAGAAGATTAAAGATTCATGTCTGTGCTGCTTTCTGAAAATTCCTATGAATCATTCAGTCTTATTGAAATGCACAATTACTACTTACATAAATAGAACATTCTCATATATATGTATATGTGTGTGATGATTTGTGCATTTTTGTGGCATCAATGTAACTAGAGCTTTAAACTTTGTTATATTAAAAAATAAATCATTTGAGGTCTTTGCCAGCTTCTATTCTGCCTAGAGCTGTGAAAGGAAGGGGTGGAGGAGGACAAAATTAGATATCCCAGGAATAGAAGGCTCATTGGAGTACAATATAATCTGAAAATCCAAGAAACTTGAATCTTATCTGACAATGTTCTCAGGAGATACTCAGGATGGAAAGTAGCTATTTTGTGTCTAAACAATTTCCAAGACTAGAGAAATTGCAAGCTCTCCACAGATGCTACCAGTAAAATGCTTCAGAAGAGAGTTCATTTTTGCCTCAGTAATAATGCCTTAGCACAGTAGGGTTTGTGTATTCATGAGTGGGCGTGGGCATAGTACCCGGGAAAGTGCTTAATTAGTGTCCGTAGCTAAGGAAAGAGAGAAGAAGCCAGCAAGTGCATGCAGGGAATGCCAATCTATGGTCCGTAGCTGAAGCAGCTGGACAACAGGTGACAAGAAATAGTGAGGGAAGCCAGATGAAGTGACTGAGTTGTTTACTAATGATCTCCATTTGTCTTTTGGGAAGATACAGGGTCATATTTCTTATCTACTCAAATAAAATGTTATTTAACACCAGAAGCAATAGTATCTGTGGTGGGCAGAACAATACCCCACTAAAGATGTCTACGTCCTGGGCCAGGTGCAGTGGCTCACGCCTGTAATCCCAGCACTTTGGGAGGCCAAGGTGGGCAGATCACGAGGTCAGGAGTTCGAGACCAGCCTGATCAACATGGTGAAACCCCGTCTCTACTAAAAATACAAAAATTAGCTAGGCATGGTGGCGTGCGTCTATAATCCCAGCTACTCAGGAGGCTGAGGCAGGAGAATCACTTGAACCCGGGAGGCAGACGTTGCAGTGAGCCGAGATTGTGCCACTGCACTCCAGCCTGGGCAAAGGAAAAAAAAAGAAAAAAGCTAGAGGGGTAAGATTCTCCCCATGAGCTTCCAGAAGGAACACCAGCTCTGTTGATTTCACTTTGATTTTAGTCCCAAAAGACCCATTTCAGAATTCTGACTTCCATAACTTTAAGATGATAAATTCCTGTTGTTTTAAGCCACTACGTTTATGGTAATTTGTCAGAGCAATCATAGGAAACTAATACAATGTCTTTCTTTGTTGGTCTTTGTTTCCATTGCTCTATTCAACCTAAATGCACATGTTCTTTCTACATGGAGTGATCTTAGCTAATGCTCTATTTTGTACCGTAAAGGTACAAAACATTTATAAGCAAGTGTCAGAATATGCCCTTATACATCAGGAAATTTCCTTCAACTTCAAAGGCTAGAAATATTTTAAAGTTCTAGATATGGTCATTCAGGAAGTACTGAATGATAATCCCTATGTTGTTGCAATACGTCTTTTATCCCACCTCAACCCTCATCCTCCTAAACATACCTAAGCTAGGAAAAGAACTCAGGCATTGTAACAAATGTAATGTGAGGCCATGGTGATGGGGTGGTATAATAACTCTGGAGAGGACTGGGGTTGTACAAGGTTATATGGAGCCCGTGCCAGAGAACCCAACAGATAGCCAAAGATTTCCATGAGCCTTATGAAGCCAACCAGGAAGCTGTCACAAAGTTCTGCTGCCTAAGCAGCATGAAACACAATGATAACAAAATAGAAGTTCAGCATGTCTTAGGCGACTGACAGAAAAACCAGTGTATCAGTGTGATCTGCAGTCCAGTGAGCCTTGTTCCAATGAGAATTCAAATTGGCTGCTATCTCTTTATCTTGAAACAAGACCACAACTTGGTAGATGAGTTGACTGCTCTATGTAGGTGGGCCCACCCAAACCTTGAAGGATTCTATCCAAATGTCTTCAGTAAACCTAACAGAGGTGGGTGGATTGGGGAGCCTTGAGGGTACTCATAGTTTGGATAACAACTTGCTCCTTAAGATATTTGTCCTTCTCTTCATCTTGGACCCAGCCCATGTCAGCCTATGCACTCATTAGCAGATCAGGAGCCGTGACAGCAAAGTCTATGCCAGAGAACTAACGTTAACATTCCTTAACCATGTGTTCTCCCAAGGAAGGGTCAGGAATTATTCTTACCATGGTGGTCACTGGTCCCCATGGGGAAAGGGGTCAAAGGAAAGGCAAATTGGAAGGCCAAGTAGAATTTGGGTCCCAGATGAATTGATAGATTTTTTTCTTTGCTCTCTTCTCCCAAAGGAGGTCTCTCCACTGGGATTTCTAACTCTAGGAGAAGAGACTGTTACGGGTCAAAGGGGAGCTTCCAAATAGTCAATAATAGGACCTATCTCTCAGGAGTTAGGACAAGGCGTCGACAGAAAATATTGTTGGCTTGACTGTGTGGGATACAGCTTCAGTCGGACAGAAATCTTGTGTTCCTCAAGGTAGCTGAGTCTATCACAGGGGCCTCTCAGTTATGTGGAGAGTTAAAAACTATCTGCTATAGATCCATTATGTGCCCGGGGCTCTGCTCATCACTGGAGAAACAGGCATGATTAGAAGATGGCCCTTCACACACAGGAATCAGTAGAGTTATATTGTTCTGAGTTAAACTCCTGGCCGCATCTCCGAGCAGCTGTGTGACTTTGATCAATTTCTACTGTCTCCATTTCATCTATAAAATCAGGATAATCCCAGTCTTCTAATTTGGGTTGGTGGATGTTTTTTCCATTTCATAACTTAGAATCAAGTGGGGAGAGAAACAGGGACATAGATGCCTAAATGCTGTGAAAGAGACACAGGCAGATGTGTAGAGGCACAGGAGACTTAGCTGGAAAAGATAAATAGTAAATAATTTATAGGAGATAGTATAAAAGCCTACAATCCAGATGGGATCCTAATTTACCAGATTTAGGGGTCAGGGCTTTAGCCATATAGGCCCTATCAGAACACCCCATCCATTCAGCCTAAAGGCACAAGTTGACTTTCCATGGTGCTGTTTCTTGTTGAAGGGTGAATTGGAACTAGTAAAATAGCATACACTCACCTGCATATGCATTTGTTCATTCAGCTACTATTTGGACAGGGTAAGTTACAAGCCTCGGTCAAGGCTGAGGACTTTGCTGAAATGCTCATTCTGAAGCAGCGTTCAGCTGCCCTTTGATCCTCAAGCACTGATGGAGTTCAATTCCATTGATTAGCATGGATTCCTTTCTGATTCCTCTACTTAAACCTGCCAGTGTAGATTCAATGTCAATCAAAGTATACTTTAAACAATGAAATTTGATCAACTTAAATTAAGGAGAGAAATTAAGAAATAATTCCTGTAATTAGAGTAAAATTAATATCTATTTAAGAAAGTTAAATCACACTGGGATTCCCTAACTGGATGCCTTTTGTTGGCCATTTTATTAGATGGCATAATTCAGTCTCAAGAAGTAGGCCCGCCTATATCAAATGAGAAGCCTACTGGCAGAGTATCAGTTTATATTGCATACATGGAGCAGCATTGCTCACCAAATTGTCTGTCTGGATCTTGTGTGCAATTTGGGTGATATTTAAGGCATATGACTTATTGAGATAAAGAAAATTTTTATAGTTTTTTGAATCCTAAGTCCTTATCTCCATGTAGCAATTGCATTTAGGGTCAGATTCTCCCCTCTGCCCAATTCTGCTTTTCTCAATTCCTTACAGTGCTTCTCCCGAGAGCACTCCCCAGTAAACATTCTGCAAACAACTTTACATCTCAGAGTCTGGGAACCCAATCTAACATGGGATTGTCAATCAAAGTGGTCCCCTCAAGAAGCTTTACCCAAATTTTAATCACTCTGCTTGTGCTCAGAACCCAGTAAAAATTCCTTCTGAATCTTTTTAAAGCAGAAGCACATTTTAGGGGACGTCTACCCCAAAGTACCAAATATTTACCATCTGGGGTTATGTATGTATATTTTCAGAAAAGAGACAAAAGTTACTCTAAACTGAGTCTGAGGAATAAATTCTGTGATTAAGCTAGGGTCCACTACTTAGGTGCAGCTAAAATATTTTGATAATGATTTTCTTAGATGGTGGTCACAATAGTTTGAAAGCAGAACTCAAAAAGAAGTTTTACAATGTTTTGAGCAAAAGTGGCATCAGTGAAATAAGTGTGTAGCCTCCCAAGAGAATTACCTAGAACGATAAATCTCTTTCCTGTATAACTCCCACCATTCTTGTTAAAATACCAGTCTCATGATTTTATAGTTATGCTGAAGTTGCAACTATGAGACTCTAGTTAGAGCCTATTATTCCCCCTTGTAATTATATTTTCAGGCATAAAGATCTCCATGGAAAATAGGACTTTAGGACCTAGGTTGGAGGATCTGAAGAAATGAGAAGCTTTAAGTAGCATGTGGTATTTTTTCCAGTACAAGGACTTGAGCATATTTATAGACTAATGGCAGGAATTGTGTCATATTCATCTGTCCATTCCTAGCTCCAACCCCAGTGTCTGATATCTAATAAGCCATTGTAGAGGTTGTTAAATTATTTAATATAAGAGAAATGCTAGAGACAAGCAGGATTTCTGAGCCCTTGCCAGCAAAAAAAAAACAATAAAATAAAATAAAATAAATCAGAAATTATGAATAAGTATAATAATTATATTATTCTTTATATGCATGTAGCTTATTTCATATATCTATGTGACTTCCCTTTGTATTTTTCCTCAATTTCATACTTCCCCTTAATGATTAGCCGGACCCTAAAAATCAAAGTGGCCTATATGCTTGTTTGCAGTGATAGCAGAGGTGACTCCTCAGCAGGCCTTAGCAGTAGAAGAACCCAATAAATAAAATGAATAGAGGCTGTCATAAAGGGGAGGGAAAGCCTGAGGAATCCCTAGGGCCTGGAAGTTCAAGAAGTGGGAGACTAAAGAGCCACCCCAGCCTGTATACAGGCCTCAGGGTTCTGAAAGCAACTCTGCAGAGCAAGAGATTGTCAAGGCTCACCAAACAGGAAGCCCCGAGGCAGTAATAACCAGTGGCATATAGTTAAGTATTAAAAGGGTAAAGTTGACAATTTGTGCCATGTGAAGTAGGAAGGGCAGAGATCAATATACACTGGGGAAAATCTTCATGAGAGGTATATTAATCTGTTTTGCATTGCTGTAAAAGAATACCTGAGACTGGGTAATTTAGAAAGAAAAGAGATCTGTTTGGCTCACAGCTCTGTAGGCTATACAAGAAGCATAGTGCCAGCACCTGCTTCTGGTGAGGCCCTCAGGAAGCTTCCAATCATGGTAGAAGGCGAATGGGGAGCCTGCATATCATATCACAAGGGAGGGAATAAGAGGGAGAGAATGAGGTGCCGGACTCTTTTAAACAACCAGCTCTCACATGAATTAATAGAATGAGAACTCACTCATCACCAAGGGGATGGTGCCAAGCCACTCATGAGGGATCTGCCTCCATGAGCCAATACCTCCCACTGGGCACCACCTCCAACCTCGGGGACCACATTTCAACATGAGCTTTGGAAGGGACACACATACAAAGCATATCAAGAATGGTGGGGTGGGGGGCTGGGGAAGAGCTGTGGTTTGAAAGAAAGATCATTAAGAATTGTATAGTAAGTGCTGGAGGTGGAAAGCATTTTCAGCAGCCATCACATAAGCAAAGGCTCTGAGACAAGGAGAGCACTGATTTCAGTGGCAGCCCTGCTGCAGGCGTGTACTGTAAACAAGTGATTAATGGAAGGCATGGTGGGCCTTGCTAGATCAGATCCATGCCAGGCACTGCAAAGGCTAGACATTGTGCATGGATAGCATTTCCATGAGTTTTCACAGTGGGCCTGCAAAAAAGGAAACCAACACACATGAAGTCATAAACCCTAAACATTGTACCAATTAATCTGAAAACAAAAATTCAGGAAGTGAGAGATGAACATGAATCTGAGAAAAACTCATGGAGGAAAGACCTCAGGCTAAGCCTTTAAGGGTGGCTAAGATTACTGGGTATATACCCAAAGGATTATAAATCATGCTGCTATAAAGACACATGCACACATATGTTTATAGCGGCACTATTCACAATACCAAAGACTTGGAACCAACCTAAATGTCCAACAACGATAGACTGGATTAAGAAAATGTGGCACATATCCACCACGGAATACTATGCAGCCATAAAAAACGATGAGTTCATGTCCTTTGTAGGGACATGGATGAAACTGGAAACCATCATTCTCAGCAAACTATCGCAAGGACAAAAAACCAAACACCACATGTTCTCACTCATAGGTGGGAATTGAACAACGAGAACACATGGACACAGGAAGGGGAACATCACACACCGGGGACTGTTGTGGGTTGGGGTAGGGGAGGGATAGCATTAGGAGATATACCTAATGCTGAATGACGAGCTAATGGGTGCAGCACACCAACATGGCACATGTATACATATGTAACAAACCTGCACGTTTTGCACATGTACCCTAAAACTTAAAGTATAATAATAAAAAAAAAAAAGGGTGGCTAAGATTTTGATAGCTGGCTGGGAGCAAAAGGAAGAACACCAGAAGCATAAAAAATCAGCATTATTTATATTCTGCAGGACAGAAAAGATGTGTTGAGGAGTACAATAAATTATGATTGAACGCCTCTGAGCACTGGGCCCAAATTACACAGGGCTTTAAAAGCACAAGAGGACTCTGTGAAGTGTAGATGATGGGGAATCACTTCATGGATGGGCTGGAATTGGGAGAAACTGAGGATAAAGCCACCCACTGCCAAGCAGCTATGTTAATCCAACCCAAAACTGAGGAGTACCAACCAAGACTAGGGCATGGAAGTGAGAAGAGAAAATGGGAGAGTCCCAGGAGAGGACTACCAGGACTCTGAAATTGTCTGGAATAAGAAGAGATTTCTTGCCCACATCATGCTGGGAAATACTGCGTAGAGCATACGCATCTCTTGTGGAGTGATAGTGCACACTAGCATATGGAAGGCCTGCAGGAGGAAAACAGCCACTCTCTCCCTTTCCCCTACTATTCTTAGAAACACACATTGAAAACCGACATTTCAAAAGCCCAACAAGATATGTTATCTAAAAGGATTACATAGAGATGAATTCAGTGATGCCACTCAGAGACACTGGATGACTAGGAAGGAAATGCAGTCTGGAAAATATAGAATAAGTTTGGTTTAAAATAGATTGAGCCTGGCCAGGGCACAGGCTCTGGAGTGGGAAGACCCTGCATGCTTGCTTCAATCCAAGAGGCTCTACTGCCTCCCAGCCTTCAGGGGAGTGAAGTCTTTCTCACCTTTGTTGCTGTAACTAATGGATCCCTTCCTCCATTCAACTCCTTCTCCATTGATCCCCCCAGGTTTGTATGCAGAGCCAGAAACAACTTGGTAAGACAGACTTTCCCACAGTGTGGAGGAGGCAAGATTTTGCCAAAGCGTATACATTATTTTTTTGCCCAATCATGTATAGTAGGCAATCCAGGAAACACTATAAATTGCTATGTTCATTACAGCACATCCACTATGTCCTTGGTCTTCACCTAGACCCTTTTTCTACCTTATCTCACTAAATTTAAACACTAACCCAAGCCCATAGATATTAACCCAATTGTACAGGAAAGAAAGCAAAACTGGGGCCTAAAAAGATTAAATTCGAAATTCACACAACTAGAAAAGTAGAATTGGAATTCTAACCCATCCCTTTTTAAATCCGAAGCCTATGTTTTTTTCACTAAAATGTACAGAGATTACTAGTCAAAACACAATAGGAATAAGTACATACAAAGTTACTTAAAATGTACTCTGACAACACAGATGAGGGGGCGGCAATTAATTGGTCGAAAGTTCCACCACTTCATCCCTGAGCCTTCAAGACTCTCACATGGCTGCCATTGAGTATTAGGGATATGTTCACACCTAACTTTTTAGATTAGAACATCTGTAACATTTATTGTTAACTATTTTAAAAGCACTAACATCTGTGTTTCAAAAGATAATTTAGGAGTTAAACCTTATCACCTCTTCATCCATAAATCAGAATATATATCCCATTATGAAACGGCAAGAGCACTTTATAAAGGAATAAATACAAACGGCCAAAACCTAAATGAGAAATTTTCCAACATCACTAATAACAACAAAAAAATGGAAATTAAAATAGATGCCATTTTTCCTCTATCAAAATAGCTCAGAAATTTTTTTTAATCTAAGTGATGAGAGTCAGTGAAAATGATTGCTCACATATCCTGTTGATTAAAATATAAATTGATATAATCTTTCTAGGGGACGAATTGGTATTGTAAATCAAAATCATCAGAATATACTAACTCTTTGACCCCGAAATTTTTTATACACAAGGATATCCATCACAATGTGATTTAAGTAGTAAAAATTTTAAACCGCCCAATGTCCAACATAAATAATAATCAAACAAAATTGGAGGTAGGATACAATCAAATGCACTGCAGTTATTTTTTAAAATCACATTACGTAAGAACATAAAATGACTTGGAGAAATGATTATAGCACATCATTAAATAAAGAAAAGCATGTCTCAAAATAGCATTGCACCATAATTCAATTTTGTGGAATCTAAGCTGAAGGCCCACCTCAAATCTTAACAAAGATTCTTTTTAGATAATGAGATTATATGTCTTCTTTGTGTTTTTATGTGATTTCCAAATTTTCCATATTGAACATATAAGCTTTTTAACATCTGGAACAAGTCATATTAAAAATCTGATTCTATTCTATTATCTATTCTACATTTTCAGGGAAGCCCTGTACCAGTTCAGCTCTTTGAATAGGAATTTTCTCCCTCTCTCCTTTCTCCAGAGAGGACCTCTAGGCCTCTCTACCCTCTCCCCTGAAATCCCAGCCTTCACCATCCAAGGAGTGCCCAGCTAGTTCCAGCCATTGTCCTGATCACAAACATTTCGGTAAGAATGCCATGCTTGTCCCTTGAGTCAGACTTTCATCCTCTTCAATCCAACCCGTTCATTCACTTGTGAGTTCAGCAGTCACTGAACATCTACTCTGTGCTAGGCAATATGCTAGATGCCAGTGACACAAAGCCAATAGGACAATATTCTGACTACGACAAAGTCAGACTTGAGTAGATAGCATGTGCTGTAACCAAGCTTAACGGGCACACAGGGGAGAGCATTCAAAAGCAGACCCAGGAAGGCAGGGAAAGCAAGGAAGAATGCTCAGAGGCTGTGATACTCGCCCTAAAACAATGGGAGCAATTTAGATCATAAACTCATGGAAAGATACTCTAGGCAGAAGAAAGGCCAGTGCAATGCACATAGGTGAGGAAAAGCATCATATATTCTGGCAGCCTCAAGGATCTCCACTTGACTGGAGTACAGTGTGCAAGGGTGAGTGTCAGGAGATAATATTGCAAGAGTATGTCCCAAATTATGTTACATGGACTACCAGGACTCTGAAATTATCCCTGGATTAAGAAGAGATTTCTTGCCCACATCACTCTGGGAAATGCCGTGTAGAGCATACGCATCTCTTGTGGAGTGATAGTGCACACTAGCATATTGAAGGCCTGCAGGAGGAAAACAGCCACTCTCTCCCTTTCCCCGGCTATTCTTAGAAACACACATTGAAAAAAATACTGAACCAGAGAAGTGGGGAGGATCCAGAGGATAAAGGCCTGTGTATTAAGCTAAGGAATTTTCTCTTTGCCCTGAAAGCTCTTTGGAACCTTGATAGCTTTCAAACAAAGAAGCCTCATGATAAGGGCTGTGGTTTAGAAAAAACCACTCTGGCACCGCTAAAGAGCCTGGAGGAAAAAGAGTAGAAGAGGAAACAGAAAATAGTACTCAGGAGGCTGTGACAGGAATAGAGAGTCGCAGAAATGTGGCCCTAAAACAAAAACTAAGGAAGCAGAAGTGGGATTAAGATGGTGGACTAGAGAATTTGACCCAAAGCAGACTTGGTGGCTTAGTCTACGTAATAGTGATGGATACAAATGTGGTGGAAATCAGGACTAAGTGTGTGAGAGAGAACTCTCTAACATGTGTCTCAGTTTCTCCCTAGGGTCATGGGACAGGAGAAAGCATGCTTTGAACAAAATGTAATAAATGGAGTTGCGGACATATCTCACACGTGATAGGAAAAATGAGTCTGAAGCTCAGCAGAGAGATATAAATGGACAATACAGACCAGGAAGGCATTAGAATACAGTCACATATGAAACCATGGCCTTAGATGGGAAATACATCACAATGAGAATAGAGGTTCAGGGCATAACCCTGGGTAATACCGAAGTTTGGCCAACAATAGTAAATCTACAAAAGTGGTAAGACGTGGCCACAGAGAACATTTGAAAACCCCAAAAGAGAAATGTCAAGGAAGCTAAAAGAGAAGCACGTGAAGATACCAGGTGCAGCCACTGGGATTAAATACCAAAGAGATCCAATGAGTGTGAACAGGAATATATCTATTGGCTTTGGCAAAATGTCACTAATCAGAGGGAAGCTGTCCTTCCAAGAGCTGACAGAGAGAGGGTGATTAGGACTGAATAAAATTTTGGTATTTGGGCTTTGACTGTTTTGGCTTTCGCCTGGGAAATAACTGAGTCTGTTTATTCTATGTTGAGAGTCAAAGGGAGGTACTGAGGGGGATGTCAGTGAGAAGGGAGGTTAAAGAAAATAGAGAGGGGTGGCTAACAGAGGGGTCTGGGGAAGCAGAAGGGATAGAATGCACAGTACAGAGCTGGAAAGGAGGAGAGCCCCTTAATCCTCTTACATTTTGGTGTAGGAGGCAGAGGAGCTTGAAGGCAGCAAGGGAGGAATCTGAGAATACACTCACCCAATGGCTTTAACCTAACCAACGTCAGGTTTTGAAAGGAGTGAAGGGATCTGAGACAGAAGATTGGGTTTCAGAGGAGAATTAGTTCATCACCTGAATCACAAGAAAAGGAAGATTCTGGCAATGTCAAATCTGCATTTAAAGCTTCTGAAATTAAAATCAACTCAATATAGAAAAATGTCAATATTAGTGTTAAAATAGATGAGCACAATTATCAAGGTAAAGTTCATCAGATTTAAATATGTGCCTATTTATGTCATGCATATGCATTTTCTATGCACCTTTTTAAAATAGGAACTTTTCCTTTGGTGTGTAGATTTGGGGAAATGTAAACATCAAAGCTCGAACTTTCCTTTTATCTTTTCCCCCTCGAATCTGGGATCTTTTAAAGGTTTAAGAAAACCACAAATAATATAGAGACAATATTTTTATTTACTATTCTTATTAATACTACTTTCAAATTTCTATGTAATGAAGTGTTATCAATTATTAGACTAATAATGTTTCTTCATTTTCACCATTGATTTCTTTTAAAGTCTCTGAGATAATTTAAAAAATTAAGATATTGACTAAATGGGTTCAGTGATGGGATGCATAAGACCATCTAACACTGCAGCAGAAACCTAATCAACCAAGTGGATTCTTACACCATGGCCTGAAGACAAAAAAAAAAATCCACACCTGGAGTAAAAATGCTAAGCCCATTGAGATGCTATTTTTGGTTCCTTGATTACGGTAAAATATCATCAGTGCATGTTTTTCAAAGAAAAATGAAATGCACACAGTATGAAGGCAAATCAAGAAAGCTGGAGCTTCTAAAATTGACTATAGACTCCACTACCACCACAGCTTCTCCTCTGTCCTTAGAAGATGCAATGCTTCATTCCAAGGCAGAATGACGTTGGAAACTGAATCAGAGAGCTTCACACCCTGGGAACCCAAGCATACAAGGGAAGTCTAAAGAGCCATTGGTCTGGTCTTAGAAAGACCAAGGGCTTAAGAAAATCTTCAAGGCTCCCCAATGCAGGTCAGTTCATCTTTCCTACAAATCCAGATTCTGACACAACCAAAAACAATCATTACAACCCTACTTCTTTGTTTAACTGAATGTGTCCTCTTGACTATTTTGATTTAATTTATTGTCTATCCCATACTTCATTCACAATTCATAAGGGAGTTAACTATTTATAGAAAAACCTTTAGAATAAAAGAAATACTCATTATTTAATTCATCAGGCCTGTAAATCCACATTTCTTGTACTCTGTTAGGGTTGTAGAAAGATAGGCTTGCTTGTAATTATAGTTCCTAGGAGCCAGGCATCATGCTTTTTTGTTTAATTTTTATTAACGTCATTTAACTTGCACTAAAGTTTTTTCAAGACTATCCACTTCCAGTAACAATAAAAAGGCTGGAGAACTGGTTTGAAAATGTTGGGAATCATGAAATTCCAGGCAGCCAGAAGTGGAGCCCAAATCATGCCTTACATAAGGTCTGGATAAGCTTATAAAAGCCAGGATGTTGTGGCTGTCATTGCTGTTGTTCATTGCACATTATCCTTGGTAGAACTGACACCATGGCCAATACTGAATAAGGGATGCTGCTACTATGACACCCTGGAACTTAACCCAGGGTACCACTGCCACCACCACATAAATACTTCCCAGCCATTCTCTTCTAGCAACATCACAGGCTGCAGACTCAGTACTCAGTAAGGACATCTGATTGGCTGGGCAAGTTCACTTGCACACCCTCCAGCAGCTGAGGAGATGGGAAATGAAATATATGCCTCCCTTCAGCTTTCCTGAGATTTTTCCCCAAAGCAGGAAAGATAGGTGGATGCTGGGCAGCTAATCCCAACAAATATCCACAACAGGGTAGCAATCTGCACCCAATAAGTATTTAAAAACTGTTCTTGGGAATGATATAGAAATATCTTTTTGCATTTAAAAAAGTGGATAGGAATTTTGTTGCAGAAAACTGTGTGAGAAACCATGCTAGTTCTCTTTGTTTTTTAATGCCTCAAAGGTATTTCTAAATAATGTTGCATAGAGATGTTGATTGTATGGACACTTTTTGGAAGAGAAATAAAGGCCAATTTTCACCTCCTGAGCCATCTTCATAATTTTCACATTAGGGAGAAAATAAAAACACAGTAACTGTATTGGAACACAGGCTTTAATGAGCTAATGTATAATAAATTGGCCTCCGTGGAGCCTGAATAGAAAGAACATGGTGTGACTATGGCACTGTCTGTTCTATCTCTACTCTTTGAGGCTTTGAGACCTAAGGAAGGCTTCTGCAGAGAGGACACTCAGGAGCCGCGTTTCCCCCAGCCAGCCTCAGCACAGATTAAGGAAGGAGGAACTATGTTCATTCAAAGAAAGAGAAGTCACAGCTCTTTGAATGTCCCTGCATGCTTGAGTTCATTCGTTCGTTCATTCATTATTTACTTATTTATGAATTAAATGTATTCTACATGTTGTGCATAATGTCATAGGCTGGTGAGCAAGATGGACAGGGTCCTTCTTTTCCCTCTGATGTTTTTCTTTTTGGAAATATCTGGCCCCTTCCTACAGACACTGATATGAGTTTCTTTGGAAGAGCACACAATGCTCCCTAATGCAGTGAGGACAGATGAGGCAAATGTCTGTCCATCGGTAGAGTTAGAGTCAGGAGAATGCTAGATTCAACCCTGAGGTGCTCTTGCCCATGACTTAGCCTACCAAAGGTCTCCTTTTTCTTTTCTCTGGTCAGGTGATAAATTCATACATCAGGTCAGAAAGACAGAAACAACTTTTAAAATTCAAGTTGCTTATATGAACAATCCATTCACCTCTGAGAGTTTGTGTAGGTTAAGAAGATATGCAGTCCAATCAATTCAGAACACTTTTGGTCCCATCTGCCAGTTCGCACCCTCCTCATAAACTGTCCTTGCACACTCTTTGTATGCTGATGACTTTAAAATGACTCTTACAGGATGAGAGAAAGGTGTTGTGAGGCATCCATAGTTTCTTCTTTAGAATCTTTTTTATTAGATAATTATCATCTTTGAATGACATTTTTTAAATGTCTTTAAGGACTTTGTGCTGTACCACACACTAATCAAAACACATTAGTCACTGAAAGCAGAACTCATATTCAAAAGTAGTCTACACTTACATGGATTTGCTACAGGAAAGGGCAATGAAGCAAAGTACAAAAAAAAAAGCAAGAAAACTGACCTACAGTATAACACAAAAAACTAAGCTAAGCTAAACTAAAGTAATAATAATGATGATATTGACTGCTAACATTTATTGAGGACTTCCTACATTCCAACATTATCCTAAATTCTTGGTTTTATTACTTTATCTTCCTACAAACCTATCAGGAATACAGTGAAGGTAAGCTGTGCATTGTATTCCATCTGCTGGGGTTGGAAGGTTGGGACCTTCTGTTTAACCACAGGTTTGGTGGAGGCAGTGGTATTTTAACCAATATGGGCTTAGAGGATGGTGCTGTGCCAGGCACAGGGATATGGAAAGCAGAAGAGACAGAAATGGTGAGCATGAACTGTCTTTGACTGAAAAGAAAAAGAAGGTAAAACTAGGCAGTACAGGGAGCCCAACTATGCTTTGAGACAAAGGGAAGAAAAAAATTTCTATGCAGAAAGTGATGAGGATTCACTGGACTCAACCAGAAGAGAGACCTGCGAGGCATCAAATGAAGAGAGAAATGCAGCCAGTGTACTTGCTGGGGAGGCGAGAATGCTGTAGTGAGGGGCTAAGGTTTCCAGGGCCCAGGTGGGGGAAATCAGAACATAGGCATAGATGTGGCTCTGTGATCCAATGGAAAAAGAATAGAAACTGGGATGTTAGAACCAGCAGGCTAACATGACAGATTGGACGTGGGTGGAGAAAAAATAAAAAAATAAAGACGGCACCAAGGCAGAATAGGAAAGAGGGACTTTGGTGTCTGCAGCAATGTGTGTATAGAGCTGTCTTTTCTCCATTCGCTACTCTTCTTAATCTGATCCTGTACCGATAGCAACCACTCGAATTTTCAAAACATCCTAGCACTTTCCTCTATATATGCTGCCCTTGTCATTGCTAGCATTTCTCAGATGTCATGTTGCATTGGCAACTGCCATTCCCTGCTCCTTGTTATTTCCTTCAAATCCTAAAACCCAAAGTTCATTCGGCCAGATTCTCCCCTCCTAAGAAGGATGCAGACCTTAAGGCTCAGAATGGTTCAGGTGGCTGCAGAGTTCACTGTTAGAGCAACTCGCAGCCCAAGCAGCCAAGCATGTCTCAGCAGTGCCTACACATTCAAACAGCCCAGCTGAGAAGGAACGAGAAGCAGGAGGCCAAGAGGTTTGGAGTAGACTGAATAACAGTCCCTAAAGGTATCCATGCTCCAATCCCTGGGATCTGTGGACATTACCCTATTTGGCAAAAAGACTTTGGAAATGTGCTTAAGGTAAGGATGGAGATTATCCCCGATGATCCCTATGGATCCTAATTGCCACCACAGTGTCTTTATAAGAGAGAAGGAGAGGAAGTTTGAGTACAAAGGAGGAGAAGACAGGCGATGACAGAAGCAGAAACTGGAGTGATGATGCTGCAAACTAAGAAATGCTGCAGCCATCAGAAGCTGGAAATGACAAGGCATCAGAAGCTTGGAAATGACAAGCCATCAGAAGCTGGAAATGACTCTTCCCTGGAGCCCCAGAAGGAACCACCCCTCCCGACATTTGGCCTGTAACTCCCTAAGACTCATTTAGGACTTGTGGCCTCCAGAGCTTTAAGACAATCAATTTCTGTTGTTTTCATCAGCAACAGGAATTGTATGTTCTTCCCTCAACTGGCCTGGACAGAGAAGCCCAATCATTAAAGAAAAGACCCCTCTCGCCATGTCAATATTGATCCAAAGGGGCACCATCTTTCACATTTTCCTCAAGAACCCAAAGTAATGCATATATTTACCTATTTTGAACAGGGCCCTGAATAATCTTAATCTTACAAGCTTTCTTTCATCCCTCCTATTCCCCAACCCCAAGTACTCAACTGTCTAGAATCCCCACCCCCCACATCTGTTCTGCTCTTCCCCAGTACCCTGCCCTTGCTCATGCAGGAACTCCAGCAAGAACTGTCCTATCCCTTGTTTTTCATTCTTAAAATGCCAATCAACCCTCAGAGACAGCAGAAAACTGACTTCTTCTCCAATCCTTCCTTCCATCTACAAAATGCGTTGCTCTCTCCTTTGCATCCCCATGACTTGAGAACATTGAGCACGAATCACATCTAATTCATTATTTATGTACCAGATGGTGAGCTCCTCATGTCCTCCTTCTCAGCAAAATGCCTGCTATGTTTGGGCATTAAATGGACAGTTGTACTTGATGTGTGAGTGAAAGAAGCCATGAGACTGTCTTCTCTCCCTTTTTTTTTTTGTCCCCCATGCCCACATTCCAAGCTCTGCATTTAATTCTTAACTTCCCCATTTTAAAAATGAGTTCATATGCCCTAGGGGTATCTTTAAGTTAAATGAAAAATGATTTTCTTAAATGTAGTTTAACAATTCCCACTACATTAAAAAATAAATAATCATCATTCTAACTATTAATAGCTTATTTGCATCCCACTATAATTGATTCAAAAGCGACTACTATTTTAGACTTTACCCTCTAAGAATTTACATTTGGAAAGGGCACAGTGATGGGACAGACTATTTACTGGGGTCAGAGCAGAAGGGTTCATCAAAAACTACAGGATCAATATGGGTGAACTTTAAAAACCAAACCCTGAGACAGAGCCAAGACTTACAAATGAGCCACTATCTGCTATCTTCTTCCCCAACTCCCTGCCAGCTAACAAGATGGTGCTGGTCCAGAGCCTAGGTCTTTCTGTTGTAGAATCTGAAGAATAGTTGGAGAGGTATAGAAGAGGAGATTAAGAAGAAACCTGCAAGTGTAATCAGAGATTTCACAACATGTATAATAAAGGGCTCAGGCAGGGTGGGGGCAGAGGGAAGAAAACCCTGTGAGGCTGAGCTGTGAGGGAAGGTTTGGAGTTTGCTATGGGAAAGGCTGCAGGGTCTAGAAGAATTGAAAAGGGGAGGCCAAGGTGGCTTCAGATCCCCTTGACAGTATTTTTAAAAGATGCAGGTTAAAAAATTGATTTTCTTGTTATTTATATTTTGATACCTAATTGAACTTCTCCAACTTGACCTCTTTTAAAAACAACAACAAGAAAAAAAAAAAAAAAAAACACCAGCATCACCCTAATACCTAAACCAGGAAAGGACATAACCAAAAAAGAAAACTACAGACCGATATCCTTGATGAACATAGATGCTAAAATCCTTAACAAAATACCTTCTAATTGAATCAAACAGCACATCAAAAAGATAATCCACCATGATTAAGTGGGTTTTATACCAGGGATGCAGGGATGGTTTAATATATGCAAATCAATAGATGTGATACACCACATAAACAGAATTAAAAACAAAAATCACATGATCATTTCAATACATGCAGAAAAAGCGTTTGACAAAATCCAACATCCCTTTATGATTGAAACTCTCAGCAAAATTGGCATATAAGGGACATGCATTAATGTAATGAAAGCCATCTATGACAAACCCACAGCCAACATAATACTGAATGGGGAAAAGTTGAAAGCATTCCCTCTGACAACTGGAACAAGATAAGGATGCCCACTCTCACCACTCCTCTTCAACATAGCACTGGAAGTCCTAGCCAGAGCAATCAGACAAGAAAGAAATAAACGGCATCCAAATCAGTAAAGAGGAAGTCAAACTGTCACTGTTTGCTGACAATATGATTGTTTACCTTGAAAACCCTTTCTGGACTCTTCCAGAAAGCTCCTAGAACTGATAAAATAATTCAGCAAAGTTTACAAGATTAATATACACAAATCAGTAGCTCTTTTATACACCAACAGCAACCAAGAGAAGAATCACATCAAGAACTCAACCCTATTTACAATAGCTGCAAAAAAATAAAATAAAATACTTAGGAATATACCTAACCAAGGAGTTGAAATACCTCTACAAGGAAAACTACGAAACACTGCTGAAAGAAATCATAGACAACAAAACAAATGCAAAAACATTCCATGCTCATGGATGGGTAGAATCAATATTATGAAAATGACCATACTGCTGAAAGCAATCTACTAATTCAATGCAATCCCCATCAAAATACCATCCATCATTCTTCACAGAATTAGAAAAAACAATTCTAAAATTCACATGGAACCAAAAAAGAGCCCACATAGCCAAAGCAAGACTAAGCAAAAAGTACAAATCTGGAGGCATCACACTACCTGATTTCAAACTATACTATAAGGCCATAGTCACCAAAACAGCATGGAAGTGGTATAAAAATAAACACATAGACCAATGGAACAGAATAGAGAACCCAGAAATAAACTCAAATACTTACAGCCAATTGATCTTCGACAAAGCAAATAAAAACATAAAGTGGGGAAAGGTGCCCTTTTCAACAAATGGTGCTGGGATAATTGGCTAGCCACATGTAGGAGAATGAAACTGAATCCTCGTCTCTCACCTTATATACAAAAATCAGCTCAAGATGGATTAAGGACTTAAACCTAAGACCTGAAACTATAAAAATTCTAGAACATAACACTAGAAAAACCCTTCTAGACATTGGCTTAGGCAAGGATTTCATGACCAAGAACCCAAAAGCAAATGCAATTAAAAAAAAAGGTAAATAGCTGGGACCTAATTAAACTAAAGAGCTTTTGGACGGCAAAAGGAACAGTCAGCAGAGTAAACAGACAACCCACAGAGTGGGAGAAAATCTTCACAATCTATACATCTGACAAAGGACTAATATCCAGAATCTACAATGAACTCAAACAAATTAGTATGAAAAAAAAAACAATTCCATCAAAAAGTGGGCTAAGGACATGAATAGACAATTCTCAAAAGAAGATATACAAATGGCCAACAACATAAGAAAAAATGATCAACATCACTAATGATCATGGAAATGCAAATCAAAACCACAATGCCATACCACCTCACTCCTGCAAGAATGGCCGTAATCAAAAAACAGTAGATTTGGATGCAGTGAACAGGGAACACTTCTACACTGCTGGTGGGAATGTAAACTAGTACAGCCACTATGGAAAACAGTGTGGAGATTATTTAAAGAACTAAAAGTAGAACTACCATTTGATCCGGCAATCCCACTACAGGTTATCTACCCAGAGGAAAAAAAGTCATTATACGAAAAAGATACTTGCACATGCATGTTTATAGCAGCACAATTCGCAATTACAATATAGTGGATCAACCCAAATGCCCATCAATCAATGAGTGGATAAAGAAACAGTGATATACATATATATATAGATAGATAGATGATGAAATACTATGCAGTCATAAAAAGGAATGAATTAACAGCATTTGCAGTGACCTGGATGAGATTGGAGACTATTATTCTAAGTTAAGTAACTCAAGAATGGAAAACCAAAGGTTGCATATTCTCACTGATATGTTGGAGCTAAGCTGTGAGGACGCAAAAGCATAAGAAAGATGCAATGGACTTTGGGGACTTGAGAAGAGTGGGAGGTGGGCAAGGGATAGAAGACTTCAAATACAGTGCAGTGTCTTCTGATCAGGTGACAGGTGCACCAAAATCTCACAAATCACCAATAAAGAACTTACTCATGTAACCAAATACCACCTGTATCCCAGTATCTTATGGGAAAAAAAAGTGGATATAATCAGTGAAAACTAAAAAAAAATTTAAAAACCAGAAGCCCTTGAGTTATATAAGAAAACAGAAAATTTGTTATTACTAACTTTGTGTAAGCAGAGCAGTTCAAGAACTTTCTTGGGCTCCAAAAATCTCACTCCACAACATGATGCCAGCAACCATCACATGTGTAGTACATCTCTTTCAAGGTCAATATCTTAATTTTCTCCTCTTTAAACAGAATTATCCCAGTTTCCTGATTTGATAGTGCAGTTCCAGGTTCTTGATCCCAGCCTTATATTCTAACTACTGCCTTTAAAAATAGACATGTGGATCAATAAAGCAGAATACAGAATGCAGAAATAAAGCCTCATACCTACTGCCAACTAATCTTCAAGAAAGTCAGTACAACAAGAACATTCACTGGGGAAAGGACACCCTAACGGTGTGGGTAAAATTGGATTGCCATATGCAGAAAGTGCAACTGGACCCCATCTCTCACCATACACAAAAATTAATTCAAGATAAATTAAAGCTTAAATGTCAGACCTGAAACTATAAAAATACTAGAAGACAGTTCAAGGAAAACTCTTTTGGACATTGGTTTTGTCAAAGAATTCATGACAAGGCCTCAAAAGCAAATGCGCTGAAAACAAAAATAGACAAATGGGACTTAATTGAACTAAAAATCTCCAGAGCAAAAGAAATCATCAACAGAGTGAACAGATCACCTGCAGAATGGGAGAAAATACTTGCAAACTATGCATCCAAGAAAAGACTAATATCCAGAACCTACAAGGAACTCAAACATTTCAACAACAACGACAAAAAATAACACCATTTAAAAGTGGGCAAAGGACATGAGCAGGTATTTTTCAAAAGCAGACATACAAGTGGCCAGCAAATAGATGGAAAAATGTGCAATATCACTAATCATCAGAAAAATACAAATCAAAACCGCAATGAGATGCCATCTTACATCAGTCAGAATGGCTACTACTAAAAATTCAAAAAAAGAATAGATGTTGCCAAGGATGCAGAGAAAAGGGAACACATACACTGTTGATGGGAATGTAAATTAGTACAACCTCTATGGAAAACAGTATGGAGATTTCTCAAAGTACTAAAAATGAAACTACCATTCGATCTAGCAATCTCACTACTGGATATATACTTAAACAAAAAGAAATCAATACACCAAAAAGATATCTGCACTCAAATGTTCATTACAGCACTATTCACAAAAAAAAAGATATAAAATCAACCTAAGTGTCCATCAAAAGATGGTTGGATAAAGAAAATGTGATTATATATATATATATATATCTCCATGGAATATATACATATATATATCTCCATGGAATATATACATACACATACACACACACACACACACACACACACACACATAGGAGATTGGTCAGGGTGGAGGGAAAAGTTATAAGCAAAGACACAAACCTTCTAGGAAGGCTGGGAGGTTTTGCAAAGCTTCAGGAGAGAATAAAAGCTGAAGGCACTTAATTATCTCACCCTGAAGCAGAGGGCGAGAAGTAGGTGCAAGGGAATGTAAGGCACTTTATCTAGATAAGTTTATTTACTTATGTTGTCCGGACACCAACCTTTGATCATCCGCACTCAACACTGCTCCCTGCAGGGGGGGACAACAATATTAATAATCCACAGGTTGTGCTGGCTCCAGGCACTTGACATTAAATCCATACTGAATAAATACAAGCAGGTCCAGCTTATTGAGGCTGCACTCTCGTCAGCGGCATTGAACCGTGCAGTCCCCTAGCCATGCTCTCAGGCAAGATACTTGTGTCTGCGTACTTCTTTCATCCATTGCTCAGCCAGAGTCTGTGGGACAGACTCAGCACACACACACCATGGAATATTATTCAGCTATAAAAATGAATGAAATCATATAGTTTGCAGCAACATGGATGGAACTAGATTCCATTATCTTAAGTGAAATAATGCAGAAACAGAAAGTCAAATACCACATGTTCTCACTTATAAGTGGGAACTAAATAATGTGTACACATCGAAATAGAGAGTGGAGTAATAGACATTGGAGACAAGGAAGTGTGGGAAGGGGTGAGAGATGAAAAATTACTGCATGGGTATAATGTACACTATGTGGGTGGTGGCTATGCTAAAAACCCAGACTTCACTACTACACAATATATCCATGTAATAAAACTGTACTTATACCCTCTGAATCTATAATTTGTGAAAACTGCATTCAAATTTAACTTTTTGCTGCTTTTCAGAACTGCTCTCTGGCTTCCTTACCTCTCTGACCGGCTGTCACCCTCATGCATTCAGCTGCCTAAGATTGACCTGGATTCTTCCTCAATCAGGGCTAACCTTGGCCCAGAGACTCAATATCAAGAAATAGTTCAAGTCAAAGTTATCCTCAGTAAGAAGAATAAAATTGGAGGAATTACAATACCTAACTTTAAGTTATACTACAGTGCCATAGTAATCAAATGACATGGTACTGGCATAAAAGCTGACATATAGATCAGTGGAACAGAATAGAGAACCCAGAGATAAACCTATACATCTACCATGAACTCATTTTTGATAAATGTCCCAAGAATATACATTAGAGAAAGGAGAGTCTCTTCAATAAATGGTGCTGGGAAAACTGGATATTCATATGCAAAAGAAAAAAACTAGACCCCTATCTCTTGCCATATACACAAATCCAATCAAAATGGATTAAAGACTTAACTCTAAGACCTCAAACTATGCAACTACTATAAAAAGAAATCGGGGAAACTCTCCGAGACTTTGGACTGCGCAAAGATGTATTTAGTAATATCCCACAGGTACAGGCAACCAAAGCAAACATGGACAAATGGGATCATATCAAGTTAAAAAGCTTCTGCACAGCAAAGGAAACAACCAACAAAGTGAAGAGAAAACCCACAGAATGGGAGAAAATATTTGCAAACTGCTCATCTGACAAGGGATTAATAACCAGACTATATAAGGAGCTCAAACAACTCTATCAATCAGAAAAAAAAATAATAATCCAATTTAAAAATCGGCAAAAGATTTGGATAGACATTTCTCAAAAGAAGACATACAAATGGCAAGCAGGTATATGGAAAGGTGTTCAACATCGTTAATCAATCATCAGAGAAATGCAAGTCAAATATACAATGAGATATCATCTCATCTCAGTTAAAATGGCTATTATTGAAAAGTCAGGCAATAACAAAGGCTGGCAAGGATGTGGAGAAAAGGGAACCCTCCTCCTACACTGTTGGTGGGAATGTAAACTAGTATGACCACTATAGAGAACAGTTTGGAGGCTCCTCACAAAAAACAAAACTAGAGCTATCCAGCAAACTCGCGTGGATCTATACACCCAAAATAAAGGAAATTAGTATATTGAAGGGATAGCTACACTCCCATGTTTATTGCAGCACTATTCACAATAGCCAAGATTTGGAAGCAATCTAAGTTTCCATCAACAGACAAACGGATAAAGAAAATGTGGTACATATACACAATGGAGTACTTCAGCCATAAAAAAAGGATGAGATCCTGTCATTTGCAACAACATGGATGGAACTGGAGGTCATTACGTTAAGTGAAATAAGCCAGACACAGAAAGACAAACATCACATGTTCTCACTTATTTGTGGGAGCTAAAAATTAAAATAATTGAACTGATAAAGAAAGGGAGTAGAAGGATGGTTACTAGAGGCTGGGAAGGGTAGTGAGGGGGTGGGATGGTGGGGATCAATGGGTACAAAAAAGAAGTTAAAAGAATGAATAAGGCCTAACATTTGCTATCGCAATAGAGTGACTATAGTCAAAAATAATTTAAGTGTACATTGTAGCTAAAAGAGTATAACTGGATTGTTTGTAATACAAAGGAAAATGCCTGAGATGATGGATACCCAATTTTACATGATGTGATTATCACACATTGTATGCCTATATCCAAATATCTCATGTAATCCATAAATATATACACCTACTTTGTGCCCACAAAATTTTTTCTTTTTTTTTTTGAGACGGATTCTCACTCTGTCACCCAGGCTGGAGTGCAGTGGTGCGATCTCGGCTCACTGCAAGCCCCACTCCCGGGTTCACGCCATTCTCCTGCCTCAGCCTCCTGAGTAGCTGGGAGTACAGGTACCCGCCACCATGCCCGGCTAATTTTTTGTATTTGTAGTAGATATGGGGTTTCACCGTGTTAGCCAGGATGGTCTCGATCTCCTGACCTCGTGATCTGCCCACCTTGGCCTCCCAAAGTGCTGGGATTACAGGCTTGAGCCACTGCGCCCAGCCAAATTTTTTTAATTAAAGTTAAAATTTAAAAAAGAAGTGATTTTGATAATGTGGATATTTTAATTAATAATCAAGGACAGCCTCATGAAGGGGAGAGAATCACAACAACTATTTGAATGAAAGCATGGAAATCTTAAAGAGAGATTACAACACAACTTGAGGGTAATTTTTAAAATCTGGGCTTGCATTTGCGTGGGTGCTTAGAAGTAGGAATGGATTGAGAAGGGGGCTCTGTGCAAGCTTGCTTTATAATGACTGCAAAAGCCAGTGGGGTGGAAATGCTCAGAAAGAATTCACACTCTGGTCTCTTTGGAAGTGGGACTTTTCCTTGATTGACTTGCATTCCAGTCCTCTTTGGGATCTTTGCTCCTTAGCTAAGAGAGCAGTAGGTGAGCCCCATTTTTCTTCACTCTCAAAAACGGCAAGGGATTAATTAAGCCAAGAGCTGGATTGTCTTTGGGTCTGGTTGAAAGAGACAGCAGGCTGGAGAAAGTGCAGCAGCTGTCTCCATTTTTCTACAGAACTTTTGCTGGAACAATTTTTTCCCTTTCTTTTTATTTAAAATTTTTGCCAAAACACTGCTGCTCTGCCTGCCCATCCTTTAGCCAGGCGTTTTGTATGAGAGTGATTGAAGTGGGCAATTATATTCTCCTCTTAGCTCCTCTTCATTTTCCTTTGGTAGACATTTATTTCTTCGTGGTGCAGCAAAATGCATTTTTCAACAGAGGGTGACTCATTTTTTTTCCTATTTGGATTCCAGATAGATTATGGAGAGAGATATGTGTGTTTTCCTGATACACTGATTATTTTTGAGAGGAAAAAAGAAGCATTTTGATTAGCTGGCATGACACAGAAAAACATGAATATTCCCTTCTTCATGCCCTCTTAAAGGGCTCCTGCCCCCGGTACTTCACAAGTAACATAGAAAAATGTTCAAAACCACGTTTCCAAATATCCTAATTATTTGCCATCTACACTGAACTTTCAGCTGAATGTAAATACCTCATCAAAGTATTCACTCATCTTTAATTTTGTCAATAATTTTGCCAAAATGTAAATTCTCTACCCAATCCACAGGTGCAGAGGTGCTAAGTCAGTGTTCTCCCTCTAACTCCACATTTTCTTGTTCCTTTTCTTCTCGCATCCACCAATACTTGCTCCCCTTAACTGCCAGAACATTCAGTGCAAATGGTATGTTGTTGTGTGGATACATTCAAAGGCTGCTCGGGAAAACTAAGGAGATAACTAGAACTTGCCCACCCCAACCCCCAAGGCACTCTGACATCTGAAATCACCCTGAGAGATTTCAGAAACTTTCCTGCTGAGACCAGAGCATATGTCATGAATTTGCTCTGGCTTTAGTATCCTTCATTTCCTAATCTCCTTGGAGCACCAGCAAATGAGACTTAAATTTAAATCTAATAAGCTAAACAGGTATTTCCATCTTAAATTCCTAGGGCCAGCTTCACGAAATTGTAGAGGAGAGGTTCCTTGCATATCATTTGATCTTCTCTCAGCAGAGTTGGCCGGTCATGCCATCCTGAGTTTCAGGAAAGAACCACGTGAAGAAGAAGGTGATTTGGCTAAGTCTTTGCATCCTCATTTCGGCACCAGATGCTGCTTGTATGTTCACACTGTGTAAATGTCTGTACCCCTGTCTTCAGTACTCTCTCGTGGTCTGTTGGAGGCACCTGTTCGAAGGTCATTACTGAAGCCTGTATAGAGAGGGCAGTGCTCCGTCACATGGAAATGTCCTTCAGGTTCTCTGAGGCTGGCAGAAAGCTCATGGAATGCTAAAAATATATATTAATAAAGAACTTTCCTTCCTTCCTGGGAAGATATCATTTTGCAAATGAAATTACACAAAGACTACTGATGGAGTGAATTTCTAATATCAGCCTGACTCCGTCTTGTAACCACCCTACCCAGGGCTGCCCCATCTTCTAAAATCAGTCATTCTGTTGTTCAGGAAATGTAAACCAATTTAAATTAGGCACAAACTAAACAATTGCTAAGGTACATCTGCTGTCAAAATTATTCTGAAGGTAAATAGTGCCCAACACAATGCTTTGCCTGGAAGACTTTTGATAAACATGATTGAATCAGCAAATATTTTTAAATAAATGAATATGAATGGTTTTTGCACCCATCCATGGTTTGGGTTATCTGTCACATTTGATTATTCTCACCATTTCTCCCTTCCATTTGTTAGGTCATTGGAAAGGTAGAGTAATCTGAATTTCCCTAAGAGCACGCAAAACGAGAATGAGAATGTCAGAAAGGAAAATGCATTCTCCACTTCACAAAATCTGTGCATCTTGTAGGGGCTTGTTCACATGCAAGGATAGATAACCCTGCAGGACAATCAACCTTAATATTCAGGAGGATCCGTACTTCTTAGTGGAAAGGGTGGAAAGGAATAACTTTTATTAAATGCCTCTAATGTGTCTTTGCTTTCACATACATGATCTTACTTGTATGCAATCCAATCTTGGGAAGCATATAATATTTCCATTTTAAACATTAAAAAAGAACAACCTGAGACTCAGAAAAGTTAAGTAAGTGGAGGAACCATTCTATAAATAGCCCAGGAAAGAGCAAAGCTGGCAATATTCAGTGTTTGTGAAAAATGTTTGCAAACGGGCCACAGGTGCTTGCCTGAGTTCCTCATAATATTGCTTTATTGAGAGTTTCATAAATCTGGGCACTGTTCTCAGTGCTTTACCTGAATTTGTTAATGGGGTATGTACTATATTGTTCCCATTTTATATGGGAGGAAATAGAGGGACAGAGAGATTCAGAAACTTGTCCCCAATCACATAAGCTTGGCCCCAGTGCACCAATCAATATTTAGGGGATCTGTGTCCTTTTCATCTCTCTCTCTCTCTCTGTCTCTCTCTTTCAAGGTCTCTAGGGACAAGTGCTATTCCACAAAACTTTCTGCAAAGATAGATATGTTCTGTATCTGCTGCACTGCTCAATATGGTGACCCCAGCCACGTGTGCCTATTGAGCACTTGAAATATGGTTTGTGCAACTGAGTAGCTGAATTTTTAACTTCACTTAATTTAAATTAATTTAAATTTAAATAGTCACATGTGGCTAGCAGCCATATTGATCAAAGATAGCAGCTGCAGAGACGCTGAAATAATAATCGCTAATATAAGAGCTAACATTTGTGGAGTTCATTCAAACTTCAGAACAACTCCATGTAGTAAGTACTATAATTATCCTTATGTTACAAATTCAGAAAATTTATTTTACAGAGTGCTATACTTTGGATATTTAACCCCTTCAAATCTCATGTTAAAATTTGATCTCCGATGTTGGAGGTGAGGCCTTATGGGAGATGTTCAGGTCATGGGGGTGGATCTTTCATGAATAGATTAATGCCCTTCCAAGCCCAGGAGGGAGGGAAGGAGGGAGTTCTTGCTCTCTTAGTTCCCAAGAGAGCATCTGGTTGTTAAGAAAAAGCCTGGTATCTCCCCCGATCCTTGCTTGCTCTGCATGCACCATGCATTTGTTGTTGCTGTCATTGTTGAGGAGGCATATGGCCCAGTGTTAGCATTTATTTCACCCTCATGAACCTGGGAGGGAGGTAGCAGTGTTCCCCTTACAGAGAGGGTTAAGAAAGCTGCCTGATGGTATGAAGCCAGGATCAACCCAGGGCGGTGACAGGCCAGAGCCTGGGCTCCCAGTCATGAAGACCTTGAGTAAGGGGTGTATGGGGCTTGTCCAGAAGCCCAGAGACCCTAGAGTAGGCAGACACCTGGAGCACCAGGTCCAGGCTGGCTCAGTGCTTGATGACCAGGGGCTTGATCATCCATGGGAAGACCAGTAGCTGCAGTCAGCTGGTGGGACCAGCATCATCGCCTCCCTGCCAATGTTCTCCTTCCACCAGCATAGGAATCTGTGTCTCTCAAACACGGTGGTGATGTCCAAGATGCTTGGACTTCATCAGTTCCCCCAGGAAGTGAGATTGCAGTAGGTGAAGAGACATCACCCAGCTTCAGCAGGTGAAAGGTGTGGTTCTTAGTGAAGTTGAACGGGCGTATGTGCCAGGTCTCTTCCAAAAGTGGGCATGTGTACTACGGGATCCCATCAAAGTGAACATCCAGCAAGGGGGCACCACTCTCTCCCACAGGCCTTTCAAGGGGACAACCTTGCATGGCTGCTGCTTGGCTGAGCCCTGGAGTTGCTGGAAGTCACCATCACTACACTTGATGATCCAGTGTTCATTGATGGAGGCCTCCCACACCATAAGGCTGCAATGGCCACACTCAAGCCCACCTCCAGGACCCAGCCCCCTTTAAAGGTGGTGGCAGCCACCAGCGTATGCATGTAATGGGCCCCCCAGGCTCCATCAGCAGCTCCCCTTCACTTTCTCCCAGGAGTGGAAGAAGCCAGAGCCCATACCAGAAGCAGATACTGGTGCCATGTTTCTTATACAGCCTACAGACTCATGAGCCAAATACACCTCTTTTCTTTATATATTACCCAGCCTCAGATATCCCTTGGTAGCAATGCAATGGACTAAGAGACGAAATATGATTGAACTGCCTAATACCACACAGTAAAGGAAGTGGAATGCATAGACATAGAAATTAAGGTCTGGAAATTTTGATCTAAGGGGAAAAAAAAGACACAGCAAAGATTCTTTGGCTGTGAAAGTAATTTTAAAGTGCTGGGACTTTGTCTGGTTTTGCCCACTATTTTATCCTCAGGGCTTGGCTCTTAGTAGTAGATGCTCAATAAAACCTTTTTAAATAAAAGAGTGAATAAATGCATAGTTACAGTCTTGTTCTATTATACAGAGAACTGTAGCCAATTGTCCTTCATCTTTGCTAAGAACAGCCTGGAAGATTTAGATTAGATGAAAAAACTTCCTGACACTGAAATGTGTTTCTGGAGGATATTAAAATCTATATTCTCAAAGTATGTAAAATAAGATTCCTCCTGATCAAAATGCAATGCATTTGATATGCTCCCACCTACAGATTAAGGGATTGATTAAGTTCATCCTTCATCCCTTTGAGATAATCATTCACTTTTAAATGTAAAAGACCCTCTCCTAGCGCATAAAGAAATCGCAAGCATTTCCTGAACAAAAGCAATTTCTAAAAAGAAATTTTGCCAAACATGTTTCAATCAGAGAGTGAGTCACAAAGAGGGCACATTTGTTCCCTAATTCGAGGTCTGTTGGTTATGAAGGTTGTAGCACATCAGTTTGGGGTTATTCAAAACTGTAAATTTTACAATTCTTTTCATTTATAAAGCTGTTTAAAAACATCAGTGGTTTCCATCTAGTTTTAATGACAGCTTTCCACATCCTTTGTGATCCTCAAAAACAATTACATGGTAATTTACTAATACTGACCTACAAAATTTAATAGACATTTTTAAGGAAATGGGGGCACTGCTATCAAAGCTGGCATCTCCTTAGTGAATGTGTTGCTGGCATCTTTCATCTCCCTGGTCTATGTTGTTTTTGGAACAAGGAGCACATCTGACCTGATCATGGTTATGCCCTCAGAGCTGGCATGTCATCTCCAGGGAACAGGGCTTCGATAAAACTTGTTGGATGAATCAATGAATGAATTATAAGGTGGCCAAATACATTACATTTTTCTCATTATTTTAAGGTAAAAAATCTGAGTTCAGGGAAAATTAAAATTTTGTCCACAGCCCCCAAATAAGACAAAAACAGAAGACTATATATAAAAAAGGATGAAATCTTCAGAAACAGCCTTATTACAATAGCTTTTCAATGTGACCCTCTTTGGGAAGCTTCTGAATCAGACAATGTCTGTCAGGAAACAAAGCACTTTCGGTGTTTCCGTGAATTTACCATTGGGTATTGATATCATAGATGATGAAGAGCCAAGGAGCCTATCAGGAAGGCAATGAAGAGACTGGCAAAGGCAAGAAGGTACTATCACTGCTAGAGAGATCCAGGGGGAAGGCTGTGTGACCAGAGTCAAGGAACAGGAACATCTGGAGAAAGCCTGCCCAAACAAGAGCTGAAGCCGTGTGGAGGAGACGCAGCAGCTACCACTGCAAATGCTACTCGAGGCAGAGAGACGGAGGAGGTGGAATGTGGCCTGTTTCCTCCTTGGGCCCTTCGGTTTTCCACAGTGTCTTTCACTGGCCTTCTTGAAATCCAGGAAACAAGAGAGCTGGAAAATATTGGTCTCTGAGTTATAGCACAGGGCAGAGAAGGGCAGAAAATGCACCTGAAAGAAAACAGGCAAGTGACCTATATACCTTCTTTTAGGCCTTCTCCCTCTTGTGTACCGCATAGCATATTAAGTGGAAAATTATTATAACACTCATTGTATCACGTGGCTGTGTTTTGCTTACATATCCATCTCAACTTTTATCTCTTGCTTTCCCCAGCACCAGCACTGGCACATTGCAATTTTTGAACAAAAGATTTTTGAACTAATGAATAAATAGGTGATTAGATTTAATTCAATTTCAATGAATGTTTATTAGGTCATTATTAGGATATTGGGTCAGAATGTTCTAGTTGATTCTACATACATCACCTCCTTCATAGAGTATCCTGAAAGGCCCACAATTCACTCGCACATTCTTTCTCCTAACTGTCAAATTTTACCAATTAAAAAGTATTATCAGGCTGGATATGGTGGCTCATGCCTGTAATCACAGCACTTTGAGAGGTTGAGGCAAGAGGATCGCTTGAGCCCAGGAGTTCAAGACCAGCCTGGGCAACATAGAGAGATGGCAATCTCTACAAAAACTAAAAAAAAAAAAAAAAAAAAAAAGCAGGATGTGGTAGTGCATGCCTGTGGTTCCCAGCTACTAGGCAGGCTGAGGTGGGAGGATCTCTTGAGCCTGTGAGGTTTAGGCTGTAGTGAGCCAAGATTGTGCCACTGCACTCCAGCCTGGGCAAAAAAGTGAGACACTGTCTCCAAAAAAAAGAAAAAGAAAAAAAAAATCACTATTTAGTGATGTGTGTGATGGCTCCCTTGACACAGATAGTTCATTTCCCATAGTGATAAATATTAAAATCCAGCATATATTAAACCTGCCATGTTACAGGTCAGGTTCTGCCCTCCATGCTGTGTGGTCACCTGGGTGAAAACCATGTACCTGTCCTCAGGAGCTTATACTCTGCTGGGAGTGAGCAGCTAGGGATCGTTTTGATGTCTCTGCTGATTTAGGGGTACGCACAGGATGCTGTGGAGTCAAACTAGGGCACTTCACATAGGCTGGGAATTCAGGAAGCTTTCTGGAATTCCAGAAAAAAAGACTGAGTCAGGTAAAGAAAGATGGGGCCTGGCAGGGTGGCTCACGCCTATAATCCCAACACTTTGGGAGGCTGAGGCGGGCAGATCACCTGAGGTCAGGAGTTCAAGATCAGCCTGGCCAACATAGTGTGAAACCCCGTCTCTACTAAAAATACAAAAAAAATTAGCCGGGTATGGTGGCGCGTGCCTGTAATCCCAGCTACTTTGGAGGCTGAGGCAGGAGAATCGCTTGAACCCAGGGGATGGAGGTTGCAGTGAGCCAAGATCATGCCACTTCACTCTAGCCTGGGCAAAAGAGCAAAACTCCATCAAAAAAAGAAAGAAAGAAA
The DNA here is from genome assembly GCF_000001405.40 of Homo sapiens. Lineage (NCBI taxonomy): Eukaryota > Metazoa > Chordata > Mammalia > Primates > Hominidae > Homo > Homo sapiens. The sequence goes on from NC_000013.11 coordinate 34,578,012, forward strand.
GAGAGAGAGAAAAAAAAAGAAAAGGGAAGAACATGCACACAGACAGAGTTGCGATAGAAGTTTCTGTCCATTATTGAGTTTGACCAGAGATGAAATGTAGACCCTGAGGCTGAGCCTTATCACAAAAAGTCATGAAAAGTCAACCTTTACTCTGAAGGCAATGGTGAGGCACTGATGAGCAGTAAGGAGAGACTCATAGATGAGATGTGCATGGCAGGTGGCTCACTCAGTCTGCAGCATGGAAGAGAGAGATTTAAAGTAAAACTGAGATAGTCAAAGGTTATTGCAGATCTTACAGAAATGGGCAGACCAATACCCAAAACCCATGTCTACAAACATGTTCACTTCAGCATTGTTTCCAATAACACAAACCAGAAAACTAACTAAATGTTCATCTTTTAACATTTTTATTTTCTTTTCTCTATTTTTACAAGCCCACAAGTAACATCATGTATGTTTCTAAAATTTTTATGTCAAAAACTCACACTTTCAAATTCTTATGACAAAATGTGATTTTATATTCTCAATATCTGATTTAAACAGAGAGCTCTATGTGCAACCACTTTTTTTTTTTTTTTGCATTTCCTACTCTTCTTTTGTAACAGATGATTCACAATTATAATTGCTCAACAAGGATTCAAGTTCTACAATGCCCTAAATGCTGGATATGAAAGGCAATATCCAAGGGTTGTGAAAGAGACAGGTAATCTGGCAGGCATCTCACCAGGCCCGGGGCTGCTTGTGGGATGAGGTTTTGGTGCAGAGACCCCAGCATCCTATGGTGCTCCTTGATCATAGAACTATAACTATTATTTCCCTGAGCTCTAAAAGAATCTGTTTTCTCAAAGTCTGGGGATATGGCTGATTAGACCTCACATTCCTTCCCTTGCAGTAATGATCTCTCAATGATGTGGCCACTTTCTCCTAAATTTTCATTAATTTCCTATATGATCAGAAGTAAGTTCTGTCTAGGTGACTGGAATTCATTCCCAACTCAAAACTGAACTTGCTCTACATACTGAGAGAAATTTGTCAGCCAAAAAGTTAAACATTTATTAGGCATTCTGAAGATTGTGACTGTCTTATCAATTTTGCATCTCTGGCATCTTACATGGCATTTGGCCCACAGTAGATGGTCAGTGAGTGGTTAGTGAATTCAATAAATCAAGTGATATTTTCAAAAACACAATTTCTTCCCTGAATAGACAGACCTCCTTCCCCAAGCATTTTATTCCTCACCTTGAATCAATTTTGCATTTAAAAGCAATTTTCAAAATCTCTTGTTGCTGTCATCTGACAGGCAGGCTGGACATGTTGTGCTATATGCCACAATGATTCCAATGTTCTTAAGCCTGATATGGGTGGGACTGTGACCCAAAACATGCTCAAGTCATAATCCCCAGTACCTGTGAATTTGACCTTATTTGAAACTAGGTCTTTGCAGATGATCAATTTAAGATGAGGTAATTGATCTTAGAGAGTGGGCCCTAATCTAGTACAACTGTGCTCTTATTAAGAGGGGAAATTTGGACACAAACATGCACAGCCAGGAGAACAGTGTGTTAAGATGAAGGCAGAGATTAGCATGATCCATCCACAAGCCAAGGAATGCCAAAGATTGCCAGCAAACCACCAGAAGCTAAAAGCTGGGAAAAGAGGCATGGGTCAAACTCTCCCTCACAGTCTCAGAAGTAACCAACCTACCAATGTCTTGTTTTCGGATTTCCAGCCTCCAGAGTGGTGAGACAAGAAACTTCTATTGTTTAAGCCACTTGGTCCATAATACTTAGTTACAGCAGCCCAGGAAACTAATGTGTGGTACTTCAGACATACTGGTTATAGTTTGTGTCACTTTTTACTTTAGTTAAATGTTTATGTATCCATCTCCACTTGTGATTGTGAGGCCTTTGAAATCATATATGATGTCTTAGTCATCTTCATATCCCCCTGCACAAGCACACTATTGATTTGAATTAATTACATCCTCGATACCCCTTGCTATCCCGCAAGCCCACATCAAGTCTATTTCCCTGGAACAGGGTGTATGTACTCCTCTATTATTTTGGTTCACTGAAACTTAGTGATAGTTGTATCGTTTCTGCTTCCTTGTATTAACATTTCAAGCACCTTTTGCTTTTTCTCTCTTTTGCACTTAAATGTTTACAAGTTCAGCCATAAGTTACTGTTTTTGACCAGTGTTCCTGTTGTTTTCTTATGAGAATGATTAAGCTCTTTTTGTACTTCTGCTTGCAATTGTTGATGTTTGGTGGCGGGGGCGGGGGGGCTTGGTCATATATATAATTCCTTATATAATTGTGATTTACGGCTTATTTTGCTTAATATTTTCTTCTCCCTCTTCTTAAAGTCTTGGAATTTTAAACTCCTGCTACACGTAAATCACTGTACTAGAAGCTGAAGATGCATATTATGAATAACATATGGTCCTTGTTCTCAAGAGATCAAGTCAGCTACTTTCCTGAACTTTTTCTTCCTAATCTTCATAGGATACTATCTGCCTCTTATCATTTTGTTACCATAAACCACATGCCCAAGGACCAAATTCTTTTATTTTCCCACATACTTCCTGTTACTTCCCATATCCTTCCACCTACCTTTCAAAGTCATGAGTTCAGAAGAAGATATTGCATATCCTAGCCTCTAAGTCCATCTGTTTCCCACTCAGATCTTCCAGATCACTAGACATATGTACCAAGTTCCCTTTTCCAGCAACATGTATCCCCAAGTGGGTACGCAGGAAACAAATACACTGGGTGGTTAAAAATGGAAGGGACATTGGATTTTGTCAGGCTTCCTTCCATTTTCATATTATAATCCACACAGGTTCTTGGTGTGCAGTCATCCACCACCATCCATCACTGTGTAGAATGGTAGGGATCAGAGGGAGTCACTTCTCCTGGGGTTATAACAGGATTCTGCTTACTCATGAATGCTTGGAAATGATTCTTCCTTCATGTTTCTAGAAAAATAGCACACTGTTTTCTCTTCAAGCAAAGTTTTATGTTGTGCCACACTAGTGATAATCTTTTTCCTCATCTCTTTTCTCAATGTCACATTCATTCACTCCTATACTTCTTAACACTGGTATTGATTTTCCCAGTAAGTAGTTCCTCTTGCTTTTTCAGAGTGTATTTTTATTTTTAGCATGCTCCTTGAATTATTTTCTTTACTCATCTTCTCCAGGGATTTTTCATTCTCCTTAGCAAGCTGGAGTGCAGAGGTACATTCTTGACATCCTTTAACCTTCTTCTAAAGGAAAGATTAGTATGCATTTAGAGCACATATAATTGATGACTATCGCAGCAGAGAAGACAACTGTAGCCCATACTCTACAAGTCATTGCAACAGGACTCTTAGTTCTTATACTTCCTGGATCTACTGGTGAAAGTATAATCAGAAGAGGCTGACTTTTGAGGCTTGCACATAACAGATCTCAGAATTCCCATGTCAAGACATGAATTTATCTTGTCAGCACAATATGCACGAAGGGGAATTTTCAAGTAGACAATGTCATGCTCGATCATACAGAATGACTCTATTTTAGAAACATATTTTAAAATAACGCAGGACTCGATTCAATAGATGAATTTTTAACCCCAAAAGTTGATCGTATAATATGACACTTTTATCATTACATCCTTTTCTTAGCAAAAAGGAATATTTATTCAATATTTATAGTTCCCTTTGCACTAAAGATAACATCCAGATTCTTTTCCTTGTGCTTTAAAAACTCCTCCTTCAGGGTCCTAGATTACTTAACTTCTTTTGGCCACAAGTACATCATCACCCTCCTTCAACACTAAGCTAGCCCCTCGGTTCTCAGCTCCTCAGTTTTCCAAACTCAGCTATTGCACCCAAACCACCTTCCTGGCAAACAGGCTGCTGAGGCTTTGCGAGTCCATGCTGCTTTTGTGCACTGGGCAGCACATACAGAGCAACTGTACATGTGGTCAACAGTCAGGGCTGGACTCAAAGTATCTGAGCTTCCTCCACTCTTCACTCTTGGTCGTCCTTCGCATCGTGAAGCTCACTAGGTGAACCTTCTTCCAATGCTTTTTTTTGCTTATCTTGTCTTCTTTTATGTTGAATATTGGAAAGGTACACATTATATTGCAAGTTCTTAGACAAGAGGAATACTAACACCCCCAAATCCTCTCCACTAATATCTGACATGACAGAATAAACTGTTGGCAGTAATGGCACCTCCTGTGTGTAAAAGGAGTTAGATGACTGATGCATGACCACAGGACTACAGCCCTTTCTAAATGGGCAGCTATCTTTTGGGTTGAGATTGTAACCACTATTTGAAAACTGCATTTTTACAAATTGCATTGCACTCTCTTAACAGTACAGTTTTAAGTCATTCTACACAATTGCACATAGATATTCTTAAACTAAATCTAATCAGCCTACAAATTGTCTATTATTTACTATTCACAGTGTCCCCACCACTATATTAGGATAATTATTATATACATATATAATATTTTCATATTACAGTTTTAATATTTTCATATATAATAATCACATACATTTGATTAAGTAAGGAGCTTACATTAGAAGACTTTATCTTGAGCTCCAAACCCACTGGGAATCTCTTTCTCATGTCTTATGAATGCCTCAAATTGAGCAGGCCATGAAGTGTGTGATTTCCTTTGGGCATATATTTCCCTCTCCCTTTCTCCCAGGCCTTCTAGGGAGCTCTTACTTCTTCCTCAAAGTACTGTTCAGGCATGCATTTTTCTGTTAGTTCTTAGATCAATGGATTATAACTTTACATACAGCAGTGTTGTTTAGAATGCAGAAACTATTCTTATTCAGCTCATTCATTCATTCATTCATTCAGATAGCATTTATTTAGTGCTCAACCATGAATCAGACACCAGGCCCTACTGGAGTGACTCAACAGGGAGCAAGAAAGTCATAGGCCCTCTATAAAGGAGGTTACAGTGTCCTGGGGAGAACAAATCATAAACAAAAAAAAATAGATCAAAGTGCATTATAGCCTCAAAACCTGGCAAATATAGGCTCTTTACAAATGTTGATAAAATAAGTTATTTTTTTCTAAACTCAATGAGCCCTCATAAACATAGGGCAGAAAATACTACATATAGTCAATGGTCACATAAAGAAATATTTTATCACAGAGCCTGATTCATATAAAGTTGTGAGAAAGTGATGACGGATTCTTGGCCCATATCCCCCCATTGGTATCAGGCAGAGCAAGGGAGATCATCAATGGTCAAATGCTTCATTCATTTTTTTTCTTGCCCAAACCAATGATATTTTCCACACCAAAATTTAGAAACAGGGATATGCTGAAGTAGCTTTAACTAAAGAAGACAGAACTCCAGCCAGAGAAAAAGAAAGACTTCCAGCCAAAAACAAAAACACTTTAATTAGTTGTTTCATTTAAAGATGTTGAAACAGCTCCAACCCAAGGAAACCAAGCCCTTCAGAGTCAGAACAGCTTAAAGTAGAGAAAAAAAAGATGTTTCATTTATTTAGGAGTTTGATCTCAATCCAATTTGGAAAAGAAAGCCTAAAACCTTTTAGGCTAATAAATCTAGTGATAATAGAATGTTGTTTTCAGTCATATGAGAAGACCTATGCTCTGCATGAGATCTATTTTAAAATCTTTAAAATTTTATAATCAGGGCAGGCATGTAAATGGTTATTTAATATGGTTTAGTTAATACTTAACATTGCTTTCTATGAAATATTCTGTTTAAAGTAACCTATTTGCAAGCTTATTATTGAAGGCTTGATTTCAGAAAATATATGAGAAAATTTGGGATCAGTTATCGTATTTTTAAAATAGCAAAAAAATTATTTATAGGGAAACTTAATTCTTAGATTATAAGAATACATTGACATTAATCTGAATAGGAATTTAGAAGGAAAGTGTCTAAGCATGGCTTCCTCCCACCTGTCAAACCCAACAGAATCTTACTTTTACAGCTAAAAGAGGAAGGTAAAATATTGATCTTTTATGTTTGAACTTGGAGAAGAAAATAAAGCAAAGAGAAAGAAAATAAGCCTATTTACAGAAGATGTTTCAGGTTACTCAAAACTCTGAAAGCACTCTATCAAGAAACTCAGATCCTTATATTTCATCTACATCCCAGCAAGTATCAGATTTTAATCCAAATACATTATTCTACTGTTGACACAATTCACTATCTGATTAATTTATATCAAAGAGAATGATATCAAATACTTAATTCCTATGGTCTCTCCTTGCATAGCCAACAAGGTTTTGTATGCCAAAATGTGGACTCTGGAAAATGAATGAGCCTTTTGATATGAGATTTTCATTTCCTCCACACACTCCTGAGCATCCTTCAAATTCTTGCAGTTCTACAAACAAAATTCGTGTTTTGATACCTGTCTACTCTGGCACATTTGGTCCCATCTGTCCGGCCAATCCTGACTCTTCCTTCCAACCTTTAGTGGCCCTTCCTCTGGAAAATTTTTCTAATATTCTTTTCTTTCTCTGTGTTCTTACAGAAGTTCATGGAAAGTTTCATAACTTACTACAATTAATTATTTAGTTAGTTTACATGTCTATCTCCTCCAGTAGAGTAAAAAGGGCAAAGACTATGTTCCATTTGTCTTTGCATTTCCAGAACCTTACCTGGTTTTATAACTAAATAAATGTTTAATAAATTGACAAGAGAAATAAAGGTGGAAATGGAAACCTCTGATCTCGAGTAATGTTTTCATTTTGTAAATTCATCCGCCTTACTCAATTCCAGACCATTTCTATATTGAAGCTCCTGCTTTAGAGGTTTTACAATACAAAAGGAAAAGGTATATTTGAGCAGCATCAAATTCATTTCTCACACATCCATTTAGCATAAATAACATGATAAAACAAATAGTCAAGAAATTCCAAGTTAGACTTTTTTAAGGTAAAAATTACCTCAAGCAGGTATAGATCCATTAATCTTCAGATTTTAAAGAACGAATTATTGTCAACCTTTCACCAAACAATTAGGAAAGTAGTTTCAGAACATTAAATGCCTTTAAAAATTTTTATCAACATGAAGAAAAATCTCCAAAAAAGGAACAATATAATTTATATCCTATAAACACATCAGAGAGTAATAGAAAATGGTGCTGTGACATGAAGATATGAATATACATAGTATCATTTTCTATCACATAAAAATTCATAATAGCCACTAACATTTTCTAAACCTGCATTTTATATCTGCATATGTATGGTTTTGTAAAATGTGAAAAAATAAATCAGTATTAGCACAGCCCTATGTGTTTTTTCAAAGCACATTCTCAAAAACAGAAAAACCACTTTACTCAAAGAAGGCAGTTCTAAAGGAGAATTACATGAAAATGTGGAAACCGAGCTTGGAATCCCTGTATCTCATTCTTCATCTGAGTCTCACAAGCATCTTCACTATAGGAGCCGGGAAGCAGCACATCCTGTCACCCTGTCCTATGTCAGCACTCCCAAAGCTAAGCATCCAACACGTCATGGTATCTGTTCTCTCCTCGGCAGCAAGAGAGGTATTTAAAAACACAGATATGCTGGGCGCGGTGGCTCATGCCTATAATCCCAGCACTTTGGGAGGCTGAGGCTGGTGAATCACCAGGTCAGGAGTTCGAGACCAGCCTGACCAACATGGTGGAACCCTGTCTCTACTAAAAATACAAAAAATTAACTGGGTGTGGTGACGGGTGCCTGTAATCCCAGCTACTTGGGAGGCTGAGGCAGGAGAATCGCTTGAACCCAGGAGGCGGAAGTTGCAGTGAGCCAAGATCACACCACTGCACTCCAGCCTCGGCGACAGTGTGAGACTCTGTCTCAAAAAAACAAACAAAAAAAAACACAGATATAACCAAGTCCTGGCTTTAGTAATGACATACCCAGGCCCCTTAAATAGAAAGAAAAAGAAAGAAAGAAAGAAAGAAAGAAAGAAAGAAAGAAAGAAAGAAAGAAAGAAAGAAAGAGGAGAAAGAAAAGAAAGAAAGAAAGAAAGAAAGAAAGAAAGAAAAAAGAAAGAGAAAGAGAAAGAGAAAGAAAGAAAGAAAGAAAGAAAGAAAGAAAGAAAGAAAGAAAGAAAGAAAGAAAGAAAGAAAGAAAGAAAGGAAGGAAGAAAAAGAAGGAAAGAAAGAAGAGAAGAAAAGAAAAATGAGTCTTCAATGATCTTTGGAGAGGGCTCAGAGAATGGGCAGAGCCTTGAACGGGGTGTGACTCTGGACTCTTGCTGCCAAGGAGAGAATAGATTGGGGAGATGAGAAGCCGAGGGAGTAGGCTCTCCTGGAGTCCATGCATGACATGCTGGTGGCATGTGGTGGCCTGGTGGTGGGTGGATGAGGAGCAGATATGTTGTGAACTGTGGAGAAGGCCATGTTGCTGCTAGTTAAAGCAGCTGGATACTGAATGGCCTCAGAAGCAGGAGACTAACCATGATGTATCTGACGCTTAGCTGTGGGAGTCCTGGCATAGGACAGAGTGACAAGAGATGGCGCTTCTAAGGAAACATATCAATCAAGATCAGATACAGTAGCTTCTTGTTATTCACAGGAGTCATGTTCTAGAAAGTCACCAAGAACTCTGAATTAGTGAATACTGAACCTTTGCTCCTAAAGGAAATACATGATGATGTTCCCACAAGCCCCTAGTCACACATTTTCATCAACCAATCAATACATACCATTGATTTATGTGCATTTAAGACACCCTATTTAACCTGTGTTGCTGATTCATTAATATTGAGCTCACAGCCTACAGCACCATAACCGCACCTAAAGGAAGCTCCTCTAACACTCTTATTTTCTCCATGAAGCACATCACAGCTTTCTTGTTTCTCGGAACATCAGACAGCTCTTCAGTGCTACATTTGGGAGCCATTTTGTATAGCAAAGTTACCAACAAAGATCCCATAAGTGCGAAAAACACAGTACTAACTGGACTGCGAAGAAGACGCTTGTCTACAGTATGAGAACGGAAACAAAATGGCTGTGCGGCCATCTTTGACCCAGCTGGAAATGTGCTCCTCCAGTGATTTGAAGTTTTATTGCCACTCTGTACATGTCCGCAAATGACGAAGTGCTGGGAATATTGATTTGGGGGTAACAAATGAATTTTAGTGAGTAGGCAAATTCTCAGATAGGGAATCCACAAATAATGAGGGCGGACTCCATTTGTTAAGACATTGTTGTGTACTTGGAGCATGTATGTATGGGTTGCATGTGTACATACCGGAAGACGAAGAACACGCAACAATGTCCGGGTTTATCCTATGCACTTCTCAACAATGTATAGAAGCGTCACAAACTCTAAATACTACTATAGCCAATAGGAGAGGATTAAGCCTTCTAAGACTATTTTATTCAACTGAGTTAGCCACTTAAGATTCCAGTACATCCAGTTAGAAGAAAACATTATAATATTGTGTTTGCATGAAGAATCCATAAGATATAAAAGTGTACCAACAGATCATTAATTGTATACAATTTATTTGTAAGAAGGTCAATGCTTTCTGATCACAGGACGTATTAGAAATACATAAATGTGAGATTCCTGGACAGTTTCAAAATAACAAAACCAACTCTCAATTTATTTGGTAAATAAATAATCATGCCAATGGATCACAGGCAAATAAATCTTAAGCTCAAAAGACATTTTAATACTCTGGTTACTCTTTAAGTAAATCCATGTGAGAATTTTAGTACCTAAAGTGAAAATGGCGAGTTCTGGGCTTCCTGCCAATTTCATTTGGGGTGTGAAATTTCTGACTTACAAGCTGAAATTCTTGGAACCTTAGAAGAAATTTTTTTTTTTTTTTTATAATTGAGAATGGTTCTCCCACCCACAAAACGACCTACTTCCTTTTACCTAGCAGCTTTGGAGGAGCAAGTGTGAGCGGTGTGAGAAGGACCTTCTGGGAGGCAGGACCTCAGTCCACCTGCAGCCCCACAGCCTCTCCTCACTACTGGCTGCCCCTTGGTGCACGAGCATTCCACAGCCTGGGGAATGTCATGGCACCAGTAAGGCATTGTGCCACCACATCCCCAGCCCAGGTTATTTGAGGTAAAGGGAGAAATGACAAAGGAAGTGCCAGCACCTGCTTCCGCACTCCCCTTCCCAGCTTCTCTGGAGGCTCCTTCCTTCAGGGATGTCACATTGTTCCTTCCTCCCTTCACGACCTCCCTCAAGCTTGCTGCCTAAGCAGCCTCCTAATGTCACTTCTGTGATTTCTCACTTCGGGGTATTTTTACCCATGGGTGTGAGGAACAAGGAAGCAACATGTCGTGGAAGGAGGGTAATTGCCCATGGCTCCTCTATCAAATGAGAGCACAGGAGGAGCAGAAGAGACTTCTCCAGGGGCACGCAGCTTCTCCCTCTCCTTGGAGAGCTTGCCCTGCATCCCCTGAAATTTTGAAGTGCAGGAACTTGCAGCCCGTTCTTATCTGAGGAAGCTGAAGAGACTGTGGATGAGCCTGACTCCTGCACAGGATATCTCGCAGACATGGGAAGGGCTGACACACTGCTGGGGCGTAGGCCACACTGCTGTGCCCCGCCAGGCGTGGGCAGGGCAGGGTAGAGGGACAGTCTGCGTGAGTACTTGGACCCTGTTTTAGCCAGGAGAGCTGCCTGGAGGGACAAGGAGATGTCTGTAGAAAGAGGCTGGTTGGGGATAGAGGGTGAGGGTCTTACCAATGCCCCTGGGCTAAGGAAGGAGCCACAAGGCTACCCAGAATACAGGCTTATCCTTTCTTAAGGTAAAACCAGGTGAGAGAGTCCAACCTATAACCTACCAGGAGCTCAAATATACTCCATGGAAAGAACCAGACATCTGCCAGGCCCAGGGTATGAACCACCCAGCAATGTAAGAATTACCCCATCCTTTTAGCCTCCCTTCTCCTCCTCCTCCCAAGGCAGGAAGCAGAAGCTTGTGAGATAAGGCATTCTAACCCCCTCGTCTCCAAACTGACCCAGGCTGGTGCCAGGAGGTTGATGCTTTAACATGAAGCCAAGTCAGACATCTTGAATAATAGCTTGGACTGGACATTAAATGTTTGAAATTGAGTCTATGCCTTATGTCACCATAGGGATGCACATTTTCTAAGAATAAAAAGAAAAGCTCTGGGATATGCCAGAATCTGCATCCAGGATTGAAGGGAAAAAAGCTCCACTACATCAAGTTTAATGGGGTAATGAGAGGCAAAATAAAGTTATGCTTGTTTTAGACCTGATTCTCGTTTGTTCAACTTACCTGATAGATTCACGCACACTTAGAAACAACAGGAACAATAAGGTAAAATAGGAAACTGATGCACTGATTATCAGTCAGAGGTTCAGGAAACAAATTTTTAGAGTAGAATGTTCAGAAACACCCAATGTAGTCTCCACATAGGTCTCTCTGAGCTGGAGCCTTGTATCTTTCAACTTAAATGTCCCACAGGCATCTCAGAAGAAGCATGTTCAAATGTCTGCCACCTCAAAACTCTCTTCCTCCAAGGCTCCAGAGTCAGGTCCTTGCACTAGCTTTTTTATTCATACTTTTCAAAAATAAATAAATATGAAACTGCATAAAGAGCATGTAGTACTTTAATGGGCAAAAAATGTACTACTATTACACAGAATCTATTATTACAAGCTGGTCAAGGAAGGGAGGGAGGGAGAGAGGGAGGGTGGGAAGCAGAAGGGAGGGAGGCAAGGAGGAAAGAAGAGGCCGGGTGCACAGCCCATCACAAATTCGGGTGTGTGCCAGCCCATATCCGTGTTTGTGGACAAAGATCTACAGGTTGGTCACACATGAGGGCATGGAGTTTATTCACAGCCACCCACTGTAAAGGCCAGCACTTCAACACTGCAGGTGACATCTGGTCTTCACTTAGGAATGCAGGCACCTGTGGCTAGCAGGTAGTAGGGGTTTAGGTGATTGAGAAAAGAATGTTGTCAGGACATGTCATCAGAAGACCTGTTTGCAGCTTAGAGGGATCACTTAAAACCTTAGGAGTTTGAGTGGTGAATTCTCTTTAAACTTCATTTTTCTTATCTGTAAAGTGAGAATAAGAATCTTAACTCTGTTTATCTCCTAGAAGGTGTGGGAATCAACGTGGTGGATACTGTGTCCCGATCCCCCTTGAGGACCAAGGCACTCGTTTGCATGGCACTAGGGGTTTTGACTGCTGATGGTCCTCTGCTGAGTCCCCCTCTAGGAATTATCCTCAGCCTTTCCCAAGGTCTGCATCTCCAGACCATACCTACCCCAATGATTCATTAACACAGGTTGAAATCATTTCCAAAGGACAACTCCATCTCCCCACCTTCATGTTCCACCATAGGCCAGGCCTCCATCACCTCTCACCTAGTAGATTCTTGCAATTCATCTCTCTCGTTTTGCCCTTGACACACTGCAGCCTGAATGATCCTTGTAAAAGGAAATTATACCATGTTCTCCATGGCTACCCATCCTTTTAGCATGAAAGCCAAAATCCTTATGAATGCCTACAGAGCCCACACAGCATTCCACTGCTGGCTCACCCTGCCGGGAACCTTGTGATCTCCTCTCCAGATCCAATACGCTCTCCTTGTTCATGTTGCTCCAGCCACACTGGACTCCCCGCCCTAACTCAAACCCGCCAGGCACTCTCCAGACTCCAGGCCTTTGCATTGGTCACTCCCTCTCCCTACAAGGCTCTCCCTGACATGAACTGTTTCCTCGCTTCCCTCAAGTCTGTGTAAATGGCTCCTGATCACTGAGGTTTTCCTCCCCACTGTACTTAAAATTGCAACACCCTATCCCTTTTTCCTGCTTCATTTTCCTCCTTAACATGCATCACCATTATCACACATATAAGTCCATATTTTACTTATATACTTGTTGATTGTCTCCTCCCACTAGAATATAAGCTCTGTGATGGTAGGAATTTTTGCTTTGTTTTCTTCACTGCCATAACCCCAGCACTGTGTCCAGTGATGGACACAGAACCAGTCTTCATTAAATATTGACTGATGGAATGAATAAATTAATAACAGGTGAAGAGTTTCCCTGACAAACAGAAACTAACTTTTTTTTTCCCTGTGAGTAAATAAATGTTCAACAGAATTCAGATATTCCTGATCTGCATATAGGCAAGTACATATATACAAATGTAAGAATATAGTACTTGAACATAACACAGTGTTATTCAACACCTAAAGACACATAGAAAAATTTGCCAGAGTCGGTTAGTCAATGACAGCAATGCATTCTGAGAACTGACATTATCAGCATCTAAATCCTACTTCTTCTCTTTTCTGCAAGAAAGAGCCAAAGAATGACACATTTGAATTATTGTGACATCTTTTCTTCTTTGCCAAAGAAACTGACGAGAAAGGTCTGTGAAATTATAAGGGCAGATGTTACCATACAGTCTGTAATTTTTTCTTCTTTACCATTTCTCAAAGCACTAGGGCTTCTGAAGTTTCAATCGTTTTTTCTTTCTTTCTTTTTTGGAGACAGGGTCTCACTTTGTCACCCAGACCAGAGTGCAGTGGCATGATCATAGCTCTCTGTAACTGATTGACGCCCCTGGGCTCAAGGGATCCTCTCGCCCTAACCTCCTGAGTTGCTGGGACTACACATATGTACCACCACACACAGCTAATTTTTTGTTTTTTTCATAGAGACGGAGTCTATGTTGCCCAGGCTGGTCTCAAACTCCTGGGCTCAAGCAGTCCTGCCTCAGCCTCCCAAAGAGCTCAGATTACAGGCATGAGCCACCATGCCCAGCCTGAATGTCCAATCATATCATTTTGTTTTCCATAAAAGACACTGGGCCTAGGTTTTGGTTTTTTGTTTGTTTTTTTTTTATTTTTGGAAAAAAAAAAAAAAAAAACAATTCTCAGGGTGGAAACAAAATCTTCATCTTCTGCAATTTCCCTGGACTTTCTGGCCCTGCCCCAAGTGCAACTTCTCAGGATTCAGATGTGACTCCTCCCTCAGTTGACAAAAGGCTGTGCAAGAGCCATTAACAGAGTCATCTCGGGCTTTTGCTATTAGCCCACAATTTGCTGTGCTGGATTTGCCAGTAATTTATTTGCCCTACCAAATTACTAGAGTTCACATAGTTGGCAGTAGTTTGGAGGGAACGGATCTCCCAGCAACACCTGACAGGAAAACAAATAGGAACCAGAAACCCTTTGGTCCCAGTGGTGCTCCATGTCCCCTGCTTTGCCAAATCTCTCTGCAAGCCAGTCATTCTTTGAAAAGGGAGAGAGTGGATGAAGCCCAGAAAGAGTCACACTCACATCATCCCAGGCATTCTAAGAAATGTGACTGGACCAGTATAAGCCCTACTGAAGCTTTTGCATAAGCTCCCAGGATCAATCTCCCCCTTGGCATACAAAACAGCTCTGATTCCAACACTGTGAATAGAAGCCACCCACTGACTGTCCTCAGAGATCATCTCTCACACCCCAAGAAACTCTATTGTTGAATCAAAAACTCATTTGAATAATGAGTAACTTCAGGCCTGGCCATTTGTAGAGGGAGAGGCCAAAAAAAAAAAATTCCAATGCTAATATAGAAGAATGCTAGGCAATGGGAAAAAATCACAGTCAGTTGCCTCCACAAAGCAGGTAAAAAACTGTGGTGTAATTTTGTAGTCTTTGGAAGCCCTTCAGAGTTTTCTTATTAAAAATAGTAAAAGATGGGTATAAAAGACGGAGGGCAGAAGCAGAGGTGTTCATGCTGGGGTCCCTGTATGCGATTTCAGAGGGATCACAAAAAGCCCAATCATTCCACACTTGGCAGGTCCTCAGTGAGAAAGTAGCCCTGTCTCTCCTCCAACCTCTGGACATGCAGGTTGCTTGCGTGCTATTTATGTTTTGATTGACAAGTGTATGCTCTGTCTAGGTAAGTAGAGAAGCACCTCTTGCAAAGATGCTTCAAAAGAGCAGCTGTCTGGAAAGATGAAGCAATGCCAGGGTGGTTCAAGAGCCAATCCAAATACCAGTCACGGAGGTAAACATGAACAGATGAGGCCAACACTGCAATAAGGAGACTTACTCTAGGATCCCACGGTGTACTGGAGACAGACAATGTGATACGTTATTTCTTTTTCTTTATTTTTCATTAGGAGATTATCCAACCAAGAATTATTGTCTTTTAAGGAATGATCTTGGTTTATAGCATTTGTGCCTGTCATATTGTTTTCAAACTTAAGAGAAAAAAATATCACTTTACTTTTCATTCTCTCAAACACTTTAGCATGGTGTTCAGTGTCCTTAATGACCTTGTGCCACATGCTCTCATCTTCCACCCACTGAAAGTCTCTGTCGCCCATACAGTCTGTATAGCAAAATCCGTGTCCACAATTCCTTAAACATGCATAAACCTTCACTTATTCCTTCTTTTTTTTTTTTTTTGCTTTCTTGCAACCCCACTGGATCAAATTATACTCATTGTTTCATTGTTCAAGGGCTATCCAAATTAATCTCTTCTTTGGGGAGACCCAAATGCCTTCCTAAGCAGAATGTATTCCTGAAAGTGTGATCTTTGGCAGACTGTAATAGTCCCACTACAGATTTGCCCGATATGTAAAAGTCCATTGTTTATGAGCCTCTCTTACTCTACTATGAAGTTTTGGTGGACTGATCTGTATCTTATTCACATACTCCCTACCCACTCTTTAAATGTTTGATGAATGAATGTGTGAACAAAAGAGAGACAGAATCTATCTCTTTGTTCCCTCATGCTTTCACTGTCTTTTGTTTTAAAGAAAAGAAAAATCTACAGCCCAGAGAAATTCAGTCTTTCCCTGCATAACCTTGTCAAAGCTGCAAACACAGAATTAACTGAACAGCCTCACCGGCTGCATGGACATATGTAGTGTTAGGACAGCCATTGTGTGCTTCCACCACTGACAAGAATCAAGTATGTGGTAGAGAAATACCACCAGTGGTATATAAAAAAAGGAATATTGTTTATTAAAATTCTGAAACTCTAGGCAAAGACTCCAGTGAACTCTCCTACATGCTTTCCAAAATATATCAGTCTCTAGCAAAAAGGATTATTCCTTTGGGATTTGACCTCTTATTTCTTTAAATTCCCAAGACATACTCTAGCCCACAGACGCTACCAAACTGAAGTGTTGACAGTGCTTGAGTGATACTGATGTCATCAGAGAGAGGACAAGTAGTCAATTTGCAGGGAGCTGGGACCATCATATCAATGGGGAGTGAAAGGTGGAGATGGGGATTTTCGACTCTTCTTTATTTCTGCACTGTAACCCTTTAAGTACATGTGAGTGGTCACCCTGCAATTGCAGCAAGTGAAAGCCTTTATCCTAGAAGCCTTTATACTAAAGGAATCTGCTGACATAAATAGTGTCAATTCAACGGGTAGAAGGGTCTTGGAGGATTCTAATAATATTGTGCTAATGTCTCTCACAGAATTAGCAAAATCTAAGACCAAGGCAAGGATATCATTCCTCTGGGCTCCAATCTGTCTAGCTCCCAGGGCCCCAGACATTGCAGGGACTGGTGATTGAGGAGTTTCACCTTAGACCAGGAAGCATCCCTTTGTAAGTGACTTTCTGGAAGCTACTGAAAGCGAGAAAGTGTAATTTTAGCATTATCACATCAGCATGCGCATTGACGTGTTTATAATATACAGGACCATTCCTAAGGCATTTGGCCATAATTGCTGGGTCAATTCACAGGGCAGTCAAGATGCTCCAAGAGTGCTATGGAACAGGATGC
This sequence comes from Homo sapiens, assembly GCF_000001405.40. NCBI lineage: Eukaryota > Metazoa > Chordata > Mammalia > Primates > Hominidae > Homo > Homo sapiens. The sequence goes on from NC_000013.11 coordinate 34,594,753, forward strand.
TAATGGCATGTAGCCGTGATAGAATGCCGAAGTGATGATAGTTTAAGATACATGAGACATCAGCAAGGGTGACAGGCAAAAGAAGATGCAGAACTTTGCCTCTGCAGGAAGAAAAAAGGGCTTAGTTTAGCTAAAATGTCTTTTATGTTCCACAATCATCATCATTGTTCTATCACTATGTCATTATTATCAGGAGCCACAGGGTCAGGACACTGCCACTTCACACACACATGCATGTATACACACATGCACACACACATACATGGATGCATGCACACACAGGCACACACACACACACACGCACATACAAATGGGTTTAAACTAACTCAAACTCTGCTCTTCTTTGGTTTTAAGTGTTTGTGTGTGTGTGTGTGTGTGTGTGTGTGTGTGTGTGTATTCGTCCGTTCTCACATTGCTACAAAGAACTATCTGAGATTGGATAATTTATGAAGAAAATAGGTTTTTAATTGACTCACATTTCCACAGGCTATACAGGAAGCCTGGCTAGGAGGCCTCAGGAAACTTACAATCATGGCAGAAGGCAAAGGGGTAGCAAGCACGTCTTACGATGGCAGAGCAACAGAGAGAGAGAGAGTGCGTGTACAAAGGGGGAAGTGCCACACACTTTTAAATCACCGGATCTCGTGAGAACTCACTAGCTATCACAAGAACAGCAAGGGGGAAATCCAATCACCTCCCACCAGGTCGCCACCCAACATCGGGAACTGCAATTCGAAATGAGATTTGGGTGGAGCCACAGAGCCAAACTATACACACACACACACACACACACACACATATGTATATGTATACACACACACGTGCGCGCACACACACACACACACACACACGCAGAGGGGAGGGGGAGGTCTAGAAAGTCTTGGACATGGACTTAAAGAATGCAACCAGAATGATAAGGGTACACAAACATAAAGTTATTTGTATACATCAGGATGAAGGAACCCCTGGAGGAGTAAGTCTTCTTCATCATAACTGAAGTCCTAAGGCCATCAGCTTACTTTCACCTGAGTCTTACATATTCTGGCTTCCACTTTGTTTTCATTCGCCATCCTTTACCTAAGCATCTCAGTCATCGCTATAGTTTCTTCTGTATATTCATAATATTCTAATCTCTGAGGTCTAGACCCATAATTCTAACTGCCTATTACTATTAGATATTGACGTCATCTGGATATCATAAATTCAATACATCCAAAAGCAGATGACCACAATGGGTCAAAAATTAAGTAGTTTTGATTCTTAGCAGGTAAATTGTGTGATTATGTCCAATGACAAAAAATTTAGAGCAGTATTTTTCAAACTTTCAGTAAGCTGTGGACTACCTGCTTCATGGGTAAACATGGACCAACAATTTTTCTAATTTTTATGGATTGATTGCAATTTTAAACAATTAAAAAATCAAGCATTTTTAATTAATATTCATGTTTTTATATCAAGAAAAATGATGATATTATTACAAATTATAACCAGTTACCAAAAGGAAACTTTTGTCTGTTTCAACTGAGGCCCCAAGACAATAAGTGCCATTACACTTTCATTCCAAACTGAGGTGATATACTATTTATAAAGGTGTTTATTAAGGCCAAGAAGGGAGTTTGAGCTTGAAAAGAGAATTTCATTGGAAAATGCTGTTCAAGTGTTGTGACATTTTCCTTCTCCACCCCCAGGGAGAAATAGGAGGTAGTTCAGCTACCTCATCTCAAAGCTAAAGAGAAATGTTCAAATTCATAGAGTTTGAGGTGTAACCTTAGAGTTTGTGGGACAAAGTAAACTTGTGTTTGACTAATAGCAAAGAGATACAAAGGGAGAAAGGCTGAGTGAAGCAGAGTGGAGATTGTAATTACATACTTACATTTCCACTGATGAGGAAACAAATATGTTTCTAGTAGACAAAAGACTTATTTTTAAAAACCCTAAGTATGCAAGAAAATAAAATAACCAAAAACTAAGGGGAAGAGGAACCCACAGAAAAATGTCCAGATATGCAAAAAGATTAAATGACCAAAACCCAACAGAGGTTGAAAACAATAACAACACTTTTAGGTGCCCAGAAATTTGAGTTATCAAACATGGATTTTAGAATACCTGTGATTATTATTCAAGTAAGTAGATGGTGAGATGGTGAACTTCACCAGACAGCTATAATGCATAAAAAGAATCAAATGGGAATTATGGAAATCAAAAATAAAATAACCTAAATTAAAAAAATTGACGGATGTGTTAAACAACAGGTTAAACATGGTACAAGAAAGAATTAGTGAACTGGAAATGGACCAATAGAAAATATCCAGCTGAAATCACAGAGAGAAATAAGCAATTGCAAGTAGAAAAAGGCCATAATTGAAAAGACTACAAGAGATATACCAGACACCATTTAAAAAAATCTGACAAGTGTTAGTCTCCAAAGAGAAGAAAGAAATAATGTGTCAGAAGCAGTATGTGAAGACAGACTATGAATTTTGCAAAACTGACAAAAGACATAAAACCACAGACACATAAAGATTCTAGAGGCTCTACCAATGTCAAGCAATATAAATACAAAGAAAACCACACCTAGGCACATCAGAGTAAAACTGCTGAAAACTGAAGTCAGTGAGAAACGGTTCATTCAAGGAGCAATAATAAGACCAATGGCTGACTTTTCAACTGAAACTATGTTCAAGAGACGATGAAATGACATTTTTAAAGTGTTGAAAGGGGGCAGGGTGGGGGGAACTGCCAATCTGCAATGCTATAACTAGAGAAAATAAGCTTCAAAACTGAAAGTGAAAAAAAGAATGTTATTCTTATCTCATGACATATATAACATTTTATTCTAAGTAGATTGCAAACAAAAAAACAATAAATTCCATTTCATAAAATTGGGAACTTCTGTTAATCAAAAAACGTTACTAAGAAAGTAAAAAGACAAGCCCTACCCAGGGCAAAGTTATTTTTAATCCATATGGCTGGCAAAGGATTCATATCTACAAACTATAAACAGCTTCTAAGAAACAGTGAGAAAAAGACCAAGAGCCCAATTTGTAAATAATCGTCAGAAGATGTATTCAAACATTTTATAAAATATGACATCCAAGTGGTCAGTAAGCATTTGAAAAGGTGAGCAACCTCACTAGTTATCGATGAAATAGCAATTAAAACAATAAGATAACAGCACTGGCAAAATTAATGGCAAATGGCAAAAGTGAAAAAGAAAATACCAAGTGTTGCAAGGATGAGAAACAACTGGAATCATCATTGGTGCATTTAAATGGATACAAGGAATTTAGAAAACTGTTTGGCAGTATCTTCTAAAGCTCAACATATACCTGTTCTGTGACCTAGTAATTCTACTTGTAGATATAAACCCAACAAAAATATCTACCAAAAGAAATGTAAGGAATGTATAAAGCAGCATTATTTGCAAGAACCAAAAAATAGAAAAGTCCAAATGCCCAGCATCTCATTCACACTTTCCAAACAGAATTAACTCCTTCTGCTACAGCAGACAGTTGTTTATGCACCTGTTCTCAATGCCTGCACCTCACTCCATCTCCACTCTCATTAAACACTGGTCTTCAGTTACTCAGGGACTCTAGTGAATAAAAAGATCTTGGATGGATTCAGCAAAAGAGACCTAAATTATCTAAATGAAATGACATTATTATTTTGACTTAAAGGTCAAAATTAAAAGCTTCTTTTAAGCACACATATCCTCACTGACCAGCTGTGGGGTTCCGTGCTAATCCAACTGTGGGAACACTATTTGGGTGAGATTTGAAGAGAGATGAGATTCCACAATTCTGAAGAACTGGTATGTGTCCATGGACAGTTTATCTGGGAAACTTGACTTTCCAATGATAGACAGTAGAGAGCAGATATATTTCCCAAGCATGTCTGTAATAGGCATACAAATTGTAGAAGCTGCATTATCAATTACTCAGTTCATTAATAATATAAAAAGTTAATGAGTATAGAAAAGAGTGAAAACTTACATTGTAATATGTAAGGTTTTTTTTCCTTTTTACTGTTTCCACTATAGCACACTTTATAGTCTTTTGGAAATAGACTATAAAGTCTTAATAATATATTAACATGTAGATATATTATTAAGCATCAACATGGCGTTCCCAATATCCTGGGTCTTTTTAATGCTACTGAATAACACCTCTAAAATATAAGCTTCACTCCCCATTTTTCCTTTACTCAGCACCTACTGAATGCAAAGCCTGCAAAGAGGACACTTCCACATCTTCCCCCTCTACCTACACAAGTCCACTCCAAAGCAAATACAGGGCCCCAAATCACAAAGGAATTTTAAAGCCCATAGGTAGCTGATCTTTGAATTCTGGCAAGTTCTCTATTTGTCGCTATCATATTCTAAAGCATTTTTCAATTTGCACATGGATGATAATGCAGGAGACGATTTCTGATTCTCGTCAACTAGGAGATGTGAGTTGAGGGTGTCTTTTGTCAGCCTTCAAAGGGGAGGATCTTTTCACATGCAAACTGTGGATAAAGTTCCAACAGAGGGTTAAATCCAAGGTCAAGCACAGGTGTGTCCAGGTCTTAGTGAAATCACAATGAATTACACCTTGTTCAAACCCTGGTCCCACAATTTTCCAACTGTAGAAGCTTGGGCAAGGAAATTGACTTTCCTCTGTTTCAAAGGTTTTCATCTGTCAAAAGGAGATAAAAATGCTTGCCCTGAGAGGTTTTTGTGGAAATTAAATGAAATAATTCATACGAAGTACTTAGTCTGATAAAGCCTTGTACAAAGGAAGCACTGAATAACTATCAGGCTTATTATTATTATTATTACTATCATCATCATCACAATAAAGATAATTATTATTATTCTATCATCTCAGACACCTAAATATCATTTCTATATTAAGGCACAGCAGCACCATTTGATATCCTTTGGGAAAGAAACAGCCCTCCTTTTATTCTACATCTTTTTGTTACTCACTCATTAGCTCACTATAAATTTGTGCTTTTCTCTTATTACAATATCCATTGGACCAGAAATGCTTTTTGAATGGATAATAACAATGACAACCACAATAATTAGCACAAACGGAGTGCTTATGTTGAGCCAGGCATGGATCTAAGGGCTTTACATGCATTCTGTCACAACCACCTCATACTGCAGGTACTTTTGTTACCCCCACCTGATACATTTACTAAGAGAATGCCAATGTATTTCTTCTGCACACCACCCAGACTCAGGTTTGCCATTTGGCCTCCAGGAAAGAAAATTTCTCTCATGTTTCTCTGATGGTGCTGTGCACGAGGCACGAAGGGGGTGAGATGGCTTGGATCTGTGTCCCCACCCAAATCCCATGTCAAATTATAATCCCCAGTGTGGGAGGTGGGGCGTGGCCGGAGGTGACTGGATCAGGGGGCCAGTTTCTCATGGTTTAGCACCATCCCCACTTGGTGCTGTAGTTGCAATAGTGAGTTCTTGTGAGATTCGGTTGTTTCCAAATGTGTGGTACCTCCCACCTTGCTCTCTCTTGGTCCTGCTCCTGCCATGCAAGATGCCTGCTCCTGCTTTGCCTTCCTCCATGAGACCTCCCAGAAGCAGATGCTACCATGCTTCCTGTACAGCCTGCAGAACTGTGAGCCAATTAAACCCCTTTTCTTTATAAATTGCCCAGTCTCAGGTATTATTTTATAGCAATGCAAGAACTGACTAATACAGGGCAAGTTGCCAGGCAATGACCCTGGAGGCTAGTGAAGACATCACACAGGAGAAAATAAGACACATCTTAAAGAAGGAAAGACGCACCAGGCAGAGCAAAATCAGAAAACAAGCACAGCCTAGACCCCCTGGGGACTGGCAGCACTGCAGTGGTTGTCATGGAAGGAGTGAGACAGGGAGGTTGAAGGCAGATGGGCCAGATTGTGGGGGACCCGCAATCCACGTGACGGCCTCGTCCTCTTAATAGTGTATAGATTGTGGTAGCAAGGAGCATGCCAAGAGTTTAACCTGGGGTTTCACATGATCTTTTCCACATATTTCCTCTTACAAAGATCCCTCAGAGCCACTGTGAAGGTTGGCAATACTAGACTCCAAGAAACATTGAAGGTAAAATATATGAAAGACGAAAGGACCAGCAGGGAGTCAGTGGTGGTGCAGCTGGAGGGGAGGGTCAGATCCCAGAAAGATGAGGTAGAGTGGAAAAGGTGTGATGGCTGATGGGATGTGGTTGGTGAAAAGGAGGGGACAGGCCAGGTGCAGTAGCTCACGTGTATAATCCCAGCACTTTGGGAGGCCAAGGCAGGAGGGTCACCTCAGGTCAGGAGTTCGAGACCAGCCTGATCAACATGGTGAAACCACATCTCTATTAAAAATACAAAAAATTAGCTGGGTGTGGTGGTGTGTGCCTGTAATGGCAGCTACTTGGGAGGCTGAGTCAGGAGAATTGCTTGAACCTAGGAGGCAGAGGTTGCAATGAGCCAAGATTGTGACACTGCACACCAGCCTGGGTGACAGAGCAAGACTCTGTCTCAAAAAAAAAAAAAAAAAGAAAGAAAGAGAGAGAGAAAGAAGGAAAGAAAGAAAGAAAGAAAGAAAGAAAGAAAGAAAGAAAGAAAGAAAGAAAGAAAGAAAAGAAAACCGAAAAAGGGGGACAATCCAGTAAGATCCCCAGTCTCAGTGACCAGGAGGATGGTGATAACAATGAAATAAACAAGAATACAAAACAGGAGGTAGGATTTTTTTTTTTTTTATTTTGGGCTGTTGAAGAAGATAATAACTTCAGTATTGAACATGTGGAAAGAGAACTGATAAGAACTTGTGAAATTCCTAAATTTCTAGGTTGGCAAATATTTAAAGGTAAAGAGAAGGGGCTTCTCTTTAAAGGTAAAGTGGAGGGGCTCCCGATGGGATTACAGGAGCCTTCTAGTGGTCGGAACCTTGGCTTGTGTCAAACAGCCTTGGGTTTCAGTCCTGCCACTGCCATGGCAAGTCACATAGGGCTGTAGAGAATTGTGGGGTAAAATGGTAAAGGCCTGTGCACTTTGACTCCAAAATCTTACTTCTGGGGATTTATCTAAGGGAAATAATCCGGAGGGCTCAGGATGTGTGAACATGGCAGTTCCCTATAGCACTATTTATAGCAGCAAAACATGGAATTAAGTGCTCAAAAACAAGAGATAAGAAGTCATGTCACAACTATTAAGTAGAACATTATGCAGCCAGTAAAATGCATAGCCCTGCTTTTAGAGATGGAAAGATGTTCACCATCTGAGGAAGAGGCAGCTACTTATTCAATGTCCAGCCCAATCCCATTTCATGCCATTCTCTCCCCAGTCATTCTCTCCAAATGTCACCTCCTAAAAGAAGCCTCCTCTGACCCTGCAGTCCCCTCTATCTCCCAAGTCACTATGATTTCACCCAGTTCATTTTATCATTATTCATCAAGCATCTTAATCATGAGTGTCTGTTTCTCTGTCTATCCAGTTGGAACCCTGTGAAAATAGTAGTGACATTGAAATAAGACCATTTGTATTAAATGAGATGACACATAAATACATAAATGTGCCCGGCACAAAAGAAGTGCTAAATAACTGCCAGCCTTAGCCATTATTATTTTTCTTCCTTACATCTCTCTACTACATATTTATTTTCCTCTTCCTATCATCACTTTGAGATCTTTCAAAAGTCTTTTGTAATTAATAGGTAAATATTTTTGGTCGAAGGTAAATATACACCAATATTCAAGGGAAATATACACCAATTTTCAAGGGAAACCAGATTCTTTCTTAATGTAATTAAGAAACAGGCGCTTCAATTTCTTTCTGTAATGAAGACATTATTTATCATAATACATAAACATATATATACATATATATAAAGAACATATTTAGTGGTTTATTAAAAATAAGATGGGCTGGGCGTGGTGGCTCATGCCTGTAATCCCAGCACTTTGAGAGGCCGAGGTGGGTGGATACTTAAGGTCAGGAGTTTGAGACCAGCCTGGCCAACATGCTGAAACTCCATCTGTACTAAAAATACAAAAATACAAAATAGCCAGGTGTGGTGGCGGGCTGTAATCCCAGCAGCTCAAGAGGCTGAGGCAGGAGAATCACTTGAACATGGGAGCTGGAGGATGCAATGAGCCAAGATTGTGCCACGGCACTCCAGCCTGGGTGACAGTGAGACACTCTGTCTCAGAAGAAAACATAAAAAATAAAAAATAAAAATGAGTAATTAAGTTTTTGCCTATTTAAATATTTATGTTTGCCAATCCTTAAAAGAGGATCTGCTCTATGATAGATATCACTCCTTCACAAATTTCTTTTAGAAATTCATTTTGCATTGCCTTCTCCTTTTTTTTCCTCCAAGGCCTTATATAAAGACTAGTATTATTTGAATGTCATGATTTTGAATAACACAGACACATTCTTTTTCTTGTATTTTTACTCTCTCATCTCCTTTGTGACACTCATGTTTTTATGTTTCTCTTCTGTTTTAACGAGATGAACGCCTAATTGTTCTTCCATAAGAGAAGTGACACATTAATGGGAGCATGCTAAATATAAGAGCATACATGGGGACATGTTCTTTATATGGGATTTGGAAAGTCAGAGAGGGCAGTCTCTATCAGGTACAGGCAGGAACTTTTGGTTCTGGTTTTAGAAGAGAGAAGCTTCTATTTTCAATGCCTTAAAATCTGTAAGAAGCCATTTTGCATGGCCATAGGAAGGTCACCTGATAAGGGTGCAATTGAAAATGCACTCCTTGGGCAGAAAATTTCTAATGCTCTACAACAATGGAGCAGTCTGCACATTTAGTAGCATGAAATTTGGGGAAGAATCGACAGACAACTGCATATCTAAAAAAGCTCATCCTAATTTGAGGGCAGGTTTTGTTAATAAAACGGGACATAAAGGTTTATATTCCCCTTCCAAAATAAAAAATAACTGCAATGGTAATAAAATGCCTTTGGTTAAGCTCTGCTTGCATTAAACTATCGCCCACAGCACCACGTCTTTTATGCTGGTGGATAGCTATGCTTCCACTCCTCAAGATCTTAAGCAACATACATTTAACAGCATGACACGATAAAGGGAAAGCAAATTTCTTTTCTTCACACCAGATGGGAATAAGAAACGTGAGTGTTGTACACAATGAAACAATATCTATAAATCTAGCATTGTATCATCCCATTTCAGACTATAAAATTAGAAGATTCATCAGTTACACCTTCACTCATGAATTATACCTGCTGAGGTATGGGGTCTCTATGGGAAGACTGATACAGATAACACCTTCCAGCAGGTTATATATCAGTGGGTGGCACAGCCCTGGCGGGAGCTGCAACTCTCAGATCCCCCTGCAATCGCACAGCTACGGGATGTCAGGAGAATGCCTGGAGACAGAATTATTAGGAATCTGCTTATTAGCAACTCTGTAATTCATGGGCCAAATGGAGATCTTATTTCAAGGTTTCCTACACACAGAAATGTTCCCAAACAATATTAAGTTAATAGTCAACATTGACTAAAAGTATTTTTCTATTATCAGGAAATTTATTTTTTTTATTAGAGAAGGAAATGAACAGGTTTTCTCTTATTTCTTCCTCCCAGTTTCCAATTCTAACCCACATTCACACCCTTTGTCCTCATGATTCCAACAATGACGATGTGATATTTGCAAGGTGGTAAAAAGTTTTAGAGAGCTTCCGTGTTCATTATCTCATGTGATCCTTTAGCAACCCAGGAAGGTTGGAGCAGAAAAAGCTTAATGACTTGGCCGAGAGTTGGGATGAAAATTCAGATATTCTGAATACTTTTTTAGTGTCTTTTTTTTTCTTCAATGTGCTATGCTATGACATTTCCTTTCTTAGCGTTCCAGTGATATTAGCAAACTAGGTAAAATACACATCAGATGTTCTTTGTTTCCTGTATTCTTTCTCCTTTGTCTTTTTTAAAAGAATACCTATGGGATCCAAAGAAAAGAATGTGGAAGTTTCTGCCCATTTCCTCTCTATTTGAGTCACATTAGATGGGCACTATGCATGGCTACTGAAGGATGAGAAAGTTTACCCTGACTTGCCTGATTTGGGAATGTACAAAAATTAATTTAACCATGCATAATAAATTACCCAAAACTTAGAAGCTTAAAACAACAGTAAATATTTCTTATCTTTGACAACTTGTTTCTCTGGGTCAGGAATTTGGAAGCTACTTGGCTGGGTAGTTTGGCTTGAAAAAGCTGTTCATGAAATTACAGTCAGGTGTTAGCCAAAGCTGGAATTAACTGAAGCCTTAATCAGAGGGTCTGCTCCAAGGTGGCCCACTCGCATGACTGGCAAGGGGCTGCTGGCTGTCAGTAGAAGGCCACGGTTCCTCTCCACATGAGCCCTTCACAGGGCTGCTTGACTGTGCTCACAGCAAGAGTAAGGGACCTGTAAAAGCAAATGGAAACCACAAAGCCCCGTAAGACCTGCCCTGGAAGCCACATGCCACCGGCTCAGCTGTGCTCAATTTCGATTAATCACACACGCCAGCTTGGATTCAGCCTGGGATAAAACTACATGTGTGAAGGACCATTGGGGCCATCTTGGAGACTGGTAGGATTACTGTGGACTTCTCTGAGTAAGCCACTCACCATTCCATCCCTCCTGATAGGATTTAAAACATGTTACCCAAAAAGATGGCGCATCAGCACTTGAGAAAACAGAAGCAGGAAGGCCCTTCCTACCATCCCTTCATCCTTCTTCCCTAAGGAAGGTCATAAGACTCTCATTCAAGAGAAGCCCTCCCTATACCCAAGGGAAAGGAGCCAAAGACACAGAGACACCAGGAAGAATCAGAAAAAACAGAGCTTGCTAAGATTCCCCTGGTTTTTACTATTAGATCATATTCTTTTCTCCTCCAATCATACTTCTCCATGACTGACCACTCTTCAGCAAGCCTATGCATGAAAATACACAAGTTGACCTGTTTCTTTGGGTCTTCATTTCTTTATGAAGGCTCCCACGTCACATAAAATCATAAAAAATAAACTTGCAGCCGGACACAGCGGCTCACGCCTGTAATCCCAGCACTTTGGGAGGCTGAGGCAGGTGGATCACCTGAGGTCGGGAGTTAAAGACCAGCCTGACCAACATGGAGAAACCTCATCTCTACTAAAAATACAAAATTAGCCGGATGTCGTGGCACATGCCTGTAGCTACTCAGAAAGCTGAGGCAGGAGAATCGCTTGAACATGGGAGACAGAGGTTGCAGTGAGCCAAGATCGTGCCATTGCACTCCAGCCTGGACAACAAGAACGAATCTCCATCTCAAAATAAAAATACAATAGTAAAATAAATTTGTATGGTTTCATTTTGTTAATCTGCCTTTTGTTATAGTGACCTCAGCCATGAACCTTTTCCTCCCCTACAATCCTAAGAAACCCGAATGTCCTGGGGCGTCCTGAATGTCTTGGCAGAGGATTGATGTCATGTTGTATATTACTGGGACTTGCTTTTAACATCACCAAATGCTATTAACTGAATGTTTGTGTCCCCCTAAAATTCATATGTTGAATCCCTAATCCCTATAATATGGTACTTGGAGGTGGGCCTTTTGGAGGTCATTAGGTCACAGGGATGGAGCCCTGATTATGGGATTAGTACACTTAGAAGAGTTCTCTCTCTCTCTCTCTCTCTCTCTCTCGCCCCTTCACACATGAGGATATAGCAAGAAGATGGCTATCTGCAAACCAGGAAGAAGGCCCTCACCAGAACCTACCAGCACCCTTATCTACGACTTCCTATCCTTTAGAACTGTGAGAAATAAATGTTTGTTGTTTAAGCTGCCCAATGTATGTTAGTCTGTTATGGCAGTCCAGACAGACTGAGATACCCTCACTCAACCTTTCTCTTGGGAACTCTCCCTCAGTCACATGGACACCATGAACCACCATGTATCCCTAAACCCCTGACCACACTGACCATAGTTTGTTGGTCCAGGAGTAGGCAATTGACCCAAGAGGGAAGGAGGTGTGGAAGATTCCATCCCCAGGCTACAACTGATTGTTCTGAACATTTACTGAACCAAGGAACTAAAGTATGGGTCACCCCTCATCAAGTTGCTCCTGATACAGGAAAAGAAAGAGATATATTGAGGATGAGGGTCGGGGAGGGGGAGAAGGAGAGGAAGGAGAAGGAGAAAAAAGGAAACACAATGAATTCATTATGTTCCCAGAGAGAATGATCAAAACACGGAAGATCTTCTCACAGATGTGCAAGAGTAAGACACCCGACTGCAACACAGCCAATATAATCATTCCCTGAGAGTTTGAACTTGAGGCCAAAACAGACAAATAAACTTGAGGGAAGTCTCTCTTCCTCTAATGGTTGAAATATAGAGTATAAAACTTCCCCACATGAAGGAACTGGTCAGTAGTGAGAAAGAAAGAAGCTGAGATGCAGCACAAAGCAGAGGTTAGTGAAGACAGAAAGCAGAGCCCCTGCCTCCAGGTGAGCCTGCACCTTCTCATAACTTACAACCGCTACATCCTCTACAACCTATTGGATTCTGTGAATCAGTAAATTCCCCTTTATGTATAAACTAGCCTAACAGAGTTGCAATATTGCTCATGCTACAACTCAAATACAAAGAAAATGTAAATTTTATATGGTTTTAGTGGGGAGAATATGTACTTGGTTTTCTCTAATCTGGGATAATTGCTCAATCTCTCCTATATTGGGTTGAACAGTGGAGAGAACTCTCATGGCCTTGTGGCTCTGGAGTACAACGGTTCCTGGAGTTCCAGAGCTCCTCTGGCTTCTGGCAGGGTGTCCTTGGTCTGCCTGATCACTGCTTATTCTGACAAAAGTCACAGCTGCAGGCCCTGCAGCTCCATGCAGCAGTGTGTAACCCATGCACAAGCCTCTCTCTGCCTGCACCCCGGTGACCCCCGCCTTGCACTGCCAAGGCCTCCCCAAGCTCTTGCTGAACACTGAGCCTTTGCTACATTCTCCCTGAGACCTTCTGAACCAGGGGGGTCTCCCTGCAACCCCTGCAGCCTCCTGTGGTATCAGACAGAAAATCATCATCCTCAGCACTTTCCTCAACCTGCCTAACACACCCACCCCTCTCAGGCCTATGCAAGGGAGTTTCCTTCTCCCCACTCAGTCCCTTCTCTCCTTCCCACCATCAGCCTGCAGCAGGAATGAGTGGTTTCTCCACCTCTCTACCACTTGGGGCTTTCCTTACATAAAACCCTAAGCCCTCATCCCTAACCTGACATTCAAGTCTGTTATACTGCTAATGCAGTGACTGTCTTTCCCTTACATCAAAGGTGACAATAAAGTAAGAGTTTAATGGCAATAAGGACTTAAGAAAATTTAAATAGATCGGCTTATTATTTATATGACCAAAAATAGCCCCTTTAAGCAAGTTTGCATTCTATAATGTAAACCCAGAGTCCTAACTAATGCCACTAATGATTCCAGGTAGCAGTAAAAGAGTCGGGTGACATCATTCAGGCACTCGGTAAATTAGTCAACAATCTATTGAGCATTTACTGAACCCAGAAACTCGAGTATGGGTTACCCCCCATCAAGTTGTTCATGATGTAGAAAAAGAAAGAGATAACTTGAGGAGCAGGGGAGGGGAGAAGAGGTGAGGGGAAGGGGAGACGGGAAAAGTGGGAGATCGGGGGGAGGAGGAAGAGAAAGAGAAAAAATAAAATACAATGAATTCATTATGCTCCCAGAGAGAAGAGATCAAAAGAAGGATGATCCCCACACAGATGTGCAAGTGACTAATTCAGTCCAGAAGGAAACCAGGCCCCCCTCACAGTGTTGAGAGAAGACAGCACCAGCCAGCCTTGTAGCCTGAGAAGCTGTCTCCTCACCAGGTTTGAGTCCATTGATTAAATTAAAATCTCTGAACGAGATCTCTTAAGCCTGAATCCAAAGTAGGACAGAGATCATAAAAGGGTATATTGTGCCTTATGCTTGGGCTGTTTGTGTGTATAAATGTGCAGTCCAGGATCTCATTTTTATTTACTTCGATATAAAATGCAGCAAAACAATAGTGGAAGGCACCGGCAAGGACCCAGGGACACAGGCCCGTCCACATGCTGCTGGGGGACTCTGAAGTGGTTCTTCCCCCAGGATCTCCAGTGGCTCCTGGTCTTCCCCTTATGTGACATTCAAACCTGCTGTGTTTACATATTTAATGGCTATCTCTATGAGGACATTGTGTTTTCTTCTTCACAGCTGGATGTCCCCATTTAAGAGCCAACCCTGGACATAAACTGACTGCTCAGCTAGTAAACATGTTTTGAATTCATAAACTCTTCAGGGTGGCAATTTGGCAATATGTATCAGAAGTTCTCAATTTTCCTTAGGAATTTATGCTAAGAAGATGGTCAGGGATGGATACGCATAATTATTTACAAAAGTGTTCAGGACAATGTGGTTTACACTAGGAGAAATCCAGAAACAATGGAGATGTCCAGCAATAAAATCTTGCTTAAAAAACATTGGTACCATCTTTAAAAGAACTACTATGCAATCATTAAAAATGACAATAGTTATAATAAAACTATCACATTTGGTAAATCTGTGTTTTCTGTGTGTGTAGATGTATAAGCAAAGAAAAGAGCTCAGTAGGATGATCCTGACATATTAACAGTAGTCATCTTCAGGTGAAAAGTGTTCAGTTCACTCTTACTTGCTCAGTTTTGTTTATCTTCATTTCTTCAATATTATAAAATAGACATATATTTATTTCATTGTAAGAGTTTAAAAAAAGAAAAATAAGTAAATAGCCCCTCAGCATGTTGTACAGAAAGCTGGTTATTAAATCTCCAACTCATTAATTTGTCCCCACTTTCTGCACAGGCCTCCTAGTCTTCTGTGGATAAGTTATACCCCAGTGCTTAAAGGAGGTGCTTATAACAGGATTTACACATCTGTTTCCTTCCTTCCTGCTCACTAGAAGATGTGTTAGGAGGCTGTATGCTAGGGAAGATACAAGCAAGTCTTTGATAAAGCATCCACTTCTACACTGCTGGTGGTAATGCAAACTAGTACAACCATTATGGAAAACAGTGTGGAGATTCCTTAAAGAACTAAAAGTAGAACTACCATTTGATCCAGCAATGCCACTACTCGGTACCTACCCAGAGGAAAAGAAGTCGTTATACAAAAAAGATACTTGCATGTTCATGTTTATAGCAGCACAATTCACAATTGCAAAAATATGGAACCAGCCCAAATGCCCATCAATCAATGAGTGGATAAAGACACTATGGTATATAGTATGGTATATAATATGGTATATAGTATGATAGAATACTACTCAGCCATAAAAAGAACAAATTAAAGGCATTCGCAGCAACCTGGTTGGAATTGGAAACTATGATTCTAAGTGAAGTAACTCAGGAATGGAAAATCAAACATTATATGTTCTCACTCATAAGTGGGAGCTAAGCTATGAGGATGCAAAGGCCTATGAATGATACAATGTACTTTGGAGACTAGAGGGAAAGGATGGAAGTGGGGTGAGGGATAAAAGACTACAAACTGAGTTCAGTGCATACTGGTCGTGTGATGGGTGCACCAAAATCCCACAAATCACCACTAAAGAACTTACTCATGTAACCAAATACCACCTGTTCCCCCAAAACCTATGGAAATATATGATTTTTTTAAAAAAAATAATAAAGCATCCCTTTATCCATGCAAAAACTTATCTGGGTTAACCCAATCCTAATATTCCTTCTGCACACAACTACCAAAGCTCGAATAGACTTCCCTCCTAACAGGAATCCAAAAGAAAAACACCAGCACTGACCTACACCTAGCAGCTACACCTGCTGCAGTGCCACTGTTTGGCAGGCCTAAAGCTGCAGCCTGCTCTTCCAAAGTCATTTAAAGGGGGGTCAGCAACCCTTGGAGCTCCCAGAAGATCTCTAATGGGTCCAGGCATTCAGTGCATGGACTGCAGAATACAGCGTGTCTTCCAAAGCCACAAATGTCAATTACCGGACTGTTCTTCCACCTTGTGGGAAGAGAAACAGGAGGAAAGAGAAGGGCGAAATGATGGCCATAGTTCCTGAGCAGGAGTAGTATTTGCCTCAGGCACTGTCAAGTACAATAGAGAAGTGGCGTCCAGCCTTTTGAAGGTCTGGCTTAAATCTCTTCGAGGCCTGGACCACTGCTACTCTCTCGTCAGCCAAATTTATTTACATATTTCACCTTGCCTTCGCCTCAGTGAGTTACAACTTAGGAACTCATTTTTTTAAAGCCATTTGAGTCCACGCCTTCTTCTATGAAAGCACTTTTAATTCATCTTTTTCTAAAGGATTCATTTTTAAAAAATCAGATTAGTGATAAAAATTCCTAATGAAATGATTGCTTCTGTAAAGTGATAGAAATGAAATGCCCTGACGAATCCTCCAGGATAATTGTTTCTTCAGTAATGTTTACCATCATTACCTATCCTGAATTTCAGATGCTGCAGCTTCCACCCCCAAAATAGCCACACAATTAATCTCATTAAAAGGAACCATTTATAGTTACGAATTACCTTCATCTTAGGTTGATCAAGGCACTCTACTGATGATAAAATACTCTGATTCACTATAATTTTTGCATGGCTCATTTCTACCAAACAAAGTGCTTCAATCCTTCTAGGTTTATTTATTTATTTTTAAAAAAACTGAATTACAAATTGAGATGTCAAGCAAAAGTTACTTAAAAATGTATTCTTTTCATACTCAGCCTCCAAGTTGATAATCCTTTTTTTGAGGGTTCTCATTACAGTTCCCTTGATGAAGGCAGAGCTCATGAAAATTTGTGCAAAGAAAATATAACATGGCTTAGGAAGAGGGGAAGGAGAGAAGGAAGAGGAGGTTACTAAATTAAAAACTGCTGTGAAACCTTAGATAATGGATTCTGTGTCTTTTGAATAGAAAATTACTGACTCCTCTACACAGATGCTAAGAAGATGCCTTCTCAGACCAAAAGACAAAAGTGCAGAACTCTCTTTCCCTGCTTAACCTTACATGCTTTTCTTTTACTTTCCAAACTCCCTTGATGCATGACTGCCTGGCTGCTGTCAGCCTGTCTAACACCAATTATGTTGTACCAGCTGCAAAGCAAGGGCTCATGGCTTTCTGTGCATTCCATACACACTATAATGTTCCGCCAGGGCAGTGCTCAGTTCTCCAAGAGGTTGACTAAATAAACATTGAGTTGAAAAGTATAGGCTAGAAAGATTACTCCTATCCAACACAAATAAAAATGAGCATCTAGAATTCAGTGCAGTTATTCTGCTCCTTACAAAACCCAAGGTAATTTCTTTTTCCTAAAGAATAACACTTTCATTTCACGGCTAAAACGTTTTCTTAGAAATTTGCCACCAACTGGGCTATATTTGGGAATTCTGAGTGACAAGGAAGGGACAAGATTCCCCTTCTGGGCCCAACAACAATCATTAATATAAACATGAAGTACAAAGAGTTCCCTTGTTTTCTTCTGCCTGGGTTTCTTGACACAGACTGGCCAGACATAGCAAGTCAGTTTCCATCGCATCTTGCTATTAGATGAGCCCAAGTCAAGAAACACCCTCTCAACACATTGCTTCCTGGAGGCCTAGAGAAATTTCCTTAGCTGTGTACTTTTTAGCTCTGCCCAATTCCCCAAGTCTCCAACTCCTTCAATCTCTTAAAGTTTAGGGATAGTAACTACCATTAGTGTTTTACTGACAGTTTTATATTCAGGTAGTGATTTAAGTTTTTTTTTTTTAATCTTTCGATTGTTAGGGCAGTTAGGGCCGTAACAAAGTGCCATAATAAAGTACCACAGGCTGGGGGGCTTAAACAACAGAAATTTATTTTCTCATAACTCTGAAGGTCAGAAGTCCAAAATCAAGATGGCGGCACAGTGGTTTCTTCTACGACCTCTCTCCTTGGCTTAAAGATGGCTATTTTTTGCCAGTATCTTCTCACGGTGCTTATCAGTGTCCTAATCTGTTTTTCTTGTAAGGCCACCAGTCATGTTGGATTAGAGCCCACTCTATGACCTCATTTTACCTCAACTATCTCTTTAAGAGCCGTGTTTCTAAATATAGTCACATTCTGAGGTACTGGGGGTTAGGACTTCAGCATGTCAATGTGGGGAGCACACAATTCAGCCCAGGTATGGTCTCATTTTATAGACCAGGAACCTAAAATTCAATAAAGAAAACTGAATTGCCAAGCTCACTCAGCCATTAGGTGATGTCGCTAAGATTGGACTTAGCTCTGAATTCAAATGGCATGCCATTACAGCCTGCAGCCACTCCAATAACTAACTCGTGTTTAACTTCTCAACGTTTACATGTGACACATCATCTCATTGAATCTCCTGAGAAAAGCAAATCAGATTTACCTTGGACTCATTTGGCCATCTCTACTCTTATATATCTCTGCTTTGAAAGCCTGGGGGCAGGAGAGGAAGTTCTAGAATCCTCTCGCAGCCTACTCTTTACCCACAACCTTTCCCCACTAGCTGAACTTCGTGATTTTGGGGATGCTAGAGGACAATCTGACCAAAACTTGACTCTCAAAGGGGTCCCAAATGTTGGCTGCAGCTAAGAAGCAAATTTGCCCAAGATAGTGGCAGGGTGAGGATTCATCACCAATGTTGATCCCAACTGATCTCTGTCAAACCTCAGGTGCTAACCAAATCTGAGAGTAGACAGATGGACCCAAGGATGAGGGGTTGAAAGACGAACATGTGTTCCTGAATCCCTGGTAGAGTTGGCCCAAGAGGAAACATACTATTCCCATCATTTCAAAGTACCTAAATGGGCCTTGTATTTTAAATACCAAGAGTACTATTTTCTTAGAAGATTAAAAAGAAATGTTAACAAAAGTATTTGAATGCTCACTGACAGTTTCTTCTAAGGAAGAATAAAGCAAAAGTGTATTGCTAGTGACTATGTGTTTGGTGCTTGCAGAACTTTTTCTATGTGTGCCTACACAGAAACAAGGAGACCTTAATTCAAGTGCCTGGTACTAATGTTAGTGAAGAAATCAGTACATCTCTCTGAGCCTCAATTCTCTTACCTACGGGCTGGATGAGATGATCTTTAATGTTCTTATAGGTCTAAGCTTTTATGCACAAACCCAACTTTTGTCTTTTTTTCTTTTCAGCTTTCTCCTCACCAACTCTTCAAAGATCCAGTTGATACAAAATGCACATGCTAAAATATGATTCCCCAGTCCTGTCCAAGCTGATGTGGTCTTCTCCAAGCCCCCAGTCCTGACCAAGCTGAATCTCCTTTGTCACTCATGGGGCAACAGGGACTTACCTGCCAGTGCAGGAGAAAGGAGAGATCCTTTAGAACAGGAGCTAAGATGCCAGGAGCTCACGCAAAATGCTTGAAGAAAGGGGCTTAGCCAGAAACCGAACTGGGAGTTGATGCCCAGTTTAGGAAGAGTTCAAATCGAGGAGTCAGAAGCAGCAAATTCTACATCAGATCCACAAATTCTTAACTAGAAGAATAAAAACAAGTCAAATCAAGTTGGGCTCAAAAGGAATATAGGGGCAGAAGAGGTGATGTGCAGATGGGTGTGCCTGGCCAAATGGTGGGGGTAGGCACAGGCAGCACACACCATTGATTTCTTTGCTTCCTTTTTTAAAGATTTTATTTTTAAGAGCAGTTTCAGGTTCAAAGCAAAGTTAGAAGTACCAAGATTTTTTCCATATACCCCTGTCCCTACATATGCATAGCCCCCTCATTATCAAAATCCCCTATCAGAGTGTAATAAATGACAATGAACCTACGTTGGACGCATCATAATCACGTAAAGTCCTGGTGTACATTAGCTTTCACTCTTGGTGTTGTACATTCTATGAATTCGGACAAATGTGTAATGGCATGTGTCCACTGTTATGGTATCATACAGAGCACTTTCACTGCCACAAAAATTTTCTGCTCTCTGCCTATAGTTGGGGATCAGAAACCAATACCCCAAAATATGGCATTTTGACATGCTGAACTGAAGAAGCTTTAATGTCTCTCTGACCTTCCTTCTTCTGCCCCACCTTCTTTCCCAAAACCTAGGATTATCTTGTTCCCTTATCTGCTTAAAGTCCGAACCTGCCAAAGAAGAAAACAATGACCTCTGCACCCTTCCCTGAGTTTCCATTAACTGAACCTAGATTCCAGGAAGAAAGATTGAAGTCTGTCAACACACCTGGACAGACTTTTATCACAAACCATTGTCCACTCTGCTAACCCAACAGATTTTGTCCCAGACAACTGTATTCTCTTCAAGCCCATTGAATTCTCCCTAGGAATCATGCATTGCCCCTCAACAGAATTCCTCTTGTCCCTACTCACATAGTTTGCTTTGCCGGGATCCTAAGATTTCTTGGAAAACCTTAGGACCAGGAGGTATTCTTGTGGACTCATTCTGTTTTTCTGTAACCTCAAGATGGTGTATAAGCTTCTGCCCCCTAATCGGGGGTTGGAGTAATCACTGTGTCTCCTGTGTGAAAGTAAACACATTTGTATGCCCTTTTCCCAATTAATCTACCTTCTGTGAGTTGATTTTTTAGCGAAACTTCAGAGGGCTCTTTGACTCCTACACTATTTATCCCTCCCCCTCCCTTCAGCCCCTAACAACCACTGATCTTCTTACTGCCTCCACAGTTTTACCTTTTCCAGAAGGTCATATAGTTGAAATATTACAGTCCGTTACCTTTTCAGATTAGCTTCTGTCACTTAGTAATATATATTTAAGATTCCTCCATGTCTTTTCATGGCTTGATAGTTCATTTCTTTTCAGTATTAAATGATATTCCATTGTTTGATGTACCACAATTTATCCCTTACCTACTGAAGGAATACCTGGTTGTTTCCAAGATTTACCTGGCCACCTATGGAATACTGTAGTTTCCAAAACTGGCCATAAGATATTTCCTACTATTCTTGCATATTGCAGTTGCATAAGAATTGCGTCCTAAGATTTTCCAGAAATTTGGCACTTCTCCATCAAGACATGGATTCTACTTCCTCTTCCCTTAAGTCTAGGCAGATTTGTGACTGGTAACCACAGAGCATGGTAGAAATTACACGGAGTGATTTCTGAGGTTATAAATGATGAAGCTCATCTACCTCACAGGAACATAGGCATTGAGTCCTGAGCCACCAAGCAAGTGTCCAACTACTCTGAAACTGCCATGTGGTGAGGAAGCCCAAACTTGATGTGATTTCACCTCTTCTGCCCCTATTCCTTTTGTGCCCAACTTGATTTGACTTGCTTTTATTTTTCTAGTTAAGTGAAAAGATAGCAAGGGGAAGCACTGAAGCTGCATCGTGAGCGAGAGATGCCCAGCCACCAGGCAGCTGCTCCACCCACCTCACCCTCAGCCTACTTTCCTCCACCCTCAACCTTGTACTTTTGTTGCTCCAACCACTGTCTGGTTACAATCAGAGGAGAGATTCCAAGACAGTAGCACCCAGCTAAACCCTTCCTGAATTCGCAACTCACAAAAGTTATAAAAGACAATAAAATGACTGTTCTTTAAGTTATATGTTTTGAAGTGAATTATTATTCAGCAACAAATAACCCATAACATCATCCTTTTTTCCTCACCTCCACTTCCCAGTTTTGCCTCCAGTCTGAGTACTTAAAGTTAGGCCTACAAATCCAGTCCTTTCCCTTCAAAGGAAACTTATTATAAACTGAGGCATCCAGAAAAAGGCTGTCATGAGGTTTTAATGTCATTCTCTGCTCTCTTCATTAAGATATAAATAACCCTGGTATAATTTTTTCCTCTTGTTTAGATGCAAATATACTTAAGAACTGAACTCTCCCAGTTGTTTATAATTGCATCCATACCATAATCCCAAAACAATTTTAAAAAGAGAATAAAATTAATTATTTATTGGTTTTATATTTTTCTCCTGCTGGAATCCATTAAACCAACCATTTTTTATTGAGTTTCTCATTTGGAGAAGGAGATGATTTGTCTTGTTTTTACATTTTCCTTTGTTCTTATCTTGGCAATTAACTATTGGATGATTTGTTAATTAGATAACTGACATCCAAAGGCACTTCATTCATTAAAAAAGTAAAATAATAACAGCTCATCATCTAGGGAAAGATGCAGAGGAAAAATGATCAATTTTTAACATCGTGGTCGATGTAGGTAGTTGAACTTGAATATGTTTACCAAACAACTAAATGCAGACCAATGCTTTTGGAAGCTAACTTTAACATGAATAAACTTGGTTATCCTAATTGCCCTTAGGAAATGACAGCACATGTTTAATAAGAAGGAAAAAAGTAGAGTGGCTTTTCAGTGTGACTCTTTCCTATGACATTTCTTACCCCACTTTTAGCGGAATCAACTAAAATCATACGAAAAGAAATCATGCCTTTTAAACTTGTCTAGTTAGTTCTTTATAACTCAGAGAAGCACCACTATTCAAAGTATTTTCAGCTTCAAAAAAAAAATCCCCACCCTCAAAAAATATTTGTTTACCCTTGAAATTGTTTTTGCTATCACCACATGAATTCTGAAGAAAGGTTTGATTATATTGTTAAATCAGTGTTGATTTAAACATGGATCGACCTCCCACATAGCCACCATATCTGAGTTGTTGCTAGAACTGAAAGAAACTGGAAGGAAATGATCAAAATTTCCCTAAAAGCACTAACCATCCCTTTGCACAAATTGCCCTGGTAGGAAAAATCTCAGTCCCGCCTACCCTAATGTGAACTAATTTGGTCTACAGTGACACAGAGAAGGCACACATAAGGAGACATTTTCCAATGTTTAGAATTCTTTTCACTGCTATAGAAAGCATCTTGCTATAGTAAGAAAAAGGCCAAAGATCTGCCTTACACAGCTCGGGATCTTTCTCCTTTGGCCTTAGCATTTGGGGCTGGAGATACTATTTGTGGAATGAGGCTGAGGAAATGAGCCAAAATGAATTTCAGGCTTGCCAGAGCTTACAATCTTAATGTAAATTCAACAATTAGCAATGCCTCAGCTGTGAAAGCTGGAAAAAATTCCACACATCAGATGGTGAGAGAGGCTCCTTGGAAAAATCATTTCCATTTTACTGTTGTTATGCGGTCATGTCCTCGCTCAACTAACCTTGAAAGCAGACCTGAACCCTATGAGTCATCGACTCACAAAGATGCCCCCAGAAAGGTAACGTCCTTATTCGGGCAAAGTAGAACTATGAAACTGTACAAAGTTATGCAGGGAAAGAGATTTAAAATATGATATGATATGAGGTACAGGATGTATCATCAGCTTCAAAAACTGCTGAGGTTAATGGACATTGTTGGATGCCAAGAGGATCCAATTAAATTAAGATACTTCTTATAAGAATCAACAGCTCTAACATGTCCTTGTCAGCCTAAAGCTTATAGCAGGTGTGATCCTGTAATATGACTCTTTTTGGTTTGTTTCCTGAAGTTTTTCAAGAAGGCAGAAAACACACATTACACACCATGGAGTCAATAGCTGCCTGCCCCCAGCAAAACGTGGGTCTCCTTCCCTCATTTCCCCACCTTGGTGTTTTTCTAAAGAGGAAGAAAAATGTAAATGTGCATGTGCATATTTCATCATCCAATTGGAAAGAATATAATGATATGGGAACTTGAGGGAAAGACCTGAAATTCTAAGGACTTCACATGCTAAACACAATTACTTACTCTCTGGGGGGTTTTCCCCAAAAATCATTCACCCTTATTTTCATTGTTGGTCATTATAGATGATGCAAACTTTGTGACCATCCTCAAAACCAAGGACCGTGTTCTGTTTCAACCTCTTAATCAATTATACATCACACCCAGTCTGAGAGTAAATCTTGCTAGTTCCCTCAAACTTTCTTCTTCATGACTTTTCCTCATTCCTTCATATCATAAAATACCCCCATTTTCTATATTAAACTCTGTTCTGAGTGCGGATCAAACACGATCAATATTTTAATACAAATGTCCCCCAATTTTTCTCCATCAAACATCCATTCAGCTTATATCTTAGTTTGGATTTCCCCCCAAGCAGAGCCTGAGAAAGAATTCAGGTGCAAGTAGTTTATTTGGGAAGTGATCCCAGGAAGCACCTGGGCACTCTGGGGAAGCCAGACAAGGAAGGGAGGAAAGCAAGTGAAATTCCTACTGTGGGCAACCGTGCTGAGATCCAACTGGGGACCTTCTAAAATACCACACTTCACATCCCAGATTGTCCCACCAAGGCACATTCATCTACCAACTCGTGTTCCACGTTGTTGGGGGATTACTTGCAAGACTTCTTGATTCTGCAGAGCTTCCAGCCTGCACGGTGCACAGGCAAGGGTGCACTCCTGTGGCCAGAGAACGTCCTCTGGCAAAATGGTTAGGGAGTACCCACTAAAGCTGCAAGTGATCTTCAGAGAGGACTGAGTGGACACAGGCAAGGCTCCCCCAATGATGCCTGCTACCTACTGCCTGTGCCTGAACCAGGCAAATGCTGGGCTATACACACAATGGGTAGTTTTGTTTGTTGAATGAATATTCAGATATATATTCTCTCCCCTTTGATTCTCTAACTGAATTATGATTCCTATTTGTATCTTCCCTCAGATAGAACCTTTAACCCAATCATTCATTTACCCATCTTTTAATCTGTACAGAAAGCTTCCTGTCTCCATTCTGCAAATACTTGTTTTGAACCCAATTATCTCAGAGCTCTTCTCTCTCTTATGCACTGTCAAGACGATTTACTTCAAATGAGCAAAGAGCTCCAGCTCATGGCCCCTGCTTTTGAATCTCAGAAAAAGAAACGGATATCTTTCTCAACCACAGGGCTGTATCGTCAGTCTTTTTCGGAAGTTTGAAAAATGTTTAATTATTTCAGATTCGCATTATGTTCACATCTATTTACATAAGTAAAAAGGAAATGTGTTCTTTTATATTAGCCTCTTATTCAATCAGCAAATAAGGGCAAAAAATTTCACCACAGCAAATTCTGTTGATTTTATATTTAAATCACAATTGTTTCTTTGTAAAAGAGCTTGTAGTAAAGTCCATACAGAACTAGAAAGAATCATGTGCCAAAAAATGCGAGCTGCCATCCAGAAACTCATTTTGTTTTCCATATGAGATATTAACTATTGATTTCTCTTTTTCCTATCACAACATCCTGTTCTTACAACCTGGGGTGCCCCTTAATCCTTATTTGTGGAGACTGTAACACTTTATCAACCCTCAAAAGATTTTTCTATCTGAGAGTGATTTTTTTAGTGTCACTAGTATATCTAAGTATTTTGGTGCTGTAAACGTGTGTGTTGGGGATTCAGGGATGTCATTTCTCACCCTCTGACACGGCCTAAGTACTACATTTTCTTACAGGTTGGAGAAATAGCCTTAAGGCTATTGATGGGAGTGTCCTGTAGGGTCTCTTGTCTGGCTCATATTTGCAATGAACCTGCCTTTAGACTGCAGCGATAAAAAGGACATAATCCTTAAGTGATTCATAATCCTTAAGAGAAGCTCCACCAATTTATGTGGCAGGCCTCAATCTCATGTGAAGATTTAATGAGAACCACATGCAGTCAAAAGTATACCCTGCATCTGTTACAGCAGACAGCTCTGCAAAAGCAGAGCAATACCTCGTGTGAAGACGATCTAGTCAGACATTTTAACTGACAGCAATGACCCTAACAGAGAACCTGGGGGAAAGAGAAACAAAAAAATAAAAAAGATAACCAGTGCAGCAAATATTGATCCATTATATGCTTTCTGGTAATTTCTGAATATTCCCCAAAAGAAAAGCAAGACATGGATAATTTATGTGCCTATTGAAAGTAATTTTCCAAGCATGAATGGCTGAAGGATTGTAATTTCTTTCCCCCCAGTCATTATAGGTCTCCCTGAGGTCATACAAATAACCAGCATCCTTTCATCCTAAACACCGCTAAGCCCAGGTTGAGATATGAGCCTATTAAAATTCGGTTTGAAGAAGAATTTTATTTTGCCGATGATCTCATTTATTAATTGCTGACTGCCTCTTAAAACCTTCAGTGGAAGACAAAGAGACCTTCAAATCCTTTCTCTGAGAATTAAAGCTTTCATTTAAGGATTCCAGATGGGTTGTATTTAGGTATTAAAGTTCAAGTACTTTAACCACCAAAAGATAAAAAGAATTTTACCCAGTTTTGTTCCACAATTGCCACCCAGTATTTCTTCAGTCCTGGCCAAACTGAGCATCAATTTAAATTAGATTTACTCACGGGACCCTCTGTAATCACAATCAACACAAGATATT
This sequence comes from Homo sapiens, assembly GCF_000001405.40. NCBI lineage: Eukaryota > Metazoa > Chordata > Mammalia > Primates > Hominidae > Homo > Homo sapiens. Next base: position 34,621,032 of record NC_000013.11, read on the forward strand.
AGGGAGTTTAGGGAAGGGGCCTATTAAATGACAATTAAAGCTGTCAGTCTTCCAGAGCTTATTTTCAGTTAATTTGATCCTAGTAGACAGTCATATTGGACTGCTGTAAACAAAGAGGCTTGCTTTACAATACAAGCTGAGATCCAGAGCTGGCTGCCTGAAACCTGGTGAAGGTGCAGGCTTCACTTTGGCCTTAAGATGGCTTCATCTGTTCCTCTGAATAAATGACTTCAAAATCACTTCAACTGTTTAAATGCTCCTGAAAGTCCTAACGCTCACCAAAGAAGAGTTTAACTGGCACATTTCAGAGAAAGGAGTCAGCAATGAGGTTCTGGGTACTGATTGGCATTTCCTTTTGATGTGAAGTCTCATGGAAATTATTTAGGACTAGGTGTTCTCCATCCTGCATATAGGCAATAGTAAAGAGAGCGCTTTGCACCTAGAATGTGCCTGAAATCGCCTATCAAAAGTCTTAGGTTATCCACACCCTTTAATGCAGTGCTTTCATCTTCAGGGGTTTATCCTGAAGAAACAATCAGATAATTATGCAGATGCATGAACAAATATGTTTGCTGCAGTATTACATGTAGACAAGATGTAAAGCAGGCTTGCTTTTGTGACTCCTCCTGCCTCATTCTCCTTAAGCCACCCCAAACCCCGTATCATTTTTCTCCACCATAAAAACCTCTTCAGTGTCACTGTCCTCTTAGGCATTTACCTGGAGAGTGGTGTCCTACACAGGTTAAAAATTCCAGGACCTGGGCATTTCTCCATTCCACCCTCGGGTTCATACTCTCTACAGTCCTCAAGGCTAGAAAAACAGAAACTTTTTTTATATATTTTTATACTAAGGTGTTCATGGATTAACATTGCTTCTACTAGGTAGTGTTTTATGTTGTAAAATGAGATCTTCCTAAAGACAAGACTTTAAACCAAAAATGGGAATTTCAGGCTCCACATAAGCCCAGCAATAAGGATGTTTGTAGTTTAAAATTCTTTTTAAAAATATCTTTTCAGTGTGTGGGTGTGTGTCTTAGTTTATTTGTTATGTTTCATTATGAAAAGATATTCATGCTTATTATAGAAAATGTGGGAAATGAAAGGAGAAAGGAAGACAAAATTCATCCATATTCCCACCATGCAGAAATAGCATTTTGAACATTCTATTGTGTTTCCTTTCAGTCTTGGTAATATGCATAAATGTTTGTTTTTTCTGTGGAGTCATAATTATAGTATATGTACCATTCTGAATTTTTTATTTTGCACAGTTATGGAAAAATATCAGAATAGTTCTACCCTAGTAAGGCTTTCCATGGGGCCACACTTTACAGTAGTTCACTATTTCACTCTTTCTTCACGCATCAATTTACTTGCCAAGGATACTTTAAAAGCATTTGCCTCCTCTTTATGGACATCCCATTCACTCCCATCTCTATATTACATTGGAAATCTTCACCGTACCTAGCTGGTAAGTAAATTTCTCCAAATGAACATTTCAGAGGCATTTAAACCAGAGCAACTCCACCTTGAATAGGAGCTGGGTAAAATGAGGCTGAGACCTACAGGGTTGCATTCCCAAGAGGTTAAGGCATTCTTAGTCACAGGATGAGATAGGAGGTCAGCAGGAGATACAGATCATGAAGACCTTGCTGATAAAACAGGTTGTAATAAAGAAGCCAGATAAACTCCACCCAAACCAAGTGGCGATGAGCGTGACCTCTGGTTGTCCTCAATGCTACACTCCCACCAGAGCCATGCCTGTTTACAAATGCTATGGGAATGTCAGGATTTTACCCTATATGGTCTAAAAAGAAAAGGCGTGAGTAATCCAACCATTGCTTAGCATATAATCAAGAAATAACCATAAAAATGGGCAACCAGCACCTTATGCTGCTGCTCTGCCTATGGAGTAGCCATTCTTTATTCCTTTGCTTTCTTAATAAACTTGCTTTCACTGTACTCTATGGACTCGCACCAAATTCTTTTTTTTTTTTTTTTTTTAGACTGCGTTTAGCTCTTGTCACCCAGGCTGGAGTGCAAAGGTGCGATCTCAGCTCACCGCAACCTCCGCCTCCTGGATTCAAGCAATTCTCCTGCCTCTGTCTCCCAAGTAGCTGGGATTACAGCCGCCCACCACCACTCCCGGCTAATTTTTTGTATTTTTAGTAGAGACAGGGTTTCGCCATGTTGGGCAGGCTGGTCTCAAACTCCTGACCTCAGGTGATCCACCTGCCTTGGCTTCCCAAAGTGCTGGGATTACAGGCATGAGCCACCGCCCCCGGCCCCCAAATTCTTTCTTGTGCAAGATCCAAGAACCCTCTCCAGGGGTCTGGATGGAGACCCCTTTCCGGTAACAAAATCACTCAAATTCAGTTCTGGAACAGGGAAAGAACTGGAGTGTGTTTAAACAATGTAGATGCAGCTGATGCCTAGCAGGAGGACACAGGCTACAAAAGGCCACCCCAGCAGGAGGGCCGGGTCACAGCAATCCTGGTGAGAGCCTCCACTGCCGCAGCTCTCCTCTGGGGCTGTTTAGGACAGCACCCTGCTGCCCACCTGAGACTCAGCCTCTGCTTCCCAGTCACTTTGGGCACCACAGGAAGCCCCTGTGATAACACCCACAGGCTCTAAAAACTGTGTTCTCGGTATCCCTGAGGACAGCTCATTTCTGCCACCAAAAATATACTGTCCCCCTGCTCCCTCACCCCTCTTCACTCAAGAACATGGACTGAAGGTGTAAGGCGGGCGTAGGAGCCCTACAGTTGTTTATGATTTGGTGAGCACATTCCCATTTCTATCTGGGCTATTTTTTTCCTAGTTTTTTTTTTTCCTTTTTTTTTTTTTTTTTTTTTTGAGATGGAGTCTCGCTCTGTTACCAAGGCTGGAGTGCGGTGGTGCTATCTCAGCTCACTGCAACCTCCACCTCCTGGATTCAAGTGATTCTCTTGCCTCAGCCTCCTGAGTAGCTGGGATTACTGGCATGCACCACCAGGCCCAGCCTTTTTTTTTTTTTTTTTTTTTTTGTATTTTTAGTAGAGATAGGGTTTCACCATGTTGATCAGGCTTGTCTCGAACTCCTGACCTCATGATCCACCCACCTCAGCCTGCCAAAGTGCTGGAATTATAGGCGTAAGCCACTGCACCCAGCCTTTTTTCCTAATTTTGCTACTGACCTTGTATAATCCCACTTGGTAACTGATAAATTATTTTGGTAATAGGCTCAGATTAAACGGATAAGGTGCAGCCAAATGTTTCTGAAGGAAACAAGGTGGGGAGATGCAACATTTTTAGTCAACCCAATAAGTCATACTTTTTGAATAATATTTAAAGAGGACACTAAAAGGAGAAGAAGACGGGAAGAGGTATGATGAGAATGAGGTAGACTTCAGCTGATATGAGTATCTTATTTGTAAATGGCATGTCATTGTATTAATGGATTTGAATTACATCAAACATTTCTATAAAGATTGGTTTGAATTAAATTTAAACATGTTATAAAGAGCCTTTTACTCATTGAGGGAAGCCTTAATAACGTTTACAAATAATTAATAAACACTTAGGAGGGCTATCAGATTTCTAGTAACTAACAATATGCTGATCTACCCAGAGACTTGGAAAGAGCTAGATTCACAATGTATGATGACCGACCACCATGTTTGCTGCCCTTCACATGAGAGACTATGTACACAGCATAGTGAGAACACTGGGAAAAATGGCTCCTTCTCCTCACCTAGCAACTGTTAACCCCCTTGGCAGCAAGTGGGGTGCTCAGAAATGGCTTACGAAGCAAAAACTGCTTCTCAAAGGAGATTCAGGGGACTGGGGGAAATGGGATTCCCAAGAAGTCAGAGCTTTCTTCTGAAGTCTTGGCCATGAAGTCATTCAACTGGCTGTCATGACTCTTTTCATTCTCCAATCCAGGTGTATTTAGTCTTCTAATAAAAACAGAGGAAAGAGGTACCCAAATTAGAATAAAAGGGCAGAGGAAGCTGAAATGGTCAACAATATGCATTGTCACCCTGCTAAATGACTTGTCAGGTACATAGCTCAGTAGAGTGAAAAGAATGGTGTGTTTATTTTTCCATGTTCTTATGTAGTCAGAAGAAATTCAGGAAATGAAATAGAATCTCCGTTTTTAAAACAACTAATTACCATCTTATTTAATTTTTTACAGATATACTGAATAAGGTTTTCCTGCCTCTACAGGTTTTTCTTCATGAAGAGTTCGCTGTTAGAGACGTTGCTGCACATCTACCTGGTGAAGGCATAATTTTATCACTCTTATAATTAATTGCTTTATAGGATGAATTGACCTCTTCAGTTTTTGTAAAAATGATGCATTTATATGTTTTATCACAGTAAAAAAAAAATCAAAATAACATGATGTACTGAAAAAGCATGAAGAGATGCCTCAAATCTATTTTTAAAATTCTGGGAAACCAGATATTTGGAGAAATTATTTGAATCACAGTGAAAAGACACATCATTTACTGGTTAAAAGTTGGCATGCTTTAATAACGCAACAGGGTTTATAGGTCGTGAGACCCTTCCACTAACCTTTCTAATGGCATAAAGTGTGTTCAGGGCTGCCATTTCCCAAAGGACTGAGGACTAAGCAGAGAAGAGCCAGTCTCTAATCATGGTCTAAAGACTTCAAAGAGGGTCATCTTCTGGCTTCTTTCTCTCTGCTCTGGTTCCCAGCAACCAGCCTTGCTGTAGATTTTCAGTATCTCTGAGGGAAGGACACCCACTCGATCACATTCATGTTCAGTTAATTTACTTTCTTTTTTTTTTCCTTTCTTTCTTTTTTTTAGAATCCAATGGCTATTAGCCCTTAGTGGAAACCATACAGCAGCAAAAGCCACAAAGGCAAGATAGATGGCTTTGCTATGTATCCTATAGATAGCATTACTTTTCTCAGATTCCAAACCTTATCCTGATTTCACCTTGATCCTTTGTAAAACTGTGCCTTGATTTTCACTTTGTGCTTTCAGGATAAAAGGATCTTAGGCCAAACCCAGCTTACCAATACTCCAGCACCCATTCTAAGTATGTGCTATCCTGGTACCTCTAGCATGGCACTCCTGGAGGTCAGACTATGTTTTCTCACCTTTTTACACCTGGGACTGGCATACTAGGCCTCAGTGAGTTTATAAAAGAAGGGAGAAGGGAAAGGAGGGAGGGAGAGGACTGGATCTAGACATATAGAATAAAATTTATTCAGTAAATTTTTGAAACAATATCTTTGTTCATGTATTATATATTTAATTTTTTCACCCAAGAAAAGAACATAAGAAAGTGCCAAAGATCACAAACTACAGTATTGATACCAGTAAAATAAAGACCAATCATAACAATAACAAAGTGGGATTTATACCTTAAAACTCTTTATTCTCACCCTGACATCCTAATTTTTTGTGGCATGTCTTTAAAATAATAGGCAGTGATCCCATTAATATTTTTCAACTGCAAAAGTCCAAAGATTTGAGTATGATAATGAGCATGATAAGAAACAGTATGTTTATTCAGTCTTGAAGGATCTCTCCACAACTTACTTATTTACAGCAAAGGGGAAAATAGTACCTTCACAGTGGCAGACACCACCTTAGCAAAGTGAGCAAAGCTAACATCACTAGCAGGTACATGTATCAACACCACATACTCCCTGATAAGACACACCAAGTCGGGAAGCTTGAGGTCAGGAGTTCAAAACCAGCCTGGCCAACAGAGTGAAACCCTGTCTCTAGTAAAAATACAAAAATTAACCGGGCGTGGTGGCACGTGCCTGTAGTCCCAGCTACTCGGGAGGCTGAGGCAGAAGAATCACTTGAATCTGGGAGGTTGAGGTTACAGTGAGCCGAGATCGCGCCACTGCACTCGAGTCTGGGCAACAAAGTGAGACTCCGTCTCAAAAAACAAAACAAAACAAAACAAAACAAAGATGCACCGAGTAGAGCACAGGATCACTATTGTCATATTCTTGCTGAAAACGCATAATCTGAATTTGATCATGAGGAAAACGCAGACAAATCCAAACAGAGGGAAAATTTACAAAACAACTAACTCTTATTTTTCACAAGTGTCATAAAAGTTCAAGAAAGACTGAGAAATTGTCCCAGAATGGAAGAGACTAAGAGGTTGGGGCAACTAAATGTGTGATCCTTCAGAAATTTTTGAATAAGGTCTATAGATTAGTTAATAGTAACATATCATGTTAATTTCCTGGTTTTGATCATTATATAAATATTATGTGTCATGCTAACATTTGGGAGGCTGGGTGAAAGGTATATTGGAATTCTTTGTACTATTCTACTACTTTGTTGTATGTCTGAAATTATTTTAAATAAATAGTTAAATTTTTTAAATTAAACAATTCTAAACATCTGGATATTAGATTTCAGTGCATATCTGTGAGCACTGAATCTGTGAGCATATTCTTGAGAAAAAGCAAATAAAGATTGTAAAGTTGCTGGTATTTACTTTACGTCAGTGGATAACAAACATTTTGTCATTTTAATTACAGACAGAAAGAGCTACAGAGAGTCAGAAAGACAACCTAAATTGGTATGTCTGCATTGACAAAGCAGATCAAAGGGAACCAGGGATGCATCTTAGAGCCACACCAAGGAGGCTGTCTCTGTCGCTGTCACAGCCTGTGCTACCAGAATCAAAGGCAGGCTTTTCTCTGATTGGTTAGGTCAGGCTGCTAATGAGGCAAAGGTCATGGATTAGATTCATTCTCAGGGCCGGTGAATGTCACTTTCTCCCTTGGCATTTTGCTGATCACAAGAGACCGAGGTGTAAAAGTTTGACTGCAACAGCAAGAGACCAGCCCTACTGTGGGAAAGAACTAAAACACCATCCCTAAGGTCACGTTTAAACATGATGGACACACTTGAATATAATCACTGTCACCTAAATGTGATTCTAAAAATAACTGCCCAGGAAAGGAATCCCTTATTAGATTCGCTTTCCTCTCTTCGACCTGTAATTAGGAGACCTGGAAGGGTGAGGCTGATTGGCCTCTGTGCAAGCCCAGACATTCTAGTGAGCCCCATTGCCTCTGTAGCAGAAGGGTGTGATGGCTTTGAAGGCTGTGCTCTCTGATTTAACAGCACTTACGCAGACACCAAAGTACACAAAGCATGAGGCTCCTCGCCTTCTCCTGACAGTTAGACATCTTTCAGCTTTCATATTCCAAAAATTTATTGAGAGGGGGCTCCATTCATAAAAATTATGTTCCTGAGTCTCATGTGTTTACTCGGAGAGCCTCCCTGACGTACTTAGGATTCCAAAGTGGGAGGTAAATATGTGCTGGAAAATTATCTATTCCAAATATCAGCGTGTTTTACAGCCAAAAGCAGCTAAGGAATCAGAAGAGGTTTCAACATATGATTAATTTTAGAATGGTAAACACACAGTGATTTGAAAGTAAATTTACTTACAGGGTGAAATACAAAACAAAGTTAGCAGGCTTCACTCGCTTCCACCTGCAGTTAGAACAATTAGATACACACTACACGAAAAGTTGTCTCTTGAGATTCTTTAAACACAAGGATTTGTAAATATAAGAAGTCAGGAAACAGGGAGGTGTCTCTGCAAAGCAATGCTGCCCACCTCTCCACTTTCTCCAATGAGCTGTGGATTTCCAGGTCTTCCCCAGCACTTTCAATCCAGGTAAGGATTGGAAATGTAAGACAAACCAAAAAGACTTTTTTTTTTTAAATCCCTCTTGCTCCTCCTGATATCAATGTACTCAATAGATCGCAGGGAAATTAGCTGTTTCACTGGGTTGAGACTTGTCAGAAGCTCCTCATAATAACAGAAACAAAATAAAATCTAGAAATGCATCTTCCAACTAAAATTTGTGAAACTGTGTTCCATCTCTGCTGGATAAAGCTGAGTGCAGCTACAGAAATCAATGTCAGAAAAACCAACAACTGTGGAGTAGAAAGAAAGTAAAATCCCTCAAGACTCTAGAGCCACTGGGTTGTAAATATTCTTAAACCCAGGCTTATAAGACACAGCTGCCAGCCCATATTATACTAAAATGGTTGTGTCATTTTCAGACGAAGCAATTCACATTTGACCACTGCATCTTAATCTATGATTCCCCAAAGGTGGACTTGAATAGACTGCTCTGTGTTTCTTCTTATAGATTTCTACCACCCAAAGAACAGACTAATTTTACATTTCTATCACTCAGTTCCTTTATAAGCTATACCAAACATAAGGAGTATATAGTCTAAATTATTTCCCTCCCTGGAAATATTTATAAAAGTTTATCTCACTTCACACACACATTTTGCAAGGAAAGGTTACCTATAACAGATTGGTGCATGAAATAATATACAACAATGTCCTGGCTCCAAGCAAAGCATGGAATATAATGAGAACTTACCTCCTAGTGAGGGCCCAGTCTCCCTGCACTGTAGGCTGAGCCCATGAGGGCATGTGTAGAATCACGTCTATTGTTGGAAAGACAGACAGAAAAGCAGTCCCCCATTCAGAGGCTGAACCCCTCCAACTGATTCACTTGACCCCCTTTTTGTTCATCCTTGTATTTGGGAATCACAAAGAATTTCTTTTCACAGTTTATTCGGCATATTTGCACCCAAAATCTCATGGAAAGTAAAGAGTGTGATGATCATTTTGTAGATGAGAAAACTGAGACTCAGGCAGAGGCGATCATGGTGACATAGCTAGTGCCTGCAGAACTGTGCAGCTACTCCTTGGTCCTAGAATCAAATTCTCTCTCTCAGGCCAGAGTTGCTCCACATCAGCATCACATTGTCTGTCCAATATCCTCAGTGTCTGTGTGTGCTGGCACCTTCCATCACCTCTCTTTTCCCTCAAAATCCACAACATGCACATTTGCCCAAAGAGCCCCTATTAATCATACTAAAATGTTACCTGAAACTGAATACTAAGATGTTACAGGAAAGGGGTCTGGATCCAGATGCCAAGAGAGGGTTCCTGGATCTCATGCAAGAAAGAATTCAGGGTGAGTCCCCAGTGCAAAGTGAACGGAAGTTTATTAAGAAAGTAAAGGAATAAAAGAATGGCTACTCCATAGACAGAGCAGCCCGAGGACTGCTGGTTGCCCATTTTTATGTTTATTTCTTGATGATATGCTAAACAAGGGGTGGATTATTCATGCCTCCCCTTTTTAGACCATATAGGGTAACTTCCTGACATTGCCATGGCATTTGTAAACTGTCATGGCTCTGGTGGGAGTGTAGCAGTGAAGATTACCAGAGGTCACTCTTGTCACCATTTTGATTTTGTTAGGTTTTGGCCAGCTCCTTTACTGCACCCTGTTTTATCAGCAAGGTCTTTATGACATGTATTTTGTGATGACCTCCTATTTCATCCTGTGACTTAGAATGCCTTAACCATCTGGGAATGCAGCCCAGTAGGTTTCAGCCTCATTTTACCCAGCTTATCTTTAACATGGAGTTGCTCTGGTTCACACACCTCTGACAAAGTGTCCTTTGCTTCTGAAATTATCATCTTACTGATGTAATGGCCCTGTTTATGATAGAATGATTTTAAAACCTTATTTTTAACTATGAGGACCAACAAGCTAAATAAAAGCTCACTTACATCCAGACACAAGTACACACAAGCAGGTACCCATAAACTTTGGTAAAACTGGCTAAGCGCTGGAACTACAGAATGAATTTGTAATCTGAGTAAACAAACTCCATAATGTTTAAATACTCTGAAAGCTGCCACCATGCAAATGATACCCAGGAGCTGTGTGCAAAGATTGCTCAAAGACACGGTGCTTGCCTCCTCCCTCCTGGAGCATATCCCAGACCTAACTGATGCTCTTATAATTGAGATCCCAGACCCCTCCCCACATGTTTCCCAACACAGTGATATCCCAGACCCACTCTGATCTCCAGAACAAGTCCCTGAGACTCTACGACATTATAAAGCTCTCCAGGTGGTTCTGATGACTGCCTTCAGGGGGGATTTCCCCCACCAAAAGAGAGCCACAAGGAAAAGGAAACCACCTGAATTAGTTCTTTTTCATGCTGCCATGAAGAAGTACCTAAGGCTGGGTAATTTATAAAGGAAAGAAGTTTAATTGACTCACAATTCCACATGGCTGGGGAGGCCTCAGGAAACTTAACAATCATGGTGGAAGCCAAAATAGAAGCAGGCACCTTCTCCACAGAGCAGCAGGATGGAGTGAGTGCAAGCAGGGGAGATGCCGGAAACTTATAAAACTGTCAGATCTCATGATAACTCACTCATTATCACGAGAATAGCATGGAGGAAACCACCCCCATGATTCAATTACCTCTACTTAGTCCCACCCTTGACATGTGGGGATTATAGGGATTACAATTCAAGGTGAGAGTTAGGTGGGGACACAAAGCCAAACCCTATCACCCCCCTACTACCTGCTCTGAATGCTCAGCAGCCCCCAACACCTTCCTCTAACCATGACATGAGATGCTAAAGGGACCAACGACCAGAATGGCGTAAAGATTACTTTAAACTAAAAACATCTAAACACACAGCAGCTGAGGGAGAAAAGGGCCTCTCTAAACTTCCCTTGTTTTAGCAGAGCTTTCTGAGAATTCAGCCACCAATTAGAAGAAAGAAGGCTAACCCTCAGCACCTAGATGTGAGCATTGAGCCACAATAATTCGCCTTCCAGGGAGCTTCCAAAGAGAAAGGAGAATGACTGTTAGTACCAGGGTGAGAAATCATGTAAAGCCTTATCAGAGCCTCCCATACATCCCCACTAAAGCCCTAACAACTCCTTATTATGCTGATCTATAAATATAAACCCTTCCTGGCTGTTTGGAGAGGACTCAGGGAGAGCTTCTGCTTGCTTGTCTGAGGGAGGGAAATATGTCTTCCCTCACTCGCCTTAGGTTCTCCACCTGGGGCCCTGTAAATTAGACTGCCCAAAGACAGATTAACAGGAGAAAAGCAAACAGAAGTTTATTAATGTGTGCATGGTGCATGTAACACATTGGAGTACTCAGGGATCAGTAACTCAAGGGGCATTCAGAACCTTGGCTTTCTTAACCCTCTTGCTAAAGGAAAAGGGGTTTGGGGCTTCTGTCTGCAGGGATCAATCAAATGAAGGGGTAAAAGTTTGTATTTTCCTTTCCAAACTTATAGTAACAGGAGAAAAACACATAAGAATTCCTTCTTTGGATTGTGACTGTCATGAATTTGGTTCTGAGTATTCATTGGTTATTGATCCTTTCCCTCCAAATGTAAACCAAAAATAAAATTCTAAGCCCCCCAGCCAACTGAATGGACTCCTTCTCTTGGCCAAGGGCATTCTAAAGTAAACCTGAAACACTAGCTGAGGCCGTGTTGGGAATGGGTGGTCAGACATGCCTCATTATACCCTCCCCCCTTTGGAATTCAGGCACAGCTGACCAGCATTAACATTAAAGCAGAGACATTAAGACTGACAGAACAGACTCTTTAATCTGATAAGAAAAATATTCACAATCTACTCTCTCTGAAGCCTACTACCTGGAAACTTAATCTACATAGTAAGAACTTTGGCCTTCACAATCCCTTTTCTTAACCTAGACACTCCCTCTATTGATTCCAGGTCTTTAAACTCTTTCAACCAATCGCCAATTAGAAAATCTTTGAATCCACCTATGACCTGGAAGTCCTCCCCTGCCCTTCCAGTAGGTCCACCTTCCCAGACCAAGCCAAGGAATATCTTACATGTATTGTTAATAGGATTGATGTCTTATGTCTCTCTAAAAGGTATAAAACCAAGCTGTAGCTTGACCACCTTGGGCACATGTTCTCAGGATCCCCTGGGGCTGTGCCACAGGCCATGGTCACTCAACATTAGCTCAAAATAAATATCTTCAATTATTTTATAGTGTTTGACTCTTTTGGTTGACACCAGGTAGAGTATTGCTTTCCTGTTTTCCTCATTTTGTGTCCTGAAAGTTTGGCTTGGCTTTCTGCCTAGTAGGATACAGATGCCATGGAGTCTATGTCTGCTGGTTCTCAGTGGCCTTTAGCTCAAAATAATTCATGTGCCAAAGAGGTATATTTTGGGGTGGTGTATTTTAGTACTCCTCAATGTGTGATCAACTTTTCTTCTGTTAATCTACTTATTAATTCTCAGGGCCTGACTGCTCAGAACTAAGTTAGTAAAGGAAAAGTTTTCTTCCAATATCACCAAGCCATTGAATGAACCCTGCTACCACTCACTTCCAGGATTCTTGTTATAAGGAAAAAAAAAAAACCCTAATTTGTTAAACACATTATTAGTTGGCTCTGAAACCACCATTGCAAAAATTATAACAGTGAGAAAATTATGACAGTGAAAGAAATCTGATCTAACCAACCTGCATGTTGACTTTAACCTCCAAACTGCCCTTGGTCATTCCTCGGCTTGGGCCACATTAACTTTAGGAGAAAATAAGTTTATTGTTTAAACAAGAATGGGCCTTCCACGAAGCAAACTGCCTTTGTAAAATGAATAAAAGACCACTAGGATACAAGGATGAAAGGAGCCTGGATTCTGCTAAAATGTAGGTGTAAATGATTACCAGCCGTTATTCCGAAGGACACAAGATTTGCAACTTCTCCAATTACTCCTGCAGATAATATCACTATTGTAGAACCCAAGATTAACCTTTTGAGATGTCTTTTCAGGTTTTTGCATTTCTGCCAAACAGATGGCCCCACGTAAACCCATGACTCTTGACTCAACTGGTCCTGTGGCCCCCACCCAGAAGTGGACTCAGCGCATGAGGAGCATATTCCACCTCCCTATAATGGCATCCCCAACAAATCAGCAGCACCCATTCCCCTGCCTATGAAACTATCCTGGAAAAACCCTAGCTCTCCAAATTTTTGGAGAGACTAATTTAAGTAATAAAACTAATCTTCCATTTGCTGGTTCTGCATGAATTAAACTCTTTCTCCTATCTTGATAAGTTGGCACTATCTGGGAAGAGGGCAAGGAGAACCTTGGCAGTTACAGGTCTTCCACAGCTTAAACAAGAAATTAGAACTCAGTCTTTTGAGCCAGGACACAAGATAACTGGGGGCCAGGATCTAGGGTCTGTCTTTTCCCCTGGAGCTCTGGCTGGGATGGCTTCCTGAGAAGGAATGCCAAGCATGACCTGGCTGGTCAGAGCAACCACAAGACCCCAAATGTAACAGGAAGAGTCATAGTGCTGACACTTAGACCCCAGAAGAACCACAGGAGAAACTGTAGCAACATCTGAGCACCTCAAGGTGTGATCAACTCCTACATATCCTACTCCAAAAACTAATACAAATCAGCTTCTCATACTTGTTCCTTGAATAACCCATGGCAATTCTAGATTAGTCTGGTAAAATGCAAAAGAAATTTTTTTTAAATGCAGTTATGGTTTTCAAAAACTTGTCTAATTAATCCTATTATTATAAAATGTTCAGATATGCAAAAAGAAAAGCCTACATGTTTTCATAATTAAATGACAGTCTCTTCTTCAAAGTCCTCTATATGTCAGGGGAAGCTTGGAGCCAGGTGCCGGGATGATGGTAAAGGTGAATGGAGAAATTAGAGGGAGTGCTCGAGCTGAATGTATGTTTCTTTCAGTGTCAGCAGAAGAGGAGGAGGCAGAGGGTGGGAGTGAGCTGAGTTCCTGGTAAGTAGGCTGAAAGAGCAGGATAAAAGGAGGGAAAACAATGAGCACCACACCCAGACCTATATCTGAGTGGAAAGGGTTCATGAACTCTAAGATGAAATGGGAACATGAACTAGGAAGCCTAAACCTTTAAATTAACCTAGCAGTTGGCAAGACTCTAAAAGAATATTTTCGCGTTTTAAAAGCCATGTGGAAACTATTTGAATCTTGATATCTTCATCCACAAAATAAAAGAAAGGGAATAAGTGGGCTCTGAGGTTCTCTCAGCACTGAGATGCTATAATTCTATCATTTGTCTTCTCAAGAGGATTCTGGCCATAGCTTTTCAAGTTACATCTGTATCTCTTCCTCCAGCCTTCCTCTAATCTGAAAAAGAAGGCATATGAGTTGGAAAATAAATTCTCATATTATCTTTCAACAGAATGGCTAGTGCATTTACTTCTAGCCCAACTATTGAGCCTCAGAAATCAACAAGCCGAATAATTCATTCTGTAATTTTTTTAAAAACACCCATCATGAATCAGGCACTGTGGTTGCTTTCGGGATACAGAGAAAGAGACAGGATGCAGTGTCAGCCTTCAAGTCACGCACCACTTAGGCCAAGCCAACCATTTTTCCAAAGTCTATTCTAAGTGTTGTTGAATAAATGAATGAATTATTATTGTAACTCTATGATAATTTGTGTAAAGGGCAGCTCTTCCCGTCTTGCCCACATTCTCTGAGGAAACAACATAAAAGAGCATATTCGTACTATTTCTCCAGCTGGGTGTCTCTATCCTGGCCCAAGGTGAGAATGTAGGCCAACGTTTTATGAGTATCCAAGCAGGGCACACCTACCCCACTGCAAATGCTTTCTTGCTTAAATATCGCTGAACAATAATAAAGATTTAGGTAGTTCTTTGTTGAAGGGTTCAAGAAATTTCTCCAAAACCTGGCAGAATATGAAGCTGACAGTGATAGATGGAATAAATTACTGTTCCACAAGGCATCTCACTCTCTTGAATTCTCAAAAGAAGGAAGCCCTCTGTCTAGTCCTTCCGTAAGTGTCCCATATGGATGGTTTATTTTCTTCTCTGGCTCCATTTCTTCCTACTTTTCCCTTCCTCTATGCCTCATCCCAACTAGTGACCTAGATCACAGTCTTACCCCCATTCCAGGATACCCCATGCCCTCTGCCAAATAATTAAGTTCCAATACTCAGGTCAATTTCTGTTCTTGCAAATATCCCAATCTCAGGAACTCACTGAATAGCAATTCCTTTCCCTCAGACAAATATCTGCTGGTGTGCAGTGAGGAAAGGGTTTGCTACCTCCACTTGAGGGAACTCAGAGTTCACTCTCTGAGCTTTAGTGCCTTTTATTCTAAAGTATCTAAAAATAATAGCAGCAACAACCATTGAAAAGGAAGTATAAGCAGGCAAATTTCCTTCTGCTGGCAGCATGTATTCTTCCAAGTAGCATTACTTTGAAAACTAGTGTTTAAGTTTACCCACCATAATGTGAGAATAAAGAGATGTGCAAGCAGATATTGATAAACAGCCAAATGGAGTGACTCCACTTGGTGAGACAGGGGAAGGCTTCACAGACAATGTGATATTTGACCTGATTTTTGCAGAAAGTTTACCAGGCACAGAGGTGATGTAAGGGTGGAGAAGCTCTAGGTCATATTCTAGGCAAGGGGACAACATGAAGAAGTCACCGAGTTCCGGCTCTGTCTGGTATTTGCAGACATTTTAAAAATCCATCCACCTCCAAAGTATCTTGAGAATCCTAGACCTGTAGCCTCCTTCCCAGCGGCCACCCTATGGAAAGGCTTCAAAGGCATACACAACTTTTAAGAAACGGCAAAGGAGACTCCAGACTACTCCTCAGCTAACTTTATAAACATACTCCTAGTGGCAAACGAGGTGGTCTAGAGGATAACAGATGCAGAAACAGGGAGAAAAGAACAAAGCCATGTGCAACGCTATTTGTATATTCTATGTCCCAAATGGAAAGCATAAGATGCAATTCCTTCTGTTATTCCATGACAACTTAAAGTAAGTCAATATGACCCTTATTTTCCCACAAACCACATGTAAATTAAAAAAAAAAAAGCTATTAAGGGCCCACTGTATACTAAGCACAAGATTCTGTGGGGCAAAATGTAACTAAGTCCTGTTGTGGAGACAGGAGTCTACAATACAGCAAGATGGAAGAGATCATGGAACTAGAAGAAAAGAGTAATGTTAGTAATTAGAAATGGCATCTAAATAGAGGAGTCAGTGAAGGCTTCTTGAAGGACATGTTAATCTAGGCCATGAAGGCTGAGTAAAAATTTGACAGGTGAAAATGTGAGAGGAAGGCAATTTAAGTAGGAGAAGTAACATACAGTGGGGAAACCCTAGACATGTGTGGAGTTGCCCAGTGAAATGTTCTGGGATAATAGAAATGTTTCACATCTATGCTGTCTGATATGATGGTAGCCACTAGCTACCTGAGGCTATTGAGCTCTTGAAATTTGCTGGTGTAACTAAAGACCTTAACTTTCAGTTTTATGTAATTTTAATAAAATATGGAAATAGTTGAAGACCAGCTGAATGAAAACAGACAACAGGCTAAGCCTATTTACTTAGAGCTTGCTGCAGCAGGGAGTCAGGCAGAATCATCTGTGTTTTGGCAGAGACTCAAATGCAGGCAGAGGAGTGGGAGAGCTTTAGAGTAGAAAAAAGGGAAGGCTTTAGGTGTGCCCTATGCAGAGGCTGTTGGCGTGTGGAAGCTGTAGGCAGGCTAACTAGAACACAGCATCCTATGTTATTGGTTAGGGGTACATTTTTGGCTTTTTCTGGTTGGTCTTAAGTTGGAACTGGAAACAAAAGTTACAGAAGCTATCAGTTATGAATCAAGTCCTGGCTGTTTGGGGCTGATTGTTACAGAGGTTATTGTTTGGCTTTCTGGATTGTTGCTAGAGATATCAGTCTGACTTCCTACAAATCTGACTTATAGGCAGTAGGCTGGCCTCCTGGGCTGGTTACTATAGATGATTAGTTGGTTTCCTGGGCTAGTTGCTGCATATTATGGGGCAAAACTCTATTTTTATTTTAGTCTAGCCGTTGCACATTTATATATTCCCTCTTACATTACAGCTGGCTAGTGGCCACAGCAATGGACTGTGCAGTTCTACAGTAGCATGAAACCCAGCTGGTGGAGCATAGGGTATGTTTCAGGAAACTAGAAAAAAAAAAAAAAAGAAGCCAAGAATAGAGATAAGACCAGAGTGTGGAAATCTGGGTGCCAATCTATGGAATTTGTATTCGTATTGATATAAATTAAATATCATGGAAAATTTAAGGACAGGAAGCTACATGATCACATTTTTGTTTTCTAATGATTAATTTGGTTTTAATCTGCAAAATGGACCTAAGAAAGAAACTACTGGTTAGCATATTGTAATAGATCAGCTTAGCATAGTGGAATAGCACAGGCAAGAGGAAATGAATGCTGTAGGATAACGGGAATGTAGATGCAAATAAGTGAGCAAGAGCAAAAATAATTTGGATGTACAATATGGAGCTCTTTAAATCTGATTGGATTTAATGAATTTACCATAAGAAAAAGAAAAAACAAAGGCCACCAAATCATTGTTAAGCCCAGACAAGATGGAAGGTTATAGATATTTTAAGAACTAGAGAAGTAAGAAAATAGCGTGGTTGGAGGATAGGGCAAAGGGTTTGGAGAGTGGGGGCGATGATCAGTTTGAGATTCAAACTAGTAAACCTCAACAGATTGAAGACAGATCGAAAATGAGAAAACAAATCAGAAAAAAAAACAAAAGAAAATATACTTTCAATGAGAGAAAGACCTCAAAAAAATTAATAAAAGGGTATGCCAATAATAATTACATAATTTTATTTGGTAAACAGTTATGTATTCTGCTTTAAATCAACAGGTTATGCGTGATAGACAGTATTCAGAGAGTCACAGTTAAAGTAGAACAGTTCTGTTTAACATTAGCAGTAATGCCAGCTGTCTGGTTGCTTTTGTTGTTGGATAAGACCTGATTTTGCTCTCTGTTCTGCTTGGGTTGTATTAGTGTATTAAAATAAATAAATCTAAACAAGGATTCTTAGTAATATGCCTCATGATTAATTAGAAAAATCCTCATGAGGAGAGGTTGCCCATTCTATTCAAGAGGTTGTAATCTCCTCCGGCTTCACGGGGCAGACACTGAGTGCGCATCTAGGATTTAGGGTTAACCAGCATCTCATCTTTCTGGTTAGTCTAATTTGGTTCACTGCAACTTTCTTCTTTTCTCAGTTAATTGTATTCCTTTTTTCTTAGTACCTTTGTTTCAAAAGGTATTCAAATTCAAAGGCCTCCCTGATGAGCTGGTATCCATGCAACTAGGGCCCAGTCCCCCAAAGACAGTACCATCGTTCCAACATGTCAGGTGGAAACTGATCAGTGGGGCACCAGATTACTAGAAAACAGAAAAGTTCTCAGTCTCCACTGTCTTGTGAGGCCCCAGAAGGCAGGAACTCTTGTTTGATTCAATGCCACCTCTGAGGTCCCTGAAACAGAGTAGTTCCTCAAATCACTTTTGCGGAATTAATCACTTTATTTAAAAAAAAAAAAAAAAGGCTTCAAAACCAGGTGAAAAGCTGACCTATGTCACAAATCCTCCAAGATCATTATATCATTTATTTATTTACTAAAATATTTGCCGAGTGCCAACTACAAGTCAGATAGTATGCTAGCGGAATGTCTGAAATAAAGAGATTAATGCAACTATTTAGTCTTTGTCCTCCAAATTACTTTAAGATCTTTGCTATTTATGGTTTCGTGTGACATCAACAACAAATCATGCTTAATTCTCCATGCTGCTCAATCATAATGTTGCACTTATAAAGCAACTAAAAAATCTTTATGGGAATAAACCAGTGATGAAGAATATTACTATCTTAGCCAGGCTTGGTGGCAGGCTCCTGTAATCCCAGCTACTTGGGAAGCTGAGGCCACAGAATTGCTTGAACTGGGGAGGTAGAGGCTGCAGTGACACAGGACCATGCCACTGTACTCTAGCTTGGGCAACAGAGCGAGACTCCGTCTCAAAAAAAAAAAAAAAAAAAAGAGTGTCACTGTCATTTTCCCAAGAATGCCCGGCTTTTCCCGTTTTCCCCCTCTCTCCCTTCAGTGTTTTTAACCTTAAGGTTTCATTGAAAAAATAACAACACAATTCAGCTATTTTATATCCAGAAATTAAAGGCACTCGTTTAGAGAATATACATACATATATGCATGAGACAACGTAATTTCACTGACACTAAACTTTCTAGCATGATTTCCTTCAGCTTCATCTTACCTAAAATCAAGATTCTCTCTAAAAGCAAGCCCCAAAAAAGTATACTTCACAGATTGATATCAAAAACACATACTTTAAGAAAAGTAATTAAGATATACTGATAACAAATGCAGAATAATAAAATAGGGTCATTTATCTTTGGCCGCCTTTTCCTTCTGCTTTTGGAATGTATTTCACAGAAAACAAAGAAGTCGTAAACTGGATTTGGTTTGAAATTGTCCCTGCACATCTTTAGAGCATGTTCAGTGATCACTGGGTGTAATATATGCTAATCTGAAGTTGAATGCAGCCTCAGGTGTTGTAACATTCTTGCTCTCAGCCTGAAGGAAAGGCATTAATTAACTGCAGTTCTGACTCGCAAAGCCAAAGTAGAATATCTCACTGCTGTAGTGATCCAGAAACCACTCATTCTATGTAAGCATTTTCAAAACTCCAAAGGATCCTCTAAAAGTGGATATCATTATGAAGGCTTTGACCCAGAGCCATCCTCAGTGGTAAATCCTCTCCCTGGGATTTTTGCCAGCCTGGCAAGGAGATCAATACAACATTCAGATAGATTTATTTCCAATAGACAAATAACTCACGTATGGGAAAGTCGCTTAATGCAATCCTGAGCTTCCAGACTCCTCTGCGTCATTCTGCTCCCCCTGATTGCATTTCTTGTAAGCAGGACAGGCCTTAAGGGAAGTCTTTGAAGCCCTTGGACACCTCTTCTGCGCCCTGCAATCACCTTCGAGGGCTCTGCTCTCACCCTCTTGAAATCCCATCATATGAATAAATGCTTATCTATCCCCTTAAGAAATGAGGTCAGCACTTTCAGGAAGCAGCTTGCCCAGTGAGGCCAAGAGAACCAGACATTGAGCTCCTTTTCCTTTCAAAGAGACTGTCTCTATCAGGAGATTTTTGGCAAGTGAAACAACCCCACTCAAACTAATGTAGGCAGAAAAGATTTAATCAAACCCGCCGCATAACCCACAGGATCAGGAAGATCAGAAAACCAGGCCTGGAGGATACACAGTTGGAAAAGATGCCCCTTTCTTGCACAGGACAGAACAGTCACGAAAACAGCAACAAAGGACCTGGTGAAACTGACCACTGCACCATCCCCCTTAGACTGAGTCTGGCCCTGACTCATGGTGGCTGCATTCACTGTTGTGTCCCAAGCCTGATATCCAAAAGCCAGTCCCTAAAAGAGAGTATGGCAACAGAACGTATGCCTGGGGTCAGGCACAGGAGGGCCGTTCCATGGGGGAGTCTGTAGACAAAGCTAAAGTGAAAACAGACGTTAATGACAGGAGCAGCATCAAAGTTGTCAAAGGCAAAACAAGTCCAAGCCAACAGGAACACAGACTGCTTATTTACAGACCTGCAACAAGGAAACCCATCTGCCTTGTCATCGTTTCAGCAGGGGTTCAAGGGTGTTAGAAAGGAAAGGAAGCTTTATCAAGTAAAAGAGAGCTTCCTGTGAGGCCATGTCTGATTGGCAAGCATGCTATTAAGGTGAAATTTTTGGAAGTGGGCAGACTTTCTAATTGGTTTTCAGATACATATGATAGCCCATGGTTGGCTGCAAGCAGGGTAAGTGAGCCATTTGGGGATGTTTCCAAGGAGAATGGATTTGTTCATTTCTATGCTGATCATTTTGTGGAGCAAGAGGGGGTCCCGCAGGTGTATTACAGCGATGCAATGGTTCTCAGGACAAGTTGACTGCCAGGGCTTTAGACTGTCCTTGAGAACAAAGTCTAAGGGAGAAACTGGGTCAGGAACCAAGGGAGTCCGCCTGTGGCACAGATACACAAAGAGAAAGCAGGCGCAGGGTGGCACTGACTGCCATCTCTGCTGGGTTTTCCTACTCCAGTCACAGATCCTCAGGGGAGCATCTGAATCCTTCATGTCTTGCCTGGCTTTTTGGTATGGAAATGCAATCTTCTCATTTGGCATGATGAATTGTTGGAACAGCCAATTGCCTTTACATTGTGGTTCTTCTCTACACAATCAAATGATACAACTTTTGGACATGAAAGTAAGGATGCTATACAAAATGTGTTTGGATGAATGCATCAGTGAGGCTGCCCTTATAAGGGTTAAAACATTGGGCAGCAACTGACAACTCATCCAATAATACAAAATTATATGATTGTTTTCCAAACTGGCCCAGGGACACTAAAAAAGACTTTCAGGTTAATAATAGCTTAGCCTCTGTCACCTCCTCCTATATTACTCTCTCTCTCTCTCTCTCTCTCTCTCTCTCTGTGTGTGTGTGTGTGTGTGTGTGTGTGTGTGTGTGTGTGTGTGTGTTTGTTGGAGCTGAGGATTGAGGTTGGATGGATAGAAAGAAAAGAATAACAAAATCTAAGAACTTTAGAAAATAGCTTGAAAAAAGGTATGTGTTTCTACACAGCCTGATGTAAACTTTACATAAGTATACAAGCTTAGCTCCTATTTAGCTTTGAGTAAAAATCAGATGATGACCATTACTTCTTAATATCCAGGTAGCTGTTTACCATATTCCTTCTGAAATTAACCCATGCAATATTTATCTTGAATGCTTAGTACCTATTCCTTTGATAAACTGCCTCTTACAAATAATAAAAAAAGAAATAAGAGTTGTTCAATCTATCCACTTGTTTTAATTAAAAGTAAAATTTCTGGAGGAAAGAAGTGTCTTAATAAAATGCTGATCACACAGACTTTTAAATAAATATTAAATAGTAATGTGTATGAAACACCCACATCTTTGAGAGAATGGACCAAAAAAATCCCATATGAATTCAGCAGGATCTAATACATAGTTTGAATAGCATGTTATATTTTCTCTGATATTTTTCCAAAAATGTAAAAGAGAATATTAATTTTCCAAAAACATTTTCTTTTGCTTACAAGTAAAAGTTAGTTTGAATAAAGCAGCTTTTCATATTCTTATTTATTAAATTCCCATCTCTACACAAATTGTCCTCCTTTAGAGTTTTGTTGTTCCAATTATTTTTGCTTTTTCTTTGTTGTTTTGCAATTCCATAATGTGATGGTTGCCTTGGCAATAGAAACGAGGGTTCAAACCTTTTAAAATGATAACCATCTCCATTCCACATTATTTATTGGATTTCATTCAGGTATATTCTCCTTTCTTTTTTTATCTTTATGAATTTAAAGTTACTTCTTCCTTTGTCGTCCTGATTTTCATTTTCTAAATACTTTTCAAACTGCCAGTATTTCTTACCTATTCTATTGAAATGGAAAATCAAGTCCATGATTTCATATGCAATTAAAAAACTGACATTTGCATTCGAAATTCCCAGTGTTGTGGACACTGAAATTTGAATATGACTGAGTGCCCTATTCCCCTGCACAGGAAACCATTCATAGTTACTGTGTCTGTCAGCACCACTGGTCTGGGGATGCCAGGAGAGGGGAAATTAGGAGCAGCAGAGTTGGAAAGCACATGATGAGGGGTTTCCATGCAGCCCCTATCCAGCTCCATTCCTTAGGTAGCAAAGAGTTCTTGGTAGCAGCTTACCTTGGCATTTAGCTGCTGTGTGACTGAAGTAATTTTACTGTGGTGGTTGGTCTAATCTCTTCCCTTTTCATGTGTGGCCATGGAGAGACGCTACACCTTAAGACCTTAAAGTATAGCGCTCATGTAGTGCAAAGGCATGCCCGCTGCTGATCTGCAGCCCAGGGTTGAGCAGTTAGAGTGAGAATTTGCCAGAATTCGCTGTGCCAATAACTCGCGGAATCTCCTGATCACCATACTAAGCTGATGGAATTACAGGACTTTCATGAAGATGGAAGTTGGGGTTATTCGGCCCATGAGTTCTTAGTCTAGGAAAGTAGATTCCTTCAAATCCCATAGATAGACTGACATGGGTCATGGACTCTTCAAATTGAATGTGAAATTTAGGGCAAATGCATTTTCTGAAGAAAGAGCCTAGGACTTTATTCATTTCTCAAAGAGGTCTATGACAAGCAGAGCTCATGTCACAGTTTGCTGAGGACAGTCATCTTTATGCCCATTGTCCCGGCTTGATTATTAATAATGCCCCATTTCACTCTCAAAAGTATCCTAGTTCCATTGACAAGTTATATGGTCTTCCTACCTGACTCACAGAAGAATAAGAACCACTGATTTGGTCCAACCCTCCACTTTCACACAAGAACTATTGTAGAATGATTTTATAGAAGAAGCTGTCGAGGCACAGAAATTCATAGGAGGCATTTATTTGGATAAGTAAGGTGTAGTTATATCACACGGAGATTTGAAAACTAAGCAAAATCCTTCAGACTTCACTAAGATAAATATTTTAATCACCAACATATCAGCATTGCTGTTGTGGCAGTATTATGGGTTCAATTCAAGATGAAGGGAATCCACTTATTTGTTGCAGTTTAGGAATTATACTATTTCACATTGTTTTTTTTCCCCCTGTTCATATGGTGTGAAGAGGTAGCAAATCCTATGATCAGCAATAAACAGGTTTAATTCAAGTTAACAAATACTGATTGAGCTTTGACCAGGTTCCAGATACTCTGCTAGGTATTTGTGGGATTTAGATGATAGATAAAGACAAAAAAAGACAAAGATGAATAAGACCAAAGGTAACCCTTCAAAGACTTTAGGGACTAGGAGAGAAAAAAAAATATGGAATAACTAGCAAAGTCTTTAAGATGTGATCATTTATCAAAGATTAGGTTCAACTGCAACAGGAATAATAGTGGCTTAAACAAGATGAAAGCTTATCTTTTATCTATGTAAAAATAAACAGCCCTGTGTGGTGGAGTATGCCTATAGTCCCAGCTACTCGAGAGGCTGAGACAGAAGAATTGCTTGAGCACAGGAGTTCACAGCTGCAGGGAGCTATGATCACACCTGTGAATAGTCACTGCACTCCAGCCTGGACAACATAGCAAGACCCCCATCTCTAAAAAAAATAAAAACTAAAAACTACAAGAAAAATGGGGACTTATAAGTCCTGTGTTATAATACATAAAAATTTATTTTTAAAAATATGGAATTAGGCAGTCCAAGGCTGAAGTGGTGTTCTAGAGAGCCAAGGGTCCAGGCCTTTTTTTTGTTATTATTCATTGTTCCCCTATCATATATGGCCTCTTTTTCCAAAATTATCATAAACCTGAATGGCTGCGCCAGCTTCAGGCATCACGTCTATATTCATGCCAGCACAAAGGAAGAAAGAGAAGAAGAAAAATATGCCCTTCCCTTTAAGGACTTCCCAAAGGTTACACGAACTACCTTTCCTTACGATTAGACTTTTCCTTAATCCTATTGACTATGACTAAACCTTTTCTTAATTCTATTGGCTGTAACTGGGTAATATGGCCATGCCTGAATACAAGGAAACTGAAAAGTAGCCTTCATTCCTGACATTCATGTGCCCAGCTAAGACTCGGATTCTATTACTGTAGCCAAAAAATAAGATGATTGGAGGACAATCAGTAGTGTCTGTGACATCTACAACGGAGCAGTTGGAGAGGAGTAGGCAAATCCCTATCTACTGGCAAGAAAGATGTCCAAGAACATTTCCAAGTGAGGACGCAGGTTGTGAGGTCATATGTCCATTATCACCCATCTAAGGTTCTGAAAACAGACATTTATCAAGGCATGGAGAAAGTTCTGGAAGTTACACTCTTTTTCTCTCAGAGAAAGCTGGAATTGGGGTTTGGAAAGAAGAGGAAATATGTCTATTTACTCAACATACTTCTGAATTCTTTAATTGTTGAAATCCTCTAAGAACTTGTATTCTGCGGTCATTTTTAAATACAAGGGAAAAACAAACAAACAACCCAGGCTGTAAGGAAGAAAGTGATAAGAGCATTAGCAGTAAAGTAACAAAGAACAGATGAAAGTCAACTAGAATGGCTTTAGGGGAAGATGGTATTCGAGTGGACCTTCTTAAATAGTAAGGTTTTAGCCGGTACAAATTTCAGAAGACGGTAACTCTGTCATAAAGTGTGCATTAATTCAAATAGTAAGGAATCTTAAGGTGTATCCCGTGTGACTGAGTGCAGGCTGCAATGGGTTATCATGGACAAGAACACTAGAGATGAATGGAGGCCAGATTATGGAGAACCTTGACGGCCTTGCTCAGAAGTTCGATTTATAATCTGAAGCTAAGGGAGAGCTTCAAATGTCTCCAAGCAGGGGAGTGTTAAGATCTATATTTAAGACAGATGCGGTGGCTCACGCCTGTAATCCCCACATTTTGGGAGGCCGAGGTGGGCAGATCACCTGAGGTCAGGAGTTTGAGACCAGCCTGACCAACATGGTGAAACTCCGTCTCTACTAAAAACACAAAAATTAGCTGGGTGCAGTGGCACATGCCTATAATCCGAGCTGCATGGGAGGCTGAGGTACAAAAATCACTTGAATGTGGAAGCAAAGGTTGCAGTGAGCGAAGATCGTGCCACACTCCAGCCTGGTTGACAGAGTGAGCATCAGTCTCAAAAAAAAAAAAAAGAAAGAAAGAAAGAAAAAAAAGATGTATATTTAAAGAGATAACCCAGATAGTAATTGAAAGAACACTGTGATCAGAAGAAATACTGTTAGAAGGCCATGAGGCTTAAGGTCCTGAATAGTGAAGTTCTGAATATGAGCAGAAGCCCAGGGAATGGAAAGGACTGGACAAACCCAAAGCACATTTGTAAGGCAGACTTGTTAACTACTTTGTTTCGGAAGGTGAAAACAGAGAATGACACTCCAAGTGTCTGGGAGAAATGTCAATGTTATTAATACAAAGAAAGTAACAGCTTTATCTGAAGGAAAGCTTTCATTCCATTTTGCTTTGTTGGAAACTCAGGTCTAGTGCTCAGGGTGAAAGGTAGGACTAGAGGTGTAGATTGTAGAGTCATGATAATAGGTGTCGTCACAGGAGTGAATAGTGGGAGGGAGGGAGGGAGAACAGAAAGAAAAGGAGAGGGAGGAAAGGGGAAAGAAGAGGAGAAATTTACAGAACAGCACTTTTCTTTTTTTTCTTTTTTTTTTTTGAGAGTCTTGCTCTGTCATGCAGGCTGCAGTACAGTGGCACAATCATGGCTCACTGCAACCTCCACCCTCCTGGGTTCAAGCGATCCTCCCGCCTCAGCCTTCCAAGAATCTAGGATTACAGGCATGCACCACCACATCCAGTTAATTTTTGTATTTTTAATGGAGACAAGGTTTCACCATGTTGGCCAGGCTGGTCTCAAACTACTGACCTCAAGTGATCTGCCTTCCTCAGCCTCCCAAAGTGCTGGGATTACAGTCATGAGCCACTGCGCCTGGCCAGAAGAGCACAGCTTTAGTCAGAAAAAAAAAAAAAAAAAATATATATATATAATAATTTTAATTAAAATATTGATTTCACTAATTCTTACCTTTTTTATGATTTGGTAAGAGTTATGCTACTCATTTTACAGGGAAGAAAAATAAGGGCCAAATATTCATTCATTTAACAAAAAAAGTATTTATTTAGCACCTGCTAGGTATGAGCACCAAACTAGTCCATGAGGATTTGCTGGTGAGTAATGTTGTCCAAGACTCTCCTCTCATGGGACTTACATTCTTGTGGGGTAAACAGTCAACAAATAAGCAATGAATAATGACATAATCACAACTTGAGTGCTATGCAGGAAACAGGAAGGGTGATGAAACAGAGTACCTGGGGAAAGACACTTTAGATATTGGACCAAGGGAAGGCCTCCCTGTAGAGTGAGCTTTGCCTTGAGGCTTAGAAAATAAGATGAAGAGAAGTGGCAAAAATCATTATAGCCCAAAGTCGAACACAAGATCCTGAGGCAGGAAAGGACCTGGTGTGTTTAAGGAACATGAAAACCCCAATATGCCATTGCTTCATGAACAAATTGGAGAGTGGAATGAGATAAGGTTAGATGAGGAGGATCTGGTAAGCCACAGTGAATCATTAAAGCTTTCTTATCTGCAGGAAGGAGAAGCCAAGTGAAGGGTCTTAAGCAAAGAAGAGACAGAATCCAAGTAATATCTACTGTGTAAACAAAAGATCAGAGAATATCATGAGTGGAAAACCAAGAAGTAAGATATGATAGCAGCCTGGCTTAAGGTAGCAGGCTGGAGTTGGTGGCATCAACTTGCTGCTGTTGATGTCATCTTCAGTAACAGAAAGGAGTCATATTCAGAAAGGGAAGGAGGGAAGAGAAGGAAGCAAGGAAAATCTCTACATTGGAGACTTTTTTGTCAGTTAAGTGGATGGCAGTTCTATATACTGAGAAGAAGAAGATGGGGGAGGGAGCCACTTTGGGCATAATAGTGGGGGTGAAGAGATGGGTTGGGGAGATGGCTATCAAAGACTTCCTTTTGAAAATACTAAGTTTGAGAGGAATATTAGACACCCAAGTAAAATTCTCAAGTTGGTAACTATGTCTACAGCTAAAAGTTTGAAATTTGTTGGAATATAGAAGGGGTTTGAAATTGGGGGACTGTTTAAGTTTATAAGGGAAGAAGAGAGAATGGGTAGAGAAGAAAAATCTCACTAGGAACTGAGTCTCAAGGCCAGAGGATTCACTTGCAATGGGTCCTTCCACAAACCAGGGTCAGATCTAGCAATTTATTTTTACATCATCAGTTAGTATTGGAGTGGCGGCCGAGGCCAGAACTCAACTAAGTGGAGGTAGAGTTATGAATATATGTAATGGATACAGTAAGCCATGTTTCTGTGGTTCAGTCTCTTCCTTGGATACTTAAATAAGTTACTGCTAAGCTGCTTCCGCCTAGGAGTGGCTTTCAGGATCCCTCTGATTGCCATCTTACTTCTAGATTCTACATTAGATGTGACAGGCACAGGCCAGTTGGCAATTATTGTGTCTTACTTTTATAAGGAAAAACTCTATGGCAATTTTTAACTTTTTCACCATCTGAAGGCATTGGACATGTAAAATGCTTCTATAGTCAACCAAGTGAAACCAGTTTTGAGCAATTGTTACTGCCACTGAGCTACAGTTCACAGATAGTCCAGTCGCATGACAATATAACTGAAAAGTGAGGACAAAGGGCTGGAAGCTCTGTTTAAAAACTTTAATAGCTATTCAGAATATGTGCATTGCACAGTTTATTTCTTTAATCACACTGGAGAAAAAGCTGCCACCACAACACTAAAACTGTTGACCACTTCAATAGGTTGCAACAGTTATAAGCATGCCACCTTGATTGTTTTTTTAAGAATCTAAGTATAACAAGATGATGTCCCCTTTATAAAGTTGTTCTCAAGCCTTATAACAGGAGTAAATTACGTTTTGAGGACTCTAAAATTTATTTCTGAGGAACTGAAAGAGAAACTTGAACATAAATAAAAAGCAAAAAAGCGTTATTTGAAATGTTAATAAAGTTCCAATGTACCATTTTGACTGCAGTTTTGAGACATTTGTAACTGTAACATGTCAGTAAAATAAGTGAAAAAAAAACCAGAATTAATTGGACTGATATAAAGAATTTCTTTTTTGTAATTTTGAAGTGTATTTATAAAATGATATAAGGGGAAATTCTGGTAAAAATAATAGTGGACTATGAAATAAAAATAATAAAGATAGGAAATCAATAAAAATTATTCTAACATGAAAAATAAAATGTTAACAAAAATAATATTAGAACCTACCAAAGCAGGTCTTCATTAATAGAAAAAGATAAATTCAGAATAGGAGTAAAGATTGCTTCTTCATCCCATTAATGACCAGGAGTGAATCTTATCAGCACATTAGAAAGATACTAAGTCTCTTGCTGATTTAGTGCAAAATACTGAGGATGACCAAGATAACATAAATCTCATGCTACCCCACTACAATAAGCAGTAACTTACTTAACTATCCAAGGACTTTTGCTATTAACCATTTGATAACAAACAGTTAATGAGCATTGCTTTCATTTCAGAGTAACTGTGACTAATTACTGTACAAGAAAACTTGAAATGCCCTAAATTCTTACAGCTTAATTACAAAAGAAACTTGATAGAGATTGCACAAGTTGACCATCCCAAAATGTTACGTGGCATTAACAATATTAAATTAGAAAGCTGAAAGGAAAGTCAATAAAGTAAACATAATATTCAACAAATTCTGTTCCACTAGAAGAAATACTGAATTATTTTTCTGTTCTGTCTATAGAAAATATTCCAAAATTATCATCATATAGAGTTGACCAAAAACTAGGCAGCCAAAACTGTAAAAGGGAAAAGTTAAAGAGCCATGTCAGACAGTTAGCTAATAAATAATATTTTTTTTCTTCTTTGAGACAGTCTCACTCTGTTGCCCAAGCTGGAATGCAGTGGCACAATGTTGGCTCACTGCAAGCTCCGCCTCCCAGGTTCAGGCCATTCTCTCTCCTCAGCCTCCTGAGTAGCTGGGACTACAGGTGTCCGCCACCATGCCCAGCTAATTTTGTTTTTGTAGTTTTAGCAGAGGCGGGGTTTCGCCACATTAGCCAGGATGGTCTCGATCTCCTGACCTTGTGATCCACCCACCTTGGCCTCCCAAAGTGCTGGGATTACAGGCATGAGCCACCACCCCTGGCCTACTGTATGTTATTTTTTAAATTTCATGATGTCCTATGTATTAAACTTTTGTCCTATGTATAATGTTTTAAAAATTGTCCTATGTATAAACTTTTCAAAATCTGTTATGATTTTTTTCTCTGAATATTTACTTTCATACTTAATTTCGCATTTATAATTTTGGATTGTTTTACTTAAAGAATGTACCTACAGTGTATAAGCTTCAGGCCCCCCAAATCCTAGATGTACCTCTGTCTGAGGCCTGTGAGCATTCAGCTCTTGAACAGAAAAAGAGGAATGCTATGAAAAAGTGCTGTCACAAAAGCCAAGAGATGAGACTGTTTCAAGAAGGATAGCAGCAAATGCTTCTGAGAGTTCAAGATAAAGGTTGAGATGATGTATTCTTTGGGTTCAGCAGCTTGAATGTTGATATGGTTTGGCTGTGTCCCCACCCAATCACCTTGAACCGTAATAACCCCACGTGTCAAGGACAGGGCCAGGTGGAGATAATTGAATCATGAGGGCAGTTTCTCCCATACTCTGCTCATGGTAATGAATAAGTCTCAGGAGATCTGATGGTTTTATAAATGGGAGTTTCCCTGCACAAGCTCTCTTGAATGCCACCAGGTAAGACGTAACTTTGCTCCTCATTCATCTTCTGCTATAATTGTGAGGCCTCCATAGCCATGTGGAACTGTGAGTCAAACCTCTTTCCTTTACAAAGTACCCAGCCTCAGGTATGCCTTTATTAGCAGCATGAGAAGAGACTAATAGAATAAATTGGTACTGGTAGAGTGGGGTGCTGCTGGAAAGATGCTTAAAAATGTGGAAGCGATTTTGGAACTGGGTAACAGGTAGAAGGTGGAACAGTTTGGAGGGCTCAGAAGAAGGCAGAAAGATGCAGGGAAGTTTGGAACTTCCTAGAGACTTGTTGAATGGCTTTGACCAAAGTGTGGAAAGTGATATGGACAATCAAGTCCAGGTTGAGGTGGTCTCAGATGGAGATGAGGAACTTGTTGGGAACTGGAGCAAAGGTGACTTTTGCTATGTTTTAGCATTTTGCACCTGCCCTAGAGATTTGTGGAACATTGAACTTGAGAGAAATGATTTAGGGCAACTGGTGGAAGAAATTTCCAAGCAGCAAAGCACTCAAGAGGTGACTTGGGTGCTGTTAAAAGCATTCGGTTTTTTGTATTCACTAAGATACGGTTTGGAATTGGAACTTACATTTAAAAGGGAAACAGAGCACAAAAGTTTGGAAAATTTGCAGCCTGATGATGTGATAGAAAAGAAAAACCCATTTTCTCAGGTGAAATTCAAGCCAGCTGCAAGAATTTGCATAAGTAACAAGGAGCCAAATGTTAATCACCAAGACAATGGGCAAAATGTCTCCAGTGCATGTCAGAGGTAATCTCAGCAGCCCCTGTAGCAAACTTTTGCCTGGACATCCAGGCACTGTTGGGATGGCAGCAGCCCCTGCCATCACAGACCCAGAGGCCTAGGAAGAAAAAATGGTTTTGCGGGCCAGAACCAGGGCCTTACTGCTTAGTGCAGTCTCAAGACTTGGTGCCCTGCATTCCAGCCATGGCTAAAAGGGGCCAACATAGAGCTCAGGCCACTGTTTCAAGGAGTACAAGCCCCAAGACTTGGTGGCTTCCACATGCAGTTGAGCCTGCAAGTGCACAGAGGTCAAGAATTGAGGTTTGGAGACTTCTGCCTAGATTTCAGTGGATGTATGGAAATGCCTCGATGTCCAGGCAAGTTTGCTACAGGGGCAGAGCCCTCATGGAGAACCTCTGCTACGGCAGTGTGGAAGGGAAATGTAGGGTCAGAGCCCCCACCCAGAGTCCCCATTGGTGCACTGCCTAGTGGAGCTCTGAGAAGAGGGCCACAGTCCTCCAGACCCCGAAATGGTAGATCCTCTGACAGCTTGCATCATGCACCTGGAAAAGGTGCAGACACTCAATGCCAGCCCGTGAAAGCAGCCAGAAAAAGGGCTGTACCCTGCAAAGCCACAAGAGTGGAGCTGCCCAACACCATGAGAACCCACCTCTTTCATCAGCATGACCTGGATGTGAGACATGGAGTCAAAGGAGCTCATTTCGGAGCTTTAAGATTTGATTGCCCTGCTGGATTTTGGATTTGCATGGGGCCTGTAGCCCCTTCCTTTTGGCCAATTTCTCCCATTTGGAAAAGGTGTATTCACCCAATGCCTGTACCTCCATTGTATCTATGAAGTAACTAACTTGCTTTTGATCTTACAGGCTCATAGGCAGAAGAGACTTGCCTTGTCTCAGATGAGACTTTGGACTGTGGACTTTTGAGTTAATACTGAAATGAGTTAAGACTTTGGGGCACTGTTGGGAAGGCATGATTGATTTTGAAATGTGAGGACATGAGACTTGGGAGGGGCCGGGAGTGGAATGATATGGTTTGGCTGTGTCCCCTTCCAAATCCCACCTTGAATTGTAATAATCCCCATGTGTCAAGGGCAGGGCCAGGTGGAGATAATTGAATCATAGCGGTGGTTTCCCCCATACTGCTCTCCTGGTAGTGAATAAATCTTATGAGATCTGATTGTTTTATAAATGGGAGTCCCATTGCACATGCTCTTTTGTCTCCTGCCATGTAAGATGTGACTTTGCTCCTCATTTGCCTTCCACCACAATTGTGAGGCCTCCCCAGTCACGTGGAACTGTGAGTCAATTAAGCTTCTTTCCTTTAGAAATTACCCAGTCTTTGATATGTCTTTATTAGCAGCATGAGAACAGACTAATACAAATGTGTTGTTAACTTTGACAAGAGTGGGGTCACTGGAGTGGGAAGACGAAGCCTTATTGGAGCAGGTTGAAGAGCAAATTGGCCATGTGTGATATTCAGTTGTATTATGTGCTGGGTATTCTCTGATGTCCTCCTCTCCTGTCCTACTGGGCTTTGGGAGGCTGACTTCTATCAACCACTTCACCAGCCTTGCCAACTGGCTTGGGTTGGCTAATTGAAGGCACTGATAGAAGACTGAGCCATGGTTTGGGGCTGGACTCCTCTGCCTGGGATCACACAGCCTGTGGGTGAGCACTCTCCTTTGGCTACAGCTCTCATAAGGTCCAACAGCAGTGGTCCCCTTTGCCCTTCAGGTCTAGGGGAAGGAATAGATTTCTGCTCCTGCTAGCACCTGAGCACTTCAGCATTTCATACTGGTTCCCTTAACCTTATCTCTGAAAATAATCCTTCTTAAATGGTCTCCAGTTAAATCAGGGTTTGAATCAGGGTTAATTGGGTTAATTCACCCTGCCAGGACCTGACTGATACATACTGACTTTTCTACGAATAAATCCACCCTGTGTAGCCCTAATTGGCTGCAGGCATTGAAGACCTTTACAAGCTCAGCTCCTGAGACAAGTATAATCAGGTGTGACAGAATAAGAGCTCCATTAGGGACAAGGGTTGGGACTTAGTTCCGCAAGTCTAAGGCAGTATTTGATATTTCTAGGTCCTGACATGATTCCTGAGATTTTCCTCTCACCTTTAACCCAAATGTTAGTTAGACCTCACAGCCAGGGCCTGTGTTGGTTTTGTGAGTAGAGTCGAGCGCCCACTCTTTTGGTGGTTCCCTCCTCAAGCCAGGCCCCTATGCTCAGGCCCTTTTTATCTGCCTAGCTCTTAGGAAGCTGCATCCTGCTCTGCAAAGCCCCAGTCAATGGCAGGGGTCCTAGGACTCTGCAGCCACTCCCACAGCTGGAATCACAAGATTGCTACCAATGCAGCTGTAGGTGTAACTGATCAGCTCTCCACACAGAGGTTGTATTCCCTTGGAGACTGAACTAAACTGAATCATCTCAAGTTTGTTACAATAAAATTGTGGTTTCAGTTCCTATGAACAGCCTGTCCCACAGTCAAGTTACTCCCCTAGCTCTGCCTGTTCACATTGCCACGTGACTGCCTTTCCCCATCAGCCCTATCTCCTCATCAGACCTGGTGGTCCTGATTAAAAAAAAAAGATCTGTTCTGAGAAATAGTGATTTCTGCTTAAAGAGCATGCTCTGAATGAAATTTCCCTGCTGATGTCAGGAATTGGCATTGGTACAGTCATTCCTAAAAAAAAAAAAAAAAAAAGGAAAATCTCATCTCTGCACCATCTTTGATATATCCTGGCACTTTCTCTCTCAGGAAGATGATTGGAAAATGGCACTCAGATCCTGTCGCTGCCCTGCATTTAATCATTCACTTGCTCTCCAAAATGTTTGGAGCCACGTTTAAATTTCTTTGTTCAACACACAGGCCTTTCATCACTGGAACTCCATCCTCCTCTCTAGCTTCATTTCTTGCATTCCTGACCTGAGCTCTTTGAACGATTTCCAATGACCTATTTCCCAGCCACATTGTGCTCTCTCATGCCTCTTTGGCTTGCACATAATGTCCAATCTATTCCGAATTCCCTTCCTCCGCTTCTCCCTGCAAAATCTACTCGCCCTTCAAGACTCACCTCAAGCATCCCCTCCTCCAGGGAACTTTCCCTTAACTTCCCAGTGAAGGAAGGACTTCATTTTGCTATTTGAATAGCACACAGGATCATACACTTATATATTATATATTGATTGTTATTATGTTAACAATCAGTTACTTATCTAATCTTAGTCATTAGCCTATACATTTCTGGGAGAATTGTTCATGCTGATGTTGTCAGCATCTAAGACAAGGCCTGACAGCAGCACTTCCATGTGTGTTGAATAAATGAATGTATACATTTTGACAGGACAGATCAAGAGGAATAAGGGTATATTGTAGAGGGGGGAGGGGAAGCAACAAAACTATGAGCAAAAACATGGATTAGTGAGAACATGGGAGGAAAATGTTGAGAATATTTATCCTAAGAAAGAAAGGAGATAAGATGGCTTATTTTCACATATGTGACACATTATGATAAATAGGCACACTTAAAGAGATGTGCTGGAATTGTATCCAAAGAGTATACTTAAAAAACACAAAGAAATATCTTTTATAATTGTGAGTATACAAGACTTTCTTAATACATTTTTTACATGTTATCCCTAGAAATATTAAAAAATAAAATGAAAATCCATTTTGCTTAATAGTTTGAGTAGACATTTGCCTGAAGGAAAATAGAAATGGAGTCATCATTTTAGAGTTGCAAATATCAGCCAGTCCACTTAGCTGTGTCAGAAGAGTGCAGTAGTAAAGACCACAGGCTTGGAGTCTAGGAGAGCCATTCTCATCCTAGTTTCACTTCTCACTGGTTACTTCTTACTACTTTACCACTTGGTAGCTTCATGGTCTGGGTCAAGCTACTTAACTTCAGTGTGCTTTGGTTTTATCATCTGCACAAAAGGGATAATAGTTGAAGCTACTTTATAGTGTGGTTATGAGGAGTAAATGAGATAACACACAAAGATGTAACAAGTCAGATTTCAATAATGTGAACTTTAATTATCATCAACGTTATTGTTTTACATAGAAGGAAGCTATGGTCAGGACGACATACACAGGGACATACAACCAGTTACTGGTCGAGTTAGGACTGGAATCGGGTATTCAGATGTGAATTTCACTACTCTTTCCGTGACAGAAGGGGCTAGGAACTGAATAAACATAATGTCATTAGCTCTTACAGAGAACAGTACAGAGTGAAAAACTGCATTAGGAATTCAAAATTGGAATCATCTAACCTGGAACCTTTATTAACAAAAGGATTAACATTTGATTTTTGTAGCCTTAACTTTTCAGTTACAAAAAGCAAAATACTTTTCTTGTGGCAGTCTATTTGAAACCCTCTTTTCAATGACGAAATCTTTAACATTGCTCCTATTTAAAGCTGGAATTTGTTAAGACTTCAAGAAAGAAAGTTAAATTGGTATTATGACCTCCAAAAAAGAACTGAAAAATGTTTGGTCTTCCGGTTCATTACCTCCAAGAAGCTTCATATCTATTTTTTAGAAAAAGCTGAGTGATGGAGTGTTTCTGCTTCCAACCAGATGTTTGATGTCAAATAGATCGAAGGAAAGCCACGTGACTACAATTCTTATACTCTGCTTAGGAGATGTGTGTGATTTGTCAGACAGCTGGAAGCCCAGAGGTGGAGGTTTGATGTTTAATATTTTTCTTTTGCTGAATACATTTAGAAATTGGTCCTTAGCCATCTTTCTAAAAATCATTTTTGCTTGAAATGTTTTTCTTCAAGAAATAAAATGTAGGTAGAATTTAGCTACAAGATGAAAGCTCAAAAGATTATAAATAAGAATCATGAAGATTCATGAAATCATCGACCCATTCATATTTATAGAGTATGTGTGCCTCTACTATTTCTAAAATGATTATTTCTCAGCATGGGTTGAGGTTTTCTTTTAGTAATCTCTGCCCTCTAAAATTCAATTCACAGTAATCTTTTTCTTCCTACATTGCATGGATTAAGTCTTCTCCAGTGTGACGGATTTTTTAAAAAACCTAATGACTAGGTGATTGCAAATCTTTTTTCCAGTATTATAAATAACAATGCCTCATTTCTGGCTAAATATTAAGAATTTGAACTGTGCTTGCTGTTTAAAATATCTTTTAAATGTCCACAATTGAATTAAAGTCTTATGTTCAATCACAAACCATGAAATTAGTTGGTATTACCAATGTTCTGCAATTCAGGCCGTGAAAAAAAAATCAAAAGATCGCAATGCAAAATTGCCGAAAAAAAGTCTCAACTAAAATCAGGTCTTTGTATTTTCTAAAGGCCTTGACTGCATCTGTCAAAGGGTAAAAACAAAAACCATGCAAAAGAACTCCATCCACATACATGATTCTTTATTTTACAGAAACAAGAACTTCACCCATATACATGATTCTTTTTTTTTTTTTTTTTTGAAATGGAGTATTGCTCTGTTGCCCAGGCTGGAGTGCAGTGACACGATCAGCTCACTGAAAGCTCCACCTCCCGGGTTCATGCCATTCTCCTGCCTCAGCCTCCTGAGTAGCTGGGACTACAGGCGCCTGCCACCACGCCCGGCTAATTTTTTTTTTTTTTTTTTTTTTGTATTTTTTAGTAGAGACGGGGTTTCACCATATTAGCCAGGATGGTCTCGATCTCCTGACCTTGTGATCCGCCTGCCTCAGCCTCCCAAAGTGCTGGGATTACAGGCGTGAGCCACCGCGCCCAGCCCATATACATGATTCTTTATTTTATAAAAACAAACAAAAATCTCCCATTTCAAATAGGTAAAATAGATTTTAAGTGACAAAGTATGTCACAGATTTAAGTCTCTTTATGTCAGTTTTTAAAAATAAGAGTTAAGATTGTGTTTACACATAAAAGCCTCTGTATATTTTGAGTGAATTTCTGGTATAGTCAACATACTCATCATTTCATCCAAACCACAGGCTATTAAACAATGATTAAGCAGACTACTCATCCCAAGATCTGAGCTGACCTGAAAGCCTTCCCATTCTGAATCATTAACCAATAGCACCCCTTCTGTGTGGGGAAAAAAAAAAACAAGTTACCATGATTTAGCTCTTGCTACTCAAGAGAGGTCTGCAGAACGCAGTGTTAATGTCACAAGAGAGTGTGTTAGAAATGCAAAATTTCAGGCACTACCCCAAATCTCCTGAAGTACAATCTACATTTTAACAAGATCCCAAGTAAATCAAATGCATATTAAGTTTTGAGAAGCACTGATGTAGTTAATTGCCGTAAAAATGTACATTTCTTTCCTAATTGCCTAAAATAATATCTAGAAGAAAAGTGAGCAATAGTTTTGGGAGAGAAAAGTTTATGGCACCTACTATGTATACTTTTAGAATTTACCTCATTTAATCTTCATTTTAAAAATCACTGCCAGGTGAATTTATTCTCATTTTTATAGTGGGGGAACTAAGTGCCTTGTCAAAGATTACACAGCTAATAAATGTTGGAGCCAAGATCCAGAAGAAGGCCAATGTCTGGCTCCAATGTTTCCCATCTCTTTTCCATTATAGCACACTATCCCTTATCTTGCCCATTTTATAATGCCACTTAGAACCACTAAATGTCTTCAGTATGGGCCTTAGATTGAAGTTCACATCAAAGTCCATTTATTAAAATCACTTGGTTGGTAACTTATGTTTTTGAGTTTTGTGTCCAAGGCTGCCCTGTGTTGGTCATATACCCTGGTTTAGCAAGCTGAGCTGTTGTCATGCTGTGTAAGGTCCACTGATGGTATATCCTTTCCTCTTGACTTCAGAATGTATTATTTCAGTAATTTACAGATGCAAATATTTTCCATGGTTGTTGCAGATAAAATGGTCTCAAAATCTTGTCAAATATCCCAGTTAAAAATTACACAGGAATCCTGAAAATAGTCTCTTACCAACTACATCAGTAAGAAGTATCATTTTGTTCTTTGGAGGGAGGGGACTTGTATGCCGTATAAAAAGGTCCACCCTAGTCCCCAATCATGCCATTGCCCTTCTACACATACAGATAAATGGTAATTCAGTCATTCACCAGATTAGATTCTGGATCTGCTTTTTAGAAATCTGTGGCTACATAAAACTAGAATTTCATTTAGGGAAATCATAGAAGACTTCTTGTGACAGTCTACATCTTGAATTAGAAATTTACATCTTTGAATCCATCATTTTCTTTTTCAAAAAGTGTCCAGTTCACTAGTGAATGGCCATAGAAGTAACCAGTCAAACCTATTATACTCTTTATTCACAACAAAATATTCTATAGTAGCAAATACATGGTCACCCTAAGATTTACCTTCTTTCTATAAACACTTGATTACAAGACAGAGCAGGTGATAATTTAAGTGATGGTTTTGCCCTCTGTGCCATGAACTGCCAGTGAACCCCTTACCAATGTAAACAAGGTCATTATTGCCTTTAGATTTCATCAGATCAGGAACTCAATTTAGATAACCCAGAGGCCTCTCTTTCAAAGTTCTGTTCCTCTGAAACCATTTCTAGTACTAATTACTGAATCAGTTCAGCTTTGACCACAGACACAGAACCACTCTGGACTATACAAACTAAGAAAGTGATTATAGGGTTAGACCTCACTCAGTTGTGGGACTTGATGGAGCAGTCTATGAAGGCTGATGCCTCTGCATCTAGTGTTGAGCCTAAAGCCATGCTAGGAGAGCCAGTCTACCAGTCAGGAAAGAAAGCTGGATATGGATGAACACACTGCAACCTACAGGAATGTACTGAAATTCACAGGAAAACTAGAACTTGTCTCTAACCAACTCCAACCTTGATGCTGTAAGTGACCTGAGGGGAAGTTGGCACCTTTTCCCGTGGAATTGCACATGCACTTGGCCCGGAACTCTGAGATGCTGAAGGAGTGTCTCCAGATATGAAAGAACCACAGATCCAGATGCTTCCCCATTCCCACAAGGCGAGCAGGTGGATGACCATGAACCGCCACAGTGCTTGGCCCCTAAACTGATCTTCAGAGTGTTAAAAATATAGCTTATCTTTACTTCTGCCCTCCAAATCGTGTGCTAAATGATTCTGTGGCCGTTGTTAAACCAGGACCACATAGGAAGGGAGATTTCTGGGAAATGTAGCTCTGTCTTAAATAAATTGAAACAGTACAAAGCTGCCACAAAAAGCCATTAACACTTTTTGTAAATACCAAGGATAAGTCACATATAGTAATACAGAAACACTATAAACAAATTTTCCCACTATGTATGTTTTTGAAACCCTACATCTGTAGGATTCTTTATGGAGAAAAAAGTACAATGTCTAGGATTCATTGGTCAAATCCCATGACCCTGTCATGTAGTGTTACAACACACATTAACTTAGAAATGTTGAGAGAAGTCCTGAGCCCTGCTTACCTTAGTTTAACCCAGTGTCACTCAAATTAATTTGTCCACCAAACTTGTTTTCCCCCTCATAATAACAACATCCTTTAAGACTACACTGCACAAAATAAACATTGTTTTCACACTGCCTTAGAGAACTAATGAAAACAAGGATGGTAAAAAGCGTCTACCTCACATGCTTCAATTGTGTCTTAGTCGGTTTGGGCTACTATAACAAAATATCATTAACTAGGTGGCTTCTGAACAACACAAATGTATTTCTCACAATTCTGGAGGTTGGGAAGTCCAAAGTATGGCTCTGGCAAATCTAGCATCTGATGAGGGCCTGTTTCACAGTTAGGCTTTCTTGCTATGTCTTCACATGATGGAAGAGACAAATGAGTTAAGAGCACTGATATCATTTGTGAGGGCTCCACGCCCATGACCGAATCACCTCCCAAAAGGTCCCACCTCCTAACACCATCACGTTAAAGATTAGGATTTCAATATATGATTTTTTTAGGGAAATAAACATTCAGCCCATAACAAAGTGGGCTTAAAGCAGGGTGTTTAAAATATTTGGTAGTCTGAATGGAAAATCAGTGGGGAAAACCATGATCATTGGTAATGTCTGCTCTAGTCACAGAATGGAGAAAAAGATGGCAAAGGTATATTTGCTAACACTGACCTCTGTAGCAATAACCTTAACTGGCAATGGGACAAGATTATCAGGTCTATAGCAAAGGGGAAATACTGAACCCCATGAAACCTGCTAAAAAATGGACATTATTCTTCTAAACTGATTTCCTATACCATTTCATTTCTTTGCTCAGTTAGCTAATTCATATGACTAGATGGATTTTATTCCTAGGCAACCTTTCATACCTTCTCTAGTGAGACCAAATATTGGCTAAACCTATTTAAGAGTTCCTCTATTTAGTTATATTCATTAATATAATAAATATATGTATCTCAAGTATCTATTTTGCCGTGATTTATCCTGAGTTATACTTTGACAAACTATTCCCTTCCTAAAATATTAAAGTCAAATTGTTTCATTTACGAGATGAAACAGATGTGGTTTGTCTTCAAGTGTCATCAGTGTCTATAGATCAGTTTTAGGTAATAATATTAACAGCAATTAATATTTGCATGGGACATTGTTATTTACAAAGCAATTTCGCATGCTTTGTCATATTAACAGGTTTAGATATAATTTCATATGTTCAAAAAAATTAAAAATGTAAATATGCCTATGAGGATATATTTTTCACTACAGTTCTCCACATTTTAGAACTCTGGATGAGGCTGAAAGGTAAAAATATAGAGCCACTCTAGCTGAATGCTCACTTGCCTACATGACAGTCTCCTTAATAAGCAGATATTGCTGCAGAACAGTGAAATGTTACAGTTGCCTTGTTTATTCAAAGCAACACAGAATTCTATTTTTGGTCTCATTCAAAGTGAACTCAGAAATTCAAATAGAAATTTGAGCAAGCAGAAGTATTTCCTGGTGTCCACTAGAAAAGTTGAGTTCATGATGAAAGCTGCTAGGTCAAGTTTCACACCAAGTAGAAAGCTACTGATTCCACAAATATAAGCTTTAAGTACAACAGATCTCTGTAAATTTTAAAGTTCCACATTTAAGTTTTGATTTCTAAAAGCCATGAAAAGCATCATGGTTTTAGAATCACTTCTCAATTCATGGGCAAGAATACATCTTAAATATACACATTCATGATGACAGAGAAGGCCGTTTATTTGCCTACATGCCATATTAAAAAAGTAAATATTAACCTACTAAATGCTGAACAATTTCAACTCTACCCATAATCATAAAAAAGGCTTACCTTAAGATAGTACAAGTGCTGACCTAAAGAAATAAATGGGTAAAATGGCAACCTGCACTCTCCAAGGTCACAAATGGCGCTCTGACAGAAGCATGATAAAAATTTTGTGGAAAGCCTGGATACTATTCTTGCTGATGATGTCCTCAAAAACGCTCCTGTCACAGATGCTGCTGCTGCCCCCAGATGTGCTTCTCTGTGGCGATCTACCCATGCCCCTGTTGTATGAGTGTTGGCTGCTAAAGGCTCATCCCTCATCCTGTTCCAGAGACTACCCTTGACTGGTTGGAGCTAACTCACCTTGGGACTCCTGGGAGGTAGCATCTTCCCCGCAAAGATGGCCAATGGCAAATACCAACTGACTTGAGGTACAACAGCTCAGCCCCCTTACCTCTGGGCAAAAGACCCTGGGGTGCAACTCATGCTGCAGAGCTTGCTATGGAATTACGCTGAGGCTAGATTCCTCCTGAAACTATATTTTTGCTTAGCTTACTCTTCGGCCCTATCCTGTTTCCCTCAGTTTCTTACAGGTTGCTCCTGAGAGCACACCCTCAATAAATCAATTACATTAGTATCTCCAATTCAAACTTATCTTCTAAGGAAATCTAACAAGAAACTACCTCAGACATTTCAATATTCATTGCTGATGATAATACAGTTTCCAAAACTGGCACTAAAATGTAACATGGCACTAATAGATAATTGAAAAAAAAAAGAAGAGCCAGAAATAGACCCACAGTCTTATGACCAGTTGAATTTCAACAGCAGTATCAAAGCAACTCAATAGGGGAAGGAAAATGGTTTCCAAAAATGTGCTGGAAGAGTTGAATAGCCACATGGGAAAAAAATTAACCTTGACCCCTATCTCACATCATATGCAAAAAATTAATTTGAGATGCATAATGGATCTAAATATGAGTTAAAACTATAAAACACTTAGAATAAATGTACGGACATGTTATCTCCATACATTTGATATTTGATTTTTTTAACCACCCCCCCCGCCCCCCGACATTTAAAAGAATAGTCAGTGGTAGGAAAGGAAGGAAGCATAGATGAAAGAAGAATGGCAGAATACTGATCATTGATGAGCTAGGTAATGGGGGAAGGGTTCATATGCTACTTTGTTTATACATGTACATGTATAATCCCATATATGGTGAATTGATTTTCAACAAAGGTGCAAGGGGAATAAATGATCTTTTTAACAAATAGTAATGGAACAACTGGATATCCATATAAAAAAATGAATTTAGGATATTTTCAACATATGATGGGTTTTGCCAAGCATAAGTCCATCATAGGTCAAGGAACATCTATATTCTGTTTATTTTCTATAATTGAAAAGTATTTTTTAAGTAACATAGCAATCCTACTGACATCACACAAAAATTCATTCTAAATGGTTCATAGACCTAAACATAAATCCTAAAACTAAAAAACTTCTTGTAGAAAATATAAGATAAAATTTATACAACTTTAAAGAAGACCAAGGCTTCTTAGGACACCAAAACGTGAACCATAAAAAATGTAATAGATTGGTTTTCATCAAAATTAAAAACCTCTGCTCTTCAAAAAACACTGTTAAGAAAATGTAAAGGAGACCAACAACCAGAAGAAAATGGTCTCAGTGCATATTTCCGACAAATAACATGCATCCAGAACATATGAGAAACTTCATGATAGGAAGGCCAAAAACCCAGTAACATCATAGGGAGATTTGAACATTTACTTCACACAAGAAGATGTAGGAATGGCCAGTAAGAGCACGAAGAGATATTCAACCTCACTGTTATCAGGGAAATTCACGTTAAACCCCAAGATAGCAATATAG
Source organism: Homo sapiens (assembly GCF_000001405.40). Classification (NCBI taxonomy): domain Eukaryota; kingdom Metazoa; phylum Chordata; class Mammalia; order Primates; family Hominidae; genus Homo; species Homo sapiens. The sequence goes on from NC_000013.11 coordinate 34,664,004, forward strand.
CCACTATTATGGCTAATAGTGAAAATGTCTAACCACTCCAAGTATTGCTGGGTATAGAGCAACCAGCACTCTCATACACTGCTGGTGAGAATATAAAATCAAACAACTGTTTTGGAAGAAGATTTTGTAGATTCTTATAAACGTAACTGTACAAAAACTCAAAAGTTTACACACAGGAATTTACCCCAGAAAAAAAGTAGAAAATATTTAAAAAAATTTTTTACATGAATGAATATGGCAGTTTTGCTCATAACAGCCAAAACTAGAAGTAGTTCAACTGTCTATGACTAAGTGAGCAGCTGAACAAATTGCGAGTATACCCATACAATAAGAGAATAGGGTGAGGCATAGATGAAACATGAAAGGCAGAATGTTGATAGCTGTAGAATCTGATTAATAGATTTGTGGGGTTTCATTATGCTACAGATGATCCCCAATTTATGATGGTTCAACTTATGACTTTTCAACTTTACCATGGTGTGAAAGTATACTCATTCAGTAGAAACTGCACTTCAGATTTTGAATTTTCTTGGACTAATGATGTGTGATATGATACACTCTTTTTATCCTGGGCAGCAGTAGCTGCCATTAAGTCATGTGATCATGAGGATAAACAACCTATACTTTACAGTATCCTGTGTTGCCAGATAACGTTGCCAGCTGCAGGCTACTGAAAGTGTCTTGAGCACATTTAAGGTCAGCTAGGTTAAACTATGATGTTTGGTGTATTTTTGACTTAGGATATTTTCAACATAAGATGGATTTTGCCTGTTGTAACCCCATCATAGATCAAAGAGCATCTATGTTGTTTACTTTCTACACATTTGAGATTTTTCCATATTAGTAAGCATTTTTAAAGTAAAATGCCAATAATTTTCAAAATTATTAAAACGATCTGTTCATTGATCTTATAATTCCCCTTCTGAAAAACTTATAGAAAATAATCAAAAAGCAGATATATGCATCAAAACACTCATTTAATCAGACTTACAATGTTGGAAAAATGGGAAAGAGCCCAAATGTGGAAAAACAAATTAATGTTCAAGAAATCATATGTACTCTATAAAATACGATTTAGCCATTAACATTCATTAAAACAAACAATAGCTAACATTTATTGTGAATTGTCAATGTCCTAGGCCCTATTGTAAGCACTTTAGTTGGCCTACCTAATTTAATATGAATCATAGGTAAGAACGTTAGTTCATGTAACAAATATTATCTACCACACACACCAGGACTATGCTAGAAGCTGGAAATACAAGAATAAGCAAGAAAATGTTATCCTTAGTCTCAAAGAGCTTTGGAAAGTCTATTGGAAGATGTGGATAAATACAGAAGCAATTACAATGCCACATAATAAACGCACTGATGTAGGAAAATGCTTATGTTTTTATTTAAGCAGCAAAGTGAAGGTTTAAGTATGGTTCCTATGTGATGACAGATATGTAAGGGAACCAGGATTAAAAGAAAAAAGTTTGATTTCTCTAGGTGATATAATTACAGAATAACTATTTAATTTTTATTTTGAATTCCATTAGTTTTGCAACAATATTTTAGTGTCATAAAATGAAATCACCTATATATAACTGGATCAACTTCTTAAGCAGATTTTGTTATATAGTATTTTTATTTTTTAATCAAATTAGTTTGGAAAATTTTTCTTGGGTTTCTCTTACTAATCACTGTAATAGAAAATGTATGTCTTGGTCCTGACTCTCTGTATACTGAAAGTCTGGCTGCACATGAGAATCAGCAGGGGAGTTTAAAAAATCTAATGATGACTGCGTCCCACCCTCAACCAGTTAAATTCAAATCTTTAAGGAAAAGACCCACTGATCCACTGGCAGAGCAATGGGTCACTTTTTCAATTTTTTCTTAGATCTCCGTTGAGCTCTTTCCACTCGCAAAGTTTTATCACCATAATTTTTTTTGACTGGGACGATAATTAAATTTACTGATGTAGATACTTCAAAAAGTGATTTTACACAAAAATATAGACCTTTTATTCATTCTTGCATATTCTAAATGTGTGTGCTCCAGAGAGTGTGCCTTTTAGATTATTTACCACATGCAAAATGACAACAGGTTGCCAAGCACAACTAAGAACAAAAGGTAGGTATTCTCTCCAACCAGTATTTTCATCATTCCTCAATTCACAGAAAAGACCCTATATACCAAAGAGAATGGAGAATGCACACAAACTAAAATAAACATCAGAGCTCAGGGAGGAACCAGGAAACGGCAGGCTCAAGGTATGGCTGGTCTTGTTACAAGTGAAATGACAGTTCTCTCGGCCCACCTCTCCCTTACATCCTTCCAATAATCCAGTGTACCAATTCATACTTCCACATAAAGAAATGAGATTACTCAACAGGTGAATGATGTCAATATCACCTTCTTCCTTTTGAGCTACGATTTTTCCTCCACGGAGAACACAGCTGCTCACCCTCGCCTGTGATTTTGTGGGCTGTTGTGGTGAATATTCGGGACTGATGGTGTGGAAGGCAGGGATCATAACTATTTAACTTGCTTGATACAGTACTTAGCACAGTGACACTTGCCTGTGGATGCCTAATAAGCCACGGAGTAAAATTAGCCTAATCCTGCTCAGATTCTTTGTTTCATCAGCCTTTGGGGAGACAATGATAATTAGTTGAAATAGCTGGAGAATAACACTTAATCATGGAAAACCAATGCAGAAAGATTATCACAAACAAATTGTCTTTGCCTAAAGTACATTTCCATCTGAGAAAAAGAGCAAAATTAAGCAACTGCAAAGTCCTCCAAGCTTTATGTGCCAAAATACAGAGATTTTTTTATCCTTCTTTTTAATATAATCGCTCTGGGCAGACCTTTGACTCAAATTCTCAGATGGGTCAAGCTTTCCTCTGACTTTAGCAAATAATTAATGTGAGATTTTTTTTCTAGAAACTGTCACAGTTTATTTTAATCATTAACATAAAATGTAATTAAATGCACAGCAACGACTCTCAATTAATTGCTCGATTCTTTCAGGTTAAAGATAAGCACATTTTCTTATATAAAGACAGACCAATATTTTGCTTTTGATACACTGACTTGCCTGATGCTCAACACAGTAACTAAAAACAAAAAGAAACAAAACAAGCTTTATCTAAAACAAGGAAACTGGTGCAGTTGCTTGGGTTCAAATTAAGCACCTTTCTGAAAATTAAAAGTATGATTACATAAGAGTATGGTTATAAAGCGTGGGTGGTTAGATAATCAGAATTGCAGAGTAGTTCCAAGTTCTCCTTTTCTCATCCTAGACAGCCCTTCAAGGGTTGCCGAAGACGATTAAGGTGTCACTTAATGGAAAAATTCGTTTCATCCCAAAACTTAGACTCAAAGTAGGGAACCTTTTCCATATACTTCAACCAGCACAGCAATACTGAAACACAAACCCAAAGAAATATTAGCTGGAACACATTTTGAATAGTTTCTTTTTATTTCCATGCAGTCATTTTGTCACGATGATAAGTTCCAAGGGCTGCAGCTCCCCATCCCACACAAGGCACAGCGTAGGCGTGAGGTGTGAGGGCTGCTCCTGTCTGCAAACTTCATCACCAGGGTTGCAACGAGGCCTGGATGGCTTGAATTGTTCTCTTATTTCCTTTTACTTTGGAAAGTATTTAACAGGATTAATGACTGCTTTAGTCTAATGGCTATGGAAAACGATGACTATCGCCTTTCTATATATGATCTTTAATAATATTGCAAAGACCAAGCTGTGGAAGAGAAACAGACTGCACTTGTAGAGCACCTATTACTGCACACCTCCAGGGTGAAAAAAGCAGGAGTGGGAGGCCCACCTACAGAACTGGAATGCTGGGAAGCCAGAGATGGAGACAATAAAATAGATTCCATGGAGCCATCTGCTTTTGACAGAGCTTGCAACCGTGTCAGCCGAGAAAATTATTTCAGAGGCACAGGCTGAAAATCAGCTCTGACCTCTCAAGAGAAAAGATCAGTATCACTTCTCCTGCTACAGCTGGTTTCACATAACCCCCCCAGGTAATGTTCTCAGAGTTCTATCCTTTTTTTATTTGGCTGCACACATCCTTTTGCCTTTGAGGTATGAAATACACAGGACTACCTGAAGCCTGGCTTTGAAAGGAGTGGATCAGAAGCTCTCTTTCTACTGTGGTTTGTGGTTTAAAAGCATACACACTTGGTTGTTTGGGGATTGCTACAGGGTGTTGTATTTAGTATTTAAGGTATTGATTACGTGAATGGACAATGCCTTGAACTAGACTTCATGGATGTTAGACAGAGTGGAGCTGAAACCTAAGGCCTAAAATAGTGTGATTTGTTCTGCAGAGCTTGCATAGTCTCTGACACAGAGTAGCTGTCCAGAAAAGGTGGTGAGAATGAATAAATGAACAGAGGAAGAAATGAATCCAGTTGGGCCCACAAAATAGTAAATGAGGGGCAAACACCCAGCACTTACTATTCTACGTGCCTGGGGCTCAGCTTCTATTCACCTGTTTCTGCTCAGCTTTCCTTTCCCTCCCTTTATAGCTTCACTGCAGGTCCCAGGCTCTCTTCTTCACCAGGCCTGTGGTTCCTTCGTAACTTCCTGAAATTCCCTCACACCCCACCCCTCCTCCTGACCCCCACCCCCGTCGGTCTCATGTGATGCCTCCAAAGAGACATATGAAGAGTTGGTCAACTCTGAGCATATCTGCTTCAAAGACAACCTAAAATAATGGGGCCAAATCATAAATCACAGTCCCTGTCAGTGTCAGTTTTTTATTCCTAACAATCAATTTTCTCTCATATTATGGCATTTTAAACTATTCTAGGCTGCTTCTATGAAATAATTTATTAATTATTTGAGTATTTCAAAAACAATGGTAGGATTTGTGTTCATAACCTACAGTCTATGTGGTCACTATCACTATTTTTAAAATGCTGTTGTCAGCCAAACACGGTGGCTTATGCCTATAATCCCAACAGTTTGAAAGGCTGAGGAGTGAGAATCCCTGAGCCTAGGAGTTTGAGACCAGCCTAGGACCCTGTTTCTACAAAAAAAAATAAAAATTAGCCAGGTGTGGTGGCATACACCTGTAGTCCCAGCTACTTGAGAGGCTAAGGCAGGAGGATCGCTTGAGCCCAGGAAGTTGAGGCTACAATGAGCTATGACCATGCCACTGTACTCCAGTCTAGGTGACAGAATAAGACCCTGTCTCAAAAAATAAAAAATAAATAAAAATAAAATGTTGTTGTCCATCTATTTTCTGTGGAGTGATCCCAGTTCAGGGAATCCAGTTGTGCCTGAGTGTGGGTCTCTGCATGGATTCAGAAACCAGAATCACAGGAGTATTCTAGTGGTGGAGTCAGATATATGACAAGACAGCTCCAAAAGGATGCACCTGAACTGTCTGTAAGTAATGCATTGAGCAGCATTCTTCATCTTGAGCAAATGGGCTTTGAGAATTGTTTTAATGTCATGCATCAAACTCTTCAAACAATTCCACATTTCTCTGATTCTCATTCTAATTTTCATCCAGAAATCAAACAGAAGAGTCTATTATATCAGATTTAACTTTTATAAGGTGGGAAAGAAAGCAAGATAAATTGAATGTAGACACTTTCAAGGCAATCTTTTGCCTCAAATGAATTTAATTTTTAAAATAATATCCAACAATGGTAACATTTGTGTTTTGAGATTGATTATGGTTCCTCAAAAGTGAGCTATAGATGAGAAAAGATGGAACCAGCCTGTGACGGTTAATACTGAGTATCAACTTGATTGGATTGAAGGATGCAAAGTATTGATCCTGGGTGTGTCTGTGAGGGTGTTGCCAAAGGAGATTAACATTTGAGTCAGTGGACCGGGAAAGGCAGACTCACCCTTAATCTGGGTGGGTCTAATCATCTAATCAGCTACCAGAGTGGCTAGAATATAAAGCAGGCAGAAAAACATGAAAAGACTCATCTGGCCTAGCCTCGCAGCCTACATCTTTCTCCCATGCTGGATGCTTCCTGCCCTCGAACATCAGACTCCAAGTTCTTTAGTTTTGGGACGCGGACTGGCTCTCCTTTCTCCTCAGCTTGCAGATGGCCTATTGTGGCACCCTGTGATAGTGTGAGTTAATACTTAATAAACTAAATTAATATATATAGTATTATTAATAATACTTAATAATACTATACATATATAATGGGGAGTTTATTAAGTATTAACATATATATACTATAACATATCCTATTATATATATAAGTTAATCCTATATTAACATATTTATATATATATATACCTTATTAGTTCTGTCCCTCTAGCGAACCCTGACTAACACACAGCCCTCGAGGTTGACAACATGCATTGCTTGTCTGGTCACCTAAGAGTTTTGTATTCCAAACTTAATTTTCACCTTGTCCCCCAGGGTTTTAGTTGCTTCTAGTGTTTTTAGCAGGTAGTGTCTCAGCTTAAGCACAGTATGATTCAGGCATGTGCCAGAAAGCCAGGAGTTAAAGCAGAGGCTGCAGGCATTACTTGAATGAAGGTTTAAAGGGACTCTAGCTGGAGATGAGAGGTGACACGATTAAAAAGGAGAAAAAAGAGGAGATGGGAGGGGCAGAAATATGGTTCAAGGATAAGAGGCCAGTCGCTGGATGGTAAGGAAGCAGCATTCATTTTTCTGATAGCTCACAGGCTCAGCTCCCCCAGGGACTCAACCAAAGGGGACCAGTGAAACCCAAGGGTCTAGATTTTTTTAACTATAATTTTAATGGGCATGGTGACGGCAAGATTATCCCCTATATTTGTGCCAGAGACTGCTACTTCTTCTGTGCTGGAAAATGATGCGTGTTCTATAAAACAAGAATAGCAAGAAAAAATATTTTTGCCATGCTTATTTGGCCCCAGGTAGTGTGCTAAGTGCCTTATGTATACTGTGGATATATGAGACATCAGCAGTCTCAACCTCAGGAATTCTCAGCCTCAGCCCAGGCATGGAGGGCAGCACTTACAGCTCTGGTATATTCAGGAATCCCCAGGAGCAAGACATCTTCAGGGAACATCTGTGCCATAGATGCTGATTTTGACATCAACAGTAGCCAGCCTCTAAGATAGCAGTGATCACCTCCTGGTTTTCGTTCCATAATGCAATCCCCTTCCATAAGTAAGGTTGACCTATGAAACCAGCAGAATATTGTGGAAATGTTAGTGTATGACTTCTCAGGCTAGGTCATAAAAGACATTGCAGAGATAATTTTTTTTCCTTCTCTCTCTTGGATCACTTGCTCTGTGACAAGTCAGCTGCCATGAACACTCAAACAGTCCTATGATAGGACATGTGGTAAGGAGCTGAGAGCTCCTGCCAAAAAGCCAGTGACAAATTGAGGTTTTCTGCCAACAACCTTGAAAGTGAGCCATCTTGGAAGCAGAGTTTCTAGCCCTAGTCAAGCCTTCATCCCAAGCCAAAAATTTAACATCAACCTCATGAGTGATTTTAAGTCAGAACCATTCAGTCTAGCTTTCTGAATTTCTTACCAAAAAAAAGTGAAATGATCAGTGTTTATTAATTTAAGTTTATAAGTTTTGGAGTACATTGTTATATAGCAATAGATAACTAATACAGACTTGGGTACTTTAGTACTTGGAATTGAGGTACTGGAAAAATAAATAACTCAAAATATGAATGTGGCTTTGGAAAAGGCAGTAAGCAGAAGATGGAAAGCCTTTAGGAAAAGTATTATGAAACACCAAACACATGTAAAAACACTGTTATTAGAAGCCATTTGTATTTGAGAAAGGTATGAATAGAGGCTTAAAGGAGATATAGGAAAAAGTTAGTGAAAAGCGGGGGAAAGGGGATGCTTGTTATCTAGCATCAGAAAGTTTAACAACACTATTTCCTGCAGTTATGCGAAAAGTAGAAAATGTACCACATGAGTGGCATGACCTAGCAAAGGAGATTCCAAGACGGAGTGTAGAAGGTGCTACTTGTGTGCTTCTTGCTGCATATTGCAAAATATAGACAAAGAGAAGCTAAAGGAAAGACTCGTCCTCTTCCCCTACCCCCAGCTTTTTAAGGTATAATTAACAAATAAAAATGGTGTACAATGTAATGTTTTGATATATGTATACAATGATTTAATCAAGCTAATTAATATATTCATCACCTCACATACTTATCATAGTTTCGTGGTGATAACATTTAAGGTCTACTCTCTTAGCAATTTTCAACTGTACAGTGCATTATTAACTAGAGTCACCACACTGTACAGTAGATATCCAGAACTTATTCATCCTGTCTAACTGAAACTTTGTTCTTAATGAAAGACTTTTAGACAAAAACGAAACAGGAATTTCTGATTCTGAAAATCCCCAACATCTCCAGATGACTAACAATTATAAAATTATGAAATTGCTTCCAGGCAAAGATACAATCCAAGGTACTCCCCAGAAAACATAGTCTTGTAATAAAGTTGAAGGTGTGGCTATAAATCCTTAAGACCTTTTCTAAATCTAACATGGTGCCACAGAAAACTGCTCAGTCAAACCATGAAGTTTCTCAGAAGCTCAAGGGTAAATTCCTTTAACAATCTCAGCAGAAACTCAAGTTAAAGAAGGACTTGTCTCAGAAAGATTTTCAGACAGGGCTTTTGTCTAATAAGGTGCCCACAAATATTTAAGACAATTATAGTGGCACAGACACCACTACTTTGAACAGAAAGGGAAAGAAACATTACAAAAGGAACCAAAAATAAGGACTTTGGATCCCCAAAATTCTACTGGTAGGAAGTAGGCTGTGAAAACGACACAGCTGCAAAAACAGCTGATAGTCCTTTCATGCAAATGCACGAATGACTCAGAGACAAGTACCAAGAGCCCAGTGGGCAGATCCAAGAACAGTGGGGAAGAAATAGGACTGCATCCCAATCAAGCAATATCCAAAACATGCCCATTTCGACTTCAGACCATTGACTCTCATATGCCTGCTGCTTTCTACATTTTTGAACAGGAGTGTCTTTTGTAGTTATCTTATGCCCATCCCACCACTGTCTGTTGCATTTTAGAGGAAGATAGCTTGTCTCTATTTCCCAGGGGTGTTCAGATCAAGATCAGCTGTACTCACAGAGCTCTATTTGAAAAACTATACCTAAGGACCCATGTCTATATCTGTGCCTGATTTATATGATGAAATCTGGACTTTGAGCTGAGGCTATAATAGGATGAGACTTTTGGGAGACTTGGGAGGAGTGCAAGTATATTTTGCACGTGGGATAGGTATGAATCACTGGAATCCAGGAGGTAGACTATAGTAGTCAGCTTCCAAAATGTTCCCCAATGTTTCCCAACTTAGAATTTCCATCCTTGTGTAGTCTTCTCCAGCATCCAACAGAGCTCACTTATGTAATCACTAAGATACTGCAGAAATGACAGTAGGACTTCCAAGCTAGGTCACAAAGACATTGCAGCTTCTAACTTTACACTGTCTCTTGGATCACTGTTCTAGAGAAAGCAGATTCTATATTGTAAGGATACTCAAGTAGCCCTATGGAGAGGATATGTGGAGAGGAATTGAATTAGTAGTGTGCTGATAAACATTTAACATTTGCCTCTTCTTTAAAAAAGTGTGTACACACACACACACTCATATGTGTGTCTGTGTGTGTTTACTGGTAATGTTACCATTATAAAAGATGTATGGGAAACAATTTTTTAAAATAATGAAATAAATTATAGTCTTTATTTTAAATAACCTATGGCTAATTGATTCTCACAGAATATTTTCATTGATTATGTTTGCTGAATTTCTGACATAAACGTTGGTTAATATTTTCAGTTACACAAATAAAAAGTGAAGTAACAAAGATGTATGTTGTAGCTTCATTCGTCAGTAGCATGAAAGATTTCTTTGCTGAACTGGATAGTAGCTACAAATACAGGAAGAATATTTCTTCAAGTTTTTGTGTCATTCACAAAGTAAGAGCTACTGATGTGACCTATTTTTAGTTTAATCTGCATTATTAATATTTCTCCATCACTTTCTAAAGTCTAAAAATCAATAAAAGAATAGATCAAGTTCTGATTTGTTGTATTTGCTGATATCCACAGTGTAAATACTCCCACTGTGGCTGATTTCAAGGCAGTGGTTTAAGGTCACTGAATGCAGAAATGGAATGAGATGTGCAATAGAACACAACTATGTAAAATCTCCCTCATGTGGATACAATGAAACTGCCTTCGCAAAAAGTATAACTGAGGAAATTATGACAGTGAAAGAGATCAGATCTAACTGACTCCATCTTGCTTCTAACCTTTACGCTGTACACATACATTCCCGGGCATAGGCTGAACTAACCTTGGGAAGGAATTTAGCTTATAGTTTGACTCTGAAACAAAATTGATAATAGTCTTTACCCAAAAAGACCCTTTTCTGACCTGGGGACCAGTCTGCCTTTGTAGGTCTAACAAATTAGCTCTACAAGATTAGAAATTAGGATTTAGGGGTCATGCAGCCTCTGGCTGCAAGTGTCTGAATGTCCCCAAATTGATCCTGGAGATAACATCTCTATTGTAAAACCTAAGATCAATGCTTGAGATATTTTGCAGACCCTGCACTGGATGAATCAGCTTTCACCACCCAGACTGGTAATCTGGATCAAGCAGTTCTGTGATCCCACCCAGGAACAGAGGACAGCAAGAAAACCTCACATCCACCCACTATGATTCCATCTCCAACCTGACCAATCAGCACTCCCCACTTCCCGAGCCCCTACTTGCCAAATTATCTTTAAAAACTCTGATCCCCTAATGCTCAGGGAGACTGATTTGAGTAATAATAAAACTCCAATCTCCCTCACAGCTGTCCTCTGCATTAATTATTCTTTATCCATTACAATTCCCCTGTCTTGGTAATCGGCTCTGTCTAGGCAGCAGGCAAGGTGAGCCCATTGGGCAGTTACAATACACATAAATAACCACAGAAGCACAAATAAAGGAAAAACACGTAAATTTATTAGGAAGTGATGAGTTTTGAGTACGTTAAAGTAAACTAAATATGGCCTGAGAAGGACTCTGTACTTCTATATTTGAGTCCTTGTAGACAAACTGCAACCTAACTTAATAGTTAGACAAGATTGAACACCTAACTTAGGAGTATGTGCCTGAAACAATAGCTGAGTCTTGGCCAATCCCAGCAGCAGTACTTCAATGGCTCTTACACCGCTGGCTGTTCAAACTCTGTTCAAACAAGGCAAACACTGAGCTGAAACCAATCCAGCTGTTTCTGTATATCACTTCCCATTTCTGTACCTCACTTTACTTTTTGGGTCTATAAATTTGTTCTGACCATGAGGCACCCCTGGAGTCTCTCTGAATCTGCTGTGATTCTGGGGACTGCCTGATTTGTGAATCATTTCATTGCTCAATTAAACTTCTTTAAATTTAATTCTGCTGAAGGTTTTAACAAGTATTTACTAGTTTTGCTTTTAATATAATTTACTTAAATTAACTTTTTGATAATGGATTTAATGATTTAATTTTTAATGGATAATGATTTAATTTTTGATAATGGATGTGTTTAACAATTGGCTTACAAAATTCCTGAAATTTAACACCCGGCTCTCAGAAGCAGGCATCAGCCAGCTCCAACACACTGTTGAACTGAAGCCTTCTGCCAACAGCCATGTGAGTGAACCATCTTGGAAGCAGACCCTCCAGCCCAGTCGAACCTCCAGATGACTGCATCCCCAGTCAACATACTAACTGCAACCTCATGAAAGGCTCTGAGCCAGAACTTCCCAGCTACACTGCCACCTCTGAATCCCTGACCCACAGGCTCCGTGAGATGGTTTATTGTTTAAACCACAAAATGTTCAGGCAATTTGCAACTCAACAAGAGATAATGTATCAGCAGCTGCTGGAGTCATGGGAGACATCACCACATGGAGGTAGAGAGGTACAGGAGGGAAATGAGAGGAGCCCTGGATAAGCAACAGCAAATTTCATGGGGTTCCCTTGACACCTCTGTAAGCACCCCTAGAAGTAGTTGGGAGAAATTCAAGAGAGAACTGGGTTCTTTTTTTGAGGGTTATTTTTAAACCAATGAAGTAACTGAGGCTCAGAGAGGCTAAATGACTTATCTAAAATACATAGCCGATAAACTAGTAATTAGTAAAATCTGGATTTAAACCCAATTCCAAGAAAGTGCTCTCCCAAGAAGTCTTTAACAAGATTTTTAACTTTAGAACACTTTATTGTTTATGAATAATTTGATGTTCACAATGATCTGATAAGTGAAAGGATTATTTCCACTTTACATTGTTAAAAATTGAGATTTGTACAACTAGTAACCAGAGCTGAAACTAGAAAACCTTTGAACTTGTAGTCTAATATTTAAAAAAAGACTGAAAGTATAAGTTAATTTGAGTATAAAATATGGTTGTATATAATTAAGTGTTAAACTTTGTAGTGTAGAATACAAAGCCTATAAAAATTCAGAACTTAACAGGCTTCTTATGTTTTTCATAGACTTTTTAAAATTTTTTTTATTATACTTTAAGTTCTAGGGTACACGTGCACAACGTGCACGTTTGTTACATATGTATACATGTGCCATGTTGGTATGCTGCACCCATTAACTCGTCATTTACATTAGGTATATCACCTAATGCTATCCATCCCCCCTCCCCCTACCCCATGACAGGCCCTGGTGTGTGATGTTCCCCACCCTGTGTCCAAGTGTTCTCATTGTTCCACCTATGAGTGAGAACATGCAGTGTTTGGTTTTCTGTCCTTGCGATAGTTTGCTCAGAACGATGGTTTAGAGTAGTTTTAGGTTCATGGCAAAATTGAGTGGTAGGTACAGAGACTTCCCATATATCCCCTGCCTGACACATGCATAATCCCTCCACTCCACCACCAACCACAGCCTCCCCCACCAGAACCTACATTAACACATCATTATCACCCAAATCAGCATTAAGTTTCATTCTTGGTGTTGTTCATTCTGTATATTTGGAAAAATGTATAATGTCATGTGTTTACCATTAGAGTATCATACAGAGTAGATTCACAGCACTAAAAATCCTCTGTGCTCTGCCTATTTATCCCTCCCTCCTCCTTATTAATTACTAGTCTTTCTAATTTGTAGGTAAGGGCAAAGAAGCATCTAAAAATACAAAGCACCTGCTGTCGGTAAATGTAGATAGTTTTTAAAGATTTATTAACATTCTTACTTGTTCAAAATCAGACTTCTTTTGGGCCTTACCCAATTTGACCCAGGACCTTGGGCCCATATTAATTTGCATGAATGCCTCATACAATATTGGTATATTTCCAAGCTCTTCAAATTAATTCATTTTAATAGCTTTTCATAAGCACTTCAAATGAAGAGTCACACGGCTTTGTTTTCCAGATGTCCTTTCATGTATCTGAATAAGCCTATCAGACTTTTATGATTATAACAATTCAGGATAGGAAAGACCAGCCACCAAATTTAACTTGGCCACTCTTAACAAATTCCATATTGCTTTTTAAGCTTTTATTATTTATATATTTGGCACAATAAGTGCAGCAGTAGGAACGCTTTTAAAATGACCTAAAATTTGAAAGACTGAATTAAAAAAAGAATGCACTCTGGCACTAACCATGAGAAACCTAAACCAAATGATCCACCCTGAGAGGTACATTGTAAACGTAATGATTAGAGAAACAGGATGTGTCCAGAATCCAGTCAGGAATAACAGAATGTCGCTGAAATCCAATCAAACACACTAGAGACTCAGGAAAGCCTAAAAATGATGGCAGTCAAAGAAAACTACAAAGTGATCAACTGTATTACCATTTGTAGGAGGAAAATGTGTCAACAGACCTAGGGTGGGCTGCAGAAGAGTTTGGAAAAGGGAAGGCAAAGATGCAGGGAAACAGATGAGTATTCTAGGCAGTTTCTAACATCAAATACCTAAAGACAGAATCCGGTTAATTCTCAGATAGGATGGTCCCCTTTGCCCAGGTTAGTGAACCTCAAACGTTTTGGTCTCATGACCTGTTTACATCTTTAAAAATTATTATTATTATTTTTTTAAGAGCTCGGCTTTTTTTTTAAGAGCTGGGATTTTTTTTATGTGAGTTATATAAAACTCGGTGTTGTTTTATCTATTGATACAGCAGATCCCCCTTACCCAGTTTCACTTTCCACCGTTTCATTTACCCAAGGTCAACCATGATCCCAAAATACTGAATGGAAAATTCCATAAATAAACAATTCAAATGTTTGACATTGTCCACTACTCTGAGTAGCATGATGAAATATCGCACTGTCTCATTCCATCCTGCCTGGGATATGAATCATTCCTTTGTCCAGCATATCCACATCATCTATGCTACCCACCCTTGCAGCACTCAGTAGCTGCCTGGGTTATCAGATCTACTGTCATGATATTGCAAAACTCATGTTTGTCACCTTTATTGTACTTAATAATGGCTTCAACATGCAAGAGTAGTGATGCTGGCATATTGTTATAATTGTTCTATTTTATTATTAGTTATTATTGTTAATCTCTTATTGTGTCTGATTTATAAATTAAACTGTATTAAAGCAAATAACCTCTTAATATTATCATAAAAGTACTTTGGAGTTCACAGAACCCCAAAAGGTTCTTAAGGACTCCCAGTAGTCCTTAGAGTACATCTTCAGGACCACTTTTCTGGAAAATCACCAGTTCAACAACTCTTAAAAAACTTCCAACGGGAGATGAGAAATTTACCTCTCCCAATAGTCTAGCCACCCGCCATCTTTGGGACTAGCATTCTGACTTATACCAGGCTGGAAGAAGTTAGGTGGGGGAAGGGGTTTCCCTCTGAGTTTCCTCAGCTCTAGTAAAACTTTGCCTAGGATTCTCAAAGCTGATGCACCTCCCCGCTATAAAGCTCAAGTTCAATCTCACTCTCAAGCGTCACTGATCAGGACTCTGAGAAATAAACCACTGAACATGTTAGAATAATGGAGTGTATACACTAACTAAGCACCTACATACTTCAAGTTCTAAGTTCTGTTAGGCACTTTTTAATGATATGCCATTAATTCCCATTACAACCCTGTGAGATAGATTTTATAATCCTTCTTTGAGAGATGGACAAACTGAAAGGTTAAGGCATTACACAAAATCGTACTGGTATGTGGTAAAGCTGGAATTTGAACCTTTTCATGGTAATAGTTACTATAATAACAAATAGTGACTGACTGCAAGTATGCCAAGATATTGCTCTAAATTTTACGTATGTCATCTCACAACAATTCTATAAGGTAGATACTATTATTAATTTCCCATATATATTTGAGAACTGTGACACAAATAGTTTAAGTAACATACACAAGATCATCCAACACATAATTGGTGGAGCTTGACTTACATTGAACCCAGACAGTCTGATTCCAGAATCCATGCTCTTAACCCCTAACTTCCACCCTTCTCCCAGGCATGGTCATTCTCAAGCCTATACCCTTACCCTCTTATGGACTGCCTCTTTGGAAGTCCTCAAAAAGGGACCTCACAGAGATGCACCATCTCCTGGCTACCAGGTATGTACTGAGGCCAATCAGATACAGTAAGATCATCTTCATAACACAAATATGTATTAATATTGTAGCAGCAAATATTTAAGAATAAATGCACTAAATATCTACATGTTTTGAGGAACAAACAATAGAAAAACTAATTAATTTTACAAAAGAACATTTAAAACATAGATAATTAAAGGACGAGGGAATCTCAGAATCATAGAATTATAAAGGATCCTAGCTAAGAAATCACTAAGTAGAAAAGGCATGTAGACATGAACAGAGAGAGTATTTGAACCTATGTAGAGCCTCAGTCTATCTCCACATCACTCAACATCAATAATTCAAGGACTCTGGCCTGCTAGGAATAATTCAAAGATACTCTTATACTACAAGTGCCAGAAATAGAGTTGAGGCCATTGGCCAATTTTTAAATATCCATTTGTTTCCTTGTGTAGCCTAACTCTGACCATCTATAATGCTGCTTAACTTCTTATTTTTTTAAAAAAAGCACATCAGTGTTAAGACCATATTAAGAATTGCTTTTCCGGCAGGGCACGGTGGCTCCTGCCTCTAATCCCAGCACTTTGGGAGGCCAAGGTGGGCAGATCACGAGATCAGGAGATCGAGACCACGGTGAAACCCCGTCTCTATTAAAAATACAAAAAATTAGCTGGGCACGGTGGTGGGCACCTGTAGTCCCAGCTACTCGGGAGGCTGAGGCAGGAGAATGGGGTGAACCTGGGAGGCAGAGCTTGCAGTGAGCAGAGATCGCGCCACTGCACTCCAGCCTGGGCAACAGAGCGAGACTCCGTCTCAAAAAAAAAAAAAAAAAAAAAAAAGAATTGCTTTTCCAGCAATGAATTTTATGGATGCAGAATTTTTTTGGAGTATGACTAAAATTATTATTTTTTTGTTTAGTCATCACCTTGCCTTCAGAGACTAAAATTATTTTTAACAAATACGTTTAATACATTACACTTTGTTTTTATCTATATGTTTTTTTTATTTATCCCACTGCCAATTTTAATGATTATTTAGAGCTTTGAACTCTTGCTGAATAGAAAACTCCATTTCCATTGATAATGGCTCCACTTAGGTTCTTTCACAGCCATTTGGATATAAAGATGAATGTAAAAACAATTCCTTTGACATTCTTTGATAATTTCAAAAAGGGCAGAAATTTAGAATCTGAGAGCTTTTCAGCTGGAAAAAAGAAGTACGAGTTAGAACTGGGTAAACCCTTCCTGGCTTTCTATGACTTTCATTTAAATACTCCTCTTCCAACCAAACTCACTCTATCCTAACCAGATAGACTTGAATTCAGAGTTGGTAAGGGGAATTTAAGCTCAACTGTACTGATTGTAGCAATATTCACATGTAATCATACAAACAAAACCCTTTCTCCCCTTCTCCCTCTCCTTCCCTCCCTCCAACCCACCTCCCTTCCTTGATCTTCAGGATAGTACAGGTCTGCTGTTTTAATAGTCCCTTTGCTTATTGGTTACAAAAATGTTCTATTCCTCTATAGAGAGAGAAGCTAGGAGTGGAATGCTGTCTTGGGTCCAATTAAGCTTAACTGATTCAACAGTTTTCTTTTCTGAACCATATTATGAATAATCATTCAAAAATGATTCTGAGCAACTTATAAATTTAAAAGCTGTGCATGATAATCCAGGCCACATTCTTTGATTGGTTCTGTTGTTGCTGAAACAGATATGGTCATATTAGGAGTGGGGAATATTTTTTAAGGATTTTAACTAAAGAAAAACTTAAATGAAGTTTAAAAAACTGATCCAATCAACATACTGTGTGTGTGTGTCTGTGTGTGTGTGTGTGCGTGTGTGTGTGTGTGCTCACAAGAGCCTTGGGCTGTATGCAGCATATAAAATATTTAACAGCACGAACAATAAAATTTAATACACAGACCCTATAGGAAATGTATATTTCAAAATTTTAAATCGAGTTTGGTTGTGTAATTAATTATCCAAACAGCAACAGCTGATAGACCCAGAATAGAAACAGGTTCAAAAGAACTAGGATAAATATGTAAGAGTTTATAAATAACATCCATCTGTTATTAGTTATATCTCATAGATGCAGCAAATCAACACGTGTTCCTCATATTGGTTACTGTTTGTCCCAAAATATCTCTCTTGCCAAAGCACCTTGGAGCAAAGTGATTGATGATAAAGAGGCAGAGAGAGTACTCTTCAATTTTTAGTTTGTAACATTTCTATATGATGGTATATTCCCCTTCTCCTTTTGTAACAGCCTTGTTATGTTATCTTTATCTGACACCATAGTGCCTGTGACAAATAAACAAGAAGTGATGGATAAAATGGGTCACGCTCAGGCATTTTTTAATGTGTGGTGTGGTGCTGCTGAGGATAGCTGGGTGTTGGAACCTGGAGCAGTAGAACTCCACAGAGCAGGTGCACGGCAGGTGCACGAGGGCGGTGCCTGCAAAGAACTAGAGGGCACCACAGCTGAAGAGGCCACCAGAGGACTTCCAGAAAGTGTGTGGAATAAAAAGATTTGAAAAAAATTACATTAGTGGATTATATTGTAAATTCAGGGCCTTGCCATCAGCCCCTGCCAAGTTTTAGCTCCATGTTAAAAGTATTTTCTTCAACTGATTCCACTCATATTGAAACAGGATTAGTATTATCAATTTTCTTTTACCCACCTCACAGAACATTGTTCAGAATGGTTAGTATCGGTGAAAAAGTTCAAGGAGGTAGATAAAAATAGCTATCCATCTGTCTACCTTTCTCTTCAATCCAATGGATATGTACAGACATCCTGAAGAATCAACTGGAAGCTAGACATCCTTCTTCAAGGATTGTAGTCTAGCTGGAGAGATAAGGTACTGTATTCAATATCTAATGCTACCTAAAAAATTATTCAAATTTAGAGGCTTAAAATAACCAACTTTCATTACCTTATGGTTCCTATAGGCCAGGAATTGAGGAGCAGCTTAACTGGGTTAATCTGGCTCAAGATGTCTGAGAAGGCTGCAGTGCGGCTATTGGCTGGAGCGGCAGTCTCATTCAAAGGCTCCACCTGCTTCCAATCTCAGTCACAAAGTTGTTGTCAGGCTTCAGTTCCTCCCTGGCTGACTGGGAGACCTCAGCTCCTTACCTATCAATAGTTTGTCTAAGTGGTCTCCTGACATGGCAGTTGACTTTCCTCTGGGAGAGTGATCTAAGAGAAAGTGAGTGGGGGAGGGAGAAAGAGAGAGAGAGTGAGCCAGCACACCCAAGATAGAAGCTACAGGTTTTTTTTTTTTTTTTTTTTTTTTTTTTTTGAGACAAAGTCTCACTCAAGCCACAGTCTTTTTGTAACCTAATATCAGAAGGGACATACCATTACTTCTGCCACATACTGTTGGCCACACAGACCAACCCTGATAAAATATGGAAGGGACTACAAAGTGTGTGAAAATCAGGAGGTGGAGATTATTGGGGGTCACCTTGGAAAGTGGCTACCACACCTATTTCTGAAAAAAAAATGAAAAAAAATCAAATGTGCAAGTTCAATGAATGCTAAATCTAAATTAGTATTCAGAAAATACAAGAACATCCCAGGGGGGCTGGGCTACTGAGGAAAGGGGATGTGGCTGACAGGGTTTCCAACAGGTCTTGAGGGACGGTTAGAATTTAAACAGGCAGGTAGACACTGGGAAAACATTCCAGCTGAGGAAAGTAGCAGGACGGGCTGAGGGGTAGACAATTGTCCACAAGACATACTGGAGAAGCTAGAAAAGCCAGCTAAGTTTTATTCTGACAGGCTTCCACTTTTGGGGCCCAGCAAATTTTTCAAGAAAAGATAATACTGAGTTTTCCTGCCTAGACTTCAGAATTGTAACTCTTTGATACTAGAATCTATGATTCACTGAACCTCATGAAAAATCCCATTACAGACAGAAGTGCAGAAGGCACCCCAAGATAATGAGAATCAACCCCTAGAACACCTGTAAACCTAAACTGGAAACACTATACTATTTAAAGCATTAAATCTCCCAGTGTTTTTTATGCAGTGCAGCAGTATGCTACCAGATACTGAAACAGGCCATTATTTTTGAAATCAAAAGAATCTTACCCCAAACTGGGATTAATCAAACATTAATGAATTTCGATGAGCTGTTTTCATGGTCTCTATTATCTAATGATTAATATCCTATCAATGAAATATTTCTCATCTCATTTAGCCTCCTAATTTATTTAGATAGGAAATAAACAAAGGAAAATGATATATCTGTGTTGGAACTTTTTCTTCTTCGAGATCAGTGTTTAATAGTGAGAAGAGCACTCCGTCTTTCCATTGATCCCTGTCTAATAGCATATGTGGGTCACCTCTGTAATTGGCACCTAGATGCAACAGAGGAAATGAAGCAACCCCCTCTGCAATCCCATAGCATGGACTTTGGTGACTGAGGGGAAGTAATTTGTTCCAACTCCAGAGTTTTCATCATATTTTAAACAGGTTAGTTCTGTCCTTTGTTGTATTTTTTTGTGGAGGGTAAAACATACATAATACAAAATTTGCCATTTAAACCATTTTTCATACACTTGAGTGGCATTAAATACTTTCACATTATTGTGCAACCATCACCATCATCTAACATCAGAACTTATCTTTCCACACTGAAACTGCAACTATTAAACAATAACTCCCGTTCCTCCTTCCCCCAAGCCACTGGTCTACTTTCTGTCCCCATGAATTTGATTTTCTACTTTCTGTCCCCATGAATTTGACTTTCTACTTTCTGTCCCCATGAATTTGACTTTCTACTTTCTGTCCCCATGAATTTGACTATTCCAGGCACTTCACAGAAGAGGAATCATACAATATTTGTCCTTTTGTATCTGGCTTATTCACATAGCATAATTTCTTTTAGGTTCATCCATTGCCCCTCACTGTCTTAAATATATTTTGTCCATGAAGAAAGTCATGTTCCTTCTTAAGCATGTGGAATTTGTTTCTATCTTTATGTGAGGTTATATGTGATTTTACCTCCCTTCAATGCTTAACAAGCAAGGATGTCACAGGAGGGATAACGCTATACACTCTTACCCCGGAAATAGGAACAGAGAAAGAGAGCTGGTGAGTTGGCACTGTCTCTGAGGATGTGAGCAGGAACTTACTAATGGGATCCAGAAGCAGTTATCAGGAGCTCAAGGTGAGAGGGCACATGGTTGGGTCTCCTGACCCCTCTGGCTTACACTCTCTTTATATGCTCCTGAATGGCAAAGGAAGTCTAGATCCATTTTCTCCTGGTTTTAATAATAGCCTTGGCCGGGTATAGTGGCTCTTGCCTGTAATCCCAGCACTTTGGGAGGCCGAGGTGGGCAGACTGCTTGAGCTTAGGAGTTCGAGACTAGCCTGGGCAACACAGCAAAACCCTATCTTTACAAAAAATACAAAAATTAGCTGGCCATGGTAGGGCATGCCTACTCACCTACAGCACCCAGCTACTTGGGAAGCTGAGGTGGGAGGATTGCTTGAGCCTGGGAGGTGGAGGTTGCAGTGAGCCAAGATCATGCCACTGCACTCCAGCCTGTGTGACAGAGCCAGGCTGTGTCTCAAAGTGTATAAGGCTCATATATATAGCCTTATGCATTTTTTCTCATTGATTACAATGGAATGAAGGATTTTAAGTGTTTAACCTACACTATGCTTCACTGCTTGTGAAGAGATATGGGTATTCTTGGCATTAATTGGGACCAGAAGTTGTTTTAAATGTAAATGTGTCCTAGGTAGCAGTTTTATTGAATCACTGCATGATCTCAGTGTGATATATATCACATCAGATGATAGATAGATAGATAGGCAAGCACATACATTACACCACTGAGGTCATGAAATAATTCATAGCTAGATCTGCATGTATAAGTGTGTGCACACATGTGTATAGTGACATAAGCAAAGATAATATGGCTTCCAGGTGACTATGAAGGACAGTGAGGAGAGTAAATGTCTAGGTAAATATTTGGTGAGCTATGCTGGGAAAACTAATACGGTACTGTCCCCTCACTTTGACACCAAAAAAGCCACCAGAGGGGTATGATCTTCATGACAGATGTCACCTCACAGTCCACTGCTATAAGGCATATCAGAATTTAGAAGGAAAGAAAAGGAGCTTTTAAGAACTCTTTGAGGAGATAAACAGGATTTCATTTAATGCTCTTCAAAAGATCCAAGAAAAAGATGAAAACTTCTTTTAAAATTATTTTGGTTATTGGACTATAGTTTACATGCAATTCCATGCAGAAATAAAAGCACATCCAACCCTGTCTTTAATTAGGGTTACAAGTTTCACTCACTGTTTTCCTTCTCCATCGTCATTAGAAGGATCACTATTTGGCTTTAACTGAGCTCATTCTCAGCTGACCATTGTTTTGTTATTCTCAGTAACTGATGCGGCTGCTACAACAGACAAACTCAAAATCTTAGTGACAACATAAATAGTTCTCACATAAGTCAAGTCTTATGCAGATTTCCAGGCTCTACATTTAGTCAGTTAGATATCTCTAGGTTCCCTTCATCTTCTGGCACTTCCATCTCAAGTCATGTCTTCCAAAGTTGCCACAACAGGGGAAGAGAGAAATGGAGGAGGCACACACCTCTTAACTGCCTCGGCCAGGAAGTGATTCACATCTCTTCTGCTCACAGTTGATTGCCCCAAACCAAGGGCAAAGGAGGCCGGGAAGTGCAGGGAAGTACATGGAAATTCAGTGAGCACCAAGTGTCTCTACCATAACCATGATATTGTTCTCGGGATGATAAAAAATGAAGACAGAATGTACTTTCCATTTGGTACTATGTTCCATACAAATAATGCCCATGTGTTGGAATTCACTGAAGATAATAGCAAACCAATGGAAATCACAAAATACTCTACAGATCTCCAGTGCTTATATGCAATTCCAAATTTCAAAATGCTCTGGAAAACAAAAGTTTCCAGCTTTTCCAATAACTAGTTCAATGGAAACAACATGGCCTGAATTGAAGTAGGCTATTTACCAGCATACCTGGACCTCAGGTTTTCATTTAAGAGGGAGTGAATCTGAATAAAATAGACATAAATTAGGAGTAAGCATAGAAACTAAACTGGAACAACATTTTGGATATATTCGATTTGTCTCTAAGCTTTTAGTCATTTGTCCTGCAAATGCATTAGTCGACATTTACTATTTCCTATGTGACAGGCACTGTTTTAAGTACTTTGCATTAATTAGCTCATTTAATGTTCTCAACAACGCTTTGGTGTAGGTGATATTATTATCTCTACTTAGCAGACATGGAAATAAAGTCCCGATAAGTCTAAAAATGGTCACCCAGTTAAAAACAGGAGAAGTTAGGGATAAAATCCAGGCAAATTTACTCCAGAAGCCCTTTTTTTAAACTACTATGCTATTCTGTTCCCACATCGAATTTAAAATCACATTAAGAAACTCTCTTACCTTTCATGTGTCCATCAACATTTGATGAGCTAAACCTGAGTTGAGCTATGTTAAGCTTTGAATCGTGTGTGCATATATGTTTATTTGTGAGAATTTGCAGTAGACTTTCAATGAATAGCTGGCTTTATCTTAAGTCTATGAACAAAAAATTTTGGTTGGCATCACTGTCATGGTTCTTCCATTTCATAAAACTTTCTGAGCAAGAATTCAACTGAGCTAGAGGCTAGTCCATGATGCAAAGGAAATTCTCATCAGTAGTTGAAAAAGATAGGCTTTGGCTTGTTTTAGGAAACTACATGGAAAAGTTCTGTCAACAAGACATTTTTATGTAGTAAATGAATTAACTGCATTAAATCAAGGTTTAAACATGATACAGTCCTCCCCCACTTTCAGCTTTTTTTTTTAATTTATTTATTTTGAGACAGAGTCTCTCTCTGTCACTCAGGCTGGAGTGCAGTGGTGAGATCTCGGCTCACTGCAACCTCTGCCTCCGGGTTCAAGCTATTCTCCCGCCACATCCTCCAGAGTAGCAGGGATTACAGGCATGTGCCACCACGCCCAGATAATTTTGGTATTTTTAGTAGAGACGGGGTTTTGCCATCTTAGCCAGGCTTGTCTTGAATTACTGACCTCTGGTGATCCACCCTCCTCGGCCTCCCAAAGTGCTGGGATTATAGGTATGAGCCACCACACCCGGCCCACTTTCAGCTTTATTAAAGTAAACTTCTTAGACAAAAATTATATATAGTTAGGGTGTAAAATATGATGTTTTGATATATGTATACATTGTGAATGATCAAATTAAGCTAATTAATATATCTAGCACCTCACATACTTAACATTTTTAAAGATTAATTAAACATACTATAAACTACTACTTTCTGACATCTTTAATGTCTCTTTTGTTGTAGGATGTTGACAGTAGAAAGAATGTTACTACTTCCTGTTTCCTGGGAATAGTCAATACTGACTTAAAAATGTGTGACTATACTAGAATAATTATACTAAATATACTTCTGAAAAGTTGTTTTTCTTAAAGTTTGCTATTTTGAACTAAAAAATAACTATTTCATAGAAATATTTTCTCTAAAATAGGAACACTTTTACACTGTTGGTGGGACTGTAAACTAGTTCAACCATTGTGGAAGTCAGTGTGGCGATTCCTCAGGGATCTAGAACTAGAAATACCATTTGACCCAGCCATCCCATTACTGGGTATATACCCAAAGGACTATAAATCATGCTGCTATAAAGACACATGCACATGTATGTTTACTGCGGCACTATTCACAATAGCAAAGACTTGGAACCAACCCAAATGTCCAACAACGATAGACTGGATTAAGAAAATGTGGCACATATACACCATGGAATACTATGCAGCCATAAAAAATGATGAGTTCATGTCCTTTGTAGGGACATGGATGAAATTGGAAATCATCATTCTCGGTAAACTATCGCAAGGACAAAAAACCAAACACCGCATGTTCTCACTCATAGATGGGAATTGAACAATGAGAACACATGGACACAGGAAGGGAAACATCACACACTGGGTACTGTTGTGGGGTTGGGGGAGGGGGCAGGGATAGCATTAGGAGATATACCTAATGCTAAATGACAAGTTAGTGGGTGCAGCACACCAGCATGGCACATGTATACATATGTAACTAACCTGCACATTGTGCACATGTACCCTAAAACTTAAAGTATAATAATAATAATAATAATAATAATAAAAAGGAAGTAGGAAAAAAAAAGAAATATTTTCTCTATAATCTTAAAAAATCTTCTCCCAAATGTAGTAGTATAGTCTTTTTGAAACTCTAAATTATATTACACATTTTTCTAAATTATGATTTTGTACTTATCAATGTTTTGCAAGAATATGAGTATTTAATAAAAATTGTTGCTAAGTTATCTAATTAAAATTAATAAAATAAAGAGACTCTGCCTAACCTCTTAGTCATTCCCATTCCCTCACCTGAACAATCTTGAAAGAGTAGGGGAGTGGTTGGTTGGTTGACTGTTAGTTCTCTCTCACTCTACCAGCCCTACTAGCCTGAGTTAATTTCCTGCACTGTCAGGAGCACCTTGATGCTAAGAAGTAGATTGCCTGAAGATAGTCACATTCAATTCTCAATAACAGTGAAATAAGTATTTATCTTATTTAAAAACAAAGGCTAATTTGAATAGAAGTCAAGTATGACCTTCCAGATTATATAAGCTATAGCATTCAGTTTTTGCTTTGTAACAAATGAATTGAAAGTCTCTGTGCTTATAATAACTAACAATTAATTTCATGCTCACGTGTGTAGGTTGACTGGGCTTCTGCTGATCTAGGCTAGGCATAGCCGAGAAAAGCTGGACTCCAAGTTTCTAGTCAGCTGTAGGCTGCTCTTTTTTGGGGTCCAGGTTGAAAAGTGTAGCCACACCTGGGGTATTCTTCTCTCATGAGGAATCAAAAAAGCCCAAGAAGAAAAGCTAAAACATGGAAATAAATTTAAAGCCTCTGCTCATGTTACGTCCCCTAGCATGCTATCAGGCCAGGCAAATTATATGGCCACGTCCAATTTTCGTGGGGATAAGAAATATGTCCTGCCCACTCTGGAAGAGGAACTAGATCACAAGGTAAAAAAGCATGGATGTACAATCCCATAAGGGAAAGGAGGTGAAGAATTAGGAACAATAATTTACCACGTCTACTGATTCAAAATTTAATGTTTTTCTTTCTTCTTTCTTTCTTTTTTTTCTTTTTTTTTAGACAGAGTCTCGCTCTGCCGCCCAGGCTGAAGTGCAGTGGCACGATCTCGGCTCACGGCTCACTGCAAGCTCCGCCTCCCAGGTTCACGCCATTCTCCTGCCCCAGCCTCCCAAGTAGCTGGGACTACAGGCGCCCGCCACCACGCCCAGCTAATTTTTTTGTATTTTTAGTAGAGACGGGGTTTCACCGTGTTAGCCTGGAAGGTCTCGGTCTCCTGACCTCGTGATCCGTCCGCCTCGGCCTCCCAAAGTGTTGGGATTACAGCGCCTGGCCAATGTTTTTCTTTAAAGAGGAAGATTCCTGTCAGAAATGAAGCCTTCATATTTAAGAGCCTTCATTTTTCTCATTCAGTTACTCTGTGCTGCTACTGTGCCAATATGGGCACGAGGTGCATACCAGATGCATCAACCTCCTCCTCAGCTCTCTTCTCTCTGCTAGACAGTGTCCTTTGGGTGAAC
Organism: Homo sapiens; assembly: GCF_000001405.40. Lineage (NCBI taxonomy): Eukaryota > Metazoa > Chordata > Mammalia > Primates > Hominidae > Homo > Homo sapiens. Next base: position 34,690,234 of record NC_000013.11, read on the forward strand.
GGTTCCACTTTTGTGACTTTGACCATCTGAAAGACTGATGGAGCCTCCATCTCTGTATCCCCTTCTCCTCCTGCTGCCCCTCCCCTGGCTTTCCCTCATGCTCTAGAAACACCAACAGTCTTCCTCATGGCTTTATACCACAGCATCTTGTTTCTCAGCCTCTCCCTTCCATGGACTGTGAGCAGAGACAGTGTGTTTATTCATCTGTTTCTCCAACACCCACCACATGCATTGTCAGACTTTCACTAAAAGCATAAATAGGAAGAGCATGATGATAAATTAGTTAATGCATATAATGTACATTATTTTCAGGTGCTGGATGCCCTAAAAGCCCTGACTTGACCACTACACAACCTATGCATACAACAAAATTGCACATGTGCCCCATAAATTTATATAAATAAATAACTTTTTAAAGACATAAATAATGAAGGAATATTGAGACTTCTTATTGGTCCAGAGGAAGTGTTTTCTTTTAAAGCACATCTATTTTAAAAAAATATTTTTAAAGATAGCGTCTTGCTCTATTGCCCAGGCTGGAGTGCAGTGGCATGATCTCCTGGGCTAAAATGATCCTCCTGCATCAGCCTCTCAAGTAGCTGGGACTACAGACACATGCCACCAGTTCCAGCTAATTTTTTTTTTTTCTAAATTTTTAGTAGAGATGGGATCTCCCTACATTACCCAGGGTAGTCTTAAACTCCTGGCCTCAAGTGATCCTCCCACCTCAGCCTCCCAAAGTGCTGGAATTACAGGCATGAGCCACCACACCCGACCCCCATATCGATATTTTAATAATGCTGAGAATATATTGTAATTTAGGTTGCCATTGATGCTCACTATTGTTTTACTGTATAAATTCTTTACTTTCTACATTACTATTAACCCACACAGATCTTTCCCCTTACCTCAACTTCAATTGCCCTTAAAATTTATATCACAGCATTTAACACTTATGGTTGTTTAGTTATTTCATGTATTTTAGTTTTTTTCTCCTCAACTAGATTATGATCTTCAAGACAAAGTTGTACATGCTGGAATGTACATCTTACATATGGCACATAATCGTGCATACAAAATATAGGAAAAAATGATAATGATTAATACATAGTTCTTACAATGTTCCAGGCACTATTCTAAGGCAATCCACCTGTTGATTCATTTAATCCTCAAAACAAGTACAATTGTTGTCATTCTTCTAAGGAAGAAATGGAAGGCACAGCTGAGGAATCCACTTACTACATGGAGAGACTGAAATTCAACCCAGGCAGCTTGGCCCCAGAATCTGGGCTTCTAATCACTCTCCACACTAGAAACTCAATAAACATGGCTAATTGGTTGAAACTTACCCTTAGGACAGTTTTCTACTGACATTTACCCTCACATAATTTTTAATCCTTTTTACCATTTACCTAAAACTCTCAAAAAGATGTGAAAGTTTGCTGATGATATCCAGCAAAAATATCCAATTATTTCTTATATTGGTTTCAGCCCTGTGCTTGGAGTAAACTGAAACAAAGTTTATCACAATAAGTGTGGGAGAAAGAGAAGAACATGGCAAATAAAACTGTATCATTCATTTTACAAATTTACTAAACTGCATGTCAGAATCTTTTTAAATCAATCTGTTAGCTCTAATGATATGCTGTTTGGTTGATATCTTCTTGTATAAATTTATTTATGGCTGGAAATTTAGATTCTGCTTGTTGATCCTACAAAAAAACTATGACATAACTAAGTAATTTTGAAAATTCCATGTAAGCACAGAAAAAGTGTTGATATTATATAAAAAGTGTTTTTGTTTTTGCTGTTTTAGGTCATTTGGCTGCTCTAACTTAACATTCAGGGCAGACTGGAGATAAGGCTTCCTTCAAGAAAACATCCCTGACTCCCTATGGCACCCTTGCATTTCCACCATCATAACACTGGCCTCATAATATTCGCTTAATGAACACCTCCTGAGCACCAGTTATACATCCATCACTACTGAAAGTGTGAGGATAGAGCAGTGAACAAAATGGACAATATTATTAGGATTGTTAAATGTTCATTTGTGATTTCCATAATACTTCAATTCCAGGACAGCAGAAACATAATCTTTCCTATTGGCATCTGTCTTTGTGTGGCTGTAACAAAATACCTAAGACTGGGTAATTTATAAAGAATGGAAAATTATTTCTCACAGTTCTAGGAGGCCGGGAAGTTCACAGTCCAATAACTGGCTGATGTGGTGTCTGATGAGGGCCCTTTCTTTGCTTCCAACACGGCGCCTGTTGCTGCATCCTCCAGAGGAGACAAATGCTGTGTCCTCACAAGGAGGCAGGGCAGAAGCTAAAAGGGGCCTAGCTAATTCCCTTCAGCCCTTTTAAAGGGTCATTAATCCCATTCATGAGGGCTCTGCCTTCATGATTTAATCACCTCTTAAACGCCTCACCTTTTAATAATATCACTTTGGGTCTTAGGTTCCAACATATGAATTTGGAGGGGTGGGGGTCACGAACATTCAAATCATAGCATCATCTCAATCTCCAATGCCCAGGATTGGGTGTGACACATAATAGACTCTTAATAAGTATATTTTCAATGAATGTTGTTGAATTATAAAAGCATATTACTTTAGTATATAACAGCATATAACAAAAAACTTCTATCTGCAAGAAAATAATTTTCTTTAGAATTTACTTAAATTTAAATTCTTATATTGTCATAAATAAACCAGTGACCACTGAAAACACCTAAGTAATCTCTTATAAGAAAAATTCAAATACTTTTTGGTGTCATGTGAATTTGAATACTGCATCAAAGCGAATATTTATCTATCATTATAATATTTAGAGAAAATGTACTTTATAGCTTTCATTTTTTCCCTTTCTGAGAAATAAACCTTGCAGCAGCCAGCATACAGTTACAAAAGGATACCAAAAAATAAAAAAATCCAACCTTCCTTTGCATTCAAATTGCATGCAATTGCATGAAAATACTTTTCTGCACCCAAGTCCACATGACACCAAAAGCAGATATCAACATGGCTAATATGTAAATATGTTTGGGGAGATGGGCAGCTCATTCATCAGGTAAATTTTAGGTTGTTCCTCCCAGGGATGAAGATGAAGGCTCCCAAGAAGTCACTCAACCAGAGCCCTGTCAATGGTAACAGCCAAACAGCACCCCTTTCTGGTAACCAGCATTCTACTTAATGCTCACCAGTTAAGATCTTTCCTCTGGGAGTCTATTTCCAAAGGCCCCATGTGACAAAGATGGCCCAGAAACCATGTTGCATGCATGTCAGCCGAGCACACACAAAATCTTGCCAACGTTTTTCTCAGTTTTCACTTTAGCTCTCACTTTCTATTTTTCCCTATTTCTCTCCTACTATCTTGGTTTGATGGGCTCCATGTGAGCTACTCATGGAAATTCTTGAAACTAGAAAGAAAACTGATTACTAAGATTTATAAGGTTGAAATGATTTATTCATCCCTGAAGGAAAGAGACAATTCATCACATTTCAAAAGACTGGACAATCAAGCTCTGACTATATTTATATGACATCATAAAGCTGTTTTCTTGAAGAATGACTAAGCCGCCTGCTTAAAAATGAGACGACTTATTCTGGGCAGACATTTTGAACACGAGTATTTTAGAAGCCAGTGTATTTTTTTGGCCACTGAAGACCTTTTCAGTGGAAAAGAAAACTCAAGAGTGTAATAATTTTGACTGAATGTTGCATATCTTTTAATAAATTTATGTGGAAAAATGTTTATTAAACATCTAGTATAGGTTAAGTGTTGAGCTAGATGCATCATGTTCCCTGCCAACTAGGGGCTCACAGAGGTTCACAGTTGGGTAGGGAAAGAAATAAGTAAATAAATAATTATAACAAAGTGTTAATTGCTCAAAATAAAGTCAACCCCTACCTAAAACAAGAAGTTCAAAAATCTTTCTACATGAGACCAAAATCATGTAAGTCATGTCCATTTCTGATTGTTAGCACTAAAGGATTTTCGATATTTTATGGAAGAAGGGGGATATTGCAGGAAACCCCAATATGAACAAAATACCTGTTTTCAGCATATAGAATAATGCAAGAGGGTAAGGACATGCATACAACATGAGACTTCTGGTTGACCTTCTCTCTTAGGCTCTTTTCAAAATTCACCAGTTATGTATACTATTCCATCTCAGCCAACTCTAATGTTGGAAAATAATCTGATAAGTGAATCCCCCCTAAGATATTAATGGTTTGTTGTATAATGCATCATTTTACTGAGGGATTTGTGCACTAATAGGCCACTCTTAAAAATGAAAGCCTTAATTCGCTATTACGAATCACTGGTTTTAGAGTACTAAGCATTATGTGACGTTTATCTCTAACTCTGAATGTTCTACCCTGGTTTGTTCACGTTAAAATATGAAAGCCTTCATCAACTCCATTCATCTTGGACAAGATGAAACCCTGGCCCAAGCCACATGCATTTAGAAACAATTCACATAGTAGATTTTAATTTTTAATCTAATTTTTTGTGATACAGAATTCATAGTAACAAAAACAAAATAATCACTTTATGTGAAACTAATAACATTAGAAATTGTGGTGATCATGGGGAAATAACTGTAGTTTTTTTTTAATGCCCTGGACCCTAATTATGTTTTCTGGTTTTCCTTTTCATAAGAAAACTCCAGATCACGATAAGACAAATTTAAAAAAAAACTTTAATATATTCACACACCTTAACTAAGTGTAACCCTTGCAGGTAGTGATGTTCCAAACTTTCACAGCAAAATCCCAGTCTAACAGCAAGCAGATTGTCTGTAATTCATACAACTCCTGCTAAGAAAAAAATTAATAAATCCAAGAAGAAATTAATGGGGCAAAAACCATCTTTTGATTTATAGAACAGAATTTTTCACATAACCCTGAAACTAGAAAGTGTACCAGCAGGGGTTTTGCAGATCACCCAAGACCAGGGATTACCTGGAAACCCTCGCCTAGTAACAAGCAGAGAGAAACTTTGCACTTGCCAAAGCCTGGCCAGCTAGGATTCTGGGACCTGAGCCCAAGGGTGAGTTAGGTAGGTGAGAGTTCTTAAAACAGGAATGGGAAGAAACCAAAGACAACTTCCTAGCAAAATCAGCATTGAAAAATTGTCTCCACCAAGCATCAGACCAAGGCTTGGACAGAGAGGTGAAAAGCATACCTAAGATGTTGCGGTGGCCCCCAGAATATAAAGACCAGAGCAGGGAAGGTGTGTTGGAGAAAAAAACGGAAACTCCCTGACTTGCCTCTTAAAAGTGCACTCATAGCCTCATTGGGTGGGGCAGAGAAAGCAAAGACAGACCAGATTTAAACAGAGGAAATCGGCCAGGCGTGGTGGCTCATGCCTGTAATCCCAGCACTTTGGGAGGCCGAGGCGGGCAGATCATTTGAGGTCAGGAATTCAAGAGCAGCCTGGCCAACATGGTGAAACCCCATCTCTCCCAATAATACAAAACTTAGCTGAGTGTGGTGGCACGTGCCTGTAATCCCAGCTGCCAGGGAGACTGAGGCATGAGAATGCCTCATTCTCACAGGAGGCGGAGGTTGCAGTGAGCCAAGATCATGCCACTGCACTCCAGCCTGGGCAACAGGGTGAAACTGTGTTTCAAAATAAAATAAAATAAAATAGATAAACAGGGAAACCGTTCTTACAGCATACACTTTAAGAAAAAAAAATGTTATCAAATTAAGCTAAGGGTTCACACTAGTGAGTGAAGGATAGGAAGCCAAAAGAGAGAGTGAATCGTAAATTTCTCTCAATTCTGTTCACAGATTTCATTTCCCAAAGTGCCAAATTATTTTGGTTTCACTAGACTTAATCCCAAACTCAAAACTTCACTTCATTAAAATAGCAATACCTGACATTCTCTGAGGCTATTTCAGACCGTTTTAAACCTTCAGCAAAGCCCTTTTAATAGTTTCAAACAAGTTACACATCAAAAGAGCTATCGAGGCTGCCTGACAACAAAACTCATTACATGACATAAATGTACCGCAAAACCTTAGCAAATCAGATGTTTATTCAAATATAAAAGTTTTTCCCCACTAAAATACTTAAAAGAACGTATGATGTGGAAATATCATATAAAATGCCCTTTTAGACTATCTTGCCTTGTTTAACATACTCATATTTGTGAAAAAAACCAATTTACCTCTGCAAATTGTGTAATCATCAAAATGAATGCTTTAGCAAATCTCTTTGTTTCCTTTTCTACCACCCCATGCATGTTGTAACATGATTTCTGATTTTGTGACCTGGAGCTGATTTTTTTTTTTTTTGAAACCACGAAGATCTGTTTGGCATTATCCACGTGAGTATCCGCCCTGCTGAAGAGCCCTCCACTCTATTCCCAGCACTCCAGTTTGATGGAAGAGCCTTTCAACCTTCCCACGTCAGAATGCATTCTGATGTCAGACTTGTTCTTATCATGATGAAGACCATAGTCTTACTTATTCTAGAAAAGTATTTGGTTACATGCTAACAAACCTACAATAAAAATCAGGAAGAATACTTATAGCCTATGTTACTGGACTATTTTCTACGTAAGAATTAGATAAACTCTAAAATCTCACTAAGTTCACTATCACTAACACTGATGCAGGATTTTTCTTCTTGGTCATTTTGCAAGCCGGGGACCCCCGGCCAGTGACACTCCACCCGGGCCTCGCTCGGCCACGCTGGCATGCCCCAGCTCACCTATGTTATAGCTTGTACCTGCATTCGGTGGTTCCCGAGCTCTGGTACTGCACCCAAGAAGAATAAGGATACGCTGGGCATTGAAGTGGTAAGGAGGGCGAAGAAGAGTTTTATTGAGCAATGAAAACGGCTTTCAGCGGAGAAGGGATGCATGGTTGGTCCCCCTACGCAAAGGCAGGAAAGTTCCCCCAAGTGGTTGGGTCTGGGGCCTGTTATGGACTCAGAATGGGGAGTGCATGCTGATTGGTTTGTGAGCATGTAAAAAAGGTTAAAGCAAAGACACCACTCAAAGGTGGGCACGACAGTGTAGAAAACCAATTAAGAAAGGGTAGGTATATGTAAAATAGGTGAAGGGTAGGGCCCAATCAGAGGAAAGCTTGCCAAACAGGAAGACAAGTTCTCAATCCGGTGGGAGGGTTTAACTTGCAGCTTGGCTTTCAGGCTTTAAACTGTCTTTGGCTTGGAGGTGGGGTTTCACCAGGGACCCACCCCTATATGCCGAGGCATTTTCCTGCCTCCTGTTGCTATCAACACTAATAGATCATCCTACAGTAGTGATTGTACCATCATAAATATCAAATACGTTTTAAAGGCATGTTTTCCACTATGAAAGTAACACTAAAGAAGAAAACAAAATTTTATCATGGTTTTATACAGTGACTCTTTCAACAGTGACTAATTCTTATATGGAAATTTCAGGGCTTAGGCACTTTCCCTCCAATCTACAAGTTTTTCCTCAATGTAACTTGCCTTGAGATGTGATGATAAATGATTGATACCCTATTTAGTTACCGGGCTCAGTATTTACTGATATTCAATACATACTAATTGATAATGGGTTTTTTCTCTTCAGTATGTACTAGTGTCTAATATTTTTATTCATGCTTTATCATTCACTTGAAAATAATGATTACAAATAAGTTATATATCCTTCACAGCTTCAAACTCATAAAAAAACAATTTTAGTGGAAAACCTGCTGGTTTCTAAAAACAAATAGTAAAGGAAGCTTTAGAATTTAATGTATTTGTGTGTGTGTGTGTGTGTGTGTGTGTGTGTGTGTGTGTGTGTGTGTTTCAGCCTGCATGTTGACTTGTGGAGTTGTTTACTCTGAAGCCTACAATCATTTAATTATTTGTTTAAACCAGTATGGAAGCTTCTCACTATGGTGTTTTAATTTATGGCCTCAATCTGTACTAAAGATTTGTTAGATAACCTCACCCCTCCTATTCGGTCATGACTGATAAAAGTGTCAAATAATCTCATAGGGAAAGGCAACACTATCCATGTAACACTTCACATTTTACAGCCAGCTTTCATATCGCAGAAATCATAAAACAAAGATGTTGATTAGCTCTAAACATCTCAGAAATCCCCCAAAATTTGCAACCTTTTCTACTCGGCAAACAGCCAGGCATTTATAGGACAATCTTCAAAAAATCAATTGGACTGTGAAGGGTTAATCTGACCAAGAATAAACAGACCACTTCTGGTGAAACTGTAGGGAACTATTTTCAACTATAACAGAAGGAAAATAACTGAGTTTCATGAGCATATTGGAACTGGCACGAGATTTCAAAGCCATCCCATTTAGTAGTGCTTATACCAATACAGCACAGCATTACAATGCTTTAAATCGAACATCGAAATGCCAGTATAATAATTATCTCTACCATTCTCTAAGGTAGTGACTAAATAAAGTCAAAAACATTCTTAAAGCCAAAATAAATATAAGCCTGTTTCCACTTTCAAAATAGCTGTACCTTTGGTTGGAAATCATCCCAACCCGGCTCTATCTGACCCATACTAAGACTGGACCACCTCGGGGCTTCCTGTAGGCTACTATTGTCCTGTCTTATTAACTTTAAGATCAGCTATGAATTCCAAAACGTTTATGTCTCTTCTATACAGTGCAAGTCCTTTATGAAAAATCCCCTTTTTCAATCCATTGCAGGAACCAAGGGCGGGTAATATCAGAAGAAAATCGTGCGATGAAAATGAAGATCAGAAGCGCATACTGAACAAGCAACTGACTTTGTTAATCTCTTGAAAAATAGCATCAAGGGGGATGTTTTTAAATTAAAGAAGAATGATTTTGCTTTTCATTCATTGTTGTTTTTCTTCCTGCAATATCTCTGGAGGCATGTGATTTAAGGATTGTGAAATCAGTGGGCATAGAGTAATGTGATATTTAACACAGACAGCTCTGGAGTAAGACAGTCTAGGTTTAAATCCTGGCTATGAGAATGGAGAGAGGGCACATAAAGTTCTTTGCATCATGGCTGGCACACAGTCTGTGCTTAAAAAAATGATATTATTATTATTACAAATAGTGTTTCACACAGATGTTGATTGGATAGACAGATGCTTGTTTCAAATAAAAGAAAACAGTTCCTGCAGGCAAACAGCTCAATTGGTATAGACATAAGTCTCTTGTTCCACCTGTTTGCCATTATTTATCTGCCTGAGAAGACTATGAAATGTTGAACCAGAAAATACCCAGAAAAACAACAGCCCAGAAGATCAGTGCAAAAGAACTGGGATAATTAGAAAAGCTGGCTATTCTAGTTCTGGCTTTAATGTGCTCAAATTTCAAACCACGCAGTGTTTTAAAAGTCAACCCATAAAAATCCTTCAATCCTAGGAGTTTCCCTCCTAGCCTCTGAAGGCATTCAGAACCTGTCACCCCAAAATGTGGCATATTGATTATTTTGAGCTAAAAGAAATGAAGAACAAGCCACCACAAGAAAAGTTATTTACCTCCCCATCAACTGCCTAAAATAAGATATAAATTTCCCCTTTCATATAGGAAATTTACATTTATAAGGAAAACTTACATTAGTAACTAGTTATCTGTACCAGGAAGAGAGCTACTCTGAGAAAATTTGCCACCTGAGAGACTTAACTACATAACAAGACAAGCTTCCTTCACTATGCATTTCCCCTACCCCTTACTTTCCCATAATTTACCTCCACCACCACACAGAAACACCCCACCCTTACTCCACTTCTTACCTCCACCACCACACAGAAACACCAAACCCTCACTCCACTTCTTTGAGTCTCATATTTTTGTGGGACTCCCATGTGTATGTATATAATTAAAATGGTTTTTCTCCTGTTAATCTGTCTTATGTCAATTTAATTCATAGACCAGTCAAAGAACCTAGAAGGATAGAATGAACAATTTTTCCTCTCCTATATCTCTTAGTGTTGGAGATTTAAAGATCTCTATCTTAAAATCTATTGGGCTGTTAAATAAAATTTATAGGAGTCCACTGATGCGGGCGGAGCTCCTGCACCAGGCCCAAGAGACTAAATCAAAATGGAGTGATTCATGCTGAAGTTCCACACCAACAAGCTGAAACTAAGTTGTATTCCTTCTGAGAAATCAGGAGAGAGAGAGATAATAGCCAAATCTCCAAACAGGCCAGGTTAGCTTGAACATGATAAGAAAGTCTCCTCCGCTTTAACCTTTACAAGGAAAGTAACTTTGAAATGACTAATACGCTTTTTCTCTGTTGCTGCTTTCCTCGGCCTCTCTCTGTCTAAAACCCAACCTCCTCTGCTCAGTTTATCAGACCATTTATTCTATTTTATATGCTGAGGTGTTGCCCAATTCTAGAATCACAACTAAAAGCTAATTAAGATCTTTAAACTAAATTTGTTGTGATTTTGGCTTTTGACAGGGCTAATAATAATGATACATGTCTCATTTTCATTTCAAAGCACTTGCAAGTAGGAATTATTCTACTTCATTGATTAAGAGATTGAGAGTCAGAAAGTTTTGATAATTTATCCAAAGTACACACCTACCAAGTGGTAAAGCCGGGACTCAATTCCAGGTCTTAGATTGTGCTTTCAGAGTAACTTGACCATTACTTCAACAACAACAAAAGTTGTATAGAATAGCTACTATATTGTCAGGCCCTGTTTGTTTCTAGAAATACAACTGTCAATACTGCCCTCAAACTGTTGTTGATCATCTAATACAAAAGACAGACAAACACACACACACTGTGAAAACTGTGGATTCCTGGGACCCATCCCAGATTCAATAGATCTTGGTTAGGTGCCAGCAATCTGCACTTTTAGCAAGTCTTCCCAGGGTAATTCTCTGAGACAACACCTGGAGAAGGATTATAATGGAGTCAGGTTTAGAAACAGAAAGGAAGTTTTCCTAGGAAGATGATTCCTAAGTTGAGTTTTGAAGAATCAGTGGGAGTTGGCTAAGCAGAGTGGCAATGAAGAGAGAACAGTTTAGATATAAAAACAGAATCAATCAAACTTTTGAGAGATGGAAATCACTTGGAAAAATAGCAGTTTGGTGTAACTAAACTAAAAGGAGGTAGAGGGGAAAAGACTTAGAGGAAATAACTATAGAGGTAGATAAGGCCTAGATTCCTAGAAGCAAACAGAAAACCAGGGCAGCTGGAGGTGGGCTATGAGCACAGGAACAAAGGGGCCCGACCATGGGTCGCTGCCTCCCATTCTCCTTGGAATCTCAGGTTGTGCTATACAGAGACTTGTGTAAGTTTATTCCTGAATAATTAGATTTCCCTTGAAATGGCCTGATTCCATTAAAATGTGTCTCTAAGGAGCATTTGAACCAAGCCAGTAGCAGGCTTCAACATACAAAACACATATTTTACTATGAAATGGTGAATCTTCAAATTAAGTAAGTCAATAGAAGTTACAAAGCTAATGAAAGTGCAGCAAAGCTGAACCCCAATTAGTAGCCCTTAATCTTCTGCTCTTTGCCTTTCCCAATCTGAAGTTCTTTCCCCTCAGGTAAACTGAGCAAATGTAAAATCATTATGCCAATGACCTTGTCCTGCTTAGAGGCTTCCTGAATCTAAACCGTTGTCAATATTCCCTGGGCTCCAGGTATTAAGAGCACACCTCTTTAACATGCACCCTCTCCACTTCACTCACAGGGAATGACGTCTGTTCTCCAGAGTCTTTTTGAAGAAAGTGCTAGAACAGAATGAATGTATCCAATGACACAGAAACATGCAAACTTGTTTAGTGGCATGGTTATTGATTGTTAGGGAAAGAAAAGAAGGCTGACTTTGCGACTCAGGAAGATGGAGAGGCTCAATTTTAGCTGTCTGAGGCAAAGAAGCAGTGGAGTTTATCTGCAGCCAAATTTAGACCTCTCTGTCAGCCAGCTGGGGGTATTCCCACATGAAGGGCTAATACAAGAGATTCCATTAAGCAGAAGAAATTACCTGGTGGCCGGCTGCTTCTGCGTCTTGCATTATTTTCATGTGAACAGTTATTTTTTTTCTTGCGAAACTTTCCCATTTACTGCAAGATGTTTGTCATTCCTACACTAATGCCAGAAGTGGCCACCGGTCATTATGACAATCCAAAATAACTCCCACATTTCCAAACTGTCCCTAATGGAGATGCTAGTACCCCAACCCCACCTTGAGGACCACTGAATAGAATCTTAAATCCCTGGCAGGGACCAACAAGCTCATCAAGTTCCACATCTCCATTTTGTAGTAAAGTGAAATCCATTCTAAACTTTATTAAGTAGGGACAGGCCTAGAACACAGTTTTCACGACTCTCATGCAAACACTTATTCTCTAAATCTTGAGGGTGCCAAACTCTAAAAAACTTCGCTGCTTTCCTACTGAAATCTCTCATTTACATCATCTAAAAACTCTCTGTTGAACAAGTAAATGCAAATTTCTGGCAACTTCTCCCTTTGGCAATGTATGCTGTAATACCTTTTTCTCAAACTTAAAGTACTGGCTAGTACTGAGGCCAACAGGGAAAAACTAGGTTTACAGCTGGCAACAAACCCAGGCATCTTCAGACGGACTGTGTGGGCAAGACTAATGAAAAAAGAAAATAAATATCTAGACTTACCCTCATGAAACTTCAGAATAACAAGCATAAAACAAGAACTTAAAAACTTCCACAGAGATGAAAAAACAAATTTCTTCAAAGGAATAATAAGCAAATTGGCATCATACTTCTCATCAAAAACACTGGATTATAGTACCAGCGGTGCCAGTAAACCTTATTACTCAAAAGGTAAAGAAACAATATCTTCCACATTTTGATTAAAAAACATAAAACTAGAATTCTTTTTCACTCAAAGGAGAAGATAAAATAATTTGTTTTTTTTTTTTTGAGATGGAGTCTCACTGTTGCCCAGTCTGGAGTGCAGTGGCGAGATCTCAGTTCACTGCAACCTCTGCCTCCCAGGTTCAAGCAATTCTCGTCACTCAGCCTCTCAAGTAGCTGGGATTACAGGCATGCGCCACCATGCCAGGGTAATTTTTTTGTATTTTTAGTAGACATAGGGTTTCACCATATTGGCCAGGCTGGTCTCGAACTCCTGACCTTGTGATCCACCCGTCTCAGCCTCCCAAAGTGCTGGGATTACAGGCGTGAGCCACTGCACCCGGCCTAAATAAAAATTTTTTATACATGCAATAAAAAAGTTTACCTAATATATGACCCCCCAAAAATTGATGTGTTCCATCAAAAAAAATAAAAGCTCAAGAAAGATATTAGTTTCATAATGTAATGCAACTAACCAAAGAGTCCAACAAAGAGCATTCTAAATCTTGGGATGCCAGCCATGCAACACATCTAGGAATCCACTGTCATAGTGCATCATGCATGTTGGAAGGCTCAGTGAGGGGAGGCCACTTATGGAATGGGGCGGGGGAAAGGGCAGCTTTGGGATCTCTTTCACAAAGGACTTCACATTTAACTTCAAAGCAGGTTATGCCCACGGTCACAGAGATCCACCCAAGTGGTTGAACTCGAGATTTTTAATCATTTGAGCTTCCTTCATAGAAACCCCAAGTAACAGTGGTGGCTTAAATAACATAAGGGTTTCTCTTTTTTTTTAATAAAATAAAACAATCCTAAGGTTGGTCATTCTTAAGTTTGGCCAGCATAACAGCACAAGGAAATCTCAGCTGAAAACTCTTGGGAATATCTGGCCCTCCCTCATGGTCATGCTGTAGCGTCTTTGCAACATTACAGGCAAGAAGGGAGAAGAGAGAAGGGCCAAAGGACAAATGCTGGTTGGGTTTGACCTCCCATTAAAGAGCTCTCCCTCAGTTACCTCCAGATGACATTCACTTAAGTCTCACCGAGCAGGTCTTTACCTCAAGTCAATCCCTTTTGCAATGGGAGCTAGGAAATGTAGTTTTTTAACTGGGTATAGTGCCATTCCAATAAAATTGTAATGCTAGTAGGGAAAATATTATGTAAGTAACCCAGTTCTGGTATTTCTTCCTTTTTTATAATAGACTTTAATGGTTAGGGCAATTTTAGGTTAACAGAAAAATTGAGCAGAAAGCACAGAGTTCCAATATACCCCTTCCCACACTCACACTTACCCAGTTTCCCCTATTATTCACACCTTGCTTATTGTGGTACGCTTGCTATAATTGGTGAAGCAATATTTATACACTATTGTTACTAAAGTCTATAGTCTACATTAGGGTTCACTGTTTGTGTCATACAGTTCTATGGGTTTTGACAGATACATAATGTCATGTTTCTGCCACATTTTTAAAAAAATATCAGGGCCTTCAAAAAAAAATGGAGGTGGCCCAGGATTTTCTTGCCCTCAATTGGATGCTGCTAAGAAAATCATCTTCAAAGCAAAGTATTTTTATTTCAACAAACAATGCGGTAAGTTGGACCACCTTTGTGTCATGAAGAAAGAAGAATGACAAATACAATTTCCAGGAAAAAAATATGTCTCCAAGGCCTTGCAGACACCTTGTCCCCTGGGATGGGGCAGGTCAGAACACTGGCCAGGAGTGCAAGGTCAAGGCTGGGGCCTCCTGCTTAGGTCTATGGGCGGCGGAGGGGGGCAAAACTGCAAAACTGGTCTAGCATCTCTCTTTAGAATGTGGGGCTACTCACCACCAAAAATTCTCAGCATTGGGTGCTCACCCCACGTGAAACGACATGCAGGATTCAGGGATGTTGTAGCAAGATCATCCTGGTTGCTGTGTGCAGAATGGAGAGGAAGAAAGCAAGATTGGAAGCACGGAGACCAGTGAGGAGGCTACCTGAGTAGTGTGGATGAGAGATGCTAATATTGTGAATGGTGTTTATTGGTTTTGGGTGCTTGGAACAGGGGTTGGCAAATGTGTTCTGTAAAGGGCCAGAGAGCAAATATCATAGGTCTAGGAGGCCATACCTCTCTGCTGCAATTACTCAGTTCTGCCATTGCAGCACCAAAGCAGCCATAGACATTACATAAATGAATGAATGGCTGTGTTTCAATAAAACTTTATTTACAGACACTGAAATTGGATTTTCATATACTTTTCACGTGTGAAATAGTCATCTTATTTTTACTTTTTATATTATCTAAAAATGTAAAAACCACTCATAGCTCACAGGCTGTACAAGAACAGGCAGGAGGCCAGTTTTATCCTATGGGCTATAATTTGCTGACCCCTGATTTATTTTATTTTATTTTATTTTTTATTTTATTTTATTTATTTATTTATGGAGATGGAGTCTCACTCTGTCACCCAGGGCTGGAGTGCAGTGGCGTGATCTCGGCTCACTGCAACCTCCACCTCCCAGGTTCAAGCAATTCTCCTGCTCTCCTGCCTCCACCTCCCAGGTTCAAGCAATTCTCCTGCTCTCCTGCCTCCACCTCCCGAGTAACTGGGATTACAGGCACCCGCCACCACGCCCAGCTAATTTTTGTAGAGACAGGGTTTCACCACGTTGGCCGGGTTGCTCTTGAACTCCTGACCTCAAGTGATCCGCCCACCTAGGCCCCCTAAAGTGCTGGGATTACAAGCGTGAGCCACCGCATCCGGCCTGACCGCTGATTTAGAAGCAAATTAAAGACAAAGCATGAAGGACTTAATTATAATTACAAAACCGAAAGTAAGCTTTATAAACCTTTACATAACACTAACCTAATCATAATACTGATAGAAATCAAGAAGTTAAGAAGAGGTGATCCTGACGGTGGACAAGAAACTTTTACCTGTCGTTTCAAATTATACGACATTTTAATTTTTTAAATCTAAGAATAATTGTAGCTACTACTTGTTGAGTTCTTGTAATCTACAAGATATGGGGCCATAAAATCATTCAGGAGCTAATGACATAAGCGTGATATGATTTGCTGACTGTGATCACGTGGCCATCCTTGTTAGGAACTGGGGAGATCTTTGTTAACAAAAATGACCAGGGAAGAGCTCCAGGAGGAGTCGGCATGGGTGGGAAAGGATCCTAGGACATGGAAAAGCAGATGACAGTAAGAAGAGCATCCCAAGCAGAAAGAATGACCCATTATGCATCAAGGGCAGGTAACCAGCCTCAGTAGAGGACTGGAAGTCAGAACGGCAGTTCTCAGCCTGTGGGCCTAGGACTCCGGCTAAATAACAATTGTTAAGAGGTCTAATACTGGGAACTCCATTCTCTGACCACAGAGCTTTGAACAAAAGGATGAGGGAGACAGGGTTTATGGAGAGGTGGAGCATCCCAGCCGCACTACAGAAAGTTAAAAATGCCCTGCTAAGTAATACTTGGGTTAAAGAGACAAGGAAATACATTTCATATGTTTTAGAAATGAACAAGAAAGTTACACATTAAAACTTCTAGGTCAAGGTGGTACTTACGGTACAATTTACAGCCTCTTCCAGGAAATACAAATTATCAAAATTAGTTTTAAAAGAAATAGAAATACTGAATAACCCTTAAACGTAGACAACATAGACAATACTGAAAATTTTAAGTAGCTACGTTACAAAGGGGCTCTCCTTCCAAGAAATACATAATTCCTGTCATATTTAAGCTGTTTCAGAGAATAGAAAAATACAGTTTTCCAAATAATTTTGCAAGACTAGCATGACCTAGATATCCAAATTGGACAGAAACAGAAAAAAGAATCATAGACAAATATGACTTATGAAGCTAGTGCAAATATATGGGACTTTATGCATTAATAAATTAACTCTAGCCTTCTGTTAAATAATAACACATCATGACTAAGTAGGGCCGATTCCAGGATGTTTTAATATTAGGGAAATCTAGAGGAACAGATTAAAAGAGAAAAACCCATACATCATCTTGATAGATGGCAAAAAACATTTAGTAAATTTCACTTCACTTTCATGATGCAGGAATGATATCTTAATACTAATTCATTGAGAAAAATACAAGATGAAACACTATAAATCCGTTCAATAACACTTTTAAATGGATTTGACTTTTCTTAACCACAACAGCTAATTTTATAAAAGGTGACAAGCAGGAGGCTTCAGCAAACTACCTAGTGAAACATTAGAGGGGTCGCTATTGATTCCTAGAGAAATATAAAAAGGTCGTTGTGGCCGGGCACGGTGGCTTACGCCTGTAATCCCAGCAGTTTGGGAGGCCGAGGCGGGCGGATCACGAGGTCAGGAGATGGAGACCATCCTGGCTAACACGGTGAAACCCGTCTCTACTAAAAATACAAAAAAAAAAAAAATTAGCCGGGCGTGGTGGCAGGCGCCTGTAGTCCCAGCTACTCAGAGGCTGAGGCAGGGGAATGGCGTGAACCCGGGAGGCGGAGCTTGCAGTGAGCCGAGATCGCGCCACTGCACTACAGCCTGGGCGACAGAGTGAGACTCCATCTCAACAACAACAACAGAAAAGGTCATTGTACCTCAATGACCTGTTGTGCTAGGGTAAAAATAACACCCAAAATCTCAGAGCCTTACAACATAGGTTTATTGCTCACAATTCATGGCAACAACTTATCAAGTTTGATTTTGTCCCATGTCACATTATTGACCCAAAAATTCCACTTCTTTTTGTCTTTATCATACAAACATCCCACATATGTACAAATACATTTGTATAAAGATGTTCATTGAAGAATTGTTTACAATAAACTTTTGGAAGCATCTTAAAATCTATCAGTAGGAAAATAGCTAAACAAATTACAGTAAGTCCCTACCATGGACCAAGGAAATTTATTTTTATAAATTAACAAGATCTATGACTGCAGTAAGGAAAGACCTGGAAGGATACATAGAAATATAAGTCATCCCTGGGCAGGGTGTAGAATTGGGAAGTGTAATGGAGATGTTCTCTTTTCTAACTTTATACTTCCATGTTGTTTGAAGTTATTGTACAATAAGCATACATTACATTTTTATTTGAAATTAAAAATGAAAATTTATAATAATCTATATCCTTATATATTTTGTCTTCTAACTTTGAAATATATTTTTATATACTCTGATTATTTTATCAAGTTCTTGTGCTTCTAGGAGATTTTATGTTTTTCCATTATATTGTTACATAAAAGTTTAAAATGATGATAATTTCTTCTTTGCAGATTGTACCTTTAATCATATTATAATCCTCTATGTCCCATTTAATTTTCTGAGATTTGAACTCTACTTTTTACACATTTGTATTGTCATTCTGGCTTTTATTTTGTTTGCATTTGCTGAGAGTGCTTTGCCTCCTATTTCGTTCGTGCCCTTTGCTAGTTATTTTTGTGTGTTACATCACCCCGATCTAAAAAGCATAAGTGAAGGTAGAAAAGTTACAGATTTAGTGAACCGTTGAAGCAATGGAATATGGTTCAAATAAGTTCTCTGAGAAGGTGGATGGTCATTCAGCTAGCTATTACATCTTACTAGGCAGATAAGGAAAAGTGTAGTGAAATGTTACATACTTGTTACCCTAGAATTTAAAACATGTTTATACTTATCCTTTAACTTGTTATCATAAAGTTGACCATATAAGCCTGCTTGCTGACAAGGGGAAAATGTTTTCCTATAATAGAGAAGGGTTTATTTTAATAGCTCCAAGAACTAGTGATTTGTAACTTTGACACTAAGAATGTTTTACATAGGAAACTACTTTAAATTGTTTATGGTAGAAAACTGTGTGTGTTCTTTCATGTGATAAGCCACATTTGTCCTAGGAAGTTAATTTTGTCAACCAATCTATATCTCACTACAGTCCTGGCAAACTAGTACTAATTAACTCTACTTCTTTAAGAGATTGTGTAGGTTTTCTGAAAATAAAAACACAGCTTAAAATATTTCCTTCTATTTATGAATTATTGTAGAACAAAACACAAGTGACTCCAACAGATTAAAACACAAGGCACTTCCTCTATTTGCCATGGCATTAAGAATGGTATGAGGAAAGTAATATTTTATTAGGTTTACTTTAGGGATTATTTTTATAGAGTCTGCAAAGGACAAAGAATGGAAATCAGAAGAAAAAAATCGTAGATATAGCTATCCCTCTTTTACACTGGACTCAGCTGCTGGAAGTGAAAGTTCTATCTAGTCCATTCTACTAAAATTTTTGCCCCTCACCAAATCCAAGGCCTTGTTACCACATCTAAGTGCATCTGTAACAACAAGATGAAATGGTAAACTGATTCTCTTTCAGGGTCCAGGCTCCATGAGACACGCTGGGAATGCAATGGACACATGTGCAAATTCCACTCTTCTGAGCTTTTAGGTTAACATGGATGAACCTAGAGGACATCATGTTAAGTGAAAGAAGCCAAGCACAGAAGGACAAATGCTGTATTCTCTCCCTCATGTGTGTAATCTAAAAAGTTATTCTAATAGCAGTATAGAGTACAATGGTGATTACCAGAGGCTGGGTAGAGTAGTGGGGAGGGGAGAGAGGGAGCGGCTGGTCATCAGGTACAAAGTTAAAGTTAGATAGAAGGAATAAGTTCTGGCGTTCTATTGCACAGTAGCGTGACTATAGTTAACAAGAATGTATTGGATATTTCAAAATATGGTAAGGCATCACTTAACAATGAGGATATGTTTTTAGAAAAGCATAATTAGGCAATTTTGTCATTGTGGAAACATCAGAGAGTGTACTCAAACAAACCTTGTGGTATAGCCTACTAAGCAGCTAGACTCTATGGTATAGGCTATTGCTCCTAGGCTACAAACCTGTACAGCATGTGTACTGAATACTGTAGCCAGTTGTTACACAATGGTAACTATTTGTGTGTCTGAACATAGAAAAAGTAAAGTAGAAATATGGTACCATAATCTTCTGGGATCACTCTCATAGGTATGGTCCATCATTGACTGAGAGCTTGTTATGTGGCACATGACTGTACTTGCCTACTGTCAAGATCTGTGCTATCCTATAGGGTACCATTTGCCTCATGTAATTATTTAAGTTTGAGTTAAACAAAATTTGAAAGTCAGTGTATCGGTTACAATAGCCATATTTCGAGTGCTACATGTGGTTAATGGCTACCTTATTGGATAGGACAGATGCAGAACATTTCTCTCATTGCAGAAGGTTCTATTGGACAGCACTGCTTTAGGTGTCTGGTACTTATGACTTGGACTGGGTTTTTACAAAGAACACGTCATTAGATATGGTGATGAAAGCAATTACATGATGAAAGGAACCCGTTTCTGAGTGATAAGTCTTCTTATGACCAAACATCTGTAAACACGGACATTCACTGTGGACTCTTATGTGGAGGAAAAAAACAAAACAAAAAACCCTTTCTAATCCTTGAGCCACTGCCTTTTGGGGTCTCTTTATTATAGAAAATTTCAAACTAAGTTTTATCTCAGTTCTCATTAGCCCTGTCATTCAAGTGTCCTTTCACTCCTGTGCCTTAAGCAATTCTATGCATTCATATCTGTCCATTTCTCCATCCTAGAAGGAACTCATCTGTGAAAGTAATTCTCACTGTGGTGTTAACGACCAAATTCCAGTGGCTAACATATGTTGTGTTAACCCCTCTCAGGATCATTTGATTACAAAATAGATCTCAGAAAGTAAAGTAAGAAGGACTCTGTAATGGCAAAATTGCAAGTATCAGCAACAACACATCCATGGGAGAGATATGTTGGGTCTGAAACTTTATTGTCATTTCTGGATACACTCATAGACAACACCTCTACTTATAGGGGCAGCATCCACATTCAGGATCCAATTGCAAAATCTATTGAGGAGGAGAAAAGAAATTTAAAAAGAAATGCATTTCTATGCTTTCCCTTTGCAAATGCCCAGAGATTGAATACTGAGTCAAGATGTTCTCACTAACTACCCCTTTCTTTGCAGGCATCTACCCACAGTGAGCATAACTTTCACCATCTTCATTACCACACCAGCTCAGGCAAAGTGAGGAGAACCCTTCTCTCCTCAATGTGAGGCCTAGGCAAGGTGGAGGGGCCCACACAGCAGGGTTGCTGGGTCCTCTGCACTGACCCACATGCCTCATTGCTAAGTCTGAGTCTGGTGATACCTGCCAGACCTTATGGAGGAGCTCTTGTACAGGGATGTTACCATCTCTTCCTGCAACCTGACTTCTACTGCCCATCTTTCATTCTCATTCCCCAGTCCTGATCCTCAGACCCACTCAAACTGGTTATTGTGAATACAGGTCAAGTTTTATTTTTCCCCACGAGATTGCTCATTCCAATGCAAGTCTTACATGGCTTATGTCATAATAGCTGACGGCCAGCCACGGTATAGCTGTGCCTATATACATTTGGTTAGGGCTGTTCATGTTGTCATCATTTCAAGTAAGTGATGTGCATTGATACATAGGCATCTATTTGAATTACCATTTAAAATGTCTTCAGGAAGTTTACACACTATGATTCAGCATTTATATGAAAAGCTGCTGTGTACAAAGGAATGAAAATGGCAGTGGGATATAAATTTTATCTAAGTAAATCAAAAACTTATTATTGGAAGAATGACTATAATTCTATATTTTCTTGCAAAAACAACCACCATGTACTTTGTAGGAATTAAGGAAAGAAGTTACTCACAAATAGGTGAATCTATGTTACATTTTGCTACTGAGATACATAGAAAAGAATTGGCAATCACACCTAAGCAATACATATGAAAGCAGAAGAAATTGCAACATCCTTTGGAATGGATAAGGAATTTTCAAAGCAATGAGAGACTGATGTGACAGACTGGTGCATCAAGCAAGACTATCATTAAGGCATTGAACAGCATTTTGTCAAAAAAACTCCTATCTGACTTGGAACAGGAGCTACTTAACTTCCAACGCAGGTGATTTGAGAAAAAAATGAAATTGAATTTAGTCAAATATAAAACTCTAATGAATCCCTAGCATGCTTTGATATGCCCTGAAATTAAACTATCAATGTTATAAAATCCAGGAATCAAAGTCATGCATTTGGGCTACAAAAAGTAGCTTATCTGTGATACTAGATACTGTAAAAAATTGCCAATGGCCAGAGGTTGGCTTCATGTTTAATTTTAAACCACAAAAATCTATGAATAAAGTATTTCTCAAAAAGTATTACTGTGTATTCCCCCTTCCCATTAAAAAAGGTGCAAAACAGCAGAGCAGGTGGTGGGCTGAGTAAATTCCCCAAGAGAGGTGCAGAAGCACTAAGTTACCCATCAATTCTGCTAGTTCTTGGCACTTCAATGTGTGTCTAAACAGTCCAAGAATGAGCTCCCTGATAATTATTATCCCTCATGGCCTTATTGGACAACTGCAACTTGGCAACATTTTCATTTAAAATCATTTAATGTCAATTTGAAGAAAAAGCATGAGTCCTGCCTATTGCCTGTTTAACAAAATGATAAAGTGTCAATATCAAACTTGGTGGATTGGAAGAAAATCCTAGAGAATACAGTGGAGCTTTCCTTAAAGAAATGCTGCATCAACAAGGCTCTTGATGGCATAGAGAATAATAATGCAAAGAAAAATGCAGGTATTGATGCATCTGAGTCAAATGTGATTTACAGGACTGGGCGCGGTGGCTCACGCCTGTAATCCCAGCACTTTGGGAGGCCGAGCTGGGCAGATCACGAGACCAGGAGATCGAGAGCATCCTGACTAACATGGTGAAACCTCGTCTCTACTAAAAATACAAAAAATTAGCCAGGCGTGGTGGCGGGTGCCTGTAGTCCCAGCTACTCAGGAGGCTGAGGCAGGAGAATGGTGTGAACCCGGGAGGCGGAGCTTGCAGTGAGCCGAGATCGCGCCACTGCACTCCAGCCTGGGAGACAGAGCGAGACTCCGTCTCAAAAACAAACAAACAAACAAACAAAAAAGTGATTTAGAAGAGTCAGACCATAAATGGGAAGAGTTTTAGGAATGCTTTAACCCATCTATTTCATTATATTTTCCTTTTTAAAGGAAATGGTGACATGTGATATTTTAAACTATGTTAAATAACTCTAAAAGAACCCTTCAGTATAAAATAATTTTTAAAATTTTAAGTTAGATGGAAGCACTGTGCCACGGTATAACTTGCAGTGTTTTATCTTTCTGAGTAGTATATAAAATAATGATGCATCTTACAATCAATGACACCTTCAATTTGATGAAATTCAGCGCAGTTTTTGGCTCATTGCTTTCTTAGTTAGCTGTAACCGTTTGGACAACCGTAGGTATGTATAATAAGGACGGTCATTTTCAATGGTTAGAATTAAACTCCTAATTTTTCTGAGACCACTCAGCTTCTCTTGGAATGGTGAAAGCACACTGGGCAGGACCTCTTAATGGGGCTCTCCTTAAGGAATCAAGAAGGAGGGCAATATTTGGTGATAAAATAATTATATGTCCTTTAACATTCACCAGAAAAACATCCAAATAATTGACATTTTCCTGTATTCAACAAGGATTTTGGATGTTTCCTAATGTTGTAGATACTACACTAGCCAGAACTCATTTTAAGAAAACTTACTTTTAGTATGCTCTTGCTTTTTTTTTTTTTTTGACCCTAACTGATTATAAGTTAAAATATTAACCATCAAGGTGTTTAATTAGAGGCATGTTTTCCTAGTCTTATAGTCTCTGTAAGAAATATAATTACATAAAGACATAGCAAAATGTAGCCGTTCGTACATCAAATGTCATGGTACTCACAGAAGCAGCCTGCTGACAAGCATGATAAGCTATTTTTAGTACATCACCTTTTTAGAACATTTGTGGTTGTTAATTATGACCATTTGGGGCTCACAGATGGTATATGAAATTGTAGTGTTCTGTTTTAGATAATGAGGGTGATGGTATAATAAATAAATCATTGTGAAATCAAAGGACATAGTCGGTGCATAGCATGGTGTATTGGTTATTTATGACACACAGTACCTTGGTTACTAATAATGCTTCATACTTGGTTTCTAGCCACTGTTCCATCTGCCACTCTGGTCTCCATTTTATATGCCTTCCATTATGTTGCCTCTTTACTTAGTCATTGGTGTCTCCTTTTTAGCCTGCCCCATCAAGCCTGAGTTCCTCCGCCTGGATCCCAAGGCTCCATAATGGCACACAA
This sequence comes from Homo sapiens, assembly GCF_000001405.40. NCBI lineage: Eukaryota > Metazoa > Chordata > Mammalia > Primates > Hominidae > Homo > Homo sapiens. The sequence goes on from NC_000013.11 coordinate 34,714,255, forward strand.
CTGGCCAGTTGAAATTATTTCCCACAGCTCGCAACAGACAATCTCTCCTCCAGTTAGTGCGTTCTTCACCCTGGCTCCCCATGCCCTCTGCTCATTGCCAGTCAGGCTTTTGCTGCTGATCTCACCACATACAATGCCAATCCTCCTCTCTTCTGACTGCTAAAATCTACCGGTCCTTCAAAATACAGTTTAGATGCCAGGATTGTCACAAAGCCTGTGCTAACATCACCAATTGTTATCATTTTCCTCCTGAATGCCAAGTGTATACACAATAAATGCCACATCGTTTTACATTAATTGTTCCCTGATTGCGTGCCCATTTAGGTCTTAGCTAAGATGGCAAGGTTGCAAGCAACAGAAAGGCTGACATGCTTTTCTGTGGCTTTCCACAGCATACACATAGAGATGCAGGTAAGAGGAGGAAGAGTGGGTAGTGAGTGTCTGATTAACACAGAGATAATTTTCAGAAAAATATTCAGAAGATAAAACTTGCTGGTTCATTTTCTTTAAAAAAAAAAGGAAGCTGAATCTAGCAGCTGTTATAGAATGTTGACTCTGATCATGTGACAATCTCTCAAAAATTGCCATTCTGTAAGCTGTCAAGGACTCTTCAAGCTGCATGTCACAGGAACCTGAAGTTTTAGGGCTCAAACCATCAATTTTATAGTTGGAGCTTTGCTGTATGAGCAAGACTATGCAACCAAAGGAGGGGGTCTATTTTTTATGAACCATTAGCCATTTGTTGAAATATTCAGTGGCCCATTGATGTCAATTCAAATGTTTTTGGCATAGTGTTTCAGTTGTTATTCATTTAACGTTTAGTATTCCTACTACTGAGATGAATAAAAACCTCACGAAAATGATACGTACATGCATATTGTGAAATATAAAAGTTACTTGAAAGCAAATTATTAGATGATTTGATCAGTGATAAAATGATCTACATTTGGAACAACTAAATTTAGAAAGCAAAAGTTTGCCATGAATTAATATAAACAAAAAGACAGAAAGAAAGAAAAGATAGATAAAGAATCCAAGCTGAAGGGGATTCAGGAAATTCCATCAGTAAGATGAGAAGTAACTTACAAATTAAATAAAGCATCCACTTCTCACACTGCATCTTGAGAGGTTATCTATCTCAAAGGCCCTAATTGTATCGGTGTAAAAAAGACATGGAGCCCCAAGTCTTTCCTTGCATGTGTGTATATTCTTAATGTAATAAATTCAATTATTACTTTTGTGACAGCCTCTTAGTTTGAACCTGTAATAAAAATCTATACAAAATACTATAATGGGCCAGTTGTGGTAGGTCATGCCTGTAATCTCAGCATTTTGGAAGGCTGACGTGGGCAGATTGCTTGAGCCCAGGAGTTCGAGACCAGGCTGGGCAACATGGCAAAAACCTGTCTATACAAAAAATGCAAAAAATTCACCAGGCATGGTGGCATGCACCTGTAGTCCCAGCTACCGAGGAGGCTGAGGTAAGAGGATCACCTAAGCCTGGGAGGTTAAGGCTGCAGTGAGCTGTGATTGTTTCACTGCTCTCCAGCCTAAGCAACAGAGTCAGACCCTGTCTCAAAAAAACAATAAATAAATACGGCTGGGTGTGGTGGCTCACACCTGTAATCCCAGCACTTTGGGAGGCCAAGGCGGGTGGATCACAAGGTCAGGAGTTTGAGACCAGCCTGGCCAAGATGGTGAAGCCCTGTCTCTACTAAAAACACAAAAATTAGCTGGGCACAGTGGCAGGCACCTGTAACCTCAGCTACTCAGGAGGCTGAGGCAGGAGAGTCACTTGAACCCGGGAGGTGGAGGTTGCAGTGAGCCAAGATCGCACCATTGCACTATAGCCTGGGTGACAGAGCAAGACTCCATCTAAAAAAAAAAAAAAAAAAAAAAAAGTGATGAAGAAAATGAGGCCTAACTGGACAGTTTAAATTTGATAGCTGGGTGGCAAGGAAAATCAACATAATTTCCAGTCTCATGATCCTATTGCCCTTATGATTTGTACAACTAAAGTAAGACCAGTGCTACTAGAGACCTGACTTTCCAGAAAAGCTGTTGATAAGAGAAGGTTAGACAGCTAAAGGCACATCCTTCTCCGTTATGTACTCTTTCCCTTCTCTGGTTTTCTACTTTAACATGTGTTGCTTCTGCTTTTCCAAATAGCGTAGGCATCTCAGAATAGAAACTATTTTATATTTCTACTTATGTGTTCTACAACATCAGTACAGTGCTGAGAAAACTGGAAGTATAAAATGCATACTTGGTTGATTGTTTTCTTGAGAGAAATTAATAAATTGTGTCTATAAGAAAATGCAAAGTTTTTTGTGGCTATTGTCAATGGGATTACATTCTTGATTTAGTTCTCAGCTTGAACGTTTTTGGTGTACAGATATGCTACTGATTTTTGCACATTGACTTTTGTATCCTGAAACTTTACTGAAGTTATCAATTCAAGGAGACTTTTTTTGCAGTCTTTAGGGTTTACTAGGTATAGAATAGTATCATCCTCAAAGAAACATAATTTAACTTATTTTCTTATTTGGGTGCCTTTTATTTCTTTCCCTTGTCCAGTTGCTCTGCCTAGAACTTCCAGTACCTATGTGGAATAGGAGTGGTGAGAGTGGCCATCCTTGCTGTGTTCCCATTTTTCAGAGGAATGTTTCTAGCATTTGCTAATTCAGTATGATGTTAGCTGTAGGTTTGTCATAGATGGCTCTTATTATTTTGAGGTATTTTCCTTTGATGCCTAGTTTGTTAGATTTTATTGAAAGCTTTTTCTGCATCTATTGAAATGATCATGTGCTTTTTGCATTATACATCTAACCCAGGAGGTGAAAGATCTCTATAAGGAGAATTACAAAATATTGCTGAAAGAAATCATAGATGACAACAAAATGGAAAAATATTTTATGCTTATGAATTGGAAGAATCAATATCATTAAAATGGTTATACTGCCAAAATCAATTTACAAATTCAATGCTATTCCTATCAAACTACCAATGTCATTTTTCACAGAATTAGAAAAAAAACTAATCTAAAATTTATACAAAGCCAAAAAAGAACCTGAATAACAAAAGTAATCCTAAGCAAAAAGAACAAAGCTGGGGGCATCACATAACCCAACTCCAAACTATACTATAAGGCTACTATAACAAAAAAAACGCATAGTACTGTGTACATAAGAAAAGACACATAGACCAATGCAACAGAATAGAGAGCCCAGAAATAAAGCCACATGCCTAAAGCCATCTGACCTTTGACAAAGTTAACAAAAATAAGCAATGTGGACAGGACTTCCTATTCAATAAATGGTGATGTGATAGCTAGCTAGCCATATGCAGAAGAAATAAACTGGATCCCTACCTTTCACCAATTCACAAATTGACTCCAAATGGATTAAGCGTGTACATATAAGACCTCAAACTATAAGAACTCTAGAAGAAAACCTAGTAAACACCATTCTGGACATGAGCCTTGGGAAAGAATTTATGGCCAAGTCCTCAAAAGCAACTGCAACAAAAACAAAACTTGACAAGTGGGACCTAAGTAAACTAAAGAGCTTCTGCACCATAAAAGAAACTATCAACAGAATAAACAGGCAACCTACAGAATGGGAGAAAATATTTGTAAACTATGCATTTGTCAAAGGTCTAATATCCAGAATCTATAAGGAACTTAAGCAAATCAATAAGCAAAAAACAAACAACTCTATTCAAAAACGGGCAAAGGACATGAGCAGATATTTCTCAAAAAAAGACATACACACAGCCAACAAACAAATGAAAAGATGCTAAACATCACCAATCATCAGAGAAATACAAATTAAAACCACAATGAAATACCATCTCACGTCAGTCAGAATGACCATTATTATTATTATTAAAAAGTAAAAAAAAAACAGATGCTGGCAAAGCTGCAGAGAAAAGAGAATGCTTATACATTGTTGGTGAGAATGTAAATTAGTTCAGCCACTATGGAAGGCAGTTTGGAGATTTCTCAAAGAGCTTAAAACAAAACTACCATTCAACCCATCAGTTCCATTAATGGGTATATATATCTGAAGGAAAATAAATCATTCTACCAAAAAGACACATGCACTTGTATGTTCATTGCAGTACTATTCACACTAGCAAAGACATAGAATCAACCTTTGTGTGTCTATTCACTCTGGATTAGTTTTTAAACATGTGGTACATGTACACCATGAAATAATAAGACAGTCATTTGAAATGAAATTATGTCCTTTGCAGCAACTGGAGGCCATTATCCTAAGTGAATTAACACAGGAGCAGGAAACCAAATACCATGTATTCTCACTTATAAATGAGAGCTAAACACTGGGTAAACATGGACATAAACTTGGGAACAACAGACACCGGGGACTACCAGAGGTAGGAGGAAGGGAGGGCAGCAGGGGTAGAAAAACTGTCTATTAGATACTGTGCTCACTATCTGGGCGATGGGATAATTTGTCCCCCAAACCTCAGCATCACCAACATACCCATGTAACAAACCTGAATGTATATCTCTGAATCTAAAACAAAAGCTAAAATTATGTATTTTAAAAAAGATGATGAAGAGAGAATAATATACTATTGAAAATCTAATTACTAATTGCATTTTCCATTTAGAATTCACCAGAAAAAAACAATTTATTTGAGAACTTTGGAGATTCTCCAACTTCAGATAATGATAGATATACATGAGATTCTAATGTAGGTAGGATTTATTTTATTTTTTTAATCTCCTGCTCCTTCTTTTTTGTCGTGTTAATTCTCTCATTAACTATTCATACACATTTTGGTTGACTCTTTTCAACATTTATACATTTATTCAGCCTTCAAGGGACATTTGGTAAGCACCTTAGTCCTAGGAGTCTAAGTATGGCACTGAAGATACAAACCAATAAGGCGCAGGGTTTGTAAGCATATGAAATAGCACATGAGAGAGTTTTCACGCAGTTGAATGAAGACAGAACTGCTGTAACAGGAGACTGATGACGTATTTAATGAGAAGTCAGACCATTTCCCATTGTTTCTTGTTTGAACATTGTATTCTTCTTCTGTATCACTCCAGTCATTCTTCAGAAGACAAAGGATTCTATAAATGGAATAACAGGTGTGTGAGTGCTATGTATAATTATGTCCTAATAGAGGTTTCCTTTTCTATAAGATTTGTGATGATTGAGTGCTTGGTATGTGGTTTGTTTTCTAATTACAATCAATCATTTCCTCCTTGAAGTCATTCTGGTAACACATCACTGCCACTATTTTTAGATCTATGACAAATCATATATTCTGTACTAATTCAGAAATGTGATTCATTGAATAGCTCTCATCAAATACTGCTTTAAAGAAGACACAAATAGTCATGTGAACCCAAGGGTTGGCTCCTCTTCAAGCAGAAAGGAAATTAAGCCCATTATACCAGTTAATCCATCAAGGAATGCTATGGGAAAGGCTAATCTTACGCCTCTGTAAATAAGTCATTTGCTGTTGTTGAGAAGGGACCCATATCCCCAAAATGTCTCCAAACACAGTCATTTAACTAAAATTTCTTTTAACAAAGGATGGCCTTATTTCTTATCCTTGATAAAATACCAACAGCTCTGGGAAAGGTAATACACAGATCTAAATTCACACTAAAATAAAAGTAACTACATAGACTGCTAAGAAATGTTTTTCTTTCATATAAGAGGACTTCAAAAAGTTTATGGAAAAAGAGAATTAAAAGATAAAAATAAACAATATAAACTTTATTTCTCAACATAAGTGCCATCAAGGTCGAGACACTTTGTAAATGATGATACCAGCCTTTTGTCCATCACTAAAGAACTGAAGGTCCTGGGAATTTAACCATATAAATGCATTCTTTTTTTACATTATTAACTGGGGGAAAAGTTGATGCCCTTTAAGGTTTTTTTAAGATTACAAAACCAAAAGAAGTCAGAAGGACCAAGTAAGGACTATAAGGTGGAGGAACAATACTTTCCCATTGAAATTCTCACCAAATTGTCCTTATTTTATGAGAGACATGAGCAGGAACATTGCCATGGAGGAAAAGGACTCTATGGTAAAGCTTTTCTAGGCATTTTGTTTGTTTGTTTGTTTGTTTTCTAAAGCTTTGGCTAACTTTCTCAAAACATTCTCATAATAAGCAGATGCTATTATTCTTTGGTCATCTAGGAGGTCAACACACAAAATGCCTTGAGCATCCCAAAGCACTGTTGCCATGACCTTTGCCTTCAGTGTCCACTTGTGATTTGACTGGACCACATTCACCTCTTAGTAGCCATTGCTCTGATTGTGCTTTGTCTTCAGGATAGTACTGGTAAAGCCATGTTCCATCTCCTGTTACATTTCATCAAAGAAATGCTTCAGGATCTTGATACCACTTGTTTAAAATTTCCACTAAAAGCTCTGCTGTTGTCTGCAGCTGATCTGAGCACAACAGTTTTGGTACCCATCAAGTGGAAAATTTGCTTCATTTTAATTTTTAAGTCAGAACTGTGTAAGCTGAACCAACTGAGATATCTATGGTGTAGGCTAATGTTTCTGTTATTAATCATCAGTCCTCTTAAATTAGAGCACGAACAAGATGAATCATTTTCTCAAAAATTGATGTGGAGGAAACAATCAGGTCTGCCACTATGGGCTTTATCTTCAACATCATCTCATCCCTCCTTAAAATGAGTTACCCGTTTGTAAAGTGATTATTCTTTGGGGCACTGGCTCTGTAAACTTTTCATGAAGTATTTATGATTTCACCATTCTTCCACCCAAGCTTCACCATACATTTGATCTTTGTCTTTGCTTCAATATTAGCAGAACTCATTTTGTTCTAATTGGGGCTCTTTTCAAGTTGAAGTTTTATCCTTCTCAGTGGCTCCAAGTATATCCTGTTACAACAAGTTAGTATAAACTTATTTTGGTGCAAAAAAAATTTGAAATTCATGCACAGTTTTTTCATAATATTCATTTTCCATGAACTTTTTAAAGAGCACCTCATACAGCTGACTGTAACCTGCAAGAATTAATTATGAAAGAAGGGAAGGGGAATTTGCACTTGGGAGGTACTAAGGACAAAATTCTTATTTGCAATTTTGGCAAGGATTGATGCTGACTTGGGGGTTGATCGAATTTTTGCCCAAAGTTTGAGATCTTAAACCCCATCCTTCTACTGTCAATTACTTGAGTTTCAGTGAGAAAGGATTGCAATTTACAAACTAAGCATATTATCAAATCTTTATAGACACTGTAGTTTGATATATGTATATTTAAACTAAATGTTCAGTAAAGTTTCCAAAGTTATATCCATGATGCAAACTCAATTGTTCCCAACTCAATTATCCTTTTGATAAGCTCAGAAAGAAGAAATCAAGCCTCCTCCAATGGTCTTGGTTACCACTAACACAAACCAAACCCTCCAAGCTGTGGAGGCACTAAAATATTTATTGAATGAATGAGTAAGTGAAAGAACAAAGAAATAAAAGAATATACAGAGTGGAAGCAACTTGGTAAGCAAACAATCTGATGATAGTAAAATTATTCTCCATGGGTGACTGGTTCCACAGCTGCAGGCTTTACCCAGAGACAAAGGTTCTTCCAGAGCCCTTCACATTATAAGACATACTGTGACATCAGGCACAGGAGAGGGGATGACAATTGCATTACAAAATGCCACTTCCCAGTCTACTTCCACTAATGGCATGAGTGCACCCATAGCATGGCTGTCCTGCTGTTTCTCAGCCTTCATGTTCATCATATTTAGAAGATCTGAGACTGAAGAAGAATGATTATGTGATGATGTAAGACATTATCTGAAAAGCACTTGTGTTTTACTGTGCTCGCTTTTACTGGCTTGTGGAAAGTGATGGGACTGTGTTATGTGGTACTCGATGGTAAAACCTCTCATTTCCCAAAATATACATGTGTGAATTTCAATCAGAGAAGTTCCAGCTGCAAGAGTGGAAACCACTCCATATGATTTACTCTTGGATTTATCATGCAAAGAATCAGAGGTTACACTCTATATAATACAAAGCAGTTTTGTCAGCTAAAGTTTGTTCTACACAGGCAGAGTGAAGAGGAAATTTGATAGAATCATGGCCAGAATATTCAAGCAAAACAATTACTCTTGTCTGACTTATTGAGGATAAGGGATTTCTCTGCTTAAATAATGTTTTTATAAGAGCTATTTAAATAGCCCTGTCAGTATATCCAAGTAAGACTTTATTTTAAAATAGAGATCACAGGTTTAAGGGAAGGTTAATTTTGAAATTACTAAGAAAATACATAGTTAATTTAAAACAACGAAATAAAATGTTGAAATGTGCTTATAAGGCATAAAAAAACACTAACTGAAGATACAGAGTTTTGGTGCCAAGCAACATAGAATTCTTTTTGGTTCTAATTTACCTGAAATATCTTCTTGCTATCACTTAAAAGATTTTTGTATAGTCAAAATCAATCTCTCACACTCCCTTGGAACATTTTGTTGATTTTTGACATCCCACATATGCAAAATCATTTACTCAAAGTGACTAGAGAAGTGGAAAAATTAGAGTTTCATGGTTTACGAATTGGAATTTATACAGATTTTACAGCTTTGCTTTTAAAGAAAGGAAAATGTTTTCTGCAGTTAAGAAATCACTCCAACAGATGGGTCTATCTCCTCTATTTTTATTTCTAGTTGGCTTATGGGTGAATTACCCTGGCCATAGTTATAAATTTGAAATTATAGGAACTGCTGAGGGGTGATTTTTTTTTTCTGGCTGTAAAATACAATAAGGACACAGCTGCAGCATCTAGAAAGTAAGGGAAGCTAAAACCATAAAAATAATACTGTTTCCTCATCCTTGTTTTGGATACAAGCTCTAAAACAAGAGTCAGTTTATCTGGTTTCCTATGATTTATAATGATTAATCTAAGGCCACATTCCCAGGAGAGTAATTAGCCAGTCAGTTACTTAGTGTGAATCCAGCATTGCTGATTAAGTATAAGTTTACAATTAGAAGTGGCCAAACATTCAATAAAACATAGTACAGGGTATCTTTTTTTTATTGGTTGGGGGGAGTGGAAGAAGCCAGAAATATGAGAAATAACCAGTCTAACTCCACTGAAAAAAGATCTTGCTTGGGACAATCGTGAATCACATATTGACTATAAGTCAGCAGTGAAATTCTATCTGCTTCTCTTTCTGTATATGTGTTTGTTAGGTTACCTTTTTGCATGTGTTCTGCCTGCTACATGCTCCACCTGTAACTACGTACTTTGTATATTATCTTTAGCAAGTTTTTAGTTGTGAGCTGACTACTCTCTGAAGTGCAATTGCCTCCAATATATTGGTGTCAGGAACAGGGCTCTCACCAGCCAGTTTCAAAAAATATTAATCCCATGCTAAAATCTTTTAAAAACTAACTCCCCAGAAGCCACAGGGTCAAACTGGAGTTTTTTGGCATTATATTCAAGGCTCTTTTTCTTGGCCTAAATTTTTCTTGCCCTTCCATGTTGATCTTTGTCCCCTTTTTATGCTTTATGTTTCAGAAATACTGAGAGACATGGTAATAGTAGAAATAGTTGTAGTGACCATTTATTGAGCATCAATTACATGAGGAGATAAAATACTAAATATTTTATCTCATTTAAATGTGTCATAAATATTCTCATAAAAATACCAGAAGACAGATATTATTATTCCCATTTTACAGCTAGAGAAAGTAAGGCTCCCAAACAGCAGGTAACTTGCTCAAGAATACATAGTTAATAAGTAGCAGAGGTAAGATTCTTCTCTTACCTCTTTGTTATACATGAAATATGCCACACTATTCCATTGCTCTAGGCCTTGTCACATTTTCTTGCATCTTAACTATAACACCTTTTACTACCTTGTTCACTTTGTTCACTTTAGAAACTCTACTGATTTTTTAGGACTTTCTCTATGTCTTCTCTGACCTGCCTCCCTGGGAAAGGTGATCAGACTTCTTCCAGTCTTCTGTGGCTCTATCCCGGATTACACACACACACACACACACACACACACACACACACACACAGACACACACACACCCATAATTCTACTCATCATAGTGCCTTATAATAGTATTTATAAATGTAAATAGATCTCCTTACTAAGTTGTGATAACTCTACACTAATCTTGCAACAACAAAAAGCACTCAAAAAATGTTCACCTAATGAACTGATAAATTAACTTATTTAAGAGCAGTAGAGGCATAGCCTTGATAATGAGTCATAGGCCATCAAAAGAGAGTTTCCTCAACACATATGAGTATTAAAGCAGACTTGGAGACACACTCATGTGTGATTTCTCTTATCTCCTGTCTTCTTTCTTAGCCAGTTCCTATCAAATTGAATCACAATTTTTTTATCAGCCCTTACTCCTTACTGTGATCTTATTCTTTTATTTAAAATTCCTTTCTGACATTAGATACCTGAAAAAGATTCAACTGTTAGCTCTGCCCTCATTTTCCCAGTACGAGACTCAGGTGATCTCTCTGCTTTTATTCCAAGAATCTAACTTTAGTTTCTATCAGTGAACAAATGTTGGTTGTTTACCTAATATGTGCTAGAGATTGCTCCGATTTAAAAAAAAAAAAAAAGAAGGATAAGGTATTTGGGTTTTATGTAGCATACATTACAGTAGTATAAGCAGGAAAACATGTAAACAAACAAAAAAAGATAATTTTAGGTACAATTTCCTATTCCTATGCAATAGCATATACCCTTCTCCAGCATGAGCTATGGCTGTGCTTAGGAAATACAAAGCAATTTAAATGTTAGCTTAATCTACACAGCGATATCTACACTGATGTTTAATTTTACACCATTATTGGTTTTCTATGGGAAAAAAAGACAAGGAACCAACAAATGGGGCAAATAGAAAACAAATAGTAAGATGACTCTAAAACAAATAGTAAGATTTAAACCTAACCATATCAATAATCATATTACATGTAAGAAGTATAAGCTCCCCCAAGTAAAAGGCAGAGATTATCAGATTGGATAAAAAGCAAGAACCAGCTCTATGCTGCCTACCAGAAATGTACTTTAAATATTAAGAAACAAATAGGTTTACAGTAAAATAGTAAAAAATAAAAATCATGCTAATTATAATCAAAAGAAAGGTGGAGTTACTATATTAAGATTAGTCAAAGTATATTTCAGAGAAAAGAGTTTTAGCAGAGATAAAGAAGGTCATTTTATAACAATAAAGCAGTCATTGCAATCAGAGGATACAATAATCCTAAACATTTATGTATCTAATAACAGAAATTCAAAATATATGTAGAAAAACTTATAGAAGTACAAGGAGAAATAGACATATTCATAAGTATAGTCAGAGATTTCAATAACCCTCCATCAATAATTGATTAAACAAGGAAACAGACAATTATATTATCAACCTACTGACCTAATTGACATATTTAGAATACACCATCCAAAAGCAATAAAATACATATCCTTTTCAGGTACACATGAAAATGTTACCAAGATAGATCATATGCAGGGCATTAAAATAAGTGGTAAATTCAAAAGAAACTAAGCCATGCAAAATAGTAACATGCTCCCTGGCTAAAATGAGATAAAATTAATGATCAATAACATAAATATCTCCAGAGTATTTCAATTGTTTGGAAACCAAATAACATACTTATAAATAACCAATCAGTCAAAGGGGATTTGAAAGGGAAAATTGAAAGTATTCTTTAGGCTGGGTGTGGTGGCTCATGCCTGGAATCCTAGCACTTTGGGATGCCAAGGCAGGAGGATCACCTGAGGCCAGAAGCTTGAGATTAGCCTGGACAACATAGTGAAACTCCTTCTCCACAAATTATTTTTAATATTAGCCTGGCATGGTGGCATGTGCCTGTAGTTCCAGCTTTTTGGGAGGCTGAGGCTGGAAGACTGCTTGAGCCCAGGAGGTTGAGGCTGCCATGAGCTATGATCATGACATTGCACTCCAGTCTGAGCAACAGAGTGAGACCCTGTCTAAAAAACTTTATTTTTAAAACAGTAGATAAGAAAACACATATCATCATATCAAAATGTGTAAGTTGCAACTAAAATAAATACACTTAGCACTAAAAATATATATTATAAATGTAGAAATATCTCAAATCAATGACTTCAACTTCCACCTTCAGAAAGTGGGGAAATAAATTAAAAATGAAGCCCAAAGTAGAAGAAGAATGGAAGTAATAAAAATCAGAGTGGAAGTCAACGAATTAGAGAACGGGAAATAAAAACAGAATCTGGTTTTTTGAGATATTAATAAAATGACTAAATCTCTAGCCAAATTGATTGGGAGAAAAAGTAAGGAGACTTAAATTGCCATTGTTGAGAATAAGAGACATGAATGATTCCACAAATGTTGAAAGGAAAATAAGGAAATATTATAAACTCACAACTTAGATGAAATGGACAAACTATTTGAAAGACACTGGATGCCAAAGCTTAGGGACAAATAGATCATTTACATATCTCTATGCCTTTTAAATGAATTAAATTTGTAGATAAAAACTTTCCACAAAGAAAATTCCAAGCCCAGTGGTTTCACCAGTGAATTCTACCATTCATTTACATAAGAAATAGTATCAAATGTACACCATCCCTTCCAGAAAATTAGGAAGGAGGAAATAATTTCCAACTCTTTCTATGAGGCTAGCATTACTCTGATACCAAAGCCTGACTAAGATGTATTTAAAAAAGTAAACTACAGACGAAAATCCCTCATAAACATACATGCAAAAAAGTAAAAAAAAAAAAAAAAACTTAGCAAAAAGAATCCGATCATCCAATAATAACACAACCACATAACCATATAATTAACTTCTAAAAATCAATGCACTGCATCATATTAACAAAATACAGTCAAGCCATATAATTAATATAATTATATAATTAATATAAATAATTATCTCAATAGACTCAGAAAAAGCATTTACCTAATCCAATATTTATTCCTGATTAAAAAAAATTCTCCCCAAGCTAGAAATATAAGAGAATTTCTTCAACCTCATAAAAGCTGTCTAGGGAAACTCTACTCTTGACATCATACTTGATTATAAAAAACTGAATGCATCCCCCACTAACATCAGGAGTAAGATGAGGACATCCACTGTCACTACTTCTACTCAATAACGTACTGCAAGTTCAAACAAGTGCAACAAGACAAAATAAATAAATATGTTACCCAGATTGAACAGGTGGAAGTAAAAATGTCTTATGTGCAGATATCATGATTATCTATGGAGAAAATAAAATGAATCTCTAAAAATCCTACTAGAACTAGTGAGTTTAGCAACATTTCAGGATGCAAGATCAATCATTCTACAGAAATCAATTTATATTCTATATTCTAACAATAGACATTCAGAAATTGAAATGTAAACAAAATGTAATTTATAATACCATAAAAATATGATATACTTTGGGATAAATCTGATGAAATATGTATAATACTTATACACTGAAAACTATGAAACTTTGCTGAGAGAACTTAAGACATGGATAAATGAAGAGATATCCCTCAGGTATAAGTCAGAAATCCCAATACTGTTAACAAGTCAGTTCTCCCCAAGAAAGATCTGTAGATTTAATACAATTCTAATCAAAGTCTAAGTGGGATTTTTGGTGTTGAAATTGATAAGATCATTCTAAATTTTATATGAAAATGAACAGGACCTACAGTAGCCAAAACAACTTGGAAAAAGAACCACATTGGAAGACTAACATAATCTGATTTTAAGATTTATTGCAAACCTCAGTTAATAAGACAGTGTGGTATTGGCAAATAGATACACAATAAATCAATGAACAGAATACAGAGTGCACAAATAGACCAAAATCTAGAAGTGGAAAACTGATTTTTGACAGATGTATTAATCAGTTTTCATAATGCTGTAAAGAACTGCCTGAGACTGGGTAATTTAGAAAGGAAAGAGATTTAATTGACTCACAGTTCAGCATGGCTTTAGAGGCCTCAGGAAACTTGCAATCATGGCAGAAGGTGAAGGGAAAGCAAGGCACCTTCTTCACAAGGTGGCAGGAAGGAAAAGTGTCCAGCAAAGGGAAAAGAGTCTCTTATAAAATCATCAGATCTCATGAGAACTCATTCACTATCAGGAGAATGGCATGGGGGAAATCACACCCATGATTCAGTTACCTCCACCTGGTCTCTCTCTTGACATATGGGGATTATGGGGATTACAATTCAAGATGAGATTTAGTTGGAGACACAAAACCTAAACATATCATCACAGAGGAGCAAAGGCAATTCAGCGGGAAGAGAACAGTCTGCAAGAAATGGTGCTGAAACAATTGCAGATCCATATGCACAAATGTAAACTTCGATCCACACTTCATGCCATATAAAAACTGACCCCAAAATGGGCCAGGCATGGTGGCTCATGCCTGTAATCCCAGCACTTTGGGAAGCTAAGACAGGCAGATCACTTGAGGTCAGCAGTTTGAAACCAGCCTGGTCAATATGCCAATACCCCATCTCTACTAAAAATACAAAAATTAGCTGGGTGCAGTGGCGGGCACCATATATATATGATTTCACATAGATATATGTGTGTGTGTGCATCAGAACTTATCAAATTGTACAAGTTAAATAGGTACATTGTCAATATTATTGTCAATTACACTTCAACAATGCTGTAAAAAAATTAAAGAAATAATTTCAAGATATCAGCATATTATTGAGGAGAGTATTATAACAGTTACTTTAAAACCTTTGCTATTTGTAACATACATAAAAGCAACTGTCTATTTCACCTTTTAAACAGATGATGCACATTGTTTATTTACTTTGAATTTACTCCAAGAGATAAATATGATGTTTTAACAAACTTAAAATAATCTATTATGTTTACTTTGGGAGACAAATACATTTTTAATTGTAGATTTAATTATTCTTAGTTACAGTATAAAAAATAGAGAAAAAATATCTTCAGGACCTTTTATTGGGGATCTTTCTACTTGGAAAAGAAAGCAATCAGCTGGCCTATATTTATGCGTATTATATTCTATTCCTAAACATAATACAAAGGTGACTGAGTGGCTGACTCATGAGCTCTGCCATCAGAAAAGATCCAGAATGTAACTGCTTCTCCCCACCTCCATGGACTCAACCCTAGTTAAGCCATCATCATCTGTCTCCTGGATTATTACAATAGCGTTCCACCTGTTCTCCCTCCTTCTGCCCCTGCCTCACCTATAGCCTATCTTAACACAGACCCCCAGAGCATTCCTTTGCTCAAGACTTGGAAGTGACTTCTTTATGAAGCCAAAGTTCTTACAGTGGCATTCGAGGCTTTCCCAAAGTACTGCTCCTCTCCTTGTTCCATCTACTCCCATCACACTGGTCTTACTCAAATATGTCTGCCACACTTCCATCTCCAGTCCTTTCACTTGCTCTGCCTGTAACATTTATGCCCCAGACACTTCTCAGCTTGGATTTACCCAAATGTCACCCATCTCCACTCCCTACCCCATCTTCTGTCTTGTTGTCCTACCTAACATGCAACATTATCTGGCATACCATGTATTTTACTTATTTGTGTAATGTATTGCCCTTCGTGTATCTACACCTTTTGCAAAATGATTTGTAGCTCCTTCCATCAAGAGAGGGAGTCTTTCTTACCACTCCTTGAACATGGGCTGGCCAATGACTTGCTTTGGCCAAGAGAATGCAGAGGAAGTGACAGTGATTCAGTGTCAAGGCTGAGGTCAAGAGGCATCATGCACCTCTGCTCTCTCTTTTGCTTCTCTTCTCTACCTTTGTTATAAGCTAAGTCCAGATCAGACCCAAACACGTAAGCATGTCCCGAAGAGATAAGCCAAGCCCCGCCTGCCAACCGTTAGACAAATGAGTGGTTGTACTGGGCATGGTGGCTCACATCTATAATCCCAGCACTTTGGGAAGCTGAGGCAGGAGGATCACTTGAGGCCAGAAGTTTAAGACCAGCCTGGGCAACATAATGGGATTCCATCTCTACCAATAATAATAATAATAATAATAATAATTAGCTGGGTGTTGTGGTGCACATGTAGTCCCCACTGTTTAGGAGGCTGAGGTGGGAGGATCACTTGAGGCTAGAAGTTCAAGGCTGCAGTAAGCCATGATTGTGCCACTAAACCCCAGCCTGGGTGACAGGGTGAGACCCTAACCCTATTAAAAAATAATAATAGTAGTAGTTGTTTTAAGCTCTTAGGCTTTGGTGTGATTTGTCTTGCAGCATTACTGTGGCAACAGACAGATCTATTTTCTTTCTCCACCAGCTAGAATATAAACTCCTCGGTGGCAGGAGTTTATCTGTTTTGTTCCCTGCTGTATCCTCAGGGCCTAGAATGCTGCTTAATAAATCTTACTAAATTAATCAATGAATTTGAATCAGACGACTCTAATTTACAAATCAGTTGGTCATTTTGAGGTATATATATATATATATATATAACATTTTTAAATCATCAGAAATTTGAGAATTTAAGCATTAATATATTATAATTCCTATAATTGATAAATAGTTCATTAAGGATATAAAATATGCAGTACATGAAGAAAATATTTTTAATTTACAATGTAATAGTCGATGCTATGACTGATGCTCAGATGAGGATAAACCAACTGAAAGATAGATGAATGAGCTTTGATTATCTGTTCTCTCCGAACTGCTAGGCCTGATATGTACTGTATTAATTATTTATTGCTGTGCAATGAGTTACTCCAAAACTTAGCAGCTGAAAGCAGTAACATTCATTATGTCATGCTTTCTGTAGGTCAGGAATCCAGGAATGTTAAGTAGGTGCTTCTGACTCAGGTTCTCTCATGAGGTTGCAATTAAGGTGTTGATCAAAGCCAGTGTCACTTCAACACTCAACAGGGGAGAACCCACTTCCAAGATCACTCACGTAGTTGTTCTCAGGCCTAAAAAAATCCGCTTCCAAACTCAGTCACATGGGCCTTATGACATGGTAGCCAGCTGGCCTCCTTCACAAGAAAGAACTGGAGAGAGCACCCAAGACATAAGCTACAGTCTTTCTCTCTCTCTCTCTCTTTCTTTTTTTTTTTTTTTTTTTTTGAGACAGAGTCTCACTCTGTCACCCAGGCTGGAGTGCAGTGATGTGATCTCGGCTCACTGCAACCCCCACTTCCCGCGTTCAAGGGATTCTCCTGCCTCCTCCCAAGTAGCTGGGATTACAGGCGTATGCCACCATGCCCAGCTAATTTTTGTGGAAAAAAAAAAATATATATATATATATATTTTAGTAGAGACAGGGTTTCACCATGTTGGCCAGGCTGATCTTGAACTGCTGACCTCAGATGATCCACCCTCCTCGGCCTCCCAAAGTGCTGGGATTAAAGGCATGAGTCACCGCCCCTGCCACCACAGTCTTTTTATAAACTAATCTCACAAGCAAAATCCCATCACGCTGTATCCTTTTCATTATGAGGGAATCAACAAGTCTAGACCACATTCAGGAGGAAATGATTACCCAAGAGCATAAATTAGTATTAGAAGGTAGGGATCATGAAGCTTTTAAAGGCTGCCTACATATGCACATAGAGCCCCTCAAATTCCATTTTTAGAAGGCAAGATTTAAATAATAATTTCCATGCTTAATTGTTTTTAATTAAAACTGCATCAGATGCCATTATTGCATTTAATAATATAAATCCCCAAAACAATTTTCAAACTTCTGTAGGTTGGAAAAATCTGGACACTAGGTTTACATGCACACCCAAAATTCTAGAGCAAGTATTTAATCCAGGGATGATTGAAGCAGGCAATGTGATTTAAAGCTACCAAGTAAAAACTCTTGCCAAAAAATTTTATCTCTGATAATAACTAAACTTTCTTACATATTCATTTTATTTAGTATGAAAGATCCATTTTCAAGAGTCATTTATTTCATCAATTAATTACCCTTAAGTATCTAGCAGTAGCCAAGTTTAAAGATACTAAAACCATCATCCCTGCCCTCAAGAGCTAAAATTTAGTTGAAATTAATACAAGTAATCCCAAGAGTGAGAGGGTCCCCCAAATGATTTTGGTGAAGCAGTTCTTTCTGCTTAAGAAAATCAGTGGCTAGAACATTTACTAAATATATATCTTAAATAATTGAAAAATAACTCCTCTACATCTCCATTCTTCCTGGAATGACACTGAATTGGATTATGAAAAGAGAAAAGAATTCCTCTAAAATAACATTTCTATTTCCATTGACTTTTCAGCAGGAGCAGCAGGCTGCCCTCACCACCTGGCTCACGAACAAACATGAGCTAACTCACGACTGTTCTACCATCACAATCTTCAGTTACACAGAATGCCAAAAAAGCCAGCAACATCACTTTGTTGCCTTTCTTTCTTCCTTCCTTCTTTCCTTTATTTCTAAGCAAGCAGAAAAAGAAAATGTCTTTATCAAGGCTGGTCAGTAAAAAAACCAGAAGGTACACATTGCATTTCTTATTGTGTACATGTGAGTCTACTCACACATTGGCATATGAATTTATTGTTCTGATCAAATAAGCTAATTACGATGGAAACATCATGCGGGTATATGCCAATGACCTCTAAAACATACAGCCAGTTTAGAGTGCTGTGAAAAAAAGATCCTGAAGCAACTGAGATTTCTGATCCCTAACTGCAAGTTCTGCATCAAAGGGACATCGAATCTGGGGCTGAAAGGCCAGGTGTGCGAGCAGATGGAAAGGGGATGAGGCAAGAGAGATGGAAGTTAACATCTGTAAAAGTGATTTATTCACACGCACACATGCATATGCACACACACACAAACGCACATACACAAAATGTCTTCTTGAAAATCAGAATAAGGAGAGAAGAACAATCATGTATATCTTTGGACATGAATGTCTCCAACAGGGATCCAGTGATTCTCTTTAAAGAACTACTCCACCTGTTTGCTTTGTGTAGAATCATTAAAATACTGACTGATACAGAAGACACTGAAAATTAGACTTGTTTTCATAAAACTTTCCAATATAAGATTTACATAAGCCCAACTAAGTACTTATTCCATGATATAATAACACAAGTACATCCTCTTTCATTGACTCCTACATTACATAGACTCACTAGTATTTGCATTTTAATTAGAATAGTATCTGTAAAATTTTCTCCTTACCATTTTAAAGAGTTTATCTAACATTTCCAGACAAAAAATGAATCCACTTTTTGAGAGAAAGTAAAATAAAAAAATAAACTCATTATTTGTGGAATTGAAGCAGAATTAAAACAACGTTACATCAATTATCTGACCAGGATACTAACTTTCATTTGCTACTTCGCACATGTAGTGTGTCTGTTTTCTAAAATGTCAAATAAAAAAATAATCAAGTACTGAAAGAGCCTATCTCATTGGAGTTTGTGAAAAATCATGGAATTTAAGTTCGAAGGAATGTAATTAGCTTGCTTGGAATTTGGCTAGTTCAGCTGAGTTAACACCATCGTTCTTTCAAAAATGTGCCACGAGACCCATAAGCTTAGGGAATACAATAGCTACTCATGACCTCAAGGACAAATTGCTTCAAGAAAGGGTCTCTTCAAGTCAGATGCAATCCCTTGTCTAATGCACATTACCAGTCATCAGTTATAGGCCAGTGGAAAGAATAGTTTTCATCTCATTTGCCAAAAACTCCTGCTGCAATAAATCAGCAAAAATGTACTGAGTGCATTGTGTGAAGAAAGCCTAATCTATTGTGCAATGGGGTTTGCTCATATGGGGTTGCTGAAGTAAACTCAGCATTACTGCAAATCCTGCTTAAAATCCCTTACTCTAAGCTACACGTGCAGAAACTCTGTAACCCTTAATATTTCACCCAATCAGAATTTCTAAACTGTTCCTTTCTTTCCAATCATTTTGTCCTACAAATTAATGCTTTTTGTTAACCTATATATTACAGCATTTAAAAACTATTAAATTTTCTGTAGTTAACCTTGGCTGGATTATTAAAAGCATTCCTGTGACTCTGAATGCTGTCTTTGGGCCTCAAGCTTGGATCTTTTTATGCACTTGTAAGTTTAAGGCTGAAGTGAGTACAGGGCTCAACTCTGCATTTGAAAAGCCTGTCTATGACTCTATAACCAGGAGTTTTTAATCTGCGGTTTTCCAGGTATCCATTAACCCTTGACATTTTAAGCAAAACTTGACTGGGCTCGTGTACATTTTCTACAAAAAGAGCTATCATGTAATCAAAAACTTGTCTGATCTTTATCCTAGGTTACTGGCATGGAGCTTCTATCCCTGGAATTTCCCAAGTGATAGTAGTATATTTGTTATTTGTGAGTCCCTTGGATCACATCTCAGTTTATAATAATGAGAGGACTCAGGATGAGGGCTGGCCACCAGAGAGACAAAGCACATGACTGCAGGGTTGAGGCTTGGGCCAGCCTAACCTCTGTGGAGGAACAGAGGGATAGAGATGAGTTCAAACACATGACCAATGAGTCAATCAATCATGCTTATGTAATGAAACCCCCCAAATAATACAGGACACCAAGATGTAGGCGAGTTTCCTGGTTGGTAAACACACTGATACATCGATTGGTGGGGAGAGGGAGCAAGGGGGTGACATTCCCTGACTCCATGAGGAAAGGACAATGTAAACTCTGTGAAACTCTCCCAGATCCCGTGGTAAATGTCTCTTCTTTTGACTGGCTCTCAACTGTAAATTTTATAATAAAACTGTAATTGTTAGTGCTTTCCTGAATTCTATGAGTTATCCTAGTGAATGATCAAACCTGACTGGGTTGTGGGAATCTCCAAATTTTTAAACAGTTGGTCAGAAGTGCAGGTAGCCTGGGGACGTGCAGCCTGCAACTGGCATCTAAAGTGAGGACACTCCTGTGTGGGTGGGGCTCTTACCTGTGGAGTTGGATGCCAAGCCTAGGTAGTTAGCATCAGAATTGCACTGTAGCACACTCAAGGTCCATACCTGTTGTCAGATCTTCAAAGAACTTTTTGACCCAAATACTTACAGCAACTGTTCTATAGAGTCCTAAGCAAAGAATTTTTCAAATGAAACAAAAGTTCTTAAAAAGAGAACCAAGAAAGCCACATTAGCAATAAAGAACAGTCAGGTGGCTTCTGTTAACTTGAAAAAAAAAAAAAGATGGCTGTGTAAATTATCAGACACTTTAGATGCTTAAAAGGCAGAACAAGTCTTAAATCCTCTCATACTCTAAACTTAATACAACCACAAACAAGGAGGTACAGAGACAGAAAAAAACCTCAGTACCTAACTCCTGATCTTCTCTACCCAACACATTCTTCCCACCCCTGTTCTCTCCACCCTACTCTATCGCTTGCTCTTTCACAGTCTTCCCCATGAAATGGTAACACCATTCTCCAGTTGTTCAGGCCATCAACCTTGGAGTTCTCTTAGATTCCTCTACAATTCCTCTATTTTTCTCATACTCCCTAAAATATCAACAAATCCTTCAAAATGTGTTCCAAAAAAAGGTGACGTTACTTTTGATGGCAGTGGTTCTAAAATTGTGGTCCATGAACCCCTGGGAGTCTCCAAGATCTTTTCATGGGGTCCACAAAGTGTTCATTAAAGAGAGTCCAGCAAAGCGAAGCTGTGACTTCAAGAAAAAAAAAAAAACTTCATAATACTGAAATATTAATTGACTTTTTCACCACGTTGACATTTGCAGTAATGGCAAAAAGACAATGATAGATGAAGCTGTTGGGGTTTTAGCATATATCAAGGTAATGAATGGCACCTTGTTGCAATGGAACTGTCTTAGTCCATTTTGTGCTGCTGTAACAAAATACCTGAGACTGGGTAATTTATAAAGGACAGAAATTTATTTTCTTACAACTCTGGAGACTGGGAAGTTTAAAATCAAGGTACTGATCGGTTTGCTTGTCTGGCGAGGGCTACTTTCTGCTTCTAAGATGGTACCTTATTGCTGCATCATCAGGCGGCGGGTGATGTGGTGTCCTCACATGGGAGAAAGCAGAAGGGCAAGCCAGCCAAATGCTATATGCAGCCTCTTTTATAAAAGTCTTAATCCCATTCACAAGGGAGGTGATTTTATGACCTAATCACCTCTTACAGGACATACCTCTTAATACTATCACATTAGCAGCATCTGAATTTTGGAGAGTACACATTCAAACATAGCATGCACCAAATTGTACTTGTGATCTTGTAATCCTCAGTGCCACACACTGAGGGATGGAGACAGGAGAAGAAAAAGATGCCAGTTTCACTTAAGAATGTCCCTAATAAAACAGTACTGATTTTTTACTTTATTAAATATCAACCTTTTGGAGAGACCCTTGATTCACACTAACCTATGCTCTGTGACTCCTTAGGACAATCCCTAGAGCAGTGCTGTTCAAGCTTTCTGCAAAGAGAAATGATCCATCTCTGTACTGTCCAATATGACAACTACTAGCCAAGTGTGTCTATTTAGCTCTTGAAATTCACTAGCTACCACAACTGAATTTATTTTATTTCATCTTAAATTATTAAATTTGTTTATTTTGTTTAAATAATTCAAATAGCCACATTTGTCTAGTGGCTACCCTGTCAGGCAATGTAACCTTAGAATTCTAGATCAGCCCCACTCTTCAGATCCTTGAGAATGTCTAGTCCAGGACCACTGAGGTCTTTCTCCACCTCCCTCAACTCACCTCAGACATTAACTCAAAACGTTTTACAATGCAAAGGCCATCTGCCTTTTAACAGTGGACTTCGAAGCACCATTACTGATTCAAGGACAAGGGGAACAAGGAGCCCCCTACACAAAAAACAAAAAAAAAGTCCTCTATTTCCAAACACTTGTAAAGCCAGAGTTGTAATTAGGAATAAAAACTTTTAACTTCCTCCATGTCCATGACTTTATTTTTCTTTCAATTTATATTTGCATGAACTGATTGACCATTATCTACACCAGGAAAGGCATCTGGTTTATTACCTCTAAATCACTCTGCCTTTTGTTAAAGCAACTGACCCTTTCTCTCTAATATTGATGTTTTGATGGATAAATTATTACCACTTTTCCAAAGTTAAAGAGAATTGATCCAAACATTTTAAATGTAAAACTCCATATGTATGGCCATTGGACTGGAGAGATGAAGTGTCTATACAATTAAAAATGAATTTACCAGAGGTCATCTAAAGTTGCATTCAGATATTCAGACTAAATTCAGGGACATATCTTTGCAAGTAATTTAAACCATACCATAAAGTTGTAGCTTATAGTTATAGATGTACATATACATCCATATAAGTAGAGGAAACTAAACAAAGAATCCTAAAAATTTTGTATAATAAATGATACAAATATAAAGAAAAATCATGAGATGAGGAGGCCTGCATGTCTTTAAAAAAGAAAAACAATCCCCACAAACATACAGAAGCTGGGTATGCTAATGAAATAGAGATGATGTAGTAAAATAGCATATTATCTTCACCCACTGATTACTGAATTAACCAATATTTAAGATAATCCAAAATAGTGGGGGATCGGTTATCTAGTCAGCACTGTATCCCACTACTTCCCTGGAGGTTCACTGCTACTCTAGCTACCACCACTGCCATACCCACTGGGAGCTCTCTTCTGACCCCAAAGGCCTGTTACTTGTCTTCCCTGAAACTACAACTTCTGAGTCAATTTACTAATCTGCATGTTCTCTGGAAGCAAAAGTCACAAACAAGGGAGCATATTAGGAAGGAATATAAGGGCAGGAAACATTGTTAGTTGGGCTGAGGCCCTCTAGGGTCTTACAAGCTAGCAGGAGACTCTCCTTAAAGGAATGTCTTTGAAATGTCTTTGCAGCAAAAAAGTCCTTGTGCATAGCAACCAGATGTGTGCTTCTATTTCTCTATCACCGATCCACTGGCTTCATGAGCTTTTACTGAGCTCTTTTATGAAAAAGCAGCTTCACCTGCACCAATGTCTTTTGCGTCTCACAATAACCCCAGGTGGTAGTAATGCTACTCCCATTTTACAGAAGCATATGGAGTCTAAGAAACACGCCTGAAGCCCCCAAGCTGGTAAATGGTGGAGTCGGTTCACAGAGCAACTGACTCCAAGGTGACCTGGAAACTTCTATCCTCCTCCATGCGGATGATCTCACCACACAGAGAGTACACATGAAGGTCATTAGGAGTTACCTAAATATCGTGCCTCATTGCCTCCTACCTCACAGTCTCCCTGAGTGCAGAGAAGAACAGCTGGGTTAATTCCTAGGCAGCAACACCCAGGAGAGCTTTCAACATAAGTCTAATTTCATGTGAAAATGCTACAAGATCACTTACAATGGAGACATCCCCCAAAGGAATCCATCTTAAAGGGAACACACCAGCAAATTATATTCATACTTAAGGAAAGAGGCCTTGAACAGACACACCCTAAAATATGCCATTGCATTTCTTTGGAATATGTTCAGGAGGTGAAAATAACCGAAGAAATTGGCCAGCTTTCCTTATCACACAATATTCCTAACCATCTGCTGCATGCGTTTATGAAGACAGGGCTCGGTGCTTAAAATTCTCATCAAAGAAAATGTGAATAACCAGTTTACAACCTGTGAGAAAAAGGGAAAGGATGCCTCCTTCCCATTGCCACAAGTTCAGAATCACAGCTAACATGTGTAGTTGTGGGTGGCTGTGCTTGTTTCTTAAAAGAAGATAATTGCACACACCACCAAATAACAAAACAAAAGGGGAAAATGTGTGTGGGAGGTGGGAGTGAGATGTTAGAATAATTTAATTACTGTCAGGTGGTTTTCAAGCTGTACTGGGGAAAAAAAGCTTTGAACATGATCTATTACACAGAAAACAAATTGAGCTTCTATTTCAGCTCATTTTTATCAAATGATCTTAAAAGTTTTAAGAATTGGACAAACTTTAGGTTGACACAGAAATCAGTTCCTATTTGCTCCAAACACAAAGCTCATGACTTCAAAGTCTCAAGTTCAATTCAGGCTTTCAAGGGCAATAACTTTCACTCAGTTCCATGACTCCTAGCTGCATATTACACACTGGATCACTAGCTATTCTCTAGGCTATCACAACCACCACACTATCATAACTCACTAATAACATGTGGCCCAGAGTTGCAGTAGAGACTCTGAAAATTCGTTATGTATTTGTGTGAGGCGACAAGCTTTTGGAAGGAGGGAAGCCCATCTTACAGGGGTAATAAGGAAAGTCTAAGTGGTCACTACAACAGGAAAGAGAGGCTTTTTAAAAAGGGGGAGATGGGGAAAATGATGTGTCTCCTTACAGCATAACTAGGACCTGTAGGCTGTGCCCCACTTTAGTGGCTTTGGGCTTGGAGGATGGTGCTGAAATATACCACAGGTAAAGCAAGCGGCAGGCTTAGTCTGAGCCCTGCGCTGAAGAGAGGCAACAGATAACGTGGTACCCAAGGTACCTCATGAGGTCCCCCAGCTATGAGAGTGCAGAGGCCAGAACACTGGGAGGAGAGATCCTGTGTGCTGGAGAAACACATAGCTATGAGCCTCTGCAATGAGAGTAGTCCATGCTCTGGTGGTAGCTGGGCCAATATCAGTTTTACCTGACAGTTCCATGCCAATGATGTAAGTTGCAACGACAACAATGCAGTGGAGAACTCAGGAATTTATACCCTAGAATAACAAGGACCTGCTCTAGAAAGCAGTGATGTGTATTGGTAACTTGGGCCGTTCAGGACAGGCTTCAGCCAAAGAAACATAGTAGGTCGGTTCAAATCATCTTTGGAATGACTGCCACACAGGCTAGCTGAAAGAGTCCTCAATCTGGGAATAATGGCTTGATGGACCACCCAATTCTCCCCATGGCCTCTGTATTAGTCTGTTTTCATGCTGTTGATAAAGACATACCCAAGATTAGATAATTTATAAAGAAAAAGAGGTTTAATGGACTCACAGTTTCAGGTGGCTGGGGAGGCCTCACAATCACGATAGAAGACGAAAGTCACGTTGTACATGATGGCAGGCAAAGAGAGAGTGAGAACCAAGAAAAAGGAGTTTCCCCTTATGAAACCATCAGATCTCATGAGACTTACTCTTTACCACTAGAACAGTATAGGGGAAAACACCCCCATGATGAAATTATCTCCCACTGGGTCCCTCCCACAACACATGGGAATTATGGGAGCTACAATTTAAGATGAGATTTGGGTGCGGACACAGCCAAACCATATCAGCCTCTCCACCACCCTCTCCACAATCTCACTCCCCAGCTTTGCCTCTGAACTTGGAACCATTTGAAGATTAAATATGTAAGTACTATGTGAAATGTAATAAATACACTACCATTGTTAGCTATCAACATGGTCACAAATATTGATGTTAACTATGAAAGTGTTGAAGTGATATCACATAACCAGTTAGAATACTAAGGTCTGTGAGCATCTCAAAATGAATAGAAGATTACAACTGTCATCTTCACACAGTACAGAGATAATTATAGGTTAATAAAAGACAATAACTATTATACCATTACACTTACTAAAAGCCAAATGGCACTGTTTGTGAAGCATTGGATTAAAGCTATTAGATCATTGGCTTCATCTTTGCTTTTTATTTTTTTCTTTTTGTTTTTGTTTTTAATTTTTATTTTTTTAATTTTATTTTTCCATAAGTTATTGAGGTATAGGTGGTATTTGGTTACGTGAGTAAGTTCTTCAGAGGTGATCTGTGAGCTTTTAGTGCACCCATCACCCAAGCAGTATACACTACACCATATTTGTAGTCTTTTATCCCTCGCCCCCGCTCCTACTCTTCCCCTCAAGTCCTCAAAGTCCATTGTATAATTCTTATGCCTCTGCATCCTCATAGCTCAGCTCCCACATATTAGTGAGAACATAAAATGTTTGGTTTTCCATTTTTGAGTTACTTCACTTAGAATAATAGTCTCCAATCTCATCCAGGTAAATGCAAATGCTGTTAATTCATTTCTTTTTATGACTGAGTAGAATTCCATAATATATATGTGTGTATATATATAATATATATGTGTATATATAATATAGATATTAATTATATATGTGTATATATATTATATATGTTATATATGTGTATATGTATTATATATAATATAATACATATACATATAATATAATATATAATACATATTATAATATATAATACATATACTATATAATATTATATGTGTATATATTATATAATATATATACACATATATATTATATATTATATATACACATATGTAATATATATATTATATATAATATATACGTATATAATGTATAATATATTATATATTATATATTATATATAATATACGTATATATTATATATAATATATAATATATACATATATATTATATATAATATATAATATATACATATATAATATATAATATATAATATATACATATATAATATATAATATATACATATATATTATATATAATATATACGTATATATTATATATAATATATATGTATATATTATATATAACATATGTATATATATTATATATACATATATTATATATACATATATTATATATAATATATACATATATAATATATAATATATGCACATATAATATGTATATTATATATTCATATATAATATATATATTATATATTATATATATAATATATATATTATATTATATATACATATATTATATAATATATGTACATATAATATAATATATTATATATTATATATATACATATAATATTATTATATATTATATACATACATATATATAATATATATACATATATATTATATATATACACATACCACAGTTTCTTTATCCACTGGTTGATTGTGGACATTTGGGTTGGTTCCATGATTTTGCAATTGTGAATTGTGCTGCTATAAACATATGTGTGCAAGTATCTTTTCCGAATAATGACTTCTTTTCCTCTGGGTAGATAGTAGTGGGCTTGCTGCATCAAATGGTAGTTCTACTCTGAGTTCTTTAAGGGATCTCCACACTGTTTTCCATAGCAGCTGTACTAGTTTACATTCTCACCAGCATTGTAGAAGTGTTCCCTCATCACTGCATCCATGCCAATATCTACTGTTTTTGATGTTTTGATTATGGCCATTCCTGCAGGAGTGAGGTGATATCACACTGTGGTTTTGATTTGCATTTCCCTGATCATTAGTGATGTTGAGCATTTTTTCATTTGTTTGTTGGCCACTTGTATATCTTCTTTTGAGAATTGTCTATTCATGTCCTTAGCCCACTTTTTGATGGGATTGTTTGTTTTTTTCTTACTGATTTGTTTGAGTTTGTTGTAGATTCTGGAAATTAGTCCTTTGTCAGATGTATAGATTGTGAAGATTTTCTCCCACTCTGTGTCTGTCTACTCTGCTGACTGTTCCTTTTGCCATGCAAAAGATCTTCAGTTTAATTAGGTCCCAACTATTTATTTTTGTTTTTATTGCATTTGCGTTTGGGTTCTTGGTCATGAAATCCTTGCCTAAGCCAATGTCTAGAAAGGTTTTTCCAGTGTTATCTTCTAGAATTTTTATAGTTTCAGGTCTTAGGTTTAATTCCTTAATCCATCTTGAGTTGATTTTTGTGTAAGGTGAGAGATGAGTATCCAGTTTCATTCTCCTACATGTGGCTAGCCAATTCTCTTGTCCTTTTGCCCCTTTATGTTTTTGCTTGCTTTGTTGAAGGTCAGTTGGCTGTAAGGATTTGGGTTTATTTCTGGGTTCTTTATTCTGTTCCATTGGTCTACGTGCCTATTTTTACACCAGTATCATGCTGTTTTGGTGACTATGGCCTTACAGTATAGTTTGAAATCAGGTGGTGTGATGCCTCCAGATATGTTCTTTTTGCTTAGTCTTACTTTTGCTATGCAGCCTCTTTTTTGGTTCCATATGAATTTTAGAATTGCTTTTTCTAACTCTGTGAAGAATGATGGTGTTATTTTGATGGAGATTGTATTGAATTTGTAGATTGCTTTTGGCAGTATGGTCATTTTCACAATATTGATTCTACCCATCCATGAGCATGGGATGTGTTTCCATTTGTTTGTGTTTATTATTTCTTTCAGCAGTGTTTTGTAGTTTTCCTTGTAGAAGTCTTTTGACTCCTTTGTTAGGTATATTCCTAAGCATTTTTTTTTTGCAGCTATTGTAAAAGGTGTTGAATTTTTTATTTGATTCCCCACTTGGTCGCTGTTGGTGTATAGAAGAGCTGCTAATTTGTGTACATTAATCTTGTATATGGAAACTTATTCTTTTGTCAGTTCTAGGAGCTTTCTGGAGGAGTCCTTAAGGTTTTGGCTTCCTCTTTACAGATTTGGAAGCCCTTTATTTATTTCTCTTGTCTGATTGCTCTGGCTAGGACTTCCAGTATTATGTTGAAGAGGAGTAGTGAGAGTGGGTATCCTAGTCTTGTTCTCATTCTCAAATGGAATTCTTTCAACTCTTCCCCATTCAGTATTATGTTGGCTGTGGGTTTGTCATAGATGGCTTTTATTACATTAAGGTATGTCCTTTGTATGCCAATTCTGCTGAGGGTTTTAATCATAAAGAGATGCTGGATTTTGTCAAATGCTTTTTCTGCATCTATTGAGATGATCATATGATTTTTGTTTTTAATTCTGTTCATGTGGTGTTTCACATCTATTGACTTGCATATGTTAAACCATTCCTGCATCCCTGGTATGAAACCCACTTGATCATGGTGGATTATCTTTTTGATATGTTGTTGGATTTGGTTAGCTAGTATTTTGTTAAGGATTTTAGCATCTATATTCATCATGATATCGGTCTGTAGTTTTCTTTTTTGGTAGTGTGCTTTCCTGGTTTTGGTATTAGGGTGATGCTGGCTTTATAGAATGAGTTATGGAGGTTTCTTCTTTCTCTATCTTGTGGAATAGTGTCAAAAGGATTGGCATCAATTCTTTGAATGTCTGGTAGAATTCTGCTGTGAATCCATCTGGTCCTAGACTTTGTTTTGCTGGTAATTTTTTAATCTTGCTGCTTGTTATTGGTCTGTTCAGGGTCTCTGATTCTTCCTGATTTAAGCTAGGAGGGTCGTATTTTTCCAGGAATTTATCCATAACTTCTAGTTTTTCTAGTTTATGTGTGTAAAGGTGTTCATAGTAGCCTTGAATGATCTTTATGTCTCCTTTTTGAGGTTTTATCTCCTTTGAGGTTATTTGTATTTCCTCTCTTCTTTTCATGGTTAATCTTGCTAATGGTCTATCAATTTTGTTTATGTTTTCAAAGAAAGAGCTTTTTCTTTCATTTATCTTTTGTAGTGTTTTTTGTTTCAATTTCATTTAGTTCTGATCTGATCTTGGTTATTTCCTTTCTTCTGCTGGGTTCGGTTTGTTCTTGTTTCTCTAGTTCCTTGAGGTATGATCTTAGATTGTGTGTTTGTGCTCTTTCAGACTCTTTGATGCAGGCGTTCAGGGCTATGAACTTTCCTCATAGCATCACCTTAGCTGTATCCCAGAGGTTTTGATAGGTTGTGTCATTATCATCATTCAGTTGGAATAATTTTTAATTTCCATCTTGATTTCGTTTTTGACCCAATGCTCATTCGGGGCATTGTCTGATATTATTTAATTTCCATGTATTTGCATGGTTTTGAAGATTCCTTTGGTAGTTTATTTCCAGTTTTATTCCATTGTGGTCTGAGAGAGTGCTTGATATAATTTCAATTTTCTTAAATTTATTGAGGCTTGTTTTATGGCCTATCATAAGGTCTATCTTGGAGAAAGTTCCATTACTGTTGAATAGAATGTTTATTCTGTGGTTGTTGGATGAAATGTTCTGTATATATCTGTTACGTCCATTTGTTCCAAGGCATAGTTTAAATCCATTGTTTCTTTGTTGACTTTCTCTCTTGATGACCTGTCCAGTGCTGTCAGTGGAGTATTGAAGTCCCCCACTATTATTGTGTTGCTGTCTATCTCATTTCTTAAGTCTATTAGTAATCATTTCATAAATTTGGGACCTCCAATGTTAGGTACACATATGTTTAGGATTGTAATATTTTCTTGTTGGACAAGGCCTTTTACCTTTATATAATGTTCCTCTTTGTCTCTTTTAACTGCTGTTGCTTTAAGGTTTGTTTTGTCTGATATAAGAATAGCTACCCCTGCTTGTTTTTGGTGTCCATTTGCATGAAATGCCTTTTTCCACCTGTTTACTTTAAGTTTATGTGAGTCCTTATGTGTTAGGTGAGTCTCCTGAAGGCAGCAGACAGTTGATTGGTGAGTTCTTACCCATTCTGCGGTTCTGTACCTTTTCAGTGGAGCATTTAGGCCATTTACATTCAATGTTAGTATTGAAATGTTAGGTACCATTGCATTCATTATGCTCTTTGTTGCCTGTGTATTCTTTTTTGTTGTTGTTTTTGCTTTTTAACTTGTATTTTTGTTTTATAGGTCCTGTGTGGTTTATGCTTTAAAGAGATTCTGTTTTGATGTGTTTCCAGGATTTGTTTCAAGATTTAGAGCTCCTTTTAGCAGTTCTTGTAGTGGTGGCTTGGTAATGGCGAATTCTCTCAGCATTTGCTTGTCTGAAACTGATTGTAGCTTTTCTTTGCATATGATGATGCTTAGTTTCACTGCATACAAAATTCCTGGCTGATAATTGTTTTGTTTGAGAAGGCTGAAGATAGGGCCCCAATCCCTTCTAGCTTGTAGGGTTTCTGCTGAGAAATCTGCTGTTAATCTGATACATTTTCCTTTATAGATTACCTGGCACTTCTGTCTCACAGCTCTTAAGATACTTTCCTTCATCTTAACTTTGGATAATGTGCCTAGGCAAAGATCTTTTTGCAATAAATTTCCCAGGTGTTCTTTGTGCTTCTTGTATTTGGATGTGTAGGTCTCTAGCAAGGTCAGGGAAGTTTTCCTCGATTATTCCCCCAAATATGTTTTCCAAGCTTTTAGAATTGTCTACTTTCTCAGGAACACTGATTATTCTTAGGTTTGGTTGTTTAACATAATCCCAGACTTCTTGGAGGCTTTGTTCATATTTTCTTATTCTTTTTTCTTTATCTTTGTTGGATTGGTTAATTCGAAGAACTTGTCTTTGAGGTCTGTTTTTCTTTCTTCTACTTGTTCAATTCTATTGCTGAGACTTTCCAGAGCATTTTGCATTTCTAAAAGTGTGTTGAAAATTTCCTGATTTTTTAATTGTTTTATCTTTAAGCTATCTATTTCCTTGACTATTTCTTCCTTCACTTCCTGTATTTTTTTTTTATTATTATTGAATTGGGCTTTGCCCTTCGCTGGTCCCTCCCTGATTAGCTTAATAACTAACTTCCTGAATTCTTTTTTGGGTAAATCAGAGATTTCTTCTAGGTTTGGATCCATTGCTAGTAAACTGGTGTGATTTGGGGGGGGGGGGTGTTGATGAGTCTTGTTTTGTTGGTTTTCTGGTTCCTTCTCATTTGGGTAGGCTCTGTCAGAGTGAAAGTCTAGGGCTGAAGGCTGTTACTCAGATTTTTTTGTCCCACAGAGTGTTCCCTTGATGTAGTACTCTCCCTCTTTTCCTGTGGATGTGGCTTCCTGTGATCCGAACTGCAGTAATTGTTGTCTCTCTTCTGGGTCTAGCTACTCAGTGAGTCTACCCAGCTCTAGACTGGTGCTGGAGGTTGTCTGCACAGAGTCCTATGATATGAACCATCTATGGGTCTCTTAGCTTTGAATACCAGCACCCGTTCCGGTGGAGGTGGCAGGGTGTGCAGTGGACTCCATGAGGGTCCTTAGCTTTGGTGGTTTAATGCTCTATTTTTGTGCTGGTTGGCCTCCTGCCAGGAGGTGGTGCTTTCCATAAAGCATCAACTATAGTAATGTGGAGTGGGACCTGCGGTGGGCAGGGCCCTAGAACTCCCAAGATTATACGCCCTTTGTCTTCCACTACCAGGGTGGGTAGGGAAGGACCATCACGTGGGGGAGGCGTTAGGCATGTCTGAGCTCACTCTCCTTGGATGAGACTTGCTGCAGCCGCTGTGGGGGATGAAGGAGAGATTCCCAGGTCACTAGAGTTGTGTACTTCAGAGGATTATGGCTGCCTCTGCTGAGTCATGCAGGTTGTCAGGGAAGTGGGGGAAAGCCAGCAGTCACAGGCCTCACCCAGCTCCCATGCAAGCTAAAGGTCTGGTCTCACTCCCACTGTGCCCCCTCAACACCCCTAGTCTGTTTCCAGACAGAGGTCAAGAGGGTCTTGAAAACTTGCCTGAGGCTGTCTGGACCCCAGCTGTGAAAGAAAAGGGCTTTGGTTTATCCCCCCGCCTGTGAAGTCTGCAAGCAGGATTCATGCCCTCCCCTGAGTTCTGGCCAGGAAGATTCTTGCCCTGTTCAAATTGTTACAAATTCAGCTACAGAATTCCTTATCCCTTTGGAGTTTTGCCCCAAGCTCCTCTGGCCACCATCCTGATAGATCCCTGTGGTGCCGGGCAGGAATGGGCTGCCTGGGGACCCAGTGAGCTCCCAGGGCCTTTCTGCTGCTTCCTCTACTGCTGTATTTCATTTGGCTTGGCTCGCTACCTTGACTGAGCTCAAGGTAAAGTCAGAAACCTCTCCCACAAACAGATCTTCATCTTCTCCAGTGGGGGTGTGTGTCCAGGAGAAGCGGGTCTCCCTTTCCCACTTCCACAGTTGGGGCACTCACAGTATTTGGGGTGTCTCCCAGGCCCTACAGGAGCAGTCTGCTTCCTTCAGAGGTTCTGTGGGTCCTCTCAGGATTCCTGGTTTGTTCTTGCAGTTGATCTGGAGCTAAAATTCACAATGCAAGCCTTCGCATGCTGCTCTATCCAGAGCTGCAATCTAGTCCTGCCTCCCATCCTCCATGATCCCCTAATCTTTGCATCGTCTTTTTTTTTTTTAGACATAGCACAGAAAAATGCTTGTTTACTTGGCAGGCACCCTGGTAGCCAGATAGAAGTGCTTGGGCTGAGCCAAGTGCCTTGGTTACAAGTACGTCATCAGCCACAATTAAACCAGGAAATACAGGGCTCTCAGGAAGTACACTCGATAACGAAGCCTCAGTGAGCCAAAATTAGCCAATAATCAGCGCTACTCTTCATCCTGAAATGATGCAACCATATTTTACAAGGCAGTCCAGTAGTGGAAGACAGGCCTGAGGGACACACTAGACCCCTTGTCTAGCTTTGTCACCAGCTCACATGATTTTAGACAACCAGGGTTAAATGCCTTCCCAGTGTTTCAGCTTCTCTTTTGCAAAGTCTCAAATCTAGCCATCAGTGGCAGGATTTATAAGTTCATATGAGTGGCAAATTTATTGGACAATGACCTCTTTAATGCCAGGAACATTGTTTTCTTCTTTACATACACTGAGCACAATGCTTGGTGCAGTAGCCATTGAACTATTATTTGCTAAAAATTAACAGTCAGAAAACTAAATGATTAATGAGACCTATTAGTCATTAGCTGTTTGGACAAGCTTTCTGGTTGTCCATTGATACTATTAAGCACTGGGCTAGGAATGACTAGCCTAAGATCACTTATAGAGTCACATGGAAAAGTCTGGGGTGGCATTCTAGCCACAGAGCTATGCAGCCTGCCCAAACAGGGCTGTCTCCGTAACACATGCTCTCCTCCTACCAAACCAAAAAGAAAAGCAGCTTGGTTAGAGTCTTAAGATTCCAAGGCCCACTTATTTCTGGTTACTTGCTTTTGGCAGGCACTGCATAGATATCAAAGAAGCAGTGCTGAAATTGAAGAGATTTATCATTTTCATTCCTAGAAAGTTCATAGGAATCATCATGTCTTGTGGTACATGAGTACAGCTGGAATTCTTTGTATCCTAAAGAGGAGAAACACACAGGTGACCAAGGTACTGAGGCACCATTCCGAGAGAACTATAGAATCTTGTTTCTGTCCTCTAGTGATTTGCAATCTAATGTCTTCATGACTCTTTAAGGAAAGAACACCTACGGTTAGCATTAAGATACTGTTAACGAGCATGTAGGGAAGCATAGGTTCTGAAGTGAAAAGAACTGGTCTTACTAGTTTTGTGACCTCGGGCATATAACTTCGTCTCTATGGGCCGCAATTATCATAGCAGTTCCCATCTCTCAGCTTTCCTGTAAGACGCAGATGAAATCACGTATGTTCAGAGAGGCACTGCAAACTATAACACACATTATACTTGCTAGTCATTATTGTTTTATAGATACTTCTTTCTGCATATCCAAAAGGTAGAGATGTGAACTTCAAAAAAATGCTCAATTTAAAAGCAGTAATTCAGAGAACCATGACCGCAAATTGGGAGTGAATTCCAGCAAGACAGTGACCAAAAACTGAATGCTGGATTTAGCTAGGTGCCCGGAGATATCAGCGCACACCAAGGAGCTAATAATGTCTTTCCACAGAACTCTGTTTAGAACACTAAGGAATTTGGCCCTCAATTCTGGTGTCTCCAAACCAGAGTGATTTTTGATACCCAGGAATTATAAGAATTGGCATTTGCTCAACGTCTATCACATTCACTTATTTTTTTCACTAAACATTAAAACTTCTATCACATAGGCAAGATGAGGTTTTTATTCAGCTCTAAAAATCAAATGATAAAAGTTTCCAATCATGCCTGTGTGAAAATATTACCATTGGTAGAAACAAATTAAAATGCTAGAATGTCCACAGTGTGAGTACAACAGGCTCTCAATGAATTTATGTTTTCCTATAAACCTGTAAGCTTTCTCTGTAAAATAAGCAATTTTTTGGACAGTTTTTTTTTAATGGCCCAGTTTCTCTAGTCATTAGCAGACAAAATTTTTATGGATTTTAATACTTTTCTATTCAAAATAATTGTGTAATTTATGGTGGAATATGTGCCCAGTTACCATATATTTCTCGAGGTTTCTAGTTAACAACCTTTCCCATGCACAGTTTGACTGCTGATGTGAGTTGGTAAGAGGGATGCTTAATTTTCTTATCCTTCTGTTCTGTCCCTGCCTCCGCTTCCCCCTGGGGTCCTTCTGGCAATTGTCTGAGCGCTCCTGACACCGAAGCAAAGGAAACACATAGCGTCCCATCGTTCCTCTCAGGGTTTTATCCAACTGCGTCTGCAGGACCACAGGGAGGGAGGAATTTAGGTCCCAAACACATTTTTGTTCCTCTGTAGATGAGGTAACTCCTCCTCCTTTCTGTACTGTGATCAAAAACAGGCTGCACCCACCCACGAAAGGTCCGGGGAGGCTCCTGGCTAGAAACTGTGCAGGGCCCCTCCCTTGGAGCAGTCTGTCTCCATGGAGACCGACGCGACGGAGAAAACTCACACCGGGCCAGGTGGAGACCACAGCAGCGGGGGAGATACCGAGAGTCAACAGATGGGGAAAAACAAGAAACACTAAATGGGAGACTGAAGTGTTCGGGTGGGAGAATTTACTCCTTTGTAGCTGTTTTTTAAATTATTTCCTCATCTCAAAGACAGAGAGAGAAAGGGGTGGAAGAGGGAGGGAGGGAAGGAGGGACGCAGAGAGGGAGAGAAGACTGTCCTTGGATAAGTAAAACGAAAGCGTTAGCTTTTCATTTAATTACATATAATTTCCTCCAGGTCAGAATGTTCTGTAATCCGTTCAATGTTTATAATTGTGGATCTGCTCCATTTTCATCATGCAGCAGTAGTGAGAAAGCAGTTGATCATGGAAACCATTGCCTACACTTAGCAAATAATCAGTCCCCATTTAAACCCCTCATCAAGTTGTATACATGATATGATCTCTTAAGCGCTTGGCTTTTT
This sequence comes from Homo sapiens, assembly GCF_000001405.40. Taxonomy (NCBI): domain Eukaryota; kingdom Metazoa; phylum Chordata; class Mammalia; order Primates; family Hominidae; genus Homo; species Homo sapiens. Next base: position 34,751,007 of record NC_000013.11, read on the forward strand.
CTAGAATCTCATTAATTTCAGAGGGTGATTTCTAATGATCACATTTCAGAAATTGTCAGAAACGTTTTTTTTTTTTCCTTTTGTTGCTTGTTGCCAAGTGAGAACAATCTTGTAATGACACCCCACTTTTTAACATGCTTTTTCATAATGAGTCTTCAGGGGGAAATTCAACTTATGAGAACTAAGAAAAGAGTCTGCTACTTCGCATATCATCAAAACCATAGGAACATGGTTTTGCATGCATAATATGACATGGTTACAATGCCTGCACTGGGCCAGCTATACCCTACATAGATTATGAGCCATTGCTGCTGATCAATACAAGTGTAGTATTACTTGCACTTGCCAGTACACACTTTAACATAATCGATAACATATAATTTGTTAGCATTTCTAAGAACTAGGGAATAGAAGGGAAGTGTAAAAGATCAAAACACAAAGTCTCAGATTTGCCTCTGAACAATTCTATTATGTGCCGCAAGTCAGGAAAAGCTAATGTGCTCAATAGCACAACTTTTAAAAAGCACGATTATGTTTTGTTACTTTCTACCACCACTCAGGATTTACCTTAGTCATTAGTATTGTTTTCAGACTAAACAGAGAATAACAGTGAAGAGAGAAGAAGCTCATAAATAAGATGCATTTATCTAAAACCCCCTGTCCTTAGAGACCAAGAATGACTTTCCTCTTGGGACTTGAGGAGCGGAGGTGACAGTCTTTGTCACAGGAGCTGAAAGTGAAATGAAGTGATGGTCTCAACCACACTCCCAAGGGAATGATTTTTAAAGAAATGCCTTTGACTTTATTCAGTGACACAACACCTTTTTCATGATACCGCAATGTTGTTCTGTTACATTGTCAGGAATCCTTGGATACAGCACAAATCTGTGCTATTTCAAAGCTATTTCAAAAGGCCTAATAATTCCTTATATTTATCAAGTACTCTAACAGCCAAGACATGAAAATATTCTAATTTTCTTTGCTCAGTGTTAGAGTTTAGTTTAATTCATGATGCTCAAAGTCAGTCCTTCTGCAGAATTTGAGTCAACTGAAAAGATCTGCATGCCCAAAATATACCTCTTTTGTCCACCTGAAGCCCTATTATTGGAGTCCACATAGATTCGCACAATATTTCCCGAGGAACTAAAATTTTAAATTCTATTATCAATAGTTAACTAATACTAGTGAAAACTGCTTAGCTAAATGAAGATACTTGAGGAAATATGACCAGAGCAGGTAAAATAGGCAAGAGATATTCAGAGATAGAGATTAAGGGAGAGAGAAAGAGAGTTTATTTCGGCATTTATTGAAAACATACTCTGCACATGAAACTGGGCATTCTCTGTGCAGTATATTTTTTAATCTTCACAATAAATTATTACTGTTCCCATACCACACAATAGGTCGCACAGCCTGAATCTAGCTATGCTGATGAGAGAACAGGAGTGATGCGTGGGTGTGGAAAGTCTAGAGAAGGCTCACTGCCTGAGAGGATCTGGTGACAGCCAGGACATAGGATGCTAGACGTCAAAGGAAAAAGCTCCAAAGACAAATTCCACCAAAGGGGTGACCCAAAGTGACACAACAGAACCCTAAAATTGCCTCTATTTCATGATCATTTTTAAAACACTTGAAAAACAGGGAGGACAATGATTCATCGAGAGGAAACTACAAGCCCTCTTCAATTCTGAGATACTTCAAAAACAGCAGTAAAGTGTTAAGAGTTTATTGCCGCCGAGAGCTGTGGCTCACACCTCTAATCTCAGCACTTTGGGAGGCCGAGACAGGCGGATTACTTGAGGCCAGGAGATAAGAGACCAGCCTTGCCAACATAGTGAAACCCCATCTCTACTAAAAATATAAAAAATAGCCAAGCTTGGCGGCATGCACCTGGAAGCCCAGCTACTCTGGAGGCTGAGGCAGGAGAATTGCTTGAACGCAGGAGGTGGAGGTTGCAGTAAGCCGAGATCACGCTAGTGCCTCCAGCCTGGGCGACAGAGTGAGACTCCATCTCAATAAATAAATAAATAAATAAATAAATAAATAAACGTTTATTGCAAGAAGTAAGTGCGATAAGCTTGTGAATGTGGTGGGTGGGTGTGCATAGCGTGATGTGTGTGTGAACACACGAGAGTGCAGTACACATGTGAATGATGTGTATGTGTAGATATGTGTGTATATGGGGGAAGGTGATGAAGCACATTTAACACATTATTGCTTTGTGATCCTCTAAATAAATTTTCACACACCTGGGAAAATAAGCAACACTGAGAGGTGAAGCCAACTGGGCTTCTGGGTCCAGTGGGAATTGGAGAACTTTTCTGTCTAGCTAAAGGATTGTAAACACACCAATCAGTGCTCTGTAAAAATGCACCAATCAGCACTCTGTAAAAATGGACCAATTGGCACTCTGTAAAATGGACCAATCAGCGCTCTGTAAAATGGACCAATCAGCAGGAGGTGCACAGGGCCAAATAAGGGAATAAAAGCTGGCCACCCCAGCCAGCAGCAGCAACCCGCTCAGGGGCAGTTCCACGTTGTGGAAGCTTTGTTCTTTGGCTCTTCACAATAAATGTTGCTGCTGCTCAGTCTTAGGATCCGCTGTATCTTTATGACTGTAACACTCACTGGGAAGGTCTGCGGCTTCACTCTGGAAGTCACCGAGACCACGAACCCACCAGAAGGAAGAAGCCACTCCGGACGCGCCACCTTTAAGAGCTGTTAACACTCACTGCGAAGGTCTGCGGTTTCCCTGCTGAAGTCAGGTAAGACCACGAACCCACCGGAAGGAAGAAACTCCGGACACATCCGAACATCTGAAGGAACAAACTCTGGACACACCATCTTTAAGAACTGTAACACTCACCGCAGGGGTCCGCGGTTTCATTATTGAAGTCAGCCAGACCAAAAACCCATAGGAAGGAACCAATTCCGGACACAACACCACGTGAACTATCCCCCTATCTGACAAAATGCCCTGGAGAAAATAATTGTAGCTGTTATAACTGTACTCTTTAAATGCAAAACGGTACCAAAAAATTCCTCATAAATCTAAATACTCCCTAGAAGAAAATTTCTCCCACTCTTCAAGAGGTCCATTTAGCACCTTTTCATCTGTTTTCTGATCCCCAATATTCCTTGTAACCCACCTGTTATAGTAACTGTTAACTGATGACATTACCTCATACTTCACTGAAAAGCTAGACACAATCATATAGGAATTCCCGTATCTTTCTAGCATCATCTCCACCTGTGTTAGAAAACATATGCTCTGCTTTTCTTCAGGTTTCAATGGAAGAAATGTTTGTCTTCTCAGCATAGGCTACCATAGTGTGCTCTGGATCGGATCCTCTCTATGCTTCTCAAGGTTATTTCTGACTCTCTTTGGAATTATTAGTGTCTTTCTCTCTCGTTGCCATGAGCATACAAATTTGCTGTAGGATCTCCCTTTTTTAACGAGTGTTTCCATGATCCTGCAATCCTCCACAAAGGCTGCTCCGAATCCTCTGCTCCCTATCATAGCAAAACTGATTAAAATAGCTCTCTAATATTCACTTCCCCTATGGCTTCGCTTCCTGACATCTCTTTGATCCCCTTCAGTAGGGTTTCTCTCTCTCACTCCAACCCAACGGAACTGCCCATAACCAAGCACCAGTGACTGCCTTACTACCAAAGACAATCTTTAATTCGCCGACCTTATTGCGTGCTCTCAACAACAGTTTAAAGAGTGAACAGTCTCTCCTTATTGAAATGTTTTTATTTCTTGGTTCCCATGAAACCCACCTTTTAGCTTTCCTACTACTTCCCTGTCCATTCTTCCTCAGTTCCTTTACTGGCCACTCCTCTTCTGCAAGACTCCCATCTGAGGTCTCAGGAGTCAGTCTTTATCATTTTTCTATCTTTGATCTATGCTTTCCCTCTTGGTGATCTCCCATAGCTATAGATGACACCTAATTGCATCCAATTTTTTACATTTGGGCCCAACCTCCTTGATGAGATTCATACTCTAATTAATCTAACGGACTACTTAAAATCTATACTTAGATGTAAACTTAACATTTACACCTCCAACTTAACATATTCAAAACAGAATGTGTGTGCTTTGCCTTTTTGTTATTGGTGGGGTGTGTGTCTGCGTGTGTGTGTGTGTTGGCCTCCAAAACCTGTTTTTTCCTCCCAGTGGTCTTCTATATGTTAGTAAATAGTGCCATAATCCAATAAACTTACGACCCAATTTAGAGTACAAACCTAGGAATCATATCTACCTTCAAAATATACCCTGATTCCACCCATTTCTCAGTTTCTATTGCAAATACCTGGTGTCAGCCACTGTGTGATCTCCTGTCTGAACTATCTCTTGCTTGCAGACCTGCTCCATCTCCATCCTGATATCTAGTCTTCACACCGAATCCAAAATAATGTGTTTAAAACATTCATCACATCAATTGTCTAGTTAAAAAACCCCCAATGACTTCTGAGTGCATGTAGAATAACATCCAGATTCCTTATTGTGTCCCTTAAGGTGTGGGATTTCTCTTAATATCTTTGTCTATTCTCTGACTTCCTCTCCCAACTCTCCTCTTTTGCTCACTGTGCTCCAACCACAATGGCCTTTGTTATACTCTCTAAATAAGACAGCCCTATTCTGGTCTCCGGAGTTTGCACTTGCAGTGGCAAGTCACTCTACCTGGGTCACTCTCCCCTCTGCTCCTCATCTAACTGATCCTAATCACTAGGTCTCCTCTCAGATGCCAACTCTGCAGAGATACTTCTGCAGACCAACACATTTAAAATTGATCCATATCCCCCACTTCATTCACTATCACACCATCATGTTTTATTTTCTTCATATAACCTGTAATAAAGAAAAATTCTTATTTGTGTGTTTAATCTTCACCCTAGAATATAAGTTCCATGACAACATGTATGTCTTGTTCATTTACTGTATTCCAGGCGCTTAAATCAGGGTCAAGAAGTAGTTGGTGTTCAGTAAATATTTGTTGAATATAGAGATTGATTAATTATAGTATGTTGTGAATCCTCAATCAGGTAGAAGTGTCATAAGCTAACGATCTGAGCTGATGCACGAATATAGTCTTTTCTTGATAGTTTTAGTCTTGTGCTAAATCACAATAAATACCCTCTAGGCTTAATAGGAGAATGTCACCCAAACACTTCAGGCATGTGGAGAATGTTTTAATGACAGTAAGAACACGCGAGGGGAATTGTTCAAGCTCTATGCTTCATTTCTTTCTTCAACATGGCAGCATAATTTAATTATACGGTGCCATAAACACCCTTATGCATCCAAAGTCAACAATATGTTTACCATAGCCAAGTTGTACAGTTATGAAAAGTTAATTTTTAATCATTTGGTGAACTAATCTTTACTATATCTTACTAGATACAATTACATTGAGATTTGCTGTGTGTTGAAAGGAGATAGATGTCAACTGTCAAATTGCCAGAGTGGCTGTAGTAATATCATACCAAGTAGATGTAAAACAAAAAAAATGTTTCTAGAGTTAAAACGGGACATTTCAAAATGGCAAGAGGGTCAATTCATCAGGAAGATAACAAAACATGTATACACCTAATAAATACACAAAGCAAAAATGGACAGAATTAAAGAAGTATGAAATTCAACGATAATAGTTGGAGTCTTCAATCCCCTCACTTTAATAATGAATAGAACAAGGGAGAAGATCAACAAGGAAATAGAGGACTTCAACAACACCATAAACCAACTAGGCCCAACAGACATCTATAAAACAATCCACCCAGCAACAACAGATTACACATTCTTCACAAGTACACATGAAACATTCTCCAAGACTGATTATACACGAGGCATTGAACATATCTCAGTAAATTCACAAGGATTAGAGTTATGCCAAATATGCTCTCTGACCACAATGAAATTAAATTATCAATTAATATCAGGCATTTGAGGCATTTATAAATATGTGGAAATTCACAACAAAATTCTAAATAACCCATGGTAGGAGAAGAAATCACAAAGAAAATTCAAACAATACTTTGATATAAATAAAAACAAAAACACAGTATAACAAAAGTTATGGGATGCTGAGAAAGCAGTGGTCAGAGGAAAATTTATAGCTGTAAACACTTTTTTCTTAAAAAAAAAACAAAAAAAGAAGATGATCTCAAATCTAATTTTCCACGTTAACAAAGAAAAAGAAGAGGAAACTATACCCAAAACATGTAATATACTTTCTGTCTGTATAGATTTGCCTAGTCTATAGATATAATATAAATGGAACCATAATAAACATGGTCTTTTGTGACCAGCTCCCTTCATGGAGTAGACTGTTGTCAAGATTTATCTATGCTGTAGCATGTATTGATATTTCATTCCAATTGAGAAATAATATTCCTCTGTAAGAATGTACCTCATATTATTTAGCCATTTATCAGTTGACAGACATTTGGGTTGTTTCCCCTCTTTTGACTATTATGATTAACCCTGCTTCGAACATTCACATGCAAGTTTTTGTGTGAACAAGTCCTTTCTCCTGGATACATATTAATATCTAGGAGTACAATGCAGCATCATATAGCAATACTGTGGTTAACAATTTGAGAAACTGCCAACTGTATTCCCAAGAGACTGCACTGTTTTACATTTCTATCAACAAAGAATAATTCAGTTTCACCACATCTTCACTAACACTTGCTATTGTATTTTTTTAATGAAGCAGTATCTCATTGTGGCTTTGATTTGCGTTTATCTAATGACTAATGAACTTAAATATCTCTTTTATATGCTTATTGGCCATTTGTATGTTGTCTTTGGAGAAATGTATTCAAACTTTTTCCCAGCTGGGCATGGTGGCTCATACCTGTAATCCCAGCCCTTTGGGAGGCCGAGGCAGGCAGATCACTTGAGGTCAGGAGTTTGAGACCAGCCTGGCCAACATGGTGAAACACTGTTTCTACTAAAAATACACAAATTAGCTGGACATGGTGGCATGCGCCTATAGTCCCAACTATACAAGAGGCTGAGGCAGGAGAATTGCTTGAGCCTGGGAGGCGGATGTTGCAGTGAGCTGAGATCGCACCACTGTACTTTAGCCTGGGTGACAGAGCAAGACTTTGTCTCAAAAAAAAGAAAAAATCCTTTTCCCATTTTTGTTATCTTTTTGTTGTCAAGTTGCAAGAGTGCTTTGTATATTCTGGATATAAGTACCTTACCAAATATATTATTTACAAATATGTTTCCCGGTCTTTAGGGTGTATTTTTACTTGCTTTATTATTTTACATGTGGCGCAAATGCTTTCACTTAATGTTGTTCAGTTTATCTATATTTTTGTTCTGTCACTTATATCTAAGAACCCACTGTCTAATCCAAGGAAATTGAAACTTTACCCCTATGTTTTCCTCTTACATTAACCCATTTTGAGTTAATTTGTGTATGGGGTGAGGTAGGGGTCTAAATTCCTTGTTCTCTATGTAGCTATCCATTCATCCTAACACCATTGAAAGAGTATCCCTTCCTCTTTGAATTGTCTTAGTAGCCTTGTTGAAAGTCAGTTTATCACAAATATATGAGTTTATTTCTGTACTTCTTTATAGCTGTGACTCCTTTCTTATACAATTTGTAGATAGAATAAAAATGAACTCACGCTCGTTTTCATTGAAAAATTAAACTCAATACTTTGATATAAATAAAAACAAAAACACAATATAACAAAAGTTACAGGATGGTGAGAAAGTAGTGCTCAGAGGAAAATTTATAGCTGTAAACACACCTTTCTCAAACACACCTTTCTCCTAGACAGCACTCAAACACACCATTCTCCTAGAGCTATGCATTTTATCTTCAAGACACATGAAGAAATATCACAATACAATTATTATAATGGTCTGAGGGCAGGTCTGGTTGAGAACAAGATCTACCTAGCATTCCTTGAAACAGAGCTTCCAACTTCCTGCTAACATATCTATGAAGATACAGTACTTCAGGCAAAATATTGATTTTAAAGTAAGATTTTCTAATTCATAGGGAATTCTGTTTGTTTTATTTTTCTCAAATGGACTTTCTTTTTTAGGACAATTTTGTATGCATAGCAAAATTGAGAGGAAGGTACAGAGATTTTCCCTTTACCTGCTGCCCCGACACACATATAGCCCCTCCCACTATTAACATCCAGCACCAGAGTGGGACATTTGTTATAGTCAGTGAACCTACATTGATACATCATTGTTGCCCAAAGCCTGTAGTTTACATTAGGATTCACTCCTAGTGTTGTGCATTCTCTGAGTTTGGACAAATGTGTAATGACATGTACCCGGCATTATAGTATCATACAGAGTAGTTTCACTGTCCTCTGTGCCTCATTTATTCATCCCTCCCTCCCCTCTAACCCCTGGCAACCACTGATTCTTTTACTGCCTACATAGTTCTGCCTTTTCCAGAATCTCATATAGTTGGAATTATATAGTATGTAGCCTTGTCGAATTGGCTTCATTCACTTAGTAATATGCATTTAAGATTCCTCCATATCTTTTCATGGCTTTTTAACTCATTTCTTTTTAGCACTGAATAATATTCCATTGTCTGGTTGTACCACAGTTTATCCACTCACCTACTCAAAGACATCTTGATTTCTTCCACATATTGGTAATTACGAATAAAGCTGCTATAAACATTCATGCGCAGGTTTTCATGTGGACATGTTTTCAACTCATTTGGGTAAATATCAAGGAGCACAATTGCCGGATCATATGGCAAGAGTATGTTTTGTTTTGTAAGAAACTGCCAAAATTGTTTTAATGTAAAAAAACTGTATGATTCAGATGGAAAAATAAAGCTGCCTAAAAGGAAAACATTAGAAAGACCTAATATATAAATTTTAAATTACATTACCAAAAGACAAGGACTGAAATTCTAGAGAGTTTAAGCTCCACTTCATGTGGAGCTGTAATTAAGACTTTTCTATATGAGTATTGTCATTCATTTATGAAAGCAGAAGACAAATATTCTCAAAGATACAAGGGCTCAGACAATCTGTTACCCAGGTAACTTTTCAAAAATTACTTGAAATGAACTCTAAGCGTCCAAAGGATAAAGCAAATTAAGAATTCAAGCATGGAGAATTATTGTGTAAGAGGACCGGTGGTAAATACAATTTTCTCTGACCTCACTAATTAGAACAAATCCCACATTATAGGTTCTTTAGGACTTGGTACTTCTGACTGACACTTGTCACAGTTGCTGGTGTATACATGTTGCTAAAATTGCTTGATCAAGATCTGCGGCTGAGATTATACTATGTGGTCCCTCTGAGAAGGCAATGAGAGCTGTTGCTCACTTTTGTAGGTACTTCTGCCACCAGCATGATGCCTGGCATCAGGGCCGGCACTGCCTTTTTTGTAAATGAATGAGCATGAACAAATGAACCTGATGCTTTCTCTATTCTTGTACTTACCCACCCTCACCTGATTATAATATATGTCCGACACATGTCTCCTTTGTGAATTACTCAAGGACAAAGACGTTGCCACATTCGTCTCTGCATCCTAAGAGTGTCAGAACACTGCTCAAGCTAAACAGTCACTTAATATTTCCTGAATTATTGAACTGAATTCTCTGCCACATCTTCCCCTTCACTATACACCCCCACCACACAAAACAACCAAAATGGCATATGCTCTCTCACACCTCCATGCCTTTGTGTGTATTGTGTTTTATCCTGTGATATTTTTCTCCCACTTTCCCCACTTCATGTGAGTAGTTGCTTATCTATTCAGAGGGGTTTTGAATAGCTAAATAAATTGTTGGCCAACTTGGAAGTAGCGATATTAAATTGGGTACCATGCATCCCGGGAGAGTCTGTAAATGACAGCCAGGCATTTCTGAATTTACTTGAGTTTGGTTTTAGTATAGAGGAGAGCATTGTCTCAGAGGATACAACGTTTTCAAGGTTTGGTAAAAGAAGCTGGGCCCAAGGTTTAGCTACATTGTACTCAAATTATTTTTCAGTCTTTTGGTTATACTCATGAAGTTAACTGCTTTTAAGTTCTTTCCTTAAATTGGAAGATGAAAGGAGGGAAATTCCTCAGTGTCTTTTAAACTTTTAATCTAATTAATTGTTAAATCAAGAAATGTTCTTTATCAAAATTTCCTTTGGTTTACTGTACTAGACTCATTTTTTTCTATCATGTGAAAGTGCCAGAATTTTTGATACTTAGAGGATTCAATTAAAGTTTTAATGGGAAGATTTAGTCAATCTTTTAAAATCTGTTTTTTTAAAAAAGATTATACTTTCTTAGATGTCCACACTATAGTTAGATTTGCTTGTCTATAAATAGTCTCTTTTTTTGTACTTATTTTTGCTGAGATTTTTTTTTCTGCTCTTGAAAGTCTGAGAAAAATCTAACCCTACTTGGCTACTGATGAGAGCTTTCATGTACAGTAGTTATAAGTAGCACACCTGCTGAGAAACTGTTTGCACATAAGGAGAACTGAAGTGCACAGCTTTGCCTGAGAGAGTACCAGCAATTTGGGGTGAGCAAGGAATTCCAAGTAAAATGCGAATCAACATAAACTGATAGACCCATGGGTCAAAATAGACTAAAAACAATTCAAAATTGCTATGATAAATTAATGTGGAAAATATTACATGAAAGTCATTGCTGTGGATATCACATAAAGACATCTTACTGAGACAGAAAATGCCAAGGTATTACAAGAACAGCTGCACCATTCTTTATACCCTAAGCAAAATGAGGATGTCCTAGAAAGCAGCCCTCAAATTCTATTTTTGACAATGTCAAATCCATTTTATAAAATCTGAAAAGTTCTAGAAGCAGTCAAACATGGGAAGCAAATATTGCTCAGGATACCATTTCTTTGATATAAGAAAAAGTGAAATGTGTTGGTTCCTGCCTACAAATGCAAGAGATAGAAACCTGAAAAATTAAAGTTCTGTTATTAATCTACTTCACCCAATTGTCATCGCAATGGTTACTGATTATCAATTACTCTTGTCACTTATTGATTTGGCCTTGAAAAAGTATGAGTTCTAGGATAGGAGTCGGGGTTTCAGGAGACTGGTTTCAAACCTGCCATTTTCTAGCTGTGTGCCCATGAGTTAGTCCTTTCCTCTTTTGGAGTTTCAGTTTCTCTATTTGTAAAATTAGGAGGTTGAATAAAATGATTGCACTTTTGGTTTTGTGACTAAAGTTGGTTATATAAAAATGAGATATAGTTCATGATCTGGAAATGAGAACAAGATAAAAATCTGACAAAAGTTAAGAAAGGAGAGTTGACTTACATAAAAGGCAAAAAACAGCATTCCATTCATATATTGGCATATCAACATCTACAGATAAGTTTGATGTTAAAGATACAAAAAAGAATGGTAAAACTTTAAGCCAAGAAGTCCAAATAAATAGGTGACTGCATCCCAACTCTCCATGAATGTTAGAGGTTGTCTGGAGCAGGATATAAAAGATTCTAAGGCTCAGTCTGGCCTCAGTGGAAAAGAATGCTGTGATTTATTAACAATGTCTGCTTAGGCTCAGAAAGGGAAAGTGGCAGTGTTGCAAGATGCTTGCCACATAAGTTCTAAAACAGTATTCTAGCCATATATAGAAGATAGCTGTTACTAGTTTCTGAAGATACGTCTAAAACTTTAGGGCAGCCTCTATTCCCAAATATCACAACGTATAATCTGGCACATAAAACACAATAAAATATAACATTAAAATGTAAGTAAATCCTTTCAGGCCCGTACTGTTCTACAAATACAAATACTGTTCTAAAACAGTAAACAGTGGAAATACTGTTCTACAATTCAGATTAAAACAGAAAAGTTAGTTGCAACAAAGACTGCCACCCACCATCCAGTTGTCATTGATCTTTTCTCTGGCAATAGAAGCCCTGGTTTTATGTGGGCCCATGGCTGCCCAGAATATGTACACATTTCTTAGCCTGTCTTGCATATCGATGAGGCTATGTGACTAAGTGCTAGCCAATGAGACATGAACAGAAATGATGTGAGCAACTTCAGTGTTATACTTTTGTTGGGGCTCAGAAACCTGTACCCCAAATACGGCACTTTGACATGTTGGACTAAAGAAGCAACCTTGACTGGCTGCTGTGGCTCACGCCTGTAATCCCAGCACTTTTGGAGGCTGAGGCAGGCAGATTGCATGAGGCCAAGAGTTTGAGACCAGCCTATACAACATAGTGAAACCCCATCTCTACTAAAAATACAAAAATTAGCCAGGCGTGGTGGCACACACCTGTAATCCTAGCTATTTGGGAGGCTGAGGCATGAGAATTACTTGAACCCAGGTGGCGGAGGCTGTGGTGAGCCGAGATCTCTCGCCACTGCACTCCAACCTGGGCAACTGTGGAGACTCTGTCTCAAAAAAAAAAAAAAAATATATATATATATATATATATATATATATGCAGCAGCCTCAAGGTGTCTCTGACCTTCCCCCTCATATACACACCTGTCTCTCAATCCTGTCTGTCCCAAATCACAGGATGAAGCTGTCTGTCCTCTGAAGTCTGGATCCTCCTTATCTGCCAAAAGTATGGAACCACCAAAGAAGAAAACAGTTATCTCTGGTTCCTTCCAGGAGTGGCCATTAACTGAACTCAGGTCACAGGAAGAAAGACTGAAGTCTGTAAACACACCTGGACAGATTTTTGTCACCAACCATTGTCTTTCAGTCCAATTTAGTTTTTCAGAGAGAATCATTTACCAGCTGTTTTCTACTCTGCAGGCCCAAAAGACTTTGTCCCGGGCCACTGTATGTTCTCCAAGTCCATTTATTTCCCCAAAACATCCCTTACTATCCCTCAAATTGCCACATTTGCCCCAGCTCCTCTTTCCCTATGAAGAAGGGTATACCTCGTTTATATGTCTGCACCTCACTGGATTACTGGGTAATCAATCTCATGTGATTCTCCTGCACCTTTGAACATTAAAATAAATTTTGTAGGCCTTCTCCTACTAATGTGCCTTTTGTCAGTTGATTTCTCAGTGAACCTTCAGAGGGCAAAGGGGACTTTTCCTTTTGGCTGCTACACTCCTAAAGAGAAGGGATACGCCTACCCCTTTCCCTTTTCCTCTTCCTTCTAGCCACAATGCAGACTGGGTGGCGTGAGCCATGATGGGATGAAGAAGAGGTAACACCCGGGAGTTACCCATCAGCCTTAGCCTGCTTACACACGGGAGTTACATGCAACAGAAACTATTTTCTCTCTTGCTTAAGGCACTATTTTTCCAGCTTCTGTTAAACAACCAAATACATACCTTACCTAATAAAATAGCTACCCTGGGGTATGGGAATATGCATAAGAAATTCATGCTTCCTTGTGGGAAATGTGACATGATTCAGGAGAAAGTTATTCCCATGGTGCAGGTATTTCCAAATAACAGGAGGTGAAAGTTGTGATGTAGCTACTAAACAGATCTTTTGTTGAGGCTTATCTCTTCTATCAAAGTTGGCAACCTATGATCCATGGGCTGGATCCAACCAACAGTCTGTGCTTGTAAATAGTTTTAGAACACAGCCATGCGTATTCATTTACATATTTTCTGTGGCTGCTTTTCAAGTTACAATGGCAGAGCTGAGTAGTCGTGACAAAGACTACATGGCCTACAAAGCCAAAATAGTTACTACCTGGCCCTTTCCAGAAAGTTTGCTGGCTCCTGTCTTCAAAGATGGCAGCCTTTACACCCACGGGAACTCTAGCTAACTGATTTCAGATACCACTTTTTCTTTTTTCCATCTGGTAGTTTGCTCACATCTAAGTATTAATATACTCAATACTCTTCTTTCAGTTTATTCAAACATGCTATTTTCTGCTAAAGAACTATTTGAGAATTTTTAATTTCCTACTTCTTTCCTTGTAGTTACACTTGAGTGTCACTTAACTATAGAGACATTTTGCGCACAAAAAAGGTTATCTCTGCAATAGAATTAGTACATTACAAAGGTGAGTGGGGAAAACAAGTGGGGAGGGGCGCAGCGTTCTGGCTGTTGATTCTCCTGTCTCACATTCTGGCCTCAAAGCCAGTGAAATCCAAGTTCACACCCTGACCTCCAATGTCTCTGAGAACAGTGACTTTCTGTCACTGTTAAAGAAAATATATCTAAAATACTTAGAGCAAGACTGTGTTAAATCCAAAAATGTTATGGGTCTATTTTAGCAGAAGTTTTAAGATACGAGCCAATCTGAGTCTCGAAAGGTGAACTTGACTTGAAAAGACTCAAGCCATTAAGAAGTGATAAAGACTATGGAAAGCTATTGATCAAAATTAAGACAAGACAGAGAAACTCAATTGATACATGTGGATAAATCTACACATGGAAGGAAGTTGTGCCTTTCTTTTCAAAAATAATTCCTAAATTAGATTCGTTTTAAATATCCACCAACTATAACATGCCTGTCTTAATACCCGTGAGATTCCACAACCTAATAAAAAAAAATTTATGTTCAGAAAAATCTAACATTGCTGGGAGTATGTTTTTAAACTATATATAGTTGTGTATATATTTAGAAAATGTACTAATTTTATTATACTTATATTCTAGAGCTGTGCTCTCTAGTATGGTAACCACTAATCACATGTGGTTTCAAGGGCTATTGAGTCCTTGAAATTTGGCCAGTCAAAACTGAGATCATATAAAATACTCTCAAGATCCTAAAGACTTAGTGTGATACAAAAGAATGTCAAATATTTCAATTCTTTACATTTTGATTACATATTGTGATGATAATACTTTAGATACACTGGATTAAATCAAATATACTATTAAAATCAACATATCCTTTTTTAGCTTTTTAAACATAATGACTAGAAGATCTTAAATTATAAATGAGGTCCATATTATATTTCTATTGAACAGTACTGGCCTAGAGCACTGGTCCCCAAGCCCTGGGCCATGGATGAGTGCTGGTCTGCGGCCTATTAGGAACGGGGCTGCACAGCAGGAGGTGAGCGGTGAGCAAGCGAGCAAAGCTTCATCTGTATTTACAGCTGCTCCCCATCACTCACATCACCTGAGCTCCGCCTCCTCTCAGATCAGTGGCAGCATTAAATTCTCATAGGAGCATGAACCCTATTGTGAACTGCTCATTTGAGGGATCTAGGTTGCATGATCCTTATGAGAATCTAATGCCTGATGATCTGTCACTGTCTCCCATCACCCTCAGATGGAACCATCTAGTTGCAGGAAAACAAGCTCAGGGGCTTTCACTGATTCTACGTTATGGTGATTTACATAATTATTTCATTGTATATTACAATGTAATAATAGAAATAAAGTGCACAATAAATGTAATGCATTTGAATCATCCCCAAACCAAACCCCAACTCTGGTCCATGGAAAAATTGTCTTTCACAAAACCGGTCCCTGATGCCAAAAATTTTGGGGACTGCTGGTTTAGAGTATCTAAGAGTACTTTCTTCCTCAGAGGCAATTGTCAGCTTTGGACTTCTGAGAAACCTACCACCATGATACTGGTAACCAATAAATGTAAATTTTGTATTGGATATTTCAATGAAACGAAAAAAGCATTTTGTCTAATCCCAAAACATGGATTGTAGTTTTAAGACTCTATTTAGAAATAATAAAATAAAGTGTCTAACTTACATTTTTCTCCTTACTTTTCTCATTTTAATGTTACTGATTTCAAAGAGAAGATTTTGTTTGGATGGAAAGCAAGATGTGGTCTCAGTTATAAGTAGGAGGAGGGAAAAAGACCAAAAATAGAACTGACAAGAGAATGTTGCCAGATAAGAAACAATAACTAGACTTGCAATAAAGTTCGACCAAAAATAACCTCTGTGAAGAACAAAAAATGGAACACCTGAAATTATTTCTTTAGATGAAAACTTCTTCAGTGCTGCACCTTTACAATCAGCCTAGGGTACTAACATGGTATAGGATTAGACGAGGGAACAGCTTCTATAGAAAAAACACTTATTACTTCCTAAGATTCTTCATTGATATGCTCTCTACAGATAAGACAATCTTACTTAGCCAATGAATTTTTTAATTGGCACATCATAATTGTACATATTTATGGGGTACAAGTGAATGTTTTGATACATGTGTAGGTTGTATAATAATCAAATAAGGGTAGTTAGCATACCCATCGCCCCATAGATTTGTATTTTATTGTAGTGAGTTAGTCTGTGAACTCCAAAACATCATATTACAAAGTGCTTTTCTTCCTGAAACAGTTCTAAAATCCTAACTTAATTTTCTGGCCATTTAAATTTACTTTAATGAACTATTCTATTCAACCAATCACCATTCTTGTAAGTTCTTCCACAGAACAGAAGAGCATGTGCTGACTGACAGTACTCACCTGCCTCCCGGCCTATTGTTTTGAATGATTTACTCACAAAAGAAATATTTCACCCAGCAGAAAGGTGGAATATCTGAATGCACCTTTCAATCCTCCTAAGACCCACTTGAAAGTTATCTCCCACTGCTCTTTCAACATCACCTGTCAAGAATAAAAGTGTTGTGTCACTCAATCCAGTGGTTTGGACCTTGAAACCAGTGAAAAATGCTTGCTTTAACAGGCTGGCATGGTGGCTCACACCTGTAATCCCAGCACATTGGGAGGCCAAGGTAGGAGGATTGCTTGAACCTGGAGGTTGAGACATGCCTGGGCAACACAGTGAGACTCCATCTATACAAAAAGTCTAAAAATTAGCCAGACATCATGGCACACACCTGTAGTCCCAGCTACACAAGAGGCTGAGGCAGGAGGATCACTTGGGCCCAGGAGGTCGATGCTGCAGTGAGCTATGATGGTGCCACTGCACTCCAGCCTGGGCAACAGAGTGAGATCTTGTCTCTTAAAAATATAAATAAATCTTGTTTTCACTTTCAAGATGTCAGGAAAAGAAAATTAACCTCAGTGCCCAGTTATAGAAATGCCTGTGTGATCATTTCTGAAGACCAGTTGCTACTGAGGTCAACAGGAAGACATAAAGTCTGATTCTTCTGTTTCTAATTTACAGGTGAAAGAGTACTTCACTTGCCCCTGCACCTCAAAAACAAACAAACCCAAACAAAGAAAACCCCCAAAATGCTTTCCTTTTTCTTTTTAAATTACTGAAAGACCAAAGGCAAAAAGAAGATGTATGAAATGTTCAGAACACGGTATTTTTCTTTAATAGGGCTTGTGATCCTAGGAATAACAACCCTACCTCCAACTTAATGAACCTGCAGCAAGATCTTGCAGCTATGCCTCACCTAGAGTTGCAGAAGGCATATTCACAGGAACATTTAGTATTTGGACTGATGGAAGTAAGTAGAGTCTGTGCAGAGGGAAAAGAAACTTGAAAAAGACTAGAGAGAGAGAGAAAGAGAGAAAGGACAGGGTGGCACCTATTCTCAATCAGCCTCTGGGACTAGGTCTAATCTTCCCCAGAAAGGAATGAGATAGGCCATTTTGGTAAGAAAACTTACGAGACTGTACTCAAGCTTGAGAGTCTAATGGACAGGATGTGACTCCAGAGTCCAGAGGTATGGCCAGGTGTTGATGTGGTGAAGCAAGCCAAGGCAGGCTGGCATGGCACTGGTCGTGGGCCCCTCACCAGGGGTAGCTGAGGAAGTGAGTGTCCATATGAAAGACATTGAGTTCACCTATGTCCTTGATGGTATCATGCTCTTGCTTTCATCATCTTCCTCACTGCTGCCATCACAGTCTTCACAACCTCACTGTCAATGTGTTGCCTTTAAAAAAAAAAAACTGCTAATAGAAACAATTTTGGAGGATATGGCCAGTGGAATCATTGCTTCTGTCACAACGTCTGTGCAGCAATGGTGAGCTGTGGGCCAAGGTTGGACACCAGCAAGGAAGCACTATGGCCACTCTCCCAATGCAGCAAAGTTCTCACAATGGGTGCCACTGCAGCCACTGTGGCCAGCTGCCTGCTTCCTGTGGATGGACAGCTGAGGTGGACAGATAGGAAAAGATCAGAGAACTTGATCAAGGGCACACGTGAGACAGAGCTTTAGGAGGGACTGAGGTCTGGCCAATGTGTTCATGTGGCCTCCTAGTTAAACTCAGAGCCTGCAGGGGCTTCTGTGCTTTCAGATCACATGCAACCTTTCTACCAGAGAAGGAAGCATAAGTCAAGTCAGAATCCCCAATCCCAGGAGTGATATTATTACTATATATTTGGAACAATAAGCACAGAGAATACAACTTTTCATATTTCAGATTGGAATTTTCCATTTGAATAGGTGTTTCAATATTTATCTCACACTACTCGATAGGCAGACTCATGAACATGATAGTAAATATTTTTTGAAAATTGAATTATGTTTTACATTTCTCTAAGCAAGATCACGTGAAGGCCACAACTCCATCTTAGATGTTAATTCACCACGTTAATTTCTGGTTACTCCCCATTCCAGGAAACTCTCTAAGATTTCTACTTTATGTACTGTTACTGTAAATCTTGCCCTTAGGAAATACCCATAGCATTCTTGCCTTTCCCTACAATTGTCCTACACATTCCTTCCCTATGGTATATGAGTCCTGGGTCTGGGGGTAATAGTGCAGAGATCCACCATCTTTCCTGGCAGCTACCCAAGACTAGAGCTTCTGTTGGTAAGACCCTATTTTAATATTTATGTTTCTTTTTGATAAACTGGATTTGTCAGCCTCTTTCTTCTGCCTCTCAGCTTCCTCGGCTTTTAAGGGTAGGTTTGCATAGACGTGCTCACCACAGAACAGATGATATAGAAAGGAATCCATAATAACAGCCCTGGTTAAAACATCAACCACTAAATGCGTTTGTTTTCTACAACTGGATTTTTACATCCTATTTTCTAGAAATGGGATATAATTTAAATTGAATTCTACTTTTTTTCTTTCTTTCTTTCTTTTTGAGACTTTGTCTCACCCTGTCGCCCAGGTCAGAGTGCAGTGGTGTGATCTCGGCTCACTGCAACCTCCACCTCCTGGGTTCAAGCAATTCTCCAGCCTCAGCCTTCTGAGTAGCTGGGACTACAGGCACCCACATGCCTGGCTAATTTTTGTATTTTTAGTAGAGACGGGGTTTCACCATATTGGCCAGGCTGGTCTTGAACTCCTGACCTTATGATCCACCCACCTTGGCCTCCCAAGGTGCTGGGATTACAGGCATGACCCACAGCAACTGGCCAAATTCAACATATTTTTATTGAGCACTTAACATGTGCTATGCTTTGAGTTAGTTGCTAGAGACTCAAAGATGAATAAAACATAGTTCTTGTCCTTATAGTGGCAAAGGATTGTCAGAGAAGATAGATATAAGGTCATGAGGGAAATATCAGCATCAAGAAGGAAGTGATTAATTCAAGACTGATGGGGAGAAGTCAAGATAACATTATGGCATTGGAGCTGGAGCTTAAAAAATATTTGAGATTATACCAAGGTGCAGTGCCACATGCCTGTGGTCCCAGCTACGTGGAAGTCTGAGGAAGGAGAATCTTTTGAGACCAGGAGTTAGGGTCTGCAGTGAGCTATGATCACACCTATGAATAGCCAGCACTTCAGCCTAGTCAACATAGTTAGACCCCATCACCAAAAAATATATACACCAGGTAGTTAAGCAAGGGAGGGGTGTTCCAAACATAAAAAAATATGTACCTGGGGGAAGCTAGATGAAGAGTACACTAGGATCTCTCTATATCATTTGTGCATTTTCCTGTGAACCTGTAATATTACAAAAGTAATTTTTTTAAAATAAAAAAGGACACATGCTAGTGTTCATATATATGAACATGCATGATTTTTAGGAGAAATAACAATCCTGGATGAAGGATTGGGATAGGAGGTGTATTAGTCTATTCTCACACTGCTATAAAGAACTGCCCTAAACTGGGTAATTTATAAACAAAATATGTTTAATTGACTCACAGTTCCACATGGCTTGGGAGGCCTCAGGAAACTTACAATCATAGCAGAAGGGGAAGCAGGCCTCTTCTTTACAAGGTGGCAGGAGAGAGAGAGAGAGCATGTGGAGGAGGAACTTTCAAACACCTAGAAAACCATCAGATCTCATGAGAACTCACTCACTATCATGAGAAGAGTATGGGGAAACTGCCCCCGTGATCCAGTCACCTCTCACCAGCTATCTCCCTCAACACATGGGGATTATGAGGGTTACAATTCAAAATGAGATTTGGGTGGGGACACAAAGCCTAACCATATTGAGAGGATACTGGACAGGGAATCAGGAATCAGATTGTATTGGAGAAAAATAGCTGGCAGCAAGTGGAAGAGTCTTTGAACAGATAAACTAATTAATATATTATTTTAATAGCTCCAAAGAGAAATTATGAAAACCTGGGACTAAATCTGTGGCAGTGGGAAAGGAGAGAAGAGAAAAGACTGAAGAAAAGAGCAACAGGTGTTAGTGATTCTGATAAAGAGGAAACAAGCAAAGATAACTTTATGATTGGGGGAAAATTCATACTATTCATCATTGTAGAGAACAACCAAAAAGGCTTTTAGAGTGAAAGACAGTAAATTCAGTTTGGAACTATTGAAATTAAGGCCAACACCATGTGGAACATGGATTGGAATTCAAGAATAAGGTCTTACAAATGTGCATTTTCTGTACTGCTTAAGAGTATTCAATTCTGCTATAGAAGACAAGAAAAGAAACCGGATGGACTGAATTCATAAGAATTATTAGGCATATTTAGAAAAAGTTATAAAAATATGTGAAACTCAGACAATGCGTTAAGTATAGATAATGGGTAAGCAAGTAACTTGTGAGACATTGGTAAAATTAATGTGGCATGTTATATATAGACAGAGTAACGTGTAAGGCCTGCCAATCATTGATCAATAGAATAAACTGAAAATACAATGGTGCACAAAGGAGTTTTGTTTAAGATCAGATAGAAATAGATGGAAAAATCAAATCATAGTACCTCTAGGATGACAGCTATGTCACCCTCAAATTCAGCCACCTATTGACGATACCCACTCTGGTCTTATTCTGGCCTATGTGCACTTGTGTAGAACAAGCATGTATCATTGGCTCAGGACTCCTTTTGTCTGTGAACCTGTAGCTTAAACCTCACCTCTGGTTCTCAAAATCACATTATTGGCAAGGAAGGCTGACATCACTCATTTTTTATCCATTTTCTCAGCATTGGCAAGTAAGAGAAAGAGAGAAGATATATGAACATTATGATATCTAGGACTCAGGTACTGTGTTCCTTTCGTCCACTTGGACTTAATCTAAGAATGTTAACTTACCCTATCTCCTTACCCTTGCCTCTCATTGTGTTTTTCAAATTGATTCAGTAAACTATGATACAAGTATCTTAATTGGTCCCTAAACCTTTCTGCTCTTTGATCTCTGAGATAACATGCTTCATAGTGCCCTTAGAAGCTACCATTGCCTCAAGGTAATTCCCTGCATGATTGGTCTGGTCTGGAGGACTATAATCATTTAGGTGTTTGAAGATCAGATAACCTAACTAGACCCCAATTACTTTTAACATAGTAAATTTAACGTATGTAAGTTTTCAACAAATGTAAAACCCCATAAGACAACACCAAGCCTCTACCTTCAAAATACTAGAAGTTACCTCTTTTTATATGCTTCTGAAATTTTATGATATAAATTTTGCCTTTGAGGGCAAAAACCATACCCTATTTATCTTTGTATCTCCATACCTAGCTGAACACCTGTAATAGTGCACTCAATGTATTTTTGTTGAATTAAAGAATAAGTTTCAGTGCATTTTCATAATGCAGATATTTACATAATAATATTTATATGCTGACTCTGACAAAGCTCATTATTAGATTTAATAAACAGATTTATTTAAAATTGTATAGATTAAACCATTCATCCAGACAGAGATTGTTGTGGAAAAAAACTGAATTCCTCCTGGACAGGACTGACAGAATGAAAATTACTTAAATGACGTGTTGGTTCAAGACCCCAGGATCACCAAACCTCAATTTGGTTTTCAGCAGATTATGACAAAGATCCCAAATTCTCTACTCATTGTCAAAGCAAGTTAGCAAGCAGATGTGATACTGTGCAAATATGGAAAAGCAAATCCATGTCATACATGCTGTGTTTGTTCAGGAATAGTGGAGCAGAGAAGTGACGTGAGTGTCTAGGTAAAGTCAAACCCTAGCACATGAAAAAAACAGAGAAAACAAAATGAGAGTCTTTTTGTTTCTTCATCGGGAAAGATGTTTAAGTCTAAGACAAGCTAGATATATTATGATTTGTTCAGACAATAAAATATTTTCAGTTGTCGAAAAGATGAAAAACAACTTATGAACTGATTTGGAACAATCTATCAGATATATTGCCAAGCAGAAAAAAAATAAGGTGAGAAGCAGTTTGTATGTCCTGCTAATATTTTCTGCATAAAGTTTTGTGGAAGAATACACAGTATATTGATTACACTCGTTACAGTGGTTGACTTCAGGAAGGAAAACTGGGTAGGATAAGATATAGTAGAAAGCAAACTAGTTTTTTGATTTTGCATATTTTTAAAATTTTTTATAATTTTTCATGCATTATGGTTTCAAAAAGGCAAAATGGAGTAAAATAAGTAAAAGAATTTTTAAAATTTAAAGTCAGTTTTTTTGTAAAATACTCTTTCATCAGGGTATGTAAAACTCAGTGCAGTAAACAAATGTATTTCCACTCCTGTTTATGTCTATAGTACATTGTGCATTGGAGGATTTTTCATTTACTATCTGTTGAGCCTCCAAAAACAGGATAAGAGATTACCATTTCTAATTATGTTGTGCATAAAGTTATATATTTAGAGTGCTTTTCTTTTGATTTAATAAATATATCACATAGTCCATTAACTCACTAAGCCCTATTCAACTCCAAAGGTTCCAATATACATGATTTCACAAATGAAAAAATTAAAAAAAATAAAAGCTTTGACTCACATAAACAATATAGAGAAGAAAACGAAATACATGTACCTTGGTTTTCTCATCTATAAAATGGGAATGATGAAGGTATTTAGCCTGCCAATAATGTACATGTAAAACTCATAATAAATGGTAGTTGTAACTAATGTAACTTAAATGTCAAACGAACAGATGCTTGTTCTGTATAAGTATTTATGTCCAGAAAACATAAGCTTATTGTCTTATTTAAATAAAACTGTAAATGCCTAATGATGCTTGGTGATGGCTATTATCTTCCTATCACAGCTTGGCAAGGATCTCTCCCAAATATCTATGATTACCCATTTGAATTGGAAATGGCCCATCTCCCAGCATATTCACAATTAGCTGCTTCAATGGCATTGGTAAACAAAATAACCAAATTTTTGTTCAAATTTCTTACACATTGTAAAGTTCATCTAAAATGGTTTTTTAAATGTAGATTTCTTATTTAAAAAAAAGAAAAAGAAGCATACCATATATTGACCTCTGAGTGATGAAGAACTTGAATTAAGATCATGAAGATACTAAGAATCCACATTTGGAAAAGAGAGAATTAAATTTATCTTCCTAAAGACAAATTTAAAGACAAGTTTAAAAACAATTCATTCCGATTTGTTAAATTGACCAGGTAACCACCCTGTAGTCTATTTTTATTGCCTTTGTAAACACAGGTGGGGCATCATTTATCTGGAGCTTTAGTGAAGAATCATGTTGGTGTCTTAAACCTTCTAAAGAGGTTTATATTTAAAGGACTAGTCCTTGGGAATAAAGATAAACCAGGCTAAATCACTTTTGGGTATACATGCTGTCCACCAGAAATTACCTGATTGATTTTTTAGTTATGCCTGCAACACAAACTCCTTCCTCTTCCAGTCCCTCAGTGATGTCTGTCCTCAACTGGTTAAATATCTCACCACCACCATGAAGGGAGGGGTGCATCAAGAGCCACTCAATACCTGTCAGTGACCACTCAGAAGTTTGGGGCAACAGGGAGAGAAAGAGAAACAAAGGCAGAATACCTGTACATGCCTCTGTGAGTCTGTGTACACAAAAGGAGAACTGAATGGGGAAAGAGAGAGAGTAAGGATCAGAGAAACCTTGAGGAGCCTGGGAGAAGGACCATTTTTGGAGGAGACCTGTGTTCTATGACTCAGACAGGGGAGGAATCAGGATGATTTTTCAAAGGTATGATTTCTGAGACTTAACTTATGTTCAGTCTACTGAATTCCATGGCTGGAGCAAACAAACAATGAAATCTGCTCAGGAAAACAATGAAATGGTATCACAAACGCATGTTTTTTTAAAAAAAGAAAGAAAGAAAGAAAGAAAACCCATCAATCTCATCAAGGCGCCTGGATCCTGAAAAGGAAGAGGAGAACATACATGTTTGAAACGAGGAAAACTATGCATAACCATTCCCAGGACACCATTCACTAAATGTCAGGAACTAGAAGGGTTCCTGAGCTCCTAATATTGAGCAGGTACAATCTCATGACACGAGGATGGAGAAGCGACTCTGATTTCCAGTGCATGATGGGGTGTCAGGAGTCCTTAGAAAGCAGATTCGTGCTTCTAAAAAAAACCGAATTTTGGTTTATATCTACTGAGAACTTACCTAGCTCCTAACCACTGAAATGAAAAGGTGTATTTTTGAAGTTATTTCTGAGAGTGGAAAAAGAAATGCTCCACTTTTGAGCCTTAATAAAGTCATGTTAGGGCAGTAAAGGCCATCTACTTTAACAAAAGCAACCGTGTCCAACTATATCATTTATATCGAGTGGTGAAAACCATTGCAGGATCCACTATAGCATATCAGAATTACAAAGAGTAAAAAAAAAAAACAAAATGTTTGATCTCTTTACTTCAACTCAGAAATTGCTGAAATTCATAACCGTATTAGGAGAAAATCAACAGAATGGGCAAACTTTTCTCACAGGCAGAAGAGCCTTAAATTTACTCTGATTTTTAATTTCATTTAACATGTATTGCTATACTAAGGAAGGCCTTCTGTATAAATAATAATCAGAAAAAGAGAAGGTCTTTGAAATGGGAGAGGACAGTTTAATGTTTTCACCGGTATATGCAACCACGAGTCCAGTTGTAAATCTTTTCAGTGCTGTCTAGCCTGGAAAGGGGAGAATTATGTACTGGAATATGCAAGAGAAGGCTGGAAGTCCTTATGCAGATGTAAGTTGATTAAAATTAGCACTTCATGAAATTGCTTTTTTTTTTTTAGATGAAAAGTGATTCTAAGTGGGACACAGCTATAAAAGTAAAAAGTCCTCGTTTTTCAATCTGTGCTAAAGGTTCTTTCCATGAGCGACCTTATTTGGTGCTTTAACATAAGATTATAATATGCAACAACTTTTAAAATAGTTTTTCCTTTTTCTTGTTTCAGTTGTTATGAAAAACCGCCATGATTATCTGGAGTCAGAGTAAGTAGCGTGGTAGAAAGAGGATTCAAACCTCAAGCTTAGGACTAATAAATGCCACATAACTTTGGACAAACTACTTAACTTTGTAGCTATGGATTCACCTTTAAGTTTCCCTCATAAAGTGGCTGAGAGGAGTAAGTAAGAGCACTCCTACTGAGCACCTTTTCAGTGTCTGGCACCATCCACATGGCTGTCAGTAGCTGTTACTATCATTATCAGTGTCCGTAAGTGGTGTTAGATTTAGTGCCAATGCTGTTACTGTTGGGGAGGAAAAGAAATTCTTCTACATTCTACTCATCATAGGTTCTCCAACTGGGACCTGGCAAATTAGATTGACAATGAAATAGCAAGAGAAAAACAAACAGAAGTTTAACATGAGCATCTTGCATATACATGGGAATACTCAGTGATGAGTAATTCAATAAAGGTGGTTAAGACTTGGGTATATATAGTATCACAACAAAAGAACAATAAATTTTAGAGAGACAAAGGAAAAAGACTGAATTTCTAGTGCAGGCTGGGCCTGATGGCTCATGCCTGTATCCTAGCACTTTGGGAGACTGAGGCTGGAGAATCACTAGAGCCCAGGAGTTCAAGATCAGCCTAGGCAACATAGGGAGACTCCATCTCTATCAAAAAAAAAAAAAAAAAAAAAAAATCTAGGGCAACAAACAAATATATGAGGGAAACTGATGGAAGATAAGAGCTAGTTAGTAAGGTTTGTTATGTAGATTCCCTGTGCAGTCAAACATCTGAAAGCTGACAAGCATCTAGAGTTGTCTCTGGTGATTAACTTCCTCTTTGGTAGAGAGGAGAAAGGAGACACCTGTACAAATTTATGTCTTGCTTTTAGAAAAACTGGGGGAAGGCAGGGCGCTTTTCTTGTATCTGTTTTTTCTCAATTGCTTTCAGCTCAAAATAATACTATGCCAAAGTGGCATATTTGGGGGTGGCACATTCCTCCACCCTTTGTTATTCAATTCTGCAAACTTTGGTTGCATACCTGTGATATGCTAAGTACTACACAGGTGCCTATGAGAAGTTTATAATCTTTTAAGTACACAAATAACTGAGTCCGTTTGATTTGAAAAAAAAAAAAAAAAAGAGGGAGGAGAAAAGAGGTTAATGTCAAGCAGGAATTTTAACTGAAATTGAAAATCCCCTTGGATTGCTGACTCAGATCCACTACTACCATGACACTGCAGAGGCTGCAACCTGATGCTTCTGAAAAATTATACTCAAAGATGCAAAGGGCCTGTTTGTTGTTGTTGTTGTTGATTCAGAGTCTTGCTCTGTTGCCCAGGCTGCAGTGCAGTGGTGCCATCTCGGCTCACTGCAACCTCTGCCTCCCACGTTCAAGTAACTCTCTTGCCTCAGACTCCCTAGTAGCCGAGACTACAGGCATGCACCACCACACCCAACTAATTTTTGTATTTTAGTAGATACGGGGTTTTACCATGTTGGCCAGGCTGGTCTTGAACTCCCAACCTCAGGCGATCCGCCCACCTTGGCCTCCCAAAGTGCTGGGAGTACAGGCGTGAGACACCGCACCCAGCTATTTTAAGACTACTTTGTTTCATTAGTATTTTTAAGATAATATGCTCTTCTGAGAGATCTTCCTCATGTTATCAAACTAATTGGTTCACTACACTACCAACATTGCCAATTACACCCAAGTATCTCCCATCATGTACTTGGGTTGCTTCTATTCAAGCCCTCTGTACTGCTGACTCACCAGCATCAAAAGAAGTGCATGCTGCCTATCACTGACATTTCTTGCCGGCATAAAAATTGGACCGAAGCACTGGCAATTAATATTTCCACTCTTGTCTGCCTGACATACATATCATTAGCGGTACTTCACCTGTAGAAATGAAATTAAATTATGGAAAAAATAGGGATTTTTAAGACCCAAATCAATGACAGGTGCACTTTACTTCCAGAAATGAGGGAAGACTAAGGCATGGTGTAGTTTTGAGTACATACTTTTAATTACTATTTTTGTTTTGTTTTGTTTTGTTTTTCTGAAACAGGTTGAGGCAGGAATGACATAGCATTCATGTCATTGCATCACTTTAAGGTCCATAAAAGAATCTGATTTATATGTGGAATCTAAAAAAGTAGAACTCAAAAAAGTAGAGGATAGAACGGTGGTTACTAGAGGCTGGTTGGGGCACAGGGAAGAAGAGGAAAAGGAGAGACCTTTGGGATCATTCCACAATGTATTGATATGTTGAAACACTACATCATAACCCACAAATATAGACCCCATAAATTATCTTTTATCAATTAAAAATACAAGTGTCAAAAAATTTTTAAACTCCACTAAAAAAATTAAACTCCTAAGAGAATCTGATTATTATTTTGTCATTTAAGTATTTTTGGCACTCAAAACTAATATAATCTATAAGTAAAAAATCACAAGTAATTAGTGTGAGCCCCAAGTCTCCTACAAGCTACAACCAAACCCAAACCTTACCAAATTTTTTAGAACCATAGACGATGACGGTGACAAGACCAAAGCTCTGCCTCAAGTGGCATCCAGGCCCACCCCTGGCTGTGAGGGGTTTCTCTCTCCTAAGTTTCCAAAACTCAGGAGAAATCTGGAGGATAGCATCGACTCCTTCTTCCTGTGTGACACTTTGGCACTCTCCTGTTACTCACAAAGCCAGTCCCCCAACAGATGAGATCTTTCCCCATTTGGTGTCACAAAGCCAATACATAAAACTGAAAGTGAGTGTTAAGCAGTGCAGGCTTTATTTGCTGGCCATGGAATTCAGAAGCAGGAGAAAGGCTCACAAGTCAACTTGACTAAGGAGTGGGTTAAAATATAGGGTTTCTCTAACGAAGGGGTTGGACCTTAAAAGTGAAGGGAAGCATATTCATATCTTTCCAGAAATGGGAGGTGAACTTTCCGGAACCAGAGCGCCACCTTCCTGTCTGTCCTTTCATGGCTTCTTCCGGTTGTTGTCATGCCAATTATCAACAGTCATGGTGCTGATAGGAGTTTCATCTAGCATGGCAATGAGATTATAATGAAGCCTGAGGTCTTGCTGAAGTTTTTGGGTCAGTTATCTTGGTTCTAACCAGTCTCAACCGGCCTGGTTACAAAGGGAAATTTTTATCACCGGTGTCCTGTTTCTTAAGCAGGGTTAGGGCCAGATAGAAATTCATCAATGTCTCATCTCCTTCAGATCTTTACTCAAATGTCACTTCCATGAGTGCTTTCTGGGTCACCATTCCTAAAAGGGCACATATGCCACAGCCCTTATCTCCCGCTGATACAGAATACATCTGGCTTATCACCCACCTCCCCCTACTAGAATATTAGGGCCATCAGAGACTTTTGTATGTTTTGCTCATGGCTATACATCCAGGGCCATACTAGTACAGTGCCTGGTACGTAATAAATGTCAAATATTTGTGTTGAATGCAGGAAAGACACCTTTCCCTCCTGAATGTGGAAATCTACAAGTCCATGCAAGTTCCCTGGAGCCTACTGTAACAGCAACTTATATTAAGAAAATTAACAAAAACTTGAAAATAAGGTACAATAGTCCCCACTTACCTAAGTTTCACTTTCTACAGTTTCAATTATCTGGGATCAACCACAGTCTGAAAATATTAAATGGAAGATTTCATAAATAAACAATGCATATGTTTTAAATTGCATGCCATCCTAAGAAGTATGATTAAGTCTTGCACTGTCCTACTGCATCACACCCAGGATGGGAATTGTCCCTTTGTCCAGCAGTTACACACTATGTTCCCCACCCATTAGTCACTTTGTCACTTTGTGATCAGATCATGTCATTGTACTGCAGTGTTTGTGGTCAAGTAACACTTACTTTACTTCATAATGGCCCCAAAGCACAAGTGTAGTGATGCCGGCACATAATAATTATTCGATTTTATTATTAGTTATTGTTGTTAATCTCCTACCTCCTATGCCTAATTCATAGATTAAGCTTTATCATAGGTATGTAGCATAGGAAAAATAAATAGCCTATGTAAGGTTTAGTACTATCTACAGTTTCAGACATCGACTGGGGGCCTTGGAACATATTCCGCTGTGGATAAGAAGAATTACTATAAAAGGATGGCTGCTCGTCTTAATTCAATGGCATATTGAATCATTGGCATGATATGCCCATGTAGGGATTATTTAGTTCTTCAGGAGAGTGAATCCTTGAATCTTTTTCTGTCATACTATGTACTACTGATTAGGGTCTAGACTCGGTGCAGTTACATGGTAACTTGGAGATTTTTATCTGATAGTGATGAAATGAATTATGTGCAGAATTTTAAAAAAAAACCCAAAGGTTATGTTTTTATTGTGCTATCAGACATAAATCAGTTTCTATCTAACCTAGTAATCTTATTCCAACATTCTGTCTTCACTGCCTTTAAATACTCAATACCTCAAAAGCATTTTGAGCTGGCTTTATCACCCTGCTGGTTCCTTCACCAATGACTTAAATAAATCTTTAATGTGTGCTCATTTTATATTTGTATGACAATCACGTGTTAATATTTTGAAGATGATTTTGACAGTTTAGAGTGGTTCCCCACCAATGTGCCCAAATGGATGATACAGATTGGGTCAGAAGTAGATCTGGTTTGTTAAACTTTTGTTTATTGTCAGACTATTGGTTAGCTCAAATCAATGTTAAGATGTTCCCGCTGGAAAGGGGAACCACTCTTTGAGATCTGAGACTGTCAGTTGTGATTCTGGGTTTACCTTTAACCTCTGGCTGATGTTGTAGAACTGAAGCAGTGACCTCTTAGTCCAGATAATTTGTAACCCTTTTTCTCTTGTTATGTGAGCTTGAAATATTGAACTACACTTGGAATGTATTAATAAAATAGACTATAAAGCCTCACAAAAGCTCTGTTCTGGTTGTTTTACAGAGAATAATAAATCTTTACATAAATCTAATATTCCCAGAATGCCTAGAAAAAAACTAAAGTTCTAATACTTTAAATATGCTTTGTCCTGCATCCCCAACAAACGAACAAATGAAAATCAGAAACTGCTGTTTCAGAAACATTATTATATGAGAATCCAGGTTTATGTAATCAAAATGACTCTTTAGACATATTAAACTTGTTTAATCACTTTAGTTTAAAAACAGCTATTTGTCTTCTGTCTGACTTTATCTATGTAGAATATAATATAATAAAACTTATCACAATAAATCTCTGTTTTCTCTTGAATACACTATTTAATCTGAATTCCTGAAAACTCTTATGCTATTTTACTAATCAGACAAACCAACATACTTTCACATAAAGTTTTGAATTATGAAAAATACAAAATTATGTATTCAATTAAGCATGGTTATATTCTGATGTTTTTTACATCAACAGTGATTATGGTCTATAGTGCATCAGTTTTCACATAATTTTCAAGATCCTTAGTTAACATGAGGAACATAGACTATTAACTTGAGTTAATGAATAATCTTTGGATATCTGGATAATTTCTACTAGGAGAATACTAAAACATTGGTCAGCAAGCATAGTTTTTCACATATCTATGAATATGCATGTCTATATGTATGTGTATATGTATATACACATACATATATGTATTCTGACTGTTTCAACAATTGATCTTTCTGTCATATCTCTCTCTCTGTCTCTCTCTCTCTCTCTCTCTCCCACCTCTCCCTGGGCCTCCCTATTCCCTGAGACACAACAATATTGAAATTGGGCTAATTAAGAGCCCTACAATGGCCTGTAAGTATTCAAGTTAAAGGAAGAGTTGCATGTCTCTCACTTTAAGTCAAATGCTAGAAACGATTAAGCTTGGTAACAAAGACATGTCAAAAGCTGAGACAGGCTAAAATCTAGGCTTCTTACACCAATTAGCCAAGTTGTGAAGACATAGAAAAAGTTCTTGAAGGAAATTAAAAGTGCTACTCCAGCAAACAAGCAAATGATGAAAAAGCAAAACAGCCATATTGCTGATAGGGAGAAAAGTTTGAGGAGTCTGGATAGATCAAACCAGCCACAACATTCCCTTAAGCCAAAGCCCATTCCAGAGCAAGGTCCTAACTCTCTGCAATTTTGTGAAGGCTGAGAGGGGTGAGGAAGCTGCAGAAGAAGGTTGGAAGCTAGCAGAGATAGGCTCATAAGTTTAAGGAAAGAAGACGTCTTTGTAGCAAAAAGATACAAGGTGAAGCACAAGTGCTAATGGAGAAGCTGCAGCTAGTTATGAGATGATATAGCTAAAATAATTGATGAAGGTGGCTGTGCTAAGTAACAGGTTTTTTTATTTTATTGTATTCTTTGAGACAAAGTCTTACTCTGCCACCCAGGCTGGAGTGCAATGGTGCAATCTCGGCTCACTGCAACCTCCGCCTCTCAGGTGCAAGCAATTCTCCAGCCTCACCACCCCCCAACCCAAGTCGCTGGGATTACAGGTGCCCACCACCATGCCTGGCTAATTTTTGTGCTTTTAGTGGAGACAGGGTTTCACCATGTTGGCCAGGCTGGTCTCGAACTCCTGGCATCAAGTAATCTGCCCACCTTGGCCTCCTAAAGTGTTGGGATTACAGGTGTGAGCCACCGCATCCAGCCTAAATGACAGATTTTAAATGTAGATGAAACATCCTTCTATTGGAAGACGATGCCGTCTAGGACTTTCATAGAGAGGAGAAGTCAATGTTTGGCTTCAGAGCTTCAAAGGATAGGCTGACTCTCTTGTTAGGGATGGATGCAACTGGTGACCTTAAGTTGAAGCCAATGCTCACTTGCCATTCTGAAAATCCTAGGAGTTATGCTATATCTACTCTTCCTGTGCTCTAAAAATGAAACAACAATCCCTGATAAGAGCATATCTATTTATAAAATGGTTTATTGAATATTTTAAGCCCACTGTTGAGACCTACTTCTCAGAAAAAGAGGTCCCTTTCAAAATATTACTGCTCATTGACAATGCAACTGGTCATTTAAGAGTTTGATGGATGTGTACAAGGAGAGTAACGTTGTTTTCACATCTGCTAACACAGCATCCATTCTGTGGCCCATGGATCAACAATTCATTTCAGCCTTCAAGTCTTATTATTAAAGAAATATATTTCATAAGGTTTTAGCTGCCATAGATAGTGATTCTTATGGAACTGGGCAAAGTAAATTGAAAACCTTCTGGAAAGGA
Source organism: Homo sapiens (assembly GCF_000001405.40). NCBI lineage: Eukaryota > Metazoa > Chordata > Mammalia > Primates > Hominidae > Homo > Homo sapiens. The sequence continues at coordinate 34,783,562 of NC_000013.11, forward strand.
GTCACCATTTTAGATGCCATTATGAACATTTGTGATTCATAGGAGGAGGTCAAAATGACAACAATAACAGGAGTTTGAAAGAAGTTGATTCCAACCCCCTGGGTGACTTCAAGAGGTTTCAAGACTTCAATGGAGGAAATCACTACAGATGCAGTGGAAACAGCAAGAGAACTAAAGTAGATGTACAGCCTGAAGATGTGACGGAATTACTGCAATCTCATGGTAAAACAGATGAGGAGTTGCTTCCTATGGATAAGCAAGAAAGTAGTTTCTTGAGATGAAGCCTACTCCTGGTGAAGATGCTGTGAATATTGTTGAAATGACAACAAAAAATGTAGAATAGTTCGTAAACTTAGTTGATTAAGCAACAGCAGGGTTTGAGAGGACTGACTTCAATTTTGTGTGAATAGAATGCTATCAAATGGCATCTCATGCTACAGAGAAATCTTTCGCAAAAGGAAGAGTCAATCAGTGGAGGAAACTTCATTGCTGTCTTACTTTCAGACAGCAACAGCCACCCCACCCTGATCAGTCAGCAACCATCAGCATCAAGGCAAGACCCTCCACCCTCAAAAAGATTAAGACTTGCTGAAGGCTCAGATGATCATTAGCAAGTTTTAACAATAAAGTATTTTTAAGTTAAGATATGTACATTGTTTTTATAAATAATTCTATTGTACACTTCATAAACTACAATCTTGTGTAGGCATAACTTTTATATGCACTGAGAAACCAAAAAACTCATGTGACTCTCCTTACTGCTATAGTCATTTTATTGTGGTGGTCTGAAACCAAACCCATAATATCTCCAAGACATGTCTGTATTCCCTGAAGTCAAAATTGAAAACTCTGTGTTAAAGAAGGCATCATTTTTGCCATTTTAAGAATGTGATAAAATGATACATATGATTATAGAAAATCATATTGAGTGTCTTCCACTGACTTTCTAAAATTTGAGCATTTTAGAAAGTGAACAGAACACTTATTTAGTTAAAAGTTAACTAAAGTAAGTAACTTGCTGAGCTTTCAGCAAGTACTAATCTTGCAGATGGAGGATCTTGCCTTGACGCTGATGGCTGCTAACTGATTGGAGTGGTGGTGGCTGAAGGTTGAGGTGGCTGTGGCTGTCTGAAAGTAAGACAGCAATGAAGTTTGCTTACTTTACTTACTTGAGTTAAAAGTTAAAGTTAATGGCCAGGCACAGTGGCTCACACCTGTAATCCCAGCCCTTTGGGAGGCCAAGGCTGGCAGATCACCTGAGGTCAGAAGTTCAAGACCAGCCTGACCAACATGGAGAAACCCCATTTCTACTAAAAATACAAAATTAGCCGGGCATGGTGGTGCATGCCTATAATCCTAGCAACTCAGGAGGATGAGGTAGGAGAATCGCTTGAACCCGGGAGGCAGAGGTTGTGGTGAGCCAATATCACACCATTGCACTCCAGCCTGGGCAACAAGAGTGAGATTCCATTTCAAAAAAAAAAAAAAAAAAGTTAAAATTAATATGTGTGACTAAGACTGCTAGAAAAAGAGAGGCAGAGAAATATAACTTTGGATAAAAGGTAATGGAGTGTTTACAACGAAAAAAAAGAAAGAATTTTGTCCTAAAATTAAGTATCTTGCTCCAGAACATGAACAAAGATTGGGAAGATTAAAACTTGAATAGATATGTACAATTATAGAAGAATGTGAAAAATGATTTTGTGGCCTTGCTTTATAATAAATACTAATAATTAATGAAAAAATAAGCATGACACATGTTAAAAATTTGGCAAAGTTGGCTTAGTTTTGATTAAAGAATTCCTAAATTTTAAAAAAACAGAAAGAATTCTGTGAATCCTTTACAGCCAAATATAATCTTAATATAAAATCAGAATTTGGTCTTCTTTCCATTAAAATTGATCGTGAAGTATTTTGTCTGCTCTTATCAAGGGGTAAGAAGGGTTATTCTGTAATCTTCTCAGGTAGCAGAGATTCCATGTGTCACTAGAATCATTTTCTTTCCCTTGGCTGAATTAGTAATGTCCTCGATTTAAAAAAAAAAAACTCACTGACAGAATTAATATCATGATAACTTCTGCATTTACTTTAATATATTTCATTGTCACTTTGATTAATACATAGCCCAGCTAAAACTATTCATGTACTGCAGCATCTATGATTTTATTTTAGTAAATTTCCTCTGATAGCTCTTTTGATTTTTGTCTCTTCAAGATCAGATTCTAAAATTGAGGGGAAAAAAATTTCAAGATGTCTTTTATACCTAAACTACCTTTGGGATTTTTCCTGAGGGGTCCTGAGAAATCACAAATATTTGTGGTTTTTATAAATTTATGCATTAGTTTCCTATTGCTGCTTTTGCACATTACCACAAAGTTAGTGGCTTAAAACAACACAAATTTTATTCTCTTCCAGTCCTGGAAGTCAGAAGTCAGAAATGTTTCAATATGCTAAAATCAAGGTGTTGGTGAGGCTGGGTCCTTCTGCAGGATCCGAGGGGATAATTCATATTCTTGCCTTTACCAGCTTCTAGTGGCTGTCTGTATTCCTTGGATTGTGAACACTTCCTCCATCTCCAAAGTAAATCACTCCAATCTCTGCTTCTATTATCCCACCACATTCTCCTCTCTTACATTTTATATAACCCTTATATAAAGAGGTTTTATACTGGCCCACCTCAATAATCCAGGATAATTTCCATCTCAAGATTCTAAGCTTAATCATACACCTGCAATATCCCTTTGGCCATGTAAACTAACACATCCATACATTCTGGGGATTAGGACATGAAGATCTTTGGTGGACCCATTATTTCGCCTACCACATCTTATCAAAAGAGAAGTGCCAGAAATAATGAGGAATTCTAGTAAACTCCATATTTCTTAAGTAGCTCCATATCATGGCAAAAGCTGTTAAATAAAAGAGAGTTGTTTGAGAAAAGTTGTTAAATAAAGGAGAAACTCAGCCTTCCTTAGGTTAATGTTGTATAGATAAAACATTATTAATATAAATATATTTTATAGATTGTACACTTTTGCAAAGCAGATTGAAAGACTCTGAAGATTTGTCAGTGCCTTTGCTATTCACAGTATGTTCTTATGCCCAGAGAAAACATTGGTCAAACACTTAAGAAAGAATGATGGGCTGGGCGTGGTGGCTCACGCCTGCAATCCCAGCACTTTGGGATTTGCCGAGGCGGGTGGGTCACTGAGGTCAGGAGTTCTAGACCAGCCTGGCCAACATGGCAAAACTCCATCTCTACTAAAAATACAAAAATTAGTGGCCAGGCAAGGTGGCTCGCGCCTGTAATCTCAGCATTTTTGGAGGCCGAGGACGGTGGATCACGAGGTCAAGAGATCGAGACCAACCTGGCCAACATGGTGAAACCCCATCTCTACTAAAAATATAAAAATTAGCTGGGTGTGGTGGCACACACCTATAGTTCCAGCTACTCAGGAGGCTGAGGCAGGAGAATCACTTGAACCTGGGGGGTGGAGGTTGCAGTGAGCCAAGATTGTGCCACTGCACTCCATCCTGGCAACAGAGCAAGACTCCATCTAAAAAATAATAATAATAAAAATAAATTAGTGGGGCATGGTGGTGGATGCCTCTAGTCCTAACTACTCAGGAGGCTGAGGCAGGAGGATCACTTGAACTTGGGAGGCAGAGGTGGCAGTGAGCTGAGATCACTTGGCTGTCATTTAGTCTTATCATCAAGAGATGATTTCTGCTTTTCCCACTTACTCACCTGAAAGCTTATGAGCCTCAAGATAGAAAACAAGTCTTTGGGCCGGACACGATGGCTCAAGCCTGTAATCCCAACACTTTGGATGCCAAGGTGGGTTGATTACCTAAGGTCAGAAGTTCAAGACCAGCCTGACCAAACATGGTGAATCCCTGTCTCTACTAAAAAATTAGCTGGGCATGGTGGCACACACCTGTGATCCCAGCTACCTGGGAAGCTGACACAGGAGAATCCCTTGAACCCAGGAGACGGAGATTGCAGTGAGTGGAGATCTTGCCATTGCACTCCAGCCTGGGTAACTAGAGTGAAACTCCATCTCAAAAAAAAAAAAAGAAAAAGAAAAAAGAAATAAAATAGATCTTCGACAAAAACAGTCTTAGAGCCTGATGGAATGAACTAAACCAGGTACCCATAACTATTGATATTTTAAGAAATCAACTCATGAGTACAGGCTTTGGAGCCCAACTCAACATTACTTAGGCAATCATGAAGCTGTACTAGAGAACTCAGTCAGGATATCAAGGGTCTTTGTTAGTTCAGAAGCAGAGTACTTTCAGGAAAACCCGCAAGGCAGCAGAACAAGACATAAGTGAGAGCAGGATGTGCTGAACTGATGAGGGAAATTTCACAAATTTCATTTCTTTGGAAATTCTTAGAATTATTCTTGATTCTCTACTGGTGCTTTAGGCTCCAAGGGTGGTGACAAGTCCACCATTAAAGAATAAGGATTGTTGGTCTGGCACAGTGGCTCATGCCTGCAATACCAGAACTTTGGGAAGCCGACGTGGGAGGATCACTTGAGCCCAGGAAATCAAGACCAGCTCAAGCAATATAGCCAGATCTCATCTCTACCAAAGCTTAAAATAAAAATAATAAGGATTGTACTTCATATGTGGAAGCAATGCCCACACATTTTTCCTAGGAAATGGGCTGCTACCTGATCTGTGGCTATCTAGTTCCTAGACTTAAGGGAAGTAGAGTTAGGAAGCTTAGCCCAGATTGCTGGGATGTGGAGGAGGAAAGAAGCCAACCTAGTTATAGGCACTGCAGGGGACAGCTGTGAGGAAAATCTCTTTGGGTTGGTTTTCTAGTGTCAGAATATAAGAACTAATAAGGCTGTTTTGTTTAATCTTTAGAATAACAGAGGCTATTGAAAATGTCACCTGAGATTCTTTATGAAACTTCTAGACAGAAATTAATTCTCTGGTCTTATAATTGTTCAGCACCATGTAAGTCTAGATTGGTTAACCACACTCAGAGAGGCTCATATGTTTAATTAAGACATCTTACTCAGCCTATGTAAATTAATCAAGCCAAATCAAAAAGTAGCCAGCCTCTCTTTTTTGTGATCCAAAACAATCCTTAGGAACAATTTATGATCACCCTTTAAAACTCCCCTGCCCTGTGTTAAAAGACAGTGTGTTGTTGCTTAAGGTAAAATCATAATTCATACCAATATAAAATGAACACATATTAAAGATTTTATTTAAAGCCTGGTGTGGTGGCTCATATCTATAATCCCAACATTTGGGGAGGCTGAGGCTGGTGGATCTCTTGAGGCCAGGAGTTTGAGACCAGCTTGGGCAACACGGCAAAACCCCATCTCTACTAAAAATACAAAAATTAGCTAGGCATGGTGGTGGGCAACTGTAATCCCAGCTACTCAGGAGGCTGAGACAGAAGAATCACTAGGACTTAGGAGGCAGAGGTTGTAGTGAGCCAAGATTGAGCCACTGCACTCAGCCTGGGTGACAAGAGCGAGGCTCTGTCTCAAAAAAAAAAATTATTTAATATATTAATTAGAGAACCAGCAACATATGCCAATAGTGTCAAAAGAAAATTCAAAGAATTCCATATATGTAGGCAAAAAGAATGCTGAGACTAAATTACAAATAGATGCAAATTGGCTTCTTGGGGGTGGGGAATGAACAGAAAATCAATTATCTCTCTACTAGACACAACTCATTTGCATGTTTATGAATCAGAGTCATTTGAATTGCTAGTTATCAACAACTAACAGAGTTAAAAATAGTTCAAAGCCAACAATAGGTGGAGAGATACCCCAGAAAGGTGCACTAGATAGAATACTTGATCATTTATTTATTTAGCCCAATTCCAAGTCTTCCACAATCTTTTCCAACATCTATGATCCACGATTTCCCTCTTCTCAACTCTTTCTGGAGAGGGCTTCAAAGCACATCTTATGAAGTTTGGATTTCTCCTCCCTTTCCTCTAAACAGACTACTTAAGCCACATTAGTGCTAAGACATTGTGATAGGCGTACAACTTTCCCAATAGTTTCTTCACAGGTGAGTGTGGTTTCCCCAGGACTGCTTCTGAGGCCTCATTTACTCTTCCCATGGGGCTCCAGTTTACCAGCTCCCAGAAGACCCTGAATCTCAAAAAGAAAATATGGTATTGACATGAAATTGTTACGGACCACCAGTTCTTGGGCCGTCAATACAATAGAAATTGAAATTAGGCCAAAAGAGTTTTCCCAGACAAGGCTTCATTGGAACTTACGCCTGGGAATAAGAGAGGCAGCACAATAGAGAGAGAGAATTCCCTGATTTGACTCTCCAAAAAGAGCCAGTTGGGATTTTTTATTAGGCAAAGTGCGGGAATTGACATCGGGGTAGGGTATACTGGCTGGGCTGGGCAAAGCACAGGACAGGTAGGAGATGCAGGTCAGCAGATCTGGTTGCCATGGTTATCTTGAGTAACGGGCTACCTGGTGGTCTGGCTGGAGGCAACAAGGCTATAAATTAATTGTTGAAACCCTGTCTCTACTAAAAATACAAAAATTAGCTGGGTGTGGTGGCACATGCCTGTTCTCTCATCTACTCCAGTGGCTGAGGCATGAGAATCACTTGAACCCAGGAGGCAAAGGTTGCAGTGAGCCAAGAGCATGCCACTGCATTCCAGCTTGGGCAACTGAGCAAGACTCTGCCTCAAAATAATAATAATTGTTGAGCATTCCTTCTCAAGGTAGGACATTCCACAACCTTGGTTCAAAATTTTGGATCTTGGCTGGGCACGGTGGCTCACACCTGCAATCCCAGCACTTTGGGAGGCCAAAGTGGGTGGATTACTTGAGATCAGGAGTTCAAGACAAGCCTGGCCAACATGGTGAAACTCCGTCTCTACAAAATACAAAATAATTAGCTGTGCTTGATGGTAAGTGCCCTTAATCCCAGCTGCTTGGGAGGCTGAGGCAGGAGAATCACTTGAACCCAGGAGACGGAGGATGCAGTTAGCCGAGATTGCACCACTGCACTCCAGCCTGGGCAAAAGAGCAAGACTCTGCCTCAAAAAGAAAGAAATTGGATCTCCTAAGGCCCGTTCCTGGAATTTTTTTAAGTAAAAGGTATGGTTAAACATTACGAGAGCAAAGAAGAACAATGTAGAATGGTTATTTTCTTTGTATGACTAAAGCCTCAGGATTAACAGGTATGGTGTCAGCAAGGTAGTGGTGTGGGTTTTGTGATGAATGGGAATGCTTGAAAGAATTCTCTAGTGGAGGTGAGCTGAAGCAACGTCCTGTTTCTATTCTGTCTCAGAATAACAAGTCCCTTAATCAGGTCTGAAAGGCAGCTCCTGTCTTCCATTGTGGAAAAGAATAAAACTTAGTGTTACTGTTAATAATTTAGCCCCATCCGACCAGCTACCCAATTAGACAGGCATCCTTGGGGTTGGGCCACTCAAAGGTACCTGGTTTGCAAACTCTGGATGGACAAAGTCCCTCCTATTCAGGAAACTGGCCTTTTCTCCAGGATCTCCCCAGAAAGAGAATCTTTAGCTCTGTGCCACATCTCTGTCCTAAGGTACTTCCTTTTGTTCTCTATGAGCTATTTGAAAAGCTACCTTCTATTTCAATGATGTTAGGCTCTGAAGGCAAGGTTTGTTATCAGCCGAAGTCATCTTCAATCCCTTAAAGGCTTCACTGAGACATATGCAAATGTATGCAAATGAGGTACTCCACGGATTAATTAAAATAAAATCTAATAGCCTTAAATAGACACCAAATAATGGTCCTAGGAGAGGCAATTAATTCTATTGTTTACAACCACTCCCTGTTAGCTGTTTTTTCCCCCAAATGTAGAGGGAAATCATTTCCTTAGCTTCTCTACCAGAAAGACAAAAATCATGGCATTTATTATCTGCCTCAATGTTGTCTGTAACATAGCCAAACAACTGATATTAACAAGAGGAAAAATAGTTCAGAAATGGGTCCACAACTTATGAGGCTTCTCAGAGTCTGGCCACTGCCCACCTCATGAGTCTCATTTCATATCCTAAGCCCTTCCCACAACTCTGAGCAACTTCTGCACCAAATTTCCTTCAGTTTCACAAGCCTACCAAGGCTGGGTCCTCTTTCAGGAGTGATATGCTGTTCCCTCTGCCAGACAGAAGGCAATGGTGTCACCCTCAGGAGCACACAACCCCAGTAGGGAAAGAGACAAGCAAGCAGATGACTATACAATCCCAGGCCATGAGCGCAGGGATAAAAATGTGGGTAGAACACTTTAGGCAGGTTAGAAGCACCTGTGGCCCAAGGCAGAGGGGTCAAGGAAGAGCATGAAAGAAGTTACACTTGAGCTGAGGACTGAGAGACTAGAAGGCTAGTCCTGGTGATATGGACAGGAGGCAGGGAAATACTAGGTCGAAAAGGGTGTGGTCCCTGGCAAGGGCTCCGCCCTCAAGCCTGAACCCATGGCCCTAAGTAAGAACATTCATTCCTGTTTTCCCACCCAAATGGTGCCTGGCCTGCTGTGCCCCCCATCTTGTACCCATAAAACCCCCAGTTTCCACTGGCAGAAGGGCAGCAGAGCAGCAGAGCAACAGAGCAGCACAGTGGTGTAGCAGAGCAGTAGAAAAGAAAAGAAGCATCTAAAGGTCAGGAGAAGCAGCAGCTGGACATCAGACACTACTGTTGGAGAGAGGTTCAGCTGCGGACGATCAGAAAGGGGTTCCCCAGAGAGGAGAAGACCACCTTCCCACTCCATCCCCTTTCCAGCTCCTCATCCTGCTGAGAGCCACTTCCACCCTCAGTAAAATCCTCTGAATTCACCACCCTCAAATTTGTTCATGTGACCTCATTCCTCCTGGACATTGGACAAAGACCTGGGTGCAGGTGCGAAGGGCTGTCACACTGACCCTCCACTGAGCTATTTAACACTTAAGCCATCCACGGATGACAAAGCTAAAGGAGCACACTGTAACATACATCTTCTGGGGCTCCAGGGGTCACAGGCAACCCCTAGACGCTGCCATGGGGCCACACAGAGTTCCACTCCTGCCAGCACCCAGTAGCATTCATCCCAGCCTCTGTACCTGCTCACCTGCATGCTTCCCCTCCCGCAAAGGGTTTGAAAGCTGTGGGCTGATTAAGCAAGCCACCGCTTCACAAGTCCTACAAGGGGGTCAAGGGAACTATCCCATCTTACTGGCAGAGACCTAAAATATATAATTTTATGGGTTGTATTTGAAGGAACTACTAGGAGTGATGTCACTGGTAAACTGAGTTCTTTCCCTACTTTGTGTGGGCTGCAAATAAAGAACACCCAATTGGAACAAAAGGCAAGCATGTTTTATTTCTGTCCAGAAATGGAGAAGTAGTGAACTTTCACTCTAAAGACCCCTACTCTCCAAACAACAGAAGGCATGGAATTTTTTATGACTTGGTACAGGGAGAGCAGAGGAGTGTTAGCATGTTCAGGGCAGGGTGCCAGGCACACAAGCTCAATTCATAAACATATATCTTTATGCAACCCATGTATATAAAATTGTGGAGATTTTCATTTTGGAGAGGGAATTTCAGCACTATAATGATATGGTAATGATCCAAAGACAACTAGAAGTCATCTATTCCAGTTTGGGTTGGTTTGGGGGTCTTATCTCCCCCTGGTATCCAGTCAGGGGTCATGAAGCCCTGGCACCATGCCAGGTCATCTGGTTTCTTTAAGCAGCTGTGCCTATAAATAAGGGACTAAAGGAAAACAGGAAGAAAAAGAACCAGGGAAGCCCTGGTGAAACAAAGTATAAGGCCAGAAGAGACAAGAAATGAGCCTCAAGAGGTGGAGAGGCAGGCCCTGGAGGACTGAGTTTGTCATGGTAAGGAGCTTGCATTTGGTCCATTTTGAGAAAAGAAGCCTTTAGTGGATGAGTAATGAAATAAGCTTTTCATCTGGCATCACGATCTCCCATCTGCATTTCCACAAAAGGGGAAAAGAGGGCAAAGACTAAAGGGAGTGGCTCCTGGAATGGAGGCTGTTAACAGCAATAACTGAGACTGACTGTGGTGGCTTTGACTGAAGTAACGGCAGGATCAAGAGAGGGGATGGGGGACACATTTTAGAGACATTAAGGATGGAGAGAATCAACTGGACTTGGTTAATTTGAATGGAGAAGGTTCTGGAATGAGAAAGAAGTAAGGGTCCAAGTCAACTCCCAGTTTTTGTTGGGCAACTCTGCACATATTGGCATTCTGCACTGAGCTAGTAGCACACAGACAGGATTTGGGGAGGAAATATTGAGTACAATATTGTATCTATTGGGAAATAAGTGCCTGATGTTAAGCAGGCCTGGTGCTTGGATGGTTATGTGGAGTATGAGTTTAAGGGGACATAGTAGCAGGGAAAAGGAGACCCCTTAAGAAGGGAGCTGCTAGTGCAGGAAAAAGATGATGGCTGAAATGGGGCAGTGACAGCAGGGACTAAGTGACAGATTCAAGGAGCATTTAGGAGGTAAAATGTTTCGTTCCCCTTCATTCTCTACTATTCAAAATTATACACAAGCCCAAAACTATGTTAATTGCTTTTATGGAATGAGTTATCACAAACTAGAAAATTGTGCATGGTGAAGACTTTGGCTTATGTTTTTAATTTCCTTTTTCCCTTCTGATATCTAGAGTCTTCTCAACGTTAATACAAGAAATGAATCAAAGAAATGTTCCAGCCCTCTCATTTTGTGGGAGTAATGGGGTGATTTACTGACAAAGATTCTTTGCTTGACCAAACTTTAGCCACATTCTTGAACCTTCTACTAGGCCCATTTGTGTACTTTGTTGTAAAGCCCAGTTTTAGCAGGAACTGTTTAAGTCAGCTTAGCATGAACCTCCATACTCCACATATGATCACCTCCTACATCCTCACCCTGCACCATCCCCCAGTGATGTCTAATCAGCCTCGCCTGCCTTCAGCAAGAATCCAGTCCAGTCAACTTAGCAAGAATTTCCCTTCCCCCCTGAAATTTCCTCTTAGTAGTTGTCCATCCACTGACCCCTCATCCTGCTTCTTGGCTATAAATTCCACATTCCCCTGCTGTATTTGGAATTAAGCCCAGTTCTATACTGAGGTCTCTTGTTCCCTACCACTATGGCCCTGAATAAAATCTGTTTTCTACTACTTTAAGAATTATCAAGCTCTATTTTTCCTTTGACATAACCCAAGTCCCACAGTTAGTCAGTGGCTGATATGGTTTGGCTGTGTCCCCACCAAAATCTCACCTTGGATTGTAATAATCCCCACATGTCAGGGGCAGGCTAGGTGGAGATAATTGAATCATGGGGGCAGTTTCCCCCATACTGTTCTCTCATTAATGAATACATCTCATGAGATCTCATGGTTTTATAAATGGGAGTTCCCCTGTACAAGCTCTCTTGCCTGCTGCCATGTAAGATGTGACTTTTCACCTTATTCACCTTTTGCCATGATTGTAAGGCCTCCCCAGCCAATTGGAACTGTAAGTCCATTATATCTCTTTCCTTTATAAATTACCCAGTCTCGGATGTCTTTATTAGCAGCATGAGAACAGACCAATACTGTAAATTGGTACTAGGTAGTGGGGCTCTGCCATAAATATACCCAAAAATGTGGAATCAACTTTGGAACTGGGTAACAGTCAGTTACCCAGTACCTCCAACAGGTAAGTATGTTGGAGGGCTCAGAAGAAGACAGAAAAATTTGGCAAAGTTTGGAACTTCCTAGAGACTTTGGAAGGCTCAAAACACAGGAAGATGTGGGAAAGTTTGGAACTCTCTAGAGATTTGTTGAATGGCTTTAACCAAAATGCTCATAGTGACATAAACAATAAAGTCCAGGTTGAGGTGGTCTCAGACGGAGATGGGGAACGTGTTGGGACCTGGAGTAAAGGTCTCTTGCTATGCAAAGAGACTGGCAGCTTTTTGCTCCTGCCCCAGACATATGTAGAACTTTGAACTTGAGAGAGATGATTTAGGGTATCTGGAGGAAGAAATTTCTAAGCAGCAAAGGGTTCAAGAGGAAGCACAGCATAAAAGTTTGGAAAATTTACAGCTTGACTATGTGATAGAAAAGAAAAACCCATTTTCAGGGAAGAAATTCAAGCTGGCTGCAGAAATTTGCATAAGTAATGAGTAACTGAATGTTAATGACCAAGACAATGGGAAAAATGTCTCCAGGGCATGTCAGATACCTTCACAGCAACCCCTCCCATCATAGGCCCAGAGGCCTAGGAGGGAAAATTGGTTTCATGGACTGGGCCCAGGGCCCCGCTGCTGTGTGTAGCCTCAGGCCTTGATACCCTGTGTCCCAGCTGCTCCAGCTGGGGCTAAAAGGAGCCAACATTAGAACTCAGGCCATTGCTTCAGAGGGTGCAAGCCCCAAGACTTGGCAGCTTCCATGTGGTGCTGGGCTTTCAGGTATGCAGAAAACAAGAATTGAGGTTTGGGAACCTCCACCTAGATTTCAGAGGATGTTTGGAAATGTCTGGATGTCCAGGCAAAAGTCTACCTGGAGGAGTAGAGTCTCCCTGGAGGAGTAAAGCCCTCATGGAGAGCTCTGCTAGGGAAATGCAGAAAAGAAATGTGTGGTTGGAGCCCCCACACAGAGTCCCCACTAGGGCACTCCCTAGTGGAGCTGTGAGAAGAGGACCACTGTTCTCCAGATCCCAGAATGGTACATCCAGTGATAGCTTGCACCATGCACCTGGAAAAGCTGCAGACATTCAACACCAGCCCATGAAAGCAGCTAGCAGGGGGATTGTACCCTGCAAAGCCACCACGGCAGACCTACCCAAGGCCATGGGAGCCCACCTCTTGCATCGGCGTGACCTAGATGTGAGATATGGAGTCAAAGGAGATCATTTCAAAGCTTTAAGATTTGATCGCCTCACCGGATTTCAGACTTGCATGAGACCTGTAGCCCTTTCGTTTTGGCCAATTTCCTCCATTTGGGATCAGTGTATTTACCCAATGCCAGTACCCCCATTGTATCTAGGAAGTACTTGCTTTTGATTTTACAGGCTTATAGGTAGAAGGGCCATGCCTTGTCCTAGATAAGACTTTGGACTGTGGACATTTGGGTTAATGCTGAAATGAGTTAAGACTTTGGGGGACTGTTGGGAAGGCAGGGAGGGTCAGGGATGGAATGATGTGGTTTGGCTATGTCCCCACCCAAATCTCACCTTGAATTGTAATAATCTCCACATGTCAAGGATGGGCAAGGTGGAGGTAACTGAATCATGGGGGCAGTTTCCCCTATACCGTTCTCCTAGTAGTAAATAAGTTCTGTGATATCTGATGGTTTTATAAATGGGAGTTCCCCTGCACAAGCTCTCTTGCCTGTTGCCATGTAAGATGTCACTTCGCTTCTCATTCCCCTCCACCATGATTGTGAGGCTTCCCCAGCCATGTGGAACTATAAGTTAATTAAACCTCTTTCTTTTATAAATGACCCAGTCTTGGGTATGCTTTTATTAGCAGCATGAGAAGACTAATACAGTGGCAAAGCTGGAGCTGGAATACCTTCTGGCTTCTGCTGCTGTACTCTTTCCACCACACTGCACCTCTGCTGGTCTCTCAGCTTTGCATTTGCTTGTAAATATTTAAACAGCCCTGGAAAGATCTACAGAACATCAGAGAAACCACACTTTAAACAATCCATTCTTATCCCCAAAGGTACATTAGAGCTAAAATCATAAAATTAATAGATACTTCCTTACCCAGGATCAATATATTTCCTAGCTGAGATGAGTGATTGTTTTTGGACAGAACATAAGGGGCTCCAGAGGAGTGAGTGCAGCTAGAAAAGGTGTTGATGATAGAAAAGCAAAATTAGGGGAGGTTAGAGAGCCTTCAATGCAACATGAGGGGCAGAGGCCAGCTTTAGCCAAGCTAATCCTTAAAACATGTGTGATGGCATGCCCCAGAAAGGGGTGGAAATGGGAAATTACTATTGAGACTAAGAACTCTGAGTCTGAAAACTTTCAGGAAACCCAGTTCCCTACTCCAGCACTTCTAGCTGTGCTCTGACATGGGATCAACAGCTTTATCAGATAATGTTTAGTTGATTAACCTTATGTGATTGTCCGCAGACCAAAATAGGAATCCACAAGGACCTGACATTCTAAAGAAAAACTTGGAATCAAAAGAGAAAAGGGGATGCCCAAGTAATTTGGCCTTAGTTTAGGAGTAAAACCACATAATGTATATAGGCTATACAGATCCCTAAAACAAGTCAGTTTTATTCAAATTATTTTATCATGAAATGAGAAAATCTTAAATTGCCATACTAATTAATACAATGAATCTAAGCTAAAATGTCATATTCTCTACGAGTGACTTGCATCTTCAAACTATGTCAAGAACAAGTGTTCACTAAATGCATTTTTAGAAGCTTTTTTTATGTGGAAGTGAAATACCATATACAGTATTTCCATGGTAACTATTTTCTTACTGAATGGAAATAGCATAATCAACATTTAAGAACTTCTATTTCCTGAAATGTTCATCTTATATGAATGTCAGTTGCATTCATAAGTTACATGTAGTCTCCTTTTAATTAAAATTATTTTTTTAATTTAGTATCTATGTAATGAAAAAAATGATGGGGTATTTTTGTTGCTCTGTTGTTTATAAAATATATTCCTGGACTACTTGAATATTTTGATATAACAACTAAGCATACCTCTTTTCCTCACATTGTTGAGAATTTGGAGCTTTCAAATAGATAACTCAGTCACTATATCTCTTAGATATATTTGGTAAACACTACAAATAAATACTTTCTCTGTATTAAAAGATAATTTTCAGAAAAAGATAAAATCACATCTTTCATACATATACAAAAATGAGTACGTGTTAAGCATTTTTATTTTTTTCTGCCTGGGTGTGGTGGCTTACATCTGTAATCGCAACACTTTGGGAGGTTGAGGCAGGTGGATTGTTTGAGCCTAGGAGTTCCAGACCAAGCCTGGGCAACATGGTGAAACCTTGCCTCTACAAAAAAATACAAAAATTAGCCAGGTATGGTTGTGCAAGCCTATAGTCTGAGGAACTGGGGAGGCTGAGGCAGGAGAATTGCTTGAGCCTGGGAAGCGGAGGTTGCGGTCAACTGAGACTGCACCACTGCACTCCAACCTGGGCGACAGAGCAAGACCCTGTCTCAAAAAAATTTTTTTTCTTCATTATTAGAGAACCAGATGTCAAAATCTTGCTCCTTGACCAAACCTTAGTCAGGCTTCTCTAAGCCTCTTTTCCACTAGGTCTCAACTTTGATTCCCCATCCTTGCCAGACCTTTATAACCCAATTTTAGTGAAATTAGAATTCTTCTAAGTCAGTTTCGAGAGAATCCCAAAATATACTGGATAATCCTCGATCTCTGATCACCCTGGCCTGCCTTTAGTAACATTCCTGTCAAGTTGGTTTTGCAAAAATCCCCCCGACCCTTGATGTCTCCTCTTAGTACATTTTCCATCCCATTGGCCCCTCACTCTGCTCATTGACTATAAATCCCTGGCTGTCTTTATTGTATTCAGAGTTGAGCCCAATCCCTCTCCCCTATTGAGATAGTCTCCACATCTTTTGAAATAGTCCTGAATGAAGTCTTCTTACTGTTTAACAAGTCTCAGAATAATGTTTTCTTTAGCACAGGCAGATGTTATAAACAGTTCAAATGAAAAGTTGAGGCTGACTCTCTTCGGACTCAGCCCGCCTGCACCCAGGTGAAATAAACAGCCATGTTGCTCACACAAAGCCTGTTTGGTGGTCTCTTCACACGGACGCGTATGAAATTTGGTGCCGTGACTCGGATCGGGGGACCTCCCTTGGGAGATCTATCCCCCGTCCTCCTGCTCTTTGCTCCATGAGAAAGATCCACCTACGACCTCAGGTCCTCAGACCAACCAGCCCAGGAAACATCTCACCAATTTCAAATCCGGTAAGCGGCCTCTTTTTACTCTCTTCTCCAACCTCCCTCACTATCCCTCAACCCCTTCTCCTTCACCCTCAGCGGCAAGTCCCGCTTTCCTGGGACAGGGGCAAGTACCCCTCAACCCCTTCTCCTTCACCCTCAGCGGCAAGTCCTGCTTTCCTGGGGCAGGGGCAAGTACCCCTCAACCCCTTCTCCTTCACCCTCAGCAGCAAGTCCCGCTTTCCTAGGGGGCAAGAACCCCCCAATCACTTATTTCTGCACCCCAACCTCTTATCTCTGCGCCCCAATCCCTTATTTCCGCACCCTGACCTCTTATTTCCGTGCCCCAACCCCTTCTCTGCTTTTCTGGAGGGCAAGAACCCCCCACCCCTTCTCCGTGTCTCTACTCTTTTCTCTGGGCTTGCCTCCTTCACTATGGGTAAGCTTCCACCTTCCATTCCTCCCTCTTCTCCCTTAGCCTGTGTTCTCAAAAACCTAAAACCTCTTCAACTAACACCTGACCTAAAACCTAAATGCCTTATTTTCTTCTACAATGCTGCTTGACCCCAATACAAATTCGACAGTAGTTCCAAATAGCCGGAAAACGGCACTTTCAATTTTTCCATCCTACAAGATCTAAATAATTATTGTCGTAAAATGGGCAAATGGTCTGAGGTGCCTGACGTCCAGGCATTCTTTTACACATCAGTCCCTTCCTAGTCTCTGTGCCCAGTGCAACTCGTCCCAAATCTTCCTTCTTTCCCTCCCGCCTGTCCCCTCAGTCCCAACCCCAAGCGTCGCTGAGTCTTTCTAATCTTCCTTTTCTACAGAC
The DNA here is from genome assembly GCF_000001405.40 of Homo sapiens. Taxonomy (NCBI): domain Eukaryota; kingdom Metazoa; phylum Chordata; class Mammalia; order Primates; family Hominidae; genus Homo; species Homo sapiens. The sequence goes on from NC_000013.11 coordinate 34,800,310, forward strand.
CCATCTGACCTCTCCCCTCCTCACCAGCCCAAGCTAGGTCCCAATTCTTCCTCAGCCTCCACTCCTCCACCCTATAATCCTTCTATCACCTCCCCTCCTCACACCTGGTCTGGCTTACAGTTTCGTTCTGTGACTAGCCCTCCCCCACCTGCCCAGCAATTTATTCTTAAAAAGGTGGCTGGAGCTAAAGGCATAGTCAAGGTTAATGCTCCTTTTTCTTTATCCCAAATCAGACAGCGTTTAGGCTTTTTCATCAAATATAAAAACCCAGCCCAGTTCATGGCTCGTTCAGCAGCAACCCTGAGACGCTTTACAGCCCTAGACCCTAAAAGGTCAAAAGGCCATCTTATTCTCAATATACATTTTATTACCCAATCTGCTCCCGACATTAAATAAAACTCCAAAAATTAAATTCCAGCCCTCAAACCCCACAACAGGATTTAATTAACCTCGCCTTCAAGGTGTACAATAATAGAAAAAAGTTGCAATTCCTTGCCTCCACTGTGAGACAAACCCCAGCCACATCTCCAGCACACAAGAACTTCCAAACGCCTGAACCGCAGTGGCCAGGCGTTCCTCCAGAACCTCCTCCCACAGAAGCTTGCTACAAGTGCCAGAAATCTGACCACCAGGCCAAGGAATGCCTGCAGCCCAGGATTCCTCCTAAGCCGTGTCCCATCTGTGCGGGACCCCACTGGAAATTGGACTGTTCAACTCACCTGGCAGCCACTCCCAGAGCCCCTGGAACTCTGGCCCAAGGCTCTCTGACTGACTCCTTCTCGGCTTAGCAGCTGAAGACTGATGCTCCCCGATTGCCTCGGAAGCCCTGTAGACCATCATGGACGCCAAGCTTTGGGTAACTCTCACAGTGGAAGGTAAGTCCGTCCCCTTCTTAATCAATACGGAGGCTACCCACTCCACATTACCTTCTTTTCAAGGGCCTGTTTCCCTTGCCTCCATAACTGTTGTGGGTATTGACAGCCAGGCTTCTAAACCTCTTAAAACTCCCCAACTCTGGTGCCAACTTAGACAATACTCTTTTAAGCACTCCTTTTTAGTTATCCCCACCTGCCCAGTTCCCTTATTAGGCTGAGACACTTTAACTAAATTATCTGCTTCCCTGACTATTCCTGGACTACAGCTGTATCTCATTGCCGCCCTTCTTCCCAATCCAAAGCCTCCTTTGCATCCTCCTCTTATATCCCCCCACCCTAACCCACAAGTATAAGATACCTCTACTCCCTCCTTGGCGACCGATCATGCACCCCTTACCATCTCATTAAAACCTAATCACCCTTACCCCACTCAACGCCAATATCCCATCCCGCAGCATGCTTTCAAAGGATTAAAGCCTGTTATCACGCGCCTGCTACAGCATGGCCTTTTAAAGCCTATAAACTCTCCTTACCATTCCCCCATTTTACCTGTCCTAAAACCAGACAAGGCTTACAGGTTAGTTCAGGATCTGCGCCTTATCAACCAAATTGTTTTGCCTTTCCACCCTGTGGTGCCAAACCCATATGCTCTCCTATCCTCAATACCTCCCTCTACTACCCATTATTCTGTTCTAGATCTCAAACATGCTTTCTTTACTATTCCTTTGCACCCCTCGTCCCAGCCTCTCTTTGCTTTCACTTAGACTGACCCTGACATCCATTAGGCTCAGCAAATTACCAAGGCTGTACTGCCGCAAAGCTTCACAGACAGCCCCCATTACTTCAATCAAGCCCAAATTTCTTCCTCATCTGTTACCTATCTCGGCATAATTCTCATAAAAACACACGTGCTCTCCCTGCCAATAGTGTCCGACTGATCTCTCAAACCCCAGCACCTTCTACAAAACAACAACTCCTCTCCTTCTTAGGCATGGTTAGCGTGGTCGGAATTCTTACACAAGAGCCAGGACCACATCCTGTAGCCTTTCTGTCCAAACAACTTGACCTTACTGTTTTAGCCTAGCCCTCATGTCTGCGTGCAGCGGCTACTGCTGCTTTAATACTTTTAGAGGCCCTCAAAATCACAAACTTTATCAGTCCTCCAGGCCCAAGTTGACTCTTTAGCTGCAGTTGTCCTCCAAAACCGCCGAGGCCTTGACTTACTGCTGAAAAAGGAGGACTCTGCATATTCTTAAATGAGGAGTGTTGTTTTTACCTAAATCAGTCTGGCCTGGTGTATGACAACATAAAAAAACTCAAGGATAGAGCCCAAAAACTTGCCAACCAAGAAAGTAATTACGCTGAACCCCCTTGGGCACTCTCTAACTGGATGTCCTGGGCCCTCCCAATTCTTAGTCCTTTAATACCCATTTTTCTCCTCCTTTTATTCGGACCTTGTATCTTCCGTTTAGCTTCTCAATTCATCCAAAACCGTATCCAGGTCATCACCAATCATTTTATACGACAAATGTTTCTTCTAACATCCCCACAATATCACCCCTTACCACAAGACCTCCCTTCAGCTTAATCTCTCCCACTCTAGGTTCCCACGCCGCCCCTAATCCCACTTGAAGCAGCTCTGAGAAACATCGCCCATTCTCTCTCCATACCACCCCCCAAAAATTTTCGCCACTCCAACACTTCAACACTATTTTGTTTTGTCTTATTAATATAAGAAGGCAGGAATGTCAGGCCTCTGAGCCCAGGCAAGGCCATCGCATCCCCTGTGACTTGCACGTATACATCCAGATAGCCTGAAGTAACTGAAGATCCACAAAAGAAGTAAAAACAGCCTTAACTGATGACATTCCACCATTGTGATTTGTTCCTTCCCCACCCTAACTGATCAATGTACTTTGTAATCTCCCCCACCCTTAAGAAGGTACTTTGTAGTCTCCCCCACCCTTAAGAAGGTTCTTTGTAATTCTCCCCACCCTTGAGAATGTACTTTGTGAGATCCACCCCTGCCCCTTTGACTGTAACTTTCCATTACCTTCCCAAATCCTATAAAACGGCCCCACCCCTATCTCCCTTCGCTGACTCTCTTTTCGGACTCAGCCCACCTGCACCCAGGTGAAATAAACAGCTTTATTGCTCACAAAAAAAAAAAAAGAAAAATTGAAAAAAAAACATAAATAAAAAGGAATCGAATTTTAATGGGAACGAAACTTTTTCTTTTTTTTTTACAAGGAGCAGGGAAGTGTGCTGGAAACGATGGAACCTACATGTCTATCAGTTATCTACAGTTTATAAACCCATGCCAAATAGCTCAAAGACAACAAACTGTTGTAGGAAAATACAAGTTCTTGTCACACAACTGGGATAATTTAGGCACGTAGATACATTATAGGGTGAGTAGAGTGGGGTTTATTGGGTGAAAAGGAAGAAAAGGGAAACAGGGACTCTCAGCAAAGTGACAGTCCTGCTAACAGATTTCCCTCCCCACAGATTGAATCCCGGTTACCACCAGAAACAGGCGAGGCCAGGCTCCTTCCCCCTGCAAAGGGCATAAACTTCTCAAGGCTCTACCCCATCCTCCCAGTGCATAGACCAGTTGAAGATTCTCCAGGGACCTTTCCCCTTATCTGCCTCCTGCATCCATCAAAACTAGAGTTGGCTGTAGCACAACCTGGAAGGGTGTGCTATGGATAATACGTTGCTTTCCACTGAAGTATAATTTTTGTTTTCGAGTAGAGCATGGTAACCATATATAGCATGAGTCACACTATAAATTCCTTTAAACGTCAGCTTTGCAACCACACTATCCCAGAACCCAAAGCACGACTTCTCATAATTTGGATTTAGAAATAATTAATCATGACAAACTAGGAAAAAAGTTGATATTTAACTCTCACAGGTCCTCAATGCAGTGTAATCTACACACCTTTGAGAAGAAATGTCTAGTCATGGACTGTCCTTGCTTGCAAGATTGATTTAGCGAAGGCTGTAAAATTTCTCCCAATAAGGCCAATAAAGATATAAAATATATTATAATTTTTATTTTCAAAGAAAATGCATTTTTTTCAGTTTTAAGAAAAATATATTGGAAACAAAATTGGAATCTAGTTAAATAAAGTGCTAGGGAGATTAAGGAGTTCTTAATGTTACTTCATTTAAATTCTTATATAACTTTCATTGCATTTATTTCACAGTCTTTTATACACTTTTTTGCACATATTTTTATCCTATTCAATTCAAGACATAGTCCCTCTATAGAACCTAGTACTTTTCCTATAATATATGTAGGCCAAATGATAGAAGATTGAATGAAATTCAATGAAGGGTTCTACTATGGTTTGAATGTTTGTCCTCTTCCAAACTCATGCTTAAATTTAATTGCCACTGTAACAGTATTAAGAGTTGGGACCTTTGAGAAGTGATTAGCCCATGTAGGTTTAGCTCTTGCAGGTGGGATTAATGCAGGTATAAAAGGGTGAGTTCAGCTCTGTCTCTTCCTCTGTCTCTGTCTCTCTTTCTCTTTTTACCCTTCTGCCATGTGATGTCTTCAACCATGTTAGATGCAAAATGAAAGCCCTTGCCAGGTACCAGCATCTTGATATTGTGCTTCCCAGTCTTCAGAACTGTGAGCCAATAGATTTCTGTTCATTATAAATGACTCTGTCTCAGGTGTTCTGTTATAGCAGCACAATACAGACTGAGGCAGCTTTTCTATGGTATAAGTGAATTACCGTTTCCCAGATATGCTGCTTTTTATTGCCCTAATTTAATTTAAAAAGTCATTTTAGATGGCATTACTATCACTTATTGAACACTGATTATGTGCCAGGCCTCGTTCCAAGTGTTTAACGTTCATTATCTCATTTAATCTCTGTAACAGCTGTATGGGCTTATTACTCTTATTTTATCAAGATGTGACAGGAGTAAGTTTCACCATTGTGAAACTTACCAAAATATACACATGCATTTTGTCTTCTGTACCATCGTCATCTTTCTGGGATTAAAGCCTATCCCCACCATCCCCACCTGTTCCTAACCCATACATCTTGGGCCATTACAAAGAAGGGTATCCACACGGGGCAGTTTGAATGGAGCTCCACAAAGTGTCGGGATGTACCTTCTGCTGGATGATCCCAGGTAATTTCAGGCAGCTGTGGAAGGAGAGCCTCACTCCTAAAAAGGAAAAGGACACCTGACTCCTCAGTTCAAATATCATACGGTGGCCATTCCAATTGCATGTGGCTGCTAGGCACTGGCTTGTCTTCATGGGGCTGGCAGGGGATGGTCAACAAGATTCTTCTCCTTTTGGCCCACTGACCTCCTCCAAAGACAGATCACCCATCCCATTCTAGCACAACCAACATTCTTCTCATTTCCCTGGGGCAGGGCATAATGAGTCACCATCTCTTGTTTTTCTAATAAATTATTATGGTACAAACTTCTTTCTTGATTCTTAAGAGATTTTTTTTTTTAACTAAGCTCTTGTAAATGAAACATCTTAATTTCTGGAACTAGTGGTCTTCAAGGTCTGTTTAGGATTCAAAAACTATACACCCTTTCTAGTTTGTGCATTTGTAAGAAATGAATTCAAATTCTCCTGAGAACATCTAGAGGTCTTTGAGTTGCAGGGTGGCAATCATTTTCTATAAAGGGCCAGGTAGTAATATGTTGGGATTTGTAGGCCATACACAGCCTTTGTCACATAGTTGTGTTTTTTGCTTTTAAACAACTCATGTTAGAGGGAGAAACGAGTTCAAGGCATTTCTTTGTTTGTCTATTTTGAGTCCAAATCAATTAAGAATTTTATACCTACTGAGAAGTGGGCATCTGGACTGGTAAGTTTTCTATTTCTTAATTTATGTTTGATCCATGGCTGAAATCATAGTATTTAAGCTATAATAAGCTCTTTCTCAACCACAAAAATATTTAGACCTATAATTCAAAAAAGCCTTTAAATATCATTGTGTGAGTGTATATTTTCGTACCTCTAAGTGATATTAAATTAGATTATAAAATATCTTAAAGGAGCTCTATTCTGATTGACTTACAGAGATAAGTGCTTATGTAATTGAATATTCCTAAAATTCCCAGCAATGTTGGAAATTAAAGTTCCAATAATTTCCATGTGCCACAAAGGGGGCATTCTTAATGAAACTAACACAAGTGTTTTAGGAATTCAAGTTCACATAATTTGGATAAATATTTTGCAAATGAGACTAATTTAATGTTGTTGGTTTAATAAAAATAGTTATGTCTTCTCTGAGTTAAATGACCTATTTATTCTACTTGGGTATGTTCTTCCTAAACTTATACAGGTGTAATGATTAAATAAACTAACATTACTTCTACTAAATGTTTAAGGCTATGAAAGATGCCAATCTGTGTTTAAACAAATTAAATCTTTATTCTAACAAACTTTATTTCAACAGTAGTTATATTTTGTAGTATGTCAGCTTGAAGATAGTTTCCAAGATCTTTGGGTAACTTAAAATTTTGGACTGATACAAAATGAGTACATTAATGGATATTCATTAGATACTTAGGTCATCTCTAAGTAAGATGAAAAACTGAAACATTAATTATCAAGTGTAATTTTAAGTTTATACACTTTTTGTTATTTATGTTTATAGAGTATAGAGAATCTCTATATTTGGAGTTTGTTAATGAATATGTTCATTTTTGCCACTTTGAAAACCTGTATTATAAAAGACGTGTATAGATATAGGATGATACAGAGAGCTCAAGAAAAGGGAATTTTATTTGTCCTGATCAGTGCTACCTATGGTTTGGTGAGTTATTTCTAAGATTTTCAAAAAAAGGTTTAGTATCAAATATTATACTGATGCAAAACTGGAATTCAGTTTCTCTCTTTTAAAAGAATGAGATTATCTCGGATTATTGGTCAAGTCTCAATTATAAAAGTTTATTTTTTACCTTCTGTGCAATCTGCCTAGATGACAAGGATTTTATGTCCTACAGAATAACTTCCATGGTTTATGTTTACTTTATTTCATTGACTATTTATGAAAACAAAGACTTCTCACATAGACAAAATCTCAGATTCTTTCCAATAATGTTACCTCCTGTATTAGCGACGGATCTTCAGATAAACAGAATCAATAGAATATATAGAGATATATAGAAAGAGATTTATTATAGGGACTGACTCACATAATTATGGAGGCTGAGAAGTTCCACAATATGCTGTCTGCACACTGGAGGCCCAGGAAAGCCCAATTACCACTTAACAGTTCCAGCCTTAGCTCCAAGACTTGAGAACCAGGGAAGCCAATGGTGTAAGTCCCAGTCCCAGTTTGAGTCCAAAGGCCACAGAACCGGAAGCTCCAGTCTCCTAGAGCAGGAGAAGATGAATGTTCCAGCCCAAGCAGACAGAAGATTTATCCTTCTTCTACCTTTTCATTCTGTTCAAACCCTCAACAAATTGTATGATTCCCATCTACATTGGTGTGAGTGATCTTTGCTTCATCTACGAATTCAAAGGCTGATCTCTCCCAGAAATACCCTTACAAACACACCTAGACAGAATGTTTTCCCAGCTGTCTATGAATCTCTCAGCTAGTCCAGCTGACACATACAATTAACCATTAGAGTTCCTATGTTTACTTTTATAATTTTTATTGTCACTTTGGTTTAATAGGTAGGTATCCCATGATTGTAGATAGCTAACTATCCTGTGATCTCATCTTAATCAAGTATTCAAATTTTCTGATAATTTTTTATATTTTGCCTTTCCAAAATCACAACCTAAATCATATCTCTTGCATCTTAAAACTATCTTTGAGATTCCCCAGATAAATCACAAAGGATTTGTTTGCTCATCATGTGAAAAGAGAGGTACTAGAAATAATTAGGTTTATTTGAATATTACTATTAATGAGTTGCATGGGAAGAGATGTTAAATGTGAAGAGATGCTCAGCCTTCCCTAGGTTAAATTTGTATGACTAAATGTTTATGAATATAAGGATTTCAGTAATTATGTGCTGTTTGGGAAGTTCTTAAAGAATTGCCAGTGCCCTCACCATTGATGATATGTTTCTGTTTATTTGAATCTTGGCACTGCTTTGCCTGTTATTAAACAATGACAGTCTAGTGTTATCAATCATAATTTCAGTTATTTTTTAACATGTGACTTGTCACAACTTTACTTCTTTAATTTGAATCTAGCATCTTCAAAGCCCGTGGTTTTCAAATAGAGATTTTTATATTACTTACCTGTAGTGTTTTACTAACATACACAGATATTTAAGACCTACTCAGACTTACTGAGTCTCTTTACTTGATATATATTATTGATGTATTCTTACTATATTCTTTGCATATTCATGGTCTATTATGTCAGGATTATTATATATCTCAATATTTTTTTCTCTAAGATGATTATGTTCATCTGTTTTCATTAATTAGGTGTACTATTCATGAAAATAGGTCTAATTATTATGTTTATGAATATTTTATCTAAATCATTTTAAATTGAAATTATTCTCTTATTTTGCATGCCACAGAAACAATCAAAAATATTTGTACACTTGCATTATTCTTGTAATGAACTCTTATCAGGTCTTTCACTTTTGGAACTTACCAGTGTGAAGGTAACCACAGCAGTTTTAAGTCTCTTGTCACCTACAGGTAGTTTTCTGTTTCACTCTGATGTTTCCTTGAAAGTGCAACAAGCTAGAGGCCAGAAAGAGACTTATTTGTCCTGGTCCAAGTCAGCTATGGTTTGATAATGTTGCTTCATCTTCAACAAAGAAGGATCATCTCAGAGCCTGTGAAAAGGACTATACCAGGTACTTCAAAGTACAGGCTTCTGGCATCACTTACACAACTTTGAGACCATATCCATGGAATGAATGAGGATTTCCAGAACATAGTTCAGAAATAGATGGGCTCATGAGACTGCTAACCCAAGATCAAGTGAAACAAGAATTAATTACATAGGACTGATGACCTGATCAGAGATAGCTGTGGGGGTTTTTCTGGAATATTATTGCTATTTTAATGTTCTATTTTCTGGATATATAAAGAAGTTCCTTTGCTTTCCTCATAAGCTACCTCGAACTCATAACAATCAAGTAGACTCAGCTTTTATAAACCAAAATGAAACATTTGTAGATGATAATATATGTTATTCCATATGACTAACCCCTCCAGAATTTGGAATCTCTTATTTAATATTCTTGTTCAATATAGTTATTTCCACAGATTAATTAAGAATCTGTCCTACTTGTTATCAGGACAAAATGAGAAACATTGATTGTGCAACCAAGGCTTTGTCTGGAATGTCATGTTGGAAAATGATGTTCATTTAATCAAATATGACCAAACACTTTTAAGAAACTAAGGTTGATTTTATGGAGGTAATGCTTTGCAAAGCCCTTTTGGGACTGGCCTGGTATCTGGTTTATAAGTTCTCAGCCTTACAGGTAGGTAATAATGAAGGTCACTTCTTGGCAGACCCAGGAACTATAGTTTATTTTGTGGACCTCCAGAAGGGAGGATTTATAAGAACTACAGGTAAGATATAAGAGCAAATTCTTGGCTTGGCTTCCTATCCTCAAGAGGCTTTTCAAAGACTAATCTGAAATTCCTTCTGAAAACATTAATCAAAGAAACTTAAGAAGGCCTACATGGTAAATTACTATTCTTGCTACGCAATGTAAATAATCAGGCCAAATCTAAGGAGACTAGCCTTATTTTATTATCAAAAATAATCTTTCTTTGAGATTATTATAAACTGAAAATTTTAAGCCACCCATCTACCAAATGGACTCTCTGTTGGCCAAGAAGACCTGAAAGAAACCTGAAAAACTGAGTTCCTGCCATAATGGGAAGGGAGGTTGGGCACACCTCAATATACCCCCACCTTTTGGCCTTTAGGCACAACAACTGATGAGCACTAATGTTTAAATAGAGATTATAAGACAGACAAAACAGACTCTTAGATGCAATAAAGTACCAAATTATAAACTAGACCTAAGGCCATGCCAGACAGGAGTTAATTCACATCTGTAGCCATCAGTCTTGCTAAGCAGGTCATATTGTGGCTGATTCTGACATAGCATTTTTATTTTAACTTGAACATTTCATTCTGCTAACTTCAGGATTTTAGACAACATTTCATTTCTTTAACCAATTGCAGATTAAAGAATCTCTGAATCCACCTATGACTCGTATGCCCCCGCTTCAAGATATGCTACCTCTTCAGGCCAAACCAATGTATACCCTCCATGTGTTGCTTTACAGCTTTGCCTGCAATTCTTGCCTTCCTGAAATGTATAAAATCAAATTGTAATCTGACCACCTCAGGTACCCATTCTCAGGAATCTTGAGACTGTATTTCCCTGGACTATAGTTGTTCATATAGGTCCAGGATAAATCTCTTTAAACTGTTTGTTTTTTCCATTAACATTATCTTTGATGGTATGACTTCAGAGAGATGAGAGAAATTTTGTGTTTTGGAAAACTGTGCATAGTCTATAGCATACCATTCTAGGTTATCAGATTCTTGCCTGGTTCACTGTCTTTGAAGCATGTTGCACATATTTGCACAATTTGTATATTGTAGGTAACTGATGGATATGCAAACTGGCTTGTCTAATGGCTACTTAATTGACTTCTCCCCACTCTGGAAAAATCAGTTTTGTTATCTATCTGCAAATTATACTGGAACCTGTTACTTGCTCAAAATGTCAACACACACCAGCTTTTTAATTCTTTTAGTTTCCTTCACTATCTGGCTATAACCCTCTCCACTATCTTTTTCAATTTTTTTCTCTCCTGCCTGACTCAGCACCACTAATAACTAAAACTCAACTGCCCAGATGATTATCACGGCTCTGGTTTGCCTTGCAATTGGCCATTCCTCCACTCTCCACCCCCCTGCTTCCCACTTTCCACCCCCTGTCTGAAGAAGATGGCTCGGTATTAACCTTGATGGACTCACCATCACAGCAGATCATGCAAGGGCCAGATTTCTCTTTAGATAAGCCTCTATCTGGGCCACTAGGGAATTCCTTTGACAGGCTTGAGTCATGCACGTCCTTAAATGAGAGGAAACCAAGACTGTAGATAACTTCACCAACAGCAATGATATTCAAGATATTCAGCAGGCAGTGCCACATAACCAGAAGACTTTCCTCTACCACATTGGAAATCCACTTGGAATCCAGTGGATTGGTTACCCTCCCATTTACCTTTCACAATATATTTTAATTCTTGGCATGTCTCCTTTAAAGGGCCTGATCTCCAGGAACCTAAAACAACTGACCTTTGCCACCACCTTTCGACAGATGGTTCAACTAATTTTACAGAACCAATGCCAATGAGAATCTTGGGGAGACAAGTTCTTAGACACCACTTTGCCCCATATAGGAAGTTTATGATCATTTATGAGTTCTTTGTTGACAAATGATATTTATCCTTTTGAAAAAGAGGGAAGACTGACAATGTTGAAATTTTTCTGAGCAGTGTGTTCCATAAAGCAGAGAAGATTGGGAAAATTGAGAAATCTCCCCTATCCCTTTGTATATTGAGAAACCACCAACCAGCAAAGGATCCTTTTGCTGTCCTGCATTCTGAGGTAAGTTCTGCCTCCACCTTTCCTCGGTGACTTAGCCGAGACCCATTTCCATTCTTCCTCCTGATTCTGATAAGACTTGCTGATGACTCTTTTTTCTGCCTCTATAAAGCTCAAGGCTCCCCTTCCTTTTCTTCAACAAGTTCCTCATTGAGGAAGTTCTCCCTGTTGCAATAGCCTGAATAAAATCATCACCTAATTGTCATGTGCATTTTATCTTTCACATTGAATACAGAAGGACCATTTCAAACCAAATAAGAGTATCATGATAGAGAACAACAGCACTGCTCATGTGTGAGTCAGAAAGCATCCTATGCTTATATATCCTTTCCTAAATATGAACTTTTGTTTTCCATTGAGTTAATTTTTATTTATTTCTGTACTTGGCTTTCTTTAAATCTCTGGCTTGATCTGACCACATTCTCCAACTCTGTAAAAGGCTTTTCTGTACAGTTTCCCTTTTATTCTTTTCTTGGAAACTTCTCCCCTAAGGTTCTTCATCCTCCAGTTCCAGTCTATACTGGTTGCCCTTTTTGTCTACTATAAAGTGCTAATTATAGGAATTTCCTCTTTTCTAAATTGGGATCTCATTTTACTTTTTCTTCTGTGACTCACTGATTTTCATGGAGCATATCCTACAGAATCTCCCTGAGAAAAGACATGTAGAAGACTCATTTTTTTAGACCATCTGGTAAGCTCTGTATTCTACTCTCATACTTGATTGACAGTTTGACTGGGTATAAAAGTCTAGGTTCATGATCATTTTATTTCACAATTTAGAAGGTATTGCTTCATTTTTGTCTAGTCCCAAGTGTTACTATTGAAAAATCTCCTTTTGATTCCTGTTCCTTTGTATGTGAATATTATTATTGCTGTTATTATCATCATCATCATCTGTGGAAGCTTTCAGAATCTTCTCTTTATCCTAATTGTATTGATATTTTATGTAAATGTGCCTTGGTATGGCTTTTATTAGTAGTAGTATTGCTTTTGTGGGTAGTTGGAAATTTTGTTGAGTGGTTATAGTCAGTATCTTTCAGTTTGGAAAAGTTTTTCTTGCATTATTTCTTCTATTTTCTCTGAACTCCTCATCTGAAATTTCTGTTATACAGATGTTAGAACCTCAGAATAATCATATTTTCTTATACTTGTTCCTATTGTCTAATTCTTTATCTTTTTGTTCTATTTATCTCAATTTAACAAGAGCTACAAATAGCTCTTGTTAAAGAGGTATGTGACCTCAACTGTATCCTCTAATCTTTCCATTATATTTATTTCTGCCATATTTCTGATATCCAAGGGCTGTTTATTGTTCTTTATATGTCCCCTCTTTATACAGCTGGATTGTATTTTTTTACTACTGGAATAAAAATATTTTCTTATCTCTCCGAAGATACTAATGATAGTTTTGTTTTAAGCTTTTCTCTGCTTTCTGCATCACCTCCTCTGTCATCTGTTGGTTCATTTAATGAGAGATTTTTCTCAAATACCAGTGATTCTTGGTAATTGATCCAAATTTAAAAGTGTGACAGCAAACCTAGGACTAGTAAGCCTATTGTCCGGGAAGAGCTTATTGACCGTAAGATCCCACTCTGAAGTTTTTGAGAAGGCCTGGTTATTTTGTAGGGAACCCCACAGGAGTAAACCTGGTTGTCATCCTTCTGAGATGCAAGCAGAAAAAAAAGGCAAGAGAAATTTCACACTTCTATGTGTTAAGTTCCACTTATTGTTTTCTTACCCCATGGCCTATTGCCCCTTCCGTCAGGTTTCCCTGATGTTACTAGGGCTGGTTCTTCCATGTTTCAATGTCTTCAAAAAGTAAAACTTGAATATTTTACTAGACCGAGGGAGGGGAGTCTCATTACTGTATGATATGGGGAAGTAGGTCTGAGGGTCTCAAGCTTATCCTTTTAAAGACATTTAACCAAACTGGTTTTCCACTTAGGTTCACACTTCTACCTTCAGAAGTACTTGGTGATTCCAGTTCCTGGCCTTTCTAGTATTCAGTTAAGCCAATTGTTACTTCTTATTTTATTTGTCTCTTACAGTTAGGTGTCAGCTTTCTCTGCTCTGTGACATCAATTCCCACGTGTTCATCTGCTTTTTGACTCCTAAAATTTGATTAATATCTCTAGTTATTAGTTGTCTTCTTTCTCGTCCTTTTGTCCTTGTAGGTTCTTTTTTAAAATATTCCTTTATTGTTACTCAGTGGGGCTTTAAAAATAAACAAAGACAAGCATCTGTATTAAATTTACCAGGTTTAATTAGTTTCTTGCTGATTGTTCGGTACTCTTTATATTTTCAAAGCTGTAATCTTTTTCCTGCCACATATTTTACAATTTTACCCTCAATGTGATATTTATCTTCTAATATTGAGTATAGTGTTTTTTGAAGTATAGAATTTTTTTTAATGTAGTGAGTCCTACCTATATTCTTCATGTTAAAATTTAAAAAGCTTTCTCCACATTGAAGTCAGATAAACATTTACCTACAGTGATTTCTAGTTCACTTATAAGTTGGTTATTTGGTCTGTAGCTTAACTAGTGCTATATTTTGAGTGAGGTATTTCAGAATAATTGCTTTTCAAACTTGGAATGTACTGCAACTTTAAATTGCCAGGTGCCATATTTTTATATTGAAAACCCACGTTCAATTTCAATAACATTACCCTTCAAATATGGAACCCTTGCTAGGACCTGTTGACTGAAGAAATGATGATGCGCTCATCTCCACTCGACCCCTGCATCCATATTCCAAAGAAAAGGCCAAACTATTTCTAAATATAAAAAGTTACAATAAAGTTCTAGTTTTTCTTGTGCTAAATACTTTAATCTTTTTAACACCCAAAGTTGCCAACTAAAGGTTTCTTATGGCCTCAAAGGTCATTTTCAATTCAATGAGAGAAGAACTCAGTCCACCAGGTCTATAATGTATAAGCCATTACCCATGGAGTGGGCATTTCACAGTTGCCAGAAACAAGATTTTTCTCCTAATTTTTTTTTAAAAAGGCACGTCAAAAGAATATATAAAATGTATGATTAAATCTTTATTGGATTATATCCTCCTGAGATCTAATAGACTCTGAAACAAACAGTTAAAATAATTGCAAAAGGAACAATGAAAATATATGCCTCAGACCACTTCAAATAAGGACCTGTCGACTGAAGACATTGTGATGCCCACATCTCCACTCTACCCCTGCATCCATATTCCAAAGAAAATGCCAAACTATTTCCAAATAGAAAAAGGACATATAAAAATAGGTCCAAATAAGGACAGTGGAGATGCTTAATTACTCACAGGTGAGTGAAACAAGCCCTTCAAATCTTTTCTAGGTGAAGAATAGTATAAATAACTAGTAAATAAAACTAATAAACCTAAGATCAGGAGCCATCTTCAATTAGTACCTCCTTTTTTTTTTTTTTTTTTTTTTTTTTTTTGAGACATCTTGCCCAGGCTGGCCTTGAACTCTTGGGCTCAAGCAATCCTCCCACCTCAGCCTCCTGAGTAGCTGGGAGTACAGGCACATACCACTGTACCTGGCAGTCCCTCACTTTTAATGATCTCACTTGAGACAATTCAATCATTGGAGATGTGACAAGAAGCATGTTTCACATCTATTTGAAGTACCGCAAAGCGGGGCATGCACTCTGAAAATCTGATAAATAGTAAAGTAAGAAAAAGGAAACCATAGAACAGTTTCCCAGGGGAACTTGTTGGGGCTCAGAAGCCAATAACCCCAAAATGTGGGGCTTTCACCTGCTGAACTGCAGAAGCCTCAAGATCTCTCCAACCATTCCTGCTGCCTGTTCTCAATCCTTCCTTTTCCAAAGCACAGGAGGAAGTCATTCTCTGAACTTCCCTTATCTGCCTCAAGTCCAGACTTGCCAAAAAGAAAAAAATGACCTCTGGTCCCTTACTGAATTTTGATTAACTCATCGCAGGAAGAAAGATCAAAGTCTGTCTACATATCTGGACAGATTTGTCACAAACCACTGTCTGCTCTGCAAGCCCAACAGACTTTGTCCAGGCCTTTGTACATTCTTCAAGACCGTTGAATTCCCCTAAAAATCATTTATTACCTCCCTAAAATAATCCACATTTCCCCATCTTCCTTTTCCCTAAGAAGGGTATGTCAGCATCTCTATCCCAATTCGTGGTGGGATAATCACTCTGTGATTCTCCCCTGTGCATGTTAATAAATTTGTGTGCCTTTTCTCCCGCTAATCTGCCTTTTGTCAGTTGATTTTCAGCAAACATTTAGAGGGTGAAGGCAAAGTTTTCTATTGGTCCCTAGAAACGGAAAGGCTTTGGTGCTTATCAGAAGTGCATGTACAGTAGAGTAAAAAGGTAATGAGAGAGGTTACCAAAAGTAAGGAGGAGACACCAAGTCTATGCTTCTGCTCTCTAAAGTCAGGAATTTACTTCTGGAACTAAAATTTAGCTATCAAGTGATGTAACTTTGAGTAGGAAGACCACAGGGATTGACATGCAAATAGGCACTCCAGGCAACCCACACTGCTTGAATTCTGCCCCTGGGAGGAATATTTGGGGTACTCATTTGCATTGCATGTTGGTTACCAAAAAGCACATTCAGTTCACAGCCATTTTAAAGCACTCCTTGTCAGATCCTGGGAACAAACTGAAGTGTCTAAACAAAGGTGACTGAGGCAGTGAGTTCTCTTCTGTAACTCATAGGAAGACAATATGCCTTCTATTGGGAACATAAATATTCTTTTTAGATGTGTATCACGCAAACGGAGCCAACCAACTCATGTGAATACCTATTATTAGAGAAAGAATCTCTGACCATATTGGCCCCTTTTCTGCCTTAATCTCTGGATTCCAATGTCTTGGAGCTTCCAACTGAGCTCCTCTTCTCAGAAAGAGTAGTATCTCACTCTTCTGTTTCTGCATCTGCTTTCTATTTATAAAGAGTGCACTTTGGGAAAAGAAATGTTTCTTTCTTCAATCCACAGCAATATTTATTGCTGCAGGGGAATTCCAGTCTTGTTCTTTGGCAGCCTCACAGCTCTCAAGTCAAATAGGCAAAACAAATGCATTTTCTCTCCTTCCTTGAAAAAGATTGTGGCTAACAGGATGCTGTCTCTCACAAGTACAGCCATTTCAATTATTTTAAAACAAACAAACAAATAAAAAATAAACCAACCAAAGAAAAGATCCTTTTAAAGTCAGGACATTTTACTCTAGAAATTTCTTTCCTGTGGCATCTTTGTTAATCAGCACATTCAGTTCTCTTCAGCATTCTTCTTTATAGTGCCTACAATGCCTGGGCCGTGCAGTTGTGTTTCAGAGTGCCCACCTCTGGCCTCTTTCCACTTACCAGAAAAAAAAAAAATAAACGCAAGGTCACTCCATAGAATAACATATACTCAGCACTTCTAAGTCTCATAGAAGGATTAGTATTCTCCTAAGGACTGAATATCAACAGGACTGTAGGTTGCGTGATGGTGAATGCAGATGCAATGGAATGGATGATGTACTTTTAAATAGAATGGAACAGGAATCACGATAACATCTCTTTCCTTTGGACTGAGGGAGTGCTTTATTATGATGGTCAGATTTTGACAGTGAATATAAATGAACTGGGAGAACCCCCAACTGTTTCTGTCTCTTTGGTATGTACAAGACCAGTTCTTCAGGAATGTATTCTTAACAGTGGGATAATTATTTTAGACACGCTGGTGTAATGGACTTCGTCAGTCTCATTCACAAAGCTCATTTTAATGTGGATCAATTATCAACTACACTCAGAGAATCCCCTGGAGTTAAATTCCAGCCATTTTTACTAGTGACACTCAACAGGCAAAAATGGCCTTTCTCAACCTCACAATCAAGGACTATGCAAAGAAAATGCATAAAAGTAGCTCAATAGATCACATAATAATTGTTTATGCACAATAAGCTGCAAATAACTATCTCCTTAAGGAATACCTTGCTGTGTACCTATTGCTTTTAATCTCACCTAATTCCTTTCAGTATATTAGTTTTGCTCCACATAGGTACAATACAGACATTTTTCATAACATGCAAACAACGGTAAATCACATCTTACCCTATGTTTACAACCCAATGCAAATATTTAACATGTATCTCATTTCTTTATTTTCAAAGCACCTTCTATCATGTGAAAGAAATAGTTTAGTTTCAATCACTGTACCAAAGAATAGAGATATAAAGAAAAAAATAACTTTGACTACACACAGTCTATGACACAGCTGAAACTGAATTCGGAAGTTCTAAGGTGCATTATTCTCATCAATGTAGGTATAATGCGTAGAACTCTTGGCCACAGAAGCCATAGAATGAGGGCTGCTTATGTAGTGGAAAGTGTGTACCCTGTAGATGTCTTACTTCCCAATTTTTTTTCTTATTTTTTAGTACATATATATATATATATATATATATATATTTTTTTTTTTTTTTTTTTTTTTTTTTTTTTTGAGACAGGGCCATGCTCTGTTGCTGGAGTGCAGTGGTGTGATCCTAGCTCACTGTAGACTGGAACTTCTGGGTTTAACTGATCCTCCTGCCTCAACCTCCTCAGTAGCTGGGACCACATGCATGCACCACCACAGCCAGCTAATTTTTTTAACCTTTTGTTGAGACGGGAACTTGCCATGTTTCCCAGGCTGGTCCTGAATGCCTGGCCTCCAGCGATCTTCCCACCTCAGCCTCCCAAAGTTCTGAGACTACTGGTGTGGGCCACTGCACCCAGCCAATGTGTTTTTCTATAAATCATTTGTTCTTATATTCTTCACCAATGGCCTGAATAAAATAATTAATGGCATAATTACTTAAGATCTTTGAAATTGTTAAAAAAGAATCTGATAAATGGATTTAAAATTGTCTTTTCTACGAGTATCATTACTGTAATTTGGTTATATGTAGGGTTTTTATTGAGCACTTGTTTTAGTCTATCTATTTGTGCTGCTATTAACAGAATACCTGAGACCGCATAATTTACAATGAACAGAAATGTATTCCTCACAGTTATGGAGGCTAGGAAGTCCAAGATCAAGGCTCCAGCATCTAGCAAGGGCCTTCTTGCTGTGTCATCCCATGGCAGGAGGCAAAAAGGCAAGAGAGGGCAAGAGAGGGCAAGAGGGGGCCAGACTCACCATTTTATTAGGAGCCCATTCCTGAGATAGCAAATGCACTCCCAAAACAATAGCATTCATCAATTCATGAGGAGGGTTCCCCCATGACCCCAACACATCCCATTAGGTCCTACCTCTCAACATCTAATATTGGAGATCAAGTTTCTAACACGTGAACTTTGGGAGACACATTCAAACCATAACACACAATTATCATTCTTAAATGCTAAGACAGAAGATTTAGGCTTTTTCTTTAAGCTATCACTTAATGTTCCTAGGCCACAAAAACCTCTATAATCCTTAAATTTTTTAATATTGATAATAATTAAAATAAGTGTATATTTGATCAACAGAATAAAAATTTTCATAAAGGTAATATTCATAATAACATTAGTAACTATCAGCATACTGAGTTATTTGAAATCATATTTCTTGGAGACTAGTTGTTTACCAAGGAGAAAATCCTATGTTAAGTACTGACCCTTTAATTCTGGTATGAAATTAACTCCTTTTTTAAGGCAAAGTCCTGTTCAAAGCAACTGTGATTTCAGACTCTAAAGAAAGATCAGTTCTAATCGAAAGTTGCATTGCTCTACACAATCTTATTTTGTAGGAATTACATCTTCAACTTTATATGTTGACCAAAAATTTTTTAAAAAGATGTGTTCACAAAAGAACTGGGATAGTTTCTAGAAGTAAAAAGAGACACAGAGATGAGTTTTACTACCATATGTTGAATAAGTGGTGAGTCCTGACTCTTTTTTTTATTTCTTAATTCAAAAATGTGAACACATTTCCGTTCAACTTTGCCTAAATAACATGATCATTCTTCTTTGTCTTTATTTTGGTTTTCTACCATTGCCAATATTTTTCAGTTTGATGAGAAACAAGACTTTCAGGATGAATTACAGGGAGAGAGAAGAAATAAGATGGTTGCAAATCCCAGAGAAATAGATCAAGATTAAATAAGATGAATAAATTGAGTTGGGGGAGGAAAAAAGTGAATGAGACAAAGGGAAATATCTTAATTGGGGCACATTTAAGAAATTCACAGTTTACAGAAACAAAACCACTTCAGGTAGCTTAAGTGTATTAGTCTCTTCTCACGCAGCTAAGAAAGACATATCCGAGACTGGGGAATTTATAAAGGAAAGAGATTTAATGGACTCACAGTTCCACATAGCTGTGAGGCCATGGGAGGCCTCACAATCACGGTGGAAGGCAAATGAGGAGCAAAGGTGCATCTTACCTGGCGGCAGGCAAGAGAGCATGTGCAGGGGAACTCCCCTTGATAAAACCATCAAATCTCGTGAGAGTTATCTGCTATCACGAGAAAAACACGGGAGAGATCCGCCCCCACGATTCAATTACCTCCTACAGAGTCCCTCCCACAACACCTGGGAAATATGAGAGCCACAATTCAAGACGAGATTTGGGTGCTGACATAGCCAAACCACATCATTAAGTAAAAGTGGGATCTCAGAGCCTCCAGAGATGAAAGTAAAGCAGAGACAAATTCACACAAGACCAGGAGCTGGAAGAGAATGTTTCTTCTATTAGTCAGGATTCTCTAGAGGGACAGGACTAATAGGATAGGTGTATATATGAAAGGAAGTTTATTAAAGAGTATTGACTCACACAATCATAAGGTGAAGCCCCACAATAGGCCGTCTGCAAGCTGAGGAGAAAGGAAGCCAGTCCGAGTCCCAAAACCTCAAAAGTAGGGAAGCTGACAGTGCAATCTTCAGTCTATGGCCAAAGGCCCGAGAGCCCCTGGCAAACCACTAGTGTAGGTCCAAGAGTCCAAAAGCTGAAGAACCTGGAGTCCAATGTTCAAAGTTAGGAAGCATCCAGCACGAAAGAAAGATGAAGGCCAGAAGACTTAGTCTAGTCTATGTTCTTCTGCCTGCTTTTATTCTGGCAGCACTGGCTGCTGATTAGATGGTGCCCACCCAGATTGAGAGTGGCTCTGCCTTTCTTAGTCCACTGACTCAAATGTTAATCTCCTTTGGAAATACCCTCACAGACAGACCAAAGAACAATACTTTGTATCCTTCAATCCAGTCAAGTTGATGCTCAATATTAACCATTACATTGCCCTCCACCTCTCAAAGCCACGTGGCTTCCCTCAATTCTGCCTCTCTGCTCTGGCCTCTAGCTTTCTAACTTTCTCTTCAAAACTGTTGTTTCTTCTTCCCCTAATCCCTGATAGGTAGACAGCTCTGGTTTGCCATAGCACTTACTGACACCCACTCCAGCTTGACAAGACCAAGTTATCTTAATGCCAACAATGCCTCCACTCTGATTGACCCAGCTTTGGTCAAGCACCAACCCATCTCCAATCAGCTCTGTTCAGGGGGAGGAATCAGATAGCAATAAGGTTGCCCCTTCCAGACTAGGAGTGAGGCAAGATTTCTAAAATGGGGTTGTAGGAAGGCATTAAATGACCAGCATCTGTATACTATTAAGTAGAATCAACCCTGAGGATTTATATAGAAACAGCCACTTGTTTTTCAGGCCTAGTCATGGTACTAGAAGGCTGTGTTTGAGACTGGGCAGAGAAGAGTGAAAATGATGAGACTGATGTTAAAAAGCAATGAATTAAAATTTCCATAAGAAGTCAAAAGCAGGAGTCTCTGAAGAATGGTCATGATGATACAGATAGGCACATTGATGTGTTTTATTTGTTTAGAACAAAATGTTACCCATAGCTTTGCCTTTTCATATGGTAGAAATAGAAAAGAATGCCAGTCAATAGTTGTGACTGAAAACTATAATTTCAATTGGCTATGTTAAAAATATCTATCTATAAAGCACAATAAATCAAATAAATAACAGTATTTCTATTCGTAAACAATTAAATATGGGGCAGAGAAAAAGGCATTCATAATGTACCATCATAGAATACAAACCAATCTGTTGTCAGGTATAAAGACAGAACTCAAAAGCCTGAATCACTAATCTCCTCTGGGTTACCATATTTAGTGTATTTACAAAAATAAAAACCCCTCTCTTATATTTGATACAGAATTCCTTAATGTAAAAAGAAATAGAACTCTTCAAAAATAAGAAAATTAGTAAGACTTAAGGGTTTTAAATACCTTTATTTAGTATATCAAATATATATTTACCTAATCAAGAGAAAGTTTACTTTCTTGTTTTACCCAGCATTCATTTACAGCTTAAATTCATTACATAATTTTCCACTGAAGCAGTTTCAGTAGTTCCCAATATGCTTTAAGGAATAACAAAAAATTAATTTGTGATTGGTATATTAATGGCAGATCTGACTGAAAGGAGCTTTTTCTAGAACTCTTTTCCCGGGTCTGTAGGTTTAAAACATCGGTGACATTTTACATATTAACCAAGTATATGCCTAAATAAATAAGTCTGTATGTGTG
This sequence comes from Homo sapiens, assembly GCF_000001405.40. Taxonomy (NCBI): domain Eukaryota; kingdom Metazoa; phylum Chordata; class Mammalia; order Primates; family Hominidae; genus Homo; species Homo sapiens. The sequence continues at coordinate 34,822,323 of NC_000013.11, forward strand.
AAAACACATAATACATACACATATGTGCATTACATGTATGTGTGCATAATATGTATTACATACATATGCATATTACATATATGTGTATATGTACATATAAAAAACAAACTTTTGCAAAACACTAGTTATTTTTTATGTGTGCAGTATTCTCTGATATGTTGCCCTCTTCCTATCCTATTTTCTCTTTTAAAAAATGCTCATCACAACCCACTAAATTGATTTCACAAATCACTAATGAGTTGCAATCTGCAGCTTGAAAAACACTGCTGTAGACCAATTAAATATTGTACTTTATTTCAGGTTTCTTTAATTAGTTTGATATACCTGGAGACGTGTCATTTGGAAATGATAGCCAAGACCAGTGTAGGACTTAGACTGGTATACAGACACATAAACATTCCTCCTAGTAACCCCTGTAGCCTTTCTCTATAAATTAGTATGGCTGGCATCACTGTAAATCTTGTAGGCATTTCCTTTATCTGTAGAAAGTATCTATTTTCAAATGGAGAAAAGAATCCCCACTGAAAAACAAACTAAACCACATAGTAAATCTAACAAAGTGATTAATGGGATTGGTTGTCAGCAAAGTTCAGCTTCCTTCCCTCAAGAAGTGTGAATAGCACCTCAAATTCATCTTCCTTAATATGTTACCACTTAGTGTGGTGTTCTAGAGATACATTTGCTAGTTAATAATTAATCAGAAGGATCTCTACTAAAAGCAGCAGAAGGGAGGATGAATGGATAGGTTTTGCCCTGCATAGAGGAAAGTTTACAACAATGACACCCTAGCATAATGTCTGCAAGACATAAGTACACTGGCCTTGATGAAACCTGGATAGTGTGTTAGATTTTTTTTAACGCAATGCTCTTCAGAAATAAACAAGTTTTATTCCCCCTACTCCAATAATGCTCACTATTCCACACCACCTCTCTTCTTGGCCCACATGCCCCCTAAACCTTTCCTATCCTAAAATATCCTGGGCTTGTTCATCAGAGTGCTCATCCTGACTGTATTAATTATTCTGTAACTGTTTGTCTTATGTCTGCTATCCTGCTTAGACTGCAAGTTGCCTACTTCACCGTGGAGTCCACAGTGCCTATCCCAGTGCTTGCAACATCAATGATACTCAATAAATACTTGTTGAATGAATGGGTGAGTGGATGGATGAAAGTGAAGGAATATATCAGAATATAGATTATCATGTGTTTTCTGCTCCTAAATAGAGGTAGAGACTAAACACACCGGTGACAAACTCTCTGCATTCACTGAAAAGCATGCTCACTTCCTTCCTGTTCACCCAAACCAAGAATGCTTAATTATGTTCAATTCTCTCCTCCCCACATTGTGTCCCATTCAACTAAGGTTAATTGGGTTCCTGTCACAAGTGAGCAACCACAATCTCTCTAATCCATCTGCTTCTCTCCATAGCTTGTACCTCAGCTCACCATTTCTCCCTTAGGTTGTTGCAGTAGTCTCTTAAATCTTCCCTGCATCCTGCCTCCAATAGTGTTCCTGCCCCAGCCTATTCTGCAAATAGCTTCCCAAGGAATCTTCCTGAAATACATATCATTCCTCTGCTCAAAGCCCTCAAAGCCAAACCTCTAAGTCTCACAGAAAAAAGGCCCCACCTTTTTTCCTGCATTTACCTTCCTGACATCAATTTCATATCCTACTTATGTAGCAAAACTCACAATTTGCTGAACGTACTATACCGTTGCATCACTCCATAACTTGAACATTCTGTTCTTTCTTCTTGATTATCCTTCCCACTTTCTTCACCTAAGATACTTCATTCATTCCTAAAGATTTAATGCAAATAATACATTTTTTGTGAACCCTTCCCTAGTCTATTACCTTCCTACACCATTCCTTAGAACTATATATATATTGAGCACCTACTGAATTCCAGGTCCTGTGTCAGGTGCTACGGTTGCCAGTCTAGTGGTGGAGATGCTGTGGTGGCCTCAGAGCAGAATGAATATCCTGACTGGAAAATATAGGGTGGAACAGAGGCACTAGGCTAGAAGCAGCTCTTAGCCCAGACTTTTGGAGATAGCGAGAGTAACATCCAAACAAATGTTTCTTAACCAGTGGCAATTTTGCTGGCCCTACCCCATCCCTAGGGCATTTCCCAATATCTGGAGACAAGTTTGATTACCACAACTGGGCGAGCACTTGCTACTGGGCTCTGGTGAGAAGACAGAGATGCTACTAAACCCCTTTCCAAGTCTCACCACAGGATAGCCCCCAACAACTAAGAATTACACAGTCCAAAATGTCAAAAGTGCTACCGATGAGAAACCTTGATCTAAGCTAAAAGCTGCTACATGAATAGGAGTTGGCCAGGTGGAAGAATGAGGGGACAGTATGGTGGAGGTGGAGCAATGACAAAGAATGGTGTTCCAGGAAGTGACAACTGCTTAGGTGAAGGACCTCCACATTGATTCATTTGCCAATACCTTAGTGTGATAAAATAGACGTAACACAAAATGCACCATTTTAATCCCTTTTAAGTGTACAGTTCTGTGGCATTAAGTACATTCGCATTGTTGTGCAACCATCTCCACCATCCATCTCCAGAACTTTTTTCTCTTCCCAAACTGGAACTCTGTACATTAAACAACAACTCCCCATTCCCCTCTCCCCCAGCCCCTGGAAACCACCATTCTCCTTTCTACTCTCTGTCTGAATACTCTACTATCTACTCATAAGTGGGAATCATACAATATTTGTCCACTTGTGTCCGGCTTATTTCGCTTCATAATGTTTTCAAGGTTCATTCATGTTGTACCTTGTGTCATATTTTCCTTCCTTTTAAGGTTAAATAATATTCCATTGTATGTATATATCGCATTTTTTATGTATCAGTGGAAACTTGGGTTGCTTCCACCTTTTGGCTACTATAAATAATGCTGCTATGAACATGTGTGTATAGATATCTGTTCTAGTCTTTGTTTTCAATTATTTTGAGTATATACCCAGAAGTCATCCACCAGTTATTTTTATATACCAGTTAATTTCCTGGCATTGATCTAGTGTTTGGTATACGGTAAGAATAAGACCCAAGATCCCTCTGTCATGGAACCTATATTCTGGTGAAGGCAAGCAAAATAAATAAACCAACAAACAAAAGAGATTATTGCAGAAAGCATGATTAAGAAAATAAGCAGAGGTAATATGGAATGAATATGAGTGAATCTTAAAGTGCTAGGGAGGGAGTGGAAAGCAGGAAAGATAGCAGAAGCCTTCTCCTGCAGGACAGCCAGCTCAGGACTCTATATTTCATTTTATGGGCAATCAAAAGTTCAAAGAAGTTGAGAAGTTAAATAAATTGCCCAAAGTCCTACAGCTAATAAATTCTACAGGCCAGGCTAGAATCCCATATCATTGTCTGTCATTACTATATAGATTTTCTTTTCAACTGAAACATTGGAATAAGGTACATGTTTATTTTTATTTTATTTTATTTTTTTTTTTTTGAGACAGAGTTTTGCTCTTGTTACACAGGCTGGAGTGCAATGGCGCAATCTCAGCTCACTGCAATCTCTGAGACTACCTCAGCCTCCCGAGTAGCTGGGATTACAGGCATGCGCCACCACACCCGGCTAATTGTGTATTTTTAGTAGAGACAGGGTTTCTCCATGATGGTCAGGCTGATCTTGAACTCCCGACCTCAGGTGATCTGCCTGCCTCAGCCTCCCAAAGTGCTGGGATTACAGGCGTGAGCCACTCCGCCCAGCCGGTGCATGTTTATTAAACACGACCATTAGAACACTGATCTTCTCCATTTGCTGCCATAACGCTCCCCAGAATCAACTCTGTGAGTGGCTAGAGGACATCTTACTCTTCTACTTACCCACACTCATTCTATCCTCAGCTCTGCCACTGGTGTTCCTCTTTGTTGAAAGAGATTTTCTACAAGTAAAGAATAAAATAGTATTGACTCTAAAAAGAAATGTTATACTTCCTTGTAGCCTAGCTTTAAAATAAACAACTTCTATTCCATACAACATAAAAAAAATACAAACTGAGTAAGTAATAACAGACAAAAATACAGAAGAGTTCTGTCAAACAATAGGGATGCTGTTTTTTCTGACCTTTGCTTTCCACTGAGGTCATGTGCAGCTTACATAAATATTACGTGAAACTTGTTTTGCAAAGAATCACTGTCTATGATGATTTATAAAGACAGAAGTCTGCTGGCAAATCTACCTTTTAACATATTACAAGCTTTTCTAGCAAGAGGAAGAAAGTGACCCTTTCTTGCTAAGCAAATGGGCATATCCTTTCATGTAGGATTAAGACCTTAACGCAGCTAATGTGTGCAGTTCAGATTTATCAAAGCTTCTTTATGAAAGAATGTGTCAGGTGACAACATGTGTTGCAATCCAGTTGAAAATCCAAGCTTTATTGGTTAAATGAGCAAGAATAGGTTATGACACAAAGTTTATATCAGGAAAAAAAAGTTCTTTCCCTTTAAAACATTCTCATTTAATCTTTTGCAATAAAGAGCTGTTGTATAATTAAATAGTAAATAGACATTCTTAGCCTTTAAAATGTTTTATGAAAAGTGGCCAATTTTGCTTAATATATTTGCTCCATCAACAAATAGTTGCTGAACAACTATTATGTGCAAAGCCCTTTAATAGGTGCTATTAAAATTGTAATGTGTCATTGTGAAGTTGAACATTTTCTTACAGATTGGTCTGGTATAATAAAAAACACCCTATGTGAAAATATTTCACGGGCTTTAGGAAAGTTTTAACTTATTAAGAGTCCCATAATTACTGCCAGGGGGCCTCTTATGGTTGTCACTTAGAATTGACCTCAGATAATAACACTTCATAAATACACTACTTAATGTAAGACAGCGGGAAGTAAAAAGAACTTTTCATGGATTTGCTTTGCGCAGGATCATCTTCCATCTCTCTTATATCTCCTCCGCTTCCTTTTTAGTTATTCCATAGTCAACACATTTTTGTTATGTGTCAGGCACTGTGCTTGATGTTGAAAATACAAAGGCGAACAAGAAAGACAAGATTGCTGCTGTGTGAAGTTTACAATCTGGTTGGGGAGATAAACAAATGATGCAGTAACATGAAGTTCACAAGCATTGTGACAGGGAACACAAAGATCACCATTAGGGCACAGAGCAGAGGCATCAAAACCCAGTCTCCAGCATAGCACTGGGAGACGGAAAAGGGGAAATGCAGGAAAAACATCCCAGAGGAAGAAATATTTATCTCACCCCTCAAAAATTCCCCAAATTCTCATCATCACTAGGGGAAGAGCCCAGATTTTGAGCACAGGTTTTGAAGCCAGTTCCATCTGACTCCTCTATATCATACTGCTGGGCACTCCGTTGCCCCTGGATGGGTCATTCTTGAATTGGTCTTACTTCCTTAAATCCATGACTTTATGAGCCTGAGGGAGCCCCAAGGAAGGTGCTACCCCAAGCTGTAATGTTATCGCCACCACTCCATTTGGTTGCTTTGGTTTTAGGAGTGAATCTCAATTTCTATTGAGACTGGAGTACTCTCCTAACCCCAAGTAGTTTTTCCAGGATCCCAATTCATTGGCCTAGCTCTTACAAATTCTCCCACTCCCATCCTCACTCTTCCCAGGGATCAAAGGGCTCAGCCCTCAGAACTTCCACTGCAAGATGGAGTCCTATTCTATCATAAGATTTGCCTCTCATTTCACCTCACCCTCAAATTGAACCCCCAGAAAACATCATTTCCTGGGGAAGGTACCCACATCTCAACTACTGCTGGCTAACTGCCAGTTGTCTTCTCACTTAGGGTGGGAGTGTGTGTCCATTAAGATTCTTTGGTTGCTTACAACAAAAATCATTTTGAGCTTCTTTAGTGGAAGAAAAATTAAGCACACTGGGAAAAAAGTTGAGTAGTTCACAGAGCTAAAAGAAAATCTAACGTTTCAAAAATCAGAAGGCCAAAAACCAGAGCTGTCCTGGGCATTGAGGTAGCAGAAATGAAGGGGAAAGCTCTCGAGGAGGCCACTACTGAGGTGACTCTACTTTGAATGCATTCCCCAAGACTTCAATTCCAGGGAGAAGACATCAAATTGGACAAGCTTAGGTCATGTGCTCACCCACTGGCCAGAGGAAGACAAGCACCACTATTGACTATATCCAATGGAAGAGGAGTGATTGTCCACAGCACAGCTGGAATGCTGTTACAACAAGAAGGGAGAGTAGACACAGTATTGCAAAAATTAAAGCATCCACTCTAGTGGTCAGTCTTGCTCCTGGGTGATTTTTCAGAGTCCCAGTCCTGAGAATTCCCAGCCTATACCTTTCTCTGTACTTGAATATAGTTTCAGCATGCCTTCTAGCCAGTCCACAAGGATTCCAAACTCGCAACATAGGAGCACCAGAAGTCTTTGAATATCTGACCCTCAAATCAAAGTAACTGTTATACTTAATTTTAAACTGTATTACTTCAGAATGGTAAATTTTTAGGACTAGCCATGTAAATAACAATGAGAACCCACAAATAAATCCCCTTGTTGTATTTTTTTAAATTCTGTATGTTCTTACAATTTAGAGCAACTCCTTGAAGAGAAAAGGCATGTCCTGTGCTATCCTCACACTCAAAAAATTTTTCTTCCTCTTGAGCTAAGATTTTTTTTTTAGCTATTTTTCCACTTGCAGTTTTAGGATTTCTCCAAATAAATTGTCATGGAAGGCAACACTTAAAATTATATCTTCTCTGTTTGGCTCTCCCCATTAACCACCATGCAAGCACGAGTACCTTATGGTGTGGCTCATTCTCTCTTCATATTTATTTCCTGAAAAAAATTTTACATAAAGGCAGAACATACTAAGAGTCTGCTTTCCATTCTTGTGATCTTTGTATAATTAACTGTTGGTCCTGGTGACAATCTTTGGAGTAAACTTTTTCAGCACTTGAATAGGAAAGGTCTGATGCTTCTTACTATGACAAAGCTCAGTAAAGAGATCCTGAAGAAGATGATAATGATAATGATGGTAATAACAACACCAATAGCCAACATGCAGTAAGCCTTCACTGTCCACGGGCTCTCCCCTAAGCATTCTGTGTGCATTATGTTTTCATACTGATGATACTCACAGGAGAGAAAAACAGAAAAAAAAGAAGAGATCATTCCTGGAGCCAAATGCCCAAGTAAATGGAAACTATGAGAGGATGGAATCCAGAGCTCAAGTGGAGAAGTTGGCCTTAAAAAGCAGTGGAGGAGTCTGTCCATTGTAACATTGCTAAGAGACTGGAAGACTTGGTTTTGGAAACATGAAGGAATTCTCTTATGAAGGTTTCTAGTTTCTCAGCAAAATAAGAAGAAAAGGGTGGAAGAGAACAGGGTGGGTAGTTTTTGGAGGTATCAGCAAAATGGCAGGTGACAAGGCAGCAGAGTTGCTGCTATTAACTTAAGCAGAAATAAAAGACCTTGTCACTGTATTGTGGAGAAGAAGGGGAAAACTGTAAATTCCATGTGGAACAGATGCAAGATATCCCCAGGGTTATGCAGAACTCTTAGGGGATGGCTGTAAGTTCTCATAAAGCTGGCTTGGGCAGGACAAAGAGCAACAATCTTTTGTGAATATCGTGGCCCTACTTCTAAATCTCACCTCAGTAGATAGACTTTAAGAGAAAGGGGTTTCATAATATTTTTTCTTCATTCCTGCCTGAGGAAGCAACACTACACACTTCTTTTTTTTTTTTTTTTTTTTTTTGAGACGGAGTCTCGCTCTGTCCCCCAGGCTGGAGTACAGTGGCATGATCTCGGCTCACTGCAAGCTCTGCCTCCTGGGTTCATGCCATTCTCCTGCCTCAGCCTCCTGAGTAGCTGGGACTACAGGTGCCTGCCACCACGCCCAGATAATTTTTTGTATTTTTTAGTAGAGACAGGGTTTCACCGTGTTAGCCAGTATGGTCTTGGTCTCCTGACCTCGTGATCTGCCCGCCTGGGTCTCCCAAAGTGCTGGAATTACAGGCGTGAGCCACCGCGCCTGGCCACTGCACACTTCTTAAGATAGGGTTTGCTGCTATGCCTTCAATGGTAGACATAATGCCTGGTATGTAGGAGATACTTGATAAATATTTTATGAATGAATCAATGAATAGACGGATGAATGAGTAAGGAATTTATAAAATTTTATATAGTCCTCATTCTTAGTTTTTCTTCATAAAATTCTTTGTTGTCCATGTTGTATGATAATGTCATACTTGGCTTTTGACCTAAGACCCCACTCAGAAACCTAAGGAAATCTCAGAAGAATTATTTTACTAGGACTAAAAATGAAATAAATATTATATATTATCTAGAGATAGTTATAGCCACCTAATATTCCCAAAAGTTCCATAATAACTGTCCTTCCTTATCACTTACTGGCTTAGTATGAGAAATATTTTAATACTAAGTTCTTCCATGAGACAAGGGTCTGCTGGGATGGTCACTGCAGAACATGTTCTACTCACTTTTCTCCAAGAAGTTCCGCAGTGAAGTGTAAGTTTAGGTCACATGACCACTCATGCTATCCTCTGATTACCTGGTTCAATATCTTCAACTAAGAGGTGTTTTCTTTTAGACCAGGCGGGTTCCTACTGAACCAAGATTTTCTTTCTAATTTATCAAAAATCCTCTCTATACAACCTCTCTGTAGCCACCATACAATGTTGTTACTATAAGATTTCCAATCAGTGATGTCCTCTTTTAGCCTTCCCTAATCTACCCGTTTACAGATAAATCTTTGCACACACAGAGATTCATCCTCAAAGGAAGAATTTGTGTCTTATTAGATATTCTCAATAGTTAGTATGATGTTTGCTGAAGGAATAAACAAATGATTGACTATTAAATAAATATTGAATTATTCTAACAAAGTGACACACAGAAACTCAATTTCTGTTCCATGCTGTAGGAGAGGCAGCAACACTGAATCTTCCTTTTTTTTTTTTTTTTTTTTTGGTGGAGTCTCACTCTGTTGCCAGGCTGCAGTGCAGTAGTGCCATCTCAGCTCACTGCAACCTCCGCCTCCTGGGTTCAAGCGATTCTCCTACCTCAGTCTCCCGAGTAGCTGGGACTACCAGCACGCGCCACCACGCCCAGCTAATTTTTGTATTTTTAGTAGAGACGGGGTTTCACCATATTGGCCAGGATGGTCTCTATTTCTTGACCTCGTGATCCTCCTGCCTCGGCTGCTGGGATTACAGTAGTGAGCCACCACGCCCAGCCCACTGATTCAGTGGCCTGCTTTCAAATGTAGAGTTAAGCATTCTTAACTCTAAGTCTTCCCTCCAAGATTTAGCAAAGCACCACAATTGTCCTCCGAGCCCAATTTACTCCCACTGAATAGAAAAAAATTCACTTAAGGAATCTCAGTGTCTAACATTGACGGATTGTTCCCAACTAAGAGATGGCAAAATGCCTTCACTGCTTCTCCAATCTCTGGAAACCTACTTCCAGACTCTACAATCTCTGGAAACCTACTTCCAGACTCTAGAATCTCTGGAAGGCTACTTTCAATTCTTCCAGAACTACTCTTTACTAATAGCTTCATGCCATCTCCTGTACATGATTCTTCTTTCCATCATTTTCTTCTGTAGAGCCTTTGTTAAGTCTGAAATGCTTTTAACAAAGTGCCTGGGGAAGCAGGTTGGTGCAAGCCCTGGAAATTGTGTCTAACACTACTTCCATCTGATAGTTCAGATTTTCTTCTCTTCCGTTAAATATCAAAATCAAAATAAGCATTGCCCAGCCCTAAAATTTGAAATAATAAAAATAATTAACTTTTCTATTTAATTTAAGCATGGATCAAATTCAGTATTCTTCCTAGAGATACAGACTATAAGAGGTCAGATTAGGCCGGGCACGGTGGCTCACACCTGTAATCCCAGCAACTTGGGAGGCCAAGGCGGGCGGATCACGAGGTCAGGAGATTGAGACCATCCTGGCTAACACAGTGAAACCCCGTCTCTACTAAAAATATAAAAAATTAGCCGGGAATGGTGGCAGGCACCTGTAGACCCAGCTACTCGGGAGGCTAAGGCAGGAGAATGGTGTGAACCCGGGAGGCGGAGCTTGCAGTGAGCCGAGAGCATGCCACTGCATTCCAGCCTGGGCGACAGAGCAAGACTCCGTCCCAAAAAAAAAAAAAAAAAAAAGAGGGTCAATTTGCATGGGTCTTTGGAGAAAACACATAACTTCCCTCTGCTTTCTCCATAGATTAAGTGAAAATCAGGCATTTTCTTCCTGAGACAGAATTGTGGTGATTGGCAAGATGATAGTCATGAAGCACTTGCAGATTTTAATAACACTGAGTATCCATTTACTTAACTAGTAACACTTTTTGGCATCTCCTGTACATGATTCCTCTTCCAAACATTTTCTTCTACAGAGCCTACATTAAGGATGAAAGCTTTTAACTAAGTGCACAGAGAAGAGAGGCAGTCTTTTTAAATCATTTATAGAAAGGAATTAATAACAAACATTTTAAAAACATCCATAATTAAAACAACTCATGCTCTAGCAGGGAAAAAAATCCATTCCTCTCCTAGGGTGCAAAAGAGGCAACAAGCCGCTACTGAGCCAAGTTCTCTGAGCCAGGCCTTCTTCTAGGCTCTGTCCATTGCACTTTTCCATGAATTCTCAGAATAGCCCTTTGATGACTGTTTATAGAAAGCCTAAATCTCGGAGATACCCAGCACAGCATTTTAATAAATTACAATTAAAAGGTTTTAATACTATCATTTGCAAATGTAAAATGAGTAAGATTTTGAAACTTATATAATCAGTAATGTGGCTTCCCTTTTTGAATTGGATCTAAATTATGACACAAAGGAAGGGAACAAAATAGTTCCATCTCAAGGGAGGAGTGGCTATGATACAGGAAGGCCACTGCCAGCAAGGAAGAAGAGACAGGCCCATGTGGAAAGGGGCAGGAAGAGATGAGAAGGAGGGGCACAGTCATCTATGTGTCTGGGTTTCCCCCTCAATTTTCAGCATGGGTGTCCCCACGCCCCAGCCTGACAACATCCCAGTGAGGTCATCATGTACTGAACAGGTCGAAAAGCTATTATTGGTTAAGTAAACTGATACTCAGTGTTGTTAAGATCTACAAGTGCTTCATGGCCATAATCTCACCAATCATAATTCTTTCTCAGTTAGGGAGAAAAGGCCTGATTTTCACTTAATCTATGGAGAAAACAGAGAGAAGTCATGTGTTTTTCCCAAAGATTCAGGCAAATTGACTCTTCGAACAGAATCTATCTTCACTGATTTATAGCCTGTTCCTCTGTAGTTTTCTCATTGTTTTCCCCCTGATGCCTTTGTAGCTGTAGAAAGGAGACTGCATCCCTAGCTGTCCCTCTCCCCGACCTGCTGGGGGCAGCCTCACAGGATTGCTATGGTCGGTAGGCTGTGCAGCATAGTTCAGCTAAAAGGAAGTCTGAGTCAATGCCCCTGAGTCGTGCCTGCCTTCCATGTCGTGTGAAACCCTGCATAGCTCTTGGTTGTTGAATAAAATATTTAAGACTCTGACCAGGAATCTTCCTAGAGGGAACTGCTACACAAAGGGCAAAGTCACATTATCACTAGACAGAGCAGTGAGTGTGTGAAACTCAGATGAGGCCATCAACAGGGAGGAGCCTCTGAGCCCAGAGAAGAGACCAGGAGCTCACCAGCAGCAGATGCCCCAGGTGCCAGCAGTCACCAGGGAAACAAGCAACATCATCATGGCACAGGTGAGCAGGGACCTAGAGGGTAAACCAAAGCCCAACATGCAGAGCCATCATAAAGATCTTCACCCAGAGGGAAAGACTCTGAAATCTGAACATTTATCTATAAGCAACCGCCTTTTCAGTCCTTTAAAGAAAGGAATTAATAACAAATGTTTTCAAGACATCCACAATTAAAACCACTCATGCACCACACACACAGCAACCACCCTGCACACACTGTCTCATTAAACCCAGACACTGAGAAATCACTCAAGGCCTTCTCTGCAGTTCAGTAAGGCTCATGATGATGATGAGATCTGTTTTAGAAAGTAAACTCTTCAGGAGCCAAACTATATTTTCTTTGCACACTTCAGTTGTGTGAGTAAATGTGCAGCCCAACTACAGTATGATTACAAAGACAACCAATGAAACACAAAGTCTGTAAAGCGAAGAGACCACCTGGAGATTTTCTTTCAATCAGCAGAGATTATTAGCCTACATTCTTAGAAATGTGACTTTACCATAGACAATATTTTCTCCAAGATGACATTCTAGACAGCCAATGCTTCCAATGTGTGCCACCAAATTTTGACCACTGTGTAAACTTTTTTTTCTAATCAAGTTTGCTTTATATAAAATAAAACGTTGAGTTAAATGTATAGTGATACACTAGAGTGGACTTCAAAAACGCTTGCTGTGAATAAAGAGATAAAAGTAATCATCCAATCACAACTGAAGGAAGATTGTATCTTTACAAGAAAAGGTAAGAATTTTACTGTGTGTGCATGTGTACATATATATATTTCCTGTATAAATAAGACAGCAAATTGTTCTATTCAAATTGTGAGAGCCAAAAGGCAATTGGGTTCAAAAAAGAAAACTCTAGATACAGACACAACCTGTTTTATTGCACTTCTTTATTGTGCTTGACAAAACTTGCTTTTGACAGATTACTTGACAGATACTGTGTTTTTTATATATTGCAGGTTTGTGACAACCCTGTCTTTAGCAAGTCTATCACCACCATTTTTCAACAGCATGTGCTCACTTCATGTCTCTGTGTTACATTTTGGTAATTCATGCAATATTTCAAACTTTCTTATTCTTGTTATATTTTGTGAAAATCTGTGATAGGTGACCTTTGATGTTACTATTGTAAATGTTTCGGGGCACCATGAACCATGCCCATATAAGATGGTAAACTTAATGGAAAAATGTTGTGCGTGCTCTGACTGCTCCACTGACCAACTGTGCCCCAACACCTTTCCCCATCCTCAGGCCCCCCTCTTCCCTGAGATACAATAATATTGAATTTAGGCCAATTAATAACCTGACAATGACCTCTGAGTGTTCAAGTAAACGAAAAAGCCATACTTCTCTCACTTTAAATCAAAAGCTAGAAATGATTAAGCTTAGTGGCAGAGACAATGTCAAAAATTGAGATAGGCCAAAAGCTAGGTCTTTTGCACCAAACGATTAGCCAAGTTGTGAAAGCATAGGAAAATTTCTTGAAGGAAATTAAAAGTGCTACTCCAGTAAGTACATAAATGATAAGAAAGCAAAGCAGCCTTATTGCTGTTATGGAGAAAGTGTGAGTGGTCTGGATAGAAGATCAAACCAGCCACAACATTTCCTTAAGCAAAAGCCTAATCCAGAGCAAGGCCCTAAATCTACTCAATGCTATGAAGGCTAAGAGAGGTAAGGAAACTGCAAAAGAAAAGTTGGAAGCTAGCAGAGGTTGATTCATGAAGTTTAAGGAAATAAGCCGTTTCCACAACATAAAATTCAAGGTGAAGCAGCAAGTGCTGATGGAGAAGCTGCAGCAAGTTACCCAGAAGACCTAGCTAACATAATTGACAAAGGTAGCTGCACTAAACAACAGATTTTCAATGTAGATGAAACAGCCTTCTATTGGAAGAAGATGCCATCTAGGACTTTCACAGAGAGGAGAAGTCAACATTTGGCTTCATAGCTTCAAAGGACAGCCTCATTCTCTTGTTAACGACGAATGCAGCTGGTAACATTAAGTTGAAGCCAATGCTCACTTGTCATTCTGAAAATCCTAGGGCCCCTGAGAATTATACTAAATCTACTCTGCCTGTGCTCTAGAAATGAAACGAAAAAGCCTGATGACAACACATCTGTTTATATGGTTTACTGAATATTTTAAGCCACTGTTGAGACCTACTGCTCAGAGAAAAAAAAAAATTCTTTTCAAAATATTGCTGCTCATTGTCACCCAAGAGCCCAGATAGAGATATACAAGGACATTCATGTTGTTTTCATGCCTGCTAACACAACATCCATTCTCTACTATATGGATCACAAAGTCATTTTGATTGTCAAGTCTTATTAATAAAGAAATACATTTCATAAGTCTGCAGCTACCATAGATAGTGACTCTTCTGATGGACCTGGCAAAAGTAAATTGATAACTTTTTGGAAAGGATTCACTATTCTGGATGTCATTAAGAACATTCGTGATTCATAAGAGGAGGTCAAATGTCAACATTAACAGGAGGTAGAAGTTGATTCCAATCCTTATGGATGACTTTAAGGGGTTCAAGACTTTATTACAGGAAGTCACTGCAGATGTGGTAGAAATAGAAAGTAAACTAGAATTAGAAGTGTAGACTGAAGATGTGGCTGAATTTCTACAATCTCATGATAAAACTTGAACAAATAAAGAGTTGTTTCTTATGGATGAGCACAGAAACTACTTTCTTGAGATGAAAACTACTCCTGGTGAAGACACTATGAACATTGTTGAAATGACAACAAAAGATTAAGAATAGTCCATAAACTTAGTTGATAAAGTAGCAGGGTTTGGGAAGATTGACTTCAATTTTGAAAGAAGTTCTACTGTGGGTAAAATGCTATCGAACAGTATCGCATGCTACAGAGAAATCTTTCAGGAAAGGAAGAGTCAATCAATGTGTAAACCTTCAAATGTTGTCTTATTTTCAGAAATTGTCACACCAACTCCAGCTGTCAGCAACTACTACCCTGATCCATCAGCAGCCATCAACATCATGACAAGATCCTCCACTAGCAGAAAATATAAATCCCTGAAAGCTCAGATGATCCTTAGTGTGTTTTAGCGATAAAGTATTTTTAATTAAATTATATACATTTTGTAGACATAATTGCACAGGCTATGGTACAGTGTAAACATAACTTTTATATGCACTGGGGGAAAATTCATATGACTTATTTTTGTTTGTTTGTTTGTTTGTTTGTTTGTTTTTGGAGACAAGATCTCCCTCTGTCGTCCAGGCTAGAGTGTAGTGGTGCTATCTTAGCTCAGTGCAACCTCCGCCTCCCAGATTCAAGCGATTCTCCTGCCTTAGCCTCCTGAGTAGCTGGGATTACAGGCACGTGCCACTACGCCCGGCTAATTTTCATATTTTTGGTAGAGACGGGGTTTCGCCATGTTGGCCAAGCTGGTCTCAAACTCCTGACCTCAAGTGATCCACCCGCCCCGACCTCCCAAAGTGCTGGGATTACAGGCAATGAGCCACTGTGTCTGGCCTTACATGACTGGCTTTATTGCAATATTTGCTTTACTGCAGTGGTCGGACACTGAACCTGCAATATCTCTGAGGTATGCTTGCATTTTTTTAAGTCCTAGGAGACATTACTCATTTACTCATTCAAGAAACATTTATTGACCCCCTATCATGCTCCAGACACTTCCCTAGGCACTGGCAATGCAGCAGTATAGATACAGAAAGCACCTGCCCTCAAGGAATTTATGTTCTCACTGAAGAGACAAACAATAAGTAACGATACAAAATATACGTCAAAGGATAAGTACTATAAAGAAAAAATTAAAATAGAGCAGGGTAAGAGAAGAATAGGGAGGGGGCAGGAATTTTGTAGTGAAAATTCCTCTCTGAAAAGTTAATAATTGAGGAGGGACCTAAATTAGGGGACATTTATGATAAGAACAAGAGGAAAAAGAATATTCCATGCAGAGGAAATAGTAAGTACAAGGGTCATGAGGTAGATGTGACTTTGTTAAGTTTGAAGAACTAGACCAATTTGAATTGAATAGAGTAAGTGAAGGGGTTGTAGAAGGTAAAGTCAAAAAGTTACGCAGGCTGCACTAAAATCTCAGAAGTCACCACTAAAGAATGTATCCGTGTAACCAAAAACCACCTGTACCCCAAAAACTATTGAAATAAAAATAAATAAATAAAAATAAATTCTAAAAATGTCACCAAGGGTTCATTCATATCAGACCTTGTAGGCCAATGTACCACATTGAATTATATTCTAAGTGTGACAGGTAATCATTGGAAAGTTTTGAGACAGAAAAAAATAGAATCTATCTCCATTTTTTGTAATCACTCTGACTGCTGTAAGAAAAATAGATCATAACCGGGCAAGATGAATACAGGGAGAAGAGCTAGGTGATTGTTGCAGAATAACCAGTTCCAGAATAAAGTGATAGTCACTCAGATCAAAGCAGTGGCAAAGAAAGTGATGAGAAGTGCTCCAATCTGTGATATATTTTTAAAATTGAGCCAACATAACTTGCAAATAAATTGAATGTTGGATATGGGAGAAAAAGAAATCCAGATTGACTCCTAGGATTTAGCCTGAGCAAGAGATAAATGGTGGTGCTATTTACGACAATGGAGAAAACTCGGGAAGGGTCTGATTGTGAAGATACAGAAAGTACATGTTTTACATTTGTTTATTTTGAGATATCCATTAGACTTCCAAGTAAGGAGGCTGAGTTGTTTATTGGATAAAAGAGTGTGGAGTTCAAGAGAGACTGGTACCAGAGATACAAATTTGAGTTATCAGCCTATGGGGCTTAATGAAATCATTTGGAGAATGAGTACAAATAGAAAAGAGAGAAATTTGAAAGGCTGAGTCCTGGGCCGTCCAAACTGACAGATTAGGAAATGAGAAGAAACCAGACTGAGAATAAGGTAGCCAAGGATGTAAGAGGAAACTAGGACTAGATGCTGTCCCAGAGGCAAAGTGAAGAAACTTTCAAAAAGGAAGGCATATTCTTTGTTACCTAATGCTGCTGAGAGGTTAAGTAAGTCAAGAACTGAGATGTAACTGTGCATTTAGCAACAGGAAGGCTATTCATGACGTTGGTAAAAACAGTTTCAGTGCAGTGGTTAGAACCAAACCCTGATTCAATGGGTTAATTTGAGATTGATATTGGAGTGTTAGTTTGAGCACAAGGAGAAGAAATAGAAATAAAACTGCTTTATTAATGGATGATATAATTGTCACATAGAAAAGCCAAGAATATACAATCAAAGCATTATAATCAAAGAGATCAGCAATAATTCTGGATATAGAATCAACATTAAGAATAAATAGGGTTGCTATACACAAAAACAAACAGAAAGTAATTTTTTTCAAAAAGGCCATTTTCAACGGCAACAAAAAAAGGCATTTAAGAATAAATTTGTAAAACTTCATGGAAAGACAATAAAAGCCTGAATAAATCAAGAGATAAGCTACAATCATGCATAGAATGTGTCAGTTTTGCAAAGATGTCCACATCTCCCAATTTAATTGGATACTTAAATGCAATTCCAATCAAATTCTCAATGGGGTTTCTCATCAAATGTGGTAAGCTAATAGTAGATTTACATGGCTATGCAAAGGATCAAGAAGAGCCATAATGATTTTGAAGAAGAAAAACAGATGGCAAGACTATCAAATTGTAATAATTTTTAAAAGATAAGACAGTGGTGCAAGAATGGACACATAGATCAATGAAATAGGATAAAGAGCTCATAAACAGACCCAAATACCTATGGAGACTTGATATATGACATCTGACATATGACATGATTACTGATCAGCAAGGAAAGAATAAGCTAATATAAAATGCTGAGTTAGTTACTCAAATTGAAAAAAGAAGTCAACTGGATTGTTACCTAACTATATGCAAAAATCAGTTCCAGACACAATGAAACCCTAAATGTGAGAGACAAATTTTAATTCTTCTAGAATAAATTATGGGAGTATATTTAATATATGAATGATCTCAAGATAGATTCGGATTTCTGAGGCAAGACACAAAAGAGGGGGGGTGGGAAGGAAAAACGGAAGGAAAGAAGGAAGGAAGGAAGGAAGAAGAAGAGAAGGGAAGGGACAGGGAGGGAGGCAGGGAGGAAATAGAGAAAGGCAGAAGGAAGAAAAGAAAGAAGAGGAAGGGAGGAGAGGAGAAGGAAGGGAAAGGACGAGAGAAAGAAGGGAGGGAGGCCGGGAGGAAACAGAGAAAGGCAGAAGGAAGAAAAGAAAGAAGAGGAAGGGAGGAGAGGAGAAGGAAGGGAAAGGACGAAAGAAAGAAGGGAGGGAGGGAAGGAAAGAGAGAAGGAGGAAGAGAAGGATAAAGGAAAATATTAACATATTCGACTACATTAAAATTCTAAACCTCTGTGAGTCAAAAGATGCCATAAACAAAGTCAAAAGACACGTCACAGCCTGGAATAATACATTTGCAATGAATGTAACTGACAAAACATTAGTATCCATAATATGTAAAGCATTTCAATAAGTCAATAAGAAAAATAACCTAATAGAAAAATGGCAAAAGCTTTAAAGAGATACTTCAAAGAAGAGGGCCTTCAAAGGGCCAATAAACAGATAGTAAGATTTTCTATCTCATTAATAATCAGAATGCACATTAAAACCATACTACAATGTTTCTCACCTACGATATTAGCAAAAATAAAAAAGTCTAATGCTACCAAGAGATGAACAGAATGTAGAGAAGAACATCTCATTCAACTGCTAATAAGAATGAAAATGGACACAATTCAATTTCGACAGCAATTTGGGTCAATCTTGAGTCAAAAGTACACCTATCCTATGACTCAGTATTTAACTCCTAGTTATATATCCCTGAGAAACTCTTACAGCAGTGCACAATGGAGACAGGTAAAAGAGTGTTCATTGCAGCATTATAATAGTAAAAAGTTGGTACAACATAAATGTGGCATTAACAGGAGAATGAATTAATAAATTATGGTATTTTATATAATGTATTAATACAGCAGTCAAAATGAATTACGAGCTACATATTTCAACACAGGTAAATCTTAAATATCATTGTACAAAGAAGAGTAAGTTGCAGAAGGCTGTATACAAAGTTTAATAACATAAAACAATAACATATTCATATATAAAAGACAGACAGACATGAAGATAATAAACACCCAAATCACGATAGTGCCTGTGTTCATTTGGTTCTCCAAGAAGCAGATGCCAAGATGGATTAGGTGTGCAAGAAACTTATGAGGGAAAATGGCTGTGAAATATAAAGAGAAGAAGCAGAAGGAGACCAAAAGAAGCTTCACACCACAGTGTGGGTCTGATCCCTGTGAGGGGAAAAGGAAAGGTAGAAGGATTGGGAGAGAAAAATCTTAGACTACAGCAGGGGTCTTAGAAAGTTGTAGCCAGACCAATGAGGAGTCCTTGAGCCAAAGTCACCTACTAGAGAAGTCCTGCATCAAACAGATACTGACCTGAACTTGTATCCCTATCCTGCTTAGTCCTTACCTGCCTGAGGAAGGCAGGTTAACAGCAGTAAATCCAGAAGGGAGTCAGCTGGAACCATCATCAACTTTGCTCCCTGCAGCAGAAGATCTGAGCAGCTTATTTTCATTGTGTCACATTAGTGCTCTCTGGGATAGGGACTAACAGGGAGATGGGATCCAGGAGAGAGATAAAAGATCTCTAAATGTGTTTCTAAGCTCTGGATTCTACCATTTTATAGTGGAGACAAAGATATTCATTATATTATGCTCTTTATTTTAGGGAGTGAGAAGCAAAGAATGGAAGTTAAGAAGTTGAAGCAAGGCTTTCATGGAATTTTGCTGTAATGTGGAAACCTACAATAGGATTGAGGAATAAGAGCTGCTGTCGCCTTCTTGATGCTAATCCAGTTTATGGGGGAAATTTGACACATGATGATATAGTTTGGATATCTGTCCCCTCTAAATCTCATGTTGACCTGTAATTCCCAATGTTGGAGGTGGGGCCTCATGAGAGCTAACTGGATCATGGGGGCCGATTTTTCATGAATAGTTTAGCAACATCCCCTTGGTGCTGTCCTTGTGGCAGGGAGTGCTCACCAAGATCTGGCTGCTTAAACGTGCGTGGCATCTTCCCCTCTTCTCTCTTGCTTCTGTTTTCACCATGTGACATGTCTGCTCCTGCTTTGCCTTCTGCCATAAGTAAAAGCTCCCTGGCCCTAAGCAAATGCTAGCACCACCCTTCCTGTACAGCCCACAGAACGGGCTAATATACAGGAGAAAGAAGAAAGTTGCAGGACCGAAGCCCTTAAATGCTGAGATCGGATGAGTTCCAGTACACAAAAGGAAAGAATTGGCCCAAATAGGAGAAGGAAAAGGTTATCCACTCTTGAAAAAGACAGGCTAAATTGATGAGTAAAGGTGAAAGCATAAGAATGGATTTTGCAGTGGGAAGATGAGGAAGTTCTCTAATGACTCTTATTTTCTCAGTAAAATAGGAAGCGAACTGACACGCTGAGAATGAGAAAGAAGAAAGTGGTTTCGGAGGTTTGAGGAGAGTGGAATTACCAGGGAGTCTCAAGGGCTCACTTGAGGTTTGTGGTCCAAGATTTAAGATGACACCAGTCAGCATGGCTGTGTGTTCTCCACTAGCCACACACAGCTGCTCAGAGGCAGGTGTGCAATTGGCCCAGAGGTTGGAGCCTTAGGTTTAATTAAAGTGGGATTTTGTGAGGCAAGTACAACAAAGGGAGATGAAGAGGAGGGATTTGAGGGTACAGGGAAAGGCAGTATCATAGTATTGAGCTATGGGAAGTGTGGTTGCTATTGTAAAATTGGAGGACAGTAAGCAAAACAATTGAGAAGGTAATGGATGGGAGGTCCCTAGCACAGAGTCAAAGAATTGTTGGAATGAGGACACCAGAAAGATAAGAAATGGTAGTTAGTGGATAGGATGTTCAAAATTGTGATTCTGGGAGTAGTAGAATTCAAGGTTTAGGATGTGACAATGGGAATAGGGGTTTGAGGTGGGCTGGAGGAAAGGAATATCATAGTTGAAGAAATGAAGGAACCCAGAGGCCAGAGTATTGGGTGGTTGTCTGAAGTCACTTCACCTAATGCCAATGGTAGTGGTGGGGAAAATAGTGAATTAGGTGCTAAAATATTCATTGAATGAGTGAATGTGACTAAAAGAACTATAGATACTTCAACAAAAAAGGGGTGAGTGGGCAGAATTAATTGGACAATATAAAATGTTTTTCTAAGAGAGCAATTTTTTGCATTTATTACTGTCTTATTTGGAGATATTTGAGAATTACTGCTTGTTTTACATTTTATTATGAGAAATTTCAAACATAGAGAACAATAGAGAGACTAGTATAATGAACACCCAAATACGAATTTCTTAGATTGAAAACTTGCTAAATATTAGCATATATGTTGTTTTAATTTTTTCTCTTTTAATTTTTAATTTATTTACTGAGATATTTTAAGTAAATTTCAGACGCCAAGGACTTTGCCCTTAAATGTATCCATATGCCTCTAAAAATAAGAACATTTTCCCATATAAACACAGCATCATCACGCCTAAAAAATTTAACAATTATTCCTTAATATCATCTAATGCCAATCCCATATTTAATTTTCTGCAATTATTCCAAAAATATCTTGTAGAGCTTGTTTGCTGAAAGCAGGATGCAATCAAGAACCACCCATTGCTTTCGATTGCCATGTCTCTTTGATCTCTTTGTAAAGAACGGTAATCCTCCTCCCAAAACACACACACACACACACACACACACACACACACACACACACACATTTATTTTTTCTCATGACATTGATTTGTTAAATACAAATCCAGGCCAGATCTCCCATACAATGTCCTACCTTCTGGATTTATCTGATTGTTTTCTCATGATATCACTTAACTCTTTTCCTGTCCCCTATATTTTCTGTAAGCTGGAAGTCAGATCTAAAAGCTTTAGTAGTTTTAGTTAAGCATTTCTGGCAAAAATAATTTGTAGGCCATGCTGTGAATTTCATATTGCATCATATCAGGAGCCACATAATATCTAGTTGTCTCACTATTTTTGATGCTAACATTAATTTTCATGAAAACAATAACCAGAATATACCTTGCAAATGTGCTATTTTGAAAATGTAAACCTCTTAGTTTTGTCCCCCTAAAAAGTTCAGTAACCAAAAACATGAGGCAAACACAAAATTCTGAAACACAGACCCGCTGTTTCAGAATTTACAGAAGTTTTTAACACTGAAGGACTCACAAGACAGAAGGAGATTGATAGTCATTGTTATTAGAAGTGCAGGAGCTCCAAGGGGGGAACTGTGGAGAATAGAAGGATGTGCATTATTATACCCTTCCATTTTTATTCTAAGCCTGAAATTAAATGATAACTAGAATATAGATCCTTCCACTCAAAATTAAAATCCATAGATAAGGCCAAGCGTAATTTTGTAATATGACTGTATGCTGGCAAAACAACTAGATCTTGGGTTGCTTCTTAAAATAGAATAGCATTGAGTGTTTGTAGAGGATTTTGCTGCTTTTTGTAAGAAGCCTGGAAGGGCAAAGGCCAAGGAAAGAAACATAATTAAAACACATTTTATGTAGTATGTCAAGGAGCTATTGGAAAGTAGCAATGGTTCCTAAAATACAGAGAATTATTTCAGCATTCGCTTGGCTAACATAGACAGCAAAATTAACTTGTAACACACATTTTCTGTCCCTAGATTTTTTGCCATTGGGAAAGCAAATATGAATTCGATCAACATTGTATATAGAGGCTTTCTACCTGCTAACAGTAATTACAGGCTTTACTTTGACTACTTGTTTTAGGAAGCAGAAGGGGACTTTCTAACCTTAGAGGCTGCCAACATTAGTACAACTGTCAACTGCCAGGCCAGAGAGACACTCAGAAGCTCTTGCCAGGCCAATGTATGGGAGATATCCACTGTGTATTCCTCCACCAAAGAGCATATTTAGAGATAGTCAAGATCCTTAGATGGTTCAGGCTGGTGCTGGTTCTGTTCCATATTTCCTCTATCACATAATACTTACACAAGCTGTATCTGGGCCAAGACTCAATTGCATTTCTGAATTGCTAGAGAGCCTATGAAAATTACAAATTCCCAGGCTTCATCTGAATCTGATTGTATTGACAAATCTACGAAGATAGAACCCAGGGTAAAGTCTTCTCTATTAGTGAAATCCACTAATAGAGCAGATCCCCACAAAAAATAGGACGCTTTAACTCTCCTTTGTTTTCTCAACTCTAAGAACTCTGGCTAAATATCAGTTCAGTTCTTGTCCCCCTCCAATCAGACTAAGTGTTAGAAATTCCCAAGGAAGACTCTATACTTAGTACCCCTTCTCTCCAAATGGAAGTTCTTGCTGGTGTATCTTGAACTGCACACGGGAATTCTGTTACACACAAATGGGCAGTCTACCGTGCACTATCAGGAAAAGAAATACACCATCTTTTAAAAACTTAGACTTATAATTGACCTTCTTTTGTCAGTTTGATTCAGTGGGTCCTTTAAAAGCAACATGTTGTTGCATTTACTGTTTTATCCCAATTTATTGATCTCCTCCTTTTAGTGGGTAAATTAAGTTTGCTCACAATTGTTTTGAAAACTAATATAAAATTGTTCCTCGGTATATACAGGGGATTGGTTCCAGGACCCCCATATATTGAAATCCACGCACTCTCAAGTCCTGCAGTCGGCCCTGTAGAGCCCGCATAGACGAAAAGTCAGCCCTCCATATATAGGTGTTTTGCATCCCACAAATAACTCTATTTTCAATCCTTGTGTGGTTAAAAAAAAAATCCACATGTAAGTAGTCTTGCACCATTCACACTCGTGTTGTCCAAGAGTCAACTGTAGTTCTTTTTTTTTTTTTTGAGATGGAGTCTTGCTGTTGTCGCCCGGGCTGGAGTGCAATGGCGCCATCTCAGCTCACTGCAACTTCCACCTCCAGGGTTCCAGCAATTCTCCTGCCTCAGCCTCCAGAGTAGCTAAGATTACAGGTGCCCACCACCATGCCCCGTAAAGTTCATTTTACTTTCAATCTTATTTATATTTATTATTTATAACTTTTGTTGCTTCCTTTTATCCACTTTGTTACTTCTGTTGTCTAGGTCAATTTGTTTTTATTCTGTCTCCTCTCCCTGCCAACATTAATTTGAAAGTTCTCCTGTGCTTTTCAAATTGTCATATACATTTGCAATGAACATATAAAATTTAACAACTATTATTCCCATTGATATATTTTTATTGCAGACATTCCCCATACTCTAGAAATGAAACTCCAGTGTGCTTTGTTCCCAACTCTAGCCCCCTTTCCTTACTTCTGCCCTCAACTTCTTCCTGGGTTTTGCCAAGACAGTTTAGAATTTCAGCATTGGCTGTCACTTAGCTTTTCCTTAAGTTTCTTCTGGTTTAAGGTTAAGTTAGCATTTGAATTATCATTTTCCATTAATATTACAATTATCCGTTGAGAAAGATTGATATATATAATCAATTGACCTTTCTCCTTTTTGAGAAGAGAAATATTTACCTTCTTCACGTGTCACTAATATTTTCTAGTTACCCATTCTATTTTCATGTCTGGTTGTTTTTTTCAAAAATTTTCTTCAGGCCAGGCGCAGTGGCTCATGCCTGTAATCCCAGCACTTTGGGAGGCTGAGGCGGGCGAATCACCTGAGGTCAGGAGTTCAAGACCAGCCTGGCCAACATGGTGAAACCCCGTCTCTACTAAAGATAAAAAAATTAGCCAGGCACCTGTAATCCCAGCTGGGTAGGCCTCAGGAGGCTGGGGCAGGAGAATCACTTGAACTGGGAGGGGAAGGTTGTGCTGAGCAGAGATGGCACCACTGCACTCCAGCCTGGACAACAGAATACTCTGCATTTACCCTGATGGACAATATCTTATCCATATACATAAACCTTAGATCACACTCTATTTCTCTGAAAATACTTCATTTCAGCTCTAGTCTTGCAAATGGGAATTTGATATTGGTCTTCTTTCCTTGGTTAGTAACTTATCTTTGGTTCTAGAAACTCTAAAAGGTTTTCTGATGAAAATGGATATGTCCAAGTAGGTGACTTTTTAAATTACTTAACTATGTTGGAGCCCTGTAAATCCTTTCAATATATAATATCAAGTCTTTTTTTCACTGTTCTTTTTTTGAGTGTAGGGAAACTTTCTTCTAGAACTTGCTTAATTTTTGCTTTCCCTGCAACACTCCCCCAGCCCCACCTGTATTTTTTCTCCTGTTTGGAAGCCCTGTTACTCACAAGTTCAGCTCCCTGAACATATCCTCCAAGTGGATACGCTTCCTTCCGATTTCTATCTCTGTGCTTTTTCTCTGCATAGTAAGATATTTCTTTCATTTACCTTTTAGAATTCTCAGAAACAGACAGTCTGTTTTTCAGTTCACCTAGTGAGTTTTTAATTCTGAAATGATGACCTTTTTTTAATATCCAGAAAGGTTTTCTCTCCTCCATGATCTTATTGCATTTCTTGGATAGTTCTCACTATTTGTTGTTGTTCTTTTTTTTTTTTATCAGTCTTCCATTAGTTCCTTGTCACCTGAGCTACCTGCTCTGGTTACTGTGCTTGGACTTCCTCCCATAGGTCACCAAGGCATCTTAAGCAGGACATGGGGGTTTTT
Organism: Homo sapiens; assembly: GCF_000001405.40. Taxonomy (NCBI): domain Eukaryota; kingdom Metazoa; phylum Chordata; class Mammalia; order Primates; family Hominidae; genus Homo; species Homo sapiens. The sequence continues at coordinate 34,847,755 of NC_000013.11, forward strand.
TTGTTTGTTTTACCTTCTCCATCTCCAGAATATACCCTAAATGCAAGTGCTTCTCAGCAGCCCCACTGCTAACATTGTAGCCCAGTTCACCATCATCTCTCACCTGGATTTCAGCAGTAGCCTCTCATCTGATCTCCAGCTTCTACGTTTGCCCCGCCCCTCCTGACAACAGCCAGAATGATCCTTTGAAATTTGAGATCAGATCATATTACTCCTCTTTTCCTGCAAGGGCTTCCCACGTCACTCACAGTAAAAGCCAAAGCCTTTACACTGGCCTACAAATCCTTACATGGCCTGGCCTTGGCTATCTCCTTCCTCTCCTATTCCTCTGCCTCAGCTCCCTGCTTAACCAGAAGTGATCTGCCCTTGCTTGTCTTAAAGATACCAGGCAGGTTTCTGTGCTAGGGTCTTTGCACTGGCTACCCACCTTCCTGAAGAGCTCTTCCACCTTGGCTAACTCCCGCACTATCTTTAACTGGCATCTTCTCAATTAGGCCTACCCTGACTGCTCTATTTTAAGCTGTAATTAATACTGCCCACCCCATACTTTCATTCCTTTTTTTAAAATATAAAAGCATGCTTTTATATTTTATCTCTTTTAGCTGCTTTGTGTTCTATTTTCATGTTTATCATTACATAAAGTACATATGACTATGTGTATTATTTATGTATTATCTGTCTGTCCTGCTGGGATGTAAGCTTGATATAGTTTCGGTGTTTGTCCTCTCCAAATCTCATGCTGAAATGTAATCCCCAGTATTGGAGGTGGGGCCTGGTGGGAGTGTCATGGGGTCATGGGTGTCATGGGGGTGGGTCTCTCACGAATGGCTTGGTGTGGTCCTTCTGATGGTGAGTTCTCGAGAGAACTAGTTGTCTAAAAGTGCATGGCACCACCCACCTCTCTCTCGCCACTGCTCTCACCATGTGATATGCTGGCTCCCTCTCACCTTCCACCATAATGGTAAGCTTCCTGAGGCCTCACCAGAAGCAGATGCCAGCACCACACTTCCTGTATAGCCTGCAGAACTGTGAGACAATTAAACGTCTTTTCTTTATAAATTACCCAGGCTCCAGTGTTCCTTTATAACAATGTAAAAACAAACTAATACAAAGCTCCATGAAGCAGAGATCGTTGTCTGTCTTCCCCACTGAGGTGTCCTAAGTTCCTACAACAGTGCCTGGAACACACTGACTGTTTAATAAACATTTGTTGAGTGAATATTAAATAAATGATTTTTAGAATTATTATTTATGTTATTTCCTCAAATATCTGGCAATCCTAAGATATCCATTCATATTTGTGAATGAAGCCTGTTGGGATGGGTTTTCTCTGCAAGTACAAAGGTCTATTTCTCTTAATGGGAGGACTGGCTGCAAGCAAGTTCAAGGTGCTCAGAGATGGAGCAGACAAGTACACTTGGACCACACCCAATGCCTCCCCAGCCTACACAGTCTCACTCATTAAGCCAAAATAATAATAGCTGGATCCTGCTGTGTCTATACCAATACAGCACCTCAACAGAGCAATTAATTTCTTTAAAGTGCAGTTATCTGAGTTTAGCCTGAGGGTGAACACAAGAGCAGGATCTCTGTTTGTGTGTTGGTAACAGAGTGATGCAGGAAAGAAAGACGGAGGAGGCAAGACTAACACCTCTCTCCTGAAGATTTCCCTTTTAATACTCATTCTCATGGGTTCCTCCTTACAACTCCTGTCTACATACTGGCTTTGAGTCTGTAAGTGAGGAAACACTTTTCCCCAGAAGGGATAATTTTCCACTTTAAAGGTCCATTCATGTTTGGGATGAAGTGCCCTCCATTATGCTTTATTCTCCAATACAATCCCATCTATTATATTTTCAATCTTCCAGAAATCCTCTCCCACATTGCCTGGCTTGCTGATGCTCCAGAGGACACCACCTTCTTTTCTGCTTCTAATGACTCTATTCCCTTGTATATGTTTTAACAAGCACCACCATGAAATTTAGTAAGAGGGTGGAAGAAGATAATGCTTAGTCCTCTAGAGCCAGAAGCCACAGGTATCTCTGAGGGGCCAGTACCACTTACTAGGAAAAGAAAAAAACATTTATCTGATGTAGAAAAAATTCTTAAGTTTCACTTCAGATTTTTTTCCAAGTAAAATTACGTTTTAATATGGTTTGGCTGTGTCCCCACCCAAATGTCATCTTGAATTCTAGTTCTCATAATCTCCATGTGTTGTGGGAGGGGCCTGGTGGGTGGTAATTGAATCATGAGGGTGGTTACTTGTATCTGTTTTCATGATATTGAGTGCATTCTCACAAGATCTGATGGTTTTATAAGGGGCTTTTCCCCCTTTTACTCACTTCTCTTCCTGCTGCCATGTGAAGAAGGAAATGTTTGCTTCCCATTCCTCCATGAATTTAAGTTTCCTGAGGCCTCCCCAGCCATACTGAACTGTGAGTTAATTAAACCTCTTTCCTTCATAAATTACCCAGTCTTGGGTATGTGTTTATTAGGAGTGTGAGAACAGACTAATACACATTTAATATATTGAATTTTAATTTAATATTGTATAACAACCCAAAAGAAACTTGCAGACTGGAAAATGTAGTCACTGTAATCCCTAAGCCATTCTTGCACAACAGATCATGGCATCATCTATTCTATCTTCAAAACAATGGATGGAAAAGTGTGAGATGTAATGAAGACATTAGAATGATTCTATCATTCGACCACAAAACTATATCCATAGTCGCACATTTTATGTACATCATACAAATTCACATATCTGGTTTGCTGCAGAATTCTTTATAAAGATTACATCAATTCTTTAGTTTAATATGGTCTTTGTATTTGCAATACCCAAAAGACAATGACAAAATTGATTTTTATAGCAAACTGTGTAACAATGTATTTTATCCTTCATGATAACCACAAGATGATAAACTGACAGTTTTTAAATGTGTGTCAAATTTCTTTTGTGATCACCAAATTGAAAAATATTTCTAAATGCATTCCCTGGTGATAACTGACAGAGCCTTTGGTATTCTCAAATGTCTGATTCAAATACATATCAGAAATCTAAAGAAATGCACTTCAGAACAAATTTCTTGAAGGTGAAATATTTCTTATGGATTTAATCCGTTCTAGTTGTTCAACTGCTCCTTGTTTCCTCAAATTAATTGTAAAACAGAATAAACATGAACTGGATTACATTACAACAAAAGTGACACAGGAGCCTATGATGTTCTACAGGAATAGTAACCACAGGCATGGTCTCTCCAGGAAAAGCACAGGTTATTGCAATGAAGATAGAGACTGCTCTTGAAAGAGAATGTAAACTCTTCAAGTGATAATTTATAATGTCTCTTTAAGGCATTGATGGAAATTAGTCTTACCTTAAAACCAATGCCACAGCAATGTTCATTAACAAAGTAGGTGCTGCCTGTGTGGCTTAATTTGAAGGTTGCTCCAAACTCTCCCTTTTAATGTAGGGCCATGGTGCTTGGCATCACAAAATGTGACCCATTCTTTGAATCTTTCAGGAGTTTCCTAGTAAATATTGAAAAGTTCCTTAGGAGAAAAGAATGGAGCTTAGAGCTAGGAGCGATTTTAAAGATCATGCACGCCTGATTTTTGCGCCAATTATTAGCTATATCTCCAGCAGGTTATATAACCTCTCTGCTCTACTTCAGGCTCTTATAAATAATCACTCAAACTCTCCTAAGAAAGATAATTTATTGTAAATTCAGCAAAGTATTATAGAAAACTAAGGAAAAACATCCCTGCCAAAGGACAGGCAGAATCCAAGGAAACTGTGGGGACCAGTCACTTCTCTCATTCCCACCCCTCTCGCCACTTTGGTGATTCTCTATTGTTCGACTTCTCTATTTACCCATCTTAAACCTGACCATACATGGCAGCCTACTTACTAGGCCTGCAGATCTTTAATTTAGTGACTTCCTGCTGAGTATCTTTTTCTTTTATTAAAAAAAATGTAATTGACAAATAAAGATCATATACATTCAAGGTGTACAATATGATAATTTGATAGGGTATATATAGTGTTATGATTTTTACAACTAAATTAATTTCCATCACCACCCATGCTGTACCTTAGATTCCCAGAACTTACTGGCATTCAAAAAACGTGACCCAGAACTGACTGGGAATCTAAGGTACAGCATGGGTAGTAATGGAAATTAATTTATTATAATTGGAAGTTTGTACCCTTTGACCAATAACTCTCCATTTCCCCTATTTCTAGCACCTGATAACCACTTTTCTACTCTCTGCTCATATGAGTTAAACTTTTCAGATTCCACATATAAGTGAAAGCATACAGTATTTGTATTTCTGTGTCTGACTTACTTCACTTACCAAAATGTCCTTCAGGTTCATCCATGTTGTCACAAGTGACAAGATTTCCTGCTTTTTAATAGCCAAATAATATTCTATTATGGATATATATGTGTGTGTATATATATATATATATATATATATATACACATATATGTGTCTTGTATAATATTGTCTTTATCCATTCATCCATTGATGGACACTTAGGTTGTTACCATACCTTGGCTATCGTGAATAATGCTGCAATAAACACAGGTCTGCACACTGCTAGATTTCTTGGTTCCATGTCCAGAGAGAAAAAAAATTATATTGTGGTAGCTCATCTTTTCAAGCCATATCATCCATTCAAGTCCCAGGTCAGTGGCAAGCAAATCTGAGCCAAGTGTTCACCTTAGCCCAGGAAATATAGCCAGGGGGAACCTGGCCATACAGGCAGTAAGTGCATTCAAAACACTCAGGCAGCAGTGAGGCAGCAAGAAATGAAAGTCTCTAGCATGCTTTCTCAATCTCATTTTCTCATCTGCAAAATCTGCAATCTATTTCACAAACTTTTCTTGGGATTGAGGTATTTTATTGACTTTCTACTTAAGTAAACTTAGAGTGGCATATTGCCCTTCATTGCTTTTTCAGCAAATGCACTGACTTACTTCATTTAATATAATTGACATTACTGATGGTGATTACCTTCATATTTGATCTTCATTTCAATATTAGCATACATAAGAATTGGCTCCAGAGTACCTAGATATTGTCTGACTTCTTGGAACACCTTATTGAAACCTACTTCTGTTAATGGCTCATATTTGTAGAACATTTGATAGATTACAAAGTGCTCTAGGATTGGCACCATAATTTCAGGTGGCAATCTATGGTGGTCATACACTGCATAGACTTTCCTGACAAGGCCTGGCTGTTTCTCCTGAATCTCACCTAGGCCTCAGATAATCCAATGCTGCTTCTTTAAGGCTGAAGGCCACCACATGCTTGATTCATGATTTGATCTTAAAATGATTTAAAATCAAATTCCTTAGATGATCTCGAGTGTTAACTGTTAAAGAAAAAATTGTTCACAATATTTGTTAAAACACAGTAAGGCAGACTTTATTTAGGACCATCACGATAGATATAAGGACCACTGCAATTGGATTTTGCAGTGGGGGACAGAGATTGGGCTCAACTTTGAACACAACATGAGTGGGTGGTTATTTATAGCCAAAGCTCAGGGTGGAGGTCAGAGGATGGAAAATTACTAAGAGGAAACATTACGAGGAAGGGGAATTCTGGCTAAGCTGACCTCACAAGATTCTTGCCAAAAGCAGGTCCCAGTGCTCAGACATTACCTGGGGCAGCGTGGAGGTTGAGGAACCTGATTAGATATTGAGGGTGAGGGATGAACTGACTTAACAGGGTCCTCAGATAAAACCGTATTTTACAAGGAAGTGCACAGAAAGGCCTAGGAGAAGGTTCAGGAGCCAAACTAAAGTTTGGTCAGGCAGATACTCTTTTCCATTACTGAAAAAAAAAAAAATTCAAACAGGGATGCTCTGGGAAGTCAGGGGGCTGGAGAAGCAGCACCAATCCCAAAGTAAAGGAAGAAACCGAAGAGATTAATGTAGTTCAGAAACTGTCTTGTAGTTTCTCAACTATCCAAAGAGTAAGAAGTCACCTCATACTCTTGCTTATTTCAGACCTCTTGATATCTTCCACTATTGGTAAAAAATATTGGGTAATGTATTACACAGTATTTGCATCATCTCAATGGTGAAAAAAGTAGCCTATAGTCTTCTGACAGCTATCTTAAAGAACCAGGTGCCCTGCAAAAGGTGAGCTCTTTAAAGACCCACCCACAGATGTTGCTATCCTTCTAGTCAGCAGGTTCCACTTCTTTACAAAAGGAACATCATATGTAATTGGACCTGTGAATTCTATCCTATATTCACTTTTAAGTGTGAATTTTAGGGAAATAGTATAAAAGCAATCTAATAGCAACTTGTGTTGGATATGTTTCTTATCTGCTTCTCAGTTTCCAAACTCATCAAATATTGAAGTTCTTGAAGGAAAAACCAACCCTCCAGAACCTGAAACATTTATTTGGAGCTACACTTAGCATATAAAGATGTAGGACAGGAAAGAGAAACAAGTCAATGCAACCACAATGTTCTGCTTCTCCCAGAGTGTGTGTCCTGAAAGGGACATAATGAGAGACAGTCACACAGGGTCCTGCCTAGCTATCTCTTTTGTTCTCCAGCCCCTGGGACTCCCACTTCTCCTGTGCAAATTGCAGCAAGTGTAAAATTACCACTCACTTTGGTGAAACAACTCTCTGTGGATTCAGGAGAAATGAGAACCAGGGCTGGTACTGCCTCTTTCCCCAGATAATTGTGTGACTTGTGCTTGCCATTAAACCTCTTGATCTTAAATGGGATCATACAATACTATGTGATCTGCTTACTTCAGTGGGCTATTTAAGGTAATAGGATCATATATGTGAAATTACTTTGAAAAACTAAGAAACTGCTATGCAAAATCAGGAATGAAATGAAGGTAGGATATTTTTGTTCAAAACCCAAAAAACAACATTATTTCTGCTCTTAGCCACTGAAGTGAAGCCTCTAATCTAAGTAATTTTCTTTTCTTGGCTAAAAGCAGTTGGAAAAGCATGTTCATCCTGTAATGTGATCTCTCACCATCATCCTACCAGGCCCTTTGGCTTCTCCTTACACTTTCCTTGCTGCACTTGAAGATTTTACTGACATTTTTCTCAAGACCCTTTTGGCTTCTGACTGCAGCCCCGTTGCAAAGCCAATGCCCCTCTTTTAGGGGTTTGTTATGCAGGACCCCACTTCTGGGTACTGAAACTTTCTTCTGATTATCCACTGCTGCATTAATAAACCACTCCAAAACTTAGTGGCTTAAAATAAGAACAAATATTAATTTCGCTCACAGGTGTGCAACTAGGGCAGGGGATGGGAGAGTCGGGGTATTTTTGCTCCACAGGATCATTTGGGGTTGCTTAATTGGTATCTGGAAGGCCCAGGTTGAAGATGGCTCACTCGCATACCCAGCAAGTTGGTGCTGGCCATCAGCTGAGAGCTCCTGGGGCTGTGGCCTTGTCCATGTGGGCCTCCCCACAGCCTGCTCAAGGGTCTTCATGGCAGAGTGGCCAGGTGCCAGGAATGTGAATCCCAAGAGACAGGAAGAGGAAGTTGCTCATTTCCTAAGGCATGAAACTGGAAACTGCCATAGGGTCCTCTCCACCCCATTCGCTTTCTCTTGCCTTACCATGTTGGCAGAACCACCCAGAACAATAATGTATTATAATGCTGATAGTCAAGATTCTTAGTTTATTCTTGCCTTTAATGGGAATGCTTCTAATGTTCCAATGAGGCATAATAATGGAGTTAACACTGTTATATATTTATCTTATAATGTTAAAGAAGTGTCCATCTATTTCTATTTTACAAATATATTTTATCAAGAATAAATGTTAAATTTTTGTCAAACATCTTTTCAGCATCAATGAAGATGATCATATGTTTTTTCTTTTTTAATCTAATAAAATGGTGAATTATATTAAACTATTTTCAATGACTAAATCCTTCTTGCATCCTGCAATAACCTGACTTGGTAATGGTGAGTGATTTTTTAATATTCCATTGTATTTATTTATATCATATTTTATTTTGTGGTCTGTCTTTCCCACACCAAACTAAAAGGTGCTTGAGGTCAGAAGATATTTATTGTTTATTATTTCCCCAAGCCAAATACAGAAACTGGTACACAGTAGATTCTTAGATAAATGTGTAGAATAAATTAAATAAATTACAGAAGATTAGTAACTATTTATTGAAGTCTTCTCAGTCCCATTTCTTGTAAAATATTGCATCACTGATTAGCAGAGCCTTGGTCTATCACTCCCTTTGCTGTGTGTGTTGCTTGGTTAAGGTTAGTCTATCTGCAACCACAATGCTGTAAATAGGCAGATAGCCATTGTCCAGGGGATTTATTTAAAGAAGTCAACTCATAATAGTTGCAGTCCTTAAACACACACACACACACACACACACACACACACACACACACACACCTGACCTGGCAGAGAAATGTAATATCACCCCTTATCAGATAGCCAATGGGGCCACTATGCCAATGGTGAGCCGCTCCTAATTATTCCTGCTGAAAAAATGCCCTTTAATGTTTTCATTACTACTTACTATCTTTCCTCATACTATAGAGTTCCGAATCTCTGACTCTGTTCTTCGTGCCTCAGTAGCCCAGCACAAGGAACTAAACTCAAATTGTAAATATATCTGTCAGATTTCAGTGTGTTTCCACAGCCAAAGGTATGCTGATGAGTCCTAAAAGTAACCTTAATCACAAACGATCACATTAACCATTGGGAAAGACATTACTACTGTTTGCACTTTCAAGATTAATACATTTTTCAATACAAATAAGGCAAATGAAAGCTAGATAGCCAAATTCAAGCCCTAATTCCAGACTTTTATTCAAAGGCTGACACAAAACTGTTCAACACTACTGCAACTTCCATTGCAAACAGAATATTTTTAAATGATTAATAAAATTCCTACTAGAGAAACTAAGAATCATAAATGGAGTTGCTAATGTAAGCTTATATAAAAAATCTATCTGCACATTTTAACAGGATTCTTCAAATAAATCATTTACATTATTATAAAATTTAGTGTTGCTCACCTAACTTTGAAGCAAAATAGGCATTAAAACACAATTTCACCATCTGGAAGAATTAGAGCCTCTACAAACAATATGTGTCTTGCATATGGCAGACACTCAATAATTATCTAATGCCAGAATTGGAAGGAAGTTGGAAGATCCTGTAGGAGTACCAAATGAGATAATATAGATGAAATGTATATATAAGAGCCTAACACAGAACCTGAAATGTTGTAGGCACTCAAACATTTGAACTGAATCTATTTCACTTGTCGTCGATTTAAAATAAATACTCAGATAAAATCCCTGCAACAAAGGGATTGTTGCAAAATCCCTATAAAAGGAAACATTTTTCACCATAATTCAAAGAATACAGAGAAGCAAGTGCATGTGTGTGTTTATGTGTGTGTATCACAGTAACAGTATTGTATAGGTATGCAGAGAACTGCACTGATTTATAGTCAAAAAATCTAAGTTCACGTCCCAGTTTTCCTACTTACCAGCTGTCTGATGTTAGAAACTTTGCATAGCTTGTCCGAACATCCATTTTGTTGCTTGTAAGAACAGAAAGAATAGCATCTTACACCATATTTTATAAGGTTATTATAAGCATAAAATCAAGTGAGATAATTCTTTGGAAAGAATTACATAAATCTAAAATAGCACAATAATTATTGTTGTTGCACCAGTATAATTTTACCCTCCAAACCCTCTGAAGAGTAGCTTTGGAAAATAACATATAAATTCATCTGCAGTAATATAGAAAATTTCAGCATGGATATGAAAATTAATACATGCCTGTAAAGTGGTTTCCCAAAGGTATGCAGCATTATAAGAATAATAAATCACCATAAATCAGATACAATAGATACATTTTGCACTTAACACAGTGAATGATTTAGGGTCCATGCAATTTTCATCAGAGAAGTTCACTTAGGGCTTACCACCAAATAGCTCCACAGTAGCAGGTAGAGAGCAATATAACAATGACCTTTAAACCACCCAGTGACTCATTAGAGAAGTTCCTCAATTCTGGAACAGATTCACAAACATTTTCAAAATAAAAGATAAATTGGCTAAGATGTAAAATATAAATCAGCTTTGGGAGGGCTAACACAAATACTTTTGAATAGAAATTAAATATGTGTCACCTAATTCATCACAAAATAATACTCAGAAAAACATGCAGAGGCTTTAAACATAAAAGGCTAAATAGCACATCAAGATAGCTTTGCAATAATTGGTCATTTTCTTTTCCACAATAAAATGCTAAATGATGAAGCATGGTTTCCTAGTAACAACAGTAATACTAGGTAAATAAAACAGAATTCAGCTTACAGCAATCAGCAGCCATTCAGCTTCCAACAAAAGGTTGAAATCACTTGGATGCTTGCTTTTTCATTTCCATTATTATGAAAATGAAAAAAAAAATAAAATTGACTTTCCAAATGTAGAATTATTTTTTGAAAATCTGGAAGAAACACTGAAGTGTTGCCCCAGTGTTCCCTGACAGTCTGGCCTCTTCCTAGCCAATGTGTAATTATTCTCAGCAAGGTCACTCCTACCCAGTGAGTGAAGAAGGAGGCATCCTACAGGCCATACATTTGGAAAGGCTGAGGCCAGCCTTACCTCTATTCACTGATGTCTGAAACTCCACACTTAGAAGGAACCTTTGTTTTTTGTTTGTTTGTTTGTTTTTGTTTGTTTGTTTGTTTGAAATAGAGTCTCGCTCTGTCACCCAGGCTGTAGTGCAGTGGTACTATCTCAGCTCACTGCAACCCCCGGGTTCAAGCAATTATCGTGCCTCAGCCTCCCAGGTAGCTGGGATTACACCACCACGCCCAGCTAATTTTTGTATTTTTAGTAAACACAGAGTTTCTCCATGTTGGCCAGGCTGGTCTTGAACTCCTGACCTCAAGTGATCCACCTGCCTTGGCCTCCCAAAGTGCTGGAATTACAGGCACAAGCCACCATGTCTGGTCAGAACCTTTGTTTTTATTTGTCTGAGGGATTTTTTCTTTATTTTGTTCTTGCTTTTAATGTAAGGCTTTCTGATCCCAAATGTTTTAAATACAAATGTTCCAATATACACCCTCGTATTCTAACCCTTCAACCAAATTAAATGTTGAGTATGTCTAAAAATCATACTAAGAAAAAGAAGCAGAAATTGTAGATACGAGGTAATATTTGTAAATAATTCAACTTGGTAGTTACTACTACTGAAATGCAATGGGCCTGTATTGCTCCATAATACCAAGGACGTTTAAAAATCATGCTAAAATCATGAAAAAAAGTAAATTTATAGATAGAATTTATTTCCTATACTTAAACAGTATTTGATAGCCATAGCCAGTTATCTACCACCAATCACCGGCATATAATAAAATATTAAGTAAAGAAATAAAGTGAAAAAAACTCAGAAATATCATCTCACCCAAATTTTATGTTTATTGCTTTTGACATGTAGAGACAGACATAAACATCAAATTTTTTTACTTGAAAAATTATTGTACAATGATATAACAATGTCAATGGTGTTCTGCAAAATGCATGCTATTGTATAGGAGGTACATCATTTGTTCATGTTTTGGAATCACTGTCATTGGTATAGCAAGCACTATCGGTTATCCACCCCAAATTCATTCCTTCTCAACTTTTTTTCCATCCCGGAAGATCACTGCTTTGTTCGTTTCACTTCTCTACCCTACCTCTGTGGTCAAGTGCATAGGAAAAATATTCCAATTCCTAGCTGAGTAGTAATGCTGATTAGTCTATACAAATCACGGCAATCCCTTGCCGTGACTATCTTAGAAATGGGCATGTGCTGCACACGTATGTTTATTGCAGCACTATTTACAATAGCAAAGACATGGAACCAACCCAATTGCCCATCAATGATAGACCTGATAAAGAAAGTGTAGTACATATACACCATGGAATATTATTCAGCAATAAAAAGGAATGAGATTATATCCTTTGCAGGGACATGGATGAAGCTAGAAGCCATCATCCTCAGCAAACTAACACAGGAGCAGAAAACCAAACCAAACACCACATGTTCTCACTCATAAGTGGGAGTCGAACATTGAGAACACATGGACACAGAGAGGGGAACAACACACACCAGGTCCTACTGTGGGTTGGGGAGTGATGGGAGGGAACTTAGAGGATGGGTCAGTAAGTGTAGCAAACCACCATGGCACATGTATACCTATGTAACAAACCTGCACATTCTGCACATGTATCCCCCCACTTTTTTTTTAGAAAAAAATAAAGAAATGGGCATGTGTACAATTCTGAGCAATGAGATATAAGACTGAAGTCTGCTGGAGAGTCTTCCTCACTGATTTGAAAAACACAATGACACAGGAAAAGATGCCCTATACCTCTCCTATTAGTGTTTTCTGGGTGTGATGCCTGGAACTACCATAGCTATCTTATGACCCAAAGGAAAACAAGCCTAAAGGTGAGCCAGTCTACTAAGGATGGCAGAGCATAACAACAGAAAGGTCCCAGTTCCTCGATGTCACTGAGCTGCTAAATTAACCAATCTTGGAGCTACCATACCTCTGGCTTATAATTATGTAAGAGAATACATATTTTTATTATTTAAGCTGATTGAGCCTGAGTTATCCATTATTTGCAACCAAAGACTAACTACTATAGAACATATGTTAATCACAGCAAAGCATTTAAGAGGTCTCTCATAATATCTTTGTGAATTTGATGGAAAATGTGGATTGAAGGATAATTCAATTTGGAAGTTTAATAGATGATGAAATAATGGAGGGAGACTTTAGTAGTGTGTCTCAGAATTCATTTTGCCTTTAGTTTCTCCTGTTGAATATTTTTATCAACAACCGGGAAACATATAGATGACATAAAACACGTATGTGACTTAGCAGAGGGGGTTACTAATATGCTAGATGGCAGAATCAAAATTCAAAATGTTTTTTCCCAAGGAATATTACGAATGCCCAATACTTCTATCCTATCCCAACATTTTCTTCTTCAACTCTTACCAAACTCAGATGTCAAATAAAAAGTGTTCACAGATAGATTAAACCTGTGAAGCTTTGATTTATCCCCCACTCCTAACCACAGTTTAACATACATAGCAAATAACACTCTGACCTCTGTATCTACCGCTATGAAGGTACCCACCACACCTGAATATTTATTTGCTTACTTATCTGTGTCCTTGCCTCCTGGAGAAAAAAAACCATGCCTTCTTCATTTTTAGACTTTCTGCTCCTCGTTTGGTGCTATTGACGGAATAAAGACATGCATGAATAAGTAACTGAATGAATGAAAAACTGAATGGATTGATTTAAGGAAACAATTTCACTCTTTGAAGTGGAAGACAAGGATAAAAGAAAATTGGGAAGGTAATGGAAACTATTGAAGACTAGGAAAAATCTGAGTTCAGATACAATACAACAAATGATTAAGAAGTATTTCAGGAATCTGTTACCAGTGGACAGAATACTGAATCCCTACAGTAACTGCAAATGCACAGTTACTCTTGCAGTTACTCTTTCATTAAAGTGGAATTCTTAACCCAAATCTCATGTTGGAATGTGACTCCCAATGTTGGAGGTGGGGCCTGGTGGGAGGTGTTGGATCATGGAAGTGGATCCCTTATGAATGGTTTAGCGCCATCCCCTTTGTGATGAGCGAGTTCTCGTTCAATTAGTTCACACGAGCTGTGGTTGTTTAAAAGTCTAGGACCTCTGTCTTCTCTCTCCCTCGCTCCTGCTCTCACTATGTGATAGAGAGGAGTAAGGCTCTCCTCTTCACCTTCTACCATGAGTGAAAGTTTCCTGACAGCTTACAGAACCGTGAATCAATTAAACCTCTCTTCTTCTTCTTCTTTTTTTTTTTTTTTTTTGAGACGGAGTCTCGCACTGTCTCCCAGTCTGGAGTGCAGTGGCGCGATCTCAGCTCACTGCAACCTCTGCCTCCCAGGTTCACACAATTCTCCTGCCTCAGCCTCCTGAGTAGCTGGGATTACAGGCGCATACCACCACACCCAGCTGATTTTTTGTATTTTTAGTAGAGACGGGGTTTCACTATGTTGGCCAGACTGGTCTCGAACTCCTGACCTTGTGATCCACCTGCCTTGGCCTCCCAAAGTGCTGGGATTACAGGCGTGAGTCACCGCCCCCCACCTAAACCTCTCTTCTTTATAAATTATCCAATCTCAGGTATTTCTTGACAGCAACACAAGAACATCCTAACATAGAAGCCAAAGGGATGATCTACCAGTACTTGGTTTGAACCCCAAGTTCCACTTACTAGAAATGTTTTTAAAAGGTTAATATAACAGTTGGCTAAATAATAAAAAGCATAATATTAGAGTTTCATTTCCTTATCAAAACAAAGCATTAGGTTAACTTCTGTACATGGAATGAACCCTTAGTACACCTTCTTAAACCTTCTCATTTAGATTGTATTGTTAAATTAAACTGAGAATAGGCATGAAATCTGAACACCTGAAAATTCATGTATCATTCCTAGAGAAGATGAATTTAAATTGTTACTTAGAATTTAGGAAGTGTGACTTTAAAGCACTTGAGATGCTTTTTTCATCTAAGCTTAAATGATCACGTCAAGAGGTCACTAGCCTCTATTATCCCAGACTATTCCCAGTAACCATTGCCTCCTAAGGCTCTGAGTGGAAATTGTTTATAAGAAATATGGTATTCAAAGATATCCAGGATAATGGCTTCTCTATGTCATGTCTTCTATGATTCATCAGAGTCTTATGCTGTGTTAACGGTGTGTTACACACAGAGAAGTGGAGAATGAACATTACATGAAACTAAATATATAAATGTTATGGAATATAGGGAAAGGTTCAAATATTAAATTTTAAAACTCTACATAATAATATAACTCACTGAAATCACATCCTATGTACTGTTCTATATTATATGTTATATATATTTTTAATCACATGTGTCAGTAGGCTCTCAAAAAATCCTCTTAAGAGAAGTACAATGGAATGGTTAAGAGAAATGGTTCTCAACCTATGTTGCACTACAACATATTCGATATTAACTATTCACATCACATTCCTGTGGGTCTAGGGTCTGAGCCCGATGCCAAATACAATGAGACTTTGTGGGAGCCTATAAGCAGAGTCTGCATCTGGGAGACTGGCCAGAGGCCAGATTCTCGAGATTTTAAAACATGGCTCCAAATTCTTTGGCACTTCTGTCCAGAGGTGGGGTCTTTGTCTCTACCTCATGAATTTGGGCAGGCTTGTAACTGCTTCAACAAGAGAATAGAGTGAAAGTGATGCTGGGTGACTTCTGAGGCTAGGTTGGAAAAGGCCATGCAATTTCCACCTGCTTCTCAAATTCTTGCTCTCTGGATGCTTCCTTTCGAGAAACTCCCTTTGGGATCCCAGGTGCCATGTTATGAGAAGCCTAAGCCGCATAGAGATCATGCACAGGTGTTCTGCTTGACAGCCCTAGCTGACCCCTCCTTTTAAGTCACCCTATAATGCATATGTGTGAGTGAAGATGCTTCTAGATCATTGGCTCTCAAATTTTAGCATGCATCAAAGTCAGCTGGAGGGCTCATTAAAACATAGATGACTGAGCCCCACTGTTAGAGTTTCTGATTCAGTAGATCTGTGGTGGGACTGGACAATTTGCCTTTCTAAGTTTCCAGGTGATTTGGAGACCACAGTTTGAGAACCACCACTCTACCTGATTCTAACCACCAACCATTGGTGAGACTCTAACATTGTGGAGCATAGATAAACCCTCTCTGCTCTGCTCTCTCTCTCTGGATTCCTAGTGTACAAAATTCAGGAATTATTCCACCTTTTCCACATTAAGAAGATACATTAGAATGAAGTAAAATGACATAGGAAAATTTCAATACATTCTAAGGATCTTTAAAGTATGAGATCATAAACTTTCATGCTGTAATGATTAGCTTTAATTATTCAAGTGATGTGACATATCTCACAAGTGATTACAAAACATCACTGCTTAGTCACCACATCTGGGGGCCTCTCCTGTGTGAATCACTCAGAGCTGGTTTTGAATTTCACCTTTGCTACTTAAAGGTTAACACAGCAATTAGTAAGGCACGGAAGAGGCTTTTGGAGTTTGTGTGCCTGTGTTTAAATCCAGTTCTACCACCTTCTAGCTGTGTGTGACCTAGAGTAACATACTTAACCTTCCTAAGCCTCTGTTTCTCCATTCCTAAAATGGCCTGAGACGATTAGTGTGGTTATTAAATGAGATAATGCCCTTAAAACAGCGCTGGCGCTGAGAAGTCACTCCAGAAATATCTTATGAAATGGTATGTGTCCTTGGACAGGTTGTGTTTTTACCTCTCTGGGAATTAGAATTTATCTAAAAAACCAGGATAATAATATCTATCACATGGGGTGATTAAGATTAAATAATAAGCAAACAAGTGCTTAATAAATGGCAGCTATTATTAATATTTTTATTACTGTGAAACAGTTGCACTTTCTAGTATGGAAAGCACAAGTCAGCAAGTTTTACTCCCATAAAATAAAGCTTTCATGTAGCGGACAGGATAGCAAAAGTGTCTTAGCCTGTCACTGATCAAACAGTAAAAGAGTAAGTGATATTTAAAGTTCGATGATAGAATCAAAGGGACTTCCGGCCAGGAGAAGTGGCTCACGGCTGTAATCCCAGCATTTTAAGAGGCCGAGGCGGGTGGATCACCTGAGGTCAAGAGTTTGAGACCAGCCTGACTAACACAGCGAAACCCCGTCTCTACTAAAAATACAAAAATTAGTTGGGCATTATGGCAGATGCCTGTAATCCCAGCTACTTGGGAGGCTGAGATGGGAGAATAACTTGAACCCAGGAGGCAGAGGTTGCACTGAGCCGAGATCATGCCTTTGCACTCCAGCCTAGGTGACAAGAGGGAAACTCTGTATCAAAAAAAAAAAAAAAAGAATCAAAAGGACTTCTAATAGTCTGTTCACATAGGCTCTGAAGTAGGAGTAAGAACTGCACTAAATCATTATGGATCCTGGCAACTGTCCTGGTAGTGTCAGGTCCAAGCAGCTGTGAACCAAGCAGCATTTACCTTTGTTGCTTCCCAGCCTGCAGCATTTGCTCCTCTTTCTGCCCTTTGTCCCCAAGTACAGGTTTCAGGCACCATTCCTATTGGGCTCTGTGCTAATGGGTTATTAGATCCTTTGCAATATTAATCAGTAATGAATATGATAGCTAAGAACTGTGATATGATAGTTTTCACTAATGAAGAGGGAATAAAAAACAAAGAGCCCTCAGGGCCTATATCTATACCACTGTAAAGATGAGTGAGAAGATTGCCATTTTGAAGCCAGAATTTTTCAGTTTAGTTAAAGCATCTTTCATAGGAAGCTACTTTCTCCCTTGCCTGGCCTATTACAAATTTCACAAGGTATAGATGGCTTTCTTTAACCATATTTTGTTATTATCTGTTTCATTCTTCTTAAAACTGGAAGAATGCTGGAAGGAAATTTAGGTAAATATTTTTCTTCTTTCTGGATGGGGAAGAACATTCCCCATTCATAACATAACATAACATAAATAAACAAATAAATAAATAAAAGGAATCACAAAATAAAAGGTATACAGATTTGACTACAAAAAAATTGAAACCGTCCATATGTTAGTAGACACTATAAGCTAAATTAAAACTGAGAAATAACAGCATCCACAAAGCATTTATATTTATAATATACAAATAATCTATACAAATCAATGAATAAAACTCTAGCATCCCAGTAGAAATGTGAGCTAAAATATAAAACAATAATTTACCTTATTAATAGAAAAAGAATCGCAAATTTAAACTGTGTATATTTTTCCCCATTAGAAAACTAACAAATACTTGAAATGTGTTCATATTTTGTGTTGGTAAAAGTTCATTAGGACCAGGATTCTTACATTTTCTCATGAAATTGGTCTAATTTTTATGAAAAATAACTTGGTTAAATAAAGTAAAAATTATGAAAATATTTTCAATTCTTGGCCCAGTGAGACTAGCAAAATTTCCCTAGGAAATAATAAGAGTTTCAGCCAAAATTTAAGTATAAAGATGTGGACAACAGCTTTATTTATAACAGCAAAATTTACAGAAAAACACACACCCAATACTAAGAGTTAGAGTTTTGTATATTTATAGGAAAATTATGCAGTTTTATAATTTCAAACCGTTCTTAATGATTTGGGAAAATGCATACCAGAAAAAAAATAGTGGAGAAAAAAGTCAAGATACAAAACAATATACATGAGGGAAAGTTTTTGAAATTTTTTGGTAGTGGCTATGTGGAGTGCTGCATTGAAGGTTATTCTGAAATAACATCTGCGCTCAGCAGGAAAGAAGGCGGTGGCCACTAAATATCTGCTATTGGCCCGAAAGGTGGGAAATAACACCACATATGCCCTCTGATGCCATCCTGTGTAGTACATACAATATGGCTTTAATCACTTATCAGCATATGTGTGTGGAGGATGTGTGTGTGTGTGTGTGTGTGTGTGTATGTAAAATCACTACATTGCAATAATAATTCTCTTCAGATTGTAGATTGGGTGATTTGGATTTTTTGATATTTTTCAAGTTTTCTTTTTTTTTTTTTTCTTGAGACAGCATCTCACTTTGTCGCCCTGGCCAGGGTGCAGTGGCACGATCTTGGCTCACTGTAAATTCTGCCTCCCAGGTTCAAGCAATTCTAGTGCCTCAGCCTACCGAGTAGCTGGGATTGCAGGAGCCCATTACCACGCCGGCTAATTTTTGTACTTTTAGTAGACACAGCGTTTCGCCATGTTGGCCAGGCTGGTAAACTCCTGACCTCAAGTGACCTGCCGGCCTCAGCCTGCCAAAATGCTGGGATTACAGGTGTGAGCCTGTAATCCGCCCAGCCTAGTATTTTTCAGGTTTTCTATGATGCAGTTCAGGACATACTACTGCAAAATGTGGCATCCTGACATAGTGAATATTTTAAGCTGAAGGAATTTGTGAAAACAACAGAAGCAAGGATGTCCTCCTGACCTCTCTTGGTCTTCTCTCTCGGAGCAGGTCATAAAACTTAGGAAGCATTTTCTGACCTTCCCATGAAGCAGGTCTTAAAACCCCCCTGTGAGAGGTGCCCTTCCTATACCCGGAGGAAAGGAACATCTTAATCTCTGAAGATAAAGGCACACAGAAAGGAAGCTGAATGAACAGGCCTTGCTAAATTTCCCCCACTTTTTATACTCTGCTCAACCCCCTTTGTCCTGTGATATTTCTCCACAGCTGTCCACCCTCCATCGAAACTCATGTAAAAACATTCAGGTTTCACTGCTTCTTTGGGGCTTCATTTTTTTTTTACGAAAACTCCCATGTCACATAAAACTTATATTAAATAAATGTGCATGCTTTTGTCTTGTTAATCTATCTTTTGCTACAGGAGCCGCAGCCAATGAACCTAAGATGACAAAGAAGACATTTTCCCTCCCCTGCATCTACATCAAACACATATTGGTTTTACATTAATTTTTGTTTTAGATTTTCGAACTGTTCAGATGATATTTTAACTAGAATATTACATTCACCCTGGGGAAAGCCACAGGGGTGGGGGATAATTTTTGTAGAGAAAATAAATTTTGTATGTCCTTTCATTGCTTTTCCAGAAGGGAAAATGTATTATCAGAGTTAGGGATATCTTCCCCAGTACAGGTTAGTTCTAACTCTCTTGGAATTTGGTTATGAAAAAGAATGTGACCTTTTGTCTCCTATAGAAATTCAAGCACTTGAAAAAAGATTTCTGTGAATGAACTTAAAAAAAGCATCAATTTTTGTCAGTATAGATAGCCAAAGGGCCTGGACTAATAAGACCACATTTGAAAGTGCCAGTGTTACGGTGAGCTTTTAAAATTTTAAACCAATTAGTGATGCTTTTAATGTCTCTTACTAGCTTGTATACTGCTGAGTCATTCCCACGCTTGAAGCTGATTTTGATATTTTCACAGCTCAGATTTCTTTGCAGAGAGTACTTACCAGGTTAAGAAGCGAGTGAGCGTGGTTGCATGACTGAATTTCTTCCACTTTGTGAGGCTGTCTCAGAATTGGAAACCCCAAGCTTCCTGGAGTCAGGGAAAAAGGGCCCAGATGCAGCTCTCCCTTTGATTAGCTCTATGACCTGAGACAAGTCACTTTCTCTGTTCTCTTTCAGAGTTTCCACATTTATAATATGAAAATATACTATAACTGCCCTCCAGGGCAAAATATATGAGGATAAATTGAGTAAAAGATGTGAGATGTATAAGCAGATGGGAGGCTATCTTTCCTTCTGGGTCTCACTCCCAGTTGACCATGTACAAATCCTTCCTAAGATGTTAACTGATAATTAGGATGTTAATTAGCAGCAAGCAGTCCGCAACATTTGAGCTTCTATAATCAACGTAAATTAAGTGGGATTGTCCCAAATTTCAGAATCAGACAGTATCAGTAAGATGTCCAGTGCCGCCCACAGGAAGCTTTGGGGGAGAATGTTCTCGGTAGTTTCCCACAGCCTCACCCAATTCTCTGGAACCTAAAATCCATGAGCACAATTATGCATTATCTTCTACTTGTACATATTCAACCACAGTTGAGCGAATTTGTCACCTTGCTCACAGTTGATGTTTGCCTTCCCCTTCTCCTTCGATATGCTCTCATGTCCCTAGAAACGCCAGAACAAGTGTTAAGATGGACCACCAGTGCTCAGAGAAGGAATAGTCTTTGTTTGAGAATTAGTTATTGGATAAGATCCAAATAACTAGCATCTTCTTGGTAAAAACCTAAATATGCCAAGATACTCAAAATCCACAGGGAAAAATTTGACAGATTTGACTCATTAAATCTAAAGTTGTCTTTTATCCTCTGTAGTAAAACAGTACAGACAAAGTAAAAAACACAACACAAACTGAAAAGTAATTTCAACACCTAACAGACAAGGTAATAGCCATAATTTATCATCATATCCATATATCAGTAACATAAAATATCACACATATTGTCTTTGAGAAGGCTTTACTGACCCTGCAGTCTAAATCAAGATCCTCATTAAATCATTGCATCACCTCTTTTATCTTTTTTTTCCTTACACATATCTGTATCCCAGCAGCATTTAACAAATGATCGCTCTGGACAGGCACTGTGCTACACGCTACCTATTCACACACAGACAAAAGAGCAACATGACAACAGCTATCCTTGTTGGCATTATATCACTTTTGGAAGTATTTATATTTCCAGCTTGTAGAGTCTTTTTTATAATTATCTAAACTCAAATAGCCTAAAGCATGAAGAGTCTTGTTTTGTACTAATTTAAATTTTAATGAAATACAATCCAGACAATTTGGTTTTATATATAAAAATACTTTACAGTTAAACTATAATCTATTTCTCCATATTAAGTGGAAAGTTTTGCTTTGAAAAGGTTTTAAAAATGTAGTATAAACACCAACCAAAAATATATACAGGTAAGAAAGCATGTGATGAAAGCATGTGATATGGAATTTTATGTAAAATTAAAGATATGGCTGAAGCTTGATTCTCTGTCCCAAGGGTAGCTATTTCTTTGTGACTAAAGTTTAATAATGTTACCATGGAACATTAAAAAAGGCACTTTTTCAAAGTAAAGAATCTTTAAAAAATTTAAATGTTGTCCTTGTATGTGTGTCTTTGAAAATAAAATATTTATTTCCACTAAAACTGATTTATTAGAGACAAACCATCTGTTCTCTGGTTTGTTTGACACAAGTAATTTTTTTTTTCAGTATTGAAGGCTTCTAACCAGTTGATATCATTCTCCATACAAGAAATGGCAAAATCTAAACTCTCCCTCTCCTTTGTTTCTCTTAACTCCTAGGTATTATGATGATTTCCCTGGGGGGTGGGGAGGGGAGCCAATTCTTGAATCATCTTAAGACCAAGTCACAGGGAATTCAGAAATTGTTTTATTTACATTGGTTACAGTGTATTCATTTATGTGATTTGATTCTACATTTGCAAGTTAGGTGCCTCTGCATCATGCCAGCCAAGCAATGGTTAAATCCCTACCCCAGGATGCCCTGAAACTGCTGCCAACAAGATACCATTTAGGCTCAATAGACCAGCAGGAACTCCTTACAGCCACGTGGATGAGCATAATTGGCAGCAGGGATGGTGCAAGGGTACAAGCCAGCAGCAGGGACATCAATGGGACAAACCGGAAGCAGAGTAAGAAGATACAGGCAGGGGTGAGGCTGAATCTGGGCTTTGGCATGTGTATAGTTTATGTTAGTGGCTTGATCTGTTGGAAACTCTTGTCTCACCTTGGACTGGTGCTATCTCAGCAGAAGTGTCACAGTGTGCAACACCCTGGAATACTGTATTAGGCCAAGAAGATAGGCTTGCTTTTCCAATGTGGCCAAATGTCCACTCTTTATAACAGGCCACCTTTGTAGTAGACTTGGAACACCAGAAAGGCAGATTGAGAGAATTATCTGAACAATGCACTCAAAGGCAAAGGCTCTCTCACTTGCTGACATGTTCCTTCCCCTCTCCATTCAGCTCCTTATTCCGATCAGGCCCAAACCCCTAAGTGAATACAAAGTTAGACTTAAGCATGATTATAAATACTAGGCTGAATTTTAGTTGACAAATTTGGAGAATAAAGGCAATGATTTAGGAAGCAGGCTTCGTGTGAATCATTGAGGAGAGTATAGGAGCAAGTCATGCATTATTCTTTCATTTATCACATCTATCTAAAAATAAAGAAATAATAATGGAACATTGAAAAGTATATCATATTCATATGCTTTCAAAACAAGCATTTGTTGAGCATCTACTGTGTACTAGGTCCCATTCAAAACTCAAAGGTCATTTGATTTGGTAGGAGAGATCGACATGTTAGTAAACATTTATTTCTACAGTGTGTGATGAGTGCAACCTTAGAGGGAATAACAAGACACAAGTAAACACACCAAGAAAGGAATGGTCAGATCTAACCCAGAGGTTTAGGAAGGCTCCCAAGGCAATCTGTAACCTGAGACTTTAGGTTGAGCAGAAGTCTGGTTTGCAGATGAAGGTGGAAGGGAACTCTAGGCAGAGGAATGGGATGTCTAAAGATTCAGATGAATGGAGCAATAACAATGTACTCAGTGACTCCAAGTACTTCAACATGGCAATAGGGTAGAGTGTGATGAGGAAAGTGGGGGAAGATTTTGTTGGCCAATCTAAGCCTTTGACTTCTTTCTGAAAGCAAATGATAGCTATTGAAGGATTTAAACAAGGAAGCCATCTGCAGATTAAAATGAGTATTATGAAAGCAAAGAGGGGGATAGATTGAAGGGGATGTAAACTGGGGGCAGGGAGGCCAGCTAAGGAGGCAATTGTTAAAGTTCTTATGGGAAATGTTGGGGGCCTGAGATGACTTTTGACTATGAAAAGGTGATTTCAAAAGGAAAAGCATCGGATCATTAAGTCCCAAAATGAGCTGTACTAAAGCTTAATGCTATATGGTGCTCCAAGAAAGAGAGCAATGAATTAGAGAGACTGTGATGCTGCTGCATAACAAGAGGAGAGAGGCGAGAAGGTGAGGGGGGTATGCAGGCAAAGGCACTAATTACACTGCATCTAATTGAAAAGTATGCTCTTTACTTAGAACTACATTAAAATCTGTCACTATGGCCTGAACTGGAGATAAATGTAACAATAAATTCAAACGTTGAAGAAAGAGAAATAGAAAGAAGGATAGAAAAATGTATTTTATCTAAGTTAGTTTTCTATCACTGTGGCTCAGGTTCTGCCGCTGGGATACAGGACTAAAAACTCTGCTCCCAGGTCTCCTTAGGCAAAGAGAATTCATACCACC
The DNA here is from genome assembly GCF_000001405.40 of Homo sapiens. Taxonomy (NCBI): domain Eukaryota; kingdom Metazoa; phylum Chordata; class Mammalia; order Primates; family Hominidae; genus Homo; species Homo sapiens. The sequence goes on from NC_000013.11 coordinate 34,871,657, forward strand.
TGTTCAGCTTCTCTGTAATCCCTCTGGGAAAAGAGTGACTATTAGATCATTTTGGAAACATTTTCGCAGTCTACCCTTCACTTTGCTTTAGGAGTTCTTTGAAATCCTCCTACAATGGTCTCTTCAGGAGTCACTGTACTCTGATCTTACCCCCTTGGCTCCAGACTTACAGGCCCTCTTTCCCAAATGGAAAGAAGCCCTCTGTGAACTCTCTCCAACTGGACCTGCAAGAACCAACTAGGCCCCCACCTGTTTGATGCTCCACTCTGAGATCTGCATTTTAGGAAGCTCATTCTGGACACTAAATGAAGAATACATTGGAAAAAAACAAGAGCAGTAATCCAGCAATGGTTGCCTAGACTGGATGGTGGCTACAATGATGAAGGGAAATAGATCTGAGAGCTATTTATTATAGATTTAGTATAGATTTGAGAGCTATTTATCAATGTTTCAGAGGCTGACCAATTATGGGGGATGAGCCAGAAGGAAGAGTCAAGAAAAATTCTTAGGCTTTTGATCCAAGCACTCAGATAGCTGGTGGTTCCATTTATTGAGCTAAGGGACATAAGATTCAGGAAGTTCAATTGAAGACTTTATGAAATTGAGGCACCCATGAGACCTCTAAGTAGAAGTGTCCAGTAGTTCAGATATACATGGCTGGAGGTCCAGAGAAAAACCTGGACTGAATAAAATGATTCTGGTGTCATTAGCATATAGATAGCAACACCGGGATGTCCCTAGGAGAGTGCAAATAGCCAGACCCTAGAGGAACACTGTATTTTAAAAATTAGAGAAGAAAGGAAGCTCTTGGTGAAGACCAAGAAGTTCCACTAGAGAAGTAGGAGACAAACCAGGAGAGTGAAATTCATAGAAATGTACAAGAAGAGCATTGTTAACATTATAAAACACCACTGCAAAGTCAAACAAGATAATTACTAAAAAGTATTTTATTAGATTTAGGGACACAGAGGCCACCAGTGACTCTGGAGACAGCAGTTTTAATAAAATGGTAAGAGTAGAAAACAAATTATAGTGCCTTGTGGAGAAAGAGTAAAAAGAAGAAATGGAGAGATCAAGGATGGACCATTTATTCACTAAGTTTGCCTATGAAGGAGAGGAAAGAGTCAGTGAAGAGGGGCATTATCTTGGTTCATTTTCTGTGGGATATAACAGAATATCTGAAACAGAGTAATTTATAAAGTAAAGGAATTTATTTATTACAGTTCCAGAGGCTGAGAAGTCCAAGGCTGAGATCCTGCATCTGGTGAGGGCCTTTTTGCTGGCGGGGACCCTCTGCAGAGTCCTGAAGTGGTTCAGGGCATCACATGGTGAGGTGGCTGAGTGTGCTAGCTAAGGTCTCTGTTCCTCTTCTTATAAAGCCACCAGTACCATGCCTATGATAACCTTTTAATTTATTAATCAATTAAGCCACAAAAAGATTACTCCATTCATGAAGGCAGAGCCCTCTTGACTCAATCACCTCTTAGAGGCCCCGCCTCCCAATACTGCCACATTAGGGCTTAAATTTCAACATGAATTTTGGAAAGGACAAACGTTAAAACCATAGCAGATATATAATGAAGATAGGGTGTAACTGAGAAGACAAGACATAACAACAATAATGATCAGAGAGTGACAGAAGGAATCGGAGTGAGGGAGCAACTGTGATGAGTCCAGTGATGACAAAACAAGCACGGCTCATTGTGAAAGTCAGAACCAGTGAGTTCAAATTCTTGCTGTGCCGCTACCAAGTTTCCTCACCTGTAAAATGTGCATAATCCTTACTTTTTTGATATTATCTGTATAAAAGTGCACTTTTCAACTAGCAAAAAATTACCACACACCAATTTCTTTTTTTTCTCCTTTTGTAGGCTAGAACAAAGAAGCAAAATGACTTTAGCACAAGAATAAAGATATATGAAACAGAATCCTCACATCTGAAGGAATATTTGTACATGCATTCATATTGAAAATGCAGTATGTTCTATGATAATGTCAAATCATATCATATATTTTACACCACTTTAAAATTTGCTCGGTTGTTTCATTTTCATCTCACAACAACTCTATCAAGCAAGTAGGGCAGGTATTCTTATCCCTTGTTAAAGATAAAGAAACTAGGGCATGCTGAGGTTAAGGGACAGCCCATCCTCAGTTGTTAGCAGTGGAGGTTGGACTAGAATGGTCCCTGGAGTTAGTGCTTTCTTTAGGAGTCCTGTAAAAGGCAGATAAAAGCTAATTTCAGTATCAGTAGCACATCTAGAACAATTACAGGTGGGAAATTTCTTGCCACCTACTTTTGGATTTGCAGAAATAAATACATCACTTTCAGTTTCTTCCAGCTGAATTTTATATTATTATTCCCACAATGACTAGTTCCCTGGTGTTGCACCCTCTTTGCCTCTGATACTGGCCAAGTGCTAGCCTTTAAAGCTATGGAGATCTAGGAGCAGAGAAGTTGAATCCTGCTACCCCAGCAACAGGCCTTGACCCCAGTGAGAGGGCAAAGAAAACAATAAACCTATCCAAGAGTGACACCTCAACCAGAGAGAGGAAGTTGAGGTAGAACATCCAGGAGGGAGGGTTTCTGACAAAATGGAACTGTAGACGAAGACTGATGTCAACCCAAACCAAATACTACTCCTACTGCTACTAATACTACTACTAATAACAACAACTGAACAGTAACAGACATACAGGGAGAAATTCAACGTCACATATACCTAACAGAAAAAAAGATTCTTGGGAAATGTATCAATCTGCTTGGGTTGTTCTAACAAAGTACTACAGACTGGATATCAACACACATTTATTCTCACAGTTCTGGAGACAGGAAGTCCAGGATCAAGGTGTGGATAAATTTGGTTTCTGATGAGGTCTCTTTTCCTGGCTTGCAGGTGACCCCCTTCCGGCTGTGTCCTCACATAATTTTTCCTCTGTGTTCAGAGGCGAGAGAGAGCTCTATGTTGTTTCTCCCTCTATGACCCCATCCTATGACCACATTTAGCCTCAAATCACACCAGTCCTATTGGATTAAGGCCACATCCTATGACCACATTTAACCTTAATTATCTCCCTAAAGGTTCCGTGCTTAAATATCATCACATTGGTTAGGACTTCAACACATGAATTGGAGGGTTTGGAAGGGCATCACAAGTCAGCCCATAATAGGAACTAAAATCTATAATTTTCAAACAAAAAATACGATACTCAAATCAGTAACCTGGAAGATCAAGTGGAAGAAATTGTTGACAAAAAGAAAAAGGAAAAAGTGTAAAGGGCTAAAACTGATGGGAAGAAACATGAGACTAGGCAGACAGATCCAGCAGATATAACACAAGAATGACAGGAGTTCCAAGGAAAAAAAATCATTGAGAAAGGCAATAATCATGAACATAAAAAGAAATAATGTCCCCAAGTTGATGAAAGAGAATAGATGTGAAGTGCTCGCCTGAGTTCCATGCAGGACACACAGGTAGCATGCCCAGGTAAAATTTCTGACCTCTAAAAATTTTTTTTAAACTTTTACAAGATTTCCAAAAGAACAATTTAAAAACAAAATGAAACAAAGAAAATGTCAGAAAAGCTTGACTTCTCCTCTACATACCTAGAAAATGATAAAATACTAGATGAACTACTATTTACTGACCTAGAGAGAAAAGGACAGCCCCTTAATAATCTTAAAAACATCCAACATACCATTTACCAGCCAGGTTAAAGGTTAGATATTTGCCAAAAAGCAAGAATTCAGAGAATTCCACTGAGAAGAGTATAATCAGATGGCAAACTAATAAGAAGAAAGAACACAAGAAAAGGAAAGATGAAGATGAAACAGCAGCGAATATTTAACCTGCAATATGCATATTTAAGATTAAATGGATGATAACTAGGAATGTAATAAAATGTGTCCTAAATAAGTATTCTTGCAATACAACTTTTATGCTATAAGAGAAAGCCTATAACAGTTTGGAATGTAAGAAATTGTCTTGGGCCAGGCTCAGTGGCCCATGCCTGTAATCTGAGCACTTTGGGAGGCCAAGGCAGGCGGATCACTTGAGCCCAGGAGTTCGAGACCAGTCTGGGCATCAAAGTGAGACCCTGGCTCCACTGAAAAAAAAAAAAAAGAAAAAGAAAAAGAAAAAGAAAAAAAATTAGCTGGGCATGGTGGTGTGCTCCTGTAGTCCCAGCTAGTATGGAGGCTAAATTGGGAGAATAGCCTGAGCATGGGAGATTGAGGCTGCATGAGCTGAGATTGTGCCACTGCTCTCCAGCCTGGGTGACAGAGCCAGACCCTGTCTCAAAAAAACAAACAAACAAACAAAAAAACCGCAATGAAACCTAAGAAGTAGGGTGTTAGTAACAAAAGAGGTGATGAAATGGGTGAGGTAAAAGTTTTCCGGAAGTTCCATTTGCATGGAGGAGTCAGGAGTGAGGGAAGTAAAATTATTCTAAAACCACCTCTCTTTTAGTTGTATCAAAAGCCTTGTAGTAATTGGGGAAAGTAGTTTCTTACTGTTACACCAAAATATATAAATAAACATTTATGAGTGTTGCGAAAAGGATGATAACCACTAGTTGAATGAAAAATTACAAGGGACTTCTAAATTAAAGTGGGGAGGTGAAGGTGAAAAGGGAATTAATAGTAACTATCAAATTACAGAAAATAAGGAAAAAGAAAAAGAAACCTCAGAATAAAAGTAATAGTTACCATAGGTGAAAGAATAAAATATAATAATGATAGGATACAAAAATTTGTGGGAAGATATCAAACATGAATTGAGAGGCAAAAATTCTTATTAAAATATTAACAAATAGTTTTCAGTATTGTAGCAAAAGAAAATAATTCTTTCTGATTAAGTAGTATTTATTCTGGGATTTCAAGAATTATTCACAACTGAGAGATTTACTAATATAGTACTTTACATTAACAAATTAAAGAAGAAAAACCAAATGATTTATCAGTAGGTGCTAGAAGTCCTTTGATAAAATTCAACAGCTATTCTTTTTTATTACTAATAAAAACTCTAAGTAAAATAATAATAAAGGAAACTACTTAAATATGATAAAAACCACTCACCAAAATAAATTGCAAAATAGCATTTCAAAATTGTGAAATGATAAAAGTCTTTTTCATTAGAATCAGGAACAAAATAGAGATTCTTAATACTAACATTATTATGCAACACATTAGAAAATGCAATACAAGAGGAAAATTAAATGATTCATATAAATTGAAAAAGAAGAGATAAAAACTTAGTTTATATATGCTGATGACATTATTGTATACCTAAAGAATAACAGACCTTAGTAAGAGCCTACTAGAATTTAGTAAGAAATTTAGTAAGGTAGTTGAATGAATAATAAATGTACCAACAATAATTACGTTTTTCCTCTATTCGCAAAAGCTAGTAGAACTATTACACTCAAAATGACAATGAAAACTATTAAATAAAACATTTAAAAATAAATTTAACAAAAATAACGTAGGACTTGCATAAAGAAAACTCTAACATGTTAGTAAATGACATAAAAAATGTTCTAGATAATGGAAAGTGATTTTATATCCTTGCACAGGAAGACATATTATCATTAAAATGTCAAGTCTCTTGGCTGGGTGTGGTGGCTCACGCCTGTAATCCCAGCACTTTGGGAGGTCAAGGCAGATGGATCACTTGATGTCAGGCGTTCAAGACCAGCCTGGCCAACATGGTGAAACCCCATCTCTGCTAAAAATACAAAAATTATCTGGGCATGGTGGCACACACCTGTAATCCCAGCTACGCGGGAGGCTGAGGCAGGAGGTTAAAGTAAGCCGAGATCATGCCACTGTACTCCAGCCTGGGCAACAGACCAAGACTCTGTCACAAAAAAAAAAGTCAAGTCTCTTCAAATTAATATATGCAGGAAATGAAATTTAAATTATACTTCCACTTCTGAAAGGATGAAAGGTTTAAATAATATTATATTAAAGTAAATATGGAGGAGTTCATGCCCAAGAATAATGAAGAAAATTATTTATAAGGATAGTAAAGAGGAGGGCTTGCCTAACAGGATATTAAACCACATCATGAAGCCACTATAATCAAAAACAGCACAGTGCTGACACAGAAATGGACAAATAGACCAATGATACAGAAAAGCCTGAAGAATATCCCAAATTATAGGAAAATGTAATCCATTATAAATATAACATTTCAATTCAGTTTTTAAAAAAAGATGGCTTAAATAACCAATAATGTTGAAATATTTGATTGACCCCTGTCTCACACAATCCTAAAACAAAATTCTAAGTGGATAAAGGACTTAAATGTAAAAAATGATATAATAACTATTGTATTAAGGGAAATTTGGCGTGTATGTATAAACTAGAGTTTGGAAAGGCTTTTTAAACAAAACAGAAAGAGATAGATGTGGTGGCTCACACCTGTAATCCCAGAACTTTGGAAGGCCAAGGCAGGTGGATCACCTGAGGTCAGGAGTTCGAGACCAGCCTGGCCAACATGGTGAAACCTCATCTCTACTAAAAATACAAAAACTAGCTGGGCATGGTGGCAGGCGCCTATAATCCCAGCTACTCAGGAGGCTGAGGCAGGAGAACCACCTGAACATGGGAGGTGGAGGTTGCAATGAGCCAAGATTGTGCCATTGCACTCCAGCCTGGGCAACAAGAGCAAAACTTCATCTCTAAATAAATAAACAAATAAACCAAACAGAAAGCCCAACTCTCTAAGAGTGACAATGAACATGTTTCACTAAATCCAAATTTTGAATTTTATATGACAAAAGATATGCAAAACCAAGTCAGCAGACTGATGAATAGATTTTTAAAATGTGTACACATATGGTAGATTGATATCTTCAATAAACAAAGAGCTCATAGAAATTCATGAAAATATAATAGGAAAAGGATATGACTAGGCAATTCAAAGAAAGGCAAATCCAAATCACTACTATGCATATGAAAGACAGTTTCATTGCCAAAGTCAGGGAAATACAAATAAAGTAACAATGAAATATCACTTAACAATAATTTAAAATGGTGATTCTATCCCCTGCTGTTAGGGATATTGTTTAAAAAACAGTGCCTTCAAAAAATAGTTGAAAATACAGATTGCAATAGCATTTTGGGAAAGCAATTGGTATGTGTATTAAAATGTAATATACGCATACCTCAGGCCCAGCAACACACTCCCAGAAAACAAAAATTTCCAGTATATTGAAGAATATGATATTTATGCAACATCGCTTTAGTGGCAATGATGGAAACAAAGAAAGATCCATCCATTTGGGAATCATTGAATAAACTGCAGTACATCTACAACATGGAATAGGATACAGTCCTTAGAAGAGTGAGTTGGATCCATACCAACTGATTTGGAGGGATTTTCATGGTGTATTGCTAAACAAGAAAGGCATGATGAAAATTTTATTCTATATATATTTAATAGAATATAATTATCCTAAAATGAAAGTGATTCTTGGTCAGATATAGTAGAACCAAGCGGGAAGGATCACTTGAGGCCAGGAGTTCAAGACCATCTGGGGAAACACAGAGAGGTCCTGTCTCTACAAAAAAGCTCCAGGTATATTGGCTCACGCCTGTAGTCCCAGCTACCTGGGAGACTGAGGCAGAAGGATCACTTGACTCCAGGAGTTTGAGGCTGCACTACAACCCTGGGTGACAGAGAAAGTCCCTGTCTCAAAAACAAAACAAAACAAACTGGTTTCTATACACTATGTGGCGGGATGGAGTTGGGGGTGGGATGTGTTATATTTCCTCCAGGCCTTTACTCTTGGCGTTTCCTGCTTGGAATATTCTTTCTCCAATTCTCTCCTTTTACCATGCTAAAAGGTAACGCCCACCTAAGGGCCATATTCTCCGGAAGGGAATCCCCAATCCCTTATCTGAGGTGAGGTTCTCTTCTTATTAAATTCCTTATGACATCTTTTTCTTCTATCACAGGTCGCATGACATGTTAAAATAATTATTTGAATCTTTCCCACTAAAATATGCTTTGTGCAAACCGGAGCTGTCTGCCTTGTTTATTCTGACTTCTTGCATAGTTTCTAACATTAACTAGGAGCTTAGAGCTCAATGAATACTGACTGAAAGAATGAATGATTTCCTTGTAAGAATCTCAAGGCCATAAGCAAAGCCATTTACTTCTTATGTATCCCTCTCCACTCCTAGAGAGTGTAGTCTAGAGTCTCTTGCCTCAGCAGGAACTTATTGATTGACTGAATATAGGAATAAATGACAGGAAGTATCATAGCCATAGTCCATGAAGGGTATAACCACTTCTTACAGCAGACTCAGATAATATTGAAGTTGCCAGGCCACTTAGTGGCATTGAAGGGGAAGGGAGCTAATGAGTAGGGCTTTTAGGGATGGAGTGTGTCTTATTTGCTTAAGTCTGATCTGAGACAGATTGATCATGTCACTTTTCCTCCCCAGATCACATGAGTGTTGAGGGATGGATATATTAATGCCTAGAGATCTTGCTGTAGAGATGGGTTTCCGCAGCCCTAGATAGCAGCTAACCACACAGGCCTGCATTTGCTTAGATAAGGGATGGACACTTGACCCAAAATGTGACTAATTTTATTGCCTCTCTTAAATTTCAATTTGGGAAACTGAGAGACTCTAGAGCTAAAAGGACATATAAAACCAGGGCCAAGTCAGTCCTACAACCAGACAAAGCCAAGGACAAGCATACCTGGAGAGAGCAGAGGGGTCTGTGCATAGCAGACAGAAAGAGATGAATGGAGCAGGTGTTCAGGGATAACAGATTGCCTGGTGCCATGAGAGATGAAGAGAGCTAGTGCATTTCTCTATTTATCCATTCATCCATTCAAATACGTGCTGAACCTACTAGGATCCCTACATTACCACAGGTGCTAGGGATTCAACAGTAAATGGGACAATAGAAGTCCATGCTTTCAGCGGGCTTGAAGTCCTATAAAAAGGACTGTTGGGAACTGATTATGATGAAAAGTCACAAATGTTCTGATACAGAAAGTTCAGGATGCCATGCGAACATAAAACAGGGAACCCAACATGGTCTAGTCTTCAGGCAGACTTTTCAGTTCCAATCCTTGCGTGGCCCAATTCTATCTCATTTCCTGTCCTTTAACATCTGTAAGATTCTTTTTTATCCCTTCAAGAATGAGCCCCCTTTTCAGTTGAATCAGCATACTGAAGATCTGATACATTTTGTCTGCCCAGTATGTGTTTGGGTGCTGTCATTTTAGGAATTGTCCCTTCTCTTCTTGGTGATGCAATTGATCACAAGGTCCCACCTCTCCTGACCCTTAGTCTCGCTCATCAAAATATCCCATGTTCCCCCTACAGTGACGGACTCAGATGTTTGCACACAACCTACTCTGAGTGACTTGGACTTCGGACTCCTTTTGTGAGGACTGATGGGGAAATGGGGGAAACTGTCTCTGCTCTCCTAGGATCTCAAGCATGAAGCTTCTTACAAGGTCAGAGCCACTGGGGCCATTCTTGCCACTATGTGAAGAGGGCTTGCCTAGGCATGAAAACACCACAGAGGACAGCAGAGCCAAGAGGTGCTGAAAATTAGAAAAATCCCTGACGACAACTTTTTAAGCACCTCAGGTTTCAAGTGCCATGAGCCAATACATTTCTTTTTTTCCTCCTTAATTTAAATGAGTTGCTTTCACTCAAAACTAAAAATATCCTCCTTATTCCAGCTATTCTGGATAAATTTCTGTTCCCTGTGCAAATAATCCCTGATCAAGATGGTTTAGTGGAGATAGGGGTGGAGAAGGCAAAACATGCCCTATCTTTCCCCTACCCTTCCTAGGTTGTAACAACACGTTTGTATAATGCTTTACCCGACAATTCCTCACACAGTTTCCTATGGCCCTCCCAACATTTCTGTGACATGGGTATTAGTATTCCCATTTGGCAGTGGTGTTCTGAGGTTGATTAGCTACAAAGTGGCTGATTTGGGACTTGGAATGTTGTTCTGGCACCAATGTCTGGTGTATTCCCATTCTGCCACATCTCTGATTCCTGCTCCCCCAGATGCCAGTCCCTCCATGCCAGTGGCTACTATATTCAGCCTCCAGCTTCATCCCTAGTTCCTTAATATGCCAACTGGAAAATGCCCACTGGAACATTATGAATTCATTTAATTATTTTTTGAGAAATTAAAATCATAACATAAATTTTACTACCCAGCTAAAGTCTAATTTTCATATGCAAATTTTGGATAAATTAATAGTATCATCCAATTTTTCAAGAACCTTGAATCCTGCCAACTTATTTTTTATTGCTGTGAATAAATGCATATTTTTCAAAACTTGGCAAAAATATCTAGAAATAGTTATAGCAGTAATCAGACATAGATATCTCAGATGATAGAAAGATCATTTTTATCCAGATTAACTTCTTCTCTTAAATGTACAGCAGTCCAGAGCTAAAAATGAAACACAAAAAAATTGCAATTACTTTTTAAATGAAAAAATCCCTGTACTGCCATGAGATTAGTCCTTAAACCTGTAAGATTTGGGGAAAGAAATAATTTTTTGCTCCATTACCCTAAAACATTCCAAAGGAATATTAAATTTGAATGAGAACATTTAAAAATACCATTTAAAAAATTTTTCACTGATGATTAAACTGATGTTAAATTATTACACTTATTTTCTTGACAATTTATAAAACTAACCTCTCTCTTTCAAACTCCATTATATTTTTAGTCCTGTAGAATTCCATTTGGATGTTATCTTGTTATTTTTGGTCAGTCTTTGAAGAATAACACCAACGATTATGCACCAGCAACCTGCCACTAAGTCACCTGCTTAAATAAGCGAGAGGCCGTCACTACTCAATACACTCTTCTTTTAATGAGCTAATAATTAAAGCTTTATTTTGAATATAAATAGTGCCATTTATACACAGAAACACACATGAAGATTATTTACTAAATCTCCATATTGGTGTTTATGAATCAAAATTTCTTCATTAAAATATTACCCTATTTAGTATATGAATTTTAAAAAATAAAAAATTATTTCCCAAGTCCATTCTAAAACCCTCCCTTGGTTATTATAAGGTTAATATATTTAAGAATTTGTCTGAACTTATTTCCATCTCTCCTACACAAAGATTAAGCATGAAACAATATATCCCCAGAGTAGACTGAATTCTGTGTGCAGACTAAATAACTGTCTACACAACTTGATTTTAAAGATTGTCCAACTCTCAACATTGAAATCTCTTAATACTATCTGAAAGTAGGGACCTTTGTACCTCCTTGCACTGTTATTGTCAACTGCTAACACCTGGCCATGGTAGATTAACAAATTAGATTTCCTATTAGCGTCAAACACTAAAGGAACAGAACAGAGAATCAATGAGTTTCATAGAGTAGAAGACAGGCAGGAAGAAAGGTCAGAATGACTGCATGGAGCTCTGAGCAGCTAGGAAGCATCAGAAAAGCACTGGGCCACTAAACTTCTGAGAGTAGGGAAGGCACTAAATAAAAGGTAGGGAATGTCAAAAGACACTCTAAAGAGAAATCCACGAGCTTCACTGAATCCACATTTTAAATAGCATTATTTATATTTAGTGACATTTTCAAAATTTAATGTCAGAATCATGACGTTGAAAATAGATTCTGAAACTAAGGGGGAAAAATATTCCCTTAATTAAGCTCATGGAGGTAGTTGGCTGACTTTGGCAATGAAATTTAACTTATTCTTTTTTCCATTCTCTCATACGTACACTCTGCTACACCTTACTGAACAAGCTGAAAATTCAATAAATAAATGCATTCGTTAATGATTTAGTATAACCCGAAAGGAAAGGAAAGCTGCTGGAGCCACTCCACAGGTCTCCCACTTTGCCAAAAGCGATTACTGTGTGTCAGGGCTGATGGCATGAACCCAGCTGTGGGAGGCCAGGGATGCGGGGAGGCTGCTGCCCCTGCAGCTGTTGCTGTGAGAGATGCTGAAGGCCTTAGAATCTGCACTCCCACAGTGACTGAGAAATGAGGGATTTGAATATGTTTATGTGAAGGGTTCTTCCTTCTTCCCCTTCATTATGCGCCAAAGGATGTTCTAGTAAAACTCAAGACATCAGCTTAGAATATGTTACTGATCATAAATTAAATTGCTCACAGAAGGTGATCAATTTTTAATGTTTACACTCAAGATGTTCTTTCTAATTAACACTTAGCTACATTTGTATTCTGTGTTCACTGTAGAAAATGTCTGAGCTTGCAGAGAACTGCAATAAGTTGTAAGACATCAAACTGCCATAATTTTCAAAGTTACACTCTTCAGCTAAAGAAAAAGGATTTAGCTTCAGAGCACTGACACCATAAAGGGACCTAAGTTATTCTTCGGAAGTAGTGGGAAGTTACTCTGTATGAATAGATATTTTTAGAAAGTTACTTATATTCCTGATGTGGAGGTGGAAATTACCCATCCATAATGCCTATGATGTACTGAGACATATATGTGAAAATTAAAAGTGATTTCCAAATTTAGCAAAAGCTCATTAATTTAGAATCTATTGATTTTTAATTAATGCTAATTGGCCACTTGTGAGCTATATAGAACTATTTTAAAAAACAGATTATTTACTAGCTGTGTGACCTTGAGAAATTGACCTAACTCCTCAGATTGAAAGTGGGAGTAATATCTATATGACGGTTTCTATGAGGATTAAATAACATATGTGAAGTACATATCAGTGCTTCACATATACTATTAGTTTCTTTCCTGTGTATATTACCATATTTACTTGCATTGTGCTTCTTGGTACTTTCTCTTTAAAAATGGGAATAACAGTTGATCAGGAAATATTTATGTATCTCATTGTGGAAAATACCGCTTCTGGCAGTGTCTGGGGTCCTGCGCCAAGACAGGAACAATTCAGGGAAGCAGGCCAAGGACTTTGACTTACTCTGCAAAGGAAAAGGTACTATATGTCAGTTATTTATGTATTTATTGGAGACAGGACCCCACTCTGCCACTCAGGCTGGAGTGCAGTGGTGAGATCATAATTCATTGCAACCTCAAACTCCTGGGTCCAAGCAATCCTCCTTCATCAGTCTCCCAAGTAGCTAGGACTAGAGACATTCTCCATCATGACCAGCTAATTTGTTTTCCCCTTTTCATGCAGAGACAGGCTCTCACTATGTTGCCCAAGCTGGTCTTGAACTCTTGGCCTCAAGCTATCCTCCCACCTTGGCCTCTAGAGTTGCTGAGATTACAGGCATGAGCCACCACACCCAGACATGAGTCATTTAGAGGAAAACTAGTGTCCACAGAAAACAGACATTTGCCGGACACAGTGGCTCATGCCTGTAATCCTAACACTTTGGGAGTCCAGGCAGGAAGATCGCTTGAGCTCAGGAGTTCAAGAATGGCTTGGGCAACATGGTGAGACCTCGTGTCTACAGGAAATAAAATTAGCCGGGCATGGTGGACCACACCTGTAGTCCCAGCTACTCGGGAGGCTGAGGCAGGAGGATTGCTTGAGCCCAGGAGGTAGAGGCTGCAGTGAGCTGAGATCCCTTCACTGCACTCCAGCCTGGTGAAACCCAGCCTGAGTGACAGAGCGAGAGCCTGCCCCTGCACCCCAAAAAATGGAAAGAAAAGAAAACAGATATCCATGGAGCATGGGTACAATGGCTTTCATGGTGCCATTGCCAATTCTATAGAAAAGAAGATTAGAAGAGTACAAATAATTGTTTAAAATATAATGGACTCAGTAAGGCGCGGCAGATCACGCCTGTAATCCCAACACTTTGGGAAGCCAAGGTGGGCAGATCACCTGAGGTCAGGAGTTCGAGACCAGCCTGGCCAACATGGCAAAACCCTGTCTCTACTAAAAATACAAAAATTAGCCGAGCATGGTGGCACAAGCCTGTAATCCCAGCTACTCGGGAGGCTGAGGTATGAGAATCACTTGAACCCAGGAGGCAGAGGTTACAGTGAGTGGAGATCACACCACTGCACTCCAGCCTGGGCAATGGAGTAAGACTTCATTGAAAGAAAGAGAGAGAGAGAGAGGAAGGAAGGAAGGGAGGGAGGGAGGGAGGGAAGGGAAGGAAGGGGAAAAGAAAAAAGAAAGAAAGAGAAAGAAAGAAAGAAAGAAAGAAAGAAAGAAAGAAAGAAAGAAAGAAAGAAAGAAAGAAAGAAAGAGAGAGAGAGGAAGGAAGGAAGGGAAGGAAGGGGAAAAGAAAAAGAAAGAAGAAAGAGAAAAAAGGAAAGAGAGAAAGAAAGGAAAGAAAGAAAGAAAGAGAAAGAAAGAAAGAAAGAAAGAAAGAAAGAAAGAAAGAAAGAACGAACGAAAGAAAGAAAGAAAGAAAGAACGAACGAAAGAAAGAAAGAAAGAAAGAAAGAAAGAAAGAAAGAGAAAGGAAAGAAAAGTGAGGGAGGGAGGGAGGCAGGAAGGAAGGAAGGAAGAGAAGTAAATAAAATAGCATGGACTCTTCTCATCCTTATATTCTCTCTAAATTGCATTTTTGTTTTCTTTTGTGTTTTTAAGGATCTGCAAGAATATCTCTAACATGGAGATTTCCAAGTTTTCTTAGTTTGATGATAGAGGAAATTTCAGGCTTAGACGATGATAGTAACAAAGGAGAAAAATTGGCACTAGGATAGGTGGGTGGAGCCAAAACAGATTTTACAGACTGATGAAAGTATGATTTTGGCAAAATGGACAGAAATTTTTGGCTCTGTATATGCTCAAAATAGCTGTTGGGATGATAAAATATTAAATCATAAATGTATAATTTTTACTAGTGGTGCACTAACTTCCTAGGAAGATCTCAAGACATGACTCTGAAATTAAGTATCCTAAAGTGTGTTTCTAGAGCTATAAATAACCTCCTTCTATGTGTAATTCCAATAATCCATGCAAATGTTGCTTTCAGATATCCATGGAAATTTTTGGTACATGACTAATTAAAATTATTGTTTAAGCCCATGGCAAGTCACTGGTGCACTAAACAAGACAATGAGAGTGTGCATGATTGTCATATTTAAACCAAAGCTGTGAGAGAGCTTCCTGGTCCACTGTTTCTGGGATATCTATTATAATTTGCCACACGTTGAACTATAAAAAATGATGTGTCTTTAGCTAACTCAACTTTAATTTTCTTGTATCTTACCCAATTTCCCAAATATTTTCTAAGTATTGCAATGTGAATAAATTTTCTAACAGTAAAACAGGATATAGTTTTATGGAGTTTTATTTTCTGAAGTAGATAACTCAAGAATGTAAGGAAGTAAAGCAAAAAAAAGAGACTCAAGTGATTTTTTTGTTAGCCTGATAATTAGTTTTTGTTTTCTTTTTTAATCTGAAGATCTGTGGAGGAAATGATTTTACTTTATAAATAAGAAACTTGGACTTATATCAGCAAGAATTCTATTGGCTGGGCTCACACAATCTGGATTAACAGGGAACACTCCTTGAAACTTTTTATTCTTTTTATTTTGTTAAACTATTTCAGATTTACTTTTTATATGACACTTGAGTCACTATGAGTCAAACTGGGTAGTGATATCATCTAACCTCTGGAAGGGTAAATAGTTCAAAAAATAGTAGCTCTGATCAATGCTTCAAAATTCTGTTGCACATTAGATTCAGCAGAGTACCATTCAAAAACATATAATACCCAGGTCCCAGGTGGGTCATGTCTTAGTATTAGTTCTTTAAAAACGCTACTCAGTTGATTTTAATGTGCAGATAGAATTAAAAACTACTGCTTCAGATAAAGCATTTTTTTTTTTTTACATAGAAAAGAGCACTTCAAAGGGTTATGTCCATCACAGTTCCCAGAATATGGAGAATGATCAATAAAAGTTAGAACTTCAACTATTTGAATCCATCAGGTTAAACTTTTTCTGTAATGGGTCTGACAGTAAATACCTTAGGTGTAGAAGGTTATAGGGTGCCTGTCGCAGCTACTCAACTCTGCTGGTATTCAATCCTATCATTGTAGCACAAAAGCAGCCACAGACAATATGAACCAAATATGTCTAGCTGTGCTCCAATAAAACTTTATTTACCAAAACAGGCAACATGTTGGATTTGGGCCACTGGTCATAGTTTGCCAACCCTGGCAATACATCACCTCTCAATTTTTGCAACTTTTTGCAATTTTATCACTATAGCTTTATTTTATAGTTTAAAATATTATTTGTTTATAAAATATTGCCATGGATTAAACCACTAACTAGCTATTATATGTGATTATTAAAGAGTTAGTGTAGCCAGACACGTTGGCTCACGGCTGTAATCCCAGCACTTTAGGAGGCTGAGGCGGGTGGATCACCTGAGGTCAGGAGTTCAAGACCAGCCTGGCCAACATGGTGAAACCCCATCTTTACTAAAAATACAAAAATTAGCTGGACGTGGTGGCATGCACCTGTAATTTCAGTTATTTGGGAGGCTGAGGCAGGAGAATCGCTTGAACCCAGGAGACAGAGGTTGCAGTGAGCCGAGATCACACCACTGCACTCTAGCCTGGGCAACAGAGCAAGACTCCATCTCAAAAAAAAATAAGTAAATAAAATTTAAAAAATAAAGAGTTAGTATAAATAAAAATGACCAAATAATAACCTCTGCCCTTTTGATGAGATTACCATCTCTAAAGATACTGGTTTTTAGAGAATTTAATTTAACTTTATTTAGCCTAGCTAATATAATTTATAAATTATACTTACTGGGATATGAAGTGATTAAATAGAAATTTCCTAGTGCTACTACTTCTAGAGGACAAGAGCTCTTTAATTGTATTTCATAGAAAGTACTGTAGTCAAGAGTAGAAAATATGAAATATACATAAGGGCCACTTTCCTCTCTAGGAAAGACATTGCCAATCAATTATACCTGATCCTGGATGTGATCTCCCAATACTTCTTACTATTACTCCAGGCAGTCACCACAAATCAAAGTTTGCAGACAAGATGAAATCTATGTGACATTCTTAACACAAGAGGAGATGTGTTTCCAGCTCCAACAACGTGCAGGAAATTATTCTTTGCTCCAAGGGTATAAATGCCCTTCCCACCACCACACTGAAGAGTGTGCTGATCTTACAGAGGAAGCATAGAATCACATGTTAATGTTTGTTAGAGATGCAGAAAATTGCAGCAAGTCACATCTTATCCAAAGTAGGTAGTCAGCATTTTGCATAGCATGCTTGGAAGAAAGAAAAGATTCCCATAGAAATCAATTGATTAAAAAAAAAATCTATAGCTAAAGGCTGTAATTTAAACTTAAGCAAAAGGAAATAGTAAAAACTTTTCTATAATTTACATAAAATAAACTCTGAAGCAGAGGTTTTGGGGCAGCTAGTATGGGACTAGAGAAGTGTGGGGCACACAAAAGGAGATTTAGATTGAACCGGAACTTTTTCCTGTCTCATTCTTCATGACTGGTAGCTGGCACTGGCTTTAACCGAGAAATCTCAATTCTCCTCTGGCTTCTCATCCTCCAGTGTACTAGATCAGCTTCCTTATATGAGAGTGGTGTTGGGGGACATTCCAAGAAAGCAAAGGCCTTTGAGGCCTAGATTCCTGAACTTACACAACATCAGTTCAATTACATAATCTATTCGAAGCAAGATTCAAGAGGTAGGAAAAGAGACTCCACCTCTTGGTAGGAGGCACTATAAAATACTGGAGTTATGTTTTTCAATCTGCCACTCACAGTGGAGCTGTAGTCTTACTTAACACATTCTTCTGATTCTTCATAAAGTTCTGAATTAAATTATTCTGATTATTATGTATGGACAGCAGGACCAAATGGGGCCTCTCTGACAACATCTTAAGATTCTGATGCTCAGAGCAGCAAAAATTGTCTAATAAAATTCCATCAGAAAGAAGCATATTTCTGTCTAAGGATGCTACATCTTACATATGTAAGATCTTTCATGTTTGATTTCAATCTTTCATGTTTGATTTCATAGAATCTTAATATTAAGAAAAAGAAAGAAACTTAAATATCATCCAATTCCACGTTAAGCAAAATTGCCAATTCACAAAAAATATACAACTTTTATTTCTTTAAAAGAATAGATACAGGCCCACGGAGGGGAATAATATTTTTCTACAATTATGCTACCTTCTTTATTGAATTGTACAATACAGTTATTTTAGTAGCTCAAGGTTTAATGTCTGGTTATACTTCAGGAGAAGCAGCCAGGTGGGCAACATGACCAGTTCCTTGATTTTCCAGGTAAGAAACAGAGACAGGGAAACTAAGGGTCTTGCTCAAGGTTACAGAACTAACTACTGGCAAAATTGATGCCACAAGACAACACCCTTGCTCCCAAAACAATGTTTCCTCATTGCTCCATTAGGACAGTTACTCTAATTCAGGAAAAGTCATTATTCTCTAAGCCTTACTGATCTGGTGAGACCAGAGGTCAGCAGCCTGTTTCTGGAAAGGGCCACATAAAAATTACTTTAGATTTTGCAAGCCTGGAAAGGGCCACATAAAAATTACTTTAGATTTTGTAAGCCATACAGTCTCTGGTTGCCACTATGCAACCCCAGCATTGTACCACAAAAGCAGACTGACAATACATTTTTTTAAATGACCATTCTGTGGTCCAATCAAATTGTTTTTATAGAAACAGGCAACAGGCCAGGTTTGACCCACAGCCAATACTTTTCCAATACCACGCACTTGATTAAAGTCTAAACTATTAAGACCCCAATTCCTCATCCCTTTATGCATTCACATCCTTTGCCATGTCATCATTATGAGTTCAGTTTGTAAGTCCTTTATTTTGGGCTTGACCCTTTATTATGGGTCAAATTGTTTCCCCCCAGAATTCATATGTCGAAGTCCGAACTCCCAGTACCTCAGAATATGACTGTATGTGGACATAGGGTCTTTATAGAGGTAATCAGCTAAAATGAGGTTATCAAGATAGGCCCAATCCAATCTGACTGGGGTCCTTGTAAAAAGGAGAAATTTGGAAACAGACACGCATACAGGGAAAACACCACGTGAACATGAACACAGCCATCTCCAAGGCAAGAGAGGGACCTGGAACAGATCCTTCCCTCACAGCCTTCAGAAGGAACCAAACCTGTCAACCTCTTGGTCTTGGACTTTTAGTCTCCAGAGCTGCGAGATAATAAATTTCTGTTGTTGAAGCCACCCAGTCTGTAGACATTTTTTAGGACAGCCATAGGACACTAATATACCATGTGACTTGTTGTGCCCAGTGATGCTGGGCTAGAAGTGGCAAATGCCAGTCTGTAGACTAGGTCTTAAAAAACTTTGAGTTTTTCCACTTGCTGTCTCACCCACCTTCCATTGCTATGAGAAAATTATGCCCTAATGCTATTCTGCTGGTCTAAGAAGCATGAGACACATTTGAACCAGAGCCATTCCAGCCAATCCCTACCTCCGGATGACCTGCAGATATACCAGCCATAATAAATTATTTCTGTAAAGCCACTGAGTTTTAGAATAGATTACTACATAGCAACAACTAATTGATTTAAATGTTAAATTTAACATTAGTTAAATTCCCAAAACACAGCTGTTTACATTCAATATAGAACTATGACTTTTTTCTGCATGTGTTTTGCCTTTTCCACTGAAAATTTAAGTCAATTCCTAAACACGTGGTTTGCTATCCACAAGCCTTCTCTCTTCCTTTTTTCCTTCCAGTGAAAATAGTGATATGAACTGATGAATAAATGAAGTCGGCTTGCTCGTCTTCTTCTAACTTAGGCCGGCAAAATTGCTATGTAATCCCACTCTTTTCCACAGTTGCAAAAATGTGCTCCGTTTTGCTTTCAGCAGCCTCGTTTCATCAGTCAGACTATTTCTTAAGAGATGTATCTATAGAGGGATAGTTTGCTGTTGTTGTTATTGTTGTTAATTAAATAATGCGATCCATTTTTAAACACACAGTTGTAAAATACCCTTTGAACAGACACACAGTTTGTTTGTTGGTTTGTTTGTTTGTTTGTTTGTTTGTGACAGGGTCTCTCTCTGTTGCCTAGGCTGGAGTCAGTGATCATACCTCACTGCAGCATTCAGCTCCTGGGCTCAAGTGATCCTCCCACCCCAGTCTCTGAGTAGCTAGGACTACAAGCACGTACCACCATGCTCAGCTAATTAAAAAAAAAAAAAAAATTGTAGAGACAGGGTCTCTCTATGTTGCCTAGGCTAGTCTTGAACTCCTGGCCTTAAAACAATCCTCTAGCCTCTGAAAGTGCTTGGATTGCAGGCATGAGCCACCACTCCCAGCCATACACATAGATTCTTAACTTGTTGGTACTTTTCACAAATTACCTAACATTTTGGTCTTAGTTTTTGATTGGCAGAATGAAATTAGACTAATTGGTGTGATGTATGGTGGGGGCCTTGAGCCATGATGTGTCAGTTTGACCTCAGGAGGAACTGGAAACCGAGTAACAAAGGTCAGTCACACCATGAACTTCATGCCTACATGTCCCAATTAAAACCCTGGAACTGGCTGGGTATGGTGGTTCATGCCTGTAATCCCAGCACTTTGGGATGCTGAGGCGGGCAGATCATGAGATCAGGAAATAGAGACCACCCTGTCTAATACAATGAAACCTCATCTCTATTAAAAATAAAAATACAAAAAATTAGCCAAGCATGGTGGCACGTGCCTGTAGTCCCAGCTACTCAGGAGGCTGAAGTAGGAGAATCTCTTGAACCTGGGAGACGGAGCTTGCAGTGAGCCGAGATTGCACCACTGCACTCCAGCCTGGGCAACAGAATGAGATTCCGTCTCAAAAAAAAAACAAAAAACCCTGGAACCAAAGTTTGGGTGAACCTCTCATTTGGCAATACTCTGTGCTGTCACACATCATTGCTGGAAAAATTCAGTACTGCTCATATGACTTCACAGGGAAGGGACAGCTGGAAACTTGAACTTGTTCTTTCCTGGTGACTTTAACTTGTACCCTTTTGCTGTAATAAACCATAACTGTGAGTATAACAGCTTTTGCCAGTTCTGTGAGCCCTTCTAGCAAGTCATTGAAACTGAGGGTGTTCTTGGGGACTCCCAAACACATAACTATGCAAACATACATGAAAAGAAAATATAAGATTGTGATTAATAACTTCTCCATTTGTTATATGTGTAATCACTGTACCCTGCCCCACTGTATGCAAAGACTGTGACATGTGTGCAAAGACTCCCAAGCCCATGTGTAAGTGAGGAAGCCACTGAAGCTCGTGAGAGCCTAAGTTAGGACTTACCATTTGATAAAATGATGTCAACATTACCATGGGCTTCCCCAGTCCTTAGAGGATGTGGATCACTCTTTAACCAGTCGCACGGAAAACTTGCCCTCCATGGTCTTGCAAGACCTAAGAACAAGGGTTAGCAATTCCCAGTAAACCATTTGCTATTTATGAGATCCTGGGCAAATTCCATGAACTCTCTGAACCTTAGGTTCCTGGTTTTAAATAGGAAAGCAATAAGTACCACACAGAATTATTATTAAGTTTAACAAAGATAATGCATGTGTGATTGAGTAAAAATTAATAACAGGATAGCTCTTCACCACCAACTTCCTTGTGAAAGAAGATTTTGTCTGTCTCATCTTCTCCCCCTTCCCCACCTTCCGAGAAGGATTCTGCTTTGCCCGTTGATTATTTGGAATTTGATAGTGCAGAATCAGAAAAGAGAAAGTGGTAGAAGGAGAAAAGGTATATATATAGACTAAGGCTGTGGGACAAGCTTTTCAGGAAGACTTTGAGAGACAGAGAGAGATCTGGCAGCCCCTACAGAGGAGTAGAAAGTGAATGGGATATAAAAGGAAGAATGTTAAGAAGTGCGTATCCTCTTTATAAGTAATATTTGAGAATCAGAAATATAGACCTGAGTAACCTCAAACCAACTTATATAAAAATCCTATTTGAGAGAAATAGTACAAACTGAAGAATAGCCTTTCTATTTTTCTGTGGATTAGGCCAGATCACATCAAGCTTCATATGCTTCTATTTGTCTTGCTTTCCAGAAATTCTTTCAGAGTTTCCCTTAAGATCCATGCCATTAACTTATACTGAAGGAATAATAAACTCAAAAAACATATTTTATTTCGGGAGATTTTTTTTTCAGTGTGATGTCACGCTCAAGAAATTTCACTTAGAACATAAAGCCAGAGGAATTTCTCTCCTAAAGGTGTAATACGTTTTCCCTTCTGTAACGCTGACAAACGTGTGATTTTGGCTACCATTAAGTTCAGAGTCAAATTTCTAGCTCGACTTTTGTTAATGATTTAAATTAAATTTAAATGATTTTTAAACTTCTGGCCGGATGTGGTGGCTCACACCTGTAGTTCCAGCACTTTGGGAGGCCAAGCGGGGAGGATTGCTTGAGCCCAGGAGTTTGAGACCAGCCTATACAACTGAGACCTCATCTCCAAAAAAAATTAAAAATTAGCCAAGCATGGTGTTGCCCACCTGTAGTCCCAGCTACTTGGGAGACTGAGGTGGGAGGATCGTTAGAGCCCATGACATCAAGGCTGCAGTGAGTTGTGATCATGCCACTGTACTGGGCAACAGAGTGAGAACCTGTCTCAAAGAAAACTTAAAATTAAAAATAAATAATTCTAAGTTCTATCTATCTGAATTTGAGCTGCCTTCTTCCCACTTTCACTTGCTTACATCAGATCATTGGGAATGGATGTAGATAATAATACCAGAACAGGAGGATTTATTTATTTATTTATTTATTTATTTTAGATAGAGTCTCACTCTGTCACCCAGGCTGGAGTACAGTGGTGCAATCTCAACTCACTGAAATCTCTGCCTGCTGGGCTTAAGCAATTCTTCTGCCTCAGCCCCCAAAGTAGCTGAGATTACAGGCACCTGCCACCATGCCTGACTATTTTTTTTTTTTTGAGGTGAAATTTCATTCTTGTTGCCCAGGCTGGAGTGCAGTGGCACAATCTCGACTCACTGCAACCTCCACCTCCTGGATTCAAGAGATTCTCCTGTCTCAGCCTCCCAAGTAGCTGGGATTACAGGTGCCCGCCACCATGCCCAGCTAATTTTTTGTATTTTTAGTATAGACGGGGTTTCACCATGTTGGCCAGGCTGGTCTCAACCTGCTGACCTCAGGTGATCAGCCCACCTTAGCCTCCCAAAGTGCTGGAATTACAGGCATGAGCCACCACGCCTGGCCCAGAACAGAGGGATTTTGAAGTTGCTGGGAGAGGACAAAGAGGTAACAGACTTCCTTTGTGTGTCGGTGGGAGGAGTGTCAGTGGGAGTAGCCTTAAGATAATAATCAATCAACACACATTTAAGAGCTATAGTAAGCCAACAAGAGTAGAGCAGTTTATTGGAGCTTCAAGAGTCAAGGCTAAATGACACAAGGCTAAAAGATCCTTATGAATCTTGACCCAGCTTAAAAGATCTAAGTGATGAGAACAACTTAAAGTGTTTTGGTTCTAGAATTTAGAATTCTTCTGCGTGAAGAATTTAATCAGGTGACTGCAAAGTGTACAGTTTTCATTTTAAAATAACAGGAGATTGAACCTTGGAGCCCCACCAGAAAAGACTAAATGTGCTTAGGGATGATGGCTTAGAGAGGTTTAACCAGCTGGAGGTGAAACAGTTTGCAACTGAACAATCTAGATGGTTATGTGAAGTACTGTGCCATGCAGAGTCCTCATAATTTATCTCTGTAATTATAATATCAACCCTAGACCTTCATTTAAAAGAAGAAAATATTTGAACCATTATTGACTCCAGAAGGCAATATAAGGAGCCTTTTTTTTTTTTTTTTTTTTTTTTTCAGAAACCTTTTATTGGTTTCATTAACAGAATCTGGCATGTCCACTTTAGTTCTCCTTAGCTAAACTTAAACAGACATTTCAATGTAAGTCTACTTAAGTAAACTAAAAACAAGACACATAGAGTCACGCCCAACAAGAACCTTAGAAACCATCTAGTCCTAGGCCGGGCACAGTGGCTCATGTCTGTAATCCCAGCACTTTGGGAGGCTGAGGCAGGCTAATCACCTGAGGTCAGGAGTTCGAGACCAGCCTGGCCAACACAGTTAAACTCCATCTCTATTAAAAATACAAAATTAGCTGGGCGTGGTGGTGCATGCCTGTAATCCCAGCTACTCAGGAGGCAGGAGAATCTCTTGAACTCGGGAAGCAGAGGTTGCAGTGAGCCGAGATTGCGCCATTGCACTCCAGCCTGGGCAACAAGAGCGAAACTCTATCTCAAAAATTAATAAATAAATAAATAAATAAGAAAAGAAAAGAAATTTCCTAGTCCTAGCTCCTCATTTTACAGGTTGGAAACCAAAATTGATAAAGGCCAGAATCACATGTCTTAGCTAATGGCAAGAACCTGAGGCCTCTGGATGCTCTGCGATCCTGTTCTGTCAGAAATGCATGAGGTTACTCTGCCCAAACCCCACCAATGCAAGTTATAAAAATGATTTTGAAGCTGTTTCTGAGGCAAAAACAGAGACCCACAGCTCTGCAATTCCATTTGCCAGCCCCAGTTCACATTTGCTTTTTTTTCTATCAATTATACAAATTAAACTTCTCTAGTTTTCAAATTCCAGAATAATTTGCATATTCCAATAAATTCCCAGGTGACTTTATTGAGCATAGGCGTTAGCAGTATAGACAAATTTCATCTTTTGACTTGTTGCTACATGTCTTCGTTTAGGAATCCCTTCTGGCTTTTATGACTCAGGATTTTCTTTAAAATCTCCTTGGACCAATATTTCTATATTTTCACTAAGGTTCAGTTAGCTCTTTTAAATTCAAAACTGTAATCTGCAGCTATGAAATCTGTTGCCCAGCAAGGTAAGCATACTTTGCAATTCTTTGGCAACCTTCTTTTTCTCTCCAACTTCTTCCATCCCATAATATTTACACTAAGTCTTATTTGTTCTTACTTTCACTCCATGAGTATTTCTTCTACCTACCAAGCACCCTCAGTCCAAGTTCAAGGAAAGATACAGAACAGAATCAAAAGTACATAAAATAATAGCAGATACATTTTCAGGATAATTGTTAATCCTTGTTTTGTGTACTTTACAATGTGTGGGCACACCATTTTGTTTTTTAATAACAATATCTTTCATCAGTTAAAAAACGTAGTTTCTATTTTTCCTATTATAATATGGCCGGTTATTTCCTCTTATTTTTTAAAAATACCATTTTTGCTGTATCCTGTGTAACTGATACAGAAATAAGTTCACAAAAGATTATAAATTTTTTTTTGCAATAAGGAGTTAGTCAAGGCCAGTCGCGGTGGCTCACACTTGTAATCCCATCTCAAAACAAAAACAAACAAACAAACAAACAAAAACAAAGAGTTAGTCAAAACAAGTAGCTTGGCCGGATATGGTGCTCACGCCTGTAATCCCAGCACCTTTGGAGGCCGAGGCAGGCTGATCACCTGAGGTCAGGAGTTCGAGACCAGCCTGGCCAACATGGTGAAACCTCATCTCTACTAAAAATACAAAAACAAATTAGCCAGGCATCCACTGTGGCACAAGCCTGTAATCCCAGCTACTCAGGGAGCTGAGGCAGGAGAATTGCTTGAACCTAGGAAGTGGAGGTTGTGGTCAGCTGTGGTCAAGCCACTGCACTCCAGCCTGGGTGACACAGTGAGACTCCATCTCAAAAAAACAAAACAAACAAGTAGCTAATTTTTGGAAGACTTTTTGCAAGGATTAAATTCACAAATCTTAGATGAGCCAAGAGCTGGAAACTTCCAGCAGATGCAGTCAGAGAAGTGAGTAAGAATGAGTCTTACCCCTTGCATTTATTGGGTTCTCTTATGAGATTTAATATGATAAATGAGCACGGTGGCTCAGGCCTGTAATCACAGCACTTTGGGAGACCGAGGAGGGTAGATCCCTTGAAGACAGGAATTTCAGACCAGCCTGGCCACCATGGTGAAACCCCGTCTCTACTAAAAATACAAAAATTAGCTGGACTTGGTGGCACGTATCTGTAATCCTAGCTACTCAGGAGGCTGACACTTGAGATTCACTTGAACCTGGGAGGTTGCAAGATTGCACCACTACACTCCAGCCTGTCTCAAAAAAAGAAAAAATTAATTAATTAATTAAATATATGTATATATTTATCATATTTTTACATGATTTTTATATATGATAAATGAACCAATTAGACTCCATTATGTTTTTCAATGCCCCACTCCCCAAATTTGCCACCATTTAAAATTCACCAAAAGCTAAAATTTGGATCATTGCTTTATGACTAAAAAGTCTGTGAATCTGCTACCAACTATAAAATCCCTTCACAAGTGTATATTCCCTTAGGAAAGATCAAATTCATCAGAAGGGCAACTTTCAAGAGTATGAATTTTAAGCCATATTAAGAGTTCTTCCCAAAGCATCTCAGAGAAACATGTTCAGAAGTCCAGCCTCATGGCCACAGCCCAAACAATCCTGGAGTTATTTTAGTGCTCTGCGATATTTTCGTCCCCATCCTTTGTCCTCCTTTTCTATAGTATCGATTTCAGGATTAGTATCACTATCATATAACTACACACACACACACACATTAAAAACCTGTATGTAGGTATATTTTCATGTTGCCATTTGCTTCTGATTATCCTTGATCTACATGCATATATGCTTTTAAAATAATGAGCCTTATTTATTTTTCCAATTTCATTTTACCTTAGAACTGTTCATTTGCATAAGAGTAGTCAGTGAAATGTATACTTCTAATTGTTCATTTTTACTTGTGTCAAAACCAGATATCCTTCATCTTTTTTTCCTGACTTTACATCGTTCACAAGCACAACCCATTTCCTTCAAAATTTTCTCACTGCACACAGTAATTTTCCAGTGGTAGGAAAGAATGCTTCATGGGTATTTCAAAACATCTTCTGTCCTAACCCTTCGTTCTTTTCTCACTTTGGATCTCTGGTGTCTTCCCACACAAAAAGGGGAATATGCCATCTCCCTTTAGGAAATCAAGATTCTAAAATATCTTTCCTCTCTTGACCGTTTTGGACTGTGGGTATTCATAACCTCACATATAAAATTGGCATAAATGTATTTATTTATTTATTTATTTATTTATTTATTTTATTTATTTATTTTGAGACAGTGTCTCGCTCTGTCGCCCAGGCTGGAGTGCAGTGGCGCGATCTCAGCTCACTGCAAGCTCTGCCTCCCGGGTTCCTGCCATTCTCCTGCCTCAGCCTCCTGAGTAGCTGGGACTACATGCGCCCGCCACCACGCCTGGCTAATTTTTTGTATTTTTAGTAGAGACGGGGTTTCACCGTGTTAGCCAGGATGGTCTCGATCTCCTGACCTCGTGATCTGCCCGCCTCGGCCTCCCAAAGTGCTGGGATTACAGGCGTGAGACACCACGCCTGGCCTAATTTATTTTTTAAGTAATAAGCTTTAATCAGTTATGATAAAACATCAGTTATGAACCACATTGTTAGTTTTTGTTACTCTTCTTTCACTATTATATTTCAGTAAATATTGCCAAATGCATTTTAATTGTCTTTGATATTTTAATAGCTTCATGTACCCTTGAAGAGATGTGCTGCCAGTCTAATTATTTTCAAAAAGTTAAATTATCCCTCAAATGAGACTTTCTTCATTTTAAAATTTCCTCATCTACCCATAGTGTTTGTTGATAGATTTCCTCAACTATTTTCTAGGTCTCTTGTTTTCTCTTGTGTTGTAATTAATCAGTTAGTGTTTTCATGCATAGGGAAACACATGTTGTTCTCATCAAGTTTCTTTCAGTTGCTTACTTAATCTTCTTCACAGCTTCCAGAAATATCTTTACTCCATCTGTAGAATTACAGGTTTAGAATACAGTTTCCTTTCCAGGTTATTGACTCTGTTTTCCCCTGTGATGTTGCAATTTTTGTTCACTAGCCAAGGAGTATTAACTGGTGTACTCATTCGTTTGGGAACTTAATTTTTTGGGTTCTATTATTTTCCTTTTTTAGGTGACATTATTTTTTTTTTACTGCATATAGAAATAAGGAATAACCTGACACTAGATGTTACTTCCTCTACCGTACCATCTTTCCAGAACGCCATAGACTTGTACCACAAAATACAGTCATTTTTAAATAGTTGTGCTTGATTTTTTTCTTGTTAACTTCCTATGATGATTGCTGCACGGTATAGTAAAATAGATGAGCATATTATTTTAAAAGTATTTTTCATGCCTTTAACAGGCTTTGTTTGCTGTGTAAGGTTTGAACACTAAGTGATAATGACCCATAATATAAACTAATTCATGCTCATAGATCCCTCCAAGTAGGGATTTCGAGTAAATTAGAGGCAATCTTTTTCAACCGAGCAACTTTTCTTAGAGCACAGAACAACTGCCATCCTCTGCCTTGATGCGGGGAGCTGCAATTGCTGAAGGTAGATACGTTCACGACCTAAGTTAGAGTTTAGCCTTTAACCTTACCAAGGGTATCATTCCAACAGCCATCTACCTCACCACCTAAAGCAGGAAAACGAAATGTCTTTTCTTTTGTCATTGGCTTTCTACTCCATTAAAACTATAGAGAATAGTTGGTATAACTGTAAAATATAGAGCCTCTTCCCAAGGTTAAAATGGGTTGTTATATTTTGTCTTTCACACACACAAAAAAGACCTCCTGCTTCTTTTTCCTTCAAGCAGGGAAAAGTGGCAAGTCTGTCTTGAACCATTGTGCCTTTCACATTCTCCTCCCCAAAGCCATTTAAGCTCCTTCGACCTGCTTCTCTATTTCAAGAGGTCTTTTCTTTACATTTGCATAACTTAAAGGTATCTATCTCCATAACAAAGAAACCCATTGCCTGGAAGGTGTGTTGGAGTTTCCACTTCTCACCTAATAAAGACTTCTTGCAGTTTTTAAATAATGAAATGTGAGAGACTGGGGAGATTACACTCTGTCATCCATGCCTCCGGCTTTTTTCAAAACCCATGGGTCTGGGAAATCTGATACAATTCTGCATAGTCTGCAAGACATAGTGCTATGCATTTATTGCATTCAAGTTGTTTTCATCCCAATTGAGTGCTGACTGTGTACCTGGCTCTGTCTGTCAATGAACAACAAAGACAAAACTTTCTCCCCTCATCCAACTAGTAAAAGGAGCACCTGTCCTGAACAAAATGAGGAAGTTAAATGTGTATTATATAGCTGTGAATACTATTAAAAAAAAAAAAGGAAAAAGGGGAGATTTGGAGCTAGGGTAGAGAGAGCTGTAAGTCATTCAGGCAAAGTTCCAAAGGAAGGAAGAGTGTTACAGGCAAAGACTAATGGAAGGAACAGGCCTGGAGACTGGAGCATGCCTGGGGTTTTAGAAGAACTGCAAGGAAGCTAAAGATAAGAACCCAGAAACTACAGCACTTAGAACTCCTATGACTAATATATGATTTCGCATTTTCTTTTTTTATTTTATTTTATTTTATTTTATTTTATTTATTTATTTATTTATTATTATTATACTTTAAGTTTTAGGGTACATGTGCACAATGTGCAGGTTACTTACATATGTATACATGTGCCATGCTGGTGTGTTGCACCCACTAACTTGTCATCTAGCATTAGGTATATCTCCCAATGCTATCCCTCCCCCCTCCCCCCACCCCACAACAGTCCCCAGAGTGTGATGTTCCCCTTCCTGTGTCCATGGGTTCTCATTGTTTAATTCCCACCTATGAGTGAGAATATGCGGTGTTTGGTTTTTTGTTCTTGCGATAGTTTACTGAAAATGATGATTTCCAATTTCATCCATGTCCCTACAAAGGACGTGAACTCATCATTTTTAAGCTTTCTTGACCCTGTTGCATCTGAGATCTCTAAGCTGTCTTAAGAACTCCGTAGCACACAAAAGGAGTTAGAAGCATCCTTCAGCATTCCCTGAAGCTTAGGCCAGTGTATTCTGAGCAACCATTTCTTCTAAATGCATAGACCCTCATGAAACCTTTTTTGGATCTATTTTTGTTTTTCTTACCCCTGGCTGTGTTCGTAATTGCTTCACGATGACATCTCATTGACAGATGCAAGGCTGCTGACACCACGCCAGACTCTCTGAAATGAAATCATTTGACACCTGAGGGGATCTGGGCCTTCTGGACTCTTCATTCCTGGCTGAGAACTCTGTGCCCTACTTTGAGGGTTTGAACCCTCAGGGAAGAAGCTAACTTAGGAATTCTCGTTGCCCTCATTGCTCATCTCTGAGCTACCTTAGCACCTCAAAAAGGGCCCGCAAATCCTGTCCCTTTCTTTATTCACAAACCTCAAATTTTGGTGACAGAGTGCAGGTGCCACAGGGACTTAGAGTCATGGTTGAACAAGGAAGGGCTGTACGTTCAGATGCCTACAGAGGCTACTCCGGTCACATATGTCAGCGAGAAGTTAGATAAGTGAGATCCACAGCAATTGTGAGCTTGTGTGTCTTTAGGGGAGAGCGAATTCTCAGATCTAGCCAGTCATTGAAATGTGGAAATAACAGTCCAGTGTTTCCAAATCTTATCGTAAAAGACAAGACAGCAATCCAAATATTTGTATGAAATTTCCTGATGTTTTAATGCTGACAACTAGTAATCCCCCCAAAACAAACAAACAAACAAACAAACAAAACCACTGTTGAATTACACCAAACAAGAGCTATCTGTAGCCTGGGTTCTGCCTGGGGGCTCTCATTCTATGACTTCTGAAACAATCATCTTTGATCCTGTCACTCATTGTCCATTTCATGGTGTTTGTGGGAGTTTAAAATTTTTTAAATAAGATGTGGAACAAGGATGGCAAATAATTTCTAAATTGCATGTCACCTCTGATTTATTAGCAGTGGCTGCCGTGAGCACTACATTTAGGATTCTGAGGCTGTTTCTAGGTCTGCAGAAAAAGCATGTGTTAAATTATCAATGTTGAATGATGGTACACAAGGCCTGTATTTGCAATTCCCCAACCAAACAATCCCCATGAAGGTTAGTGTTGGTGCTTGAATAAATGATTTCAGTTACTCCTCCTCCTTTCTTAGCTCTTTAATTCAAGTGTGCTTCTCTCATCTACTGTTCCCCAAGGCCTGGGAAAATGGAGCACTGACTTTCAGCGAATGGCGGAGGCGGGGGTGGGGTGGGGGTCCTGCCAGGTCATCAGGTGTCTTTGCTTATAACTCATGAGGCATAAATCAAGCCAATGCATTCAACACTACAGGAGGAGAGTAACTGATCTATCACTCAGACACCTGTTATAATTTTTTCAGATTTCTTGTGATGTAAAAATATCAGAGCAAAGTTGTACTACTCTAGACCAATCAGGCTCCAGATGATAAATATTTTAATCTGAGTTGGTATTCTAGCTCATTTTAATATATCAAAATGAGTTTACTTTGGAATAAAAATGACCTTAAATACAAATTTCAGATACTTTATTTTAAAGAGAAACAATAAAAACCAACACTGGAAAACAACCTACAACATTTAATTATTTTTAGTGTTTTAGTTCTTGATAGGGAAACTGAACCCAAGAAAGTAATTGAAAAATGTTATCCTCCACAAGTATATCTTAGAGGTAAGAGCATTTGAATGTTAAGAAATATATATTTTTAAACGTCCACTTATGTTTACTTTGGAAGGAATTTCTTATAGAAAAATGCTAGCAAATAGATAAGTTCTTACCTACTAATTCACTCTGTTTTCTCATAATCTTCTGACAAAATTTCAGTCAAAGTAATCAATGGTCTGCAAGCTCCCAGTTTCCAACAATTGCTAACTCAGTAACTAACATCAACTACTTGAGTCAATAGAATAGGTAGTAGTTGGCCTATATGTGATTTTAGACCACATATAGAGGATTTGATATAAAAAAATCTCCCCACAATGCCCCAAATCTCTTCTTCATCAACACGATGTTGATGCCTGAAACTCAGCAATCAGACTCCTTCTGAATTTTTATAATTCATTATTGCAATATTGTTTAATTGGAGTATCAAAATGTCATTGTCTTTGAGACTATTAAAAAATAGTGCTTCAATATAAACTATTTATTGTCTACAGTACATTCTTCCATTTATTTGATTCTGATTATATAGATTTCTTCCAATTGTAACTTGTAGGTAGCTAATGGCATTGCAAAATAATTTTTGTCCATAGACATGCAACTGAACTGTTCTCCCGCTGTGGAAAAAATAGTTTTGTCTCCATTTGCACATTTATTTCAATAGTCTTGATCTAGAAATGTGTCTGTTTAATTGTTTGTTTTTGGATTTTCTTTTGAATTGCTTATAATATCTGCCTAGTTCTCTCACTGAACAATGAGTTAAGTAAGATCTTTAATACATGTTTGCTTTATATCTGTATGAGTCATGATTTTACTTCTTTTTGAAAATTATCTTTTAATGATATTTTCCTATTTGATCAATATAAATTCTTGACAAGTAATTCCAATATTTATCCACATTTATGAAAAAAGACCCTTTGAAAAAGTAAGAAACTTGATTAATAATTTGCAATTTTATTTTATTCTACCAAAATGTTGTTGATAAATGTGTTTCTGAAAAGTATATTCCACAGCTATGTGTCCTGACCTATTTTATCCTTAAAATCTTATTTAACTTCAAATTTTGGAAAATGTAATAAGGAAAATAAACAATTAAAAAGCAATTTAAAAAGTAATTATTGAGCACGTGCTCTATTCCAGACTTGCTCAAATATCTGACCAAGGATCCCGGTATGCGTCTCACTTTTGAAAAGCCCTTTTAAAGTCCATCTAAGAGCAAATTCATTTCTCTAGCATCTACTGAAAAACAGCCAGTCAAAGAATATGTTCCACACCCTCCAAGTGTTTCTCCAATGTAACAGCCACTGTCAGCAGGGTGACTGGGCCCCTTCCCCAGGCTGTCACGTCTGATGCTTCCTTCAGTGACCCGGCCTTCTAATTCAGCTTAACCCTTCTCCCTTCAACCTCAGCCCTGTCACCAGGACAGCCTCTCATTCCACTCAGTCCTGCCTTCCAGTGGGAATCGGATGAGCGACTCTACATCCATGGTGGTCAAGGAAATGGGTTGCCGTGATGTGGGAGTGGAATTCGAGGTGCAGACCTTCTATTGTTTAGAAACAGAGCTATTGAATCCCCCAGGGTAAACCAAAACTAAGAGTGCTGAGGAAGACCTAGAGTCAGAGGCCGTAACACTCCCATGAATGTAGGAAAGTAACTTGAGAACAGTTGACGTAGTAAATAAAAGAGGAGCTTTTGCATGATAGCAGAATAGTCTAGAATCAGCAGTGGGAGCAAGATAAGCAAGATGGCAGCACTACTCTCCTGCCCTAGAGGGATTACAGTCTTGAGAGGGAGACAGACCAACAAACAAGCAATTACAATATTGTCTGATCTGTAGATGATCAGGGAATTCTAAGGATGCCCACCGAAGGTAAATGGATCCCAGTCTGGGTCAGTGTGGAGTATTCACAAAGGGAAGAATTAATGGGGAACTGGGCACTGTTTATTCAACATGATCCAGAGAGAAACACTAAATATGAGCAAAATGAACTTTCCAGTCACTGGGAAAGCATCTCTGTAGGTGAAGTAGAAATGATTGAATAAGCATCGCCACAGAGCAATGAATCTCTCCCATGCTTACTGATCAACATTCTGATTATTAGTGTATCTTCCTGGGTACCCTAATCTCAGCAAAGGAACATCCTGGATGGGGGATACATGCACTCCAGCAACTAGAACTGGATATCTCCCACTATAAATTACCCAGGACTCTTGCGAGTAGATTGCCATGAATCTTCTTTCCTGAGGCTTTTCCACTTTGAGAAATTGACAGGGCTGAAGGCCAGACTGGGGGCCTTTCTAAATTCACCAAAGGTAATGCCACCTGTGAGGCTTCTTGGCAGGCAGTTTTCAGCATTCTCCTGGAAGCACCCTAACCTTCTCTACAGCGCCTTTGAAATTTTTAACAATGGGCATAGTGAATATGAATTAGATGTCACTATGTCACCAATCAGCTCTGTGGAAACATAAAACCTCTTTGTTTTGATGGCTACACATACTTTTATTTGACAAGCCCTGTAACTGCTCAGC
This sequence comes from Homo sapiens, assembly GCF_000001405.40. Lineage (NCBI taxonomy): Eukaryota > Metazoa > Chordata > Mammalia > Primates > Hominidae > Homo > Homo sapiens. Next base: position 34,905,732 of record NC_000013.11, read on the forward strand.
ACCAGAAAAACTAAATTGGTCCATTCAGAAAACTTGGTCCAACCTAGTAAATTTTTCAGTTTCTGCTAGCTTAAAATTGAGCATCTCTCAGGTAAATATTCAATCAAATGCAAGTGTAATTCTGTCACTGTCCAGTTCAATGCTCGTTCTCTTCCTACAATCCCTCCACTGTCCATCCAACTCTCAGGAGGCCTCTGAGAGGCCTCTGGCCCAACACCTGTGCAGTGGAAGACCTAAAATTAAGACCCAATACTATGTGCTGCCTTGACATCTGGAAAAATCAGCAGGACCTCAAATGGCCTGATCCCAAGTTCACCTCCTGCTCCCATGGTTAAAGTCCCCCAGTCCAAAAATTCTCCTTAGCCAGTGGACCAGGCACAGTTTCTGCTTATCCCTAAGTAGTGGGTTTCAGTTCCCAGCCTACCTAAGGAATTATTCACACAAACCAATCACATCCTCTCACAGAAATCAGGAGTCACCTCACCCTCTTGATACTACAGTCTGCCTTTCCCAGCCCTGGCTCGTTCACTCAGTTTTCGAGTGGAACTCTCATGTGACCCTGCATGGCGTGCTGTGTTCTCCTTCCCCAGGTTATGAGGACATGTAACTAATAAAGTTACAACACCTCCTCTGCCCAGTGTTGGGAGTCATGTGTTTGGCTATCCCAGTAACTCTAAAGCATCAAAGGGTAAATAGGAGGTGATTAAAACACCCTGCACTAAGCAGCAGGACGGAATGGAGATGCGTCACCTGACCGGCTGCATGGTGGCTGTAAGGTGGCTTCCTCAGGTGGGTCTTGCTGGTAGCTAGAGTCCTTCCCTAGTCTAGTCTCTGGCTCTGGTGTTTTATCACTACCAGCTATTTGGAGTGGTCTGGTAGGTGGTGGATAACAGCCTCGAAAGGCTTAGGGCGGCTTCCAGGTTTGGGTAATCCAATAAGGTGATCCTTACATGCTAAATCCTCCAAGGTCTACCTCACAGGCTTAGGACATGAGGTCTTGTCCCCACTGAGAAACTTCTTGTGAGATGGCTGACAAGCCAGCAAGGACCTCAGCTACCTAGTTCCCTAGTTAATTCCAAGCCTACAGGAAACCTAGAAATTTCCCCCAGCTGAGCTTGGCTCCAGAGGAAGCTGAAGGTGATCTTTGCCTTCTCTTGCCTCATATTGCTATCTCCTCAGGGTCCTTCTTGCTCCAAAGGCGACAGAGGATTCTGCAGATTCTATTGCTCAGCAAACTCTAGAAATTGTGTGTCATTTTCTTACTTATCTGCCTACAGCTGCAAAACTAAAAATGATGCTTTAGAATGTTTCTCGTGTGTAGACATGTGGTCAGAATAAATCTTCTCACTCAAATGCTCTCTTTTCCTCCTTTTAGTGTCCTCTCCTGACTCTCCTTCCTTTCACAGCCAAGCCTCAAGAATGGTTCTATGCTCACTTCCCCTACTTCCTCCCATCACATTCACTCTTTGCTGCAGTCTGACTCTAGTCCCTGAAACTCCTTTCCATAAAGTCATAATTTATCCTCAAATTGTGAAATTCAATGACTATGTCCTGGCCTTATTGAACTACAGTGTGGCACAATGTGCTGCCCACTCCCTCTTTAAAACTCTCACTTTAGTGTTAGTGACATCATTCTTGCCTAAGTATCATCTCCTTCCCTGAGCATCTTTCTGTCTCATGCATGCAGGCTCTTCCAATTTCCCCTCAGTGATGGTGCTGCCACTGCTGAGGACCTGCTTTTTGCACTGTGCTCTTCCATCCATATAGTTCTCATTAGGTGACCACATGGAAGCCTCTGTTTTCCTTCAACTACCACTGTGTATGACCCAATGCCTCCAGCTCCTTCTACTGAGCTCAGACATCATCCCCGGGTTCTGGACCCACATAATGTGTTCTTTATTTGAAGAGAAATGATGACTTTATGGAAAAAAGTTTCTGCCTGAAACTTGCCTAGGCACTTTATACTTAACATGGATTATAAGCCCTTCTTCCCTCTGTATTCCCCTAGTTGAAGGCACATTCATCCAAGGACCTAGTATTCTAGCCATTCTGTCTGCCTCTTCTATCCTCATTGCCTAAGAGTCTGATTTTACTTCCTAAATGTACATGTTTGGGCTCTTTTCTTCCCTTCTATTGCACTGCCATGGTCTTGGTTTAGGCCCTCATTGCTTTTTGCCAGGATTATTGTTCTCTCAGCCTCTAGACTACACAAGCCCTTTCTCCTACCCAACCTCTACCAGAGTGATTTTTTAACTGTAAATCTGCTCGTGTCAGGTTACCTTCCTGCTTAAAACCTTTCAGGATTCCGTCACATTCAGGATAAAGGTCAAACTCCTCAGCTAGGCACACTAAGCCCATCATTAATACTTTGGCATCACACTCCACAGTACTAGTTGTGAGAGTGTAGACAAGTTACTTAACCTTACTATGCCTCAGTTTCCTCCATGTGTAAAATAGAGATAAGATAGCACGTGTGATAAGATCATTGTCAGCACAGAATGAACTAAGGCATATAAAGTACTTAGGCACGTAGTAAGCAATCTGTTTTTTTGCTTCTTTGTTTGTTTATTTTTTAGACAGGGTCTTACTCTGTCACCAAGGCTGGAGTACAGTGACATGATCTCAGCTCACTGCAACCTCTTTGCCTCAGCCTCTCAAGTAGCTGGGACTACAGGAGCATGCCACCATGCCCAGCTAATCAATGTTTGTTTGTTTGTTTGTTTGTTTGTTTCTTTCTTTCTTTCTTTCTTTCTTTCTTTCTTTCTTTCTTTCTCTTTCTTTCTCTCTTTCTCTCTTTCTCTCTCTTTCTTCCCTCCCTCCCTTTTTCCTTCCCTCCCTCTCTTCCTTCCTTCCTTCCCTCCCTCCCTCTCTCCCTCCTTCCCTTCCTTCCTTCCCTCCTTCTTTCCTTTTTTTTGTAGATATGGGCTTTCACTGTGTTGCCCAAGCTGCTCCAGAACTCCTGAGCTCAAGTGATCCACCAGCCTAGGCCTCCCAAAGTGCTGGGATTACAGGCATGAGCCACTGCACCCAGCCAGCAATCTGTTTTTGATAGTAGCTATCTTTATTACCATTTTAAAATCTCACCTCCCTTCTCTTCCCTTCCCTTCGGCCACCATACTGGTCTACTTGACATTTCTGAATATTGCCTGTGAGTTCATCCTCCTGGGCTTACTTATGGTCCTGCTTCCTCTGTGTGTAATACTTTCCCCCTCTTTCTTCATCTAGCTAACAGGTACTTAGTTTTAAAGACCCTTCTCACATCACTTCTTCCAGAAACTCTTCCTTGATCTTCTTGCTCCAGTCGGGGTTTAATTTTCCATGTTTTTGTAACTCTTCATTAATACATTTATCCCAACACTCAATAACTCTGCATTGGGCTTGATTACATGTTTGTCTCCTATACAAGACTGTGGATTCCTTAAAGGCAGAATACAACTTTGTCTGAGTTCCAACGAAAGGGCTTGTCAATGTTGAACCAGGGATTCAGTAAATGACTGCTGGGTGAATTAAAAGATTGCATCAGGTGCTCAGAGACTCTAGCACACCTTTGCTTCAAAAAGCACCTTACTTCAAAATTATTATCTCATTTCTTCCTCTATTTAAAGTCCCTATTTGTAAATTGTGAAATTAGGCACTATTAGTTTACTGTCAGCGATGAAACTAAGCTAGTCAGCTGAAAATTTATTACAATTCATTTATACTTCTAAAGCGTATATTTACCCTTTCAAACAAGGAACTTGTAAAGATAATAGGATGAATTTTAGTGATGAGTTTTAAGGAAATATAATAGGAGGAAAGGGTGTAGTGTGAGAAGATAGGAAGAATAATTTTTTTCTGCCCAGGCACAGTGGCGCATGCCTATAATCCCAGCACTTTGGGAGGCCAAAGCAGGAGGATCACTTGAGGCCAGTAGTTCAAGGCTACAGTGAGCAATGATCATGCCATTGCACTCCAGTCTGGGCCACAGAGGAAGACTCAGTTTCTAAAAAAAAAATTAAATACAGAAAAAATAAAAAAATAAAAAATAAATTTTATGGGAGAGTTGCTTGGAACTCCTTAAATAACATCAAGTGGGAATCCAGCCTCTACTGGTAGGGGTAAGCTGATGGCCTACTATATGAGGGGATTTGACTGGAAAAGCACCCAGAAGCTTTTCATAATTAAACTAGTAGCTGAAATACTGAACTAATATCACTAATAAAAAGGCAGCCTGACAACAAAAGAACTAAAATCTTGATACATGATACAACATGCTAAGTGAAGGAAGCCAGACAAAAAAACCCATATGCTTCATGTGTATGAAATGTCCAGAATAAGCAAACCCATAGTCAGTGAGTGGATCAGGGGCTGGGGAACAGGGAGTGATTTCTAATGAGTATGGGTTTCTTTGGGGCTGATAAAAATGTTCTGAAATTAAATAGTGGTGATGGGTGCATAACCCTTTGAATATACTAAAATCTACTGAATTGTACATTTTAAAAGTGTTATTTTTATGATATGTTAAATTATATTGCAATAAAAATATGTCAGAAAAAAGTGATATTCCAGGAAATACTGACAATAGAAAAAAAACAGCATGAGTTATTTATTATACTATTTGAAGGTCCACAAATAAAATTATATTTTCTAAGTATGAAGGATTATATAGCAAGTCATTTTAATAGCTTACATAAAGCAGTTTCATATTTCTTTTCCTCTAGTTTCACAGAACTCTTTTGATGTATTGTGTCATTAATTAATAGGCTCTAAAAACTACCGTTGTGTTAGTTGGTGTTTTGTTTCTGTTTTAAACTTTCAATTTTTTTTTTTTTTTTGAGATGGAGTCTCACTCTGTCACCCAGGCTGGAGTGCAGTGGCTGGAGTGCAACCTCCACCTCCCAGGTTCAAGTGATTCTCCTGCCTGAGCTTAACAAGTAACTGGGATTACAGGCACCTGCCACCAAACCCGGCTAATTTTTGTATTTTAGTAGAGACGGAGTTTCACTATGTTAGCCAGGTTGCTCTCAAACTCCTGACCTGAAGTGATCCACCCGCCTCAGCCTCCCAAGGTGCCAGGATTACAGGTGTGAGCCACCACGCCTGGCCCTAAACTCAATTTTTTAAAAAATAATTTATTTTGGTTTTATAATGGTCTCAATTTAGCTCATTCAATCAAAACAATAACCTATACTACTTTCGGTTCAATTCAAATGTTCCTTTTGACTATTAATCCCAGTTTTAAGATGAACATTTATAACTATCCAAGTTGATGCCACAGATATGCTGTAATTAATAACATTTTATGTTTCCTTTTATTTATCATAGTGATATAATTTTATATTACTGTCCACCATAAATGTCAGTTGAACAGAGGCTTAATTGAAACATTCTTTAGATCACAGAAAAAGATAGTGATGTTATGCTTGAAATATTTCTCGAAGATTATACAAGGTTAAGAAGTCATTGAACAAATGTTTATTGGAGGTCTACTATGTAAACTATGGCTCTCGGCCTTCTTATATTTCCAAGTGTACCTTGAAAACCAACTCTTCTGAGCAACAACTTGGAGAGATTAAATGTGCCACACACGTCAGCACTAATTACACTGAAATCCCAGAAAATCATGGCTCATAGTGTCTGTGAAAGTGTCCAGTCAGCACACTATTTAGTTGTTTACACTTTTACACTGAGGCCTTGTTGAAGAAGAAGAAATAGTCTCTTCCTTGACAATCCTCTTTTATATACTCAGACATAAGGGTTATTTTATGTTATAGTAAACACACATAATCCAGATATCCCAAAATTTTCTAAAATTTGATGTCTTGTTTTTTATAATACCCAAATAAAACAGCTCCTCCTCTTTACACTCTCTGGGATACCAGCACCCTCCCTTCTCCTCCATCAGTATTTTCTTGCACCTTTCAGAGGTGCACATTTTCTCAGATGTTGCAGCTGCTTTCCCACTGTGGTTTGACCATGAACCATTATTTGTGGCTTCCATGTTAGTTGTTATCCAGTTAAAAGCAGAAAACAGTCTAGGGTTCTGTATTTGTCAGCTTGAACTACTATAACAAAATGTCACAGACAGGGTGACTTAAGGAACAGAGATTTATTTATTATCTATTTTATTTATATCTCACAGTTTTAGACTCTAAAAAATTCAAGAACAAGATGCCTTGGTCTTACCTTCTCTCTGCGTCCTCACCTGGCAGACACTCTGTTGTCTCTTCTTTTAGGACACCAACGCTGTTGGACTACAGCCCCACCCTTGTGACCTTGTTTTATCTTTATCACCTCCTCACACAGTCACATTGGGCACAGGGCTTCAACATATGAATTTGGGTGGGGGGAAGGGACCCAATTCAGTCCATAGCATTTCTTCTGCAGCCCTCCAAAATTCATGTTCTCACATGTAAAATACATCAATTCCATCCCAACAACCCCAAAGGCCCTAATTCATTCCAGCATCAACTCCAAAGTCCAAAGTTCCATCTAAACATCATCTAAATCAGATATTGGTGAGATTGGAGGTATGCTTTATCTGGCTGCAAAATTCCTCTGCAGCCATAAACCTGTGAAACCAGGCAGGTTATGTGTTTTCAAGAGCATACAGTGGTGGGACAAGCATAGGATAGACATTCCCATTCCAAAAGGGAGAAATCAGACAAAAGAAAGTGGTGACAGGTCCGAAGAAAGTTTAAAACCTAGCAAGGCAAATTCCATGAGATCTTCAGGCTGGAGAATAATCCTTTTTAGTTTGATGCTCAGTTATGTAGTTAAAAGCTACAGTTGTCTGTTAGTTGGTGTTTTGTTTCTGTTTTAAAGTTTCAATTTTTTCTTTTTCTTTTTTTTTTTTTTAGACAGAGTCTCACTGCCACCCAGGCTGAAGTGCAGTGGCTCAATACTGGCTCACTACAACCTCCACCTACCAGGTTCAAGTGATTCTCCTAACTGAGCCTTACGAGCAGCTGGGATTACAGGCACCTGCCACCACACCCGGCTAATTCTTTTATTTTTAGTAGAGACGGGTTTCAACTAAACGTACATCGGGGAGTACAATTTTCTTTACTCAGTCCAGCAATTCAAATGTTAATTTCATCCAAAAACACCCTTCCAGAAACACCCAAAATAATGTTTGACCATATCTGGGCACCCTATAACCTAGTAAAGTTAACACAAATTTAACCATCACATTTTCTAACAGAGGGTACTTAATGCAAGGAATGTGTCAGAAAACTGTTGGCATGGCTAAAAGAACAAAAATGGAAAGACACAGTTACCTAGGGATGGAGGGGAAAAAAGGGGAAATAAAGTTACCTAGAGTGGATGCCGAGGCTGCCAGAGCAGCCACTGCCGCTGTTGCAACTGTGTTGCTGTACTCTGTGGTTAAGTTTTGCACCTGCGTTGTCACTGACACCACAGGAGCACAGAGGCCAGAAGATGCCTACTTTTGTTGCTGCTGCTGCTACTGAAGCCGGAACCTGTAAGTGCTATGCTGCCAGTTCTTTTGCTGAAACTGCCTGACCAGGATACCCAGGAGCCTACACTTGCTCATTTGCCACTGCTACTGTCCAAGGTGCTGCCACAAGCAGGGCGGAAAAAAATGGCCTCTTCCTCTTTCCACCCTTCCCCTAACATCCTACCTAATGCCTCCCTCGGGGCACTGCTTATGCTTAACCCTAAGCTCTCAGGCAAGGCAATCTAGCAAATACCATTTGCAGCCTTTCAATCTCCTGTGATTTAAAGGAGAGCATGAGAGGATAGGAATGGGGCTGAAAGCCAACAGCCATATCACCAGAACAGTAACACTAACCCTATGATCACTATTATTTTGCTGTACAGTTTGTCCCACATAGGGTATCAGCTCTGCTCTTTTATTCTCCAAGCCTTGCTCTGAAAAAGGCTGCTGTGTGTAGCAAACTTTTTTGAAGGCTTTATGTAATTGAGGATATAATAAATAAGGAAAAAAAACTCAAAGTTGGATACTAATTATGATTATTTCCATAAACCAAGAGAATAAAACATAAACGTAAATACTTCCATGGGAGTTTTCTCTGGTCTTGCTCCAGGTCCCAGTCTTGCTTGTGTCTCTTGCTCAAGTCCATCTACTTGGTTCAGCTCCCTGCAGCCCCATATCTCCTCTCCACTCACTTCCTGCATCCTTACCCCGGCCCCACAACTCACTGTGCCCCATGAAATGCTGCCAATCAGTCTTTCTTTGACAGAACAATTTATCTTTCCTTGTTTTCTCAGTCTAACCTATCAAGGTACTTTTTAAAATAAAATATCCATCCACCCTAGATATGAATTTTGCCATTGCAAAAGCAATTGCAGTCCATTTTTGTCTTAAATGGCCGTTTTTTTCTTTCAGCTATTATTAAGATCTTTTTAAAAATATAATTTTAGGAATGCCAAGCCTCTTAGGTGCAGCAAATTATACTTCGCTGTATACTGTTTACTACTATCCACTCGACTCTGTGTGTCATATGCAGACATTACTGTAACAATGTATATTCTTAGTTATATAGTAAAATAAAGTTTTCACATCATTGAAAAGTTGGTAGCATACCCCTGAAGGTTATCAGCACAGCAACTGAGAATCTCTAAAGTAGCAGGTAATTGCAAGTATGAAAGTAAATATAATGAATAAGACATCAGGCTTACTTTCCAGGAGTTTCTAGTCCATGGGGGGTTAGTGTACCACAAGTAAAAACTATAAAATAAAGTGCTTCAAGAACAAAAGAAGAAGAAGAAGCATGAGAGCTTGAACGGGCTTTTGTAAGAAATGGTCCCAAAGCTGAAGCTTGGAGAATTAGTCGGGACAGGAAATGAGAGGGAGGAAAAAAGATATGTAGATGGGAGCATGCCACAGGAGGGGGCAGGGATGCAGAAGAATGCAGCCATGCTCAAGAAACAGAGTTGTTAACATAAGAAAGTCTTAAAATTCTAATTGACCTGAATGGCTTTTTCATTCATGCTTTTACATAGGGCTCACATCACTGTTTCAGCAAGGAGCCACAAATCTAGATTCTTTGCTTTATTCCCACCTACTTTTTTCAGATACAAGAGGTAGAGGATAAAAATACAAGTTCAGAGGGGACAGATACTACTTGCAAAATGCCAGTGAACCCTGATTGTGGAAACTAGAATGCTAATCGAACAGGGTTTACCTGTGAATCTGGGGCAGGTTGAAGAAGAAAAGCTTAGGCATATTTAAGTCTCTTCACTTCTCTTATGTATTAGTAAGTGGTTCATTTTATCTTGCTCTGTTTAAGCCTATGAATCTTCTCTACCTCTATCCATTGACTTCTGCTTTTCCTAAAATTGGTAAATTTGATTCTGCATTTCTCTGCATTCCTGGCTTTACTTTTCTATTTGGTAGTGTTTCCAAATCTTATCTAGAAGCATAATGTAGATTCACGGTTGCTTCCCTCCTTTCAGTGGTTCTCAACCCTGTGTGGTACAATCTCTATAGAAACAGGAAGGAGTCATAGTTTTGGTTGTCGCAATGTCTGAGGGATGTCACCAGCATTTAGTGTGGGTGGGGGATGCCAAATGCTAAAAATCATACAGTTCTTGGGATACTCTAGCAAAGTAATTTTCTCATCCAAAATGCTAATAGTCCTCTTCATTGAGAAATATTTTCTTTTGATGTCTTTATTTGTAGACTTATCAAATAGGCCCAAGTGCTTCAGCAGAATGGACCAAAATTCTTTCACTTACAGTCCAGTATAGTGCTTTGTACAGTGTTTTTACAAATTAGGGATCAAGAGGAGCTTGTTGATATAATATTGGATTTATTGCTGTGGTCCAGGAATGCAGAAATCCAGCCCTAGCTCCCCTGCCTGCTTAGGATGCTGTTTTCCTTACAAGAGCTTCACAAGCATTTTACAAATTGTCTTTATCCATTATCAGCCTGCTTCCTCCCACATCCCATCCCCCAGATTGCAGAAAGTTCTGAACAGAAAGAGATATAGAATGGGAAGGAAAATATCACTTCATTAATGGCTGAACAAATGCTTGATACATCAAGGAGAGCATTTTTTTAAATTTTTTATTGGAGACTAAGGTTTATATTTGGTGACCTATGCTGAGCTGTTGACCCCTACTCAGCCCCACCCTAACCTCCTGTCCACCCCTCCATCCTCATAAATACAGACCTTTCCAAGTGGCTAGACTGAGGAAGAAAGTTAAAGAAGGAAAGAACTACCACTAAGTAGCTAGGGTAAGCCTTAGTTTAATTTATCTATTTGTTTTAGTTTATTAGCCAAGGGACAAATATATAAGGAATCCAAAATAGAAAAAGAGAGAAATCTGACTGTGATCTCCTGCAAGATCCAGTCCCTATCTAGTCTACATCCTAGAGACAGACGCAGCAGACAGAATGTAAAGAAGACAAATAAGGCTGAGCTTCCCAGCTCTAAGTATAGAGCTTCTTAATGCTATAGTAATCCTGTTCAGTAGAAAACTGTGACCTAAAGAGTGACCCTTTCTCTGACCCCTCATTTCCTTTCCTCCTTCAGAGAGATGAAGAATCAAGAACAGGGTCAGCAGAAACAGGCCTTGGAAGATAAGTGGAAGAACCCACATGCCCTATATCTTAAGTCCATATGTGCTTGTTGATCAAACGTGACCATAAATAGGATTTTTGGGCGTCTTGACTTGAAATTTGGTTTGGAGATATGAGGTGCATACCAGAAAGAAAGATGACTCCATCTGGAAGATTATGAAGGGAAAGTATAGCGAAGGGGAGAAAGGTTGATCCGCTATCTAAGGGTAGAATCAGCAATATTTGATGATGAAGTGGACATAGAAGCTAGGGAGAGGAGGGAGTCAAGTTAATAATCAGTTTTCAGAGTGGGACTCCTGACTAAAATGCAGAATATAGGATGAGAAACATGTTCGGTGCAAGAAGATTTCTTTTTGGCATCAGTTAAATCTAGATGGGGTGGGGTATCCAGATGAAGATCCCCAGGAGGCGAGGCAATTGTTGTATGCACCAGGCGTTCAGTAAAGAAGTCTAGGTCATTTATTTCCTTTTCTGACACTAAGCTTCTATTTATTCTTCATGGTCCAACCCAAATGTTCTCTTTTACTGACCCAAATGAACAGAGTTATATGTAATTGTTGTTCTCAACACATTTTATACCACTTCTGATAAAGTACTTATCATATTTTTTATTGCTGTTTTCATCTCTTTTGTTATACATGAAGTCCTAGATCATGACTTGTTCATCTTTACATCCCCAGTAGTTAGCATAGCTTAAATAATACTTATTGAAGTGAAATTAATGAATATTTTTGTTAAATGATTGATAGAATATTCTGAGAAATTTGGTAATTCATATGATATTTAAGGCAATTGGCAAGTGGTAGTTTAGTATCTACTCAATATTCCCCAGTCATTGGGTTCTTTCTTGTTCCTAAAGCAGCCACACTAACTCCCATTTTAGATTGTGATTGTAGACAGAAGTTCCTCTGCCTGGAATGTTACTTCAGATCTTTCCATTGTTATTCCTTATTTTCATACGATCTCTTCAGAGAGGCATTCCAATCAGAAGGAATGCCATCCCAACTCAGAGCCCTTTACCTTATCACCCTGCTCTGCTTTCTTCATTGCACGTATCACTACTGTCTGTCTGCTCCCACACAAAGTTAGGTCTGTAAGAGCAGAGAACTCCTCTGTCTCATGCTCTGCTAGATCCCTACTGCCTAGAAGTTGGCCCTCAATAAATATTTGTTGACTAATAAATGAAGCAGGTCATCCCCAAGGGACAGATACGTTGCCATGAACATTTACAAAAACCTTTGGATTTGCTCTAATTTGGATTTATGCATTGAGAAATAAAGACCTTTGTGGTAGTTTTCACATCCTCATGGGTTTTTCTCTCTACCTGCAGTTTTCCACTTTAGTGAATCCTGAGGCATACACTCAAGAATCCTGCAGCCCTTTGTTTTCACAGCTGAGTTGCAGTGATTACAACTTCAGTGATGATAGACTGGATTCTTTCTAACATCTCTTTGTTGGAGATTTTATCTTCTTTAGTATCACCCATGAGCAGGAACAAAAAATAAGTATGCCATTATGGCAGGTTCATGAATCTCCTCTACATTAGCAGGAAAATAGATAGAACATCTGAAGGAACCATATGCAGTACAATTGTTGCTGCCTCAAGAAATGTGACCAAGACTCTGTAACACCCTGTCTGCACAGTTGGTAAATTGCCTAGTTAAGTCTGGACTCAAACTGTGTTACCACTTTTAAACTGTGTTAAATTTCTTAGTACTTTAGACTTGATGGGGTGAGCCCATTTACTGTGACGAAAGGATTACCTTTAAGTCGGTCTTCTACTTTAAGTAAGTAGTATTTAAGTAGTATTTCTCCTTTAATGAGTCTAACAAAAGAGGGCTATAGTTTATTACCTATGGGTGAGATTAAAGAAAAAGAGGACTCTGAAACACATGGGAATCTAAGAGGAACCACTGTGAGTACATGTGCATTCCAGCGCATAGTAGCTATTGGGAAGTAGTATCAAAAAGTCATTAGAAGGCTGGGTGTGGTGGCTCAGGCCTGTAATCCCAGGTCTTTGGAAAGCCAAGGTGGGTGGATCACTTGAAGTCAGGAGTTCAAGACCAGCCTGGCCAACATAGTGAAACCTCGTCTCTACTAAAACTACAAAAATTAGCCGGGTGTGGTGGTGGCTGCCTGTAATCCCCAGCTACGTGGGAGGCTGAGGCAGGAGAATCACTTGAACCCGGGAGGCAAGGCGGAGGTTGCAGTGAGCTGAGGTCGCACCACTGCACTCCAGCCTGAGCGACAGAGTGTGACTCTGTCTCTCAAAAAAAAAAAAAAAAAAGTCATTAGAATGATAGGGTCTGGAAAAACCAATCTTGGGTCACGAATACATATTCAAAAGTAGTTTAGAACATTTATAAACTTAAATTTGAAATTTTGAAAATATTTTCTTTTAATCTGTATGAGTCTAAATATTTGCCTTTCCTTAATAATTTTGAAATTAGTAGTCATCAAAGGGGTTGGCAATCATGGCAAGTGGCTATTAATGATTGACTTAGAAAATAATACTAATTGCAATAATACTAATTGCATTCATTAATTCATTTATACATTTTTAAAAGTCCTCCAACATTTTTTCTTATTCTCCTTTGCTCATAAGCTTCAATATCCACATTCTCTGATCCTTATTTTGATCTTTTAAAATACCTGTTGAGTATCCCTTAACCAAAATGCATGGAACCAGAGGTATTTTGGACTTTGGATTTTTTTCAGATTTTGGAATATTTGCATTATACTTACCAGTTGAGCATCCCTATTCTCCTTTGCAACAGGGTGCTAATATTCTCTTCTGTCTTTCTTGTTTTGTATGATAGTCTATGCCCACCTAACTCTGGAAGTTAACATCTATGCCAGCAACAGTTCTCTAAATTTGTCCTCATCTTTCACGTTTCATCCTTCAAATATCTCTTGAGATTTTTGGTTTCTATGCTCCACTTAATTTTGTGTTAGAATCTTTCACGAGTTGTCCAGTCCCAAGAAACCCATCAAACTTCACATGTCTTTACTGACAAATGGACATTGAATTTCTCATTGATTTTACTGATCTCTGGGGAGGTGTGCTCCCTGAAGGCAGCACTTTTATTTCCAGTGAAAAAGGCACAGTTAAGCAATATGGGAAAGGCATTTCTGAATTTTAGGACCAGTCCTAAAATTGAGTTTGGGTCAGTTCTCTCTAGAAAAGATTCTATTTTATTTACAGAGTAAAATTATTTTATTCCTTACAATAATATCAGAGGAGTTTTCCTACTATTTACATTCAGTCTTTGGCCCTAAGTCAAATAATCAACTCTGAAAGGAGAAGATCTTTGAGATAAACTTATTCTGTACCCTATGGAGAAAGCTAAGTTCTTTGGAGGCCTCTAGTTATAGCTCCCTAAGAACTATAAGGGAAGATAATAGGCAACTGACTTCAAAAAATTTTGTTCTATTTTTTTGAAAACTCAACTCATTTATGCTCTCCAGTGTCTTATCTCCATACTGCTCTGTGTTTTACTTCTGAGTCAAACTTCCTTCCCTCCCAAATATTTTCACTGTGATGTCTGGAAACCTCATTAGAGGACATCCACTCCATTTCTTTGCTTTAATTAACATTCAGCTATCTCTATGGGGACATTGCTTCCCTTGACATATGCTCAACTGAAGGCTGGTCATTTTCCCAAATGCTAAGGTATCATAGAATTTATTTAACAGAAGTGCATTGGCACAATTTTAGCTCCATATTTCCTATTCCCAACCACTATTCCTCTATTTTAACATAAAAGCCCCTTCTTTACTGTCTATCCATTTAACTATAATGTCTTCTGACAACTGCCACATTTATTCCAGAACTTCCTCTCCATCCAAGTGACATCATTTTCTCATTTGGCTTCCCTTTCACATTCATGTGGTTGACTCATCTAACACCTTAACCCCATAGGTTCTTCATTTCCTCAGCTCTGAGACTTTTTCTTGAGTTCGACCTTCCACTGCCTATGTCTTAGACATTTTTTAAATGGCCTCAACTGTTCCATATTAAAAAAACATAAGTTTAAATATCCATATTCTCTGATCTTTATTTTGATCTTTTAAAATACTTGTTGAGTATCCGTTATCAAAAATGCATGGGACCAGAAGCATTTTGGATTTTGGATATTTTTCAGATTTTGGAATATTTGCATTATACTTACAAGTTGAGTATCCTTAATTTGAAAATCTGAAATCTGAAATGCTCCAATGAACATTTCCTTTGAGCATCATGTAAGGGCTCAAAAAGTTTCAGATTTTGAAGTATTTCAGATTTAAGATTTTCAGATTAGGGATACTCATTGTTTGGCTGCCTTGGCTTGGGACCACAATTTTATCTCCTGCTAGGGCAGGCTCTTCAGAGTCACTTCTTACAGCTGCTTCAGTGTGGGGAAGCAGTTGACAGGCTTACTGTGAAGCTCCTCCCAGACTTTAGCCAACTTCAATCTCAAGCCACAGGCAGAGAGTCTTCTTCGTGTAGTTATAGTCCTTTCCTGCCCTGTTTTATGTTATTTAGCTCCAGCTTGAGTTCCTCTCTTGGAGCCTTTACTAAAAGTAGCAAAAAGCAAGCGTCTTATACCAAACACTTGAAATGTTTTACTCCATGTTCTTTGGAGTTAGAGGTTCAGATGGCATGTGCTCTACCTTCCATGACATCATAGATGGTGGTTTTAACAAACATTTGTCCATGACCTAGCTAAACTCACCAGCTGTATCACTGTCACTTGCTGGGGAATTCCGAGTAAATGCCACATATTTCAGATTCTGTTCTGTTTAGCTTCTCTTCCAGGTACAAAGTTTTGTGTTAGTTAAGATATAGGTTTGGTGGTTGTGAAAGAAGTTCAAAATAAGAGTGGCTTAGACAAGAAAAGAGACTATTTCCTGGTCACACGATAGAACAAGTTGTTAATGCGGCATAGCTTTACAGGGTGGTCAGTACTTGGGTATCTTCTATTTTTCTTTTATCCAATCAGTAAGGCATGGCCTTTATGGCCCAAAAGAGCTTATCACCACATCTGCATGTTAGCTATGGAAAAGGGGAAAATACTCCCTTCACTGACACACAGCAGTCACCAAAGCTGGTCATGTGGCTATTGAGAAGGTGCAAGGGCAGCTGGGAAAACTGCAATGCATTCTGGGTATTGCTGAGGAGGCAGCCACACTCATCTACTCTGATATTGAGAATTACATGTGATTGCTTTTAATTTTCATGTTGAACTTATCATTATGTGAGTTGGAACATTAAAGAAAAAATACACAAACAAATAAACTAGAGAATATTTTCCACTCCATTCATGTGACTGCCAGTCTTTGATGGAGTTTCAACCTGACAGAGATGAGAGGCAGAGCTCACAGGATAGGAAGATTTGAATTTGACTTTACTTTTAAATGCTTTCCTAATAACTGACTCCAAAAGTTAAATAAAAAAAAAAAGTGTTTAATTTTTCCCTTTATCTCTAGGTAGCCCTACATTAACATTATTAACATTATCATGAATACATTCCATTTAAAGACCTCCTTGAAAAGACAGTTCACAAATTCCCTCTATTTATGTTTCTGAGTTTTCTAGCCAAAATAAACATCTCAACTTGTGCATTTCCTTTACGTAAGGGTGTGCAGTTGTGATAAACAAATTATATATGAAACTGACATGATACTAGAACAGAAACTCTTTGAATACTGAGGCTGTGCATTTTTTAGGTTAGTAGATACTTTGCAATTTTTTTTTTTTAATGGAGTCTAACTCTGCTGCCCAGGCTGGAGTGCAGTGGCATGATATCAGCTCACTGCAACCTCTGCCTTCTGGGTTCAGGTGATTCTTCAGCCTCAGTCTCCTGAGTAGCTGGGATTACAGGCGTGCACTACCACGCCCGGATACCTTTTATAATTTTAGTAGAGACGGGGTTTCGCCATGTTGGCGAGGCTGGTCTTGAAATCCTGACCTCAAGTGATCCGCCTGCTTCGGCCTCCCAAAGTGCTGGGATTTCAGGCGTGAGCCACTGCGTCTGGCGGCAATTCTTCTTTCAACTTAATCAGCCCTTATATACTCAAAGAGTTACTTGGGTGCACACTTTCTCATTACCTATTTTTGTCATTGCATATATCTGAGGAAGGATAATGAAACTCTACTATCAGTAGAAGGATGCTTGGATTATGAAGTGCAACACTTTATAGCCTATCTTGACTCTTCTCCCAAACTTCATAGAAGTAAAGATGGGATTTTCTGAGTCTTTTTAACTTCCTAGGACTGGAGAGCCAGGAAGACAGAATAAAGGGGGAAAAGGGGCCTTACTTTTAACTTGGTACAAAGTTTATAATGGGAACGTAACAGTTTCAGAAAGCAGAATAGAAGAATCTTAGTAAAGAAACCAAGACAGGCAGCTTCATTTAACATTCTGCTCTTGAACTCATACTTTTATTATATACTTATATGTAGGGTTATTCTGAGGACCTACTATTCATTTTTCAAATAATTTATATTTTAATGTGTTTACATAGGTAATTTACATGACACTATTTTTAGAAATCCTGACCTATTTCAACCTGTCATGATTATCTATGGCTTAATTTCTTTGAAAAGCAATGAAGTCTCTCTCTGGAATCTAGCTATAATGATCTCTAATTTTGTAGTTCTCTAACTTGTTCACACACTTAGAATGACCTTTTATGCCTTTCCAACTATGACATCTTCAATTGTTCTATGGTTTGGGTTCAAATGTTCACAAATACATAGTGCTGAAATGCATATTAAACACATATAAACAAGGGAGAAGAGAAGTTGACACAGAAACAGTAATACACAGTGTTCCAACCAATCCATGTAAGTTGCAATTTCTGGTTTCATATCTCATAATTCAAAATCCTGGAGAGCTGCCACTGAATCATTTCTTCTCCTAATCATAAATACCTAGACCTGATACACCAGGGAATATCAGGATCTTGAAAAAAATGAAATAATGGAATAACAAAATAGCCTCAGGAAAGCAGCCTAAATATATTTTGTAGGTAGGTAGGTAGGTAGATAGATAGATAGATACCTAGATAGATAGATATTCCAAGACTATAAAACTATGAACCAATTTTTAAAATAATATAATCTTCTAATATTATGTTGAGTTGTGATCATCTGCTTATGTAAAATTCAAGACACATTCAAAGAGATCCTTCAGTGATAATGTTTTAAAAGAAGGAAAAAGTTTTAGATGCTACTTGAGAAAAGGACAAAGTATAGCTGGAGTTTCTCTTTCTTCCGTTGTTATTACTTAATTACACTATCTTTCTGGCCACAAAATGAACAAAAAGATTCATTCACTTGTGTCATTAGGTACTAAGCATCAGCTGTCGATTCATTCATTTCACACATTTTACTAGTGACACTGAATACTGCAGAGCCAAAGATGAAAGGGGAAGCAATCCACAGGCCAGTGAGAAGATGCATGATTGCCATTCAGGTACTGAGGGCTGCAACGGAGGAAGGGCGGTGAGGGCACTAATGAATTCTTGCTGTGTTCTGGTTGTTTTCTTATCCTAATAACAGCTCCCTGGAAATGGTACTATTAATCCCTAAAGAAACTAAAATTCAGAGAGATTAAATGACTTTCCCAAAATCACAAAACCAATATGCAATAGAGCCATAAATCCAATTCAGGCCTATCTCATATCACAATTATTTTCTGTCTGCTACACCAAGTGGCCTCCTTCAGTTTTGCAAGACGCCCTCAGTGCCAAGGCATGAGCCCTGACCAGGGAGTCAGAGAAACTTTTTCTTTCTTTCTTTCTTTCTCTTTCTTTCTTTCTTTCTTTCTTTCTTTCTTTCTTTCTTTCTTTCTTTCTTTCTTTTCTTTTCTTTTCTTTTCTTTCTCTTTCTTTCTTTCTTTTTCTTTCTTTCTTTTCTTTCTTTCTTTTTCTTTCTTTCCTTCTTTCTTTCCCTTTCCTTCCTTCTTTCTTTCTTTCCTTTTTCTCTTTCTTTTTTCTTTTTCTTACTTTCTGTCTCTCTTTTTTTCTTTTTCTCTTCTTTCCTTTCTTTCCCTTCCTTCCTTCCTTTCCTTTTCCTTTTTTTCTTCCTTCCTTCCTTCCTTCCTTTCTTTTCTTCCTTTCTTTCTTTTTTATTTGATGGAGTCTCACTCTGTAAGCCAAGGTGGAGTGCAGTGGTGTGATCTTGGCTCACTGCAACCTCTGCCTCCCAGGATCAAGTAATTCTCCAGCCTCAGCCTCCTGAGCAGCTGGAATTACAGGGGTGCGCCACCATGCCTGGCTAGTTTTTTGTATTTTAGTAAAGACGGGGTTTCACCATGTTGCCCAGGGTGGTCTCAAACTTCTGACCTCAGGCGATTCACCTGCCTCAGCCTCCCAAAGTGCTGAGATTCAGAGAAACTTTCATGGAGGGGGGACAGATGGAGTCAAGTCTTGTGGGGTGAACAGGAGTACCACAGGTAGAACGAGGTTGTGAAAGATTTTCCAGACAGTTGGAAGAGCATGTGAAAGACAGATTTTGAGAAAGTCAAGTCTGGGGAACTGCAAGCCTTTTGGCACAAGAAAGCCACTGTGGATTGCAGAGGCAGGATGCCTAGATTCAAATCCCAACTGGTACACTTCTAAGCTTTGTAACTTTGGCAAGTTTTTACCCTCTTTTTTCTTATCTATAAAATATAGATAGTAATAGTACCTACCTAATAAAGTTGTCAAAGAGTAAATGATATAATATATGTGAAGCATTTTGTCCAGTGATAGGAACCCAGGAAGGGCTCCATGAATATTATATATTATTATTATTCTAAAGTAGCTGGAATACAATGTTCAAAGGAGAGAGTGGCAGGAGACAAGTTTGAATTGAAAGATTGAGGCCAGAACATAAAGTGCCTCCTATATTATATTTTATATAATTGAAACATCATTGAAGGATTTAAGTGCTATTTATGTGTATGTGTGTGTTTTATATAATTAATTCTAGTTCAACATTTTAAAATATCTTTCTGATGTCACTGTGAACAACAGATGAGAAGAAGTGAATCCTGAGGTAAGGAGACCAACTCTCTGATTACTGCAATAATCCAGGGAGGGTACCATAAGGATTTCACCTGGAAATGAGTCCATCCTGATGGAGAGGAAGGACAGGGCTGAAAAATACTTAGGAAGTAATATCAGTAGGACTTGGTTAAGACAGAGCAGAGGCAGGCTACAGGGGTTGAAGGTGCCAATCACACAGATAGGGAAAATGGGAGGAGAAGCAGGATTTGAAAAAGTGGCTTGTCTTGTAAAATTATGTCCTGTTAAAATAGTAAAAGAAATTAATATATTCAATCCCAAAATACAGGGACAATTCTGTTTGAAAGAGTTACCCAGATAATCTCGCTTGAAGTTTTCAGTTAAAAATAAAGAAATTTCTTGTTAACAAGTAATGTAGTCATAGAAGAAAACACTTAAAACTTTATTGAATAAAACTAATAAATCATTTAATATCATTTATAGGAAACTGTTATATAACATACACATTCAATACTTTTAGGTAAAGTATAAATTAATGGAAGGAGAGCACACACAGAGGTTGCATTATGTTTATGACTTTATTAGTCAAGAATACAAAATTGAGTAGCTACATCAAGCAGAAACAGATGCTTCACAATCCAGCATAGAATCCCTTGACTTCCAAATTCCCGAAATAGACACGTAAATACAGATGACACTGTCAGAAAAAAATAGGGTCTCACCAGACCTATAATGTTCTTTTCTTGATATAAATATGCATATGAATTGCATACGGTCATATGGTGCCAATGACCATTATTTCCTCTGGGCTTACCTATCCATCTAAGGAGAATTTACACCAACACTGTACTTCTACTTACAAGAATATATGAAAGCATAGTTAACTTCTGGCTTATGACCCCATCTTAGGATCAACAAAGCAGTCCTCTTGGGGGAAGCCCATTTTGCTACAATTTAAAGCCGTTATAAGCATTAAATAAAAGCTTAGTACTTGTAATCTAGTGTGTTATAATGCAGCTAGGGAATTAGATTTCAGGTGTTTATTTTTAACACAAATCCATTAATTCTGACACCTAAGGCAAATGCTAGTCAACATGAATGGAGAAACTTTGATTAGTGGTATATGTTTTCAGATTTCTGGAACATTCATAGACTCCTCAATGTCTTATGTACTGAAATTTTTTAAACCATTGTTTTCTCTAGAAACTAATGAAACTCATCAGAAACTCATTTTTCAATACTAAAACATAGTCATAAGTAGAATATTAATCTTACATTAATTAAGATGTTAACATATGTGAAATTTAATACTTCCTTTAAGGTATGAACATTTATCCAATTCATAATTTCAATGAAAGGAAATGTCTAAGAGAAACTGTTTTAATTCTTCAACCACAAGGACTACACAGAGCAGTTTCAGCACCAGGGATAGTAACCTTCTTGGCTAGCAGTGAATGCTCTAATACTGATGAGTAAATCCTGTGTGTCTAACTTCAAATTAATTGTTAGTTGTTAGATTTATAAGAATGAATATAACATGATAGGAGCATAGGCACAAAGGAAACATTCAAATTTGTTGTTGTCCTTGCGATTATTCTTGTTATATGTGAGGCTGATATGATAGAAGATACTGATTTAGGTCAAATACACATATTAAATGTGGAAAATTAATAACTCTAATTAAATATTTCTTGTTTTATACACATTAATTTTAAATACAGCCCAACAATGGACCACTATTTCTCAATACAAGAAAGTAAAACATAAAAATCATGAAGTTCTTCAATCAAACTTCAGTAATGCTTATCGCAAACATAAAACATAAAAAACAACACATTTTTAAAGAAATATTATCTTTCCAAACATAGCCATGTGATTCCTCTGTATTAGAATTTTTCACAGGAATTTTAACTATTATATTTTTTCTACATGCTTTAAATAATAAAATAATTTGAACTTTTGACCAAATGTGATATATTTAAACTATTGTGTGTATTTTAAAGTGAGGGTAAAAAAAGACACCAAAGCGTCTAGGAAGTTAAACTATAAATTAACATACAGAATTAATTAATTAGGAAGTTAAACTATAATTAACTTACAGAAGTTACCAAAAAGTGTTAATGCCCACCCCAAGAATGACTATAAATCTATTGTTAGAATTTCCATGTATCTCAATTTTTAATATGTAATTGTTTTGAAAAATTTGGCCAATTTGAAAAAAGCCATTAATATGTAAATAAAGACATCTACATTAATACATATTCTTTATTAATTCTTTATTAGATACTAGATAATCTGGGTTCTGCACAATTTTGTATTTGGCCATTTATTTGTTCTATATATCAGTAACAAATATACAAGTTTTTGAAGCCTCCAATACCAACATATTTTTAATGAGTGGGGCCATCTCTTTGCTGACATACCATGGTTACTACACCAATTTATCGTCACGAGATATCTGAACATGATGTTGGACTTAGGAAACTAGTACTTGTAAACCCAATCACCAGGAATGCATGGTTGAATGGCCAAAATTCAGGCAACATACAGGTGGATAAACCAATGGTCCATTAACCTAACGATATAATGGTTCCCAGGAACCAAGGGGAACAAAATTGGTTGGAGAAGAAATACACGATACTTGCAGAAAAAAACAACTTGCTGCTGAGGCCAGGTTCCTTACTGGCATGCCACCCCTCCTTCCTGGGGGTAGCCAGTCCTGAGTGAGCCTGGCCTGAGGTTTGCTGGTAATCACTACACATGTCTAGCTAGTGGGGTTCCTTGGTCAGTTTTGAATGTTGAGATAGAAAGCAAACAAACAGTTACCTAATGACAGTAATTCTCTCCCATCCACAGGAGGGTTTTGCCTAGCATTCACATGCATGTTGCTACAGTACAATTGATTCATTAATTTACTTTAGCCAATTACTTAGTAAACTCATGTCAACAAGAGAGGGGGCAAGGCTTTCATTCACAGCTGAAACCATACATACTGAGGATCTAATAATGAGTGCATACATCACCAACTGAGTTTTTTTACTTTCAAAATATTTTGTGGTACCATGAAAACATGATGTAAATCCCAAGGGAAATTTGTCTAGAGATTTGATGAAGCTTTATCTTGCTGTCCAATTAGAAATTGGATGACTGGAAAGATTCTTCTAAAAACTGGCTAAGATATTTATTGCCAGAATTTTCTTGAGGAGAAACTGTTGGTTTGGCTCCACCTACATTCCCTTACCTCAACCATGTAATCCTGAGCACCTGCTCCTCAGGAGTCAATGCTTTCCTTCAAAGGATCCTTATACATACACTGGAGCTGATGCACAAAACTGCCTTGCCGCATTTTTGAGGATCTCAAATTTGGCCCCTTGTTTACATTATCCTTCTTTTTGTTCATCACATTTCCAGATTCCTGACTGTTTACCAAACTTTATATTGCCTTCCTATTCCATTCTTGAGGATCCATGGTCACTGCAACTGTCTTTTCAGGTTTGCCCCAACTGTGGCTTGTGTGACCAGTTTTGATTCCTTGCCAATTGATTCCTGACCACTAGCTCTGGGCATGGAACCTGCCTGGCTCCTTTTAACATCCCCACAACTTGTCACGCACTTTATCCAAACCAGTTCCCTGCTCTGAGTCTACAGCTGTGACTCACTACTGCCTGTATTTCCAGATTACTGGAATTACTGCTCCACTCCAGATTGCTGCCAGAATTAATGCTACTGCTTTCTCTGTAATACTTTGTACTTTTCAAAGGATCATAATTTATCTCATTTGTGCTTACAGCCCCTTTCTATAATGAGAGCTGTTCATTCCCATTTCATTGGTAAGAAAATCAAGACTCAAAAAGGCCAAATAATTTACTTAACACCACAGTGACGATTTAATACTTTGAATGCTAGTTTTGAGGACCTTATTATTCCCCCAAAATCATGTTTTAGGGAATTTAGCAGTCCTTTAGAGGAATGATTTTATTCTGACTTTAAAACCTTTTGTTTTTTTCTTCCTTTAATATGTGACATTGCCTTGCAATGTAAGTAATCTGTATCAAACTATTGAATGTATTGAATTGTTAGAATTTTTACCTTTTAAGTTCTTTCCTCCTTTCTTTCCTTGAGACATTTATCAAGTACTTACCATGTATCAACCAATGAGCATAGTATATTGCTGCAGAGTTTATTTATAAGCTGTAGTCCCTGCTTTCAAGTAGTGCTAATGTAAAGTCAGGAAAAAATTGTATAACAAATTACTACAAGACTATTCTTTTTCATAAAAATAAATACCATATAAAAGTATCATTTTCTGAAATCATATTATTTATATACATTTTACTAGTTTATTGTCTGTGACCTCTATTAGAATATAAGCTACATGAGGACAGGGACTTTGTTTCATTTACCACTATATTTCCTGTACCTTGAAATGACACATGGCTTGCAAAATACATTCAATAGATACGTGTAGTAAGGAATAAAATGTTAGTTCTCCTTTAGGCTTTTACAAAATGCTCTTATGTTTCTAGTGAATGAAGACTATTTATTAGATACCACATGAGTGGCTCTCGTTGCATAATCAGTTAGCACGTGCTACTTTATAAGATACTACATTAATTCAATGTATTTCACTTAAAGTTTTTGTTCTCTTTAGTTGAACTCCTTTTTAGTTTTTCTAACCTTCTTAAAAAGGCCATATATGTTTTATTACTTAATAGACACACAATCTTTTAAACATAGAATTCATGTATTTAACAAACATGTATTGTTAGAAATACATAATGTCTCTTTAAAGTTATCCCATTTCATGTTTTGCTCACTGGATGGTCATTAGTATGTTTTCTGATGACTCTAAAATGAATGCTACAGAATTGCTACTGTAAAAATTATTAATTTACTAGTTTATTTAGTAAATTTGTATTTCATTTTAGGTTAAGGCTTATGGTCACAAAGCTCAAAGGGTTGATGTATCAATTATATTGACTATTTGTTGTTTATATCAACTTTTTGTTTGTAGTGGCTGCCTTCTAAGTTCCATTGCATCTCTGCTCTTAAATCTGTTCTGTGTTATATGTGATTATATTTTCTTTGGCATTTTTCTTACTTAAACGTCAAACAGATTACATTTCCCAATTTTAGAGTGCTGAAACTATGTCTTTATAGTTATCTTTCAAAATAGTTAACAGTAATATCCACAGGTGTAAAGTTAATATATGTTTTATAGTGATTCAGTACAAGATGTTTTCAGTTTAGGCATTAGTAGAGGGATTTTTTTTAAAGAAAAAATTAATCATATGACATTTCCAGTGAATGAAGGCTACTTATTAGATACTACTTAAAGACATTATGACTTTTATAAATATTCTGGATAGGACAATTCCAAAGAGGTAACAGATAGGAAAAGAAAGTAGAGGTACAAAAATCTGTTGTTGACTCCCATTTTAAAAACTGGAAGCTATATGCATAATCTTAGCCATAGCTAGGAAGTGCATACCATATGAATGCTGCCACAGTGTTGTGGGTCAATGTCAACACAAACACCAATGAAATAATTTGGAAAAGTTAATGTCATGAAATGCCACTGTCCTTTTAAAGAAGGAAATCAGGGAAAACCCTCTGTCTTGGCATAAACTTAAAAGTACTGAGCTTGTTTACAAAGAAAGCAGTAATAAAATATTTTTAATGAAAAGGAAAAGGAAATAGATATTGAAAAGTCTGGTTTAAACCATCAGATACATTTTGGTAGACTGTTTACTTCCATGGGCTAGTAAATTGTAAGGAAGTATTTTGTTATTATTATGTCTTTGTTCTTTTGGCTTCTTATTTTTATAAAGTTGCAGAGAAAAATACTTAGTTTCTAATATGCCTTCTTTCCCTATGACTAGCAAACCAAAAAGAAAAGTTATATTGCCAATTTTACTTAATGTAATTAAAGGGATAAAACATTTAAGTTTGAGATAGGGATGGAAATCATTAAGGCTATCGTAAGATAAACTAACGTTGAATATATATTAGGCTATTCATTAAACAAACAAAACACTAAAGAAGACACTGATGTCCTATTTGCTCTTTGAAGAAGGGAAAGCCAAGTTAATGAATGAAGAGAAAATAAGTGGAGATTAGTGTATTTAATTATGTAATTTGAAAACTCACAAAAACTGTATTAAGCCCTCTTTTGGCACGAATCTATAATCACTTCTATCACCTGTTGAGCACTTATTACAGGCACTGGCTAAATGCTTTATATGTGTTATCTCTGTAAATCCTCCAAGCAATACATGTGAGGTAGTTACAATAGTACCCCCTTATCCCATGGTTTTGCTTTCCCCCTTATCCCATGGTTACTTATGGTCAACCATAGTCCGAAAATAGTAAATGGGAAACTCCAGAAATAACAATTAATACGTTTTACATATCATGCTATTCTCAGTAGCATGATGAAATATTGCACCATCCCACTGCATCCTGCCTGAGACGTGAATCATCCCTTTGTCCAGTGTGTCCTCATTGTACCCGCAACCTGCCCCTTAGTCACTTAGTAGCCATCTTGGCTATCAGATGGACTGTCACAATATCGCAGTGCTGTGTTCAGGGAACCCTTATTTTACTTACTGACCTCAACGTGCAAGAGTAGTGATGCTGGCAATTTGGGTATGCCAAAGAGAACTTAAAGTGCTTCCTTTAAGGGAAATGGTGAAAGTTCTTAATAAGAAAAGAAAAAAAAATTGTATGCTGAATTTGCTAAGATCTATTGTAAGAATGAATTTTCTATCCATGAAATTTGAAGTTAAAAGAATTTCTTGCTAGTTTTGTTGTCACACTTCAAACTGCAAAAGTCATGGTCACATTGGTGATAAGTGCTAGTTAAGATGGAAAAGGCATTACATTTGTGGGTGGAAGACATGAACAGAAACATGTTCCAATTGATGACAACGTGTTCCATCAGAGAACATTGAACCTGTCTGAAGACTTCAGCAAGGGATCCTCTAAAAGGAGTAACAGTCATTTACAGCAAGTAAAAGATGGGTACACAGATTCAGGAATAGGTTTGTACTGAAAAATATAAAAATTATTGAAGAGGCTGCATCTGCTGCTGATGAAGCTACTGCCACATTTCTGGCAGAGTTGATGAAATTGATTAAGGAGAAAGGATACCATTCAAAGCAAGTCTTCAATTATGATGAAACCAGGCTCATCTGGAAGGAGATGCCTAATAGAACCTACATTCACAGAAGTGTAAAGGAGGCATCAGGGCATAAAACATGGAAGAACAGATTAACTCTGGTGCTATGTGGCAACGCTGCAGGGCATACGATAAAGCCAGGCATAGTGTACAGAGAGAACCCATGTGCTCTCACAAACAAAAACAAAAATTATCTGCCTGTGTATTCGTGATGGCAAAGACTTGGAACCAACCCAAATGTCCAACAATGACAGACTGGGCTAAGAAAATGTGGCACATATACACCATGGAATACTATGCAGCCATAAAAAATGAAGAGTTCATGTCCTTTGTAGGGACATGGATGAAACTGGAAACCATCATTCTCAGCAAACTATCGCAAGGACAAAAAACCAAACACCGCATGTTCTCACTCATAGGTGGGAACTGAACAATGAGAACACATGGACACAGGAAGGGGAACATCACACTCTGGGGACAGTTGTGGGGTGGGGGGAGGGGGGAGGGATAGCATTAGGAGATATACCTGATGCTAAATGATGAGTTAATGGGTGCAGCACACCAACATGGCACATGTATACATATGTAACAAACCTGCACATTGTGCACATGTACCCTAAAACTTAAAGTATAATAGTAATAAAATAAAAAAAAAATTATCTGCCTGTGTTTGGTATAGGGATCAGTACTATATGCAGTTTCAGGCATCTATTGGGGGTCTTGGAATGTCTTTAGCTCAGATAAGGGAGAACTACTGTATATTTTACAGGTTCAGAAATAAGCTCATAAGTAATTTTTCTGGATTTGAACCCAATCTACCTAAATTCAAAACCGATTCTTTTAGCCACTACACCATAATTTGAAGGATTATTTGGGATTAGAATGGGGATGGCAAAAAACAAAACAAAACAAAACAAAACAAACCAGTGAAATGTTTGGGAGAAATGTTTTATTTTATAATGTAATCATGTGAGCTCTCTTGTGCTTATGAAAGAAAACACTGTGGTATGAATTATGAGGGCAGGGCAAACCAGGTGCCCACTATGCTTACTATGCCTCACTGGATGCAAATAGCCTGAAACACATTATGTTATGTGCTCTTGCCACTGCAAAAGAAATCTGGCTGAGCTTGTTTTAATATAAACAGAGAAACTAGTGATAAAGCTGTGGCTAACATATCACATTTCATTTACTTCTCACAATTTTAGATCAGCCAGACAGAAATGAAGTTTTATATACACATTTGTGTGTATTTAACAGAACCCTAAATAATAAATATGATTAAGCATCTTAATTCTTTAAGATTTGCTTTTACATTAACAACAAAGGGGTTACATATAATGGATAATCCAGAATATTTAAGTTTAGACTCTCAGGTAGAAGGTACGGGTCAGATACTGTGTTCTTTCTTTTTACCTCTCTTTTCCGATCCTGACCCTTCTGTCTGTTAAGTGAAAAGAGATACATTATAGTTCTGGGAAATCAAAGTATAAACCTCCAATTGTCTCCATGACAATGGACCTGCTAATTGGACAATGAAGTAGCTATTTCAAGCCATTCTTCCACCAGTTAATCCATGGCTGCTAGCAGCAGAGAAAGGCTCTATTCTAAAACTTTATGCACCACTACTAGGCTCAGATTGTTCTATGAAGTTTCTCAGTTGAGCTAGAGTTTGGTAAACATGCTGTCACCTATTTTGAAGAGATTCTAATAATGAGATACCTATTCCAAAGGATCCTTGGATATTTCCTCACAGCATTTCTTCTCTCCCATTACCCAGGGTGTGTGATTTTTTATTATAAATATATAGATATGTAATCATAACCTTTTTAAACAAGGACTAGATTACAAATTTTTTTCCAGAAAAGCATAATAAGGAACGATATACTAATATGAGAATGAAATTAAATTTTGGTTAATTTTAATGAATAAAAAATAATTTGTTTATTCCAAGTGATTTTTGTCCAGGATTAAAATGATTTCCAGGAAATAGAAAGGCTAATAGCATTTTCTGAACCTTTCTAGGCATAGATAAGAGATATAAGACCAGATTGGCTCCAGATATCATTTCTTGGTGGGGCGCTTTCAAATATACATACAAAAAATGATGATGTTAATTTTAAATGACCTTTCCTGGTCTCATTAGTATCTTCTGTCTGGTCCATTTGGTAGAAATTAGTAATGGCTTTGGTCTGGGTCCCAGTATAGGCAGTGTGGGATAGGAGTAGAGCTGTGGCTTCAGCCAGTCACAACTAGGATCAAATCCTAATTGTGTCACTTCCTTAAGTGTGACTTCACAAAACTGACTGAACCTCTCTTTAGACCAGTGTCCTAGTATGGGGATAATAACTTACTTGAAGAACTATGGTAAGGATTTAGAAATAACACATATAAAAGTGTGTGGCAGAAAAGAGATAATCAGTGTGTGACAGCTACAATTTTAAACAATTAAGCAGCCAGTAAAAATTAAATAAACTCCTTTCTTTAACATACTTTTCTTTCTCTAGCCTATGTATACCAACTACAATGGCAACTATGGTAAAATAGATGTCTGCGCAAAACTAAAAGAAATTTACTGCTCAAAGTTTGTTAGTGTGAAAACATTTTTTATATAGTTTTTCTTTCTTTTTGAATTTCACTGAAGGAGTTGTGTAGTTGACTACATATATTAACATGAATTTCTTACTCTTGGCAAAGGAGGCAGAGAAGAGGGAAACTATTTAAGTGAAAATTTGTCAACCTATGCTATCTGAAAGAAAAATATTTTTTTAAAAGTGGAATTGGGTACAGTGTTTTAGATCACTTTCTTTTTTTTCTTTTTTTTGAGACGACATCTCACTTTGTCGCCCAGGCTGGAGTGCAGGGACCCGATCTTGGCTCACTGCAATCTCCACCTCCCGGGTTCGCGCCATTCTCCTGCCTCAGCCTCCCAAGTAGCTGGGACTACAGGCGCCGGCCACCACGCCCTGCTAATTTTTTGTTTTTCATTTTTTGTATTTTTTAGTAGAGATGGGTTTCACTGTGCTAGCCAGGATGGTCTCAATCTCCTGACCTCGTGATCCGCCTGCCTCGGCCTCCAAAAGTGCTGGGATTACAGGCGTAAGCCACCGCGCCTTGCCTTAGATCACTTTCATCTGGGTGGGAACATGAATATATTCATGAAAACGGCACTTCCACTGGCAAGAACTTCAGTAGGGGAGATGAGAAGGATAGGGCTGTGGACAGAAGCAAGAAAATGAGTAAGGCACTAAAGGAGGAAAGCACAGTACATTAATTGGGGATAGAGAGAAATTCATGTTGGCTGAAGCCCTGTTTTCCCACCTGGGGACTTCGGAATTATTCAAAGTGATCCATGAATACTTACATACATCAGGTATTGTTTGTGGACAGAATAAAAGTTAAACACATGCAGGTGAATTCGTTTCTTAGGGCTGCAGTAACAAAGCACCGCAAACTACAGGGCTTAAAACAACAGAAATTTATTCTGTCATCGTTCTGGAAGCCAGAAATCAGAAAACAAGGCATCAGCAGGCTCATGCTGTCTCTGGAGGCTCTAGAGAAGAATCCTGCCTTGCCTCTTCCTCGCTTCTGGTGGTTCCCGCAATCCTTTGCTTTTCTCAGCTTGCAGCTGCTTAACTCCAATCTCTGCCTATATCTTTACATAGCCTCCTTCCCTGTCTTTACATCATCTTCCCTCTGTGTGTCTCCTCTCTTTTTATGAGGACATGGACATATTTGGTGAAGGGCCCACTCCACTCCATTATCTCATCTTAAGGTCACATTCACAGGTACTTGAGGTTAGAACCTGGATGTATCTTTTTGGTGGACACAATTCAACCCAAAATGGTGTGTATATGTATTTCAAATATATGTAGATGTGTGATTTTTTAAGTGAAAATTATTTAAATAGCATTATTAACTTGAAAGTAGCAGTTCATCACTGTAAATTTTCTCAATTAATGGATATTAAAGGAATACATCTGTCAGGTAGGAGTCTAACAGTCTATAATTTTTTTAATGATAAAAAGAGTTGTACACACTGAGAAGGGTTGGGATCTGTGGTATAGGGTTCCTGTGGAAGAGAATGAGATAAAACTAGCAAATAAGCTAAAGTATGAAGTGTCTTTGGTACCGATAGGACTTAATTTCTTAGGCAAAGAGAATTACTGGTGATGTTTTCACAGATGCAGTGCATGTATGTAGAAGCTATTGTGATGAATACAGTAAAATCCTGGACCACTAATCTGTCCATCAAGGTGGAACGTTAGGAAGACTACCATGTAAGGATGAACTGGAGAAGAGTGAGTGTGGAAACAAGGAGACCAGGTATGAAGTGACTAGAATCTAAATCAGGATGACTGCAGTGAGAATGAAAAAAATGAGATGAATGCTAGACCCACTCCCACGAAGAATGGGCAGAGGTATGACAATTTAATGGTGAATAAGTATGTGTGCATGGTGCATTTGTATGCATATTTATGTGATGTTTACGGGTACATGTTTGCATTAGGCTGCTTGTATGATATCTAGTTCATTTATGATTCCAGAATACTTATTATTTCAGTACCATTTGACATTTTAAAATTACTTGCTGATAATTTTCCATGTCTCAACACAATCTTTTCCTAAATGAAAGATTCAGAATCACTCATTTCAATTAGTTTAATTTTTGGCATACAAATATGTATTGGTTGGTAAGCTTCAACATTTTAACCATTCCCAAATTGGGTCAACTTAGGATACAAATATAGAATTTCTATTTTGTGTTTGTGTTCCCTCTTTAAGAGGAAAATTAGTGGAGCAAAAAAGGTAAAAGAAGTAGTGGTAGTTGGAAGAAACTGACATTTAAGTTTGATGAAGAAATTCTAAATAGACACCTAGAGAGGCTAAATGAATTCAAGTCCCCAAGGCAGGACAAATTGCATCCACTGATCCTAAAACAATCTGAAAACTAGATCACTGAACAACTCTCAATGGTCTTTGAGGAGTCATAGAGAACTAGGAGTGCCAGAGGATTGAAGTGCTAAAGGCAGGGTGAGGTTAATTCTCGAAAATCCATAGCAAGTAGCTTAATATCTCCAAAGCAAGTAATAATACTTCACATCAATATATTTTCATTTAATTTTGCTCAGATACAGAAACAGAGAGTATCCAGACTGCAGCTAGACAGTTGTCAAGGTCCCTTACGGTATCCTTTGGTAAAGCCAGAGGAATATGTGTGCTAGTTATCAGCACACTATGGTAGCTAATTTATTATTGAAGGAGTATGCTAAACAGGTGCTTATAAACAACTTAAATCAGTTTTCAAACTTTTTGACTACAATTTGCAGTAAGAAATACATATTACATCATTACCTAGTAAACATACATATGTATTTTTATGTACGTGTGTGTAATTAAAGCAGATCTTATAAAATGGTACTTACCCTTACAAAATAGATTTTGAAATTTCTCATTATGTGTGTTTCTATTCATTTCATTTAAAAAAAACCCTGTTGGTTGCAACCCACTAAATCAATTTCATGACTCCCTATTAGGATGGGACCCACAGTTTGAAAAACGTGAATTGATTCAAGCAGAGTGATACTGGTGACTGCTGAGCTGTTTTC
The DNA here is from genome assembly GCF_000001405.40 of Homo sapiens. Classification (NCBI taxonomy): domain Eukaryota; kingdom Metazoa; phylum Chordata; class Mammalia; order Primates; family Hominidae; genus Homo; species Homo sapiens. The sequence goes on from NC_000013.11 coordinate 34,938,064, forward strand.
ATCCTGTTCAATCAACATTTGAATGGAGGTATAGAAGGAATGCTCCCAAATTTACACATAGACTAATAAGACAATAAATTATTTGCATGATATAATCAGGATTAAGAAATTCCTAGCAGATGAAATTTAATGGATAATTAAATAGAAAATTTGTATTAAATAATCTTTTTTTTTTGTTTTGAAACAGAGTCTTGGTTTCTTGCCCAGGCTAGAGTGCAGTGGCATGATCTCTGCTCACTGCAACTTCTGCTTCCCGGGTTCAACTGATCCTCCTGCCTCAGCCTCCTGAGTAGCTGGAATTACAGGTGGCCACCACCACACCTGGCTAGTTTTTGTATTTTTAGTAGAGATGGGGTTTCACCGTGTTTTCCAGGCTGATCTTCAACACCTGACCTCAAGTGACCCACCTGCCTTGGCCTCCCGAAGTGTTGGGATTACAAGCATGGACCACCATGCCTGGCCTTAAAATAAAATTTAAATTTAAATTGATATGTTCAATTTTGTACTTATATCTCAAAATCTACATGTAAAGCTACAAATTGTAGATATGCTGCTGCTAAAAAAACAGTAATAACAAAAGAAAACGCCTTAGTTTTTCAGGTCGATAATTATTTCATGCAGAAGCTATTGTGATTAATAAAGTAAAACTCTTTATTAATCCTAATTAATCCTGATGGTCTAATCTGTCCATCAAGATGGACCTTTACGAAGATTACCCATGTAAGGATGGACTGGAGAAGAGTGAGTGTGGAAAAGAGGAGACCAGGTATGAAGTGACTGGGATCTGAATCAGGGTGGCTGCAGTGAGGATGAAAAAAGTGGGATGAATGCGAGACCTATTACCAGGAAGAATGGGCAGATCTGTAACTAATTTAATGGTGATAATAATTTCAATATGAGAGGAGAATGGAACCAAAATTATTTGAGAACCTACTACGTGCCAAATGTGAATCATTACTACATTACACGAATCATTAGTGTCATGTTAAGAAAAAAATCCAAAACCAAAACAAACCAAACAGATCTAATTTGATTTGGGGCAACATTAACAGGAGCTATATTGCTAAAGGTTGAGGGTGAGGTAAGAATTTCCCTCTGTTTTATACAGGTCTAAACCCACATTGAATTTGGAGTATTCTGTTCAGATAAAGTTTAGAGGAAAGCAAGAAATGTGTTCTTTAAAGAACAGGTGAAGGAAACGGGAATAGTGTGGAGAACGGCTGTTTCCATCCATTCATTTTTGAACATATTTATTCAATGTAAATTATGTCAGGCAAGGTAGGTGCAAAAAAAAAAAAAACCCAAAAATAATGACACAAAATAACTGTGGGTATTTTCCGGCAGCCAATGAAGGGAAACATTATTGATTGCCACTTACTACTACATTAAGTACGTTAAATGTATTAGCTCCTTTAATCCTATAAAGTAGTATTATCATCCTTACTTTGGGTTGAGTAAACTGAAGCTTTGAAGCTAAAGTCATTTTCCCAACATCACACATATAAGTGGTGGTGGAACTAGAATCTAAATCCAGCTTCCATTGAATCTGGGGCATGACTTCTCAACCTCTCTGCAATATTGCTTCCTGAAACTCAGATTCACAGGTTTCTTATCTTTGAATGATTGTCCTTAGGAAGTATGGGTATGCAAAAATGCATACAAAATTAATATTCACCACATAAAATATATTTTTTAATCTGGAGATTTAAAAATATACATATTGGGTATCTTCTATTATTATGTAGCTTTTCTTTCAAAATATTGTTAATGTAAATGTAAAGTTATTTGCACATTTTCCGGGAAAAGGTTTTGTAGGCCAAAAAGAAATAGACCTGTTGACTTTTCTGAACTTTATGCTTTTGGGATGGTATGGAAGACATATAACTGTGCAATTATGCAGACTTGTATGTGGTTATAATTGGTATTACATGTGTTTATAGGTCATGCAACACACATGCCTGTATACTAAGGACACAAAGACACATTGACTATATGCTAGCTGCTCAGCTGAAATTATTTTATGGAATTCTTACTTCCCTATGAAACACATATTATCATTCCTACTTAAGGAACCAGGAGACTGAAACTCAAATAGCTTGAGTAGACTGCAAAGGTAGTAAGTTGTAACTATGACTCAAAGAATCATGCACTTTCCACAGTATCATAGCGCCTGCGAGGAGCTGATTGTCTACTGGAGAAAGATTTTTAATTGGTAAGCTCTTTTAAATATCTCTGAAATTGAATTAAGTAGGCAAAAGAAGTGGAGTTTTCCTACTTAGAAATGGTGATATTATCTTTACCCACTCACTATCTTCACTAAGAAAAATGAGCAGAAAAATACAACCAACTGCATATACATACTACTTAAGAAAAAATACAAGAAAAATCAAAATGGAAATGTTAAAAATGATGTTAAGCTATTCATTCAGAAAGGAAATAGAAAGTTCAGGTTGTCACTGTCTCTCAAAGTACTCATGCAAGAAGTCTAAAAATAGCAAAAGGTAGAACCTGCTGCCATATAGATATATGCACAGTGGGTAAAAAAACTTAGTGTGACAACCTTTCAGTCTAGATTTATGTATTTTACAAAGATATCATTTTAAATTTGCAAATGAAACAGTACTCTTAAAAGCAGATGATACTCACTTGGGACAGACAAAAATGTAGTAGAAGGATATAAACGTTACAGGATTTTTCAATTATATAGTATATCTCAAGTCATACTATTATGACTTGTATGTTTTGTAAATTTCCCGTACAGTTTCAAGCATTCTAGCATTTTATAATTCAATTGCCATTTAATTTAAATGGACATGCTAGTTACCACTGCTTTCAGAAGTGTTTGCTTAACTACTTTAACAATTCAATCACTTTGGTGCAAGTTTAAACAAACAGACATGCAACCAAGAATTCATCCTAAGTACTGGTTTTGAGGAACTTTTTTATAACCTGTGGTACTTAGAATTTTACCGTGTTCCCATATCCTGGGAGTTAACTTGACTGGCAGGTCCAATTAAATATGAATAATAACAAAACTGATTATGGTGGATTTGTATATTGACCTTTTTCATTTGAGAGGACAATTAAAACGATCTGAATATACCTCAAGATACCTAATATTTCTGGTGACTTGCAATAATCTTTATTGAAAAGGGAAGACCTCATGAAATATTAAAGAAAATTATATCATTCCTTTCAAGGAACAGTCATGCCTATTTAGTTTTAATTCAATACTAACAGCAAGATTACTGTGTACATTTTAATTTTTAAAAATTAAAGGTTTATTTTTTGTCTCGTATCTGTGCAGACATAGATATGTACTTTTCTCACAGACAAGGCTGGCAGTGAGAATCACCCATGTTTTTAGATAATTTCGAAAGTCCTCTGAATTGTACGTGCCTGTGAAAAAAGGAAACATTAATAATTGGCATCATACCTGAGGATTGTCAGGATTTTGAAAGTGTGGGATTTGTCGTTCCCACCAAACTACCCCACAGTGTCACACACTGCAGTCTTTTTAGGCTGGGAGGCGAGTTCAAGAGCTGTTTGTTGTTCCGAGCTTGATCCAGAGAGGATCACTGTTTGACAAGTTCTATTTTAAGTCGTGCCTGAGTGTGCAGGTGTCAGCCTCTTTCATGGCTGTAGAAAAAGCACCATTACACTCCGTCTGTATTCTTCCCCCGACAATGCAGGATCGCCCCCCCGCCCCCCCGCGCGTTTGTTTCTGCTTTGCCAGCCACTTTTTCTTTGGGAAATTCTAGGGAGGGCAGGCGGACAGGACTGCGAGGAAGGGCGAGGAGGGGCAGAAAGAGGTCGTCTGCCACTCCCCTACCTTACAAGGCACGTGGCACTGGCAGTAGCAGCAGCTGGATGCAACAACTGAGATGAGGAACCTCCTCCCAGCAAGAGGATATTGAGAGAAGGAGGAGGTGGCAGCGAAGGCAAGACATGCACACTGTGTCCTTCCCCAAAGGGAGAATCCGCCCTCAAGGGAAAAACCACAAGGAAGCCACTACCCGCCCCGCCTCTGCCAGCTTGCCCCAGTGTCTGGCAGCAGTCCCCATGCACCTGCTCACCTGTCTATCCGTTCGGGGTGGTTGGGGGAGGGACGAGGGGTGTCGGGGTGGGTGGGTGGGAAGAGAAGGAGGGCAGGGCAAAAGAGGGGGTGCACCGAGGGCTCCGCCCCCCCGGAGGCTGTGCGCAGGCGCAGTGGCTGCTACCGCAGGCAGGGGGCGGCAACATGGCGGAGTGAGCGGCGGCGTCGGGGCTTCACAACAACAGTGGTGGCCGTAGCAGCGGCGGCAGCAGCGTCAATAGCATCGGCCACAGCCTGAGCTTCAGCACCGGCCAGCGTCGTGGCCAGCTGCTCGCGTCCTCGGGCTTCTCGGAGCGGCTGCAGCATCTCCGCGGGGGGCGGGCCGGGCCGGACAGACCGGGAGAGGGAGAGAGCAGAGGCAGCGGCGGCGGCAGCGGCAGCGGCAGCGGCACACCTGCTGGGCGGGCACAGCCGCTTGCCCGGCAGCGGTTAGCGGTACCGCCACCGCCGAGAATAAGCCTGCGGATCCCCCGCCGCCTCCGCGGGGGAGAGCGCCGGAGCGGGCCGGGCTGAGGCGCAGGCGGGGAGCGGGCCCGGCGCCGCGGCGCTGGTGGATGCTGGGGCTCCGAGGCGACGGCCGGGGGGCGGGGGCCGAGGCAGGTATAACGGTACCGGCGGCGGCAGCGCCGCTGCTCTTCCCTTCTCCTCAGGAGGGGGGCCAATGGCTAGCGAGAAGCCGGGCCCGGGCCCGGGGCTCGAGCCTCAGCCCGTGGGGCTCATTGCCGTCGGGGCCGCTGGCGGAGGCGGCGGGGGCAGCGGTGGTGGCGGCACCGGGGGCAGCGGGATGGGGGAGCTAAGGGGGGCGTCCGGCTCCGGCTCGGTGATGCTCCCCGCGGGGATGATTAACCCTTCGGTGCCGATCCGCAACATCCGGATGAAATTCGCAGTGTTGATTGGACTCATACAGGTCGGAGAGGTCAGCAACAGGGACATCGTGGAGACGGTGCTCAACCTGGTAAGGAAAAGGCGTGCTCTCAATCTGCTTCCCCAGTCCCCACATACACCGTCCCCAGCGCCTTTCCCTCCCACCCTTCACCCCCAGGGTCACACGCGCCGCGCGTCCCTGGGAGCGCAGAGCGTTCAGCCGGTATTGCCCAGCGGGTGACCTGCCTGCGCGCTGCTAGAGCCACGCCACCTCCCTCCTCTCCTCTTTCTGGTCCTCTCCTGCCACCTGAGCGCAGTGCCCAACTTAACACCGCTTCTTCTCACTTTTTAGGACCGCGAGTAACCCAGTACCCGCGGTGAAGGTTTTGGGTCGACTTTAGAGTTTAGTTAGGAGGTGAGGAGGCCTCCTGTTCTCTGGGGTTCTTTTTCTCACACTTAATTGTCCTTGGTGTCGCTCTCCGAGGATGACAGCCTTGCCCCTGGAGCCTAAATTCCCCCGTGCTGCTGAAATGTGAGAAGCGCATTAGCTTCCAACTTGAGCAGCTGGGGTGTGATGTTTTCGAAGGAGACAGAAAATGATGCAGTTTTGCATCTGTCTTTAAATATTCCAAGGCCATGATGGAGAGTGTTGTGTCTGTATCCATCCCCCTCCATCTCAGAAGCAGCCGTCCCTTCTTTGTAATATTGCCCTGAATATACTGATCTCTTAGTCATTTTTTGTGCACACAAGGTGTGTGAGGACACCAAATCACACAGGTTGATTTCTGTGGTTACTTTCAGTAGTGTGGCATGTGGGTAAAGACTAAAGGAAAGGTTTTAAACGCAGCCCTAGGTTTTGGTTCCTTTCATGGTAAGAAAGAGTTACTGCAGAAGTGTGTATGACTTAATGTTTTGCGCTATCTACAGAGAGGCTCAGAAGCGTTTAAGATGTCAGGGAAAGAAATGGAAAGAAGGAGAGGAGAATCATACATTGAGGATAATTAACAGTAGTTCATATTTAGTGCTTTGTAAATGGAGGTTTTGTTTTGTTTTGTTTTGTTTTTAAATGCAGCCAAGCTTTTTAAACAGTTTTCTCTGCAATAGATCTAGTCTTTGACATACTGTAAGGTTGGGCTTTGGGAGGCAAGACATAAATCGAGAGCAATCAGTTGAGTATTGTATTTGGTGTGGGGTCACAGGAATATAACAATATGCTTACAGGGGTACTTTGTAACACCCATGCAGTCATTTTTCAGCTAAGCAATTATTTTTACTTACTCTATTGGAAAACTGAGAGAAAGCTGCAGCTACATCAGTGGTGTCCTGAGACATGCATTAGATAATGTCTACGGTTTATGAACCTCGTAAATGCACAGAAAAGTTGAAGCTGTTTTTTTCCTTTTGCTAGTGTGTCAGGTCAAAGGAGATTATCTGTCTTTGTTATATTCATTGCTGTTTAAAACAAAACACCTCTTTTTACTTTTTTGTACCTTTCAAATAAATCATCATGAAAAGTCAGTGTAAGTTTGAGGGAATGTCACTAAGTTGATATAACCAAGTTCTTTTCAGAACACTACTAGAAATACAGTTTTCTTGAGTTTTAATTTTAACTAGCTGCAAATAAGAGGTCAGTACTTGCCATTTCTTTTTAAAAGAAGATAAATCTCAAACTGTTAGTATGTTAGCAGGTAACTGTATTTCTGTAATTTAAAGGAACACATTTTTAGTTGCAGTTTTGATCTAACCAATATCATTTTTAAGTTAGATTATATTAGGCTATTTTAGTAAGTATTCCTATGCTTACTTAATACATTTTAACCTGGTAAGAGGCAGTAGAGCTTTCACAACCTGGAAACTGATTTGAATGTATAACCAGTTTGGACTCTGCAGCAGTAGCAATGTGTGCTGAATCAGTTCTTAACAGATGGGGTTTTTTAGATATACGGTAGACTAAGAAAGGAAGTGAAATGTTTCTCTTGAGATAAAAAAGAAATTTAACTCTTCAGAGCAATGAAAATCTGACATGAAGTTTCAGTATGCAGACGTTATTTTAGAGAACTTTACCATTAAGCTTAGAGTCACTAGAAATAAAGTAATACTGAGATAGTATATCCCCAAATCTACCTAAGATTTTGTAACTGCAATGATATTTGGAATTTAAAGAGTTAGGTTTAAAATTTCTTTGTATGTATTTAAAGAATGCAATAGATTTTTAAATAGAAACTTTTGGAGAAAAGAATAAATGACAAAAGGAGCTGTTTATTACTAAGTTGTTAATTATATTAATTGTGGAGTATAAATTAGTCATTTGAAGTGTAATTTTCTTGAACTGTAGATTTAGGGCTTTATTGTCCAATACACTCATGAAAATGTCATATGAAAATTTAAGTGGATTCTCAAAAATATGTGGAAGTCATGGGCATTTAAAAAACTGATTATCAAACTTAATTCTATTTATTTAGTAAGTAAACCAATAAAATTCATATAGGACACTCAGTGACTCGTTAGAGTTTGGAAACCTTTAATATTAAATCTAAAATGATTTTTTAAAATTTTCAGTTTTAGTTTAACACATTAAATAAAAATGTAAGGTGAAATAGTGAAATACCTATTACTGTGCCCTGAATGACAGAAAAGAAAGGAGAACTAATGAAACTTCAAAAAAAAGAGGAGTTTCTACCTTAAACAATACCTTTGTCTCAGTCGCCTTTGTCAGTATATTTTTCTTTCTTTTTCCTGTTTATTTTTTCTTCCTATGTAAGGATACTCATAAATACTTGGTTTTTAGGTGCTGTTTCTCACATGCCTTGGCCAAAGAATTAAAAGCTGGGCAGAGTGAAGTTTTAAGCATGCACTAAAGTGTAGGACTTCTTCAACAGAGCGGTGGCTGTAATTTTTCTGCTTTGTTTCCCAAAGGTCTAGAGACCTATTTTTACTACTAGGTGGATTGTGGGAGTTTGGTGAGGAATCACCAATGTGATATGATATAAAATTAGTCATTTTTATTAGAGATGTATGTATTTTGTATAATGATGTTATAGTTGACTTAAAACAGTGAAATATGGAATGGATAATGTTAGGAAGGTAGGTAAATTAGTTTGTGAATAAAGTTACAGTCAGAGTGCATTGTCAAGGATTTTGCATTGTAGCTCTACTAATGAAAGAAACTGATCGTTAACAAAGTTTGGCTTCTGGAGGAATTATTTAAAGTGGCAATATAAGAGAATTTAACTACAGAGAAGAGATTTTGTTGATTGTTTTCAGTTGTAAAACTGGCGTACTACCTAATCTATTACTTCTTTTGTAAACACACTTAACATATGTTTATATAAGCTTTATCCATATTTGAAGTAAAAGCTATGTAAGTATCGTGTTATTGTTGCTTATAACATGGAAGTTTCTTTTATAAACATAAATTTCTAGAAAAATATGTTTATAATAGAGGATTAATATTTACTTAGTGAAAGAATTCATAATTTTTTTGGAATGGCTTTCTTATGTGTATAGTATAATTCTATGATTATAATTATGGAATTTAATTATAGACAAATTTTTTATGAATAACTGAATTCATGAAATTTTTTCATGAAATTTTTTCATGGATTTGTAGTTTTTTTTCATGAGTTACAGTGAGTTATATCAGTGTGTCCAGTTGTAGAAAATGATATTTCCTCTGATTTTTTTTTTTTTTTACATTCTAAGTGGCATGCTGTTGGCTGAACTGGAAGCCTAATAAGATGCTTTGAAGGGATTTGTGGTTTACCAAATTTCTCTCATCTTGGCTTATGGATCATGGTATTTTTGTTAAAAGGGTAACTTTAAGGTTTTTTTTTTTTTTGTACTTGAATATGGCAGTAACTCTTCTTCCTTAGAGTTTTTTTAAATTTGCAGCTTGATAGTCATAATTTTCATTTTAAAGATATTTAGAATTTTACAAACAAGGTGTCTTCTGCATTTGAATTATATTTATTTAAAAAATATACAGTTGCATCTTAGAATCATGGAGGTCCTTAATACTAATAAAACCACATTTATATTAAAATAATTTCCTGCATTTTAATTTATGTTGATATATAAGCCTTTTCATATTAATTTGAGTTGTATTTTATTCTCATGATTGGGTATGGAAAATAAAATTCAGGATTCATATGTAAATGCTCGAGGTTTCAATATCTTAAGGAGTTTTGAGATTTTCCTTAGAAATATTAATTTAGTCACATAATGACACTAAGGCAGCAAATATTCTGTGGTCAGTCAACGATCAAGTTATATTAATTTTAAATAAATGTTTTGTGTATTGCTAGCTGCTTTTTGGTAAATACTATGCTGCTAATTAAAAATATCTCAAGGTTCTTTATTCTTTTGCTATACTTTTCCCAAACAGTGTGAAATAATTTATTGGGTCTAACAGACCCAGTGCCCGTTTTGTGTCACTGGTATAGCTGTATTATAAAATTCAGTCACCTGCATTTTTTTTTTAACTATATACTGAACATATTGTTATGCATTAGTTCCAGGTTTTCCATTTCTTGTCTTTATACAATGTCAGCATATCTCTTTGGCATCACATATCACCCTGTAGCATTGCAGTTATTTATGTGTGTTTCCCTTCCTAGGCTGTGAACTCCATGAGGGCAGGAATTGATTTTATGTATATTTATTTTTTGTATTTCTAGGCCTTGGATAAGTTAAGTGCGTTTGTAGTGTGCAGGACACTGTATTAGGCAGTAATGATTATGGTCAGTTTCTGAAGTTATGTTCAACATTACGGTCCAGACTTAGGATCCTGAAATAAACTCATATATAAAGTCAACTCATATAAACTTTATGTATTTCTTATTCCTCAAACTAGAAATATGTGTTCAATGTGTATGATATTACCTGACTGTGTAGGCATTACTGCATATGTAGATGTTATTTTGAACTGGCATCTGTTAGTAAGTTCGAATCTGGTAAAAACTTTTCAGTAAACTTTTATGTATAATCAAATATAATCACATAACAAGGTCATGTTGTTAACAAAGAAAATACGTAATGCATTGAAGAGAAATTGTAGAAAATATTGTTAGCATTTGTCATATTGCCAAGAATAGTGGACATCTCTTGTTTTTGTGTGTCTGGCGTACATGTCACCTCTTTGTAGTGGTACCTCAGTTTTCCTTTGATGACTCACTTATTCCCCATTTGTAGTTCAGCTGGTTTAGGTGGGTCTACCCCACTGCCTGCCTTGAGGGTCAGACATCTAACCTAGGTGTGGCAAGAATTGTGGTGATTGGTTCAGGGACAAACATTTAACCCAAGGGTAGCGAGCCAGAGTAGGTTCCAGGAATTGTGCTGGAAGGCTTTCTGATGGGGATGCTGAATGTGTAAATTCTTAAGAGTTGTAGGTCCCTGTCTTAGAATTTGATCAGGTGTAAAGCAAACAACCTCATGATTCTGTTGGAGAACCTAGAGTTCTTTATGTCTGTGGTGATTATCTTCTAACCATTAAATTATCTCCTTTAAAATTTACTATTGTTATTTATTTCAAATCAGTGTAAGTTGGGTTTTTTGTCACTTGTAAATAGAAGGAATCCCCAGTAACATAGACATTAGTATCTGGAAATGACACATTGTAGGAAACAGACCTTAGATTTTGAAATGGAGTGGAAGGCAGTGAGAACTTTGTGGTCCTCTAGCAGTTCCGTTTTACAGAGCAGCTGTTTAAATTGTCACCTGTGTTATCTTTGTCAATGGAACTACTGAGGTTGGAATTTTAGGGATGTTGGAATGTTTTGGTCACTTTTTGGGGTCTTTGATACAATGTCTTTTAAGAGAGCAGTTAACTTCGGTCCAAGTTAGCATGCTTGAAAGCAAAGCAGAAAGAAAATGTAGCCTTTCCAAGGCAGAGAGGCTCTTTCTGCCTGTAGCTGCCATCCAAGATAGCAGAGAATTAGAATATTAAAGCTTTGTAGGTCATAAAGGCCTAAGTTTTTACCCCGTGCTAAAGTTGGCAAGAGGAAAGCCAAGAGTTTAAATGAGAACCAAATAAAGTTCTGTCTGATAAGCTTCTCCCAAGCCTCGCATGCAGTATACGCCAGCCTTCTGACCAAAGTAACAGTAATCCAGTTGTGAAGAGCTTTAAAATAGGATGCAACCAGGGAGCAAGTGATAGAATAGCTGTGCCTCCTCACCCAGTTTATTGTTTCACATTGCTTCAAGGAAGATCATTAAGCTGACGGTTAAGGGGATAAGAGTACTGGGAAGGCCTATTGCTATGAGACTGAAACTTAAAAGCTGACAAGATCCTGACAGGATCTCCTGTTTTGGTTGCGAATTCAACTCCTTTTACTTAAGTAAATTGACGAAAAACTTACCAAAGTTTAAGGAAGCCATACTTCTAGAGAAACCTCAAGCCTGGTAAACAAAGGCCTGCATTCTTTTACTTCTAAGGCAATTCTAAGCTCCAGCAGTGTAGCTGCTAGAAGGAAAATCTGCGTTATGGAGGCTAATAAGTGAGATCTTCTGAGATATAGTGGTAGTGAATGTGTTCATTTTGGCCGACCCAAGGAATTCCATTAGCAAGGACAGGGAATTCTTGTTACTCTGACCAATGATATATGGTTTATGCTTTGAAATTAGTTATCATGGTGTTTCTTTAACCTTCTCCAGTCTTCTAAGTGCAGTTATTGTTTCTTAATGTTCTTTTACCATTGTATATTAATTAGAAGTTATAGTTAAATTCATTATATAGCTATATAATTGGTCAGGTTTGAGGTACCACCAAGAAGAATATTGTCATAACACAAAAATTTCAGACTTGAGGTTAGATGCAGTAATTTGTCTTTGTCTTTTTTCACCCTCTGGTAAGGTGGTAAGTACACTTTCTATTGTGTCTAAGATAGCCATGTTAAACATGGATATTTAAGTAGTTATATGTATGAAAAGAAGTGAGTGTCTGAGATGGGTGGGTAGCCAAGGACTCTAATGTTATAGATTTCTGACGGTTTTGGCTGCCTAGCATCCATTCTTTCTGCTGTTAACATTCTCGATTTTTTGATACTCTTTTAGGGAGTCATTCTTGATTTTTATGGTCTGGGGCTTCACTGGACTTTATCCTGCTTTCCTGGACCAGACAGAGAAACTGACGTCTGGCCCAACAGTAACTGGTATTGGTTATAAAATTTAGCTGCATTTCTGAGACAGCTTGATAACTTCTTTCTGAAGAAAGAAAAAGGTGCTTTCGCTGGGGTTGCTGAAAATGTTAGAATGTAAGTCTAGAATTGATTGCAGTCTGCACCATGAAGTCAGATTCTACTTGAGAACAGAGCTGTTAAAGAGGCACCTAAAACCAAGCCATACATTGCTGATGGCAGCTTTGGATCCCCTCAAGTCAGTTTTATCTCCAGATGTTTCAGTGCATCATTTTGCCTTAAGCCAGTTTGAGTTGGGTTTCTATCCATTTGTGCCCCAATATTCTAAATTAAAAAATATTTAAATACTAATGTTTAAATTAAATATTCTAATATTCTAAATTAAAAAATTTAGAATATTCTAATTTTCTAAATTAAATATTTAGAAATATTTAATTTCTAATATTCTAAATTAAAAAAATTTTAAATACTTTAGGTATTAAATATTACAGGACGAAGCATAAGAAAAATGTTTACTTGTCAAAGAACTTGATATATTTCAAGAAAGAAGAAATATACATGTTTAATTAATATAAAAATACTCACTTTGGCTAAATAAGAACATAAGGCAACAGATAACATGAAAAGGAAGTGATTAAAAAGAAATGACCAGCTGGTCATGGTGGCTCATGCCTGTAATTCCAGCACTTTGGGAGTCTGAGGTGGGAGGATTGCTTGAGCCAGGGAGTTCAAGACCAACCTAAGCAACAACCCTGGAGGTTGAGTCTGCAGTGAGCTGTGATCACGTCACTGCATTCCAGCCTGGGTGATGGAGTAAGATCCTGTCTCACAAAAAAAGAAATGATGATTGTTTGCTAGGGCAAGTTAAAATAATCTTAAATGCTCTTTCTGGGCTCGTAAACTGTTACAGCTATTCCGAGTGACATTTTACCAATATGTATCAAGGATTTTAAAGAGGTTCCTATAATTTATTCTTAGTTCTTTAGGCTAAGGAAAAAAATACCTGTGGACAGGTATGAAAATTAAGTGTATTTTTATGATATAACATGTGGCAACAACTTAAATGTTCAACAATAGGAAAACATTAAATATATTATTTTTACATCCATGTTATGAAATAACATACAGCTATTAAAACATTCTGTGCCTCAGTTTCTTTGTGTGTAAAATGGGATTTCAACCTTATAAGATAGATATACAGGTTGTACAGATTAAATGGGTTAATATATGTAAAGTGCTTGGTATATAGTAAACTTTAGTTAGTACTTACTATTGTTGTTTTAGTTATTACCTTGGTCCTGAGAATCACCTGACCATAGAAAGAAGTAATGACCTAACTGAAAGTGATCTGTCCTATTTTAGCTTGGAGTACCTGAGCCTAGTGACCTGTCAGGGAGGGGACTCTTAGGTACACACAGATCATGATCTCCTGCTGAAGCACAGGACATCTGTTGTCTTGAATCCTGCATAGTCTTTATCAGTGCCTGAGGTAGTTTTTCTGATTTCTTACTTTGCATGAGGAGGGTGAGAAACTGGGGATGGAAGAGGCAAGAGGTAACACCAGTTCCTTTGTGTGGAGTCTCTTCCATCTCTTCTCTCACAGGGCTGACTTTCACATGTTGATGTAGTAAGACATGAATGGTGATCCAAGGCAAATAGTAACTCCCTCTGGGAGTATTTGCTTAAATATTTAGAAGACTACTTGGGTAACAAGTCTAAGGGGCAAGTTAAAGGATTAAAAACTAATTTATGACTATTTTAGAAACTAACATTAGCCTATAGTTTAATAGCTCTTAACTATTTACAGTACACTTGCGGAATTGAACACAGCAGTGTCCTCTAACCCTCAGAATAATTTCCTTTTATAGATACCATTCCTGCTTTACATATGTAGAAACTAAGGCTGTAGAAAATGTGAAGTAATTAGACAAGGTTATCTAGGTACTAAGTAGCACAGCTGGGACTCAGACCTTCAGGTTCCAAAGCTAGAGTTCTTTCCCATTACTAAGCAAATGTAGCTAGTACTTAGAAATTATCCCAAAAACAGCATGTATGAAGAGATGATGTTGGAAGGGGAGGGACCAGCCAGCCTCAGTGAGTTGATTCTCTGGTAGGGAATGTGTCCCATAGACAACTTAGGACAGGCTATTCAGAGGAAATTAAAAATGAATGCAGGTCAATTGAATGGATTTGTACACTAAAGTGACTTAGCAAGAACTGTACCATGAGTTATTAATATTTGAGTTTTAGGAAATAATTGGTTATGTGGTAAATGGCTTTGAATTTTATACATTTTCACTGGGTATAATGTGGATACTTGAGGGATTACTCTGAACCAGAATAGTAGTATGCATTAATATATTATACAGAAAAAGTAAATTCGTGATTTTCTTGTTATATATTGGAGGTAATTATTTGAACCACTGTATATACCATATTTGCTTGAATAAAACAAATGAGTTATAGAAGGAATTATACTAGCATCTGGGTAATATAATTTCTAATAATTGTGATTTCTCTTTCAGTTTATGAAGATAGAGCAAACATTGGTTAATAGCAAATTTTATGGGAGTAAAAATATCTAGATATATTTCTCTTTAGCAAATACTTTCATTTTCTGAGAAAAATAACGCAGCAGATTAAAAGATGGTATATAAATATTTTTATGTTATTTAATTTTTTTACATTTGGGAAGGGAATTGGCATTTATAGATTGGGTTTGGGTTCATATCTTATGTTTTTAATGTCCTCTTCCAACTCCTTTGAAATAATAACTAATCTATAACTGAGGTTAAGGAGCTTGTCCAAGATGGCAAAATTGCTTAGTAGCAGAATGAGATCCAAAGTTGGATCTTCCATTTCCAAGTTTTGCTATTTAAATACACCATTACCTTTGATAATGATGATGATGACAGTGATAGAATCTTTACATGTCAGGCACTGTGTTAAGCATATGACCTATGTTATCTTATTTAATCATCTTGACCTATATTGTGAAATATTCAGTGAAATAAAGTAATTGTCTTTTTAAGCTAAGCAAGTCTGCTGTCTTAAAAGACAAGTGTTTTCAACTCTGAATATATAAACGATACTTGATTATAAAATGTCATAGAATTATTTCACTTAATTTATACTAATTCTTTATAACTTGATCCCCCTTTCAAAGTCCTTGACTTTAAATGAAGTATTTAAATTTTTTTAACCTTAGGAGATATGAGTTATCAGTACAAGAATGTTCCTTTTATTATAATATATTGACTGTTACTTGATAGTTGTTACATTTCTCAAGTCATCATATTCTTCCATCTTTTGTCTAAAGAACAGCTCATCTTTCAAGATTTAGCTCTTACCCCTATTTAAGTGACGTCTTCCCTGATATTCCCCTAAAAGCTATTCCTCCCAACATGTACTTTCCCATAGAATTTTATACATATTTCAGATTTAGTACCCACACATTCTATTTTAAATTACAGTTGGCCCTCTGTATCCATGGGTTCCATATCCGTGAATTCAGTTTGGATAGAAAATATATGAGAAAAAAATGGATGGTTGCATCCATACTAAACATGTATAGACTTTTTAATCTTGTCATTATTCTCTAAACCAGGGGTTCCCAACCCCTGGGCCACGGACCTGTTAGGAACTGGGCCGCACAGCAGAAAGTGGGCCATGGGTGAGCGAGCATTACCACCTGAGCTCTGCCTCCTGTCAGATCAGCAGTGCCGTTAGATTCTCAAAGGAGAGCAAACCCTATCATGAACTGCGCAAGCAAGGGATCTAGGTTGTGCGCTCCTTATGAAAATCTAATGCCTGATGATCTGAGGTGGAACAGTTTCATCCCAAAACCATTCCCCCTGAACCCCCCTATTCATGGAAAAATTGTCTTCCATGAAACTGGCTCCTGGTGCCAAAAAGGTTGGGGATCGCTGCCCTAAAGAATATAGTATAGAACTATTTACATAGCATTTACATTGTATTAGGTATTATCTGGAGAGGAGTTAAAGTATACAGGAGGGTGTGCATAGGTTATGTGCAAATACTATACCATTGTATACCAGGAACTTGGGAATCTATGGATTTTGGTAACCACAGGGGGCCCTGGAACCAATCCCCCAGAGATATCAAGGGACAACTGTGTTTGTTTACTTATCAGACTGCACTAGAGGCTCTGAATCTTTTGAGGATCAGCACATTATCTTACCTTGCTATTATGAGTATTTAACATAGTATCTGGCATTTTGTGGTGTTTAGTGAACTTTACTGTGGATATTTTCTCTCATCTTTGGTATAGTTAGTTTGCTTGTTTCAGTCATATTCAGCTTCGGCACAAATCTTATCTTTGCAGGCTATTCTGATTCTTTTAATTTCTACATTTTCCTCTTGCTTTAACATTTCAGTTTTTATTTTTGAGTGGGGGATGATTGGTGTACCTACATGTATGCAGTTGTCCCTTGGTATCCATGGAAGATTGGTTTCAGGACCCCTCAGGATACCAAAATCCATGGATGCTCAAGTCGTTTGTATAAAATGGCATAGTATTTGCATATAACCAATGAATATCTTCTCATATACTTCAAATCATCTCCAGATTACTTATAATACCTAATGCAGTGTAAATGCTAGGTAAATAGTTGTTCTGTTGCAGTGTTGAGGGAAGTGACAAGAAAAAATGTACATGTTCAATACAGATGCAACCATCTATTTTTTAAAAGAAATATTTTCGATCCCCTATTGGTTGAATCTATGGATGTAGAACTCATGGATACAGAGGGTCCACTGTAAATACATGGTTTATATTTTAAAAAAAGTTTTCTGGATATTTGAGACTGGTAAGGAGTCAGAGTGTTTTTGGATCTGGTCAATGGCCTGACTCTTTCACTTGCATAGATGAGGAAACTGAGAACCAGGTAGGTTAAGATTCTATGGTCCTTCACAGACTAGGAATTAACACCCAGATTCCCTGACCCTTCGTCCAGTTCTTTTTTCATTTTATCTTGATGACTGTAGTTCTACTTTGCTTAAGCTCAGTTTCTGCTTTATAACTTTCATATGGAAACTTCCGTTTTTACTCCAGCAGGCTCAGAATACTTAAAATGATAGTTAAATAAATTACTGATTAATCCTAATCTAGTGTGCTATTGCTAGAGTCAAGATACTTCTTGGGTACATAAAAGAGTAACATAATTCATACCTTCAAATAACTTGAAATTCAGAACAGGGAATGGAAGAATAAACAGATAAATTATAATGGATGAAAGTGATATTGTAGAGATAGAAACAAAGTGCTGTGGGAACATTAATGGAGCTCCTAACTTTCCTTGGAGGAGTTGGGAAGGCTTCATGGGTAGACGTCTTGTGAAAGGGATCTCGAAGGACAAGTAACTGTTCCAGGATTAAAAGAGCAGGAAAAGAACAGCTTTCCACAAAGGGATAGCTTGCACAGTGACAAGAGCCACGAAAGAGTGTTTTCATGGTTTTTTGCCTTAATGCTAACTATAGACTACAGTAAATTAAATCAACTTTATTTCTTTTTGTAGAAATCATTTTTTTTTAAAATTCTAGTAGTACAGTTGACCATTCATATCTTTCAGTTAGGAGGAGTTAATTACCCCTTCTTGTAGGAGGGTCAGCCTTTTGTTCTGTTTAGGCCTTCAACTGATTGGTTGAATGAGGCCCATCCACATTAGGGAGGGCAATCTGTTTATACAGTATACTAATGCAAATGCTAATCTCATTCAAAAACACCCTCACAGACATTCAGAATAATATTTAATGAAATACATGGGCATTCTCTGGCCCAGTTAAGTTGACACCTAAAATTAACCATCATAAGAGGTATGTATTTTTTCTATCAACTCTCCCTTTTATTTGACTGTTGAAAGATATATTGTTATACCCATTGCAGAAAAATTATAAACCTGTGCACATGGTAGGCATTTAATAAATATCAAATGAATGAAGTACAAAAATGAATGAGACTCACTGGCAAAGAAAAAAGACGACTTTAATTTTGAGTATATTGTAATTCTGAAGAGAATGTAAAGATGAATAGATGAAAATTAACATTTTAACATTTGGCATTTACGTTTATTTTCAGTAGTCTTTGAGGTGAATGATGATTAACTTTTTAAGGAAATTAGTGTTTTCCATTTATAAAAAATGAAATTTATATACAAATAATCAATTTTTTATAAGAGCAAAAAAACAATGGTTTTGAAAGTCAGTGAAAGTTGTTTTTTTTTTTTTTTTTGGTCATTAGGTTTATTCCCAGGCTGGCCTGATATGTTCAAATTCTTGATATCTTTATCTTTTTATAGAGGTAAAATATACATAACATATAATTTATTTCAACCCTTTTTAAAATTTTGTTTTCAATTGACACATAATTGTATGTATTTCTGGGGTCTAATGTGATGTTTTGATACATGTATACATTGTGTAAAAATCAAATTGGGGTAGTTAGCATGTCCATCACCTCAACTATTTATAATTTCTTTGTGATAAGAACACTCAAAATCTTCTGGTTATTTTGAAGTACACAGTACAATATTGTTAATCATAGTCACTGTATATTTTAACCATTTTAAAGTTTACAGTTTGGTGGCATTAAGTGATTTCACGTTGTTGTTCAACCATCATCACCATCCTTGTCCAGAATTTTTTCATCTTCCCAAACTGAAATCCTGTGCCCATTAAATAGTAACTTCCATTTCTCCTCTCCCAACCTCGGGTGATCCGCCCACCTCGGCCTCCCAAAGTGTTGGGCTTACAGGTGTGAGCCACTGCACCCAGCCAAAAGTAATTTCTACAGGACTCAGATTCTTTAGTTCTGTTTCTTTAATATCATGTGGAATATATATATATATACACACACACACACATATATATACACACACACATATATACATACATATGTATAAACACAAACACATACACACACACATATATATACCCACCATAGTGATATTTATTTAAAAATTCATTTTTTCCCTTGCATTTGTTTTGTTCTCATAGTAGAGCTACTCTTGATTCTCTTATCTTGAAACTTCTATGTATTGCTCCACACCTAGCCCTAACCCTGTATTTTCATAGTATTCCATTTCCTTCATCTTTATTACAAAGCTTAAAATAATTAAACTGGGAAGACAGTCTTAAAAGGTGAGGGAGGTGAAGAGACTCAGCAGGCCAAGCCAGAATTCTGGCACAGGAAAAGAAAGACCACGAACACTCACACATGTATAATTTTTGTTTTGTCACCTAAAAATCGATTTGTGGACAACAAAACTAATTTGTTATGTATGATTAAGCCTGATGATTTCACTTCCTTACTGAATATTCAGCAGTGATTTTATCCCAAGTCCTCCTTTATCTAAAGCAAAATACCTGTAATTCATCTTTTCCTTAAGAGATTGTAAACATGTTACATTAAACAATCTGAATTTTAACATTAAAAAAAGGTAAAGCAAAAACTTCTATTTATCTTTCATACTACCTGTCTATTTATAGGCTTCTAGAGAGCATGACCAATATCTATTTGAACTTATTTTATATAACATATAACTTCTGAAGATACGTGTTTTCGCTACAACCCCTTTGTTTTTGTATTTTTAAGAAACAACATAAATTTATTACCTTTATTATAGTCCTAGCTAATCTTAAATAACTTACGCAAGACTTATCAGCCATGGATATATTTATAACTCTTTTGAGTCTATTTATAGCTTTATTTGTCTCTTTGTTTGCTTCTTTTTGTTTGTGTACAGCTATACTATCCAGTGTGGAAGCCCATTTCTTGTGGCGGTGAGCGCTTATAATGTGGCTTTTGAGAATTGAGTGTTCTTTAAGTGTAAAATACACAATGAATTTCAAAGACTTAGTTAAAAAATATATCTTATTAATAATGTTTTATATTAGTTACATGTTGTAGATATATTGCCTTTAGGTTATTTTATTATAAATAAAGCATACTTATTAAAATTCATTTTACCTGTTTATATTTCTTTTAATGTGACTACTTAAATTTTAAAAATTATATATGTACCTCACATTATATTTCTTTTAGATAGCATTGTTCTAACTGAGGTAAGTCAGTTGTTAGGTCTTATATTGGAGACTTTGGGAGACAAATTCATATTTTACATGATTTTATGAACTATAATAGTCACTTGTCCTTTATCTTTGGAGCAAAAACGATTCATTTTTATTTATAATGAAATTAGAGGATATTCATCAGTAAGAAGGGGAGGACAGATTCAGATTAAGTTTTGACTGGGGGAAGTGACAATGGGAGGAGACCCTCTAATGCCTGGTAAAGTCAGGCCTGTTATATAGTAAACATTTGATACATATTAATTTTTTAAAAATTGGGTCAGGATTTGAAGAAATAGTAATAATAGGATATTTCACACCATGAATAGAGTTATAGTTTAAATGCATAGGTGTAAGTTTAGGCCCTGGGGAGACTGGAGGTGCTTTTGGTTTTTACTGCCTGCCCTTGAGAGTAGGAGCTAGAACTCCGGGCATTTGTGAAAAATGAATAAGAGAAAAGGTGGAGGAAGGGATGAGAGTAAGTAAACTGAGAGTGTTTGGAACTTATTTCTAATTTTTGCAGTCTCATAAAATTTGATTTCCAAGAATTGCAATAGTTTATCAAAGTAGAGTTAAATGGCTTGCTAAAACTGAGAAGAAAATTCAAGTTGGTCTGATACAGTTCAGTATTCTAAGATCAGGATCACCATGAATATGGATTTTTCCTTAACTGTTTTGGTAGCAGCACTATTATGTCAAACCTTTCTTTTTCTGTAAGGATATCCTGTCCCCTCACCACCTCCTAAAGGAATTGTTTTTTTCCTTCCTGCAAATTGAGTTACAGTTTTCCATTAATCTGCAATAAAAATTGAAAGTATGTTACAGAAAAAATACCTTAGAAGCCAGGTCAAATAGTATTATATGTAATAATACAGTAACTAATTATGAAGTGCTATGTTTATTTGTCGTGTTTTTTAAGAGTTGAGGTTTAATGATTCTTTTTTTTACCAAAATGTTACTTTTCATATTGTAAGTTTCTTTAGAGTATCTATTGCTATGAATAAAATATTCTAAGGTGTGAATTTTATGTTTTTTTCGTAGGTGTTAATCTGTTCACATGCTTGTTTCATTGCTGTTGTTGTTGGAAGTCGTCCACCTGGCAGACAGGAAGCTCTGCTTGGGTGGGATTGGAGGTGCAGTCTTTCAATACTGGACTATACTAAGTATAGATTCCAATGGCAATGTAATTCCATTTCCTTGGCCTCATTAATACTACATAGCAGTTCAAGATTCCTGGAATGGTCATAAAATTCTTTTGAACTATTAACAGTTTCTCATCCAGGCCTTAGGATAAAAAAAAATGTTCATTTTTAGGGTGACTGACATACTTATTTTAGGAGTCTGTTGAGTAGCTGTGAAGAAGCATTTTTTCTTTTTAAAAGTACTCATTTCCATAAGTGTCATAGGGAGTATGTTGAGCGAATAGGTTTTGGTCAGATTTGCTGATGCTGCATAATGACATTTTGGTCTACAATGGACCACATATACAATGGTGGTCCCATAAGATTATGATGGAGCTGAAAAATTCTTATCTCCTAGTGAAGTCAGAGATATCATAATGTCATAGCACAATGCATCATTCACTGTGGTGATGGTGGTGTAAACAAACCTATTGCACTGCTAGTTGTATAAAGGTATAGCACATACAGTTATGTACAGTACATAATACTTGATAATAAGCAGCTATGTTACTGGTTTATGTATTTGCTATACTGTACTTTTTATCATTATTTTAGCAAGAACTCAAGCTTAAAAAAAAAGTTAACTGTAAAACAGCCTCAGGCAGGTCTTGCAGGAGGTATTCCAGAAGAAGGCATTGTTATGATAAGAGATGACAGCTCCATGGGTGTTGTTGCCCCTGAAGACTTTTCAGTGGGACATGATGTGGCGGTGGAAGACAGTGTTCTTGAAGATCCTGACACTTCGTAGGTTTAGGCTAATGTGTGTGTTTGTGTCTTAGTTTTTAACACAAAAGTTTAAAAAGTTAAAAAGTAAACATAGAAAAAGGTTATAGAATAAGATACAAAGAAAATATTTTTGTATAGTCATATAATGTGTTTGTGTTTTAAGCTAATTATTATAAAAGTCAAAAAGTTAAAAAAATGAAAGTTTATAAAGTAAAAAAGTTTATAGTAAGCTAAGTTTACTTTAATATTAAAGAAATAAACTTTTTTTTGTAAATTAAGTGTAGCTCAAGTATATACATTTTATAAAGTCTGTGGTAGTTATTGTAATGTCCTAGGCCTTCACATTCACTCACCACACAACCACTGACTCACCCAGAGCAACTTCCAGTCTTGGAAGCTCCATTCATGTTAAGTGTTCTCTACAGGTGTACCATGTTTTATCTTTTATAGTATATTTTTACTGTATCTTTTCTGTGTCTAGATATGTTTGGATATATTAATACTATTGAATTATAATTGTTTATGCAATACAGTAACATGCTGTGCAGGTTTGCAGCCTAGGAACAATGGGCCATACCATAGAGCCTATGTATGTGGGCTGTTCCATCTAAGTTTGTCTAAGTACACTCTGATATTTGTACAACAACAAAATCAACTAATGACACATTTCTCAAAATGTATCTCTGTTGTTAAGTGATGAATGACTGTATTTTATCCTAGAAATAATGTTTAACCTTATTAGTGATGTGCACTCTGAAAGATAAACTAATATATTTTAGTTACTGTATGACAAACTGTCACTCAGTGTGACAGCTGAACCCAATTACATTGAAAAATTATGCTGCCAAACTCTGAAATAAATTGAAGATGACCTGGCTGGAAAATATAGGATATAGACATTTACAACAGAGATTTGAATTCCAACGAAAGAATGGTTGTAGTTTTGGATCGGTATGCATTTTATATTTTAGAACCTTAATTTATTATCTGTGTATGTAAAAAGATTAGAGCGGTATTAGTGGGAAGATTGTTTATGGGAATAAAATTTAATAATTAGATGTGTCACACTTGTGGCATGTTATTAGTTGTTAAAGAGGGACTCTATTAATGTAGCTTATTCCTGAGAAAAAACCACAAGTCTAATAAAAGTTTTGCTTTATATTATTATCAGGATATGATCAGATATTAATGTTTAACATACACTCATAAGTTATTAAATTATATCATTGTCCAGTTTTGACTCAGTTATTCAGTGTGGGTTACTATATTTAGCTCACAGATGATCTATTCTTTTGCTCCTAGCTATTTCTCTGTGGCTTCCCCTCCTCCTGCACGCACCCCCATATAAATACCAGTCTATTGGATCTAAATATGTATATTCATTTTCAATCTAACTTCATATCTGGTCACATATCCATTTTATCCCACAAACTTTTATTGATTACTTACCGTATGTAAAGCTAGGCACTTCGGATACAATGATCAAGATAAGGTCTCTGCCCTGGAGTTTATAGAGTTGTAGAGGGTGACAAATATGGGCAATGAGATGTGTAAATTCTATCATAGAAATCAATTAGGGTATTGTGGGCTACACTGAAAAAAGAAATCTACCAAGTAAGTCAAGGTAAGTCTTTATAAAGGTGATGAAGCTTGAGTTGAGTTTTGAAAGATGGCTAGAAGCTAGATCTGGCTACAGCTGTGTGGTCCAGCATGGCGGCCACTAGCCACACATGTGGCTAGTGAGCATTTAAAATGTCCTTAGAATATAAAATGCACACTTAATTTTGAGGGCTAGGTGTAAAAAAAATGTAAAATATCTCAATAATTTCATAATATTTACTACATTTTGAAATGATATTTTGGATATTTGGGTATATGTACTGAGTTAATACAAGTTAATTTCACCTGTTTTATTTTACATTTTTCTTTTCATGTGGCTAATAGAAAGTTTGAAGTTATGTATATGGCTTGTATCTGTGACTTGCGCTGTATTTTTATTGGCTATCAGTGGTCTGGAGATTTCTGAAATTTTTAAGATTTTTAAATTAGATGAACCATTAGAAGTATAGAAAGAAACTAAAATATATTCTAGCATGCCCTCTTTTTCTCTCTATGTGTGCATATGTGTGTACATATGTGTCTATATATACACACACATAACCTTTATATTGTTCAAGTCATTCATACTTTGGGTTTTCTGGTTATATGTCAGTAAACCTCATCCTAACAGATACATTGAATTAATAGCAACAATTTAAAAACCACAGACCACTGGGGAAAAACTTGTTCTCCCTACTCTGGCAAAAATTGCTTAAATAATTCATGGAAATCAATATGGCAACAAATTTAAAATACATTTTATTGTCAGCAAATACTTTGAAAGGAAAATTGAAAACGTTACAGAGTTGAGGAAACAATTATTAGAATCAAATGTTGGAGTTTGTTTTAAGTACAATGAGAGTACTCTTATTCCCAACATGTTTTTATATATTATTTGCTATATTGTGTTTCTTAATGAAATAAACAACTGCTTTTTGTGAGCTCTATAAAAATATATATAAGTGAATGTACACTTTCGACAGAAATTCCTGTATTCCCTGCTTATTGAAACCAGAAATCAAGAAGGAATTCTACCTTTACCTGGAAAGCAGAAGATGTGTTTTGTGAAGATTTACTTGACTTATCAGAACAAGTCTCTCTTCCGGTATTTAGATTGCTACTTTGTATATTAACTGTCAGGGGCACCATATTTTAAACAGGACTCTGAATTGAATACTAGAACTCCAGAATGCTGGTGCTTGATAAGATTTTAAAGATTATTTAGTTTTTCAGATGTGGAAACCTAGGCACAGAGAAATTACTGATTTAATGTGGGATACTCCGATTTTAAGTTGCCATACTGTGGAACTGGATTTCAGGTGTTTGATTTTCTAGTCTAGCAATGATCTCTTTGGTTATATTAACGTGAGTCTCTTGGGTTTGGCTGGTGTATTAGTTTACTGGAGGTGTCATGACACATACTGCAGACTGGGTGGCTTAAAAAATTGTAATTTATTTTCTCACAGTTCTAGTGGCCGCAGGACTGGTTTCTTCTGAACCTTTCTCCTTGGCTTGCAGATGGCCGTCTTTTCCCTTTGTCTTCATATGTGCTTTCCTTTGTGTGTCTATGTCCTAATCTCCTGTTCTTATGTGAACATCAGTTATATTAGATTAGGGCCTATCCATATGATTTCATTTTATCTGACTTATCTCTTTAAAGGTTCTATCTCCAAATGCAATGCCATTAGGCTGTACTGTGTTCCCCCCAAAATTCATAATGTTGAAGTCCTCACCTTTAGCATATGAATTTTTGGGGGGATACAGTGCAGCCCATAACAGCTGGTCTTAACTAAGCGAAAATAAGGGTAAAATGAGTGATAGTGATAAAAATGTAAGGTCTTTTATTAGTAATGCTTTACTTAAATTCCTGTAAAAATGACAGTTTTCTATTTGTAAACCCATTGCTTTTTTACTTTGAATTATTTCATCCTTTTCCATGCTTCTACTCTTTTCTTCCCCCCCCCGATATATTTTTATTCTCACATGCCTTCATCTGTGCATCCAAAGGCACTGTTGATTCAGTAGTATCAGCGGAAAAGCCCAAATAGTTTTGACTCCAGCTAATTAAAAGAAAACACCTTTAAAAAATATATGCTGCAATGTTTGTAGAAAATCTAGGTCTTACTTTTCTTTATTAATATCAATAATAATAAAAATAATAATAAACCTCTGTTAAGTGCATATTAGGTACCAGGGATTTTGCTAAATGCTTTACCCTATGACTTTGGTAGTTTTATAGATGAGGGAACTAAAGGTTAAAGAAAGTGAAATAATTTTTCCAAGATTTCAGAGCAAATAATTGTTAAATTAAGCTTCAGACACAGGCAGTACTTGCTATGCTTACTGCCTGTTTTTTAGAATTCTTAGGAATTTAACTTGCAACTGTCTCGAATCCAAGCTATACTCTGATTGAAATTAAGATATGGAAATAACATCATATGTTGATAGCTTTTGTGGTAACTATCGTGTTTACTATGGCAAGCATTCAGCACACTGAGCTTTGGATGTTTAAATATATTGAAGCTTTGATTCTTGAAGTCCTCAAGAATCTGTTTGCTTACCCAGGCACAAAATCACTCAGCATCTTCACTTGGCACATAAATGCTAATTCAGTAGCATGATATACATGGCATGTCATAATTTGCCCCTGCCTGTCTTTCTAGTGACATTTTATTTTTTCTCATAGCTCTACACTCTTTAGTCATAATAAACTACTACACTTATTTTCTGGAATTTAATTATTCTTATGGCTCCTTGGGGTTGCTCATGTTCCTTAGTTCCATTTAGGAAATATTTTATTGATTACTTACTAACGCACAATTCAAGGTTTGTTTGTTTCTGTCTGCACTATTGAGAGTGATGTTGGGGCCCAAAAGACCAAAAAGGAGTTGTTTACAGGTGGACTTGGACTGTTCTGAAGAGAATCTGCAGATACCTATTTGTGTTTTGCTAAGTGGAGCTTAAATGACAATGGGCCACAAGGAGCAGGGCTACAAAGGGAAGAGCAGGGGGAGAACGTTATCTATGTCTCTGGGTCCATTAGTAGGTACGTGCTTGATCCCAGCTGGATCAGGTTAACACTGGAGCAGAATTAGGAACAGAGGGCAATAGAAACAGTGAGTGGGGAAAGGATTATTGTGGTGACTATCACTTTGGTGCTCCATAGCGGTGCCTAGAGTAGAGGACCCATCACAGAAGTGTTCTAGCAATGACTTATCTAGGAAACTAGCTACTGTAAACTTGGTTATTTGTTTATTTCTTCAGACTTGGTGATACATATTATGGTCTTCCATTAACATTATATGGTATATGTCAGCAGCATTCTTGTATGGTTTTAAACCCTGACAGAACTATAAAGACCTTTTGGTGAGGAGAAGCAGATTAGTTTAAACATACTTGTATTTCTAGGTAGTTGATGGGAGCATAGCATAGGGATGGTATGCCCAACTCTGAGGACAGAACAGGATTGGGAAGATGATTCTTATCTTTAAGGATTTCAAGATCTAATAAGAGAGACTAATGTGTAAATTAAAAAATACTAAATAATGTGTTCAGGCCTTAGTGGTAGGACTAGTCAGAATTCAAATCCTGGCTCTTCCCTTTCTTTGCTTGTGACTGAGTGAAAGTGTGTATTAGATACCACAGTATCACAGAGAAGAAAGCAATGAACTATTTGAAGCAGTTGGGAAAGACATTAAGGTGGAGGATTCCCCTGAGATTGGCTCGAAAGGGTCAGCTGCAGTTTGCACAGTAGACTGGTGGAGTGAGGGCATTCCAGATAAAGAAATCTGAATTGGCACAGTGTATTCTAAATAGTGTTTTCTTCCTAGAAATGTTTTTCTTTCCCAGAAAATTCATACATATTCTTTAGATTTAGCTTCTATATTTTTTTATGGATCCTTGTTTAACTCACATCTATCTCTCAACCTCAGGAGTCACATGGTTGGCAAATGCACTTGGTTAGCAAAACTGCAGTTGCCATGATCAAGGTCTCCTGGATGACAAGGGGTGGGAGGAGGAGAAATTAAGGTAATGCATTAAATGTGTATATTTATTTATAAACACATAACTAAAAGTTCTGGAAAACAGTTGTTTCCAAAACCAGAATTATCTGTTGTTGTTTGTTTGTACCGAATGTAATAAAATGATAATGTAGTTACAAGTTTTTGTAAGGTATGTTGCTAGGCTGTTGACTGTTTTGATTTAATATTAGTAGGAGCTCTTCATGAGAAGAAACACTATTACATTAAAGGTATACATCAATTATGAGTTACATGTTTATTTCAGAAATGTTAAATATGAAAAAATGTTTATTGGAAAAAGGAAATATGGTATTCTGAATTAATAACTTTATGACATAGGCATTTGTATTCCCATTTGTATATAAGAAAAATGAAGTTTGGTGGAATTTGAAGCTAAGAACTTTGGGCAATATGGAGCAAGAGGCTTTTATAAGAGAGTGGCATGAGTGAAGTAGTGTGCCCATTGCATGTAGATTCATCTGATTGGATAGAGTAGTGTCCTCTTATCCTTTCAGTGTTTCTTATATTTCTTTTCCTGAAACGGGACTTGTCAGAGAGCACAGCCTCTTCTGTAGCGAAGTATGTATAAGTTGGGAGGTGCTTCTTTCTAGCCCCAAGTTGTGCTTGTTTCTCTTAGGTCTTTTATAACTGTAAGCTGATGTACTTGACTCTCTACATTTATATTTGTAGGATTAATGAATAAATACTATTAGAATCCAATCAGTTTTTGTGTCCTGGTTTTCTGTAAATAACTTGGCCTTTGTGGTATGACTAATCTGAATCCAAATCCTGGTCTGTCTTTTCGTGGCTTTGTGACCTTCAACTATGTTACATATCTCTGAGCCTGTGTTTTTTTTTTTTTTCTCTCTCTCTCTCTCTGTGTATGTGTGTGTACCTGTATATTCTCACATATATGAAAATGAGGTAAATGATGTTATTTTTCCTTTTATTTCCCTCATAAGTGGAAACTGTATATATGAGAGAATTCTATATATAACAGATCATTATATTATTGTTTCTGCTACTATACTGCATGTTCATTTAGCACATTTATTAGTCAAAATGTGGTCCACAGATGAGGTTTGCATATTCATGAAATATTTGCTGTTCTAAGAGGAGATAAGGAACTTGTGCCAGAATGCAAATCATCTGTGCTAAGTACACTATTTCTTTCAACTAACCTTTCTTTTTTTTTTTTTTTTCTCATAACAAGACTTTCTTGATGAAGGAAGCAGAATGTCGATTCATATTTTACTTCTATCTCCTCATTGGCTGGCACTCTGAGTAGCCTGAATGTAGAGTGCTTTGGGAAGATATTTTGAAGAAAGCTTAATTTTATTTATATTACTTTTCATTTTTGGTGTTAGAAAGGTTTGTTATTATTAGTGAAAAGGTTATTAAATTTGAACTTGGATTCTAATCGTGTCTTTGCTACTGATTAGTTGGGCAACTGAATTAAATCTTCTAGGCCTTATTTTCCTGACGGAAAATGAAGGTTGGGTTAGATATCTGTGGTTTTTGTAGGCTTTAACATGTTAATAATTATGTTTTTTAAGTACTATTTTTTTCTTTTACCTTTTTTTTTTTAAAAAAGCAAAACTGAGACCTCGTCAAAGTAGTAGATAAGAAGCACTGCAATAGAAACATACTTTAAGAAGCCTCTTTTTGGAATAGATGTTTTATTAAGCTGTAGTCAACCATATGGCAAGGATTTGATGCTAAGGCTATAATGATTGAGACTGTTTTTGTCTTCAAGTAGTAATATCCTGGGAAAGATAGACAAGTAAATACATACAAATGTAAATACATAAATCGGTAGTGTGTTAGAGATATGGACCAAAAATGTGTGAAACAGGAGGCTGTGAAAGACTCTCTAGAACAAAGGTAAGCAAACATTTTCTATAAGGATCCAAATATTTTAGCCTTTGTGGGCCACATGGTGTCTATTACAACTACTCACCCTGCAGTTGTAGTGGAAAGGCAGCCATGTAAATAAAAATACATCATTTTTCAACACCAATTCTCTGGCACTAATTAAGTGTCCTAAAATTCAATCCTGATACTACATAGAGTTAGTGCAAACCTCTTAAATTAGAGGCAGAATCCTTCAATTCTGACACTAATTGAAAGTTAGTACAGACTCCACAAGTTAAGGAGCCAGTCCCACAAGACTGCTTCCATTTCAGATACCAGCCTGAAATAGGCTACCTGCACTTCTGCTCAACTGACCACAAATTCAGAGGTTCCCACAACTTCCCTCAGGTTCTGTAATCACTAGAATGACTCAGAGTTCAGGAAAGTGCTACACTTACAATTACAGTTTTATTATAAAGGAAACAGCTTAGGAACAGCCAAATGGAAGAAATGTATAAGGAAGGCACTGAGAGGGAGTGGGCTATAGAGCTTCCATGCCCTTACTGGGCACACCACCCTCCCAGCAGATTGATATGTTTGCCAACCTGGAAGCATCCTGGACCTCGTTGTTTGAGTTCTTATCAAGGCTTCAATTATGTGGCCTGATTTATGGGCCACGTAATTGAACTCAAGTACCAGCCTTATATTCACTTGCTTAGTTTTTTTTGACTTGGCCAGCCCTTCCCTTGAAACTATCTAAGGGCCCCAACATGAGTTAGCTTGTTAGCATGAGCTCAGCTATGGTCAAAAGGGTCTTGTTATGAATAGCAAAGGACACTCTTATCACCCAGGACATTCTAAAGATTTTTGAAGTTCTGTGCCAAGAATTGGGGGCAAAGACCAAATATATTTTAAATTATACGATAGGCAGCCATTACTGATATGTAAATGAATGGCCAATGGCCGTATAATAAAACTTTATTTACAATAAGACATTGAGCTAGAACTGACCTATAGGTAGTAGTTTGCAGACCCTTGCTTTAGAAAAATGTGAAAAACTGCTGAAAGAATGTGACATTTGAACTGTTTCTTCTATTTATTTTAAACTTTTTGCTGATATGATACTATTTTATAGAATTTTTAAAATTTATTTTCAGTAGCACTAATAGATTTTTTTAAGGTGCTATGAGAGTGAGTAAGGAACTTTTTTTAAACACATATGCTGTGATTAATGTGTTTTAATATCAATTATTAATATCAATTGATTGTTAATATCAATTGATTATTAATGTGTTTTAATATCAATTGAGAAGGACTTCAGTTAAGTCCTCTTTGTGCCTCTTACTCCAGTAGGTGGGCTTGAAAACTACCTACTGGATCACAACTGGTAGGCTTTATTCTCCTGAGTGATCATGACTTTTATCACATTCCTTGATTAGTGATGTTTCTGTTGAGAATGCTGTTTACCTTCTGTCGTTTATGTTTTGCATTTATATTTTGCATCCCACTCTTGTTTTCAACATAGTGAAAGGAATTAGAGCCTTGGGTTGGAGTTTTATTCCTCTGACTTAATGGGCCTGTGACTAGGCAGGTTCCACATTCTGAGAGCTGTCCAGTGAGGGATTAGAAATTCGACACTTACTGCTGTGTAATAAGTTAAAGCATGAACATTTAAAATTTTTTGGTTTTTAAAAAAAAAAAACTAAAATTTTTTGGTTTCCGTTTTTTCTTTTTTTCTGGCTTGATAGTTTTATTTTTTATTTTTTAACTTTTATTTTAAGTTCAGGGGTACATGTACAGGTAGAGTGCTTTTGGGAGATATTTTTTACATAGGTAAATATGTGTCATGGGGGTTTGTTGTGCAGTTTATTTCATCACCTAGGTATTAGCCTAGTAGACATTAGTTATTCTTTTTGATCCTCCCACCCTTGACCCTCCGATAGGCCCAGTGTGTGTTGTTCCCCTCTATGTGTCAGTGTATTCTTACCATTTAGCTCCCACTTACAAGTGAGAACATACAGTATTTTGTTTTCTGTGTTAGTTTGCTGAGGATAATGGCCTCCAGCTCCATCTATGTGTCTGCAAAGGACATTATCTCATTCTTTTTTATGGCTGCATAGTATTCCATGCTGTATATATACCACGTTTTTTTTTTTATCCAGTCTATCATTGATATGTATTGAAGTTAATTTCATGTCTTTGCTATTTTGAATAGTGCTGCAGTGAACATATGCATGCATGTGCCTCTGTAATGGAATGATGTATATTCCTTTGGGTATATACCCAGTAATGGGATTGCTGGGTCAAGTGGCATTTCTGTCTTTAGGTCTTTGAGAAATCATTGCACTATTTTCTACAATGGTTGAGCTAATCTGCACTACCACCAACAGTGTATAAGCATTTCTTTTTCTCCACAACCTTGCCAGCATCTGTTGGTTTTTGACTTTTTAGTCATAGCCATTCTGCCTGGTGTGAGATTGTATCTCATTGTGGTTTAGTTTGCATTTCTCTCATGATCAGTGATGCTGAGCTTTGTTTCATATGATTGTTGGGCACATGTATGTCTTCTTTTGAGAAGTGTCTGTTCATGTCCTTTGCCCATTTTTTAATGGCATTGTTTGTTTTTTTTCCTTGTAAATTTGTTTAAGTGGCTTATAGATGCTGGATATGAGACCTTTGTAAGATGCATGGTTTGTAAAATTTTCTCCCATTCCGTAGGTTGTCTGTTTACCCTGTTGATAGTTTCTTTTGCTCTGCAGAAGCTCTTATTTGTCAATTTTTGCTTTTGTTGCAGTTGCTTTTGGTGTCTTCATCATGAAATCTTTGCCCATGCCTATGTCCTGAATGGTATTGCCTAGGTTGTCTTTCACAGTTTTTATAATTTTGTGTTTTATATTTAAGTTTTTAATACATCTTGAGTTTATTTTTGTATATGGTAAAAGGAAGGAGTCCAGTTTCCATCTTCTGCATATGGCTAGCTAGTTATCTTAGCACCATTTATTGAATAGGGAATCCTTTCCCCATTGCTTGTTTTTGTCAGGTTTGTTGAAGATCAGATAGTGGTAGGTGTGCATCATATTTCTGGGTTCTTTTTTCTGTTGATCTGTGTGTCTGTTCTTGTGCCAACACCATGCTGTTTTGGTTAATGTAGCTCTGTATTATAGTTAAGTTGGGTAGCGTGATGCCTCTAGCTTTGTTCTTTTTGCTTAGGATTGCTCTGGCTATTCAGGCTCTTTTTTGGTTCCATACGAATTTAAAAGTAGTTTTTTTCTGGTTCTGTGAAGAATGTCAATGGTAGTTTAATGCGAATAGCATTGAATCTGTAAATTACTTTGGGCAGTATGGTCATTTTAATGATATTGATTTTTCCTATCTATGAGTGTGGAATGTTTTTCTATTTGTTTGTGTCATCTCTTGATTTCTTTGAGCAGTGGTTTGTAGTTGTCACTGTAGAGATCTTTCACCTCCCTAGTTAGCTGTATTCCCAGGTAATTTATTCTTTTTGTGGCAATTGTGAGTGGGAGTTTGTTTGTGGTTTGGCTCTCAGTGGGACTGCTGTTGGTGTATAGGAACGCTAGCAATTTTTGTACATTTATTTTGTATCCTAAGATTTCCCTGTAGTTGTTTATCAGCATAAGAAGCTTTTGGGCTAAGATGATGGGGTTTTCTAGATACAGGATCATGTCATTGGCAAACAGGGTTAGTTTGACTCCTCTCTTCCTATCTGAATGCCCTTTATTTATCTCTCTTGCCTGATTCCCTGCTGAATAGGAGGGGTGAAAGAGGGCATCCTTGTCTTGTGCCAGTTTTCAAGGGGAATACTTCCAGCTTTTGCCCATTCAGTATGATGTTGGCTGTGGGTTTGTCATAGATGGCTCTTATTATTTTGAGATATATTTCTTCAATACCTAGGTTATTGAGAATTTTTAACCTGAAGGGATGTTGAATTTTATTGAAAGCGTTTTCTGCATCTATTGAGACAATCATGTGGTTTTTGTCTTTAGTTCTGTTTATATGATGAGTCACATTTATTGATTTTTTTATGTTGAGCCAACCTTGTATCCTGGGGATGAAGCCTACTTGATTGTGGTGAATAAGTTTGTTGATGTGCTGCTGGATTCAGTTTGGCAGTATTTTGTTGAGGATTTTTGCATCGATATTCATCAAGGATATCAGCTTCAATTTTTCTTTTCTTTTTTTTTTTTTGTATCAGGATGATGCTGGCCTCATAGAATGACTTAGGGAGGAGTCCCTCCTTTTCAAATTTTTTGGAATAGTTTCAATAGGAATGGTACTAGCTCTTCTTTGCACGTCTGGTAGAATTCAGCTGTGAATCTGTCTGGCCCTGGGCTTTTTTTGGTTGGTAGGCTATTACTGCCTCAATTTCAGAACTCATTATTGGTCAGTTCAGGGATTCAGTTTCTTCTTGGTTCAGTCTTGGCAGGGTATATGTGTTCAGGAATTTATCCATTTTTTTTCTACATTTTTAAGTTTATATGCATAGAGGTGTTTATAATATTCTCCGATGGTTGTTTGTGTTTCTGTGGAGTATTCCCCTTACCATTTCTTATTTTATTTGAATCTTCTCTCATTTCTTCTTTACTAGTCTAGCTAACAGTTTATGTATTTTATTATTTTTTTCAAAAAATCAGCTCTGGGATTTGTTGATCCAATGAATCGTTTTTCATGTCTCTGCCTCCTTCAGTTCAGCTCTGATTTTGGTATTTCCTGTCTTCTGATAGCTTTGGGATTTGTTTGCTCTTGGTTCTCTAGTTCTTTTAGTTGTGATGTTAGGTTGTTAACTTGAGATCTCTCTAATTTTTTAATATAGGCATTTAGTGTTATAAATTTCTCTCTTAACACTGCCTTAGCTATGTCCCAGAGATTCTGGTACCTTGTATCTTTGTTCTCATTGTTTCAAAGAACGTCTTGATTTCAGCTTTAATTTTATTATTTACCCAAAAGTCATTTAGGACCAGGGTATTCAATTTCCATGTAATTGTATGGTTTTGAGTGAATTTCTTAGTCTTGAGTTCTAATTTGATTGCGCTGTGGTCTGAGAGACTGTTATGATTTCAATTCTTTTGCATTTCCTAAAGAGTGCTTTACTTCTGATTATGTGATCGATTGTAGAGTAAGTGCTGGGATTACAGGCGTGAGCCACCACACCGGCCTGGTTTTTGTTCATATTCTGAATTCTACTTCTGCCCTTTCAGCCATCTCAGCCTCAGCCCAGTTCCGAACCCTTGCTGCAGAAGTGATGTGATCATTTGGAGGAAAGAGAGCACTGTGGTTTTTTGAGTTTTCAATGTTCTCGTGCTGATTCTTTCTCATCTTTGTGGACTTTGCTACCTTAAATCTTTGAGGTTGCTCACCTTTGGATTTTTTTTTTCTTTTAATAGTCTGGCTGCTTTTCCACAGGACTGTTGCGGTTTGCTGGGGGTCCACTGCAGTCCTTAGTCATTTCGGGTTTTCCAGTACCTACCTGAAGGTATCACCAGTGAAGGCTATGAAACAGCAAAGATGGCAGCCTACCCCTTCCTCTGGGTGCTCCATCCCAGGGAGGTACAGACTTGTTCCTGGCCCAAACATACCTGTAGGAGGTGGCTGGAGATCCTGACTGGCAGGTCTTGCCCAGTCAGGAGGAACAGGATTGGAGACCTGCTAAGGAAGCAGCCTGGCCACACTTTCATAGAGCAGCTGTGCTGTGCTGGGGTACCACTTCTGCCTCTAGTTGGCTTGGGCTCTCTAAAACCTAGAGGCTAGAATGGCTAAGTTGCCCAAATAGCAAAGATGGCAGCCTGCCCCTCCCTCTGGGAGCTCTGTCCCAGGAAGTTTTCAAATCTTTGTTGGCCAGAGAACATTCGCCAGGGTGTCTGGAGGTCCCCCTTGCGAGGTCATGCCCAGTGATGAAAAACGGATCAGTCTGGTCATGTTTTGGTAGAGGAGCTGTGCTGTGCTGGGGGATTCCTTCTGGCCTAGGTTGGTTTGGACTCTCCAGGGCCTGCAGGCTGGAACAGCTGAGTCATCCAAACAGCAAAGATGGTGGCCTCTACTCCCCACAGGAACTCTGTCCCAGGTAGGGGTGACACTGTTGCCCCTGGTTAGCTGGAATTCCAAGCCAGTGGGTCTTATCCTCTGTGGTGCCATGGAAGTGGGGTCCGCAGACCGTTACTGCCTGCTTCCCTGGATTCAGCCCCCTTCCCAGGGGTATGTACGGAAGTCCAACCTCCTGCGTTGCTGGAGTTGCAGTCACTTTTGCCAGGATACCCAGAGCCAGAGTCTGTAAAACTCCTGGGCCCCTCTGCATGTCTGAGTGGCTGCTCTGCTGAGACTCCACACAGCTCTTTGTGTCAGACTGAAGGCCCTGCTGGAGTGGGTTCATGAAGGGATCTCTCCTGACCTGAGGGTTGCAAAGATCCGTGGGAGAAGCATGGCATGGTTTCCTGGGGTTGCACATTCACTCACGACTTCACTTGGTGGGGGAGGTTCCTCCGGCTTTGTGTCACTCTCAGGTGGGCCGTCATCCTATCTGCTTTTCATTGTTCTTTATGGGTTGAGTTGCTTTCCTGATTAGTCCCAATGCAAGTACCTGGATGTTTCAGTTGAAGGTACTGTATTTACTTGCCCCTTTCATTCCTCTCTGTGAGAGCCATGCACCATTGCTGCTTCTTGTTGGCCATCTTGGCCCAAATCCTCTGTTTTCTTTTTGCCAGAGTAGAAGTGGTTTCCTCTTCTTACCTGGACGTTTCACAATGGAATGAATAAGCAAGCTGATATCAATTTATCAGCTTATCTTGTTAGTTTCATTTCTTAGTATATGTGAGGTTTCAAATGGTCACAAAGATGAACATTTAAAAGGCCTCCAAACAAGGAAAACTGGCAGTGGGCCAGAACTGACTATTTTAATAGGGATAGAGAGTTTGAGTTTGTTACTATCCTGTTGCTTAGGTAATGTTACTGTAAGCAGAGGATAGAGAATAAAGAGAATTGCCCGTATGAGTACATACAAAAATGATGATGAAATGAGGGTAATGGGAAAATAATATTTTAGGGATAGAATAAATGCAAAATTCAGAAAAACCAAAGTGGAGTTTATTCTTTTTGTCAGTAGCCACAGATGAGTTGCTAGTATCATTTTTAAACACAAATGGCAAGTACTTAAATGTGTTTATATGTGTGGACTACAGCAATATTCTACCAGTTAGCAGCACATGAAATAGCTTGTTCACTTGCTGGTTCAATTGAAATGTTTTTACTTAAATACCTATTAAACATTGTTGATACTGAATTAGGCTTGTCAGGAGAAAAAATAGAACACTAGTTTTCACAATTTTTACCCGGTAGTAGCTCATGCATGAGGCTAAGCATGTAGTCCTCATACTATCACCTTGAGGTAAAGTCCTGTTATCCACAATTTACATATGGGGAAAGGAGATTAAGTAACTTCCCTAGGTCAAGCAGGTAGAAATGGCTGCACAAGACTCAAGCCTTTTACTGGTTTTCTTCCTAACAGACATAATTTCTTAAGTTCTGTGAGAAAATTACAAAGAAATCTGGAAGCATCACATTATCCAACTTCAAACTATATTATAAGGCCTTAGTCACCAAAATAGCATGGTACTGGTATAAAAATAGACACATAGACCAATGGAACAGAATAGAGAACCCAGAAATAAAGCCACATACAGCCAGCTGATCTTCGACAAAGCAAACAAAAGCATAAAGTGGCAAAAGGACACCCTATTCAACAGATGGTGCTGGGATAATTGACAAGCCACATGTAGAAGAATGAAACTGGATCCTTATCTTTCACCTTATACTTGAAACTAAGACCTGAAACCATAAAGAATCTAGAAGATAACATTGGAAAAACCCTTCTAGACATTGGCTTAGGCAAAGACTTCATGACCAGGAACCCAGAAGCAAACGTAACAAAAACCAAGACAAATAGATGGGACTTAATTAAACTAAAAAGCTTCAGTACAGCAAAAGAAATAATCACCAGTTAACAGAAAACCCACAGAGTGGGAGAAAATCTTCACAATCTATACATCCAACAAAGGACTAATATCCAGAATCTACAAAGAACTCAAATCAGCAAGAAAAAAAAAATCCCATCAAAAAGTGAGCTAAGGACATGAATAGGTAATTCTCAAAAGAAGATATACAGATGGTCAACAAGCATATGGAAAAATGCTCAACATCACTTATTATCAGGGAAATGCAAATCAAACCACAATGTGATACCACCTCACTCCTGCAAGAATGGCCATATCAAAAAATCAAAAACTAATAGATGTTGGTTTGGATGTGGTGAAAAGGGAACACTTTTACACTGCTGGTGGGAATGTAAACTACTACAACCATTGTGGAAAACAGTGTCGAGATTCCTTAGAGAACTTAAAAGTAGATCTACCCTTTGATCCAGCAATCCCACTACTACGTATCTACCCAGAGGAAAATAAGTCATTATATGAAAAAGATACTTGCACATGTATGTTTATAGCAGCGCAATTTGCAATTGCAAAAATATGGAATCCTCCCAAGTGCCCATCAACCAATGAGTGGATGAAAAAAATGTGGTGCATAAATACCATGGTATACTACTCAGCCATAAAAAGGAATGAAATAATGGCATTCTCAGCAACCTGGATGGACTTGCAGACTATTATTCTAAGTGAAGTAACTCAGGAATGGTACCCAAACCTCATATGTTCTCACTCATATGTGAGAGCTAACCTACGAGGACACAAAGGCCTAAGAATGATACATTGGAGTTTGGGGACTTGGGGCAAAGAATGGGGGGTGGCAAAGGATAAAAGACTGCACATGGGGTACAGTGTACACTGGTCTGGTGATGGGTGCACCAAAAACTCAGAAATCACCAGTAAAGAACTTATTTATGTAACTCAACATCACCTGGTCTCTGAAAACCTATTGAAATAAAAAATTTAAAATAAATTACAAAGAATTATGACTTTCTAAGGATTGGATAGATATCTTTTTCTTTTTTCTTTGTTTTTTGTTTTTTTTTTTTTTTCATGGAGCAGAGACTCAGACAAAACTTCATAAAGGAGAGATATATAAGATGAAGTGAAAATCTAAGGTGAGGCCTAAGCATGGAGGGCATTGAATGTTAGGTGACAACTTGAGGAGTTACTTGAGTCATAGAGCTGTTTTATTTCTTTTGTTCATTTTACCTCTCGTAAACCATTCTGTGCTACTTTTTTCTCCAGGAAGATTGTTCAAATTTTTGAGGCTTTGTAGTTAAATGCTATTTTGCTTCTAGAGAACTTTTCTTTTTCTCTCTATTTTTTTTTTTTTTTTTGAGACAGAGTTTTGCTCTTGTTGCCCAGGCTAGAGTGCAGTGGTGCAATCTTGGCTCACCGTAACGTCTGCCTCCCAGGTTCAAGTGATTCTCCTGCCTCAGCCTCCCAAGTAGCTGGAATTACAGGCGTGCACCATCACGGCCAGCAAATTTTGTATTTTTAGTAGAGATGATATTTCTTCTTGTTGGTCAGGCTGGTCTCGAACTCCTAACCTCAGGTGATCCGCCTGCCTTGGCCTCCCAACTTGCTGCAATTATAGGTGTGAGCCACTGCGCCCAGCTAGACCTATTACCTTTGCTTATATACTTATGTGTAAATACTGAATATAAATGGA
Source organism: Homo sapiens (assembly GCF_000001405.40). Classification (NCBI taxonomy): domain Eukaryota; kingdom Metazoa; phylum Chordata; class Mammalia; order Primates; family Hominidae; genus Homo; species Homo sapiens. Next base: position 34,977,293 of record NC_000013.11, read on the forward strand.
TATGAATTGTACATAATTATCTTTTTTTTTTTTTGAGATGGAGTCTGTCTCTGTCGCCCAGGCTGGAGTGCAAGGGTGTGATCTTGGCTCACTGCAACCCCTGTCTCCCGGATTCAAGCGATTCTTCTGCCTCAGCGTCTTGAGTAGCTGGGACTACAGTCATGTGCCACTGCACCCAGCTAATTTTTGTATTTTTAGTAGATACTGGGTTTCACCATGTTGGCCAGGCTGATCTCGAACTCCTGACCTCAGGTGATCCTCCCACCTCGGCCTCCCAAAATGCTGGGATTGCAGGTGTGAGCCACCACGCTTGGCTGGATTGTACATAACTATCTTAAACAGAATAGATGCTAACATTAATCTGTATTGAGAAGTAATCTAATTCATTTTGATAGTTGGAGTCATTTTCCCCTCCAGATGAAGGCTAATGAGGTTCAGGATTTTGTTTCACATTTCTTGCACCTGCCATACACTAGGCATTCAATCACTATTTGTAGAAGGACAGAAGGATACACTTTTAATTTAAAGTTCTTTTTTTTTTGAGACAGGTTTTTGCTCTGTAGTTCAGGATGGAGTACAGTGGTATGATCACAGTTTACTGTAGCCTCAAACTCCTGGACTCAAGCAGTCCACCTGCCTCAGCCTCCTGAATAGCTCCCATTATGCCTGACTAATTGATTAAAAAAATTTTTTTTTTAGAGAATGGGTCTCACTGTGTGGCCCAGGCTGGACTCAAACTCTTAGTCTCAAGTGATCCTCCTGCCTTGGCCTCCCAAAGTGCTAGGATTACAGGCATGGGCCACTACATCCTGCCTAAAGTTATTCTTTAATCAATCTTCAAACCTTGGGATGGGCATATTCTAAGCAGTGCTGATCAAAAAGTAAGTATCAATGATTTCAGGGAAATTCTGGAAGACTCTTAAGTCAGCTATAATTATTAATGGCAAGATTTGGTTCTGGCACACAGACTTCAGATAACTAATATTTACTGATAGGAAGAATTGAAAAAATTTTATAGTGAACACCCATATATGTACCACCTAGAGTCTACAATTTACATTTTACTAAAATAACTTTATCACATATCTGTATTTTTATGCATCCATCGATCTGTCTATTTTTTCTGGATCCGTTTAAACCAGGTTGACGCCATGCATATTTTTTAACTGAAATTCAATGTTTGGCTACCTCCCCACCATAAAATTACATACAGTGAAAACATCTAATATTCTGTGAGTTGTGACAAATGCATGTACCTGAGTAACCCAAACCTAGAACATTATAGTCATCCCAGAGAGTTCCTCGTACTCCTTTCCAGTTAATCCCTACCTCCATACTCCCAGAGATGGTCAGAGGTTTTTTTTTCCCACCATAGATTAGTATTGGCTGTTGTAGAATCTTGTATAAATGGAGTCTTAACAGTGTCAATGAACCCTTTTGAGTAAAACTTCTTTTATTTAACAGAATGCTTTTGCAATTTGTTCATGTTGTGCTTATCAGCATTTGTTACTTTTACTGATGAGTTGTGGACCATTGTATAAATATACCAGAGTAAGCTAATCCATTCTTCTACTCATGGAACTCTAGGTTGCTTCCAGTTTTTGGCCATTATGAATAAAACTTCCTTGAATATTCACCCATGAGTCATTTTAAGATTCATGTTTTTATTCCTTTTGGGTAAATACCTAAGAATGTAATTATCAGGTAGAGAGATGGCATATGCTTGGTTTTAGAAACCTGACAGACCATTTTATTAAGTGATTAAAACATTTTGTATTTTCAACAATGTATAACAGATCTCTTTTCCCCAGCATTTCATATGGTCAGCTCTTTTAGACATTCTGATGGCTGTGTATTGATACCCCACTGTGGTTTTAATTTGAATTTCTGGGATGGCCAGTGATGTCGAGCCCTTTTTCATGCCTTTATGCACCATTTAAAAATTTTCCCCTGGTTGCTGGGCACAGTGGTTCACACCTGACTTCGGGAGGCCAAGGCAGGCAGATCATCTGAGGCCAGGAGTTCGAGACCAGTCTGGCCAACATGGTGAAACCCCACTTCTACTAAAAAGACAAAAATTAGCTGGGCATGGTGGCGTGCACCTGTAATCCCAGTTGCTTGGGAGGCTGAAGCAGGAGAATCACTCGAACCTAGGAGGCAGAGGTTGCAGTGAGCCAAGATTGAGCCACTGCACTCCATCCTGGGTGACAGAGCAAGACTCTGTCTCAAAGAAAAAAAAAAGAAAAACAATTTTCCCCTGGGAAGTACCTATTCAAATCTTTTGCCAATTTGTAAATTTTTTAAAATGTAAGAGTTCATTATCCTAGATACAGATTTTTAAGTCAGATGTATGTTTTTTGGAAATTTTTTAAAAGTCTGTATATTTTCTTTTTACTTAAAGCTATATTTTCAGGAGCACTTTTAAATATTGATAGAATTTAATTCATCAACTATTTCTTTTATGGTTATTACTTTGTATCCTTAAGAAAACATTGCTTTCCCTGTAGATCATACAGATATTCTTCTGTGTTTTCTTCTAGAGGCTTTATAGTTTTAATTCTCATGTCTGTTATCTATATGAAATTAATTTTTGTGTCTGGTGAGATAAGGGTTCAGATTTCTTTTTTCATATTAATATCCATTTGTTTCATCACCACTTGTGGAAGAGACTTTGCTTTTTCTATTGGATTGCTGTAGTACCTTTGAAGAAAGTTGAATGATGTGTAAGTATGAGTCTTTCTTGTTCCATTGATCCATTTGTTGGTCTTTATGTCAGTACTGTGGTGTACTGTGGTGTCTCAATTACTGTAGTTTTATGTAAATTTTGAAATCAGGTAGTTTAAGTTTTCCAATTTGTTGTTGTTGTTTTGCCCTAGGATTGCCTTAGAGTCTAGCTGTTTTTTTTGTTGTTGTTGTTATTTATATAAATATTTTATAATCAATTGTCAGTTTCTAGCAACAATCCTGGGTATGTTGAATACATAGTTTAATGAGGGGGAAGAGGAGATTGACTTGTTACATGCTACTGTCTTCAAATCATTAGTATCATGTATCTCTCTAATTTACTAGATCTTTTAAAAATTTCTTCCAGCAATGTTTTCTGGTTTCTAGTTTAGAAGTATAACTTTTTTTTATTACATTTTATTACATTTTTATTACATTTATTTATTTATTTATTTATTTATTTATTTAAATGCTATTTGCTATGGTTGGAATGATGGTGTTCCTCCAATGTATGTTGAAACTTAATCCTAATGCAACATTCTGAAGAGGTGTGTCCTTTGGGAGGTGATTAAGTAATGAGGGCTCTGCCTTGTTGAATGGGTACCCTTATATTTAATACAGTGTTGAATGTCGGTGATGAAAATGAGCATCCTTAGGTTGTTAAGGATATTAGGAGGAAATTGGTTACTATTTGATCATTTAGTAGATTACAATTAAGATGTTAGCTATAGGAGTTTGTAGATACTATTTATCTAGTTGAAAAAGTTTTTCCTCTTCCTAGTTTGCTAAGAGTTTATACCATCTGAATTTTGTCGGATGATTTTTCTACATTGATTGAAGTGCCCCTATGTATTTCTCCTTTTATTAGTATGATAATAGTTATATGTATTTTCTTAAAATAGCTTCATTGAGGTATAATTTATATATCATAAAATTCACGTGTTTTTAGCATACAATTCAATGAATTTTAGTGAATTTACAGTTATTTAACTGTAATCAAAATGTACTTTTATAACATTTCCGTTACTCTCCAAATAAATAATATGCTAATTTGTAGTTATTTCCAATTCCCACCCCCAGCCTAAGGCAACTACCGATTTACCCTCTCCATGTTTGCCTTTTCTTGACATTTTGTATCCATGGAGTCACACAATGTGTGGTCTTTTGTGCCTGGCTTCTGTGACTTAGTATAACATTTTTGAGGCTCATCTATTTTCCTTTTTATTGCCAAGTAATATTATGTGGATATACCACAGTTTGATTATCCATTTACCAGTTTACGACCATTTGAATTGTTTCTAATTTTTGGCTTTTATGAATAATGCTGATATGAACATTTGCATCTAAGTCTTCATATGGATATATATTTTCATAGATACCTAGAAGTGAAATTCTGGGTCATATGGTAAATCCTTGCTTTAAGAAACTGCCAGACTATTTCCAAAGTGATTATACCACTTTACATTGCCACTGACAATTGATTTTTGAATGTTATAAACAATCTTGCATTCTTAGGATAACCCCATGATGTATTTTCCATCTTGCGTATTGCTGGATTTGGTTTGTTAACAATTTAAGGATTTGTGTGTCTGTGTTCATCAGAGATTTTGGTCTGCAATTTTATTTCCTTATAATGTCCTTGTCAGGTTTTGTCTATGAATGATTTTTATAGAATTCACCAATAAAACATTGGCCTGCACTTTTCTTTGTGGGAAGGTTTTTTTTTTTTATAATGGGGTTTTCTTTTTAATCTAGATTGTTTGCATTTTCCTTCATCTTGTGTCAGTAAATTGTGTTTTGCAAGGGATTTATTTGTGTCATCTAAGTAGTTGAATTTGTTAGCACACTGTTCATAAACATTTCTCTGATATTCTTTTAATGTCTGTAGGATCTATACTGATAATCCTTTCCAGATATTGATAATTTATGTTCTCTCTTCTCTCTCTCTCTCTCTCTGTCTCTTAAGCTTATGGTTTATCAACATTATTAATATTATTAATTTCAAAGAAAGAAATTTGGCTATGTTAATTCTATTATTTGTTTTTTATTTTATTAATTTATGTTCTTATTATTACTTTGTCCTACTTGCTGCTATGAGTTTTCTTTGTTCTTTGATTAGCTTTATGAGGTGAAACTGTGGGTCAATAAGAGCTTTTTCTTTTCTAACACTGTATAACTTCCTCTAGGCACTGCTTTAGCTCATTTTACAGAATTTAATAGAATTTTGATCAGATTAGTTAGGAGTGTTGTTTTTGAAGGCATTTCTAAAGATTTTGTTGTTATTGATTTTTTTTTTTGAGATGAAGTCTCTCTCTGTTGCCCAGGCTGGGGTGCACTGGTGCGACCTACCTCAGCTCACTGCAACCCCTGCCTCCTGGGTTCAATTGAATCTCCTGCCTCAGCCTCCCTAGTAGCTGGAATTACAGGCATCTGCCACCATGCCCAGCTAATTTTTTATATTTTTAGTAAAGACAGAATTTCACCATGTTGGCCAGGCTGGTCTTGAACTCCTGGCCTCAGGTAATCCTCCTGCCTCGGCCTCCCAAAGTGCTGGGAGTACAGGTGTGAGCCACCATGCCTCACCTGATTTCGAATTTAAATCCATTGTGGTACAAAGACAGGATCTGTGGACTTCAGTACTTTTAAATTTATTGAGACTCGTCTTATGGCTCATCATATATTTCCTGTTTTGGTGAAAACACCATGAACACTTGTAAAGAATGGTGTTTTATGATTATTGGTTGTAATGTTTCTAAGCTCTCAATTAAGTCAAGTTAATTATAGTGTTGTTCATATATTTTATGGTTTCACCTATGGGTTTTTTTTGCTTAATTTTATCAGTTATTGAGAAAGGGTCTTAAGAGTCTCAACTATGATTGTGGAATTTTCTTTCTCCTTTTAATTACTTAATATTTCAGTTTTGCTTTATGTATTTTGAAATTCTTAGCAATTGTGTGCACATTTGATTGTTATCTGTTCCTCAGGAATTGACCTTTGGGTTATTATTATTATTATTATTTTATACTTTAAGTTCTAGGGTACATGTGCACAACGTGCAGGTTTGTTACATAGGTATACATGTGCCATGTTGGTTTGCTGCACCCATTAACTCATCATTTACATTAGGTATTTCTCCTAATGCTATACCTCCCCCTGACCCCCACCCCACACCAGGCCCCAGGGTGTGATGTTCCCCGCCCTGTGTCCAAGTGTTCTCACACTGTTCAATTCCCACCTATGAGTGAGAACATGCGGTGTTTGGTTTTCTGTCCTTGCGATAGTTTGCTCAGAATGGTGGTTTCCAGCTGCATCCATGTCCCTGCAAAGGACATGAACTCATCCTTTTTTATGGCTGCATAGTATCCCATGGTGTATATGTGCCATATTTTCTTAATCCAGTCTATCATTGATGGACATTTGGGTTGGTTCTAAGTCTTTGCTATTGTGAATAGTGCCACAATAAACATGTGTGCATGTGTCTTTATAGTAGTATGATTTATAATCTTTTGGGTATATACCCAGTAGTGGGATCGCTGGGTCAAATGATATTTCTAATTCTAGATCCTTGAGGAATTGCCACACTGTCTTCCACAATGGTTGAACTAGTTTACACTCTCACCAACAGTGTAAAATTATTCCTATTTCTCCACATCCTCTCCAGCATCTGTTGTTTCCTGACTTTCTAATGATCGCCATTCTAACTGGTGTGAGATGGTATCTCATTGTGGTTTTGATTTGCATTTCTCTGGTGACCAGTGATGATGAGCACTTTTTCATGTGTCTGTTGGCTGCATAAATGTCTTCTTTTGAGAAGTGTCTGTTCATATCCTTTGCCCACTTTTTGATGGGGTTGTTTTTTTCTTGTAAATTTGTTTAAGTTCTTTGTAGATTGTGGATATAAGGCCTTTGTCAGATGGGTAGATTGCAAAAATTTTCTCCCATTCTGTAGGTAGCCTGTTCACTCTGATGGTAGTTTCTTTTGCTGTGCAGAAGCTCTTTAGTTTAATTAATTTAGTTTAATTGACAAATCCCATTTGTCAATTTTGGCTTTTGTTGCCATTGCTTTTGGTGTTTTAGTCATGAAGTCCTTGCCCATGCCTCTTTCCTGAATGGTATTGCCTAGGTTTTCTTCTAGGGTTTTTATGGTTTTAGGTCTAACATTTAAGTCTTTAATCCATCTTGAATTAATTTTAGTATAAGGTGTAAGGAAGGGATCCAGTTTCAGCTTTCTACATATGGCTAGCCAGTTATTAAATAGGGAATCCTTTTGTTTATTAAATAGGGAATCCTTTCCCCATTGCTTGTTTTTGACAACTTTCTCAAAGATCAGATGGTTGTAGATGTGTGGTGTTATTTCTGAGGCCTCTGATCTGTTCCATTGTTCTATATATCTGTTTTGGTACCAGTACCATGCTGTTTTGGTTACTGTGCCATGTAGTATAGTTTGAAGTCACTTAGTGTGATGCCTCCAGCTTTGTTCTTTTTGCTTAGCATTGTATTGGCAATGCGGGCTCTTTTTTGGTTGCATATGAACTTTAAAGTAGTTTTTTCCAATTCTGTGAAGAAAGTCACTGATAGCTTGATGGGGATGGCATTGAATCTATAAATTATCTTGGGCAGTATGGCCATTTTCACGATATTGATTCTTCATGAGCATGGAATGTTCTTCCATTTGTTTGTGTTCTCTTTTATTTCGTTGAGCAGTGGTTTGTAGTTCTCTTTGAAGAGGTCCTTCACATCCCTTGTAAGTTGGATTCCTAGGTATTTTATTCTCATTGTAGCAATTGTGAATGGGAGTTCACTCATGATTTGGCTCTCTGTTTGTCTGTTATTGGTGTATAGGAATGCTTGTGATTTTTGCAGATTGATTTTGTATCCTGAGACTTTGCTGAAGTTGCTTATCAGCTTAAGGAGATTTTGGGCTGAGATGATGGGGTTTTCTAAATATACAATCATGTCATCTGCAAACAGGGACAATTTGACTTCTTCTTTTCCTAATTGAATATGCTTTATTTCTTTCTCTTGCCTGATTGCCCTGGCCAGAACTTACAACACTATGTTGAATAGGAGTGGTGAGAGAGGGCATCCTTGTCTTGTGCCAGTTTTCAAAAGGAATGCTTCAAGTTTTTGCCCATTCAGTATGATATTGGCTGTGTGTTTGTCATAAATAGCTCTTATTATTTTGAGATACGTTCCATTAATACCTATTTTATTGAGAGTTTTTAGCATCAAAGGCTGTTGCATTTTGTTGAAGGCCTTTTCTACGTCTGTTGAGATAATCATGTGGTTTTTGTCGTTGGTTCTGTTTATGTGATGGATTATGTTTATTGATTTGCATATGTTGAACCAGCCTGGTATCCCAGGGATGAAGCCGACTTGATTGTGCTGAATAAGCTTTTTCATGTGTTGCTGGATTTGGTTTGCCAGTATTTTATTGAGGATTTTTGCATCGATGTTCATCAGGGATATTGGTCTAAAATTCTCTTTTTTGTTGAGTCTCTGAACAGGCTTTGGTATCAGGATGATGCTGGCCTCATAAAATAAGTTAGGGAGGATTCCCTCTTTTTCTATTAATTGGAATAGTTTCAGAAGGAGTGCTACCAGCTCCTTTTTGTACCTCTGGTAGAATTTGGTTGTGAATCCGTCTGGTCCTGGACTTTTTTTGGTTGGTAGGCTATTAATTATTGCCTGAATTTCAGAGGCTGTTATTGGTCCCTTCAGAGATTCACCTTCCTGGTTTAGTCTTGGGAGGGTGTATTGTTCAGGAATTTATCCATTTCTTCTAGATTTTCTAGTTTATTTGCATTGAGGTGTTTATATTATTATCTGATGGTAGTTTGTATTTCTGTGGGATCAGTGGTGATATCCCCTTTACTATTTTTTATTGCATTTATTTGATTCTCCTCTCTTTTCTTCTTTATTAGTCTTGCTAGCAGTCTATCAATTTTGTTGATCTTTTAAAAAAACCAGCTCCTGGATTCATGGTTTTTTGAAGGGTTTTTTTGTGTCTCTATCTCTTTCAGTTCTGCTCTGATCTTAGTTATTTCTTCCTTCTGCTAGCTTTTGAATGTGTTTGCTCTTGCTTCTCTAGTTCTTTTAATTGTGATGTTAGGGTGTCGATTTTAGATGTTTCCTGCTTTCTCTTGTGGGCATTTAGTGCTATAAATTTCCCTCTACACACTGCTTTAAATGTGCCACTGAGATTTTGGTACATTGTGTCTTTGTTCTCGTTGGTTTCAAAGAACGTCTTTATTTCTGCCTTCATTTCATTTTGTATCCAGTAGTCATTCAGGAGCAGGTTTTTCAGTTTCCATGTAGTTGTGCGGTTTTGAGTGAGTTTCTTAATCCTGAGTTCTAGTTTGATTGCACTGTGGTCTGAGAGACAGTTTGTTGTGATTTCTGTTCTTTTACATTTGCTGAGGAGTGCTTTACTTCCAACCATGTGGTCAATTTTGGAATAAGTGCGACGTGTTGCTGAGAAGAATGTATATTCTGTTGATTTGGGGTGGAGAGTTCTGTAGATGTCTATTAGGTCTGCTTGGTGCAGAGCTGAGTTCAAGTTCTGGATATCCTTGTTAACCTTTGGTCTCATTGATCTGTCTAATATTGACAGTAGGGTGTTAAAGTCTCCCATTATTATTGTGTGGGAGTCTAAGTCTCTTTGTAGGTCTCTAAGGACTTGCTTTATGAGTCTGGGTGCTCCTGTATTGGGTGCATATATATTTAGGATAGTTAGCTCTTCTTGTTGAATTGATCCCTTTATCATTATGTAATGGCCATTGGTTTAATGTCTGTTTTATCAGAGACTAGGATTGCAACCCCTGCTTTTTTTTGTTTTCCATTTGCTTGGTAGCTCTTCCTCCATCCCTTTATTTTGAGCCTCTGTGTGTCTCTGCACATGGGATGGGTCTCCTGAATACAGCACACTGATGGGTCTTGACTCTTTATATTTGCCAGTCTGTGTCTTTTAACTGGGGCATTTAGTCCATTTACATTTAAGGTTAATATTTTTATGTGAATCTGATCCTGTCATTATGCTGTTAGCCGGTTATTTTGCCCATTAGTTGATGCAGTTTCTTCCTAGCATTGATGGTCTTTAAGTTTGGCATGTTTTTGCAGTGGCTGGTACTGGTTGCTGCTTTCCATGTTTAGTGGAGCTCTTGTAAGGCAGGCCTGGTGGTGACAAAATCTGTCAGCCTTTGCTTGTCTGTAAAGGATTTTATTTCTCCTTCACTTATGAAGCCTAGTTTGGCTGGATATGAAATTCTGGGTTGAAAATTCTTTTAAGAATATTGAATATTGGTCTCCAGTCTCTTCTGGCTTGTAGAGTTTCTGCCGAGAGATCTGCTGTTAGTCTGATGGGCTTCCCTTTGTGGGTAACCCGACCTTTCTCTCTGGCTGCCCTTAACATTTTTTCCTTCTTTTCAACCTTGCTAAATCTGACAATTATGTGTCTTGGGGTTGCTCTTCTGGAGGAGTATCTTTGTGGTGTTCTTTGTGTTTCCTGAATTTGAATGTTGGCCTGTCTTGCTGGGTTGGGGAAGTTCTCCTGGATAAGATCCTGAAGAGTATTTTCCAACTTGGTTCCATTATCCCCATCACTTTTAGGTACACCAATCAAACGTAGATTTGGTCTTTTCACATAGTCCTATATTTCTTGGAGGCTTTGTTCATTTATTTTTACTCTTTTTTCTCTAACTTCTCTTCTCGCTTTATTTCATTAATTTGATCTTCAATCACTGATATTCTTTTTTCCACTTGATCAAATAGGCTATTGAAGCTTGTGCATGCATCACATAGTTCTCATGCCATGCTTTTCAGCTCCATCAGGTCATTTAAATTCTTCTATGCACTGTTTATTCTAGTTAGCCATTCATCTAATCTTTTTTCAAGGTTTTTAGCTTCCTTGCAATGGGTTTGAACATCCTCCTTTAGCTCGGAGATGTTTGTTATTACTGACCTTCTGAAGCCTACTTCTGTCAGCTCGTCAAAGTCATTCTCCATGCAGCTTTGTTCTTTGCTGGTGGGGAGATGCTATCCTTTGGAGGAGAAGAGGCACTCTGGTTTTTAGAATTTTCAGCGTTTCTACTCTGGTTTCTGCAAATATTGCAGAACAGCAAATATTGCTGCCTAATCTTTCCTCTGGAAGGTTCGTCCCAGAGGGTTACCCGCCTGTTTGAGGTGTCAGTCGGCCCCTACTGGGAGGTGTCTCCCAGTTAGCCAGTTAGGCTACACGGGGGTCAGGGAGGAGGTAGTCTGTCTGTTCTCTGAGCTCAAACACCATGCTGGGAGAACCACTGCTCTCTTCAGAGCTGTCAGATAGGGACGTTTAAGTCTGCAGATGTTTCTGCTGCCTTTTGTTCAGCTATGCCCTGCCCCCAGAGGTGGAGACTATAGAGGTAGCCGGCCTTGCTGAGCTGTGGTGGGGTCCACCCAGTTCGAGCTTTTCCGGCTGCTTTGTTTACCTACTCAAGCCTCAGCAATGGCAGACCCCCCTGCCCCTGCCAGGCTGCTGCCTCACAGGTCGATATCAGACTGCTGTGCTAGCAGTGAGCAAGTCTCTGTGGGCGTGGGATCCGCCGAGCCAGACATGGGATATAATCTCCTGTTGTGCCATTTGCTGCGGACCAGAGCTGTTCCTATTCGGCCATCTTGGACTGACCTTTGTATTGTTATGAAATGTTCTTTGTATTTGGTGATACTTCTTGTCTCGACGTTTACTTTATCTAATAGTTATATTGTTGCACAATCTGTCTTGTTTATTTGCATGGTATATCTTTTTCTGTTCTTTTACTATTAATTTCTGAATTTTTTATTTTCTTATTTTTCTGTAAACAGCATGTAGCTGAGTCTTTATAAAAATTAAAAATCCATTGTGACATTCAGTCTTTTAATAGGAAAATTTGTGTTCCAGTAGTATTTAATGTAATTACTGATACTGGATTTAGGCCTTCTATCTTACTACTATTTGTTGTTTCTTTGTCCCATTTGTTTTTTCTTCCTGTGTACCTCCTTTTCTGCCTTCTTTGGATTAGTTGATTAGAATTTCATTATTTTATATATTTGTTTTTTAGGCGTATCTCCCTGCATTATTATTTTAATGATTCTTCTACATCTCTAGCTTTTCAGTCTAGAGTTGTTACCATACTGTTTCACTTAAAAAATAGAAATGTTCATCCTTACAATAATTAAAAGTCATTTATCTTCCTCTTCTGCTGTAGTTGTCATGTGTATTATATCTACACATATATACCCAATAAATGTATTAGTCTGTTCTCACATTACTATAAGTAACTACAAGAGACTGGGTAATTTATGAAGAAAAGAGATTTAATCGATTCACATTTTCACAGGGTGTACAGGAAGCCTGGCTGGGGAGGTTTCAGGAAACTTACAATCATGGCAGAAGGTGAAGGGGAAACAGACACATCTTCACATGGTGGAGCAGGATAGAGGGTGAAGGGGGAAGTGCTACATATTCTTAAACAACCAAATCTTATGGGAACTCACTGTCATGAGAACCGCAAAGGGGAAGTCTGCCTCCGTGGTCCAGTCGTCTCCCACTAGGTGCCCCCTCCAACACTGAGGATTACAGTTTGACATGAGGTTTGGGTGGGGACACAGAGCCAAACTATATCATTCCACACCTAGCCCTCCCAAATCTCATGTCCTTGTCACCTTTCAAAGCACAGTCATGGCTTCCAAACAGACCCCCAATGTCTTAACTCATTCTAGCATTAACTCAAAAGTCGAAGTCCAAAGTTTCATCTGGGACAAGGCACGTCTATTTGCCTATGAGCCTGTAAAACCATAAACAAGTTAGTTACCTCCAAGATACAATGGGGCTACAGGCATTGGGCAAATGTTCCCATTCCAAAAGGGAGAAATCGGCCAAAACAAAGGGGTTACAGACCCCATGCAAGTCCAAAGCCCAGAAAGGCAGTCATCAAATTTTAAAGCTCCAAAATAATTTTCTTTGACTCCATGTCTCACATGCAAGCACACTGATGCAAGGGGTAGGCTCCCAAGACGTTGGGCATTTATGCTCCTTTAGCTTGGCATGGTATAGCCTCCTTGGCTGGTTTCATGGGCCAGTGTTGAATGCCTGTGGCTTTTCTAGGCACATGGTGCAAGCCGTCAGTGGGTCTACCATTCTGAGTTCTGGAGGATGGTGGCTTTTTTCTCACAACTCCACTAGGCAGTGCCCCAGTGGGGACTCTTTGTGGGGGCTGTAACCCCACATTTCCCCTTCACACTGCTTAGTAGATTCTCCATGAGGGCTCTGCCCCTGTAGCAGACTTCTGCCAGGATATCCAGACATTTCTATTCTCTGATAGCTATTTGGAGGCTCCCAAGCCTTAACTCTTGCCCTCTATGCCCCCACAGGCTTAGAAACACATAGAAGTCACCAAAGTTTGCAGCTTGCACCATCTGGAGCAGTGACCTGAGATGTATCTGGGGCCCTTTTAGCCACAGCCACAGCTGGAGCTGGAGAAGCTAGGATGCAGGGAGCAGTGTTCTGAGGTTGTGTAGGGTAGCAGGGCCCTGGGCTTTGCTCTCAAAACCATTCTTCCCTTAGGCCTCTGGGCCTTTGATTGGAGGGGCTGCGGGAAAGCCTTCAAGGCATTTTCCCCATTGTCTTGGCTATTAACATTCAGCTCCTCTTTACTTATGCAAATTTCTACATCCAGCTTGAATTCCTCCCCAGAAAATGGGCTTTTCTTTTCTCCCTCATGGTCAGGCTGCAAATTTTCTTAACTTTTATGCTGTTTCCTTTTTAAGTATAAGTTCCAGTTTCAGATCATCTCTTTGCTTATGCATGTGACCATATGCTGTTAGAAGCAACCAGGCCACATCTTGAAGAACACTTTGCTACTTAGAAATTTCTTCTGCCAGATATCTTAAATCATCTCTCAAGTTCAAAGTTCCACAGATCTCTAGGGCAGGTGCAGAATGCCTTCAGCCTCTTTGTTAATGGTTAACAAAAGTGATCTTTGCCCCAGTTCCCAATAAGTTCCTCATCTGAGACTACTTCAGCCTGGACTTCATTGGCCATATCACTGTCAGCATTTTGGTAACAACAGTTTAACAAGTCTTTAGAAAGTTCCAAACCTTCCTTGGTCTTCCTGTCTTATGAGCTCTCCAAACTGTTCCAACCTCTGCCCATTACCCAGTTACAAAGCTGCTTCCACATTTTCAGGGATCTTTATAGCAATACCCCACTCTCCAGTGCCAATTTTCTGTATTAACCCATTCTTGCACTGCTGTGAGGAACTACCTGAGACTGGGTAATTTGTGAAGAAAAGAGGTTTAATTGATTCAGTTCCACAGACTGTACAGGAAGCATGGCTGGAGAGGCCTCAGGAAACTGACAATCATGGCAGAAGGTGAAGGGGAAACAGGCACATCTTCACATGGCAGAGCAGGAGAGAGGGAGTGAAAGGGGAAGTGCTACACAATTTTAAACAACCACATCTTGTGAGAACTCACCCATTATCACAAGAACAGCCAAGGGGAAGTCCACTCCTATGACCCAGTCACCTCCCACCAGGCCCCTCCTCCAACACCGAGGATTACAATTCAACATGAGATTTAGGTGGGGACACAGAGACAGATCATATCAATATACACTACACAGTACTATAATTTTCACTTCAAGCAGTCATATGTATTTTAAAGATGTACTAAGGACATATATTATTCTATGTTTACCAATATGCATGCCATTTCTTTTACTTTTTGTTCCTTCCAGAATAAGTTTCCGTCTTGTATCATTTCCCTACAGCCTGAAGAACCTTATAAAAGCACTTTTAAAAAACATGCTGGCAACCAATTCTTTTAAGTTTCTTCTTTTAAATTTAAAAATGTGTTTATTTGACTGTTCTTTTAAAGGATATATTTTGGGTGTAGGAATTGGAATTGACAGCATTTAAAAAATGTACCACTGTCTTATGGTTGTTTTTTTTTTTTTCCTGATGAGAAGAAAGTAGTCATTCAGTCATTGTTTTTCTATATGTAATATGACTTTTATTCTCTGCCTTTTTTTTAAGCTTTCCTCTACCCTTGATTTACAGGTATTTGGCTGCTGAACCTTGTCTTTTTGACAAGTTTTTTGAATTTTTAAATTTATATATTTCACCAAGTGTTTGAAAAATGTGTGTGTATATGTGTGTGTATATATATGTGTGTGTGTGTGTGTGTGTATATGTGTGTGTGTGTGTGTATATATATATATATATATATATATTTTTTTTTTTAGACAGAGTCTAGCTCTGTCACCCAGGCTGGAGTGCAGTGGCATGATCTCGGCTCATTGAAACCTCTGCTTTCTGGATTCAAGCTGTTCTCCTGCCTCAGCCTCCCGAGAAACTGGGAATACAGGCACATGCCACCATGCCTGGCTACTTTTTTGTATTTTTAGGAGAGATGGCATTTCACCATGTTGGACAGGCTGGTCTTGAACTCCTGACCACCACGCCCGGCCAAGAAGCAAATAATTTTGGAATCTGTAGTCCCTTAATGGGGAGAAAAGGAGCTAGGATGAAATACATAAATAAGAGTTAAACATTTGACTTGGTAACGAGGTATTTGAGGGGAATAGTGCCCTTCAGTGTTTATTCTTGCTTTTTTTAAGGTAAAGGCTAGAAATACTTATTTTATTTATTTATTTTTTTGAGACGGAGTCTTGCTCTGTTGCCCAGGCTGGAGTGCAGTGGCATGATCTCAGCTCACTGCAAGCTCCGACTCCCAGATTCACACCATTCTCCTGCCTCAGCCTCCTGAGTAGCTGGGACTACAGGCCCCCGCCACCACACCCGGCTAATTTTTTTTTTTTTTTTGTATTTTTTAGTAGAGACAGGGTTTCACCGTATTAGCCAGGATGGTCTCGGTCTCTTGACCTTGTGATCCACCCGCTTTGGCCTCCCAAAGTGCTGGGATTACAGGCATGAGCCACCACGCCCAGCCAAGGCTGGAAATTCTTAATGTGACTTCTGAGCCCTTGCATGATCTCCAATGAGTCTCATCTCCTGCTACTGTTGCATTCATTACTCGCTCCTCTCTCCACTTTGCTATCTATACTGCAAACACACTAGCCATCTTATATCGTATCTTATTAGAGCTTATTCATTTGGTGACCCTGTTATTTCTGCTTTAATTTCTCCTCTTCATTTCTCGTTCATCTTCCTCTGGATACTTTCTTTTCATCCTAATGATCTCAGCCGAAATATTATTTTTTCAGTTATTTCATGGCCTCTCCTGATAAGATTATATGCACCAATAGCATCCTCGTTTTCTCTTTTGTAGAATTTCTCATTGTTGCAAATAGTTGTTTACTTATGAATATCTGTTTAACCTTGCTACAATGTAAGATGTATAATGCAGTATTTTTGTATTCACTGGTATATTTTCTGCATCTATTACAGACCTTTGCATATAGTAGATGCTCAATAAATGCTGGAAGGAATAAATCCAGAGATGAATTGCTTATTCAGGATTTCATTCAGCTAATTTTCAGTAAGGAATAAACTGCCAAAGATTAGTGTGGAGACTATCCCTACCAGTTCCTATTTCTGACTCAGAGTGAGGAAGTTAGTCTCCAAAACTAAATAACCAAGATAAATGATGACTGTTTTTCGTGGTTTGAGTATGACCCCTGGTTACAACATAGAGTAGTGCCGACAGGCTATAATGTCTATCCCTGAAATGAGCTATAGTGCGGAACATTATGTCCAATATGCACTTAGTCTGTTACAAAAATTTTCATTTGTAAGAAATACTGTATTTCTACCCTGTACATTTTTTTCCCTATTTTAGCTCAATTTTGATTATGGTTCTTTTGAAAAGATATGTAGAAACAGTAAAAGATTACCTAAAACTATAAAAAATGGCTTCATAAGGGGCTGGGCATGGTGGCTCATGCCCGTAATCCCAGCACTTTGGGAGGCTGAGGCAGGTGGATCACTTGAGGTCAAGAGCTCAAGACCAGACTAGCCAACATGGTGAAACCCCGTCTCTACTAAAAATACAAGAATTAGCCAGGTGTGATGGTGGGTGCCTGAAATCCCTGCTACTTGGGAGGCTGAGGCAGGATAATTGCTTGAACCTGGGTGGCAGAGGTTGCAGTGAGCCGAGGTCATGCCACTGTACTCTAGCCTGGGTGACAGAGCAAGGCTCTGTCTCCAAAAAAAAAAAAAAAAAAAAAAAAAAAAGTTCTATAAGAAAAAAGTAAATAAATGGAGTTTAGTGGTTTATATGAAATAATTCAATTCAAAGGGATGCCTTACATTAATTTTAATTATGTGGAACGAGTTTATACTAATCAGTTGTTTTAATAAATGGGAAAATTAAAATATAGCTTTAAATAGGGGAGATTTATTTCAAATGAAAGGAAAAACATATTGACAGTTAAGAGTGAGACAGACATAGGAATATTCCAGCAATTGAGAGTGTTGATGATGCATCCTTGGTGACCTTTTAAGAAAATAGGAAAATATCTATTTATTGATATTTCCTCCTATGTATGTAACTACTTTTAATGGTTATTTTTCAGATACAATTTACCATATTTTTATCATTAATTTTTTAAATCTCCTGAATATGGAGAAAATCCTACCTTTACTGTTGTGTATGAGCAATAAAACTCATTATAACTAGTCCTGTAAACTGTGACCACCAGGTAACTTGTTGATAAGTTGGCATAGGAAGGGACCTCATACAACAGGGAATTCAGCTAAAATATTAAAGTTGCTAATTCTGAATCTTGGCAGATGGCTGGAAGTCCAAGTCATCTTTTTTCTGAGACTCTTGTGCATATGGATGGTTTTTGGTTGGGTCTGCTATCTGAAGTATCTGACATGGTAGGTATTATGGGCAAATGATAATGTTCGTATTTGAATAGTTGATAGCTTAATGATTTCAAAGAATTATTATACATTGAAACACAAGGTCAGTCAGTGGCTGGAAATGAATGCACACATTTGAAGTGAGAGGACTGCTGAGAGCTTGTTGGGTGGTTGGGACCTCAGTCCTAGGTTCTCTCTGCCCCGACCTTCTGGCAAGGGGAATAGAGTTAGCTCAGGAAACAAAGGTAAAAGCCCATTTTCCACAACTAGGTAAACCAAGTAAGCATTAAGGATATTAAAAAGGAAAAACTGGCTGGGTGTGGTGGCTCATGCCTGTAATCCCAGCACTTTGGGAGGCCAAGGCAGGAGGATCACTTGAGGTCAGGAGTTTGAGACCAGCCTGCCCAACATGGTGAAACCCCATCTGTATGAATAATACAAAAGAAAATGAGCCTGGCATGGTGGCATGCACCTGTAGTCCCAGCTACTGAGGAGGCTGAGGCAGGAGCTGAGATTGTGCCACTGCACTCCAGCCTGGGTGACAGAGAGAGACCCTGTCTCAAGAAAAAAAAAAAAAGAAAAACTTTAAGCATGTTTAACTTTATCAGAGGTTGCCTGAGCAAAAAACAAACAAACAAACCAAAAAACCCAATAACAATGATTTGCGATTAGGCAGCCCTCAGAACTAGAACAGGTTCCAAGAACTATCTGCTACCTGTTCACCTAGCATTTATGGACAGAAAACAGAGTGGGACAAAAAAAAACAACTTAATTGGTTACAGCTAGGTGTTGTGTCTCACTTTAATCAGCTGACTGTCAACAGTTGACTGAAGCTCAGATGCTGTAACTAATAAACTCAGCTTTTTGTTACATGAGTACACGCTCAAGTTTCATTCAGCATGAATGACTTCATATTAGTTTGGTCTGTTGGGCTCAGTACAGGAGCCTAGTCCAAATCAATGGCCTCCTGCAAATTTTATTTAACAGGTTAAAAGTTTAGTCCCAGAATATCTGAATTAGAGCATAAGGCAGAAAGATGAATTCTCAGTCCTACCTGCTAATGGGACGTGAGCCTTTAGATATTCTGCTGGGCTTGACCAGAATTAGCTCAGAGCCTGAGCATTTGTTAACTTGTAGCTGTTGAAGCTTGGAAAAGCAAGGATTCCACCTTAGTGAAATTAAATGACTTACCCAAGATCACAATACTAATTTGAAATTGTGTCAGAATTGGGATCTAGGCCTATGTCCATTCCTAATCTAGTAGATTTGCTATATAATACCATCTTGAATGTGCAAATTACAACCTTGTTACTTCACAAAGTGTGATTATTACTGTAAAGCTTAAAAAGTTGCTTGCTACTTGGAAAAGCAATCCTGAATAATTAAATAAATCTTGTTATATAAATATAAAATTGCATAAAATTTTTAGAAAACTGTTGATAGAGTCTTTATTATTTATTTTACATTCATATTTATTTTACATCCCATGATAGATACTTGCCACCTTATATAGAACTTTTGCCAATATTAGGGTTTAATAAATATTGATTGAATGCTAATATCTGAAATGGTAGTCAGAGGAGTTGGGCTTTTCACCTCTGCGTTTGTGTGTGTGTGTGTGTATATATATAATTGTCAACATGATAGAATTTATACTATAATCAAAATTACCTTGGTTTTTAGAAGTGATTTATAGTATATTTACTTTTACATCTATCTATTGAGTGGTCCCAGCAATAATTAGTGAAACGTAATGTAAGAACCATCCATTATCTTCTTTTTATAAATGAGGAAACATACTCCAAGATCATGTGAATGGAAAAGGAAACATGGGAAAATCATATTTCTGAACATGAGTTGTACATTACCAGATTTTGTTTTAGGAAGACTCACTATTAAATGTGTGTGTGCGTGTGTGTGTATGTTTTGATTAATGTATGTATTATGTGTTAAGTAAATAGTATACATGCTCATTGCAAATCATTTAAAAATATATGTGACGAAGAAATGAAAAATTGCCAGTAATCTCATTGCTCCATGGTCACTATTGTAAACATCTGACATTTGTTAAATCTATTATTTATGTCCTGTATTCAAAGTAGTGTGGAGGTAGGCAAGATCACTGGATTAGTCAGGAAATTTGAATATTCTACCTGTCTGTTAGCTTAGTTTTTGACCTTGGTGTAGGGATTCCGTGATTGCCAACATTTAATTTTTAAAATTATTTCTTACCTTACCTTCTTCTCCAGTTTATACTGTTATTTCTATTAAATAAATATGACTTTGTTTTCCAGTGAGATAACTAGATTAACAACATTACCTTTATTGTCAGTGAAGAATAAAAGATGATGTTTCACCTAGCTCATGTAGTTCTAGTTCTCAAGAATATGATA
This sequence comes from Homo sapiens, assembly GCF_000001405.40. Taxonomy (NCBI): domain Eukaryota; kingdom Metazoa; phylum Chordata; class Mammalia; order Primates; family Hominidae; genus Homo; species Homo sapiens. Next base: position 34,997,253 of record NC_000013.11, read on the forward strand.
TGTGATACTTTTTGAAATATTTAAAGTAGTTTAAACAGTATCCATTTGACTCTATAAAAGCCTAGCTGGGCTCTCCATGAGGGAACAATTCGAATAGATGGTTTGTAACGTCTTTTTCAGTTTTAAAATGCAGATACTTTGATTCCATTGCACATTGATATATGAACTCATTCTTCCTTATTATTATTTCCCAAAATGGTAATTATTTTGCTTCTAGACCAGCAAGCTAATATATCAAAAACTCTTACATGTAAATGTAGTTGTTTAAAAATATTTATGCTGTGTAATGTCAGTAATTTATGAGTTACAGACATGATATCCCTTATATTTTTGCATAATAATTCATTTTTAGGAAAAACTAAGAATAAAGTTATTCTTTGTATTTTTACCAGTCTTTTCCCAACCAAGTGTTACTGAAACTGTCATACCAAAATCTTTTTACCTTTTAAGATTCTCACTTTTGAGGCTGAGAACTATGAAGCTAGTATTCCAATTTGCATTCATTGTTGTAATTTCAGGCAGCATGTCCAATTTACTTCTACTGTTAGGTGCTTGTTTGTTGTACTTATGAAGAACTAAGAAGGATTTTCTCGTAGCCCAGAGTTATGTTATTTTTTGCTTAGTGACAATTTTTACAAGAGACCTTATTATAATCAAACCAATGAAATGCATCATAGTACCTTTTTCAGAGTGCCAGTGGCTTAGGAGGTATTTTTTTTATGTAAACTTGTTAAAGGCATGTAACTAACTATTGGGCAAAATTCACCCCCGATATTTCACATAGGTTCTTTTCTATTTTCTGTAAGTGTTGGCCGGTCTGAGAAATAAAGGGACAGAGTACAAAAGGGAGAAATTTTAAAGCTGGGTATCCGGGGGAGATATCACATGTTGGCAGGTTCCATGATGTGCCCCCAAGCCACAAAACCAGCAAGTTTTTAGTGATTTTCAAAAGGGGAGGGAGTGTACAAATAGGGTGTGGGTGACAGAGATCACCTGCTTCACAAGGTAATAAGATATCACAGGGTAAATGGAGGCAGGGTGAGATCACAGGACCACAGGACTGGGGCAAAATTAAAATTGCTAATGAAGTTTCAGGCAGGCATTGTCATTGATAACATCTTATCAGGAAACAGGGTTTGAAAGCAGACAACTGGTCTGACCAAAATTTTTTAGGTGGGAATTTCCTCATCCTAATAAGCCTGGGAGTGCTGCAGGAGACGGGGGCTTATTTCATCCCACAGCTAAGACCGTAAGAGACAGCTGCCCCCAAAGCGGCCATTTTAGAGGCCTCCCCTCAGGGACGCATTCTCTTTCTCAGGGATGTTCCTTGCTGAGAAAAAGAATTCAGTGATATTTCTCCCATTTGCTTTTGAAAGAAGAGAAATATGGCTCTGTTCTGCCCAGCTCACCGGCAGTCAGAGTTTAAGGTTATCTCTCTTTTTTCCCTGAACATTGCTGTTATCCTGTTCTTTTTTTCAAGATGCTCAGATTTCATATTGTTCAAACACACATGCTGTACAATTTGTGCAGTTAACGCAATCATCACAGGGTCCTGAGGCGACATACATCCTCCTCAGCTTACGAAGATGACGGGATTAAGAGATTAAAGACAGGCATAGGAAATCACAAGGGTATTGATTGGGGAAGTGATAAGTGTCCATGAAATCTTCACAATTTATGTTCAGAGATTGCAGTAAAGACAGGCGTAAGAAATTATAAAAATATTAATTTGGGGAACTACTAAGTGTCCATGAAATCTTCACAATTTATGTTCTTCTGCCATGGCTTCAGCTGGTCCCTCCGTTTGGGGTCCCTGACTTCCCTCAACAACTAACCAAGCTTATATCCTTATGGTAGAAATAGAGACATACTATAAATATTTATAACAAACAAAATTGGGGTAAGAATCCTTCTTTTGTTCTATTGTTTGGTCAGTCAATAAATATATTTTTAAAAATTTTTGTGGGTATATAATATGGGGAATATATGTGTGGAGTACTTTAGATATTTTGATACAGGTGTACAGTGTGTAGTAATCACATCAGGGTAAATAGGGTATCCATCACCTCAAACATTTATCCTTTGGCTCCTTTTCAATAAAAAAATTTTGTTTTCTCACAGCTCTCCCCCAATACTCTCTTTACCCCCTTACCTGAAATCTAAGTGCTTTTTGTTCTCACAAGTCCTCTGTACCTTATGATGAGTGAAGAGCTTGACATTCTCCAGGTATTTTGCTTCTAGACCACTTTTTTAAAAATCACCTTCTTTCAGCAGAGTGTTCTCACTTTGAAATCTGTGTAATACCTGCTTTGCCATGATTGTTCTTATGCTTACTGTCATTAGTGATTTTTTTTAAAAAAATAAGCTTTATAAAAGTGGAAGCCTGTGTGTGAATTTTTCTGTGATTTTTTTTCTTTTTTTGACTCAGCCTTATGGGTTTGAATTCATTTGTTTGAGTATCTCCCTTTAACAACAACAACCTTATGAGGTAGACACTATTATTATCCACACTTAACAGATGTGGGACTGAACACAGTTATATGTTTAGGTAACTTGATAAGGTTATATATCCAGTAAGTACAGTGTCTGGATTTTAACACAGGCATTCTATTTCAAAGCCCAGACTCTTAACCAGTATACAGTACTTACATTCACTGGTAATCAGAACAATGGAAACTAAACTGTGATGCCCATCATCCGTCGGTATGTCTGTATCTATCTTCCTTCTGTCTGTCTACATACCTTTATATGTATTTAGATTATCAACAGATTATCTGCAGCAAAATTGGGTACAGTAATATCTTTAAGGGTCAGGGGAAGATAATTTTGAATTTAGTAATGTCCTATCCAGACATTAACATTTTAGAATAAGATAGACATAAGGACAATTTCAGGCATACAGGGACTCAGAAACTTTTTCATAGATCATTGCTGAAAGAATTATTAATGGATATACTCTAGCAAGAAGGGCAATGAACCAGGAGAAAATAATGGGATACAGGATGTAATGATGCACAAAGAAAGCAGTAAAACATGCTGTTAAATTCAAATATAGTTGAAAAATTTACATGGGAATTGGGAGAGGAAGTATAGAGGACAGTAAAATAGTAAGCTATGGTTCTGGTCCTGTTTCGGAGAAGATAGATATGCTTGCTTGCTAATGTTAAACTTGGTTAGGAAAAGAATAAATCTACATGTAAACTGCTATAATAATACCACCTACAATTTACTAAGCATTTATATGTGCCAGATACTTTGTTAACATTTTACATGGATTATAAGAGATACACACACATTCACTCTATATATGTTATATAGATTATATATTTATAATATATATAACACACACACACACACACACGTTTTAAAAGCATACACAAATGCAGGGATACTGATCGAGCAAGCATTTAATAGCTGTATCCTTTAGGAAATAGAGGGGAAGGGGTTGAGATGGGGAGGTGTGAAGGTCAAGTGGAAAATTTTGCTTTATCTTTATAGATAAATGCTTTTACATTAAAAATGCCATCACATATTATTGTTTTTTTAAAAACCTAAAGAAGTTTAAGCAGATATACCAAAAATATCAATAGCAATTAAATTTGTTTTTTTACTTTCCTTTTTTGTTTTTGTTTTTTAGTGTAATTTTGAATTTCAAAAAAGAAAAAGCCTTGAGAAACACTTGGCAGCAATGATAACATAGTTGGTTTTTTTTTGTTGTTGTTGTTGTTGTTAAGAGAGGAGGTCTTAGTATGTTTCTGAGGTTGAACTTGAACTCCTGGACTCAGGTGATCCTCTCATCTCAGCCTCCTGAGTAGTTGGGACTATAGGTGCTTGTCAATGTGTCTGATTTGTGGCGTAGTTCTTAAATCTTTTCAAACTTCTATTAAAAATAATAACTAGGGTAACTGAAGGAAGAAACAAATGCTGGGTAGGATACAGAGAAAAGGGAACTCTTATACATGGTTGGTAGGAATGTACATTAATACAACCATTATGGACAACAGTATGGAAGTTTCTCAAATAACTGAAAATAGAACTACCATATGATCCAGCAGTCCCACTACATAGGATATATCCAAATGAAAGAAAATCAACATATGAAAGAGATACTTGCACTCCCATGTTTATTGCAGCGCTATTCACAGTACTCAAAAGGTGGAATCAACCTAAGTGTCCATCAGCAGATGAATGGATAAAGAAAATATGGTATATGTGCACAATGGAATACTATTCGGCTATAAAAACAAGTGGAATCCTGTCATTTGTAGCAACATGGATGGAATGGAGGTCATTATGTTAAGTGAAATGAGCTAGGTACAGAAAGATAAATACCACATGTTCTCACTCATATGTGGAAGATAAAAAAAGTTGATCTCATGGTAGTAGAGAGTAGAATAGCAGTTCCTGGAGGCTGGGAAAGGGAGGAAGGATAGGAAGAGATTGGTAAAAGGCTATTGTAATTTTGTAATTACAAAATTACATTTAGATAGGAGGAGCACTGTAGGGTGACTATTGTTAACAATTTATTGTATATTTTGAAATAGCTAGAAGAGAGGATTTTGAATATTTCCAACACAAAGACGTGAAAAATGTTGAAAGTGATAGATGTGCTAATTGTGCTGATTTCATCATTATACATTGTATGCATTGAAATATCACTCTTTACCCCATGTGCACAATTATTATGTTAATTAAAAATTAAAATAGGTGACAGTATATCCCCGTATCACTGAATATGAGTAAAACAATGGATAGCAGCAAGAATTATGGGGGAATAGCCAGTGACCAGGAATGGTTAAAGGAAAGATAAACTATGGTGTATTCTAAGATCTGAGGAAACCAGAAACCACAAGCAAGTGTTCACCTCCAAAAAAGGTACCCTCAGAATGGGAGCTCAGGGGTCCCATCTGAGACCAGCAGTTGCAGTTGGTAGGGAGCTAACAGGTTACATACAGTTTGTGGGTACAAGGAGACTGTGGAAAGGTCTGAGAGAATAGGGGTTCCCTGGGCCTTCAGTGTTCTCTGACATACTCAATAAGGTTTGGTCCTACAATGGGGAAAAATTTATAGAAATAGAACACAATTTCATCAGGGCAGGAACTCTGTGAGTAAAGGAGGGAAATCTTCCAAATACTAATAGGTGAATGACCAGGAAAGATGCATCTTAGAAAGTACTGGAGATGAGGCTATGCTTGAGAGGCTCTTACTTTTTTATATTTCTTGGTAACAACAGTAAAGCTAGGAGCTCTATTCTGTCCCCATGTCCCCTCTTCTAATAGTTAAAGAGAAATGATCTCATTTAAACATATGCATTAGAAAATGACTGTATTAAAACTCCACAAAAATATATTGTATCAGGTCGGTGCAAAAGTAATTGCAGTTTCAGATAGTGAATTTTAAATCATTATAACTAGGCTCAAACACATACTTATTAATCAAAATAGGAACCATTACAATCAACACATCTTTTGCCAATGAGAAATAAGTTTGTTTATTCCTGTAGTATACAAATCTGTTTCGGGATGCCATGAACTCTTGGAGTGCATTTTTTGCATCCTGCTGGTTGTAGAAGCACTTTCCCCACAAAAAGTTGCCGAGATGCTTGAAGAAGTGGTAGTCAGTTGGCGAGAGGTCAGGTGAATATGGCGGATGAGGCAAAACTTTGTAGCCCAGTTCCTTCAACGTTTGAAGTGTTGGTTGTGCAAGGTACATACCGTAAGCCAACAAATAAAACCTCAGTAAATTTCATAGAACAGGGATAATAAGAGAGCGTTCTCCAGCCACAGTACAATGAACGAAGAATGCACACACTCAATCCAAAGATGGCAAGAAAGAAGAAAATTATGCATAGAAAAACTTGAATCAACAGAAAACATAAAGATGGTAAAAAGTTGGATATATTAATAATCAAAACAAATAGTATGAGCCTGGGCAATATGGTGAAACCTCATCTCTACAAAACAAAAACCAAAAATAAAAATTAGCCTGTGTGCTGGTGTGTGCCTGTAGGCCCAGCTACTTCAGGGGGGCTGAGGTAAGAGAATTGATTATGCGGTGCAGCAAGCCATGATCATGCCACTGCACTAGCCTGGGCAACAGAATGAGACCTCATCTTAAAAAAAGAAAGAAAGGGTATGCAGTATGTGACTGAGGTTATAATGTGGGAAAAAGAAAATGCAGGTATATGCTTTTTACAAGAAATGCCCAAGTAGTAAAAGGATGAAACATGAACTAGACAAATAGCTGCCCAGCCTGTCTCCCCAAAGATACTAGGTGACTTTTAATGTGCACACATTTGATTTTAGGAAGGATAAAGAGATCTCTAAATAAAAATTCCATTTCAGTTCATAGATATGGAAATAATTTAAATGGTTTTAATTGCATCAAGTTTGTGATTGTTTATATGTTCCCATGTAGTTTGGGAACATTACACTCTGAATTTGTCATCCATATACATTTTATTTCTTAACTTTAATTTTTATCTCATTTAGATTTGGTGGGATGCTTTGTCGTCTTTTTTTAAGAAAATTTAATTTTATTTTAAGTTCCAGGATATATGTGCTGGATGTGCAGGTTTGTTACATAGGTAAATGTGTGCCATGGTGGTTTGCTGCATGTAACAACCCATCTCCTAGGTATTAAGCCCTGCACGCATTAGCCATTTATCCTGATGCTCTCCCTCCTCCCACCCTACCCTGACAGGGTGTGTTGTTCCCCTCCCTGTGTCCATGTGTTCTCATTGTTCAGCTCCCACTTATTAGTGAGAACATGCAGTGTTTGGTTTTATGTTCCTGTGTTAGTTTGCTGAGGATAATGGCTTCCAGTTTCATCCATGTCCCTGCAAAGGACATGATCTTGTTTCTTTTTATGGTTGCATTAGTATTCCATGGTATATGTGTACCCCATTTTCTTTATCCAGTATATTATTGATGGGCATTTGGGTTGATTCCATGTCTTTGCTATTGTGAATAGTGCTGCAGTGCACACACGTGTGCATGTATTTTTGTAATAGAATGATTTATATTCCTTGGGTGTATACCCAGGAATGGGATTGCTGGGTCAAATGGTATTTCTGGCTCTAGGTCTTTGAGGAATTGCCACGGTGTTATATTGGATGCTTTGTCTTCTAATGTAGATCATTCATATGGTCTTCAAGTCTTTTGTAAATTGCTGAATGTTTGAAATAGTTTGCTGTGATTGAAAAGGAAGTTAAAGGGGGAAAAAAGCACTGGACAACTAGACTCTGGTATGCTGCTACCACTGACAAACTTTGTTACTGCCTCTTGACTAGTTTCTTTTTTCATTTATGCCCTTTGAGGCTCTAATATCCCATTTTGGAAGCAGTTCTTGTGGATTGGGGATATCGCTGTATTTTTCTCTCTGTAGAAAATACCAGTGCATTTATTCGATCTGTGCATTAGCTTATATATTTCAGCAAGTCCACTACTTAATAAAATGATCATAGTAATCCCACTTGGTATATGACATGATGAAGATGAAGGTGCTATCTGGTTAAAGATCCAAAAGAAGAGGATTTATAACAAATAATGTTTGTCTGGACATTTGAATTTAAGCATCGAAAAGGATATTAATAGAACAGTGTGAATTTCCAAAGTAGACATAATGCAGCTATGCACATGATAGAATAAAAATAGAGCTTTTGTCTTATTTTTTAAAAGCTTAGGAGAATTAAGACATGATTTAATGTTTTATGATGACAGTATTTTGCCAGTTTTTTATTACCTTATTTATTATATATTATAATGCATTAAGTTGATACTGATTATCAACTATGTGCCAAGCATTATACTGTTACATGTGAAATGGTAAACTGTATTTGGGCAGACGATTTCCCATGGCATTTTTGCATGTCTTGTATTAGCATTTGTTCTGGACTATCTTTTCAGGGATTTTGGTGCAGGAAACAGCCTTGAGAAACAGACATACGTTTGGCACAGGGCAGATTTTTTTTTTTTTTTCTGACCATGATAATAAAGATGTTTCCCTCTGAGGCAAAGGTTGGACAGGTTTTCTGGCAGCTCCTTTAAAAGACTGGAGTTTTCAAAGCTTGTGGTTCCTTCTCTGTGATGCAAACTCACTGTGTGTGTGCAGCATCCACCTGTCTTGCTTCTGCTTTAACCCTGTGAGACTTTGGAGGAGAGAGGGGACCAATACAAACATGAAGGTCATGATGTCTGTTGTGCAATGAATAATGAAACCTTTAATCTCTGACCCTGTAAACTTAGATATTTTGCTGTCTATGGAACTATCAGGCTAATTTGTTAGCTTGCAAGTAGGGTAAAATATCAGACCCTTTGTAGTTCTTGACCCAATGGAGATTGATTCCTTGGTATTAGAGCATTTCTTCTCTAGTGGAGAAGACAGAAAGTGAAACAGTTACTTACAGTATCCTTGATAATTGTTATGATGGTATGGAAGCACCTAGCTGGAGCACTTAATTCAGTTAACTAGTTAAGGAAGAGTCAAGGATAGCTTACCAGAGGAAGTGACATATTTAGACCTGAAAAATGAGAATAAGTTAGGCAAAAGACAGAGATTAGAAAAGAGTTTATACTTCCAGATATGTGTATGCATAATTATTTTAGGCTTCCCTTTTTTGTTTTGTGTTTATGAATTACTTTGCACATTTTAAACTCTTGGAAGAGACAGGAACCATTTCATAGCCTCCATGGGTTACATTCTGTAGTTTTCCTTAGGTATAAGGTGTATTTCTTCATTTCTTATAAGCTGCATGTGGTTGATCTTTTGTTTAAAAAAAGTATATGTATTTAAAAATGTATATATCTATCTGTCCAGTTTGCCAATTCTTGTCTTTAAATTGGAGGGTCTAGTCTCTTTACGTGTAATTATTGACGTGTTTGAATTTAAACATACCATATTACCAAGTAGCTTTTTATTTGTCATGTCGGTTCAGTACATTTTTCTTTTTTTTTCCCACTACTTTTGGATGTACATGTCTTTTATTTTTATTCAGCATCCCCCTTTATTAACCTTAAAAAATTATTATTTTGCTATTCTTTTAGTGGTAACCCTAGATATTATAACATGCATGTTTGATTTATTAAAGGGTAAAATAAATTTATACTTTTATCATTTTCTGGACAATTCATGGATCTTCAAACACTAATTTCATTTATCCTTCTCCCAAATTCAGTGCTATTGTTTTTGATATATTTTAATCTTTTCCATCTTTTAAAGCTCTTCTGGACATCATTGTTATTGATAAACATAGTAAATATGTATTTAGATTTATCCATGTGTTTTTCCTTTTTCTAGCCTTTATTTCTTCCTGCATGTCTAAGCTTCCATCTGGGCTCATTTACTTTCTGCCTGAAACATAGATTTTAGTATTTTCTTTGTTGGAAATCTACTTTTTACAGTCTCTTTTTCTTTCTCTGCAATTTTTAAATTTTTCCTTCACGTTTAAAGGATATATTCCTAGATATAGAATAACAGTTGGCAGTTATTTTCTTTCCTAGGTTTTTAAAGTTTTTGAAAGAGTCTCACTCTGTTGCCCAGGCCAGGCTGGAGTGCAGTGGCACGATCTTGGCTTACTGCAACCTCCACCTCCTGGATTCAAGGGATTCTCCTGCCTCAGCCTCTCGAATAGCTGGGATTACAGGCATGCACCACCACGCCTGGCTGATTTTTGTATTTGTGGTAGAGGACTTGTGTTGTCATCTGACTTCTGTTATTTCAGTTTTCGAACAATATGTTGCTGCTTCTTTGAAGGTAATACATCTTTTTCTCGTCACTTTTTAAAACAATTCTGATTTTTAGCACTTTTCCTCTGATGTGTGTAGATGTGATTTTTTTTTTGTACTAGTGAAATGGATGATAGATCAGAAATGATTCTGGTATCTATAGCTTAATTTATTTAACTGGCCTTGAAAATTTGTTTGTAATTCTGTGTTCAAACACTGCTTCTTTATTTCTTTCTCCTATCCTTCATGAAGTGTAATTATAGGTATGATAGCCCTATTCATTGTATTTCACATCCTTTTTTCCCCCCTCTGTTTTTATCCTTATGTCCTTACTATGTCCATATGACTGAATTTTTTTTGATGTGTATTCTAGTTCACTCATTACTTCTTCAACTGTATGTAATGTGCTGTTAAACCTACCATTGAATTATCAAATTCACTTATTTTTCAGTTGTGGAAAGTATGTTTTATACTCTTCTATGGTTTTTTGTTTTCTGCTGAAATCTTCAATCTTTTTTTGTTTGTTAGTTTTTGAACTGGGTCTCATTCTGTTACCCATGCTGGAGTGCAGTGGCGTGATCTCACCTCACTGTAGGCTTGACCTCCCAGGCTCAAGTGATCCTCCTGCAGCGGCCTCCTGAATAGCTGGGACTACAGGTGCATGCTACTGTGCCACAGCTAATTTTTTTTGTATTGGTGGAGATGGGGCTTTACCCTGTTGCCCAGGCTGGTCTGGAACTGCTGAGTTCAAGCAATTTGCCCGCATTGGCCTCTCAAAGTGCTGGAATTACTGGTCTGTGCCACCGTGCCCAGCCCTCAATCTTGTTTTTCACATTAGTAATTATTGTTTTATGTTCTGGTTCTGATAACTTCATTATCTAGTCATTTGTGTATCTGCTTCATTATCTAGGACCCTATATGTCTGTTGCTTTCCTTAGCTTTTATTCACTTCTAATCATTTAGTATGGCTGGCTATTTTTTATTGATGTCTGAATAAAGTATATAAAAATTGTAAACGCAATTTGAGGCTTTGGATACTGTTATCTTCCTTGAGAGAAGATTACTTTTGATTTACGCTGGTGCTGGTGTGTAGGCTTGGGACCCTGGCAGTCACAGATTGTTACAATCCAACTAAGAATAGGGATGATTTGAAGTTGTGCCTGGTCTCTGCAAGGACTTACCTATATCGGTTTTTGTTTTAATTGAAATGAAATTCACAATAGCTATAGTTCACCATTTTAACTATTTAAAAGTATACAGTTTAGTGGTTTTAGTATACAATTTTCCCTTCGTATCCTTGGGAGATTAGTTTCAGGACCTCCCATGGATACCAAAATCTACGGATGCTCTAATCCCTTAAGGAAAATGGCTTAATATTTACATATAACCTATGCATATCCTCCCATATCCTTTAAATAATCTCTAGATTACTTATAATGGCCTATACAATGTAAATGCTGTGTAAATAGTTGTTATACTGTGTTGTTTACGAAATAGTGACTAGAAAAATGTTTGTGTATGTTCATTACAGACACTGTCATCCATTTATTCCCCAAATATTTTTGATCCATAGTTGTTTGAATCCATACACAGAGACTCTATGCATACAGAGGGCATAATGCAGCTCTGTATTTACAATGTTGTATAATCATCATCTACTTAATTCTAGAATACTTCCATTACATTAAAAAGAAACCCCTCATCTCCCAATTTCCTCATCTCATCAACCCCTGGCAGTCCAGTAATCTACAGATTTACATATTTTAAATGGAATCATACAATATGGTCTGTTGCTACTGCCTTCTTTCTACTTAATATATTTGGCCTTTTTTTGTAACCCTTACTTTTGGGGTATACTTACTTGCAACAATTCTTGGAAGTCTGTGAACCCTAGCTTTGTCTCACTGTTTTCATGGGCATATTAAAATCTTTGTTCAGGTTCTCAGCCCTCCAACTGTTGTTTTTACAGTGGGCATTTATCTTGAGAGGGAAAGTAGCCTAAAGTCTGGGCTTACATCTCTGGGTTTCCTTTCTCTCTTGATCTGCCTTTGCAGTCCTAGTTTTCTTGGTAGCTCTCTGATGTCTTCAAGTATTGTTTTTATGTTTTATCCATCTTTCTGATTCCCAGCTCATTGGAATTAGACTATGTAAATATTTGCTGAATGACTAAATTCATTTATTGAAACATTATTTATTGAATGGAAAATATGTGCCAAGTACTGGAGGTATAGTAGTGTACAAAGCAACAAAACTCTCTACTCTCCCACAGGTTACATTTTAGGGACAGTTGATAGGAAATAAAGCATACACCTGAAATACATAGTATGTCAAAAGGTGGAAATTTCTGTGGAGAGCATAATGCAGGGAAAGATAGAATGAGTTCTAGGGTGTTGAGAGCTGTTTCAAGTAAGGTAAGTTAGGGAAAACCTCTTTGATAAGATGACATGGGAAGAGTTAACTGAAGGGAGAGAGCCATATGGATATCAGTCAGAGGGAACAGAAAGTATAAAGACCCCGAGTCAAAAATGAGCTGTCCCACTGTCCAAGCAAGAGTATGGCTGGAGCAGAAATGAGGTGGTAGATTAGCTCCTAGCTCTGGGGGTTGGACAGATCATGTAGAGTGCTGTACAAGTTTGGATTTTATTAGAACAGAGTTGGGAAGCTGCTGGAGTGTCTTGAGTAGAGGAGAGACATGATCTGCTTAGCACTCACATTGATCCTGTTAAAACTGGTATTTCGGAATAAACCAGATCCTGGGTGGTGAGGGTGGATGCAGAGACACCACCTGGAGATTTTTTCAGTAACACAGACAAGGGAGGAATACTCTTTTAGATCAGGGTGCTAGCAGTGCAAGTAGAAAGAACTGACCAGAATTTAGATATATTTTGAAGGTACAGACAACCCAGTTTGCTAGACATTTGAATGTGGGGGCATGAGAAAGTCAGGAGTTAAGTTCTTGGCCTAACTGATCAGAAGGATGGAAGTGCCATTGAGTGAAACTAGAAAGCTCGCTAGAGGATCTAATTTGCAGGTGGGATAGGCAGAAGATCAAGAGTTTGTTCTTGGCCCTGTTCAGTTTTATATGCCTGTTGTGCAGCTAAGAGGAGATGACAAGAAGTAAGTTAAATATATGAGGCTGCAAAATGGTCTGAGGTTAATATATACATTTGTGAGTTATTAGTATCTTGTTGATACTAAAAAAGCTTTGAGATTGAATGAGGTCATTTAGGGGTGAATGTGAATAGAGAAGAGATGCAAGTACTGAAAACAGAGACAATTCAAATTTTATAAGTCCAGGGCTGAGGAGGACTCAATAAAGAAGGTAGATGGGGCTCATGCTTATAATCCCAGTACTTTGGGAGGCCAAGGCAGGAGGATCACATGAGGCTAGGAGTTTGAAGACCAGCCTGGGTAACATAGTAAGACCTCATTTCTACAAAAAGCGAAACAAATATTAGCCAGGTGTGGTGGTGCTCACCTGTAGTCCCAGCTACTTGGGAGGCTGAGGTGGGAGGATCATTTGAGCCTGGGAGATCAAGGCTGCAGTGAGCCGAGATTGTGCCACTGCATTCCAGCCTGGGCGATGGAGACCCTGTCTCAAAAAAAAAAAAAAAAAATAGATGGGCCAGGCATGGTGGCTCGTGCCTGTAATCCCAGCAGCTTGGGGAATCTAAGGCAGAAGGATAAGTTGAGTCCGGGAATGGGAATTCAAGACCAGCCTGGACAACATAGCAAGACTGGGTCTCTACAAAAAAAAAAAAAAAATATATATATATATATATATATATATATATATATATATAAGCTGGGTGTGGTGGTGCACACCTGTAGTCCTAGCTACTTGGAAGGCTGAGTTAGGAAGATGACTGGAGCCAAAAAGTTTGAGGCTGCAGTGAGCCATGTTTGCCTGGGTGACAGAGCAAGACCCCATTTCTTTAAAAAAAGGGCTAGTAGCTCAAGGATGAAGTGGAGCCAATGATTTTTTTTTTTTAAGTTGGGATAGATTTTACTGTGTTTGCATGCTGAAGCGAATGATCTAGCAGGTCAAAGGTCAGGAACGAGTCTTGTAGCAGTTTTCTTGAGGAGGGGAACAGGTATGGAATGTAGAGGGCAGAGGACATAGGTGGAAGGTGGGCTCTGTATAGTCCTGAGGGTAGTTCATCCACAAGAGAAGGGAAGGCAGATTATTTTGGTAACCCTACAGGGTTAATAGATAGAACATATCAAAGTTGCCTTTCATCAATAAGAGTAAGAATGGTGGAGGAGGTCCTGTAAGTTTAAGCAGGGAAGAGAAGCAGCAAAATAGTAAATGGAAAAGGAAATAGATCTGGGAAATGGATTGTAGAGGAGCACTGAGATAATTTCACCTTCTCATCTATAAATTGAGAAAGTTTAATTAGATCCATCTCAAGACTTTTAAATGAATAAGTAATTGACTAACCACACCTTGAATACTATAATATACAAATTCTTGCTATTACTTGCTGTGACTTCGTTGTCAAACAGTAAAAACAAGTGTTTGATATGGATATAATATTGATATAAACAGAATTATTAATGTTAGTGCATATAAATATGACATTCAAATGCAAATCTTATTGCTAGCAAAAATTTTTTGATATTAATTTCTATATATAGTTTAAGCTATAGATTATGGAAAACAGAAGCAATGCCCATAGTTGGTAGTTCACATTTGAACTACATAATGATCTCGTACTACTCCTAAGAATTTCTAAAACATATTTATGGAAGCTAAGTTTAGGTATGTATGTTCATTTCAGGGAATATTCATTTTAGGCTACTTGATATTTTACTTAAGCTTAATTACTCACAGGTGTGCTATTGCAGTTGTATGATAAAGGAAATAACTAAATTTTATGACTATCCAAAACATTCTTTGTGATTTTTTACTATCTATAATTTTTTTAATTTTTAATACAGTATTGCTCTGATATTTAGCAGTATTAATCACTTGTCATTTATATCTGTTTATCAGTGCATAGTGCCAGTGAAGTTGAAGTCATAGATACTATTCCCAGTAAGTTTTCCTCCGTATTTAGTTCTGGCTGCCCATGTCATACTGGAAAAATAAGGCAACTTAAATTTATTGAGTACTTTTAAAGTTCATTTTATGCCACTATAATAGAATAGTACAGACTGGGTAATTGGTAATGAACAGAAATTTATTGGCTCACAGTTTTGGAAGCTGGGAAGTCCAATATCAAGGTGCTGGTATCTCATCAGGGCCTTCTTGCTGTGTCATCCCATGGCAGAAGAGCAAAGAGAGGGTGGGAGAGAGAGCAAGAGGGGGCCTAAGTCATCCTTTTATAGGGAACCCATTCTTCTGATAAGGAGCCCTCTCACATGATAGTGGCATTAATCAACTCGCTCCACCCTCATGGCCTAATCACCTCTCTTTAGGACCCATCTCCCAACAATGTTGTATTGGGGATTAAGTTTCCAGTATATGTCTTTTGTGGGAACACATTCAAGCCATACCAAGTAAATAGCCTAAGTGAGTCACTTTTGAGTACTTTACATGTGGTAGAGTCTTTAGTCCTGCAGCTATCCTGTGAGATAGGCGGTGTTATTCTGAAAAGTTCCATGCCAAATTATGGATTTAGTAAGTGACAGGGTTGGGATTTATTTCCAAGTTATTCCAAATCTAAAGACTGTGCCACTATTAATGATCAATTATAGTTCAGTAAAGTATATTTTGTATAACATTTGAAAATAAAACAATGGTTATATAGTCTTGTGCCTGTGAATTGTTCTTTTTTACCTGGCTGTATATCATCTTTAATTAGTGCCTTCCTGGACTCAGTCACCTTCTTTTAATTAGCCTTTATTTTATGTTCTTATTAGAAACTTGATAATTTCTACATTATTGAAAAAAGAAATTTTGTAAGTAAGAGACTGCTTAGGATATTATGGAGTGGAACTAGAGTTCGAGAATTGAATGGCATTAGGTTGGCTCCTGATTGTGTACTTTAGGGATAGGTTATTTTTGTGGAAGAGTTAGTAAGAATTCTTTTATCAAATAGATAGTTAATAGACTATAAGGGGTAGATGGTTGAAAACTAAATATTTAAATGTTATTTTAAAGCTACTTACAAATATACTGACATCACACAAATGATATGAAATACTTGCTTAATAGATATATAATAGTTTCAAATATTTCAGTGCATACTATTTAGGTGCTTCTCATAGAATGGTCAACAAGACCAATGTGGAACTTATCATTAGAAGTTTATAGTCCAGTGTTTGTATATAACCCAACCCTGAGAGATATATCTAGCCCCCACCCCTAGAAACTTACTGTTTTCCCTCTGATTGTAAAATATTCATTTTACAAAATTTGTGGAATAGGAAAAAATATAAAGATAAATGGAAAAGATTTATAAGCCCACAGCTCAGAGATACACTTCGGACATATTTCACTTTAGTTTCTTTTTCCTTTATACACATTTATTAGCATGAATTAAACATGTATCTTTTTTTTTTTTTTGAGACAGAGTCTCACTCTGTTGCCCAGGCTGGAGTGCAGTGGTACAATCTTGGCTCACTGCAACCTCTGCCTCCCAGGTTCAGGCGATTCTCCTGCCTCTGCCTCCCGAGTAGCTGGGTACAGGTGTGTGCCACCATGCCTGGCTAAGTTTTCTATTTTTAGCAGAGACGGAATTTCACCATGTTGGCCAGGCTGGTCTTGAACTCCTGAGCTCAAGTAATCCACCTGCCTTGCCCTCCCAAAGTGCTGGGATTACAGGCGTGAGCCACTGTGCCCTGCCTAAACATGTATTTTATAAGAAAAATCTGTTTGCTACATTTTGCTTTTAGTTTTTAATTTTCAGTTCTTTTTTTTCCTTTTGTCTCAGGGTCATATATGTCATTCTTTTTTCTCCTGTGACTCACTTAATCTTTGTATTTTCTGATCCATTAAATTCTGCTTTAACATGTATAATTTCTTTTTATTTACTCAGTTTTGCTTTTTAGAAATTCTCAACTGCATGAGTTAAATGCCTGACCCGTTTATTGTTATTATTTGCTGCTTTTAATTTTTGTTGAAAGCTTTTTAAAATAGAAATTTTTGTAAACACCTTCTCATTAGGATATAAACACAGTTATTTGGGAAGTTACATTCCTTTCCTGTTATTAGCAAAAAAACTTTTTTTTTATCTCAAGCAGGTTCTGTGAATTGTAGGGACCAGAGAACATTATTTTGTTGTTCTAGTCACGTATTTTTTATTTCTCTCAAACAAGTTTTGAACAAGTGAATCTTCTCTTTTTCCTTTACCTCATCTGGTAATTTTTGCAATCTATTTGTGCCATACTTGCAGTCTTAAAACATTTTTTTTGTTTGATTTTTACCACTTTTAGGCCTTCAGATTCTAAATTCATTATGTACTCTGATGCCAAAGTTGTTGCATACTTCACAGTTGTCTTCTTAGTAGATTATTGTACTACTTTGGCATCATAGAACCAGAAGGCCTTAGAGGTCATATAATTTTGATGAATATTATTTTTTAAAGATCTGGAAACTGGGGCTTGGAGAAGAAGTAAACTGATGTACCTAGCTCACTAAACTAATGTACTTCTGCTAAAAGGTTTTAGCAGAATCTCTACTTAAAAGCAGGGGTCTACTGGGACCAGGGCAAGCCTCAGTCCTTACTGTGAGATGAAAGCCAGGCCATCTGCCAGCCCCACTCTGCAAGGTGCCTACTCCCTGCAAACACAGAAGCTTCTTGGTGGGAGCAGACACCAGACAAACAGGCCAATGTGGGGACAGGGGCGGGGCCCTACCTGTTGGTGCCACTGGGCTCAGTGAGGTTGCCCAGGCCTTGGCTGCAGCAGTCCCGCTGCCAGCACTGGGAGAGGTTGAAGAGCACGAGACAGGCCACCAGGGCCACTGTCAGCAGCATGACCTTTGGCTTCAGGCTCATCTGCAAGAAGATGGAGCAGGCAATGAAGCCCAGGACACAGCTGCAGGTGTAGTACTGGGGAGGGGTTGGTGTCACTCAGGACAGGGCCGCATCATCACCTCCTCTTGCCTCTGATCCAGCACTGACCCCAGAGCCCCACTCTCCAGTGCTTCAGCATCGTGCTCTTGCCTTGCCGCCTCCCTTCTCAACAAAAAGCAACGAGATCTGAAAAAAAAAAAACAAACAAAAAAAAAAAACCACACACAAAGCAGGGGCCTAGATCTCTTTCCATTTAACCCCATTGAATCTGATTTGAATCTGGTTAGTAGTTCTGTGAGAAGCTATTACAGGATTTCAGATAATAAGATAATTGAAATAATGTAGCTATTCAGATCATAAAACTCATTTAATAATGAGTTATTGAGAAACTAAGTATTGTGATCTAAGTGGTGTTTTAGGAAGGTGAATTTGGCAGTGGTATTGAGTGGTGACATAGGAAGATGGGAGGAGGCAAAAAAGAGGGATTTTGAAACTGCCTGGCATGGTTCTGTGTTCCATCCCAGATATCTTTAACAAAAGCTAACAAACAGTATATACAACTACTTTCCATTTTTTTTTAATATTGTCAGTTTTCTTTTATGTGGACTAAAGCATTACATTACTCTAACAAGTAAGATAATATTGCATGATACAATAATGAAATATTATTTAATTCAAGTCATATAGTCATTATTTTTGAAAAACAAAAATAATGAGAAAATTAGCCTTCAGAAAAACATTATGAAGATTAGGAATAATTACAAAAATATTTTAGTATATATTTAAATTCTGCATTTTAAAACGTCTAGAAACAATAACTTTTTATATTATGAGTTATATTCATAATATAAAAATACTCTCTTCAGTGTGCTCTATTTGAGAACTTACATAATAACCTCATTTAACATTATGTATAACAGTGATTCAGGTGGGCAGATTTTATTTCACAAAGTGCAGTTATAATTATGGCTGAATTTTGAGATTCGGATAAAAAAGGAATATAGATATTAGTTTTTCTCATATAATCTTTATCTTTTATTCATTCATTTGAAAGTCATTCATTACACAGTTGCATTAGAATTGAAGCAAATAACTAGAATAAAGTTATGTTTTATATCAAAGCACTTAATTCTTAAAACCCCAGATATTCAAGTATTGTTTACAATTAGGATATAAAAGGTTAGAAATGATGTGCATGTTAACTCTCATGTAACTTTTGTGAGTTACACTTTGATGTGATTGAGTTTATTTCTTTGTAATTATATTCTATAATTTTTTTGCCATATGTGTATGTGTGTGTATGTAGATATATGTATACATAGTGTGTGTATACATATATACACATACATGTTAAAATGAGGATAACTTGTAAAGCGACTTAAGTTTTATGGTAAAAATGGAGTTTATTATTTTGTTAGAATCTGAGTATTACATCTAACTGGGATGTATACATTGTAGTAATTAATTCATCAGCAACTAGGATATCTTGGACATTTGACAACTCATTTGTTGAGTCCCGTTTTGGAGGGGACATTTTCTTGCATGACAGTTGCAAACTGTTATCTATCAGGCACTGAGGCAGGTACTAGGGTATATAATGGAGTGCAGAGCTACAATACAAGCTCCACCGTCCTTCAGCTTGTATGTGTATACACACACACACACACACACACACACACACACATTTATTTATTTTAATTTGAGACAGATTGTATACACACAAATCAAGTATAGATTATGTAGTGCTAGGAATGAAATAATGTATTTTTATCCAGAATAATGGAGACATACGGTATTTTAGGTAGTGTAGTCAGTGAATGCCTCTTTGAAGAGGCAGCAACTCAAACTGAGAAGTATAAGAAAGAGTCAGTCCTGCTAAGAGCCAGTTAAGAGCATGTTAGAAAGAAGGAACAGTGAGCAAAAGGCCTGGGAGTTGGGAGAAAGTGTGCCTATTTAGAAACCAACTAAAATCTGAGTGATTGGATCCTTTAATGAGCAAAGGGGAGAGTAACATGATTACATTGGTGAGGTAGACATGAGTAAGATTTATTCAGGTTTTGTCGACTGTGAGAAACAGTTTGGATTCTGTTACAAGAGCAGTGGGAAGCCATTGAAAGACTTTAGGCTAGGGGAGTGACATAATTTCTTTTATGTTCTAAAAAGATCATCTGCCGCAGTGGGAAGGGAGCAAAGGCAAAAAAGTGGTGATCTAGTGTAGTGCTTCATTTATAGTGGTGACACAGTTATTTTTTTTTATTAAATAAAGTGAAGAAACTAGAATTAAGCAGGAATCTGTTGTTTCTAGTTGTTTCCAGTAGGGATGTTTCCATCTGTACACTATTTTTAGTAAAAATGCATAAACCTATGTTTTCATTTCCGTTGGGTACTGAGAGTGCTGAGACCTACCTGTGGGTAAATGTGTGTTTAGTGCCTGTTATAAGAAATTTGCCAAATTGTTTTCTAAAGTGGCTGTGTCACTTTGTGTTCATATAAGAAATGTGTGAAAGGTCCAGTTGTTTTACATCCTCTTCCATACTTGGTGTTGTCAGTCTTTTTGATTTGAATCTGGTAGATGGATAGTGGTAGCTTACTGTGGTTTCAGTTTGTGTTTTCTGAATGCCTTATGATATTAAGTATTTTTCCATGTGCTTACAGAACATTTTTATATCTTTTTTTGAAATATCTGTTAAGATCATTTGTCAATTTAAAAATGGCTTATATTTTTAATTAAGATGTGAGAGTTCTTTATATATTCTGGGTACAAGTCTTATCAGATATATAATTTGCAAATATTTTTCTTCAGGCTCCGGTTTGTCTTTCCATTTTCTTAATAGCATATTAATTCTGTACAAGTCTAATTTATTGATGTTTTTTCTTGTCCTTTTGTGGCTTACTTAAAAAATATTTGCATAATCCAAGACAAGAAAAGATTTTTTTCTTAGAGGTTTTGCAGATTTAACCCTTATATTTGCATATGATATAAAGTAAGGATAAAAGTTCATGTGGCTGTGTGGTTGTTTCTGTTGTTGTAAATACTGTTCTTTCTCCATTATTTATCTTGTCACCTTTGTCTCACATCAATTGATCATCTATTGATTTGTTTTATAATTTATGTGGGTTTATTTGTGGGTTTATTTTTGGACTTTCTATTATGTTCTGTTAATGTGTATGTCTATTCTTATGGTAATGACATATTGCCTTGATTTTTGTGGCTTCCTTGTAAGTCATAAAATCTGGTAGTTTAGGGCCTCTCAAGTTTGTTCTTCAGTCTCAAATTTGTTTTGG
Source organism: Homo sapiens (assembly GCF_000001405.40). Lineage (NCBI taxonomy): Eukaryota > Metazoa > Chordata > Mammalia > Primates > Hominidae > Homo > Homo sapiens. Next base: position 35,018,224 of record NC_000013.11, read on the forward strand.
CTATTGTAGGCTTTTTGAATTTCCATATACGTTTTGTAATCAATTTGTGATTTTTCTAACAAAAAACCAGGCACAATTTTGATTAGGATGGTGAAAGATGAATTTGGAAGACCAAGACATCTTCTCATACTTAAATATGGTAAATGTCTGTATCTACTTAGGTTTTTCTTTTCTCTTGTTATTATTTTTTAATCTTAGCAATGTTTTGTAGTTTTGAGTATACACTTTACAAATATTTAGATGTACTTACTACTTTGTATCTCATCTTTTTGTATTATAAATGATATTCTTTTTAGTTTTAATTTATTGTTTCAATTGTTCTTTGCCAGTATAAATAAATGTAATATGTTTGTGTATATTGATCTTAAATCCTGAGAATTTGGTAAAATTCTTTATTAAATTAGAACTTTTGGGTAGATTCCTTAGGATTTTGCGTGTAGATGATTATGAGGTTTGTGAACAGAGATAGTTTTACATCTTCCTTTCCAATCTTTATGCCTTTAATTTATTCATTTTTCTTCCTGTTTTGCATTTGGTTGAGCATCCATGATAACACTGAATAGAAGTAGTCAGAGAGAACATCTTTGCTTTATTTATGACCTTAGTGTGGAAACCATGCAGTCATTCACCATTAAGTATGATGTTAGCTATAGGTTTTTTATAGATGCCTTTTATGAATATCTGGTTGAGGAAATTCTATTTCTAGTTTGTTGAGAGCTTTTATAATGAATATTTTTGAATTTTGCAAATGCTTTTTCTGTATCTTTTGACATCATCATGTGGCTTTTCATTTTTAGTCAGCTGATATGGGGAATTATGTCATTTGAGTTTTTTTTTTTTATTGATGAGCAAATCTTGCACTCCTGGGATAAAACCAACTTGGTCATGATGTCTTTTTTGTTTTTTAATATGTTGCTGGATTTAATTTGGTATATATTAAGTGTTTTTGTGTCTACGTTCACGATGGTTATTTGGCTGTAGTTTTCTTTTCTTTGAAATGGTTTTCTGATTTTGTTACCATGATATTGTTGACTCATGGGTTTTGAAATGTTCCTTTCATTAAATTTTTTTTTGTTTTTTGTTTTTTTTTTTGAGACAGAGTCTCACTGTGTCACCCAGGCTGGAGTGCAGTGGTGCAGCCTTGGCTCACTGCAACCTCTGCCTCCTGGGTTCAAGCGATTCTTGTGCCTCAGGCTCCCGAGTAGCTGGGATTATAGGCGGACACCACCACACCTGGCTAATTTTTTGTATTTTTAGTAGATACAGGGTCTCACCATGTTGGCCAGGCTGGTCTCGAACTCCTGACCTCAAGTGATCCACCTGCCTCGATTAAAATTCTGAGAAAGATTGTGTAGAATTGATAGTAATTCTCTCACGAGTGATTGATAGAATTCATCTGTGAAATCATCCAGATCTGGGGTTTTGTTTGCAGGAAGGCTTGTAACTACAAATTTAATTTTTATAATAGATATAGGACTATTTAGATTGGCTATTTATTCTTAAGCTTTGGTAGTTTATGTCACTCAATGAATTTGTCTTTTTAATATAAGTTGTCAAATTCATAGGTATAAAGTTGTTCACAAGAATAACTTATCTCTTCATAGTGTCTGCAGATCTATAGTCATGACTTTTATTTGTATTAGTGGTAATTTATATTGGTTCTCTTTGCCTCCCTCCAGCCGCTCCAGCTGTCCCACACCTCTTTGCTTCATCGGGCTAGATAAATTACAGAACTAACCAACATTTGATTTCACCAGTATTGTTTTATTGGGTTTTGTATCTTTGTTTTTTTCCCTCTTGTTCTAGTTATATTTTTTCTTTGACTTATTTTGAGTATAACATGCTCTTCTTTTATAGTTTCTTAATGTGGAACCTAAGGTCATTGAATTGAAAGCTTCTATAGTAATATAAGTCTTTTAATGTTATACATTTCTCTAAAGCACTGTTTTAGCTATATCTAATAAATTTTGATATGTTACATTTTTATTTAGCTCAAAAATTTTCTAATTTTCTTGGTGACTTCTTTGATCTATAGGTTATTTGGAATAAGTTTCCACATACTTAGGTATTATTATTCTGATGTATAGTTTTATTTATTTTTAATTCTACCGTGATCAGATATCATACTTTGTATAATTTGTCCTTTAAATTTATTGAGATTTCTTTTGCAATCTCAGATACTCTTAGCTTGATGACTGTTTCTTGTACGCTTTTAGAAGGCTATATTTTCTGCTGTTGGATGGTATGTATGCCCCAATAACAATTTAGTAAAGTTGTTTGATAGTGTTGCTGAAATCTTCTATATTCTTTTGTAAGACAGAGTCTCACTCTGTCACCCAAGCTGGAGGGCGGTGGCACGATCTTGCTTTACTGCAACGTCTGCCTACTGGTTTCAAGCAATTCTCGTGCCTCAGCCTCCGAGTAGCTTGGACTACAGCTGCGTGCCACCACACCCAGCTAATTTTCTTGTATTTTTAGTAGAGACAGGGTTTTGCCATGTTGGCCAGGCTGGTCTCAAACTCCTGACCTCAGTGATCTGCCTTCCTCAGCCTCCCAAAGTGCTATGATTACAGGTATGAGCCACTGTGCCTGGCAAATCTTCTATATTCTTATTGGTGGATTTTTTTTATATGGGGGGAGGTGTCTTTTTAATCTACTGAGACAGGTGTGTTGAAATTTCAACAAAAATTGTAGATTTGTCTATTTCTCTTTCATTTGTATAGGCTTTGCTTCTTGCTTTACAAAGCTATTATTAGATGCATTCACATGTAGGATTGCTGTGCCTTCTTGATGAATTGATTTTTTTTCTTCATATGAGAAGCATCCCTTCTTCCGGTTACTGTTCTTTTTATAAAGTCTAATTTGTCTGATATTAATTTAGCTCTCATTTTTTTGGAGTTTTTTTTTCTGCATAGGGTTATTTTTGTGTCATGGGCTGGCAAACTATTGCCTATCTGCTGGCTGCCTGACTTTATAGTTTTATCGGAATGGTGGCACACCTTGTCTTTACACATTCCCTGTGTCTGCTTTCAAGTTACAGGTGAAGAATTGAGTAGTTATCATGGAGACCAAATGGCTTACAAGTCTAAAATTTTCAGTATGTGGCCTTGCAAGAAAAAGTTTGCTGACCCTCTGCATTTTTTTGTAGACAGATTGTAATGGAGTCTTGCTATATTTCGTACATTCTTGTAATCTCTGCCTTTTGAGTCATAGTTTTAGATTATTTACATTTAATGTAATTATTAATATTGCCACAATTCTGGCAGTTATCATTGCTGTTTATTCCGTATTTATTACATCTGTTTTTCTTTCTCCTTTTCCTATTTTATGTCTGGTTTTGGATTAATTGAATATTTGTTATGACTTAATTTTACACATACTCTTGATTTATTAACTACACTTTTTTTTTTACATGTTTAATGGTTTTTCTAGAGTTTATCATATGCATCATTAACTTAGTGCTCTCTAACTTAAAAGTAATATGCTACTTCAAGTTTAGGGTTAAGAACCTTATAAAAGTACACATATATTTCTCCCGCCATGTCCTTTGTGCTGTTGTTGTTACTGTTTTTATTTCTACGTGCATTATCTTAAGCCCATAGTACATTGTTGTTATTTTTACTTTAGATAGTTATGTTTTAAAGAGATTTCAAACTGTGGAATTTTTTCTAAACAAGATACTTAACATTCTGGTGCTCTTCAGTTTTTTGTGTGGATTTAAAATTTCTGTATGTTTTCTTCTGTCTGATGAAGTTACTTACATTTCTCATAGTAAAAGTCTATGAGCAACAAATTCTGTCTTGTAGTTGGCTGCAGAAGTCTTTTTTTGCTTTCATTTATGAAATAGATTAGGATTTTTACTTGTTAGACTAAGAGAATTTAAAAGTGTATAGTCGTTTGGCCATTAACACTTCATTTTTAACTCATTTTACTTGTCACTTGACTACTGGCAGTCAGGTATCCTTACTATATCTATTGTTATAGACATATAAAGCCATTATAAAGGTGGTTATACAGCTTTTGAAAAATTGCGTGTTGCTTTAAATATATTTGAAAGATGTATTTTCAAGTAGGCACTTTATGATAGTCACTCCCTTTGTTTTCCCTTCCCTAGAGTTTTTATAGACTGTATTTGTAGCAGCATTTGATATACTCTTGGGTACAGTTATTTCTATAACACAGGAAATTGCCAATATGAATTACTTGAGAGAGGACCAGTGTAAAAGAAATAGGAAGCAAATAAGTAATTTTCTATTTTACTTGCCTTTGTTTCTTAGCTGGGGTACAGGGTCATTAATGTTTATTATGTTCATGTGTAAATTATAAGTATTTTTCTGTTATTTACTAAACAATTATCTAAAATTCATTTATTATACATGTTGATGGGGGCAGATCTTAAAGGTTAAATGCTTGGTGGAGATAAATATATATGTCTTGGGCATGGTTTCTCTGGTATTCATATATTTATTTATGGTATTGAGAAGACATGGATTTAAATTCTGATGCTAACACTAGCTTTGGGATCTTGGGCTGGTTATTTAATGTATGCCAACCTCAGTTTCCTCATTTGAGACACCCATTGCACAGAATTTTGAGAATTAAATGAGGCTATACACATAAATTACTCAGCATGTGATAAATGTTCACAAAATGGTGATTCTTAATTATGTTTCTGCTTACATTTTTATCTCTGTATAATTTCATATAGCTTTATCTAGAAGAAGATTTATGTTTTAGAAATTAATAACTCAAGAGCTTTATAATATAGATTGTGCCTACTTTGAAAAATAATTTGAATTGGCTTACAGTGAAAGATAGCAGTATACTAAAGGAAGGAAAGCAAAAACTAGTCAGGAAGACAGAATAAAGAAAGGAGATAATGAAGACAAATATAGTTATCAAAATTTGATCCTTAATTTTTAATTTCCTGGAAACCAAGGCTAAAAGGATAATATGGTGGCTTACACTATTCTTATTGTATATTAAAAGAAAGCATACTAGTTCATTAAGGTGCTTAACATTTTCCCCCAGATTTTATGATAAGAAAAATGTATTTCTTTATAAAGGGACACTGTCAGTGTAACTGATGGGAGAAGTCACCTACAGGTCAGATGCCTAAGGAGATGAGAAATTATACTACTGATCTCATACTATATTCTTAACTTGTTTATATTTTAAAGGGCTTTCATACTTTTTTCAATTTTTATCTTTGTGTCCTGTATAAGTTATATTAAATATAATTTATAGTAGAGCTATAGTAGATCCTATAAAAGTATGCGATCATAGAGGAGGGTAGTATTAATTTTGAAAAGAAATGTTTCAGATGATCTCATCAAGGAGGTGGAAGTTAAGTTGGGCCTTGAAGACATTACTAAGGTTTAGAGAGACAAAAGTACGTACATCTGTGTGTGTATGTAAATATAGTTACCTATACAAAAGAAAAAGTGTGAGTAAAAACAAGGAAATATAGAATAATGCAGTGGTCACAAAGTAGAACATGGCAGAAGTGAGCTTAGGAAGACTGGGCAGGTCAGATCTTGAAGGATCATGAATGCTATTAAGAAATTTGGTCTTTCTTTAGAAAATCGCAAGGCTCTTTTTCTTCCACCTTTTATTTTAGGTTTGGGGGTGCATGCGCAGGTTTGTTACGTGGGTAAATTGTGTGTCTTTGGGGGTTGGTGTACAAGTGATTTTATTACCCATGTGGTGAGCATAGCACCCACTAGGTAGTTTTTCAACCCTTGTGCACCTCCCATGCTCCACTCTCAGGTAGGCCCTGGTGTCTGTTGTTCCCCTTTTATGTCCACATGCACTCCATGTTTAGCTCCCACTTACAGGTTACTTCCATTTTCTGATGGACTTAAAAGTGGGAGCTTATTTGTGTTCATGTGATAATTTGCTTAGGATAATAGCCTCTAGCTGCAACCATGTTGTTGCAAAGGATGTGATTTTTTTTTGTTATGGCTGCATAGTATTCCATGGTGTATATGCACCACATTTCTTTATCCAGCCCACTGTTGATGAGCACTGCATTGATTGCATGCCTTTGCTATTGTGAATAGTGCTGCGATGAACATACAAGTGCGTGTTGCTTTTTGGTAAAACAATTTTTATTCCTTTTGATGTATACCCAGTAATGGGATTGCTGGGTCAGAGGGTAATTTTGGGCCCGGCGTGGTGGCTCATGCCTGTAATCTCAGCACCTTGGAAGGCCAAGGCAGATGGATCACCCGAAGTCAAGAGTTCAAGACCAGCCAGACCAACCTGGCGAAACTTTGTCTCCACTGAAAAAAAAACAAAACAAAAATTAGCCAGGTGTGGTGGTACACACCTGTAGTCCCAGTTACTTGGGAGGCTGGGGCTGGAGAATTATTTGAACCTGATAGGCGGAGTTTGCAGTGAGCTGAGATTGTACCACTGCACTCCAGCCTGAGTGACAGAGCAAAACTCTGTCTCAAAATAAATAAAATAAAATAACATAAAATAAAATAAAAGTAGTTTTGTTTTAAGTCCTTTGGGAAATCTCCAAACTGCTTTCCACAGTAGCTGAACTAATTTACATCCCACCAGCAGTGTATAAACATTTCCTTTTCTCCACAACTTTGCTAACATCTATTATTTGCTGATTTTTGTTTTTAGTAGCCATTCTGACTGGTGTGAGATCTTACCTCATTGTGATTTTGACTTGCATTTCTCTGATGATTAGTTATGCTGAGCAAATATACTTGTTGGCCTCATGTATGTCTTCTTTTGAGAGGTGTCTGTTCGTGTCCTTTGCCCATTTCTTAATGGGGTTATTTGTTTTTTAGTTGTTGATTTGTTCATATTTCTTATAGATTCTAGATATTAGACTTTTTGTAGGATGCATAGTTTGCAAATATTTTCTCCCATTCTTTAGGTTGTCTGCTTATTTTGTTGATAGTTTCTTTTGCTGTGCAGAAGCTCTTTAGTTTAATTAAGTCCCACTTGTTTATTTTTGTTTTTGTTGCAATTGCTTTTGGAGACATCATCTTGAAATCTTTACCAAGACCTATGTCTAGAAGGCTATTTCTTAGATTTTTCTTCTAGGGCTTTTATAGTTTTAGGCCTTACATTTAAGTCTTGAGTTGATTTTTTGTGTATGGTGAAAAGAAGGGGTCCAGTTTCAATCTTCTGTATATGTTTAGCCAGTTACCCCAGCACCATTTATTGAGTTAGGGAGTCCTTTCCTCATTGCTTGTTAATGTTGACTTTGTTGAAGATCAGATGGTTGTAGATGTGTGGCTTTATTTCTGGGTTGTCTAACCTGTTCCATTGGTCTGTGTGTCTGTTTTTGTATGAGTACCTGGTTACTGTTGCCTTGTAGTACGGTTTGAAGTTGAGTAGTGTAATGCCTCTGGTTTTCTTCTTTTTTTAATGCCTGTGACGTCTTTGTTTTAGACTGAGAGCTCTAGTGGGAGAGTGATGAATTGAATAAAAGAGATGTCTCATCCTTTTATCTCTCACTAGTCTCACTTGTCTCTCTTACTAGTCTCACTTGTCTCTCACTAGTTTATTTTGCTATCGCTTACATTTTCTTCTCCATCTTCATTTTGTTTTTTACAGACTCAGGTTATTATATTAGGTTATTCTAATGATCAGTGAGAGGTTCTTTTCTGTTTTAATCTGTTTTACATACTACTGACATGCTGAGTTGTTTGGAAAAAATTTTAATTAGCTCCTTATTCCTATTCTAAGTGAACAAATTCTTTTGCATTTTGATTTTTTTTTTCTTGAAGTCTGATATAATTTGGCTCTGTGTCCCAACCCAAGTCTCACCTTGAATTGTAATAATCTCCACATGTCAAGGACAGGACCAGGTGGAGATAATTGAATCATGGGGACAGTTTCCTCCATGCTGTTCTCATGATAGTGAGTGAGTCTTATGAGATCTGATGGTTTCATAAGCATCTGGCATTTCCCCTGCTTGCCCTCATTCTGTCTCCTGCTGCCCTGTGAAGAGATGCCTTCTGCCATAAGTGTAAGTTTCCTGAGGCCTCCCCAGCCATGTGGAACTGTGAGTCAATTAAACCTCTTTTCTTTATAAATTGCCCAGTCTCAGGTATTTCTTCATAGCAGTGTGAGAACAGACTAATATAGAGCCTCCTTGTAATCTCACTGTATTTCTCTGCTTTCTGTTTGCTGACTGTTCCCTGCTTTGTTTAGCTAGTGTGTTCACTGCTCTTTATGTTTTATATCTCAGTTTTTTCTCTAGTATGGGGCACTTTCTGTTTTCAAATGCATGGCAATATCTTTCATAGTTATCCATACCCATTGCAAATCTCATCTTTTCATGAAGATGTATTTTATTGGACTGCTATTGTACTATCCTCTTTTGTTTCTGAACTGTTGGTTAATACATTTTAGCAAATGATTGTTCCATAATTGTTTTATATATTCTTTCAATTGGCCAGCTAGATTGTTAGCTTCTAAAGCAGCACTACCAATAGAAATATAAAATGAGCCAGACATAGTTTTAAATTTTCTAGTAGCCACATTTAAAAATCAAAAGAAACACATAAAATTAACATTAATAATATATTATATTAAACTCAGTATATCTGCTACTTTGGTGGTTAGCTGATATTTTGACAGTTACCTACCTAAAATGCCAAGATAGAGAAGTATTCTATTACTACAAATATAGTCACACCCATCCTCTTACCCTCATAACCCTAACTCTTGGTAACTACTACTCTCTTTTCTGTCTTTATTATGTTGTCATTTAGAGAATGTTCCATAAATAGAATCGTATTTTATGTGATCTTTGGAGACTGCTTTTCTTCACTCAACATAATGTCTGTGATATTTATCCAGGTTGTTGTGTGTATTGACAGTTGGTTCCTTTTTATTGCTGAGTAGTATTCCATGGTATGGACTTTCCACAGTTCATTTAGCCATGTACTTTTTGGGAGGGCATCTAGTTGTTTCTACTTTATGGCTATTACAAATAAAGCTGCTATTAACAATTATGTACAGGTTTTGTTGTAGCTATGTTTCCGTTTCCCTAGGATAAATTCCCAGTAGTGAAATTACTTGATAATATGCTAACTGTATGTTTAGTTTTGTAATATACTGCCAAACTATTTTCAGAGTGATTGTACCATTTTATATCCTTACAAGCAATTTATGACAGATCCACTTTTTTTTTTTTGCATCCACACCAGCACTTGCTGTTACTACTGTTTTCTGTTTTAACTGTTCTGATATATATGCAGGGATAACTCTTTGTGCCATCCATAGATCCTCTTTGATCAAATGCGTGTTCATGTTTTCTGCCCATTTTCTGATTCAATGGCCAGCTTCTTTACTGTTGATTTCTGTTACATTCTAGATGAGTCCTTTATCAGATATGTGGTTTACAAATACTTTCTTCCAGTCTGTAGCTTATATTTTCAACTTTTTAACATGATCTTTCTCAGAGCAAAAGTTTTTATTTTTATGAAGTCCAATTTATTAATGTTATCTTGAATGGATCCTGCTTTTGGGGTCATGTCTAAAAACTTTTAGCCAGGCTCTAGGTCCTGAATATTTTCTGCTATGTTATCTTCTAAAAGTTTTATATTTTACATTTAAACTATGATTAATTATGAGTTAATTTTTATAAAAGATATGAAATATCTTATAGGTGGAGGTTCATGTTTTTTGGCCTGTTGATAACCAGTTGCTCTGACATTGTTTGCTAAAAAGGTTGTTCATCCTCCATTTAATTGCTTTTGTATCTTTTTTGAGAATAACTTGTTGATAATCATTTAGGGCTGTTTCTGGGTTCTCGCTTATGCTTCATGATCTATGTGTCTATCAACTCACCAGTGCTACAGGGTCTTGAATTATTATAGCAAGTCTTAAAATTAGAGAGTGATTCCTCCCACTTTATTTTTGTTTGTTCAAGAAAAAATTTAAGGTATTGTAATTCCTTTGCCTTTCATATAAAGTTCAGAATTATCTTGTTTACATCTACTAAAAATATTTCCGGGATTTATAGAAAATGCATTAAACTTATATGTTAATTTGAGGAGAGTTGATATCTTTATTATGTTGAATATTCCATGAACATAGTATGTTTCTATATTTATTTAGGTCTTTGATTTCTTTCATCAGTGATTTGTTGTTAAGAATGATAGTCTTGTACATAGTTTGTTAAATTTACATAGACAATTAATTTTTTAGTGACAGTAAATGGTATTTTAAAGTTTCTGTTTCCACATGTTCCCTGATAGTATATAGAAATAGAATTGACTTTTGTATGTTGATCCTGTTACCTAGCTAAACTCACTGAATGGTTACAGAGATGTTTTCCTAGATTCCTTGGTGATTTCTTTAGGCCGGTTCATGTCATATGCAGATGGAACAGTTTTATTTCTTCCTTTTAGATCTCTGTATCTTTTATTTCCTTTGTTTGCCTTATTACTCTGCATAGAAATTCCAGTACTGTGTTGAATAGCAGTGGTTGTACAACTGTCAACACTGTCTGCATTCAAAACTTTTTCATCACCCCCTACAGAACCTTTATATTCATTAGGCAATACCCCCACATTTCCCCCTTCCTCATCTTTGGTAACTCTAATATACTTTCTTTCTCTATGAACTTGGCCTGTTTTAGATATTTCATGTAATTGCAGTCATATATTTGCCTTTTTGTGTCTGGTTCATTTCACTTAGCATAATGTTTCAAGATTAATCCATGCTGTAGCATGTATCAGAACTTCATTCATTTTTATGGCTGAATAATATTCCATTGTATGGACTATATTATTAAAAGTTATTATAAATTTTTAATAATTAAGACTGTAGTATTGGGCTTCTTTCTTTTTGTTTCTGCTTATTCATATTCCTTTGTTCAGTTACAGCAATGGTGAGAGGACAATTTTCTCAGAAACTTTTCTTGTCTATTTGACTGTTGAGGGCACAAACAATTAGTCTATAACATTATGTGTTATATATGATATATAACACATATATATGTGTTTATATAATGATATATAAACATTTAGTCTATAACACCATAGTCTATAACACCACTGCTGTGGTGTGGATGGCTGTAATGGGAGTCCAAGAAAAACCATCTTTGTGGGTACTGGGAGGAGTTTCTGGATTAAGTGGTATCTAAATTGATATTTGTAGATTTAATGGAAGTTAACAAATCCAGAGTTTGAGAGGGAACCCTGTATCATGCATAGGGAGTAACACATACAAAGGATTTTCTATGAAGTGAGGGATGGTATTGTAGAAACTTTCCTTATGGCAGTAGCTGGGAATTAGAAAAAACTGAGGCTGGGAGTTAATTTGGGCTTTCTGAAAAGTGTTACCATTTTAGAGTTTATCCAAAATAACAAATTGCAAAGAAATCCAGCAGTTTAACAATTGTTCACTTTGATTTAAATAATGAACATTGAATTATTGCGTATGATCCTAATAATCTAAGATTTCAAATCAAGATATTTAAAGACTCACTCTATACCTAAAACATACACAAAAGGTACTTAAATTGCTAGTATTTATAAACCTCAGTGCTCTTAGAAGACAACATGTTTCCAAGTCAGCATTTTGTATTTCAAAATTTTTATTCAGTAAAGTTTATTTACTTTATGTAAATAAAAGTTACTGCAGTTTAAAAAGCTCAGCTGTGATATTTATTTTACACAAATTCACTTAAGACTGATTCTTGAGTAGCAAGCATCATTGTGGACCACTTCTCTAACAGCGGTAGTACCTTTTAGAATTTTTTGAAGGCCTGGAGGAAAAGAACACCGTTAACTGTGCAAATAGAGTATCACAAAGATGCATTCAGATTTGTAGGATGTCTCAACTGGTTTATCCTTCTCTTTTATATATGGTCACAGTGATTTGACACATCTTTTCGAAGAACAGATTTTTAGTATTTAGCTTTGTTTTTTATTTAGCTTTTTCAGCTTTGCTACATCATTTCCTTTGCTTTTTAAGATGTTTTCTTACGTGTTTTTAAAGTATTTTTATTTGATTTTCTTATATTTGAACCTTCAAAATCTTCTTTCTTGCTTTTAACTTTAACAAATTCTTTTAAATTATGGTCTACTACATGTAGATGTTTCATTTCTTACCCATAAAAATCATTGTTTCCTCATTTTACTCTTCATAGAGCTTTATAAATATCCCCTCTCTTTCTTTCTTTCTTAAATCTACACCTCTGACTTCATAGCAAGTGATTAAGTGCATTTTGTAGTCTATATTAGGATCCTGGATCTACCGCTTACTTATGTGTGACCTTAGTCTTGTTGCTTAACCTCACTTATCTTCAGTTTCTTTCTATGAGGATAATGAAGCCTCACTGTAGTTCTTCATAGGATCGTTAGAGAATTGTTTAAATAATGAAGGTCAACTCTTTTTACTTATTATATGCTTTAGTTGCTAATAAGCAACTCATTACAAGCAAATAAATATTTTCCTAATCTTGGGATGATATTTTCATTCAGCAGTTAGCCTCTTTAACACGAATGTATTAAAAGTTAACAATAAAGGTTATAAAACCATCTCACTGTAGAAAGCATAGGCCCATTACAACATCTGTAGTAAATATTTTTACTGCTTCCGGCAATTAAATCAGAGAGCTAAATGATACATAGAAAGGGGCAATGTGTTTTTGGCTGCGAAAGATGTACACTCAGGCTTCACATAACAGAGCCTGATTGTTAGAATTACATATATTAATTGTTAATTCCTTTCACAGCCGACTCCACCAGCACCCCTGCAATGAGCCCATCTCTGCTATTTACATATGTAATTATTTGGCTCTACCAGACTCTGCTAAAGCAGTTACAACTGGTTTAGGAGATTCATCTAAAAAAATTCTCCAATACTCTACAATTCAAGTGTATACCCTTTATTCTACAAATTTATACAGAGGCCCATAGGCATAAACCTCATTATCGGCTTCTATTGGTTCAATCAATAAGTGTCCGTATTGTTGATTTTCCAACCTTTTGTTTTTATATAGTTTATTTCTCGAGAACCTTTTCTGAGTTACCAATCACTAGTGTACAAGATTCACAGTAGTGACAGACTGAAGTCAGTTGGGCTCATAATAATGAACAAAAAGGAGTTTTATAGTAAGACAATGGTATGGTAAAAAAGTGATGTTTGAGTTGGTTTCAGTAAATGTCCAAGTGATATCTAATAGAGTGTATGATCCATAATAAATTTGATTTTGCTGGAAACATAAGACTTAAGCTTGCTGAATTTCATGATACTTCAGAGGTATTCGATTGGTGACTACTTTTTTTCTTTTTTTTTAATAGCTGGAAGCTGGGGTGGTTAGAGAACTGATAATTGCTAACTTTAACTGAATGCTAACTGTATGTCTCCCATTGTGCCTAAGTACTTAACTCAATTATCTCATTTCATGCTCCCAACAATTTTATTAGACAGGAACTTTTTTTTTCAGGTTTGTAGGCACATGTGAAGGTTTGTTACATAGGTAAACTCATGTCATGGGGGTGTGCTGTACAGATTATTTAATCACTCGGTTATGTATTAAGCCCAGTACCCAATAGTTATCTTTTTTGCTTCTCTCCCTCCTCCCACCCTCCACCTTCAAATAGAACCCAGTGTCTGTTGTTTCCTTCTTTATGTTAGTAAGTTTTCATTATTTAGCTCCCACTTATAAGTGAGAATGTGTGGTATTTGGTTTTCTGTTCCTGCATTAGTTTGCTAACGATAATTAGCCTCCAGCTCCATCCATATCCCCATAAGAGACATGGTATTGTTCCTTTTTATGGCTGCATAGTATTCCATCTGGTATATGTACCACATTTTCTTTATCCATTCTGTCATTGATGGGCATTTAGGTTGATTCCATGCCATTACTATTGTTAATAGTACTACAGTGAACATTTACATGCATGTGTTTTCATAGTAGAATAATTTGTATTCCTCTGGATATATACCCAGTAATGGGATTGCTGGGTCGAAAAGTAGTTTTGCTTTTAGCTGTTTGAGGAATCGCCATACTGCTTTCCACAATGGTAAAACTAATTTACACTCCCACCAACAGCACATAAGTGTTCCCCTTTCTTTACAACTTCACCAGCACCTGTTATTTTTGACTTTTTAATAATAGCCATTCTTCTTGGTATGATATGGTATCTCACTGTTGTTTTGATTTGTATTTCTCTAATGATCAGTTTTATTGAGCTTTTTATTCATAAGCTTGTTGGCCACACTTATGTCTTCTTTTGAAAAGTGTCTGTTCATGTCCTTTGCCCATTTTTTAGTGGGGTTTTTTTTCTCTTGTAAATTTAAGTTCCTTATAGATTATGGATGTTAGACCTTTGTCAGATGCATAGTTTGAAAATATTTTCTTATATTCTGTAGGTTGTCTCTTTACTCCATTGATAGTGTACTCATAGTGTACAAGTGTTCCCTTTTCTTCACATTTTTGCCAGTGTTTATTATGCTTGTCTTTTGAATATAAGACATTTTTAACTGGGGTGAGATGATATCTCATTGTAGTTTTGATTTGAATTTCCCTGATGATCAGTGATGTTGAGTATCTTTCATATGCCCATTTGCCATTTGTATATCTTCTTTTGAGAAATTGCTATTTAAATCTTTTGCTCATCTTGGTTTGGATTATTAGATATTTTCCTATAGAGTTGCTTGAGCTCCATATGTATTCTGGTTATTAATCCGTTGTCAGATGGGTAGTTTGCAAATATTTTCTCCCATTCTCTGGATTGTCTCTTCACTTTGTTGATTGTTTCTTTTGCTGCACAGAAGCTTTTTAACTTAATGTGATTCCATTTGTTCATGTTTGCTTTGGTTGCCTGTGCTTGTGGGGTATTGCTGGTGAAATTTTTGCTCAGACCAGTGCCCTGGAAATTTTCTTCAATGTGTTTTTATAGTAGTTTCATGGTTTAAGGTCTGAGATTTAAGTCTTTAATCCACTTTGATTTGATTTTTGTATATCATGAGAGATAGGGGTTTAGTTTCATTCTTCTGCATACAGATATCCAGTTTTCTCAGCATCATTTATTGAAGAGATTGTCTTTTCCCTAGTGTATGTTCTAGGCACCTTTGCGAAAAATGAGTTCACTGTAGGCATGTGGATTTGTTTCTGGGTTCTCTATTTTGTTACATTGGTCTCTGTGTCTGTTTTTATGCCAGTACCATGCTGTTTTGGTTACTATAGCTCTGTAATATAATTTGAAGTCAGGTAATGTGATTTCTCCAGTTTTGTTCTTTTTGCTTAGGATAGCTTTGGCTATTCTAGGTCTTTTGTGATTCCATATAAATTTGAGCATTGTTTTATCTATTTCTGTGAAGGATGTCATTGGTATTTTGATAGGGATTGCATTGAATCTATAGATTGCTTTGGATAGTGTGGATATTTTAACAATACTGATTCTTTCAATCCATGAACATGGAATATTTTTCTATTTTGGGTGTCCTCTTCAATTTATTTCATCAGTGTTTTATAGTTTTCATTATAGAGATCTTTCACTTCTTGGAGTACATTAACTCCTAGGTATTTAATTTTATGTGTGGCTATTGTAAATGGGATTATTTTTAAATTTCTTTTTCACATTGTTCACTGTTGGCATATAGGAATGCTACTGATTTTTGTATGTTGATTTTGTATCCTGTAACTTTACTGAATTTGTTTATTATTCTAATAGTTTTCTTGTGAAATCTTTAGGTTTTTTTCAGGTATAAGATTCTATCATCCGCAAACAAGGATAATTTGACTTCTTCCTTTCCCATTTGGATACCTTTTTCTAGCTTTCTCTTGTATAATTATGCTAACTGGGACTTCCAGGACTATGTTGAATAACAGTGTTAACCGTGGGTATCCATATCATGTTCCAGATCTTAGAGAAATGACTTTTAGTTTTTCGTTTTTCCCCATTCAGTATGATACTAGCTGTGGGTCTGTAGTATATGCTTTTTGTTGTGTTGAGGTATGTTCCCTCTGTCCTTAGTTTTTTGAGAGTTTTTATCATGAAGGGATGTTGAATTTTATCAAATGCTTCTTTAACATCAGTTGAAATGATCTTGTGGTTTTTCTTCATTCTGCTGATATGATGTATCAGATTGATTGATTTGTATATGTTGAACCGTCCTTGTATCCCAGGGATAAATCCCATTTGATCATGATGGGTGATCTTTCTAATGTATTGTTGAATTTGGTGTGCTATGTTTTTTGTTGAGGATTTTTGCATCAATATTCATCAGAGGTATTGGCCTGTAGTTTTCTTTATTTTATTTTATTTTTTATGTGTCTGTGACTGGTTTTGGTATCCGGGTAATACGGGCCTCATGGAATGAGTTTGGAAGTATTCCTTCCTCCTCCATTTGGAAGTATGCCCTTCTCCTCTATTTTTCAGAATAGTTTGAGTAGGATTAATATTAGTTCTTTAAATGTTTGGTTAGAATTCAGCAGTGAAGTGCTTTTCTTTACTGGGAGACTTTTATTACAACTTCAGTCTTGTAGCTTGTTATTAATCTGTTCAGGTTTTGGATTTCTTCCTGGTTCAATCTTGGTACTTGTATGTGTGGAGCAATTCATCCATTTCTTCTAGATTTTCCAAATAATTTGCGTGTGGTTGCTCACAGTAGCCACTAATGATCCTTTGAATTTTTGTAGTATCAGTTGTAATGTCTCCTTTTTTATTTCTGATTTTATTTATTTGGATCCTCTCTCTTAGTCTGGCTAAAGATTTGTCAATTTTGTTTAGCTTTTCAAAAAATGAACTTTTTGTTTCATTGATCTGTTGTATTGTTTTCTTCATTTCAGTTTTATTTATTTCTGCTCTGATCTTTATTATTTCTTTTCTTCTACTAATTTTGGATTTGGTGTGCTCTTGATCATTTAGTTCTTTAAGGTGCAGCATTTGATTGTCTGTTTGATATTTTTTCTCTTTTTTGATATTGGCACTTATAAACATCCCTCTTAGTACTGCTTTTGTTGTATCCCATAGGTTTTGGTATGTTGTGTTTCTGTTATTATTAGTTTGAAGAAAATTTTCAATTTCCTTCTTAATTTCTTCATTGACCCGCTTGTCATTCAGGAGCATATTGTTTAATTTCCATGTATTTGTATAGTTTCTGAAATTTCTCTTGATGTTTCTAGTTTTATTCCGTTGTTGTCAGAGAAGAGCTTTATATTATTTCATTTTTTTGGAATGTCTCAAGATTTGTTTTGTGACCTAACATATGGTCTGTCTTTTCAGTTGATCCATGTGCTGAGGAAAAGAATGTGTATTCTGCAGCTCCTGGATGAAATCTTCTGTAAATATCTATTAGCTCAATTTGGTCTGTAGTGCAGATGAATTCTGATGTTTCTTTGTTTATTTTCTTTCTGAAAGATGTGTCCAGTGCTGAAAGTGAGGTTTTGAAGTCTCCAGATATTATGGTATTGGAACCTATATTTGTCTTTAGCTGTAATAATATTTCCTTTATATGTCTGGGTGCTCCAGTGTTGGGTGCATATATATTGAAATTGTTATATCCTCTCACTTAATTGACACCCTTATCTTTATATAGTGACCTTCTTTGTCTCTTTTTATAGTTTTTGTCTTGAAATCTCTTTTGTCTGATACAAGTATAGTGACTTCTGCTCTTTTTTTGGTTTTCTTTGGCATGGGATATCTTTTTCCATCTGTTTATTTTCAGTCTTTGTGTGTCTTTATAGGTGAAGTGTGTTTCTTTTAGGCAACAGACCAATAGGTCTTGCTCTTTCATCCATTTAGTTAGTCTGTGTCTTTTGATTGGTGAGTTTAGTGTATTTACATTCAATGTTATTATTAAGTAAGGATGTACTCTTGCCATTTTGTTTTTGGTTTTCTGGTTGTTTTGTGGTCTTCTTTCTTGCATTTCTGTCCTCTAGTGAAGATGATTTTCTCTGGTGATTTAGTTTCTTGATTTTTATTTTTTGTGTGTCCATTGTATAATTTTTGGTTTGAGGTTACCATGAGCCTTGCAAATACTATCTTATCATTCATTATTTTAACCTGATAACATAACACTATTTGCATAAGCAAACAAACAAGCAAAAAGAAAACTAGTAAAAACTTGCCTTAACTTCATTTCCTTGCTTTTTAACTTTTTGTCTGTTTATATCTCATTATACTGCCTATGTCTTGAAAAGTAGTTGTAGTTATTATTTTTGCTTGGTTCATCATTTAGTCTTTCTACTTAGGATAAAAGTAGTTTGCAAACCACAGTAACAGTGTTATAATATTCTGTGTTTTTCTGTGTACTTATATTACCAGTAAGGTTTGTATTTTCAGGTGATCATTTATTGCTTATTAATGCCCTTTTCTTTCTGATTGAAGTACCCCCTTTAGCATTTCTTGTAGGACAGGTCTGGTGTTGATGAAATCCCTTAGCTTTTATTTGTTTGGTAAAGTCTTTATTTCCTCTTCATGTTTGAAGGATATTTTCACTGGATATACTATTCTAGGGTAAAAGGATTTTTCCTTCAGCAATTTAAATATGTCATGCCACTGTCTCCTGGCATATATGGTTTTCACTGAAAAGTCTGCTGCCAGATGTATTGGAGCTCCTTTGTATGTTCTTGTTTCTTTTCTCTTGCAGCTTTTAGGATTCTTACTTTATTCTTGACCTTTGGGCGCTTGATTACTAAATGTCTTGAGGTAGTCTTCTTTGGGTTAAATCTTCTTGGTGTTCTATAACCTTCTTGTACTTGGATGTTTTCTCTAGGTTTGGTTAGTTCTCTGTTATTTGAAGGTTTACTCAGAATAAACTTTCTACACCTATCTGTTTCTTTACCTCCTTTTAAAGGCCAGTACCTCTTAGATTTGCCCTTTTGAGGCTATTCTCTAGATCATGTAGGCATGTGTCATTGGTTTTTATTCTTTTTTCTCCTCTGTGTGTTTTCTAATAGCCTTTCTTCAAGCTCATTAATTCTTTCCTCTGGTTGTTCCAGTCTGCTCTTAAAGGACTTGATGCATTCTTAAGTATGCCAATTGCATTTTTGAACTGCAGAATTTCTGCTTGATTTTTAAAAATTATTTAAATATCTTTGTTCAATTTATCTGATAGAATTCTGAATGCCTTCTCTGTGTTATCTTGAATTTCTTTGAGTTTCCTCAACACAGCTATTTTGAATTCTCTGTGAAAGGTCACACACATATCTTTGTTTCTCCAGGATTGATTCTTGGTGCCTTATTTAGTTCATTTGGTGAGGTCATGTTTTTCTGGATAGTGTTAATGCTAGTAGATGTTCCTCGGTGCCTGGGCATTGAAGAGTTAGGTATTTATTGTACTCTTCATTGCCTGAGCTTATTTATAGCCACCCTTCTTGGGAAGGCTTTCCAGTGACACTGTGATTCTTGCAGACTTGTAGAGGTACTGCCTTGATGGTTTTGGGCAAGATCTGGGATAATTCTCTAGATTACCAGGCAGAATCTCTTGTTCTCTTTCCTTACTTTCTCCCAAGCACACAGAGTCTCTCTCTCTTTCTGTTCTGAGACACCTAAAGCTGGGGCTGGTATGACGTATGGCACAAGCACTCCTATGACCACCACCACCATGGCTGTGCTGGGTCACACCTGAAGCAAGCACAGTGCTGGGTCTTGCCCAAGGCCTGCCTTAATCGCTCCTTGGCTATAGCCTATGTTCACTCAAGGCCCTAGGGCTCTACAATTAGCAAGTAACAAAGCCAGCTGGGCCTGTGTCCTTCTCTTCAGGGTGGCAAAGTCCCCCTGGCCACTAGTGGGTCCAGAGATGCCATATAGGAGTCTGGGACTAGAGTCTTAGAAATCTTAGAAACCTTAGAAATCTACCTGGCATTCTGTTGTATTGTGGCTGAGCTGGCACTCCAACCACAAGACACAGTCCTTCCCCTTTTCCACTTTTCCCCTTTTCCCCTTTCCAAAGGCTGAGGAGCCTCACCCCTTAGCCACTGCCACTCCTGGCCATGAGGAGTACTGCCAGAGTACCACCGACATTCCCTTAAGGACCAAGGGCTCTTCTATCAGCTTGTGGTGAATGCTGCCTGGCCTGGACTCAACCATCAGGGCAGTAGGTTCCCCTTTGGCTCAGGGCAGGTCTAGAAATGCTGTCCAATAGTCAAGTCCTAGAATTGGGGACCCCAAGAGCCCACTTGGTGCTCTACCCTACTGTAGTGTTGTTGGTACCTAAGATACAAGACAAAGTCCCCTTTACTCTTCTGTTTTTATCAAGCGGAAGGGGTTTTGCCCCATAGCCACCACAGCTGGTAATGTGCATAGTCTCACCTGAAGCCAACAAGTCTCAGAAACTCACCAAGGCCCTCAGCGTAGTACCTTGGTATCACTGCTGGTTATTCAGGACCCAAGGGCTCTTCAGTTAGCACATGATGAATGCTGCCTAGACTGGGTCCTTTCCTTCAAGGCAGTGGGTTTCCTTCTGGCCCAGGGTGTATCTAGAAATGTCATCCCAGAGCTAGAGCCTGGAACAAGGGCCTCATGACCTCAGGGTGCCCTATTCTTCTGTGGCAGAACTGGTAAACAAGATGCAAGACAAACTCCTCCCCACTCTTCCCTCTCCTCTTCTCAAGTAGAAGGAAGGGGTTTCTTTTGTATCCACAAGCTGTGCAGTCTGGGGTTAGGGGAGGGGTGATGCCAGCATTCCCTTAGCTGCCCCAGCTGGTATCTCAGTGTGTCCATGCCACTTTAGTCCACTGTGTTTGGGCCTAGTTCAGCACTAGGACTTACCTATGAGGTACAGTCCTTATGGCCTAGACTGCCTTTCAAGTTTACTTAAACACCAAGAGCACTCTGGCCTTTGGTACTGAGGTTTTCAGGCACTCAGGTTTGGACTGCTGGTATCAGTGATTCCCCTCTGGCTAGGGCTGGTTGAGATGCCTTCTTGTGGGTGGACATCAGCTTAGTTTGGTCAGGTTTTCCTTTATGCTATAGCAAGATGGCCCCAGGTTCAGTGCCTCACAATTGCTCTGTTCTCCCTTCACCAGCACCCAGAGATGCTCTTGGCACCAAGCCATGCTGCTGGAGTCAGGGAGGGGTGGCGTCAGAGACTCAGAACTGTTTTCTATCTTTTCAGTGTCTCTTTCAGTGATACGAGGTTAAAACCAGGTTCTGTGGGTGCTCACATGATTTTTAGCTCTTATGAAGAAGCTTTTTTCTGTGTAGTTGTTTGTTAACTTAGTGTCCTTGCGGTAGGGTTAGAGGGACGATCTGTGGAGTTTTCTGTTCTGCCATCTTGCCTCACCTCCCTCCTAAAAAATATTCTTATATGAGATTGTAATGTTTATATGAACTTGCATGAAGACAGAATTCTTGTGTTTGGATCCTGAGTCTCTTACCCATTTTGTAACATTCTTCAACATACTTTTAACTCTGTGCCTATGATTCCTTATCTGTAAAATGAAGATAATAATAGTGTCATAATAGATGTAAAACATGTAAAACAATACTAAATGCCATGTAAGGTTAAGTGGTGGTATTATTACTATTTATCCTATTTACATCATATTCTGTGGTCATCTGTCAGTATTTGTGAATACCTTTCAGTGACAGGAAATTAATTTTACTTCTTGATCCTAATTCTACTCCCTGTCTGTTCCTAATCTTGTTTTGCCTTTGCTTCCTCTTTTCTCATCTACTCATATTTTATGTCTTCCTTCATGCTTTATATAACTTTTAGCCACCTTCAATGTTTTTTGGAATAAAGTAATGTATGCATACATACATATACATCTTTGTTCCTAGAATTTAGCACTGTTAGTGCATGGTTTTTATCTTGGACATTCATATATTCTAGTTCCAGAACAGTAACTTCTAGAACTTAATAATTTATTAAGGAATCAATGACTTCAAATTTGTCAGACGTTGTATATGATTATTATTTTATTCCTAAATCTTATCGTTCTTTAGACCAAAAGGATATCCAGTTTGACAGTGTTCTTTTTTAAGAATGATGCTTTTAACTGAATATAATAGTTCCTATGGGATTCGATCAACAGAGAGTAAAGAGTGTTATTATGTTATTTTATTCTATGTGTATTTGTCTATTACTGTACTTAAAATACCAAATGGGAGGGGCAGTATGACTTTGGACTCATTTGCCATAATGCTGAAGTTAAATGTGTTGCTGTTAAATCAGCTTTCTTTTACCCAATTCACATTTGTGCTTTAAAAAAAAAAGCATTACAAGACCTTGCATACTTCTGTTCAACTTATTTTTTAACATTCATTTCATTATTTCAATATTTCTTATAAGTTGTATGAGTTTCATATTTCTTTATCTTCTATATATTGAGATTATGCCCCAGTTATATCTCTTTGTCTGTAAGACTAGTAATGTCAAAAAAAATGAATTTCATGTCTTAAAATTTATCCTTAGTAAATTCTGTATTTTCTGTTGATTATCCCTTTTAAAGGCCAAACCCTCTTTTTAGGAATTTTTCCTGAATCTCACTCAGGAATCACATGCTGTAGTTTGCTCTATTTTACTAGATTTGAAATCACCCTTTTCCATTTATGTGAAAATTAGATTTCTGTTTGCTAGTTTCGATGCTCACAATGCCTTTCACTTATTTGTAGCTCTTATACTTTTGATCAAAATTAATTTTATACCAGAATCCTTGAAATTTTTTAGAGTAGTAGCTTTGAATTCTTGTTATTATTTCATTCTACTGTCATCGATAACCTCCCATGTTAACACTATTGTTTCTTTCTGTTTACTTTCAGCTGGTTGGTGGAGAATTTGACTTGGAGATGAACTTTATTATCCAGGATGCTGAGAGTATAACATGTATGACAGAGCTTTTGGAGCACTGTGATGTAACATGTCAAGCAGAAATATGGAGCATGTTTACAGCCATTCTACGAAAAAGTGTTCGGAATTTACAGACTAGCACAGAAGTTGGGCTAATTGAACAAGTATTGCTGAAAATGAGTGCTGTAGATGACATGATAGCAGGTATGGGGTTGTCTGACAGGAAAGTATAACTTAAATGTTTATAAAGTTTCACATACTTCTCTTTATATTCTATAGGTAATGTAGATTTGTTGACATTACTTTGATTTAAAATAAATGGAAATGTGTGGAAATTTTACTTTTTATATTAATGGAAAACCTGAAGAGTGCAAGAAGAAAAACATACTTACTATAGTAGACAAACATAATTACTAATGTTGTTTTCTAAATTTTAGAAAATCTCAGTACCATGGAGTGCTATGAAATCTATCAGAAAAATAAACATTATTTTTATGTAGTATTTCATTAAGCTTTTACATAATTAAAATACCACAATAGGTATTACAGTTCTGTATAATGAGCATTTTACCAAATTCTTCTAGTTCTGTGCCCCTCAATCTGGCATATATGCAACTATGACAGGAGGTACTAAAAGCCTTATATAAGCATGGTGTATCTTTTGGATATGTCCATTTTGGAAGAAACTTTTGTATTAAAATAAACTAATATATTATGGGCTAGAACATAAAATTCACCAAGAATTTCAAGATAAAAATACTAATGTTTTGCTTGTTTGGGTGATTTCAAACAATAACTTTGAAATCTATAATTTTTTCACCACCAACCGTTTACTACCTTGCATGCTCATTCTCCTGTGTGGCTAGATGCATTTCAGAAAAGTGTTTTGAATATTATTCCAGAGCAAATATCATTCCAGAAAATAAGTTTAAAGTTTAAAATGTTTATTTTTTGTAAGCCACGAATCTTCAGCCTAAGTATCTTCTGACATAAAAGCATTTTCATAATTATAAAAGTGCTGATATTACCCTCCACAGTATTATACCTGATCCTGGAAAGTAGTTCAGATACCAGAGAATACTCTTTTAACATTTTGGCTTATGCATTTCATTATTTTTAAAATTTATGGAACAAAACATTAAACAAGAATGGAATGAAAAATGGCTTAAAAAAGAATGCAGAATTGCAAAAAGCATGCTTTGAATTTAAATATTTCAAAAAATTTGATTTTCTGAGAAAATATATTAAAAATCATATCTAATTACCTTCAGGGTGGCATATATCTTTTTTTTAGAATGATTTAGCAGTCCCTGTATTGGGTACTGATGGCTAACTTGATGAAAAATGAGATTCAGACATCTATTTCTTAAAATACCTTTTTAATATTAATAGTAGCATTTCTATAAATTCTAGAGGTACTTAATAGAAATTTATTAATATAGACTTACATGTACACATGTTTTATAGAATATCATATGATCTTTTAATTCTTACATCTGAGCTTAAGCTCTTAATTTTTTTTTTGTAAATTGGCTGCTACTCTATGGAGTGCAGTTTAGAGAATGAGCCAAAATTACATGCATAGTAGTTTACTGGTACATAATTCATCAGCACTGAAATGTGAAAGTGACAGTGAAGATGATTGTACCATAGAAGTTCATATCTTGACATTGCTGTTACATAAAGCTCCTTAATTCTTTTATCTTTTTCTCAGTAATAATATTAATAACAAAATTTTTCACTTTTTGTAATTTCTAGCATTTCCCTTCAAAAGAGCTTGATGATGGAAGGATATGAGAAAAGAGAATAAATGTCAGAAAAATACCTCTGTCTTACTTTTTAATAGAGAAATTAAACTTTACATATTATACTAAGGAAGAACCAGTAGCCACTAAAACACGACTAACAGTTCATATCTGAATGTATTGTAGTATGTTAAATTCAATGGGGTACTTTTTATTTAATAATGTAGTAAAAGTGTCACTAAAAGGTGGCTAAATTAAACATTTTATAACAAATTGATGAGAAAATTTCTTGGTCTTAGTATTTTTTCTTTTAAAAAAAATCATTTCTAATTACTTTCAATCTTGTTCTCCAGCAAAGAAGACCGTCTATAATAAAATTAAACTGAGCTGCTTGGTTGTGTTACATATACAATATATAAGTAATTCGTATTTTTTCTCTTTTAAAAATGATTTCTGATTACTTTTAATCTTGTTCTCCAGAAAAGACCTTCTGTAATAGAATTAAACTGAGCTGCTTGGTTGTGTTACATATACAATATGCAAGGAATTTTTAAAAATTTCTAATTAAATACAAATTTAATAGATTACTTTTTGTGACATACATGGGAGATAAGATAAAGATGAAGTCTTGTATAACCTGAAAAAATTTAAACGTTGCAAATATTTTTTAAAGTTTTTTTAAAAGTATTTTATGTAAACCTTTAAGAAATCTTCTGTAAAGGTTGCCATTGCAGCTAATTGCTTAAAAATACTTCATATTATAGCAACATTAAATGGACTAAGAAAAAAATACTTCATATTAGCTTAGGATTTTTATAGTACTTAAATTTTTTTGTAGAAACACACTTTTTGACCTATATGTACTAATATTTTAATACATTTTTGTTGCTTCAGTGATGACATGTTTTATTTCATTAAAATATCACTCTGAAAGTGGCATATCCACTGTCACAATTTTGTCATAGAGATTATTGTGTGTTAAATAAAATTATTTAATTATTAATTGATTATTAATTGATGAAGATAAGCATACTAAGTTTCCATTTTGAAATATACAAATGACAAATATTTTTTAAAGTCTCAAATTCCAGTTATTAATCTGTGATATGATATTGAATAATATACATTATATATCAGTACTAAGTATTTCAGCTTACCCTAACCTAACCTTTTTATTAATTGATTATAAGCTTTTAGAATATATATGTGTATTGCTTTGTAATAACCTTTGTAGTATGTTTCATTCTTAAGAAGTGCTTTAGAAATTGAGAAAACGAAGTATAAATGTTTAGATGTTCAATTTCTTGCAAAGAACAATGACAGAAAAAGTATTAATCACAATATGTAGAGAAAGCAATCAGAGACAAGAGATTAAATGTATAATTTTTCTCATTATTAGGTGTGCTGGTGTGTCTGTTATATGCACATAAACACTCACACTAGCATGATGGATACCACTATTAATGTGTTTAAATTACACTTCTACTTATAGACTAGTGTGTAAGAGTGAGGGTTCTGAAGCTATACTGTCTGGGTTTGAATCCTGATTCTACCACTTGCTAGGTCTATGTTCTTGGGCAATGGGAATAAATTATCTGTGCCACAATTTGCTCATTTTAAAAGGGGATAATAATGGTACTTACCTCATAGGCTTGTTAGGAGGATTTGTGAGGTTAGTATCTGTAAACCACTTGGAATAATGTTTCACTTGGAGTAAGTGGTAAAAATTGCTAATGGGCCAAGGAATATACCAAGAATATATTAAGAATAGATAATTCTGAAAGACAATATAGTCAGCTGTTACTTTTTCATTTGACAATAACCAGTTTGCAATTTTAAATCTTTGTACATTTGCATATTTTACCTACCTTTCCCTGCACACAGCAGGCTGTGTTGTGGTGTGTGTGTGTGTGTGTGTGTGTGTGTGTGTGTGTGTGTGTTCTGGGAATATGTAAAATCTATTTTACATTTCTGCTAAGACAGCTTAATTGCGGTGGTAATTTAATGGGGGAAAATCATGTAATTCAAATAAATTCTTTTGGTTATTTAATGAGTTAAAAATTGTTAATTGGAATGGCTATTCATGAGGACATTTAGCTGTATTAGATACATATATATATATATAGAGAGAGAGAGAGAGAGAGAGATAACAATGATAACTTTTTTCTTTCAAAAAGTATATTACCTTGACAGATGGCAGCTCATGACTAGAGTTCAGAATAACTTTATTTTCCTTTGAAGATCTTCTAGTTGATATGTTGGGGGTTCTTGCCAGCTACAGCATCACTGTCAAGGAGTTGAAGCTTTTGTTCAGCATGCTTCGAGGAGAAAGTGGAATCTGGGTAAGCTGTGGTCGGAGGGAAAGGTATTCAGTATCAGTCCATTAATACTTAATGTTCAAAAGTTTGTCTCTAGAGAGCTATATACTTGAATTTATAATGGAAATTGCTTTCTTCTTAAATGATTTAGTAAATGTTTTGTAAATGATTTAAAATTAATTTTTCTCTCTAGTTAGAAAACAGTCCAATGGGTAACATGGTATATTAAGTATGATTGCTAAATTTGTACAATGACATTTCTTTCTTTTATTGTTTCCCCAGCCAAGACATGCAGTAAAATTATTATCAGTTCTTAATCAGATGCCACAGAGACACGGTCCTGATACTTTTTTCAATTTCCCTGGTTGTAGCGCTGCGGTAAGTTTTAAATACATGTGCTGATTTTTATTTATTTATTTTTAGGTCACCTTTAGTAAGGTTTAACTTACATATAATAAAATTTACCAGTTTAGAAAGCACAACTTGATGAGTTTGGAAGTCATACAACCACTACTATATAATGATTTGAACAATTTCATCACTCCCCAAAATTCCCTTGTGCCTGTTGGAAGATATTCCCCTCTACCCATCCCCACTCCTTACTACTTCTGATTTACTTTGTATTCCTATAGTTTTGCCTTTTCTAGATTGTCATATAAATAAAATCATACAGTATACAGTGTTTTTTGTTTTGTTTTGTTTTGTTTTGTTTTGTTTTGTGTTTTTGACGGAGGCTTGCTGTCACCCAGGCTGGAGTTCAGTGGCGTGATCTTGGCTCACTGCAACCTCTGCCTCCCGGGTTCAAGCAATTCTCCTGCCTCAGCCTCCCAAGTAGCTGGTATTACAGACACCCGCCACCATGCCCAGCTAATTTTTGTATTTTTAGTAGAGACAGGTTTCACCATGTTGGCCAGGCTGCTCTCAAACTCCTAACCTCCTGTTTGCCCGCCTAGGCCTCCCAAAGTGCTGGGGTTACAGGTGTGAGCCACTGCACCCGGCCTGGTATATAGTCTTTTGTGTCAGGCTTCTTTCACTTCCCGTGATGCTTTTGAGATTTTTCCATGTTGTAGTTTTAATTACTGTTTTATTCTGTTCTCTCTTTTTTTGAGTAGTATGGCATTTTATGGATATACCACAGTTTATCTATCCTATCCATTCACTAGTTGATGGACTTCTGGGTTTCTAGTTTTTGGCTGTTATAAATAAAATTGCTGTGAACATTTGAGCACAGGTCTTTCTATGGACATATGTTTTCTTATCTTTCGATTAAATACCTGAGTGAGATTGCTGGATTTTATGGTAACTGCCTGTTTACTTTCATGAGAAACTGTCTACTCGTTTTCTGTATTAGAACATTGTACATTCCTATAAGCAGTGTATGAGAGTCCCACTTGATCTGCATCCTGAACATTTTCAGTCTTTTAAATTTGAGGCATTTAAATGGTTATGTACAGTAGTCCCGCCTTATCCATGGGGTATATATGTTCTAAGACTGTCTCAGTGGATACCTGAAACTGCGGATGGTACTGAACCATCTATATAATACATACTATGGTTTTTTCCTCTACATACATACCTGTGATAAGGTTTAAATTACTAACTGCACACAGTAAGAGATTAACAACAATAATAAAATATAACAATTATAGCAATATATTATAGTAAAACTTTTGTGAGTGTTGTGTCTCCCTGCCTCCCCTCCTTCTTTGTCTCTCTCTCAAAATATCTTAATGTACTGTACTCACCTGTTTTTGGACTGTGGTTGACCATGGGTAACTGAAACTATGAAACCACAGATAAGAGGGGATCTACTGTAGTGGTACCTCATCATAGTTTTAATTTTGCATTTTATTCATGACTGATGATGATGAGCATTTTTTCATGTGTTTATTGGCCATTCTTATGTCTTCATTTGTGATGTTTCTGTTCACATCTTCCGTTCATTTAAAAAATTCGGTTGTTTTTCTTATTATCGTAAGAGTTCATTATATATTTGGAATGTAAGTTCATCTATTAGATCAAGGTAAAATATTCCCTGTTTTAAAAAGTCAATAAAAGTTATATATTATTTGATAATAAAATGTTATTTATATTGTATGATAATAAAACTGCCTGAACTAATTGCTTAAATACTAAAATCCGAAAGGTTAGTATAGGGTTTAACTCTTCATTTGAAATTGTGTGTGTGTGTGTGTGTGTGTGTGTATTTTTTTTAACAGCAAGCACTTAGAAATCTTTGACTACTTTGAGATTATTTATTAGCCACCTGCATCTTCAGTCATTATGCTTGGAGTAGATTACATTCCTTACTCTTGAAGAACTCTGATGGCTAGATATGCAAATACAGCTTGCTACAATAAGAGTTATAAATGATACTGTAGATTTAGGTATGGGAACAAAACTATGGGAACACAATTGAAAAGAGAAACCATGCTAGGTTGAAGTCCAGAAAAGCTTCACAGATGAGGAAACATATTAGTCTGCTATTAAAGAATAAATGAGATTTTGTTAGAAGGAAGAATGATTTGGATAGAAGCAACATGATGTATAGGAAGAGGAACTGTAAAAGAACTAGTGGAATAGCTGGTATATTTAGATGTACTTTGGAATGTGGGGTTGGGTAGTAGAGGAGGATAAAATCAGAAGGGTTTGTTGGAGCCATAGCACGTGGGAAGTCCTGTATAACATGAAGAAATTTAAATTTTATTCTGAATGCAGAAGATTTTTGACATGGAAGGTCCGTGTTGTATTTGAGAAAGGCCATTATCAGCAACATGAAAGATCTATTTGAGGATATCTTTTATGTAGAATTTTGATAAAGTCTAGGAAAATAAATAAATACATTCACACATTTCTTGAAGTCAGGTGAAATAATCAGCTACTTTCTTATTTATTCCTTAGAATGGCTACATTTTATTTGATTGCTATTTTCAAGGGAGTCCTATATTACTCCTTTTCTGCTTATGAATGGATCTGAATCCTTTTTGGTTATAAATATCAGTAGTTAAGTTTCTGAGTAATAAATGTCATACTTTGCCTTTCTTAGTTTCAATGTTGTTAGCATTATGAACATTATCTCTTAATGCTTGCATTTCTTCAATATTGATTCCATTAACATTTTCTAGCTCAGTCATTTTTGGCTTTAAATATTCAATCTCCTTTAACCAAATGGGTTACTACTGAAAACCTAGTGTAAACCACAGAAAACTGAAATTGGGAGGCTTATGTGTAAGAGACTGTATACTGATGAAACTAGATGGCGACTTCTTGGAGTATAGTCTGAAACCCGCTATGTAATCTAGAGATAAAATCTAATTCACTGAGCATTTGAAAATTGAATGTTTCTATAATCAACAAATACTATTTAGGTGTACTGAGATTGTTTTAATAAAATACTAGCTCTTATTTTATGGATTTGTTTGTGATTTTCTGGTATTTATACTTTGATTGTTATTTAATCTGCAAAAGCCATATTTGACCTTAGCTACTATCACATTTCTTTAACTGATACTTTCGTACCTTTTCTCATTGCCTTGTAGGCAATTGCCTTGCCTCCTATTGCAAAGTGGCCTTATCAGAATGGCTTCACCTTAAACACTTGGTTTCGTATGGATCCATTAAATAATATTAATGTTGATAAGGATAAACCTTATCTTTATTGGTAAGTAATATGTTTAATTTTAGTACTTTTTTCTTTAAGTACTTGAATTCTATAAATGTATAGTCTCAAGGCAACTTAGATAGAATATATGTATATATGTGCGTATAATATATGCTAGAACTGTGAAGACACTGTAAATCAGTTTTATTTATGTATGTATATATGCATTTATTTTGCTATTGATTCTAGGTCATCTGCTTCATGATTATCATTCTTTTCCAATTACAGTTTAAAAGTCAAAGGTACAGACTTTCTGTCCCAGTCTCCTTCAATGTATATCAGTTGTGGGATTTTTAGTGAGGATTGCTGGTCCCTGAAAAAAATTCCAAACTTTTACCAGATTTCATTCATTTTTGCCTTTTCACTTACTTTGTTCTATGAGCATAACTGACATATGCTTTAAAATTGTTGATAATAACTATGTAAGAAATTATAAGATAAGATTATTTGGTGTAGACAACTAGAATGAGTTGATCAACCTAACAATGTGTTGATCTGTAAGGGTTGAAAGCTTGATAATTTTAGTATGCCAGTAATACACAGTACAGCATACTTAACAATAAGTACATCAAACATTCATTGATTGCCATACTGTATGCTAGGCATTGTAAGTGTTTATATATATGATTTCATTTAATACTTGCAATACTCTGTAATAAGACGGCCTGTGTTCAAGTTCTGGCTTTACCACCTACTATTCACCTTGTACTTTTGGTGTCTTCAACTATACCAATGAGGATAGTAATAGTGTCTATCCCATAGGATTTAATGAGAGAATCATATTTAAAGCTCTTTGTATAATGGCTGGGTCAGAAATGTGAACACAGAAATATGTGAGCTATTACTATCTTCTAAGCTCTATTATAAAATATATATGGATAAAATGAGACCAAGTTTTAAATAAGCATCTGAACTTCCAAACATAAATGGGGTTGGACTTCAAAGTGGTCATTTTGGGAGATCATACATTAATTTCAGTGGTATCTGCATTTTTCAGTGATTAAACATTTTTCTACATCGTGATAAATTTACAGCTAAGGGAAATGCTCTTGTAGAAGAAAACAACTATATTTCATAGTTACATCTTTTTAATTTTTTAAACTAAAAATGTACTGCTTTGCTTGATCAACTGTATCATTTATCAAACTTGACTCTGACCAAGTTTTTTTTTCTTTTTCTTTTTAATTTCTAAGCTATTTTCAAAGGTATACCAGAATTAGAGAGCAGGTTGTTATTTAAAATGTGAACTTTGTGTAAATGTGTTCTGTATTTGCTGATTGCAAATGGTCCTTAAAGTCTACTTGGTGGTAGGCTTTTGTTGGCAATTAATTTGTTTTTAAGTATTTCTGAGATTTTAGATTGAAATACTAAAAGCTGTCATAGTCTTTTATTTCCTAGTTTAAATTTCTTATATTTACTTATAACTAACCTTTTATATTTTTGTTTAGTTTTTATTTGACACATATTAAACTGCTTCTACTGTACAGGGAAATAAGTTTTATTTTTATAAGAATGTTTAATAGCCATTAGGTGTTTAGTTCTTTTTATCAGAGGATATTATACTATTCTCAGTTGTCTTTGCAGTTTTCGTACTAGCAAAGGAGTTGGTTACTCTGCTCATTTTGTTGGCAACTGTTTAATAGTCACATCATTGAAGTCCAAAGGAAAAGGTTTTCAGCATTGTGTGAAATATGATTTTCAACCACGCAAGGTAGGTAAAAGTAAATATTTTTATAACTCACCTGTTATGACAGAATTCTTAACTCTCCTTTTATGAGCTCTGTAGTATTCTCTTTCACGGGTTTTCCTATGCTTTTAATTGTTTTCTCTTATCCTTGTCTGCATTTCCTTTTTACTTTTATGTCTAATTTTTGTCTTCTGTAAGATCAGTGTTTTGATATCTTGTGGTGTATTTCTCTTACACTCTCTCATTATCTCAGTCTGATCTGTTTTATGGCATTCTTTCAATAGATACTTATTATCTACTGAGTATTGGATACCATTGTAGGCACTAGGGATTAATAAATATTTGCCTTTTTTTAAAAAAGTTAAATGTTAAACCCCCAGATTAAGCAATGCACAGACACATTTTTTTTGTGGGAGATTAACCTAATCCTAGTAGTTCTGAATATTGTTTCCTGAGATTGAAGGTTTTGTTAATTTGTGATGCTTTAATAATGCTGGCTTCAAGGAGAGGAATGTTGCTGTACTGTTAGTTTTGGCTCATGAAATGTATCTTTACTTAATATCTCAAATAATAGCAGAGACAAGGCCAAAACACATTTTAAAAACTGCTCTAAAGAGAAAATGCAGAGAACTGTGCAACTGTATGATTAGAATTATAAGAGATAATTCATTCATAATCAGGTGGCATTTTCTAGAGGGATTTTCCTGCCTGAGTACCAGACTCCATCTTTGTGTCAGAATAACAAACCATCTGAAAATCCAGATGAAAGAAAACCAGGACAGAGTGCATAGGGGTACCCGTCACACATGTTTAAGGCTTTGTTCCCCTTCCAGGTTCAGGGTTCTTTCTTGGGTATATGACAGTGAGATTATCAACGTTTTTTAGGGCACACTGCCTCCTCCTAACAGAAATATTGCCTTACCCTTTGTGATTAATGGTACAATCATAACAGATATGATGAACCCAAATGTGGTGAGGGGGAGATCTTTATTTCTTTTTCGTATCTTTTTTGTTTGTTGTTGCTTATGATCTGATGTGTGTCTTCCCATATACGGAAAAATATATTATTTTGGGTGGTATTTCCAAAATTTGTTTAGATTTTACATGATTCTAATAAAAATATTTGCTTTATATTTAATGTCAGTTATTGTCATTTCTGTTAAAGAATATCAATTTAACAGTAATTCATTAACATATACTTAGAAAATGATTTAAAAAGCAATGATTCTGAATAAATATATTCATTCATTATAATGGTGTATTCTTTCTTTTTTAATACAAATTGATTATTTTAATACCAATCACATTGCCTTTGCTCTGGAAATTCTGTTTTATTAGAATTAAGGTGAGACCAAGATAGTTTGCTAAAAGTGCCAAATTATTTTGAATTTCAGTGGAATAGATTAGAAGTACAGTTGTTGGTATTATAATTTTTCATGTTAGGATTGTGTGTTTTTAACAAATATTCTAGGTAACTTTTCTCTTCAGACAATTTTAGGAAATGGTGGTTTAAAGAATGTACAGGCAAACAATTAGAGTGAAGTTATAACCAAATGAAATTGTCATTAACCAATAAAAAGCACTTTAACCCATTTGTTCTCACTTTTTCTATTTTGTGTCTTCTTCACTGTTCACTTTTGGAAAACACATTCTCCTTTGTAAAGCTCTCAATATGCAGTGAATCTAAGGGGTCTAGTTAGGAGCAGGGCCAGAGAGTGATGTGGATTTTAAAAAGTCTTTTGTGAAGATTCTCACAAACCTTGAAAAGTCATAAATATTTGCTTTTACTGTGTTTCATTATTCAAAATAAATTCATTCTCTTGTTTATTCCTCTCTTTAATTTTCCATAGATTCCCTAGCTAAGTTGTTGTTATCCTTCCTAATAAGAGATTTACTGGCCTTTCAAAAAGAAATCTTTACATTAAAGCTTTTGCTTTCCCAGCTGTACCACTTAACCAGCTGTTAGAACTTGTGAAAATGGATATAAACCATTAGCATGTTACCTAATGGTAATATGTGCTCTAGACATATTAGCTACTATTGATATCATGCTGTACTTTTAATTTTCAATTTATTTTCATATCTTCAATTTATAATACATATCTTGTGGATTCTTAATATGGATCTTTTTATTCCTTATTACTGGTTGTGTCTTTCTTTTATAAATTTCTTTTTGAGTCTCAAACTAAATGCAGACTTCAGTATATATACATAATATCACTATGCACACATAGTTTCCAAGTTTATTTTTATTTTCTTTAGTCAAAGTATATCAGATCAAAAGTTAGGCTTTTTTTTTTAACCATTGAAAAACTCATTTGTGTCTGTTATCTGTAGAGTACAGTTTGGTGTACCAAGGAAAGAGAAAAGTTACTTTTCTTGTAAATAAGTACTATGGTCTTTACTGAGATCAGCTCATTAATCAGTGCATTTGTTTATTCATTCATTTAATTTTATCATATATTATTGTTACAACCAAAAGCAAACCTTGATAAACTCCAAATCTGATTAATTTTTCTGTATTAATTATCTTAAGTTAATGGTACCCTTACCCATCTAAGTGAAAATTGGAAGCCATCTTAGACTCCCATCTTAGACTCCCCTTTTATATGTTAACACTTCCTATCAGTTCTGTTAGTTAATTCCCATCCTCATTTTAAAATTATGAGTGCCTTTGTCTTAGTTCCGCAGCTTATGGTGTCTTACCTAAATCTTTGCAGTGGCTTTTCAATTTTATCTTTATCCACACTTGCCTGCCTATCTCACCTCCACATTGCTGCCAGTTATTTTCTTTAACTATGGAGCAGATCGTTTCACTTTCCTGCTCAGAATTATTTAGTTATACCACATTATGCAAAAAACAAAGGCCTAAAGGTCTGTTTACAATCTGGTCTTTGCCTGTTTTTGTTTTTGTGTTTTTCCTGCTAAACCTACACACTGAGGAAAGTTTTGTCAAGCATCTGTGCTGTATTGTATTAAGATTCTGCCTGGAATGTTTTTTTAACCACTGTCTACTGAACAGTTCCTTTTCATCCTTCAAGCTTAGTCTTACAGTTCATTTTATTCTTTTAGTGAATATTTCTATGATAGTCTTTCTTCTCTATTTGTCTTTCCTTCCCAGTTACTTATAGTATTTACTTTTATTACTCCCAAATCTGTATTTTAGATACTCTCTATTCTCATAACTGTTTCTCTAGTGAAACTTCCTTGAGTGTGTATATGTTGTCCGTCTTTATATACCCATGATCCAAGGTTGGGATAGGGTACTTGGCATAAAGTAGGCTCAGTACATTTTTTGAATGAATGAATGCCTTTGAAAGGTAAATAATAATCAATTTTAGCATAAACAAACCTCATCATGGGACATAGTAGATAAAAACAAAATAGCAGTTTAGTCAATGGTATGTTATGTATGGGTGCCAAATACATTAGGAACTTTTCCTCATAGTTTTCATACATTATCTATTTATAATATTCACAAGGAATCCACAAAGTAGGCATTATTATTCCCCTTTTTCAGAGATGAAAATAGGTTCAGAGATACTAAGTAATTTGCCAAAAGCCATAGAGCTAGTAACTTGGGAATCCAATTCATGTCTTTATGAAGTAAAATTCTTCCTGCCCAGTACATTATCTGGAGTAGTAAGAACTCAGTAAGTATTGTTTGAATGAGTACTTTTTTTAATAGTAAGTACACCAATAAGTATAATAATACATCTAGTATTTATCTTAAAACTGTCTTTGGGCAGGAAATCTTTTCCTATATGTAGGCATTTATTCGTGTCTCTTCTCTTTAGAAATGCAAAGTTTACACATTTTATTCCACAATATAAAGTTTGTGTCTTCTGTGTTATTTAGATAGCATTCTGATTGAATATTTTCAAATTCAGTGAAGGTAATATATGCAAACTTTAATTCTTATACTTGTAAAATTCTATAAGATTTTCCTTAAATTTATTTGACACTCTTTTTACGGTTTTTTCTTGATAATTTTGTAATATTTAGAAACAATTGTTAAATGAATACTTTAAAGATTTTCTCTTCTGATTTTAATCAGGGCTAACATATATGTTGGTTTCAAATCAAGTGAAAGACTTAGTTTCCAATAAATTAATGATTACCTGGAATGAAAAAACTTAAAAAAGGATGTGCATTTTAGACAGTTAAATGTCTTGACCTGACCTTGCTTTTATAGAAGCACACTGTTGTTTTGTATTACTGACTTTTTTGAGTTAATACACTGTTTTTTTTTTCTTTTTCTGTTTTCTTTTCTTTTTTTTTTTTTTTTTTGAGACAAAGTCTTGCCCTGTCGCCCAGGCTGGAGTGCAGTGGTGTGATCTTGGCTCACTGCAACCTCTGCCTCCCAGGTTCAAGTGATTCTTGTGCCTCAGCCTCCCTGGTAGCTGGGATTACAGGCACATGCCACCAGGCCTGGCTAATTTTTGTATTTTTAGTAGACACGGGGTTTCACCATGTTGGCCAGCCTGGTCTCGAACTTCTGACGTCAGTTGATCTGCCCACCTTGGCCTCCCAAAGTGCTGGGATTACAGGTATGAGCCACCGTGCCCAGCCTATTTTTATTTTCTAAGTTGAAATGAACAAAATTGAATTTTGCTCAAAGTATTTTAGATACCTTGAAATAACTAATATTTTAGTGATTAAGGATTATTGTAACTTTTTATTTCTGAAAATATATATGAAATAATTGAATAGTGCATTTAAATAATCTGTAGAACAAAGTTTGTATTTTATATTTTGGTGGGAGGGAGAAACCAGTTAATTTTCCCCCCTTAACTTCAGAAAGCATACTTGTTCAAATGTTTACAAATCATTTGTATTTTTCTATACTTTAGAAAAAATTATTTCTATATTCTCGATTTTAGGCTATTAACTCTCAGGAGACTAAAGGTTGCTACAGAAATCAAACCATCCATATTAAAATAGATACTTAAAATGCTTTTTGATACCAGTAACTATAAAATGGGCACTTAATATGAACTCTTTCATTTATTCTTAATAAATATTCCCACATTGTTATTAAATATATAATTATCCTGGATTTACTAAATCTAAATGGTGAAATTGAAGCTACCTAAATCTTATTATAAATGCTAAAATGTTGTTTCTTTGACAGATCCTTCCTGACCATGCAATCCAAAGTAGAATCCTTGTTTATTCTTTTTCAGTTTATACTGTTCTTTTTCTCTTCACTGTAATCACCATGATTTATAATTCTACATTTGTTTAATTGTGTCATATATATTTCTTTTACTAGCTCATAAATTCTAGGAGAACTGGTCAGCCTTGGGTATCTGCAGTGCTTGGCACAATGTAAATTTTAAATGAATGAACACAAATAAATTGTATTTCTACAATTTCGAATCTTGGTATAGTGGAAGGAACGTCACGCTGGAGGTCAAGGGGTTGTAGTTCTTGTCTTCTCCAGGAGTATTCTTTATGTGCCACTTCTACCATCTGTGAAATGAGAAATGAGAGGGGGAACTTGATCAAGTGGTATTAGATGATCCTTAATAGTCCTGTCAGCATATTCTTGTAGGGTTTTATGAATGTTACAATTGCATTTTAGACTGTAACAACCAAACATTACATATTGATATATTTAATTTTTTTATTTAAGTGGTACATGATCAGCATTGTCCACATTTACAATCGATGGAGGAACAGTGAAATTCGGTGTTATGTTAATGGACAACTGGTATCTTATGGTGATATGGCTTGGCATGTTAACACAAATGATGTAAGTCTTTATTTTTCTGTCTGTGTTTTAATTTGTTTGGGAGTATGATCTATCATTACAATATGAATTAAATAATAAAATAGTTTGGTAGAAGCTTAAAACTTTGAAAGTTTATTCTTTTTATTAAATAAATCTTTCATTGTTAAATTTAGTATAAGAAAATTTCTAAAAGACATGATTAGTGATTAAAAAAACAGAAACATTTAGCCAAAGTTTTAAGTTTTTTAGATCAAAAACCATGAATCCTGTATTCTGTTTTTTTCCAGCATCAAGCACTAAAAAATGTGGTTTACCCCTTATTTAGATATGGAAAGAAGACCCTAAACAGAAGTATAACAGATAGTCACTATTATTAATTACATAGTGATAAATGCTATGGAGAAAATAAATTGGGGATACAGGAAGTAGGTGTAGGGAAGGGAGAAGCAAGATGGTCCAGAGATGATTTTAGTAGGAAGAGTTGAGCAAGCAAGATATGTGGGGAACTTCTTCTATTCAGTGGGAACAGTGAGTGCAAAGGCTTTGAGGCAGAATAGGAAAGTTCAAGGAAAAGGCAATTTGTCTGGAGCAGAGGGAGGAAGAGGCAAAATAATATTAAGAGATGAGGTTAGGCAGAAATCATTTTGGCCTTCATAAGCAAACAAGGCCTGGGTTTTCGCATCTTACTCAGCTTAAAAATCCTTGGAAGGTTTTCAGCAGACAAGTGATGTGTGCTTCTATTTTAAAACCATCAGTCTGCCTGCAGTATTGAGAATATTTTGAAGGGAAATTACAGAAGCGGGAAGATCACTTAAATCGCTTATTATAATAAAACAAAGAGACTTTATTAGTGTCTACCAGTATATTAGCAGGGGAAGAATTGACACAGTTGGATTCTAGGTAGAGAATAACTAGAATCAAAACCTCAAGGGTCCTTACGGTTTCTCTACTTTGGGCTTTCCATTGTCTACATTCCGGCCTGTCAGAGCCAAAGTGAAAGGTTTGTTTTAATGCTGAAAGTACCTCCAAGCTCAATAATATACAACCCTTCAAGCATACCTGGTTTTATAAGAACTTACCTCTTAAACACAATTCATTTCTCAGTTTTGTTTGCATCTCTCTAGGCTTTCATCTCCCGAAGGGCAGGGATTTGCTTATCCTGTCTTGTATTCTTTTAACTAGCACTGTGCATATGGTCCACAGTTTGTCCCCTAGATTGGGGCTGGGCAGACTACACCCTATGAGCCAAATCTGACCCTCCCCCTGTTTCTGGTTTTGTGTAAGCTGGGGGCTAAGAATCTTGGCTTTTAATTTTTAAAGGTTTTTGTTTTTTTGTTTTTTAAGAGACGCAAACAAAATCAAAGAAGAATGGGACAGAAACCAGGTGTGGCAGGCAAAGTTTAAAATATCTTCTGTCTGTCCCTTTATAGAAAACGTTACTTTTCTCTGCCGTAGAAACTTATGGTTGAGCCACAACCAATAAATATTTAATAGAATGTTGTTTTCAGAATTAGAATACACAGATGAAATTCTGCTTTTTATCTTCTCTCCAGAGGAGATCTCTCCAGAGTCTTTTTATTATAGAGTGGAGGAAATCCCAGTGGTCTTCTTGACTCATTAAATGAGAAGACAGTATCTTGGAAAGAAAAGACTTAGTTTTTTGGTTATTTGTAATAGTGCCCTAAGAAGTGGAGAATTCTAGATTATAACACATATATACATTCTTTATGCAGTTAAAGTTCCCATACTTCTAATTAAAGATTGTGTATTTAATGACGACAATTTTTTTTGCCTTTGTTCTCCATTCACAATTTTTTTTGTTACTTTATTGCAGTACGAAAAGTACTTCTTACATATATAATTTTTGCTTATTCGTTCTAAGGTGTGAAATAGCCTGTGGGGATAGGAGAAAGGAACTGAGCCATGACTGCCTTCCCTGGTTTGGGTGGGCGGGGTGTAAGAAGTAGAGGCTGGAAAGATCAAGCTTTTGGCTTCTTCAGTGCTGAATTCCTCTTGTGGAGAGCACTGTACCATCGGCTTTAAGCAGCAGATCTTAGTCTTATTGTTTATTTGATTCTGTGTAATTCCTACTCATATATGAGAAGCGATTGATTTTCTTTGTGTCTTTTACTTAATATGGAGAAGTAGAGGAATAGATTTGTAATTTGAAAAATAAAGTAGAATAAAAAAATTAGACCCTATGTGTTCATGATTAAATTTTGGAATAGTCATTCCCTTGATTCAGATCAATCTCTCCATATATGGATCATTATACATCATTACAGTTTTAAATTAGTTTAACTTTTGTAAATAAATAATTATAAGCTATTTTGCCTTTAACTATAGTATTTGAAAAGTGGTAAGTCTGAAGATTAAGTAGGTGGCTATTGTTTGTTTGCTTAAACATAAGTGTGAAACATGTAACTGATCATTTTTCCCAAAAAACTTGACTGGCATTTATTATTAAAATAATAAAGTCTTAATTGATGCTTTCTTCTATTATTATTGTTATATTTTAAAATATTCATGATAATGAAGGCCGATTTAAGGATTTAAACCTTTTTGTCATTAAAAATAATGCATTTTTCTTTATTACTTTTAAAAATAGAGCTATGACAAGTGCTTTCTTGGATCATCAGAAACTGCTGATGCAAATAGGGTATTCTGTGGTCAACTTGGTGCCGTGTATGTGTTCAGTGAAGCACTCAACCCAGCACAGATATTTGCAATTCATCAGTTAGGACCTGGATATAAGGTAGTAATAACTGTAATTTTATAAATTCTATGGAGAGTTTTAGATGTAAAATGTGGTGTAATATCATTTTTAGTGAAAATCTTTAATACGGTTTAAGAGTCATTTCTATTTTTTGGAATGTAGTCAAGTTTTATTATATGTTTCTTTTTGGTTCAAAGATGCTTCTTAACCATTTTATAAACTTTTATTCTTCAGAATATTTTCTAATATTCATGGCATGCCTTTTGTTAACAATTCTGAAATAATAGATCTTATAAAACTGTTTTGCTTAATGTAGTATTTAAAATACAAAAATTTGAAATATACATATTACTTAATGAACATAATAAAGAACTTGTTAATATTACTGGTAACTTGGAAAGAAGAGTTAAAGATTTAGAAGGAAACTAAGATAATATATTTCATGGGCCTAAAATTATTCAATTTTAGCTTATAGTTTTGCTTTAATTGCACTAAGTGAGGAAGTAGGTACAGTAGTGAGTATACTAATTTAGCAAAACTAATTAATGTAATTTATCATATTCTTTTTGTTTTTTAAACTTTAAAAACAAAGACTCTAGGTAAGATAGAGCGTGCACATATATGAGTTAGTTTTAAGTGTGTAGTACATCTGGCTAGGGGAGTATATAAGGGTTCTATTTAAATCACATTGGGAATTGTAAAGTCTCAAACTACTTCGAGCTGAAAGAGAATTACACATTATAGTCAAAGTGTTTATAATTCTGAAGGAGTACTTGTCTTGTATGGAAGTGTGGTTTTTTATTGAACTCAATTTAAATAATTAATGTGAAGATTGTGTAATGGAAAGGAGTAGTAAATATTAAAAAATATTCCCTCTTTGGCCTTTGTATTTTTGCATTGGTATTTCTCTTTGTATGTCATATATATATATATATACAGAGAGAGAGAGAGAGAGAGAGGAAAGTTTGAATTTACCCATATTAAAAGATCTTTTTGTTCTCAGTGACTTTAATAACCATAATAATACTGAAGAAGAATAATGCTATTATTTTTATGTCAAGGTAACAATACTTGCTATCATGTATTTTCCATATCATTTTTGGTTTTGTCTTACTAGCTCTAGAAATGAACTTGTGCTTGTACAGTTACTTTTTCTTTCATGGGTCTTTTTGTTGGGTTTGCATCCTGGTTCTGCCATTGTTGATCTTGCATAGGAATATTTTTGTAATTCACATTTTGTATTAATATGCTGCATGCTTTTCTTTCCTAGTTCTTTGAGTTTTTTCATAAAATACTTGCAGTGTCTTTTTAAGCTCTAATAGAATGATATTAAATAGAGTGACAAGCAAACAAATGAAATATAAGAAGGTAGAATATCAAGAAAATACAAATCCAATATGATTGCTAATGTTAAATTTTAGAATTGATGGGAGCTTCCTGGCAACATCAAGGAAAAGGGCTGAATATAAGCAATTTTGTAATTCTTCTATTCACAAAGAAACAAACTTTGTCCTGAACAGCTTTGCAAACTCTGTAATTTGTAGTATTCTTTTCACACGTCTTTCTTGTCATTCTTTTTAACAGCAGTGATAATGAGCAGTAACCCTGTCATCATGTGTACACAGCTCATGTGACATAGTGTATCCTTAGTATCCTAACACACAGTAGAGTACCTAAAGTCAGAACTTTTAAGAGATATACTTGTAAATTTGGGCATTACATCAGAGAGTATTTTATTAAGTTTTGAAAGTTCTCAGCTCACTGCACCCCTTGTTGTTAGCTTGGGTTGATGATAAATCCACGGGTAAATGCATTTTCTCAATTTGTAAATATTATAAATACAGTTGCTACCATGACAGGCATCAGCAAAAATTTTTTATATTAAAAAGCTTTTTTTTTCAGAAATTCAGAGAATATAGGGAAGGAGGAATGCATTTGATCAGATTGTGTTTTGACAGAAGAAAACCTGAGTAGTTCACACATTATAGTCACAATTATCTTGGTAAAGTCACTTTCTGTGAGTGAAGGGGTAGAGGGCTACAGTGGAATTTTTAAGGTGTAGAGAATATAATAACTAGTGGACATTTGGATAAATCACAAATGGAGTTTAAATTACTTAGTGTTGTATAATAACATAGTATTTATATTTTTTTGCCTTAAGTTATATGGAACTTTCTTTCATTGTAATGGTCAGACAATATTTATGATTCTGAGCTTAGTGTAGATAGCATGTCAACATACGGGCTTCGAAATTAATAAAATAAGTTAATTCTACCTTCAAATAATGTCATCAAACTGTATATTCAATGGAGCCTATCACAAATGATTTTGACTTGCTGGTCACTGGAGTGCT
Source organism: Homo sapiens (assembly GCF_000001405.40). Taxonomy (NCBI): domain Eukaryota; kingdom Metazoa; phylum Chordata; class Mammalia; order Primates; family Hominidae; genus Homo; species Homo sapiens. The sequence goes on from NC_000013.11 coordinate 35,061,178, forward strand.
AGGTAATTTTTGTTCTGTCGAATTTTTGGTTTTGAGCGTTGCAGTTTATCAGTAAATATTCTGTACTTGGTTATTTTCTGGAAACAGTAAATAAGTTAGGGTGTCACTTATTAACTAAATCATTCAGTTTGGAAAATAAAATACAGAAATTCAGAAAATATTTAAAATACTGAAAATCTCACTGTAGATTTGTCTAGTATGGTAAAATTTACTATCAGATAAGTTTACTGTGGATCTCTATTTGGGGTTATTTAATGTCTTCAAGATTATAAAATCTTGTGTATCAGGTGGCCCTTTGACATAAGCTTGCAAATCAGATTTTAACAAAGTTTTTATATTTTATAGTTATTACTAGATATTTTCTCAGTGTTATGTTAACCCTGTGTGGCAAGCAGTTAGTCTTCATTGCCAGATATTTGAAAATTTAGCTTTGAGTTCTCTCCTTCATTTATGAATATGATAACAATGGTTTTATGAATTGCTATATCATAATAAAGTTCTAACTGATAAGAGAAAAAGTATAACACAACCTCCAAATTAAAATTCACTTCAGAGGATTTCCAATACTTGTATGGAGGGGTGAGCTCCTAACAAACTGATCTTCTCACAAATAACCATTTGTAAACTCTGCATATAATATAGATAACATCTATAGGGTTATGGAGATTGAATAAAAGCAGGCAGGCTTTGGAGGGTAGTCAAAATATGGAACAGTCAGTCTGCATGGACTGATATCCTTATTTTTTGCTTTTATAGGAGACTTTCTGGCCAGAAAGTTTCTCTACAATATTGTACGGAGTAGTAGTCACACAATTTAGCATATAATCCCAAAGTATTTTTTCTAAAAATAGGAAAATGTGACTTATTCTCAAGGGAAGAGAAAATCATCATATACCAACACCAAGATAACTCACATGTTGGAAATATCACATGAGGTCTATTATAACTAGTGAGGTAGAGAAAAATTTACTTATAATGAATTAAAAGACAGGAAGTATCAGCCATGAAATAAAACAAAGTCAGATGGCAATTCTAGAACTGAAAAATATATCGGAATTAAAAATAAGCTGTATGGGCTTATTAGCAGAATTAATATGATAGAGAAGTAAATGAACTTGAATATAGATTGATAGAAACTTTGAAGAGAGTTGTGAAAGATTGGGGTAAAAAAATAGAACCCTAGAGATGGATGGGGCAATTTTGAAAGGTCTAATAGGCACAGTATAAGAGAAAGCCAGAAAAAATATTTGAATAAATGATGTTAGAAAACTTCTCAGATTTGGTAAAAGGCTTACATTTATAGATTGAAGAAACTCCGAAAACTCCAACCAAAATAAATGCAAAGAGAACCAAAGTAGGCACATTACAGTCAAAGTGTGGAAAACCAAAAATAAAGAGAAAATCTTGAAATCAGGCAGAGGAAAACTAGACATTGATAAGGGAACAATAATTTGAATATCTGTACACATCTCATCAGAAAGCAGTAAAGCCATAGAGGTGGAACAAAATCCTTAAAGTTCTGAAAGGAAGAAAAAAAATCTGTCAACCTAGAATTTTTTTATCCGGTGAAAATATTCTTTAAGTCTTTTGAAAGAAAATTAAATAAATTTGTTGTTATTTGACTGTCATTACTGACTGAAAAAGAAAACCTGGATGATTAGGAGTATATACATGTAATACATATGACAACTAACAGAAAGATTTGTGGAGAGGCTATAAATGCACCTACGTAGTTGAAAAGTTGCTGTATTTTACAATGCATCTTGATAGAGTGATGTTGACTACAATTCAATGGCTAAAACAAAATTAACAAAGTCAAAATTGCATGTCTTTTCTTGAATGATAGGCCAAATATGTATCCAGTATTTCATTTACCCACAGCATATGTTGTAGACTCCTCTTTCAAATGAAAGGTAACAAAAGCTCAGTTGAAAGGAAAAACAAAATAAATCAGTGCTAGCTACTACAGATAAGGTACACTAAATACAAATAATTAGCCTTCACTAATTCATCCATTCATTCTTTTATTAAGCAGTTGGGCACTGTTCTAGATGCTAGGGATATAACAATTAAAACCAACAAAACCCCTGCCTGTATTTTGGAGAAGTAGGGTGTGCAGTATCATGGGAGAAGATAGATTACAAAACAAAAGAAAAATATATAGTGTCTATATGGTGATAAGAGCTATGAGACACACAAAGCAGGTAAAAAAGTTGGAAGTTGATGCTAGCCAAGTGGATATACGGGGAAGAGCTTTAAGGGCAAATGCCAGAGCCAGAATAAAGGCCATTAGCAGAAGCTTACTTCACAGATTAAAGAACATTGTGACTGTTTTCCTGTGACTGTTACAGAAGGAGCAAGGGGAAGAGTCAAGGAAGATTAATTCAGAGAACAATTACATGCTTTCAGAGGATTGTTATGACTTTATTTTTGCTCTTGAGTGAGAGGAACAGCCATTGAAAAGTTTTCAGCCTGATACCAATTTGAAAAGGATCACTCTGGTTACTTTGGTAAATAGGGAGAAAAGGTGGAAATAGGGAGACTAGTTAGGGGGCTGTTGCAGTTATTTAGTGAAAGAGCTCTGGAAAGTATTGAGACTCGATTAGATTTTTGATAAAGCATATCTAAAATATCTAAGACTCTAAAAGGTCAGCTTTTGGATATACTTTGGAGGTAGTGCCAGTAGGATTTTCTGTCACTGTGAACATGGGGTAAGGGAGCAAGAGAGGATTGAGAGGAGCAAGTAAGTGACCCCATGAATTTTAGGCTGAAAAACTGAGCTGATGGAGTTGTCATTTACTGAGATGGGGAGGACTATAAAGAAATAAGTTTTGGCAGAGAAGATCAAATATTTGGTTATGGACATAGGTTATGGACATAGTTGTTTGAGATGCCTGATAGACATCTAAATGTAAAAATGAAGAACGTCTGGAGTTCAGAGGCGACATACAGGTTGGAGATAGAAATTTGGCATTGGCAGGATATGGACAGGATTTAAAGGTAAAGGACTGGATTTAGGTACCAGTGAAGTGAGTTCAGAGAAAAAGATAACTGAGAAATGAGTCCTTGGGAAAGCCAGTGTTTGTAAGTTGAGGAGATGCAGAGGAACCAGCAAAGGAGAATGAGGAGAACAAGGGAATAAGGAGAAAAAGCAGGAGAGTGTGGTGTTTTAACTTGACCTACTTGAAGTTAAATCTCCTTTCTTCTTCATTGAGGATACTGATTGTCAAATAGACACAGGATAATAGATTAGAAAATCCTGTAATTATACATAAAGAACAGTCTCAGAATAACAATATCAATAATGCCCAATTGTTATAATTACTGAAAATACAGTTAATTTGTTTTTGCATATGTTATCTTCATTCTCCATCTTGCCATTTTTAAAATAGTTGAGGTATGTTACAAGGTGAATTATGTTCCCCTAAAATTCACTAAAATTCTAACCCTCAGTAGCCCGTAATCTGACTGTTTTTGGAGACAGGGTCTTTAAAGAGGTAATTAAGGTTAAGTGAGGTCATTTGGTTATTGGGCCCTAATCCAATGTGACTAGTATCCTTATAAAGGGGAGGAAATTAGGACACAGCCACACGCAAAGGGAAGACCATGTGAAGACACAGGAAAGAAAAGGTGGTTAGACTGTCTTCAAACCAAGGAGAGAGTCTCCAGAAGAAAACCCTGCTGACACCCATATGTCAGATTTACAGCCTCCAGAACTATGAGAAATTAAACTTCTTTTATTTAAGCCATCCAGCCTCTGATTCTTTTTCATAGCAGACCCAGCAAGCTAATACAAGGTCTTATCTGTGTTGTGAGCGCACACAGTCACTACATACCATTGACTCTTAACTCTTACTTAATCATAGTTCTATAAGTACCTGTGTGTTTAAGGCTTATATTATTTCCTTATATTGATGTGTTTCGGCTGTGTTTTAGCTCTTTCTGTAGTAGATTCCTCAGGAAGAGTTCATGGAAATAGTATTTCTTGAGAAATGCATTTTGATACTAGTTTGTAAGGGGCTTTATACTTTATACTTGAAAGCCATTTTGCCTGGCTATAAAATCCCTGACTTTTCTTTCTTTGGATGTCTTAAATATGCTACTAATTTTTCTCTGGCATGAGGTATTGGTATTGAAAGCCTGTTGACAATGTAGTATCTTCTCCATTACAAGGCACTTAGTCTTGTTAGATGTTCAAAGGATTTTTTTTTTCTTTTTCCTTATATCTAGTAATTTTGGTAGATATGTATTGGTGTTGGTCACTGTGAGTTAATTTCTCAGGTATGTGGTGTCCACTTTCATATGTAGTTTGCATCTTTTCATATTTTAAGAAATTGTTCTTGTACTATACTTTTAGAATTTCTTCTATTTCCTTGCTTTGGTTTTCTTCTCCAGACACTTGACTATGCATGTTTATTTACTTTGCTTATCTTTAATATTTCTCTTAAATCACTCCTCATATTTCACTTTCTCTTAAATCTTTATCTCCTTCTTTATTTCTCTCTCATTTTAAAATTTAAAAGTAAAATAAAAATTACAGGAAAGCTACAAGCACTATCCCAGTCAGTTTTTTTCCTGAACCCTGAGAGTAACTACTGACATGATGGTTATTTAGGAATGTGTTTATTTCCACATATTTGTGAATTCATCAAATTCCTTTATATTATTGATTTCTAACATCCCAGTTTGGACAGATAATATACTTTGTATTATATCTGTCTTCATAAATTTATTCAGGTTTGTTTTATGACCTGAGTTTGGTCTATTCAGGGAATGTTTCGTGTGTACATTTTTTTTTTGGAAACAGGGTCTCTCCTTCTGTCACCTAAGCTGGAGTGCAGTGGTGCAGTCCTAGCACACTGGAGCCTTAGACTCCTGGGCTCAGGCTATCCTCCTGCCTCAGCTCCTGGGTAGCTGGGACTATAGGCACAAGCCACTGTGCCTGACTAATTTTTCAGTTTTTTATGGAGACAGGGTCTTGCTCTGTTGCTCAAGCTAGTTTTGAACTCCTGGCCTCAAGTGATCCTCCTACCTCAGCCTCCCAAAGTGTTGTGATTACAGGCATGAGCCACTGAGCCCAGCTATGTGTACTTTAGAAGAATGTGTATTAAGCTGTTTTAGGATGGTGTGTTCTAGAGATGTCTGTTAGTTCTGTTTGGTTTTTGTTCAAATCTTCAGTTTCCTTCTTGATCTTATGAATGGAAAGTTGAGTATTGAAGTGCCCAACTATTATTATTAAGTTGTGTGTTTCTCCCTTCATTTCTTCAGAGATTTCTTCATGTATTTTGATGCTTTGTTGTTGGGTGCACATATGTTTACAATTGCTATATCCTCCTGATAATTGGCCCTTTTATCATTATCCAATGTCTTTTTAATATCTAGTAATATATCTTGTTTTAAAGTCTATTTTGTCCGATATTAGCACAGCCATTCCAGCTTTCTTGTGGTTTCTTGATTTTTTCCCATTTTATTTACTTTAAATATGTTTTTATCTTTGAATATTCTATAAACAGTATGTTATTGAATCTTATTTTATTATCCAGTCTGACAATCTCTGCCTTTTGATTTGATTGGTTATTTCATTCATCTTTAATGTGATTATCGATAATTAGGTTTCCATCTGTCATTTTATTTTTTGTTAGCTATGTGTCTCATGTTCTTTTTATTTCTTTATTTCTTCTTTACTGCTTTCTTTGGATTATGTGCTTATTTTCTTATATAGCATTTTCAATTTTTAAATAATTTTTTTCACTTAAAAAACATTTCTTTAGTGATTGCAGTAGAGCTTACCATATACATCTTAACTCACTGGAATCAGCCCCAGATTTATATTAATTTTATCCTAGTGAGTTATATAAATGTTACTTCTATAGAGCTCTATTTGTTTTCTCTGTTTTTGTGATATTATTGTTATACATATAGTATCTGTATATGTTACGAACCCAACATGACGTAATTATTACTTCATATAATTGTGTCTTTTAAAGAAGCTGAGAGAAGAAAGATACAGTATATGTTTATAGATTTTGTTATATTGATCTTCTGATTTATCATTTATGAATCTCTTCATTTGTTTCTGTGGATTCAGTTACCACTTGGAGTCGTTTCCTTAGCTCAGTACAACTTTGCTTCCATCTACCTTCTTTGTTATGCTGAAGTGGTCCATACTGAAAAGAATGCATCATACTCTACTTATTTGAGTGTAATTAGTACAAAATATATTCATACCTTCTTTTCTTCTTTTAAAATAATTATAACAGTTTTATTGAAGTGTAATTTACATGCCATACAAATCATTAATGTTAAGTGTACAAGTCAATTATTTTTTTATAAACTTACAAAGTTGTGCGGACATCACTACAATTTAATTTTAGAACATTTCTATCACCCCAGAAGGATCCTACCTGCCTATTTGCAGTCACTCCTCATTCTCATCCATCTCCTCCTAGTCATACAGATTTATATAATAATTCTTCCTCTGAAAATCCTTCTGAAAGAAATAATACGGTAAACATTGATATTTATATAAAGGCTTATACTTTTATGTAAAATATTTTCTTTAAAAAAAATTTTTTAAGACTCAAGGTCTCACTCTGTCACCCAGGGTGGAGTGCAGTGGCATGATCATGGCTCATTGTGGTCTCAAAATCCTGGACTTGGTGATCCTTCCACCTCAGCCTCATGAAGAGCTGGAACTACAGGCGTGTGACACCACACTTGGCTAATTTTTAATTTTTTGGTAGAGATGGGGTCTCTCTGTGTGTTGTCCAGGCTGATCTCAAACTCCGGGCCTCAAGTGATCCTCCCACCTTGGCCTCTCAAAGTGCTAAGATTACAGGTGTAAGCATAGTACATGTCCGCCTTTATATATAAATTTAAAGACATAGAAATAACCTAATACTGCAAGTAAGGAAAGATAAGAAAATTTTCTTCATTTAATGGATTCTATGTTTATATTGAAATTACATTATACACTTTTTTTAAACCTAAAACTTGTAGATTTATTACATAAACTTGTTTTCCTCCTACAAACCAAAATAGCGTATGGTATGTATCATGGACTCAGAAAAACTAAGACCAATCAATGTTTTTCCAAATAAAAATAGGTTTTATTAGATATCTTACATTTCCACAAAATGATTTTAAATCTTTTAAGAGAATATATTAAAATTTGTTAATTCCAGTGTAAGCAGTATGAACAAAATGAAAGCAAGAGTTTTGTTCTAGACAATGGGATGTACAAATGTTTCAGCAGTGGTAAATTGCAGACACGGAAAGCTGATTTCAGTGTTTAACAACTTATCTGTGTGTTTTAATTCAGTCACTGTTTTTTTGAATGCAGGTATGCTGAGTTCTTAAGCATTCTAGTGATAACACTACCCTCCTCATTCAAAAAAAAGTATTATCAATGACATACTTCAGACTACAGCATACACAAATTTTTAATCGTTCATGTTGCTCTTGTCTTGGCACATGCCTGATAACTAATGGTTTGCATCCAGTTTTCTTTTAGATAGTCTCTACACGCTAGTCCAGAAGTAAAAACTGACATGTTTGGTCTGCACAGTGTTAAAATGTTTGAATTAAATTTTAAAATATAGTGATTTTAGATAAAAATTCAGATTTCATGTTTCTCTTGAAAAATATGGAAGAACTAGCAACATTGAACAGTTGACTTGAGCTGAGGAGTGGGGGCCACTTTTAGAAAGGACAAATCTTCTCTAGTTTGAGGAAGTCCCCATCTGGCCCAATTCACTTATATGCATATCTGTATGCCTCCCGTAAGAACTTGAGTTTGGGACATTTAATTTAACCTTATAACATTAGAGTAAGAAAATTAGAGCCACATCAGCCTAATGATTTGCTCAGCATGAAAAAGATAATTAGTGGCAGAGTCAGGATTTTAAGATGATTTCACTATCGAAACATTGAATATGGAGTATAAATCAGAAGACTTAGAATTACGTGCTGGCCCCTTCTACATCTTAATTTCTGTAACATTCAGTTTTCATAGTTGTAAGTTGAAATTAATAGTAATACTGATATGTGATTATTGCAAAGGTTAAATATTATTTATCATTATTAGATTCATATCTGCAGAGCAATTTTAACCACATCTAACAATACCTTTCTTGTTATAGATGGCATAGGTTTAGTTCTTGTGTTTCATAAAAAGTAATAACATGTTTTAATGAACTTCTCTTCTGAGTTTTGTATGTATATTGTGATATTATTATTGAGTAGCATTGGTATTTCATAGGTTGATTTGCTTTTTAGTAAAGATGTGAATATTTTTACATGTTAACTTTTTATAGCCTCAAATGATAGTCATTTTTCTCTATAAGTAATTCATGTGCCAGGCACTGTTTATTTACACAAATACTTTTTAAAGTGTTAACAAGAAAAATTCAACTTAAGCTCTGATGTAGTCAAGTAACATCCTATTTATATATAATATCAGGTTTGATATTTTTTCTAATGAAATGATTTTGCCAGTAATCAAAAACTTTAAATTAGAAAATGAAGATCTGAGCATTTTTATTGGCATAATAAAACTTAACTCTCATTGAATTGAAGTGACAATAACAAAGTAAGTAATACCACTGAATAGTCCCTGACACATGAAAGGTACACAAGTAGTTTATTATTGTAAATGTTTCTCTGCTTTAAAACTTTTGAGTGTAATTGTTGCTTTTAAAAAGAGTGTTTACCTTAGTTTTATTTTTTCAGAGTACCTTCAAGTTTAAATCTGAGAGTGATATTCATTTGGCAGAACATCATAAACAGGTGTTATATGATGGGAAACTTGCAAGTAGCATTGCCTTTACATATAATGCTAAGGCCACTGATGCTCAGCTCTGCCTGGAATCATCACCAAAAGAGAATGCATCAATTTTTGTGCATTCCCCACATGCTCTAATGCTTCAGGTGGGTGAATCGTGGCTTTGTTTTCATGTTCTTGTCAGAATTTGACAGTATCTTTATTTTATATATCAAACATTGCTCATCTATAAATCTATGATTTTTTTGCTTCTTTTTTGGCTTTTGCAGATCTTTTAAGTGAAACTTTAAAGAATATCTCTCTTTTCTATAGCAATATACTCTACCCTGGCCTTGTCTCCTTAGTAGGAAATCTGTCATATCCATTATCTTATATAGCCTTTGAAATTAAATCAATTAACTGAATAAGTTAGTTGTTAGATATAAAAACATACTTTGCTTTAAGAATGTATTACTAATATTCTCTAACATTAAAATTACTTGTCTTTAAATCCATCAATAGTATTTCTGATTTTAAAATAACGTTTGATTTTAACTTAATATTTTTAGTGTGAAAATGCCTCAACCTAAGATTTGAAATTTAAAAGTGATTAGCAAAGGTATTCACTTTTTTGTCTTATATGTGTATAAAAATTATAATTGAAGGCTTAAAAATGTCCAAGTATGTTATTTAATTCTATTATAAAGGTATTTGGAACAAGGAAATAGTGATGAAATCATTCTATAGAAGTTTAATAAACATTTTTGTTTTTGGACATAGGATGTGAAAGCGATAGTAACACATTCAATTCATAGTGCAATTCATTCAATTGGAGGGATTCAAGTGCTTTTTCCACTTTTTGCCCAATTGGATAATAGGCAGCTCAATGACAGTCAAGTGGAAACAACTGTCTGGTAAGTTTTCTTTGCATGTACAATTGCTGGTATTTTATACACACTTAAGACTATGCATGATGTACTCAGTGCTGTGTAAATGTATTACAGTATTTGGGTTCTGCCCTTAAAGTGTAATAAAAAATTTTTTAGAACTAATGGAGATAGATATTTATACAATAAATAAAGAAAACGCTGACATTTAGGTTGTTATATCATAAAGGAATGCCTTCCTTGATAATAAATAGAAAATTCTTACCAAAGATAGCATAATGATTATAATATGTAGTTGAGGGAAAAATATTAATCCTGACCTTATCATTTGCATATACTCATGGTTTGAATTGACCATGAAACCCTGTCAGGTTGAAGAAAATTACTAGGGTAAAGTTATTCAGAAGAATAACATTTATTAGCAATTACATAATTTATATCTTAAAGAATGGTATTATTTTATAATGCTTTTGTCATGGCATAAGTCTAGCATAATATTAATTGACATCAGCCCTTATTTATATATAGTTTATATGTGAGGACTCAATCTAACCAGGCAAATCCATGTTTATGTAAAAATTAAATCTCTTCTAATGAGTGTGATTTCATGTACATTTTTATAGTTTCTCTTTTATTAAAAAAAACCTTATGTGCCAGACTCTAATTTAATGTTATATCTTAGAATTATACATACAAGAATTTAAAAATGAATTGTAGTAGCTATTTTGATTATACACATTGCCATGCTTGGGGATTTTAATGGGCAAGTTATATAGATAAGCATTAATTTTTATTCCAAAAGTAACATAGTAGTGCTTCATTAGTGTATATATATACATATACATGAGCTCCTTAATGGGTTATCTAATTTTGAATTGATGGCGAATCTAGTGAATGAAGATATGAGAAAAATTTAAGGTACAATGAAATGCTTTTTCTCATAATTATTATCTAAATTAGCTATTAATGAAATTCCATTTTAGTATTTCTAATAATATTATTTCTGTTTTGGGAACATCTTTATGTAAAGTATAAATCTAAATATGGATATGAGATTTGTACATTTATAACATTCACCTCCCGTCTATGGGTCTTGCCTTCTTTTATATCAATATAGTGTAAAGGTTGGAGTTTTGAAAGTAAAAAGCTTTGAAGTGAAAAGGAATCCTGAGGTTATGTCCTGCTGTGATACTATTTTGCTTGTGAGATCTTAAATAATCTAATTGGAAGGCAGCTCAGCTTAGTGGAAAAATCAAACTTTAAATTTCAGTCCTTTATTTAAATTCAAAATGTTTTACTATTTATCATCTCAGTGAACTAGGACATATTATGATCAGTATTTAAAATCTAGTCAGTACTGTGAAAAGAAGTGGGAGATGAAGTAGCCACTAGAAAAATCCATGTATTAATTTAAATATTTCTTATGAAATAATATGAAATACATATATTATCAAATCTTACTGCTAAAACCATATGTAATAGGTTATTTGGTTTATTCATCCAAGACACATGGTTACTTTTTACTGTCTTTCTTCAAAACTCATTTAATATTTATATTATATCTTGGTATTTAAATTGTATTTATTTCATCGTGGAGATAAAAGATAGTGTGAGGAGTCAGCATACCTATTTTCATTTTGATTTTAGTTCTTTAAATCATCCTAATATTTCCCTATATTAACTAATTCCAACCTTTTCAGTGATGTCTATTATGTCTTTTGTTTGTTTGTTTGTTTGTTTATTTATTTATTTGAGATGGAGTCTTACTCTGTTGCCCAGGCTGGAGTGCAGTGGTGTGATCTCTTGGCTCACTGCAACCTCTGCTTCCCAGATTCAAGCAATTCCCTTGCCTAAGCCTCCCAAGCAGCTGGGATTACAGGCACCTGCCACCATGCCCAGCTAATTTTTTTTATTTTTAGTAGACACAGGGTTCCACCATGTTGGCCAGGCTGATCTTGAACTCCTGACCTCAAGTGATTCACCTGCCTTGGCATCCCAAAGTGCTGGGATTACAGGCGAGAGCCACTATGCCTGGCCCTGTTTATAGTTTAGCCAATAGAAAACATTACAAGAATGATACTGCTTTCCTCTTTAATACGTACTCAATTCCAGGCTACCCTGTGATTTAGTTATGTACTATTTTTAATTCTTATCTATTACTTTTTCATTAATTATTTCAGTATCCTAAATATCTGAGATTTGCTCTTTGGTACAGACAATTGTGTGGATCAGTAATACAGTCTTTTGTTATTTAATGTTTTATAGGGAACCATTATAGAAAAGTATGTGCATCAGTGAAATAGTCTGTGATTTTGCAAGCTGTTAAGTGGGATTTCTCCCTCTATTTGAAAAATACAGATTCATGGCTATGCAGGGGTGATAGAATTTTATGTTTTATGGCTATATCATCAGTTCATATCGATGATTGGGACCTTGAAATAGGATTTATCATCTTATTTAGTTGATAATAAATTGTTCTAGATTAAGGATAATCAATTTGAAGTTTTTAAATCTTACAGAGAAAATTTAATATACTCCTTTTTGGAAGTCTGATTGCATGGTAAATAGATGACTGAAAGTTGCAATACTGTCTAATTTTTAATTACTTTTTTGAGAAATGGAGCTAAGCTCAAATATAAGTTACTTCTTTGCCCTCTGTGTTTCAAGCTGAAGCATTTTATCTTCCACATAGTTTTCTCTACTAAGTAGTACCTTTTAATGAAACTTTTCATTGTTTCTTAAGCCTTACCTCTGTTGGCACTACTACTTTGTTTTATCAACTTTGATGAGTTTTTACTTTATATAGGGGATTTAGAATTTTTAAAAAATTATTGGCTGGGGGTGGTGGCTAACGTCTGTAATCCCAGCACCTTGGGAGGCTGAGAGTGGTAGATTGCTTGAGTCCGGAATTTCAAGACAGCCTGGACAACATGACAAAACCTCGTTTCTACAAAAAAATAGAAGAAGTTAGACGGGCATGGTGGCATGCACCTGTAGCCCCAGCTACTGGGGAGGCTGAGGTAGGAGGATCACTTGAGCCCAGGAGGTGGAGGTTGCCATCAGTTGTGATCACACCACTGCTCTTCAGCCTGGGTAACAGAGCAAGACTCTGTATCAAAAAACCACCCCAAATTATTGAAGGAATAATTTCATTTTCTAGAGTCTTCAAAGATGGATTTATTTTTGCTGGATAATTTTTGTGACTTTTTAAATTATGAAGGCCACTTATAGTTGTTTTATGTATGGACTTTCAAGTCAGACAAACATGGGTTCAAATCTTGAATTTAGTATTTATTACTAGTACAACTTTGTGTATGTGATTAATTTTTTGAGCATAACTCAAACTCTGAAGTAATATAGCTTTCGTATTTTGTGTCTAGAATGACTCAAGAAATTAAATAGAAACTTTATTTTCCTTTGAATTGGATGATTATGTAGACTGAGTACATATTCTTATTGAGTACATGTTATTGAGTACATACATCTTATTGAGTACATATTTTTCTTACATTGAGCTATGTTTTTAAGAACATGGGTAATTATGTAGGTGATACAAAATAAAACCTTCCTCATTGTGTGACCTAAGACAGTTTTGCTTTGAAAAAAAATTATGTTTTCTGGAACAAGGTATAAATTGAGTTTTGTATATCAAACAATTAAAAATACACCAGGAGAATAGTTTCATTAGAAACCAGTGTAATATATTGCGTAAGTGTTCTTTTGGTGGAAGACAAATTTGGGCTCAAATCCCTGTCCTGTTTTATACTGTCCGATGTTAGGTGATGGGATATTCATGGGTGTGTAGTAGTGGTACATGGCATTTATTGAATACATACTGTGTGCTAGTCACTTATTTTTAAAAAATAAATTTTATTGTGTATGTTTAAGGTATACAACATGATGTTATGGGATACATATAAATAGTAAAAAGGTTACTATAGTGAAGCAAATTAACATGTCTGTTGTCTCACATAGTTACCTATTTTTTGGGGGGAGGGAAGTGGCTAAAACGTACTAATTATGAATCACATACAAAATATAATTCTGTTACCTACAGTCCTCATGTTGTACATTAGATGTACTCGTTCAACCTACATATCTGGTACTTTATTTACTCTAACCTACATCTCCCCACTTCCAAGCCCTGTGTCCCTTTTCCCTGATAGCCACTGTTTTGTTTTTTATCTCTGTATATTTGAATTTTGCCAGTCATGTATTTTAGTGTAATTATTTGCTGATGAAGAAGAGAAAAATTGAATAACTTGTTCAAGATCACAGAGACATAAGTGGCAGAACCAGGGTTCTAATCCTGCAAGCCTGACTCTAGAGCTCTGACTCTAAACCACTGTGGACTACTCTGAGAATCACTTTTGCCAGCTGTGGAATGATTTTAATAAGTGCCAACTTTATCTGATTGTAATATGAATTAAAATAAGACATGTAAAGTATCTGTCATAGCGTCTGTACATAGCATCTGGCATTTAATGAGTTTTCTTTTTACTTTCTTCCGTGAGTTACTAGTCTATTGGTTAGATGCAACTTTTTAATTATTAAAACTTAGTTTTAATGTTATTGTAAACTATGATCATTTTTATAAAGTAGAAATTTCATGTGATAATTTAAATAAATTATCTTAAGTATATGAATATTTTTCTAGGAAAAGCATTTTTTAAAATTACAATAAATACAGTTTGTTTGCTAGAAGGATGGAATGTAAGAAATAAAAGTGTTTAGAGAATCCCATAAAGCATTTATGTCAACAGTCCTATCATATGAACAGTCCTCTTGTAATGTGAATATTTATGACTCATTAGTTTGTTTAGTGAACTTAAATCACAATTTATTTTTTAAGATTACCTTGCTAATTAATCAAAGTTATTCCAGTGATTAACTTGAATTTTACAGCCACTTTAATAATTAAGCAGCCCCTTAATAATTAAGTATTTCATTCTAATATTCTGATTAGCACTATTGTAATACATAAAGCAACAGAATTACCTGGAAAATTTAAATATTTCAGCGTCTAACTGCCTTAGCCAGATTTCCTCATACACTTAGAAGTGACATGAAAATCCTTTATCTGACCATGTTTCCTGATTTTTAATTCAGAAAAAATATCTATTATATACAGCGTTAAAATTTTATTACATACTCTTAATCCAACTTAATCTGACTTAAAAATAATATGTGATTGTTTTTAATAGGGAAAATAATTAAAATTAGTACCTGTTTATAATAATTGCTTATCTTATGGAGGTGGTGGTTCTTATATATAGAATATAATTATTAATTTAGTTTCCAAAAACATTTAAAATATTTGTATTAGGCTATAGTTTATACAGTTATATTTACTTAGGTTTTTCGGAAAGAATATACCACTGATATGTCTTAAGATTCATATCACTTTGTTTGCCTTTAAAAAAATTGCTAAATTGGTACTGAAAACATTTTGAAGTGATAGACACAAAAAAATACATTTGATGTACTTGCACTACTACTTTTAGAAGAGAAAAATGAAGTAATTTGGTTAGTGAGATTTAAGCAGAGTAAAATGAAATATATATTGAATTCACTATGCAAATGAATTTATAAGTAGTAAAAAGTAAAATACATTATTCTGTCTGAAACATCAGGAAACATTACATTTAATTTTCAAATAGCTTTTTCTTCTTTTTAAATTTAGCGACAGCCACTTTCAATGCTATACTACTTTGTGTTGTTTAGTTTTCAACACTTAATTTTTCTCTGTAAATTTTTCTTTGTCTTGTTACAAGGTTTATGCTTTTATCTTTGACCCTTCACTCCCTCTCTCTTGCTGTGGAAAAAAGGCACCTTTTTGGCAATAAGATTAACTACAAATTATTCCTTGCAGAAATTCTGGCGACCATGGACACATCTTCACTAAATTTGTTGCCTTAATTTTCTTCTAGTTTGCATTTCCACATTCTGTTGTCTTTAATTTTTCAGTCTTACTATCTTCTAACAGGAGTATTGTTATTTTACTCATGCCATAGATTTCATTTCTTTTAACTGTCTTACATTACCTTCCTTCATTTATTTTGATTTTATGACAGTCGTGCAGGTATAATGGCATCAGCCCAAAACTAAAATAAATATTATTTGCCTTTATAAAGAGTATTACCACATGCCATAATTCATCCTCAGAAACCCAGAATACTTTTAATAGATTGTAGCTATAATACTGATTGTCACAAGTGTTTAAACCCTCTTCTTTTTCCATCCAGGGGTGAGATGTGATGACCATAACATGTAATGAATGGAATTTTCAAGAAAAGATTTAGTAAAGCATACTAAGGAGATTCTAGCTAACTTAGTATTATAATTTTATTGGTTTTTGTTTCTAATTCTACTCAGATTTTTAGGTCCACAATCTTGTTACCTAGGCTGGTAACTTCCAGTGCTTATCTCTAGCTTGCCTTCAATTTAGGCTTATACACATAAACCATTGATGGAATATTTCCATGTGGAAAGTATCTCAAACTTAACATGACTCAAATAAAAATTCATAAACTTCTCATCTACCCAATTTCTATTGCTTTTGATTTTCTAATGTTACTGAGGAACATTGTCTCCAGGCAGTCTCTTAAATTAGAACCCCAAGAGAACTCATCAGTTACTTTCCTCCCTTTGAATAATTAAAATATTAGCTGTTCCTGTATTTCCCACATACAATCTATCATGATAAACTATTGATATTATTCCTTAAATACCTCACAAAGCTACCCTTTCCCCTCCATCCATATTGCTACTGCCTTAGTCTAGGTTCCCATTATTAATTACTTCAGCTAGTATATATCCAGTAATTGCTGTTGCCCTTTTCCAGTAATTTTCAATGGGTAGAAGAGTTATCTTTCTAAAATACAAATCTAATTATTTCACACCAGTGGTCATTCACTGGTTTCCTGTTGCCTCAGAACAAAGTCATTATCTGATTTGGTCATGCTTACTTATCTTCTCTAGTCACATTTCTTGATAGTCTTTCCAAACCCAAATTCCTATATATAGCAATAAGGACAAAGGGTGGAAAATGCTAGCAGGGACATTCTAGAACATGTATTTATGAATAAAAGGTGCTACAAATAGGGACGGCCTCAGCAACAGTGTATAGTTGGGAACATGGTTTTTCTGCAGTCCTTGGATTTATAATGTCAGTGAATTAGGGAGGAGATTTAACAGAATACTTCATTTAAGGTGTCTTGGAGTCTTACTACCTGCTTTATAAATAAAGGGGAAGGTTTCTGTGCGCTTAAATCTGGCTTTCAGCTTCAGAATAGAGATGGAGTGTCTGCTGTCATGCAAGTGGACAATAAGCAAAGCCATAGGTAATCTGTATACCAAATGACCCATTATTTGTTGGCCAATACCCTGTTTAACAGATCTTGTTTAATAATCAGCACAGAGAAACCTATCAGCATAGAACTTACATTATCCAGCATTTGCTAGTTATAGCTGTAGTAACAAACAACCTCAAAATCTGGTAGCCTCATAAAACAACAAAAGTTAATTGTTTTTTCATAACTGGTTGTGCTGTGTTCCCTGTGTCTTCTCATTCTGGGTCCTAAAAGATTAGCTGTGATATGGAATATGTTTTTCTTGTGTCAAAGAAGAGCAAGAATCTGAGTTAAACAATACAATTGCTCTTGTAGCTTCTGGTCAAATGAGATGAATGTCATATTCAATCTGCTAGCCGAAGAATGACCAACCAAGCCCAACTTCAATGAGGGGATTTGGTTGTAAAATATATGTCCTGGAAGTGGGGGTGGAAAGTAAGTCTTTGGCCATAGGCAAGGATTTATAATCTTCTTACTGAGATGGAAAAGTCGGTAATTGGGAATAATAATGCAATCTCCCATGGGACTTATGAAAAAGTATTACGGTGCACAGGAAGGAAACCCATATCCTGAAGACTTGAGGCAAGCCGACTTATAAAACTTTGAGAGGCCCAGGCGGGCGGATCACGAGGTCAAGAGATCGAGAGCATCCTGGCCAACATGGTGAAACCCTGTCTCTACTAAAAATATAAAAATTAGTGGGGTGTGGTGGCACGTGCCTGTAGTCCCAGCTACTTGGGAGGCTGAGGCAGGAGAATTGTTTGAACCCGGGAGGCGGAGGTTGCAGAGGGCCGAGATCGCACCACTGCACTCCAGCCTGGCAACAGAGCGAGATTGTGTCTTTAAAAACAAAAAACAAAAAACAAAACCTACTAGGAGGAATTCAGAAGAAAATTTTGGTAAAATTTAGGGTACAAAATGACCCTGTATGAAATAGCAGAATACCATAAGGCTGACATTGAGACAATACTATCAGAATTTAGAGATGATGGCCAAAGTCTATATTTTTGCCAGACATTGTAGAATATTCTGATATAAAATCAGGTGTGGGGGAAAAAACAAAGAATGTTTTTCTAATTCCTTTTGGTAACTTCTCGTTGAATTAAAAACTGTATATGTGCCTTCTTTTGGATTTACTGGAGAAAGTAAAAATTAAAAATGTAATGGTTACAAAAATACGGAAAACAAGGGAATGGGAATAGAACCATAAAGCAACTGTTAATATAAAGTAACAGGTTATATAACCTAGAGATACTATTAACTGTTAAAAGACAGAAACTCACATATTCATTCAATAAGCCAGAATCCAAATATGTAAGCTTTAAAGAGAAACTGTTTCATTTAAAACTAAATGGTAAAGAATATAGGTCTCAATTTTTGGTCTGCTGTAGTCTGGCAATTTTTTTCTTAGTATACCACTAATAAAAGTGTAGATAGTATACTAATAAAAATGTGGCTATTTTGTCCCATATAGAATGCATGGATGGTATCTTTTTACCTAAGAAAGCACATATTCCTCATTTGCTGGTTAGAATAAAATCATTTGTTAAGCTACACAGAAATAATAGAAAATAGTCCACCATGTTTGTTACATTTTATCTAGAAAGTAGGTTAGGTCACTCACTACTAAGCTATTCCAAAACGTTCCCTAAAATTTTACTTCTCATGGGATGTGGGCCCTTTTGCAACTATTCATTTTCACGTAATTCATGGTGGTTTTATACTTTTTCTATAGGAAGTGTCAAGACATACTGCATGGCTTGAATGATAAATTTTCTATAGTATAGGTACCCATACTAAAGACATAGTAGTAGTAGTAGATTATTATAATAGTAATATTACCTATTTCTGAAGTATGGGTACAGATGCTTGTTTCTTTCTGCACTGTGTAGTTTTTAGAACAACACAATTCTCCCTTTTCAATGGTTGCCTAATGCTGAGTTGGCACCTTCAAATTATTTTGTCAAGAGAGTATAGGGGTCATGTACCATATAAAATTAAAAAATTGTTTATTTCCATATCCAGAACATGCAGGTAACTTTTGTCCCTCCTAGTACAACTGTCGTACATATTATTTTAATTGATATCATTGAGGATCTCTCCCTTGGTGGCCTATGGGTGCCTATTAATGCATCCAGCATTTAGAAACAGGGAAGTCCTTTGCAGGATCATTTTGACATTACTTTACTGAGGATAGTAGTCAGGGACTTGAGTGGGGTCTTACGTATCTGATGGAAAAAGAAGATTCATACATTCTCTGACAAAGAGGTTATGAGCAAAACCTCTGCCTTTAATTATGTAATTTCTAGATATTCTTTATCAGAAAGTCCAAGCTGAAATTGGAGGGTAGGTTACAATAAGGCTCAGCTGGAAGAAGAAAATATTTTTGCCATGGAGAGGAGGGCATATAACCTTTGGGGCGGTAAAGCTGACTCATAGCAGTTTGGGTATTTGGTATGTATCCCTTGTAACTCAGCCAAGTACACTAGGTAGCACATCTTTAATATAGTTGAAGACCAGACTTAAATAGGTTTAGAAACATAAGGAGTTCTAGTAGATAAGCACTGTTAGGAAGCAAAGGGTAAAAAGTTTAGCACTAATTGGTTCCTGTGAAATCAATGTGGAAGTCAGGCATGAGACACATAAATTTATTTACTGCCAAATATTTTTACAGATGGAAATGAGATACAGGAGTTGGTACCTTTGGTATCTTATGTATAGTGAATAGGACCAGGTATGATCCCTTCCAGCAACTCTTGGTGGAGCTTTAATGAGGATCCAATGTCAGACCAAAGATGCTGGCATTCATCATCCCAAGTTTATCAGTAGGGCTTTTTATACCGCTAAAAGGTTTACCTTAACACAATGACTTTATGATTTAAAACATCGAATGAAATATGTATACATAAATGCTTCGTAGTATGGCTTGCTGCTGGAAGGCCTAGAGGGAAGTTTCATGTGCCTCACACTCAGCAATTCATGGGGGAATAGCAGGAGTCCTATTTTTCTGGTGGCTGTATATCTCATCAGGGTTATGAGCATCTGCCTATTAGAGCCTAATTTTTGTACAAATCCTAGCTATTTATTATTTTTGAATTCTATCTTGGCATTTTCTGTATTTGTGGTGAAAATATTGTTGAAGTTGATCTTCTTTAGACACTTCCTTTGCAATATCTTTATTAATGGGCAACCATACTCTGAATCTAGGTATTAAATTTTATATGACAGCTTTTGTGAATGGATTTACTTAGCTATCTTGATAAAATACATATATTATTTTTTGAACTTTTTTTCATAGAAACAAACAAATTCAATCTAAATATTTATTAATGGCTTTCAAGATGGGCAAGCTTTTTTTTTTTAAGTGCTTATCTCCATTTTGCAACAGGCAAATATGGCAGGAATGACAATATGTGTGAGGCATTTGAGAAAACAGTTTGGAGGATATTAACAATGTTTGTTTGCATAACTTTTTATTTTTTACCTTTTATGCCAACTCATTTGCAAAGAACAGAAGATTTTTTATATAATCTAACAGCAATTTGTGGAGTATAAAAAAGTGAATCTTGTTTTTAAGAGTATTTTTTTCTTTTCTTCAAAATTTATTTTGTTGATTAAAAATACTTTGCGAAATTTATAGGTGTATGTGAATATTTGTTACATTCATAGAATGTGTAATGACCAAGTAAGGGTATTTGATCATCACCATCACCTTGAGTATTTATCATTTCCATTTTGGTAACTTTTTTTTTATTATACTTTAAGTTTTAGGGTACATGTGCACAAAGTGCAGGTTAGTTACATATGTATACATGTGCCATGTTGGTGTGCTGCACCCATTAACTCGTCATTTAACATTAGGTATATCTCCTAATGCTATCCCTCCCCACTTCCCCACCCCACAACAGGCCCCAGTGTGTGATGTTCCCCTTCCTGTTTCCATGTTTTCTCATTGTTCATTTCCCACCTATGAGTGAGAACATGCGGTGTTTGGTTTTTTTGTCCCTGAGATAGTTAGCTGAGAATGATGGTTTCCAGCTTCATCCATGTCCCTACAAAGGACATGAACTCATTATTTTTTATGGCTGTATAGTATTCCATGGTGTATATGTGCCACATTTTCTTAATCCAGTCTATCATTGTTGGACATTTGGGTTGGTTCCAAGTCTTTGCTATTGTGAATAGTGCCTCAATAAACATATGTGTGCATGTGTCTTTATAGCAGTATGTTTTATAATCCCTTGGATATATACCCAGTAATGGGATGGCTGAGTCAAATGATATTTCTAGTTCTAGATCCCTGAGGAATCGCCACACTGACTTCCACAATGGTTGAACTAGTTTACAGTCCCACCAACAGTGTAAAAGTGTTCCTATTTCTCCACATCTTCTGCAGCACCTGTTGTTTCTTGACTTTTTAATGATCGCCATTCTAACTGGTATGAGATGGTGTCTCATTGTGGTTTTGATTTGCATTTCTCTGATGGCCAGTGATGATGAGCATTTTTTCGTGTGTCTTTTGCCTGCAAAAATGTCTTCTTTTCAGAAGTGTCTGTTCATATACTTCTCCCACTTTTTGATGGGGTTGTTTGTTTTTTTCTTGTAAATTTGTTTGAGTTCATTGTAGATTCTGGACATTAGCCCTTTGTCAGATGAGTAGATTGCAAAAATTTTCTCCCATTCTGTAGGTGGCCTGTTCACTCTGATGGTAGTTTCTTTTGCTGTGCAGAAGCTCTTTAGTTTAATTAGATCCCATTTGTCAATTTTGGCTTTTGTTGCCATTGCTTTTGGTGTTTTAGTCATGAAGTCCTTGCCCATGCCTCTGTCCTGAATGGTATTGCCTAGGTTTTCTTCTAGGGTTTTTATGGTTTTAGGTCTAACATTTAAGTCTTTAATCCATCTTGAATTAATTTTTATGTAAGATGTAAGGAAGGGATCCAGTTTCAGCTCTGTACATATGGCTAGCCAGTTTTCCCAGCACCATTTATTAAATAGGGAATCCTTTCCCATTTCTTGTTTTTGTCAGGTTTGACAAAGATCAGATAGTTGTGGATATGTGGCCTTATTTCTGAGGACTCTGTTCTGTTCCATTGGTCTATATCTCTGTTTTGGTACCAGTACCATGCTGTTTTGCTTACTGTAGCCTTGTAGTATAGTTTGAAGTCAGGTAGCGTGATGCCTCCAGGGTCGGGTTACCCACAAAGGGAAGCCCATCAGACTAACAGCTGATCTCTCCGCAGAAACTCTACAAGCCAGAAGAGAGTGGGGGCCAATATTCAAAATTCCTAAACAAAAGAATTTTCAACCCAGAACTTCATATCCAGCCAAACTAAGCTTCATAATTGAAGGAGTAATAAAATCCTTACAGACAAGCAAATGCTGAGAGATTTTGTCACCACCAGGCCTGCCCTAAAAGAGCTCCTGAAGGAAGCACTCAACATGGAAAGGAACAACTGGTACCAGCCACTGCAAAAACATGCCAAATTGTAAAGACCACCAAGGCTAGGAAGAAACTGCATCAACTAATGGGCAAAATAACCAGCTAACATCATAATGACAGGATCAAATTGATACATAACAATATTAACCTTAAATGTAAATGGGGTAAATGCTCCAATTAAAAGACCCATCAGTGTGCTGTATTCAGGAAACCCATCTCATGTGCAGAGACACACATAGGCTTAAAATAAAGGGATGGAGGAAGATCTACCAAGCAAACAGAAAACAAAAAAAGGCGGAGATTGTGATCCTAGTCTCTGATAAAACAGATTTAAACCAAGAAAGATCAAAAGAGACAAAGAAGGCCATTACATAATGGTAAAGGGATCAATTCAACAAGAAGAGCTAACTGTCCTAAATATAGATGCACCCAATACAGGAGCACCCAGATTCATAAAGCAAGTCCTTAGAGACCTAGAAAGAGACTTAGACTGCCACACAATAATAATGGGAGACTTTAACACCCCACTGTCAACATTAGACAGATCAACGAGACAGAAAGTTAACAAGGATATCCAGGAACTGAACTCAGCTCTGCACCAAGCGGACCTAATAGACATCTACAGAACTCTCCACCCCAGATCAGCAGACTATACATTCTTTTCAGCACCACACCACACCTATTCCAAAATTGACCACATAGTTGTAAGTAAAGCACTCCTCAGCAAATGTAAAAGAACAGAAATTATAACAAACTGAAACTGTCTCTCAGACCACAGTGCAGTCAAACTAGAACTCAGGATTAAGAAACTCACTCAAAACCGCTCAACTACATGGAAACTGAACAACCTGCTCCTGAATGACTACTGGGTAAATAATGAAACGAAGGTATAAATAAAAATGTTCTTTGAAACCAACGAGGACAAAGACACAACATAGCAGAATCTCTGGGACACATTCAAAGCAGTGTGTAGAGGGAAATTTATAGCACTAAATGCCCATAAGAGTAAGCAGGAAAGATCTAAAATTGACACCCTAACATCACAATTAAAAGAACTAGAGAAGCAAGAGTAAACACATTCAAAAGCTAGCAGAAGGCAAGAAATAACTAAGATCAGAGCAGAACTAAAGGAAATAGAGACACAAAAAACCCTTCAAAAAATCAATGAATCCAGGAGCTGGTTTTTTGAAAATATCAACAAAATTGATAGACCGCTAGCAAGACTAATAAAGAAGAAAAGAGAGAAGAATCAAATAGATGCAATAAAAAATGATAAAGGGGATATCACCACCGATCCCACAGAAATACAATCTACCATCAGAGAATACTATAAACACCTCTATGCAAATAAACCAGAAAACCTAGAAGAAATGGATGAATTCCTCGACACATACACCCTCCCAAGACTAGCCCAGGAAGAAGTTGAATCTCTGAATAGACCAATAACAGGCTCTGAAATTGAGGCAATAATTAATAGCTTACCAACCAAAAAAAGTCCAGGACCAGATGGATTCACAGCCGAATTCTACCGGAGGTACAAGGAGGAGCTGGTACCATTCCTTCTGAAACTATTCCAATCAATAGAAAAAGAGGGAATCCTCCCTAACTCATTTTATGAGGCCAGCATCATCCTGATACCAAAGCCTGGCAGAGACACAACCAAAAAAGAGAATTTTAGACCAATATCCCTGATGAACATCGATGCAAAAATCCTCAATAAAATACAGGCAAACTGAATCCAGCAGCACATCAAAAAGCTTATCCACCACGATCAAGTTGGCTTCATCCCTGGGATGCAAGGCTGGTTCAACATATGCAAATCAATAAATGTAATCCAGCATATGAACAGAACCAATGACAAAAACCGCATGATTATCTCAATAGATGCAGAAAAGACCTTTGACAAAATTCAACAACCTTCATGCTAAAAACTCTTAATAAATTAGGTAATGATGGGACATATCTTAAAATAATAAGAGCTATTTATGACAAACCCACAGCCAATATCATACTGAATGGGCAAAAACTGGAATCATTCCCTTTGAAAACTGGCACAAGACAGAGATACCCTCTCTCACCACTCCTGTTGAACATAGTGTTGGAAGTTCTGGCCAGGGCAATCAGGCAGGAGAAGGAAATAAAGGGTATTCAATTAGGAAAAGAGAAAGTCAAATTGTCCCTGTTTGCAGATGACATGATTGTATATCTAGAAAACCCCATCATCTCAGCCCAAAATCTCCTTAAGCTGATAAGCAACTTCAGCGAAGTCTCAGGATACAAAATCAATGTGCAGAAATCACAAGCATTCTTATACACCAATAACAGACAAACAGCCAAATCATGAGTGAACTCCCATTCACAATTGCTTCAAAGAGAGTAAAATACCTAGGAATCCAACTTGCAAGGGACGTGAAGGACCTCTTCAAGGAGAACTACAAACCACTGCTCAATGAAATAAAAGAGGATACAAACAAATGGAAGAACATTCCATGCTCATGGGTAGGAAGAATCAATATCGTGAAAATGGCCATACTGCCCAAGGTAATTTATAGATTCAGTGCCATCCCCATCAAGCTACCAATGACTTTCTTCACAGAATTGTAAAAAACTACTTTAAAGTCCATATGGAACCAAAAAAGAGCCCGCATTGCCAAGTCAATCCTAAGCCGTTTTGGTAACATTTTAAGTCCTCTATTCCAGCTACTTTGAAATGTGCCCTACATTGTTGCAAACTATAGTCACTCTACACTGATATTAAACATGAGAACTTTGACCAACTATCTAACTGTATGTTTGTACCGACTAACTAACCTTTGTTTATTCCTCCTGCTACCCTGGTACCCTTCCCAGACTCTGTATCTATCTTTTTACTATCTGCCTCCATGTGATCAATTGTTTTAGTGCCCACATATGAGTGAGAATGTCTTTAGCCATTTGCCTGTTGATGGAAACTTAGGTTGATTTCATAGCTTTGCTTTTGTGAATAGCGCTGTGTTAAACATGTGAGTGCGTGTATCACTTTGATATACAGATTTCCTTTCCTTTGGATAAATACTCAGTAGCAGGATTGCTGGGTCGAATGGTAGTTCTATTTTAACTCTTTGAAACATCTCCACACTCTTTTCCATAGTGGTTGTATTAATTTACAGTGTGCAAAAGTTCCATTTTCTTTAGATCCTCACCAGCACCTGTTATTTTTTGTTCTACTTATAATAGCTGCTCTAACTGGGGTAAGTTGATGCCTCATTGTGGTTTAGATTTGCATTCCTCTTATGCTTAGTCATGTTGAATATTTTTTCATATACCTGTTGACAATTTCTGTGTCTTCTTTTGAGAGATGTATGTTCACGTCCTTAGCCCACTTTTTAATGGGGTTATTTTTTTTTTATTGTTGAGTTGTTTGAGTTCCTTGTATGTGCTGGATATTAGTCTCTTGTAGGATGAATAGTTAGCAGATATTTTCTCCAGTTCAAACACAAATTGTCTCTTCACTCTTTTGATTGTTTCCTTTGCTGTGTAGAAGCTTTTTAGTTTTATATAGTCTCATTTGTCTATTTTTATTATAGTTGTCTGTACTTTTGAGGTCTTAACCATGAAATATTTGTACTGAAACAATAAAACAACTAGAAAAAAACATGGTGAAAACACTTCAAGATATTGATCTAGGAAGAGATTTCATGTCTATATTTAAAAATTAAAATATTTATATTAAAATGCTTCCACTAAAGTTGGTACCTAATCTTATATAAGGAAATTTTAGAGTACACTCTGGAGAAGTCCAGTCAGCACAACATTAAAAGTATGAATTTGGAAGTGGAAGGGATTACAGCTTTGGCTGAAGCATGAGCCACTATTAACATCATCATACAGCTTTTGGTCAGCAATGAATTTTATAATAGTTACGGCAGAAGGAAGTTGTAAATGATGTAAGTCATAAAGTAGCATTAAAATAATATTCCAGAGAGATTTTTTTCAATAGTAGGCAAGGAATTCTTATTATATGATTGTGTAAAATCATGAACAGCTTCAGAACTGTAAAAGAAGTCATGGCATCTATCAACATTACAGCCCAAAAGTAGACATTTATGAAAGGCATGGATATATGCTCTAGAGAGAGCATCAACTTTAGACAATTTCAGACACTTGGACAGAATAGTCAGAAGGCAAAATAAAACGTTTTGTTACTTGATGTAGGAACAAATGGTATAACCAGAGAACCTTGTAGACTATATTTGACGTACATTAGAGATAAGATGAAGATTTTGAAGTAGGAGGTTTGTTAAACGATGTTGGTTTTCATCAAGTGGTCAAGTTTTCTATAGCTGGAGTTTGGAGTAAAGGGGTTGGTACGGGGCACCAATAGTAATGTAACACAGGGAAGAAGAAGACTTTATATTTTCCAGGCATTAGAAAGGTGCAGTGTTTTGGTATTTTGGATAGGTACTGAGGTATCACCTACCATAGTTAGTGTCAGACAGGAATCTATTACGGAGGTTGAAAAATCCTCCATTATTATTGCAGCCATAGCTACTGAATGCAATCCAAAAGGCAAGCAAGCTGCTATGAGATTAAGGGGAGAACTTCAGTGAGCAATTGGATATTGTTTGTTCTTTTGAATCTCCCTTAATGTACCCTAAATAATTCCATACTTCAAAAGAAAGGTAACAGGTTTAATATAATTAGGAAAACTCAATATAGGGACTTTGGACAGACGTTATTTAGGAAACTGATAAATCTTTTCAGTTTTCTGGTTCTGTGATGACAGCCTGCCAGTTTTTATGGTCGTTGAGCTATTGTAATATAATCCAATTTCCATGGTTAGCCATAGCCATGTGGATTTCTCAAACTATATGGTCTGGGGGTATCCCAGATAGCTTCTATTTAGGAAAATGCAAGGTGATGTTTTTAGTAGAACTTAGTAAAAATTTGGCTTTTCCAGTGTATTCTGGGTCAAGTTTATTGGAGTACTTGATATGAAAGATAACTAAGAATTAGATATTAGGCTGGTAGGGTCTCTGAAATACATAGTAGTATACAAACTTTTTTTAAAAAAAATCTAACCAAAACAGCATGGTACCGGTACCAAAACAGAGATATAGATCAATGGAACAGAACAGAGCCCTCAGAAATAACGCTGCATATCTACAACTATCTGATCTTTGACAAACCTGAGAAAAACAAGCAATGGGGAAAGGATTCCCTATTTAATAAATGGTGCTGGGAAAACTGGCTAGCCATATGTAGAAAGCTGAAACTGGATCCCTTCCTTACACCTTATACAAAAATTAATTCAAGATGGATTAAAGACTTAAATGTTAGACCTAAAACCATAAAAACCCTAGAAGAAAACCTAGGCATTACCATTCAGGACATAGGCATGGGCAAGGACTTCATGTCCAAAACACCAAAAGCAATGGCAACAAAAGACAAAATTGACAAATGGGATCTAATTAAACTAAAGAGCTTCTGCACAGCAAAAGAAACTACCATCAGAGTGAACAGGCAACCTACAAAATGGGAGAAAATTTTCGCAACCTACTCATCTGACAAAGGGCTAATATCCAGAATCTACAATGAACTCAAACAAATTTACAAGAAAAAAACAAACAACCCCATCAAAAAGTGGGCGAAGGACATGAACAGACACTTCTCAAAAGAAGACATTTATGCAGCCAAAAAACACATGAAAAAATGCTCATCATCACTGGCCATCAGAGAAATGCAAATCAAAACTGCAATGAGATACCATCTCACACCAGTTAGAATGGCAATCATTAAAAAGTCAGGAAACAACAGGTGCTGGAGAGGATGTGGAGAAATAGGAACACTTTTACACTGTTGGTGGGACTGTAAACTAGTTCAACCATTGTGGAAGTCAGTGTGGCGATTCCTCAGGGATCTAGAACTAGAAATACCATTTGACCCAGCCATCCCATTACTGGGTATATACCCAAAGGACTATAAATCATGCTGCTATAAAGACACATGCACACATATGTTTATTGCGGCATTATTCACAATAGCAAAGACTTGGAACCAACCCAAATGTCCAACAATGATAGACTGGATTAAGAAAATGTGGCACATATACACCATGGAATACTATGCAGCCATAAAAAATGATGAGTTCATGTCCTTTGTAGGGACATGGATGAAATTGGAGATCATCATTCTCAGTAAACTATCACAAGAACAAAAAACCAAACACCGCATATTCTCACTCATAGGTGGGAATTGAACAGTGAGATCACATGGACACAGGAAGGGGAATATCACACTCTGGGGACTGTTGTGGGGTGGGGGGAGGGGGGAGGGATAGCATTGGGAGATATACCTAATGCTAGATGACGAGTTAGTGGGTGCAGCGCACCAGAATGGCACATGTATACATATGTAACTAATGTGCATAATGTGCACATGTACCCTAAAACTTAAAGTATAATAAAATAAATAAATAAATAAATAAATAAATAAAAATCTGGCTGTATTAGTCAGTGTAGGTTATATGATATCAAATTAGCCATGAGACCTTAGTGGCTTTATACAGTAAAGGTTTATGTAGTGTTCCTGTAATCAAATATAGTTTCTTCAGCAATCTAAGGTATTGGGTTTCACCATCCTATTTCAGAGTAGCCCAGTATTCATTGTAGGAGGCGGGGAGAGGGACTAGAGAATTATGCATAGGTTTTTCATTGTTGCAACCCACAAGAGATTTCTGATAACATTTAGTTGATTTAGTCACATAATTAACTATAATGGGGTTAGGAAATGTCTTCTGTATACACACGAAGTAGGAAAATGACATGAGAATTATTAATAACAAACATTGTCTCTAGCATACTTGGTTTCTTAGCTGGTAAAATTAATGGGTTGCAATGGTTCTTGGTTAGAATTATAGGTTTTGGTGTGAAAGGATTTGACAACTATTAGGGATGTGGTGGCATAGCAGTATTAAACCTGACTTTAACTGATGTGATGCTATATGCCAATATCTGGGCATATTGAACAACTCTGTCTAATTAGTATGTTGAGATCAAGATGTGGGGACTCAGAAGGATTTTTTGAGTCATCTTAGTTTGGAGCTTCATTCAAGTCAGTAAGAATACAAAAAAATCAGTTCCAATTCTGGTTAAGGTAGAGTGAGCACACTCTACCCTGTTTCTCCTACTCAATGCAAGAAAAACACCCTACATGGACAGAATTCACACAGCCACTATTTCACAGCTCTGAAAAGTGAATAATAGCAGGTAGAATGGGGAACAAGAGCAGAATTCACAGTGCCTTTGAACTGGAAGTGAGTTCACTATACTTTTTGTCCCTTTATTATCCCCTAACATGAATTAAATGGATTGAAAACCTGAAATTGTGCACCAGGGTGCAGTGAGAGACAACTCTGGGAGAAATCCTCTAGTTCTGAGTGCCCTGTTAATTTTTCTTTTCTTCACGTTGTTCTGTTATGGCCCAGCCCTCATGTGGTCTTATCACCAATGGAAGGCTATAGAAGCCAAAACTCTGAGGGAGGCTTTTCTTTGATCAGTGGAGCTAGAGTCCTAAGAGGGTGGGACAAACACCCTTTTCTTCTTAATCTCTCTGCCTTTCTGCCAGTGGCCCTGGATATGAACAGACTTGTAGAATACATTGCAGAGCAGAGAAACTAAAGCCCCAGCGTTTTGACAGAAGAACTGAAAAGAAGAGCCTCAGAACTGAAAATATCAGGGATGTCATGGAAAGGGAAGAACATGAGAAAGTAACCCTGTAAAATTTTTTAATGAAATTCAGTCCTGAGTTGTGCATACATGGATCTAATCCAAATTACAAGTTGTAGCTGCTACAATAAGGTAAGAAAATGAAAGTCATACAGATTATAAAGGAAAAATAGAATTATCTGTTTTCACAGATGACATGATTGTCTATGTAAAAATTCTCAAGGAAATGACTTACACATAAATTCTAGCACTAGTAAGCCATGTTTAGCATACTAGTGTCACAAGATACAAGGTTCTCATACAAAAATGACTTGTATTTCTTTATATTAACAATGTACAATGTGAAACCACATTTAAAAATAACATTAACCACAGCATCAAAAATGTTAAATACTGAGATATAAATTTCACAAAACATGTACAGGATGTGTATGCTGAAAACTACAAATTTCTGATGATAGCAATCAAAGATCTGAATAAGTTTAGGGCTATATCATATTCATGGACTTAACATATAAAGATGTCATTAAATTGGTAGATACATGTAACATAATAACAATTAAAATCCTAGCTGAATATGTTCATTAATGTAGACAAGATGAGTCTAAAATTTATGTTGAATGACAAAGTAACTAGGATAGTTAAAACAGTTTTGGAAAAGAATAAAGTTGGAAGAATTATACTTAACTGACTTTAAGACTGACTTTTAAGCTGTAATAATGAAGACCGAGTAATATTAGTAAACACATATATCAGTGAAACAGAATAGAGTCCAGAAATAGTCCCACACATATATGGACAATTAATTTTTGGCAAAGGTGCAAAAGTAGTCTAATGGAGGAAGGATAATCATATGCCAAACAAATGTGCTTTGACCTAAACCTCACAATTTATATGAAACTTAACAAAAAACTAAGTCTAAATATAAAACATGAAACTCTAAAACTTTTATGGGAAACGTATAAGGAAATTTATGGGACTTAGGGTAGGCAAAGCTTTCTTAGTTGTGACGACGAAAGCATAATTCACTAAAAAAGGGATAAATTTCGTTTTGACTTTGTCTAAGTTAAAAACTTTTGCTATGCTAAAGATGCAATGAAAAGACACAGTACAGGCTGGAGGAAGATAACAGCAAATTGCTTATTTGACAAAGGATTTATGTCAAGAATAAATAAAGGACTTTCAGTCCTTAACAATAAGACTACAATTCAGTTTTTAAAAGTGGACAAAAGAGTAGACACTTTACCAAAGAGAATATAAGGATGTCAAAATAGTTCATGAAAAGATACTCAACATTATTAACCAACAGATAAATGTAAATTAAAACTATATAAAACCATTATATACCTAGTAGAATAAAAAATAGCTGTTGTGCTAAATACTGGCAAGGATGTGAGAACAACTAGAACCTGTTACTGGTGGGATTGCCAAATGGTTCAGCCAGTCTGAAATACAGTTTGGCAGTTTATTATAAAGTTAAATATACACTTATTGTATAGTTCAGCCTTTCTACTCCTCGGCATTTATTTATGAGAAATGAATGGAAATCATGTCCACACAAAAGCCTTTATGTGAATGTTTATAGTAGCCTTATTCACAATTGCTATTCTACAACCCAAATGCTTTTACAAATGAATGGGTATACAAGCTGTGGTACATCCATTAATACTCATCAACTAAAAAGAATGGACTCGATGTATGTACTTACTTGGATGCCTCTCAGAGGCAATATGCTGAGCTTACAAAGGGAGACTTAGAAGGCTACAGACTGTATGATTCCATCTATGTCACATTCTTGAAAAGTAAAAATATGTAGTGATAGAGAAAAGGGATAAGTACTAGAGCCTATGGGTATTGAGAAGGTGTGGCTATAAAGCTGAAAAGTGATAGCACAAGTGAATTTTTTGGTGTGATAGAACTGGGCTATATTTTGATTGTGGTGGTGGTTATACAAATCTATGTATCTATTTAACATTCTCAAACTGGTACACCAAAAAAAAAAAAAAGAGAAATTTCACTGCATGGTCATTTAAAAAATAAAATTAACTATTAAAAGAATAGAAAATTCCTGACCTGTGTAAAGCCTAAGTATTAAAGAATTGTTTCAACTTTGTGTATTCAGCTGTTTATCTGTTTATTTTCTTGCATTTGCGAATTCCAGCACTTCTAGTGTATGTTAATCCTATTTCTCTTAAATAGGTTGGGGCTTGGGTGAAAGTGGAGCCAGCACCAAGATAAAGGACTGGGCATTTGGCCTTCCTGCTGTGGCATGTTTTGACCTTGAAGGGCATTAGAGTATGCATAAATAGTTAAGATCATCCATGTGTAATTATGACCTGTTTCCAATTTAGAACTTAAGTTCTCCTTAGGGGTTAGGAAGTTACATTATTAAATTTCTAAAGCATTCATCTATCCATATTTACTATAGTGGTGGCTGCCATTTGTAAAACGTCCAGGACGTTTTCATAAAGTGACTACAACATTTAGTGCACTGTAAGGGGTGGTTTGTTAGTTGTGGTTAATCTGTGGTACTATTAGGCTTTGAAAGTTATTTCTTTTACCTTTGAAGGCTTTTAGTAAATATATGAAAGGAGCTTATAATAAAAAGGCATTTTGCTCTCAAACTATATAAATTTTGTTACATACTATATACTAATATATAGTAATATAAGAGATTTATAATGATTTTTTTACATATGAAAATTTTAACATTTTGTTTTCCTCAGAAGACAAATTGACACATTTCAAGCACTTTTTTATACTTCTTAAAACTATATTTGTCAAAAATAAAATACGCTATACAACATAAAATTAAAAATCTCTGACAAGACAAAGGAAGATATAAATGAGTAATAACCTCACTTTTAATAGAGTCTCTAAGGAATGCTCTTAAATATCCATGACAGTGGTAGCAATTCAGTTTATAAGGCTGCCTTGCCTTTTTATCAGGATGAAGAAAAAGGTAGAAATTACTGAGAAGAGATTTCATGGCTCCGGGCAGACTCAGTGATTTCATGTGCTATCTTATGTATCCATCTGTCCTTGTATTTTACTGTGTTGCATTTCACAGTTTTCCTTATTTCATTCTGCATTTACCGCCTATGTAGGCATTGGTCTTCTTTGAGATCACATCTTCATGAGGGCGTTGTCTAAAAGTGACTGCTAAATATACCTGGAGTTAGAAACATGTGGTTTAGCCCTTTCTAATGTTGAACTGTGAAGGAAATTTAACTCTTACAACTTATTGTGAGTTTTTTGTGTGTCACCGAAAATTATCTTGGATGCGAAATTGTCTTGGGTGTGGACTTGAATTGATTAACGTACAGTGAAATCAATTATTTCTGCTATGATCACTCTCATTTAGGAATAGTTTTGT
Source organism: Homo sapiens (assembly GCF_000001405.40). NCBI lineage: Eukaryota > Metazoa > Chordata > Mammalia > Primates > Hominidae > Homo > Homo sapiens. The sequence continues at coordinate 35,094,700 of NC_000013.11, forward strand.
AGTGAGAGAAATACTATAGAAATATGATATTAAATATTTTACATAATTTTAATCATCTTTTAAAATATTTCACTGTAATTCAGTCCTAAATTAGGCTTAAGAGATGAAACCTTTTAAAAATGTCAAAAGATTTTTCCCCCTTACTGATACCGTAAATCTGATTTGGAACTTAATCTACTTAATCAATTACTTTGCAACATTCTTTTAAAAGGGGTGGAGGTATTGGATTTTAGGGGGAATCTTTACTTTTTATGTAAGGTATTTCCAGTCTTCTTAATAAAAAGGTGTTTATTTAAAAAGCCAATCTAGCTGTGGTACTTAGCTTTTTCAGTAAAAACCAAATTGAATAGCCAGTTTATGTCTTCAGAGAGCTACCTTTGAACAGAACTTAGGTTTATATATTCACTCTTAATCATTTTAGTTATGAATTAGTTGTATCTTTATGATATATTGAATTCTAAATAATATAAGTACCTCAAAGATAATAAAACTTTATGGATCACATTACATGAGTTATCTACATTAGTTATTAAAAAAATTAAATACAAATTGAAATGGATAAAGTTACAGTAAAATAAGTCAAAATCTATATTTAAATTTTAATGGAATATAAATATATATATTTTATTATAAACAAATTAGTTATGTTTATACATAGTTAATAAATATTCTCAGGTATTTGTGGGCCAAGACTGTTGTGGTATTCTTTATCAATAAAGGCCAAAAAGCTCTGGAGAAGTAATAAATATGCTAATTTATAAGAGATATTATTATACTATTTCTTTCATTTTTTTCCCATGGTCTAGCCCTTTAAAATATGATACTTGAAATAAATGTTAGTTTCTAACTTAAATGAAGCTTATTAAGAATTACAAGGTGGTAATTATTTTTAAGAAAAAACACCCACTAGGTTATTAACATCATTTTCCTTAAAAAGATACAGGATTACAAACTCTTATCCATTCTTGAAGTAGAATTGCTACTTACAGAACATGTATTATGGTACTGTCTGTTGAAAAGTTTAGCAATTATATATCATGACATAATAATCAGCATACTTTTGGTCTATGAAGTAAAATACTCCTATGAAAATCTGTTCCTAGGTATTGCTATACTTTTCAAGAGAATTTTCTATGTTGTATTAGTTTTGGCTGACACAGATACTTGCTTTTTGGTTTATCCTATAGTATATATTTAGATCCTCTGCAGATGAACTGATGTGTTCTAGACAGGAAGTGGTATGTAGGAGATATAGGAATGGGCTGAAGTATCCTTTATATTTGCCTTTGTATCTAGGGGAGTTGGAAATAGGCAAGAATGGAGAGAAATTTTGTATGGCAGTACACAGAATTTTGCAAGTTTATTGTGAGCCCTGCAACAATCCGATGCATTTTAGTTACTGGTAAGTTTGTTAAATTATGTTTGAAAATGTACCTCTTCGAAGATGGCCATCTATTTACTATTACGTCCACCATGTCAATTATACCTTATTGTAAAGATTTTTTTTTTTTTTTGCAAAGATGTGGTATTGCTATTGCATTGGGTTTTAGGTATAAATTAAAACGACTTTTGTTAGTGAATGCATTTGACATTTCAATTGGTGTCCTGGTTAATATTGAAGTGAAATTAACACTTTATGGATAGCAGAGTCCTGTGTTAAGATTTTGGAATAATAATATTAATATTTCTGTTTTTGTAATGGAACTCCACTGTGTTTAGAGGTCTGAGTTAACTCATTAGATGTTTGAGAGTGAGTAGTTATTCTGACATAAAAGAATGAGAAAATCCATGTCATCCTTGCAATTTTACATGGTTCTATATAGTAGGGCGATTTACTGTAAGAAATACTTTTTTGCCTTTTTTCATGGATCATAGGGACCATTGTGAGGCATTTCTAGTCGTTCTTTTTGGCAGTGCTCATGCTTAGGAATCCATTTTCCCCCTAAATCACTAACTTTGGTGTATGTAAGAATTCTATGAACAGATTAGGAAATTGTGTAATCTCTACCCATAGTTTTCTTTATTCTTTTTAAATATCTAGGCAGAAGTGTTAGGTGTAATATAGTACTTAGCAATTATTCGTGAAGTGGCCTTGACTATTCAATTCATTTAAAATGGACTAGATTGCTTAACAGCTGTGCTTCTTTACAGAAACATTTTTTTAAATCCCAAGAGATTCCTTGGTAGTTGTATTTTTCTTGTAAGTGTCTGTCTTTGGCTTAAGGACAAAGTAAAAGAATATCATTGATTTGTGATAGTTTACTTTTTTTTGTGGTTTAAGGATATAGGATCAGTTAATATAATTGAATTTTAATTTCCTGTAATGAAGTACTTTATTTCTAGATACTATATTTTGTCTAGCTGGTATGTAATTCATTAAACTATGAATTTTTATAATAATGATAATGATAATTTTGCTGTTGGTTCTTGTTATGAGAACATTTCTAATTTGAACAAAAGTAGCCACATTATGAGAAAAATGTATTATCCCTATTGAAACTGGAAGAGCTAGAATAATTCAAAAATTAGAATAACTTCAGATTCCTTTTGGGCTTTAATAATTTTCAAGTTTTCCTTATTACCAGATTGTCTGAATCACTTGTAAGAATGAGTACTTCTGCATTTAAAATATGTTTAGAAATTTGTGGTTTTACCCTTTCTTATGAATATAAATAGGTAATTTATGGTATATTATAAAACATTGTAAATTGATACTATTTTAATTCATGATAAAATCTGGTCTATAACAATTTATTTTGAGCTACATTAAGCATATACAATGAAGGAATATGTATTTCCGTTATTTAGAATACTATATTCATGTATCAGTGTTGCTGGTTAAAATCATTATATGTAACTGTGAAGTAATGCATTATCAAAGCTTAATTCAATGCAATCATTTCTTTTTATTTTGTTTCTTCATTGATTCCAAAGACAAATCAAGTGCTTAACTTTGACACCTCTTTGTCTGCTTTTATGTATTTGTTTATATATTGTGTAATTGTCACTTTTCATTTCAATATTACATAAATCATTTTATTTGCTCTCATGAGCTTTTCTTAGGGCATACCTGGACATAAGTGACATGTTACATATTTCTCTGGATTTTTTTTAATGAAAGGTTTTTGAAGAATAGTTCTAAATGAAAAGTTTATTTAAAAATAGAGTTTGTTGTTACAAAGCAATATTGCATCTATATTTAAAATTCTCTACAATAGCTTGTTATTCAAAAGAATAGTATGATACAGGCTTTATTATGATACATTATAAATGATGTGTATATGTTTCTTAGGTTTACTTGAAGCCAGACATATAAATATACGTAGAGATAAACTTTGATGTTTTACTTTGGAATGTAAAAAAACTACACAGTTATGATTCAGTTTATTATATTTAATTTGTAAAGGACAACAGTAGTTTTCTCATGCTTATGAGGAAATATATTCTTTCATAATATAAGGCATAATAGTCATTGTCAGTAAAATAGAGATGAGATTTGAATATGGTTATCTTTTGGCATAATAAAATACTGAAGTGGGACACTGTTTATAATAAACATGTGATGATTACATAATGATGTCTGTACTTTACATGCAGTGCTACTCTGTTGGCATTCCTGGTTGAACTACTTAAAAGTTCAGTAGCCATGCAAGAACAGATGCTGGGTGGAAAAGGCTTTTTAGTCATTGGCTACTTACTTGAAAAGGTAAGTGATATGTGTTGATGGTTTTATTGTGTAGCTTCACAGTTGGACAGCTGTTAATCACTAATTTTTTTTTCTGTAATTTCACTTTCCATTGACTGTGTAGAGATTATACTATTTGCTAATTCACAAACGTCTTAGATTTAAGTGTAGACATGGAATTAACTGGGTATCGGAAGTGTAATTAAGAAATTTTGAATAAAAAAATCTAAATAAAAAATTTACATCTATATCTATTCAAGCAATAAGTATCATTTCTCTTAAGTTTTCTAAGTAGTACCCCCTTTATTTCTACTCTCACTTTCTAAGGTGTCACTTACCCATGGTCAACTGCAGTTCAAAAATAGCATGGAATAAACCATTTATAACTTTCTAAATTGTGTGCTGTTCTGAGGAGAGTGATGAAATCTCATGCTGTCCCTCTTCATCAAGCCCTGGACATGAATCCTCCTTTTGTTCAGCTTTTTCATGCTGTATACACTGTCTCTCCATTAGTTATTTAGTAGCTATCTCAGTTCTCGGACTGAAAATCGTATTTATTATCCACTAGGGGTCTTGGAACTATCGCGTCAGGATAAGGAGGGAGTACTGTAGTTGTTTCTTTGCTATCTTTTCACTTAGACTTTTTTTTTTTTTTTTTTGAGACAGTGTCTCACTCTGTCTCCCACAGTGGAGTGCAGTGGCATGATCTTGGCTCACTGCAACCCCCATCTCCTGAGTTCGATCAAGCGATTCTCCTGCCTCAGCCTCCCGAGTGTCTGGGATCACAGGCGCGCACCACCATGCCTGGCTAAAGTTTTTTTTTTTTTTTTTTGAGATGGAGTCTTGCTTTGTCACCCAGGCTGGAGTGCACTGGCTCAATCTCGGCTCACTGCAAGCTCCGCCTCCCAGGTTCACGCCATTCTCCTGCCTCAGCCTCCCAGGTAGCTGGAACTACAGGCGCCCACCACCATGCCCGGCTAATTTTTTGTATTTTTAGTAGAGACAGGGTTTCACCGTATTAGCCAGGATGGTCTTGAACTCCTGGCCTCAAGTGATCTGCCCGCCTTGGACTCCCAGCGTGCTGGGATTACAGGCATGAACCACCGCGCCTGGCCTTAGACTGTATCTCGAAAGTCTTTTTTATTAAGATAAAAATCTTAATCTATATTTAGTATACATGAATTTACCTGTTAAGTTTTGTGTTATTTTTTAATTATGCGGTCAAAATTTTTATTTTGTGGTAATAGAAACATTATTTTGTGCTCTTTTTCCCTGCTCTTAATATATATTATTTAAAGTAGTTTTTCTGATCTACGCATAATATAAACAATAAAAATTAGATGGGTTTACTTTTTCCCATTTTGTGTCATTTATGTTGTTTTATGACCTCTTTTGCTTTAGTCAAAGCTGTGCTTTTATGATGAGTGCTGAATTTCTGATTATGATCTCACAGGAGTTTAGTTGTATTATGTGATTTCCTTTGAAAATTAAAGTGGGATTTCATGAATAAGCGTTTTTTTATAACAAATACCTATGTCTTTTATTAGCACTCTCTGACCTTTTCTTATCAGTTAGTTAACTCTATAATATTCAGCTGCTCTGAAAATGAAACTGTTGGAGAAGTAATAGAAGTGAGATCTCAACTAAGGGATAAACATATTTCCTTTGCAAAAAAATTGAGAAGATATTTTGAAGTAGTTTTAATTTTACCTCCAATTGTTTTACATTTGAAATATTATCAATTGATTAATGGATAAACAAAATGTGGTATATACATCAATTGAATATTATTTAGTCACAAAAATAATCAAGTTCTAAAATATGCTATATTTTATATATTACATGTCTTTATACATATTGTGTATATAACATGTCTTTTCTTTGAAACAAGTGTTGACCTTTCTTTAAGGATTAATGATTGAAAAGTGGTAGATTGTTAAGTAGATTGATCATTGGTAGCATTTCTTTATTAAGATGATTTTTTCCATAACATTATTAAGAACTTAAGGTCCTTTGGCTTATTTTTTTGAATGACAGAATACTCTTTTTCTGTATCTAGAGTATAATATTTGTTTAGAAGATGTATGATAAGCTACATTTAACATGAATTTGATAACATATGAAATGCCTTTGTAAGATTACTGTGTGTGACAGGATTTCTGTGAGGACTTACCCCGTTAAATAATTTGCTTTCATTTGTTTGATGAGAATGTATCAGAAAATTCTAAAGTAAATATTCTTTTACTTAAAACTTAGCTTATAATTAGAAATATTTGTAAAAGCCTTCAAATAAAGACATATGTTAATATTTCAAATATTATAATGTCAATTTAGTGGATGCAAAATATTTCATTGTGGTTTTAATTTGCACTTTTCCTAGATTTCGAATAAGATTAGACATTTTCATATATAATTATAGAAAATTAATCTTTTATCTTCTTTGTTATTCATTTCCTTTACCAGTATTCCCTATGTCTCTTCATGATTCCCACCCCTAGTCAACCCATAATTCACTTTTTGGCTTTATGAATTGCTTATTCTAAATATTTCACATAAGTGAGATCATACAATATTTGTCTTTTTGTATTTGGTCCATTTTGCTTAGCATAATGTTTTCAGTGTGCATCCATGTTATAGCATATTTTAGAACTCCGTTCTTTTTTACAGCTAAATAGTATTCCATTAGATGTATATACATTTTGCTTCTCCATTCATCAGTTGATATACATTTGTGTTGTTTCTATCTTTTGGCTATTATGAATAAAGCTGCCATGAATGTTCATGTGCTAGGTTATATGTGGACATATGTTTTTATTTCTGTTCAGTAGATACCTAGGAGTTAATTTGCTGGGTCCTATGTTTATTTGAGAAACTATTGATGTTTTTCAAAGTGACTCCAGCATTTTACATCCTACCAACCATATTTAAGAGTTCCATTTTTTCCACATCCTTACCAACTCTTGTTTTGTATGTCTTTTTGATTCTGACCCTCCTAGTGGGTGTGAAATGGCTTATCAATTTTAAATTTGCATTTTTGGGATGACTAGTGATGCTGAATATCTTTTCATATGCTTGTTGTCTATTTTCATGTGCTTATTAGCTATTTATTGATATATATTCTTTGAAGAAATATCTTTAGATCCTTTGCCCATTTAATAATTGTGATATGTGTCTTATTATTGATTTGTAGGAGTTTTTTTTTAATATTCTGGATACTAGTCCCTTAATAGACGGATGATTAACAAATATATTTCTCCATTCTTTGGATCACATTAATTTGTATTTCCTTGATGACAATAAAGTTGAACATATATTTATTTTCCTTTGGGATATCTTCTTTTGTTAAATACCTCTTTAGAGTGCCAATTTTCATTTGGGTTGTCTGTCATTTTGTTACTGATTTGTGGAAATCATATATGTATTTTGGATGTGATTACTTCATTGGATATACACTGCAAATTATCTCTTCTTCTTTGGTGTGACTTTTCACTCTCTTAATGGTGATTTTTGATAAACAAGTTACTAATTTTAATATAGGTTAAAATTTTCAGTTTCTTTTATGACTAGCCCATTTTAGACCCATATCCTGAAGCCATAAGATTATTCTGTTTCCTTCTTAAAATTTTGTTTTATCTTTCATATTTAGATCTATAATCTATCTGGAATTGAATTTTGTATATGGTATGAGGTATAAGGGTCAAGGTTCTTTTTTTCTATAATCTATCTAGAATTGAATTTTGTATATGGTATGAGGTATAAGGGTCAAGGTTCTTTTTTTCCCCCATGTATGTCATCTAGCTGGCCCAGTACCATTTTTTGAAAAGATGATTTCCCACTGCATTGCAGTCTAATCTTTGCCATAAATCAGATGACCATGTATGACTGGGATTTTTTTTGTGTGTTTCAGACAGTACAACAGTATTTTAATTTGTATAGCTTTTTAGTATGGCCTGATATTTAAGAGTATGTCATCTAGCTTTACTGTTGTTCTTGAAGATTGCCTTGGCTGTTTTTGGGTCTTTCCATTTCCATATATATATATCAGCTTATCAACTTCCACCAAAAAACATGAGGATTTTTATTGTATTATATTGACATCTTTCCTATATTGAATCTTTCAGGTTATATACTTGGTATATTCTTTTACTAATTGAGATTTTCTTTTGTACTTTTCTGTATGGAACAGTTTCTGTCTTTTTGATGGATTTATTTCCAGGTATTTGATATTATTTGATGCCCTTAAAATTTTAATATTTTACACTTGATCTTACCCAAAAGGCCAAGAAGCAATTAAAAGTTTTGATTTTTGTTACTGGTACATAGAATTATAATTGATATTTATGTTGAACTTTTATATACCAGTCTTTCTGTTCCTCTATTAAATCTAGTCATTTGTAGATTTTTTCAGAAAAATTTTTGTAGACAATAATAACATTGGAGAATGATAGTTTTGTTTTTTTCCTTTCTAATTTTAGGGTTTTTTTCCTTGCCTTGTTATGCCACCTAAAAAGTGCCAGTACAGTGTTGGGATAAAAGTTGTGATAGTGGCCATCCCTGTCTTATTCCTGATCTCATGGGCAATGCTTTTAATAATTACACTAAGTATGATATTTTTAATAGATTACTTTGTGTGGATTTTTTAGTTAAATTAAGGAATTATCTATTTCTGGTTTCCTAAGAGTTTTCTTTATTATAAACAGGATTTTATATAACATCTTTTCTGTAGTACTTGAGATGATTAAGATGTTTCTTTATTTTTCTTAATTTAGTCAATTACATGGATTATTTTTCAGATTTTAAACCTTCCTTATATTCCTGGACTCTCGTTTACTCCTAAACCTACTCCTATTCCAACCTGGTTTTCATTCTTACATGTCCTTTAAGATGGCTCATGTCTTTGTCACCAGTGGCCTTCATAATCTGTCCTGTGATTATTTCTCAGTTCTTATCTTATTTGACCTGTGAATATTTCAGTTGAACATTCTTTCCTTCTTGAAATGCTTTCTTGCATTGTGTTTTGTGATGGCTTGCTTTTTTTTTTTCTTACTTATTCTCTCTCATTAGTTCTGCTTCATCTTTCTAAATTCTGATGACTGTTCTGTCCCAGTGATTAATCCTGGAAAGCGTTTCACTTTTCCATCTACACAGTACCTTACTCTAATTGAGATTATCCACTTCTACAGTTTCCATGATCCTGTAAATACTAATTACTCTCAATTGTTTCTCCTATTTTTAGTTCCACTTGGATTTCTGGTAATCTTCTTGACTAAATTATCCAAACTGATTTTTCTCTTAATTTTTCATCCTTCAGAGTTCTTTATCTTATTTAGTGGCATTACTATTCAACAAGTAGTTGAAACCAAAAAGTTAATTCTTTTTGACTCTACTTTTTTTGCGCTCTAGATCCAAACTCAGGAAATTATGTTGTCTTACTGTCAAAATGTATCCAGAATCAATTACTACTTCCTCTTTACTTCTCAGCTCCTTACCATGTCAGTTGATATCATCTTAGTTCAAACCATGATCATCCTTCACCATTGGTTACCTACAATCCATTTTTCACTTGCAGTTAGACTAGTTATCCTAAAATGTGCCAAATCTTATTCAAGTCTTCATCCTTCTCATAATGAAGTCATAAGCCTTATACCTCACTTCATCTCTTCCCACTCTTCTTGCTTTCTCTATTTTAGGCAAAGGTCTTTTTGCCTTTTCCTTAAGAACTAAAATGGTAAACATTTACCCAAGGACTTTTGCATTTACTTCCCCCATTGTTTCCATCACTCTTTCTTCAGATACTCACAGACTTTGATTCTATGCTTCATTCAGGATTTTGCTTATATGATGCCTTATCACAGAAATATTCTCCGATCATTCTAAATAAATTAGTATTCCTTCCATAACCATCAGTGTTTACCTATGCTGCTAATTTTGCAGCACCATTCTGGCATGTTTTATATTTTTTACTAATTTTCTGCCTCCTTCTGCTAGAATGTAGGCTTTATGAAAGCAGGGGCAATGTATATATATTTTTGTCTCCCCTTATTGCTGTATCTTCAGCACCTAGAACAGTGCTTAGCTCAGTAAATGGTTGTTGAATTGAGTATATGAAAAGTCCTTGTATGCTTGTCTGATTACCTGCAAAGAGTAACTTTTTTACCTTTCTTGGAGGAGTGCTCACATTTTGTTATTTTTAAATAATCACTGGCAAGGTTAGTATTAATAGTATAGGTAATAGAAGTTTCATTTTTTAATTTCTTAACTAATAACAGGTTACTGGTTAACTGCCACTTAGCTTTTATATCTCCTTGTCATAGAAGATGTCTTAGGAAGATAGTATATGAGAGGCCTTTTTATTAATAACAATTTTACTGTTCCACGAAAAAATTTTTAGGTGTTTTTGTTCTGTTTTGCCAAAATGTGATCTTGTGGGAAACTTAGAGGTTATCCAGCGTATTCAATAGGATATTTTTGATTGTGGTTAGTAGAAAATTTGATTCAAAGTATCTTAAACATTAGGAAAATATACTAACTGATGTAACTGAAAGCCTAGTGTTAGATGGCATATCAGTTATATTCTTGGCAGGGAACAGATGGCATACTCAACCTAGGTTTTTGAGAAGACTTTAATGCAAGGGTATTTAAAAAGTTGTAAGCAGGGAGCTTGGCAAGATTTGAAGAGATGAGGGAAATAAGTGTTTAGCATAACCCAAAGAGAAAGTTATTGTAGCTATTAGGAGAAGGGTACCTGATGGGAGCGTGGTCTTCAAGAAAGGAGTATAGTGTAAGTGTACTGAAGGGGTAAAATCTGGAAAATATATACCCAACTTCATTTTCTTTCTGTCCTTTAATTTCTTGCTAATGTCTTCAATTAGTCAAACCCAACTGGAAACCAGTAGGCAAGGGAGCATCCCAAGCATAAAAATAGGACAGGGAAGGTTGGAAAGGCAGCAAAAGGTTGGAAAAGCAGCAAACAGTAAGTTGTGTTTCAGGGCTGGGTTATCTAAGTCTCAATAATGTCATCAGAGACCCAGGTTTTATCTATATCTCTGCTGTACCAGCTACAGTGTTGATTTTATGCTAAAGCTGATACTCTTTGAGGTCACAAGGCTGCCAGAGAGAATTGGCGCTATAGACCTTCACATCCAGGTGAAGAAAGCGAGCTCATTTCTGTCAATTACTGAGCAAGATTCTTCTCTCCAATTTGATTGGTTAGCTTAGAGCTTGGCTAGCCTACCTTTGAACCAGTTGTTGCTATGAGAATGCTAAACTTTGATACTGAATCTCTGAGCTGATCATTGCCTGCCACCCTCCCCTCCACTCCCTACCAAAACAACAACACATGATTAATCTGGTTGGATTAGGCTATTTGGAGCACAACCTTGGAGTCCTGGGAGGAGCAGAATGGATAATAGACTATAAGGTACCTCTACAATTACAATAGTTTTACACAATTTATTGAATATATACTCATACACATTATATGTATATGTGTGTGTGTATATTATGCTTTCTACAATAAAAATGAACATTTCTGATAACCTGTTCTATTATGGGCTAATCTAAATGTTGGAACAATCTCTCTTTATTGAATAGAAGTTTCTCTTTGTAACCTCTAGTGCTCCTATTTGGTTTAGTTAATTCTGGAGTGGATGCTATAACGCAACTATTTGTATAACTTCTTAGATATTATTTCCAAATATGGTTAGCCATGTCACATATAGTACTTCTTAAAAATTATGTATTCTGCCACCACATGAAAGTAATATATAGATCAAATTCCAGAGCTTACATTTTCTGTAAGATTTAAATTGTATTTCCATCTAAAGGTTACAGATTTATAACTATAAATTATCCAAGTATAGATCTCTTTCTAAAATAGCTTTACTTGAGAAAATGAAAACAAATACCAAAATATAAAAATATTTTAAAACCGTTAATCAAAGGAAATACATTTAAAAGCAGAGTCAGAGATCTTCTTTCTTCTTTTCCCAGGCTGTGTTTTTTCCTACCTATTCTATTCTTACTGTTTTTGAATTTGACATTAATTCAGTTAAACATTTCCTGAGAAATTAGGGTAGGGATCAGGAGGATAAAAGATGAATAAGATAATATCCTTTCTTATATTAGGAAAGAGATTTCTTTTTTACACTAACAATAATACAAGGAGGAAAGATAAGTACTACTAAGAGGTAAAGGTAACATGCTGTTGAAGAGAATATTCATTTATGCATTTATATACTATTTACAATCCAAAATTGTAGGATTTTGAGTAGGTCAATAAAAAGACACAATTTTAGAAAAATATTTTCCAAAGAATAATTTTAGAATGCAAATCTGCTACCCAACAGCATTAATTGGTATGCGAAAACAATGGCCCCCTCCGCCTTTTTTTTTTAAAGTAATGTAGAAGGCCTTGTGATGCTTCTAGTATACCTTTTAATATCATGGTCCAAGTTCCAAACTTGTTTCTATATTATGAATTCATCAAGTGGATATGTTTATAATGGTCAGCCTGATTTTATAATATGGGTTAATGTTCTTCATGAGGACATGATGAATAATTTTTATGAGCTACAGTCTGGTCACCTAGCATGTTTATCTAGTAACAGGATCTGACTGTATTCTATTTTAGAGTTTTAAGTGTAAGAGTAGAATGTATCAGATCATGTTCTTGAAATCATTACTACTGAATAAAAATAGAATGTATAAGATAAGCTATGTGAAATTATAATTAGTGAAGGAGCTGGCTACAGTTTTAAATAACTAGTGATCTCTTATTTTAATTTCATCCCTTTACAAATATTTTTTAAAGTACTATATTATTTTCATTGATATTCCTTTAAATATGATTACCCGATCTTTACTTTTTAAACTCAAATACTTGTTTTGGTTCCCCCCCCTTTATTAACTCAGCTATTTATTTAGATCATTTCCACCATCTTCTGTAAAATTTTCATTGAAAATTATGTACTAAGGTTTGGTTTGAATTTTGTAGGCTATTGCTTATGTAGTAAGCACCATTGGTAATTTTGTCAGACACATAATTCTATTATATTAATACTAAATCATTTTTAACCTTATAATAATTTGAACCAATTAAGTGGCCCCCTTCTTAGTAAAACCTGTTAACCATCCTTCTGCAAATGTTTTATCTGCCCCATAGTTTCTTCCATGAACTTAGTAACCTCTAACATTTTACATATTTTACCTTTTTATTTTATTAACTATGTGTTCCTGCCTTATCATCTCTTAGAATATGTTCTGTGAGGAAGAGTTTTTTTCTTCAATTTTGCTAGCTGCTTTTTTGACAGTGCCAGGGAGCATATTTGACTAATAGTGAGTAATCAACATGTATATTTTCTAAATGACTAAAAGTCTTGAGTTCTACCTTTAAGGTAAAGGAAATGTATGCAAGGGTGTTACAAACTGGGGGAGCAACATGGTAAAGCAGGGAAGCAAACGTGTCCTGTGGGTGAAATTGGCCCACAGTAATATTCTGTAGGACTCAGCAAAGAGGTTAGTTTTGGTCCTCACCAATCTTTATTGTCTCCTACTCTAGTTTACACATTGTTGTTAGTTATTTGCAATCATTTTAGTTCGTGACCGTTTATGTAGAAGTGTGAAAATTCATGAAGTGCTTAAGTCAAATATATTGAGTTATCCTTATTATGAGCATGAAAAATGTAGCTAAATCATATGGGAGGTAAAATTGGTAAGACAATTTCATCCCTTTTAAACTTAGATTGTTTTAAACTGATATTCAGACTTCAGTTAGTGAAGAATAGCGAGGAAAGATGTGTTGTGTGATGTGTGCTTCAGGATTGAGTGATAGGTGATTCTTTACCCTATGACTGAAAGGATAGTGATACTACAAAATAGTATCACTAGATGAGGAAGAAAAGATTTATGTAGGAAGATAAATTTTTTGATATTTGAGTTTGAATTATCAGCTTTTATGAAGAGCATTTTTTTAATATTATAGCATTTTTATCTGAAATTGTATTCTAGTATAGCATTGTCCAATTAAATTACAATTCAAGCCTCAGGTGCAATTTAATATTTTCTAGTAAAAAAATACAGGTGGTATTAATTTTAATAACGTATTTAGCCTAGTATTTTATTTTGATAATATGCAATATATTATTTCAACATCTATTCAATAAGAAAATATGATTTTTAAAAATATTCTGAGCTGGAAAAACCCAGTTTTTTCATACTTATGACACATCTCACTTTCAATTGCAATATTCCAGCAGCTCAATGGCCACATAGGGCTTCTGGCTACTGTATGAGATGGTGCAGCTTTAAGGTTTGGTTTCAATTTTGGAGAGTCTGTTGTTTAAATACCATTGGTAATAGGTACATGGTGATAGTAGTTGAAAATTCTTGAAGCGAGTGTTCAGCATAGACATAGTGTTATATGAAGCTGTGAAAGCATACTATATCATCCAAGGATAGAGTATTTATGGAGAAGAGAAGGCCAAGGAAATAATATTTTAAGCAGTATTTTACATATTTTTAAGCAGTATTTTTACATATTTTAAACACTATCACTTTTTATTTCTATGTCTAAGATCTCTTCTTGTATGTCAATTTCTACAAAAAATGAAATGAAGCCATTATTTATAACATTTCATTTCTTTAGCTAATAGTAGAATTATTTAACTTGAATTATTTATCTGTAATTGTCTTAGATCAGGCTTCAAATAACAAGCTATCACTCAAAGAAATAGCTGAAATTTTAGATCTCTTAAAGTTATATTTTAATAGCAAAGAAAACAAATGTTTATTTCATATTTATTAGGGATAGCATATGAAAAATTCATGTGTCCTTATGCTAAATCAGAAATTATACAATTTGATATTCTGGATGTTTCAAGCTAGAATTTCTGTTTTCTTTCTTAGTCATCAAGAGTTCATATAACTAGAGCTGTCCTGGAGCAATTTTTATCTTTTGCAAAATACCTTGATGGTTTATCTCATGGAGCACCTTTGCTGAAGCAGCTTTGTGATCACATTTTATTTAACCCAGCCATCTGGATACATACACCTGCAAAGGTATGAATTTTATACTTATTCAGTTTGATTTAGTGTAATGTTATACATTATAGTTGCTGGATCTATAGTATTCAGTGGAAAACATTTGAACATTTTAGCTTATTTTATAGTTAATCTGTGGCAATTGTGTTAGGCAGTATCAGGAGATCAAAATATTTATAAGCAGTAAAATAAATGAAACAATAGGTAAAAAAGAATCTTTGTGTAACACTGCATTCTAACATCTTTAGATGTGATACTTACTTTTCAATGAAGAAAATTTGCTATACCAATTTTTGAAAGACTAGGAAAGAGAACAGATAACTAATTGTATTATGACTGTAATCATTTTGCTGGAAAATTGCTTTCATTTTGAAGGTAGAATTTATATCATGACATGTAAATAATACTAATTTAAAAATAAATATATACATGAATTAAATATTTTCCAGATAATAACAGAAAATTCTTATTGTTTTATATACAAGGATTTAGTCCTAGTTGAAATCAATAATGAGGGATATTTTGATTTTGAGCTATCTTTTATAGTTTAAAAATATCTCACCGAGTTATTAATTATTGCCTAAGCCCAAATCTGAATTTTGACAACTCTTTTTTTTTTTTTTTTTTAAATGTTTTTTTTTTTTATTATACTCTAAGTTTTAGGGTACATGTGCACATTGTGCAGGTTAGTTACATATGTATACATGTGCCATGCTGGTGCGCTGCACCCACTAACGTGTCATCTAGCATTAGGTATATCTCCCAATGCTATCCCTCCCCCCTCCCCCGAAAGAAGACATTTATGCAGCCAAAAAACACATGAAGAAATGCTCATCATCTTTGACAACTCTTTTAACCAAGGTGTCTGACATGCCATCTCTATGCTCACATGGTCAGATTGTGAAAGCGAACTATATGTTATGGCCATAGGTGAGGAGAATTTGAAATTGCATGAACTTTTAGGATATATGACAAAAATATGTATGTTTTCAGATATGCTTTAGCTGACTGATGTTCTATTGCTATGAAGAAATTTTTACATTGAAAGCTACTGAAATGTACTTTAAGAGCTTTAGTTGACTTTTAAAATATTTTAATCTTTTTATCAGATTAATTTCAATAAATTATTAAATCATTTTAAAATTATTTAATTGCCACAGCTGTTGGACTACCTCTATTATGAGTTTATTAGAATATGTTAATTGCAGATTATATATTTTTTAAATATAAATAATATTGAAGAAGAAAGTTATTTTTAACCTCATAATAAATGGTCATTTCTTGGTCTTTACTAATTCACATTTAAATTAAAACTGAATGTATATAATATGAGCACTTGAGGCATTTTAAATTCATTTTAATGATCTGTTAATATTCTGTATTAGGTTCAGCTTTCCCTATACACATATTTGTCTGCTGAATTTATTGGAACTGCTACCATCTACACCACCATACGCAGAGTAGGAACAGTATTACAGCTAATGCACACCTTAAAATATTACTACTGGGTTATTAATCCTGCTGACAGTAGTGGCATTACACCTAAAGGATTAGGTATGTATACCACTTCCACTGTATTTACATTTGCCTATGATTATTCTGTATTCTGAGTACTGTTAAAGTGAGCAGTGTACATGACTATGAAATCACTGAAATGTTTTCTTTCTTATATAGCAAACTGGCATATTGAGAATTGTTTGTGGTAAAGAAGTTTAGGGCTTTTCAATATTAAATTATTTCGGAATAAAATCAGTTAAAAAGCAACAATAGTCTTTATTTTAGCCTGTATGCTTTTTTTTCATTCAGGAAGATACATTCATAATATTAAAAACAGATAAATGATATTGGTTATAACTGGTGTGTTCTAGTACATCAGTTGCTTTCAACATTTTCAGATTGTTAATTTTTTATATTTTATTCCAAATTTATCCTTTGTTCTGACTATAATGGAAACTAATTCTTCACTGTGATTTTTTTTTTGAAAATATAGCCAGTTTTTCTAATTATACAAAAAATATAGAAAATAAAATAATACAGAAGAAAAAATATATTTATGACCCAAACCCCAAGAATAATTACTGATATGATTTTGGCATGTTTTCTTCCAGTGTTTCTCATTGCATACATATATAAAAATATTTAAACTTTTTAATTATAGATTGAGATTTTCTCAATTTTTCTATGTTGTTCTTTTCTCAGCTCAATGTAGTAATGTAAGGGGATGTACCATTTACATCGTTTCTAAAGTTTTGATTCTGTAAATGTTAGAGCATTCTCTCATTTATATATGTGTTTACCTCCATCTTTGATTTGTTTAAAATTACTGAGAAAGGGGCTAATGACAAATATTTTAAATTTTTTTCAGGAATGTCATATTATTTTACAGTTTTACCAGTATATGTTAGAGTACTTCCTTTTGCGTGCTCACAATAGCATTGAATATTATAGTTTTATAATAATCCCGTTGATAAGGAAAAATAACACTTTCCTTTTTTTTTTTTTTTTTTTTTGAGACGGAGTCTTGCTCTGTCACCCAGGCTGGAGTGCAGTGGTGCTATCTCAGCTCACTGCAAGCTCTGCCTCCCGGGTTCATGCCGTTCTCCTGCCTCAGCCTCCCGAGTAGCTGGGACTACAGGCGCCTGCCAGCACGCCCGGCTAATTTTTTTATATTTTTAGTGGAGACAGGGTTTCACCGTGTTAGCCAGGATGGTGTTGATCTCCTGACCTCGTGATACACCTGACTCGGCCTCCCATTTTACTATTCTAATATTTATATAAGCTTACTTTTATTTCTTTTTATTAATGGGGCTTTAGAAGTTATTTATACTCAGATCTGTTGTTTTGTCCTTTTATGGCTTCTTCCATTGCTTTTAAGTTAGTAATGCCTAAAATTTATTGGATTTTTCTGCCAAGCACTCTACATGTTAATTTGTTTAATAATACATATAATGTAATTATAGATAAATAGACATATTCATATACATACATAAGACTGCATCTATATATAACTTTGTTTTTGATATTATCCTCATTTTAAAGATTAGGAAACTGGAAGTTGGTACAAACCGAACAGCACCAAAATTTGAATCATATCCATCTGACTCAGAGACCTAGTTCTTAAATGCTACACTATGATAGAGTTTTCTCTAGTCTAAACAAATCATATATTCACACATAATAATTTCTGCCTTAAAATATTAATTTCTAATTTACAGAAAAGTTACAAAGTTGCAAGCATTGCACAAAGAATTCTCATATGTCCCTCACCAGATTCTCAATATTTTACATCTTATCACTTTAGCCTTTACTATTCTCTCATGCTCTCTTTTTATGTATATATAAACACACCTACAGATATATACACATTTTTTTTCTGATTCGATTGGTAATAAATTGTAGACATGATACTCTGTCACCTCTAAATACTTTATTGTGTATTTCCTGAAAGGTAAAGGCACTTTGTTAAATAACCAGAGGACACCCATTAATATCAGGAAGTTAGCATTAATATGATACTATCATCTAATTCAGAGACCCCATTCAAATTTCACTAATTACACTAATAATGTCCTTTCTAGGAAAAAGAAAATTATTTTGCCCTAAGTCTGTTGAGGATCGTATGTTGTGCTTAGTTGCATTCTTACTTTTAATGTTCTTCAATGTAGGATAGTTTTTTAGTATTTCCTTGTCTTTCAGGACCTTGACATTTTTGAATAATACAGACCAGTTATTTTTTTGAATAACCTTAAATTTGAATTTTCTGTTTGTTCATGATGATTCAGGTTTTTTCATTTTTACAAGAAATAACACAGAAGTCATATTGTATCTGTCTCCTTGTATCATGTCAAGGAGGCACATGATGTTGAGTTGTCCTTTTACAAGTGATGTTAACTTTAAACATTTGATTAAGGTATTATCTTCCAGGTTTCTTCATTACAAAATCACTCCTTTCTCTTTGGTAATTAATAAGTATTTGGTGGAGAAATACATTGAAACTATATAAATAGCCTGTTCTTCAACAAAGTTTCACCTACTTGTTTTAGTTTGTTGATGATTCTTACTAGATTATCTTTATTGTGATGACTGACAAATGATATTTTCTAAGACATTAATTAAGTTGGCATATCTACTGTAAGGAAGAACTTGTTTTACTCCTCCACTCATCTATCTATCTATCTATCTATCTATCTATCTATCTATCTATCTGTCTGTCTATCATCTTTTATATCAGTATGGACTCATGTATTCAATGTGTTATATCAACAGTTAGCATACTTTCTTTGCAAAGGGCCAGATAGTGTTTTAGGCTTACGGAGCCATAAGGTCTCTGTTGCACATAGTCAGCTCTGACATTGTATTGCAGAAATAACCACAGACAGTATGTAAACGAATAGGTGTGGCTTGTTCTAGTGAAACTTACAAAAACAAGTGGCTTCATGGATTTAGTCCTAGGGCTGTGGTTTGTCTGTCTCCTGGGTTGTATCATTATTTCGATGCTCAAGATTTGGCCAGTAGGACCCTTCACATGGATTATGGGACAAATGCCCATAAGTTTTTAATACTATTTTACTTTCTGAAACAAGATGTTTCTGACTTGTCCTACACTTTCCTTATCCCGCCCTGAAATTAGCCATTTTTCCAGGAAGCCCTGGTTTGTTTGGTGGATATGGTTTTTAGAAACCAAGATGTGGATGTGAGGTGTGCTTCTTGGTTTTTGAATGTCATTGCTTCTACGTACTTTTAGTGGACAGATCTAGGAAATGATGTTTATATCTATGTATATAGGTACATCTCAACTGATTTATCTGTATTAAAACCATGAGTTCACAGCAGTACCTTCAATTCCAGTCCAAAGCCACATGGCTCAACCTAGCCTCAAACTTTTTAAATTTGCCGCTTTCTTCTTCAATAGTGAGAAATCTTGCTCCTATTGTCTTTAATATATTTATATATTTTCTTATTCTACTTTATAAAACCAGTGTTTTGATACACACGGCATAACCTTCTCAGCTTTAACATTGCTAGTCATCTGTAACCATACCCTCAGATTTGACTCTGAATGGCCCTTGTTGTCTCCTCAGCCCCAGTTGTTTCTTTGGCACTGCCACCCTCCTGACCTCTACTGTCTCCTTGGCCCTGACCCTGAAAGTCCTTCCAGACTCACTTGGCTCTGGCTCTGTAAGACCCTGGGTATCACCAGGGCCTCTGCTCCCTCCATAGAACCCTTGCCCCTGAGGCCTCACTGGCTCTAGCTACATCAAAGAGAAGGAAAGGAAGAGTACCAGTACATATATTTTAAATGAAAATGACAGGAAAGTGGAATCAGCATTTATTTTCCTTTATCATTTAAATTATTATTTTACTTTAACATTTTAATACTTTGAAATTAATTTTGTTATATAGTAGAATGTAAGGTTCTGACTTGAAGTATATACTTTTCTAAATGACAGCATTTTTCAATACCATTTTAAACAAATGCTTTCTTTTAAGGACACTCTAAAGATAATTTGCACTACACTAGCTTTCGTAGAACTATTCATGTGTAGGCACTCGCCTTGAGAAGTAGGATATTTTTGCTTTAACTGTAACTTAACACTTTTGTCTCTTAAATTATTATTATATATAGTTAAGTGTAAAAGCATTGAGATATATTAAAAATATTATAGGTCAGGTAATACATATTTATGGTAGCAAGTGAAATCATACAAAGGTTTATAAATAAAATGTTACTACTCTCCCAGGTAGCCAATGTTACCAGTCTTGTATATCTTTCTACTGCTTTTTCTCTGCTCATACAAACATGAGCTTACTCATGCATACATATAGGTGTTTCAAAGCTTTATTTTGAATACATCATGAACACAAAGTGGTATAATTACATATATCGATGTAATATATAAACAAGTTATAATTATAAATATAAATATAAAATGAACCTTATTTAAACATCACTAAGCCTAAGAAACAGAATATTACCAATGAGCCTGAATATTCTCATGCGTGTTCACACCTCTTTTCTACTCCCTGTCATAGAAATAACTCCGTCCCAAATTTTACGTTATTTCTTTTCTTTACTTGGGTGCTTATTATTTTTTACTATGTTTTACTCTTGCTATTTATGTATGTATTACTAATTTATTGTTTAGCTTCTATAGTTTACATAAATAGTATTATTTGGGGATTTGTTTCTTCATTCAATTTTATATTAGATAAATCCGTTTGTATTTTATTTTGCAGAAATGGATTTATATCATGCACAAAGCACACAAATATGTATATATTTCTTTGCAACATGCTGTTTATATTATGCAGTATACAATAAAAATAATTATTGCTAACATTTGAGTGCTTGTGATTAAAATGGGCCTGGTACTAGTCTAATTCCTTTACATATGTTGATCTATTTAATCCTCACAAGATGTCCTATGACAAGCAGTATTATTATTCTTACCCTAACAATAAAGAAGAAAACAAACCTAAGGCACAGAGATGTTATAAAACTGGTCCAATTTTATTAATTGGTAGCAGAAATAGAAGAATAAGGAAATTATTACTAAGACGGTATCTGTCTGTTCTTGAATGGAGTGTGGGTGTGGTCAGGAAAAGCAATGTGGCACAGAGCTGAGGTCTGGAGCATGGTGAGGGCTTTGGCATGCAGGGCAGGATGGGACCACAATCAGTTGTTAGATATTCAGGAATTTTATGAGCACCTTGTTAAATCATTGGTAGCTTGAACTTGAAATCAGATTATTATTAATATGATAGAAATCAGAAGTACATAAATGCTCAAAATCAGGACCTCATCCCTCCACTCTGCAGATAATTCCTTTACCAGCATACCAATGGTTGACGGGTTTCCCTGTCAGGCTACTGTCAGTGTTCAATTTCTTGACCAAAGAAGTGTTTATACAGGTGTTCATTTCATGATAATTCGTTAAGTTGTTCATGTATGTTTTCTGTACATTGGCAATATTTTACAATGAAAAGTTTTTTTAAAGTAATACCAAGTGTCAATAGGAGGGGAAGAGTACTTTGTGCATCTTGGTGGCAGTGGGGCAATAAAAGGTGGAGAGCAGTCTGGGAAATAGGGAAGATATTTCTTTTATTATAATAGGCGGGATGGATTTTTTGGATAATAACTTGCTTGCAGATATAATAATCTTCATGTAAATATTAAGTGAATAAGCAGATGCTATACATTATACATGAAGGGATTATGCTTTTAAAACTTGTAAAGCAGTAGATAAATACTGGTTGCTACAAGAAAGGCTTAATGTTACAGGATTTTTATGAATCTAGCTTCATTTTTTAAAAGTATTCTGTATTGTATATTATGCATATTAGAATATATTATATTTTCATTTTTATTAGTAATTAAATATTTTGAAATTACTTTAAAATTTGTACGTTATGATAGAACTGATATGCACATTTTAATATTTTATACTCATTTTCACTTATTGACGCAGCATAAATGCCCACTATAATATGTATTTTCTGTATACAAGTGACATAGAAGAAATAGGCTGCAAAACAAATAATTGCAATAAAACAGAGTGTCATTTTTTCTGTGCTTTGTTAAATAATGTGTGGGGTGAAAATGGAGAGAGTCCTTAAATGAAGACAAGTTTAATTGAGAGTGGAAGACATATTGGGAAACCTATTAATGTAATAAAAACAGAAAAAAAAGCATTAATATAAATACTTGGGGATTATACATTTATAAATGGATATTAATATATAACAACTTTTTAAAAAGTTCTTTTTTCCACAAAATCAGACATTCAGTAAATAATTTGAAATTGTCAAAAATTTGAAAGTTAATTTTTGGATACTCATATATTATTAAAATTTTATAGCATTAATATAAATATTGTAATTTTAATAAAGATAATTATTCAAGAATGCCATAGTATCCCAAGATAATTGCATTTAGCTAATTTAATATCTTGTATTTTTTATTTTACTTTTTTTTCTGTTTTGTTCTAGATGGTCCCCGGCCATCACAAAAAGAAATTATATCACTGAGGGCATTTATGCTACTTTTTCTGAAACAGCTGATACTAAAGGTAAAATAATTTTATATAATTTAAAATAATAGTATATTAGGTAGAAAGGAATTTCTGGCATGTTTTAAAATTATTAAATTAGTAATAGCTACCTTTAATTCATGAATTGCTTTCAAAATTCTCCACATCTTAGTATTCACTTTTATTGAACTTAACTAACTTCTGATTAAATGCTCTCTGAAATCTTCCCTATTAAGGGATGTGACAGAAATGGACAAGGAACATATGAATAAGAATTGAGCCCTTATTCTTATAGTAATTGACCATTATTCGAGAAAATGATCTGTGTGCCAGTTTAATAAGGCTTACATAATGTATTTTATTGTAGTAGAATTTTTTAAATGTTAAGATGAAACCAAAGTGAAAATAAATATAAATTGTGAGATAGTACACAAAAATTGATACTGTATAGTCTTGCATTTATATTGTTTTAAGGAAAGAGTAAGTGATTAGAAAATAGTCATAAGAATACTTAGATGGTCAAAATATGCTAACTTTTTATAGTGAATGTCAATCAAATACTAATGACTTTTAAAAATTGATATAATTTTCTAAATATTTACTTAACTTGAAATAATACAGTCTATAAATTGTGAAATGTGTGGGGATTTTAATTAAAATATCACTACATTAAACTAACTCTTATTTTCTTTTACAATGATTATTTTGACATCTTTTTTAAATTAAAATTTTAATTTTAGATGTAAAGTAATAAAATATTTTTTAAAAATTAGGATCGAGGGGTCAAGGAAGATGAACTTCAGAGTATATTAAATTACCTACTTACGATGCATGAGGTAGGACATGTTATGGGCCTTTTATTTTAATTATTTAAGCCAATCTTTAGAGTAAAATTTTAAATCAACATTGGTGATTTATGCAGGATGAAAATATTCATGATGTGCTACAGTTACTGGTGGCTTTAATGTCGGAACACCCAGCCTCAATGATACCAGCATTTGATCAAAGAAATGGAATAAGGTATGATTATAATATTAGTATTACTATTAGACTTTAATGGAGCACAGTTGTTCCTCCTAGAATAACTGCTATTCTATGAATATTTGAATAAATATAGCAAAGTCTTGCACATAAGAGAATAAATGGAGAATGCTGCTATTGATCCTCGAATACTCAGGAAACTGATGAAGTGTATAAACAGTAGTCTCAGGAATCAAGAAGAGTAATTAAATTGTATTTGCTATAGTAAGGACATTACAAATTGTGAATAGAGCATTTTTTTTTCCAAGAAGACACGAAAAAGCAAGGCACATTTTACCAAAAGAGGATACAATGAAATTTTATGATATGAGGCCCGAGAGAGATTATAGCCAGATTTGGAAGGTTCATAGAATGGTAATAACTTTAGTGGTTTTTTTCTTTCAGCTGGTGATGAAAATTAAAGAATTTTGAGTAGGGGAAATGTTGTGCTCAGATTGCTATTTTGTTAGATTTACAATCACCAGTGTGAAACATGAGTTGAAGGACAAACTGATGTAGCAATATCAGCAGGGAGATTATTTTATTCATCAGTATTAAAGATGATGACTTGAGACAGTGGCAGTGCAATGGAAATAATAGAGATGAAAGATGTTTTGGAATAACAGGCCAAAGCCAAAAGAAACTGAAAACCAACTTTTGTTGTGGCAATTGAAATGTAACTTGGTAGATAGGTGAAATATAATTTCTTAATTAGTATTTTTATGAACTTAACCCTATCATTTAGCTTTTTAAGGAATTCTTCGTTTTTATTTTTCTGGAGTTTTAATTAGTGGGATGAGCAGGATATCGAGGTTATGCCATGTATAACTCAGTGAATTTCCACAGTTTTATTGTGAAAAAGAGTTTGGAAATAATATATCAGTGACTGTCAAGGGCTTTTTTAAGTGCCTTTTTTACTTGGCCATTTATATCAATGAATAACAACTTTCTAGACTTGAAGAACTCCTTTTCAAATTAGAGAAGCAATCACTATCTCTTTATGCATATCTCAGTTGTGATATGAGTATTACCTTTGAGTTTATAATTCATAGGGCTGCCAATCTATTTGAAGAAGATTATACATTTAGTGATTAACAACTGTTACAATTTTTTTTTCTTTTTGAGACAGAGTCTTGCTCTGTCGCCCAGGCTGGAGTGCAGTGTGCAGTGGCGCAATCTCAGCTCACTGCAAGCTCCACTTCCCGGGTTCACGCCATTCTCCTGCCTCAGCCTCCTGAGTAGCTGGGACTACAGGCGCCTGCCACAATGCCCGGCTAATTTTTTGTATTTTGTTTTAGTAGAGACGGGGTTTCACCATGTTAGCCAGGATGGTCTCCATCTCCTGACCTTGTGATCTGCCTGCCTTGGTCTCCCAAAGTGCTGGGATTACAGGCGTAAGCCACCGTGCCCAGCCTATAATTTTTTACTCTAGAGTTTGAGCTATATGAAACTGTTGATACTTAACTGATTTTACAAAATAATGACAATTTCATATAGCTCAATCTAATAATGTAGTACAATTACTCTCACTCTTCTGAACTTATATTTAGATTGAATAATTAGTGTCCTTGTCCTTAGATTTTGCTTTGTTTATTATATTACTTGATAAATTTAGTGAATCAGTTGAAGATATCCACATTACTCTTGTAGAAGATACCAAACTTAGATTGTCTAGTATGATGAAATGCAGAAATATAATTGTATTATTTTGACACATCGGAAATATGATCCTACAATTGAGAGTGCTATTTGGTAAGACCTTTAGGATTTACATGTATTTTAAATGTATGGTACGAAAGAACTAATTAAGCACAACAGATTAAAAGGCCTTGTGCTCATGGCTGACCATGAGCAGAACATGTCAGATTGTTACCCGTATGTTAAAAACAATCACACAGATTAAAAAACGGCCTTTCCTTGACACTTCAGCTTTTCTACTTCAAAAATGTGGAGAAAGCTGGTTCAGAATAGTATAAAAGATGAAAAAAATAGGCTTATTAGATAGAAAATATTGAAAGTGGCTAACGAATTTATATGTCTGTTTTCTAGAAAATAGCCATTAAAGGCTAACAGTTGTATATGAAGTATTTTGGGAGGAAAATTCTAGTCTGTTGTAATTCATACAGTTGAATTCAGTATAACAGTTGAACAAAAAGAATGAACTCAGTTTAATTCTGATGGTATGCTAATTGGGCTTAAGGAAGCCCTTGTAATAACAGAACACTGAAGTAAGCAGCTAAAAATTTGATGTTTTTATATCTGGGAAATTTCAAAGAAAGGAATAGACAGCTACCTCTCTTATATAGCTTAGACCATTTGCTTACTGAATATAGTGAGCTTAAGCAGATGTATTAGGATTATTGTTATTTAGTAATAATGTATATTACAAGTAAACATTAATTAACAAAGTAAATTTCTTATTCATACTGTATCACATCCCTAGGTATGTAGATGTGTGATGGACCTAGACATTTTCATGTTTCAACATTAGTCATAATTTCTCTTGACCCAGGGTGGGGTCTAATACCTTTTTTCCTGCTACTCGAAGTTATTCCTAGACAATAGAAACTCTGTGAGAACTTCCAGTTCTATATTTGAGTGTAGCCACATTTTTAGACTGTGAGGGTTTTTTTTAATTTTTTAATTTTTTTTTAGAGTCTCGCTCTGTTGTCTAGGCTGGAGTGCAGTGGTACCATCTCGGCTTATGGCAGCCTCCACCTCCTGGGTTCAAGCAATTCTCATGCCTTAGCTTCCCAAGTAACTGGCACTACAGGCATGTGCCACCACACCTGACTAATTTTTTTTGTATTTTGGTAGAGACAGGGTTTCACCATGTTGCCCAGGCTGCTCTTGAACTTCTGCGCTCAGGCAGTCTGCCCACCTTGACCTCCTAAAGTGTTAGGATTACAGGCATGAGCCACCATGCCTGGCCCAGACTGTGAGCTTTTACTTTGGTTCTCAAGACTATTTTTGCTGTTTAGTGTTGCTTCTTATGATTTCTTGAATGTGTTTTTTTTTTTTGACATGTCTGACTTTGCTATTCTCAGACTTGTCTTTTTTCATTACTGATCTTGGTTCCTAAAAGTTTTGAAAATGGATTTCAGTGTAAACCCATACATATTTATGAATGTGGGATTTGAAAAAAAAATCTTCCAAAGGAAATAATCACTTTTCTCATAGTTTATTCTTTAATAGATGAAATGCAAAGCATAAAAGAAAAAAAGAGAAAAAGAAGCAGTATCAATAACATCTTTTCTTTTTTAATAGTATAAGCTCTTGGCAAAACTAAAAATAATGACTTTAAGCTATTTGTTCCCCTTTGTATCACTGAAACTATGAAAATTATATTGCATCTTTTACTAGATTCTCTTGTTCAGCTGAGTACTTTACCTCAAAATATGCCATGGCATTTTATTTTTTCAGAAACATATTTAATAAAATAAAGCACACTATAATGTTACAGCCCCTAAAGAACCTTCTTGTATTCTAGAATTTGTTGCCAGTGTATATAGTTGTCATTGTCCCTTCTACTTTATGGAAACAAATTACTTTTTTTAATAGAAAAAATGGAATAAAATTTCTAAACACTTAAACAAATGTTATAATGAATATGGCCCTACTTTTATATAGTACTTGAAGTGATTGTATAGGTTAAGTTGTATATTAGTGGAGGCTATTTTGCTCCAAGTAACAGAAAACCTCTAAAGCTTTTAAAGTAAAAACTGAACAATATACTTGTTAAAAAAAACCTTACCAAAGGATTATAAATCATGCTGCTGTAAAGACACATGCACACGTATGTTTATTGTGGCACTATTCACAATAGCAAAGACTTGGAACCAAACCAAATGTCCAACAATGACAGACTGGATTAAGAAAATGTGGCACATATACACCATGGAATACTATGCAGCCATAAAAAATGATGAGTTCATGTCCTTTGTAGGGACATGGATGAAGCTGGAAACCATCATTCTCAGCAAACTACCGCTAGGACAAAAAACCAAATACCACATGTTCTCACTCATAGGTGGGAATTGAACAATGAGAACACTTGGACACAGGAAGGGGAACATCACACACCGGGGCCTGTTGTGGGGTCGGGGGAGGGGGGAGGGATAGCATTAGGAGATATACCTAATGTAAATGATGAGTTAAGGGGTGCAGCACACCAACATGGCACATGTATACATACGTAACAAACCTGCACGTTGTACACATGTACCCTAGAACTTAAAGTATATAAAACAAAATCTTAGAGTAGGAACCAGGAATTGTAGGGCTGTTAGGAAACAAGTTTGCTTTATCTACTGCTTTCTGTAAGCTGTTTAATCCTTCCTTCTGTATGTTGACTAGCCTTTCTGAACAGAAACAAAACGTTACTGTTCTAGTTTCTATTTTAAACAGTTTTTGAATTCAAGAGCCCAGCAAAGAGGAGATATTGTTTCTTAGACCTCATTCCAAATTCTCAAAAAGGAGAAAGAACTAGGCAGGTGCCTACCTATCATCTAATTAGTTATACCAAGAAAACAGGGTTAGGGTGCAGGTGGCTCACGCCTGTAATTCCAGCACTTTGGGAGGCCGAGGTGGTCGAATCGTTTAAACTCAGGAGTTCCAGACTAGCCTGGTCAATTTGGCAAAACCTCACCTCTATATTAAAATTAAGAAAAAAGATTTTAAAAAAGAAAATAGGGTTATCAAGTTTAAATATTGGGGCCAATTCTTAGAGAGAAGACATGTGGCCTAACTAAGCATGTGTTAGTATGTTGGGAGGCAGTACTTATGAACACCAGTCACATTGCCCTTTTGAGTGTATGGCTGAAGGACTGTTTAAAGAAAAATTATTAAAGCATGCTAGTTTTTAATTTTTCCAAAGAATTATAATCCTGAGAAGAAAATCTTCAGAGTTTTATATTTCACATATGTATAATTTATCTGTAAAGCATGTAGTGTGTTTTTGTTTTTAATATTAGTAAGTTTTTAAAAGATAATTTATATATTTTGTAGGGTGATCTACAAATTATTGGCTTCTAAAAGTGAAAGTATTTGGGTTCAAGCTTTGAAGGTTCTGGGATACTTTCTGAAGCATTTAGGTCACAAGTAAGTTGATATTTGTCATAATGCATTCTAGAAATAACTATTGAGATTATGTTTTTATGAGTTTTCTATGTAATGTAGCATGAAATTTGACTTGAAAAATCTAACAGCGGAAAATAATAGCTTTCTGTGGTAGAAATTGTAAAAATGTTTTATAAAATATATTTTATTAATAGTAGATTGTGAAACAAAATTACAATTTAAGTAATTAGTTTATTTCTATATTCTTCCTGAAAAGAAAGCATTATCTATTCTGAAGATGTAATAAAATATTTTGTCAAGATAAAATGATGCACATATAGGTATGATTTCAAGGAAAGCTTTCTTGACAAGGAAATACTGTGTATATGCTGAGGTCTTTCTCAGAGTTGATCTTATGCTTACATGCTGAGTCAGTATTTGTTATTAGTTTCTAACAGTAGGGCTTATTGATTAATTTTGTGACTTAAAGATGCTAGAATACCTCATTTCTTTCCCCAAATCAAGAATTTGAATACTTTCTAAGAACACTTTTTGTGTAAGAAACTGCTGCTGGCTTAATGATTGCAATTCATGCTACACTATCCAGTGTAGGAATGTTTTAAGAGTATATTTTCCTTACAAATGAAGCCAAGGAAGTAGTGCAACTATAATTTAAATGTTACTAGATGAGGTTCCTATCAGAACCTCATTTTCGCCCTTGTTTTTTTTTTTTTTTGGTGCTTACTTAAATTTGCAAAGCGCTTATTTGTAATAATCATGAAAACTGCACAAAATTCAGACAAGACATGTCTAACAAGCTGTATAGCCTAGAAGTTTAAATATTTTTAAAATTTCGGTACCAAAGAATAATTAAGTAAGGGAGACTAGATATACTATGGATATGGATATAAGGAATAGTTCAAACAAAGCCAGGATTGTAGAAAAGGATATATATGTGTGTGTATACACACACACACACACACACACGGATATATATACACACATATATGGATATATATATACATACACATATATATGGATATATATATACATACACATATATGGATATATATACACATACATATATATGGATATACATACACACACATATATGGATATACACACACATATATGTGGATATATATACACATGTATGGATATATATACACACATATATGTATGGATATATATACACATATGTATGGATATATACACACATATGTATGGATATATATACACACATATATGGATATATACACACATATATGGATATATATACACACACATATGGATATATATATATATGGTATATGGAACTGTAAGTACACTTGGTGACAGAGTGCTGGGAGTGAAGAAGCATATGCCCTTTTTATATTAAGAGATAAAGATCACTTCTTTAACTTCAGTTAATTAAAATAAACTGACTGGAGAAAGTTAAAGGATTGTAGCCCAAGATGCAGCCTCCTAAAAATGTCAAGAAAGCACATTAAAAAATTTACGAAAAGATGAAAACTCAGTTAATACAAAATTAAAAATAACAAGCAGGCAGTTTCCTGTATAAAGATGCTGTTTGAGATAGCCTATTTTCCCCCTTTTTCCTGTAAAATGTATAAATGATACAACAAGAAGTAAAAAATGTACTCTCTATCACAAATGTTATCACAAGTAGAAGATAGATGCAAAATATGAACTCCAGAATACGGGTATCAGCTGCTTAAAGTTGCTCAGGTTGGGTAAAAGCTGTTAAGGCTAAAGAGAAGATAAAATGCAAAGAGAATGGTGAGAGAGTTCACTTATAGCAAATAGGAAGTGTCAGTGAAAGTAGAGTTTCTGAAGATGAGAGGCACACCTTAAATTACAAAAATAGATCATTTGTTTGAAATAATAGATATACATATATCATGCCTGATAGCAGAGTTTTATTTGAATCAGATTGGTTTCAGAAAAGGAGAAGATATATCACAAAGAATTACACAGATGAGCTGTATTTGTGGCAAGCAGTCTATCTCTGTGGCTATAGAGAAAGGAAAGTTTGTGGATTGTGAAAGCAAAAGGTTACCCTTGTCCCTTCTTTTACACATATGCATGGAAGTGTCCTGCAGACAGATGGTCCACGTAAATTAGACTGCATCAAAAGAATTGGCACATCATCAGTGCAGGTGAATCAGATAAAAAACATGGAAAAAATAAGTTAAAGTAACCAGTACATGAATAGCACTTAGCAGAAAAATATTGCTATGGAATACATAGCATTTTGATTTAAAAATTTCATAAGTTAAAAATAAACAAATGCATACATACATACATACATACATACATACATACATAGCTTCTGAGAAAGAACCACTAAACAGAATTTGGAGAAGTAATCCAGCTACTCCGGAGGCTTACGCAGGAGGATTGCTTGAGCCCAGGAGTTTGAGTCCAGCCTGGGCAATGTAGCAAGATCCATATCTGGAAAAAAAAAATGTTGTAAGAAATGTTAACATAGTGATATGGTTTGGTTGTGTCCCCCCACCTAAAATCTCATCTTGACTTGTAATCCTCACCTGTAAAGGGTGGGACCAGGTAGACATAATTGGATCATGGGGGCAGTTCCCCCCTGCTGTTCTTGTAATAGTGAGTCGCATGAGATCTGATGGTTTTGTAAGCATTTGGCATTTCCCCTGCTTTCCCTCACTCCATCTTCCTGCCCTGTGAAGAAGGTGCCTACTTCTCCTTGCCTTCCACCATGATTGTAAGTTTCCTGAGGCCTCCCCAGCAATGCAGAACTGTGAGTCAATTAAACCTCTTTCCTTTATAAATTAGCCAATCTTGGGTATTTCTTCATAGCAGCATGAGAATGGACTAACACAGATAGCATGGAAGTATTTAATTATGAGTTAATAAAATATTGGACAAATACTGGAAGAAAATAACTATACACAAAAAAATAAAATTGGAAATTGCTCAAAGGCAAAACTCTGGCTAGTAGCATAGTGAAATACACAGAAGATAAAACTGAAAAAAAAGCAAATATTATGAATAGATGAAAATATGAGTTTAGGATTAGAAAGAAAATGAGCGACATGGGAGAAAAACAAATTACCATAATGGCATAAATTGGCCAGGTGTGCTGGCTCATGCCTGTAATCCCAGCACTTTGGGAGGCCGAGGTGGGCAGATCAACGAGGTCAGCAGTTTGAGACCAGCCTGGCCAACATGGTGAAACACCATCTCTACTAAAAATACAAAAATTAGCCGGGCATGGTGGCAGGTGCCTGTCATCCCAGCTACTCGGGAGGCTGAGGCAGGAGAATTGCTTCAACCCGGGAGGTGGAGGTTGCAATGAGCTGAGACCGTGCCATTGCATTCCAGAGCCTGGGAAGCAGAGGGAGACTCCATCTCAAAAAAAAAAAAAAAAGCCAAAATAATAATAATGGCATAAATGGAGTTCCCAAATAAGAAAAGCAGAATAATGGAACAAAACGAATATTTAAATCTATAATTCAGTGAAGTCTAGATGTAAGATTTTGCCATTTTTATTTAGAGGACATATTGTTTGCCAGGGAAAACTGACCTAGAATGGTTAGCATCAAAGTGCATTACTGGACTTAAATAGAAGAATACTTTGTATAATAGTGCACAAATAAGGAGAAAAATGAGTCTGGCTTTAGACTCTAAAATAACCTTCAATACAAAAAACTATAACAATCATAATTAAATGAAGAAAGTGGGAGCCAAACTATCCTTTAAGTAAAAAGGATGCTGTCAAATATTTTTTAGCCATACAGCAAATTATTTCTGTGACTAAATCTTGAGGAAATTGTGGGGAATAAAGTCCAACCAACTAGGAATGACTGGAGAAACTATTGCTAAGGACCGCTGGTGAGCACTGAATAAATTTAACCATAAAACTAAGACTAAAATAAATGTTCATATTACTGTGACAGACCAGAATTTACTTTTTATATATGCTAATAATGTACAAATGACACAACCGTAATGAATTGGGAGGGGACTGAGAAAAGAAGGAAAGTAGAGCAAGTGCAAAGAGTCAGAATTTCCATGTAAGTGGACAGATGAAATATTACAAATATAGGCCTATTGACTAAAATTTGATGATGTAGATGAAAGGAAAAAATTAAGAGTAAATATGCTGACATTTACATTTCTCATAGTAGGGAAATACCCTTTTTAAACAGATGGAGGATTACTTATTCTTTCACAGTTAAAAAGATAAGCAGTTCTATAAAATTATAAAGCTTTCAAAATATTTAAGATCTGTATGGATAAAACTAAGAACAATGTATGTAATGGAACTTTGAAAAATCCGTAAAGATCAGTAAGCATAACATAAAATATGAAATATCTAAGACCAGTCTTACTGTCATTAAAAAAAAATGTAAAAGCTTTTATAAATCAGCTGTTGTAAGAAAAATATCACAATTGATCACAGTAATGAAACCCAGTTCTGTATGCAAGAAACATACCCAAAAACCAAAGTGGTTTTGAAAGGTTGAAAGTAAAAGGATGAGTAAAGTTTTATTATATAAGTACAAAGAAAGCAGAAAGGGGTGGGGGGAGGGGGGAGGGATGGCATTGGGAGATACACCTAATGCGAGATGATGAGTTAGTGGGTGCAGCGCACCAGCATGGCACATGTATACCTACGTAACTAACCTGCACATTGTGCACATGTACCCTAAAACTTAAAGTATAATAATAAAAAAAAAAAGCAGAAAGTAGGAACCATGATCTTAGTATTGGACAAATTAGAATACAAGCCAAAAAGCAATAACCATTAGATAAAGAAGAATTCTTTATAATGATAAAATAGAAACATTCATAAACTAGAAATTACAGGAGAAACAGACAGTCACTTAAAGTTTAAGACTTCAGAACGAACTTTAATTCACCTATTTCAGTCCACAAAAAGCCAAGAAGATCTGAAATGGGATAAATCTTTTTGACCTTAAACTTGTGGGTCGGTGTGTAGGAAGATTGGAGTGCTATCATGCTGGCTCCAGGGGCTCATGGTGCAGGACTTATAGCTTGCTAAGTTTTATACTACAAGTCAGTAAGTTTAAAGGGTGCTCTGCCTGACACTACCTGCAGGGATCTCATCATTTAAAATTCACAGCCATGAGATTTGACCTTGACTCTGTGGGTAGTGAAAAATAGCAACTCATCTAAAGGGGCCTACTAGCCAGAGGCAGGATGAGAGAATCATCAAACTGTGTACCCAGTGAAGTAAAACTATGGTGGAGGCTGTTGTGGAACATCTGAATTTCATTTATACAAAGAGATTTTGAGATTCAAATAGAGCACCAATGATAATATTCTGCTCTTTTAGCTGATGATTTTTTAACCCTTCACCCTACTTAATGGAAGATCTGAAAGCATGGATGAAAAATAGAGAGTGAGAGAAAAGATAAAGCCTTAGAAAATAAGAGACTTCACATGTGGCTATTAAGAGTTCAAAACCAAACACCACATGTTCTCACTCATAGGTAGGAATTGAACAATGTGTGTGATGTTTCTCCTTAAACATGGGGGGAGGGGGGAGGGATAGCATTAGGAGATATACCTAATGTTAAATGATGAGTTAATGGGTGCAGCACACCAACATGGCATATGTATACATATGTAACAAACCTGCATGTTGTGTACATGTACCCTAAAACTTAAAGTATAATAAAAGAAAGAGTTCTTAGAAAAGTGATGAGTGTAAAAACTAGATATCCTGAAACACTTTGATCTACTAAAAACTTAGAAATGTTAGATAAAAATATGTCAAAAATCCTATTAAATATATAGGTGTGCACACAAAAGTAAGGGAAATTCTCACATTCCAGAAATGAAAATCAAGCATACTAAAAGAAACAAGACTTTAAAAACAAGGTAATTTAAAAATAAACCATGTAATTAAAAAAACCCTAAGTAACTTGTGAAAATGTAAAGGTAGTAATTACAATGAACACCTATATGGAAACATTAAACAGATTAGACAAAGCTTCACAAAGAATTGGTGAACTGAGGGATAGAACTGAAGAAATTACCTAGAAATCAACACCAATAAGCAAGATTACAACCATGACATTAAGAGAGGGGGAAAAAAGGAAAGGTTTCAAATATGGCTAATAAGAGTTATAGAAAAGGGGAAGAGAGAATGAGGAAGAGGCAATATTCAAAGTAAATTACTAAAGTTTTACAAAATTGATGAAAGACCTGATTTCTCAGATTTTGGAAGTAAAATGAATTCTAATCAGGGAAAATTAGTATGAAATCTTACCACAAAGTGAAACTCCAGAACCCAACAAGGACAAGGAGAACAACAAAGGGAAGTTAGCCATATAATATTAAAAGAAATATAATATTTTAGTAAAGAAAACAATATAGTACATATTTGTGAATAAACAGCAAAGTGCAGTCCATAGATTGACCCAAATACTTAGTGATTTTAGTGCTAATAAAGGTGCCATCTCTGATGAATAGAGTGATGATTTACTTTTAAAAAATGCTGTCTGTTAAAGGAATGGAACAAATGATATATTTTTATTTGCATTTAAAAAGTTAATAGGCAGTTATAACAAATGTACCACTCTGGTGAGGGATGTTGACAGT
The DNA here is from genome assembly GCF_000001405.40 of Homo sapiens. Lineage (NCBI taxonomy): Eukaryota > Metazoa > Chordata > Mammalia > Primates > Hominidae > Homo > Homo sapiens. The sequence goes on from NC_000013.11 coordinate 35,130,139, forward strand.
GGGGAAAGCTGTGTATATGTAGGGGTAGGGACATATGGGACTCCCTACATTCTGCTCAATTTTACTGAGAACCTAAAACTGCTCTAAAAATAAAGTGCATTTAAAAGAGAAGGGTAAAGTGGTAGGGAAATGAGAAATTATAAAGTGTTCACTTGTATGGGGGAGCTGTGAGTGATGTGGAAATGTAAAGGATGAGTTGGGTGTAAAATCTCTATGTATTTTTTTATGTCATATATTTTTAACTAGGTAAGTGTATTACTTATTCTAAAAATTAAATGATAAAAGCTGTTATTGCATTATTTAAATATATAAAAATAAACTTTAAGGCAAAAAATTTAATGAGGATGAAGGGGGCCACCATGTTATGAAAAAGGTGTAATTCACTAGGAATGTAAAAGTTTCAAATGCGTATACACTTAGTGTAGGTGAGTCGTAGAAATCTATTATTGACTAAATTTGGAAGAGTATTTTACAAATTTTAACATATTTTTTTCCTTAGAAGATCAATTACAAAAAATCTCAAAAGTATAATTTGAAAAAAAAAATCCATTGGCTTGAGTGTCATACACGTTCTTTTCAAACACACAAAACTATAGAAATTATTTAAATGAGACCATAAAGTAGGCTCAAGAAATTTAAACAAATTGTCATACAGATGACTTTCTCTGCAAACAGTGCAATTAAACAAGAAATCAATGACAAAAATTAAACTTAGAAAATAGAAATATATATATCTTCTAAATAACTATAACAAGAAGTTATTCATTATACAAATTATAAAATGCAGTAAAAATATTTAAAATTATGTATATTTACACTTGTGAGATTTGGTCTAAATGATACTAGAGAAAATTCATAGTTGTGAATATTTATATTAAAAGCAGAAAGGTACTTAGGTTTTCATTTTTCTAGGTTCTCGGTTATGCTTACCTCATTAATTGTCAGCCTAAGAAGGCAAAAGAAATAGTAAAGGGCAGAAGTGAATGAAACAGAAAGCAAGACTATTAAACAGAGTAACGGCAAGGCCAAAAAGCCGTATTATTCACTTATAAAATACTTTTCCATGACTAGCTAAAGAAGGAATCGGCCACTATTTCACCTAATATAATTCATACAACCATGATACCAAAATTGGATATGGATTATCCAATTATAAGGGAAATTTATGGTCAATCTCCCCTATGAACATGAGTCTATCAGTTACTTTTTTAAAAGTATACAGCATAACCAAATTGAGGGTAGTCATAGAATGTAAAGGTGGTTTAACATCAGGACAACATTTCATCTATTTATTAACAAAGGAGAATAGCTATATAATTATGATGTGTGCAAAAAATTTTCATAAAATTCAGTATCATTTGTCATAAAAATTTTTAGCAAACCACAAATAGAAAATAATTTATTCAATCTGGTAACATATGTCTACTGAAAACTTTCCACAGTCCTATTTAGTAATGAAATGTTAGAAGCATCCCCTTTGAAAAACTAACAATTAACAAAAGCCTGCTTTCACCACCCCTGTTTGACATCCTATTGGGTAATATTTTGGCATTTATGAAACACTCCACTTAAAGCTAGCAAAATTGTTTTCAAGTGCATATGCAGCATTCTCCAAAAGGTATTATGAGTTGGGGTGTAAAATATAAAACAAGTCTCAGTAAATTTAAAAACTAATAAATCAAACAGAGTGTATTATCTGACCACACAGAATTAAATTTGAATGAAAGAGGTTTGAGAAATTGCAAGGTATTTGGAAGTAAAGAACGTAACTAATCCCTGAGTCAAAAAAGAAATCATAAAGAACATTAGACGTTAGTTAGAACTGAACGAAAACAAAACCACAGCATAGACTACTTACTGAATGCTTATGCATTGCTGATGGAATGTAGAATCCTGCAGCCATGTTCCAAAAGGATTTCCTAATTTCTTAAAAAGTATTACCATACTTAGGAATGTATCCAAAAGAAGTGATAGCATGTTCATAGCCAGACTTCGCATGAATGTTCTTAGTACTATTATTACTATTATTATTATTTTGAGATGGAGTCTCACTCTATTACCCAGGCTGGAGTATAGTGGCACGATCTCCGCTCACTGAAACCTCTGCTTCCCATGTTCAAGCGATTCTTCTGCCTAAGCCTCCCACGTAGCCAGGACTACAGGTGCGTGCCACCATGCCCAGCTAATTTTTTTGTATATTTAGTGGAGATGGGGTTTCACTATGTTGGTCAGGCTGGTCTCAAACTCCTGACCTCAGATGATCTGCCCACCCCAGCCTCCCAAAGTGCTGGGATTACAGGCGTGAGCCACTGTGCCCAGCCAGTACTATTATTAATAGTAGCTCCAAACTAGAAACAATCCAAAAGTCAATCAGCTGATGAATGGACAAACAAAATGTTTTATGTCTATACAATGGAATACTATTGTGCAATTAAAAGGGAACAAACTACTGATGCATGCTATGACATAATGAGTCCTAAAACTATTATGCTAAGTGAAAGAAGCCAGATGCAAAAACTATATACTATATGCTTCTGTTTATATGAAATGTCCAGAATGCAAATAAGTGGTTAAATGGGGCTAGCAATGGGAGTGGGAATTAACTGCCAGTGGGCACAGGGAACTGTTGAGGATGATAAAAATGACCTATAACTATATTGTAATGATAGTGGCATGACTCTATATAATTTTTAAATGAATTGTTCATTTGCAAAATGTGTGAATTTTGTGGTATGTGTATTATAGTTCAGTAAAGCTAGTAAAAATGTGAAAAACAAAATTTAAAACTCTTTGGAAGTGCAGGATAATAGTATTATCACCTTGGATTAAGGAAGGATTTCTAAAACAATAAATACACATAAATCATACAGCAAAAAGATAAATTTGACCATTAGAATAAAAAGTACTTTAAAAGATACCATAAAAAGTGAAAAGACAAGGCACAAAGTGAAAGAAGATATTTGCAGTTTATCTAGGATACAGTGGATTTGTATCCTAAACATACGAAAAAAATTGTGCAAATAAATTAGAAAAAGAAAATCTGTTAGGATCATGAAGAATATAAACAGACAATTCACTGAAGAGGAAACTTGAGTTAGCAGTAAACATATGGGTGATATACTCAACTTCAGTAGTAATCAAGAAAATGCAAATAAAACATGCATTTAATGCTTATCAGGATGGTAAATTTTAAAACTGTTGACAGTATCAAGTGTTGACAAAGGATGTACATCAGTGGTAACTCTCCAGTCACTGGTGGAATTATATACTGGTACAATCACATTGAAGAACAATTTACAATTTTTGAAAAAGATAAATATACTTATACTCTATGACTAAGGAACTCTCTCCTTGACATAGAGAAAGTCTCATGTGTGTGAACAGTGTTCAATATAACATTGCTAATATTAAAAGTTGGAAACAACATAGAATAGGAGAACAGATAAATAAACTAAGGTATATTCATACAGTTGGATATATTCAGAACTGAAAATGAATGAAGTAAAGTTACCTTGCACAAATCAAATATAAAGCAGTAAAGCAAGTTGCAGAAGGATACATAATAATGATGCAATTTATTTCAATTTCAAAAATACGTGAAGACAAAATTGTAAATTGCGTATGAATAGATATTCATCTAATTAAAAGTATAAAGACGTACATGGGAATAAAAAACAAAATTTATGATTATTGGTTATCCCGAAGTAGAGTGTGAAGAATGGGATGATGGACAGGTATCCAGAAATACTTACTAAGTTGGTTGGTGGTTACATGAATATTTATTATGTTTAAAAAAAAAACTGAGTAAAGAAACGTATAGCAAACAAAAGTAAAGCAGAAATTTATTATCACTGTAAAAATCAGATGGGATTTGAAAGCCCAAAACACAATGAGTTGAACCTGAGGTTAAAAGTTCAAAAGAGAATGTGGAAGGACATTCTGTATTTTGAAAGGAATAATTTAAGTAGATGGTGTTAAGTTCATAAACCTGAAAACATCAAATAGCGATGTCAAAAATATAAAGCAAAATTCATTTGAGATGCAAAAGAACTTGATAAAATAGAATAATGGTAGAGATGACATATCTCTCTCAGAATGGGACCAATTGATAATACATACAGATATAGAGAAATTGAGTAATAGATTCATAAAACTTGGCTCAACAGATATATGTTCAATCTTACATATTTTGAGGATATACTTCATGGCTAAAGAAGATATACAAAAAAAAAAGGCGGGTCATGTCCTGGGCCATCAAATGAACAAAGCAGACAGAGTAGACATTTTATTGGACACTGCCTCCTGACCATAATGTGATAAAATTGGAAATAAAAAAAGAAATTATGCAAAAATATCTTACCTACTTAGAAATTAAGAAGCAGTGTGAAGATATCCTTTAGAGAATAGAAGAAAATAAAAGAAAAATTAGAAATTATCTAAAATTTTCTGTACTTCATAGCAAAAACTCTTATCAGAAATAAATACCTCCATTACTGAAAAATAAAGATTAAAGTTAGAAGAACTTTGTACTTATATTACAACATTAATTAAAGTACAATAAAGTAAAGTAGGAAGTACAAATTAGTAAGGGTGGAGGCTAACATGAAGAAACGAGAAAAATAAAAACGAACTGTTGAAAGGATCACTAACTACAAAGCTGATGTTTTTAAGGAACCAACAAAATGAATCAAACTTTCCCATACCTCATTGAGATAAAATAGAAGCTTTTGAATAAGGAAAGCCTTTTCAAATTATAGGACAGATTATAATAATTATAAGAAAAATATAGTACATTATAATGACATATAAGAGGTCCACTTCTAATTCTTGGTAATATCATTTTCTATATATTTTATGTGTTCATTCATTCGGTTTTTCCCACATATACATAGTACTTTTCCATCAATTAAAAAATGGGAAGGGTAATATCCAGTCATTAATAAATAAAATAAAACTACAGGAGCACAAAACATGCCCTGTTTTGCTTCACTAGTAATCACCAACAAACCTATCGTATGCTCCCTTAATGCAGAACTGTGTTTTGATATAGTTTCCGTGTAAACATTGGTGCATATAGCATTGAGTTCCTATACCTTATCCTCCATTCTAGCCTCAAAATAAAATGCTGGGGAGATGTAGGTTAAAATCTGAAATAATATTACAACTGTCCTGATAGATTGAAGAAGATCAGAAAGTATAATAATATCTACTAGTTGAGTAACTACTGCTTCTTACTACAGAATAATATATACAATGATAGCCAAAGGAAATTGGAAATGTAAATACAATTATAAATTGCTTCCTGAAAACCATTAAAAATTAAAAATACAGTAAATGGAGAGCTATGCTGTGTACATTAATGGGAAGACTCAATTATATAAAGATAAAATTGTAATAAATCAATTTGTAAACATGTCATTCTGGTAAAAAATATAATTTTTATTTAAAGGTTAAAAAAACTCTTCAAAAGCTAACTCAGATGAACAAATAAGTAAAAATGTCAATAGAAGTTTGAAGAATAAGAATAATGAGTATTTATTGTAATAAGTCTAGTGGACTTTATATCAAGGAATAAACTTAAAGAAGGGGTGTAGAATAGAAAGCACAGAAACACATCCTGATATACGTGTATATCTATATATATATATGTATGCTTAGATACTAGAAACATAATTAAAATATGAATTATTCAATAATTGGCAGTGGGAAATTATTTAACTTCTGGATTGAAGGTGGAGAAGAAGCCTTCAAACCATATCACCACACCCAGCCCCCTCCCCCCTCAAAAAAAAGAAAACCAAAACCACAAACATTTTACAAAGAATAAACATTTGGAATTGTGGACTTCCAGATCAAGTTGATAAAGAGAGATGAAAGAATATCCCTTGTCCCAACCTAATGAAATAAACATTATATAGTAAAGTAGAGACTCTCCCCCTCCAAAACAACAAATTCAAATGTAACCAGACAAGGAAAGCAGCATCACATAAAGCAATGCATGCAAAATATTGACAGCGAAAAAAAAGAACCCAGAGATTCTGGAGTGACTTCGTAAGTATCCTTCCCTCATTTCTATCCCTACAAAGCCAACGGAATTCCTAGATTTCTCCCTTAATAATCCCCACATTAGAGTGATAGGAATTGATTAGATATACCTGGTTTTTCTTCTTTAGGACTTTTGGTGAGTGAAAATAGTTCTTTTTTGAAACAAGGAGAATGAACTGAGATTGATGTTCTGTGATGAAAATGGGATTCCAAGTTTTTGTATTAACTTATCACACTGAGGGATCAAGTCAAGGCCTGAAACAATTTCCTTTTGGAAATGAGATATAGTCCCTTAAGTAATGTATGGAAAAAGCACACCATCTTCTAGGAAAATTTGACAGAGAATGATAACACTAAGATATATAGTATTTAAATAAAAGTTTAGTGATTAAAAAAGAGAGTTCCTAAAAAGAAAATGGAAAACCTAGGCAAAAAAGAAGTACTTTCAAATGGTTAAACATTTGGCTGGCCTCAGACTTCTCCCAGTTGAATTCAGTGCCAAAAGAAATAATGCAGTGTCTGCAAGTTCTGAAAGAAGGTGTGACCCGAGAATATTATATCCTGCCAGATTGTTAAGTATGTAGACATCAGGTCAGAATTCAGAAGACAGACTTCTTCATCTCCTCTTGAATGGCATCCCCAGTCAATTGAGAGCTGAGTCAAAAGAAAAACCACAAATGGTAAAGACAAGGTCAAGGAAGTGAATTCATTTGAAGTAGACGAAGACCCAACAATTCATACATAACAGCAGTGTTACAATGAAAATAATTTAAGTGTTTTAAACCTTGATGTTCAAATAGCAATATAGCTCACAAAAACTAGATGACATAAAGTGTGAGGATGGTAATTATCTGTCTTTAATATAAAAGAGTAAATTGATACTTTCTAAAATTGAAATGTTTAGTTAATTATGTAACACTTTGTTGTTTTATTCATAATTATTTTTTAAGCCTCATAGAGATTTTTAATTAGAAAAAAGCCCTTTGGCCGGGCACGGTGGCTCATGCCTGCAATCCCAGCACTTTGGGAGGCTGAGATGGGTGGATCCCTTGGTCAGGAGATCGAGACCATCCTGGCTAACACGGTGAAACCCCGTCTCTACTAAAAATACAAACAATTAGCTGGGTGTGGTGGCGGGTGCCTGTAGTCCCAGCTACTGGGGAGACTGAGGCAGGAGAATGGCCCGAATGCAGGAGGCGGAGCTTGCAGTAAGCCAAGATCACGCCACTGCACTCCAGCCTGGGCGACTGAGCAACACACAGTCTCCAAAAAAAAAAAAAGCCCTTCATGTGGTAAAGAAAGTCATCTGAAGTTTTAAAAATTTTTTTATTGTTTCATGCCCTTTTCTTTATTTTCTGTTAAATGTGAGTAAAATTACATTTGATGCTTTTTATTTAAAATAAAATTTAGTATGAGTTTCTTCTATCCTTCTTTATTCCCTCTTTCTTCCCTTCTCCTTTATTACCTTCTCTTACTCTCCATAAAAAGATATCTAATGTTTATTGTTATTTATTGTGTTACTTTTGGGTAGTAGAATTTTAAGTCTTGTACTTTCTGTTTCCCTACAGTTTATGAATTTCTATGTTGTATATGATTTAACACAACCAATTAAATAATTATGAAAAATGAGTTAAAATAAAAATCATTTTAAAATGCTATAGTAGAAAGAATGAGTATTAAGTATAAATGAAGAAATGACAGGATGAAAACTTGATAGATTTTATTCAAGAAAATTAAAAAAAACCTTTGATGCCACAAAATCCCTTGAAATTCAGAAAGTGGAAAATATTTGTAAATGAGTTGACAAAGGAATAATTTTCCTGATATTATTAGGAATCTCATAATTAGTAGAAAAAAGATGAACACACAGAAGGAAAAAATGGGTCACAGGACAGTATCAGGAAGTTCTTGGAAGTAGTATAAATGGTTAGAAAGTTTCAATTGATCAGCAATTCTTGTCAATGAAAATAAGATCTACTTTTTACATACCAAATTGACTATTTTTCTGATTATTATAATACATAGGGTTGGTAAAATGCATTTATACCTTAATAGTAGAAATATAAATGTACATATTTTTGGAGGTCAGTTCAGCAAAGTCTCATAAAAATTAAAATATAAAAGCTTTTAACCCAATCATTTCAGTTTTTATCCTAAGGAAATAACCATGGTTATGCCCAAAAATGTGTCTAAAGGAAAAGTTTATTTATGGTAGAAAAAAATTGGAAATTACATAAATGGCTAACATTAGTTAATGGATAAAACAATTATGCTACTTTTTTTTTTTTTTTTTCGAGATGGAGTTTTGCTCTGTCGCCCAGCTTGGAGTGCAATGATGCAATCTCCACCCACTGCAACCTACACCTCCCATGTTCAAGTGATTCTCCTGCCTTGGCCTCCAGAGTAGCTGGGATTACAGGCGCCTGTCACCATGCCCGGCTAATTTTTGTGTTTCTGGTAGAGACAGGATTTCACCATGTTGGCCAGGCTGGTCTTGAACTCCTGACCTCAAGTGATCCTCCCACCTCAGCCTCCCAAAGTGCTAGAATTACAGGTGTGAGCCACTGCGCTCGGCCAATTATGCTCCATTTTTCTTATCAGTTATATTTTATGACACTGAAAAATACACAATATATTGTTGACTTAAACAAACTATAAATTACCTTATATAGAACAATTTCCATTGTATTCCTCTCATCCTGTCATTTATATCTGTGTGTCATATATGGATTTATATGCATAGTAATTAATCTGTATATAAAATGATATTTATAATGATTATGTCTGGGTTGAAGAATTATGGGGTTTCTTTTCTTTCTTTATTGTTTTCTTTACTGTTTTCATATATACTCTGAATTTGTTACAAGAAATATCTTTTTTTTTTTTTTTTTTTTTGAGACAGAGCCTAACTCTGTTGCCCAGGCTGGAGTGCAGTGATGCAATCTCAGCTCACTGCAACCTCCGCCTCCCATGCTCAATTGACTCTCCCACCTCAGCCTCCCAAGTAGCTGGGACTATAGGTGCATGCCACCACACCTAGCTAATTTTTGTATTTTTAGTGTAGATGGGGTTTCACCATGTTGGCCATGCTGGTCTTGAACTCCTGACCTCAAGTGATCCGCCTGCCTCGGCCTCCCAAAGTGTTGGGATTACAGGCATGAGCCACCACACCCAGCAATAAGAAGTATCTTTGGCCATCCCACAAAAAGATTGTTTTGTGAAGAAAGAAATTTAAATACATTTCAGTGGAATGTATAGTAAGCTAATACATCTATAATGTGCATGATTACAAGATTCTGTAAAAAAAAATAGATTACACTGTCGATCCATGTGGGCAGAAATCCTGTCAAACTCAAGATATAAAGCAAATCAGCACTAAAAACTGAGGTCTCTAGATCTTAAAGGTAATTATGATGTTAGTTTTTCCAGTAAATGTCCCACTGAAGCCTTTCCTGAACTAAACCCACAGAGCTAGGTCTTTCATTAGAAGTCCTATAAGGAACAAAATCATGTGATGTACAGGGCCAGTGCACCATTTCCTGCCTAAGATGATGGATGGCGTTTTTTTTTTTTTTTTTTTTTTTTTTTTATCTCTTGACTGCTGTGCAACAAAATGTACTGGTAAGTATTGTTTTAAAGAAAACTACAGGAGGAAGTTGACTCATCTCTACTGTGGTGTATGCACAGCATCTTCAAGTTTCCCCCGAACCTAGAATTAAGCATCTGTATAAACGTTTGCATTGGAGGAGATAATCAAGAGGGCATGGATTTCTTCGGTAGCTGAAGTAGTAGTGGCACAGTTAAGAGAATATTCTAAATTTCAGATAGCCTACTTAATTAATTAGTTCACTTTTTTGAGACCAGGTCTCACTCTGTTGCTCAGGCTAGAGTGCAGTGGCACAAGCTCACTGCAGCCTTGATCTCCAGGAATCAAGTCATTCTCCCCTTCTTGAGTAACTGGGGACTATAGGAGCCTGCCACTATGCCCAGCTAATTTTTTTTTTTTTTTAAGTAGAGATGAAGTCTTGCTGTGTTGCCCAGGCTTATCTCAAACTCATGAGTTCAAATGAGCCTCCTGCCTTGGCCTCCCAAACTGCTGGGATTACAGGCATGAGGCACTGAGCTGGCCTTTAGATAGACTAATTTAGACATATGTTTACCAGCTCCTTGTAGCAGAGATCTATTTCAAGGCCAATGCTTTGTCATTTGTTCTTTCCTGATTGGGAGCAAAGGAACACTTAAGGCCTCCTTTTCTTGGGCGAGGCTTGAGTTGGAAGAGATTTAAACCTTCCCTTCCATAGTCCCATAATACTCATTAGCCCTGTATTTTTTTTAAATAGCCATTTGACCTTTTTCAGTCATATTTAAGTGTTTTGCAAACACAGCTGCAGAACAGATGCCCTAGCTTCCTTTTGAGTTTAGGTCATTTTGCTTTTTCCTTCCCTGGACTGAGGCAGATAGGGTGAGGGTATCAACAATCCTGTGTCTTTTGTTATGGAGTGTGGCTCTTGGAGGCTAATGTTAGAAGAGACCTTTTGCAGATGAATGGTACGGACATAAATGGTTCATTTGATTTCTGTATTAATTATGGTAACAGTAGCTGCCATAACTGATAAATAATGAAATTCTAGTCACTTACCAGGCTAGTAGTTTATTTCATGTTCACTTAAAATCCAAATAGGTTTTCCCAAGCAGTTGATTATCTTACAGTGATTTAGAGACCCAGGCAGCTTCTCCCACCTTGTAGCTCCATTGTCTTCCTTCTGTGGATTCTGTGTTGCTGGCTTGGGGAAAGAGCATGGAAAATGTGCATGAGTGCTTTTCCTGTGGGTCAGGACTAAAAATAATCTACAACTTTTCTCTTCACATTTTATTGGCTAGAACTCAGTTAAATAGTCACACTTAGCTATAAGAGAGGCTGGAAATGTAATACAGATGTGGACCAAGGAAGAAAGGAACCAGAGTTTAGTGATTACTTTGTCAGGCTGTGTCACAGTTGCCAATCCAGAGAACAATAGAAAATTGAAGAAATGAAATACTGAGAATTGGGAGAGAAGATGATCCAGATTTTGAATTCTTTTTTTGTTTTTTTGTTTTTTTCTTGAGATGGAGTCTCACTCTTGCCCAGGCTGGAGTGCAGTGGCTCGATCTCGGCTCACTGCAACCTCCACCTCCCAGGTTTAAGCGATTCTTCTGCCTCAGCCTCCTGAGTAGCTGGGACTACAGGCATGTGCCACCACGCCCAGCTAATTTTTGTATTTTTAGTAGAGATGGGGTTTCACCACATTGGCCAGGCTTGTCTCGAACTTCTGACCTCGTGATCCACCCACCTCAGCCTCTGAAAGTGCTGGGATTACAGGCGTGAACCACTGTTCCCGGCCCAGATCTTGAATTCTAAGGAAGTGACACAAATGAGAGGCCTGTAGTAATTCTTGAGCTAGAGCTAAGAGTTCCAGGAGGCCTTTAATGGAACCTTCTATCCTGAGTATGGGTGTGGGAGGGACACAATTAAATCAGGCAACATTAAGTAGAAAGATATTTTTTAAATCCATTGGTAGACCACAAATACAAGCAATGATGAACTCTCTTTAATTATGCAGAATTATTTTGTTTTATGACACCAAAATTAAGCTAGAGTATTTATTTTTAACCATAGTTTTAGTTCTTGATATTAAGGTTTGTTACAGCCTATGTTATAAACTTTGAATTTGTACAGGCATGATTTAAAAATTATGTGGTCTGTATGTTAGGGGATACCAATAATTTTAACCCAATAAAATAACTTCAAAATAGTTATTTGAAATTTGAAAATAATAACAATGACATGTATGTAATATTCCATAATTTGTACATTTCACATTTTAGTTCACACAGATATTTTATTTGAAAAGTTTTTAACTAATAGTCTTGGAACTTTAGGATACAGTTGTGTTACAAACTGTTGTTTCTATAGATGGAAGTTCATGAAAATAATTACTTGTATTATTCTGTATCTGCTTATAAATTGTTCTCTCTTATCTAAAAGTCATGTGATCGGAGAATCCAATGTGTTTCATGGTGTTTTATTTTTCCTCCTTCTCTCCAGGAGAAAAGTTGAAATTATGCACACCCATAGTCTTTTCACTCTTCTTGGAGAAAGGCTGATGTTGCATACAAACACTGTGACTGTCACCACATACAACACACTTTATGAGGTAAAAATAAAAAATGTGTGATGAAAGTTTTAAGTGTATACAGTGGAAACCCTCTTAATCTATGCAATTGAGATGAGTAGTTGGTCTGTTAATCTAAAAGCTAATTAAACCAGAAAATGGTTTAATGGTAAAAAATGAATATATACCTTATATTTTTATTTTATTTTAAAACATATCCATGTACAATTTTTGCCAATTTCTTTATGTCGATCCAAGAGCTTTTCTTCTTGTATGGGTTGGCTGACTGGCTTCACACAAAGTCTTTCTCACATAAACTACATCCGTTATGTAGTATTAGTTCTGCTTCCCCATCCCCACCCCTCTGTTTTTATCCTCTCGTTCCTACTCTCTCTCTTTCTGCTTCTATTAGCTATCCACTGCCAGTATTAAGCTGGAGTTGCTACTGGGATAAATTTCGGTAAGAATTATTTGTAAAAATGATATCTGGAAGCATCTTTGGATCTCATCATTTCAATTTAGAGGTTCCTTTTTTATCACTTCCAACAAATGGGACAGTTTTGGGTTCAGTATTTTCTAGGAAATAGGTATACTACCTCACAGGGTGGCTACTTTCATTTTTAAATGCTAGTAAAATGTTAGTAATGTCCCCTTACATTAACCTTAACTCTGCTTTCCTATAACTGATCTTCAGTGGTCCCAGTTCTTTTTCTCTAGCACAAGAGCTAACTGCCAGCATCCATTTTTGTATGGCTCTAAGTTAAGGAAGCTTTTTATATTTCTAAATGGTTGAAAATAATCAAAAAAAGAATAATATATGAGTTGTAAAATGTATAGGATTTTCAAATTTCAGCGAACACAGTCACACTCATTTGTTTAGCTGTTGCGTGTAGCTGCTTTTGTGCCACGACCGCAGAGTTAAAGAGTTGTAACAAGAATATTTGTTATGCTCTCCTCACCTTGCACTGTTGCTTGGCAAACTAGAAATTACGGTGATGTAATACCTCAACAGTGTTTCATGTACCACTTGTATTGCCAAACCTAAGTTTTCTGCTTTTAAATACCAGTGCATACCCATCATGTCAAAACAAGAAAAGAAAAGTGGATTTTTAATCTCACACTTTGAAATACAGCAGAGTGTAGATTATTTTGTTATAGATTTAGATGGCAAGGCCTTGCGTCTGTTATACAAGGGCATTATAGTCATGCTAAGAGAAGACTTACAGGTACTACTAAATATCCATAATATTATTCCTAACTCAGAAGAGCAGTGGTCAGAAAACATTAAACAGAATATCTCATCATTGTAGATTTCTTTATAAAAATGTTTTAAAAATAAAAATGAGAGACATTGAGAAAGGGAGATGCTAAGCTTCTGAATGGAATTGTACTATAATTTTGAATTAACCTGTAATCTCAGCTACTTGCGGGGCTGAGGCAGGAGGACTGCTTGATCCCAGGAGGTCTGCTAGATCCCAGGAGGTCAAGGCTGCACTGAGCTGAGATCGCGCCACTGCACTCCAGCCTGAGTGACAAAGTGAGACCCTGTCCCCTTCAAAAAAAAAAACAAAAAAAAAAACAAAAACAAATTTACACTTCTCTAATACTGTTTCTTTTCATGTAAGCCATGGAACAGATCAAGTCAATTGCAGATTTTGCACAGTCCTCAAACAGGATAGGTTTTACATTTTTAAATGATGGGGGAAAAAGTGTATTTTGGGATGTGTTCAATTATATGAAATTCAAATTTCGGTCTCTGCAAATAAAAGTTTTTGTTTCTTTGGGTTCTTTTAAGGAAAAGTACAGAGAGTTATTGCAAAGAGAAAAGTACACACTCAGGAAAGGGGAGTGTGGGTATACTTAAGAGAGAGTTGCATGCAAGGGTTTTTGGGGCTGCTACCTTTATGAATTTCTTCTAACCAAGGGATGGATGGAATATTCATAAAGATTACAGTAAAAGGGTAGATATTTCCCAGAACTGTGATGCTATCTAGTTTTACTCCAAATATGGGTGTTCCTGGAACCATTATGGTGCTGGTGAGTGTGTGATTTAGTATGTCAGTGAGTGTATAATGAGGTCCTAGGTGAACCTCCATCAAATCCAGTGCCATACTGGGTGCAGTTAGCCTTAGCTATCTTGGCTCTCATCCTGGCTTTTCAGGGTCTTGTCAACCCCTAGTTTCTGAAGCTATTTCAACAGTTTCCTTTTGCTAGTCATGCGAAACTGCTGCCTGGAGTTTTTTGTTCTCCTGCAACCACCCTTATTATTCCTGTTTCATTTCCCCTTCCCCTTCAGAGATGTCCATCTCTTATTCTTATGGGCTGATGAGGGAGAAGGTCGGTCTTCTTTATCTACTTCCTGCTGATTAGAGATGTTGGCCCTGCCTGGCAAGGGTATGGAAATCTTTGGCTGCCTGGCCTGAGGGTTCTAAGGGTGAGTCATCAGGAGACTCTGAATCCAAAGCAGGGATTGGAATCATTGCATGACCATCATTTTGACATGGAACTGTTGTAATGTAAAAGACACAAAATTTACAAGGAGGTTAAACAAGTAAGGACAAAGATTCATAGTAATAAGAGAGCTATTAAAGGTCGAAGGAAGGAGGAACCATGTCACAGTTGGTAGGTATCCTTTGATGGAGTCCCAGATGGTTTGAGCAGTGGGATTATATTGAAATTATGTAGCCAGGTAGCCTGTTAGTAAATCTTTTGAACTTTCAGTTCAACTAATCCTGAATTGTTAATATAAGAACAACAGGTGTGGTTTATTACTGTGCAAACCCCTCTTTGTTCAGCCAGAACATAAAGCCTCTTGTTGTTTCCTTGACCATTCAAGTAGTTCATGCTTTGGCACGGTTAGAGCTTCATACAGTAGCTTAGCAATGAGCCTAAATCATGGGATCAAAATCTTGCAAATTCCTGTCATACCCAGGAAAGTTTTGAGTTGCTTCTTCGGTTGTAGAGGCCTGACCTTTAAGATAGCTTCCTTTTGTTCGATGGACATGGTGTAGTTTCTTGGGCTTAGGATGTACCCCAGATATTTTACTTCCAGTTTAGAAGTCTGGGCCCTGGGTGGAGAGACTGGATACCCTTTCTCCCAGGAAGTTTAGAACTTGAATAACATTCTTATCTGAGGCCTCTTTAGTGGGTCTGCATACAAGGATGTCATCCACATATTGGCGTGTGGCTTCCCTTTCTGGCTCTAGTTCCCTTAATTCTCTTGCCAAGGCATTTCTGAACAAGTGATGGCTATCCCTAAAGCCCGGAGGCAGTACAGCCCAGGTATACTGCCAGGAAATACTATTTTCAGGATTAGTTCGCTCAAAAGCAAACAAATAGTGACAGTCAAGGCATAAAGGGATACAAAAGAAAGCATCTTTAAGATCTAATATCATTAACCAATTGGTGTCTTCTGATATTTGGGTAAATGTGGTAGAAGGATTTGGCACTTTAGGATGTAAGGGAATTACAGCCTCATTAATGGTTCATAAGCCTTGAACTAGACAATATTCTTCATTTTGTTTTTGGACAGGGAGGACAGGACTATTACAAAGAGACTGACATGGAACTGGGAGGCCATGTTTTAAAAACTTCTTAATTACAGGTTAGAGTCCTCACCTGGCTTCTTGTTTGAGGAGATATTGATGCTTATGTGGGAAATTATTTTTGTCTTTTAAAGAGATGATCACTAGCTGACCATGTATTACTTTCCCAGGAGTTTCTTGGTCTCATACTTGTGGTTCCATTTCCAGATCTTACTTTGGAAGGAATCTTCTGTTTGTCTGATACTGGTATCGAAAAAACAAGCATTGCCAATACTTGAAAGAAATGTTTCCCAGGGCCTGATAAACATAAAGTGACTCCAACTGTGGCCAGGAAATCCCATTCCAATAAAGAAATGGGACATAGAGTTTTGTAGCCTGCAGCTCAGGGGTAAGGTAAAGCGTTTTGATTTTGGAGTGTCATCAACATCCATGACAATGCAGTTATTGGAAGATAAGGTCCAAGAGTGGCCTTTAGGACAGAGTAACTTGCCCCTGTATCAATTAAGGAATTAATATTATTTCCTGCCATGTCGAGTTACCCAAAGCTCCTTAGTTGTGAGGACCATGCTTTTGTGGGAGCCGCCAGGAACGTTGGGTCCCTTCAGTCCTCAGTTATAACCATTATGGCCTCAAGTTTCCTTCTCTCCCTTTGGAGCTGAGGGCATTCCCTTTTCCAGTGGCCCTCCTGCTTGTAGTGAGGACAGGGTCTGGTTGGGCTCCCTTGGCTGGGACAGGTATTGCGCCTGTGTCACAGCTCCCCACACTTGAAGCAGCAACCATTACCTTTAAGTTTTCTGGTAGGTCTGCTTGGTCCATGGGTGAAGCATCCCTCTGGGTGACTCTGAGGTTGCAGGATGCTGCTTATAGTGACTGCTATCATTTGGGCCTGCTGCTGTCTCATTGTTTGCCATGCTAGGTCCTTTCAGCATATTCAGCCCTATCTCTATTATTGAATACCACAAAAGCCACATCAAGCATTTGATTAATAGGCATTTGGGATCCCAAAGCCAATTTCTGTGGTTTTCTTCTGATGTCAGGTGCTGACTGGCTGATAAAGTGTGTCCCGAGTAAAGTTTGGCAAGCATCAGTATGGGGGTCAATGTTAGTATATTTTCTTAGGGCCTCCACAAGGCATCTCTGGAACAAAGCTGGGTTTTCATCCTTTCTTTATTTCCCTTATTTTATCATAGTCCACAGGCTTGGTGTTACATTTTTTCATTCCCTTCACTAAACAAGTCACCATATGATTTCTTTTTCTTAGATCAACTTGGCCCTGTTGATAGTTCCAGTTAGGGTCATTGTTAGGCACAGATGTGGCCCTCATACCATATTCTTCAGAGTCCCCAGATGACAGATTGTTAGCATAAGCCTGGGCCTCTGCCCAAATATGCTGCTTTTCTTCAGGGGTGCAACACATGGACAAGATGTTATGAATATCTCCCCAAGTTAACTCAAATGAGAGTGAGAAAGCCCAGAATTCCTTCATGAATTTAGTTGAAAATCAAAGGTACATGCACCTGATGAATGATCCCAGCATCCCCATTGGCTACCTCCCTAAGTGGACATAACTTAGAATGGTCCCTTAGGAGGGTAGGAAACACCACTGCAGGTGACCCCAGCAGGGCTCAGTTCCCTTGGTAGGGAAGGTTATATAGGATGTTAAGGAGGCGGACTAGTAGGAGTCTGGGTGCTGGAGACAGTGGAACTAGGAGAAGACTGAGGACTTAAAGGTGGAGCTGGGTAAGAGGGAGAAGCTGTGGGTGCCAGACTGTGTCTGGGTCAGGAGGTGAGGGAAGGCTCTGGATTAGTTATTTGATATTTCCTAATTCCAACTAATTAGTTGTTTGATATTTTCCAAAAGGGGATCATTTAGGATATCTGGTTCCCCATTTGGTTCCCTTAAAGGAAAGGGTGTGAGTATAACAGAGGCAGGAATTCCTACAAAGCTCAGGGTTTTGATAAAGAGCTATGAAGGCCTGTACATACAATATTTGAGTCCATTTCTTCTGATGTTCACAAAAAACGATCTAATTACAAGATGGTATTAAAATTTAGGGTCCTGTTCTTTGGCTGTTGCACCCCATTTTCTGAAAGAGAGTTACCCTTGGCTTTGACTTGTTCTTGGGACAACCAACTGCCAGTGATTCTAAAATGAGGCTGATGATGCTCCAGGCTGGCTCATCATAAAGATAATACTGGTGGGCTGGGCGAGGTTTCCAAACACTGGTGGGACCTTGACCCCAGCTGGTGTTCGGGCTCTTGATAATAGGAGTTCAAGGATGAGTCACAAAATAGTGATAGCATGGAGATTTCTTGCAAAGAGAAAAGTACAAACTCAAGAAAGGGGAGTGTGGGTGTACTCAAGAGAAAGAGTTGCATGCAAGGGGGTTTAAGGCTGCTTCCTTTATGCACAAATAAAGTTTTATAGAACATAACTCATTAAGTAAAGTCCATTGGTCACTTGACACTACAGAGTTGAGTAGTTGTAATGGAGATTATATGATCCACAAATCTTAAAATACTATCTGATCTTATCTATAAAAAGTTTGTTGACCACTGCTCTACAGCAGCACAGAGAAATTTAACTCCCCTCTGTTGTTCTTTTTATTACAAGCTGTATTATAGTCTTCTGTCAGAATTAATATTCATCATTGCAAAAACTTGGAAAATGTAGAAAAGCACCAAAATAAAATTTAGCAAATACTGATTAATACTTAAGAATATATATATATATTTCTCAACTCATACACATATGCACACAGAACTTTTATAAAATGTTATCCTAAATATAGTTTTCTTGTCCAGCTTTTTGCACTTATAATTACAAATATATTTATCACAAAATATTTATCTATAGCTGGGAAGGCAAACTTTTCTGGTAAAGGGACAGATAGTAATATTTCAGGCTTTGTGGGCTATACAGTATCTGTCACAACTACTCAAATCTGTTGTAGCTCAGAAGCAGCCATAGACAGTATGAACCAGACAGGCTGTGTACCAGTAAAACTGTATTACAGAAACAGGTGGCAGGCTAGATTTAGCCCACAGGCCATAGTTTTCTGACCCCTGCTCTATAATATTACTTTTAACTACTTAATTTTTTCTCTATTTTATCAGTAAATTTAAGAGTGGCTGCTCTTTAGATTAGTGAGGAAATCTACTGACTGCTCTGAATTGTTTGTTTGTTTGTTTCTGAGCTTAATATTCCGACTTTGTGTCAATCATTCCACAAATCACAAGATTAGTAGACTATGCCTTTCTGAACAATGCCTTTTTGAATTATAGTAGTGTTTTAATATTGTTTCAATATTTGGCATGCAGAACTGAATAAGTACTAACACAATGGCTTTTCCCTATGCAGAGTATAATGAGGTCATTTTCTTTCTTTATTCTGATATTGTATTTCCCTCATCATAGTAACTGTTTTTTATTGGGCACTTCTTATGACAAACATGGTAAATTCTTTATGTACATTGTTTCAGATCTTATAACTACCCTATGATAATGGTATTTTTTTTGCTTGTGAAAACAGACAAACTAAGACTCACAGGTTAAATAATTTGCTGTATGTCATGCCACTAATAAATAATCATAAAATAGGTAGGTTCCATGATATATATACATAATGCAAAAATGTCAGAATCTCTCCTCAGTTGACAGCATTAAAATCCTCCTCTGAATCAAAACCTGCTACAATATCAGATTAGGCTTCTGAAGGCTAGTGCCTAATATTCATGAACACGTGTTTATGTTTTGATTTTTTGGACCTACTAACTGGTTTGGTCAATGATGCCTATGTAAGTTTTTAATCATTGTTTTACCTATGTGAATTTTTGAGCATCTGCTTATTTTGACCTCTTATCCATAATAGAGAGTCTGAGTAGTCAGTGCAACTTTATATTGAGTGTAGCATAATAACATAATATGTTGAATTTGAAAAACCATTGTGTAGTACTAACCTTTAAATAAGAAAATTTCATATACATGTATACACACATATATGTATTTCTATTAGTCTTCCTGAAAAGTGACTCAACACAAGTACAGCAGCGTTTTTACCCACCACCTATACTCCTGTGTATACCTAGTATCCAGATTTTGGTCTCTGGTGATATTCTACACAAAACAAAGCCAACTAATTGCTGGTCCTGTGTCTTAGATGAGGAAAACTCAAGATAAGTTTGAATTCTCTGATACTGGATGTGGGATGAGGCAGAGCTCCTGAAATGATGAAGGAACCAACTTACAGACCTCTGACCAATTTTAGTAATAATACTTGTTTTTAAAATAGAATAATGTTTATGGTTACTTTAAATAATTTTTTCAAGGACTTTGAGTTTATAATGAATGCATATTCTAAAAAGAAAAGTTAATGTAAGTGTACAAAATGCCAAAAGAGAGAGATGATAAATGATTGGTTATCATTGTTAATCCTACAAAATAGCAGAAAGAGTCTTCAACATAAGCTTTAATACTATGGCCAAACCAAATTTTATTATCAGAATGACAGGGCAGTGGATTACTGTTTCTGGATCACCAGAGTTTAAACATCACATCTTTTGCTGTGTCGCATCTAGTTGCAAAAAGATTAACTTGTGTGATGGGTATCAATTTAATTTTTGTTAACATAGTAAAGGAAATTTAACTGAAAAAGGAAATCGCTTCCAGACTCTCTGCTTAGGTTTAATTCATCTTGTTAGCATCAACCAGGTTGTGTACTCTTAGCAAGAATTAGTTGTTTGATAATCCAGAGTTTGAAATGTTTTTTTAATCTTCATTTTCTTTTTTCTGTTTGGGGAAATCACCTTAATCTCAGCAATGCATCAGAATAAATATTACTACAACTCTACGAATGTGTAAGATTAAGTGCAGAAATAATAAAGAACCAACTTATGGTGTTGATAATGATATTTTAGAGTAGAGTAGAGTAGAGTAGAGTAGAGTAGAGTAGGAGGCCAGGCACAGTGACTCATGCATGTAATCCCAGCACTTTGGAAGGCTGAGGTGGGTGGATCACTTGAGATCAGGAGTTTAAGACCAGCCTATCCAACATGGTGAAACCCAGTCTCTACTAAAAATACAAAAGATTTAGCCAAGTGTGGTGCTGTGCACCTGTAATTCCAGTTACTCGGGAAGCTGAAGTAGAATAGCTTGAACCTGGGAGGCAGAGGTTGCAGCGAACTGAGATTGTTCTACTGCACTCCAGCCTGGTCGACAAACAAGACACTGGCTCTAAAAAAAAAAAAAAAAGAAAAGAAATTTGTTATTTTAATAATTTTTTTGAAGTCTTATTAGGATAAAGACTATGTTATAGTGACCTTTGAAACTTTTAAGTTTGATAAGATGCTTGTAATATAATAAACAATAAATTTGAAGTCACAGGCCGGGCTCGGTGGCTCACGCCTATAATCCCAGCACTTTGGGAGGCCGAGGTGGGTGGATCAACTGAGGTTGGGAGTTCGAGACCAGCCTGACCAACATGGAGAAACCCCATCACTACTAAATATACAAAATTAGCCAGGCGTGGTGGCGCATGCCTGTAATTACAGCTACTCAGGAGGCAGAGGCAGGAGAATCGCTTGAACCCGGGAGGTGGAGGTTGCGGTGAGCCGAGATTATGCCATTGCACTCCAGCCTGAGCAAGAAGAGCAAAACTCTGTCTCAAAAAAAAAAAAAAAAAATTAAGGCACAAAATCAGATTTTTAGCAGGACATGTCAGACAACATTGTATAAGTTGTGAAGATGTAAAAATCTATCTTGATTATTTTGAAAACCAAAAAAAATTAATAAATTATTTATGTCTATAGTTTTCTGAGGTGAATTTATTCTGTAGGATATATACTAAGAAGTGAGTTAACTTTAATGGACCTCTTTTTGAAATTACTCAAAACTATTTTATATACATATTATTTAGGAATTGTAATATTTATGAAACTTATCTTTTAAATTCTATTTGTATCTTTAGTTTTGCTTTGTTACTCCATCTCTAAATTATGAGTAATTATGTTTTCCTTTTGTTAATGATTTGTAGTACTCTCTAATACACTTAAGAATTGTTTGATTGTAGAATATGTTTTCTGCAGGCAAAACAAGTAGATTTTTATGTTTAATACACTTGTAAATCTCAGCAATAATATCTGTTTCATTACTTCATTGTGATATTATTTTTGCTTTATGGGTTCTCTTTGCATACTCTTCCCTTAATTTAGTTAAACATGTAGTGGTGACACAAGGAGCCAAATGTAAGATCTTATAACCTAAATGAGAGCTTTGTTCCTTATAGTAATAACTAACCAATTTAAAGGAAAACATATATTTTTTAAATTAACTGTTTCTATAAGGATATAACAATTTATGAGTGCAATCATTTTACGAGTTAGTCAACTTTAAGCACTTAATAATCAAAGTTTTTCTCAAAATTATAGAATTTCAGAGGTGGACAGTATGTTAGATACCATCTTATTCAAACTTTCTATTCACAGAAAAAGAAAGTCACAAAGTTAGGTAGCTTGTCCAAACCTGTAAAGATTCTCTGACCCAAATACAGTGGCAGTTAGATGCAACAGCAGGGTTAATAGTTTGCCTTTTTTTTAACCACCCCATCTCAAAAAGTTGAGCCTACTAATACTACAAAATTTATGCATGATGAAGCTGGGGAGCAGGTGCATCAGAAAGATAGCTTCAGTAGCCCCTGCTTCAGCCTAAAGTTCTGTAACACATGAATTGCAAAATAATTCCATTTATAAAATGAAATTTCAATGTGTAATGCTGGGCTCAGGTGTATCTCTGTAAATAGCATGTAAAGTTACCTCCATGCTTATGATTCATTGTTGTTTCCCTCCCTGTCGATTACCTGTATTATAGCCACTGGGGACATGTGGCTGTTGAACACTTAAAATGTGGCTGGTATGAATTGAGATGTGCTCTAAGTGTTAAATACACATTGGTTTTCATGTCCATATCCAGCTCTGAACCTCTGTACAATTTTGTTTTAGTGGGGGTTTGGGGTTACTATGCATATCTCTTACCAATCCAGTCAAACCTTTGGGGCCCATCTTGAGTCCTGCTCTTTCATTAGAATGTTTGGGTCTACATTCATCTCTTTTTATTTATATTTCATTATTCCCTTTCTCCCTTTTTAAACTTACATAGGTTCTTTTTTTTTTTTTTTTTTTGAGACAGAGTCTCACTCTGTCGCCCAGGCTGCAGTGGCGTGATCTCGGCTCACTGCAAGCTCCACCTCCCAAGTTCACGCCATTCTCCTGCCTCAGCCTCCTGAGTAGCTGGGACTACAGGTGCCTGCCACCACACCCGGGTAATTTTTTGTATTTTTTAGTAGAGACAGGGTTTCACCGTGTTAGCCAGGATGGTCTCGATCTCCTGACCTTGTGATCCACCCACCTCGGCCTCCCAAAGTGCTGGGATTACAGGTGTGAGCCACCATGCCTGGCCACATAGGTTCTTAATGATAGTCTATCATGTTTTGTTACTTTATTGGGGCATGCATTTATGCCTGCCTCCAGAACAATAATTAAATAAATTGCTACTAGAAATGAAGTTGCACCTAGCAATGTATTTTCAGTCTGCAAACATTTAGCAGAGGGAGGGCACATAACTGGTTATTAATAAATACATGTTGAATTGAGTTTCTGAGTATATGTTTGTCATTTTAAAAACCTTTATATTTGAATATGTTATAGTTTTCAAAGCACTTTCACATATGGAGCTTTATTTAATCTTCCTAGCAGTTTTATTAGATAGGCAAGGCAGTTATTCTTTTCATTGTTAGATGATAAAGTAGGGACTTAAAAAGACAATATAAAAACTGGTGACACTTTTGTTTCCTGTGCAATGTGATTTCTTCTCTTTTGGTTGAAAACACTTTAACTATCACGGGAGAGTAGGTCCTGATTTCCTTTAAGCTCGTCTGAAGTTATTTTGAATCCTTTATTTATAACCACAATTTTCTTGGATCTCATCCACTGGGCTATAGGTACACACCAGGGTCTTCGGGGCAAGTTGTTGTGAAAACTACTTATACGTATATACCAAGCAATAAGTGATTGTTCTTTAGTATATGGTTTTCAAATAAATTTTATCTCGTGTCAACTCCGTTTGATTAGGAGTGCATGTTTGGGGTCCTTTGTTTAGAAAGTTGTGAAATGCTGTTTAGTTTTAACAAGTAAGTGTTTAGTTTCATCAGAGGTATGAGAATGAGGGGAACGGGGGTAATTAAATGCTATATTCTTTAATAAAGTAGGTCAGTTTTTATTTCAGGTCAATATCTTTTTTATGAACATTCCTAATATACTTATGTAAATGTCCTGTCTTAGTCTGAGCAGAAGGGGAAGGAAAATGAAACTTCTGGATGTCGTGGTCCTTTTCTAATCAGAAGAGACCATCCCTCTCTCTCAATTTGCTTTTTCCATCTTCAGCTTCTACAATATAGCTATGTTCAATTGTCCTTTCAACTAACGTTGGTGGTTTTGCAGCAGTTTTTGTACTTGACTTAGGTTTAACTGTTTATTCAGAATTTGCCATGTTAAAGCTAAACAGGAAATTAAATCACAGATATAAAATGATGTCTGTATTAAATATAACCTCATAGGGTTTATGTAAGAGATAAACACAAACTCAAGCCTAAAATACAGTGAGCAGTTGTACATACATTATTGATATATAATTAGGTTAATTATTCTTTAATTTAACAAATATTTACTGAATGCTGTTGTGTGTCAGGCATTAGTGCTGATTACTAGGAATATAACAGTGAAGATGATGTTCAAAATCCTGCTCCCACATTTTAGTGGGAAAGTTAGTAAATGTTTTAGAATTTTCTCTTTCCTTTATTTGGTCAACTGTTTTTTTGTATTTGAAAGGAATAATTTAAAAAACTCATTAGTAAATGACAATGAGCCACATTGTTAGGAAGAACTTTCCCTTGTCACACTTACTGAAGTAGGGGCCAGATGTGGTGGCTCATGCATTTAATCCCAGCACTTTGAGAAGCTGAAGCAGGAGGATCTCAGGAGCCCAGGAGTTCAAGATGAGCCTGGGCGATAAAGTGGACCCCATCTTTACCAAAAAATGAGAAAAATAATTAGCTGTGTGTGTTGGCATGAACCTGTAGCCCCAGCTACTTGGGAGACTTAGGCAGGAGGATCACTTGAGTCCAGGAGTTGGAGGCTGCAATGAGCCATGATTGTGCCGCTGCAGTCCAGCCTGGGGGTACCATAGTGAGATTCTGTCTCTAAAAAAAAAAAAAAAAAAAAAAAAAGTAGTTCATAAATAATTTTAGGAACACTGAAAAGGCATTTCAAACAATAAATTCATTAATTTCCTAATCTTTCCTTCTATAGATACTGGTTCTGGTTTTGTATGTATAAATAATAAATAAAATTTGGTGAATACAGAGTTAAAGAGTTTAGAAGTATGTGGAATTCATTAAAAAGTCTCTTTAGGGCTGGGCATGGTGGCTCACACCTGTAACCCCAGCACTTTGGGAGGCTGAGGCGGGTGGATCATCTGAGGTCAGGAGTTCGAGACCAGCCTGATCAATATGGTGAAACCCTGTCTCTACTAAAAATACAAAAAATTAGCCAGGCGTGGTGGCACATGCCTGTAATCCCAGCTATTTGGGAGACTGAGGGAAGAGAGTCACTTGAACCCATGAGGTGGAGGTTGAAGCCAAGATTGCACCATTGCACTCCAACCTGGGCAACAAGAGTGAAACTCCGTCTTGAAAGAAAGAAAGAAAAAAGTCCCTTTAGAAGAGATGTTTCTTTTGGTTTGGACTGCATTGACATTTCTTTTGCAGGTTCATTGTATATCTATATTTTGCAATTATTATTTAAATTGTTTTCTAAATGAAGTTCAAATTCTTCATTTTTCAGATCTTGACAGAACAAGTATGTACTCAGGTCGTACACAAACCACATCCAGAGCCAGATTCTACAGTGAAAATTCAGAATCCAAGTGAGCAAATGGCAGTTCTTTACTGTATTGTGGTAGGCGCATGGCAACATATGAGACTAAATCAAAACTTTTCCTAACCCCTTAAATCATTATGGTGTTTACCTAGTTCATGACAGTTTTAACTCACCTTTTATAGTGTTAAGTATTTATTTGAAAGTTGGTAATACTTTTTGAGTTGAACATAGGATATGGTTACAAATCTACAAGTTTTTTTTCTTTGTTTACAGTGATTCTTAAAGTGGTGGCAACTTTGTTAAAAAACTCTACACCAAGTGCAGAGCTGATGGAAGTTCGTCGTTTATTTTTATCTGATATGATAAAACTTTTCAGTAACAGCCGTGAAAATAGAAGGTAAGCAGTTTGGATACTGTAACAACACTTTATTCCATAATTAATATTTTCTCTCTTTTAGATTTTCAATTCATTTCAAATCTTTTCCATATTGCTAAATACTTTTAATCATCAGAAAAGGCATTTTATGTTTCTTTGACATAATCTGTATTCGGTATTCTTCTATTTATTTTTATATTATTTTTATTTTGTTACGTGGATATTATATTTTAATTGTATATATGAATATACATATAAACAAACTCTTATTTAGAATGTAATATCCCTTTTAGTGGTACCTATCTATCACCAATGGAACTTTCAGTTGTAATTGTGTTGGATTTCCCCATTTTCATCTATGCTTTCCACCCCATATTTCTTATGGCCGAATGTTGTGCATTTTTAAGCTAGTTAGCTTGAACATGGGGTAAAGTCTGAGGCCATGAACTCTGGGGTAGTCATTGCCTGAGTCTATAATTTAACAAATATTGATTGAGTGCCTACTGTGTTCAGTGTAAGACTTTGTGCTACACAAGATAGTCTTAGTACACAGTCTCAGTACATTCCAGTGGGAAACCATAAAGCAATGATTAATGTATAATGTGTTAAGTACATTGTGAGTGCTAAAGGTGGTGAGAAAGTAGAGAAGCAATAAGTAAATCTGACTGTGAAAGTTAGGAAAATGATTTTGAATGATAATTAGGATTTTTCCTGGTAGAGAAATAAGAGAAAGTCATTCCAAGTATAGAATATATAACGTGCAGCATGACTGTACACCTTGCTTTACTGAGGTCAGATCATATTTTCACTATTTTATTTATCAAAGTTTCAAAATAGTAAATTCTAACTTAATTTGGATATTTTTAATGAGATCAAATTTTTTTCTCCCTAGATGCTTATTGCAGTGTTCAGTGTGGCAGGATTGGATGTTTTCTCTTGGCTATATCAATCCTAAAAATTCTGAGGAACAGAAGATTACCGAAATGGTCTACAATATCTTCCGGATTCTTTTGTATCATGCAATAAAATATGAATGGGGAGGCTGGAGAGTCTGGGTGGATACCCTCTCAATAGCCCATTCCAAGGTAACACGGGATTTAACATTTTAACATCATCAGAGTTATTGCAGTGGATTAAATGGCTACAAACATGCATCTGGTGCCATCTTGTGGGCATCTTAGATTTTGACAGATTCCTGTATCTCAGTTTTGTATTTTTCCCTCATTGTTCATAGACTGTTAGAACTTGAAAGTGGCTTATAGATGAATTAATTCAAACCCCAAATTTATAAATCAGGAGTTTTATACCCAAAGCTGACATACATCTGTTTTATAGCAAATCTGGGAACTTTAATCTGAGCCACTTGCTCTTTCAACTGGTTCTTGGAAGAATATTTTATGAAATAGTCTCTGAAATATACTTTTTAAGACTTTTTTTTAAGAAGTCAGATTTTTTTATTTCCAAGTGAATCATAAATACAGTGTTTAAGTTTAGTGGTATTTTAATTGCTTTATCTTTTCTTTATTTTTAATCTTAAAAATCTGTATGTCTATTTTAAGTATTATTTGATCTTTGGTAAAATGAAATAGTGAATTAAACTGTACAAGTATATACACATTAGATTCTGGAAATTCAGAGTTATGGGTTTCTCATCATGAAGTGTTATAGAAGAAGCATGGGTGTCAGAAGTATGGCTTTTAATTTAGTCTGTGCCATAATTGAGTTTTGTGATTTTAGGAGACTCATTAAGTCTTCTTGAACACGAGTTAGAAAAAAATGTTTAAAAGGATAGATAGTAAATATTATAGGCTGTGTGGGCTCTATAGCCTCTGATGCAGCTACTCAACTCTGCCGTTCAGTGTGAAAGACAATACATAATGTAAATGAATGATCATGGCTTTGTTTGAATAAACCTTTATTCACCCAAAGAGGTGATAAGCAGTTTTGTCCCATGGGCCTTATGTTACCAACCCCCACTTTTGGGACTTGCTTTCTTCTTCTGTAAAATTAAGGGGATTTTTGTATTATGAGATATTCTTTAAAGGATGGTCCCCCCAATCTAAAATTCTGTTAACTTATTTAAATATACATTAATAGAACCCATGTCTGTAAGAGAAAGTCTGTGAACTTTAAAAAATATTAGAAAAGCTTTTGTTTCAATTATAAATTTACATTTTGTGAAGTATTGACACCTCAGATTTATCATTGCTTTAACAAATTTGAAAATAGCAAAGAAAAAGACATTGCAGGTCTTTGTGCAAAAAAAAAGTATTCTGATTATTAATAAAGAAGCCTAAGTAAAGTAACAAAGCCAAAACAGCTTATATAAGGATAAAACTGTGATATTTTAATAGCTTGTAAATTTATATATTTAATGATATGTGTGAATTTTTTAACATCAGTTGTTGGGAAGGGTGCACATATGAGCAATAGATGGTGAAAACCAACATAGTAATAGTACTTTGGTTATTGTATATTATTAGCTGCTTATTCTCTGTTTAAGCTTACATAAATGTGTGGAAGTTAACTGGCATATTTGGTTTGGGTAACATTGAAATACTTAGCCTAAAAGAAAATAGCTTTTAATATTGCTGAGTTATCTGTGTGATTTTGGCAATCCTTATAATAAATCATATATAGCTGTATTTGTTGATTATTTCCAGTTACTTAATGAAACTAAGCACTTGCTTTAGGACTAACAAATGCCAGCTTTGAAGTCTTAAACTTTCTGGCATTATTTTTTCTATTTCCACAATTTAATTTGTATTATTTAGTTTTTTCTTTTTGATATGTACAAAATGCCTTAATGTTTTCTTTACTTATTCCTAAGGTCACTTATGAAGCTCATAAGGAATACCTAGCCAAAATGTATGAGGAATATCAAAGACAAGAGGAGGAAAACATTAAAAAGGGAAAGAAAGGGAATGTGAGCACCATCTCTGGTCTTTCATCACAGACAACAGGAGCAAAAGGTGGAATGGAAATTCGAGAGATAGAAGATCTTTCACAAAGCCAGAGCCCAGAAAGTGAGACCGATTACCCTGTCAGCACAGATACTCGAGACTTACTCATGTCAACAAAAGTGTCAGATGATATTCTTGGAAATTCAGATAGACCAGGAAGTGGTGTACATGTGGAAGTACATGATCTTTTAGTAGATATAAAAGCAGAGAAAGTGGAAGCAACAGAAGTAAAGCTCGATGATATGGATTTATCACCGGAGACTTTAGTAGGTGGAGAGAATGGTGCCCTTGTGGAGGTTGAATCTCTGTTGGATAATGTATATAGTGCTGCTGTTGAGAAACTCCAGAACAATGTACATGGAAGTGTTGGTATCATTAAAAAAAATGAAGAAAAGGATAATGGTCCATTGATAACATTAGCAGATGAGAAAGAAGACCTTCCCAATAGTAGTACATCATTTCTCTTTGATAAAATACCCAAACAGGAGGAAAAACTACTTCCTGAACTTTCTAGCAATCACATTATTCCAAATATTCAGGACACACAAGTACATCTTGGTGTTAGTGATGATCTTGGATTGCTTGCTCACATGACCGGTAGCGTAGACTTAACTTGTACATCCAGTATAATAGAAGAAAAAGAATTCAAAATCCATACAACTTCAGATGGAATGAGCAGTATTTCTGAAAGAGACTTAGCGTCATCAACTAAGGGGCTGGAGTATGCTGAAATGACTGCTACAACTCTGGAAACTGAGTCTTCTAGTAGCAAAATTGTACCAAATATTGATGCAGGAAGTATAATTTCAGATACTGAAAGGTCTGACGATGGCAAAGAATCAGGAAAAGAAATCCGAAAAATCCAAACAACTACTACGACACAAGTAAGCTACCTTATATGAGTTCTAGAAATAAATAAAAATGCATTGAAGAGTTGTTAGCACCAAAACAGAGTAATTTCTTATCAGTTACTTCATGTTTATATTGAATTATAGTATAATAGTAATTTATGGAACTAAATAGTGCGGTATAATTTCATGTATGTAAGAAACTAAAAATATCTCAATTATATTTCCAACTCTGCCACATTCTTCTGTGTAACTTTGCTCAACCTCTCTGGGCCTAAGTTTCCTTATCTAGTACAAGAGGTTGTACTAAAGGATGACCTTTAAGGTCTCTGCCAGTTCTAACATTTTATAACTCTGTGACTACATTTACACATTTTGTACTCAAGATCTTCATTCTGAATACTTGATTAATTTTAACCTTTTAAGCTTCAGGCCCAACCCTGTTCTGTGGATTATAGAAAAGAGGACTTGGAGCCCAGATTGAACTGATAAATGAAGGGGAAGGGAAAAGGGAACTGTTATTTATCCAGTGCCTACTATGTTCCGGGCACTGTGCTATATGTTTTCAGATTTAATCCTCACAACAACCCTGTGAGGTAGGTAATATGGCTGAGAAAAATTAGAATTGTTAGCAGTGAGAATTTTCTGTTCAACCACATGAATAGAAATTTGTTATAAGACAATTAAAGACTCTTAGGTCTGGTTGTTAGGAAATGTTAGTGCTTCAGTTTTGACCTCACTGGAATAAAGCTAAAAACAGATGATGTTTTCTGATATGGATTTTAATTGTTGAGCTCTGAGTTATGACTGTTTCTTTATTTTCTAGGATAAATAATACCTTATGGTTAAGAGTTGAAGAAATAAGAATACATTTACCGTTAATGACTTGGGTTTTGTTATCCTCTGGGTGCCCCACTTGCCTTTTAATGTCATTGAAAATACATTGAATGTGTTTCCATTAGGTTTATACTATGAAGAGTAAACCATGCCTGTCTTGTGTCTTTGTACTCCAGTAAGAATCCTTCATAATATATCGTGTGTGGGGAAAGTATTTTTATTTTTTCTCTAACTGCCAATTTCCATTTTTGTGGCAGTTGCATTGTAGTGATAATTGGCAGGAGATGAGCATATTGAATTAGATACAGATGTAAAATAAAGGAAAACATCGTGCGTTGTTTATTGAACAATAGGCTTGCCTGTTGAACACTAGGCTTGCCTGTTTTTCATTTGGAGTTTATAGACATTTTTCTGGTTTGTTTTCTAACTTATCAAATGCATTTGTGTTTTTGAATTGAAGTACTGTAAGTGAAACAGACTTCAAAGTTAACTTGAAACTGTCAAGTAATATTTTTTCTAATCTTGTGCTTTAGTTACAATTAGTTGATGACATATATCCAGTATACTTCACTGTGTATATGCTCACTTCATTAAGGAAGTAATGTGGTCTAATTTAAAGACTCTTAATGGGGTAAAGGGGTCTGGTTTTCAGTGTGAACTTTGGTGTTAACTTTAGGTATTTGATTATCTTGCCTAGTTTCTGCAATAGTAAAATAAAAGCAATAATGGAGACTTCAGCCCAAAAAGTTTCCTGTGCAAGGAATTACCAGGTGAATAATATATGTGAAATATATTAAACTGCTAAAGTCATATGCTAAAGCATTAAAGCATTATTCACTTTACTATACTCACAGTTTCATTTTAAAATGAGGCATTTCTTTTGTATTCCACAAAAGTTCATCTTTTCCTTCTTTAGGCTGTGCAGGGTCGGTCTATCACCCAACAAGACCGAGATCTCCGAGTTGATTTAGGATTTCGAGGAATGCCAATGACTGAGGAACAGCGACGCCAGTTTAGCCCAGGTCCACGGACTACAATGTTTCGTATTCCTGAGTTTAAATGGTCTCCAATGCACCAGCGGCTTCTCACTGATTTACTATTTGCATTAGAAACTGATGTACATGTTTGGAGGAGGTAGAAATATTTCTTTTTTATAAATTAAAAGCAAATATTTAAAATATGCCATTGCCTATTCTATTTGGTTTTGACAAAACCAAAAATCTGCCTTGATTAAAGGAATTTCCACATTTTTCTTGTATCTTGTTTAAATTAATACCATGTACTAAATTTATTAGTGATAATAATATATACTGTTTAAGTTTAAAATCACCCTGTGACATGTGTATTCAGAGCCTGTAGTATTTAAGCAGTTAGTGGATATCAGTTCAAAGATGATAACTTAGACAACAAATCTACATAAAGTAAACCATGGCCTTTCTAAATTTTCAATTTAATTTTTTAATAGTAAATGTGAAACAAATTAATTAAGAGAGCACATCATTTACATAGGCATGAATACAATTAGGAAGTCGATGGATATAAGTAGCAAGGGCAACTTAAATGATCTAGCACAACATTCTTAGAAATGTTGGCTTCCATGCTTCTCCTCATTTTCCTTTTAGGATTCAAGGTGGCTGCTTCAGCTCCCAACCTCAATTCATAAGAAACCTGCCCAAATTAAAAGGCAGAGATGACTCTTCTTCCTTCCTCTTCTTCCTGTTTTTCCTCTGCCTCCTCTTCTTCTCTCTCCTCTTTCACTTTCTCTTTTTCTTCTCCTCTTTTCTTCTTTTTTTTAAAGGAAGCCCGTCAAGAAATTTCCCCCTTATATCTCGTGAGCCAGCAGGATCACATCCTCTTTCAAAATCAATCATCAGAAAAAGAAAATGGGATTATAATGACTGGCTTTTAGAGACTAATACTGGTTAATTAACTAGTAACTAGGGTTAGGCTAGTCTTTCCTATACCCAGTCAAGCTCAATAATAAAACAAAATATAAAATGTGTGTTAGCAGGGAAAAAGTTATGACTGTTGTGGAAGAAGTCAATAAAGTCTGCCATAGAAAGATTTTACTTTTGATTTTATTTGATCAATTTGTTCTTAGACTACTCATATACTTTCATTGCTAATTGTTATATGATAAATTACCTAGAGATGGTAACTGAGGAAACCTAAATACCATGAAATACATTGCTATTAACATGAAGACCAATGTATGGAGATAAATTATGTAATTTGATAATTATAATATCAGTAGCCTCCAAGTGAGTGATACTCAGCTTTTTTTCCAACCACCTACTCTGTGTTTTTGTTTTCTTTAATGGGCTCTCATGAAATTACCCAGGTAGAATTTAATGTAATTTAAATTTTTTAAAGGTAACACTTTATTTTTAGGACAGAGAGAAACATCTTGAAATTTAAGATACACAGTGATAGATAATAATTCACAACTCTAAAAGGGTGAGAATTATTGACTCAATTTTGACCATGAAGTAATTTCTTTTTTTTAATCTTATTTTTTTCCCATTAAAAAACAGTTCAGGCTAGGTGTGGTGGCTCACACCTATAATCCCAGCACTTTGGGAGGCCAAGGCGGGAGGATAGCTGGAGCTCAGGAGTTCGAGACCAGGGCAAGACCCTGTTTTTACAAACATTAACTAGGCGTGGTGGTGTCCACCTGTAGTCCCAGCTACTCGGGAATCTCCTGGGCCCAGGGAGGTTGAGGATGCACTAAGCCATGATCCCACCACTACACTCTAGCCTGGGTGACAGCAGAGATCCTTTCTCAAAAAAAAAAAAAAAATTATATTCTTGACTGACACCAAACGAAAGCAGGGTATTTTTTTGACATCTACATTGTATGTTTTGTATGAGAACACTGTACTACCAACTTACTTTGAGATTTTTTCCTTTTCTTATTAAATAAGTTCTTGAATTTGTACTGATTTATTTATACTCCCCTATCATGTCACTTCTTTAGCAGTATACATTTCAATGTGACTAGTCAAAGGTGGGGCTGAAGTCATTGGGGATGTGACAAATTGAAACTGCCTACAAAATAGAACTTTCAGTTAAATTTTTAGGTTTTCGGTTTCAAATTTTATTTATGGTTATGAAAATTTTGAATTGGTTATATTTTGAGTTTCCATATTATTTTTAACATTAGACATACTTTTTATATTTAAAAGGTTTTGCCTTTCAACAAAAAACAATCAGATTTGGCAAAATAAATATTTTTAGCCAAATTTGTTGAGTCAGTCATATGTCTTAGAATCTAGTACTGTATTTTTCAAGCAAAGTAATAATATAATGAGTTAATATACTTGGATACAACAAAATCCTGTGGAGATGAATGCTTAGTTTTTGGTAATATGATATCTCAATTATAAATTGCTTTATTTTATAATTTAATTTTAAATATAGCTAGCTCCTACAGTTCTATAATTTTTCACTTGTTATTCTAATTGTCTAAGCTTTTCATTTAAGTAAGCCAAAACATACTCATTTCTGTTTTCTGTATTTTAGCCATTCTACAAAGTCTGTAATGGATTTTGTCAATAGCAATGAAAATATTATTTTTGTACATAACACAATTCACCTCATTTCCCAAATGGTAGACAACATCATCATTGCTTGTGGAGGAATTTTACCTTTGCTCTCTGCTGCTACATCACCAACTGTAAGTACTTTGCCTCCATCTAGTGGTTATATTTTATAAATACATGACTTTAGCATTTCAGTGGTGGTCTAGGCTATAAACACATTTTAACCAGACCTGTACTTTTTAGGCAAATTTTTAACCATTTAAATTTCTATTTC
This sequence comes from Homo sapiens, assembly GCF_000001405.40. NCBI lineage: Eukaryota > Metazoa > Chordata > Mammalia > Primates > Hominidae > Homo > Homo sapiens. Next base: position 35,164,650 of record NC_000013.11, read on the forward strand.
CACCACTTTTGTTTATCAGTGTTGGGTTCCAGCTGTGTGTGCTTATGAAAATGTTTCTCTGGTAATTCTGATGAATACTTCATCAGAAGAGTATTGCATTCTTCATCAAAGATATTGTATATCTCTTCAAATCTGTAGTATAAATAAACTCTTAAAATCCTTGTTATTTAACATTTTCATTTATTTACTGATTCAACATTTATTTTACAAAATCTAGCCTTGTCTTGATTTGTTTCTATATAAAACATTGAAATGTGTTAATATAATACATTTTAAAGGCATTTAATGTTAATTGTGTATGTCATTTAAAATAAAATAGGTCAATGTTAACTTTGTATTTTAGTTGTCATTAAAAACAAATTCTTTGATTCAGACCAAGGCAGACTCCATAGCTACTTGCTCAGATGGGAAAGAATATAGAATTTTGCTTCCCATATTACCCACGTTCTTGTTGCCGTATTAGAAACTCATCCTTAAGCTCAGAAAGCATACCTTTGCCAGAGGGAAATATTTCATTTTACTAAGATGTGCTTTAGTTGGTGAGACACTGTTTCCAAGTTGATCTCTAAGTGTATTTCATCATTAACAAGCTTTTTCTACATGACTCTTTTTCTTACTGTTCTTTTGTTAATGCCACCACCATCACCAGAGCAGCCTTGAAACTTCAACATTAGCAGCCATAGGCTATATCCTCACACACTTTCCCCAGGCCTTACTCTTCTGTTTTATTCATGAATTTGCTCAAGAAGTCCACAAAGGGAAGCATTCCAGTTCAGAAGGAGGAATGCAACAGAGCAAGTCACCAGTAGGGCCTTAATCAAATTAGCAGCTGAACCAAGGAAATGGAGCTAAGAAGAACAGTATAAATTGTTGATGGTGTGTGAAGAGTGCAAGTATACATACACCACTCCTTTTCTTTAATCTCTCTTTTCCTCTGGTGATTTATACCAAATTCTGGTAAATTGAGAGTTGTGTATGATTTTTAAAATGCTTTCTAATAGTGAGACATAGAGGGCATTTTTTTCTTCTCTTTTCTTTTCTTTTTTTTTTTTTTTGACAGAGTATCATTCTGTGACCCAGGCTGGAGCAGAGTAGGGCGATCTCAGCTCACTGCAACCTCCGCCTCCTGGGTTCAAGCAATTCCTCTGCCTCAGCCTCCCAAGTAGCTGGGATTATAGGTGTGCACCACCACACCCAGCTAATTTTTGTATTTTTAGTAGTTATGGGGTTTCACTATGTTGGCCAGGCTGGTTTCAAACTCCTGACCTCAAATGATCTGCCTGTCTCAACCTCCCAAAGTGCAGGGATTACAGGCATGAGCCACTGCTCCCGGCCAACGTGTTTTTTGTTTTATATATTGAAGACTGAATAAATCAATATTTTCTTTGTGACATTTTTCTTGATCATATAAATTGCATTTTGTTTTATAAATTATCATTTGTTATGAAGAAATTTTTAAAAGGTTGTATTGAAATTCACTTTGAAATGTAATATTGAATGTTTTTAAATTTTGCATGGAACATAAAATGCTTCTTATGTAAAAAAAACAGTTTAGCAATAAGTTATTTCAATTTGTATAGGTTTAAAATATTCACATTACTAAATAGTTTTCCAAATTTTAAAGGCAAAAGATCTTTAACTATTAAGATAGAATATTAAAGTAATGAAGTAAACTATAACATACATACTATTGCACCAGTCAAATTTGCTTATTTGTTTTATGATGATTGTACAGTAAAGATACTGACGCTTTGAGGTTGGCTTCCAAAATTATTACGATTCAATTTTGACCACTGTAGTTTGGAATTTAAAATTATTTATTACCTAGACTATCTCAACAGACTTGGGAATTCATTCAATTATAGAAACCTTTGTTTATTTTCTCAATTTCTATATTTCTGTTATTTTGGCCCATTAACTGTTTGGACCTATGCCTGGTTGTACAACATAGCTGATTTTATGTTTTTAGAATGAATTGCTTCCTTAAGAGAAATAGCCGAACCTTTCTCCCATTTTGTATCTGGTAGAACTATGATTGGTGCTGACTGCTGAATGTTGTTTTTCTATTATGAATGTTGTTTTTGTATTACTGGGTTGTATAATATTCTTGCTAGAAGTTGTAACATAGCAGAGGGAAAAAGTTGGGAAAGAGGAGGTTGAATAATGAGGGAAATTAAACCGAATATTTGGGCTTTTTATATTTAAATTTAAAGTGTAAAAAGCCAAAAGAGAATTTTGGAAGGGATAAGTGAAAAAAGGAAACATTGGCAACGTGAAGATTACTGAAAGGAAACATTGTCTTGTAGGTGCTTTTAGAATTTTAATCCTAGATATATGAAGAGAGATGGAAACATTTGAAACTAAGGTTTGAGTGAGCTGGTAATTTTGTTTATATATATATAGTTTTTCAGAATATTCTTGTGTGCATTTTATGAAGAAATAGGAATAATAATGGTTTATGGCAGTAGTTCACAAACTTTTGTGTATGGGGCCAGATGGGAAATAGTTTAGGTTTCATTGGCAGTATTGTTATCTGTCACAGCTAGTCAACTCTGCTGTGATAGTACAAAAGCAGCAATAGACAATACATAAACAAATATTTTTTGTCTGCTGTTTCTGTGAGATTGACATAGAAGTGGTCTCTTTTCTGCCCTGGAAATTTAGATGAGTACAGTAATTTATACTAGAGATAACATTTTTGTATTGCTGTTATAGTATCATCATCATGGAAGAAAATTTTTGAACTGTTTAATCTTAGTTGGAAGGTACATATCTTAATGGAAACTTAAGAAAAAAAGAACATATATATATTGTTTATAATGATAGTTTGAGCACCTTGAACTTAGTACTCTTGAAGAAGCAGCACTTTATGGGAGTTTCAGTTTTGCCCAGATTACTTAAATTCATATGTAGCATAGAAAATAAATTACAAAAATAGTTTCAGATCTCCGAGTTAGACCAATAGTTTTAACTGTACTCAGGGAAAAAAAATAGACCTCTTAGTATGTAGTTTGGCCAATCTTTGCTTTGGGAAAGCAGCATTATTTTTGTTGTTGTTGATTTTTTTAGTTGATGTTTCTGTGACTAGTTAATTGAATCCTCTCATTTATTCTCTAATATATTGTTTAACTTGGTCATAAATGAAAGTGAAAAATTGGAGAAGAAAAAGAAAAGCAAAGAACATGGATCAACCACAAATTGCACACTTTGTGATTTTAAGTTGACCACTTTAGTCAGCCATCCAGAACACTGAATATTATGGAGCTTAATTCAGGGCTTAATTTTCTCTGTCCCAGAAAAATAGTAGAGACTGACATTTCTAGCTCTCCTAATAGTTTCATAATTATAAGAAAGAAGAGCTGCTTTTTCTATTCTGTCCAAAAATAACAAAGTCTTAATTTTAGTTTATTTTTATTATCAGAATGTATCATAAATAGATTTGGAAAAATTATGAATAATGTTGTTGGTTTTGCTGTTCTTTTGTTTATGTCATAGGACTGATCATACTTTACTATTCTCAGGATGCTTTTATATGTTTTCCTATACAATGTACCATGAAAATAGCATATTTTAAGATTTATACTCACATGTACTTGTCAAAAATTAGAAAGAATAGTTGATGATTTTTATTGTGAAAACTAATTCTATCTGATATTTGAATATAATGAATATAATTATTAATGTAATAAGAATCTTAAACTTAGTATAATACCTATTTAATTACCTTTATTCATATTCAGGCCTCATTTAGTATATCAAGTTATTTTCTAGCATGGAAAAGTGGTTTATAAGTTATAATCTCTCAAATATTTTGTTATTTTATTAACTTCTCAGAATTTTCAACTATAGGAAGCTTTCTGTATATTTGAGAATACAAATTACATTATTTCCTTATAGAAAATTCTAGAGGTTGGTATAAATAGTTCATTTCCCTGAGTCATTTCTGCCTAAACCAGAATTGAGGTAGGGATTTTGCAGAGGCATTATGTTAGCTTATTTATTAAAATGTTCCATTAATTATAGGAAAAGATACTTGTTTTGTAAAATAGAGTATGCATTATTTCTAATATATGAACTATACTTATATATATTATTTGGGCAGAGTTACTACAATAAAAATAAGTTGAAGTCTAAATATTTGATATTTAACCTTGATCATGTATAATTTATAAAATGAAAATCTCTTCTGAGAATTTTGCTTTTAATAAAATAATCAAATATAATTTTTAAATATATTATTTTGTGTTTCAATTTTACATTGTATTTTCATTTAATTTAATAATTTCCTTTTCTTGTACTTTTTGGTCTGTTGTCTGTTTTGTCTAATGCATGTCCAGGGTTCTAAGGTTAGTATTACTTTTGTAGTAATTTTCAGCTTTCAGTTTCAAGTTTTATTTTTACTTATTTATGAAATTTTTGACTTGGTTATATTTTGAGTTTTCATATCATCTTTAACATGAGACATATCTTTTGTATATTTAAAAGAGTCATTGAAAGGATTATTTTCCCAATGCATTGATGTATTACTATTTTATTATGCACAATAATCCCTAGATTAAACTATCATATTGAACACAATGGTGTTACAGTCATATGTACAATCAGATTTTAATTGGTTCTAAGGAAAGTAAATTGGATGAAATATATTATTTTAAGATTTAATAATTGTATGAGAGTGATCTTTATTTTTTAGCCCTATCTTTTGATGCTTACATACTTCATTTTTTAAATTACTTTTATATAAAATGGAATACAAATTCTCTTTTAGACTGTTGTGTTGAAAGTGCCTTCTACTCTAAAATTTAATTTTTTCAGTCAAAAAAACACTTTGATGGATTATATGGACACCTTAATAATTCTATTTATAATTCACTCATTTTAAAATGAAAGCATAGTTTGACAGGTCAAAACACTCAAAACCATTAAATAATGAATATAGAGAGATAGCTATCTGCAATTTCAGTGATTCAAAATGATGAAGAATTTGTGAACACAGATCTAGATATTCTAAATTCTAACATTTGAAAAATTATTTATAGTATTTGATAGACCTAAGAAATGGCCAAGTTCTTCATTCCTTTATAGAACATTTTAAATTGAAAACAGATTTAAAATGAATTTTTTGCTCTTTCTTATGAGCTATGATGTCATGGTCATAGATTTTTAATTGATATTATGAAGTGATGCTGTATATTCATGAAGTGCTAAGAAGTAAAGAATCTGCATTTTAAAATCCAAGTAATGAATTAATCATTTCTTTATGCCATGTGTACTGAATTGGCATAATGTTGTAACAACTGAAAACACATTTCTGTCTCTTTCCAGGCTCATTTTAGAGAGAATGGTTTTAACCCTATTTTGCTGTTAAATGGAAGGAGGAATGGTTGTTACATTTTATACATCATTTAAAACTGAGCTTAGTTATATAATGCTTGTAGTAGCCACCTATCCTTTTTATTACCCACTTTGTGCACAAGAAATGTTTTGAGTATTTTGAGTTCTTTTTTCAGTGTTTTCTGCTCACGTTTCCATGTTAATGCTCCTGCTTCTTCCAAGCAGGAAGAAGTTTAGGTATAATGATGGCTATAAACAGTGTCAAAATGGAACATTAAATAGGAATAGATACCTATTACATATGCTAACCTTGTAGTTGAATTTATCATTTGGTTAAGAGTTAATATTGATTGGAATGGCTAGTGTGTCCATTTTCAGAAAATTTAAATAATTTTTTTTTACTTATGAAGTATTCCCTTCCTTGGTTCCTTGAGGCACTGATAAAATGAGGCCTAGTCCTAAGGAACAAAAATAATTAAAATGCTGTATAGTCCATGGTGCAAAACAAAATAAGAAATGTTGACATTGTTTAAAAAACCATAAAGTTGTGCATTTTAAGAAACACAATGCTTTGTAATATTCCCTCTGAAATCAGAAATGTAGTGAAAGTACAGTTTTCCAATCTAGAATGCTATGATTCTTTTTATTACTAGTGTTTTATAAGTCACGAATTAAATATCTATAGATGAGTTAGCGATCTTGATTATTTTTACCCTAGAGTTTTATCGTACATGTAAAGTACCTAGTAGTTTCAGTTTATTCTAAAATGGATAAGAAATTGTTATGCATTCTAATTTGACAGCCATCTCATTTTGATACTAAGTTAAATTACCATGTATTTTCCCTATTATTCATCATACATCTATAGGAAAGAAAAATCAAAGCATATATTTTTATTAATGGGAATGAAGATTTTAGAAAAGAAATATCAATTTAAAATCTTTATAAATTACAAAACAAAACTAGTATAAGTACATATATGTGGTTCTGTCTAAATATCTTTGTGAAATGATCTTAAGTTTAGGATGTCATTTTTATAACTAAAGACATTTAAAACTAATGTTGATTTTAAAATGGGCTTTTCCTTTATTCAAGGATAATTGATAGGTAAAGTAACCGAATTTGGTAACCAGCTCTGGTGATATATGGAATTAGTTGAACATTTATTTTATTTATAAAATATGGTAAATATACTAAATTTATGTTCACTTGTAGTATGTATGTATATGTATTATATTTCCAAATTTCCAAATTTTAAACAAGACTTAAATCTTCTACTTTTTTAAAGACGGAATTGGAAAATATTGAAGTGACACAAGGCATGTCAGCTGAGACAGCAGTAACTTTCCTCAGCCGGCTGATGGCTATGGTTGATGTACTTGTGTTTGCAAGCTCTCTAAATTTTAGTGAGATTGAAGCTGAGAAAAACATGTCTTCTGGAGGTTTAATGCGACAGTGCCTAAGATTAGGTAAGTCTGTTAAAACAATAGTGCATGTCAAATAATTATCTACAGAGCAGCTTTATAAAGCACTATGGTACATAAAATATTAATGATATAAGTTGATGATTATATAATATGGAGATTATCTTGAGATACAGAGATTATTTTTATAATTAATCAGAATTACTAAATTTTAAAAAATTATGCCTTCACATTGGAGATTTCACAGAACTGATCATCTTTAATGGTTCATAGTTTGAAATCAAGAGTGAAATATACTTGGAATTCTTTCAAAATCAGTAAGACTAACATTTGTCATTGAAGTGATTTTTAATGCAAATCCATTTATGAATCCAATTTTGGTAAACCAATACTGAGGGTAGTGTCCTGGCCTCACAAACATGTCAGATACACATAATGCTAGAAGGTTAAAATAAACTATCCCAATCTTACTGTTTCTTGGGGTGAACAAATGTCCCTAATAAATATTGTTATACCCATGCTGTTCACCTTTTATCTGTGTGGCAGTGAAACTTTAGCACTGAAACCTCTTAGTAAATCTGAATGAATTCTTTAGATAAGAACCATTTCTACCTCTCTTAAAAGGAACATTTATTTACACTATTTAGACTTTCAAAACCAGAAAACTGCTGTTTTTGTACTTGCCTTAGATCATGAGCAGGACATAAGAACTGCAAGGCATGAAATAGGAAGGACGTTCCTGATATGTACTGTTTTCACCCATAACTTTTAAAGATTATGTCAAAAATTCCTTTCTGATTCAAGAAAGGAACAAAGACTTGGTTTAAGAATGGTGGGATGAAACCTTTTTTTGTTTGTTTGTTTCGTATTATTTATTTAAAGACAGGCAAGCTGAGAGGAATCATTTTGTATTCATTATAAGAGAAAGATTGACCACATTAAGATCTTTCTGGCAACCAAGAGGTGTGGGTTAACTGACGGTGGGCCATTAAAGACATTTCCATTGACATATAACAAGAGCTGTCAAATGAACTGTGTGAGAAAGAGATATATATATATATTTTTAAAATGGCTCAATATCTTGAAACCTGCATTTATTTGGTTATTCTGTACTTTTATTTTTAAATATAGTCCAAGACTTTACTCCCTATTTCATTTTTATCCTAATACTACTAGCACATTTAGTTGTTTAATCAACCACAGGAAACTTTTATAAGTGAATAATAATAAAACACTTATATTACCTCCTATGCTATTTACTGTTCTAAGCACTTTCTATATATTAATTCAGTTAATCCTCACAACAGCCCTCTAAGGCAGTTACTTTGTTCATCCTCATTTTACATATGCTAAAACTGAGGCACAGATAGTTTAAGCAGCTAGCCTAAAACCACACAGCTCCAAACTGGAAAATACAGGATTCAAACTCAGGTCACGGTCTGATTTCAAACTCTGTACTACTTGTTACAGTATTCTACTGCTTCTTAAAATAAATGAATAAATAAAAACATGTACATATTGAATGCTTATTGACAAAGCCCAGAGACTTTCCCACCATGAAGGAAGGTGAATTTGGGGACCTGTGAGACTTGAGTATACTGATGTACTCTATTATTGCCCGAAATGGGAAGTTGTGCTCAGTAGAGTCGACAAGATAGTCAAATTAAGGGCAGAAGCTTTATTAAATTTTTAAATCAAATATGAATTTTATGTTTAAAATATTTTATTGATCCATAAATTCAGAACTGTGAAACTCAGAGGGTAACAGAATAAGGAAGGATACATTGGGGGTTTCAGAGCCTCTGGTAATGTTTTATTTCTTCAGCTGGCTGGTGGTATATGGGTATTTTGTTTTATTTTTAACTATATGTATATTTTGTAGGTACTTTCACTACTGTATTTCATAATTTTGAAAATTATTGATCTAGTTGATTTTAAGATTAATAGTTTATGAAGCAAGGGGAAAGAAAGGGAAGAAGAAATAAACTTGCAACTTTTTCCAGGATATCAAAGTCAACAATTTATATTAACAATATGTTTTTGAATTTTTAAATAGTTTGTTGTGTTGCTGTGAGAAACTGTTTAGAATGTCGGCAAAGACAGAGAGACAGGGGAAATAAATCTTCCCATGGAAGCAGTAAACCTCAGGAAGTTCCTCAAAGTGTGACTGCTACAGCAGCTTCGAAGGTAAGTAAACTTTTTTTCTTGGCCAAATATAATTTACCTGAAAAAAATCTTTTTTAAGTTGATGAGAACAAAGTGCCATGGTATTGCTCAGTGATAGAGAGCAAGGACATTGTCATTAGGCAGCTCTAGGCTGCTTAACAATTTTGTTACCAAGATTACTTAACTTCTCTGAGATTTGTGTGTTTTGGTTATTAAATGAAGTTACTAACAATTTCTACTTAATAAAGTTCTTACAAATATTATAATTAGCACTAAAAACTGTTATTTCTATTTTTAATAGTCATATATTTTCACAGAATTTAATGTATGAATAATTCTCCTTTTAAATGGGTAGGCATAATAGTCAACAAAAACTCACTGAATGCCCATTCAATGAATGGAGTATTTTGAAATATACTATTAGTTTTCTTTCTAAATTAGCTTTCTTTATCATATGCTTAACTGGCCCTTGGCGTCACATCCAGTTTCATTAACATGCTTTTTGAGGTTCTGTGCCTGGTCCTTGCTTACTTCTCCAGCAGCAGCTCTCAGCCCTTTACCCTTGCTTGTGCTGTTTTAGTCATACCATAGACTTCATTCTGTTCATCAAAAGAAGCTATTTCCCCTAACTTCTCAGACTTTTATATGATTTCCTTTCCATAAAGTATTCATCCTTATTTTTTATCCAGCTAAAATCTATGTAACTACTAGGTTACCTTAAATGCTACATTTTCTCAGGAAAATGTTTTTTGACACCCTCGCTACCACCCCAGTCAGTCTAGGGTTGTTCCTTCTGTTTGTTGTTTTCATAAAATTACATAGGTCTGTTATCACTCATTACACTTGTAATTACATGTTTAATATTGATACAGTAACTTTTTGCTCAATAAGTGAAGGTATGAAATAGAAGTTTAATTCATCTTAAAAGTTCTATTGCTTTAAACTTCTGCAGATGGCAAGCAGACTGACCACATATTTATCCTATTCGTTGGTTATTTGCAGTGTTGTAACTTTTTTCTTTTTCACTACTGTCAGAGAACATTTGTAATTTGACTATATATTATTTACTGCTCACAGGACTCCATAGTGCTCTTATTTGGTTTGGGAAATTAAATACAAATGGATCATCAGTAATGCCTGATATCATTTGTGTAGGCATAGTAGACAGATAGGTACTTGAGGGCAGTGTCTATGTGTTATAGATCTTTGTAACTTCAGAGTAATTTTTTTTTTTTTTTGAGATGGAGTCTCACTCTGTTGCCAGGGTGGAGTGGAGTGGCATGATCTCGGCTCACTGCAACCTCCGCCTCCTGGATTCAAGCGATTCTCCTGCCTCAGCCTCCCAAGTAGCTGGGACTACAGATGTGTGCCACCACGCCCAGCTAATTTTTCTATTTTTAGTGGAGACGGGGTTTCACCACATTGGCCAGGATGGTCTAGATCTCTTGACCTCATGATCACTCACCTTGGCCTCCCAAAGTGCTGGGATTACAGGCATGAGCCACCACGCCCGGCCACTTCAGAGTATTTATAGCACTATGAGTACTTTGTAAAAAGAGGACAACTCTAGAATCAGACAGTTCTGAGTTTGTGTTCTGGCTTTACCACTTAACTGGTTTTGCGACCTGAGAGAAATCTCTTAAATTTCTGTGCCTCCGTTTTCTAATCTTTAAAATGGATACAAATCTTAATTTACAGAGTGTTTGTATTAATTAGACAAAAAGTGATAATAGACTGACATGCTTTGATTTCTGGCATGCAGTGAACATTCAGTTATTACTGATTTGTTCCCCTGTCTAGCAGTTTGACACTTAATATATTGTCGTGAAACGAATAAATAGTATTTTGAAGGTGACACCTTTGAGATGTAAGCACTTCAAAATAGTAATGTATTTAGTAATTTGTAGATATACTAAATAAAGTAGATAATAGAAAGTCCTTAAAGATTTTTATAACTAGTATTTCACTGATTGTAGAATATGGACAGAAAAGCCCAGTGGGAAGGAAATTGGTAGTAACTTACTTGAGCTAATCAGTATTTATCTGGCAAGAACTTTGGCAGTGAAAAATGGGTAAGTAGCGATGAATGTAAAAATACTAGGGGAAGATTTGACATTTCACAACAATGAATGGATCTGAGTGGTGTTTCTTTTTTTTTCCTTCCTGTGTTATGTGTTTCTTATGTGACATTTTAGGAAGTAAATCGAGTAATTTTTGAATGCAGTGGGAAAGTTTCTTGCAAGTTTCTTGCATGAATCCCATACCTTCATGTGACCTCATTTTTATACTGTGTGAAAAGGAACAATTACACAAGCTTCTCCTATCATGTTGTCTTTATAAGGATCAAATTAGATTAGGGGTAGAGAAATATAGAAAAGAAAATATTTCTAATCTTAAAATCTATGTTATAAATTCATTTATGCTGTAAATTATGTATTATTTTCTTTAACCATCCTGTAGTAAATATTATTAGTCTGTTATTCAGATGATGTAGCTGAAGTTCAGAGAGGTTAACTTCTCACCGATGGTCATATAGCCAGAAGTTTTGGAATTGTAATGGAAACCAAATACTATCAACCTTTAAATACTATGCTCTTTTTACTATGGCGTGCTGCCAAGGAATCAAACATTTTAATTTTGGGCTAGAATATCATGATTGACATTCATTGAGAAATAGAAGGTACCCTGTTTATTTTTCATTGTTAGAGTAACAACAAGTGCATACCTATTATGGGCTGGAATTGTATTTTGCATTATACATATTATCTAATTTAATCCATACAATTTTTAACACACTGTATAAGTGAGAAAGTACTTGATTGAGTTTCAGGGACCCTAGTTCACTTAGTAGTCTACTATGTGACTACATTACCTGAAATATGTAGATGTTTTTCCTCCAACTATAAAATGTTTTGTTGGTAACAATCTTTAATGTCTTTCAGCTTTAATGGGCTGTGACTGATTCTTTTTAATCTTACCGTTTCTAACCTTGGATAGACCATGAAATGGTTACACATACAAAATCTCATATACTAGTGTAGTATAATAATCTCATATATTATAAAAGCATGATGGATAAATGAACCCAGAGGCTCAAAGAGATTTGTTAACTAGAGGTAGAGAAATGAGGCTCAGGAAATCTTCTGAAGTCCAAGACGAATCTTTATTCTGCTATAACTTTACCTGCCTTTATGAGTCTATAGTGGTAGCTGTGCCAATAAAGAACAAGAATGCTAGTATGGAAACCATGACATGAGTAGAGAGCAGAAAATATGCATTGTAATAGAGGATTATGATCAATAAATGTTAACTCAGAGAGGTGGAGATACATGATGTGACCAGTTTAGCCTGAATTAAGAAGTGATACTTCTATATATTATCTGTAATATATTATCTATTCACAATTCTTTTTATTTTCAAAGACTCCATTGGAAAATGTTCCAGGTAACCTTTCTCCTATTAAGGATCCGGATAGACTTCTTCAGGATGTTGATATCAATCGCCTTCGTGCTGTTGTCTTTCGGGATGTGGTAAGTTATACCTGATTGGTTTCCCTGAAATAAACCTTCTACTGTCATTCGTATGAAATACGTTTTATAAGAAAGCTGCTTATGAAAACGACATTCCCTAGTATCTGGGATTGTTGGTTTATTGCATACTTCTCATTATAAAATGGTTGAACCTTAGCTTTCTCTGAAAGCTTATTGATAATGTTACTTTTAAAAAATGGTCTGAAATTTTGATGTAAGTTGCTTGCATACTAAGAATAGGACTAGCTCTGAAAAATTATAATTAACTTTATCTTGTATCAACTACTCCTCTCTTAGTATTCCTTGCTCCATTTGCAGGTACTAAAAATTTGTTATTATTAATGTTCCTTACATTATGGATGAAAGGGATTAATTCATTAGGTGTTACTGACAATTACTTTTGGAGGAGGGGCAATTAAAGAATAATCTGCATTTTAAAAAATACAGGTATCTATGGGAATTTGAGTTAGAAAGATAGCTTAATAAAGCTAAAGGGAAAAGATGAAGAGGTTTCATGGAACCCTCCAATCTTATGATCAGTTACTCCAGGCAAATAAAAATAAGATTGGCCTTTTCAAAAATTGCATAGAAACATATATGGTGTTTCACATCAGATTCAATGCTGACAGCATCTCTTAACATGGTTATTATAAACCAGCCACTTTGAATTCTGTTTTTCTTGTTTTAGTTGATGATTCTTATCTAGTTGTTGATTGTATATGAAATGTAGAAGAAAGTTTATATTTTAAATTTATATTTAACAGTAAATTGAATGGCATGCTTTGTACTTTAGAACATGATTAAAATATATTTAGGTTATATAACATAATGCTATATGTTAGGAATGTACAATAGAAAAATCATCACTCTGTTTAATATATATTAGTTATAAAATGCTAGGAAAATTCCAAACATACCAACAGAAAAATAGGCAATGGACACAAGGCAACAAACATGATAAAAATTCAGTATCCCTAGTAGTCAACAGAATGCAGATTAACACAGGAGTGAGAGATTTTTCACTATTAAATAAACTAAAAATTTTAAAATGATAATACCTAGCATTGTCTGGGTGCAGTGAAAGCTGCTCTGTCAAATATCACTGGTGTTTGAGCTTTCGAATAGCTCTTTGCCAATATGGTTAAAACTCTTACAAATCTTGATGTCCCAATGAACCACTAGAACCCAGTCGTTCTAGTCAGAATTTGTTTAACTTAATGTTTTCATCAGAGATATCTACAGGAAATTTGGCAGCATTATAAATATCCAGTAATAGAATTTTGGCCTAAAAATTCTTGGCGTAGTCATTCAGCAGTGACCTATTCAGCCTTTAAGCATATATTTTTGAAGGAAATTTAATGACAACGGAAAATGATCATGATATATTTTAAGAGAAAGCAACAGCATGTAGAAGTACTTACATTAACAAGTATTACATATGTATACTGATTGTATGTACATACATACGTGCATCTTTATTTTTAAAAAAAGACTGAAAAAATATACCAGTATTCCACCAATGATTATGTCTAGGTAAACAGATTTTATTTATCCTTTTATGCTTTTTTGTAGTTTTAAATTTTTTATAATAAACCTATATTGTTTTTATAATTAATAAATAATGAAGGTTTTTTTAAAAAGGGAGACTACATTAAAGTATAAAAACCACAATGTAAGAACTCACTGTAATCTAAACTCTAACCTAGACTTGGAAAGAAGATACCATTCTTACTGACAGTTTAACCATTTAGAAATGGGAATAGTCATCCTGAAAAAATGTGTTGTGAAAAGGATTTTTTTTAATGAATGAATGATTAAAAACATGGAGCTCATCTTCATCTCCAAAGGCACAGTCAGACGTAATATATAACATACCGGAGGAGTTTCTATTAAGGGTGACATAGTGTTTAAATTGTTAGTAAATTTTGAATTAGGTTATATGGTAAATGATGATCATTTCCCTTAAATTCATGGATATTTTATAAATATGTTGGATAACCCAGCAGTGGTTGTATCTGTGAAATATGGTGATGAAAAGAGAATGCTTTGGAAAGATCTGGGTTTGAATTCTGACTCTACCTTATACCAGTTGTGTGGTCTCAGTGTTTCTGAGTCTTAACTTTTTCTTAACCCTTAACTGGAAACTTAGGATAATATGTATTTAGTGCTTGATACATAATATAAACCCAATTAACACAAGTTATATTACCTTGATGTTGTTCGGAAGGTACACCATGGCAACACTTAAAGCAGACCGGAGAAACATTATATAGCTCATGTCTTCTCAGTAATAAAATACCTGAGCAAGTCAATTAATTTGTATAAAAATTTAGTCATTCCCCAGATGTTTAGCCTCTATGTATACTGAGCTTCATTTCCAAAGACAGAACTGGGAATAAGAAGCACAACTGACTAGGAGATCTGGGTTAAAAAAAAATAAAAAATAAAAAATAAAAAAAAAAGCTAACTCTTTTCATGCCATATATAAAGGAGGTTTTCGTGTAGCTATGACAGCAGTTTAGTGTCTGTTATTTACAGCGCTGCCACTGTGTAGTTGGCATTCATTCATTCATTCCACACATATTTGTTGAATGCCTTCTGATTGCCTGGTACTGAGTTTCTAGTGTTAGAAATAGAAGTATTATGGGATATTATGGTCTGTCACAGCTTGAGCAATGTGTGAATCTGTTCTTGGTTGGTATCTTTTCTTAATCTGATTGTGCTTCATTTTCCTTTGTAATAACTGCTTAGGCATTTGATTTCTTCACTTCTCTCTGTGTTTATTGTATCATCATTGTAGTGCAAGGAATATGCATTTTAAACAGTTTGTAAGACAAAGTATCTCTAGAAAAGCTATAACCCACAATGTATGAAATAGTAAATTAGGAATAATTCAGAACAGATTTTGTGTATTTTGGTCATTTTCCCCATTAGCCAGACTGTTTTACAATATTAAATCATCAGTAAATATGTCTTATTTGCTTTTTGCCTGCAAATGCACATAAATTATGAATCTTGTTTGCATTGTGCTTAGATGAAGTAATAAATATAAAGTGCCTGTTAATCGAGTTACTAGAATTTATTACTTGCTTGTTTTCCTTATTTCTTATTCTGCCTCTTATCTGTGGGCCACAGTAACTGCTTTCAGTTTGGTTTGAAAGTATCAGTTTTACCTAGCTTATAAAAGAAGTTTAATAAAGATTTACATTTTATTCCTTAGATATACTCTAGTATATTAGAGGTCATATAATTTAGACTTGATACTTATTGTTTCCCTGAAATAAGTTTATCTAGGCTTTTTGAATAGAGCTCTCAAGGTTACATGCAGCTTGTTATATTTTTGGAAAGCATACTTATTTTAAAGTTATCTCTCTACCATACCACAGCCGTTGTTTTAACTATCATTGCTTTCTGCCTTGGCCAGTTTTTTTCAAACCTTTTACCATTTGCTGTTCTCCTCTGGAAGAACTCCATTTTATCTTTGAGTTTGGAAATGAGGAGCGTGAAATATTGGCAGTGTTTTAGAGGTCATTTTTCCTGTGCAGAATAATGGACTATTATTTCTTTTAAAAAATGTTCTATTTCCATAGGTTTTTGGGAAATAGTAGTATTTGAATACACGAGTAAGTTCTTTAGTGGCGATTTGTGAGACTTTGATGCACCCATCACCTGATCAATATACACTGACCCCAATTTGTAGTCTTTTATCTGTCACCCACTTCCCACACTTTTCCCTTCTAGTCCCCAAAGTCCATTGTATCATTCTTATGCCTTTGCATCATAGCTTAGCTTCCACTTATGAGTGAGAACATATGATGGTTTTCCATTCCTGAGTTACTTACTTCACTTAGAATAATAGTCTCCAGTCCCATCCAGGTTGCTGCGAATGCCATTATTCCATTACTTTTTGTGGCTGAGTAGCATGACATAGTGTATATATATACCACAGTTTCTTTATCCACTCATTGATTGATGGGCATTTGTGCTGGTTCCACATTTTTGCAATTGAAAATTGTGCTGCTATAAACATGCATGTGCAAGTATCTTTTTCATATACTGACTTCTTTTCCTCTGGGTAAATACCCAGTAGTGGGATTCCGGGATCAAATGATAATTCTTTTAGTTCTTTAAGGAATCTGCACACTGTTTTCCACGGTGGTTGTACTAGTTTTCATTCCCACCAGCAGTGTAGAAGTGTTTCCTTTTCACCCCATCTGTGCTAATAACTATTATTTTTTTATTATGGCCATTCTTGTGAGAGTAAGGTGGTATCACATTGTGGTTTTGATTTGCATTTCCCTGATAATTACTGATGTTGAGCATTTTTCATATATTTGTTGTTGGCTATTTGTATATATTCTTTTGAGAATTGTCTGTTTATGTCTTTAGTCCACTTTTGGATGAGTTTTTTTTTTTTGCTAATTTGTTTGAGTTCCTTGTAGATTGTGGCTATTAGTTCTTTGTCGGATGAATAGATTGTGAAGAATTTCTCCCACTCTGTGAGTTGTCTGTTTATTCTGCTAACTGATCTTTTTGCTATGCAGAAGCTCTTTAGTTTAATTAAGTCCTGCCTATTTATCTTTGTTTTTGTTGCATTTGCTTTTGGGTTCTTGGTCATGAAATCTTTGCCTAAGCCAATGTCTAGAAGGGTTTGTCAAATGTTACCTGTTTATACGATCAAAGATTGAATTAGCTTTTTCTTATGCTGCCATAATCATACTTCTGGCTCATATTGAGCTTATGTAAATTCATGTTTTCTGCTCCCCCATTGTTTATTTCTCCTCTATTTTGTATTCATATAGTCTCTTGTTCCAGTTACACTAGGATTTTATATGTATTTCAGTTGGAGTTTTATCCTACTAATTTTATTCAGTTATAGTATATAAAACCCTTGATTTTTTTAAAATCCAGGACATTATTCTTTTCAACTTTGTGCCATCTACATATTTTATAAGCACACATACTATGTTGTTATGTAAGTAGTAGATAATAATGGACAAAAATGGACAAAGAATAAAATTTTAATATTCTAGTTTTTGGAAATTACATTCCAACCTGTAGATGATATATTTTAGGAGTTTTATATTTATAGTTAAATAATACTTATTAAATAAATATATATATTTAGCAGGTTTTCATAAAAGTTACATATCATATTTTGCCTCCATAAAGATAATAAAATAGCAGTTTCTAGTGCTTTAAGAACTTATACTTCAAAAAGTTTGAGTGTTAAAACTGTCTTTTCATTTTTCATAGGATGATAGCAAACAAGCACAGTTCTTAGCTCTGGCTGTTGTTTACTTCATTTCGGTTCTGATGGTTTCCAAGTATCGTGACATATTAGAACCCCAGAGAGAGACTACAAGAACTGGAAGCCAACCAGGTAGAAACATCAGGCAAGAAATAAATTCACCAACAAGTACAGGTACTTAACATTGTATAATTATTTGAATTTTCACCATGATGTATCTCCTTTTTTTCACCTTTACATCTAGATTTAAACTGGACCTCTTCATAATCACCTCAAATATTTATGAATGGTTGGTATAGAAATGCTAATTTAGTATTCCTTAATTCAACAAAAATGTATGAATGGTATTTTTATATAGTTGCTACATTCTCATTTTATCAGTATAGCTTTGGTTTCAGTGTTTCTCATTTATTAATACAAATCATTAATTTATACCACTATTTAATATGCAAGTAACTCATATATTGTTAAATATATTACTTTTTTAACATTTATAAACATGAAAGTAGAAAGTCATTATAGAGTTGTTCAATGCCAAGGGTAAGCCAAAATACAAATCTTTGTAGCCAAGCTCAAAAGTTGGATTTTTTTCTTTTTTAGCTGTATACAGTTAATTCAGTATCTAAATATTCTATCAGTGATTTATAATCAAACATGTGTTCTAAACTTTATACCAAAGTGGCCTCAACTAAAATCAAAGACTTGTGGAAAGTTAACATGGACAACAATGAACCACCTTGGGTCATGCTGCCTTTTTTCATTTGCAAAAAATGCTCATGTTGCAGCAGTTCTTGCATTACTAGCTTTGCCCACTCTACTTGAACAGCATAAACACAGTTTCTGGCAACTAACATTTTAATATTGGACACCTTCTATCATTATCATTTCCTTCCAGGTGTTTATATCAAGGTTGTTTCTCTATTGTTTGCAGTGAAACCTTGATAACCTAATGGTTATTTCATGTACCACTGGATTAATTTGTAGTTGAAATTTTCTTTCCTAAATAAATGCATATGATTTATAAATAAAATGGATATTTCAAAAAGTGAGTAGAAATTAGTGGTCAAATCTCTGCATCTTGTTTTTCATAAGCATATCCTATTTCATATACCTTTTATTGATGTCATGGAGATATGGATTATGTTTTAGCTACAGTATTTTGCTGTTGCATGATACATGTACTTTTAACACACAAACATGAGAATATTTCATTATAATATACTTTTGCTTTTAATTTTATTATTCAAATTAAACATCATCCTACCATTCCAGTTCATGTTTTTTCACCATTTAAAACACTAAGACTTATCATTTTCTTTTTCTTCATTTTTAATGCTTTTATATCCATTATATGTACAAAAAGTAATAGTATAGTGAACCTTCTAGTTCTGAGTTTCTTGTGTATTTGTATGTCTCTGTGTATGTTGCTAGAATTACTCTACTTAACAAATGTATTATTTTCTTTCTCTTAATACATAAACTCTTTTCTTCAGAGATGCATTCGTTATTGCTAGTATTGTTTGCATGTTGCAGTAATACAGAATTGTCATGGATCTTCAGTGGACCATGTGGCAGGTTGTTACATGCTGGCTCAAATTTGATTCCATGATTTTCTCCACAGTTGTGGTCATACCATCTATCCCTCATCCAAGTTTGAACCATGGATTCCTTGCCAAGTTAATTCCTGAGCAGAGCTTTGGCCACTCATTTTACAAAGGTAATACTGACCTCATCTCCTGACCTGTTTGGGTATTCTTATTTCATGAATTGTTTTAAAATAAATATTCATGATATACTTGTTTATAAATAAGTATATACCTCAGGTTTCATGGAGATATGATATGTTGTATTTATACCTAGCTATTGAGAGCGAAGTATAGCTTTTATATTTGTATTTTATTACATTTCTTTAAGTATCATCTATAAATTAAGGATACCTAATTATATGTATATTAATATGCATAGTGGTAGCACTCAGGAGAGATCTCAGGAGAGTCACAGTTTAGTAGTGGGACTAAATGAGCCTAATATAAAGGCTACTCTAGAATAAACCTTAAAAACATGCCTTGAAAGCATCAAACTGATCTATACGTTATTTAACTTCCAGTTAGAACAAAGCCCCAACACTGTAAAGGAATGCGAAAAGTCCATATGAAAAACCATAAAATTAAATATTAGACATCCAACAAAAATTATTAAACATGCAAAGAAGGAGAAAAATGTGATGCATAAGCAAAAGAAAAAAAATCAGTGAATAGAAACAGATTTTGAGACAACAGAAATGGCAGAACTATCAGATACGGACATTATAGAAGCCATTACATGTATATTCAAGATGTTTTTCAATGTAATGGAAAAAGTTAACATATTGAAGAGAGAAATGGAAGATATAAAGAAAAAAATGACAATTTTAGAGATGAAAAATACAATAGCCAAAATGATAATATCTCTGTGTAGGAGTAACATGAGATTACTGACTTCAGAACAAAGGATTTATAAGAGGTAGAATTCTGTGATAGCTCCAAGATTTTCCTGTGTACGCACTCTGCAAAATTCCTGGGATGATAAATATGATGGTGTTTACTCCTGTGATTAGGTTATGCTGTATGGCACATTGGCCTTTAAGAAATGGTGATTATCCAGGTGGGCTTGACCTAATCGCATGAGCTCTGTAAAAGAAGAGAGTTTCCTCCTCTGGTCACAGAACAGGAAGTCCGAGAGACTTGAAATGTGAGAGAAATTTGACATGAAGGAGGATCTTTATTGCTTAGATGGAGGTGACCATCTTATTGCTTAGATGGAGGAGCAAGGACCTGAGAAAACCACATAGCTAATAGCACTCACCAGCTGACAGCCAGCAAGAAAGTGGGGACTTTAGTCCTACAGCAGGAAGGAACTGAATTCTGCCAATAATTGAATGAGTTTTGAAGAGGACCCTGTGCTCCAGGTGATACAATACTTCAGTGTATTCCATAACTGCCTAATCATATGGAACAGCACTTTTGGAACAAATAAAGCTAGCAAAATATTTTTGTTACAACTTGATGAATGTACAAATATTATTTTTTATAAATGTGCAACCTTTGAACAGCATGATGAAATGAAGGGAAAAATATTTTTTTCAACCTCACTGCTGGCTGACAAACACATCTAGCTCTAAACTGTGCAAACCAAAAAAAGGATGAGATTGTCAGCAAACATCACCTGGAGTTTGTCTGGTGGAGTGTGTTCCAAAGGCTCTGCTATGGGAAGTATCCGGTTGTATCTGCCCAGATTAAGGAGCCTATATCAGAATAGTAATGCACGTTGTCAAGAAAGTCTTGCTATGAAAATAGTGTCAGTTAAACTGAAAATAGTTTCAGTTACACTGAACAGTGGTGTTAGTAGCATAATAAAATTTTGAATTACTTTAAGGCCAATGTGGTAAACTTGCTATTATTCTTTATATTATGTGATACTATGGCAGATTATCATAACTGTTATTGCATGCTGTAGTGCAGTGGTTATTGGGGGAAAATGTCTGTCAAATATTTTTCATGAACTCAATGCTTCCAAACGGGGAAAGATATTTTTTCATGATAGATATGATCAAAGAGCACAAACAAAAGTTAAAATCTTAGAGGTACACAATTTCTGTGATATGTTTCACAATTTAATAATAATTATCGGCCCAGCTCGGTGGTGCATGCCTATAATCCCAGCACTTTGGGAGGCCGAGGAGAGAGGATAGCTTGAGACCAGGAGTTTGAGACCAGCCTGGGCAATGTAGTGAGACCCCGTCTATACAAAAAATTAAAAAATTAACCAGGCATGGTGGCATGTGCCTGTAGTCCCAGCTACTCAGGAGGCTGAGGTGGGAAGATTGCTTAAGCCCAGGAAGTTTAGGTTGCTGTGAGCTGTGATTGTGCCTACTGCACTCCAGCCTGAGCAACAGAGCAAGACCCTTTTTCAAAGAAAAAAATTATTAAGTATTCTGATCTTTAGGAATGATCTGATTTTGTTCATCTTTCAAGTTATCACCTGTCATTTTATGGATTGGGCAGACTATTTTATATTTTATTTTCCAGCAATAGAAGATTCACAGGTAGCAAATTAATGGATCTGGAATCCATTTCTGTCATTGAAATATAACTTACATCTTATTTTAACTATACAAAATGTAGAAGAGTTTTCATTCCATCAACATACCTGTGTGACACTACTTTCTCCTCTTTGAGTGTTATTGACATAAAACAAAAACAATTTAAGTATTTATTATTCCCGAGTTGCTTTATTGCCAGTTCACCTTAGATTAGATAAATTAACAAGCAAAAAGCTCATTGTCAACATCATAAACTTTATTTATAATCGCAGTATTTGTTCAAAATATTCATATAGGCATTTGGGACGTGAGGATCACTCTTTACCTAAAATTTTTTGTTTAGTTATGTTGTGTAATGAAGAAAAGTTACAAGTGTAATAGTAGTTGTCTAAATTAATCACCAGTTCACTTTCGGTGAACAACACAGGCCATTTTTATAATTGTATTCTTTTTCTTTGTGCTATTTTTGTCTAATTATATTTATTGATATGTAATTTTATGTCTGCCTAATCAAATAACAAAAACAGTTGTGCTGTTTTTGTTTTAAAAACAAAACAAAGTTTTAAAAGTTTAAACTTTAACTTAAACTAAAACTTTAACAAAGTTTTAAAGTTTAAAAGTAGTTTTAAAATTTTTTATTTTTTCAGTAATTTACAATTGGTAAATAAAATTTCATATTTTATTTTCTAAATGTGTCAGCGAATGATGGATTTAGGACATAAAAGTAAATTTTCACAAATAGTTTGAGAAACCCTTTTCTGGACTACTCTTCAGCTCCTTCACACCCCACTCCCTTCTTTCAGCTCCTTTTTGAGACTTTAAGAAAACTCTGAATTAGCTCTCTGGTCTCTCTCTTTAAATTTTGATGTAATCCCTTAGTTCAGACTCAAATCCCTTCTTGAAGTATTGCCATAGTTTCTTCATTGGACTCTTAGTTTCTAGGCTTTCTCTCGGTTTATTACTGACAATTTTGGAAATAACACTAATATATAATACAACATAGTAACAGTAAGTATAATTTATGTACCATTTTAATATAATAAATATTTTATAATATATAATAACTATAATAAAGTAATTTTTCTTCCTAAAATTCTCAAAAGGCTCCCTGTAATTTTTGGGACAAAGTTAAAATGCCTTAACATGGCAAAACTATTCTAATTCTGACTTGACTCAATTACAATAATCATCTCCAAAGTGGGTTCCTTACTTCTCTTACTGATCGTTATTCTTTTATTTTTACAGTTTTGCTGCCTATTTCATGGTTTTAAAAGATAAAGCAGATTATGTCCTTTCTTGACATAAAATTTCTAGTAGTATTTAGAGTAACATTTCACAAGGGCCCTAGATAAGATGACTATTGACTACGTTTCCAACTTTATCTCATGCTATTCTTTCTTTTGCTCACTATGAAACCATCAGACTACCTTCTAGTTTTTTAATCATGCCAAGCATTTTCATGCCTCAGGATGTTTGTATTTTGTTCCTGGCTTTTGGCTCTTTTCCCTGTTTTCTGTGTGACTGGTACCTACTCATTCTTCAGGTCACCTCCTCCGAGAGGCCTTCCCTTACTCCTGTAACTGAGTAGCTTCCTTTCCATTATTATTCTTTCTCATATCATCTTGTTTTATTTCCTTTCTTCTATTCAGTGCTTTGTTTAATCGTTTATTAGAATGTATGCTTCAAGAGGGTAATCATAACTAACTTTTTTTTAGTTTATGTATTTATGGTGTACAATGTGATATACTGATATTTGTATGCATTAGGGAATGATTAAGTCAAGCTAATTAATGTCTTCATCACCTCACGTATCATTTTTTTTTTTTTTGTGGTAAGAATGTTTAAAGTTTATTCTCAGCAGTTTTCAAGTACTGATACATTATTAACTATAGTCACCATGCTGGAAAATAGATCACCAGCATTGATTCCGTCTCTGTAACTGAAACATTGGTCCTTTTGGTGAACATCTTCCCAGTCCCTAGTAACCACTATTCTACTCTTTACTTCTGTGAGTTCAACTTTTTAAGATTCCCTATATAAGTAAAATTATACCTATATTTGTCTTTTTATGTCTGACTTAATTTAATGCAGTATTCTCCAGATTCATCCATGTTGTCATAAATGACAGGAGTTTCTTTTTTTATGGGTGAATAGTGTTCCATTGTGTATATACATTTTATTTATTCATTCATCTCTTCGTCAATAGACACTTGATTCCATATTTTGACTATTGTGAATAATGCTGCAATGAACATTGGGGTGCACATACCTCTTTCAAATACTGATTTCATATCACTTGGATATATACCCTGAAGTGGAATTATTGAATCGTATGGTAGTTCTGTTTTTAATTGTTTGAAGAATCTCAATACCATTTTCCATAATAGCTGTCCTAATTTTCATTCCTATCAACAGTGTGCAAGGGTTCCCTTTTCTTCACATCTTCTCCAACACCTATATTTTACTTTTTGTTTTTTTTTTTTTTTTTGGTTGTTTTTTTTTGAGATGGAGTCTCACTTTGTCACCCTGGCTTGAGTGCAGTGGTGCGATCCTGGCTCACTGCAACCTCCACCTCCCGGGTTCAAGTGATTGTACCGCTCAGCTTCCTGAGTAGCTTGGATTACAGGCACGCCCCACCATGCTGGGCTAATTTTTGTATTTTTAGTAGAGACGAGGTTTCACCATCTTGGCCAGGCTGGGCTTGAACTCCCCACCCCAAGTGATCCACCTGCCTGTGCCTCCCAAAGTGCTGTGATTACAGATGTGAGCCACTGCACCTGGCCACATTTTCAATAATAGCCATCCTGTGTGAGGTGATATTTCTTTGCAGTTTTAATTTGTATTCCTCTAATAATTAGCGAAGTTGAGCATTTTTTATATACCTGTTAGCTGTTTGTCTTCTTTTGAGAAATGTCTATTCAAGTTATTTGCCTATGCTTTAATTGGGTTATTTGTTTTGTTGCTGTTGAGCTGAGTTCCTTATATATTTTGGATATTAAACCTTTATCAGATATATAATTATATATGTTGGCATTTTATTATTAGTATTATTGGTTGCCTCTATTCCATTATAAAAGTGCATGATACATTTTAATAGGATTTATGAGAAGAAAAGGAAAAAGAGTAAAAACAAGCTAGGGCAAGAGAAAAGCAAAATACATATATATGAATATATTGTAAGCTCTAGTCGATAATTTATTTAAAATATAAAAATTATAACTACATTAAAATTTGAGTTCTAAACATTACTTGTAAGTGGAACTTCGGGAAGAGCAAAGTAAGAACCTCCAAAATACTGCTTTTCTAAAAGTAGTATTTTCAAAATACTACTTTTTTTATGTTATTTAAAATAAGAACACTGGCAAAAACTGTCAAAATCAACTTTTTCAGTTCTTTGGAAAGCAATCAGAGGTTTACAACAACCCAGAGGCTGTTAATTCAAGAAAAACTCTAGACCTTTATAAGAACAGCAAGATTTAGAGTGATTTAACTCACCCTGTTGCCATCTACCTTTCCTCAGCTCTGTGGTAGCTTTGAAAACCAGAGGCCAGACACCAGTGGTAGTTTTGAAAACCAGTAGTCTAGCAGCCACTGAGGATAGGAGTGGGAGTAGGTTAGGTTTAGAATTTCTTAGAAAGTCTCGACCTTAGAGCATTATAACTATTTGAACTGTATGGAATCTTCCTGGAAAACTCCATTCACAGGGCTTATTATTATTTGACCTAATCTAGAGCTTGTTTAGTGAGAAAAGCCTGTCTCCAAGGTATTTGTTGAAAATAATCAGCTTTTTTCTTTAATGTTGCAACTGCTCGAAGTGACAGTGCCAGTTGGGGCAAACAAGAACCTTGCCTAAAAGCTTAAACAGATGTGAGAATGAGATATCCATATTCCCAGGGCTGTCCTCAGGCCCAGGGAAGACCTGAGAAGGCCTCAGTCTCTCACCTTTGGCTGACCTTGAGGCCCAGCACAAGAAGGAAGCGCAGGCTAAGAGAGAGTTTTAAACCATGAGAACATTGCAAGCATACCCAAACACACACACACAGAGCCTGTGGCAAAGGGTGGAACATTTATTGGTTCAAGACATTTAAGACAATGTCTGTGCAATCATTAGCTGACCACTAGGTTAACTGAGCAGAGACTTAAGTGGCTGCAGATGATGGAAAACAGATTTTACAGAATTAGTTCAGGAAAATGAATAAACAGAACAAGAACAAACTGTAGGTGGGGTCAGATTTTCATGATTGCCACATTATGTTATTTAAAATATCCAGTTTACAACAAAAAGAATTATGAGACAAGCAAAGAAATAGGAAAGTATGGTCAATACACAGGGGGAACAAAGCAGTTGATATAAAATGCCCCTGAGGAAGCCCAGATACAGAACTTACTAGACGGACACTTTAAACCAGCTATTTTACATATGCTCAAGTAATTACAGGAAGCATTTTCTAAAGAACTAAAGGTATAAGAGCGATATCTCACCAAAAGGAGGATACCAATAAAGATATATGTAATAAAGAACCAAATAGAAATTCTGGAGTTGAAAATTGTAATAACTGAAATGAAAAATTCACTTAGAGGGGTTCAGCAGAAGATCTGAGCTGGCAGGAAAAGAATCAGCAACATGAAGATAGTTCAATTGTGTTTATCCTACGCTGGGGAACAGAACAAAGAAAGAATGAAGAAAAGTGAACAGAGCCTCACAGACCTTTGTGACACTATTAAGTTGAACCAACATATGTATACTGGGAGTCCCAGAGGAAAGAAGAGAAAAAGAAAGGAGCAGAAAGAAAATTTGAAGAAATATTGGCCTGAAAACTCCCTACAGTTGATGAAAATCATTAATATATATGTCTAAAAAGCTCAATGCACTCCAAGTAGGATAAACTCAAGAGAGACCCACATGTTGACACAGCGTAGTCAAAACATCAATTAGAAGATTTTCTTGGCTCTTAATTTTCATTTTGTCTCTTATGGGCGTATAAGTTAGTAATAATATTTAATTCCTGAAGTTGTATTCTTTTCATACACTTAGTGTAGCAAGCAAACAAAATAAATCATATATAAATAATCGCAAATAATTCATTGCAGTATTTTTGTTTAAAATGAACTTTAATGAGGATTTAAAATCTTTTTGTGTATTTTTTTTCCTCTTTGGAGTTAAGATATTTAATTAATTTTGCATTTATGGATTTAATATAAACAAAATGTGTAAGTTAGTTACATATAGCTTTTTTATGTTTCATTTTAAATTACAGTGATTTAGTTTGCTTATATTATTATTTGAAGTGCCAAAGCTTAATATAATTTTTAGTGCTATACTAACAAGGTGCTGTATGTTTCTTTCATGATATTCCTTATTTAGAGAGTTTGGAAAATGGCAATTTCAGTAATTTAATATGTAAGACATATTGAAATTCTTCATAAATCATGGTAAAACAGGATTTTTGGAGGAAGGAATGTGATATGTGAAGTCACCGTGTAAATATCATGTCATTTGCTGAAGTTGTCCTCATATTTTTCTCAAAATGTATTAGATGAACTCATTATAGTCAATGAAAAACAGTAAGAAAAAGAGACATCTGGCATCCAAATGCCTGTTTCTGACAAGGTTAAGATCACTCTGGCTAGTAATGTTTCTGCTCTGTGTACTGACATTGCCTGTTGCTACAGAAACTGATAAGAGCTATTGAAAACTTACATGCCTGTGATTAATATAACCTACACAGATGCAATCATTTATAGTTTTTCTGCAGTTCATGCCTAACTTCCTATTTGAATCATGGATTAAATCCTCAAAGTACTTTAGTGTCACAAAGAGGTATTCTGGAAACACGAGTTATCTAAGTTGAAGTTTATGGTATCAACTGAGAGCATGTTCTGTTAAAGATGTAAATGCATACTGAGAAATATGTAGGTTTTTTGACTACTGATCTGTTTTTTTATTGCTATTATAAAATATCCTATTGGCATTTAGTTTTATTTCTATGTAATATCACAGCGTGTATGCTTTACAAAACATATTTATTTGAATAAAAGTCATTGAAATATCAAAATTACTACTTCCTTTTTGAAATCATTCTTTTATCAGCCTCAATAAAAATAAAATTGAGATGTTTTTAGTACTATGTAAATATTTTGATGAGCTATTTGAAAATATTCTAATATTTGATTTCTAGAAACTTCTAATTGTGTTTTGTAATCTAGAGATCAACATTTATATTGAAGTTTCAACTATCTAGTTAGAAAGTTAAACATTTTAATATCCATTGTAAGTCAAATAGTTGAGCAGAAAAGCAAAATATTATGTAGTTGGTGGCAAAAGTCTTTTGATGTGGTAGCTTGTGAACACCAAATCAGATTTTATTTCCTTAGGTATTTTGTTTGCTAGTGAAATGCTTATATTCCAGTCTAATATAGCTTGAGAAGTTTAAACTTTTTGTATAGCTGTTAATGTAACATGTCATATATAACGATACTTAGACATTATATTAATGGAAAGTCAAAACACTAGACCATATCTGTAAATTAGCTAAATTCACACTAAGTGTTAGATATGATTGTATGACTTCTGATAATTAAACTCTATAAAAATTAGCCCATGCTAGTAACCATGACACTGTTTTGTTTTTGTTGTTGTTAAAGTTTTTGTTTCTGCATTTACATTTTCTGTCCTCTTGTCGCTATAACTATTTAAACTATTTAATTCTCTCCTGATACTTTGCTGCAATTGTTTTCTCTCAAAAAATGTACAATCCATAGATACAAATGTATGTTAAAATATATTCAGTGGTATCTCTAATAGTGAAAATAACTGCCTCAGTCATCTTATCTTCTCATTCTAGATTTGTAGGTTATTTTATCAACTTCCAAAATTTTGGCTATTGCCTCAGTTTGAATGATCCCAAAATGTACGGCTATTCTTCTTTTGACCTACAGATATAAATATCTTAGAGATTCTGTAGACTAAAAGTGATTCAAAATTTAGTTAATTATTTTCCTGAAGAAATCTCATTTTCTTCCTTTCTCAGTTAGTGACGTATTACCACTCTTTTTCTTAACCTAGATATTTCAGAAATACCCTTAGTCTTCTCCTCCTTCTCATTTATAGGGTTACTATTCTAATTTAAGTCTTAGTCTTCTCTGACAAGATTTTATTAAAAATGCCAAACTATTGTCTTTACTTCTTACCTGTTTCCTTCTCTAGTCCTTTGCCTACTATTATTGACATTGTCTTGTCAAATGCAGTTATTTTAATTTTTAATCTTGGAAGCAGTAAAGAATCTACCCTGATTTTCACATTGGTCATCCAATATGAATGTTTGAATATTATTATCATATTCCACAGATTAATCTATTCTTTCAGTCTATCATCTTTGACCAAACTAACAAATAAACAAACAAAATTTAAATCTATTCAACAAATATGAGGAAAACTATGATATAACATTGCATTGTGATAAATGCATATTTTAAGTCAGTTTAAATTAGTATTTGATATTAGGAATATTGAATAATATGAGGATGTTATTTATTCCTAATTTAATGTATAGATTTGATATAATTTGACTCAAAAGAAAAGGGGGAGAAAAAAATGGGAGATTTTATTTCAAAACCTGGCAACATTTTTCTGATGCTTATCCTAGAAAAAGTATTATAAATTCACACCCTCAGGAAATCTGAATGGTATGCCATTAGTTTAAATTCAAGCAATTAAAAAAACTGTCTAATAGACAACACCCAAGAATTGAGTCTGTTACTGACAAAATCCCTTCATATTGTTTTTAATTTTTTAGTATGTGTGTACAAAACTTTCAGAAGCTGTGATCACACCCAACAATTCTATCATCAGAACAACACTTCTACTAGAGATTTCACAAAAGATTTTGTGAGATGTCTTGCTGACATCAAGGTAGCCTATTTTCCTGTTGGGCAGTTTCCTGGTTTCTTGTCCTAACAACCTTTGAATTCAAAGAAACAAGCAAATAATAACAAAATCTAAGAGAAGTTATATAGAATTTACTGATTTTCAATTTTTAGGAGATCTTTGAAATAATTTAGTCTGTGCTTCTCATTTTCAAAGATTATGAAACTTTCAAACTTAAATGCAAGTTTAAGCAATACAAATAGCTAACATTTACTGAGCTTCTACTTTAAAGTGAGAACTGCAGTGAATTTACATATAGTAGCTTAATGGTATCTTACTTTATTCAAAACGATTAAGTTAAGGACTGTTATCTCCATTATACTTAGATGAGATACACTTTTCAAGGTTATCGTTTAGAATTTGGTAACATTTTATTATATGGAGAACTTTATTACATTAACCTTTGTATGATGAAATTTGATAGAAATTTAACATTTTAAAGATTTTTTTATTTCATTACTTTTAGTTGTTAATATTATATGTGTATTTCATTATCTGTGTAGTTATATGCACATATATGTTTCTGATTTAATTTTCACAAATTGAAATTTATATTTATTTACAAAGAATGAGCATGAGTATTCCAAAATATAGGCCTTGTCCTTGAGGAACATTATTAT
Organism: Homo sapiens; assembly: GCF_000001405.40. Classification (NCBI taxonomy): domain Eukaryota; kingdom Metazoa; phylum Chordata; class Mammalia; order Primates; family Hominidae; genus Homo; species Homo sapiens. The sequence goes on from NC_000013.11 coordinate 35,194,983, forward strand.
ATTATTAATGTATTTATTCTTTTGAACTAATCATTTGACTTGCTTTGCATTTTGCAAGTGTGTCAGAATTTTACGTATTGTAATTTTAAAATGATCTTCGATTATCTTGAATATTTCAGATATTATTAGTTATTGAAGTACCAAAGAAAGTATAAAAATGACTTTATATTTTTAAGGAAACTAATAGAGAAATATAAGAATTTCTCTTCTATGATTGGCAGCTAACAATCAAAGGATAAGAGGGGAACATCATATAATTATTATTTATAAGCTGCTTTAGGAAATTGTTATAGGAACTATTTCCTGATGCTTTTGAAGGCATCAGTTTTGAAATGCCAGATGATTTAAGAAGCAAGAGGATTATTTTGATGCTCCCTGAACAAAATAGTAGGTGTATTGGATGATATCTTTTTGTTTTTTTTTTTGTTTTTTTGAGATGGAGTTTTGCTCTTGTTGCCCAGGCAGGAGTGCAGTGGCATGATTTCAGTTCACTGCAACATCCACCTTCCAGGTTCAAGCAATTCTCCTGCCTCAGCCTCCCGAGTAGCTGGGATTAGACGTATCCCACCGTGCCTAGCTTATTTTTGTGTTTTTAGTAGAGACGGGGTTTCGCCATGTTGGCCAGGCTGGTCTCGAACTCCTGACCTCAGGTGATCCATCTGCCTCAGCCTCCCAAAGTGCTGGGGTTACAGGCATGAGCCATCATGTCTGGCTGGATGATATCTTTCAACTGAGTTGTGTTACTACTATGCACATCCGTTTAGCAATTTTTTGTTTCTACAGGTTTTGTTTTCTTTATTTGAATATATGAAAACATTTGATTAATAATACAAGATTTTTACTTTCAAAGCTTTTTTCTAACCTAGTTTCTTTCATTACAGAAACACCTGCTGCATTTCCAGACACCATAAAAGAAAAAGAAACACCAACTCCTGGTGAAGATATTCAGGTAGAAAGTTCAATTCCCCATACAGATTCAGGAATTGGAGAGGAGCAAGTGGCTAGCATCCTGAATGGGGCAGAATTAGAAACAAGTACAGGCCCTGATGCCATGAGTGAACTCTTATCCACTTTGTCATCCGAAGTGAAGAAATCACAAGAGAGCTTAACTGAAAATCCTAGTGAAACGTTGAAGCCTGCAACATCCATATCTAGCATTAGTCAAACCAAAGGCATCAATGTGAAGGAAATACTGAAAAGTCTTGTGGCTGCTCCAGTTGAAATAGCAGAATGTGGCCCTGAACCTATCCCATACCCAGATCCAGCATTGAAGAGAGAAACACAAGCTATTCTTCCTATGCAGTTTCATTCCTTTGACAGGTAGGTACTGAACTTATTATTCACAGGGCTTTATACATAAAAGGAAAATTAGACTTTGTTAATTTTAAAATATAAGGAAGATCTTGAAAACTTTATTAACGTAGATTCTTATTACAAAGACAATCAAAATGATGGCTCAACCTAATCTTATAATAAGACATCTTAATAATACATCTTAAAGAAGAGGTTTCAATGTGATATGATGGATAGCACATTGAATTGGAAGTAGGGAAACATGGATTATGGTTATATTCCATTATCAAAGGACTACAGTACATCGGGGTGTTATTTTTCTCTTTGGACTTAGTCGTTTCATGTACATAATGGGGAAGGGGATGGGTCACATCTGTCCAAGGTTTATCCTGGCTCTGAAATTCCATTATAATATTATAAAATACTATAATAATTGTTGGAGATTATATGACATGCTTTAAGTGATAATATTTAAATTTGAACCTTAAATGGAAGTATATGGAAAAATTTTAAAATTGTTTGTGGTCATCTTCTTTATGAGATTTCCAATACCAATGTAAAAGCTGTATTTTGAAGCATGTATTTAAAAGTAAATATTTTTGAAAGGTATTTTGGCATTTTAGGTATCGAAACTATTTATAACATGGCCCATATGTCATATATCTACATTCAAATGTTAAATCATGCAAGGAATTTTTTTAAGGAACAATTAACTTTTTATTCCAGTATACATTCAATAAAAATGATAGTTCACAGAAGCAGAATAAGATATTTTAGAACCTAATACCCTAGTCATCTAATATCTTCCACTATTTAAAAACATGTGCAAGATTAGAAGAATATTTTAGTCACTAATTACTAACAGTAGTACTTAACATTGATCACTGGGGTTAATGCCTATTCCAAATAATGTTTGCGTGTTAATGTATTAACTGAAAAATGTGATGGCTTACCTTTTAAAGTAAATCATTGTTATTGATGTTTTAAAACATCTTTTCATACCAAAAATTTATGTATATGTATGAGGTGATTGACAAGCAAGTGTTTTTTTTGTTTTAGAAAGACAAGATCAAATTAGGAAATAAAATGTTTCTAAATGGAAATGTCAAAGTATATAGTCAAAAAATAATATCTATTCCATATTGCTTTCTCTAAAGTAGCCAGACTGCTCTTGTTCTAAGTAACATTTTAGTTTAGGGGTAGAGGATGTGGCGGTATAGTCATTTCAGTTTGGATGAATACCCTTTTTTTTTTGTTTTTGAGATGGAGTCTCACTCTGTCACCCAGGCTAGAGTGCAGTGGTGCGATCTTGGCTCACTGCAACCTCCACCTCCTGGGTTCAAGCAATTCTCTCCTCAGCCTCCTGAGTAGCACCTGCCACCACGCCTGGCTAATTTTTGTATTTTTAGTAGAGACGGGGTTTCAACATCTTGGCCAGGCTGGTCTTGAACTCTGACCTCATGATCCACCCGCCTTTGCCTCCCAAAGTGCTAGGATTACAGGCGTGCGCCACCGCACCTGGCCGAATTACCCTTTTAATACACAATATAATTTAAACTTTGCCTGTAAACACTTTTGCCAGTGTTTTACAAATACGTCTTGAAAATCTGTTGTGGAAAATGTTAAGTGGCACTGGTTATCATGCAGAATATAAAGATGAATAAAATTAGTTTTATCTTCTATGAATTTAGAGAGTAGTAAGAAGATGTTTGCAAATAATTGCTATAATAGATAAAATGTGTGGTGTCAGAAGTTTTAAAAAGTAAAAAATGGTAGGACTATAAAATGTAAGAAATATTTTTCTTTTTTTGGTATTTTGGTATTAATATTGTGTTTGGATGTTCATTCATATAGTGATGTTCCCTGGGTGTTCCTTATGATGTTTCACATTTATTTCACCTTTTTCACATATTTGGTTTATGTTTTCACGATATGCCTATATGTGTGTTTATAAGTTTGTATAAACATATGCATGTAAGTATATGTACTTGTGTATTTCTATAAGCCTATAAGGTAATATATAGTAATTTAAGTTTTGTATTCTAGTTAATTTTAAATTATATCTTTAAATGTTGGTAAAATACAAACCAATAAATACAGATGATTATTGTGATTTACATATGAAAATCCAATGAAATAAACATTAAGTAAAATTTTTTGTTTTAATTTGGATTATTGTTAGAATGAGTTTTTTAATTAAAACTTTAAAAAGCAGTCACCTGAGTGCTAATATTCTTAGCTACTCAAAATTTATTATACTTTTGAGAATATTGCTTTAAGAAAAATACAGCTTTTTATGTTCCTATAGCATTTGTACAAAATGCAGTAGGAGTGGAATCATTATTCTAAATTGCATAAGTACAAATGAAATGGAAGAGCACAAAGCATATTTCAGTTCTTTTTAGGAAAAGAGTCTCTAGTGTAGTTAATATATGCAATAGCTCAAGTACTATCAAATGTAAATGATGAGGTGATATTGATGAAAGGAGGGGATTGAGGTCTCGGGGGCGCTGATGACGGATTGAACAGAAGCGGCCTTGCACTGCACGTAACTCAAGTCTGTCGTCTTCACTACTCAAAGCCATAATGGGAGGTGGCAGTTTGAAATGAGTTGCCACGGCAAAGAGTATTATTTTTGAAATGCTTTCACACAAATCACTAGGCCCTGCATACAACTTAGTTTCATGCTTTAATGTCATCAGGAGGCACAAATTGGTGTGTCTAATTGTTTGCCACCTGCCAGCAAAATGAGCTGCCAGCCAGCCAGACGGGTTTGATTGTCTGTCAGCCATTCAATAGATTGAGAGTGACAACATCAAAAATTTAACTTCAAACTCTGAAGCTTTGAGCAGCTTTTCAGAGACATCATCCCCACAAGTGCTTCTGGACCAGTGCATTTTTCAATTATACTTCCAGGGTATTGCTACCATTTGCCTTATCTGTCTTAAGGTAGCTATAATTACATTATGAGGTATATAAACATGTTTCTGAAGCACTAATGTCTGAAATCCAAGTTATGACATGTCTTTTAACATCAGATTGAATTCGTTGAAAATGAGATCCAGGATGACAGGCTTTAGAATGAAAGTCCTGAATGCTACCGGTTTCAAACACAGAATCTATCATGGGTCTTACTTTACCAATAACGTGTTTTTCATTTTAATCTTTAGTTGAAAAGTAGATATAAACTCAGTTGGTCGCTTCTTTGTAACTAAATCACACTCCTAATAATATTGTACAGTCTCAATAGAATTCATGTAGGATTTTACTTTTGTTAACCAGTTGTTTATTGATTATATTGCAGACATGCTAACAATGATTTCCTTATACTTATCCTGGATTTTAAATTTGGAAATAATTTCCTAGAACAACTGGGATAATTTGAGTTATGTTAACTTGTGTTCTACGTCGAGTGTATCTCACCCCTTAGGATGGAGCATTGGTGAATTTCAGTGTTTTGAAGTTTATAATAAAAAATTGCAACATCAAATTCTTAGAAACATTTAGACTTAATTAAAATAAACCTTTTTTCTTTACTATTACATATTTCATCAGATTATGAAATATTACATAAATGTTCTGTACATATAAGGAAAGTACTGATTCTTTTTCTATTTCCTTCAGTCATCTGTGCAGATTAAGTATATATCTTTGATTATACTCAGTGATCCGAACAGATGTGTACTCATGAAGTATTAAAATGCTAGAGATCCTCTAGTACTGTTCTATAATGAGCAAACACTGTATGTAAAGAGGAAATACAATCATAAAACTATAACAATTTTTTCAAAGTTCTGTTACTGTGAGGCAGAGAGAAATATTTATGATGGTTTTATTTTTAACAGAAAAGCTTAATAATCTCATTTTAGAATTCTTAAATCAAGTTGCCAAGTTCTCTAACAATACTATCTCTTTAGATAGATTGCTATATTTATCGATGGTTTATAAAATGTTTTAATTGAGCTATTATTTTTCATGTACTGTGTAACTTTTACTTTGGAGTAATGCTTTTATCTAAAGCCACCAATTAACCTTTTACTTACCTTTTAAACTAAAAATTTAATCTTATATATCTGCATGCTTTTTATCTTTTGAGTGTTTGGTATATATATATATCTATGTTTTGGTTTAGTTTTAACTTCCTAGGATTTCCAGAGATTCCCACTTAGTTTGAACAAAAGACAAAAAAAAAAAAAAATAGAGGGCAATGTGCTTCTCATACATTTTTAACTGTTAGTATGTTTTTAAAAATTGTTTTAAGTGTGTGATATCACACAAAGCTTATAGTTGTGTTGCTTCTTTGGCTAACAGACCTCAAACTTACACTTCACTTTTTCAGATTTTGCAAACCTCCTGTATTCAAATTACTGGGTTTGATATATTCAGGGAAACTAGTAGGTATTTTTTCCTCAAAATTTTAATATCCTTGCTTCCCAGTGTTTAATTATCTGAAAAAGAAAAATCTATTTTGTAAATAATATAGGGCCAAAAAAGCAACTTAGATAGACTTCATATTATTAACCATGAAGTATAAGCTTGAGCTAGGTATTTTCTCTTTAGTTTCATTAGTATTCTAATATTGATATTAGTGGTAAGGATGAAATTTCAGGGTAAATATTTTTAAAAATATTGAGTAGAGTTAATGAGGTCTTATGTTGATTTATTTAAAGTTAGAATTAAGTAACTATGAAAAATTATAATTACTTCTGAAGACTTCAATTTGTTCTTATTACTATTTTTTTAAAAAAGTATTTTGACCCTATCACTTAAAAGATGAACAAATAAACGTAAGCCAAATTGATTATTCATCTTCCAGCCTTTACAATTGAAATTTTCTACATCTAGCCACTGTAATTTCTGCTTTTATTATGCTGCAAGTGCCCTGAGTATATATTTTAAGGTCAATTGCTGGAAGATTCAGTTTTGACTGAGCATGTTTGTGTCCTCATTTCCCCAATGTTGTTGACTTTGTGTCTCCTGGCATTTATAGAGAGCTGAATAAAGTTCAGTGAGCTGAATAAAGTATCTCTCATTAATAGGTGATTTAATGAGATTCTTTATTGTTTCTTAAACATATTTTTTTATATTGCAATTCTCAAATATTTTACAAAATAAGGAAGCATGATAGATAACATCATGAGAGCATTCACCTTGCGATTTCTGATGAACTGAAGTAAATTGTCATGTTATCCTAGAATCAGTAACAAATTATTTTTCTCTTTTAAGTTTCAACGTTTTCTTTCAAGATACATATTTAACATCCACATCCTAGTTAGAGAGTGATAATCTGGAAATTAGGGGAACTGGATATTAATAGTTGGTCTCTCTTCAATTTGTTCCAGGACCTTGATCCATTCTTTTTGGCTCTCTGGAACTCAGTTTCCCAACCCATATAATATGATATAAAGCTACATGATTTCTAAAAAGTCTCATAAATTTCCAAAATCCTATTTAAATGAAATGGGCTTATTATTAGTCCCCCAAAGCAACAGATAGATATTTTCGAGCTTGGCTAAAAGATTTGAATCCCAGAAAAGGTGCATCTCCATTCTCAAACTACATTAGCCCCTCAGCGTCTCTAAGGTGGATTCTTTCTGTTACCTCCTAACTGCCCTCACTATTTCCATGTTTCCTCTCTCACCCCAAATTTATCTTTTACATTTATGCCATAGACATTTTTCTAAAGTGTGAAGCTGATGAAAATTCTGAAATAATTCTTGTTATTTATATAATAAAGGAGGATTATTTTAGTTTGGAATAGAAAGTCCACACCTTTCACCAGCCAGAAGTATCTAAAGCAATTCCTTTAACCTACCTTGTTTTTTCATGTCTCTTTGCCTTGCTAGGTTTTTACTATTAAATTTTTGTATGCACTTTTCCCTACTTGGTTAATTTCTATTGATCCTTTTCATTTCAGCCCACTCTTCCTTGATTGTGCACAGCCTGTGTTCCTGAAAGGTCCTGGGCATAACTCTGACCAGGTCAATTATTGAAATATATTGCATGGTCAGTTTGTGTGTCATATTCCTTAAAGTATCTAAGGAATATGCCCCAGGGCATGGGGCATGTATTATTTGTCTTGTGTCTCCCAAACTTAGTGTAATCCCCTGTTAGTGCTCAAACAGTAGAAGGGAACAGAAAGAACGGGATTCTTATAGTGTGCCATGAATAATTATAAAACTCACTTGCCTTAATGAGTCACTGTTTAAAAGCTCTTTCTTATCTTCAGTATCTCCGTTTGTACCTAGGATAAACCATGATGTACACAGATAAGATAGTATCCCTGTTTTTACAAAATTTACCGAACTGTTTAATGGAGACTGCCAATACCCTATCCTTATACCACTTTTCCTGTCCCTTTGCATTCACTTCTTTGGCCATCTCATCCACTCTCCTGGCATTAAATAGCATCTGTATGCTGATGACTCTTATATTTATATCTTAGTTTGAACCTCTTTTCTAAACTAGAGACTTATCTATCCAATTGCTTATTCAACATTGCTATTTGGATGATTAAAAAGAGGTATAAAAAATTAGTATAAGAAAGCTGCTCCAACCATATTCTTCCCTATCTTAGTTAATGGCAACTTGTCCTTTCTGTTACTTAAGGCAAATTTTTTTGCATAATCCTTGACTTTACTCTCATGTTCACCTCCAGTTCTTATTTAAATCTTATTTGCTCTGCCTTCTTAATATTGCCAAAATTTGAATCACTTCTCACCAGGTTTTACTTTGCTATTCCACTCCAAACCACCATCATTTCTTGTTTGTAGTATTGTAGTCTCCTAGCCATTCTCCACAGTAACCATTGTCCCTCCTAAGACTATCTGTGACATAGCAGCCAGAGTAGTCCTATTATAACATAAGGTTATATCCTTCTGTGCATAAGCCTTCATGGTTTCTCATCCCTCTCTGAATAAAAGCCAGCATCTATACAATGGACTACAAGGCCCTGTGAACTCAGCCCTCTTACTTATCTCATCTCTTACAGCTCTCCATGTCACCCAGTATTCTCTTGTCACACTAGCCTTTGTACTGTTACCTCTGCCTGTGATGCTCTTCTCTAGATAGCCTCCTGGCTTATTCTTTCACCCCCTTCAGTGTTCTCTCAAATACTACCATTTTTTGTCAATCTTCTCTGAGCCGCCCTTTCAACATTATTCCTTCTTCTTATCTATGCTTTATTTTTCTTACAGCACTTAACATCTGATATACTATATTTACTCATTTATGTTACTGTATTTGCTATATCTCTGTATTGAAATGTCAGTTCCATGAGAGCAGGGATTTTATTCTATATATTGCTATATCTCCAGAACTTACGTCAGTTCCACACACATTGCAATGCTCAATAAATATTTGTTGAATGAATGAGTGAATGTATCACCTCTAGCTTTGAGATAGGATAAATTCAATGATGGAAGAATTCACACTTACATGTATTACTTATTAGTCAATTTATTAAAATCATATAATCAATTAATGAAATATTTTATCAAGTGAATTAGATTGAAATATGTCCTGGCTTATACCACTTTGATGATAACTTTTACAACCTTGGAGTGTGTATAGATTCTATGTAGTATAAAAGAATTATCCACTTTCTTGTAGTTAAGAGTCTTAAAGATGTGTGATAGAAGTTTGAAATTGTGTGGAAAGCATAGTATTGAGATTTTTTAAAAAATTCCATTGGTAAGGAATATGTAGAATAGAGCAGGGGTCCCCACCCCTGGGCCATGGACTGGTACCGGTCTGTGGCCTGTCAGGAACCAGACAGCAGGAGGTAAGCAGTGGGCAAGTAAACAAAGCTTCATCTGCATTTACAGCTGCTCCTCATTGCTCGCATTACTGCCTGAGCTCTGTTTCCTGTCAGATCAGTGGTGGCATTGGATTCTTCTAGGAGTACAAACCCTACTGTGAACTGTGCATGTGAGGGATCAAGGTTAAGTACTCCTTATGATAATCTAATGCCTGATGATCTGTGACTGTATTAGTTTGTTTTCACACTGCTGATAAAGACATACCGAAGCCTGGGAAGGAATAAAAGGTTTAATTGGACTTACAGTTCCACATGGCTGGGGAGGCCTCAGAATCATGGCAGGAGTGAAAGGCGCTTCTTATATGGTGGTAGCAAGAGAAAATGAAGAAGCAGCAGAAGTGGAAACCCCTGATAAACCCATCAGATCTCATGAGACTTATTCACTATCACGAGAATAACACAGGAAAGACCGGCCCTCGTGATTCAATTACCTGCCTGCCCCTAGGTCCCTCCCACAACATGTGGGAAGTCTGGGAGATACAATTAAAGTTGAGATTTGGGTGGGGACACAGCCAAACCATATCAGTCACTGGTGCCAAAAGCTTTGGGGACCACTGGAGTAGAGGATTCAAGGTATCCGTCAGGATGAATAGCAGATCTAAAAGAAGAGCATAATACCTGAATAGTTTAGTTCAATGGCTCTTAACCTTTTTGTGGCTATGTATGTTTTTGAAATTCATTAAAAACTATATGTTCACTCTAAAAAAATGTTTTTACCACCAAAATTTGTATATATTTTAGTGTATTTATCTACCCTAAATAGGTTACCCACAGTAGGTACCTAGACTTCTAGGTAAGATTTTTTTGGTGTAGATGGAATAGATAGCCAGTGTGAAACGTTGTGTAACAATCTGATAGAAGATTTTATAAGAGTTGAAAATTTTTACTCTCATATATGAATAGTTGCTAATACCAAGTAACATTTTAAAAGATAATTAATTTGTTATCAACACATACTGGTTAGTGTGGACTTTCAAATTAATTGTAAGATTGATTGCTAAGAAAGAGAATGGTTTGAGATAAAAGGGAAGGGGTAATGTTGGTGAAGAAACAATATTAAGGACAAGAACGTGCAGTCCTTTAGTCCTAGATAAACAGTTTGGCCATCTGAATCAAAGGGGAAATAGTTCTTACAAACTCATAATGTAGGTGCAGAAAAAGATCGGAGAAATCGGTCAAATACAGGTTCCTGCTTCTCTCAACTAAACCCTTGTAACTTGGTCATCTCAGCCATTTGAACACATAAGTGATTAGAAACTGGAATTCATAAAAATTATCAGAGATTTTTTTCTTCTTGTTGGTCCTAATTTGGTATTCTGAAGTACATGGAAGTTTCATTTTGTTTTCTTATCAGACTTTCAGATTTTTTAAAAATGCTGTAACTTTTTCTCACCCTTTTACTGTAATTTTCTGTCCTTTCAGCCTTTCCTCATATGACTTGTTTTCCAGATCAACTGTCATCCTAACTGTTCTCTTAGGGACATGATTCTGTTTGTCATTATCCTTGAAATATAGTGCCTAAAACTACACGTATGAGATATGACAATAGCAGAGTATATGAGGATTATTGCTTCTTTCAGTCTGGGTATTTTTGCTGATATAGACCCAGACTATATCAGCACTTTTGGGAGCCATAGCAATACTCGTAATAGCTAAAATGTATTGGCTGCTTAGAATATTCCATGGACTGTGCTAAGTACTTTATATGTGTTACCTCCTTTTATCTTTATAACAATCTTATTGCACCCTTTTATAACAATCTTTATAGCAATCTTAAGTTTATGATGATATTACCATTATGCATCTCATTTTAATGGGGAGGAGAATGAAGCTTAGAGAGATCTATGTGCCCAATACCACGTAGTAACTGCTGAAGGTAGAATTCTAACCCGGGTCTGTAGGGTTAGAATTCTGTGCCATACTGTCAAACTCTGCTGAGTTTGCAAGCAATGAAATATCTGGAGGCTTTCACATCAATTGCTATTAATTCAGTGCTTTGAGATTTTTAGTAGGCATTTAACCTGTCTATATTTTACTTATAAGTCATAATTATGGGATTTAGAGATTTTTTTTCTCTCGGTCTCATAACTTATTTTTCCTAATATAACTTATTTCTCATAGCTTCCACATTAGACAAGATACCAGTCTGTTACAGAGAGCTTTTGCTCAAAGTTAGTAATGATCAACAGATCAGAAATTTATAGTAATAGTTTTTCTACCTTCTGCAAATTCATCTCATAGCACTGTTAATTAGCTCATGATTCTTTATCCATAAATAAACATCTTTGTGTCTGCTGTTCTAAAAAAATCATGAGAGATGCAGAAAAAAGAGCATTATACTTTCACTAATGACTTATCTTCAAATCGACAGTTGATGGTTTTGTTTTCTTGCTGGAGAGTCAATGAAATAGTACATCTCACATTATTTTATAAGTTTAGAGGAGAATTTTGATAACAAACTCCAAATATTGGCAAGTTCCTTTTTTCTGTTGATTTTTATGTAGATCATTATAAGTAGATGCCTTATATCTCATAGACAAAAATATATTTCACTTTAGACAGTGGTAATGATTATTAACATTTATAATACACTTCATAATTGACAAAGTCCATTTAAATATGATCTCATTTAATCTCCCCAATTGTATGCGAAGGAGGTAGCATTAGTCTTACGATTTTACACTCAAAAAAATGTAAGATCATACAGTTTGAGAGTGGTCCAGTTTTCAAGCCTTAGTTTTGAAATATAGTCCACATCTTATATTCTTTTCTGCAATGTCACACTACCTCTCAATGAAATAAACGAAGGCATTAGATGAGGACTTGCCAATATAGGGAATGAAGGCATAATGTGTGCTTTAGGTAATTAGATAGATAGTTGAGAATTAAAGGTTGAGTCTAAAGAATTTGACACCAACATGCTTAAAGAGAAAAGAAGAAAGTACCTAGAAGGAGATAGTGAAGAAATTTTTTGGCATGAGTAAAACTATTTAAGATTATAATACCTTAATTATATTAAGGTATTATACAAAATGTTTTAAGTATTTCTAAAATTAAGAATAATAATTATTACAAATATAGATTATTAACATTAAAGAAGTCACTGAAGATATTAACAAAACCACTTATTTGTGGAAAAAAAAGTGTTGATATTAAGGAAGTTTAAGCAACAAACTTATTTGAGAAAGGACCATTGATGTAGTTTTCTTTAGGTAGATTTTTTTCATTGAGTAAGTATGAAATAGAGATGCATTAAAAAGATGTAAATCAAGTTGGATATTTTAGTACTGTCAGTTACCAGTTTCCAAGCATTACATTTGATTAAAATAGATCATAAATCTATTTGTAGATGAATAAATTCTGTGATGGTTGAGTAAGGTTTGGAAGATATTTGCTAAATGAAGTTTGCAGTGCTATAAACTTTGAGAAGAATGAACCTTTACTGCAAGAAAATTTAGATATTTATTAAGTTAGAGAAGTAGTTTCTTTATACATTTTTAAAAACTGACTAATATCCATATTTATTTGTCATTTAACCTTAACACAATGTCAAATTCAGAAATTTTTAAATGAAATACATTTAAAATACGCTAAAGAAACCTGGGGAAATGTTGAACTCCTCTGTTAAAGAAACCAAGGCTCAAAAGTGAAATAAACTTCTAACCAAATGTCTCTCTATCATCTCTGTTCTCTTTCATTCTAATAATATTCCTACTATAAAAGCAACTCAATTTTGTTCAGAAAAATAAAGCATAACTTTATTGTGCTCTTAGAAGTTTATTTATTATTCCTTGGTTTAATTTTCAGCTTTACTATGAAGAAGCTTTAGAATTTGGCATTTAAAGTCTGGGCACGGTGGCTCACGCCTGTAATCCCAGCACTTTGGGAGGCCAAGTGGATGGATCACCTGAGGTCAGGAGTTTGAGACCAGCCTGACCAACATAGTGAAACCCCGTCTCTACTAAAAATACAAAAATTACCTGAGTGTGGTGGCACGTAGCTGTAATCCCAGCTACTTGGGAGGCTGACACGGGAGAATCACTTGAACCCAGGAGGCAGAGATTGTAGTGAGCCGAGATGGCACCACTGTGCTCTGCCTGGGTGACCGAGTGAAATTCTGTCTCAAAAAAACAAACAAACAAAAAATCAAAAAACAAAAAAAGAATTTGGCATTCAAATGTTTTATGTTTTTACATATTTATGAATATTTTAAACATGGAGAATGTGATATGGGTAAGATGGACATTTTTTATGTATATTTTGCCAAAAATTCTATGTGCAAAGGCAAAATCTCCTAACTTTAGCACAAATTTCTTAATATTCCCAGATTTATGATCACAGTCCATTTGCCATCTTAAGAAAGGTTTGCAGACTCCTAAGTCTTCAAAAATGTTGGCCAAATCAATTAGGCAACACACTTTATAATATATCCTTAATGTCCATATCCTTTCCACTGACAAAGCTGGACTAAGGAGTTTAAAATTTTTTTTTAATTAAAAGAAGAGAGGGAGAAATTCGATGTTGACTATGTATATCTGTTGCAGCAGGATTATAATTCATCTTCAACCTCATGTTTGTTATTTTCAATCCTTCATTTCTTTGCAGGAGTGTTGTGGTGCCTGTAAAGAAACCACCTCCAGGTAGTTTAGCTGTAACCACTGTGGGAGCCACTACTGCTGGAAGTGGGCTGCCAACAGGCAGTACCTCTAATATATTTGCTGCTACTGGAGCTACACCAAAAAGTATGATTAATACAACAGGTATTGTACTTACATATTTTTGTGATACTCATCTTTTTATGTTTTCTGTATCATTTTTCTGCTTATTTGATCTTAAAAATTAAAATACCCTAATCATTTAAGATTATCTTAATTTTTAAGAAGGTTATATTTTATGTTATGACTTTTAGAATTTGTCTGTAGTTGTAGAGTGCATTTTTTAGTGGTCATTTTAGAGGACAGTATTGGTTTTGAGTCTTCTCAAAACAGTGCTGTTTATTTTCAGAGTGAAATCAGATTACTGAAAGATATTTGGGGAGCAGAAGCAAAGGATAATTTGAACACTGAAGTTTGATATGTAAAAATCAGTAAAATGTATCAAGAATATCAAGATGTACTAAAAATGTTAGTGACAGAAAGTAGATTTGGGGACATGATTGGTTGAGTTCTAATATATATTCTTTGCTAAATCCCCTAAGGGAGGCAGAGCTCCCCTAAGAACCTTGACGATATGCAAGCGCCTCAACTTGATAAAAAGTGCATGTGAATAAGAACCATTGTTTGACGTTGAATTAATTCATATACATAGATTATAACTTGATCCAATTCATTGCCCAACAAATTCCTAATGAATCTAGGAACAAAAAATTTCAAATCAATTACAAATATTAAAAGTCTGCCTAAAATAACCTTTTTTTTTTGTAAATTTCCAGAAATGTTCCTGTTGATTATTAGCTAAATAAATCCTTACCCAAATCTTTGTGATTCCATTTTAGGTATTTATACAGCGCAAGATGATCCCTGACTTTTCTTCCCTGACTATAGTAGTCTTCTCTTCTCCAAACTGTATAGCCTTGAACTTTTCCATTTATTATCATTACTTAGATTCTTCCCATTTTTATTAATTTCATAGCTCTTTTTTGTGCTTTCTGTATCTATCTTGTTTATCATACCACCTGAGTCTGACATATCATGAACAACACATTTATGGGGTTGTAGTAAGTAGAATGTACTCTATTAAGAATATTTATATTGGCAAATGAATGTCATTAATGGCATTGTGTCAAAGAATAGACCATCTATTGTTTACCTGTATTATAAATAGATATTTCTATCTGGCTTGTCTGAAGACTTTAAAGTCTTTCCAGTATTAGAGTTTCATTCTTTATACTCATTCAGCTTTCTAGAAATAGGAGTAAAACTGTTTTTCTTTTACTAAAGTATATACGTTAAAAGTGTAAAGGTTTTAAAAATATGAATAAAGTCCTTATTCTTGTTAGGAGTTAGGCAAATGCAAAATGAAATCACCTTTTTTATTTTTATATGAGACAAGTCATGATGTTTTCTTTTTAATTTCTATTTTAAGAATTAATAATATGGAAAGTGATGGTAGCAAGAGTTTTGATGATAATATAAAGTATATAATATTATAATGAGAAAAATGTAAGTGATAAACTTCTTAAAAGTGTGTGTGTGTGTGTGTATGTGTGTGTGTATAAATTGTGAGCCAACAGCTAAAGACTGGGCATACTGTTCATTTCAAATATTGGCACATAGGTGCTATAAAATGTTATAGTGGAAATCCCAGTAAGCAATTCAGTTTTATGGGAATTAGTATAAGATAATAATATTTAGGAACACTAGATGTCCCTCAACTCCACAGCTACTTAATATACTTACGTGGCATATGATAGAAAAATCTTTACTAAAATGGCATCTTTATATCATTGAGGGAAGACTCATTATTTTAAGACCAGGTACTAATGTAACTCATTATAGCCCTTCTTAAGCAGTGATCTTATCAAAAGGAGCATTAGATGCTTCAGTGCCACAAATTTACGCTCAGATAGTTCACTCCAAACTATGTCTTAAATGATGAAAACCAAAAATATTACAATGTAGCTATAAAAAGATAAGTTTTTCACCCCTAAGTTTGCATTGTTTTATCAGCATCATTTTATCGAAAAATTTTTTCATTTCTTGATGTTTTTTATTTATACCCCATTTGTAGTATGTAGTTTTGTTAGATTAATGTAAGTAAATCAATTAGATTTCAATGCAACATCTGTTATATAAAATTATGTTCATTAGCATACTTACTAATGGCCAAATGATTAATTGTCAAATTCGGTTTTGAAAATCTGATGAGTAATTCTTTCAAAATCAGATAGTAATGGTGTAATTAAAATTTTTTTAAATAAATTTATGTTTAAGGCTAAAAATTATTATTTTGGGAACAGGTGCCGTGGATTCAGGGTCCTCCTCCTCTTCCTCCTCTTCTAGTTTTGTGAATGGTGCTACTAGCAAAAACCTTCCAGCTGTACAAACTGTTGCTCCAATGCCAGAAGATTCAGCTGAAAATATGAGGTATGCATGACTACTTTTTATTCATTTTAACTCTTTTTAAATGTAGTGAAACAGTACACAAAAATACAAAAATATAGAAAGAGTTCTTGAGAATGAAGGTTAATTATTTTGTGATTACATTTCACAATTCTGATATTTTTGGCTAGTTATTATGTAAAAATCTATGATATATTTCGATCTAAGCAGAGATCTTCAGTGATTTTAAAATGTTCACTGTCGTATAGTGTATAGTAATTCACTGTCATTTAGTGCATGTTACTATTTCCGGTAAAGGTTAAAACATGTACAAATGGTAACATGATAAAATTGGGCATCTTTGGGGGGTGATAAAAAGTTTAAAATATAAACTTTCAGGCTAGGTGTGGTGGCTCACGCCTGTAATCCCAGCACTTTGGAAGGCCGAGGAGGGCAGATCACTTGAGGCCAGAAGTTGGAGACCAGCCTGGAAAACATGGTGAAACCTTGTCTTTACTAAAAATACAAAACTTAGCAGGGTGTGGTGGTGCACGCCTGTAATCCCAGCCACTCGGGAGGGAGGCTAGGGCAGGAGAATCACTTGAACCCGGGAGGCAGAGGTTGCAGTGAGCCTAGATCACACCACTGCACTCCAGCCTGGGTTGACAGAGTGAGACTGCATCTCAAATAAATAAATAAATAAACAAATAAACAAACAAACTAAGTAACTTTCAAAATAAATCTACAATGTTATATATAACATCATTGGAACTTGAATAAGCAAACATTACCTTATCTGTCATGATTAAAGACCATTCCTAGAAGAGACTGGCCCTCATTCTTGGAGTAAGATTGTGTATACGTGTACACACACACACACACACACACACACGTATGTATTCACAGTTTTTATAGAAGTATAACACAAATATAGAATATAAAAGCTTATTGAAAGAATGAACACACTCATCATCAACAAAGTCAACAAATAGACTGTACACCAGGAACGCCTACTTTGCACTTTTTTCCCAGTCACTGTTCTTGCTTTTCTTCCAATTCCTTACCCTGACTTTTAATACTAAGCTAGTTTTGTCCTTTTTGAATTTTATGTAAATGTAAGTACATCCTATGTATTTCTTTGTCTCTGGCTTCTTTTGTTCAACATTATTTTTATGAGATTCATCTACTATTGTTGCATATAACGAGTTTATTCATTTATTCTCCTTTTATTTATTTATGTGTCTATACCATAATTTATTAATTCATTTTACTGATGATGGGCATTTGGAATTTTCCATTTCTTAGTTATTACAAATAATACTGCTATATAGATAAGGCCACTTATAATTACTATGAGTATACTACTATTACATGTGTGTACTGCACATTAATATGCATATTTGTTAGATAATTTGGAGTGTAATTGCTGATTCGTAGTGTTTGTATATGTTCAGTTTTACTAGATAATGCAAAATGGTTTGCAAAAGTGGTTGTACTAGTTTACTAACTCAGCAGCTGATTATGAGAGGTCTTGTTGCTTCATATCTTTGATAGGACTTAGTATTTAGTCTCTGTCATTTTAGCCATTTTGGCAGAAGTATAGTGGCATTCCATTGTATTTTTAGTTTGCATTCTCCTGATAATAAATGAGGTTGAATACTTTTTAAATACATTGGTCTTTTGTTTTCTTCTTTTGATTTGCCTGTTGAAGTCTCTAGTCCATTTTTTTAAATTGTGGGCTTTTTTTTGTCTTTTTCTAATTAATTTTTTGAAAATGAGCCCTTTGTAGATTATATGCCATACATATATCTTCTTCCATTTTCTGGCTTTTCTTATCATTATCAATATGGTCTATTTTGATCAACAGAAGTTGTAAATTTTAATTAAATTCACTTTATAATTTTTTGGTTTATAAGTGCTTTTGGTGTTGTAAATGCTTTGTCTACATTTTCCCTGTCTTGCCTTCTGGCTGCTTTATTCTTTGCTTTTTATATTTAGATGTGTAATCCATTTAGAATTTTTTGTGACTAAAATGAGGTAGGAGTAATAGGTATACGAAGATGACCCAGCACCATTTATTTGAAAGACACTTCTTTTCCCTGTGTTCTGTCACTTTTGTCACAAATTAGTTTTTCATATACACTTGATTATGGTTCAGCAAGCAGCTCTGCCTCATCTCTTTGTCTGTCTTTAAGTCATACCATCTTAATTAGCCTTAGGTTTAATAAATATTGAGTTGAGTAAGATCTTCTCACCCTGTTATTTTTCCTCAAGAAAGTCTGAGGTATTCTTGATGCTTTGCATTTACATTTATATTTAGAATTAGTTTGTCAGTATCCATTTTAAAAACAACTTGCTGGGGTTTTCATAAGTAATGGAGTATTTGGATCTATTGCAAGTGGGGCTATATAGGTCTCTTTCAATCTGTGACTAACAAACTGTGATTATCATATATTCCTACCATTTCCTTAGGTGTTCTTATTTTTTTTAGTAATGATTTTTAGTTTTCTATGTGGAAGTCTTAGATGTTTCTAAATTGATTTATTCTTAGGAATTGAATATTTTGTATGTTTCTATTTTCCTGAAGTTTTCAGATAAACTTCACTGAAACTATTTGTTTATATTGTTCAAACTCAATAAAAAACACTCATTTTGAGCATACATTTTAATGAGTTTTGATTAGTTTATGCATCCACATAACCACCACCACAATCAAGATGTAGAATATACCCATCACCCCGAAAGTTCTGTGTGCCCTGTTTGTTATTCACTCCTATCTCTGCTCCAGGGAAACACTGAAGTGCTTTTTAACATTGTGAATTAGATTTGCCTTTTCAAGGTTTTCACATAGATAGAATCGACAGTACATACTATTTTTGGTGTCTGTCTTCTTTCATTCATCCTAATGATCTGTGATTTATCGATATCTTTTTGTTTATGAGTAGTCTATTCCTTTTTATTGGTAGGTATTATCCCATTATATGGCTATTAATAATCTACTCTTCTTTTCACCTGTTGATAGCCATCTGGGTTTTCCCATTTTGTTGTAGTTATAAATAATGATTCTATAGATATTTGAAAACACGTCTTGGTGTGGACATAAATTTTCATTTCTTATGGCTGAACACTAGGAGAAAAATTGTGGTTGGATAGTAAGTGTATGCTTAACCATTTGAGAAACTGCTGAGCTGTTGTGCAAAGTAGTAGTATCATTTTATATTACTGTCAGCAATGTGTAGTTCTATTTTTTCCATATTCTTGTCAGCACTTGGTATTGTCAGTCTTTTTAAGACTTTATAATGGGTGGGTAACCATATCTCATTTGGTTTTATGTTTTCTTTCCTATTGATTAATGATGGTGAGTATTCTTTTTTGCATATGCTTATGGGCCATTGAAATCCCTTGCTATCTTTTAAAATTTTTCTTGAGATATGAGTTCTTTATATATTCTTCATATATGTCCTTTGTGAGAAACATGCAGTCTAGAATTTTTTGTTCCATTTTGTTGTATATATTTTTATTTTCTTAAAATTGTTAATAACAAAAGTTTCTAATTTGACAGAGTTCATTGTCTCAAATAGTTTCGTCTTTTATGATTTGTGCCATTTGTAAATCATAAGAAATCTTTACCTACCACAAAGTCATGTAGATATTCTACTATATTTTCTTCTAAAATAAAAGTTTTGTAGTTTTATCTTTATTAGGTTTCTGATCTGTTTTGACTTAGTTTTTGTGTCTGTGGTGAGGTAAAGGTTGGGATTTGGCTCTGTCTTTATGTATATTAATGTTTTAGTACCATTCAATTACCTTGGAATTGATTTAAAATCAATTGACCACCTATGTGTAGATCTATTTCTAGACTCCATTCTGTCCCATGAACTATATGTCACTACTGCACTATCTTCCTGTATCGTAGCTTTATATTAAGTTTTGAAAGAGATGATGTAATGTAAGTCCTGTAACTATTTTTTTTTTACTTTTCTGGGTTAATTCGCATTTTCATGTAAATTTTAGAAGTGACTTGTCAATTCTAAAGCAACAAAAAAAGAAATTCTGCTGAAATTTTAATTACAACTCTGTTGAACCTTTTAATTTGAGGAGACTCTTCATCATAATACTGAGTATTCAAACTTTTGAAATTGTCATTCATTGGGATCTTTAATTTTTTTCAGCAACTTATTGTAGTTTTCATTGTAAAACTCTTGTACTTATTTTTATGTCTTTTTAAATTTTTATGTTTTTCTAAATTTTCATGTGTTTGATGATATTATATTAGATTTTTTGCTGTAAATTTCCAATTGGGAGTTAGAAGCCAGACCAAAAAGAGTACATAGTGTATGATTCCATTTTTATGAAATTATAGGAAATGCAAATTAATTTATCTTAAAAAATAGCAAATCAGTGATTGCCTGTGTCAATTTTACCTCAATAAAACTGAAAAAAGGGGATAATTTTGTATTAGTACATTGATTTTTATATATTGATTTTATATTTTATAATCTTGCCACTTACTTTTAGTAAACGTGGTAAGTTGTTTAGAACTTTCTAAACTCACATAATCGATCTAACACTTTCTGTAGTTTCCTTATTATTTTCTATGCATGAGATAATGTCACTTGTAGCTTTAGTATTATTTATCCTAAAATGTTTGAGAATTCACCAGTACAGCCATTTCTGCCTGGAATTTTCTTTCTGGGAAAATTTAAATTATAGATTTAGTTTTTTTAATTGATAAATGAGTATCCAGATAGTATATTTATTTTTGTATCTGTTTTGTTATTTTTGTCTTCAATGAATTTACCCATCTTATCTAAGTTGTTGGATTTATTGCCATAAATTCTTTGTAATTTTAAAAATTTTATTATTAATATTTTAAAATATAAGCATGATCCCTAATGATGTTCCCTCTTTCATTTCAGATTTTGTTATTTTGTTTTTTCTCATTTTTTCATTATCAGAATAGCTATTGCTTTTCAATATTATGATTTCCCCCCAAAAATGATACTGTGTTCATTAATATTTTTAGAGTGTTTTTTTTCTATTATGTGAATTCTGCTCTTATTACTCCTTTCTATTTACATCACGTTTGCTTGCTTTTTTCTTCCCATATCTTAGAGTGGAAACTGAGATTGAGTGTCTATAAACTGTGGACCATGGGCCAAATCATTCTGCCACCAGCTTTGTACATAAAGTTATTGGAATACAGCCACACTCATTTGCTTATGTATTGCCTATCACTGCTGTCACATTACTGTGACTGAGTTAAATAGTTGGAACAGAGACGATATGGCCTAAAGCTTAAAATATTTACTGTCTTATCCTTTACAGATGTTTCCCAGCCCCTCTCTTGGATCTTTGATTTTAGAACTTTCTTGTTTAATGATATGGTATATGAGCATTTAAAGCCATAACTTTTCCTCCAAGCACAGTTTTACCTGTATTGTACAAATGTAGTATTTTTTATATTCAATTCAATATTTTTTTCTAATTTTCCCTATTTCTTCTTGGATTCATACACTTTACAGAGGTGCATTTTGACATTTATCTTCCTTCACTAAAAATACTGCCATGCAATCCATTCAAATTGTTGCATGAATTAATAGTATGTTCCTTTTTTATTTCTCAGTCATATTCTATGGTACGGATGACAGTTTGTTTAAACATACACCTACTAAAGGACATTTAAGTTTTTTTCCAGTTTGGGGCTATTAAAAATAAAGTTACAGTGGACATCTGTTTTTATGTGAACATACATTTTTGTTTCTCTGGGATAAGTACCCAAGAGTGAGATTACTTGCTCTATGGTAAGTATATGATTAGTTTTATAAGAAACTGCAAAACTGTCTTCTAGAGTGGCTTAACCACTTTATGTTTCCACTGGCAATGTGTGAGTGGTCCAGTTTCTCCTCATTGTTACCAGCATTTTTTTAAGCATTCTGATAGTATGTAGTGATATCTTACTGTGGTCTGAATTTGCATTTTCCTAATGGATAAATATGCAGAACATCTTTTCTTGTGTTTATTTTCCATCAATATGTCTCCTTCATGAATTGTCTGTTCATGTCTTTTGCCTATTTTTTAATTGGATCACTGTTTAACTTTTGAACTCTGAGAGTTTTTGTTATATTCAAATACAAGTCCTTTTTTAGAAATTTAGTTTGCAAATATTTTATCTTAGACGTGCTCCCTGTTTCATCCTTTTAATGGGTTTTTTAGCAGAGAAAAATTTAAATTTTTTTTAATCTGGCTTGTCAGATTTACCTTTTTATAGTTAAGCTTTTGGTGTCATGTCTAAGAGCTCTTCACCTACCTCTACTTTCCCAAAATTTATATTGTATTTTCTATAAAGTTTTGTGGTTTAAAAGTTGTTTTACTTTTAAGTCTGTGATCTATTTTGAGCTGATGTCTGTGTAAGGTGTGAGGTTTAGGTTGAGGTACACATTTTTGCCTATGAATGTTCATTTGTTCCAGCACCATTTGTTGAAAAGGCTATCCTTGCCCATGAGGCATGTTTTTAAGACCTTTTAAGGCAAATTTAGAGAGGCCTCTCTTCTTGGATTGCTTTTGCCACACTTAGAAAGGGTAGACTTGCTAGAATTTCTCCTGAATGCTCAGTGTATTTAATGAGATCTCTCCTTTCTGGCTGGAGGGAATACAGACTATTCCCAGCACTATGCACTCTCAGTGATGTTTGTGTTGCAGCTCCTTCATAATTATTCTTTTCAAAAAATTATTCTATTCTAGCCCTTGGAGCTTTCAGGCTTCACATAAGTAGATTGCTATTCAGCCTAAGACTCAGGTTTTGGGAAATTTTTTTCTTCATAGCTTCCTCCTCTCAGGGACTCTGTTCTGCAAATTCTATTCACCTTGGCCGTTTTGAACTACAGTCTCAGTCGTGTCAACTCAAAAACATTGCAGGACTCAGTATTTGCCATAATATAGGAAATACCTCCATAAAGGAAACATGGATGATGGGGGAGCTCACCTCATTGGTTTCCCTGTCCTTAGGGTTCATAGTCCTGTACTCCCTGTATTGCCTGAAAATAGTTGTTCCCTGTATTTGTCTAATATTTTTAACTGTTAGCATGGAAGGTAATTTTAGACCATCTTACTTTTTCAAGGCTACAAATGAATTTTATATTCTTATCATGTTGTCAATGATTTCTTTTATAAATTTTAATTCTTTTAATTGTTTCCCTTTCAGTATGTTGACAGAATATCCTGAAATGTTAACTCACTTATTATTCCTAATTATTTTTCTATAGATTGTTTCAAAATGTATATGTATATACATAATTCTGTCATCCACGAATAATGGGGGAGTTTTTTCTCCCATTAAAATCCTTGCACCTTTTAATTTCTTTTTCTGAACTTACAGTGCCACCCAGTACCTCTAATGCAATTTATTATAGTCATGGTTATAGCAGGCATTCTTTTTAAATTCTTCATCTCAGATGAAAAACATTGAACATTTATCATTAACTATGATGCTTCTTACCTATTAATTATATATAATTTTCAATAAATGTTATACATCTCTTATATTTGTAATTAACAAAAACTTGCTATCATGACGTATGTTGAAGTTTATCTTATGCTTTTTAAATATACACTAAGATGATCATGTGGTTTTTCTCCTTCTGTTAACATGGTATACTATATTGATTTAATTTTTAAATGCTAAAAGAATTCTCAATTTCTGTAAGAAATCCAATTTCATTGTAATGTGAAATAGATTTATCTCTTGAAAGCTTCTATAAGATTATTTTTTTATTTTTTCCCCTGAAATATTTAGTAAACTTCACAAGCAAAGACACCTAATCCTGGATCTCTTCTTTTAGGAAAGTTTCTTAATTAAAATTTCAATTTAATTAGTTACAGATCTCCCAAAATTTTCTATTTTTTTCTGGTGTCAGCTTTGTTAGGTTTTTGCTGGCATAAAGCTTTTCATAATATTATTGTGTTATTCTTTTAACATTCATATAATCTGTAGTAATGTCCCTTCTTTTTAATCTTGATATTCTTTATTTAAGCTAGCCAGCTTGTCTGCCTTCCTGCCTTCCTGCCTTGCCTTCCTTGCCTTCCTTGCCTTCCTTCCTTTTCTTGATAAGCTCTGGCAGTGATTAATCAGTTTTATTCATATTGCCAAAAAAATGTCTAGAGAGAAATAACAAGAAACGGTTAAGTTGAAAGTTGTACATTGTTTGTTTCCTTAGTGCAGTAGTTTTCTAACATCAGCATGCATCAGAATAACATAGAGGGCTTGTTAACATACAGATTGCTGGATACCTAATTCAGTAGGACTCCAGTAGGGCATGAGAATTTAGGGCACCTCTAACAAGTTTTTAGGTGTGTTAGTCAAGCTTATTTAGAGAAACAGATTAAATAGGATGTTTACATTCATATGAATATACATGCATATACACATGATTTATTATAAAAATTTGGCTCACATGATTATGGAAACTGAAAATTCCCAGTATCTGCAGTTAGTATGCTAAAGACCCAGGAGAACCAATGTGTAGTTCTAATCAAAGTACCAAGGTCGGAGAACCAAGAGAGCCAGTGATACAAGTTCCTATCCAAAAGCTGGCTGGCTCAAGACTGAAGAAGAGCCGATGTTTCCGTCTGAGTCCAAAGGCCAAGAAGAGACCAGTACTCCTAGCTCAAACATTCAGGCAGAAGGAGTTTGCTCAACTTTTTTGTTCTATTCATATCTTCAACTGACTAGATGAAGCCTTCTTCCATGAAGGAGGGCAGTCTACCTATTCAAATGTTAATCTTATCAATAGATACCCTCACAGTCATACCCAGAGTGCTGTTTAATCAAATATCTGGACACCCAGTAAAATTGACCCATAAAATTAACCACGATGCTAGATCATGCTGATGCTGCTGGTCCAGAATACACACTTTGAGAAACAGTGTGTAATTGATAATCCTCCACATCGCAGGAGTTATCCTTGATTTATCGAGGTCCTATTCCCAGACAATGCATGGCCCTTCCTTACTCTAGTTTAACTTAATTTACCCCAAATTTTGCAGACATACATGTACATATGTATGCATGTGTGCATGTTCATCTTAAATTCACACCCTGCAAGAAAGTATACTTATTTTATTGGTCAACATCTGTTTTGATTTAGCCAAATGACTATCATTTTTTGTTGCTCATCATTCTTTTCTGAATGTCTGACCTCCACCTAGTATCATATTTCTTCTTCTGAAAGAACGCTTCTTAGTATTTGATTTAGTGCAGGTTTGCCTGTCATGAATTTTTAGTTCCTATTTCTCTAAACATCTTGGAAATCCACCTCGATGTTTGAAAGGATATTTTGAACCAATAGAATTCTAGGTTGGCAATTATTTTCTTATAGTGCTTTGAAAATATCATTTTATTGTCTTTTGGCTTTTTTCATTCTGTGTTTTATTTATTTATTTTATAGGTTAATTCCTAGTCATATTGTTTCTGTTCTCCACTCCAACCCACCTGATGTCTGTTTTAAAGGTGTTCTGTATTTTGGGAGTTGATAAGTTTTACTATGATGTTTTCAGGCGCTGTGGATTTTCTTTGTATTTATCCTGCTTAAGATTTGTAGAGTTTTTCAAATCTGAAGTTTTATCACTTTCATTCAATTTTGAAACTTCCTAGCCATTACCTCTTCAGGTATTGCTTCTGACCCATTTTATCCTTCTGTTAGAGCTTATCTTACATAAAAATTAGACTTTTTAAAAATACATTTCTTACCTATCTATATCCTTTCCCCCTATGCCTATTTCTCTCTCAGTGATTTTGAGTATTTTCTTTTAACCTATAGTCTACTTTACTAATTATCTCTTTAGCTGTGTCCAGTCTTCTCAGTTCTTAATTTCAAGTTTTATAAGTACTCAAATTTCCATTTGACTTTTGTGGTTTAATATTATCTTCCAGCTGGGCGTGATGGCTCACGACTGTAATCCCAGCATTTTGGGAGGCCGAGGTGGGCAGATCACAAGGTCAGGAGTTCGAGACCAGCCTGACCTTCATAGTGAAACCCCATCTCTGCTAAAAATACAAAAATTAGCTGGGCATGGTGGTGAGTGCCTGTAATCCCAGCTACTTGGGAGGCTGAGGCAGAAGAATTGTTTGAACCCAGGAGGCCAAGGTTGCAGTGAGCTGAGATTGTGCCATTGCACTCCAGCCTGGCGACAGAGTGAGACACTATTTCAAAAAAAAAAACAAAAAACTAAAAAAACTTCCAATTGTCTATCTTATCCAGTTGTTTATCTTGATCTTTAATTTCCTTGAATGTAAATATAGTTACCCTAAAGTCTTTGATTATTTATCAGAGCTACCTCTGTCATCTTGTGTTACTTTTGGTATTCAATAATATCTTCCTGTCTACTTATATTTCTTTTCTTGTTATTATTATGTGAAAAACCTATGTAGTATCTGAAAGATTATAAACATAATATGAAAGTACAAAGTGGTGTTTTCTTCCAGAAAAAAATGTATTTTTTTCTAGTAAGCATTAGCAATCCTAAAGGACCTTAATGAAGTCAAGGTTAGAGGGCCAGTCTTTTTTCGATTCACCACTTCTTTAAAGTGTAGTTCTATAGGATCTCAACCTATAGAATCATAAATCAGATAAACCTATAGAACCTTACATCATAAGGGTTTTTCTAAGCTTTTTTTCCTCTTTAGTAGGCTCTGAGCTCCAAAAATTTTGTTGAATTTCAATCATTCAGTTGCTTCTACCAAAACATGTCCATGGGAGAAGAGCGGTCCAGAAACCAAAATCATCTTAGAGTTTCTTCTTCAGGATCATGGTCAAATAATTGACTTCTGTCTTAACTCTCCATTTCCCTCAGAGAAGTGTTTTTGATTTTGTCCAGCTTTTTTAGTTGTTCTCAGCAGGAGAATTTGCCTATTACTAAAGGTAGAAATCCACATTATTTTTATATAGTTATTGTGTTTATGATCATATATTAGATGGAGTGTAAATGTTAAAATGGCTTGGTTTTTTTTAATCACTGATTTCAGCTGGATTATGTCAGATCCATTCCTTCTGATCCTTAATTATATAATAGAAAAATGTGTAACTTTTTGGTAATTTTTAAGTTGTATAAAGTTCATCCAATTAAACATTTTCAACTCCTTACATGACTTTCTTTATTTTAGTGAAGGGTTTTGATGGTAATTTTTTCCTTTCTTTAAACTTGTCTATATTTTTATACTTAAAGCAGTTCTGCTTTTTAAAAAAATCAAACTGACAATTTTTATATTTTAATTGGTATTTCTACATCATTTGCATTCAGTATAATCACTGACATGATTGTATTGATATCTACCAATTTGGTAATTGTTTTAGAATAAATTGTTACTTTCCATCTGTACTTTATTTTCTTTTTCTTCTTTTATGCCCTCTGTTGGGTTAATGGAGTATTTTTTTTATTATTTCATTTTCTCTCCAATATTGTCTTATTGTAGACAATATTTCAAACATTTTTAAAATGCTTAAAATAAAAGACAACTTTTTAAACATTTTAGGGGCTTCTCTACGACTTACAATATAAATCTTTAAATTATCAGACTCAGTTTTTAATATTATTACAAAGTTTCATGTGTTAATAAAGATGCTTGTAACAGTTTACTCCTAATTCCTCTTTCACATCCTTAGTGTTAATGTTGTCATACGTTTTACTTTTATATATCTTAACGAAGAAACAGTAGGCCGGGCATGGTGGCTCACACCTGTAATTCCAGCACTTGGGGAGGCTGAGGCGGGTGAATCACCTGAGGTCAGGAATTTGAGAGTACTAGCCTGGCCAACATGCTGAAACCGCATCTCTAATAAAAATACAGAATTATCTGGGTGTGGTGGCATGTGCCTGTAATCCCAGCTACTCCGGAGTCTGAGGCAGGAGAATCACTTAGAACCCGGGAGGCAGAGGTTACAGTGAGCTGAGACTGTGCCACTGCACTCTAGCCTGGGCGACAGAGTGCGACTCTGTCTTGAAAAAGAAAAAGAAAATAAACAGTACACTGCTATTTTGCTCTAGACAGTGAATTTTATTTTAGAGCAATTAAAAATAAATGCATTTTATAGATTTATTTATCTTTTCTAGCACTCTTGTTTGTATAAATCTGTTTTTGTCTGGTATATTCCTTATACTTGAACTACATTTAAAAGTATTCGTAGTACAAAGTCAGCTACATGAATTACCTCCGTTTTTGTTGTCTAAAAGGTCTTTATTTTACCATCTTTTTCTAAAGAATTTTTTGGCTACATATAAAATTGTGGACTTATGTAATTTTAAAATGGCTTTGAAAGGGATTTCATCTCATTTCTTCTGGCTTGCACAGATTCTAATGAGAATGTCATTCTTATCTTTGTTCCTCTTTATGGAATGTGTCTTTATTCTCTGAATGCCTTCTTCAGATTTTCTCTTTATATTTGAATTTCAGCAGTGTATTATGTTACATATTTTTTTACTTATTTACTAAAATTCTAGTTGGTGTTTTCTGGGCTTCTTGTATCTGTAGTTTTATGACTTCATTGTTTTTGGAAAATTCTCACTCAATATCTCTTAACATATTTCTTCTGCTCTGGTATGTCTCTGTGTTAGTTTTCTATTGCTAGAATAACACGTTGCCACAAATTTGGCAGCTTAAATCAGCACTGATTTATTAATTATATCACAGTTCTGTAGGTTAAGAGTCCAACACTCAGGTCACACTGGGCTAAAATGCAGATGTTGGCAGGGCTGCATTTCTTATTGGAGACTCTGTTAGAAAATGAGCTTCCAGGCTCACTCAGGTTATTAGCATAATTCGGTTCTGTATGGCTGTAGAACACATGGACCTGTTTATTTGCCTGCTGTCAGAGGCTTCCCTTATCTCCTAGAATTCGCCTTGCGCATGGCCTCCTACATTCGGCATTAGTAATAATGCATCCAGTTTTTCTCAAACTTGGGATCTGTCTGTTTTCCTCTTATACGTATCTTTTCTGCCTTCCTCTTTTGCTGTACTTCTCTAGCCAGAGAGTTTTCTGCTTTTTAGAACACATGTAGACTGAACCTACCTACGTAATCTAGGATAATCTATTTTAATGCCCATAACCTTAATTTCACTTGCAAAATTCTTTTTGCCATGTAATATAGTTTATTCAAAGATTCCAGGGATTATGGTTTAGGTATCTTTGTGGAGCCATTATTTGGCATACCAGCATACTGCACTTCTCTTTCTGTGACTCCAATCACATTTATATAAAATTATTTGATACTGTTTAATAGCTTTTGAATGCACCAATGTGCACACTCCGTTTGAGTGTGTATATATTCTTTTTTCTTTTTGTTTTAATATGTCTATATTTTATTGGCCTATCTTCAAATTCACTGAGTCTTTCCTTGGCTTCATTGAGTCTTTTGATAAGTCCATTGAAGGCATATCATTTCTTTTACTGTATTTTTTATTTCTACCATTGTTTCTTCTTTACAGTTTCTTACTTTTGCTGAAAATTTCCATCTGTTTATGTATGTTGTCTGCCTTTTCAGCTATTAACTCTTGACATGTTAATCACAGTTATTTTAAATTATTTTATAGTTCCAACATAGGGTTCATCTGTGATTTTGATTCTATCGGTTTTTCTCTGGCTTTTTTTGTTTGTTTGTTTCTTCATGTGTAAGGTAATTTTTAGTTGAAAACTGGACATCATGTATAGGATAGTAGTTCCTGACAGTCGTATTTGTGCTCTAAATGGGTCTGCCTCTCCTTATGCTAAGGCTTTTGTGAGAGGGGTTGAGTCATTTTAGTCTGGAATTGAGCAGGGTTTATGTTTTCTTGTTGTTTTTGTTACTCTCTGTGTACCACGGACTTTAAATTTCTCTACTTTTACTTTGTGTTTAGTTAGGTGCTAGTTTTTCAGAGTGTCTTACTCACTATTTCTGTTCTACCCTGTTCTGATTCAGAGAGGTTCTCTACACTATGTAGTCCCTTCTGCAATAGTAGACTACTGTTATCTGTTACTGGGTGCTTGCAAGCCTGGTGTTCAAGGGTTCTCTTTTGTCCTGGTCTAGACTCCATTTTAGTCAAGTGCTGTCCTGGATCTTGAAGGTAGGGCTTTTTCAGTGATTTTATGTATTTCTACATGATTGGGGATCTGTAAATTTCAGGACTCAGAACGTTTCCCTTCCCCTCCCTCAGAGTAGAGGGTTTTTTATGTTCCTTTCCTCCAGCTGCAACAGGCCTCCTACTGTGCCCCAAAAGTGACAGGATTTGTTGTCTTTCTCTCAAATGCATAAGGCTTCCATTCTGTAGAGGAGATAGGAAGAAGGATCTAGGCAGAACTTTGTATCTTTTCTGCAGCAATTAATTCTCCCTCCTTTAACCTGGAGCAATGAAGGAAGTTTTCTGCAGTCTTCCATGCTGCCTCCAATTTTTCTCCTGAATACTGGTTAGGTTTGAATGGAAGAGGCTGGGCATCGTTGCAAACGCCCCTTGTGTCTATAGCTCTGGGGGTTTTATTCTCTTATAGTTCACACATGGACTTCAGAAATTTATTTAAAAAATTTAGCTGATTTTTTTCTTGCCAGCTTAATGTGGTGCCCAGTGCTGCTGCTTCCTGTTCTCTGCCTCAGGTTAGCAAGTTCATGCATCCTAAGTCTTCTTGGAGTTCCTATCCTCAGATTTCAAGCTGTTTGGTTACCTAGCAACCTCAGCTCTCTGATGAGGCCTAACAAAGTTATAATTCTTTAGATTATCTGGCTTTTTCTTGTGATTTTTGTGGGAATGACTCTAGTTTTCTACATCTGAAATAGAAGTCCTCTATTTAATTTTAAAAGTTCAAATTCTTAGTTGATTTTTCAATTTATATATTCAAAAATATTATATTTTACTAAATACTACACTACAAAATGCTCATTAACTGCTATTCCAGAAAACAAATTCTTTCGGTGCTTTACTGGGGAATATTCTTGATAACACCACCTGTAAATAAGTGGCAGTGGAAGATTGGTCTGAAGGAAAAGTAATGCAATTGTAAGAGATATTCCAGGCCACTCCATGGGAAAGCTCTGAAATTGGAATGGCTCCAGAGGTGTCCTCAATTGGGTCAAAGGAGCTGGGGTTTTTCATTTTTCTTCTAATTGACCATTGTTTGAATTCACACTGCTCCTAATGAGGGGGCTTAACCTTGGGTGAAGCAGCTCCCTTCTAGGGAGGGATTCAGCTGTGAGCCATCACCCCACAGTTCTCCTCAGAACTCTCCAGGGAAAGAATGTCTCTATCCTAAAAGAGGATCTTGGATCTTGGTGAGACACCACAGCTCCTACTACATTAAAATATTTTTTTAAATATACGAAATATTGTATTTAGGAGCATAAATGTTATTATTACAATTTTCCTGTCAAATATTTAAGATACAATTAGCCTTACCCTTTTTATCACTAGATTTGTTGTTTGGTTTTAGTTAGACTTACATTCTTGAGTTTATATTTTTATTTCACTATAGTTAAATTTTGTGTCATTTAATTTAAGTGATTGACTGGAAACAAGGAATTGTTCTACATCTTTTTTTTTTTTTTTTTTACTTTCGTAATTAGCACACTCCAAAAAACTTTTCTAAGTTGGGGATGTCTAAGGGCATCCCCAAAAAAGCATTACATAATGTCTATTCACAGATGCGATCATGGCACACAACAGCTCTGAATTCCTGGGCTCAAGTGATTTTCCTGCCTCAGCTTCCTAAGTTGTTGGGACTAGAGGTTTGCATCATCATGCTCACGTAGGCATTACACATCTTAAAACTTGAAAAATGTTTACTTGGAATTTTGTTTACGATATAAAGCAGTAAACTTTTTACTTATAAAAATATTCTATTTAGCTTCAATTTCTTAGTCTTCTATAGCTTTATCTACTTTTTTAACCTTTTCATCATGCACTTGAAAATAATTCTGTTTAGGAGTAATAAAGACAAAATGCCAGTTTTAAATTTATAAGATCACAGGGAAGTAAAATAAGTAAGCATTTTTTTTTTCAATATCATGTTTTCCGTAGCGGCCACAACCTTAGAAAGCTGTAACTTAATAAAATTGTCAGTAGGTAATTATGTCACAGGTTTGCAGATCTAGGATACATTTACTCATCAGCTATTTTAGTATGTTAAATTATATTTAATATTAGAAATTTAGTGACAACAGACACAGTATTTGAGTTGTGTCAATTCCTAGTCATAATATATAGCTGATAAGAATTTAACTTTACAATGTGTGTTTATTCTATCATTAATACTCTCTTAATCTTGTCTTTTCATCTGTGTTTACCTAAACCCAATCAGTTCACTTACCGATGCCTACATTTCCTCATTTACATAGGAGCATTCAATTAATAAAAATCTACTATAGAATTCACTAGTATAATAATTTCTTTTATGTCTGAGTAAATCTTTTAGGTACAATACTTAAGGGTATGTAATTATTTCTTTTTGTTCTATGTTTTCTTATTATAAACTACCTATTTTATATGATTTAAGAAATGAATTAGGAAATTTAAGCACTCTAATCTTTCAAATCGAATTGTTGTTTATTATATTTGTGACATTGTGCTAAGTACCTAGGAGAATACAAAAAGTAAATAAAATCAAAAATAAGTAAAAATGACTTTATGAAGTAGCACAAACATAAGGGTGTTTGTTAAAATAGAATACACAATGTATGTAGGGCCCTAAATAAGAATAGAATTATTATATTTTTCTAGAATTCTAAAACATATAACATTAAGAAAAGATCACTTTGTTATGAACTATGTTTATAAGGGGATTCATTTAGATGACAGGAGAGAAAAATCTTCTTTTTTTTTTTTACTGATTTGTGTACTTAAAATTACCATGGCTTTGGATATTTCTTGAGGCCAGTTACATTTGGCAAGATTTGATAATAATTAAGCCGTGGGTTTTCATACATTATTTTTCCCATGGATTAATTGTATTTTTATTCATACGAATTTCTTAGAATTAAGTGTGAATGAGACTTCCTTAATACAGGTAAAAGCCAATACATGATTGCAGTTTTTAAAAACCATAATTGTAAGCTTTTGTGTTTTAAGTCATATTGTTTTAATCCAATCATTGGAGCTATAGAATTTCATCTAAAGCCTTATTATTTCCTTTGAATATTTTGTTTTGAGTTGGTAATTTTGTTAGAGTGGTTTATAATTTCTCAAGTTTCAGCAAGAATTTTCTTCATGGAAATAAGTAATTCTCTTTTTTTTTTTTTATTTGTGTAAATTTAAGGGATACAAGTGCAATTTTGTTTTGTGGATATATTGCGTAGTTGTGAAGTCTGGGCTTTTAGTGTATTCATCACCTGAATAATGTACATGATACCCATTAAGTAATTTCTTACCTCTCGCTCCCACCTTCCACCCTCCAGCCTTTCCAAGTCACCAGCCTCCAGTGTCTATCATTCCATATTCTATGTCCATGTGTATACATCATTTAGCGCCCACTTATAAGTGAGAACATGTGGTATTCGCCTTTCTGTTTGAGTCACTTAAGATAATGGCCTCCTGTTCCAGTAATTTAATTCTTTTTCTTAAGAGTTTACACTTACTATTAAGAAAAATAGCCAAATTCAAAATAGTCATCAATCAAGCATCTTAAACACATCATTAGTGTGACTTAAGGGGAAAAAATAGACTGGGGAGAATAGAATGAGTGGCTTGAAATTGTATGCTTTTCAAACCACACTTGATAAAGTCTGTGGTTAGAGCCCAAGAACTTAACCAAATATTAAGTTATTAGAGTATAAGATTATAAAACTCACTCAGACTGTGCAGGGCAGATTCCCCTACATAGGGAAATACACCTTTGTATTACTTCTGTGCATAAAATGTCTTAGACTAAATGAATAGTTTTTGTTTTTGTTTTCTGTGGCAAAATAGGGGTCTTGCTCTGTTACCCAGGCTAGAGTGTAGTGGCATGATCATAGCTCACTGCAGCCTTGACCTCCTGGGCTCAAGCTATCCTCTTGCCTCAACCTTTTGAGTAGCTAGGATCACAGGCACCCGCCACCACACCTGGCTAATTTTTTAATTTTTTGGTAGAGACAGGGTCTCACCATGTTGCTCAGGCTGGTCTTGAACTCCTGGGCTCAAGCCATTCTCCTTCTTCAGTCTTCCAAAGCGCTGGAATTATAGGTATGAGCCACCATGCCCAGCCTAAATGAATGTTTTTGAATAAATGAAAGTAAACTTTCAGAGAAAACTCAAAAATCACTCTTTAGAATTTTCCCCTAAAGTCAGTATATTATGCCAGTTTTTCTTACAAAAATAATTTGCTGAAGAATACCTGGTTTTATTCTGGTGGCTATATGTTCTTTGTATTTTTATTTTAAGGAGAAAATTTTATTTATTTTTATAGGACTTAAGGGCATGGGCTTTTCTCACATTAACATAGCTTTTAATTTATTTTTTTACATATTAACAGATAGCTGTCTCATGTGTCTTGGAATTGGGGAAAAGGAGTTTTACATTGTGTGTTTCTTTGAGATGAGAATGGAAATAACAAAATGACAATATAGCCACAATATGTCTTTTTTGGTATTTTTTGTAATTAATCCTTATTTTCAGGCGATAAAGGAGGTTCTTAGGCTGAAGTTTATGTTTGTACCATTTTCTTTCAGAATTTAAATTGTGTAACAATGAAGCTAATTTATACAGCATTTACAACCTTCTTTGGAATACATTGTGGGGAATCTGTAAAAAGCAACAACAACAAAAGCTTTCTTCACTATGAAAAATGAGGATGAAGTTTTTCCATTTAGAATATTTTGCTGTTGTAATTCCAGCAGAATTATTTGATAATGGTTTATATACATAAAACTTCTAATCTCTTGCTGAGTAAAATATTATATTCTTTGCCCCCTATTAGAAAATTAAAATTCTCATTGCAGGATGATACGTAAGAGCAACATTTACTATTCTAATAAATTTTATAAGAAAATATTTGCAAAAAAATCTTAATAGGGATTCACTTTCTGAGAAATATCTGTTTTTATCTATTACCCTTTAGTCAAGATAATCGATAATAATGTATATTTATACATACTTACAGAAGTAATCAGTTGCTCGGATTAATTGAAGTTCTATTTTGTATTTAACTTAATCACCAGTAACAGTATTTTTGTAATTCTGAAGCCTCTAAATCACACCGAAATCTGTAAAATAGGGGAGAAAGTTCTCAACCTAGGATAAAAAATGTTCCTGGCTTTAACTCAATAATAGTACATTAAATCCAATAGCTATGATGCAACCCTCCATTAATCAATAATTTTTATAATTTTACTCTCACTTATTAATCTTAAATAAAAATAATCATACTTCATTTATAATTGAGCATCAGAAACTATTATATCTAGATTTTTCTCCTTTTAATAAACTCACTCTTACCATTCTTACCATTTCTTAGTAGAGGGAATTAGTTTAGCTGGGAAGAGCTGTAGGACATGATTCTAGAGATTTGAAGGAATTAATGAAATTGTAGATTCAAAAAAGAATCTCTTTGTATTCACTAACAGGTAACTTACTGTGATTATGCTTATTCGGTGACTTCAGGTAGCCTTTCTTTTGCTTGCTTCTTTGTTAATTCTTTCTAATAGTAAATACTCTCATTAAAACAGTCATTCTCAAAGTGTGTTTCCTGGATCAGCAGCATCAACACCACTGACTGAGAATTTGTACTTCTAACAAATGCTTGCCGTACACACAGACCTGCTGAATCAGAGACTAGGGTGGGGCTCAGCAGTCTGGTTATACAGACTCTCCAGATAATTCTGATCCACATTAAAGCTTGAGAACCAGTGTCTTCAGGAGGTCCTTGCTTTAGGAATTACAGAGTAGGGGAGACTATTGAAATCTCTTAATTTCAGTAAGTCTGCCAAATCCCCTTCAAATCCCTTTTTCTTACGGGAAAATGTTCCTCCAGAATTTTCTAAATATATGTGGCAGTGATCAAACTTGAGTTTTCTCCATGGTTTCTCCTTTCTCTAGAGCTGTTGACACGGGTAAGAGGAGACAGAGTTAAACAGAAGTGCTGATGGTGATACTTAGAGTGCTCAAAGATTTGAAACTTGGCTGTTTCCAATTTAGGAAAGAAGTCATCCGATATTATTCTCTAATAGCTATTTAATTGCTTAAAAAATTTAAAAAGAGGCCATAGTTTAGTTTTAAACCTTAGTAATATATTGCAAATTATTTTATGGTTAATTACCTTTTTTTCATTTATAAATTTTTGCCTCATGTGTAACAAAATGTTACCTGGCATTGTGGCAGACCTTGTATTATTTTGTAACATTGTTTAATTGCTAACTGTACATATCGTCTGTGTAGAAGAATGTGTACTCATCTAATATATTGACTTTGGTTTGTTTAATGTATCAGAATCACATTTTGTGAGTGTAAATATGGGTGTGTTCAAAGTAGAGCAAAAAAGTGAACATTATTGACCTCTCACTGTGTGCTGGGTGCTTTTCTGTGCACTTTATATCCCTTAGCTTGTTTAATCCTCACTGGGTAGGTACTGCAATCATCTTCATTTTGCAGACATAGAAAGCCTAATGTGCCTAAGGTCACCTAGCTAGTATATGATAGAGCCAGGATTCTAGTCTAAGCAGTCTTACTCCAAAGCACTTTTATCTAAGACAGATAAATCTGTTACTATGTTATTCATTTGTCTAAGCAGAAATATTTTCCTCCTCCCCATTTTTTACTTTTACATGTACCAAAGTATTTTTAAGAATGTCAAGTAGTGCTTATGTATGGCTATTAACTTAAAATTCAACAGTGAACTATATAATAATACAGCAGTTTGTAAAGAAAAGTAAATAGGCTTATGAAATGGAAAATGCCTACTTTGGCAAAGCATTCAACTGTATTACAACGAATTTCAGTTATTCCCTTATTTGTCCAGATTTCAGGTAATACCTCCTTGAGAGCAAGAATTAAATTATTTGTAACTGGCACAGGGACCCACATTGTCAGTGTTCCAGATCATTTTCTTTGATGGATAGATACATAGAGAAGGCATACAAAAACTCATTTACATGACGCTCATAGAGCGGTGGACAGTCTTTGGCCCTTTCGGGTGGCATAACCCCAATTCTTTTTCATAGTATAGTCATTGCAATTTAGCTGAAACCTTTCAGTAGCCTTATGACTGTTTGTGAAACTGTACAGGGTATCCCTTATACATGAAGCTTGTTATTATTCCATGGGCTAGAAAGGACATTTATGATTTTTAAATATTTTAATTTAGAAGTAAAGTTTATTTGACATTTTATATTGAATTATATTTATTAGTTTTTATGTCTTAATTTCAACAGCATCACTGCAAAACTTGAAAGAGCGTTAGAAAAAGTTGCTCCTCTTCTTCGTGAAATTTTTGTAGACTTTGCCCCATTCCTATCTCGTACACTTCTTGGCAGTCATGGACAAGAGCTATTGATAGAAGGTATGATTTCTCTATTATAATTATTTTAGTTTCCTATAATGTATGTATTAATCATGGCATAATTTGTGCTTCTGGAGGAATATATATTTCCAAAAGAATGTAAAGGCATTACTTCACAAATTCTAATAAGATATTCAATATGTTTTCTCTTCACTCATTTTTTTTAA
Organism: Homo sapiens; assembly: GCF_000001405.40. Taxonomy (NCBI): domain Eukaryota; kingdom Metazoa; phylum Chordata; class Mammalia; order Primates; family Hominidae; genus Homo; species Homo sapiens. The sequence continues at coordinate 35,232,787 of NC_000013.11, forward strand.
ATAACATGTTTGCATGGTCAATGCCAGTAAGAAAACTTTGAAGATGAAGAACGTTGAAAAGGTGTCAGAATGGGAGGCTTTGGCTCTTTAATCCATCTATCAGGGCTGATGTATATCCTGTCATTAAGATAACCTGTTTATTAAGCAGTGATCTCTGAAATTTCCTTCTGACTCTGAGAGCCATGCACCTTTAAGTGATTTTTCTTATTCACATAACATTTGTAGTGTGGGAATCCTTAACTAAGAAGACATTAAAAATCTAGAGAAATACTTAACAAAGAATTGATGAACCCATTGTCTCCTCAACAGCAGCTTACATACAGTAAGGAGGCAAAGGAGAAAAATTTACAAGGAGAGTGGCTTTGAAAAATATGGTTAATCAAAATCGTATTTCTTTTTAAAAAGTTTTGTTTTATGAATATTTCTGAGCTTCAGAAAGAATTAGATAATATCAAGATGATCTGTAGGTGAATAATGGCTTTAGATGCTGTTTCAGGTAGTCCTGGGATTTAGCATCCTTGTATATCTTTTTTGCTTTTCACTTCCTGTTTACTGTAGAAGAAAGAGAGTTTTCCTGTGCCTGTTCTGTTATTGTCCCAACTGCTTCTACACAGTGTTTCTATTAGGAAGACTGTGATAGTTAATGACTCGGCATCTGGGAGCTGACTTTGAATCCTAGTTCAACTACTTTCTTAGCTTTGTGGCCTTTGTGAATTACTTAGCCACTTTGTATCTTAGTTTCCTTTCTATAAATTGGAGTCAGTGATACAGCACTTTAGGGTTCTTGTGAAGATTAAATTATGCAAGGCATTTGAAGCTCTTAGAATATTGTCACATAATGAGCTTCTCAGGTTTCCAAAAGTACTGAGTTCCTTCTGGGCTAGGTACTATGTTACATAGTTTTGATATATTAGTAAACAGACAAAGACGCTTTTCTTCAGATGGAGCATATATTCTAACAAGGACACAAAATCAATAAGCATTAAACAAAATGAATAATTAAATTACATAGCATGCTAGAAGATAGTGAATGTTATGTAAAAGGATAAATACAACACAGAGAATTGGGATTACAGAATGACAAGGTTAGGCTGAAGTTTAAAGAGAGTGGTCAATTTTAAATAGGCCTCATGGTAAAAGTTACATTTGAGCAAAACCTTACATAATAAGTAATAAAACTTACTTAATAAGTGCCATACAGCTTATTAGATGAGGAGTGTTCTATGCAGAGAGAATAGTCAGTACATTGGCCCTAAAATGATAGAAAGATGTTCTTGGTATGATCTACCAACAGCAAAAATGCCAGTCTCATGTGAACCAGAAGGACAGTAGTCGAATATTAGGGCCAGAGAGGTAATGGGTTCTTTGGCTTTAACTAGTGTGTTGTAGGGAGGCTGCTGATGTTTTAAGTAGGGCTGTCACCCTGGATGCTACTATTGTCATTATTATACTCCCACCTACAAAGTGAAGTATAAAATGCTCTGAAGAATTGGATTCTGAGAAGAACCATGCTAATTCAAAGCAGCCGCAAAATGAACTTTAAAAGTTCTTGGAAGCTTAAAAACTATTGCTTGGCCGCAGATTGTGTGTGTAATTTAAATAGCTTTGTTCTAGATGTGTATGATTGACTACACAAAATCATGTATTCATTGATTCATTCAAAACAGAAGAAATATTCCTCATGGAGTTTGCAGTCTAATGAGCAAAGAGACATAAAAACCAATAATTAAAATTAAATAGGATATGTGCTATAATGAAAGTATATACAAAGGTACAGTGGGAAATGAGACTAGATGGCCTACTGACCACTTGCAGGGCACATATTCTTCTAACTGGGTCAGTGAGGTAGTTGTGTATACCTGGTCTTACTCCTGCTGCCATAAAGCCACTTCCTCATCTTTATGAGGACACAGGTTTGAAAGGGTTATGTTCCCTGCTTCTACCTAACTCCTGTAACAGCTCAACCCAGTCTTCTGAATTCCAGACATAGTTGAAGTTACCTAGCATAGACATCTAAAGCCATATACTCCAGGGATACCTCAAACTCTGTTTATCCAAAATTTGTTTTCCCTCAATTTACTTTTCCTTCTAAATGTATTTATTTTGTCATTAGCATTACTATTAATGCAAACATTTGAGGTGAAAATTTGATTTTTCTTTAGCTCTTTTCTCCTTCAACTTTAATATTTACAATTACTTCATGAGAATGAATAATTTCCGAAAACAATATTTAGAGGATAGTTCTTCAAATATTATTAACATTACAAATATTATATCAAGCCATGTATAAAAACCTTCCAAAGTAGCCTAAATATTATGTTAGCTAAAAGTGGTGGCATCATAGTTACGGATTCTAAAAGGTACTAGGTTATCAGTTGGTCCTTCTTGAGTTCCTTTTTTTGCTTTTAATTCTTTTGATTTCCTGTAGTTAGATGCTATTGAGGAGCAAGAATGCTGGTTATTGATATTTTTATTTTCATGCTTTTCTGTAACATGTGTTACTTTATTAAAATAAAGAAGTTCAGTAAACATCATTGAAAAAACAAATCTTAAATGTTTCCTCATTCCCTACAAGATAAAAGCCTTTTATTTTTTCTGTTGCTATCTATCTTTTCCTAAAATGATTTGATAGGTTTTACAGAAATGTATAAATACTGACCAAAGACATAATAAAATAAAACAGGGAATAAAGTTAGTCTTGTAATAATAATGTTAGTAGTGAGTCCTGCAATGTTATTAAAACTAAGACAAATTCTGTGCAAGTTTTCTAGCCGCCAGAGCAAAGGCACAATTATGTTGTTATAAGACTCACGTTACTGGCTCCTAAGTGATAGTCTGTGGCAATTTTATGTTAACTGCTCTGTATTGGAAAATCAGGAACCCCTGTGTGTAGTTATTTCCCAGAATCTTCCATGACCACACATTCACATTGTTTCTTACTTATTTCTTCTCATCAATGCACAGAGAAAAATGATTGAGTAATTGAGAGTTATTTTTTTTAGCTTCTCTGTTTACCTCACATATTCTGAATTGAGTGGAAAGACCATTAAGAACATGCCTTCATTGTTATCAGTGCATCCAGGTGAACCTGGATTTTTTTTTAATGTAACTATGCTAGAAATGAAATACTGGAACGGGTTAGATATTAAAAAGTTCATTTTGTGTTCCCCTGGCAGTATACAATTATATCTTGTAACTTTCTACATTCAAAGAATTTTAATACATCCTACTTTTTAAACTATATGGATGTAATATTTATGTCTTTCTTTGCTGATGTTTAAAATGACTTCTCTTTATAAAATGATGACAGCAAATGGTAGATTTTTAGGTTTTGAGTTTTGCTTTTTAAATGCCAGTGACTTGGCAGTATAAAAAGCTGACAACCCTAAAATATGATCCTTTAAATTTTTGCTAGTTCATACAACCCAGAACTCTGGAAACTATAGTTGTTTAAAAGAATGACTTTCAGTATCCCTCACAATTTGGTCATAACCCTCCCTTCCAGACCCAACTAGTCTTTATCTTCTTGCTATAAAAAAACATTTCTTAAACATGTAAAGAAGTTACATACTATCACATTTCCTTGTTTTTGTACAGCTCTTCTTTCTGCATTTAATCCTTTTTGTTTTGTTTTGTTTTGTTTTGTTTTGTTTTGTTTTGTTTTGTTTTGTTTTGTTTGAGACGGAGTCTTGCTCTGTCGCCCAGGCTGGAGTGTAGTGGCACTATCTTGGCTCACTGCAAGCTCCGCCTTCTGGGTTCACGCCATTCTCCTGCCTCAGCCTCCCAAGTAGCTGGGACTGCAGGTGCCTGCCACCACGCCCAGATATATATTTTTTTTTTTTTGTATTTTTAGTAGAGATGGGGTTTCACTGTGTTAGCCAGGATGGTCTCAATCTCCTGACCTCATGATCCGCCCGCCTCGGCCTCCCAGAGTGCTGGGATTACAGCCATGAGCCACCCCGCCCGGCCTAAACCCTTTTTTTTTTTAAATCTCCCCAAATTATACTCATCCTTTGAGTCCATTTTCAGGCTCATTAAGCAAATTAATGTCATGACTTATGTGCTCCTACAGTATTTTACTTACATAATATTAATAAAATTATTTTACACTTATTGAAATAGGAAATATCTTATTGTTTATATTGTCATTACCTAACTTAGACTCTGGTACATCATAAATATTCAGTGTTTTTCCCTTGTGTTTGCATAGGATATTATTTTTCTTTCTTGGGAGGCGAAAGCAGATGTATTGCTTGAGGCCAGGAGTTTAAGACCAGCCTGGGAAACATAGTTAGACCCTGTCCCTAGAAAAAATAAAAAATTACTCAGGCCTGGTGACATGTGCCTATAGTCCCAGCTACTCTGGAGGCTGAGGTGGGAGGATTGCTTGAGTGGGAGATTGAGGCTGCAGTGAGCCACGATCGTACCACTGCACTCCAGCCTGGGCACCGGAGACCCTGTCGCTAAAAAGAAAATAAGGAAGGATTGGTAAGATTTTATGTTCTGTGGTAAGAACTCCTGGTATTGATCAGTTCTTCAGACCTAGGAGTTTGCTGCTGCACTCATCCAAGGTCCATACTTGCTCTCCACCCCAGCCTGTAGAAATGTATGTCCTTTTATTTTCTCATTCTTGAGCATGTACTCTTACTCATTCTTTGTTCTTCGCTCTCCTTCTGTTTCCCTTCTTTCTCTAATTTGATATGCTTTTCCTTTCCCTTGAGAAGAAAATGTATCAAAGCATTATGAAGAACTCAGGACATTTACATGATAAAAACATATTTACCCTAGCTTTGAATATTTCCATTTAAGAAATAGTGCTTATGATGAATAAATCTCACTGCATTTCAATTTACCATATAAATATGTGTGTGTGTGGTAGGAACAAAACTGAATTTAGGTAACTGAAGATACTTTAATGTCTATGAAAAGAAAAAGCAATTACTCTTTTAACTTCAAATAGCCATAAAGTATATTTGAATTGCCTCTTTATTTTATGTTTTATATTCCATTTTTCTTAAGGCACACATTTATTTTTGTTTAAATTATTTCTTATGGGATAATTAATCCTTGGCAGTTTTTATTGTCGGTGTCCTTTCATTTTCTTAATTATCTATTACTTTGATTAGTTAGCTTGTGATTGTATCATTCTAGAACAATGTAGTTCACCTTTTAAGACCATTCATTAACAGTAGCTATTTTTAGGTAGCTTTTGATGTGTGTTTTCTCTTAGCAATAATTAAGGATTTTTGAAGACAGTAATTTGAAGCTTACTGAATTTTAAGAAAATTATGGGTTTTCAATTTATAAACTAATGCATAAAAACTACTTAGAATAGGTATGTATGCAAGTATCAAAACCTACCAGCCAAAGATAACAAAGCTGCCTAAGAATCCAGTTTATGTTCTGTGAGCATTGTTTATGTTCTATTGGGAGCTCACAGAAATATTCAGAGTAACTTAGTTATGATGCGGATATAGCAGAAAGTCTCATATGTGTCCAAGGACAGGAAATAAAATATAGTTGATCTTCAGGCAGCCTGGAAATGGGAGAGAAAAGTCAGTAACAAAGACTACTCCCTTTGATTCGCAAAGCAACTTTATAGCCTCCTGTCTTTTATTCTCTCTGTGTATCTACTCAGTGTTTTTACTTTCCTCCCAGACCAACTTCTCTTGCTTAGTCATCAGAACATCTCTTAGCATAGCACCTTAGCCCTGAATCTTAATGCATTTTTAATGTAAATATCCTGCATCATCTAACTATAGTCACTTAACTTATCAACAGAGAATCTGAATGGCTTAGCCAGGCCTATTACTTTGTTCCTCCTGGGTTAGGTGTCTGACCCTGTCATAATCAGCTAAGCCTGAGGTGGGATAGAGGTGTCTGAGATACATGAGGCTCTCCCTTTTAGGCTCTATATACAAGTTGAAACATTTTAGAAAGAGATGTTAGCAGTGCAGGAAATTTCACTGAAGGGTCCACTCTACTTTTGGTGGCATCAATAAATATTTTATTAAAATCATATAATACTCAAGAATATTTATGGTTTCCACGACTAGCATTTTTTAAAAGTATATAAATATAGCATGAAATTTCTACCTTCACCAAAGAGGATATCACTGACATATTCTAAAATGAATGAGCCTAGTCAAGAAGCTCCATATCATTCACAGATCATTTGTAGTAGCATTATAGGCACATAATCAGAAAAACTTGCCGTATTTTTATTTAAAAATTATAGACTAAAATATAATTTCAGAATTATTGTTTTTAAATTACAATAATACAAAAAAATGTACACAAGAAAATTGGGTAAATGGAAAATGCTGGCATAATTTTTAAATATTCCTGATTTCCTCCATAAAAAATGGATGGAAGAATAGATAATGAAACAATAACTACAAGAACAATGAATGGACATTTACAACAAAACTAGGTGACAGGTATCTCATTGGACCCCAAAATATGCCTAGGTGGGGACCATCTAGCTTATAGCTACATGATATACATGATATCAGCTTATTTGTGGCAAGGACTCATGGTGGCCATCAAATATAGATCTATTTGGAGAATTAACTAAATGAGGGTTATATAGGAGAAATTAAAGGATATGACTGCTTATTCTGAAAAATTTGAAAAATGGGGCAGTAATTATGTTGGTAGTAATATTATCGATATTACAAAACTGTTATGTAATGTTGGATAAAGCTGCTTGGTAATTATTAATATTCTAATTATTTTATCCCGTGTTCTTGAAAATCAGGATTCTGGCTGAAGAAAGGCGATCCAGATATAAAATAGGAGAGTTTAAGTAAAAGCTTTTAATTTGGAATTTGAATTGGACATTTTCATGTAAACTTATGCATACATATGCATGTACATGCACACATACACGCATACCCATATTCTATAGGTATATGTATACTATACTAGTAGCCCTGTCTGTTGTTTTGCCTGGACACAAAAACCAAGTCAGTAGCAGTGAGTACACTTAGGGTCCATATTTACTATTAAAATATCATTTGCCAATGAAAGAAACTGGGACTTTATCATAGAGAAATAAGTGATGTCAAGGCTGGGGCAGGAAATATTAATCATTTACCTGCAACATTTTGTGATACCACAAAGCAAGGAAGGTATCAAATGTTGTCAGAAGAGCTCAGGAGCTAACTTAAAGAAATTCCTGTTGTCCCAAGATGGAGCAGTTTGAGCATCCATAAATCTATTAGGTTGGTGCAAAAGTAATTGCGATTTTATTAGCAATTGGCAAAAATCGCAATTACTTTTGCACCAACCAATAATAACTGCAATGCATTGAAACACCTGGATATGTTTAAATCTATGTATTCGTAATGATAATTTAGAAAATGATTTTGTCAAATTTAGAGAATGATAGAGAACTTACTTTGAAAACTGATAAGAAAATTAAAAGAATAAAGTATTTCTTATGTCCTTTCTTTGTGAACGGATCATTGTATTATGAAGTTATTGAGGGGGGATGTTTTGTTTTTACAAAAATATATCATCTGATAAATAGTGGTGGGATATGTGAGTTAGATTATCGTTTAGCACCCTTTAAGAATTTAATAGATCTAAGCTTCAATGGCTGCTAAACTCACAAATAGAGAGACAGCTAGACAATTAGATAGGAAAAATACCATCACCTATCAAGACGGTATGTATGAATGAATGAATAAAATAAAAGCACACCTGATTAAATCTGTATATTCAACGTGTTGAATTATACCATGGGAACTCAATAATCAAAATTAATACTGGAGGAAATTCTGCAATACAAATTGAGTTGGTCTCTTCAAAATAAATTACATGGGGAAAAGAGATATAGGAAGAACCTGTAGCTTAAAAGAGATTTTTTTTTAATTTCAAAAATCACCAAAACTAAGTTGTTTGTAGAAATAACTCTATGATTTAGGTATTAAAAACTATAATCAAAGGCAAAGTGATTATCATAAAAATCAGAATAATGGTTTGTTATAAGTAGGGAGAGGGTTAGAATGGGAAACATGGAGTACTCCTGGGATACGTGGTAATAATTTATTTCTTTAGCTATTTAGTGGTTGCAAGGATGTTCACTTCATAATAGTTTATTAACTGATGTTTTCTGCAGTTTACTTATTAATATTTTGTAATAAAATATTTTAATGTTCTCTGGAGAAGATATAAAAATTCTTGAATGACGTTAAAGACCTAAATAATGGTGAACTATATCATATTCATGGTAGGAAAACTCATCACAAAAAAGTTATTTCAGTCCATGTTAATATATCAATTTTAATAAAAATTTGATTTAAAATAATTTTTAAATTATTTTCATGGAATTTAATAAGCTTTATCTTAAATTTCTGAGCAGAATAAAGGGATGAAAAAATCGAGTAATTTTGGAAATTAACAAGCTATTATAGTTAAAACAGCATAGCAGTAGCACAGAGATAGATCAGTGTGTCAGAATAAATCTCCAAGAACAGATCCCACATACATATGGTAACATTATGAGACAGAGCTCCATTGTAGACTGGGGAGAAATACGTGAACAGTGGATCTAGATCAATTGGATTCCCTTTTGTTAATTTAAAAGACAAAACAAAGTGGATCTCTTCCTCCCTGAACAAACAAAAGACACTACCACTGTGGTTGAAAATCAAATATCAAATGTTTCAGGAGAAAAAAACATAGGAAAATATCTGTAATACCAAAGGTATTATGTAAACTAGATACAAAAGCGTAAAGTGTAGAGGGTAAAAAAATCACCATATTAAAACTGTTTTGTTTTATCAAAACAACATTAAAAAGTGAAAAGATTGAGAGTAACATGAGCAATATAGTGACTACAAACCTTGAAGTCCTCATTCTCCCAAAGAAAAAATGAATGTACAAAAATACATGGACCAAATTAGTGTTGTTAGAAAGCTAATAAATCAATTAAGATTCATTAGATCAGATAAGATGTTGCAGCAATGAAGTAAACACCTAGCTAAGACAGAGCTACTCAAAACGTTAGGAAATCCATTGCTATTTTGTTTGCCCTTATCCCACACCCTCCTCAACACAGTGCAGCATACATGATAATGAGGAAATTGCTCAGTTCCCAATTACTCCTTTGGGGTGGAAGGGAAAGAATGGAACTTGCTTGCAACATTCTCACTAAAGACTGAGAAGTGACTATATTTTTTAAAAGCCCGAATTTTAACAAAAATAGTACAACGCACTCAAAGAAAGAGAGAAACATAGTTCATGCAAAGGAACAAAACAACTTCCAGAAACCACGTTTAAAGAAATGTCGGCCTCTGACTTCTTTTAAAAATAATTTAAAACAACTGTCTTTAATATGCCTATGAGCCAAAAGGTAGCAGGGACTGTCAACTAAACAAAATTAGGAAAAGGTTTTATGAACACAAGGAGAATATGAACCTAAAGAAATTATTTAAAAGCAAAAACTAATTTGAAGCTGAAAACCACAAAGGAATTAAAAAATTCATTATTAGGGTTCAAGAGTAGACTCAATTAGACAGAAGAAAGAATCAGCAAACTTGAAGACAGGTCATATGAAATTACTGAGCTAGAGGACCAAGACAAACAGAATGAAGAAGAGTGAACAGAGCCTAAAGGACCACATCTTCAGACAGACTAACATAGGTATTATGGTAGTTGCATAAGGAAAAGAAAGAGAAAAGGGCAGAGAGCGTATTTGAAGGAATAATGGCTAAAAAACTTCTCAAATTTTAGGAATCAGACATACGAACTGAAGCTCAACAAGCTCCCATGGGATAAATTCAGACACATACAGAGACACATTTTAATCCAACTACTGAAAGTCAAAGATAATCTCAAAAGAAGCAAGAGAAAATTGTACATGTACAATGAGCCTCTATAAGTTATCACCAGGTTTCTCAGTAGAATCCATGCATGCTGGAAGGCAGTGGGATGATATATTTAAAGTGCATGAAGTAAAAAGCAAAACAAAACAAAAAGAAACTATCAACCAATAATACTACCTCCAGCAAAACTGTCCTTTAAAAATGGAGGAGAAATTAAGAATTTTCCAGATAAACAAGAGCTGAGAGCATTTATTACTACTAGATCTAACCTACGAGAAATGCTAAAGGGAGTCCTTCAACTTGGAAAGAGGGATTCTACACAGTAACTCAAAGCCATATGAAAATTAAAAGTTCTACAATAGACATATTACAAATATGAAAACTTTATTATTATAATTTTGGTTCTACTATTCTTTTAAAAGATTAAAATCCAAAAATGTAAAAACAAACCTATGAATCTATGCTAATGGGTAAGCAATATATAAAGATATGACTTGTGACATAAGTAACATAACTTGTGCAGATGACTGAGCTGTAAAGGAATAAAGTTTTTATATGCGATTGAAGTTAAGTTGTTCAGTTTAAAATGAACTGTTATAATTTTAAGATGTTTTATGTAATCCACATGATAACCACAAAGAAAATTTCTATAGAAATTACACGAAAGAACAAGAGAAAAAGCAAATCACAACAAAATTCAACTACACACAAAGGAGGGAAGTACGGGAAGAAATAAGAGACAAAAATACAATGACATACAGAAAACAACAAATTAAAATAGTTCTTCCTCTTTCAGTAATTATTCAGGATGTAAATGGATAAAAACTCCTCAATCAAAAGACATAGATTAGCTGAATGGATAAAAAATCAGGAACCAACTATGTGCTGTCTTTAAGAGACACTCACTGTAAATCTAAGGACACATAGAAGTTTAAAGTGAAAGAGTAGAAAATGATATTCTGTCCAAATAGTAACCAAAACAGAACAGGGATGTTTAATATAAGACAAAATAAGCTTTTGAAACTGTTAAATGAGACAAGGAAAACAATATATAAGGATAAAAGGGTTATACAAAGAAAATGTAACAACTATAAATTTATATGTACCAAACATGAGAGTTCCTAAGTGTAAGAAGCAAATATTGACAGACTTGAAGGGCAAAAAAGTTCTGCAATAATCGTGGGAGACATTCATATCCCAATTTCAGTAATGGATAAAGCAACCAGGTAAAAGGTGAATAAGGAAATGGATGACTTGAACAACACTATAGATCAATTGGACTTAACAGACCAAAGAATACTTCACCCAATAACATCAGAATATACATTTTTCTAAAATGCATATGGAGCATCCTCTAGGTTAGACCATATGTTAGGTCATTAAACAAGTCTTAATACATTAAGACCATATGTTAGGTCATTAAACAAGTCTTAATACATTTAAAACTATTAAAATCTTACAAAGTATCTTTTCTAATCACAGTGGAATGAAACTAGAAATAAAAACTAGAAGGAAATGTAGAAACTCCATAAACACTTAAAAATAAAACAACATATTTTGAATAATAGAAATAAAAAGTAGAAGGAAATTTAGAAACTCCATAAACACTTAGAAATAAAACAACATATTTTGAATATGCCACTCACCTTATAAAAAAATCAATATTTTTTTATAAGGTGAGAGATGAGGATCAAGTTTTATTCTCCTACATGTGAATAGCCAATTATCCCAGCACCATTTGTTGAAAGAGTATCCTTTCCCCACTTTATGTTTTTATTTGCTTTGTTGAAGATCAGTTGGCTGTAAGTATTTGGCTTCCTTTCTGGGTTCTCTATTCTGTTCCATTGGTCTATGTGCCTATTTTTATACCAGTACCATGCTGTTTTCGTGACTATGGCCTTATGGTATCATTTGAAGTCAGGTAATGTGATGTCTCCAGATTGTTCCTTTTCGATTAGTCTTGCTTTGGCTATGTGGGCTCTTTTTTGGTTCCATATAAATTTGAGGATTGTTTTTTCTAGTTCCGTGAAGAATGATGATTGTATTTCGATGGGAATTGCATTGAATTTGTAGATTGCTTTTGGAAGTATGGTCATGGTCATTTTCACAATATTGATTCTACCCATGCATGAGCATGGGATGTGTTTTTGTTTGTTTGTGTTTATGATTTCCTTCAGCAGTGTTTTGTAGTTTTTCTTGTAGAGTACTTTCACCTTTTGGTATTTTATTTTATTTTTTGCAGCTATTGTAAAGGGGTTGAGTTCTTGATTAGATTCTCGGCCTGGTCACTGTTGGTGTATAGCAGAGCTACTGATTCGTCTACATTAACTTTATATACTGAAACTTTGCTGAATTCATTTATCAGTTCTAGGGGCTTTTTGGAGGAGTCTTTAGGTTTTTCTTTAGGGTTTTCAGCAAACAGCGACAGTTTGACTTTACCAATTTAGATGCCCTTTATTTCTTTCTCTTGTTTGGTCTGATATAAGAATACCTACTCCTGCTCACTTTTGGTGTCCATTTGCATGGAATGTCCTTTTCCACCCTTTTACCTTAATTTTATGTGAATCCTTATGTGTCAGGTGAGTCTTTTAAAGGCAGCAGATACTTGTTTGGTGAATTCTTATCTATTCTGTAATTCTGTTTTTTAAGTGGAGCATTTAGACCATTTACATTCAATGTTAATATTGAGATGTGAGGTAGTATTCCATTTATTGTGCTATTTGTTGATGAATCCTTTTTTTTGTAATTTTGTTTTATAGGTTATGTGAGATTCATGCTTTAAAGAGTTTCTGTTTTGATGTGTTTCCAGGATTTGTCAAGATTTAGAGCTCCTTTTAGCGGTTCTTGTTTTGCTGTCTTGGTAGTAGAGAATTCTCTCAGCATTTGTTTGTCTGAAAAAGAGTGTATCTTTCATTCATTTATGAAGATTAGTTTCTCTGGATACAAAATTCTTGGCTGATAATTGTTTTGTTTAAGGAGGCTGAAGATAGGTTTCCAATCCCTTCTAGCTTGTAGGGTTTCTGCTGAGAAATCTGCTGTTAATCTGATATGTTTTCCTTTATAGGTTACCTGATGCTTTTGCCCAACAGCTCTTCAAATTCTTTCCTTTGCCTTGACTTTAGGTAACCTGATGACAGTGTGCCTAGGTGATGATATTTTTGCAATGAATTTCCCAGGTATTCTTTGAGTTTCTTGTATTTGGATGTCTAGATCTGTACCGAAGCTGGAGAAGTTTCCCCCAATTATTCCCCTAAATATGTTTTCCAAACTTTTAGATTTCTCTTCTTCCTCAGGAATGCCGGTCATTCCTAGGTTTGGTCATTTAACATAATTCCAAACTTCTTGGAGGCTTTGTTCATTTTTAAATTCTTTTTTCTTTGTCTTTGCTGGTTTGGGTTATTTCAAAAACCTTATCTTCAAGCTCTAAATTTGTTTCTTCTGCATTTTCAATTCTGTTGCTAAGAGTTTCCAGTACATTTTGCATTTATCTAAGTGTGTCCTTTGTTTTCTGAAGTTGTGATTGTTTTTTATATATGCTGTGTATTTCACTGAAGATTTCTCTTGTCATATCTTATATCACTTTTTCAATTTCCTTAAGGTAGACTTCACCTTTCTCTGGTGCCTCCTTGATTAGCTTAATAATCAACCTGAATTCTTTTTCTGGCAATTCAGGGATTTCTTCTTGGTTTGGATCTTTTGGTAGTAAGCTACTGTGATTTTTTGGGGGATGTTAAAGACCCTTGTTTTGTCATATTACGCAAATTATTTTTATGGTTCCTTCCCATTTGGGTAGGCTTTGTCAGAGGGAAGATCTGGGGCTCAAGGCTGCTGTTCAGATTCTTTTGTTCCACGCGGTGCTCCCTTGATGTCATATTCTTCCCCTTTTCCTAGGGATGTGGCTTCCTGCTAGCCAAACTGTAGTGACTCTTTTTTCCCTCTGGATCCAGCCACCCATCAGGGCTTCCAGGCTCCAGGCTGGTACTGAGGTTTGTTTGCACAGAGTCCTGTCATGTGAACCATCTTCAGTTCTCTCAGTCGTGGATACCAGCACCTGCTCCAATGAAGGTGGCAGGGGAGTGAAATGTACTCTCTGAAGGTCCTCAGTTGTAGTTGTTTAATGCACTAGTTTTGTACTGGCTGGCAGGAGGTGGTGCTTTCAAGAGAGCATCAGCTGTGATAGTATAGGGAGGATCAGGTGGTAGTATAGGGAGGATGGGCAGGGCCCTAGATCTCCAAAGAGAATATGATCTTTGTCTTCAGCTACCAGGGTGGGTAAGGAAGGACCATCAGGTGGGGGCAGGGTTAGGCATTTCTGAGCTCAGACTCTCCTTGAGCTGGGCTTGCTATGGCTGCAATGGGGGTGTGTGGTTCCCAGCTCAATGGTGTTATGTTCCCAGGAGGATTATGGCTGCCTCTCCTGTGTCAAGCAGGTTGTCAGGGAAGTGCAGGAAAGCCAGCAGTTACAGGACTCACCCAGTTCCCACTCAACCCAGATGGCCGGTCTCATTCCAACCATGCCTCTCCCAACAGCATCAAGTTTGTTTCCAGGCAGTGGGTGAGCAGGGCTGAGAACTTACCCCAGGCTACCGGCCTCCTGGCCCAGAAAGCAAGCAGGGCTTCTGCGTCTCCTGCCTGTCATGTCTTCACACTGAATTCTTGCCTTCCCCCAAGTTCTGCCAGGAAACTTCACATTCATTTGGAATTGTTACAAAATTCAGCTGGAGGTTTCCTTCTCCCTGTAGTCTTTTCCCAGTTCCTCTGGCAGCCCTCCCCAAAGACCCCAGTGAGACACATTAGGAATGGCTTCCCTGGGGACCCAGAGAACCCACAGGGCTTTTCCCTGCTGTTTCCTCTACCCTGTATTTTGCTTGGCTCTCTAAATTGTCTCAGTTTCAGGTAAGGTTAGAATCTTTTCCAGTGATCTAGACCCTCACGTTCCCCAGTGAGGGTGTGCATTCAGGGGCAGATGATCCCCTTTTCCCACTTTCACAGTTTGGACACTCACAGTGTTTGGGCTGTCTCCCAGGTCCTGCAGGAGCAATCCACTTCCTTCAAAGGGTCTGTGGATTCTCTCGGCTTTCTTGGCATATTCATCTTGAAGCAAAAGTTGATAATGTGAGTCTCCACATTCTGCTCTGTCTATCCAAGTAGAAGCTGCAATTTAGTCTTGCCTCCTATCTGCCATTTTTTCATCTCCCCCAAAATAGTTTATTTTATTAAAAAGATCAACAAAATTGAAAAACCTTTAGCTTGATTTAGGGAAAAAAAAAGAAGATTCAAATAAAGTAAAAAATGAAAGAGTAGGCATTATAACCAATGCCACAGAAATATAAAAGGATTGATTATAAGAGAATACTATGAATAACTTTATGCCAACAAATTAGATACATAGAGGAAGTGAGTAAGTTCCTGGAACCACACAACCTACCCAGATGAAGAAACAAACCATCAACAGACCTACAACAGGATAGAATATTTGCAAACTCATAATATAAGGTCAGCATTGCCCTGATATTGAAACTAGATGCAGTACTAAAAGACAACTATAAAACCAATATCCATTGTGAATATTAATGCAAAAATCTTCAACAAAATACTATAAACTGAATTTGGCAACATATTAAAAGGATTATATACCATAACCAAGTAAATTTTATTACTGAAATGCAAGGATGGTTCAGCATATAAAAATTGATCAATGTAATACATCACACAGAATGAAGAAAAGAATTACATAGATCATCTTATTTAATTAGTTTACTGTGTGGGGAAAAAAAGCCCTCTTAAAATTCATATGGAATCTCAAGAGACCCAGAATAACCAATACAATCTTAAGAAAGAACAAAGCTGGGGGACTCACAGGACCGATTTTAAAACTTCTACTTACATAGCTCCACAAGTCAAAACAATGTGGCACTGGCATAAAGACATAGTAGACCAACGGAATAGAATCTCTAGCCAAAAACAAAGCAAAACAAACAAGCAAACAAATAAACAAACAAAAAAAGCCAGCCCTTACTTATATGGTCAAATGATTTTCAACATGGGTGCCAAGACCATTTAATAATGAAAGGACAGTCTTGTCAACAAATCATGTTAAGAAAACTTAATATCCACATGTAAAGGAATGTTGTTGGGCCCTTACCTTTCTCCATATACCAAAATTAACTCAAAATGCATTAAAAACCTAAATGTAACACCCAAAACTGTAAAACGCTTGGAAGAAAACAGGATAAAAGCTTCATGATGGCCGAGCGTGGTAGCTCATGCCTCTAATCCCAGCACTTTGGGAGGCCGAGGCAGGCAGATCACCTGAGGTCGGGAGTTCGAGACCACCCTGACCAACATGGAGAAGCCCCATCTGTACTAAAAATGCAAAATTAGCCGGGCATGTTGGCATATTGCTGTAATCCCAGCTACTCAGGAGGCTGAGGTAGGGGAATTGCTTGAACCTGGGAGGCGGAGGTTGCAGTGAGCAGAGATTGTGCCATTGTACTCCAGCCTGGACAAAAAAAGTGAAACTCCATCTTACAAAAAAAAAAAAAAAAAAAAAGCTTCATGACATTGATGACATTGGATTTGGATTTGGCAATGATTTCTTTCTAAAATCAGAAATATAGGCAACAAGTAAAAATAGATATATTGGACTACATCAAAATTTTAAACTTCTGTGCATCAAAAGACACAATCAACAGAGTGAAAGGCAAAGGCAACCTATGGAAAGGGAGAAAATATTGCACATTATATATCTGTTAAGAGCTTATTATTCAGAATGTATAAGAACTCTTAGAGTTGAACAATAAAACTACAAATAACCCAGTTTAAAAATGATATAGTCAAAAGCACAAGAAGAAACCTTACACTCATTAAGCACAAGAAGAAACCTTATACCCATTAAGCACAAGAAGAAACCTTACACCTATTAGGATGGCTGCTATCAAAAAAACAGAAAATAATAAATGTTGACAAGGATATGGAGAAGTTGAAAACTGTGTACTCTTTGTGGGAATGTAAAATTGTGCAGCCAGTATGGAAAACAGTATGGCATTTTGTCAGAAAATAAAAAATAGAATTAACATATGATCTAGAAATTCCAGTTCTGGGTTTATAGCCAAAACAACTTAAAGCAAGGTTTCAAGGAAATATTATTTGCGACCTACATTTATAGCAGCAGTATTAACAAATGGTCAAGTCGTGGAAGCAACCCAAGTTTCTATCAACATATAGATGCATTTCAAAAAATGTAGTATATACATACAATGGAATGGTATTCACTTAATAAAAAGGAAGTTCTGACACATGTTGCCACATGAATTCAACCTTAAGGAAATTATACTAAGTAAAATAAGCAAGTCACAAAAACACAATACTGTATGATTCACTTACACAAGTTATCTAGAGTAGTCAAATTCAAAGAAATAGAAAGTAGAATGTTATTTGCCAGTGACTGGGGGTGATGGGAAATAGGAGTTGTTTAATGGGGTATAGAGTTTCAGTTTTGCAAGATGAAAAACCTCTGGAGATGTGAATATATTTAACACTACTGAACTGTGTGCTTTAAAATGGTTAAGACTAATTTTTATATTATGTGTATTTTACTACAATTTTAATTAAAGTGAAAAGTTTACCCATAGACTGGAAAGGTATATGTCTAACAATGATAATCAACAAATGTTGATATCTAGATTACACAAAGAAACTCCTACCAATGAATAAGAAAAGCACAATTCTATAGAAAAAATGGGCAAAAGAATAAAAATCTGTTAATTTGTGGATGGGTTAAATACAAGCAGTCAGTAAACATGTAAAAAAAAGTCAACCTCATTTGCAATCTCATAAATGGTTAATAAAGCCAAAATGAAACAATTTCACTCCCATCCAATAAGTATAAAATTTATACTTAAAATCCATTTATTAGGAAAGGTGTAGAGTTTTCTAGTGGGAGTCTAAATTGATGAAACCACTTTGAGGAATAATTTTGCATTATCATGTAAAGTTGAATTTGTAAATGTACATTGACTCAGCAATTTCATTCTTGGGAATATACCATGGAATAATTTTTGCATGTGTACACAAGAAGATACAGATGTAAAATGCTTATTAAAAACAGTGACTTTACCCAAGACATACTGAGAACAACCTAAATGTATATTAAAAGAAAATTGTATAATTAAATGGTATACTATGCAGTAGTGAAATGGGATTTCACAAAAATGATATTTACCATAAAAGCTTAACACATGGATAAGGATACTGTATCTTCTTTAGGGACACATTCATAAGTGATAAAAATATAAATGCCAATCAAGATGATAAATTTACAGTAGTTATTACATCTAGGGGAATGGTATCAGTGCTGTAACTCTAACGTTCATGGGGGATGCATGTGGACATCAGAATGGAAGCAGGTGTAAGGGTTCCACAGAAGAAAACATGGCTGCCAAAGCTCAGCCTGGCCTTAGCCATTGCACGAGGCATGGTGAACTCTGCCTTCTATAATGTGGATGCTGGGCACAGAGCTGTTTTCTTTGACTGATTCTGTGGAGTGTGGGACATTGTGGTAGGGGAGGGGACTCACTTTCTCATCCCATGGGTACAGAAACCAATGGCATTCCACTGCTGCTGTCAACCATGCAGTATGCCAGTCGTCGCTGGTAGCAGATTCATAGTATGCCAGCATCCCTGTGCATCCGCTTCCAGCCTGTCACTGCCAGCTTCCTCACATCCTCACCAGCCTTGGAGAGGACTCCAATGACTGTGTGCTGGTGTTCTGCCATCTGTCACTACAGAGATCCTCGTCAGTGGTGGCTCACTTTGATGCTGGAGAACTTATCACTCAGAGAGAGCTGTTCCCCAAGCCAGGTGAGTGATGACCTTGTGGAGTGAGCAGCGGCCACCTCTGGGCTCATCCTGGACGTCATGTCCTTGATGCATGTGACCTTCAGGAAGGCGTTCACAGAAGCAGTGGAAGCCAAACAGGTAGCTCAGCGGGAAGCAGAGATGGCCAGATTTGAGGTGGAAAAGGATGAGCAGCAGAAAGAGGCGGCTATCATCTCTGCCTATGATATGGCTCCAGAGCAACTCACTGGTGCCCGGGGATGACTACCCGATGGAGCTGTACATGCTCAAAGCCACCAAGAGCGTTGCTTACCAGCTCTTGTGCTCTCAGAATGTTACCCACCTGCCCACGGGGCAGTCCATGCTCCTCCACCTGCTCTAGTGCTACCTGCACCTCCGCGGGCCAACTGGGCCACAGCTCTGATGATTGTTAACACCAGCCTTCCTTCTGCTCCCACCCCAGAAATCACTGTGAAATTTTGTGATTGGTTTCAAGTGAAGGAAATAAAAGTAAAATCACTCCAGATCTCTAAATACTCTATCAAATGAAGCACTTTCATTTTTCTCACATCCATCTACTTTTTTATCCACTTCTGTATTAGTCCATTTTCATACTGCTATAAAGAACTGCCCAAGACTGGGTAGTTCATAAAGGAAAGAGGTTTAATTGATTCACAGTTCCAAATGGCTGGGGAGGCCTCAGGAAACTTAACAATCATGGTGGAAGGGAAAGCAAGGTACCTTCTTCACAAAGCTGCAGGAAGGAGGATCGCCAAGCAAAGGGGGAAGAACCCCTTATGAAACCATCAGATCTCATGAGAAGTCACTGTCCCGTGAACAGCATGGGAGAAATCACCCCCATGATTCAGTCAGCTCTGCCAGGTCCCTCTCTTGACACTTGGGGATTATGAGGATTACAATTCAAAATGAGATTTGGGTGGAAACACAAAGCCTAACCATATCAACTCCCCTGCCAAAAATTCCAAAGTATATATGCAGACTGGCTTTAAGCCCCAATTCGGGGCCTGCTGGAGCTCTGGCCTAGGCACTGGCAATTGTCATAACAAAGGTAGGGCAGTGTGTGATCGACTGGGGAGCACAGTTGTCAGCCTGAGTAATGTGTAGCCTCTATCCTGTCCTTGATGGTTGATTAAAGATTTGAGGATGATGGATATGTAGCTGAACCGAGAAGGCAGGCCTCAGTTTTACTAGCTGTCCCTGCACAGATGCAGCTGAAGAGAGGTGCTAACCAAGGTCAGAGAGGAAGTGGTCTGTGGTCTGTCTCTTACCCTAAGAGTGGTTCTCTCTAACAGTGTGACCAGCCAAAGCAGGTGTTTGTAAAGTGGGCATGGACTGAAGAATCTGTTCCTGTTGAGCTGGATGGGCCTGAATGTTGCCCCCCAGGTCCCTAAAACTTGGGATGGACTTGAGAGAGGAGGCCTGGACCAAGATGTGAGTCCCATTGAAGACATCCTCTCTACTCCCCACCTTGGTCTCTCTCAAATACCCAACAGAATTCCAACTTGAAGGATTGCATCCTGACAGGGCTGAACATGCCTGCCGAGGAAGTATGCATCCTGTGTTCCTGGCTCACTCATTCACAGACTGCTCTTCTCAAAGGCTCTGTGCCTGTGCTTTGAAGGAAACAACCATGGGAAGAAAACAAATGTGTGTAAACTGCTGTCAATAAATGACACCCAGACCCTCAAAAAAACCCGAAAATTGGAAATAAAATATATACCCAGGAATACTTCTTTTTATTGTGCTTCACTTATTATGCTTTACAGATACTATGTTAACAAATTGAAGGTTTGTGGCAACCTTGCATGGAGCAAGTCTACTGGCACCACTTTTCCAAAAACGTGCTCACTTCGTGTCTCTTTGTTGGCATTTTTTAGCAATGGTATATTTTTAAATTAAGGTATGTACTTTGTGATTGTTAGCCATAGTGATATCACACACTTAGTAGATTATAGTATAGTGTAACATAATTTTTATATACACTGGGAAACGAGAATTGTGTGGCTTGCTTTATCGTGATACTTGCTTCATTACAGTGGTCTTGAACTGGACCTTCAGTATCTCTGAGGATGCCTGTATTTTTAAAACTGTGTGTTGATCATCATTATATTATGGTGTATACCAGGTTTCAGCCAACTATGACCTAGCAGTCAAATCTGCTTTTGTAAATGGAGTTTTATTGAAATACAGGCAGGCCATTCTTTTATGTATTATCTAGATTGTCTTTGTACTACATGGGAGAGTTGATTGGTTTCAGCAGAGACCATGTAGTTCACAAAGCCTAAAATATTTACTATCTGACCCTTTAAAAAATTGCTTACCCTTGATCTATACTTCTATACGTTTTTGTAAGTAAGAAGTATTAAGAAAAAAAAAAGAACAGAAGAATGGTATATTGGTATTGTCATTGTCATCTGATATCCTTACACTTTTGATGAAGTTATGAAGTTCTTTCGTGATCCAAGTTGAATAAAGTTGATGATTGCTGGGTATTTAGTCAGGGACATTTTGTTGGAAATTAGTCAACTACATTTTTTGTTTCTCCTCCAAACTATAGCAGTATCATTTATTTCCTAAATTTTATAACATATTTTTGTACCTACATCCTTATCTAATTTTCAGCTGAAAAAATAACATGATCTTATTTCTCCCACCTTTTTGGGGAAACTATTATAATAATATATATAAGAACTTTGCCCCTTGATGAAAGCATTTGATTAATATTTGGTCCAATTTTAGCCAGAATCTTCAGGGGTAATATTCTTACTATAAAATGCTTAAAAAATTAAAATTATATTGTAAAACTTAAAACTTTTAACTAAGTTTCTAACATTTTTATTTTTTACTTTTTTTTTTTTTTTTTTGAGACAGGGTCTTACTCTGTTAACAGGCTGGAGTGCAGTGGCATGATCACAGATCACTGCAGCCCTGAACTCCTTCGCTAAGTTGATCATCCAGCCTCAGCCTAGCCTGGGACAACAGGTGTGCACCACCACACTCAGCTAATTTTTTAAAAAATTTTTTGTGGAGATGGGGTCTCCCTATGTTATCAAAGCTGGTCTTGAATTCCTGGGCTCAAGCAGTCCTTCCACCTCAGCCTCCCAAACTGTTGAAATTACAAGCATGAGCCACCGTGCCAGGCCTATTTCTTACTTTTGATAGCAGTATTAGTATATACAATACTTTAATTTTGTTCCTATTTTAAAAATTTTTTTTCAAGATAAAGACAGTTTAATTAACTATATAATAACTTCTGGAATACTATTTTTAGTTCAAATTCCGTTATCTAAATTTAAAAGCACTTAAAGTTGATACAGCAAATATACCTCATTGTTATATCCAAAATTTCAAATTGGTAAGAATAAATCTATGAACTGGATTCTTAGAAATATTCTCCTTTTTATTGTTACATTAAAATAATATTTTTTTAATATAAAATTATTTTGAAGATTATTTCTCCATAGGGAAGTATTATATAAATAACAATTTAATGGGAATAATACAATAAGATTAGTTTCTGTTACTAAAGTTTTACCTGTTGCTTGTGAAAACTAAAAAATAAAATGCGATTTTGTTTCACAGTAATATTAGGTTATCAAATTTATTATTTAATGAATCGACCTCATGTTGCTTGGCTATCAGGGATAAAAGGTATAGAGTACCATTACCAAACTCTAAAACATTACTTATTTTTTTCCCCACTGAATGGTTATACTTAGTCACTAATTTTGGAATAAATAGGGACTGTTGCGAAGCATCACTTTCATTCTTTCCATATTGAATTATAACGTGATATTGTCATGGGATCCTTGGGGTGTCACTTTGCCAGCCAGAAACCTCTGTGGCTAGTGGCACTTTTCCCTGAGTTTTGCTCAGGCATGCTGGGCTCATTCCGCCCACTTGGCCTGACATGCTGCACTCAGCTCATGCTGCTGGCCTAGATCCCATGCGAGCCAGGCACAGAGCAGCAGTGGGTGCATGAGCGGGCAAGCGCAGGTTCCGGCCACTGTGCACAACCAGGCACACTGACTGCTGCAGTGGGGTAAAAAGCTCTAGGCACTGGCACAGGCGCTAGCTTCATGCAGGCCTGCAGCTAGATCAGGTGCATCATACGCAGCTTCCACTGCAGGCACCCATGTCTGGATGAGGGCAAGATGATAGCACCTGGAAGCTTGGAGACGCCAGAAATTACAGAGCCCCAGAAAGGGTGTCACAGCCCAGGCTTGGGGAGCCCCTAGGTCTGGGCTCCCTGAGTCCTGCAGCTGTTCTCTCCTCATCACCCACAGTGTGGTGAGCGGGGGTGGGAGGATTGTTTCAGCCCTGTTTGTGTTACAGCTTTTCAGTCCCACCATTTGGTGAGTCCCAAGTTCTTGACCCATGTTCAGGAAGAATGAGATATGTGGACAACTAGAGGGTGAGCAAGGTGGAGAGGAGCTTCACTGAGTGACAGAACAACTCTTGGGAGACCCAAAGTGGGTAGCTCCTTTCCGCAGGCAGGTCATCCCAGTGAGTGTCCAGCTGTCAGTGGAAAGGATACCTGGAGTGAGTAGCTCCTTTCCACAGGCAAGTAGTCCTGACAAATGCAGCCCTCAGCAGAGAGGAGACCCAGAGTGGGTAGCTCCTATCTGCAGGCAGGTTGTCCCGATAAGTGTCCCAGCTCTCAGCAGAGAGGAGACCTGCAATGGGTAACTCCTATGCACAGGCAGGTTGTCCCTATGAATGTCCAGCTCTGATCGGAGAGGAGACCCATAGTAGAAAGCTCCTTTCTGCAGGCAGGTCATCCTGACAAGTCAAGGAGACCCAAAGTGGATAGTTTCTTTCTGCAGCTGGTAGTCATGATGTCTGTGTAAGTCTGGCTGGTTCTGGGGTCTTTATGGGCTCAGAAGGGAGGAAGCTCATGCTGACTGGTCTTTGGGAGGCCATAGACAGGCCTGAAAAAATCACCATAAGTTCTCACTCTGGACTGCAGACTATACCCAGAACTGAGAGCCTGGTTCCCAGGCTTCAGGCCATTCCTGGCTTGAAGGTGGAGCTTCACCAGGGTCCCACCCCTTTCTGCCCAGGAGCCTTTCTTCCTCCTACGCCGTCAACATGATATCCATGGCACCCAGGCTGTTCATGCCGAGGGGCGCCTGCAGGCTCACGCTAAGCCATCCTCAGTACCCTCTCAGCCTCCCTCCTGTGCTCTTTGGCACCCAATGTCTGGAGGGGGCCAAGGTGATAAGGCTGGCATGTCAGCACCACCCAAGCATGTGCACGCCCAGCTAGGTCGTGACAATGCCTGGGTGTGGCCACAACTTTGCTCTGCCCAGGAGTGGGTGCCAGGAGTAGGGGGAGCCCAGGCAGCGGGAGCAAACACTTTCAAGCCTGTGGGGGCAAGGGCTTCCTGCACCCCCAAGAGTGCAGGTATGCCAGGGTCTGGAGCCATGGCTGGGCAGCTGCAGTTGCACCCGGGAGCCTGGGACTCCTGCCCTGCCAACTCAATAGTGGAGGGAGCTCCCACCTGTTCCAGCCCCCACCTAGTCCATGCAGCCCACAGCCCTGGCCATGCCTCCCCCACTGCAGTTGGTGTCTTTGTAGTGGCCACTCCAGATGGGCCACTGCTGCCATCAATGTCACTTTTTAAAAGTGTGTGAGAGAAAGGAAGTGGATAGAGTATTACAGAGAAAAATTATAGATAGGCAAAATCTGTTAAAGAGCATGGCAGCTTGATAGAATTATAGTAGTAAAGTGGATAAGTTTAACTTGTTAGCATTTTTATATGAGGCATGTACAGGTCAAATTGTCATTAAATACTGTTTGTGGAAAAATATGTTTTTGGATGCTAACTGTTCTGAATTTTCCTTTCTAGTTTTGCTAATTCTATTGGTATTTTGAAATCTGTTTAAAATATTTTATATATGATTAATTTCTGTACTACTCCTGGGAGGTAACATAAAATAGTCACCTAACTTTGATCACAAAATTTATTAAAATTTGCATTAATTAAGAGCAGCAATGTAAATGACTACTATGGTTATGTTTACTATTTGAGATATTTAAAAAATACTTCATGTGGTTACAGTTTCCATTTTTACACAAATTTGAGCTTATAATATATACAACATGATGGTATGACATGAAGAAAATGGAAAGGAAACTTAGCTATGTTCAATAATCTAATGAAAAAAATATTTTGGAAAAAGTTGTATATAAGTGGTAAACTATTTGAAAATCATTCTTAAAAAAATTTATTTCCTGCTTTTTAAAATGTGACAGACTCCACCTTTCTATATCCTGTTGGGCCATTTGTCCCTGTGCAAACAAAAATTGGTAATTTTCATATAGATCTGATTAACAAAAATAAATTTAATGAAGTCTGACATATGAAAGGAAAATGCTCCAGTTTTTTTCTTACTTGAGTGAACAGTTTTTTCACAATCTAAAATGAGTTAACTCATACAGGAAATTTGAAAGACTCTTCATGTTTTATGTCTCTCCAAAATGGAATTTTGACTCACTTTTACAAAAGATTTTAATATTTATTATTTTTATTTGTAATGAACTTTACATATAATACAAATTTTCATTTTATAGATTTTTACATTTTATTTTGTTTTCCTAATGTTTCATGAATTGGAAGTACTGTAAAATAAGGTTTTGCAAACTTTTTCTTTGAAGGTTTGGGATTGTTAGCCACACAGTCTTTGTCATTTTTTTTTTTTTTTTTAAACAACATCTCGCTCTGTCACCAGGCTGGAGTGCAGTGGCGCGATCTCCACTCTCTGCAACCTCCACCTCCTGTGTTCAAGCGATTCTCCTGCCTCAGCCTCCTGAGTAGCTGGGATTACAGGCATGCGCCACCACACTTGGCTAATTTTTGTATTTTTAGTAGAGATGGTTTCATCATGTTGGTCAGGCTGGTCTCGATCTCCTGACCTCATGATCCGCCTGCCTCAGCGTCCCTAAGTGCTGGGATTACAGGCATGAGCCACCATGCCCGGCCATATTTTCTGGTTTTTGTGTTCTCTTATTTTTATGATCCTTAAAAACCATAAAATCTGTTCTTAATTTACTGGCCATAAAAAAAAAACAGTGGCAGAATAGGTTTAGCCCATCCATAGACTACAGTTTGTCAACCCCATTCCTAGAATAAGAAGTAATAACATCATCAACAGAAAAATTAAATTTAGATACTGTTGATAATGTTGGTGTTTATTTTTCATTTAATTGGCTGTGACTATTATACTACATGATGATGTAACTTGTAAATCTCATATGATATCTGTACAGGCAGTCCTTGACTTACAATGATTTAATATGATTTTTTAAATTTTAATGATGGTGCAAAAACGGTATGTATTCAGTGGAAACTGTACTTCAGTACAGCATTCAATAAATTACATGAGAAATTCAACATGTTACCATAAAGTAGGATTTGTGTTAGATGATTTTGCCCCCAAATAGGGTAATATAAGTGTTCTGAGCATGTTTGAGGTAGGCTAGGCTAAGCTATGACATTCAGTAGGTTAGCTATATTAAATAAATTTTTTACTTAAGATGCGTTCAACTTACAGTGGGCTTATCAGTACATAACCCCATTTTAAGTCAAGCAGCATTTGTGGTTCCTTTCCATGCTAAGCACTTACAAGCTTTTCCTTAATAAATGGTTATGGGAAGTTAGTTTTCTCCATTTTGTTTATTATCTGGTGTCCTGAATACCTGTTCTTGAAACCTTTGTTTTGAAATAAATTTCATTTTATTTTTAGCTCGGCACCAGACTCAACTGGTAAAATTTCCTGGCCATCTAAATTTATTACTATGTTGTTTAATAATGAACTACATTGACTGCAGAAAGCATTTATCTTCCTATTTTTGATAACTAGTTTTCATCAATTTTGTTAACAGGTATCATTTTCAGTTATTTGCATAATTTCTGCCTAACTAGCAGTGAGCAGCTGTAGTTCCTAGAGTTGTTATTAGTTATCTTGTTTAAAGAAAATGGTCACTAACACTTTAAAAATATTTTACAGACATACACCAGTGATGTTTTGTGTAACATTTCAAGTTTTTGTAAATGATAGATTCTATTTTCACATTAGGGGAAAAATAATTCACTTATTTTGCTAAATCTCACAAAAACTTATCAATCTAAAATCAATCATTTTTACCCTAAAAATAAAACATTTTATTAGCAATTTTAAAAAATATATTATAATTATTCTTTAGAGATACCTATTGGCATATGAACAGATAATCATTTGAATTTTTACAAATATAGTTAAATGATATTTCATCAAAAGATCTCATAACTTTCAAAAAGCCACTGAAATTTTTTAGGTATGTAAGTTATTTGGGTTCTCAAATGGTCAAGATTTTGTGTTACAACATAACTTCAATCAAAGAAATGTTATTTCAGGAATGATATTTAAAATATAGAATATTTGGATAGTCATCAAGATGGAAAAAGATGGCCAGTTGATTAGTTGCATCAGCTTACTCAACATTGACAATCAGTGCTTTAACAATTGATGGCTACATTGCCTTCACATAGAAATTATAATCCAATATGAAGATATGGTTATCTTTAATATCTGTAACATAGTATTTTGTATACAATCAAGGATTTTACTTCAAACACGTAAGATCATGTCCACACTTCTTCGTGCTTTCAGAGATGGGGAAATCAAACTAAAACCCATGAAATAACAAAGTCAGTCTTTAGCCAAGGTTAAAGCTTCTTTAGTATTGATTGAATATAAGGCCCTACACAGGATATTGACAGGAACAGGGAAAAAGAGGCAGTGACATAGTGTTTTGAAAGAAAATTCTAAAAGACATACTTTGATTTCTTCTTTTTCTCATGATGGCATAACAAGAAGTAGCCTTATTAATAATTTCCAATTATAATCACTAGAAAATTGGACAAAATATATGAATAAGCAGTTTTTATACATTGAACAGTAGGCCTCAGATAACTGTGAACCATGAGAGAACAGAAATAATTGAGTTGGGCTCTTTAATTTCTCTGATTTGCCTGGAGGCACTTTCTGGATTGTAGTACAAGAAAGGGAATTTCCAGTAAATCACAGCACTCTTGCTGAGTTGAGGAGACAGTGATCAGAGTTCAGGAAGTTATGGAGCAGAATTTTGTGGAAGAGGAAGCATCACAGTAAAATAGCTTGAGAAATCTGCCTATAAGCCCCTTGAATCTTGAATTTTTTGAGATGCATATGTAAAGGGCAAAATTCCACAAGACTGGGTAAAATATGACCGTGGACCTTTAGAGCAAGAAATTTCTAGAGCTCACAGAGCTGAAAGTGTTTTTCTATCTCTAATCAGCCAGAGTGGCTAATCCTAATTGATTTCCTGGGACAGAGAGTAGACAGTCCAGAAGAGTGGCACATTAGTAGTAGAGTTAAATTATTTCTAGAGTAAAGGGTTTTCTAGAACCATTCAAGTCTAAATCTGATCTAAAAGTATCTTCAAAATAGGCCTCAAATGACCAAATTGTTTCGCCAGTAACTCAATTATGAGAACAAAGCCCAACACATTTTAAAGGAATACAGCAAAATGCAAACACTTAATGTAATACTCATAATACCCAGCATCCAAACATAATTACTAGACATGAGATAAAGCAGTAAAATGAAGCACATTACTGAAAGGAAAGTCAGTTGTAAAACTTTCTGGGAAATGACAGGGATAAGGGGTTTAAAAGACAAGGATTGTCAGCTACTATAAAGATGTTTAAATATTTAAAGTAAAATATGGGCCAAGTGCCATGGCTCATGCCTATAATTCCAGCACTTTGGCAGGCTGAGGCGGGTGGATCACCTAGGTAAGGAGTTCGAGACCAGCCTGGCCAACATGATGAAACCCTGTCTCTACTAAAAATACAAAAATTAGCTGGACATGGTAGAGCATATCCGTAGTCCAGCTGCTAGGGATGCTGAGGCAGGAGAATCACTGGAACCTGGGAGGTGGAGGTTGCAGTGAGCCAAGATTGTACCACTGCACTCCAGCCTGGGCAACAGAGCGAGACTCCATCTCAAAATAATAATAATAATAAAGTAAAATATGAATGTGAAGTGAATTGGACAATGTAAAAAAGAAAGAAATGGAACTCTGGAAAATGAAAAATAAAGGCCTAAAATGAAAATTCATTTGATGACTTGAGCCGAATATTTTATACTGATTAAGAAATAGCAGTGAACTCGGAGATGTAGAATAGTATGTTTCCAAACTGAAGCAGAGAAAAGACGAAAAAAGAAATGGAGACCAGAGCCATAGAAACCTATTACATAAATCAAGCAGTTTAATATACATGGAATTGGAGTTCAAGGAAAAGGGGTTGAGAGTGGAAAATAATACCCAAATATTTTGAAGACTATAAATCCTAATATCCAAGAAATTCAGCTAACCATGAGCAGGATTAACACAAATAAAAATTACCACGTAACATAAGTAAAGTGTTTAAAAGCAGTGTTAAACAGCAAAATTTCAAAAAACTCTTATTAGCAAGAGACAAATAGCTAGTTCACTTAACAGTGACTTGAAAAGACACTTCACCAGTGATTATATTAAATGCCAGATGAGCACATAGAAAGATGGCCAACATCGTTAGCGATCAGGTAAATGCAAATTAAAACCAAAATTAAATACCTCTACAAATATATGAGAATTGCTAAAATAAAATTACTGACAATTCCAAGTGCTGCCAAGAATATGCAGCAGCTGGCATCTCATCCATGGTTGTCATCCATGGCTTTGAGAATGCAAAATAGTAGCCATAGAGGAAAATAGTTTGGAAGTTTCTTATTTAGTTAAACAAACTCTTAATTATATGACCGAGTAATCCCATTTCTGAGTATTTTCCCTGAAGAAATGAAACTTATGTTCACACAAAAACCTATAAATCAATGTTCACATCAGTTATTGGTGTAATAGTCAAGAGATGGAAAAACACAAATGTCCTTCATGAATAAACAAACCATGATTTAAACACAGGAATGCTACTGAACAGAAACAAAGGGCCACACTTATAAACCTGACTATGTAGATGAACTCAAAGACATTATTACAATGAGTTTTCTTGTGAGTAAGAAAACTCATTTCAAAAAGTTACATATTGTGTATTTCCTTTTTTGGGGGAAATTCTCAAAATAACAAAATCATACTGATGAAAATGGATTAGTGGTGGCCAGGAGTTATGGGTGAGGTTAAGACTTCCAAGGATTCCTTCAGGCAGTGGAGCTATTGTGTGTTGATTGTGGTGGCAAAACACAGTGCATGTGACAACACTCATAAAACTACACAAATACTGATAAAAGACTTGTACAATGAAAGGTACAAACCACTGCTGAAAGACATTAAAGGCAGAAATAATTAGCAAGCTATTCCATGTTCATGGGTTGGAAGAGTTTACGTCAGTCCTACCCAAAGCAATTTATAGATTAATTGCAATTTCTATAAAAGTCCCAATAATGTGTTCTGCAGAAATAGAAAAATCAATCCTAAAATTCATTTGCAAACTTAAGGAACCCTGAATAACCAAAATAATCCTGAAAAAGAAGAGCAAAGCTGAGAGGCACACACATCCTAATTTCAAAACTTGCAACAAAGGTACAGTAATCAAAACAGTGAAGTACTGGAATGAAACAGACATATAAACCAATGGAATACAATCTCTAGCCCATAAATAAAGTCTCCTATATACAGTCAAATTATTTTTGACAAGAGTGCCATGATCATTCCCTGGGAAAAGGCAGTCTTTTCAACAGATGGGAAAAGTGGATATCCACATGCAAAAGAATGTAGCTGGACCCTTCACTAACAACACAGACAGAAAAGATAGACTGCAATCCAATAATTGTAGCAGACTTTATCAGCTGACTTTTAGCAATGGAGAGATCATCCAGACAGAAAATCAATAAGGAAACATTGGACTTAAACTGTACTCTCGACCAAAAGGACCTAACCGACATATTGAAACATTCTATCCAGTAGCTACAGAATACCCATTCTTCCCCAATCCACATGGAGCATTCTCCAGAATAGAACATGTATCACAAAACAAGTCTTAACATATTTAGGAAGACTGAAATTGTATCAGGTATCTTTTCTGACCATAAAGGAATAAAAGTAGAAATTGAAAACAGGAGGAACAACTTCAGAAAAATCACAAATACATGGAAATTAAACAGCATGCTTCTAAACAACTAATGGGTCAAAGAAGATATTAAAAGAAAAACTTTAATATTTCTTGGACAAACAAAAATGGAAACAACATACCAACACCTATGAGATACAGCAAAAGGAGATCTCAGAGGGAATTTTACAGTAATAAATGCCTACATCAAAAAAGAAGAAAGATCTCACACAACCTACAGTGTACCTCAAAGAATTAGAAAAACGAGAAAACTAAGCACAAAGGTAGTAGTAGCAGGAAGGAAATAATAAAGATCCGAGCAGAAATAGATGAAATAGAGACTAGAACAATAGGAAAGATTGACAACACAAAGAGTTGTTTTTTTTTTAAAGAAAAACTTTACAAACCATTAGCTAGACTAAGAAAAAAGAGAAGACTCAAATAAAATCAGAAATGAAAAAGGAGATATTACAACTGATAACACAGAAATACGAAGGACAACAAGAGACTATTATGAATAACTATATGCCAACAAATCGGATACCCTAGAAGAAATGAAAAAAAAAATCTAGATACATACAATCTACCAAGATTGAATCATGAAGAAATAGAAAATCTGAACAGATCAATAATGAGTAGGGATCAAATTAGTAATAAAACATCTCCTATCAAAGAAAAGCCCAGGATCTGATGGCTTTTCTGATGAGTTCTATTAAACAACTAAAGTGTTTATACTCATCTCAAACCCTTTTAAAAAATTGAAGAGGAGGTAATATTTCCAAACACATATTACAAACCCAGCATTTCCTTGATACCAAAGCCAAAGACATTATGAAAAAAGAAAACTGTAATACGATATCCCTGATGGACATGGATGCAAAAATCTGCAACAAAATACTAGCAAACCCAATTTAACAGCACGTTTAAAAGATCAGTCACCATGATCAAGTGAGATTCATCCTAGGGATGCAGGGATAGTTCAACATACATTAATCAATAAATGGTGATACATCACAATAACAGATTGAAAGACAAAAACCATATGATCATTTGAATAGATGAAGAAAAAGCATCTGACCAAATTCATTGTTTTTGCATGATAGAAAGTCTCTACAACTTCAGAAGGAATATACCTCAACACAATAATGGGCATTCTGACAAACACGACTAGCATCATATTCAGTGGAGACAATTTGAAACTTTTTCCTCTAAGATCTGAGAGAGAACAAGTAAACTCACTCTCTTCACTTCTGTTCAACGTAGTAGAAGTCCTGGACAGAACAGCCAGGCAAGAGAAAGAAATAAAATGCATCCAAATGAGAAAAAAAAAATGTTAAATTGTCTCTTTGCAGATGACATGATCTTATATGTAGAAAACCCTAAAGAATCCTCCAAAAACTATTAGAACTAATAAATACATTTAGTTAAGTTGCAGAACGCAAATCAATATACAAAAAATCAATAGTGTTTCTATACATTGACAGCAAATTATTTGTGAAAGAAATCAAGAAATCAATAATATTTGCAATTGCAATGTTTCCTAAGTAAAATGCTTAGGAATGTGTTTAAACAAGGAAGCTCTCTACCTGAAAATTATAAAACATAGATGAAAGAAATGGCGGAAGACACAAATAATGAAAACCCATATGGATCATGGGCTGAAAAGTTAATAGTATTCAAACTACACAAAGTGATCTATAAATTCAATGCAGTCCCTATCAAAATACCAATGACATTCTTCACAAAAGTAGAAAAATCATTTCTAAAATATGTATGGAACCACAGAAGACCCCAAATAGCCAAAGTAATCTTGAGTAAAAAAAATTTGAGGCATCACATTAGCTGACTGCAAAACATACTACAAAGCTATAGTAACCCAAACAACATGGTACTGACATAAAAATAGACATACATACCAATAGGATAGAAAGATAGCCCAGAAATAAATCCACACATTTACAACTAACTGATTTTTGACAACGGTGCCTAAAAACAGTGGAGGTAGGGAGACTCTTCAATAAATAGTGTTGGGAAAATTGGCTATCCATGTTTAGAAAATAAAATGAGACCCTCATTTTACATCACACACAAAAATCAACTGAAAATGAATTAAAAACTTAAATGTAAGACCTACAACTATGAAACTACTAGAAGAAAATATAGTGAGAAATCTCCATGACATTGGTCCAAGCAAGGATTTTTGGATGTGACTCTAAAAACACAGACAACAAAAGCAAAGACAAATGGGATTGCATCAAACTAAAAATCTTCGGCACAGCAAAGAAAACAAACAACAGTTAAGAAGTAATCTACAGAGTAGGAGAAAATATTTGCAAACTATACATCTAACAAGTGGCTAATATCCAAAATATATAAGTAACTTAACTAAGCCAGAAAACAAATAACTTGATTTAAAAATGGGTAGGAGAACTGAGTAGATATTTCTCAAAAGAAGAAATACAAGTGGCCAAGAGGTATATAAAAGTAATGTTCAACATCACTAATCAGAAAAATGCAAATTAAAACCACAATAAGATATCACCTTCCTTTTTAAATATAAATATTACCAAAAAGATAATAAGTGTTGGCAAGGATATGGAGAAAAGGGAACACTTGCTCACTGTTGGCGGGAATGTGAATTAGGATAGCCATTGTGGAAAACAGAATGGAGGTTCTTCAAAAACCTAAAAACAGAACTACCATATGATCTAGCAGTTTTTCTACTGGGTATGTATCCAAAGGAAATTGAATTAGTATGTCAAAGAGATATCTACACTCTCATGTTTATTGTAGCATTTTTTCACAGTAGCCGAGATGTGTACTCAGTTTAAGTGTCCATTAACAGATTAATGGATAAAGAAAATACGCTATATATACACAGTGGAATACTATTCAGCATAAAGAAGGAAATATTTTCCTTTGCAACAGCATGGAAGAACCTGGGAGACATTATGTTAAATGAAGTAAGCCAGGCAGAGAAAGACAAATATTGCATCATCTCACTCACGTGTGGAATATAAAAAGTTAGACTCATAGGTATAGAGAGTGGAATGTTGGTTACCAGGGCCTAGGGTAGTTGGTTATGGGAGTTGGGGAGATACTGATCAATGGATACAAAATTTCAATTAGATAAGAGGAATAATTTCAAGAAATCTATAGTACAACCTGGTGACTATTGTTAACAATAAACAGTTATCCCATGAACAACTCAGTGTTCGGGGTGCTGACCACGTGTGCAGTTGACAATACCATATAACTTTTCAACTCCCCAAAACTTAACTACTACTAGCCTTCTATTGACAGGAAGCCTTATTGATAACATAAAGTAAATTAACACATTTTATATGTTAATATGTACTGTATTGTTAAGAATAAGCTAGAGAAAAGGAAATGTTATTAAGAAGATTATAAGGAAGAGAAAATATATTTACTATCCATTAAGTGGAAGTGGATCACTATAAAGGTCTTCAACCTCATTGCCTTTACATTGAGTAGGCTGTGGAGGAGAAGAAAGAAGAGGGGTTTGTCTTGCTGTCTCTTGGGTGGCAAAGACGGAATAAAATCCATATATAAGTGGACACAGGCAGTTCAAAGCTGTGTCTTTCAAGGGTCAACTGTATTATATTTTTGAAAAATGCTATGAGGGTGAATGTAAAGTGTTCTTACCACAAAAATAACTGTGCGAGGCAATGCATATGCTAATTAGCTAGATTTAGTCTTTCCACAATGTGTATATACTTCCAAAAATGATATTTACAAAATATACAATTTTATCTGTACATTTTTTAATGAACAAAAATACTCCAAGGAGAAAAGCATTAGGGCATTGGATTTGGCAATTATATCTTGGATATGACACCAATGGCACAGAAAACAAAAGCAAAACTAGACAAATTAGATGTCATAATAATTTTAGACTTTTGTTGATCAAAATACATTATCAACAGAGTAAAAAGGCACTCCACAGAAAGAGATACATATTTGCAAATCTTTTATCTAATAAGGGATTTATATCCAGAATATATAAAAATCTCCTAAAACTCAACCACAAAAAAAAACTCAAAAAAGCACAAAAGACTTGAGTAGACATTTTTTCAAAAAAGTACATACAAATGGTGAATAAGCACATGAAAAGATATTCAGCATCACTAGTCATTAGGGAAATGCAAAACAAATCCAGAATGAGATGTCACCTCACACCATTAGGATGGGTACTATTTAAAAAAAAAAAAAGAAGAAGAAAAAACAATAACAAATGTTGGTAAGGTTGTGGAATAACTTAAACACTGAACTGTTGGTGGGATTTTAAATGGTACAGCTGATGTGCAAACCAGTGTGGTCGTTCCTAAAAAATTAAAAATATAATTACCATGTCACCTAGCAATTTGACTTCTGGGTACATACCCAAAGGAATTGAAAGCCTGGTCTCAAAGAGACATTTGTATACACACGTGTTCATTGCAGCATTATTCAAAACAGCTAAAACATTGAAATAACCTGGGTGTCCACTGATGGAAGAATGAGTAAGAAAAATGTGGTACACATGCAGGGGAATATTATTCGCTTTTAAAGAGAATTCGGGCATATAATGCAACATGAATGACCCTTGAGGACATTAAGCTAAATGAAATAAACCTGTCACAGAAAGGCAAATGATGTGTGATTTTATTTATATGAGGGACATAGAGTAGTCAAAAATCACAGAGACAGAAAATAGAATGGTGGTGGCCAGGGGCTGCAGGGAGTGGGGAATGGGGAGTTACTGTTTAATGGGTGTAAAGTTTCAGTTTTACAAAATAAGAGTTATGGAGATGGATGATGGTGATAGTTGTACATTATGACTGAACTTAATACCTCTGCCTTGTACACTTAAACATGATTAATATGGTAAATTTTATGTTTTATGTCCTGTACCACAGTAAAATATTGGAAAAAATATACAAACTTAGAATTAAACAAATTCTATTAAAAATAACACAAACACGCCAACAACAACAAAAAACCATGCAGCCCTGTTGCAAAAAATCTTGAAAACTGACCCAAATTTTATCTGTAATCTTGCCTCTGAACATTATCATTTTGTATATTCATTTCCAGTCTTTTTTTAGTAAATATATTTTTATGTAGGAGAACAAGTAAAAAGGTCCATTTTAATGTATGATCATTTAAATTTTAAGTTTTAAAAAATCTGTCAGAAGAAAAATCACATCACTTGCAAAAATAGACAGAAATTATGCAAGCCAGAAGATAATGGAACATCTTTAAAGTGCTAAAATGATAGACTGCCAACCTGTTATTCTTAATTCAGTGAAAATATTCTTCAAAAATGAAGGTGAGATAAAGACTTTTTCAGACAACAAAAGCTGAGGAAATTTATTGCCAGCAGATCTGTATTGTAACACTGTTAAGAAAATGGTTTTCAAGCAGAGGGTTAAAGATACCAGATGGAAACATGGACACATACAAATGAAAAAAGGAGTACAAGAAATGGTTTCTGTGTGAATATTCAGGTGCTCCTCAACTTATGATGGGGTTACATACCCATAAACTCTTTTTATGTAAAAAATAACATAAGTTGAACCATCACAAGTTGGAGGTCATCTGTATATTAAACATTGTTTTCTCATTTTTAGTCGATGCAGAAAATGCATCTGTTAATATTCAATACCTAGTCATAATAAAATCTCAGAAAAATAGGACCTGAAGTGAAAAAAAGCTGAACTAATTGGTATCTAGGAAAAAACAACTTATGACATATTTGACAGTAAAAGACCAAGTAAGATTGGGCAAGAGTTTTATGTCTCATTACTTTAACATTTTACTGAATATTCTAACTAGTACAGTAAATATGGGGGATGCATATTCCCTCTTACTACATGGAAGTGGTCAATATTATAGAGAAGTCAACAGAAGGAAGATTAGGAACAGACCACATGATGTCATCGTTAGAATCTTTGATTTGGAGACAGACCTCAGAAGAGTAGTGGAAACGAATATAGAACTGTAGGGTGTAAAATGTTTGAATAACAAACTGAGTAAACAGACCATTCGTTGGAGAAATTTGACAATGAAACAAAAGAGGAAAATTGGTGGAGGTTTGTGTAACTGTTGAAGATTTTATTCATGGAAGGGAAAGCTATGTTTGTTTGGATATAGAGGAAAAAGAACCATTGGAGATGTAAAAATGAAGATTGACAGAGATAAGAGAAATAATGCAGAAAAGCTGTCATGAGTTAAGAAAGGACTTAGAAGAAATAGAGAAGTTTGCTCTGGAGGGGAGCAAGGACAACTTCTAAACTTAGAAGGATAAATTATAGGCTAGGAATAGACATGGGTTGAGGGAAATGTAAATGGAATTTTCTCTGTCCATTTTATTTATTCAATTTACCATTCAGGATATTCTAATTCAGTTATTACTTGATTTTGTGTCCAAAGGATACCTCTTTTTGACTTGACCTGATGTTCTGAGAACTTCTCCAAATTATTTTTTTCTTACAAATAAATAGAAATTAAGTAGCCCCCAAAGTAATCCAAATGTTTACTAAATGTAGAAGTTGACAAAGATTTTTTTCATTACAGTTAAATTCTACCAATAAAACAACCTCCACATAGAGAAATTATACTCTTTTGTCATAAACAAACATTTAAAACTGCACAGTTTAGTATTTCAATATGGAAATTTCCTTTTATGTAATAAAGATGGTTAATCCAAAGAAGACATGATTTGTCAAGAAGAATGGTTACAGACCACTTTCAAGATGGCTGAGTGGGAAAAGCTTTGGTCTACAGGTCCCAGCAAGATTTACGCAGAAGATGGTGATTTCTGCATTTCTAAGTGAGGTACCTCGTTCATCTCACTGGGACTGGTTGGACAGTGGGTGCAGCCCATGGAGGGCGAGCTGAACCAGGGCAGGGTGTCGCCTCACCTGGGAAGTACAAGAGGTCTGGGGATTTCCCTTTCCTAGCCAAGGGAAGCCATGAGTGACTGTACCTGGAGGAATGGTACACGCCTGCCCAAATACTGTGCTTTTCCAATAGTCTTCACAACCAGCAGACCAGGAGACTCCCCCCGTGCCTGGCTTGGTGGATCCCACACCCACAGATCCTTGCTAGCTGCTAGCACAGCAGTGTGAGATTGACCTGGGATGCTGGAGCTTGGCAGGGGGAGGGGCATCTGCCACTGCTGAGGCTTTAGTAGGCAGGTATATGCTCACAGTGTAAACAAAGCAGCAGGGAAGCTTGAACTGGGCAGAGCCCACCACAGCCCAGCAAGGCCTACTGCCTCTCTAGATTCCACCTCTTGGGGCAGAGCATACCTGAACAAAAGGCAGCAGACAGCTACTGCAGACTTAAACGTCCCTGCCTGACAGCACCGAAGAGAGCAGTGGTTCCCCCCAGCATGGCATTTGAGCTCCGATAACGGACAGACTGCCTCCTCAAGTGGGTCCCTGACCCCCATGTAGCCTGACTGGGAGGCATCTCCCAGTAGGGGCCTACAGACACCTCATACAGGTGGATGCCCCTCTGGGACGAAGCTTCCAGAGGAAGGATCAGGCAGCAGTATTTGCTGTTCTGCAGCTTCCACTGGTGATACCCAGGCAAACAGGGTCTAAAGTGGACGTCCAGCGAATTCCAACAGACCTGCAGCTGAGGGACCTGACTGTTAGAAGGAAAACTAACAAACAGAAAGGAATAACATCAACGTAAACAAAAAGGACATCCACACCAAAATCCCATCCATAGGTCACCAACATCAAAGACCAAAGGTAGATAAAACCACAAAGATGGGGAGAAACCAGAGCAGAAGGGCTGAAAATTCCAAAAATCAGAATGCCTCTGCTCCTCCAAAGGAACACAACTCCACGCCAGTAAGGGAACAAAACTGGATGGAGAATGACTTTGACGAGTTGACAGAAGTAGGCTTCAGAAGGTTAGTAATAAACTTCTCCGAGCTAAAAGAGCATGTTCTAACCCATTGCAAGGAAGCTAAAAATCTTGAAAAAAGGTTAGACTAATGGCTAACTAGAATAACCAGTGTAGAGAAGAGCTTAAGTGACCTGATGGACCTGAAAATTGCAGTACGAGAACTTGGTGAAGCATACACAAGTATCAATAGCTGAATAGATCAAGTTGAAGAAAGGATAGCAGCAATTGAACATCAAATTAATGAAGTAAAGCATGAAGACAAGATTAGAGAAAAAAGAGTGAAAAGAAATGAACAAAGCTTCCAAGAAATATGGGACTATGTGAAAAGACCAACTCTACGCTTGATTGGTGTATGTGAAAGTGACAGAAAGAATGGAACCAAGTTAGAAAACATTCTTCAGGATATTATCCAGGAGAATTTCCCCAACCTAGCAAGACAGGCCAACATTCAAATTCAGGAAATACAGAGAACACCACAAAGATACTCCTCGAGACGAGCCACCCCAAGACACATAATTGACAGAATCACCAAGGTTGAAATGAAGGAAAAAATGTTAACGGCAGCCAGAGAGAAAGGTTGGGTTACCCACAAAGGGAAGCCCATCAGACTAACAGTGGATATCTCTGCAGAAACCCTACAAGCCAGAAGAGAGTGGGGCCAATATTCAACATTCTTGAAGAAAATAATTTTCAACCCAGAATCCCATATCCAGCCAAACTAACCTTCGTAAGTGAAGGAGAAATAAAATCCTTTACAGACAAACATATGCTGAGAGATTTTGTCATCACCAGGCCCATCCTACAAGAGCTCCTGAAAGAAGCACTAAACTTGGAAAGGAACAACCGGTACCAGCCACTGCGAAAACATGCCAAATTGTAAAGACCCTCAACGCTATGAAGAAACTGCATCAACTAACAGGCAAAGTAACCAGCTAGGATCATAATGACAGGATCAAATTCACACATAACAATATTAACCTAAAATGTAAACGGGCTAAATGCCCCAATTAAAAGACACAGACTGGCAAATTGGATAAAGAGTCAAGACCCATCAGTGTGCCGTATTCAGGAGACCCATCTCACGTGCAAAGACACACATAGGCTCAAAATAAAGGGATGGAAGAAGATCTACCAAGCAAATGGAAAGCAAAAAAAAGCAGGGGTTGCAATCCTAGTCTCTGATAAAACAGACTTTTAAACCAACAAAGATCAAAAGAAACAAAGAAGGCCATTATATAATGGTAAAGGGATCAATTCAACAAGAGCTAACTATCCTAAATATATACGTGCCCAATATAGGAGCACCCAGATTCATAAAACAAGTTCTTAGAGACCTGCAAAGAGACTTAGACTCCCACACAATAATAATGGAAGACTTAACACCCAACTGTCAATATTAGACAGATCAATGAGACCAAAGGTTAACAAGGATATCCAGAACTTGAACTCAGCTCTGCACCAAGCAGACCTAATAGACAGCTACAGAACTCTCCACCCCAAATCAACAGAATATACAGTCTTCTCAGTACCACATTGCACTTATTCTAAAATTGACCACATAATTGGAAGTAAAACACCCCTCAGCAAATGAAAAAGAACAGAAATCACAACAAACTTTCTCTCAGACCACAGTGCAATCAAATTAGAATTCAGGATTAAGAAACTCACTCAAAACCACACGACTACATGGAAACTGAAGACCCTGCACCTAAATGTCTACTGGGTAAATAACGAAATGAAGGCAGAAATAAAGATGTTCTTTGAAACCAATGAGAACAAAGACTCAATGTACTAGAATCTCTGGGACACATTTAAAGGAGTGTGTAGAGGGAAATTTATAGCACTAAATGCCCACAAGAGAAAGCGGAAAGCAGAAAAGATCTAAAATCGACACCCTAACATCACAATTAAAAGAACTAGAGAAGCAAGAGCAAACAAGTTCAAAAACTAGCAGAAGACAAGAAATAACTAAGATAAAGAGCAGAACTGAAGGAGATAGAGACACAAAAAACCCTTCAAAAAAAGTCAGTGAATCCAGGAGCTGGTTTTTTGAAAAGATCAACAAAATAGATAGACTGCTAGCAAGACTAATAAAGAAGAAAAGAGAGAAGAATCAAATAGATGCAATAAAAAATGATAAAGGGGATATCACCACCGTTCCTGCAGAAATACAAACTACCATCAGAGACTACTATAAACACCTCTACTCAAATAAACTAGAAAATCTAAAAGAAATGGATAAATTCCTGGACACATACACCCTCCCAAGACTAAAACAGGAAGAAGTTGAATCTCTGAACAGGACAATAATA
Organism: Homo sapiens; assembly: GCF_000001405.40. Taxonomy (NCBI): domain Eukaryota; kingdom Metazoa; phylum Chordata; class Mammalia; order Primates; family Hominidae; genus Homo; species Homo sapiens. Next base: position 35,273,847 of record NC_000013.11, read on the forward strand.
GGTTCTGAAATTGAGGCAATAATTAATAGCCTACCAACCAAAAAAAAGTCCAGGACCAGACAGATTCACAGCCGAATTCTACCAGATATACAAAGAAGAGCTGGTACCTTTCCTTCTGAAACTATTCCAATCAATAGAAAAAGAGGGAATCCTCCTTAACTCATTTTATGAAGCCAGCATCAACCTGATACCAAAGCCTGGCAGAGACACAACAAAAAAAGAATTTTAGACCAATATCCTGATGAACATCAACGCAAAAAATTCTCAATAAAATACTGGCCTACTGAATCCAGCAGCATATCAAAAAGCTTTTCCACCATGGTCAATTCAGCTCCACCCCTGGGTTGCAAGACTGGTTCAACATATGTAAATCAATAAACATAATCCATGACATAAACAGAACCAATGACAAAAACCACATGGTTATCTCAATAGATGCAGAAAAGGCCGTTAACAAAATTCAACAGCGTTTCATGCTAAAAACTCTCAATAAACTAAGTATTGATGGAATGTATCTCAAAATAATAAGAGCTATTTATGACAAACCGATAGCTAATATCATACTGAATGGGCAAAAACTGGAAGCATTCCCTTTGACAACTGGCACAAGACAAGGATGCCCTCTCTCACCACTCCTATTCAACATAGTATTCAAAGTTCTGGCCAGGGCAATCAGGCAAGAGAAAGAAATAAAGCATATTCAGTTATGAAAAGAGGAAGTCAAATTGTCTCTGTTTGCAGATGACATAATTGTATACTTAGAAAACCCCATCATCTCAGCCCCAAATCTCCTTAAGCTGATAAGCAACTTCAGCAAAGACTCAGGTACAAAATCAATGTGCAAAAATCACAAGCATTCCTATACACCAGTAATAGAGAGCCAAATTATGAGTGAATTCCCATTCACAATTACTACAAAGAGAATAAAATACCTAGAAATACAACTTATAAAGGATGTGAAGGACCTCTTCAAGGAGAACTACAAACCACTGCTCAATGAAATAAAAGAGGACACAATCAAATGGAAGAACATTCCATGCTCATGGACATGAAGAATCAATATCATGAAAATGGCCATACTGCCTAAGGCAATTTATAGATTCAATGCTATTACCATCAAACTACCACTGACTTTCTTCAAAGAATTGGAAAAAAAGTACTTTAAGTTTCATATGGAACCAAAAAAGATCCTGCATAGCCAAGACAATCCTAAGCAAAAAGGACAAAGGTGGAGGCATCATGCTACCTGACTTCAAACTATGCTACAAGGCTACAGTAACCAAAACAGCATGGTACTTGTACCAAAACAGACATATAGACCAAAGGAATGGAACAGAGGCCTCAGAAATAACACCACACATGTACAACCATCTGATCTTTGACAAACCTGACAAAAACAAGCAATGGGGAAAGGATTCCCTATTTAATAAATGGTGCTGGGAAAACTAGCCATATGTAGAAAGCTGAAACTGAATCCCTTCCTTACACCTTATATCTAAATTAACTCAAGATGGATTGAAGACTTAAAATGTAAGACCTAACACCATAAAAACCCTGGAAGAAAACATAGGCAATACCATTCAGGACATAGGCATGGGCAAGGACTTCATGACTAAAACACCAAAAGCAATGGCAACAAAAGCCAAAATAGACAAATGGGATCTAATTAAACTAAAGAGCTTCTGCACAGCAAAGGAAACTATCATCAGAGTGAACAGGCAACCTACAGAATGGGAGAAAATTTTTGCAATCTACTCATCTGACAAAGGGCTAATATCCAGAATCTACAAAGAACTTAAACAAATTTACAAGAAAAAAACAAACAACCCCATCAAAAAGTGGCCAAAGGATATCAACAGACATTTCTCAAAAGAAGACATTTATGCAGCCAACGGACACATGAAAAAATGCTCATCATCACTGGCCATCAGAGATATGCAAATCAAAACCACAATGAGATACCATCTCATGCCAGTTAGAATGGCGATCATTAGAAAGTTAGGAAAGAACAGATCCTGGGGGGAGGGATAGCCTTAGGAGAAATACCTAATGTAAATGACGGGTTGATGGGTGCAGCAAACCAACATGGCACGTATATACCTATGTAACAAACCTGCACGTTGTGTACCTGTACCCTAGAACTTAAAGTATAATAATTTAAAAAAAGAAGAGATGAGCACCCAAAAGTTGTAGATGGCATATCTGAACATCTGCTATAGGGCTGACTGAATACATGTAATTTTTAGTCAGTATAAGATGACTTTATCCCTTACTATGAAATCAATCTTCTACTTTGATATGGTGATTAGAAGACACTTTTGTTTTACAAAATAAGAGCACATATGGCCTGTGTTGTATATTCCATGATAATTTTTAAAGGGAATTATTTTCCCTTTTGTTCTAATACAATTGGTGTATTTGTATAAATTTTTAAATGCGAACCAGGAAAATACCAAAAAAAAAGAGGCTATGTTTAGAATTACCCTCAGGCATCTGGTGTGAGCTTGGATTGTTTTGACAAATCAAGACATTTGGGTGCTTAAAATACAAGGTAATGTAATGAAAGGTCTATATATTCCATTAAATTTATGTCATTGAATAACAGGTTTGGTTTGGAGGGCATACATGTAACTTCTTTTGAGACAAGAAATATTTTTACATTATGAAAAACTGCATGCTGACTATAATGTCTACTCATGATAAACTACATGGAATCTTCAAGAAGCTAAGCATGGAATTAATGTTGGCTTTTATTATTATACTCTCTGGGATACTAATGCACGTTAGAGAAATATGTAAACAACTTGGGAAAAAACTAAATTGGGAAATTTTTAAAAAGGAAATACATTGCTTAGCACTTATATTGTAGTGTTTACATTTTCCAAGTAATTTATATACTTATTACAGACATACTGTAGTTCCTAAATGTGAATAGACTATAAGATACTAGCCTGAGTTTATTTAGTAGCTGATGGCCTTCTGCCCATCCTCAGGTTGCTCTAAGCAAAGTCCACGTTTTTTTAATTGAATTCTGATTCTTTTTGAATATAAAATAGATTATACATTTGTTTAAATTTTGTAATATTACATTACATATTTAAAGAAAACTTTAGAGAACGGTTTACTTTTTCCTTCTGTTTTAACAGAGTAATGGAAAGCATGCATGCAGAACAATAACAATGCAACATAAGCATCTGTGGCCCCAGGTGGCAGGGATGTAGAGAGAACATAGGAGATACCTATATGTAAAAATTCAGCTAGTTATGGACAAGATTCAACAAAGCTGGTACTTACCTTAACACTGCTTTGTTTCCAACTATATTCTTAAAACAAAATTTGGTAAAGTAAAAATACAGTACATACACAAAAAAACCAAGGTGGATGACATGCAGATCAGGTTTAAACCTGGCAGAGACCAGGTATTAAAGGAAGTAAAGACATCAGAGAGCCAGAAAAACTCATATTTGTTCATGACTTATTAAAAATCACATTAGGCCGGGCGCGGTGGCTCACTACTGTAATCCCATCACTTTGGGAGGCCGAGGTGGGTAGATCACTTGAGGTCGGGTGTTCCAGACCAGCCTGACCAACATGGAGAAACCCTGTCTCTACCAAAAATACAAAATTAGCCAGGTGTGGTGTCACATGCCTGTAATCCCAGCTACTCAGGAGGCTGAGGCAGGAAAATCACTTGAACCTGGTAGGCAGAAGTTGCAGTCAGCTGAGATCGCACCATTGCACTCCAGCCTGGGCAACAAGAAAGAAACTCCGTCTCCAAAAAAAAAAAAAAAAAAAAAAAAAAGTGGGGGAAACAACATATGTATGCAAAGGAGGGTAGAAAGAAAGGAGCAGCGACTTTGCCAAATACACATATTCTAAAGGAAAAAAAGAAACCTAGATTCTAGTCATTCTTGAAAAAAATTTGAATAGAAAGGGACAAAATTAAAATATGATTTAGAGTCGGTTACAGTGGCTCACACCTGTAATTCCAGCACTTTGGGAGGCTGAGGCAGGCAGATCACTTGAGGCCAGGAGTTTGAGACCAGCCTGGCCAACATGGCAAAACCCCATCTCTACTAAAAAATACAAAACTTAGCCAGTGTGGTGGCACATGCCTATAGTCTGAGCTACTTGGGAGGCTGAGGCAGGAGAATTGCTTGCACCCAGGAGGCAGAGGTTGCAGTGAGCCAAGATCGCACCACTGCACTCCAGCCTGTGCAACAAGAGCAAAACTCCATCTCAAAAAATATATATATATATAAAATATATATATATACATAAAATATATATATATGCACACATATATATGCATGTATATGATTTAGAAACAGTAGTGTACAACAAGCATTAAATAGAAGGAGAGTTTGGGTGTAGAAAGAATAGATTGTATTGAACAAACTCAATAAGGATGTTATAAATTTGAACAATGGAAGAAAAAAGGATAGTTGAAAGGCAGTTTTAAAGTATATGAAAGTGGCTTCATTTTCTCTACCTATTATTGTATTGTAAGTTTAACACATGGCAATACAATGCAATGTAATTGACCATTTTATGTTCAAGCCTAATCCCTGCTAAAAGTATTAAGAGCCTTTATTGGTCCCATCATTTAACCAAAATGCTCAAGGTCTACAAGATAAAACCCCGTGAACTCACAAAAACAGATTCTATAAATGATTTGTCATCTTTATGCTACCGCCAAATACTGCCTGTTGGTTTAGCCACTTTTGATTCTTGTTTTCAAGTACATAATTAAATAGAAATTTGATGCTTAAATAACTAAGAACCAATACTTTTCCATATCATTTCATTTCTGCTATCATATATCTTATTTTTGGTACCAGTTCAGCCCAGTAAGACCTGAAGGAAGGACTTAGAACCTGGGATACTCAAGACAGAAAGAACTATGTATGCTTTAGCACAAGGATTGGCAAACTATTTCTTAGATGGGCCAAAACATGAATACTTCGGGCTTTGCAACCATGTAGTCTCTGTCATAGTGCTCAACTTTCCCATAACATGGAATTTGCTACATACAATATGTAAAAGAATAAGCTCAGCTGTGTTCTGATAAAATTTTATGAACACTGAAATTTGAATATTGTATAACTTTTAAGTATCATGAAATATTGCCTTTCTTTCTGTTTTTCCACTAACTTTAAAATATTAAAACTATTTTTAGCTCACAGGCCATATAAAACAGAAGGTGGGCCAGCTCTGGAGAATTGATTTTCAGACTGCAGGCTGTGATTCATTAGGTATACAATGTAATCAATAAAGCAAGCCCTGGCCAATACTTTTTAAGGGCAAACCATGCCATAGCATAACATAGATGAGAATATCACAGTTAAAGGAAGTACTATTTTGTAAAACATTTGTTTCAGTTACATATACAGGATCATGATATGAAATGTATTGCTGTAGACTGTAATAAAAAAGATTTTAAATCATTAATCTTTACTAGCAAGGAAATTTAGTGTCAAGAATGTGATGTGTCTTAGCTCAAGTTTACACAGCTAGTTTGTAGAGACTACATTAAAACCAGATATTCTGATTTTCAGTTCAGAGTTTCTTTGACTGAATTAAAAATTAGATTCAGACTAAAATAATTCTGAAATACTTATAAAATTGCCTAATTTTGAATGATCAGGATAAACCCTAACATTAAAATATTTAGAGGAATGTAAAAACTAACTGGCTTATTACTAACATTCAGATTATTAGCAATAGTCACCTAATTTGAGTTTAAAACAATACAATGAATTAGAAAGTATACAGACAGAGTTTTTCCTGGACCTTGATCTGTGCTGTCCAGATATGTTGTTCCTTGCTCTCTAGTTTCAGACTAGGAGGTCAGGCCCAGGGCATGTCAACTTTGACCATCAGTCTTCAGTCTGTCCTTCTCAGGTATCAAAACACAATTTTTCCCATTACACATGCCCCTTAATTAGGTAGCGTTACCACAACATAGGTGGACACTGGATCACAAGAGAAATAAGCCACCAAGAACTAACTTGCTGAAAAGCCTGAGAAAAATAAGCTGAGGGAATGGACATTTCCTAAGACATAAACCTGGAGAAGTTATCCATTTCTCCTGTCTGCCCATCATGGGTGTGTCAGGTTGATTTTTTAAAGGACAATTTTAACATATAAGACTATTTTCTAATTTTTAAATTATTTGAAATTTATTTTAGTAGAGATTTTATTTGTGTGTATCTAGCTAAATTAATTTATAGGGATATACATGTTATATTATCCACACCTGAAAGGTTGTTCTCTCTGTACTCAGTAGGATTGTTCTAATTACACAAAGTCCAACCAAATATATTCTTCTGATTAAACATATATTTTAGCTTATAAACTATTTACTTAAAAAGATTATATAGGTAATTTCAACTGAAAAATATTCTCACATTAAGTGTGCTATTTACATATTTGTTTTGTTATAGAGAATATCTGAGGCTCTACATCCTCTCATGAGTAAAAGAAGATGTTTAAATTAATTTCAGCAGATTTTCTTTTATAAATTGAATAATATTATTTATAATTACTGATCCTAGAATAATCCCTAGGTCAGTTTTTCTCTAGAAATTAATAGCTGTTCATTATTTCAAGTTAAATATTTCCTACTGGTATTTTTTAATTCCACCATTTTCTAATAATCACAATAGGAATTACATTAATAGCATCATTTAGCTTGCTTACCAAGTCAATATCCTAAAAAGATTCTGAGATAATACTTGGTCTCATCATAATAAACTGATCAATGTAACTACCTGTATACTCCATTAGAATTCAGGCTTCTCCAGCAGATGGAACATAACTGTTTTATATTTGTGTCCTGGCCTATGGTAAGTATGCACACTACTTATAGAATCAAATCTTTGGATGCCTTTTATCCTTGGAAATGACTGGGTTCTCTTTTTGACAGATTTTTTTTTTTGCCATTTATTTGATGCCCTTTTTTAGATTTCCTAGTTCATCCAATTTCAAAATATAACTCACTTTGTAATAGATCTCCGTCATATTATAACTGGATTCTGAGTAATAAAAGTACCACTTACTTTTAGTTTATAATAGGTCTAATATTTTACACTAGAAGTGTTTTTTTAAAATTACGAAGTGACTCACATACTGACTTCTTTATTGTATCATTATTGGACTGTATTCTGGTATGTAATATAGAACTTGACTCTTAAGATCTCACCATGAATTGTGGATAGTTGTGATTTGGATATAGGATTTTCTAGTTAGGCAAAATAATCTTGTTAATTCAATGACATGTAATTTTTTGTGTATATAGTCTTTGGCATACTATCCCAATAAATTATTTCTTGGGTTGAATCATGATTATAATAGTTTCTGTGACTTTGGGGAATATCTTCAATGTTGTAAAATTGAAGGAAATTCTAAGAACCTATTTCATTCCTATGAATGAATGCAACTGTACTGATTACTCATCTCTAATTTTTTTCTTAAATGGAGGATTCGTAAGAAAATTCGACTTGGATTACATTTGAGAATTTATTGCTTTGAGCACAAATAAGGAACTTTGTGAAGTTTAGTTTGTTTTTTCAGGGTATTTCAACAATTTGGCAATAATTATTGTATAAAGTTAATGTGCTTTTGGAAGTAAGTGAGGTTCGCCTGACTGACCTCTACTTGAACCTGCCTTAGCCTGAAACCATTTTTTTGGTGATTTATGCCTTAATTACAATGATTATCAAATAGTTTCCTTTTACCAATTATGTTTTTTCTCTTTGACTTCGTGAATATCTTTTTATGAAGAGTGATACATAGCATTTCCATTTTACATGATATATTATTTAAGTATTTCAAAGAAAAAACACCAGTGCTTTTTTGAATACAAAAATAAAGATCTTAAAGGTGTATACAATACAAAAGCTACCTGAAATTTATTTAAATTTGTGAACTTGTAATTAGTAAATATATTTATTTGAGAATTTAAATAAATATCAGAATTTAGGTAGTTTGAAACTGTATACAAATTGTTCGTGTATACACACTATGCTTAAAAGGATTTATATTTTATAGAATATAAATTATGTTATTTATTTATTTATTTTGAGACGGAGTCTTACTCTGTCACCCAGGCTGGAGTGCAGTGGCCCAGTCTTGGCCCACTGCAAGCTCCACCTTCCGGGTTCACTCCATTCTCCTGCCTCAGTCTCCCGAGTAGCTGAGACTACAGGCGCCTGCTACCACGCCCGGCTAATTTTTTTTTTTTGTATTTTTAGTAGAGATGGGGTTTCACCGTGTTAGCCAGGATGATATCCTGACCTTGTGATCTGCCCACCTCGGCCTCCCAAAGTGCTGGGATTACAGGCATGAGCCACTGCACCCGGCCAATTATTTTATTTTTAATATGGAAGCATTACTATAGCCACTTTTATTTAAATGTAACTACTTGTGTAATGTAATCATATGACTAACATGGTATATGTTCTCTTTTGATTATTAATATTTCTTGAAATGATGTGTACATGGTTAAAACACATGTATCATTCTTAATAATTATTTAGGACCAGTCTTTCTTGAGCAGTGTTAAAATTTGAACCAGACATAGGTTAGTAACTTTAGAATTTAATTAAGGCTTTTGAAATTTCAAGGAGCTCAGAGAGAAATAAAGAAAGTTGATGCAGAGGAGTGATACAGGAATAACAATTGATTCTATAATTAAATTTAACCCAAAAATAATTGCAAGATCCAAATGATTTATGATAGCGAAAATGTCTCTTATTTCCCTTATTTCATCCGTACTCATTGCTGTTGTGATTATATTAGCAAGACACTCAGGTCAGTCACCTTCTGTAGTAGAAATCTGAGTTACTACTGTGAATAAAAGTATCTCATTCAATTTCAAAAATAATTGTTTTATATTATTTAGAGTCATAGTACTTTATTGTAATCCTTATTTCAGTACCATATTCTTTAGACTCTTACATAAATCTGTATTTGTATGTCTTATCTCTGTAACTGGTCTGTTAGCTCCTTGAGACCGAAGACTGTATCATTTCTGGATTTCTTAAAGATCCTTATAGATAGTGCAAGGCCTATAGCAGTGATGTAATTATTGTTCCTTAAATAAATTTTTAAAGCATAAATTAAAAAACAGTAAAGTTGGGGCAGTGTTTCACAGACAGTAGGTGTTAATAATATTGCTGATAATGCCATTAGAGTATTCTCTTCAGCTCATATTAAAATCAGGTTACTAGTTTAAATCTGTATAAAAACCATCACTATAGATTCCTTTTTGTATTATAATCTGTCATTTTGTAGAAGATTTATCTGTGAGTGTTATGAACTTCAATTCTGGCATTATGTAAAAAATTCTCAGCAGAAGCAAAACTATAAAAAAGAAAAAATATTCACAGTAAGATTTCTAGGCTGTATCAACACAATGACAAAAAATTTAGAAAGTTTATTTCAATAAATCAATCAAAATTATTATTTGGGTATTGTGTAACTACAATTAAACTTAACTTTGTTTCTGAGCAATCTAAACATTCTGGGATTACAATTTAAAAGCACTTAGTCAACCATTCTCATGTGGAAATTGATTTCAGTTCTTCCAAATATCTGAAATTTCCGTAGGGAAATGTGTAATATCAAATTACTTTGAAATTGCAATTAAAATTAATAATATTAATTTCTTTATCAATCTTCGAAAATATCTCATGTAACACAGTACCACTGATTTCTGACTTTTGATAAGCCAGATGCATTTTACAATTCAAATATTTTGGATCAAAGAAAGGTAATAAGTGCATATATTTCATAGCATCTTTAGGAAAGGCTGGGAGAGCTCCCTAATAAAACACATTAACATGTCTACAGTAATACATAAGGATTTTCACAATAAATAGAATAACAAATTGTAAATAGCATCACATTATTCAGGGGAAATTTTGCTGATAATTGAATTTGTGATAATCTTACATGAAAGCTTTCAGTTTTCAGAGCTTTTTGGGTTTCAGAATTGTAAAGTATCATGGATGTACAGCTGAAATAATTGCCCCTGTGATTTTTAATATCTATAGATGTGTAAGTGTGTGTATGTATGCATATGTTTTTCTTTTTCCTTTTCTCTTACAGATATGTACTCATGCACATGTGTACACAGACACACACACACACACACACACACACACCACACAGATGCATGTACACACACATCTTGGGATGAGTAAATAGTTTCCTTGGAAGACAGCCAAACTCATTTGTTTATGTATTGTCTATGGCTACCTTTGTACCACATGCCAGAGTTCAGTGGTTGTGACAGAAACTTATAGCCACCAAAGTCAAAAATATTTACTATCAGGACCTTTACAGAAAAAGTTTGCTGCCCCCTAATATATCTGGTATATCCAGAAACTTACGTTTTGTTCCTATTTTAAAGACAGTAAGACTGCCATAAGTTTGTGATAACTCAGTTTTTAGTGAACTAAAGAAATCAATGAATGCATGAACTCTCACTGTCTTTACAGTATTTTGCAGGGTTTTTTTTGTTAAAATTTATAATCCAAACATGAATGTAAGCTGCATTGGCTTAATTATATTTAAATAAACTTTTTTAGTCAAAAAAATGAATTTTATTATAGTTTTAAGTTAATATTAGAGTTGATTCCATTTGTAATACAGTTTTAAAATAAAATACTTGAGAGAACACATAGGCAAACCTTAAAATGTCCAATTAACATAGTAACTAATCTACCTATATACATCTTAATATTAATTTTAGCAATGATAAAAATTTAAGCCATTATTGTTATTTCAAAGGATGTTTCATGTCTATTTTTGTTTGTTTTCTTGGTTTTGAATTAGAAAGCCACATGAATTGCTTGCTTTGCTGTTTTTTAGGGTTTAGATCTTAGTAAGTTCAGGTGACTTACATGGTAACATTGAAAGTAAATTTTACAGAGAGAAGCATATCACAGTGAGGGAATAGGAAGACAATTTCATGTTTCAGATTAAAAAAGTAAAAGAATAGTAGAAAATATCAGAAATTACTGTTGTGCAGATAGAGGTGTATAAGTATTACAGGAGTCTAAAAGACACTCATTATGGTAATACCCTGTGTCTTAGAATCCTTCACAATACCATGGGAGAAGTGTAGAGAACAGAATTTTGAAGAATACACCACTGAAACTAAGGCAAATGAAGCATATTGGACATGCAAAATTCCTTTCCACGTCTATAGTTATTCAACATTTGTTACTGAAATGAAAGTATTTCAGTGCCATTCAGCTCTACTAATTTGGGGATTTTTAAAAGTTAAGAATAGGCTGGACCTGGTGGCTCAAGCCTGTAATCCCAGCACTTTGGGAGGTCCAGGTGGATGGATTGCTTGAGCTCAGGAGTTCACATCAGCTTGGGAAAGTTGGCAAAACCCTGTCTCCACGAAAATTACAAAAATTATCCACTGTACTCCAGCCCAGGTGACAGAGCAAGATTTTGCTTCCAAAACAAACAAAAAGATTAAAAATCATTAGAAGATTAACTAAAAACTAGTTAGTCCTAGGCATATTTGATTTTTAAAATTCAGATTGTCAGTATAGTCATGTCTATTTGATAGAAAATAAATTGGTATCTTTTATTGTGAGGAGAAATATTGTCTATAATGAAACTGATCACTTTTCCTTCTGCAGATTTGCTTCTTAATTTGCTTTCCTTATCTCAGTTAAAGGTATCATCATCACACTCTGATGGTTCCTTTACCCTGTCCCAAATAGTTGTTAAAATAGTTGTCTAAAATAGTTTGTCTCATTACAGAATGCCTTGAGTCTGTCTCTCCTTGCATTGTCACCATCTTGAGCTCAAGCTTTCAGTCGTGTAACTAAACTCTTTAGTTACTAGCTTCTTCCTATACTGCTGACAGAAAGTGGTCTTTCCAAAATAGAGCTAATTCTGTCTGCGCCCTGCTTAAAATCCTGTAGTGGCTCCCTGGTGATGATAGGATAGTGTGCCATGTATGGCTCTGCTTCCTGCCTACCTCTCTGTCTTCATTTCCAGTCACTTCCTTTCATCCTTCACAGCCTACGACATAACATTCCAACTCCACTTTGCTGACGATTGCATGCTTCTTTATACCTCAGACATTTCTCTGTCACCTGGAATGACCTTCCTTTCTTTCTACTTTTTGCTTAGATAGGCTCAGCATTATCCAACTTAAATGTCACATTCCCCATAACTTCTTCTCCTAGACACAGTTGCTTACTACCCTTCCTGTGCTTCTCACACTGCATTCTCTATGAACCCCCTAAGATTCTCTATCATGATTATTTGCTTATATTATCTGCCCCACATCCCACTTAGTACCTGCCATGGTGTCAGGCACATTAGACAATATGTTTGGTAAATGTTTTTTGAATGAATTGGGATCTTATTCTAAAAAATGATGTTCTTATTTTTGCTCAAAATGTAATTTTTTCTCTACAGTTGATAGTGAATGATGATTTATAGATTTATTGATTCAATTAATATTTACTGATAATATATTCAAAGCAATCATAGATGTCTGTCAGAGTCTCCTCTCTTGGATCCTTACTTAAAGAAAACTTTGACATTTAAAAGATTAGTTCCATATAAGAGCATGATTTCTTGTCCCTAGAACATGTAATATTCTTCATCTCCCACCATGAGGAACATTCTGCTAGAGATGGAATTTTTCAACGGTATTTTAAAGCTTTAGGGCTCTTTTAACTTGATATTCAATTCAACAGATGTAAAAAGTTAGACCCGCAGATTGACTCAAAAGAGTCTGACAGTTCTTTATTAAAATAATATCATTGTACCTTTTAGTAGTGTTTGTATTAAATAAAGATAGCTTTGTCCCAAAGGCCAAGCTTCTAACTTTATACTCATTTTGGAGATTTCTTATCTGGTTTATCATTTGTGGCAGTTTTTTGTTTTGTTTTGTTTTGTTTTGTTTTATCTTGTTTTTTAGTGGGGAGGGAGTGTCATTCTGAAAATAGAAATTGACTTCCTACCCCTAGTCAGTGTGAACCCAAAAGAACTGCCAGTTTTTTTGGATAATGGTTTACTCAGCTATATCTGTTTTATTTACTGCCTGGATCTGGACCACCTCAAGTTTGTCCAGCTAATTAATCTTCTCAAGTACTTGTATCTTAGCCACTCAGTGAGCTGACTTCATCTTTCAACAATATAGTTCATAATATATTCAAAAGCACTTAATGGACGGTTTCCTTACTGTTAGAATATCTCCCAAATATACAAGCCTCCTTCCTCATAGGCCCCCACACATTTATTGTTTACATCCCAGGTGTTCATTTTATACTGCTAAGCTGTATGGCTTGCAGTACTGAATCAGTAATTCTGGTTAGAATATTTATTCCAGTGAACATATATATTTTCTGGTGAAAATATTCTATTACTTTGCCTGCACTCCTAACTATATTTTTGTTGGGGAGGCACATATGTACAGCTCCTTTGGGGGCTTCTTCTTAATTAACAAGGCACAGATTGTCATGATAGAATAGGAATGCTATAAACAGTCCTTAGTATCATTTCTCCCGTTTTATAACTTGCTTTAAATTATTCCTTTTGTCTTTCAAAACCATATAATTTTCCTTCAATCTTAATCTATCTTTGGTTTTCACCCTAGCCCTCCAGTCCACTTTTAAACACTCTTATAGTCTATTCATCCATCCCCCAAGCTATAAAGGTTTTTTTCAGATTTTCTCTTTGTTCTCTGCTTCCTGTGTACTTTTTGCTTAAGCTATTGCTTTTTGTCCCCTTGTCTGACCACAATAAGCTACTTTCACCAGGAAAACTGTCAAAATCATTCACCTTTGAATTGACCATTACAACCCTTCTCATAATCAAATATTGCCATCTTATTAATGCCAAACTATTCATGTAGCTCTGCAGCAAACAGAATGGGCTTTGAGTTAGATGACCTGAATTTGGGACCCAGTTCCACCACTGACTGAATGACACACCTTTGGCTAGCCACCAAGTCTCTTCAATTTTTATGTATCAAATGAGGTAGTAATAACTAGTTTAAACAGTTATTAAGAGATTCAAATGAGTCAGCATATATGTAAGTTATTTGTAAATTCTAAAGCTCTATATAAATTTTATGTAATCTTAATTTGAATTAAAATATGGGCACTTGGGAAGGTATAAATAATAACTTATTACTGTAAACTCCTTAGTACTAACATTATATTTTGCTCATAAGTGGAGATATCAAATGAGCTAATTTGATTATGAATTTTTTGCCACATACAAAAAGGATACACTCAAACTTTTTGAGACGTACACTTGTAAAATATTTGTCTCATGCATATACAGCTTAAGAGTTACTTATAGCATCAGTCAGTGGTTGTATTTTCATTATCTCTAGTAAAACATTGAGTTTACCTCTTTTTTTTAGTAATACTCCCAACCAAAGTGATTATGTAATTTTTGAAGATAGATAGGTCTTTCAAATTTGCCTCTGCTTGTGTTCTCAATGTCACGTTTAGTTCTTCTTTTGCTTTTGGGAGAATCCATTTATTCTTTCTGTCCAAAACTAATTAGACAAAACACATGAGTAAAGGTGTGAGGTTCTATGGACTTGAAATCACAATAGCCTTTTACAAAATACTGAGAGCACTGTTTGCAAATTGCAATTTTGTTATTGTGTCAATTTTTTGCCATTCCTTTTGAACAAAGCATTAATGAAGCATTTGTTTATATTTTTCTTATGATGGAATGATGGTATTTGTAAAAAACTATAAATGGTCTTGTTGCATAGGGTTTTTTATAAGTTCATTTTAAAAATTGGTTTCTGAGAAATTAATGCAATTTCATGTTTTTCCAATTTTACTTCAATTTATTATATATTTAAAAACTCATACACAAAATGTATGCGAATAATTCTTTATATCAAAGCCTTATTGTCTAAATTTACATGAGTTTAATTATGATCCTTTGGCCTTTTACTTGTTTTTTCTTTGTCAGAATTCAAATCTTTGAGTAGTCAACAGGTGATAAATGTCCCATTAATCTTTCTGACTCCCTAGAACCTGAGCATGAGAATTGCTGATCAGTTACACCAATTGTCTCGTAAATGAGCTTCTCACATCTGCCTCTTATTTCATTAGTTAACTGTCTGCCCAAATATCTGATAAGATGGAATACTAGTACCTTTTTACAGCTTGTTCTGTCGGTCTGTACAATAAGGAGATAGGGTCGTTAGCAAAATGGGCACAAAAGAGTATTTATCCACTACCTACAATAAATATGCATGCTAGTGTCTAGAAGGCATTTGAGACTGTTTATTGAAATCACCTCAAGAAACAAAAATAACTGGTTTCACTTCGATTTTCCATTTAGCAACAAATAATGTTAAGACCATGGCCTGCCTTACTGTATGATGCTTTTACTAATTACATTTATCATCAAAAGAAGAAAAATGATAGTATTTCTAAAAACTATGAATGTTCTTGTTACACAGAAGTTATTTTTGAAAGAGGAAAAATCTATTTATTAAATTAATTTTAAAAACAGTGAAAAACTTTAGAAAATATTTTTAAATTACCAAACATCATAATTAACGTACTCTCAACAGTGTTTTTAATACTTGATTACCTCATTCTCTATGTTGGCACTTCGAAAAACTACCAATTAAGATCTGCTTTCTTATATACATCGTTATACAGCAGTCATACTTTTAATTGGAAAAAATCTTGATAACTTCATCAATACATATAAGAATTAATGTTTAAACTGTTTATAGGAAATATACGTTCTTAACCTGTAGAATGGGAATAATAATACTATGTCACAGAGTATAATGATAATTAAATGAGACCATGCACGTAAGGCACTGTGCCAGTGTGTTAAATATTGCCCAGCACATGCTAAGTGATCAATGAGTAGTAGCCATTATTACATAGACATTATTGCAATCAGGTTTTTTTCTTCTGCTATCTATTTGGGGAGATTGGAGTATAACGGTGAAATATTTTATAAGCATTGCTTGATGTGTTAATCATACATTTTTTATTATTTTTAAAATTATTTAATAACTGATAAGCTATTGAAATTACCTATTTGTAAATTAATTTTGTCTTTTGGAACAAAATTTAGGCAGAACTTCAGTGATTATTGTTCTTTGCTCCAAGGAAACAACCATATAATAAATGTCATTGGCGTAATAGCAGCTATACCTAGCTCATCAATTTTAATAACCTTCCCCACCTTGTTTAAATGTAAGAAATGCCTCAACCAAATAAACAACCAAAGCATGAAGTCAGTTTTCGAGTATTTTCACATCATCTTGTGACAAACCCACAGCCAATATCATACTGAATGGGCAAAAACTGGAAGTGTATCTAAATAGTTTTAAATTATTGCTAAAAATGTATGCTAGGTGAACATTTTCATTCAGTTTACCTTAGGAATTCTATTTAAAAGAAAGTTTTTTTTATAAATTAAAATTATATAATGAATTAACTCAGAATGATAATTTCTGCCATTGTAATTTCATTTTGTTTTAACCTTTCTTTGTTGTAGGCCTTGTTTGTATGAAGTCCAGCACATCTGTGGTTGAGCTTGTTATGCTGCTTTGTTCTCAGGTACAAAATCCCATTCACTCAGTTACATTAATATATGAGGGTTTTTTGTGACTAATAATAAAAAGTATGTGCATATATATGTGTATGTTTATATATTTTTAAAATTTCCATCTATTATCCCATAGATGGAGAAAATAATTTATGTTGAGTTTTATTAGTATATAGATTATCTTACCATGTAAATATTGACTTATTCTCCCTCTCCCTTCTTCTACTCTTTTTAGCAGTATTATTCTCCTACCCTTTCGATTCTTCCATTGTTTCCTATCATATATATGTATATAAAATACGATATATAAAATATCTTAATTTATAATTTTTAAATGTATTATTAATTATCTTGTATCTTCTTCTCTTATATTTGAGATAATGAAAAGTAAGTTTTTAAATTCCATACCCAAAGTGTATGATACAGCTTATTAATGAATGGTCTTTGATATAAGACCTTGCTGCTTTCTCTTTTTTAAATGTAATTTGTATATGTCAGTGTAAATTCTAAAAATCTACTTGAGCTGTTTGTCTTTAATAATCAGAATCAAAGATAAATGATAATTGTTGGGTATTGTTTCTTCTTAACAATTACAGGGCAACCAAAAATAAATGTAAACATATTTTCTGATTACTTAAATAGGAACCTATTGGTTTTTCTTCTCACCAGCTCTGTCAAGTCTCCTAGCAGTCCTGATTATCCTGATTATCATATTAGTGTTAAATATTTTTTAATATCAGAAGGAAAAAAGAGCTTGTGTGTGTTTGTAATAAGCAGTTATTATCTTTATTCGTAGTTTCCTCAGTAGAAAGAAACATATATCTAAGCTATTCCTAATTACTGGCCTGAGGTTTGCCTAAAGCCACAGCTAACTCGCAGACAAACAACAATATGCTTTCAAGTGATCCTCTAAAACATCAGCAAAACTGAACAAAACAAATGAAAAACTTACCAATTGATTTCAGTTTTCAGGTTTATTTTCTTCAAGAATATATTCCTAGGAAAATCATTAGGCCCATTTTCCTCTTTATAGCCAGGAACAATATTGATAAGGAAGAGGTTAAAGAAAACAACATCCCTGTGAGGAGGTCGTCTGCAGGGCATTTGAAAATTTTGTCACCTACTGTTGAAGTCCTGAGTTCGAGAGACTATCTGGACCTTTTCGATTCATGATGATGCACAGTTCTGTAAAATGCGTTTATGGAAAAATAGCTTAGAATTCCTTCTTCCATAGCCCTGTGTTTCACTGCAGTTCAGAGAAATAAAGAGGAATGTAGCATTAAGATCTAGTGTCTTTGATGGCCTCATCATCTAATCATAGGTTTAACATTACTCATTTGCTGGCTCCAGGAATTCCTGCCATTAAGGGCCCTAGAGATGAAACTTTGCCTCAGATATTGATTGAAAGGAAGAGTGAGAAATTTAAGCTCTCTATGCAGTGCACTTTCTTTCAGTGTTTCAGCAAAGCAATGTTGTAAACACACCTCTCGATTTGATTTTTAAGTTGAATTTTTAAAATAATTCAGTGTTTTTAAATATTTTAAGTGTTTAATTGATTAAATGCACCTCATTTAAGTAACTTAAGAATATATGCTTATTCTTTAAAATAGCTCCCAATTGTTTTTGTTATTTTCTGTTTAACTGAAATAATGCTTTCGACTAAATATTTTTAATGAAACAAATAATCCTCCTTTATTCTTATTCAGGGGGGATAAGTTTACCATTTTACTGTGAAATTAAGCTTCTAGAACTATCTTTGTAGATCATTAATTGCTCCATGAATGTTTAAAATCATGTCTTTAGTTGTAAGGACACACATACCAAAAAATGGACATGTCTTCAACGTTTCTTAAAATAATGTGCCATTTTTCTATACTACTTAAATTTGAGATGATTTATATCCTATTTTCATCCATTAACAGGGCAACATAGCAGTAACATACCTCTGAAAAGAGAAATAAATACAGTTAATGATGCTGTGGAGATTGCTTGGCATAGCTCTCTCCAAAGCAGTGTTCTTCTACAGCCTTTAATGCATCTCTTGTAGAATGAAGCACAGTCCCTGTAGAATTAGTACAGTTCTGTAGGCCGTCTTTGTGCCAAGGCAGTAGGTAATCCTGATGAATCTTGAAAGCTGCAGAGTTCTGAGTTCTTTTTGTTTTGCTCTACAGACAGCCCTTTGTAAGTCTTGATAGCTCCATGTTACTGTCATGACCAGTATTAATACTAATAAAAATAGTTGAAAATCTGAATGAGTAACTTTAAGTTACTATCTTGATATACTATGTGTATATTTTTCCACAGTGAGAAATCCAACTAAGATATTATTCATATTGTAATTTAATGCTGGTTAGAATAAGTTGGAATTCTGCAAATGGAATTTTTAATGTATTTATTTGCATAAAATATGCTTTTCTTTTTCCAAATTTAGACAAGCCATTGAAAGATAAAAATTTTTTGAGAGACCGGGCAGATAAGTATTAAAAAGGGAAAAGAAAATGCAATATTGTGTTTTTTATAGGATTTTGTTTTTCTTTGCTACAACACATTAGATGGCTTTTATTTTTATGCTTCTCATTTTCATTTTGGAAATTTCCTGTTAGCAACTACATATTATTAAGGATATTAGCTTTTCTTTCTTATCTGAGCTCCTGAATAAACTTACTATTCCTAATAGTTTGTGCCCAAAATATGGTCTAAATTTACGTGAGATCATATTACAAGTGTCTGAAGGTACTTGTCAAGGATAATTCAGTTCATATGGGCAAACTTTTAAACTCCAAAGGCTATATCATCCAGTCTACCCCCCAATGTAATTTTTCATCTTTGTGGAAAACATATTTAAGTCTTAAGAAGAAGCTGTTAATATTATCATTCTGATATATTTATCATTCCACAAATACCCAAAACATTTTTGACTGTATTCTGGATTTTTTTCTGATATAGATCTTATGATACAAGTATATTTATTCTTCTTCACTTTTATTTTGTATTAAAGTTGTTAGTAGCATTTTAAAAATTGGTTTCATATCATTTTGAAGTGAAATGAACTAAAGTAAAAAAATTAATATCAAATCAGTGCTTAATTAGGGAGTACAAGGTTTTCTACAGATTCTTCAGTATATCACAGGTCTGATACTATCTTCTATCATAGCTTTTTAAAAAAGTTTTATAATTAGATATGATTGAAGTGCTTATTCTCTATTTGTGCTTATTGGTTTATTACATTATTTTTACTGTATTGTGCTCTTTGATGAATAGCAGATTTAGTTTTCAAGTAAACTTCTTTAGGTGCTATAATAGTTCCTAATTACTTCCAGATTTTTTAAGGAAGTCTCCATAAGATATACTCCAGGAAAAGTGGACTGATGTTATCCCATAGCATTTCTGTAAGTTTTTATAAGTAAAGCTTAGCAGATGGCACTTGCATTTTTCTGTGCCTTATCTGTCAATAGAAAACATTTTATAAATTGAGAAACTGTACATTTAAAAAATTCTTAGTATTTAAATGCTTTCTGACTGGAGGCAATGATTAAGCAAATGCATGCTTAGTAAGTCATTTCTACTCTTACTGAAAAGCTAAAGATGTATAAGTAATATAAAGTAAGAGGCCTGCAAGTCTTAGTTAGGCATCTGTGTATGAAGTCACTAACATGAATTATTTTGTGGTTTGTTTGAATTTACTTTTTTCTAAATACCTCATATACTTAAATAAAAAGAATTTTAGTGACTTCATTGATGTGATCAAAGCATTAACCCAGGACTTCTAAAGACAACACTTGTAAAAGAACCACAACTAAAGAACAATCTTTTTTTTTTTTAATGATTTGGCCTTTGAACATTTACGTTTTTCATTTTTCCTCCAGTGTGATACAGTTGAGTCAAATAGTACAAAAGAAAAAAATATACTTTTCTTCTGAGGCTGAGTTACAAAGACATAGGTAAGAGAACATAGAGGCCTATTAAAAAATATTCATTGTAAGTACTCAGTAGTGAAAGGATTTTTGGTGTGTATAGTAAGAAGATTTCAAATATAAGGAAACCAGGGATGGAGTAGATGTTTTTTCCCCGTTGTCTTTGGAAATATCATGAAATCCTAATTATCATGATGAAGTTATGTCACATTTAATTTGGTAGTTATTTAGTGACTACATTTTTTAAACATTTTAATGGTTACTAAAGACTTACACATTGTTCCATTTCTCATGTTTAGTGTTATCTATGAAACTTGCCAGTTTTGCTGCTGAATTTGAATTCAATTAAGAACAATAAAAAATTATGACCTGATACTTAAAACTGAATATAAATGAGCAGTTACCTTTGTATGGTTCAGTAAATGGGTCCTATGTACCAACAATAAGATTGTCATGGAAAAGTTTATTGAGGTGAACTAAAAATGAGCCCTGACGATGCAAGGTATCCTATTCAGCATAAGCAGCGGAGAATTGGGCTGAAGAAACAGCCTGAGCCCTGTTTCTTCAGAAACCTGAGGTCTGGAGAGGAATGAGTCTGTTCAACAGTGTCTAATCATTTGGCTTCCCTGGGCCACACTGGAAGAAGAATCATCTTGGGCCACACATAACATACACTAACACTAATGACAGCTGATGAACTAAAAAAAAAAAATTAAA
Organism: Homo sapiens; assembly: GCF_000001405.40. Lineage (NCBI taxonomy): Eukaryota > Metazoa > Chordata > Mammalia > Primates > Hominidae > Homo > Homo sapiens. The sequence continues at coordinate 35,295,071 of NC_000013.11, forward strand.
AAAAATAGCAGAAATTAAGTGGCCAGGCAATGTATAATATTTATATTTAATATATAAATATAATATTTATAATATAAATAAATATAATATTTATTTGTTTATCTAGGGTATTATCCATTTCCAGGCAATGTGTAATCCAATACCTTCCTCAAGAGTATTTTTAATATAAAATATTGTAGTGTGTTAATAGTATAGAATTAAGGCTAGTAAGAAATGTCTAACTTTTAAACAGTATTGGATAGTTCATGATCATTGACTATAGATTCTGTTTTTAGAAGAGCCACTTTTTCATTTTCTAATATCTAAGAAATCCCTGCCTTTTTCTCTAGACGGTGGGTGACCCCACCTCTTATCTGTGATATAATGTCATTTCCAAGTTAAAGGGGTCAAATTTGGGCATTTAATTTTTTTGGAGTGTCTATGTTATATAATCTTTATTGCCATAAAAGTTTGTAATATGTCCTAAAGTATAAATAAAAGTTAAACAGGAAGGTGAAAATACAGTGAGGCATAAAGATTATAGTCACCTCAGATAACAATATTTAAAATTATTAGAGAATATGGAGAAAGTTATGTACTGAAAATGTAGACATTTTAAAGGAAAAAGAGTATCAGTAGAAAATAATTGGGAAATCTGTATTTAATATATCTTGGGGAGAATCAGTACAGAACAGATTGCAACAGGAAGACGGGCTCTCTGTTATATGTTCAATTACTTACAGCATTCCTGGATGAAAATTTAATCAAAGATTTAAAGAGCATATAATTCAAATTACTTTTGATTAGTTCTATGAGATATTTTATTGTTGAATTCTTTTTTTAAAACTCTTAGAGAAGTTAGCAGGTATAAGAAATTTTGAGTCAGTCTCTTTTATGTTATAAAATATTTTTTCTAAGCTACCTGTGATACATACAATACTCACACATCACATAACACTTATATATAACAACTTAGCACATATCCACCTCAAATTATAGAGGTAATAGTTTATGAATAAACAAAAAGTTCTGACCTCATCTGTTAGAAATTATAAACTAAGCCTGATCGCGGTGGCTCACGCCTGTAATCCCAGCACTTTGGGAGGCCAAGGCAGGTGGATCATGAGTTCGGGACCAGCCTGGCCAACATAGTGAAACCCGTCTCTACTAAAAATACAAAAATTAGCTGGGCATGGTGGTGGGCACCTGTAGTCCCAGCTACTCAGGTGACTGAGGCAGGAGAATCTCTTGATCCCGGGAGGTGGAGGTTGCATTTAGCTGAGATTGCACCACTGCACTCCAGCCTAGGCGACAGAGCGAGACTCAGTCTCAAAAAAAAAAAAAAAGATAAAAAAGAACAACAGTCTTTTTTTTCTTATGTCTAACTTCTCATAATTCTAATAAAATTGAGGGAAAAAAGAAATCAATAACCCTAGGCCATCTGCAGGATCATTTTTAAGAGTGTTTAATGTCTGTGACAGAAGAGAAGGAATGTAGAATATTCTGAATCCCTGAATCCCTGACACTAAGCCCACCTCCCTGACCTAAAATTTCTTTCCATACTTTGTCTCAAAATTCACATTTCCCTTTCTCCCAGTATTTTGGTTTATTTTTCTTTAATCTTTATTTTCCTGTGTCTACATTGTATAAGTTTTTCAGACAAATTACAACAACTTTGAAAAATAGTGAAAACTATATATATATATATTTCACACTTTTACTTCTAGTATACATTCTCTTTTTTGGTGGTAAATTTTCTTCATTTTTGTCACACATATTTCAATATGCTTTATTTTTATTAGCTATCATATAATAAGTAGTTTTCTGTATCCTCTTTTTTGTTACATTGTACATTTCCTCATGATCATTTTTTCTGTGGTTTCGTTGTTTAAATAATTAGAGACTCACAGGAAGTTGCAAAAATAGTACACAGAGTCCCATGTACCCTTCCCTCAGCTTCCTCCAATAGTAACATCTTACATATAACTGTAGTAGAGTATAAAAACCAGGAAATTGATATTAATGTAGTACTGCCAACTAGATGATAGACATTATTCAGCATTCTCTCTTTTTTACATGTGTTCATTTGTATGTATATGTAACTCAATACAATTTTATTCCAAGTATTAATGAAACCAACATGGTTGTTCCTGTACCTCATATCTTCCCAATTATTTCAAACTCTTTTATTTCACGAAGCCTTTCTGTATTATTATTGTTATAAGGTTCTAATCTCTCCATCATTCCCTTAGCATCTGAGTGCATAAATCTAGATGATAAATATAGGTATCTGTTTATATGTTTTAATTGGATGCTCTTATATGTGATTAAGGTATGATTTTCTTTATCTACCACATTTCAGGTTCCATTAGAATAAGCTGCATTTCTAGTATTTCCTTTCTTTTTGAAGAATTCTATTCTGCCAATGGAGAAAATAAGTATTGTATAGTCTCAATATATTAACATTTATGAAGAGCATTTAAAATCATACATTGTTTATTTACAACAATCCAGAAGAAAAGACTACTTAAGGATGACACAGAACTTTGCAGTTTCGTGAAGTCACTTTATGGATGTTATTCATTTCAATTATGCTACAAATTTACACCATACTAAAGATCACTTTATTTTTCTATTGCCTTCTGTTGTGCTTACCACTATGTCTTCCACTCCTAGTATAAATATCCAGCATATAGTATAGGTAGTTATTAATGACATTTTGAGTTATTTTATAAATAAAAAGGAATATATATTAGCTAAGGTGATTTGTTATTTATTTTTATTGTGATAAAATACATAAAATGTAAAATGTGCCATTTTTACCATTTTAAGTATACAGTTCAGTGGCATTAATTAAATTCACAATGTTATGTAACCATCAACACTACAATGAGAAGGTTAGGGAGGCCAGTCCCCCTACACAGTCAAAAATATGCATATAACTTTTTACTCCCCCAAAACTTAACTACTAATAGCTCAGTACTAGTGACCAGAGCCTTACCAATAACATAAGCCATCAGTTAACACGTTTTCTATGTTATATGTATTATGCATTCTAATCTTACAGTAAAATAAGCTAGAGAAAAGAAAATGTTATTAAAAATATATATAGATACATAGCCAGTGTGTGTGTGTGTATGTGTGTGTGTGTGTGTGTGTGTGTATATATATATATATATATATATATATATATATATATGTATATGCTTCTTTTTTTAATTTTAATGTAGTCCAAAAGTACAAGAAGCTGTTTCAGAGGTCAAGAATATAGTAGGTCTTCAAACAAATGGCAGCTAATTATGTGTCAGAGATTCTTGTACTTAGTTAAAAATGATGATCTCTAAATTTCTCTACAGCACTAATGTTCTTATACTGGCTTCCACAACTATTGCTGCATGATCATTTGTGAATAAAATATGAAATATTTAATATAACTTAGTACCTATTTCTAAATCTTAAACTACACATTTGAATGTGAGAAACTTTTTAACAACTCAAACCTAATAAACATGAGTGTTGTATATACTCATAGAATATGCTCTCTTTAAAAATATCTTGTAAAACAGTCTAGACTTTTTTATTACAAACACAAATACAAATACATACACTCATTTTATAATAATAAGATGTGTCCAATTTGAAACATAATTTAGTGATCACCTAAAGTCCTGGAAGCCTGCTTATGTTTATATGATACGCCAACTTTTCCTTGAGTAACCAACTAAATATATTTCAGTATTTCCTAATTTTTTTTATGGTTGACTATTATATCGGTAATCTTCTCTTTGAATTGATCATTCATTATTCATTTCTTACATTCAGTTTTTCCTATAATACTTTTAGTAAGATCTTCATAAAAATAAGAAATGAAAATGAAATAAATGGTACTTTAAATACTTCACATATATATTTTCAGTAATTATGTATGTTTTATATGCATTGAAAAAAATTCTCGTCTCTATTTTCACCCTACAGAGTGTTTTTTTCACTTCACTCCTTATACTTACTGACTTCAACTTACAGCACAGAATTTCTAAACATGCCAGTTATAATGAACATTCACTTTGAAAATTTTAAGAAACACACCTATGTATTTTAGTGACAGATAATGATAAATAGATATTAAAGATATCAGAAATATAAAATCAATTCTGGAATTCTTGAAGACTTAAGATATCAATTTACTCTACCATTTTTCCTTGTAATTTTTTTATATATTCAAAACTTTTATGATGGATTGAATCTCTAAGGACGGTTTATTTAATTGTATACAAAGAAGAGGGAATGAAAAATGTACATTGAGTTGACATAGATGGGGAGAAACTGATGGGAAGCATTATATTTTGGATCTGAGATTTCTTCGACTAGTCCATCTAACTACCATAAAGCGATTGTGAAGAGAACATAGGGATTTTATCGTCATCCTTCTGGAACTTATTTGTCTTCAAAGTGTTTAGTTTCAAAGGGTCCTTAACATGAGATCCAGTTCCCTGAAAAAGTCCTTCATCTTGAGGAAATTTTATGCATCCATGTTGAAGAGTTAAAAAATTGTGACAAAACTATCTAAAGACTTGGCAGCTCTCTGCAGGCATTCAAACCCAAAGTTAAGTATTGTCCCCATGAAAATAAAAGGTTGTTCATTTATTTTTTCAGCAGAAAAGTGCATATATGTCTATGTAGGTGTGTTTTCTCAAATGGCAAAAAATTCTGGAATAATTTGTAAGATAAGACTTTAAAATATACCTTTTTCCTGTCATTGCCAAGAGCTTGTTGTTGATGAAATGACAGTAAATTATTCTTATCCCTTTGCATGTGTTTTCATGTATCTGTGTGCCTTGTTTTAAGCAAATTCTCTAAGTTTATGTATTTGTCAGAGAGAATTGTTAGAGTGCTAGGACAGGGACTAAAGTTGTCTTCCATGTCCACCTCTATCCCATTTTTTAACTTTCAAGGTAGCTTATATCTCAGCATCCACAACAAACAAATACCGTTTCTCCTCTATGCTATGTACTTTTCTTGTCACAAAGTTTTGTTTATCTCTCCTTTCAATATTTTATCCAATTATTTTTTGAAGCTCTTAGAATCAGTTACATAGTAATATGCACTTAAGAAGTACTTTTTGAAATTAGCCGGGCATAGTGGTGCACGCCTGTAGTCCCAGCCACTCAGGAGGGTGAGGCAGGGGAATCGCTTGAACCCGGGATGTGGAGGTTGCAGTGAGCCGAGATCGAGCCACTGCACTCCAGCCTGGGTGACAAAGCGAGACTCTGTCTCAAAAAACAAGAAAAACAAGTATTTTTTGAAATTATAAAAAGAAATGTGCATCAGTATAAAAGAATATAATCATTGCCTACCCAAGTTTGTTACAAAAATTCAGAACCGTGTGTATCTCATTTACTTCACACACACTGTAAATAAAATACTACAAATATAAATAATTCCATTTCAGAGGCAATGTTTCATGATTAATAAAAGTAACATTAACTGATGAGAAGATGATGTAGGATTTATCCCATTTCTTATTTTCAGAGTTTTAAAACTATTTCGTTTACATGCTTTAAGATTTGTTTCATTGCTATCATAAATTCTTAGACCTTACTCCTATGGAAAAGGGCGATAGAAATAGAAATTTTTAGACCTGACTCCTATGGAAAGGGGCAATAAGAAGCATAAATTCTTGTCATAGGTATTGCACTTTTCCATAGGAGTCAGGCCTAAAAATTCATCGGTAGCTTAGGATAACCAATGGAGAAGATGCCCTTTGTTACACTTTTCCTATAGGATACATTTTTCTTCTCATTCCGTTTTTTTCTTTATACTTATGCATTTTTGTTTGCCACCCAATACTGTGTACTGTTGTCTACCTAGGATGTAAAGGGATTGGACTTCTCAACTAAATATGGTAAAAAAAAAATTATCTTTGCCACTTTTACAACTGTCATTCACAAATTATTAAACATGCTTTAAAAACCACATGCAATCCTAACATTTTCTGAGGAGGAAAATATACTTTATCTTGTGAAGAATATTTTATAGTCCCTTTTCTGTCTCTCATTTAGTAGGTGAAAAAAATAAACTTCTGTTTTCTTCATTGACCACAACAATGAGAGTCCACAATATGTTTTTTTTTTTTTAATTTTACTTTAAGTTCTGGGATACATGTGCAGAACATGCAGGTTTGTTACATAGGTATACATGTGCCATCGTGGTTTGCTGCACCTGTCAACCCGTCATCTAGGTTTTAAGCTCCGCATGCATTAGGTATTTGTCCTAATGCTCCCCCTCCTCTTTCCCCAACCCCCCAACAGGCCCCAGTGTGTGATGTTCCCCTACCTGTGTCCATGTGTTCTCATTGTTCAACTCCCACTTATGAGTGAGAACATGCAGTGTTTCATTTTCTGTTTCTGCGTTAGTTTGCTGAGGATAATAGTTTCCAGCTTCATTCATGTTGCTGCAAAGGACGTGAACTCGTTCTTTTTTATGGCTGCATAGTATTCCGTGGTGTATATGTGCCACATTTTCTTTATCCAGTCTATCATTGATGGGCATTTGGGTTGGTTCCACATCTTTGCTATTGTAAATAGTGCTGCAATAAACATACATGTGCATGTGTTTTTATAGTGGAATGATTTATCATCCTTTGGGTATATACCCAGTAATGGGATTACTGGGTCAAATGGTATTTCTGGTTCTAGATCCTTGAATCGCCACACTGTCTTCCACACTGGCTGAACTAATTTACACTCCCACCAACAGTGTAAAAGCGTTCCTATTGCTCTGCATCCTCGCCAGCATCTGTTGCTTCCAGACTTTTTAATGATCGCCATTCTAACTGGCATGAGATGGTATCTCATGAGAGCCCACAATATGTTTTATGCTAAATCCCAGAAAATAGCTGATACAAACTTATCTTTAAAATTTCTAGTTTTAGTGCTGTCTGTATGGCTAAAGTCATTAATTCTCCAACTCTTCTACTTGAAGCAGCGCCTCATGGGCTGCAGTAGGGAGGAGTTGGAAGGGTGGCCCAAACTGTAACGCATGCCAACCACCAGAATCACAAATGTTCTATGCTCTTAGGCTTTCAAATTCTCATTTTACTTTATTGTTCTTACATTCCTTAATATTTTGAATTAGATTACTTTAGATAATTTTTTAATTTTTTGTTTTCCTCTCAGGCTCCAGGGGGCTGGACATGTATTATATATCCTGGGCATAGTTACTGCCTGTGTCTTATGTATCTCATACCCCAAATTGAATAAACAAAAACTTTAAACTCCCTTCCTTCAGAAAAGACAATTGGTAACATTTTTGTGACCTTATACATTGTTAATAGCAGTTCATAATTGTTCATGTAGTTAACAGACATTGACTTGGTAAATTGAAATTATGCAAATAGTTGCAAATAGCTGAAGAATTTTGAAAACCTTCAAAAACTGAATTATACTCTCTTAATATTAGGTGGAACCACTTTGGCTATTGCTTAGGTCAAGGCCTGCATAAACTGTTCTTGTGCCCCAGCCATATCATATTAATGGAGCATGTGTGACAGAAAACAAAACATTCATATCTGGCAAACAAACTAATAATAGAACCTAGGGAAAAAAATGCACCAGGAAATATAAAATTTAAACATTTTTATACATAAGGATTTTTTCTGTGTTTGCCATTCAATGTTGGCTAAACTTCTAGAATTAAAGTCTTGTTTCCTTAATGTTGTAGTATAGTCATTATGACAATTGCACCATCTATTTCTTCTGGCCCTAGTGTCATCACAGATTAATAAAACCTGTCTCTTCCTTTAAAAATACAGTACTTAAAATCTAATTATATAATGTGCACATAAAACACATAAAGAGTAAACTGAACTCATAGAGTCACATGAAGAAGACTGTTCAGCCAGCTGGTGTTAAACTCCCATATTGAAAAATTGGTATTTCAATTTAAAGTTGCTTTAAATTCCTATATCAAATAAAAGTATTTGATGTCTACCTATGTCAGGACAGGTGAGCAGGACAGATAGCAGGATAGACAGAAGACTTAAATTTCCTGCAGGGCACAGAGGAGAACAAAAAAATCTTCTTTACATTAAAAAAATCCTTTCTCATTTTCATAATTAGTAATACTTTTTCATGTCTTCATGGAAAATGAGAACCCAGTTAGATTCGTTTTCTATAGGATTAAAGAAACACTATGTTCAATTAGTATTGTTCATCCGTAGTAGTATTATTTTAAGAGGTCTCATTACCAGTCACCTGGTTTCATATCTTTGGCAATAACAAGAGGTGGATTGTATGTTAATCACTATTGACCCAGTAGATCACTAGTTAATAATATTTATTATTATGTTACTCAGACTGTAGCAGGTATTGATTTAAAATTATATTAGAATTTAAAACCACATATATCTTAAATTCAAAAAGACCAAGACAAATAAGACCAAGGAGTTTACAGTTTTCTGGGAAAGAAGTAAAGTTTACAGTCATGTTACTAAAGTCTGGGTGCCTTCATGAATAATAAATGGACTATTTTATACATAAACAAGTACAGGAAAACTTCACACTTTTTACTCTTTTTCTGAAGAATTAACTGTTCTTATCCCTTTTCAGGACACTCCATTCTTTTATGCATTCATCAGGATTTCTGTCACCTTTCATCTCTTGTAATCTTTCTGTCTCTCCTTCACCCTTTCATTATGGTCCATAATTATATTCAAGTCTCTTCATCATAAAAACTTCACAAACACTTTCAAACCTATCTTTCTCTGAGCATCCTGTCCATTGTTTCTTGGCTTTAATCACAAAGCTTTTTGTGATTGTTTACTCTAGTTACCACTTTCTCTTTCTCACTTACCAGCCCAGTACAATGACTTTCCTCCCAGCATTTAGGGCCTGTCTTTTGTCCTCATCATACCTGACTTTCCTGAAATACGAAAATGACAATGTAATGGCATGCAAACAAATGAAATAGTGATAGTTTTCTAATGATTGTATTTTAAAAATATGGAAAATCTTGCAAAATTAAATGAGAATGTGACACAGTCCCACCATCAAAATGAGAAAGTGACACAGTCCTACTGTCAGAAAATGTTTAATATTCTCTTCGACAAGAAGACTTCTGCCACCCTCTCTTCCTCTCTAATAGTGACTCTTCTTTTGGTAGAAAACTAAAAAAAGAGCAACTCAGGCCTTCTGAGAAAGGAGTTGAACACAAATACAGGTCAACAGTATTATATTGTCATTGAACAAATTCAGGAATTACATTGCCTTGACAAAAGCAATTCTCTGTGTGTGTGTGTGTGTGTGTGTGTGTATATCTGTGTGTGTGTGACGGAGTCTTGGGTTGTCACCCAGACTGGAGTGCATTGGCGCGGTATTGGCTCACTGCAACCTCTGCCTCCTGATTCAAGCAATTCTCTTGCCTCAGCCTCCCGAGTAGCTGGGATTATAGGTGCTCACCACCACACCCGGCTAATTTTTGTATGACAAAAGCAGTTCTTGAAGGGAAAACATATAATTGCAGTGATACATTTTTATTCAGAATGTTTTCATAAGTCTTCTGTGTTCAGAATCTCTCTCTGTAGGCTGATAAAGTTACTGTTTCCTTTTTGACAGTCTGTTACCCTGCTTTCAGTACAAGTCTCTCCTGATTCATCACAGAAACTCTTTATGGTTCTGTAAAACTATCACTGTTCTAAAAAAATTGTTTTTAAAAATTTTTTATATTTACTGTGTGTATTTTAAAGGCACATAACCAACAAATAACAGACCCCTACTCCACCACTGAGATCCACTGGTCGAAATCAACTATTTCAACTCTTTTATCTGTTTACTTTATTAGTAAACTATATTTTTGAAATAACACTGTTATACTAATGTTCTTGGTTTTTCAATTTTAAATATTTTTTAAATTTATTATATATAGCATGTCACTCTTACAATGCGGCCACTACCACCTACTAAAAAATATGGGGGAAAGTTTCTGCTTTTCTCAGCATTTCCCCACTATAGCCATATCACAGTTTTAAGTGTGTCAGTGTTTCTTGTAAGTATCATCTGTAGCTAAACTATCCACCATTTCCTTCCTAAGATAACTATTTTCTTTTAGAGTGAATTGCCTCTTCGCTCTTTATTTGTTGGCTAAGTTTTCTGGATGCCTGTTACTAAATTTCCCCCAAACTTTCCAGTAGAACTAAAAACCTGCTCTAACTCTAGTGCATGTTAAGTATTCTGTCAGCCTCTGCTTAATCCTGTTTTGGTACTTCCATTAACAATTATTTAGATAATTTTCATTGCCTCTGTCTTGTTTCAGTCTACCATTTCTTAGATATGGGTCTATCTCTTTTTAAAGTTCTTTTCTTATAGTATGTTTAGGGTTTGTCACAAGTTCTTTCCGTCTTATTGAGCGCTTTTGGTGTGTTTGCATTCCCCTCCTCCAGTGAGATTGGGCTTCATCATAGGACTTTCTCTGGCCAGTGAATATGGGCAAAGGGACATGTGTTACTTCTGGCTAGAAGCTACAAGAGCCGGGGCATGCTTAGACCCCTTCTCTTTCCCTCCATCTTGGCTGCCAACAGTGTTCCAGACAATTGCAACATAGTATGACTCCCAGGATGATGCCAATGATGATGTAGAGCAGAACACAGACAGTGGACACAGAATTTGAGCAAGAAGTAAACTTTCATGTTTTAAGCCCCTGAGATTCGGGGACTAGCACAACATAAACTTGTTTCTCCTGTTTGATATATTTTCTCATTTTGGCAGAGCACACCATCGGTGGGTTCTTGAACAAGAGTCAGTGATAAATTTTTATGCATGTGTGAAAATGTGATTATTCTATCTTCATATGTTACTGATAGTTTGGCTGCATAGTTTGTTCTGAGTATTCTATTCTTCATAATTTTGAAACTGGCTGATGTTAAACTCTCATATTGAAAAATTGGTATTTCAACTTAAAGTTACTTTAAATTCGTATATCAAATGAAAGTATCTGATGTCTACATACATCAGGACAGGTGAGCAGGACAGGCAGAAAGCAGGATAGACAGAAGATTTACTTTCTTCCATCTTCTAGTTTTGCTGTTGAGAAGTCTAATCTCATTCAGATTCCTGATTCTTTATATAAACTTTTATTTTTTCCTGCAAGCCTCTTCCTTAACCCTGGTGTTCTAAAATTTAATGATGATATACTTGCTAGGTTATATTATGTATTATATTGTTCATCATATAATTAAATCCTAGAAAATATTTGAAATTCCTTTGATAATTTCTTGATACAATGTTTCTCATTCACTCTTTCTAAAATTCCTATTTACTAGATAGTGACCTTTAAAAGGAAGATCCTCTAATTTCTTTGTCTCCTTTGTTTTCTATCTCTGTCTTTTTGGTTGTACCTCATTATCTCTTTGTTCTATTTTCTGGGAGATATTTTCAACTCTTTTTTAATGTATACAATATCTTCATATGTCCCAGTTTTATTACTACATTTTTTTGGTGTTGCTTCATTGTCTCTCATTATTTGGGTTTCATTCCCTTCCCTCCAACCCCCACCTCCATTATCCCTTTCTAATATTGGTCTGTGTCTTTAATATAAGGTTGCAAACAGGATCATAGGTAGTGACTTTGAAAGTAATATTTGTCATTAAAGGGTCCTTTCTCTTTCTGTTTTCCTGAGGCAATGTATATACGTGGAGTGTTTTCTTTCAAATAATGCTATAATATTCTGCTTCTGTTCTTAAATTTTGATAGATCTTTTTCTGTCCCTTTCTATTGCCTCTTTTTGCAATCTTAAAAATGTGAATCCTTTCCAGCCTAGGAATACCTTCTCAGCCTAGATATTTGATCCTCGTTTTGTTTATACTTCTTAGGAGACTTTGCCCAATGTTATGCCTTACTCAATATTTCTATGTAAATAATTCTGAATTTCACATTCTTTTTTGATATACCATTGCCACTGTAAATCCAACAAATTCAGACAACAGTGTTTGTGATTTTCCCCAAATGTATTCTTCAGTATTTTCATAATAATATTACCATTATCCTGGTCATGTACATTGAAAACTTAATAATTTTTTTATCTCAACTTCTCTACATCAGCTCTTAAATTCAGATTCTCATCTAGTCTCGGCATCTCTTCTTTGTAACATCTCTTATTTTTTATTCCCTATTTGAAATACTCATTTAGACTCCTAATATTTCTCTTGTGGAAAGGCGTGTAACAACAATATCCTACAATTTCCTCTGGCTCAAAACTGACAAATTACTCTTCTAAAACACTGATTTATTGAATGAAGTCTTGTGATCATATACTTTCATTGGCTTTCTCAAACTTTAAACTGTAATGTCCTTAGCTTAGCTCAGACTTACTTCTACTGTTCCTCCATCAAAGGTTGTAAATTAGTACATCTCATTGGCTGTATGCAGATTCCATATAATTTTAGATTGATTCAAAGATAATTTTCTCTTGATTTTTTTAGACAAGGCATACTTTGGGATGCACATGTAATACCTAGATATGTACTCTGTGAAATATCTTACCGAAAAATCTTATTCATGTTAGAAGTTTATGGTGACTAAAGAGTCTTAGTGTACAAACACTATCACAGAAAATCAGGTGTAAGAAGTTGTAAGAATCTAGTCTTCATAGTGGCATGGGTCTTCGTATGTAAAAATCAATTTTCTCTTTAAGTTAATATCCCAATGAATATGAAGTATTTCTGAGAAATGTATGTATTTTGTAGGATCCTGATTTCCAATAAATACAGAATATAGAATGAGAATAACAAAGAGGCTTTAAATTTTGTAAACATTTGGGAAAAGAAATTTTCTGTAATTGTTTTATACAGAAATTGTTTGAAAGTTTCAGTAAGTTCTGTACAATGGAATAGCAGTCTTGTCATTTGGATAAATTTTAGTTAAAGATTATGATAGCTAGAACCCAGTGGCTTTGTACTATCCCCAAGTTACCATATCTCTTTTCACTAGTTGTTGATTTTCTCTCCTTGGGAGATTCAGGATTTGTTATTCTATAATTCAGCACACATTTACTTAGAGCAGAGAATATTTATATACACACAAGTACCTACTTTGGGGGACCATATTTATTTTCAGAATGAGTGTAAAGCCTTTAAAGGGAAAGGGATCAGGAGTAGAATGAAGGGTTGATACAGAGACTGTGTTTTTTGTGAAGCTGAACCCATGGCCAGGGCAGCTGATCACCTCTGTACAACCAACACCTTATTAGAAAAATCATAGGGGGAAAAATCTATAGAGGAGGGCCATGACTGGTCAATAAAGATTTTTCTATTAAAATGCATTAGGGAACTTTGAGGAGTATTTAGTTATAGAACCATTGGAAGGGATATAATTTTCAATCCAAAACACTGCTATTTACTATATATATATATATATATATATATATATATATATGTATATATATATGTGTATATATATGTGTATATATATATGTGTATATATGTATATATATGTATATATGTATATATATGTATATATGTATATATGTATATATATGTATATATGTATATATGTATATATGTATATATGTATATATATATGCACACACACACACAGATATATATATGTATTTAAAACCCCATATATATATTTAACCCCAAATATATATATTTAAATATATATTTAAAACCCCAAAATATGTATATATTTAAAACCCCAAAAATAGAAATCACTAGCATAAACCAAAAACAGTATATAAATTATATTCTAAATGTGCTTTAGGAACAGCATAAAATAAGCATATGCTTTTCTAATCCAAAATACTTCATTATAATCACTTATGTTCATAATGATGAGCCTTACCTTGAGAACTGCCAAATTCACAAATATAATCTAAATTAGCAGAGATTACATAGTTATCTATTACATATTTAGCCATAGGTTTACTACTTTTTTTTACAATTTTCAAAATAGTTAATTTGTAACTTTTTTCTAATTAGCATTAAATAATTAGCATTAAGTAATTTGGAATGTACATATAACTAGAACATTGCACTTCCAAGTCAATTTAAATATGTTAATGTTTCTAAGAGTTTATATTTCTAGTATTCATTTTATTATCTTAATGTAAAATTTCTATATGAGGAGCTAAAGTTTTCTATCCCAAATATTTCTAGTCCTTGTGTAGTCACATTAGGTCTCTTTTGGTCATTTGCTGTCTTTTGGAAAGAAGCTTTGTGCTCAGAGCCCCTTATACCTGCAGTCTCACTTTCCATCTCAGTTTGCATCCAGCCTGAAATTTTCTGGTGAATCAAAAGCACCTTATAAACTAAGTGATAAAACTAAAATTTGATTTTTTACAAAATAATATTCATTACAAAATCTTGTAAAGACATTTGGAAATAATATAATGTGGAAGTTATTAACAATATCAACATGATCCTTAAACCAGAAGTTACTTTCATTAAGTGTTCACTTTTCTCACGTTTGTTTTGGTTTCTCCTTTTAGGAATGGCAAAACTCTATTCAGAAGAATGCAGGACTTGCATTTATTGAGCTCATCAATGAAGGAAGGTAATTAATTTTACAATTTTAGACAACTAGTCAGTGTACATTTTATTCCACTGGGCAATTGCTCTTTCCTACCATCTGTTCCAAAAATGTAGAAGAAAATGTCTTTTAGTTAAATAATTTATCACACAGGTACTTAATTAATCTTTAACAAAGTTTAAAATGCTAAACATTTATTTTTGAAGAAAAAGCCGTGCATGAAATAAAGGGACAAACCTTATAAGGTTTGGTGAGATCTGAAGTACATTTTACTGAGTAGTAAAGTTGTTTTACACAGATCAAGTGAACCCAATCTGCAATCCCATCTGCCACTCCATCTGTTTTCAGAGCAGTGCTCAGTGTTTACTCCTTCAGCTTCTCCTCAGTCCATGTGAAACAGTTTTATCTGAACATGTCATGCATTCAATGTCCAACTGAAAATGTGAGGGATATTAAATATAGCAAATATATCTGTCTCGGTTAGAAATTTGTATATTCTATTATTTTTTTTTTCTTTAACAAAATTTTTATTTAATAAATGGTTAAAATCGCAGTGCCAAAAATACATTGACATTTAGCAATTTCACTGAAAGGAAGAAACTACAGAATGCACGGTTTCAGAAAGCTATTTTAAGTTATTTACAAATAAAGTATCTAAAACTCAAAAACAGGCTCTGTATGCTATATCTAGTTTATCCCTTCCTGAACAAAATTTCTGTTATTTGGGCAAATTCTTAAACCATGGTTTAAACCGTAATGGTTACAAACCACAAACACATCCATCCAAAGACTGAAACCGTTTTTATCCGGTCAGTGGCAAAACTGTTGAAAGGGCAATAGTTGAAGCTGTTGGGTTTTATATAGTGTGAACTCTGATAAATATTCCTACCAGGACTAAAACACAGCACGCTTTGCGGGCATGGCTGACTCACAAAGGTTGTATATTCTATTATTAAAACAATAAGTAAAATTACATTTGAACCCATTATTTACCATTTTGTGGTAAATAGTTGTTAATTATTATTTTTGCAGTGCTTTATTGGCAGTGGACACATTAAAACAGACGTAGCTGTCACCATGTGACATATATAGCTTCTATCAGCCCAAGACCTGCAAACTTTACAACTTGAATTTCTTGTATGATATAGTGCATTCTTTGGAATATGATGATTATTTGGCATGACCTATTCATTTCATATTTGAAACCAGCTTTCATTAGATTAATGAGGAAATAATGCTTACTGTATATAAAATTTATCTTTTCAAGTAGGGGAGTCATGAAAGAATAGTCCTTGAAAATTAGTTTCTATATGGTATAGATACCCAATTTTTAAAAATTAAATATCACTTAGTATTCATTTTTTATCACTGTATTATATTTTGAGAAATATCTTCTGTTTTTATAACAATTTATCTTATTTTATATTTCTCATTTTGATATTTTGTGACCTAATCATGTTAGCCAGTAGTACAGATCTAAAATTTAAAATAGGCTTTGCATTCACTGCAACACCAAAGTTGCAGGAAAATATCAGTTTTCTTTTATAACGCAAATAGTGTTTTACATAACAGCACTCACCATGTCTTACAGAGTTTCACTGTGATAAGAGTTACTAACAATTATTATCCGTTTTCAGGTGATGAATAAACAGAAAAAACTATTTGCTAAGGCTAATCATTGTCATTTAAGTTTTAGAAATAACTCTCAATGACATATCCACAATTATTTTGTTTCAACTGCGAAGTAAAAATATATATATATATAAAATTATTATTATCAGTAACTCTCCTAAGAGTTATCAGAATTGAACCTCTAAACACTTAAATTAAGATTATAGTAATAGGCTTAGAAAAGGAAGGGGGTGGAAAATTTGCTAATATCAGAGATTTTAAGCTTCTGATAATGCTTTTGTCAGTCAGTGGTAGAATTTGGGATTTGCTTTATATTAGGAAAGGTTAGAAATAAAGAAAGTAGTCACAATTTTAAAAAAAATTTCAATCTAGGTTGGGTGCAGTGGCTCACGCCTGTAATCCCAGCACTTTGGGAGGCCAAGTTGGGTGGATCACCTGAGGTCAGGAGTTTGAGACCGGTCTGGCTAACATGGTGAAACCCCATCTCTACTAAAAATACAAAAATTAGCCAGTTGTGGTGGCAGGTGCCCGTAATCCCAGCCACTCAGGAGGCTGAGGCAGGAGAATCACTTGAGCCCGGGAGGTGGAGGTTGCAGTGAGCCAAGATCGTGCCATTGCACTTCAGCCTGGGCGATGAGAGCGAGACTTCGTCCCCCCACCAAAAAAAAAAATTCAACCTATAATAATCTCTGAAATTCTGTCCATTATGTTCTCTGTGCTCTCCTAAGTTTCTGTTTCTACTCTTCATAGGACTCGTTCTTCCAAATAAATATGATTTTGGAATAAGGATTCAAACATGAATAGCTGTAAATATATAAGAACAAATCATGTATGCATGAGTGCAGCAAATGTCTGTTCAACACCCACTACATGTCAAATACTGCTATAAGAGTTAGGAATAGAGTTAGGAATAAGATATAAATGATTCCAGTTTCTTGGGGAAAGGCAAACATTAGATGAACACATACAGTAATACAAGGATACTGTGATAAAAGAGGTATAGGTAATGATGCAATCGTACCACAGAATAATTTACCTAGTCTGGAGGGATGCATTCCACTGAGTGGTGGGATTATCAAGGTTTTCAAAAGAGTACTTACCCAAAGGAATGCCATTTGAGAGATCATTAGGAGACAGCCAAGTGAGAAAAAAAAGTAGAAATACAATTATTGGCAGAGGGAATTGTATAGTGCAGAGGACTAGCGGCAAGAGAATAGTGAGACATGTTACTGGAGAGCTATTTCCAGTCAGCCAGCAGCTATTTAAATGCATGTTGTATGCCAGCCACATGGAGGCACAGGTCATTGGCAAAGGTCATGCCATGAAACTGTGCAAAGAATACTGGAGAATAACTGAAAATGTTTAGGTGTGGCCTGCAATGTGGAGGGTTTCACGGGCTCAAGACTTGAAGCAATACCAATCTGAGGTTCAGTAATCTTGTTGAAGAATATGGTGTCATGGACTAATAGTAGCTATGAGGATGGAAGAAGTGAACAAATTTGAAGTATCTTTTGGAAATTAAGTCACTATGATTGCTAATATATTGGATGGAAGAGGGGAAAGAAGGAATCAAGGATATTTTGATGTCAGCTTTAGTAACTAATAGTTTACAGTATAAGTATAATTCACTTGGCTAGGAGAGTACAGAAAGCGAGGTTTGAGTTGAGAGTTTTTCACTTTTGGGTTACACTGAACTTGTGGTACCAGTGAAATATCCAGGTGGAGATGTTCAATAGGCATGGGCATTTGAGTATTGAGCTCTCCAAAGAGAGAGCTGGCATGGAGATTTAGACTTATGAGTCTCCAGGTTATTCGTGGTAAACTGTAGAAAGGATTCAGATGTGATGCTCAGAGAGAGTGAATAGAGTGAGTGGAGAACCAGAGGCCCTGCTTTTACTCCTGTTTCTGCTGGGAATCCTCTTCTCCCACATCTTGACACGACTGGTTGTTTCTCGACTTTGAGGAATCAGCTTAAATGCCACCCTCTCACAGAGGCTCCCCTGACTATCTTATATAGTTGTTACACTCCCATGACATAATCCTCTTGTAACACATAATAACATCATCTCAAATGATCTGCTCTGTTTGCTTGTTTACATCTATTTCTCCTGCTAAAATGTGTTTTCCTTAAGATCTTGTGTCTTATTCATCGTCTTATTTGCTGCTATATCTCTATATTCTGGAATAGTGCCTAGCATGTAGTTAGCATGCTAATGAAATATCTATTTATTTGCCCTGTTAAATGAATATTTATTGAAAGCATAAAGAAAAGAATGGTGAGTGGAATGTTTAAGGAAGAATGTATGGTCAAAAAGAGGATTTTTAAGTTAGTACTAAAGGGACCACTGGGTTCAGCCACAAGGAGGTCATGATGATCTCATCCAAACTTAATGCTGGTGAACACCTGTGTGCTAAAGAAGCTGGGTGTAGATCCAAATCCTACCCTATTAGAGTTTACAGTCTAGTGTGGGCAACAGCCTTAGATTAAGTAATTGCAAGTTTAATAAATATGTGAAGGACAACTAGAGGATGCTATGGGAGCAGGCAACTGAGAGAGGTATTTTTTGAAAAAGTGATGATTTACCTAGAGTAGAGGGACAGAAGCCAGGTTGCTTTGAGTTGAAGAGCTAGCCCAAAATGAAATACAGACAGCAAGTACTTCGCTAAAGAAATTTGGCCAAGAAAGGGAAAGATAGAGTGGTTGCTGTAGGTGAATAAGGTTTAAATTTGGAGAGAGGGGTTACTTTTTAGAATGAAGAACCTATTTTTCAATTTTGATGGAAAAACGCAATATGGTGGGAGGGAAAGAAGGCAATATTGACAGCATAAACTCTCTGAGAGGGGTGCATTGAGATAGAAGGATTGGCCTTTAGTGGAAGAGCACTGAGAAAGGGTGAAGACAATTAAATTGGTGGCAGAATTCAGAAGAGATTTCATATGATGCCTTCTGTCTATGAAGTGGCAGGTAAGGTCATTTGCTGAGAATAAAAGGAATTGGGAGAGGGTATATACTATCTTTAGAAAAGTAAAGAATACTGAAAATAGCGATTGTAAAAGAATGGAGAAGAGAAAAAACTAAAGAAACCTGAGAGGCTTGCCAGGCAATTTGGGGGAGCCAATTGAGGTTGCTGTCTTTGATAGTGTAATGTTTTCTTCAGCAGTTCGCAGTTCAGAGAAGATAGGCATTTGCTTTAAGACATTGACTTCTCTTACTTTAGTGAAAATAATCTTTTCACTGAGGACCAACCCCTTCCTACCCCTAATCTGGATTAGGTACCTTTCTCTGTTCTCCCAGTACCTCAATTTTTCCCTGATTTATATTTACCTATCTATAGTGTTTATTTGTAGTGGATTTTTTATGGCTGTTCCACAATGCATAGTATAATACATAGTATCCATATGTTAATTCTACTGAGTTCAAATATCAGTTCTCCCATTGATAAGCTGTTAGACAACAGGCAAATCATAATCTTCCTCTGACATTGTTTCTCATCTGTAGAATACTGTAGCACCTTTCTTGCTCAGTTTCCCTGAAAGTTCAAAATAATATATATGATATTTATTACAGCTGCTATAAGTCCTTAAAATGGAAGTTTTTACTTTTGTTATTACATATAATATGTATTCAGAATTTTGCTTATTCCCACCTTTAGTTTGGATCATTTCTTTCAATTTAGACTTTTCTCTTTCACAAGCATGAACTGGGACTTCTGGTTCAAAAAGTCATCTTTAGGTAGCTGGGATGCAGTTCCAGTAAAAAGCCCAAAATTACTATTACTCTGTTTATCTTCCTACTGTATGTTGATGCCCATTATGTGCGAAGCACAAATTAAATATTTTATACATGCTTTTATCCCATTTGCATGCACATATAACATTTTTACAACTTTTTCATATGGCTTAATATGAAATATTTAAAAATTCACTTTATTTGGGTTGTTAGAATATCAGTCTTTAATTTGTCCTTATGGGAATGAAGATAAAAATCTTTAAGTAGAAATTATTATAAATGTTTATCCTACTTAACAGCTACACTTTTGAATACAATTCATCAATCATAGCTGGAGAAAGCAATTGTGCAGTTGTCTACAATTAACAGGACAAAAACAGTTGATAAATGTGCATCTGAATTAAAGTACTCCCTGGGACCGGCTGAAATTATACACTGGATCATTTAAAGGAATCTAACAAAGGATCTTTATAATTAAAACAAAGCAAGGTTAATGGGATGTAAAATTGCCTGTAATATCTTGGCAATAATGATTGGAATTTGAATTATTAAAATATGCATTGAAGAATAAGGCAAATAGGAAGTACTTATTTAAAATACAGAATTTGAGTGATCTTTTTAAATAAATTAATCATTTGCCTGAAATAAACCTTTGTCACTCTTTTAAAAGAATATAGAATTTAATTTTTGAATATTCATCAGAAAAGAACAGATAATATTTATGTTTAGCACTGAATTTAAGCTAGAGCTCTCAAGATTCTGATTTTTTGTTTTGTCCTTTAGAATAGGGGAAAATATACACCATGCATTTCTTAGGTTTTTAAGAGGAGAAGCATATTGCATCCAAGTATAATTTTTTAGTGATTGTATGGCACCAATTTGAATGTATTCTTTAATTTAACAAATGCTAGTTAATATTTTAACCAACAAGCATTGGTTTGCTTGAGTTTATTTCTCTTATGTCTTTGATTTGGCAAAAACTGTATTTAAAAATAAAACAAACCAAAAAAAACTTCCAAATCTGTAAAATAAGAAACTATTTCCTAAAGTAGATATTCTGGTTTAATTTGGAGCCAATAATCTCTGGAAGCTACTGGAAAACAGAAGTTTCTTTTCCATGTGTTTTCTTATAAAATCTGACCTATGCCAGGTTTTCTTTAACATTCTTTTTTAATTATTATTATTTTCTAATATTATACTTTAAGTTCTAGATACATGGGCAGAACATGCAGGTTTGTTACATAGGTATACACGTGTCATGGTGGTTTACTGCACCCATCTACCCGTCATCCACATTAGGTATTTCTCCTAATGCTATCCCTCCCCTAGTCCTCCACCCCCCAACAGGCCCCAGTGTGTGATGTTCCCCTCCCTGAGTCCATGTGTTCTCATTGTCACCTCCCACTTATGAGTGAGAACATGCAGTGTTTGGTTTTCTGTTCCTGTGTTAGTTTGCTGAGAATGATGGTTCCCAGCTTCATCCATGTCCCTGCAAAGGACATGAACTCATCTTTACTTTATGGCTGCATAGTATTCCATGGTGTATATATGCCACATTTTCTTTATACAGTCTATCATTGATGGGCATTTAGGTTAGTTCCAAGTCTTTGCTATTGTCAACAGTGCTGCAGTAAACATATGTGTGCATGTGTGTTTATAGTAGAATGATTTATAATCCTTTGGGTATATACCCAGTAATGGGATTGCTGGGTCAAATGGTATTTCTGGTTCTAGATCCTAGAGGAATTGCCACACTGTCTTCCACAGTGGTCAAACTAATTTACACTCCCACCAACAGTGTAACAGCGTTCCTATTTCTCCATATCCTCTCCAGGATCTGTTGTTTCCTGACTTTTAAATGATTGCCATTCTAAATGGTGTGAGATGGTATCTCATTGTGATTTTGATTTGCATTTCTCTAATGACGAGGGATGATGAGTTTTTTTTCATATACTTGTTGACCACATAAATGACATCCTTTGAGAAGTATCTGTTCATATCCTTCGCCCTCTTTTTGATGGGTTTTTTTGTTTTATTTCTTGTAAATTTGTTTAAGTTCCTTGTAGATTCTGGATATTAGCTCTTTGTCAGATGGATAGATTGCAAAAATTTTCTCCCATGCTGTAGGTTGCCTGTTCCCTGTGATGATAGTTTCTTTTGCTGTGCAGAAGCTCATTAGTTTCCTTAGATCCCATTTGTCAATTTTGGCTTTTGTTGCCATTGCTTTTGGTGTTTTAGTCGTGAAGTCTTTGCCCATGCCTATGTCCTGAAAGGCATTGCCTAGGTTTTCTTCTAGGGTTTTTATGGTTTTACGTTTAAGTCTTTAATCCATCTTGAGTTAATTTTTGTATAAGGTGTAAGGAAGGGGTCCAGTTATAGTTTTCTGCCTCTGGCTAGCCAGTTTTCCCAGCACCATTTATTAAATGGGGAATCCTTTCCCCATTGCTTGATTTTTGACAGGTTTGTCAAAGATCAGATAGTTGTAGATGTGTGGCATTATTTCTGAGGCCTCTGTTCTATTCCGTTGGTCCATATATCTGTTTTGGTACCAGTACCATGCTGTTTTGGTTACTGTAGCCTTGTAGTATAGTTTGAAGTCAGGTAGCATGATGCCTCCAGCATTGTTCTTTTTGCTTAGGATTGTCTTGGCTATACGGGCTCTTTTTTGGTTCCATATTAAATTGAAAGTAGTTTTTTCTAATTATGTGAAGAAAGTTAGTGGTAGCTTGATGGGGATAGCACTGAATCTATAAATTACTTTGGGCAATATGGCCATTTTCACAATATTGATTCTTCCTATCCATGAGCATGGAGTGTCTTTCCATTTGTTTCTGTTCTCTCTTATTTCCTTGAGCAGTGGTTTATAGTTCTCCTTGAAGAGGTCCTTCACATCCCTTGTGAGTTGTATTCCTAGGTATTATCTTAGTAGCAGTGGTGAATGGGAGTTCACTCATGATTTGGCTCTCTGTTTGTCTATTACTGGTGTATAGGAATGCTTGAGATTTTTGCACATTGATTTTGTATCCTGAGACTTTGCTGAAGTTGCTTATCAGCTTAAGGAGATTTGGGGCTGAGACGATGGAGTTTTCTAAATATATAATCATGTCATCTGCAAATAGAAACGATTTGACTTTCTCTCTTCCTATTTGAATACGCTTTATTTCTTTCTCTTGCCTGATTGCCCTGGCCAGAACTTCTGATACTATGTTGAAGAGGAGTGGTGAGAGAGGGCATCCTTGTCTTGTGCTGGTTTTCAAAGGAAATGCTTCCAGTTTTTGCCCATTCGGTATGATATTGGCTGTGGGTTTGTCATAAATAGCTCTTATTATTTTGAGATACATTCCATCAATACCTAGTTTGTTGAGAGTTTTTTGCTTGAAGGGGTGTTGAATTTTATCAAAGGTCTTTTTGACATCTATTGAGATAATCATGTGGTTTTTGTCATTGTTTCTGTTTATGTAATGGATTACATTTATTGATTTGCATGTGTTGAACCGGCGTTGCATCCCAGAGATGAAGCCAACTTGATCGTGGTGGATAAGCTTTTTGATGTGCTGTTGGATTCCGTTTGCCAGTATGTTATTGAGGATTTTTGCATTGGTGTTCATCAGGGATATTGGCCTGAAATTTTCTTATTTTGTTGTGTCTCTGCCAGGTTTTGGTATCAGGATGATGTTGGCCTCATAAAATGAGTTAGGGAGGAGTCCCTCTTTTTCTACTGTTTGGAATAGTTTCAGAAGGAATGGTACCAGCTCCTCTTTGTACCTCTGGTAGAATTCGGCTATGAATCCGTCTGGTCCTGGGCTTTTTTTGTTGTTGTTGGTAGGCTATTACGGCTTCAATTTCAGAACTTGTTATTGGTCTATTCAGGGATTCGACTTCTTCCTGGTTTAGTCTTGGGAGGGTGTATGTGTCCAGGAATTTATCCATTTCTTCTAGATTTTCTAGTTTATTTGCATAGAGGTGTTTATAGTATTCTCTGATGGTAGTTCGTATTTCTGTGGGATCAGTGTGATATCCTCTTTATCATTTTTTACTGTGTCTATTTGATTCTTCTCTGTTTTCTTTTTTATTATTCTGGCTAGAGGTCTGTCTATTTTGTTAATCTTTTCAAAAACCAGCTCCTGGATTCATTGATTTTTTTGAAGGGTTTTTTGTGTCTCTATCTCCTACAGTTCTGCTCTGATCTTATTTATTTCTTGTCTTCTGCTAGCTTTTGAATTTGCTTTTGCTTCTTTAGTTCTTTCAATTGTGATGTTAGGGCATTGATTTTAGATCTTTCCCGCTTTCCATTGTGGGCATTTAGTGCTATAAATTTCCCTCTAAACACTGCTTTAGCTGTGTCCCAGAGATTCTGGTACATTGTGTCTTTGTTCTCATTGGTTTCAAAGAATTATTTATTTCAGCCTTCATTTCGTTATTTACCTGGTAGTCATTCAGGAGCAGGTTTTTCAGTTTCCATGTAGTTGTGTGGTTTTAAGTGAGTTTCTTAATCCTGAGTTCTAATTTGATTGCACTGTGGTCTGAGAGACTGTTATGATATCCATTCTTTTGCATTGGCTGAGGAGTATTTTACTTCCAATTATGCAGCCAATTTTAGAATAAGTGCAGTGTGGTGCTGAGAAAAATATATATTCTATTCATTTGGGTTGGAGAGTTCTGTAGATGTCTATTAGGTCCACTTGGTCCAGAGCTGAATTTAAGTCCTGAACATCCTTGTTAATTTTCTCTCGTTGATATGTCTAATATTGACAGTGGGGTGTTAAAGTCTCCCACTATTATTGCGTAGGAGTCTAAGTCTCTTTGTAAGTCTCTAAGAACTTGCTTTATGAATCTGGGTGCTCCTGTATTGGGTGCATATATGTTTAGGATAGTTAGCTTTTCTTGTTGCATTGATCCCTTTACCATTACATAATTCCCTTCTTTGTCTGTTTTGATCTTTGTTGGCTTGAAGTCTGTTTTATCAGGGACTACGATTGCAACCTCTGCTTTTTTTTTTGCTTTCCATTTGCTTGGTAAATAATCCCCCATCCCTTTATTTTGAGTCTATATGTGACTTTGCACGTATGATGGGTCTCCTGAGTACAGCACACTGATGGGTCGTGACTCTTTATCAACTTTGCCAGTCTGTGTCTTTTAATTGGGGCATTTAGCCCATTTAACATTTAAGGTTAATATTGTTATGTGTGAATTTGATCCTGTCATTATGACGCTAGCTGGTTAATTTGCCCATTAGTTGATGCTGTTTCTTCATAGTGTCGATGGACTTTACAATTTGGTATATTTTTTGCAGTGGCTGGTACCAGTTTTTCTTTTCCATATTTACTGTTTCCTTCGGGAGCTCTTGCAAGGCAGACCTGGTGGTGACAAAATCTCTCAGCATTTGCTTTTCTGTAAAGGATTTTATTTCTCCTTTGCTTATGAAGCTGAGTTCGACTGGATATGAAATTCTGAGTTGAAAATTCTTTACTTTAAGAATGTTGAATATTTGCCTCCACTCTCTTCTGGCTTGTAGGGTTTCTGCTGAGAGATCCGCTGTTAGTCTGATGGGGTTCCCCTTGGGGTAACCTGACCTTTCTCCCTGGCTGCCCTTAACATTTTTTCCTTCATTTCAACCTTGGTGAATCTGAAGTTTATGTGTCTTGGGGTTGCTCTTCTCGAGGAGTATCTTTGTGATGTTCTCTGTATTTCCTGAATTTGAATATTGGCCTGTCTTGCTAGGTTGGGGAAGTTCTCCTGGATAATATCCTGAAGAGTGTTTTCTAACTTGGTTCCGTTTTCCCCATCACTTTCAGGTACACCAGTCAAACGTAGGTTTGGTCTTTTCACATGGTCCCACATTTCTTGGAGGCTTTGTTCACTGCTTTTAATTCTTTTTCTCTAATCTTGTCTTCACACTTTATTTCATTAAGTTGATCTTCAATCTCTCATATCCTTCTGCTTGATGTATTCGGCTATTGATACTTGTGTATGCTTCATGAAGTTCTCGTGTTGTGTTTTTCAGCTGTGTCAGGTCATTTGTGTTCTTCCCTAAACCGGTTATTCTAGTTAGCAATTCCTCCAACGTTTTTTTCGAGATTCTTAGCTTCCTTGCACTGGGTTAGAAAATGCTGCTTTAGCTTGGAGGAGTTTGTTATTGCCCACCTTCTGAAGCCTGCTTCTGTCAATTTGTCAAACTCATTCTCCATCCAGTTTCGTTCCCCTGCTGGCGAGGAGTTGTGATCCTTTGGAGAAGAGGCATTCTGGTTTTTGGAATTTTCAGCCTTTTTCAGCTGGTTTTTCCTCATCTTCGTGGATTTATCTACCTTTGGTCTTTAATGTTGTTGACCTTCAGTTGAGGTTTTTGAGTGGGCGTCCTTTTTGTTGATGTGGATGCTATTCCTTTCTGTTTGTTAGTTTTCCTTCTAAGAGTCAGACTTCTCTGCTGTGGGTCTGCTGGAGTTTGCTGGAGGTCCACTCCAGTCCCTGTTTGCCTGGGTATCACCAGCAGAGGCTGCAGAACAGCAAAGATTACTGCCTGTTCCTTCCTCTGGAAGCTTTTTCCCAGAGTGGCACCTGCCATATGCCAGCTGGAGCTCTCCTGTATGAGGTGTCTCTTGACCCCTGCTGGGAGGTGTTTCCTTCAGTCAGGAAGCACTGTGGTCAGGGACCCACATGAGGAGGCACTCTGTCCCTTAGCAGAGCTGGAGCACTGTGCTTGGAGATCTGCTGCTCTTTTCAGAGCCAGTGGGCAGGAACATTTAAGTCTGCTGAAGCTGCACCCACAGCCGCCCCTTCCCCCAGGTGCTCTGTCCCAGGAAGATGGGAGTTTTATCTATAAGCTCCTGACTGGGGCTGCTGCCTTTCTTTCAGAGATACTCTGCCCAGAGATGAAGAATCTAGAGAGGCAGTCTGGCTACAGTGGCTTTGCTGAGCTGCGGAGGGCTCCGCCCAGTTGAAACTTCCCGGTGGCTTTGTTTACACTATGCAGGGAAAACCACCTACTCAAGCCTCAGTAATGGTGGACACCCCTCCCTCCACCAAGCTAGAGGGTCCCAGGTTGACTTCAGACTGCTGTGCTGGCAGCGAGAATTTCAAGCCAGTGGATCTTAGCTTGCTGAGCTCTGTTGGGGTGGGATCTGATGAGCTAGACCACCTGGCTTCCTGGCTTCAGCCCCCTTTGCAGGGGAGTGAACGGTTCTGTCTCGCTGGCATTCCAGGCACCACTGGGATGTGAAAAAAAAACTCCTGCAGCTAGCTCAGTGTCTGCCCAAACGGCTGTCCAGTTTTGTGCTTGAAACCCAGGGCCCTGGTGATGTAGGCACCCAAGAAAATCTCCTGGTCTGTGGGTTGCAAACACTGTGGGAAAAGTGTAGTATCTGGGCCGGAGTCCACCGTTCCCCATGGCACAGTCCCTCACGGCTTCCCTTGGCTAGGGTAGGGAGTTCCCTGACCCCTTGTGCTTCCCAGGTGAGGCGATGCCCCACCCTGCTTCAGCTCACCCACCGTGGACTGCACCCACAGTCTAACCAGTCCAATCACCCACTGCCTAGTCATCCCAATGAGATGAGCTGGGTACCTCAGTTGGAAATGCAGAAATCAACCGCCTTCTGGGTTTATCTCGCTAGGAGCTGCAGACTGGAGCTGTTCTTATTCGGCAAGATGGCCAGCCAACGCCCCATGCTCCTTTTTTGCCACTCTTTTATTCACTTTATACATCTAATTAGTTAATAAACATACTGAGTTTCATACGTGAAACATGACTTTTACAAAATTACCTGCATACATCTTAAATAGTATTTCTTATTTATACATATAACCTTAGACATTGATGATAAATAAAATGTTATTTATCTAAAACTAAAGTCCCATTTAATAATGGTTAGATTTTAAGTAATAAGGAAATATATTTCAAAATTTGTGATCATAAATTGTATTTGAATTATATTTTGTTTTTTGAGACAGGGTCTCACTCTGTCATCCAGGTTGGAGTGCAGTGGCATGATCTCGGCTCACTGCAACCTCCATTTCCAAGGCTCAAGCAATCCTCCCAACTCAGCCTCCCAAGTAGCTGGGACTATAGGCACGAGCCACCATGCCCAGCTGCATTTTGTATTTTTTGTAGAGATGGGGTTCTGCCATGTTGCCCAGTCTGGTCTCGAACTCCTGAAATTAAGTGATCCACCTGCCTCAGCCTCCCAAAGTGCTGGGATTACACGCATAAGCCACCATGCCCAGCCTAAATCACATTTTTAACCATGTTTAAAATATATCTACAATTTGACCCAGCCATCCCATTACTGGGTATATACCCAAAGGACTATAAATCATGCTGCTATAAAGACACATGCACACGTATGTTTACTGCGGCATTATTCACAATAGCAAAGACTTGGAACCAACCCAAATGTCCAACAATGATAGACTGGATTAAGAAAATGTGGCACTTATACACCATGGAATACTATGCAGCCATAAAAAAATGATGAGTTCATGTCCTTTGTAGGGACATGGATGAAATTGGAAATCATCATTCTTAGTAAACTATCGCAAGAACAAAAAACCAAACACCACATATTCTCACTCATAGGTAGGAATTGAACAATGAGAACACATGGACACAGGAAGGGGAACATCACACTCTGGGGCCTGTTGTGGGGTGGGGGGAGGGGGAGGGATAGCATTGGGAGATATACCTAATGCTAGATGACGAGTTAGTGGGTGCAGCACACCAACATGGCACATGTATACATATGTAACTAACCTGCACATTGTGCACATGTACCCTAAAACTTAAAGTATAATAATAAATAAATAAATAAATAAAATAAAATATATCTACTTATGTACACATATTATTTTTTCTCTTCTGAGCACAAGTTTAAATATACTTTTCTCCTTATTACATTAAGAAACATAACAATTTAAAAGTGAATCAATGAGAAAGTTACCTATTTTGGTGTATTCATTTCTATGCCATATTTTTCCATTTCTTATTTCTTAGAGACACATATCATATTTTTTTTGTTCTTGGTTTACTCATTGCATACAAAAGCCAGTCAAGATGTACATAATCTGTGCCTTTATTAGAAAACTTTTATTTAATTTCCATACCATTCTGATAGGTAAGATCAACTTGGCAATAGAGGAGCCTAGAGTTGGCCTTTGCATTTGTGGCTGGTGTATTGTGACATAATGGATGCAGGTAGAAGTGAATTAACAGGGGCTACACTAACAGGAAGGTATAGATGTTGTGCACGTAGCCAAAGGATACACCAAAGGTGAGAAGTGAGGAGATAAGATGAGCAGGACAGATAGGACAAGAATACAGGCATGACCTGTGTCATAGATTTTAGCCTATGCAAGAGTCCCAAAATGCCAGGAGAATTAGAATATTGAGTTACATGGACTGATTAGTTCATATGTTGGTAAAATAAGAACACGTAACTGATTTATATTCCTCATGTCCTGTTGTACAGATCAATATTTGAAAAACCAGAATATTTCTTCTATAACATGTCTCTTATAAAGATCCAGTCCCAGCCAAACAAGGATTAAGAAAAACTTATTGTTACTGTTTTTTAATTACAAAGGTAATATAATACATGGACATGTATTCCTGAAGTTCTTAGCACTTATTAATTACAATGTATCTTAAAAAACAAAACCTGAATAAATACTTAGAAAACACTCATTATGTAGTTAGTTTTAGCAGGGACATAAATACATTTTGCACATATTCCTCATCTACGAGTAACTCATAATTGAGAGGTTAGGATTTATGTGCAGAAAAAAATTAAACAGTTCCAAAATATTATAGTCAATATATGACTGTTTTCAAGCTAAATGATATAAAAATGTCAGGGACTTTAGAAGGAGCTATTTCATTGGGCAATAATGATTGCAGAAGGTTTCTTTTGAGAGAGAGGACCTAAGCAATATAAGCACAATGTGTGGAATCCAAACAAACAAACAAAAAATCATCCCTGGCTTTTTTGGTGAAAATTAAAATTTAGAACAACAGAAAATACCTTTTGAGTTTCATTATCTAATGAAGCAAATGTGGTCCTAATTTTAGTTGGAAAAGATAAAATCTGTCTTTGAAGTTTATATTATTTAAATAGTCAAAGTTTTCCTGATTTTTTAGTGCTAACCAGTAATTTGCTTAATTCTTAATGCTGATCGGGTTTTATAACATTAATCTCTATATCAGAAAGAGTATGAAAATTTTACATATTTTTCTTTTTTAAAAGAATTACTCATAAAGCAGACTTCAAAACAATCGATTATACCAAAGTCTAGATTTCCGTATTCATAGACCAGTATAAGAAAAACAATGGACTTAACTTACTAAAGAACTGGGTTGATGTTAAACAATAAATATTTCTTTTTAGTTTTTTAAAATTTTTAATTTTTGTGGGTACATAATTGTATGTATACAAGATATATAAGATGTTTTGATACAGGGATACAATGCATAATAATCACATCAGGGTAAATGGGGATGAAACATTATTATTTAAAGAATAAATAATACCAATATACTGAAAGTCTTCCAGAAATAGAAGAGGAGGTAATGCTTTATAGTTCCTTTTATGAGATATCGTAATACTGATACCAACGCCAGAAAAAGACATAACAAGAAATGAAATTACAGACTCATATCCATCATAAGCATAGGTGCAATAATTTTTAACAAGGTTTGGCAAATCAAATCTAGCAATATATGAAAAGGATTATATCATGAAAAAGGTAATGATTCTCCAAAATGCAAAGTGTATATAACATTCAAGACGATTTATCATAAATTTTTTCCCAAAGCTAATGTCTAGAAAGGTATTTCCTGTGTTTTCTCCTAGGATTCTTACATTTTGAGATTAGATATAATTTAAATTTTTAATCTTTCTTTAGTTAATTTTTATATATGGTGAAAGGTAGGGGTTCAGTTTCAACTTTCTCTATTTGGCTAGGTAGCTATCCTAGCACCATTTATTGAATAAGGAGTCCTTTCTCCATTGCTTATTGTTGTCAACTTTGTTGACAGTCAGATGCCTGTAGGTGTACAGCTTTATCTCTGGGTTTTTTATCCCCTTCCATTGGTTTGTATGTGTGTTGTACCAACAACACCATGCTGTTTTGGTTACTGTTGACTTATAGTTTGAAGTTGTGTAATGATGCCTTTGGCTTTGTTCTTCTTGCTTAGGGTTGCTTTGGCTGTTCAGGCTCTCTTTTAGTTCCATATGAATTTCAGAATAAGTTTTTCTAAATCTGTGAAAAAATGACATTGGTAGTTTGATAGGAATAGTGTTGAATCTGTAGTATGGCTATTTTAATGATATTCATTCTCCCAATCCATGAACATTGGATGTGTTTCCATTTGTTTGTGTCATCTATGATTTCTTTCAGCAGTGGTTTATTGTTATCCTTGTAGAGATTTTTCACCAAATTAGATGTATTCCTAGATATTTTTGGGAGGGAAAGGGGAACTATTATAAATGGGATTGCATTTTTTATTTGGCTCAAAACTTGAATGTTATTGGTGTGTAGAAATGCTACTGATTTTTATATATTGATTTGGTATCCTGAAACTTTACTGACATTGTTTATTAGTTCCAGGAGCCTTTTGGCAGAGTCTTTAGGGTTTTCTAGTATAGATTCATATTGTCAGTAATGGTATGATAGTTAGGCTTCTTCTTTTTCTATTTTGGTGCCTTTTATTTCATTATCTTGCCTGATTGCTCTGGCTACAACTTCCAGTACTATGTGGGATGGGAATGTTAAGAGTGAGCATTCATGTCCCGTTCCAGTTCTCAAGTGGAATTATTCCCATTCAGTAAGTCCTCAAAAGCAATTACAACAAAAACAAAAATTGACAAGTGGGACAAGGTTAAACTAAGAGCTCCAGCACAGTGAAAGTAACTGTCAACAAAGTAAACAGAAAACCTACAGAATGGGAGAAAATATTCACAAACCATGCATCCAAGGACTAATATCCGGAATCTATAAAGAACTTAAACAAATCAACAATAAAAAACAAATAGCCCAATTTAAAAATGGGCAAGATACATGAACAAACATACAAAAAGAAGACATACAAGCAGCAACAAACATGAAAAAATGTTCAACATCACTAATCATCAGAAAAATGCAAATCAAAACCACAATGATATACCATTTCACACCCATGAGTAATGGATATTATAAAATAAAAAAGCAGCAGGTGCTGGAGAGGCTGTGGAGAAAAGGGAATGCTTATACACTGTTGATGGAAATGTAAAGTAGTTCAGCCACTGTGGAAAGCAGTTTGGAGATTTCTTAAAAAGCTTAAAACAGAGCTACCATTTGACCCAGCAATCCCATTACTGGGTATATATCCAAAAGAAAATAAATTGTTCTACCAAGAAAACACATGTACACGTATGTTCATCGCAGCACTATTCACAATGGCAAAGACATAGAATCAACCTAGGTGCCCATCAGTGGTGGATTGGATAAAGAAAATGTGGTATGTACACACCATGGAATACTATGCAGCCATAAAGAGGAATTAAATCACGTTCTTTGCAGCAATATCGATGTAGCTAGATGCCATTATCCTATGCAAATTAAAGTTGGAACAGAAAACAAAGTACCACATGTTCTTACTTATAAGTGTGAGCTAAACGTTGGATAAATGTGGACATAAAGATGGCAACAATAGACACTAGGTACTACTTGAGGAGGGAGAGAGAGCAGGAGACAAGGGCTTAAAGACTATCTGTTGGGCATTCTCACTACCAGGGTGATGGGATCTATTGTACCCCAAACCTCAACATCATGCAATATACCCAGGTAACGATCCTGCATCCCCTGAATCTAAAATAAAAATTGAAATTATTTGTTAAAAGGAATATATATCAATGAATATTCCACATCAACAGACTGCAAAAGAGAAAAATATACGATCATTGTCATAGATGTAGGAAAAGCATTTGAAAAAGTCAGCATCTATTCCTGATATATAAAAAAAAAACTCTCAGCAAACTACAAATTAAGTTGAACTCCCTCAATATGAGTGGCATCTGCAAAAAACATATAGCTAACATTTTAATGCATGGTGACAGACAAAATGCTTTCCTTGTGGATCTAAAACAAGGCAAGGATGTTCTCACCACTTATATCAAACCTTTGACTGGAGTTCTTGGCCAGTTCATTTTGGCAAATAGAAGATCTTAAGATGTATGACAGAAGGTATTAGAACTAATAAGTAAATTTAGCAAAGTCACAGGATACAGGACCAATATTCAAAATCAGTTATAATAACAAACATGTTAACATATATAAAACATTGGAAACTGAAATAAAATAAACCATTATAATAGTATCAAAAATAGGAAGCACTTAGGGGTATACTTTAAAAATATACAAAAGACTCATACAATAAAACCTACAACATATTTCTGCCAAAAAAATAAAAATAAATACAGGGGGAATGGGGATGGTTAACAGGTATAAAAAAATAGAAAGAAGGAATAATGCCTAGTATTCAATGGCACAACAGGGTGACTATGGCCAAAGTAATTGTACATTTTGAAATAACTAAAGGAGTATAATTGGATTGTTCGTAACATAAAGGATAAATGCTGGAGGGGATGGATACCCCATTTTGCATGATGTGATTATCATGCATTGCATGCCTGGATCAAAATGTCTCATGCACCCCCTAAATATATATACCAACTATATACCCACAAAAATTAACATATAAATATATTTAAAAATGTGGAGACACGGTGTTCATGGATCTGAAGACCCAGCATTATTAAGGTGTTAGTTCTTTCTAAAGTGAGAGACACAACACAAACCTAATTAAAATTCCAGCAGGGTTTTTTTTTTTTTGGTAGAAATTTAGCCAGCTGATTTAAAATTTTCTGTGAAAATACGCAGGGCCTAAGATAGCCAAAACAAATTGAAAAGGAACAAAGCTGGAAGATTTATACCATTTGACTTTGAGACTTATTCTAAAACTACAATAATCAAGACAGGATAGCACTGATATAAAGATAGACAGATCAACGGAAGGAAATAGAGAATCCAGACCTTACAACTCAATGATAAAAAGATGAACTACACAAGTAGGCAAGAAATCTGAACAGACACTACACCAAAGAAGATATACAAATGGCCAATCACTGTATGAAAAAATGTTCCACCTTATTAGTCGTTTGGCAAATTCAGTTTCAAACCACAATTAGATAACATTACACACTTGCTGTAATGGGAATAAATAGATTGTCAACACCAAGCATTGGTGAGGATGTGGAGCCACGGGAACACTTATACCATGGTGGTGGAAGTGCAAAATAGTATACCCACTTGGAAAACAGTTCTGTCAGTATTTTACAAGGTTAAACATATTTTTACCATATGTCCTAATAATTCCAAGCCTAGGTATTTGCCCAAGAGAAATGAAAAATAAGTCCACATTAAGACCTGTATGTGAATATTCGTAGCAGTTTTATTCGTAATAGCCAAGGACTGAAAGTACCCCAAATGTACATCAACAGGTAAATGGTTACTCATTATCATCCATCATTATAAGGAAATTCAACTCCACAATTTAAAAAATATGAGCTACTGATACACACAATAACATGTATGGAACTTAAAAATGCTTATGTGAAGTGAAAGAAGCCAAACAGCAAAGACATACCACATGATTCCATTTATGTGACATTCTATAAAAGACAAAATTATAGGGACAGAAAACAGTTCAAGTTCACTTGCTACAGATGGCAGGAAAAGGTAACAAAAGAACATTTTGGGGTGAGGGAAGTGTTCTTGATAGTGGTCTTGATTAGATGAAATATGCATTTGTCAAAATTAAACTGCATTTTAAAGGGTTAATTATATTATATGTAAATTGTGTCTTAAAAAAACTACAGTAGCATTTCATTACTTATAAAGTTCAGGCTCTGTAACACTACCCAGAAGGCCTTCGCTTATCTGGCCTTCTTTACTTCTCACACTGAATTAGGAATCTACTTCAGGTTCCATGAAGTGCTCCTATACCATGCTTATATTTTACTGTCATTTACTACCACAAAGAAGGTTCTCAGTAAATTATTGTTCAGTAGATGAATGCCTAACTCTGTACCCCTTGTCTTTACTTACTCTCTGGAAACTATTAGCAGCCACACCAAACTGATAGCTTTTCCCGAACAACATAGTCACCTGTTTCTGTGCCTTTGAGCAAGTTACTTAATCTGTTTCAGTTTTTTTTCTTTGTGTATAGTGGGGCTAATTGTGCTTAACTAATAAGATATGAAGTGAAGTAAGAATCAAATGAGATGATAACTGTAAAGCACTTAGCCTATTAAGTAATCAGTTCTCAATGTTTCTGGAACATAATAAAGACTCAAGAAATGTCATTTGTTTTTATCAGGATTTAGTTATTTAAGTGGCACTTTAGCTGGATTTTGAAGGCTCTGGACAATCGTGAGGAAAATTGAGGACCTTTCACATCCCACGCAGGAGCACAGATGGGTTTCCTATCTAGGGGCTTTCCCTTAACACTTAATTCCACAGGGAAGGGATGGGTTTCATCCAGTGTTAATTCACTCTCATCACCCTGCCTTCTCTTTTCAATGATTCTCTCCTTTCCATATCAAGCCCTTATGTTTCATTGTCAAGCTCCAGAATTATTATTTTGGTTTCTCTTTATTCTCCCTACTTCTCACCCAATCAAAATGATAGTTCCCATAGTGAATTAATACGTAGTTAGGTCTGATTGTATTTTTATATAATTGTTCATATAATCAACTGACGCAAAGGCATGAATAATTGATAGATTTTATCCGTGAGGAAAGATTTCTATTTTGAGAGAATAGCTTATCAATTTTTTTCTAATAGCTATATAGAGGGGAAAGTCTCTAGTGTCTTATTTTTCCATCTTGTTCTACACAAATAGAAAGTCTCAAAATAGCCTGCTACATATACCATCATTATGCCTCAGTGTTCAGATCTTTGTAATTTTACA
Source organism: Homo sapiens (assembly GCF_000001405.40). Classification (NCBI taxonomy): domain Eukaryota; kingdom Metazoa; phylum Chordata; class Mammalia; order Primates; family Hominidae; genus Homo; species Homo sapiens. The sequence continues at coordinate 35,330,928 of NC_000013.11, forward strand.
GCCTATGAAAATGAGTAAATTGGTTCATCCTTCAAAAAAAAGTTTGATTAGTAGCATAATTCATAGCTAATATGGCAGACTACAAATCTAGATTATGAACATGAAGAATTGATATGAATTCCCACCACAGTCTGATATGGAGCTTCATAACTAAATAGCAAGATCTGCCATCTCTTTTTCTCTCTTCTAAGGAGCATAAAGATGACCAATCTATCAATGTGTATCTTTCAGAAAAAGGAACTACCATTTTCAGGTACTTTTTAGTGACACCAGAAACTTCGTGACTTACTTTTGAGATTTTGGAGCCAGAGGAAATTACACTGAGGTATTAAATCCCCAATCAAAGTCTGTCTTCTTCACTAAGTAAATCAGGATCTTAAAATCTAATCTTACAGTTTGGGCATGCACTCTTTCCCCTAGTTTGTAGGAGATCTGAAATAGTATACTCCCATTCTCTGATGACAAAAACTGAAATTAAGACATAGGGAAAATTATTTGTCCAAAATTATAATGCTGCTGAACAACAGAACGTAGATACAAACTAGTTCTCCCTTTTGTTCTGTAATCTATATATAATGAAAAATGAATTTGTCTGACCTATCCTATTGCCTTTTCTATTGATGTATTTTTCATCAAGTAATAGAAATTGTTTATATTTAAAATGCAAGATCTCACAGTCTGAGGTCAAAGACATGCATTTAAAAGATAACAAACTGCATAAAGTCAGTTACTTCCAAGAACATCAGAACTTGCTTGTTGACATCTATTCCATTTTGAATAGGATACTTTGTTCTGTTAACTGACTTCTTTTTTCTGGTATTCATGACAACTCTTATCTGTTATTAAACAGAAAAGAATAGGACTGGATAAACTATTTTCTGTTTCTGTTTCCTATGGAAAATAACCTTGCATTAGAAAATGAACATCACTTCATTCACTTTCTGTGTTGTATAGATACTCCAAGTAGGAAATGTTCTGTAATAGCTATTCTTAAATTATCTGATGTTTTATTTACCTTGTTTTTTCCATGTTAAATGTACTGTACAGTTTTATAGCTTTAACAAAAATGACATGATCATTAAAATTCTATTTTTCTTAGTGTTCTTCTTCCCACATAACATACTCATGCATTCATTCAGTCATTTATCCATTTAGCTGTATACTATTGGTGATTTCATACTTCATGACAGGTACCATGCAAATCATACTGGATACTGAGATAAATAGATTTTGTACGTCATTTACTGAATTTTACAGTTTTAGAAAGTGAAAGACTTTTTAAAAGAAAATAAGAGGAAATAGCCAAGCTAGTGTGATAAATAAATATCCGGAACATCTGAGAGATTGGGAGAGGTCTCTTAGCTCTATAGGGATGAGGGCGTGGCAGGGGTTATAAGAAGAAGAAATGGCATATATAAAGGCCCTGAAATAGCATGACTCATTAAAGGAAATACAAGGGTTGTTCAAGGATATAGAATAAATATGTTAAAGTGGCAGCAGAGAAGGTTAGAGAAGTAGACAGACATCTCTATATCATAATAAATTTAACTGTTATCTTGTAAGTTGTGGGTAGCCACTGGAAAAATTTAACTTTGGATAACACCAATGGAAAAGTGAAAAATGTAGATGTAGACAGACATTTCTATATCATAATAAGTTTAACTATTATCTTGTAAATTATGGGTAGCCATTGGAGAAATTTAACTTTGGATAACACCAATGGAAAAGTGAAAAATGTATTAGAAGGATGGAAGATTTCAGGGAGGCAGAAAATTATATGGCTGTTGTAATCCAAGTGAGAAAAGATTAAAATTTAAACAAAAGCATTATTACTTGAAAGAATTAATAGATTAAAAGTATATTATGGAGGTAAAATTCACAAACCTTGGTGGTTCAGAATATTCACATTCTACATAGAGTACACTCATTGAGGCATCATGAGTCTTAAAAGTGTTAGGACTCCTTCGTGGCCAGCACTCCCCACTATAAATTAGTGCCCCAAGGGGAAGGAATTCCCTCAGTATATGCCTAAAGTAACATGTCATTGGGATTTTAAAGCTGCCACCAGAAGTAAAGCAGAGAATCTAGCCTGGAACTATCAGACTAAGCCAAGATCCTTAAGAAAGGCTGATATGTTTCTAGTGGACTCTTCTTGTTATCACCAGAAACAAAAGCAAACCATCATAGATAAACACTTAATGACTAAATATATGAGACCGAAAGCCAATATGCATGAGAATCATCAAGGGGGAAAAAAGATTTTAGATCTCTAAGGGCTGCAAAGGTTAGAATTGTGAAATAAAATAAAGCGCAAAATAGAATGAATAAAAAGAGACCATTAAAAATGAAGAAGAATATTTGGAAAAATAAAACTTGTAGAATTTTTAAAATACAAGTTGGAAAAAAGATGTTTATTGATGATTCATCAGATTAGACAAAGATGGAGGTAATTAGTTAATTGGATTTTTAAAATTTTTTATTTTTGTGCATACATGGTAGATGTATATATTTGTGGGGTACGAGATGTTTTGATACAAGTGTGCAATGCATAATAATCACATCATGGAAAATGGGGTATCCAGCGCCTCAGGCATTTATCCTTTATGTTACAAACAATACAATTATACTTTTAGTTATTTTTAAATATACAATTAAATTATTATTGATTATAGTCACCCTGTTGTGCTATTCAATATTAGGCCTTATTCATTCTTTCTAATTAATTTTTTTGTACCATTAACCACCCCTACCTCTCTCCAACTCCTCAATACCTTTTCCAACCTCTTGTAACCATCTTTCTACTCTCTGTCTCTATGAGTTCAATTGTTTTGAATTTTAGATTTCACAAATGAGTGAGAACATGCTGTTTGTCTTTTTCTGTGCCTGTCCTGTTTCATTTAACATAATGACTTCCAGTTACATCAATGTTGTTGCAAATGACAGGGTCTCATTCTTTTTTATGGCTGAATATTACTCCATTGTGTACAAGTACTGCATTTTCTTTATCAATTCATCTGTTGTTGGACATTTAGGATGCTTCCAAATCTTGGCTACTGTTAACAGTACTGCAACAGACGTAAGAGTGTAGATAACTCTTCCGTAGATCGATTTCCTTTCATTGGAGTATATACCCAGCACTGCGATTACTAGATCAAATGGTAGATATATTTTTAGTTTTTTGAGGAACCTCCAAAGCATTCTTCTTACTGGGTTGTACTAATTTACATTCCCACAAACAGTGTATGAGGGTTCCTTTTTCTCCACATCCTCGCCAGCATTTGATATTGCTAAAGTTTAGATAAAAGCCATTTTAACTGGCATGAGATGGTATCTCATTGTAGTTGCTTGTTTGTTTGTTTTGGGACAGAGTCTCACCAAGTCACCCAGGCTGGAGTGCAATGGCATGATCTTAGCTCACTGCACCCTCCAACTCACAGGTTCAAGGAATTCTCCTGCCTCAGCCTCCTGAGTAGCTGACATTACAGGTGCCCACTACCACGCCCAGCTAATGTTTGTATTTTTAATAGAGATGGGGTTTTACCCTGTTGGCCAGGCTAGTCTCGAACTCCTGACCTCAGGTGATCCACCCACCTTGGTGTCCCAAAGTGCTGGGATTACAGGCGTGGGCCACCATGCCCAGCCTCGTTGTAGTTTTGGTTTGCATTTCTCTGATGATCAGTGATGTTGAACACCTGTTGATATTCCTGTTTGCCATTCGTGTGTCTTCTTTTGAAAAATGTCTGTTCAAATTATTTGCCCATTTCTAAATGGATTATTAGATTTTTACCAATAGTGTTATTTGAGCTCCTTATATATTCTGGTTATTAATCCCTTGTCAGATAGGTAGTTTGGAAATATTTTCTCCAATTTATGGATTATCTCTTCACTTTGTTGACTGTTTCCTTCGTTGTGAAGAAGTTTTTTAACTTGATGTGATCCCATGTGTTCATGTTTGCTTTGGTTGCCTGTGCTTTTGGGGTAGTGCTCAAGAAATCATTGGCCTGACCAGTATCCTGGAGATTTTCCCCAGTGTTTTCTTCTAGTAGTTTTATGGTTTGAGTTTATGGATTTAAATCTTTAATCCATTTTGATTTGATTTTTATATATGATGAGGGATAGGGGTCTAGTTTCATTCTTCTGCATATGGATATCCAGTTTTCCCCACACCATTTATTAAAGAGATTGTCTTTCTTTGGCACCTTTGTCAAAAATGAGTTCACTGTAGGTGTGTGGATTTGTTTCTGAGTTCTCTATTCTGTTTCATTGCTCTATGTATCTGTTTTTATGCCAGTAACATGCTGTTTTGGTTACTATAGCTCTGTAATATAATTTGAAGTCAAGTAATGAGATTTCCCCAGTTTTGTTATTTTTGCTTAGGATAGCTTTGGCTATTCTGGGTCTTTGGTGATTCCATGTAAATTTGACCATTGGCTTTTTTCTATTTCTGTGAAGAATGTCATTGGTATTTTGATGGGGACTGCATTGAATCTGTAGATTGCTCTGGATAGTATGGTCATTTTAACACTGTTGATTCTTCCAATCCATGAACACAGAATATCATTCCATTTTTTGATGTTCTCTTTGATTTGTTTCATCGATGTATTATAAATTTCCTTATCAAGATCTTTCACTTCTTAGGTTAGATAAGTTAGGTGTATTGAATATATTTTCAACTTACAGTATTTTAGACTTATGATGGTTTTATTAGGACACAACTTCGTAAGTCAGAAAACATCTGTGTAGATTAATTACACATATATTAATGTTAATTAATGTTAATTAATTAACATCCTAGGAGATGTTACTGCCTTAGGTAAAAGATAAGAGTTTAGGCAAATAGTGCGTTAACCAAAAGTTTGGGAGGAACAGCTTGGAAATAGGTACATAAGGGCTTTGAAAAGCTCTAACATATTTATGGAAGTCTAAAAGGCTATTCGCATGCCGGGGGCTACATGCATCCTCTGGACAGACTTAAGAAGGCCTTAAGCTTTCACCTTCTGCTGGCCTTGCGACAATATGGAAACAGGAAGTAAATGCTAAGGTACAGTTGAAACCTGCCTGGTTGATTATTGAAGGGCTGTCCTTACACAGAGTTCCTTAGGAAAATCTGGGAGGTTTTTTCTATCCAGGAATTTAAGGAAATCTCTATTCAATTATTAGCTGACCACTAAGGTAATGAAACACAGATTTCAGTGGCCACACATGACAAAGAATGCAAACCATACAAAATTAGTTAAGAAAAATCACTCATCAGATAATGAAAACACCAACAAATCCTAGGGAAGAGAGAGAATGAGATTTCAAGAATTGCCATATTATAATACTCAAAACATCATTGCAAGGAGACAAATTAAAAAGTACGACCCACACACAGCAAAAAACCAAATCAATAGAAACTCTGCTTGAGGATATATTGCCTAGAACTTTCTAAACACAGACATTAAGTTTTTAAAATATGTTCCACTAGTCAAAGAGATATGCTTATACACTATTGGTGGGGGTGCAAATTATTTCAGCTATTGCGGAAAGTAGCGTGGCACTTCCTTAAAGAGCTTAAAACAGAATTACCATTTAACCCAGCAATCCCATTACTGGGTATATACCCAAAGGAATATAAATTGTTCTACCATTAAGACACATGCATGCAAATGTTCACTGCAGCATCATTCACAATAGCAGAGACATGGAATCAACATAAATATCCATCAATGGTAGACTGGGTTAAGAAAATACGGTACATATACACTGTATTATGAAGCCTTAAAAAAAATGAAACCATGTCCTTTGCAACAACATGGATAGAGCTGGAGGCCATTATCCTAAGCAAACTAATACAGGAACAGAAAACCAAATACTGCATATTATCTTTTATAAGTGGGAGCTAAACAATGAAAACACATGATACTAGGAGGTAAATAGCAGACCCTGGGGCCTACATGAGGGTAGAAGGTGGGATAAAGGAGAGGATCAGAAAACATACCTATCGGCTACAGTGCTTATTACTCAGGTGACAAAATTATCGATACACCAAACCCCTGTGACATGCAGTTTGCCCATATAACAAACATGCCCATATACCCTTGAACCTAAAAGTTAAAAAGAAATAACAAGGGAAAGAAAATGCTACACTAAAAAATATTTAGTTAGTACAAAAGAAGGCAAGAAATGGAAGAAGAAATAAATAAGACATATTGAAAACAAATAGAAAAATGGCAGAAGTCCTTTCTTATCGATAAATCAGTAATTGCACTAAATGTAAGTGAAATGAACTTTCCAATTAAAACACTGAGAATTGAAGAATGGATTTTATAAAAAGGATTCAACTGTAAGCTGTGTACAGGAAACAGATTAATAGACACAAACAGGCTGACAGAAAAATGATTTTAAAACGTATTCCATACAAATAGAACTCAAAAGAACGGATGACTATGCTAATATCAGACAAACTATATTTTAATACAAAAATCATTACAGTGACAAAGACATTATATAATGTTAATTATGTAAATCCATCCATAAGATATCATAGTTTTAAAAATATATGCACTTAACAAGAGACCCCTAAAATATATCAAGCAAAAACATACAGAACTAAAGGGAGAAATAAATAATTCAAATATGTTACTTGGAGACTTTAGTATCCCATTTTGAATAATGGATAGAACACCTAGACTGAAACAACAGTATATGTCACCTAGACCTCCCAGCCGTCTATAGAATATGTCATTTAACAGTAGCAGGCACATGTTCTTCACAAGTGCACATGAAACATTCTGTAGGACAGACCATATGTGGCCAAAAAACAATTCTCAGTAAGTTTAAAAAGGTTGAAAGCATGCATTTTATCTTCTCCAACCACAATGGATTGGAATTTGAAATCAGTAAGAGAAGGAAATTTGAAAGATTCACAAATGTGTGGAAGTTAAACAGGAAACTACTAAATAACCAATGGGTTAAAGGATAAATTACAAGAGAAATGACATAATACTTTGAAGAAATGAAAAAAAATCAAAACTGATGGGATGCATTTAAAGTAGGGCTCAGAAGGAAATTTATGACTATAAGTAACTACTTTTAAAAAGGGGAAATAAGAAAACATTAACATAACCTCCCCGCCCCCAACAGGACAAACTAGAAGAAGAGGAGCAAATTATTTCCAAAACAGGCTGAAGAAGGAAAAAATAGCAATTAAAATATAAATAAAGCAGAGAATTTGAAAGTAATAAAGCTTAATAAAACCAAAAGTTGATCCTTTAAAAAGACCAACAAAATTGAAAAAACTTTAGCTAGAAAAAAAAGAAAGAAGACTCAAATCACTAAAATCGGGAATGAAAGTAGGAATATTATTAATGACCTTAATGAAAGAAAAAAGATTATAAGGGAATACTTACTATAAACCATTGTGTCAATACTAGAAAACTCTACATATGAAATGGAAAAATTTCTGGAAACATAACTAACACTAAACTAAAACTGACTGAATATGAAATAGAAAATCTGAGTATTGCTGTAACAGTAAGGAGTTTGAGTTAGTAATTTAGCAAAACTTCCAACAAAGAAAAATTCATTACCAGATGTTTTCCCTGGTAATGCTATCAAACATTTGAGACGAAAGAGAATCAACAGCAGTCCTTCTCAAACTCTCCCAAAACATAGACGAGGATGAAACACTAACTCATTTTATGAGGCGAGTATTACCCTTAATGATACCAAACCCAGATAAAGTCGTTTGAAAAGTAACAAACCGGTATCTACCACGCTATTAAGTAAAGGTTAATAAAACTACAAATCTTATGACTATGGATGCAAAAATCCTGAACAAAATACTGGCAGATCTACGTCAGCAATATGTAAGAAAGGATTATATACCTTGATTAAATGGGATTTATTCCAGGAATTTATAGTTGGTTTAACACATGAAAATCAATCAACGTAATACACCATATTGCTGAAATGACTGGGAGAAAAACACATGATCACATCTTAATAGATAAAATCATTTGACAAAATTTAATACTGTTTAATGATAAAAATACTCAACATATTAGGAAAGGAAGGAAGCTTTCTCAGTCTGATAAGTGAGATTTACAAAACAAAACAAAGAACCCCGCAATGAAGTCATGCTTATTTATGAAAGACTGAATGTATTCACCCTAAGGGAAGAAGACAACAATGGCCACTAATACTAGTGCTATTCAACATTATACTGCAGGTTCTAGCTAGTGTAGTTAATTAAGAAAACAAAATAAAAACTGTCTAAATTGAAAACGAAGAAACAAAACTCTCTATTTGTAGAAGGTAGGACTTATATATAGCAAACCTTAAAGAAACTACCAAAAAAAAAAGGATCTGTTAGAGCTAATAAACAAATTCAGCAAAATGGCAGGATATGAGACCAATATACAAAGATCAATTGCATTTCTATACACCAGCAATGAACCATCTGAAAATAAAATTAAGAAGATGGTTCCATTAACAATAAAGTCAAAAATAATAAAATGTAACAATGATATTAAGTAATGCTCAACATCAGTAGTCATTATGGAAATGCAAATCAAAAGTACAATAAGCTACCACTGCATAACCATTTGGATGGGCACTGTAGTAGTCTATTCTTGCATTGCTATAAAGAAATACCTGAGACTGGATAATTTATAAAGAAAAGAGGTTTAATTGGCTCTTCTGCAGGCTGTAAAGGAAGCATAATGCTGACATCTTCTTGGCTTCTGGGAGGCCTCAGGAAACAAACAAACAATCGTGGCAGAAGGTGAAGTGGGGGCAGGCATGTCTTACATGGCAGAAGCAGGAGCAAGAGAGAGGTGGGAGGTGTTACACACTTTTAACAACCAAAGTTCATGAGATCTCACACTCTATCATGAGAACAGCAGCAAGAGGATATTTCTAAACCATTCATGAGAAACCACCACCATGATCCAGTCACTTCCCACCAAGCCCCACCTCCACCACTGGAAATTACACTTCAACATACAATTTGGGTGTGAACACAGATCCAAACCATATTAGGCACTATCAAAAAATTAGAAAATAATGAGTGTTAGTAAGGACATGGAGAAACTGAAACACTTGTACATTGTTGGTGGGATTGTAAATTGGAGTAGTCACTATGGAAAACAGTATTGCAGATCCTAAGAAATTTAAAAATAGAATTGCCGTATTATCCAGCTATTCCACTGCTGCTTATGTTGCCAAAAGATTTAAAAGTAGGGACTCTAAGTAGTATTTGTGCCCCTATGTTCATAGCTGCATTATTTGCAGTACTTAGAAGGTTAAAGCAACCAAAATGCCCATTGACAAGTGAAGCATAAACAGAGCTCTTTATACATACAATGGGATATTATTCAGCCTTAAAAAGGAATGAAATTCTAACACATTCTACAACATGGATGCTAAATAAAATAAGCCAGTAATAAAAGGACAAATACTGCATGATTCCACTTGTATGAGGTACCCAGAGTAGTGAAACTCACAGAGACAAAGTGGGATGATGGTGGCCAAGGGCTGAGGATGGAGGAGCAGGTAATGGGGAATTATTAATATTTCTAAATAGGTAAAGAATTTAGATTTTACAAAATGAAACAAGTTCTGTTAATGGATATTAGTGATAGTAGCAAAACAATGAAAATGTGTTTAGTACCACTTAACTGTACAATTAAATGCTGTAAATTTTATATTATATGTATTTTATTACAATTAAACTTTTTTTAAAAAAGGAATAAATTTAGCCAAAGAATGTCAACACTTGTTCATCAAAAACCACAACATTATTGAATTTCTTTCAAACATTGTTGAAAGAAATTAAAGAGGGTATAAATAAGTGGAAATACCTCCCAGGTTTTAATGGATTGGAAAAGTTAATAATTTTAAGATAACAGTACTTTTCAAATTTATATATAAGGTCAATGCACTCTATCAAAATTTTAGCTGTCTTTTTTCAGAAATGGAAAAGCTGATTCTAAAATATGGAATTGCAAGAGACATAGGATAACCAAACCTATATTAAAAGAATAAATTTGGAGGACTTATACTTCTTAATTTCAAAACTTAATACAAAGCTACAGTGATAAAAACAGTGTGGTGCTAGTTAAAGATAGTCTTACAGACAAATTTAATAGAATTGAGAGTCCACAAAGAAACCCATATACTTATGGTCAATTTATTTTCAACAAGGTTGCCAAGACTTTTCAAAATGACTGTCCTTACCATTGTTGAAAAGACGGTCACTTCAACAATGGTGCTGGAACAACTGGATATCAACAGGCCAAAGAACAAATCTAGTCTCCAACCTTACACTCTATGAAAAAATGAATTCAAAATGCATGAAAGACCCAAATGTGAGAACTATAACTATTAGAAGGAAACATAGTTAAAAATCTTCATGACCTTGAATTACCCAATGGTTTTCATAGATATGACACCAAAAGGACAAGCAAAAAAAAGTAGATTGATAGTCATCAAAATTTAAAACTTGTGTGTCAAAAGACATTCATTTACAAGATAGTGAAAATATAACAGCAGAATTGAAATCAATGTTTGCAAATCATGTGTCTAATAAAAGTCTAATCTCCAGAATATAAAAGTAACCCTTACAACTCAATAATAATAAGACAAATGGCCCAATTTAAAAATGAATAGAAGATACAAGTAGACATTTCTCCAAAGAAGACATACAGGTGGCCAATGGACACATGAAAAGATTCTCAGAAATGCAAATCAAAACCACAGTAAGATACCACTTCATATTCATTAGAATGGCTATAATGTTTAAAACAGACAACAACAAGTGTTGGCCAGGATTCACAGAAATTGGAACCCTCACACTTTGTTGGTGAGAATGTGAAATAGTACAGCCACTGTGGAAAAGAGTTTGGCTGTTACTCGACAAGTTAAACATAGAGTTACCATATAACCCAGAATTTCATCTGTAGATACATCCTCAAGAGAATTGAAAACATATGTTCACAAAAAACTATTCATAATAGCATAATTCCTAATTGCCTGTAAGTGGAAACAACCCAAATGTTCATCAACTGGTGAGTTGGTAAACAAACTATGATATATGCATAAAATGGGATATTGTTCACCAATAAAAAGGAATAAGGTACTCATACTTGACATGGATGAACCTGGAAAATATTGTGCTACCTGAAAGAAGCCAGACACATATTGTATGATTCCATTTAAATGAAATGTCTAGAATAGGAAAATCCATAGAAACAGAATGTAGACTAGTACTTACCAGAAGAAAGGAGGAAGAGGAAATTGAAACTAACTACTACTAAGTATAAGGATTTTTGCAGAATGATAAAAAGGATCTAGACTTATATAGTTCGTGGTTCCACAAGATAGTGAGTATACTAAAAACCACTACAGTGTACATTTTTAAATGGAGAGGATTTTGTTATGTGAAATATATCTCAATTTTAAAAATACTTTTTAAAAATTAGCATGAAATGAACTTTTAGCGATAACCATAATTTTAGATGGTTTATCCCCAAGAGAACAGCAACTAAGAAACTTACAATGTATGCATGTCAGGACAGCATAAGAAAATCTCATAATGACAAAACTATACAAGGAGAAAAGTATGCAAACAAATTGGTAAATTTGTGTACATCTACGTAGAAATTGTCTTTATAAAGGGCTAATGATATGTAATATGTGAGTTTGAACTGGACAATATTGGGCAATAGCTTGTAAGTTAGAAGGGATTGTTACATAATATTGTTGCAGAAGAGGCTTATGATGTTATTTAACTTCATACTTATTTAAGTTAACTATACCTGGTAAAAGCCCAAGCATAGCAATGAAAAGAGTAGAATAAATACATTTCCAATCAGTAGGGAGTAAAAAAGATGGAATTAAAACTAAAGTTTCTATCCCCAACCCCTCCCCACCCCAATAAAAAGCATTAAAAAACTGGGACCAATGGAAGATTTTTAAAGTATTGGGCTAGAATTAAATACATTATATATCAATAAGCACAATAAATATAAAAGGACTATGATTTCCAATTAAAAACCAAATTTCTCAGATATGATTAAAACTCCAGGTGAGTTCCATTTATTAAAGGCATACCTAAAGCCAAAAGAATGTTGAAGGTAAAAAGATAGAAAAATATATCCTGGGCACTAATCAAAAAACTAAGCTGACATAGCTATATTGATATTTTAAAAAATATTTCAAGGGAAAAATTGTTAGTGAAGAACTAAGTTGTATGGGTAGGAAGAGCTGAATTTTCTTAAGTAAGATGCTACCATCCTAAATTCATGTATTTCAAATAAATAACCTCAAAATGTGTAAAGCAAAAATTGATGAAACATCAGGGAGAAAATGACAAATCTGCCATCTTTGTGGAAGATTTCAACACTCCTATCTCAGTTATCAAAATATCCAGGAGACAAAAAAATTCAGTGAATATATACAAGATTTGAATAACATAATTAGCATTTGATACTATTGATATATAGAACTTTTCACCCAATCATAGACAGTACATATTATTCTCAAGCAAACATGTAACCTGTGTAAAATCTGATCACATGGTTCAGGGGTCCCCAATCCCTGGGCCACAGGCTAGTACCAGTCCTTGGCCTGTTAGGAACCAGGCAGCACAGTAGCGGGTGAATGACTTGCAAGAGAACAAAGCTTCATCTATATTTACAGCCACTTCCCATTGCTGGCATCACCGCCTGAGCTCCGCCTCCTGTCAGATCAGTGGCAGTATTAGATTATCATAGGAGCATGGACCCTATTGTGAACTGTGCATGCAAGGGATATAGGTTGCATGCTCCTTATGAGAATCTAATGGCTGATAATCTGTCACTATCTCCCATCACCCCCAGATGGGAACATTTAGTCACAGGAAAACAAGCTCAGGGCTCCCACTGATTCTACATTATGGTGAGTTGTATAATTATTTCATTATATATTACAATGTAATAATAATAGGAATAAAGTACACAATAAATGTACTTGAATCATCTCGAAACCATCCCCTTCCACCCACACTGGCCCGTGGAAAAATTGTCGTCCATGAAACTAGTCCCTGGTGCCAAAAAGGTTGGGAACTGATGACATAGTTAGATCATAACACAAGTCTTACCAGATTTTAAGAATTAGTGTTATCAATACCATGATATCTGACCAGTGTAAATTTATATTTGAAGGCGAGGACAAATAATTATATTAAAATATTCTCATTACTGCTGAAGAATTTTGAACACTTAACATATTTCAAAGAAACATAAAAAGTATTTAGACTAAACAATAATAGATATACTAAATACAAAAACTTGTAGAATGTAAGGAAAATGAAACATGAAGATAAATCTATTTGCGTAAAAGCTTATTACTTGAGAGAAAAGCCTAAAATTAATGAACTAAATCTCTAACTGCAAAAAAAAATGTCCAAGTTAGGAAAATAACAGAACCCCTTCACAAAGTAGAAGAAAGCTAATAATAAAGAAGTTTAACAGAAATCAGCAAAATAGAAAAATAAGATACAGTGGAGAAGATTAACAAAGATAAATGTTTATTCATTAACTAATAATAAATGAGCAAACTCTTCTAAGATTGATTAAGAACAAAATAAAACAACACAAATAGTGAACATACAGAATGAAAAGGAGACATAATTATAACCAAAACTAATTAGAAAAGAAAATGAGAGTGCTATCAAAGCATTATACCATTAAAATTACAAATTTAAATGAAATGAGCAATGTCCTAGAAAATATACAGCTTCCTATAACTGAAAAAGAAGAAACAAAACCCTAAATAGTTCTTTAAGTATGAAAGGAAGTTAATCAGTAAAATTTCTTCCTGTAGAGAAAACTCTAAGCCCAAATAGTTTACAGGAATAGTCTACCAAATGTTCAAGTAAAACTCTGTTCCAAACTTACAAACTCCTAGAGATCAGAAACAGGGAATGTTCCAGATTGTTCACTGAGGACTGTGTAATCTTAATTATAAGAGCAAACAAGGAAAATCACATGCCAATCTCCCTTATGAATATAGATCTGTAAGTTCTAATTAAAATATTAGCAGAACTCAATTCAACTGTGTATAAAAAGATAACATGTGTATGTGGGGCAAACTGGAAGACGGTGATGAGGGAAATTTATCCCATGAATGCAGGAGTTGTTCATCATTTTAAAAATTTCTAAAAATGTCATTCATTTATCACATTAAAAGTGAAAACTTTTATGATCATCTTAGTAGGTGCAGACATCTAGTAAAGGTCAGTAACGTTCATGATTAGAAAGAATACTCTTAGCAAATTAAGAATAGAAGAGAATTTTGAACTATTTTAATTTAAAAAACAATATCTACAGAAAACCTGCAGCTTTATTTATAAAACTCACAAGCAATCTGAACAACATATTGCTTTGGCATATATACATATGTGAGATAAAATGGTTTGTTAAGGAAGCAAGAGACTGATAAATACCAAGTGCAGCAGAGTGGTTTATTTATTTATTTATATATTTACATATACTATTATTTTTAAGTGAGTGAGCTTAGGATAGTAAAGACATTCGTGTCGCCTCTCAAAACCTGAGTTAAAAACAACTTGACTGTGAAAAAGAAATATAGATTTTATCCTCAGTGAAAATTCATTTTGTTACTTTCCTTAGCAGTCTAGATGTAAGACTGAGAAAGGAGACCAGTGTGTTAACCCAGGGTCACACATCTTTGACTCCAGTGCAGCAGGTAGATCAGGAATTAAGTGAAGGTGTTGGCAAGAGAGTGGTTAAAACATGGAATTGTGGGATCCCAGATGGATGCAAAAGGAAGTGAATTATTAAGCAGAAGAGGAAAGAGAGCAGCAAGGATAGGAGATCATGATCTGAGAGTAGACTTAAAGCATAAAGACTTGTGAAATGAAGCTACTTATGGCCATTGGATTTATTTGCTGAAGTAAGGGAGACTTGAAGATCTTTTGAGTTAATCAGTCAAAGAATTGTGAGCTGCTGTGATCAATGTTTTCCATGTGGATAATGGTGTCATTCAGAGTGGTGTCAAGAGTCATGGAAAGATACCTTCTCTTCGTGTAAATAAAACATCATAGATCAGTTGGCAGAACTCATAAGTGCCCAAGATAGGGGAACAGACTAAAAAACTGATACAATTTCTTTGGTGTGTCTGAGGACAGGAGTCTTTTGTTACAAAGCCTCCACCCCCACAGCCATGCTGCTTTGCTTTTCTAATCCACTGCTTTGCTCCTGGGAATGATATGTATTAGCCAGCCAGACCATGTACCCTTCCCTTCCTGCTGTCTCCTGTTAATCTATTTAAGTTTTGTAATTTGCACTAATTTGCACATATTAGATTTCTTCCTGGCTTTCTTCAGCCTTCAGCATGCACTAGACAAAGCCATTGAACGAAATATTCTAATATCACATCTCTTCTCTCTTTTGAAGCCTCTCTACAAAATGTAGGCTGATAATATGATCAAAAGTTAATAATCAGAGTTTACGTGATGTTCTTTTTTAGCTTCTTTTAATTTTCCATTTCCCTCAGTGATTAAGACTGTATGTTTGTTTGCCCTCCAACGTCATTTACAGAGGAGTTTTTATCTTTTTTCCTAAGTATTGTCACATCTAACAGATTTCCATAACCTTTGTATTCTTTTAATAATTTGTGTTGTGGTTAACTTTTAGACTGAAAACTGGACAACTTTCCCATTAGAATGTGTCTATGTCCCCCTCAACAGATTGGAGAGATAGCTGCTCCATGCTTCTAGGAAATATCTGCAGCTATCCTGCTGCTATGCAAGATTTTACTGGTGCCGCTGTCATATTGTCAGAACCGTTCCCACTGGTCCTAGAGTGACAGAGTAGTTATTTAACCTAAATCTTATCAAGGAGTGATTAAATCTATATCTGAGCAGACATGGATTTTAGACGGATTTCTACTGAGAACTATCTTGAGTTCAGTGTTGCTCAGTATTTACATTACCACCCTAAAATAAAGGAACCATTCACCTGTCGGTTTTTATGGAAGATGCCACAAAGATATTGCAAGTAATTTGGTGGGAAGATATTAAAACTTCATGTTTTGTAATTCAACCTTGATATTAGAAAGAACAAATAAATCCAGTATAGTCACACTCACCTCAAAGACATATGTAGGCTTTTAAAATTATATTTAAACAATAAATTAGAAATATCAGAATACATAATGATATTTTGTTTCTTCTGCTTATATTTATGTATCAGTAAAGAAGAAAGTTTGCCACAGGTAGACATGATATAGTGAAGAATATAGGAGGAATTACTAGGACTTAGTATTTAGTAAGTACAGAAATTAAAACAAAGTTAAACCTATTTCCATCTGATTTATATTTATGAAAACTTGAGCAAAAAAAAGTTGATATATTTCATTAATGAGCAGTGAAAAAAAGTAATGCTGTTATTGAAGTAGTACTCCTGTTTAAAATCCCCGGAAAGAAAAACTGGACAATGAAGGAATATGAGGATTAGAATGAAATTTAAAAAGGACATAGACAAAGGAACTGAAACCACTTCTTAAGCTTGCCCTTTAAGGAAAACCCAGAATGACTTGAAGGTAGCTTTTTAAATATTATTTTTTTTAATATGCAGTAATTACTTAATGCAAAAAAAATTGAAGAAGACACAAAAAGGCCAAATCATTGTTTTTAATTGACACAGTGAAAAACAAAATGATATTAGTTATTATAATCAATATTATCTTCCCCTCCTCTTCCTCCTCCTCCTCTTCCTCCTCCATCTCCTCCATGATCATCATCATCATGTGGCTTAAACCAGTAATCAGTTTTTTTCTTTCTTATGATTCTCATTGCCTGGGCTCAGCTAAGCAGTTCTCTCTGGCTCCATGTGGAGTTGCCTGGGTCTGCAGTGTCCTGAATGTGACTTACTTTGGGCTGAGACCTCATTTAGGCCTGAGAGCCCGAGCAATTCTGTGCTCTTCAATGTGCTCCATGTGATGTGGGCTTCTCTCAGGGGAGCAACAGACTCCAGAAGAGAGAGTTCAAAAAAAATCAAAAGCTGCCTGGCATCTTATGTCCTAGCCTCAGGAGTCACATAGCATCACTTCTGCTGTATTCTGTGGCTCACAGGAAGTCACAGGGCAAGTCCAGATCCACAAGGAGTAGAAAAAGTCTCCATTTTTTGATGACAAAGTCACACTGCAAAAGAGCATGTGGGATGGGAAATGTTGTTGCAGCCATCTTTGGAAGTAATCTCTGCCACATGTTATTAAAGAAGTTAGAAGAAGCTCACTGTGTGTACATGTGAAAAGATGTCCAAGATACATTTCTATGTGAGAAAAGCTGGGTAAAGAACAGACTGTATAATGTACTAATAATTATCAGTGTTAGGAAGTGTGGGAAAAGAATATATTTGTATTTTTATTTATATATTTTAGAAGTCTCTGAAACACACCCAGGCATAACAGTGGGTACCTGTTGAGGTTGAAAATTTGGTGACTAGGGGACATAGTGAGAGGCTTTTCACTGTAAAATGTTACTACACATTTTAAAAATAATTCGAATCTCCTAAATAAGTAACTTCTGTAGTTAAAAAAGTCAGCTATATGGTTGAACTTTAACTGTAGTTCCATATTAGAATTTGGAATCTCAGCATTTAAAAGAATTTTAGATGTCATTTAGTCCTATCATCTGCATTATTTAAAGTAAGAATCTACATGGTTTATCTGAAATTCAAATTTAACTGGGCATCCTATATTTTTAAAAATTTTATTGAGGTACAATATAAAAAAATAAAAATAAAGTAAGAATCTAGTCTGTTGATTTCCTAAAGTGTGGTCATTGAACTTATCTGTGAAAAATTACCTCTAAGATAGTGACTTCTGTTGCATAACCATTTGAAAACACTCCAACCAAAATTTTTTATTTTTGAGGAACCTATCTTAATTGAATTAACTGAATTGCTGATTAACAAGACACACTATTTAACAGAGGAATTGGTGCAACAGTTTTATGACATCTTTCTATATTTCACATTTTACTGAATCATAATTTAAAATATATTAATTTTATATCTAGCTTTATCTAAAACTTATGTATATTTGAAGTACTGAAATCTGATTATTGAAAAAAATTGGACTGACCAAAGCTATTAAGAATAATATTTCTAAAGGTATTTTTCTTTTTAGATTACTGTGCCATGCTATGAAGGACCATATAGTCCGTGTTGCAAATGAAGCTGAGTTTATTTTGAACAGACAAAGAGCCGAGGATGTACATAAACATGCAGAGTTTGAGGTAAGGTTTTGGGAGTAGACTAAATTCTGCCTTTCTATTATAAGCCAAAAATCACCTATCTGTGACCTTACATAAGAAGGTTTTTTTAAAAGGAAAATTTCACTGAAGGCATTTCTGTTCCTGTTTTTTAAAAGCTTTAGTAAATGTCAAACAGAGTACTAATATATTTTCACCCCATTTACAGCATGAAAACATTCCTTCTGCCCTATATATGCCTAACCATTTGGTAGACTGAAGTTATTCTAACCTACTCAAGAGTAAATGCAAAAAATAATTTATAATGCAACAATTTTAGTTATTTTAAGCTAGCAGAGATTTACACACCAATAGGTAGATATGAGTATATGATACAGTTATATGAATAAACTCATATAAGATTCAAAAAAATCTTTCAATTTCTGTTTTATACATAACAGTTATTTATTATTTCAGTTTATTCCATTTACAAGACAAAATAGGTCCGAGAAATATTTATGTGCCCTGCTGTTTGGCTTAGTTGGACTTGAAAGTAATAAATGACTCACCAATTTATTCTCCTGATACAACAGGCTAACAAGTATGGTGTAGCTAGAAATCAGAGCCCACAATTCTAGTTTTGATGAGGTTTTTATCTCAGTAAAGCAGCTCTGTGAGTCATACAAGTTGATAGACTAGGTCTAGTGATCTCTGACCTAGCTGGCTGAAAAGCATGAGACAGGAAAATAGCCACTATCGCTTTCAAACACATGACCTTTGCTTCATTTGGTCAGAAGAGGCACAAGACAAGCAGCCACTTGTCTTGTGAAATTGCAACAACCGTATTCTGAGAAAGATACCAGATATTTTAAACTTCGATAAAAGTATAGTGATCTTTAAGTGTTTATCAAAGTGAAGTTTCGTATTAGTAAAGATTTGGAATCTCAACTGAATTCCCTGCAGGATCAGTTTTGAGTCTCTTGTATTTCCACTAAGAAAATCAAGATAATTTGTGAGGATATAAGCAGATCAATATTTGTCATGTGAAAACATTTAAAATAGATTTTCAAGTGGCTAGATATTAGTTATGAGCTTTAACATGTTTAACCAAGGTGACATTAAGCCAAGGGCAGTGTTTCTCAACCTTTTTTATTGTTGTTATTGATTCCCTAAGGAGTCCTTTTAGACATTTTGCCTAATTGGCCTCTCATCCCAAAGAAATTTTATAATACCACCCATAGGCTGTGTATCTGTTTTTGTACTTACATACATTTGTGTTTTATGTACTGAAATAACAATATTTTTATCCCCCACCCGACACACACCAATTTTTCACTCTTAGGAATGAGATTACTCTCGTTGTGGGTCATCTTCCCAAGGTGATAAGAGGTTTCCAAGGAAACATGAAGACTTAGTGTTTTTTAGATTTTATAAACATAAAATATAATATTAATGTAAATGTAATTTTGATTATATTGCCAGTGTTATTTGATGATTGTACCTTATTTTTTTAACCTGAAATGTTTATATCTCTCCTTTTTGGGTTAGAGCTATTGATGTGTGTGTGTGTGTGTGTGTGTGTGTGTGTGTGTGTGTGTGTGTAGTTTACACAAAGATATCCCTTTTAAATTGTAAAAGATTTTACAAGTCATGACATTTTGCTAGAACTTTTTGAGGAATTTTTCTATCCCCCATATCAGCCTATAATTAGGAAGAAAAGTATATTTGATTTTAGATGGGTACTTCACAGTTAAGTTTTTTTAGTTAACTACTGTAGTTGTTAAGGAAGAAAAATGAAAATTTAATTTTACTCTCCAATGAGCTAATGAAATATTAACCTCATTACTGAGGCAGATCGTTGTACTAATTGGTGATTCCCTGTACAAAAAGATAAATTGGAAAATGAATTAATCCTTCTTAGATTACTGTAGGGTTATTTCTCCAGAAGAGATTACTTGTGGTAGTAGTGTATATCAATAGATAAATGAGAGGAATATGTTCAAGTACCTTCCATGAAATAGATTTTTGCATAGTAATGATGAATGTGAACTACTTCTATTTATTTTATCAGATGTATGAGACTTTTTTCTTCCTAGTTATATTACTTGTATTACACATTTATTAATGTTAAAAGTTATAGTCACACCACTCTGTATATTTATTGTAGTTTTCTGTATAAAAACTACAATAACAAGAATCAAATTTATAATTAAAGAAATATTTCTCTTTATGTTTACATTAAATATTTTTAATACAAAAAATGATCCATTGATAGCAGTGTTGCTAACAAATGTAAGAATGAATACATGTCAGATAGCTGACATGACAACTGATAATTATGGGAAAAGGAAGGTAAGAATAAGGTAGTAGTTCTCATGAAACCCTTTGAACACATTACATTTTAAGAATATGGAGGGATCATAGAAAAAAATCTTGTCTCAGCTCCTCATTTACAAATATGAAACTGAGTACATTAAAATATATGGAGTTTGCATATTTTGTGAATTAAAATCTAGGTCTACTGAATTCCTAAATGACCACATTTTCTTCTGTATCACATTACCATTCATGAAATGGAAAATATAAATTAAATGACAGATTTTTGATTCATATGTAATTATCAGGAACATACCTCTTATTTTAAGTGAGATATACTATATTGGCTTGATAAACAAGTAGGTTTACATTTATAGTAAATATTTGTGCTTCTAAAATACATGAAAATTAGATTCTCAGAATTGGAAGAAACCATGAGTCTTTAATTACTTCAATATTATTCAAATTATTTTACATATACTTTAGAAAGAGCACATTTTTATATTTGAAAGGTGACTATATGTATTCTTTAGAACAAAATATCAAAAGATTACATTATTTGAGTTTTAAAAAGTTGAATTCCTGTTACCGTTTAACTTAAATGTATATCATCCTTACTTATATGCAGTAAAAAGTTTATTATTATGCATCATTTGTATTTCTTTATAGTCACAGTGTGCCCAATATGCTGCTGATAGAAGAGAGGAAGAAAAGATGTGTGACCATCTTATCAGTGCTGCTAAACATCGAGATCATGTAACAGCAAATCAGCTGAAACAGAAGATTCTCAATATTCTCACAAATAAACATGGTGCTTGGGGAGCAGTTTCTCATAGGTGAGTTATAATAAATTCGAGTAAATAATAATTCATAGGTTAATTATAATAGTTGGTAATAAAAATATGGCTACAAATTTAAAAGTCATTTAGAAAATATAATTTAAAATATAAAAAATTACTTGAAAATTTTCCTGAAATCTTTAATAATTCTTCATCAGAAGAGTTTAAGGGAAAACCTAAACTTTTTATAGTAGCTACAGTGGAAGTTATTTCTACTTTATAATAATATGCAACATAATACAAAATATGGTTAGGCAAGTATTTTAGTCTACTGTCTCTCATATGTAACATGGATGTTTAGGTATGAGAAGTGGCTCTTTTTAAAAAAGAATCTTTTAGAGTCAACTCTTCCTACTTATTAAATTTATATCATTCTTTTTTATACAGAAGCATATATAAGCATATACTACAGAGAAATAATATGTTCTTTTAAAAAGTTTTCTTTCATAATTTTCTATTCAGTCTTACCAAGGGAAGATTTTCATCTCAAATATGATTGTTTATGATAATATAGTACAACTAAAACCAAAATTTGGTTGTTTATAAATCACAAATGTTCTCCCTAAAGTTTTGTGGACATACAATTATTGTTGTTGTTGTTGTTGTTGTTATCTATACAATGAAGTTTTCTGGAAAACTAGAAGTGAAACAGGTCACTATATTTAGATTGCTGATGTTCTTCCTTTTTATATTATGTTTTTTGACCCCACTAAATGTTTTTATTAAGTCTGTGTTTGGCAGAGTTTATTAAATCTGTTTGACAAAGTTGGCTGGTGAAATGTAAACGGGATACTACTAAGAAGAGCCTTGGTAAAAATGATTCTGTTGACCTGGTGCGATGGCTCACGCCTGTAATCCCAGCACTTTGGGAGGCCAAGGCTGCTGGATCACCTGAGGTCAGGAGTTTGAGACCAGCCTGGCCAACATGGTGAAACTCCATCTCTACTAAAACACAAAAATTAGCCAGGCGTGGTGGCGGGCACCTGTAATCCTAGCTACTCAGGAGGCTGAGGCACAAGAATTGCTTGAACCCAGGAGGCAGAGGTTGCAGTGAGCCGAGATTGTGCCACAGAACTCCAGCCTGGGTGACAGAGTGAGACTTTGTCTCAAAAAAAAAAGATTCTGTTAGAGAAAAACACCTAGAATATGAGTAGGATGGTATTTAACCAACTTCCTGGGATTATGAGTGTAAGATAGGTTTTTTAAAACTTTATTAATTTTGGATTTAAGGTAAAATTATAACATGTGTCTTTAAAATAGTCAGCATTTAATATTTATCATAATAATAGCAATAACCCATGGCCTCTAACATTTATTATTTGTTGTGTGCGAGGGACCATACTAAGAACTTTACATGGATTATTTCCTTTATCCTTGAACATCTTTATTAAGGGTGACATTGAGGTATTCTCCATTTTACCGGGAAGAACCTAAAGCTGAAAGAGGTTAAATAAAACTTACATAGTATCACACTGCTTGTACAAATAGAGGCAGATTATATCAGTCAGGATGCTCCAGAGATATTTATATTCATTAACTAAATTTATTTTAAGGAATTTATTCATTCAATCATGGGAGCTGGTAAGTCTGAAATCTGTAGGACAGGCTGGCAGGCTAGAAACTCCGGCAAGATTTCTGTGTTACAGTCTTGAGGCAGAATTTCTTCTTCTCCGGGAAACCTCAGCTTTTGCTAAGGCCTTCGGTTGATTGGATGAGCCTTTCCCACATTCTTGAGGGTAATATCCTTTACTTAAAGTTAACTGACTGTAGATGTTAATCATATCTACAAAATACCTCCACAGCAACAGTTAGACTAATGTTTGACCAAACAACTGGGCATTATAGCCTAGCCAGGTTGACATAAAATTTAACCATGAAACACACTAACAATAACCTGAGCATTTTACCCATCTACAGACCTTGTCTCCCTTTTTGTGTCAGCTGAATTGGGTTTATCTATTAATACTTACTTATATGTAGTCAGGACTGTAACATTATATTGCTAGTAACGCAGCTGGTATGATTCAGGATATTGCCTTAGCTGTATAAAGCAGTACATGGTTTGGGTTTTAATTATTTCCTTATGTAATTAGAATACAGCTAAAGGACAGTGACCTCCATAGCAGCAGTCATGTGGTAACATGTCAGATGCGTCCTGTGCTAGCTAGTCAACAACCTTTCTGACATCTCATTAGACTGACAGAAAGCATGGCCTGAGCCCTCAGAAGAGCAGGTGTCTTCTTTCCTTGCACATTAGTTTCTACTGCCAACTATCTGAAAAAAAAACCACAATATTTTTATGATCATTTACTAACTGTGTCACTGAACTCTAAACCTTTAAGCATAGGTTTTGTTCTGTTTAATTCTCCTTAGTATTTGATTAACTAATAGGGCTCAGTCATTGGACCTCTTCTCTTTTCTATCTTATTCACTCTCTAGACAATTTTATCTAGTCCCATGATTTAAAAATACTACTAATATGTTGATAACTCCAAAATTTATTATTCCAAGTCCAGATCTCTCCCGTCGCCAGGTCTGTATATTCATCTGCCCACTTGGTATCTTCTAATTGATTAGCTGATAGTCACCTCACACCTAACATATGAAAACTAAGCTTCTAATATTTTCTTCCAAACCAGTTTCTCTTATATTTTTCTCCATCTCAGCCAAAGGCAACTCCATTCTTACTGTTTCTGAGGCCATAAATGTTGCTCTGTCCTTGACTACTGTTTACACATCCCACATTGAGCCCTTCAGCAAATCTTACTGACACTGCCACAAAATATATCCAGCTTCGACTGCTTCTCACCATTACCTTGGATCACCTTAGTCCAAGCCACATCATTCTCACTTGACTTATTGTACCAGCATGATATATAGTCTTATTTTTATATTTCACTTGACTTATTGTACCAGCATGATATATAGTCTTTCTTTTTATATTTTTCCCCTGTCCTCCTAAAGTCCATTCTCAGCGCAACAGCCTGAGTGACTCTTATTAAAATGTAGATCCCTCTGCTCCTATGCTTAGAAACCTCCACAGCTGTACTATGCCAGACTGTAACCACTAGTCATGTGTGGCTATTCAAATTTAATTAATTAAAATTTAATTTAATGAAAAACGTGATGCCTCAGTTGCACTAGCCAAATTTCAAGTACTCGGTAGCCACATGTGGCTGGTGGCTACCATAGTAGTTATCACAGAACCTTTCCGTCATTGCAGAAAGTTCTTTTGAACGCTTGCTGCAGAGGTTTAGCATTCACTGAGGGGGAAAATAAGATCTCATAGTGACTTATTAGGCCCTACATGGTTTAGTCTTTGTTTGTTAACTCTTCAACCTCCTCTGCCAATACTCTCCCCTTGGTTCTTTTTGTTCTAGTCACCCTGGCTTCTTTCTTGCAGGTCATGTTTGCTCTGTTTAGAATGCTTTCCCAAAAAGTTCATTGGTCAAACTTTTTCATTTTCTTCAGGCCTTAATTCCAAATGATACCATCTCAAAAAAAAAATCATTCTCTAGCCACTCTGTCTAAAATTTTACTCTTCCTCCAAATATTTTATATTGCATTTCCCCACTTTTCAACATCTATTACTTTGATACTAAAATTTCATATATTTTACTTATATATTATTTTTATTGTTTTGTTTTCCAATAGCATGTAAGCTTCATAATGTAATAGATTCTTTGCTCTTTTATCCATAATTGTATCCCCAGCACCTAGAATAAGCCCTGATGCATAGTAGGTACCAAAAAATTTGTGAATAAATTAATGAATAAACACTTGGTGTATGCCCTTTTTTCAGTAATGATACCTATCATGGAATAATAGAAAATAAACTAGTCCATTGGGAATAATTTTATATTTTATTTAACTTTATAAAATGCCAAAAAGTACTTATCCCTGCATGAAACCAAAGTGTTAGAGCCAGCAACACTCTAAAACAGGTGTTCACAAATCCAGTAACATTTTACATAGAAAAGTTTATATATTCTAACTGGAGTCACAAGTTCCTCAAAAAGACAGGAAAATATTTCAACAGCAAAAGTTGCTTTTGAATGCTGTTTATTCTGTGAATGTTACAGATTTGGTTTTTGTATAAATTATCAACTTCTATATATTATACAGTGTACGTTTCTACTACAGAATGATGCTTTCAACTTGTAAATGCAAGAAAAATATGTGGCCATATTTTCCATTGCTAATCCAATGGGATTAATACAATTGTGCATGTAAGAATATTTATGTCATACTTAGGAGTAACTGAAAAATATTCTTCCATATTAGAGTGACCGTTGATTTTTTGTTTGGAGTTCATCCTACTGAACTTCTAAACTGTATTTGACAGTCTTCTATGAACTCTATTCTTTTGATCTCTTGTGTTTCACCATTACGTCTGACCTCACATCCTGCCATGCATCTTCTCAGCCCATGGCTCACTCCACCACAGCCACCCTGGCCTCTGTCTGTTTTGTATACAGGCCAAGCACTTCCTCCTTTTGTATGCTGTTCCTTCTGCATGATATACTCAGATAGGTCTTTGCACAAGTGTTTCCTCATTAGAGTGGATTTCTCTGACCTTTCTATCAAAAATTGCACACCACATTTTTCCCTTCATCACTCCCTAAATTTTCTAAGCTTTAATCTTCATAGCACCTATCACTTGGCATATAATTTACTGTTTAACTATTTTTTTACCTGATATTATGGACTTTCATTTACTGGTGTGTACCCAGTGCATAGAACTCTGCATATAATAATTGTTCAACACATAATTTAAAAATTCATGAATCCATGAAAATTTCCATACACATGTATCATGGCACTTGTGTAGATAGCATGTAAGCTAGTTTTGATACTTTCCACATAGAATTTGAGCTTTATAATCAACATTAAGAGCTCAATTACTTACTAGCTGTATGACTTGTAAGCTGTGTAATCTCGAACAGAGAGGTTTTTTTGTTTTTCTTTTTTGTTGTTTTTTTTTTAACTTTTAAGTTCAGTGATACATGTGCAGGTTTGTTACATAGGAACACGTGTGGGGGTTTGTTATATAGATTATTTCATCACCCAGGAATTAAGCCTAGTATCTGTTAGTTATTTTTCCTGATCTTCTCCCTCCTCCTACCCTCCACCCTGTCATAGGCCCCAGTGTGTGTTGTTCCCCTCTATATGTCCATGTGTTCTCATCATTTAGCTCCCACTTGTAAGTGAGAACACGTGGGATTTGGTTTTCTGTTCCTGTGTTAGTTTGCTAAGGATAATGGCCCCCAGCTCCATCCATGTCCCTGCAAAGGAAAGGATATCATTTTTTGTTATGGCTGCATAGTATTCCATCATGTATATGTACCATATTTTCTTTATAGAGTCTATCATTTATGGCCATTTTTGTTGATTTCATGTCTTTTGAACAAAGATTTTACCTTCCTGATGTTCACCTTTTCTCATTCAGAAAATGGGATGAATAGTTTCTACTAAATTGAGTTACGTTACTATGAAAAATTGAAATACTGTGTGCAAAATGCTTAATATAATGTCAGACACAATAGATATCCAATGCTTATTAGTAGTCTCTTCTTTTTTCTGTTAGTCTGCTCTTTGCAAAGACCCTTTTAAAAATATTTTCTGTCTGCTTAATCACTCCTTAACTTCTAATATATAGTTGTAATATGTTGATTTTATTTGTTTTATCAACAGATAATTCTTTTTTTCAATTGAGATGGAGTCTCACGCTGTCACCCAGGCTGAAGTTCAGTGGCACGATCTCGGCTCACTGCAACCTCCACCTCCCGGGTTCAAGTAATTCTCTTGCCTCAGCCTCCTGAGTAGCTGGGATTACAGGCACGCACCACCACACCCAGCTAATTTTTTTATATTTTTGGTAGAGGCGGGGTTTCACCATGTTGGCCAGGCTGGTCTTGAACTCCCGACCTCAAGTGATCTGCCCGCCTCAACCTCCCACAGTACTGGGGTTATAGGAGTGAGTCAACACACCTGGCCTCAACAAATAATTCTTGAGCTTCTATTTGTGCAAAACAGATATACTTTCTCCCCAACTGAGCTTATAGTCTAGTAGAAGAGATTGATATTGAATTAATAATTATAGAAACAGGCCAGGCAAGGTGGCTCAAACCTGTAATCCCAGCACTTTGGGAGGCTGAGGTGGGCAGATTACTTTGAGGTTAGGAGTTCAAGATCAGCCTGGCCAACATGGTGAAACCCTGTCTCTACTAAAAATATAAAAATTAGCTGGGCATGGTGGCGTGTGCCTGTAATCCCAGCTACTCGGGAGTCTGAAACAGGAGAATCACTTGAACCTGGGAGGCAGAGGTTGCAGTGAGCCGAGATTGTGCCAGTGCACTCCAGCCTGGGCAACACAGCAAGACTCTGTCTCAAAAAAAAAAATTATGGAAATAAAAGATATAAAACTTTGGCAAATGATAGGATAGAAAAGTGCCAAGTACTTTGAAGGAGCACATAAAACAGAGGAGCTTTATTTTAGATTAGGGAGTGAGGAAAGACTTGTTTGAAGAAGCTCTGTTTAAGTAAAAAGATGAGTAGCGCGTCTTTAGCAAAGGGTGGTGTGTGAATCATTCAGAAAAGAAATATTACAAAGACTCTGGGCTTGAAAAACAGAATGAACAAAAAGGAGGGTAGTTTGGAGCTTAGTGAATATTGGGAGTAGTGGCTTGAGAGGAGGCTGGAGAATAACATGAGCCAGATGATTTAAAGTCCTGTTCAATCACGTTAAGGATTTGTGACTTTATCCTAAGTAGCATGAAAAGCAAAGAAGTATTTGAACAGGAGAATAACATGATCTGATTTATGTTTTAACAACATCAGTCTGGCTGTTATGTGAAGACACATATGCAGGATAAATAGGAAAATATAGTCACCTTATTTATAGCTGAGTTCAAATGTCACCTTTTTCTATAGCATCCCTTGGCTTTCTCTTATCTTTTTTAACACTGCTTCCCCATATTTTGTTGTTGTTATCTGTATTGAAATTAACTGTGATATATCACTTAATGTTTTATAGCCATGTGAATGTGCCTGTCTCTTTCAACATACTTGTAGCTTCCTAAGCATAGGAATTGAATACTAATTGTTGTTATATCCCTGTTCTCAAATATATGTTCAATATGAAGGAATTTCATCCCTCTAATTTTCTACTTGCTATTCTACCAAAAAAATAGTTTAGTTATAACATAAAATCTCTTTTACATCTATCTTTGGATTCAGTGGTGGGGTCGGTTCTAACATACTTTAGCATTTGAATTAATAATATTGATCTTTATTTCTGTGTTGAGGAAAAGCTATGAGAGATCCTTTAACATGCATATTTCCAGATTCAGTGTTGTTAAATAATGCTCAATGTATATAGTTTTTCTTTGTTTATTTTAGCTTTTTGGATATTTCCTATTGCTTAAACTACGTAAGCCATACAGCCTAAATTTCAGTGAACAGGGTTTAATAGCCCCTTGAGTTTAATAGGTGTGTGTGTGTGTATGTGTGTGTGTGTGTGTGTGTGTGTGTGAGATCTCAGTTTTTATTATTCATTTTCAAATAATCATTACTATTGTTTAGTTTTCTGGTAAGATGTTGGGAGCACACCTATGTATTGACGGTAACTATGTTGATACTTCCATTGGAATGTCTTATTTTCATCCTAACAACTGTAAGGAAGACATTATTTTTTCTATTTTACGGGTAAAAAATGTGAGATTCATAGAGATCAAATGTCTTGCCCTGTATTACACAGCTAAGTAATAGAGACAGGAGCAGGATTTGAGTCTAGGTTGATCTGACCTAAAGCTTGTAGTCATTTCAATGACTAATTACTGATTATTGTATTGATTATAAAAACTAGCCATTAGAATAATGAAATGCAAAGAACTGTGTAATTAAGAAGAAGACTGAAGACTTGCAAATCTGGAGCTTTAAAAAGTATTCTTAGGTTTCCTAAATCCAAGGCCCAAACTGAACTGACTTTGGAACTGCCACCCACTGAAGGCATGAAAGAACTTGTCTGAACCTAAAAGGTTCACCTGACTTCCAAAACAAAAATAAACAAACATCCTAAAGAGGAAGTTAACATGATCCAGTGTACTACAAGGTAATATTATAAATGTCCAGGATACAATCCAAAACTACTCAATATACAAAGGAAAATCTCACCGTTTCTCAAGGACAGACAGTTAACAGATGCCAATCCCAAGATGACTAAAATGTTGAAACTATCAAAGACTTAAAAGCACCTTTATTATCATCTTCCATGAAGTAAAGGTAAATACTTTTTAAATGAATAGACTGATAGATCTCAGCTAGGAAATAAAAAGTATATAAAAAAACAAAAAATGAAAAATCCATCACCTGAAATGAAATATTCACTGGATAACCTCAATAGTAGAATGAAGATGACAGAGGAAAGAGTAAATGATTTTGAAGATAGATGAACAAAATTTTATAATTGAAGAAAAGAGAGAAATCAGATTGAGGGAAAAATTAACAGAGCTTCAGGCACCTCTGGGATAATATCACACAAAACGTCTAAGTTTGAACACTGAATCATCAGAAGAAGAGGAGAAAGAAATTGGTACAGAAACATTATTTACAGAAAAAATGGTTGAAAATGTATCAAATTAGGTGGAAGATGTCAAGTTAGAGACTCAAGAAGCTCAGAGATGACAAACAGTATAAATACAATTATCCAATTAAGGCTAAATCTAGACACATCATAATTAATCTTCTGAAAACCAAGGTAAAGAAAAAATCTTGAAAGAAAATACAGGAAAACACAATATGTTACATATAATAGGCAACAATTCAAAAGATAACTTTTTTATCATAGTTAAATGGAGGCCAGAAAAATAATTGGCAACCCAGAATTCAGCATTCAGCAAAAATATTCTCTAGAAATGAAGGCAAAATTAAAACATTCTCAATGAAGTATTAAGAGAAGTCTTCACTAATCAAAATGTTATCAAAGAAATTCCAGACGACCTCTTTCAGATAGAAGGGGAACAAAAACATAGAACTTGGGACTTTAAGAATGCAGAAGCGTTCTTTGTTTTGTTTTGTTTTTCCCACAACAGTGCAAAGGCAATGTAGTGGAGAAATGATAATCTTTTCAGCAAATAGTGCAGGAACAATTGAACATCCATGTGCAAAAATCGGAACTTGACCTGCACTGCGGACCATATACAAAACTTAACTCCAAATTGACCATAGACTTAAATACAAAATGTAACACCATAAAACTTCTAGGAGAAAACATAGGAGAAAAATCTTGGTGACCTTGCTTGTTTTGGGCAAAGAGTTATTAAATACAGTACCAAAAGTCTGATCCATAAAAGAAAAAATAATTAAAAACATTTTTTCTGTGAAAGACTGTTGAGAGAATGCCACATTCCTTCAGACTGGGAAAACCATAGACTGGGAAAAAATACTTTTAAAACTTAACAATGAGAAACAAATATTGTAATTAAGAAAAGCAACCTAAATATTTTAACAGATGCTTCGTTACTGTAGGCAAACAGATCAGTGGTTTTCAAGGGTTAACACCTGAGGGAGGATTTAACTAGAAAGTAGCCACATGAGAGAGCTTTTCAGGATGATGGAGCTGTCCTATATTTTTACTGGGGTAGTGGTTTTATGACTGTATGCATTTGTCAAGATTTATACAATTGTAAGTCAGAATGTGAATTTTACTATATGTAAATTTTAAAATGTTTTAAAACTTTAAAAAAATACATGGCCTGGGAAAGGTTTTATAGGTGATTATTCAGTTGTCAACACTAGTATTTGTCACAGTCTGCATTATATATTTATTGTAAAGATTTCCATCAAATATTATTTAATTGTTGTTATAAAGATAAATAAGTTACAGCTCAGATTATCTGTTATTTCTGTGCAAACACTATTATGTTGGTCATAGAGTCTCAAGACCATAAATTGGATTAGCTTTCTCTATAGCTATACCTATAAATAGGTTAATTTTTACTAGATGTATTTATATATGTGTGTGTATGTGTATATGTGTGTTTTATATAATCCTAAATTAAATTTACCATTCTCTAATAAAGATTATGAATTATTAAGATGAGAAAATAAACTTTTCCCAGCAATTTTTATATAATATAAAATGTCCAGGTTTTACCTAGAAATGTGCTCTACACTCAATGAATTATAGTTGTTACAAGTATATTGACAGTTATTGAGTTAGACTAAACAGTCTACCAATTGTGATCTCAGTAACACCGTGAGATCTAAGATGACTCACCCATGCCCACCAAACAAACATGCTTAGGAAATAAATATATTTACATCATAGATTATATTTTTAATGGCTATAAAGCCTCACAGAAGGCTATGTTATAGTTTTATGAGAGCTATGTAAATGTACATAACAGGTTCAAATGAGAACATGTGTTCTTTGATTTCAGTTTGATATTCTACACTTCCAAAACAAGAGTTCTTAAACTCACTGTTTCAATAATTTAAAGTCAAAATAATAATTTAAATAAATTAGAATGAGGATTATAAGCACAAAATAATAACTTAAAGTGACATAAGGTAAGCACTAAAACAAAGTAAGCAATGACTAGGTGGAACTGTAAAGTAAAAATTATATGCTTTTTCAGCAAATTCTGGGTTTAGAATATTCTCATGCAGTCTATTCACTTTCACTTCCTGGTCCCACTCCTGTTTCCCTTATCTTCAGACCTTCACCGTTGCCATTTATGGTGGATGTGCACTGCAACCACCATACTAAGGCGTTTATTTAAATCCAGTTTAATTTGCTCCTAGCCCCTCCATGGGGCTGGTTGGTAGAAAATGTAATACCAGTTATTTATAGAGCCCCAAACACATACACACTCCAGGATTAGGTAGAAATTTTAATAATTTTACTGGTGTAAAGCCCTGGGATTCTTATTTCACTCTGGAATCTAGGAGCGTGTTTGATTTCTTCTTAAAGGTAGGTCTGTTTCTGGCCAAAATGCTACATTAGTTTCTATACTAAGGCAAGGAGCTGTGGTACCTAGGGCATGGCTATATGGATTCCTGCCATTTCATTAAAAGTAAATGTACCCTATCACTTTTATGACCCCTTTCTTATATTACCTTCCTAGCCTTGGAATTAACTACTTGAACCCTGATTACTTCAATTTCCTCACCCCAAAGAGCCTTCCTGTCCATCCTCTTCTTCTAGGTTAGTTCATCTGCTAACAGTTCTTATATCTTTTGAGAAGATAAGGGAATTCTCAGGTCTCCTGAATTCAAGATCCTGCTTGTTCTGAAAGGGTTGGCATAGGATGAAGTGGAAATTTTGCTTATTTCTCTGATCCATTTGGATTCCCTGGCTTCCCTTTCTAGAACCATCCTAAAACATCTATCCGATTCGAAGGTACTATATAACCATGGAACAATTTTTTCTTCTCCCTTGGATGTTTGAACCTCTGACAGTTAACTCATCATGTTCTAGCTAAATGATTAATTCTAACTGTTCTAATGAACAGAAAACATAAATCTCACTTTAGGTGGAATCATTGTGACTTACTGATTGAATAAATAGGAAAGAATCAGGAATGTTGCTGTCATCCTTCATTGGGTGAATGGTGGTGCCACTCTTGGAACTGACAAATGCAGAAGGAACTGGTATACAAAGGAATATGATTATGTTGAGTTTGCCTTGCCTGTGGCATGTTCTAGTGGAAATGTCTACCAGGAAGTTGAAAATAGAAATAGCTCCATGTGACATGAGGTCACTACTTGTGCATGTGATAACCTTCTCAAACATATCCAAAACATATTTCTCTTATGGCCAACAAATTTCATCTCTCCCATTTTCCCAGTGAAGGGCATCTAGGAAACATCCTTGATTTACTTCTTTCCTTCAGCCCTTTCTCTGCCTATACAACCCATATACACAAATAGTCTATCAGCAAGTCCAACAACACATGTAGAGTATATGCTTTCTTCTTCCAAGCACTGAAAATAGTTTGAAGATGGGTTCTTCCAGGGCTGTGTCTTGCTGGGTGGGTTCACCAAGGCAAAAGAACAAGGTAAATATTGAGACACAAGTAAGGAAGTGGTTAAAATAATAGAGTGTACTTAATCTGAGATAGTTAAAGAAGGTAAGTAAAGAAAGAAGGGGATTGATGAGCAGAAAATTAAGAAGTTAAGGAAACAAGCATCAGTGTTTTAAAAGGATGGGACATTGTAGGATGTTTGAATTTAAGATTCAGAAATACAGCAATTAATACAAGATTGACAACTCCAAAATGTTGTCATGAAAGTGATTAAGGGGGATTGAAGATCATGGTAATCAGGAGATTATGAAACTAAAAGGATGGAATCTTTTGTTGATTTACCCAAGATAAATCCAGGAAAGGAAGATTGTCAGCATCTTCTAAAAGTCTTCAGTAGATAAGTGAAATGGCCTGTGAGGCTGACAGATAATCCCAAATGAGGAGAGGTATAAGATGGTATTGCCTGATTTAACAGGAGCCTTAAAAGAATCCCATCTCAAAGTTCATCTTCCTTAAAACAAAATATAATGCAGGTGCAAAGGGAGAGGAGTTGAAAATACATTACGGAATAACAGAGCTTTAAAAGCCAGTCAAAATTCTTTGACCCTGATAGAACTCTAATACAGGTCACATTGGTAAGAGTAACTATTTAAAAGCACTTAGTGATGTAGATCAATAATGATTGGATGGGTCAGCACCAAAAATGTCTGTTATTTGACATGAAGGAAATTAGGCAGAAACCTCTATGAGCCAGTTCATTGCCGTCATCATTTCTGATGCATTTTTTCTAAAATATGTAGATTTTTACAAATTAAGATAATTAGTAAGTCAGAAGTACGATACTTTGTAAAATGCCTAATACATAGATTAGAATTACATGAAACAACAAATAATGATAATGAAGAAAATCAGCATGTAAATGTAAAATAACTCTCACAAATATTAAACTACTTTTTCAGCAACAGAAAAGTCATTAGTTTTAAAATAAAAATTAGTTTTTGGATTCCCTACATTAATGAAACTGCTCCTTGGCTTACAAATGGCATGACATTTAAAATTTTTGACCCATTCGCAACAAACATCTGTAGTTAAAGTGAGGCTATCACAGTCTCTTAGTCTATAACTTAGCTGCTTATTAAAATATACATCTACCAAACCAAAAAATGTTTTTCAAAAAGTAACATCTGGAATCTTGTCAGATTCTAAGGCATTTTTGTTGAAATCATTGAAGATGGAACATTATTAGGCTAGTGAGATAAATTTCTTGACACTTGCTGCGATTTTTGTTTTAGAAGCTTGCTTTTTGGTTTAGATATTTTTATTTATATATCATCACATTTTCTAAAACAAAATGTTCTACTCAAAAAATGTTTGGAAAATTATGTAAATATATGTTAAAAAGGTTTAGAAATTTGAATTCTGACCGCCTTTTTCTCTGTAAATATCCTTTTTTTATAACAACATATATTTTTGTTTTTCATAAGTGAAGAGTAAATTGGTTTACAGTGATATTGTTCTATATTATATGCACACTCAAATTGTATGCATTAGATTGTGGAGCATTTTCTGATATTTGTGCTCACAAGTAGGTTAGTGTCATTTGTCAGTAATAAGGCTTGCCTGTGTAGTTGGAAAGTGCCATTGCCCTAGAGTGCTGTATTTTGAAGTCATCTGTCATGGATACATTGTAGAGAGAGAAGACTATTTATGTTTATGGCATTTTAAGTAACTGAGTTAAAAACCCTTTGGAATATAGAGAAGTGGCTTGTTTACTGTCATCACTGTTCACTTAATCCTACGACCTTGACATGATAGCATTCCCATAAATCTCCCTGTGGGTAGATCAATAAAACAGATGAACATCAAAATGTAATGATTGTTTCAGCTTTAGGAATTAACTATGTAATGGAATAAATATAAGCCAGTAAGCAGTATTACAGAAACATTCTATTATACCAACCCCTTTTTCTAACAGATAACACTTACTAGAACATAAGGAGTTATTATATATTATATTTTCTGATAATGTTTGCAGTATCTAACAGATTATTATATATTAAAAAAAGAAAATAGATACAAGTAATATGCATATTATGACTGGATTTTTAAATAGCAGTTTAAAATTTTTGGTATACCTATGATTATAAAAATAATGAAGTTAGGGTTTTTTTTGCAATGATGTTTTAATATAGCTTTATTTTACATTGTGTTTTTATTGTATTATATCTCCATTGTTAATTTTCTCTAGTTCATTCATTTTAATTTTATAATTATAATTCCTCAAACATAAATTTTTAACTACAGTACGTTCCTCTTTCCCCCAATGTAAGCAGCTACTCAGGTATTCAGGAAAAAAAAAACTGAGGAAATTGGAAAACTGAAAAAATAATTAACACATCACACTAGGAAAAATTAATGGATGAAACTTAAGGGAATTAACACTCAGTCCTCACTATACTATATTCCAGAGTCCATGTCCACACACAATAGGAAAATAAAACTTAGATTCAACAGCCTCTGAAAAAGTAAATACTATGAGTACTCCCATTGCTTACATAATAGATCTGTAAGATAAAATTATTTTAAAGCAAGTTACATTTGCCTCTTACCAATTTTCATATGTAACAAAAAAATGGCAATTTAGTTTGGTGTAGTAAGAATCTCTATTCTTTTTGAACGATATTTTGTACTTTGCATGATAATGATACATTCTAAATACTAAAAGTATGCTATATAATGTGAAATCTGTGAAAAATCATAGAATTTATGCTTTATATAAAGATTATTATAGAATTATTATTATAGAATTATGTCTAACATAACTGTAAAGACCGTTATAAGCATTTTTAGTAGCTACTTAGGTAGAAACCTAACAAAATGAGGGTTTTGAAGCCTGTCAGTAAAGAAAAACAATATTACTATGATGTATAAGTCCGCAGAAAAAAAGATGGTAGAAGTATCTTTACTAATTTAATCTTAGACCATTAACATCTTCCATGAAGATAAGGTGGATATGTGTCAGTAAATAAATGGTCAACTATTTTACTTTATGTTTAGACAATTGAGCCCCAGGAATATTTTCTTCTATTTTAACAGGCTTTCAAGTTGATATAAGTCCTAAAAATTTGATTCGTAATTTTTCTAGAAGTTACAAATTGTAATATCTCCTTGTGCATACTGTTAGAAGCTGTTGTTGTTGTTTTTTTTTTTTCCAACTGGTGTTCTTTTCTATTACCATTATTCAGTAAGTAGTTACCAAATTGTAGTCAAACACTCTATTGATAAAGATACCATTCAGAGCTAGGGAATAGAGTATTACACAAATAGAATTTTTATGCCTGTTTTGAGTCTTAACATAAGTCTAAAAAATTAAATACATCTGGCTTTTGGATGAAGAAAGACTTTTGAAGTCTAGGCAGTAAAATATGCCAAATATAAACTATCACACTGGCATTTTTACAGGTTGTAAACTAGACTTATCCAACTGAATAAGCTAAGTGTTCTTATGACACTTTAATACACATTACTAAGCAGTAAGTTAACATGCATACGAAGTGGACAACTAACAAAATACCTTGTTAACTGATTTAGGATCAGTAATTAAGTCCGCAATAACTGATGGATTGTTAAAATTTTCACCTTTCATTAAATTTGATGTGTTATGGGCAGAGTTATGTGAATATCGGTTCCAAGTATTAATGCTTCCAGGGGCACTTAAGCGAAGAGGATTTTGTAATTATTTTCTTGAAAAGAATCCTATCTGTTGATACCTACTTTAGTTTAAAGTAAAATATATAAATCAATTACTACTATGTAATTCGTTATCTTATATAGGTCCTTTCAATCTATATTAATAATAAAGCTTTCTTCCCAGGTAAATTCCAGCTATTTCTAATTTACTATCACTCACATTATTTTACATTAAACTTCAACTGTGGTCAACCCAAATTTGATCAATAAAATAGTAATCATCTTATAAAGAAACCTAAATATACTCCTGTCTCAGCCTTTTTGTGACTGGTCTGTGCTATTCTGATTTTGGTGTATAATACAGGACATAAAGGAATAAAATACCTGTCAGATTTGTCACTTTTCATTGTTTGAATTTCTTCTCTATCTCTATTCTGTCCCACTTGAGATCATGCCAATAAAATATTTTTTATTTTGAAATTGCAATCTCATCCATCTTCACACAATCAAAAATTATTTGTTTTTATTTCATTTATTATAAATATCTTTACTATTATTGATACTACTATTGTTCGTTTGTTACTTCTTGAAACAATCTATACTCCAGATATTTTAAGTGGCTGTCTGAACGATTTTTAACATTTAACAAGACTATTATTTTTAATACACAGTACCTGCCACTTAGGCTTGAAGATTAAAAACATGCAAATGTAAGTAGGTGTTAGTTATTATTATGTCATTCCTTGTTACGTATTTACCAAATGAGGCAATTTGTTAATGATATAAAAATATTAAAATATCTAAATTATACCTAAAATCTAATATATATTAACTCAGTTCAGTATATTTTTTTCTTTCAGATGCTAAGGTTAGAAAGTGTGGCTAACAAGAATCCTCTATTCTAGCCTCTGACCAATTAACAAATACAACCAAACCATCTAAGGCACACATCAGTGCTCCGAAGTGTTTGCCTGCATTTTCTTGTAGTCATTTTATAGCTTTGGGTTTTAACATTTAGGCCTTTAATACATCTTTAGTTCCTTTTTTTATATAGTGAGAGATAGGAGTCCGGTTTCATGCTGCAGATGGATATTCTGTTGTGCCAGCACCATTTTTTTTTTTTTTTTTTGAAGAGAGTGTGTGTTTGTGACACTGTTTTTGAAAATCAGTTGGCTGTAAGTACATGGATTTGTTTCTGGGTTTCCTATTCTGTTCCATTGGTCTATGCATCTGTTTTTATACCAATACCATGCTCTTTTGAAGTTAGGTAGTGTGATGCCTGCAGCTTTGTCCTTTTTCTGTAGGATTTGCTTAATCTATTCAAGCTCTTTTAGGGTTCCATATGAATTTTAGGACTTTTTGTCTATTGCTGTGAAAAATGACATTGGTGTTTTGATAGGGATTGCTTTGAATCTGTAGATTGCTTTGAATAATATGATGATATTAACAATGTTAATTTTTTCAATCAGTGAGCATTGGATGTCTTTCCCTCTGGTTATATTTTATTCAGTTTTGTTCATCAATGTTTTGTAGTTTTCCTTATAGAGGTTGTTCACCTCTTTGGTTACATTGTGAATAGGATTACCTTCTTGAGTTTTTACTCAGCTAGTTCATCATTCCTGTATATAAACACTACTGATTTTTTATGTTGATTTTATAGCCTGCAACTTTACTGAATTTATCAGATCGAAGAGGTTTTTGGTGGAGTCTTTAGGTTTTTCTAGATATAAGATTATGTCATCTGTAAAGAAGGATGGTTTGATTTCTTCTTTTCGAATTTGGATGCCCATTACTTTTTCTCTTGCCTGATTGCTCTGTTCAGGACTTCCAGTACTGTGTTGAGTAGAAGTGATGAAAATAGTCATCCTTGTCTTGTTGAGACTTATTTTGTGTCATAACATATAGTCAGTCTTGGAGAATGTTCCATGTACTGATCAAGAAGAATGCATATTCCATAGCTATTGGATGAAATATTCTATAAATGTCTGTTAGACCCATTTGGTCTAAAATACAGTTTAAATTCAATTTTTTGTTGTTGTTGTTAATTTTCTGTCTAGATGATCTAACACTGATGTAGGGTGTTGAAATTCCTAACTGTTACTCAACTGGAGTCTATCGCTCCCTTTAGATAGAATAATTTAATAATAGTTGCTTTATATATCTAGGTGCTCCTGTGCTGAGTGCATATATGTTTAGAATTGTTATTTTCTCTTGCTGAGTTGGTCCCTTTATCATAATGACCTTCTTTGTCTTTTGTTTTTATTGCTTTTGACTTAAAGTCTGTTTTATCTGATATAAGTATGGCTACTCCTGCTTATTTTTGGTTTTCCTTTACATGGAATATTGTTTCCCATTCCTTTATTTTTAGTCTGTATGTGTCTTTGCAGATGAGATGAGATTCCTGTAAGCAGCATATAGTTGAGTCATGTTTTTAAACCATTCAGCCAATATATATATTTTAAGTGGAATGTGTAATCTGTTTACATTCAAGGTTGTTATTGATACATGAGGACTTATTTCTGTCATTATATTAATGTACTTTTGGTTGTTTTGTATATCCTTTGTTCCTTTCTCTCTTTTATTGTTTATCATTGTGGTTTGGTGGTATTCTATAGTGGTAACATTTGAGTTCTTTCTCTTTCTTATTTGTGTGTTTAGTCTACCAGTGGATTTTATACTTTCAGGTATTTTCATGATTGGAGATAGCATTCTTTTGCTTCCAAGTATAGGACTCCCTTAAGTATTTCTTGTGAAGCTGGTCTAGAGGTGATGAATTTCCTCAGCTTTTGCTTGTCTGGGAAAGACTTTATTTCTCCTCCATTTATAAAGAATAACTTTGCTGGGTAAAGTGTCCTCAGTTGGCAGTTTTTTTTTTCTTTGAATATGACATCTCATTCTCCACTAGCCTATAATGTTCATGCTGAGAAATCCCTTACTAGTCTGATTGGGGTTTCCATATAAGTAGTTAGATGTTTTTCTTTTGCTGTTTTTTGAATTCTTTCTTTGTCTTTAACTTTTGACAATTGGACTTTAATGTGCCTTGGAGAAGACCTTTTGAAATTGTATCTCTTTAGGGATCTCTGAGCTTCCTGTATCAGGATGTCTAAATCACTTACTAGACTTGGGAAATATCCAGCTATTATTTTCTTAAATAGGTTTTCTGTCTCTTTTGTTTTCCTGTCATCTTCAGTGACACTAAAAATTCAAATATTTAGTAGCTTTGTGATGTGTGTTGTGTTATGAGGACTTTGTTTATTATATTCTTTTTTCTTTATTATTTTCTTACTGGGTTATTTCAAAATATCTTTCTTCAGGTTCTGAAATTCTTTCTTCTGCTTGAGCTGGTCTATTGTTGAAGCTTTCTAATGTATTTTTTATTTCATTCCATGAATTCTTCAGTTTCAGGATTCCTGTTTGTTTGTTTGTTATGATACCTCTTTAGTAAATTTCTCATTCATATTCTGAATTGGTTTTGTGATTTATTTGTATTATCTGAATTCTCTCATATCTTACTGAGTTTCTTGAATATCATTTTGAATTCTTTCTCTAGGATTTCATAAATTTCTTTTTCTTTGGAATTTCCTGCTAGACCATAATTTTGTTTCTTTGGAGATGTCGTATTTGCTTGCTTTCTTCATGGTTCCTATATCCTTATGTTGATATCTGCACATCTGGTATAATTGATGCTACTTCTAATTTTTTGAATTTGCTTTTGCAGTGGAGGATACTTTTATGAAGATATGTCTGTGGTGTTTGTTGGGTAGGGCACTTTGGCCTGATTCTGGGTGCATGCAGTAGTGTACTCTCTATATAATTTCTTAAGCTTTAAACAGCATCAGTTGTATCCATGATTTCCTCAGCAGCTTAGGGTGTAGTTGTTTGTGGAGGCTGTAGTAAAGTTTTGTTGGAGATAGAGATGCCAGGTGGGCCAGTCCTTTGGGCTCTGTGGTGGCAATGGTGGGCCAAGTCTGCCTGTCTTTGGACCCCTATCTGGCATAGGCTAGTACCAGTTGTAGCAAGTCCAGGCATACCAATTTTTGAGTTTCCAGGTGGCTTTCTTGGGTGCCAGCAGTGGCAGCAGAGGGCCAGGTGGGTAGATGGGCAGATTGGCTGGTCTTTGGTTCCCTGGGCAGTGGGCGTGGTATGAGTGATGGTAATAATAATGGCAGGACAACCCTCCGGCTCCCAAGTTGTCTATGCTAGCATTGGCGGTGGCTGTGACAGGCTGGGTAGGCCTGTCCCAGGCCTGCAGATGGTATATTGGAATGGGTGCTAGCTGTGGTGGTAGTGGCAAATTGGGTGGGCCCATCCTTAGGCCCCCATGGGAAGTACTCAGGTGGCAACAGTGGTGGACAGGGCAGAGTGATCTCCAGGCCTCCAGAGAGTGTCCTTGGGCACTGGGGAGGGCAGATCCAGGCCAGCAGGACCTGTCCTCAAGTATCCTGGTGATACATGCATATGCTGGCTGAGGTAGACAGGGAGGGGTTTTTCCGCAGCCCCCCAGTGAATTGCTTGGATAGGGATAGCAACAACTGCACTGTGGCCTTTCTGCTGGGGAGGGAGTGGTTGCTTTCAATGTGCAGCACCCATAAGCAGGGAGCTGGGGAGTGTGCACTTCAGCCCAGGTAGCAGCTTCGTGTGGTGGTGTCTATCCTTAGCACACATAAAAATGTGCAGTGGCACCATTTCTGGGGGCAGTGGGGATGCTACCAGTGGCTTGTGCTTCAACTCTGTTGGCAGCAGCCAACAGCATGGCAGCTGTGGGTGAGGGATGTCAGTGGAAGCCCAAGGATGTAGAGATGCAGGGGCTGTTGGGCCACAGGGCAGGATGTAGTCTAATGGAGACTGGGCTCTCAAAATGGTGCCTTGATGTAGCTGCTTAGGCCTCAGGGGTATGTGGGATCAGTTTGAGCTCCTTTTCTCTGGCAGTGTAATCACATTGTTTCTAGGCAGCTTCTTGTTTTATTATCAGAGCCTCCAAGGGCCAAGGGACTCGCCTGAATCTAGGACTGCAGGAGTCCATGGTGGGAATGTGAGCCACTGGGGGTCTCTCACCCTTTTCCCATACTGGGAAGCCTTTCCAGGCTCCCAGCTGATCTCAGCTGAGTGGGCTGCCTCACATCCCTCTCCTTCCTTGCCTTAGGTGTTTCCTGTCACCTCTCTATTGAATTCCAGTGTTCTCTCTTAGATGATCTGTTGGAAGTGTGATTATCTACCTGCTATTTTGGTTCTTCTTTGTGGAGGGGGCAAGTACCAGATGCCTCTAGTCAGCCATGTTAAAGCCCCACATAACACATATTTTAATGTTATATGTGTTATATACTGTATTCTTACAAGAAAGTAAGTTACAGAAAATGTAATGTTATTAAGGAAGTAATGGCCAGGCACGGTGGCTTACACCTGTAATCCCAGCACTTTGGGAGATCGAGGCAGGCAATTGCTTGAGTCCAGGAGTTTGAGACCAGCCTGGGTGACAGGACAAAACCCCATCTCTATAAAAAATACAAAAATTAGCCGGGCATGGTGGTGCATGCCTGTAGTCCCAGCTATTCAGGAGGCTGAGGTGGGAGGATCACTTGAGCCCAGGAGGAAGAGGTTGCAGTGAGATGTGATGGCGCCACTGCACTCCAGCCTGGGTGACAGAGGGAGACACTGTCTCAAAAATAATAATAATAATAATAAT
Organism: Homo sapiens; assembly: GCF_000001405.40. Classification (NCBI taxonomy): domain Eukaryota; kingdom Metazoa; phylum Chordata; class Mammalia; order Primates; family Hominidae; genus Homo; species Homo sapiens. The sequence continues at coordinate 35,373,729 of NC_000013.11, forward strand.
AACAAAAACCTAAGAAAGAGAAAATATATTTATTACAAATTAAGTGGAAGTGGATCATCATAAAGGTCTTAATTTGTATCATCTTCATGTTGAGTAGGCTGAGGAGGAGGAAGAAGCAAAGGGGTTGGTCTTGCTGTCTCAGGGGTCTTTTTTGCAGAGGTGGAAGAAAACCCATGTATAAGTGAATATGAACAGTTCAAACCCATGTTATTCCAGAGTTAACTCTACTTGAATATCTTAGTTATTGTAGCCTCCTTCATCAGTGATCTGAGCTAGATCTTCTGAATAACTTGCTGCAGCTTCTACGTCAGCACTTGTTTGTTTTACCTTTATGGTATGGAAGCAGCCTTTGACATGCCTTCCTCACTAAACTTAATCATTTCTAGCTTTTGACTTTAAATGAAAGACACCACTTTTTTTCACTGGAACAGTTAGATGCCATTAGTTGGGGTTATTAATTGGCCTGATTTCAGTATTTTTTGCCTCAGGTAATGGGGAGGCCCAAGAAGAAGGAGAAACAAGGCGAACAGCTGGTTCTGGAGCAATCAGAACACACATTCATTGGTTGAGTTCACAGTTAGATATGGGCAACATTCATGGCACCCCAAAACAATTACAGTAGTAGCATCAAAGATCACTAATCACAGATTACCATAACAGATATTTTAGAAAGTTTTAAATATTGGAAGAATTACGAAAATGTGACCCAGAGACATTAAATGAGCACGTGGCACCAAGAGAGTTGCTTGATACAGGGTTGTCACAGACTTTAAATTTGGAAAAATACAGTTATCTGTGAAGTATAATAAAGCTAAGTGCAGTAGAACAAGGTGTGTTGTACCTCATAGGTTTGTGGAGCATATGTTAGAAAACAAAATCCTGCAGTTTTATGAAATTTGTATTAAATAAATGGATATTTCAAATTGGTAATAAATTTAAAAGGAAACCTAAATAATAACATCAACACTTACTGTCTTATTTTTCTAGTTTAAATATATACAGTATTATATTTAATCATCAGAATAGTCACCAGCATATTTCAAACTAATAAAATTTACACAAGTTTAAAAGTATCTTTACTGTTCTGATTTTTAACCATTTACTTACGGTTTTCCTTTATTTTTCTCACTGTTATAACAGTGAGAAATTTATCAATGCATTGTACTTTTACAAATACACAGGAATGCATGCTAGACTATTTACTAGAAATAACTTTCCTAAATAAAACTGTGTCAGAGCATTGTTCATTTGTAAATGTTTTCCAAGAGAAACAATACCAACTTCAATACCATAAGGCAGAAATTCACCTTTGGCTTTAAAATTCACTGGCAGTATTTTTTTATTTATTAAAATTAGAATGTGCATAAGACTGCTTTTCATCTCTCAGTATTTAATTATAATTAGTCACTTTCGCACTGCTTTCCTTCCTTTCAAAGCAGTACACACACAACTTTTGAACGCTTCTACTAGTTTTCGTGTTTATTTGCTCAATTAAAATCAAGATTTAAAATTCATGGTAGACATTCATTTCTTTTGGTATTTAAGTGAAGCCTAAAACATCTATTTTATTCAAGAACTTTTAGCCACGCCGTCTCAACGTAAGGTCATCTCATACATCATATTCGTGTGCTCCATTTTCAACAACTTTTTGATACATTGGTAAAATGAAATTTAAGAAGGTAACAATGTTTTTCTGATTTCAAAAGGGGGAAATCTTAGAAAATCTCCTACTTATTCAAAAAATAATATTATATCAATCCTCAATTTTTGACTCTGGTTTTTCCCCTTCCACCTTAACTGAATTATGATTAAACATACATATTTACAGATTTTATTCTTTACTTCCACTACATAAAAGACTTGCAACTATTTTTTATGTAATACAGAGAAAGGGACATGCATGATTATGTCATAGTTTTGCAAAAATCCAGCAAGGTGACAAGTTAACTTGTGTTTCTAGAAACCATACATGAAATCATAGCATTTGTGATGCTGAAATTTATTGTAAATGACAGACATTTGTCTTTGCAGCAGAACAACAAGTGATCTTAAATATAATGAGTCAGAAATATTAGGGAATTTATTAAAACATTAGACGTAATTTCTCAGTTACTTTCTAAAATTCATAGTTACCTGAATTAATATGACTGTTATTTACAGTTAATAGATAAATTGTTTCTACCTAAATATTTGAAATGTAATGCCTTTGTGTTAAATATTTTCTCCTCAGAAGTATTTATGAGGGGAAATTGTCTAGGATACAGTTGTCAGGGACTAATTGGATACCCTATAAAACAAAAGACTTCATTTTATATATTTATTATTATTATTCTTTACTTTTGCTTTTGGTCAAGAAGGCAATTGGAAAAGAACAAGGACCTGTTATTTCCATGATCTAAAGGTTTTTACTGCAACAACTGAGCAGCTCACTTTTATTCAATGCTACATTAACTTTTCCATTACGGGTGCTGTTGTCAAGTACAGAGCCTTTGCACATTATGAAGTTGCTGTCTGGTATTTGTTCATTGATATGATTTCCTTATTTGAATGTTTCAAGTAATTCTGGAGTGAAAGCCTTCATCACTTTTTAAGATTGTTGTCTCTTTCATTTTAAATTTAGTTAAATTTAATTGCACTGCTATAGTTTAAGGGTCTGTAAATGTTTTCATAAGCCTGAATTCTCTCATTTTTTCTTACTTAGAACTACTGTCACTTAAACTAAAATATAATTATAGTGTTACTATTATTCATAAAATCTAGTGTTCAGTGACAACTCTTATTTCAGCAAGAAAGAGAAATACTTTGGTGTCATGATGCCCCTTTATTCATTTTTCTTCTTTTGCTTCTTTTCATTCGTTCTATAAATTATTCCAGTTGTCTACAATTGCTCAAGAGCCAAGGAATATTCTCTAGGAGGCCGGAGTCTTAGGGTGAAACTGATAGGAGGAGGAATAGGATTCCCCCATTCTGGATTAGACTGTGAGGTGATTAGTCTAGAATGGAGGAGGTGGTTAGACTGTTGAAGGAGAAGGAGATTTAGAGTAGTAGAGTGTTTAGGAAAAGGGGTTTTGAAGTTGTGGGCACATGCTGTAATACAGGGAGGCTGCAGAAAAGTTTCTGTAAGCCTGCCTCCGGTTGACCATGTGGTACCCCACTGAGCAGACTGGTGAACTTACCTATTGAGAGGCCCTGTCCCACATTCCTAGCAAATTTTCAGACCTCCTTCCATACTGGTAAAAGGATAAATTCTGTGGTGATGAAAAGCCTATTATAGTTACATACCCTTTGTTTTCATGATTCCTTGAAGAGCTAAGACATAGAGAAATAGATCATTAAAATGAAGTTTGTGTTCTGCAATATTTTATTTGATGATAGGTTGGTTAGTTTTAAAATTTTGACCAAAATAAAAAAAGTGAAGAGAAGAAACAGATGTCTCCACCAACTGTGGGAGTAAGCTACAGTGGTGGCAGTGTGATTGATGTTCATCAAAAACAGTATTAATCTAATAAACAGCAAGGAGCAGCAGCAGCAATGGTGAAACACAGGGCTGGGAAGGAAGCTAATTTGAACACTGTCTAGGGATTGCAAAGGGAGATGTGGCAGAATACAGTTCCCTGCCAATGAAGGACTACATAGTCAATTTAGGTTGAACTGTTGAGGCTGGCCATGAGAAGGAACTATCCTTTGGAGATTAGGGTCTGATGGGATATCCCTTTCTTGTATAGCAATAATCTTGATTCACTGTAGTTTGATAGTTAATGTCTCCCAAATACTTAATGCTTCCAAACTTTTACTGCTGAAACATGTCATTGTCTTAAAGCAGCAAGGTGCTATCTCTTATTCCATAACCTTGTTAAGTTTACCTGTTCCATTGAATAAGCCTCTAGCTCAGATCTCAGTGATTGGTACCTATCTATCCCTGATATTTAGCCTTCCAGTTCCCTCTAATTTTAAATTGCTTTCTCAGCCCACTGTTTTACCATACCTTAACATCTTGGAAGCATTTGACTCTTGCCTTCCAGTAACTTCACCATAAATTATGATACTTTCTACCAGTGTAGTCCTATCTTTGTGACCCCTGTTATCCCTGTCTCTCATTTCTCCAATCAAAACAAATAGACCATAAACATATACACAGGTACATAAGCTTACTCCCTGCCTGAAACAAAAACACTGATTTGTGTCTTTTCATTGAAGTTTCTTATTTATTATTTTGATCTTTATGAGCTCTTCAGTAATTACTTTAAGACAGCAGCTCAAAATAGAGCCCTGTCTTAGTATTTTTACAAATAAATTATAGTTATTCTGATTACAATATAGCTTTAGGAATGGAAGAACAAAATAAAATGTTATCATCAAATATTACTGTCTTGGGGAGAAACAGGAATACTTACGTGTATGTATGTGTTTGTGTGTATCCAGGAATAGGCCCATAGAAATAAAGTCTGTTTTTGCTTCATTCTTCCTCACATTTCAAATATCTTTGCTTCTAGAAATCTCTTTGGCCCAGCTGGCTGGCCTGGCCTCTGAAGACAAACACCCTGTCTGTGCCTCACAAAAATAAGTCTATTTTGCTAGTAGATTCTAAGAGACAGAGAAAAATTCATAACTCAGGAATGAACACCTGTGGTCAAATTTCAGAAAATAAAATAGGTCATTCAAAACATATTTTGGTTTTGTCCTGGTATCTTTAAGGTATATCATGACATTGGCTGGCCACTTAGCCACTGCTTATAAAGTTAGCCTTATACTTTATTTTTATTTGTTGGTAAAGAATCCAAGTTAGAGCCTTTTAGGTCTTGGGTAAGTGTTATTTTACAAGTAAATCAAGTTGATGGATTTGAATTTCAAATACACGTTGAAATGGACTATAGATCACCACAGGATATTTAAAAAGGCAAAGAGGCATGACTGATTTTTTTCCTTTATATTAAAGTATACATACATACAGAAGAGTACATATGTCATAATTGAACAGCTCCATGAATTTTCAAAAACTGAAGGCACCTATGCACTTACCACACTAGATGAAGACACAGACAATTACCAACACCCTATATGAGCCCTTCTTGTATTCCTCACCCTGCTAAGGTAACTGCTATCCTAAATTCTAAGAGCATTTATTTATTTTGTTTACCCTTACATTTATAAATGTAGATGGAATCATATAGTATAAACGTTTTTGTCTAGTATCTTTTGCCCAATATTACATTTGTGACATTCATTGATATTATTTCATACAGTTTATTCTCATTGCTATATAGTAGTCCATTGTGTTAATGTAACTGAATATATTTATTGTACAGATTTTAACTATTATGAATAATGTTGCTCTGAACATTCTGGTACATATTTGTTTTTTTTTTTATGAATAGAGTTCTGTTGAGCATATACCTAGGATTGGAATTGCTGAGTCATAGTGTAGACTTGTGTTTAACTTTACTGCTGAACAGTTTTCCAAAGTATTCAGTTGCTCTGCATTCTCTCCTATACTTTACATTTTCTGTGATTTTCATTTTAGCTATTTAGGTGGGAGTATGATGTATTGCCTTATAGTGTTAGTGCATTTTCCTGAGGTTGAGTGCCTTTCATCATGGCCAAAAAAGGTCACTTCCCTATCTTCTTTTGTCAAATGTTTATATAAGCCTTTGGTCCATTGTTCTATTGGATTGTCTTTTTATTCTTACTGATTTGTAAGAATTCAGTATATATTTTGGATCTGAGGCATTTGTTTGATATATATATTGCAAATATCCTACTCTGGGTTGCCTTTTGCTTTCTTATTTTTAGTTCTTCTAATCTATCATTTTATCTTTTATGATTAGTGATTTCTGTTTTTTGTTTAAAGCATCTTTGCCTAGTGTGGCATCACAAAGATGTTCTCTTAGGTTTTCTTCCAAAAGCTTTCTTGCTTTGATTTTTACTTTCAGATTTGAAAACCATTTGGAATTGTATATGGCATGAGGCAGAAGTCAGGATTACTTTTTTTTTTTTTGCATGGATATTCAGTCAAAGTGTTATTTATTGAAAAGACCATACTTTTTCTTACTGTAGTTAAGATGTTTGTTTCTGGACTCTCTCTACAGTTCTTTTGGTCAGTTTGTCTATTTTTAGACCAATCTCACACTGTCTTAATTACCATATCTCTATAAATAGATCTTTATACCTGGTAGTGTAAGCCCTTTAGCTTTGTGGTTCTCACAAATTGACTTGGCTATTCTTGGCCTTTGCATTTTCATATTAATTTTTTGAATCAGCATGCCAATTTCTGCAAATAAGTGTTAGGATTTTGATTGGGATTGCATTGAAGGTAGAGAACAAGTTGGAGGGAAGTGACACCTTTGCACTTTTGATATGCAAATGGCATCATTTATTGATATATGCCTTTCTGTATAGGTCATCTGTGATTTCTCTTGGTAATACTTTGTAGTTTTGGCCGGGCACGGTGGCTCACACCTGTAATCCCAGCACTTTGGAAGGCTGAGGCAGGTGAATCACCTGAGGTCAGGAGCTCAAGACCAGCCTCGCCAACATGGTGAAACCCTATCCCTACTACAAATACAAAAATTAGCCTGGTGTGATGGTGGGCATCTGTGATCCCAGCTACTCTGGAGGCTGAGACAGGAGAATCACTTGAACTTGGGAGGCCGAGGCTGCAGTGAGCCAAGATCACGCCACTGCACTCCAGCCTGGGCAAGACAGAGTGAGACTCTTGTCTCAAAAAATATAATAATAATAATAATAATTTGTAGTTTTCAGTGTGGAGGTGTTACAGATATTTCATCAGATTTATTTGTAGGTGTTAGATATTTTTTGAAGCTGCTGTAAAAAATATCATTTTTAAAATTTGACTATGAACTTGAGACTGATAAAGAATTTGTTTTCCTGCATATACTTTTATCTAATAACCTTGCCAAATTTGCTTACTAGTTATAATAGTTTGTACATTTTATTTGATTTTATATATTTTATTAGATTATGAGCACAGTCATTTGCAAATGCTGTCAGTTTTCTTTTTCAGTTTGTGTAGCTTTGATTTGTTTTTCTACTTTCTGTAATGACTGCGGTCTCCAGTACACTGCAGTATGATAATGAGAATCCTTGTCTTGCTTCTAATGACAGAGAAAGTTTTAAATATTTTGCCACAATTGTGATATTAGTCATAGGTTGTTTGTTTCGTTTTGCTTTTTTATAGATACTTTTTACCAAATTAATGAAATTTCCTTCCTGTCCTATTTGTTAAAAGTTTTTATCCTAAATTGGTATAGAATTTTTTAATATGCTTTTTCTTTATCATAATTGCCATATGATTTTTCTTTTTTTCTACGAATGGTAGTGATTGAATTGAATGTGGTTATAATATTAAGCTATCAAAAGGTAATTATTAAACTCTATAATGACTTTTCAGACTGTAAACTTCTTGACAGTTTAAGTACCTACCCTCTGGCAATGTTTTTGGTACCTAAGTAGTAGTTTTTGTTAGCTAACTGGTAGTTCAATTAATATGTCATTTGGGGGAATATATACTTTCTTTCATCCAAATTAGTGCCATTAAACAACTATTCTGTAATATGTCACAGCAGACTACTATGCTGTACACTTTGTAAAATGGAAAGATATATAAGAATCAGTCCCAGCCTCAATGAGCTATAGTCTCATTTGTGAGAGCATACCAATTCTTAGGTAATTATAATATTAATACAAAGCAATATTTAGTAATATTTGAGTGAGGCATTAACTAACCTGTATGCTTTATAAAGACATACATGAATATCCAGACTTCTATTCCCGAGTAGCATGGGATGAAACCGCCAGGCTTCTTTGAGAAACATTAAGTTATTTAAAATAAAGTATGAGAGCAATAGTAGTTGAAGATAAGACTGCAACTCTACTGCAAAGTAGAGTCCAAATTCAATCAAGGAGGATCTTGAATGCCCAGCTAAAGATTAGACCTGGTTCTACCTGGTTCTGTAAGCAACTCAATTTTACAAATAAGGAAATATATCTTGAGAGGTCCTGACCTGCCTTTGGTGATAATAAATCAGAACTGGGAGTTCATAATAAAAAGAAGGTAATCACCTTAATCCTTAATGAAATTCTTCACCTTCACCAAACCAGTTTATGTGACTGATTATTATACCGGTGTTGCTTTATACTCATAAAAATAATTTGTTTATTGTCCATTTTTAATTATCTTCTTCTATTTCTAATTATATTTCTTAGTTGTAAAACTAAATTGATGAAGAATGGAAAACAACAATTATTCTCTAGCCATGACAGATATAATAGGCATTCATGTCATATGATACTAAATGTTATAATGAGGTCACAGGGCACTGGAGAAAAGGAAACAAGCCATATAGTACCTCTGAGTGATGAATGTGAGGGGAAACATCTTATATAGGGCACTAGCCAGGATATTTATCATTTAGTACTGAAAACCTGATGACATGATAACAAGGATTTTCTATGGTAGTCATGATAGCAGAATCCCATAGACTCTCTTCATGATGTCTTTATCCCTTTAGCCCAGCACTTGCTTAAACAAGAGGCAAATGGCCACAGATTTCATTTGAAATGATAAAAATACCTTTATCATTTCCTTTTTGGCTGTTGTTTTAGTTATCTTAATATTCAGAACAAATAATGTAATTCTATTTTATTTAACATATACTTAAGCACCAGAAGGCTAGCCTTTGTAGTTGGAAGGAAGGTAAAAGGAGAAACACAAGCCATATAGATGAGAAACTCATTAACAGTTTTGTTGTTTTGGGGAGTATACTGCATTTGGAGTAGTAAATGCTGTCTTTTAGAAAACATTAATTGCACATAACAATTATCAATAAATAATTGTGAAATGAATTAATGCAAAAAGGGAGTGAATTGTTATCATTTCTACATAAGCCTATATGCACAGTGTTAATCTCTTCTCATTCACTTGTTTTTTAAATCACAACTTTTTAATAGGTTTACATTTTCCAAAAAGTGTATTTATATTATTCACTTTAATAGTAAAAATGCCTGTATTTTGCAACATGATAAAAAATTTCATAAGCTAATTTGAACTAAAAGTGGTTAATTTGGTAGCAAGGGAAACTTTAGTTCATCTTAAGCCCCTAGTTTAGACTTTTATGGGCTGTATTTCAAATTCAAACTTTTGCTACAAACAAAGGAAGAGTAATCATTCTGGTGTGAACAGTGCCACTGAAGGACATAATTCTCTCATACCATCTGTCTTTATATAACCTTTAGACCAGCAGGCACTAATTGATAATACAGTTGCTTTTCCCTCTGTCCTTAAATGCATTAATACTGGCCAGATACACATCTCACTATACACTGATTATACATACCAGTACCTTATAGATTTGAGGAAATTTGAATTGTAAGAGAATTCATGGAAGAGAAATTTAGACATAGGCTTTAGTGGAGGTAAATCATCAAAACTGCCCATCTAGAAAGACTCCGAATTTGGTAAGTTAGGTGACCTCAAACTGAGGGAGGTTAGATGACTTGGTAGAATTTTTAAGAGCATTCAGAATTGAGAATAGAAGGACGTATATTATCTAAAGTCAGAAAATAAAATAATATCAGCCAGGACCAAGATATGCCTAATCAATATATTAACTGTCAATAGCATTATTTAAGGGGGAGAGTGAACAGATGGAATAGGGATTGTTCATGTAACATAGTTCAGTCTAATTCAGAGAGCTATAGGGTTTTGCATACCCAGGGGAATGATTGTCAATGTGTAGCTGGAAATAATGCTTTTAAGTGAACTTTTAGATCAACTCAAGGCAGAGATAATCCAAAATACAGCTTTTAGATTGAGAAGAAAAGCAATGAGAGACCATTGTGGGTGAGAGGGTCAGGCATAGCCAAGCGATGTGACTGGTCCTCGTGCAGGCATCCTCCTAGCCCAGAGACAACAGTCACTACACAGGATCTATTGGACGTAGCTGTACTGCTGAGAAAGACATGGAAGGATATAGTATATAATACAGAAGTTAGGAAAATGAACAATAACTAAAATTATTCATGAAATTTGACCTCGATGACAGGAATAATGTTGGTAAAATTTTTATCAGTATTTTTAAAGACAAGGAAAAGAATTTCAGGAAAAAATACAAATTTGTGTGTATGAGCATGTTTAAACATATTTTTATGTTTAAGGTAAATGTATAGTTTCTTCTATGTTTGGCATAGTGATGAAAAAGCCAAGCAGATAGGTATTGGCATATGACTGGCTGGCCAAAAGAGAGTCAATCTGGAAAGATGAATCCAGTATAGAGGCACAAGTGATTTCTAGAACTAATTGAAAGAAAAATTGAAAAGGAAAGAGATTCTAATACCAAGGCCCAGTCACACCCATACTGAGTGAGGTAGCATGCGGAAGTCACTAAGACACCAAGGAAAAGGTTAGAAAACTGGAAGAAAAACATGAACAACATGAATATTAATTTTCAGATGCTAATATTATATCAGTGTTCTGTTACTGAATCAGTTGTAATGTTCTAAAGAGTATTTACTTATCCTAAGCTTTTATACCTAAATGGATTCTCTCTACCTTTAGTAAAAATTGCTAACCAGTAAATTACATCTCTGAGACATTAAGTAGAACCTTTGAAGTATGTGAGAGTAATACATCTCCAAAAGTACGTTATATGTAATCAGAGGAGTGATTATTTCTTCAGTGGATTAAAGCCTTCTCTTGTCAAAGCTGTCTTACTTAGGCTTTTCTACAAAGCAGTTTTTAAAATGCATCCCATCAGCATCTAGAACCTTGAATAATCTTTTTTTTTTTTTTTTTTTTTTGAGAGGGAGTCTCGCTCTGTCATCCAGGCTGGAGTGCAGTGGTGCGATCTTGGCTCACTGCAACCTCCGCCTCCCAGGTTCAGGCGATTCTTGTGCTTCTGCCTCCTGAGTAGCTAGAATTACAAGCACCTGCCATCATGCCGGGCTAATTTTTCTATTTGTTGTAGAGACGGGGTTTCACCATGTTGGCCAAGCTGGTCTTGAACTCCTGACCTCTGGTGATCCACCCACCTCGGCCTCCCAAAGTGGTAGGATTATAGGCGTGAGCCACCGCGCCCGGCCTGTTTTTTAATTACTTATTTTCAATCATCTTCATTTTGCAAGTGGACTACTTTTTCTGGAAAGATTATGATATTGCACCATTCCCATTGTTAATTACAAGTTCAGCTGAGGATCACCAAACAGGATTCAGTCTGAAAATATTATCTACTTTTTGATGTTACCTTTCTCTTTCGAAAGTATACTCCTGCTACTGTTGGCTCAGATGTCCTGTGTTTTAAACACTGCATTTATAGTATTACATTTTTTCCTTCTACTGGTGATAGTTTTATTCTTCAAGTAAATCTTTTTTAGTCTCTGCTGCATTAAAATTTTAATAAGTTCTAAAATAGTTCAGCTTTTTTAGACTTCAGTAAGTTAAGGTTGGCTTGAGTTTCTGTATGTATTACTTGTAGAGTACTTTGTTTTGATTATTCTATGAGGTAAAGGTTTTAAAATTTTTGTTTTAAAATTACAGTTTTTTATAATTAGTTTTTTGCCTTGCTTTTTTCTTTTTAAGCATTTTGCTTCCACCTGGTTGAACAATATAAATCATACATTTCTCAATTTACAACATTAAGAAATTAATATTTTATTTTATTTAACATACTAGTTGGGCCAGGAATGGTGGCACATGCCTGTAATTCCAAAGCTTTGGGAGTGCAGAGTGGACAATCACTGGAAGCCAGAAGTTCTAAACCAGCCTGGGCAACATAGCAAGGCCCTTGTCTCTGCAAAAAATAAAATGAAAATTAGTCAGGTGTGGTGGTGTGTTCCTGTAGTACCAGCTACTTGGGAGGCTGATGCAGGAGACTTGCCTGGGCCCAGGAGTACGAGGCTGCAGTGAGCCATGATCACATCGCTGCACTCCAGCCTAGGTGACAAAGAAAGATCCTGTCTCTAAAAATAATAATAAAAAAATAAAAATAAAACATGTTAACTGGAAATGTTTTGTCTTTGGTATGTGCCTAATGCAATAAAATCTCTATTGCTGTTCTCTGTTTCATACTGACTGAACAGGGATTGGCTTTATATAAGGCTCACCACAGTGCCATGCACATGTGGAAGGTGGAGCTTAATAAATAACATTTACCATCACTGATTTACATTGTTTCCCCATCCCATCCATTTTCTTGTAATGTTTTATATAATTTCCTAGAGAGATTCACAGTAAATATAATGGTATTTCAGGTAATTACATTAATGTGCCAGGTTTTAATTAAAATACACATTTTCTGAATATATAATAGAAAACCTACAATGTTTATAAATAGATAAAATAAATATGTTAAAAATAAAATATATAATTTGAAGTTGAATGCTGTCAATTTGGAAGATTTTTTTAAAGGCCATGATTATTCCATAACTGTTTATTTTCTCTAGATTCTTAATGGTACTCACAATTAAATACTAATAGTGTGGCAACAAATACTTACACTTTGTTTGCAAAATATATTGATGTTCTACTTTAAACTCTCCAGTACATTATGGATGACTTGAGCAAAATTCCTATTAACAGAATTTTCATCCGTACATTTGTGAATTAAGAAACAATTAAGTGTTCTCTGTCCCCAAAATATTTCTACTACATAGTCTGAAATTCTTGCAAAATGCTTTATTAATGCTTAATGCCACTTTTAGCTGTTAGTTAACAAATGGAGGTACTTTGTATGTTACATAATAATTCACTGACTCTAAAATTTTTCTCTTTTTAATTCTAAATATTTACAATAGCTCATTATAAAATAACTATAGGCTTATCTAATCCTGTAAGATAATGTTGACCTAGTTAAAAATTGAGAACAGGCAAAATGAAAAAGTAATAGTTATTTCCCAAAGTATTTTTTAAAATTCAATGTTTTGGTTAACTAGATTTAACAATTAGTTTGTAACCATGATTGACCATCAAGGCAAACAAACCTGAATTTCATTTGATCATTTTATTTTCTAAACCTCTGTTTAAAAATATATTGAGTTTTTTATGGTTGTTGATAAATGTGGCTGCCCTAAGCTTATAGCAGAAGATCAATGTTTTAAAAATTGAAACAGTATAGGTTTGTATTGATTAATGTGGCTAAATCAAAACGAGAGGTTTTGTAACAGCTTTCTTAGACAGGCTGCTCCCCAGTAATGGCAACCTATCAATTTTAGCTTTCCACTGATAAATCAGCTTGAAAATTGGATGTCAAAATTTTTTTCACTGAAGTAGTGATTTTTTCATGCCCTTTAACCTTTTCTGATATATTAGATTGGTTTATAAGACTAAGCTCTATCTTATAGAAAGTAGTTGTCAAATTGACATTTGGATAGATTTTTAAATGATTGTAACAACTATTTTTATCCCTGTATATAAAATACCTGTGTGTATAATCATATATATTCTACCTCCCTAACTAGAAGGATTGTTTATCATGAGAAAAATTCAATTTCGCATTACAAAATTATAGATGTGCTGTTTATGGGTCTTGGATATTCAAAGAAGGTCAGAGCCTCAACTGGAAGGTTAAGACACATGGTTCCAGAAGTATTTTAGTTTTCATTGAGTAGGGACATTGATTTTTTTTCCTTGCGAATTGATTTTTTTTCCCTTTTTTTCTTTTTATTTCCTTGAAAATTACTAATGGATTAATTAATGGCACCTATTCTATGTTGTTATATGGTCAATAGTAACTTGATATGCTTTATTACCAAAAACAACGAAAACAAAAAACTGACAACACTTTCTTATTTATCAGGAACCAGTATTGAGGATTTGAAATAACACTAGAAAAGATTTGATTAACAGCACAGGAAAACAGGCTTAATTTGGATTTAATGGGGTAGACTTCAGTGACAGCTGACAGTACCATACCTTCATGCCTACATAGCCGACTTTAAGTTAGCCTGAAAAGGTATTGATTGTGAAGTTCCTGTTGTATAATTACTTTTTGCTAGGAAAAAAAAATGCATGGTGTATTGATCTAGATGGGAGCATTTGAGTAGCAGTTTCCCTTGGCTAACAGTGAGTGTCATCTTTCAGCCATGATAAATGGTAACGCTCTGGCTCAGCATAATTACTTTGTGGTGAAATGAACCTCCTATCCCCTTCGCCTTTTCCCTGCAAGGAGATATAGTAATCATCATCGTCTGAAAGCCATGATTTACTGAACTAATCATCCTCTTAATAGAGGAAAATCTTTCCCCCCAGAGTGTGTCCAGTTTTTGCTAACTGAAACAGAAATGCATTATGAAATGATAGAATTTTTTTAAATTTCCGAATCCACAAATACACATCTTTTTAATCAACTATCAATTATTCCTGACCTATGCTTCTCCCCTCTGTCTATTCCCTACCTACTAGGTAACCTTTGATCTTAACATCGAATATAAATAAAAAGAGAAAAGAGAGATGGCCAAATCTTATGTACTCATTTTGACGATAGGTGGAATAATTATGTAAAGAAATTTATTACATTTGGCAAAAATAGGAATTTATTTAGTTAAAATATGTCTTGGAAAGCCTTCTGGGTGTAACACTTTTTCATACAATTTTTAGTGTTAAGCAACATTATTATTTTTTAGTTTCTGTGATGGTTCTCTACATTAAGAGGCAAATAAGATGCCTTTAATGTGGAAACCATACATTCCCCCCAATTCTAAAAAACTAAGATAATTTATATTGTATGCTAGCTTTTTTGACAAAGATATTTAATATGTTATCTATTTTTTATTAAGCCTGTGTTATATTTTGCTGAAAATAGATCTGTATTTACTTGCCAGTACTTTAATATTTCCCCTGGGTAATGACTTTTAGTTAAGTAATGTTATTTAAAGAATATCTGGCAGTCATTTTAGATCATTTTAAGACTGCTGTGAAGGGTTTGGATAAAGGTCATTTTCAGTGATTGTGCTTAGTTAAATAAATGTGAAAGGTTTCACAAAGGGAATCTTGCTTTTCAGTGTGCTGTCATAAATTTCCTCTTAGCACATCTGGGAATACCAAGTAAAATGTAGTTGTTTCTGCCTTGAAGGCATTATATTTTATATTTTCCTTCTCTTTGTTTATTTTCTCCTCATAATTCTATTTATTCCCACAACTGAGCACAGAGGTTTCATTTTGTCATAAATTAGATCCTCCACTTTTGACAGTTTGTGGAAACCCCTACCTATATTTCTCTAAACGTTTACGAAGAGTAGATTTTTTTGCTAAGACTTCTTGAAAAGTCTGGCGGGTTTCTTTTTTTTTTTTTTTCTTTTGGTAAACAATTCCTCCCTGAATGTAACCCTGGTTCACAGTTTGCTCCCACTCTGACCACAGCTGGCCTCTTGCTGTTCACAGCCGAAAAGTGAAATCAATTCTTGGTCTAACAAAATGCCAAATGCAGATGAAAGCCATTCTGATCATTCATAGTCATTTCCCGTAATTGTATCAGCCTGTGGTACTTATATGATCTCTGGAAAGCATTGTTTATTCAAGTAAATTCAGTCCCAGCTTCTTTGTTGAGTGTTGCTGTCTTCTAGGAAAATAATACTTCCTTAAACCCATAAGCATTGTGAATACTCATCATTATGCAGTTTTCTAAAATAACCGTTGCTTTTTCCCCCTAAGGAAATATTACATGTCTAATCAAATCCTTTATTATTTAAATTCTAGAAATTTGTATTCTAGGCAAAGATGTCTCTCTATTTCTTACTGTTAACAAAATTTAAAATTCTGAAACCAAAAAAATGCTAAAATACCTCAATCCAAATGATCATTGATCTAGTATTTTCTTAAAATTTTTTAAATGAGATTAGATAGAAAGCTGTATTATTATAGCTGAATGCTTCAAAGGTCACAGAACAACTGTGAGTTTGATGGAAAACAGCTTTTCTCCTTCCTATTTTAAATGGTTCCTACTTTGATTGCAAGCATTTATTATAATTATCAAGAGATTAGTCTGCTGTGATAGAATCCTTGTAATGGAACCATTTAAAAGGAATATAATGGCAGTTTATTGGATTCTGCAAAAGAAAGGAGCACAGATAAAGTGGTCCTTTTATAAATGGCTCAACTGCTAGCTGAGTATACTAATTTTATTATTCTCTCTTAGTTCCCTCACTTTAGTAGTTTTTGTGGTTAAGATTACAGTTTTTTTCTAATATATAACCTGTCCTCTGGTCATTTCTATGGTTTATGTCTTTTGTAGAGTGTGTGTGTGTGTGTGTGTGTGTGTGTGTGTGTACTCAGTACTCTCTGATATATCGTTTTTGTTTTAGAACATATATTTGTATAATATTTTTTCTAAGATTATTTTGAATATTTACATTTTGATTTTTGAAACTTATAGGCATATTAGATGAGTCCATTCATCACTTCTCATTCATGTGTACTTATTCTCTAGGTACAATAAAGCAATCCCTCCCAGTGCAGTAAATACCCAGGAAGTGGGACTTAAGACCTATTCCGTGCTAATACCTTTTCTATAAAAATTAATGCAGTTGACACTCAGGGTAGATATATTTGGATTCTTTCTAATTTCTCAAAGGCAAAAATAAGGGCTTTAACACTTTCTTTTTCTTTGGAGACTTTAATCCATTTGGAACCAGACACAAGACAATACAAGGACAAAATTTTTGAAGAACCTAAATTCAGTAAACTAGATATTCCTGTTCTTTCCCAAACTGGAAACTAGTAGAATTGCAATGTTTGCTAAAATACTTGAATAAACAATTAGAGAATCGATGCCTGCAGAGAAAAGGCACTAAATGTTATCTGTCAGAGGTGTCAGGGCTAGGTAGAAGACTCAAGTTCATCCAAACAGATTCTTGTGAAGTGGGGGACTGGAATGGGGAAACTTAAATAATGCTAAAATAAGGCTATTTTAGAGATTATACACTTTCTGAAAACAAAAATCAGCTAGTAAGTACCTTGCACTAATAGGTATCTTGAGCATAATAGGTCTTCAAGAATATTTTTTGGAAAATTTTGTTTTTATTAAAGTAGTAAAGGAAACATCACTTTTTAAATCTTAAATTTTATATTTCTTTGAAGAATTTCAAATTGTATTATCTCCTTTTTTATATTTTGTGTTATCAGTGTACATGTTGTTATTTTCTTAATATTGCTGCTATACAAAAATGCCTGATTGAAGAGGAGTAATGGTTTTATTTCTTCATACTTACCTGAAAATTCTTAAATCAGTTGTCCTATGCCATAAGAAGGCCTTGCATTCCAGGTGCAGTGGCTCATGCCTGTAATCCCAACACTTTGGGAGGCCAAGACTCGCAGATCACTTGAGGTCAAAAGTTCAAGACCAGCCTGGCCAACATGGTGAAACCCTGTCTCT
This sequence comes from Homo sapiens, assembly GCF_000001405.40. Lineage (NCBI taxonomy): Eukaryota > Metazoa > Chordata > Mammalia > Primates > Hominidae > Homo > Homo sapiens. The sequence continues at coordinate 35,391,110 of NC_000013.11, forward strand.
ACTAAAAATATAAAAATTTGCTGGGCTTGATGGCACGCACCTGTGATCCCTGCTCCTGGGGATGCTGAGGCAGGAGAATCACTTGAACCCAGGAGGCAGAGGTTGCAGTGAGTTGAGACTGTGCCACTGCATTCCAGCCTGGGTGACATAGCCAGACTTGATCTCAAAAAAAAAAAAAAAGAAGAAGAAGAAGAGGGCCATATAGCTTAAAGGTTTCTAGAGATAATAACTCACTGTAAGAGTATACCTAGTTTTCTTTTCTTCATTACTTGAGTTTCATGTTGTACACATAGAAGAATTTGAAATTGTAGTTATGCAACTGTTATTATAGATATAAAAGAAGTTATTTAAAAGAGAGACATAGTTCAGAAAGACTGAATAATGAAGATGGTTAAAGATTTACAAATTTGTTGTACATTCTACAAGTTTACCTTGCTTTGCTATTTAGTTGCATACTTAAGCTTTGCTTAAAAGAATGTTATACATGTGTGTTAATATTTACATGGATGTTTTTAGGTAAATAATCATTGTAGATGCATGAAGTATGTGTATATAAATAAATAAGAATATTGGAAACATGGAACATAAAAGTAATTCAGAAGGGTAATTTCTGTGCACTTGATTCTTATGAGCACTACACAAAATATCTAAACAAGTGAAATAAGGAAATTTACATGTATTAATTGAAAACTATCTCTGGCATTGATTGTCAAACCAAGTCATCAGAAAGTTATTTCTTACTAACTTTTCCTCAGATATAATTATATCTGTTAATTTTGCAAATGAGTTTTCTATACAACTGAATTTAGTTTTTGCTTCTATCTCTGTTGTAAGCAATACCACACATATAGTGCTACTTTCATTAATATGAGTTTGATCAATAGTGGAGCTAAACTTATATATAGGGGAGACGTAAGAATAATTGCAGTCCGCTTGGTAGAAGGTATCACAAGCACGCTGTTTCTCTTAGATTTTATATTATAAGTGAATAAAAATAAACTTTTCTACAAATATCATATTTGTATTTTGTATGCAATATTTTTATTAATTTTATTTAGAAGAATTCAGGGAGACTGGTAAGATCATCCTTTAATCATTTATGAAAATGAAAGCAAAAGAAAAGATTTATGTTTACTTGCTAGTACTGTAATAAGGCAACTGAGAAATATTATTGAAAATAAATTAAGGAATTGTGGCATTTATTCAAGCACTTGGACCAAAAAGGGAGAAGAGTTTTACTTTTAGGAATTGTTACAGATCTCCAATCCCTTTAAAAGCCCTGAAGTATGTAAATTTTGTAATATGCCTATAGGAAACATCTGGTGGTAAAACCTAACTTGAGCCAGTATGTGTGTGTGTGGTTTTGTTTTTTTTGTTTTTTTTTTTTGCCTTTATCCCACTTAGAGTCAATATTCATACATTTCTTTGCAGAAATATTAATTTATTTGATTACAGAGTAGTAATCTAAATGCTACTAGGAATGATATATAATACAAAGTAGCTGCACCATACTGATCTTCTAACATGAGAAAAACTATGATTTGCAAAACATACTCAATCCCAAGGGTTGTGCATAAGAACCGTGCTAACGGTACAAATGGCAGATCAAAGCTGCCGTGAGACCTGGAGCAATCAGAAAGGAAAAGTTGAAGTCAGGTCTTTGAATAAATGGGACTTTTTTTGCCCTAGATAATTTCAAATTAAGAATGGTATCGTGCCTAGACCAAAGATGTTTTGAGGTGCAGAAGTTAAAAACTCAGTTGAGTTAGCAGTATTCAAAAGGAAGGTCCAAATAGGACACATTGTGGTTATTAATGACCTCCCAGGTCACAGTTGAACATTCCATTGGGAATTATTTCCTGTTATAGTTGTATTTGTTGGCTATCCAGAGCTAGCACTTTCGGAGTCCTATTCAGTAATTATGATCTACATTCTTTCTGAGAAGCTGTTTTTTTACAACCTCTCTAGACTAACCCTACCAATATGACTGGTTTGAAATTGTATTTAATCAATATAATTTGTCCAGTTACCCTAAAGTGAAAGATAGCAATTGTAATAGATTATTTTTCCCCGTACAACACCTTAAACAGTTAACTTGGAGCAGTAATGGAAGCTGCCTCTCAAAACACATTTTAGCACATTAAAAAAATGATTTTTTAAATTCTCCTGGTAGACAACTAAATGTAAAATTGTAGAGCATCCACTAGAGTTTTGCTTTCATCCCAGCTGAGATTAATTATAAGAAGTACAATACTCCAAAAATTAGGATAATTCTATGGCATAGAATAAATAGAAAATGATAACTTAGCTTTCATTGCCAAACATTTAAATTAATATCCTTTGGTATGCTTTTTTCTTTAAAGTGTTTTATTTGGTGAAAATTGGAATCCAAAACATCATTTGAAACACTCATTTATTTCAGAAAATTTTCTGATTATTTTATTGAGATTATTTAAATTTAGAGTCCTTTTTTGTTTTTCAGTTTCAAACATTTATGGAAAATTCAGGTACCATTAAAACATCCTTTTTCTTATTTGAAATTTCTGTATGTAAATGGTACCAATGATATCCAAATTTGCAACTATGAAGTAGCTAAAACACTAAGACAATTAGAAATACAATTTTAGTGTATGGTTTTCCAAGTTAAAGGAAAGAAGTATGAAATACATTGTCTATCTTTGCTGTCTCCCTTCCATTTAGATTTGTATTTGATTAGACAGAGCAAACCTAGGCTTAAGTTATGTACCTTATTAGAGAAGTTATTCTCTAATTAGAAGTTATTCTCTAATAGGCTTATTTTCCCTGGGGATATGTGTTAAACAGTATAACTACTACTTTTGCTGCCAGGAGCTGTATCCTAGAGATCAACAGCCCATTCTAGGTATTCTTTTATAATATGCAGCATACCAAGATGACTAAGGCTCACCTTCCTGTTTGAACTATTTTATATCATTGTATAGACACAGATGTACTAAGTGTGGGAAAATAGCATATCCTTCCCTTCCAGAAAAGCAGAGACTTTATTTAGCTTATCTATACTTCTTTTTGCTCCCAATCATTGATGGATTAGCCTATCTGCACCACGCACTTCAGCTGAACACTGTACAGATCTGAAAGGCTTACTTCTGGGAACAGACGTTTATGTATTTCTTTACCTAGAAGGAAAGGATTGTCTTTTCAAAACACAAGGGAAAGTGCATTTTGTAATTCTCTCCTTTCTTCCCTCACTCCCTTACTTTTCCCTCTTGCCTTTTTTCCTCCCTTTTTGGTGTTAGAGTAGAGCTTCAAGTATATATGTGATCATTGATGAAAACTTAAGTGTTACAGTAAAGCTGTAATGTTTAGAAACATTTTTAAGTAGTTGTAAAGATTTTCCAAATCAAATAAAAAGTGGTTCAATTTCGATTTACCCACAAATACAAAGAATTAATATAAATGTATTTTTCTTGCTACATGAGCAAACTCGCTGGAAAAAAAAATGAGACATTTCATGCATTCTAGATCTTGGTATCTCCTCCACATAACATATGCATATATACAAACACAGAACATGAACTCACTTCCCTGGGACATTTCCAAAACTATGCTAGACATGGATCCAGCTAAATTTGCAAATTCTCTACCAGATAATTCCTTGTGGTTTCTTCTCTCATCCTTATTATTTTCTTTTTCTACTTATATTAGGCTTACTTTGTTTTGTTTTGTTTTTTTCTAATTTTTTGAGGTACAAGCTTAAGTCATTGGTTTTAGATCTTTCTACTTTTTAAAAAATATAAATATTTAAAGCTGTAAGTTTCCTTCTACACACTGCCTTAACTGCATCCCACAATTTTTATCTGTTTTACTTCCTTTGTTGAGTTTCAAATGCTTCCTACATTTAAATTTCTTTTGTAACCCATGTATTATTTAGAAGTATGTTGTTTAAGTTTCCGATATTTGGAGTGTTCATAGAGATCTTGTTATTGATTTATACTTCAACTCCATTGTAATCAGAGAACATACTCCATGTAATTTCAGTTCTTTTAAATTTGAAGATTGTTTTAGGACACATTATATATGACATATCTTGTCAAACATAATGATATGGTTTGGATCTGTGTCCCTGCCCAAATCTAATGTTGAATTATAATCCCCAGTGTTGGAGGTTGGGCTCGGTGGGAGGTAATTGGATCACAGGGGTGGATTTCCCCCTTTGGTGCTATTCCTCTGATAGAATTCTCATGAGATCTGCTTGTTTAAAAGTGTATAGCACCTTCTCCTTCTCTCTCTTCCTTCTGCTCTGGTTATGTAAGACGTGTCTGCTTCCCCTTCGCCTTCTGCCATGATTTTAAGTTTCCTGAGGCCTCACCAGAAGGAGAAGCTGCTATATTTCCTATATAGCCTACAGAACTGTGAGCTACTTAAACCTCTTTTCTTCATAAATTACCCAGTCTCAGGTATTTCTTTACAGTAGTGCAAGAATGGACTAATACACATACCATGTTCACTGGAAAATAATGTACATTTTTCACTCATTGAACATAGTGTTCTATAAATTTAAATTAGGTCAACATGGTTGATAGTGTGTTTCAGACTGTTTCTTTACTAATATGTTTGTCTACTCATTCTCCCTATTAAAAGAGAGATGTTAAAATATTCTAATATGATTGTGAGATTATTTATTCCTATGATTCTGTCAATTTTGCATCATATATTTTAGGCTCTGTTATTGACTAAGTACACATTTGTGAATATTATGTTTCTTCAATAATTGAACTCTTTCTCATTATTAAATATCCCTCCTTATTTCTGGTAATGGTACTTGTTTTAAAGCAAACTTTGTCTGATAATAATATACATAGCTACTCTGGCATCTTATGCTTATTATTTATATGCTTTTCTATTCATTTATTTTCCACTCATCTGTGTCTATGTTTTTTAGTGCATTTTGTGAACACACAACATATAGTTGAGTATTGCTTTCTTTTTTGAGACAGGGTCTTGCTATGGTGCCCAGTCTGGCCTCAGACTCCTGGGCTGAGATGAACCTCCTGCCTCAGCCTCCCAAGTAGCTGGGGTTGTAGGTGCATGCCACTGCACCTAGTGGGTATTGCTTTTTAATCTGTTTTGATCTCTGCCTTCCAATTAGAATGTTTAGTTTATTAGTGTTGATTATAATTATTGATGTGATTGGATTTAGCTCTAAAATTTTAATATTTATTTGTTTCTGTGTGTCTACTCTGTTTATTTCTGCTTTGTGCTCTATTCTCCCTTTCATTCTTTTTTTGAATTATATGAATATTTTTAGAATTTCATTTTAATTTATATATTACATTTTTCCTATGTATTTTTGCAGCATATTTTTAGTTGTTGTCTAGGGATTATTTTATACATCCTTAAATTTCAGTTTACATAGAGTTAATAGTGTATCACTTTATGTAAAACATAGAAACCTTGAAACCATATAGATTCATTTGTAGCTTATCAGACAGGGTCTTAGTCACCTTGCGCCATTGCTAGGGACTGCAGTTGAACTCAATCCAAATGCTCAGAAATGGGTAACTCACCAATTCCTCCAAATTTTCCTCACCTCCAAAATGATTCTATTTTTGTTTACTCCCAGAACACTCACATTGTTGTAACCTCTATTTTGTTCAGATTTTATAATTGCTATCTGTTAGAGATTCAATTTATGAGGCGTTTACTCCTCCAAACCGGAAGTAGAACTCGAACTAGGAGTAATTTTTCATTCATTCCTGTCCTTTACCACTCCTCCAGTAACCTTCCCTGTGCCCCTGTATTACATCAGATAGTCCTGTTGGCTCTATCAGTGAAAGATATTCCATTTCTGACCTCATCTCTTCATTTTCAATGCTATGCACTACCAGTGTCTTCATCCTGGACTTCTACACTATCTTGCTAACCTGCCTTTCAGCTTCCACTTTAACACTACCATTGTTTTCCTCACACTGAAGCCAAAGTAAGATAAAGTAAAAATTTAATTTTATTACTACCCCTTCCTTAAAACCTTCAAAGACTCCTTCAAGACCCCAAATGAATTTGTCCCTGCCTACCTTTTAGAACACATTTGATCCCCTTATTCACTAGGCTTAAGCCATACTAACATTCTTTCTGTTAAACACACCAGGCTTATATCCAACTTAATGCCTTCCCTGCAGGCTGTCTCTACTGTCAGTGCTTTTACCTTTAATCTTTGGGTGGCTGGATCCTTTTCATCATTGAGCTGTCAGCTCATATGTCAACTTCTCATAGAGGCTTTCCCCAACCATACTGTATATAATATTTCTAGTCCATCTCTATCTCATGACTAAGCTTTATTCTATTCATAATACTTAACCTTATCCACAAGTATTTTGTTTACATACTCTGCTTAACTACAGGAGAATGTAAACTCCATGAGGGCAGAGACTTTTTTTTACTCTTGATCAGTGCTGTATCCTCAGCTCCTAGAAATAGTGCCTGTTATAGAATAGCCATTAAATAGGTATATTTTTATTGAATACACACATACATCAGAGATACTGTGGGTTCAGTTCCAGACCACTACAATACAGTGAACATCACAATAAAGCAAGTCACATGAATTTTTTGGTTTCCGAGTTTACACTATACAGAAGTCTGTTAAGTGTGCAATAGCATTATGTCAAAGAAATGAAAACACTTTAATTTAAAAATACTTTATTGCTAAAATGTTAATGATCATGTGAAACTTCAGCAAGTTATAATCTTTTTGCTGATGAAGGGTCTTACCTTGATGTTGATGGCTGCTGAAGGTTGGAGTGTCTGTAGCAATCTCTTAAAACAAGAAAACAATGAAGTTTTGCCACATCAGTTGACTCTTCCCTTCACAAAAGATTACTCAGCAGTATGTGATGCTGTTTGATAGCATTTTCCCATAGAACTTCTTTCAAAATTGGAGTCAGTCCTCTCAAACCCTGCAGCTGCTTTATCAATTAAGTTTGTGGAATATTCTGAATGCTTTGTTGTCATTTCAATAATGTTCACAGCATCTTCACCAGGAGGAAATTCCATCTCAAGAAACCGTTTTCTTTGTTCATAAGAAGCAACTCCTCATCCTCAAAAGTTTTATTATGAGATTGTAACAATTGCTATTGCTATTTCCACTATATCTGCAGTGATTTCCTCCACTGAAATCTTTAATTCCTGAAAGTCATCCATGAAGGTTGAAATTAGCTTCTCCCAAACTCCTGTTAATGTTGATATTTTGACATCCTTCCATGAATCACAAATGTTCTTAATGGCATTGAGAATGTTGAATCCTTTCCAGAAGGTTTTTGATTGATTTTGCCCAGATCCATCAGAGAAATCACTAGCTATAGCATTACAAAATGTGTTTCTTAAATAACAAAATTGAAAGTTGAAATAACTCCTTGATGCATGGGCTACAGAATGGCTGTTGTGTTTGCAGGCATGAAAACAATATTCATCTCCTTGTACATCTCCAATCAAAGCCCCTCGGTGACCAAGTGCCTTGTCAATGGGCAGTAATATTTTGAAAATCTTTTTTTCTGAGTAGTAGGTCTCAATAGTGGGCTTAAAATATTCAGCTAACCATGCTGTAAACAAATATGCTGTCACTAGGCTTGATTGTTCCATTTTTAGAGCACAGGCAGACTAGATTTAGCATAACACTTAAGGGCCCTAGAATTTTTTGAATGGTCAATGAGCTTTGGCTTCAACTTCAAGTTGTCAGCTGCATTAGCCCCCAGTAAGAGAGTTAGCATGCCCTTTGAAGCTTTAAAGCCAAGCATTGACTTTTCTCTAGCAATGAAAGTCCTAGGTGACATTTTCTCCCTATATAAGGCTGTTTCATCTACATTGAAAATCTGTTGCTTAGTGTAGCCACCTTCATCAGTGATCTTAGCTAGATCATTATATAACTTGCTGCAGCTTCTACATCAGTACTTGCTGCTTTGCTTCATCTTGCACTTTTACAGTATGGAGATGGCTTCTTTCTTTAAATCTCATGAAATAACCTCTTCTAGCTTCAAACTCTTCTTCTAGGCTTCATGGAATTGAAGAGATAGGGCTTTGCTCTGGATTAGGCTTTGGCTTAAGGAAATGTTGTGACTGTTGTGATCTATCGAGGCCACTCAAACTTTTTCCATATCAGCAATAAGGCTATTTTGCTTTTGTATTAGTGTTTTCACACTGTTTTAAAGATAGTGCCAGAGACTGGGTAATTTATTAAAGGAAAGAGGTTTAATTGACTCACAGTTTGCATGGCTGGGGAGGCCTGAGAAAACTTACAGTCATGGTGGAAGGGGAAGCAAGCACCTTCTTCACAAGGCAGCAGGAGAGAGAGAAATGAAGGAGGAACTTCCAAACACTTATAAAACCATCAGGTTTCATGAGAACTCACTTGCTGTCAGGATAACAACATGGGGTAAACTGCACCCATAATCCAGTCATTACAGGTCCCTCCCTCGGCACATGGGGATTACAATTGGAGATGAGATTTAAGTGGGAACACAAAGCCAAACCATATAAGCTTTCTTATCATTCATGTGTTCACTGGAGAAGAACATTTAATTTCCTTCAAGAACTTTTTCTTTGCATTCACAACTTGGCTAACCATTTGGAGAAAGAGACCTCGCTTTTGGCCTGTTTCAGCTTTCAACATGTCTTCCTCACTAAGCTTAATCATTTCTGCCTTTTGATTTAAAGTCAAAGACGTGAGCCTCTTCCTTTCTCCTGAACAGTTAGAGGCCATTGTAGGGTAATTCATTGGCCTAATGTCAGTACTGTTGTGTCTCAGGGAATAGGGAAGCCCAAAGGGAGGGAGAGGGACAGGGGAACAACCAGTTGGTGTAGCAGTCAGAAAGCACAATATTTATTGTTTAAATTTACCAACTTATATGGGTGCAGTTTATGGCACCCTAAAACAGTTGTAGTAACATCAAAGGTGATGGCTGACAAATAACCATAACATATAATAAGAATGAAAAAGTTTGAAATATCACAAGAATTACTAAAATGTGACAGAGACACAGTGAGCATATGCTGTTGGGACTATGTCACGGATAGATTTGCTAGATGCAGGGTTGCCACAACTCTTCAATTTGTAAAAAAAAAAAAAAAAAAAAAAAAAAAAGTATCTGTGAGTACATTAAAGTAAAGAGCAATAAAACAAGATATGGCTATGCTTAATTTGCCAGCTGGACTTGGTATATGATTTATTGAGCCTCCTTTCCTTATCTATGAAATTTGGGTATTAAAACATATATCATAGAACTATTGTAAGAATTATATGTTTAAGGGATATAATGTAGTGCCTGGCTCACATTTGTTACTCAGAAAAATTATCTTATTGAGAATCACAAAAAAGAAAGGAGACATCTAATATGTCCTACTTTTTCTCAGAGCAAGAAAAATTATATATATTTTTTGAGGATTATACCACAACCTTGAGAGAAAAAGTGAGAGGAAAGAACCTTAGAGCTCATATTATCCAAGATGATAGAAAAATACTTTAAGCAAGCCTGGGAGCTCTATAAAATCTGATTCAACCCTCCCTCCCCTTACTGCCTCAATCCACAATGAATTTTATATTATTCCATTTGTAGTCTGGAATTTATAATCTGGAAAGTTCTCTGGAAATGTTGGAATGGGATTCAGACTATGGGATGATCAAGGCTATCACAATCTCAAGCAAAATTCATTTATCCATTTGTGGAGCACTCCTATGTTAGGAGAAAAGGAGAAAATCACTGATAAACCTTTTTTTTTTAATGGGAGTTGATGGTTTTTAGGCTCATTCTTTTTCAGAGTGGCTGTACTCCGAGGTTAAGTAGCCCTGCTTTCCTCGTCCACATGGCACATCCCTCTTTATCATTAAAGGCTCATTTCTAACATCATCTGTCTCTTTTTGCCCCAGCAGAATTCATAATTCCTTCACATGTGCCCTCAAAGCACTTTATTCAAACATTGATTATATTATATTGTAATTATTTATCTATTTGTTCTCCTTTCCACATTACTGTAAGATTTTAAGTAGAAAATACTCCTTACTAATATTTATTGTATTAACTCCTAGCACAGTTACTAGAGCATGGTAGTTCACTCAAAAACAGACGCTGTAGCAAGCACTATTTCTGAGCAATGGGAATAGAGCAATGATAAGACAGAAAAGACATCTGCCTTCATGAGCAAGTAGGAGGTGGCATGACTGAGCTAACGTGCTTAACATCCCCTGCCTCATAGTAAATGATATTTTTAAGTGAAGAATCACCATCTCCCTGACAACACATTACAAAGTATAAATCAAAGGGCTATCAATAAGTGTTACTTAAATAAAATAGTGTGTGGTCAAATGAATTTAGGAAATGTTGAGTACCCAAACAGTAAACAGTTTTGTTTACTTCAGATTTCCACTATTGTGGAAAACTTCACCAGGTTCCCTAAAGTTAGTTAATCAAGTCTTCCTAAGTGTATTCTAAAACATTTGTTACACCCTCTGTTGCTCTATCTTAAGACATCTGTAAGAGAAAATCTTCTAGCTCTTTTACAAAGGGTCATTGCCATCTTTAAATAGTTCAGAATCAATAAGATCCGTCTATTGCTTTGAAAAGAATGTGCTTTTAGAGAAGGCAGAGGTCATTTATTATCAGCTAAATGTACATCATTTTATGTTCATTATTTATATTTAGAATTAGAAAAAAACTTCCATTAAAGGTTAAATCAATGGATTATGGATTAGTGAGTTGTGAAGTGTGTGCTGAGTTTTCTAGTCATGATATATGCCATTGTTTTAAATACATAAACCTCCTTTATGTGAAAGAGGAAATAATGAAATTGATTACGAGTGCAGCTGTCCATCTGTAATTATAGGTTGTGTAACCTGTGTACAAAATCTTGGGTTTTTATTAACATGTTATCGTTATTAATTTTACATGAACTATTTAAATTTTGGATATTGAGTCAAAATAAGCAAAATTCTGATAATTACCTAAATTGGGGAAATAGTTTAAAACCACTTCAAAAGGTGAACAAGAAAATATTTCAGACATTTTAATATAAAATTTAAATATAATTGCAATAACAGATATAAATCTCGAAGTAAATACTTAAAAAGTTTAAATTATATAAATACATCTGTTATGCTGATCTTTAGAAAAATATTTTATACCTGAATAGTAAAAATGAGTTCAAAATTAAATGTTATCTTTAAATATCAATTTTAAATAAGTACAAAATCATTTCTGTATTGTGAATGCCATTTTTAAAAATATTTATCCACATTAATGAGAATTTGGAAGAAAAAATATAATGAAAGATTGCCATATGGATGCTGAACTAGCAGTTCTTTTTCTTGTTCTTTTATTATTATAATACTCTTAATGTGGCAAATATAAGTCAGGGAGAGAAAATTACTTTGAGATGGCTTACAGTTTTAAGGACTGACATGTGTAGGAAAAGAACCGAACCACACAGTGTGGAGAGTTTGATTGTTTTCTGAATGGGCACAAAAGTGAAAACTTCAGCCAAGTTAAGAGCTTTTGTAAATAGGAAGTTAATTGTAAAACTAACAAGTACACTTTTTAATTAGTTTAAAAGCAGATGTGTTTGATAACTTTTTGGTGGGATGGAAACATTTTTCTTTGGCATGTCTCATAAATATCAGAAAGAATCAAATACAAATAGGCCGGATTGCATTTAATTACTGAGATGATTGCATAGCCTAAAGCAGACTTCACGAAGGCAGACTAAATTGTCACCATGTTCTTAATTTACTATGTTGTATTTTCCTTTTTGGGCTAAAAGTGTTATTGGCAAATAATTCCCTCCTACAAAAGAACAATAAGCTTCTTAAAAAGTGATGCTTTTAGTTCCATTATCAGTAGTTTCATAACTACTTCCACCTCACTTAGTGGAGAAGCAAAATAGGACATACATGATTTTGTTAAAATCCATAAGCATGTTTAACACTTAGGAGCTTTCCTCTGCCTTTGAAGACTATTCTGTGTCATAACTTTGTTTTAAAATTTATGTCTACTTTTATTGCATGAAAAAACTGTGAGACAGCAATCACATTAACAAATAATAAATAAAAAATTAATTAAAATAAATTACTTAAAATTGTATTTAAATATTTTCTTTGAAATAGTTATTAATGTTAATATGATTAATAACAAATATTAATAATAGCTGCCTATTATTTGCAAACACTATTATAAGTACTATAGGGTTGCAAAGCTGCATGAGGTGAATATCCCGATCTCTTGTTGCTTACAATCTAGTAAGAGTGTCAAGGTATAAATGCATGAGGCATTAAATTAACAGTTGAGATCCAAAAAAAGAACAATACAGAAATAACGCCGCATGTCTACAACTATCTGATCTTTGACAAACCTGAGAAAAACAAGCAATGGGGAAAGGATTCCCTATTTAATAAATGGTGCTGGGAAAACTGGCTAGCCATATGTAGAAAGCTGAAACTGGATCCCTTCCTTACACCTTATACAAAAATTAATTCAAGATGGATTAGAGACTTAAACATTAGACCTAAAACCATAAAGTCCCTAGAAGAAAACCTAGGCATTACCATTCAGGACATAGGCATGGGCAAGGACTTCATGTCTAAAACACCAAAAGCAATGGCAACAAAAGCCAAAATTGACAAATGGGATCTAATTAAACTAAAGAGCTTCTGCACAGCAAAAGAAACTACCATCAGAGTGAAAAGGCAACCTACAAAATGGGAGAAAATTTTCGCGACCTACTCATCTGACAAAGGGCTAATATCCAGAATCTACAAAGAACTCAAACAAATTTACAAGAAAAAAACAACACCATCAAAAAGTGGGCGAAGGACATCAACAGACACTTCTCAAAAGAAGACATTTATGCAGCCAAAAACACATGAAAAAATGCTCATCATCACTGGCCATCAGAGAAATGCAAATCAAAACCACAATGAGATACCATCTCACACCAGTTAGAATGGCGATCATTAAATCAAGTCAGGAAACAACAGGTGCTGGAGAGGATGTGGAGAAATAGGAACACTTTTACACTGTTGGTGGGACTGTAAACTAGTTCAACCATTGTGGAAGTCAGCGTGGCGATTCCTCAGGGATCTAGAACTAGAAATACCATTTGACCCAGCCATCCCATTACTGGGTATATACCCAAAGGACTATAAATCATGTTGCTATAAAGACACATGCACACGTATGTTTATTGTGGCACTATTCATAATAGCAAAGACTTGGAACCAACCCAGATGTCCAACAATGATAGACTGGATTAAGAAAATGTGGCACATATACACCATGGAATACTATGCAGCCATAAAAAAGGATGAGTTCATGTCCTTTGTAGGGACATGGATGAAATTGGAAACCATCATTCTCAGTAAACTATCACAAGAACAAAAAACCAAACACCGCATATTCTTACTCATAGGTGGGAATTGAACAATGAGAACACATGGACACAGGAAGGGGAACATCACACTCTGGGGACTGTTGTGGGGTGGGGGGAGGGGGGAGGGATAGCTTTAGGAGATATACCTAATGCTAAATGACGAGTTAATGGGTGCAGCACACCAGCATGGCACATGTATACATATGTAACTAACCTGCACATTGTGCACATGTACCCTAAAACTTAAAGTATAATAATAATAAAATTTAAAAAAAAGAACAATACAATGATTAATTGCCAAATTTACAAGCAAGAGTATTTTAGAGAGAGGAATGTCATGTGATACGAAATAAATATTAGAAACATAGCAAAGAAGAATACACAATTAATTGCCAATTCGATAAGCATTAAAATTTTAATGAGAAGAATAGCATAGAACTTGGAATGAACACGATTGGAGGAAACAGTCAGAAGGGAGTAAAGATTCTAAATAATGCAGTAAGAGAGATGATACTGGAAAGGGCACACTCTGTGGACCCTGAGAAGCAGCATAGGAAATTTACTTCAATATTTCTGTCATTTCAGTAAGTATTGCATTAAAAATTGTTATGTTTGAAAAGAAACAAATCTGGATTTTTTGAAAACATATTGTTGTAGAAATAGAAATGCAAAAATACATGCACTTTAGTCTGTGTAACAGTTGATGTAATTACTATTTATTGGTGGACTCATGGCAGGCACTAGGAAAAGAGCATTATAAGAACTGTTACATCCATATGAATGAGAAACGAATACTCAGAGAAGCTGTCATTTACCTAGTAGGTGGCAGGGCTGGGATTTGAACCCATATCTTAGTAGACTGTCTCATGCTGCTGCTGCTGCTACTGCTGCTTTCTTATATGTGCTAGGCACTGGGCTAAACACTTTACATATATTCCTTCTATCAGTTTTACAAAATCGATTTAATTTATCCCAATTTTGTGAATGAAAGAACTGAGGTTTAGATAATTGCAGTAGTAAAAATCATGAACTTAATAATTTTAATACCAGGCTTGTAAATGTGACATAGCTAATAAGACATCTTTAATATAAAATATTTTATGAGATTTAAAAAACATTGATTTTGCTGTGATAGACGTAGTTTCAAAAACAATTGACAATTGTACAATTTAGCATTTAAGGATATTCCTCAAAGTAAGTCCTTTTCTGTGGGATTTCTAACAGTAATCAAATGTTGAAGTCTTATGGGGAAGAATTTTTAATTATAATTTCTAAAAATAATTGAATAAGCCTATTCCATATAGCAGTAATTATTAAGATGAAAGAATGCCTACTTTCTTCCAAGTGTGGTAATTGCTCAGTAGAATTAGCTATTTCACAAGTAATTTTACAGTTTTGTTAATTAAGATTAAAGTAATTATCTTGGCCCTAAGATTGCTTTAAATTGAGAGTCTAGCTCTACTGGCAGAAAAGAAAAAGAGTGTATAAGAGCTCTAAAAAGGTTTGTATGCTATTCCTGCCCCCTCCATCTCCAGAAAAAAAAGGCTGAGTCAGAAAAAGAGCTTGTTAAAGACGCGAAGAGTGAAAATGCAATTCCACATTTGTGGTAATAGAGAGCTTATTGAATAAAGCTAAAAACAAATCATTTCTCTCTTTTTACTCTCCAGCCCTGCCTTCTTGTTTAATATTTGGAGTCACTTTTTTCCTTCATGTTAATAAAGTGAAAAAATATACTCATTATACTAAATTTTTCCTCAATGGCTTCACCTTTAAAACCTTCCATTGACCTCAGCCAAATCTTTTTTTTTTTTTTCATTTATTTCAATAGGTTTTGGGGGGAAAAGATGGTGTTTGGTTACATGAATAAGTTCTTTAGTGGTGATTTTCGAGATTTTGGTGTACCCATCACCGGAGCAGTGTACACTGTACCCAATTTGTAGCGTTTTATCCCTCATCCCCTCCCACCCTTTCTTTGAGTCCCCAAGTCCATTGTATCATTCTTATGCCTTTGCATCCTCATAGCTCGTCTCCCACTTACGAGTGAGAACATATGAGGTTTGGTTTTCCATTCCTGAGTTACTTCACTTAGAATAATGGTCTCCAATTCCATCCGGGTTTCAGTCAAATCTTTTATGTAGGATCACACCTGGTGACCTTTAAGAAATTGAACCATCACAAGAAATCAGTTGGCAGTGTTCTACTGGGGTGGCTCTTCCTCTTTAGTCATAGATTAAGGAAAGCTCAAGAACCACAACTCTACTGCTCTGTCTGAACACTCAATTGTTAATTTTGTTCCTCTTCTTTTAGCTGAAATTCAGATTTTATAAATATTGTGAATAAATATTTTGTGAGAGTTGAGCTCAATTTCCTGGACAACACACTTAAAATACTTGCTCTTATGTCTTACAGTTGCATACAGAACCTGACCAGATGTTTATGGGTTTTTTTTTCTTTTTTCTTTGCTCTTTTTTTTTTTTTTTAGACAGAGTCTCACTCTGTTGCCCAGAATGGAGAGCAGTGGTGCAATCTCAGCTCACGGCACCCTCTGCCTCCCAGGTTCAAGCAATTCTCCTGCCTCAGCCTCCCAGGTGGCTGGGAGTACAGGCACCCGCCACCACACCTGGCTAATTTTTGTGTTTTTTTTTCAGTAGAGACAGGGTTTCACCATGTTGGCCAGGCTGGTCTCGAACTCCTGACCTCCAGGGATCCACCTGCCTCAGCCTCCCAAAGTGCTGGGATTACAGGCATGAACCACTGCACCCGGCCTATTTTTTTTCATCTGTGGTTATCACATTGAAATTATCCCTTAAAGACTATAAAACCACTTTATTCCTTCAGATACCAGAAAATTAGGCTTATAGGGAATGATAACCAAGAGACAAAAAGCAACAGCTAAATTTTTTTTGTTCTTAAAAAAACTGCTTTTCCTGAAGAAAGTAAAATAAAATAAAGCCCAGATTAAAGAATCAAATATAAAGACATCTAATACTCTTATCAGAAGACCTTTCTGCATCATTTCAAAAAAAAAAAAAAAGGCTGTAAGCCTCTGATAAGATTATTTTAAGGACAGAATGAAGATTTCCTCTTGAATGATTTGCTCTGCCCTTTATCAAAAAGACATGTGTCTGTCCACTTTAACATTTCTGGTATAAATATACCTTGTCCTTTAAAAATTACTGCATAACATTAAAATCACGAGCATTGCTATACATCATCAACAGTCAAGCCAGAGAGCCAAATCAGGAATGAACTCCCATTCACAATTGCCACAAAAAGAATCAAGTACCTAGGAATACAGCTAACTAGGGAGGTGAAAGATCTCTATGAGGAGACCTACAAACCACTGCTCAAAGAAATGAGAAATGACACAAATAATTGGAAAAACATTCCATGCTCATGGATAGGAAGAATCAATATCATTAAAATGGCCATACTGACCAAAGCAATTTATAGTTTTAATGCTATTCCTATTAACCTACCATTGAGATTCTTCACAGAACTAGAAAAAACTATTTTAAAATTCATATAGGACCAAAAATAGCCCAAATAGCCAATGCAATCATAAGCAAAAATAATAAAGCTGGAGGCATCACACTGTCCAACTTCAAAATATACTACAGGGCTACAGTAACCAAAACAGCATGGTGGGTACAAAAACAGACACATAGACCAATGGAACAGAATACAGAACCCAGAAATAAAACCAGATACATACCACTATTTGATCTTTGATGAACCTGACAAAAGCAAGCAATGGAGAAAGGATTTCTTATTCAATAAATTTAGTGCTAAGATAAGTGGCTAGCCATATGCAGAAGATTGAAACTGGACCCCTTCCTTATACCATACACAAAAATAAACTCAAGATGGATTACAGACTTAAATGTAAAACCCAAAACTATAAAAACCTTGGAAGATAGCCTAGGCAATACCATTCAGGACGTAGGCATGGGCAAAGATTTCATGACGAAGACACCAAAGCAATTCCAACAAAAGCAAATATTGACAAATGGGATCTGTTTAAAGAGCTTCTGCACAGCAGAAGAAAATATCAATAGACTAAACAGACAACTTACAGAATGGAAGAAAATTTTTGCAAACTATGCATCTGACAAAGGTCTCATCCAGTATCTTTTAGGAACTTAAACAAATTTACAAGCAAGAAACAAACAACCCAATTAAAAATGGGAAAGAACATGAACACTTTTCAAAAGAAGACATATATGTAGCCAATAATCATATGAAAAAAAGTTCAACATCACTGATCTTAGGAGAAATGCAAATCAATACCACAATGAGACACCATCTCACACCCGTCAGAATATGGCTATAATTAAAAAGTCAAAAACAACAGATGCTGGTGAGGTAGTGGAGAAAAAGGAACACTTGTACATTGTGGGAGTGTAAGTCAGTTCAACCATTGTGGAAGGCAGTGTGGCAATTCCTGAAAAACCTGAAGACAGAAATACCATTAGATCCAGCAATCCCATTACTGGGTATATACCCAAAGGAAATAAATCATTCTGTTATAAAGACACATGCATGTGTATGTTCATTGCAGCACTATTCACAATAGGAAAGATACGGAATCAACCTAAATACCCATCAATGATAGCCTGGATAAAGAAAATGTGGTACATATACACCATGGAGTACTGTGCTTCCATGAAAAAGAATGAGATCCTGTCCTTCACGGGGACTTCGATAGAGCTGGAGGCCATTATCCTAAGCAAACTAACAGGCACACAAAATGAAACACCACGTGTTCTCACTTGTAAATGGAAGCTAAATGATGAGAACACATGACACATAGAGGGAAATGACACACACTGGGGCCTATATGAGAGTGGAGGGTGGGAGAACAGAGAGAATCAGGAAAAATAACTGGTGGGTACTAGGCTTAATACTTGGATGATGAAATAATCTGTACAACAAACCCCCATGATACAAGTTTACCTATGTAACAAACCTGCACAAGTACCCCTGAACTTAAAAGTTAAAAAAAACTACTGTGTAACATTAACATGATATTTCAAAGTTCACTGTAAGTGAAGAGTTTACTTGCATAGTGTATTTTATGCCTAGATGTTTTATTTTTCATATTATGTAACTAATAATAAGTTATCATACTTTAACCAAATGGTTCTACCTGTTTCTCTTTCTGATAAATAAGTAAATTTGGAGTAAAAGTGATGCCAAGAAGTAAAATATATTGCTGCAGTGAGCAATACAGGGGAAAAGGAAGGCAGAAGGTAGCAGAAACTACAAAGGGGGAAGTGTAGAGAGGGCCGCAGCTTAACAAAGTAGTAGCTCAGTAAAAGAAACACATACTGGAATTAAAATTTTAGACAAAATGTTACTTTCCTATCCACTTTCTTTTTTCATGTCTTTATTTGATTTGGTTGATAACAAACTTTTCTAATTATTAAGTATAGGTTATACCATCTAACCTATACTTTAATTATATTCATGCTTTTTTGCCTAAAGTTTCATTATTATTAGTGGGGGATCTTTTTGATTTGATACTGGCATTTATTACTGTCTTCCTCTAGTTGAATCCAAAATGTTTCAGAGAATTTATCAAGAATCATCATTAATAATAACTATATCCTACTGATATGCATGGAAATAAATGGGGATATAAACAAAAAGTTGAAATGCATCTCAGTGATGTATTTACAATTCTGATTATAAAATCCTATCTTTCCTTCCATGTTTAGCAATCACATGGAGAAGGCACAAATTAGTCTGGCTTTAAAACATTGAACTAAAAACTAGGATTTGACTATCTGAGCCATAGCTTTACAGTGTCAGAATATGAGAGTATACTTCGTAAAGGCAGGAAGGATGCATTTTTCAAGAACTTCACCAATTAATTTGCAATGTAAATTGATATAATAACCAGATAATAATACACAACCCTAGGTAAGGGGGAATGGAAGAGTGTCAGAGAAAGAAGACCCTGAAATAATACATAGGCAAGAGTCAGAATAGTAGTAATGGCTTAAGATATATATCAGATGTAAGAGGGGACTTCAAAAGGTTCACAGAAAAATGGAATTAAAAGATAGGAATAAAGACATATAAACTTTATCCCTCAACATAAATACCATCAAGTTCAGGACACTTTTGTAAGTGATACCAGCCATTTAGTCCATCCCTAAAGAACTGAGGGTCTTGGAATTTAACATGTCAGTACAGTTTTTTTACATTATTAACTGAAGAAAAGGGTACCCTTTACAAACTTTTTAAGATTAGGAAACAAAAAGAAGTTACAAGGAGCCAAATCAAGACTGCATGATGCACTCCTGCTGATTTCCCATAGAAACTCTGAAAATTGCACTTGTTTGATAAGGGGAATGAGCAGGAACATTATCAAGTCAGAGGACTCTCTGATGAAGCTTTCCTGGGCATTTTTGTGCTAAAGCTTTAGCGGACTTTCTCAACACACTCTCATAATAAGCAGATATTATCGTTCTTTGGTTCTCCAGAAAGTCAGCAAGCATAATGCCTTGAGCATCCCACAAAACTGTTACCATGACCTTTGCTCTTGACCAGTTCTCTTTTGCTTTGACTGGACCACTTCTACCTCTTGGTAGCCATTTTTTTGATTGTGCTTTGTTTTTAGGATAGTTAAGTTTTATCTCCTGTTACAGTTGTTCAAAGAAATACTTAAAGGTCTTTATCCTACTTGTTTAAAATTTCTGTTGAAAGCTCTGCTCTCATATGCAGCCAATATGGGTGCATTGATTTTGGCACCCATCCAGTGGAAAGTTTGCTTAACTTTAATTTCTCAGTTAGAATTTGTAAGCCGAACCAGTTGAGATTTCTACAGTATTGGTTATTATGTCCAATTGGTCCTCTTCAATTAGCGTACAAGCAAGATTAATTTTTTTGATGAATTGTTGTAGATGATTTGCCTCTGCCTCTGCAGGCTTCATCTTCAACACTGTCTTGTCTCTTCTTTTTTTTTTTTGAGACAGAGTTGTACTCTGTTGCCCAGGCTGGAGTGCAGTGGTGCAAACACACCTCATTGTAAACCTTGACCTCCTGGGCACAAGCTATCCTCCTGCCTCACCTCCTGAATAGCTGGGACCACAGACATGTGCCACCATGCCCTGCTAATGTTTTTCTTTTTTGTTTTTTGTTTTGTTGTTGTTGTTGTTGTTGTTTAGTTTTTGTAGATAAAGGGTCATACCATGTTATCCAGGCTGATCTTGAACTCTTGGGCTCAAGCAATCCTCCCATCTCAGCCTCCCAAAGTGCAAGGATTACAGGCATGAGCCACCACATTTGGCTTGTCTCTTTAAAAAGTCATCCATCAACACCTGTGAAAAGAAGGGGGACAATACAAGTTTTTTATTTGTAAACTTCTGATTTCTTTAATTCTTCCCATGTTTTTTTAACCATCAATGATTTTATCATTCTTCCACCGAAACTTTACCATAAATTTGGTACTTGTTCTTAGTTCAGTTGTAGCAGCACTTAACGTTGCTCTGAGAGGGTTTTGTTCAAACTGATGTCTTACCCTTCTTAGTGCCTTAAACTATATCCTGTTCAGACATGTAGCAAGTTAGTACAAGTTTATTTTGGTGCAAAAAATTTGAAATCCATGCATAATGTTTTCATAATACACATTTTCCATGAACTTTTTGAAGTCTGCTAGTATGTGTATAGATATATATTATAGGTAAGAGATTTTGTGTGTGTGCACACATGCATGCACAAACCCACAGCATTGCGGTACTATATATCACTGAGAATACATCCAACAGGACACAAGACATGTTAACTAAAAGGGCGCTGACCTTTCTTATGGTGGAGAACAGTGCCAGTAAATATAGACTGTGTCTTTTCAACATATTTTGTAATCATGTTTCATTAGTGATTTCTCATATATATACTTATACATTCACCTGTGCGGCAAGTGGGTTCCCCCATTTTCATTACTTTGTCTCACCTCTTTCCTTCAATTTGGCAAAAATTTTAACTATAAGTTTGTTTTTATTATGAAATAGACTGAAAGCTGCACAAAGGCTAGAATCATGCTGATATTTACCTAGTATGCATACCTCGTATTTAGTCTGTGGCTTGGCTCATAGATTTGTACAGTAAGTGTTTGTTCTAATGAATGAACATAGACATTACACATACAGTACTCTATGTATATCATAGTTATCACTGTTTATCCAGAGTATTTAGTACTGGTTTTAGAGAGGCAGGAAACAGCTATGCTGGTGCTGTCAATGTAGTATTCTTAAGATAGTCCATTTTCTTGGTTGCTTTTCTTGCAGTTAGAAGCGGTGCAGCATAAGCAAGGAAGTCAGACTGCCTGAGGACACATTCTGCCACCAGCTAGTTGTATGATCTTGGGCACATTACTTAACCACTCTGTGCTTCCATTTCTTCATCTGTACAATGAATTAATAATAGTACCTATCTCAAAGGGATTAATGAAAAGTAGTTGAGTAGTGAGTAGATATGTGTACAATATTTAGAAAGGTACCTAAACACAATAAGCTCTCAGTAAATATTGGCCTATTTTCTTGATCACTAAAGTGGTAGGAAGGGAATATTACTAATTATATACTAGCTCTTAAAGTTTTTGTCTGGAAATGTCTCACTTCTGCTCACATTTTATTAGCTGGAGGAGGTCACATCAACATGATTAAGTTCAAAGTGATAGAAAAGTACAATTTTAAAATGTGTATTGAAGGAGAGGATAACCATTTGTAACTCTCAGTACTTATGTTTTTGTTTAATCTTGGTAGGATTAGAATTCATGCACAGAAGTCCTGACCTCAATGATTACCACTTAACTCTTGTAGCCAAAGGGAAATTCTGTTTCTTATGTATTTTTTGTGTGTATTTAGTAAAATATTCCTTTGTTTACTTCACTCTTTCCTCTGTTCCATTGGATAGTTTTTGTTACTACGTATTAAATAATCAATTAATTTTCAGTAGTGCTTCACCAGGTAAATTCAGGTTCCTCTGTAGCTTTTAAAGGGGAACCATTCCTGAGGGGCCAGGAGGCTTTAAGGAAAATCAAGTACATGCTCATAAGCTGAAAATGCAATTATCAAAAATTTTATTGAGGAAACTATGAGTACCTAAACCCTATTTATCTAAAAATAACACCAAGTTCCAGCTAATGAACATCATTATATCAATAGTAATATTAATTATCATAATACAACCTAACTGGAAATCTTCCCTTCATTAATTATTGATTGTTCATATGTTCTTTTCTTGCAGTAGTACACTGTTCTCGTATAGCCACACTCATGAACAAAATATACATATGATGCTCAATGTTTCTGTATAATTTAGTCATTAATGGCACAAAGATATAAAGAACAAAAAATAAACAAATGAAAAGAAAGCATATGATACCACACTCACCTTCCTAGTGTTGACACTGGAGGTATCATACATGAGATAATAAAAGTATAAGCTAGCAAATCCAAACAGACTTCGGTGTAGCATGAGTACCCATGCAACTGTGGAGACAGTAGCATAAGTGGCTCCTGTCTGTTCAACTGGGTACTCTCCAAATACAGGAAATCTAAATTAGCCCTTCTTCATGAAAAGAAATGCTTTTATATACCAAACTGAGGACATTCGTTGAAACTCTTAGAGCAGTCAGAATATACTGACTAAATAGGCATATCATAGGATAACATGAAGTTTTGATCATGCTTACAAATTATTAATAATAGTCACATCTACAGTTACTCTTTTTTTTATTATACTTTAAGTTCTGGGGTACATGTGCACAACGTGCAGGTTTGGTACATATGTATACATGCGCCATGTTGGTGTGCTGCACTCGTTAACTCGTCATTTACATTAGGTATATCTCCTAATGCTATCCCTCCTCCCTCCCCCCACCTCACGACAGGCCCCAGTGTGTGATGGTCCCCACCCTGTGTCTAACTGTTGTCATTGTTTAATTCCCACCTATGAGTGAGAACATGTGGTGGTTGGTTTTCGGTCCTTGCGATAGTTTGCTCAGAATGATGGTTTCCAGCTTCATCCATGTCCCTACAAAGGACATGAACTCATCCTTTTCTATGGCTGCATAGTATTCCATGGTGTATATGTGCCACATTTTCTTAATCCAGTCTATCATTGATGGACATTTGGGTTGGTTCCAAGTCTTTGCTATTGTGAATAGTGCCACAATAAACATACGTGTGCATGTGTCTTTATAGCAGCATGATTTATAATCCTTTGGGAATATGCCCAGTAATGGGATGGCTGGGTCAAATGGTATTTCTAGTTCTAGATCCCTGAGGAATCGCCACACTGTCTTCCACAATGGTTGAACTAGTTTACAGTCCTACCAACAGTGTAAAAGTGTTCCTATTTCTCCACATCCTCTCCAGCACCTGTTGTTTCCTGACTTGATTCAATGATCGCCATTCTAACTGGTGTGAGATGGTATCTCATTGTGGTTTTGATTTGCATTTCTCTGATGGCCAGTGATGATGAGCATTTTTTCATGTGTCTTTTGGCTGCATAAATGTCTTCTTTTGAGAAGTGTCTGTTCATATCCTTTGCCCACTTTTTGATGGGGTTGTTTGTTTTTGTCTTGTAAATTTGTTTAAGTTCTTTGTAGATTCTGGATATTAGCCCTTTGTCAGATGAGTAGATTGCAGAAATTTTCTCCCATTCTGTAGGTTGCCTGTTCACTCTGATGGTAGTTTCTTGTGCTGTGCAGAAGCTCTTTAGTTTAATTAGATCCCATTTGTCAATTTTGGCTTTTGTTGCCATTGCTTTTGGTGTTTTAGTCATGAAGTCCTTGCCCATGCCTATGTCCTGAATGGTATTGCCTAGGTTTTCTTCTGGGGTTTTTATGGTTTTAGGTCTAACATTTAAGTCTTTAATCCATCTTGAATTAATTTTTGTATAAGATGTGAGGAAGGGATCCAGTTTCAGCTTTCTACATATGGTTAGCCAGTTTTCCCAGCACCATTTATTAAATAGGGAATCCTTTCCCCATTTCTTGTTTTTGTCAGATTTGTCAAAGATCAGATAGTTGTAGATGTATGGTATTATTTCCAGGGGCTCTATTCTGTTCCATTGGTCTATGTCTCTGTTTTGGTACCAGTACCATGCTGTTTTGGTTACTGTAGCCTTGTAGTATAGTTTGAAGTCAGGTAGTGTGATGCCTCCAGCTTTGTTCTTTTGGCTTAGGATTGACTTGGCGATGTGGGCTCTTTTTTGGTTCCATATGAACTTTAAAGTAGTTTTTTCCAATTCTGTGAAAAAAGTCATTGGTAGCTTGATGGGGATGGCATTGAATCTATAAATTACCTTGGGCAGTATGGCCATTTTCACGATACTGATTCTTCCTATCCATGAGCATGGAATGTTCTTCCATTCGTTTGTGTCCTCTTTTATTTCATTGAGCAGTGGTTTGTAGTTCTCCTTGAAGAGATCCTTCACATCCCTTGTAAGTTGGATTCCTAGGCATTTTATTCTCTTTGAAGCAATTGTGAATGGGAGTTCACTCATGATTTGGCTCCCTGTTTGTTTGTTATTGGTGTATAGGAATGCTTGTGATTTTTGCAGATTGATTTTGTATCCTGAGACTTTGCTGAAGTTGCTTATCAGCTTAAGAAGATTTTGGGCTGAGATGATGGGGTTTTCTAAATATACAATGATGTCATCTGCAAACAGGGACAATTTGACTTCCTCTTTTCCTAATTGAATACCCTTTATTTCTTTCTCTTGCCTGATTGCCCTGGCCAGAACTTCTAATACTATATCGAATAGGAATGGTGAGAGAGCGCATCCCTGTCTTGTGCCAGTTTTCAAAGGAAGTGCTTCCAGTTTTTGCCCATTCAGTATGATAGTGAGTGCTCTTATTATTTTGAAACACATCATAAATTGCTCTAATTTTGAGACACGTCCCATCAATACCTACTTTAGTGAGAGTTTTTAGCTGTTGAATTTTGTCAAAGGCCTTTTCAGCATCTATTGAGATAATCATGTGGTTTTTGTCTTTGGTTCTGTTTATATGATGGATTACATTTATTGATTTGGGTATGTTGAACCAGCCTTGCATCCCAGGGATGAAGCCAACTTGATCGTGGTGGATAAGCTTTTTGATGTGCTGCTGGATTTGGCTTGCCAGTATTTTATTGAGGATTTTTGCATCAATGTTCATCAAGGATATTGGTCTAAAATTCTCTCTTTTTTGTTGTGTGTCTGCCAGGCTTTAGTATCAGGATGATGTTGGCCTCATAAAATGAATTAGGGAGGATTCCCTCTTTTTCTATTGATTGGAATAGTTTCAGAAAGAATATTACCAGCTCCTCTTTGTACCTCTAGTAGAATTCAGCTGTGAATCTGTCTGGTCCTGGACTTTTTTGGTTGGTAGGCTATTAATTATTGCCTCAATTTCAGAACCTGTTATTGGTCTATTCAGGGATTGAACTTCTTCCTGGTTTAGTCTTGGGAGGGTGTATGTGTTCAGGAATTTATCCGTTTCTTCTAGATTTTCTAGTTTATTTGTGTAGAGGTGTTTACAGTATTCTCTGATGGTAGTTTGTATTTCTGTGGAAACGGTGGTGATGTCCCCTTTATCATTTTTTATTGCATCTATTTGATTCTTCTCTCTTTTCTTCTTTATTAGTCTTGCTAGCAGTCTATCAATTTTGTTGATCTTTTCAAAAAACCAGCTCCTGGATTCATTAATTTTTTGAAGGGTTTTTTGTGTCTCTATTTCCTTCAGTTCTGCTCTGATCTTAGTTATTTCTTCCTTCTGCTAGCTTTTGAATGTGTTTGCTCTTGCTTCTCTAGTTCTTTTAATTGTGTTGTTAGGGTGTCAATTTTAGATCTTTCCTGCTTTCTCTTGTGGGCATTTGGTGCTATAAATTTCCCTCTACACACCGCTTTAAATGTGTCCCCGAGATTCTGCTATGTTGTGTCTTTGTTCTCATTGGTTTCAAAGAACATCTTTGTTTCTGCCTTCATTTTGTTATGTACCCAGTAGTCATTCAGGAGCAGGTTGTTCAGTTTCGTGTAGTTGAGTGGTTTTGAGTGAGTTTCTTTACTCCTGAGTTCTAGTTTGATTGCACTGTGGTCTGAGAGATAGTTTGTTTTAATTTCTGTTCTTTTACATTTGCTGAGGAGTGCTTTACTTCCAACTATGTGATCAATTTTGGAATAGGTGTGATGTGGTGCTGAGAAGAATGCATATTCTGTTGATGTGGGGTGGAGGTTCTGTAGATGTCTATTAGGTCCTCTTGGTGCAGAGCTGAGTTCAATTCCTGGATATCCTTGTTAACTTTCTGTCGCGTTGATCTGTCTAATGTTGACAGTGGGGTGTTAAAATCTCCCATTATTATTGTGTGGGATTTTAAGTCTCTTTGTAGGTCTCTAAGGACTTGCTTTATGAACCTGGGTGCTCCTCTTTTGGATGCAGTGCATATATATTTAGGATAGTTAGCTCTTCTTGTTGAATTGATCCCTTTACCATTATGTAATGACCTTCTTTGTCTCTTTTGATCTTTGTTGGTTTAAAGTCTGTTTTATCAGAGACTAGGATTGCAACCCCTGCTTTGTTTTGTTTTCCATTTGCTTGGTAGATCTTTCTCCATCCCTTTATTTTGAGCCTATGTGTGTGTCTGCATGTGAGATGTGTCTCCTGAATACAGCACACTGATGGGTCTTGACTGTTTATCCAGTTTGCCAGTCTGTGTCTTTTAATTGGAACATTTAGCCCATTTACATTTAAAGTTAATATTGTTATGTGTTACTCTTAAAGACATTATTATTAGAGTATTTTCTATTGTTTTTTCTATAGTGACTCATTTGCAGAAGAAAATGGCAGAAGAATAACTTATTATGTTGAAATACTAAATAGAAGGAGTGATGCAGGAGGAGTTTAGCTAAATAAACAGAAGAAACTATGTGCTTGTATAGTGATGAATTTCAGTAGGAAAACAGAGTGAAGAACATATGAGAATGAAAGGAAAGGAAATGCATGATGTTGTTTTACCACAAGAATATATGCTCAGCACTGAGAATATTGCCTAACACAAAATAGATGCTCAGTAAATATATTTTTGAATGAGAACCATAGAAAGAAGGATGGAAAGAAATAGACAAGAAGGAGTTTGAACAGAAAACAGATGATGATATCCTAGATTGGTAACCTGGCACAGATGCCAAATATAATGGTGTTGGAACATAAGCCTTTTTTGAACATATTATTCTACAGTAGAAAAACGTCTCATGATTCATGACTTGGTGGTAAACAATATTATCAGAAAAATGAGAATATAAGGAGAGTATTATTTGTATACTCTATGTTTTAGTTCGTTGAGGCTGCTATAACAAATTACAGGCTAAGTATTCCTTATATGAAACGCTTGGGGCCAGAGTGTTTTGAATTTAGGATTTTTTTCAGATTTTGGAATATTTGCATGTACATAATGAGATATCTTGGGGATGGGACCCAAGTTTAAAAACAATTGTCTATGTTTCATATATATACCTTATACACATAGCCTGAAGATTTTATACAATATTTTTAATAATTTTGTACATGAAACATGGTTTGTGTTAAGTACTTATATGTGGAATTTTCCACTTATGGCATCATGTCAGCACTCAAAAAGTTTTGGGTTTTGGAACATTTTGGATTTTCAGATTAGAGATGCTTAACCTGTTCCATAAACTAGGTAGCTTATGAACAACAGAAATTTATTTCTTGCAGTTCTAGAAGTGAGAAGTCCAGGATCAAAATACCAGTAGATTTGGTGTTTCGTGAGGGCCCCACCTCCTGGTTCATAGAACAGTGCCTTCTCCCTGTGTCCTCACATGATGGAAGTGACGAACAGGCTCCCTTGAGCCTATTTTATAAGGGCACTAATCCCATTCACAAGCGCTTTTCTTTCATGACCTAATTACTTTCCCAAAAGCCCCAGCACATCATACCATCACCTTGGAGGTAAGGATTTCAACATATGAATTTTGGACAGAAACCATACTAATGACAGTGTTTCTGAACATTTCTTTATTAGAAACTGCTTTTGGAAAAATGTAATAAAACTCTAGACTTCTCCCTCAAAAATACGTATGTACATATACCATAAAATTTTGTAGACCATTTCAGGAGTTTTGTGAATCTGTAAAACTCATCCATTGGTTAATGATGAGTGCCACATTTTTAAATAATGTGAATGTTGGGTTAATATCTACCCCCACCCCCCGAAAAACATGAAAAGAAGAGCACAGAAGTGCCAAGGAACAACACAAAGCTCTGAGATAGATATCAGAAGGACCAAAACCCAGAATAACCTGAGGTGCAGTCTAAAAAAGTAATAGAACTCCTCCATCAGGTCCCACAGTATAGTAGGGTATAGCCCATTATCTTTCCATTTAGTGATTATAATTTTTTGTGTCCACATATTCACTGCTAGTATATAGAAATACAATTATTATTTGTGTGTCTATCTTGCATCTCGTGACCTTGCTTAACTCAGTCCTTAGTTCTAGGAGTGTTTGACAGATTTTGCATGATTTTTTACATAGACAGTCATGTTATCTGCATATAGGGACAATTTTATTTCCTCTTTTTCTATTTATATTCCTCTTATTTCCTCTCTTTTGCCTTACTGCATTGGCTAGAAATTTCAGTACTCTGTTGAGTAAGAGTGGTAACAGCAGACATCTTTGCCTTATTCCCAGTTTTAGGTGGAGAACATTCAGTCTTTCACTCTTAAGTATAAAGTTAGCTAAAGTTTTTTGTAGACACTTTTATCGAGTTGAAGAAATTGCCTTTTATTCCTGTTTTCCTGAACTTTTCTAAAATTGTGAATCGTTGCTAAATTTTGTCAAATATCTTTTATAATGACTAATATGATCATGTGATTTTTCTTCTTCAGCTGTTAATGTAATGCACTACATTGATTCTTAAGGATTTTTTTGTCTATATAAAGGATGGATATTGGTCTGTAGTTTTCTTTTTTTGTACTGTTTTTGGTTTTTGTATCAGGGTGATGTTAGCTATAATAATTATTGAGAAATATTTCTTCCTATTCTGTTTTCTGGAAGAGATTATGTATAATTGGAGTTAATTCTTCTTTAAATGTTTAATAAAATTCTTCAGTGAAACTATCTAGGCCTGGAGATTTGGGGAAAGAGGAGTAAACATCTTAAATTTCTTTAATTGTTACAGAGTTGTTCATATTATCTTTTTCACATTGGGTGAGTTGTGGTCATTCATGTTTTTTGGTCCATTTCTTCTAAGCTGCCAAATTTATGTGTGTAGAGTCTTTCACAGTATCCACTCCTTCTTTTGATGTCTTCAGAGTCACTAGTGATATCCCCTTTTTCATTCCTGATATTGGTAATTTGTGTCTACTCTTTTTTACTTTGTCAGTCTTTTTAGAGGTGTGTCAGTGTTATTGATTTTTTTCAAAGAAACAGCTCTTTGTTTTTGTTAATTTTTCTCTGTTGTTTTTCTGTTTTCAGTTTCACTGATTTTTATTGATTTCTGCTTTTTTATTGTTTCCTTTCTTCTACTTGCCTTTTATGTGTTCTTAAGGTGAGAATTTAGGTTACTGATTTTAAATGTTTCTTCTTTTCTAATATATGCATTTAGTACTATAGATTACCCTCTCAGTTCTACTTTACTTGTGTCCAACAAGTGTTGATATTTTTTATTGTGATTTTCATTCAGTTCTGTATTCTTTTGGTTTTCCCTCGAGAATTCTTTTTTAAATCAAGGGTTATTTATTTTTTCTGCCTTCCTGTGGGTGACTTGGTCATTTTTTAGAATTCTGTTTTGATTTATCTATGTTTCTTAGTATATCCCTTTGTGTAGCTTTTTTAGTGTTTGCTCTAAGTATTACATTTTTTGTGCATAGCCTTATCAGTCTACTGGTGCTAACATTCTGTCAGTCCATGTGAAATATAGACACTATGTCCTTTCACATCCCTTTGCCTTCCCCCATTTATAATATAGTTATCTTAAATATTACCAGTAAATATACTTAGAACCACATCAGTGTTACAATTTTTGTTTCAACAGTAAAACATAATTTAGAAAACTCAGGAGGAAAAGGAAAGCCTATTATAGATAGTCATGTTTTGCTTATTGTGTTCTTTCTTCCTAATGTTTCAGTGTTTCTTCTATTACTTCTCTCATGTTTACAGGACTGCCTATAGCCTTTCTTTTAGACTAGCTCTGATGGCAATAAATATTCTGTTTTTTACTTCATCTAAAGATGTCTTCACTTGTTATTTCTGGAGGTCTCATCACTGGCTATAGGATTTGGGGTTGACGGTTCTTCTCTTTTAGCACCTAAAAAATATTTTGCCACTTTCTCTGGTCATCATTGTTTCTGATGTAAAATATATTGTCATTCTGTTTTACTTCTGCAGATGAGATGCCACTTTTCTCTGGCTGCTCTTTAGACTTTCTTTGCCCTCAGTTTTCAGAAATTTAATTATGATGTGTCTTAGCATGGACTTCCATGGATTTATCATGTTTAGAGTTCAGTAAGCTACTTAAATCTGTACATTTATGTTTTTGCCAAATTTAGAAAGTTTTCCGCCATTTTTTTGTTTGTTTGTTTTTTTTTTTTTTTAGATTCTTCGTTCTTTCACATGCAGAGCATCTTTTTTTTTTAATTTTATTATTATTATACTTTCAGTTTTAGGGTACATGTGCACAACGTGCAGGTTTGTTACATATGTATACACGTGCCATGTTGGTATGCTGCACCCATTAACTCGTCATTTAGCATCAGGTATACCTCCTAATGCTATCCTTCCCCCCTCCCCCCACCCCACAACAGTCCCCAGTGTGTGATGTTCCCCTTCCTGTGTCCATGTGTTCTCATTGTTCAGTTCCCACCTATGAGTGAGAACATGCGGTGTTTGGTTTTTTGTCCTTGCGATAGTCTGCTGCGAATGATGGTTTCCAGTTTCATCCATGTCCCTACAAAGGACATGAACTCATCCTTTTTTATGGCTGCATAGTATTCCATGGTGTATATGTGCCACATTTTCTTAATCCAGTCTATCGTTGTTGGACATTTGGGTTGGTTCCAAGTCTTTGCTATTGTGAATAGTGCCACAATTAACATATGTGTGCATGTGTCTTTATAGCAGCATGATTTATAGTCCTTTGGGTATATACCCAGTAATGGGGTGGCTGGGTCAAATGGTATTTCTAGTTCTAGATACCTGAGGAATCGCCACACTGTCTTCCACAATGGTTGAACTAGTTTACAGTCCCACCAACGTGTAAAAGTGTTCCTATTTCTCCACATCCTCTCCAGCATCTGTTGTTTCCTGACTTTTTAATGATCGCCATTCTAACTGGTGTGAAATGGTATCTCATTGTGGTTTTGATTTGCATTTCTCTGATGGCCAGTGATGATGAGCATTTTTTCATGTGTCTTTTGGCTGCATAAATGTCTTCTTTTGAGAAGTGTCTGTTCATATCCTTCGCCCATTTGTTGATGGGGTTGTTTGTTTTTTTCTTGTAAATTTGTTTAAGTTCTTTGTAGATTCTGGATATTAGCCCTTTGTCAGATGAGTAGGTTGCAAAAATTTTCTCCCATTCTGTAGGTTGTCTGTTCACTCTGATGGTAGTTTCTTGTGCTGTGCAGAAGCTCTTTAGTTTAATTAGATCCCATTTGTCAATTTTGGCTTTTGTTGCCATTGCTTTTGATGTTTTAGACATGAATTCCTTGCCCATGCCTATGTTCCTGAATGGTATTGCCTAGGTTTTCTTTTAGGGATTTTATGGTTTTAGGTCTAACATTTAAGTCTTTAATCCATCTTGAATTAATTTTTGTATAAGGTGTAAGGAAGGGATCCAGTTTCAGCTTTCTACATATGGTTAGCCAGTTTTCCCAGCACCATTTATTAAATAGGGAATCCTTTCCCCATTTCTTGTTTTTGTCAGATTTGTCAAAGATCAGATAGTTGTAGATATGCGTCATTATTTCTGAGGGCTCTGTTCTGTTCCATTGTTCTATATCTCTGTTTTGGTACCAGTACCATGCTGTTTTGTTTACTGTAGCCTTGTAGTATAGTTTGAAGTCAGGTAGCGTGATGCCTCCAGCTTTGTTCTTTTGGCTTAGGATTGACTTGGCGATGTGGGCTCTTTTTTGGTTCCATATGAACTTTAAAGTAGTTTTTTCCAATTCTGTGAAAAAAGTTATTGGTAGCTTGATGGGGATGGCATTGAATCTATAAATTACCTTGGGCAGTATGGCCATTTTCACGATATTGGTTCTTCCTACCCATGAGCATGGAATGTTCTTCCATTTGTTTGTATCCTCTTTTATTTCATTGAGCAGTGGTTTGTAGTTCTCCTTGAAGAGGTCCTTCATATCCGTTGTAAGTTGGATTCCTAGGTATTTTATTCTCTTTGAAGCAATTGTGAATGCGAGTTCACTCATGATTTGGCTCTCTGTTTGTCTGTTATTGGTGTGTAAGAATGCTTGTGATTTCTGCAGATTGATTTTGTATCCTGAGACTTTGCTGAAGTTGCTTATCAGCTTAAGGAGATTTTGGGCTGAGACCATGGGGTTTTCTAGATATACAATCATGTCATCTACAAACAGGGACAATTTGACTTCCTCTTTTCCTAATCGGATACCTTTATTTCCTTCTCCTGCCTGATTGCCCTGGCCAGAACTTCCAACACATTGTTGAATAGGAGTGGTGAGAGAGGGCATCCCTGTCTTGTGCCAGTTTTCAAAGGGAATGCTTCCAGTTTTTGCCCATTCAGTATGATATTGGCTGTGGGTTTGTCTTAGATAGCTCTTATTATTTTGAGATACGTCCCATCAATACCTAATTTATTGAGAGTTTTTAGCATGAAGGTTATTGAATTTTGTCAAAGGCCTTTTCTTCATCTATTGAGATAATCATTTGGTTTTTGTCTTTGGTTCTGTTTATATGCTGGATTACATTTATTGATTTGCGTATGTTGAACCAGCCTTCTATCCCAGGGATGAAGCGCACTTGATCATGGGGGATAAGCTTATTGATGTGCTGCTGGATTCGGTTTGCCAGTATTTTATTGAGGATTTTTGCATCAATGTTCATCAAGGATATTGGTCTAAAATTCTCTTTTTCAGTTGGGTCTCTGCCAGGCTTTGGTATCAGGATGATGCTGGCCTCATAAAATGAGTTAGGGAGGATTCCCTCTTTTTCTATTGATTGGAATAGTTTCAGAAGGAATGGTACCAGCTCCTCCTTGTACCTCTGGTAGAATTCGGCTGTGAATCCATCTGGTCCTGGACTTTTTTTTCGTTGGTAAGCTATTGATTATTGCCTCAATTTCAGAGCCTGTTGTAGGTCTATTCAGAGATTCAACTTCTTCCTGTTTTAGTCTTGGGAGGATGTATGTGTCGAGGAATTTATCCATTTTCTAGATTTTCTAGTTTATTTGCATAGAGGTGTTTATAGTATTCTCTGATGGTAGTTTGTATTCTGTGGGATCGGTGGTGATATACCCTTTATCATTTTTTATTGCATCTATTTGATTCTTCTCTATTTTCTTCTTTATTAGTCTTGCTAGCAGTCTATCAATTTTGTTGATCTTTTCAGAAAACCAGCTCCTGGATTCATTAATTTTTTGAAGGGTTTTTTGTGTCTCTATTTCCTTCAGTTCTGCTCTAATCTTAGTTATTTCTTCCTTCTGCTAGCTTTTGAATGTGTTTGCTCTTGCTTCTCTAGTTCTTTTAATTGTGATGTTAGGGTGTCAATTTTAAATCTTTCCTGCTTTCTCTTGTGGGCATTTAGTGCTATAAATTTCCCTCTACACACTGCTTTGAATGTGTCCCAGAGATTCTGCTATGTTGTGTCTTTGTTCTCATTGGTTTCAAAGAACATCTTTATTTCTGCCTTCATTTTGTTATGTACCCAGTAGTCATTCAGGAGCAGGTTGTTCAGTTTCCATGTAGTTGAGCGGTTTTGAGTGAGTTTCTTAATCCTGAGTTCTAGTTTGATTGCACTGCGGTCTGAGAGACAGTTTGTTATAATTTCTGTTCTTTTACATTTGCTGAGGAGTGCTTTACTTCCAACTATGTGATCAATTTTGGAATAGGTGTGGTGTGGTGCTGAAAAGAATGTATATTCCGTTGATTTGGGGTGGACAGTTCTGTAGATGTCTATTAGGTCCTCTTGATGCAGAGCTGAGTTCAATTCCTGGGCATCCTTGTTAACTTTCTGTCTCATTGATCTGTCTAATGTTGACAGTGGGGTGTGAAAGTCTCCCATTATTATTGTGTGGGAGTCTGAGTCTCTTTGTAGGTCACTAAGGACTTGCTTTATGAATCTGGGTGCTCCTGTATTGGGTGCATATATATTTAGGATAGTTAGCTCTTCTTGTTGAATTGATCCCTTTACCATTATGTAATGGCCTTCTTTGTCTCTTTTGATCTTTGTTGGTTTAAAGTCTGTTTTATCAGAGACCAGGATTGCAACCCCTGGCTTTTTCTGTTTTCCATTTGCTTGGTAGATCTTTCTCCATCCCTTTATTTTGAGCCTATGTGTGTCTCTGCACATGAGATGGGTTTTCTGAATACAGCACACTGATGGGTCTTGACTCTTTATCCAATTTGCCAGTCTGTTTCTTTTAATTGGAGCATTTAGCCCATTTACATTCAAAGTTAATATCGTTATGTGTGAATTTGATCCTGTCATTATGATGTCAGCTGGCTATTTTGCTCGTTAGTTGATGCAGTTTCTTCCTAGCCTCGATGTTCGTTACAATTTGGCATGTTTTTGCAGTGGCTGCTGCCGGTTGTTCCTTTCCATGTTTAGTGCTTCCTTCAGGAGCTCTTTTAGGGCAGGCCTGGTAGTGACAAAATCTCTCAGCATTTGCTTGTTTGTAAAGTTTTTTATTTCTCCTTCACTTATGAAGCTTAGTTTGGCTGGATATGAAATTCTGGGTTGAAAATTCTTTTCTTTAAGAATGTTGAATTGGCCCCCACTCTCTTCTGGCTTGTAGAGTTTCTGCCAAGAGATCAGCTGTTAGTCTGATGGGCTTCCCTTTGTGGGTAACCCGACCTTTCTCTCTGGCTGCCCTTAACGTTTTTTCCTTCATTTCAACTTTGGTGAATCTGACAATTATGTGTCTTGGAGTTGCTCTTCTCGAGGAGTATCTTTGTGGCGGTCTCTGTATTTCCTGAATTTGAATGTTGGCCTGCCTTGCTAGGTTGGGGAAGTTCTCCTGGATAATATCCTGCAGAGTGTTTTCCAACTTGGTTCCATTCTCCCCATCACTTTCAGGTACACCAATCAGACATAGATTTGGTCTTTTCACATAGTCCCATATTTCTTGGAGGCTTTGTTCGTTTCTTTTTATTCTTTTTTCTCTAAACTTCTCGCTTCATTTCATTCATTTTATCTTCCATCGCTTTCTTCCAGTTGATCGCATCGGCTACTGAGGCTTCTGCATTCGTCACGTAGTTCTTGTGCCATGGTTTTCAGCTCCATCAGGTCCTTTAAGGACTTCTCTGCATTGGTTATTCTAGTTAGCCATTCATCTAATTTTTTTTCAAAGTCTTTAACTTCTTTGCTATTGGTTAGAACTTCCTCCTGTAGCTCAGAGTAGTTTGATCATCTGAAGCCTTCTTCTCTCAACTCGTCAAAGTCATTCTCCATCCAGCTTTGTTCCGTTGCTGGTGAGGAGCTGCGTTCCTTTGGAGGAGGAGAGGCACTCTGATTTTTAGAGTTTCCAGTTTTTCTGCTCTGTTTTTTCCCCATCTTTGTGGTTTTATCTACCTTTGGTCTTTGATGATGGTGACGTACAGATGGGTTTTTGGTGTGGATGTCCTTCCTGTTTGTTAGTTTTCCTTCTAACAGACAGGACCCTCAGCTGCAGGTCTGTTGGAGTTTGCTAGAGGTCCACCCCAGACCCTGTTTGCCTGGGTATCAGCAGCGGTGGCTGCAGAACAGCAGATATTGGTGAACTGCAAATGCTGCTGCCGAATCGTTCCTCTGGAAGTTTTGTCTCAGAGGAGTACCCGGCCGTGTGAGGTGTCAGTCCGCCCCTACTGGGGGGTGCCTCCCAGTTAGGCTACTCGGGGGTCAGGGACCCACTTGAGGAGGCAGTCTGCCCGTTCTCAGATCTCAATCTGTGTGCTGGGAGAACCACTACTCTCTTCAAAGCTGTCAGACAGGGACATTTAAGTCTGCAGAGGTTACTGCTGTCTTTTTGTTTGTCTGTGCCCTGCCTGCAGAAGTGGAGCCTACAGAGGCAGGCAGGCCTCCTTGAGCTGTGGTGGGCTCCACCCAGTTTGAGCTTCCCCGCTGCTTTGTTTACCTAATCAATTCTCAGCAATGGCGGGCGCCCCTTCCCCAGTCTCACTGCCACCTTGCAATTTGATCTCAGACTGCTGTGCTAGCAATGAGCGAGACTCTATGGGCGTAGGACCCTCTGAGCCATGTGCGGGATATAATCTCCTCGTGTGCCGTTTTTCAAGCCCATTGGGAAAGCGCAGTATTAGGGTGGGAGTGACCTGATTTTCCAGGTGCCATCTGTCACCCATTTCTTTGACTAGGAAAGGGAATTCCCTGACCCCTTGCACTTCCCAGGTGAGGCAATGCCTCGCCCTGCTTTGGCTCGCACACGATCCGCTGCACCCACTGTCCTGCACCCACTGTCTGGCACACCCCAGTGAGATGAAGCCGGTACCTCAGTTTGAAATGCAGAAATCACCCATCTTCTGCGTTGCTCACGCTGGGAGCTGTAGACCGGAGCTGTTCCTATTCGGCCATCTTGGCTCCTCCCCCACCCGCCATTATTTTTTTGGACATTGTTTCAGCTCTGCCGACTTTCTCCTCTCCTTCTAGGATTCCAGTGACACAAATGCTAAATGTTGTGCTCCACAGATCCCTAAGGCTCTGTTCACTTTTTCCTCTATTTCCTTCTGTTATTCAGTTTGCATAATTTCTATTATCCTGTCTTCCAATTAAGTGATTCCTCCCTCTGTTCCTTCTGTTCTGCTGTTGAGCACAACTACTGAGCTTTTATTTTGGTTATTATATTTGTCAGTTCAAAAACTTCTGTTTGGTTCTTCTTTACATCTTCTGTTTCTTTTCTGAGAGTTTCTATTTCTTTGCTAAGTGTATTTTTTTCATTCATTTCAAGCATTTTCATAATTGCTTATTGAAGTATATTTTCAATCATGGCTCTTTTAAATTCTCTGCCATTTCGATGTTGGCATTTTAGGGTGATCTTTTTACATTCCCTTGGATATTTTCCAGGTTCTTGATATGACAAGTGATTTTAGATTGAAACCTGGACCTTTTCTTATTTTTTTCTGAGATAATTTATTTTATTTAAACCTTCTATTTAGACTTCCTGTAACATTGCTTCATCTGGAAGTGGGGACACTGCCTTATATCTGCTAGATGGTGGTAGAAATCTAAGTTCTTCACTTGGCCTCCATTGAAACCCAGTGAGTCGGAGGCTCTTCTTTACTGCTTGATGGGGGTGGGAGTTCCCTGTCCCCATGTGATGTCCACTGGTGGGCTGGCCTCATTGCTGTTTGTCAGCAGTGAAAGTCCTGACTCTGCAGTAGGCTTACTCTGACACTTCCCCAGTGGGGAGGGGGAGGGATGCCCCATTACTGTCCAATGGGAGGTGGAAATCCAACCTCTCCACATGGTCTCCACTGACTCCATGTGAGTGGGGCACCTTGTTACCAGCCAGCAGAGATGAAGTCCTGGCTGTCGACTTGGTGTTCTCTGATACCACCCAGCAAGGGTGTTGGGTGTCTCATTACACCTTCATGAGGGTACATGTCTGGGTTTCACACCCATCCTTTGCTGGTGTAGGTCAGGTGGGGACACAATTTTTCTGTGATGTTTGGCTGGAGTATAGCAGTTGTCTGAAAGTTTTCTATCTTGCTAAACTGCTGTTTTTTTTTGATCTTTTGACTAGAGGGAGCAGGCTTTTGCTGGGGCTTTTTGTTTGTTTGTTTGTACTCATTGGTCTATCTGGGCTGTTGGCCTCTTTGCCTCCAAGTGTGGGATATATGAAACAAAAACAACTCATCAATATGTTGTTCCTTAGGTCCTGGGGTCCTTAGCCAGTCTGCCTTTTCTCACCTTTCAGAGTCTTCTCTTTTTTAAAATCTATTTTAATAGGTTTCTGGGGAACAGGCAGTATTTGGTTATGTGAATAAGTTATTTAAGTGGTGACTTCTGAGATTTTGGTGCACCCATCACCTGAGCAGTGTACCCTATACCCAATGTGTAGTCTTTTATTTCTCACCCACCTCCCACCCTTTCCCCTGAGTCCCCAACGTGTGTGTGTGTGTGTGTGTGTGTGTGTGTGTGTACACACATTTTCTTTATCCACTCACTGATTGATGGGTATTTGGGCTGGTTTTGTATTTTTGCAATTGCAAATTGTGCTGCTATAAACATGCATGTGCAAGTTTCTTTTTTGTATAATGACTTCTTTTCCTCTGAGTAGATACCCAGGAGTGGCATTGCTGGATCAAATGGTAGCTCTACTTTTAGTTCTTGAAGGAATCTCCACACTGTTTTTCATTGTGGGTATACCACTTTACATTCCCACCAACAGTGTAAAATGTTTACATTCTCACCACATCCACACCAACATTTTTTTTTTGAATTTTTTGATTATGTTCATTCTTGGAGGAGCGTGGTGGTATTGCATTGTGGTTTTAATTTGCATTTCTCTGATAATTAATGATATTGAGCATTCTTTCATAGGTTTGTTGGCCATTTGTCAATCTTATTTTGAAAATTGTCTATTCATGTCCTTAGCCCACTTTTCGATGGGATTGGTTGTTTTGTTCTTGCTGATTTGTCTGGATTCCTGTTGCCCAATGTATAGATTATGAAAATTTTCTCCCATTTTATGGGTTGTCTGTTTACTCTACTGATTATTTCTTTTGCTGTGCAAAAGGAAGCTTTTTAGTTTAATTAAGTCCCATCTATTTATCCTTCTTTTTGTTGCACTTACTTCTGGGTTCTTGGTCATGAAGTCTTTGCCTAAGCCAATGTCTAGAAGAGTTTTTCCAGTGTTATCTTCTAGAATTTGTATGGGGTTTCAGGTCTTCAGAGTCTTCTTATGTTTGTTTTACATACTCTTTCCAGAACTGTTCAGCTGCCCTTACAGAAGAATAGGGAAGAGTATGTCTATGGTTAGAAATTTTAGATAACATTAGCTCTCTGACCACTTTTGGTGAATTTTGACTTAATTTTAACATAATCTTAATGAAAATCAATATAGCATGATTTTAGCATGGTCTTCCTTAAATTACTGGGATTAGTTTGTATTTGTAAGGACAGAAATCATCCTATTTTAAATTAGGGAGGTATACTATTTATTACTATTATTCATCAAGTAATCATTATTTAACAGAAGAATTAAGTTGTAATTATGATGTACAGGAAAAATAAGTGCATTAAAGCATACTTCAAAGACTTACAATTTTAGTTCTTTTTATATGCCCTTTATACTATTGGGTTTTTATAATGAAGTTATAGATAACAAAATTATATAGCCATAAAATCTAAAATGCTTTTCAAAATGAAATTATTTTTCTCAATGGCCATACATTGAAAAAATCCATAGCTTTTTTTTGAAATTAAAAAAACGTTTTCATTAATACAATGAATATTTAGTAAAAACATACTGTGGGCGAGACATTGTGCTAGAAATATAATGATGAGCAAAACATACATAGGTCCTGCCTTAATCAGACTTAAAGTGTTCTTCTACAGTAAAATATCAAAATAATGAAATGAAATCTTCTAGGAAAGTATTTTATATGTTTTTATGAATAGTGCTGCTCTGGAAAATTAGAATATTATCTTTCGAGTGTATTACTCCACTACTAGATGCAGAAAAATTGACGTCTTAAGCAGTGGTATTTATTACTAATGTTTATTGAAAATAAATTGAAAACAAAAATTATATGATGAAATGTTTCATTGGCTATATAATGGGCTATTTCCATCATTTCTGAAATATCTCTTGGATTTTTAGTATTGGTTTAGAGTATAAAAGACAGTGATGGCCAATGTTGGCCGTGGCTATTAATGGTTTATATTAGTTGAAAGCTGTAGAATCATCCAAGAACTCTATTAGCATTAGAGTAACAATTTACCAAGACAATTACCACATACTGGAAATTTTTGCAGCTCTAATTCAGTATTATTAATAATGGATAAAATTGCATTTTTCTCAGGTTGCTGTGGGCAGCGGGGAATTATTTCAATGAATATTTCAGCACATTATTTTAATCATTTTTCCACCAAATCCAAGTGGGCAATATTTTATACTTCTTAATTCAGCCTACTAAGAAACCATGGTCATTAAATTGTAAACTATTTGTAGTGAGGTCTATTCCGTGATTTACAACCCTTGTTAAAAACAGTGTAAAAGAAAGCAAACTGTACCATTACTACGGTGTAATTTGATGTTGCCTTTGTTACTAAACTCCACATGATTAATGCTTTTAGTAGAAAGAAGAAAGTTTTAAAAAATAAAAAGCAGAGCTGAGTGGTATAATACCTGAAATATGAGAATGTTATTATTTTAAGTCTTTTTCACTTGTAGAGGAAATATATATATATATGTATATATATACACAAATACAAGTGTAAAATATAAGTATCTCCAAAATTATCTTAATTTTTCAATGAGACCAACAAAATAACTTCAATTTTATAGAAAAATGTATTTCCAGCTATGCATTGTTATTAATAGGGATTACTTTTTTTCCCTCTACTCTTAGCCAATTGCATGATTTCTGGCGTTTGGATTACTGGGAAGATGATCTTCGTCGAAGGAGACGATTTGTTCGCAATGCATTTGGCTCCACTCATGCTGAAGCATTGCTGAAAGCTGCAATAGAATATGGTTAGTACCAATGCTTCTTCCACAAAAATACTTCTGGATGTGAGGTGACTCCTTGTGTTTGAGAATTCCTTCTTTTTTTTTCGCTAGTATTTAATGTTCTCCATGTCTTGAGTCAGAAATATTTTGTTCTGCTTTATCCTTCAGCATCATTTAGGTTACTGTTAATCAACCCAATATTTCTCAGATTAGATATATTTTTGTAGCCTTCAACTTATTTTTAAGAGCTAAATGGACTTCACATAGTTAGTTATTAACTAACAGTCCTTTCATATATCCTAACACAAGAATAAAATCAATTTCTTTCTCGGTGTCTTTCAAACTTTGATGACCAAGACCCATAGTAAATACTGTGATCCTGTACTCAGACTTAGATATTTTATGTATAAATTTGTTTCTGTGTACATACTTATATATACTGCATTAATATACATATACACATGTAATATATATACATATGTATACTGTGAGTATATGTTTATGTATGCATATACATATTGTATATATTAAAAAAGTTTTATTTATAACCTCTTTATATGATATTTTGTTTTAATCCCACCTATTCCTTTCAGCTTAATAAAATAGAATTTAAAATCTTGTTATAAGCTGCCAATTTAAATTTCCAGTCCTCCAATGCACTACAAATGAAGTTTGAAAAAGATGGTCTCCTACTTACAGTATCATTAATTATCACACTACAGTAGAACTATACCCTAAATTGTTCTTTATAAACTGTACAATCACAAATACCAAAATATTTTTGTAGTTTAATAAAAATGCTGCTACTTTAGATTGTTTTCTGCTAAGAAGTATCTTAGGAACATTTGGTCTACTTGCCCATTTTTAAATGCTGTAACAAGTTAAAGTGTGATGGGGTATATCAGAATTTTACAAACCACATTCACTAAGGAAATACCAGTAATGAACACTGTCCATGTGTTTGTTATCCACTTTTGTTCTTCAATTACTTGTATTTTATTATATTAATTTTCTTTTATTTGGGAGTACTAAGTGAGCCATCTGTTTTTAAAATTTAAAAACAGTTGATAAATAGTATTATATCAAATCATAGTTTATGTCATGTAAAACCATTCATGTTCTTAATGAATTGAACAGGGAAGTAATAAAAAGACAAAATGTGTAAAGCTTTTAAAATTTCTTTTCCCAGTAAGCTATGAATTGCTATAACTTAATAAGCATCAAAATATCATTAAAAATAGATAAGGATTTCATATGAAACTGTTATACCTAAGATAAAAGTTATACAGTAACTTTATATAGTAAAAGTAACTATGGAAAAAATATGCTGGAAAAAAATTATAGTTTGTCTTCTTTGAATAACTAAAAATAGCACCTAAGGATAATAGCCCTCTAAGGATTTGATACCAACTCAAAATGAGTTATCATTATGATCTTGTAGGAGAGAATCTTAGAAATATCTGCCTACCTAGTAGTGGCATGCTTTATAATATGATCTTAAAATTATTAAACCTTCATTTCATTTAACCAATAATTTAGACTTTTTCACCAATTAATCCTGAATTTATCTCATTTGAAAGTGGAAACATATAAAGACAATTTGTAACAGAGTTTATACTACAGTGATATCATTAGTAATACTGAGTTGCCAAAGCTTTAATTGTACAGAATTCATATTATATTACATTCCACAATCTACAGATTACTTTTAAGCAAGGCTTTTTTTAGAAAAATGTTTGTATTTCTTCTTAAAAGTGAATACTTTGTGTGTTTAATTTGTAAAATAATTTCTAATAAACCAGTGTCAAAGCCTATAAGAAACAAAATTTAAAATCTTTGAATAAAATCTTTTTCAAACTGATAGTCATATTTTAATAAAATAGTAACTATTGTTAATGAACCTAAAGTAAAAAATAATACCGTAATTTTGAAATAGGTAAGAGGTGTGATACTAAATATTCTTTATATGTACTATATTTTAAAATACAGTATTTATGAATTTTCAATCTGGATCATAAGCAACGTTCAGAACCCATTATCTATCCCTCTTGAGTTGTGTTCTGTTATAAAAGAAAAGAGGAGTATGTTTTTATTATACCTATTAAGAACAAAGATGACACATCTACACAGTAAAATATTCAGGGAATCGACATGGTACTATTGGAGTTACTCCATGGTCATTCTAAGGTCAGGGAGTGGAAGACTAAAGAGAACTAAAACAATTTTATCTCCAAAAACAATTATCCTCTAACCTTCCTCACAGTTCACAAGTCTATGGACTTTAGGACTGAGTGGAGAGTTGGGAGTAAATACAGAGGATGTAGAGAAGGTGAGTGGGAAGCTCTCCCTGGAGTGATCTATACGTAGAAGTAGAGGGAAGAATCACAAATTGACGAGAGAAATTTAGTATTGTGCCTTCTTCCTACCTCTTAATGTGCACTCTAACCTATATAGAAAATATCTCTTCAGAAGAAATAGGAAGTACATGTCAATAATTATTACAAAGCACTTAATCCAGTAAATGTTGAAAAACTTAATTCAAAACAGATTTTGTACTGCCAAGGACCCAAAAGATAAGGAAAGACTGAGAAAATATTCCAAACTGGAGAAGACCAAAAAAGATAAGATAGATTATTACAGCACATTTGTT
Organism: Homo sapiens; assembly: GCF_000001405.40. Classification (NCBI taxonomy): domain Eukaryota; kingdom Metazoa; phylum Chordata; class Mammalia; order Primates; family Hominidae; genus Homo; species Homo sapiens. Next base: position 35,435,020 of record NC_000013.11, read on the forward strand.
TGTTTGTTTTTGTTTGTTTGTTTGTTGTGACGGAATTTCACTCTTGTTGCCCAGGCTGGAGTGCAATGGCGCGATCTCAGCTCACTTCAACCTTCACCTCCTGGGTTCAAGCGATTCTTCTGCTGGGATTACAGGCGCCTGCCACCACACCCGGCTAACTCTTTTGAATTTTTAGTAGAGACAGGGTTTCACTGTGTTGGCCAGGCTGGTCTCGAACTCCTGACCTCAGGTGATCCACCCACCTCGGTCTCCCAAAGTGCTGGGATTACAGGCGTGAGCCACTGCGCTCGGCCTTACAGCACATTTTTCTAGATGATTGCAGTTGGTAAAATTTGACTGGGGTCCATGATCTGGATGGCAGTATTGTTATCAATGCTAACTTCCAGAGTTGGAGGGTTGATGGTACTTAGACAGGAATGTTCTTGTTTTGAGAAATACAACGGAGTAGTTAGGGGTAATAGGGTGCCATACCTGCAACTTCTCAAAAAGTTTTCAAAAGATTAGTGATAATGGATATGTGCAGGAGTGGGGTGGGGGGGGCGTGTAGATGTTTGTTAATATTGGGAAAACCTGGATAAGGATAAAAATGGGAGTTTTGTACTATATTTGAAATGTTTCTGTTAGTTTGAAATTATTTCAGATATTGTTTAAATTTTATCCCTGCAAGTTGAATTAAAAGAAAAAGCAATTTAAAAAAGTATAGAATAAATCATTTATCCACTGTAAATGAGCTTAGAAACCTTTTTCTTGTAATATTAGGTATTAGTGGGTTTGCAGTAAAAAATAAAAAGAATCTCATATACGTTGCTGAAACAATGTAAATGAGGATTGCTGGAAACAAATCCTTTGCAAAACATTTTGCCAATGCACATCAAGAGTCTCAAAAATGCTGATAATCTTTGACCCAACAATTCCCTATCTAGGAACTTGACCCAAGGAAATGACTTAAAAGACAGGGGAAAAAAAGCTATTTCAAATTATTCGCCACAGTTTTCTTTGGAAAATCTGAAAAGCAATATAATATTGTGGGAAGACTGGTTTCAAAAAAAAAAAGAATGGACTCAAAAAAAAGAAAACAGATTTCATATTTTTAAAGAAAGATTTTGTATATACAAATTGCCAGGACGTCCATGTAAAAGTTAAAAAAAAATAGCCTGACGTCTGAATATTCCATCTGCCGTTAAACATTTAAATGTGTTTAAGTATTTTGAAGTCTGGCATTGTATAGACTAACATCCAAATGACTTAATGTTTTGGAGTTGTATAGATGTAGATTAAGAGTATATTGATAGCACAAACCTGCAAATTCTGACTAAACTACTAGAATAAATTGAAATTCAACTGATCTCTTCCTCTGTGTTAAATAATGACACTATTTCAATTTCCCTGTTGTTAAATTCTACTGTGAAGGCCGGGCGCAGTGGCTCACGCCTGTAATCCCAGCACTTTGGGAGGCTGAGGCGGGTGGATCACGAGGTCAGGAGATCAAGACCATCCTGGCTAACATGGTGAAACCCTGTCTCTACTAAAAATACAAAAAATTAGCCAGGCATGGTGGCGGGCACCTGTAGTCCCAGCTACTCGGGAGGCTGAGGCAGGAGAATGGCATGAGCCCGGGAGACGGAGCTTGCAGTGAGCCTAGATCGCGCCAATGCACTCCAGCCTGGGCGACAGGGAGACTCCGTCTCAAAAAAAAAAAAAAAAAAAATCTGCTTTGAAAGTTAAGTGCTAACTGTGTAGAATTTCTGCTGAAAACTTTGGTCAAAAAATTTTATATTGATCCACATGGTAGCAACAAAAAAGATTTTAGGTACAAAAGAACATTTTATAGATGGAACTTTCAGAATGTCTAGAAGTATTTGAATTAGTTATCAAAGTTTTCAGAATTTTCAACATGTTGTCTACACTGGGAGAACAAGCTTAAATTACTTAGAAAGAAAATTTTTACATGACCATCAAAGCAATCCCTGGGATTTGAACCATTGATTTCGTCTTATCTATTAATGTAGTAAGTATACTGTAGTTCAAGAATATAAGCCTTTATTAGTGTAATAGAAGTGAAACTGATTTTGCAGACTTCATGTTTTAATAAAAATATCTTGAGTCATTTGATTTTTTCTAATATCCTAAATTCAACTAAACATTTTAAATTACAGTTGCATTTTCATGTGATGGGAAGGAACATTTAGCCATCATTTGGATTTCATGACATTATTTTCAGGCAATTTATTTGGTGCCTCAAATATATTAATAATATATTGGCAATGCTTTCTTTTAAATGAGCAAACAATCAGAATTGGATATAATTTCAAGGAAATAAAGGAAAATAATTTTATTTCATATTTACTTTGAAAAGCTTTCCCTTCAATTTCATTATTAAAACTTGGTTGACCTTTTTCAGTTGGAAAATATCCTTTATACTGATGGAGTTTTTCATGCTTTTTTAGTAATACTAATGAGTTGAATAATTTATGAGGTTGTCATGTGCAAAAGATTTTGTGTGATTTGATATACTTTCAGCCTCTGGTGTTGGAATGTGATTAATGAAAACCTAGAGGCAGGTAATTTTTTCCCTGCTGGTTAGTGTTCTAATTTTGCGTGTATTTAATGTGTTATTTAGGTGTTTTCTAATAGTAAAATCTCATACAAGTGAAAATTTAATTGATTACCATGAATTTTATGGACCATAGCAATGGAACAGTATAAGGAAAATATTTTAAAACTCATAAACTCACCTTCTGATCTGCAGAATTCTTTTTCTTTTGAGCAAATGAGCTAATAGGGAAATGATTGAAAAAGGAGGGTTTTGTATATTGTTTATATATTAAAATAAAACCTAGACTAGTCAAATTCTGGTGCATTTCTAGCATGTCAATATTGTAGTTGTCGAAGAATGGTACAAAATCTTAAGTTTGATTGTCTTTGTTGACTGTCAATTATTATTTAGGCCTCTGTTGCCCTTTCATAAAATTACAGTGGAACAATGTTTCATCAAAACCTAAGACTGCAAGCACCTCCATGTCTGTGATCAAAGACAGCATCTTAAATAGGTCTGATCAGGCATCGTAGAAGAGAGCAGACTGCTTCAGCCTGAGGAAAAAAAAAACATGGAGCAAAAATGACAAAGTTAATCAGTCATTTCTTTGGCAATAAATAATAAGATATGCTGAGAACTGCAAATGAGAACATTCTTATGTTCCTCAGAGATGTGTCTGCTTAACACCTGATTTATCTAAGCTTGTGAAGCCATCAAGTTATGACCTTGATGAATAAAAAGCAGCTCTGTAATGAATCTGGAATTAAATTAGTTTTGATGGTATATGCATGGCTACTGTAATGTGCTATTTTCAGCCATCAAGAATAAGAAAGGCAGTGAGAATAGAAAAATACTAAGACAGCTATACAATTGTTGAGAAAGAAGCTATCAAGTAATCTGACTTCATTTTTCAAGACTTTATAGTTCTTACAACATGTGAGAGAGATGACTTGATTTTGTAAAACCTAATAACCTATTGGTTGTATTATGTAGAGACTCTAGTAAACATCTTCATTATTGTTCATTGATAACTCCATTTTAGTTGGTGTATTATTAATTGGATCTCCTTATTTGAAATGAAATAGGTAATCTGGTTATGGTTTAAATAATTTATTGAAAGTTAATGATGTAAATTTTTAGAAAGAGAGAGAGAAAGACATGCAGGAAGTGTCTGTCAGCTCTTTTTGGTGTCAGTGTCATATTTTAGTATCATAGCCTTGTCTTCACCCTATGGTTTTTACAGTCTCTTAAAATAATTTCAATGGGTTATATAAAGGCTAAGTTACAAAATATTCTTATAAAATACATTTGACAGATATTATGTAGCATTTTCATATTAATAAATGTTCTAAGAGGCCACTTAGTTTTCTGTTGAAGGTTCAGATTGTAGATTTTAAACAGACTCAGAGGACTTGTGTAACTTTATTAATTTAAAAGCAGTTATTGAATAACTTCTACATACTATGCACGTGCTACCTGCTGGATTTGGAGACTGAGACAATCAGTTTCTTCCATCTAACAGCACATAGTTTACTGTAGTGATTCCCAACAGGGGCAGGGGTAGGAGTGCACTGCTGGCATCTAATTGGTAGAAACCAGGAATGCTGCCTAAAATATCCTACCACATACAGGAGAGCTCCCCACAACAATGACAACAGCAAAATTCCAGCACGAAATATCAATAGTACCGAAGTTTGAATAACCCTAGTCCAGTGGAAAGGAATAAAGAAAATAAACAGTTATCATAGAGGGATGTAGTAGTTCCTAAAGGGGCACAGGGAGAGACAGTGACTTACTGAGTCTGGTTGGAGTAGGCTTCGTACAAGTAAAGGCTTATGAATTGTCTCAAGACTTGATTATGAATTTGCCAGGTTATCGGGGAGTAAAGGCAGAGGTCATAACAGAAATTACCATGGCATGGAGACATAAACGACCCTTACTCCTTTGAATGGCCTTAATATTTGGCATTTGATGACAAGTCACTTCATAAAGGTTTCAGAAGGTATTTTTATTTTAGATGTCTCATATTCCTAGATAAAACAAAAACCATTTGAGGATAAGATATATCTAATGTAAATGGCAAGTTAATGGGTGCAGCACACCAACATGGCACATGTATACATATGTAACAAACCTGCACGTTGTGCACATGTATCCTAGAACTTAAAGTATAATAAAAAATAAATAAATAATTGAATTTGCATTTTAGAAAAAAAAAGAATCAGATCTTCTATCAGTTCTATTTGGAACATTCACATTAATACAATTCTTTGTGCTTATTACTCAGTTGCTATTTTTTTATTTAATTTATACTTGATTGATTTTTTTTGTTTTTGTTTTTGAGACGGAGTTTCACTCTTGTTGCCCAGGCTGGAGTGCAATGGTGCGATCTTGGCTCACTGCAACCGCCACCTCCCAGGTTCAAGCGATTCTCCCACCTCAGCCTCCTGAGTAGCTGAGATTACAGGCATGCGCCACCACGCGCAGCTAATTTTTGTATTTTTAGTAGAGACAGGGTTTCACCATGTTGGCCAGGCTGGTCTCGAACTCTTGACCTTAGGTGATCCACCCGTCTTGGCCTCCCAAAGTGCTGGGGTTACAGGCATGAGCTACCATGCCCAGCCCGATAACTGATTAATTTTAAGGTATACAAACAGATTTTAACCACACCATTCATCACTTTGGGTAACAACATTGAAGGATGGATTTTCTATAAACTAGGTCTAGAAGGATGGTATTTCCAAATCATTTCTGACTGTCATGGAACTAATTTAGATCATTGTTCAGAATCTTGCTTCTTTTAGACTAATTTTTGGTAAAGTGTACACACAATCACATTTACAAGTGATTATAATATACAATTGTAATATTTTCATCAAAGTATATTAAAAATGTTATGGGAGCTCAGTAAAGAGGGTCGCCTAACTGAAGAAATATATTTTAGCTGGAGTCGAAAGGATGAATGGAAGTCTTCCCAAGCCAATGAGTGGGAGAGTGGCATTGTGGAAAAAGGGAGCACATAATACAACATAATGTATTCAAGGAATGGAAAATGGTACTAAATGATGGAACACAGGATAGTGTGGGGAAATGGTATGAAGATGAGGCTGAAACACAGTTGTGGCCCTGCTGTGAAGGGGATTGTCGTTAAACAATTTTTATTTGGAAAATGACAAACCATAGAAATTAGGGGACATGCTAAATAATAAGTGATAGATAGAGCTAAAACTCAACCCAAATACCAGTCTCTTACTCTACAGTGTGTTGTAGTAAATACATTTGGAATTTCCTTAACTATGAGGGCATTACCGAACATTTCCCTGCTGTAAAGTTTACCTGCTAATATTTGGTTGGCGCTTACAGCCTATCGTCTGTAAAGATACATCAGAACAGATGAACTTAGTATCATTCCCAGGATATGTATTCTATGCCATTTAGAAAAACATTTTTAAATGTTTTGGTGTTTTAAAAAGTGCTTTTAGATAATCTGTATCAGCACCATCACTTATGTATTTCATTTTTTAATAATTAAAGAGACTTTTAAAATTTTCTCTTCCTTCCATGTCTCTGGGCCAATTGTTTGCCTGTCTCAAAAATCTCCTACCCCCATTTTCCATCATCTCACACTTTTAAAGTGAATTGTCCACATTGGACTTTGTGATATACTTAAAAGAAGACACCAAGCCTCTCATGGAAAACCAGCCCATATTTATTGTCTCCATTTATTTTCCTTAAATTGTCTGTACAAACATGATTTTCTCCCTCACATTTTTAAAATTCTTACTATAAATTCTCCATTGAAAATTCTAATCTATAGTAATCTGATTTCTGGTTGTTAATGCTGTGTAGAGCAAAACCACCATTCATTTTTGGCATAATGTAATTAAAATACAATATAAATGCTAACTTGCATGACCTATCAAAGCCTATATGTTTGGGATATGCCATATCCCAAATGAAGGCCATGTTGTCATTAATGCCACCTTAATTCTTTGACTTCTTGCTGGTTCCTTCCCCTACCTTCATGACCCAGGCCACCTTCACAAAAATTGCTGCTCCATCAGTGATCAATTAGGGAATTGTCAGGTTTATAAATTTACTAAATGTGCCATGGGGATACCAAAATCACTAAATGATTGGATTGAGATCAAAAACTGAGAATATTGTCTTAGTGCATATGCTATCTGCAAGATGGAAAAATAAACTTGTCTCCTATTTGAAAATACATGGAATGGAAAAAGGTTAAAACTCTAGTAAACAAGGAATGCTAGATGTGAAAAAAAAAAAAAAAAGAAGACACTGAGGTAATGTCACTTACTGTGCAAGAAAGTCTCCCCACCCTGTCAGCCCACTCTCAAGTTGTCCAGTTAATCTTTTTTTTCATTCTAATAGTTGCCAAACTTTCTAATTCACATTCTGCTGCTCACTAGCCATCTACCCGTATTGGTACATGATGCAGGTTCCTTTCCTTTGTGCCTCCCTCCCTGCCTCCCTCCTTTCCTTGCTTTCTTTCAGAAAAACATATGCTCATTATAGGAAATACCAACAAAAGTGCCAAAAAAATTTGAAGAAGTCATCCACATAAAGATAACTGTCTTTATCATTTTCATGTATTTATTTCATGTTAGTCTTTTTCTGTGTGTATTTTATCATAGGGACCAAACGCTATGCAATGTACTCATATAGTCACAAAGATGAATAGTGCATCATCTCTGCTCTTTATGATATTTAGAGAGTTCCAAAAAGACGCAAGTTTTCTATATGTTTTATTACGTTTTTTTACAAGTAAAATGTGCCCTGCGATTTTTAGTATAATGAAATCTCATTTTAAATAATTAAAAATCTTAACTTCATGGCTAATCAAAATCCTGTCGAGTAATATCCCGTCTAAAATGTGGAGAGAGTCTGCGTTTACCGTCACGTATATTCTTAAAATATGGTTTATCAAATTTTCTTTAGAAAGCATAGAAGGCAGTTTTCTACGTTGACTCCATTAAGAAGATTATTAAGTTAACATTTCATACTTATATAGTGCTTCACTTAAATTCAATAATATTTTCTTGCACTTTTTTAATTGCATTTCTCTGTTTAAAAATACTGTTTATGAATTTCCCGTTTGTTGGTCTGCTCTAAAAAATATTGCTTACCTATGAATATTTTGAATTAGGAATAAATGAAATTCCGTTTTTGCTGTCAGAACCAAATTGTAAAAATGAATTGCATGACTTTGAAAATCAGTATACTCTATTAGCAGGCCTGTCAATATAAAAAGTGCATTCCATTTCCACCTCTTGCTCTAATAACCTTTTCTCTGTTACTCTGAGGCAGTTCACATAATCAGAGTATATTGTCAGCTTACTGGAGTTGGGGAAGCATGAAATGAAAATCACGTTAGTATTGATCCAATTCTTTTGCTTGCAAGTATCCTTGATGTCCTTTTCCAGTGAGCAATAACTGTTGGTGTTAGGTAGCCATTTTCTTCTCTTCTTTCTTAAATTCCAATCAATTGTTTACAAGCATAACTAATCTGAATAAAAATTTAACACTTGGAATAATTTCCATGTGTTAATTCCCAGATTGCTAATGCTGCACATTTACTATACCACTGAACTGTTTTCCCCCAGCTTTTCAAAACACAGCCTACCTAAAGACGTAATATTTATATGTAGTTTAAAACAAAAGTCTGTACAAGTTCCTTTTTGGTAAAATTACGTAAGATGCTGTACTCTGACTTTTATGTAATATAGTCATGTGCTAAAATGGACCATAAGTGCCATGAATTACTGATCCACGTAAGGAATAGCATTTTTGAACCAAGTTTATTATAAATTTGAAGCTGGTGTCTTGGGTTTTTAATTTTATAGTGGTATAGATAATATCTATTTTGGATTATTCAATATATTCTCTGTCAACAAAATTAAATTGAAGTGGGAATCATGGTTAGATCCAACTCATTCAAACTAAAATATCCACAACTAAGAAAGGAGGAATTGGATGGTTGAACTATCCAGACTTTATATCTGTATTTATTAAATTTGCTTAGTAAATACTCAGATTTTTACCTAAAATGTATTTGGAACAACAAATAGAAAGTCTATTTCATGTGTAGAAATACTTGCTTTCATAAAATAATTTTATATTGATAAAGTGAGGCTTCTGACTCAGTATCAGGTATAAAAGATTGAGAAAATGCTTGAGATTTCTGGTCATTCTTTCTAATTTAGTGTTTTTATTCAGTATCACTAACAGTTTTGCCATTGGGATTTTTCTATTGAAAGACCTGTTTTCTTCTCCTTTTTAAAAAAATGCTATTTTATAAAGAAGATGATTTAATTTTTTGTCATTAATCTTCGTTAGAAAAGTGATCTTTCCTATTATCGTAATTTGTTTCTTAAGGAAGGACGCACTTAATAAAGTCAAACACAAAATTAAAATTGGAATTTAGATGATTTACAAAGAAAAATATTTACTTATTAGGAAATGATTGTTACAGTAGACTGTTCTAGTGTGTATCTATTACTTTTATCTCACAGATACACTAAGGTAAGCATAAAATGTTTTCGAACAATAGGTTCCTCAGTATAAGAAAAAGCATTCTTTCAGGTTTTTTTGAAATGTTCAAAATTGTAAACTTCCCAGTAATAGATTGATTCATACATATTATTGCACAAGATTGTGTCATCATATCTATTGTAATTTTCTGAGAGGTATATTTATCTTAAATCTTTTTCCTTTTAGTGGAAATTAAACAGCACCATTTAGAGTTACTAAAAGCACTGGTCTGAAAAGGTATTTGTTGCTCAGACTTAAGTTTTAATGAGAAAAAGTAATCTTTAAAATTTCTCAAAGTATTCATGTAATTAATGCACTTTAAAAAGTATTTAGGTTTGGAAATGAATTGCAACATTTTATTCTACTAAAAGAGTGGTAGACTTCGTCAAAATACATTGAACAAGCTAAAAAAATATTGAGAAATGGCGTATAATGAAAAGAATTTCTTCTTTGAAAAAGAATGCCATCCTGTTCAACAGATTCCTGAATGTTTAGAAACAGAATTACCTGATAATACATTTAGGTAAAAATAAAATTAGACCAGATTTCTATTCTGCCAGTGTCCTCCCAAAGATCTTTTTCCAAAGATGAAAAGAAGCCTATATTAAATGCATTATCTCTTCTTGAGAAAGCAGTTCTTTTCCTTCAAATATCCAAGATACTAAACATATTTATATAATTAAATATCTGTATGCAAAATCAGAAGTACATGTCAAATACATTGGTGCTTTATGTAATTTTATTTAATATCTTTAAATGAATAAAATAGTTATGGAAAACCTACATTACATTTAAAATGTAAGCTATTTATACTACATTCAATTTCCAAAGTACTTCCTAACACCTGTACTTCATGCTATCATTCCTGTCTTCAGGGAGCATCCAATCTAGTGGAGGAGCTGAAGGCTCATTCACATTTTAATGAATACGAACACTGTTATAACAGCATGGTGGAAGGAAGAATAGTAACTCCAACTGAAGGAAAGGAAACTATCACTTGTTGAATACCTGATGTTGGATAGGCATTGTGCCAAGACCATAGACTCATGCTTTATCTTGAGTTTTTTAATCCTCAGATAAGCCAGCTTTTTTTCCCCCTCTTTACGTAAATCTTATGCAACACTATTATAAGCAATAAAGCATTAACTATGTTCTTTTTCAGTTTTAATTATGTATTCAGTATACTTTTTATCCTCTTGTTTTATTTATTTTATCAAAATTTTAATAAACATTTTTGAAAGCTTACTATGTAAATAATCTCCACACATTTCCATTGTCTCATTTTAACTTTGCAATAATCCTGTGAAAGAAAATGTGGAAAATACTTAATATTACTCTTCTACAAATTTGGAAACTGAAATTAAGAGATTGGTCTGAATTTTTTTAATGTTTCTAATGGATATTAGTGGGGAACAATAACTTATGAATGGCAAATCAAATAGTCCAACTCTCCCACTTATGAGGAAACTGTAAAGTACATGAAAAGTAACTTAACTAATGTGCATGTAAAATGACTAATATGTGAAGTGTGTTTATGTGTTTTCATTTACTCAACAAACATTTGTTACCATTTTGACATGTGAAATTAAAGTCCAGTAGAGAATCCCTAAAATAAAAACACTCCAAAATTGAACAATGATAAGATATGATGACTTAATTCTAAGATATAAATGTTTATATATATATATATATATATATATATATATATATGTATATATATATATTATATTTGAAGTTCTAGGGTACATGTGCACAGCGTGCAGGTTTGTTACATATGTATACATGTGCCATGTTGGTGTGCTGCACCCATTAACTGGTCATTTACATTAGGTATATCTCCTAATGCTATCCCTCCCCCCTCTCCCCACCCCACAACAGGCCCCAGTGTGTGATGTTCCCCTTCCTGTGTCCAAGTGTTCTCATTGTTCAATTCCCACCTATGAGTGAGAACATGTGGTGTTTGGTTTTTTGTCCTTACGATAGTTTGCTGAGAATGATGGTTTCCGGCTTCATCCATGTCCCTACAAAGGACATGAACTCATCCTTTTTTATGGCTGCATAGTATTCCATGGTGTATATGTGCCACATTTTCTTAATCCAGTCTATCATTGATGGACATTTGGGTTGGTTCCAAGTCTTTGCTATTGTGTATAGTGCCACAATAAACATACGTGTGCATGTGTCTTTATAGCAGCATGATTTATAATCCTTTGGGTATATACCCAGTAATGGGATGGCTGGGTCAAATGGTATTTCTAGTTCTAGATCCCTGAGGAATTGCCTCACTGTCTTCCACAATGGTTGAACTAGTTTACAGTCCCACCAACAGTGTAAAAGTGTTCCTATTTCTCCACATCCTCTCCAGCACCTGTTGTTTCTAAGATATAAATGTTATACAGAGATGGAAATAATCAACCTGACTGAATCCTGAAGGAATAGGCATGTAAGAGATTTTATGTAAAAGAAATTACATAGGTCGGACTTAAAGATTTGAGACAATGTGGCATGTATGCAGACAAAAACATTCAGCTTTTAGAGAATATGAGGTGCAAAGAGGCCAAATCAGTAAAATAGTGAGGTTAAATAAGCAGAAGCTAGATCATGAGCTTTAAACCATATGTTTAAATGGTACAAATAAAATAACATTGAAAATGTATTATTCCATTGTTGATATACATTAGATAGATACACATATATACCTATATATCTATATAAATATACCTATATATATAACTTTTCAATAAATGAAAACCCCATTGTTCCACAGTCAATATAAATAATAATAGCATAAGCTGGTGAAAAGCTGAGTCTACATTAAAACTGGCTTATTATGTGGTTATATCTCTTTTCTTTGTGTGTTAGCCACACATATGATTTATAGCTAACCTATTGTTGTGAATTACTTTTTTCTTTATTAGTATAGATGTTTTAGAGTTGATTATAGGAGGATTTCTTAAACAGAAATAAAATACTGTATTTTTCTTACATTAATTGTTTATATTTATCAATAGAAAAGAACATAAAGGGCACATGAACTAATTTCTTTGCCTTGATCCTGTGGCCATTCCAGGTAGACATATTCTTTGATGTCGTTAGGAGGAGTTCATGTCTCCAGTTTGTCATTTCTGTGTTTTAACTTATGCTTATTTAAAATAACAACAAAACTTTAAAATGGAAATTTAAACTATATCAATAAGAGTAACAATAATACTGGAATATAGTAACAATACTAGAAACATTTTAGTTCTGCTGTTACTTCACCTTTAAAATATACCTTTTTTCACATGGATTCTTGGTTATTAATAGAAATTTTATGAAAAAGGAACTTTAGATTTCTGCAATGCAATATTCTGTATTACATAACATTTTCATATACAGAGCTTTATATATATATATATTTACTAAGAAGTCAGTCTATGGAGTGCTTTCATGGGTTATTTCTCACATGATGTAGAAAATAACATAAGTGCGGTTTTGGATTTAGCTTCCTTGAGCTATAATTCAGTGGCATTTTTTCTCCTGAAACTTTTAAATTTTGTGGTATTTTAATGTTTTCATAGGCAATAGCATATATGTCTATCCTACCCAGCTTTACACATAATATACATTTTCAGATCCAAGGCGTTCTGGTAGTTTGTGGTATTCGCTTGTTAATTTCTTGATGAATGGCTAAAGAGGCCAAAAAGTGCACTCAGTCCAACATGTCTTCTGAAGATAGATGATCTCAAATAAATTCTCTTCCCAATCAGATTTTGATTTGTTGGGTGTTAAACCAATTCTTTCTAAGGACAGTGTTTACAAGCCTTGTAATGAGACAGCCCTTTGAGACCTTCCCTCTTTTTGCCTGTAATTTTGATGAATGAAACTCTAATTCATAAAGGATATTGTGATTGAAAAGCACCTTTAGATCTCATACACTTTAATTTAGATAAATGTTTGGTGCAGTACCATGAAATCAGGAAGTTTGCTGAGCTGCAAACTGATAACACTTCAACAAGGATGATAAGCTTAGTGTGTTGATATGGATTAGTTTACTATATATCTTTTAAAGTCATGATTGTTTTACTGCTTTAAAACCAGAGGGGATAAAATTGAAAGCTTGATATACATTTCAGAGCTCACCTTTCTTCTACTACATTTTCTTCTTTGGTAAATTTTTATTTTGGTAATACAAAAGTAACATAAAGCTTTTTTACTGACAAAGATTACCCATGATTTTTATATAAGGAAAAACTTGCTTTATTAGATTACTCACACTTAAAGGCTTTTTTGACTTTATTGTAAAAAACCAAGTTACTTTTCATGTAAATACATATATTCTCCGGCTTGCCCCAAACTAAAGGCAAATCACTGAGATTCTGAGATACCCTGGGAACTTCAGACTTTGAAATATGCAGGGGTAACTGTAATGTCTGAGTTTATACATTTATTCAGGATTTATGAGGGCTTGCTCTGTGCTAGGCAGTGTGCTAAGTACTGAGAATACCAAGACAAAAACATGTTTCCAGTCATGAAGGAACTTGGAGGCTTTTGTGGAGTTAAATAAGCAAGCAGTTACAATATCTATAAATTATGCAGTAGCAGGGTTTACGAGGTATGGTGGAAGCATAAGGGAAAGAGTACACAAGTGCTCTTAAGAAATCAGAGAAGGGAATGGGGTGGTGGGGTGAACTTGAACTTCAGTTCAGCACATGTTTGTGGCAGAACTGCTGGGCACCAGGCACTGAAGCTACAGAAATGGGACTGAGGACAGACACATAGTAGGTAACACCTATACAGTGCAGTTGAATTATGTGTAAGCTGTTAACGTGCAGTAGGGTTTGTTAGGAAAGGCAACTGAAGGAAGTGAGTTTTTAAGGGCAAGTAGCAATTAGCCAGGCCAAGGAGGAAAGGTAGGAACATACCCTGCAGAGGGAATAACATTAGCATGGGTAAAGAGGTATGTGAAAGCATGACATATTTTGGAAGCTATAAGTGGTCCAATATTGCTGAGGAAGGTGTGGTGAAAACACAGAACTGGTAATGAGAGGATAAAAGGCCTTGGTAAGCCATGCTAAGAAGTTTGGATTTTATCCTCCAGTCTAAGTCTTGCATTAGGTGTTCTTGACTGGGAGGAGTTAATGAATAATTTTAATAGGAAAATGTCCTCAATTTATTTGTGTTTTATAAAAATCACTCTGACAAAAGTATGGAAGGCGGTGTGAGTCAGGCAGCTGTTGACACCCTCTAGACCAAAAACAGTGATGGCCTGAACTAGGGCAGTGGCAGTCACCATGCAGGATGAATTCCTAGGTTTCTGCTAAAGTACATGGTTGGCCAAAATAGGAGGAGGAGAAGGAGCAAGAGACAATTAGCTCAGTAAGAGAAATGTTCAGTTAATAGTATTCAGGCAAAGTCCAGAAATATAGCTGAGAAGACCTCAGGAGAGATTTCTGAATTATTAATCATTGGGTTTCCCTCTTTTGTTCTCAAATGATGCAAGCTCTATATTTCTGTTTGCCAAGAAGCAAACAAGTTATAAAGATAGCTACCCTCAGAAGATTACTCTTGGGCTGGCTTTATATCACCAAAAATCAAATAGAATTAAGATAAGGTTCTGAAGCATTCAGTGATCTATCCCTAATCTTTTATTCCAGAAATAATAATTATCTATGGGCCAGTGGAAGAAAAATACACATGGAACCCATTTAATTCCCCTCCCCTCCAATGTAGCATTGATTTGTCATAATACTATTTGTCTCTGAAGTATTTATCAAAATATATGTCTAACAATCTATTTATACATTTAAGGTACGCATTAACCATGTGCTCTAAATGTGGTTATGTAGTAGGAGCTAGGATGACAGACTATACCTCTTAGCCAGTGATACTCTGTAATGGTATTGTGATGTGACTATGTTCCTCAACATGTGTTTTTACTCTGGCAGCCTTTTGAGTCCATTTTTTCATATTTTAGCAAACAGAATTAGCCTATATTCACTGAGAAAAAGAAGTATACAAACTGCAAAGAGAAAAAGGAAAAAAGCCAACTATTTTACAATGCAAGTTGTATGACAGCCAGATGTACTTGCAAGAAAATGGTTGAGGCTGGGCACAGTGGCTCATGCGTATAATCCCAGCACTTTGGAAGGCCAAGGTGGGAGGATCGCTTGAGCTCAGGAGTTCAAGCCCAGCCTGAGAATATAGTAAGAGCCCATCCCTACAAAAAAAAAAAAATAACAATAAAAAAAATAGCCAGGCATTGTGGTATACATCTGTGGTCCCACCTACTCAGGAAGCTGAGGCAGAATGATTGCTTGAGCCTGGGAGGTCGATGCTGCAGTGAGCTGTGATCATGCCACTGTACTCCAGCCTGGGTGACAGAATGAGACCCTGTCTCAAACAACAACAACAAAATGGTTGAGCAAACATCAATAGGCAGTAATGGACTGTTGGAAGTTCTATGGTCTGGGCCTGGGTGAATTGACCAAAAGTATTGTACACTTTCGACCAAAGGCATGACATCATTTGGAGAGCCATTGTTTATGGTCCGACACCATAATGTCCCCTAAAAATATAATACAACACCATATAGGACTGATTTATAAGGCTCCCATTTCCAGGAATATATCCACCACCCCAAATGAGATATGAAGACATTTTCCTAGTTAATGCTGCTCCTTGAAGGCTATATCCTAATACAGAACACAGTATATGACAATGCTTTCTTCTAAATTGAATTTCAGCTTCAAGTGATATAGAAGTATTTCATGTCTGTGGTGTTTGTGTGGGTGTAGGTGGTGTATGCATGTATAAAATTTGCTTTCAGTTCAGATAATTTTATATTAATTGACACCTGCCAAAGCAGATGTTTGAATGTAAATATGAAAACATTTATTAAGCAGTCAAATTCTTGAGGGATTCAGATGCATTCGTTTCTAACTTAACGCATTAATGCCAGGTCAAATCTTGCAATATTTCCAGTATTTCAGTTTTTCTGCTTATTTTCATGTGTTTTGGTTTTGGCTTTTTGTGTTTTTGTTTGTTTGTTTGTTGAGAGGGAGTCTCACTCTGTCGCCCAGGCTGGAGTGCAGTGGCGCGATCTCGGCTCACTGCAAGCTCCGCCTCCCGGGTTCACGCCATTCTCCTGCCTGGGCCTCCCGGGTAGCTGGGACCACAGGCTTTTGGCTCCACGCCCGTCTAATTTTTTGCGTTTTTAGTAGAGACGGGGTTTCACCGTGTTAACCAGGATGGTCTCATCTCCTGACCTCGTGATCCGCCCACCTCGGCCTCCCAAAGTGCTGGGATTACAGGCGTGAGCCACTGCGCCCAACCAGCTTTTTGTGTTATTATATATAGCAAAATAAGGCTATCATTTCAGAAAAACCAGTATTTATTTCACTAATTGCTAAAGAAATAGCTATTGTGAAGAAGCTTTTATGTCTCCATCATTTCTAACTCCGCCTTTCTGTAACTTTCCAATGATCATTTTTCCCCTCACATGTGAATGGTTTCTCGTTTGCTGCATACTTATCCACTTTCAAAAATGATCTTCTAATTAGCTAATTAGCAATTGATTAGCTAATTAAGACAAAGTATAATTATGTAAAATAGTGTGATTTTAAGAAAATAAGTTTGGGGTGAAGTACAGACTTTTTGTGCAACATGCACTGATCTTAGAGCCCTAAGACATGGATCTTCGAGTCCTTAGACATGGTAGAGTTCGTTTCTCTACCACTAGCAACTGCTAGGTTCCTCCAAAATGCATGTAGCTTCCTCTGCCTGTTTCCTCATCTTTAAAATAAGGGTAGATCATTACAGCTCCGCACACCCCATGTTTCTCACAGAAAACCAAACAAGATAAAGAAGGTTAAAATGTTCTGTAATTGTAAAGTAATATGTAAATGCAGCATATAATTTAATAAAGCAATCAATTATTTATAATACCTACTATAAGCAGAAACAATCATAATAACCTAAATGATTATATTTTTGTTGTGATTAGGCACGGAAGAAGATGTAGTAAAGTCAAAGAAAACATTCAGAAGTCAAGCAATAGTGAACCAAAATGCAGAGACAGAACTTATGCTGGAAGGAGACGATGATGCAGTCAGTCTGCTACAGGAGAAAGAAATTGACAACCTTGCAGGTAAATTTTAAAATATATTTTTCCTATTTGTTGTAAATAAACACAAAGCTACTGAATTCAAAATCTGTCTCCTAGTAAATAAATGTGTGCCAATGGTTGTAACAATGCTCAATCACATGAATGTTAAAACTCTACTTTATCTCATTTCTAATATTGAAGAGAGAACCCCAAAGAAATGTGTATTTTATTGGCAATAAATGAATATCATCAAATTTCTAGGTAATGAAGAGCAATTTTTTATATAGAAGGAATAATACACAGTATCAGTTATTCACATCTTACGGCCTATATTATAATTGGGAGGTGGGACAGAATGACAGTTTCATTGATTTACGTGTATCTCCAACATGCTAAGAGCCAAGGTCCTTTTCCCAGGTGCCAATTGAATTTGCCATTTCCTCCCATTTGTCACTCTAAAGAATGTCTCTCTCCACTCCTGTTTTGTTCTGTAGCCTCATATTGCTAAGCCACTAGCAGATATTCTTTCCCCTACCACCTCAGTTTTACCTTGTCATGATATATGTCTGAGATCAATTCTGGATGTGATTCTACAGTGAGCAGATGGGGTATAGATATCTTAGTGTATTCACCCACAACCTTTTTTGGGTTTTAAGCCACTTTGAGAATCTGATGAAAGCAAATGGCTTCATGAAGAGGCACATACAATTCTGTACACAATGTCATAGTGGTCACTGACCTCCAGAAACCAGTCCATGGAATCATATCCTCAACCTCACCTTAAAAATGCCTGCTTCAGAGTCTCAAAAAGTAGCTGAGTCTTAGTTCTATACTTGCAGCCCACACAAGGTTGAGGTGGCAGGTGGCAATAGAGAGGTGGACTTATATTTATAATTCTTGATACAACATAACACTTGTTGCAAGGAACATACTGAAAATTATCTGGCATGGCTTTATGAAAGTCTCTAGTGATTTCTTTCTACTGGTTAGAGAGTTCTCTTTTCATCTTCAAAGAGATGTTACTGTTAATTATAAACTGGAGATAGCACATTATTCTCCCTTTTCTAGATTAAGAAAGAAAATATTTAATAAGTTTATTCTAATGCTAGTTCCTAGATATTTCTATATTATTCACATTTCTGTATTATAAAAACTATTTTTTCGATTTAAATGTACTCTTAAGTCTGTGACCAAATGTTTGCCTCAAATTCTTAAGTAAATGTTCAAGTTTTGCTTTCGTTGTTTTTGTGGTTTGTTTTAGTAGCTCAGAGATTTTATATGAGGCCATTTGGAAATTTAAGCTAATGAAGGTCATTGATTCTGTTTGCCCACAGATGTGTTTTCTTTTCTGCTGGTCTCATTCTTCATCTTAAAGAATACAGAAAATTCACAAATGTTATTTCTGACCCTTTTAGATTATGTGTTGTCTTTCCTATTCATATATGCTAGCAGAGATGTTTAATAATTGTACAGTTCAAATTAGACTCCCTGGTCCTTTGTTCCTACTGAAGATAATTAATTAGTTAGTATAGATTTGCATAGTCCCTTAAAGTTTATTATAAGACTGCCCAGTAATGCCAGTGGCACAATTCAACAAAGACTAATAACCTTTTTATATTTCTCTTCTTTAATGGTAGCTAATTATTAATATTAATTTATTTTTATAAGAAAACATCCCCCAAAAAAGTTAAGTTCAAACACCTAAAGAACAGTGAAAATATGCTTGAAATAAACTTTTTAAAATCAAATTATATGGCTCCTGACCAATTCACTGAATCAAGACTCCTCTAATTTCTGTCTTTTAATGGATTTGTCATTGAGCATACCTGTTCCTATCCATAATATACCTGGTCCTAACTCATACTCTTCTAGCGGGATCCTTGTGTGTTACAGCTGTCCTAAAGTATTGATCCTCTGCCTACTCTGTAGAGTTCATTTTAAAAACAGCAGTCTACAAATATACTCTGAACCTTGAATACAGTGGAAAAGAAGTAAGGGATGGGTGTTTTATGAAGGGCCACAGAAATATGCTGCATAGGTTATAAGAATAGATTTATTTTGTAAATGCTGAAGCCTATTAATCTAGACTAACATAATAGTTACAATGTTACATAAAATTCATTTTTAGAACTTTGTTACAAGCCAGAATTCTTAGGTTTAAGAAATCAGCTATTGGTTAAAGATGCAGATTACATCAATACGTAACTGTTTTTGCCCTAAGCAATTATTGTCCAAATCATGGTTATCTCTGTTGCAGAAATTAAAATTTGTTTAATAATAATGTCTGTCTTACTCATAACATGTCATTCTAAGTAGCCTGACAGAGCTGTACTGCCTAAAGAAAATGTCACCCTTACAGGAGACTTAAATTCAAATTAAAACCCAGGCCAGGAGTGGTTGCTCACACCTGTAATCCCATCACTTTGGGAGGCCGAGGTAGGCAGATCACAAGGTCAGGAGATGAAGACCATCCTGGCTAACATGGTGAAACCCCGTCTCTACTAAAAATACAAAAAATTAGCCAGGCATGGTGGCGGGCACCTGTAGTCCCAGCTACTCGGGAGGCTGAGGCAGGAGAATGGCATGAACCCGGGAGGCAGAGCTCGCAGTGAGCCAAGATCGCACCACTGCACTCCAGCCTGGGCGACAGAATGAGACTCCGTCTCAACAAAATAAATAAAAAATAAATAAAAATAAAAAATAAAAAAACAGGAAATCCTAAAATCGGTGTACAATATTAATATAATCTTATATTTATTTGCTATCTCAGAAATATTATATAAAGTAAAAAGTGCCTATTTCAATCTCTGAGATAAAAATCACAGGTTTATCTTTTCATGACAACTTAATGAAATGGCTTGCATATTATTAGTATGAGAAATGTACTTTCAAATATATAAAAGTAATTAGAGTTCTTAGATTTTAGAATATATATGAAAGAATACATCATTTTTATAATTGTAAAGGTAAACCTAAACCTGCTGATTAGCATACTACATTTTCCTGTTATTTACAAAACCCCGTTTTGCTGACATAGGCATAGAGATAAGCAGATATGCAGTATAATTTGCCAATATGTAATAAGTTAAATTCAAATAGAAGAAAGTATGCTAATTAGTACAGAAAACTTAGAGAAAGTACTAATTTAGTTAAGATTAATTCTGTTCTTATTTTAATTCAAAAGATAGATCAATTTCTGTTTATAAAAAAAAAAAAAAGAAGAAGAGAAAGAAGAATATCTGGCATGAAGTACTAGGAGCCAGACATCAAAACCAGCTTTTTTCGACATATAAATGATGCTGCTATTATAGATTTAACATTTTCTGTAAAAGGAAAATCTGTATTTTCTGCCTGTTGAGAACTGTTTAATAGCAGTTACTCTTCAGTACATTTACATTTTCATGTTTTTAAAACTATTTTCCTTATAGCTGAAAATATTGACAAATGGATATGGTGAGCTTCTCTAAATAAAAAAGAGTTCGGCTTAGGGTTAGGGTTAGTGTTCAGACAGCTTTGTGTGCAGTAACCCATTTAATCTAAACAACAACCCAATAAGGTAAAAATTATTACCACCAATTTTGGAAATAAAGATAAAGAGGTCAAGAGATTAAGTAACTTGCCTAAGGTTAAGAAGTAGGCAAAATAATATATTTCCTTGCAAATACATAGTATATGGTTTGAACTAAAATATACCAAATAGTACATTTAAATGTGTGTATGTGAGTGTGTTTGTAGGTATATATCATTAAAGACTCTTCTAAAATGATGTGAAAATGACATCTTCTGTTTATAACTCAATTTTTACACTGGTTCCATTACATTAGAAGTATATGAATATGTATAATAATTAATTTTAGTTTTGCTTATAGATAGTCTATGTGTGGTCCAAATCAATCTGGTAAGTTAAAAACTATGATAAATAGAATGCTTTTAGTACAATTTTACTTAATGTTGGCCTTTTCTTATGTTTCCTCCATTTTGTCTGGAGTTTTCTAGTTTTAATAAAGATAAAATGTTCCACAAAATTCTATAGCTTTAAATGTCATACAATTTTATGTTTCACTTTTAGTTCCCTTTCTTCCCAAGCTGTTCGTCTCAAGAGGCAAGTTAAATGTGTGTGACTACTAATTACCCAATTTATTATGTATTGTAGCAAATGGCTAATATGATTATAATATAGAAGTATGCCAATCAATAAAGTAATTATTATATTAATAAAACCTAACTTAATTTACTTTAATTGCATTTTTAGTTTGTAGTGATTCACCAAAGTGAATTAGTACCTAAATCCCATATGTGACTAAAGATTTCAATTTACTAATTTTATTTTTTACTGAAAACATTGAGATTGGTATAATTCAATGAATTTTAATATAAAATCTTGATTACCTATTTTAATTTGAAATTTAGCAAGTTGTTTCTTCAAATAACTATTGAGTAACTGAAATTCAAGATTAACTCAAATTTATATAAATTGGTAAGTGAAGGATTTAATTAAATTGAAAAAATGGCATCCCACCAATGAAACGTATTTCATTTCTTTTAGAATGGTAGTTCTGTCACATATGCTGAGTGATAATAGAAATATTTTACATAGTGTAATTGGAATGTATATAGGTTCCTTATTATTTCTTCCAAAAGTTAGTAATTTTACTAATTTAGGGAATTGTGAGTTAATGATAATGATGGTTCTTTATGCTTTGTTAACAGTTCTGTAAATTGTAATAATTTTTTTTGTTTGCATATATATTTGCTGTTAGCAATAACAACATACGTATATTGTTATTAGTTTATATATATATAGATATATAGATATAGATATATATGTTTTTATTACCAACAGTCCACCCATGTTAATGTCTACTAACTTAAAAATTTCACAGGCCCAAACTAATGTCCACACTTCTTCACCTGCAATATCCTTCCTATTTCTCTGTTCCACTCCCTCTCCCATCTCCTCCTGTTAAAAACCCTACCCATTTTTAAGACCCATTTAAAACACTTATGAAATATTCACTGGCCAGTCATATCATCTCCATAATATTTTGTGTTAGCATTTTTTTTTGGAAATAGCATTATTGAGATGTAATTCACATATCATATAATTGACCTGTTTACAGTGTACAATTTAGTGATTTTTTGGTATATTCATTCACAGAGTTATGCAACTGTTACCGAAATCAATTTTAAAATATTTCATTACTCCAGATAGAAACCTTGTTATCATTTGCCTTTCTTCACCAATTTTCCTGTTCCCTCTTTCGCAATCCTGGACAACCGCTAATCTACTTTCTGTCTCTATAGATTTGCTTATTCTGGACATTGCATACAAATGGAATCATAGATAGACTTTAGTGTCTGCCTTCTTTCACTTAGCATGGTGTCATCAAGCCCTTTCCATATTTTGACATGTAGTCCCTTTTTTTGTTTTTTGAGATAGAGTCCCTTTCCATCACCCAGGCTGGACTGCAGTGGCGAGATCTCGGTTCACTGCAAGCTCTGCCTCCCGGGTTCACGCCATTCTCCTGCCTCAGCCTCCCGAGTAGCTGGGACCACAGGCACCCGCCACCACGCCCAGCTAATTTTTTGTATCTCCAGCAGAGATGGGGTTTCACCGTGTTAGCCGTATGGTCTCAATCTCCTGACCTCGTGATCCGCCCACCTTGGCTTCCCAAAGTGCTGGGATCACAGGCGTGAGCCACCGCGCCCAGCCGCATGTAGTCCTTTTTATGGCAGTTATTCCATTGTATGGATACACCACATTTTATTTATCAGTTCATTAGTTGATGGACATTCAAGTTGTTTCCACCTTTTCACTACTATGAATAATTCTGCTGTGAACATTTTACAAAATTTCATGTGGACATATGTTTTCATTTATCTTAGGTATATTCTTAGGAGGGGAATTGGTGGGTCAAATAATAACTCCACGTTTAACTTTTAGACTATTTACCGAAGAGGCTGCACCATTTTGAATTCTCATCAGCGGCATGTGAGGGTTTCAATTTCTCCATATCCTCTCCAAGACATGTTATTATCTGTCTTCCTTTATTATAGCCGCCCCACCACATTTTGATTGTATCATTCTTAAGACACATACCACATAAAGCCTTGCATTGTAGCTGTTCTTCCATGTTTTCTCTGTCCTTTTAGACTAGATCGCTTAAAGACAGCATTCATATACTGTGTAGCTTTGAACCATGAAGAAATCTCCTAACGCAATTATTTGCCCTCAAAGGTTCCCACTTAAAAATGTTATGTAGGTAAACTGGAAAGCTGAGATAATTATTGAGTTAGTTTATATCAAAAGACAAAACAAAACTTACGAGCTGTTGAAATAAATATTTGGGGGCTCAAATTATCAGACTATCTGCTCATACTAACTGAATTATTCAAATAATTTCAATAGCTCATAATAAGTTTTGTTTTGTCTTTTGTTTTTTGGTATAACTTAATTATACCAAAAGCTGAATTTCAATTCAGCTCATCACTTGAATTTTCCAGGATAGGAACAGCTAAAGTTAAGCTAATCTTTATTGCATTTCCACTTCTGGTAAACGTGTCATTTTAACTAAATGTCTCTGTAAGTTCCAATTTATAAGGTCAAAATACCGCACCTACTGTTACTGTAAAAAAAATTTAGCAAATAGAAAAGCTGTTCTATATCCAATGGATTGTAATGCTACTTTGATATTTTTTAAGTAATTAGTACAGGGAGATAGCAACACAAGGAAGAAGTATTCAAATGTAAGTGTTGGATTTTTTTTAATTTGGGTTTTTCATAATGGTAAGTTTATATTTCTTTACCACCGCCCCCCCCCCCCCACACACACACACACACACACTTACCAAGTTAAGAATCCAAAATTCAGAAAAGTAATTATGTAAATTAAGAATGAGAAAAATACAGAAGGAGGAGATCTACTAAAAGGCTCTCTGAAGTGCCAGTCATCTCCTTCATGACCCACTTTGTTGCCCATGACACTTCCCAGTTGTACCTTCCCTGATTTTTAGAGGGCAATATATTTTCAAGCTGTTTTTCTTCTTGTAAACTGGTTAGGTTGTATACATATTCCATAGCTATTGTTCTACTAGTTCAAAACAAAATCAGGTATCCAGTGGTGAAAACAGGGCTGGTAGGTGGAAGAGGGGGCATTATGTAGAATTTTTCTTAAGGCTGACCATTTCTGCCTTCCTAAATGTCTTTTTGAATGCATTCACTTGCTCATTTACTTAACCATTAACATCTTTTGAATATCTACTAAATATATAGAACATTGGTACTCAGATTGTGATAGAAAAAAAAAAAAGTCCTCAAGAGAATTAGCTCTGCTACCACTACCTCTGGGTAACTCAAATAACCAGGAAGTTATGGCAGATAATGTATCTTCCCTAAGAAATGAAAGTAGACAGTTGAAATAATCAGCTTGGCAGTTAGACCTTCAGTGTCCTAACTTCAAATATCCAGATACCACAGGCAAAGTTGTTTATATATAAATTGAATGTTTTCTACAAACTGAGCTAGATATGAGAATAAAACAAAAATGTAGAGCATGTGGGAAGACGAAAGAATTCAAGATTCTGGGGAAACATAATTAAAATAAACTACAGAATTCTAAAAGCTAAGAGTTTGTCTAAGAATATGTTCTTTAAAAAAGAATAATAGTATAAGCCAGTGGCACAGAAAATTTTGTTGTAACTGTTGACTGGAATACTTACTATGGGAGAGAGCATGTTCAGTGCAGATAGACTCAAATCCATCTGCTTAAGCCTAACTCTGTGCATTGCAATTCTGATATGGTGAATGTAACATTCTGTCTCCAACAAAACTAGTATTTTTTAAAGATTCCTCCATATTTAGTTTTATTTCATTTTTAGTTACAGAGTCTAACTAGAAGTTATTCAACCTGATACTTGTATTTAGGGGGAAAATATCTCTTAAACATTCTGGATTCTCTAAAATGCGTTTTGCTCAGAATTTTCCCCGTATTTTTTAAACCCATGTGTATTTTAAGGGAAATTTAATCCATATGTCCCTGACTCACTCACACTTAACTCATCAAAATGTTGTTTAGTGAAAGCTATTTGATGTTCAAAAAGCCTTATGAGTCTTTATGAGTCTTTTTTCTCTCTTTGAATGAGGAAGTTGCTTTGCCAGTCATAAATAGTATACCCAAAGGATTCACATTCAGCTTCAAACACAGAATTCACAAAGCTCTTAGAGACAACATTAATACATGCCTATTTCTTATAAAAGCTAAAGTATTTAAATTTCTAACTTAATTTTTATATCAGTTAAGGTGTTATAAAAATAAATAAAAGCTTCATCTTGAATATTGAGCCTCTTTGCCTCTTTTCATTATTTTCAAAAAGTCTACAGGTCCTTTTAGAATGTGCAAACATTTTACTGTAATCCATATTTATTTCCATAAACATATGTCCCCTTCAACCATGATTCCATCATCTATGAAACACTATAAGGTACTCTTAATTGTAACAACATCCTTGATAACCAAACTGTGTAAATTAAAAATATAATAAAAAGACACAATTCAACCATGCTTATTAGACATTGTCTTAGTTCATTTTCTGTTGTTTATAACAGGATACCTGAAACTGGACAACTTATAAGAAAAGAAACTTATTTTATACAGTCATGGAGACTGAGAAGTCCAAGGTCAAAGGGCTGCATGTGGTGAGGGCCTTCTTGCTGGTAGGGACTCTCTGCAGAGTCCTGAGGCCGTACCCGGCATCACATGTGAGGGGCTGAGGGAACTCACATGCTATCTCAGGTCTCTCTTTTTCTTCTTATAAAGTCACCAGTTCTACTCCCATGATAACCCATTAATTCATTAATCCACAAATGGATTAATTCACTCACAAGGACAGGGCCCTAATGACCCAGTCACCTCTTAAAGGCACCACTTCTCAATACTGCCACATTGAGGGTTAAATTTCAACCTGAGTTTTGGAGGGGACAAACAAACATATTTACACAACAGTAGGCATCAACCATAAATCATATATAATTTGCATTTTTTGTTAATTTTAAGAATAAAAGCCACCCTTTGTTATGGTCAGGTGTTTCACAAACCGTACTCATAAGATCTGTTCTTTCTTAATACAGTGTAATAGTTGAAACCCATTTTGATTTTCTACTTTTTTCTCTGTATGGAGAATTTATCATAAACTAATTCCTCTACAAATTTATAGTCATACTGTCTACCAATCTGGAGAATGGGGCAATAAATAACTAACTTACCAGGAAACCATATTTTTCTATATGGAGGTGACTAAGCTTTCATGGTTGTTTTTAAGCATGTGAATGAGGATATTGATCACCTACTGAAAATATGTGGGTCATCTTGTTAGATCACATTTGAGGGAAAATGCAAGATAACAAAACAATTTTCCTAGTATCAAATTATGGATGTTAGCAACTTGGAAAGGAGGAAGAGTGAGCTCTTCATTATCTTGTCACTGCCATACCTAAGAGTGTCCTGGTCCTCTCCCTGAAAGACTTTGCCGCTTACTCAAACATAAAGTTAAAAAGAGATTTTGCCACTACAGTTAGAATAGTGCTATACAGAAGGATCAATAAGTCTTTCTGCATACTGAAAATATTTTGTTTAATTAGTTTATTTCCATGGCTTGATGTTGCAGAGCCAGAATAGCAGCTATAGAAATACTTAAACAATTAGCCCTAAGGACAAGTATTTACATGGCAATTAATTTACAAATAGCTAGTCCAGTAGAATATGTTCTATCAGTTCAAGTCATCAGTCCAATAAAAACAAGTCAATTGTTTTCTCTTAGAATAGAATCTGATTAGAATAGAAAATGTCAAGATTCACACAAAGTAGGGACAAGACCTGGAAGGACCTGTTGGACCCTTATTCTCTGATGCTAGATCGAAACTTCACTCGGGTGAATGTGGTTGTCCCACCAAAACAAATATAAGTATCGGATATCAACTCTATGTAAGACATAATGGTGAGTGCTTAGAGTAAAAAGACACATATGATCAAAATTCTGCCCTCCAGGAAGTTATAGAGGAGAAGAGATAATGAAAAAAATAGTTAACCTAGATATAGAAAGGAAACCATTCTAACAGAAAACACGATCCTAGAATAACATGGATTCTGGAAAGCCTTTATTAGAATGGGTATTTCCTTTCTTGAGTCTTGAAAAATAAGTTAAACATTTAGAGAGTTGTTGCAGATGGCGGGAAATGTATACTAAAACATTAACTTCTGTGTGAAACTACAGTAGTTCTAAATTACTTAGGTAGAAAGCATGAGTCAGGGAGTCTCTGAAGTTGAGACTGACAAGCGCTTGGGGAGGGAGCTTTATGTGCCTTAAGGAACCTTGTTTTTATCCTGAAGGCCACTGTGAGACTGTGAAAGATTTTAAGTATGACAGTGATGAATTTTTTTAAAAAAATCACTCTGGCCCTTGTGTAGAATATGCTTTTAGGATGCCCAGACTTGAGGTAAGAGCTTGACAGGAGGCTGTTTTCCAAAGCAGCAGTGATGAGAGCCTCAAGTAAATTGGCAGCAGGCAGGAGAAAGGAGAATGGGACAGCTACCAAAAAGAAAAAAAATTAGAAGGTAATTTGTGGAGGACTGTAATAACTGACTAGTGCAGGGAGTAAGAATGAGGGGAATCAGGCCTGAGAGGAGAGGTGGTCTAGAAGCTATTAACTGTGTGTGGGAATGTGCAGATGCAAGGTCTTCTGTGGGTGGGAGATGAAGATGCGTGATCTGTTGGGCCTCCAAAATTTTCAAAAGAATAGAAGTTTGAAATTTGAGAGCCAAGTTGGGCATGGAGTTCATAATGGAAACCAGTGAGATCACCTAAGGAAAGTAAGAAAATAAAGAGAGAAGTAGTAGGCCAAAATCAGATGCCCTGTGGCACAAGGTTTAAAGGGCAGCCAATGAAGGAGAGCCCATAATAGGATACCAAGCAGGAAGTAAAGTAGTAAGAGAAAAGGAAAGAATCCTATGCTTACGAGTCAGGAACTCTGGCTCAGCATTTTTCAAACTAATGCTCCTTGTAACACAGGTCTTTTGAAAGATGCTAATGAGAAAAAAGAAACTCTATAGTTAAATATGTTTGGAAAATTGTGAGTTTAAAAATAAGTTGCAGGCCAGGTGCGGTGGCTCATGCCTATAATCCCAGCACTTTTGGAGGGTGAGGCGGGAGGATCGCTTAAGCTCAGGAGTTCGAGATCAGCCTGGGCAACATGGTGAAACCCCATCCGTACGAAAAAATTTAAAAAATTAGCCAGGTGTGGTGGTGCGAGTCTGTGGTCCCAAGTACTCAGGAGGCTGATGTGGGAGGATCCCTTGAGACTGGGAGGCAGAGGTTACTGTGTGATGGCGCCACTGCACTCCAGCCTGGGTGACACAGTGAGACTCCGTCGCAAAAAAAAACAAACCAGAAAAAGTTGCAGACTTTTTAAATTGATGGACTTTTTCAAGCCTTTAACTTACTAATTAATGAGTATTTCCCAAACATCTTGGCCTAAGTAGAGGTTGGACTGAAACTAAAGGAGAGAATAGGAGTGAGGAACTAAGAAATGGAAACTCATGTCTAGAGCTTAACAAAGAAGGGAAGAAAGGAGATAGAAATAAGAGAGCAGAGGGGGCAGGGGAGGGTAGGACTAGTAGCACAGATAGAGGGGGTAACTACCTCAAACAAGAGGAAAGATATATTTCCAGAAACTGCTGAAAAACAGTTTAGGATAAATGCAGACAGAGACAGTTAAGGATAAATGCAGACAGAGACAGTTAGGGATAAATGCAGATGTAGAAAAATCTGTAGATAGAGGAAGACAAATGAAAAAAATTTAATTTTTTTCCAAAATATGAATTCTTCATTTATTATATAATCAGGATGAACAAATATATAGGTGAACTTTTCTAGAAAAAAAAATCCGTATATTTAACCATCTTCTCGGGAGAATGTGTGACCCAGAAAAAGGGTAAACCCCAGTGCTCTGCACTATAATTTCTGAGCTCTAATCTTTGATTCCTTAACCTACAAAGTCTGACATTCAAGTATATGTATGATTTTTCCGTTTCATCTCACACTGCTTTCCCTTACACATCCTCATCTCTGGCCAAACTTATTTACTGCTCATTTACACCTACAACTGTGTTTTTGTCCAAACTATTCCCCCTTGCTCACAATGCTCTCGAAGACCACAACTTGTCCAAATTTCTACCCATCCATCACAGCTCACTACAGATGTCACTGCCATCATTCTATCCCAACTGCTCACTTCCCCACCAAAAATAGGCCGGAAATCATGATTGTTCTGTGAATGTCCAGAATTTTTTTCTGTCCCTTTCTTGATAGGAGGCAGCGTATATAACAAATACCCTGACTTTCGAATCAGATCACCAATTTTGAATCCTATCTCTCATTTACTAGTTGTATGACCTCTAAATTACTCCAACCCAGAGTCTCATTTTCTTATCTGTAAAATGGAGATGATAGTAGTGCTATCACACAGGGATGTTAAGAGAAATAAATCACATAAAGTGCCTTACACAGTTCTTAGTTTAACCCTTTCTTCCTTATGTCATAATTATTCTTGTGTATTCTTTACCTTATACTATAAGCTCTTTGTGGGTAAAATGTATGTCTTATACACTGCTGTATTCTCTCCTTATATGCAAAAACAATATACTACTCATTAATTTTCGTTGACTACGTGAATGAATGAATGAATGCTGAATTAAATATGTCTCTACACATTTAATTACAAAGAGCAAGCAAGTTATACACTAGGAAAAATACGATAGTCATAAAATTATGCCATTTAAAACCATAATAGTATGCATGTAATATAACTAGAATGATCAATTACATTATAACTCTCATTGGTTTTCAGTATATTTTTAAATTTATATTTTCTCTAAAATACAGTTATCTTTTATATTTATAAAGAAAAATTTGAAATCAATTTCAGAAAAACATAAAAGATGTAATATATTAATTTAAGTGGGCTTTTACTATGACATATAAATGCAACACTGGTATATATCATTTTCTATATTCAATTCCACAAACACAGATTGCATACTATATGACAGATACTGTAATAGGTGAACAAGATAATAACCCCTGTCTTCAATTAGCTTGTGCCAAATGGGAGAAACAGACTTTTAAACACATATATTTAATATATTTTAAGTGCCATAAAGATATGGCTAGGAAACTATGGAAATATAAAGGCAAGCTACTTAATCCAACCTAGGGGTGCAAAGATTTAAATCATATCCTCTGGTTTATTCACTCCTCTAGTCTAGTAGAAATTTACTCTTCCCGATCATTAAATGATATCCCAGTGCCGTAAAAGAGTCAATACTCTTCCAGAAGGTGAAAAATGTATTCCATATGTTGAACTAAATGTAATATAACTGGAAACAGAAATCTCAGCTGGCTCACTTATTAAATCAAAAGGCAGAGCAAATTTTCACACTGAACATTGAAACTATCACTGTTGTTTAGTACTTTTTGTATTAGAAAATAACTCCGTGCTATTTTACTTATAGTATATATGCTTTGTAAGCTTTTTCTTCTAGGAAATCACACATTGCCTTTGCAGAAAATGCAGCAGTTTTTTTTTTTTCTTTTTTGGTTCCTTGTAACATAAAGAATTACCTGCTCTACAATAAATTGGTAAACATAAATAGTAGGTTAAAGTTAGAGCATATAAGAGTCTTTCTCAGTACTTTTTAAAATTATGTATTATAAATACATTAAGGTGGGATTTTAGATAATAGTGTAAAAATAGATGATCTACTATGATGAACAAATAATATGCTAAATTTCAGTATTCAGTTGCTCATATAAGAGGGCTCCATTCCTTCCATGTCTGTTTTAGACTGTGCTAAGTTGAGTTTTTCAGATGTAGGTTTACTCTCATCTCAAAACACCTAATATGTGTTCTTCATCTGTCTCATTTTATACAATAATAATCTAAGGAAACTATGATCTGTGGGGATAATTAGTTATTGTTAATCTTAGTGTTAAGGATAGATTATGCTCAAGAAGTCACCTAGCAGCATCAAGAGGCCAATTCCTGAAAACAGTGAGCTTTTGTGTAAAATTTGAGTTTATAGAATATTTATAATGGATAGTTTAGGGGAGAGTACATTGTGTCTTTGTGAATATGTTGGGGAGGAAGTAGTACTGAAGTTTAACTTCATAACCCTTAAGGCATTGTATTCTATGAGTTGTTAAAGTATTTTTATTTTATTCAAGCAAAAACATCCTGTAACTATTTCCATGCAAAAAAAGTTCAGGGCTGGAGTGCAGTGTCACTGTCATAGCTCCCTGCAGCCTTGACTTCCAGGGCTCAAGGGATCCTCCCACCTCAGCTTCCTAGGTAGCCAGGACAATAGGCATGTGCTACCAAACCCAGCTAATTTTTTAAATTTTTCATAGAGATGAGATCTCGCTATATTGCCCAGGCTGGTCTCAATCTCCTGGCCTCAAGCAGTCCTCCCGCCTCAGCCTGCCAAAGTGCTGGGATTACAAGTGTGAGCCACCATGCCCAGCCCTAAAAAAAAAGTTTGAAAATTTCAAAATACCATTGCTCTGAAATTTTATCTGGACAGCTATCAATATTATTTGTATATAAATAAAACAGTCACTATCTGTAGACTTTGCTACTATGATTTTTTTTTATTTCCTTAAGATACTTCAGTCACCTGAAACCCAGAGAACCATCCTGGATATCTAAAATTTGGGAATCTAAAATTTTTTACAGTATTTTTTCTAGAACTTCCCCCCTCCATGCACATACACAAATACCTCCATTTTTATAATGCCCAAAGCTTTCCTAGGATTCCAAAACAAAGTTACAACTTTATTATATTCTTCAGTAATTTGTTTTGAGATTAAAACATCTTATTATTTATTTCTATGGGGGAGAATGTTTTAGGGAAACTGACTGTACCATACTTAAAAATAATGAGTCTATGGCCAGGTGCGGTGGCTCAGACCTGTAATCCCAGCACTGTGGGAGGCCAAGGCGGGCGGATCACAAGGTCAGGAGTTCAAGACCAGCCTGGCCAACATGGTGAAACACCATCTCTACTAAAAATACAAAAATTAGCTGGGCATGGTGGTATGCACCTGTAATCCCAGCTCCTTGGGAGGCCGAGGCAGGAGAATCGCTTAAACCGGGAGGCGGAGCTTGCAGTGAGCCAGAGATCATGCCACTGCACTCCAGCCTGGGTGACAGAGCAAGACTCCATCTAAAAAAAATAAAAGAGTCCAAAGCAGTGACAGATATTTTAGATATGTTCAGTCACTCATGCTATGAATTATTTCCCTACAATGTATACCACTTTATAAAAATAATTGTAAAAATTTACTCCCTTATTATATTTTTGTCCTGATTTCTTTGGAATAATATTATTTTACATTGAACATAAAGAATTTCAGATTAGTTTTAGTTCTTCTAAATAATGTCAGGATTTTAAGTTTAATAATTCTACTAAGATTAGTCAATGTTTATTATCCCAAAATAACAATATTTTACATGTTCTAAAAGCAAACTGAGCATGTAGTTTCCAAGTAATTGAAGCTGAAGAAAATCCATATAGCTAATACAACTTTTAACAATATTAAACTAAGGTTAGGAAATATTCAAGTGATTCTAAAATACATTATAATTTTATGTACCCTAAATATAGTTTACCAATTGAAAGTCATCAAATACTTCTAACAATTCCAATTTTAATTAAACTCCAACTCTTTTTTTTCCATACGTAGTCTTTGCTGTGCTTTACATTGAAAGTTGTAAAGAAGCTTAGCATTACTTGGAAATTTAATAGCCATCGTTGCCTTTTAATCACTAGAATGCAGTGTACCCCCTCCTGAAAATGATTTACACCCCCCCCCCACTCCCCTCCCCTGAAAATGATTAATCCCTGCAATTGAGAAAAAGAAAAAGCAGCCTCTGACCTCTGGGAACTGGCCTGCCTATATCTAAGCCTCATTCTTTTTGAGAACTGTCCTGGAGCTCACAGCTAGGCCATGGCGTTCTCTTGTTGGACATAAACAACCTCACAGAGCACCAACTTCATACAGGGTTGTGTGATGATGATGTGAGACAAAAAACAACTTTATAATTTTGACTAAGCACAGACAAAAGCAAGATCACTGTGCATACCACAAAAATACCAGACATTCCCCTCTTTTGGCTAATATGAGTGACTGCTACATCTCTTCAATTAGAGCTTTAGCATACATACATTTAGTCTTCCTTCCCTCTAGATAAGATTGATTGAAATACTTAATCATTGAATTATTTCTGATGCCTGACAGAGCCCAATCCAGAGCAAAGCCCTGCTTTCCTGAACTCTTCCCAAAATCACTTAAGTAAAATCCAGATCCTACAATGAGTCTTTTAACACCCCTAAGTCACCCCATGGTACTTATTGTTGTCAGTTTCTCTCACTGCAATGAGTAATAAAACCCACTTGTTCAACTACAGATGTGTTCTTGGTGGTCTTTGGCAAGAAAGCATTGACACATCCAATAACTTAAAATTTGTGAATATTGGACTATTAGTTCTGTAAAAATATAAAAGAGTTTTGTGGCCGTGCACAGCGGCTCATGCCTGTAATCCCAGCATTTTGGGATGCCAAGCCAGGTGGATCAACTGAGGTTAGGAGTTCAAGACTAGTCTGGCCAACATGGTGAATCCCTGTCTCTACTAAAAATACAAAAATTAGCTGGGCACAGTGGTGCGTGCCTGTACTCCCAGCTACTCAGGAGGCTGAGGCAGGAGAATCGCTTGAGCTCGGGGGGCAGAAGTTGCAGTGAGCCAGAGATTGAGCCATTGCACTCCAGCCTGGGTGACAGAGCAAGACTCTATCTCAAAAAAAAAAAAAAAAAAAAAGAATTTTGTAAAGTTTTACCAAAATGTCAGCATATTATTAAGATTTCTGTGCTTGAAATTTTTATTTTCATCAAGATAATCTAAACCCACAAGTATTTAACATTCTACTTTTAAAATATATTTGATAAATTGTTTCTTTTTTAATATAAAATGTGTACTTTCTACTGTAGGTCCATGATGAGGTTTACCATCTCAATTGGTTAAAGATCTTACAGCTCTAAAGAGAAGTTATTATTTTAAAGATTCATTATGCTTGGGCGGTTTTTGTTCTAGTTCAGATTTTAAATTAGATAAATGGGAAGTAATACCCCTATACTTCTTTCAAAAATAGTAATGGATCAGTATTTTTTAAGCATTATATTGCCAGTTGTAAAAAGTAAATAACATTTATATTTTCCTTTTAATTACCACTTTAGATGGTGGAATTTTAAATTATTATATGCATCAATGCAATAGGAAGAGGTTTGTCTTATCCATTTGTTTAACATTTAATATCAATATTTCTATGTGTGCCGAGGACATTATAATTTATTCTTTTATTGCTATAGTAGTGATTGGGATGAATATATTTACAGTCATTCCTCAACTCACTACACCAAGCAAAGTTTAGGAGGTTAAATGTGTAGTTACTTAAGTTATCTTCTAGAACAGAATCAGCTAGATCACCATCTCACCATCATTCAGAGATGCTATTCTTTGTAAACTATTTTTATTTGGAAAGGGATCCGAGGTTTTCAAATAACCAAGTACTGTATGGAAGATGTGCTGGCTTGTGATTGTGCCTTATGTAAACATTTTAATATCGGATCCCTAAAATCCAAAGGCTCCCCCAAAGGGGATTAAAACATAATCCCCTCTCTCTATTCTGTAGTGGATTAACTCTGTATTCTCTCTGCGGCTGGTTTGCTCCCTGAAGACTACAACAAAAAGATTCAGTGCTCCTTAAACATGCTATGGAATTGGAAGTTGTAATTGGAGATTTCCAAAGGACGAGGGTAAAAATGACACACTATTAATGCTGAATATTTCATGATGGTCTTTCTTAAAGAAAGACCAGTTCGAAGCCCTTTTATAAATGCCCAGAAAATCTCCTCAACAGAAGGATATTGGAGTAAAATCCAAAGGAAGCCGTCCCCTTTCAGAAACACAGAGAAGTAGAGAAGATATGCTCCCCACGGAAAGTTCACGGATGTGTACTTAAAATTTGTAATGTATTTCAATAA
Source organism: Homo sapiens (assembly GCF_000001405.40). Classification (NCBI taxonomy): domain Eukaryota; kingdom Metazoa; phylum Chordata; class Mammalia; order Primates; family Hominidae; genus Homo; species Homo sapiens. The sequence continues at coordinate 35,470,344 of NC_000013.11, forward strand.
ATCAATGGGTATGGTTTTGATGTTTCACGATCTTTTTTTTTTCATGTTCTCAATTTGGATACGTTAAATTACTTTTTAAGAGAAAGAAGTAATTCACCATTTTTAGTGTTTTTGACCATTATTTGTCTCCAAATGCCAGAAACCTCTGTTAAACTATAAATCTTGATAGTCCTCTGTCTTTAGAATGGAGACTTTTTTGAGGTTTTTAGCAATGCCCAACAATGTACAACTTTGTTTCCAGTGTGAACCAAATCACCTTTCTCACCTTGCCCCAAGCAAGAGTAAACCGCATAGATTTCTTCAGAGAGAAGATAGGAAAAGTGGCATCCAAGGGAGCGTCCTGGTTGCTTAAGGGTTAAGGGAGCGGTTCGAACCGGCCCGAGCGTTGGGGGATTCGGAGGAGGGCGCGGGAGGCAGGAGGCGCCGCCAAGCGCGCGCACAGACCCTCCAATAAACACAAAGGAGGGCCTGGGGAATAGAAACCCAAATCCACTTGTAATCGTACAAGAGATTCGGGCGTAATTACTTGAGCAATCTAGATTAAGATTGATGATCCTTTAAAGTGGTGCTTCAGATCGACTGCCTCTCCCTTTCCAAAGAAAAACCTTGTGCAACCGAGGTGGACCCCGACTCGGCTGGGCAGAGGCCGAGGCCCAGAGTCCGCGAGCCCCGGGGGCTCATCGGGGGATCGAGAGCAGTGAAATGAAAGACAGGGCTGTGCGTGGGTCTGGCCCGGGCAGTCCCGACAGGGCTGAAAGCTGACACTGTCACAGTTTGCTCCTTAGCCACCCCCTTGTAATCGCGACAGAAGCCAGCCCAGCCCTCTGTGTTCCCGCAGCCTCGGGAACGGCCCGGCATTGTGCAGGACGGTCGCAGATTGGGTGTGTGCTGCGCCAGGGAAAGCCAACTTGGCCGCCTCTCCCGAGCCCGGCCCGGCGGGGGCCGAGGGCGGTGTCGGCGCGAGGGCTCTCCGCCCGGAGGGCCGAGGCCTAGCGGCCGCGGGGAACCTAACTTTTTATTGCCTTTCTCCGACTGTTATTGTGACGCATCTGACTGTATGCATTTGAGAGAAGTGGAAGGGATTATGATGCGCCCTTGCTACCTACAAATGAATAGTTACATCCGATCCCCACGTTATGTATAACGTTATATCGTGTTTCGAATCCAGGATTGCGAAGAATGGCTCCCTTTGGGGAGACTTTACAGAAAACATTTAGGTAATATCCCATTTGAATTCATATTCCATACGCGTAATTCGTGATTTTCAACCTTAACAGATTGAGGGAATTCGAAGCAAGCACCCTGGCAGGCACTTCTAGTGAAGCTGTTTCTGTAGTTTCAAAAGTTGAGAAGTAGCACTTTCGCACGGTTTTTTGAGAACCGTTTTGTTCAAGCGTCTTACATTTTCATCACTTTTGATATATTCTCTGTAAGAAAATGACTAAGATTTTCGTTCTTTTCTACGTAAGAACTTTATGTAATGTCCGTATGCACGCGTATGTATGTGTGTGTAGCGCGCCTTAGGAGACCGATATTAGATTAATCTTCCTGCAAGAGGCAAACCGCTCTGAACAGCGGAATTTATCATTTAGATCCTTGCCCCCTTCTCGTCCTCTCGCCTCTCCTTGGGGAGCGCCGCTGCTGAGTGGAACGGCTTCGCGCGATGGCTGGTCTTGGGGGCAGTGCTGACTGCCTAGGGTCTCTGGAAAAGCCAGTGATACTCAATGGAGAATTGGGGCATTTGTCCGTTCTGCACTTTTAAGTAAGTTAATGGCAGCCCCTTACCAACCATGTAGGATTTCTAGGTGGAAATTGAGCGTTATTCGGTATCCTGACCTCCTGGGTTTTCATACCATTTTTTCTCTCTAGTCTCGTTATAAGGTAATGTATAAAAGCTAAGTAGTCCTTATCTTACGTGAAAAAAGAGTTTGCCGCATAATACAGGCACCATTTTTTCTAGTGCATCCTTACCAATAAAAACCTCTGGTACCTTTCTGGGAGGGAGCAGGAAGGGCCACAGGGGCTCAGCCTGACTCCCCTTGTCCTTGCCTTGCAGGCCCAGTGGTTCTCAGCACCCCTGCCCAGCTCATCGCTCCCGTGGTGGTGGCCAAGGGGACTCTCTCCATCACCACGACAGAAATCTACTTCGAGGTAGATGAGGATGATTCTGCCTTCAAGAAGATCGACACGAAAGTGAGTTAAAGCGATTCCATGTACAGTATTGGTGGCTTTGTGGCAGGAAGTGGTTTTCAATTTTGTTTGGTTTTACCTGACAGTGGAGGAGGGGAGCACATTCTCCTCTTTCTCATAGAAAATAAAATGAATGAAATAGCATGTTCTCTTTATGGAATTGAAGAATATATTAATGAATTTAAATCCTGTATTACCAGAGCATGCACATTTTAACAGTCTTTCTATGAGTGCCTTTGTTTGCATTTGGGCAGATTTGGTAGTTAAGCCAATTGCTTCCAAGTCCCTGGGGCCCAGAATCTCAGGCTCTGAGGCTGACTTTGAAAGGTCTTGAGAAATTTCTTATTAAGATCACTTTTAATTTTCAAAACTTTATATTGTAATGTGATTATTGAAAAGTTATAAGGAAACTGGGGGGAGAGCATTTAGATATAAATTAATCTCCATTAGTACACCCATTTTGTCCATCTCCTGAAATAAGAATGGGTTTTATATGTGGATTTAAGAGAAAAGCAACTGATTCTCTGAGCTTTGATTTTAAATATATATGCTAGCACTCAGATGTTTAAATATTGTATTCTTTGGATATAATGCCAGAAAATACAAATTTGGACCATTTAAATGCATATTTATTAAATGTTATTGTGTAGATTTTAAACACCAGAGTATTAGAGTAGCTCTTTCTCAGCATTTTCTGAGATCTGTTCTAATGTTTTAACTTTCATGTTACTGTGCAATTTGCAAACTTCTATTCTGGGGTTAAGAATTCAACAGCATGAAGTGTCATGCTAGAAATTCTAGCATCATTTTGCAAAGATCTTCCTTTATTTTCAGAGGCAGTTATTCTAAAATAGTCAAAGACAAATGCTCCCACAGATCCAGAACTTTATTGTTTTTAATTTAGATATTGAAATAAAATGTTATAAAATAGTATTTGTAGACTAGAGCTGAAATCCAAAAATTTACCATCACCTGAATTAACTAACTTAAGGCCCATAGGTGATCAGCCTTTTCAGCACTTGTTGACTACTAAACTCTTCCAAAGGAGAGCCATGGGACTTCTTTTACTTCTAGCTGCAAATGTAGTTTTTAAAATGAGCTTGAATGCACTGTATTTTATTTTAAAATAACTTAAATTTTGTGTTCATCCTTTTATTAGCTTGCCCTATGAAGTCAAAAAGAAATGTTGAATTTCTAATGAATTTATTCTGCTAATGGAACCCTTATTACATAAAATAAGGTTTGACATAAAATATATTGGTCAGAAAGGATCGTTTTATTAGTTTTCATACATAATTTTCGAAGTTTCATTATGACTTTGTTAAGTTCATTTCCTCTGAATTAGTCAGATTTTTAACTCAGTCATCTCTACTGTCATGATAGACTTTTTTTCTTATATTATCAAAAATGCTACAAGAAGAGCAAGCTTTCAAAGGTAGATTTAAATTGTTTCTGTTGTAGAAAGGAATTGTCTTACAAGTAAGTTAGAGACTGAGAGTAGATTGTTATCTTATGGACCTATACAGAAAGAGCTTTTCTCCAATGTTTTATTTTTAAGGATTTCATTAGCATATTTCTCAAAATATTTAAGATATTCAAGTGGGTTTGATTTTCAAAATGCATCATTACATCTTGTGATAGGAAACAATTTAAAGTGAGACACAACAACTTTTATTTTACTTCATTTATTACCATCTAATTAAATAAAAACCAGCAACAAATTAAAATCTAAATCACAAAAGTAATTATCCAGTGTATTTCAAGTGCATTTTTCAAATATATAATTCAGATATTCAAGCGTTATTATATAAGCTGAATTCAAATTTCTTTGAATATATTTAAATAACATTTCAAGTATATTTATGGAATGTTAGAAATAGAACAAGCAATATTTGAAACAAAATGTAAACTTTTTAAAGTTCAGACACTTTCAAAGACAGATAAAAGTACCAGGAAGAAATCTACCTTTAAATGATATCTTTGTTAGTGGAAAATGTCTGGAAGTATCCAGAATGGCAATTTAAGTTCTGTTCACCAAATCACAAAACACCAACATCCACACTTTCAAAGACAATGTGAGATCACAATATTTGTTACAAATCAAAATATACATTACAGTTTCTTTCAGATGGCATATCCAAATCGTGTTTACTCACAGACAGATGCACCTAAATCACCAGGATTGCTATAATCCTTTGATAGTTAGGCAGAGTGTTCGTCTCGGTCTGGCGTTACAGCTGGGCTGTTTACGGAGTGTTACGGTGTACTTTTCAAGGGAGATAGGAAATCGTGTGGAAAGAAGTCTTCTAATACTAGTGGCTTTGGGTTTTTCTCCATCCGCTTCCCCTACTTTTTCTCCCCTTGTGGGGGTGGGTGAGATGATGTTTAAATATTGTATTATTATTCCTTTTTAAAGGAAGAGATTGTTTGCACTGCGGAGTGGAATATTAGGAATTGAACAGAAGTTTACACTTAATAAGGACTTTGAGAAGGGTAATAATTTCGGCTCTTGATTAAATCATCCTCTAAAGTTTTTCCAAACTTTTCGGGTTGGTCAGGATCTCTCTTGCCAGTCGCCACGTTTGTTTGGCAGCGTTTTCCAGAGCTGAGTGAGGTTTGCCTTGAAACAGATCTAAGTTCGGTAGAAAGTAGTGGGGACACCGCCGGCACTGCAGGCAGGAGATAAGTTGCAGCAAAATCCCGTTCAGCCGATCACCCAGGCAAGACTCGTCCCAGTCCGACTCTCGGGGATGCTTTTCACACTCGTAGGAAACCAGAGTCTTCATATGGTAATTGTTCAAGGGCTGGCCCGGCAGTTCAAGGTGACGATCCCTTAAGGTTTTGAGGATGGAGAGGCACTTCTTTCTGCAGCCCCCCATCTGCAGTCTGTTCTCTGCCTCCGCGAACTGCAGCACCCAGGCGTCGCTCTCCGCCGAGCTCTGCTTGCCGGCCAAGGAGTGGCACTCCTTGGACAAGAGATTGAAACCTTCCGCCTTGACCTCCGCCACCCGGTTGGGTCCCGGCCAGGGGATGTGGGGAAGTGGCCAGTGGGCAGCACTCCTCGGCCAGATCCCGGTGCATTTAAAGGCCGGCGTGATCTGCACCACGTACCTATCTCGGATTCTCAGTTTCACTTCGCTGGTGTCTGCCACCATCTTTACCACATCCCGGTAGCTACATTTGTCTACCGCTTGAGCCACCAGCGTCTGAAACCTGGACCGGATTTTGCGCGCCGAGAGGTAGCCGGAGGCGGTAATGAATTCCACCCAGAGGGACATGCTCCTCTTGCGCCCGTCGCTCAACTTCAGCACCGCGCAGCCGGGCAGTGAGCCATCGTCCACGAAGTTGAACACCCCCATTTGGTTGAGATAAAGCACCACTTCAAATTCGGTGGGGGAGATGACCTCGAGGCCCTCGTAGCGATTGTCCATCTCGTTGAGAGAGCTGATGAACCGCGGCTCCTGCACTTCCACTTCCTTCAGTACGTCGGAAACTACTTTGCAGACTTCCCGGATAGTTTTGGCAATGGCAGCTTTCCTGGCTTGGCATTTTTCGTTGTAGTATTTATTCAGATGGTAGACCAGCTTGGCCTGGGCCGCAATCATGTTGGGGCAGAGATCCGGATTGTACACCGGAGTCTCGCAGTAAGCTGTGGGATCCAATGCGGCTGCTAGAGCTGGAGCCAACTTCGGTGGAGAAACGGGCCGCAACACTCAGAAATGGATCAAAAATGCCTTTCGGAAGTGCTGCAGCGTTGGTTTCCCTGCTGCTGCTGCTGCTGCTGCTGCTGCTGCTGCTGCTGCTGCTGCTGCTGCTGCTGCTTTTCCCTTCCTTTTATCTTTGAGCCCAGCCGTTCTTAAAGTGAAAGACTGTCCTCCCCCCTCTGCTTGTCTCTCTTCCTCTTTTAAAGAATCCTTGTGTGAGAGAACCGCATGGAGAGATCACCTTCTCAGGAATAAAAAACAAAAGTTGCGCTGAGACCCAGCAAAGCTCTTCCAGTAGTCAAAATAAGCACCCCTTTCCGTATTTATTTGCGCTTTCCCGTAATCATTGTGTGTGCAGCACTGTTAATCAAATGGAGGAAAAGTGTGCTGAGTGTGTGTCCGGGGTGAGTGTGCGTGTGTATATGTCAGAAGAAGCTGCTGTTGGTTTGTCTAAGAGCCCAGATGCACTCGTGTGGAAATTATAAAGGCAGGGCCAGGCAGGCGGGCGGCCAATCGCCACTGGGCTCGTCACGACAGCCTCCTTCAGCTCCAACCCGGCTAATTAATCCCCACTCATGGATATAGGCACACAAACTAAAGGTAGGAGGCTGCTGCCGGCGGAAAACCACTCAGGCCACCTAGACAGTTTGGAAATCAAGAGGAATCTCTCAGCTTTGGTATTACTTGAAGCATATTGACGTTTTGAAAAGACTTGGCAAAGCGGCTCTCTTCTGTGCCGAAAACCTGCTTGTCTTTTACCGCTGAAATGCAAATACAGGTGTATTAATGGGCATCCATCAATTAGTGATCTTGACGGGGTTTTCTAAAACAAAATCACTAACTTGCATTTAGAGTAAGATAATTAACGTCTGTTAATCCTTGGGGTCTTCTTAAATGCAGGTTGAAAGTTTGTTCTTTCATGCAGACTACTGGCATATGGAAGTTGGCTTTAGATGGAGGAGTACCTGTGTAATTTTCTCATTCTGGATGTTCCTATATGTTAAAATGATTTTTTGAAACGTTATGGAGGTAGTATGCTCTTTTTTTACTTATGTTTTTTTCTTTTCTCCATTTGTTGAATCTGAAAATTATTGCTGAGTGTGTGAGATGTTCTACCCCTGTTTAAGTTAGGATATTTAAAAAATATTTCGTACATCCCTCTGCCCCAGCAGATGCAGTCTTTGCACTTTGGTGGACTTGCCCAGCATTACAAGCAGGACACAACGCTATATATGCACTTATAGAAACATTTGAAAAATAAATTGTCTGTGGGATGGACAGAGTACTTTAGCGTTATTTCATAGTGACCTGTATTTTAGTACATAAAATTCAGGTGAGATCATAGAGATCAAGCTTCCTCACAGATAACTATCCCGAAAAATTGAAGGTTTGGGGTATCTGGCTTGTTTACAGATGTATAATTAAGGATATATCTCCTGTCTTAAGTGTCCTTAAGTGGTGACCTGGCAGTAGACTTCTAATTTTATACTATTTCGTGTGATTTAATTAAGGGAAAATGGTTAACATTTGCAAAGAAAATTAACTTGCAGTTATCTGGGGGGTTTTTTGGATTTAAACATCATTTTGAAAACAAAAATGAAATAAATCATTTCATTTCTGAATTTTGGAACCTGGAAACAGGAGGAGGAATTTTTTTTTCTAGTTGGTGGTCCAGTTGTGTCCTCAAAGTACAGGAAACTAAAGAAATACTACTTAGTGGTTACGTTGTGGTTTTTAAAACTAGGTGGATTTTTTTAATTGTCTACCTTTAATTTAGATGCCACGTCTTTCCAATTAAGAATATTTCCCGTCAAATCCTATAACTCCCGGTAACATGTTTGTAGACACTTTCAGAGTCACTTTTAACAAGATATTCTTCAGGGCTCCCACTTGCTACTTAAGCTTTTGATTTTTGTTTGTGTGTTTTGTTTTGCACAGGCACAGCATCACAAAACCACCTATTATTTAATTTCTCCTTATCCAACAGTGATAGATTCCAATTTAGCTGAAAATAGTATACATTGGGGTGCGTGGCACCCAGCTACTCTATTTCCCAAGAACCTTCCATCCCCTTAAGAGCAGGGTCTGGGAACACCCAAAAAACCCCTCCCCACTTTGCCGTCATCGCGGGTGAATGCACCACTACCTTTTGGCAGTTGGAGGGGAGACCCATCAGAGCCGGAGAACCTGCAGCCACGACGGCGAGGATGTGCAGTGGTCTCTGGGGAAACGCCGCCTTCTGCCCTCACCCGGCGCGTGTGGCCCTGTGCCGTCCGCTCGCCGCCTCTCTCTCGCTGCTCCGCATTCCCGTGCCCTCTTACTTTCCTCTCTGGGCTCAAGATCGCTACGCTTTATTTCTGCGTGAGCTTATTTGAAAACCTTACTTGGTGTCCCGGCTTACTCTCCACGTCTGCTCCAGACCACGGTCTGCCCACGCACCCCTCAGCCTGCACCGCCCACGTCCGGCCCAGGTGTGGTCGCAGCCAAGCCCCAGCCGCGGGCCCCTGCGCCCTGCGCTCTCTCCCTTGGGTTCAGGCCAGAGATGCTTGCCCCAAGACCTCGCCCCTTGCCTTCTTGGGCCACCTGCAGAACACCCTTGGTTGTCAAGGACGTGAGACAGCCGAGGACGGGGAGGCCCCAGGGCTGTTCGGGGGACCTTAAGTGGGTCCAACGGGAAGGACGCGGGCCTGCGAGGGATGCCGGTCGGGCCTGGCTGGAGCCAGGCGCGCAGGTGGCGCATCTTCGGGGCTCACTGTGCAGCTTAATTGGGTTAAAGCGAAGCTAAACACCGAAGCACTTTGTGCAAACTAATTGGTGCAACCAGCGCCTTTTCACTAACGATTTGCACTTTGAGAAAGAAAAATGGATGGTGAGAAAAGGTATACTAGGAAACTCATTAGATCTAGAGTGTTCAGGAAAGTGAAGTCATTTAGTTTAAAGGACGCCAGGACTGTGTTTTCTAAGCTGCTTCCTTAAGCACCCCTCACACAAGGAGCTGAAGGTGATTTACATAACATAGGATTCACCGGTCCGCGATTATCACTGTGGGTGAACTGGGCGCCCTGGAATGAATAATACTCTAGTGCAAGTACTGCTTGTTGCTGCAACACAGTGATTTTCTATTACACTGAACACGTGAAATGAATTGCCTTCTGTAGCTGAATCCTTTCAGTGATCGTAGACGCCCCTCATTGTTGAAGCGAGAATTAAGCTATTCGGAGAAGCGTGTTTTCCATCCCCGAAATTTTTTTATGGAAATGACCTATAGAGAGGGATTGCAAATAACAGTACATTTTTGTGCAGTTCAGCCGATTTTAATCTAGGCTTGGGGGATATATTTATTTTATGGGAGTAATATATTTAACTATTTTTCAGTGAATTTTAAAAAAATATCATTTGACCTATTAAACTAGTTATGTCAAATGATTATGTAGTACATAGAGATGGCTTAATATACATTTATGTATTAATGTGAAAAGTTTTTTTAAAAAACTCCAGTTATACCAGTCTTGCAATATTTTTTGTTGTAAATATACTCAGTGCTACTAGAATAAAATTGTGTGTGTGTCATGCTTTAGGATGTAAATACTTAATTGTTTTCAGTGGTAGGCATGCAGACATCTTTGACATGAGCTAATAATAGAATGATAATTGAGGAAAACTGGCCTAATTGAAGGAAAAAAATCTCAAGAATCTCATGATTTAATGATAGTTTGAAATGCTTATATTGAATGGTATTTAGAATTTTAATGCCTAACTGACTTTTACATTGCATTTACTTAGTTTATGAGGCAGGCTCGATTTAAAATGTACCAGTTAGGAAAAAAAAAAAAAAAAGCAATAAGGACATAGCACACCATTATCATAAATGTTAGTAGTATTAGTGAATATAAAATAATTAAATATTGTGATCCTTAACACTTCGAAGCGTTCGAAATAACAGTGGCAAAACAACTTTGCCTCAAGTAGTATTTCCTAAATAACTTGTCTCCACTTCTGCAGACCTGCTTACTTATATGGGATATACAAAGTAATTCATAAATAGTGTCATTATTAAGCTTAAAGAAAAACCCTGTTATGTTGAGAAATACAAGAATGCAATATTTCTTTGTTTTCGAAAAAAACCTGATTTAAATTTGAATTGCATGTTCACAAATCTCAGTAATTGTAACCTTTCATCTGGAAAAAAGGTATCTGTTAAAGGATATGCACATACATGTTAAGTGCTTATATAGATATTGTTTGGTGTTTTTTCATTATCTGCTAGCTGCTAGTCTATTCACAAGTATTAATGAATTTAAAGTTTTATTTTTTTAATATGTGCTTATTACGCTGGGGAGATAAAAAGAATATGAAGTTGAGTTTATTACATTATTTATCCCTACTGCTGGAGTGGCTTTGAAGGCTCATTGTAGCCATCTGATTTCTTTCCCCCTTCTTTTTTTTTAAATGCACCCAGGCTATTTCAAGTGTTTCATTCTGCCAGACACAATATATTTCTTTTTTTACACTAGAGAAATTAAAGACAGATATTTGTGCAGGGTTTTCTTTATGTGTCACATTAAATAAAGTAAAATAGAGAGAGTTTTTCTGGTAACCTAATTTGATGGCATCTATACCTTTCTTCCTGTGTGATTCCTGGTATAAGAACACTTGAGACAAAAAATAGCTTGAAACCTTTCAAGGTTTCAGTGATTTCTTAAAGTAATTATTTCATCTTTTAATATCAGATTTATTTCAAAGTCAAGCAGAGGATTGAGGTCACTGTTTGCACAATTTAGACCCTATTTTATTTCTTCAACTAGAACATTTTGAGAATCGTGGTTAATTTTTTAGAATTGTTTATTCTTCACTTGACTGATAAAGGCCTTTGCCTCAGTTTTCTTCATCACCCTAGTTCACAATCATATAGTCACATTTGTAGTGAAGAGTACTTTTTTTCTCTACAGTGTTGCTTAATAAGCTTGATATTGGTATTAATAGGTTTTTGAAAAGAAAATTTTGAGATTAAAAATGGAAGTTGGGAGTATACTTGTAAGAATTGACCACCGCTGCTTGATTTGCAGACTTGAAGTAATACTGGATAACTAGCCAAAACTTTTCTTTTGGTAGAAAAAGAAATTTAAAGCCTGGCTTATTTTCATAATTGTCTCTGTTTCCTCACTTCATTTGCATATGTACACAGAGGTACAGGATGTTTTCAGTTGTATCTGTAAACTGAAAAAAAAATGGGGAAAGGGAGGTTATCAACCTAAAGAATTTTTTATTGTTCAGCATAAATTGTGATCTCTAACCTTTTCCAAACATTTAAGGACAATGAAGTTAGTCATTCATTTATTGAATACTGTGTAGGAAATATGGATTCCAATAGTCTAATTTCTCACAAACCCTTCAGAAAGTTACTATTATCTTTCTAATAAAACTAAAATCTTTTTGTTAGATATCAGCTTATAATTTTCTTGTGATATTATAGAAATATTCAGACAGGATAAATGGGCTCACATGATTCTTTTCTATATAATGTATGAAAATTAGGTATTTCCTAACCTACAACATATACACAAATGTATGTATGATTTTACATACATGAATTTACGTACATTTGTGTATATGGCTACATTTTTAGTACTCTTAATATGCTATCTTTTTATTGCATTTAGAGAAAACAAAGGAATCAGAATCGATTAGTGTCTGTTAATCCCTACATCTGTACTAGGTCATCCAGGACTGCATTGCTCTCATTACTGTTTCATACTGTATGTGATTAAGCCACTGGAAATATTCAACATGACCTTGAGACTAGAATATGGTACATAGATAATCAACTTCCAGTGATTACATGTCTAAAATAACCTTTCCTATTTTTAATTTATAGTTTTGGAGCTTATTTTTTAATGAGCAAAGTAATTCTTCTAAAGTAAGATTTATTTTTTTTAATGATTAGTAACTGGAGTAATAATTTAAAAGGATAATTACATAAAATAGAAAACGATTACCTTTTATCATGTATATTATGTGCAGTAAAATAAATGGTTTACAGAAAAAGAAGGAAATTAGTTTATAAATATAAATTTTCTTTATATCTTTACATATAAGTATAGAGATAACTATCTGAGAATATAATACCTATATAATATTTCATTTCCAGTTACATTTCAATATTTTCACTATTGTAATAATATACATTTTAGTACACCAATATGTACTATTTCTTGAAAGCACACTTTTTCATATAATGATTTGTCAAAAATATCAATTCTAAAGTAATACTAATGAATAGTTAATACTTTTACATTCACATATCCTTATCCATTTTATTATCTAAAATCCCAATCAAATTAGAAGCATGAACAGCATAGTTTGTAAGATGTAGTGGTGTTCCTGATTAAAAAAAAAAAAGTGGGAACCTAGTGAAATAAAATGTATAGCTTTGTTTTTCTGTGAAATTTATTTTTTTTAAGTTAGATATGTCTGTGAAATTTATTTTTTTAAGTTAGATATGTCGATGTGTACTTTGCATACAGTAGTATTCCATGATTTTTCCATATGATTGTGCCATTCTATGAATTCTGACAAATATATACCATCATAGAAGCTCTACCACACATGTAGATAGAACATTTCTATTACCACAAAAATGTTTCTTCATGCCCTGATTTCATTATTTTTATTTGGAAATTTTATGATTAATGTATAAATGTCTGGCTGTTTTAGTTTTATATCAAAAGATCTTTAGACTGTAACACCGTTATTTATTTCCCCTAGAGTTTACTATTTTGTCATGCTTCTAATTAAAGACAAGTTTTAATCAAAAAACACTGACACAGGCAAAGTGTAAAATAATATTTCAGATATATAAGCAATATGTTTATAATTTTTATTTTATGTAAAGTTTAATTTTCATGTATGTGACAAATTAATACTTGGTAGAAGATTGATTTTTCAAAGAAACTCCTAATATTTAGTAGCTAACATGAATATATGTGTTAGATTTATGAATCTGATTTACAGCTTACACATCAAAATATGCAAGTAAGAATGGGTTTCTCATATAAGTTAGCAACATTTGAGGCATATTTGTAATGTTTCTAGCTTTATGGCACTAGAGAAAGAAATGTCAAGATTTCTCAATATTTTTACTTTACATTTTCAGTAAATTAACCTTCCCTTTGAGTGGTAGGAATTGAGGCTAAAGAGTTTATTAGATCTAATATTACTTAATATATGCACATTCTTGGGACATGTGTATAAATATACATTATCCTAATTTTGTATAAATATACATTATTATGTAAATGTAGATGGTTACAAATACTCTAAACCAAGAATTATTAAATTATAGGAGTGAAGACATTGATAATGATGCTCTTTCAAATATTTTGTCTTTTTACAACTTGGAATAGTACAACTAGTCTTTTATTTCTTCCCCCAAGATATACAAATTATTTAAATGCTTTCTGTTTTGTATTTTTATTTTGCAGTTACAATAGAAATTTTAATGTTATGCATGCTTACAGGCCTATTAAGAAAGAAGTTATTGCTTTCTTAATAATCTCAAACCATCTTTAGGAAATACACTCTTTTTATGGTTTGCAAAATAGCCCATGCATGCATGCAGGCTGTGTACAGACACACACACACACAAAAACACCAGTGTTTAAGATAGCAAAAGATTGAATTGGCCTCTATACATTTTCCGTATTCATCTGTTAAAAGGAAACAACCACTAAATATTGGAATCTTGTTGCCACCAGGAAGTAATATCCACATCCACAAGTTTGTCTCATAATAACCCTTAACAGTTTTTGATAATACCTGAAGAGACTGTACCTAAATGGATTTTTAAAATAACACGGGAAATTCCAACAGCATGTATTCAGTCACATATACTACGTCAACTTTGAATGTCATAAGCTTTTAATTATGAAATTGAGAAGTTTATTGCTAGCCATTTTGTCCATAGAAAAAATTTACTTAAATATTTACCTACATTAATATGTGTGTGTGTGTGTGTGTGTGTGTGTGTGTGTGTGTGTGTATATATATATATATATATGTAGACCCTCACTAATTTAAAATTGTTTTTTACTTTTTTGCAACAGACCAAGTTTAAATTTTTTGCAACCTTAACCTGCATTTGATAAACAAAATGTATAACTCTTCAGGGGGAAAAATGTGGGATGTTTTGTTTTTTGTTTTTTACTGGCAATTTCAGTTCTTCATTTGTTTTGCTCTCCACGCTGCATTAGCACAGTTTTCCCCTGTGTGCATCTGCCAGTGTACAATTTAGCCACGGGCATCTGTAGACCTTGTGGTGATCAGTATTGCAGGCAAAAGCCATATGTGTTTAAATAAAAAAAAAATCTCTTTATTTCATTTGCTGTTTTAACTGGATGGATAACTTTTGTGCCTCAAGACAGAAAAAGAAAAAATACAGAAATAATTAATTGCCTCTATTCTTGAGGCAGTTTCATTTCCCCTCCAATATGGAATGCTTGTCAGCTTTCCTGATAAATGACTGCATGTATTTGCATAGATTTTACATTAACACAAAAATTAGTTTTATTTGTGGAAAACTAGTTTACATAATAATATAAAACCCCTGTTATTGATTATGTTTCCAAGCATTGATGACTTTAGAGGGGTGGTAGTATTCTAAATTTTCAAAAGTCTGATCAACCTGTATAATTTAAACTTTCTTTTGATAAATAGTTTTACATTAAGATCTAAAAGACATATTTATAACATTTTAAAGTTTTAAAACTTCTTTTCTAGATATACTTACCACAACTGTTTCAGACTCATAGTAGCACCCATTTGGTAAGAAGATTTTGATTTTGAACTTTTGCCAAGGAATATTTTTAAATACATATTACCAATTACGTACACTTCAGCCAATTGGAAGACTGCATCTATATGAATTACTTTAATTTTCATATTCATATTATGAAAAAAGATGGGTGCTATATTGGATGTGTACAGTTTAGCTAATTCTTGGGAAGTTATGTATTATTTACAACCAAATTTAAAATATATCTGAGAACTGTCCTCTCCATCTTTAACCTATTTCCTTCAATATACTTAATTAATCACCCAGCCCTGAAAAAACCACTCTGCTGGAGCTGTTAGGGTACTGAAAACAATTCTACCTCTCTAAGTGGCAGGCAGTAGATGTTTATTCATACTATAATCTGGCATCTTGTTGTCTAGAGGCAACCTGCTAATTATGTGCTATCGTTGTATTATCCATGTTATGGAAAATTCAAATATGTTCACTACTGTTAGTTACATCGCAAAGCTTTTCGTAAAATATACTTGATCCTCAAGAAACCTACTATACTTAATGGCAACCTAAACCAAGAGTGTCTCTGCCACTTCTTGATTCTGGGACACCCTGGGTGCCAGCTGTCACAGCTCAGCTAATGATGACAAATGCCCCTCTCTATGCAGATTGCAGAGCTTGCAGGCTGCTGTGAAAGGCAACCAGATTACCTTTCTTCAGATAGTAACTTAACCTTTAAAACTCATGTCAGAATGAAATGATCAGCTGTGATAGTTTCAATATCTGTATCTTTAAAAACAAAAATCAGAATAATATCAAATAATGCTTTTAAAAGTTTCCAGTATTTGTATGATTTACAGTGTTTTACCCTTGAATGCTGTAATATTCTTAAATAAGAAACTCTGGGTAAGACATACTTCACAACCACTTTAGAGTGTGTATTTGAACTCTGCGTATAAATCAGGTAATAGGTAATTGAGAAAATTCTCCAGATTGTTTAGTCTAAAAAATAGGCTGATGAAATTTTGAGGGAAAATATGTTCTTCTCTTCACCTGAATGAATGGTAAAGCCTCAATTCTCCCACTGCTTGTACAAGCCTAGCCTGTCCCAAGCCAATAGTTATATTATGTCATTAAAACTTAGTTATTCCAAAATGATTTAGAGAATAATTGTTGCTAATGATTGTTTTCTCTGGGTATTTTCAAATATGATCTTTTAAGTTATTAATTTGTTCTATAGAAATTTATCATATTACAGAACCTATACTTACATGGATTATTCAAAACAATAATGAACACCATTAACCATAATGTAATTCAGAGGGATAAATTACCTATTAAATGAGATAATGCTTTACAATTGCAACATTCTTTTCAATTTACAAAGGATTTATATCCATTAATTCATTTGATACTTAAAATAATTCTGAGCTGGGAAAGATGGGTGACAAGGAACAGGGACCAATATTTAATGAGTATTTAATCTCATTTAATCTTCACAACAAATATTAGCTCCCATTTACAAATAAAGAGACTGAGGTTTAGAAAGGTTGCATCTTACCAGGGTCACACAGGTAATTGCAGAGCCAGGTCTGTCTGACTGTGGCTGCCATCAGCATTACAGTTTCTAGACTACATATGTCCATAGCCAGATATAATTCATAGAAACTGCTACTAGGCTTGCATTTACATAAACAACATAATTGATGAGTTTTAAAGATAGGTTCTTTATAGGATGCTTTTAAATAGGTAAATACTGAGATACTTTTATGTTATAAATTTTAATTTTATAAGGATAATGTATTGATCTATCACATTGGGAGAAACTATTTAGGAAAGATATGTACTGTTTACTGAATATCAAATTGGACTAATTCACCTAGATAACCACTTCATTGTAAAACTTAAGATTAATGGGATATACCTTTATAAATGTGATGAGGAGAAGCAATTATTTCAATAATTACTTGAGTGAAATATTTATATACTTTTCTTTTATAAAGGTTTATCCATATCATAGTTTTACTATGTAATATCAGTGAGCTATACCACCCACAATATTGTTTTTCAGCTCAAGACACATTGAAAACTTCCTTTGATCATGAATTTAAGTGCAGTCATTTCCAAGAAAGCTATGCCAATGCCAGTTGTATTTATTCTGTAGTAAATTATTCTTTGGTATAGATACTAAAATGTGAGGAAATTTTTTCAATGATACATATGATTATATTATTATATAAAGACTATTTTATGTACTGATTAGTAGAATTATATTAGTACTTATATAGAATTAGTACTTATAGTTACTAATCAGTACTTATGCTCAATTTGTATTTCACTCTACATAAAAATTAAAACTTACAGTGAAAATTTTACTAAAATGTGTCATGCAGTTAGTATCAGGGAAAAAAGTAATTCTGCCGCATAAGTCAGACATTTTATATCAGGGCAGGAAAGAACTCTGGAGGATAATGCAATGTAACCCTCTTCATAACTGTCTGAATCTTCTCTACACCATTACCAGCCATGGTAACAACCATAGCCAGAGGTGGTTATCTAACCTCTACTTTTACCTCCATGAATGAGAAACTTACTACCTACTCAGATAGTTAATTGCACTTACAACAGTTCTAGTGGTTAGAACGCTCTTCCTAATATTGAACCAAAATATTTCCCCTTGAAACTTTCACCTTCTGGCCCCTACTTTCCCTTCTGAATAGTATTATCCCTTTAACAAATATATGCTTTTTAAATTCAGCATTTCAGATACCAAGTTGAACATACTCCAGTCTTTCAGCTATTACACCTTTGGCATCTTTTAAGTCACCTCACTGTTCAGGAGCCATTCTGGTACATGATTTTCTTCAAGTACGGTGCCTAGAAAGTATTACTCCTAGAATGGATTGGTACATGTAAAGTGGAGAATAATAGCGAAACATGGGTCACATGAGCTTTTTGGGCATATCCATACCCACGCAGATAAATGCTGTATGTCAACAAATATCTTATTTGTTTAAACATATTATTACCGAGGTCCTAAGTACATGACTTTTGTATTCATCCAACTCATATCTTGCTATTTTTAGGTATTTTTTCCGTGACTTGACTTATAATAATAAGTTATACATCATTATTTTAAGAATCAATAGGCATAACAGTTCTTTCTAAAAATGTGTTCATAAGCTACACATAGAATATTCAGAGCAAAACAATCTAACTTTAATGAATTTAATGTTTTTGCTCAGTTTAAGTGTAGAAGGAAGCTAATCCACTTAATAAGACCTCAGGATACATTGAATTTACTAAATACTCCACAGCCTTCGTATAGTTTTTTTTCCAAATATTTAAAATCCTAATATTAGTTTTTCATAGCTTTATCGAAATGTGTAACTAAGAAGCCTCATTTGGGATAAAGTATATACTTTATGTATTTTGGCATTTATCAATTTTGCTTTGTCAATAAATTTTGTATCTACAAATGAAATCTGCAGGTTTCCCACATGCTTGATCAATGACTAGCAAACTAATAAACTTTCAATGCAAATAGATGTGCTTCTAGGACTTGTAGACTGTTATAGGAATCACCAACATATTGATCTACATATTTTAACCTTTTGACAATAACAAGAGTTTCTAAATAATTTAGCATGAGCAGAGGTAAATACTTTTAAAAAGTGATATTTTTAATAACTTGAAGCCAATGTGAAAATTTGTAAATTAAACCAAAGTAGTCACAAGACCCATTATGCTCAGTTGTTTTCTTCAAGTGCAGTGCCTAGAACTGAATATTCAGTATCACAGAGTGAACTGGTGAATGTAGGGCAAAGAGGCCTCCCTTAAGTATTAAATACATTGTTGGAAAAAACGTATTCTGAGAATTCTCAAAACACATTTGAGAAGCAGTAGTAAAATACAAAATGCATTTTAATATATATTAATTAAGTAATTTGTAAAATACAAAATACATTTATGTCTGTATGGGTGGCAAAAAAATTGCATTAACTTTTTTGTGTTAAAGCCTTGAATTTCTTTAAGTGCAGGCGCATGTTTTTATTTGCCAAGTTTTTTTTTTAATGAGGATGTTTCATTACTACTTTATTTATTACTGCTGTGACATCTAGGCAATAAAAGACAAAGACAGCCTGCCTGAAATTTGGCTTTCTTGCAGTTTGTATCTTGAATGGGGAATAAAGAAGTCCAGTGCGTTTACAACAGAAACATTCTCAAGTGAAGAGCTGCCCCATCTGTTTCATCTGGTGGCTTATGCAATAAGAGGTGTTATCACATGAATCTAAATGCACAAGCGGTCGTTTTATGAACTCTTTCTGTGCTTTGAGGAGTTTATAAGTTGCCTACTCTATTGTGTATCAGTCCCAGCTGACCCAAGTGCATTCTGCTGGGCATATTTGGGGGATAATTAGAACTAATGAAGCCTGGAATACAGCTAATTCTCTAAGTGATTTATTCTTATGCTCTTCTCTGATCCCTAAGAATTCTCCAAATCATAATCTATGCCACTTATTTTTTCCTAGCATTGTGTTGATACAGCTACTTTATGCTTAGCTGATGGACATCAAAAGTAAATTCGGTATTTGAAAGGCTGAGAAACATGTTTCAAAGTAAAACTTTACGTTACTTATTAGTCCCCAGGCTTGAGAAGAATGCCAGTTCTTCAACATTTTATGTTTTTGTTTAAATCTCAAAATGTTTATGGCACTTGCAAGTAGATAATAGCATAGAAAATATAAAGCAATAAAAGCTCATTAAAAAATGTACCACTGGGAAATCAAACCTACAAGTAAAATAATTGAAAATTATTAATGGAAGTTTCCTATTTCTTAATTAGGTTTCCCAAGGAAATCTGAAGTTTAAAAAAAACTTTATGAATAGCTTTCATGTTCCAAAGCTGTTTCATTAACCTGGCTTCACTGTCCTAGCAGTGTTGAAAATGATGTTTCTTTACGTGCCCTCACCAAGTAGTCAGTGATTCAGTGGCCTGTAACGCTGTAAATCCCATCAACTTGCTTTCCTTTCCTGTTATAACTGTTTCAATGAGTGGCACTTTTGTTGTGCGGGTTCAGATCTGGTAGCTTACTGAGGGCACACTAGAATGAGGACAGACACAAATGCCAACAAAAGAAGGCTATAACTTTATTAAAGCCTTATACTCAGTAAATAAGATAGTGGAGCCACTTCAGCTAAGTAGTTTTATAAGCTATGTCCTATTTGATCTTCTGTTGTCTAGAAACTATAGTAGAATTTATTAAGAATTGTTAGTTTTACCTATTGATTCCAGTGTTTAATATTTACCATATTCTAGAGCCCAGATAACAAAACCCTTAAGGGCAAGTACCACTTTATTAGTTAGACATACTGAAATACCTGTACTAATGTAGATCACCAACTAGACTGATTATCAACCAAAGGACCAGTTGGAGATTCCTGAATCTCATTACAGGATACCTAATCCAGCCTCAGATAAATTCTAGTCTTAATTGTATACCCTGACGTAAGAAGTTACTGTTTCTCATATTTTACCTTCTGCCTAAAAGTCAGCTAAACACTCGAAAACATGTCTTAGGAACTTGATGAAAAGTTGCAGGTCATTTTTTTAAGAACATTTTTACATCTTTAAACAAGACAAAGAACAAATTGGTAAAATTGGCTAAAACTGAGTTTTTGTTATTTGCAAGTTATTCTGCTAGGTGCTTTATCTATATTACTGTATGTACCTTCATCTTCTCAACACTATGAAGTAGAAACTTCTGGCCTCATTTCATTGTTAAGAATCTGAAACACAGAGAATTCAAGTAACTCTTCCAAGTTCACAAAGCTAGGAGTTAGCAGAGTTAAGATTTTCATCTATGCCATCTGGCCCCAGGCTCCAGAGTGTGCTTTCTTAGTCATCATATAGAACCTCTCTAAGTTTGTCTTGTCATCTGTAGAACAGGGATAATTCTGTGTCATAGGGTTGTTGCACAGGTTAAATAAATTAATACACATAAAAGTTTATGTGTTTTAAAAAGAATATTTTTAAACTTATATTACCCAAGACCACACAGTAACTAGCAAAGATAGGACTCAAACCCAGCTTTTTCTATCTCCAGACTTCTGAGTTTATGTAGCATCATGCTTAGGTATGTTTGTTGAATGAATAATTAAATGAATATCATCTGTTCTGTACTTCCCAGTGGAAGATTTTGTTAATTTTGCTGGTTATTTTGATAGCATATAGCAGGTACTCAGTGCCTGAATGAGTGAAGGATTTTTCAAACAATACTCGCCAATATAATATGTTCTATACATTGATCACTCTTAAATTTATATCTCTAGCCAAGACCTCTCCCCTTAATTTCAAGCTGGTATGTTCAGTGGTCTTCTCCACATCATCTCACATATATAAGATGCATTTCAAACTTAGATTCCCAATTGAGCACCTGCTTCTCCATCAGTCATCTGTACCTCAGTAAACTGCAGTGCCTTTTTTCCGGTTTCTTAGGCCAACAACATGGCTGTCATCTTTGACTCCTCGCTTGCTTGTGTACCCAATATCCAGAGTGTCAACAAATCCTCCAGACTCTGCCCATCTCTCACCAACTTTACAGCTTCCATCCTTGCAAGCCACCATCATCTCTTAATTTATTTTTGGTGCCCATTATCCTGTATGTGTACTACTGGTTATCTGAGGCAATATAGAATGAGAAAAAGTACAAGGAATTATGCTAGGGAACATAGCTTCTCACTAATATTCCTCTGTGAGGAATATGATCCAATAGGAATAAATGAGAAGGAATGTTCAGAAAAGTAAGGCGGAAAACTAACAGATATGACTATCTTAAATGCCAAACACAAGAGAGTTGTAATAAAAAGTTAGTGGACAACAGTTCAGCTACCACATAGAGTTCAAATAACATAAAAAGTTCTTTGTCTTTCCACATCCGTATCAATGGAATTGTAGAGACAGAAGCAGATCACAATAGGATTGAAGAGTAAATCGGAGGTGGAAAGTGAGGTAGACAATACACTTTCAAGAAAAGTAGGATTGAAGACTATTCTAAGTGAAGTAACTCAGGAATGGAAAACCAAACATTGTATGTTCTCACTCATAAGTGGGAGCTAAGCTTTGAGGATGCAAAGGCATAACAATGACACAGTGGAGTTTGGGAACTCAGGGGGAAAGGGTCAGAAGGGAATGAGGGATAAAAGACTATGAATTGGGTTTAATGTATACTGCTCAAGAGATGGGTGCACCAAAATCTCACACTAAAGAACTTACTCATGTAACCAAATACCACCTGTTCCCCAAAAACCTATGGAAATAAACAATTTTTAAAAAGTAGAAATAAAGGAAATGCAAGAGATAGTATGGTAATTATGAAGTGATGCAAGAAAAAATTTTAAAGGTATTTGAACATATTTAGGGCATAGAGAAAGAAGCCATAGAGGAGAGGTTAAAGTTAAAATGAAGGACTAAATCATGGAGGTCTCTCTATCTCCAAGATCAGTAGAAGGAAATGGTATCATTGTCTTGAGGCTACAATGAGAGATGGCTTTTTTCCTTGAAGATAAACTCTACACAATTATTAATATTGCATTTTATTTTATTCCATATGTATTTGTAACAGTGGAGGGTGAGATGTTGGGTTTAGGATAAACAGGTGGAGATCTGAAAATGTAGCAGGAAGAAACTGTTGCATTGTGGAAGATAAATTTGTAGATGGTGGTTTTTAAAGTTGGTGGATTATACAACTAGGCCTCAGTTTTCTCTTGGCACTTAAAGCACTGGGACTGAGGTAAGCTTCAAGAAGGGACTTAGATGTTTAAACTGTCACTAAAAGGAATGGGAGATAACGATGCTGAATCCTGCTTTACCTGGCAACCCTAGATGAAGGAGAAAAGTAGATGTAGTAAAATTTCTAAATAGATAAGTGACTGAGATAGCTTAAACATAGGCAGAATAGTTTACTAAGCGGAATATGGACACAGGCATAGACTGCTGAAATACAAAGAAATCAAAGAATTTTAAGATTAAGGTACAGAATAGATTGTCTATATGAATACTGAATTCTCTAAAAGTGATTATAAGATTCTGGGTGGAGAGGGAAAGAATTTTGGGGAAAGAAGACCCATGAAGAGTAGAATGAATGCTGTTAAGTGAATGGAACAGGAGACAATCTGAGTCACCAGAGCCTGCACAAAACAAACAAATGGGCCTAAGAGGGGTTGCTGGGATTTTGGAAGCCAAAAGATAACTTGATGAAATCCTTTGTAGCCTAATGCTTTGAATACTTTTGAGAGATTTGATAAGCAGTTTTATCATCAACAACTAATGATATGGGAGTTTATTTAAATTTATTCCTGGAGCCAGGGAATTCATAGACTCTTATTTTAAAAGACCCTAACATTCCATATGAAAGTGTTTTTTAGGTGTCTGCCCAAGTGATAATCCACTTTAGTATATCTGTTTCCAATACTACCAAAGTGTCCATCAGGATATTTTGGTAGGACCTAGTCATATGTTTTATTTGAAGTATGTAAAACTGCCAAAGATACTTTACTCTTAAGTGTTTTCATATCATATAACTTTCTTTAGTTTCCCAGTAGAGTGAGGAAGCCCTCCATTAGGAACCAGAAAGCTTGGGTTTTAGAGCTTGCTCCTTTTTGAATAGAATATACAATCTTTATTAATGAGCTTAGTTTCCTGCCCTGTGTGATGAAGGCATTGGAGTAGATGATTTCCCTTCTAAAATTCATTCAGTTCTCTGTATTATTTAACTTTGAGATGAGTACAAAATAGCAGCAGTTTTACCTTTAAAGGTGTATCTCGTCATGTGCAACATATACCTTCCTGAAAAGTTAGCATATTTTTATTATTTGAATTATATTTAAATATATCTGTGAATTTATTCTTCAAAGGATCCTTACAATAAATCTTTTAAAAATGAATTCATTTTATAAATTTAATGATTTCTTTATAATGTATAATTTCAAATTTAAATCTTTAGTTATTAAATATTTTTAAAAACAACTCTATATATTTGTCTTTATGTAACTTTATAAAGGGTATAATGAATATGAATATAAGGAATACAAAACCAATGATAAGTAAGAAAATAGTAAGAAAGTAATTAATCACTTTAAATGAATTCATGACTTCAGGGTACTAACAGAATTTGGAGGTTTGATTGAAGGACCAATCATTGTTGAGGAATTACAGAGACAGTGAGATATGTCAGAAGACTAGATGAGAGCAAAATATTAGAGAATTTTGCTTGGCACCTTCTGATCAACAATGGTAACAAAAATGTGATTAAGACTTAAGGGAAAAAGTCAAGTCTGCCTCAAATCCTGTGGGTAAGCAAATAAGATCTAAATTTTTGAAAAATAAATCTGTAGTCTGATAAATTAAGATGTATTAGGTTGGTGCAAAAGAATCGTGGTTTTTCCCATTACTTTTCATGGCAAAAACTGCAATTACTTTTGCATCAACCTAATATATTGTAAGCCCTAGAGCCATCGCTAATAAAATAACTAAATAGATGTAGTTAAAAAACAAGTGAAGGAATGGCAAAAGAAGGCAGTAAAGGAGGAAGAGGTGAACAAAAAAGATATGAAAGATACAGAAAACGAAAAGCAAAATATCAGATGTAAATCCAACCATATCAATAATAGCATTAAATGTAAATGGATTAAACAGTCCAATAAAAAATCAGAGACAGGTGCAGTGGCTCCGTAATTTCAGCTCTTTGAGAGGCTGGGATGGATGGATCACTTGAGCACAGGAGTTTGAGACCAGCCTGGGCAACATGGCAAAACTCCATCTCTACAAAAAATAGAAAAATTAGCTGGATATAGTGGCACATTCCTGTAGTCCCAGATACTGAGGAGGCTTAGGTGGAAGGATCACCTGAGCCCATAGAGATTGAAGCCGCAGTGAGCTGTGACCACACCACTGTGCTCCAGACTGGACAACAGAGTGAGACTCTGTCAAAAAAAAAGAAAAGAAAAGAAAAAAAAATCAGAGACTGTCGACTGAATTAAAATAAAAATAAGATCCAACTCTGTGCTCTCTACATACAACCAGATGCTGTTAACTATGTGTTTTGACCCAGTTTAGGTTCAAAGATACAGATAGGTTGAAAATAAAAAGATAAAAAAAGATATGCACACAAACAGCAACCATAAAAGACCTAGAGATGGCTACAATAATATCAGATAAAATAGACTTTTACACTAAATAAAGCCACTACATACAAAGAGAAACACTTTGTAATCAAAAAAGATTAGCTTATAGGGGAGTTATAACAATTATAAATATATTTGCACCTAACAACAAAGCCCAATGTCCATAAAGCGAAAACAGATAGAATTGAAAAAAGAAATATTAAATTATCCAATAATAGTTGGAAACTTCAATACCCCGCTTTCAATAATGAAGACAATAACTAGATGTAAGATTGACAAGGACATATGCTCCTCAATTTACAAGGGTGTTGCATCCTGACAAACCCATCATAAATTGAGGAGTGTATTTTATATGTATCATTTTTGCACCACTGTAAAGTCAAAAAATCATAAGTCAAACCATCATAAGTCAGGGCACATCTGTAAATAGAAGACTCAAACAACACTATAAACCAACCAGACCTAATACACATCTGCAGAACACTCCCAAGAACAGCAAAATTTCTTAGTGCACATGGAACATTCTCCAGGATAAACCATATGTCAGGCCATAACACAAGCCTCAATAAATTTAAAAGGATTAAAATAATACAAAGATTTTTTGACACAATGGAATTAAAAATCTTTCTACAGTTGACAAACTGAACAGCAAATACTTTGGATGATAGGCAAGATTCATAAATGATATAGAAACCATGCCATGTGACTTGAAAGAACTGAGGCTAGTGTACCCAACTAAGGAGTCTAATTTGGATGGTAGAGATGGGGATGAAGTAGGATATAATAGTTTCCTCTAAGAAGCCTGTCGTTTATAGCAAGGAGAATATTAATATGTATACATGACCTTCCAGAGGACACAAGTAAGATAATTGGGTGGAAGTTACAGCACAAAATAAGGAAGAATATTATAACTGTACTTTTCAGTTCAGTAAGATATAGGCAGTATTGTACTTCCCTTTTTAAAAAAACAAGGTCTCATTATGTTGCCCAGGCCTGACACAAACTCCTGGGTTTAAGGGATCCTCCCACCTCAGCCTCCCAAGTAGTTGAGAGTGACTAGAGTCACATGCCACTGTGCCTGGCTCTACTTTCATATATTGTGTTCCTTAAATTGGATTTTTAAAGTCCTATGTAGAAAAGCCAAACAAGGCCAGGTGTGGGGGCTCACTCATATAATCCCAATACTTTGATTGGCTGAGGCAGGAGGTTAGCTTGAGCCCAGGGGTTTGAGACCCGCCTGAGCAACATGGTGAGATCTTGTCTCTAAAAAAATGAAAACCTTAGCCAGGCATAGTGGTGCACACCTGTGGTCCCAGCTATTCAGTAGGCTAAGGTGGAAGGATCACTTGAGCCCAGAAGGTTGAGGCTGCAGTGAGCGATATTGTCACCACTGCACTCCAGCCTGGGTTACAGAGTGAGATTCTGTCAAAAAAAAAAAAAAAAAAAGAATAGAAAAGAAAAGAAAAAGAAAAGTCAAACAGTGGTTTTTAATAGCTGTTCTTCTAGCAAGGATAAGTTTAATTCCTGCAATATGTCTTTTCTCAAAAAGTCAAGGAGAAGCCTTAATAACTGGAGCAGCTTGGTGTGCAGGCACCTCTACCGCTCCCAGGACTGGAGCTAGAACTTAGATATTGAATCAGGACATCTCATGTCTTTCTCAACAAAATAATGCTCCCTTCCCCCAAACAAATTTACCAAACTCTAAATATATTATTGCACAACTTCCTTATGGTTTGGAAGGAACTTTTTCCTAACTTTATCAAATCTAAAGAACCATGAAGCAACTCTTTCTCCTAAGTCTATGCTTCAGTCATAAGCACTGTGAATTACGCAAATAGCTTAGTTAGATATGTAGATGAGTTAAAAATAGAATCTGCAAAACAAAATGCAGATTGTACAAAAATTAAGGATATGATCACCAGTCCAGGATCACCTCCAATAGGTTATCTCATAAGCTGTGAACATTGCCACTTAAAGTGATTCACTCAGGGCCTAAGGAACCTTCTGTAGGAGAAATTGAGGAAGTGCTTATACTCTGTATGATTTCATATACACATACAAAAAAGTGGACTGAAAAATATAAATCTATTTTGCCAGATGTTCTTAACATTTATATTTATCTGCATTAAAACAATGTTTTTGTTACTGGAGAGTGGAATTTTCAATAAGATTTTAATAAGAAAAATTATTTCATTTGCTATATTCTCTCAGAACATAAATTACACTGTAGCAGTAAGTTAGACTTTCTTTCATACTCTGGAAGTACATTTTAGCATATTATTCTTCCAGTAAACTACCTGATATCTATAGAGTGCTGAAGAAGTTAGCAGCCAGATTATTTGGTTTACCTACAAGAGATTAATTTGCATATCAGCAAGGTCTGCATAAATCTGGGTGCAGTATCTTTCAGTCTTTTCTCTGTTTTGTAACACTTGACCCATCAATTTAGATAGTACCTTGCCTGAAGTACAAAAATGAGGAAGACATGTATATTATCTCTTTTAATGATAGGCAAATGAGGAATCAACTCTTACAGGTGTCTGGGAGATTTCAGACTATGTATTTATAATCTTATTTAATATTATATAACCAAATATTTTTATGCCTTTCCACTAATTTTCTACCAAATGCTTAAAGAGAGTCTATTTAGAATAAAAACCACTTGAATGGATTATTTATATTAAGAGCTTACTAAACATTCTTTGTAATATTGGCTATTATTTTTTACCTTGAATGTGTTGCTTAAATTTGGACTTTTTCTCAAACACTATTGGTATTTTAGTGGCAAAATTATTTAATGGTAGATGTTTAACATTGGAGATCTTAGCATGTATTGATTTGCACAAAAATTCTATTCTTTAAAGGTCATATGTACCAAATTTCATAAAGGAAATGCATTGGAGATGCTTAGTAGACATTTTCTTAGGCACTAAGTATTACTTGCTTATAAGGATATTTTACTGTTTATGTATAGGTTAAATACTTCACTTGTAATGTCCATCTTGTAAAGAAAGTCCTCTCTGTGTTGAAAATCTCTCATTGCTAATCTTGTTTTTTTATATGTCCAGTAAGAGTTACCAATATATCTTTCATGAGCTATGGCAAATCATTGATAATTACTGTTCAATTTATTCCTCCCTAGGCAAATGGGTTCCTTTGTAGTACCTAGGACAAGGGATCCACAGGCAGGAGTCCTCTGGCATTGATGACTGATGGAATAAGCCATAGTGACACATAGCTACTATACCACATGAGAGCATCATGATTTGTTTATTTTAGAACTGGTTGTAGCAATATTAGAGGATGAAATGATTTTCTTAAAGCACTAGGAGAGTGGGGACTACATCATCAGGATAACTTAAAGAAAAGCTGCTCAAAAACAAAGTGTCCCAGTCTCTTCAATAAATTGTATTCTCTCCTTGACTATTTAATTTATGCAAATGCACAATGAAAATATTTTTGCTTCATATCTGAATCTTCATAAGAAAATGTATATTTAAAAATAATAAAATCATATTTTTCAGTTATCTACATTAAATCTTTTATTCATGTTATAGTTTAATTACATGATATCTGTCTTCACCAATGGAAATGTAATGTGCTAAATGCTCCATTAATTTTTTCCCCTTATACCTTATGCTCAGTTATGCCTGGTACAAACGACATATACTTTTCTGATATTATTGATGAGGTGTTCATGACCTTTCTGTTGAGATTTGTGTGGTGGTGCTGTTTAAAGAAAGAGTACTTAGTGGAATTTGTGTGACCACACCAGGCAATTGAAGAATAGGTATTATTTCTGGCCTTGGTTCTATAACCCAAGTTAATTATAATCACTTTAAGAAGAAAACAGTCTTGCTATAGCAAGCTGTTTTGGGTTTTCTTTTTCTAAATGAGAGAAAATTGATGTGATGCTTTTTACATTGCATTTTACAGCAAAGCATAAGATCTGTTTACCTGGTTGAAATTCAAATTGTTTTATTATGGTGTCAATTCTTTGGTTTTGGCAGCACTTCTAAAGTGTCTATTCACAAAAAGACTCCCATAGTGAATGAATGCTAGTGTTGACACCACCTAACAAGCAGGGATTATGTGTTTACAGAAGAAGTAATATGATAGGTCAAGTATAAGAGGCACTTCTCAAGAGCACTTCAGCACATAATGAGTGACTGACTAGAAAGTGCGGAGCTGCCACTCTTTGGCTTGGAGTCCGTGTTGATGCCTGCCTCTCTTCTCCAAAGCTCTCTTGATCATGTTCAGCTGCTCTGTTCTCATGTGGGGAATAATAGTAGAGTAAAGCTGCTTTTCTGTCTCATTTTTCTTGCTAATTTACACATTCAAGCCATTTTTTGTTTGCTACCCTTATTTGCTATTCCCTTTTGTCCAGGCACTGTTCTCTTTTTTGCCTCAGGCCTAAGAACTAATTTGAGCTTCTATAATTACTTCATGTTTTACACCTGTCTGCGTATCATGCACCCGCTTGTCTCTGTACTTAAGCTGTATATTTCCTTGCAGAAAAGCTAGTTTTCATATACAAGGACTCCTAAGTTTCTCCCCTCAGACTGCCTACAGAAGAAACACAATTAAACTGTTGCGATATCCTCAGCCATGCAGCTGACCTTTGCAGTTCATGAAGGACAAATGAACGCTGTCTGCTCAGACAGTTTGTGTTAAGACATTGTTGAGCAGAGAGCCTGAGCTTTGTTCCTCATGAATGAAGCAATGGTTGTAGTCATTTTAAAATCATTAAGACT
Organism: Homo sapiens; assembly: GCF_000001405.40. Lineage (NCBI taxonomy): Eukaryota > Metazoa > Chordata > Mammalia > Primates > Hominidae > Homo > Homo sapiens. The sequence goes on from NC_000013.11 coordinate 35,499,959, forward strand.
CTGAATGCACAGTCTCATTCTACAGTGTTTGCTCTACAGCTGCTCTTCTGCTTTAATAGCAGCTTATTAAATTTGGGTCAAGCGTACTCTGAAGAGTATCACAATGAAGAAACTGTTCTAAAAGTTACCTGTTTAAAAAAAGGCAATTGATTAGATTTTTAACTTAAGTGACAGCTGCAATTCATTGCCTATTCTTTGTGATGTCCTGCAGCCCAAGCAGCCTTTTGTAATTTGGGCTTCATTTTGCAAGAGCTTTCCTGAACAATCCAGGGTTGCTTTCCACTCGGAGCCTGCTTCAATCCAATTAGGAGTTTAACAAGGGTCAAATTAAAGAGACTTTACACTTCATGTTTGCATCATTAGCCATAAGACTGTTATGTGAGTGCATGACTGTGTGTCAGGGAAGAGGGGGAAAGGCTGCAGGATGGGACAGACACAAAGCTGTCATCCACCGTGTGGTGTGCTCCTTTACTGATGGAGGCTCAGCAGGCTAGCAACAACATTTCCAGTTGTCTTTTGGGGTTGCTGCCTTGTCAAATCAGCTGGTATATAGTTGTTTGGAGGTTACAGGTGCTAGCTGGGGCTGATAAAGAAGAGTGTTTTTTGCCTACTCTTTTCTCTTCTGGTAGTCTGTTGTGATTGGACAAACGACTGGGAAGACATGAAGTTGAAACCTCTTGAGCATTCATTATTTTTGATGAGATGACAACTATCTAGGTTCATGTTCTCACTCCTCGTGCTCTTTCCTGGCTCTTCTTTTTTTTTTTTTTTTGAAAACATAATTGTTGGTTCTGTAAAATATTATCATAGGAAATGGAAACTAATTTTTAGGAGAATAGTTAGAGGCTTTGCAAAGACCAGTTACCTGTTATTCAGGAAAACAGAGTTCACTATAGTATTTTCAGAATTGTGTTACGTAGAATAGCATTTTGCTCCACTTTGTCCATACCATCAAGATATATTTATATTTAGCCATATTATGTTACTGTTTAAAGAAAATGACCTGTTTCTAAAAAGAAGAGACAATAGAATTCTGCTAATCAGCAGTTCCATGCGTGGGATATCGCTAGAGAACTGTTGCTGTGCCCCTTGAGCAAAGCTTTGTGCTGCTACACACAAAGTAAAGATTTATCTAAAATAACACTTTCATTGTTCCTTTCTTACCTCCTCAACCCATTAATAGGTACTTTAGTATCATGAGAGTTTTCATAGTTTAATCCCCTTTCAAAAGCTTTTCAGAATAAAAGCTCTAAATGGTCCTCAGTATTAATTTGATGTGACTTCTGTACAATATGGTTTAAAACTCTCAGAAGCACATTTTTACTGCTTACCCTTTTTCATCAGAGCAACGTGTGGAAAATACCAGCTAAATGTTTAGTGGAGTCTCTATTGTGAGCCACTGTTGTTGCTTTCTGATAACATAGATTTTCAATTAAAAAATTATTGTCATTGTGATATATATGACTGTTAATCCTCAAGAATATTTGGGCTCTCCATTTTTAAAAATGTAAATGTCTTCTTGTTATTTTTCAAAGCTGTAGTTTTATAAAGTCTCTGATTTGCAAAGAATTGAGAGTGAGTAATAAAGTCAGCCTGGTAAATAGTAATCAGGCTTGATTATATGCACTCAGTTACATCTTTGTTTATATGTAGACCACAGTAGCTTCAAACACAAGAGCTTCCAGCACTAATAAATAACCTACCTCACCTTTTTTATGTGATGCTTTTGAATACACATTTATCTTTCTTAAAACAGTTAATATATGGTAAATGTAATTCTTGCTGTCTGTAAAGCATTTGATGATGGAACTATACATTCCATGCCAAGTTCCATTTCCTCGACTCCTCCTGCAACTGCAAAGCCTCCAATATGACGGGGGCGGGGAACCCCTATTAATCCTTTTAAATTCCAGATCCCCTCTCTGATTTTTTTCCACATTGTCAGAGGGGATGTATGTATGTGTGTGTGCATACATGTGTATATACACACGTGAACATCCTTCCACAGAGAAAAAGGTATTTATTTCTAAAAATATTTTTGAAGCACCTGCTAGTGCTAGGGACTGAGCCAGTGAAACAGCAGAGAGAGCTCAAACAATACCACCTTGCCTGCCGGGGCTTTAGTGGAGTGGAGAGATGGACAGAAATCACAGGAAACAATGTAAACTTACGACTGTGAATGTGCTCTTATTGGGGAATGTGATCTGGTCAGCAAGTTCAGAGACAGTTTTCCTAAGCAAGTGACCTTAGGCTAACCTTTTGAAAACATCATGCTATAAAAAATTTTTGTTTATTTTCTTTCCAAAGAACTGAAAATATTTCTGCATATGCTTCGAACTCAACAAATTTACAAACATAATGAAATTTGTGCTGGTAATATATTAGGTAAAAGAACATGTAGAAAAGGGCATCTGGAAGGAGATATAAATAATTATAATTTCTAAGGAAAGTTTTAGGCTCAGTTTTAAGTTACATTTATGGACAGGAATGAGCAAGTGACTTCTAAAACTATTCCTTTTTCTTCATTATATTTTCCCTGGGTTTTTTTTTTTCTTTTCTTTCTTCCACAAAGTTTTTTCCATGATTTATCTGCTTACCGTGTGGAAGCAGATTGGAATCTTCCACTAGTGAATGAACAGTGTGCTGGGACCAGATCCTCTGGGGGTTTGTGGGTCTGTACATTCAGTGACCTCACTATGGTAGCTTGAAATCTGCTTATGACAGTAGGATCTATACAACAGAAATTGGTAAACCCTGCAAATTCTCCTCCCCTCCCTGCACCAGCTTGTTTAGCAGCACATCCGTGCTTATGTCTGATACAGTACGTGGGATTTGGGCCTGCAAATAGATTTGGGAAAAAGAGTCCATAACACAGCTTCCCTCCATAGCTCCAAAGGAGCTATAAATGGAAACTAGAAAGCTTAAAATCAAGTTTTGGATTTTTTTTATTAATTAAGTTTTATGAGTTTTAAAATTTAGCCAATTATATCATTTATCTTTTAAGATAATAGCCACAACTCCTCCCCATGGATTAAGTGATGATTACTTTTTTAAATGATTGTCTTTTGCATGTAAATGTTTACTAGTTTCCAGTGTAATCACAGGCAATATAAATTCGAAGGTATATTTTTAAACTGCACACTAATGACCTTTATCAATCAGTCTTTATTTTTTTCCTTATAATGAATTAAATGTTGTTGTGCTTTCAAAACCAATGTACTCATTGGTTTTTTCTAATATAAAAGTAATACTTGCTAAATACTTAAATATTATAGTGTAGTCAATATATAATAGTATAAAAAATAAAATTAAAATTACTGATAATCAAACAGCCCAGAGATAAGAATTTAAAATACTATACATTTTCAATGTATCTGTCTACATATAGGTAGATATATAATTTTTATAGATCATAGTATAAAGATTATTTTGTAACCCACATTATTCACACAAAAATATAATATGAACATATTTCTATATCAATAAGTATTGATCTACATTATTTCTTTTAGTAGCTACATAACAGTTCATTGTATGAATACCATATATTAATAATAACTAATCACCTACAGGTAAACATTTTTTGATATTTTCTCTATTTTAAATACTGTATAATTTTGTAAATACTCTTTTGTATACTTGTTCATTTACCAGGATACATTTCTTAAGGTAGCATTGCTGGTATTGAGAATTCATGGTTTGTTTCATTTTGTTTTTGAGGCATCTATACAAATTGCTTCCAAATTTCCCTTCAGAAATTTTGTACTAATATGTAAAATAGCATATTGGATTATTTATGTTATTGCTCCTTTGTCAATATAGGTATTATTATTCTTATTTATTTTTGTTAACCTGATTAACTGATCATCACACTGGTTTTAAAGAATCTAATTTTAAAACTATTTCTTCGTGCTCTATAGCTTGTAAGCTTAAAATTGACTTCAGTATATTAAATGTTATTGTATTATTTTTCAATTTTGATTATTCCCTAAGAGAAAGGAACAAATACATGATTTGAAGTGTGCAAAATTTATGTAAAAATATGAGAATACAGTTTTACATGAAAGACCTGATAAAATATATATTATGCTATCTAGGAAGAGAAGCAATTATGAATATTCATTTACAGTTGGATATTTGAGATATTTCACATTCTTCACATCCATTCATGAGTGAATATTTGTTTTAGAGGAAACATTTTGGATTTTAAAACCAGAATGTGGAGTATCCCTTTGTAGAATGTTGCCAGCTAATTGAAGTTACAAACAACAAAACAACCAAAAACACTGCAATCCAAGCAAAGCGTATCTGAAGCAAAATTTGGCCTAAAGCCTGCCAGTTTACAAACTCTGCGTTTTGTGGCTTTCTTCCTATGTAATATAATACACATCTAACCAGTTCTTAACTAAAACTGTTTCTCTTCCTTTCCCTGAAACCTTAGTAACACCTACCTGTTTAGATTGAGCATGCCCAACTTGGAGGCTGCCACAGTTGAGACCGTTTTGTCTCATCTCACACCCATCCCACTTCACTCTTGGACTTCACTTGACTTTATCTGCAGTTGCTGTTTTTGAGTATGTAAAGATAAAAGATAAAAATCTTTTCATTTACTTATTTTTCTTTTTTTCTGATATTGTTAATATTTAAGTATTTTATATTGTAGGTAGGAGGGAACTTTTTTTTTCCTCTTTTGATACACGGTCTCACTCTGTTGCTCAAGCTAGAGTGCACTGGCACAATTATGGCTCACTGTAGCCTTGACCTCCTGGGATCAATCATAGCTGGGATTATAGGCGTGCCCCCATGCCAGGCTAATTTTCTTATTTTTTTGTAGAGACAGAGGTCTTACTATGTTGTCCAGGCTAGTCTCGAACTCCTGGGCTCACCAAACAGTCCTCCCCGCTTGGCCTCCCAAAGTGCTGGGATTACAGGCGTGAGCCACTGTACCCAGCCAATATGTTTTTCATGTTTAAATGCAATGTTGCTTATTTTTTGGTATAAAATAAAAATGCTACGATTATCGGAACCTCATTTGTATCTCAGTAAATTACTGGCTTGTATTAATTTACTGCTTAAAGTAAATATTATAAAATATATATTATTTTAAAGAATGTGGGCAGAAATCAGAATTCAAAATAACATTTTTAAAAGAGGCTATGCCATTAGCATACATACTGAGATATGCATTTATTTAAAACATACCTATACTTGTTTGGAATCATGCTTACTATGTTCATATGAATCCAACATTGAGGTAAAAACTGGCTTTTTAAAAAAAATTAGTTGACAATAGACATATAGAGTTTGAGTTTAGACCTATAAATAGCTAACTATTATTTCAATGATACGTATTTGGCCTTTGACCTTTGTTGCTTAAAGACTAGCTCACGATGCTCCGCAGTTAATGTAAAACTTAGTTAAACCATGGCGACCTATTCCGGAGTATGAGAATTGGAAGTGAGAAATGGAAGTAAGAATTCTGAACTGGGAGTGTAATCAGCTGTCACTGTTTAAATAGTCCAGTTTTATTATTTCTCCTTCAACTCTTCATTTTTTCATGTAATGAGCGTAAATACGGACTTTTTAACTGTTATATTAGGGATACATCTATGCCTAAGCTGAAGCCTGAAGCTATATTTTAAATTTGTGATTCCATCTTAGAAGGAATAACCAGAGTACAATTTTGAAGAAATAGGTTAAAAATGCATTCCCTTAATAACTACAGTTTTCTCCTCGAAAAGGTTAATGTAGTAAAATAAATACTATGAGAGGTATCCATGAGTTTTAATATCTGGAAATCTTTTGTGTGTGGGACATTTTAAAAGTTCTTTGTGTTTTAATGAATATTCAATTAATTGATTTTAAATTAATTAGATTTAAAGACAGAAAGCATTCTACTTTAGTCTGCATGTTCAACTTACAGATTTGATTTTACTCATAAATATTTTGCATATAAAAACACCATTTACTTTCAATTAATCTTCAATTCAAATTTAAATAACTGATAGGTTTGAGAAATCAAATTCCTTTAATCACTTAACACCAGATCCATACTAATTCATCAGATTCTCTTATATATTTCCAACTTCATCTATTAAATTTATTTATTTATTTTATTTTTTGAGACATGTTCTCACTCTGTCACCTGAGCTGGAGTGTGGTGGCACGATCTTAGCTTACTGCAGCCTTAAACTCCTGGGCACAAGTGATCCTCCAGCCTCAGCCTTCAGAGTAGCTGGGACTACAGGCACGTGCCAGCACACTCAGCTAATATATATATATTTTATTTTTGTAGAGAATAGGTCTGGCTTTGTTGCCCAGGCTAGTCTTGAACTCGTGGCCTCAAGTGATCCTCGTGCCTTGGCCTCTCATAGAACTGAGATTACAAGCGTGAGCCACCTCAACCAGACCCATCCATTAAATGTATAAATCTGATTTGTTACTATTTACGGCAGTAGTTTAAATACTTAGAATTTTTTTTTTAGGTTTATAAGTCTGCCTTATGTTTTTTAAGTGTTTGAGAAATCAAATGTATTGATTCAGCAAGAGTAATTTGAAATTCTTACAAAGAACTGTGATAGCAAAATGCTATAGTTAAAACAGCCCAGGGGTCAGGTGGGTTCGTGTTCTGTCCGTCCCTCACTCATTCCCAACAACACAGTCAAAAGATAAATCCTAAGTAAATTACCCCACAAATTTTTGAGTTAGAATTTGTGATAAATTATTTCATTGCAATTTTTCAAAATAAATAAAGCCTCAACATGATTTGTCACAAGTCATAGAGCCAGTTAGAAGAACTCAACCTAGGGCTCGTTTGATTCCTAGGTCCATGTTCTTAACTCCAAACCATTTCTCAAATTATAGAACCATTGCCATAGAGTTTGAAGGTATTTTCTAAGTCATCTGGTCTAATTCTACATTATAGGACTCCTTTCTTGAACATCCCTTTTAATATCCATCCATTTTGAATGTTTATAGCAATAAGGACCTCCTGTTAATTTTTCCCCTTCTGGCTACTGTCCCCCTTGTCCCCCTTAAAGCTATCTCCAATGACTTCTTTCTTTCTTTGTCTTAAAACCACTTAACATAGGCTTTGCTTCCAACACTTCTCTGAAAATGCTTTTGTTAAGGTCACCAATGACCTCCCTTTTACAAAATCCATAGGCCAATCTCTATTCTATTTACATAATTTATCATACCCTCATCCTGAATTGAAACTGACCTTCCCTTCCAGGATGCCCTACTCCTGTTCTACCTCACTCGCTTCTCCTTTTCAGTCTTCTTTGCCAAAATTCTCTCCTTTTCTTCAACCACCTAATGTTGGAGTGTCCCAAAGCTCAGTTCTTGGACCTTTTTTTTTCTTTTTACAATTACTCTCCTGGTAATCTTATGGCTTAAATATCCTCCATATACTGAAAACTCCAAAATTTCTATTTCTAGCCTGACTCTCTTTCTTGAACTTCAGGCTCTTATATTCAAATGCCTACCTGGCATTTCTGCTTGAGAGTCCAATAGATAAACCAAACTTACTTTGTCTAGTTTTGAACTCCTATTTTCTTTTCCACTGCCCTTCCCAATTCCCAAAATATTGCTGTACCTACAGTCTTTCTTATCACAGTTCCTTTCAGCTCTTTCAATCCAGTTGTTCGAGCCAAAACCTTGGAGTTAATTTGACTTCTCTCTTTCTCTCACACCCAACATATACAGTCTCTTAGCAAGTCACATTATCTCTACTTCAAAATATATCCAGAATTTAACTTGTCACCATCTCCATGGCTACCATGTAGATAAGCCTCTTCTGGGTATTCTTTAATTTTGAATGCACCCCGTACAATGAAATACTCAGAAATGGCCTGATTGAACGTGTTGCAATGGAATTGCTCTATCCCTTTTCCATCATCATAATTCATTCTAGGATTGTAAGGATCATTTTAGTAGTCATGTCATGGTGTTGACTGGAGTCAACCAAAGTTCCAGTATTTCTTTTATATTAATTGCTGCTAGATAGGTATCACCATCTAAAATAATTAAGTGACTATCACTTGTGGAGCACCTACATATGCAACTTTGTTTCATTATTACCCTTAAAGATAGGAATTATTATCTCAATTGGTAGATGAAGAAATAGAGACTCAGAAAAGCTAAGTAATTTGCTTAAGATCACAGGGCTAGAAATTGGTAGAAACGGTAGTAGAATCCAGACCTGTTTCACTTTAAAGCCAATCCTTGGACCATCACATATGAAGGGCTGCAGATGAGAAAGAACATGATACACTCAAGGATTTGAAAAACATGCAATATATTGGGAAAGTATAAGGGACAGAATGCTGGCAAGAATCAGACCAGAGAGGGAAGTGCTCAGTTTTGAGGGATATTATAAGCCATATTTGAGGAGTTTACATTTTACTGACAAACATTGGGAAGGTACTATTAAGGTATTTCAAGCAGATTTACTTTTCTAATTAATGATTACTCTAATGTTAGCATGAAGAATGAATTGGATGACAACAATGCTGAGTTTTAATGGCCTAAACTAGAGTAGTAGCAGTGAAAAAAACAGAAATTGATAGATCAGGTGGATTTCAGGAGTAAAGTGGATAACATTTGTGAACTGACTGGATGTGGGAGGTGAGAGAGAGGATGACTGCCAGGTTTCTGGCTGAGTGGTTGATAACATTCATTCAGAATGACCATTGGAGGAAAGGAAGGTAGTGCTGGAATGGGTATAGGAGATGTGATAACTTTACTTTTGGAAATAGTAAAAGGAATCTAGGAGACATTTCAGTGGTAATACCCAGATGACATCTGATCTAGGATCTAGGGGAGTGGAGGTCTCAGCTGCAGGTAAATCTGTGAGGTAAATCTGTGAGACATCAGAACATGGGTGGTAACTGAAGTCACAGAACTGGATGAGTTGAATGGCGGATTGTTTGGAGATTCCATGGCTAAACTGGGGCTCCAATATCAGAGTGTCTAGCAATCATGCCCTAATGGGAAAGGAAGGGGAGCTGGACATGAGTGTCTACTGTGTGCCTTTCAATGGATATGCCTTTTACCTGCAGATGGCCTGATGCCTTATTGTCCAGCCCTGACCAGGAGTCCCTCCCATGGGTAACTGTTTATAATGGCGGATGCCATTGTGTCTCTTGTCTGACCTGTGTCTGGCGTATGCCTGCCTGACCGTGGCTATGGTTCTGCAAACCCAACCTTGTGGTTCCCCCTTGCATCCTAGGGAAAAGCCAGCTGGTAGCTGGCTGGTAGCTGGTTCTTCTAATGAAAGGCACAAATTCGATACACCGCCACAACAGGAAATAAGTTCAGAAAGCTGTTACTTATAGATCCTGGGCAGGGAAGGCACCATGAGTCAGGAGGGAAGTTCTCTGTCCCAGGTCATGTGAGGCAGGTGTGTAGAGTCAGAGAGAGAGAGAGAGAGAGTGAGCGAGTGAGTGCTTGCATGGAAACTAGCAGTATATGTAAGGGAATGGGGGCAGGAGAGTCACTTTAAGTTCGTGGGCAAATGTATGAATGGTCCATTTGAAGGAAATGGCAAAAAAGCTAAGAGCCCAGTCTGCTAGGCCAGAGAGAGGCCTCTAAGTTTTTGTATTTGGCCACCGGCTTAAGCCATTTGTGGTGTTCTACTTCTAGTACCTAGGCAGCAACCTTTGCTGTGTTGTTTCCATTACAAAGATGCCAGTCTTTTAAAGATAGGAAGGAGTTGTTTGCAAATGGCATTTAAAGAATAGATAGAGAGTTAGTGGGAAAAAATTAGGAGAGTGGTAGTGGAAGTCAAGAAAAGCGTTTCAAGAAGGATGGACTGACCGGCGAACAGTGCCAAATCTGAAGGGGTCAGCTAGATAGGGACTGAAAATAGCCATTGAATTGAATAAGGCGACAGTCACTATGAAAAGGGTTGTTTCAGCAGATTGTCAAGGGCTTAAGGATATTAAGTATTTTTCATTTTTCAAGCTAAAAGGGGAGCTCATTTCAGTTTATTAAATTTCATCTTGCAGACTTCAAGCTAACTTCTACTTCATGATTTTGAATGTCAATAGATCTGATCTGAATATGAAATTCTGAGGAAGATTTTTCCTTATAGCCACTAACTGTTTATTAATTATTCTCAACATACTTTTGAAAACATTTGAAATGGGTTTGTATCAGAGGTGACTCCAGAATTTCTGTGTAGAGGAGATTAAGACTGTGAGCGTTTGAATGGAGAATTGAAAGAACAATCCATGGAACTTGTGTGTTTCCATGGCCTATATTACAAATCAAGAAAAACAGTGAGGTGTTCTAGAGAGGTTTTTATTCACAACTTAAATAAGTTTAAGGAAGGACACATGCAGCCTCATACAACCGCTCTTTCTTCTGTCATTCTTGACATAGTTTTGCATTTTTGTAGCATCCATGACATGAAAATAATATTAAATACCTTAGTGTCCATTTATATTTTGACTTAATTTTTCAGCTCTGTTGTTCTGACCTATCTGGGTAAAAGTAATCTGCCTTGTGTTGTAAGTGTTAACACTAAGGGCCTGCCATGCACCAGCCACCTCGCTGGGATGTGTGAGGATGATGTTTAGATAGTTCTTGCACCAGATTTTTTACCGTATTACACGTTACTGTCTGTTTTTTGACTCAGAAAAATAAAATCAACTTGCAAAGGAATAAAAAAGAAGGAAGAAAGGGAAAGCAAGGTGGGAAAGAAGGTAAAAGAGGGAAGAAGGAAGTATTTACTGAGCATCTGACTAGGTACCAAACATTATGCTAGAAACTTTCATGTATAGTATCTCATTTAGTCCTTACAATTTTGTTAGGCACTCATTTTACAGTGGAGAAAACTAGAGTTTGAGAAAGTCCAGTAAGATTTATTAACTTATCTAAAAGCTATGTAGGAAGTAAGAAATAAAGCTGAGATCTTATTAATGTCCAGAATGCTTGCCACCACACATCATGCCATCTTACCTGGAAAATTCATTTTCCTCATTTTAATATTTTAGTCCTATTATGACTTCTTAATGGATTTTCAGATAACATAATAATAAGTAGAAAACATGAAAATAATAAAATATGGTGGATTATAAGTACATCATTCAAGTTTGCTATTGAAGGAAATGTATGTTTCTTTTAAAATAATGTGATCCATTTAAATATCAGCAATCCCAAGTAAAAACTCAAATAAATACTCAAGTAAAAGCTTGGGCTATTCCTGAAAATCATTGTTAGTTTTGAGATATATTTATTCACATAGTCAGCCTGCAATTGTCAAGCAATATAGCACAGGAAGCATTGTTCAAGTTGCTGTGGAATACCTATTTTATTCTCTGCTTACAATGACTGGACTTTAAAGAATTTTTAACCACATAAGGACTTTTAAAATAATGTATTTATTGGTGATTATCAATATATAACAGTATGTTGCATATATAACATACAACTCAGAACACGTAAGTACTTTAAAGTTGACTTAAACCTACAATGAAATATTAAGTACAGAACCTATTACAGATTTTTCGAGCAAGGAACCCATTTGACAAAGAAAGAAAAAATAATCACTAGCATAATTATTACTGGATTTGTTATCCACACATCCAGTATCTCTCAACCCTCATCAGGTGTTGATTGCAATGTATATTTTTACTCTAAAGTATTCTATGCAAGTAGATATCTCTCTATATATGCAGTTAGCAAAGATAGTCAAATATACTGCTATTAGTAAGGCAGCATTACACTGTATCATATTACCTATGTTAATACACTCTTCAAAGAAGTTATATAATGTTTTAATTTTTTAACTTCTACAAATATTTTTTAAATTATCCCATATCTTGTTATTTGTAATATAAGAAGTTAGGTATTGTGTATTGTTAATATAGCAGTTACCTCATTTATTTACCTGAGAGTACTGTTTGCAAATAATTAGGAGAATGACAAAAAAGTATGGTTGGAAATTGTATTATCTGTCAGTACCTCTACTGAAAGTTGTTTTTAATGTCCAGTGGAGATGTTTTGATATTTATAATTGACTCTACTTTGTTTGCTTAAAGTATGTTTTGACTAAGCTATGCAGTGACTATTTGAAGATAGATATTCTATTCAGGAATTTTTAAAACCTCAATGTCTAAAAGAACTCATCAAACTCACCCGTCTTGAACTGTCAGTGAAAGCACATGCTTTTAATTTCTAACACACATTAGTTGTGTTTGCACTACAGGTACACAACAGGAAGTAAAATCGTGAACCCATAGCTTCCCAGTATCAATTAAAATCTTGGCTGCATGAAACAGTATTTTTTGAGGATTACCTGATGGTTGAAGGGTTCATTCATTCCTAAATATTCTGTATCCTGGGATTAAACCTGAATAGCAGAAACTGTCAACCTGGACTTTCATGTTGGCCCCTGTTCTGGTTAAAATCTTTGGTTGCATGGAATAGGCTTCATTCAAGTTACCTCAAGCAATAGATGCTATAGGTATATATGGTCTGGAATTTAAAAATGGAATAGCTGAGTCAGCTTTAGGGACCAACTGCTCTGTTTGTCTTTCATAAACCATTTGGTCTGCTAATCTCTGAGCGTTCTTTTCTTCTTCTCAACAGATAATCTTCCTGTGCTTACTCAAACAGCTTTGGTTCCTTGTACTTTCAGCTTGCCTGAGTCTTATCTTGGCTCCCTGGCCTCTCAGTACATTGTGATATTTCAGCTTCAGTTCCTACTGCCACACAGTTCTTTCTGCATTTCCTTTTTCTAGCTCTCTACAGAAAGAATCTGACTCATTCTACTCCTATTTTTTAGTCAGGCCAAACCACGGACTATTGGCAAACCTCTGGATTAGCTGTCGTTGATTCAGCCTAGAGGAGGTACCTTGCGGTCCTCATAGGTCGACCTCCTTCCACAAAAACTGTGGCTGAGCCCATTTCTCTCAGAAGGCAGCTGCAGGCTGTCTTGTACTACCTCATGGTAGGATTGATTTTTCTAAGTTGTGCTTTGGGAAATATTGTAAGCCTTGAAACTCAGTGTAAGGTTATTGTTGAAGACATTATTGATTATACTATACAGGTTTTTTTAAAACTCTTGGCATAAATTTATTTCTAGCTTTAGTATTAGGAAATAATTGTGCAATTATTCCTGAACTCGTTTGTTTTTATCTTCATTACCTTTGTGGTGAAATTATTACTTTTTTCTTTTTTTTTTTTTTAAGATGGAGTCTTGCTCTGTCACCCAGGCTGGAATGCAGTGGCGCAACCTCGGCTCGCTGCAACCTCCACCTCCCAGGTTCAAGCGATTCTCCTGCCTCAGCCTCCCGAGTAGCTGGAATTACAGGCGCCTGCCACCACACCTGGCAATTTTTTTTTTTTTTTTTTTTTTTTTTTTAGTAGAGATGGGGTTTCACCATGTTGGCCAGGCTGGTTTTGAACTCCTGGCCTCAAGGGATCCACCTGCCTCAGCCTCTCAAAGTGCTAGGATTACAGGCATGAGCCACCGTGCCTGGCCTATTACTTCTTTTTCAACATTGCCTGTTGGGAGTTCACAAATTTGTGCCCCAAACACAGGAAGTTTAAATGATTCTGTGGTATGCTTTTTTAGTCTTATTATCCAACTTACACCTGAATTCATTTTCTGTTTTTCACCTTTTTTTAAATATATTTCTAATTTGAATTATAATTTATATATTCCTGTAAGTCACTTTATATCTTTTCAGAAGTGAGGTATAGATGTAAAGTATATAAATTATAACACATTCAGGAACATGTTCATGTTTCCAGCTAGTTTTTAGTTAAATGTGAGCAAATTTTAAAGAAATGGACAAAGTATTGGAAAATAATAGTATGTGACATTTTTCTGTATTTAAGTAATTTTAAATCATCCAGCTACTTTTTTAAAAAAACCTAAAATTCCCATTGGGTTTAGAACTATCTTTCAAATATAATTTGAGATTAGAAAATCTATTTTATTACACATTAATCATTTTTTGTCATAACTATTTGTAACATATTCTTTGTCATGGAGAAGGTAGTAGAAGTGTAATAAAATTAATATACATTTTAAATTATTTCTACATAAACCCGTTTCTAAAACAGCAGCCTCTAGCCCTCCAACAATAACATACTCCTAAAATTATTTTTCCCCAGACTCTACTTCTTGGCTACTCCTTTAGAAAAAAAAAAAAGAAACTGACATCAATTTTATATAAAAGAAGCCCTTGAGGTGGAAAGTTGGGAAGACTGCATGAGTTTATAGCGGACAAAATGTCGCTTACATTTTGCTGCTCAGTAGTTTGATATACTCATTTGCTGATGTGAAATGACGAGGGCTTACAAAACAGGGTTTTGTTTTTTAGCTGCCTGTAGACCTAGTGGGGCCTAACAGAACCCAGTCAGCAGGTCATTAACTCTGGAGAAAACAGCTTGCATTAATATGCTCTAATCCGGTATAATTAGTCAAATTACTGCACGCCGACCAGCTTGTCATGTGTTGTCAGACTTGGCATGTACGCTGGGTTGCCTGGGTCCCTCTGGAATGCCACCCTCAATCAGAAAAAACTGCTCATTTGTAGTGGGTCTTGAACTCTTGATGCAAAAGCCTACTAAAATAGTGGTCATAGAGGAATTTTTATTAATTTTTGAGAAAAAAATATTTTCATCAAAAATAATTTAGTACTTTGGTGATTGAAATGGAATCTGTTCATTTTTGCTGTTTTCTGTACCATATCTATGTAATACTCCAAGAAAAATTAACATTAGTGCAAACAAAAAAGAGGTCGAAAATAAATAATTACCGGTTGATCATTTATCATTCCAATATATGGCAGTGTGCATTTGTAGGTGTTTGTGTATGTGTGGGTCTTTTTCCAGTAGGGTAAGAGGTTATTAAACTCTAAAAGGGCTACATTAGCATAAATTTACAAGAGCTCTTGTTCTGGCGGCATGACAAAAACCTGTGTTACCTTTGCATTAACACTGAATTGCTTGTTGTGCTTTTGGCAATGACAGATAAGTCCGTGTAATTCCCCATTGCAACAGAAATGATGCTCCAGATTCCAAACGCATCCTGAAGATGTCACTGACAATAATCTTCAAAGAACGGGCAGTGAAAGTGGGCTGTATGTTTGTAGGATGATATACTGCAAATGACAGGAAGAATTATGTGAGTGAAGACGAATCTGTAACATATTATTAAGCAATTTCACGAGAATAACAGGGATAAAAGGATAATGGATGAGGGTGTCATTATTACCTTCATGTAGAGGGAAAGCAAAAGCAAAGGTAGAGAGACAAGATTAATTGAGGAAGGGTGAAGCATTCATTGCTCATCAGCTCTTTTGTACTCTTTGCTCCTGAAATTCCAGACTGAGGAGGGGAAAAGGTGCTCAGAGCTGCATTTTAATGCATCTGGCAAAGAGTAGGATACTGACAAGGCACTTTTTAGCCACCTCCCTTTTTATCAAAATACACATAATGACTGTTACCTTTTGAATGTTCCAAAATCACAGCAAAAATTCAGCAGAAGGTTTTATTCTTTGTGTATATATGTATGTGTGTTTGGCAGCTTTGATTATTAATTAAGCTTTTAAAACCCAAAATTATAAAATACCAAAATGGTTTTTTCCATGCATTGCCAAAAAATTGCTATTTTCAATTTAGAGAATCACGTTCTGTGATGAAACATTTCAAAATCCATTATATTATTATTTTGATTAGTCTGAGGACATTGTGTTAAAAAGGCAATATATTTTATAAGCAGTTTTTACTCTCCATTTTCTAAGTACATTTCCCTTTCATGTAGTAACTGGTTTTTTTTTTTTAAATTTAAATATATTTTCTCTTTGTTAAATGAAGGGTGTGAGTAATTAAAAGCTTAAAATACTAAATTCTCCATTTATATCTTTTTTAATTACCTGTTTCTTATAACTTCTCATTGGGCCAATTACTCCAAAGCACATATTATATCACACACAATAAGATGCAATTATAACATAGCAACCACTATCCTTCTGGTTGCAGAATGGTGGTAACACAGGTGTTTTGCTGTAATCTAAGAAACCTTTTGGGGCATGAAATCCCTTCTGATTATAATTTACTCATGATACGGAGTTAACCTTAAACATTGTAGAAACTTTAAATTATATATATGTTTCTGTGTGCTGGACTAGTAGAAAAATAAAATGATCATATTACAAGCTTAAATATGTATCCAATGGAGATACTCACTCAAAGATTAATTTGGGAACAAGAAGCCTACATTTCATCCTTGTCTACATAGCAAGTTCCTATATTCAGGAAAGGTAACAAAGGATTAAGATTCAGGAGTCAGTCAGAATTGAGACCCATGCAAGGCTGATAGCCAGATAATAATCAAGAGTGTAATGTGTATCATACACAGACATGCATAGCAGTAATGCTATTAAATGCTACACGTATATACCATCTAGTAATGCTATATTTTATTGCATACTGTCTCTCTGTATGCCTATAATGTTTTATCCTTGTCATTTTCTGATTAGCAGAACTAGAATTTCCATTTTAGTTCTATAAATGGGAAATTTGAGGAGCAGAAAATTAAATGAGTCTACCCAGGTAATTTTATAGTAAATGATGCTTCTAAGAATAAAACCATCTTCAGATACCTCATCCAATCTACATTCCATTTGCTGTTTGATTTTTTAATTTGTTATTCATGCCACATTCTGTTTTTTGATATTTTGCTAGTTTTGATATGTGTCTTTTAAATTATCTTAAATGTTTCTTCACTAAAGGAGCATCCTCTGCCTTATCTTTTCTGTAGAGTAAGGGAAAAGAAACTAACATTTCCCAAGTACTTAATATGTGTCAGACACTGTTCTAGGCACTTTGTATATATTATCTAACTTAACATAGTTATAATAGCTAAGTGAGTTAGATATCATTATCACTGTTTTACAAAGGACAAGCAAATTCAGAGATGTCCAGTTATTTCTCCAAGCTCACAACTGGGAAGTGTTAGGGATTCAAATCTAAATTTTCCTGGTTCCAAAGATCATGTTCTTTCAATTACTACATACTCACTTACTCTTGTCTATCCTATATCTTAACATATACAGTCAAAATTATACTGTCTTTTTACATCTATCCCATGTTTTAGATCTCCAAATGTCTGTATTCAGTGGCCTTTTTCTGCCCACATATTCCTTGATTTCTGCATAACATTTGACACTGAGCTTCCGAAATCCTAAACATGCTTCCTTGCCAAGTCCTCCGCTCCCCTTCCCTGGCCACTCTTCCGTCGGCCTCGCCCTCAATATTCTCCCATCCCCAAAGGTATGTCCTTTCAGTCACCTCCATTCTCTGCCATAGAGATCTAATTCCTTTTCGTGCTTTAAACTTTCACTGTGTACAGATAATCCCAAAGGTACTTCTCTAGTCTTGTCTTCCTTCTACAGCTCTATATTCTTAGCTGCCTGCTCTGTTGATTAGCTCTTAGTATGCTTTGATTATCTCAACCAAGCTCATAATTTTCCTTTTTTCTAATTTCCTTTTAACTTCCCAATTTTAAAAGATGTCGTGATTCTAATCACCCAGGCCTTATTGCCCATTTGAATTACTTAGAAATTCTTTAGCTCAGCATCAGAAGCCTCTCCCACCTCTTTAGCCTATTGGAGTTTATCTCCCATCTCCATCTTTGGCAGATCAACCATCCTTCAAGGCCCATTATCAGATATCATCTTTAGTAAGAGGCTCGCCCCAAACCAATCAAACGTGTGTATTTCTCACATCTTTGAATCTCCAATCAATTTGTACCTTCTACTATATATTTTATTGTAGTTTGTCTTTTATTATTTCTATAGTTGTCTACTCACTTCCTTAGACAGTAAACATCTTGAAGGCAGGAACCATTGTATCTTATACACATAGTACTTGGAATAACCTTACAAGATACTTAATAAATATTTGTTGAATTGAGTTAAATAAAATTATCTGACAGTCTCAATCAAGTATTTTTAAAATATTTTTTCTTTTACATGAAAAAGCCTTTACTATGTTGAAATTTAATATTAACCTTTTGATTATTTGACACTCTTGAATGTATTTTCTTTCCTAATTTACATTTATACATTGCAATTTATTATCATAATAGTTACCATTTAATGAGCATGTACTTCCCTTGGTACTTTGTTAATTCCGGATATATGGAGGTGAGCAAGTCCCTACCTTCATGAAGGTCACTATTTCCTTGAGAAGATACTGCTCTTTTCATATGACATTTCATACCAACAGTCCTTTGTAGTTATATGTATGATATATGGAAAAAATTAAAAAGAGAAATTAGAGCACTTTATTATATATTTAGATATATCTTAATCTTAATTATATTAAATCCTTATAACAACTATAAAATGTAGGTACTATTTATCCCCATTTAACAAATATGGAAGCAGACTCTGAGAGTCAAAGGTACTTTTTCCAAATCACAAAAGCAGTAAAATGGCAGAGCCGGAAATGGAATTAAAGATGGTTTAAAGCCAAAGTCTGTGGTTTTCCACTGTGCCACATGGCTCTGCATATCCTTGTCTTAGCAAAGAGATGTTACATGACAGGAGCTCTTAACTGTAACTCCTGTATTTGCCTCAAACTAGAGGAGGCAGGGAACATTAGTCATAATTATGCCAGACGATGGTTAGAATGGTATTACTTGTTAAACTTAGGGAAAGCATACCCCCTGCAGTTTTATAAAAGGAAGGAAAATATCTTTCTACTTTTGTGCAAAATGCCCAATCAGGTTGAGCACACATGGTTGCCCTACTTGCTAGCAGCAGTCACAAGATCCCAATTATTGATATAATTTGGGTCAGAGAGAATGTTTTCTGCATCCTACCGAGCTTTGATTTGGGGCGGTGTGGGGGGAAGGTTGCAGGATACCTCATAGAGGCTGACACTTTCCACTGCATGTGCTGCTGTGCAGATGATTATAAGAGAGCAATTCTTCATTCACCATAAGTCCAAATCAAACGTAGAACATGACAAATAGAATTAGTTCCTCTCTTCCCTTTGCATTAAGCAAATTTGATGCTTCGTTGTGAAAGGAAAAAGCAAGCAAACATCAACAGATTGACTAATACAATTCTACTTAGCCTTTCAAGCAATCTCTCAGACTGCCTCTTATGCCTACGTGTCTCTTTATTTATTCTTTTCTTCTTGTTTTTTAACTCCAAACTTCCTTTATCAAGACTTCTTTTGTCTTCCTTTCCTGTAAGCTGTTTTTAAATGTATTCTTTGTTTTGGGGAAAAGTAAAAATTTTCTGTTGGTTTCACATTACCCAAATTTCAAAATTCTAGTCCACATACTCATACAAAAAAATGATACTCCTAAGTTTTAGATAAGTTAGGATTTCTTTATTCAATTTCTTGCATCTATTAGATGATTCTAATTTTATGTTTCAACTTATAAACTTTTAAAGGTGGGATCATACAAGTCCCTTTCATTGACCTTATTACTACCCATCATGGTGACATACCCAAATGTTCATATACTAGTGCTTTTGATTATAAAGATTTTCTTTTTATTTTCAGATTTTCTAGGCATTCATGAAATATTAGTTTCATTTATTTTTTAACATAGTTTTGGCCTTGTAAATAGCATTCAGTGTAATGTAGACATGAATATTTCTTACAGAAGAAATGAAGAGTATAATTCATTTATTTTTTTTAAATTTTAAAGGGATACATAATAATTATGCCTATTTATGGGGTACATGTGATATTTTGATACATGTATACAATGTGTAATGATCAAATCTGAATAACTGGGATATTACCTGAAGCATTTATCATTTCTTGTATTGGGAACATTTTGAATATTCTACCTATTTTGAAATATACAATACATTGTTATTAACTATAGTTACTCTGCTGTGCTATTGAACACTAGAACTTATTCCTTCTATCTAACTGTATGTTTGTACCCATTAACCAAACTCTCTTTATCCCCACACCTCCTTCCCATCCTCTGGTAACTATTACTCTACTTTCTTCTTCTTTACAGCAGTCCCCAACCTTTTTGGCACCAGGGATGGGTTTCATGGAAGATCATTCTTCCATGGACCCAGGGCATGGGTGGGGATGGTTTCAGGATGAAACTGTTCCACCTCAGCTCATCAAGTATTAGATTTTCATAAAGAGCATCCAACCTAGATCCCTCACATGCGCAGTTCACAACAGGGTTTGCGCCTGCTGGCCCATGGCTCACCTCCTGCTGTAAAGCCCAGTACCAGCCCATGGCCTGGAGGTTGGGGACTCTTGCTCTATAAGATCAACTGTTGTATATTTGTCTTTCTGTGACTGGATTTGAAGAGCATAATTTAACCTGGTGATTTGATTAGGTAGAAGCCAAGCCTAAGGTGCCTACTATCCTAGTATCACTATAGTCACCATGTATAATAATACTTCAGTTAAAAAATGCCTTGAGATAAGGCAACCATGTCTCTTCCTATACCAGCGAGATTCTAACATTTCCTCTCATTAGCACTGAGAAAGTTTTTATAGGATAAGGGACTGGAGAGAGGTTGAGAAGGAAGATGTGCCAGTGCTGATGCTAGCGAGGAAAAGGTTAGAGTATCCAGGGTTACAGGAGCATGGTGCCAAGGACGTCATGCCACAGAAACTCTGAGGGACACCAACCAAGTGACCAGTGATCTCTCTCTCTTTTTTCCAACTAGCTTCAGGAATTGATTCCCCTATTTCTCTCTTCCAGTACTATTATAGATTACTTTCACCCAGGGTTTCTTTTCCTTTTGACCTCAAAGAGGAAAAGAACACAGTCTTCTGGCGTCTCACAACTGTCCTCTCCCTTTAGCCCTCAGACTCCTTTAAACTTCTATTGGAAAATTCTAAGTCTTTATATCACTTCATTTTGAGAGCTTCTTCTTGAAACTTATGTATGACATACTATAAATGAAACTTTTTTCGGACATATCTTTACTGATGAGGAAAATTTTTCATTGAGGAAAAAATCTTTTATTCCCTCACATGCCTTCTTTGTCCATAGAGAAGAAAATTCCACTCAAGCTTTTGTTGTTCTTCCCATGGGAAGGAAATTTCTGCTCTCATTTTCCAGAGCATTTTCATTGCTGGGTGTTGGAGGCCTTGTTTTGGTTTCAAATCACACTGAATTGATCAAGTCTTCCCAGGATAACCTTGCAATAAGGGAGGATAATATTAGATATTAATTTTATTAATATTTATGAATAATTACTATTTAATATTATAGTCATTACTATTAATTTTTATGAAAAGTTCCTAGTTTTACATCTGGTTATTGTTCCCCTGATGTACATTTCCTTAGTCAAAAACCCTGCAGGAAAAGGCAAAATGCGATAGGCTTTAAGCAGCAAAATTTCACCCACAGGTTCTAATTCTGATTCCATTATTATTACAAGTATGAATATTCAGGAATCATTTGGTTGCAAGAAATAGAACTCAAACTAGCTTAATGTAAAAGATCATTTATTTTAAGCAATAGGAGTAGCTCATGAAATCCCATGACAAGAACAGGCAGAACCTGAGGAGAGACTGGAACTGAGGATTGGAAAGCCATTTGTCTGGATGTCTCCCCTTCTGGGCCACGTGGTTCTTTGTCTCTGCTTCTGCTTCATCGTTGTTTCTCCTCACAGATAAGATGTCCCTGGATCTCCCCGCTAGAAACCCAAAAGTCACTGCAGGGACATTACAGAGACTGCAATTCACTGCTGCTCCATTACCAACTAAAGTTCCACTTTCAAATTCCAAGGAGAGGGAATTTGGTTGGTTTGCCTCGGCAACAAATGTTCACCCTGGTCTAAATCAGCTCTGGTCAGAAAGAAGTAGGGACACACCTCTGAGAGTATGGGAAAGCTTTTTTGAGAAAGGGGGCATGGTTGGTACATACATTCCAAAAAGTCTCTCCCCTTTAACTATTTTGGTTCCTCCTTTCCTCAGTATACTATTCAGAAAGAAGAATGCGCAACCCAGTTTGGAGAAAGATAGGAAGATTCTTAAATATGAACCCATCAACAGGGAGTCAGACAGAGAGGAGCAGGACATTCCATACAGATAGAAGGAACAGTGAGTGCAAAAGTACAGAGAGGCGAACCACTTCTGAGAACAGCAGGGATTCAAGGGGATGTAGAGCAGTGGTATGAGGGGAACCCAGAGATGGATGCTGATACTCAGCAGCAGCATTTGCTATAGGATGCTGGGGGTGGTTGGCTGGGCACGGTGGCTCATGCCTGTAATCCCAGCAGTTTGGGAGGCCAAAGAGGGTGGATCACCTGAGGATCACCTGAGGTCAGGAGATCGAGACCAGCCTGGCCAATATGATGAAACCCTGTCTCTACTAAAAATACAAAAATTAGCCAGGTATGGTGGCGCATGCCTGTAATCCCAGCTACTTGGGCAGCTGAGGCAGGAGAATCACTTGAACCCGGGAGGCAGAGGTTGGAGTGAGCCAAGATCACACCACTGCACTCCACACTCCAGCCTGGGCAACAAAGCAAGATACCATCTCCAAAAAAAAAAAAAAAAAAAAAAAAAAAAAAATGGATGCTGGGGATGGGAGTCAGAGTCTGGAGGCAGGGGCATTGGTAAGGGTTGCCGGAGGTTAGAAAACCACTAAGATGGGGTCCCCACCCTCCCCTGCGACGGTACCAGTCTATGGCCTTTTAGGAACCAGGGCACCCAGCAGGAGGTGAGCAGCAGGCAAGGAAGCACTGCTGCCTGAGCTCCACCTCCTGTCAGATCAGCGGCAGCATGAGATTCTCATAGGATCGTGAACCCTATTGTGAACTGTGCATTGGAGGGATCTAGGGTGCACACTCCCTATGAGAATCTAATGCCTGATGATCCGAGGTGGAACAGTTTAATCCCCAGACCACCCCACCCCCTCACCCCCTGGTCCGTGAAAGATTGTCTTCCGTGGAACGGGTTCCTGGTGCCAGAAAGGTTGAGGACTGCTGCTAAGAGACTTACACAGCTTTATCAGTGAAAATAAAAAGAACAGATGTGAGAAATACTGTGGAGCTGGAATCAACAGGATTAGCCACCAGTTGGACGTAGAAAGGAAATGACAAGAATATTTACAGATGAGTCCCAAATGTTTAGTTTGATGGCTTTATGAATAGTGTTGCCATCCACTAAGATAATGACAAAAACTTACTATTATTATAGTGACCACCCTTTCTGAGTACCCATTATATACAAAATACTGTGCCAGAAACCTTTCCATCCACTATTTAATCACTCTATTGTCCCCATGATTGATATTATTTTCACTGTTTTATATATAAGAAATGAAAGTCTTCAAGAATTTAGGTATGTTGCCTACATTCATGTAACTCAAGGTACAGAGTTAATTCTCATGCCCATTTCTGACATCAGAACCACCGTGCACTTGGGTTTGTTTTTCTTAAGAAAGAAGAACAGATTTTAAGGAAAATAGAAGTTCAGTTTGGACTTACTACATTGTGTTTCCTGTGAGACATTCAGCTGGAGAGGTCTAGTGGACATTTGACTATGGGTCTGCAACTTATGAGCAGTCTGGGCTGGACCCTTCGATTTGAGAGACAGCAGCTTAAAGTGGGAATTATGAGAGTGGCAGAAATCACTCAGGAGGAGGAAGCTGCCCAATGAGTTACTATGTAAAGCATACGCCTGCCTCTCCTGGGGGTTGTTTGACATCATAAATACACTGACATACAATTTTTCAAGGCATTCACTTTCAATTTTAGGAATCCCTTCTATATCAGTTATTATAGCCCTGCTTTTTAGATTTGTACTTTTTCTCTCTCTTTTCAAAAATATTTGCCAGGGATTTGTCTTTTCTGAGAACCAGTTTTTAGACTTCTTAAATTTTCACTTTTAAATTTTCTAATGATTTTTCTATTTATTTTAGCTATATTTCCCTCTGCTTTTTTCCTTTGATTTTTTTTCTGCTTTTTTAAGATTTAAATTGAATTCCAAATTCATGAAGTTTTCTTTATAGTTGTAAGCATTTAAAAGTAAAAACTTACATTGGCTTTCTATTTTCATCACATTTCATGGTAATGTTTTAAATATTCACCATTTCCTAAATGCTCTATTACTGTGTTCATGCCTAAGACAATGACATTAACCCAAATGAATCTAATTGGTAGGATATCTTTGGTAATAAGGTCTTTCTTGGGGCACTGGAAAGAGGATAATGTAAAGCCTCACATTGCTCCCTCTAGATTCTATACCACATGTTACCCACTCAACTCAGAATCCATAAGGAAGAGCTGTGCTACAGACTCAAAGAAAAAGAAAAAGATTCATCCTCTCTTTTCGAGTATGTTTCAAAACACCAAGTCAAATCTTTTGGTTAAGTTCCAAAGGAAAAAGTCAGCAATGAACATTGTGATCTGAGTGAGGATAGGAGCTCGGGGAGTGCCTCCAAGCCCTTGTACTGCCTTTCCCATCTGTTTTTCACTTTCTCCCATTCCCCCAAGTACTTAGTAGAGTTTTCCATTAAGCTCCACTGAACTGAGCCATTCTCAGCAAAATAACTCCACAGGTTATTTATTGCGGTTCAAATAAGTTCCAAATCAAATTCTGTGTCATTGAATATCATTTTTAAATTCCTTCAAGTCAGATTGGTATATTACATTGAGTTTGTCATATTTAACCAACAAACTAAAGCTAAACATTTTCCAAAGGAAAAAAACAAATGCTGAAATACACCACTTGGATTTTATTTAATATTATTTAAAATAACATTAAACTAGAACATGTGGACATAAATTCTATAACTAAACTTACTGATTTATGTATCATAGAAAAGTAATAAAACAACTCTCTTCTAAATAAAGGCTTATTTACACAATGTTAAATGGTCAGAAATACAGCACTTACCAGGATGTTCCTTGTCAGCACACAAGGTATTGCAAGAATAGATTACCTGGATGAATGATTCAGAAGCCTTTTATCTAGAGAGTCAATATAATAAAGATAGGACATAGTGTATTCTGGTCCCCATTGTGGATCCTTTTTTTAATTTAGAGAACTAAATTGATGTCATTTACTTAGAAGAATGCTCAATAACAAAATGTATTACTTTATCCTTTTAAATGTCCTACCATTTTTCAGAGAATATTTAAAGCAAACTAATGCATATCAGAAATAAGTTATCTTGTTACTGTCAAAGGATATTAAATGTAGTTGCTTAATATATTTACTTACCTTGCTTTAGTGCCTGGTATATCAAACCATTGAATGTCAATCAAGATATGCATTAAATCATTATAGAGATTAGTGGTAAATATTACTATATTATTAAAATAAATTTGAGGCCAGGTGCGGTGGCTCACGCCTGTAATCCTAGCACTTTGGGAGGCCGAGGTGGGTGGACCACCTGAGGTCAGGAGTTTGAGACCAGCCTGGCCAACATGGCAAAACCCCATCTCCACTAAAAATACAAAAAATTAGCCAGTCGTGGTGGCGCATGCCTGTAATCTCAGCTACTCAGGAGGCTGAGGAAGGAGAATCACTTGAACCCAGAAGGCAGAGGTTGCAGGAAGCCAAGATCGCGCCACTGCACTCCAGCCTGCATGACAGGAGCAAGATTCCATCTCAATAAATAAATAAATAAATAAATAACAAATAAAAAACAAAAAAACTTGAGAAAACATTCCCATATTTAGAGGGAAGTGTACTCTATATGGGAACTCTGAGGCAGGATACTTGGTATCTTAGTCTTTTGGGGTCACTATAACAAAATACCTTAGATCAAGTTATTTATAGACAACAGAATTTTATTGCTTATAGTTGTGGAGGCTGGGAAGTCTAAGAACAAGGCACCAGCACTTTTGGTGTCTGGTGGAGGCTCTCTGCCTTATACATGGTGCCTTGTTGCTGTGTCTTCACATGGTGGAAGGGGAAGAGGGTTTCCCAAGCCTCTTCTATAAGGGTACTAATTCCTTCCCAAAGGCCCCACCTCTTAGGGATTACAGATTAGGTTTTAGCATATGAATTTCAGAGGGAAGGGAGAGACACGAACGTTCGGACCATAGCACTTGGATTCCAGTCTCAGCTCTCCCAGCATTTAGACTTTTTGTGACCTTGATGAAATAAGTTAACAGTTCTAAGTCTTTCCTTCCTCGTTGGTAAAATGGGGATACAAATTCTTGTCCAGCCTATCAAAAAGTGATTTTGTGATGCTTAAAGTTGAATATTTGAAAAATGTGTGGTATGTATATAGTTATATATTAAGAACTTCTACATTTTGTTTTGTAGATATTTTAAATTATTTTGCTATGAAACGGTCCAATCAGTAGAAAAACCAACCAATGTCATGTACTCAACTGCCCAACTTTAACATTTCATAAAATTTGATATATTTGCTTCTGATCGTTTTTACAAAATAAAACATTAAAAAAATACAAGTTTTTGGCCAGTGGCCCATGATTGTAATCTCAGCACTTTAGGAGGTCGAGGCCCGTGGATCACTTGAATCCAGGAGCTCAAGACCAGCTTGGGCAACATGGTGAAAACCCGTCTCTACTAAAAATATAAAAATTTTGGTGATGCACGCCTCTGGTCCCAGCTACTCAGGAGGCTGAGGCAGGAGAATCACTTGAACCCAGTGTCCTTGGAGTGTCACTTTTCCAGCTGGAAACCTCTGTGGCCTATGGTGCCTTTTCCCAAGTTTTGCTTGGGCCCACTGGGCTTGTTCTGCCCACTCAGCCTGGCAGGCTATGCTAAGCTTGCACTACTGGCCCAGATCCCATGCCTGCCAAGGGCGAGCCAGGCACAGAGTGGTGAAGAATGTGTGAGCGAGTGCATGGTCCGGCCACCGTGCACAGCCAGGTGTGCTGGCTGTGGCAGGGCAGGCAGCTCCAGGCACTGGCACAGGTGCTGGCTCTGTATGAGACTAAGGCTGGAACAGGCATACTGCAAGTGGCTTCAATGATGGGCACCGGGAAATGCAGTGGCGACAAGAAGCTGGTAGACACCAGGAACCACAGAGCCCCAAAGAGAGTATCACAACCATGGCTCAGGGAGCCCCTAGGTCTGGGCTCCCTGAAGGGCCCCAGCTCTTCTCTTCCTCTCTCCTTCTCTCTTCTCTCCTTCTTATCTCCCACAACATGGCAAGCAGGGGCCATGTTTCAGCCCTGTTTGTGTTAACAGCTCTTTCGGTCATCCAGACTAATGTCCAGCCCTTAGCAGAGAGGAGACCCATAAGAAGTGTGGCTGAGTCAGGTTATTTTATGGGCTCAGACGGGAGGAAGTACATGGTGATTGGTCCATGGGTGAACGTGGGCATGCCTGGAAAATGCACCATCTGATCGGCCGAACGGTCATCAATGAAGTCTTCCCTCTGGGTTGTGGATTTCACCCGGAAGTGGCAGTCAAGCCTCCCGGCTTCAGGCCATTCCTGGCTTGAAGGTGGGGTTTCACCAGGGACTCTCCCCTTTCTGCCCAGGAACCCGTCTGCCTCCTGCCATCAGCATGCCATCCACAGCACCCAAGCTGTTTATGCTGAGAGGTGCCTGCAGGTGCATGTCGGGTTGCCTTCAGCTACCCCCAGCCTCCCTCCTGAGCTCCTGGGTGCCCAAAGTCCAGACGGGGCCCCAAGGCGGCGGAGGGCTGGCATGTCATTGCCACCCCAAGTACACACACACACCCGGCTGGGTCACAGCAGTGCCCAGGCTCAGCCACAGCCTTGTACTGTACCAGAACGTGCTGGGAGCCAGGAGAGGCCAGGGAATGGGAACAGGCACTTCTGAGCCTGCGGGAGCTAGGGCTTCCAGGGCCCCTGAGAACATAGGGATGCCCAGGTCCAGAGCCACAGCTGGGCGGCTGTAGCTCAGTAGGAGGCGGGGCTCCCACCTGTTCCTGGCTCCTGCTGCATTGCCGAACACACAACTTCATCCGCACCTTCCGCGCATCAGCCGGAGGCTTCCCAGCAGCTGTTCTAGTCAGGCTGCCTCTGCCATCACTGGGAGGTGAAAGTTGCAGTGAGCTGAGATCATGCCATTGCTCTCCAGCCTGGGTGACAAAGCAAGACCCTGTCTCAAAAAATAAAAAAAATATAAGTTTTACCCCACAATGGTTCCATTTTGTTCCCTCTTTCCCTAGAAACTCCACATTATTATATGGATGCATTATCCTAATATGATCATGTTCAATTTAGGCTTCCTACTCAATTTTCAGTTTTTCATATATGCAACAATTTTACCCCAAGCATAAGTACATCCATTATGATGACATTTAATAGAAGGGCCAGGCCACTCACATAGATTTTCAGAAACACTGAATTTAGTCATCATCAAGAAAATCTGTAATCAAACTCTGTTTGTCTTTTTTTGTTCTCTTTCTGTGTGTTGATGCCAAACAGAAATAAAGAAGACATTCGTTTAAGTGCATTTACACTGTAAGAAAGATTGCTCATTGAAAATATTGATTTTTAATTATATCTTTGAGATAGGTAAATTAAGAACCAGAAGCAATTCCACAACTTGATAAAAACTACAATTGTAGGCAAATTTGGATGACAAATATGAATATTTACTGTATTGGGAATAAGGTTAATATTTTAAAACAAGGTTGACAGGAGAAAAATTGTCTTAGTTTGCAAAAGGAAATTTGTTTCTTTAAGTGAAAATTGGGGTCAGTAGGCCACAGCTCTTCTTGCTTTTACATGCCTGAAATGAATTAAATAATGCAGTAGCAAAGCAGTACTGAGCAGACTAATGACAAAATTATACATTAAGGCTCAAAATCATTATACACTAGAAATACATATTTTATATAAGAAAACATGAAATTTTAAATGCATTCCCACTTCACCTCCATTATCTTAAGAGAGAAAAACTAAGTCATATCTTCTTATGTTCATTAAGGAACTCATGGTCTTTTTCTAGGGAGCAAGGGTGGTTACTGGATTCTGTTTGCTGATTGTGATTTCAATGTGATTAAAGACTTATTCTTCATACAGTAGATGCAGTATCCAGCCCCATATGCTATTCAAAGTGAGTATGGTATTATTTTATAGAGGGTAAATCTAATTTTGAGTTGTTTACCCTTCTTTGGATTCCTTTATGTGAAATAATGATAGTAAATAACTTTGTTAAACATGTACTTACTATGTTCTAGGAATTGTGCTAGGTACCCTACACCCACTCTCTGATTCACAATACCCTTTGAGGCAGACATGATTTTCACCATTTTATAGATGAGGACACAGGCTCAGACAGGTTAAATAAGTTGACCAAAGTAACCAGGCTAGTAAGTGGCAGTTATTAGATGCTAACTTCATATTTTCAGTAGTGACATTTTCAGGAATGTATTGCAAATATATTAATATTCAATCCACTATCAAATTTCATGATTTATGACTTTTAAAGTAAGTGTGAGTGGGAGTCTATTTTTAGAAATCAAAATGAATAGCACTTTAAGTACACTATGCACTTGTGTACACTTATACACATGGAGCATTGTGTTTGGCTCTTTTGGTTTCAGTGCCAATGCCAGTAGTTACCCTATGGAAAATGTTAGTGAAAAACACTAAAGTGTAGTAGAAAGTACATTTTATTATATAAGTACCGTTTTATATGTGGGCATATAGTAAACAATCAACCTATGCATATTACATATAACTTTACTTTGAAAGACATGTAAATAGAACAGAGTCATACTGTGACATATCTATATGATGCTCAAATAACCATCTGATTCAGAGAAGTTATTTCATTAGAATGTGGTTTTTATTACAACCTTTCACTCTTTAGTCCCTCGTGTCAAGTTGTATAGACAGGGCCCAAGCTGTCATGTCCTCAGTGGGTTGTATTTATTTATAATGGTACATTTTTCCCAGCATCACAAAAGGCAGAAAATTTGTTATTGCCATGTGAAAATACTCATTTTGTACCATTATTCTCTTTACACATATTTGTCCTCAGAATATGGGAAATAAAATTAGCACTACTGCTACCCGGTAATCTTTACAAGAGGATTGTTTTTGAAGATAAGGAATTCAAATATCAATAAGCTGAACTGAAAACAATATTAAATTTCCAATGTGATGTGGCTTCTGTTTGGATAGAGATGGAGCTGGTCTATGTTTCTTTACTCTGTGTTCATAGTATCAAAGTAAGCTTTGTATCTGTTTTTCTGTAATGATGACATTTACACTTGGTTGCATTAATATGAAGTAACATGGATTGCGTGTGTTAGTAGGTTCTTTTTAATTACTGTGTAAAAATAATATGTAATTGAAACAAAAAGCATTGTTTCCAATCCTAATTTTTTTTCCTCAAGTCCATCCTGTCAAGCTGCAAGCGTGAAAGTTATTTTCTGGTGGTGTGATTAGATTGGGGCTGAACCCTCCAGCTGGCAGGCCTGTCTGTGACTGGCGGCGGCCTGTCCCCAGTGCTTGTCATTTCCTGACATGCCTGACAGGATGGGGACAGCCGCCCCAGACAGGTTCATTAGATGGTGTTTTCTACAGCTGGGCTAAAAATAAATAAATAAATAAAAAGTCTGTGCTTTGTAAAAGCCCAAGCTGTAGGGGCCCTTCTTGTTGGTTTAAACCAGGGCCTTGTTTTGACAAATTTTGATCTGTGCAGTTTTTAGATTTTCTGACACATTTTTGTTTCCTTCCCCTTTGGCCTGCACTTTGTGCTCTCTGCCTTGTTGCTGCTTCAAAATCCTAACATAGTCTTCCCAAGAGAAAAAGAACCACCGTTATTGAGGGCTTAAAAGAAACAATAGTGTAATACTTCATAAAATAGCAATACTTAATCTATTTCCATGGTGATCTGCACAATGGAGGAAAAACAATCTTGGGACTTGTGATAAGCCAATTACAAGAAAGGTTAAGAGTTTTTTTAGTGCCAGAAACATGCCATCTACATGAAAACATAGGATCATTACTAACAGTCTACACTGTCAAATACACTGCTCTTTAGAACTGCCAGAAATTTAAGCTGTCTTCATTTTTGAGCTTTTAGGAAGCTGACAGAGTTTTCTGCCTGTGTTCATAGGCTTCGACGTCAGAAAGAGAAATTACGGAAGACTGTAGAATACTTGCTAATTAAAACCAGAAATAAATTCAAAAATCAGATTTAGAAATATGCTTCTTTGTCAATGATAGGGCCCCTTTAAGACTAACGATTTGCCAAAAATGGAGTGCATTTGAAACATACATTTCTACAGAGTCATGATTTATCATTCTCAACCCCAAATTCAAACTTTTAGAACTGCAGAATTGGAAAGAAAAAAAAAAATCTTCAGCCAAGAAATTATTATTCTGGGTTGCACCTGTAATTAAAAAGTAGCTATTGACATCTGTGCCTTAGAGACTTGCCGTAGTCTTCCTACTATCATAGTTGCTGATAGCTGCTTTCCATTAAGAGAAACATTTTATCTTAATTTTTAGTAGATAGAACATGCCCAAATAGAACATATCTGACCATATTTGTCTAAATAATCTTAGTGTTGCTGTTAGCTATATTTCCTTTCACATGTAAAGATACAAAATATAATAATGTTTGTATCTCATATGCTTTGTCATTGGTGTAATAAGTAGTGTTGCTGAAAAAAAATCAAATTCCTCATTCACAGAAATCCTAGCCCTTACCTTTCCTTTGTATTGTTAGCTTTCACTGCTTTAGTTCCCCGTCTCTATGACAACTGTTTAAATTGGGATGGGCAACTGTCATCTGGAGTATTACTGAGAGAAAAGTGTTAGTGAGCACACAGTTCCCATAGATAGAGCATTTCAATATAATCCAATTTTAATTGAGCTCCAGAGACTTTGATGTGCTGCAGAAGGTTGGGAGAGAGCTATTCCAGGGAGAAATTAAAGCAGCCCAGCAAGGCTTCCCTACTCCAGACTGTCACCATTTTAAGTAAGCATTAGCATCAGACTTAACCTGCCCCTATGGAACATCTCACTTCTTTTTTCAGCTTTTCACTGATTTATTTTGCCATATGTAAAAGCAAAGCACTTTCATCTTTTTATATATGTTTTTACACCCATTTGATTAGGCTTGAAAAGCTTGTACTGGACCTGAGATTCATCTTATGCTGTCTGTTGGACTTTGCTTTGGCGGCTCATAAAAGACATAGAAAGTAGAGTAGGGATTAGCTTCAAATTGTCAGCTATTATATATTAAACTTTCTTTTTTAATGCTGCTTTGTAAGACCCTATTTTGGAGCTAAAAAGTTGAAGGAAGTGTAATTTGTATTTAGCTTCGATTTGTCATTGAATTTCATTTTAATGCTTAGATTCATGGTCATTTATTAGTGGCTACGATTTTTATTTCAAAATGCATTAAAATATCTTTTCCTCATCACATGAAAAGTACCTTTCAGGGAAAGCTGGTTCAGAGCAGCTGAATACAGATACATCAATCCTTAATAGAGAAACCATTAACCCTTTATTTTTTTTAATGGAGAGAAAAAGGGGTATTTTTCCATATATATTCAAAGAGCCTTTTAAATATTTTGAAATATAATGTTGAACATGCATTAAATATGCTAGTAATAATAAAAATGACATCAAATCACAATGTTAATTATAATTAAATAAGTACTAAATACTTTGATTGTGCAGTCAAAAAGCTTTGTTACAGGTATGATAAACTTAAGGAAATTATCTATTTGTGACATACTTGACATTTCTGATCTATATTGGCACCTTAAAGAAAAACACGTATTTAGAAGTTAAGTAAAATATGACAATAATTAGAAATTAGTTTGAGTCTATGCATCATTCTAGATACTTCTAGTACCAGAAGTAGATTGACTGTAAAGCTAATGAATCTTCAGCCAGGGCCCCTTACTCTTCAGGCCTTGGGGATGATGGGAGTTGCTGATAATGGTACAGTGGTTTCAGTTTACTAAGTTGCATTAAAAGATCTCAGAAGAATAGAACCTAATTTCTAAGGCACTAGTAATTTGTTGAGTTTTTTTTTTCTAATTCTAAATATTCATGTGCATAGCTTATTATAAACAATGTTGCAGTGAGTGATCTGGTACATATTTCATCTTGCTTTTCTAGGAGTATATTCACAGCATAAATTCATAGAAATAAAATCACCAAGTCAAAGGGTATATACAAATACAATTTTGATAGATGCTGCCAAAATTTTCTTGATATGTTTTATTATTTGTGCGCCCACTAGCAATGTAGTGAGAACTTGTTTTTCTCACAGTAAGCTCAGTATTAGCAAACTTTTGGATTTTTACCAATCTGATAGATTAAAAATATAGCATTTTCATATAATGTTCTTTCTCCAACAATGAATCAATTTAATCATGTTTTCAGTCAAGGAAAGCCATTTTTACTATTTTCTGTGATTTATCTATTTGAGCTTTTTTAAAAGGAAAATGTCACCCTCTCAATGTCTGTGGGAGGGGATTATTGATAAATAGTATGGTTTGTCTCATGCATGTTATTTTTCCATATTAGTTAACATAAAAATTTATAATACGTATAATGAAAATTATATGCACATATAGGTATGTCCCTTTCTCCCTGCTCCCAACCTAAGTTAATTTCTCATTCCTCAATGGAATTTCCTCCTAAATATTAGTGTCATTTGTTCTGAGGATAAGAATTTTTTTTAATTTACCTGCATACCCAAGAAGAATTTTTCTGCTCTAGCATAGATCAACTGCCCTATTACCTCAAATTCTAGCTTATTACTTATAATACAGTTAGCTAAATATATTAACACTCTGTTTGCTACATAAAATTCTAAACCAGAAGGGCTGCATCCTTTATAAATTAGTTAGCCAATGTGGATGTCTCTAGTATATATTTTTATTTATTTACTAAACATGCATATTGGAGAAGCATACACTGGCACTCCAGGCAGCTGCATTCATTGAGTACTTGCTGTGTGCCACACACTATACTGAGCACCAGGGAAAACATTCCACATTAAGGTGGGGTTTTGACTGAAACACAGAAATAACCTCTATATATGGAGAAAATAATATTAGGTTTATTTATGTTATCAGTGGAGAGCAAAGTTTTAATAACACTAGATATTTTAATTTATATTTTATTCACTGGTTATCATTCCTTTAAAGTTGTCAGGTGTAGATAGGTTAATTGTTTTTATTGGTAACACATTTTCTTTGTGGAAGTTCATGTTTATGTGAGTGATAACAAACAGAGTGATTGCCGTATCTAAAGTCTGGACTGAACTTCTTTTCTTTTTCATAATACTCGTAAATCTGCCAGTAATCCTAAACCTAGGAAATGGCAGAAAACTCCTAGCCACTGGAGCCAGAAACCCTTGAGACTCCTTTCATACCTTTACCTCAGCACAAAACAAAACACTCTAGCCCTATCTGTCTCAGAACTGTCTGTTCTTCCTTCCCTCTTCCTACCTGCTGCAACTCTCTTAAGTCAGACTTCCTCTACTTCCTACTGGCTTCATTCAGATTTCTAGTTTAGCCTCATTCCAAGTCATTCTCCATACTGCTTCCAGAGTGCTCTTTGCAAATGCAGTTTTAATCTTATAACCACCTTCCTCCAGTGCTCTCAATGGCATCACATTCCTCATTAGAGCTGCCATCTATTGAGGGCTAAGTTAAAATCCCCATTCCAGTTCATCCTTTCTGCAGTGAGTGCTCTGGACAGCCTCTTGCCTGTAGACATGTGACCTCTGTACTTGGAGTGGAAACACCTGAGATAAGAACTTTACATACCGTAGCTCATTTAATTCTTTCAACAACCCAGTAAAATAGAATCATCCTATCAATCTTACAGATAAAGACACAAATAGAAAAGCTGGGCTCCATGAAAGGAGGGGCCGTCTCTGTCTTGTTCACAATGTGTCCCATCACCTAGCACAATATCTGGATCCTAGTACATGCCGACTGAATTTTTTTTGATGAACAAATTATGTGTTATGCCAACAGGCTTTGCCTAGGATCAGAGAACTTGCTCATGATATTCAAATGAAACAAATAAAAGGCAAATTTTCAGCAAACTAGTATTTTGCTTCAAATAGCTTTACAAAAAAAGAATAAAAACTCAGCAGAAGAGAAAAAAATAATCCTGGGGCATTCCAGAAATGCAGAAGAAACTTTTTGGTTATATTTAACCCTGGAAATACTGTTTTCGTTGCCTGCAAGTCGGGTAATCTCTAAATCCTCTTTTTACCCAATTATAGATATTTGTGAAAGGTACTCATTTGCCAGCAAGGGCCATTTACTGGGCTATTTACAGTTAAACTGAGTTGCATTTCTTGAAGAGCTAATTTTCCTGTAATGTAGAAAACTGGCGGCAGAAGCAAAAACACCATGGGAAATTCAGTAGGTGCATTGTGTAGTTGAAGCATGAAGGTGCTTTAAGGTGTTTTTTGTTTAGTTTTGTTTTGTTTTGTTTTTTATGTTAAACTTCAAATGCAGAAGACAGAACACGCAAAACCGTTTAGTAAGTGGTAAATAAGAACAAATTCCAGGAAATAATCAGAGCTGATTGGAGCAATGTGACACACAGAACCAGAGACTGGATCAGAGAATAAAGTACACTGAAAAGGATCTGGGCTGGGGTCAAGGCAGAGACTGCTCCCATCACTCCTGACTGAGGGTTCACTAAGGTCTGGGTAGGGGAGGATCGTGAATTCATTTGTTCAACACATCTATGTAGCACAGCCTTTCTGCTAACCTCCCCACTTGATACTTGCTGTGTTATTTCATTTAATACTCACAGCAACCCTGCAAAGTAGATGTAATTTGTCCCATTTTATATAAGGGAAACTGTCACAAGTGTATTGGGAAACTTGCCTGAAGTTATACAAACTTTAGAGTCTGTGTGTCATCCTCCAAGTCCAAGTTCTTTCCACTACAGCATGGCATACAGATATATAAAAAATTACTTTAGTCTACAAAACTAAGTGCTAGTAAAGTACATACTTATTGCTACATACTGGTAGGATGAGGGAATGTGGCAAGGGTAACATTCATACTGCCTTAGGTAGATACACAGTAAAATAGACCCAATCAAAAGGACTTCCAAAATGCAAGTTTGCCTGCATGAGGTTATGTTTCATTCTACCACTTCTCTTCAGGAGACGGTGATGCTGAGGGAGCTGTAGCTTTAAGAGAAAGAAAAATAAATTCTCATGAACCCCAAGCATGCACCTGTGAATACCCAGGGGCACTTGGGTTTTCAAGTGAAAATATGCTTCACAAACTCGGAACCCATATTTTATGATAGCTTTCAGTTGCTAATTGTCACTGAAAAAGAAAAGTCTTTAAAACCTGAAAAATAATTCACATTCATCTTTTCTTTCTGGTCCCTGATGAGCCTACTACCTACCTGGCAGATACTTGATAAATGGTAAATATTTTTTGAATAAATGCTTTTTTGAGCAGTAAGTTTTTAATATATCATAGAAATTTACCAGGTAGACAAGGAGGAGAAGTTATTCTAGAACATAAAGTGTGGAAATGTTTGATATCTGCATTTGTTTTTTTTTAATTTCAATAGACTTTACTTTTTTAGAACAGTTTAAGTTTACAGAAAATTGAACAGCTAATACAGAGAGTTCCTATATATGTGTGTGTATTGGTCCTGTTTTTTTCCTTCTTCAAAGAACAGAGACATGAAAGTAACATCTGATAATAACACTTTATATTAGAAAATTGTCAGCTGCAAGTAACAGACACTGTAAACTGGCTTCGTAAAAAATAGATAGATGATAGATAGATAGATAGATAGATAGACAGACAGACAGACAGTCAGTCCTGGATTCTGGTGGTCTCCAAGGTTGATTCAGCTAGTCGTGGATGCTGTCAAAAACCCAGGTGCATTGCCTGTCTTTACTCAGTGATCCTTGGTTTGTCCTAATTCTTACGCTGATAGCAATGTGGCTCCAACACTTCAAAAAATCAACATAAGCTCAGAAATATTCAAAGGAATGAGAGAGCATCTCTTCCATTGGCTCCCTCACAGCATGTGGAAACTTTTCTAAATCCGATATACCCCTGGAACTGGCCAGGGGGTCAGTGTGTCCTGGCTTGGAAGTGATGTAAGAGAAGTCAATACCTGAACATGATTGGAGTTGTGTCAATCAGGGAAATGGGGCAGGGGGATAGGGTTGGAATAGGAGGAGTGGAATGGTTTCTGAGTAAGTAAGCAGTAGTGTCTACTATAGAGTTTCTTTTAAGAAAGCATAATAAAATACAAATGGTAAATTTTGATCAGGCCTTCTGAAAAACTGGAATTTTTTTCAGCTCCAATAAACCACATTTTTTCTGTCTCCCTCAATCATAGACACCCATTGACATAGCACCAATTACTCTGTTTATACTTCTGCTACTAGAGAATAACTATATATAGACCCTGTATATATACAGGGTCTCCTAGCTTAATCATTAATAGAAGTTAATCAGAAGAACAAAATCAGAAATCAGACTCTATATATACCCTTTAATTCAATCATTCAACAGATTTTTTACTGAGTTTCGACAACATACCAGGCATTGTGCTAAGTAATAGAGATACAGTAATGAGAAGAAAAAAAATGGTCAAAAAGCTTATAGTCTAGTGGAGGAGATTACATTAAAAATGAAATTATACAATGAATTTGCA
Source organism: Homo sapiens (assembly GCF_000001405.40). Classification (NCBI taxonomy): domain Eukaryota; kingdom Metazoa; phylum Chordata; class Mammalia; order Primates; family Hominidae; genus Homo; species Homo sapiens. The sequence goes on from NC_000013.11 coordinate 35,537,541, forward strand.
AAATTACATTTGCGGTAAGTGCTGTGAAGAGAACTTGTCTCATAGGTGCTATGAGAGCGTAAGATAGGGTGATTTTACCTAGCTAGGGAGGTCAGTGGCAAAAATAGAAGCAAAAAGAGACCTTGAAGATGAGTAGAAGTGAACTTGGCAAATAGGGGAGGGAAGATATTTCCAGAGAGGGAAGAATATGTGCATTGGCTCTGTGACAGGAAACAACATGGTAGGTAACAAGGGACTGAACAAAGGCCAGTGTGGCTTGACCTCAAGGGCAAAGTGGAACCTGATTCATCTGGAGCAGGAGACCTGTTGTGTGCACCACTAACCCCATCCCATCTCTTTTGTTGTTGGCTCTGCTTCCTCAGAACTTCTGCTGCCTTATGATTTCTGTTGACTGCTTTCTCGCTGTGTTCTAGCTTCTTCCCACTGTCCTCTTCAGGCCGTCTCTGAATATCTTGAATTCAGATCATTAAGAGAGATCCTCTGATTGGACCAGCCAGCCAAATTCATGATAGCATGGCTCTGATGGTTTTAACAACCACAGACTGTAGCTACCCTACTTAGATAACCGCAGGTGGAGTATCCCTTGTCGCAAATGCTTGGGATCAGAAGTGTTTCAAATTTTGAATTTTTTCACATTTTGGATATATATAATGAGACATCCTGGGGATGGGATCCAGGTCTGAAAATGAAATTTGTTTATGTTTCATATATACCTTATACATGTAGCCTGAGGGTAATTGTATACAATATATTTGAAATACTTTTGTGCATGAAACAAAGTTTGTGCATTGAACTATCAGAAAGCAAAGGTGTCACTACCTCAGCCACCCATGTGGACAGTCTGTGGTTATTTGGCATCATTATCATTCTTCACACTGAATTTATACGCTACTGATAAGCAATCATTTTCTTACACTTATTCATACATAAGTACATAACAGTAAAAAAAAAGACACACTGTTAACACCGTGTAAAAACAATGTGTTCAGTGTAACTAAGCGGCACAGCAGCATCACAGAATACCTGGATCAGCTGTTAAACAGCAGCAACAACAGTCAATGCAGGCTTTCAGTCTCTACCTACCATGCTGGGTTTTGATTAGAAGGTAGGAGGTTGTACAGTAACCCCCGTGAGGACACTGAATAAACAGTGCGTCACATACCTGCGTTATGACTGTGACCTGTCACGTGAGGTGGGATGTGGAATTTTCTACCTGTGGCCTCATGTTAGCACTCAAAAAGTTTCTGATTTTTGAACATTTTGGATTTTGTGTTCCCACATTAGAGATGCTCAAGGTGTACTTTTAATATTAGTACTCATCGTGGTTCAATCCAGGGTGGTGGCATAATTGGTAATAAACATGGTACAAAGGAACTTTTCAGAAGAGGGTGTCACCCATGTTCCATCTAGTCCATAACAAATTGGGAATCACTCTGGAATGTTTTAATATAGCTGGTTTTAATCATTATAGACCATGTAGATTAATAATTCTTTTGCATATGTTTCTTATTAAATAAAAATCAAGAAAAGTATTCATAATTCATTAGTGTGTTAAATTACTGCCATGTGCTAGGCTCTGTGCTAAGTATGAAGAATGCAGAGACATACAGAATTCCTGCCCTCAGTGAGTCAATAGGTTAGTGGGAGACACCAAGAAGTCAACCAACAATTATAGTTTGGTAAGTATTATAAAAAGGTGGGTACAGGGTTCCCAGTGGGAGCAGCAGGATCTCCTAGCTTAATCATTAGTAGAAGTTAATCAGAAGAACAAAATCAGAAGGGATCTGCCAGTCAGAAGAAATATCATTTGCAGGGGCACAAAAGTGTGACAGAACACGGCACACTGGGGAGCAGAGAAGTGTTCAGGATGGTTAGAATTTAAGAGCTAGGAAGAATGCACATTGTGGCTAAATAGGGGATTTTATACTACTATTAATAATAACATTTGCCACTTTTTAAATACCTACTATGTACCATAGTATATATGCTTCATATGCATAAATTGTACTATGATTTTGATTTTCATGACATTAGGATGCAAATTTTTAAAAAATGTTTGAAGCTATAATGGATTAAAATTAAAAAGTGCACTAGGGCCGGGCGGGGTGGCTCACGCCTGTAATACCAGCACTTTGGGAGGCTGAGGCGGGCGGATCACGAGGTCAGGAGATCGAGACCATCCTGGCTAACACGGTGAAACCCCGTCTCTACTAAAAATACAAAAAATTAGCCGGGCGTGGTGGCGGGCGCCTGTAGTCCCAGCTACTCCGGAGGCTGAGGCAGGAGAATGGCGTGAACCCGGGAGGCGGAGCTTGCAGGGAGCCGAGATCCTGCCACTGCACTCCAGCCTGGGCGACAGAGCAAGACTCCGTCTCAAAAAAAAAAAAAAAAAAAAAAAAAAAGTGCACTAGTATTTGTAATACATGCAGTTTTCTTCAGGTTAACATAAAGAAATGTTAACTAGAGAAAAAAATATTTTTAATTAAGTCATATTTGACTATTGCTACAATCATTACTGCAACTCTACCCTGTAATCTTGTTTCATTCTGGCTGTATCTAAAATTTTAATATGAAATACTTTTAAAAAGAGAAAATAATTTGTCTCGACAATTTATAATATTTGTAAAATCAGACCCTATTACCTAATTAGTTAAAACAAAAACCTCTAACCCAGAAATCCAAATGATCTGAAACAGAAGAAAATAAATAAGTCTATAGAGAGAAGACATATAAATATAACTAGTTTAAAAAATTAGCAATATGCAGAATAATACATAGAGAAGTTAATGTATTCAGTATAGAAATGAAAGTAAATACTGGAAACTAGAAATTCGTTTATTTTCAGTAGTATAGAGTTCTGGTCTCCCCACCTCATCCCTTTGTAAAATAATAGCAGAGAGAAAAATAAAAGATTTTAGACTATGCCAAATTTGAGAAAATGAGGAAACATAGCCAAAGATACAATATTTACACAAGAACATTCATGAGTAGGACAAAAATGAAGCAACTGTGCCAGTATCATTTTTAATTTTGAGAGTTTTACCATGATTTGAGAGTATGTGTTTGAAGATGAAGTAGACACAGAGGACTCCAGCTGCAACTCAGTTTGTTTGTAAATTAAATTTTAAAATATTTTGCTCAACAAAAATTGAGTTCCTTCTCTGTGCAAGTTCTATAAGGAATACAAAAATAGAGTACAACTCAGTCTCTATCCTCATTAAGTCCATTTTTTAGGGGATGTATATAATAAGATAGATCAATTTAAAAGGACCTGCCACAATGTAAGAGATGCTATTGGAGAAATACAAATAATGCTCTTTTGAGTAGTTCCTGGTTCTTTACTAATGAATATAAAATACAATTCACATAGATTTGAAACAGTATTGCACTTCTCTAGTCCAAATAGCGTCTACCTTGCAGCCACAGCAGTGATTTCTAAAGTGCCAGTTTCATTGTCTCACCTCTTTCTTTGTTAAAAATCTTATAGCAGCTCTCCATTATTCTCAGACCAGAGTCCAAACTCTAATGTGAGTTATGAGATCTCGCCCCACATCCTGCTGCCCACTCACCCTTTGTTGTTCTAATTTTATTTTTCACCTCTCTGCTTCTTACAATATATGCACACACAGTCTGTGTCCGTTGCCCCCCCACCCCCAGCACTGTGTTTATGTATCTTTACATACATGTTTACATATGTGTTGTTCCTTCTGCTTGGTACTTCCTTTTTCCCCACTCCCCTGCCTTTTCCCATTATTTGTGATTTTCCACCAAACTGTGAACTCCTAGAGATCAGGGACTCTGCTTCTCCTGTTCACCATTGGTTCCTAATGGTCAGCTGATAAATATTTGTTAAATTAAAGGAACGGAAGAAAAATAAAATTGATAAACCATGAGGACACTTGGTAGAAAAGAGCTGACCTAATTATGGGCTGTTTATAAAATAGGAAGCCTTCTTGCAGTTTATCACTGCTTATAGTGAGACTGGTAGCTGGTGTCCCAAATAGTTGGGCTTCGTAGTTAAGAGTTAAGTGCTATGATTCCAATAATGTCTAGGATACAAACTACCACTAAAGAAACAATAAATGTGGCTTTTAGTTCAGTAAAAGGCTATGTGCTGTGGTCCAGATTTTCTACATCTGTTTTGGTGATGTCATCAACAAAGATTAGAACCAGAGGTCTGCATGGGTGTGTGTGTGTGTGTGTGTGTGTGTGTGTGTGTGTATGTGTTTGTGTCTGTACACATGCACAAAAAGGTAGGGAGTAATTGCAGTAGTAGGCTGACATTTGTTAAGCATTTCCTGTGTGCCAGGCACTGTGCTGAGCATTTTTTGAAAAGAGCTATTAATATCTCATTCAATCGCACAATGACCCCATGAAGTTAGGTACCATTATTTCTCCCCATCTTTAGATAAGAAAACCAAAACATCAAAAATCAATGAACTTGCCTGAGGTCTCACAGCTAGTAAGAGAGGCAGACCCAGGGGAAGCCTTAAGTCTAAGGTAAGCAGGTCCATAAATTGATGAATTAGAGAAAAAAAATCAAGATTATTAAATCAAAAGTTCTCTACGGATGGGCTGCCTATATTTCCCCCAATTGTAGGATGTTTTGACACCCCCCCCCCACCGCATACCCATATGCCCATGTACCAATAATGGCTGTGTTTATAATGGCATATAATAACATTCCTAAACACAGCCATTATAGCAACATTGTTTAATTTTCATTGAGGATGTATTTTCTGGAAAGCTTCATTTTTCCAGCTTCATTTCTTGATCATTTTTGTTTGCCTCACAGTTAAGCCATTTCCAATTTTTCCCGTTTTCAGTTTTATATTACTGAATTATTTTCATCAGGATTAATTCTTTTCCATGTAAGTTTTATGGAGTGACTTGGTTCTGTGATCAATCTTTTGGTCCATATTACATTTTACTGACTATAGTGCCTGCCCTTGACAATTTTATTTTGATGATAGTATTCATTATTAATTGAATAAAAGGCTAAAGTGAAACTCTTCTACCAGATATTTGAAGATTTCTTTATTGTGTAGGAGTGGTCTATAGCAGTTGTTCTCTAACTTTTTTTCACCAATTTTATTATAAAAGAATTTTATAAAGCTCTATACCACATTGCACATGTTTAAATTAACAGTTACAATTTTCCATAATTTTAAATATTTTAAAAAGACGTGATATCCAGTATGTTCTAAATATTACTATTTTAAAATAAAATTGTTATATTACTTTTCAGATATATCCAGTAGAATAAAATAAGTAGAGTAGTGATTGATTACTATTATCATCTGTTTTAAGATGTACAAATAAGCTCTTTTTTCAAATGAACATTTTATATAATTTCTCTCTTTGAACTCATACTTCCTTTCAATTCCTTCCCCCAAATTTACCTAATCTAAAATATTTGTGCTTGTGAGTCTTTTTTGATCACTATGTTATACTACTCTGCAAAAAGTGTATATACTTACTGATTAAAGCTTTAGTTTTTTAGGTTCCTAAGACCATAACATTCTAAGTATTTAAATTTTTTATTCTGAAATAAATTGTTACAAATATTATTAGCATACAGTCATACAACAGCATAAATATATTGTGAACTTTGAAAAATAATTAAGCATAAAAAATGAAATTATATTAGAAATTCATCTCTTAATGGGATGAATAGTTAACACATGCACATATGAATATTACTTATTGCTACAATAATACAGGAATCAATATTAGAGCTACTTATAACTTTCTTTTTTATAGAGGTGTTGAAAAATCTTGTTCACATAAGTAAACAGCATGTCGAAGTTGTATTATAGACAGTGTTATTCAGTGTTTTCTACTCTTTCCAAGTTGTGTGCTAAAAATCACATAAGGATCTATTGTCAGAAGTTATTTTTAATTATCTCTCAATTGACAGCCCATTTAGATCCAACTTCTCCTCTTTGAAAGTAAAGAATTGGGAAAACATCTGACTTGCAAAAGGATTTTTTTTTCAGTCCAGTCACTGGGAACATTCACTTTCCAATGCCTCCATCAGGTATTTCGAATCATCCAATTTGATGCTCCTACCCCTCAACAGATCTTATACTCCAGTCAATACACCATAGAGAAATACCATTTTTTATTTTATTTTTTAAGTGGGAGAATGGCAATGTGTTTTTCCCATCTCCTTTTTGGAGATGGGAAAGAGAACCTGTACTATCTTATGTTTCTCCATTTCTTTGGTAGGGAAATAGCATCACCAAGACATGTGGTGAGAGGTGGGAAGGGAGTGTTCCATAGCTGCTCCCCACATCCTCACTGCATGTGCCACACAGCAGGTATCAGTCAGACATGGTCTTCCAGGTGGTCATTTTGGAAGTCAAGCCTCTCCCAGTTTGTAGATCGACTTTCCTTCAGGGCCTTGGAATCTTCTCCATTCAGCTGACAGTTTAAAAAGAGCATGGATGATCTCATATGAGTGTGGACCTGAAATTTCTTTTGAACTATTCTTCTTGAATATATTTGCTGTAATCCTGAGCCATTGCCACAAATTCCAAATTTATATGAAATTATAAAAGTAATAGGGATTTGTAACTTTAAATTGCACCACAACAAGCTCTTTAATTAAACTGTTGAGGCTGCAAGTGTGGATTGAACGCGACAACCTTAGGAACTCTAAAAAGGGTTTGCCCAGCCTTCTGCAGCATTTTCAACAATTCGTAACAGGAAATTCAACTGGAAACAAAATTTAGATTTTTTTCGTATTCAAAGAAAAAAAATTTGTAATACTTGTGCTAATATATGCATTAGATGATTTGAGATCAGCAAAGCTATCACTAAACAAGTATTTTTTTAAGTTGCACAATATTTAGCTTCCTTAAAAAGAAAAAAAGGTGAAACTTTTTTCATCTGTGATTTGACAGTCATTTACATGTTTCTGACAACATATACATGTCCGATACGCATGAGTGCACAGCAGCCTTGTATTTTTCAACATGATCATCAGATAATATGTGGTAAGCACATATTTGAGTAGGTGGTTTACAAGGGATTTCTATGACATTTGTATTGTATTACTTTCTATGTACCTTACTTTCTATGTGCTTTCTATGTACTTTAGTTCATAAGTGAACTAAAATTCATAAGTGAATGGGGCAGACTTCAGGGTATGAGCCTGACATGAACTTTCTCCCTTCACTTCTTTTGGATATTAAGCAGTTAGCTCAGTATAGTTCAGTGGTCACTTAAGAAAATCACAAAGTTCCATAAGATTTGGGGTCAAGATGCTTTAATATTCTTGCTTATGATCTGTATGATGTATCAAAAATTATGTTTATTCAGTTCTCAAAAATGAAACTGGATGGGATAGTATTTGTTGATTAGATTTCATTGTATATTAAATACTTTGAAGAAACAGGCAGGCACAAGCTAGATGATATGGGAAGCTTGGCTTAAGAAAGAAAACAAAACCACAAACCTCAAGTATACATGAAAGTACTTAAATGACAGAAAAATATCTTGGACTATAATAAAAAGCAAACTGAAAGAATTATTATAGAATGTCCTTAAACTTATAGAAAATTATGTAACCAGTAAAGGTATAAATAAAGAAGACGATTTTATAGTATCAGGCCATATTTCAGGCCTGAGCTTGATGCCCAGATTTTTATAGAAATGTACCATAAACTCAGTATTCAACTGACTGTGATTGATATTCCTTTACATTTATGAAAGTTATACAGATTGATTAACTCATCACTTGCCTGAAGCAGCATCCCCTCCGGTCATTCTGCCCCCATCCCACTGCATTCCACTCTATCCTCCACATGCCTCCCTAGCGCTGTGCCTCAAATCTCACTCTGCCACCTTCCTGCTAAGCTTCAGGACTTTCCCAGTGCCTGTGAGCAGAGCAGGGTAACAGAGCCCTGGGGTATAGTCCAAGGAAGCCACAGTAATCACATGTATCTGAGTACCAGTGTTTTATCTTAACAATTCATTCATATTTGCAGTATTTTCCAGCCTGTGCTAATTTTACTACAAAACTGTTTTAAATTGCTTACCAGAAATAAAATTGATGCTCAAGAAGGGGTTCCAAATGATATTCTTTGACATACCTTAGTATACATTTTCCCATGTGAGAGGCGTAAGTCCATAATATCAAGTCAAAATTGCTTAGCCTAAAGCCCTTCCATAACTCCTCTGGAGTCAAGGAATCCTTTCATTGTAAAGGTAGTGTCTTCTCAGAATGGATCTAATCCAGTCGAAAGTTCCATGGTAGTGCAAATTAAACTACTAAAAAAGAGAAACCAGCTGTATTTAGATTACTGTTTTGGTTCTTGATTAAAGTCAGCAGGGTTGTTTGGTGGACTATACCATTAGGACATAAACATGAGAAGTCTGAAGGCCACATTGGAGAGAGCTTCTTCTGGTTTAGCAAAGGAGTCAAAATGCACATACTCTGTACAATTTCTTTAGAACCTTCCCCATATGTACTATTTCTATCAGTTTCCCATTGTGATTTATTAAACAAACATATATGGAGCACATATGTGCCAGACACTATTTTAGGCACTGTGTATCGAACAGTAAATAGGATAGATGAGAGTTCTATTCTCCTATTTGATGTCACAGGGAGGGGACAGACAAAAAACAAGTAAGAAAATTAATCATTTTCATGTGCAGAATTAAACAGTGATAAGATAGGCTGTGTGTTGGGATCACTTGAGGTCAGGCATTCAAGACCAGCCTGGTCAATGTGGCAAAACCCTGTCTCTACTAAAAATACAAAAATTAGCTGGTTTTGGTGGCACACGCCTGTAGTTCCAGCTACTCAGAAGGCTGAGGTGGGAGAATCGCTCGAACCCAGGAGGTGGAGGTTGCATGAGAGGAGATGGCATTGTTGCACTCCAGCATGGCTGACAGAATGAGACTCCATCTCAAAAAAAAAAAAAGAGATAGAGTTACATGATAACTCTTAAATTGTGTGTCAGAAAAGGCAGCTGAGAGGAGTAGATCTAAAATTATTATTAATTTTTTTTTTTTTTTGAGACGGAATCTTGCTCTGTCACCCAGGCTGGAGTGCAGTGGCATGATCTCGGCTCACTACAACCTCTGCCTCCCGGATTCAAGCAATTCTCCTGCCGCAGCCTCCCAAGTAGCTGGGATTACAGGCATGTGCAACCATGACCGGCTAATTTTTTTGTATTTTTAGCAGAGATGAGGTTTCGCCATATTGGCCAGGCTGGTCTCGAACTCCTGACCTTGTGATCCACCCACCTCAACCTCCCAAAGTGCTGGGATTACAGGCGTGAGCCACCGCTCCCGGCCTAAAATTTTTTTAAATAAAAATGTATTATGGAATGAAACTCTTTTTAAATAAAGAAATTGTAGGATCATCTTATTCCGTGATCAGTCTTGAAGGTAACAAGCAGGGAAAGCAGGAGGTGGTTTGCTATAAAAAAAAGAAAAGAAAAGAAAATGACCCTAGGCTCTATCAGGTTTTCCTAGCAGGGAATTATGGCTAGCTCAGAACATCGTCTTTCATCAGCCCTTTTAGGATTTCAGATGCTTAAATATAACATGGGTTATTGTAAAGTAATTAGGTAGGTTTTTTGAAAAGCATATAAGAACATACATAAAAATAATTTTTCTTCCCATGTCCCCTTTGGTAAGGGCTGAACACTTATTTAAATGATGTTGCCATTGTTCAAAATAGCTTTGGACCTTTGGATCTGTCTTTCAGAATTTGCTTCCTAAGCCATTTAGAAGCTACTAGCAAAATCATTTTCTTTTAATTTTGTTATCTCTCCTTGTCCTCTTTGCATTTAAGCTTTACTGATCTTAGGTTCCTTTTTTCTTGCTGCAGAGGGTCCCTAAGGACCATTATGCTCCCAGGCTGTAGCTAAGAGAATGGTGATAGGAAAACTGAGTTTGTGTATTAGCTGGGATCCAGTCAGGGGAGAGGAATCAGAGTGCAATTTAGATAGGAAAAGTGTGATACAATTATCATATAAATTATGCCAGGAGATTGAGTAACAAGGGACTGGCTAGTAAGAAATAAAGATAACTCTAAAGAATATTGGCCAGGCGTGGTGGCTCACACCTGTAATCCCAGCACTTTGGGAGGCCGAGTCAGGTGGATCATTTGAGATCAGGAGTTCGAGACCAGCCTGGCCAACATGGTGAAACCCCATCTCTACTAAAAATACAAAAATTAGCCGGATGGTAATGGCACGCATCTGTAATTCCAGCTACTTGAGAGGCTGAAGCAGGAGAATCGCTTGAACACAGGAGGTGGAGGTCGCAGTGAGCCAAGATAACGCCACTGCACTCCAGTCTGGGTAACAGAGTGAAACCCTGTCTCAAAAGAAAAAAAAAAGGGAATTGATGAAGCCATTTATGGGAGGTGTCCCAACAGAAACACTCTGCTACAGAACGGCTCGGGGTGAGGGAAGTACTGAGAAAACTGCTGGTCACTGGGTGCTGGGAGCATCATGCGTCCCAGAGCCAAGTGCTGGAGAACAGGCGCCTGCCAAGTGAGAACACCAGAACAGAGAAGAAAAAACACCCTTCCTCCTGTGTGGTCTCTTCAGTGCCCTTTCCTGACAAAGTTTAATGCTATGACAGGTAGCAAAGGAAAAATATTTTAAGGACACAGGTTCGTTTTCACAGAGCAAGCAATTAAGGGTGAATTTGCACATGGAAGGCCATAAATGAATAATTGGCACAGTTTATAAAATACAGTTTTACATGGTGCACTTAAGGAGTCAAACTAACATACTTTTTGGAGCTATCTGCTTGCTATAACTAACGTAAAAACTGATAACATGCTTAATGGAAATAAATGCTTGGTCAAATTTTCATTACACCATAGCTCCAGAAGGAAAAAATAAGTCAAAATATGACTCTGTGTGTGTATACACATGTGAGATATTAATATATCTGGACCTAGAAATATAGATACAGGTATCTTTCTGACATAATGCTATGGGTATAAGGGTGCCAACACAGCTTTCATGGGAAGATCTATCATTTTTTCTGATATTATATTCACTTTACTGTTTGGGTTTTCAAATGGCCATAGTATTTTTAGTACCTTAGTGAAATAATTATTATAGTTGAAGATAGATTTTGTTGTTGTGGCTGTTTTGTCTTAAAATGTTTCCTACTTGACAAAAAAAAGAGAATTAATCCTGTATCACTATCCCTTTCCTTTTTAAAAATCATACTGGTCTATGAAAATCAAATATGGAAACCATTATAGCCAACTAACAATTTATAAATATAAATTGTGGCAAGTCACTATAACCCTTTTGTGAAATGTACAAGAAGAAGTTTTGCATTTAGAAATCAAAAACCAATTGTCACCTGATGCTCAACAACAAGGAGACATAAATTCATCAATGGAACTTAATAGCCAGGGTCATGTACTTTATGTTCTTTGTCTCTGCTTAAACTAACCATTTCCAGGTATCATTATCACTGTTTTTCAGATGACAAAAACCAGATGGAGTTAAATAATTGTTTTTCAAAATACTGTAGTTGGTAAATAGCAGAGCCAAGAGTTAAGTAGGAGTCTGAATGGCTCCAAAATGTTTCAGATTTAAATAGACGTCTGACTGCCTCCAAAAACCTTTCAATGTCTAGAGAAAGACAAAAACTGAATTAAGGGTTACAAAATGGGATTTTCAAAAAATAAAGACCAAAAGATTATACACTTACATATTTTATGTATATTTCCTAGAGAAAGGAAGTGTAAAAAGGAACTTCATAACTTGTTTTCAAATGTATATATGAATATAATGCATGTAAAATGAATATAATGTATGTAAAACTCAGTAACTGTTTTCATTTCCACCAAAGCAAATATAAGTGCGGTAGAGTATACCACAGCAAGTAGAAAAGTCCCTCTGAATTGTTAATACACGTTGGTGTATCAGGAAGGAATGTGCTTGTTGTAGATTTGAGGACAGTAGCTTAATCAAATATAGATTATATACATGGTAACCAGAAGTCCAGATGTGGATGCTTGCTGTGATTGTTTCAGTAGCTCAGTATTAGAGCCAACCTTGGCCTTCCTCTCATAGTTACACAATTGCTGCTACAGTTTCAGCTATCATATCTCCATTCAAGCAGGAAGGGCAAAGTGGTATGCCAGCTATATATGACTCATTTCATCAGCTTTTCTCAAACATCCTCAACTGCTTTTGGTTTTGATCTCATTAACCAGTGCTTGGCCTAATGTCCTTCCACAAAGTTACAAGGGAATTTGGGGAAGCAGGGAATAACATTGTCAGGACTGGCTTAGACCATGGGTCAGCCAAACTCTGCCCTGGGGGCCAAATTCAGCTCATACTTGTTGTAAATAAAATTTTGTTGGAATACTTCCATACCCCTTTATTTACACATTGTCTATGGCTCCTTTCATGTTACAATGGCAAAACTGAGTAGTTGCAACTGAGACCATATAGCCTGCAAAGCCTAAATATATTTACTCTCTGGCCTTTTACAGAAAAGTTTGCTGACACCTGGATTAAACCAATCATGATCCTTTGCCTGGGGTTGACCATATGGACACTTTGGGGGTAGCTGGGCTTCCATTAAGCAAGGAAGGGGAGAAAGGATATTGGAAAGAACCAACAATATATGTCTCACAGGTGGTCACCTGGTCCAATTAATTATATACAAGACCCAAAAGTGATAATATATTTTCGGTTTTAAGTCACAGAGTCTCCTTGAATATGTTTTTCTACTCCTTCTTTTCCTCAAGACCCAACTAAGACACTTTAGAAAGGCAGAAATTTTGCAAATACACAGTATCAAATTATTGACAATGTTGTGACAGACAGTGAATTCATTTCTAGTTTTCTGACTTTTACTAAGTTACTGTCAGAGTAGATCTTAAATCCATATTTTATTGATTGACACTTCCCTTTAAACTGTTTATTTTAGGTTCTTGCATACACTGAGGGACTTCACGGAAAATGGATGTTCAGCGAGATACGAGCTGTATTTTCAAGACGTTACCTTCTACAAAACACTGCTTTGGAAGTATTTATGGCAAACCGAAGTAAGTCCCCTTAATATTTTGAAAGAAAATGTGCTCATATTTACATATTATTCATTTACATGGTATGATAATGTCTTGATTTTTCCTACTGTATTTCTGATGTGCTCTAGCTTAAACAAACAGAAATTCTTTTTAAAAAATAAAAAAAGAATGAATTTGTTTGAAATGTTAGCCCTAGGTTTCTCATGGATAAAGTTATACTGAAAGCTGATTTTTCATGAAGATTCATTAGCTTTACAAATAAATCATGATAGGCACTTGAAGATGACTTGTAAAATTGATGGCTAACTTATCCTGCGGTTTTCTAAACTCTGTTTTTTTTCTTCTTACCACAGCCTCAGTTATGTTTAATTTCCCTGATCAAGCAACAGTAAAAAAAGTTGTCTATAGCTTGCCTCGGGTTGGAGTAGGGACCAGCTATGGTCTGCCACAAGCCAGGTAATTATATCATATTACATATTATCTATGGCTTGTTAACATATTTCAATCTCAATATTACAGCAATGTAAATGTGGTTATAACATTATAATTATTTCAGAGACCAAAGAATTTTCTTTCTCTGAAGGTTATTTGTAGGGATAGAGATTATGAAAATAGCTATTTTGAGAATGACAGAATGGTTAGGGCAGATTTTTATTTAATACATATAAATAACAAAGTAAAAAACTTGATTGCTTATCACATAGCTAGCATATAATTAAGACATTCTTGCTTGTTAAAATCTTACAGGAAACATACCAAAAGCCTGAAGATCATAAATGATTAATTGCTATGTAATAGCATATAAATAATGTTTTTATAAATGCCATATATAAATGCTTCTTAATTAAAACAATAAAACCCTGAGAGTTTATTAAGGGTAATAGTCATTAATTATGGTATAGTTGTAACCACATTTCCTAGATTTTCATCTTGGTATTTTAGAAGAATCATTTTGAAATCTTATATTATTAAAAGATACTAATGTAAGTAGAAAACATAATCAGTAGTTACTTATATTGCTGATATCAGTTTGTCGTTTTTGGCTCGAAATAACTGAATACCTTACTAAAAGTGGCTTAAACTATAGGGGTGTGTGTGTTTAATATAAAAGATCTGGAGTTAAGGTGCTGCCAGTATTGGTTCAGAGGTTCAGTGATGTCAGAACCCTGTTGGCTTTGTATTCACAAAATCACCGCTACTTCTTCAGCTACTACATCTTCACACAACTGCATTACAGTAGGAAAAAGACACAAAGGATTTCTCTTTAAGCTTCTCTGTTTTAGGAAGAATGTATTTCTCAGAAGCCTAAAGCAATCTTTATCTTAAGTCCCTTTGGCCAGAATACAGTCACCTTCCCATTCCTAAAACAATCACTGCCAAAAAGGTGTGAGTTCTGTTGGCTTAGCCCAATCATTCCCTAGGTTTTATGGAAAAAGATACCTCTGATTCTTTGCCAGCTCCTACATGAACAAAAGAGGATTTCCGTTGATGAAGAACAAAGGGAGATTGACTTTAGGTAGATACAACAATGTCTACCACATAGACTGTTATGTCCTTGAGAATTATTACACAGCACTGTATGGATGGAAAGGAAAACTAATCTTTGTCTATCCTCCCTTAAATAGGCTACAGACAACTGAAAGACAGGGACTGTGTTTTATTTATCCTTTAATCTACAGGACCTAACACAGTGCCTAATTGCAGCAGTGCTTTTTAAGTGCTGTTTAGCTGGGGTTACCTTGTATTGCAACTTATCTATTCTCTTTAAGCTTACAGTGTAAGACCAATTCACTGACACGTATACACATGCTCAAGATATTTGCTAGTAGAATGACAAGATTAAACTAAGATATTAGTAGATAATGAAGCACTTATATAAAATACAGGTCAAAGAAAAATGCATTTCATCTATCAAAGAAAATGAGGTTAGTTCTGCAAGACTTGTTCTTATTGAATCTAAGCTGACTCATAATAATCATTACTTCCTTTCCCAAGTGCTTACATACTATTTGTTTAATCATCAATTCAAGAATTTACTCAGGAATTGACATTAAGAACTTACGAATGGGCCTAACTTTTTCCTATTTAAGAATAATCTCCTGTCTTCTGGCATATTTCTCAATGACCATGATTCCTGAAAGATTACTAATAGAGGTTTCTATATGGCATGTATAATTTCCCTCAGTATTCTTTGACTTGTCTGGACCGGAATTCATTTAAAACAATCAGAAGCTCTTTTATTTTATTTCTTACCTATGATGAGTATTGTTTCCCTTTTAACCACATTTGGTCTCTTTTTGACGTTTGGAAGATCATTCTTTTTTTTTTCTTTGAGACAAGGTCTCACTCTGTCACCCAGGCTGGAGTGCAGTGGCGTGATCTCAGCTCACCGCAGCCTTGATGTCCCCAGGCTCAGGAGATCCTCCCACCTCAGTTTCCCAAGTAGCTGGGAATACAGACATGTGCCACCATGCCCAGCTAATTTTTGTATTGTTTATAGAGATGGGGTTTCACCATGTTGCCCAGGCTGGTCTCGAACTCCTGGACTCAAGCAATCCACCCACTTAAGCCTCCCGAAGTGCTGGGATTACAGGCAACAGTCACCATGCCCAGCTGGAAGATGATTCTTTATAAGAAAACTGAAAACAAAAGGCAGCTCAGTAGTTTTGGTCTCTCTGTAATTCATAATGCCATTCTATCTTCAAACGTCCTTTTGTTGTCCTTGGCTTATTTTCCCCCAAAAAGCTCAACTAATTATTAGTTTCCTAATAATATTCTTACAGACTCAGTTTTATGTACTTCCCTAGATATACATCCTTAGAAGTACCAAGTGGCAATGGGGAAACACTGCATCTAGGCTTAAACCTGTCACTTAGCTGGGTAACAATAAGCAAGCCTCACACTTAGTAGCAATTCAATAAATATTGGTGGAAAGAATGAATAACACTACTCAAGCAGAATGACATTCTTATCTACCATAAAATGGGGAAAATATCTTTACAAGAGATATTCTGCCAGAGATATTTTGCAAGATATCTTTGCAAGAGATATTTTGATAATCTTTTGTGCTATGTACAAGACAATGCCTATTAAGATTCCATGTGAATACTCATGTTAATAATCCATGAGTAACAGAAATAGCCTTAAGTCTGTTGTTCCCAAACTAAACACGAAGGAGTCCTGCGATATCACAGTGAATTCTCAGGGGTGCTGCAGGTCATTTTTTAATTTTTTAGGGAAAAACAGCAACATTTGTCAGATACCACACAAACTATTTGCTCGAGTTAGTTCCAAGTTTCAACTTAGAATGATTAGATAGGGCTGCATCTTTTTCAGTGACACCTCTGAGAAACTGGTGTTTGGTGGCTACTGTCTTCAAAAACAAGAGCCATATGAAAAATCAGTGTGGAACAGGAAATGAGTGTGGTGGTGTCAGATCTGATTCCAAGGTTTCAGAAGCTGTGCAGTTTCCAACAGACATACACACCCCATTAGTAAATGTGGTTATTTAAGAATGAAATATAAATATTTCTCTTTAAGTTTATGAGTATTGTATTTTCAAATAGCTACTCAGTTGTTAAGATGTTAAATATTTATTGAGTTGTTAGAGCTAACTACTTAATAAACAGAATTGTAAGATATTTCTCTTGGTCAAGGAGCACTATGAAAAATTATGGAGATACTAAGGGTGCCATGAATTGAAAAAGTTTGAGAACCTCTGTCAATCAGTTTAAAAACCCAGTAGCTTTATCATACTTTTCTAAATACAACTGCTTTTGTTATTTTTAGATGAACACATTGAACCTGGAAAGTTTCATAATTTGGACCAATGATCATGGTTTATTCCCTTAGGCTGTTCCTATGTCCCTTCTTCTGGACCCATGCATTTTTTCAAAGTTCCCAGTTGTTTATATTTTACACCATTGCAGGGATAGATATTGTACGGGCAGAGGCTGTGCATGTGTACACACTCTGTGTGTGTGAAGGCAAGTCGAAGAAGTTCATTGATAGACATTAAGTCAAATGCATGTAAACAGGTACCTGACTACCTACCTACCTACCTAATTAACATGGAGCAGATTTGCTGTATTGTTTAAAAGCTACTTGATTTATCTTAAGTATAGTTTTACTTTTTTTCTTGTGGATTTGTGACTCATTTGCAGCTGTGATTTGACAAATAAGGTTGCTTTCAAATTGTTTTATCCTGAGTAATTAAGTGTATCTTCTCTATAATAGAATTCTCAAATATTGCTAATTTCTACAATTAAAATATATTTTCTAATTCATCTAAGAAGGATAAACCATAAATTATTTTAAGTTGATTATCAAAGCAATATATTAGTTAATATTGGATTTTTTAAAGTTATGAATTAAAGAGACTATGTTTGTTATGCTGTGCTTAATTGCTAGGAGGATATCATTGGCCACTCCTCGACAGCTTTATAAATCTTCCAATATGACTCAGCGCTGGCAAAGAAGGGAAATTTCAAACTTCGAATATTTGATGTTCCTTAATACTATTGCAGGTAAGATGTCTCATTCTTTAATCTAATAATATGTTTATGTTCATCAAAATCATGGTAATGTAGCCTGATATAATACATTTTTCTCTTTGGAATTCAAATGCATCATTAGAGTAAATTTTGAAGCACTCACATTAAATTTTATCAGAAACTGTGCAAGCTCATACCAAACTTTTAGATGCATTTATTGTTGAAGAGGCTTTTCCTTGCTTTCCTTCTGCCATTTCCTTTGCTGACAGCTTTGTCTGAAGGTTTATTAGAGTCAACAAACCATTGCCAGAGTGTCTGGAAATAATAATGGGAAAAGTAATTTCACTACTTTGTCATTCTCAGCAATAGCAGCTAGACAGGAGAATAACAACAGGATTCTGCCTAGTACAGATGTCACCTGGAATATGGCATGATTAGGTTACAGCATCTTTTTTTCTTAAAATCTTCAAATAAAAATACAAAATCAGATTACATTTTCTAAATTATGAGTAACTGCCATCAACCTTTGCAGTACCATGCTTGCAAATCAAAAGGAGGTAGTGGCTTTGTTTTCTGCTAAATCAGTGGTTGTCAGTGGTTAAACATGTCTATGAGATTTAAGTACTTCATCTTTTTTCTTAAGTTAAGCTCCAAAAGCCCTTATTCATGATGAATTACAAAGAGTTTACTTCTATAAACCAGGCTCTACAAAAAGTTTTTGCAATTAGATGAATTCAAATAACCACATAAATAAAGGTGCTTACCATAATTATTGTTTTGTTATGAATGAATGCTCACAACCGTGTATTTAGAGCTGTGTACTTCTCTGAATCATTACTTTAAAAATATAACTATGTAATATTACTCTTTTTTAATCTATCATACATAAGTGTGACTAAAGATACTATAGGTATATATTAAATGCGGGTAATATAGATATGTATTAAATAGACAAAACTTGATTTGTCCACAAAAGGGAATAAAGCTATTTGATATATTAAAATGCTTTTTCACTTTAATCCCAATACATTCATGTATATATATGTTCATATATACATGCATTTATTCATATGTGTAGTACATACACATATATATCTTGAATAAACCTGTTTACTCCCTCAAAGATAAAAGAAATGTGTTATACTATTTAATTAGCACATTATTTATAAATAGAATGAATTTAAACATCTGAAATGTAAAGAACTTAATTTCATGAGCATATTTAAGTAAATAGCATGGTGTAGCAGAAAGAACACAACTTTCAACACCAAAGAGAAGAGGGAGAGAATCCCAGATCTGCCAACTTTCTGTCCTGGAGCATAAGTTGAATTTTAACTTTTAACTCTATCGTGGACTTTTAATATTTTAATAGCAATATTTAATATGTTTACATCTGTTTTAATAACTGGTATGTTTGGTCTTATATCATCTTGTCTTATACTTTTTTTTAATGTCCTCTTGCTTTTTATATTGTTTGTTCTCTGGCTTTACGAATGCTTTTTTGCTCAGTGCTCTTGTGATTTAAAATGTAAGCACCTTGTTATTAATTCCCCTAGAGATATTACATTTTTAAAAGCCTTATAAACTATTTTTCTTAATTTGAACTCAAAAATCAATTAACATTTTTAAATCATACCTAAGACAAAAACTTCAACTCAATTTTATTTCTCATTCATTGCTTATATTCGCAAATATAAATTACTAGCCAGAATCCAGATTATTATTAACTTCACACTCTGGGGTCTACGTCTTTTTGCAAATTAAGAAAGATTTCAAACTATTGAAATTATGTGTTCATGCAGTATATTATTTTCAGCTATATGGATCTTTACCTGATTTTTCGGGATGATATTCTCTGTACGTTCTTGTGTAACAGTTTTCCATATTCCCTGTATTAGGTTTTTATATTATCTGCTCTTGAGAGACCTATCAAGACAGTATCATTAGACACCATTAGGTGATTTTTTTTCCCTTGGCTGTGCTAGCTATTTGGAGCTGTTGGATATAAAACTGGAGGGCAGGGTGATATACCTCACTTGTAGTTCAGTTTCCAATGTAGCAGGCATTCATATTAAATGGTTTTCCTATTCTAAAATGAGATTTTCTCCAGGCTCTGGATGGAATGTTTTCTAGTTCATTGTTTTAAAGGTCTCTTCTAGTCTCCATCCCTTCCCACTGCATTTTACTCATGTAAGGTCAGTTTCCCACAGTGTGGTACAGTACCACCT
This sequence comes from Homo sapiens, assembly GCF_000001405.40. Taxonomy (NCBI): domain Eukaryota; kingdom Metazoa; phylum Chordata; class Mammalia; order Primates; family Hominidae; genus Homo; species Homo sapiens. Next base: position 35,557,298 of record NC_000013.11, read on the forward strand.
ATAACTACCACCCACTTCATGCCTGTTACTTTCTGGGAGTCTCTTTATCTGTCCAACTCTGGAAAGGTTGCTGTGTCTAAATCTGGATAGAGATAACATTGTCATGCCTTCTAAAAGTTACACCTGAGCAGTATAGAGCCTAATATGCTTTTTTCTATTTGGGACAATCTTTGGGTTTCTGAGCCAGAGCATGCAGACTCTGGTGGGAATTTAAAAGCATCTTGCTATTATTGTTTGAATCGTTGAAGTCTGTTTTATTTATAACATGAAGATTATATGGGCCACTGATTTTTTTCAAAAATTACTGGGTACTTCCTTTGCAATTATTATGACTAAACATGAAAGCCTGACTATTGTAAGCAATGGGATAAAAATTAACAATAGGGACTAGGCACACAGAACACTTACAGTCTAGATGAATAAGTGAAATACACGTAAATAAGACATTTTAAGATGGCTGATAGTAAATGCTGAATCATTGCTATCGTGAATGCTGCATGAGCTTAGCAGAGGGGAGGCATTTTAAAATGTGTTTGGGGAGAAAAAAAGAGAAGAGCTTCACAAATTTCTGCTAGTTGTATATATATGGTGTATTCAGTGGACAGAATTATCATACCTTCTGTGGAGTAGAGAATTATATATAATATTGGAGCCTTAGAGAAGAGCCAGATTATAAAGAGGCTTTTAGGAGTCAGTATAGTGTTAGAGTAGAAGGGAATGCGATGTGGAGTTTTAGAAAAATTAAACTGATAATTATGTATGGCATAAATCAAAATTGAGATTCCTTAGCATTAGTGCTATAAGGGGAGTAGTAATAGTAAATTGTTACTGAATATTTACTATGTACCACATATTCTATTTTTCCCTGACTACAGAAGCAAGTAAAGTATGGTTTCTGCCTTTGAAAAGATCGTAATATAGTGAGGAAGCAGACGTATACCAGTAATTCCACTAAAAAGTATTGGAATGTATAAAATTGTGTACAATTTTATAATGTATAAAAAAGTATTATAATGGGAGTATATGTGAAGCCATTTGAGGTAGTCAAATCTAGGAGCCATTATTTATAACTAAGAGAGCAGAAAAAGCTTCCCATAGGTGACATTTAAATTGGGAATTGAAATATGATTAAGAGTTCACTAGAAAGTAGGCAGAGGGCATTCCAAGAAGAAAATGTGAGGTGAAGATTTTGGATGAGCATATGGCAGCAGGTATGGCAAAAAGAGAGTAAATGACACTTTGTACAATATCATTATACAAAAAAGTTTCACTGTCATTTGTTCTAGTTCAGTGGTTATCAAAGTGTAGTCCCCTGACCTGCACTATTACCTTGGAGACCTGTTAGAGATTTCTGATCCTCAGACTCCTCCTCAAGCCTACAGAATCAGAAGCCGGCAACCTGCCTTTCAGCAAGCCCTCTAGTTGGTTCTGATACAAAAAGTTTGAGCACAATTGCATTAGCCATTTAAGACCTAATTATCAGGGCAAGATTTGCATATAAAACATTTAAAACATAGAAGAAAGTACAGGATTAAGTGCCATTCAGTGTAATAAAAGTTTAGAGAAGTGAGAGATTAATATGAAATAGTCTACTCGAGGAAACCTTGGAAAAGATGAGCTTTAAATGAACTCTTTAAGGATTTTGTCAGATGTAGATGACTATCCAGGCAAAATAAACCGTAATAAGTAGAATGACAATTGAAAAAAATTATGAATATGAATATCCTGAGGTACTCTCCCTGGATATATTCCTATTAATTTAATTCTTCCTTTGCTATCATCCTGAAATTTTAAATAGGAGTGCCAGTTTAAACTGAGCACCAGCATTAAAGACATGGGTGATGGTTTTCTTAGAGAAGCTTCAGTAATGCCATGACTGAATACTTGTTAGGGCAGCAATTAGATTTGCCTGTTTTCCTGATTGGTGGACAGTGTGTATCCATTCATCTCTTCTTATCAAATCACCCTTCAGAGTTCTCTTATGATCCTAAAATAAAGGGTGCTCTAAAGATGTTAAGTTGTACCAGTATCACTTTAACGAACACGGGTCCTAAAAATAATCATACTATTTTATAACACTGTTTTAGGGATACGGTTATTGTTCAGGAAGTATTTATTTCATTTGATTGATTGAAACTTAAGATTTATCATTTCTAGATAGGATGTTAGTCTTCTTTTTGACAAATGTAATTTCTTAGGTAATCTAAAGCCAAGACATGGTTGGCTTATATTTTGTCATAATATGTTTTAAACATTTTTATTTGATATCAAGATTCAGAAAAAAAATAGTATTGTTATTATGTCTTTCTTTCATTTTTCCTATTGAAACATTCCTTGGCCGGGCGCAGTGGCTCACGCCTGTAATCCCAGCACTTTGGGAGGCCGAGGCAGGTGGATCACGAGGTCAGGAGATGGAGACCATCCTGGCTAACACGGTGAAACCCCGTCTCTACTAAAAATACAAAAAAATTAGCTGGGCGTGGTAGCGGGCGCCTGTAGTCCCAGCTACTCGGAAGGCTGAGGCAGGAGAAGCTGAAGCAAGAGAATGGCCTGAACCCGGGAGGCGGAGCTTGCAGGGAGCCGAGATCCCACCACTGGACTCCAGCCTGGGCGACAGAGCGAGACTCCGTCTCAAAAAAAAAAAAAAAAAAAGAAACATTTCTTTGTTAATAATAAGAACTCAGAAAAAATAGTAAATAATAGTTTATGACTATTGAATAATTTATAATGTGCCAAACATTGTTCTAAGGACTTTATATATATTTGCTCATTTAATCCTCACAATAGCCCCATGAGTTAGGTTCTGTTCTTATCCCCATTTTACAGAGATGAGGTAGAGAGTAGCTAAATAACTTGGCCCAAGTCATAGGGCTAATAAGTGACACAGTCGGGATTCAAACCTAGGCAGTTTAGCTCCAGAGTCTTCATTCAGTTACTACAGCGTACTGTTCCAGGATATTCCTGGTACCATACAACTTCACCTCCAGTCACCAGCTTTAACTTATTAGCTGCTTTTAAAACCTAAATAATTAATGATTTAAAACAATTTTGTAATTTTCTTTTACATTTCATCAAATTAACCCTTTGAAATTTATTTACTGTCATGACTTTTGTAGATACTGATATTCTAGTACTAGATCTGGGCCTGGAATTACTATCTTTAATGTAGAAGCTGGCACTGTTTTCAGTTAAGCTTTAGATCAAGAGAAAAAGACTCTGAGACAGAGATTTGCTTGAGGATTTTTATTGAAAAGCCCTTGGGATCAACATCTGTGGGGGAGTGAAGAAGTTAGAACTGGGCAGAAGGAGGATTCAGACCTCAGTGCAGTTGTGACAAAGGCTTCAGTAGATCCCACAGGGTGCCTGGGGCTGGGGTAACCGTTCAAAGTTGTCTTGGCTTGAGGCAAGGGAGCCAGGTCTTCATTACCTCCACTCTGCAATCATTGGATGCAGACTCCTGGGAAGGAGACATGACTGGATTGGGGGCTTTCTTCTAATGGTAGCAATTCTTCGAGATGGACATAGCTGAACACCACCAGCCATGAACACCACCAGCCATCATTGCTCCCAGCATCCACCATACCAGCAGTTCTCAGACTTCAGTGTATCCAAAGCAGGATTGCTAAAACCCTGATCTTTGGTTCCCTACTGCCATAAGTTCTGATTCAGTAGGCTTGGATTGAGCCGCAAGAAGCTGCATTTCTAAGAACTCCCCATTTGATGCTGATGCCATTGATCTAGGGACCACACTTTGAGAATTACTGCCCTATATCTATATCTTTAAAAGACATACCTAAAAATAATTTTATTAATCTTCATATAGCACCGTCAGTATCACACATGATGACTCTTATGATAGGGCATCCTTAGCATTTTATGTGCATTTTATCTTCCCAATGAGAAAAAAAGTTTTGCTCAGTAAATACCCATGAAATTAAGTTACTTAATATTTATTTTTGTAAATATTTGCAGGATGTTGTGATCTATTATGTAAATTCACTAGAATTACTGGACGAGGGATTCTTTAAACGTCTTGGATTAAAGAGAAGTGTTACAGAATTGGAATCTGGTTGACAAGATGAAACAATCTTTTCTGGCTTCACATGTTTAAAAATATAGGTCAATGTGACCTAATAAATTTCATATTTTCTATAAATATTATCCACAAATATTCTATAAATAATTCTAAGACTTAGATTAAAACAGTACCAAACTGTACATTATTATTACACTCTCAGATTTATCTTTTTTCCCAAAAATATTATTTTAGTATGAAATGCAAAGTACATTTTATGACCCATTTCTTAAAAGTGTCTCATACTTGACCAATTTCACTTTTCTCCTTTCTAGATGCTTTTAAAAATAAGATTCTGTATAAAGCACATGGTCTCAGTATCATAGTATTAATGCATTATGCAGACTTTTTACACCCTCCTGTGGTATGTGTACATGTGCATAATTGCATATAAATAAACACACATTTACTGTATGTAAGTTTTGTAAAGATACTTTACATAGAAGTATCTTGCCAAAAGAAGCTTGCCAAATATCCCGGAAACGTATTTAAAAGACATCTAAAATCCCATAAATGTGTTCTTAGGCTTTGTTTTATTCTATTTATAAATTTAATGAATGTTCATTATAGAAAATTGGAAATACAAAAAATGGTAATTTTAAAAATTAAACCACTCAAAAGTCTAACCGTAAATATCACAGTTGACATTTGGGTGATTTTTCTGTTTTTCATTCTCTGTGTGTGGTGTGTCATTGGGAACCTGTAATGTATACAGGTTTGCTTTCTACTTTTTCCATTTCACTAAATATTCTTTGAAGGCATGACTTTTAAAACTACATGAGAGTCCAACCTAGAAATATGGCAAAATTTCTTTAACTATTTTTGAAACACTTGATTTTTTTCAAAGAACATTAAATTTTAGATGATTGTGTAAAATAATCTTAATGATACTTAGAGTTCTACTAAAAATGTGGTTTCAACTTTCAGTTCCCAAATTGACCTGATTTCTGTTTGTTTTCTGAAAAATACAACCTATGCCTTATTTTATACCTTGTTAGATAATATTATGCAAAAGATATTAAAGCCTGTAATTCTTGCATTTTAAAAAATAGGAGAGTAACCGCTAACACGGCTTTGTGTAAATGATCCCCTGTTAAACTTGAGAATTTTTTTTAAGGATTTTGAGTTGTTTTTCATATGATCAGCTAATGAATTCAGCACAACTTCTCCAACCCCAACCTTTTTCTCCTGTTTAGCATTTTCCACTTTTTTACTCTGTGATGAACAAGCCCTCCCTGGTTAATTATGTATATATTTAGCAACTGCATGTGTTGGGCTTATTATTGTCATCTAATTAGATGTAACTTGAACTGCTTGCTTCTAGAAAAATCATTAAAAATTCTTTCCTAATGACCTAGAGATGACAAAATGTCTGTAAAGTGTGAAGAAGCAGACAAGCACAGGAACATCGCTCTTAAAGAGTGTTAATCCAGATGCTGCCATCATCTAATTAAACAATATTTTGCTGTCATTAACATTTTCACCAAGGAATTGCAGTTATAATTTCTTTGTCAGCTGTCTCTAGATCACTTTACCTTCAAAACCAAAGTGCCATATAAAAACATTAAATTGGATGGTTTAATTAAAAAGTTTTTTTAATGAAGAAACATATCCAGTGTTTCTGAGATCTCATTTACTGTTTCACTTTTATTATTTGAGTAGATTAGTGTCATAGGCTTGCGGTATTTAATATTCATCTTCCAAGATAAATTCTTATAAGCATAGTTAGCAAAATAAAGTGTATGTGTGTGTGTGTGTGGAGATAGATAGATAGATAGATAGATAGATAGATAGATAGATAGATAATCTCCACACACACAAATATATATATTTACTTACCACTGCTGGAAAAGGAAAGGACCCTACCAATTATAGCACCAGTGTATTTACTAAATATCAACTATCCTAAAGAAAAAACAAAACAATTAGTAATTAAACATCTAGGTATGCCAGAGCCTCATGAGTATTACTTTGGAAATAACTCATTTTTTGGATGATTTAATGAACAGTATTTTTTTTCATTTCACAAAGGTGTTCAGTAAAATAATTAAAGGAGTAATACTAATTCATGATTAAAACATATCAATGCAAAACCCCAAAGTGCCACTTCATCACTCTTTTTTTCCATGTAACATTAAATACATTGTGCATTTTTAATTCAAATCAAATACATATATGACTGTCCATTTTACAAGGCTCTTATGCAGAAATTTTTATTAAAAACAAGCATTAATGTCATATTTATTTATAAAGTTTATTATATTTATTAGAATTAAAATAATGCTATAAATCTCTGCTAATTTAAAAATTACTAAAATTTTCTTTTTAGCACTTATTTTCAAAGGACCTCTCAAAGATTATTGAAAGTGAATTACAAAAAAAAATGCAGGACAGAATAATAGACATGAAATATGGCTATTGGCATCATTCATTTTGTGTATACGTGTGTGTGTATTTTTAAATAATGCTTTTCTTCTTTGTATTTTTTTCCTAAAATAGCATTATTTTTTTTTTAACTTTTATTTTAGGTTCAAGGAGTACATGTGCAGATTTTTTATAGAGATAAATTACATGTCATGGGTGTTTGGTGTACAGATTACTTTGTCACCCAGGTGATAAGCATAGTACCCAATAGGTAGTTTTTGGATCCTTACCTTCCTCCTTCCCTCTACCCTCAAGCAGTATCCTTTTCTTTCTTAGAAAATCATTTCTATTAAAAAGGCTGGTGTCTTCAAATATAGTCTACATTTTTATGCTGTTTGCATTGACACAGTACATTTAAATACTGTGTTTATGTAAATTGGCTTTTTAACAGTTTTCCTTAATATATAAATTATAAAACTTCATCAGAAATTATTTTAACAATTGTGGTTATCTGATTTTCATCTATCAATTAATTTATTTAAGTAATATATGTTATATCTAGATAGGTAGCATCAGCATTATTCTATTAAAAAAATATACACTGGAATACTTGCTTTTCATTAAAATCTACAGATTTTTAAGTAGAACAGCTCCCCCAAGAAAATGGAAGAGCTCTAAACTCTGCCATGGACCCATTTAGGATCCCAGAAATAGCTCTGTCTAGCCAATCTGTACTCTTTGTATATATACATATAAAAAAAGTACTGAGCCCTATCAGGTGTCCTAGGTTAGCATACATATGAACTATTAGTAATAAATTTTCAAGTTTAGAATTGTACAGCTTTTATTTTACAATATTGGTACTGTTTTAGCAGATTATTGTCATGTCAAAAGACTTTAATATGGCTCCGAACTCTTGTTTAATCTCATCATTAGTATTATTCACCATAGACTTAAACACAAGCAGGTTCATTGATTGCTTGAGCTACCTAGCTGTAGATGTTTTCTTCTCGTTTAATGTAGACATTCACAATATCATTCTCTCTCATATATACCTCTACGCCTTTGCATAATCCTCGTCTTCTAAAGATAATGTTCTGCAGTTTTCCTTTACTTGACTTATATTTGTTCATCTTCTGAAATTTGGGTCATTTTATTCCATTTTTATCACATGCATATCCATTCCATCAACAAACATTTATTGGGCAGATGGCATATGCCAACACACAGAGATTAAAACAAACAAACAAACAACCCAGCCCTGACATTTATGAGTTTACAGACTGGTGGAGAGGCAGAGAAGTAAACAGCAATGTATATCAGGTGTAATAGAGGTCTGTATGAGAACTGTGGTGAGGCAACACAGGGGAAGCCCTAACCTAGCTGTAACCTCATCCCAGTAAATGCAAAGTGGAAGCAACATTCTGCTGCCATTACCCACACCTATATTACATACCCACACCTATATTACATACCCACACCAGTTTATACATTTAAAGCAATATGCAGTTTAGTTGTAAAATGCAAAGCTTCATATAATAAACAGATAAAATAGTCATCAATAAAGTGTTTTCTAAATATATTAATTAATTTGGTTTGGTGCTTGCAATTACAGATTTTGGTTCTTACTCAGATTGTAGTTCTTTTTTTTTCTATTTCACAGTTATGTTTTCCAAATGCTGTAAGAGCAGATATCATTTAATGTAATTTCCTGATGATGAACAAGATAATATCTGCATATCTATGCTACTGTGATAGTACATGTGGTGTGTGCAACCATGGCATACTGGATGAAACTCATATCACTAAATACCAGTGAAATAGCTGTTTTGTGTGAATTTTAATGGAAATTTAGAAAATTACTGATAATTGGATCATAACGCATTTTTATAAAAAATAATTTTGTTCAACAAAAGTTTTCTTAGGATCCTGTTTCTTTAATAGCTATTCTCTTAATTTCACCTGATCATGTTTTTTCAGTTTCAGTTTATGAGGGGGGGCCGCAGCTTGCTCCCCTAAACTTTCCCCATTCCCACTGTGCCTCAATATCATACCTGAAATATTTAAGTCATTCTACCAAAACATAAGCAGACATATTCACCCTAAGATCGAGCAGTTCTTCGCTAAAGTGAAACAACATAAGACAAAAAAATATTTCATGAACTTAAGGAGTGAAAAAATGTATGATTGACATCTGCCTCTGTAGTTTCTCATCCTAGCTTCAGAGTACTTCTGTCCACTCGCAAATTCTCTGCATTCATTCTTGATATAAGTTTAACATAGTATTCTGTGTACTCATAATATAATTTCTAGATATATATTCATTATAATAGAATACCATCACAGCCAGGTGCAGTGGCTCAGGCCTCTAATCCCAGCACTTTTGGAGGCCGAGGCAGATGGATCACAAGGTCAGGAGTTGGAGACCAGCCTGGCCAACATGGTGAAACCCCATCTCTACCAAAAATACAAAAATTAGCCAGGTGCGGTGGCGCGTGCCTGTAATCCCAGCTACTCAGGAGGCTGAGGCAGGAGAATCGCTTGAACCCGGGAGGCAGAGGTTGCGGTGAGCCAAGATCGCGCCATTGCACTCCAGCCTGGGCGACAGAGGGAGACACCATCTCAAAATAAATAAATAAATAAATAAAAGATAAAATAGAATACCACCACATAAGCTGCAGATGTGCAGGTCAGTGGGGTGACTTCCTCCATAATTACTTTCAGGGCCTCTGACTGGCAAGGCTCTGCTTCCGGGGTTGCAATATTATCTACATCAGCAGAAGAGAGATGAGACACACATGCAGGAAGTTTCAGTGGGCCAAGTCTTGAAGAGACTTTGCTCACATTCTGTAGATGAGAACTAAATCCTGTGGCCAGAGCTACTTGTAAGGGAGGCTGAGAAATGTGGTGTAACACAGGAAGAGGAGAATCAATTACAATAACCAGCCAGTAGCCTCTATCACAGTCTTATAAATAGTAATTCTAGTTACGTCTTAAAACAATTATTGAGTGAATTCCCTTGAAATGCATTGTTATCAGAGTTAAAGATACGGTTCAATAAATAAAAAGTTATTTTCTTCTGAAATTCAGTAGATGCTTTGTAAAAACAGAAACTATTTCATAAGCATTTTGTGTGTACAAATTTTTATTTCTGTTTTTCTTTACTAGGACGGACATATAATGATCTGAACCAATATCCAGTGTTTCCGTGGGTGTTAACCAACTATGAATCAGAAGAGTTGGACCTGACTCTTCCAGGAAACTTCAGGGATCTATCAAAGGTAACTTTTAAATATATAGAAGTCAGCTTTCTTCATAAGGCTATAGTCTAATAGTATTTCTGTCAGAGTATATATAGCCAGTTAATGTTTGTAAGAAGGTGAAACTGATTATCTTGACTTACATAGTCAGTTTCTAAATCTTACCAATTCTTAGCACAGGAATTAAGCTACAAGAAGATAAACTAGTACTAGCATAGGCAAAATGAAATGGGTATTTGAGAAACAGCAGATGTAGAGAGAGTTTTCTCATATATCCTAGGCTTTAAAGTCAAGGTTAAAAACCTAAAATTAGTAGAAAATATGATGGCAAATCATTTATGTGATATGTTCCTTAGATGGTAAGACATTTATATTGACCATAAAATACACACATTGTAGGGAAATATAATACTGAAAAGAAAGTCAGTTAATTTTACCAAGTGTCTGTCTATATATGAGAGAGAAGATATGGCCCAAAAGATGGCAAGAAAATGGTGCATAACGGTAATGAGAAATAAAAGGCAAAATTTTTATTAGCTCACCTCATTTGTCCAGAGGAAACTACAGTGTGATACTAAACTGTTTGAAATTCAGTGAAGAACTGGGAACTAAGCCCAAAAAGCTGCTCTATAGTCTAAGCTTACGCCAGAGGCCTGCCTTAAAGTTTATGTATGTTAGCCATAGTAAAGCCTCAGCCCATTGACTTGGAATGTATCTCTGTTTTCTATCAGACTTGATTGTCTGATTTAGCAATCCACAGAAAGTTGAAAGGTATTTGTGTATACATTTGGTTTTAGGGGGCAGGTTTAAGGGGCTAATTGACAAGAGCAGCATAAGCCCTGTGATTTAGGGAAACAACATTACAGCTGATTTAAAATTAATCCCACAGATGGTTTTTAACTCAGCATGCCTGCTTCTGCCCCTTTTCTGGCCTTTGAAACCTAGACGTACCTAAGTTGAAGTTCTATATTGCACTAGTTACTAGCTCTGTGACCTAAAGCTAGTTTCTCTTGTCCCATTTGTAATATGAGAATAATAATACTGTCCCATGTCAAATAGTTGTACAGATCTAATGACATGTACATTTAAAAATTATAACATAGTACTTGGCACATAGAAGCACTTCCTGAGTATTAAGTATTATTGTTACACATGGAATATTTCTTAGCCTCTTTTGAAGACTGTTTGCTAGTTTTTTCATGTTCTTATGCGTCATTCAGTATCCAATTCTTTTATTTTATATAACTCCCTATTAAATTTTAGTTGATAGCTCATGGATAATTTTAGCTGTGGTATTATAGATGTTAAAGGGACCTAAAAGATCAGTTAGCCAACATCTTACTGAGAGTCACACAACTGGTAGAAATAAATTGCTAGCAAATGAATTCTAATACGCTTGCAAATATAGTAATTCTTCCAAGGTGAGTCAACCAAAAATTCTTAACTATTTACCATATTCAGGTAACTAAATTATTTAAGATAAGGTAGATAGAAGCATTGTAATTCATGCAGCCTGCCCTTCAGGAACAAATCTAGTTATAGATTATCTAAATAATAAGATCAGTCCCCCAAAAAATTAAAAATAAAGTACAATATTTTAGAGAGACCCACACAAGAGATAATACATGCAGGTTGAGTATCCTGTATCTGAAATGCTTGGGACCAGAGTGTTTTGGATTTTGGATCTTTCTGGATTTTGAAATATCAATATATACATTATATACTTACCAGTTGAGCATCCCTAATCTGAAAACCCAAAATCCAAAGTGCTGCAGTGTTTCCATTAAGCATCACATCAGTGCTTAAAAACTTGGATTTGGGGCATTTGAGATTTCAGAATTTTGGATTAGGGACAAGATTAGGAACAAGAACTCTGCAGCTAGACTGCCTACATTCAAATCCTAATTCTGCCATTTACCAGCTGTGGAGCTTTAGACAAGAGTATTAGTTTCTCTTTGTCTTAATTTCCTCACCTATATAATGAGACATCAATAATAATAGGGTTGTTGTGTGGAGTGGTGGATGGGTTAATAAGCATAAAGGACTTAGAATAGTGCAGGGACATCAGTATTAGCTAATGCTATGTATATGACAATAATAGAGTGGTGAATCATTGATATAGGCCATATGCTTTGAATTGTGTTTCAAATAATGATGATGAATATATGCTACTACATACATATTGGATGAGAATATTTGAATGGCATGCATGACTTGCCAAGGTTGAAGTGTAATTTTGGGGTGTAAAACAAAAACCAAACTAACTTATTGATGTGAGGATGAAAACTGTCAAACTAGTTCTTTGACAAAATCTTGTCTGCATGTATTTTATTTAACATAAATTGAATAGCCATTACTTAGACATTATAAAATATATATACGATAAAAATTCAGAGTATAGATTCTCAGGTAGCATATTACAACCTCGTACGATGACTACTATTATGGCTATTGTATTATTTTTAAAACAAGGAAGGAAGTTCTTTTTATTTAAAATCAACTGGGATGTTGTGTTTAAAGGAAACTTATAGACTGAAGCTCCTTTTTTTCTCTCCATTTATTTATTCTTTCAGTTGTTCAGTCAACAAATATTTATCACACATGTGCTATATGTCAAACACTCTACAAGTGAAAGAGTGTACAGGAGTGAATAAAGCAGACATACTCCCAGCCACTTGAAGGGAGTTCAGCCCAGAGCAAAATGAAAACTCAGATAGTTAACAGTAATATGAGAGGCCAGCATTTACAAGATAGGTATAGTAGGGACTGTGCCTCACTGGGGAGTACAGGCTCAGACTCACTAAGACATTTGGACTCAAATGTTCTTGAAACACTGGCCCAGCCAAAGAAAATGTGGCACTCATTATGATTAGTATGGGTTATAGAAGGCATCTGGTAACATATTTGCTGGTAATCATAGATTTTTTTCATTTATCCATGTAGGAAAAAATGAGTTAAAATAAATGAGGAAGTCACTGTTTCTACAGTAACTGAAGATATAAACATTTCAAGGTTTTGTTTGTTTGTTTGTTTGTTTGTTTGCTTGCTTGCTTTTGAGACGGAGTCTCGCTCTGTCGCCCAGGCTGGAGTGCAGTGGTGCAATCTCGGCTCACTGAAGCCTCCTCCTCCCAGGTTCAAGCGATTCTCCTGCCTCAGCCTCCCAAGTAGCTGGGATTACAAGCTCCCACCACCAAACCTGGCTAATTTTTTTGTATTTTTAGTAGAGACAGGGTTTCACTATGTTGGCCAGGCTCGTCTTGAACTCCTGACCTTGTGATCTACCCACCTCAGCCTCCCAAAGTGCTGGGATTACAGGCGTGAGCCACCACGCCCAGCCCATTTCAGGGTTTTTATGCTAATCTGTGTAATGTGTATTTCCTTTGGCAGAGCTTTTCCTTTTGTGCCTCACATGTGCTCCTCTAATTTTATATAGTGTTAAGTAAATAATACAGGTAAACAGACGGAGCCTAAATAAATTAGGCAATGTGACTACAAACTGTAGTTTTGCAAGCATGTAGTTCTTCATGCTGTGAACAGTTGAATCCATGAGCTCTTAAAAGATAGGTAGCTTTTCTTCCAATTTTACTATATTCTATGCTTTAGCAATTTGTTCTTTCTATTCTGTCACCCTAGCATGATAGGAAAATGTTAGCAAATTAAAGCCTCTTGATATGTTAATAAATTACTCGTGCATTGTTCCCATGCTTCATTGAATTTCTTAATAGGAGCTTCTTACAAATGAGCTAGAAACCTGAGACTATCCTGTATAAAATCCATCAATAAACAAGATTTTAATGTATGAAAATATATCTTTTTATATGCCTAATGGGAAAATGACATTTGAAGTATAATAATATAATTGGAAGGAAAAACTACTATAGTGCAATATTATCACAATGAAGAGATGTCCACTAAGAAGCACATGAAGTTCTTGTAGTTATAATCAATACCGCAAATGAAAATTTTAATGGAGAGTTTCTTACTCTTCAGAAGCTCAAGGAAAAATTGAAATACTTGAATGATATGACCAAGAACATTCTAAAAGATCTCTAACAACAAAAGTAGTTGTTTCTAAACAAACACTGGGACTCCTGATCCCAGTAATAATTCTTAGCAGTGAATAATTCTAGAATTTGTTTCAATAAACATGTGGTACCCCAAATACTTTTTATATTCCTTACTATATGAAAGAATTAAGAAACTATGAAATGTACAATGCCAAAAAAATAAATATTTATTTTCTTTCTTTATACCACCACATTACACAGGCTTCATGAAATTCTGTGTTGTATCAGTTGGGAAACTTCTGAATGAAAGTTTCAGAAAACACAGCTGAAAGTGGCTTGAACAATAGTGGGAATTGGGAGAAAAAGTCAAGAGGTTGTAACTGGAACATGAAAAGAATGTAGGCTTCGCTCAAATATTTGTTTCTGTGTCACATATTGTGCAAATTTAAGATGTTTTCTAAATTCTCTGAACTTGTTTTCTCATCTTTAAAATGAACACAATCATACTTACATAATAGGGTTGTTGAAAGATTTTAACACCGTAAAGTAGTTAAGGCACCTAGTATAATGCCTGACACAGAAGTGGCATTCAGTGAGTGGCAGTGACAAAGCAAATTTCCATAATTGTCATTTGAGAGTTCACTATCTTTGGTATGATTGACAAAAACCTACTGAAGGTTATTTGATTCCTCTGATTTATTTTTTATTCTAGTAAGATTAAAAATTAATGCCATTTAATAAAATATTTTAATTCAATAAATAATTCTGTTTTATCATCTATTTGAGTTATCAAATTATCAAAACTGTAACATCAAAACACTAAGGTTATATTAAATGTTTATTAGAACTTTAGGTGCACATTTATTTAGACTGAAATATTTTATATTTATAATATTCTTACTTGTTCTTTGGCCCACTTAATTGAACATTCGAAGAGCACAGGAGCAAAAAAAAAGTTCTTTATCAGTAAGATTTTTTAGACCTCTCATTTGATTAGACATCACAGGTTCAAGTTTTATTTATTATGTGTACAGGTTAGGGGCTATGTTTATTGTTTGACATGAGGGTCAACAGATGAAACAATCTGCCTTTGACCTATCTTTTCAACACCAACCAACAGTAGGTTTAGAGATTTCCTCCCCACCCCATTTATATAGGTATTCCTTATGGAGATGTAACCTTATGGTGAAATCTATCTTACAACATGATATATGCTAGGGCTTCAGTTATTTACATATACTCATATGAACTCGACTCTTAAATTACAGTGGTTACATGACTTTGATGTGAAGCACAGTCTCTGCTCATTAAAGTGTAAATAGAATTTTCCTATTTCCCAGTCATGCCCTCTGATAAGTGAAATAGTTTCATCACAAAACCAAGTCCTACTAATATTGACATGAACATAAGACATCACATACACACACCCATTCATCGAGTGGAAAAAATATATTTTGTTAACACAGGAGTTGTTTGACTGACAGATGATGATAAGCATAACCATTTTCCCAAATTATTATGCCACTTAATAAAAGGAAGTGATAATGCCTTGAGGCTTTGAAATGTGATAATGCAAATGGATGCACTGAAGTGTGAATACTCTTCAACCATCCACCCTCAATACTTCCAAATGTCTATCTACCACACAGAAAAGAGTTTATATTGGTAAGGTGGGGAATGCATGACTCAGCAATCTAGAGCAAGTTGGGTTTGTTGTTGTTGTTGTTGTTGTTGTTGTTGTTGTTTTTGAGATGGAGTCTCCCTCTGTCACCCAGGCTGGAGTGCAGTGGCATGATCTTGGCTCACTACAATCTCAACTAGAGCAAGTTTCTGTGGTTATTTTATCTTTCTTTTTCACTGTAAGTTAACAACATCTAAAATGAAATTAATTCCATTTACTTGATCATAATCTACCTAATGCTTAATTTTAAACAACAAAATATGAAGTATGGGCAAAACTACTAGGTGTGTTAGTGGTAGGATGATACAAAACTAAAAGATAAAAGTGTAAATGTGTAAATATAATTATATACCATCTGCCAAATAACCCTGCTGCCAAATTTGAAATAACTTGTTTCAATGTATGTTGAATGCTGCCTTAACATATAATCCACACTATGTTGAAAATTGTTTTCATTAGACTTGCTAATATGGCAGTGCTGAGGGACAAGGTATTGACTGGCAGTGTTTGGATACTGTTTTAAACTCATGAGATATTCATTTATTTAAATTAATACTTTTATTCATTCACTCATTCTTTCATTACACAAGCATTTATTGCCAACCTACTCTGTGCCAGACACTGGAGATACAAAGGCAATAAGACTTAGTTCATACCTTTAAGAAGTTACAGTCATTGTTTACCCAGTGACATATTAAGCTGTTCTCCTTCTAATTGAAAAAATGGAAGAACCAAGAAAAGTGCAACTAAAAAGGTAGACTTCACAGACACTGGTAACCAGAAACAGTGAAGTGTTTTTGTGTTTGTTTGTTTATATCTCCAGTGTTGCTTGTTGGAGACATAATAGGGTGACAGGGAGCTTTATAGATTTATACAGAACTTCCAAAGCAGTCCTAGGCTCTGTTTGCTTATACTAAATGTCTCTTTATCCTCTTTTCTTGTTCCTTCCCACTTAGCCAGCTGAATCACCCTTTCAGAAAAAGAGAGGGAAAAAAATCCTATAGAGCCTGTTTTGCTTTGAAAATTTTAGGCTGTTAAAGAAGAAACTGAAAACAGCAGGAACACTGTTTAGTGTATGCTCTTAGAAGAATCCTACCTATGGAAAGGAAAAGAGAGCCTGCTTTATGCACTTTAATTTCACCAGCCACATGTCACCTCTGTGTCTAAACCACAGCATTATCATGCAAAACTAGGCCAAATTCAGTCTCCTTTAACCTTTCTTTCCAGCTGAAACAAAATATTAAGCAGTTAGAAGTGATCTTGAAACTAATTTGTAGCCCCATCATTATCCTTCTACTTAATACCTGGAAAACTTCTAGAACTAACACATGAAGATTTAAGATGCTCTACTGTTTGTAGGTGAAAGTATTTACTTTTCACTAAGATATATAAAACTAACTTTCTTAGGAACTATCTTGGGATAATGATAATAATAATAGCCAATATTTTGCATGTGTTTATTATATGCCAGGCATTGTGCTAAGCATCTTACATGGATTTTCTTGCTTTACCCTCACAACGCTATGATGAGTTGCACTGGTTATATAGATTGCATTTTCTTCCATTCGTTACCTATTATTTCTCCATAATACATAGGTAGGATATTCTTTAAAAAAAAAAAAAAAGCTAGTGATTAATTTCTCTTCTAGATGCCCTCTACCTTTTCTAAGTGCCCTGGCAGTTTTTATACACTATCAAAAAAAAAGAAAAACAAAAGAAAAAAAACAAGGAAAGAAAAAGAAAAAAGAAAAACTCTCCCTATTATCCAGTAAGAATGAGTTCTTTTAAAATATCCTGCACAATGCTCAGTCATGTCAGATATGAGGAGAGGAGTCAAAAGAAATGCGGTCAGTGAGCCATTCCACACCTCCAAAGTTTTCAGTCCTATGTGGGACTAGCATTCCTGTGAAAGTGCCTAAAGCTGGATGTGGTGGCTCACGTCTGTAATCCTAGCACTTTGGAAGGCAGAGTCAGGAGGATTGCTTGAGGCCAGGAGTTTGAGACCAACCTGAGCAACATAGCCAAACCCTGTCTCTACAAAAAATTAAATTAAAAAAATAAAGTGCCAATAGATTTTTTTTTTTTTTTGAGTTTCGCTCTTGTTGCCCAGGCTGAAGTGCAATGGTGCAATCTTGGCTCCCTGCAACCTCCGCCTCCAGGGCTCAAGCAATTCTCCTGCCTCAGCCTCCCCAGTAGCTGGGATTAAAGGCGTGCACCACCACGCCTGGCTAATTTTTGTATTTTTAGTAAAGATGGGGTTTCACCATGTGGGCCAGGCTGCTCTCAAACTCCTGATCCACCCGCCTCGGCCTCTCAAAGTGTGGGGATTATCGGCGTGAGCCACCATGCGGCCAAGTGCTAATAGATTTTGCTAATCAAATTGCAACTTTAGATCAAAGATGATCTTTCTTCATAATATACTCAATTCCACCCTATGAAAAACTATAAAAAGAAACACATTTAATTAATAGAAAAATGTAATCTTAACACTTCTCTTTATTATCGTTTCATGACTTCAGGTTCTGTTCCTTAATAATGTATTTGAAAATTGTGTACTGATTTGCTGAAGTTCATCTGATGACAAAAGGCCATATTAAGCCAATTAACAGTATAAAATTGCAAAGGGAATGTTTAATCCACACTTACAAGAACGTAATTTTAACATATTTTAGAGAAACAAATTTTCAAGTCATTTAAAGCATTCTTATTTAGAACAACCCAAAACATAGGAAAGACTTGGATTGATTGGAAAGGTTTTGTTTGTTTTTGTACTCTATTTTAATTGATTTTGACTTTACTATGAAAATTTTTAAGCAAAGAAAAAGTACCAATTCCTAATAACAATACCCATTAACCAATACCTACATGTTATAATTATTGACAGTTTAGCTTTTATTGGTTTACTGAAGTATTTTTAAATAAATTAAATATATCATACTTTACCCCTAAATATTTCAGTGTGAAAAATAGTATTTTCCCATATAATCAGATCACCATGATTATATCTAACAAAACTTATGACAGTTCCCTAATATTATCTAACACTGTGCCTATAATCAAGGTTTTCTAATTATCTCCCATGTGTCTTAAAAATTGTTTTGCTTAAGCCAGGATTCAGTCAGCGACCACACAGTACATCTGATTCTTCTGTCTTATCTGTCTAAAGGTTAGAATAGCTCCCAGCCACCCTAACACCCCCACCTTTTTTTTCATGATATTGACTCATTTAAGAGAGCATGCCAGTTATCTTATAGAACATAACAATAACAGCCAATATTTTGCATGTATTTATTATATGCCAATGCTAGGCTTCTGAATTTGTCTTTTTGTTCCTCGTGTTGTCATTTAACTCGCTGTAACTAGTAAGGTTTTGATGTACGCTGATTCAAATATCAATGAAGATTGATAATAGAAGTTTTTTGTTTTGTTTTGGTTTGGTTTTTTTTTTTTGAGACGTTGTCTCACTTTGTCACCCAGGCTGGAGTGCGGTGGTGCAATCTTGGCTCACTACAACTTCCGCCTCCGAGATTCAGGCAATTCTCCTGCCTCAGCCTCCCAAGTAGCTGAGATTACATGTGCCCACCTCCATGCTTGGATAATTTTTGTATTTTTAGTAGAGATGGGGTTTCATCATGTTGGCCAGACTGATCTTGACCTCCTGGCCTCAAAGAGATCTACCCACCTTGGTCTCCCAAAGTGCTGGGATTACAGGCATGAGCCACTGCCCTGGCCAATAATAGAAATTTATATTTGGAAATATTTGGTCAATAACACTAGCCAAAATATAAAGTTACTATAGTTAATTTAAATTTATCAAAGTTAAAATGTTCACATGTGAAATATATTTCTGGGTCATATAATTCTAAAAGCCGACTAAAATTATCTCTATGAGATAAACCAAATTCATGATTAAACAGCAAAAAAAGAGTATACAGGGAAGACTAAAGTCTCCACATTCTCACTGCCCAGAGACAACTGTTGATATACTGTCATATATATTCTTCAAAAAATAAATTATACAAAGTAGAATTACTTGATCAAAACTATATGATTTTTTAAATGTTACCAATTTTCCCCACAAGAAATTTATACTGATTTATTTGCCAATAGCATTATGAGATATCATGTTTTCCAATACTGAGTATTATAAAACTTAATAATTTTTGACAATCTAGTTAATAAAAATAGTTTTTGTTTGACATTTTAACAATTGTGAGTGTACTTACGACTTTTGATTACATATAGTAGAAAGTCAACTTATACTGGCTTTAATTTAAAATAAAAATTTGATTAGCCCATATAACTGAGAAATCCAGGGATGGGTCAGTTCAGGAAAACTGGATCCAAGTGCCCACCAGAATTATCAGGATCCACACCTCTGTTACTTTTCTACATTGGCTTCATTCTCAAACAGGCTTCCCTGTGTTACAGTAATGATGTCTTTGTAACCCCGCTAGAAAAAGAGAGCTTTTCCCAGATAGTTGCAGCAAAGTTTCATCCGATCAAGTTGAATTACCTGTCCATTTCTGCTGCAGTCATAGTGCCAATGTGGATAAAATATTATGATTGACAGGTCTAGATCCCATGCCCACCCAGGGAGTCAGGTAGCGAGGTCAGCTCACCTGCACCAGGTAGACCAAGAGTGGGGAAGGAATGGTTCACAAAGGTTGAAGGCATAATGAATGCTAAACAGAAAAAAAGAATATATATCCATTACATTGTAGGAACTGGTACTATTTTTTCTTATATATATTGGAAATTGGCATTTATTATTCTGTGAATTGCCTATTCATCATATCATTTCCTCATTTATTTAATTAGATTGTTCATTAGCTTCTTATTGATTTGTAAGAGCACATTTTTAAGGAAACTAGCTCTTATGTGCTATGAATATTTTTCACTTTGTTATGTCTTTCGATTTTTGCATAAAATTTTTTTCTAAAATTTCCACATGGAAATTTTATATAATATTATATAATTGGGTCAATCAGTCTTCATTCATTTAGCATTTATTGCTCGCTTAAAAAGGTTCAGGTACTGTAGGTGTGAGAATAAAGAGATGAATAAAAGACAGGGAGTTTCTTCGAAGGGCTACACTACTGGGTTAAAAAGATGAGAAAGTTGCCTATTACCAGATGGTGTCATGTAAGGCTTTACAGATGCAATTTGAAAAACCTCCAAAATAATGAGTTGAAGTTCCTTAGATAAAAAGGGAGCCCGGGAATTTACTTGAGCACAGAAGTGTCTGTAGGTATGATTTCTATGTTGTCATAACAGAATTTTCAGAATGATGACAGGTAGTTCATGACTAAAAAACAAAAAAGGTAAGAACTCTCAAAGCCTCTTCTAAGGATTTTCAAGCCCTTGATTACAAAAGATAACACGATAACTTAGATATGTTAGCAGTTCAATGTCTTAAAAGTATTGAGATAACTAAAAGCTATTGTTAGAAGCCAGACAAATGAGTCAAATATACCCAGCTTCAAGCTGTATCTAGCACAGAGCTGCAGCTGGTTCTGTAAAACGTCTAGCCACTGACTAGCAACATGATCTTCATTTGACTTTTCTTCAGTGTACTCATTTGTAAGAGATTTGGTCAAGTTTACCTGAATGTTTCCTTCCATTTCTGTGGATCTGTGAGGAATGAGGAATTAAGTAGGAAATTATGAAAGAAAAAAGTCACATCAAGGGCCGGGCATACTGGCTTATACCTGTAATACCAGCACTTTGGGGAGGCCAAGGCAGAAGGATCACTTGAGGACAGGAGTTCGAGACCAGCCTGGGTAGCATAGTGAGATTCCATATCTATTGAAAAATAAAGTCACATTAAGATCAGAATTTCATATTTAGCAATGAAAAAGCAGTGCAGTAGTGTGGAATGTGGAGACCCAGGTACCTGTTTCCTCCTCATGAAATTAGGTTCGTATTGAATGCCTTGCTGACCTCAGATACTTATGAAAATCAGTCTAGAAAATGGATGTGAAGACAATATGTTATACAAATATATAGTATCATCAGCAGTTGTAATAGCAGTAGTGAACTCTTGAACATTTTATGTGTGCAGGTTTGAGTATTCCTTATCCATAATGCTTGGGACCAGAAGTGTTTCAGACTTCAGATTGTTTCAGATTTCAGAATATTTGCATATACACAATGAGATAGCTTGGGAACAGATCCAAGCCTAAACAAAAAATTATTTCATTTCATATACACCATATTCCATATAGCCTACAGGTCATCTTAAACTTTTTTTTTTTTTTAACAATTTTGTACATGAAATGAAGTTTGTGTTAAGTACGTATGTGTGGAATTTTCCACTTATGGTGTCATGTTGGCATGCAAAAGGTTTTGGAATTTGGAGCATTCCAGATGTCAAACTTTTGGATTAGGGATGCTCAACCTATGTAACAGTAGAATCCTAGTACCATGAACATCATTACCATTTTCAGTTTTTTATGATATATTAGAATTCAGTGTTATTGACATTGCTTTAACTAGGCCTCTGATTTGTCCTTGACAAACTTTTTTTTCTTGAAAATTATAATGTAGTTTGGTGACATTGACCATTCATCAGATCAATCCACATTTATTTATTTGTATTTGTTTAAATCAATAACTCTGTGCTCAGACTTTTATGTTCTCTAAAAGTTCTTCTGATGTCTCATATAATACCATTTATCCAATATGTTTTATTTATATAATTTTTGTGGTCATTTTTACTTACTAAATTTATATATTTTATACCTGTCCTAAGAAAAGGGCTTGGTACAATATGCAGGTTTAAAAGATAGAAAAATATTGGTAAATCAAGGCTAAGATGACAGAAAGAGGAAACAGCAAAATGAAACTAAAGAAAAAGTTAGCATGCAGAAATACACATCAAATACATACCAGAATGTTTCAAGGTACAATCTAAGGTATTGCATCTAAACAGTTGTTTTAAAAACAAAAGAAGTATGTATTTCCCATTAAAAATTTTAAAAAATAAGCACTGGAATAAACACATTTAAACAATTATATTTACTATAGTATTTATCAGAGCCTTAAGATCACGTAAATCCCCACAAACATCTGGTAGGATTTTTGTTTCATGTAATAAAGTCACAAAGGTTTTTATTTTTAGGAAAACCAAGCTTTTTGTGGCACTGAAGTTTGAGACAGATTTCTCTCTTTGGTCTTCAAAACAGGGAAACTGAGTGATAAGAGTAGAGAAAATTCTCAGCATTATTTCTTCACTAACTACAGTAGTGTTTCATGTGAACATCCTAATGCTACACATGTAATTTCCCGTAGATTTTATAAGGAATGTGAATTTTTTTACATTAGTCACTTCTTTGATTCTTCAATATTGGAAACAGTGCCTTTTTGCAAGCTATGTAGGCTTTTTAGCAGTTTTAAAAACTGAATTATAATAATAAAGTTTTATAGGGATAGAAATTTTATTTTTCATTTTTGCATTTTTTGCACCATTTTTTCCTATTTGTTAAAGTGTTCACCTGTAACATAAAAGCTAAAAAAGACAAAACAGCAATAAATCTAAAAACAGGCTTTAAACTTTCAGTTAAACTTTTGTATATGGTAACACTTAAAAAGTGCGGAAGTCACTGTATCCAAATGCCCACTGTTTGACAGAAAAGGACACTATTTATTGATGTAGTAACTATAATGAAAATTGAAAAATATTGCAAAGTAAATTTATAAATTTTATTAAGTGTAGCCTTACCTTTTGACCAGAATTCTTACCATATTCATCTGCCAAAATCAGATGATATTGACATTGCAGTATTTGCTAAAATTTTTGAAGTATAGCAAACTTACAACCTTGTCAGTATGTAGGTAAGTAGGTAATTGATTGATAGATGGATAAATATGATATGATAGGTATCTATTAGGATCTCTTAAGCAAATGTCATCTATGACAAAATTCTTATTTCCCCAAACATTTGGAAGCTTTTTGCTTTCTAATTATTTATTGCTGTTTGACTGTTAGAAGCAAAATGATAGAAAAATATTAAGTACAAAGCAAATCACTTGCATTATGTTTCATAAAAGTAATTTCTAACCTTATTAGGTAAAAATTCAAAATTAGAAATACATTTTAAGAAGTTACTAATGGAGGCATATACAGACTTTAATACTGTGCAACTGTTTCCTACAAAGCATTACTCTGTAAAACACTGCAATAACATGACTTTGATGAAACTTGTGTAAAATAAAAAATATAAGTATTTACTTTTCCTTTTCCAGAAGTGTAAGAGAAGATTGAAAAAGATTAGAGGAAGAGACATGCTCCTTTTTAAAGAATGTTTTGTGAGATTTTACAGGACAAACAGTATCAGTTAAGATCAAACCTTAGGGATTGCACAGACATTTTATGCACGTGAGAGGTCTATTAGCATATTCACGACAGAACAAAGTATTAAACATTTTCAGTGCTTTGAAAAATATACTCAGTAATGGGATGGCTGGGTCAAATGGTATTTCCAGTTCTAGATCCTTGAGGAATCGCCACACTGACTTCCACAATGGTTGAACTAGTTTACAGTCCCACCAACAGTGTAAAAGTGTTCCTATTTCTCCACATCCTCTCCAGCACCTGTTGTTTCCTGACTTTTTAATGATTGCCATTCTAACTGGTGTGAGATGGTATCTCATTGCGGTTTTGATTTGCATTTCTCTGATGGCCAGTGATGATGAGCATTTTTTCATGTGTTTTTTGGCTGCATAAATGTCTTCTTTTGAGAAGTGTCTGTTCATGTCCTTCGCCCACTTTTTGATGGTGTTGTTTGTTTTTTTCTTGTAAATTTGTTTGAGTTCATTGTAGATTCTGGATATTAGCCCTTTGTCAGATGAGTAGGTTGCGGAGCCATAAAAAATGATGAGTTCATGTCCTTTGTAGGGACATGGATGAAATTGGAAATCATCATTCTCAGTAAACTATCGCAAGGAGAAAAAACCAAACACCACATATTCTCACTCATAGGTGGGAATTGAACAATGAGAACACATGGACACAGGAAGGGGAACATCACACTCTGGGGACTGTTGTGGGGTGGGGGGAGGGGGGAGGGATAGCATCGGGAGATATACCTAATGCTAGATGATGAGTTAGTGGGTGCAGCGCACCAGCATGGCACATGTATACATATGTAACTAACCTGCACAATGTGCACATGTACCCTAAAACTTAAAGTATAATTAAAAAAAAAAAAAAAGAAAAGAAAAAAAAAGAAAAATATACTGAGTTAGAAAAACATATCTGAACATCTAGTAAAGTATAAAATATGTGGGTAATTTTAAATGAAAAACTCATTACTTTCGGCCAGGCATGGTGGCTCACGCCTATTATCCCAGCACTTTGGGAGGCCCAGGCGGGCGAATCATGAGGTCAGGAGATTGAGACCATCCTGGATAACACAGTGAAACCCCATCTCTACTAAAAATACAAAAAATTAGCTGGGCATGGTGGCGGGCGCCTGTAGTCGCAGCTACTCGGGAGGCTGAGGCAGGAGAATGGCGTGAACCCAGGAGGCGGAGCTTGCAGCGAGCCCAGATCGCGCCACTGCACTCCAGCCTAGGCAACAGTGCGAGACTCCATCTCAAAAAAATAAACAAATAAATAAAATAAAAAAATAAAAAACTCATTACTTCAATTCCGTAACAGACCTTACATTCATTTCACTTTATAGCAATTACTTTTACCAATAATGTAATTATGTTGTTTTAAATATTAAGATTTTATGTAATGTTTAACAAAATTACATTCCCTTTTTTACATCTATCTAAAGAGATTTGAGAGATAATGAAATTTAACACAATAAAATTTAAACCTTAGAACTTTTTAAAAAATCTAAATTTTTATACTGTCATACTTTGTTTTACAAAATGAGGACAAAAAAGTTTAGGAACCTTAAAATATTAACACTTTTGTGCGTGAAAAATACAGCTTTTATATAAATTGTTGAGTCTTTGTTAATCATAATTAAAGTTAACAAAAAATGAACATAATTTACAAGTAATTTAAATATTCAGGATAAGCACCCTTGCAAATAAGAGTTTATTATGGAAATTCTAACAGACTTTTTACTGCTGATGACCTCATTGTGTTATTTGAATTAGTCTCCTGAGGCCAAAAGAAAAGGCTCATAACAATTTATAAATGAATCTTCCTCTCTTGTGTAACATTATGTGTCCCTTTGAAACACTAATTTTCTACTACTTCTCTTGTTAAAATTAAGCCTTCGAGGGATCTTCATAGTTAATTATAAATATTAAATTTTGAAATAAAGTAGACATTGTACTTAGTACTCTTGTTTTCTCTGTAAACATACTTAATTTATAGTATGCAACTTAAATCAAAATAATGTGCTTATTTGATACCATAAGCACGGACTCTGTATACCATTAATCCAAAATCAGACAAAAACTGAAGCTAAGGCAGTTTGCTATTTGAAATCATGAAGATGGTATGCTGGAAATTCCTAATGATTAGATGTGCTAAAATTTTGAGACTGTGATGCAATTAAGCACATGCTTTTTGAAGAAATCAGTATAGGGATTAGCATCATAATCAGTAAATAGGGTGGTGGTACTGATAGGAGAGGTCTTAGTGGCCTCAGCAAAATGCTTTCCAAGGAATCCGAATTTCCTGGATTATTCCATCACCCTTAGGTGTGTAGTTTAACAGTAAAAAGGATAGTTGTTCCATCTATATACTAACAGAATGAGACTAACATTCTATCAGGCTTCCATATGGAGGGTTGTCTTTCACACTCTGGGTAACTGGCTGTTAAGACAAGGTTTTCACTAATATGGTTGTCAAATGGTCAATCTCTTCACCTTCCCTCCATTGGGTTTCCTGTATTCCAAGCTAAATTTTCATTATGTAGCTTATTAAGTAGAAGGAAAATAACGAAACTGTTGGTGTGGCCTTAACAGTTTAAACTAGATCACCTCTGATAATCTAGTTAACAAAAACTTGGTAAAGTCTAGATACTTTGTACTATGAATTATCCTCTTGGGCAGTTTATAACAAGTGTAATGATTTGTAATTAATATCAAAATCCAGTATGGTTAAAAATGTAATACAAAATAATGTATTTATGCTGTATGGCTAAAATGAATTAACAGTGAAATACTGAAAGTATAAAGATTTATTATCTAGGATATCTAATATGACTGTATTAAACAAAATATTTTTTTTCTTTTAATAGCCAATTGGTGCTTTGAACCCCAAGAGAGCTGTGTTTTATGCAGAGCGTTATGAGACATGGGAAGATGATCAAAGCCCACCCTACCATTATAATACCCATTATTCAACAGCAACATCTACTTTATCCTGGCTTGTTCGAATTGTGAGTATCTTCATTGAGTTAGCTTGCCTTTGGTACCTTAAAATTTTAACATAAGTAAATTAAATAAAAATCAAATCAGTTGTAATTTGATTAACAAAGATTAGAGACGAGTGAAGTAGAAATTAAAGATTTCAAAGTAGCAAAATATGAATTTTTTTTATTGAGTTGTCTCATTTGCAAAATTGGATTAGGAAGATAGTTATCTGTTGCTAGGTATTATGAGCTTAAACCAAACCAGTTGTCCAGTTATAAAGGAGCCAAAATTGAGTACATACCTTTTTTTTTTTTTTTTTCAGTGAGAGGGTCTCTCACTCTGCCACTGAGGCTAGAGTTGCAGTAGCACTATCATAGCTCACAGCAGCCTTGAACCCCTGGGCTCAAAGGATCTTCCTGCCTCAGCCTCCCGAGTAACTAGAACTACAGGCATGTAACACCTTGCGCATCTATTATTTTTTTATTTCTCTTCTTTTTTTTTTTTTGAGACAGAGTCTCGCTCTGTTGCCCAGGCTGGAGTGCAATGGCATGACCTCGGCTTACTGCAATCTCCGCCTCCCAGGTTCAAGTGATTCTCCTCCCTCAGCCTCCAGAGTAGTTGGGATTACAGATGCCCACCACCACGCCCAGCTAATTTTTGTATTTTTAGTAGAGACAGCGTTTCACCATGTTGGCCAGGCTGGTCTTGAACTCCTGACCTCAGGTGATCCACCTGTCTTGGCCTCCCAAAGTACTGGGATTACAGGCGTGAGCCACCACGCCCGGCCCAGCTATTATTTTTAAACATGGGATCTCACTTTGTTCCCCACGCTGGTCTCTCACTTTTGTTCTCCTGGGCTCAGGTGATCCTCCTGCCTTACCTCCCTAAGCACTGGGATTACAGGTGTGAGCCACCACACCTAGCCCTGGAGTGCATTCTTAATACCCACTGCCTCCTTTCTCACAAATGAGGCACACTGGCACTTGCTCTCCCCCCCTCCCTCATTCTTTCTTCTTGGGCAGCATGTTTTAAAACCAGTTTCCAAATGTTTTGAAAACCTCTTTCTGTTACTTTTCTCTTTCTCCTAGGACATAAATATATTTAAGTCTCACTGACCTTAAAAAAAAAAAGCCTCCTGCCAGCCTCCGCCCACTCTGAAGTTCTTTCCCATCTCTCTCCCTGCACAGTCAGATTCCTGAAAGCACAACCTCTGCTGTCCTGCAGTGCACTGTGGTACCTGTTGCCTCTACTTTATCACCTCCCATTCAGTCTTTAGCCTGGTTGATTTCAGTTCCACATCCATCACTTTACTGAACTGTTTTGGGGAGGTCACATATTATGCAGATAGAGCATCCCATTTTTTACCTATCATGTCTCTTGAAGCATTTCACGCTATTGCTAATCTCTCCTTGAAATTTTCTTTCAAGTTCCTTTTACAATACCCTCTCCTGGTTTGCCTCCTGTCATCCTAACTGTTCTGCTCAGTCTCCTGTTCAGATTGTTTTTCCTTAATGTTCCTCTTCTACAGGATTTTTCTTTATATTTCAGCTGAGCTGTGTCATTCAGTTACAAGCTAGTGATTTCCAGCTTCTCTCTTCTTTGCAAACATTTCTCATGGGTTCCTGACCCATATTTCCAAGTGCCTACTAGATATTTCTACCTGAACATCTCACAGTACCATAAGCAGCATTTCAATAAATGAACTCCTCATCTCCCTCATGTACCTGCTGTGGTTAAATGCCGTGATTATTCACTCAGCTGCCCAATCTAGAAATTGGGAAGCTTTTTCCTAGATATTTTCTCTGTCTTTCCAACCTCTTACATCCAGTCAGACATCCACAGATTCTACCAACTAAATATCTCTATCTCCTTTTCTGTATACTGTGGCACTTTCTTTAATTTAGATTCCCATTCTCTCTCGCCTAGAGTATTGCCAAAGCTCTTAACAAACCTCTTTTCCTTTATTCTTGCCTTCTCCATTCTGGTCTAGATAGGAGCACTATAAGTGACTGAGGAGTATTGTAGAATGCTAAATTAAATCTCTTAATCAATAATTTTTCCCCTTATTAAGATATACCTCAGACCACTCTATTGTATGGGGCTGATGTGTCCAAGAAACACATTGGTAAAGCAGAGTATATGAAACTGCATCTCCTGTCTTCGAAAATATTTTTTCCCTTCACCTAAATGACAGCTCTAGTTTGTAGGTCTTCCTTAGGCATTCTCTCCATTATGGGGAAAAAATTAACTTTCTACAGAAATTTAGTATGAATACATTTTAAGTAACTTGGAAACCACTGATAGGTGACAAACTACAATTATTTTTGTTAAGAAAAATGTTGTCAGAATTATGATTCTGTTTGAGCACAGATTTTATCCCTTTCATAATTCTACACCAGCATAAGAAGTTAAGGAAGTCTGGACTAACTAGTCTTTTGAGAAAACAAACCCAAATCTTACTTTTAAAAATGAACTCTGTAATGATAAACTAAAGGAAAAGACATAAAACTATTTTTAGACCAAAGTTATTAAATCAGTCTAGTTTATCCAAACATTCACCTTAATTCTGTGAACTTGGATTCTTTTATAAAAAATGTTTCTGAGTTAGAAGTTTCTTGAGAAATACTTTTTAAATCCGGCACTTTTAAAGTATAGATGTTCTCTTTTTTATTTTCTGTTAATTTTGAGAATATTAGATTTATGTCATTGCCTATTTATCTCTATAAAGCAATCAGAACAGAGCATCTTTAGTTTCTGGGTGATAATAATAATTCCAGAAGTAGGAAAATACTTCACACTCACAAGAGGCAAATGCTTTTCAAATTCCAGATACATGGACACATAAAGAGCTTATAACTTCCAACCTGCAGTTTCAGCCACAAGTCAAAACTAAACAAAGTCACAAAAATTTACCAGTCAAGATCTCAAAAGAGCTGGCTTTCTTTATAATAGATATAAAATATGCTCTTAATTGATTTGAACTCTCAAATAGTCAGACAAGAATACAAAAAAACTAATTAATTGGATTCGCTGATCACCAAATGATCAGACCATAAAACCAAAACTACATTCTCAATCATTACTGCCGCCAGTGGAAAATTACCTATTAGCTGTGCGGAAACCAGAAACAAACAAAAAAATCAGTAGAAGGAGTAAATTTTAAAACCTAGAAAAAAAAAGTCACTGGAGTTCAAATTCTGTTTGCTGCCTAGGGTCCACCCTGGAAGCTAAGAAAAGATGTACCTGGGCTTAAGTAGCCCATGAGATATATTTCTTAAGCTACACAGTCAATTTGAGTTCATCAGGTTAGTCCACATGGAACTCTCAAGGGGACCACCAAAACTGTTAGCAAAGGAAATTTTTGGAAAACACTGAAACTAGAGATTTTCACCCTGGGAGGCCTTTTCATACCACCTCAGGTCCCGTCAATGACAATCATTGCCTTAGTGAGCCACCACCATGGAGGGAGCAGGACACCTCTTGCAGGTACTTTGGGGATGAGGAAAAAGGTCAGGAGTCCTTCCTGAGAAAATGTTATCAACTGGGTTGTTTGGAGAATTAAATGAGAGTATATATATGATAGTATTTTGAAATACATAAAGTGGTATTCACTGTTTTTTTACCTAATCAAGTTAGTCTGAAGCCAGATTTACAAGACTTCTTCAAGTGTGACTCCATAAGAATACTTGTTATGAACAGCCTAAGTTAACCTCATCTATCCCTAATCAGCTAAACACTTTCTCAAATCATAACTCAGAATTTATTCTTAAGTAGATTTATTATTCCAGCGAAATGGAATTCAAACTTGAATCTATGCAAGGGTATGCCAGAATATTCTGCACATTTATCCTACACATGCCCTTGTCTATAGCAGTGCTGCACAACAGAAATATAATGTAAACTACCATGTGACTTAAAATTTCTAGTAGCCACATTTATAAGTAAAAAAAGAAACAGGTAAAATTAATTTTAATAAATATATTTGTTAATCTACTATTTCCAAAATGTTATCATTTAAACATGTAACCAATATAAAAATGTAAAATAAGGCATTTTACATTTTACATTTTTGGAGGGAGGGTACTGAGTCTTTGAAATTCAGAGTGTATTTTATATTTACAGTGCATCTCAATTTGAACTAGCCACACTTCAAGTGCTCAATAGTGACATGTGGCTAGTGGCTACTGTTTTGGACAGATCTATAAAACTGCTTTTTTGGAGACTCAGCCCAAATATCTTATGTCACGTGGTTATAAATAAAAGTATCAGTCTAATGGTTTACTAAGTATTTATCCTTATGGTCCAGGGAATTGTAATGTCCTCACTCCCATTCCAAGGAGTTTATGAAATAGAAAATGCATTAAAATTTGGGTCACTAAGAATTTGTTCACAAAAATAAAATACACATTAAAATAAGTGTCTGTCCTTTACCTTAGACCTTTTAGACCTAGTCATTAAACTTGTTATTTGTTTCAATGTACTTAGTATAACAACAATAATAATTGCTTAAAAATGCTAATTAACTACATACTTCATTACTTTAAATTAAAAATATTATTTTAAACAAACTACCAGTGAAATCACTTGTCTACAATATGAGACCCTGAAAAGACTGTTTTCCTGACAGCTGCCATTGGGCAAATCATGAATAAACTTATAGCAGTGTTTGGAGTTTCTTCAGATATTAATATTAAAAGACACATTTTACTTGGAATGTTTTTACTTTACAACTTACCCTAGACATATAACATGTATACAGAAGTAATTAAATCTTTTTCCCTGGCTTGCTGACCACTCAGTAACTCGTTCACCTTCCAAATTCAGTATATTCAACCCTCCTATTCAAAACTCATTCGTCAAACATTTCATAATTTCCAAGGAAGTGATGTTTAGAATTTGACACTTTCTGTGTAAATTATGGCTTGTTTTGAAAGCTTACCCTAAAGCCTCTTTAAACCATAATGTGTCTTTAAAAGTATATATGTATAGTAGAAACATTTTTGCAAGTGTTGTAACTAAAACCAAAAGATAGTGCTACTGAATAAAATATTGTTGTTTATCTTGAATACTGAGGCATTAAGGACAATGCATATTTACTCAGAGGAAGATGAGAAATACTTAACCAAGAGCCTAGTGCATGGTAGGTACATAGGTTAATTAGTGAAAACTTTTGGAAGATTCTAAAAGATACTTCTTGGCTCTTGGAAGAGAAATAGGAGAAAATAAACTTCTGGAATTAGACAAAGGCCATTAGAAATAATGGTTCCTCCATTTGTTAGAATGTGACCTTGAATTTTCTCAGATATAAAAGGGGAATAATTACACCTACTCTGAAGGGCGATAGTAGGGATTCAGTTAACTTAGATAATACAGAGCCTGGCACAGAAAAATGCTTTGTAGCTGTTATTTCCCTTCCCTTTGTATTTTATTATGCTTCCAATCACTTCAAATATACATCTTTTCTTTGCTATAGTTATGTCCCAGGCACTACCTATTACCCATAAACGAGATTTGTTTTGGCTTTTAAATGGAATGAAGAGAAGGAAAAGAAGAACAGAACAGAACTACAAGAAGCGAAGGATGTAAAAGATTATTATGAGATGACTAAGCGAAAATCGTGTAAGACAGAAGAATGAAGAAGTTGAGTAAAGAGAAGAGGCAACAGGGAAACGGCATTAGATGCCCACGATGGAATTAGTTGATCTGTAATCATCCAAAAGCAAGAAAGGCTGTTAGTGTCTTCAGAGGGGACTAAGGGGTATGATAGAATACAGAAGGACAGGTACTTTCCAGTGCAGGCAAGGTGAGTTTTCCATCACTGAAAAAGGGTTGGAAGATATGAAATGATGTTGGAGTGGATGTAATTAGGAGAAGAAAGTCTGCCATTGGCCATTTATATTGCAGGACCTAACCTGAACTTTGTAAAGACTAACGAGTTCCAGAATTGTAATTCCTGAAATTACCGTTTAATATGTATTCATTTATACATCTTATCTCCCATGCCTAAAACTTTTCTAATATAATGGTGAAATGTCCAATCTGTTGATGTACACATGGAAAATGGCCCAATTGACAGGTAGTAGGCAAATAAATATAAAAGTTTTTTAAGGTTAATATAGCACCTAATCCTCTATGTTAGTCAGACATGAGTCAAATGAAAAAGAAAGGCTCTGCATTGTGGCTTGAAGGTAAAAGGGAAACACATGGAAAAAGCAATCTCCACAGTAATCAGAGCTTGAAAGATCAATACTTACTTATAAACAAATAGGTTATCAATTTCTATTAGTACTCTACCACTGTAGCAACTGGAGGCCTTCAGGTATAATGAGAATATATGTCAGTAATGTAATATGTGACCTTAAGACAGTTGTTAATCAGATCTTTTTAAAAGCTATTTAAAACACTGAAATGTGGAATTCAATATTCTCTGCTTTTAGGTGCCACCAGATTCATTCATAACTTTGTTACCGGAAATAAATATAATTCTTTAATTTCAGATTTCTTTTCACTAAGCCCATCTGTGCTATTCTTGGCATGTCTTTGTTAAGAGTTGAAAACTAGACAGGATTTTGTAATTTAGGTTGAGGTGGAGATCAGCTTTTAGCGGCTGATGATAAGAAGTACGGCTTTGCATGTATAAATGGGTTTTCACTCACATCTGTTTAATAGGTTAAAAAACCTAGAGACAAGCCTGATCCCTCTAAATTAATCTCTGCCCACTACCTACAGTGAAAATTAAATGCCTTACATCAGCATCCTGCAATAATAAAGTGGGTTCTGAAGATAAAACTTTTTGGTCAAACCTACTAGTAGTTAAGAACTGAAAAGAAAACCCGTATCTTACTCTCACCCACCATACTCCCATCTCCCAACAATACCTTGTATGTTTAGGTGTATTTAACACACATTTGTTAAACATTGTTAGCCATGTGCTGTGCTTGGGGCTGGGGATAGAGAGATAAATAAGGCCTTAGGAACTGGCAGTCTGGTGGGAAGTCCAACAGTGAATACTTGGTACAGTGCGTAAAGCTGGTAGTCATTTTCATAACTCTGTGCCAGGTAAGATACATCAAGCTTTCTCTATGTTATTTCATTTAATCTTATTTAATCCCATAATTCCCCCAAGGTATTGTCATTCCCAGTTTACATAGATGAAGGAATGGAGACAGTTGCTTGACACAGTTACTTAAGGTTAAGTAAGCTTGCCCAAGATAGAGAAATAGTTCCACCAAGATTCAAACTTAAATCTGTCATATTGCATTCAGTTTACCATTGCTGCATCTACAATTTTTATATCCCCATTTTATTTAATATAATTTAGTGACAGATATGTTATTTTCACTACCTTATTTTTAATAGTGAATTAAACATCTAAAAAGCAAATAAATTAGTGAAAGACATGTCATATAATTTTTTTCTAACTTAATTTCACTAACATTTATTTATTTCTCATATCACTTAAAATCCTAAACAGCAATATGGACTTCTTGGATGCATATCTGATTTTCAGGTGAATCAATACTGTCCCCCTTACTTGTATATTGTTTTTTCATTGTTGATCTTATCTCTTTCATCACCCTTTTCTCTCATCCAACACTGAACATGAAATAGTGGCAACATATTACAAGTTTACAAAATTGATGACATCTGGCCATACTAAATTTCAGGGAGATATTGAGGAAGATCAGTATTTGTTGCTTTTACTCCAACAGCCAGCCCTTAAGGTTAGTGGCAAGAAAGGGAGTTTAAGGGGGCAAAGTATGTCCCCTTTGTACATACATACAAAGGAATTGTAAAGCATACAAAGGAATGAACAGAGATTACATATTAAAGAAAGAGGACTAAAATATTTTGGAAAATGTCATGTAGGTTTCTTAGCATTATTGAACCTGGGAATGACATGTCATTCATCCTAGACTTGAGAGAGAAGAATTGAAGCAGGGAAAGGGAAATATGTATCTATCTTTGCTATAATTGTAGTTAAGAAATCCTTAGCAGAAATGAATGTTATTTAATCCTTTTAAACTTGGAAGCAAATTTAATGACATCAAAAACATAAGAACAACCTAAGAACTCCCAGTGTGAGAACTCCCAACTTAAGAATTACAGGTAAAGCATTAAAATTAAATGCATTAGGACATTGCAATAAAGTTATTCCTAGGTTTTCTGCTATAGGAACATGTACTGGATGGCAGACACTATGTTATCCAAAGACAATAGTCACAGAATGCAAAAAGGTCTAGTTCATCTACTGTCATTTGTACTTACTTTATTCTTCGTTCAACAGATTATATATTGAGCAACTTCTATGTACCAGGAGTTGTTCTAAGTGTTGGAGATAAAACAATGAATAAGGTAGATACGGAACCTACTCATAGTGGGGAATATAGACAGATTAACAATCAATTAAAACCAGTGTGATAAATGTTTCAGTGCTGTTTGAGGAAACACAGATTGCTATTTGAGCATACTGGAGAGCCGTGGTAGCGCAAGGAAAGTTTTTCAGGAGAAAATGACATCATGGCTGAGTCTTAAAGGATAAAAAGAACTTAGTCAGGTCAGAATAGTGAAATAAATGGGTAAGTTTATACCCGGCCTAGGGAACATCACAGACAAAGGACAAGAGGTGAGAGTAGTGTGGCAAGATTTTAGAGTGTGAAGAGGGGAATGGTGAGAGATAAGAGTTA
Source organism: Homo sapiens (assembly GCF_000001405.40). Classification (NCBI taxonomy): domain Eukaryota; kingdom Metazoa; phylum Chordata; class Mammalia; order Primates; family Hominidae; genus Homo; species Homo sapiens. The sequence continues at coordinate 35,592,700 of NC_000013.11, forward strand.
AGCAGGTTCCAGATCATTCAGCCTCTTGTAAAACAAATTAGGTAGTTTAGACTCTCTCCTAATCACTCCCAAGAGCTATTGAAGGTTTTTAAGCAGGGATTTGCATTTTAAAAACATTATCAGACCATAAGGTAGTACTAATACTTTCGTAGTCTTTCACAGGTAATCATGGACATTCTCTACCTAATTCCACACTGCAGTGATCAGTATCAGAGTGATTTTTGTGATCAGTATCAGAGTGATTTTTGTGATCAGTATCAGAGTGATTTTTCTTATTGCAATGTTAGTGTATATATAGCCTTAATTATTCGAAAGAAAAATCCAACTTATGAATTGTCATTAATGCAAAATTATTTATCAGAAAATCGTAGAGCACTGGAACCCCATCATTTCACAGATGAGAAGACCAGAAGCAAAATGACCTGCCAGAGTTGCAGACTGACAACTGCTGCCTTGGCCTAGTCAAGCCCAGACAGGCATCTCCTACTGCCTTAATTTGGGGGCATCTTTCTAGGACCCTGATCTGCCTCCACATCTTGAAGGATTTTCAAGATAGCCATGTTTCACAAAGGAACGAGGGCAGCTGTGTTTAGAGTGGTCAAATTTCTGATTCTGTTTTTTTGCTTAGGAACCTTTCACAACCTTCTTCCTCAATGCAAATGATGGAAAATTTGATCATCCAGATCGAACCTTCTCATCCGTTGCAAGGTCTTGGAGAACTAGTCAGAGAGATACTTCTGATGTAAAGGTAGGCTCTTTTATTTGTTGATATTCATTAAATTTCAAAATATGTGGAAATTTTGATTTTTTTAAGTGGGTATGTATAAGACATTTTATATTGCAGCTTTGTTCCATCATATTAAAATTATATGGTACATCTAACCTTATAGGAAATAATTTTGAACATTATAGAAAATAACTGAAAATTCTTTCATATTACCCAGTGAAGGTGTTTTCGTTATTTCAAAAAATTCCTACCTAATTTAGATCAAATAATCAGGAGATGTGAAAAGCCTATAAAATGCCTTTCCTGCTGTTAACTCAATATTTGGTCCATTCCATAAAACACAGCAGGAATTGGATTTGACCTTAATGTGTCATATTGTTATAGCTTGCCTGGCTTGGGGTTTGCGTAGCCTGGGGCAATTAATAAAGCATTAATGACAAGACCCATTTAAAATGTAGGCTTTTCCGTATAGCCTTAGCTTTTACTTGACTGTGCCTGGGGATACTATGCAACAATACACATTAGATTAAACCAACACACACACAATATCCAGAAACAGCCAGAGAGCAGAGTAATTTTACAGTTGGTACTGCTTAACTATTGTTAAATACAAGGATTTGTTATTCATTTATATGGGCTCCTATTTTAAAAAAGAAAAACATTGTATTCAAAGCAATAATATATATTTGTTCTCTCATTTGTCTCATTTTTTTTCCTGATAATAAGGTTACATGGCCAGGTTATTGCATAGGTAAATGTGTTTCTTATTTTAAGCTCATTTTCTTCAAGGCACATTTTTTTCCCATTACTGTCACTCAGTACAAAAATGTTACGGTATCATTCCATTTAGAGCCTTAAACCAACAAAAGTTAGTGAGTTAAAATCAAAATTGTCATTCACATATTTATGCTTCTCTATTGCAAAACATTTGTAAAAGGCAATTTCAGTGTTACTGAACTGTAATTGGATGAATACAAGTTTTGTTCAGTATTTTTCCAAAGCAGAAAATAAAGGAAATGGAGCCAAGTAGATTGTAACATATCTGTGTGTTTTACTTGTTGTTGTCAAACTTTACATAAATGAATATTTATTCATACAACATATTTACATTTGTAAAAAAAATAAGAGAATTTAATATGCATCCTTACTATATTAAGCTTTGAAGTTCTAACGGTCTTACAACTTTGCTGAGACTTAAACTCTAAAATATCCATAAGCCATCATTTAAAATGATTTGTTACCAGTGAAGTCAAGGAGGGAGTCTGTTTCTTATATAATAACACTTTGAGAATTAATACAGAAAATGGGAGTCCATAGGCTCCCATTGAACAGTAGTATCCAGAATTCACACAATGTTCATAAAAGGCACTCAAATATTTTGTATGTGAATTAAATATTCTTATCTGTAATTGAAGGCTTCTTATCGCAGTTAAGATTATTGATATTTTAAATCAGAGCTATATCCATATTATATCAGCCTATTTCAAATGAAAATGCCTGCTCACTGTTGTTTGACATCATCACACACACACACACACACACACACACACACACACACACACACAAATTGGCTTTTCAACTTAATTCAGAGATCCACCCTCACATATTTGGGGGTCAGTCATTCTAATTTTTATATACAGTTTTAGATTTCACTTCCTAGCCTGAGAATTTCACTGATGCTTTATACCACCAGTCTCTGATAACCGATGCCCTGTACCGGGCTTTTTCCTCTAAATTCTCCCAGAAATTTTCCTCTTCAAAACCCTTTCAGAAACATTTACATTTTATTACTAATTGTATTTGGGGGGCTCCTGGGTTCACATCATCCAGGACAAAGACCAATGTGGATATCACTAACTTGGGAGTTTTTTTGTTTTTTATCCTCAAGCAGCTGTACTGAACACAAACATGCAGCTTTTTTTTTCCCCAAAGACTTAATTAGTTCATAAGAAGCTCATTTCCCCAGGATGACATTACACAGATTGCTCTCATTTTCAGCTCTCTTACCACCACTCATGAACCTTTCATATTATATGTTAATACATCTTAGATATCTTGCCATGTAGACTTCCCCTTTCTTTTTAAAGGCAGCATGCTACATATATACAATAATTTATATATGTGATCTCTGGTTGATGGAGAATCTTTCTCCCTGATTGTTACTATGAAGCACAAGGCTGTAGTGAACATCTTTGCACAGACATCCTGATGGACTCCTTCTATATACATAAAGGCTAATTCTTATTAATGGGACTGATGGCTCAAAGACAATATACTTTTTTTATTTTTTAAGATATTGCCAAACCATCATCCTCAAAGATGAAAATTCACTCTCTACAGCAGTGTGCAAGGGTACCTCCTTCCCCGTGCCCCCTACACCCATCATCACTATTGTATTAAACAATGGAACTTCTGCTAGTCTGGCAAGTGAAAAATTAAGTTATGTTTGTTTTAGTTTGCATTTTTTTTTGAGTGACGTGGAACATTTTTCATGTACTTATTGACCTGTACACTGACTCCTATCTATTGCTCATTTTTCAGTTGGGTCACATGTCTTTTTCTTACTGATTTGAAAAAGATCTTTGAAGTTGCAGAAGGTTCCATTGCAAGTAGGGTTTCTTGGTCGTCTTAGCTTTGTTATGGTTCGTTTAATGTGTGTGTGCGTGTGCGTGTGTGTGCATGTGTGTGTGTATGTGTGTGTGTGTCCAGTCAAATATATTTATATTCCCCTCTATAGCATCAGAATTTGAGGTCCTCATGACCAGAGTGTTAAAGAGAAGATAAGACTTTTGGGTAATAACTAGTGCTAACTTGAGAATCTTCTGAATTCATGATTAAACCTGATTTATCAGAGAAAAATATGTTGCTACGAGTAGTAATTGTTTTGCTACTTGTGTGTTAGAACCTAAAGTTTTTATTCTTATTTCTAAGCTGTTAAAGCACAGCATGATATATTTTTTAAGGAAGTGTGTTTCCATTTCCAGAGAAGAAAAGTATCTCTGCAATGTCTACTAACTTAGTCAGTTAATCACATAGGAGAGAACTAGGATGCAGTAGATGGTTTTATTCTGTCTGTCTCTATTAATGTCAGTCTCTTCCTGTGCTAATGAACGCAAGCTGGGAAGAAGGAGTGCTGCTGAAGTGACCTTTCAGGAGAGAGGTCTCTGGAGTTGAGTCAGACTAGTTAGTTTTTACTTTATTATTATTTTTTAAATTTCTTTCCCTCTAGCCTAGTCTTGGTAACAATGACATTCAACTCACTGAAGTTCTTACACTAATTTTCCTTAATGCCTTCAAAAGTTGTTATATTACTTTTAGAATAGCTATGTAGATGTCAGAAAAGGTAGCTGTGACAAAATGTCATTAAGGTGACATAGTGTAAATTAATACAGTTAATGGAGGTGCTCGCCACTGACTCATTGACCCATTATGAGCTCTTGTGGAATTAATGAATGCCAGGGCATCAGTCTTTTGAAAAAAAAAAAGAAAGAAAAGAGATGGCAGCTTTAAAACCTTGCAATGAATTATATTAGAAAAGTGAAAACGTCTGGATCGGATTTGATTTCACTAGGAAGCCATAAAATGGTACGCTCTCTCAGCAAAATATATTAAACTGAAATGTCAGATTTGATGCAATAGGTATACAATTATGATAGTGTTAATAGTGGTCTTCTATCATTCTAAGACATACTTTCAGGTCCAATTTCTCAGCAGCTTGAACTTGTCATAAGCTTATAAATTAGGAATCGCATTTGAGGATATGTTCTTATTTTTTGACAGAATGTATATAATACTATTAACTATACCGTGGGGTTTTAGTGTAGCTGCTAAAATAAACTAGAAATCACATTTATAGACACAAAATGTCTGCTATAATGTTCATTTTGCCATTTCTTTAATAATATTTGGTGTTTTCCTGCACTGTTTTTCATTTAGGAAATTTTAAACTACTTAGACTTTTTCCTTAAAGAGAAGCTGATTAACAGAAATTTATCAATGGGAAGAGAGTCAGCAGAACAGCAGTTATCTTAAGCATGCAATCTAGTGTCTAATGTGCCTCTGTAGGAGTACACTTACACATTATAAAAATAAGCCCATCTTTTAAAATAATACTGAATAGTTTTCAAACATGTTTTTGTTGGTTGATACAGTCCTTGAAACAATCCTATGAGGTAGTAGTCATTAACCCTATTTTGTAAAGGAGGTTCATGAATATTAAGTGACTCACCTAAGTTCACACGCAGGCAGGTAAAGAGGAAGCCAGTACTAGCACAGAGTCTGTCCAGTTATTTAAGATGCTTCATATCCAAGAGGATTTTAAGAATGGGAGCTGCAAGGCCACTTCATGCCTAGGCCCGGAAGTCACATCATGTTACTTCCACAGCGTTGTATTGCTCAAAGCAAGTCATGGGGCCCTCCCAGAATAAGGAAGAGTAGACACGGACTCCACTTCCTGATGAGATGAGTTGCAAAGTCACATTTCAAGAGGTCACTGAGGGTGGAGGGATTACTGTGCCCACCTTCGGAGACAGTCTACCACAGTCCTCCGAATCTGGTCAAAATTCACATTCCTCTTACATGTAAAATATACTCAACTTGTTCCCCACAAGTCCCATCCCAGTATTTGTATCAGACTGAAAATCTGGTATCTTGTTGTCTACATAAGCCCCAGGTACAGATAAGGCACAGCAATTCCTAATTTGGAGACCTGGGAGCTAAAAAGACAAATTATCTGTCCCATGTACACACAACATGTGGTGGTAAGACAGAACAGTTAAACTTCGGTAGAAACTCCATTCAGAAGGGGGAGAATGTGGAAGGTACATAGCAGTCAATGTTCATAGCAGTTCTGAAACGCAGCCAGGAATAAGTTGTCGATTACCCAGACTGCAGGGACAGGGACTGTCCATGGATTAGGGCCCAGGTCTGTTATCTGGGCTTGGCTCCTTAATTCATTATTTTCCATGGCTCTTGGTTACTTCCTCTGGGACATTGGCTTTGCCCTCTGAATCGTTCTTTTGTTTCCAGAAGAAATAAACATGGTTTGCAGCTGAGTATCTTTCTCTGCATGCTTCCTGACCATAGAAAGTTAGGGCCAAAGCCTCATATTCCCAAGTTGGTACAGCAGCTTTAAAACTGTGTAGCCTTTCTGTGTATCAAATTAGAAAAAGCTAATACTCACAAATCCTTTTGGAACAGGATTCTCTCTTTCAAGCTGTGAATTAGGATACTGTTTATAATGCCCTAAGAATCCCTTTCTCGTGAATCACTCTGTGTAGCTGAGCAAGTCTGAAAAACACTACCTGAAATTTTAACTTTTATAAAAGGGTTTTACAGACACACCCTTGATTTTAGCTTTATTCTATGGCCATATTTTACTTGTAGCACCTTCGAATTGATCTCCATCCTGAACCTATGTCTTATTTTGAGAATCTTTTGCCAACTGAAGAGAGTGTTCTAGGCCCTTCTATTGCTTGAAATACTGCTTCAAAACTGAACAGTTTCTTCCTGAGTTCATCTCTCTCTTGCATAGCTTATCTCTTTTGCATAGCTTACACCATTAGATGAAACCATTGGTCACTTTCAGCATTCTGCCTGGAAATCTTCTAAGTCAGAAGCACATGCTTATTAGGTACTTGTTCTGTCTTTGAAATTATTGCAGAAGACGATGTTAATTTTCCACCACTACTTAAGAGGGACTGCTTCCAATAACAACTTCCTTGCTGATCTTCCAGACCCCACCAGGCTCCTCACCACCCCTCCCACTTCTGCCTGCTGCCTCATCGCAAGCCAGAATCATGTGTTAAATTCTTTTTATTACTTTAGCACTCCACTTTGAGGATTCAGTTTCTGTTTTGGTCATTTATGACTTTGTAACAAATCACCCCAAAACCTATAGGCTTAAAACAACTATTTATTCATCGACAATTATGCAATCAGAGTTAAGGCTCAAAAAGGACAGCTAACCTCTAAGCCACACAGTGACAGTGGGGCAGCTTGACTGGGCGGCAGAATCTACAGTGGCTTTGCTCACATGTCTTGTGCCTCATCTGAGATGGCTGGAACAGCCAGGAACTGCCTGGGCATGTCTGTCTCTATCACATGTTTCTATAGCAAGGGAGCCACTCTATTGCATGTGGTAACTGGCTTCTAAGAGGACTAAAACAAAAGCTGCCAGGCCTCTTAAACTCTTAGGCTGCCCTAAGAAGCCTTGCAGTGTCACCTTGTCACGTTCTGTGTGTTGAAACAAGCCAGGCCATATTCAGACAAGGGGGAAATAGACTCCACCTCTTTATGGGAGGAGTAAACTGGAGATGCCAAAGGGCTTGCTCTTGGGATGGGAGGACTGTTATAGCCATCTATGAGAAAACTCTGTGAGTTACCAATTTAAAAAATACTTTAAGTACTAGTTTGGTTTGTACCATTCTCTACAGTCTGAGTGTGCATTTAGACATAAACCAAAATCTCATGAGCAAGCAATTTATAAAATACATCTGATTAGTTTAGGTAATATATGTTAGTCCATATATATGTCAACTTTAAATAACCATATTCAGAAAATATGATTAAGTGTAAAGTTTGTTTGAGCTCAAAGCTTGAGAATGGTCACCCCATAACATAGGTTCAAGTAGCCCTGAATATACACTCTGATTAGCAGCAATCATAAATGGGTTTTTAAGAAAAAAAGAAGAGGCAGGTCCTAAGTTGCTTACCAAGAATTTACATTAAAATAAGATAAGCCATTGGCTATACATTGTTCTTTGTATCACCGATTTCAGGAACTGAAGATAATGGGTAAGGCAGCTGGTCAGAAACCAAATGCCTTTTTAAACAGTTGCTCCCCAGGCTTGGGTTGAGGAGGCAGCATGAGTGACTGATGTCCCACACGCACGTCTCTCTGGACCTGATGAATTTTTGCATGCCTCACATAACTCAGACTGCTGTGAGCTATTCTTTTCCTCATATTTGCTAAAAATACTTGCATCATCTGAACTGTCTACATAGCTATTCATTGAAACACAATCCACAGTGACAGAACTTTTTTACTGAATTACAGGATGCACTTTGGTACTGGGTAAACTCTAGTCTCAGAAGTAATATTTTTGATCCGTGCCCCTAAAAAAAATTGAGACCAAATAGCTTCTAGAATATATTTTATATAAAGTTATGAAATGTATTGTTTTATAAACATTATTTCATTTAATCCTCACATCTACCCTAAGAGTTCATTGCTGACATCACCACCATGTTACATATCAATAAACTTTTTGTCAAAAGGTTAAGAAACCTGCCCAAGCTAGCAAGAAGTCTGGATTGGACTCAGACCTGTTTGATTCTGATGTATGTAAGGTAGCATTTCCCTGGTAGAAGAAGGGACAATCCCAATGCTGCTGCCTGCCCAGCTTCCCCCTTTATCTTCAACTCACTGGTAGCCATGAGGTTCCTCTTCTTTAAGAAACACACTTTGAGCCGCGTACGGTGGTTCATGCCTGTAATCACAGCACTTGGAAAGGCAGAGGTGGACAGATCACTTGAGATCAAGAGTTCGACACTAGCCTGGCCAACATGGCAAAACCCCAGCTGTACTAAAAATACAAAAATTAGTCAGCCATCATGGCGCACACCTGTAATCCCAGCTACTCGGGATGCTGAGGCTCAAGAATCGCTTGAACCTGGGAGGCAGAGGTTGTAGTGAGCCGAGATGGCACCATTGCACTCCAGCCTGGGTGACAGAGCAAAACTGCATCTCAACAAAAAAAAAAAAAAAGAAACACACTTTGAAAACCAGGGCCTGCAAAGTTTTTAATCAACATTTCAATGCCTGAAATTTAGGATATGGTAAACATAGTAATCTTGATTCATTTTTAATTTCACAAATATTTATGGATTACATATTATATGTTAGCACCATTCTTAGCAAGATAGACAAGGTCCCTACCTTTTGGGATTTCTATTATGATGGGACATGCAAGCATACAACAATAAATAGAGAAAATAATCATTGCTATGCAGAAAATTAAAACAGAGTAACGTCATATAGAATGACTAGATGGTGGCCGGATGTTGTGGCTCATGCCTGTAATCCCAGCCCTTTGGGAGGCTGAGGTAGGCAGATCACGAGGTCAAGAGTTCAAGACCAGCCTGGCCAATATGGTGAAACCCCATCTCTACTAAAAATACAAAAATTAGCCAGGTGTGGTGGCACACGCCTGTAGTCCCAGCTACTTGGGAGGCTGAGGCAGAAGAATCGCTTGAACCTGGGAGGTGTAGGTTGCAATGAGCTGAGATCATGCCATTGGACTCCAGCCTGGGTGGCAGAGCAGGACTCCATCGCAAAAAAAAAAAAAAAAAAAAAAAAGAAAAAAAAAAAGAATGACTGGATTGTTACTTTAAAAGGCAGAATACAGAATATAGGAGCAGGAAACCTGGATTTAAAGTATCTGGGTTTGATTTTTGGCCTTACTACCAATTTGCAGTGCAGCCATTAGCAAATTACCCACCCAATCTTTACCTCAGTGTTCATGTCTATAAAGCGGGAATAATGAGAACACCTACTTCACAAACTTTTTGTGAAGATTAAGAAAATATATGTAAAGCACTTAGAACAGTGCCAAGACATAGAAAGGTACCAAAATAAATGTTACCTGCTGGTTTAAAACAGAATGACCACAGGTAACATTTAAGTTGATTCCTGGCCTTGGAGCACAAATGTAGTAATTGCCATCTTCTTGCACATAACCAGTTAAATCTCAGAGATGAAACGCTCATATTCTTTGGTTTATATTTTTGAAACAACAAATCTTTTCAATAATGGAATTGTGAATATAAATTATACTAATGTCTTGTGTTTACATACACTAACTTTAAATAAAACTTGCTATTTGAAACAAGATTGTAAAACAATAAAACTGAGACCAAAAAAAAATCTCACCTCTGCTGCTTCAGCTACTTCTCCCTAGACTTCTTGTGATTTCACTTCCTCTACTATCCCCTTCACAAAACTCCAAACTATCCCCAACTCTGGACTTCGGGTTCAGAGAGCTTTAGTCACTGATAGCTCTGGTGTTTGAAACCTCTAGGGGCTCTGCAAACAAGCTGTGCTTCAGAAGTTTCTTTCTATCTGTGTTTAAAACATGTCTGTTTAGTGATTGTTTCCATTATGAGAAATCTGGGAGAGTTTCTTTGTCCCTTCAAACATCAAGCCTCTAACAGCTTACATCTACATCTTAGTTAATGCCCTAATTTATGACCACATTTGGGTGGCCTGATAAGAATGGAGCCAAAAAAACCATCCTTACTTAGAAGGGTGTCCTGAAGGCCCTGGTAACACGACTTCTTTCTATGACTAGCCCCAGTTAGGGCCTCCTTGAATGATCCTACTGGAGTATTCTTCCTCCTGCCCTTCTAAAGAACCATCAAGACAGATCTTTCTAGGCCTTCCTTGTTCTTTGGTGGAGGCCAGCTGTTAGTGCCCTTCTTTCTAGAGTGCCTAAATGAAAATGAAATTAGTCTTCTGCCACTTTTGCAGTTTGAGAACAATTCTGATGGCAACTTTAAAATCAACTTTTTCTATATTTAAATTGAGCTATTTTATACTTTTGAGCCTTTTAAATGTAACTTGAATAAGCAAGATAACATTTTTTAAACAGAAAAGTTTCCCCTTAAAAGGCAGATTTCATTTCAGGGTTTATATCCTTTTCCTTTTCTTTAATAAAGTTCTTCATTCACTCTTTCCCCATCTTGAGGCATTTTTCTGACCATCTGTGTATTCCCCAGATTTCTAGTCTTATTAAAATAACTTCATCCAATATCTTTAATAGCTTAATATTTAATGAGCACCTGCTGCGTGCAAAGTATAGCACTGAGAGCTACGAAGGATCCAACAAAACATAAACCTCACAAAATAGGCTCAAAACTTTGCGTTTGCCCAGATTTTATTCATACTAAAATTGCATTTTCCCCAATTTTATTCACATTAATAAATATGACATCCTATGTTTCTTGCGCCTTTGTGAATCTAATTTAATGACTTTCAGTGAAATTGCATTGTAGTGGTAAGTAGGTTAATAATGACCACATATTTTATACAGGAAAGAATGGGAAATAATATATGAAAAACATTATAGAGTGCCAAGATGGTATAAGATAAATTAAGACTATTTTAGTTGTTTAAATAAAACTAAATATATTTTGCTATGTACATGTAGATATATACGTTCCTCTCTGCCCTCAAGGAAGCTTCTGTAGCCTCGTTGTAGAGATAGGGCATGAGCACAAATAACTGACGAAAGGCAGTAAGGGAAACACCTGATTTATGTGAGTCTAGTACATATAAATCACACTCCCAACCGAGCAGCTGCACAAGCTTACGTTCCTTCCCACTTTGGACCCTTTAGGGTGTTATTGCTATTGTGTCACATGAAGACCAGGTCATATGCAAATAGCAATAGTCTTTGCCTTCTCTGCGCCTTTTACTAATTCCTCATGTTTTCCCAAAGAGTGAGAGTAAGAGCAGAAGAAACTATATATTTTACATTCATACATTGAAGTCATAAGATAATAATATGCATTTCTGATTGGATGCCAATACATGAGAACAGCAGTGATTCTTTACTTCTACTCTCCTGTCAGCGATCAAACCAAACTGCTCCTTCCGTGACTGATAAACACTGTCATGTTTGCCCAGCCTGGAAATCAAACTCATGATAGTCATTGCTGATAGAATAGTCACTGCTGAAGTGCCCTTTAGCCTGTCTTATCCTTCAATTAAACTGTATGATTTTTGGCAAATGAACATGTGTTTTCTACAGTATGGTTTTTCTTTCAGCCTCTTCTCCATTTCCCCGTTCATATTGGAGTCATTGAAAAATTATATTAATTTGTATTAATTCCACTAGAATTCTCTTTTCCTTTTTCGTTGTGGCCTTGAGGTCTTGTACATAGTTTATTGTTGATACACATTTGGCCCCTAGTGTGAGCCATCTAATTCCCTCTCTTTAGCTCTGTTGTAGATTTCCCCTCTTTGATAAAGTTCCACAATAGGGCCCCTTTCTCTCCACACTTAGCAGTTGCCCTTCTCTCTTTCTCCTCCCTATACATGCATATACACCACATCTTCCCATTCTCCAATCTCTCCTTTACTTTGTCACCCAGTGTCTTGCTATAAAACAAATTTGACTGTGTTAAAAACTCTTTTTTAAAATTTCTAAACCACTAAGACAAAATCCAAACAGCGTATCCTTCATTAAACTTTTCTCATCCATCTGGCCTCATATACCTCCCACCATCTCATCCCTCCCTTGTCTTGATCTACCCACAATATACCCTGTTCTCCTCTTGTGCTCAGTTTCTCACCATTCCATATAACTCCCTGAGGGTGCCCGGCCCCCTCTTCTGGTTTTCATCTTAGCCATGCTCCAACTCCAATGGCCCATCTCCAATGAAGTCTCTCCTGACTTGCCCAGAATCCCCTGCTCTTTCCTCCCTGCTCCCTTCTTCCTCAGCTGCTATTGTGTATTATAACCATCTGGTTCTACATCTGCCCCACAGGCCAGACTATGAATTACTTGACAGTAAGGCCATGTCTTGTTCATTTTTTGTTTCCTGAGTACACATCACAGTTTCTGGTACTAAAAACCTTTACTGTATGCATAAGTAAATGTCAGAGAAATATGTAAAGGATTTTAGAAAGATTTCTATTTAAATAGAAGAAAACTGAGATTCTTAAAAAGCAAAGCTCCATTTATCCAGAAAAATCATTTATATGGACCTGTTGATGCACCCATAATGCTGGAGAAAATGAACATTTATATTTTTCTTATGGCTCACAGTGATCATCATAAGAGTAATGGTCAGTTTCACACAGAGTGTTACTAAAATGAATGCCCACTTAAAACAGATATATCAGTTTTAGTGGGAGAACTCGTGAAGAGAAAGATTTTATATATGCTTTTTCTAGAAAGTTAGGGATCCAGTTTATTTGAAGACCTCAGTATGTGGTGGTTTTAATTTTTTCTATGCATCCCTAGAAAAGACTACAGTGAGATTTAAATTTCAGATGCTATGCCATCAATGTTGATCATATTACACAAATAAATGTGTAGCCTCACAACCCTATCTTGATATTTGAAAAAAGATGATCAGGATGGTACACATAAAAACTACAGCAGTTTGTTTTAATTTTCTCCCAATTACTTTTTAAAAAACAACAAAAACTTTCAGGGTATTAAAATCAGTTCATTTCTACATCAGATTTATTCTAAAGTAACAGAAACCTCAAATTAGATGCTGTACATCACACACAAGTTCTCCTTGAATCCAGTTGTTTATGCTACAGTTACATACAAGTAACACAAGTTGTCTTTGCATCCAATTTATTGAGAACCTGTCATTTCTATGGCATGCATTAAATATTTAAAACTGTTTATCATATTGTGTATCATCTCTTTTATTGTGTTCAGTGATTGATATAAAAATAATTTACTTTATCAAGTAAAAAAAACTATGAATCTCTTTATAAAAATCACATATTGTAATTGTCAGTATAGTTAAAAACAAAAGTAGAAAATATGTGATCTATTACAAATACTGGCAATTAGTTTTTAATTTGGATAGTTCATAAATTTTCAGATGAAGATTTTACACAACATAGACTTGTTTATATAGCTTTACATATTTGTTTTCTAATGCTATTGTGAACTGTTGTTAATTTGTATACTCATTTCTCTTCATTAATTTATGGGAGGATAAGATTGAAAATAGGTAACATTTTAAAGTAGCTATCATAAACATAAATTTTCAAGTGAATTTTTCACAAGAAATGCTTCATCTCAGATCTTTAAATAAAATTAAATGAAGAATAGAATAGAATTAATTCATAAAATATTGGTTTTAAGAAATTATTTTATTCCATTTATAGTTAATAAGTTATAAGTTAATAGTTTTATTCAACTGATTTTTATAAAGTGGTTTAATATGCTTCATTTTTATTCCTGATAGGAACTAATTCCAGAGTTCTACTACCTACCAGAGATGTTTGTCAACAGTAATGGATATAATCTTGGAGTCAGAGAAGATGAAGTAGTGGTAAATGATGTTGATCTTCCCCCTTGGGCAAAAAAACCTGAAGACTTTGTGCGGATCAACAGGATGGTAAGAGAGATTTTGCTTTTGCTTGGGCAGTCATCAGGGAGTTAACATATTCTGTAGTTTTGTTTTGTCCTGTTCTTTACTATAATATTACCAATTATACTTAACATCTATAAATACAAGCTTAAAATTTTAAATGAAAAAGAAAACATTTTACTGTTGTCTTGACAGCATTCCTTATTGTAGAGTGGATTTTCCGTTCATGAGGACTAATAAAGCAATGGTAATTCAGTTATGTTTGCTCCTTTAGGAGAAGACAATCAGATGAGCATCTGTTGACTAATATAATGTATTCTAAAGTGCTTAAAATAAATGCCTATTTCTTAGTTTTATCTACTGACTAAATCTGAACGCTTTTTTCACTTATAAAAACACTCAGAACAGAAAAAAATTTATTTAGAACATATTTATATGTGCGATATTTATGCTGTGAAACATACCTTATGGTGTAAACATTCTGAAATAGAAAACATCTTTTTTTGTTTTGTTTTACAGACAGTGTTTCACTCTGTTGCCCAGGCTGGAGTGAAGTGGTGCAATCATAGCACACTAAAGCCTCAAACTCCTGGGCTCAAGTAGTCCTCCCACCTCAGCCTCTTGAGTAGCTGGGGTTATAGGCAAATGCCACCATGCCAAGTTAATTTTTAAAAAAGATTTTTTTTGGTAAGATAGGATCTCACTATGTTGCACGCACTGATCTTGAACTCCGGGGATCAAGAAATCCTCCTACCTAGGCCTCCCAGAAGAAAACATCATTATTTTAAGCTATATTACAGATATCTGGGTGTTTAAATGAGAAATGTATAAACAGAATGTTCACATATGGGAATTTGATGGGTTTTAATACATTTCACACATATTTAAGGAGATTTTAATCCCAACATGGTTATAGTAGGTGACAATAAACCACTTTACAAAACAGCCTCTCTAGTGTACTCTTGAATTACATCAATAAAACCAATGACGCCAAATATATTTTTAACCCTGTTTCATTCACTCCCAAGTTTTTCCAACTGTCTGATAAATATATTTTATTTTGTTTTTACAGCTTATTTATTTGAATCAGAATTCAAATAAGGTCCACACATTGTGAGGGAATTCACATATTCCTTAATCCTCTTTTCTTAAAGAGCTTAATTGAAATATAATTCATATCCTGTGCAAATTGTTCATCATTTAAAGTAAAAAAAAAATGAATATTAGTCCATTCACAAAGTTGTGCAACCATCACCACAATCAATTTAAGAGCATTTTTATCACCTCATAGAGAACCCCATACCTTTTAGCATCTTCCCCGATTTTTCCTGATTTCCCCATTCTCCCCAGCTAGCCCAAGGCAAACACAAATCTACTTTATATCTCCATTGATTTGACTATTCTAGACATTTCATGTAAACAGAATCATAAAATATGGGGTTCTCCTCCCCTCCTCTCGATTTTCTGTCACTTTTCTTTTGGACTTTACTGTCAGTCACACATTTTCTTCTATTTTGGAGCTGTATGTTCTGTCTCTAAGAAATATTTTACTTTTAACGTACTTTATTTTAGAAAGTTGCTGATGTAATATACCTATGCTTAAAAGCATCATCTAGATAATCTGCAATGTGTTCTCCCCCCTTTTTTTTTAAGAAAATTTCATGTTTTGCATAAGTCTTATTGCCAATCTCTCTCACTTCTCAATCTGTTAAATTGGCACTTTCAGATATATGCAGTTATTTCATACTATTCCCTTGAACAATAGCTTATTTCTTCAATTTATATTTTTAATGTGAATGACTTATATTTCAGTAATATATACTTCTGAAAATTTCTGATTCTTTTTAGAATTGGTATTTCATCACCACATTATTCTCACATACTTGAATGTTATCTGTAAATATCAGTGTAAGGATACCAGCGCTACAAATGGAACCCTAAAGGCTCATTGTATATCAATATCTCTCAGTCACATCATTCCATTGTAGCTCCAGAGCTCAGAGCCCTGCTTGGCACATACTAGTTGTTCAGGAAATATTTCTGAGTGAATGAATGAATTAATGAATTATAGAGGTGTAGTAATCTCATAGCTGTTAGCATATAGTCTATTAAGTCCAAACCAGTCAAACTGAATGAATCCTTCACTCCGGCAAGCAAAGTAGCCAATAGTTGTTGGACCAATGCTTTTGTTGATCATGCTATTGAACAGAATTCTCATATGGGTGCTGATAATAAGTGCCTCTTACCTGTCAGGCATTAAGCAAGGCACTTGATTTTTTTTAACATTTATTTTACAGATAAGAAATATGAAGGCCAGACATGTTTCATAATTTATCCATGGCAGAGCCCAGATTCAAGTACAGAAAAGTTTTAACTCCTAAGTTATACTCTTTCCAGTATGCCAGCTACCTCTGATATTATCTCTTCTTTGTGAAATTCTTTGAGATTATTCGATCTCTACTTTTAGGTTTATAATTGTCAATCCAGACCTTATTTATTTCCTTTAACTTCGTGGACATGGTTAATGCAGATCATTCACAGATAAAGACTGCAAGTATACTAAGCTTAAATATGCATTAAAGAAAAATAGAGTGGTTATCTTTATTATCCACTGGACATTTCACATTTATTAATTTGCTAATGTTTACTGATAATGTACCAGGAAATGTATATGACATTTTTTAGACTTCTAAACATGCAGTAATGCAGACTGGATGAGCAGGAGGCCACTGTTGTTTCCCAGTCCCAGGACTAGGCCACATTTCCTGCTAGAAGAGTACTATTTTCAGTGGTACCCATTCCATTCAGTGTACAGATAACTTTAGGAAAGGGATTTGCCTTCTTAATAAAAGACTGAAAGTTTGAGAAGAAAGTTTTAGGATGAGCGAAGATTTACTATGATACAGGGAAAGGACGTATGTTTTTTAAAAATTGGGGAAGTGGGCTCTCATGTAAATGATCTAAACCATCTTGTCTTAAGTTTCTAGTAGAGGCCTAAATTAACAAAATTGTGTTGTGAAAAGCATAGGGCATTTGGCGTTAGCATTTTTGAAAGCAGTTATGTAAGATCAGTTTCTCATTATAGTTATTTAAGCAGAGACTTTTTTGTATTGAAAAGAAGCCATTGGAGAGAGAGTATGATGTCTCCTTTCAGTTTTTGCAGCAGCTCCCTTATCTTGCGTTACCAATAGCAAATTTCAGTGAGAACAGGAGTAACTAAGTATTTAAACTAGTACTTAATTATAATACAGGTAAATACTTCTCCAGATAGAGAAAGCCTGCGCAGAATGCTGTTTGGAAATAGGAACACAGCTAGTCAGTGGTCTTGGTGAGAAGCTGCCTGCTCTGTAAATGAGCCGAAGTCATAACAAAGATAGGTGGAAGTAAAGGTCCTCAGTGATATCTCTTCTTAGGAGTACGTCTGCACTGATGCTTCCAAATGCAGACATAGGAAACAGTGGACTAAGTGATTGGTCAAATGCCTCCAGATTCGTCCACTGAAAAATAATTTGTTTGCTATAGAAATTGGTCCCCACAGTTTTTCCTCCTTTTTGTCTTCCTCTCTGCTCATAGCTCACACTGTCTTCTTAGCTGTTCTGCTGTGTTTATTGCTTTACCTGATTAATAGACATGGCAAAACAGGCTTTAAAGATAAATTGGTGAAACCTTGTCCCTACAAAAAATACAAAACTTAGTCAGGTGTGGTGACACAGTGTCTGTGATTCCAGCTACTCAGGAGGCTGAGGTGGGAGGATCGTTTGAGCCTAGGAGGTCGAAGCTGCAATGAGCCGAGATTGCGCTACTGCACTCCAGCCGAGATCGCGCCACTGCACTCCACCAGAGCAAGACCCTCTCTCAAAAAAATAAAATAAAATAAAGATAAATTGGCATTCAACAAATGGTGCTGGAAAAATTGGTGCTAGAAGAGTTGGATATCTATATCCAAAAAAAAGGAAGGGGAAGGTTTCAGTCCTTACATCACACCATATAAAAAAATTAACTCAAAATAGATCATGGACCTAAGTTTGAAACCTGAAACTATCAAACATCTAAAAGAAACATATAGGAGGAAATCTTTGTGACTTTATGTTAGCAAAGATGTTTTAGATATGACAACAAAAGCACAACCTATAAAAGAAAACATTGATACACTGGACTTTATTAAAACTTAGCTTGTTTGAACACTACTGTAAGAAAATTAAAAGACAAGCCACAGGCTGAGAAAAAATATTTCAAAACACATCTAATAAAGGACTAGGATCTAAAATATATAAAGAGCACTCAAAAATCAATAAAAATAAAACAATATTTAGATAATTAATTTTTTTAAAGGAGGGGCAAAAGAATCTTCAGCGAAGAAGATATGTAGATGGCAAATAAACACATGAAAAGATGCCTCATATCAAAAATTAATCCACAAATTAAAATTAATCAAATTGAAACCACAGTAAGCTACCATTACACATTAGAATGACTTTAAAAATTAAAAGGGGGAAAAAAAAAAAAACCTCTGACATCCCAAGCCCTGGTAGAGATGCACAATAGCTGAAATTCACATATCCTGCTGGTACAAAACAGTTTGGTTGTTTCTTATAAACACACACCAACCATATAACCCAGCAACCCTGCTTCTTGGTTTTAGCCCCCCAAAAATGAAAACTTATACAAGTACATCAATGTTTATAATGGCTTTATTTGCTTTCATCAAAAGCTGGAAACTACCCAAATATTTCTCACCTGGTAAAGGGATAAACAAACTAAAATAAACTATAGTAACTCCATATTATGAAGTACTAGTTAGCCATAAAAAAGAACCAAGCACTGATACATGTAACAAAATCACTTTCTTGCTGTCACTTGGATGATGCCAAAACATTTTTAACGGCTTTATTAAAATATAAGTTATATATCATAAAATTCACTTGTTTTCAGTGTACAATTTAATGATTTTTAGTAAATTTTAACAGTTATATGACCATCACCACAGTCTAATCTTAGAATATTTTCACCACCCCAGAAAGATTCCCTGCCCACCTCCAGCCCAAGGCAACTGCTAATCAACTTTTTATCTCCAAAGGTTTGCCTTTTCTGTGTATTTCATATAAAAGGAATTATACAATATGTGGTCTTTGAGTTTGACTTCTTTGAGTAGTTTTTGAGATTCACCCATGTTGTAGCATGTATTGGTACTTTGCCCAACTTTTTACATAATACTACCACATTGTGTGGAATATCACATTTTGTTCACCCATTCATCAGTTGATGAACATTTGATTTGTTTCTACTTTTTGGCAATTTTGAGTAATGCTGCTATGAACAGTCATATACAAATTTCTATGTGAACATACATTTTTATTTATTTGGGGTATAGACCTAGGAGTAGAATTGCTGGGTCATATGGTAAATTTATGTTTAACTTCTTAAGAAACTGCCCAGCTGTTTCTCAAAATGACCTTGCATTCCCCAGCAATGTATGACAGTTCCAGTTCCTCCATAGCCTCACTCCCACTTGTTATTACCTGTTTTTTTTTTTTATTACAGCCATTCTAGTGAATGTGAGGTAATATCTCATTACAATATTTTTTTTTCTTTTTTTTTTGAGACAGAGTCTCGCTCTGTCGCCCAGGCTGGAGTGCAGTGGCACCATCTCGGCTCACTACAAGCTCTGCCTCCTGGGTTCACGCCATTCTCCTGCCACAGCCTCCTGAGTAGCTGGGACTACAGGCGCTCGCCACCACGCCCGGCTAATTTTTTGTATTTTTAGTAGAGATGGGGTTTCACCGTGTTAGCCAGAGTGGTCTCGATCTCCTGACCTCATGATCTGCCCACGTTGACCTCCCAAAGTGCTGGGATTACAGGCGTGAGCCACGGCGCCTGGCCTACAATTTTAATATATATTCCCTAGTGACTAATGATATTGAGCATCTCTTCATGTATTTATTGAATGCTAAAACATTTTTAGATTTATTTTAATAAAACATTTAGTGATTCATTATAGACACAGAATTTGTGTTCTTCATAGTCAAAGAAGTTTGTATGCCCCCAGAATTAATAATTTTATTACTGATGTGCCTAAATGAAATAGAAAAGCCAGTCTTGCTTTTAAAGACAAATCCCCTAGACAGTGTTATACCCCAAATTTTTTGAATGTAGGAAAAGCTAATAATTATTGTTGATGAGAAACCTTTAAATAATTAATGTTGGTATAAGCTAAACAAGCAAGACCTACCTATATCTGCAGAAAATGCTACATTCAACTAGTGTGTTGGGTGGTAATGCAATCCAACTAAATAAACTTTCCAGATAAATGAATTTTCTAGATTTTCCTAAGTGAGAACTTTTTAGAAGCATTATGGTTATCTGTTAAGTTTTATTTTATTTTTAATTGACAATTAATAATTGTTTATATTTATGGGGTATACTGTGATCTTTTGATATATGTATACAAGTCAGAATAGTTAGCATATCCATCACCTCAAATATTTATCATTGCTTTGTGGTAAGAACATTTAAAATATATTTTAAAAATATATATATTTACATATATATATAAATAATTAACTACAGTCACTTTGCTGTGCAATAGAACACCAGAGTTTATTCCTCCTAACTGTAACTGCACCATTGACCAACATTTCCCCTTTCCCTATCCATATCTCCCATCAGCCTCTGGTAACCACCATTCTACTCACTACTTCTATGAGTTTGACTTTTTTAGATTCCATACATAAGTGAGATCATACATTATTTGTATCTCTGTGCCTGGCCTATTTTATTTAACATAATATCCTCCAGGTTCATCCATGTTGCCACAAATGACAGAATTTCCTGTTATTTCTTAAAGCTGAATATCATTTCATTGTTTATATATACCATATTTTTAAAATCCATTCATTCGTTGGTAGACACTTAGGTTGCTTCCATATCCTGGCTATTATGAATAATGCTGCAGGGAACATGAGAATGCAAATATCCCTTTAGCATACTGATTTCAGTTACTTTGGGTAAATACCTAGTGGGATGGCTGGATTATATGGTAATTCTATTTTTAGTTGTTTTTGTTTGTTTGTTTGTTTGTTTGTTTGTTTTGAGACAGTGTCTCACTCTTGCCCAGACTGAAGTGCAGTGGTGCAATCAGTGACCACTGCAGCCTTGAACTCCCGGGCTCAAGTGATCCTCCCACCTCAGCCTCCCAAGTAGCTGGGAGCACAGGTGCATGCCACCACACCCAGCTAATTTTTAAATTTGTTATAGAGATGGAAGAGTCTTGAACTCTTGGGCTCAAGTAATCCTCCCACCTCAGCCTCCCAAAATGCTGGGATTACAGGCATGAGCCACCAAGCCAGGCCTATTTTTAGTTTTTTGAGGAATCTCCAAATTGTTTTCCAAAATGGCTTTACTAATTTATGCCACTACTAACAGCGTAGTTGTTCCCCTTTTCTCCACATCTTTGCCAACACTTATCTTTCATCTTTTTTATAATAGCCAATCTAACAGGTATAAGGTTATATCTCACTGTGGCTTTAACTTGCATTTTTCTGATGATTAGAGATGTTGAACATTTTCTCATATGTCCATTGGCCATTTGTATGTCTTCTTTTGAGAAATATTTATTTAAATTCTTTGCCCATTTTTAATAGGATTATTTGTTTCCTTGTTGAGTAGTTTCGGTTCCTTGTATTATGGTTATCTTTCTAAAATTTATTACTACTTTGTTCCCTGCCCTTTTATACAAGGAATGATACTTCATTTTTTACTTAAAAAAGTCAAGTTTATCATCCTGAGTACCCATTGTTATTCCATGAAGTGATATAATTCCATATCTATTATTTTCTACTTTCTTCTTCAGGTTGTCAGCTATCAGTACAGTTCCCTTTAATAGCCCTCAGCCATACCAATGAAAATTGGTTGTTTACAATCTCTTCTAGACTACAAAACCAGATAATTCATTGTATCAAGCCCTTATTATAAGGCTTAAGAATCAGTCAAGTGCTCAGTGAGGCCGTAGAGGAAATGTGAATTTTGTAGCTCTGATAGGGAGTGACTTTAGCCTCTACCTCAAGTTTCACTGGCCACTGCTGATTTGGAAGTTGTGTATCAACAGATGAAGTGACAAAACCATCCTTAGTAAATTAATGTAACTACAGGCAGCACCAGGTTAACACTTCTTCTTACATGCAAACAGCTATCTGGCTGGCCTAAGGCATTCTTCTCCCCTAGTATAGCTGCTTGCATTTGTTTCTCCTCTTTCCTCATTCCAAGACTTAACTGCTGACAACTGCTGCAAATCAGAATGGATACCCTAATCTTAGCCACCTTACCCCATACCCTAGTGATAGTCCTGAGTCATCCTGATATGAAGGTTGACCAGGATATCATAATGGCAATGATAGTGCTTGTAGGACATGCCATTTGAGTGTGTATTCTGTGCCAGATACTGTGCTAGAACTTCAGGTGCATCATTGTTTTAATCCTTAAAAAATCACTTTCAGAGGCCAAGGCAGATCGATCGCTTGAGACCAGGAGTTCAAGGACCAGCCTGGGCAACATGTTGAAACCCCATCTCTACTAAAAATACAAAAAAAAAAAAAACAAAAAAAAATTAACAAGGCATGGTGGTACATAGTCCCAGTTACTCGGGAGGCTGAGTGAGAGAATCACTTGAGCCCAGGTGGACAGTGAGGCAACATCACACCATTGCACTCCAGCCTAGGTGACAGAATAAGACCCTGTCTCAAAAAAAAAAAAAAAAAAAATTAGCTGAGGAGTTATTGACCTGAAACCCATTGAGGTAAAAATATATTTTTTTTGAGACAGAGTCTTACTCTGTTGCCCTGGCTGGAGTGCAGTGGCACGATCTCAGCTCACTGCAACCTCCGCCTCCTGGGTTCAAGTGATTCTCCTGCCTCACCCTTCCGAGTAGCTGGGATTATAGGCATGCACCACCACGCCCGGCTAATTTTTTGTATTTTTAATAGAGACAGGGTCTCACCATGTTGGCCAGCCTGGTCTTGAACTCCTGACCTCAGGTGATCCGCCTGCCTCAGCCTCCAAAAGTGCTGGGATTACAGGCCTGAGCCACCATGCTCGGCCCCATTGAGGTAAATTTACATGCCAAATACCACCACCTTATCAAGGTGTCAGTGTTCTTATTCACAGTCTCCAGGATAGGTAAGTGGTGGTGGCAGGCAAGAGGAGCCGTGGAGGAGAGGAGAAAGGAGAAGAGAAGGAAATCCGAAGCCAGCTCCGTAGGGTGAGCAGAAGATGGGAAGAGATGAGAATTCAGCATGGTCCAGCCCCAGCAGCTTTTAGGGCCTGACTGTCTATGGTCCCTGTTTCTATATCTTTTACCCTCCACCCTTACCCGTAAGGCTTCCTTTCACTGCCAGGAAACCCTGAACTTACAGCTGAGGAAGTGCCAGCTCTCTCTGCCCATCTGGTATGAGAGGAAGTGTGTCCTCCTTCAATTCTACAAATGGAAGAAATGATATTCATTTACATTCTAAGCTTTGTAGTCATGGGATTTTAGAACTGGAATACACCTTTATTTGAATGAGGAGTCTGAGGCCTAGGAAGGCAAAGTGGTTCATGGAAACTCTGAACCCAAGTGCTTTTCTAACTAACCATGCTTGGTGTCACAAGTTGGAACTCTGAATGTAGTGTCCCCTTGTTCCGTCTTAAAGTCTGTAAAATTCCACCTGTATTTTGAATTAAATTTAATTTATAGATTGACCTGCGAACAAAACCATAGTAGAATAATACTGTTTCTACTGCAATATATATTCCAATCACCAAATTATAAAGAAACTTTGGAATATCCTGTTTGTTATTTGCAAACTGTCTGTATCTGTGCTTAGATGGCCTCCAAACACCTAATTGTGACCCAGACTTAAAATTCAGTTTTCCTCAGTGACACTCTGGTCTGTCTCAGTACACATGTGATCAATACACAGGTTTTCTTTTAAAAAGTCTCTTTAAAAAACCTGATTCTCACCAGATGGTTTCATGACATTTGGGTTTTAGAGAATTAACAGATTATTCATTGAAAGGAATAGCCTGAAAAATTGTATAATACTATAAAGACAATTTAAACTCTGAAGTAGGTTTTCCCTCTTACTGTAAGAGAGAATAAAACACATGAATACAAATTCTGAGTAACAATTTTTAAAATTTATAATTGCTCAGAGTACTTATATTGCACATAAATTAAATATAACAAATAATTTACTCCTGATACTAATATGACCAGTTTAAGAACTGACTTCTGTTTATATATACTTCTTACCTGTTATAACTTGTCTTTTTAACATCTAAAGTGCTGATAAGCAGACTTTATTCAAAGTGTGCTTCTTTAAAATAAGCCTCACGGTGTAGCATCCCTGTAAATACATATTAATCCAGCCAGCTGTGTGCAATGCACTAGGAACTGTAAGGATTCATATGTAATTCAGTGAAGCCACTGTTCCTCAAATATTTACTCTCGCAGATTCAGAAGAATTAAGTTTTACAACTAATATATGAAGGATACATATTGTGCATCTCTGGAAATATAAAACATTCTCAGAAATGAATAGTCCATTTTAATTGTAAGTAGTAAGTTCCAACTTGTGTTCATGAAGGAATGAGAGAAGCAAGGCACTGCAGTTTCCCTATGTTCTAAACCAAATTCCTGTTATTTCATCATAGGAATTAATGGATCTGGTAAGACTTGTGAACTGAAACTTTATTCCATGGAGCGAAAGGCTTTATACAAAATTCTGCATATTCAGGATAATTAAACTGCCCCAGTCTGTGTTCTCTGCATCACCTGGAAGCAGTGCCGGGTGAAATGGATCACGTGTAGGAGTGCCTCACTTGAAAAGTGCTTATTGTTTCTGTGTTGTGCTTCTGGGTTTTCCTTGAAGGAAGCCTACGGAATAGAAAGGGAAAGCTACCTTGTGTGTCAACAAAAAGCTGTATCCATAACAGCTATAGCAGCCATTCTTAGTTGCTTCAGAATTAGAGCTAAAGGAAAAGCCCACACTGCTGCCTCTGAGAACTGTCTTAAGCATCAACGCTACGCAAAGACATCTCGTGAAATGTGGCTGCATGATTCTGCAGCTGCTCGTCTCTCAGTGTCTCCTGTGCTGCTTCAACTTGAAGTTTTCCTTCATAGCACCTTTTTCATAGTTTCTGTTGCTCCAACTCCTGGTCGGTTTTCTCATCCTACTACTAGGAAATGATCATACTGATCTCTTGCAGAAATAATGTCAGATATCTGTGTTAAAACTAAAAAGTTTAACCAGTTATCTACATATGTTCATACTTGCTGAAGGAATGTTTATTTGGTGAGTATTTATGTAATATACAAAGTCTAGGCACTCATATAAAATATCAAGTATTTAAATTTTCCATAAATTCCTTGAATATAGGCTGTATTTTTTATGTTGTTTTGTAACTTTAAAAGTTTCTAACTTTATATTGGCTGGGTAATTCATACAGGATTTAGTTCTTATGAAATAGCTTTAGAGAAAATGTGCTCTAGTATATTTATAATTTTGACTAGGATTATCTTCAGTTATTTGAAAGAGTTCTTTGTAATGAGCCTAAAGTATAAAATGAAAATGTCATATATTCCAAAGAGATGACATTCACAGTGGTAAAAAACCTCCATTTCTTTGTATGGATTAGTATTCTGTACCTATGAGTATTCCCTCCTTCTTTCAAACTGTCATTAAGAAATTCAAGGCAAAGATGACAAAATATTATAAAAAGTGATATCATTGATGATTAAATGCCCAGCTTTATTACTGCATGCCAGCAATTGAACAGCAGGTATTTGATGCATTTGTAGCAGACTTTACATGTCTACAACCTAATTTCATTTTTTATTTTTTTAAAAAATGAAGCAGTACTTTGTTGTTTAAGTTATGGACAATAACATGTATGTAATTGGTTAGAATTGTTTGTTTTGTAAATACAGTGCCAAGAGTTATGTTTCGCTGTGAAATACAAAGTTTACTCTCACTAGAAAACCTGGAAAAGCGATACAGACACATTTAGTAGACATTTCAATGCATTCTAAGGTCATTAAGTTTATACGTCAAGAATTGGTTTAATTTATCCACATGAAGCTAGGCTTATTAGACTGACTTACTCATGAAACATTAATAAAGCATTGTGTTTAGTTCTAACCTGATTATAATCTGACCTTCTGACAAAGGACAGAAATAGAAAGTATCTGATAACATTACCCTAATGCTGGGTTCATCCATCATAATCTACCCTTTTAAAAATTTGTTTTAGAAAAAGGCCCTTTCACGGATGTGCATTGATAATCTCATCTCGCCCTCAGCCCAGCAGATTCCTGGTGCTGCTGGGCCAAGTACAGGCTGTCTGCAGTCAGCAGAGCATGCACAGCAACTGAGGCAGGGGAAGCCAAGCTCCAGTGTGGCTCTGCTCATATTGTATTATAACCTTTACAGAATGTCCGTATTTCAAAGAAAATGTTTCCTTTTTAAGCTGGGTTTTTTTTTTAAGTAGATTATACCCCAAATGCAAATGTAAAAATTTGCATTTGGGGTATAATCTACTTTTAAAAACCCCAGCTTAAAAAAGAATTTTAAGCAAATAACATAAGAATTTTTGGAAGTCTTATGTAGGAATTCAAAATATCAAGATAGACATCTTGTGTTTGAGTGCCATCTCTGGAACACCTGTTAGCCATGTGTTGTGCTGAACCCCTATTAACTTCAACAGGGATGGCACCAGGTTCTAGAGGCCAAAGAAGAGACCCAGAGCCAGTGAGCATGACATAGAGTTTTACTGGGGACTTACCTATCGGGGAAAGTCCAGTGGTAGCAGGCTGGACAGGAGACCCATATGGCTCAGTGGCAGCAGACTGGACAGCAGAACTGCAACCGCTTGCAAAAAACCTGCTGTTTATATCACATTTTTATTTAACACTCCCCCACCCAACCACAACATCCTGTATCTGGCAACCTTCATTTAACCCAAAACAAAGGGCCTTGATTCCCATTATGGCCTGAGTTCCAAGAGATGGGCCAGAGGGGGCTCAGATATTCTTCACAGATAAGGAATGGATCTCCAGGTTGGCCACCCCAATTCCCTAGCTTGAGACTCTCAACTGCATTCAGGTGTGTCTGCCATACAGGGTCTTTCTCAAGGTTTGTTCAAGTCATCACTGTCAGGTGCAGCTTACCGCACACCATGACACTTGGAAGTAAGACACCCTATCTCTTGGAACTGCAGTGTCCTCCTTATTTCTCAAATTGAGGACTTGTTCATTCCATAAGTCTTTACTGAGAGCTAGTTATGAGCAAAGCATTATGGAAAATACAAAGAATGGCCATGGATCCTACTCTAAGTGAAGTTAGAGTAGAGAAATTCCTTCGTTCATTCCGTAATTATGAAGGGGCTATCATGCACTTCATCCTGCTCTGGGCTCTGGGAACACAAGGATGAGCAACTCAGTGAGTGGCTTCAGAAGGTGCACTCTAGTTAGGGACACAGACAAATAAACAAACAGTCCCAGTAAACACTGATAGTGTTTATTCAACAGATACCTGTTGAGTGTTCCGGGTGATGTTTTATGTGTTTGCAAGGATCCCTGCCGTCCTGGAGCTCACTTTTGATCAAAGGGAGACAGGCGATAGACAATTTTTTAAAAGTGAAATATCTAGTATCTTAGAAGGTGACCGGTGGTAGAAAATACCACTGCAAGAAAAGGAGACTGTGAGTACCTGCAGGGGAGAGAGGTCAGGACAGCCTCCCTATGAAGGGAGATTAGAGGTAGGCCTGGAGGAGCAGAGGGAGGGAGCCAAGTGACTCTCTTGGGGAAAGAGCATGGTGGGCAAAGGGAACATTAGAGCAAAGGCCTTATGGCAGGGATGTGGTTGGCAAGGAGGCCAGTGGGCCAGGAAAGGGTGGGCAAGTGGGCACACAGTAGGACAAGAGGACTGAGTAGTAGTGGGGGAGCATCACACAGGGTCTTGAAGGCCATCATAAGTACTTTGCCTTTTTACCCTGAGTAAAATGTAAAGTCCTTGCAATCTTTTGAGTGGAAGTGTGACTGATCTTCCTTATGTTTTGAAGGGATCACTCTGGCTGCAGTGTTGGGAATGAATGATTCTGCAAGGGTAGAATCAGGGAGATCTGCTAGAAGGTAATTTGAGAGATGATGGTGGCTTGGACCAGGGGTAGCAGTAAAAGTAGTAAGAAATTATTGATTCTGGGTGTATTTTAAAATTTGAGCCTATAGTCTCCCTGGGACTTCCTACCAGTGGCCATTTTCCCTCAGGTATCTCTAGTCTTACAGAGGCAGGTGAAGGGCTGGGGATGAGCATGCGGAGTAGTGATGGCTACAGCAGCAGAGATAGATAAATCCATCTTAGCAGAACATTTTAGAGAGTTCAGCTAAAATGAAAGCGTGGGTGTTTAGTGCCTGTTGTCAACTTGGCCCTTTAGCAGAAATTCTAAGCAGCGGAAAAAGCCAGAGTCAACATGTTTATCCTCCGCTAGACTGTAATCTTTTTCAGGACATCGAATGCTTATTCATCTATGTGTCCTCTAAGGCTAATGTCTGACATATGGTTGGTGGTCAGTAATCTGGGGCAGGAGAGATATTAGACTATATTCACCTTGTTTATTTGCATTTCAGTGGGATCTGCTCCCAAAGATCAGAGGTTTTGTCTTGTTTGTCACAGCATCCCAGGGCCTAGAACACTGCCTGGCACATAACAGGTGCTCCATGTTGAATGAATGAATGCTCCCTCTGTTTGAAATGCCCTTCTCCCAGATGTCTTTATAGTTCATTTCTTCACTGGGGTCCTTAATTGTCACAAACTCAGAGAAGCCTTCCCTGACCTCCTCCCCTAAACTAGCAATCCTCCCCCACTACACATACACCCTACTCCCCATCCTGCTTTTCTGTTTCCTTCGCACTTGTCACCTGCTGACACACCCTGTATCTTACTAATTATGTTAGTTTTTGTTGGTCTCCTCCCAGTACAATGTAAACTCTCTTGCAGGGACTTTGGGTTTTTTTGTTCACTGCTATAATCTTACAATCTAGAAGAGGGTCTGTCACAAAGCAGATGGCCAATCAATATTTGCTGAGTGAATGAATGAGCTTCTTCCCCAGCCCCGCCCTCATTACTGACATTTCCTTTATTCCTTCCTCTTGTGATCATCACATCTTTTCCACTGCTTTAATTAATAAACCTATAAATATTTATTAAACAGTTATTATCCAATGATAGGTTAAGAGTTGTGGGAAATGCAAGATAAGAATTAGATAAAGTCCCTATCTTCAAAAGGCTTACATTCTAATTGAGGATATAGTATTAACTTTGGAAACAATGAAGTGCTAATTGGCAATCATCCCATTCATTTGTACAGTACCTCACAGTTTGTTGTAAAATGATTTCACAAGTAAATTTGCATGTGTTATCTTACTCTATTAAGTAACAAGAGGATACTGATGAAAAGTGTTGGGTAGAAATTCATAGAAAAAAACAAGTGAGAGCTGAGAACACAGGAAGCAAACACTGAACTTGAGTAAGAAGGATGAGTAGGTCTTCAAAAAGCAGGAAGACAATGCTTTCAAGCTAGAGAGAAAGAAAGCAAAAGCTCTGAGGTCATACCAGCTGCTGTGTGCCCAAGGGCTGTGAAGTGTCTGTGCTGGGGAAGCTAAGGATTTATATCAGGAAGTCCTGAGAAACAGTGGGGAAAGGTGGGATGGAGGTTTGAAAGGCCTGAGTCACATAGGTTATGCTGGGAGGAGCAGTGGCAGCTTTGAAAAAGAGAATGGCAATGTGGACATGATGGCTTGACAAGTCTGTCCCACAAGCAGGACACCAGACAGACTGGATTCAGAAGAAGTTTGAAGTATGTTGTAGTAACCCATGTGGAGAGCTGTGAGGGTTAGAAATAATCTTCTGTCTTATACATCCAGAAACAGTCAAGTACTGGAATAATTTAAGCCCCTTAAAATAAACATCAAAGACAACTATATTGTCTCTACTTAAAACAGTTGAATTATTGAAGTTGTAATAGCTACAACTTCAGTCAAATTATGAAAAGAAGATGGCATAGACACTACAGAAGTGACAATATGGCTTTCTGATTATCTACTTGAATATATGCAACTCTATTTAGAGAATTTTTTAATCTCAAAAGCAGATTTTTGACGTAATGAGAAAAAGGGATGGGAAATATTTTTGCTCTGATCTAGAAGAAGACATGGGTATTTAATATTCTTAAATTTTAAAATTCAGGAGAAATATTGTCTCCTCACAGTTAAATTTGGTAGTCTACTTTCTTTTTTTTCATAAATTTCGGAGAAGCTTTACCCCAAACCTGCTAGAGAAAGAATTCTGTACCATCCAATACTCATGGGAGAAAATAGAAATTAGAATGAGGGAAATATTATCCATCTAAGAGATATCCTCTCTAGTTTAAATATCACTCTTTATTTCCTTCTTTCCAGATCCCCAGGGTAGAGCTCTGGATTGGGAATTGGTTTATCTAGGCTTAACGCAATTGCTTCTGCCTTTAGATATGCAAGTAGAGGGTAAAGAAAGCTATTAAGACCATTATGACACTAATAGCTTAGTAATCAAGTATTTCTTTACATTTTTCCAATGTAAGTATTGTACTAAAAATCCCGTTTCAAAGTGCCAAATAGGTTTGTATATAAAAATGGTTCTGAAAAGAACAAAATAAACAGATACCAATGACCGGTCAATACTGTTTATAGTAAAGAGTCTTAATGTCAGGCTTCAGCTTTAGACAAGTTGTTATATTTTAATTATTGATAGCTAATGTTCCATTCTTAGATATTCATTTAATTTTGAACTAGATTTAGCTTTTAAATGTGTAAACTGTATCTTCTTTTCTTTCTGCACAGTAAGTGGCAAGATAAAAAATCGACAAGACTTTGTTTAACCTCTTACCTCATTGTTCCTTTGCCATTTAATTTTATAATAAAAAAGACAAAATTATTTAACTATAATTAATTATTTATTGATTCACTATGCTGCCTCTCTAAGATATAGAATAGGGTAAATAACTATAGACATAAATATTTTTTAATTTAATTAAAGACTATTATGAGCATCTATGAGCTAATAAATCTTAAAACTGAGATGAAATGGATGAATACTGAGAAAAATATTTAAAATGTCAAAATTGAGACTTACAAGGCTTATGGAAATTTAAATGGTAAAATCTTCCCATCCCCTCCTCAAAATTCAAGGCCCATATTACATTACACGTAAATTCTACCAAATTTTCAACAGATAATGAATTCATTTTCTTATACAAATTGTTCCAGGAAACATGGAAAGCTATCCAGCTAATTTTATGAGGCTAGAATTCCAAAAACAGTGAAGGGGAGGAAAAAGAAATAAGGCTTATTTCATGTACGGCTATAAATATAAAAATTCTAAATGAATTCTTATCAATGTTATTAAATGTGTGTGTATATGCCTGTGTGTGTGTGGGTGTGTGTGTGTGTGTGTGTGTGTGAGAATTGCATCAGGACTAAGTAGAGTTTAACCCTTAAGATCAGGAAAAAGATAGGGATTTTCCACATCACCACTGCTGTTTTACATAGTTCTTAAGGCTAAGAACAATTCTATAAGAAAACAAAAAGTTGTAGGTGTAACTACTAAGAGTGGCTACAAACACAATCAACTTCTAGAAATCAGTATCATTGTTCTACATCATTAATAACCAAGTATAAAATATAGTTTCAAAGTATTACAGTTGCATCAAAATTTATGAAGTATCTGGGAATAAACTTAACCAAGAACACTAAGATAAAACTTTTATGGAGAAAATTTTATTTTTTAACTCTAATAAAGGACATAGAAAATGATCTGTATAAATCAAGATATTTGGGGACCTTGGATAGTAAAACCTAGTGTCAGTGTTCACAAATTAATGTATAAATTGATTGGCATTCCAATCAAATTCTTTTGATATATCTATGCACTTAATGTAAAAGTTACAAAGAAGAATAAATGTTCCTGAATAGCCTAGTTTATCCTGAAAAAAAGAATAAATTCTAGCACATATTGAGATATGTAAGAAATAAGATAATTAAGATAAGGTAATAATAGAAATGAAAAATATAGAAAGCTGGACACACATACGTTGACATGATAGGTACATAGAAGAGAGAGCAAAAGAATATAAAGATAAAATAAATTAAGATAATAATAGAAATGAAAAATATAGAAAGCTGGGCACACACATATCTAGACATGATAAATACATAGGAGAGAGAGCAAAAGAAAAGGAGGAAGGAGACTGGGCTTCTATGTAGATTATGATATTATCTGTAAATAACGGCAGCTTTATGTCTTCGTTTCAAATATATATTTACACAGTAAAGATAATACCATACATCTCTGAGAAAAGGAATTTTTGTTTAATAGATGGTATTGGAAAAACTCACTCACTTTATAAACAAAAATAAGACTGGACCCATATCTAATATCATATATGAATGAAAGTAGATGTAGATTAATTAAAGATCAAAATATGAAAAGTAAAACCATAAATATAAAGCTAAATGATACAAATATATTTATCTCTATAATTCAAGACAAAACCTCAAAGCATAAACATTTTTAAAACATGATTTGATGATCTCAAAATTAAGAAAATATATCCAACAAAGAACATGGATAAAGTTAATAGATATATGACATTTGGGAGAATGCATTTGCAGTGTTTCAAACCAACAAGGAACTCTTATCTAAAATATATAAATCAGGCCAGGTGCAGTTGCTCACATTTGTAATTCCAGCACTTTGGGAGGCCGAGGCAGGCGGATCACGTGAG
Organism: Homo sapiens; assembly: GCF_000001405.40. Taxonomy (NCBI): domain Eukaryota; kingdom Metazoa; phylum Chordata; class Mammalia; order Primates; family Hominidae; genus Homo; species Homo sapiens. The sequence goes on from NC_000013.11 coordinate 35,625,404, forward strand.
CTCAGGAGTTTGAGACCAGCCTGGGCAACATGGCGAAACCCTGTCCCTGCAATACAAAAATACAAAAATTAGCCAGGCACGGTGGCGCATGTCTGTAGTCCCACCCAGCTACTCGGGAGGCTGAGATGGAAGGATCACTGGAGCCCAGGAGACGGAGGTTGTAGTGAGCTGAGATCGCAACACTGCACTCCACCCTGGGCCATAGAGTGAGATCCTGTCTAAAAAATAATAATAATAAAATTAAATATATAAATCAACAATATAAAGACAAGAACCTCCAGTGTTTAAATGGGTAAGGGATATGAACAGGAAATTTACAGAAGAGGAAACCCAAAAGACCAACAAGCATATTAAAAAGATGTCAAATCTGTTAGTAATTTGAGGAATACAAATTAAAACAATGAGATATTATTTTGTATCTCTTATACTGGCCAAAATTAGAAACCTGGATAATACTAACAGTTGATGGAGATAAGGACGTATAGAAACTGTCATGCATTGCTAGAGAGTGGGCACGGATGACTCACATTAAGTATGCACTCCCAGTTCTACTCCAGATTATAAATCCCAAAGAAATTCTCAGAAAGATCCAAAAGGGGCATTTATCACAGGCTTGTGTCATGGGGATTAGAGGTAGCCTGGTGTTTGTTACCAGGGGAGTTTTGTGCAGCCATGAGAAGCAATGGGCTAGTCACACAGTGACACAGGTAGATTTTTAAAATAATACTAAGTGAGAAAAGTAAGGAACAAAATGAAATTTTTAACCCTATATATTTTTATAGTTCAAAAGTATATCCACAAAAGAATGAGTAATATTTTATAAGGGCACATGCAAACAAAAGGAGAAACATTAAATACATTATAGTTATTGCCCATGGTGGTGGAAGGAAATGAAAATAGGAGATGGAGATAAAAGAGAAAAAACACATTTTAAAAGCTCAAATTATTGAAAAGTCATCATTCCCACTACCACTCATGATTCCATTAGGTATTTTATTCAATAATGGTTTTACTCTAATAGAGATAATAGTAAATTTCATCAAACCTTTCTTTAGTGGTATCTATAAGATATATTTGTAATGAATGCGCTTAGCTGATCATGTTGGTAAAATCTTCCTTTAAATTATTTATCTGATTCCATAACTAAATTGAATTCCTGTGAATAGACTTGAGCAGTAGTTACTCAATAATGAACCTCTATTTACTCATTTTTTAAATCCCTTCATTTATTGCATCAGACACTGAAAATATTACTAAATAATTAGACTGACATTTTTTCTTAATTGAATAGTTATAGAGAATTGACAAAATCATTTATACAAATTGACCAAACTAATATAGACATAATACAGAATTTTAACCATCTCTTCTTTCAGACTCATTTCCTGTGTTCTACTCTGAACTGTTATTTCAAGATCGATGAGATAGACAATATAGAAATTCTGTTTGCCTTTAGTATGGAAACTGTTCTTTCATAAAATGTCATTGTTTACATTGCTGAATGAGAAACATCCACACTAATTGGTGTAGATGAAATACAAAAAATTTTGAAAGGAATAAATCAGGAAAGGGATTGAAGGGAATAAATTACTAGTTAAATGTGATCACAGGAAAAGTTGAAAAGTATTATTTATAATATTTTATATACTTAAAAAATGAAAAGCAGTTTTTGGCAATCTTAATTCAAGAAATCATTTATTCATTAAGTGAATTCCAAATTGGTTTCAACACCATGGAAATCACAGAGAATGACTTTGTTCACATATTTAGTGACCGCCGTAATTTAGAAAATTGTCTTACATGGCTCTGCAATAGCTGAAATTTACAAAGCTAGATGTACAGCTCTTTTCCATGTTGTTGAAATCAGTGTCCTCTTTAAATCACTAGGAAGTTGATGATAAATGACTGCAGTAAGTGAGAGGCGTAGTGAGCCATGCACCATCACTACTTATTTCACGGACCTGAGCAAGACTCCCTACCTACCTGTCAAGACACCTCTAGGAAGCTTCTGATGGCTTCTTAGGAAATAAAAAGGCCTTTTTTTTTTCTTTTTTCTGTTTATGGAAACTTAGTATGGGCCTTGACTCTCAGTAATTTATATTTCTTTCCCATTAGCTAGCAAACATCCAAAATTGCCCAGTGATTCCCAAACTGTGTAATAGCTGAGTTAATTCATAGTGGAAGAAAGATATTCCCTTCTAGTCATCTCAGAGGTAAGCTGGAGGACTTCAGGCAGGAAAATAAATGTATATCAGAGTTTCTCATAAAATTGCTTAATTTCAAACTAATATTTAAAAATGAGAAATGAAACTGTAACATGGTATTAAAAAAGGTAATTTAAATTATTTTTCTTTTAAACATGAGTGTGTTTTAATAAGAAATTTATTTATGTTAAATCATATTATGTACCTAATGGAGCCAAGAGAAAGTTTAGCATTTTAGAAAGGGAAAATTTTCATTTAGGTCTCTGTACTTTCATTTAGGTGTCTGTAAAATACTACTGAGGTAGTATTTTTCCATTTCTAGGAACTGAAGATCTGATACATATAAATCAAGTACAGAAATTTAAAGAGCATATTCTCCTTTTTATATATATTTCAAAGTAAAAAAAAAATAAAAGGATATGAAGGTGTACTAAGTTTTGATGGTCTCTCATTTCTTTCTTGACTCATTTCAGGCCCTAGAAAGTGAATTTGTTTCTTGCCAACTTCATCAGTGGATCGACCTTATATTTGGCTATAAGCAGCGAGGACCAGAAGCAGTTCGTGCTCTGAATGTTTTTCACTACTTGACTTATGAAGGCTCTGTGAACCTGGATAGTATCACTGATCCTGTGCTCAGGGAGGTAGGTGTTAAATCCCATATTATTCCAAAAATTTCTGTCATCTCTCAAACACAAATTTGACATTTCATCTCTTTCTGTATAATTTTGTTTTCAACATAACTTCTTACAAAACAGATTTCAGGTTCTTGACATATGTGGAAAAATTGAAAAGTCCCAAAACAAGTAATGCAACCAGTATGTGGTTCCTTTTTAAATTTCAGACACTTTAAATATACTTCTATATCTGTATATTTGTTTTTCTTACTTCAAAATTTACATTAAAATATGTAATGCTTTACGTATTTTAGTAATAAGTGAAACCTAGCTGAATATTTAAATAGGAATATTCCACATTAACATAATCTGCCACTGTGGCTATTCTTAAAAATAACAGCACAAGTGCTAGGATTACAGGTTCAGTGGCTCTTGCCTGTAATTCCAGCACTTTGGGAGGCCAAGGTGAGTGAATGGCTTGAGCCCAGGAGTTCGAGACCAGCCTGGCCAATATGCTGAAACCCCATCTCTACAAAAAATACAAAAATTAGCAGGGTGTGGTGGCGCAGCTGTGTGGTCCCAGCTACTGTGGGGGCTGAGGTGAGAAGATCACTTGAACCCAGGAGGCAGAGGTTGCCATGAGCCAAGATTGCACCACTGCACTCCAGCCTGGGTGACAGAGCGAGACCCTATCTCAAAAAAATAATAAATATAAATAAAAGGAATATTTCTACCTTTTAGACAGAATACTCAAAAACATGCATGAATGAAATAGATGCAGTTATGCTATTTTATTCTTATGTGTTTTCAATCTGAAATGTTTATAGCTAACAGTTGGGAATTATGTGCTGTAGTATGTATATAGTATTTTTAGTGAAAATATTCATATAAAATATTACTTAAATCATTTCTACATTGCACAAAATGATTTCAGATAAGTGGAAAGAGTGAAGATGCAACAGCTGCTACATAAGTGTTGCTTCAAGGAAGTGATATCCCAGTCTTCCATTCTACCAGATATCTGCCATCTGTCGTATGCAAAACAAGTAATCATTTCTGCATCTCCAGCCAGTGGAATGCTTTTCTTATTTTTTATTTTAAAGGTGGAAAACTTGGAGATGGGCGCAATGAAGCTCTACAGAAAAATTTGCATTCATAAGTTTATTTCTTATATACCTCTATAAAATTAAAATGACTCCATTTGTATGGTTCAAGCAAAGAAGAGGAAAAGGAAGGGAAGAGCCTCATAATCATTGATCCTTGGACCCTTAGGGCAAAATATTCTGAGAACACGTTGCAAGCGTATTATTAGGGGCAATATTGTACCATATTGTGTGCACACAAGATAAAATTATTGCCTGAAGCCAAGAGAAAAACATAGAGACAGAATGAATGAATGAGAGAGAAGGCAGGTGTTATGAAATGGCTGGTGAAATAAGGAATTTTCTCTACAAATCATTACACTCACCCAACTGAGTATCCCCAGTTGTGTATAAATTGTAATCAGATTATTTGGTAGGAGATAATTCTGAGCTTAATTAGTCTCAACTGTACACCCTTGCTTATTACATGCCTGTTTTATTAAATACTTTATAAACTATTCTTTTAAGGCTAATACCTTTTAGAATCAGAAAAAAAGAAAACAGTTGTAATAGTTCATCCTTATATTCTAAGATCAACTGAATTGTCTTTTGACTTCTAAATGTCATAGGCATTTTTGCTTTTGGATATTTTGTTATACATTTTTACCCATTATAATAAAGTCCTGTTCTTATAAAGAAAGTTGCAAGTTAATCCTGTTGGGCAAAACAAATTAAATACATTAAACACAAAATAAAATAAATTAAATAAATTAAATACAAAATAAAATACATTAAGCATCTTATATGTGATGAAAGTGCAAGGCAGCATTAAAATTGACAGAAAAATAGCAGGTTTGTCCAATTTAAATGAGGGTTTAAAAAGAGATAACTGAAAGAATTTGAAAATGAAATTAAAATGGAAATTTTCTTTACATGGATACAGTGTTCATTATTTGAATCTTATCAAAATACCTGTTTCTACAAAATAACATCATTGCTTTGGACAGTGAAAGAATTGTGTATAAGGCTTTGTTAATGTAGAACTTCTTAATGAAACATTACATAGAAATGTAAAATTTAAAATGTAAAAATTAAAAATTAAAAATTGTCTTCTGTTGAATGGGAATGATTCAAGCATATGTTGGCATATTATATAGATGGTCTGAACAATATCTTGTATTACAGCTTCATGACCTTCTAGTGATGCAGACTCTCTGCTACTAGGGTGCCTCAGCTCAGGACTCTGTCTCCTTTCAGCATGCTCATTCGAAGCACATAATTGCCAGACACTCAGGTTTCATTAGAGAGACCCAGAGTCATACTGTGAAATGTTATGTTCTTTCTCCCCAGACCCCTTGCCCACTTCCTCAACCCTATAATTCTGTGTCAGTTCTTAGAACACGATACATGTGAAGGAGCGCATACCTGGAATACTCTTACTTCCCTTCCCCCAGCCCCCAGAGGCCTGAGCACACATCAGCAGAGAGGTTTACCATGACCCTGTGGACCTGTGTGGACTCAAGATTGCTTAGGAAGAGCCTCTATCTCCTTGTGACCACTAGGGGGCCATTTAGTACAGTGTAGACATAACAGATTAAATGATTTCAAGGAATGCTAGTTAATTTCCCCTTTCCCACTTCCCACCATTCCCCCCTCTAACATATTCCCATTGCTGTTAATGCCAGTTAGCCAAGTAGAAGCTAACAGATTCCCACAAAGACAGTTCTGCACTAACATTTAAGAATGTGAGGAATAGTGTCCTCCAAAGGACGAGAGCCCACCTGAATCCTGTGAGCTGGGTAAGTGAGGCCGAGTCATTCAATCTCACTTTACCTCAGTTGCTCTCTCTGTAAATACATCTATTGTTATAAGAAAGAACCCAGATAAAATGGAGTGAAGTACAGCATATTCATTATTTAGTGGTCATTTATGCACCCTTACCTATATACAACCCCTATGAGTAGACCATGTGGGAGGCACAATACCTTTTTTTAAAACATTCTTGTTGAGTTCCTGGAGGTCTTGTACTGCTGTGTTGCGACTTGAGAGAGTTGATTCCCACCTAAGTGGTTGGACACAGACTCTTGGAAAAAGCAGAGTTTAAGATATTAACCCTTTTATTGAGCTCAATACATTTATTTTATTTGATAATGTTTATCTTAGTATTTTTAAAATACAAAGATTGTACATTTCATATAGATAAAACCAAAGGAAGGCTAATTATGGCTACACTAAACTCCATCTAGCCTAAGATGGATTTTTTCATGCTTAAATTAAACACTAATTTAAAAAGAGAAATATTTAATATATGAATATCTATATATGTCTCCTTTGTAAAAAAAAAAAAAAAAAAAAAAATTCTACTACTTGCCTATAACTTTGAGTTTTGAAGTTAGTGCTAAAGTTTGAGAAATGGCTTAAGGTTATTGATTCATTCTTTCTTGACAGGTGAAATCATGAAGCAGCACTAACCACAGCAATTATGGCATTAAAATGTCAAGAAATTAGAGGTCAGAATAACAGATAATTTTCTTCTCTATGTCAGATTGAAAATTGACATTCTTTGACAGTTTAGGAACTCTGGCTGAGAAAATTATGACAGCTTAACTTATTTTATACTTGTAAAGCAGTAATTGATAATAAACTTTATCATGACAGCCTCTGGGCAGAAACATGACAGTACAGTTCTGGTACAAAGCTCTTCTTAATATGTAAACACTAGATCTGTTGGATAGTAGATATTATTTAAATTGTCTAAAGTCTTGGCTTACATCGTAATCTTCTATGCACTTTTTTTCATAGATGAGCTGTACTATTTGAGCAGTTTTTCAAGCATTATAAAGAATATTTTTTCTTATCGGTTTTTATATATTAATAAAAAGTATATGATCTGATTTATATTTTTACTTACTAAATGATGACCAAGAAACTTCATCCTATGACCTGCTTAGGAAAGAGAATATTCTGGTTGGTAATCATTTAGTCCCATGGTTTTCTAACACCTTGATGCTCAAATGTGGCCCATAACCCAGCAGAATCAGCATCACCTGGGAACTTGCTAGAACTTCAGCCTCTCAGCCTTCCCCAACCTACTAAATACATGTAATGAGATCCCTAGGCAACTTGTTTGAGACATTAACTTTTAAGAAGCACTGCTCTACTAAAGGTGTGTTAGAATCATTTGGAAAGCTTTTTTTTTTTCCCCTACAAAAGTACAGAGAATGGTATAATGAACCTCCATGTACCTATCACCCAATTTCAAAAATTTAAAACCATTTCATCAAAACCTCACCCCTCCCCTTGTATTTTTTTTCTTTCTTTCAGAGACAGTCTCACTCTGTCACCAAGGCTGAAGTGCAGCGGCTTACTGCACCCCACCTCCCAGGTTCAAGCAATTCTCCCACCTCAGCCTCCCAAGTAACTGAGATTATAGACACCCACAACCGCACCTGGCTAATTTTTGTATTTTTAGTAGAGACAGGGTTTCACCATGTTGGCCAGGATGGTCTTGAACTCCTGACCTCAGGTGATCTGCCTGCCTCAGCCTACAAAAGTGCTGGGATTACAGGCATGAGCCACTGTGCACGGCCCCCCTGTACTATTTTTAATACACATGTCATACCCATCTAACTCCCCATCCACTCTATCCTCCCCATCACATGGGCATCTCAGAATATCCAGGGAAAGGCTTCAATGAAGCAAGTCTTATTTTGAAAAAAAAAAAAAAAAATTATCTGGGAATTTCACACACATTCCCAATTAAAAACCATTAATCTAGCTAACACTCTCATTAAATAATTTTTTGTTTGTTTGTTTTGAGACAGAGTCTCGCTCTGTCGCCCAGGCTGAAGTGCAGTGGCGCAATCTGGGCTCACTGCAAGCTCTGCCTCCCGGGTTCACGCCATTCTCCTGCCTCAGCCTCCCAAGTAGCTGGGACTACAGGCGCCTGCTGCCACGCCCGGCTAATTTTTTGTATTTTTAGTAGAGATGGGGTTTCACCATGTTAGCCAGGATGGTCTCAATTTCCTGATCTTGTGATCCGCCCACCTCGGCCTTCCAAAGTGCTGGGATTACAGGCGTGAGCCACCGCGCCCGGCCTAAATAATTTTTTCAGCTGGGCGTGATAGCTCACGCCTGTAATCCCCACACTTTGGGAGACCGAGGCGGGTGGATCACTAGGTCAGGAGTTCAAGACCTGTCTGCCTCAGAGTATGATTATATTGTATGCCATAGGCAACAAAAATGGATAGAAAGATGGGAATGATATTATAAGTTGTATCACAGCTCAACCATTAGTATTTGAGTGACATTAAGTCAGTCACTTGAATTTTATGTACCTGTATTTTCTCACCTAAAAAATTGATGACAGAGATGATACCTAATTCATGGGAGAAAAATATGTGAAAATACTTAAACTATAAAGCACTACACAGGCATTATTACCTAAAGGCATAATTAAATGAAGTTATCTTAGAAGAACTTTTGTTTTAATAATTTCATTATATATGACACCAAAACTATCAATTTAATTTTAAAAAATCTGTTAGCAACAGAGAAAATAAGTTAATTTGTTTTTAATATTATTTAGTAAAAAGAAGCAGTTGTGGCTTTTAAATTTATTTTCAATACTGTCTCCAAAATTTTATAAAGATGGCCTAATTGCAGCCCACTTATTGCCTGTAACATTCTTTCTTGATCTAAATTAGTATTAGCATTTATATCCTTTATTATCCTTTATATTTTTAAAAGTTTTACATTAGGCCAGGCGCTGTGGCTCATGCCTGTAATCCCAGCACTTTGGAAAGCCGAGGCAGGCAGATCACGAGGTCAGGAGATTGAGACTATCCTGGCTAACACGGTGAAACCCCATCTCTACTAAAAATACAAAAAATAGCTGGGCGTGGTGGCGGGCACCTGTAGTCCCAGCTACTCGGGAGGCTGAGGCAGGAGAATGGTGTGAACCCGGGAGGCGCAGCTTGTAGTGAGCCAAGATCATACCACTGCACTCCAGCCTGGGCGACAGAGTGAGACTATCTGAAAAAAAAGTTTTACTTTAGTGTCATTAGTTTTGTATTCATATTATCAAATGAATTAGCAACACTATTACTGGCATTAAAGTTGTACTGGTTCAGCAAGAGAAAAAAATTGAGTCAGTATTTCAACAGAAGCTGTAAGCATATACCAGACAAGTTATTAACAAGATACTAAGTTCTGAACTTGTCATAATACTTGTCATCATTCTATAGTTGACGTTGCCAGACTGAAAATGATTTCAATGGCTTCTTTTTAACGGTGAGAGGTATGCACATAAGTCTATCATAAAAGGCTGTTTTGCTGGCAGCTATTAGAACATGTGAGCCATTGCAATATTTATTTATAGATATACACATTTATTTATGCTGGAAATATTAAAATATTAAGTAGTTTTTAATATTACCAACAGTCATAAAAATGTGGCATTTTTAGTCTAATTTTCTGTTAATATTTCTTGGCTTTCTTAGCTTATAGTTTCTTTTTCTATCTTTTTCTCAATCTGACAGGGATAACACTGCCTCCCTTTGGATCGGCTATGGTGAAAATATGCCCATAGGAAGTAGGCTAGATTACTTCAGTTTTTACTTTATTTTCTTGCTGAAATATTCCTTGCTACTACAGAGAATTGACATGATAGGGCTGTCAAGAACCAGAAGATAGATGTGTCTTTAACCAAAACAGCTGCAATGCTGGCTTTTCTGAGAAGATGAATTCATAAAATTTATAAGACAAAAAATTAACACACTTTTTCATCCTGATGATGTAAATGAAGGGTAATTTAAGGGCCCATAATGACAACATTGAGGACCTCTACAATCATTGTCTTCCTTGAATTCTTTCTATTATTCTTTATTCTTTCTATGAATCCTTTATTCCTCAGCCTTTCCTCCCCCCATTTCTGATTCTCTTTGATATGACAAGGAATATCAACACCACCTGCCCGATCTGCGTGAATGAGTTGTAGCACAAGGTTATCCATTTACAACTGCCATGATGCCTAATTGTCTTCATATGGGGGATATCCAGGGTTCTTCTCCTGGGCAGTTATTCTGAGAAGTGATTGCAACAAATGATCACAAAGTGGGTGATTAAGATTTCTTAAAACCATCTTAATTTCCCCCTATAATTACTGCATGTTTTACTGGGATGAAAATTTTAACAGATTCAAAAGCCAAATTAAAATGGAAAGAAAACCCCTACATTTTAATTAGTGGAGTGAAAATACGTATTTGGTGTTCTTTAAAGCTAAAGGATCATTTTGGGAACATGAAAAATACCATGATTCCTAAAACTAATAAGGATATAGGTTCAAATATATTTGTTATGTGTTTCTCACTGCAAAGGTTTTCATTGAGAGCCATAAGGCTTGCATTGCAAAGGTTTGATGAATAAGGTTTTAATATAGAAATTAGTATCAAGGAAATTAATGACACACATTTAATTTTGATTAGTGAATAAATCTTTAATTTAGGTCTATCTTACCTGCTCATAATTACTGCAGTACTTCACTAGGCCATGGTCATCAATCGTCCACTAGAAAAGCATAAATAATGCAGCTAGTCAAAGTTGGATGTATGTCATTTATGTGACTTGTGCTTCTTTCTTCGCTTTGTGTTATTTTTATTGTGTGGTGTTGAGAAGTGCTAATTATTGATTTTCAGAAATTAACAGCAAGTACTTTCACAAGCATCTAAAGCCATATTTTACTCAAGGGAAGAAGGGTGAAAATTGCAGCCTGCTGTTTATAATAGAAATAGCTGGAAGGGATTTCCTTATCTTCTATTAACATAGATTTCACTTCTATAACACAGTTGTTACCTCAGCATAAATTAACAATTATTCAAAACATATTGCATACTTCAATTTGTTGAAATAGATATTACTCAATCTAAGTACCTAGACATTTCAGTTAGATATTTAGAACTCATTTTTAAACATTTTAAACATATTGATAATGAGCCTATTTAAAGCCATTTGAAGTCTCAGTACAGTATATCTAAATTACTGTTGCCCATTTATGTCAAAATCAAGAATATTTTGTTCTGCTGAATACGTCCAATAATACTTTATTCTCACTTTAGTATACTAAAAGTATATGATTTCAATTTGGAATATTTATACCAGCACCTGGTAAACCTGTGTCTCAATGTCATTCCACATACCAAACAAATCTATTTCAGCTTTTTAAAAAAATATTTTCCCATGATTAAACACTTCTAGTGAACTTATAAAGGCCACCACTTCTCTCTCGTTCCTGCTCCTACACCACCACCTCCCCCTCAACTTGTTTTCCTCCTCCTTCACCTCCTGAATCAGCCAGCATAGAGTTTAGTTTATATAAACTTATTCAACCAGGGAAAATTTGGCAGGGATGTCATACTGATTGTTCTCACCTGTGGTAAAGGATTTGTGGATTGAGTCCTCTACTTAGGTACCATTTAATGATTAACCCCAAAGTGGGCAAAGAACCAGAAACCTGGAAGAATCCTTAAGCGATCATCTGCTAAAATCTTCGCTTCCAGGTAGGCGAATCCCTAAGTCATCTAGAAAAGAGTATTTCAGTTCTCTTCCTGAGTATCAACAAATATTTATTGCAATGAGACTCTACAGCCTTTCCTATCTGCTTACAATGTTTATCTCTGAAATATTTAAAATCCTCAGTGAAAATGCCCCTTGCTTGGATATAATCTTTTTTTGGTCATTCCTACCCCAACATGTAGCAAAAGGTAACCAGCATTTCTCTCATTTGTTGTGCCTGAATAACAATCCTATTTGTATCAGTCAGGATCTCAGCACATTACCTTTCAAAGCGATAATGAAGACTCCAAAGAAGACATACACATGACCAACAAGTATGTGCCAGCATCATTCATCTTTAGGGAAATGCAAATCAAAGCTGCAGTGAGATACCACCTCACACCCATTAGGTTAGCTACTATCAAAATAGAAAATAACAAGTGTTAGTGAGGATGTAGAGAAACTGGAAACTTTGTGCACCATTGATAGGAATATAAAATGCTACCACTGGCGTAGCTGCTAGGAAAAACAATATGGCAATCGTTCAAAAATTAAAAATAGAATTCCCTATGACCCAGCAAATTCTACTTCCGGATATATATCCAAAAGAATTGAGAGAAAGGGCTTCAAAGAGACATTTGTATACCTATGTCCACAGGAGCACTTTTCACAATAGTCAAAAGTCGAGGCCAGGCGCAGTGGCTCACACCTGTAATCCCAGCACTTTGGGAGGCTGAGGCAGGCGGATCACAAGGTCAGGGATTTGAAACCAGCTTGGCCAATATGGTGAAACTCCGTCTCTACTAAAAATACAAAAATTAGCCGGGCATGGTGGCAGGCACCTGTAGTCCCAGCTACTCGGGAGGCTGAGGCAGGAGAATCACTTGAACCCGGGAGGCGGAGGTTGCAGTGAGCTGAGATTGCGCCACTGCACTCCAGCCTGGGTTACAGAGCAAGACTCCATCTCAAAAAAGAAAAAAAAAAAAAGTTGAAAGCAACCCAAGTGTCCGTGGATAGATGAATGGATAAACAAAATGTGGGGTGGTGTATGTGTGTGTAATGCATTATTAGTCAACCTTAAAAAGGAAGGAAATTCTGACACATGCTACAACATGGATGAACCTTAAGGACATTAATACTAAGTGAAACAAGCCAGTCACAAAAAGACAAATCCTGTATGATTCCACTTCTATGAGGTATCTTAACGAGTCAAAATCATAGAGAAAGAAAGTGGAATAGTGACCCCCAGGGACTAGAGGGAGTGGCGAGTTTTTGTTTAATAAATATAGCGTTTTAGTTTTAGAAGATGAAAAGAGTTCTGGAGATTGGTTACACAATAGTGTGAATGTACTTAACACTACTGAACTGTACTCTTAAAAATGGTTAAGATGGTAAATTTTGTGTTATATATATTCTACCACAATTAACTTTTTTTAAAGGATAATGAAGAGAGTTTAATAATGGTTCTATTTACAAAGGTATAGACATGGTAAAGTGGATGAACAAGGGAAAGCGACAAGGAAAGGGAGCCATTCCCAGAATCTGGCAATAAAAGTGCTCACCCAACAAGAGCTGTGGCCTTAGGTAGAGGAGTACTGGCCAGGCACTGCCAAAACGGGACTTGGCAGAGAGGGGCCATATAATCCTGTCTCTGCTCCTGAGCTCTGTCATTGGCTGAACCCACTGGGAAGGTAGAGAGCAAGGGAGCACAGGTCTATGGAGGCGCATCTTCCAGAGCCAAAGAAGGTGTCCAGCTCACTGGTCTGTTCCCCCTGGGTTGTTCATTTCTCTAGGCCAAGAAGACTTATTTAAGGCTTCCAGGCTTGCTCAGCCACAATCAGCTACATTAAAATGCACTCACTCTTCCTACCTGAGTTGACTTATACTTATTTTAAGTGGAGAAATTGAGTGAGCTTGTCATTGATGGCACTGATCTGATTTGGACAGAAAATATTCTGGATGGAGCATTTTCTCTCCGGAGGAAATGATGCTTACTTTTTCACATTCATTTGTTAAGTCAGTTATGTAATATCACCATTATAATTCAACATGCCAAGGAGGAAACAGGGATCAGCAAGAGGATAAGTCACATCTTAATTCTACTTAGATTTACGCTAAAAGAAAGAAACCAAGAATTAAGGCAGGTAACTGGACAAATCAGAATCTCTCTCTCAAATATTGTCTAAGTGCATCTACTAATTAAGGCAATTGTGGTCCCTTTTTACTCGGATTACCAAATATTTGCTTAAATATTCTAATAATTTTGCCAGGATAATTTTAGCCTTAATGCAGTTGAAGGTTAAAACAAAAGGAAAAATATTTATTCTCCTATTTTGTGGTTTCTATGAAAAACTAGAAGCAGTTGAATATAAAATAGCATTTTAATTTTTTATATAGTTTAATATTTATAAAGCAAGAAACAACAAAGTGCAGATATTATTTGCTTGATTTATTTTGCTCCTGTTTTTCCAGCATTAAAAAGTAATGCTTTATATGATCTTGTTTTATTACAACAATAAACCAGAAGCAAAAGCTTATCAGTTAAAATGTAGTCTGCCATTAAGTAACCTTTCCTTTTATCATTTCAGACTTAAAATTCCATTGTTTTTGTTTATTTTTTTCCTATTTGGCATTGGTAGAATTGCAGGTGGAACAGAAAGATGATATCAATCACATGTATTTTTTTATTTTGTGTCAAGCTTGTATTTTTTGGTTTAAAAAAGAGCACTTTTAAGTATTAAAAGCCTTGTAAGTAAGAGCTATACAGTGAGATAAACAAAATGCTAAGGAAACTTTGAAAATCTTTTTCTGTTTTCTCAAGCAACCACTTTTACTACTTTTTTCTTGAATTTTCTGAAAATTGTTAGTGAATTTACTGGTATTTGGACGTAGTTTGATATTTTGCATTGTGGGTACCATAACCTATAGTACTTTATAAAATGCTGATTTTTCTGAAAAACAATTTAAAAGTTTATACAGACCAGGGAGATGGATGAATAGGTCATTTGAGAGCCTGTATTATTAGCTCCTTCATGCTGTTTGTCATGGCTCTGTAGACCTGACGGCATTTCATCTGAAAGATAATACTGAATTACATTTACCAAAAAAAAAAAAAAAAAAAGCAGTTGTAATCATTCTATGGAGAAAAATGTAAATGGGTTAAATCTACCTGCAATGTGGAAAAGACAAGATTAACGAAAGTTTTTGCCTACCACACACCAGAGAAGGTATGGCTTCTGAATTCTGGCTTACTTGGTTGCCACATTTAATTTTACCTTAGTAGGAAGTCTTTTATATGAATAAGCAAATGTGCAACACATAAGCACACATTATATTTATCGATTTCCTTTTCTGAGGATTCAATTCCAGGTATGTATCTTTATTCATAGAGGAGGTAGAACTTCCTTGGAAGGAAAGCCAAAAAGGAAAGAAAACAATTAAGAGATACGGAGGTCAAAGAAAGAAGGCATGTGTCACATCATAGCTAACACACATGCCCCTTTGTGCACACTTTAGAGGACACCTTCTCTAAATGGATGAATTACAAAAGGCACTCCTTTCTCTGGCTCTCCAGGTAGATTCTATTACTTATTTGCCTTCCAACTGGGCATCTTTGTACAGGGCATAAACAGCATACCCATGCACGGTGGCCCTGACCTATGAGAAAGAAGAAAGACTCAAGAGAACTTGTTAAGTAAGGAAAAAGGGGACTCCCATGAAGATGTCATAATTTCGTAACTTAGTAGGTGGGTCCTGCAGAATTGTATAAAGGAGAGCCTCATCAGACTAAGGAATGGGATAATCAGGAAGTAGGGAGGGGACAAAAGAGAAAGTGTCCCTAATCGAAACTTTTCCTTAATGGGAGCTCTATATACAGATAAGCAGGTAAAACTGAGTTATGTGTCATATATGTGTTTGTAACCTGAAAATCATTTATGCTGTTCAGATTTTCTTATTTTGTTCATTTGTGCATAACTCACTTCACATTTATCTTTACTTCTCTGCCTATACCTACAAAATTCCATGTTTTAGAACTTCCTCAAGGTGTTCAACCTACCTATTTCTCGGTGAGTCTTAGCTGGAGAGAAAAATAAATGCTAAGTGCATGATGTCAGTTCAATAAATATTCAGCAAACAATTTTATAATCAGTAAGAATCCATATAACAATTAAAATTTAACACTCTTTAACTTAATTTTCATTTCTACTTTAACAATTCCAGGTAAAGAAATAATTATTATAATTATTTTATGAGACAATTGAGTTTTGATATATACAAGTTTTATTAATAAGTTATCAGTACCCTAAAAGATTACATAATGTAAATCATTACTTTATTTACAGCTTCGACCATTACATTTTGGGTTCACAAATACTTACAGAAAATAAATACACAAAACCATTTTGGAGAAACACTTTGGCAGTAAAACTAAACTTACTCCTACCCTATGACTCACCAATCCCATATCTAGGTATAGACCCTCCAAAAACTGGCTGCTAACCTCCATCAAAAGACATGTACAAGAATCTTCTAAGCAACTTTATTCACAGTAACCTGAAACTGTTAACAACCCAAATATCCATCAACAGAATTGATAAATTGTGTTAGGTTAATACAGGGGAATACTATACAGCAAAAGAAAAATGAACAAACTACCGATACATACAACAAGGTTGAATCTTGCAGACATAAAGTTGATCAAAAAAGGCAGAAACAGGAAATATGTAGTGTATAACTCAATTTATCAAAAATTCAAGAATAAAAAATAATTGATGATAAACATCAGAATAATTATTAGCTTGACAGGGTGATGGGGCTAGATAGGGGGAATAATTGGCTGGGGAGGCACACAAGGTTACCAGTATCTATGTATTCTCTCATGTACCCACCACCCAGACCAAGATATGGAACCTTCTAGTTCCATTCCAAAGTCCTCTGTCTTAATGTAGATGGTGGTTAGAAGAACTGAAAAAATGTATATACATACATATATACATTCATCAAGCTGTACACTTAAGATTAGTGTACCTTATACACTTTTATCTTAAACCTTAAAAAATGAGTAATTTGAATAAATAAATAAAAGTGAATGCACATAATAAGCTTAACTTCAGGATACCAAAATCAGTGATTTCTTAATAACATTAAGAAAGAATATTATTTAAGTACAAGCAAATCTATATTTTCATGTTATTCTACCAAAGTGTTGTCTACCAATGGCTGCATGGTCTTTTGTATTTGTGAAACATCAAACGTTTTGTTAGCCACATTTGTTTTAAAAAATCTAGTGGTTTAAGCCTATTACCTATGCTGGCTTTGTATGAAATATGTAAGACTCATGATACCACTGTTTAAGTAAAAAGTCACTATGATTTATTGATTCTAAGATGCACACCATTTTCATATCTCAATACTCCAAAATCATAATGTGTCTTACAATCAATCAATCATAGCATATTTTAATTGATAGCATATTTTACTTATTAATAGTATATAAAATAATGGAGCTTCTAATAATGGATAACATAGATTTAATGAAGTTGGATTGATGGACATTTCCAAAGTTTTAGTCTCTTTCCATATACATTATACATGCTCATGAGCTCACGTGTTCAATGTTAACTCATTTTGGGTTTACTGGAAAGTACAACAGATACACAAAGCAACTGATATCTTGTAATACAAATTAAAGTTTTCATTATTATATTTTAAAAGGATTCACAAGCCCCAAAGCATATAAGAACCAGACAGGGAATAGATGAGTGACACAAGCCAGTGGCAGTGCCCAGGTCATGTGAGTGGTGGGCGTTACAAAAGGGCAGTTGTGCAGGAATGCTGATGTGGTATTGCCTGATCTGCGAAGTTTTTAAGAGAAGCCAAAAAATCCAATTTCTTGTATGCCATTTACTGACCTGTAAATTTTGGCTCAAATAGAAACCATGTCTGTGAGCTGAATCTAGCCCATGGGATGCCAGTGTGTGACTTTGGGCTGAATGTAAGCTCTTTGAGGGCAGGAATCTTTATCTGTTTCATTTTACCAGTATCATTAATATCTAGAATGGAATCTAGTATGTAGTAGGTACTCAACAAATACATGTTTTGTGAATAAATAAAGTTAACGTTAAATCTCACTGACCCTTGCAGACCAATGTATAGAGAAATAGATACATGTAGAATTTTTTTAATGACATTTCTGGATAATATAGAAGGAATTCATCTCACAGTTCCAGTAGTTTCTTTTTTTTTTTAACTTGATATATTTGGAAATTTTTAAGGGAAAATTTCTATATGGTAGAAAACCTTTTCATGCTGTGGACAAGCTAATTCTTACTTAATCTTCAAACCTGAGCTCTGTCCTTTTTCCAAAAGTCTCTTTCCTAAGAACCTATTCCCCTTCCCCTCTGTCACTCGTCTGGGCTCCCAGGGCAGCCTGGGCTTGTCTCCCCTGTGTCCTGCTCCCTACCATGTGCACTGACACACTCATCGTCTTTATTTTGGGGGCTGCTAACTTCCTGAGGTCAGCCTGGTATCTGACTTTGTATCCCTTGGCATAGAGTAAGCATTCAACAAATGTCTGTTAATTGTTTTTGTGGTATTGAATTGTAAAAGTAAAAAATTCTGAAGTGCTTTTCTTTTTCTAGACCAGGTTTCAGTTTTATACAAATGCCCTGCTTCTGTATTCACCAAATATTTTTAGAATCTCTGTTAAGACTAAGTCACCATCCTGACCTGCAGAGATTCAGTCTGAACAAACAGACATACATAAATAATTGTGTGTTAAAATCTATAGTAAAGGAGAAAAATGTGCTGTGAGAATATGCAGGGCATTCATTATGATTTAGAAGGATTTAGATCCTTGCCCAAGGAGGTGAAGGATTTAGATCCTTGCCCAAGGTTAGCATTCGGGGAGGATTTTCTCCTACACAGGGAGTAGCTCTCAGAACAACTACTTCATTGTAACAATTCATGGGTTGCAGAATGAGTTCTGCGTGTCACCAGGCAACCCTCCCATTCACAGGACCTGCACACTTGACAAGAAAGTCATTG
Source organism: Homo sapiens (assembly GCF_000001405.40). Lineage (NCBI taxonomy): Eukaryota > Metazoa > Chordata > Mammalia > Primates > Hominidae > Homo > Homo sapiens. The sequence goes on from NC_000013.11 coordinate 35,643,902, forward strand.
ATGACCCCCTTAAAGTGGGAAAGGACAGAAAATCTTACATGGGGAGCAGGTGAAGAAAGATAGTAGGTGCTCACTCTCCCCTCAAACGTTTTAGTAATGACAAGAAGTAGAACTTAAAGGAGACAGCATGCTTTTCAAGATCAGAAAGATCTGTACATTTTTAAATCAGAGGGTAAGGAATTACTGGAAGGCAGGACTACCAGATAGCTAAAAGGTAAATATTGGACTGAGATCCTTTGGGTCATGAAGGCATGTAAAGTAGATCACAAGGAAGAGGGAGTCAGTATAGTCTCAAAAGAAATAAACGTTCAGTGTCGAGAACTGACTGTCTTAATGAAAGGATAAAGTTAGTCACAATCTCGTCTTTATCCTGATGCCTGATTGGGGAACTCTTTTAAATATATATGCATATGTATTCTGCCTTAGTCCAAAATGGTCAGAGTTGGGACTCACTGAAGAGAACTGCACAGAAGATTTCTAGAAATTTTATCCATTTCATAACATTTTCTAGTACAATGTTAATACTTTCCTTTAAGAAACAAAACTAGAGTCAAGCAAAGCATGTTTGTTGACTAATTCCTTCAATAAACATTTAAAGGCTCCCTACTAAGTGCAAGACACTGATCTAGAGATTAAAACATGTTTAATTTTACCCCCGGCTCCTCGCCCCCACTTGTGTCCTTTTTCTGGGGAAGTAAAAACAGGAGTAGTAGTATCTGTTGTTAGAGAGACGTTTAGCTGTTCATGATACATGAAGCTAGGTATTAAGCACTTGCTAACCAGGGCAGCGTTAACAATAAAATTACCACTTTTCTTTGCAAATAATTCTCAAGAGTTAGTTATTAAAAATGTGAACCTAACCAGAAATGGTCTCTTCCCCCTTTTATAATCATAAATCTTGCACTGGGGAGACAAAAGTAGGATGTAAATGCATCATATGTGAATAAAATTTAGTTAAATAGTCACACTTGTGAGTAGACACCATGCAAATAAATGTATACATAAAAATTGGACAGCACTTAAAGAGATTTAATAATTCATCCCATTGCCTCTGCAGATAAAAGAACCAAAGTCCCATTTACGCGATGGCTAAAATATGGCAGATAATGATGCATTCATATTTAATATTGCTAATAAATTTGCAGGTTCGCATTTTTATTGATAAACATTTTCTTGAAATACAGTGTAGGAGGACAGATTTTTAAATTTAAGTACTTTATAAATTAGAATTGTAGATAGCGATGAGATTAGTGGTGGTGCTATGTCAAGAGCCATCTACCAACTCACCTGTGCTTCTACAAGCACCTAGCTATGATTTTCCTATTTCACTTTTACGTGCAACCAAATTGCACACAATTTAGGGAAAAAATTAGCATGGTAGCAGAGTAATGATCATAGTAAATATCATGCTTCTCCTTGTTGACATAAATTACATATAATATTTCAGAAAAAGATTTTTGTTAGTCTAGCTTAATATATGGAAATATTTTGCCTATAGAATTTATGTATCGAGGAAATACTTAAGTTTCTTTTAAGATGATCTCTTTGACACACACAAGAAAGGTATATTGTACAGTCCAGACAGTTTGAGGGCTAAAATTATTTCTATTCCTTGGAGGCTATAAAATCTCATTTCCAGCTACACAGGCTTTAATGAAATATTGTATAGCTTAGGATACAGGAAGATTTATTTCTTTTTTGGGTGAGTTCTCTCTAAAATTTCAGGGAAAATTTTTGAGAAAATGAATTTATACCTTAAAAATAATATTCCAGAATTCATCTTAAAATAGCATAGAAAGCTAAAATATATTTTTGTAACAAAAGTTTTGTTATATTTAATAATTCTATAAAATCTTGGTGTTCTTTCTGCTGATCACCCTCTGAATTAATTGGAACCTATAACTTTCTGAATTTTATTTTGTATAATTGGTAGACTTCATGTCTCATTCTTTTTTTTCCCCATTAAGATTCCAGAAGCTTATTTCATTAGAGACCCCCACACTTTCCTTCTTACAAAGGACTTTATTAAGGTATATGTTCTGTATTTAGTGTGGAAAGTGTTCTTTGGTCTTTAGCTGCATGCATGTATTCACAGGTTAGATTTTCCACATTTAACCCCAGCTTCTGGGAATAAGAATAGTGACTGGGTTAACTGAAGCATGTTTGGAAGGAGAAGCAAAGCTTGTCTACAAAATACTAACACTTGGATGATTCTGCACCCTGAGAAAAGAGCACCCGTTGAATTTTCTGGACTTTTTTTCATGGCTGACTTGGGATACACTTGCGTTGTCAAAGAGTGTGTTGGCCTCTCTCTTTGATGCATATTGATTATGACAATCACCCTCCTTCCCCTGCAGGCCATGGAGGCACAGATACAGAACTTTGGACAGACGCCATCTCAGTTGCTTATTGAGCCACATCCGCCTCGGAGCTCTGCCATGCACCTGGTAAGACATATCAGCATGTTGAGATTTTTTTTTCTTTCCTTTTTACCTGGGAATAGAGCAAATAAAATTGTGATTTTAACAGCATATTTTAAAAGGCTTCTCGATTTATTGGTTAACTCTTCAGCCTAAGTACAAACTAATACCCCAGGGAGAGACAGAGAAGGAAGTGTAAATCTACCTTTAAGTCCTACTTAAGCTGTCCCACTTTTGGATTCACAAAAATAGCCATCTTCTCTATGTATGACTCTACATAAACTCATTCATGCACACACAGGCATAGAGACACACACTGACACCAGAATTAGACTATATTTGTAAATTACAATGAAAAATGTATTGCAGACACAATATGATATTGCCAAATTTCGTGGCAAGATACAGTAGGGGAAGTAGTTCATTTGAATAAAAGGAAAGAAATATAAAGGTAATTTGTGGTTATTACAGAGAGGTTGTTGAACAGAGTGGTTAAGAGTAAGGGCCCCAGAGCCGGACAGGGCAAACACCATCTCTGCACTAGCTAGTAAATGACTTGGGCAAGGTATTTAACCTCTCTGTTTTTGCATTTCAGCATCTTCAAAATAGAGGTAAAAATAGTACCTACTACTGAGAATTGAATGATTCAATACTGTATAGCACTTAGACCAGCACCTGTCATACAATAAGTTCTTAATAAATGTGAGCTGACATCATCATAATTAGCTACTGGTTAAACCTCTTATTCCCACTTTGCAAGGGAGTCATATTCTTTTCATTTTAATCTGAATTTAAAAGTCCATTTCCATAAAAAAGTTTCTTTACAGTTTATTAGCAAATAGTAAACATTTTCTTCTTTAAGTAATTTGAAGAAGGTAAAATTTTTATGAGCAATTTCTTTAGAATTTTTTTTAAAACTGATTTTTCACTATTTTTTTACTGAAGTAAACAATTCTTGAAGGTAAAAATGCGTTCACAAGATGAACTTCAAGACAACAAGTACTCTAATTTTAGAGTAAAGAGCTCTGGAATATGGTCCATAATATATGTGTAAACAAATGTATAAGGTGTTATTTTGTGATGGAAGTATTAATCACACCTTTCATTTACTCTGTCATTTAACGAATTTTTATTGAGCCCCTTCTGTATGTCAGATCTGATGCTAAGCACTGGAGATACAGTGACAAATAAGTCCTCTAAACTTTCAAGAAATCAGTAGTCGAACTTTTGGGAAACACATAAATGCTTTTTGTTGTTGTTGTTTTGAGACAGAATCTCACTGTCACCCAGGCTGGAGTGCAGTGGCGCAATCTCAGCTCACTGCAACCTTCGCCTCCCTGGTTCAAGCAATTCTCCTGCCTTAGCCTCCCGAGTAGCCGGGATTACAGGTGTGCGCCACCACCCCTGGCTAATTTTTGTATTTTTAGTAAAGATGGGGTTTCACCATGTTGGTCAGGCTAGTCTCAAACTCCTGACCTCGTGATCTGCCTGCCTCAGCCTCCCAAAGTGCTGGGATTACAGGTGTGAGTCACCACGCCCGACCTAAATGCATTTGTTTTTAAATTTTTTTTTAAGATAGGGTCTCACTCTGTTGCACAGGCTAGAATATAGCGCCATGATCATGGCTCACTGCAGCCTCAAACTCCTAGGCTCACACGATCTTTCTTCCTCAGTCTTCCTAGTAGCTGGGACTACGGGTGTGTGCCACCATGCCTGGCTAAATTTTTAAAATTTTTTGTAGAGATTGGGTTTTGCTGTGTTTCCCAGGCTGGTCTTGAACTCCTGGGGACCCTCAGTCTCCCAAAGCGCTGGGAATACAGGCATAAGCCACCATGCCTGCCTGGTGTGTGTTTAAACTCTTTTTTTTTTTTTTTTTTTTTTTTTTTACCTTCCTTCAACAGCTCAGCCAAACAGCTTCAGCCTCCTTGGTTAGTCACTAGTGAACTCTTTTGACTGCAGTTGGTCTTTCTGTGTAACTAAACAGAAAGGTTTGCACCAAGCTCAGGCTGTTGCCGTATAAACCCCTCAGCCACATTGTAGACATAGAGATGTGGCCTCGGAGCCTCACCGTTTTTAATAAACTGTCCAGAAGAATATCTCTAACACTTTATTTTATGAAATGCTTTGGCAGAAGAGTTTTATTCCCGTGTTAGTTTTCTGTGTTTAATAATAATAATAAAAATATTTATCCTGGAGATATGCCCAGTCAGAATTCATTACTTTCCTAGAGGAAGTTGTTAGAGACTGAATTGGCATGAAACTGTTTATAAAGAAACTCTAAGCTTTCTAAGTTCATGTAGCAGAGAATTCATATATACTGCAAACCATTAAGAAACATGTATGAAAGCTAAATAATGGTTATTTCCAGCCTCCCTACTTTATGTTTTTAATATGGTGGTATTTGTAGTGTTTTGTAGGACTTACAGTATCTACTTTCTGTCAAGTCATATGCTAGATGTTGACAAAACAGACGCTAAAAACAGAAAGAAGAAAACACATGGACACGTGACAGGGAACAACACGCACTGGGGCCTGTCATGGGGGTGGGGGTGGTGGGAGGGGAGCATCAGGAAGAACAGCTAATGTATGCAGGGCTTACTACCAAGGTGATGGGTTGATCTGTGCAGCAAACCACCATGGCACACGTTTACCTATGTAACAACCTGCGTGTCCTGCACATGTATCCTGGAACTTAAAATAATTAAAAAAAAAGAAGAAGAAGAAGAAAAAGCATTGGCCCTCCATAAGCTCCCAGCCTAGAAGGGAGAAACAAGGCTTCAACCATAAACAGTCAGTGCCAGAGCAGAACCTGGGGAGAACTGCCAGGGAAGCGCTCGGCTGCTTTATGGGGCTACTGTATTTTAATTATTTAGACTGTAGTCATGACCCCAGATCAACCAGATAGAAATGAAAGTATTAGTCAATTCACTTTATATTTCGTGTAAAAAATGGGAGTCACTAATTTGACTAACTTTCCCACCAAACTGATTTTTAAGCTGCATTGCATAACTGTGTTACGTCATGTGGGTGTGTCTATGAGCTAACTTTTCACATTGCATTGTGGTGATATTTGAATTGAGGCTGGTCTTTAATGATTCTGTGTCCCTGTATCAGTGCCTTCACAGAATTCTTATTCTCTACTCTCTGTGCCATTCCCCAGTCAAAGCTGCTCGATTTGGGGCAGACATTCACCAGTATGAAAGTTTAGGTGGCTTTTCCTCCTTGTGTGTGCTCGTGCTAGCCTTGTCTGTTTAACCTCATTCTCCCTAGACCTTTCACTAACTATGTTATTCCTTTTGTCTTCCTCTGTTCTCTTCCCTTTCTATTCAACAGTGTTTCCTTCCACAGAGTCCGCTCATGTTTAAAGATCAGATGCAACAGGATGTGATAATGGTGCTGAAGTTTCCTTCAAATTCTCCAGTAACCCATGTGGCAGCCAACACTCTGCCCCACTTGACCATCCCCGCAGTGGTGACAGTGACTTGCAGCCGACTCTTTGCAGTGAATAGATGGCACAACACAGTAGGTATGTGTGCCTGAGCAAATCACTTACTAAAGATTTCTTAAAAGCTACAATTAAAGTAAAAAAGTGTACTGGGACTGGGATTAGCTCATATCCCACATTATCTACAAAAAACAGCAGACTAAATAAATAATTGTCAAATCCAACTAAGGGACTTCTATCTGTCTCCTTCATTTCTGCTGTATGTTAGTGCCTCATAGGATGCTTGGATCATAGTCAACTACTCAGTAACTATTTGACAAATTGAAGCAGTTCTACCAATAATTCAGGTTCTCCTACTCTATTCTGCTATTGCCTAACTGCAAAAAAATACACCCTTCTTTTTTCCTATATCAAACAGAAGAGAGTTTGAATATGGGTTTCTGGATGCTGGCTTCACATCCTCTTGTCTCTATATCAGTAATTTATTTAGCAAATATTTGAATGACTATTATGTGTCAAGTAGTCCCAAGCACTGTATATACAGCAATAAACAAAACAAGCACCAACTCTATTTTTGCAGAGCTTAGAATCTTTGCAAAAAGACAAAATCTAAATTCTCCAGTGATTTCACACTTCACATGTGTTTCTCCAAACTCTTTCCTGAAAGTACCAGCCAGTACATCTTGAAGCGACATAACGTTGTGGCAAACATTTAGACATATTGCAGGAGTTCAAGACCAGCCTGGCCAAGATGGTGAAACCCCGTCTCTACTAAAACTACAAAAATTAACCAGGCACAGTGGCAGGCACCTGTAATCCCAGCTACTCGGGAGGCTGAGGCAGGAGAAACGCTTGAACCCGGGCAGCAGAGGTTGCAGTGAGCTGAGATCGCGCCACTGCACTCCAGCCTGGACGACAAAGTGAGACTTTGTCTCAAAATAAACAAACCAACAAATCAAAACACATTTAGACATATGGATGCTTAACCAGGGCAGAGTGGATGTGACCAAATGATTTAGTTGGCCCAGTTTACCACTTGGGATCTCCCAGGAAGCCGAGGACTCCCCGTCTCCAGAGTTGAATAGCTGAGCCATGCCGAAGTAACCTGAATCTTTCTATTTTACTGACCTCTACATTGCTCTAAAAAATACAGTGATTTATATCCTAGCTTTATCTCCTAAGAGTTTCTAAGTGCACCTATTTTAAGGTTATTGGTGATATTATCAACGTAAGGTAACGCTACTTCCATTCCATCAGAGATAGGCAGCACATATCTTAAGGAAAATATATGACTGTATTATTCTCAGGAGACAGCCTCTAGAAATGTTTTGCATTGAGAAAAACTACAAAGGACTAAATTTTTATTTAAAATTGTTTGAAAGTGTTGTATATATTGTATAATCACGTGTGAAAAACTATGACTAATGAACTTCATCAAGCTCTAAACATTAATCCTCTGAAAGTAGCTTTTAGTGAGATTAAGATTTTAGGTGTGGCCCAATTTTTATACCTTCCATTTACTTGTCACATGTTGAAAAAAAGGCCCCATTGGATGGGAGCCCCAGCTTCCTGTGTCCTGCCCCAGGTGAGCGCAGGCTCATACCCATCCCTGCTTGGAAGCATAGCCCTTTCATTGATTTCTGCTTCCTGTGTCCTGCCCCAGGTGAGCCCAGCCTCATACCCATCCCTGCTTGGAAGCATAGCCCTTTCATTGATTTCAGGCTCATTGATTGCTCATGACCTTAGCTTTTTGATGGGTTCAATAAATGTTACAATCTTCTATTTATCCAGCTTTTTCTCATCATTAGAACAGAAACAAAACTCTTCCCAGCCTTGTACATCGTAAGTGGAAACCTGAAGTCCCTGTTGTGATTATTTTGTAAGGCTGTCTACAGAGACACATAGTATCAGAACAATTTATCAAATCATTTTTAAGCAAATATGCATTTTGTAAAATCATCATAAAACACTACCCATTAGGAAATCCCTTCTTTCTGAGAATTTTATGTTAGTTTTTCTCTCTTTTTTTAATCTTTAGGCCTCAGAGGAGCTCCAGGATACTCCTTGGATCAAGCCCACCATCTTCCCATTGAAATGGATCCATTAATAGGTATGTTAATAAAAAAGAATAAATTTTCATGGATACTATCCATATATTCATATATAGTTATTTTTCATAAGATAGTTGAACAATATTTTTTCTACCACAAGATTAAAATGCTAATAATATCAAATTATCATCAAGGAGCTGTGTAAATCATAATATGCCATCTAAGAACTTTTTGGTATTAAAGCAATCGTTTCTTGATATTTTTGGAGGTCATTTAAGTTGGTTATAAATAAGGCAAATAATTCCAAACTGTATTTTCTTTCAGCCTAAAGTGTTCTCTAACAGCTCAGTATTATTTAAAATATAAGGATTCAAAAAGATTACTAAAGGCTGGGGGAGGAATAGCATTAGGAGAAATACCTGATGTAAATGACAAGTTGATGGGTGCAGCAAACCAACATGGCACATGTATACCTATGTAACAAACCTGCACATTGTGCACATGTACCCCAGAACTTAAATTTAAAAAAAAAAAAAAAAAGGGCCGGGCATGGTGGCTCACTCCTGTAATCCCAGTACTTTGGGAGTCCAAGACGGGCGGATCACGAGGTCAGGAGATCGAGACCATCCTGGCTAACACGGTGAAACCCCGTCTCTACTAAAAATATAAAAAAATTAGCCAGGCGCGGTGGCGGGCACCTGTAGTCCCAGCTACTCGGGAGGCTGAGGGAGGAGAATGGCGTGAACCTGGGAGGCGGAGCTTGCAGTGAGCCAAGATGGCACCACTGCACTCCAGCCTGGGTGACAGAGCGAGACTCCATCTCAAAAAAAAAAAAGGAAGCTAATATTGAAGAACATCTTTTCTGGCAGTCTTTTTTTTTTTTTTTTTTTTTTTTGAGGCGGAGTCTCGCTCTGTCGCCCAGGCTGGAGTACAGTGGCGCGATCTCGGCTCACTGCAACCTCCGCCTCCCGGGTTCACGCCATTCTCCTGCCTCAGCCTCCCGAGTAGCTGGGATTACAGGCGCCCGCCACCGCGCCCGGCTAATTTTTGGTATTTTTAGTGGAGTCAGGGTTTCACCGTGTTAGCCAGGATGGTCTCGATCTCCTGACCTCGTGATCTGCCCATCTCTGCCTCCCAAAGTGCTGGGATTACAGGCGTGAGCCACCGCGCCCGGCCACCTCTGGCAGTCTTTATCACTGAATTTTTTTAAACTGACATGTTGTAAAGCAAATGTTTCATATGAATTGCAAACTGATGAGCTATAACTCTTTGCAGCAGACATTCAAAATATTTTTAAATAATCGTGTACATATTTATTAGCCATTGGATCCAGAGCTAGCATCTTAGTCTTTCGAGGCCCTTCCGGTTTCATATATGTAAGACAGTTTTTAATAATGTTTGTTCTATCTGTATCACTGGATGATTAGTAAGATAAATTAGAAAAAAATTGAAAATGCTACGAAAAATTATTAAGCTACATATTAAAGTCAAGGTGTTTTATTCTTGGGTTCTTTTTTTTTTTTTTTTTTTTGAGATGGAGTCTCATTATGTCACCCAGGCTGGAGTGCAGTGATGCAATCTCAGACCACTGCAACCTCCGCCTCCCAGGTTAAACCAATTCCCCCACCTCAGCCTCCTGAGTAGCTGGGATTACAGGCGTGCACCACCACGCCTGTCTAATTTTTGTATTTTTAGTAGAGACAGGGTTTCACCGTGTTGGCCAGGCTGGTCTCGAACTCCTGACCTTAAGTGATCTGCCTGCCTGGCCCTCCCAGAGTCCTGGGATTACAGACGTGAGCCACCACGCGCAGCCTCTTATTCTTAGATTCAAATTCATCCTTCGTCTTTGAACCTGGAAATAAGATAAGATACAGACGTTTCAATTAGTTACTTATACCCATACACAAAATACCATTTACATGTCTTTGGGAGCTTATAAGCTTTAGGATTAAGAATATTATTAGTCTAGTCTAGCTATTTCTCTTTCCAGTAGACATTGACAATGAAATATACAGCTAGTGTGTAACCATGGAAAAATTAATAGGTCTATTCTAATTAGTAAAGGACCAACTGTATAGTTTTCAAGTGGCCTGGGACCCTTGGTCTTCTTGTCCTTACTGACTTTTGTGTATAATATTTTTATTGCTTATGTTTCTTAGTAATTATTTTTATACTGTTAGTAGATATCTACAGATAGTAGTACTTAATATTTAACTGGTGTTAGAGAGTGGTGGTGACCTTCTACATCTGCATTTCTGTTTAAGAATTCAGCCCAGTGATTTATCCTGAAAGGATGGTGCGCAGTAAGGGACAGGCTGGCATGCAGACAGGCACTGGGGAAATCAGATGGTGTCTCTGAGTTCCTGACTTTATTCAGATTCAATCCCAGGGCTCTGCACTGATTCTTTGCCTGTCTCTTTCCTCCCCAGTCCCTCTCTCATCTTTTTTGTTCCTCTCCTCCCCTGCTAGCCCTTTCTGGAAAGGCCTTCTGTCTGTTGACAATCCAGGCCTGTAAAGCTGCTGACCTGAAGCTCCCTGTGGGGCTGCCCACGTAACAACATCCCTTGCTCAAATCTCTACCCTCCTTTTTCACAGGAATTATAAATACCATCTGAAAATGACAGACTTGGGGCAAATATTAATATATCTCTTCCTTAATAACATACTTCATACAATATTTAGTTTTCATGTGATTCTTATAAACTAATGAACTTGTATATAGTGAACATCTAAAGAATTAAATGCATTAAAATATTGTATTATGTTTTAAATTAATTGTCTTGAATTCCTCATATTGTTTTTATTGGTGGAGGGAGAACTAAAATTTCTGGCATAATTTTAAAATACATAATGTGGTTCATAAATAATTACTGCGAAGGAAATTTATATTCCTCAAGGGAGAATCTTAATAATCTCATACCATTAAAAAAACTATTTCTGGATAAATGAAGCATGAAAGTATTGTTTTCCTTCTTTGAGTGCTTGGCAAAACTCATATGGAATCTTTCTTCAAATGCTTTTTTCCATTTACTTTTAGCCAATAATTCAGGTGTAAACAAACGGCAGATCACAGACCTCGTTGACCAGAGTATACAAATCAATGCACATTGTTTTGTGGTAACAGCAGATAATCGCTATATTCTTATCTGTGGATTCTGGGATAAGAGCTTCAGAGTTTATTCTACAGAAACAGGTAATCCTAACTATGAAACACCATATTCTCTTCAAAATGACTATTGTTAAAACCAAAGCTGAATATGAAATCATACTTAATGTAGGCATTTTTATCATTTGCCAACTTGAGTAGTCAAGATTCAAATTAAATGTTCACATTGTAAGCAAAGTAACTAACTATAACTTCATGTATTCCGAACGTTAGCATGATCCCAGAATTCATAGGACAAATGGGGCTATTGTTCCTTTCCCACAAATTCATATGCAGTAAAAGATCCTAAAACTCCCCTTGGTCTGGCCCAAACCCTGAAGAGAAAAATCGTGATTGTGTTATTTTATAAAGTCTTTTCTTTAAAAATCTCAAGTGACATTCTTGTATCAGTTTCCAAAAGCAATGCAAGAAAGCAACCTGTAGCCAGATTTGAATAACATTGTAACTTTGTCAGCCCATAGATGAACTTTTCACAAAACTGGTAAAATAAAATTAAAAATATGGTAAAATTTTTTAAAAAATCTGATAAAGTTACACTTATTACCATTTGAAGAAAAAGACTAAATGAAGCAAACCTGTCATTTCTGTGTTGCAGGGAAATTGACTCAGATTGTATTTGGCCATTGGGATGTGGTCACTTGCTTGGCCAGGTCCGAGTCATACATTGGTGGGGACTGCTACATCGTGTCCGGATCTCGAGATGCCACCCTGCTGCTCTGGTACTGGAGTGGGCGGCACCATATCATAGGAGACAACCCTAACAGCAGTGAGTGTTTGTATCAAATTTGTCCTATCAAACTATAGTTTATTTAAATATATTTTGCCTTTTTGATTTTCCTAATAGTTTTTTCCTGAGGTGTAAGGATTTTAAAATATGAAAGCTTAAGTGGCCAAAATCTGTACTGGAACGTAGCTATGTTCAAAGTGTTAAAATGATCAGTACTATCACCTACAACATGGAGAGACTTCCAGATCCCCTCACCAGTCCCCTACCCAGACCCTCTGCTCAGCAGCCCAGTCACCAAATGTCCCCATCCTTCAGAAATTTTCTTCAGCTTCACCTTATCCATTAAACCTCATATTATTTCTTTCAGCTGAAAATAATCTCTCCCTGCTCTGAATTTTTAGAAGATTTTGCCTGTGTCTCATTCAGGGCACTAACTGCTATCTACCATATATACTGTAGTAAATTTCTCCATTTATTCGTTTAGCAAACAGTGAGTGAGTACCCCCTTCACATGAGGCATTGTGGGAGATGCAAAAACTGAATAAGACAGTTTCCTTGCTTGGGAGGATTCCTCAAGTGATAGTTATTCCACAGTGCACCCTAAGATATCCCATAGGAAGAAAGCGTTGGGAGAGGCTGGACTCCTTCGTGAAATAATTTTGGAGTACAGTGTTTATACTCAAACTTTCTACATAAGCTCTGAAAGTCTTACACAAATAAATTTGTTGATGCTTGTTTAATCCGCAGCCTCTCAAACTTCTTTTTCCAATGAAACTTTTATTTATGTAAGAGAAGTTAGTTATTAGTTGTTGGACTGCTGCCCCAAGAAAACACTAAAGTAGATAATGAGTGTCTGTCTTTCCATCTTCAGTTCCTGTCATAGTAATATACATAATAGGTTTCCAATAAATTAAATGACTGAAGAGCTGGATAAGAGATTGGCTAGAAATAATTACTGCTTTTAATTACTAAGCTTTCAATAGTTCACTCAAATGCATGACTTTCCTGTATAATATAGAAAGGTTTCTGTGAAGTGATAATGGCAAGTACTCAAACCAGGATTATTCAAATTGTCACAGCTTACACAGCACTCCAAAATAAACTGAAACATGAATTTGGGGAATACTTATAACCCAACAGAGATAAAAATTTTTCAGGAAACCTGTGCATCTACAACTAAAATACTATAAGAGTAGATAAGAAATCTACAAGATGCCATGTTACATTGCGTGGCTGGCTGCTGCCTCTCTGGTTAGTTCCAACCTGTGAGACAGCTAGGGGTGGAAACTGAATTGCACATCCACCCTTCATGTCCCACTCCATCCCCCCAACCCTTATGCATTTTGACAGGAATACCGCAAAAATAGGAAATGGCTTTGGATGGATAAGAACAAAGGCCCCATCATAGTACAGGAGAGAATGGAGAAATACATTTGTATGAGAAGATAGTGGAAGATTGGATTAGATGTCCAAATGTTATGTGAAGTTTTATTCCTGTTGCCCATAGCTAGAGTTGAACAGTGGATGAAGAAACTAGGTGTGTTGTAAAATAGCATATGCCTCTTGGCATAGCTACTGAACAAGAGAGTGTCTATTGTACATACGAGTCTCTGTTCTAAATTTGAACAAGATGTGATCTTTATTTGAGGGAAAAGATATTCAATGTTGCTTGATTTCCAACCAGTTCAAATAATTAGTTACCAATTCTGTTATTAACAAACATTATGCTCTAAATACCAGTAAGATAATCTCCCTATTTACTCTTTTGTAAAGCCATGTCCGTAAACAATTCATTTTTAACAGAATTCTAGTATGCCTATGTATGCGTATGTGTACATGTGTATAAGACATATGACCTACCAGCGATGGCTTTATTATTCTCAAGAATGGTACATTATCAAGTATATTTTATCTAAATATATGTTCACATATTTCCAAATTGTCTTTATTTCCATAATAGTGTAGCATTTCTTTAAAAAGTTTAATTAAGCAGCAGGTCTGTGTAGTATCTTTCATATACATTGATAAAAATTAGAACTTGTTAGAAAAAATTTAAAAGAAACAGAATAGAGCTTTAAATCTAATTAATTACCGTCTTCAAAATGAAGCCCAGAAATGATGCAAGTGTTATTTCCAAAAAGGGGATTTATTTCTTAAAAGCTGCCATCTGGTAGCTGAGATAAGATGTTTTATATAATATACTGCTAGGAGGTAAAGAATATTAAAGAAAAATATTAAATTATAGTAATTATCTATGTTCACTACTGTGTTTTCTAATGATCTCTTAAACCAAAAGATGGCTAACTATCAATTGTAGCTTTGGTACATCAGTTAGCAAGAAAAGTTAAATACAATAATATTTAAATTATTTAAAGCTCCTTACAACAGGAGCTGTGTAAATACAAAATGCTTTTTTAATTCTTAAGAACAAAAATATGGATATTATATTTGTTAAAAAGCAGTGTCATATTTTAGTTTTAAGTAAGGACAAGATTATCTTAAAGATATTATGACAAAATTATCAATATGTATTTTTCAGTATTACCTCCATCTATAGGAATTTATTTTTAGTGAAAAGCTGTTGTCATCATTATGAACCTAAACCACTTCCATAGAATCCATCCTGTCAAGACTTTATTAGATATTTAATGTGAACATACGTAGTATGGTACATTAATAAAAGGGAAAAGTGCTCTTCTAGAATAAACAAGATAAGCACCTAAAGTATTAGTCAAGCAACAGTATGTGTTGGGTGCCTACTGTGTGCCTACTGTGAGCCTGGTACTATCCCAGCAGCTGGGAATGCTGCAAAGTCACAACCTCTGACTTTCTAGAGTTTACAAGAATCTACTTTTATACTGATCACAAACTGTTTCTCCTGCTTGGATATACTGAGGATGTCAAGTATTTGTTAAATGAATCATGAATTGTTATCCGATAATATTTTGTACCATACTTTAAGGATTCGTAAAATGCTTAACTTTACATCAAATTGATGATTATGAAAAAAACTGGTTTTAGCTTTTTTCCATAAGGATGATCACAGTAGTAAAAAAGTGATCTCAGGTTTAGTATTGATTGACTGACTGATTTGTGACCCACTTATCTATTTAAAAAGCTAACCTAGTAGCATATATATGCCTGACTAGGGCAACCATCTGTGTCGGTCTCTTCACTCTTTTTTCAGGCAGTCACAGCACACACTGAATTGACTGCCATATCAGTGCCCTGCCTGTGGTTTGACATAGACATAGTTGTTGCCATCAGAAAACTCACAATGTGAAAGAGATTTTCTTCTGTTCCAGTTTAATCTACTCTAGCTTCCAATTCACAGGTCAGAGAAGCAGGCCATATGTGTTTTCTATCTCATAATACATTGATACTCAAGACCAGAAAGCTAGTTATGTCTAAATTTGTATTAAAGTGTGTGACACAATGCCCTTAGGTTTTGGAGGTTGTATGTATTAACCTATCCTTGACGTGGGAAGTCCTGGCATGTAACATAATATCCTAGTAGCTGTTATAATGAAGGGATTGGCCTTGGTGTGGACATGGAACTGCTTTGTGTGTCACCGAGGCCAAATCACACCTGTTCATCACAACATCATGAAATGATAGGATTTATCATTTAACCTTTACATGCATATCACTAAAATCTTCTCAAGATAAAATTCAACTGACTTTAACATATTTGTTTCTCTTGCATTGTCATTATTATATTGTAATAGATAGCTCTATTAATTCCACGAAGAAAAAATGTCATGTTTGTGAAATCTTTTTGGCAGGTATAGAAAGTATGTATGGTTTTATTGTGTCAAATATATTGTGAAGAATGCAGACATCTCAGAAATATTAGTCTTTTTCTAATCATTTTGACCATTGTGATGAATTGGTCACAAAGATAATGAATATTTGTAAGCAGACTATCAGATATAGAGTCTCAGACCATAAAAGAGATAAGCAAAGTCTACCTAGTGCAGGTTAGAGTTGAATTATCATTGCTTTATTAATGTATTTTATAATATTATTCATTGTTATTCTTTCAAACTCGCGGCTTTGAACGTATAAATTATCTTGGAGACTTTAAATAGGTCCCTAACTAGATAACAGAATTGCAAAGATGTGAAGGACAGATGCTTTCATCCGAAACAGACTTTTACACAAATTCTGAAACTAATTTGGAAGTGATAAAAATTAATTTGCGCACTTTAATTGGAAGCAGCCTACTGCATGAAAGAGAGCAGAGCAGAGCAGGCAATTTGTGCTAAAAGCTGATTGAATTTTTTGTCAGGTAGGTATCTTGGACTTGGCCGCTTATCCTCTTGAGCCTCTCTTTGCAATATATTACAACCCATCTCTGACTGGTGTTCTTTAAAAGGATCAATGGTATTCCTTTGGAATCCCTAGAGTCCAAAATTTCATTGATCTTAGGACTTGACATTTCTCATTACGTGCTGTAGCTTCCAACAAGATAGTCACAATAGAGGCAAGTTAACATTGTTGTCTCTTCAACAGACACTCAAAATACATTGGGACTTCAGCTCAAAAGCCAATCTGCTTTTAAAGAATGTAGTTTTAATGTTTATACCACATACAAGGTGCTTTATAGAGAGTTTGATATACATACATACAAAAATTTTTAAATCATAGCCATGTGAAACTTTGAAAGAGGATTTACCGTTCATCTTTTCAACTCAAATCTACAAATATTCATTGGGTAGTTTGTATAACACATTGTTATTATGCTTTTCTATTCCACTTTTTAAAAATAAGTATTTTAGCTCGTGTACGGGCATTATGCAGACTGTCAAAGGAGAAGCCAATTGCAAAGGAGACTCCAGCTGTGCACACACACCTTCTCTGGGCTCCCATTGTGTATGCCTCAGCTCTGGACGCTGACCCTCCTGCCAGCCACAACCTGTCACCAAACATCTGCCAAATCACATCCCTCTCTTTGTTGGCATCCAGGCTTCTTTTAAAAAGACTATCCTGGTGCCCAGCTCCACAACTGCCACTAACCAGTGCTATTATAAGAAATGAAAGCATGGCCGATGGATAGCCCAGAGAGATTTGTAGAGTATATTTAGATTTAGATACATTAAACAAGTTTGTATCACTTCTCGGAGCAAAGAATCTTAGCTAGGATTTAGCATATGTTAAACCATCTTTGTAAGATCAGAGGAAGTGTAGCTCCATATGCAATAGTTCTCACCTTGCAGGGCTTTTTGAGGACCAAATGGTAATGGATGTATTGGAACATCGATGGCACAGAGTCCATTCTGCAGTAGACCACTCATCCACCCCATCCCCTCATTCTAACACCAGTAGACTTTCCAGGGTTCCAGACTGAGAAGGGAGCTGCTTGCTACTCGGCCTCGGCTTTTCCTTTCCTTTTATGGGACTAAGGCTTCAAGAAAGGTCTTTGGCCTAGATTGGAAGCAATATATACAGAGTGACTAATGTGTTCTGATCAGAGAGCTTCAGGTTCCAACCAGGGGGTGTCTGGGCTTTACGCAGAGCCCAGCTTCCTGAGGAAGGGGAGGTGGATGATACTATTAGTTGTTTTTAGGTGAGCGTAGGACAGTAATGTACTGTGACCTAGATCTGGGCTCAGGACTTCAAGAGAAGAGGTTGTCCTGCAGTGGCAGTGCTCAGAGGAAAATGTAGTCATTGTTATCTCTGAAGAGGAAAAAGAAGTTAGAATGAATGAATAAATAATTTCACCGTATCTGTCTTCCATTCTTCACTGAATACTCTATGAGTACATAAGGAAATGAAACCACATCATGGGTGAATTTGACATTTTCCAACCCACAGAATGTTTTTACTTGCATTATCTTGGGACCTTGGGAAATGCGGGTCCAAGTGTATTTGATACTTGGAACAGACCTCCACAGCACCTGCCTGTGGCTGAGGAGTTGGGGTCTTGATAAGGGACTCCTGACCGATACCGCTCTTCTCAGCTATTCCAGCAAATTTCTAACATAATATGTTGAAATAAATCTTGAAATCATAGTAGTAATGAAACTACCATACCCTTTGACTAAATCCCTTATTCTGGGATTTTAACTTTCAAAACTCCATCATATTTTATCTAAGTATAAACATGAATAAAAATATCTTCTGCCATGATTCTGCAGTGACTTCCCCAGGGTCAGAAATAAAATCTGAATCAGATTTTATCAGGAGGTTCATCCTCTCACTGTGCAGCGGAGGTCTTAGAAACTCCACTGGCTTTGTTTAGTTCTAAATCAGAAAGACCACAGCTTCCCCTGCATATCAGTGTCCCACAAATGAGGTTTAAAATAAGAACCATGAGTTCTTTACTTTGGCCATTTCTCTAAAAGCCAGAGACCATCTCACTAAAAAACCTCTCCTGTCTATGTGAATAAGCAGCATCTAATACTAGTATATTTTTTTATCATCCATTTTGAGAATATTGAAATGACCTTTGATAAAAGGAGGATGGAATTTGTTTATTTTAAGCCTTTTAATATTCGGAGTTTCCAAATGCATGTCTATAAGGAATCTAAAAATTGGACGTGTTTGTTCTTCATCAGTTCTAGTCATTCCAGCACACGGTGAGTGCTTCTGTGGAGGCAGTGGTGGGCCTGAGGGCAACGGCGGTGGCCCTCAGAGGGGCGGTCCACCTGCACCTCCCTCTGCACTGGGCCCTTTAACCCTGGGCTACATCCATCAACTGTGATGTGACAGTGACAGAATATTCCTAGGATTTTGAATGATTGTTGGGGTGTGTGACATCTGTCCCTAGCAACGAAATGAAATATAGGAAACAAGCTTTCCCGCCGCTGCAGGTTTCCCAACTCAGAAAGCCTGGAATGGCATTTTATTTGCCTTTCACTTAAAGAAGGAAACAGTGCTTTCAGGGGCCCTAAAAAATACCCCCTAATAGTTAAGTTCCACAGTTTATTCAGATGATCTGGGGAAATCGTAATGAAAAAAATAAAATATTTTAAACTCTCTAAATCAGACATGAGCCTTTGAAAAACTCATTTCCTAGCAGAAAATGTATAACATGCATAAGGAATATTTTTATACATTTTTTTTCTCAATTCCCTGCAATAGGATCAGATTGCTTTTTATTTTTTCTATAGCATATTAGGGAAAGGTCCCAAAACTATTCATTTTATATAAATGAATTAAGTGTATAATTTCAGGGTTTTCCAGTGTGCTAGTCTCTCCAAGATAAAATTATCATTTAGAAAAATTAAACCTGATATTACACATAAAATCTTACAAATACTTTTTTAGAGATTTAATTTTTATGGATACATAATAGTTGTACATATTGATGGGATATGTTATACAAGGATACAATGTGTAATGATCAAATTGGGGTAATTAGGATATCCAACACCTCAGACATTCATCACTTCTTTGCATTAGGAACATTCTAAATCTTCTCTTCTAGTTATTTTGAAATGTACAATAAATTATTAGCCGTAGTCACCCTATTTTGCTACCAAACACTAGATTTTATTCCTTCTGCCTAACTTTATCTATCTAACTGTATTGTTCTACCCATTAACCAACACCTTCCCACCACCCTTGCCAGCCTCTGGTAACCACTATTCTGTTTATTTCCTCTGTGAGATCAATTTCTTCAGCTCCCACATATGAGTAAGAAGATGGGACAGTTGTCTTTCTGTGCCTGGCTAATTTCACTTAACCTCATGTCCTTCAGTTCCATCTATGTTGTTGCAAATGACAGGATTTCTTTTTTTTTATAGCAGAATAATATTCAATTATGTAAATATATCTCATTTTCTTTATCTTTTCATTATTTGTTGGACACTTAGGTTGATTCTATATCTGAGCTATTGTGAATAGTGCTGCAGTCAACACAGGGGTGCAGATATCTCTGATTTGCTGATTTCCTTTGTTTGGAAAACTCTTATCAATGCTTAAAGCTTATTTTACCAGGAAGCCCAGGGCATCTTTGAAACAATTTTTTTTTCTTTTTCACCTTTTTCCTGCAGTGTGAAACATAATTTTATAAATTATATAAATATGTTTCAGACAAATCCAGGACTGCTGACATTATAAATGGACACTCTACCAATAGTCAAAACACATTATAGCAATATCCATGTATTCAGAAGAAGATGGCAAACTAGCATGAGCTGCTGTCCCCCTTCTCCCACACTCCATCTAAGAGATGCCTCAAAAACAAAATTGGAGCTGATGGGTCTGAGAAAATGCAAATAAAACGGAGAAATCCTTGGGGAGACAGAAGATAGGCAGGTCTTAAGAGAAGATAGGCAGGTCTTAAGGAAGGGGCTCTTGGCCGACCAGAGTGGAAGATGTGGGTCGTCTTACTGGGTAAGGCCTTGTGATTATGCACTTTCCTCATGAACTCTCTGTGGCTTCCCTCTTGCCACTGTGGGCAGAGAACTGGAGCAGCAGTCCAGCTAGCCAGCACCCAGAGGTCCCATAAGTGCCAAAGAAGGGGCTATTCAGGGGGAGGTGCATCTGCCAGCCCTGGAACATTTAACTTCCCCCAACCCCAGTGAGGGCCAGTAGTTCAACCTAGGAGGCAGCTCTAGGAAAGAGGGGCACCAAGACCAAAGTACAGAGTGGTTCTCTGAGAGACAAGATAGGGGATCGGGGGTGGTTACCCCACCAAAAATAGGAATTCACAAAGGAAAACAGGCAAGCATGCAAAGAACACAAGTGCTAGAAAAGAAAGACCGCAAACAGAACAACCTATATGGGTGATGCAGAATAAGCTCATTTCTTTCTGATAAAAGAAGAGAAAAATATAGAACTTTTTACAAAAGGCATAACATTCTCTAAGTCCTTCAATTTATGAAAGCAGTTAGCAGTGAAAATGCTTCTGGGATATAATTCAGCTGGACTTTTTAGCTAGGTTCGCACTAATAAAGTGAAGTAGGTTCAATTCCAACCCTTAGCTGTATGAACTTGGGCAAGTTGAATCACCTTGCAAAGCCTTGGGTGTCTAGGCTATAGACTAGGGATAGTAAGAGTTCCTACCTCATAGAGCATGACCATAAATACATGATGTAACACAGATAAATGCCTTAGCAGGCATTGTACCTGTTTCATAACAATAATGGAAGAAAAAGAATAGCCATTACCACTCTCGTTACGTTCTAAGCATGTTACATACGTTAACTTGTCCTGTCATCTAAACAGCATGTATAATAGATTCGCTAGTTATGCGCATTTCACAAAAGAGGAGAGCAGAGAGGTTAAGTAACTGGCTCATGGTCACACAGCTTAATAATAATGCCCTTAATAAACATGGGTATTTTTTGAATATTGCATTGCTGGTGTAGCTCTCTCCCCCTGCTATTGGTCTGTAGTGCCTCACTGCTGCTGTTTTCTTGCAGGTGACTATCCGGCACCAAGAGCCGTCCTCACAGGCCATGACCATGAAGTTGTCTGTGTTTCTGTCTGTGCAGAACTTGGGCTTGTTATCAGTGGTGCTAAAGGTCAGAAGTCATTTCTTTCATTTTCAATGTCTAGAAGATGACTGTTTTCTCACACTAAGCGTGATTGTCAGTTTATTTCTTCCAGGAAGCTTCCCATAGACAAATGGTATCCCAAAGTTATTTGTAGATGTTTAGTTTTATGATTAATATTTACTGGCACTAATATAAAATATGTATAAAATTTTATGTAGTATTTTGTGGTCAACAGTGTTCTAAGCAGAACACTGATAAATTACAGTGTATTCTTATGATGCAGCCATTGTAAAGGACATGTAAAAGACAAGGGGAAAGTATCCCTGATGTAGTGGGGGAGGTGGGGGGTCATGTCACTCATCAGACACGGCCTAGGATCCCCTCCCTCTTCAAGTCCCTTTCTTTATAAGGCCAGGGGCTGTGTAGAGGTTGGTGGAAAGGAAACAAAGATTACTTGGTTCTTTGGAGGTTTTGTTTTGTTTTTGAGGCATACCTTCACTCTTGTCACGCAGGCTGGGGTGCAATGGTGCAATCCAGGCTCCCTGCAACTTCCGCCTCCTGGGTTCAGGTGATTCTCCTGCCTCACCCTCCCTAGTAGCTGGGATTACAGGCGCCCGCAACCAAGCCTGGCTAATTTTTTGTATTTTCAGTAGAGATGGGGTTTCACCATGTTGGCCAGGCTGGTCTTTAACTCCTGACCTCAGGTGATCCACCCACCTCAGCCTCCCAAATTGCTGGGATTACAGGCGTGAGCCACCACACCCAGCCTCTTTGGAGTTTTTGTAGAAGATCTTTCATTTCAGGAAGTCAGGAAACTTAGGTCCTAGTTCTGGCTCAAATAGCAGTTCTCTGTGGGAAGACTCCCAGGCAGAAAGGAGCCTGATGCTTGGAGAAACTGAAAGGAGCCCTGGGTGCTGCTGGAGTATCACCGTGGTGCCACAACCTGGAGGAATGAGAAGGCTGAAGGGATGGGAGGGGCCTGGGGCACAAGCATTTGCAATTTTTTTTTAAATGAGTATAGTAGGAAACTATTGAAGTTTTTTAATCGAGGTGATGAGATAGATAGGTTTGGTTGTTAGAGCTCATTTCAGCCTTTCTACGGAGAATGGATAGAGTCTGAAGGCTGGCACCATGTTTTTAAAATTTTGGTATCTAAGAATAAATAACCCAGAAATGGACACATAGGATATTTTCAGTCTTTTAATTTTAAAAAGTAATAATATGTGTAATATCATTTTACCCTGTGAAGTTAAAAAAAAAAAAAAAAAGGAAAATAAGTGACACATAGTAGGCGCCAAGAAAGAGACATTTCCTGCAGGGGCTGTGTGATATTAGAGATGATTGCTGGTGTTTTCCTAATTTTCTATAGGGCAAGTCTATTACTTTAGTAATCAGGACAAAATTTAATCATGTCACTTGCTTTGTAAAATATGTGTCTATTCAGCTCAATTAAAAATAAACACGTAATTCATACATTGTTTTGTGGAAATCTTTTTGGGACAAGGGAATAGATATATAACACCAAACTATAGTGACCAATTTTTATGAATTGATCAGTGAATTTTTTACTTTATCAACACTATTTTATAAGGGCAAAAAAACCCAGAAACCATCAGAGCCAAATGTCACTCCTTACCCTCCTTTCACACTCTTGCCTCACTATTCATTTATTTGAAAGACAAAATATCTTTCTGTAGGCTGAAATACTTAAGTTTTCTCAATTTTGCTTTTACATTTTATGCGTATGGATGACAGAAAAAGGTAAAATGTACTTGACGGCAGTGTATTGATGTGGTACAACGCGTAAAATTTTGATGCTACTTGAGAAAATGAGCAGCTGTTCTGATAATTCTATTAAACTTTCAAGAAAAGTTTCTAAAAGCGTATTAAGAGAAAATGTCTGGCACATAAAGTCTTTTATTGTCACGTAATCTGTGAGCTGTACCATTTTACTATGAATATTACCTGACAAAGGAAAAGACCAAGTATCTACCTGGTGAAGAAGCGTGCGGCGTAGGAGTGTGATATGTAGCAGGTACTCTGGCTTTGCTCTGTTTAAATGTAGCATCAGCGCTTGGCCTGGCCAGCCTACCTCTTTCCTGTCCTCTTCCGTCACATCTGAGCGCACACCCAGCAAGGTTTTCAGGTTGGTGGGAGCTAGTATGTCGTTTGTCGTCCCCAACTGACCCTGGCATTGATGTCCCCACTTTGCAGAGGGCCCTTGCCTTGTCCACACCATCACTGGAGATTTGCTGAGAGCCCTTGAAGGACCAGAAAACTGCTTATTCCCACGCTTGATATCTGTCTCCAGCGAAGGCCACTGTATCATATACTATGAACGAGGGCGATTCAGTAATTTCAGCATTAATGGGAAACTTTTGGCTCAAATGGAGATCAATGATTCAACACGGGTAAATCTGCATAGTTCGTGCTAAGTAGGACTGAAGCCAAGAGATTAAAGATTGATTGTTTTACATTAAATAATTCATAATAGAATGTCTGTGCTATCCAGATAAATGTGTTCTAGATTAAAAGTATATAACTTCTTGCGGACTGGTACTTTAAAGAAACCCAAAGTTCATTTAATTGCAAGTAATTAACTCACTGCATTAGACTTCAGAAATGATAGCTGTTGTTTGATTAAAGCTTAGAACCTCGGGAGGGTTTTTAAAGCTCCTTTTATAATTGTTTCAGTGCTGCACCCTCACAACATTAAAAGTGAGTTTATTTTCAAAGATTTCTATCTCTAGAACCCTAAACAAAAATTACATATACCCATTTGCCCTTCATTCATGAATAAATTATAATTGCTGGGTTGTCATTATTAAACACTGTTTTGAAATATGTTTCTTCCATTTGTTCTTTAATTCTCTATAATATTAATATTCAAGATTTAACTAAACATGTTACTTAATGCTCAAATTCTTCCTGGATTAAATTGATAATATTCTCTTGGGAATTTAATCTTGGTTTTAATAAGATCTTTTGTATATGTAAGAACTTCGATGAATTCCACAATGGAAATTCTGTGGATTGAACTTGATTTTGTTGGACAAATGACTGACAGTAGGCAATAATGATAAGGGAACTGTACTGAGTACTTTTCAGTAGTGACAGTTGGCTATTTAGGAAAAATTGAGAGAAATGGTTGTTGTGTATTTTATTTTATTTTGTTTTTTTTTGTTTGTTTGTTTTACCTTTTCTGAAGGCCATTCTCCTGAGCAGTGACGGCCAGAACCTGGTCACCGGAGGGGACAATGGGGTAGTAGAGGTCTGGCAGGCCTGTGACTTCAAGCAACTGTACATTTACCCTGGATGTGATGCTGGCATTAGAGCAATGGACTTGTCCCATGACCAGAGGTGAGCTGCGTCAAGGACAAGTATCATCACTGAGAACTGTCATTGAAGGCTCTCTTCATTCTACCAAGGGTGAATTGTGCTGTGAGTGCAATTCCAGCATCCAAATGAAAGAAAGACTGGCAAAGAAAAGGGGAAAATGAGGGGAAGAGTAAGGATTCTAGTGAGAGGGAAACAGAGGAAGAGAATAAGAAGGAAAAAAAGAAAAGGATCTGATGAAGAACAGGTGCCTGCAGACATGTTTTAAGGGCCCAAGACATAGAACTTACTCCCACCAAGTTCCCTGTTCTCAGGTTCCTGCCTAGTCTCAGACAGGCCACCCTGGCTTATATGATGTGAGGGAAACACGTATTTTTCAGCAGAGGTGGGATTCAGTGTGAGACCTACTTCTTGCTAACCAGTTTCCAGCAAAGTGCATAGTGTGGGCCGTAGCTGGCCCCCCTTTCAACAGCATGCGGCACTCACGCATTACCCAGAACAATTTTTTTACCCCCATGTTCTTATTTACCTGTTTCTCATTTATGTTATTTTGTTTTATTGTATGTATTTCCTTAAAACACGTTAATCCTTTAATCCAGCTCTTTCTTGGAAAGAGTTGATATGGATGTTAATCAATTAATAATGATTTTCCATTGTTCCTCAATTTGCAATAGGATTTTATTATTTCCTGAAATTTACCTTTGGGTTTCTTACAAAGTGAAAATAATATTAGAAATATAAAGTCTAAAGTTCCTAAGCCTTTAAAATAAACTACAACCCTGTAATCTGAATATGGCATGTGATTTCTAATTTTTGCTATTTAACAGAAATAAGAAAAGCTTGTTAATCAACGTTTTTCCCAACTACATGTAATATTCCTCATAACAGTATTGGTTTTAAAATATTTTAAATATTAAGACATAATAAAGTTAACAAAGCATCTTCACAATATAATAAAATGGCACTGAAGTCATCAGGAAAAACGCTGTAAGCTAATTTAGTCTGGGAAAGGATGTTTGGTCTGCAGCCCAGACTGTTTTTAAAGAAGGTTTAAGGTTATTATTGGAGTATCCCAAAGTGCTGCAGCCCATACTTAGGAATAAATGGGAATGGTTTGTTGTGTTACTATTTGTATATATGTGTGTTTCCAGAGTGTTTGAAATGATTTGTGTTTGTAAGCAGTTTCAATATTTCCCTGATATTCTTACTCGTTCGTGTATTCATTTTGCTGCCATCATCATAGGTTGAGTGCAGTGCAAAGTACTAAGGATCCACAACAAGAAACTGACCCCAGAGAGCTCAGATCCTCATAATCATTGCATATGAGGGCACCAGGAACAGACTAACAGAAGAAGGAAGGGATGAACTCTTCTTGAGGGCTGGGAAGGGCAGGAAAGACCTTAGAAGAGGCTCATCCATTCACCAGGCATGAACAGACAGGGTGGATGGAAGAGCATATTCAAAGTTGCAGTAGTATTAGGGGGTCTCAATGGAGGGGGGAAAGATACTAAGTTTCTATTTCTATTTTAACCTCATCCTTGGTTTTGATTATTTTGTTGTTTTATAATGAATAGTGCATGCATATCAATTATAAACTGATAAACATATATTGGGGATATTACTCAAAAGGTATTTATTGGATGAGGTGTCTAATCAAAAGTGAAGCAACACTTTATGTAGACAGAAATCCTGAAACCTGAGTTCAGTCAGTGGCAGTGGGACTGGGGAGGAATATCCCTGAAAAAGAAGCCTCAGAGCTGAACAGCTGATCAGTTAGGAGGGAGAGGGAGAGGAGACAAGGTGACTTAACCAGCAAAAGACCAGCAAGGTCAGAAGGTACCAGTGATTCATGGTGGACATGTTGAATCTGAGGGTTTTGTGACACAGCCTGGCAGTGACCTCCACTTGGCAATGGGAAATCAGCATCTGGGGCTTCAGAATGAGACGTCGTTGCCTTTACGTCCAGGGAGACTGTGGACCGAGAGGACAAGAGGTGGAGTGATTCAAGGGGGCAAAGAAAAGAAAGGTCACAGAGATAGGAAGAGATGCCAGATATCCTCAGAGAAGCCAATAGATGCCCAAAACAAGGCAGCGGACAGGCACGTGTGTGATTGCTGAGAGAAATGGGGCACCCAGCGGAGGCTGGAAATGTGGTTCCGTGGGCCCCTCACGCTCTGCAGCAGGGCTGGCTGTCCAGGTGTGTGCGGGCTAACTGTGCTCCTCTCAGCAGAACCAAGAAGAAATTTCAGTCCTACTTCCATGAATACAAAATTAAGACTTGGCAAACCTTGAGATCGTGATATTGTCTAGTGTAAAATGCCAAACTTTGAGATACTGTCTAGTGTAAAATAGCAACCACAGAAATGATTTTATATCACTCTTAACTGCTGTTTCTGCTTTTCCAGGACTCTGATCACTGGCATGGCTTCTGGTAGCATTGTAGCTTTTAATATAGATTTTAATCGGTGGCATTATGAGCATCAGAACAGATACTGAAGATAAAGGAAGAACCAAAAGCCAAGTTAAAGCTGAGAGCACAAGTGCTGCATGGAAAGGCAATATCTCTGGTGGAAAAAACTCGTCTACATCGACCTCCGTTTGTACATTCCATCACACCCAGCAATAGCTGTACATTGTAGTCAGCAACCATTTTACTTTGTGTGTTTTTTCACGACTGAACACCAGCTGCTATCAAGCAAGCTTATATCATGTAAATTATATGAATTAGGAGATGTTTTGGTAATTATTTCATATATTGTTGTTTATTGAGAAAAGGTTGTAGGATGTGTCACAAGAGACTTTTGACAATTCTGAGGAACCTTGTGTCCAGTTGTTACAAAGTTTAAGCTTTGAACCTAACCTGCATCCCATTTCCAGCCTCTTTTCAAGCTGAGAAAAAAAAAAAAAAACACGTTTGATACTTTGTACATCAGATGCATCTTATTTAAAAGGGATACTTTTGTAAAAGTAAAACCTTGTATAAAGAACAAAATGTTTCTTAATTTTATTGTGGAGTTACAACTTGCATGTTCCTTACTCCTGTTGGCTTGATGGAACAGGTGCATTCACACTATGAAACAGAAAGATCTGTCCAAGGACACAGCTTGTATGAAAGGGTTGAATTTGGGCTCCATCAGTAATTTTTGACATTTTCACCAAAATATAGTTTGCACTTTTTAATCTAAAGTCATCCCTTCTGAGTGAAATTTGCTCATAAAGCATTTGGATACTAAGCCATTATTTGCCATTTTGGGTACTTTATACAAAGAAAATTCAGCCCTACCCTGCATAATTTGAAGACACAGCAGAAAGGGGGCTTAGGGATGAGGTCCTGGTTTTTCTTGTATAAATAGGAGTCATGGGCGTTAGTTCTGTAGTAATAACTTCCCAGCACCTGGACATCTCTTCCAGAGTTATCCCACTGGCTTGGTGTGTATACATTAGGGGAGGATAATCTGATGCTAACTTTTTTTTTCTCTTTGGTTCTTGAATAGCTTAGTTTCTTTAATAACAAGTCAAACTTTATTACAACAATAACTGAAGTTATTCTTTTAGGTTCTCGTGAAATTCTCACTGAAAGCCACATTCTTAGCCTAAGGCATTTCATCTTTTATGATATAAAATGATGGCTATCAAATGATTTTCCATACATTGTACTGATCAAGTTATACACCCAGGGGTATATACACTTTCTTCATGTTTCTTCTTTGTATATTTGGTGACTGTATCGTCATAGATGTACATATTGTGTCGGTAGGGCTATGAGGCATGTTACAGGAATGTAATTTTCTCAGAATTTACACTCACTCGCAGTCATTTATTTAAAAAGATAAAACAAGATAATGGGTTCTTTGTATTGGCACTTTGCACCAGAAACATATCATTATTTATTGATGTGATTACTTATTTGTTATCCACCTTGTACTAGTAAGTTTTAGCACTGAATTCCTTCTTCACTGTTGTTTGTATTTATGAAATTCTGAAATTATGGGGAATCAGCGTAATGATTAAGTTATTCATCACCAGGCTGTAAGCAATATCTTGAGTTTGTAGCTTAGAATTGGGAGGATACTTAACATCTGGAAGACAAGTTCATTTCATCTTGAGATCATGGTGAAATATTTTGGATATATAAATTCCTTAAGCTATTGTAACCATGTTTTATTGCAAAGATGTAAAATATGCCAGATGTGTGTGAGTTGGAAATCAAAAAAAGAAAAATAAAATATGCAAAGAATTCACCGACTGTTTCAGATTTCATTGGACATGTCACTAGCATGCTTTCATTGTGTTGTCATACAGGTTTCCGAAGTCATCATCATCTGATGTAGAGCCTACAGCATCTAAAAACATGAAATCGAGTCCTAATGAGGTTCTGCAATTTGCTGAAACCTGAGCTGCTCTGCCGAGCCATCTGGCAGGGATCTGGGGCAACAGCGACCATGGGGAAACGGCCCTCATTGTCTATTCTGCATAATCCACTTTGGGGATTGTCTTTATTTTATTTAAAAGGAACTAAGTAGTGAAGGTTATAATAACTCCTTTTTTGAGTGTTATCACATAATGCCTTTTTCATTTGAAACCACACCTTCTAGAACCCATCAGTGACCAGGCATGGCACAGGCAGGGACCGAGGACCTGGAGAGGCTGAGCAGCTGCTAGCAAGGGCAGCCACGAGTGGGCTGAGGGGGATTCGGTCACACAGATTGGCATGGGTGGTAGCAAGGGCAGCCACGAGTGGGCTGAGGGGGATTCGGTCACACAGATTGGCATGGGTGGTTGGGGCAGCGGCCCAGACAGGCCCAGAGAATGACAGAACTGCAGGCCGTGCTTCCATCCGCATTCCCGAGACTAAAGGGACAGACCCAACAGTAGCCTAAGGAAGGTTTGCGCTCTTACTTTCCATCCTATCCCCAAACCAGAAATCTGTCAGTCATCTGCCCTGCTGGCTCCCTCACCCAGCCCTCCTGCCAGGCACTCCAGCCAACTGACTGATCACTACCTAAAGTGTCTTTTGAAACTGCCCCTGCCCTTTCCAGCACTGTCATCTGGACTGTCCGAAAACCTCCTGACCTCTGACCTGTCCCCTCCCATCCATGCTCCGCCCTGCTGCGAAGGCACCCATCCAGTCATCTCCCTCCCTGCCGCCCCGCGCCCCCCTAGTGCCCCCCAGCGCCCCCCAGAACCCCCCAGCACTTTGAAAAACCAATACCAATGGCTTAAAATGGTATTCTTAAACTCTGGTGGGTTGAAAATCACCTGGGGAGCTTATTTTTAAAAGCAGGATCTAGAGTCCCACCGCTCCCCCCTCCCACCCCAAGCACTTCTTGGGCACATTTTCAACAACACTGATTGGAGGGATAAATTCTAAGCTCAGTGAAGCGAAGTCCTTCAGGAACCACCCCCAGCAGCCAGCACCCCTAGTAAACCAGCCTTTTTCCAAGTTCCTGAGAACTCTCTTGCACCTGAGTCCCTAAGGCTCCTCCTGCCAGGCGGCCCCTCTCTGCCTGCACCACTCGCCTACTGCCTTGTCGCAGATTGACCTAAACCAATTTGGTCATGCACAGTCTTTTTTGGCAGGTAAAGGTAGCCCCCAAAACACCACATCTTCACTATTTCATGATGAAAACAACTTTTAGAAACAGTTTCTGCTATGTGTGGGGATACCTTTTTTTTTTTTTTTAATTGAGACAGAGTATCACTCTGTTGCCCAGGCTGGAGAGCAGTGGCGGAATAATCTCGGCTCACTGCAACCGCCGCCTCCTGGGTTCAAGCAACTCTTCCAGCTCAGCCTCCCAAGTAGCTGGGATTACAGGCACGCATCACCATGCCCAGCTAATTTTTTTTGTTCTTAGTAGAGATGGGTTTCGCCATGTTGGCCAGGCTGGTCTTGAACTTCTGACCTCAAGTGATCTGCCCACCTCAGCCTCCCAAAGTGCTGGGACTACAGGCGTGAGCCACTGCGCCCGGCCGGTATACTTTTAAATGAAACACATTTTAGCAAGCAGGCAAAAGAGTGCCTGCAACTCTTCTGTGAGTTTGGTGAAGTCCAGAGCTTGGCTTTTTTACGTGATCTCAAAATCATTTTACATTTCCAAAGGTACACTTGAAGCAGATGCACTAATATTCTAGAAGTAGCATCCCATGAGCCTTGTAATGCCATCAGCAGCCTCAATCCTCCAACCCAATCATCAAGCCATCAAGCTCTGGGCACCACCCTAAGAGTATGTGCTAAAAGCCTCATTAGATTGTTAAACCCTGGTTATAGAGAGGTAGGAAAAGTTCAAATACTTTAGCCAGCATATACTGAATTTATATGTATATTTAGCATCATTAATTCCATCAACAAAAGAACATTTCTATCATCCATTGAACTAATTTAGAAGCCAATAATTTCCCCTGCTGCAAAGCCATTTCTAGTATTTACTACCCTAACTCATAGAGCTTCCAGTTTATTCAGGATTAGGAAGCTGGATTGTTGGAATGACACCTTTCTGAAATGTATATTTCTGATCAGGGCAACTGACTATCCCTAGAACGCAGTATAAATTAACACATCACATGTCTATACTGGATATTTTAAAGTAAATTACAACATCATAACATTCCTACTTACTCTTACAGGCTCCCCACTCTGGGATGTCTTCCCTGACCACTGGCTTAGCCTCCTCACCCCTGGTGGTGGGCCTGGCACAGCCCTGAGCAGTGCATTATTGTAACTCACATGTCTTTCCTCCATGTGGCTATGAGCTTCATGGGCAACACGAAGCTTATGTCCTTAAAGCAGTGTTGGATTCAGAGTAGATTCTCAACAAATGTGATTTGCGGAATGTATAGATAAGCAGACAGATACCACGTCCCTAAGCAAAATGACAAAGTTGGCTGGGACGGTCCAGAGCCCCCAAACTTCCCTCTTCTCATTGTCCCAGGGCCCCACAGCCTCATGTCACCCTCTCCCAGCCTGCATGACAGTGCCCGCCAGGGAACCTCCTGCTCCAAGTACCACCTCAGTTGTGGGCCTATTCCATCAAAGTTCAGAGAATCAATTTCCAATAAGCACCAAAAGAGGGAATATTTTAAGATTTTAATTACTGCTCTTGACCCACATTCATTTAGTGGGAAGAAAAAGGAGCTGACAGATGATCTGGGGTAAGAGCTTCTGGTATTGCAGCCCATTCAAGCTGCCTAAGAACAAAATCCAATAACTGGGCTCTTCACTCTGAGAATAACTTGTTGGCTCCCTCATCAGTTAAAACAGGCACAATAGCTACGTTAAGTATTGTTTTGAGTATCAAAATACAGAGCATATACCAAGCACCTAGTAAAGCACCTGGCTCCCCGCAGAGTTCAGCAGATGGTCATTGCCTCCCACCATCTGGTGAGCATGGATTATCCTCATCTGCTCAGCATCCCTTTCCCTATTTACCTGCTATGGATCTTCCTGTGGGAAACTTCTCCTCTCTTCATCATGGGATTTAGTAGGACTGCCGGTTGTACCACCGGATCCCTGGAACTTCCTGGACTCAGGCCTGGCCAACCATGTCACCTTCATTTCTGGGACCTCGATGATTGGTCAGGGTTAGACATGACCTGAGTTGGGCCAATGAGAACCCTTTTGAAATTTTTTATATTTTGAAGTCAGAAAGAAAAGTCTCTTTCTTCCAGAGTCACTAACCTGTCAATAAGAAATCGGGGACTACTAGCAACCCTGTTCTCTGTTGTAGAGAAGACCTGTTTGCAATAGGTAAGAATAAAGCCACGAGAAATGAAAGAGCATGTGCACTTGTATGCCAGCCACAAGTTTCTGGGAACCTAAATTGCCCTCATATTTACAGATGTCCCAATTCTGGATGTTTGCTTTAGTCAATGACCAATAAACACTTTTCTCTCCCCCTTACATTGATCGAAGCTGTATTTAGTTTGTTTATTTATTTATTTTTAGTACTTGAGATCAAATCAAATAACCCTTAAGAGATACAGCTCCCTGCCCCCTGCTCTCCACCCTTGCTTAGAAAAATGTAACATATTCCAAATTTGGTAGGAAACTAAGCATATTCCTAGCCTATGTATGATGCCATAATCCCACATTTACATATAGTTCCAACATAAATGCTTTTTCCATCCATCAACACACATGGAAAAGAATGCTCTTGTCAACTTTGTTCCTAATAACCAAATATACCTGTTGAGTTTTTTAAAAATCCAGACACTGATATATGCTGTTAGGAATCAGAACGGTGGTTACTTCTGACCAGAGGTAGTGACTGGTAAGGGCCAGAGGGGGTTTGGGGGTACTGGAATGCTATTCTGGGGTGTTGGACTCTATCTCAGAGCTACGGGTGTTACAAAGATGGGTCTGCTCTGTGAACCATCATTGAGCTGTGTAATGATGATTTTTCACTTTTCTGTGTGTATGTTACCCTTCAATAAAAAGAAGTTCACTTTTAAAAAATTTTTTGAAAAAGCACTGGCTCTTGTCACCACTCTGAATTTGTCTGCCCATCATCTGAATTTGGGACCACCATCACCATTCGTCCCTTTCTCCAGTGCTTTTTAGGTCTGCCACCTTGGCTGCCATGTCCCAATGGGCACTTTTCTTCTGACGACAGCCTGGCCCCAGTGCTTCCTCCTCCAGGCAGCCTCCCCTCCACTGTCCAGTAGGAACCCTGCTCTCTGTGCACAGCTTGTACACACTCCTCCTTTAGCACCTGTCTTAGTGTAACTATAAAAAAATACCTGAAACTGGGTAATTTATAAACAACAGAAATGTATTTCTCATGATTCTGGAGGCTGGGAAGTCCAAGATCAAGGCTAGCAGATCTGGTGTTCAGTGAGGGCTCATTATTCATAGATGACACCTTCTATGTCCTCAAGTGGCGGAAAAGACAAACTCCTTTGGGTCGCTTTTACAAAGGCACTAATCCCATTCATGAGAGCTCCACCCTCATGTGCTAATCACCTCCTAAAAGGTCCCACCTCTTAAAAAATAGCCAACTTGGAACTTGGAGTCCTGGGTCTGTGTCCCAACTCCCCTGCTGGCCAGCTCTGTGGCATTGGGAAAGTCCTCTAACCTTTCTTAGGCTTAGTTTCTTCAGATGTAAAATAGATACAATAGAATGTGGATTTCACATTATTTGCAAATCATAAGGTGCCACATAACTAAGGTTTCACTACTGAACAATGAAGCCCTCGGGCCTCAATTGGAGTTTTTATGACACAGCCAAACCTCCCAGGAGGATCTGGGGCTCTTTTTCTATAAAATCTATGTTCTCTGTGGGGGAGCCTGGGCCAGTGGCATAAATTTGCATTTTGGTTCAGTTTACCACCTAGTAAGAGACATTTTGTTTAATTGAGTTCTATTTTTTTTAATGTGCCTTCCCAGTCAGCACAGAAAAAAAACAGAAAGCTAGTTGACATCACTTGGAAAGCCAGCTCTCTTCGCAACCGGGCCTTTCTCTGAGTGATTGTTCTTTTTCTTTTTCTTTTTTTTTTTTTTTTTTGAGATGGAGTCTTGGTCTCTCACCCAGGCTGGAGTGCAATGGCGCCATCTGGGATCACTGCAACCTTCGCCTCCTGGGTTCAACCAATTCTGCCTCAGCCTCCCAAGTAGCTGGAACTACAGGCATGTGCCACTATGCCCAGCTAGTTTTTGTATTTTTAGTAGAGACAGGGTCTCACCATGTTAGCCAGACTGGTCTCGAACTCCTGACCTCAGGTGATCCACCCGCCTTGGCCTCCCAAAGTGCTGGGATTACAGGCATAAGCCACTGCACCTGGCTGTGATTGTTCTTGGAGAAATGAACTGTATTCCCTGTTTGCCTCTAGAGCAAGCTTGGTCAACCTGTGGCCCATAGGCTGCATGTGGCCCAGGATGGCTTTTAATGCAGCCCAACACAAATTCGTAAACTTTCTTAAAACACTGTGAGATTTTTTTTTTTTTTTTTGCAATTGTTTTTTCAGTTCGTCAGCTATCATTAGTGTTTGTGTATTTTGGGTGTGGCCCAAGACAATTCTTCTTCTTCCAGTGTGGCCCAGGGCAGCCAAAGGATTGGACACCTCTGCGTCTATAGCCAAAAACCTGGTAGGGAAAGGGGTGGTTAGAGGCTCGGATGCCACTGTACTTCCCTCCCCTCTGGTGGCAAGAACTTCCCCCAGGAATGGTTCTGAAGGCAGAGGGGCTTTTGCAGCTGGAGGCCAGGAATGTTGAGAAGGACAGACCAGAGCCGGCTCCACTCAGGCTGAGAGAGGCCTGCGGAAGAGTCAAGCTCTGCCTCCCAGGGGCAGGCCGGGTGACAGGCCACGGGCCTGAGGAGAGAAGCCTTTAGCCCAAGGTTACTGAGGGGCCACAGAGGCCAACTCATCCACTCGCCTCTATTATCCTACTGGGAAACTGATGCCCAAAGAGGTCATGATCCCTGTCCCAGGCCAACCACACAGGTGGTAGGTGGCAGGGTCCCCATCCTGCTCCCCTGCCCTAATGAACACCCAGATCAGATAGGACAAGGCTGGAGAGGGGCTGCAGGCCCGTGAGGGGGGTGGTGGGGGAGGGGAGTTTGGGATGAGAAAGACTGTATTAGGGTCCCCCAGAGAAACAGAGCTGTAGTAGAATACATCTCTATCTATATGTATACATACACACACACATATAAATATATACATATATACATACACATAAATATATACATATATATACACACACATACACACACATAAATGTATACATATATACACACACATATACATATATACACACATATATACATATATACACACAAAAAATATATACACACACACATATAAATATGTATGTAAATATACACACACACATATAAATATGTATGTACATATACACACACACATATAAATATGTATGTACATATACACACACACATACACACATACATATAGAGAGATGCTTGATGAGGAACTGGTTCACACAGTTACAGAGGCTGACAGGTTTCACAGTTTGCTGGCCGGAGACCCAGGAAAGCCAGTCGTGTGGTTCCTCCTGAGCCCGAAGGCCTGAGAACCGCAGGAGCTGAAGGTGTCGATCTTAGTCCAAGCACCGGAGAAGGTGAGATGAGATACCCCAGCTCAAGCAGACAGGTGGGAGGCAAAAGGGGTGGCTCGCTCCTTCCTCCACCTTTTTGTTGGATTCAGGCCTCTGTGGAGGGGCTGATGTCTGCCCACACTTGGGAGGGACAGAGTCTCACTCTGTCGCACAGGCTGGAGTGCAGTGCCACAATCTCAGTTCACCATAACCTCCATCTCCCCAGTTCAAGCAATTCTCCGATTCTCCTGCCTCAGCCTCCTGAGTAGCTGGGTTTACAGGTGTGCATGACCACGTCTAGCTAATTTTTTATTTTTAGTAGAAATGGGGTTTCACCATGTGGGCCAGGCTGGTCTTGAACTCCTGACCTCAGGTGATCCATGAACCTCAACCTCCCAAAGTGCTGGGATTACAGGCATGAGCCACCACACCTGGCGGTGGCACCACTTTACAGAGTGCAAATCCCATGAAGAAACAGCCTCAAAGACACACCCAGAGGAAATGTTGAATCTGGGCACCCAGTGGCTGGTTAAGACAACACAGAGAATTAACCCTGCTGCAGATACAAAGGCTCCCCCAGGGGCAGACGGGTGGGCTGCCTAGCATCCCTTGTGTCATTAGACCGCCCGTTCTCAACCCTGATCTGAGGGCCCAGGACAAAGATGCCCTTGGTCTAATGAGAAATTAGACAAATAAGGGCCATACAGCGAGCTTGTCCCGATGCCTAAATCACCCCATTGTGTTTATTCTGAGGTTATGTCTTTTGTATGTGCTGAAAGTTTCCTGTCAAATGAAATTAAGGAAACCATAGATGATCGCTATTCATGTCTTTCTTGATCAAATAAATCCAGTGTCTAGAATGTTTTTGAAATGTTACTTGTTCCTGAAATTCCAAAATCAACTTGATTAAGACCGGGCATCTGTCTTCCAGAGAAGAGAGGACTGGGAAGCCCTGGAAGAGGTAGTCCCAAGTCCCCAAACTCAGGATGCTGCGGCTAAAAGCAGCCAGGGTGGCCAAAGTCAGGGTGGGTGCAGAGCCGGGGGCATCACGCTTCTGCTGAACCCAACTAAAGTAACTCTTCCTCTGTGCCTGGGTGGTTCAACAGAGCTGAGATCTGAATGGACGTCTACTTGAGGTAGCAGGAAGCTACTGGCTTAGTTCTACCCACAGAAACAGATTCCATCACAAACCTCCTGCAAGGGACCCCCCGCCCCAGCTGCTGTGTGTCCCTGCCCCTGGGAGTGATTACCCCAAGCTCTGGCTTTCTACCTGGGGTTGCATAGATGAAAGGAACCCCCTGTGAGTCTGTCCCAAAGTCCTTTGTGGGGCTGTGGCCAGAGGTCTTGGTGCCAGGCTAGGGCTGGAAGCTGGCAGGATGCAGAGGGAAATTCAAGGCTCCAGGCACGCACCCTTCATGATCTGAAGTGGGGCGGCGGGGGATGCCCAGGCTCAGGAGCTGGAACATCAGGCCCAGCACACACTGGGAAGCTGGATGGACCATCTGCCAAACTCAGAGGATTTTGTCCTTGGAGACAGGGTCTTCCCTCCATCAGCTGTGCTTCTTAGAAGCAAAGAAAATCAGCTTTTGGTAACTGAAGCAGAAAAGTGGTTTATCCAAGGGGTATTTGGGAAAATCCTTGGCCGAGCACAGTGGCTCATGCCAGTAATCCCAGCACTTTCGGAGGCCAAGACGGGCAGATCACCTGAGGTCAGGAGTTCGAAACCAGCCTGGCCAACAGGGCGAAACCCCGTCTCTACTAAAAATACAAAAATTAGCCAGGTGTGGTGGTGCACGCCTGTAATCCCAGCTACTTGGGAGGCTGAGGAGGGAGGATTGCTTGAACCCTGGAGGCGGAGATTGCAGTGAACTGAGATCATACTACTGCACTCCAGTCTGGGCAACAGAGTAAGACTCTGTCTCAAAAAAAAAAAAAAAAAAGAAAGAAAGAAAAGAAAAGAAAAAGAAAAAACAAAAAAAAAAAAAGAAAAAAAAGCCTCCTCTACTTCAGGCTGTGGAGTGGACCAGAAGCCCTGGATGCCATACCCAAATGGAACAACTAGAACATTGCATTGGATCAAATACAAAAACCAGTGTTTAAATGCATTGCTGGGTTGACACTAAAGGAGAGAGTCCTAGAGGCAAAGCACAAAGTGAGAGTAGGAAGCCTGGGTCCCCTGAAGGGAATTGTTTTGGAGACCAAAGGAGGGTGGAGTGGGGCTGGCTGCCCAGAGGCCCAGGAGCTCTCAGCAGGCAAGGGATCTAGGCGGGTGCATTTGCATCAGGAGTTTTAATAAACAGACAATACCCGACCTACGATGGTTGGATTTAGAATTTTTCCACTTTATGGATGTCTGGGGTATTAAATGTATTTTCCACTTCATGATGTTGACTTATGTTGGGTTTTTGGGGACATAGCCTCATCGAAAGAGAAAAAGCATCTGTATGTGTTGGTTCAGCATTTGGTTTGGTTTGGTTGTGAGTGAGGAAATCGGAGGCTGTTGCCTCCGTCAGTAGAGATGGAGTAGTCAAAATGTGAGGCCCGCGGGTGAGGATGAAGACACTCGCAAAGCACAGGCCCATGCAACAGGGATTTACACACCGCAAATCTCAAAACTGACGACGTTCAGGCATAGCAGCAGCCTTCCCTTTTGGTTAGCATGGTTGCTATTCTTCCTAGTTTGCTCTTTCGCAGGGACAGTCAAAAACAAAAAAGAAGCATAATCATCATAATAATAGTTATTATTAGTAACTCTATTGAGGCCATCACTGTGGCTCACACCTGTAATGCCAGCACTTTGGGAGGCCGAGGCAGGCAGGTCACTTGAGGTCAGAAGTTCGAGACCAGCCTGGCCAACATGGCAAAACCCCATCTCTACTAAAAATACAAAAACAAATTAGCCGGGCATGGTGGCGCACACCTGTAATCCCAGCTACTCAGGAGGCTGAGGCAGGAGAATTGCTTGAACCTGGGAGGCAGAGGTTGCAGTGAACTGAGAGCACGCCATTGTACACCATCTCAAAAAATGAAGAAGAAAAAAAACTATTGAATAGCCCTACTGGGTACCGGGTACCTAGCACAATTATATGACTTAAATACATTATTTCTTATCCTCACAACAACCATCTACAGTAGACACTATCATTCCAGTTGTTCACATACAGGAACTGAGGCCCAGAGAGGTTAAATATCCTGTCCAAGGACATACACACAACTCTGAAATTAATTTATCATTATATTTGAGACACTGAGAAATCAACAAGCAACGCTTTTACAGCATGTGCAAACACAGTTTTTATGTGACCTTTCCCAACAGAGCATTTGATAAAATTCAAGGAAATGATGTGAAAGCAGCTCAGGGCATCAAACCCTTGGACGTGCTAAATGAGCAGGACCAGGTTTGCAGCCTTCAGGAAATCTAACTTGATAGATTGTGTCTAGGTTGGCACATTGCAAAGAACTTGAGGGCAGACAACCTCCCCTCACAGGGGCCTGAAGAGGCCTGTCTGCCATAGTGGTGGTGGAGGCAAATCTGGAAGGTTTTTTTTTTTAGGTGGAGTCTCGCTCTGTCACCCAGGCTGGAGTGCAGTGGCATGATCTCAGCTCACTGTAACCTCTGCCTCCCAGGTTCAAGCTATTCTCCAATTCTCCTTCCTCAGCCTCCTGAGTAGCGGGGATTACAGATGCACACCATCACGCCTGGCTAATTTTTTTATTTTTAGTAGAGACAGGGGTTTCACCGTGTTGGCCAGGCTGATCTCAAATTCCTGACCTCAAGTGATCCGCCCTCCTCAGCCTCTCAAAATGCTGGGATTACAGGCATGAGCCACTGTGCCCAGCCAAACCTGGAAGTTTTAGAAATCATGAATGCAAGAAATGGGGGCCACCATCTCTCACGAATGTTGAGAAGCCTGACGGGTGTCCTCACTGAGCATGAAGGCCGCCCCCATCATTAATTCATTCACTCATTCAGCAATTATGTCTTAAGTCTTTATGGTTTGCCAAGTTCTGTATGAGGCCCCGCATTCAAAGCAGTAAGCAAAACCCTCGAGTTCAGTGGGGGAGCCCAACAACGCACGCATCGTTTCCTTGCCAAGTATCACTGCTGCGGTGAGTGATGGCAAAACAGAGGCAAAATGACAATGCAGGTCTCTCACTTCATGGATCACATCCTGGGATCCCAAAATCGCCACATTAATACTGATACACTGTATTTTATCTTAAAATAAGCCATGTCCAAACTGTGTACCTCTAGCTAAAATAACTATTCCAAACTAGTCCCTGGTCTCTGTTCTTGCTGAAAGCACAGCTGTGTTTCTCCAGGTAGGATAATCGGGAAAGACGGTACAGGCTGAAATAAATTTTCTCAGGCCAGGAGAAAGGAGGCTCCAGGGACTGGCATTAGCTGAGAAAGAAAACAGAAGGGGATGGAGGATGAGAGGAGAAAAGAACCACCTGTGGGAGAAGGGATGCGTCTGGCTCCAGGTGAAGAGATGGGAATTAGGCTGGGAAACTCCCCAGCTCCTGTCTCCTTCCCTCTTTCCCCTCGCTGCCATCCCCTCCAATCCCCTCACCATACCCCATCCTGTTTGCATTACTGTCTGTTTCCACTTCACCCTCGTTCTAAATGATTTTCCAGTCGATAGAATTTCACTGGAACTCAAAACTGCTTTGAGGAGACATGAAAAAGAGGAATAAGCAGAAGAAACAATGAGAATCCAAGGGAGATCTTTTGGGAGGGGTTTTAAACAGAAGGGATGTGATCAGAGCCCTTTCTAAACATGTGCACCTTTGTTCAGTTTGAATGTAAAGACCATATGTCTTTATTTTATGTAATTGCATATCAAGATATAAATGAATATGACTTCAGATTGAAATTCTGAAAAATCAGTATTATACCAACAAAAGTACCATAAGCTGGTTCTGAAATGTCGCTTGTTAAGCCAGAATCCTGGACGCCAATGGATATTGTGATCGCCACTCTGGTAGGGCTGTGGGCAGAGTGCAGGGGCACAAAGTGGAGAACCTCTGCCCAGGCTGCGGTGGGCTTCCTGGAAGGGGTGATGACCAGAAGCTGAGATGTGAAGGATGGGAAGTTAGAGAAGAAAAGGATGTGAATGTGGAGAAGAGGTGACCTCGCACCTTTGGGTGCTGTGACTTTGATGTTGGTGCTCCAGCCACACAGGAAATGCTGCAAGCAGTGCCAGGGTGCTCCTCAGGAGGCAGTTCAGGACCCACCTCACTTTTACTTTTTTTTTTCTTTTCTTTTTTTTTTTTTGAGATAGTGTGTCCGGAGTTTGTTCCTTCCAGTGGGTTCATGGTCTCACTGACTTCAAGAATAAAGCAGCGGACCTTCGAGGTGAGTGTTATAGCTCTCAAAGGTGGCACGGACCCAAAGAATGCTCAGCGGCAAGATTTATTGTTAACAGCAAAAGGACAAAGTTTCCATAGAGTGGAAGGGGACCCAGATTGCTGCGGCTGGCTGGGGTGGCCAACTTTTATTCCCTTATTTGTCCCTGCCCACGTCCTGCTGATTGATTGGTCCATTTTACAGAGCGCTGATTGGTCAATCTTACAAACCTCTAGCTAGCCACAGAGCACTAATTGGTGCATTTTACAATCCTAGCTACAGAGTGCTGATTGGTGCATTTTATAATCCTCTTGTAAGACAGAAAAGTTCTCCAAGTCCTCACCCAACCCAGAAGTCCAGCTGGCTTCACCTCTCAATAGGGTCTTGCTCTGTCATTCAGGCTGGAGTGGAGTAGCCCAATCTTGGCTCACTGCAGCCTCGACCTCCTGGGCTCAAGCAATCCTCCCAGCCTCAGCCTCCAGAATAGCTGGGACTACAGGCATGCACCACCATGGCTAATTTTTTTTTTCTTGTATAGACAAGGTCTCCCTATGTTGCCTAGGCTGGTCTTGAACTCAGCCTCAAGCAATCCTCTATCCTGTGTCTCTGAAAGTGCTGGGATTACAGGAGTGAACCCCCTATACCCAGCCCCACCTAACTCTCTTTTTTTTTTTTTTTTTGATACGGCGTCTCGCTCTGTCACCCAGGCTGGAGTGCAGTGGCGAAATCTTGACTCACTGCAAGCTCCACCTGCCGGGTTCACGCCATTCTCCTGCCTCAGCCTCCTAAGTAGCTGGGATTGCAGGCACCCGTACCATGCCCGCCTGGCTAATTTTCTTGTATTTTTAGTAGAGATGGGGTTTCACCATGTTGGCCAGGCTGGTTTCGAACTCATGACCTCGGCTGACCCCCCCCGCCTGGGCCTCCCAAAGTGCTGAGGTTCCAAGTGTGAGCCGCCGCACCCAGCCCCCACCTAACTCTTAATGGACTGCAACATACACTCTAGAAGAGATGTCTGAACAATTCTAAAAACAGACAATCCTTAGTATCCACTTCAACCCCTCAGAACATTAGCAGCACCCTAGGCACGACTGATTCCCAGCGGCAGGGTCTCTGCTGAGTCCCCTGAACCTAAATGTATGAATTAGCACTTAAGGAACTCAAAAATCAATGTCAGAGAATGCAGCTGCCGACGTTGAAGTAGGCAGTTGTTTCCTAACTCTTAAATTTCACTAATATATTGTAACAAAGATGGAAACAAACTGCATCTTTATGGTTATAGAGGGTTCTCTTCCTCCATCACTAACATGCACTTACAGGCTTCCCAGAAGAAATCTCCTTTCTGGGACTTTTAAGAGATAGAGAATACAGACAGACCTTGCCCCTTTGTTGGACAGATTCAAATGTTTTGCTTGTTTTTGTCCTTTATTTTTTTAAAAATTTTTGGTAAGAAACAGGGTCTTACTCTGTCAGCCAGGCTGGAGGGCAGTGGTGCAATCTCGGCTCACTGCAGCCTCAATCTCCTGGGCTCGAGCAAATGTCCCACCTCAGCCTCCTGATTAGCTGGGACCACAGGCACACACCACCACCCCTGGCTAATTTTTTTATTTTTTGTACAGACAGGGTTTCACCATGTTGCCCAGGCTGGTCTCAAACTCCTGGGTTCAAGTGATCCGCCCACCTCGGCCTCGGTTTCCCAAAGTGCCAGGATTACAGGCATGAGCCACTGTGCCTGGCCTTGCTTTTCTTGTATAGAAAAAAAATTCTACCTCATTGTCATTTCCAAACATACCCTCAGTTCTGCCCCTGGAAGCAAAACAAATTGGTACTGGAAAAAATGAACAATCCTTCTGGCTTCAGGAGCCCCAATTATTTTTGGAGAGCATTTGTTGCTTATTAGAGGGACCTTGACAACAAAAGCCTCACAATTCATTACTTAACAGGAGAATACTCATCTTCCTATTGGATTTGACAAGGGGGCTATAATAAGTTCTTCTAAAAGCAAGCCCAGACCACTTAATTATAAATTGTAAATGAAGATTTTTTTAAAAATCCTTGTTTCACAGAACTTCACACATCTATGTACAAAATCAAAAGACTGTGAGTGTCTACACTGATTTTTGTTAAGTGTAGTGCAGATTTTTATAAGGGCATTAATATTTGGTTCACAGAGAGACCAAAGAAAAATTTAAATAATTGTTGCATTATCTCTGGCAGATTTCTCCATAAGGTGAAAGGAAATATGGAAGTGGTCAGTGTTTGGGAATGAAATCCAATTGTTCCTCATATAAAATAAGGTAATGAGAAATCCAGACCCAAAGTTCTAAGGAGAAAACGGGTACAAGTTTAGAAGGAAAAACTATCGGAGTAAATGAATGGGCATGTGGGATCCTGACATGGGGATATTGGGAAAACAGAGTAGACTGCATTTTAAGCTTATAAAGAAGGGCATATAATACAAGAAGTAAAGAGACATAAACAATTTAGCAAGAATCAGAGCAAACCATTTAGATTCTATTTTAGCAATATGGAGGCTTCGCTATTCTCAAACCATCCCATTACAAAACACCTAAAAATGTTGGAGCCCATGAGAATGTAAGGGAGCACACAAGAGGCCAGTATCAAAGCTCAGGTGTGAATTCCGAAAGCTAAATTCTTCAAACTACCCTAAGGCTATTTGCCAATCCCCTTTAGACAGCCCTGTGGAGAAATAAAGATAAGGCCGAGACCCATCAAACTAAAGAGTTGGAACAGAGCCCACCCACCTCCCCCGCACCCACCCACTCCCTCAACACACAATAAAGCCAGA
Source organism: Homo sapiens (assembly GCF_000001405.40). NCBI lineage: Eukaryota > Metazoa > Chordata > Mammalia > Primates > Hominidae > Homo > Homo sapiens. The sequence continues at coordinate 35,687,705 of NC_000013.11, forward strand.
ATTCCTAAAAGTCTATTCTTAAGGTGTAAGACTGAACTAGGAAAAAAAAAAAAAAAAAAAGAAACAAATTTTTTTCTCTTTGGCTTTGTGTGGAGAAGGATAACAGTCTCTACTGAAAATTCATGATCACATCCCAGCCCATGATCTGCGTGATGTTGAAAGACTCAAGCCAAGGCTTCCATTTAAAGTGGATCTAGTTTGCTACTTCCCTAGGCACCTGGAAAAAAATAAATGCAAATTGTCCTTGGAAAAATGGACCTTAGTCTTCAGTAATTTTCCGTGATTAAATTTGCATGGAAAATGAGCTCTTGGGAGAGAGAGAGAGAGAGAGAGTGAAAGAGAGAGAGAGAAAGAAAACATTCTACTAGGAATAAGAATCAGTACAAGTAATGAACAGCGGAATTAGACTCCTAAATACTACAAATATGAGAACTACAAATATCAAAATGTATTAAAATTATGTTTAATATGCTGTACATTTTTAATATGTATTTTCATATTCTGAAATTCTACTGGTTATGAAGTGGCTACGCTGTCCGGAGTATATACCCTGCGGTTCGTTGTCGTACTCCGAGAAAGAATTCAGGACACAGACACACGTGGGTGAGTTAAGGAGTGGAAAATTTAACAGAAGAAAGGAGAGAGGAGAGCAGCTCCTTGCGAAAGAGAGAGATGTCCGAAAAGGCGGGAGGTGGTGGACTGTATCAGATTTTATAGGCAGTCTGGAGAAGGTGGCATCTGATTTACACAGGGCTCACAGATTGGTTTGATCAAGTATGATGTCTACATAGTGTATGGGGAAGGCTGGTCGCCCCACCCTAATCTTCTTATGCAAATGGGCTTTCTAGTTGATCAGTGCCATCTTGTCTGCTCCTTTACAGTACAGGTGGCTGGCAGAGAAGAGAAGATGGAGCTGCCATCTTGAACATGTCTAATCCTTAGTTCCCATTGACATTCACCCACACAAGCTCCTAGCTCGCAGGCTGTTCTTAGTTAGAAAATGATTTGGGGCTGCTTTTTATTAAAAAAAAATAAAATAAAAGCCTTACAGAGGACTCTCATACCCTTGGTATCTGCTAAGTTATTCTTTCTTAACTTCTATATCAGTTATTTTTAAGGAAAGGAAAACAAGAAAAGAGAATTAATATAAAAGTAAATTTAAAATGAATATAAAAGAATGAATTTAAAACAAATATAAAAGAATGCATATAAAATTAATATAAAAGAGTAAATATTAGAAAAAAGAAGAATACACCATCTCAAAAGACCAGGCTGATTTCAAAACTAACCAAAGCAAACTTCAGAAAATAAAATATGCAATTTCTCCCCTGGGCTGATAGCAAGAATGGCATTAGATTTTGTTTTTACTTTACTCATTTTAAAAAAGTAAAAGAAAGGCTCTAAAGAGTTCAAATACAAAATATCTTTTCTTGGGACTTTGTTCATTTTAAGGTGGTTGATCCAATGAGGAAAAGGGCTCAGGTCTGTGATGTTAATATTGTGTCAACTTGACTGTACTGAAGGATGCAAAGTATTGTTCCTGGGTGTGTCTGTGAGGGTGTTGCCAAAGGAGATTAACATTTGAGTCAGTGGAGTGGGAGAGGCAGACCCAACCTCAATCTGTGTGGGCACCATCTAATCAGCTGCCAGCGTGGCTAGGATAAAGCAGGCACAAGAAGATGAAAGAGCAGACTTGCTGAGTCTTCCAGCCTCCATCTTTCTCCCGTGCTGGATGCTAGGAAGCCCTCAAACATCAGACTCCAAGTGCTTCAGCTTTTGGACTCTTGTATTTATAACAGTGATTTACCAGGGGCTCCTGGGGCCTTTGGCCACAGATTGAAGGCTTCCCTACTTCTGAGGTTTTGGGACTCGGACTGATCCACCACTGGCTTCCTTGCTCCTCAGCTTGCTAACGGCCTACTGTGGGACTTTACCTTGTGATCGTGTGAGTCAGTTCTCCTTAAGAAGCTCCCTTTCATGTATACGTCTATCCTCGGCTGAGTGCAGTGGCTCAAGCCTGTAATCCCAGCACTTTAGGTCAGGATATCGAGGCCAGCCTAGCCAACATGGTGAAACCCTGTCTTTACCAAAAATACAAAAATTACCTGGGCGTGGTGGCATGTGCCTGTAATCCCCACTAGTCAGGAGGCTGAGGCAGGAGAATCGCTTGAACCCAGGAGGAAGAGGTTGCAGTAAGCCGAGATGGCGCCACTGCACTCCAGCCTGGGTGACAGAGTGAGACTCTGTCTCAAAAAAAAAAAAAAAACAAAAAGAACATATATATATCTCCTGTTAGTTCTGTCCCTCTAGAGAACCCTGACTACTACAAGTCTCAGGCTGCGCAGTTGTCCTGGGATCAATGAGACTTCAGATTGTCAATGAGGAATCTACTTCCACAATATCCATTCCCAAAACCATACCACCATCCCCTAGATCCCCAATTACACATTGTTTATTAGTAAAAGAAGGAATAGTTTCAGGATTTATTTATTTATTTATTTATTTATTTATTTTTCTTTTTCTTTCTTTCGACAGGGTCTCACTCTGTCACTCAGGCTGGAGTGCAGTAGCACAAGCATAGCTCACTACAGCCTCGAAATCTTGGGCTCAAGTGATCCTCTTGCCTCAGCCTCCAGAGCAGTTGGGATGACAGGCACACACCACCACACCCAGCTAATATATTTTTTCTTTTTTTGTAGAGATGGGGTCTCACTATGTGGCACAGGCGGGTCTCCAACTCCTGGCCTCAAGCGATCCTCCTACCTCGGCTCCCAAAGTGTTGGGATTACAGGCATGAGCCACTGTGCCTGGCCACTTTTGCCATTTATTATACATAAGTTTTGCTTAGGCAAAAAAAAAAAAAAAAAAAAAAAAAAAAAATGTATAGTAGTAAACTCATGAAAAGCTTCTTCCATGTTGTACCTGAGGTGTTACCTCCTAACCTGCTTAGGCTTGTTTTTGTTTCTGGTTGTTACTAAACCAAGAACTAGAGGACAGAGGCCCCTGTGTACCAAAGGAAGTCCTTGGAGGAAGGGGGAAAGCACTCGATGAGTAAGTGTTGGCAGAGCCGGCTTACATTTTCTGCAGCTGTTTGGAATGCAGTCAGGACTAATAATGAACAGCTATCTTTCTGAACTTCATTACGGGGTAGCCCATATAAGAACAGGCACAAAATGGTTTTTGTTTTGTTTTTTAAATAACACCCCTGGATGCCCGCAGCTGGAGGGATGTGAAATAATATCACACAGGGAGGACTCTGGCTCAAACAGGGGATTCGTTTCCCTGTGGATTCCATTAGCAATCGCTCTTCTGCTGAAGAGCTGGGGAGGTGAAGCAGAGAACCAACTGGGATGATGGAAGAACTGTCCAGCCGATGGAGAAGGAGATCATCAACAACAAACCTCAAATGTTCATGAGAAAATTTAGCAAGGACGAAGTCTCTTTAGAAACACTGATAACAGGATGTCCTGAAAATGAATCCCAACAATTGCACATCTACAGACTAATTTCTTTTTTAAAAATTCAGATATACAAAATTCTGTTGCAATATGAAAAATAGGACAGGGCCAAGGGGGTTGGGGGGCAGCCTTATAAGAGGCTGAGGTTGGGCAGAACTTAGGTTTCATCAGAGTAACACCCTAAGTCATACCTCTTTGAAGGTTTTCACTAGTTTTTTAATCAAGTAGAAAATAGAAGTTAATTTTATAATTTCCCTGTGTTTCACAGTAGTGTTTTTGGTTTTTTTTTCAGGCCATTATGGTTTTCATTTCCAATATGGGTCCAGTCATCTAACGTTTCACTTCTTCCATAAAGTCCCAAGTTCAAGAACTTCTCCAGGTTTTGTCATAAAGGCTCCTGCACAGAGTAAAACATAGGATGCTATTAAGGGCAAAAGTCTCGTTCTTTCAAGGGGATATAAAACTAGGAAAGCAGCCCTCAGCCAAGATCCCCCAGCACAATTGTATTAGTCTGCTTGGCTGCCATAACAAAATATCACAGATGGGTGGCTTAAACAACAGAATTTATTTCTCACAGTTCTAGAGACTGGAAGTCCAAGGTCAAGGTGCTGTCAGGGTTGGTTTCTAGTGAGGACTCTCTCCTTGGGTGGCAGAAGGCACCTTCTTTTATATTTTCTTTTTTTTTTCTTTGTCATTTTATTTTATTTATTTTCTTGAGACGAAGTCTCTCTCTGTTGCCCAGACTGGAGTGCAGTGGTATGATCTTGGCTCACTGCAACCTCCACCTCCCGGGTTCAAGTGATTCTCCTGCCTCAGCCTCCCAAGTAGCTGGGACTACAGGCATGCGTCACCACGCTCGGCTAATTTTTGTATTTTTAGTAGCGATGAGGTTTTATCACATTGCCCAGGCTGGTGTCGAACTCCTGACCTCAAGTGAGCCACCCACCTTGGCCTCCCAAAATTCCGGGATCACAGGTGGGAGCCACCGCGCCTGGCCAAGGCACCTTCTCATTGTGTTCTCAAGTGGCCTCTTCCTGTGTGAGAGGGGAGGAGAAGGGAGAGGAAGGGAGTAAGGAGGGAGGTCCCTGGTCTCTCTTCCTCTGCTTATAAGGCCACAGTCCTATCTTATTAGGGCTCCACTCTTTTGACCTCATTTAATCTTGATTATCTCTCTAAAGGCCCTCCCTCCAAATACAGCTGCAATGCCAGGGGGTAGGGCTTCAAAGTATAAATTCCAGGGACACGCGATTCAGTTCATAAGAAAAGTATTGCTTTATGGAGGTTCATTTGTGACATCTGAAAATGTGACAAGACCTCAGACTTGTTCGAACCTCCCAGTTGAGAGGAAGAGCACTGCCTTTGTCTTCACAAGATGTGGTTTTGAATCTTCTACCCCTTACCTGCTAAGGTGATGTTGGGCAGTTTCCTGAACAAGCATTTTGGGAGGGTCATATATGATACATGAAAATGTGTAGTCCTGGGCCCTATGAATAGCAAGAAATTAATACCTGATAGTTCAATGACTCTTCTGGATGATTCTGTGTGTGCCAGAAATGTGAAGTCAAAATGCTGTGACTGAGTTGGGTCAAATATATACGGCTATAGTATTGGTTATTGTAGGATAAAATAAAGCAAGTTGAATTTATTTCCAGGGCTTTTCAGGTTAGCTAATGTTCTCATATTTGTTCCTTTGTACCAAAATATGAACAGCTGGGCTGCCAGAAATATGTTCTTCACCCTATTTTCTGAAGCTAGCTGCATTCCTTTTCCTTTCTAAAGTGAAAGAGGATTAGGATCAACAGTTAGACAAACTAGTGTATGTGTGTCTTTCTTGGAGAAAAGCAGAACTCACTCAGTTAGCCATTTTTCTAATAACCAAACACTCTGTCCTAAAGCCCTTTAAACTGATACTGTGTTGAATGATGTCACTAATGTTAATTGACAGTTTGCTGGAAACCATCTCTTCAAAATTCTCCTTTTCCGTTCAAGTCCTGTTTATTTTGTCACAGAATTAGAAATCAAGAAACTTCCAGAAAGAAAATGTGTGTGTGCATATGTGTGTACGCACATATGTTCTGGCTTTTAAACTAGGAAGGTCATTTGCAAGAGAGAGAGAAAAAAAATGCAACAAGTAGAAATGAAATTAGACCTGTGTTTATACAGTTCTCCTCATTGGCCCAGGACTTATTTTTGAAAGTTTGTAAACTGGCCTTCCAGTTTAAATTGAATAAGTAGGTGCAGCTGAGTAAATGGAGAGACCTGGGTTTGCAGCCATGTGTTTTCACTTTAAAATTACATCGAAGAGGAACACGGGGGTTAGAAACAAAAATAAGAAAGGGGGAGAGAAGACAGTCTACATTTAAAGGGAAAACGTGAGAAAACGAATAGTCAAAACAGAAGTCCAATCTGCTTGGCCCCAAAGGGGTCGGCAGCCACTCCACCATGACAGGGGAGACAGAACAGCCTGCCCAGAGCTATCCCCACAGACCTGGGGACGAGGGGAGAGCCTGCAGGCAAGGAACACTGAGGTGCTGCGCAGGGCCTGTAAAGGCCTGGAGACTTCCAGGCTGGCATGGATTTAAGACACCTTCATCTGGAAGTCTCCCCACAGCCTCCTGGGGGAAATCCACTCTTCTGCTCAACTTAAAGACCAACTTAGCTGATCCTCAATAAGTAAGAACACTGACTTTCTCTGTAGCTACTTGGTATTGGCTGAATTGCATCCCCCTTCCCAAAATTAATATTTTGAAGTCCCAAGCTCCAGTATCTCAGAATGTAACTGTTTGGAAATAAGGGCTTTAAGGAAGAAATTGAGTTAAATGAGGTCATTAGGGTAAGACCTTATTCCAGTATGACCGATGGCCGATGTCCTTGTAAGAAGAGGAAGAGATATCAGGGGCCCGTAAACGATGAAAGGCCACGTGAGGACCCAGTGGGAAGGCAGGTGTCTGCGAGCCAAGGAGAGGCGCCTCATGAAACACTGACCCTGCAGACACCTTCACCTTGGACTTCTGGCCTCCAGAACTGTGAGGAGATATGTTTCTGTCACGCCTGCCACCGAGTTTGTGGTATTTGGCTTGTGGGTTATGGCAGCCTGAGCCACCTGATACACTACTGAAGACAACCCTACCTATGGCTCCAGGGAAAGATGGGCCACGTTTTTGCTGTCACTGACACTGGGAGAATAGGGTGGCTTCTTCCTCTGACACCAGCGGAATCGCTTCATTTCTGCCTCCTTAACGGCCCGGGACACGTTGTAAAAGCCATCTGGAGACTGTAGTAATTCATGAACTTCTGGGTGATCGTAAAAGACTTCCCTCAGCTTACCCCTGCCACGTCCCTGCTACGGGTAGAACTGTGTCCCCAGCCCCTCCCACTCCAAAAGCTATGCTAGAGTCCTAACCCCCAGGACCTGAGAATAGGACCTTATTTGCAGATAAGGTCTTTAGAGAGGTGATCGAGTTTAGGTGAAGTCATCAGAATGGGCCTAGTCCACTGTGACCGGTGTGCTTATAAAGGGGAAATGTGGACACAGAGACAGGTGCAGATGAAGGCCATATGCAGATGAAGGCAGAGAGTGGGTGATGCAGAGGCAGAGGGACGCAAAGCTCGTGGGGAAACCCCCAGAGGCTGGGAGAAGGCCTGGAAGAAACCAACCCTGACCCCACGTTGACCTTGAACTTTCAGCCTCCAGAATCATGAGACAATACATTTCTGTAGTTCTGCCGCCCCCCCCCCCCCCCCCCCCGCAGTCTGTGGTACGTTCTTATGGCAGTTCCAGGAAACGAACGGTCCCTCTTCCCAGGGTCCATCTCCTGGCAACCTGATGAGAATCAGCTCCGGGGCGTCCAGTCCATAGGTGCTCAGAGAAGCTGTGGGGCCCGATGGCTGCACACAGTTGGTGAGAGCTGAGAGCTGCAGCAGCCCTTTGTCTGCTCACACTCAGCCCACCAGTCCCCCACCCACCCCTCCTAATGGCTCTGAATCTCCCCCATGCCTCTCCGCTTCTTCTCTCTCCACGCCCTATGTACCCACGCCCTTCTCCACTCCTGTTTTAGGCTTTAGTTCCCCGAAGTCTTCTGGTTCCCTCTCTGGCCCCTCCCGGGCTGGCGCCTGCAAACCCACCCCATCCCCCATTCCCAACGCCCCCACCCCTCCCACTCCTGGGCCCCTGCCTTCTGCGGATCCCTGAACTCGAGGCCTGGCGCGGATTGCAGATACTCAGTAAATATTCGCTGAAAGAGCAAATAAAATGAAAAATCGTGTTGAAGGGTGTGATGTAAAGACAGACGTATTTGTCTGTGACTATGTAACCAATTTCCCCAAACCTCGCAGTTTATTCTCACGGTTTCTGTGGGATGGGAACCGGAGGCTCAGCTGGGTTCCAGGCGGGCTGTTGGCTGAGCCTGGCTGCCACACCAGGGCTCTGCTTCCAGCTCGCTCACAGCTGCTGCCTGGCCTCGGTTCCTCGCTGGCAATGCGGAGACCTTGGCTCCTCACCACCTGGGCCTCCCCGTGGGTGGCCTGCCTGTCCTCGGGCATGGTGGCCGGCTCCCCGGCCGAGGGTTGTATGACCAAGCTGGAGAGCCGGAGATGAAAGCCACAGGCTCTTGCCACCTAGTTGTGGACAGGACGTATGGTCACTTCTGCTGGATCTATGGATACAATATGGGGGAGGGATTTTTCCAGGGTGTGAATTCCAGGAGGCCGGGATGATCAGAGCCATCCTGAAAGCTGCCTACCCAGAGAGACAAGGGTTCAAATCCCAGACTTTCCATCAACTGGCTCAGGGCAACACTGGCCCCTCTACAGATCTCCTTGGCTGATTTTTAGCTGAATCGTGACGGCTAATAATTGGAAGGCGATGGACTGTTCAAGTGGTTGCATATGTTGCCTCACTGAATCCTCGCATCAGCCTCCAGAGCCAGCTAGTACTACTGGAGTCTACTTCAAAGGAGAACCACTGCAGGTCACTTGCATGGTAAGGGACGGGGCCTGCAACCTTGAACCTGGGTCTGCCTCTCACTCCCTCCCATGGTTTTGGTTTTTGTTTTTGAGATGGAGTCTTGCTCTGTCGCCCAGGCCGCCACGCAGTGGCACGATCTCAGCTTACTGCAACCTCCGCTTCCTAGGTTCAAGTGATTCTTGTGCCTCAGCCTCCCGAGTAGCTGGGATTACAGGCGCCCACCATCATACCTGGCTAATTTTTGTATTTAGTAGAGACGGGGTTTCATCATGTTGGCCAGGAACTCCTGACCTCAAGTGATCCTCCCACCTCAGCCTCCCAAAGTGCTGGGATTACAGGCGTGAGCCACCACACCTGGCCCACTCCCATGTTTTTAATGTGGGAAACTGAGACTGCTGGACTGCTGAGCCTTCTGCTGAAGCCTGGGGCTGAGGAAAGGGCTTCCACCTTGCTGCGGGCTCTCACCCCGCACACATTCTGTCTGCTTTTCCTGTGCTAGGAGCAGTGCCACGGGGCTCATGGATTCTCAGGCAACACAAACGCTCACCCTGTGGGGAGAGCCTGTCTCCTCTGAACAGAGGTGGGCGGTTTGGGCTGCTTCTCAGAGTCACAGTCTGCAGGAAATCAACTCTGGCCTGATGGCACAGTGTCCGGTGGCCGCTTGGACACTGGCTCAACATGCACCAGAGCCAGGTCACGAGCTGTCACTCTCAATTCACCTTTGTTTCCAAACATTTGTTTCTGCCACTTTAAGGGGAGGGAAGGGTTTTAGCCCAAACAAACTCATGGTTTGGAGTCACTCACTGGAGGCGGAGGACACCTCCTGGGGGCAGTGAATAGGCAATGAGAGGGACTGGAAGGTCACATTTGCAGCCAGAGCCCAGGCTGCCCTGGCATGTCCGGCAGGACCATGGCCCGTCCTCCTATTGGACGGCTGCGTATCCCCTTTCCCTCGGTGACCACATTTCAGGACCCTTGATTTCTTTGCAAATCCCACCCTGCCTGGCCAGTCCCCTCACTCTCATGCCGACCGCAGAACCAAGGCTGCGCCCCTTCAAAGGCAGAGTTGGGGTAATTTTACTTGACAAGACTGCTGCCTGCCCTCCTCCTCTTTCCTCATCTGCCTTCCTCTCTCCTGACCCTGTTTATTATTATCAGGAAAAAACAATAGGTCCACATTTAAACTTCAAAGAAAAGCACGGGCTCAGGTTTCAAACAACTGCAGAGGCCTGGGCTTGGGACAGCTCCATCCCGCTCTCTCACCTGAACTACGGGGAACCTGGGGATGGATTTCAACTCTCTGCAGCCCAGCACTCAGGGTCAAGGTGAGGCCCAGTCTGTGACCACGGAGGAATTCTGGAATGTGGTGATGACCAACAGGAATTTTATGAGTGTCCCTCTGTGGAGGAGCCTGAGAGAAAGGCTCATGGAGGGCAGAGGGTGGAGGGCGTGGGACCAAGTTCCTTAGATAAGGCTGTGGCCCCATGGTAAGGGTCTGGACGGGGAAGGTCAGTGTTAACCCTTTGAAGGGCCCCCGGGGAGTGGATCAGGTTCAGAGCCCAAGGCTTTCACACATAGGTGTGTTCTAAAGCTGGTAAAGCCTCGGATCATCAGCCAGTGTCAGGTGTCACAGCATAGCCAAGCGACCAGACGAGCAGATGAGACCTTGTTAATCTCCAGTGGTGATGAGTAACCGTTCTCTCTATCACATATCACATACTGGGTGCGTTAGGGGGCCCTTAGGACTCGCTCCATTCTGCCTTACCCCACAGTGACTTGAAGGCACAGCTCCTGTTCCCCAAATGAGTCTCAGTGTGTTGTTCTCATTCCTGCCCTTTGAGTACATCTACCCAACCTACTGATTTCCCTTGTTTAATAGCATTTAAAGCTGGGTGCGGTGGCTCACACCTATAATCTCAGCACTTTGGGATTTTGAGATGGGAGGATTGCTTGAGACCAGGAATTCAAGACCAGCCTGGGAAACATAGCAAGACTCCCATCTCTACAAAAAAAAAATAAAATAAAATATTACCTGGGCACGGTGGTACATGCCTGCACTCCCAGCTACTCAGGAGGCTGAGGCTAGAGGATGGCTTTAGTCCAGGAGATTGAGGCTGCTCACTTGCTATGATCACGCCACTATACTCCAGCCTGGGTGACAGAGTGAGGCACTGTCTCAACAATAAATAAATACATAAAAATAGCATTTAAGCGATGGAGGGAGGGAGATCCTTTAGGCCTTAACCTGTGTTGCTAAACGGACCTTCAGAACTCCACCTAACATGTCAGGGACATCTTGGGAAGGCAGAGTGGAATAATTAAACAAGACTTGGTGCTGATGGCAGACAGGCCCCACTCCAATTCACCTCCACTGCTAGCTCACTCCATCTCACCTCCACTGCTAGCTCACTCCATCTCACCTCCACTGCCAGCTGGGCCTCTTTGAACAGGGCGCATAAGATAATTGAAACTTTCAGCTTATCTCTAGAATGGGGAAAATCATACCTATTTTGCAGACTTTATTCAGAGAGAAAGAAATGCATATAATATGCCTAGCATGGAAATTAATGTCCAATGTAATAGTTTTCTTTTTCCACTTTCCCCTGGAAGTGATTCATCCAGGTGGCGCTAGGAGGGATCTTCGCCGCAGAGGGCATTCGAGAGATGACAACTCTAGACATCCATGCAACTTCTGTTCTTGTGCTCCTGCTGTTTTCAAATTCCACAGTCACAGACTGCACCCTGGAAAACTCAGGACACCCTAGAGTGAACTGCTCTGAAGAACAAAGTTGCTACTTGCTTGCTACCTCTGGTTGCTACCCCTGGTTGTGTTTGGTTGCCACATAATGAAATGATTTTCCTTCCCTCTTTTATTTCCTTTCTTTCTTTTTTTTCTGCTACAAATGGAAAAATAGTTTGATCACCTTGAATCTTTTCACCCTTGGTATTCTCCCCCTTCACACCCGAGCACCGCCCCTTGATAAATGAGAACACGTGTACTGAAATCGCAGACTTCACCCTCCAGACTCATCGTCCTCATGCTCTCAGGGGGGACATGTTTCCTTTCAAACCTCCAGAATAAATTCATCACAGCAGGAAGAAGATTGTTTTTCTTAAAAAAAATCAAATCCTGTATCACAATTATTTCATTTCAGAGGGAAAATGCTCCCCTTCCATCTGAAACTTTCTTCTCTCCAGCTCTGCAGTCTTTGACCGTGGCGATCCGGCACCCTCGGCCCGGCTGCTTTTGCAAAGTCCACACTGATTCATTATTTCAGAGAGCCAAAGGGTGACACATGCATATTTTGAATATTACCCTGTATGTAGATCTGCCTCTGGCTTGACTTAGGGGCTTCTAACTGCCTGATGTATTGGCACTCGCATGCTTTCAATGGTGTTTGCATTTAAAAAATCATCTTCAATTCTTTCATTTGGAGGGTGAACTTTCTGAAAAGGATGCTGGGAACCATGTTATTTCAGTGTTATTTCTCTACTATACCAGCCCCTTTGCAAGCAAACCCCTTTTTCCTTAATGACAACACACAGTGACAAATGCCCAGTGCTGTAAACGTGAAGCTCCTTGGTTTGACTGAGACGGTCTGTAGCTGACATCGAGAAGCAGGACATCTTCCTGAACCAAAACACCTACTCAAGAACTCCTATAAACTTCCTTACGCTTTGTTTTAAGGAAAACCGCCTGACAAGAAGCATACTTGCTCCTCGCTGCCAGGCATCTTTCTGTTTATGTAGCCTTTGTTTACATGTATCCCCTGTTAATAACAATCAATATTTAACAGATGCACTCAGGCATCTTGGAAACTAATTTTCTTTCAAACGCAAGCACTTTCTGGGAAGGAATAAAGGGAGAGGAGAGTAGGGTTGGCAGCCCTCCATCGCGTGACCATTTATTGTCATGGAATGTAGCAGAAGACGGCTCCTGCTATTTCCTTTTGATTTCAGTGTGTAAATCTGCTCTCACCTAAAGCTTGACCGCGTGACAGTGCAGACACACATTAAACTGATTATTTCTGTCTGAGCTGTGTGTAGAATGTGCACTCTAAATTGCACATAAAAATGTTCTCCAAAATAGTACCACCTGCCTGCACGAGGATCATTTTCTTTCACAAAGGCAGACTCAAATGTGTTTCTGTGATTCTGCAGCCTCTGGGCTGATGAGGGTTGTCGCCCTTTCTGTGTCGGGTGCAAGCCGGGCTGGACTGGGGTTGCTGCTCTTCTTAGCCCCCTGCCTTCCACTCCAGAGGGAGATGAGGACTCCGGCGGCCTCACTGTGGTGTCTTTAGTTCTTGCTTAGAAGAGGGTCTCAGATTCCCAGGGAGCAGCTTCTCCTGATCAAAAGGAGAGAGAACAGAGGAAGGCAGGGTGGGTGGGCAGAAGGGGCTGGAGTGGAGCGAGTGGAGAAAAAAGAGGCAGAAGAACATAAAAGTATAGCACAAACCATTGCAGCCCAGGGAAGAGCACCTAGAGAAGAGGGGAGAGAAACGAACCTAGTAAGGAAGACTGAGAAAGGAGGATAAAAGTAAACACTGGGAGAGTGGCTTCATTTTTTACAAGGCAGGATGAAAACTAACCCCAGAAAAGGCAAGATCAAATTATTATGATTTCTCCAGACTAGCCCATGTTTCTCCAAACAAATGCCGTGCCCTTGCCAAGAAAAAGAAGAGAAAGATGTTCAGAAGGAGAAAGAGAGGTGTTTTGTCCGTACAGGGGCAAGCTATGGGATGTCATTCTCAACATAGCGCTTCCCTGACTCACTAACTCACACAAGGACCAGAGTAAAGGAAGTCATCTCATCCCAACTTTGAGGGCTGGGCTTGCAAATGCTTCTAATTTTCTAATATTTGGGGTTATGTGCAGGAATTTTCTTGGTCATGTTATGCTCTGGATACATAGCTTTGCGGATCTAAGCACGGAAGATAGAGGCTGCCCCTTCAGTTATAGTTGAAAAATTGAGGACCACAACTTTTCTGTCATGTCTTTATTAGCTCGGAGGGCTGAGGCTGCTCTGCTCTCTCACAGACTTTGGGACTTTTGGTTTTGGCCCCTAAAAGTCTGGGGCCCTTCATCCTCACCCACAGACTGTGCTTTTTGCTTCTATTTTCCATTTTAGCCAAGCTTCTAAGAAGTAATCTATATCCATCTGGGCTCAGTGGATCATGCCTGTAATCCCTGTCCTTTGCGAGGCCAAGGCAGGAGCATCTCCTTAGGCCAGGAGTTCAAGACCAGCCTGGACATCATAGGGAGATCCCCATCTCTACAAAAAAAAATACAACAAAAAGGCTGGGCACGGTTGCTCATGCCTGTAATCCCAGCACTTTGGGAAGCTGAGGCGGGCAGATCACCTGACATCAGGAGTTTGAGACCAGCCTGGCGGACATGATAAAACTCTGTCTCTACTAAAAAATGCAAAAATTAGCTGGTGTGGTGGTTCCTGCCTGTACTCCCAGCTACTCGGGAGGCTGAGGCAGGAGAATCCCTTGAACCCGGGAGGCAGAGTTTGCAGTGAGCCAAGACTGCACCACTGCACTCCAGCCTGGATGAAAGAATGAGACTCTGTCTCAAAAAACAAAACAAAAACAAAAACAACAAAAAATAATATTCTATATCCCTATTTCTGCATCTGCAGCTCACGTTCCCATATCAGACATCTGTACGTCAGCTTCCCTCTCCCACACCCTGGCAAAGTCTAAGCCCCATGCCCAAGGCAGAGGGAGCTTTTCAGTCCATTTCTTGTCTTCGTGGTGACACCTAATGATGCTGAACTGTCCCTTGTTGAATCTGCCCCTCTGTTGAGCTACCTGACACCATCCTCTCCTGTTCCCCTCTGCCTTTTCTGACTCGCCATTCTTCCTCTTCCTGTCAGATACCTGTTTTGTTTGGCTTGGTTTGGTTTTAGCTCTGTGGTGGTTAATTTTATGTCAACTTGCCCTGATATCTGGTCAGACACCATTCTGAGTGTATTTGTGGGAGTGTTTCTGGATGGGATGAACATTGAATTGGTGGAATGACTAAAGCAGATGCTCTCCCCAATGTGGGTGGGCCTCATCCAGTCTGTTGAAGGCCTGAATAGAACCAAGTCCTAAGGAAGGAGATGTTCCTCTCTCTGCCTGGTGGTCTTCAGGCTGGGACATTGGTCTGCTTATGCCTTCAGATTTGGACTGAGGTTTACACCATTGGCTCTCCTGCTTCTTTGGCCCTTGAACTATATAGATCTTGAGATTTTTCGGTACCCCTGAGAGGGAGGGGGAGGGAGAGAGAGAGGGGAACCTAATGGTTCTGTTTCTCTGGAGAACCCTGACTAATACAAGCCCATTCTTGAGTGTTGGTGTTTCCCTCCCCTACATCTCCCTCATAGCCAAGACTCAAATGAGTCACCCAACCCAGGTCCCAGGCACATCTCAGCCCTCTGAGTTCTGCTGCTGCACCCTAGCCGCAGGTAAACTATTTTCACCAAGGTCATTGCCATTGGCTGAATAGTGGCCTCACAATATATCCATGCCCCAATCCCCAGAGCCTGGGAATGTCATCTTATAGGGCAAAAGGGACTTTACAGATGTGATTACATTAAGGATATTGGGATGGGGAGATTATCCTGGATTGTCTGGGTGGATCCTACATGTTATCATAAGTGTCTATAAGAGACAGAAAAGGGGATTCAAATTCAAAATTAGCCCCCGATTGGATCACAGACCTAAATGTAAGAGCTAAAACTATAAACTACTTGAAAAAAAACATAGGCGTAAATCTTCGTGACCTTGAATTAGGCAATGGTTCTTTATATCTGGCACCAAATGTGTAAGTCACAATAGAAAACAGATAAACTAGACCACATCAAAATTAAAAGTTTTTATGCTACAAATGATAGTATCAAGAAAATAAAAAGGCAATCTACAGAGTGGAAGAACATATTTGCATATCATAGATATGATAAGAAACTTGCATTTGGAATATGTAAATAACTCTTACGACTCAAAAATAAAAAGACAAGTAACCCAATTTAAAAATGAACAAAGAATCTGAATAGACCTTTCTCCAAAGAAAATATACAAATGGCCAATACGATTATGAAAGAATTTGCAACATCATTAGTCATTAGGGAAATGCAAATCAAAACCACAATATCACTTCACACCCACCAGAAATGGCTTAAATAAAAAAGACAGAGAGTAGCAAGTGTTGTCAAGGATGTAGAGAAATTGCAACCCTTATTCATTGCTGGTGGGAATGTAAAATAACATAGTTACTCTGGAAAACGTTAAACTCAGAATTATTATGTGACTCAGCACTCCCACTCCTAGAGGTGTGTGTGTGTGTGCGTGTGTGTGTGTGTGTATGTGTGGTTTATATATACATACGTATGCATGTATATAGAAAGATGGATAAAAGATACATATGTGTATATATATCCAAGATAAATAAAAATGTACATGTACATGAAACTGGTATGTGAATGTCCATAGCAGCATTATTCATAATAGACAAAAAGTGAAAACAAAGGCCTATCAACTGATAAATGGATAAGCAAAATGTGATCTATTCATATGATGGAATATTACAGAGCAATGAAAAGAAATAAAATCCAGATACAATGCTATGCCATGAATAAACCTTGAAATATTATGCTAAGTGAAAATAGCTAGCCACAAAAGACTACGTATTGTATGATTCCCTGAATATGAAATATCCAGAATTGGCAAATTTAGAGAGACAGAAAATAGATTACAGGTTGCCTAGCACTGAGGTGAGGGTGGGAAGTGAGGAGGGCACAGAGGGCACAGAGCTTCTTTTTCAGATAATGAAAATATTCTAAAATTAGATTCTAGTGATACATAAATTTGTAAATTTACAAAAATCATTGAATCGTATCTTCAAGTTCTGGAATTATATGATAGGTGAATTATACCTCAATAGAGGTGTTAAAAATTAAAAAATAAAAAAGAATGCCACAGAAGTGATGTGTCCTTTGAAGGTATCATATCCTCTGGGGGTCACCATGTCCCTTTATTTGCTGACTTTGATCATTTGGATAAAGGGTCATCTGCCAGGTTTCTTCACTGTCACGTTACTATTTCTTCCTTTGTAATTAATAAGTGCTTTGTAGGGAAGTCCACTGAAAATACATAAATATTGTCTCTCATCACATTGCATGCATTAATCTTAGCATCCATTGCTGATTCCTGCCTGAAACAATGATTACTGTTGGGTTTGCTGAATGGTAATTTCCTGTTTCCATCATTCCTTCCACATTTAGTAGCTGGAATTCTACTGGAAGGAAGACCTGTCCTTCCCCTGCCCCCATTTATTTATTTATCCAATTGTTTATTTATATTACCATGGACCCATGGGTTCTTATTTTATTCTATGGTTTATAACAAACACACACACATTTACTCACTGATTCATCAAATATTTACAGCACTCCTAGCACATGTCAAACACTCTTCTGGACTTTTGGATTTCGCTGTTGAGCATGATGTCTTGGCCAAGACAGCTTTTACTCTCCTTGGAGAAATGTCCCCTCCTCCCTGAGCTGGCACAGGCATCTCCCTTGTCTGTGTCCTGTGCAAGTGCTTGCATGGGTCCATGCACTCAGTCATCTCCCTGTTTCTGAATCTCTCTGGCTGGCCCGGAGGACCCTGAGGGCAGGGGCCCACACTGTGGATCTCGAAGACACAGCACTGATCTTCGAAGACACTCAGCTCTTGCTTGGGCCTGGGTGAGCTAGTGAGGGAAGGGGTAAAGGAATGAACAAACATTGCTAGTGCTCAGATGCAAATCATAATATTAGAACATTGTCTAAGAAGTTCAAAGTTTAACCTTTGTTTGTCCTTGAGAGGCTGCCAGCTGTCTGTTATATTGGTTTTCTATCCAGACTGGATATAGAAGAAAAAGGAAAGAATTCAATATGCCTCCAAGATTTCTGGCTATGAGCCATTGGTAGAAGGAGGTGCACACACTTGGGCTGGGGATCCGTGTAGAGAAGATCTGTGGGTTTGGCAGTGCTGAGCTGAAGAGGAGCCCCCAGGGCACTCAGGTGGGAGGTCTAAGAGGCAGCTGCAGACCTGGGCTTGAGATCCCCAGAGAGGATAGGGTGGGGTTGGGGAGATGGTGACACTTTGGGAGTCATGGGCCTCTGTGGGGAGGAGTAAGCCATGGGGAGCATGGGCATGAGTAGAGGGAGGAAGGAAGAGTGCAGGGAGCGAAAGAACCTATGGCAACACCAGTGGTGACACCTTGAAGCCTGAGGAAGAGGCTGAGAAGACTTTTAAGGAGAGAATGGTCAACAGAGCCAAGAAGAGCGGCAAGAGTCCCCAAGATAGAGGCTGACATGGGCCAGGACCTAGGTGGGGCGGGGAAGTTAGGGGGCGGGAGGCCTATTTCAGAGACTGAAATGGGATGATGGAGAGGTGGAGTAGGTGGAAGGGAAACTTATTCCCTGAGGTAACTTGAATGCCGACAGGACAGAGACCTGGGGATACCTTGGTGGAAGCAGAGGATCAACTGATTAATTCTTTAAAGGGCATGGAGGGTCTCGAGTATGTTCACACAACAGAAAAGACTGGGCCAGGCCGGGCATGGTGGCTCAAGCCTGTAATCCCAGCATTTTGGGAGGCCGAGGCAGGCAGATCACCTGAGGTCAGGAGTTCAAGACCAGCCTGGCCAACGTGGCAAAACCCCGTCTCTACTAAAAATATAAAAATTAGCCGGGTGTGGTGGTGTGTGCCTGTAATCCCAGCCACTTGGGAGGCTGAGGCAGGAGAATCACTTAAACTCAGGAAGCGTGGAGGTTGCAGTGAGGCAAGATCATGCCATTGCTCTCCGGCCTGGGCGACAAGAGCAAGACTCTGTCTCAAAAAAAAAAAAATAAAATAAAATAAAAGAAAAAAGACAAGACAAGACTGTGCCAGTAGAAAAGAAGTGTCCTGGTAATGGATGGAATCATGATCAGCAGGAGGCTAAAGACACAGGAGGAGAAAGGGTTCAGGGCCTGGATGGCAGGGACATTGGACAGGGAGGGACCCACCTTCCTGTGAAACTCGAGGGGAAGGGCAGGGTGAGCTAGGTGCAGAAGGGGTTGAAGGGGGAGGGGCAGGGGCGGGAAGCCAGGGCCACCTCCTTTGAAGTCCTCCATGTTTCCATGTGAGGAGGAGGGGAAGTCACCTGCAGGGAGCGGGAGTGGCAGGCCACAGCCTTGGATCCCTTCATTGCTGAATGGCTTCCAGAGACATCACCGATGCCTGACCCCACAGCTCCCAGCAGGCTGCAGGAGAGAGAAGAGGGGTGGGTGGGGTGGGAGGAAGAGCTAGAGGGAAGGAAGTTCGAGTAAGAGAGCAGCTGAAGGGCTGACTTGTGGTCTAGGGAGGGACCCGGGAAGCAAACCCAGGGGAGCCAGGGAGGGAGCTGGAATAACGGGGCTCTGGCCAGCAAGTGGGAGGATGGAGCGGGTTGGGGGGAAGGTGTAGGAGGAGCAGCGGGTGATGACAAGATCTGGGTGTGGCTGTGGGTGTGAGTGGCTGGGTTTGCCAGAGCCTGCGGGGGTTTAGGAAGTGAAGGGGGCATTCCAGGACACCCGATGGGGGGGCCCACATTCGAGGCCTCAGCTAAGGCCAGCCAAAACAGTGTCCAGTGTGTCCAAAGACAGATAGTGCCCCCACCCTGGGGCATGGGAGCAAAGGAAGAGGACGGGAGAGTGATGCGTGGGAAGGGGTGGGCCCACAGAGGAAGGGAGGAGAAAGAGAGGAAGGGCCAGGGGACAGGCACAAGGGGTGGGGACGGACCTATGTTGCCTCAGTGGGGACCCTGCTTCAGAGAGGCAACACTGCTGCCTGGCCTGCGGTGTCTTGGAGCCTCGCCTCCCAAATGTGAACTCTGCAGGCACCTCTTCTAAAGGCAAAGGATTCTCTGGGAGTCCCAGTTTTTTTGTTTGTTTGTTTTGTTTTGTTTTGTTTTTGAGACGGAGTCTCACTCGCTCACCCAGGCAGAAGTGCAGTGGTGCCATCTTGGCTTACTGCAATCTCTGCCTCCCAGGTTCAAGCAATTCTCCTGTCTCAGCCTCCCAAGTAGCTAGGACTACAGGCACCCACCACCACGCCTGGCCAATTTTTGTGTTTTTAGTAAAGATGGGGTTTCACCATGTTGGCCAGGCTGGTCTCAAACTTCTGACCTCAGGTGATCTGTCCCCTTACAGCCTCCCAAAGTGCTGGAATTATAGGTCTCAGGTGAGCCACCGCTTCTGGTCCCCAGTGTTAAAGGGGAAAAGGGTTAAATTCAGTACAAGCGCTTCAGGCCCTTCAACTCCTATGAAACCTACTCACTGGTGTCCAACTTTTATACCCAGCAAGAGGCTGATAATGGAATTTTGCTGAAACAAAATCATTGTTTTCATCACGGCTATCATCCAGTTTACTGGAGTCCAGTTTCTTTTTACTTTGGCCTCTTGCCCTTTGTCCTTATGACAATTCAGATTCTCCTGCCACTGGATTCTGTCTGATATGCTTTGAAACCTTTGATCATGTGGGATGTGTCAGTGGCACCTGGTTTCTACCTGGCGGGGTATAGCTTGTGTGTTCTGGAGGTGCTGGTGACTGGCAGCTCTTAGTGGAACTTCTCACTTCTGGATTCACCCTCCCTGAAGAGCACCACCTTGCCCAAGGTCACACCCCCTTCCAGGGTCCACCCACCCCCAGTGATGGTCGGTGTCGAGTATTGATATGATTTGGCTGTGTCCCTACCCACATCTCATCTTGAACTGTAATTCCCATAATCCCCAAGTGTCATGGGAGGGACCCACGGGGAGGTCATTGAATCATGGGGGCGGTTACCCCATGCTGCTGTTCTTGTGATTGTGAGTGAGTTCTCACGAGGTCTGATGGTTTTATAAGGGGCTCTTGCCCACCTTTTGCTCAGCACTTCTCCTTGCTGCTGCCATGTGAAGAAAGGCATGTTTGCTTCCCCTTCCACCATGATTTTAAGTTTCCTGAGGTCTCCCCAACCATGCTGAACTGTGAGTCAATTAAACCTCTTTCCTTTATAAATTACCCAGCCTCAGGTATGTCTTTTTTTAGTAGCGTAAGAATGGACTAATACAGGTATAAAGCCCCAACCACCTCCCTCAATGTGAGATGACTCTGAAGGGTTGCCCCAGCTCAGGAGCCCCTGCGTGGGGTTGGCTGAGGCCTTTGTTGCAACTTCGTCACAGTTCAACTTCTCTCTGCTTGGTTCAGCTGCCTTCCCTCCCCGACAGGTGTTGACCCTTAGAGCATTCCCCAGTAAACTTCCTGTATGCAAGCTGCATCTTGGAGTCTGATTCTTTCTACAGTTCTTAGACTTAGTGCATAAAAATGCAAGGTGCCCAGTTAAATTTGAATTTCAGATAAACAATGAATAACTTTGTGGTATGAGTATGCTCCAAATACTACACAAGACAGTATACTAAAAATTATGTCCTGTTTTTGGGAAATTTAAATTTAACTGGGCATCTCACATTTTATCTGGCAACCCTACTTCTTAGGGAGCCCAAGCTGGGTCATGAAATGATCCTTCATGGCCCTCATAGTCTGTGGAAGAGGAGCCCTGTGGTTTCTATGGCAGTGAAAGAGCACAAAGGTTATCAGAGGCACGAGCACCAGGGACACTTCAAGATCAATGGAACATCCCATCTGGAGAATGGGTTGAGGACCAGTATTACTGATGGGGCTGAATTATTCTCAGTGGTGGAGGTGAAACTGAAGAGCTCTCCAAGGAGAAAGCTCCCACACTGCCCATGTGAAGGCAACCACCTCTGGTGAGGCTGCCAGGAGAGCAGAGCATGAGCACCGAGGGGCCAAATCATGGCCCCACCATGACAGTCATGAGGGTAGACTGCCTGCTTCCTGCCCAGGAGTTGGGGAGCCCACTCTTACTGAAGAGGGGACTCAAAGCCAAATCGCACCCACTCCTTTGCTCAAAGCAGTTATAGCCCTTTTCAGTGGTAAGGACTGAGCTTTCAGTGCTGAAATAAATCTGTTTTAGTAACCAAGAATGATGAATAATTATACAGTCAAGTCAAAATGGTGTGATGAAGGGACCTTAGTTGGCCTTTAGTAAGAAAAATGTTTCAACATGGCATTATAAAGGGACGGTTATTGGAAGGAATAAAACCACTTTATGCTTATGTCCAATGAGTTATGCTCTCAATAAATAAGTTACTATTGTTATTATCATGTCAAAGGGCTTTTAGGCCTGAGAAACTAAGTTTTCTAATATCCTAAGCAAATATGCCTGCTAGTAACGCTTACCAGAGATAAAGGAGAAAAGATCATAACTTGGAAAAGACCTCGGTCCTTACTCCTTGGCCAGGCCACCCCCTCTTCCTGCCCTCTCAGCCTGTTCCCACTGCACTAGCACTGGGAGTCGGGGAGGGGAGTGGCTTTTGGACCAAAAATGTACTCAGGTCTTCCTAAAGAGCTTGCCTCACCCTGTTACTTCTTCAAATTCTTCTCACCCACAGCCAGCTCTGCAAGCCACTGCCAGCGTGGCTCTCTTGGGGACATTGGTGACCTGGTTGGTTCATGCCCTTTGTACTGGTTCGACTCTTCCTTGACCACTTGGCAGTGCCTGAAGCAGCTGCCTGCCCACTTCTTCTGAAGCTCCTCCTGCCTCTCCCAATACCCACTTTCTCTGTTGATTATCTACCTCCTCTTTCCACCTTGGGTAAGGTACTTATTCCCCAGAATGCCATTCTCAGTTTCCTTTCATTATTTGTGTTTTTCTGTGTGATACTTTATTTTTAATACACTTTTTGCATATCAGCTTTATTTCAATGTAACTTACCTACCATAAAATTCATTTTTTTAAAGTGTTTGATTCAGCAGCTTTTAATAAAGTCACACAGCTGTGCAACTACTGTGGCTGTGGGTGTGAGTGACTGGGTTTGCTGGAGCCAGGGTGGGTGCAGGAAGTGAAG
Organism: Homo sapiens; assembly: GCF_000001405.40. Taxonomy (NCBI): domain Eukaryota; kingdom Metazoa; phylum Chordata; class Mammalia; order Primates; family Hominidae; genus Homo; species Homo sapiens. The sequence goes on from NC_000013.11 coordinate 35,710,092, forward strand.
GGGGCATCCCAGGTCACCTGAGGGGGCAGCCCCGCCTCCATGACCTTGGCTGAGATCGGCCAAAATAGTGTGCAGTGTATGTGAAGACAGATTCTGCCCTCAGCCCTCAGGTGGCATCATAGCGCTTGTGTGCAAGTAACACTTACTTTACTTAACAATGGTCCCAGAGCTCAAGAATACTGTGCCTAATTTATAAATTCAACTTTATCGTAAATATGTATGTATAGGAAAAAAACATAGTAATACAGGATTAGGTACTATCCATGGTTCCAGGCTTCACTGGGTGTCTTGAAATGTATCCCCTCTGGATAAAAGGGGACTACTATATGTTTTACTTCTCTTTTGAGGTTTTTTTTTTTTTTTTTTTTTTTTGAGACAGGGTCTTGCTCTGTCATCCAGTCTGGAGTGCAGTGGTGCAATCTCAGCTCACTGCAACCTCCACCTCCCAGATTCAATCGACTCTCCTGCCACAGCCTCCTGAGTAGGTGGGACCACAGGTGCGCCCTACCATGCCCAGCTAATTTTTGTATGTTTAGTAGAGACAGGGTTTCACCATGTTACCCAAGCTGGTCTCAAACTCCTGCCCTCAAATGATCTGTCTGCCTTGGCCTCCCAGAGTGCTGGGATTACAGGCCTGAGCCCCTATACCCAGCCTGTTTTGAATTTTGAATCTGTGGGTGGTGATGAGCTAGCTGAAATTCAAGAGTTCCAGTCTAATGAGAGAAGAGAACAGATGCGTAGGACAACTAGCAGACTCTACTACCATAGTAATTCAAAGGCAAAACTCTGTCTCTTGCTGTACCAGTCAGGGTCCAGTCAGGCAAACAGAATCAGTAGGACACATACTCTCAAACCCACGCATCCCTAGGAATTGATCGTGAGGAACTGTCTGGCTAAGAACATCAGAAATCTTTAGGGCAGGCTTCAAGAAGGCAAGATCAGAAGCAGGCAGGGCTCCACAGACACAAGCAGAAGCTCATGTCTGGAGAAGGCTGAAGCTGCCTTTAAAGGCTTTGCAAGTTATGCCCATCCAGGGTAGTGTCCATAACTTAACACCAGCTGATCAGGGGCTTCAAGCACACCTGTGAAGTTCCTTCACAGCAGCATCTGTATGAGTGTTTGAGTAACCAGGAAGAAGGGTGTGTGTACTACACGGGGCTACTGCTTCTTTTCCGTCCTCACAGTCTCCTAAAAGTATGTCTTTTATGGCCCACCCTGTCTGAAAACATACAGGAGAGGGAATTCTAAGAAATGCAGTTCAGTACAGTAGTGTGTCACAAAGCCATCACACCTGTGGTCCCAAATCGAGAAGTCCCATAAAAGTCCCTAGTTGGCCCAACTCAAGTCATATGACCAGCCCAAGTTCAACCACCGTTGCCAGGGGAAGGGGTAGAAAAATTGGGCTGAATCATGTGACCGTCTTGTGACTAGAAGGGGGAGGATACCATGATGAGTGGTCCCATAGCAGCACCTGATTGGGATGGGGAAGGAGGAGAACCCCAAAAGAATTGGGGATACTGAAAACCTAACACAACCTATATCATCATCTTGGATGCCCCATAGGACTGAGCACCATGCTTAGGGCTTAGAAGGCCTTCAGAAAGCACAGCTGGCAACTGAGGTAAGAACTCAAGTAAGACCTATGGATTATATTAGCTCGACCATTTGTCCACTCACTGACATTGGCTGGACCCGGCCAAGACCCCAAGAGAAGAGCAGTCCTGGAGGTTCCCACTGACACTTTAGTTCCTGCACATCAGGAATGGCTTCTCAGCAGCCAGTACCTTTTCCAATGTTCAGAAACAGTTGTTACTTGCCAAGACACGTTACATATCTCCACCACAGACTGCTGCTCGTTCACACTCAGTTTCCTCTGGAAATCTCTGGCAAACACCATCTGGCTGCAGCGGGGGACTGAGCCCTGGTCTTTTGTTGCTCCACGGCCTCCTACTCAGGGGATTTCACCCCTCCTCATGGCCCCCAAGGAGAAGGCCCTCCAGGTCTGTGGGCCCCATTTCGCAAAGGTGGCCAGTGTGTGCCCCGAGTTCCAGTGGCATCATCCCCTTGGTGAATCTGGGTCGGGGAAATGGTGCTTAACTGTTAACCCATCAAGGTTTCATGATCCTTTTCATCTGTGCAGTTCCAGCAGGGAGAGGAGCTGTCACTGTGTATTAGCCTGGTCTCATCCTCCACGATGTTGTCAACTCCCTGGCAGGAGAAGCGATGTTGCATCCTGCCTGTACGTTTCCTCCATGCCTAGGACGGTAGTTTGATTTTAAAGGGCGCCAGGTAAATGTTTGCTGATGAATATTAAACGAAGGAGGAGATGATTTTCCAGCCATCATGGGAGGAGGTCAGGAGGGGCTGGACTCCACTTCCCTTCAATCAGAGTCAATAACTGACCTAAAGTTCTAGCCTGCAATGCGCGGTACTCATGCAAGGTGGGTTGGTGGTGCTAGTGGCATGACTTCTCCCGTTGGATGTTCTTTGCAAGCCCCCTGTCCTTTTCTTTTGATGTACTTACTGGAGGAGTTTGTAATTACTTATAACACAGGCCTTTCATTCTACCTCTCTCTCCTCCTGAACTATAAATTCTGTAGGAATCGGGACAGGGCCTCCTCACCTGGCCCACAGCAGGCACTCAGTAAAGAAGTGATGAATGAATGAACACATTCTTCATGTCATCTGGTGAGCATATTTAATTAAAAATATCAGTGCTTTCTAGGAAGACAAATGAGCTCTGCCACAATCTTTTTCATTTGAAATTCTAGTGCTGATTCTGACTTTAAACTGGTGGTGTTTATTGAGTACTTGCTATGTGCCAGGCATTGTTCTACACTTTTCACTTGTATACTTAAAAAAAAAAAAATCCTCCTGGCTGCATTTGGAGTACACAGTAAAGAACAAAACACCCTCACAGCATCCCTGCTGGAATGCTCACTTTACAGCTGAGGAAACAGAAGCGCAATGAGCTCAAGTACTTGCCCGAGGCCATGCCGCTGGTAAGAGGTGGAAACACCTAAGAATGAAACTGATCTGCCCCTTCCTTTGTGTCTAGACCAACGATGCAATAAAGTAAGTCTACCAACTCACAGCAAGGCCATGGGTAGAGGTCTTGAAAGGCACCATGGAGCCCAGAGCTGAGCTGACTCTTCAAACTCATCACTCTGATATTTCACTTCCTGTATGAACCACCCAGCAACATTCCTAAACTCCCCCTTTCTTAAAAAAAAAAAAGTTCTACATATACTTGCCAAATGACCCAGCAATCCCACTAATGGGTGTTTACCCCCAAATAAATGAAAACATATGTCCTCACAAAGTTCACAGCAGCTTTATTCTTAACAGCTAAAAACTGGAAACAATCTAAACATCCATCTACTGGTGAAAGGATATTCAAATTGCAGCACGCCCATATAAGGAAATACGACTCAACAGCAAAAAGAAATCAGCTGCTGATACGTGCAGCAATGTGGATGAGCCTCAAAGGCGTCCCCTGTGTGAAACAAGCCAGACACAAGAGACTCTATAAGTATGTGCTTCCATTTATATGATATTCTGGGAAAGGTAAACTACAGGGCCAGAAAACAGATCGACGGTTGCCAGGGGCTGGAGGTTGCAGGGTGGAAGGTTCGTTGCAAAGGGTCACAGGAAGCTTTTTTTCTTCCTTGGGACAGGATCTTGTTATGTTTCCCAGGCTGGTCTTGAACTCCTGGCCTCAAGCGATCCTCTCCCTTCGGCCTCCCAAAATGATAGGATTACGGGCATGAGCCATGGCTCCTGGTCAAGGAAACTTTTTTACGGGGTGGAGAGAAGGGGCTGAAAATTTGATTGCAGTGGTGGCACTATATTTGTTGCCAAATTGTACACTAAAAAGGATGAATTTTATTATATGTAAGTTAGACATCAGTAAACCTGATTCTTGTTAAAAGTAATTTTTAAAATCTTTTATTCCAATGTATAAAATTGGTTCTTCTATTCCTTTCCTTATAAATCCAAGCAATAGTTTCATTCTTTAAAAATGCATAATGTGAAAATAGCATTAGGAAAGCTGCCTTGAAATATGGATACTAAATGCATCCCACTGGGCAACTTCAGCAAACCGCTGGGTCTTCCACCACAGTTAAAATAGCTCCTGCTGTCCCCGGGGCAGGAGTGGCTTAAGAAAGCATTTAATCCAGGAGTGCGTGTCTGGAGCTTTGTGTTAATCAGATTCCATATGACTGAATGACCTTTGTTTTCCCTCTGGTGGAATCGTGAACATTTGGGAAAACCGGTTTGCTTTTAGTGAGTGTTGCAGGGTGCAAATGAAACTGTATTCAACCTAGGATTCGACTGGGAGAAAAACAGGAGAAAGGCCACAGGATTGGTGCAAGGACAGCAGGTCAGTGTCAGGGGCTAGGTGACTGGGGAGAAAGCTTGCTGTCCCCTCTGAGTGTCCTCCCCCAAACCTCAGCGTCCCCCCTTGGGAACCCATACCATGGCCCCGGGCAACAGAGGCAGCAACACAAATAAATAGAAGAACTGTTTCATTAAAACCTCCTCCAGACAAGGCCAGCTCTGGATGCAGTCTTCTGTGACCTCTGGGCGAGAGGAGGTGGTGTGTTAAAGACAGGATTACCCCTGAGGCCAGTCTCTGCAGCGGGACAGGGACAGGGCAGCCAAAGGTCAGCCAGGGCAGCTTCCAGCTGGAGGGGGATGGCAGGCCTCAGCAGCACCAGCAGCTTCCCAGGGAGAGGAAGCAGCTGCAGCTGGCGCAGGCAGGAGCCTGGTGCGTACCCGGAGGTAGCAAGCTCACTCAAACCCCTGGGCCATATGATGAGCTGGGGGGAAGCTGAGGCAGCCTGGGATTCCTGCAAAGTGGGTAGGTCCAGAGTCACACAAAAAACTGCTTTCTTACTGTGATATGTATCCCTCCAGCTGGTGTGTGGCTGGGGATGGCACAGACCACAGGCACAACTTTTAAGCAACTGGATTCTGTGCTGCAAAACATGTGCAGCCACGTGACACCTCCCATCCTCCAAAATTCCTACCTGCATTACATACAAATCTCTTTAAAGATTTCTGTGTATGTCTTTCTGCCTCGGCATGCATTTCCCGGGAGCTCTGGTGCATAGCAACTGAATTAGCATCCAGGCCTGCTTAATTAATAAAATGAACCCTGCGTACATCTGCAATCCTTCCAAACAATTTCAGCATTTCTCTCATTTCTACATGGAATTCAGCCTGTTAGCACAAAAAACCATGGTGCACCAAATGCTTGTTTTATCCTTTGAGAGAAAAATTCTTTAAAATACAGGTTGTTTCGGCTGAGACCTTTCAGGAGTTTCTTCTTCTGAACTGTGCTCACTCTGCCTGGTATCTGGGAAACCCCAGGCCTAGCACAAAATAGAGGCCTAATATTTGCTGAATAAACTGTGACCTTGGGTCTGTTGCTTAATCTCTCCCCGAGCCTTAATTTTGCCATCTTTAAATAAAGAGAATAATACCACTCCTGTAGGACTGAAGTGAAGATAGACACAATATATGTAAAACATGCAATACATTGTAACTGTGAAGACATTTAGCACTTTACATGTCAAAAACCACTGAAAAGGAATAGAGACCTGCCTGTTCATCCCAGACCTGCCACCAAATTGTTGGTTGACCTTCAGAACATCCCCAATCTTTCTATCTTGTTGTAGAGACACTGACACCGGTGACTTCAGGATTTTTCTCTAACATTACATGAGATTATCCAGGTTGAAAAGTAGGAATTGTTATTCAATTTCTATAGCTCTGGGATCAGTGTGCTTCCTCCATAGTTAAACTTTTCTTGCTCTGGGAACTGACCCTTTTTAGCTATCAAATTGATCCATGTTTTTGTAAGAGCTCACCTTGGTCCATCTATACATTTCATCTCCACCTGAGTCCAGCGCCAGCACGCCAAGCCCTGCCGGGGTCTCACAGCCCCCCTGAGAAACACAAACATGCCCATGTTCATAAATAAACACTGTTGTCCTTCTTGTTTTTTTTTTTTTCCTAGGAATTGCTACACACGAGTTCCCTTTTCTGCACCTCAGTCTGTGGAGGCAGGGCTGTATTTATTTATTTATTTTGCTCGTCCATTCTCCTTGAAGGCTATTTCCCTCTCGTCATCTTTTGGAGCTGTCACCCTTTGTAGATCATTCTTATTAAGCATTAACTTGGTGAATGGATGAGCATCACTTGGGAACAGCTCTGGGATATTACAAAACATAAAGCAGTCAGTGCAAACATCTGCAAAATTTGGCAATCCACTGTGGTTTCAATGAGCTAGGGGCCAAGTCCTTGACAGGCCTTGAGGTCCTTAGAGAACACTGCACAGGAAAGATTTATTTGCGGAAAGGGTGAGAAATGTCACTTTGCACTTCAGGTATGAGGTGGAGGTGGTCAGCGTTTGCAAGCATGAGTCACTGTCTAATCTTAGCCTTCATGGGTGTTGGCTAAGCTGCCCTCACCCCATTCCAACAAGTCCTTGTAATGGCTTTGAAAGAAGCTTAAAATCCAGGATCACTTCTGGAAGGAGATTTGAGGAGCAGGTGCCATCTCTGGGCCGGGCTCCCTAAATCTCTGGGTTCCAGAGCTTGTCCTCCCACCACCTGGGTGCTAACAGGAGCTTGCATCCCACTCTGCACAATCGAGTGTCTCTGAGGCCAACCAACGCTCTGGGCCCCAGCTTCGGCACCCCTTCTGAGGCGACTGGCCAGCTTGGGCTGTCGAAGGTGGGAGGCCCTGACGTACACCACCAGCCCGCTTCCCCAGCCAGCAGCCACCGAGGCCTCCTGTGCCCACTGACGAGCAGTGACATTTCAGCGAGTGAGCCGGCTGAGCCTCCTCCTGGAGTCCCCAGCAGTGCCACGGACACTCGCCTGTTTACAGAGCATGACTTTGCTTCTTGCTGCCTCACATCCTCGTTCAGCGCAGGGAGAGCAAGCAGGCCCCTTTCCCAGCAATTCCTGGATTCTCCACAGAAACTCCACAGTGATGCTGCTTGGGTTTCATGAAGGGGATGCTGGTATTTGGACCTTTCTTCTTTCCCTGGGCTTTTAAGGCAATGTCTCATGCTTCTAAGATCATTTTCCTCTGAAGGTTGGACCTTGAGATATTGGATCCCCATTTATGATCATGGATAAAACATTCCCTCCAGTTTCGGAGTATGTACTTCAGAGCTGAGGAATGTTTTCTGTACTTTATAAAATCCCATATGCGTTGAATAGCTAATATTTAGCCATCACTACAGGGCCACATGGTGACTTTCCCGGGATCTAGGCAATTTTGCTTTCATGGGCTCCTTCCTCTGTTCATTAAATAAATACATATTTGTATTTGTAAGGGGTGCCAGTGCAATTTTTTTACATGGATATATTGCCATAGTAGTGAAGTCTGGACTCGGTACATCTATCACATCAGTACATTGTACCCATTCAATAGATATTGTTTTTATGACTGTGTTGATATAAGACAAATATAATTCATGGTGGGTTTATTATTATTATTGTATTATATTCATCATTTTCTTCTGATTTTAATGGAAAATAAAAAACACTTTTTGTTTTGTTTTTGTTTCTTTTGAGACGGAGTCTTGCTCTGTCGCACAGGCTGGAGTGCAGTGGTGCAATCTCGGCTCACTGCAAGCTCTGCCTCCTGGGTTGAAGAGATTCTCCTGCTTCAGCCTCCCGAGTAGCTGGGACTACAGGCATGTGCCACCACACCTGGTTAATTTTTGTATGTAAAATAGAAAACACTTTTGGGGGCCCTAAAATTGTCGTGGGTCCTGGGCACTTTTTCCACTGAGTCTGTGGGGTGAGTCAGCCCCTCGTAGAGGCTGCCCGTATTCTTGGATTTGGTCTTGCAGCCTCACCAGGAGCCCAGAGGTTCTCAGTACCTGCACTGCAGCACCAAGCTGGTTGCAGTTTTCTATTCCAATTAGCAATGTCCCATGGCTTGGGTTCGTGTCTGGTTTATCTTTGAATCCCATCCTCACTTCTATACCTTCTGTAGATATTCAACAAAAGTTTATGGAATTAAACTGAAGTTCTAAGATAAAATTTCACAGCCACATCCCAGGAAGGTTTGGGGAGTCAGCTAATGACACTAACTAGGGACCACACGCACACAGTGCCGTGAGATCATCCAGAAGACAAATGATGGTGCTGGTTCCTTCACAACCACGTGGTGGAGACACACCAGGGGAAAAGCCTTCTGCTTAGGCCACGGATCTGGAGCCATCAGCCTTTCCTTGACCCCCAACTGCAAGTTCCTCCATCTTTGTTTTTCGTTTTTTGCTTGTGAATTAAGGTGATAATAATAACAGCAACCTTGTTAAAAAGAGGATGGATGTGAAGATATTAGGACACCACATGGGACACAGGGAATATTCAAGATGTTCGTTCACTATTTTCAGTAGTATAATCTTGTCCTGTATCCGTGTTGAATTATCACCTACATCTTAATGGCTATATTTCCAGAAATTTCTGCAATCAGCTAATATAGTGTGTGTTCAAAATCGAACTCCTTTTCTTATATTGAAACACATAAGGTGTGTCCTTTTCGCCCATGCTGTAAGCTGTTTGAGGACTGAGGCTTTGCCTCTTGTTTTTGTTCTCTCAGAGCCTAGTAAATTCCATTTATGGGGGCAGGTGTGACACAGATACACCGTGAGGCTCCCAAGGGACTGTAGCCTGAAGGATGTTACGTGGTGGATTTAACCACAGAAGTGAAGTGGTGTTTGGGCTTGTGGCTGATGGGTTTAGCTCAAAATTCTATGGATAGAGGCTTTCCCACCAAGCTATAGCATATCTACCCCTTTGCTGCCTCAGGGACTTGCCGTAAAGAGAGACAGGCGCAGGCTGGGGCAGCGGATGTAAATCTGGAAGCATACTTTCTGCAGCACCTATTGGAGCCACACACAAACTGTTCTATGAGCAAACTTGGAACTTCTGCAGAAATAAAAACTATGGACATCTTGATATGGTAGAATAACATTTTTGAGATTTTATTGGAAATAGTATTAACCGGTTTTGAAAATCTCTCCTGGTAAATCTTCCTTCTTTTCTCTCACCTGCTCTGCTTTGCCTCAGGGTGAGACAGCGCAGTTGTGAAAATCTAGAAGGCAGAGGGGAGCTGCCTCTACCTTGGCTTCCCGAAGCCTCGACCCACTAAGCTATCGTCAGGTGCCTCCAAGGCAAACCAGAAAGTACAGGAAGTTTCTCTCAGGGAAAAACCTCAAGAATGGAAAAGAACTTCCTCCACTGGTGTCTAGAAAAAACATGCTCCTCAAGACTGGGAATTAAATCCCAGGGAAGCTGGCTGAGGGGGATCCTGAACATTTTCCTGGACAGAGTCCTGAGAAGTCAAGACCCCAGAGAGGGTTTGCAGGTGGTGCTGAGCCTCATGGGAGCAGCAGAAAGAACGTCACCTCTGCATCTCAGCGCAGGGCAAAGAGAGCCTCATGCCTGTGGACAGGCTCAGCAGATGCCCCGGGGGGGGCCTCCATGGACACAGGACTCAGGGACCACATTTCCTCCAACCTCCTTGCCACAACACTAGTCAAGTTCCTGCAGTTACAACATCACCCTGGGAAAAATGGGGATTGGAATCCCTGGTTAAATGGAAAATGTGTGTCTTTCACTCAGGTAGAGTAGCACCTTGAAACAGAAATTAACTTACAGAAAAAAATGGGAAAAGTCCTATTTCTAACACTATGGAATTTGTGGTTGACACTCATTTTGGCCACAATAACGAAGACCCATGCCAAAGATGTGAGCCCCAGCAGAGACAAGCCTTCCGGATGGCCAATGGCCTGGGACCGGAAGAGGACATAGTATCTCCACGGATGACAGAAGAGTCCTTTTGATCACACTGCCTGAGTCTCTTGTGAACAAGAATAAGAACTTGCAAAAACTCCTATAGTAAATGATAGAGATGTACTTCTCTTTCCAAAGTACCAATCATTTCAAACAAATTCTCTTGGCAGCTTGATAAAGATTTGAGTTAAAGAAGCCCTCCAAGATTGCTTTATCTATAACAGTCAGGACTGGGTGAACGCTACCTGGCTACTACAGTCAAGATTTTGGGGCCCAATGTAGGTACAACCAAATGAGCAGTCTCTCTATGTGATGAAGAATGCTGCACCAGTCTGGCTTATTTCTGATTCATTTTGTTGCTGGGCACATACCAGGTGCTGAGTAAATACCCACTGAATGAATGAATGAATGAAGCCTTCTTGATTGCCCTGGGCCAATGAAGTCTGAGCCTCTCTGGAGCCCTTTGTTGCTCTGGGGCAGTAGAACTGCTTCTCGATTGGCAGGGCCTCATGCAGCCAAGCTACTGTTGATGATTCTGGCCCAGGTATACTCAGACGTTACAGAGGACTGGCTGGATGACGTCCTTCTGGGCTGAGTCAGACAGTGCCTCATTTTATAAATGACTGGAGTACAGGTATATTCCCAGCACAATGCCTGGCTCATGTTAGGCGCTAAACAAATCTTTGATGAATTAAATGGTCATGTGCTAAAATCATGCCAGATGAACCTGATGGCTGAATGAATGAATGAATGAATGCAGAAAAAACTTCGCATCCGTCAAGGGGCAGTAGGTTGGCAATCTCTGATCTGGGCTACTTTTCACAAGGTGCTTACATTTTTAAAAACTCCCATTTCTGAAGTTTTTGAATTTCCAGTGGGAAACTCTATGTCAAGCAAGCCAGCGTGGCTAGGACTCCCAGGTGCTCAGGCCAGAGCACAGGCTGGTTCCCCGGCGCGGGGCAGTCCTCTGCTCCACAACGCACTAAGGTGCAAAAAGTGGGATGGTGAGGAGATGGGAGGAGTCTCTGATTATGCTCAAGAGATGCCTGAGGGTCGGAGAAGAATCCTGGAGCTCAGCAAACAAAATGCAGCCTAGCAGATAATGCAGGCTGAGTTGGCTGCTCCTTCAAGTTCGCTGGGGGGCTGGAAGAGGGATCCCGTTGGTCTTCCGGTCCAGTCCCTGGGGACTGGGATGATGCACGGGTGCCCTCTGGTGGTCTTCTCACCAAACTGCAGGCTCTGAATGCACGGGGGTCTCTGGCTGGGGAGTGGCCTGTCCACCCAGAGGACCAGCATCACCTGTTAGGGAAAGAAAAGAATCAATCAGGGGCAGAGGAGCCAGAGCGCCTTAATTAAGTGCCTGACATTGTGGAATGTCTTCTTAGTAAGCCTATGCCCGGTTAGTCTATGTGGATTGATTTTGTGATTACATCTTGAAGTCCGGCCGCCAGGAGCCTTGATAAAATCTTTACATCTACATTAATCAGGAAAACCAGGTAGACCCCTCGGAGTACTTTCCAGATGTGTCCGGCAGATGAAGGCCTCCACGAAGATCAGTGTTCTCGGGGTCGTCATGAATTGTCAGATCCAGTAGCCAAAAGGGGCTGAGCAGCAAGAGTGGGGGAAGGAGATCAGGGGTGGGGCTGGCATGGACATTTGGAGACCTTGCTGAGAACCCAGCAAAGCCAGGCTCTGTGGAGGGGCCACAGGCCTTCATCCCTGAGCTTTCAGCAGAGGGACACCCCCTCTCTCGAGAGTGGAGAGATGGGGTCCACACGCAGGCCACTGCCAGCTGACACTGAAGAATCTTCAGGATTCTCCCAGAGAACTGGGAATTATTTCACATATTAGAACTTATCCTTAGGGGGAAAACCAAGGCTCTTTTCATCCCCATATGCAGACAAATCATCCCATGAAGTAATACGTCTTTTAAACATGTATGTACCAGGTTATGTGTTAACATGATATATTTAACCAAAGGGATGTTAGAAAGCAGGGAATTGCATGGTTCACAGGTGGATAAGACATGTAGGTAGATGATGTCTCTCACCAAAAACCACTTGGATTCAGGATAATAATGATAACCAAGAGTGGTGGCCTATAGTCCCAGCTACTCGGGAGGCTGAGGTAGGAGGATCTCTTCAGCCCAGAAGTTCAAAACCAGCTGAGCAACATAGACAGACCATATCTTGGAAAGGAAAAAAAAATACACACAACAACAACAACAAAAAAAAAAAAACCCAAAAACGATTTCATATATTGGGTCCTCTTCAAGAATCTGGAGAAGGAAACACTTAATCCAGAGCCCAAACGATCATAGAGTTTGAACTGTTTCATCATAAAATTACAGCTTATGCCCCTATGGGTTCTTTTGTTTGTGCCTCTACAAGTGACTAAAACAGCCGTTTAAATATTGTGGATGCTTATTTTTGCAAAGGCAAAAAGCATGGGTTAAGCATGCTCCACTTACAATAATCACTCACCCATTCAACGGGTGACAAAGCTGAGGCTCTTAGGATGTGGCTGTGTGTTTCACGATAACTGCAATGAGGAAGGACAAAGCGAATCTAGCGTCCCTACATCCTTTCACAGGGAGAATGCTTCGCTGGTGCCCCCTGAATGCACAGCCACAGCAAGCACACTTTCTTCTGGCTTCTTGGAAAAGACAGGCCGCGAGAAGTGATTTCTGAGAAAAGCAATACCCCTCAATGAAAAACTGGTCATAAAACATAAAAGAGGAACTGCCCTCCTCTCACCAACAGTAATGTGCCTTCTACTGTATCCTGCCTTCTAAAGGCTTCAAATGGTAAAAGAGCCGAATTTGAAACATTTGCTGCATTGAGGCAAAATTGAGCTTAGCCAGGATCTTTATGGCTCTTATAAATATTTATACTTAATAACATCTGGGCCTGAGCTTTAGTTTCTAAGCTCACATTTGCTCAACAAGTCTGGTTGTGTGTGTGTGTGTGTGCCTGCGTGTGTGTGTGTGTAAATGAGAAATGAGTTTCAGGAGGATATCTTTAGTTTGGTATTTTTGTTTTTATATTCGTTTCTCTTAGCATATCTTATAAGAGCCAAGCTAGGGTTGGTTTGATTTATTCATTTTACTACTAATCAAAAGGCACGAAGTGAAGGAGGATGGGAAAAAAGGGCGAATGGAAGGTGGGAGCTCTCTTAGGACCAGCTCACACAGCTGAGAGTTGCGCAAGTATCTGCAAATGTCAGGCCCCCAAATCTACTTTTGCCTGAATTCTATGATTGGCTGTCCCAGAGGTCCTGAATTTCCTCTAAATAATTGCATAATGTTCTCACTTTGTTTTAGCTAAGATGACTTAGTCATGAGAATCAAACAAATGTTGTCGAGTTCTTCATGTTTTCCAAAAGCTTTTCAAGGACTTGATTTATTATTTTTGAGTAGGTCAAGATCAGCCACGTTTGCATAGCCAGAGAGCAATTATGTCTTTTGAACTTAAAGGACAAATATGAGTGAATGCAAATGAAGTCAGCCCTCAATTTTCTGCACTAGGAAAAGCAAGACGATTCAAAAAATCAGTGGTATTTGGTTTGGAAATGGGTTTGTGCTTTTAATCAAATCCAGTACTTTTTAATTTTGTGGAATTCACTTTCAGGAAGGAAAGGAACCTTGCTTTGAAGGACTGACTTGGAGCTTGGAAGCGCTTTTCTTCTCTCCTCTTCTCTTGTTTCTCAATGAACAAGAAGAAGGGGAGAAGAAGGCTTCCTTGCCAGCTTCAAAGGTTTTAGGGAAAGCTGTACTGCCCTTGTAAATACCTCTGCCGCAAAAACAGCAGTACAATTCATTTTGCAAGGGGCTCCCCAGCAAGGATGAACGTTGCAGAAAAAGCAAGTGAATACTAGAAGATCCATATGTCAGTAAAGCAAGGAATTAAAATGTTAGTGTTTCCTGCAGAAAGAGTGAGCTGTCAACTTGGAAAATAATTAAATGGTAAGTGCTGTCAAAGAATTTGAAAGATTTGCCTGAGGTAAACCAAAATGCAGACAACTGATGCATAGGATAACACAGCAGATACACACGGCTAGATGCCAGGGAGGATATTTTGACATAGACAAGGGAAGTGACTAGTTCAAGGTCACTTGGGAGTTAAATTCCGCAGCTTATCTCCCTGTGACTGTAGTCCCCTGGCCGCCAGTACTTACGTTCCGTTGCCTTGTATTGTTGCATAAGCACTTAGCTTTGTTTTCTGTTCATCAGTGCAAGTGTGATGCTACCAATTCCATTCTTAGCACCAGACTTTTCTGACTCTAAGCTCCCTCTGGGTGTCAACATCGTCTCCCTTGAAAGCAGAGATAAGCCTACACTGTGTTATTAGAAGCAAAGGGTTTGAGAAAATGTTTTTTCCCCACCCTCAGCTCATCCTCCAACATGTGATTGAAAGTGAGAGTGAAACAGAAGATAAATGTCCTCCTCCTTGACTTGGAAGTTGGTTTTTGTCCAAAGGTAGAAGTCTTTGGAGTGAGATAGCAGGTAGAATTACACCTCATTTTCCTAACGATACAGGCACTATAATAACCTTGGAAAAGTAATCCTCAACACGATACCCATAGGAGTATTTCTAATAAGTAATTTGAAATCATATAACATTCCTGCTGTGGTGCAGTGCAAGGGAACCATGAGGAGATTAGATTTATTTTCTCATGTTTTTCCAAATGAGGCCGAGAGGCAGGAAGAGGGGCATCGCCTACTTAATACTAATACTCTGACATTGTGTGACTATGTTCTTAGGCCCAGATCCAAATGGTGCTCTGGCTGAGAGAAACCAAAGCTGAAAGCTGAGAACCATCAATCTCCGAAGCTGAGCTTTTTCAGATGCTTTCTGAAAACTGAGTATGCACATGATGGCTGGTGCATCCTGCGATTTCTAAAGGCTGGGGACTCTGGGAATGCACTGATGAAAAGCAATCCCAAAAGGAATCGACAAAACCGAGTCTTTGAAACAGAGACTCAGATTTCAGGGGTAAAACAAATGATTGTGTTTAATATAGAAGAAAGCAAATGCTACTTTAATTTGTTAGTTTCACAAAAATTCATTATGCCAGAAGGAGAAGGGGATAGAAAAGATTTCTAGTCTAGCATTTTAAGTATAACAAAAATAAAATTTGTGAAATATGAGTACGAAGTATCAGGTGGAGGAAAGAGTTACATGAACAGTTTTCACCTTTAAGTCTTGACGATTCTGTTAGGCATGCTCACTTAGAACCATAGCTACCATTTTGGGGCACTTACTGGAGATCAGACACTAAATTAAGTATGTACCTGATGAGCATTATCTTGATTGATCCTGATGACAATCCTGAGAGGCAGGAGCGAGTATTCCCATTTTCCAAATAGGAAAATTGAGATTCAAAGAGGTAATTAATTTTCCCCAAGATCATGCAGTTTGTCTTCGGAGTAGCTAGGATTCAAACCCAGACTCGGGAGCCATCAGTAGGCTGCCTGCATCCCAGAATGCATCACTTTAGTAGTTCAAGGCCCCTCCTCCACCAAAAAAAAGAAGCTAATTGTGGAACCAGAGCTTAATTCAGACCCAGGGGAAAGTTTGGGCCCTCTTAAAACTAAGATGACTGGGTGTGGTGGCTCATGCCTATAATCCCAGCACTTTGAGGGGCTGAGGCTGGACGGGGGGATTGCTTGAAGCCAAGAGTTCTAGAACAGCCGGGGCAACATAGCAAGACCCTTCTCTACAAAAAAAAAAAAAAGAAAAGAAAGAAAGAAAGAGAAAAGAAAAAGAAGAAAGAAAGAAAGAGAAAGAAAGAAAGAAAGAAACCTAAGGTAACCAGCCACCTGGGAGCCCTGTTCTAATAATATAGGTTACTGAAGAGCAGGACTCTACAGATTTACCAAAACCAATATTTTAAGGATATTGTCAGAATTTGATGAGAAGAAAAGACAAGGCTTGTGGTCACTCTGAATAATCCCCAGAACATAAACCAGAAAAGGCAAGGAAGAGATGTTCACACCGGATTGAACTTGGGCTGAGAAAGCAACAGAAGCAAGGTCTGTAATTGGGAGCAATGGGTTCACTTTGAGAGAGCAAAGAGGAGCGCTTCTGAGAAGCCTTGGTGCCAAGACCAATATTATCTTATATTAAAAAATAATTGAAACTGATACAAGGCTTTTGCAGGTCCAAATTCACCATGACCAGGAGAAGAACAGGGGGTGGGGCAAGCAGTTGAGGATAGCAACCAATTTTCAGTAGCCTGGGGAAGGAGGAGAAGGGGAGCCGACGAAATTCAATATTCCAGAAGTTAAAGCCTCATGCTTGTAGAGAACAAAAGAAAACACACCTAATGGAGTAGAATAATAAAGGGAACACTCTGCATTCAGAGGGATTGGGTCCTTCAAAGACCTTTGCTAATAACACAGGGGACTCCATCTCCTTACACCTGTGGGGCATTATTATTTGCAGGCTACTCTCTATTGCAAACCTGGCCATTGACAATGGTAAGAAAGTACCAACTGGACAATTGCATTCTAGCCTTGACAGGATTAGGACCCAACGCCACCTGGGAAGAGAATAAGGCAGCAATAGCTGGGGGCCCACTGCCTAGGTGCTCATTTCGCCAGTGGGAGGGAAATTTTCGGTGTGGTCTCGTGAATGATGAGGTCACCCATTCCCTTCCTCTCTCCCTCCCTCACTCTTTCCAGAACAGCTAAAAAGTTCTGCAAATAACTCTCTGTTAACCAGCCACATGGTTAAGGTTAACAAAGTGAGTTATTTGAGTATGGCTAATGGAGAGTTGTATATTTTTTAATAGATGGCTAGTTTGCAGAGAATGAGAATATACCAAAGCAATTATCCATAACCATTTTGGCTTATGTACCCTCTAAAATAGTCTGAAAAACTTTGTACCCCCACCCATATTTTTCAGTTGACATCTAAGTTTTTTCATCATAAGTTTGTGTAATTGCAAAGGATTTAACTTTGTAAAATTCTACAATTCAAAATATAACTGTTATTAACTTCCTTAAATGTATCCAACTGAATGGTTTAATACCCACCATCATCCACTTAAAAAATACAAGTACAAACTCTTGTTTAATAGAAGGAAATTCCACATCATTCCCTTTTCTCCTTGACATTGTATCTGTATTCTAATTCTCTTTAAGAGTCCTCTTAATGTATTATATTTTTGTGTTTGTCTTGTATACTCTATCCTATGGTTCTGTGATAAATATATATATGAATGTGTATGTATATGTATGTTTTTAAATTTGTATGTTTAAAACTTTTCTTCTGGATTGAGATGCCATTCTAATTATTAATAAATTATTTGACATAACAATATAAATATTTTACAAATTTAAAAAATAATTATAAGCACAAAACTAAAATTTTTACTGGACATCTGTCTTAATGAAATGGAAGAGAGTTTATAGTTTTTTAAATTGTTTCTGTGTTTGATGCCCTGGAGGATTTTACACCTGGACCAATGCTGCATAATAAGCCTTTGTTGTTGTTTGTTTTTGTTTTTATAAAATAGGAGAAGAAAAATTTTGGCAGGAGAGGTGGGAAAGGAGAAAAACAAAGCCTTGTCCTTAGACCAATCAATTTTTAGGAGAGAGAGGTCATAGAAGTTGAAGAGTTGAAAATTGTTTTTCTTTTTTTCTTTTTTTTTTTTTTTTTTTTTTGAGACGGAGTCTTGCTCTGTTGACCAGGCTGGAGGGCAGTGGTGCAATCTTGGCTCACTGCAACCTCCGCCTCCCAATTTCAACCGATTATCCTGCCTCAGCCTCCTGAGTAGCTGAGACTACAGGTGCACACCACCACGCCAGGCTAATTTTTGTAATTTTAGTAGAGACAAGGTTTCACCATATTGGTCAGGCTAGTCTGGAACTCCTGACCTCAGGTGATCCACCTGCATTGGCCTCCCAAAGTACTGGGATTACAGGTGTGAGCCACTGCACGCAGCTGATTTTCTTAAAATTATCCAAATGCAGGTACCAGATGGAAAGATTTGGTGTAGGGTCAGACAGGGATCTGTACTTCAGCTTGAAGATGATTGCCTTAAACTGCACTGGATTATCATTTACTCTTTCTCTGGGGAGTCAGAGAAGCCAGCCAGAATCTTACAGTACAGGCTGACAGCAGGGATGTCAGACAAGCCGGTGCACGCTCCAGCTCTGCCACTTGCTAACCATGTGACTTCAGCAAGATGTAAACTCCGCTGACACTCAGCTCCCTCTTCTTTAAAATAGTTCCACCACAGGGCTCTAGAAGGATTACATGGCTAATACGTATTGGGTAATATGTAAGTGTGCATGTTGAACGTGGATGCTCAGAGCATATTAGTTTCCTTTCCTGCTATAGAAGTATTCGGATTATGGTCAGGCGTGGTGGCTCATGCCTATAATCCCAGCACTTTGGGAGGCTGAGGTGGGTCGATCACCTGAGGTCAGGAGTTCGAGACAAGCCTGGGCAGCATGGTGAAACCTCGTCTCCACTAAAAATACAAAAATCAGCCAGGCGTGGTGGCATGTGCCTGTAATCCTAGCTACTCGGGAGGCTGAGGCAGGAGAATCACTTGAACCTGGGAGGTAGAGGTTGCAGTGAGCCAAGATAGTGCCACCGCACTCCAGCTGGGCGACAGAGCGAGACTCCATCTCAAAAAAAAAAAAAAAAAGAAAAAAGAAAAAAGAAATATTCAGATTTTTTGAAATTAGCTACATGGACATTTATTCTATTCCCTCAACTCTTAGGGGCAAAGCACCTGAGAATAGTCCCCTGCCATTATTATTCAGAGTCAGTCCACCAGAAAAGAAAATAGTCACTTCGTGTGTCTTCATCCCTCTCTCTTGCTACGTTAGACATGGTAGGGGAGCCAGTCCAGCCCTCAGCCCCTTTGCTCTGGGATTTGCCTTCTTCTCTTCCTACTTCCTTTTTAGTAATTGTGAGTAGAAACCCCACCCATGGTTGCAGAGGGTCGGGGATGTGGGTGTATAGAAGCACAGTGTTGTCAAACTTAAAGAGTTGTCTTCATGGCAACTCAACCATTATTTGGGTTATTATGCATAAACTACATACATGCATAGTTACTATTCACACACTTATTTGGGTCTCCAGTTTATCCGGAAGACATTAGGAGCTCTTCACCCTGTCCCCATTTGGAGGGTCAGAGGAATTCCTTAGAAGCAGAGAGGAAACCTGGACTATAACTGAAGACCACGGGCTGTGGAATCAGAAAGATGCAGGTTCAAATCCAAGTTCTGTGACTTAGTTGGGAAACCTCAGCAGGTCTTTTCACCCCTGTAAGTCCAAGTTGGCTTATGCACAACATGTGATCAGTGGTGCCATTTTCTTCACAGGGTTGTTTGGAGAATTTAATGAAACGATGCACATAAAACACTAGCACAGTGCCTGGCATAAATAAGTATTCAATAAGTACTGGAAGTTCTAGCCAGGAAAACTAGCCAAGACTATGAAATAGAAGGCACCTAGAATGGAAAGGAATAAGTAAAACTATCTACATTTGCAAAGCAGAACATTTGGTCAGCTTAGAACGTTCCCATGGTTTATACTGATTAACCTCATCTTTGAAGTAATAATTTTTTTGGATAAATTCTAGGGTATAATTTGCAGAATCGTGTTCAAATATGACAGCTCCTGGGAAGAGCCTTGCGAAGAAATTGTTTGTGAAATTGAACCAGTGTTCTGAGGAAGGAACCCAGGATTACTCCACCAAAATTTGTTGAAAGATCGATGCTTGTATCTAAATTGTGTATTTAATATTTAATAGAAACTCATAGGACAACTAAGAATGAGATTCCAGGTGGTTCTGCTTGTGGGAGGGTGAACTAGCAAAAAGTACTCATCTGGAAGATGGGAATACTTTATGTTACTGTTTCACATACACGTGTGAGTGAACATAGCCCTCTTCATTTTTTTCCCTGTTATTTCTAATTTTTTATTAAAGTACAACCACTCAAGCTTCCCATAATGGCACGGGAAGTCCTTACTGCAGTGTTGAGGACAAGATGGACAAATCCATGTCAGCTCAGGACTGTCTGTTGTCAAACTGGAAGCCTGCCACCAGCCCTCTGCCAAATGGTCCCCAGCAATGGCCCCTCCCAGAGCTGGCCAGTGGGGCCCATGCGTCAATGACCTGGAAGAACAGTTTCCAGCTGTGTAGAAGTCCCCTCGCTCAAATCAGCAGCACTTGGCAGAGCCAGTAAGATCTGTCACACTGTGACATTTGCACGCTTGGGCTTGGTGTCTGAAGGATTGGCGTTTAGCTTCAAATTTGGTGGGAGGGAACTTGAAAAGACATTGGTTCTGTTCTCCATCTCATCAGGACAAAAGGTCATGGGTCCCCTTCAGTGTGCTGACTTGCTACTGCTAAGAAACAAAAGCAAAAGCAAAAGCAAAAACCCAAACCCAAAGGTAACAAAGCATGGCTTGTTGAGCCCCCGCCTGGGTAAATTGAAACAAGCCTGTGGCTGCACTGAGAAAATACTCATTTTGTGGTATCAAATGTGGATTCCTGTTTGCTTTTTAAATGAGCCTCTGCTCTGGGCCACATGAGCTCTTCATGCTCTGTACTGTGGACTGAATGTGTATGTTCACATATGTTCACAGTCATATGTTGAAACCCTACCCCTCAGTGTGGATATATTTGGAGATTGGGCCTTATGTAGGGGAAAAGTCTCTCAACCTAGGGTTTTCCTCTGCTCTCACACCACCACAACAATAGACTTCTGTGATGATGAAGACTTTCGTGACCAAAAGCGTGTGGTTTTCCCCCATGCATCAAGCAGTGGACACCAGCTGGGCGTCCTCCAATTCAGTTCCGACAGTATCTACCGGGAGATGGCATCAGATCCCACTGGTTAGGGGCTCAGTCCCCAAGAATGCCCCCTACACCCTCAGATGCCAGTTGCAATTTTGAGCCTCCGGAACTTCCTACCAACTGGCTTCAAGTTGGGGTCGCATGACTCTCTTTTGGGTTCAATTAATTTGCTGGAGCAGCTCACAGAACTCAGGGAAACACTTACTTATGTTTACCAGTTTATTATAAAGGATATTGCAAAGGATGCAGAGAAAGAGATGTGTAGGGTGAGGTTTGGGAGAAGGGGCACGCAGTTTCCAAGCCCCCTCTGGGTGTGCCAGCCCTCCAGGAGCCTCCATGTGTACAGCTGTCAGGAAGCTCTCCTAACCCAGTCTGCTTGGGTTTTTACCGAAGCCTTCCTTCCCTCAGGGTATGAGGCAGGACCCTTTGCAAAGGAGGGTCTTAAGACCTACAATCAGAAAAGTGGGGAAAGATTAGAGTCCCGCCTTGGGGCAGGTGAAAGGAAGGCAGGAGAGAGATTCTGTTTCCTGAGGCCCGTCCCTGAGGCCTCACACACCCAGCCTTATAACAAAAGACTGTAACAATGGGATATGGGAATTATGAGCCAGAAACTGTGGACAAAAAACAACATATCATAACACCACAGGCTTCTAAGGAAATAATTAAGGTTAAATTTAAATGAGGTCATAAGAATGGGGCCGTGATGCCATAGGATTAGTATTTCTCCCCTAACCCCAGCACACGAGCACTGAGGAAAGGCCAAATGAGCACATGGTAAGAAGGCGGCCATTTGCAAGCCACGGGAGAGCCCTCACCAGAAACCAACCATGCTGGCACCTTGATCTTGGACTTCCCAACCTCTAGAAGAGTAACAAAATACATTTCTGTTGTTGAAGCCATCTGACCTGTGGTGTTTTGTTACAGCAATCCAAGCAGACAAATGCCGTCTGAGAAACTTGTACAAGTAGGGGAGCTCAGGCTCTCCCCTGGTCCTGCATCCCTTACCTGTCTCTGCCTAGAAGCAGCAACTCAATCACCCTGTCCTAAGGATTGCTGATTATAAACCCCCCCAAGCAAATGAGACTGTCTCCCAGGTAGGAAACTTTGCATGAGAATTTCTTGCCATCCTACTGCCATCCCTCATCCGTGGGCTGCTCTGACTGTGTCCTCAGTGGAGACATAGACAAAGGATTTCACTTTGGCAGGTGAGCTCTGCAAACCTGGGCCATCCACAAGGCAATCTTCTCCAGGTTGCATGATTTTACTACCCTCTGGACTTCTGTGTAAATTAATGGTGCAAAATGTTCTCTCATGTCCTTTCCAGATCTAAAGCCACAGCATTTCTTCTTTTTATTCATCTTTCTTTTTTTTTTTTTTTTTTTTTGACAGAGTCTCATTCTGTCTTCCAGGCTGGAGTGTAGTGGCACAATCTCAGCTCACTGCAACTTCCACCTCCTAGGTTCAAGTGATTCTCCCACCTCAGCCTCCAGAGTAGCTGGGATTACATGCATGCATCACCACTTGGCTAATTTTTGTATTTTTAGTAGAGACAGGGTTTCATCATGTTAGCCAGGCTGGTCTCGAACTCCTGACCTCAAGTGATCCCCTGACCCTTGGCCTCCCAAAGTGCTGGGATTACAGGAGTGAGCTACTGCCCCTGGCCTTCATCTCTTCAAGAGACATCATTTTTGAGGTAAAAATCAACACACACGAGAGTTGAGTTTTCCTCAAATATAAAGTAAATACTGTACCTATGGGTGTATGGGTGGGAATTTACATAACGGGATGAACGTCCTGCACTGGGTATTGGAAGCACAAAGACAGATAAGATGGTCCCATTTTCAGGGGCTTAAAATACACTAGACAACATCCAATAATTAGACCTCCTTTTTATTTTAAGCTTTTCAAACAAGAAGAAAGAAACATAGCAGCAGTTTGTTCTTCGACCTTTCCTACCTCACTTATAGAGCGCTCTTCAAGCTTGGAACATCTGAGCAATAACAGCAACAAATGCTAAGTGCTTTCAGCAGAACTCGGCACAGAGCCTGGCTGACATTCTAAGTACGTTGTGCACTTGTATTAAACTACTATGCTGAATATATAAATTCATTCATGGCACATGGTGAGGGTTCAACACAGCAGCTATTAGAAATACTGAAGATCAGCACTAGCTAATTATCATTTTGGAGCTAGATAGGGGTAGTGGTTGCATAATGTTGCAAATCTACTAAATGCCACTGAATCATGAACTTTTTTTGAGACGGAGTCTCACTCTGTCACCCAGGTTGGAGTGCAGTGGCATGATCTTGGCTTATGGCAACCTCCACCTCCTGGGTTCAAGCAGTTCTCCTGCCTCAGCCTCCCGAGTAGCTGGGATTACAGGTATGCACCACTACGCCCGGCTAATTTTTGTATTTTTAGTAAAGACAGGGTTTCACCATTGTGGCCAGACTGGTCTTGAACTCCTGATCTCAAGTGATCCACCCACCTCGGCCTCCCAAAGTGCTGGGATTACAGGCGTGAGCCACTGTGTCAGGCCTTAATCATACATTTTAAAGTGTTAAGTTTCTGTGATGTGAATGTCACTTCAGTTTTTTTTTTTTTTTTTTTTTTTTAAAGCTAATTGCCACTTGCACCAGGTGCTGGGCAAAAATGCAATTAAATACCCAGGATTCGAGGCTGAGAGTTACCACTAGAAAGGAAGAAGGAAATCACAAGGTTAAAATAAAAAATAATTATGTGCACAGGAAGGCCTGGTGCCCCCCGAGAAGAGCATACATCCACATCAGACAGTCTGCAAACATTGAAGAAACACACTAGAGAGATGAAAATCATAGGCCCTAGAGGACTTAGGCCAAGAAGCCCATTCTTACCTCCTCTGAGCCTGGACTTGACCACATGCAGGTCACAGAGATGCCTGGTGGGGTGAAGCGGGTTTCATAACTTTCTTCCCTGTCACCATCTACTGCTCTCAGAGTTACCCTCTTAACTTTTCCCATATAATAGCATACTTAACTCCGGCCTCATCACTGCCTTTGCTTAATCTGTAATGTTTTCTAGACCTGAAATGCCTGGCAATGTGCAATGTAATATTACTCTTATCATCACTGTGTTACCATTTGCCCTTTAAAGGACTTTGGAAAATGCTTTTACTTTTAAGTGTAATGCTTTATTTTCACACAGATGGACACACCTCCTTCTTCCTCTTGGATTCCTCCCAGTTGGGGGATTACGCCCTGGTAATTCAATCACTTGGCCTCTTTGGCCTAGTTTCTATCTCCCTGTTTACGTCAGAATTTCCTTTCACTGCAGAGTGTGTTTTCTGGTCAACTATCTTGTTTCTTCTGTTCTGTGCAACTGTGGGAAGACAACACAGCCAATGCCACTTTAAGCTCTTGTTTCTTTTCTTTAGGCAATGTTCGAGCTTTCACACTTTCTTCTTAGCGCCCTGAACTGCTAATTTCTTTCTGCTTCAATGAAACATACTTGTCAGTGCTCACGAAATGAACCTTTCTGCCCTGTCCACTCCTTATTATTCAACCTCTGATGTTTTGCCGTCTGGGGTTTCTCCTCCCCTCAGGGCCGACGGGGCTGTTGTTGGATTTTTGTGTGTTTGTTTCTTCTCCTTTTGTTTTCCCAACATAAGCAAATATAATTTTAATTGAATTAATACCACAATTTTTTCCTTTTATTTTTAGTTGACACATCATAACTCTACATACTTATGGGGTTCAAAGCTGAAATGTCACTCTTTGTTTCTTTAATCACTGTTCTTGCCAGCTTCTGCCCTCCAAGCATGTTCCGTGACCTTCAGTGGATCCCAAGACATTTAGGTTTGTGGCTGCTCTTCAGTACACAAACCGTGGGATCCACAGTTCGTATCCTGATATTGTCACTCACTAATCTTTTGATTCTAGGGCTGTTTCTTACTACCTATTTGGCACAGTTGTGAGAATTCAATAAGGTTATGCCTGTGAAGGCAGGCAGCATATCGTCTAGGGGATAGTAGGTGTTCCATAAATGTGTGTTGGATTGAGAGAAAACTTATTTTCATCTCATGAAATATTTTCTCTAATTTGAATCTCTGACCATACAGGTGCACTTAAATAAGTGTGCAAGAAAACAGGCACTCATGGTGGTAGGAACATAAATTAGTACAACCTTTGTGGAGGGCAATTTTATCACATGTATACAAACTCATTGTCTTAGTCCATTTTGTGTTGATATAACAGAATACCACAGACTGGGTAATTTATAAAGAAGCGAAATGTATTTCTCACAATTCTGGAGGCTGGGAAGTCCAAGACAGATGACTTGCATCTGGTGAGGGACTTCTTGTATCATCCCATGGTGGAAGGTGGAAGGGTGCATGAACATGTATGTGAAAGAGAGGGCAGGGAAGGGGCAGAACTCATCTCTTTATCAAGAACCCATCCCTTCAATAATGAACTCAGTCCTGAAATAACGATATTAATTGATTCATGAAGTCAGAACCCTCATGACCTAATCACCTCTTAAATGTCCCACCTCTCAATACTGTTGCACTGAGGATTAAATTTCCAACACATAAACTTTGGGGAACACATGCAAACCATAGCACTCTCTGTCCCAGCAATTTGAATTTTAGAAACTGACACTAAGGAAATAATTGATCTGCATGAAGATTTTGCTATGAGGTTGTAAAAGATAGGAAAAGCCCAACTGTTTTTGCTACTTTCACACTCAGCCAAACACAGAACCCTTCTGTGAAATGTACGTGGATTCTCCAGTGGACGCCAACTGGATATCCTATAATTCAACTCAATTCTGACACTACAGAAGGGTCGGATTCCACAGGTTGAGAGCTCAGTCCCATAAGACTTCTCCCATTTCATATGCCAATTGCAAGTCCCAGGTTGTCACCTCTGCTTCTGATCAGTTGAGGTTCCCATAACCCCCTAGTTGAGTTCGATTATTTGCTAGAATGGTTCACACAACACTTTACTTACAGAGAAACACTGTACTTACATTTACCCATTCATTATAAAGGATATCACAAAAGATACAAATAAACAGGCAGATGAAAAGATACATAGGACAAGGTTTGGAAGGGTCCTGCAGGCAGGAGCTTCTGTCCCCATGGTGTTGAGGTGAACCACCCTCCTGGCACAAGGATGTATTTGCCAATCTGAAAGCTCTCTGTGTGCCCTAGTTCCAGGATTTTTATGGAGTCCTCATCACATAGGCCTGATCCATTATTAACTCAATCTCCAGAGCCTCTCCTCTTCCCAAAGAATGGGAAGTAGATCTGAATATTCTAAGCTCCTAATAATGGTTTGGTTTTTCTGGTGACCAGCCCCATCCAGGAGCCCACAAAGAGTTGTCTCATTAGAAAAAATGATGCTCCTACCGTCAAGGAAGTTCCAAGGGATTAGTGGCTCTGTGTCAAAAATTAGGGCCAAAGATCAAATATTTGAACAAAAGATGCACCTAGAACACCTGTTGCTCAGGAATTTACAAGGATTTTAGGAGTTCTGTGCCAGGAACTAGGGACAGAGGCCAAATACATATTTCTTTTTTGATGTTGTTGTTGTTGTTTTGAGATGGAGTTTTGCTCTTGTTGCCCAGGCTGGAGTGCAAGGGTGCGATTTTGGCTCACTGCAACCTCCTTCTCCTGGGTTCAGGCAATTCTCCTGCCTCGACCTCCTGAATAGCTGGGATTACAGGCGCCCACCACCACGCCCGGCTAATTTTTGTATTTTTAGTAGAGATGAGGTTTCACCATATTGGCCAGGCTAGTCTCGAACTCCTAACCTCAGGTGATTCACCCACCTCGGCCTCCCAAAGTGCTGGGATTACAGGCGTGAGCCACTGCACCCGGCCCAAAAACATATTTCTTATTGTCTCATTATATCAGAAGATATTCTCTGAAGCCTTATTTATATTCATAAAACATTGGAAACAATTTAAATGTTCATCAGTAGAGAATGATTAAAAAGATAATGCTATATTATTTAAAGGAACGGAATACAATCATTAAAAAAGGTGTTATAGAAGAATACTGAAAGGTAAGTATGATATTCATAACATTTTGATGGAGAAAAGAAGGTTAAAAAAACTTGGATATTTAATAGACAAAAATTAAACTTGTATATTTAAAAAACATAAGTCCTGATTTTCCCATACTCACCAAACATGCTCTATCTGTAGCCACTACCTGTCCAATTGCTCAGGGCAAAACTTCACAGCCGTCTTTGATCGTCATAGCCTATGTTCAACTAATCAGGAAATCCTTTCACCTCTACCTTCTAAGCATACTGAGAATCTC
The DNA here is from genome assembly GCF_000001405.40 of Homo sapiens. Taxonomy (NCBI): domain Eukaryota; kingdom Metazoa; phylum Chordata; class Mammalia; order Primates; family Hominidae; genus Homo; species Homo sapiens. The sequence goes on from NC_000013.11 coordinate 35,737,050, forward strand.
AGCCTCACCAGACTCATCACCATTGCCCTAGGGCAAGCCACCACCATCTCTCAGTTGGCTTATTGCAATAGTCTCCTGCTGGTCTTTTCACTATTATGCCTCACAAGTTATTCTCAACACAACAGCAGAGTGACCCTGTTAAGGCATTAAGTCTCTTCATGGAGCTCTTCTGCTCAAGAGCTTCCCATCTCACACAGAGTCAAAGACTCTGTAAAATGACCAGTAATAAATGGGCTGAATGTAGTTTATTCAGCCTGTTTGTTCAGCCACTTTGTGGCCTCCCAGTACAAGGCAGGACCCCTTTGGAATGAAGGTCTGATGACCTACTTTCAGGGGAGGTAGGTCAGAAAATTCTTTTACATCCTGTTTCAGGGGAGAAAGGTGAGAGAACGTCAGAGAATGATCCTCCTTTTCCTGCAATTTTCTCAATTTCTTTCAGTTTAAAATACTTAGTATGGGCCAGGCATGGTGGCTCATGCCTGTAATCACAACACTTTGGAGGCTGAGATGGGAGGATCTGTTGAGCCCCGGGGGATTCAGAACCAGCCTGGGCAACATAGGGAGACCGTATCTCTACATAAAATCTAAAAAATTAGCTAGGCGCTCATTTGTGTTCCCAACTACTTGGGAGACTGAGGAAGGAGGATCGTTTGAGCCTAAGAGGTCAAGGCTGCAATGAGCCACGATCACACCACTGCACTCCAGCCTGGGCAACAGAGCAGACCCTGTCTCGGAAACAACAACAACAACGAAAAAAAAACAAAACAAAACCAAACAAAAAACCCAAAAAACAACCCAAAACACACAAAAAACACAACTCAGTATGCTAAGATGCCATATTTTGAGGCACTATGTTCTGAGCCCTGACATAGAATATAAACCTCATGAGAGAGAGATTTTTACCTCTTTAGTTTTACTGATGCGTGTATCTCCTCCACCTAGAGCACTCAATGAATATTAGTTGAATGTCTTGAATGCATTAGTATGGGATGAACCTGTTTGTTAAAGGCTAAAAATACAGTTGGTCTTCATATTTGTAGACACTGTATTTTCTTTTTTTTTGAGATGGAATCTCTCTCCGTTGCCCAGGATGGAGTGCAGTGGTGTGATCTCTGCTCACTGCAACTTCTGCCTCTTGGGTTTAAGCAATTCTCCTGCCTCAGGCTCCTGAGTAGTTGGGACTACAGGCACCCACCATCATGCCCAACTAATTTCTGTATTTTTAATAGAGAAGGGGTTTCACCATGTTGGCTAGGCTGGTCTCGAACTCCTGACCTCAGGTGATCCACCCACCTCAGCCTCCCAAAATGCTGGGATTGCAGGTATGAGCGACCGTGCCCAGCCAATGCTGTATTTTCTAATTTGCCCACTTAATAGAGATATTGATAATCCTCAAATCAATAGCCACAGTGCTTCCATGGTTTTTCTTGAACATGTGGAGACAGCGAAATAGTTGAGTAACCCACTGTGCACTTCTTCAGCTGAGGTTGAACAAGTCATCATTCTGCCTTCTTGTTTCAGCTCTCGTACTGTAAACAAGTGTTTTACAGATGGTCTATTTGGTGCCATTTTTTTTTGCATGTTGATATTTTTAAACCATGCAATAATAAAATTGCAACTCCACTAGCCATTTATTAAAGGCTAAAAATACTAGCCACTTCCGTTTGGGGGAAAATCCTTTCTCACCTGCATGTTCTAGTCTTATGTTATTTTCATGTTTTGGGTATCTGGAATTTCTAGGGTCAAAGATACAGACATTTAAGCTGACAAGGAAAGTATCAACTTTCAACAAATCCCCAGTTTAGGGTTTGGGTCTGTTAAAATTGTTGTTATTCTAAACGTTGTCCTGATTTGCTATTTCAGTTCCATATATGCTAAAATGTAGGTAACACCGCTCCTTAGTGTTAACCGATCACTACAGTTCTTATTTGCAGCTATTAGCACATTAAAATGGTGTCTGTTGTTTGGAGAATCAAGAAACTGCCTGTTTGCTTTTCTATACTCAGGGTTTATGTGATGGTTAATACTGAGTGTCAACTTGATTGGATTGAAGGATGCAAAGTATTGTTCCTGGGTGTGTCTGCGAGGGTGTTGCCAAAGGAGATTAACATTTGAGTCAGTGGGCTGGGAGAGGCAGACCCACCCTCAATCTGGTGGGCACAATCTAATCAGCTGCCAGCAAATATAAAGCAGAAAAATGTGAAAAGGCAAGACGGGCCTAGCCTCCCAGCCTACATCTTTCTCCCATGCTGGATGCTTCCTGCTCTCGAACATAGGACTCCATGTTCTTCAGTTTTGGGACTCGGACTGATTCTTCTTGCTCCTCAGCTTGCAGACAGTCTATTGTGGGACCTTGTGATTGTGTAACTTAATACTTAATAAACTTAATAACTTAATAAACTCCTATATATATATCCTGTTAGTTCTGTCACTCTAGGGAACCCTGACAAATATAGTTTAATATTTGTTTATCGAATATCTTTTATATATAACTATAAAAAGCCCATATCTATATAACTACAGATTTGTAGTAACTAGATAAATAAACCCTTAGATTGAAGAGGGTGGTGGGGCTTACACCTTCCCCCTCTTCCACAATCGATTTGAATGTTTATTGTTGGTGAACTTTGGCAAATGTGCAAGCATGATAATTGTTATTTCTTCAACACTTTAACCTAAAGACTATAGTACTATATGAGAAATTAAAATAAAATTAATATAAAATTCTAAGCCCCCTAATTGACTGAACGAACTACTTCTTGACCAAGAGGAACCCAGAGAAACTTAGAAACTGAGCTCCTGGCCATTGCAGAATGGGATGGCAGACATGGCTTGTTATACCCCCTCCCTCACTAACCACCATTCCCTTCCTAAGGGCTAAACAGAAACCAGCCTTTTGGAAAGATTTGCTCCACTACTGACTTCAACCAACCAACTGACCCTTGCTGTATCCCCTCTGATATGGTTTGGCTGTGTCCCCACTCAAATCTCATCTTGAATTGTAGCTCCCACAATTCCCACAAGTTGTGGGAATGACCTGGAGGGAGGTAATTGAACCATGGGGCCAGGTCTTTCCCATGCTGTTCTCATGATAGTGAAGAAGCCTCATGAGATCTGATGGTTTTAAAAAGGGGAGTTTCCCTGCACAAGCTCTCTTCTTTTGTCTGCTGCCATGTGAGACGTGCCTTTCACTTTCCACCATGATTGTGAGGCCTCCCCAGCCACGTGGAACTGCGGTTCATTAAACCTCTTTCTTCTGTAAATTGCCCAGTCTCAGGTATGTCTTTATCAGCAGTATGAAAATGGACTAATACACCCTCCCTTTTTGCAGTTTCTGCACAACTGACCAGCATTCCTTCCTGATAAGAGACCACTGACCATGGAATGGCTCCATCCAGTTTACAGAGGCTATGCATAGGATGCCTCTGTTTCACTTTTGCCTAATTATAATGTATTTAAGTGTAAATTCTCCACCCAAAACTCAACATGGGACATATGTAACATGCATGTCTGCTTACTACACATGTGTGTGTCCACCTTCATGAATATTCATAGCTTCTCCTATAACCTGTTGACTATATATACATAGCTGGCCCATTCAGCATAAATTGTGATCTCAGCCTTTCCTCTGAAATGCCTGCTTGTGGTTTCTACCAGAAGCTACACTTCCCAGCCTGTGGGTTGGCCAGCCGGCAGGCTATAATCCTTGATAAGAAATAAAGCTTTTCTGGGCGGGTGCAGTGGCTCATGCCTGTAATCCCAGCACTTTGGGAGGCCAAAGCAGGTGGATCACCTAAGGTCAGGAGTTTGAGACCAGCGTGACCAACATGGAGAAACCTGGTCTCTACTAAAAATACAAAAATTAGCGGGGCATGATGGCACATGCCTGTAATCCCAGCTACTCAGGAGGCTGAGGCACCAGAATCACTTGAACCCAGGAGGTGGATGTTGTGGTGAACAGAGATCACACCACTGCACTCTAGCCTAGGCAATAGAGCAAGACTCTGTCTCAATAAATAAATAAATGAAAGCTTTCCTTTCTAAATTTATGAACCTCGTGATTTTTCAGTTGACTTGGAGGAGACCAAAAATATGTCACTCTGTAATATGACTGTAGGAAACCAGAATATGCCACTCCAAAATGTTACCAGAAAGGGGTCGCAGTCCAGACTCCAAGAGAGGGTTCTTGGATCTTGCACAGGAAAGAATTTGAGGTGAATCCATACAGTAAACTGAAAGCAAGTTTATTAAGAAAGTAAAGGAACAAAGAATGGCTACTTGACAGACAGAGCAGTCCGAGGGCTGCTGGTTGCCCATTTTTATGGTTATTTCTCTATTATATGCTAAACAAGGGGTGGATTATTCATGCCTGTCCTTTTTAAACCATATAGGGTAACTTCCTGACGCTGCCATGGCATTTGTAAACTGTCATGGTGAAGCAGCTACATTGTCTTGGGTAAATACCCAAGGTTTGTCATCTCACGCCAGGAAAATTTAGGACGCAGACACACATGAGGAGTGTAGGAGTGGAGGTTTAATAGGCGAAAGAAAGAGAAAGGAAAATAGCTCTCTCTCTCTCCAGTGAGAGAGAGAGGTCTTCTGAAAGGAAAGACTGGCCGGTGGCGGATGCGCTGGATTTTATAGTCAGGCTGGAGAAGGTGGTGTCTGATTTACATAGTCTCACAGATTGGTTTGATAAGGTATGATGTTTACATAGCACGTGGGGGAGGCTGGCTGCCCCACTCTAATCTTATGCAAATGGGCTTTCCAGTTGACTGGCACCATCTTGTCTGCTCCTTAGTGTACACATGGATGACAAAGAGAAGGGAAGATGGAGCCACCGTCTTGAACATGATTGGCACAACAGCCAGCATCTGTCTGCAGCTTGATTTTACAGGCTGCTCTTTGTTAGAAAGGAAAATAATTTGGGGCTGCTTTTTATTAAAAAGGAAAGCTTACCAAGGACTTCTGTACCTTCACTATCTGCCTAAGTAATTTCTTCTTAACTCTTGTATCAATGGCACTGGTGGGAGTGTAGTAGTGAGGACGACCACATGTCACTCGCATCGCCATCTTGGTTTTGGTGGGTTTTAGCTGGCTTCTTTACTGCAACCTGCTTTATCAGCAAGGTCTTTCTGACCTGTATCTTGTGCCGACCTCCTATCTCATCCTGTGACTTAGAATGCCTAACCATATGGGAATGCAGCCCAGTAGGTCTCAGCCTTAACCCAGCCCCTATTCAAGATGGAGTTGCTCCGATGCAAACACCTCTGACAAAAATATATTCCTTTGGCATAAGGATTATTTTGCACTGATTATTTTGTGACACTGCTCAAAATAATCATAAGAACATATGTCTATTATTGCAGACATCGGAAAAGCTCTGAAAACAGAGTGGGTTACCCCTTTGTAAAGGAAATTTACATATATAAAAGAAATCTCCATTTGTATAATAGGGTCTCCCTCTCTGAATCAGGAAGAGAAGGGTAACTTAATCACTAGAGCCTCTTAACAATGGAAAAAGCATTGACTTAAGTGTGCATAGCAAACATTATCATTTTGCCATACTATGTACTATACCTGGATACCTCTTCATTTTGTTTAAGTTGAAGATGGTATTTAAGCCTGAACTCAAAGATGCTTGTTTGAGATTTACTCATTTTCCCCCGGGTATCTCCCACATACACAGGAAGAATACGTTTTTAAGCTTCTGTTGTTTTTTCTCTTGTTAATTTGTATTTTGCTGCTAGGGTTTGTCTCCAGTAAGTGCTATGGTGGGTATAGAGAAAATTAATTTTCTCTCCTATAGTACTTGACAACACTTGGAAGCTTTTTCTTCTTCATTGACAATACAATTGCCTATTAGGGCATTCTTTCTCTCTCTATCTCTCCATCCTCTGTCCCAAAACTTTGCTAATTTAGGGGCCAAGGGAAAACTTCCCCTTTGCCCTCTGAGGTTTCACTGAAAAATCAACTCACCGAAGGCAGATTAATTGGAGAAAAGGTGTAAAAATTTATTAGCATTGCAAGTTGGGGAGAATCACAGAGTGATTGTTCAATATCCTAGTGGGGCCTCCATACTTACATAGCCTTATTTCAGAGGGAAGAGGGAGATGGGGAATATAGGTAATTCTATTGAGGGTCAATCAATGATTACTAGTGAGAACAAGTGGATGGAGGGGTAGGGATAAATTCATAAATCGTTCTCTTTAGAAATGGAGTGAACCTGAGACAGGGACATTATCTTGTGAATGGGTCTGTTCAGATGTGGTTACATTCTTGGGCTTCTTTTCTGCAATAGATAAGGAGATAACAGGAAGGGGAAGGAAAAACTACGCTGTCCTCAGTCTGGTCTTTATGTAGATAGGGAAAACGTCTCTTTCAGTGTCTGTTAATCTTTGAGGGTTTTTAACTCAAAATACTCATTGTACCAGGGAGGCATATTTTAGGGTGAAGTCCCTTGCATTATTTCACTAAACATCACTTTTTTTTTTAAGTGTAGTGTTAAATGCTACAGAGAAAAACATGGGTGAGACAAGCCAGTTCTCTCAAGAAGCTCAAATGGGTGAGACAGGCATGGAAACACAATAGCCTTATGATGAGATGAGTTGCCCCCATCACTGACTGAATTAACCCTGATCTCAGTCAAGGAAACCCCAGAGAGAGCTTAAAAACTGGATTCCCTGCCACAGTAGAGAGAGAGTTCTGACACGTCTCATTATAACTCCATCCTTATGGAGTTTAGGCACAACTGACCAGCATTAATGTTAAAATAAAGATCATAATGTTACAGGAAAGGGGTTTCCATCCAGACCCCAAGAGAGGGTTCTTGGATCTCATGCAAGAAAAAATTCAGGGTGAATCCGTAAAGTGAAAGCAAGTTTATTAGGAAAGCAAAAGAATAAAAGAATGGTTACTCCATAGACAGAGCAGCCCCGAGGGCTGCTGGTTGCCCATTTTTATGGTTATTTCTTGATTATATCATAAACAAGGGTTGGATTATTCATGCCTCCTCTTTTTAGACCATATAGGGTAACTTCCTGTCATTGCCATGGCATTTGTAAACTGTCATGGTGCTGGTGGGAGTGTAGCAGGGAGGATGACCAGAGGTCACTCTCGTTGCCATCTTGGTTTTGGTGGGTTTTATCTGACTGCTTTACTGCAACCTGTTTTATCAGCAAGGTTTTTATGACCAGTATTTTGTGCTGACCTCCTAACTCATCCTGTGACTTAGAATGCCTTAACTATCTGGGAATGCAGCCCAGTAGGTTTTAGCCTCATTTTACCCAGCCCCTGCTCAAGATGGAGTTGCTCTGGTTCAAAACGCCTCTGATAATAAGACAACAAAATTGACTCTTTGTGACAATAAGATAAATTATAAATAGAACCTAAAGCCATGCCAGATAAGGGTTAATTCACACAGCCCTGCCAGTCACTCTGACCCAGTGTACTGGTTAACAGACTTCCTTACCTTAACTTAAACAGTCATTGCTGCTGACCCCAAATTTTTAGACAAAGCTTTAGTCATTTAACCAATTGTAAACTAAAGAATCTCTGAATCCACCTCTAAGCCCCTGTTTCAAGATATCCTGCCTTTTCAGCCTGAACCAGTGTATACCTTCCGTGTATTGATTTATGCCTACCTGTAACTCCTACTTCCCTAACATGTGGATAACCAAACTGACATGTGGAATCTGACTGCCTTGGGTGCGCTTTCTCAGCACTTCTTGAGACTGTGTATCGCCGGGCCAAGGTCACTCATATGGGCTCAGAATAAACCTCTTTAAAATATTTTACAGAGCTTGATTTTTCTCTTAACAACTCGCTGGGAGCAGAAATGCATGTGGTTAGCAAAGGCTTCACCAAGAAGGAGACGAGCGAGGGGGCTCTTGCAGAGTGAGTGAAACTCGACCAGCTGGCAGAGGAGGTGTGGGATGCATTCCAGGCTGCAGAGAGCACGCTGATAGAGAAGCATAATACACACAGAGAGCTATAAGTCATTGGATTTGACTGACACAGCCTGTGCTGAGGAAGGGGAGGAGGCACAGCAGCAGATGTGGCAAGAGAAAGGGAACAGGGACATATAATCTTAATTTTTAAAAATAAGAACTTTACTGGGATGTCATTCACATGTCATATAATTTACCCTTTTAAAGTCCACAATTCAAGAGTCTTTACCATATTCACAGAGTTATACAACTATCACCACTTATCATTTTAGAACATATTCAACATTCCCCAAAAGACACCCCATACCTGTTGGCAGTTATTTCACACTACCAGATCCTCCCAGCCCCTGGAAACCACGGGACTACTTTCTGACTCTGGATTTCCCTATTCTGGATATTTCATGTAAATGGGCTCTTGCAGTGTGTGGCCTTTCTGACTGGTTCCTTTTGTTACTAGAAAGGGGTCCTGATCCAGACCCCAGGAAAGTGTTCTTGGACCTTGCACAAGAAATTTAGGGCAAGTTCATAAAGTGAAAATAAGTTTATTAGAGAAGAAACAAAAGAATTGCTACTCCATAGACAGAGGAGTGGCATGGGCTGCTTGACTCAGTATACGTATAGTTATTTCTTGATTATATGCTAAACAAGGAGTAAATCATTCTTGAGTTTTCTGAAAAAGGGGCGGGCAATTCTAGGAACTGAGGGTTCCTCTGCTTTTTAGATTATATAGGGTAATTTCTAGACATTGCCATGGCATTTGTAAACTGTCATGGTGCTGGTGGGAGTGTCTTTTAGCATGTGAATGCATTATAATCGGCATATAATGAGCTGTGAGGAAAACCAGAGGTCTCTTTTGTCACCATCTTTGTTTTGGCTGGCTTTATCACTGGATCCTGTTTTATCAGTGGGGTCTTTGGGACCTGCATTTTGTGCCAATCTCTTATCTCATCTTGTGACTAAGAATGCCTGACCTAGGAATGCAGCCCAGTAGGTCTCAGCCTCATTTTACCCAGCCCCTATTCAAAATGGAGTCACTCTGGTTCAAACACCTCTAACACTTTCACTTAGCATGTTTCACTTACCATGCATCCAAGTAAAAGCATGACTAAGTACTTCATTTCTTTTTATGGTAGACTACTATTAGATTATAAAAATATACCCTACCACATTTTGTTTATCCATGCATCAATTGATGGACATTTGGGTTGTTTCCACTTGAAGTTTAGCATAAAGATTATTTTAAAGTGAAAACATTTGAAATCTTGTCTAAACTTTCCTTATCTGACTATTGCAGGGTCTTTTGAAAATTGAACTGCCGTTATTCTCCACTCCAGGGACTTTCCAGTAAGGAAACAGACTGCCCATTCCCATCGGCATAAAGAAAGGCCAGTTGAGCGTTCCAGCTTTTCCATTAAAGCCCTTGGGTATTCAGGGAGTCACTCATTACTGAGTGACTTCTGCCTGCACCTGTGAATAAAGCTTGTCTTTTCTCCTATTAGTCTGTCTATTGTCAGTTCTTTTGCCATTCCCCAACCATGGTAATTTAAGTGGATAGAGGAAAAATTTTCCTTCCAACGAACTTTTTGGTTATTATGAATAATGCCACTCTGAGCATTTGGGTATAGGTTTTAGAGTGAACAGATATTTTAAATTCTCTTGGGCATATATCTAAGAATGGAATTGCTGGGTCATATGGCAACTGTTGCTTGAACATTTTGAGGAACTGCCAGGCTGTTTTCAGAAGGGCTGCAGCATTTTAAAACCCTACAAGCCATGTATTGTGGGTATAAGGTGGCATGCCACTGAGGTTTAGATTTTTATTCCCTAATGGGTAATGTTGAGTCTTTATGCATTTTTATACTCATTCCTCTCTCTTAATGTATACTGTTTGCTTTGCTTGTTTGCTTTTTTTTTTTTTTTTCTGGAGATGGGGTTAACATCTGTCATCAGGCTAGAGTGCAGTGGTGCAATTAGAGCACACTGCAGCCTTGAACTCCCAGGTTCAAACAATCCTCCCATCTCAGCTTCTTGAGTACCTGGGATTATGGGAACACAGCTAATTTCTAAATTTTTTGTAGTGATGGAGTCTTGCTATATTGCCCAGGCTAGTTTCGAACTCCTGGCCTCAAGTGATCCTCCTGCCTTGGCCTCTCTTAGTGTTGGGACTGCAGGCAGGAGCCACTACATCTAGCCCTGCTTTCTAATACATTAATGCTTGTCTGGATTTTAAAAGAGAAAACACAATTAACTCATTCCTTTCCATTCACGTCTTACTTCTAGCCTTCCATTCTCAGCCAATGTTTTCTAAAAGGTGAGTTCTATTTGTCTGACTTTATTTCCTCATTTTATACTTATCCCTCCAAGGCCACTATGTCCCACTGCTCCAGGTGACACCATTCACTTAGAATACAATGGGTTTGTTGCCCCCAGAGCTGTGTAATGGTAGCTGCCCTGCCCCTCACCAACTCCCCTTGCATCCCTTGTTATCAGGCTTCCAGGACTTTTGCTCTCACTCTTGGAAACAGTGCCTTCCCTGGAAGGCAGAGCTTCCCAACTGCATCTGCTGAGATTAGGCAGATGTGTGTCAAGCTAAGGATCCCTTAGGCTTCAGGGCTGCCAGGTGGGTCCCTGGAAGCTGGAGCATCTGAGATGGTTGCATCTGGCCTCAGGCAGCCTTGCCTGGTACCTTTTGGTATTATACAAGTATCATTTTCTATTCTGCTCTGGTCAAGAACTGAGAAGTTGTGCCAAGGTCATGAATCACCTCCAAATTGCCAAATCCAACAGATATTTTTTTCTGGTCTTCAATGCCCTCTCCTGGGCCCTTCCTATGTCTCCAGCTGCTTCTGTTATCGGCCAGGTCTAGGCCCGTTCAAAGTAAATCAAGCAGTGTGACATGGGTTTTGTGAAAGAGAAAAGATTTATTCTCAAGGCTGCCAAGCAAGCAAGCAAGTAAGCAACCAAGCAAGCAAGCAAGCAAGCAAGCAAGCAAGCAAGCAAGAGAACAGCTCTCAAGTCTACCTACTAAAAGATAAGGCTTAGGGATATTTATGGGTTAAGGAAGTGGGGTGGCCTTAGAAATGGGGAAAGGTGATTGGCAGTGGGGAAAAATGAAGTAACAGGTTCATTCTGCGCAAGTGTAGTCAAGGTTCATGGCATTTCATAAACATATATACAGAAAATGGTGCTGTTAGCCTGATCTGAAGGTGGAGGTTTTGGCCCTCTGACATCAAAAGGCCACTTCTCCGGCACTTTTGCAGGCCCAGTGGAAGGGTCAGTGGTCTGATCTGGTTTGAACTGGACAGGAACTGGACCAAGTTCCTGAAAAACACTAGAAGTGACCATTAGCATGGTGACCTGTGAATGTTATCTATAAAGTAGCCAGGGAAAGTTGAAGTTAAGTTTCAGCATTCAGCAGGGCAATCTTTAGGTACTGTAGCCATCAGCTTCATGGAAAAAGGCGTAAAAATTCCACAAAAAAGCAAGCAAACACAATCAAGCAGGGCAGGCAGACCTGATTAAATTAATCTGTCCATCTCACCTCTTTGTCTCTCTCTATCTTAAAAAATTTTTCTAAGTTTTAATTTTTATGGGCACATAGTAGATATATATATTTATGGAGTATATGAGACATTTTGATACAGGCATGCAATGTGTAATAATCCCACCAGGGTACATGGGGTATTCATCACCTCAAGCATTTATCATTTCTCTATGTTACAAACATTCCAATTATATTCTCTTAGTTATTTTTAAATGTACTATAAATTATTGTTAACTGTGGTGACCCCATTGTGCAATCAAATACTAGATCTTATTCATTTAATCCACCAAATTTTTGTACTCATTAACCATCTCAACTTCCTGTCTCACCCCACCCCCCAACACCCCTTCCCAGCCTCTGGTAACCATCTTTCCACTCTCTATCTCCATGAGTTCAATTGCTTTGAGTTTTAGCTTCCACCAATAAGCAAGAACATATGAGGTTTGTCTTTCTGTGCCTGGCTTATTTCACTTAACATAATGTCCTCCAGTTCCATACATGTTGTTGCAAATGACAGGATCTTATTCTTTCTTATGGCTGAATAGTGATTCATTGTGTATATGTATCATATTTTCTTTATCCATTCATCTGTTGATGGACGCTTAGGTTGATTACAAATCTTGGCTATTGTGAATATTGCTGCAATAAACATCGAAGTACAGATATCACTTCAATATACTGATTTCCTTTCTTTTGGGTATATTATATTTAGCAGTGGGGTTGCTTGATTGTATGGTAGCTCTGTTTTTAGATTTTTGGGGAACCTCAAAACTATTCTCCATAGTGGTTGTACTAATTTACATTACCACCAACCGTGTACAAGAGTTCTCTTTTCTCTACATCTTCACCAGCATTTGTTATTGCTTGTCTTTTGGATAAAAGCCATTTTAACTGGTGTGAGATGACATCTCATTGTAGTTCTGATTTGCATTTCTCTGATAGTTAATAACGGTATGTACCTTTTCATATGCCTATTTGCCTGTTTGCCATTTGTATGGCTTCTTTTGAGAAATGCCTATTCAAATCTTTTGCCCATTTTAAAATCAGATTGCTGGATTTTTACTATTGAGTTGTTTGAGCTCCTTATATACTCTGGTTTTTAATCCCTTGTCAAATGGATAGTTTGCAAACATTTTATCTCATTCTGTGGGTTGTCTCTTCACTTTTTTTATTGTTTCCTTTGCTGTGCAGAAGCTTTTTAACTTGATGAGATCCGATTTGTCCATTTTTTGCTTTAGGTATTACACAAGAAATCTTTGCCCAGACCAATGTCCTGGAGAGTTTTCTCAATGTTTTCTTTTAGAAGTTTCCTAGTTGAAGTTCTTAGATTTAAGTCTTTAATCCTTTTTGATATGATTTTTGTATATGGTGAAAGAGGGGGGCCTCGTTTCATTCTTCTGAATATGGATATCCAGTTTTCCCAGCACTATTTATTGAGGAGACTGCCCTTACTCAATGTATGTTCTTGGCACCTTTGTCAAAAATAGGTTCACTGTAGTTGTATGGATTTATTTCTGGGTTCTCTGTTCTGTTCCATTAGTCTATGTGCTTGCTTTTATGCCAGTGCCATGCTGTTTTGGTTACTAGAGCTCTGTAGTATAATTTGAGGTTAGGTAATGTGATTCCTCCAGTTTTGTTCTTTTTGCTCACGATGGCATAGGCTATTTGAGTCTTTTGTGGTTCCATATAAATTTTAGGATTTTTTTTTATTTTTGTGCAGAATGTCATTGGTATTTTGATAGAGATTGCACTGAATCTGTAGACTGCTTTGGGTAGCATGGACATTTTAATAATATTGGCTCTCCAGTCCATGAACTGAAATATCTTTCCATTTTTTTGTGTCCTTTTTAGTTTCTTGCATCCATGTTTTACAGTTTTTATTGCAGAGATCGTTCCCTTCTTTGGTTACGTTTAGTCCTTTGTATTTTATTTGTAGCTATTGTAAATGGGATTGCTTTCTTGATTCTTTTTTAGATTTTTCACTGTTGGCATATAGAAATGCTTCTGATTTTTGTATTTTGATATGATATCCTGCAACTTCTCTGAATTTATCAGTTCTAATAATTTCATGGTGGAGTCTTTAGCTTTTTCCAAATATAAGATCATATAATCTGCAAACAAGGATAATTTGACTTCTTTATTTCCAATTTGGATGCCTTTTATTTCTTTCTCTTTTCTGATTGCTCTAGCTAGGACTTCCAGCATTGTGTTGAATAACAGTGGTGAAAGGGGGCACCCTTGTCTTGTTCCAGATCTTAGAGGAAATGCTTTCAGTTTTTCCTCATTTAGTATGAAACTAGATGTGGTCTCTATTCTGTTCCATTGGTCTATATGTCAGTTCTTGTACCAATACTACGCTGTTTAGGTTACTGTAGACTTGTGGTGTAGTTTGAAGTTCAGTAGCGTGATGTCTCCAGCTTTGTTTTTTGCTTAGGATTGTCTTGGTTATTTGGGCTCTTTCTTGGTTCCATATGAGCTTTAAAATAGTTTTTTTCTAATTCCGTGAACCATGTCAATGGTAGTTTAATGGGAATAGAATTGAATCTATAAATTACTTTGGGCAGTATAGTCATTTTTATGATATTGATTCTTCATATCCATGAGCATGGGATGTTTCTCCACTTGTTTGTATAAGACCGCACAGCTACAACCATTGGATCTTTGAAAAACTTGACAAAAACAAGCAATGGGGAAAGGCCTTTCTATTTAATAAATGGTGCTGGGAGTGCTGACTAGCCATAGGCAGAAAACTGAAACTAATGTGAAGATTCCTTAAAGAACTAAAAGTGGAACTAACATTTGATCCAGCAATCCCACTACTGGGTATCTACCCAGAGAAAAAGAAGTCATTACATGAAAAGGAGACTTGCACACACATGTTTATAGCAGCACAATTCACAATTGCAAAAATGTGGAGCCAACCCAAATGCCCATCAATCAACGAGTGGATAAAGAAACTGTGATATATATACACAGTGGAATACAAAGGAATAAATTAATGGCATTCACAGCAACATGAATGAGATTGGAGACCATTATTCTAAGTGAAGTAACTCAAGAATGAAAAGTCAAACGTCGTATGTTCTCACACATAAGTGGGAGCTAAGCTATGAGGATGTAAAGGCATAAGAATAACACAATGGACTTTGGGGACTCGGGGGAAAGGGTGAGAAGTGGGTGAGGGATAAAGGACTACAAATTGGGTTCAGTGTATACTACTTGGGTGGCGGGTGCACCAAAATCTCACAAATCACCACTAAAGAACTTACTCGGCCAGGCATGGTGGCTCACGCCTGTAATCCTGGCACTTTGGGAGGACGAGGTGGGCAGATCACTTGAGGTCAGGAGTTCAAAACCAGCCTGGCCAACATGGTGAAACACCATTTCTACTAAAAATACAAAAAAACTAGCCAGGCGTGGTGGTGGTTGCCTGTAATCCTAGCTACTCAGGAGGCTGAGGCAGGAGAATCACTTAAATCTGGGAGGCAGAGGTTGCAGTGTCACTGCACTCCAGCCTGGGTGACAGAGTGAGACTCCATCTCAAAAAGAAATAAATAAAAAATAAAAAGAACCTACGCATGCAACCAAACACTTGTTCCCCCAAAACCTATGGAAATACAAAATGTTAATAAATAATTAAAGAAAATAAATTCAATACCCCTTCATGATAAAACCCTCAAAAAACTGGATATGGAAAGAACATATCTGAACACAATAAAAGACATATATGACAGCCTCTAATGATCCTTTGCATTTCTGCTGTATCAGTTGTAATGTCTCCTTTTAAATCTCTGATTTTGTTTATTTGGGTCTTCTCTCTTTTTTTTCTTAGTCTGGCTAAAGGTTTGTCAATTTTGTTTAACTTTTTAAAACTCCGACTTTTTGTTTTGTTGATTTTTCATATTTTTTTGTTTCAATTTCATTTATTTTGGTTCTGATCTTTATTTCTTTTCTTGTACTAATTTGGGGTTTGATTTGTTCTTGCTTTCCTAGTTTTTAAAGATGAATTATTAGGTTGGTTATTTGCAGTTTTTCCACGTTGTTGATGCAGGCACTTATTGCTATAAGTCTTCCTTTTAGTACCACTGTGTTTGGCTGTTCTTATGTTGCTGTAAATACCTGAGACTGGGTACTTTATAAAGAAGAGAGTTTTAATTGGCTTGAGGTTCTGCAGGCTGTACAAGCATGGAACTGGCATCTGCTCAGCTTATGGGGAGGGCTCAAGGAGCTTTTACTCATGGCAGAAGGCAAAGGTGGAGCAAGCATACCATATGGCAGAAATGGGAGCAAGTGAGAGAGTGGTAGGGGAAGGTGCCACACACTTTTAAGCCACCAGATCTCACATGAACTGAGAGAGCTCACTTATCACCAAGGGCATGGCCCAAGCCATTCATTGAGGGATCTGCCCCCATGATCTAAACACCTCCCACCAGGCATCATCTTCAACATTGGGAATTACAATTCACCATGAGATTTGGCAGGGATATACATTCCAACTATATCAACCGTTTTTGCTGTATCTCATAGGTTTTGGTATGTTGTGTTTCCATTGTCACTAGTTTCTAGAAATTTTTTGATTTCGTTCTTAATTTCTTTATTGACCCACTGGTCATTCAGGAGCATATTGTTTAATTTCCATGTGTTTAGATAGTTTCCAAAGTTCCTCAAGTTATTGATTTCTAATTTTATTTCACTGTGGTCAAAGAAGATACTTCATATGATTTCAGTTTTTTTGAATTTTTAAAGCCTTGTTTTGTGGCCTAACATATGGTCTATCCTTGAGAATGATCCATGTGCTGAGGAGAATAACCACTTTGCAGTCATTGGATGAAATGTTCTATGAATTTCTATTAGGTCCATTTGGTGTTGTGCAGATTAAGTCTTACGTTTCTTTGTTGATTTTCTGTTTGGATGATCTGTCCAATGCTGAAAGTGAGGTGTTAAAGTCTCCTGCTATTATTTTATCAGGGTCTATCTTTCTCTTTAGCTCTAATGCTATTTGCTTCATATATCTGGGTGTTTCAGTGTTTGGTGCATATGTATTTACAATTTTTATATCCTATTGCTTAATTGACCCCCTTATCATTATGTAATGACTTGCTTTGTCTCTTTTGATAGTTTTTGTCTTGATTTTATAGTTTTTATATTATTTTATCTGATAAAACCATAGCTACTGCTCTTTTTTGGTTTCCATTTATATGGAATATATATTTTTCATTCCTTTGTTTTCAGTCTATTTGTGTCTTTATAGGTAAAGTGTGTTTCTTGTAGGCAACAGATTGTTGGGTCTTGTTTCCTTATTCCTTCAGTCATTCTGTGTCTTTTGATTGAAAGTTTAGCCAATTTACATTCAACGTTATTATTGATAAGTACTATTGCCATTTTATTATGTGTTTTCTGGTTGTTTTATGCTTTCTTCCCTCCCTTCCTCCTTCCCTCTCTCCCTCCCTCTCTCCCTCCCTTTGAAAGTGGTTTCCTCTTATGGCATGTTTTAATTTCTTTTTTTTAATTTTTTCAGTATCTGTTTTATTTGATGTTACCATGAGGCTTGCAAATAACTTCTTATAACTCATTATTTTAAACCGATGATACCTTAACTCTGATTGCAAAAATGAACAAGCAAACAGAAAACTAAGAACTCTAAACTTTAACTTTATCTCACCTGCTTTTTAACTTTTTGTTGTTTCTATTTATATCTTATTATACTGTCTATGTCTTAAAAAGTTGTTGTACTTACTATTTTTGATAGGTTAGTCTTTTAGTCTTTCTACTTATTATATGAGTAGGTTATACACCACAAATACAATTATAACATGCTGTATTTGTGTGTGTACTTACTGTTACCAGTGAGTTTTATATCTTCAGATGATTTCTTATTCATTAACGTTCTTTTCTTTCAGATTGAAGAATTCCCTTTAGCATTTCTTGTAGAACAGGTGTGGTATTGATGAAATCCTTCAGCTGTTGTTTGTCTAGGAAAGACTTTATTTATCCTTCATGTTTCAAGGATATGTTCACTGAATATATTAAAGTATAAGAGTTTTTTTTTCTTCAGCACTTTAAATATGTCATGCCACTCTCTCGTGGCCTTTAAGGTTTCCACTGAGAAGTCTCCTGCCAGATGTATTTGAGCTCCTTTATATGCTACTTGTTTCTTTTCTCTTGCTGCTTTTTAGGATCTTTTCTTCATCCTTGACTTTCGGGTGTTTGATCATTAAATGTCTTGAGGTAGTTTCGTTTGGGTTAAATCTGATTTGTGTTCTATAAACTTATTGTACTTAAATATTGATACCTCTCTCTAGGTTTGGAAAGTTCTCTGTTATGATCTCTTTGCTTTTTTTTCCTCTGCCTAATCACTACAAGTTCCTCTTATTCTACATTTATCAGTTATTTTTTGTAGATGACTTAGACTTTTATATCTCCTCTGGGCTCCAAACTTGTGTATACTTACTGCATCCTTGAGGTCTCTTGGATGTTTCAAAGTTACCTAAAAAAGAACATGTCTAAAATTAATTTAGCATCTACCCCCACTCCTCCAACTGATCTTCTTCCAGACTTCCCTGCCTCAGGGAATGGGAGCATTATTCACTTTTGTGCACAGGAAAGTGAATCAGCTGTGATCTCTTGTGCTCAAATCTTTTATGTTCAAGTCCTGTTAAGGATAGCTCTTTAATATTTGTTTTCTCCATTTCCAGGACCACTACTGAGTTTATCTACTCCCATCTCCTACCTGTACCACTTTCTATGTCTGTCTTCTTGGCTCCATGACCTTGTAAACCAAAATGTATGTGAGACAAGTCTCAATCAATTTAGAGGTTTATTTTGCCAAGTTTAGGAACATGCCTGTGACACAGACTTAGGAGGTCCTGACAACATGTGCCCAAGGTGATGTGGCTACAACTGGGCTTTATACATTTTAGAGAGACCTAAGACATCAATCCATACATGTAACATTTATACTGGTTCCATGTGGAAAGGCAGGACAACTGAAAGCAGGAGCTTCCAGTTCACAGGCAGATTCAAATATTTTCTGATTGGTAATTGGTTGAGTTATTATCTAAACACCTGGAATCAGTAGAAAGGAATGTCTGGGTTATGATAAGGGGTTGTGGAGACCAAGGTTATTCATGCAGGTGAAGCTTCCAGGTAGCAGGCTTCAGAGAGAGTAGATTGTAAATGTTTCTTATCAGACTTAAAGAGTCTATTCTATCAGTCTTCAGGTCTGTGCTGATGTTAATGGTAATGAGGCATGTCTGACTCCTCCTTCCCATCATGGTCTGAGCTAGTTTTCCAAGTTAACTTTGGAACGCTCTTGGAAGAGAGGATGGCTCCTTTCAGATTGTTGTGGGGCTTATAATTTTATTTTTGGTCTATACCCTTAACTCTCCAGACTGCAGCCAGCATGATGTTTTTGAAATGAATATCTGATCACATCACCATCTCTACCTCCTGCTTAAAACCTAACAGTGATGTAGGGACCAGGACGCTTGGCCCCCTGAAGGTTTGCTGAAATTCACCAACATGAGACAGGTTGATTAATAGGAGAAAAAGCATACAGATTTATTTAATGTGCATACACAGGAGCCTTCAGAATGAAGACCCGGCCCCCCACTGGGATGCAGAGACTTATATACCATCTTGAGATTACAGAAAGAAGGTGAGCTCAGAGCATAACCAAAAACAGGTTATGGTGGTAAATCATGTAGTGGCAAGGCTGGTTATGGGAGGGGGCGAAGAGGAGGCTTGGCTAGAAAAGGTGGTCTTGTTATGCAGATGAAACCTCACAGGTAGCAGCTCTCAGAGGGAATATATGGTAAATGTTTCTTTTGGATCTTTAGAAGTGTCAGACTCAGTTAATCTGTCCTAGATCTGGACAAGGGAAGGCCTGGCTGCGTTAATGGAGATTCTCTACAGATGCAAATTTCCCCCACAATAGATGGTTTTGAAGGGCCACTTCAGATTATTCTCCCTGTGGCAGCCATCTCAAAATATGTACAAAAATTATATTATGGGGTATAGTTTGATTTCCTTCAGTAACTTCTGATTACTTAAGGGATAAAGGTAAACCACTGCTCAGCCTGTGAGGCCGACCTAGCCTGCCTTCCTCTAGGGTTTCCCACACCATGCTTTCTCCACACTGGCCGGATGTCAGTCCCTTGCGCTGGCCCCACTCCCTTTCACCACCAAAGCTTTGCACAAGTTGTCCCCCAGATACTCTTTTCTTTCTTCTTTGTCTAGTTAACTCCTACTCATCCTTCTAATCTCAGCTCAAGGCTCACCTCGTCTTAGAAGACTTTCCTGAGCTCCCTATCTCCACTAAATTTCCATCACACCCTCTCGTAGTACCCTTATTTCTCCTTTTTAATACTTCTCATAGCTGAACTTTTATTTGTGCCCTTATTTGATTAATGTTTATCTACCTCTAGATTACAAACTTCAGAAGGTAGGAGGATTTATTTGATTCTCTGTTGCGTACTCAGCCCATAGCAAGATGCTTGGCGCATTGTGGGTGTTTCATATTTGTTGAATGAATGAATGAACAAATGCCATACTAAGATGTTTGCAATTTATCCCTTGGGCTTCATTGAAAGAATGTAAGCAGAAAATAGATTATTTAAGTTTAAACAAGAAAGCTCAGTGAACTGTTTTGAGACAAGATGGGCACAGGTTGGAAACAGACCCGTTTGACACCTGTCACAATAGCGCAGTTGAGAAAGAATGAGCACCCAGCCAAAGTAGTCCCAGTGAGGCTGAAGCGTAGAGTGGAAGTGATCATGATTAGAAGGTAGGACAGATAGAACTTAGTGACTCTGTGAGGTGGTGAAACTGCCTTTGCCAAGATTATAACACCCTTTCCCCAAATAAACCCCCTTCTTGGCTGGGAACTAGACTGCTTTTGTAGGACTAACAAATTTGCCACAAGATTAGAAATTATGGTTTAGGAGTCATGCAGCTAGAGGCCACAAAGTTCTAAACCTCCCCAGTTGTTCCTAGGGATAACATCACTATTGGAAAACCTAAGATTGGGGCTTGAGTTATTTTTTCAGGCCTTGCACTCAATAGATCAGCTAGTGTCACCCAGATCAATAAACCGACTCATCTGATCTTCTGGTCCCCACCCAGGAACTGACTCAGCTCAAGAGGGCAGCTTCGACTCCCTATGGTTTCGTCTCCAACCCGACCAATCAGCACTCCCCACTTCTCAAACCCCTACCCACCAAATTATCCTTAAAAACCCAAATCCCAGAATTTTCAAGGAGACTGGTTTGAGTAATAACAAAACTCCAGTTTCTGGTACAGCTGGGTCTGACTGAATTAAACTCTATTGTAATTGCCCTACCTTGATATCTTGATAAATCAGTTTGGTCTATGCAGCAGGCAAAAAGAACCTGTTGGGAGGTTTACAGTGGCTGCTGGGATGGAGGGAAGTACACCAATGAATCCAGGGTACGTAGAGACAGAACAGCTTTGTGGCAAGAGAGACTGCGCTCAGTTTGAGACTCGATGAATTTGAGGCTCCTAGGAGACACCCTGCGGAAGATGTCTAATGGGTAGTCTTACATTTTCAGCCTTTTTCACAGGTTTTTTCTCTGCCTAGTAATAAAGGCTAGGTTTATTCTTCTTTTAACCCTTTTTGCATTTAGAAAAAAAAGTGCAACTCGCTGCCAGCACTCATTTAATTTTATAATAAACATGCCCTTTGAGGCTGAAGCAAATTGGACTGATTTTTAAGGTGAAAACAAAACATAAAAATTGTTCTTGGAGTTATTGCTACACAGAACTGACATGAGAACTGCCTGAATCATCAGAAACACGTATTTCAGAAAAATCAGATTCGTCAAATGAATCTTTGGCCAACAACTGTTCGAGAATGATGTGAACAGCATGTGTAGATATGCTATGTTTTCTAGGATTTGACATTTTCAGTGATCGAGAATTACTATATTTTGTAAATGGAAATACCACTACTGGAAACAGAATGCTATAGATAGGATGATGTCTTTTGTTTCCAAAGTTGATATACCAGAGAGATGCAAAAATAATAATAAAGTGAGATTTCATGGCAAAGTTATCTCGTGGTAAATGCTGCAGCCACAAGTGCTGCCCGTGAATATTCTCAGGGAAAATGGGAAAAGGGCTAAAAGCAAAACATTTCTTGGAACCTTATTCCTTTACTCCTCTTCTTAACAAACTGTCTTTGAAAGGGCAGACAGCACATGCTCTGTCTGCATCTGTTTAACTCCTGTTCACTCCTCTACTCCCCATTCTCTTGGCATCGCTGAAACTGCCTTCAATAATGAGCCCAGAAGCCAAATCTAGTGCACCCCCAGAGACTGAATATACAAAAGGACAATATCCAGACCATATATAAAAATAGAACTTTGATCCACAACCTGCAGCAACATGCCCAGGAAATCAACCCCTTATTTACAAAAAAACAGTCTAGGAAGCCAGCTTGCTATATAAGTCAGACTTGCAGGAAGCCAGATAGCTATCTTTAGTGACAATCCAGTGAAATAACTTTTATACCTACTGGCCACAAATGGCCAGGACTTAATTAATGACTGAAATAATTGGCAATTGGCATCTTCCCAATTTTTTTCTCCTGCTCTCAACTTAGAGCCAACCAGAGAAAGCCAAACATGCTCCAACCAATCATACAGGATGCCCCACTTCTGATTAGCCTGCCTACAGCTTCCTCATGCCAAAAGTCACCAATCAGGGTGCACCCAAGCCTTCCATTTTTTCTACTCTAAGGCGTTTCCCATCCTCTGCCTGTCTCTGAGTCTCTGCCAAAACGCAAGTGATGGTGGCTGACTCCCTTACTACAGCAAACTCGGAAGAAATAGCCTTTGCCTTTCTCATTTAGTTGGTCTTCATTTATTCCCACAACCCTCCACTTCTTATCAAAATCACTCAGCTGCACTTAACACTACTAATCATGCCCTCCTTGAAATTGTCTCTTCCCTCAGCTCCTGAGACCCCAATTCTGATTCACTGTCATTTGTGTGTATGACATCTTCGTATCCTTCAGGGTCTCTTTCTCTGCCAGGGGCATCCAGGGTTCCTTCCTCAGCCTCCTTCTCTACTCACGTTCATGTCTCCTTGGGTAATGGCATCCACTCTTTCTCAACCACCACTGTTGCACTTATTCCCTAAATCACTGTGTCCAGCCCAGACTTGTTCCTACCGACTCTCTCCTCCCTGAGGCTCCACAAGCACCTAAACTCAACATACTCAAAGCCAATTCCCCCTACCCCAACACATACACACATATAAACATGGTGCACCCTTCCCTTCCCACCTCTGCTGGTCATACCATACCCACCATATCACCCAAGTAAAATTATTAATTTGTACTGATTGATTTGGCCTCTTAAATATTTCCTTGGTGCATTTCCTCTTCTTCATCTCTATTTCCACTGTCCACTTTAGGATGTCACTATCTCTTCCCAAAATATTACAAAAGTCTCCTAACTGGTTTTCAACTTGCCAGGCTTGTCTCCTTTCGAACAGCCTTCCATTTTCTTCACAGAGTCATCTTTTCAAAATATCCATCTGAGCATGTCATGCCTTGCCTACAACCCTCTTCATTATTTAGTATAACATACAAGTCCCCACGATGTTCTCCTCCGCCATGTTTCCTGTCATACAAGACTTTGAACTTGATGCTCTAAGCAGATACATCACACTGTTTAGACTCCTGAGGCTGTGCAAATTGTGAGCATGTCCCTTGGTGGTATCAAAGCACCAATGATATTCTCACTTGTATCCTCATTGGTGACCTGCGGTCTTAGCTTGGCGTCCCTAGAGAATGTTTATGGCCAGCCGCTTGATCTCTGTGAGGAGGTCTCTGCTCAGGTGGCTAGCTGCAAGGAGGACCACGTTGGACTGAATTAGTTATGATTTGCGAGCTTCCAAATTCTCTTTGTCAGAAGCCCTAGTTTATACTTGGCTTGCAGGTGTGGCTGAAACCAAATGAAGGACTATCTAGGGCTTCCCAAAAGAAGGGGAATTTCAAACTCTTGCCCTCAGAATTTTTCATCTTCTGCACAAATGGAGTCTCTGCTTATACTTACAGATGTGGTCCTTTCGCTCCCATGACCCCATTGATGTATCCATATCAACGGATAAGGGGTGCAGCAGGGTCTCTGCTCTCCAGAGGCGGGCGAAAGCCTTCCCAGCAGGCATTTACTGTCAGCCAAACCAGCAGGAAGAAAGAAAGTCAATATCAGAGGGCAACTGGCTGATTGTTAAAGCTGGGCCTCGTGTGGGAGAAAGATAATGGTCTGGTGATTTCACACGTAAACATTTTTAAGATGCCGATAGCCAGCAGGCAGCCTTTCACATCAGATATCTCTGAATGGCATCAGCATTTGGGGGAAGGCTGGGAGACAAGAAACTCCCCGCTTCAACTAGAAAATATCGTAACTTTTATTGAAGAAAGGAACGCCTCATTCTCCAAGTGCCAGACCGTGCCTTCCTGATTTACAGCAGGACTTTGGAGGCTGACTACTCAAATATAAAGTTACCGCAGCTGCCTCCCTGTTTGTGTGGAATGATGAAGTGGAAGGCAATAGAGGAGAGTAAATAGAGCTCTAGGAGGCCAGTGCTGGCCGGGAAGGAGGTCCCAAGTTACAGCCAACCATTAAGACTGACACTGTGGGATAGGGTGATGGTTATGAGGACAGAAGATGGCAGACGCCGAGGAACGGGGAGGCTGCCCACACTGGCGGGCTGGCTGCGGGGTGTGATGATGCTGGCTTACACCAACACACATATGCGCGCACACACACACCTGTGCACAGCACACACACATACATACACACCTACACACACAGACATACACACCTACACTCACCCACACCTACACACACACCTACACACACATACATACACACCTACACACACTCCTACTCATACACACCTATACACATACACACCTACATACATTCACACCTACACTTATACCCACAGCTACACACACACATACATACACACCCACACACACACCACATATACACACCTACACTCATACACACACTACACACACATACACACCTACACTCATACACACCTACATTCATACACACCTACACTCATACACACAGCTACACACACCTACACATACACCTACACACATACACACCTACTCGTACACACCTACACACACTACACGCCTACACACCTACACCAATACACACCTACACACACCCACACACATACACACCTACACTCATACACACCTATACACACCTGCACACCACACACATACACACCTATACACACTCCCTACATACTAGACATCTACACACACCTACACTCATACACACCTATACACACACTCCCTACACACATACACACCTACACACATACCCACACTCACACATACCTATACACATACACCCCTACACACACACATACACACATACCTACACCTACACTCATACATACCTACACACACTGCACACCTACACACACATATCTACACACACCTACACACATGCACACCTACACCCATACACACCTATACACACCTACACACACCTACACATACACACATACACACACCTACACATACACATCTATACACACCTACATACAACTCATACCTATACACATACACACACACCTACACACATACACACCTATAACACACATACATATCTACACACATACAAACCTGCACACATATATGCATACACACCTATATATACACACCTACACACCTACACATACACACCTACACACATACATACCTACACTCATACACACATACAACCCTACACACATAGACACCTATACCTACACACACACCTACACTCATACACACCTACACACACACATACACACCTACAGTCACCCACAACTACACATACACACCTACACTCACCCACAACTACACACACATACACACCTACACTCACCCATACCTACACACACATACATACACAACTACACTCATACACACCTATACACACATACACACCTACATACATTCACACCTACACTCATACCCACAGCTACACACACACATACATACACACCCACACACACACCACATATACACACCTACACTCATACACACACCTACACACACATACATACACACCTACATTCATACATACACACACCTACATTCATTCACACCTACACTCATACACAGCTACACACACCTACACACACTCTACACACCTACACACCTACACTAATACACACCTACACACACCCACACTCATACACACCTACACTCATACACACCTATACATACCCCCTACACACCTACACACCTATACACATACACATCACACACATACACACCTATACACAATCCTTACCTACACACCTACACACACCTACACTCATACGCACCCATACACACACCCCTACACACATACCTACACACACATACCTACACTCACACATACCTATGCACACATACACCCCTACACACACACATACCTATACCTGCACTCATACATACCTACACACCTACACACACACCTACACATGCACACCTACACCCATACACACCTATACACACATACACACCTACACACACCTACACATACACACCTATACACACCTACACACACCTACGCATACACACCTATACACACATAAACACCTACACACACCTACACATACACACCTATACACACATACACACCTACACACACTTACACATACACACCTATACACACATACACACCTACACATACACACCTATACACACCTACATGACTCACATACCTATACACAAACACACCTACACATACACACCTATACACACCTACATGACTCACATACCTATACACAAACACACCTACACACATACACACCTATAACATACATACCTACACACAAACCTGCACACATATATGCATACACACCTATATACACACCTACACACATACACACCTACACACATACATACACACCTACACTCATACACACCTATATACACATACTTTTACACACCTACACATGCACACATACACACTTACACACATACATACCTAGACTCATACATACACCCCTACACACCTATACACACGCCTACACACATACACACCTACACCTACACACACATACACTCATACACACCTATACACACACTCCTACACACCTGCACTCATACACACCTACTCATACATACACACCTACACTCATACACACCTATACGCACATATACCCCTACACGCCTACACACACACACATACACACACACATACATACACGTGTACTTTCAGGATAACAAGGTAGTGACTTTACTGGAAACTCTAGCAATGGCACCGTGAGCTGCTGCTGTGCGGTGGGAAATTTGGAAACACAGGAGTAGCTGCGGTGCAGGGTCTGAGCTCCAAAGCTTCTCCCAGGCATCCTTGGGAACTGCAGGACAGTGAACAGCAAATAGCCCGCCTGCCAGCTGTGCTCTGACTTCCTCCAGATGGTGTCTGGTCCTCTCATAGGGGCCTGTGGTCCCTCCTGCGAAAGTTCACTTTGAGGATCATCCCCAAATTCCAGACTTGAAGAGGCACAGAGGTGGCCGAGGCACAGAGGTGGCCAAGGCCAGAGTTTGCCCAGAGGCCAGTTTGGATTTAGGGCCACATTAAGGGGAGGTGAGACCATGAGTGCTTATGGTGGAGAAGCCACATGGATTTCAAGCAGTGGATGTGCCTCTGGGGAGGACAGCAGGTTAAGGCCAGGGACTGAACTTGGACTGCCAGTGGTTTACCTGGCTGTTTTTGCTAAAACACAACTGAGTGGAACTATGCGCTGGGAGGAGGCAGGTGCCAGCAGTTAGAGCCTGGCTTGGCCCCGTGAGACCCTGGCCTCTCTTTTGCCTGGAAAGTTCCTATCCATTAGAGCAAGCCCTGCTGACAGATTGGGGACAGAGCTGAGTTGGACAATCCTGAGTGTGACTAATGGGAGTGATCACTTAGGTGCAAGGGCAGCCACTGTCCCTGGACTCTGGTTTTAGGAGGGGCCATAGAAGCTCTGATCCACCGATCCTGAAGACAGCTAAAGCCCAACAGTGAACAGACATCTCTCTGGCAGCTGGATCATCCAGGGCCAGAGTTCTCGGCTGTCCCCACCCTTCTGAAGCCATCTGTGGGCATTGGGGAGACTCAGGTTACATAGGTGCTCCTTGTTTCTCTCCCCTTGCTGGGTTTTCATCAGGTTTTCTTCTGATGAAACATATTGAGAGAGGAATGCTCTGTTGTAAGAAGACTCTGAGAGGCGACAGGATTAAGCCACACAATACCTCTCAGCAAGATTTTTGCAGAAAAGCATATTGAAGTGTGGGCATTTCAGGAGAAGCCACAAAACCACAAGGCAGAAGTCCTTTGAGCAAATCAGCAGACAAATATGTTAGGATGAGGCTTCCCTTCCATCCTGAGCAGAACATTTTCAGTTTTCCAATTTAAGAAACCAAAGTGAACTGTTACCTTCCTCTATAAAGAAGAAACAATAGGAGCTTCTCATGAAGCAAAAAAAAAAAAAAAAAAAAAAAAAAAAGGCTTGCTCAGAAAGATAGCAGAGAACTTAGAAAATGTTATTTAAAAATGGAACACCTGAGACAGTAGGAAGAGAGGACACCATGTCAAGAGAAGAAATTGCAAACGTCTGGGTTGGTTTGGACTTGGATTTACTTGTTGAAAATGAAAGGATATTTCATATTCTGAACGATGAGCCAGCCACGCTGACAAGTTCACTGCTTAATCAGAGGAATCCAGCAAATTAATAGGTAATTCTGATGGAATAACAAAACCTGTCTCGGGTGGACCATAAATTATCGCCCTGCTGTAAGGGAAAGGTGACAATGTGGATTTGTCCAGGAAGAAGGAGGGAGAGAAATATTTTCAGGGTCAGTGGATTTCTCTCTCCTCTCTGTCTCTCTCGTCTCAGAACAACATAGGAGAGAACAAGGTTTTCCCCGTGAGTGGCGAGCTAATAAGCTTTGTGAGCAGGAGGTTCTATGCATTAGGAAAGGATTAACCCATGGCTAGCTCCTCTGTTTGCACAAGGAGGTGGCCCTCTGCTATTGCTGTGAAGGAGCAATTGGAATCCACAGTATTTCAGAAGGGCCTGAGGTCTCTAATGCTCCCTCAAGAGCCATCCTCCCAGCCCTGCTTCCTCCTTAGCTAGCTCTGGGACCTGGCATTCGGCACCGTTTCATTTTTACAGCTGCCTACCCCATCCTGAGCACATTTGCACAGCAAGGAGACGGGCCAGTTCCCTGGGCTCTACCCTGGCCTCGTTAGGGCTGACTTGAAGCCTCCATCTCGCCGATTCTGAGCGCCTCTGTGTTCTCTGTGTTTGCACCGATTGTTCCCATGGCTTGGAATATCTTCCTCCTCTTTCTCTTGGCTAATTCCTGCTAATCTCTCAGGCCCTCTCTTAGGGACACTTTCTTCAGAAAGCCTCTGATTGCCCATGGCAGTTAGATGACTTTTCAAAGTGATCCCACGTGTCTGTCTTGGGCGTTCCTCCTTCACGACCCTGGTCATGCTGGACGGCAACTCTCTACTTCTTTCTCACACAGGCCTGTGAGTGTGGGAGCGGCAGTGGTTAGGACTTTTGTTGTGTGGCCCCAGATCCAGCAGAGGGATCGGGGCATATGATAGGAACTTGCTGGAGGTGGGAGCAGAAGACTCGCCTACGTGACAGATGGTGGGGAGGGCGTTGCGGGGTGTGTCGGAGAGGGCTTCCCCAGGCTAAAATTCCTTTTAGTAGTACAGGTTCAGGGTATGTCCTTCCAGGTGGTGGAGAATAGGTTCTCCAAGAGGATTTTGAAAGTCCAGGAAAGAATGGACAATGATGTGTGAAAATTAGAAGATTCTTGGGAAAGGCTCCACCTCCTGCTTCCAACAAGAATGCACGGATGGAGCCATTGATGACATCTTATGATAATAATACACTTACCCTGTCACAGGGGGACTGTGCTCCTGGATGGAAAATGTGGAGGAGACCAAGACCCATGTCAAACTCATACCAAAATGTGTTCCACGATTCCCACATAGCATCTCCCAGGACCAGTTTTGAGGAACACACTTTGGGAGACATTGATATTTCCTTTCCTTTTAAACTTTACAAATGATACCTCAGTTTTAAGACTGTGGAAACTTCGGTCTCTTCAGCCTTTATTTCTTCCTTTCCTCCTTTGCTCTCTTCCTCCCTCCCTCCTTGGCTTCTCGCTCTTTCTTTCTCTTTCCTTCCTCCCTCTTTCTTTTTTTCTTCCTTTCCTTCCTTCTTTCTTTCTTTTTCTTTCTTTCTCTTTATTTCTCTTTTTCTTTCTCTTTCTTTCTTCTTTTTCTTTTCTTTCTTTCTTTTTATTTCTTCTTTCTTTTTCTTTCTTCTTTCTTTCTTTTTCTCTCCTTCCTTCCTTCCTTCCTTCCTTCCCCCTTCCTTCTTTCTCTTTCTTTCTTTTTCTTTCCTCTCTCTCTTTCTTTTTCCTTCTAGGGGTTTACTAAGGGTGACATTTGAATTGTTGTAATAGAGTGGGCCACAAGTGTATTTGCATGTGACTGATGGCTGGCTTGCAAGCAGCCTGCACGGTCTCCACATGCTGAGAGCCAGTCTCAGGCTGGTAGTGATGCTGTGCCCCTGACAAACTGGTGTTCTGTCATCTGTGAGTGATAAATCAGTCACCCCACCCTGTGAACATCCAGGGTAAAAGATTTCTCACTAGATGGAAGTTCTTAAGAACAGGAATTGTGCTAGTTTATCTCAGCCTCCACAGTACATCACCCGTCGTAGGTCCTTTTAACGCTTGCTGGGTTAATGGACATCGTGCAATATTAGTGCATGACAAGAGGTAAAATCTCACAGTAATTAAAGATGGCAGAGAGGACTCAGGAAAGCCTTCCAGCTCAGATCCCAGGAGTCAAGCCAAGAGTACCATGGGGTGCATGTACCATTGAACAGGCAGATGGTAGACACACATCCTCAAGTTAGAGACTGGAAGATGCCATACATGCAATGTCTTGCTACATGTGGGTGTGTACATCAGCTGAACCCTGGACTAAGAGTCTCAGAATAAATGGCAAACTTTCCAGCTTGAGATGTATTTTCTTGTCTTTAAAGTCTTCTGATCCATAGTGAAAATAAACATAGAGAATGAAGTTTCTCTTTTCTAGGCTCAAATGAAGGGCCTTCCATGTTGTTGGCACTCACTCAAGAAACATTTAAATGAATGATTTGGAAGTGCAGGCAAGCTGGCTGGGACATCTGTCACTGTGCTGATGGCCAGCATGGATTTGGTCGGTCCAGCTGGCTGGGTGTGGCTTCTTGTCTTCCCCTGGTGCTCCTCCTGGAGCTTGGTGGGGGGCGTGGGGGGTGGGGGGCAGGCTACCTTCTAAGGAAGAGCACAGCTTTTCTTCCATTTAGGAGATGTTATAAGAACATTTCCAGGATGCTCCTACACCTGTTTTGTATTTGTTACCCAGTTACTTCCATTTCCAGGTCTGCCTTCCCTGTACATGAGTGCCACCTTGCCCACTACCCATCCAAATGGCCAGGAGTTGTGGAAGGTCCTTCTTTCCCAATTCCCATATGTGGCAGTTTTATCATTTCCAATCCCAGACTTGTGCTTGAGGCTTTCACGCCAAGGCCCAGGTTTTCGATGGCAGGTTTTTGGCAGAGCTGCCAGCCTCGTAAAACAAGGTAATGGTCTTTAGGAAGTAATCACTTTAGCTATTGTTTCCCAGCAGTTGCCAGAGAGTCTAGAAAGGACCCAGTGACTTCACGACAGTACAGTACAGCAAAAGGGAGAACAGCAGCTGCAGCAGCAGCCTGTGGATGGCAGGGAAGGTGACTGCTAATTTTACAGGCACTTGGAGATATTCTGGCACCTTCATAGGACACCAGGGAACCTGCAGTCACTTTTGCTGGCTGACTTTTCAATCTCCTAGCATTGAAAAGCTCGACAGGAAAGAACTTAAATCCATTGTACAGTTTTGCAATTTTCTCTAAGGCCAATATTACACATGGAATGCCTAATGGGAAATTGCTACAAAAGTGGCAGCTAATTACAGGTTAGTGGATAAAACAACACCCTTCTCTGGAGAGCCTGTGCACGTAGGTTGAAGGATAAAATAGGGCTGAATGGTATTTGGTTTATTTGTATTTATCCAAGTCAGTGGCCCAGGCAGGAACGTAATATATGACAAGGGACATTTTTGAAATAGCTGTTTTTGAATTATGCTCATGAAATACACACTGTGCTATGGAGGACATGTGGGAAAGCTACACTCTGACCGCATGACTAATTTTTAAAGCCTTGCATAGAGAGAATTCCCCCTAAGAACACAGCTGGGCTATTCCTTCGTGAACTGAATGTGTCAATTGTGAATTGAACTAAGGTGAAATTTTACTCCAATATGGCAAATGAACTGAGGAGCGTACCCTTCAGCTAAGGTATTATGTAGTAGTTCATACACCAAGTACTATTATTTTATTAACTTTAAGAACATGTTTTACATAAAAACAGGCAACATCAAAAAAGCTCAGTTGATAAATGAACATAATATATCACAGATGATTTCATTCCACATTAACCTACATGTATCAGCTTAAACTGAAGGATTAGGGGGAAAAATTGGATCTCATTCCACCTTTAATTAAGGACACAAATTGTTTGAAAGTTATTTCATTAGGATTCTGAAAATCAAAGATTAACCTATGCCATCTGATCCATGCAGCAAGTGATAAATTCAGTATTTTCAAAAGAAATATTGAATTTTTTTCTTGAGTCAAATTGAAACCTTTCAGAAACTTGTTTAAATGCGCCAAGTCCCTACGCACCTTTTTAGTATGTATGAGCAAAATACTGTTGAATTTCACACTCAACTAATCCTTTAATAATTTTCTTTCAGCCAGAATGAAAAAGGCTAGTATTAATTTCCTAATAAAATTTTTTTTCAAAAGTTATCGAGGATATGACTATAACCTTGGACCAGTTTCAATTTCTTTTTATTTTTTCTGAGAATACACCAAAGATTAATGTCAATGGCAAGTGAGAAATTGTCCCTAGAGAACTATTCAAGGACTTTTTCTTACTACATTTGATTGGACTGGAGTGAACTGACATTATAGCATCTTTATCATCACCTTTAAAATTCTATTTTCTCTTAGTAGCAACAGTGAAGACTTTAGAACTATTACTTACTTTAAATTATTAAAGTATATCACAGACAAAATATTCAATTTTACATTAAAGCAACATTAAGGGTCTCAATTTCATTGAACAGAAACAAATGCTGAAGAAATTTACAGGTATGATTTAATTTTAGAGAGTGTTCTTTCTTTAGGGAACAAAATGAAACTAGATCTCTCATTTGTCTGTATGGGCAAGATATGGTAAACCTCATGATCAAAACACATGCCAGTTAGAAACTTGATCACAGAAATGATGCTCAGTGTTGAAACCCAACAATAAACAAACAAACAAAAACCCCCACTCTAACCAGAGGCATTTAAGCCTCTCCACTGAAGTTCCTGTTTCCCACCAGTTTACGACCCTTAATGTTACTGCATGTATGGTTGCATATTTGAGATGATTAAAAATAAAAGACTGGCTTAAAAGCACCTCCTCCTCTAGTGTGTAATTACATACAAACTAAAGATTCCTTCTGACGTCCTAGGAACCCCATTTGTTACCGTTTCATGTGTAAGCACCATTGAACCAATTTTTAAAGCACATTTGCAGTTATCAAATGTTTAGTGTGTCCTCAAGTTTCATTGATTTGTTTGCCTTTAAGCAAGAAAAGAGTAAAGTGTATTATTTTCCCCTGCTTCTTTTCATATCTGAATTGTCAAAAAATGTTAATTTTGGAAGTGCTTTTAATCACTATTTTCCCCAACAGACTAGAATGGCTCCATGAAATTTGACAATTAAGTAAGGAAATCTTTATCCCCAAAAGAAGCACGTATCTTACCCTCTAAACTGCATGCAAAGTAAGGGTCTGTGTGAGAGTATTTTCCCCAAACTCCTAATGGACATGGCAGACAATGTGTAGAAAAATCTGAGTTTTGAACTGACCAACTTCAAGTCTTTTAAAATCTTTGGGCAAAAAAAAATATCATGTAGCAGTTAAAAAAATTATTGACTTACAAATTATAGAAAAGATATGTTATCTACAATATATGCCAGGTGACCCATTAAATTTAAAAAATGTGTGCGAATGAGTAACTACATTAAAACTACCATCTTGGATCTTGGTGCTTTCCAAAATTCTGAAATCACTATTAAGGAGGGACCATACCAGATTTTTTTGTTGTTCTTTTCCTTGGAGAATGGGGAAGAAGTTGGAAAGAGAAGGAAGTAAACCTTCACTCTTTGGTACAGCCCTGTATAGCAAACTTCAGCCTGGGGCACATTTTTATGGTCAAATTAAAAACCTTTGAGAATAGGAGTTTATCATAGAAATGCTGACAGATCCTAACCCAGAGAAGGGCTAAGAGCAACACAGTAATATTAAGAAAGCTCTCCCTCAGCACGATTGAGCTTCAGCGCAAGGGATAGAGTTGTCTAGTGGACGCCCTTGGCCAGTAAACAACCATGATTTAATGTGCTTGAGACTTGGTCATATGGGAGCTCTGTGACCCTCTAAGCCAAATTTTCTTTTCTTTTTGTTTTCAACTGAAATATGCCTCAAAGGGTAAAGGATTGCAATTTTAGCCTTCATTCATGGATATATTGCTTTCTTTCAACAATATCTGATGGGCCTGTTAACTGCCACCCATGGGGAGCAGGTTGCAGGAAGGTCTCATTGAACACAAAACACCAAGTGTTTTCAGTAGTTTATTCACATTTTTTTTTCTCTGCTTATTTTAATATGCACCACGTGTAAGTTAGATGAGGGCTACGGTAAAAACATTTTTGATGACTGAAATCTTACTTTTCCTTCTAACGATCTGGAGCAAATCACATATTCATTGATCATGACGAATAAAATGATTTCTGCTACAATGTTGAGAAAAAATGTGTTCATTAATATGAACACATGTCTACAGAGATGATTTACACGATGCAAGTAATGAAAGAGTTCTTCCTTAACTAGTCTACTATCAAACTGAAAAGATGAATCTTAAAATTCCCTTGAAAATACCATATGATTGGTCATGTGTCAGTAAAAGAAAGACGGTCCCCATCACCAGGCCACCACCATAAGAGAGCTATATTAAATACTTGGGAAAAAATATGGAAACACCGGTGGTGATGATTAAATTGATAATTACATAGATACACTGCCATAATGATACATATTTGTTCTATGATAAGTGAAATCAAAAATAAGATCAATTTGGTTATAGAAATTCCTTAAAGAACACCACCACTTAATTATTTCAAACTTGAACTATCCCAAGAATGTCGAGAAAAAAATTAGAAAGCACTGGCTAAAAGCAAAGCAATCTGGATACACCAATGTAGTCAGCATGCCTTGTGCTTGTCTGTTAACCCTCTGAGTACATCTCTGACATTCAGGATCTTGGTAGCTTAATGTTAGAAAGATTGCATTCCATCTGATTACTCAAGATTTCTACTTGACTGGTCACATTCCACTGTTTATTCAGCATAGATCACTCAAATTCTACAGTGATGTGCTGGGATCCCCATGCTGAATGGGCCCTGCATTCTTCTGAGCTGCCCTTCTGCAGTGTGCTGAGAAACACCCCCTAGCTTCACACGGTCCAGAGTCCCCCTAGACGTCGATGGGAAAAGGCCTGAGCCATGCACCGCAGGCTCAGTACACTAGATGCTGTAGCAATATAGTTAATGCCCACAGAAAAAGCAGTAATTCAGAGAAAGAAAGGAAAATGACAGTCCACTGCAGGTAGGTCTCTGCCCATTGCATTCTTCACACTTTTAGAGTTGAGGCCAGGCTGTAGAGCTACTCCATAGCCTTGGAATAGTGCTTTGCTTTATATTTCTAGAGAAAGCAGTAATTTCCAACTAGTTCAGTGTTCCTCATTAATATGGAATCTACCTACACACCAACACTCTTTCTGGTGTTCTGTGCCCCCTACCCCCACCTCCCCCCCAAAAACAACTCAACTAATTTACTGATTTATGCTACTTTGTGATTTTGCGTGTTATCACTTCCGGATGCTCTAAAAGGGGGGGAAAAAAACCTCAATAAACGATATGCTTTTTACATGTCAGGACAACACAGACCACAGAGATGAACCTAAATGTAAAAGAGCAAAAAATTTTGGTGATGGTGTTGCAAAAGTAATGACATGTGATTTAAAAATCCATATTAATGTAGACCATAGTTTCAGGGTTGAAGAGTAAAAATGCAGCAAGTGAAGATCAATGTGCATTTGAAAATAAAGGACTATAGAAACGTTGTTCACAAATTTTAAGACTCTCAGGTATTAAAGTATATTCAAAACAGAGAACATAGGTACTGTTCAGCCACCAGATGCAAATTTCATGAGATATCCCTCTCTGGTTGTCTCGTGGATCCCAGAGCCCAGCAAACCTTGGGAATACATTTGAGTTGGGCACCTGCCTCTAAGACACCCCAGGAGAATCCTCTCTGAGCACTGTGGTGATGCACAGAACCTGTGAATCCCCATTCTAAAATGGAATCTGTTCCAGAAGAAACTCAGGCCTGGAGACACTGCACTAGGGAGATAGATTTGGTAACAAGAGTGAAAATACAGGTCTCAGACAGGACTTGGCCCAAAGACAGAAAAAACACTCTGACCTCCTGGACAGCTAAAGACAGTGGTATTTAAAAAAAATCATTTTAGGGGATGGAGGTTTTATCCTCAGGGGTATCATCTAGGTCTTTCATCCTGATCTTCCTAGGAGACTATATAGGTAACCTAAAGGTGCACATGGAATTGTCTTGCCAGTGGTTTATTCACTGAAAACTTATTGTTAGAACATTCTGGATTGTGTTCCCAGTGTGCTTTCTCCTCAGCCATCTTGCAAAGCAACTGCCTCCAGTCCCCTTGTGCCCCAGCTCTCCTATGTGTGGATTTCATACTAGATGTAGATTGCACAGTGATGACCACAGTGCGTGGAAAAGCAGGTGAGAAAAATCACAGGATCTTATTCCCTCTTTCTGTTTGAAATTCCAGCCCTGCAGAGCACCGGGCAATTTATTGCTCTTTTCCACCAGTTGTTTCTTTCCTGTAGATGTCTGACACTGAGTAGAGAGACCCTCACTCACCAAGCACAAGACAAGCTGTGGTGACTCCCTGAGAGTCTGCGCTGGCGCTAGCAGCAGCTGATATGGAAGCAGCATTTCTGGGGCGTCATCAGTACATCTTCATGTGGAGACAATTTGGGGGGCACCATCTATTTCCTGGGTCAAGCTCTTTGCCACAAACCCAATTCCCTCCACTTGGGATGCAGAACTCACTGCAACTGACAGTCATATCTCTAATGAAAAAAAAAATCTGTTTCTGAATAGGATTGTGAAGAAGAAAGAACCGTGCGTGTGTCGAAGTTATAAACCTGCCACGTTCTAAACCCACAGAAAAGGACAAACAAGATATCATTCTAAATGTCCTTCTTTTCTGGACATTTCAGCATCTAACAACACCCCTTGATCTGCAGTAAAATCAAGAAACATGTGTGTATACATCCAAAGGCCTGAAAAATTCCCAAACAAGAATTCTCAATAAAATTCTATGCACTCAGAGGGTTAACAAGTGCTATATTACATACTGCAGATCCTAGCTTGACTGATGAAAACATTCATTGCTTCTAAGTTTAAAAAAAAATTGCAAATTGGCCTTAACCCTTTGAGGACTCTATTAGCAGCAAATTACCATCTTCACAATCACCACGTGTCATCTTATTCAGTAAAGGGAAACCGCTACAAAGATACCTGAAAACACTTTCAGTTCTGCCATTCAAGCATTGAGCGCTAGATAGATCAGATGAAACTGTTTTACACAAATTTGGGGGAAAAAAATCTCAGAGTCTCAAAGGGTTAAGCTAGGACTTTGAGTAAAAGGGTCTTATTAAAAGGGCGAGTTAGGGGAGCGAACAGTCTCGGAGGAGCTTGGGGAGTAGTCTTCCGATTCCGAGTTGAGTTCGGGAGGAGCTGGCTGCGCCTTGTACCGGCTCCTCACATCCTGGTTGCGTCTTCGTCGGAAAACCTGCCTCTCCTTATCAAGAGCGGTGGTCTAGCAGGGGCATAAAATGAGAAAGAGGACAATTAGGGCGAGGGAAATGGCAAAACAAACTCTTTCTAGAACTTTCTGAGGTCAGAAAAAATACACTGGCCAAGTTCACCTGTCCATCATGGCACACTTTTTGTTGACAGTCACCACTCTCAGGGAGCCCTCTGCTCCCCACAAATCCAGGTCTTTAAGGGACCTGGTCATGACATCTGCAGGCACAGGCAGGATGGATGGTGTACTGGGTTTGACCCTTCCCCACTCCTCCCCAGACTTTTGCTAGCTGCACATTTATTTACCCTTGGTGGCTCCTAGGCTAGCCAGAGGACACTCCCACCTTCTCTGAAAAGGGGTGCCTGAGTCCTGTGTGTAAAAATGCTCCCTGGGCAACTTCAATTAACATGCAGCTCAGGGTAGCTGCATAATACAGATGAAAGGTGATGAAGTTGTCAGTCAGACATGGAAACGGAGCCACGGCTCATCCTGTTCTTTTAGCACCTCCTCACTCTAAATGATCTTATTATCTGTTGATGAGGGAGTGTGGCTGAATTTCTGGGAAGGATTGGTTTAATTTTAATGAAACCAATGCCTGAAATTGAACACTGCTTTGAATGCAATTAAACCAAGTGGAAACCTTCCCACGGATTTCACTTTACAAAGTTCATTTTCATCATAGTATTTGGTAATTTATGAAACTGAGATTCAATTTTGTAGGTATTCCAACTCCCAGTCTCTATGCCTCAATTTCCTGAGGAGACCTCCGATGATTCCCCGGATGTGTTATCTGCCTGTAGCTCTGGATGTTATCATGACATCAGAATGGGGGACAGCATGACTTCATCACAGATTTAATGGGTGTGGGGGAAAAATGGGGTCATTACAGAGAAACCTTACACAGAAAGCAGAAGAGTAGGTATGAGGTCTGAAGAAAAATATAGAACACATATAAAAGTTGAAGGCGTTCTTATTTGAAAATCCCCCTTAAAAAGGATGTAGCCTGGAGGTTATTCTGCTTTTAAGAGATTACTTTTCTTCTACAGGGATATATGCCACCATTTTTCCTCTTGAAAATTTACTGTTAGCTCCTTCAAAGAACAGAGATAAATTTACAGCCAGCCTGGTTCTGAGAACAAAGTGAAAACTAAGCCCCTCATACAATTGCAGTATAGCATTAGGGCAATCTTAGATCTAAAATAGGCCAATCAAAGTTCCAAAATGAAGTAATAAAGAGATAAAGAGAGGCAGTGTGTAGAACCAGTACAGTAAATGGCTTCGTTAGGCTGAACTGCTCTACTTCAGAAACTATCCACACACTGAATGAACAGGGTTACAAACCAATGAGGAAGATAAACTTCAATAATTCACTTCTTGTCTCACTAGATTGTTAATACAATGATTCAGTAACTGGTCTGTTGAAACGTCTACCTTTGATTCTTGTTGAATTTTTAAGGATCCTCATATAGTTCTTAGTCTTAAACCTATTGATTTTATGATATTTTCAGTATCATAAACCCAAATTCCTAACTTTATTTAAAACATTGTAAAGTTACGACACATGGTATTTTGCTT
Organism: Homo sapiens; assembly: GCF_000001405.40. Taxonomy (NCBI): domain Eukaryota; kingdom Metazoa; phylum Chordata; class Mammalia; order Primates; family Hominidae; genus Homo; species Homo sapiens. The sequence continues at coordinate 35,776,263 of NC_000013.11, forward strand.
TCAAAGCAAACTGAAATGTTCTGTTTGTGTAGAGTTGAATGTTTGTAAAAAAAACAGACGTCTATTTAGTCTGTCTTACATAAAAAGCATTTTGTAGTTAATCCAAAAGTAATATAAACACCTCTTGGCCATAAAAAATCTTTCTATTTCTACCTCCTTGAGAAAGAAAAAAGTCATTGGCATTGGAATGAATTCTGACTTGTGAACAGAGGCAGTCAGATGTGGGGAAGAAAAGCACATCAGGTTTGTGGTCAGGGATTTTGCGTCCCACTCTGTCCATTGCTGACCATCCACCCAGGTTTCTCATCTTTTAAATAAGAAGCACCTTTCCACTCTCACAGAGTTGCTGTAGGTAGAAATGGATGTGCAAATGCTTTCTAAACAGCCAAGACTCCCAGAAATGTAAGGTGTTCTTTTGTTTACAATTTGATGTAAGACACTGTTTTAAAATCAAGTAACTGCAGGTCATAGAAAAGCAATGTGCACAAAGCTCACATTAGAATTTAACTCAGTACTTTCCCTCTTTCCTTCAGTTTCACTGGCACCTTCTTGATATTTACTTCATTTCCCCATTATCCACTCAATACTTCACACTCTTGGCTGCAGCCACTGAAATACACCATTCTCCACAAATACTGTAATTCAGTTTATGCAGAAGCTGGTGGCACTTAATATTGAGCCCATGCTTGGATGGTCCCCTCACGCTCACTTTCACCTTCATTTCTGCAAATCCTTGTAAGAACAATTATATTCTCTTCCTTACTTGTCCTGCCTAGAAAGCCCTTCCCCTGTCCCTGTTGAAGTAGTCAGTTCTGGCCACTCCTACAGATTTCCCTACTCAGCAGCTTTCTAAATGTTCACCTTTGTAGATAAGACCTCATGCACAAATGCTCCTGAGCTTTCAGGTGCATGGATCCCCAGGATCCTCATGACACGTATTCTTGGAAATATATCACGGTCATGGGCATGTGTCATGAGTGGTTCAAGGTTGTCTCTATTGGATTTGCAGACTCTTAAAGTTGAATGAGGGTTTATAAAGCATTTTTGTCCAATGTTCTGTCTTTACAGGCAGGGAAACTGAGACCTAGGCATGTGGAGAGACTTGCCCATGTGCATTGCTAACTAGGAACAGAACTCAGTCTTCTCCTGTGCAAAGCCCAAGCAGTTTCTTCCCATTTACTCTGAAGTTTATTGAAATGATAAATTAAAGTCACTGCACTCCCAGCAGCTCAACCCTTCTCTGTTCCCAGCCAGCATGAGCTAGGGAAAGACATTGGCCACAGGTAGTATCAAAGACCAAAAGACAGTGGCTTCTCCACATTGATGATCAGAGAAACTTCTCTTTGTAGAGCAGATAGGATCCACCATGTACACAATCCCGTGTACACATTCTGAATTTTGATGCTCATAAATTCCTAAGGAGACCTGAGTCTGATGACAGAGGTGCAGTTTTCCACCCCTCAGGTCCTCATAATATTCTCAAACCAGCATTGAGGATTCCCAACTGACCTGCTCTCAGAGATGTTCCAGAGGGTGTCTCTGACTACAGGTCTCTCCTTCTGGGCCCCCGCCCACTCTGCTTAGAGAAAGTATTTTAGGAACTTCTTCCTTCTCTGTTTCCATGACAGTCTAGTACCATTATCGTTGTTCATCCTGCCTGCACCATAATTGATCCTAATTAACTGTTTTCCCTACCACTTTGTAGACTCTTTGGAGGACCAAGGTCAAGCGTTGGACATCGTCTCTGTGTTTTCCACAGTTCACAGCACACAGTAGATATTCTACGAACTTTGTGGCATTTGAAAGATGGGAAAGTATAATGGAAGTGATCTGTTTCTCTCTCTTCAAAAACTTTGTGGCTTTTGAGATATGAGAAAGTACAATAGAGGTGATCTGCTTCTCTCTGGAGCACCCACCTTCCGGTCCATTCTGCACACAGCTGTCAGGTCAATTTCTACAAGGTCCAATTTATTTACAGCTCCTCATAAAGCCCAATTCCTTGTCCCAGCCTTTGCAATGTGCTTCCAATAAAAACTTCCAGGGTGTATACCTATTATTACTCAAAATGATCCTATGGCATCAGTAGACTCATTGTCTTCCTTTACTGGACACTTGATTTTCAAGCACAGCATCTGTTTACTCTGCCTATGGTTAACTATACCTTAATTTCCCTTTGCATACCTCCTCACTCCCACATTCCATGATCCTGATGAAGTTGACCCTACTCCTATCTCTGGGAGTAGGGTTGGGGTGGGCTTGTGACTCAGGAGTAAGCCTGAGTTTACTGCATTCCCCAATACCCATGAATGGCCCAAGATGGGCACCCGACCCCATCAATAGGACATGGTAAGACTTTTGCTGGAACTTCACATTTATAATGAATCCCAATTTTGAGAGACTGGCAGGCCTGGAGCTGCTTCTCCCATCCTGGGAACCATGTGAAGTCCAACACTAAAGCCAACACAGGGAGGCAGGGTTGGAGGATGTCAAGAAACCAAGCATTAACTGAGTGCTGGATCCATCCATCACTGAACTCAGACTCAACCTGTGAATCTTTCAGGCTATGTAAAAGAATACATTTCCTTTTTCACTTAAGCCAGTTTGGTTTTGGTTTTCTTCACTTGCCATAAAAACAGTCCAAACTGATGTATCTCTGAATGTACTTTAATCATTCTCACATCTACCTCTTGGTTCAAGGTACTCGCCAACATGAAATTACCTCTCTTTCTCTCTCTGCCCACTCAAATTTATTTATTTATTTATTTTTATTTTCTCGGAGTCTCACTCTTGTTGCCCAGGCTGGAGTGCAGTGGCACAATCTTGGCTCACTGCAACCGCCACCTCCCGGGTTCACAGGCACCCACCACCACACCTGGCTAATTTTTGTATTTTCAGTATAGACAGGGGTTCACCATGTTGGCCTGGCTGGTCTCGAACTCCTGACCTCAGGTGATCCACCTGCCTCGGCCTCCCAAAGTGCTGGGATTACAGGTGTGAGCCACTGCGCCCGGCCAATTTATTTATTCTTGAAGACTTGATCAAATTTTACCACCTGTACCATATATTTTCTTCCTAAACTCCTTAGGCAAGAATTGTTTTGACCAAACTTTTGGGAATTAATTGCACACTGACCTTCTATTATTTTTCTTTGCATATTCCCCAAATACCTTGCCAACTACTCTATGGTAGAATTTGAAACTTCTTTGCATTTTCCAGATGATTAGTAGACTGTGGCACACATATTAAGTGTGTATTAAACATTTCTTAGTGAATACGGCATTATTTTAGGGGACTATATACTTTCTGAATAATAACAATAGCAAAAAATAGAATTCAAAGCAACTCCAACACAAAAAAGAAGTAAAAAGTATTAAGAGTCAATATTTAAGACTATAACTTATGCTTCAAATATGACCAAATTCTTATGTCAGATAAAGTTAAAATTCTCTTATGAATTCACTCATCCTACAAGCATTTATTGTGGTCTAATTTCTTATCATACTAAACACTGTCATGTATGATGTTTAGAAGTTTGTGGCTACAAAATTAACTTGACTCTAAAATATATGCAGTTCATCTTTTCCAATTGAATTCTGTAGCCCATATATGCAGTTTGGGACAGATGAAGTTACCAAGGAAATAGCACTGTAGGCTAATATATAATTTTTACAAGGTATACTCATAAAACATGTAATCCAATTGAAAATTTCTTCCCCGCCCCTGAAAAAAAAAAAAGCATTTGAAACATAATTTGTTCCTCTGAAATCCTGCATCACAACTTCAGAGTGTGAGCCCTTTCAACCATTTCTAAAAGGCAGCTTTACTATTTTTTTAGGCAGGGGAGTCCTCAAGAGTCAACTTGATTTTGTGTGTGTGTGTATGGCTAGCTTTACTCTTTATCAATCACAAAAAAATCCCCAGACATCAAGCAAATAGGGTCTCTTCAGAACGCCTATTTTTGTAAATTAAGTATGTCCTCAGGTATAGGCTTGAGGCTCCATGAACACTTAAGAGTTCCTAACAGATTTATTATTTTATTAGTTATTTTGTTCACAGTTTGTAGCTTTGTTGGAACCTACATGAATAGGCTTGCAGTAGAATTCCCAAGTGTTTCCTTAGTAAGTTACCACTTCACTAAGAGATCCTAAGAGACTCTGAAGAGTGCATTATCACATTTTGGTGCTAATTATCACAGGTTAGAGGTAAGCAAGAAATCTCTTGAGATTCTGGAGTTGACCAGTGGTAACCAAGGATGCAGCTCTAACCTAGTTACTTCAGATATGTGCACAATAGTGACTGCCATGCTGGGTACTGGGTGAGAGCTGAGTAATGATGGCTTGGGGGAAGCTGGTAAAGAGAGAACACATGGTTGATTAAATAAAATGGTATAGAGAAATGGACTAATATAAACCTGCCCTATCCAGAAGAAACACCGCATATTCCTACCACAATCTGTAAGCCCTGGCTTATCACAAAGCCCTTAGCAGATGCTAGATCAAGTGTGAAAGCAGAGGAACGGTAAAATAATGCCAGCTATCTCAGCAACTCAGGTGGCTGCACATGTGGTAGCTGAAAATCTTAGGGAAATCCATCCCCATCGTGTTGGTGCCTGCCGTAACACCAGGCATACATAAATAAAAGACAGTGCTTGCCTATTATCAGATTTATTCCCATAAAGGATACATCTACTGAATTTGGCCTGTGGCCTCTTCTGTTACAATGAAATGACAGTATCCTCCACATGTGCTCAGATAGTTTAAATCCTTCGTTCTGACATTAAATTGGGAAAATCAGTATAAAGACATATGAACTACCCATCTGGTATGTCTAACGTTAAAGGAAAAACATAGCATAGAGGAGGAAGGTCAGGAATAATCAAGAACATGAATTGAAGCATTAGCTTAGGTTTTGCCGGTCTGAGTCACCCCACGTCTCTATGCTTGTCTTGTCTGGTAGCTTAAGTTTAATCCCCTTGGAAGCAGCAGTAGGTGGAAGTCAGGAGAATTAGCTTTTTGTCCTAGTTCAGCTAATTATGTGACCTTGGACATGTTTTCTAACCACATCGAGCCCCAATTTCCAGGTCCATAGACTGAAAGGGGGTTATTGTGCATAATCCCTAGGGAAACTTTCACCTATGAAATTCTATGAATATTCTTAATATCACCATCAATCTACTTAATGGGTTATGTTTTTCTCTTAGCAAACAATAGGCCTTACAGTCTATGGACCAAACATGTTTCTGTTCCGCAATGCTTGCAGGATTCACAAGAGATGTACTCACTTTCATTGTGAGGCAATGGTTTCTGTCATGGCAGTAATTATTGGATTTAAGTAACTGCATTTTTCAGAGGCAAACATTGACTGCTTTTCCTTTTTTGCTTTTCTTAATTTATTGCTAGCCATCACATATAGTCTTCATTTCATTAATAAAAGAACATTATTGTGCATTTTGCCTTTTAGCCCATCCATTATTCATGCTACCTAGGAGACTGAACTGGGGATGCAGCTGCTGGGACATTAATCTCAGGAACCCTTTCTTTTGCTTACCCTTACTCTGTGGGGACTACATTACGATTTGCTTGTCAGTTTGGAAATGTTTTGCTTGCTAGTAAAATTAAACTGACAAATCGATTGAAATATCCACCCTCCTCATTTTATTGGGCTTACTCTCAGGCTTATTGCAGTTCTGTTTTGTTTTGCTTTCATATCCTTTTGAGGTCTTGCCAGAAATGACACAGTATCTGAAGACAGGGCATGGCTTTTCTTAAAGATGACCATCAAAATGGCAAAAGGAGGCCTTCTTGGGATGCAACTGAGTAGCCTTCCAAGCTGCTTACTTTCTTGGCAAGACTATCTTAAATATTATTCCCCATTTTCCTGGGAGAGCTGACCTTATGCTTCTGCACTACTAATCTTAAACATAGGCTTCTCCTGCTGACCTGGTTCTTAATAGAGTCTTAAATTGGCCTAGCTCTGCAGTGGGTTTCTGATGGCCTCCCATCAGACAGTTAAAATTACAGCCAATTGGTGGCGGTTGAGCTCAGGACAAAATTTGTGTGCTTCCTCTGCCCGACAGCCCCTGATTTTCTTATAGGAGCCCAACCTCAGCGGAATTGCCATGTTTGTTCTCCATCATATCAGTAAACTAAACATGAACCAAAAGCACAGTCTGCCTTAAGAAAATCTATGAAAATTTAGTGCCTACAAAGCAAGTAAGTCAGGGATAGTTCCTTTAATTGCAGAAACCATTTTAACCTTGCCAAAAAGCTTAGTCCTGGATTGCTAAAAGTGGGATGTTATTTTAGAGCATCTCATATGTGATTTGATTGCCCAAACTTTGATGTATCCCAAATTCTTCAAAAACATGTCTATCCTGAAAAAATCAGTGAAAAAATGGTCCCTTCTTCGGAGAGTTCAATCATTTATTTGTTAACTTAACAAATATTTATTGAAGGCCTCTTCTACTAGGCAGTGGAGACATAGTTTTTAACAAGCCCTAATCCTGTTCTTGTGGAATTTGCATTTGTACAGATGGTGCCTTTTAATTTAGACATATTTTCCCCCTAGAAAGGGTGTTGGAAAACTCTTCTGGAGAGGGCCAGATAGTTAATACTTTAAGTTGTGCAAGCCACATGTTTCTCTGACTCAACTACTCAACTCTGCTGCTGTAGGGCAAAGGCAGCCATAGACAGTTTGTAAATGAATGTGTGTGACTGTGTTCCAATAAAACTTTATTTACAAAAAAAGGAAGTGGGCTAGATTTGGCCCATTGGCCATAGTTTGCCAAGCCCTGTCCTAGAGGATCACATTTTAAACTTATACTTCATCAGAATTTTTGGCTATAGCTACTTCAGGTAAAACATAATGCCGCAAATGCTCACAAGAAATATAAACATATACATTACTGAGCGGTTTACTCTAATCAGAGCATTAAAACAGTTTATGATTCTACTTTAGTAACAAATGCCTCTCTCTGGAGAGACATCAGTTTTCTCAGGAAAATCTGTGGAGTGGGTGATTTGCTCTTGGAAGTGAGGGAAACAGAAAGCAAATTTTTTTTTTTTTAGTTTCTTCTTTGGGCTGGGGTGTGTGAAAGCACTTTTGCACAAGCAGCTAATTTAATTCTCACCACAAATTTGGAAGGTGGATAACACTCTTCACCTTTTCGTAGGTGTGGAAAATCAGACAGAGAATGTAACTCGCCCAAGGTTACTGCAGGAAATGGGGCGGACTAGATCCAAACCCAGGGCTTCTTGACTCCAAAGCCACACTCTCTCTGTACACTGGGCTGCCAATCTTTAATTAAGTTAATTGAATCTCAATCTCCATGACTTTTTTTTGAGACGGAGATTCGCTCTTGCTGCCCAGGCTGGAGTGCAGTGGTGTGATCTCGGCTCATTGCATTTCCGCCTCCCGGGCCCAAATGATTCTCCTGCCTCAGCCTCCTGAGTTGCTGGGATTACAGGTGCCCACCACCATGCCCAGCTAATTTTTTGTATTTTTAGTAGAGACGGGGTTTCACCATGTTGGCCAGGCTAGTCTTGAACTCCTGACCTTAGGTGATCCACCCAACTCGGCCTCCCAAAGTGTTGGGATTACAGGTGTGAGCCACCGCGCCCAGCCTCCAAGACTGTTTAATTTCTAAAAGTGTCATGTGTCTGACATATATTTGAGAATTGTTTATTTCAGCCTATGAATACTTACACCCTTTCTTAGCAAAAGGTGTGTTGATACTTATAATTACGTTCTTTATGTATGATTTCCTGTGCATTTATACCTCATAAAGCCTCTATCCTCTCAATGAACCTCACTAAGGAGCATTCACAAAGTATGGCAGGAATGAATATGTAGAAAAGAGCATAGATGTTTACTTTTAAGTCAAAATGAGGGAAAGAGATTCTGAGGCAAGGGCAGAATAAATATGATACTACACAATTTTCAGTCAATCTAGAATCATCAGGAATCTTAGGAAAATGTTAAAATCTCTCTTCAGTTTACACTCAATGATTAAGACTTGGAATGCCATGACATTTTCTCATTTTTAGTAATAAGTAAGCTAAATTTTAAAAAGACTTATATGTCATTGGAATCCTCTCTTAAGGGGCCTCTGAAAACAAAATAAAAGAAAATAAAACCTCAGTGAGCAACCTGTTTGAGTTGGGAAATGTAATGCAGATGTTTCACCATTCCCATGTTCTTTCCAATGACCCTTGGTGACCTTCACGCCACAACAGGCATAGTATCACTCATCTTTTGAGCCTATGGCCTAATAGCTCATGCTTGGGTACAAGGTACAACTGCAAGACCAATCCTAACTACTTTCCTGAGACTTCTCTCTAATCACAGTTTGAGTGGTTTTGAAGTTTAAATCTATGACTTTTCGATGTGTTAAACTGAATCCCCCAAATTCTGTGTTACAGAGGGAGCCTCTGGAGTGGGTGGAGCATCTGCCCTGGCTGCCAACCATGCTCTGGCTGTCCCCGGGGACAGCGTTCTCACTCTGCAGAGCAAAGCCAGGACAACTAGCCACCGAGCAACCTGCAATGCATTGCAACTTGCTGTGTACATTTGGCTGCTTCTGGCCGAGGCGGGCCCTACATCCCTTCTCACACCACACGGAGGTTCCTCCCTGGCTTCCAGGGGAACAGTTTTCTCAAACCTGCACGGAGCAAGATGCGTTTAACTGACCCCATTCCTTTTAACAACCGAGCATGACAGCGCGGCCATCACCGCTCTGCCTCATTACTCACTGTTTCAGGACGGTGCTTGAATCCAATATGCACATTTTAGTCACATCTTGCCTGAGAACTCAACCACCCTTTTGTCCTAGCTCACCTCCCCATTTTATCTTATTTCTCATGTTTAGCTTATGTCTTGTTTTGATATTTGTTTTATTTAATCGGGTTACCCAGTTCTAGCTGTTGCCCTGTTCTGTGTGCTGAAGGTGCAGGATTCTTCTCCATGTGTTACAGGGCATAGCACTTGCCATGGTGACAGCTTCACTTGGGAAGGTAGAAATGTGTGTGACAGCGTCCCCTTTGAATAAGGATGCATTTCCAGGAAGGGGAAAATATAACGGGATGCAAATGTTCTCCAGTGGCTTGCAGCAGGGGGAAATGGTGGCTTCTTAGGTCAGGAGAGTGTGCAATAGCCCAGTGAGCTCACACCTGGGGCAGCGTCCTCCCTGGACTCTGGGTGACAGGAGCAAAGTCTCCTGGATGCGTGGGTCAAGTGAAGGATGCTGCTCCCTTGGAAGCAGCTCTCTGGTATGAGGCTGGAGAATGGAGAGAAAGGGGAAAACAAATCCCCACTATTTGTCTACAATCACCAAAAAGCCAGTTAAGAGAGACAGACCAATTCTGGGCACCCTGAGGAGATGGTTTTCCCAGCCTGTGCCCTCATGTGATCTGCTTTACAAAAAGCAAGCGCGACTCCCAAGTGTTCGGCTTACAGCAGTAAAAACAGCCATGAGCGCTTTAAACACAACAATTGGGAGCAGGGATGCTCGCCTGTAATGATTGTTTGTGTTAGAAAGTTGGCTGCCACCATGGTTAGACAAATGCTCCCACTTCTGCGGAGATAAAAGGCAAGCACTCGCAATCAGTAAGGAGAGCGTGTACGTTCTGGGGCTAAATGGCATTATAAAACTTCCTAATTAAGCATATATGCCGATGAGTTTTTAGCATCATTTCTCCAATTTAGCTTTACATACTGGGTGCACTGTTCAGTACAGCACTAACTATAAACATTGTTGTTACTGCCCCAGCTGGAAAACAGAGCACTTTATGTGCGCAAGAAAAAAGAGATTATCTCCCATCTGCTCCTGCCCATTATTCAGGGATGTGTCATTTTGTCTGCTGATGGGAACCATCACTAGGATTTTAGTTAAATGGCCTTTTTATAGTTGGCTACGTTTATTAATTATTGTGTTTACTTGGGGTTTAGTTCCCATCCTTAATCCTACAAATTTAGTAATTTAATTTTCCAGAGGTTTTTGAAATTAGATGACTTTATATGTGTAATTTTTATAACACAAATATGCACAACTATAATTAGATATACTTGATGCCTATTTTTAATTGTATATTAACTTTACACATATATATCTGGTTAATATTCCTGACATTAGGAGACATATAATTTAAAAAGGATGGAGCATGGTGTGATTCGATTTCTATAGAGTACAAAACCAGCCAAAGCTAATTAATGTGGCTGGACTCTAGGGTCAGTGTTTACCCTCGAGGTGAAGTGACCCCTCCTGGAAGGGAGCCCCTGGGGTGCTAGGAATGTTCTGTGCCTGATCTGGGTGCTGCCTACAGGGGCATGTTCAGTTTGTGAAAATTTATAGAGATGTGCATTCCTGATAGGTGCACTCTTCTGGAAGTATATATTCTTTCAGGTAAAAGTAAAAGATGGATGAATCCTCTTCTGTGTTACAAAGTCAAAAAAGAAGGGTCTGCACAAAGGCAGATTATGATTAACTCACCCTTCTCCCTCCAAAATAAGGTCAAAAATTAAGTTCTTTCTACATCCATAAGGCCAATTATGTAGGTAAATTAAATAAATGAATGTGCAACTCCTACATGCATTATAAATGGAGAAGACACAAATAGCCTTCTATGTCAAAATGACCTTAGAAAATTTTATTGAGCTTTGGGTGTTTTCTTGCTTTAAACAGATTTGGAAATGATCATGATTTTAGTATATCTGAATCATTTGTCAAGGTATGCCCCTTTCTGCTTTCCTATGTACTATGTTTTGAGTGTCTGATTATAGAAAAATAACCAGGAGTAACAATTGGGGCTAAAATCATATATATATATTATATATATATATACACACACATACACATTATGTATAACATATATACTTTATATGTGCATATATACACACATACATATATATTTTAATTTTTTGGTAAAACTTTGCAGTCTAACCATGAAACAACATCAGGCAGCTACTGTCTTACTACAGATAGGCTCCACAGTTTGGAAAAAACAAATGCCAAAACCAGTGGAATTTTTTTTTTTTCAAATACTAAGATGTGGAGTGTTACCTGGAGATCACTTCAGAAACATTAAGATGGCGAAAACAGCCTCCCTAGAATTTCTCAGAGTTCATTTCTCAAACCATCAAAAACCATCCTGCTTGTGGATAACTTAAAGAGACACAAACAATGCCCCTTGAAGGAAATGCCAGGGCAGTTGACTGGAATAGAAAACGATTGGATAGAATTCTTAACCCAGTTTTAAAAAAATCGATACCTCCCATAATCCCTTTTGCTTGAGCAGATAAGCCAGCTAAATAATCTGACAGTTACAAGATATTGAAAAATAAATTCATGCAATAGCTAATACATAGAGGGATTTCCAGGGGGAAGAGGGAACAATAAAACAAAAACAAAACAAAAAGGTGGAGAATTTGAAAACACAAGCTTACCAACACACACAATGCATTCTATAGCCCATTGTACTTTGAGGCGCTTCTACTACTAAGGTGTAAATGCATTGTTATCCATCTAATCAGGTCAAGGTTGGGCTTGATGACTTTAAAATGACAGTATATACTTCTATAGAACACACACTAGCGTGCTATTGTTCTTCCATTTGTTAAGGGACAGAAGAGCACTGGAAATCATTGTTTTAATTAGCAACGTCAGGAAAATGCTTTGGCATTAGCACTAAATATACTGTCCTTTTAACCATAAGGAAAATTGATACTGAGCATGTGCAATGGAAAGAAAGCTGGCAAATGTCAGTGTGAATAATGGGTGAAAAAAAGGAATGAGGGGGTGTGGCATCTCAATCAAGATTAAAATGAAACTGATAAAGCAGCATATGGACTGGATAACAAATCAAAAGCATGTTTATCCACCGAAGGAACTGGTTAATGGAGACTGCCAGCACGTTGCCATGGAAACACTGACTGTTGAGCTGCACCATCTCATACCTTATCCAATACATTCCTGGTTGCTGGTAGTAGTCCAAAGACCCTGATCTCTTGATGGTAAACCCGTGGTCCAGCTGAGCAGAGAGAAATGGGGCAACTCAGTGGATCAGCATTGTGCTAAAGAATTAAGACTCCAGACCAAGCTGTTCTTCATTGATTCTATATGTATATATAGTTACGATGCCTCTTCTGCAGGGTAACTAGCTAATATCCTAAGTCTGCATACTGACAACAAAAAGGCAGGAAGTGACACCTCATGACTATTTTGGAGGCCAATTTGCTCAAATAGATCTAGTTCTTCAAACAAGTTTTTGAATGACCATTTTAATCATGTCCTCTCAATTTCAAAAGATATAAACACCTCTTCATATGCCATAGAATAGAAAATGCTTCACAATTCAATAAAGTACTGAAATGAGCATTAGCCACTTAAGAGAAAGCAGATTGGACCCCATAGAGTATTACCGCATAAGGCTTAAATTTGAGGGCTTCATAACTATGAAATGAAAGAGGAAAAGAATCAGGTTTTGAAACCTCATCAATTACAGCATTTAAATTTCTGAGTTAATCTTCAAAAGCAGAGCTACTCTTAAAGGTGAATCTTTTCTTTTCTTTTCCTTTTTATAAAAGGTATATGATCTAATTAAAGGTGAATCTTAATTACATTTCTAAACTAAGAAGATAGAGTATAAAACAGTCAATAAATTTTCTCTATGAAAATATGGAAAGTGAAATAAAACAAAAAATAGTTTTCTTTGTATAATAAAAATGCATATGAACAGTTAAGTGCTTTTGATTAACACAAAGTACAATAAATAGAAGACAGGAGAAGTTCTCAAAGTTGTTCATCCTGGAATAAGATGTTAGCTTTTGGGTACCTGGGGATAAAAGATTCAATCCCCCAAACCTGAAGGACACTAATCATGCTGTGTACCCGCTTCCCCATTCTGCCCACGAGAGGATGCGACTTGGACACCTTTCTTCAGAGGGGCTCATGTGTTCTTTCAAGTGCGTTACTGGTATGATGCTGATGACAGTTTCTGCTTCTAAATTCACAAAGGCATTTCAAAAACATGCCAGGGCACCAGGCATTTAAACTAAAAACTGCTTGGAGGATTTTGTGCTCTGATTATAAACTAGGCTATCCAAGTGTGCATAAAATGCAATGTGAAGTTTTAATCTTTTTAAAAATGTGTGTTTCATTTTATTGAGAAAAAAATCAAAGTATACTGGCTCTCAGGAAGATGAAGGTGTATGCTTGGCCACAAAGACAGCTACTTAGTAATTAGCTTTCTATTGCCATCTACAGGCAAAGTGTCATATAACAGGTCTCATTTTAGAACTAAGCTTCCCAGTGTCACAATTATATGCATGCTGATTAGTATGGATTTGTTCAATTAGACTGAAACGCTCTATTTGCATGAGCAAAATGCAAAAGAAGAACTTTAAAGCATTAGGAAAATTATTGGTTAAAATAATAAACAGTGTTAAATGAGGAAAAATAAATTGGAACTGACATCTTAGTCATCGGTTCTTCATCAAGCTGAGCAAATCTAATAATGCCTCTCTCTCTTCCCTCAGCTCTCAAAAAGTTCACCGTTAAAATGTCATCTCTAATTCATTTCATGTCTATAAATTGCATTTTAATAACCTTTTGTTTCCCTTTCTCTCTCTCTTTTTTTTTTCAAATCCCCCAACTACTGAGAAAGGCAGCAGAGGGACAATGGCGTCTCTCTGAGAGGCACAGAATGCTGCAATTCTAAGGAATGCAATGCCTTCCACCTAATCCCATGGCTTGACCTAATGTCAGAGCACCTTTCCTCCTTCAGGAGGGTGTGTGATCCCTGTGAACCTCCAGCTGGTAATTACTGTCCTAGCCAACTCGAGGCCCTCTTGCGACCTTAATATAAAGTTGTCATTTGTCCTTTCTTTGGTCCTAATAATGTACAGACTGTGAAGCAGAAGAAAAAAATGACAACATGAACAAAAAACACTACAATTCAGAACATGAGTACATGTTAAACTACTCTCATATCATAAATTACACCTGTGAGAGAGGCTGCCGGTTATGACAGTATGCTTTTTTCTTTTGTCATTCTAAGAAAGAAAGAGTGTCACAGATTCTCTGATGAGCATTGGTGATCTCCAGCAGGTAGTTAGGTTTCTAACTAAGGAATGAGAAGTACTAGTTAAAAATTAATTATTTAATTGTTGATTCCCCAACTGCCACCAAACCACAAACTAACACTATGTCCTAAATAATAATTTTTAAAACATTCTAAAGGGTGTATGTAATTCTAAAAAATTAGTCCCATGGTAAAGGCGGTTTAAAATACATTATTTTATAGCCTCTGGGGAGAGCGTATATACCTAGGAAAATTCTGTTTGAATGAAATTTATGCTGAAACCAGTTTTTGTAAATCTATCAAAGAGAAGTCATCACTGTATTATATCAATTCCTGAACTTTTAATGATGTGAGCAAATTAATCATTATATTAAATTATTAAATTATCAAATAGTCTTTATAGAATATACCATTTATAAAAAATTTTTCTTCTACCTCCCACTTATTTTGCTTCATAGCAGAATAATCTTTCTTGGCAGTCATACTTTGGAATATTATTTAATGCCAGGGTTTCTTTTTCTTGTGATAGTCCCCTGATAGTCAGCCTTTGCATTTTAAGAATGAAAAAATGGTTATGCAATATAATTGGATGTATCCAGTGCTATTCTGAAAGTATCACAATGAAGGTGGCCAAAATAGCCAGTTTCTAATTCCCAGCCCCACCCTTTGGTTACTGACCTCAGCCAGGTTCTTCTAGAAGGTAGAGATATTTATGAGGGAAAAGCATTCTGGAGAAGGTGCCTCATGTACATAGTATGGTAGACCAGTTTCTCTTAAAACAATCTCTGAAATCTACATTGATATTCTCTTTTATGCTTGAAATATTAATGCTGATAGTTAACATATGAATTGTGCTATAGATCTGACAGGCATTTTTTAAGATACAGTTTTCTGAAACCAGCCAATTATTTTGAATCTGAATTAAGTTGATAATTATTAAAAAAAAAAAAACCTCTGCAGCAGTAAAGATTAAACAAGCATGCAACCAATGCATAACTCAGCATTACACAGCCCACTTTACAATTTGTAAGTATATTACCAGTTTGTGCAGTTTCCATGGAAACCGTGTTAGTGATGAATTGAGAAACTTGCATTCAAAATTGCATTCAAAGTGGTCCAATCATGACATTTAGGAAAAAAAAAAGTGGATCTTTGATCTTCAAATACTAATGAGTGTTTTAAGATCCAGCTAGATGAGGTTTTAATGAATTCATATGGATAACGCTTCAGAATTTATCCAACTTTGATTAAAATAGGATTTCCCCTCAAATATGTGGTGTTTGTCAATTGGAAAATTGCCCTGACGTTCCTGCCCTTAGTCATTGTAAGACTCCTAGAATACTGTGAACAAACAAATATTGAGCAACCAAGGCAAACTTAACCAAAGACTGATTAAAATAAAAGACCAGGAAAAAAAAAGAAAACAAAAGCAAAATGACAGAGGTGGAAAGGCACTCTCTCTAGCAGCTGTAAGCCCTTAGCAGGAGAAAAACAGTCCCTTTCATGGACAAGCATGCTGGCAGTCCATTCCAAAAGAAAACTGTGGAATCAAATGTTTGGAATAGACATATATCTTGAACGAACAATGGAAACAGAGTATAGAATGTCTGGTTTAGTAGAGAATCACTATGATATTGTTGCTTTCAAAACTTACTGACTGAATATCAGCTCAGAACAAAGAACACTGACCATCTATGGAAGATGTAAAGGTTAATTTACTTCTACATTGAATTTTCTCAGAAAGAATTAAAGATAGAGGGCAAGAACAACTTGAAATTTTAAAACTTCAGCGGCACTGAGGAACATCTGGAAGAGTAGGCATTCCCTTTCACTTTACACATGTGCCAGTTGCTCACACGCATGTAAATCACTATTGAAAGGGTTCAATCGAGAAACACGAAATGCAAACAGTACGAGGGTGTGTATGCATGCATTCGTACCATTTGCAAATTCTGGAACCTCATATCAAATACTCAGTAACCCAGATCTGGGATTGGTGGCATCAAACAGATCACTTGTTTATCTTCAGTTTTTTTTTAGAGCTCTCGCGCAACCAAAAAAGAAAAAAAGGAAAGAAACTAAAAACACCCAGAGAAGTGGTTAAATATTCAGTACTGCTCATGAGTGAGAGGTGCTGTTTAATAGCATAAATACTTTTGAAAAAGTCCACATCATAGTGTCTTAAATTCTTTGTTTGGAGAAGAAAAACAGCTCAAGTGATTTTCAGATTGAATATGCTATTAAAATTTACACACTCTGAAAAAAAGAGGAATTTATTAAAAACTCAAGTAATTGGAACTTGAATATATTTACTCCAGAATATGACACCAGGAAGTATGAGGTTTCATTATTCCTCGGCCCAATTTAATCTTTGCCTAGAGCTGCGATCAAATTGCATGTAGTGTATGTCTGCATGTATAGAACAGAAAAGAAAGGCCTTGTGCAGACGCATCAATAAAATAGTAAATGTTAAAAGACTTTCAACTTTAAGAACAGAAATTTCTAAGGAGCAAGACATCGTGACTTCGTTGGGTGTTCACAGTAATTCAATTTCACTGAAAATCTCACTGCGTAGCTTTCTGCTATGCTTTGACTTTAATTTAGGTCTAGTATCAAGATCTATAGTGTTCCAAGCTCTCCCTGCAATGTCGTCTCTCTCAGCTTGCCTTTCCTTTCTAGGTCCTAGCAAAAGGACACTATGAACTCTTTTTCTTAGAGCCAAGAAGTTTGCATTGGCACAGAGTCCAGCATGGGGGAGGTTTTCGGTTTTAAATAAATAAATCATAAAATTAATATATACTGCAAGACACCCTGGAGGTGTTGGATAATGATGTGATGCCCAGGGAAATGATCTGCAGAAACACATAATATATATAAGTCCCATACCTCCTCTAGTGCATTAAGTGGCTGAGCTGTCTAAAGAAATGACCCATTCTGCTGTCTCTGACTGGAGAATCTCCTGAGTAATGCCTGTCTCTTAGGTGGGTTGCTTTAAAAAAAGTTATAGGTGGATATTTCAGATGCTTACTGCTATGACAGAAACTCCAGCTGCTGTGCTATTCGGCTTGGGGCCTGTGTTGAAATGCTTCTTTATCTTTCCAGCTACTGACAGCTGATGTTCATTTTCTGGGAGGCCATCATCCTGGAGAAAAAGAAATAAAGAGAAGAGAAAAAGAAAGAAAATGAGATAAATGAAAAATGAAGGCTAAATCTTCTAGTCACAGGCAGTGATCTTAGAATTCATAAGATGTCAGAAATAAACCAACCAATGTCTACTCATTAAACACTATTGTTGGAAGTACTGCTCCAAGGTCTCATTCATTTCCACATCTGCTCTAAAATTAATTTGCTTTGTGTCATCTGACCCTCAGAGATTTGTCTCTAAATTAAAAAAAAAAATTTCTGTTTTTGGTTTCTAATAAAATCTATTCCAACCACGGCTCTAGGAACATGTCAAAAAGCAAGTTAATCTAGATGACCAGAAAAAAAATTCAATGTGAACATCTTCTTTTTAATTTTTTTTTCCTCTTAACCCATCATTTAGACCCAAAGCCAAGGGTCTTGGATGGCAAGCTTGGGCTTCTGCATGGCCCATAAATAAACTCAGGCTGTTCCACAGTTACTCATTTGGCCATTCTAAAATTCCAGGCAGCCTTCCAGGCAGAAAGATCTTCCTTAAATTTTAAGTCTTTCTTGCTGCCTTCAAATCATCTGTTATTATGACATAGTTTATATTGGAGCTTATTTTAACCAAGGTCTCTATTCTCTGCTGGAGCCATCTATGACTGAGGCTGGACACATGGTTCTCTTGTACTAAATACTGTTAGAATCACAATAACCAGGGTCATAAGTATGTGCCACCACTTACTAGAGTTCATGATGAAAAGGCTGCAGGATCCTTCAAGGCAGAGACTGTGTTTTGCTCACTATAGAATCTCCAGGTCTTAGCATAGTGCCTTGGCACATATTAGATGCTCAATTGTGGAATAAATGAATGAACAGATAATAGAGTGTTTGTAACTCACTGCTAAAAAGAAACTCCTGGCAATCACTTCGATGCCATTCATTATTTTTCTTTTCTTCTTCCTCTCCATCATTTTGCAGGTAATTTCTTGGTTCCACCCAGGAAAATAAGTCTGCTGTTTCTCAAGCATAATGTGCTGGCTCCTTTTGCACGAGCTGGTCCCTCCACATGGCATTTGCTTTTTCTTTCAGCATTTGGGCATTCACTTATTCAATGGACATTAACTGCATGCCTACATGGACCAGGTACTACAGTACGTGGGGGAGAAACGATGGCGAGCAAAGACAGGCATGGGCCCTGCTCTCCTAGACCCTCTGCTCCATTTCTTTTCTTCGTAACTTGGGTCTAACGGGCCTGTTCCAAGGCATTTATCCCCAAGTTAAGCACAGTCCATTCTAATGGCTTTACTGGAAACCCCCAGTGCTTTTTCATTATATCAATTTGCACTATTTCTATTTTTTTGGTGTTAGAAACAAAGTGAAATTCCAGTAGAGTGGGGATGCTACTTGGGGAGGGAACAGAAGCAGGGCCACATGAAGTGCCGACCTTGTCAAGGGCTATGTTAGGAATAGCAGAGTGTGGGAGGAAGATGTGATCTCTGTCCACCAGAACCTTGCAGGCTAATTGGGAGACAAAACATGCACACACTATGTAAAATCATGAAACAGGCCAACAAGATTAAAAGGAGCTGTTACAAGGCTGCATGGCTGGATGGCTCAGCTAGATTCACCAAAGAAGTTCAGAGGAGAAAGGGCATATTTTCTGGTGTGAACAGTTACAGCTGACGTCATGAGGGATATGGGACTTGACCTGGCCCTTAATGATGGAGAGTGTGTTGACAGGCAGAGAGGAGGTGTGGTGATATTTGGTGTGCGGTGTGTGCAAGTGGGAAGCCACAAAGTCATCTCTGCCAAACAAGAAGTCAAACAGTTTGTCTCTAGTTAAGAGTTTATGTGCCATGGTAATGGCAGAGAAAGCTGAAAAAACAGAAGACTGGCCATAAATGAATACCCAAAAGATCCCAGAATTGAAGCCTTCATCTCCATTAGGAATAGAGCTTTTTAATAAGAGGACTGTAAGTTTAAGAAATGTGAAGGACTACCTTCCCTTTACTGTGGTATTTTTATAGTACATTATCCAGCTCTTGGTTCACTCTACAAGTGAAAGAGAAATCAGATGATAATTACAAAGAATTAGGATTATGCGTCCAGAGTTCTAAACACAAGGGTGAATTGAATGGTGTATATAAAAAATGTTTTTATTAATATGGTGAATGAGGCCAAATGCGGTGGCTCACATCTGTAATCTCAGCACTTTGGGAGGCCGAGGCAGGTGGATCACCTGAGGTCGGGAGTACGAGACCAGCCTGACCAACATGGAGAAACCCTGACTCTACTAAAAATACAAAATTAGCTGGGCATGGTGGCGCATGCCTGTAGTCCCAGCTCCAGCTACTCAGGAGGCTGAGACGGGAGAATAGCTTGAGCCCGGAGGCGGAATTTGCAGTGAGCTGAGACTGCGCCATTGCACTCCAGCCTGGGCAACAAAAGCAAAACTCCATCTCAAAAAAAAAAAAAAAAAAACCAACAACAAAAAACCAACAACAACTGGTGAATGAAACAAAAGGCCCCTGGAATTTAAGTTGGACAATAGCGTTTGGGAACTAAGTTAGAATTTTTGACAGTTTTTCCACATTTGACAAGGGATAAAATGATACTGAAAGTCTTCTGAATATTAGTATCATGTCTTGGCAGAGTGTCGGGTTCTGCCAGAATGAAAGGGGCCACCTTGGGTGCTCTACTGGCCTCACCAACAAGATTACACAAGTACTTCTTACCATCTCTTTGTAGAGTTCCAGGCTACCTCGGGCAAAATGATCAAATGAGCTTTCAATGATGAGATACTTTGAAAAACATGATTGTGGAGAAGGTTGAGGAAAGGTTTTTCTTTTTAGGATGAAAGAAACTTGAGCATAATTGTGGTCTTAGGATAAGAAGCTAGTGAAAAGGGAGAGTTGAAAGATACGAGAAAGGGCAGGGTAGGGACGGAGGGTAGAAGTGAAGTGGTTTGCCTTGGGGAGGTATAGGTTTACCTCTTTCTCTGAGGCAAAGATGAAACAAAGAGGGAACGAGCAGAGGTGCGGGGGAGGGAAGTTAGAAGAGCACGGCAGGGCGAGGAAGGTGACACAAGTGTTAACTGCTGTTTACATGTATGATCTCTTTCCTCCTCAAACTTCAGTCCATTTATTAGTCCCATTTTGAACATGGGCAAAATGAGGCTCAGCAAGGTGAATTCATTTGCTCCACGTCACATAGCTAGAAAGTGGTTGAGTCAGCATTGAACCAGGCCTGAAACTCTGTTCTTTTTCCCACACCAGGTTGCATCAATTGAGGATGCTCACTAGCATGGCATCAGCTACAAAAGGGCTGCTTAACTGATAAATGGAAATACTCAGTGAATCATCTTTTCCATGATGAAAGTGGCACAGTGGTGAGGCGGAAGGAGAATTGAATTAGGGGCTGAACAAACCAGAGAATATTTGGACACGACTTAATGGAGCCTGGGAATCATCTGGTGGTCAATAAAAGAGACGCTGAGCATTTCAGGGACCCAGTGGAACACAGTTAGAAATTCTCTGTCAAGTGGAGACTGGGTGTCCACTAATCTGGGATGTGTCAACGTGACCTATTAGGGCCGGGACTCTAGGATCCTATGTGCAGCAAGCAGTGCAGCAAGGCCTGGCTGACACTGGGCAGCATAGAGTTGCACGGAGCCAACAGGGTTGCCGTATGATCGGCACAGGCTGTGTTTACCAGCCTAGGTGTAAATATGGGGAAAGATAGCTGGGTTTTCGTAAGAGCAGCCCCTAATTAACTTACTGAGAAAGATTCAGCTCTTGCTGAATAACCCCACCTTCTTTTCACTCCCCACCATTGGCATCTTTTCAGAAACTTGCCTTCACCTGGCTTTCCCTCCACTGCCAGTTCTTGAGCTAGGAGTTTGCTCTCCAGCCACCTCACAATGGATTTCCTTATCATTTCCCAGCCCTGTCCTGGTCCTAATCTCCTGTCAAGGTTCCTAGCAACTCTTTCAGATACTGGGGCCTGGAGGTGAAGGCCTCCAGCTTTAAATTCCAGTGAAGGTTTGAGCTTCCCTTGGGTTATTAGTTCACATTGAAGCAATGCAAGTAGCGAAACAAGTTGTCAGAGAGGCTTTTGACTTCATAAATCTTAAAACGTTCTAGGATTTTTTTCCAATGAAATAAGGTGTCTCAGCTGGAGTAGGTAAAACACATACATGTAAACACACACACACACACACCCCATGACAATGAAAAAGTCTGCAGTGTTTTTATATAAATTTTGAAGGTTTTCAGCATAATTGGATAAAAAGACTTAAACAATTGGCTTTGCAGGGCTCTAATCTGTACCTGCGCCATACAGATGGATGATAGAGATTTAGCTAACTTACTGTCATGCATCAATAAAATAAATAGGGACGTTAAAAACATAAATTTATATATATACATCTTTATCACCATTATTCAGAATAGATTATGTGCCAAAAATGTGCTACGAATTTTCTAAACGTGACAAATCTGGCAGTATTTTACAAATAGTTACGGTATTATTACCATACGTTCTGGTTTGGTGGTAGTTTCTGAAGTTCGACACAGGCTGGTTGTGGTTTGAGGTTAGTAGTTTTTGATTTAGAAATTCCCATCCACCACTTGGCAGAGCATTGCAACTGACACGAACAAAATTAGTTTGCAAAATGGAAAATGAACTCTCACCACTGTCCATAGGAGACCTGGCCTCCTGGTCTCCATTTCTCTAGGGGTTACTGGGGAAGAGCTGTGGGGAGGCTTGTGGGGGAACGGATGTGAAGTCACTCTGTAGTGTAGAATTCCTCGCTTTCCTCTGGGAAACCATTTCAGGCGTCATGCTTTAAAAAATTCTCATCCCCTTGCGGATTTTTGGTTTTGAATCATGGATCTGGTTTGCAGTCTATTCATTGCCAGACTCCATTATTAATATCTGTAAACTCAGGAGAAGCATGGCAGTCTTGAGCAGTTTACTGCTAAAATATTCCCACGTAGTTTAAAACCATTCCAAGGTTATTAAAGGACTCTTCAATAGCAGTTCCGCTGCACCTCCCAGTGTGCTTGACTCCTGTTAACCATCCCCACCTGCACGGCACCCCCAGTCCCCTTGACTCTCTTCAGCATGGCCCTATGATTCTCTGTCTACAATTCACACTGCACTTTGGGAGAAAATGTAAGGCAAGTTGAGATTTATCTTAGAGCAAGGACAGGATAAAATGCCCATATGGAAACTGCAATTCCATGTCATCGTTTAAAATTTGTGAATATCAATAAGTGGTTTTATATATTATTGCAGTGTCATTGGGCTTCACTTAATTGCTAACAAATTCTACCAGCACAATAAGATGAATGTTTACATTTTTGTGTGTGTGGGTAGGGCTGAGTTTTATTAGTCAACATGGAATATCTTGGGAGATTATCCAGGCTTCTATTTTTTCTTCTTTCCCTTGTTCTTTTTTTCTTTTTGGATATCTGGACTTAGCAGAATCTTTTCAAAAGAGTATGTAGGTGGGATATAGGAGGTAAACTAAAGTGTAAAGGCCAGGAAGGTGATAGAAAGTCTTGAATTGGCTAAATAACTGTATTTGATTTATTTAAACCAGTCTGTTCTGCTAGTACCAAAGTTCTTGAACTTCATTTCATGTTATAATCATCTGTGAGCTTTTAAAAGTCCTGATGCCAGGAAGCCAGTGCAAACCAATTAAATCAGAATGTCTGGGGGCAAAACCCAGGCATCAGACCTGTATTAGAGGCTCCAGTGGGCTTCAGGCTTGAGCCTCAGTTGTTTTTTTTTTGTTTTCTTGAGACAGAGTTTTGCTCTTGTTGCCCAGGTTAGAGTGCAATGGCACGATCTTGGCTCACCGCAACCTCTGCCTCCCGGGTTCAAGCGATTCTCCTGCCTCAGCCTCCCAAGTAGCTGGGATTACAGGCATGTGCCACCATGCGTGGCTAATTTTATATTTCTAGTGGAGACAAGGTTTCTCCATGTTGGCCAGGCTGGTCTTGAACTCCCGACCTCAGGTTATCTGCCCGCCTCGGCCTCCCAAAGTGCTGGGATTACAGGCATGAACCACTGCACCTGGCCCTCAGTTTTTTTTTAATCTATTAAATTGGCAAAATAATTTGATGTAAAACATAGATTCATAAAATTATAGCATCCTAGAGTATCAGAAGAATAACTCGGGATAAGGTAGATGAGCATTTTGAAAATAAAAATGGAATGACAGCAATATATTTAAAATATCACAATGATGATAATTTGATCCTAATTATATATAAGAATTTTTTTCTGGAAATGTCAATTCTGTTTATGAACTTATCATGAACCTACATTTTCTATCAATAAACCGTCATTTGTGGGGAAAGTGACTCAACCCCCTTTCTAATTCCTGGAAAGGTCAAGATATATTATTGCCTATTTTATTCTTATATTATAATAAATGTGCCTAAATCATATTGTTCTCCACTAGATGGGTAATAGGGTAAGGAAACATAGTTGGGATAATTTTGTTGGTATTTTGTAACTACATTAAACAAAGTAGCTGTGATGCTGGAGAAAGTAACAGAGCTGGTGATACACATATTATCTATCTGGATCTGTGACACACAAACAGGATCATGTTGGGGGATGACAGTCTTTCTTCCTTAATCAAGCTTCTCATTCACCAACATTAATCACAATTTGCATTTCATGAGCACATAGCAATGGATGAAACAGTTGTCATCTGGCTCAGACTCAAATTCACCAAATATTTGCTAAGTACCTACAAGGTGCTAGGACTTAAGATTGCCCTCTCAGACTCTTCAACTATATGATCCTTTTCCCATCCTTATAGCAAGTGGAGAGGAGAATCCTATTTTCTCCATTTCACAGATAGGAAAACAGGTTTAAAGGAGAGAAAAGACTTGCCCAAGGTCACACAGGTGAGTAAGCTGATGCTCCTCCCATGGGTCTACATTCCTCTTCCAGACGTGGCTGCTTACTGACGATGGCTTTGTTCATGTGGCTCATTGGAACCATCCATAGAGAGGCCTCGCTCATGACTCTTTCAACAACAGAGCAAAGGGCAAGAATACGGCAGAGCATGGTGGGATTTGGACCCAGGACGTGTGAAAAATAAAGGTGAACTTAGAGGAAGCTCCTGGATGAGGTTAAAACAAGTGACTTTTGCGGAGTAGGTTTTCCTTTCTGCTGCCCTATGCTTTACTGTCTATTTTATATAAGTCTACCTTTCCTTTTTCTTTCTTTCTTTTTGTTTGTTTGTTTTTTGAGACAGAGTCTCCCTCCATCACCCAGGCTGGAGTGCAGTGGCTCAAACTTGGCTCACAGCAACCTCTGCCCCCAGGTTCGAGCCATCCTCATTCCTCAGCCTCCCCAGTAGCTGGGATTACAGGCACCCACCACCATGCTGGGCTAATTTTTTTTTTTTTTTTTTTAAGTAGAGGTGTGGCTTCACTACGTTGGCCAGGCTGGTCTTGAACTCCTGGCCTCAAATGATCCACCTGCCACGGCCTCCCAGAGTGCTGGGGTTACAGGCATGAACCACTGCACCCGGCCAAGACTGCCTTTTCAATTCCAAGTATGCCAAGTAAAAAAGTCATGGTATAAGCAATAGAGAAAATTAGAACTAATGAGAGCAGAGAAAGTGCTTTTTGACAACGTCCTTACGGTTCACATAATTATTAGTACTTTTCTTCCCCCTTCTCTCCTTTGTGGTAATCAGATATAATTTGATTGCCAAATGCAAAATGTCTTACTAAATGGATATTCTTTGAAATCCCTAATTTATTTATTTCATTTGCTTGGCCATTCATTTGTTGTACTTGGAGACATCAACAAATGCTAAATGCTGATTGTGAAAGCTTACTTTTAACAATTGATTATTTTCAGATGAAGAAAAAATCCGTTTTCTGATTTAGTTACTTCATAAAGATAATTTCAAAAGTTAAGCACTCACTTAATCGAGTCTTTAAAAAGCTTTTATTAAAACCATTTTTTTTTTCTAGGATGGTAAGTCTGTTTGAATTACAGAAAGGGTATTTTTTTTTTAGTTTTCGATCTCCTAGATGATTACTTAAATTCTCTCCCTGCTTTTAGAAAATGCCTGTAGGAAATCAGAGAGGAAAAACTGAAATGGACAGCAGAAGTCTAAGGTCCAGAGGGAGCAATGGAACATAATTATCAGCAAAGTGGGACCATGTGTAAAACTGTGCACAAAACCAGGTAGAAGAGGCAGAAAGTTACTGCTGAGACACGTATATATTGCCATAATGAGCAACCTGTTTTTTCACTGGTAACAGCCAGAAGCCTTCTTAATTTTGTTTCTTTACCACAGTTGAGTTGGGATATTATTAATATAGGGCCATTTGGTCTGGAATCAGGGGAAGATTCATGTCGTTCCCAACAGCATTCCAGACCCCTCATGTATATAAACAAATTTGCTCACATTTACAAAGTTATCTTCTAGCAAACATGCACATTCTGCTGGAACTGACTGTCAGATATCTTCTTCCCAGTCTTCTCCAGGATTGAGCTCTGGCACCTCCTTCTCTGGGCTCTGGGAAGTCTCCCCACAGAGCAGACTGGGGAAGCTGTTCTCACTACCCTGGAACTGTCTGGTTGTATCAGACTTTGTTCCTAGAAGGCAGGGCTGGCACACAGTGTCTCTCTGATAAAAATGTATTTAGAAATCTCTACATATAATTTTTCAAAAAAATTGCTCAGTTGTGGTGGTGCACACCTGGGGTCCCAGCTACTTGGGAGGCTGAGGCGGGAGGATTGCCTGAGCCCAGGAGGTCGAGGCTGCAGTGAGCCATGATTGAGCCACTGCATTCCAGCCTGGGTGACAGAGTGAGACCCTGTCTCAAAAAAAAAAAAAAAAAGTAAAATGATTATTTGTCACCTATGAATATCTTTCCTCTATGGCTCTTCAGGAGCCTTTTAAGGCCACATGTCAAATTCAGATTGTCTAGTTTCTTCTGTGTGGTCACCCTGTCTCAGTTTCTCCAGAGCTAATATGCAATTTGACAATTTATGGATGGTAAGCTTTTATTTTTTTTCTTTGAAATTTAAAGAAAAAATTTATTGAAGATCTGAAAAACAATTCCTAAAAGATCAACTTTTCCAGAAAACTAGCTACACAACGCATTACGTCTATCATGTTAAAACATGCATTAGACACAAATACAAAAACCATGAAAAAAGCCACCATTCTTCAACAATTTGAGCAAAGATAAAATGCCTAAATAACAACAAGGATGACTTGCAAAGGATGAGCTCTTTAAGCATCATTAAAAAAAAGTAGCACAAATGGATGAGTGTGTTCAGTTATATACACTGAATTGAACCTTTGGCACTAGGAATCAGAGCATTTTGTCATACAGCATTAACATGTGGATCAGTCAGAACCAACCACTGCCACCCAGAGAGCCTGCAGCTGGCTTGTGCCTCTTCCTCCCCGCACAGCTAAGAAAAAGGTACCATGACCTGGGTAAGTGAGTTTGGAAAGGTTGCTGACTTGTATTAGCAATCATTACAGTGATGACAATGTCCATATTGTACCTGCCTGTTTACAACATTACCATGTTTTCATGTGTAACAAAGGGTGGGGTAGATGTAATGTGATGCATGGGACTTTAAAACACCTGGGGTGAAAGTGAGGATATCTGGCTGCAAATTCTGGCTCAACTGCAAGCTTGGCTACTTTGAGAAAATCACCCTGCATAGCCTTAGTCTCCTCATCTGTAAAATGGGTACAATAATACCCATCCTGCTTATCTTGTAGGCTTGTTATGAGGCTCAAGTAAGATGCTTCCTAATCTTTTCAGCTTCATAGAAAAGGATAACTTTTGCTTAGCACCCTGGGGTGAATGCAGATGTTGTTGAGGCTGGAAGTGACCACTCCTGGATACTGGCTGTACAGCCCCCTGTCCCTAGGGCCATGGGGATTACTATTTTTGCATGTCTGTACACCAGTTAGAAAACTCTGCTATATGAGAAGCCTTAAAACAAACCTCAGTGCATAGCTCTACATGCTCATTTTCAAGTCTATTCTCCTGTTATTTGTATATAACCTCCCAGTGGAGTGTGAAGAATCACATTCAGACATGTAGAATGCTGGAATCTAGACCTATGGCCATCTAGTGGCACAACATGAATGAGATCCCAAGTTCTTGTCCCCCCATATGTAGTCACCTGACACATTGACTGTGCTTTCAATCATGCCTTGACCTCAAGCTTTTGTTGTTTTGGAAAACAAAACAAAACAAATCACTCGACTACTCACCAAGGTGGCAATTCAGAGAAATGGAACATTTTGTGGCCTTCAATGTACAGCCAGATGATTCAGTGCAGTAGGGAGGCTGGTAAAATTTATATCAATGAGCTGACAATTTTATGATTCTCCACCTCTATGACCACGTCCATATATATATTCAAGCCTATATCTGTCTTCTATTCTGGCAGTAGGAACTATTAGACTTAGTGATGGAGCTTCCCCATCTGTCAGTGGGGATTACCATAGAAACTAGATTACAAAGTTACAATGTTGTTGGGAAGAACACAATAAGTACAAACACAACACAGTTAAGGTATATAAGATGCTTAAAATACTTCTGGCAGACTCTAGAAGTTAAGCATTCTATCAGTATTAACTACAAGCATTATTATTATTACTATTATTTGAGACAGAGTCTTGCTCTGTCACCCAGGCTGGAGTGCAGTGGTGCAATCTCCACTCATTGCAGCCTCCGCCTCCTGGGTTCAAGTGATTCTACTGCCTCAGCCTCCCGAGTAGCTGGGATTACAGGCGCATACCACCATGCCTAGCTATTTTTTTTTTTTTTTTTAATAGAGACGGGGTTTAGCCATGTTGGCCAGGCTGGTCTCAAACTCCTAACCTCAAGTAATCTGCCCACCTTGGGCTCCCAAAGTACTGGGATTACAGGCATGAGTCACTGTGCCCAGCCTACTATTATTATTTTTTGAGATGGAGTCTCAATCTTTTGTCCAGATTGGAGTACAGTGGCACAATCTCAGCTCACTGCAGCCTCTGCCTCCCGGGTTCAAGTTATTCTCGTGCCTCAGCCTCCTGAGTAGCTGGGATTACAGGTGCGCACCACCACACCCAGCTAATTTTTGTATTTTTAGTAGAGATGGCGTTTCACCATGTTGACCAGGCTGGTCTCAAACTCCTGGCTTCAAGCGATCTGCCGGCCTCAGCCTCCCAAAGTGCTGGGATTACAGGCGTGAGGCACTGCGCCCAGCCAACTATGAGTATTATTAATCAAAACAAATTTCACCCATCGGTTGTAGAGAAACACAGAATTAAAAAATAATGACTCTGCTCTGGAGAATTCCTTCATAGTTAATGAAATATCATTAGACCCGTGTACTCAAAGAACAGCCACAGAGGCAGCATCGGGGAGATTTTAGAAATGCAGAGCCTCCAATCTACTGTGTTAGAATCTGCGTTTTAACAGGCTCTCCAGGTGATTTGTGAGCACATTCAAGTTTGAGAAGTGCTGAAATGGAGTAGCCCAAGGTTTATGTCGAAACCCTTAGGTCACTTGCACTTTGGGTAGGAATCATGCAAAAAGCAGGACTGACTCAGAAAGTCTGTTATGCCTTCTTGATGATTATTCAGCTCTAATCTGGACCGCAGAAAGCAGGTTGCGGGGTAGAAGATTGAGACCACTGGCACCTCACCAGTTAGAAGGCAGTCTCATCAGAATAAAATGTAATGGATACATCAGATGCCCTCGTGGAACAAGTATAAGATCCTGTAACTGTCCTGGCACATATGAGGGGGAGGAACAAAATGGAACACAACACTTTTTTCTTTTTTTTTTAGATGATGTCTCACTCTGTCATTCAGGTTGGAGTGCAGTGGCACGATCTTGGCTTACTACCACCTCTGGTTTCCAGGGTCAAGCAATCCTACCACCTCAGCCTCCTGAGTAGCTGGGACCACAGGCTTGTGCCACTATGCCCAGCTAATTTTTTGTATTTTTTGGTAGAGATGGGGTTTTGCCATGTTGCCCAAGCTGTCCTCGAACTCCTGAGCTCAGGCAATCCACCCACCTCGGCCTCCCAAAGGGCTGAGATTACAGGCGTGAGACACTGCGCCTGGCCCACAACACTTTCAAAAGGAGGCAATAACATTAGAAAATCTGCAACTGATTTTTAAAAGGAATGTTAGGAGAGAACAAAGGAAATGGTGCGAGTCACTTACATTAACCCAGGGATGCTCAAGTACTTGAACAGCAGAAAATCGCTGATCTACATCGACCAACAGCATCATGGTAATGAGCTCCTGTGAAGGGGAACGTTAGAGTCCATTTATCTGAATTTAAGGTGAAAAGCTGTATGTGTGCAAATGCAAGAGTTCTCTTTTAGTTTCGAAAAGCATTTGTAAAAGCTCTAAATCTTAAATACATCAACTCCACTTACCTGTGGCTATTTATCACCTTCAAAAGTTAAAAATGGTAAGCACTTGGAATTGTAAATACATAGCTTGTGGTTGAATAAAAATTAAATTAATATCAGAATCATTTTCATAAAAATGTTTGTAATAGAAAAGAAATTATACAAGTTAAGGAATTAATATTCCTTTCTTTGTCTAGCATTTTGCATGTTAAAGACAGATTTATTAATTAGTTTAATATAGAAGTCACATTTAAAAAAACACTTTACTTAAAATTTCACTTTAGCAGCTGAAAGGAAAAATGAAAATTTCCCCCTAATTTCAAGACGGCATACTTAGGTTTGAAAGAAAGGTATGAGGAAAGACATAGAATTGGGTCTTTCCCCAATTCTGGGTGGCAAGATAGAATTGATCCTTTAGTAGCTAAAGAATTCTAAAGAAACATGTTACAATTGCTTGAAAAATTTCCAGACAAATCAATACAAAGAAAAATAGAACTATTGAGAGGTAAACAATTTCATCATCCTGAAATTAATGGAACTTCCTCATGAGCTCAAATGGACTTGGACCAGGAATGCTCTACCTGGGTCTTAACGATGAGTATGCTATACAATTGTCCACTCTGGATTAGAAGTTCCCATGTCACAAAATGGTTAGATATGCATTATCCAGTTCCTTACATACACAGGCTTTATAGTACCACTCGGGAAGGGGGTGATTTAATTTCATTGAGGGAGAGAGTTCACTCAGCCTTCTTCATTCAGTTTCTAACTTGGATCAGAACTCGTGAAAGTATCTGCTGTGTGTGATGCCCTTTGCAGGTGCTATGGAGGTGTAGGAGATGGTCCTATTTGTCAGTAACTGTGAGCCCTCAGATCCTGCAGTGATGGCATGGGGAGCTGGACAGGTTCCTGAAGAGCCCCCGGCCCTGCAGCTGTATCGTCCCATCTCCTTTAGCCTGCGCCTTTCTCTGACACTCCCTTTCTGGCAGCTTCCTGGACAGTTGAAGAAAATGAGAGACTTGCACTCAATATGCATCATTTTCTACACAAAGTGGTCATGTCTGAGGGGTTGGCTTTTAAAGGGAACTCACATTCAGGACATGACAAAAGCAAAGGCATAAACATTGAGCAATCAAAAGATAATTATTTCTCAAGATAATTATTGAGAACATTTTTCTCAAATTTTTAAACATTTAAGTCAGCACTCGGAGACATAAATTTTAAAAAGAGCAATGAAAAGGTTTTCCTTTTTCTCCTCAAGGTCTACAAACATCTCAATGTAAGATTTTTATAGCCTTCTTAGAAGTTGATTTATCATAAATATTATTTAATGTGGTAAAATATACATAAAATTTACCACTTCAACCATTTTCAAGTGCACAGTTCACTGACATTCAGTGCATTCACATTGTTGTGCAACCATCACCTTCATCCATGTTAAGGACTGATCTTTTAGTTTCATGGGATAAAAACAATGAACCTTGTGTTTTCCTCCCCCTCTGCCTCTAAATCCTGGCTATTATTCAAGGTTCAACTTAAATCATAGCTTCCCCATAAAGTCTTTCTTGATGATTTCAACCTACGTTGAGGTTGAGTTTTCTTCCTTCTGATTAATTGATGGATTCATTCATATACTTGTTCATTTATTCAGTATACATTGAGCACCAGTATGCTGGTCATACTTTAGGCAGGGATAGTACAGCAATGGACAAAATAGATAAAAATCCCTGCCTTCGCAGAATTTGCATTCTAGTGGAGAGAGTCTGGAAATGAACTATATAAAGAAGACATGCCTACTTATTTATATCTATCTTTTTTTGGGTAGAGAGATAGGTAGTTAGATAGCACACCAGATGGACACACAGGTGTTAAGTGTTCTGGAGAAAAATAAAACAGACAAGTAGGATACAGCAAGCCAGGTAAGGTTTAAGAGATGCAATTGGAACCAGGATGGTCTGGGAAGGCTTCACTGGGAAATTAAGTCATTAAGTCAAGAGCTGAGAGAGGTGAAACCACAGGCCATATAGAAATCTGAGCTGGGCTCAAGCCTGGCGAGGGTGGGGCACAGCAAGAGGCTATAGCAATGTCACTGGAATGGCACCTGAGAGAGATGAAGGCAGCAGATGGAGACACTTGATAAGTACTTGTTGGGATGTCTGGGAACAGATGACTTGATGACTGTGAAATCTTGGAAAACCTAGCAATTACAACTAAAATGTGTACAGAAATCATACTTATGATGTCATTAGTTTCTTTGCACACAATGATTTGGAAAAATAATTCCGTTAAGACACACAGAATATAGGGAAGAGGAAGGCACTGGACACCTACCTTTGCAGAATCGGAAACATTATCCCAGTATGGAGAAGGAAAGTCCACCTGCCCCATCAAAATCTGATCAAAAAGCACCTCCTGGTCATCACCACTTCTGTTTAGGTGAACGACAACAAGGAAAAACAGCACTAAGATATCAACTCAGTGTACATCTTTTCAGTCTTAGGCACTGGAGCCCTTCCTTTCCCCCCATAAATGTGTAAAAATGTGTATTTTTAATCGATTGAAAAATGTCAATGTGGATCTGTTTTGGTAAATTAAGAAAGAGTTTTTGGGCCGGGTGCGGCGGCTCACACCTGTATTCCCAGCATTTCAGGAGACTGAGGCAGGTAGATCACTTGAAGTCAGGAGTTCAATACCAGCTTGGCCAACATGGTGAAACCCCCATCTCTACTAAAAATACAAAAAGTAACTGGTGTGGCGGCGCACGCCTGTGATCCCAGCTATTCAGGAAGCTGAGGCAGGAGAACTGCTTGAACTTGGGAGGCAGAGGTTGCAGTGAGCTGAGACTGTGCCACTGCACTCCAGACTGAGCAAAAGAGAGACTCTGTCTCAAAACCAGAAAGAAAAAAAAAAAAAGAAAGAATGAGTTTTTAATGATATGGGGAAGAAATATGGAAGGCATATAAATTAGCATGCATGACATAACAGGGAAAAAATAACAGGGATTGCAAGTAAAGTTCTTGTGCTCTTTTCCTGCTGCAGGCTCCTTTGTGCAAGAAGGGCTAATGGATCACTCAGAGAGTAGAGAAATGCTTTGTCGGCGCTGAATAAAAGATTGTTGCCCATACCCACGGAATGGAGGGAAACCACACAGCAGGATATAAGTGATTACACCTGCTGCCCAGATGTCCACCTTGAGGCCGTATCTGGAAAAATAAGGGATGTTAGAGTTAGGAGGGTCAGGCTCGGACAAATTATGCAGCTTGGTAAAATCAATGACTTTCCTCCTCCAAGCCAAAAATAAAACCAAACAAAATAACAATCCCAACAACAAACGCTAAACTAAAACCCACCACCTAAACAGAGTTCAAAGAAAAAGTTTAAAAAATAATAATTTTAAAAAAGACCAAGGTGCAGGAATAAAAATCAAAGGAATGCATTGCTGGACTTATTTGTAAATATCAGTAAATGAAGGTTTTCAGCAAAAAGGTTTATTATAGTAATAACAATTCTGAGATAAGGATGGACCCTTGAGATAAACTCCCTCACTTTAGGAATAATAATTATTTCTAGAACGTTTTCCAATTTATAGAGCACTGACATACATGATCGTACTTTGTTTTCCTAGCAACTCTGTAGGTTGGACAAGACAAGTATTGCTTATTGTACAGAAGAGAGAAAACAGGTTCAGATGGGTGAGTAATTTTGCTTAAGATCACACAGTTAGTGTCAGAGCTGGTCCCCAATATGGTCTTCAAGACCCACCACTTCCTCCCAGCAGCAAGCAGAGCATGTCCCAGTAGAAAGTGTGTCTGTGCCCCAGGCAGCCCCACCTGAGGGAGGTCAGACAAGGCTATGGATGTGGGCTCCCACCTCATTCAAATTTGCCAAGTAGCAAAGTCCTCATTCCCTCACATCTCGCCTCAGGAATTTCCCTATTGGGATTCCCTTCTCATCTATTTGGTTTTTCTGCCCTTGTGGTCTATGGTACAAGCAAAAAACAAAACAAAACAAAACCTCGAAAAACTATCTCCAACTGGTCACAGGGGAGAGTGCCACCTAGATTCCCAGCTGTGGACTGAAACTGCTAATGAGAAGAAAAAGTAGGGCTGCCTCCCCTCAGTGCCCCACCCTGTTATTCCTTCTGCTTAAGGATGGCACCTCAGAGCCTGCCTATGGCCCTTGGTAAGAAATAGGGCTTCTTACCAAAGGAGTCTTTGACTCAGGCTGACCTGAGTTCAAATCCTGACTCAACCACTAAAACTAATCATGAGCTTGCATGGTATCTAACCCATTAGAGTTTCAATTTATTGAAGTGCAAAATGGGAATCAAACCATCGACTGGAAGAGTAAGAAGTAAAGGAGTTTCAGGCCTAGCATATTGTGGGGTCTTAGTAAGGAATAGGCTACCCCACCCTTCTCCCCACATTCATCTGATTCTGCACACAGAAACCAGGAAATTCCCAATGGTCCCTGATGCCTAAGGGTGTTTGTACTCCACGGAAAATCAATGGATCCCCAAGAGGTCCCAAATGGGACCTGGACTGGAGGATAAGGGCAGCAGAGAGAAATAACTGCAGGAGACTGTAATCACCGCACACGGCAGTGTCTGTTTCTTTTATCTCCAAATGAGAGTTAATTACCATCGCTGTGTGTTTCTGTTAGTCTGAACATTTTTTACTCTGGGGTTAATAACTTCTGTTCTACCTTTAACAAAGACCAAATGGAAGCCTTAAGATTGCAGTAATTGACAAAACAGATTGGGAAAACAGAGAAAATGGCTCCCACTGTAAATGTTAAAGAATAAAATACAATTTTAAAAAGAGTGGAAGAAACCTGATAGCTAATTATGTCTGGATAGGGCACAGCAGTACTATTTTTCCTATTCTCGAAGCGGGCTAGTTCTTTTGCAAGCATAGCACTTAAACATAAGAGAAGCATTTACCCAGTCTCTGCAATGATTTCTGGAGCCACGTATGTTGGGGTGCCACAGACTGTGTACAGGGGGCCGTCTACAATGGTGGCCAGTCCAAAGTCACCCAGCTTCAGTGATTTGCTGCCATCTTGGTGCTCATACACCTAAAACAAAGGTAAAAATCACAATTGTCTGAAAACCAAGAGCTCAAAAGCCCTTTCTTGAAGAAATGAGGAACACTGTGTTTAAATTTAATGTATAGGAGGTAAAAAATAAATTAGGCAATTATGCAAGAATGGATATACATACAAAATAGCTTACTTCCTTTAGATTACTGCAAAACTGGAATCATGGTGAACACCTAACAAATGGAAATTGATTAAATAAATTATAGTACATTCATACAACGAGAGGTTACATGACCTTAAAATGGCGATACAGGTTTATAGTTATTGAATTATGTTTGGGAAATGAGCAGAGCAATTTTCAGATTGGTTTTTATAAAATGTCCATTAAAGAAAAAAAGTACATACAAAAAAAAAAGAAAAAGTCTGAAAGAACACAGTGCCGATGTATCTGTCTCTTGGTGGTAGGATTACAGGTTTTCTTAATCCTTTTGTTTATCTGTCTTTGATGTTGTCTATAATTAAAACTGATTTGCATAATAAAATGAAGTATAGAAAGTCCCTAGTGCAGTGTCTCCGATTTATGAAAATAATCTCTTTGTTTCAATATATTAAGAAAACTTGCCGGGAGCTGTGGCTCACGCCTGTAATCCCAGCACTTTGGGAGGCCAAGGCAGGTGGATCACCTGAGGTCAGGGGTTCAAGACCAGCCTGGCCAATATGGTGAAACCCTGTCTCTACTAAAAATACAAAAAGTAGCTGGGCGTGGTGGCGGGCACCTGTAATCTCAGCTACTCAGGAGGCTGAGGCAAGAGAATCACTTGAACCCGGGAGGTGGAGGTTGCAGTGAGCTGAGATCAAGCCATTGCACTCCAGCCTGGGCAACAAGAGCGAAAATCTGTCTGAAAAAAAAAAAGAAAGAAACTTTAAAAATGCAATTCTTTAGTAACTAAATACAAAAAAACTATACTTATAGTAAAATACTTTATTTTCAGTGCCTCGTATTTTCAACATGATCTATTTACATTTCTTAATAATTGAAAGAGATATTAACATTTCATTTCACCTGTGGCAATTTGGAAAGATTTATCAGGTGCAGAGTCAGCATCCTGTCCAGGTTTCCCTTATTAAGGCAGTAAAAATCTTCTCTCTTTCACCCAACAAATCAAGAAAAGGATGCATGTGACTGTAGGCAAGTATTTATACTCCTTTAATTCCAGCCACGATCAAAACAAATGGAGCTGCTCTAAAAAGTATCCCAAATAACTTATTTTATTTCAAAGAAAAGATGAAAGGGCGTTCAGAATCCTAATTGAGTCCCCTCTGTTGGAATGAATAAGATTAAGAAAAGAAAACCACAGTAAAAGGCTAGTAATTCCAGCAAGGGCAATCTTCACGAATGCCTCAAGGAAGCAGCTAAGTTTTCCATGTACATCAAAATACTTGATCCAGCAAGCCGAGGCTTGCATATTCTCCTGTTCTCACTCTGTGATCATCTGTTACTTGCTGCAGTAGTTTGAATCTTTTGCACAGCAAGGCACATCTCCACACATCAGGGGCACCGCTACTGTTCACACGTCACGTCTGCCTTCCTTTGGAAAAAGTAGATTAACTTTGCGTTTCACTGCAACACAAAATGCAGATGTTTGGCCAGCTAAGCTGCAATATCAGCAATGATCACCTGGATCCAACAGTTTTGGCAGAAGCAGGCAGTCAGATCCACCTATCTGAAAGACTGCATCTTTTCTGAGCAGAAAATATTCTTTTACGTTTTCTCCACACTCATAGCATGGAGTCTTATTCCCAGGAGCTGTTGATCAGGATCAAGTTTGGGCTGCCCTCTGGCAGGTATCCGAAGATTTGTGAGGTCACCTGTGATTGGGTTGTTAGGGCAAAAACAGCCATATGTCCCTCACAGATGTGGCTTTGCCCAGCTGTCATCTGGGACGGACATTTTCTTCCTAACTTAATGAAGCAGCTGTCCAGCCTTGGTCACTTAGAGTTAAGTTAAAAACTTTGAGGCATCACAGCTGCAAAACACAACATCGGCCCCAGCCTAACTGTTCTTAGGCAAAAGAAAACCCTAAGTTGTAGTCTTACCACGTCAGCCATTCTGGTCATCCAAATGACAAGCAAATGTTTTTCATGAAAAGAAATCTGAGATGGAAACATCTAGTAGATGGTCTCGTTGATTTCCGAGGCAGAGCAGAATTGTTTACTTCCTTAATTCCATTTTGTTAACAATAACCTTTCTAAAATGCAAAATAATCTCCTGCTTTGATGTTCTGCTAGGTCCAAACATTCATTCTGTGTGCTTTGTGAGGTGATGCAGATTGTAATTTATTCAACCCACTTGATGCAGGAATTTTGTAGCTTTTTTCTTAAACACAGTATCTACACCACCTAACTGTACTCAAAAGTTTGACAAAAGCAGATGTTGGTGGATTCAGTCATAAGTCCCATTTTAGTTCTAAATATGACCTTGTAATTCTCCTATATGTAGGAAAAGTTTTCTTTTCGAACATCTACATTTTAATAGAAATTCCATCTAACATATAGCCATAGACCAATTATATTTAATATGAATGAAAAATATAGTTCAAAGTTTCAATAACTAAGAAAAAATCACTAAAAATCTTCCTTAAAATAAAGAAAATGAGTACTAATACAAAATGATTATTAAAAGTAATAATAAGTCTACGAAAATGAAAACCATTGAAATACATAGAACCATAATTGTGATGTTCTTTTTATTCCCTGTACAATGGTCTTTTAATCACTTGCACAGTGCCCCGCCCCGCTTTTTTTTTTTTTTTTTTTGCTTTAAAAACCACACAGTAGGATTTTTGTGAACATAAAGAGGTTCAAGGGACACTCAGGAGAGAAAATAAGAGCTTAAAGACAAAGGCCAATTCCATGTAATTGAAACCATATCTAGACACAAGTACATTTGAAATGCTGCAAAAAAAAAATGTTTTTGCAGGTGAATAAATGTCCAGTCCTCTAGTTTGGAATTCTGTTTAACTCACTGTCAGGCAGGGCAGGAAACAAGGTCACTCTGTTTTTTTTCTCTGTCAACACTTTGGGAGGAGGATGGAGAAGAATATACTTCAGTGTTTCTTCTCCAGTGGGAGAGCCCTTCCCTCAGTGGTTTAAGAAGCCCTCTCTCAACGGGGACTCTTCATTAGCACCTGCTACGGCCTGAGCTACGTGCACCCTTATCTCTTACTGAGCCAGTTACACAGGGGCATGACTGAGGCCATGTGAAAATATAATTAAACGTTTGTTAAAAATTCACAGATTGCTAAATACACCCATTTAAAGCCTGCACGCGCGCACACACGCACACACACACAGCCTCACAAAACCATCTCCAGAAAGTATTATTCCAAATGGCAGCCATAAATCCACTTTGAACTAAATTTTTAATTAAAAGTTAGAAATCAGAAAGGCTTCTAACAAGTTCACATTGAAAATGCCAAATCCTTGGCTTAGACTGCTCTCTGGATTGACTTGTTACTTGGCGTTCCTCCTTATTCTGACCATCTTTCAGAAAGGGCATGAGCAGGCTGCAAGCGCAGGCTTGGACAGGCTGGTCCAGCTAGTGGAGCTGTGGTGTAAGAACTTTTTGCCATAACTGTATTTTAAAGCCTCTATAAAATGTGACCCACACGTGAAGTGGGAGTACATTAATTGTCAGTCAAGGAGTATTCACAACATGAGGTATGATTTAATGTTCATCCCTGGTCCTTTAAGTACTATAGATGTTCCCCCACATTTTAAACACTGAGGGGCTATTAAAGGGACAGGGATTAGTGCAAATTACCCAGTATGTAGTGCTTTCACTGTTTTAACTAAGCAATAAAACTGTGTAATTGTACAACACTAATTGAATGCAGCTACACATAATTGTGGGCTGCCATATGTATCATATTACCATAAAGACTGTCAGTATTTTGTAAGCTACTCTTGGGATCATTGCAGATGGCTACAGTCGGAGAAGTTGTTCTCTAGGGTTTATTATATGGCTATAAAGACATCCTATGATTTGACAGACTAAATGTGTTAAATGGCAACAATTATGAAAAAGGTTCCAATTAAAACCTGAAGGCATATCCAACCAAGAACAGATATAACGAAAGGTCAGGTATGTAGATTTTGGGGCACACTGGTATTTTGCACAGGATTGTTTTTGAAAGGAGGGTTTTATTTTTGTTTCTTTTTTGTTTATTTGGGGTTTTGCATTAGCTACAACTTACTGAACAGTAGATCTTTAGGCATATGCTTGATTTCCCTTGGATGGGAAACTGAGACCATTTGGAAAAATTATTTGAAAAAATAAAACATTTAATATATAGTCATAAAATGCAGCTGGTGGCCATAAAATAATATGAAAATTCACAGATAACCTGAACCCAGTCAAAAGGTTTCTGAGATTCCCATAATATGGCACTAAAAGCTGACTAATGTAACAGATGTGTTGGAACAAACGTAATTCTCAGTGTTTCTACGAATCCAAGGGTAACCCTGATGAAACGTTGGCTAATGAATTATTAGTAACCACTGAAAACTATTTCACAGAGGAGCTCAGTAGGAACTAAAAATTATTTCACCAAATAGAATTGAACAAAAGTGGCATGAAATTGACAAAGCCATGAAAAAACGTCAATTTACTTTTTAACATATACGGTATCCCTTTAAAAAGACATTGATTTTCCTCTTGCTACGGTATATGGCCTTTATGATGCTTTCTGAGGAAAATGGCTTAAATTTAAATCTTTAATCTTTAAGAAATGAAATATAACAACATTTAAGCAGGGAGTTATTTTATAGAATGCATTTTATGGCCCATGTACTTTTGAATTAAATCTCCTGGAAAAACATAATAAAAAAATTTATACCTACATGTAAAATATTTATGAAATCAAAAATTAAATGAAATAATAAAAATAATGAATGTTGTGCAGATGTTAGAAAGGAGTAAGTCAGAAGAGAGGTAATTAAACGAAAAAGTAAAATTGCTCTTCAATATTACACTGGAGATATCTGGGAAGATGGAGAAGTGAACGGAAACTCCAGGAAACCTGATTCTCACCCTCAATTTAAAATAGTCATGAAACTATCTTAAAAGGAGTTCTATGCAGCTGCAGCGAGATACACAAAACATGCACATTCCGGATTCTGTTAGGAATTATACATCCCAGGATTTTGCCAAAACTGTGGGAACTCAATGCCACTGCAATTTTAAAAAACGTTATTACATTTCTGTCACACAATTATTATCCAATATGTCATAGTAGGAAAATGATCACTATAGACGAAAAGGAACTAAACTCACCCATAATCTTGACACTCAGAAATAAACACTGTTCATATTTTGGGACATGGACTTCCAGAGCTTTCTTTCTCTCCTTCCTATCCTTCTTTTTCCATTGAACAACATATCCTGAATGTTTTTCCGAAGTGAATCGCATATATCTATACAATTACTCTCAGTGGCTGCAGGATATTCCATATGGCACCATATTAGTAATCCCAACAGTTACTATTACCACTGTCATTTATTGTACACACAGGACATACCAGGCATTGTGATGAAGACTTCATGTGCATTTTGGCCCATTTGATCTTCATACCAGCCCTATTAATTTAGCACTCTTACTCATATTTTGCAGATGAGAAAATTGAGATTCGAAGATGTAAAGTAATTTACCCAGTGTTACACAGCAAATAAGTGGCAGGGCCAGAACTTAAACTCAGATATGTCTGAGTCCAAGAGTCTAACCAGGATGTCCTGCCACTACTGGTGGTCTAACCACCATTGTGCCACTATTTAATTCATCAGTGCCCTGAGATAACTTATCTCCATATATACCGTTTGGGTTTTTTTTCCTCATACTGCAAAACCCTGATGTGAACATCCCTCTGGATAGCTACATATCCAGTTTCTTCCTCTTAGGTTACATTTCTAGAAGTAGAATTACTTGGTCACAAGGCACACATGTTATTGAAGGTTTTGGTTATATATTACCAAATTGCCTCTCTGACAGGTTCCACCAAGTGACTCTCCCACCAACACATATGAGATAACTGTTATCCTCTTAACTTTGCCATCATTGTATGTTATTTTTAATTTTTGCTAGTCTGATAAGGCTGTGCCATTTTAGAAAGAAATGAGTGTCATCTCTTAATGACAGCAGAAAGGAGCAGTGAATTAGACAAACACAGACCCACCAAGGTGACACAAGGTGAAAATCAATGTCTTCTTAAAGGGATACCTTTTCCTTCCTGTCCTCATCTCCCTGATGAAATCACAGGTCTTTGAACAAGAGGCCCAGTAAACACTTAGTACAGTAACTGGCCAATTACGGTACTAAATAATGCTTTGGGAAAATGTTGCGTCTTCTATTTTCCCTCAACTTCCATGCAAATTCAGAGAGTAGAATTTTTTTTCTAAACACCCCCAAAAAAAGGATCGTTCAGTTTCTGCCCGGACACTCACAATGACTACAAGCTACCAGTAATAAAGGACATTTAAATTTCAAAGAAATTAGATTATTAAAAAGTTTTTCTAAAGTTAACCCTAAATCTCTTGCCCACTAATATCTTCTCTTTAATTTTAGTTCCATGCTGTCATATACAGTACAAGAAAGTTATCCCGTCCTCCATGTGGCAGCCTTTCCTATATTTGATGAGAATCACCATGCCCCAAGTGGTACATCCCTTCTCTGGGTCAACCCCAGGCCCAGACAGAATGTGTTCAGAGTATTACCATAAGGGGTACCATGGTAAGCCACACCAAGGACTCTCCTGACTCTTTCAGGGAAAGAAGTCTAAGGGCATATGAATATTTTTAGCAGGCTTGTCATACTGAGACTCACACTGAACGAACAGCCTTCTCCAGGTCAACTAATAGCCTTTTGACCTGCAGTCAGGCCAAGTATTCCATTACTGTTTCTGAAATTGACAATAACACAACTACACCAAAACTAACTTAGTCTCTAGGGATTTATGTTTATCTCTTGTTTAATTTCTTCTTACCAGTTTTGGACCTTTATAGAGCCAAAAATATTTTTGGATTTCACTTCTGTCATTGGTATAATTCATCTTCATTTGAAGTCACTGGTAATGATGAATAGGGCAGGATTGGGGCCAGACTCACAGAAGATCACTGGCTCCCTTCCTTTGGGTAACCTCCAATCCATTAGTCAATACACTCTGAGGGCTCAAGTTCTGTGTTTTTGTCCATGACCTCTAGACCCATTCTCTCTGTGGCACTCATCTTGTCCACCAGTGCAGTTAGCTATCCTATCACCAAATGGATTTATTTGGAGAATTAAGAGTCATGGGATTAAGGTGAAGGAAATATGTTATCTTGTGAGCATGGAATTGAAAACTAGGAAGAGCTGGAGCACAACCTGTCATCGTCATTTGGGTGGAACAGGACTAGCTTATTGCTAGATATAATCCACTGCGTGAAAACAAGGACCATGAGTTGCACGTGTCATTTTGATGGGCAGCTGGGAGCAGGCACAAACACTTGAACACAGAGTTTCTAGCCAAGGAGAGGCAGTTTTTCTCCTGCAGGGTCTTGGGGACTTTGGGAGGGAAAAGATTTTTGAATGTTTATATTTGAAGAAAACGACTATGTTTGTTTCTGGAATCTAATAAAAACTAGTGATGTGAGTTATAGTTTGGTTAGTAAAGATTTACTTTTCATAAGGAGGAGGCATCTGTGTACACATTTTTGAAAGACCTGCCCAGGTCCTTGAAAGAAACACAAGCTGCTACTGATGGTTTTTATTGCTAAGGGTACAAGCTTGCCATCTAGTGGTGACTTGTGTAAACTGAAGGTATTAATTTTTTTTTTTTTAATTAAGCAAAAAGTTCCTTTAGTCATGAACCATCATGGCATGCATACACACATACATATACACATACACACATACACGCATACATACACAGTGGTCCCATGCCTAAGCCCATCTGGAGAAGCATCATACTTTCTCCCACTGCTCAGTGAAGTTTACACTGAGGCCAGTGTGAGAACTCCGTCTAACAGGCCAGTTGGGAATGTTTTGGGCTTGCCAGGCGGCTCTGTCCTCTGTTCATAGAAGTATCACTCATTCACTCACTCACTCCACTCATCCACTCTGACGTCCACCTGTCCATACAATTATTAAGTACCAGGCATGACAACCAGTAAAGCAACAAGAACCATGTAAAATCATGGGCATGATCAATTTGGGGGGAAAAACTTTAGTTAAATACAACAATAAATTTATAAGGGGTATTTTTTATTGGGTCAATGCCCAGTTTTCACCTAAAATGTGGCTGAAAACATCCCTGTAAGTCAAATCATATTTTCTCATCAAAATACTTTAACCCAACCAAACACTAGAGTTAAATAAATCATTCATACAATCAATATAGATCCTTAAGACCAGGCTACATTTTTATGCTGTTCTATAAGAATTAAAAATAAAAAACGCTAAAAGTTCTACATACACAATTATACTGTGTACAATGAAATCTATAGCTGAATTAGATATGTATTAAAAATACTTTGCTAGTTATAACAAATATTAATCTAACACTTAGCTAACAAAAATCTTGTTGTCAGTCTTACAATTTAGAAGGGTTTTATAAGCCTTTTAATAACGTAGTAAAACAAAGTATGCTGTGAGGTCTTTTTATGTATTTGATAAGTTTCCCTATAATAAGTAAATGGATTCCAAATCTTTATATTAACTTTATTATAACATTTTCAAAAAATAGTCTATAGCTTTACATTTTGCCATGAGGTGGCAAATCCATGCACAGGTGAATAGTAAAATTTCTAAAGCAATATAAAAAAAAAAGGGTTAAAAAGTGATTTTCACTACATATATTATCGTTAGGCAGTTTTATTTTAAGGAATACTTTAATTTCATTTTTAATTACAAAGAAAGGGGAAATTTTCAAAAGAAAATTAATAGTTATGTTATCTTCATCAAATCCCCTTAAAGATAAAGGCTTGAAGGAGGTACCT
The DNA here is from genome assembly GCF_000001405.40 of Homo sapiens. Lineage (NCBI taxonomy): Eukaryota > Metazoa > Chordata > Mammalia > Primates > Hominidae > Homo > Homo sapiens. Next base: position 35,819,961 of record NC_000013.11, read on the forward strand.
TCCTCAAGGTCATAAGACCAGGCAGTGGAAGAGTGAACCGCTTGGTTTTGAACTTTTGTCCATCTGACTATAAATCCTGGGTGTGTGAGGGTCTACCTTCTGTGATGGTTCTCTTATTTCCACAACTCTCAATAGAATGTGAAATCAACAGTGGTCTCATGTGCAATTAGTGACATCATCCTAGTTTTGTTAAACCAGGACAGAATAAGTTGTGTTAAGTTTTGCTAAACTTATTTGAACTATTTTATCCTATAATAGACTTATCCCTGCAAAATTCACCAACCCCTAATCCCTACCATCAGAAATCACTGTAAAGGAGAATAAAATCTCGTTAGTTTTTCATATAGATATTTTAAAACCACATTATAAATGACTGCAATTGTTTCTCCATATAGTTCAGCTTCTTAAATTAGAAGAGAAGGGAAAAAGAAAGGAGAGAACATTTTTTTTCTTTTGTGGTAATTTAAAGTAAAATATATTTGAATGAGCATAATACATTAGAAGTATCACGTAAACTGTAATTTTAGTAAAAGTGCACTCCAATGTAATCACTTATGGCATTTACAGAAAGAGATAACACTTCAGCGAGGAGTAAGTGAACAATGGGTACACAAAACTGAGCAGCAAAAGCAAAAAGGAAAGAAAATGAAACTTTAATTTTCAGTCGCTGAAGTTTGGGAGCTTAGAGAAGTTTTTAAACAAAGGCCCAGTTGTAAGTCTGTTCCCATGAGACAATCCTACATAATTCAAGACACAGGAAAAATGAGTGCAGATGAGAGAAAATTGCTGCAGTTGATGGAGGTAACTATGCAGAAGAATATGTTTAGGCTACTGTGAAGATGAGGAATTTAAGGTGCAATTAAGTCAGGGCTCAGTCACTTGACCTCAGCTGCCTTTTATTAGCCAGTAGCTACAAGATTACCAGCATAATTGCAATTAACTAATTGTGTGCATATTTGTTTCTTGAATGCTTATCTTTTCTGCTTCAGCGTCAACTTCATGAAGACATGTGTCTCTCTTGTTCCCTGGCACAGTACCTGACACATAGCAAGTACTCAGTTAACCTCTCCTTAATGCAGAGCTTACTGTAGTGTAGTAGTATGAGCTAAGGCTCTGGAAGTCAGAATTAGGTTGAGACCTTGGCTCTTCTACTTAAGAGCTGTGACAACCGTGGGCAGGTCATTTAACTTCTAGGTACCCATGTTCCTTACCTATGAAATGAAACAGTAATAGAACTTACCCAATGTGGTTGCTGTGAGGATGAAACGAGATAATGACTGTAAAGACGTTAGCACAGGGCCAAGTACATAGATGGTTCTCCATCATGGCGGATCTTACTAGCTTTTATTTGTGTCATGGGAGTTGGGTGGCTCATCTGCTTTTAGACTTGAGTGTGTATGCGGGTTACCTGGGGGAGGTGGCTGCCTTGTGGATTTCTGCAAGCTGTCATCAGTCACTGGATTCTGATTTGGTAGGGCTGCATCTAGGCCCAGAAATTTGCATTTTTAACAGGCATCTGGGAATAATTTTGATTCAGGGAGTCTTTAGACCACCCTGCAGAAACACTACTTTAGAAAGAGAATCCTCTTTTCCCAGATTTCTGAAGAGACGGGCAAAGTAACAGAACTCATATATTTATACATAATGCTCAGGGGTGGATAATGAAAGGAAGAACTAGCATCTTTGGGAAAAGATATATATATAAATATATGTATATATATATATATATATGCACAGTATATAGAAATGAAATATATTTCATTAAATTCCAGCCTGAAGAGCCAGCAACATTTATATTACTCCCATATTTCCCAGTGAAGCACCCCATACTTAGTCTCTACCTCCTCTTTTTTTCCTATGTATTCCCCTTAATAACTGGGTGAGGAAGGACCCCCATTTGCTTTTGTGGAGATCTCTCAAGGTTTCCCCAGAGATGTGGAGTAAATGAAAAGCAAACCAAATAGTGTAAAGTTGGGGGAAGGATGTCTCCGTTTTTAAAAATTAGTCTTTTTCAAAATTGTTTTTATGCTAAGGGGCTAGAGTCTTAAAAACCAATTATAATTTTTTTTTCTTTTAGGTTTTGGATCATATTATTGAGCTGTAAAGTTGGGAGACTCCAAAAAAGTCTAAAAGGGCTTCCTTTTTTTTTCCCCAAGTAAAAACTTCTTTTTACTTTTCTTTTCTTTCTTTTCTCTCTCTCTTTCTTTCAAGACAGGGTCTCACTCTGTCACCCAGACTGGAGTGCAGTAGTGTGATCACAGCTCACTGCAGCCTTGACCTCCTGGGCTCAAGAGATCCTCCAGCAACCTCAGCCTCCTGAGTAGCTGGGACTACAGGCACACACTACGATGTCCGGCTAATTAAAAAAAATTTTTTTTGTGTAGAGATGGGGGTCTCACTATGTTGCCCCAACTGGCAAGTAAAAACTTTCTAACATAAAAGTGCCTAAGATAAATGACATTTGTGTCTGTGTAACTTGTCGCTATCTTGTCCTAGCCCAAGGTGTTCAATACAGCCCTACCCTTCGCGAGTTCAATTCCCATTCTTGTGCCTGGTTTTTGTTTGCTAATAAATCAGGTGTTCTTAAGGGCGCATTAACTCATCTAGATCAACCTAAAAGGCTAGTTTCCAACTAGCTCCTGAAGGCTAACTGGAAATTAACCTTTCAGGTAAATTTTTAAAAAAAGAAAGAAAAGAAAAAAGAAATATTCATATTCCTTCATGAGTGCTTGGAACTCAGGATGCCCTGTAGGTGGAATTCCTCTTACCAGCAGGTTCTCTGGCTTGATATCACGGTGGACGATGTTCAGGCTATGCAGGTATTTGATGGCGCTGGCTAGGTTGTACAGCATCCCACTGGCGTCTCTCTCGGTGTATTTGTTAGTGGAAGTAATGGCATCAAAAAGGTCTCCCCCCTGAGAAGAGAACAGAAGCTGAAGCAGCACATTAACAGACGGGCCAGTGGGGCCACCTGCAGAGGCCATTGACAAACCCCAAAGGACAGGAAGAATGGATGTGGAATCTTTGGGTTCCTAAAGGCTTTTCCTGCTACTTTCCTTTCAAAGGCTCGAAGGCTGAATGGTGATTTCTCCACCCACTACAAAAACCAGTGGCATCTCCCCCAGAGCTCAAAGAAAGGGGCAGCGTGAGGATTCTCCACCACCAGACACATGGCCATTTCCACAGATCCCAGCTAGGGGACGAGGAGATGCAGCTAGATCTCCAGGGCAGAGGACTGTGACACGTGAAGATCCCAGTGGCATGTGCTACCTGCCTCACATTGACTGCCAGCCAGAGTTCAAATTTGTAATCCTTCACCTCCTCCAGTGAGGAACAGGTAATACTGCAAACTGCACACTGAAAATGTTCTACTGCCTAGTGAAATTATTAGGATGCACACACACACACACACACACACACACAATCCCCTTCATACACTAGATTTAGCTCTCTGAGAGTGGGCATAGTGTTTTCTTTTTCAATATTGTGCTCCTTTGTAAGGAACAGAGAAAAAGACCAGAAACTTCATTTCAAAGTTGAGTGAGAGAAGGAGGGAGGAAGGGGGGGAAATCTCAAAGAAAGTTTTCTAGGACTGTCATTCATCTGAACTTTTGTTTCCTTTGCTCCTTTTTAAATATATTGCTTTTTGGTAAAATGGAATGATTTTTAAGTTCCAACCTAAGTTCCATTTATTCAAAAATCCTTTCAGAGAATTGGGGTCTGATTTACTATCAATATGTGCATCATGCTTGCCTACAGTGTACCAAACCGCTATGCACAGTAACCAACTGTGATCATCTGTTACCTAATGCGCTAAGGAACTCAGTTTTCTTTTTAAAATAGCTAAAGCAAAAGATAGCCCCTGTAGGCTGATGATTTTCAAATCTGCCTCTCGGGCCTGGGCCCTCTGTGCCCCTGTACAGTCTCCACTCTGGAGACTTCTCTCACTGTCCCCCAAGCTGCAACGGTTCTCAAGCTAACCACACAAATTTTTTTTTTCAAAGCAAATAGTTTTTTCAACTTTCTGCTTCTCTCAAAGGTAAGGCTGCTACACACAGGTTTTCAGGTTGTCTCTGTGCCACTTGAGGAGGTGGGACAGTCACCGTGGTCTATGTGAACAGCACCCCTGGAGTTCCACCACAGGGCATGTGTGGCTGTATATGGAGACCCTGCAAAGATTCCACCAGTCCCAGTTATCTGGGCTCCTGGCATCTTGTAATGTCCTTTTTAATAAGAGATAAGGTCTTGCTTTGTCACCCAGGCTGGAGTGCAGTAGCACAATCATGGCTCACTGCAGCCTCAGACTCCTGGGCTCAAGTGATCCTCCTGTCTCAGCCTCCAGAGTAGCGGGAACCACAGGAGCAGGCCATCATGCTTGGCTAATTATTATTATTTTTTTTGTAGAGATGAGGCTTCGCTTTGTTGCCCAGGCTGGTCTCCAACTCCTGGCCTCAAGTGATCTTCCTGCCTTGGCCTCCCAAAATGCTGGGATTACATGCGTGAGCCACTGCGTCTGGCTCCTTTCTTCTTTGTCCTCAACAATGCAGTCAACAGGTCTTATCGGTCCTTTCTTGGACACGTTTTTCCTTCGCAGCCATCTGGGCCTTCCTACTCCGCCAAACGCTCCTGTTGCCTCATCCCTGGGTTGTTGTCATGTGGTCTCACAATCCGTTCTGCTTCCCTCCGTGAGCTCCTTATCCAAAGCATCCTGCACACCGACTGCTACCTTCCCACACATTATGTCGCTATTTTCTTTCTCTCTTCAAGAAATCACCATTCTTTTCCCACAGCCGAAAGGAGGAGGCTTTCTATATTCTGCCCCAACCTTCATTCCACCCTGTTTAATTTCCTGTCTTGCCACTACTTAACATAGTGACCCTCACACTCCAGGATATTTCTTCCCTAGCCATCCAAACAGGCCAAGATCTCTGTCCTCAAGCCTGTCCTCATGACAGCGCCCTTCCTGAAGTGTCCCATCCCCTCCCCTTCAGTTTTCTAACTCCCGTTGCTCTCTCAGGGCCCAGCTGCAGGCCCAGCTCCTCCACGAGGCCTGCCTTCCTCTGAACACATAGGCAGCCTGCGTGTGCACCGCCTCTGGAGGCAGAAGGCTAAAGTCCTGTGCCTGATGAGCATGGAATTTCATTCTCATTAACTGCCGATCCACTGCCGTCCGGAACATGAGCCTTGTTTGTCTGAGAGCTTCAGGCATTCTTTGGGACATCCCTGGGCCCTGAGGGTTTGAGAAGCATACCCCACCCACATGTCTCAGTGGAAAAGTCCTGGGAGTCTTTCAAGTCAAGCCTGGGGCTGGCCTTCACTTCCCTGGGAAGCTTCTCGAGCTGTCCTCAGGGCGTTCTGGGTGAGATTAAATCGAAGGGTATGGTCTTGCAGCACAATTGAGGGTCCCAGCGCTGGGCTACAGAGACCTTCTATGGCCTTTCTAGGGTATCTTGGTGATGTAGAGAGAATTCACAAAGGCAGTTAAGTGCAACGAGGACCTTACCATAGTCTCCTAACCAAGCACACGATTGACAGACTAAGATTTCTCACCAAATGCGTTCAGAGTGCCTAAGCCTTTGCCATCTTGAAATTTCATTTAGTCTCAGCACTCCAAAAATCAGCCAACAGTGGGGGTAAGTCAATAATAACGGGGGGTAATCAAATTCTAACAGCACATAGAAGGGCAACAGAATGGCTTGAAGTTGTTAGTTTAAAAATTAACATTGTTGTAAAAAGACTCCTTGGTACTGGGGAAAGTATAATTTACAATGTTGGTAAAAAGATAATTTAATAATAAAGCACCAACGGGAAAATCTTCATATTTTTTCTTTATTCAAATGAAATCGACTTTTCTTTTTTATTTTTTTTTGAGACAGAGTTTCGCTCTTTTTGCCCAGGCTAGAGTGCAATGGCGCGATCTTGGCTCACTGCAACCACCACCTCCCGGGTTCAAGCGATTCTCCTGCCTCAGCCTCCCAAGTAGCTGGGATTACAGGCGCCTGCCACCATGCCCGGCTAATTTTTTGTATTTTTAGTAGAGACGGGGTTTCACCATGTTGGCCAGGATGGTCTCAATCTCTTGACCTTGTGATCTGCTTTCCTCGGCCTCCCAAAATGGTGGGATTACAGGTGTGAGTCACTGCGCCTGGCCCATGAGACACTGCCCAGCCGACTTTTCTTTATTGGATTTTCAGTTTAACATTTTTACCTCCCTCAGCCTCAAACATGACAATACCCTTGTTACTAAAAAAAGGCTCCCATTCTTTGAAAGAAACAAGTCTGGCCGGGCACGGTGGCTCATGCCTGTAATCCCAGCACTTTGGGAGGCCGAGGTGGGCGGATCACCTGAGGTTGGGAGTTCGAGACCAGCCTGACCAACATGGAGAAATCCCATCTCTACTAAAAATACAAAATTAGCCGGGCGTGGTGGCACATGCCTGTAATCCCAGCTACTAGGGAGGCTGAGGCAGGAGAATTGCTTGAACCCAGGAGGCAGAGGTTGCCGTGAGCCGAGATCGTGCCATTGCATTCCAGCCTGGGCAGCAAGAGCAAAACTCCATCTCAAAAAAAAAAAAAAAAAAAGAAAGAAAGAAAGAAAGAAACAAGTCCTAATTTGAAGTAGACTAAAAATAAATTTCACCTATAAATACAAATAACCACTAAGTTAAAAAAAATGCCAATATGTCTAAGGTGAAGCAATTCTAAATAACAAAAACTTAAAGACCCTAGAATGAACATTTTTCATATCATCGCAGATTAGCTTACTAAATGCTTTCCTCGTCTTGAATTTTTAAAAGAGAAAACCTCACATTCAAGTCAGCAGTGTAGGGATTCCAAACATGCCCTGGGAGCCTGAGGCGCCCCCTGGCGGTGCTCACAGCTGATGCAGAAGGCGGTGCAACCAATTACAACATTCTCCAACTAAGGTAGACATTACTTACACGTTCAGTTTGATGAATATACTAGAAAAGACTTGAGAACACAACAGCTTCATGAAAATGAAGCATGCCATTTTTTAAAACTTCTACTTCCCGAAAATGTCAAATGTATGGAAGGAGAGAGAACAGGTAAGAGACCTTTCATCTCCATTCAACCGTCATCAACAATTGGCTATCCCGATAGTTTGTTTTCATAGAATAAGAAGGTAATATTATGTGACAGGATGAGATTACGACATTCACTGAAAGTCAGTACACTATTCACATCATTATTAGGACAGTGCTATTTTCCCATTATGTTGGTGACTAAAAGTTTAAAGCTTGTTTTTACAAGATGGCTGGTACCTTTGGATATAGTTCATGGAAAAGTGAATGATTTTCCATTACAACAACGACAATTGTATTGGTACCTAATGCTTTGTGTGTCACACAAACTGGTGGAAGCCATCTCTTCATCCCCACAATAACACCATTAAGCAGATATTATTAATATTCTCACTTTACATATGTTGAAAGTGAGACATAAAGAGGTAGACCCAAAGTCATGGGCCTCTTTGTGCCAAGGCTGGGACTTGAGCCCTTGTGTACCATTCTCCTGTGAACATTCCTAATCACTGGGCCAATGTACAGAAATGAGAACCTGAATACTGATGGGAGAAAATAAGGGAAAGAGCTCTAGAATATAGGCAAGTGCGGTGCCATCAATAAAGACTTACTTTCTTTCCAAAATACACACCTTTACTAATTCCATGACAAGATACAGTTCAGTTGGCACATCCATCTCCTCAATCAGAAGAACGATATTGGGATGCTTCACTCTTCTTAAAATAGACACTTCATTCTGGATCATGTGCTCCTGTCCAAAGGAAAAGTTATCTTCATCAGCTTCCATAAAACATGTGGAGGGCTAACTCAAATGAGTACAACTATACTATGTAAGGGTCAAGAGAGATGCATTTTGGTAAAATGTAATAAGCCTGTCTTATATTCTGATATTCAGATATAGCCTAGAATTGCCAATAGATATGGAGATCCTTACATAATGCTTGCAAATTCAGAACCAATCATGATAACTACAGTTTCATAGCAAAGAATGGGATGAAACTTAGATCACATTAAGAAGGGAAGAGAGTAAGCAAACAAAAAGATAAGGAAGTGAAGTCATATCTAATCATTCCAAATAACTTTTATCCCAGGGATATACATAAAGTTATATTCTAGTAAGTGTATAACATTCTATTCCACCAAAATTCAACCCTTAGGGTGAACTTGTATTTGTTTGGGAGTGATCTTTGTGTTTCTTTTGACCTCTTGAACACTCTTATCTCATAAGAACAAATTTTATACATACTTTGCCTCGACATTTGCTTTTCTTGATAATTTTCAGAGCATACTCTCTAGCAGTCGATCTGCGAAGAGAAAGTTCATGTTTTTAAAATGAAACTTAACTTCAAATCTATTGAATTATTTTGTCAGGGATCAATTTCCTACCCCATAGATCTTGCATCATGTTGTAAATATTTTGTGAAAGGATTTCCTTTCCTTTTTTAAAAAAAAACAAATAAATATGTAAACGTTGATGGACTGACCAAGTGTAAGGACAGTAAGTCTGCTGGCATAGAGAAATCTTGGGCTATTTATGTTGCCGTACTTGTAATAAAAACACTAGCACTGGCACTTTGTTCCTCGAATTGCCCACTTGTCCCTCTTCCAAGTGTACTTTCCTTCCTTTTCTTACTGTTGGAAAACTTTCTAATAAACTTCCACTCCTGCTCTCAAAACAAAACACTAGCATTGCTAGTGTGTCTTAGCTTCTCCTGCTGCCAGGTTACTCTTCCCTCCCCTTCCCTCCGAAGTGATGTAGCAGCAGCCTAAAGCAGAGATGAGTTTCCGCCCTTCCCCTTTCCTCAAGTCTCTCCTGAGGTTCTCTATCCACCCAGGGCACCTATGACAGTTTTCTGAATGTTCATGCAATTACACTGAAGACTCTAGAGAAAGCACTCCACGCTCTTTAGACCTCAGTTCAGTGTGAGAGCCTGTGTGAGTTCCGCTGGAGAACTCATAGATGATATGGTCAAGGTGTAAAGAAAGGGATAAAATCTATTTCAGAGCTCCCTGGGGACCCCTGGGCCCTTTTATGGGCTGTCTCATTTCTTTGAAAGAAAATGAAGGTGACAGTGGAAATCCACTCACTTCCCAAAGCCACATGGCAGCTTTAAAATTGGACTCTGAGTTCTCCAGGCCCCTGCTCCCTGCATAGCACAGTGAACGCCGCCCCTCCTCTGTGATAGGTGTAGGAGGAAGGATTTAGTCGTATCGCTACCTTTAAACAGCTTCCTGATTTGTGCTAACATTGCTAAGAAACTGTAGTGACAAACACAAGAACACGTCTATTATTAAAGGGCACAATGCATACTTCATAATCATAGTAAACCACGATTTCACAAGCATTGCTGTTTTATTTCTGGTGTGAAATCGGGAGAGCCTAGCTTTTTACCTATAGATAAAAGCCAATTTTGTGGATCCAATGGACACAAATAGTAATGAGGTTAATTAAGAACATGCTTTTAAAATAGGACTTTAAAATCTTCAGTATGGTGAATTAAGTGGGATTTCCTGGTTATATGGTTACAGCAAGAAAATGATTTGCCTCTAAGCGAATCAAGAGACCAGGCGTTAATGTGTTTTGAGGGCATTCTAGAAATTTTTCATGTCATTTACTCCTAAAAATGCTTCTTCCATGACACTTCCAGGCTTTTTCATGGTGCCGGCCTCAAAAAACAGTGAACACTGAATTATGATTCTATCTGCTGAATAAAATCACAAGATGATGACTTCGAAGCCTCTTTTCCTCACTAGAGGGCTTTGGGGTTCAGGTGGTAGAAGGTAAACCCTTTGCTTCGGGGCTCCCCTCCTGCAGATATGCGGCTGTCCAGAGGAATTCCCATAGCTGTCACTCAGGAAGGGAATGCACTAGAAGCCCAAGGATGCCCCTGCCACTGTCTCTGTTGATCTTTCAACAAAGACTCTGCCATGGCTGGGCAGAGAGGCCATGATGGGATGTGAGCCAGGCTGTGGCTAAATGCAGGGCTTGGTGTGCTAGATGTTCCCACATAAACACTAGACCACCAGCAAGACTGTGGGGTAGAGGAGGAGAAGGCACTGGAGTGTAAACCAAATATTTAACATTAGAAATTTAAAACGTGGGTTGGGGCAGTGGCTCATGCCTATAATCCCAGCACTTTGGGAGGCCAAGGTGGGCGGATCACTTGAGGTCAGGAGTTCGAGACCAGCCTGGTAAACATGGTGAAACCCTGACTCTACTAAAAAAAAAATACAAAAATTAGCCAGGCATGGTGTTGCGTGCCTGTAATCCCAGCTACTTGGGAGGCTGAGGCAGGAAGATTGCTTGAGCCCAGGAGGTAAAGGCTGCAGTGAGCCGAGATCATGCCACTGCACTCCAGCCTGGGCGACAGAGAAATTTAAAATGTAAGAGCAAACATAAATGAGAAAATGAGAAAGTGAAATGATTCACGTGTGAAGAGATTCTTCATTGTAGAAGCTCTATATCCTATAAGACCACAGGGTCCCTCTAAGTAGCTTCTTCTTAAGAGGCTCCTGTAGAGTTTGTCTACAAACTTGAAAATACTTAATCGAGGAAAACTAAAAGCTCAAGTGTTTCTGGATTCTGCTTTTCATAAATTACTAAAAAATTATGATAAAGCAAATCTCAGGTTGGAATACATGAGCAATTTCCTATCTGGCTTAACATGTCCCATTGGATGGCAGGGAATCTAGACCATTGCACTGCCTGCCTGGGTAACCATCAGCAATCCCAGGCAAGGCCAGAGAGCAAGAAGGGATGTTTGTGAGACTGAAAAATAAAAGCTGCCGTTCCCTTCACCACCTCCACAAAGGGGATGGATGGACAGGACCGTGCTGGTCAGAAGAGAAAGTGGTTTCTTAGCTTGGTGATTTCCCCATGTTTGCCATTTGATGCTCTTTTCCCTTGAAGGAGTAATTTTAAAGCACTCAATCCTCAGGGCTGGTGTAGAGCACAGGAGGGCTGAACCCCCTTTACAGCCAGCCAGACAAGAAGCAGGATCCCCAGTGAGCCAGAGGGTGTGTTGGCTCCCAGCAGGCCAAGGAAGCAGGTTCTGTCCTGAGCCTACAGCTGAGGGGAAGAGGGCAGCAAACCTAGGGCTTACTAGGAACAAAGACCTTGTGGATTTCCACTATACAACCTTTCGTAATAGGATTAAACCTTCCATTACATCTACTCATATTTCATAGTGGACAATGAGCTCCACAGAGGACCACCAAATTAATGTTGCATCTTTTCTTTTTTGATTCCCTGAGGGCCGAACTACAAAGCCACATAATAAAATCCATAATAAAAGCCACATAATAAAAATTAATTCCTAGAATCACAGGTTTATAGGAAAGTAGCTAGTCTAGAAAGTGTGCCTGAAAACAGGTGTTAGGAGACTAAATGTGTGTCATAAGAATAAGAATATAAGTGTCTGCTTTAAGTGAAAACACTTGGCAAGAAATCGAATCTTATATAATGAATTCGCCTTCCTGCATACCTCGAACTCTGAGGACTGCTGTGCCTGTGTAATTATTCAGCAGTGGGACGCAGGGCTCTTTGGTGGATTCAGAGGGGAACGAGACCTGATCCTTGTCTTTAAGGTGTCTATGTTTGAGTGTACTCAGAAGAATACTAGATGACCTGACTGATTACTGGTGAGGTGAATACAGGCCGTTTGCTTGCTTGTTTTTGAAATTATGTTCTTGACCTTTTACAGAACCCTCTTTACCACAACAAAACCAGCAGCAACAGAAAACTTTGTCTTCCTCCTTGACTAAGGGAAATCAATTTGTAAGGCTGCCTTCTTATTAAGTGTGACCCAAGGTTAGAACCCAAACTACTAGAGGGAAATTTTCAAATTTTACAAACTTTAATTAAATCCAACTTTTGGTGTTTGTGCTAAAAATGGTTTGGAGACAGCTGTCTTGTTCAACTGAGTGATTCCCAACTCAGGCCAGTCTTCTGCCCACTGCACCCCTCACCCAGGGAGTGTAGCAGAATGCTTGTCAAAAAAAGAAATGGGCCAGGCATGGTGGTTCACACCTGTCGTCCCAGCATTTTGAGAGGCCGAGGCAGGAGGATCACTTGAGATCAAGAGTTTGAGACCAGCCTGGGCCACATAGTGAGACCCATCTACAAAAAATAAAAACAAAAAAATTAGCAAGGCATGGTGGTGTGCACCTATACTCCTAGCTATTCAGGAGGCCAAGGCAGGAGAATGGATCACTTGAGCCCAGAACTTTGAGACTGCAATGAGCTATGATCTTGCCACTGCACTCCAGCCTGGGTGACACAGCAAGACCCTGTGTCAAAAAAAGGTGGTGGTGTGGAAATGGCTAGCAAAGATTGGGATGCTCTAAGCTAACATGGTTTCTCTTGTTGCTGTTGTTTGCTATGTTTTGAAGGATTTAGAAAAAGAGTATATGGAGAAGGAAAAGCAGCTCCCAAGCATTCCTCTCCCATAGCATTCATTGAATTTCATGGCAATCCTTGTTTGTGGGTAAAGTTCTCTGTATGGGGCTGTGTCTTGTCTCTCTCTGTAACCCCAGAAGTGCCCAGCATAAGCCTGAACTAGGAGGTGCTCTGCATATATTGTGGAAACTCCAGAGGATGGTGGCAGTTAGCACAATGACAGGAATACCACCCTCAACACTAGCAAAAAGGAGTTAGTAACACACCGTTTGTTTACCAAGTAATCCTAACAAAGCCCAATCTCAGCCTCCTCCATAAAGAGATAACTGCCAAGAGCAGAGAGCAGAGAACTGAGGCATTCCACAGTGTCTTGTCAGACAGCTCCCAAGTGGAATTTGATTTTGAATTTGACAAGGGCCCCATGGCTCTCAGGAGCCAGAGGCTCCTCAGGAAGGAAAGAAGGAAGAACAGTAATCCACTAGCCAAGAGCAGTGATCTAAGCTTTCAGCACAAGGCATCCTCCAAATTCCAGTTCTGATGGAAATGCTTTCAAACTATAGACACATGGTCGCTTTGTTGAGGTTATTGAGAATTTTGAAGATTTTCTAGGTGGAAGCAATGCATTTTGGTGACCCTAAGATCTCTGCTTGTTCTGCTGGATTTGAGCCTGCTTGTGTTCATTGCTAGAGCCAGCAGCTTGGGGCACACATCCTCAGGCTTATAGGTGCCGGTGGGAGAGACAGAAGCATCCGCAGCAAGGATTTTAATTCATCTCTGGTGCCTATATCACTAAGCAATGCCAGCAGTGCAGGTGGGGAAGACGACCAAGAGCCACCGGGGGCACCATCCCTGCTCATGACTATATCACCCCAACCCTTGGCTCGTGTAGTTATTAGTCCACACGGAGCCAGGAAAGTTAGGGATGAAAGGCATCTCACATCACGCCCTCTACTTATGCTCTGACCGCTCATTAGAGCTTTTCTGCTCTTTGAGTTTGCTATGGGGCCTCAAAATGCTCCACGAAACAGCTTCAAAGTAGAGCATGTCTCTTCCAGCTGGAGTCACAGTCCACTAACTTCCTTTAGTATGTCCCAGGTACCCCAGAGGCCACTCAAGAAGTTACTCCTGGAGCATGGGCAGAAATCTAAATGGACCTAGCTGCCAAAGACTATGCCGGAACAGGACCACAGAAAGACATCGTTATTGTGTCCATTGTTGTAGACAAATCTTGCCTGTGACAGGATATGATTAGCAGAGGAGAGGCATATTCACCCTTGGTAATACATATTCATCCTTCCAAACACAGCAGAATGTACCCGCAAGCAATGTGTGCCATTCACAACATTCTTAGCTCGCTTTTTATTTTCTTGGACCTCTGGAAAATATTAGAAGAATGTTTTCTGATACCTCTGGGGACAGAGGGCACATGCCATATGTCCTCGTTCAGCAGGAGCCGAATACTAACTTCATGGAGCAATCTGGTGTTTAGGTTCTGAAGTTTCATACAGTGAGACCCAAGATGTGAACTCACGCAAAACAAACACAATCCAAGTTAGAAAGAAACAAATTGATTCTGGATGGAGAAATGGGAAATTTCTATTGTGAGAAGGCCAGTCCTGTTGGACCAAGACACCAGCCCAATCCAAGAACTAGCTAGGAGAAACAGCACATGCCACCATGTCAGACTTAACAGATGATAGATGCTGGCAAATCACCAGACACCCCACAGCTCAGGGGCATGGCAATCTGCTAGAAATGGGGTTTTCTGCTACAGTAGAAATAAAGCCAAAAAAAGCCAGATTTACTATCAGTAAAAGCATCAATGAAATATAAAATTATATAAGCACACATTTATTTGCATGCACGCTTCTATCCATTACCATAGGAATGGCTTTCCCAAATTAATTAGTCTTATTTGTACAGGGCCAAAGGGAACGTGTGTGATTTTGGCTCAGCTAAGCCAGAGTCTTATGGGAGGCTCCTTATTAGTGGAGTAAAGTGGTTAAAAGTGTGGTTTTTGGAGCTGGGCTCGGACCTATGTCTTGCTAAGTACTTCTTACCTGACTGACCTTGGGCGCTTAACATGTCCATGTTTTCTATCTATAACGTGGAGACAACAATACTGATATTATGAAAGTATTGTGTTAATTAAATGAAATGTCATAAATTAAGGACTTTGTAGATAGTTTATGCTCAGCAAAATGAGGTTGCTCCTGCTTTGGGAGGTGTGAGGCCCAGGAATGCAATGGACATTTTCCATGTTTGGCACAAATGTGCCAAATGGCCAAGCTTCGTGGAGAGGTGGGGGAATGAGAGGGAGAGAGGAGAACGGTGGCCTGGCAGCATCAACTCACAGATTTTTCAAGCTCCCTATGACTCGTGCCCCTCCTGGATGCACAGTGGCTGCTCAGCTGGGTCTCTGTCCCTGTTGGGAATATCCTAGCCTTGCTGAAGTGTTGGAGTAGAACAAGGTTTGAGATCCTCTGCACAAAGGTCCATAAGGAGGACTCTGCTACCTGAGCTGGGGAAGCAGCTTCCAAAGAGCCGCAAGGGGTGCCAGGAGCACATAAGTGACTATTGGCCAAATGAAGAACCCTCATGAGATGTGGGGCCCTGTAGAGACTACCAGCTCTGATATGGCAGGAACCTGTGCTTCTAAATCAAAGCCTGTAGAGGAGGCAAGGTCTAGATCTTCCAGGCCAAAGCCTTCTCATCTGTCTTCTCTCCTCAGTCGTCCTCTCTGAGTGGAGCTTAGGAGTGTGATTCTCGGAGGATTAAGAATGGGCAGGGTGTCCAGCCCCACTGCGGGCAGAGAAAGGTGACAGGGAAGTGTGTACCCCCCAGTCCAGCCCCCAGAAAGCCAGAGGACACAGTCCCTCAAGGAATGAGGCAAGTTCCCCCAACTTTGCAGTATTCTGCCCACCAGCCCTGAGGAGAAGCTGCTGGCTGACCAGCTCCCCTAAAGCAAGCAGCTGCTCAGGAAAAGAAACCCAAATCTGATACCGAGTGGAGGGCTTGAGGCCCCCGTAGCTGGGTTGTAACTTTATCAGTTGTCACTTTTCCGTCTAGTAGCCACCAGCTAACGTCCTCCATTAGGTATCTAGAACCTCAGGATAAACCCTTCCCTTTGGGCCACAGAGTACCGGGTTCATTCATTTTAATACGTCTTAATGTGTTAAATACCACTTCTGTTGGGGTCAATACATATGCATTTTAAAGCTTTTCAAGATGATCGTGTATGTATTTCATCCTATGCTAGTATGCATTACAGACATATACTCTCACAAGAACTTTCTGACCTCTACAAAATGTCATAAAAAGTGTGTGAGAAAAACTATTCAATATGGTTTTTAACAACAATAAAAAGGCTTACCTGAAAGAGCTGGCAACGTCTCTCTGAGTACATTTAAAAAAATCAAAGTCTTTAATTTATAGATTGTCCCCAGGTATCACTACATTTTTCAAATCTGTTGTTAGATGGGTCTTTCTTTTGCAAAAAATTCTTTTGCATTTGGGGTTGAGACATTAACTTATTCCATATGTGCCACAGACTGGAAATAGAGACACAATCTTGGAAAACATAACGCCAAATGTAACCTTTAAGGTTTGATGCAAATGATATCCTTCTCACCTTTCTACACATTCCTTGACAACAGCAAAATTTCCATCTCCTATTGTTCTTCCGACTTTATATCGTTCTGTTATTGTAGCTGGAATCTGGAAGCCTTCCTCCGACACTTCTGAAAGAATCATTAATACTTTTTTATTGGTTGAAAAGGGAACACAGATGTTGCACAAGGAAACATTTAAAAGTATCATCTAATTGACTGGAATGGATTCAGAATCAATATGTCATTCTCTGTACAGTGAGGCAACTGCCTCCCCACCCTTGCTGACATTGTATATACTCAACAGTTTTTACTAAGACAAATGATAAAATAAAAAGAAACGTAAGGGGTCCACTCCCACCTATATAAGAGAAACTTGAGTTTTCTGATGCCGTAGGGATTCTCAGGAGGAAGCTTTGCTCCTTTTACTTCACGCCAATTTGATCAATAGTGTTTACTGAATACCCACTGTGTACAGAAAAATAGCATTCCCATGTATGGCGCAGGAGGCAACCGCAGTTCGCAAGGGACTCTGGGCTGCTTGACACTGTACAAGCATGAAAATTGCCTGCTGTTTGGACACTTAGTTTTACTACATCCTGAAATGGAAATCTCCGTAAAATTCCTCATGAACTAAGCACTGATGGCCACCCGTCCTCGGTATCAACGAGCAGACTTTAGACAAATGTTCTCACCAGCAATCTGCATAGCAGATGTTGAGTTAAAACTACACTATCTATTATGTCTGTGAATGGAACAGTTTTGTAGTTTCAATTATGTTAGTGCCACTAACACAACACATTTTCCCCCTGAAAATGCATTTTGAAATATTTTACAAATGCCTAATAATGCTTTAAATATCTAAGGCCATAAAACTAAATAAGCCACAGTTAGGTCACGTAAATATACTGAATAACCTTTAACATCTTAAGGGTGTAAAAAGTCTTTTATAGCTGGGCTCTAAAATGTACATGTTTTAAAGTGATAAATCCCAGCTCTCCCTCAGGCAACCTGAATGCAAAATGTGATGGAACCCCGGTGTGTTTTCTAAATGCACTCCTCTTCCGACCTTTCGTCATAAACTGAGACTAAACATCTCTCCTCAAAATAAAACTTTAGGTGGTGAATGGGCTTTCTTAGTAGTTTTTGTATTCATGCTTGCTCTGTATTGTTGGAGACTCATAATCATCAGATATCTGCATGAGGGCCTTTCTTCTCGATTTATGATGATGCTCAGTTGGCATCAATCTGAATTCTAGAGGGGATGAAATTTCTGGAAAGCGTTGAACAAATGTAGGACATTTGCTGCTGCTACTTTTGTCCTTGGCATTGGTACAGCCTCTTCACCCCTTTATAGGTGACATTTCCCTCTTACCCTGCTAGAAGCCATCTAGGTGGTCTCTAGAATAAAGTGAGGGCTGCAGCCAATCCCCCTAACCCCATCTCACCCCTCTAAAGAAGCCACAATTTTGCCTCTGTTTGAAGGACTCAGCCAGGGGAGTTTTGTCTACTGCAAAGCACCCAAATTTACAAAACAGCTCCCAGATGACACAATCTTAAGGCTCTT
This sequence comes from Homo sapiens, assembly GCF_000001405.40. Classification (NCBI taxonomy): domain Eukaryota; kingdom Metazoa; phylum Chordata; class Mammalia; order Primates; family Hominidae; genus Homo; species Homo sapiens. The sequence goes on from NC_000013.11 coordinate 35,837,577, forward strand.
TACTATGTGGCTAAGAAAGGAACCCTCCTTGGCTGTTGGGTACAAGTGTGACCCTGCAGGTGGGAAATGGAAGAAGGTACTTCCATTCTGCCTTCTGGTGGGAGCATTCACTGAGACACCCATTCAAAGCACGTGGCTTGGGATTTTTTTTCCTTGACTATTCATAAAAGGTACCTTTCCTCACTTTTGGTTAAGAAGGCTAAGCCAGGCTGGGTGTGGTGGCTCATGCCTGTAATCCTAGCACTTTGGGAGGCCGAGGCAGTTGGATCACTTGAGACCAGGAGTTTGAGACCAGCCTGCCCAAGATGGAAAAATCCCATTTCTACTAAAAATACAAAAATTAGCTGGGCATGGTGGCAGACGCCTGTAATCCCAGCTACTCAGGAGGCTGAGGCAGGAGAATTGCTTGAACCTGGGAGGTGGAGGTTGCAGTGAGCTGAGATAGTGTCATTGCACTCTAGCCTGAGAGACAGAGCGAGACTCCATCTCAAAAAAAAAAAGAAAAGAAAAGAAAAGAAAAAAAAGGCTTAGCCAAAGGCTTAAATCAAGAACCATTTCATTTCATTCAAAGGATACAAAACACTTTGGAACAAATGAGACTTCTATGTGGCTGAATTTCATATTTCTGGAAATACAAAAAATTCTGAAGTTGCATTGTAGTCAGAAAATAATTATACTGTAAATCACATATTTCACTGAATATAATAAAAGCACTTCCCAAAGGGTACTTTTTTCGGAAAAAAAATTAAATCATATCATTTAAAACAAGTAAGAGAAGCAGATTCCTTAACAGTGGCTTGATGGTATCACTTTTATCTTTTCCAAATACTTCCCCACAGTTGATTTGAACCTGGTAACAGCCTTCAGGAAGGAAATAGGTGTGATTCACAATCTCCATTTCATAGGAGAGGAAGTAAGACGCAGAGAGTTGAAAATGCTTGTCCAAAACAATCCAGTGAGTTAGTGAAAAAGTCATTTCTGGAATCCTGATCATTTGACCACATCACAGAGACATTCTGCAGTGAATTACCTCAAGAATATTTTTGCAATTTCCACCAATTCTTTTTGTAAAACCATATTTCATGTATTGAGTTCACTTAATTTAGAGTACATCTGTGAGACTACAACAGTCAAAAGAATAAATTGTCTTTAAATTTGGCCTTTGTTCACTTAAAGTAACACTAAAAGTGAACAGAGTTTGGGAAAACAAAAGCAGCCACGATCCCAGCGATCCCCTCTTATTTCCAAAGCAGGCAATAGCTGGCCTTCTTAGGATACATATGCCCTCAGAGGATGGGAAATGTCTCCGAAATGGGCCAACTTCCCCTTCCCATTCTCACAGAGCAGATACCAATCCCTGGTGGGCACCATATTCAACCCTATCCCCTTGTGATTGACCCTCAGGAGCTGCTCAGCCTTGTCCATGTCATTCCGCTTGAGAAGCCACAGTTTCTTGGAGTAAATTTAGCCAACCCATCCTCTGCCTCCTCAGATACCAAGTCCCAAGCTCATCACCTTCTCCAGGGCCATCGTTCTCATCCATCGAGCTGCAGACTTTGGTGGACGCAAGTGACGTAGAGGAGCCGCCATGCTGAGAGCTCTGTAGGGGAACAGAAACCGGTAATTCAAAAACTGGGTCAGAATGCCTGAGTTTCCAGGGACCATGCCCAGCCCGGAATCTCAGGAGAAAACTTTGCCCATGCTAGGGAGGATTTGATCTTAACACTTGGAAAAAGACGCCTTCAGCATATTCAACTGGGGCCACATCTCCCTCTCTCCCTATTAACCAAGAATAGACTGTGATAACAGGATCAAGCTGGTTATTGTGAACTTGAATGTTCCGTGACTTCTTATTCCTTTTGCTCAAAATCGGGGTCCTTTAGCTCGCTGTTTGGGTTTGGCAGAGTTCAGGCATCTCACCTCACTCTTCCACAGACTATCGGCAAATGGCCCTCAAATGTGGCACTATACTGATCCCATCCACTATTTTTTCTATTTTTCTGACAGAAAACATTTCTCTTCAGTTTGTTTTTATAAAATATCCTTAAAAAAATTAAATGCTCCACCTTACCACAACTTTAGGAGAAAGGTTAAAGAGTGGGGTTGTCATTTCCATCTTGAGATCAAAACATAAGCACTGAGTAGGTTATTGGTTTGTTAAACGTTACATAATAAGTCTGAAGTAAAGACAACAATAAAAGCCTAGGCCTTGTAATTTTGTTTGATTTTTGACCCAAGATCCATGAAAGCAAACAGGGTAACAACTGTATGAGAGAGCTCAGAGGAAAAAACAGTACCAAATATTTAATATTATGATTGGCTATGGGGCAGTACTTTAACAATGAATGTTTCCATCTCTGCATCTATTTCCTGAGAAAACAATTTGCACATTTCAATGCTATTTCTAAATAGTGAACACAGCTTGTCCTAAAAGATCTTCCTTCTGTTTCCCTGGGTTTATCCACTTGGTTGGCCTGATGGGAGCAGGAGGCGGTGAGGGGGCGGGCGGCATTGGCTCATGGTGCCGGCTGTCTGTGGAGCAGAGAGAAGGGAAAGAGCATCTGTAGTTGAATTAATAATGAAGAGGTGGCGAGAAGCAAAGCTGACCTATTTTTCCTCTGCTTACCTGTTTCCCTTCAACCTCCTCCCCAACCCATTCAGCCTTAAAGTATGTACAAAGTAGGAGGAAAGAGGTTTGATGTAATTTCATTATGGTCTACAGTATCCTGCATAGGAGATTCAAAGATTTTAGTTTTCATTAAAAAGATTAATAGAGTTGGGGAAATGCTGCCTAAGTCACTGCAGAGCCATCTAAGTCAAACATCACAGAACGTTTTCCTGGGTGTGACTAAGATGAGCATGTCCCATTGGTCAGGTTCATCAAAGCTCACAGTTGACACCATTGGGATGAAAGTTAAAGTAATAGCAATAGTACACCTGCTTTTCTACAGAACAGGCTAAAAGTTGAGAGATGACCCTTGTATACCCCTGAATACTACACAGTTTGTGTAATGTGCCCATTATTTTCCAATACTATAAAAATCCCCCCTCAGTAAGCCTGGTGACTTGAGCTGTTTTTCTATCTTTTGTAACCAGCAGCACACATTTGTCATATGTCAGGCTACAAAAACGGATTGAGATTGTCACCTTGACACAGAGTTTTTCTTAGTGTGACACTATGTACCCATAACCCACACTGTGGAAGGGACTATAAATGTAGGAGCTTCTAAGCCACCCTCTGCTGACTTTTATGGATGGACATCTTTTTGTGAAAACCTTGTGTTTATAATATTGCAGTATGAGGCTGACACAAGGCAGATTTATTATGTCAATAACCGAAGAAAATAAACATAACCACATTTGAGGGGAAGGTGTGTGTTTTCCAGAACAGTGAGATCCTTCATCCTCTGGGTCATTGTTTTTGCTGCAGACATAATGGTGTTCCAAACAGAAAAGCACTAAGTAAATGTCTACAATGTAGACCTTCTCTTCTGGGCTTTCTGGACCTTGAATTTCTTCCAGCAGCAGCACAAATGGTATTTCATAATGGAGACACATGGTGTGGTTTAGGCTAGCAGGTGCTGCCTTGTCACGTGGCGTTTTAAATTTAGAATACAAAGACACATTCTTTCACCAAATTAATAGAGCAGTAGCATGTTTCCTAGCAAAGATGTTCACAATTTAGACACTCAGTCCCAAAAGCTTGTTCTTTTAGTAAGAACATCAGGTACTCGATACAGAGCTCTGACCCATAGTACATGAAAACATCTTTTAAACTGTAACATTCTATAAACTTGTGGGCTTTCACTCAACCGCCTTATCAACTAATGAATTGGATTTAACAGTGCCACCAAATGGCTGATCCCTGAATGCTTGTCACAATGCCAGCTGGGTTTTCTCTGCTTTCTGAACAAAAATCTCTCAAGGATTTTAGGCTCTGGTGGAAAAAAAAAAAGGAAAAAAAAGTAGGGTTAAGACAAGTTTGCTTATGTTTATAACTGCTTATTTTCAATGTTACAACTGTATTTTTGTGTTTCTGAAAATGTATCCCAAGTCATTTCAAATTTTCTGCTGCTTGAGAGTAACAGATGATGGGCAGTCAAGAGAAAAACGTACTTACGGTCATACAGAGTTCTCTGAAAATGGAAAGCTTTCATTTTATTTATTATGCTCAAAGACAGTAAAATAAATGTATTAAACTTCTAATAGTATTATCTCTTTTTTCCCAAAGAAGTAAGATAGTTAATACTAAATACTTTTCCAAGATGGTGACCATCCGCTGATTCAAAGAGTTTGGGGGACTGGGATGGACCTTAAATATTACCTATTCTGCCCCACTTCCATTCAGAGACCAAATGCCCCCTACAGAAATCCCAGTGGGTGGTCAGATGGCCTCTGTCCAAATACTTCTAGTACTGAACATACTACTTCCTGAGGCAGCCCTTCATCATTAATGGGAGGCAAAATAAAGGAAGTTCTCCTGCTAAAAATACAAAAAAAAAATTAGCCAGGCATGGTGGCGGGTGTCTGTAGTCCCAGCTAATCGGGAGGCTGAGGCAGGAGAATGGCGTGAATCCAGGAGGCGGAGCTTGCAGTGAGCCGAGATCGCGCCACTGCACTCCAGCCTGGGCGACTGAGTGAGACTCCATCTCAAAAAAAAAAAAAAAAAAAAAAAAAAAGAAGTTCTTCTGTAAGTTATGTTGAAATTATGTCCCTCCATGTTTGCCATTTATTGGTCCTATCTCTGATTTCTAGAGTTGCCCAGTACAGGTCTAATCCACTTTTCACATGACAGTGCTTTTAGGTGTTTGAAAATAGCTACTGGTCTCCGTCTGTGTCTTCCAAGCACTTTGGGAGGCTGAGGCAGGAGGCTTGCTTGAGCCCACAAATTCAAGACCACCCTGGGCAACATAGTGAAACCCTGTCTCTCCAAAAACAAAAAAAAAACCTGGTGCTTGAAAGTGAATGCAATATTCTGGGTGTGCTCTGACTAGCACAAAGCAGAGAAGGATAGGGTTTTCTTTCTCATGAATAGAATATTAATTCACTTCAAGATCTTACTGGCTTATGTGGATGAGGCCATAGCATTTCACCTTTACAATGAGCCCACAGCTATGTCATGTCTCCCTGGTGTGTGTTTGAAAGGTTGTCCTGGGCCAAGTCCAGGACTTCACACTTCCTCACGTTAAATGTCATCTTTATTACATTAATATCCTTCCAGTCTGTTATCTTTTAGATTCTGATCTGGTCTCCTAATGTTTTTGCTCTGTCTACCAGTTGAAGCCATTTCAGTAATCAGGATGGCTCTTTGGGTAATCCACCAATTCTTCACTAAACCACCTAAATAGACTAACTTAGACCCTGCTGGAACATTTCTATTATTATCCTTAAGTCCAACGAAAGGATTTCGAACATAGTAAAGGCAAAATGTGTAAGTGCTTGCTCTTTAGAATTAACTTAATGAGATTAACCAGCCTTTGTTTACAACCAACGGATGCTGAAAAGCCCACCTATATTTTTTCATTGCTTGTAAATGGAATCAATTTACCTTTTTGGTTTTTCTGAGCAGATAAACCATTTTATAGTCCACATGCCAACAAGATTTTATGTTTGCTTCAATTCGCTAATTCCAAGGCATCTGGGTGTACAGTACAAAACGTACAGTTATTTTAGAATTTAGGGCAATTAGCTGCTCTGAGAGATATTGTGACATTTGAAATGTTATCACCCCCAAGCAGATTTAATGGGAACCATTTGGGCAGGTTGCTGGCACCTGGATGCTTTTATGGCACACCTTCATAAAAGCACTGCCCTAAGTAAGAACACATCCTAAGTGTAGCTATTGAGCTTGGGATCATATAACAGATGGAGAACATATCACACTTTTTGAAGTAAGTGAGAAAGCTGACATAACAACCCTAACCACATTTTATCAAGATGTATCTGATGACTGTGTAGTGGAAAAGAGTTCACTTTAAATGGTGTGAGTTACTCTTGCCATTTGTATTAATGTTGTCACTCAGCTGGGGTCCATGCTGCATAAAGGTTTTGAAAATATCCAATTAAGAGAATTGATCTAATCAAGGTAGAAAAATCTCACCACACAACTTTAGCTTTGGCTGGATAATTGCACCATTTCCACTTCACATTTTATCTTGGCATACAATTATTACCTTACTGAGTTGATATTGATTTGAAAAATGGTTAAAAATAATTTAGAAATCAAGTTATCACTGTCATATGATTTCTGAATCAATCTTATAAAGGAAACACAAGCAATACATTTTTAACAAACTCAAACAGTTGTCTTGGTGATCTTGACTTTAGATCCACAGAAGCTCTAAAGATAATCTCTAACAAAATTAAATAATAATCTTGGTGTAGAGAGCTTGAAACCCACAGAATTCTATATGATACAGAAAAGCCAGACATTTATTTATTTCCCAACTGGGTATAGAACAATAAGTTGAAGGCATCACTCTGCAATTACTAATAAGGCTCCACTATTTGAAACAAGGCACAAAGGAACTGCTTTTTCCAAATTCCTTTGTCTGCAATCTTCATAGTAGTACATTCAGCCTAAATAAAGTTTATGGCACAGATAAGCATGAGCATAAGTAAGAATGAATACTGAAAAATGTAAAATGTTATCATAAAGATTTGGATAATTTTTTCAAAAGACTAGAAAACTGTTACTCATGAAGTTGGTTTACTGAAAGGAGGAGAAAACGCGAATGGAAACAGTGGTGTTATGGCTATGTTAGTGAAACCACGAGAGCCAAGATTTCAAAGACAAATGCACTTAGTTACAACTAGATCTGTACTGTTTGTTGTATTGGGTAGTTTTTCTGGCCTCAATTGTCCAATCACTATACTCATGCAAGCCAAGATCTATAAATTGATAATCTGAACCATTTGTCCCAAGGAGACTTGTGTCATTGGGTAGTCACAAGCCTCCTCTCATGAGTTACACCCTTCATGAAATCGTAGTTTGGAAGCAGCCCAGGAAGTCATCCACTGTATTTCCTCTGGATAGAATAATTCCCTCCATGATTTACTCCTCAAATGGGATTCCCAACCTGTAATGAAGGGAGCTCACTAGTCTTCTAGGCACCTGCTACATTTTATGTTAAACTCTGGTTATATTAAGAAACTGCAACTACAATTTGAAATTTTTATAAATTTGGAAACATTCCTTCCAATGATTATTGCTATGGACTTGGATTATATTTTGCTGTGATCATTGCTGTGGACATTTATCATGGAAATAATAAAGAGAACCAATTAAAGTTAATGTAATTCGAAGATTAAAGTAAAACTAGTAAAAATGTTAGATTTAAAACCAGAATTTGGAACTTAAATGGTAATTGCAATATAAAATATTTTTTCGTCTGGGTACAGTGGCTCACACCTATAATCCCAGCACTTTGGGAGGCTGAGGTGGGTGGATCACTTGAGGTCAGGAGTTCGAGAACAGCCTGGCCAACATGGCGAAACCCTGTCTCTACTAAAAATACAAAAATTAGCTGCATGAGGTGGTACACACCTGTAATTCTAGCTACTCAGGAGGCTGGGGCACAAGAACCGCTTGAACCCAGAAGGCGGAGGTTGCAGTGAGCCAAGATCGCACCACTGCACTCCAGCCTCGGCAACAGAGCAAGACTCTGTCTCAGAAAAATATGTATATATTTTTTCTAGCTTGGTCAGCAGAATTTCCTATCCTCTTTAACATCCTTTTCTATCCTTTTGGAAATGAAATATATTATGATTTTTGTTCTGAGTTAGAGTCAAGTATTTTATTATCATTATTTTAATTAACTTTATTTTTAAAACTATATATTTATCCAGTGATTTTAAAAGAAATAGCTTGTATAAATACACACACAGACATGCTCACATACACATGCACATTTTTTCCCCTGCAAATTAGATCACCTTGGGAAAAATGCCTTCAAGCCTAGGACACCATTAGTGGTTTTAAAACTGCATGTTAATTTCTTCTCCTCAATGAGTTATCGATATGTCTGACAAATTCCTCCTTTAAGGCAACCCTGAAAGGAAGGTAGAGTCCTGATTTTAACGCAACTACCTGAAACAGAATTTTTCATCAAATAATCTTATTTTGTTATTACTGTCAGCATTTTATACTTTAGACGTTATGTGGTACCATTCTGCAGTCTCTCAAATATCACTCATTGATGCTAATTACAACAGAAGAATGCCATACACGTGATTGTGAAGGTCACCCTTATCCCACATGTGGTCATTTCAATTTCAGTGTCTACTTATCAAATTTTCTGAAAGAAACTCACTGAACAACATAGGCAGTTTTTCCTGTTTATTATATAGTTATTCTAAGGTGGTAAGTGTCACAAAGTTAACTTCAAGAGGAATAACATGGTCCAGTGTGAAACACAAGGTACAACATTTTACAATGAAACCACAGCACAAAGTAACTGAACTTTCAAAATTGGGTAGTTCAATGAAACATTTTGTCAACCCTTAGCTCTATAAAGCTCTGCTGATGGACTTAGTTGATGGATTTAAAAAATATATTGCTGTGTCAAATGTTTTAACACAAAATGTTTTTTTTTAAAGAGAATACACATCCAATCAACTGAAACTGTGAGCAGAAAGTATGTAACCTCTTTATAAAAACGTTATCCAAATTTACAACATTCATAATATATTTCAAAGTAAAGAGTTCTTAGAAAAAATAAACTCAATTCCTTGCTTACTGATGAGTATCAACTCCTCAAAAACACATCACAGAAAGTTAACTTTCATACTTCTTTGCCTATAACTTTTAGATATCTACTACCCTGGCTTCAAAAACATTTTGTGGCCATATATAATACAAACACTCAGGTATTACATGCATCATTTATACTATCTTGGAATTTATCCATAATCTACTAAAATGAACCACATTTTAAAGACATCATATGTCATGCACCCTTAAAAATTATAGTGAGGGCCTCTGATTTCCTCTTTTTTCCACATGCATAACAGGCACAAAATTACAAATATTTTTCAACTGACAGTACAACACGCTATATCAGGCAATTGGTATATTGAATTCAGTGTATCTCTATTTTTCACACTATGCCTCTGTGCAATATTTCAATCAAAGACAGTTGTCACTAACATGCACAAATAGAGATGCTAGCAAGGTTAATGCAAATATGCATAAATGAGCAAATGTATGCATATATAGTAAATTCATTCGATTAACATTTTCAAGTGTGTATATATTTATGTAGATATATACACACATACAGCAAGTATATTCAAAATTTGTCAACAGTTTAGAGTTTTGAAAGAACATACAGAATCGCCTTACAGGTTATCTGGCTTTGTTATTAAACTTACTTCATATCAAATATACTCTGGATTTTCTTCTATTTATGTTCCAACATTATACTTGACAATCTGCAACTGTATCAATGTTTCATTTTTTTAGAGTATAGTGATTGGCAACCACTACAAGCCATCCATACACACACAATAGAAAAAAATCATAGTATTCGATCTTGTTAATAATTGAAAACAAAGATATATCAATATAAACATTAATGTTACTTATATTTAATAGTTAACACAATATTGGATTTAGCTGAATTTCAATTTTTTTATAAATCAGTATATCTGAATATTTTGAACCATTTGCCATACCAGTTGAGCAAACTGCTTTTTAATTTAAACATGCCCCAACTAATATGTCACAGAGTAACACTTTATTACATGAAGATTTTATGTATAATTCCACAAGAGCCAGTAACTTATAAGGCTGTATCACAAATACTATACTTTACTGTTGATGGTTTATACACATACACAGATACTTACAGAAGCATACCCACATACACACCAAGCCTGGCAAATTTACATAAACACCCAAACACCTGTATAGATATATGGCCACATATGAAAAATTTAGCAGTCCAAGAATTAAAATATGTGGAATTTTCAGGAATATTATTCTATATATTCATTCACTTTCATTAAGAAATCTGACTTGCACACTTCATTGTTTTTAAGCAAAAAAAAGAAAGAAAGAAAGAAAGAAAGAAAGAAAGAAAAAGAGCCCAATCATGTATAGATCTTCAGGGCATGTGTTGGAAATTCCCCGGCTGGTTATGTAGGGTATATATATATATAGTACATCAGCGCTGGTTCAAATGGTTTTAGAAAATGTTTTTTGGGTTCTTAATATTTAGATGAGCCAATATATGCGCACAGGGATGTATACAGATGAGAGAACCTGACACTTCTTAAAATTCTATGGCAGTACAGAAACTGTCTAGATTTTTCCCCCTGCCTAGTTGATTAAACAAGACAAAAACACACCATGTGGCTTTCAGCACTATAGTCTTTTGAGTTCACACTGAACTTCATACTTTATATATTTTTAACTTTTGCACTTCTAAAATGCTGAAAGCAGGGAAATATTCCTAATATCTTTTTCTACAATGTCTACATCTAAGAAAAAAGTGAGTGCAAGTGAAAAAGTATCGAACTTTGAACTACAGCACGATGTCTTCAGAGCGCATTTAAGGATTATCATTAGGACAAAACTGCGTGGCTTTTGCTGAAGCATTCCCCGCTCAGTAGAACAATTTAAAAATTCATTGCCGAATTTTTTTTATAAAGAATTCTATAAGTAACTCAATCATAAGTGCCTATAAATCACCAATTCTGTTCCACCAATGAACTGAAAACTTCTGTGTTTGTTGCTAAGAAATTTTTATTTCTGCTTTAGTTTAATAGAATTATGTTTTGCATAAAAAGAGATCTCAAAGACTATAAATGGTGTGCTGTTTCAATCTCTGAGGGACTTTACTTTCAAAAAGTAAATGATATATATAGCCCCTGAACAGTCCTTTAATAGAAGTCATATGTTCAAGAGATTAAATGCTGTGGAAAGCACTTCCCTTGGAACTGCTTGAATGGAAAGTTGGCCATGATATCTATCGGCAATTAGTACAAGTCCAGTTTCTTTTTGCCCTGTCTAAACAAAGCCATGGGCTCTATATCAATTGGCAATATCTACCACTTAGAACAAATAGCATTTATTGGACCTTTCTAGCAGTAGTTGTCCATAAGATTGACAGTGCAGGGAAGTTAAAATTATTGGAATTTATTTTTGTTCTGGACCATCTGACCCCACCAGTTTTAAAGTAACTGTTCCACTGCTTTCTTTGTATTTTTGGCAGTTTAGTCAAATACATACTAATCTTTTATGGACCCAACTGTATTAAGTAATGCATTTTACAAAGACATAACTAAAACAGACACCAGCATAGGCAACCTCACAGATGTTTACTGTTTCAGCTAAAATAAAGCAGCCTTTTGATCTCAGCAGGAGTCTCTGGTCATTTCTATTGGAAACAGTTTTAAAACCTGAAGTCTGGAACAGGTATTATTATGAACTGTTCTTTCAAGATGGAATGTTTCAGTTTGCAGCTCTTGAATAACCTGCCAGAGAAGTGTCTTTCTCTCCAACAGACAGCATAATGAGGCACTAATTATTATAGGGCTAAGTTTTCAAATGCTGTTAGATTGCCTGGACGTTTTTTCTTCTTCCTCTTCTTTTGGTTGGAATATTTTATTCACTTGTAAAGTGAGATGGTAACATACGTAACTATAAACCAGATGGTAAAATTTGCTAGTTGAACAATTTATCAGGGAGATAAATCAATAACATTTAAAACAGCGTGTGACAACTGAATTTCTCTCCATCTTGAATAAAACATTTAAAAATTGTTTTCAAGTAAAATTTGAAAAAAAAAATCATGTAAAAGCCTCCAAATGGCATCAAACATTTTTAATTTATCACCTACTGAGATATGTCAAGCCTGGAGAATATCAAAACCATGCTTCACAAGTCTTAAACTGTTAGTGTTTGAACTAGTAAAAGTAAATGACCACTAGGATATGGCTTAAATACAATAGACCATACACATTAAATTAATTTTTAACATTCAGACTTTAAAATCATTATTTTATGTTTAAGCAAAGACGACTATAATTTTTAAAATAGAGGACTAGAAGAGCAGAATTAGTAGGTTAATGTTTAACAATGGGTTATAATCATAGACTTAATTGGTTTAACACAAAAGGAGTTTTGCATATGAAAATTTCCAAAACACCAGCAAGATTGAGAATTTTTCAGAGTGGAGATTTGGATACTCTGGGCCTGATTTATACAGCACCATTTAAGTGAATTTTGCTTTTCAAATGGATTTCTTGGAAAAAGTCCAGACACAATTTTTTTTAGGTCTGTATGGAAAAAAAAAAAATTCCCAGCTTTAGTTTTTACACATTTAAAAAATTATGTATATGATTGTAAGAAAAAATTATACAATCTATAGCAATGCCATTGGCCAAGTTCTTCATATTGGCATATAGCTTAAGCTAAATTTATACTGTTTCTAATAAAATAACTTTAAAAAATAAAATTTACTTGACAACAAAAACAAGGCAAGTTCCTAAAGCCTAACTTCAGAGTCTTTATGAGATGTGTCGTTGTCATAATTTTTCTTTTTCTCTCGGATGTACTAACCCACAAAACAGTAAGTAGCTTTTTCTACTGTCTAGGGAGAAAAAAAATCTACCCAAGTATTTTTATTATTTTGTAATAAAAGTACCTCTAAAAACCAAGCAATTCAAATTTTAAAAACAATATAACCTTTAGAAAAAATATGCCTGCTAGTGCCGTTTTAATATGCTTTACAGAAAGTACAGAAAAATTATATCTCTATGTCTACTTATAATTAAGAAGAAAACTCCATCTGCAGAAATTCTGGCTCTATATTGCCACATGGTTAGTGTGTTCTTGTACTCAATATTGGGTCCGTGTATGAAATTCATCTAGAGCCAGGCCCTGTACAAAAATCTCAGCATTTTGTGTTCAAACTCTCCCCAATCAAATCCATGTGGGAGATATTTTTAAAAATCTCTCAATTTCAAGGTTGAACATCACGAAAACAAAATGCATACATATTTACTTTTGGATGATTTGGTCTTTTATCATTTCAAGGTATGCAAAACTCTTTTGTGTATTTTGCTGTAAGACTTTTGCTTCAGAAATGTGAAACCTTCACCCAATCACAAACCATATACATTGCTCCATTGTTTCTTTTACACTGAGTCTCCTACTGAATCCAAGTCATCCGAAGAGAGGGGGCGGTACAGGTCCTGCAAGATGAAGGGCAGTATAGATTTGTTTACTCGGCTTTCTTGGGTGCCCTGTGGCTCTCGTGAGAGCAGCACTGAATGGGCATCCCCAGTTTCTACTATTATTAGACCTTTTCAAGTCACCAACTTGGATTAGGAGGAAAGATAATAATAGAGAAACCATCTAAATAAACAAAATGGTGCTGGTTTCGCCTTATTGGCAAGAAAATGCCTCTTGGTCTACTCATAATCTTTTGCCTTCCTTGATGCCCGTTGAGTTGCATGGCCCCTGAGGTCTGTAAAGGTCAACTCCACTACTATGTGACTAGGCAATTCTTCCTTGACCATTTCCTTCCCATTCTTGGTAGAAAAGGAACGTGCTTACCTCACAATAAAATAATTTATCAGGAGGCCCAAATGGCGTTCAGCAAATTCTGGTCCCAGAGCAGCAACTCAAATGTTGTAGTTGCATGTGGCATAAAACCCAAGAAAGCATTGCTTTCTCAAAATATTATGTTTGGATGACAGAAAGCGTGTAAAATTAACCCACCTCACCCCAAATCCCTTCCCAATGTTCTTTCCCTGTTCTCCAACCGACCACTCACTCATCACCTCCTCTCTCCTTTCCTACCTCCCCTTCCTGCTACTAGATCTCGGTTGGTAGCCAGGCAACCAGCTCAGATCTGCAGAGAGCGTCTAGAGTTGGCTTTTCTCCGGTTTTGTACCACCCACTCCTCACATCATCTGACTGATCAGATAATCTACAAAAGTCAGTGATGTGGGAGTATAATGGGGAGCTTCATTCAGCCTACATAACACAACACATTTCTTCCTGATGGATTAAGAAATGGGACCAAAAAAAGTTCATGAGTGGGAAAAGAGTCTCCAGGCTCTGCTTCTGTGACCAGTCAAATGCCTGTAGACAGCAACTTAAATAACTCTGCTTCGGAAAAATAGGTTACTTGGTACATTGCCACGAATATGCTTATGAAGAGAAATGTCTGGCATGCAGGTTTTCATTGTATAAGAGTATTCCAAAATGTCAAAAGAGGTAACATAAAAATGTGATTTTAACAGAAGAAAGAAAGCTGATCAAATTTTGTAATTAATATAAGTAAAAACTAGATTTTCCTATTTGTAAAGAAACCAGTCAAATGTCTCAACCTTCCTTTTGAGAAAACAGCTCATGTTCCTGTATTTTAAAATGGGGGCAAGGCGCGCGTGTGTGCATGTGTGTGTATGTGTGTGTGTGTGTGTGTGTGTGTGTGTGTTGGGGTGGGGGCAGTCAACTCATTTTCTTGGCCATGTTGCTAGGCAACACAGAAGGAAAAAATAGAAGTAGCTACTGTTTTCCAATCTGCAGTAAAAAGAGTTAATTTATTCTTTGAAGTGTCTTCTTTTAGCACATGCCATCTTTCACTTATTTCAGTATTTCCTGCATAGGAGTATAGCCAATCATTTGAGAAGACCATTAACCAAATTTGAAACAGGATCAGTTTTTAGGGATCTTCTAGGCCCATTTTAACTGGGAGGGATTATTTGATGCAGTTGCCTATATGCCAAGATGAAAGCTCCTCTGGCTAAAGCATCTGGGAATGCCTTCATGCACTGACACAGCACATGGATGGGGAGGTTCATTTATGGCCTAAATTCAAAAGCTTGGAAATGGAACCATCTTAGAATATACCCAGTGCCCTGCCTCACAACATGTGCTCAATAAATGTTTTCAGATGGTATAAACCCTTTGTCCTCCTAAAACAAATGGGATTGTTTTTTTCTCTCAAGTATGGTGTTTGCACTGATCGTTTAAATGGTAAAATGAAGAATCTATAAGAAAGCCATATCTTATAATCATTCCCCAAGTGCTGGAAATGTTAATTATATAAGCCAATAGCCACAGAGCTGAATGGAAATTTTCTGCCTCAGTTGGACAAAATCATACTGAAGTGGAAATACAGAAAGCAGAAGAAGCGAATTCTAGCCCCATTCTGCCAAGAAAGGGACATCTGAGCACAGCTTTACATCCCTAAGCTGGAGGTCTCCTCAATAAATAAGCAAGGAGAGGAGCTCCCATTTGCAGCGGGAATTCCCAATCACTCTTAATGTCAACAACTAAGCATAAACGACACCAATAAATCTTTAATCTGAGTTTAATTAGCTCAAAGAATAAAGACAGATTTCTATGCTAGGTGTACTCTCCAAAGCATACACTCTAAGAGACAGAATGTTCTCAGAAAGAGGGCCCTTCCTGCTCTGTATCCAATGGCGGTCCCTATAGATTGACGCCTCACTGGGTGATGTTCACAAGAAAAGAATGACCGACCAGCTCTTCCTTCACTCAAGGACAGGCCTTTAGGAGAGTAAATAAATTTGGCCAATTCTTGGAGTTGTTCACAAATGATTCCAACACCTTAAAATTCCAAATTAGACTGTGGCCAAGAAGAAACCATAGTGAAAACACTCAAATGGAGGTAGAATGGAATTATTGGGCTTTCTATCTGGAAAGAGGCTCCTTGTTTTGTTTTGTGTTTCCAATGGAGACCCAGAAAAGATAATAGGCTTATCTAAGATACCACGGCCATTTAGTGGACAAGCTGGCGTCAAATCCCAGGCTTCATCAAACGCTCAAAACAAGTTCCACCTGATGCCAGGTGAATCAGTGAAGAAAGATAACCAAACTTGATATTTGGTGCAACAGGCTCCAAAGGAGATGGGAACCAACTGAATCTCCCCGCCCCGCACTCTTAGACGTCTGGCAGCCTAAAGACACAACCTGTGCAGAAATCTTGAAGAGAGGGCCTTCCATCCTGGATGACACGTAATTTTGTGGAACTCAGAAGTTTTGTTTTAAAACACATAATAAAAGAAACTAAACTCAAGAATCTTGTGTTTGAGTGCAGTAGACTGCAAGGAGTTCTCGCTTATTAAAGTGTTCAGTGAGCACCATCATGAAACCTCCTAGGAGCGTACATTCCCCCCACCTTGCGTCTGAAATCAGGACCATAAAGGGCCTTCCGTTTTTGGCATTGTACCTCCCCCTTTGCCCCCTTCCCACTACTTTTATTTTTGCCTTGGTATTACTGGAAAAGACAAACAGTACAGGTTGTGACAGGATAAGAACAGTAGTCTCTCCATCCTGAAAGAAGCACTAACCCTCACCCTCTTCCTTAGGGTGGAGAAGCTAACAGTTTCCAGTAACTTTTTCACTGTGGTCTCCAAGCTCAGCCAAATTCTCCATAAATGCAAGTAGTGATGAAAAGGTGCTCAATGTGGGTTTCATCCACAAAAGCACGTGTCATAGGTTCCCATCCCCTACCTCATGGACCCTCTGCTGCTCTGGGGCCCCATCCATACCATAAGCAATTTTCCACCAGGGCCCTCCCCTCCATTCACAGCACTTCTTCTTTCCCTTAATGGTGATATCTAATCAAACTCATCACAACTAAGAAGGCTTACAAACTAGTGCTAATAAAGCCTGTGCATTCAGAACAGAAAGAGGAGAGTATGTAAAAGTGAAGTAGCAAAGGTGCATTCTTCTCAGAGTTAAGATTTGGACAAGGTTACAGAGAAGCTAAAAGCCCTGAGTTCTAGCTAAACCAAAGCAATAAGCAACCCCTCATTGGTCACCTCCTGTTCTAGCTTAGATATCGCCTAGAGACGAGCAGCACGATTTGCTGGCACCTGTACCTGTCTGCACCAAGGCTGAGACAGGTCTGAAACAAGCAGCTTGCTTATTTCCTTACCCTCTGCTTCCGCAGGCTTCCTGGGCTGGTGGGTGATGGGCTTGGCGACTTGCCTGAGCGCGGAGTAGAGAGCTGACTACCAGGGGTTCCATTAACTAGAAATACAAAGAATCACACACAGAGAAAAATGGCACGTTAAATAATTTTCATGACAAATCATCTTCTGCAAGAAATAAACAATTATATAGAGAGCCATCTACTAGAACTCTAGACACCCTTCCATATGTACACTGAGGAACAGCTTTGGGGAAGTAACCTTCAGAGAGTCACAGTTTTGTAAATCCTGTGTTTCATAGAGCAGCAGGTTACAGAATTATTTTTTAAGATGTACCTTTCACAACTTTCCTGATGAATGTATTAATGATGTCTTTAACTGTGCCAGCAGGGACTTTAGGAATGTATGGTCCTGAGACATTTTCAATGAGATTAATCCTTAACTCTTCAGTTTAGCTACCTAGTACTACCCAGCAGGAATAAATATAAGCACAGATCACCAGTGACATTCCAGTGACCTGATAAATAGATCACTGTATTTGTATAATTAATAACTCACTTCTAGAAAAATGTCCTGCATCCACCTGTGTCTTGTCCATCCCCCTAGGCTGATTGTGATGGACCTGCCTTGAACAGGACAGTCATTGGCCACAGACGCTGAGAAACTCCTCACAGTTTCTCTTTGCTGCCTTTGAAAAGAAAAACTGCTAACAAGTTCAAATCACTGGAATTCTACCCAGTTCTCAAGAGTTTTATGCACATTTTCACTAAACTGAACTAAAGCCACAGAACTCAAGTAAGCCATTCTTTTCTCTAAGTAACATCATCTCTAACAACAGATGAAACACTTAAAGACATGGTTTTATAAAGATGTATCAGGTCACCTCTATTTTACCTGTAAAAATGGCATTACAGCCCCACAGTCAGTGAAGTAGAATTAACCAGGAGACACATAGATTCTTGAGGGTGCAAAATAAATGCTTTCCACAAGGGAGAGCAGCAATGCATTTCACTTACCTTCTATGAGTTCTAACATGGACACAGTCTTAGTGTTGGACCTGAATACCAACGGCGGAATCCCGTCTCAGCACTAAGCCAAGCACCCGCGGAAATGGGAATCGGTTGGATGAGTTTAAGGATGGCTAAGGCTGCTCCCAGAGCAGGCTGAATGAGATGCAGGATTCATCAGCAGATGCCTTTTCTGCGTAAAGCTGACGTCTCCCAAGCAGCAGTGGGAGGTGCAGGTTCTGTCTTAGGCTACATCAAAGGTGTCAATTAAGCCTCTTGCCAACAGCAACCCCCATCCCGACACCACTCCCTTCCGGAAGCCCCAGTGCTGTCAGTACTTTGCACTGAATCATAATGAAGTGGCCCTGGGGGCAAGAGATCCAGTGACTCATCTGAAAATCGAAATGACAATAACTCTTCTAAAGCCTGGTGACTACCAGGTAATCAGGAAACCCTCACACAATTCAGTGGCAAGGTAGGATGTTTATTGATTTTTCGCACTTGATGTTTTCCCAAAAACTTACAACCCTGGAAAGTGGGAAGCTCCTTGTTTTGTCATCTCCTCCAAAGACCTTAAAAAATGTCACATACCCCATGCTGCATTAATTTGTAGTTTTGCTTTTGAAATGTATTTGGCAACTCCTAAAAATAGAAACCTAAAAAGCTATGAATTTTTGTTTGTTTGTTTGCAGAGAGAGTGAACTGGAAAGCTGAGAATGCTTTAATTTGCTTGCATGCCACCATCCTGTCTTTGCTGAGTGAACTTCACGCTCGGACCTCATCACATTAGACTTCCTCAGCCAGTAGCCTCTAAGGAAGGGGCTCAGAAATAGAAAAGGATTAAAGACAAGGGCAGAAGCAGAGCCTATAACTAGTAAGAAAGGGATGCCTTACTGGTTGGCTGGAGAACACATTTTGTGAATATAATATTTTCTTTACCCACCCGCATTCTACTGCACATCTTTATGTCATACGTAAAGGCTACATAGATTGGAGGGAAAAAATGAGCAAATAGGGAAGCAAACACAGTGTTAACACTTTTCACTTTGAGACTCTGATCTTATCCAGCTAATGGAAAATGAAGAAAAAGAGACAAAGGGCTCACAAGAAAACAGTCTCAGGAATACCTTGCTTTAAAAAGCAAAACAAAACAATAAAAGCCTGTAAGTATTTAGTAAGTATCCATTGTATGTGTATTTTTAAGGCATTTTTTGAAAGACATTTATTTTTATTGAAGGCATTTTTATGCACCAGTCAATGCACTTAGACCTTTTATATATGAACATATATGCATCTGTGTGCATCAGTATGTATATATATTACATCATTTAACTCACAGAATAACTCTATAAGATTGGCAGCATCATTTCCACCCATTTTACAGGTGAGGAAATTGAGGCTTACAGATGATGAGTCATTTCACAAGCAAATATGGAGCAGAGCCTAAAATCTAACCTAGGCAGTTCAAAACCTGCAGTCTTACTACTACCTTGCCTTACTGTGCCAGCCCTTTAACCTACAGGTAAACCAGAGAACTAAGCTAGAATTACAATAAAGTATTTTGAGAGGGGAAGTGAGGCAGGATAGTTAGTCAAGGAAGTGACCATGTTCTCGGGATGCAGCATTGGTGGTGACCTCACAGCCAACACAATAAGCCTTGGCATTCACATCATAAATGAGCTCATTTAAGCAAAGCTATCTTCAGGAGGGACTGTCCCTTCTCTAGGGCATGTGCATTTTGATTTTAATTGTCATCAAACTGACCCTTTGCTCATTTATAGTAAAAAACACACCCCTGGGTGGAGATTTAAGATGCTAATGAGACATGTGATATATGAACACAAACATACAGCTACAGTGCATGTGCACCCAGAGGACCACCCAGAACATGCTTACTAGCAACACCTCTTCCCAACTCCTTATGAATTATCATGTAAGACTCCCACAAAGGGGGTTTCTCTAGCAATAATCAACACTGCCTCACCCTTGCAAGCAGCCCACCCTGAACTCTCTCTCTCAGGGTATACTGTCTATTCTGCATCTAACTTTCAAAATACTCTTTTCCTTTTGCAGTGAATGACTCTCTGCCGCATCTCCTTTGCTGTGTGTCTTTTGTTTAAATTCTTTTAAACTAAGAAGACAAGAACCGAGGTATCACAACAGCCATTAACAGAAGTATTGGGTGTTGCAATTGGAATCCTAATAACCAACAGTGAGAGTTGGCCTACGCCCTTCACAGAGGGCAGTGGATACAGAAGTTAGCCTGGTGAAGCAAGGGGGGCACAATGAAGGAAAAGTGTCCTCAGCCCAGGGATCTCCTGTTTCAGGGCTGGATACGAGAAAGGAGGCCAGTGTGGTACACTGAAGAGACTTAAATAACTAAGTAAAGCAAGTATGTGGGGTTGGAGGCGGAGGAATGTCAGGAATGAGATGGAGGCAGGGGCCGCATAGTGAGTAGTGCTTTAAAATTCATGTTAGGGAGTTTGGTTTTTATCCAAAGGGCAATGAGAAGAAAAACAAAAACAAAAACAAAGATTTTAAGCAGGCGCCACAGGATCAGGCTTGCATTTGAAAATGCTCTCCAGCTCTTGCCCTGTCAAGAATGGATTAGAGGGAAACAATACTGGGTGCAAGGAGAATGTCAAGGTAGGAGAGAGTGGGGCACATTTAAGGGTCCTATGGTAGAGATGCTGACGTGGCTGATCTAGGGTAGTGTCATGGGGTGGAGGTAAACGGAAACGTTCCAGAGAAATGTAAGAGGTAAAAACTATAGAACCTGGTAATTGATTGGCTGTAGAAGATTAAGGCCAAAAGGGAGCATGTTTGCAAGGACAGAGAGTTTGGACACTTTGAACGGAAGCACCTTAGGTAACATCAGTTCTGCCATGTAAGTTGGTGCAATGTTTTCTGTTTTAGATGAAGAAACATGTTTAGTCAGGTAACTTGTCCAAAGACAAACAGCTGGAAGATGGCAGAGTTAAAGCTGGATTTCATTTAGGTCTTACTCAAAAAACTTTGCACTTTTCCCATGAGTGGCTGGTCCTGGCACCTCAGGGCATGTCCAGAACCCTCCTAGCATCTGCAGGGCTGAGGATGCCTAGGCTTCTCTCTCTACCACCGGGACACTCGGATCTGCCTCCTTTAGGCAAGGTTATTGCAATGGTAATTGTGGTTTTTGCCATTAAAAGTAAAGCAAAAACTGCAATTACTTTTGCACCAACCTAATAAAACCACTGGGCTCAGTGCTTCTATTTGCATCGCCATCTCTAGAAAAATGAAACTCAAGTGCCAGACAAGTCATTTACAATCAAATGCTTTTGGAACACAACTTGTCTGAACATTGGGAACAGCATGTACTCTTAGGGTCAGAGCTCTGTTCAGACTCTTCCTCTTGGCCATACAGAAGAGCATTAGCAACTTCTTAAAATGGTTCTTGACATCCAGAAAGCATTACACACCTTCTTGTTGAATCACTGCTGGGATAAATAATTTTCTTTCATAAATAAGTTTGACACATGTACTGAGTACACTTGGTTTTTACTCTGTAATGCCAGAAGTTTCTAAGTGCCATAACAAGGCTTTGTGACTTATTTAATAGAACTTATTAAAATTCAACTTAAAATGGCATTATTTTTTCAGAGGCCCTTATTACACAATTCTTTATCTTGAATGGGAACAATTAAACTAACACGGTTGTTGTTAAACAGCCAAGCAGGGCTGAACAATTAATTATTTCAATCTGAATCCACTAAACTCTGAATTAGTAAAGAACTCATTAGAACCGCTGCCTTTACCCAGTTCTGGTCTCCTTTGCTTTTATCTGTATAGGTACATTTTCTTATTTTAAAAAATAGGAAATGTCATCCTTTGCTGTGCTTGTTACCCTTGAATGAGAAGTGCTCAACTTCAAAATGGATCATTCACTGATACCATGATGACCAATTAACATCACTGGCCACCAAAGAGCTGTGGAAGAAATCTCACTGCAGAGCTGACTTCTATCCCTCCCGACGGTACATGACCCTCCTTTATTTCGACTCAGCTGTCACCTAAGCCTGTCAGGGATCCAACAGCATATACCGGTCACAGCGCATTGTTGAATAATACTCCTCAGGAAGTGTGCAGATCCACCTTTTCCTTCATCATTTCAGACAGGTGAACCAACTCTTCTTCACTAACTGGAGCCACGAGTCCAGGGCCCTAGATATCAACCTATCAGCACACGTAGTGTACACTTAGTACATGCTAGATTCTTATTGCTCCCTGTCCCCAAGATGCTTATGATTAAACATCAAAGTTACTTTAAAAAATCTAGAATTTGGAAATACTTGGCTTAATTTACAAATTCATTGCCCTTTTAAATGACTTTCCACGCATATGTAGGTTAACACTTCTTTTTGCAGTCGCGTTCCTAAAAGTCTCAGACACCAAGTGAAAGCTGAATGTTAGTAAGTGTCTCAAATTGGTTCTGAAGTTAGAGAAATCTCCAAGCGAGACTATCTAATTAAAAGATGTGCAACTTTTTGGACGTGAAATCCACCTTACTGTTTCCCTGTCTTCTTTTAGCACTTAAGGAGGCTCATTTATTTCTGGTGCTGCACTTGTCAAGATTTGGGGAGAGAATGTGTTTGCATATATGTGTGTGTCCTTGGGTTTGGGGGTGGCGATTCAGGCACGCTGCCAGGGAGATCTGGCTTCCTGCCTTAGACTCTCCTTTACTCCCTAATCATGGTGTAGGCTGTTCATTCCCTAAAATCTCTTTCTCAGCTTTTGTTCCTTGCTTGCCACATTATTGAGAAGGAAAAAAAATGCAGGGGGTGGGGGGTGCATAGGGAATCAGTTGAGACCAAGAGAAAAGAGACAACTACCTAACAGAGGGAAGAAGACGTACTTTTTCCCTAATTTTAGCTTCTTGGGTGCTCACCTCATAGGTGAGGTGGAGCTCTGATTTTCTCCATGTCTGTTTCCTCTTCTTGAACTGAGACAATGGGTCCAATTCAAAGAAACCATCTACTGAGAATAATGGGAAGGAGGGGCCCCAGGAACAGAGGAGAGGGAGACAGGGACACAGCTCTGTGAATTAATTTTTTAAATAAATACTTACAAAGGCTCCAAACCTCAGGAAATTTAGGCAACAGCTCCTAGTGTTTCTCAATTCATTCATGTGGTCAACATTTACCCAGTAGTTACCATGAACTCACAGTCACTGTAGAATGCACAAAGAACCCCTGCTCTCAGACTTTACAACTGAGCAAGGTGGTGCAACGTGTCATCTGTGAATCAGCTGCTGCAGTACTGCAGGGCTGGGGAAGACCCTGGACAGCGAGGTGATCCGGGAAAGTGGCAGAGGTCTGCAGGGCCAAATTGGGTGAGTGGGCTTTAGACAGCTGAAGAGACAGAGGAAGACATTCTAGCTAGGCCAAGTGAGAGGAATAAAGGGATGAGGTGGAAAAGCCCAAGCTGGGGACAATTTAAATTTGTTTCTAGGATGGAGCATGGGTCCAGAGAAGAAATGGGGGACATGAGTGGAAAGGAAGATGTCCTTCACTTGAGAACAAGTTCAGACTTTATTTGGCACACAACAGGTGATGGCAGCAGGTTGGACATTGGTGCCCAGGGCAGATGTAAGATAAAGTGGGAGGACACCAGCCAGCAATGGCATCACCATAGGGAGAATGGTGACCCACTGAGTGTGGACAGGGTGGAGAGAAAAGAGTTGGTGATGATTTGGGGTACAAGAAAAAAAATTTAATTAAACAATAAAAAAAGACCAACTAGAGTCCTGTGATGTAAAATTAGGAAATTTTTGGATCTGATCCCTATCAGCTGGGATCCAAGAACAGGCTATGGTCATGATAGGGGAATTGGGGACCACAAGCACCAAGGGTCAGGGTGGATGAGGGTCCTGGGGTTGATCCCTACCAACCAATCGCTGCAGGACAGCTCCCGCTAGAGTAAAGCCTGGAGCCAGCCTGGGAAAGGACCCACGGTGACCACCAAAAATCACACTCCCAGACCAGGTCCCCCTGCCATCTGGTATTGCCCATTCCTTCATAGGCCACAGTGGTGTCCTCACTGCTGAATCCTACGATCCCCATTCAGTTCTCATGCTACCTGACATCTCAACATCAAGCATTTCTGCCCCGTCCTTCATCTCAAAACTTTCTGCCCCTTTGACTTCTGTCCCTGTACTCTTACTGTTCTTCCCTGCTTCTGCTGATTGCTCTTAGAAATGCAGACTTCTGGCCAGGCACAGTGGCTCACGCCTGAAATCCCAGCACTTTGGGAGGCCGAGGCAGGTAGATCACGAGGTCAGAAGATCGAGACCACCCTGGATAACATAGTGAAACCCCGTCTCTACTAAAAAAAAAAAATACAAAAAATTAGCCAGGCGTGGTGGCGGGCACCTGTAGTCCCAGCTACTCGAAGGCTGAGGCGGGAGAATGGCATGAACCCAGGAGGCGGAGCTAGCAGTGAGCGGAGATTGCGCCCACCGCACTCCAGCCTGGGTGACAGAGCGAGACTCCGTCTCAAAAAAAAAAAAAAAAAAAAAAAAGAAATGCAGACTTCCCTCCCCCATGCATGGTTCCATTTTCATCTTTACAAATCTCTTGTTGAGGCAGCGGGGAGGTACCTTATGTTTCTATTATTCAAATCACTACAATATACCAGGGTCTCCCAAATATATATTGTTAGCGCAGATCTCCTGACTTAGAACAGTTATTTATTTCCAATTGCTTACAGACATTTCCAAATCGCCTCACACTCCACATGTCTAAAACGAAACTCATTCCTTACCTCTCCTCATCCAACAAACCTGCTTCCTATCTCTGATCCCTCTCTCTTCTTCTAGCCTCACATCCAGTTAAATTTCTGGTTTCATTTCCCTTTGAGGTCTCCCCCAGCTCTTTCGGTTCTGTCTTGACAATTTCATTCCAGGATGACTACAATGGCCTCATAGAGCCTTCCTGGCCCTTGGCCTTTCATGTGTAGCAATTTTTTCCACCGCCATGCCACTGTTTCCAAAACTCAACTGCGATCTTTCATGGCACTGTGAAAAATCCCCTTTCACTTCATAATACCTACAATCTACAGCACAAACATACTTCCACGACCCTGTGCAATTTGACCACAACCAACGGGGCTACCACCATCTTTCCAACTCTTTCTTAGAATTCTATCCTGCATTTTTATTGAACAAGCAACTATTCCCTAACTATGCCATATAGTTTAATGTCTTTGTGCCTTAGCTCACACTGGGAGGGAATGTCCTCCTGGCCCTTTTTTACATCCAAATTTATAAATCCTTTTCTCTTGGAAGAGCTTTCTGACCCTATTAATGAGATCTAACCTGTTTCCTCTAGGTCATCACAGCACTTATTACACTATTATAGTTACATGCATACAGTCAAGTACCACAAAACAATGTTTTGGTCAACAAGGGACCATATATCCGATGGTGGTCCCACAAGATTACAATTCTGTATTTTCACTGCACCTTTTCTATGTTTACACCTGTTGAGATGTGCAAATGCTTATCATTGCTTACAATTGCTAGGATATTCAGTACAATAACATACTGTATAGGTTTATAGCCTAGGAGCAATAGGCCATACCACATAGCCATGTGTGTAGCAGGCTATACCATCTAGGTTTGTGTATGTACACTCTAGGATGTTCACACAATGGCAAAATTGCCTAATAACACATTTCTTGGAACACATCCCCATCATCAAGCAACACATGGCTGTATATGTTTCTCTCCCTACTATAATATAAGCAACTTGAAGGCAAGGACTGTGGTTTAATCATCTTTGCACCCTTGGGACCTAATGCATGTCTGGAACACAGTAGATACTCAGGAAATATTTAATTAACCTGGGGCATTAACTGTGAGAAATTTATACAAGCAGTTGATGTAGGTTGCTGCCCCCAAGTAGACAGTAAGTCAAGATAATGGTTAAAGGCTTTGAAGAGTATCTTTGGAGGTTCTGCTGGGGTGAACACTAGGAAGAATTGGTGGGTGCAGAGAAAGGAGAAATGGAAGGAGGGATGAGCCTTACATGCAGCCAGAAATTCCAAAGACACAAGGGATGAATCACCAACCTCTCGATTTTCTTGATGCATTTTGTTCTCAACAATTTCCTTGGAGCTCCAAAGCAAAAAAGATTCTCCATAGACTGTATAAGGCTGAATTCTCTACACTAAAGGAAAAGACTGAACTCAAAATTAATAGCTGGCAATCTGCCTTTGAAGGTGTTTGATATAAATCAAAAGAATTTGACAAACTGGACTAGTAGTGAGCTGATTAGAATTCTCTTCACTTCCTCAGCTTTGATTCTTATCTGCATATGTTGCATAAAATATTTTTATAGAACTGTAAAAAAGTAAAATTTAAATAGCATGAATAAAAAGACTTCAGGATTTCTGGAGTAACATAGAAGTAAGTTTTAAGGCTGGGTGTTCAGAATGGTGCTTCGTCATGGTAGATGCTCATTAACTGAGCCATTTGGGTTTTCCTTCTTTCAAATGTTTGCCCTTGCATCTCCAGCACCCAACGTTGCCGGTCCACTATAGATTCTCAATGCATACTGAATGAATGAATGGTTGTTGCCATGAATGTTTCTACTCTATAAGCTTCTGAAGGGCAGGAAAGTACATTATCTCATATTGGAATTGAAAGGTGTGAGGCACTCATTGGGCCTCAGTTATGTCTGCTAAGGGTTCCACAGACAGAGATTCTAAATACAGGGTATCATTCTATGATAAAAAGTTGGCTATCTGGCCGGGCGCGGTGGCTCACGCCTGTAATCCCAGCACTTTGGGAGGCCGAGGCGGGCGGATCACGAGGTCAGGAGATCGAGACCATCCCGGCTAAAACGGTGAAACCCCGTCTCTACTAAAAATACAAAAAATTAGCCGGGCGTAGTGGCGGGCGCCTGTAGTCCCAGCTACTTGGGAGGCTGAGGCAGGAGAATGGCGTGAACCCGGGAGGCGGAGCTTGCAGTGAGCCGAGATCCCGCCACTGCACTCCAGCCTGGGCGACAGAGCGAGACTCCGTCTCAAAAAAAAAAAAAAAAAAAAAAAAAAGTTGGCTATCTAAATGGAAATAAAAACTGTAAAACAAACAAAAAAACTCCATTTTTCTTCTCTCTTTTTTTTTTTTTTTTGGAATGGGGTCTCACTCTGGCATCCAAGCTGGAGTGCAGTGGTGTGATCATGGCTGACTTTAGCCTCAAACTCCTAGGCTCAAGACTTCATGTCACCTCAGCCTCCCAAGTAGCTGGGACCACAGGTGTGCACCATTACACCCAGCTAGTTTTTAAATTTCTTGTAGACACAGGTCTTGGTATGTTGCCTAGGTTGGTCTCA
The DNA here is from genome assembly GCF_000001405.40 of Homo sapiens. NCBI lineage: Eukaryota > Metazoa > Chordata > Mammalia > Primates > Hominidae > Homo > Homo sapiens. The sequence goes on from NC_000013.11 coordinate 35,864,873, forward strand.
AACTCCTGAGCTCAACCAGTCCTCCTGCCTAGGCCTCCCAAAGTGTTGGGATTAAAGGTATAAGCCACCATGCCTGGCCCCAGAGCTTTCCCAAATCCAAGAAAAGATCAAAATTTTGAAGTTTGTAAGTTTTAAGGAGGACTGCAGCTGTGAAACTTCAAGATAAACACAGTTTTCTTGTAAGATTAAGAAAACAATATAAAGCCAACTGAAATTTTATCAGTCTTTATTAAAACCAAAGTGATGCATATTTTATTCCTATTTTTAGAGTTATTTTATTATAATTTCCCTGTGTAGATAAAAAAAATTGCTTAAAAGAATTTTACTTTTGCCACTGCACTCCAACTTGGGTGACAGAGTGAGACCCTGTCTCAAAAATAAAATTAATGAATTTTACTTTTAACTTATACATTTTACTAGATCTGTGTTCCAAATATATACACATGTATGAAGAATCAAACCCATATGAAACTCCTTATTCCTTATGATGCTCTTACAGATTCTCATTTCTTTAAGAAGCAGCTAGAAGTCATTTTCCAATTTCTTAGTGATTCATCCTCCAGTGTCTCAGCACGCAATTTGTCTGGAGGCTCTTTACTCTTTTCATGTGTTATTAAGGCTTCTGGTTTCTCTTTGCTAGCTCTGTTTGCCTTCTTTCAGCCTTTTCTGTTATGGAGACTAATCATAATTCAACAGGTATGTGAATCATGTTATCTGTGAGGCCTTGACTCCTATGCTTCTTGAGAATAGGGGCTTTCTTTCATCTCTGCATCATTAGTGCCTAGCAAATGCCTGACACTAGTTGGTCTGTAACTGATAGTTCTGAAAGTGTAAATGAACACCTAACATTAATAAATCACTTTGAACCTCTTTTAGTGCTATGAAGAGAAATGGGTAAGGGACAAAGGGAAGACTTACAGAGGATTCCCATTCTTGTTCTAATGCTGACTTACAAGGGAGGTTTCTGTCCAGCAATACTATACATCAGGAAGTTGGGGTAAATCATTCACCTCCTGGAACGCTGGTGCCAAGGGACTAATACTTAGGCTTATGTTGCAAGGTGCTGTGATGCTGTGAATTGCAATCTCAAATTAGGCACTAGATTAATTGTTTCCTGGAGATCAAAACTCTAGTAAGTGGAGGTGAAGAAATAGGTATCAAGGACTGCCAGCCTTGTGTGTCTAGAGTACCAGAAGTCCCCGGTGCCAGCCCCGAGTTGCCATTCTGAACTCTGGGACTCAGAGCAAAGCAGTTATCCCAGCCCTGCCTCTGTGTCCTTATTTCTACAAACAGAGATAATAATAACTTGCCTTACTTGCCTGCTGTTAGGAAATTAATAGGAGGATCAAAAAAGATTGAAGAAATAAAAGCCGTATGTAAACTATAATGTTTCAGGTAAATATAAGTTAACCATGTTATATTCATAGCAGCATAGCCCGAAAATTGTGCAGATCTTAACTTTATAATACGCTCCAATTTCTGTATAATATAGGAAACTGAATACTGGAAGTAGAAATTTAAACACTGAAGTAGAAATCATTATAAACTTTGGGTTAATGTTTTGGGGGAAAACAAAGACTCTTTTTTTTTTTTTTTTTGAGACAGGGTCTCACTCAGTCATCCAGGCTGGAGTGCAGTTGTGCAATCTCGACTCACTGCAACCTCTGCCTCCCAGTGTCAAGCCATCCTGTATAGCTGGGACCACAGGAAACAAAGCAACCATCATTCCAGGCTAATTTTTGTATTTTTTTTTTTTTTTTTAGAGACCAGGTTTCACCAGCCTGCCTTGGCCTCCCAAAGTGCTGGGATTACAGGCATGAGCCACCACACCCAGTCTAAAGATGCTTTAACATTAAAAAATCAGGTGGTAGTTGGGTTTGGGGCAATACCAATGTTTATGGAGTATTTAAGTAAAATTCATGTTTGAGTCCATATGATTAATGAAAAACACTAAACAGGCTATTTTAAGAAAATGTGATGTAATCCATATAGAGACAATTCAACGTGCCTTTCCACTAGTTCCAAGAGCTATAGTTGAGTAGGGACAGGAGACCTGGGCCAGAGCAGTGGAGGGGCCCTGAGAGAGGGGTTTCCCTGACATCCAGCAGCTACACTTGCCTCTAGGAGAACTGGCAACACTGCCGAATTCCTTAACCTCTGGGCCCGGTTCCAGGGAAAGGAGGTGGTCCTGAGGTCACTGGCACAATCCACACATTTGTGACTGGGAGTTGACTGCCCTGTGAAACTCTCTAAATTGGTACCATCCAAAGGAAAGTGGTAACAAGTCACTTTTGGTAGCAAGTCAGAATCAAGAGATAGTCAGTGCATATAGTAATCTCTTATATAATCAGAAAATGATTGCATGTTATCTCTTCCAGGTCAAAATGCAGCAAGTTGAAAATTTTATATACACAAAAAGCTCACATTAAACAAAATATGATCAGTGTTATATAATTAACTTTGACCTAGAAGTTAAAGTGCTAATTTTTCAAGAACATATTAATTTTAGAATGAATTTGGACTCTACTTTCTTTATGAAAATGATACTACTTGGTATGACTTACCTATCACAAATTCCAAGTTAGTGCTGGTCAATTCAACCAGGTTTCAACTAGAGTTGAAAAGGACTTCAAGGAAAAAATAGAATGTGGAAATGCTTGTTTGGAGCAACCTGTTGATTTTGAGGCAATGTGTCCTACCCATTTTAAACTTCTAAAAGGAATAATTACAAATGTTGGCAGTGACATACAAGTACATTTAATATATTCGCCTATCTTCTTGAGTTTCCAAAATTACTTTTCAGAAATGAATATAAATTCTTACAATGCTGAATAGTGATTACATTACCAGTTAATTATAAAATGAAATTATTGCCTATATGCATAATTATATTTTTAAGATTAGACTCATCAGTCCATTCTTTAACATGTACGCAAGAATCTGATCCATTCCCCATCTTTATTGACTTAAAGGGAGAAGAAAGAAAGAAAGAAAGAAAGAGAGAGGGAGAGAGAGAGAGAAAGAGAGAAAGAAAGAAAAAGAAAGAAAGAAAGAAAGAAAGAAAGAAAGAAAGAAAGAAAGAAAGAAAGAAAGAGAAAAAGAAAGACCCTAAACCCTGGAGTATCTAGAGTATCTAACAACCTACAGCTCTTTTTTTTTTTTTTTTTTGAGATGGAGTCTTGCTCTGTTGCCCAGGCTGGAGTGCAGTGGCACCATCTCCGCTCACTGCAAGCTCCACCTCCCGGGTTCACGCCATTCTCCTGCCTCAGCCTCCCGAGTAGCTGGGACTACAGGCGCCTGCCACCACGCCCGGCTAATTTTTTGTATTTTTAGTAGAGACAGGTTTCACTGTGTTAGCCAGGATGGTCTCGATCTCCTGACCTCATGATCCGCCTGCCTCAGCCTCCCAAAGTGCTGGGATTACAGGCGTGAGCCACCGCACCTGGCCCAACCTACAGCTCTTAACAACAAAACTGCTAAAAACAATGACAATAAAAAGTTAAAAGCTGCAGTGCATATTGATTTTCTTGGAATATCTGTAATATAAAACACATAAGAATTTGGCTAATTACCCATTATTAGATGCATCTGCCCCACACTTGTTTTTTTATTCATCTTATATACTGAGAGGAAGAAGATAGGAAAGGTTAAGTAAAATTTAAGTCAAAGTTGGTTTGGATGGAGAACTAATTTTGTTTTTTAATATTGATGATTTTTAATAGTATTGATACTATTCATTAATTCATTAATATACTAATTGATACGGTTTCATTAATATAGGCTCTCATTCTCTTTCACATCCTTCTGTGATTGCATTAAGTAGCCAAAATTTTAGGGGCAATAAGCTGGCTAGGCTTATGACTTTGTTCTCCTTTATTGCTCCATGGGAGTTCACCCTATAGCCCAGATTTATTTATTTCTTTATTATTTGTTTTGAGACAGTGTCTTGCTCTGTCATCCAGGCTGGAGTGCAGTGGCGTGATTTCTGCTCACTGCAACCTCTGCCCCTCAAGGTTCAAGCGATTCTCCTGCCTCAGCCTCCTGAGTAGCTAGGATTACAGGCACCCACCACCATGCCTGGCTAATTTTTGTATTTTTAGTAGAGATGGGGTTTCACTACATTGGCCAGGCTGGTCTCAAACTCCTGACCTCAAGTGATCCACCCCCATCAACCTCCCAAAGTTCTGGGATTACAGGTATGAGCCACCAGGCCCGGGCCTATAGCCCAGATTTAATCAGAGAAAGTGAGAAATGTTTTTTAGTTAAGACTGAACATCCTCCACAGAGCTCAATATTAACCTGTCAGCTGGACAAGCTCAGTTCTTCCAGGGGAGTTTTCCATGCAGCAATTCCAGGATCACTCTGTCATTCTGTGGAGGTCCTCTTCTCTGTGTGTGGGTGGTATCTCCCTTGAAGGGAGAGACTTTCCCTGACATCCTGGGGAAGGGATCATCTTCAGAAAGAAATTCTCTTTTCTCCCAGGTGACTGACTCTCTGAGGCCAGGTCATTGCAAGGAGGGAGAAAAGGAAGTTGGCATCTGGTACTCTCCTTTGTTCATTGCTCTTTTGGTCTACACATCAAGGTATCTAAAAGGTCTGCTCTTGGATTGCAAGGACACTGATGGACATTGCTACTTGGAGGCAAACAGGGAGGTAGAAAGGAAGTCATCTCTGTCATGCCAGTAAATGAAGATGAACAAGTCATATCTTTCCCTCCAGATTATCCAGAGTCAAATGTTTTCTGCATTTACTTCCTTTCTGTTTTCCAAAACCCCCTGCTTCTCAAAGTGTGCATTGGAATCAGCTGGAGGGCTTGGGAAATTCCAATTTGCTGGGCTCTAGCTCCAGAGTTTCTGATTCAGTGGTTCTGGAGAGGGAGCTCAGGGCTTTGTAGTTCTAACAAGTGCTCAGGTGATGGTGATGCTGCTAGTTTGAGAACCACTGCCCTCACCTACTGTTTCTCAAAATGTGGACCACAGACTACCCGATCCTAATCACCTGGAGTACTTGCTGAAACACAGGTTTAGGTCCTTAGTCAGAATCTCAGGGTGTGGGGGTTCAGGATGACAAACTTTGCCAAGTTCCCAAGTGACTCTCATGAGCTCTAAGCTTTGAGTCTACTGTCTCATCCTTTAGCAATGCCTCATTTTAGGGCTCTATCCTATCTACATGAGCAGTGTCATACTAAGGGAGGAGTTCTCAGCTCACCTTTAAACTACAGAGGCAAACAAGATGCATCTCAAGTGCCAGCGATGCTCTGAAACGTATTTCCTGACTGGCTATGATGCAGGCCATGCTGTGGGAAGGAGGCATTGGCAGCCCATTGATGCCACCCTAGGTTGAGAGTCAGAGGGGAAGGTGGTCTTTGGAGATCTGTCTAGAGAATAGCAGTAATTGGTAAAACTCCAAGGGGAAGGAGACTCTTAGAGAATCAAGGAGGGCTGGGTGGTCTAGCTGGCCCCTGACCTATAATGATCCACCCTATTGAGAGTTCCTTCTTAGGCAGCCTCAGCCGAGAGCTCTTTTCACACTCCCCCTAGCCCATGCTGTTGAGTAAAAGAAGGCCCCCAAGTAGGCCCCAGAGGTCTTTATTCTTATTTATAAGAGCTTCTTGTCTTCATGAAATCAGGTAACAATCACTTTGACATTTGCATCGTTTAATAATTCCCAATACAATTTGTGTCATTTAATAAATAATTCCCTTTAATAACAATAGAGACCCTTCACCTGAGACAAACAAAGAAGACACTTTCTAACTGACTTCATGTCAGTTTTAAGACCAAAAAGGAGAAGGTAGGGTTGAGGTGCTCATCTTGTGCATACACAGCCTCTCCAACACCAGCACTAGAATCCACTGAGAGACAGGCTCAGGCCAAGGTCACTGCAGCAATCCCTGCTCCACCCTCTCAATCTCACTACCTTTAGCTCCAGAGCCATGAAAGGAAACTGAGGCCAGAGCCAAAAGTGTGTTTAATAAAGGTTCAGCGAATACAAATGGGAAACTCTTCATAGGCCAGTCTCAGGTAGAATAAATGCTTTAACAGAGACTTCCAGAATCTGAAAGATTAACTTTGGTGGTAGAAAGGATACAAGATGATAACGTTCTTCTATTTGTGGGCAAATCTGGGTTTCCTGAGTCCTCACTAAGTACATTTTTTGAAGCTCAATGCTTTTTCTTGCAGCCAATATGCTAGACTCCAGCAAATCTGTTCAACCGCTCTAAGATGTTCTAAAATTATAAACCGGAACCTACACTCGCTTAAAAACCTCACACTCTAGGCTTCACACACCCTCTGCTCATCCTGTGTCAGGAACAAGGCAATTTCTTCAAAATCCCCTCTGCTGCTTTACCTGAGCTGGTGGAGGCAGGGGACTTGCTACGCCTGGACGGTCCTGGGCTCTTGGTGGTGCTCCTGCGGGATGATGAAGCTATTTTGGTGTAAGAAGTGGACTTTACCACTCGACATTCTGGGGAAAGAACAAAAACCACACATCATTATGGGGTAATGGCACACACACACCAACTCAAAATGCACAATAAACCTGGAAGTAGAAATATATGACCATCCTCAGTCACATCTACTTCCCACCAGCTGGGTTCTTGTCTATGTCAATGAAACCAAGAAAACAAAGAGGAAGGACAGGGTGGGCTTCTTAGACATGGAAGTAAATAATACTTCAATCCCCCTAGGTTACACTCCTTACAATAATATTTTGGCTAGATTGGGAGTGATATAGGCTAATAAAGAGGTGTTTTGTTGGGTTTCTCTCTACTCACTCCTTGAGTTATCTGTATATGTGGGTCTCTTGGGATAAACTGTTGTTGCTTCCAAGGAAAATGTTAGAAGAAAGGTCAACCTCATAAACCAAGAAATGTGGTGGTGGAAGATTCCGCCCACCACAACAGGACCAAGTTTATTGCCATGGGTCCTCACGGAGATAGTTGTGGGTCTTTATGATATGTGGGAGATGACAGCATTTGCTTGGAAGAGGTAAAACTGGTGAAGAGGTGGTATTTCCCTGCTGCAAGGGCATCCTGCCAGCCTGTGCCACCACATGAAGCTGCCACAGATTTTATACTGTGTCTGTGAAATGGTTTGTGGCTTGAGGATAAGAAACAACTTCACTTTCATTAGATTTAAATTCTCAGTGTTCATGTCCATTATATTCAATGCTGAACATCTTAAATGGCAGAGAGTTTTCTATTTCTCTCTTAGTGAGCTCCCTTGACCAATTATGATGCTGTACAAACCCACATATCTTGTTCTTAAGAAACTGCTTCTAATAATTAACAAAAAAATATATGCTTGTAAGGATAATCAATGTTCACTGTAGATGGAAAAATATAAGGCATATTTTAAAACACCCCCAATAACCCATGATCAAATGATACTTTATTTTTGGAGGGGGGTATAGAAACTTCTAGAATTTTTGTCTATGCATTTATATATTTCAGCATTAGGATTTGTTCATATGTGTTGATCTGTTACCAACCCTTTTCACAATACAGTATCTTGTGAGCATTTTCACTCTGTTATTTAATGGCTGTTGAGCATCTGACTGCATGGAATACCATAATTTACTTAACCGAATTCCAACTATTGAATATCTAACTTGCTTTCAGTATTTCACTGTTATAAATAATTACTCAATGACACCTTTGTAAATGAGTGTGCAGTTATCCTATCACTCCCTTAGGACAGATTTAGTCCCTGGCACTTGACATTTAGTTTCTAGTAGCCAGAAACCAAGGGCACACTGTGGGTGCTCAAAAATATTTACCGACCCTTTTCTTTTTAAAAAATTATAAATTCAAAATTTAAAAAATAGCAATAGCTATTTGTTCTTTCCCCTTCAATATCACTACCTTTGTGATATTGTTCTTTCCCCTTCAATATCACTAACATTTTTAATAGTGTAAGGACCTTACCATAGCTTTTCTAAGCTTATATAAACACATATATACATAGCCAGGTTTTTGTTTGCTTTTTATAAAAATGGCAAGATAGCGACATATTTTATACATTTTCCATACTTATATATTATAATCATCTTTCTTGGTCAACCCATAGCAATCAAAACTGTTTTTCTAAACCCTGCATCATATTTTGTAATATGTTTATATCACAACTTATTCAATCATTCCCCTATTGATAGAAAGTCAGGTCACTCCTTATATTCTAATTTCTTCTTTATATTTTCCAACTTAAATAAAAAATTTTAGAGACAAGCCGGGCCAACATGGTGAAACCCTGCCTCTACTAAAAATACAAAAATTAGCCGGGTATGGTGGTGGGCGCCAGTAATCCCAGCTACTCGGGAGGCTAAGGCAGGAGAATCACTTGAATCTGGAAGGCAGAGGCTGCAGTGAGCCAAGATCCCAAAAACATAAATAAATAAAAATAAAAAAATTAAAATTAAAAAATTTGCTGAACAAAGTGGATTTGGTGAGTTCAAAGAGAACTTCTTAAAAGCTCTGAATGATGCCCTCCAGAAAGTCCAACAAATTGTACTTTTTTTTTTCCCCTCAAGACAGAGTCTCGCTCTTGTTGCCCAGGCTGGAGTGCAGTGGCGTGATCTCGGGTCACTGCAACCTCCACCTCCCGAGTTCAAGAGATTCTCCTGCCTCAGCCTCCCAAGTAGCTGGGACTACAGGGTGCCCACCACCATGCCTGGCTAATTTTTGTATTTTTAGTAGAGGTGGGGTTTCATCATGTTGGCCAGGCTGGTTTCAAACTCCTGACCTCAAATGATCCACCCACCTCAGCCTCCCAAAGTGCTGGGATTACAGGTGTGAGCCACCATGCCCGGCCTCAAATTGTACTTTTATAGACAATGAGTGGTCATTTGCTGGGTCCCTCACTGAGGTTAGGTATTACATTTTCAAAAAATCTTTGCCAATTTCTAAACAAATATTGGATTTCCTTTCTTGAAATCTGAATTGGTTTGATTGCCAGTAAAGTTGTACATTTTTCCCACACGCATATTAGCCATTTGGATTTCTTCTTTTGCAATTACTTATTTATGTCCTACTTTCTCTTATTGGTTTGTAAGAGTGCATTCTATATGAAAGTTTAACACTTAGTCTATCATGTTATAAATATTTATCATTGTAGGTAGTTGTTGAAATATGTTAGCTTTTCAAATGTGGTGAACCTTTTTAGTATAGTAGTTTTAAATTAAACTACTTTAACTTTTCCATTATATATTTTAAATCCCATTTTACGCTTTAGTAACAAAGAACTCATAATCATTCCAGATCTCATTCTGATGCCTGACTTCAAAATTTTTCTTCCCTATCCACGCAATTTCTAATTTTCTAAATTCAAAACATGTTTCTCTCTCTTATATATTCTGAATTGCTTTATATAAACATCGTTTCCTATTTTTTTCTAACATCTAAACTAACAAAGTAGTTTAAATTGTTTAGTAAGAAAAGATGTGAGTTTATATGAAATACAGATGTTATAAGACTACAAACAGGAGATAAGTCATGGAGGAGAGTGTGTCCTAGAGAGTCTCATGAATTGAAATGGGGGAAAAGAAGAGGGAATATTAAAAAAGAAGAGGAAGCAAATTCTGCCTTGTGATATTTCTTCTTCCTCCACTTGTTTTCATAGCCCAAAGCAAAGAGAAATGAATCAAGGCATTACAGAGCCTGCCCAGTCTTCCCCAACAGTTACTTGGGCCACTGTCACTGTTCTGGCCTGCCCAGTGACCCTGCAAGATATTTCTGTTTTTTAAAAAAAAGAAAAAAATCTATACATACAGGAATATTGACAAAAATTAAAAGATAGGAGTAACCAAGAAACAACATTAACAACGTCAGAAAATACAATAGGAAAACCAGGACCGTTCCCATGGGACAATAACGCCCAAGGTGTCCGTGGAGATTTTGATTCGCAAAACAGAGCTTTGGAACGTGCCAAGGAGATCTCAGATTAGCTCATGGCTCTGACCATGCAACTGACAACACATCCTGGAGTTTGTCCTAGCTTTGGCCTCTGCCTAGCCTTTTGGAAGTACACTAGCAACCAAACTGGAATGCCACAATGTCGCCGGCCCATTGGCATGCTTCCTCGTACATTTTTATCACGTGGCCACTACGTGCCAAGCATCGAGAGCTGCAGGCATGATGGAGAACAATACAAAGTTTTGGAACTCAAAACCTTTACCATCTGGTAATGGTGCATAGAGTCTTTTCACCAGTGAGGCCTCTTTTTGCTAATTTTTATTTCATGGACCTCATGTTTGAAAAATGTTAGTTTATGCAACACATTGTTGTTAAGTAACATTCAATTTTCTCATTTTAAATAAAAATCAAGATGATCATGAGGGCAGATGACCAGAACTTTTTGTCCCAGGTTATGAACATTCAGAGGTCACATAAATTTAAAACAATGATTTTAAAAGCTCAGCATCTAGTTAGCAAGAATGAATAGTTAAGATAGAAAGCTAACAGATGGTACACATTGTTCATAATATCCATCTGTGATCCACAATGTGAATTTAAAAGTTGGTTTTAGGGTTCATGGCATGCTGTTTGGCACAGGTGCCAGAGTTGCTAGCTGTGGCTATAACTACCAACCAGCAATCCAGGACACCATAATAGAACCAATCTTACCACACTCAGTTGACACTTTTCCAAGTACCAAAAAGAAACTTGGTATTTCTGTGAGGCAGCTCTTCTTATCAGAAGAAATGTAGGTATTTCATTAAGTTTTTGAAATATTGGAAAAACTTGTGGCCTCTTATCATGCTTCCAAAGCTTCCCTTGCTTCTCCTGAACTGAGTTCTCACCATATTATTAATCAGTCAGAATTATTCATTTATTAGTCCGTCTCCCCACTCCCATACTCCATTGGATACTAACTAGTCCCTGCCATATTAAAAAGCATGAAGTAGCTGCTCGATAAATATCGGCCCAAATTGCTGCTGATCCTGTTACTACTTGTGTGAACTCTTGGTATTCACTGAACTAACCCAAACTCTCATTGTACACCCAAGAAAACTGAGTCTCAGAGAGATGAAATGACTTGCATCAGAACCCAACTCTCTTGGGTTGGTGGCTTCCTCACTACCCCCAGTATCTGATGCTGTGGCCTAAGCAAGCTGTTCCATGGTGACGAAAGCCTGGGAAATGTCTATCGGTGTCCATGGTCAGGGGCAGACAAATGGGTGATGGTGCATCAGGGGAAGAACTGCAAGCAACTGTTCTCATATCAACATTAAATAAGAAATTCAAGATATGAAAGCTACCTGTCTATCAAATGTTTAGTATATCAGAAAAAAAGAGAAACAAACTGTCTTTCAGAAATGGAGTTATAATGAAGTAATAGCTTGGAGGATCATGGAGTCTGAAAGATAATTACAAATATTTCAACTCTTGGACCACTTGCCTTAAGGATAAGAGTGATACTTCATGAGTCATATTGTGGATTAGAATAATTCCAAAGGCTTGGGTTGAATAACAAAAACAGAAACAACAACAACAGATTTATAGTAACTACGTTTTCTAAAATGGGTCAACATAAATCCAGCTGAAGAATATTGCAGTGCCAAGCCGTAAATTATAAAAAACAAAAACAAAAACTCCAACCATCTTTCCAAATAAAGTTTAGATTTTCCATGTTTTAATTAATTTAAATAGGAATTGTATTTTATAATGGTGAAAATGCAGTGAGGAACAAATGCTGCATGGCTTCAGAGAGAATGCCAAAATCTACATCAGCTGATAACCACAATTTTGAAACATTGTGAATAATATGACCTAAATGGCCAGTAATGTAGAAAACCTTTTTGTTGACACAAAGGACATTTTCATAGCCTCAGGCAAGGAAGAAAGCAGTGCCTTCCATTCCCCCTCTCACATGGGGGCATTTGCCTTTGGGGGCCATCACTTCTTTACTCTGATGTTTCTTGGCACCCCTATATTTCACTGACCAATTCTCTAAGAGGACTGTATTTCCTTTGGTGGTGGAGAAACTGGATGACCCAGACTCTCCTTAAGAAAGATGACACCGAAGGACTGTAGGTAAGCCACTTGAAGGAAGCTAACAGATGGTAATTTCTCTTGCTCCTAAAGATTGCAGCCTACCCAAAGGACAGGAAATCAGACCAAACTCATGAACTGGTTCTCTGATGACTGAACCTCCCACAGCAGGCAAGCAAGTAAGCAACATTGAATTAAATCTCTGCTCTATTTAGTCCCTACATTCATCTGAGGTGAAAAGTATCATTCCCCACACGATCTATACAAATGTTTTGGGGATTTATAGAAGTTAAATGTTTCTCACCTTCACCCAGGACATGAACTCCTGAAATGGGCATTCTTTGATGGACAGATTTAGAGAGACAGCCCAGATGGTGATGTATAAGGAGGAGGTGGAACATATTCTTTGGCCACATTCCCGGTGGCAGGAGAACCTCCACTTAGAAAGATCCTCCCCCCACTCAGAAACAGTTGGTAGGTAGGCTGAAGTGTTATAGAAGGTGCTGAAGAATAGAAACGGTTGCAGAATTCCACCAAAGACACCAGTGGCTCACCTGAGCTCACATAGTGATCATGCATTCAAAGGGGCCTACTTAGACCTTCTGGAGAATCTTGAACAAGGCATAGGTGAAGTCCCTTGAGTGTCTAGACAGCCTTGGTGACATGCTGCATGTTGGCTAGGGAATACTCTTTGAACAAGAAATGGTTTTACTTTTCTAGTCTCTTTTTTGAAACCAACCAGCATAAAAGCACTCTTAGGCAGAGGCCTCTTAATATATCTCAACTCTAAATTCAGTTTTCTGAATTGTTCAGGAAATGGACAAGTTCATCTAGAAGAAACCATCATAAGCAGTAGATGCTTTGTGCTTTCTACCATACCCTGATTACAAAGGCAAGCTTCCTCTTAATTTGGCAAAGGTACAAAGCCTGTAAATGGAATAATATTCCTCTCTGTTGCTATATGCAAAAGAGAGTGAGGAAGCACATTCAGTTCCAGAGGCATTTTATAAAAATGGCACAAAGTCAATGACAAAAAGAACTTGCAATTCTGATTCTCCAATTCTCCAATAAGTTGCCCCTACATGTTCACTTCCCTCCCCTTGGGAGGCGCCCTCCTAGAATATCAAGGCTGTCAATGGTTAATGAGTCAACTCTCTCCTTAACTCAGGAATATTCTCTCCTCCTGTCTCCATTCCAACTAAGTGGTGGTCCAGCTTCCTTCTGAGCACCCCCAGTGCCTGGGAGATTCACCACCTCCTGCCTCATGGTTTTGAATCTCAGTCTCCATCCTCAGTCTCCAGCTTGTCTGCCTGGTTGAGCTGAACAAAGCCATCCTGGTATAATGGACAACTAAAATTTACTTTCTATAGAAATGTTATGATTTTCATACTTCGCAGCAGCATTACAGGAAAATCCACATGTAGGCTTCTTGAGGAAAGGATGGGCCTGCATCTAGTAAGAACTGAGGCCCATCTGGTTTCTTCTACTCCACCCGTTTTCTGAGTGAACCCTGACACCATGGTAAGACTCCCATCCTACTGCCTGTGGGGTTTGAAATAACTGCTGCTTCCCCAAGCTCCACACGCAGCACGTCTGGAATAAAAGCAATCAAGATCAAAACACTCTAAAATACAGCTTTTAAAAACAAAGCATTGCAGTGGGGGGGAAATGGGGATGGTTAATGGGTACAAAAAATAATTAGAAAAAATGAATAAGATCTAGTATTTGATAGCACAACAGGGTGACTACAATGAAGAATAATTTAATTGTATACTTAAAAATAACTAAAAGAGTATAATTGGAATAAATGTTTGAGGTGATGGATACCCCATTTACCCTGATGTGATTATTATGCATTATATGCCTGTATCAAAATATCTCATGTACTCCATAAATACATACACTTACTATGTAACCATAAAAATTACATTTTTTTTTTTTGAGATAGTCTTGTTCTGTCGCCCAGGCCAGAGTACAGTGGCACAATCTTGGCTCACTGCAACCTCTGCCTCCCAGGTTCAGGTGATTCTCCTGCCTCAGCCTCCTGAGCCACTGGGATTACAGGCACACACTGCCATGCCCAGCTGATTTTTGTATTATTAGTAGAGATGGGGTTTCACCATGTTGGCCAGGCTGGGCTCGAACTCCTGACCTTAGGTGATCTGCCCACCTTGGCCTCCCAAAGTGCTGGGATTATAGGCATGGCCACCACACCGGGCCAAAAATTAAAAAATATATAAAACACAAAAGTGAAAAAGAAGGCATGGGACAGACTGAATTGGAGACAAAGGCATCAGCTGGAGTAACTTAACTGGAGAGTAAAGTCCCGGAAACTAAGATTTTAAAAGTACCTTCTAAAAATACAGGGAGGTATGTTTAAACCAGCACTTCCACTGGTCCACCACAACTTCCAGAACACCCAGCTCAGTGCTCCAGATGGCGCCCACGTGTTCCTCCACCTGCACGGGGCTCTAGAGGCACTGCTGGGAGCAGAAACCTTATGTAACATCTGCAGAAGGCTTTATGGCACTGGGATTTTCTGTATTAACATCTCAAGAGTCACAGCTCAGATCTACTGTTCTGATAGTATGAATGATTCTCCTTTCCAAACCCTTTCCTTTTCCCTAACAGTCACATAAGAGAAAAGTTCATCTTTTCCTACATAACAGTGCAGAGGTCTGCAGGTGTCCTGAGGGATAGGCGGTTTAGCTCCGGGAGATTGCTTGGTAACCCAAGTTCCTACTATCTTATCTCTGTCAAACCTGAGTGTTCTCATCCACAAGGGTCCCAGTTGGTTTATGTTGCCTTGTCTGAGTTTCAACCCCGGGGGAAAGCAGAAAAAGAGGAAGGTTTGCAGACACCGGGCATGAAAAGCTGATCTGTTCCTTGTTCTACCAGAACTTAATTTCCTGAAATGAATACTGATCTTTCCTTTTTCCCACATGTCATTTGCACTTTTTTGTGCCAGTTGCTAGTGGTGTCCTTGGCCTCACCCACTAGATGCCAGTGCCACTAGATGCCAGTAGCTTCCCTAGTTATGTGACCAAAAACGTCCCCACACATTCCCAAATGTCCTCTGAGGGCATATTACCCCTGGTAGAGAACCACTGCCAATGTCTTCATTAGGCAATGTTTCCCAGAGGGGCCCTCAATTAACTCTTACATTCTTCCTCCACGCTGTTAATGAAACCGTCACCAACCACCTGCTTGAGTCTCTAAACAATGCATTCGTATACTCTTTCTGCAGGTCTGGCAGACATAAACTGAGTTTCGGGCTTTACACTGTAGTGTAGTTGATGCAACTGACAATGCTGAAGGTCTTCCAATAGTCTGTTAAAATTGGATTAGTACCCATTGCTTAACCATCCTGAGAATATGGGAACATGGGGTCTTGGTTTCTTAGCTGAGAGTCTGGAGGATAAAGAATGTCATGGGGCAGAGGTTAGAGAAAGAGACTTCCACATTGCTGTGTGCGAACCCGAGTGTTGCAGAAGGGCCACAAGCATGGCCCGTGATCAGGCTGCCCTCTAGGTAAGGTTCTTTCCCTTCCAGGTACCACTTGACCCCTACAATGACCCTTTGGAAACAACTCCAAAATGGTGTTCCTCACTATTTTGGATTGAATGCAAGTACGATGCAAGAGATTATGCTTTTCTTACCTATTGAGATGTGGGGATTTTCAACCTTAGTCATTAAGCCTGGCAGTATTGCCTCAAAAACACAAACATGTACCCCTTTTGCTGATTTGCAGTTGGGGTCTTATCTTTCTGAATCCTAAATGCAAGTGTAGTTGGTACATTTGCTTTCCCCATAAGAACCCAACCTCATTGGCATTAAAACGTGTCCCAGAAGGCATCTGTTTTTTCTCTGCCATGGGTTCCCAGCTGGGCTTTGCTCAGGGTCTGCTGCCTTTTCATTGGCCAGTGAAGCTTCACCAAATCTTGACCTTTTTGAAAGTAAAGCAGTTATTAAAATTGAGAAGCTCCACTTTGGCTGGCTCTGAGCTTCTTCTCATAAAAAACCCATGTGTCTTCAGTGAGAGATTTGAATAAATCAAAGATGCCAAGGGCCTGTTCTCCCACATGTCATATGTTCCACATTGTTCAGCCGAAATACAATGCCCTCTTAGTCTTTACTGATGTCTGATCACCTTGAGAGACTGAATATACAGATGAACAATGGCCAGACCATATAACAAAACACAACTCTGGCTCACGACCTGCAGCAACATGCCGGGGAAAAACCCCCTTTCTATGACAGCCTACCAGAAGGTAGCACACTCTAAGTCAGACTTGCAGAAAAATCAATAACAAATTACAATGGTCTAGCTCTAGTAACATTCCAGGAAGCCAAACAATAACCCTTGTAACAATTGACCTTAAATTAGCCAGGACTTAATAAGTGACAGCATCCCTAATTTTTGTTTGCACTTCCAACTTAGCACCAACTAGAAAGGGTGAAATGTGCGCCTCTAACCAATCCCGTAGAGTGCCCCACTTCTGGTTAGCTTGCCTACATCTTCCCCATACCAACTGCTTCCATCAGGGTGCAGGGAAAGCCTTCCCTTTTTTTCTTCTCTAAAGCACTCCTACTCCTCTGCCTGCCTTTGAGTCCCTGCCAAAATGCAGATGATGTTGGCTGACTCCTTGCTATAGCAAGCTCTGAATAAATAGCCTTAGTTTGTTCTCATTTGGTTGGTCTTCACTGATTTGCACAGCACACATGGCTCTCCCTTAGCTGACTGCAGCACTTGGCACTATGGCTCGGTACATTTCTCTTTCTGTTACTCATACATCCAGTTCCTTGTGGCCACATTTATTCCTTGTGACACCTTGGAGAGTGCCACCCTGTCTCCCTGCCAGTCTGTCCTCTGGCACTTGGATAGACACCATTTCTTGAGCTGACCATAAAACAAAGCAGCTAACTTCAGTTGAGGGGCATGTCGTGTGAAATAGGCCCACCTTTATCTTCTAGAATCATGATAACAGTTCACAAGGGAAAGAAGGTTGACTGTGGAAACAGCAGGTGAACATCTCCAATCTCATGCTAACGCTGGGCCTACACTCATTGGATGGACTCATGCGCATAATGGTGCACATCTGAATTTTGATTTCTCTTTATCTTTTTTCCAAAGTGTATGCTTTAGTTGCCATAACAAATTACAACAAACTTCATGGCTTAAAATGACCAAAATATATTTGCTCACAATTCTAGAGGCCAGAAGTCTGAAATCAAGGTGTTGGCAGGTCTGGAGTCTCTCCAAAAGCTCTAGAATGGAATCCGTTCCTTGTCGCTTATAGTTTCTGGTGACTCCAGGCATTCCTTAGCTTGTGGCCACATTACTCAAATCTCTGCCTCCATCTTTACATGGACTTCTCTGTGTGTCTGTGTTATTTCCTTGACCTCTTTCTTAGGTGGACATTTGTGATAGGATTTTGGTTCCCACCAGAATAACCCAAGATAATCCCCTCATCTCAAGACCCTTAACTTAATTAAACCTGTAGAGACCTTTTTCCAAATAAGGTCACATTTACACATTGAAACCTTTCAGTGACTACTATTTAGCCTGCTACAATATGTATGACATCACTTTGATACCAGCCTCTCTTGAGCATTTTTATCAGGAAATCTATTGTTGCTCCACTGCTTAGAACCCTTCTAGGACTCTTTGTTGCTCTTCGAGAATATCCTTAGAGTAGCCTGTAAGGCCCCTCCCTACTTCAGCTTTCTGTCTCCCTTTTCTTTGGGTGCATTATTTTAGTTTCTTAACTGCACTAAGTAACCTCCTGCCTCTGGGCATTGGAATATTTATTTCCCTGCAAAAGGAACAATTCCCCAATACTGCCACCTTGCCTGGTTAACGTTCTGTTCATACCTCCACACTCAACTTAAATTCATACATTTTGCAAATATTTACTGAGTCTCTGCTGTTTTACGTGCCGGGATACTGTAGTGTATCAGTTGACAGGGTCTCTGCTTTTGTGGAATTTATACTCCAGCGGAGGAAATGAGCCTTAAACAAACAAAAACAAGAACAAGAGCTGAGTTTATAAGAACTTTGCCAAGAATTAAAAGGGTGATGTGACAGCGAGTGGCTGAGTGAGTGGTTTCTCTATATTGGTGGTCAGAGAAGGTCTCTTGGTGTTGATGACGTTGAAGCTGAGCTCTGAACACAGGAAGAAGTCAGCCGTGGATACACTGAAGGAAACAGAGGAAAGCAGGCACCAGATTAAGTCAAGATTGAAACAACCAAGTGAGGGGCTTGGGTTTTACTCTAAGCAAGATGAGAAGTTAGGAGGGGTTTAAGCAAGGGCAGTTGTTGTAGTTTAGATATTTGACCTCCAAACCTCATGTTGAAATCTGATCCCCCATGTGGGAGGCGGGGCCTAATGGGAGGTGACTGGGTCATGGGAATGGATCCCTCGAGAATGTCTTGGTGCCATCCATGAGGTAATGAGTGTGTTCTCGCTCTGTTAGTTCCAGCAAGAGTTCTCCCAACATCTAGTTGTTAAAAAGAGCCTGGCACCTTCCCTTCTCCCTTGCCTCCTCTCTCCATGTGATCTCTGCACATACCAGCTCCCCTTCCCCTTCCACCATGAGTGGAAGTAGCTTGAGGCCCTCAGCAGATGCAAATGCTGGTGTCATGCTTCTTGTGTAGTCTGCAGAACTGTGATCCAAGTAAACTTTTTTCTTTATAAATTACCCAGCCTCAAGTATTCCTTTATAGCAACACAAATGGACTAAGACAGCAGTGGTATGGTCTGATTTGTGAGTCTAAAAGGGAACTCTGGCTGGCGTGTAGAGGAAACATTGCAAAGTGGTTATTCTGGGTGAGAAAGGATGGTGGCATGGCCTAGGATGGAGGTGATAGAAACGGATAGAAAACAATGACTTGGAGATGATGAGGAGATAGAGTTCGCAAAGCTTGAGGATGGATTGCATAGGGGCAGGTAGACATGCAATCCCAGCTCATATGCTCCTTGTGTATGTACTGACGAGTGAGTCCTGCTGACAGCCTTGCACAGTGCAGTGGCTTCATGTGCCAAAGTGCAGGAGAGACCAAGAGTCTAGAAAGGCCTACAGTCTTCCTCTAGGATAAAGGACAGACTTCCCAGCTCTTTAAAAATGCAGATTCCCTGCCCTTCCCTGAACCTACTATATTAGACTCATTGGAGGTAGAACCTGGGGCACTTAAAAAAATTAAAAACCCATGTGATCCCAATGGTGTGGATCCACAGACCAGACAGCTCTTGCCATTCTCCTGTGGATTGATAAGAAAATTACCAAGGGAAATCCAGAGGTTCAGGGTTTGAAGTAATTGTGCAATGTGCCACTTGGAAAAAAAAAAGACTAAACTAAAAGCATGAGGAGATAAATTAGCAAGACAAACTGGTCTTGAAAAAAACAGCAAATATCTGTCCTCCTTCAGTTTTTATCCCAACTCAAATTTGCAAAAACAACCAACTATTATCCTGAGACCCAGTTGAAAGCAGACTTTGAAAGTGGAACAAGAGTTCATATATATTGTCAGCTCATGACCACCTGGCTTTAATTAGCTACAAGACGGGGAGGATCTGAAAGCTAGATAAGAAACAAGAAATAGATAAATTACTCAAGAATGGAGAGCTAGAAAATGAATAAGAATTCCTCCAAGAGAAAAGAAAAGGGAACAAAAGGAACTAACAACAATAAAAAGAGCATAACAATGTGAACTGAAATAAAATTTGATCACTGTCTCCTTGGGTACGGCTCCTTTAAGCCTGACTTTATCCCAGTCATGCAGAAAAGCAAGGATAAGCATGCATTTCGGTTTGGTGGTCCAATACTCAACCTACTCTAGCACATGCCCCAGTGGGTTGAGGTCAAGTGGTCTGGAGGCGGCTCCCTGAGAAAGTGGAAATGGTTGGAGTTTCTGGGGACCACACAGAGATGATAGTCAAGAACTCCAGGTGTGTCATTCACAGAAGGTAAGGGTACTGTTTTGGATGATGATTCGTCATAGTTTAGATTATAATAGGGTCCATTCTTATTCCATTAAAACAAAGCCACAGCCTCTGTGCTGCCCAATACCTTGGGTCACTTTGGCTAGGGACATTCTCTAGCACCTTGCAAGATGAGCCTGCCTTGTTCAGGTCATCACCAGGTCAGCGAAAACAGGACCAGGCTCTTGGTAGAAGGAGGGGCTCCTATATAAAGGAAGCTTCCAGAAAGGCACATACCCTTGTCCAGGTGTTCTGTGAGGTGGGCATCAAGCTTGATCGGGAACAGAGATTGTCCACCAGGAATGAGGTATCTGTGTTTGGCTAGAAGTCAGCCAAGCCTTTTCCTGAGAAAGACCTCCAACCTGAATCCACTTTGGGTAAATGAGGTAAGACAAGACTTGGGAAGATTATTTCTCCAATCAAAATCATCTCAGAGCCTGCACTGTCATCTTAGGGACAACAAAAAAAAAATTCTCCCTTCAGACTATACTAGAACAAAAATAAATAAATAAACAAATAAAAATTCAAGTGGGAAACCAAGAACAAAAACTCTAACTGTAAGGCCGGGAACAAAACATTCAGATTGTTGTGTAAACAAAGTAATCAGAATGTCATAATAAATGACAGGCTGAAGCTCTGTGCTTATTTGAAAGGGGATCAAGTAATACTGAAGAAGAGTGATGTAAACATACTCCTGAGCAAAGTCTCACTGGGATAGAATTTAATCAAGAGGTTTTACTTTCAAGAAATAAGCACAATCACAGAGGCCAGGAAACTTAGCTGTTTCAGGGAATTGATGGGTAGCACAAATGTGTGTTTGGCAGAACACACACAAAAATCAGGCATTAAATTAGGCATACCCTAAAACCTTCAAATTCATATTTTTATATATAACTCAGGTTGCTGATTTGTCATCTAAAAATGAAAATGATCAGGGCCTTACCATGCAAAAGTAATGATAAAATAATGATTGTGTGGTCTGAAGAAATAAAACTTTGGGAATACTTTTGATTGCTTTTCAATAATAAATGATTACTATAGTGATGGTGATGTTCTGTACCTAAAATAATAGTACTGCCTAGAGGAGAGATGTAAAATTATAGTAGCAGAAGTTCTCTTAGACAGCAGGGAAAGCTGCTAGATAAAGGCTGAATAGGTTCCTTTTTTTTTTTTTTTTTTTTTTGAGACGGAGTCTCGCTCTGTCACCCAGGCTGGAGTGCAGTGGTGCAATCTCGGCTCACTGCAACCTCTGCCTCCCGGGTTCAAGCGATTCTCCTGCCTCAGCCTCCTGAGTAGCTGGGACTACAGGCACATGCCACCATGCCTGGCTAATTTTTTGTATTTTTAGTAGAGACGGGGTTTCACTGTGTTAGCCAGAATGGTCTTGATCTCCTGACCTCGTGATCTGCCCGCCTCAGCCTCCCAAAGTGCTGGGATTATAAGAGTAAGACACCATGCCCGGCGAATAGGTTCTTAAGAAAACTTTCATTTCTTTCCAAGGGGCTACTTAAAAATACGGCAGCCAATCGTGTTTCTGGGCAATGGTTTAGATACTGCTCTAAATATTGGCAGGCTTTAGAATTAATGACTTCTTGGGAGATTGCAGAAATATCTACCCTAAAGAAGCAAAGGATGTTAGAAAAAGCTCCCCCCGATGTTGCACAAGCAATGCCACTTTTCTAAAAGTGTTCGGAAGAGTGCCACATGTGAGATCCACCGGAGAAATTCAATTAAGTGCTGCATATGAATTAGTTTCTGGTGACTCAGTTATGCCTATGGGTTTCTAGGCTGCTCGTTGAAGAAAGCAGCATGAGAGAACTCAGGAAACAGGGATAAAATAAATTCTTTCCTTTTTATCATAACTCAGTACATGAACCAGACAACACCCACATGTTAGGACAGCTTTTGTGGAGTCTGTCAGTCGTTTTCCTGACATTTTCACTGCTCCAGAGAAAACAGAAAGTTAGGTTATTTCACTTAAAGATTAAATAGGATAAAACATTTAGAAAACCTGGAGACAAAAATCTCACAGGTTCAATATGACTAAAAGGTAAATTTCTAGAAACTACACTTGCTAGGAGCTTCAGTAGATTCTAAGCTTCCCCATGGCCACTCCTCTTTCAGTCATTCTCTACTCTGCTGAGAAAGCAACTGTGTTTTTAGCTGAATCCCAACTGCCCTAAATGTTAGCTTGGAATCCAACTGGAAAGACGAAATAGTTCTGCGTTGCTTATATTTTTGGCAAAATGAGACTCTGTCTTCATAGATAAATCCAGCTACCTACAGTTGTCAGTCACGTAAGTGATATACTTGCTAACGATGCTACATGTTAGTAAATTGCTTGGGGAAATTACAGGTGATCTAAGTGCCACAGGTGACCTGTTTGAGTGGGCAGGGAGGTGAGGTTAGAACACCTGAAAATGTCTGAATCAAGTAGAAATGGACACTCTTGGTGAACATCTCAGTGTTAGGCTGGACTTGCATATTTAAGCAGCTCCAGTGGGTCTTTAAGTACAAGGTGGAACCCCTTAAAGCCGTTCACAACCAGCCAACATATCTGCCATCATATAAGTGACCTGCTGTCCTGTTCTCTGGATTTCTGGCTGCGTGATCTGGTTGCTCACAATTCCCAAGGGAGGCTGCACTTGCTGCTCAGCCCTCTCCTGTCATCTGCCTTAGAGGAAGTTGCTTTCAAGGAAGAGACTGGGTGGGAAAGACTGATGAAGAAACGGGAATTTGGGAAATTCTATGGCCATTCGTATCATTTCAAAAACAAAACTTCTAGTTTCCTATTCTGTGAAAAACCAAAGGCAAACAATTATCTAGGAACTGATCTTGTGAGCATAATTTAATCACCTATGTCATGTAGCTAGATTGTTTTCTTAAGGACAGAGTTATACCAATAAAAATAGAAGCTTTCAAGCCAGACACTGTGGTATGCGCCTATAGTCTCAGCTACTCAGGAGACTGAGGTGGGAGGATCTCTTGTGCCCAGGAATTCAAGCTTGGACAGCATAGTAAGATCTTGTCTCAAAAAAAAAAAAAAAAAAAAAAAAAAAAAAAAGAAGGCTTCAGTGGAAAGCATGTTCACACATACATATGCAATGAAAATTTACGAATGAAAAAGTTCTCCTGGATTCCAACAATTTCTAAACAATTTCTTCTTTTTATATTCTTTCACATTCATCCAAAGTAAGGCAGACATTTTTTAAGAGTGAGTTAATTATCAAGGATAATTCTATGTGTCCTACTCTGAAAACTTCAGATTTCCTTTTCCCCACTTTTGCCAAAAAGTCTAGTATTTATTATCCTGTTTCTCATGTTCTCTAATTACTTGACTTTCCTTTTAATGAGAAGTATCCTTCCCACCAACTGTCTAATAAAATCCTTGGTTGTATTGTTTAATTTTAAAGCACCCTCTTCATGAACAATTTATCTATTTTCCCTCCTATTCCAAATGACAGACATTAAATTACATCTCTGGGTACATGTGATTAATCTTCAATTCCAAAGTGAAGAAAAGAAGAAAAGGTTAGAAACATCTAAACCCTCTTTTCTTTTTTATTAGGAGAAAGCAGACTTTGGGTTGAAAACTTGATTTATTTCCCTTAAACCTATTTGAAGATCACCTTTACAACAAGGGGTCAAATGTGGCTTGAAATGAATTCCCCATGCAGTACTTATGTAAGTCCCTGGGTACAGCATTTCAAGGCTAATAAATATTGTAGTTATACGAAGGCAGCCATCTAATATGACAGCATATAGGCTTTTGGAGGGATTGTGGTCTTTCAATGAAAAGGATCTGGTTAGAAGGGAGACATTACAGTTGACTTGTGGCCAAGACGCCTGAAATCAGATGATACTCTATTTGCATTTGGCCCTCAGCCATCAAACAAATCAGTCATTACTGCAATCCACAAGGCAGTTATCGTTGGCTAAGTAATTCACAAAATTATTTCAGTAGATAACTTGCTGTTGGTGGCTAGACTTATCATCTTCAAATATTTACCCCATTAATTGCAATGGTATGTAAACTGCAAGGTAAACTTGTATTTCTATGACAAACTTGGCCCTTTTATTTCCAAAACAAAGAGTAAAGTGTCAAGCCCTGTTTAAAGACACTCAATCTCACATGGCAGAATTTTTTTCCTTTCCAAAAATATTAGCAGAGATGTATTTATATAATTTTAAAAATATATGCTTTTGTGTTTAGAAAACAGATAATCTTGTTCTCTTCTTTCTCTCTGGAATATTCTGTACCTGATAAAAATTACAGAAACCTAAAACATCGTTTAGCTAAGAGAGAAGCTATTGAACACTATGGTCTCTTAGCAACAGCAGGATTCTCCTGAGGTCTGCTGGGCCTCACTGAGAAAATCATGTTCATACACAGAAAATATCAACCCTTCATGCATAATTTCCCTCTTTTTCTTTAAAAATAATCTATCAGAAAGGGTTTGTAATGGATTTATTATTTTTGTAAATACGTTATATGCCATTATAAAAATTCAAAATGTGCAAAAATATTAAAAGAAGGAAGCAATAAATCACCCTAAATTAGGAGTTAGGGGCTCTCCCTGCTGTGTCACACAGCAGTCTTCTGTGTCTTTCCTGGACAACCACTTTTTAAAGTGTAGGACCCAGACTTGTTTCTCTGTCTTTGTTTGGAGTCAGCTAATGATTTCTTAATTGTTTTTTCATTTTTGTTTTAATTCTTTAAATGACTATTTGTTAACTTTGTTAGAAATGTAGAAGACATTCTGTAATTCTGATTCATTCCATCATCGTTTTCTTTCCCCCCTTAAGATTTGGTGATACATCTTATTTTTAAAGAATGAACTTAGCTTTTGGGTCTCTGAGTCACCGCCCAATCCTCATTTATGACATTTATTTTGACAAACCTCTCCTATTACCTTGATTACTGCTTTCTCCCAAATATTTTCCTTCCAATTTATTTATGAAGGGAAATGAAGAGAAAATGCACTAACAGACTATCATAGCCATGTAATTAACAGTGACATATTTACTTGAAATGTATTGTAAAAGAACATATAGTGATGTGGAATGTTTATGAGTGAAAAAATGTAGATTATAAAACAGTATAGTGTGCACATTGTATGCAAAGAAACATTTTTAAAGGATATCCGAACAGATTTTAACAGTGTTTGTTTCCCTTAGATCAAGGCATTGCTTTTACTTTTTTTGCATTTCCAATTTTCTATAATATATGTGTTGTTTTTTAAATGTAAAAATGTTCTTGCATTTTAAAACATTTGAATATCTTAGAATTAATTTAAATAATATATAAGAGGATAAAGTAAAAACTCTCTCTCCCCCACTTCCTCTCACTCTTAGTTCAATACGCTATAGATAACAATTTCTTGGCTGGTCTGTCCTAAAAGGTCAGAGAATATATAAGCATTATAAAAATATGCATACCAGTATGTATATGTGTGTATGTGTTTTCCGGTATAAAAATGGGATACAAAACATAATATTGATAACTTTGATTTTATTTTTGCACTTAACAATCTATATTTGACAATTTACAATATTGGCCTATTTAGGTTGGCCTAATTCTTATTAATGACAGCATAGTATTCCATTAAATGGATATATAGTAATTTACTTAGCCAGATCTCTACTGATAGTTTTTACTTTTTTCCCTCTAGATTTTTGTGATTACAAATAAACTGCAGTAAACCTTATAAAATACTTTGGTATATTTGTGCACAAAATTTCTAGAGACAGAGTTGCTGGATCAATGAGGGCAGACTGACGTGTCTTTAAAATTTTGACAGATGGATGCTGTCTGGCACTATTCTTTCTCATCAACTTGGTATGAGACTGAGCTTCTCCACGCTTTGACAACACTTTCCTTACCTGTTTGAGAAAAAAATGGGATTTCCCTGTTGTATTAGTTTACTTTTCTTTACTACTTAGTAAATTGAAAACTTTTTCCATATATTTAATAAGCCATTTGGACTTTCTCTCTTGTAAATTGCCTGTTAATATCCCTCTGCTTTTTTTTCTGTTTTTTTTTTCACCTTTATTGATTAGCAAATATTCCAATCAATATATTATGAAATGTAGTCTTTTGTAGGACACATTTTGTACAAACAGCACTTTCCCTTTGTCTCCTAATTTTAATTTTTATAGTGTTTTGTCATATAGAATTGTTTTATATTCTGATTGGCCAATCTGTTCTTTTATATGCTCTGGGTATTAATTACTGTAAGGAGACTATCCAATATGATATTTAAACAAAAGGTCACAAAGTATTTTCAATGAATGTTCTCATTAGGTAGGTGGCATTATGGGTCCTGAAAATGACCAATAAGGCAGATGACTTAGGTAGACTGTATAGTGAAGTCTAGTCTCAAGGAATGGCATAAATGTTGAATTTTATAATTTTTTTAAAAAAAACAGTTGACAGAGAGCCAAGCTGGATTATCTATAATTTTTAAAACACTTTCAACCTTTCAAGTTACTATTTCCTTGTAAGAGTTATAACAAGTCATAGATGTTTTATCCCCAATTATAACATTACTTTTGTAAAACAAAATGACTATATTGTAAGTCTAGGTTTATAAATATAGGATGTTTCTTTTTCTCTTTGGATAAAAATGAATTATAGGACTGCTAATGGATATGGAGTTTATTTCTGGGGTGATGAAAATGTTCTAAAATTGATTGTGGTGACGACTGCACAATTCTGCGAATGTACTAAAAACCATCGAATCGTACACTTTAAGTGGGTGAATTGTATGGTATGTGAATCATATCTCAATAGAGCTGCTATAAAAAATAAATTGTGGTGTGTTTTGAGTAGAGTGATGTGCAAAGTAAAGTGCTGTGCTTTGTCACCACACTGTCATAGCATCGTCTGCACCGGCTAGGAAACGGCTTCATTAGGGAACTCTAGAAACATTTGGTTTTCAGTGGATTCATCGTCTGAGGCCCCCTTCCCTCTTTGTTTATTCTCAGCTGTCCTCTTTCCCTTCTCAAATTCTTTCACTCTCTCCTTTAGGGTAGAGATCAGGGCAGATGGAGGGGGGTTTTCCCCTTCCCTTCTATGTTTTTGTCATTCTTCTGATTCCTGGGATTATATAATCTTACCGCAATGCAGATGCTATATAACATAACATGCTACAGTGTGGATTTTAGCATATGGTAAATAGTCTTGAATGATTCAAGGCATTTATCTTGGTGGGTACCAGCTGAGTCATATCATAGGGCAGTTTTATGCTCTTGTGTGTCCTCACCTTGCTGAGGGGAATGTGACACACCGTGTTATGCAATCACTATTTCTTAGAGAGTCTGTTTCACCCTCTCTCCTTGAACACCTGCACTGATTATTCCTTGGTAGACTTTGCTTGCTTCATACATTTTAATCATTTAAGAGCTTTCACTAAAATATAACACAAAGAATAAAAGTATAGGCATTATTGCATTATTCCCAACAGCTTTTGATGACTGTTACCTTAATCACTACATTATTAACCCCCACTGTATGAGTCAAAGTCAAGGTAAGTCGCCTTTCTCTTTCCACAAATCCGAAATGAGTCACTGATGAGCAAAAGTCTGTAATTTAATTTAGTGGAATCATCTTTAACACACATAACTCAGGAAACACTGTCAATGTTTTCTATCCAATTTACTAATACATTTGTGAGGTGTTTCTCTACTTTAGACTTAGGAAAATGCGAATTAGATGTTAGTTTCCAGTAGAAAGTGATCAGATAATTAAACAAAATATATTGAGTATTTTAGAGGATCTCAGAAATGGTCCAGTATATAGTTTAATCCCTCAAGAAGTTCACAGTCAGCAAAGGATTTTAGTCCACGCCTTGCACTCTCCCATGATAAAGGGACAGTCACCTAACACAGGCTGTTTCCCCTTCAACCAGGTCTCACTTCCCTGTTCCCTTTATGTAACATTGTCTGGTAGCCCCTCCTGTTAAACACCTCTGGATCTTTACCTGTTCACTTGTATATTTCAGCATAAGGTAAATAGCCTTGGATGATTCTGGAAAACTTTTCTTGGCTGCAAGCATAAATGGAAAGCCCTTGGTATCCCAGAGGAAGAAAGAGGCATCGCTGAAATATACCAAAAGATGGGCTCTGCTCTCCACATGACAGCACACAAACACAAATTGATTTGTTTTCAGCAGTGTTTTTTACACTTTGGCACCTTGCTTTCAGATAGTCAGTGGTGCCTGGACACATAGGCGGAGCCCTGTAGTAATTGTTCAATGAACGGTGAATGAAGAAATGAGACAAAACCAAAGACATCTACCCTATCTGAGTAGTTTCCTTTAAGGTTCTGAACTACTGGGTTCGGGGCAAGGAGTCCAGCAGAGGTGAAGGGGCAAGCAGCTTTCCCAGAAAGATTTGAAATATTCCTGCTGTTGGCTCACAACACCATTCTAAGTTTATTCATTAACTTATCCCCTTGGCAAATATTTTTTGAACATCCACTGTGTGACATACAAAAAAGAATAAAACCCCGTTTCTATCCTTAAAGAACAAAGGCAAGCCATATTAACAACTTTGACAAAGTCATCAATAGCTACCATTTATTGAGCACTTCCTGTGTGCCAGTCACTTACTACTGGTTGAGCATCCCTGACCTGAAAATCCAAAATCTGAAATGCTTCAAAATCCAAAACTTTTTGAGTGCTGACATGATGCCACAAGTGAAAGATTCTGCACCTGACCTCCTGTGACAGGTCACAGTCAAAATGCAGGTACATTGCACAGGTTATTCAGCGTCTCCAAGAGAGTCACTGCACAGTGTCCTACCTTTTAATCAAAACACAGCATGGTAAGTGGAGACTAAAGCCTGCACTGTCTGTTGTTGCTGCTGTTTAACAGCTGATCCAGGTATTCTGTGATGCTGCTGTGCTGCTTAGTTAATCTGCACACATTATTTTTTTCCTGTATTAATGGTGTATCATATTTTTTACTGTTAAGTACTTATGTGTGAATAAGTGCAGGAAAATGATTGCTTATTGGTAGCCTATAAATTCAGAGTCAGTAATGATGGTGATGCCAAATCACCACAGATCATCCACTGGGGTGGCTGAGATAGTGACACCTTTGCTTTCTGATGGTACAACATACATGAACTTTGTATCATGCATACAATTACTATAAAAATAATATAAAATCACCTTCAAGCTTATATGTATAAAGCGTACATGAAACATAAATGAATTTAATATTTAGACTTGGGTCCCATCGCTAAGATATCTCATGTATATGCAAATATTCCAAAATCAAACAAACAAACAAAAAAAAAACAACCAAACCCTTGTATCTGAAATACTTCTGGCCCCAAGCATTTTGGACAGGGATACTCAACGTGTACTTCCCCAACATGCATGACCTTACTATTTAATGCTAAGAGCTAAGCGCAAATGCAGCCCCATTTTAAAGATGAACTTAAGGCTTAGCACGGCAAGGAATTTATCCAGGGGCACACAGCTACACGGCATCTGCGCCAGAACTTGAACTTGGTGCAGTCTGACGCCAGAGCCCAAGCGTGTATTCCCAGGGTGTAACTGGCACCCTACCTAGGAAGGGCTCTCGCAGTGGAGAGGAGGGAGATTACTCCAGCCTGGGAACAGGTGGGAGGAAAGCTAATATGCACTGGGCACCTCGCTCTGCTACACAATCTTATCTTTGAGCAGTGCCTAGAGGCAGGGTGTAAGAGTGTCCTCAAGAAAAAGAGGAAGCAGCATGTGGAAAGACACAAGGCACAGAGGTGCCCAGGGAAGACAACGCCAGAAGGTGCTCAGCGGAGGGGTGGGAGTGAACAGCCCAGTGTGCCATGCTACACAGACACTTCAGCTCTTCCTTGTTGAGAGTCTTCTTCCCTCCTGAGCCCGCCATTAATGTGTAGGCACGAGGAGCAGAGAGGACCAAGAGAAGATGAACAAGAGCTCAGATTCTGGCAGCATTTCATCTCCAAACTCTCACTGACCATGACCTCTATTTTCAAATATTTGGCTGCTGTAATGATGATTAACAAAAGACTGACTCCAAACTGGGGCATGATTACAAAGATAATCATATTCAAGTAGACTTTGATGCACACTTTCCTTTTTCTTTTTGAGACAGGGTCTAGCTCTGTTGCCCAGGCTGGAATGCAGTTGTGTGATCATGGCTCACTGCAACCTCAAACTCCTTGACTCAAGTAATCCTCTAGCCTCCCCAGTAGCTGTGACTATAAGTGTGCAGCACCACATCCAGCTAAGTTTCAAAATTTTTTTGTAGAGGTGGAATGTTGCCATGTTGTTCAGGCTAGTCTCGAACGATCTCAAGCGATTCTCCCACCTTGGCCTCTTAAAGTGCTGGGAGAGGCCAAAGTGCTGGGATTATAGTCATGAGCCGCCACACCTGGTCACTGAATATGTATTTTTCTAACAGGAAAGGTAAAAAAAAAAAAAAATTAGATGAAAATTCACTGGATGGATTTTAAAGTTTCCTTTGGTCATTCAGAATTATTCTTATTATACCTTTAGAAATATGAACAATTGAATACCAGTAGCTGGATGCTTCATGGTTCTTGGGGGCAGCATTTACTTTTAGACTGGTCCCATTTAAATTACATGTAGGTATATTTTTCTACATTGTATCTATTTTAAAGTGCAATATGACATGATGCACACGCTAATCTTATTCCCACTTCTTGGACTGAGTAAATTGTCTTCTGTAAGTGATATCAGAAGTGGCTAATTATGTCTTTGCATTTATGGCATGTGGGTAGCTATCTCTATAAATTATTTTATGACAAGATTTTAGAGAGGAACACAAATAAAGCACCTATTTTATAAAAAAACTAACCATTTTACAGTCATCTTCTTTATAACTCAGTGTTCATATACTATAGCAAAAAAAAACAAAACAAAACAGTAATTGCCTATACTCTATACAGTTGAGAGTAAACGCTCTTTTAGTATAATGAATATATTTTTCAGTGAAAGTAAAATGAATAAATTTTTAATAGAAAAAACTATTACATCTACTACCAACAATATCAAATTTTTAAAAAATTCTACAAACGCCAGATTGATTTTTTTATGATTTTTTTTTTTGTAGTTCACATAAACCTAAAACTCTCTCTAACAAAAATTGCTATTTTTCTCCTCCAAACATTCTTAGAATAATACAAGTAAGGCGCTTTGTTTTGACATCATTATTCAGGAAAACTTCAAGGATGAGATGTTAAACGTATATATGCCCCAAAAGGAAAGTAATATTTTGAATATTTATTTTCAAACAAGGAAGAAAATTGGTAAGATTTGCTGTTAGAACACACAATTTTCAGAGAGACTTTGCTTAGACTGTATATAGAACAACAAAGAAAAGTAAAAGTAAGTGAGGTCTCTAAAATATGCTGTTAGGCCAGGCGTAGTGGCTCACACTTGTAATCCTAGCACTTTGGGAGGCCAAGGAGGGTGGATCACCTGAGGTCAGGAGTTCGAGACCAGCCTGACCAACATGGTGAAATCCTGTTACTACTAAAAATACAAAAATTAGACGGGTATGGTGCATGCGCCTGTAATCCCAGCTACTTGGGAGGCTGAAGCAGGAGAATCGCTTGAACTCGGAAGCCGGAGGTCGCAGTGAGCAAAGATTGCGCCATTGCACCCCAGCCGGGGCAACAAAAGCAAAATTCCACCTCAAAAAAAAAAAAAAAAAAAAAGTTAAAATATGCTGTTAGAACTTGATATATAGAAAAAAAAAAGTAAAGATTTTTTTTTCTTTGAAAGAAAACAGCAAAGTTCGTCTTATTGAGGCATCCAGTAAAGCTCCACAGAGAAATCATTCCCTCGTGTCTCTTCTGCACTCGGCCTTGGCAGGATAAGATGAAGAGGACGCAGTCCCTACCTCAGGTAAACCTTTAGAGGGGAGGGAGAGACAACTCCACCCTCAGATCATTCCAACATAAGGTGCTAAGTATGCTGGGGTAGAAGACAGAGGTGTGTGGAGGGGGCTCTAGATGCTCAGAAAACGGACATTTAACCCATCTTGAGGGTTGTGAGTGTGGAGGCTCATAGCACAGGGAACACTTGCGGTGCACCTTAGAGAATGTGCAGAGATAAACTAGGTGAAGAGAAGAGCAGGTGCCCCAGGCTACAGGACAGCATGGTCCAGGGCAGGAGAGGTCTAAGGCAGAACAGAGAGTGTGGGAAGGAGAACTGCCAGCCATTCTTCATTATCGGGCCATTGAATTAGAACAGAAGATGAATCAAGAGGATTCTGGAGTGGCAGATAAGGACCAGATGATGTAGGGTATTTGGGACCATTTAAAGAGGATGGGAGAAGGGTGGTAAGGAGGCTCCTTACTCAACAAAATATTTTAAAAGAATAAGTAAGACTTGATCTAAAACGATTTGCCTTTTAGAGAGAACACTGGGAGGCAATGTGGAGGATGGAGCTGAGGAGTGCAAGGTTGCAGGCAAGGAAACCAGACAGGGGCCTGTGCTGTGCTAGGGAAGTGAGGAGTGCCTGGACCTAGCCATGATAGCAAGAATGGAAGGCGGGAACCAGGTGTGAGGTAAGACTGGCTGGATCAGAGAGATCTGACTTTTTAGGAGCTCCATAAATAGCCAAGGGGTGAAGAAACCAATATGTAGAAGGAATTCTTGGACAACGTTGCTTGGGCTATGGCAAGTGGAGTCATGATAAGCCATATTCTTGGAGAACTTTTCCCATTAAAGGCTGTTTATCAAACCATAGGAAGAAAAATGAGAAACAGACATATTTCTAAAGTAGCACATCATTTGACTTTTATGATTAGTTGGGGGATTTTGTTGGTAGTGATGGTTGGGTAGAGGTCAAGTCTACCTTCTCATGTAAGCAAAGCATAAACATTTTAAATCATCCACTTATAAAAACAAAAGCAACTGAAAACAACAGCAAACTTGATTCAGGTAATCCAATGGAAGCAAACACACCTGATAAAGGAGAGTGTCACTGATAAAACTGTACTTGATAGTCGTACTTAGAGGGTTGCTGTATCTTAAACATTTTAATTTTTCATCTTAAACTCTGCGTTTATAAAAATTAAATTTCACTTGGAATTAAGAGGCCATCTCCATCAGCAACAGGATAAATTATTAATATTGTAGGTCTTCAAACATATATGAAAACATTAAATTATCTGGATTTAAAATATATGATCTAAAATAGCAGAGGGCATATGTGGCTGATTAGGTTAATCCCTTTCTTTTGAGTTTGGTTTTCTTTGATTCCCTCCCATTACTGCTTCCAAGAGTCTACTTTAAACACACACTTAAAGCCTAAGAAAGTCTAAATAAGTCCCAATTACAGGTACAAGATTATTTCCTGGAACTAAAAAATGTCAATGAATGTCTTATCCTAGAAGAGTAAGCAGTAAGACTTCTCTTCAATTGCCAGCTAAACACTTAAGTGTCCTAGCCCAGTCTTCCCGGAAAAGCTACAGGAAAGAAACCAAACATACTTCTCATTACCCCAAGTTCTTGGAAAGATATTTAATGAAGTCTTGCAAGTATGCATTTAAATGGAAATGTCTGAAAAACTTGCTTTTACTAATGAATGAGAGGAAACATCAGCAGTAAACATTTCTTATACTATAAAGATTTCATTTGTAAATAATGAGAATCAAAATTGGCTACGATCTCACCATTTAGGCATATTTGCAACAACATTGAAGGAAAAAAATTCAGTACCACCTGGTTGATTTAAAGGAAATTGTGAATTATCACTTTAAAATTCACCCAGGCATGAATGAGTAAAAAGCATATGGCAGCTCTTGGTTGGTGTGACCATGGCTGCCATTTTATGTGTCACAGTCTGGTTACAACTTTAAGTTTGTGTGCTCTTGAACATGGTGGGTTTTTTCTTTTTTTTTTCTTTTTGAGACAGGGTCCTGCTCTGTCGCCCAGGATGGAGTGCAGTGGCACGATCTCGGCTCACAGCAACCTTTGCCTCCTGGGCTCAAGCGATCCTCCTACCTCAGCCTCCCAAGTAACTGGAACTATAGGCAGGTGCCACCATGCCCAGCTAACTTTGTATTTCTTGTGGAGACAGAGTCTCACTATGTTGCCCAGGCTGGTCTCAAACTCCCGGGCTCAAGTGATCTGCCCTCTTCAGCCTCCCAAAGTGCTGGAATTACAGGCGTGAGCCACCACCCTTAGCATGTGTTTTGATTCCTTAAGTGATAAGCAGAAAATGATGCTCTGCTTATAGGGGGACAGCATGCAATGACTGACACTGAGGGATACCTCTGGGTTCCAGTTTATGCCCTATCTTTTCCCAAACAAGAACAATGATTTCAATTCCATATTATCAAAATGAAGATAAAAATGTGAGATGCTAGCGTCATTGATCCCAATCATCTCCTTATTCTTAATGTTCCCAAGCCCCAGGATAATAATATGAGAGAGAGAGCAGCTTGCATGTTTTTCATTTTAAGTATGTGTCAACGAGAAATACAAGTGTGTGTGTGTGTGTGTGTGTGTGTGTGTGAGAGAGAGAGAGAGAGAGAGAAAGAAGACAATTAAGTGTACATAAAGTGTACATTGTACTATACAAGGGAGGCTATCAGCCATGACACTGATTACAAGAACTAGAGAACTAACTAAGCAAGCAAGAAAAAAAGCCTTATAAAAATGTGATTTGGCCATGTGGAAAGAATACTAATCATGGTAATTTCTCAGGACTGCTTACCCTATCCATATGTCTAATTACAATGCAGCACAGTGATGAATATGTAAATCATTAAAAAAGTGTTAGATTAACTTGTGCACATTTTTACTACAACACTGTACAGTGTTAAATCTATCTTCATAATTTATCACTCATAAACTATGGTCATTGGCCCATAACTTACAACTTTGGAAGCTTATAAGAAATGACAAGGTGGGAAGGGAATTAAATGCATATTTAGAGTAATAATAATTTTGAAAAAATGGCACATATAAATGAAGACAAAAAGAACGCTATTGGTAAAAGATATGGCTTGCTATTCTATAATACACGCTGTTTCTAAATTAAATTTACTTTAGATGTATTCATGGGTTAAAAAATGAACATATATTTAACAATATAAATTAAAGAAACCAAATCTATGTACAGCTTTCTCTAAAATCATACCTACCTTATTAAATATATTTACTAAGTATTTTCTTCATTAATTAGCACAGAAACTGTAGAAGAATATGTTACAGGAATTAAGTCAAGTTAAAATAAATGAGAAAGAAGGAATTATTGAATATAGGTAATAGAAATACCTTGATAATTTGGGTAATACAACATATGGCCAAAAAACAAATGTAATCAGGGAGAGAGTATAAAGCTGATTTCTTTAGCTTTAAGAGGTTTAGGTTCAACTAAATAAACTTTTTTTTTTTTTTTTGAGACAGAGTCTCGCTCTGTTGCCCAGGCTGGAGTGCAGTGGCACCATCTTGGCTCACTGCAACCTCTGCCTCCCAGGTTCAAGCAATTCTTGTGCCTCAGCCTTCCAAGTAGCCGGGATTACAGGCGTGCACCACCACACCCAGCTAATTTTTTGTATTTTTAGTAGAGATAGGGTTTCACTATGTTGGCCAGGCTGATCTTGAACTTCTGGCCTCAAGTGATTCGCCAGCCTCAGCCTCCAAAAGTGTTGGGATTTGTACAGGCATGAGCCACCATGCTGGGCCTAAATAAACATTTTATAAAAACTACTCACCAAGTGCTCTGTCTGAGCATTGCGCAAGCTTACACTACTTTACAGCAGTGTTTCTCAACCTTTGCACTATTGGGCTAGATAATTCTTTGTTTCGGGGAGCTGTGCATTGAAGGATGTTTTTCCCCGGCTTCCCTGGCCTCTATCCACCAGATGCCAGTAGCATCACCTCCCACCCTCGGCTGTGATAACCAAAAATGTCTCCACACACTGCCAAATGTACCTTGGGGGACAAAATCCCCTCTGTTGAGAAGGGCCGGATTATAGAATGTGGAAATAAAAATTCCGTGCATGGAGTCATAACTGAAGGGCACTTGCAGAGGTCACTATTCTCAATAAGAACAGGGAACTTTATGATGAGAACTATTATGCCACAGGGAGAAATTAAACTCAGCGAAAGGAAAGACTCAACAAAGTATTTTTTTTTCTTAAGGCAGGTGTTGAGACAGTGAGAAAGAAACAAGAAATAAGGAAATGTTCTCTCTCACTTATAAAATTAAGAACAGAGGAAATAAAATTAATTCAGTAAACAGTAGATTACAAAAATATGCTTCAGTTCTATATTATGATTCAAATAGGGAGATAAAAACTGAAAGATAAAACAGAGGAGACATAAGTAGAAAATGACAGACTTGGCCAGGCATGGTGGCTTACGCCTGTAATCCCAGCACTTTGGGAGGCCAATGCAGGTGGATCACTTGAGGTCAGGAGTTCAAGACCAGCCTGGCCAACATGGTGAAATCCAATCTCTACTAAAAATACAAAAAAAATTAGCTGGGTATGGTGGCAGGTGCCTGTAGTCCCAGTTACTTGGGAGGCAGAGACAGGAGAATTGCTTGAACCCAGGAGATGGAGGTTGCAGCGAGCTGGGATTGTGCCACTGCACTCCAGCCTAGGTGACAGAGTGAGAGACTCTGTCTCAAAAAAAAAAAAAAAAAAAAAAAAAAGACAGACTATGAGGATGTGGAGGTGGGGTGGCCTTGCGGGGAGGAAATAGGGTAGAACTTTAGAAGACAGAGCCAGAGGTTTGGTAGTTAAAAGTGGGGATTCTCCTGGCACTCCCTTTGCGTGTTCTCTTACAGGCCTCCTCTCTTAGACCCTGGCCCAGCCTCCTCCACCAGGCTGTCCTCCATCCTTCTCCTCAGGCCCCACCAGCTGCTGCTTGCTACAGCATTCTCTTCAGGGAAGTCCTGAGGATGCTGCCAGAAGATACTGAACACCAAGGAGGGGACTCACTCACTGCCAACCACGACTTCCACAGAAAGCTTGGGAATTGGGGAATGGCATGATCAAAGCCTTGCTTTATTATGCAGAGCAAATTTTTTTTTTTTGAGGGAGCATTTGTGTGGAGAATAGTGAGGAAGGGAACTAAGTGATGAGAGCCTAAGTCAGAGCAATGGCAGAAGAAATTGAACATAATAGAACGGTTTATGTTTGGTACCACACTTTGAAGGGTAATGTATGTTATTTGTTCTTTATCATAGTCAACAACAAATCTAGATTTGCTTTATGCACAGGAAGTATTTAATATTAGTTAGGTTTAATTTGATTCAATGCATTTTAAGTTAACCAATGAGCCCTATTGAACTCATAAGGAAACTAAAGCCGAGTAAGGTTAACTGACTTGCCCACAGTTAAAGGGTTGGAAAGTTTTGGAGCCAAGGGTGAAACCCAGGTCTCCTTAATTCAAAATCCAAGGCTTCAATCATGACACCAGTTGCCACAAATCTGTGGCATATATGGTGATTCTATTTCTTTGCCACCACAGACATTGCTAATCGATTTCCTACGCAAGCTTGGATATGGCCTCAGAATCCTTCCAAACACAGGGCTCCAGAGACCCACCTCAAATCAACTTTTCTGTATCCTGGCAGGATAGCATGCTCTCTCTCCAAGATAAAGGAAGGAAAATGGTAGAGGTGATTTGCGGGCAGAAGCATTATCACTTGGCAGCTGTGGGCGTAGATTGTGAGAAAGAGAAAAGGGTAGGCATCAGGAATGATGAAGGATGTAAGCCTGGGGGATGAGGGGGATGGTGACACTAATTAACAGAATAATGGAACTGGAACAGAAGCAGAGCTGTAACATGGTGAATGTGGTCTTGAGGTGTTGTCCAGTTCTTAAGGCGGTGGGGGGTGCTGTGACAATGACAGGTGAAGGCTGCTGCTTATGGAAAGACACAGGCAGGGCCTCCTAACACTTCTAGCAATTTCAGCCCCCGAAACAGTGACAACTGTGGATCCTAAAGGCATATGTCCAAAAGATGCTGGCCAAACATTTCAGAAAAGATGAAATAAGGAGGTCTCAAAGTCCTGCTTTTCAAGACACTGCTAGGAATCTTTTTGCAAAGCAAGAAAATTCTTTTATCATTCAAACAATTAAATAATAATTAAAATAATTAAATATAAATAATTAAAATTAAAATTTTCATACACCAGGTTTCATTTCAGTGGGAAGAATGGGGCAGGGAAAGAAAATGGCTCTTCAGCAGCCTTCTCAGTGACAATTATAAACAATTTCTGTAAAACTTCACACCCTAAATGAAGCACCAAACCTGAAGTGCTTAATCAAAACAAGATGTTTTGATTGAAAGAAAGCTTTGATGAGTTGCTTCTATCAATTGCCCTTCAGCATAAGATTAGAAATGCAAAGGCTTCTATCATCCCCATGATGTTCTTTAAACTTCATTATGTCAGGCACACATGGCAAATTAAACAGAATGCTACAGAAAGTGTCTGGCCATAAGAGGAGGCAGAGGCACTGCTTACAGAAACCTTGCTAGACAACTAATTGAACAGTTTTCTAACCTCAGAACAGACGTGCTTTCTATTATTTAGCATTTAATATGCTTCCTCTCTCTCTCTCATTTCTTTTTACCTTTAGCTTGTTTCTTCCTATTTCATTGCCATCTACTTTATAAATGTCTTGATCAAATTATAAAGTTATAACATTATACAGATTCTATTTGGTCCCATATGGCTAATGTCAACCAGAGAGCCTTTAATATTTTCTAAGGAACAGGATATCATATTTAATGCCCTCAAAACTAATTTCAAGCTAAAAAATGTTGAAGGCTATACATACACACACACACACACACGAATGTTCTACAACAAGACTATCCACCCCCTCCAAAGTCAAGCTTTGATATATGCCCTAACAAAATAAAAAAAAAATTCAAATATGCTTTACAACAAACTACTAAAAACCACAGACCAACATAATTTCTTTAGAAGCATAAAGTCACTTGTGATCCATATGCCAAAAGCATAACAAAATGCAAAAAAAGCCCTTAAGTTCATTGATTGACCTAACAATATCAATTTTTCTCTACACTTCAGTGAATTATATACATGAAAGAATATTTCGATCTTAGGAATTCTTCATCTGGTTAGTTTTGTTTCCAGTGAAGCAAACATCAAACAGGGTCTTATATGTTTATGGATAGGTACAAATCCATGGAAAAGATTCCAATTACTTTTTTTTTTTTAAAGTTTAAAGCTGTGTGTTATGTGCAGAGGGGGTAGTACAAAGAGCTATGGATATTCTAAACCAAATATTAAAACAGCATTTCAAGCAGCTCAAAGTATCATACAACATTTTCAGTAGTAAGGAAATTTCACTCAGCAGCAATATTTTTAATAGAAAAACTTTTTTGTTTTTGAGACAGAGTCTGACTTTGTTGCCCAGGCTGGAGTGCAGTGGCTCGATCTTGGCCCACTGCAATCTCCGCCTCCTGGGTTCAAGCTATTCTCGTGCCTCAGCCGGGTGCCACCATGCCCGGCTAATTTTTGTATTTTTAGTAGAGACGGGGTTTCACCGTGTTGGCCAGGCTGGTCTCGAACTCCTCACCACAGGTGATCTGCTCGCCCCAACCTCCCAAAGTGCTGAGATTACAGGCATAAGCCACTGTGCCTGGCCTAATAGAAAAATCTTCTAAAGACTCTTTAACTGGGGACTTTATCAAACATTGCACTTGCTGCTCTGATAAGAAAGAAGGGAGATGGGGAAAGTGGTGGGTGCTGGATGGCATATAGCTCCTTGTCTATGTCCACCTCCTTCCCTTTTGCCTTTAGGAAAGAAGGGCTGGACAACGATGGAGAGTCCTTGGGAGAGCCAGAAAGATTTATCTGGGCTAGCTGGTACAGTGAAGACCAAGCAAAGTGGGAAGCTTTTTGGTTTCCCAAATTAGTCTCAATGCTTTGCTCGGGCACGGACAGCATGTACAGTAGGCAGCAATCTGCAAAATTGCAAAGGGGCATTTTGGCTTTTTGCCCTTCTACTGTGATTTCTGAAATCTAGTCACCTTTTCTAAGGTACCCTCTTCCCCATCTCTGCAACTCATTCTGTTATTTCCTCCATGACAGTTGTCACAACCTGAAACTATCTGTGCACTTAATTGTCTGTTTTCTTATTGTTTCCTACCCTAATAGATTGTCATTTCCACCAGGGCAGGAGCCTGGCCTGTGCTGTTCACCTCTCATCACCAGCACCTAGACTACTAATGCCTGGCACAGAGTTGGCCTCAATGAGAGGGTGTCAAAAGATAAACGAACCCTTGCTTGCGCCTGGCCTCCTGTCCTCAACTTATGTTACTGTGGCCTTATGTTGCCTTGTGGTTAGTCAAAGACCCCCATCAGTCTTACCCTCCAGCCAGCCATTGCCATTGGATAAACATTGTGTTTTCCACCCCCAGCTCCAGAGGTGGGCCTTGGTTGAGCTAAGCCAATCACAGTTTTCTTCTGGCACAGTGTAGAGGTAGACATGTGATATACTTTGAACTTTGTCTATTCAGAGAAATGCTCAGAATTTTGTTCAATGGTTGAGGAAAGAGAAGATCCCACCCTATCCCAGGAGCCAGGAGGCGCACAGCCCTGGGGGCTCTCAGTGGCCACCTCACTTCCACAAGGTCAAAGCCCATGAGGTCAAAGCTCACACACAGAAGATGACAAAGTCAAGAGATTTTCAAAGACAGCAAGCCACAACTCTGAGACTTCAAAATCCTCTGGCTCAAATCAACCCCGAGGGCCACCTCTGAATTTTCCACTTAGATGAGTTAATTTGTTCTCTTCCTTTTAAGACTGCCAGAGCCAGGCCAGGTGTGGTGGCTCACGCCTGTATTCCCAGCGCATTGGGAGGCCAAGGCGGGTGGATCACTTGAGATCAGGAGTTCGAGACCAGTCTGGCCAACATGGTGAAACCCTGCCTCTACTAAAAATCCAAAAAAAGTAGCCAGGTGTGGTGGTGTGGGACTGTGGGCTCCGTCTCAAAAAAAAAAAGACTGCCAGGGCGAGGATTTCCTAATTGATACTCATCCCATCTGAAGTCCCAGTCGCCCATTATATATCTCGGCAAACTTTCATTTAATTAACAGAATAAGCATGATCTTAATGAGATTTATCTCTTGTGGACAGTATTTTTACTTAAAAATGGAAACAAACTGATCCGAATTTGTGTTTCATTGTTAGAATGTTTTTGAAATGGATGTGGAATAGCATTGTTCTTTTCCTCCCTCAGCCACCCACATTGCTAGCTTCCAGGACCACTCTATCCTGTTCCAAATTACTGGAATAATCCAGACAGCAAAACAGATAGAAACAGCATTGCAACCACACAGCTTCCAGCTTCCTGCCTCATCTTTATATGGGAGACTCTCAAGAACAGAAAAAAGTTTTAAAAAGTTTCCTAAATTTAGGAAGTAGATGCTTTCTAATTTTCACTTTATGGTTGGCCAAGTATTTTCTTTTTTTTTTTTTTTAAATAAAGGAAAACAGAACTATAGCAAAGCCTAACAATGTCTGTTAAATGAATAGAAAATAGAATGAGAACAATTAATAAGAAATAAATTTAAAGAGCTATGAGATTTCTGAGGAGAGAATGGTTACTTCTGGTGTGAAGGGTTAGAAAGATTTCACAGAAATTGCATTTGTGCTAGATTTTGATGGATGGTAAAGAGCAACAGGCAACAGAGATGAAAGGAGGGAATGAAACCTTAAATTATGTCCAGGAAACTAGGAGTGGCCCAGTTAGACATGAACACAGGAGATGTGTTGGTTGGGGGAAGAAGTTACAGATAAAGTCTGGAAATGCAGTTTGAGAGCAGACTTGGAGAACTCTGAAACCCTCAAGTCAACTGGCTCAGGGGAAATCACTGAAGAGTTATTAGCAATACAATGACATGGCCAGGGTGAGTTGTAGGACACCTTGGTTTGGCAGTGGCCTGAAGCATGGTCCAGAAGTCACAGAGACCTAAATTGGGATACAGAGTGTGAAACTTGATTATGCAAATTGAGCCATTCTTATCATACCCAACTAAGCCAGAGTCGAGGGCCCGGAGTCAGGTGGTAAGCACTCAGGACACAGCATCTGCTCCAAGAATTGACTTTTCTGCAAGCCCAGCTGCTAAAATGGCAAGCTGTAACCTTAAAAACAGTGTCACCTAGTAGCTGCTGAAACGACCCGCCATGACTCCAAGACTGGTTTTTCCTACCACCATCACTGACACCCACTAATCAGAACTTGCCAGCTCCCAGAAGTTTCTCTAGTGCCAGTGAGCTTTCTTCCACAACAATATGTAACATTTCTTTTATTCATTTTCCTTTATTTATTTGAGACAGGGTCTCAGTCTATCACCCAGGCTGGAATGCAGTGCTGCAATCATGGCTCACTGCTCACTTGACCTCTCGGACTCAAGTGAGCCTCCCACCTCAGCCTCTGAAGCAGCTGGGACAACAGGTGTGCTCTGCCACACCTGGCTAATTTAAATTTTTTTTGTAGAGACAGGTTCTTGCTATGTTTTCCAGGCTGGTCTCGAACTCCTGGCCTCAAGTGATCCTCTCACCTTAGCCTTCCAAAGCGCTAGGATTACAGGCCTAAGCCACTGTCCCTGGCCCACATTTCTCTTTATAATAAAACTCCCAAGCTTCCCTTTTTCAGACATACCAAAGCCCACCTCAGTCTGTGTGTATGCCCCAAATTGCTATTCTGTGATTCCCAAATAAAACATTTAATTTAGAGATTTGTT
Source organism: Homo sapiens (assembly GCF_000001405.40). Taxonomy (NCBI): domain Eukaryota; kingdom Metazoa; phylum Chordata; class Mammalia; order Primates; family Hominidae; genus Homo; species Homo sapiens. Next base: position 35,907,595 of record NC_000013.11, read on the forward strand.
TCTATGTTTTCTTTTGATTGCAACAGGAGCGTATGGGGAAAGGCAGGATAGGACAGCCTGCAGAGGCCATCCCAGGCCCCAAAGCCACCCCATTTCTCTGCATTACAGTTGGTGTCAGCAGAGCCCAAGCCAGGGATTAGGGGACACTATGGCTCAGAGGTTCAAGCTAAGCATGGGTTAAACAGTCTTGTGAACTATCCTCAGACCCTCACCACCATCTTCAATTTTACATCTATGAAAAAACTTTAAAAAAAAAAAAAAAGAGCCTAAAAACCAAAGTATAGAGTATAACAATTTACAAGTAGGAGCTTTCAGAATAAATGTAATTATTATTATATAAATTATCTTTAAGTTTAAAAATAACAGTTCTAAGAACATTTAATTTTTTTTCCTCCTTGTTCTGGGGTGGCTTTGCGATTTTAGTCTAGACGTATTCATACCCTTAAAAATGAGCTTTAGAGTTTAGGATCTTAAAATAGGACTGTGCTGACATAATACAACTCAAGAAGGAACAATGGTTGGGGTACAATTTGTTTCTCCTTTCTCCTGATGAGGTTTGAATTAGTTGGAGATGGAAAATTCAGAACAGATAAATTATAGAAGGAACTAAACTTTTAGTATACTAAAATGTATTAGTATAAAAGATCTATGACATTTTGAATAAGGCATAGATATTAGGAAACAAGTCTCAGCCAATACTATTCATCATTTCTCAATAGAAGATAAAAGCTTTCTCATCATCCAAAGAGGCAGGCCATTCAGTTATTCAAATTAAGTAGGAGAAAATGCTGGGTTAAGGACAAAGAAAAAGACCTGGATTATGCTAATTCTTAACTAGTTGATGATAGAGGCTCCTCCAGCCTTTCTTGTGCTATCCTTTGTTGGGGCATGATTTAGCTCCGAAAAGCTTCTCTAGTGCCAGTGAGCTTTCTTCCAAAACAGTATGTAACATTTCTTTTATTCATTTTACTTTATTTATTTGAAACAGGGTCTCAGTCTATCACCCAGCTCCTATTATGGATTTCAGGCAGAAAGGTAGTTTGTCATACAACTTTGTCCCAATGGAACTTTGCTCTTGTCGCCCAGGCTTCAGTGCAATGGCGTGATCTTGGCTCACTGCAACCTCTGACTCCTGGGTTCAAGCGATTCTCCTGCCTCAGCCTCCTGAGTAGCTGGAACTACTGGCGCCCACCATCATGCCCAGCAAATTTTTGTATTTTTAGTAGAGATGGGGTTTCACCATGTTGGCCAGGCTGGTCTTGAACTCCTGACCTCAAGTGATCCACCCACCTCGGTCTCCCAAAGTGTTAGGATTACAGGTGTGAGCCACCACATCTGGCCGATTCATACTTTTTTGAACAAGAAACCAAAAAGCTTTCTGCAATTTTTTAAAAAGATGTATCTCTACAAAGCAAGAAGAAAAAGAAAACATGTTTCCAGACGCTTTCATATCTCAGGAAGCAGAGACAGGCTCCTAATTAGATCTGAGCACGCTCAGTAGGTATGTTTGGACTGTGTCAGCACCACACAACATGTATTTTCAATAGCACCCGGGAGCGGCATTTTATGTTGCAGAAAAAGAAATGAGGTGGCTGTAGGTGGGGCCACATGGCTGCTGAGCCTCCTGGGGGCTCCTGGATACTCACATGTGTGAGTGCTCCCATTTCAACACTTACAACTTCCTCCTCTCCACCTTGTCTTTCTCCAAAGAGGGTGTGAGAAATGAATATTTGCACATAAAATGGAAGACGCTGTACATGTGACACACGCAAACATTAAAAATATGGGTCCTGGTGCCAGGCAGGCTTGCTGGCAATCCTGGCTCTCCACTGTATGACATTAAGCAACTTACTTTGCCTCTCTAAGACTTCCTCATCTGCTAGGTGGGATGATACTCACCTCATGGTTTTTGGGTGGGATTTATGAGATTTTGTATGCAATGAGAAATGGCCGGAACACTGTAAACCCTCAATAAACTCTGGTTATTAATTGCTGTGTGCATATGTGTGTGTGTGTGTGTGTGTGTGTGTGTGTGTGTGTGTGTGTATTTTTTTTTTCTACAAAGGAAAAAAAGTGCTTAATTTATGCATTCATAGGAAGTCATGTGGCAGGGTTTTTAAAGTCAAGGGTGAGGACAAAGGTGGAGTATTGACAGATTCAGGGGACAAGGAGGCATTTTCAACGAGAGCTAATCCTTTTTACTAGAAAGGGTGAAATGACACAGACCACCCTAGACTTTATTACTCCTTAAAAGAAAACAAAAATCTCCCCTGGGCATGAGACTTTGCCTCTCTCACCAAAAACAGGCTTGCTTCTACAGCTCCATCTTGAAAAGCTTCTAGCAGCCAGCACCTCCGTCCTCTGTTCTCGCCCTGCCTCACCTGTCATTTTGCTAAAGACACCCGCATCCATCCGCTTTGCTTCTCCTTTGTCTTCCCCCAGGTGCTATATCCTGAGGTTACTCAGGAGGGAACAGGAGAGCTACAAATCCAGACACGTGTTCTCCAGCTCCTCTAAGTTGAATTTATCAAGGAGACAAAACAGGACCCAGGATCACTACCTGCAACTCCCTTAATTGTAACCTACTTTCCGATAAAAATTACATGCTTTTGAAACCAGCAATAATAAACTGAAATGCACGAACAGTCAACACAATGACAAAATGTACTCTGCAGCGATTGAGGAGACATTGTTACATCTTTTAAAATCAATCTGTGATCTGCCTCTACAGGAGATGAATGAAAGTGCATAGAAGACAAAAGAATGTGATAATAACAGAGATAATACTCAGCCCCAGTACATCCAATCTTTTGTTGGGTCAATAACCATTTGAAAAGGAACTATGGATTTTGTGCCTAATAGAAATGAGAGGACAGCTCCAAGATAATTTGAATATTTCTTTCCCTTTTTTCCTTTTCCTTCCTATGCTGGAAATAAAAAGGTTGATGTCAACATATTTCTTAGAACATAGAGTTCCTTAAAACCGAACATGTCTGGGATGACCAAATCCCTTCCCAATCCCACAGGTTTCTCTTTGATAGACCTACAGTGAAAACTAGCAGCATCCTGACTTCCCAGGGGCCGCTGTGGCAGCACCTTCCTGGCAACAGAACATACAATGAACACACTAATGTGGTAATGAACTGACATCCAGAGAACAGACCAGAAATTGCTGGAGGCAGGAAGCGGGGAATTTGAGGTGGCAAAAAAGAAGAGCATCCTTCACACAAACCTGCTATCTCTATTCTTTGTGCAATTAATCATTTTAGAAACTAGCAAAAGACAATGATGCATAATTGGCCGATTGAGGGATGTGACACTAGAGAGATTTTTTCAAATCTTACTTCGTGAAAAGTCATCAGTGGTTTCAAATCTTAGAACACAGGTCTAAATAACTGTTAAATTTTGGCCAGGCATGGCGGCTGATGCCTGTAATCCCAGCACTTTGGGAGGCAGAGGTGGGCGGATCACAAGATCAGGAGATCGAGACCATCCTGGCTAACACGGTGAAACCCCATCTCTACTAAAAATACAAAAAAAAAAAAAAAAACTAGCCAGGCATGATGGTGGATGCCTGTAGTCCAAGCTACTTGGGAGGTTGAGGCAGGAGAATGGCGTGAACCCCGGAGGCAGAGCTTGCAGTGAGCAGAGGTTGCGCCACTGCACTCCAGCCTGGGTGACAGAGCGAGATTCCGTCAAAAAAAAAAAAAAAAGAACTGTTAAATTTTACCACCAACAACGACCTTTTCAGAGATAAACACTTGTACCATTGCTGCTCCAAGCAATGGCCCCACCTCTCCAGGGATATTTGTCTGCCCACCACCACAGGACACCCACGGGGCCACAGTGGCAGATCTCCTGTTAGAGAGAAGGTGGTGGGATTTCTGTGAGGTTTCCTTTAGTGCTGGAGCTCAGCTAGACATGTGGGGCCACATCACTCTGGTCTAGACCCTAGGATGTCTCTGCTGTTGTAGTATTTATGCCTTAAATAGGAGGAGGCGGACCTCTAGGACTAGTATTGCCTCTGCCACCCAGAACATTACAATTTCTCAATTTAAGCTGCCCTTTGTGTTTTGAAGTACAGCTGCTACTAGGATGTGGATCTGAACAATTTCTTGTTCTGGTTACTGAGGATAACCAGACAGTAAATGGTTTAGGACTTTAGTGGTCAGTCATCGCAAAGAGGCCATATACACCCTTTAACTTATACAGAGATCCAGAGAGCTGATTGGATAAAACAGCATCTGGCCCCAGCAGTGGGCTGATTGTTTTGTTGTTTAGAGAGCAGGGTGTCATAGTAAGGGCACATACTAGGAGTCCTGTGGCCAGGACCCTTGGCCCTTCCATCATAGCTGTGGGACCCTGGAGAGGTAGCTCATCTCTCCAACCATGCTTCCCAAGTGAGCAAATAAGGACCACTGTACCTTCCTTCGGGGTGGCTGTGAGAATTAAATGGAATATGTTTCATACAGCGCCTGCCCCACAGTAAAGCTCAATCAATCAATCACGGCCCTCCCTTTCTGAATCCTTCCTTGAATTCTTTGCATCCTCCTCATGGTCCTCAGCATAGAGTTTGGCATGCAGGGGGCTCTCAGGCAATGCTTGGCCAACTCCAAGTGATAGCGGCAGGAGGCACAGAAATTGTAGGCAGACAGGGGTAGGTCCGTGGCAAAATCCCATGTTTGAGCCAAAAAGCCACAGCACAAAATGAGAACTTCTATTCCTGTTTGCCCACTGTCTCCCAATTAGTTCTTTCTGAATAATGTCTTTTTACCAATCGAATGTTGTCTTTTTCAAAACTACCTATGGCCCACCCCACCCCCAGTCCTGTGCCTATAAAGACCCCAGACTCAGCTGGCAGAAGAGAGAAGCAGCTTGACTGGAGAAAGATGATTCGACTTCAGTGGGACAGCTAGACTTTGGAGGACAGACGGCTTAACTTCAGGGAAGAGCCAGCTAGTGACAACCGGACTTCAGGGAAGATTACCTGCCCAACCTGACCCCTCTCCAGCTCCCCTCTCTGCTGAGAGCAACTTCTATCACTAAGTAAAATTTTCTACCTCCACCATCCTTCAAGTATCTGTGTAACTAATTCTTCTTGGACACCAGACAAGAGTTCAGGACCCACTGAGTGCAAGTACCCAAAAAAAGCTATCACAGTGGCCCTTTGCCCTCACTGGCAGAGGGCAGCTGTCCCACACTATGAGGCAAGTCCACTGAGCTGATAACACACCACTGTCCACGGACAGCAGAGCTAAGATAGCATTGTAACACACCCTCTGGGGTCTTGGGGGTTGCAGAGAGCCCCACCTGGTCTGGCTGAGGGGCCTACAGAGAGTCTGCTCCTGCTGGCGCCCAGAGTAGCTGGCCGGATCCTGCCCTTGCTCACTCATATGCTCCTTCCTGCAAAAGGTTGAGCATGGTGGGCCAAAGAAATGGGGCACCTCCGTCGCAAGTCTGACAAGGGGTGAGAAAATTCCTGCATCACAAGGAGCTTCAAAGATATGTGACTTATTCCAGGGCAGTGTCTTGTACCATGCAGCTTGATGTGAAACGGTCCTGGAATACAGCCACGTGACTTTGATGATCGTCTGCCCAAAGGGCCTTGTGTTAGTTCAGTTTCAGCTGAAAATATTACCCAAGTGCAGTCCCAAAGCACTATTAATGCAGGGTCCCATGATACTGGCCTGGATACTTAAAAGATAAGGAAGATAATGGTATATTCTTTCACCAGCACCTACCTAAAATACATTTTCCCCTTAGCATACAATATTCATACCCAGTGCTCTTGACTTCACTTCTTAATGAATACTTTCCTGAAACCATGTCCAACCACAAATGCTCAAATGCAATTCTTTAACATTTGGCACTTCCATTATGCCTTTGGTAAAGAATTTAAATTTTTTGGTACATGTCTTTCTTCCTAACCACTTTCTCAAATAAATTATTTTTAATGGAAATACACAGAAAAGGCTATCTGCATATACCCTTGGCTATCAAAGTTTTAATTTTCCCACTAAATTACATTTTTTTTCTTAAAACTCTGACTATGCAGACTCCTCACAATGTTAGGCAGAAACAGAATAAACCGAATTCTTGTTATTCATTGTTCCTAAGTGTTTTTTCCCAGCAAAAAGTCTGATACTGGGTGTGTAAGTGTTTCAGAAATGTTGAAAAGAAACTAAGGCTCATGCTTCTAGACAAAACAGAAGTTACGGAAGCATAATATATAAAAAAAATTCAATGACTAGAACTTGGCAGTTTAAAACTAAACTTGCAAAGGGTAGGTAACCAAGTGCTGTCTACCTGAGCAGGGCACTGTCCAGGAAAGATGATTATTTTTTCTTAAATTCTAGCCTGCATTATTTTAATTCCAATTTGGTTATGTCAGTTAGTATAGGAAAGAGGTACGAATTTTTAGGAAATAAAAAGATATATTAGGGCTGGGCACGATGGCTCATGCCTGTAGTCCCAGCACTTTGGGAGGCCGAAACAGGAGGATCTCTTGAGCCCAGAAGTTAGAGACCACCCTGGGCAACATAGTGAGACACGCGTCTCTACAAAAAATACAAATATTAGCTGTGTATGGTGGCATGTGCCTATAGTCCCAGCTACTCGAGAGGCTGAGGTGGGAGGATCACTTGAGCTGGAGAGGTCGAGGCTGCAGTGAGCTGAGATTGTGCCACTGCACTCCAGCCTGGGCAACAGAGGGGAGACCTTATCTCAGAAAAAAAAAAAATATATATATATATATACATATATATATATATATATGTATATATATATATATATATATAAGCAAAATTATTGCTAATTGAAAAGAGAACTGAAACTAACCAAGGCCAGACACAGTGGCTCATGCCTGGAATCTCAGCACTTTGGAAGGCCAACGTGGGTAGATCACTTGAGGCCAGGAGTTCAAGACAAGCCTGGGCAAAATGGCAAGACCCTGTCTCTACTAAAAATACAAAAATTAGCCAGGTATGGTGGCACAGCCTATAGTCCCATCTGCTCAGGAGGCTGAGACACAATGATCCCTTGAGCTGGAGAGGTCAGGGCTGCAGTGAGCTGTGATCACACCACTGCACTCCAGCCTGGGTGGCAGAGTGAGATTCTATCTCAAAAAAAAAAAAAAAGAAACTAACCTAATATTTTCTGAGGCTGCCAAATTCTGGGCTGTTTATGAACCATCTCACGAAAAGACAGAAGTTTTTTTGAAGGCAAAGATCATAGCTTATTCATCATTCTATCCCTGGCAATTAGTTGAAGGCCTGGCAAACAGTAAAATCTCATAATTCAATCAAATATAAAGAGGAAGGAGATGACTTGAAGATGAGTAAAAGATCACTGGAGAGAGCCAATGATTTTAGGAATTGTTTTATGAGGCAATAAGGGGCAAATAAATACTGAAAAGAAACATTTATTGTTGCATTATGCTTTGAAATCTACTAAATGTATCCAAATTTCCCATGAGAAAGTTAACTGCTATTCAGAGAATTCTGAAACATAAAAATAAGTTAAGCTCAAGTATAATGCTATCATAGCAGGCATTTGAAGCAATTTGTTAATCCTTAGAACATATCACTATTTTGCAGATTGAAGAAATAAAAAATTATGTTTTTTCAGAGTCACAGAAACTCAATAGTTCTAGGTCAATACTATGAACCATGCTGAAGAGAATAACTTGGGTAGTAAGTGTTGTAACACGGAGGGGGTCCCTTTAAATCATAGCACCCTGATGTTACCAGCCGCAAAGGCTGTGTATCCCCAAACTATATTCCCTACTTTTGACTCCTGGAGTTACCTATTCAAAGATGAGTTTTAGGCTGGGTGTGGTGGCACACACCTGTAATCCCAGCACTTTGGGAGACCAAGGCAGGAGGATCGCTTGAGCTCAGGAGTTGGAGACCAGCCTGGGCAACATAGCAAGATCTCTTCTCTACTAAAAGAAAAACAAAAAACTAGCTATGTGTAGTGGTGGGTTCCTGTAGTCCCAGCTACTAAGGAGGCTGAGGTGGGAGAATAACTTGAGTCCAGAAGTTGAGGCTGCAGTGAGCTGTGATCACACCACTGCACTCCAGCCTGGGTGACCCTGAGACCCCACCTCAAAAACAAACAAACCAACAAAAACACAGAGCTGAATTTTCAGTCTGAATAATAATTTTTTTTAAAAGGCTAAGAGCTATGCAAAGGTAAGTAATCTAAACATTCAAAGAAATGTTGAGTTACTACTTTACTTATGTTTTGATTGATCACTAACCTGTGTAGGCTGCCACCAAATAAAAAGTGAGGCAGCTTTCTTTCAAAGCTCATTCAAATGTTCAAGCCTGACACATCCGTTTGCAAAGAAGAATAAGAGTAAGTATTTTAAAACAATTAAACAAATCAAGGAAATTTGATTTTAAGGATGGGAGTCAAAGGTGAGTCTCAGGTCAATGCAATCCTTACCCTAAATCTAACCTTCAGGCTCTGCGTGATGAGGCACTTACCTTCTGCAAAAAGGATCTTCAGGTCCCTGTTAGCATAGGCTTACACTAGATTTCCAAGATGCCAGGGAGCAAAACCCTAAGAATCCCATGGGCAAAAGAAACCAAAACACCCATAACAAATAAGCACCATAAATAACGTTTGCATTTGAACACAGAAACTGATCAGCTATATTCAGGACAGAAATAGCAAATGAGCATTTGAAAGGGATCTGGTGACCAGTAACTGCAACCCAGAGCCCTGTACATTATAGAAACACAAAGTGGATTAGCACCATCTGGGACTTCCAGGCAGTCCCTCTGACCCTCTAGGCAGCTCTCTTCCCCCTCTGCCTCTCCCTCCTCTGCCCTCTCCATCTTCCTTACAATTAGCCTTGGTTTCCTTCCCCCATGTAAGAAGCCCAGCCCTGCCTTCAACAGGAACATACAGCAGAGGCGCAACACATTTTAAACTTCCATCTTCTGATCCTGCCCTTCTCCTTTGTTCTTTTTATCTCTTTCTTTTCTTCACTTATATTTCCCTCTCTCTTTCTCCTCCTTCCTTTTTCTCTCCCTCTATGTCTCTGTAGATACCCTTTCCTTAGCAGGTCAAAACATGAAACTTTAATACACACACACAGATACACATGCATGCATACATATTACATATGTGATGGTGAATATCTATCTATCCCTATCTTTAAAAAATGCTCATGGGATTGTGACAAGGTTCAGGACATGCTGTCCTAACTACGGCACCTTGGAAGGTGAGGGCATTCAGGAGGCAGCATGTGCAGGAAGGCCTCTCAGACCTTCCACCTCCCTTCTCTCCTGCAGCAGGTCATAAAACCTAGAAAGGATTTTCTGACCTTCCAGTGAAGCTGATCATAAGACCCTCCCTCACTCAACAGGTGGCCTTCTTCTACCTCGAGGAAAATAGCATCATTATCGCTGAAGACACAGGGCCACAGAGAAGAATCTGAACAAACAGGCCTTGCTTAACCCCCCAGTTCATGACACTTAACTCATACCCTTTTTGCCCTATCACATTTCTCCATGACTGTCCACCCTTCATCAAATCTAGCACAAAAACACACAGGTTGAACTGTTTCTATGGGTCGTTGTTTCCTTATGAAAACTCTCGTGTCACACGAAGCTCATATTAAATAAATTTGTATGTTTTTCTCTTGTTAATCTGTCTCTTGTTATAGGGGCCTCAGCCATGAATCTACAATTGGAGAGGAAGAGGTATTTTTCCTCCCCTATAATTGCATATAACTAAAACAATAACGCTGGATGGAGGCAGGGTTTTGTTCGGTTTTGTTTGCTATTGTCGGGCCCTCAAATAGCATTTCCTGTGGTCAGTGATGCTTCGGGGGTTGCCAGGTTGTGGCACACCCGGCTCTCCAAAGGTGGGAGCTTTCAAGCAATCCCGTCCTACCTCTAAACACAGAACACCTGGCAGGGACTTAGGAGGTGGAGGACAAAGCCTCAAGGAGGAAGAAAAGAAAAAGAGAAAGCATGCCAAGCCTTGTGTGATCCAGTTTTCTTCTCGGCATGTTATAAATTAAACAACAACTGAAAACAAAAAGAAAATGAAAGCTTATAAACTGGATACCTACTGAATTCGAAACCCAGCTGCATGCCCCCCACCTACCATGCCTCAAGTACCATGGTAACGTGGCATTTTCAAAATCATTAGTTACCCTGGGAATATTTTAGGCAGAGCTCAGCAGAGCATTTCCTGTGGCGGGGGGCAGGGCGGGGAGGCCTCCAGTGGAGAGGCGTTCTCTAGCTGGGCTGGAGACTGCACAATTGGCCTGACACACATTTCAGAATTTGGGGAGAATTCCAGAGGTTCAGGCAGCCACGGGCAAGGGCAGAGAGCCGCCAGCTCATGCCCCTGAAAGCCAGACAGAAGAGAAAACAAATAGAGACCATGTCCAAACCCCACCATTAATCTGCTATTCTCTTCTCTAAACACTGTTACAGTCAAATGGCAATGCTTATTCTTAACAGGCATACTAAGATGTGATCATTTCAAGTGACAAGCAAAAAGAATGAATCCTTTCTACGTATCCTCATATGACTCATAAGGCATACACAAATTTTTATTTTTCTTTCTAAAATGCATTAGAGAGTAAATTTGGAATAAATGTACTCTTCCCACCAAATCCCGATACAATATGTTCTATAAATTGCATCAAAGTTTGTAATAAAAGGAACATATGTTTGTCAGAGGTGGTTGCAATAGGTAATACCCGGCAGACAGATCATCTGTGAGGTTGTGTGGATTCAAACCCGAAACGTGGAGGAGTGGGGAGTTATGTGGGGTAGAGTGTTTCAGCTTATGTGACCATGGAGAGTGTTCCAAACATTAATCACTAAAAGTTAACTGATTCCAATGTCATATGACACTTATTGCATAGTAGCTTCCATGGACTGGACTCTCTCACCACATTGAAGACAGAGTGGGATCATAAAACCAGCCCTGATTTTAAAGGGCTTAGATTCCAACTCTTATGGTCTTTGTTCGATCATTCAACTGTTCAACAAACATTTGTTGAGCAACTACTGGGTGCGAGGTACTGAAGACAGAGCAGTGAACCCCCAGGAAATCGCCTAGCCTTCCTAAGCCCATTATTGGCAAAGAAAAATGGGCACTAATCATGACTGGCCGTATCTACCTCACAGATAGTTGCACAGCTCAAATAAAGGGATTTATGAAAGCATCCTGAAAATGGGGAATGTCTATAACAACACAAGTGCTCCTATTTAATTAATTGTCTTATAATTTGTTAAAGGCCAAAAAGAAATCTTCCTTCTGAGTGTGTTTTTTTTTTTTTTTTTGGAAACGGAGTCTCACTCACTCTGTCTGCTGCCCAGGCTGGAGTGCAGTGGTGCAATCTCCCAGCTCACTGCAACCTCTGCTTCCCAGTTCAAGCAATTCTCCTGCCTCAGCCTTCTGGGTAGCTGTGGTTACAGGCATGCGCCACCATGCTTGGCTAACTTTTGTACTTTTAGTAGAGACAAGGTTGGCCAGGCTGGTCTCGAACTCCTGACCTCAAGTGATCCGCCTGCCTCAGCCTCCCAAAGTGCTGGGATTACAGCCATCAGCCACCACACTCGGCCCCCAAGAGTTTTAAAACAAGTTTTGGTACTAATTAAGTTTTTTAAAAGTGCATTTTTTTTTCATTCTGGAGCTAGCAGATTCCCATCTTTGGGAAGAACAAATATCTATTCCTTTGCCTCAGGAAGACTTCTTCAGGCTTGTAGCGTCTAAGGCAGTGTGTGGTGTGAATTCTATAGCATCTTCAACAAACCAAACCACACAAACCCTTGCATCCAGTGGTTTCAAACATTTTAAACAGGGGATTGTTTCTTAAATCTTATGCAGAGCCCAAATGTTTACACAGATGCCAGTGGGGCTGCTCCGGCTGAAGGAGAGGGTTTTTATTTTGGCTGCAAACTCTGAGGATCTTCTTGGAACCCCAGAGAACGCTGAACAGTTTGACCATAGCCCTCTCCCAGACTCCTCTCTTTTTCCAGAAGACACTACAGCATAATGGTTAGGCAGGCTGGATTTGCAACCTGGTTTCAACAATTAAAAGTTTACCTTGGCTGGGAGCGGTGGCTCATGCCTATAATTCCAGCACTTTAGGAGGCTGAGGCAGGAGGATTGCTTGAGGCCAGGAGTTTGAGATTAGCCTGGGCAACACAGTGAGACCCCACCCCTCTCAAAAAAAATTTTTTTTCATTAAAAAAAAGAAAAAAATGTTTACCTTCTTTAGACCTCATCTTCTTCCTCTGTACAATGAGGATAATGATAGTAGCACTCTTGCGGGGGGGTGGGGGGGTTGTGAGAATTATATAAATTCACCCATGTAAAGTGCTTACGACACAGCCGGCAAATAAAATAAATACATTAATCAGTAGCAATTTTCCCCTTCAAGTCCACCTTTATGCCACTGCCAGATTAATTTTCTTAAATTACTACATTCCATGTGTGATCCTCGTGTTTCAAACTTCACAATGTTCTTCCTCCACTATTATATACCAAATAAATGATAAATTCCTTCTCCTGATATAAATGTATATGGACATCTCTCTACTCGTATCTGCAACTATGTCCACATCTTCAACCTTCCATGAGACTTTCCAGCCTCATTCATCTGTCTCACCTTCCACTCCACAGACCTGCCCTTCACGTGTCCTTGCCTTGACACGTATGGAGCATAGCAATGCACATAGCATCACGGAAGGGACTAGCTGTGAAGTGTATGACAATATCCTAATTGGGTTTTCTAAGTAAATCAGTGAGGCAGAGTCTATAAAGGGAGAAGATAACGAGAAAGCTCAGTAGTGTGTTTCAAGTGTAAAATGAATAGCAAAACCAAAAGCTTGAACAGGCTAGGGCAGTTGGTAAGTGTATTCTCAAGGAGTTAGGCTTGAAGCAGGAATTGAAGGGAATATGAGCCAAGTGAAGGAAAATGCACGGGGGTTGTGGAGGAAACCAATGAGTGTTACGGATGGGGCCAATGAGAGACAAGGTTGAGACCATGGAGGACAAGAAGGGTGTTCTTGGTCCTACACACACTGGTTCATCGAAAGTTTTCTAAACCGGAGATTGAGGGCCATGAATCTGCAGGCTGGGTGCAGAAGGAACCGGGGTGGGAGGTGCCGGGAGGAGGGACACCTGCTCTGGGGTCATCTCTAAGCAGCATCCCCCATACATACACAGCTGCGTGTATCTCCTTCCCAATTGCTTCTCCCTGTCACCACCCGATGTGGCCCCCAGCAAGGAAATTGCCCGTGGTCCCTCACCTATTCCTCTCCTCACTCCCTGCATTCAGTAAGTCACCGTGGCCACTCATTCCTGCCATTCCATGTTTCCTAATTCTGTCCACTGCTCCCTGCCCCCCACGGCCAACAGCCCACAGCAGGCCACCAACACCTCCACAATGACTATTTTGAAGCGACCTAACTGGTTGCCCTGCATTTACCCCTGGGTCCCTCCAATCCATTCTCAGCTGCTTTCAAAGAGATCTTTTGAAAATGCAAGTCAGATCACGTCATACCCTGCTGGGACCACATCCTATTATTCCCAGGATATCCCAAATCCGTAAAATGGCTTTAGAAGGTTTACCACAGCCTGGCCCCAACCCTGTTTCCTACCACTTTTTCTCTCCCTCCTTCTACTCTAGCCACCTGGATTTCCCAGTTCCTCAGCTGGCTGGTATTCAAGTGTGTGTTCCCTGTACCTGAAAGCATTCTTCTCTCATCCCACCTGCCCGGCCACAACACCCCACTCTCACCCCTACATACCCATGGAGCATCAGACCCCACCTCGGGCACCAGCTAACATCTATCACTCCTTCAGGTTTCAGCAGAAATTCGACTTCCTCAGAGAAGACTTTCCTAAAACCCAAACCTTAGATCCACAATGCATGGTCTCACAGCCCCTTGTATGTCCTTTTTCATAGTACACATCATTCCTATAATTATTCCTTTAAGGTCCTGTCCCTATCTCACATGAGACCTTAAGGTTCCATGAGGCAAAGACCATGTCTGTCTTATGTAAATGGCAGCAGCACCCAGAAAGGTGTGTGGCCAAAGTGAAACAAATGAAAATTTGTTGACTGAATGAAGAGAGGAATGAAGAGCGCTAAAGAATCTCCCACAGTAACTCAGAGAATGAAAGAAGGACCTGGTGACATTTGGCAAGATATATTATGGGGCTGATGACTGTGGGAAGGGGCAGGTAAGGTGGGGAAAAGACCAGGTGACAGGGCAGAGATAAAGTTGCCACCCCAGGAGCTGGGAGGAAATGGTGTCAATGACACAGCTGGATGTCTGGACTAGAAACTGAGTTTTGGAATTTCATATGTTGGGTAGAAGTAAAAATAAATAGAGAAACATAGTGCCTACTACCTTAAGTGCTCCATACAGCCTCATTGATGAAGATAAGTTCTATCCAACAAAAACCTTACCAAGGCTAGAAACCCTGTCCTGACCTTGAAACATATAGGTAGGGCGGTTTTTGTTTACTTTTTAAAATCATCACTTGAGTTGAATCAGGGCTCACTTTCAATCTCTGCTATTTCTCTTAAGATCATTATGAGAAAGTGACTGAAAAAATAAATCAAATTTTTTAATGTAAATAATAGGTACTATAATTTCACAGCTTTGCACACAGTTTGTACCCAATAAACATTTCTTGGGGGTGATGGTAGCTTGTTTCAATTATCTTCTACCTATTACCTTCCCTTTCCCCATTACTCATGAATTCCTTGGGGAGAAGGACCACATATCACCCATGCCCTGCACACGGCATCAAGTTCAGAGCTACGCATGCAGCAGATGATCAATAAATATGTCTTGATTGCCTATTAGATACAGCATAGAGCATTGGCGGACAGTCAGACCCAGGTTCTGAATCTATTTCTTTGACTGTACAATGTAACTGAAAACCTCTATCTCTGAACAAGAATATTGTGAGGATTGTAGGCAATAGCACACAAAAAAAGCACTGCGCAAACTGCAAGAACACAAAACCTCACACTTGCCATTATTATTAATACAGCTTGGAATTTTAGCACTGGAAGGGAACGGATGGAGATGGAGATAGAAAGGCATTGTTATGTATTGGGCATAAATCCTGGTTGAAGACTAAGCCACACACCTGGCATGTGTTATTGTTTTCAATCCTCACAATAAACCTGTGAAGAAATGGGCTCCAAGCTATTGGACACTTTCCCAAAGTCACACAGCTTCAAGTGGCCCAAGTGGTGTTAAAACAGATGTTTGACTTCTAAGCCCCCTGCCATCCCTGGGCACCTGGAAGCCTGTCTCAGCGCACCCATCTGCTTTAGATCTGAAGAAGCAGAGGCCCGGAGAGCTGCCTCATGGGAACGATGCACCAGAAATGAAGATCCAATCCTGGTTACCTTTCCTTGTTCCTGAAAGTGACTTGGCTTCTCTATCAGAACTTTAAAGAATTGGAGTAACTGCTATGAATCAATTGGGAACTTAAGTAAAGTGAACAGGTCGACCAGCCAGTAAACTACCCAGGAAAAGAATGCAGGAACTCCAGCGGGAAAGACCCCTGGGTGGATCTCCCAGGGTTGTGCACTGAAATAAAGGATTGTGACCAGATGAAAGCAACTGATGGGGACTTTAGAGACGGGGGTCTCAGGACTCAGGTGAGATGCTAAGGGACCTGCTTGACAAGGTCACACTCCAGTTTGGTTTGGAGGAGAGCTTGACTTCCAACCCGGCTCTGGAGCACAGTCCAAGATGCCACTAGCTTCACTTTCTTTTTTTTTTTTACCACCTTTCCCCTGAGCTGTTGAAGGGCATCTGAGTCACTGGGAACACGGCCAGGGCTTGGTGGGCTGCCCTGGGCCTAGGGAACATTGTTAAGGAGGAGACAACCAATTCTGTGGGTGTCAGGAGGCTTAGGAGGGAGCAGTGGGGGGTAGAGAGGCTATGGGACAAATGATAATCTGGTGGCACTAAACATAAAGGACACACGCTGGCTCAGCCCCTGATTCACCAGTGAGTCACTGTCTGTGAGCAGAAAGTATGGCCCTGAGTTGTATTTCAGAATACCACTCAGGGAAAAATATTTCCCTGCTATCTATTTCTATATGCTGCAGTTCCTGTATTACTAAGCATTAACGTGTTAGACATAAGCCACACACCTGTCCGAGAAGGGTGACAATTTTGTGAAGAATGCCCTTGAAGGACAGAAGAAACCCTGGGGGTCTGTTAGCCCTTGCTGTCAAGAATAGGACAATAAATTCAGGGAATTTTGATGCTCACAAGACAGTAAGAAGCAGAACAAATGCACATGCTAAACTAGACCCCCTTCTAGCAAAAGGAGAGGTCATTAAGGACCAGAATAGTTCGAGGGATCATAAGGATCTGGGTATTTCAGCTGTGTTTCCAATTACCACGTCACCCACCATTTACTCAAGTATCACAGCCGAACTGCCTTTGACTCCCATCTCTCCCCAGTGCTCCCCAAAGTATACTTCTCCCTGACCTTTCCAACCTGTCCATGACTTCTTCCCTTTAAAGCCCCTTGATGTGTGCAGCTGCCTCATCTGGTTCAAGACCTCTATGTCTCTATGAACTGCTGAGTCTGATTAAAGTCCAGAGTTTCTGATGTGAGATAAGTGGGGGCAAATCTTTTTTTTTTTTAAATGGCTGTCTCAGAGCATCCAGCAGACCGTTACAAAGGCTTTCTTGTCACCGTCAAGACCAAGTCCTGGATCCATGGATGAGTCTTGAAATGGAAGGCTTAGGCCGGGCACAGTGGATCATGCCTGTAATCCCAGCACTTTCGGAGGCTGAGGCAGGCAGATCGCCTGAAGTCAGGGGTTTGAGATCAGTCTGTCCAACATGGTGAAACCCTGTCTCTACTAAAAATACAAAACAATTAGCTGGGCATGGTGGCACACACCTGTAGTCCCAGCTACTCAGGAGGCTGAGGCAGGAGAATCGCTTGAACCCAAGGTGAAGGTTGTAGTGAGCCGAGATCGTGCCACTGCACTCCAGCCTGGGTGACAGAGCAAGACCCTGTCTTAAAAAATAAAAATAAAAAAGAAATGGAAGGCTTAGTATTCTTAGTATTCTGCACATGAATATTTATTTTTCTGGAGTAGGGTCCATACCTCTCATTAAATTCCCATGAAGGAGCATATTCACCAGAAAACTAAAAATCAGTGGCTCTGACCAAAGTTCAGCTAACTATAGCCTGAAAGCCAAACCTGGCCCATTGCCTGTTCTTATGAATAATGCTTTATAAGAATACAGCTACCTGTACATGTTTACCTATCATCTATGGCTGCTTTCACATGAGAATAGTAGAGCTGAGTAGTTGCAACAGAGACCATATGGCCCAAGAAGGCTAAAATATGCACTATCTTGCTTTTTCCAGAAAAAGGCTGCTGACCTTAAATTTAGACAAGCTCTTTTTAGTACCATCCACTACAAGAGCACTTACTGGCTAATAATTCACCACCAAAATTCAAAGGTGAGCAAATGATTTTAGAATAAAAGTTTCCTGGCTCTGATACATTTGCAAACTTATAGACATCTACTACAGATTGGCCTGTCGTCTTTGGAAACCTATTGGGCAGAGGAGCGGCCAAAGGAGAAGCTAGTTAGAATTCTTCCAAGTCTACCTGCTACGGGCATCTTGGGTCAAGACTCCTTTGCAAACTGCTAGAGAAGAGGTAGTCAGGCAAGAGAATTGTCATCACTCTAAATAATTCAGAGTTTTGATGCTGGCTACAAACCAAACATGAGAAATTATATAATTAGCAGCAGCACATTTAAAAGACGATATAAAATATGCTAATGTTCTCACCACGTGAAGGCAAAGCTGCAGAAACGATGCCATATATTAGCTAGCCTAGGATCAGTCGAAATACAGAAAAATCTCTTAAGAGCATTTTAAAAATAATGATATCAATCAGTTTGATAGAATGCCTTTCTTGGGCTACAAAATAGGTTAACAAAAAGTCTTATTCCATTTTAATGTGTTTTAAGTTACTCATGTCCATTTTCAGTGCATTTTTTGATAAACAGCATATTATGTTAATTTTATTATCTTTGAGTCAAGAACTACCTTTTGTGTGTTTGGTTGTTGTTTTTATTTTTATTCTTATTTTGGATAGATCTCACCATTCTGACCTATTTGCTGGCTGATCAGTTTACATATACGGACTCTAATTATACACGTGCATACTCTTCATTCACTCTGCAGAGAACAAAGCAAGGAGATACCACAGAAAATATGACTACACATCCAAGATATGCAGTGTAATTCTGTTAGTGTTTCCCATGCTTGAAATCTCAAGACCTATATGCTTTACTTAAACCCGTAGTTTGCAGTTTGTATACAAAACTAGGTGTCCAGAGCTAGGGGTGAGAGTTACACATATTAACAGTCTCTTGGCCAGAAGGGAAGAAATATTTGCAAATGTAATCTTTTTTTTTTTTTTTCCTGAGACAGAGTCTCACTTTGTCGCCCAGGCTGGAGTGCAGTGGCACGATCTTGGCTCACTGCAATGTCTGCCGCCCAGGTTCAAGCGATTCTCCTGCCTCAGCCTCCTGGGCAACTGGGACTACAGGCATGTGCCACCATGCCCGGCTAATTTTTGCATGTTTAGTAGAGATGGGTTTCGCCATGTTGGCCAGGCTGGTCTCAAACTCCTGACCTCAAGTGATCCGCCCTCTTAGGCCTCCCAAAGTGCTGGGATTACAGGCGTAAGCCACCGTGCCCAGCTGCAAATGTAGTCTTATTGTCAGGGACCTCTCAGGAGTCTTATTCCACTCAACAGTGCGCCACATGCTGGAATTTCTAAGCTTTCTGCTTTGGATTGTCAAGCAGCCCTTGTACCATTTTCCAATCTGAGTTTGCTAAGCATTGCTGCTGACTGTGGATGGCCTCTTCCTGGGAGTTTCACCACAAGCTAGCATCCCCCACATTCACTAGCATATTGTTCAGATAAATGTTTGTTAAATAGTTCACACTAAAGATCTCAAATTTGCTCCATTTTAATCAAGAGATGACAGTTTCTTAGAACTGAAAAATAATATCACCAAGTAGTAATATTTGTCCATTATATTACAGCCTTGCAACATGGTTTTCACCTACATCATCTCTTTTGATCCTCATGACAATCTTTTGTGATTGGTACTACTTTTGTCTCTCTTTTACTGTGGACCTTAACTCAGAGAGGTTAAGTAATTTGTCCAGGGTCACACAGGTGAGAAGGGCAGGAGTTGGTGGGACCCATGACCCCCATCTCCAGAGCTGGTGCTCTTCCAAGGGCACATTTTAGGCTGATGCTGATGTACTGACTGAATGGTGCAACTTCACATAATGGAATGAGCCCTAGACTGGAAGTCAGCAGCTTTTGGAAGTCAGATGCTTCAGGCCTCAGCTGTGACACTAACCTGCTAGTTGACTTTGGGCCCTCACGTAATCCCTCTGGGCTTTGGCTTCCTCATATTGTGAAATGAAAGAACTGAACTAGAAATTCCTTAAGGTTCTTTCAACTCCAACAATTAGGAATTTTATGGAGCAAAAGTAATCCAGTTTCCAAATTATCTGTCTGAAGGAAATAATACATTGTGTGAAATATAAAGTCTACTCTACAAGCAAATGAAAGAGATTTTGCATTATACATATTTTTAGATGAATCATGCCATAAGTCCATCCTTCTCAATGGCTAAGAGCTAATTAACTAAAAGCTGGCTGTGTACACAGTTGTCAAAACATTTCTATGACCTTTATGCAGAAATCAGACTCTTGAGAAGGGAGTGATCAGCCTCCCTGTCCTGAGCTGGGAGCTAGTCATTTTGCCTTTCTCTGTTTGCAAAGATCCAAAGTCTCTGATAAGTTCATTGTTTTTGTTACACCGTTTGATTTCTCCTTATTATAAGTGTTCAGCATTATTCTCATTACAGAATTAGCGTGGATATCCTCCCCCAGATCTTGACAGCTTCCATGCTGTATAATAAAACATGTGTCTGGTTTTCTTCCCAGGTTCCTGGCAGGGAGCTTCTAAACCCTTGGAAATTCCCAAGTGATAACACTATGTTGGGTCCTTTGGATGACACCAAGTTTATGCTAATGAGATGACTCAGGATGGGGGCCAATCACACCAGAAAGGTCAACCATGTGATTAGAGGGTTAGGGCTTTGACTCATGTGATATCAGCCTGACCTCTGGAGACTCAGTTCCAATCACAGGGCCTATGACGTAATCACCCATGCCTACATAACCAAACCCTGGTAAAGACTCTGGACGCTAGCAGCTGAGTGAGCCTCCTGCTTGATGAACACATCAGTGTGCTGAGAGGGTGACGTGTCCTGATCCCACAAGGAGAGGACCTGCAAGCTCCACTTATGGGCCTCTCCCAGACCTTACCCCTGTCTGTCGCTTCAACTGGCTAGCCCTAGTCTGTAGGCTTTGTAATGAAACTGTAATCATAAAGATAGTGCTTTCCTGGGTTCTGTAAGTTGTTCTAGCAAACTATTGAATTCGAGGGAGCTGTGGGAATCCCTGAATTTGTAGCCAGTTGGTCAGAAGTGTGGGTGGCCTGGGGACTCCTAAATCTATGGCTGGTCCTGAAGCGTGGGCAGCCTTGGTGGGGATGGTGCCCTTAACCTATGAAGTCTGGGCCGACTCCTGGTAGTTGGTGTTGGAACTGCCCTCAGCACTGCGGCCTGCCTGCCACTACTGAGCTGTGCATGAGGACAGGTCAGGCACCCTCTCACCTCAGGCCCTCTGCACTAACTGCTCCCTCTGCCCGGGGATGATTCTTGCTTCTGGGTCCTGCATGGCTGGCTCCATTACCCCTCAAGTCTTTGCTCAAATGTCACTGCTTCCTGAAGTCTTGCCCCCTGCAGCCTCCCCACACCACCCACTCTCCATTTACTCCCTTTCTCCCTTCCCTATTTCATTCTTCTTCATGGCACTTACCTTCCGATACACTAAGTAATTTGCATATGAGATTTTGTATGTTAAATGCATTCCTCTGATAAGATGTAAGCTCTATGTGGGCAAGAATTTTTCTCTCTTTAGTTCACTGTGATATGCCTAGTGCTAAGAGCAGTGCCTGCCCATTGTAGATATTCACTCACTATTAGTTGAATCTTGCCAAATCTATACCTCTATGCATGTATACACATATAAGATCAGGCTCCTGCAATATAATAAATTGAATTCATGTTAATTGTCTATAAGCCCTTGTGGGTAGTATATTGAGCTATGCTAATTTTCATATTTGGGAACCCCATAGCATATGGTGACATTTTATATCTCACTTGAGCAAGAAGCAGCTCACTTTTCTATACACTTTATTTTTTGAGACAGAGTCTCACTCTGTCACCCAGACTGGAGTGCAGTGGCATGATCTCAGCTCACTGCAAGCTCCGCCTCCCAGGTTCATGCCATTCTCCTGCCTCAGCCTCCCAAGTAGCTGGGACTACAGGCGCCCACCACCACGCCTGGCTAATTTCTTGTATTTTTAGTAGAGATGGGGTTTCACCATGTTAACCAGGATGGTCTTGATCTCCTGACCCCGTGATCCACCTGCCTCGGCCTCCCAAAGTTCTAAACACTTTTTAAAAAGCTTATACTAATCTTCTAACTTCTAATGGTATTCTCAGGAAAATTCTGTTGAAAGGCTGTCAAGTGTGAAACAAACAAATAAAAAAAGGTATGAAAACATAAATTTGGCTATGTTAACTTTAAAGTTGAGGGGCAAATCTATAAAAGCAGATTTTTCTTTCTCCAGAGCTAATAAATTCAAAAGCTTTATAACCTCGGTTCTCAATAGTTGGGCAGGGAGCTCTGTGGTCAGATTTGTGGGATGTCCCCACTGCCATATTGTTAGGCTGTCCTTTAGTGGACAAAAGGCAATCACTGGCTCAGTTGGCCCTGGAGTGCTTTCATAACTAAACATAGAGGCTGATTTTTATCTTTGAGCAAGATGATGCTAGTTTCATCCTGCTCTGCTGGCAAAGATTTGCCTTTCCTCATTCCCCTACTCTAAGCAAACATGTATGGATTCTTCTTGTCCATTTGCTGGCACTTCCTGACAGCACTGCCACTTTTCTTCAGCTGTGTCCTCTGATTATTTGACTAGGAGTGATATGAACTTAGAGAACCACACTTCCTTTCATATCTGTTTTAGGTCTTCAGGAAAAGTGAGACTCATGATTTCACAGTGATTCAGCCTATTGAAAAATGAAGATGTCACCCACACAATCATTTTTTTTCTTTTTTTTTTTTTTACTAAAAGCTTATCTATGTGTTTATTTTCCAGAGGTGTTAAGAGAGAAAAACTTAGCTTCAGGTAGTGAAGAGCCATAGAGTATCAGTATCTTATTATATTTTAGTCATTTAGAACACTTACAAAAATAAAAAGCTATAAAGACAGCCTATATACACATGTATCAAATTATTACCCAATTTTGAAGCTAGATTTTAAAATCACCTTCACATCACATATACTATTTTCCACAGGGATTTTCACTTCATCTGCTTTCCTGAAGTAGATATTTAACTTTCCAGAACATTTTTGTTTAAACCCTGAAGTAGATATTTAACTTTCCAGAACGTTTTTGTTTAAACCCAAGAATACTTGACATGCAGTAGGCTCTTAACTAGTACATGTTTGGTGTGGGAAAACAAATGGGCATATTTCAAATAGGAACAAAAACATAAGTTCCTATGCCCTGTGGACCCACACTGAAAGGAAAGTCCTGAAGTTCCCTCCTGTACTCAGGGGTATGTGTGGGTCAGTGTAAGGGACAAAACAATCTGTTGTCTTCCTCTGTAGGACTTGTTAAAAAGAAATTAATTGGATTAGCCAGGCATGGTGGTGCACACTGGTAGTCCCAGCTACTCAAGAGACTGAGGCAGAAGAATCGTTTGAACCCAGGAGAGGAGGTTGCAGTGAGCTGAGATCATGTCACTGCACTCCAGCCTGGGTGATAGAGCAAGACTCCATCTCAAACAAACAAACAAACAAAAACAAACAAAAACAAAAAAAACAAAGCAAAAACAAAAGAAATTAATTGGGACCCCATTAGACTGAGATGATTCCAGCATCTTGGCTTCCTACATAAGCAAGCTGAAATACAACTCAGTGTGAAAGGTAAAATGAAACTTAAGCATAACCCATCAGAAACTGCTAACCAATCTTTAACCAGGGACTTTCCACTAGAATAACCTAAATAAGGATACTGCTCCACTTCAATGAGTCAAACATTTTCTTTGCCTTGAGTCAATGTTCACCTTATAAAAGCCTCTTCTCATGTCACTCTGTTGGAGGCCAAAGAGCTTTTGGTTTGGTGCTGCCCAATTCATGAATTGCTGTCTGTTTAAATAAACTCTTTAACATTTTAATGTGTTTACGTTTATCTTTTAACTGTTTGTTAACCAGCTGCAGACAATCACCCAGACAAAGCTAGGCATTGAATCTGAGGCTCCCTTACGTTGTTTCCCACAAGGAAATGTGAGTGTTAGCATACCTTTTCATTTGTTTTCATTTTATCAGAGTTTCCAGGCAGCTATGCTGTTGGTCTTTGGCTAGGCAGGCCTCTAGCAGCGTAACTCAGTTGGGAAAAACAAGGGCCTGGAAATCAGACCTCTTTTCAACTCTCTGCTATTATTTATCCTCAAGCAGAATTTGGATGCTTAAAGTTCTTAAATGGCCAGAATTAATGACTAAAATTAATAAGATGCTATCTGGCATGAATACAATTAAAGCACTACAAGGAGGTTCAAATATTCAATTAAACAAGTAGAAGCTGGCTTGACATCACGTCAGAAAGCCCCAGAGAGTTCAGCTGGCCAAAAGCTAACCATGAGCCTGCATGGTTTGGCAATTGTTAAAAGAAACCTTAATCATGCTTAGGCTGTATTTGGACAAGTTTGTTGCCTCTATCAAATAAGTTTATATTCTCAATGCTCTTTGAAGCCCCCAAGGAATACTATGTTCTGTTCTAGGTGCCATTTTAGGGAGGATATTGCTGATCAATATCTAGTATTGGATATCAAGAGAAGTGCAACCAGGATAGTGGGGTAGTCTTAAAAGAAACAGCTGAGGAAACTTTGTCTGGAAAAGAAGCTTTTGGGAAGTACCAGGCTATAGTCCTCAGCATCTGATGATTGACAGATGGAGTAGATTCCTTCTGCATCTAATAATTCAGCTAATATTTCCTGAGCTGTTACTACATTCATGGTACCCTGATATGTACTGTGGGATATATGTTTTAATGATACACAGGACCAATCTCAAGGCACTTACAATAAAGTAAGATAAAGTACAAAGTGTCCAGGATCCTCAGTTTTAATTCCAACTCTGTTACCCACTGGGTATGTAACTGTGATGGTTAATTTTATGTGTCAAATTGAATGCGCCACAGGGTGCCCAGATTAAACATTATTTTGGGGTGTGTCTGTGAGGATGCTTCTGGGTGAAATTAGCATTAGAATCAGTGGACTCCATAAGGTAGACTACCCTCTCCAACGTAGGTAGGCCTCATCCAATCCACGAAAGCCTGAACAGAACAAAAGGTAGATGAAGGAGAAATTTACCTTTTTCCTTCTGTCTCACTGCTTGAGCTGGAACATCTGATTTCATCTTCTCCTGACCTTGGACTGGGACTTTCATCATTGGCTCCTCCAGGTCTCAGGTCCTTATTCTCAGACTGAACTGTAACACTGGCTTTCCTGGGTCACCAGCTTATAAACCACAGGTTGTGGGACTTCTCAGCCTCCATAATAACACAAGCCATTTCCTTATAAGTATATCTTTCGTCTATTTCTGTGTGTGTATGTGTATTAGTCCATGTTCACACTGTTGATAAAGATATACGTGAGACTGGGCAATTTACAAAAGAAAGAGGTTTAATTGGACTTTACAGTTCCACATGGCTGGGGAAGCCTCACAATCATGGCAGAAGGCAAGGAGGAGCAAGTAACGTCTTATATGGATGGCAGCAGGCAAAGAGAGAGTGAGGAAGATGCAAAAGTGGAAATCCCCAACAAAAGCATCAGATCTCATGCAACTTATTCACTACCATGAGAACAGTATGTGGGAAAACTCCCCCATGACTCAACTACCAACCAGCAGGTCCCTCCCACAACATGTAGGAATTATGGGAGTACAATTGAAGATGAGATTTGGGTGGGGACACAGGGCCAAACCCTATCTTTCTGCACTTGGCCCCTGCCAAATCTCATGTCCTCACATTTCAAAACCAATCATGCCTTCCCAACAGTCCCCCAAAGTCTTAACTCATTTCAGCCTTAACTCAAAAGTCCACAGTCCAAAGTCTCATCTGAGACAAGGCAAGTCCCTTCTACCTATGAGCCTGTAAAATCAAAAGTAAGTTAGTTACTTCCTAGATACAATGGGGGTACGGGCACTGGGTAAATACAACAATTCCAAATGGGAGAAATTGGCCAAAACAGAGGGGCAAGAGGGCCTATGCAAGTCCAAAATCCAGTGGGACAGTCAAATCTTAAAGCTCCAAAATGATCTCCTTTGACTTCATGTCTCACATCCAGGCCATGCTGATGCAAGAGGTGGGTTCCCATGGTTTTCGGCAGCTCTGGCCCTGTGGCTTTGCAAGGTACAGCTTCCCTCCCAGCTGCTTTCACAGACTGGCATTGAGTGTCTGCGGCTTTTCCAGGTGCATGGTGCAAGCTGTCGGCAGATCTACCACCATTCTGGGGCCTGGAGGACGGTGGCCCTCTTCTCACAGCTCCACTAAGCAGTGCCACAGTAAGGACTCTGTGTGAGGGCTCTGACCCCACATTTCCCTTCTGCATTGCCCTAGCAGAGGTTCTCCATGAGAGCCCTGCTCCTGCAGTAAACTTGTGCCTGGGCATCCAGGCATTTCCATACACCCTCTGACATCTCGGCAGAAGTTCCCAAACCCCAATTCTTGACTTATGTGCACCCGCAGGCTCAACACCATGTGGAAGCTGCCAAGACTTGGGGCTTGCACCATCTGAAGCCACAGCCTGAGCTCTACATTACCCCTTTTAGCCATGGCTAGAGTGGCTGGGACACAGGGCACCAAGTCCCTAGGCTGCACACAGCTCAGGGACCCTGGGCCCAGGCCACAAAACCCCTTTTTCCTCCTAGGCCTCCAGGCTTGTGATGGGAGGGGCTGCTGTAAAGACCTCTGACATGCCCTGGAGACATTTTCCCCATTGTCTTGGGAATGAAAATTTGGCTGCTCGTTACTTATGCAAATTTCTGCAGCTGGCTTGAATTTCTCCTCAGAAAATGATAGTTCCTTTTCTATCACATTGTCAAGCTGCAAATTTTTCAAACTTTTATGCTCTGTTTCCCTTTTAAGTGCTTTTAACAGCCCCTGAGTCACCTCTTGAATGCTTTGATGCTTAGAAATTTCTTCTGCCAGATACCCTAAATCATCTCTCTCAAGTTCAAAGCTCTGTAAATCTCTAGGTCAGGGGGAAAATGCTGTCAGTCTCTGCTAAAACATAACAAGATTACCTTTGCTCCAGTTCATAAAAAGTTCCTCATCTACATCTGAGACCACCTCAGCCTGGACGTTATTGTCCATATCGCTATCACCAAACTTTCCCACATTTTCCTGTCTTCTGAGCTCTCCAAACTGTTCCAACCTCTGCCTGTTACCCAATTTCAAAGCTGCTTCCACATTTTTGGGTATCTTCTTAGCAGCACCCCACTCTACTGGTACCAATTTACTGTATTAGTCTGTTTTCATGTGCTGATGAAGATATACCCGAGACTGGGCAATTTACAAAAGAAAGAGGTTTAATTGGACTTACAGTTCCACATCGCTGGGGAAGCCTCACAATCATGGCAGAAGGCAAGGAGGAGCAAGTAATGTCTTACATGGAAGGCAGCAGGCAAAGAGAGAGTGAAGAAGACGCAAAAGCAGAAACCCCTGGTAAAACCATCAGATCTTATGAGACTTATTCATTGCCATGAGAGCAGTATTGGGGAAACTGCACCCACGATTCAATTATCTCTCACTGGGTCCCTCCCACAACATGTGGGAATTATGGGAGTGCAATTCAAGATGAGATTTGGGTGGGGACACAGAACCAAACCATATCAGTATGTCTGTGTGTGTGTCTGTGTTTGTGTATCCTATTGGTTCTGTTTCTGTTGAGAATCCTGATTAATACAGCGACCTTGGGCAGTTTCTCAACTTCTCCTAACATCGCTTTCATTATTGTAAAGCAACACTGCAGAGGTTTCCTGATAATTAAACGTGATTATTATTCACAAGCTAGATGCATTTTAAAAAAAAATCCCAGAACACACAGCAGAATGAACAACAATGGTATAATAAAGAGCAAAGAGCTGGAAAAAGAATGAGAAATCAGTAACTGATTGAAACCAAGTAGATGGAGAAAGGCTTTACAAGGATGGTGATGTTTGACTTGAACCTCAAAGGACAAGATGGAGTTTGGTGGGTGAGGAAGGAGAAGAGGAAAAAGAGCATTCCACATGAATGAGGCAATATGAGCAAAAGCAGATATTTCAAAAATAAATAGCTTTTGGGAGACCAACAAATAATACTGTGGTTGGAGGGCAGAGGAGGAATAAAGGGTGAGAACAGCTAGAAAGATATAACCCAGTCAGACTACAACTGCCCTAGAATAGCATGCCAAGGAGTCTGTAGGCAGTGGAGGGCTAGGTAAGTCAATTCAGGAGGATTAATCGGGTTCAAACATGGTGTGGAGAGATGAAAAACTGCAACAAGGATGGAAAGTTCAAGCATCTTCATGAGTCTAAATGGGAGATGATGAGGAACTGACCTAAGATAATGGCAGTAGCATTGGAAAGGAGGGGGACAGATGGGCTATGGGGAGTAAAAGTGAGGGGTGAGTAAAAGACGACTCCATGTTTTGCAACCTTGGTGTTGAGAATGCTGATGCCATGAGCTCATCCAGGAAACACAGAACAAGAAATGAAGCTGACCAGGTAGATGATGAGTTCAGTTGTGGGATGTGTTGAATTTCAGGTGGCTGTGGAATAGTCATAGGGAAGTTCATAAGAGAAAGTTGGAAATGTGGTTCTGGAGCTCCTGAGAGGAGTCAGGGTTAGAGATGTATACCTCAAAGGGGGTACATTTAAAGATTAAGGATATATTGTCAAACAAAGACAAACTTGGATTTGACCTCTGCCTTTAATACTATCTGTGTGGCCTTGAACAAATTATTTATCATCTCCAAGCCTTAATTTCCTTAATTGTAAATTTGGGAAAATTATACATCCTTCAAAGGCTTTGCTTATTGCATACCATCTGGTTGCCATTTGTCACCATCACTGTCTACCAGAACCATCATTGCTAAAGCCATTAAAGTAGATGAACTTGGCTAGGAATAGAGAGTAATTAAGTTTAAAAACATGAATGAATCTTAGGGAACAATTATTAAGGGATATATGACAGAAAAGCAAACCTGAAAGGAGCTTAAGAGTATTCAAAGGGGGACAGGCAAAAGACCAAGACAGCAAGACACTATGAAGGGTCAAGGGGAGAGAATTTCAAGGAGGGAATCATCAAAAATGTCAAATGCTACCAAGAAGTCAAGAAGGATAAAGAAGAAAAGAAAAATATAGAACACTGAATATAGTGCTTTGAAGATTATCCTTGCTTAGTGGAACTACTACATATGTTAGGCATAGAAGCCAGTTGCAAATGCAATAGGATTGAAAATGAACATTTCACCCAGACTCCAAGGAGATGTGTATCAGATACCAAAGTGAATTGTGAGACAGATCCTATTCCAGAAATGTCAAAGCAGATATAAACAGTTCTAGACCTTAGTCTTCTTACTCACTTTGAGGACATAAAAGGCTTAAGTTACTAGACAGAAAGCAGATCTATGAGAAGGATTCTTTAAGAGAGAGCCTTGCTGTGAATTCCATCATTCCAAAAGAGGGGCGATGCTCCCCTTCACCTCAATAGGGGTTTCACTGGAAGATTGTAAGTGCTTGATCAGTGTCCTCTGTGGACAGAGGCAAATAACAGACTGGTATTTATGTGTTTGACTTTCACCCGAGAGCCTCTGGCAGAAAACTGAAGGAGGCTTGGCTGTACTGGATGGCCTGTTGTTGGAGGTAAAGGTTGCATGAGTGTTCTGATGGATTTGAGGGCACAAGGTGGCGTGGAACTAATTTAAATTCTTCCCAAGAGGAGCATCTGAGGCCAATAGGGAGGGCTTTGGAAAACAGGGACTGAGAGAGACTCAGCCAAAGCTGGAAGAAACTGAATCAACCACATTAATAAAGAAGAGCAGAATGTTCCCAGTGAGAGTCCCTGAAGAACCCATTAAAACATCCAAAAGAAAAGTTAGCTTTTTTTTTTTTTTTTTTTTTTTTTGAGACGGAGTCTCTCTCTGTTGCCCAGGCTGGAATGCAGTGGCGCGATCTCCACTCACTGTAAGCTCTGCCTCCCAGGTTCACGCCATTCTCCTGCCTCAGCCTCCCAAGTAGCTGGGACTACAGGCACCCGCCACCATGTCCGGCTATTTTTTTTTTTGTATTTTTAGTAGATACGGGGTTTCATTGTGCTGGCCAGAATGGTCTCGATCTCCTGACCTCATGATCCGCCCGCCTCAGCCTCCCAAAGTGCTGGGATTGCAGGCGTGAGCCACCGCACCCGGTCCCAGAAAGTTAGCTTTAAAATCACAGTTCTTGGCCGAGAGAGTTTGAAGCCACCCTATAACAGAATAGTCAAGGAAGGACTTTCCACCTCTCCTTTCTCATCATCCTGCCCCACCCACCTCATCCCCATTCCAATCTTGGAGGGATCAAAACAGCGGGGAGGAGGGAGTGAGCAGGAGAGAAGTCATCAACCCTCCCCTTGTCCTGCAGAGTAGGGGACTCACCACATGCTACATTGGGATCTAGCTAGGTGTGGAAATGGAACTCCCATTTTGAATGACTATTATGTAGGACTAGATATGATGATGGCAATTTTTATCTAGAAGAGTCCACAGACTTTTTTACTATCTTAGGAGGGACCAGAAAAATCTTGGGATTGCTGAGGTGCCATCCAGTGCCAAGAAAGGAACTTCCAGCCTTACATAAACCTCAAAGGATGGGGGAAGACAATTTTTCTAAAAAAACTGATAAAACCCCATAATTCTTGTGTGTTCCATGTACCAGTTACCCAATGGTATAACAAATGATCAGGTTGAAGAAGTGGAGGCTTCAAGGACAGTCATTATTTATTATTATTTTTTAGCAATTTGGCAGAGAAAGAAAGGCAATGTGGTTTGGTGAGATGACAGAGATGACTGGAGGCTCTTTTAGGATAGGAGGAACCTGGGCCTGGCTGTGGGCTGAAAGAAGAGAGACTATAGATAGGGTAAAACAAAAAATCCACGAAACAGTAGGAACAGAACACTGACGAGGCAAGGTCACAAAGAGAAAGAGAAGACAAAGACAAGGGACTATCATTGATTTTTAGAAAAGAAAGGAGACTTCATTTTTTGGAAAGTTGAGGAAAACAGGAGAGAAGATGAGGAAAGATATACGTCATTTTGGTCTAGAAGGAAAAGAAATAACGGAGTTTACAGTGAGTGACTTTGACCATAGGGAAGGGGTAGGAGGGAAGCTCCCCTTAGAATGAGGGCAGTGGGTGGTATTTGTTACTCTGGAGACCAGAACTAGGAGGACTATGTGCAAGCTGGGGAGACATTAATTTGGGCTCAATAACTTGTCAAAAATGAGCACTAGGCCAGGTGCAGTGGCTCACACCTGTAATCCCAGCACTTTGGGAGGCCAAAGCGGGTGGATCACGAGGTCAGGAGATGGAGACCATCCTGGCTAACACGGTGAAACCCCATCTCTACTAAAAATTCAAAAAATTAACCAGGCATGATGGCACGTGCCTGTAGTCCCAGCTACTCGGGAGGCTGAGGCAGGAGAATCACTTGAACCCGGGAGGCAGAGGTTTCAGTGAGCCAAGATCGCGCCACTGCACTCCAGCCTTGGTGACAGAGTGAGACTCTGTCTCAAAAAAAAAAAGCCCTAGCGGACAGTGGAATTGGCCTTTTTCTAAATTTACACCCCATCATCAACAAAGGGTTCCAGTTGGGGATGGAGAAGCAACTGTTGGATGCTGTGGAGAGGGTTTCTGCATCAAAGGGGAGGGGAAGCTGATGACCTCCAAGACCTTTAGTGTCCAGGATTCACCTATAATTCTATATTTTGTAGGGTTTTCCACATCAAAAATTCATGTCACTGTTACTGAATACAATAAAAAGGAAGGCCTGTGAGGACCGGAAGAGAAAATGTAAAGAAAAGATTGCAGATGTTATACAATGCCTTGATTTTCTAAGTAGAAAATTATCTATTTGTAGCGAAGGAACTAGCTGGAGCTTGAGTTAGAGTCTGTCTCCAAGGTGCAGTACTCTATATGTATCCATAGTTTGGCTGTTGATTAAATTGGAACTATCACTATGTTCCGGGACATTTCATATTTATGCATGAGCTAAAAGGTAGCTATGATCGGGAACGTCTCCAGAAACCCTTGTGGCCTTTCCACTGCTTGGAGGCAAATGGGAACTAGCTGACGAGAGCAAAGCACGTTAGCCAATGTGCCCTGTATTCGGAACACAAAACAGACAAAAGCTCCCAAACCCTCTATTTCAGACATCAGGCTGAATTCTACAAATCAATGCAATCGGGAATGATCATACCAGATTTTATATCCTTTTCTCATAAGACAATGAAGAGCCACAAAAACTTAGAATTATTCAACAAGATAGCTATATTAGTTTTTCAGTTGTTTGGCTTTTGTTTATTTGTTTTTTGAGACAAAGTCTCGCTCTTTTGCCCAGGCAGGAGTGGCGCAATCTCTGCTCACTGCAGCCTCAACCTCTGGGGCTCAAGCGATCCTCCCACCTCAGCCTGCCAAGTAGCTGGAACTACAGGTGTGCTCCACCATGCCCAGTTAATTTTTTGTAGAGATGGGGTTTCACCATGTTGCCCAGGTTGGTCTTAAACTCCTGTGCTCAAGTGATCCACCTGCCTCAGCTCCCAAACTGTTGGGATCACAGGCATGAGCCACCATGCCCGGCCCTATACTGTTTCTTTAAAATAAAAACTGTATATTCCTAGAATTAACATCTATTGAAACGATAAAATATGCCAGCACCAACACATACCATCCATCTCAAAGAAATCTGCCCACAGATGCAATGTAAACAGGCCTTATAATCCAATTAAAATTTAGATTTACAAAGAGTTGTCTGTCTATTGCAAATCACTAGTCATTTTACCACAGTATGTTTCGTAAGAGATAAAAGCCACTAGAATAATATGCAATATTTAATATTCTGGGTCAAAGTTCAGCACCTAAGATCCCCTGACATCTTTACACATAAACAATATTAAACGTCTGTATGGATAGCCTGGCCAACAGGGCAATAACCCGTCTCTACTAAAAATATAAAAACTAGCCGGGCATGGTGGCATGTGCCTGTAGTCCCAGCTACTCGGGAGGATGAGGCAGGAGAATCGCTTGAACCTGGGAGGTGGAGGTTGCAGTGAGCCGAGATCACGCCACTGCACTCCAGCCTGGGTGACACAGCAAGAGTCTGTCTCAAAAAAAAAAAAAATAAGTTAGTATGAAGGGTCACATCTCCAGCCTGGGTGACACAGCAAGAGTCCGTCTCAAAAAAAAAAAAAAATAAGTTAGTATGAAGGGTCACATCTGACCTAAGTGTTACTGTCTGCAGGTACTTGAGCTTAGCACACTGCCTGGTACATAGTAAGTTAGCTTATTGAATAAATGACTGCATGAGTGAAAGAATGGATGGATTTTGTTAGCAGTAGCTCAAAAACTAGTTTGTGAGGAGGTGTGGTCTTTGTCCTGACTGTGAGCATCTTCCAGTGTTTCCATTAACCTTCTGGTTTCCTAGCATCACCAGCCTCAGGACAAAGCAGCAGGGCCATCAGGTCTCTTTAACCCAAATCAACATGGGCACGGAGAGAGGGAAGCATTTACCAAGGGCTGGGACTCCTGAACACTGTCACTTTTAGAAGTCTGATTGGTTCTTCTACAGGTGGTTTAGTTTAATCTTCTAGAGATTCCCTCCAGAGAAGAGTGGATATCTTCAAAGGAGCCTTAATTCCCTCTCACCTCCACCACAGCAACAAAAGTTAAGAGTGGAAGAAAGCAGTAGTAATCGCTTTCTGGTTCCAAAGAGCACCAAAAGCAGATCTTGATGTCATCTGCCTCCAATTAAGCCCCACAAATGAAGCTACATGGCTGAGTCCAGCTGCAATCCACTAGGAGGTATATTTCAGCTGAGGTGTCATTCCCCAGCATCGTTCACTGGGTAATAAGGAACACAGTTTCGAATGTGCTTTGACATTTATTGTCTCATTTGAGGTCCGTTACAACACAGGAAAAAAATGTGTTTCAGGGAATAGGAAGCAGGCTTGGAGATGTAGAGACCACACAGAAAGTAGGACATAGAGCCTGGATGAGACTGTGTCTTCTCAACACAATCCCACTATTCCAATACTGTTCCTACTATTCCATTAGGTTGGTGCAAAAGTAATCACTTTTTTTTGCCATTACTTTTAATGGCAGAAGCCGTGATTACTTTTGCAGCAACCTAATAGGTTCTAGCCCTATTTTCTTATCACCCAGAATTAGGGAAAGTGATCAGAACCCCATGGTGAATGGTACCTGATACAGCTTCTGTCTTATTTGGGACATGAGTCCCAGGAAAATGGTTAGAATAGAATATTTCTAGAAATATTTACCAAGCAGATCTTGGGTACCCAACACCATGGTGATCCATAAGAGAAGCTGAGGAAATGTCCATTCTAGAATCACATACCCAGGAAGAACAACACTGGACTACAGGCACGTCTGTCTGGTGCAGGGAGAAGCAGAACTGGTATTTCCTGGAGATCGGGCACTACACATGCACACACGTGCACAGGCACACATACACGTGCACGGGCATACACACACGCACACACACACGCACACGCACGCTGCGTCTCAAAAGTCTTCCTGCAGTTTTGAGCTTTAATGACTTCAGAATTATAAACACAGCAAACATACAAAAATCTGAAAGCTTGTTTACATTTCTTCTACAGTTACTTAGTTTTATGAATATTAAATAACACATTTTTAAATTTTAATGTTTTGTTTCAGTTCATATTTACCATCTTCAATCAGAGGGGCAAAAACATTTTCCAGTATAAAAATATGATACCCCTACAATCCACACACAAATGACCCATATCACATAACATCTCATACTAAGCCTGCAGTCAAGTAAAAGTAAATTTCACACGTGCTGCTGTGAAAACGACATTGCTCCTAAGTAAGCTTGCAAGGCTGGCTTTTTTCTTTCTATCTTTCTTTCACACCCTAGAGCTCTTCTTTTTGTTTATATGAATTAAAGTTTATCTTGTTAGATACAATCCACCCTGTTAGAACCTTTTCGGATCCTCATTCTACCTTTGACCACATCAGCTCTCCTCCCTGATGGTTCGAATCCACACGGCTTTAATGTTTTCTAAAGGACATTTTTTTTTTGTTTTTTGAGACGGAGTCTTGATCTGTTGCCTAGGCTGGAGTGCAGTGGTGTGATCTTGGCTCACTGCAACCTCCGCCTCCCGGGTTCAAGTGATTCTCCTGCCTCAGCCTCCCGAGTAGCTGGGACTACAGGTGCATGCCACCACACCCAGCTAATTTTTTGTATTTTTAGTAGAGATGGGGTTTCACTGTGTTAGCCAGGATGGTCTTGATCTCCTGACTTCGTGATTCTTCTGACCTCGTGATCCACCCGCCTTGGCCTCCCAAAGTGCTGGGATTACAGGCATGAGCCACTGCGCCTGGCCTCAAAAGGACACTTCTAACTATGCTAAACCATATCAAGTCCAAAGCAGAACCTTGTGGTGTGAAACCTGTTCACTCTCAGCAAACAAACACAATCCCTTCCTTCAGGGGCCTGATGGGACAATCCTAATAGAGATCTCCTCCGGCACATTTGACATCAGCCTATAAATCAGTACCTTTTGGACAGAGAAGATAAATCAATTAAAAATACAGCCACCTATACCATTTACTATATATTTTCATCTTAGTCCAAGGGACTTCAAGAGGGGCTCTGTCAAATGCACTGTTGAAATTCTCAGACTGTCTGACAGCATTCCTCTGATCCATGAGGTGAGAAACCCTAAGTGTGAAGGGTCAGATGAGGGGCAGCCACAGCTCTGTTGTTGATGTATTCTACTAACAAATATAATGCTATAACGGTAAGTATCTAAGGACAGATCCAAACAAATAAATAAACATTAGTTTACTTGTAATCCAAGTTCAAATAAAATTTGAACAGCTCCCACCAATGTCTTTTTTAGGTTGAATTTTGTTCCCCAAAAAGATATGTTCCAGTCCGAATCCTGGTACCTTTGAATGAATCTTATTTGGAGATAGAGTCTTTGTAGATGTCACCAAACTAAGATGAGGTCATACTGAATGTGAGTGGGTCCTAATCCAATAACTGGTGTCCTTATGAGAAGAGGGAAATTCTACTGACATACAGGGGAGAAGGTTACATGAAGATGGAGGTGGAGATTGGAGTGATGATGCTGCCACAAGCCAAGGATTGCTGGCAGCCATCAGAAACTTGGAAGAGATGAGGACGGATTCTTCCCTAGAGCCTTCAGAGGGAGCACAGCCCTGCCAGTACCTTGATTTTGGACTTCTTGCCTTCAGAACTGTGAGCCAACACATTTCTGTTGTTTTAAGTCACCCAGTTTGTGGTACTTTGTTATAGCAGCCCTAGGAAATTCATTCAGCATCTAAGCAAAACAATAGACATTGAAGGTAACGCCTATTAACATCAGAATCAAGAGCAGTTAGGAACTAGTTGATAAAAAAACAGAATAATCTGAGAAAAGATGAAAGAGAGGATGACAGGTATCTGGACTCCCGAGCACGCAGCAGGCCTGGCCAAGGTGAGGCTCCGGATGGCAGTGGAATGAATGGGTGAAGGAACAAGCCAAGCAGAGTGGGGGTACTGGCTTTGAGGCCAGCAGGTTGGACAAGAATTGATATCCAGCATCAGGCTCATCCCCAAGGAGTTCACTGTCCCTCCCAAGCATGGGGTGATCCTTTCTCAACAAAACCCTATCACTTTTAAATGGCTACGGATTACAAATTCGTCCATTTGTCATCAACATAGAAGCAAAACCATGTTGAGCTTCCTGTCTCCAATGTGACATTTTCCCTGCCTCTGTTTCATCATTCTAAATTAGACAGCAAGGGAAGGATCTGCTGGCCTCTCTGCTTGTCTCTATCTATAGTGCACTAGCCACCATCTCCAAGGTGCTAAGATTCTACTGACTGATGACGATATCGCTAAAATGGTTACATTCTGAACTAGAACAAGGAAGGTGTTATTTTCCGAATGTGCAAACTTAGGGGAGGAAGGAGTCTCCCTGGCAGTTTCCGATATTAATCTGGCTCCAATGTGGCCCCATGAAATACTCATCTACAATGGCAAATCTTCTCCAAGGATGGACCTTAAGAGACATCCTTAGGAGATTTCCTAGCAGTAATTAGAGGGATGTATTATTGCTAAATCCTGAACTCACTGGGAGCCAGGTTAATTTGGAAAGTTAAAATAAAAGTGCCGCCTTGTGGCAAAAGGCCACTTCTTGGCACCTTAAATGAAGCACAGCCCTGCGCAGGGCAAGAGTAGTAATTCTGAAGATGTCTGTACCCACCGCTGACACCCCTTTAAGGAAGCTACTATGGAAAAGGCCAAATGAAGCATCGATGTGCAAATACCACTTAGCAAGTACAGATAAGCTGGGCTAAATCATGCTCGGAGCACTTAAAAAAAGATTCAAATGTTAATACATTAGCGCTAGAACATGCTGTACAAGCAACAGGAAAATTGCAGTTGTCAATGTGTGAATTTAGTCTTGGGGTAAGTTCATCCAAGGAAGTAAAATCTCAATTTAGATCGTTTTTCTATTTGAGCCCCTTTCCTTCCATATCCATGTGTTTCTTTTGGAATGGGGGAGGACATCGTTACTCAGCAAATGTATTTCACACCAAGAAAGGGTTAGGGTATTATTCATCCAGGGAAGGGATGTGAAGTTCTCAGCTAAGTAGTTTGAAGTGGTCCTTCAGAAGGCCAAACCACAAAAGATGGAGAAGGTGTCCTGGGGTGTGTGTGTGTGTGTTTGCATGTGAGCCCTTGTGTGCATATCTCCGTATATAATCTGTGTGCATTCTTTTTTATTCTTTTATTTATTTATTTATTTGAGACAGAGTTTTGCTCTTGTTACCCAGGCTGGAGTGCAATGGTGCGATCTCGGTTCACCGCAACCTCCGCCTCCCAGGCTCAACCATTCTCCTGCCTAAGCCTCCTGAGTAGCTGGGATTACAGGCATGCACCACCATGCCTGGCTAATTTTGTATTTTTAGTAGAGACGGGGTTTCTCCATGTTGGTCAGGCTGGTCTCGAACTCCCAACCTCAGGTGATCTGCCCGCCTTGGCCTCCCAAAGTCCTGGGTTTACAGGCGTGAGCCACTGCACCCAGCCTGTGGGCATTGAGAAATAATTCTAAGGGGGAAATAGCAAGAGGAAAGGGGCAGTGCACCTACTCTATTATGGAATTTCTGGCATTTTCCTGTTGTACTTCTCAGAAAGTCTACCTGCTGGTCATAGCAGGTGCACAGGAGTAGCTGCGGCATCCTGGGTGGAGAGCGCATTGGCTGTTGCGGAGGGGAAGCCCAGCTGTGTGAGCTCACCCAGCCTGGCCAGCAGGGAGAAGGGGCCCCAAGTCCATCTGGGGCCTAGATAGAGACCCCAGAGTTTGGAAGCTGTGGCCAACTCTGCTTGCTGGTTTGAAAAAGACATGTATTCCAGGTCGAGTTTGACAGGCTGTTTTCTATATCAAAGCAACAAACAGACTTTCATTTCAGAATGCATCTGGTCTGCCAAACCATTCTATCACAAGCAGCTATTTTCTTTAAATGGAAAGTTAGGGCAGTTTATTTTTCTCAAAACCGTGCTGTCAACTCTTCTGTCTGACTCTTGACTTTCACCTGTTCTACACAATGGCAAAGCTGTTCTTAAAATGGTGGCGTGGGGGGGACCTTCCCTGAGGACACTATACTTGTGATATATTTACAAAAATCTGTGCCTCAAAGGGCACGTAGGTCAGAAATAAAGATGGAATGTATTTGAGTCAACTTATTTAGAGAAAAAGGGATGCCAAACCACTTGTCTAGTTATGGTCCTTGAACCAAAATAAATCTCTTCACATGACACATCTATTTATATTCTTATTGGGCATCTGAAGTTTTCATGAGAAAGGGGCAATTTTAAAAATTCTTATCCCTCCCTACACACTCTAAGTCATTTTTTTGGGGGACAGGGTCTTGCTCTATCGCCCAGACCAAGTACAGTGGCACAATCAGGGCTCACTGCACCCTTGACTTCCCTGGGCTTAGATGATCTGTCTATCTCAGCCTCCTGAACAGCTAGGACTGCAGGCGTGCACCACCATGCCCAGCTAATTTTTGTAGAAACAGGGTTTCGCCATGTTGCCCAGGCTAGTCTCAAACTCCTAAGCTCAAATGGTCTGCCCACCTTGGCCTCCCAAAGTGCTGGGGTTACAGGTGTGAGCCACCATGCCCATCCTCTAAGTCATTTTTAAATGAAAGAATTGTAGTTCCTAAATGCATACAACTGATAATATGTATATATGTGTATAATATAGATGCTATGCATTAACACACATCTGCAGTGTTGGAGTGAGACCACTCCTGTGTAGAACAGGTGAAAGTCAAGTCAAGTCAAGTGACCACATCACTTTTCCCATTATTGTTAATGCTCAAGTGTTGCTCAGCCACTATTTCAAAAGCTCACTGATTTGTTTTTCTGCATTCATCTAAGCAAAAAATTCATTATCATTTCAAAAAGCATTTCCAACTACGCAGAATTTGGGTTGTCAGTAAATATGCAATACTCCCATAATTAAATTAGAGTAACATTATCAAAGAAGGGCTACAATAATCTTTGTTTGGTAGAATAATCTTACCTGTGATAGTGCTAAGATTCTCAGATGATTAATAGTATCAAAAATATCATTCTTAAAGCCACAACATTTCACATTCATTTCCTAAGACATGTATTTCCCTCTTTATAACCATCCCCTCTTTATCTATTACAGAGTAGCACATTTAGTTTGTTAATGGAAGGAAGCTAACTTCTCTTTTCTGATACCTCACAGATGCTAATGCCACATGAATTCTACAGTATTTAAAGGAAAAAGGGAAAGCAAACCACTTGCCTGGTTAGGAATTAAAGGAAGCCACCTGAAAGCTGAGCCTAGAAACATCCTAAATTATTTTATGATGACAAATCCCTCAGCTAAAAACCGTGAAAAAAAAATTAAAAATGTAGAATTCCACACCATCATTTTCTACATAACATCAATTTAATTATTAAGTGGTTATAAATTAGACATTAGTTACTTATTCTTCTAAATGATTTAACTTTTCCAATTCTCATTTCATCTGTTTTCCATATTTAAAAAAAAAATCAAAGAAATCCAAGATATGGAAAAGACACGCTGGGTGAGGATCTGAAACTGATTTGGTAGCTTTGGAGTTGACATAATCTTGGCCTGGTGCAGCTCATTTTCGAAAGCTGCCTCAAATTTCCCCTGGTTTTGAACTTTTTTTTTCCTTACCACTTTCATCTAGCAAGAAATCATCCTGGTAACGGAACTTCTCCGGTCCACATGCAATAAAAATGTCATCATCACCAAAAAAGTCCTGAAGGCACATCACCTACAAGAGAAAAGCATGGCACTCAGCAAGGGTGGTAGAACAGCAATTACAACAATGCAACCCCACGAGCAGACATCTGCATAAAGCCCCTTCCCACCTAATGGAATCAACAGGGCAGCTTCCACAGAGGAATTTCAAAAGAGGGGTTCGAGCATCTGTTACTAGTAAGAAACATGTTCCATTTCAGTTCTGCAGGAAAACAGGATAAGGAAAATAGAACCAGTAACTGTCACATTTATTACTTGATATATCAACAGGCTCTGAGGTAAGAGCCCTTTGTTTCCATAATAGAGGAGGTGCAGTGCCCCTTTCCTCTTCGGAATGTAATACTCTTTGATAGCAACACAAGTCAGCATATGGTTTTAACAACAAATATGTTTAGTAATTGATGCTGTCATATACACACGATAATCACCAAAGAAAAATACTTCTCTCATGATATGAACATCACCTCCTTTAAACCCATTCTACCTCTAGTTGAAAGAAAAATGAAACTCTTTTAAAAATAATAATAAATAAATTAAGCTATTGCTTAGGCTTAGAGAGATTATGGTAAGTGTATGCCCACCACCCAAGCTCTGCCAAACTCTAAA
This sequence comes from Homo sapiens, assembly GCF_000001405.40. Lineage (NCBI taxonomy): Eukaryota > Metazoa > Chordata > Mammalia > Primates > Hominidae > Homo > Homo sapiens. The sequence goes on from NC_000013.11 coordinate 35,948,051, forward strand.
ACTCCCAGGCCACCCAACTTCTTCTTGCCATGCAAAAGGCAAGTTTTAAGGCAACCTTTTGATATTTACTCGACTTACTCTCCAATGAGAACTTTAAGAAAGCTAAATGTCATTTTTGCAAGTAAATGTGATCAAAATGAATAATTTTCAAGCATCTTGCTCTCTGTCTTTGGATAGACTATGTAATATTTTGTTCACATTATGTGTAATACCAACACTAGGAACACTGCTGATTTTTAACTATTTTCAATTTCCTTTGACCACTTGGACGAATCATAAGATGGCCAGTTGCAGGCACCCATTCAGAGCTGTATGAAATAGATGTTGTAATAGCATTTTCTCCTGGATATTTGAGGACCAGAGACAAGCCTCTCTGGAGTGCTCGATTGTTTGGCCCTGTGTTTGTAATGCGCTCCTCTCTGACTTGTCTGCAGTTTCCTCTGTGGGCACCTCTGGAGTTCTGCTTTTTTGTTAGTCCCTGGGAATGCTACTCGGACACATTACATGTGCTGTAAGACATGGAATAGTAAGTTGAGAGAACGCAGCATTATTTAGAGTCCCCAAATGCAATGATGTGTGGGCTTTAGACTGTCTTTCCAAATAATGTCTCATTTCTAAATAATCACTTGGCCGAAGTTTTTAAAATGGAATTTCTATAAGAGTTTGATAATCAACATTAAGCACGAATGAGGTACTATCCACGGTTGTCAGTGTTTAGTCTGCCCATGAAAGCTTAAAAACACAGGGGATTTAAGAGGGAGGCTGTAATCACTGAGGAAGATAAACTGAAGGGCTTCAAGAGAGATGTCAGAAGCTCTGATATTCTACTTGGTTTAAAAGCAGACCATTTGAATTCAGAACCCACCCTCCATTTCACTCCTCTCTCTGACTCCAACCCAATCCTGTTCATCTTTACCTTCATGACACCATAGCTTCTTCTAGCATCATCTCAATCAACCCCCTATGGCCATTTTCATTTTACATTTCATTTACAGAAAGTATTTACTGAATGCCTACCACGCTCCAATCAGCATCTGGCAGAAATGAAGAAGTCATGATCTCCACCCAAATGTGAACAATTAACCCAAAAGAGGAGTATCTCCTAAAGTGTGGATGATTAATACGTTTTGTGCAAAAGAGAGTTCTAAAGCCAAACAGATTTGGAAAATATTTGTTTCCAAATTCTCAAAACCCTTAATGTTCTAATGTACACCATGATGTCAAAGAAGAGATAGAAAAATCCAGTATTTCCCAAACTTATTTGATTCCAGAACTTTTTTCTCACACAGCATCATGCAGACAGATACTGTTCCTCAGAGTGCCCTTTGGAAGTGGGCTGACAGCCATAGGTGAAAAGATCTCTGGGAGCACAGGAAAGACAGAACAGTTATCCACTCTGCTCCTAGGCGGCCATGCTTCTGCAGCTGATAAATATTTCACTGCCAACTAATTTACTCACTCAGACATTTATGATGGGCCTACTCTACATCAAACATTCTGATGATGTATCTCCGATAGATGAAAAATATTGATTTTTAAAGGAAACACATTCCCACTCCCACCATTTGCATTTGAGAACATCTGATTGCTAACCACATCCTACTCATCGGTGTGTGCATATTTCACGCCACTTCTATGTGGAAAAATAACCATCATCAAAACTACAACAGGTTTTAAGCAGGTTGCTAGCCAATGCTCTTCCATCAGTTTACTGATGACCATTCTCCAAGTCTGAGACTTAAAGAACAGAACAAACAATGATCCATCTTGGGCAGTTTTTTTTTTTTTTTGGCAAGCGGGAAATGAAACGTGATGAAATTTTGATGTTCTTTCCAACACTGAGACTCCAAGAATATAAAAGGAATGCAATGATTGTTAGAGAAAAGTAACTGTCATCACCCAGCACAAAAAGGCAGGGGCAAGTCACCTCAGTGCCAAGCAACATGCATTCATTTACCTCTCACTTTTCAGTGATTGAAATGAGAGAATTTGTTGAACTAACAGAAACTCTGATGTTTTCCGTGCTTTCTGTTCGAAATCATGTAACCACTTTCCTGCTCACAACTTCCCATTGGAAAAGGTAGGTATGGTCAGTAGATCACATTCAACTTTATAAAACCGCTCCTTGCTAGAAGTCTTCTTAAAGAGTTGATAGCAAAGGAGACTTAAACACAAGGTTATAATAAAGATGAATTTAGGATAATCTGTGCACTTCAATGCACTTCAATTATCCACGCGCTCATGCATTATCATTGATACAGAGGTAGCTGTAATGTATTCCAACTAACAAGAAAGAATAACAGAGGGAGATTTATAACCCTCTTCTTTAGACAAATGTACATTGAGAATTTTCCTTGAGGCATTACTGTACATTCTGATATTAAGGAATTATAAAAAGGTGGAGGAATTGAAAACCAGTGTTTCGCACAATAATCTGATTTTATTTATCTATGCAGTGTTACTCCTTTTGAAACCTGGTGTCCTAAAGATTCAGTGTAGTTACCAGTTTTTTAAAAGATTCGTTTTATGGATGAAAAACATGCTTCTTGTTACAAAGGGATAGTGACAATTGGCCTCTCTGCCATGAATTCATTGCTCAGTAGGTGTCAGATGTTAGAAGCATTCATCATGATTAGATACAGGGCAGACGCAAAGGCAGAAGTATCAAGTTTGAGAAAAGAGAGATGTCCAACCTGTGGAGAAGCACCTTTCCAAGCTTTTCTGTTCCACCTCCATGCTCCTGTACCTCCCAGGAGAGTTGATGTTGTCAGAGCCTGCTCTTCTCTGTGGTTTCACTACGGTCAGAGATTCTGCCCCTGCAATAACTTTCAAACCCAGGCCTTTCTCCCACCCTCCTCTCCTTTACTCCCAGCACCAAGTCAGTCCAGGGCTCGTCCTCCTGCTTGTGGACCCTGGCATTTTACTCTAGTGGATTTTCTCAGCCCTACCGCCTTTCTGTTTAATCCATCCTGTTTAATTCTGTCAGTCTACTCTTCCTTCACAAATTTTCAATATCTCTCTCCATGGCTCAGAAAGCCATCCATGGCTTACTATCCTCAAGTTAAAGTTCATCTTTCTGAGCTTGGCATTCCAGATGCCTCAAAATCTGACCCCAACCTACCTTTCAAGCTTCCGGTTTTTTTAGTTGGGACATGGTGCCTGATACTTAAATAAGCATTTGTTGGATGGATGGACGATGGATGGATTAATGGATGGATGCATGGATGGATGGATGGATGGATGGATGGATGGATGGATGGATGGATGATATGGATAGATGGACGGATGGAAGAACTATGTCCTAACCTGAAAAATGTTTCAATTTATCTGCTTTACCTGTTTTTCTTGAAAAAGGGCTTGTTCTTTCCTATGTGTTTGTTTTTTCTATCTAGTATCCTTTCTTACTCTTTGCCTGTTCGAATCCCTCCTATAGCCTATTGCTCAGTTGCAGATTCAAGCCCTACCTTCTCTATCCACTCTAATCCAAAGTGACTCATCCCTGCTCTGAACCTCTACCCATTGATCAATACGTGTTTACTGAGTGCCCATTATTTGCCAGTCACTGGGCTAGGTCTTGAGAATATGGCTGCCCTTATCCATCACCTCTTCTTTTCTAGTATATGTTTACAGACTTATGATCCAAATAATTCCTGTTGCAAATCAGTAATTCAGCCGAGAGTGACTTACATTACCTTCTAGTGGTTTTGTCAAAAGCTGGAGACAGGTGATATCACTCCAGCTCTTGCTCTGCCACCATCACTGACTTGCGCAAATCAGGAAACCTCCATCAGCTATCTTGAAATGAGTCCTGTTTCTGTAGATCCTAGCTTCAGTCAGAGCAAAGGCAGTGTCTCGCGTTAGGTGCCATTTCTTTTGGCACCATGGAGATGTCTGCTTAAGCTGTTCCCTAAGAGCACAGCACTATCAACAGAGCCCAGCTTCTGAGTTAACCCAGCACTTCCACTTGGATGTTAATCTCTTTGTGTCTCGGTTTATCATATCAGTTGTTTCAAGATGAGTTAAGACGATGAATCCAAAGAGAATAAGTCCTCAATAAAGTTTAGCTTTTTTTATTAGCCCAAATGTATTTTTACTTCTAAATAAGTATAAATCGAGTGCATACGTAATATAAATGGAAAAAATGTTTAAAAAAGCAAACACACAGTATGTACCTCCTAAGTTTTATACCAACATGCTTCTTTTCTAAGTTGATTTGAAGAAAATGTAGCAAACGCGTGCCTATTCTTGCTTTGGGAATAAGGATTCTATCAGTATCATTACTTTGATGAAAGAAAGACACACTTTGAATTAGCATCAGAGAATGGGTGGAAAGCTGGTAGAAGCTGCTAACACAAAGGTGGGACACGGTTTATACCACTGACTTCCATTAGGCTTCCACAGAATGATGCTGCGAAAAGTCATTTGTAAGCATATTCACCTGATATAACAAATGTGCTAAGGACCACTGTCTTAACTCAGGGCCTCTTGAGATCTGTCACCAACTTCTAGTTTCGTGACAACCAGAGATTTTTATTCCTCTGAGAAAACTGCTCTCTGTTGAAATATCTCCACTGCAAAAGATACTGTATGTGTAATATATGCAATTCATAAGCCAGGTAATCTGTTTATAGTACATGACACTTAATATTCTGTTGACTAATTTTCAGTTTTTACTTAGTGCTTTGGTTATTATACGGAAATCTAACTCCAATGTTGAATTTTTTTTAACTCCAATGAAAAACAGTCCATTTATTGCATGAGACTCTATGTGATGGTGCTTAGCATTATGCCATACCCACAATACCTCAAAAAACATGGGTGATTATAATTGCCAGATGTGCTGGGAAAAGTCCTTGAACGAGGGTCAGGATACCTGGGTTCTGAGCCCATATTGGCCTATAACTGTTGCATGAACTTGGATGAGTGACTTAAATTCTCTTGCTTATCAGTTACTGCATTGGTTCTAATATGCTTTATCACAGTAATTATATGATAAAGATAAAATAAATATGAAAATACTCTTTTTGGTGTGATGTACCAACAGGAATAGTTCTGTATACATTACTACATTTCATCTTCAATATACATGATAACACTGAATCCTTTCAACTCTGAAAGAGACAAACTCTATTTGACAATAATTTATTGGTATTAGTATCCCCATTTTACAGATGAAAAATCCAGCCAGGTTAAACAGAAAATCAGTAGGAATTTGAACGGAGGTCACTTAGAACCCAAATGCAGGCTGTTAACTACCAAGCTGTAGGAAAATGAGTCTATCATGCACCCTCACATTTGCATATTATAAATTTCAGCTGATAAAATCATTATGATCAATAGTTACCACATATATTGTATATTAATAGTATATAATAAAAACGGTGTCTAATAAACCCCCCTTTTTAAAAGAAGGAAGTTCGAATTATTCCTTTGGCTCAAGGAAGACATATTCCTTTTTCTGACTCTCTTTATGTGAAATCTGAATTCATATCTTTTCCATTAACTTGTCATTACGCACAGTCGTCCCAAGAGACTAAGCTGCTTACGAGGAAACAAAACGCTACAGACAAATATGGACTTCCTCTCCTCTGAGCTTCCGGCCTGTGTTGCTCTGCAAGGGCAGAGATTCAAACAAAGGCAATAAAAGCATCTGCTGTTTACACATTTCCAAAGCAGGACCGTGGAATCCATTCCCCCTCACTGGAATAAGATCTCCATGGTGACGCTGACTTCAGGGAGCTGGGCCAGTTTCTCAGCAGGGCCTAGGCAAGGATATTTTCTTTACAAGAGCGCCCTCTTCAAACGAAACAGGGGATATCTCTGCAGCCCTGGATGCATTTGAAGCCACAGAAGTCATTGTGTCTTTATCAGGTGTTTTCCATTGTATCAGAGACACCAAAATATTTTGCTGTCATCCATTTAAATAATATATTTTAAGCAAGAGAATAAACCATCACAGAAGTAAAAACGAATAAATTCATTCCATCTATTGCAATTATCGAGTATGGCACATTATTTCTGTTTTAACTTTCTTTTTCTTTAAAATACTTCATTTGTAATTTCTTAAACTTCTTAATACCAGTTAAAGATGGCAGGCTTAAACGTTCTGTAGCTAACAGTTTAATGAGATGCTCTTTACCAAAAAGGAATGCTTACACTGCTTTTTTTTTAAAAAAAAATCTAGTTACCTATGTATCTAAGGTGCCAAGTCAACAACCTTCCTCTTTCTGCACAATTCGTAATGTGACCATTATAATTAGCTTTCAGTTAAAACTTGGCACATATGGGGCTCCTCGTCCTGCCAAAACTAAATTGAGAGGAGGTTCCTCTTCCAATTTCATTCCATACTTGGCTTCTTCTCTCCATTCTTAGCAATGAACATTTTTATGCCACATGATATTATAAGTCAACCACTGTGAATTTTTCTGTCCTATAATCATGTAATTCCATATGTTTCTGGTTCTAAAATATGTTTACAATCAGTTTTATAGCCAAATATTAGAAGCGTGTTACGTTATTGTCATAAAACACATTCTCCATCCCTTCTTTACATTTTTGTTTTCATTCTTTGATGATAAATTTATGAAAGTGATAATTTATTTTACTCTAGTTCTTATGGCTAGAAGCTTCTAATAAAAAATTCTTTAAAGAATCTCTGGATCTTGGCCAGAGGAAAATATGTGAATAAAAAATAAATTAGTTAAATAATAATAATTAACAGAAAGAAGAAAATAAAGATCCTCAAAGTACTCTTTACAAGTTTAAAACATGAAGCTCTAAGACTTTTTTTTAAAAAAAATGGATAATACTGTTGAAATTCAGAATAGGCTAGGAGATAACACTCAAACTAACAGGCTGATGCTTAAAGAAATAGAAAAAGGAAAAGTTCTCCTTTGAAATGGTAGCAATTTGATTCGCTGGGTCAATCAGAAAAAGTCAATTATGGAATTGAAAGTGTATTCCTTCCTTGGATGTGTTCTCAGCTGCTGTAGTTGACATGGACATCAGCTATTGCAGCCTTCTGTTGAACATACCCTCTGACCCAGGAATGCACCCTTTATGCATGGATCACCATCTTTCATGGACTCAGACACACCTAAGCAGACTGCAACCTATTCTAAATGATTCATCCTTTATTATCTATCCTGTTTTTTTTTTAATGCTAACATTTCATTCTCTTTTTAAAAATGTGTCTCTTAGTCCATTCAGGCTGCTATAACAAAAATATCCTAGACTGGGTGGCTTGTAAACAGCAGGCATTTGTGTCTCACAGCCCGGAGGCTGGAAGTTCAAGATCGAGGCACCAGATGATCTGGTGTCTGGTGAGGGCCTGCTTTCTCACTTTAGCCTCACGAGGTAGAAGGGACAAGGGACCTCTCTGGGGCCTCTAATAATAGCCCTGATTCTATTCATGAGGATGATGCCCTTGTAACCTAATGGCCTAATCACCTCCCAAAGGCCCGCCTCCTAATACTATCGCCTTGGAGGTTAGGATGTCAACATAGGAATTTGGGGGGATACAAACGTTCAGACTAGAGCAAAGTGTAAAATGACACCCTAGTAACAAATATTGACCAGGTGCCTTGGCTTGGCCACCTAATAGATGTGTGACTTTGGACAACTATTTAACATCTTCAAGCCTCAGTTTCCTCATATGTAAAATGGACCTACCAATGCTTACCCTGTAGGGTTTCATGCAGGTTCGATGAGATAATGTATGTAGAGTAATCAGTTCCATGCCTGGCTTACAGAGAACACCAGGGATGAGCAGCTACTGCTGTCAGTGCTGATACTAGTAAGGCATAGTAGGTAGGTCTCTGAGTGACCATCTGTCTGAGTGATTTGGGGCTATTATTTAAGAATAGAATACTAAACTTAAATATCTGGGAAAGAGAGGTATGAAGAATAGAGTTTACTTAGAAGGTTTCCAATCCTGGTCTTTTGCCAAGTTAATACCACATCAGTCCTATTCCTCTGGTTTCTCTCATTAAGACATCCTTTACTGTTGTCTACCTCCTTTTTAGAATAGCTCACCTACTTGCCCCTCTTTCACTTAAGGAATTAAAGGATAGTCCAAGAAAATAAAAACTGTGACACAGTAGTTTCTCTGGAGAGGATACAAATAAACTCTGGTCTGAACCCAGAAGCTAACCTAAATCAATTACCTTAAGATGAGTGTTCAAGATTAAGGGTGACCAAGCCCAGGAAATTGGCTTATCTGAGCCATCTGATTGAACTCATTATTTTCAGGGATAGGAAAAGATCAAACTTATATTCTATTGCTGAGAGGCAAACTTATATTCTATTGCACAAAAGATTCATGCAAGTAGGTAGTTAACATTGTGGCATGGTTTCTAATTAGGCAGAAACATCTTACTGTGATAATTGGAAAAAGAAGAAATAAAACTATGAAGAGAAACATGAAGCCACATAATACAGAATATTTTGGAGATCCTTAAGGGGTAAAATGTGGCACTGAACATATGGCTGGTTCTCTGCTTAATGCCTGGGGAGTGATATTGGACATAACGCTATCTTCAAGTCATTCTGAGAAACACTTCAAGTTCTCATCACCAATGCCAAGAGGTGTTCATAGCAGGAGTCATAAACACAGGACCAACCAGGGATAGGTAGGGAATATGGATGAGCGAAGGCTGGGGAAAAACAAAACAAAACAAAAAAAACATCATCAGTGGCAAACTGGATCATAAATGCCCTGTCCAAAGCAAGCAGCATCAGGCACTCTGCTCCCACATTACTTTCTCTAAAAAATTTTAATAGGAAGAATTGTTGTAAATTTAACATTTCCAATTAAAAAATAAAATCTGTGGTACTACGTAAACCCATACAAAATGCTCCTCTGGCCTGGATTCAGTCCATTCAAAAGCATTCATATAAAACTTTGCAAATAACTATACCTTCAAAAAAGATTTTCAAATGTTTATTCTTGTATCAGTTTATTGTATGTTCTTTGTTAGGGTGGTCACTATTTTGAAAAGTCAAGATGAAGAACAAAGAAATGATGCTCTGAGATTCTCCTACTAAGTGTTTATAAGCCTACAAAACACCATTAATAGAATAGGTTTGGGGCAAAATAAACTTGGAGCAAAGGGAAAGAGTCACTAATCAGCTAGTGTAAGGTGCTTTACAGGAATCTTGGCATGCAGATAAAGTTACAAAAGTCAGGCTTCAAACCCAGAGAACCAAACCCAACCCATAAAATCTGTGTCAGGCAACATCCTCAGATAGAGTCAGGATTTAAAAATGTGTTTAAAGCAACTCATTGTTCTCTTATAATTTTGTTGACTCTTACTCAACATGCACACAAATGCATTCTGGTGCTATGACTTTCCCTCTTGATGTTTTTTAGAAGGAGCCTGGGATGAGTGCTGAGACCTATGATGTGTGAGGCCCTAAGAGAGACTTGACACATGATGTTACATCAATTTCTCACAAGGACTCTTTGGTAAAATCAGATTATTAAAAAGTTTTGCAAGAAAATTATAAGTATCAAAAGTATTGGCATATATTTGAGAGCTAAAAACATAAAGATAAATCACTTTGCCTGGTATGTTCTTGTGCACTGGCTTGCTGCCTGAGATTGTGTAAAATAATATTCCCAAAGCCATGGAAGTATGCTTTTGCCAGGAACATTTGTAAAGGTCACTTAACGTTAAAGTATTGAGTCTGTTGCTTTAAATATTTTTATTTCTTGTTTGAATCTACTTCTCTGCATATATAACTTGAGATTAAAAGGCATTTTTTATACAGTGCAAATTAGTCTTCTTAAGTAAATGATGTTTTTCAAACAACAACAATCCCACAAAGCTGACATTTCCAAAATGATTATTAGCGTCACCACCACCACTGCTATAACCATCACCACTACCACTACTACCACTACTACAACCATTACCACCATCACTGCTATAACCACCACCACCACCACCATTATCACCATCACCATCACACACCACAACTACCACCACCACCACCATCACCACTATAACCACTAGCACCACCACCACTACTATAACCATCACCACCGCTATAACCACCATCACCACCACCACTACCACTACTATAACCACCACCACCACCACTATAACCATCACCACCATCACCACTATAACCACCACTACCACCACCACCATTATAACCATCACCACCACCACTATAACCACCATCATCACCACCACCACTACCACTACTATAACCATTACCACCATCACTGCCACTATAACCACTATAATAAACACCACTACCACCACCACCATTATAACAATCACCACCACTACTATGACTATCACTGCCGTCACCACTATAACCACCACTACCACCAGCACCACTACTATAACCATCACCACCACCATCATCACTATAACAACACCATCACCACTATAACCACTATCACCACCACTATAACCATCACCACCACTACCACCACCATCACCACTACTGTACCACCAACAGCAGTATAACTACCAATACCACCACCACCACCATTACTACCATTATCACCATCATTTCCATCAACACCACTATCTCCATAAGGGGAGCCCTTACAAAACTTTGGATTTTGTTCTAAATGAGCTGAGGACAGAGCCTTTTGTCTCTTGAGTGTTCTGTGCAGCATATTAGTCTGTGTTTTGCTCACAAAACACAGTGATATTCAGTACAAATGCAACCTAGAATTCTAAAATTATTTTAGGAATAAATTTACTTTTTTCACCCATACTTAAATGCAGCTACTAAAGACATTTACATGGCTTCCAAAATATTGGAGAAAGATGCTTGTTCTTCCAAAAATATATTTGAGAGCAAGTGAGCTCTTAAAATTATAAATGGAAACATTCTCTGGAATTGTTTGAATAATAATACTGTTTTTGCATAATTGTATTAAGATCTAAACACAGCTAATAAAAGGTTGAGAGAGATGGCAATAGTAAGATAAAAAAAAGTACAGTTCAAAATGAAAGCTTGGTTTCAAGACATTACGTTTTTACAAATAAATTCTGATGTGGGTACACAACTACGAATACAAACTTGATTCTTAATGGCCTCTTAAAAATTATATATGGTGATGAAAACACCTTAGGTCAATATTTCCTCTTTGTCTTCATTGTATACTATGTATATTAGAGCATCTACAATTAATTCTTTTCTATTTAAATCTAGAGTTGAGTGAGTAACATGGGGCTGGTTTCCATCTCCCCACAAAGCATGAACTAAGGCATAAAGCATCATGACTTCAAACACCTACAGAGACCTGGCAGGTAACATACACAGTGAAGTGGGCCAGGCATAATAAAACACCATGCAAACAGGGCGATCACTGGCCATTAACACAGGCAGACAGTAGGAAATTGATGGGGACTGCACTGACCTGGAACACCCCCCCACCTATAAATGGGGCAGCTCAACACTTGTCATGCAGGAAAGTAGGCCAGATTGATTAATTTTCTGTGAGAGAGTGAAATCAGATTTTCATTTGAAAGCCCCTGATTTTTAAAAAGTTGGTGATAAAATCGTGTTTTATAAAAAACATTGTGTATTCCAAATGAGACATGTCCATGTCCTGGATTCAACCCGTGGGCAGGCAGTTTGTAGTCTCCAGGGGAGAATTCCAGCAGCCATGGTTAACATGTGCAGAGCCAGTACTCTTGGCTGTTTCTATGATCTCAGGGGAGACTACCAGCTTCCGGACACTTCAGCTCCTGTAATTTCCAAAGGCAGGGTAGGGCACAATCAAGACCCACCACTCCTAGAAATTAGAGCTCATGAAAAAACCAATACAGCAAGTCGTGTGTGTGTGTGTGTGTGTGTGTGTGTGTGTGTGTGTGCACCTGTGTGTGCATGTTTATGTGCACATGTACATGAGTGCATCTACATGTGCTTACATTCCTGTCCTGGGAAAGGGTTGTGTTAGTCAACAGATTGTTTTCTGTGTCCTTCCTCTCTTCCCCAATGCTTGATCATCATGACTATCCCTTTCCTTTTCCTGGAGAGAGGAGGAGAGAAAAAAAGTGGAGAATCTATAACAGGAAATTTCAGAGCAAATGTTACCAGCTCAGCAGAGGTAAAACTAAACCCCTCCAATAAAGCCAAGAAGCTCCTTCTACTTCCCTTTCTCCCCCCTTAATCCATCCTCTGGCTGCAAGGGCAAATCATGGTTTCAAAAGCTACCAACTTCACCTTAAAAATGAATACTCTCTCTCTAAAAATAAAAATCCACCATGTGCAGTAATTTTCCTTCTGGCCACATCTTCTCTGCCCAAATGTTAAAAAACCACCAGGGCCATTTAAAACTATTAGAAATGTTAGCTTTAGTTGGAAGGAAGCAGAGTAAATAAAACTCAGCAATCTGGGGAAAAGGGGTTTAGGACATCAGAGTGAAAGGATAAAAATCAGATTATTTATTGTTTTATTTATTCATTTGTTTGTTTACTTTATTTTAAAGATGGGGTCTCTGTTGCCCAGGCTGGACTGCCTCAACCTCCTGGGCTCAAGTGATCCTCTGCCTCAGCCTCCCCAGGAGCTGGGACTACAGGCATTCACCACTACAGCTGGCTAATTTTTAAAATTTGTAGACATGGGGTCTCACTATGTTGCCCAGGCTGGTCTTGAACCCCTAGACTCAAGCCAGTCCTCCTGCCTCAGCCTCTCAAAGTGCTGGGATTACAGGCATAAGCCACCATGCCTGGCCAAAAAAAAATCAGAGCTTTCCACAAATAATTTCTAATGGTTGATTTTTATTTATTGGGTTTCTCACAAATCAGGAATGAGTTGACATGATTCTTTTTTTCTTCTACAAACTTGTCTCATATTACTGATGGCCTTCTCTTACGATGTCATGATTGGCTCTGAATGTCCCTAGTGGTCCAGTCCATTTATGTACAGAACATCTACCTAGCACAGGAAGATGCTTTTGTTGTTTGGATGAGAACGTGCTCATGTTTACATATTTTTCTATTCCAATTCACTTTAAACAATGCAGCAATATAGAACAGCATATAATAGAGGTTTTGAGTATAGGCTCTGGAGTCAGAGAAACTTAAGTTTAAAACTCAATTCCATGAATGGGAGACTTGAGTCACCTACTCAACACATTCCTTCACAGAGAGAAGGAGGATAATATTGCATCTACCTCCCAGGATGATTGAAAGAATTTGATGAGATAATGCATGGACATGTCAGGCCCAATGCAAGTGTTCAGAGAAAAGCAAATAATAGCAGTATAGCCCTTAAGTTAATGTTGGTGAAACATAAACTTCCAAGATTACTCTCAGAGTCAACTACCATGGAAGAGAGAGCAAAATAAATCAGTGGTTTCCAGTTTGTCCTTTCCTTGTACTGGTTTTACATTGAAAATTATTCTGGTCTAACAGCTGTTAGATTCAGACAACCATAAGGCATTCAAACTGCAATCAACATTGACCAAAGTGCATGAAAATTGTATTTTCTTTCCTTCTGTATATTATCCATTTTTCTTTTACATGTGAAGAATACAGTGCAATAACTAAATTAAGATGAACTTTCCCCTTGCATCCCCTGAAATAATATTCTTTTCAAGTACCTGACAAGTAGATGATTGAAAATTCCCTCAAGGCTGAAACATTTGTCCACGCCAATCATAACTTCCTTGATGCTAAAGGAAATGAGATCTAAGCATGAACTACCACAATCAACAGCAATTTAAAGGTTTAAAACCACAAAAAAGGCATAGTTATTCAACGCAAATCTCAAAATTAAAGTTCTCTCCTTGTTTCTGATTTAGACAAATTTCAACGTGTTATCCACAAGTTTTAAGTCTGACTTTAATATTAAGTGTAATCAGACATAAATAAGGTTAAAATCGTCATACATGATAGCCATAGTTATTGATGCATTTAAACAAAATCACCATAACAATGTAATTTCTGAAGCAATCAAGCCATAAACTTCTTTTTGAAATTATTTGTAGTGTTATACTGCCCTTCAGTGTCCAAACACATGTACTGTTAACAAAAATTTTTCAGCTCAAGAAGTGTCTATATGAAACTCTACAGCGAACAAAATAGTTATCTTATTTTTTGCAATATCTCAGTGAAGGGTGTTGCTGTGGGTTGAACTGTGCCCCCCAAAACTTATAGGTCAAAGTTTCAATTCCCAGTACCTCAGGATATGACCTTGTTTGGAAATAGGGTCATTGCAGATGTAATTAGTTAAGATGAGGTCATCCTGGAGTTGAGCAGGCCCCTAAATCAATATGACTGGTGGCCTTATAAGAAAAGGACACTTGGACAAAGACACAGGAAGAATGGCACGTGAATATAAAGGCAGAGGTTGGAAGATGCTTCCGTAAGCCACGGAACACCAAAGATTGCCAGCAAACACCAGAAGCTAGGGGAGAGGCCTGGGAATGATTCTCCCTAACAGCTTTCAGAAGAAACCAACCCTGCTGATACCTTTATCTTGGACCTCCAGTCCTCAGAAATGTGAAACAATACATTTTTGTGTTGAAGCCACTCAGATCATGGTTATTTATTACAGAAGTTTTAACAAATTAATACAGGTGTGGTTTTTTCATGCACACAGAAATATACAGAAATAAAAATTTTCTTACAAAACAACTGTTAAAAGGCTTCATTTTTCCATTGAGCTTAGTTAAGTTTCAGAGGGTTTTAGAGGAAAACTCTAAAGCATAGGAAATTCTGGTAACATACATATGTTCTGCCAACATGAAGAAGGGCAAACATATGGTCTTTATTCATTTTACATTTATGCCAGTTATTACTTATGCCACCATGACCAGTTCCTGATTGTATGAAAGAGTTGTTTGTACAGACCCTGGATTACCTGGACTCTCTTATGTTCTCTTTGTCTTTTCTGCTTTGTTCATTGTTAGTTGTTTACATTATATATTCAGAAGAGTGAACTAAGAATAGGAAAGCTTTTATAGGACACCTCCTTGACTTCTAAGATAGAAACAAGGAATCACGACAATGCCCCAAGAACAAGTGAATCATGGGCAGGACCTTGCACTGCAGCGAATCAGCAGAACTGGATTCTCCTCATCTTGACTCTGTAAATCACTCACAGTGTGAGCCTAGCATCTCTGAGTGCCGGTTTTGTCTTCTTTAAAATGATAAATTATACTAAATGAACAATGTCTCTTCTAGCTCTTTTGTTTCATGACTTACAAAGGAAACCTGCAAAGGGTGAACTGGGGAGGTGAATTTTCTTATGAGCCTACTACGCTTGAGACACTAAAAACCAAATGCATCAGGAGCTTGTACAGGTAGTATAGTGGGGAACAATGGAAATATTTTAATTCTACAATTTACTAGACACTCTTATTGAATGTTTTGGTAGGGTAGGAGACATAATAGGAAGCTTTGCTTGGCCATATTTTGTGAATGTGAAGACCGGGATTATCAAGAATTGGCTTATGCTGAGAGGTTAAAGGGTATGAAATTTTTCTGGCATTGTTCTGGTCAATGATAACTCAGAACTTCAATGTTCTAGGTGTTTCCAGAACCACGAAGTAGTTAAATTATTATCACGGATAACATGGTTAGACTTTGTATCCCCACCCAAATCTCATCTTGAATGGTAATCTTCAGGTGTTTAGGAAAGACCTTGTGGGAAATGATTGGATTATGGGGGTGGTTTCCCCCATGCTGTTCTCGTGATAGTGAGTGAATTCTCATGAGATCTGATGGTTTTATAGATGGTAGTTTTTCCTGCATTCTCACACATTTCTCTCTAATCTGCAGCCATGTAAGACATGCCTCTTTCCCTTCTGCCACAATTGTAAGTTTCCTGAGGCCTCCCCAGCAATGCAGAACTCTGAGTCAACTAAACCTCTTTATAAATTACCCAATTTTGAGTATGTCTTTACAGCAGTGTGAAAACAGACTAATACAATGGTAGTACAATAATTTGAGAAAAGCAATTTCTTTTTAGATAGAAAAATACTTCTAGAACCAGGAAATAGTAGTTAAATTATTACTACTGCATGAAGTTAAACTTGGAGAGGACTATCTTTTTCAGATTAAAACTACTTTAAAAATGCAATAAAATCCTCTTGTATCAAATTATAAGAAGATAAGTGGCAATAATCAAGAATTATTATGGCCCATTTTCTCTGCAGAACTTCTGGAAACTAATTAAATTTGTAAGATAAGGGGGTGTATAAAATTGCAGAATTAAAGACATTCAAAAGGAATATGCCGTGAAGTGCCAGGTTTGGAGAATTTGTAATATAGGATTGTGAAGGGGAAAAAAAGAAACAATTTTCACTAACAATGAAACCATAAGAATTCCAGGAGCATTTTGTAAAAGAGGAAATGAACATGCAAATTGCATGAATGCAGGATTTAAGATTTCATAGGCAGTGCTAGAGTTTTTAAACTTCCGTCTTCCTTTCCTACTTGGCAGGCTCACTTTGCTACCTAAAATTCTGCCTTCAGGAAGACATTAAATCAGCAAACCTAATTACACTGAGGCATGTGGCCGGAAATATTTGTTTTCATCTCATAAATTCAAATCTTTGTAAACCATTTGCTAGAACATACTTTTTATTTTGCTTGCATCCAAGTTTTCCTACACATACAAAAATCTGAGCATCAAAAAGAAACATTCTTGGAAGCTATGACTTCCACGGGTTCCGTAAATTGAAATCTATGGGCCAAATCTTTTTGTACAGCCCTTGAGCTAAGAATGGTTTTTACATTTTAAAATGGTTGGAAAAAAAAAAAAAAAAACTCAAGCGAAGAATCACATTTTGTGTCAGGTAAAAATGGTAGGAAATTCAAATTTCAGTGCCCATGAATAAAGTCTTAGGAACACAGCCATGCTCGCTTGTTTACATAACGTCTATGGCAGCTTTCCAGATACAAAGACAGAGTTGAGTAGTTGCAACAGAGATCATATGGTTCACAAAGCCTAAAATATTTACTCTCTGACCCTTTTCAGAAAACGTTTGCTGACCGCTGACTTAAGCCATAACTTAAGTTGCTCTAACATGAAATCTGCAAGTTCCTTTACATCATGCCCTAGAAGACACTGTTCTGAGATCACCAGTGCAGTTCTTTACTCCTTCTCTACCTAACAGTCTTCTGAACACTGGGCAGGTACCTCATGAATGTGTCATTCATGATGCCAATAATTTTAGAAATAAGTACAACACACATAGCCATCTTTCAGTAGAAAAAGAATATTCCTGTATATGTCAATAAATCTCTACTCTGTTTGATCAATGAGCCAGGCTGGGCATGCGTTGGCCATTTGTATTTATAGGACCAGTCAGTCCAAAGGACCGGCTCCACTGATTCTTTGACTCGAATTTAACTGAATTAACACGAGCATCTGGAGCTTTTGTACTGCGTGCATGTGCCCTAATTCCATCTGATAGTGCCATGCTCTTTGTTAGCCAGATGTTATTCACTTGGTTGTAAGCGATGTTTCCACATTTAAAAATATTTACTTTTTTAAGGATCTCAGTTTACCAGTTGCTGTGCAAAGGACAGAAAGAGAAAATTCTTGCTCAGGGAAACCTTGAAATGTCCTCCCACAAAGAAAAGATCATTAGAAAGCAGCTAAAGAATGGTTAAGAAACCACATTGCTCCTCTCCTCTTTTAGGAAGACTGACTGGAAGCCACTGAGAATCAACTATGCTTAATCCCTCTGCATCCAGACCCCTTCCACTCTTAGGGGTGGAGTAGAGCACTTGTATTCTCTCACTCTCTCTCTCTCTCTCAGCCGTTTTGTTTTGTGCTGTGCCCAATCTTAGAAATACTGTTCAGAGCCATATACAAATAAAAACAAGAACAATAAGAGACTGTAAGGGATCTGAACTTCTCATTCCAAAGAGAGGAGGGCCACAGGGAGAGTTCCTAGACATTTGAAACAAGATGTCAGGAGATCAGGAAATGCTGAGGAAAAACAGAAAGCTCAAGGTAAAGAGACAAACAAAACAAACACATGAAACAAGAAACATGAAAAAACTTTTTTGAAAATACAATTCATTTGAAAATGGAAATGGGTTGCCACCCATTAGGGTGGCCATTATTAACAAATAAACAGAAAATGGAAAATAACAAGCGTTGGCAAGGATGTGGGGAAACTGGAACTCTTGTGAAATTCTTGTGGGAATAAAAAATGATGCAGCCACTGTGGAAAACAGCATGCTGATTTCTCACAAAAAATTAAGTGTGGAATTCCCATACAATCCAGCAATTCCACTTCTGGGTATATGCCCAAAAGAACTGAAAGCAATATCTTGAATAGATATTTCTGCACCCATGTTAATAGTAGCACTACATACAATAGCTAAAAAGTAGAAACAATCCAAATATTCATTGATGGATGAATGGATAAACAAAATATGACATAACCATAAAAGAGATTATTCAGCCTTAAAAAGAATGAAAATTCTGGCCTCTCCCTCTCCCTCTCCCCCTCCCCCTCCCCCTCCCCCTCTCCCTCTCCCTCTTTGCACGGTCTCCCTCTGATGCTGAGCGGAGGCTGGACTGTACTGCCGCCATCTCGACTCACTGCAACCTCCCTGCCTGATTCTCCTGCCTCAGCCTGCCGAGTGCCTGGGATTGCAGGCGCGCACCGCCACGCCTGACTGGTTTTCGTATTTTTTGGTGGAGACGGGGTTTCGCCATGTTGGCCGGGCTGGTCTCCAGCTCCTGACCGCGAGTGATCTGCCAGCCTCGGCCTCCTGAGGTGCCGGGATTGCAGACGGAGTCTCGCTCACTCAGCGCTCAATGTTGCCCAGGCTGGAGTGCAGTGGCGTGATCTCCGCTCGCTACCACCTCCACCTCCCAGCCGCCTGCCTTGGCCTCCCAAAGTGCCGAGATTGCAGCCTCTGCCCGGCCGCCACCCCGTCTAGGAAGTGAGGAGCGTCTCTGCCTGGCCGCCCATCGTCTGGGATGTGAGGAGCCCTTCTGCCCGGCTGCCCAGTCTGGGAAGTGAGGAGCGCCTCTTCCTGGCCGTCATCCCGTCTAGGAAGTGAGGAGCGTCTCTGCCCGGCCGCCCATCGTCTGGGATGTGGGGAGCACCTCTGCCTCGCCGCCCCATCTGAGATGTGAAGAGCGCCTCTGCCCGGCCGCCACCCCGACTGGGAGGTGAGGAGCGTCTCTGACTGGCGGCCCCGTCTGAGAACTGAGGAGCCCCTCTGCCCGGCCGCCGCCCCGTCTGGGAGGTTGGGGGCGCCTCTGCCCGGCCGCCCCGTCTGGGAAGTGAGGAGCCCCTCTGCCCGGCCGCCACCCCATCTGGGAGGTGTACCCAACAGCTCATTGAGAACAGGCCATGATGACGATGGCGGTTTTGTCAAATAGAAAAGGGGGAAATGTGGGGAAAAGAAAGAGAGATCAGATTGTTACTGTGTCTGTGTAGAAAGAAGTAGACATAGGAGACTCCATTTTGTTCTGTACTAA
Source organism: Homo sapiens (assembly GCF_000001405.40). Classification (NCBI taxonomy): domain Eukaryota; kingdom Metazoa; phylum Chordata; class Mammalia; order Primates; family Hominidae; genus Homo; species Homo sapiens. The sequence goes on from NC_000013.11 coordinate 35,967,482, forward strand.
GAAAAATTCTTCTGCCTTGGGATGCTGTTAATCTATAACCTTACCCTCAACCCCGTGCTCTCTGAAACATGTGCTGTGTCCACTAAGGGTTAAATGGATTAAGGGTGGTGCAAGATGTGCTTTGTTAAACAGATGCTTGAAGGCAGCATACTCGTTAAGAGTCATCACCACTCCCTAATCTCAAGTACCCAGGGACACAAACACTGCGGAAGGCGGCAGGGCCCTCTGCCTAGGAAAAACCAGAGACCTTTGTTCACATGTTTATCTGCTGACCTTCCCTCCATTATTGTCCTATGACCCTGCCAAATCCCCCTCTCCGAGAAACATCCAAGAATGATCAATAAATACTAAAAAAAATTTAAAAAAAAAAGTAAAAAATAAAAATACAAAAGTTAGCTGGGCGGTGGTACATTGCTGTGGTCCCAGCTACTCAGGAGGCTGAGGCAGGAGAATCACTTGAATCTGGGAGACGGAGGCTGCAGTGACCAGGATCACGCCACTGCATTCCAGCCTGGATGACAGAGCAAGACTCCGTCTCAAAAATAAATAAAGTAAAAATAAAATTTAAAAAAAAAAATGAATGAAAATTCTGACACATGCTACAAGATGGATGAATCCTGAGGTCATTATGCTAAGTGAAATGAGTCCATCACAAAAGACAAATATTGTATGATTTCACTTATATGAGGTACCTAGAATAGTGAAATTCATAGAGACAAGAGGTGGAATTACGGTTGCCAGGGGCTGGAGTGAGGAGGAATAGAGAGATAGTGTTTAATGAGTCTGCAGCTTCAGTTGAAGAAGATGAAAAAGTTCTGGAGATGGATGATGGTGGTGGTTGCACAACATTGTGGACATACTTAATGCCGCAAAACTCAACACAGCATGAGCAACAGCGGTGACCAGTGAGGGTCACCTGTTTGGGCTTTGGGCTCTCTACAGAGCACCTTCATCTGACACTTCCTCCAGCAGAATTCCCCTTAGCTTCCTTTTCCTGAACATCAGATGAAGTTGCTCCTACTTGCAATTACTACTGTCTACAAGTCTACGGCAGAAAGTCAAATTAGCACTAACAGCTTGCACACTGACAATACAACAATAGCATTATATTATAGCCCACCTGACTGTTGATCTATTGGAATTTCTCTGAAATTCAATTACAAGGGGCAGCTGCAATTATTCTCTCACAAAGGAGGGCTGCGAGATTGGGTACTGACACACCAAGTTTCTGATTTACAAGTAATTCTCTCAGCAGATCATAGATTCTCAGGCTTACTTTCTAAGAGAAAAAAAAAATGAAAGAACAAAACAAGAAGAAAAAACCTTACCCAGTCCCAGCATAGAGGACATTTCTACAAACAATGGCCTTTGAGCACAAACTGAAGAAAGAGTTTTTCTCAGGACTGTACCGACCTCCCAACCCATGGCATTCTCCCAAATACGTCCTAACCAATCAGCCAACCAACAAGGAAACAAAATGCTCATCTACAGTTCAAAACGAAGCACAACCTCTCCAGCAAATTTCCCTGGGTCTGGTGTAAAATGCTACATGTTAAAAGAAGATAAAAATCAGGGCAATTACCACCATATGTAACAAGGGTACAGTGTCTCAGGGAATTTTCACTTCTCCTGCAACTATAATGAGCATAGTTTTTGAACCAACAGTTAGGACATATAATGTGAGTGTCTGAAGTCCTGACTCCACTGGTATGTAATGGGTTGAATGGTGGCTGCCACAAAGATACATCCAAGTCCTAACCCCCAGTACCTGCAGATGTGACCTTATTTGGAAAAAGTTAAGGATCTTGAGGTAAGATCATCCTAGATTAATAGGTTGGCCCTAAATCCAGTGACAAATGTCCTTATAAGAGACAGAAGAGAAGATAGAGAGGAGAAAGCCATGTGAACATGGAGGTAGAGATTGAAGTGAGGTAGCCACAAGCCAAGGATACTTGGAGCCACCAGAAGCTGGAAGAGACAAGGAAGAATTCTCCTCTAGGGCCTTGGGAGGAAACACAACTCTACTGACACCTTGATTATGAACTTCTGGCCTCAAGAACTGGGAGATAATACATTTCTGTTGTTTTAAGCCAAGTTTGTGATACTTTATTAAGGCAGCCCTGGGAAACTTGTCCAGTGTGCTCACAAGAGATGGCATGTTTCCCTATCAGGGTTCCTCTTTCCCTAAGAAACGCTGGCCCTCCACCCAACACACACTGACTCAGTTGTCAAAGGGGCAAAATCAGTGGTGACTTGGTTGTTTGCTATGAGATAAATGCTTGTGTTCCCCCTAGAATGTGTATGTTGAATCCTAACCCCCGATGTAATAGTATTGAGAAGTGGCACCTTTGGGATGTGATTAGGCATGACAGTGAAGCCCTCATGAATGGGATTAGTGACCTTATAAAAGAGGCCCCAGAAGGCTGCCTTTCCCCTTCCACAGCAAGAAGATACTACCTGTGATCCAGGAAATGATTCCTCACCAAGATATCTTGATCTTGGACTTCCCAGCCTCCAGAACTGTGAGAAATAAATTTCTGTTTTTTATAAGCCACTCAGTCTATGGTATTTTGTTATAGCAGCCAAATGATCTATGACATTGTTTGAGGTCTCTCTCACAATCTAAAGGTCTCTTTCTCCTTTCTATTAAGGGACCGAGACCCTCACACTTTTTCTTTTCAAAGCTGCCTAGCTTTCCTAGGTTTTGCTAATCTTCCTAACAATTAAAGAATTGTTTTCCATTCGTGGCTCCATCCAGAAATTAGTTGTGAAAAGCAATATCAGAAGTGCCACTTCCCCACATTTGAGACCATTCACTTTGCTTTAATGTATCAGGCCTAATGATATTAGCATTTTTTGAATGGTAGGATTTTTCTAGCCAATCCCGCTTCTGATATTTTGCCAAAAGAATAAAAATGGTTAATCCTACTGTTTGAATGTTTGTCCCCTCCAAAACTCATGTTGAAATTTAATCACCAATGTATCAATATTGGGAGGTGGGGCCTCTAAGAGGTGATTAGGCCGTGATGGTTCAACCCTCATGGGTGTGTTTAATGCATTCATAAAAGGACTATTGGCGGTGGGCTCTCTTTCTCGGCTCTTTGCTCTTCTGCCATGTGAAGAATAGTGTTCCTCCTTCTGGAGGATGCAGCCTTTAAGGTGCCATCCTGGGAGTGGAAACTGGACCCTTACCAGACACCTAACCTGCAGCCACCTTGATCTTGGACTTCTCAACCTCCAGAACTATGATACACAAATTTCTATTCTTTATAAATTACTCAGCCTCGGGTATTCTGTTATAGCAGCATAAAATGAACTAAGACAATTAATTTCACAGATATCTTGTGGGGAGAATTGGTGAGGTCAAAAGCAGAAAGAGTAGCCTCATTTCAGTGCCCTAAATGTTAATCACCAGCCTCAGTTAGCACACGGGGCAGTGGCAGAACAGAGATGAGACTGGGCTACCTATGAACAGCCAGGGCCATGGAAGCAGCAAAGGGCCCATGGAGTAACAGAGAAACAAGCTACAAATTTGTTAGGGTAACATACTTGACAGGCAAGAGCAGATGCCCCAGGAATACACTCAGTTCTGTTAAAAAGAAAAGTGAGTTAAACCCAGCTCTTTAGCACTGTATAGCTCAAACAACCAACTGAAGTTATAAGATTTCCACTCTTCCACAAGTGACTGTGCTATGTCAGGGTAGTCTGTTATCAGGATACCATTTTCTTGAATAATTTTTGCCAATGAAGTAGGCAGAGAATGATTGATTGGCTTCAATGTAACTGAAGCACTGAAAAAGAAGAAAAGAATTAAAAGGGCTTTCTCTGGACCCCGCACAAGAGCTCTGCCATTTGGAACAACACATGCATGCTAGTTCCCATTTTAGGTTGAAGGACATGACACCGAAGCTAAGACTTAGAGCTTGATGACACTCCCCTGAGAAATGATGAGATACAAGAAGACAGGAAGATGCGTGCTTTCATCAAAAGTCCACAGTAGGCCAGGTGCAGTGGCTCACGCTTGTAATCCCAGCACTTTGGGAGGCTGAGGCGAGTGGATCACCTGAGGTCGGGAGTTCGAGACCAGCCTGGCCAACATGGTGAAAACCTGTCTCTACTGAAAATACAAAAATTAGCCAGGCATGGTGATGGATGCCTGTAATCTCAGCAATGTGGGAGACTGAAGCAGAAGAATCTCTTGAACCTGGGAGGCAGATGTTGCAGTGAGCCAAGATTGTGCCACTGCACTCCAGCCTGGGCAACAAGAGTGAAACTCCATCTCAAAAAAAAAAAAAAAATTCCATAGTAAAGGCACTCTCCCTGTTAATGCTGGGCCCTGGAGCTGCTAACGCACCTCTGGGATGAAATCCCATCCCTGGACCTCGGTTGTTTTTATTGTTGTTGTTGTTTGCACAAGGACAGGGAGCAAGTTACAAATAATTCCTGTCTTCTACCAGCTAATAATCCTATCTTGGACTTCCTTTCTACGTCTAGACTAAATCCTTCCAATTCTTCATTAACTGCACTCCCAGGAGCTTCTCCTTTTCCAACTGCTGACTTAAAATTCACACTCATTGATTGGTGACCACAGACTTGGATACCTATCCTTGTCCCACAGCTCAACCATTTCCGTGGCTCAGCACCAGCATACCTCCAACTGGTCCTATTTACCACCTAGACATTTCTCTCCTCCTCCTTCCTCTGAGGTCCTTTCTGTGGCTCTCAAACATCTTTCAGCAAGTTCTTTCCTCATGTAGATTCTTAATCAACCATTTGACAGGTAGCCTTTATTTTTTTTTTAAGATGGGGTGTCGCTATGCAATCATAGCTCACTGCAGCTTTGACCTCTTGGGCTCAAGCAATCCTCCTGCCTCAGCCTTGACATGAGATCTTGACTGCTTACTAAGTGCTCAGCTCATGTGTGTGTAGAGAAAGAGACATACAAACAGAGAAGCTCACTACCTCAGAGCTACACACATAGTATCCAATAACTATTTGCTTATCAATTTATGATAAATATTTAAGATGGGGAGTCTGATTACAAACATTCCTGAAAGCTCCGGAGGTATTCTGCATTGATATGTGGAGTCAACAGAGGTTGCCACACAGAGAGAAGTGACAAGGAGCAAGTGGCATGTTAGAGAGGTAGCAAGGAGATGGGGTGGGGGGCAGCACTGAGACAGAGTGGGAAGGAAGCATGATGAATACTGCAGTGAGGTGGACTCAAAAGATGGCTAGAGTGGAAAAACAAAGGACCTTTGAACCTAATTTGATGTAAGAAATGAGGAAAAGGGAGGCCCCATCCCATAGACCATCATGGCTCAAGCACACCCTGTATCCTGTATCCTGATGACACGCAGCCTCCTGGTGCAGTCCTGACCTTTCTCTCTCATCTCCTCTGTCCACTGCATCTCACCAGTCACAAAACTCCCAGTCCTCATGCTGTACAAATGCATTATTATTATTCCCACATCCCCATGCCTGCTCTTCCTCCTGTCCTTTGCTGACATCACTAATAACCCACTTGCCTGAGTCAGCACCCAGTACATTCTGGGGCCCACAGCAGAGGAGCTTCCACGAAGACAGAGAAAGAAAGATGGAGAAAGGAATGAGGATGGCAGGTGAGGGTGGGGCTAAGGGAGGAGAGGCAGAAGGAGGGGAGGTGGTCCATTAGATAAAGAACACACTGCGTTCTCCAGGTCACTTAGTGGGGGTCCAGTGGAACCCCCATGAAATCCTTTCAATGGCGAGGCACATGCAGAGGTCAGTGAGCTGAGGAGCAAAGGGGAGGAAAGAAAATACCACCCACTTGGAGGATCCCAGGCCTCCTGCTTATAGGCTTTTGCCCCTCCTGGGAAGACCTCCCCTTGCTCATGGCCCATCTAATTTTCAGGACTCAGAGCAGGGCCCTCTTCTGGGAAGCTCTCCCCTGCACCTCGCACCTCGGTCTATGCCTTGATTGGGCCAGATGTGCCTAAGTCCTCCTATAGGGCCCACTGGGCTCCTCTCTAACAAGGCATGCCACACACCTCATTATATTACAATGATCTGTTTTCTTCTCTGGTCTTGGGACTATGAATACACATCTTTAGATTCCAAATGCCTAGCCCAGTGCTGGCAAAAAGAAGGTGCTCAACAAATGAATGAATAAATGAATGAATGACAAAAAGAAGAGAACAGAATGTAGGCTTTTCCTTCAAAAGCTCCAATGAGAAAAGGCAAAAAAGAGAGAGCTCAGCTGCTGGAAGGACAGGCAGGGTCAAGGAACGGGGAACCTGATCCTGCAGACAGGTTAAGGATGGAGAAGATGGCAGAAAACTGAAGATGTGAGGAAGAGGGAGCAGGGGCTGGCTCATGGTCCTGGAGGAGGTCAGAGCACAGAGGAGTGAGGATGAACCTGGAGCAGGGACAGAGAAACCCCCCTTTCTGAGACTGGCAGGAAAGGGATGATGTCAGTGAGGTTTGGGGCAAAGGAGAGGGAAGAACATTCTGTAAGTTGAATAAGTTTATGCCCTGGTACCTCATTTTTCTGCAAAAAAATACAGGAGGAAGGGTCATTTACTAAGTAGCAAATAGACATATAAAAATAGAAATAGAAAATAAAACAAATAAAACAAAATGACAAAAGTTTAGAATAACTGCCCAGGAAAAAGTAACTAACATTCGTTGAGCATTTGTTATTTGCTAGAGATCACAGGCCTAATTGAGCCCCCCTCAGATTCATGTGTTGAATTCCTAACCCCGAGTACTTGAGAATGTGACTGCATTTGAAGAGAGGACCTTGACACAGATGATTACTTTAAAATGAGGTCAGTGGGGTGGGATGTAATCTGATCTTGCTACTGTCCTTACACAAAGAGGGAATTTGGTCACAGACAGATGCAGAGGGAAGACCGTGTAAGGACACAAGGGGAGGGTGTCCCACCTGCAAGCCTAGGAGAGAGGCTGATATGATTTAGCTCTATGTCCCCACCCAAGTCTCATGTCGAATTGTAATCCCCAATTTTGGAGGAGGGACATGGTGAGGTAATTGGATCTTGGGGGCGGATATCCCCCTTGCTGTTCTCGTGATAGTGAGTTCTCATGAGATCTGGTTGTTTGAAAGTGTGTAACGCTTCCCCTCTTGCTCTCTCTCTCCTGCTGGCCATGTAAAGTGTACCTGCTTCCCTTTCACCTTCTGCCATGGTTGTAAGTTTTCTGAGACCTCCCCAGAAGCAGAAGCTTGTACAGCTCACAGAATCATGAGCCAACTAAACCTCTTCATAAATTACCCAGTCTCAGGTATGTCTTTATAGAAGTGTAAGAACAAACTAATATAGAGGCCTCAGATGGAACCAACCCTGCCAACACCTTGATCTCAGACTTCTGACCTCTAGCCCTGTAAGAAAATAAATATTTGTTGTTTAAGCCACCCAGTATGTGGTACTTTGTTATGGAGGCCCTAGAAAATGAACATACCAGGAATGGTGCTAAGAACTTCAGCTCAATGATCTCATTTCAGTCAACAGCCCTTTGAGGCAGGTGCCATTTCCATGCTTAGTGTGCTGTGAAAAAAGTGAGGGCAGAGCTTGTGTAAGGTCCCCAAGGGCACAACACCTGTGCACAACTGTAAACACTACATGACCAAAGACTAGGTCAGGTCTTACACCAATCCATCCATGCTGCAGAAACAGCACCACTGAGCTGCCTAGATCCAGGAGCAGGAGGGCAGGTGCAGCCTGTGGTGTGGGCGAGGCAGAGGACACAGTGTGAGGGACCAGTAGGCTTGGGCAGGAAAAAACACTTATGACCTGTTCTGGAGAACCAGAGATGAGTCTCACCTTTGCCACTGAAAAGAAGAAAAGGGGGTCTGACCTGCATCAGGCTGGAGACCTCATTTCATGGCACCATCTAGCTGGTCACGGTGCCAACCTGGGGTGCCAGAAACACAAGGGCAACAAGGTGCAGGGAGGCGACACTGAGGGTCCACTCCCTGTTCCTGGACAAGTCCCCACCACACAGCCCACGAAGGACGCTATCCTCTTCCACCAGCTCCAAGGTGAGATCAAGGGGCTGGAGGCCACCCCACCCCCACCCCACTTGCTACCAGAGTTCTGGCAGCATGACTTTGTATAAAACGGCTCAGAAACTGGAGACAAAAGGAGGAGGCACGACTGTGCCCTGAGCACGGGGATGAGTTTTCCCTAGGAAATCTTGGGTTGGGGCATCATACAGATCTGCTCAGGCTTCCTCCCTTGATTCCTTCATGGCTCTGCCCTAACTCACCTGAAATCACCAGAAGGATCTCCTACCAGTGGAAACCTGATGTCTAATGACATCTGGGCCACGCTCCCTTGCCTTTTGTGTGCCAACTCAACAGGGTAGGGAGCCCTATCCACTCTGAAAGTGGCCATCTACTCGTGATTTGAAAACTTCCACAATGCACTACCAGCTGCAAAGCCAAAGCAAGCCTCCCTGTAATGTGTCAGGGGACCACATCCTCCGACCTATTTCCTCAATGGCAGTGGCCTCTGTGGCTTATCACTGGGCCACTAAGCAATGACACAGAGGGGAGCCAGTCCTCTAGGGAACTCCTCTAGTCTCCCACAGCATCAATTGTTTAGCAGATTGAGCTCACTGTTTTCCTCGGGGTTCCAAGCCAGCCCCAAAGGATGACATGCGGGTAGGGTTCTTTTTCAAAGCATTGTAGGGTGGGTTTGGAGGCAGGTTGGGAGGAGAAAGGAGGTCAGTCCTGACCAGTTCTGATCAGTCCAGGAAGGGCGTGGGCAAGTAAGGAAGGACAGCACAGGCACGTGATGCTACAGAGAGAGAGGTGACTTTGGAGCAGCTGCAGCCCAGATGGAAGCTCCTGGCCACACTGCCACCTCAGCATCTTGCCGAGGCTGGCACAGTGCTCACCGTCTCCTCCCTAACAGCCTCAGCAACACTTCTGGGCAGGGATGTTGGTGAACCCTTAGCAGATGATGCTTAAGCCTGTGAACTCGAGGCAGAATTCTGTGAGTGACCCTGAGAAAGGTCCTCCCAGCACTTCAGCTTCTCCGAGGTTTTTTTTTTTTTTTTTTTTTTTGAGACGGAGTCTCGCTCTGTCGCCCAGGCTGGAGTGCAGTGGCGGGATCTCGGCTCACTGCAAGCTCCGCCTCCCGGGTTCATTTCATTCTCCTGCCTCAGCCTCCCAAGTAGCTGGGACTACAGGCGCCCGCCACTGCGCCCGGCTAATTTTTTTTTTGTATTTTTAGTAGAGACGGGGTTTCACCGTTTTAGCCGGGATGGTCTCGATCTCTTGACCTCGTGATCCGCCCGCCTCGGCCTCCCAAAGTGCTGGGATTACAGGCGTGAGCCACCGCGCCCGGCCTTCTCCGAGGTTTTAAGTGAGGCATGCCTGGCTGGACGCTGCACTAAGTTACACTTTCAGTCACACAAATGAACAGACCACGGCATTAACAATCATCAGCACAGTGTCCTCAAAGAATTAACAAAGCCTCAGGAAGGATATAGAGAGCTTAAGCCTTAGTGGAATCTGGATTATATTATTTAAGGAATTAAATCAGAAATAATTCAAAAAGCTTCATTTGTGAAACTTGCATCCACTCCAGATGTTAAGAAATGACAAAAATAAAATGCTGTATTTTTCGTGTATGTGTGTGTGTATATATATACAGAGAGAGAAAGATAAATTCAAATTTTATCAACTGTTCCAAATATATAAGTTACTTCATGCATATCAGGAAGCTGAATACAGAACTATGAGCCTCATAAATGCCAGCTGATTATGTTCCCAACTCAGAGTGTCTGGGCAGATTGGGCAAGTTTTCCCCCTGAGCAATCTGCTGTCTGCATTTCTGCGCTCCTTCCTTGGGGTGGGCAGGAGGGAAGGGTATGTCAGCCACTCCCAGCTCACCCCAAATAAGTGGCCTGAGGGCAAGCAAAGGATTGGTGAGTCCAAGGACTCTTTCTGAGGAGGTATATTTTGGTGAATGACTATCACGAAGCCCTTTTGACTTAAGCACATGGTTCTCCATTGCCCCAATATTAGGTATTTGCTAATTAAAGTACAGAAATGCACACATTTAATACTGGTCATCAGGTGTATTCTGATGGGTCTAATGGGCTATTTTTTTTTTAATTCCACACAATACCTTGAATAATGAATGAGGAAATTACCTACAAGACCAGATCACAGCCAGAGATGAATGTTGGCAGTGACATGAAGAAGGCTGAGAACAAATGATTAGGTTTAGAAAATCCCAGCTCATCAACTCTGGTCTGCTCTTCAGTACCTAAGAATGGTGTCATACACCCAAGAACAGCTCCATGTTCAAGCACTAACTCCAGGCCCAGATGTTGTCTCGGTGGCATAGCAAATAATGGAAAGTTGCTCATTTCTTTCCCCATGAAGAAAGTCAAGGTTCGGAAGCCATCATAAGTTAATAGGACTAACGTTCTCTACACAGTGGGCACAATTACATTGTCAACAAGAGCTCTGTGAGTATTCAAATGTCAGCTTTCTTTACAGACTGGGTAGATAATAAGCAGAATGTCATTGTCCCTGAAAGAAATATTAAGGAAGTATTACTAACGATCCATTACAAATTGGTGTCAATTTCAAATATGTCACTGTGTTGACAGGATATAAATAATACATGAAGAAAACACTTGCACATTAAGAATCGATTTTCTGCTTTGTGCAATTTAGAGTTCCAGTTTTTTTTTTCTTTTCTTTTCTTTTTTTTTTTTTTTTTTTTTTTGACGGAGTCTCACTCTGTCACCCAGCTGGAGTGCAGTAGTACGATCTCGGCTCATTGCAACCTCTGCCTCTTGGGTTTAAGCTATTCTCCTGCCTCAGCCTCCCAAGTAGCTGGAATTACAGGCACGCGACATCACGCCCGGCTAATTTTTGTATTTTTAGTAGAGATGGAGTTTCACCATGTTGCCCAGGCTGGTCTCAAATTCCTGGGCTCAAGTGATCCACCCACCTTGGCCTCCCAAAGTGCTGGGATTACCGGCGTGAGCCACCGTGCCCGGTCTAGAATTCCAGTTTTTCATTCAATAAGTCTACAATGTAGTACTCTTATAATATTCTTTCCATTCTCACTCAATACTAGATTACAATTAAGAGAGGAAAACTCAGAAATCATACACAGCAGAATAATTTGCTATTTTACCAATGAAATAGAATTTGAACACTCTCAAACAACCAACATGTAATATCACAATTCGCCACTTGGTGTCACTAGACCTCCAGGAAACTCAAATTTACACTTACCCTGACAAGAGATTACGTTAGATTTCCACACCTTTTTTTCTGTAAGGCCCCATTTCACACAAAGATATTACAAAATGACAACGGCATGAATTATCGGAATGATGGAACTATCTTCTAAAAGGGTAGTAAACTCAGGTTAACTCCCAAACAGAATACACACCTATTACCTTACTAGTAAGAGTAATAACCACCAATTATTGAGCACCAGCCACAGTGCTAAGTGCTCTACCTATATTGTCTTATCTAATCCTGAAAACACGATCTTCCTTTAATGGTAGTTGTCTTTATTTTTAAAATGAGAAACCTGAGCTCTGCAGAGGTTAATAACTTGCCAAGCTGTTCCCAGTACCCAATCTCACATACAGATCTCTGCTAAGCCATGAGGCCACAAAACAGAAGCTATGTTTTTGGTCTGGAGAAATATTCTCCACCTGGAAGACAACCCTTACCCACAAAAAGGCAGTAGCCCAAGGGCTGTCAACGAAGTGCCAAGCGACTTTCCAATGACTATTAAAAGTAAAAGAATACAGCCCGGGATTCAGAAGACCCGGCCGGGGAAGGACTAATCAATGAGGTTTCATGGAAGACAAGGGATGTCAGCTGATCTCTGCATGGGGTTCAGAACTGAGACAGCCAGAAAGAGGACATGTGAATGGGGTGAGGCGCAGAAAGCTTCTAAACAGCCACTGCCATTGCTTGGCAAATGCATGACAGCCAATCCATAAACAATATTGTCCCAGAGCTATCCTTTCCCGTCAGATCCCAAAGGCCCACTCGTTTCTCACTGCTTTCCACTCCCAGTGCCAAAGTACTGACTCATAGCATTTTTGGCTAAAAGGGAAGGAACTGAATTTTCTTTTTTACTTTTAAAAAGATGCTGAGCTGGCTCCTCAGTCAAGTGCTGATGATTCACTGCGAACAAATCCCAGTGGCGAAAGGCCAATCACGGTCATTTACCTTATTCAAATCTTAACAGCTGGAGAGCAGTGAGTTTTTGCAATGTGGTACCCTGCAATAAGGGCTGAAAATGACCTTTGTCTCCGCAAAGGCAACCACATGCAGGCGGCCTGGTTCCTCTTCAACTGGACATGAAGGATTCTCTGAGCAGCTCTGGCACTAAGTCAGCTGGACCTGAGCACACTGGCTCTTCTGTGATTCTGGGAAAAACATATTACAACTCAAAGTGTGCTGTTGAAAATATAACAAAATCCCATCTACTTGGGACCAATAGGAGATACACTTTTATTTTTTGTTTCCATAGTAAAATACACATAACATAAAGATCTCCTGCCTTAAACCATTTTTGAGTGTACAGTTTAGCAGTGCTACGAACATTCACATTGTTGTCCAACCATCACCACCGCTGGTCTTCAAAATTCTTTTCATCTTGTGAAAATGAAACTCTGTATCCATTAAAAATGAACTCCCTGGCTGAGTGTGGTGGCTTACGTCTGTAATCCTAGCAATGTGGGAGGCCAAGGCGGGAGGATTGCTTGAGCTCAGGAGTTTGAGACCAGCCTGGCCAACATGGTGGAACCCATCTCTGCTAAAAATACAGAAATTAGCCAGGTGCAGTAGTACGCACCTGTGGTCCCAGCCACTCGGGAGGCTGAGGTGGGAGGATGGCTTGAGCCCAGGAGGTGGGGGTTGCAGTGAGCAGAGATCGACCACTGCACTCCAGCCTGACAGAGGGAGACCCTGTGTCAAACAAAACAAAACACGGACTCCGTGTTCCCCCCGGCAACTACTTTCTGTCTTTGTAATTTTGAATACTGTAGATCATGGTAGCAAAAGTAGAAGTAGCCCCTTCTACTTTCTGTCTTTTTAATTTTGAATACTATAGATCATGGTCCCCAGCCTTTTTGGCACCAGAGACCAGTTTCTTGGAAGAAAATTTTTCCATGGACGTGGGCTGGGTGCGGGGATGGTTTCGTGATGAAATCATTCCACCTCAGATCATCAGGCATTAGATTCTCCTAAGGAGTATGCAACCTAAATCCCTGGCATGCTCAAGCAGTAATGCTCACTCATCCTGCTGTCACCTCTTGCTGTGCAGCCCAGTACTTCTTCTTTTTTTTTAATGTAATTTTTTGTTTAAAGAAGGGGTCTTGCCATGTTACCCAGACTGGTCTTAAACTCCTGGGCTCAAGTGATCTGCCCACAATGGCCTCCCAAGGTGCTGGGATTACAGGTGTGAGCCACCATGCCCAGCCCTAGTCCTGAATATGAAGACACAAATAGGTTAAAAGTAAATGGATGGGGGAAAAAAATCCCATTCCAACACTAATCAAAAGAGAGCCAAAGAGGTAATAATAATATTAGACAAAGTAGATTTCAGAGAAAAGAATATTGCTAGGAACAAAGAGAGCCATTTCATAATGCTATAAGGTTTCATTAATCAAAAGAGTGCAGCCCAGTTCTTAACCAGGGGTTGGGGACCCCTGCTCTAGGTATCTCATAGAAGTGGAATAAAAAGTGTTTTGTTTTTTTTTTGTGACAGGCTTATATCGCTTAGCATAATGGCCTCAAAGTTCATTCATTTTGTAGCATGTGTCAGAATTTCCTTGCTTTTAAAAAATATATACTTTTTTTAAGGGAAATTTTAGTATCATAGCAAAACTGAGAGGAAGGGATGGAGATTTCCCATAGACCTCCTGTCCCCACACACAGACAGCCTCCCCCACTATCAACATCCAGCACCAGAGGGGACATTTGCTACAACTGATGAACCTACATTGCCACATCACTACCACCCAGAATCCATGGTTTACCTTAGGGTTCACTCTGTGTTGCACATTCTATGAACAAATTTATGACACAGATCCACCATTAGAGTATCATACAGAGTAGCTCCACTGCCCTTAAGAATCCTCTGTGCTCCATCCTTTTTAAAGCTGAATAATCATCCATTGTATTATATATCACATTTTATTTATCCATTCTTCTGTTGATGGACACTTGGGTTGCTCCCACCTTTTGGCTGTTGTGAATAATGCTGCCATGAACATGGGTATACAAATATGTCTTTGAGACCCTGCTTTCAATTCTTTTGGGTATAAACCCAGAAATGGAATTGCTAGATCAAGGTAATTCCATTTTTAATTTTTTAAGGAACTGTCACCCTCTTTTCCATGGTGGCTGCACCATTTTGCATTCCCATCAACAGTGTACAAGAGTTCCAAATTCTCCACATCCTTGCCAACACTTGTTATTTTCTGATTATTTTATGCTAGCCATCCTAGTGGGTGTGAGGTAGAACCCTTCATTCATGTATTTTTTTAAACTCTTCCCAAGGCTGAAATTCTATGAATTTTTGAGAGCTCTAATTATAAAATATTGCAGTAGTACCTGATGGTTATAGAAATGCATTGTTCATTTAAGATTTCACCACACCCACCCGGAGGGATCCTGGGCCAGAAAGGAAGAGAGTTAAGGTGAGGTCACAGCCCCCTGGGATAGGCACTTTTCACAAAGGAAAGAGGGAACAAGGCTGGGTCTGGTGGCACGTGCCTGTAATCCCCTTGCTTTGGGAGGCCGAGGCAGGAGGATCACTTGAGCCCAGGAGTTCGTGGCTGCACTGAACAGTGATTCACACCACTGTACTCCAGCCTGGACAACAGAGTGAGACCCTATTTCAAGAGAAAGAAAAGAAAAGAAAAGAAAGGGAGAGAGAGAGAGAGAGAGAGAGGGGGAGGGAGGGAGGGAGGGAGGGAGGGAGGGAGGGAGGGAGGGAGAAAGGGCAACCGATTCAAGTGAATTTCAACTTAGTGAAGTCAGGATACCTAAAGTTCCATTAATTTCTAAAACCAGAGTGGGCCCACAGTGAGATCACAATGTGAACATTAACAAAGCAAAACAAAAATTACTATAAATAACACAAGCGATGCTTCATTGTCAATCTTTGGATTTGGAATACAATTTTTCGAAAATCTAAAACCTGATTGTTAAGTTACGTCTGTTGCGGAACGTTACAAATGATTAGGAAGGTTCAAAGTCCATTGATTAGTGTGAATTGCTTTTTTTTTGTTTGTTTGTTTGAAAGGGTCTCATTCTGTCACCCAGGTTGGAGTGCAGTGGCATGGTCTTGGTTTATTGCAACCTCTACCTCCTGGGTTCAAGCCATTCTCCTGCCTCAGCTTCCCAAGTAGCTAGGATTACAAGCACCCGCCACCACACCTGGCTAATTTTTTTGAATTTTTAGTAGAGACAGGGTTTCACCATGTTGGTCAGGTTGGTCTCCAACTCCTGAGCTCAAGTGATCCTCCCGCCATGGCCTCTCAAAGTGTTGGGATTACAGGTGTGAGCCACTGCACCCGACCATGAATTGCTTTTTGGTCTGCTTTACCTATCAAGCTTCCTGTAGGGTCCAGAACTCTTTATTATTATTATTATTATTTTAGAGACAGGGTCTCACTGTTTTGCCCATGCTGGAGTGCAGTGGTACCATAACAGCTCACTGCAGTCTCAAATCCCTGGCCTCAAGTGATCCTCCTGCCTCAGCCTCCTAAAGCGCTGGGATTACAGGCATGAGCCAACCCAGAACTCTTCAGAAAATTCAAGAGATGGACAGGAAATCCCTTCCATAAGGCTTTCTTTTGTAAGGCTGGTGGAGCATGTTAATCTCTGGAAAGCACTTCTGTCTAGGAGCCAAGTTTGGCCAAACACCTGCTGGGCCTGCTCACCATGTCCTGGTCCTTCCATCACCAAGTGCATGAGTGGAATCAGGCTCAGTGGGGACTCCTGGGCCTGAATCCTTCCATCAGAAAGTTTTTTCTAGAATGAATAAGACCTACTATTTGATAGCACCACAGGGTGACTATAGTCAATAATAACCTAATTATACATTTTAAAATAACTAAAAGAATATAGTTGGATTGTTTGCAACACAAAGGATAATGCTTAAGGGAATGGATACCCCATTCTCCATGATGTAATCACTTCACATTGCATGCCTGTATCAAAACATCTTATGTACCCATAAATGCATACACCTACTGTGTACCCAAAGAAATTTTTTAAAAAAGTTTTTTCTTGGCATAAAAGAGAACTAGTGAATACAGGAGACAGCAACGAACTGCAATCTGGAAATCTGGGTTTGACTTGACCTCCTTGAACAGGAGACTGCACTGAATTGCAATCTGGAAATCTGGGTTTGACTTGACCTCCTTGAACAGGAGACTGCACTGAATTGCAATCTGGAAATCTGGGTTTGACTTGACCTCCTTGACTATGGGGAAACTGCTCAACCACTTTGAGCCTCCAGGCCTTCCACTATGAAATGGGGCCAACACCACTTACAGTGGTGCAGGTGAGCCTATGTGAAAACTGCTGACACACAGTAGGTTGTCAATAAGTGCTCAATCTGGAACCAGAGAACCACTGATTTTTACAACCAGAGCCTAAAAGGATAACCCCAGAAAGTTCCCTTTTGTTTGCTTGACCCCTAGGGTGGGTGTCTGTCTGTCAGCCGAGGATAGGACTTCAGTCAATGTTCACCAAGTCATCATTAATAAAACGGAATCCTCTGGGCATCCTTTCAAGGTCTCTGAAAAACAGTTGTGCCCTCTGTGAGAACTTGACGAGGCCTCATTTGCCTGACATGTAATTCACTCAGACCAAATGACATTGTTTGGAGACAACACTGGGTGCCTCCACCTTGGGCAGAGCCCAGAGGAGAAGTAATGGCTTCACATGCCCAGAAAACCCTGCAGTGGGTGAGGGAGCAATTCATCTCCTCTCCAGGATGGGGCTGTTGAGCTGGAGGCAGCAAACTATCAACTTTGGAGTTACAGAAAAACTCTGACACCCAAACTGCCTGAACCGTCTGCCTCTGCTCGCTAAAGTCTATTTCTCTACTTGGCAAATTTATGTGAGATAATTCTGCCACAATAAACCTTTCAAAGGGAGGGGCAATAATATTCTGCAGAGAGGAGAAATTTTCCATTTTTGTTTGCCCTTTTCCTTTTCCCATCTGTATTCCCCTTCTTCTTCAATTTTCTATCATTCCCCTGATCCAGGTATCACCTCTCTTCACTACCCCCCAGGCTTCTGTACCAGCGAATGTTCCCTCTGCCTATCTCCCCAACCCCTTCCCCGCTTGGCTTTTTCACACTCCGCACTCGACAGCAACCCTGTGCCCCCAGCGTGCGCATGCACACACACACACACACACACACACACTTGAGAGGCCTCCTGGTGTGGCAGTGCCCTGGTCCCAGCAGCACCATAATTGTGTCTCTGTGGTGCCTCCCGTCACCATGGAAACAAGCGTTTGCAGTCGCTACAGACAGACACAGCCATTACAGTGGCTGGTGCCTGTCAATCCACATGTGAGTGTGTGCGCTTAAAATAGAAGTTCTGTGAATAAAAACAGCAATTAGGGAAATCTGGAAATCTTTCTGATTATGGATGCATTTAGACCTGCTACCAGCTCACTTCCCTTCCACATCATCCTTCTCCACTGTTGTTTCTAACAGAGGTGTGGAAAGCCAATAAGCCCATTCTCCCTGGAAACAATGCCTCCTGTGAAGGGGATTAGCCATCCTTAGGGATCTACAGGGTATGAGGATCAACAATAGCAGGTGTGGCACTGGCAGGCCCTTTAGAAAATCTGACTCTGATGCCTGCTCTTTGAAAAACAAACAAACAAAAAAAAAAAATTGGAGTACTGAAAATGCAAAAGGGAAGAAGAGTATTCAGGAAATGATCAATGAAATGCAATTAATAAGAGGCTAAGATATAAATATTAGGACAGGAGACGAGGCTGTCATTGAAGGCAGGCTGCGGAGTCTGTTTATTTTGCAATTAGCAAAGGGTAAGTGACTGAAAGGTAATTGACAACTCTCTAGGCACTAGTAAAGGGTAACCTGATGTCATCTCATTTTTGATGTTACTGAAAGGAGAGGTCCTTGGCAGCCTTGGCCCTTGGGACTGAGGGATTTGGCAGCCTACAGGCTCAGGAGAGACTGGCTGGGGATGGGCTGCCCCTCCAGGCCCTTTTTCCTTTGCTTTCCAGAATCTTCCTCCCCTTTGGCCAGGTAGTAATGCCAACTAGCAGAACATGAAGGATCTATTCTAAGATTGATGCTTGTTCCCAAATTAAAGTGTATTCCAATGGAAGAAATAGATATTTTATCAGGAAGAAAGCCACATCCTCAGCACAGCAGTATTGATCCCCAGATTTAAGGAAAAGTAAAAAGTCCAAACAATCGTAATCAGAGAGTGGAGAAGATATTAAGAGTTCGTGAGGTGCAGTCCTCACTTAAAAGGCCGATGAAGGTCGGGCACGGTGGGTCATGCCTGTAATCCCAGCACTTTGGGAGGTCGAGGCAGGCAGATCACAAGGTCAGGAGTTCGAGACCAGCCTGACCAACATGGTAAAATCCCGTCTCTACTAAAAATACAAAAAGTAGCTGGATGTGGTGGTGCATGCCTGTAATCCCAGCTACTCAGGTGGCTGAGGCAGGAGAATCGTTTGAACCTGGGAGTCGGAGGTTGCAGTAAGCCGAGATCATGCCATTGCACTCCAGTCTGGGTGACAGAGTGGACTCCGTCTCAAAAAAAAAAAAAAAAAAAAAAAAAAAAGGCCAATGAAGCAGCATTATCCCTGGTTCACAGAGGAGGCAGGGGAGAACCAGGAGGTTGAGGATCTGGTCTCAAACCCACCCTAGCAAGCGAACTCCCAGTATAGTTTGTTTCCATTAAATCTTCTCATGGGTCTGTGTTTGACTTTCATTGCTATACCTTGGCTCGTACACATGCTTTTAATCAGATCTGAGTAGCCAGCTAAATAATGTGGGAAATCAAAAGCACATACTGAGGGGTATAGAAGTGATCACCTCTTTCACACACAAAAACCACAGCACTTTTCACAATCTGCCTGACATTAGCTCCTTGAGAGGGTTTCTTTTGTCGCTCACTCGCAGCTTTCTGCATCTCTGAGTGAATGGCTTTGGAGGTAGGGCAGGGGAGGGGTTGGAGAAACACAGAAACTGATGGGACCCTCATGGTCTTCTCAGGCAGATCCAAGATCCTTCCCTAAGCAGAGGCTGCATTTGTAAGTAGAGCTACACCTTAGTTTTTCAGGGGTGATGATGCGCGCAATGGGTATGAAGCACAGAACATGTGGTCAGGGAGGGAGATCAGCCCTAAAGAGAAAGGGGAAAGATGGTGAGGAGGAAAGTTTCCTCACTGCAAGAAAGCCTGGACGATCATGTAAAGGCATTTCTGTTTGCACTGAAAAGGTTTAATGCTCTTGTAAAAGCTCCATTTTCCTAATAATATTTTGTGTAGAAAAGTATTTAAATTACCTCCCCTTCCTGTTCTCTCATTAATTGAGCAGAGAAAGGGGTGGACAATAGAGACTGAGACTGGCTGAGAATTAAGTATCAGTGGCGGCTGGGAGCGGTGGCTCACGCCTGTAATCCCAGCACTTTGGGAGGCTGAGATGGGTGGATCACTTGAGCTCAGGAGTTGAAGGCCAGCCTGACCAACATGGTGAAACCCTGTCTCTACTAAAAAAAATACAAAAATTTGCCAGGCATAGTGGTGCACACCTGTAATCCCAGCTACTTAGGAGGCTGAGGCAGGAGAAGGCTTGAACCCTGACCCCCTTTTTAGAGGCAAGGGGGAGACTTCTGTAGACAGCCTTAGTGAAGAGAAATGCCTTAATTTTCTACTGAGAGCAGTGAGGCGCCAGCCACTGGGCTTCATCTTTTCACACGTATTGTCTCATTTCATATTTAAAACGACCCTTAGGGGGTGCTTGAGGGGAGGGATACCCCATTTTCTGTGATGTGATTATTACTTATTGCATGCCTGTATCAAAATATCTCACCTATCCCATAAAATACATACACCATTATGTACCACAACAATAAAAAAAATAAAATAAAATGACCCTGAGGGGCACCACTACCTGGTCTTTTCACGGATGAAATGGGAGGAGGCTGAGAGAAGACACCTAACCCGCCCTGAGTAACGCGGCCACAGTGGGGGAGCCAAGATAGAGTCCCAGTCTGTAACACTTGCTTCTTTTCCCTCGGACTTGAGGTAACCCAATACTATGTGCTCCAGAGGCCAGAAGCTTACAGTGTGAAGAGGTGCTTTCTTAACATATTATTGATGCCTGAACATTTCTAGAGCTTTTATGGCACAATCTCCTCCCTGCTCCCCACATCTGTCTCACTAGGGACAAGGAGCAGCCCATCCTCAGGGGTCCCCAGTCTCAGGCCAGCCTCCTGCGTGCTGTGCTGGTGAAGGCAGCCCCAGCCACCTGGCTAGATCTACTTCTGAGCCCCACTTTTGGACATTTCTTGTTCCTTATTTCCCTCTTTCCCCAGCACCTCCCAGTCCTGATGGGGCTGGAAGACCCAGCCCCACTGTTTCCTCCCTCCAACCCTGAGTGGCTGGAGTGCCACTGTTCTCAGCGCTGGGATGCGTCGGCCCCCGCCGCACCCACTGCCAGGCTGCAACATGAGATCTGATCCCCAATGTGACCTCAGCATGCTGACATCAGCCCCTGCAGCGGGGACCCCACGCCCAGGCTGTTGGCGACACCGCGGCCTGATGCATGTGCGAGGTGAGGGTGCCCGTTTTGTACCAGTGCTGTGCAGCCAGCTGCTCTCACCTCTTGCAACACCGGTGCCAGCCCTCCCCCTGTGATGCAAGAAGGCCACCTGGATGAGGTCTGAGCACTCACTCACTATGTGGCCCAGCCAGATGCCAAGTCATAGTGTTGGGGGAGGGAAAAAGTGTTAACTCAATTTTCCATTCAAATCTTACAGCTTAATATTTATTATACCATTTATGATCTATTTTTCTAAAAGTCCCAAAGAATGGTCTAACAGAGCTCCCCCACTGCATGCAGATGGCTTTCTCTGTATTCATTCTGTCTCAATCTGTGCTTCTTAAATCTATTTTTCAACAGCTGACCTGAAGTTAAAAAACTGGTGACTCCTCACTGTCTTCTGAAATACTAGTGTGTCTTGACAAATAGCAGTTTCCATGGAGATGACGAAGGAAAGTTGCCCATGTTGCAATGAGCTTCTGATTTTATCTTGAACTATTAGTTTAACCCACAGCTCATTCATTATTCATTTGCAGTAAGGAAATGGCTGCAGCCCAGAACGTTTCAGGAGACCTGAATCTTTGCGGCCGCCCAAAACAACTCACAGGGTATCATCAGCACACGCCATGAAGGACGCAAACTCCAGGATCTAAACAACCATTGGAAATTGCCTGCAGGTGCTCTCTCACCTGCAGGCCATCTTCAGCAATGTAAATGTAAATTTTCAGCAAACAATAAATAGAAACTTTACAAATTAGCCCATGATTTAGAAGATAATAGGGGTACAGAATCCATAACATATTCACTCTCTCCAACACCTACCGCATGCTCTGCTTTTCTGAATTGACTATCTCCCCTTTGACAGACTCCCTTAAGATACATGTGTAGTGGAACAGCTTGTAAATTTGCTTTTTGCAAAATATCTATACTTTGGAATTTCAAAACATGACTTTCTTCTTCTTATTATTATTTTTTCGAGACAGAGTTTTGCTCTTGTTGCCCAGGCTGGAGTGCAGTGACACGATGTCGACTCACTGCAACATCCGCCTCCTGGGTTCAAGTGATTCTCCTGCCTCAGCCTCCTGAGTATCTGGGATTACAGGTGCTCACCACCACACCCGGCTAATTTTTGTATTTTTAGTAGAGATGGGGTTTCACCATGTTGGCCAGGCTGATCTTGAACTCCTGACCTCAGGTGATCCACCCGCCTCGGCTTCCCAAAGTGCTGGGATTACAGGTGTATAATCCCATTACTGCACCTGACCATTATTATTTTTTAAGAGGCAGGGTCTTGCTTATAGCTCACTGTAGCCTCGAACTCCTAGAGTCAGGCAATCTTTCTGCCTTGGCCTCCTGAGTAGCTAGGACTACAGTGCACCATCATGCCTGGCTAATTGGCTTTTTTTTTTTTTTTTCCTTTAAGAGACAGGGGTCTGATTATGTCACCCAGGCTGGTCTTGAACTCCTGGTTTCAAGAGATGCTCCTGCTTCAGCCTCCTGAATTGCTGGGATTACAGGCATAAGCCACCACATCCAGCAAAACATCACCTTTATAAAGACTTTTCTTCACATTTTTCACCTTAGAAGAAAATATTTAATTTTAAAAAATAACTGATATGTGATAAACTAAGAGTTGGTAGGTGCCAGATATACCTTTTTGCTTTTTTAAAGAAAGCACAGCTGCTGGGGTAATCAGTCTTAATTACATTTTTTACATATGTCTACTAAAAATATGAAAATTATATCTGAAGGTGGCACACTCGTGATGAGAATGTAAAAAGCATAGAAAATATATTTGTGGTCCTAGGTCCTAGTTCCCAACAATGTCTTCCTATTTAAACCATGTGTTAATTGTCCCCAAGGATACAAAATTAGGTTGAATATCAGAGTACAAGTTGTACTAATACTAAATACCAAAATACAAATGAAAAGTAACTAAATTTTGTGTGTATTTAAGTCATAATTTTTAATACTACACTACGGCTTCTATTAATGCTAGACAAATTGCCAGCATCCTGCAAGAATCCTCCACCTTGCCCAGGCCTTTGAAGCACATCCTTTCTCCCAGAGGGGGCGCTCTTTGATGCTCCAGAACTTCAGTCCCAATTGGCTATTGCGCCTCTGATCTCTGCTTGAGTTCTCACTGTCTCTCTGTTCATCTTCAGTTACAAGGCTCCCAGGATACCTCTCCACCCCAGGTCATGCCTGGCCAATCCCAGCCTTCTCTGAACTTGCTCTGCAGTAGAGACAGTGGCTGTTGGTGTAATAAACACCTGTTCTCCACTTGGTTCATAGATACAGAGTGTAGGACTTCCAGCTGGGCTTAGAAATCTCTGGATCCCTCACAGCACCTATGTAGAGTTGTCTACACTCAGTGAACGCTCTAGATTAAGTCAGGGCAGATGGTTTCCAAGCTCATTTTGAACTCCAAGCAAGACTTAAAATGTTACTATTTTTGTTGGTTTTTAAACAGCCAACGTGGGGATTTTTTTTTAAGTGAGATATTTCTGAATATTCCCACCAAGTTATTTTGAATCTGATAAATTCTCTTGTACATAATGTCTACAAAGTAGGACTGGAGAATACAAAACTGACCATGGAGAGTCAGTGTTTCAAATTCCTGCTCTGGGTGATGACTGCCTCAGGCTTCCTGGTGGACCAGGTTCCTTACAAGGCAAGAGGACATACCCTCTCCTTGGTGATGGAGTTCAAAACATGCTACCCCAAAATATGGCACCTTGTCATTTGAGAAAAAGCAGAAATGGGATGGTCACTCTCATTTCACCCACCTCCCCTTCTCCCATGAAGCAGGTCATAAGACCCTCATGGGAGAGGTACCCTCTCTTTACCTAAAGAAAAGTGCCTAAGACACAGATGCCAAGAAGAACCTGAACAAACAGGCCTTGCTAAGTTCCCCCCACTTATTACCATTAGATCAGACCTTTATCCAATCATACGTCTCCATGACTGTTCACTCTTCAACAGACTTAGCATAGAAACACAGAAGTTTAACTATTTTTTTAGGTCTTCATTTCCTTATGAAGACTCCTGTGTCATTTAGATTAAAGGCCAGATGTGGTGGCTCACATCTGTAATCCCAGCACTTTGGGAGGCTGAGGCTGAGGATCACTTGAGCCCAGGAGTTCGAGACCAGCCTGAGCAACATAATGAGACCTCACCTTTATGAAAAATTTAAAAAATTAGCCAGGTGTGGTGGTGCATGGCTGTGCATGCCCAGTTACTTGAGAGGCTGAGCTGGGAGGATCACTTGAGCCTAAGAGGTCGAGGCTGCAGTGAGCTGTGATCATACCACTGCACTAGAACCTGGGCAACAGACAGACCTTATCTCAAACAAACAACAACAACAACTTGTATTAAGTAAATTTGCATGCTTTTCTCTCATTAAACTATCTCTTGTTATAGGGGCCTCAGCTGTGAACCTAGGATGGAAGAGGAAAAGATTCTTCTCTTCCCCCCATTAGCAAATCCAGGTCTGATTCCAGATCATTTTGTGAGCTTGAAACTGCCTACCCTGTTCTAACCTCATATGACAAGTTACTCATCTATTTGGGGGTAATGCTAGGAAGATCTTATACACGGCATTGATCAAGCTTTTTCTAATGCCTGGAAAGTGCCACATAAATCACCTAAAATGTCAAATAAAAGCCTAAATGACATATTTAATTATAAAAATTATGTTTTATGATTACCCTGGCTCAGTAGATTTTGGTTTAATTGCCTCTCTGAAAAGTCCCAAGCTAACTGATAATTAATGAACAAATTCTTTTTGATCTATAATGAAATCATAGATTATAGGGGTTCCCACACTCATGCCTTCTAGTTCGCACTTCTTCCTTCTGAAAATCTCAATTTTTAACAGGTTGACAGACGTTCAATTCTGTTTTGAAACGCAAAGTAGTCTGAATCCACTTCAGAGACAAATGATCCCCTCGGATGTGGGAAAACATGCAAGGATTTGCTTTTGCAAGCCATAGTCTCACAAAGATGAGGAGTTCCTGACAGTACATCCAGGCTCACGTTTCAAAATGGAGAATTACAATGCAACATGTTGACAGTACTAGGATGTGGCTGCCATTCCTTACTTTGTTTGCTTCCTTCAAAAGAAAGTGCTTTTTTTTTTTTTAATGTTGGGGGCTTAAAAGAGGAGTGAAAGGTGAAACAAAGGGTTATACAGACAAGTTTTGTGCATTTCTAACTTTGCACTGGAAATCTACTCCTGACTTACTGCAGTCATCTTGAAGCTTAAAATCCAAGATCACTGGCCTTGCTGATTTTCCTTCTATCAATGACCACAAATGCCCCAGTCTCAAAACCCCAGCATCATTGTTGACCAGTATGATCATATGTTCAATTTGCCTAGGAAAGTCCCAGTTTGTGCCTGTTTTCCCACTGTCCTGACCAGTGTAGCATTTGTCTTGGAAAATGTCCTAGGTTGGACAATACATTTTATGATCACTCTATTTCTCCTCTTTCCCCTGAAAATCCTGATCCTTTTTCCTTTGTGTGACCTGGTCATTCATTCCTTTATTTTAATTCTACCACCTTTATGAACTGCACTGATATACTACTCCCCCATCAGTGATCTCCAGTCTCTAATCGATTATACACATGAAGCTACTGCTCTGAAGCCCTGGATATCTTCTCCTTATTTAATGGATTAAATCCAAATTCAGGCATTCAAGATTTTCACATCCTGGTCCTTTTGCTGTTTCTGCAGCCTTGCCTGCAATGTCTCCCTGATGTAATATGTGGGTCCAGCACAATTGCTTGCTCAGCCTCCTACGCACTGTCATATGCATCTGCTTCTGTGATACAGTTGCTCAAGCTGCTCTGCTCTCTTTTATCTAAGACCTACTCTCCTTTCAAGACCAACTCAACTCTCACTTCCTCCCGAAAGCTTTCTCTGCTGTCCCTGCCTTCGATCAATCACCTCTCCTACATGACGCTCCAGCAACAAGTAACCTCAAAACTACTGACTGAACACTTAGCACAGCCTACCTTGCATTCTTCTTTGTCTCTTTCATGCCTCAGTTCTGTCTCTCCAGGTAGACCTTAAACTCATCAAGAGCAAGGATCTTTTCTTATAATTTTTCTTATAATTTTCTTTCCTCCAACAGCCACCAAAATCTGCTGACAGAAGGCAGGAGGCAGCATAAAATACAGGAAAAGCACTGGACGTAGCATGATTTGTCTTAGACTTGCCACTTACTATCTGTGAAACTTGGGGAAAGGTTTACCTCTCATCCTCAGTTTCCGCATCTACACATTGGGGGATGAGGATGAAACCAGTACCTGCCGTGCCTTCATTACCAAGTGGTTGTGAGAATCAGGTAAAGTGAGTGTGTTCTGAATTACAAAGATTTACATACATGAGGAATTAGTTAACATTTTTTTGATGATGGTAATAACATCATCAAAGACATCTAGCCACAACTTAATCAGAACTACCTATCATATGGTGCTTCAGAGAATTCAAATTCAATTCCTTTCTCTGAACACTCATGAGAAAAAAAAAAAAAAGCTAGGATAAGTATCAGCCTTGAGGCTCCCATATTTCATTTCCTCTCTTCAAAGCCAAAGTCTTTAAAGACCTGAGTGTGGAATATGAAAGGCAGGAGTGAGGGAAAGTGACCAGTTAACATCTCTAGTCCTTCCAGCGTTTCAGACTCTTTCAAGTACTTTTCTCTCATCTGCAAAACATCCTTTTGAGATACTGGAACCAATACTATGAGCCCTTTGAAAAAAAGAAAAGGGGAAAAGTAACATGCAGCTTCCAAAAAAAAAAAAAAATCTAACATTTAGCAGGAGTAGGTTGGGGCATGGTGATTTTGGAATCAGTCACACTTTACAATTCCAGCTTCAGGCTTGACTGAAGTGTTCCAGGTGGGCAGCTCTTCTAGAACTTTCCCTGTAGCAGAAGTCTGTTCACTGATGGATGTTTGTGGCAGGAGCCAAGCGAATTAGTCAGATAAAATATAAGCGTGAAAACAGGAAAGTGGTTCTCCTGAAGTTTCTTTTCTAGCTGTAAGCTTCCACACCACAGAATAGTCAATCACATTACAGCCCACAAGAAAAACCTGAAAGAATCATGTTCAGCTGACCTCAAACCACATATTCTTAGCTAATAAAACATCCTTGCATCAGGTCTCAAGAACACAAACTCAAAGCTAATATAAGATAGCAATTCTGCAAGACAGTTTGCCCCTGGTAATTATACTAAAAATAAAAAAAAGGCAGCCAACTGGTGAGGTTGTCTGTTCTTTTTAGAAAAGATATTTCATGTTCCCTCAAGCTTCATTATCAGTGATTGGCTTGGATGAATGGGCGGCTTCCAACAGCTTTTACCCAAGGCCAGGCTTGACAAATGTGGCATGATTTTGGCAGTGCTCGGGCTCTGATTCAGTCTTCAAATGTCTGGCATGGAACATGAACTTCTGAACCTGACCTAAAGCTATTATGGGCTTTAAATTTTCAAGCAATTGCATCATTAAGCAACCAGCATGCGATGGCATTACTATCTTATCCACTGCCTAAATACCACAATGCATTTAAAGGAAGTTGACATAAATCAGCAATGAAAGGCACAGATGACGGCAATAAGAAATGGCCCATCATTAAGGTTCATTCAAAAGCATACAGGTTGGAACTGCAGCACATTCAATTTTAAAATGCAGATATGACACAAATTCAGAAAGCTATGAAGAGCAATTTGTGAATTTTCACCAAATAGCATATGCTCTGAGAAATTTTTGTCTAAGTGTTCTCCAAGGTAGCTTTGTAGTGGTGGAGTTTCTTCCTTTTCTTTCTTAAACCTCTGCTCCAAGAAGAGACAAAGCATCCACATTCAATTATAAGAGTTTTCTTTTTCACCTCAAATTACCAATATTCCCTCATCTTTTCCAATATCATATTGTAAAGATACAATCCAAATGCCTGTGTCTACAAGGATTCAGTGGAGGAAATGACTTAACATTTGAGTGAACTAAGTTCACTTTATTACGAAATCTAATTCTATCCGTTTTCAATATACTAGTTAGTATGGGGCAATATTTTTAATGGGCCACACCAAAATATAATAAAAGGAATGTAAACAGATCAGAGGACAAAGACAAGGAAACCAATCTGGTAGTTTTATTAGCAAAACCAGAAAGAATAAGAACATTTTACTTTCATATAAATGTTCCTTTGTCTTCTTTCATTTTTACTGAGGCCAATTCAAATGTTGAGGAACAATCTGGGAGGCTCTTCAGTTTCAATGATGATTAACAGAAAATTACCATTCTGAATGGAAATTTCACCTCTTCCCAACTCATTAGAATACACTGGCTTTTCTGACTAAATCACAGGTGAGCAAATAATAGAAGACTGCTTATTTTTAGCAGCAGGCTGTGAGAGACAACCTCAAAAAAGATAAACTAACCCACGTACGTGAGATCACACGTTTTTACCATAAATCTTTGTTTCCTGGCTGTTCTTATAAATGCAAATCTAGCAGAAATGTTACAAACATAAGCAATAAGATTACAACAGTTTTCCTAAAATATCTTCTATATTAGGCTTTACTTAAGGCCAACAATATTTTCATCTATTTTAATTTTATTATTTCTTTTTTTTAATTTTTTGAGATGGAGTTTCATTCACTCTTGTTGCCCAGGCTGGAGTTAAATATTATGCAATCTCCGCCTCCCAGGTTCAAGTGATTCTCCTGCCTCAGCCTCCCAAGCATCTGGGATTACAGGTGCCCACCACCACGCCCAGTTAATTTTTGTATTTTTAGTAGAGACGGGGCTTCACCATGTTGGTCATGCTGGTTGCAAACTCCTGACCTCAGGGGATCTACCCGCCTCGGCCTCCCAAAATGCTAAGATTCTAGGCGTAAGCCACTGCACCCTGCCAACCTATTTTAGTTGTAAATAAAATCATCAGTGCTTTAAGAAGGAGAGATAGATTAAGGCCTCCCGTCTTCATCATTCGCTTCAGTGTGCTGGTATTGCAAACAGCACCATGTGCAATGCCCATTCCCACTTGAGGTGGTCAATTTTATGTGTCAACTTGGCTGGGCCACGGGGCCCAGGTATGTAGTCAAGCACTATTCTGCACATTTCTTTGAGGGTGTTTTTAGATGAGATTAACATTTAAATTGCTAAATTTGAGCAAAGCAGACTGCCCTCTGTAATGCAGGTGGGCCTCATCTATTGGTTGACAGCTTGAATAGAACAAAAGGCTGACCTCCACAAGCAGGAGGCCATTCTAGCAGATTTGAACTGCAACATCAGCTCTTCCTGAGTCTCCAGCTTGCCAGCCCTCCCTGAGTATTTTGAACTTGCCTGTCTCGATGTTCACGTGAGTTCCTTAAAACAAATCTCTTTCCATATATATATATACACACAACCTATTGGTTCTGTTTCTATGGAGAACCCTGATTAATACACCACTTATCTGAAGGGTATTATCCACTCTGTGCATCATCTTTTATACATGCTTTGCTTTCATCCATATGGACAGCATAACTTTATTTTTGCCCATTTAATACTGAGAGTGAGCATTCGACCTGTTGGCCACAAAGCTATAGCTATTTACTCAGAGCTTCTATTTTTAACACTCTGATTCCTGTGTTATTTATTTTACATGCAGTGAAGCCCTTTAAAGCCCCTTAACCACTTCCCTACATCTGCATGCAGGAACAGTCTCCTCCTGCTAGAAACAGAGTTTAATGATGTTTGAGTTGAAGGTAGGATGGAAAAAGCCAATTAGTTTCCAGAATGGCTCCTTTCTCTTGGGGCTACACCTTGTGGTTTGAAATTAAATCCAATATCAGCCTCATCCATACACAAATGCAAAGCCAAGGCTAGCCCACTTTGGATAATCTCGTGATCTTCTCCACTGAACATGAGCATGTATTGTCTGGATCAAGTTCTTTTTAATGATGAGGAAATATGAGATTTATTACTAATGAAGATAGGCCCCAATCCAACTAAAACCTAGGCAGATATGATTATCTTTAATTTCTTTTCTCATCTCTCATTTTAAGGGGAAAATCATCGTAGAGCAGAAATCTCAAAAACTTGCTTTGGAGGCAAAGAACATTTTCCCTCTCTTGGCTTTTTCCAGTGTGAATGGAACACGCATGGCTCTAATTTCACAGGTTAATTTCATTCTGACAATGGAAAACAGTTAAACAGCCAATCACATGTTTACATCTATCAATAGTTTTTAATACCGATGATCATGAGGTGGTGTTGGCCTGATTAGTTCAGTCCTAACCTAAAAATGACTGATTGCTAATGAAAACATTCTTTCTCATACAGAACATTCCAACTATGGTTGTAAGTCATGAAACTTGCAATGTAATAGTCTTTAAATCAGATATAAAAGAACTTCCCCCCAAACCAAAACTAAGCAAAAAACCAACCAAACAGCAAAGTATGCTTCTCATGGATTAACTACTGGCAATTGCTTTGTTCCATTATACAGAAATGTTTTGACTAACCAGAATGCATAGGTCCTGGGGTGTTTTGGGTAGCTTGGTGTAGCAATCTGAAGTTTAGCATTTTTGATTCCAGCTTATTACTGATATTTAATATAAAGCACAACCAGTCTACTTTCCCACTAAGTGTGGTCAGCAGTTTCCCATGTTCTGATTGCTGATCCAGACCATTGTTGGAGTGGCATCATCACTCGATCAATTCTTCTTTTGACATGCTGAGCTCCACTCCCACCTTCCTCAGTGGCTTTAGTTACTGACCCCCTTTTGAGTATTTTAGTGTCCCTTCAACTGCCCTAAAATTTTAACATAATTTTTTAAATTCTGAATAAAATTAAGAAGTATAAGAAAGTGTAGGAGTCTTAGAAGAAAAATTGACTCACAACGTCCTTAAGATAAAGTACAAAACTACGACACAATACACTCCTATTGTCAGAAAATGCTAAACATTTTGATAAATAATATCATTATTAAAATAAAAATGCCCTTCAATAGTTTTGAGTTTTATCATCCTAAAAAGAAAAATAGAGCCCTTTCATAATCCTCTCCATTCAATATCTCCTGCGAATGCAGAAACCTCACACCCACATTGATGGCTCTTCAGAGGCACCTCACAGCCATACGAATAGCTCTTCTGCCTCTTCGGGTCCCTGTTCTCCAGCCGATGCGTCTCTACCAATCTCCCTTCCCCTCCAATTAAGCCACTCAGAATCATCATACTTATGCCAAACTCTGGGGTCCAGAGTGGTCTTCTTGATCATTTCTAGGCAACCAAAATATTCTTCCCTCTCTCCTTATCCGTTAGTCTCTCCTTGCTTCCCTGACAGAAACTCACTATCATGCGCACTGCAGACTTTCAATAAATATTTGTCAAACATAAGATAATGGTATTGTGATTATGCTTTTCAAAAAAGTGCCCTAACCTTTTCAGAGCTACACCCTAAAATATTTCCAGGTGAGATGAGAACGTACAATGCAGAAAGAGTTTCAGTTAAAGCTGCAATTATTACAGATTTCGCTACAACAGATACTGAACATTTACTGCTTTTTATCACTGGGCAGTGAATCCAAAATATATGAGAATAAGATAATCACTAATTTCAATGGTGATAAAGGATTTTGATTTTTAGGTACAATTAAAAAATTTCCCAAATAGGCCAGGCATGGTGGCTCACGCCTGTAATCCCAGCACTTTGGGAGGCCACTGAAGGCAGATCACCTGAAGTCAGGAGTTCGAGACCAGCCTGGCCGACACGGTGAAACCCCTTCTCTACTAAAAATACAAAAATTAACTGAATGCAGTAGCATGCACCTGTAGTCCCAGCTACTCAGGAGGCTGAGGCTGGAGAATCACTTGAACCCAGGAGGCAGAGGTTGCAGTGAGCCGAGATCATGCCACTGCACTCCAGCCTGGGCAACAGAGCAAGAATCTGTCTCAAACAAAAAAAAAAAATTCCCAAATAAGTTTCTGCTCCCACAATTACACTTTTTCTGAATAGTCAATGGATATGACATTCACTCAGCACAGCTGCCAGCCTGCCTGTTCCAGAGCTGGGGTGAGCTGAATGGAATCCTCCTAAGTTTCCAAAAGTTTGGCACACTGTGTTTCTTGAGATTATAGTCAATGGTATGGGTGGCCTCACTCTTTTTTCCTTCTCTCTTTTTGTCTCTCTTCCTTCAAGGACAATTTGGAATAGAAAATCCCTGCTTCTTCCTCTCAGGACCAGCACAAAAACCCCTTCTACCTGGCTGAGCAAGGCCCTCCCTGCCATCAGGGAGACAGACTCTTTCTCCTGAGGCCTCCGACTTCCATTCTTCCTAATTTTGTTTTCTTGACACAAAGAGAGCTATTATGAGGCTGGAATTTAAAAATAGCAATATTAAACTAAATTCTATTCTCCTCATTACTGCTACCTGATGTCTTATTATGCCCTAGTACCAAACTCTTCTTGGAGGAAATTGGTAGGAGATCTGTTGGGAGATGGTCTGGAAGGATGATGCTTGCGGTCTGCTGACCTGCAGCTAGAGCTAATCCTAGACTGTTGCTTACAAGACTACTGACTTTTATACACAAATAGCAGCAATCATTGCTGAAATCTCCCAATCCACCCAAACAAGTCTTACATTCTAGGGAGCAAAACGTTTGCATCTGGGACAGTTATGCAGGAAGAGGGACTAATTACTTGATGTGGCTAAAATAGGAAGGAAAGTAAGTAACTGCAAGCTTTAAGTCAAGTGAGGCCTTTCCCCCACTTCACCCCTAACCTTGACTAGCATTCTTCTATTACATGGCCAGCCTGCCCTATTCCCTCAGTTCTTCCATGTAATCCTCAAGGCAAATCTTAAACCCCACACAATCTAAGAGGCTTATTAATGGCCGTTCCCCTCAGTGATGACTTCCTCTTTCTCACTGGGCACTTACTCTCTACTGTCATTTTTTCCCCCTGTGAGTTCTAGAGTTCCTATCATAACTTAAGGACGGAAACCAAGTCAGCTATCTTTGGATATCAACCTGCAAGAACACTCTCTGGCATGTCCCAGTTGATGGCAGTTCTAGGGGTGAGGATGAAGAAAGTCTAGGGGTCTGGCCACATCAGCAGCTACCAGGCATTGCAGGTGACAAGCTTCATCACCTAATGGCTTTGGATTTGCCATTCTCATTTGCAAGGCTGCATTAAGAGCGGGATACCATATTTTAATATCTAAAATAATATTATTAAATATTATATGAATTAGTATTATATACCATTTACATACCATTAAATACCATTACTAAAGTCATCGAAAGCAACCTAACTTCAAAGTATTTGAAAGATCATTTGAAATGCCTTATTGGGGAATTTAGACATCATAAATAAAATAAAGCCATCAAGAATAATCACAACCTGTTAACCATATGATGTTTTACAAGAAAACAAAAGCAAAATAAAAACCCTGAATATGTTCCAATGTATAAATGCAGGATCACGTATTATCTGATTTGATATTGCCAGTACTCAGCACATAGGTGACATTCAATAAATACATGTTGGTTAATTGAATGAGTAAATGTGAATTGTTTTCACAAACTTACATTTTTAATACATTAAGTATGTACTCTACACATTGCTATAAAAGTTGTATGCATAACTGATTTTTTTTTTTTTTTGAGACAGAGTTTCACTTTTGTTGCCCAGGCTGGGGTGTAATGACGTGGTCTCAACTCACCACAACATCCGCCTCCCAGGTTTAAGCAATTCTCCTGCCTTAGCCTCCCAAGTAGCTGGGATTAGAGGCATGAGCCACCAAGCCCAGCTAATTTTGTAATTTTAGTAGAGATGGGGTTTCTACATGTTGGTCAGGCTGGTCTTGATCTCCTGATCTCAGGTGATCCACCCACTTCGGCCTCCCAAAGTGCTGGGATTATAGGCGTGAGCCACCGCGCCTGGCCGCATAACTGATTCTTTAGGAGCAGTAACAAAACACAAGGTTGAAAGAAACATCCAACAGCAAAAAACAATGCTACCTTTTTGAACAGACAATAATTCTTTCAGCAACATCAAAGTAATAAAGTTTAATGGAAAGAACCAGCTGCCTATGGGTTCCAGAAGTCTCCTGGTTTGTGTGACCTCATGCAGGTCATTTCACTCTCCTGGACCTCAGTCTCCTCCTCTATAAAAGAGGAGGCTGAAGCCAGATGCCTTTTCAGGTCCCCTTCTTCCTGACCTTCCAAGGATGCTAGGACTCCTTTAGCATGGAACTCAACATCACACCCCTTGTCTGCCAGAAGACATCTCATTGACTTTGTGTTTTAAATGGAAAGGATGTGTGGCATGGAATATGATGTGCACCCTGCAAGTGATGAAGGAGACAAAAGAAGAACTGTGTGGTACCACAAGATAAAAAATGTAAGACTCATCACCCTGGAGAATCTCTAAACAAAGGTTTCCTTTTAGTTAAGTTTTTATTTGGTGGGTAATTTTTTTTTTCTTGGAAGATGAAAGATCAGAACCCACGGCCTGGATCTTACTGAATCCCTCTTAATTAACTGGGAATGAAAGCCCATCATTGTACAGATCAAGCTAATTGGAAGCTTTGCTTGGTTTCTTCTCAGTATCAAGTAGATGAAGCTTGGACGCACTGTTGCCTTTTTGTTGTTGTACAAAGAACTGTTTTTAGCTTGGATTATCTACCTTATCCCCTTTTAGGAGGATGATGAAGTTGGGTTAAAAAAAAAATCTCTCTTTAAAAACAACAACTCTACTCACAAGGCCAGGTAAAACATATGATAAAAAATAGCCAATTTTTATCCTGGGTGATGGCCAATTCAAGGCTTGGTGTAGGCAAGAATTGAAGCCTATATAAGCACAGGCTTTTTGGTCTTTTCAACATTTTTCTTTACTTTAAGCCAAGTGAGGTGACAAACATTTCCAAAACAAGTACAATACAGTTAATTCAATGTGCTGGTAACTTCCACATTTTAAAAGTGTTCTGAGTTTCAATTTAGTGTCATCCAATTTAAGTCAAAGGATTTCTTCAGCAAAACCTAGCAACCAATATTCGCTAGAATAATATGTGCTAGAGAATAAAATGAGCTTGAAATGTACTCTAAAATAACCCTTACAGCTAATTTTATCCTTCAACGTTAAATAACAACAGATTTTCTTGGAGGAATGGCAATCTTTTTTAGGGTTTAAAAAGTTATTGAAATGCTAATGCTACATTAAAATTTTGTTTCCACTGAGGCATTTTAAGCAATAAACAAATAAGAAAATTGAAGTATAGTTTTATATTGGGACACAGAGAGAAGCTCATACTTGCTGGGAGATCAAGAATTAGAAAACAAATATTGAGGCCAGTAGGAAAAGGCTGTCTCTGGCTCATCTGCAAATATATATGTGCATGTACACATGTATGTGTGTGAACATACATGTTCTTTTAGGTTGTTGCTTCTTTCAACCATCCACCATCCTTGTGACAACCACATGATTTGACTAATTGTTTTAAATCCTGTGGCAAATTAACTTAATAAATTATAAATTCCGAAGGAGCGACAGTTCTTAGGAAATCATAAAAGGCACCATTTCAACTCTAAGGAAAGCTATGGCTGCACCCTGAGGGCTGGGGAGGCCTTGTCAGGGCAGTCCCCTGCCCTGGTCTGTGCTCTTTCCCACTCTCCTCTCCATGTGACCAAAGCCAGTGGGTCTGGTCCAGGGATCCCAGGCAGATCTAGCAGTGTGTCCTCTTCTCAGCAATCTGCCCATACTTTCTAAACTATCTGATCTTATCTGAGACTGGAAAGCCAGTTGCATAAACTATTGAATGAGCATTTTGATGCCAAGCTGATTCCAATCAATCTCATGTGATTTTGGTGGGTGTGAGCTAAATTTTCCAGGCTCAGAATGTTTCTGGGACTAAACCTTGGTCTCCAAGGAGGAGAAACTGACCTTGAAGATTTTCATTCTGCCACAGACACTTATAACAAAGAATCACAGAACTAGTGCATGCGTGTGTGTGTGTGTGTCTGTGTGAAATCCACCCAATTTGCTATCCTTCATATTATTACTGGTTTGGAGAAACATGTGTCTTATACACTACTGGAGAAATATAAACTTTAGAAATCTTTGTGGAAAGCAATTTTACGACATATAACCAGAACCATAATAGCCTATTCAATTTAACTTCTTATAGGTTATCATAAGGATATATTTGAAGATACAAGAAATATTTGCTGAGACTAGGATTCATGGCAAGATTTGCTTATAAAGGCTGAAAATAAACTGGAAACAACATAAATAGGCAACAATAGGGTACTGCAACATAAGTTAGAGCTATACAAAATATACAGCCTATCAAAATTATATTAAAGAATATTGATTGAAAAACTACACAATATATGGATAAGTCAAAGGTTACAAAAGGCTACAAAACAACACAAAACAACTTGTACACTGTGACTTTATTTTCCTAAGAGATATACGGCCATCCTGAAAAGATTGGAAGGACTGAAAAGATATTTTATGGAAGTAGTTATGATTTTTAAAATTTAATTACCTGCATTTTCTGTTGCCAATTTTTCTAATAATGAGCACATATTGCTTTTGCAATTAAAAATTTAAGTTTTCTTATTAAAGAAAGAGCAATGAGTAAATAAAATTTTATATCTTTATGTTAACTTTACTGTAGAGTGTTTTGTTTGTTCTAAAATAATAATAGTCACTCTGAAAAGAAGCAAAATAAAACACAAAGATTAAATATAAAAAGTCATGGAATTGATAACAACAAAATAATACATTTATCTGATATTTTGCCTTAATATAGGCCTTTCCTTGATTATCAGAAGGGAATCAGCGTCAGCTTCCTTTTTGGAAAGCCACATCATTTTCTGAACTGTCTCTAATAATTCAGTATGTGATCACAAAATGATTCCACTGTGTCTGCATTTCCAGAGACTATCTAAAAATGGAGCTCCTAGCACATTTTACAAACAAACTTTAAAAATTACAAAAACAAAAAAGTAACATGCACTGGTTCTGGAATATTAGCTCAATGAAAGCAGGGGATTTTATCACTTACTGCAGAATCTCCATAGCCTAAAACAGGACCTGGCACATAGTGGGGGCTCAATAAATATTTGTTGAATAAATGAAAGGGTAAAGGGCTGGGGTGGGGGAAAAGAAATAGAATATAAAGTGAAAATACAACAAGAAAATTAATAAATTCATGTTATCTTAAGAAGAGAATACTCAGTGAGGCACAAAATTGCTCACAAGTTTTTTGTTGTTGTTGTTGTTGTTTTGTTTTGTTTCTTTTTTGATACAGTCTCGCTCTGTTGCCCAGGCTGGAGTGCAGTGGTGCAATCTCGGCCTCCGGGGTTCAAGCGATCCTCCCACCTCAGCTTCCCAAGTAGCTGGGACTACAGGAACACACCACCATGCCCAGATAATTTTTGCATTTTTTTCGTAGAAACAGGGTTTTGCCATGTTGTCCAGGCTGGTCTCAAACTCTTGGGCTCAAGCGATCTGCCTGCCTCGGCCTCCCAAAGTGCTGGGATTACAGGCGTGAGCCACCGCACCTGGCCTGTTCACAAGTTTTAAATAGTAATAGTTGCTACCACTTATTGTCTACTGTGTGTCAAATGCTTTATTTACTTTAAATGTACACAACAATCTGGCTAAGTATTAATATATTTACAAATAAAATTGTGGCACTGAAATTTTACATCATTAGCATGAAACTAATACAAAGAGACTGGTAAGCCCAACAGAGCTTTAATCAAATGCCACTGTATATGATTTTTGCCATTAAAAAAACTGCCAAAACTGCAGTCAAAAACCGCATTTACTTAGAGGTTTCTAAGTAAGGTAACTTTCACATGTGTCCTGAAACATAAATAAGAAGTTTGAGTGCTAGCTGATTTAATAGATTATAATTTAAAAGTGCTTGTAAGAGTGAGTATTTGGAAAGGGTAGCTGAATGTTTCTAATAAAAGGTATCTATTCTGAATGTAAAGAATAATAAATAAAATGTATATGCAAAAAGAAAAGACTTAACAAAAAACAATGATCACTCATTATCCCAACCCATTTTGGAGGTCAGCAAATGTTAACAATGTGATGATCACATATAAGGAAAATTTAGTAAATAATCTTGCATCTTGAAAGGCATATGTCAAACTATTACTAACTTCATTTTAAGGTCAAAGAGAAACAATAATAAAATCTAAAAAGATGGGAACATGCTTTCGAAGGATATCAAGTAACACTCCATAGGTATCTCTGGAAAACACTAGAAAAGGGTGCAGGGAAATATGCTATTCAACCACAAAAGCTGTAGCTGCTGCAGGCAAAGTGATAGCAAAGAGCAGAGATGGGCTAGCAGCATGGCGGCAAGCTTGTGTTGCTGGAGTTGGTAAAGAAAGTTGGGATTAGCAGCACTATTTCCAATAGCAAAGACTAGAAACCAACCGAAATGCCCATCAATGATAGACTGGACAAAGAAAATGTGGCACATATATGCCATGGAATACTATGCAGCCATAAAAAAGAATGAGTTCATGTCCTTTGCAGGGACATGGATGAAGCTGGAAACCATCATCCTCAGCAAACAAACACAGGAACAGAAAACCAAACACCACGTGTTCTCACTCAAAAGTGAGAGTTGAACAATGAGAACACATGGACACAGGGAGGGGAACATCACACACTGGGGCCTGCTGGAGGGTCGGGGGAAAGAGGATGGAGAGCATTAGGACAAATACCTAATGCATGCGGGGCTTAAAACCTAGATGACGGGTTGA
Source organism: Homo sapiens (assembly GCF_000001405.40). Lineage (NCBI taxonomy): Eukaryota > Metazoa > Chordata > Mammalia > Primates > Hominidae > Homo > Homo sapiens. Next base: position 36,006,096 of record NC_000013.11, read on the forward strand.
TGGGTGCAGCAAACCACCATAGTACACGTATACCTATGTAACAAACCTGCACATTCAGCACACGTATCCCAGAACTTAAAAGAAAAAAAGAAAGTTTGGATTACATAGAAACTTTTAGGGAAATCATGCACAAAGGAAAAGGAAGAAAATGTGAATGAAGACAAGCACCTTTTCCAGGCAGCCGTACCAAGGAGCTGGGAGACCCGCAAACCAGCGGGCAGACAGACACACAGTTTAGAGAAATGCTGTGAGAACCTCTGGTTTAAACTGGGAAGAGAAACAAGAAAGGACCACAAGAGCCACATCTACGTGTGAAACTATCAAATAAAGCATGAAACCTGATACACTGTACCATGACATTGCCAAATTTGTATGTATGTTTACATTTATATTTTAGCAATTCAAGGCCCTCTTGTGAAACAGTTTTTGCCTGCTGTACAAAACCTGCTTTGCCACTTTCCATGTTTAAAGACACCAGAGGCCAGTGCTTCCCAGGAGAGGGGAAAGGAGGGGGCGCAGCCCTGAAAGGAGAGGCCACGGGGGAGAAAAAATTACTTCATTTTGTTGTCTGAGAAACTGATTCGCAAGCTCTTGGGCAAAGAGCCTTCTATTTGGGGTGGCCTAGATCCAGAAGCAACTGTGGAGGACAGAGTATGAAGTTTGGATCTAGAGGACTCAGGTTTAGGGCAAAAGCTAGCTGACCCCAGTCAAGTAACTTACAGGTTCTTAGCTTAAGTTTCCCCATCTGTAAGGTGGACTATGATATTACTATGAGAATCAGATAAGAGAGTATGTATTTGGAAGACCGTCTTGATACCTTTAAGTATTTGGAAATATGAAAATGTCTGAATTGCTGTTTCCTGTGCTCAGATTCATAACATAATGCTTTCAAGTTCCATAAAGATTTATATCTTGATGAAAAGTTTACACAAAGAAATCAAGATCTTACCACTTAGGGAAAGTAAATGTGCATGCGAGGAGAGTGTGCCCAGAGGCCAGCAAGGCTCATTGGTCAACTCAGCAGCATGCATAAGCCCAACTATGTCATAGATTGACTGCTCACCACTCCTGCTGAGCCTCAAAGCAATTTTGAATAACTATATATCACAGACCTTCGGGAACAGCCTCAAACACCTGAAATCATGAAAATCAAATCCATGAATACCAATAGTGCCTTCTTACTGATAAAGCTTAGTAGAGATTTTTAATATTTCACAGTCAGAAGCTTCAGCCAAGACATGCAATTTGAGTGTTCTAGAATAGTGTTAGTAGGCTACAAGGCTGTATTAACACAAATGTGAATATAGAATCATACAGTCTTGAATTTGCAAAATCTTTGTCCAAGTCCTCTCTGTTCCCAGCAAAATCTCCGCCAAATTCCCTTGGAGAATCCTCAAAATATCTTGGGGTTGTGAGTAGAGATGAATATTGCATGCTGGAAAGCTCTAAATAGTCTTAAAGAAGAGCAACAAACAGGAAGGCAGATGAACTACACTAAGGGAACCGGAAGATATTCTATATTGTAAGAATATTGAATATATTCTATTCCCTAAAATAATATTTCCTTTAGGATCTTTTCCAAATCCATACTATTTGTGAGTAGAAAAACTCGTAAGGAGAGAAAGAGCAAAAGAAGAACATAAACATTGAAACATAAATCTATAAGCCATTGCTGTCTTCAAATAACTAACGAAACTGATTTGTTCTAAAGAGCATATCCATCTGATCACTTTTGGCATACAATAAAACTTAATGAAATATTTAATTATGTTATATTTAGTATATCTTGGATGATCTTTGACTTCTAAGAAGTTAGGGATCATTATTTTGTGTGTCGTATACAAACCGTGAATCATCCAGACTATAAAGGCAATCCTAAGGAGTAATTAATACAATTTTTAGTCTATAAAACTCCACATATATATTTAGGTTTCTTCTTATGAACAAAATATATTTCCAATTATACCTAATTGCAATGCCTATCATTTCCAATCACTTAACTACTAACAGGATGCTATTTTTAACACTGAACTTCTCTCTAAAATTTTTTTTTTTTTTTTTTTGGTCTCTACCATCTTTTTTTTTTCAGAGTCCACAGAGCTATTTTATTATTATTATTATTATTATTATTATTTTTTTAATTATACTTTAAGTTTTAGGGTACATGTGCACATTGTGCAGGTTAGTTACATATGTATACATGTGCCATGCTGGTGCGCTGCACCCACTAACTCGTCATCTAGCATTAGGTATATCTCCCAATGCTATCCCTCCCCCCTCCCCCCTCCCCACCACAGTCCCCAGAATGTGATATTCCCCTTCCTGTGTCCATGTGATCTCATTGTTCAATTCCCACCTATGAGTGAGAATATGCGGTGTTTGGTTTTTTGTTCTTGCGATAGTTTACTGAGAATGATGGTTTCCAATTTCATCCATGTCCCTACAAAGGACATGAACTCATCATTTTTTATGGCTGCGTAGTATTCCATGGTGTATATGTGCCACATTTTCTTAATCCAGTCTATCATTGTTGGACATTTGGGTTGGTTCCAAGTCTTTGCTATTGTGAATAATGCCGCAATAAACATACGTGTGCATGTGTCTTTATAGCAGCATGATTTCTAGTCATTTGGGTATATACCCAGTAATGGGATGGCTGGGTCAAATGGTATTTCTAGTTCTAGATCCCTGAGAAATCGCCACACTGACTTCCACAATGGTTGAACTAGTTTACAGTCTCACCAACAGTGTAAAAGTGTTCCTATTTCTCCACATCCTCTCCAGCACCTGTTGTTTCCTGACTTTTTAATGATTGCCATTCTAACTGGTGTGAGATGATATCTCATAGTGGTTTTGATTTGCATTTCTCTGATGGCCAGTGATGATGAGCATTTTTTCATGTGTTTTTTGGCTGCATAAATGTCTTCTTTTGAGAAGTGTCTGTTCATGTCCCTCGCCCACTTTTTGATGGGGTTGTTTGTTTTTTTCTTGTAAATTTGTTTGAGTTCATTGTAGATTCTGGATATTAGCCCTTTGTCAGATGAGTAGGTTGCGAAAATTTTCTCCCATGTTGTAGGTTGCCTGTTCACTCTGATGGTAGTTTCTTTTGCTGTGCAGAAGCTCTTTAGTTTAATTAGATCCCATTTGTCAATTTTGGCTTTGGTTGCCATTGCTTTTGGTGTTTTGGACATGAAGTCCTTGCCCACGCCTATGTCCTGAATGGTAATGCCTAGGTTTTCTTCTAGGGTTTTTATGGTTTTAGGTCTAACGTTTAAATCTTTAATCCATCTTGAATTGATTTTTGTACAAGGTGTAAGGAAGGGATCCAGTTTCAGCTTTCTACATATGGCTAGCCAGTTTTCCCAGCACCATTTATTAAATAGGGAATCCTTTCCCCATTGCTTGTTTTTCTCAGGTTTGTCAAAGATCAGATAGTTGTAGGTATGCGGCGTTATTTCTGAGGGCTCTGTTCTGTTCCATTGATCTATATCTCTGTTTTGGTACCAGTACCATGCTGTTTTGGTTACTGTAGCCTTGTAGTATAGTTTGAAGTCAGGTAGTGTGATGCCTCCAGCTGTGTTCTTTTGGCTTAGGATTGACTTGGCGATGCGGGCTCTTTTTTGGTTCCATATGAACTTTAAAGTAGTTTTTTCCAATTCTGTGAGGAAAGTCATTGGTAGCTTGATGGGGATGGCATTGAATCTGTAAATTATCTTGGGCAGTATGGCCATTTTCACGATATTGATTCTTCCTACCCATGAGCATGGAATGTTCTTCCATTTGTTTGTGTCCTCTTTTATTTCCTTGAGCAGTGGTTTGTAGTTCTCCTTGAAGAGGTCCTTCACATCCCTTGTAAGTTGGATTCCTAGGTATTTTATTCTCTTTGAAGCAATTGTGAATGGGAGTTCACTCATGATTTGGCTCTCTGTTTGTCTGTTGTTGGTGTATAGGAATGCTTGTGATTTTTGTACATTGATTTTGTATCCTGAGACTTTGCTGAAGTTGCTTATCAGCTTAAGGAGATTTTGGGCTGAGACAATGGGGTTTTCTAGATAAACAATCATGTCGTCTGCAAACAGGGACAATTTGACTTCCTCTTTTCCTAATTGAATACCCTTTATTTCCTTCTCCTGCCTGATTGCCCTGGCCAGAACTTCCAACACTATGTTGAATAGGAGCGGTGAGAGAGGTCATCCCTGTCTTGTGCCAGTTTTCAAAGGGAATGCTTCCAGTTTTTGCCCATTCAGTATGATATTGGCTGTGGGTTTGTCATAGATAGCTCTTATTATTTTGAAATACGTCCCATCAATACCTACTTTATTGAGAGTTTTTAGCATGAAGGGTTGTTGAATTTTGTCAAAGGCTTTTTCTGCATCTATTGAGATAATCATGTGGTTTTTGTCTTTGGCTCTGTTTATATGCTGGATTACATTTATTGATTTGCGTATATTGAACCAGCCTTGCATCCCAGGGATGAAGCCCACTTGATCATGGTGGATAAGCTTTTTGATGTGCTGCTGGATTCGGTTTGCCAGTATTTTATTGAGGATTTTTGCATCAATGTTCATCAAGGATATTGGTCTAAAATTCTCTTTTTTGGTTGTGTCTCTGCCCGGCTTTGGTATCAGAATGATGCTGGCCTCATAAAATGAGTTAGGGAGGATTCCCTCTTTTTCTATTGATTGGAATAGTTTCAGAAGGAATGGTACCAGTTCCTCCTTGTACCTCTGGTAGAATTCGGCTGTGAATCCATCTGGTCCTGGACTCTTTTTGGTTGGTAAACTATTGATTATTGCCACAATTTCAGCTCCTGTTATTGGTCTATTCAGAGATTCAACTTCTTCCTGGTTTAGTCTTGGGAGAGTGTATGTGTCGAGGAATGTATCCATTTCTTCTAGATTTTCTAGTTTATTTGCGTAGAGGTGTTTGTAGTATTCTCTGATGGTAGTTTGTATTTCTGTGGGATCGGTGGTGATATCCCCTTTATCATTTTTTATTGTGTCTATTTGATTCTTCTCTCTTTTTTTCTTTATTAATCTTGCTAGTGGTCTATCAATTTTGTTGATCCTTTCAAAAAACCAGCTCCTGGATTCATTGATTTTTTGAAGGGTTTTTTGTGTCTCTATTTCCTTCAGTTCTGCTCTGATTTTAGTTATTTCTTGCCTTCTGCTAGCTTTTGAATGTGTTTGCTCTTGCTTTTCTAGTTCTTTTAATTGTGATGTTAGGTTGTCAATTTTGGATCTTTCCTGCTTTCTCTTGTGGGCATTTAGTGCTATAAATTTCCCTCTACACACTGCTTTGAATGTGTCCCAGAGATTCTGGTATGTTGTGTCTTTGTTCTCGTTGGTTTCAAAGAACATCTTTATTTCTGCCTTCATTTCGTTATGTACCCAGTAGTCATTCAGGAGCAGGTTGTTCAGTTTCCATGTAGTTGAGCGGCTTTGAGTGAGATTCTTAATCCTGAGTTCTAGTTTGATTGCACTGTGGTCTGAGAGATAGTTTGTTATAATTTCTGTTCTTTTACATTTCCTGAGGAGAGCTTTACTTCCAACTATGTGGTCAGTTTTGGAATAGGTATGGTGTGGTGCTGAAAAAAATGTATATTCTGTTGATTTGGGGTGGAGAGTTCTGTAGATGTCTATTAGGTCCGCTTGGTGCAGAGCTGAGTTCAATTCCTGGGTATCCTTTTTGACTTTCTGTCTCGTTCATCTGTCTAATGTTGACAGTGGGGTGTTAAAGTCTCCCATTATTAATGTGTAGGAGTCTAAGTCTCTTTGTAGGTCACTCAGGTCTTGCTTTATGAATCTGGGTGCTCCTGTATTGGGTGCATATATATTTAGGATAGTTAGCTCCTCTTGTTGAATTGATCCCTTTACCATTATATAATGGCCTTCTTTGTCTCTTTTGATCTTTGTTGGTTTAAAGTCTGTTTTATCAGAGACTAGGATTGCAACCCCTGCCTTTTTTTGTTTTCCATTTGCTTGGTAGATCTTCCTCCATCCTTTTATTTTGAGCCTATGTGTGTCTCTGCACGTGAGATGGGTTTCCTGAATACAGCACACTGATGGGTCTTGACTCTTTATCCAATTTGCCAGTCTGTGTCTTTTAATTGGAGAATTTAGTCCATTTACATTTAAAGTTAATATTGTTATGTGTGAATTTGATCCTGTCATTATGATGTTAGCTGGTGATTTTGCTCGTTAGTTGATGCAGTTTCTTCCTAGTCTCGATGGTCTTTACATTTTGGCATGATTTTGCCACGGCTGTTACCGGTTGTTCCTTTCCATGTTTAGCGCTTCCTTCAGGAGCTCTTTTAGGGCAGGCCTGGTGGTGACAAAATCTCTCAGCATTTGCTTGTCTGTAAAGTATTTTATTTATCCTTCACTTATGAAGCTTAGTTTGGCTGGATATGAAATTCTGGGTTGAAAATTCTTTTCTTTAAGAATGTTGAATATTGGCCCCCACTCTCTTCTGGCTTGTAGGGTTTCTGCCGAGAGATCCGCTGTTAGTCTGATGGGTTTCCCTTTGAGGGTAACCCGACCTTTCTCTCTGGCTGCCCTTAACATTTTTTCCTTCATTTCAACTTTGGTGAATCTGACAATTATGTGTCTTGGAGTTGCTCTTCTCGAGGAGTATCTTTGTGGCGTTCTCTGTATTTCCTGAATCTGAACGTCGGCCTGCCTTGCTAGATTGGGGAAGTTCTCCTGGATAATATCCTGCACAGTGTTTTCCAACTTGGTTCCATTCTCCGCATCACTTTCAGGTACACCAATCAGACGTAGATTTGGTCTTTTCACATAGTCCCATATTTCTTGGAGGCTTTGCTCATTTCTTTTTATTCTTTTTTCTCTAAACTTCCCTTCTCACTTCATTTCATTCATTTCATCTTCCATTGCTGATACCCTTTCTTCCAGTTGATCGCATCGGCTCCTGAGGCTTCTGCATTCTTCACGTAGTTCTCGAGCCTTGGTTTTCAGCTCCATCAGCTCCTTTAAGCACTTCTCTGTATTGGTTATTCTAGTTATACATTCTTCTAAATTTTTTTCAAAGTTTTCAACTTCTTTGCCTTTGGTTTGAATGTCCTCCCGTAGCTCAGAGTAATTTGATCGTCTGAAGCCTTCCTCTCTCAGCTCATCAAAATCATTCTCCATCCAGCTTTGTTCCATTGCTGGTGAGGAACTGCGTTCCTTTGGAGGAGGAGAGGCGCTCTGCGTTTTAGAGTTTCCAGTTTTTCTGTTCTGTTTTTTCCCCATCTTTGTGGTTTTATCTACTTTTGGTCTTTGTTGATGGTGATGTACAGATGGGTTTTCGGTGTGGATGTCCTTTCTGTTTGTTAGTTTTCCTTCTAACAGACAGGACCCTCAGCTGCAGGTCTTTTGGAATACTCTGCTGTGTGAGGTGTCAGTGTGCCCCTGCTGGGGGGTGCCTCCCAGTTAGGCTGCTCGGGGGTCAGGGGTCAGGGACCCACTTGAGGAAGCAGTCTGCCCGTTCTCAGATCTCCAGCTGCGTGCTGGGAGAACCACTGCTCTCTTCAAAGCTGTCAGACAGGGACATTTAAGTCTGCAGAGGTTACTGCTGTCTTTTTGTTTGTCTGTGCCCTGCCCCCAGAGGTGGAGCCTACAGAGGCAGGCAGGCTTCCTTGAGCTGTGGTGGGCTCCACCCAGTTCGAGCTTCCTGGCTGCTTTGTTTACCTAAGCAAGCCTGGGCAATGGCGGGCGCCCCTCCCCCAGCCTCTCTGCCGCCTTGCAGTTTGATCTCAGACTGCTGTGCTAGCAATCAGCGAGATTCCGTGGGCTTAGGACCCTCCGAGCCAGGTGTGGGATATAATCTCGTGGTGCGCTGTTTTTTAAGCCGGTCTGAAAAGCACAATATTCGCCAGGTGCGTCCGTCACCCCTTTCTTTGACTCGGAAAGGGAACTCCCTGACCCCTTGTGCTTCCCAGGTGAGGCAATGCCTCGCCCTGCTTCGGCTCGCGCACGGTGCGCGCACCCACTGGCCTGCGCCCACTGTCTGGCACTCCCTTAGTGAGATGAACCCGGTACCTCAGATGGAAATGCAGAAATCACCCGTCTTCTGCGTCGCTCACGCTGGGAGCTGTAGACCGGAGCTGTTCCTATTCGGCCATCTTGGCTCCTCTACCCCTCTCTAAAATTTTATAGAGAGCTGAAGATCATATAAACAAAATGCATGTTTGAAAACGTGAACAGGCTTAATTCTTGCCATTGGAAATGCTGGCTTCTCTTCAATTCAGATGAAGCTTACTTTGCATTCTTCTTCAGAATTATATTTCAGAGAGCAACTTTTTTGTTGCCTTTAAAATTTTAAATTACAGCCGATAAAAACTGTTTTTTTTTACAGCCTTATTTTCTCATACCTAAAATGCTTACAACCTATGACTGTCACCTAACAACCTGTGAATGACTAACTAATCTAATACAGATGAAAGCCCAATCCTGATGAACTGTTTCCAGAAAAGTTTCTCATGGGAGAAATGTTATCAAACCATTTGCAATCTCTTGGAGTTGCTGGGAAAAATAACAACAGCAACAGGTAAGTCAGGTAAACTGATCACAATTCTCTATCTTTTTCTAGTCTGTAAAAAAATTAGTCTTACAATAAGAACAAACATGATTGAGAAAAATAATCAAATTATTCAGTATATTAGTGTGTTTAAGTGGTGTATATTTAAAAAGAAAATAGATGTTTAAACTTAAGCTATAGACTCATCAGAATTTCAAGTAAATCATATGTTTTTGACCTTGCCCTTTCCATTAACCACAGAAGAATGTTCCGTGCATAATTCAGTGGTGGCTTCTTCTCATCCTTCAGATCCTGGCTTAAACATCCTTTTCCCCTACCATGTTCTAATGTGCCATTATTAATTCTCTCTCCCTCTCTCTCTCTCTCTTTCTCTCTCTCTCTCTCTCTCTCTCTCCCTATCCGCCCCCCCACACAATTTTTGATGTGATTGCATCTGCTCCGTGGGAGCAGTGATTATGTCTCTTTCATTCACCAATATATTTCCAGCCCTTGGCATATAGCAGATATTCAATACATTAATGAGGATTAGTTACACCAACATCCTCCAAATTTCTTCAGGAAATATGAAGTGCCATCTCTCATCTGCAATGAGTTTGAACCTGTGTTTTCTGAAGCTTTCCTGTTTAGCTTGAGGGTTAGTGACTCCCCATGTGGGATCCTTCCTTATTGACAAGCCTCAGTGATGAAGAAGGAAGGGGGAATCACCCAAAGCTGTTTTGCAGTAAAACCTGGGTAAACTAGCTCTTTAGGAATGGAAACCCTCAAATGAGCCAGCTTTTTAATTTTTTCCAATGGGGGAGTTCTGGTGTCTGGCATAGAGCTTTGGAAACAGAAGGCATTTAATATTTATTATATTAAACTACCAATCTTACCATAAGTTATTGGACTAGATGGAACTTAAGTTTTCTTTCAGCCAGAGCTTCTATGATGCTGTGATGTCAACATGCCTAACAATGAGCCTGTCACAACCTATTTTCAATCTTGCCCCTCTCCTAAAGCAGCCCTTACCCTGTAAAAGGCATCAACATCCAGCCATTAGCCCATACTACCAATCTAGGGCTTACCTGGAATCCATTTCTTTCTTTCACCACCCACACCTGCCAACCAGTGATCATTCCCAAAGGACTTTATTTTGCATCTGTGCTTTTTAATCCAATTGCCTTCTCCATCTCTCTCACTGACTAGTTCAGGCCCTCATTGTATTTATTCAGACTAGAGATGAAAAACATCAATTTGTTAGAAGACTGTCCTCATGACCATATTTATTCTGTCACACTTCTGCAAATCCAAGCATAAACAGGTTTAGAAATTAGAACCAGTTAACCAGCAAATCACTCAGTGGCTAGGACATCGAATACTTTCATATATTTATTTGGGTAATAACTACTGAGCAACCAGAAGGCTAGTGCATGGACAATTTACTTCATTTAGATGGTCTTGCCAAGAAATACTGATATAAACAACCAGATCAATTATGCAGTAAAATTCACATTTCGTGTTCAAATGGCTAGAATCACTAGTCTGGGGGAACTGCTGCTTTATACATGTAACCCCAGGCACAGACTAATGGAAAGCAACACAAACTGCTACATGCTTACTCTACAGAATAGGTTTGCAAATTTAACCTACAGTACATTAAAATGCAGCATATCTCATATTTGTATTAGCCATATTTTAATACAAACTTTCTGTATTTCCTTTCTGCCATTATCCTTCCCAGTCATATGAGTGAACTATTAATGATCAACTAGTCAAGGGGTCACCATTAAAAGGAGCCCTAAATAGCACAATGATTCCATTCCCTCCCCCATCAAGAAGCCATCCCAACCCAGCAATTAAACCAAGCAAATCAGGCTAACGGAGCATACACATAATGGTAGAAGAGAAAAGCACAGCCAATAATTACCAAACAGTCACTTTCTTTTATCTGGATTTCCTCTTCCCTATCATTCATCTCACGAGAGAAGCATACAATAAGGACATGACCCCATGAGTTTTTATCATGGATCCTGCAACAACCTGAACACATTTTCTTTATCCTCGAACAATAGAAACATAATGCAAGCCACATATGTGATTTTAAATGTTCTAGTAGCCACATTAATAAACTAAAAAGAAATAAATGAAATTAATTTTGATAATGTATTTAATCTAATAATCTAAAATGTTATTTTAACATGCAATCAGTATAAAAATTATTGAAATATTTTATATTATTTTATGGCATGAAGTCTTTGACACGGTGTGCGTACTTCACATTTACAACACACCTCAAGTCAGACTACTCTCATTTTAAGTTACACATGGCTAGTGGCACGAAATCAGACAGAACAACTCCAAACAAAAACATCCAACCAAATGAGAAAGGTTGCTCGATTTGCCTTGCAGAAAAATATCAGCAACTGCATAATACCTTAAGAAGGTGAATACTAAGCAGTTTGATAAAATAACACATGAATCCCTGTGAAAGCAAAGATGTATTTTTTTGAAAGGTAATAACATTTTTAGAAATAATAAAAAAGGAAGGAGACAAGGATCATAGCAACTTTTAATACAGAATTGGAGTTACTGATCGTATCTCCAAACTGCGGGATCTGTTCGTGGAATAATTATTTTCACAGCCTCTCAGAAGGAAGTGATCATATCCTTAAATAACTGAAAAACAAAACTCCAAGGCTAGACACAGAAGAACAGAATGTCAAGAGCAAAATGTCATTTAGACTGATGAAGATAGAATGTAACACAACTGGGAAAGTCCATAACCTTTGGAATTAAATAAAATCCAGTGCAGGGGATAGTTTGATACCCAACATTCTGGGAAACCAGAATTCTCTTTTAACCAACACATCTATAAAAACGTATGACTCGATAGCTAATGTTGTAGTGAGTACTCTGGGGTATGGTATGATCCAAACATGACTTCAGAATCAATGAAAAACTAAATGGTGTTCAATATCATTTTACAGCAGATATTTAATTGCATTCTCAATCTCTGAAACTAGTCATTAATATGGTGTGTGTAGGGTAATGCTTCACCAACCACCACATGGAATTATCAGAGCCCCCTCTTTACCTATCATTGCCAGATCTCAAAATTTACTGTTTATCTAGTTTTCTGTTTGCCATACAAAAAGCAGCCGCATTTTATTTCTTACATCCCACAACTGCAACTCTCATCACACACTTACACACACATGCATGCACAGACTGCAAACTCTTTGCCATAAGAAAGGACTTCCAACACTGACCTCTGCCCAGCACCATCCTCCCGACTCATTAGAGCCATCTGTGGCGAGAAGATTCAGTTTCCCAAGCACATGAGGTCAGTTCTAGATGATGGCAATTTTTAACTCTATTTGCACTGCTAATAACATCACTCAGTTCTTCTACGGCCTTTATTTCCACTATGGCCAGGAAAGATTAACACACTTGCCTACCACTGAAAATGTTTTAAATTCTGTTATTCAACAGGAGAATCTCTTTTATTTGACCAAGGAACTTAATGTGTTAGAGTGGTTCCTCTGCTGTTGATTTCTCTACACTACACATTATGATTGTAAAATTGTAACCAATTGTCATGTGTACCCTATAGACTCAGTTTGTACACATCCCTATACACAAATCCAATTTTGTACATAACCTTTCTATTGATTCATTTTCTTTTTTCAATTAAATATAAACAAAAATCTTTTCTCTTAAGGGAGCAAATTTGATTTATGGCATAAAATTCATAAGTTAATTTTCTTGTGCAGTTTATAACTTGAAGTTAATAATTATTTTAAGCATTCCTAAAAATCAGTTTAAAATGTTTTTCTATGCATGTTTCAAAATCATTAATCATCTTTTAGTCATCCTCAAACTGAGTCTGACAAATGTAGCATAATTATTTTTTACATGGTTGCTCAATTGAACAAATTACATGAATCAAAATGTATGCTTCTTTTATACACAACCAGTGCCTATTAATTTTGATTTCAAATGTGTTAATTTACTGTGAACATTTTATAAGGCTACCTATAAAGATTTTCTCATGGATAATTATTTATGGAAGAATATAATTTTTAAATAAAAAATTAGCTATCCAAAAGTATAAAATGTTGGGCAAAATTTTAAAAGTGTATCCCTTTCTCATTCAAATGTTTCTTTCATCCATATTTACTTTGCTGTGATATAAATTATACACATTATAAGTGAACTTGCACAGACAATCTTCTGCAATTTAGTTTAGAACTTGGAATATTGTTGATAGCACTCTCTCTATGGCCCTTGATTGAATGCATTTTCTTTCACTAAAAATGCAGATAGCGCACATATCCAAATGAATATGTTACAAAATATTATAGACCCAATTGCTTGTTTCAGGATCTCAAATTTATCTTGAGGTATGTGTGGTAACTTTGCATCTAATTGGCATGCAAATTTATTCTTATTTTGCTTTTTCTAAGTATGCTACCAAAATGAGATGCATTTTTTCCATGATTAATGTCAAAGGCACTCTCTGAATTAATTTATTTCTGTCATTTTCTCCAACATTTTAATTAAGCTGTTCCTTAACCTTCTCATATTTGTTCTTTTAGTTATTATAGAAACTGATAAGATGGTTCCTGTGATTAAAAACAAACTATCCCGTATTCCCAAGATCCAAGCCTATGTAGAAAACAGAACTCAGTTTTCAAATAACTTGGCCACTGTTTCCTTAAGCTTTGGACCTTTCTACTGAACCTTTCTCCTTCTAGCCCCAAATGCCAGACCTGAAAAAGTGTAACTGATAGATTAACAGATAATTATTTATCCAGAGTCTTATCAAAAGTATTGTCAGCCTGTTTCTTCACTTACTACACAGCACAGTATATATACATCACTAATGTATGCATCAATGTGTTTAAGCTTACATAATAATGACCTCACTTCTTTGTTCACATCACCTCTTCTTCATATCCCTGAAGCTTCATGTACCTGAGAACACTTATCACGATTCTAAACATCATCACATTAACTATGTTTCATGTATAGATTAGAGGTGTACTATGCTAGAGATTTTCTTTTTCTGCTTATTTCTTCATATGCTTCTTATTCAATCCCTCCTAACTCTTGGCAATACAAAAATTGCAACTACAAAAGGAGCTAATGTAAGCAGTACTGAGTTTTAAAAGACAGCGAAAGGCACATTGTAATCTTCAGCATCCGATACATGGCTCATAGTATTACTCAATGCTATGGTTTATATATGGTTTGTTTAGCCTTGCAAAGTCTCAGGTTGAAATTCGATCTCCAATATTGAAGGTGGGGCCTAATGGAAAGTGTTTGGGTCATGGGGGTGGATTTTTCATGAATGGCTTTGTGCCATCCTCCCAGTAATGAGTGAGTTCTCGTTTTATTAGTTTCCATGATAAATGATTGTTAAATACCTCCCTCATCTTTCTCTGTTGCTCCCTCTCTTGCCATGTGATACATGGCTGTCCTCTGCCTTTTGCCACGATTGGACACAGTGTGAGGCCCTCCCTAGATGCAGATGCTGGTGCCATGCTTCTTGTACAGCCTGCACAACTGTGAACCAAATAAACTTCTTTTCTCTATAAGTTACCCACCCTCAAGTATTCTTTTGTAGTAATACAAATGGATTAAGATGATAAATGGTTATTGAATAGCTTTCATAAAGGATGAACACAATCCTTAGGTCATTGAGTTAAAAAAATATATGATAAAGAAGCACTTCTGGAATGGCTCCTCCATAGAAATAAAAACAATGGCAAAAAGTTATCAAAATAAACTTTTCTTAGAAGTCTGGAAATGAACCAAAGGCTTGCACCAATTTGAGGAGCATTTATTAAACAGCTGACTCTAAGGAAGAAGAGTCAGCTTTGTGGCATTTTTCTTCCCCTATTCCCATTTGTTTGTCTCCAGGTCAACTGGGATTATCCAGTCTGAAGAACGAAAAAAGAAAAAACAATGAAGAAAAATGAACAGTCCCTCAGTGACCTGCAAGATATCAGCAAGCATACAACTTAATAAGAGTCTAAAAAAGATTAAAATCTGACTTCTTGTTGGAAACGGTGGTGACCAGAAGGCAGCAGAATGACATATTTAAGGTGCTGAAAGAAAAAAAAAACTATCAACTAAATATTCTATATCCAGCTAAACTATCCTTCAAAAACAAAAACAAAGAAAAACCCCAAACAGAGAAAATCTGTCACTAGCAGTCATGCCTTACAGGAAACACTAGAGACTCTTTCAGGCTGAAATGAAAGGACACAAGACATTAACTTAATTCCACATAAAGAACTAAGGAGCACTGGCAAAGGTAACCAAGTACATAGGCAAATATATAAGTATGTAAATGTGAAATACAGTAAAAATATATTTTGGTTTGTAACACTTTTCTTCTATCTGATTCAAAGTGCAACTGCATAAAGCTACAATTATAACACCGCCTTCATGTATAAAGGTATAATTTGTGTGACAATAATAGCACAAAAGAGGAGGAAGGAGAAAGAGCTATATTGGAGCAAAGTCTTGGTATATAACTGAAATTACATTGGCATTATACCAAACTAGATTGTCTTATGATGATAATTGTATTCCTCGGGATAGCCACTATAAAAATAATAAAAAAAAAAAGTAAAAGAAACAATAAGAGGTTTAAAATTATGTACTAGAAAACACTTATTTAATTGAAAAAAAAAGTAGTAATGGAGTAAGATAACCAGAAAAGCCTTAAAATGTATAAAAACAAATAGCAAAATGGCAGAAAGAAATTCTAGTTTATCAGTAATTACATTAATTAATGGGCTAAGCACTCCAATTGCAAGCAGAATTGGCAGACTATTTCTTTAAAGTCATGATCCAAATACATGCTATCTACAAAATACATATTTTAGATTCAAAGATACAAGTAGTTTGGAAGTAAAAGAATGAGAAGACATAATATGCCAAAAGTAACCAAAAGAGAGCTGGAGTGGCTATGCTAACATCAGACAAAATAAATTTTAAGGCAAAAATTGTTCCTAGAGACAAAGAAGGACATTTTTTAACGACAAAGGGTCAATCCATCAAGAAGATACGGTAATTAAGAAATATATAGGCACCTAACACTAGAACCCAAAACTACCTGAAGGAAAAACTGACAGAATTGAAGGGACCTGTACACAATTCAACAATAATAGTTAGAGACCTCAATACTGTACTTTCAAATAATAGATAAAACAACTAGGCAGAAGATCAAAAAGAAAATGGAAGATTGGAACAACACTATAAAACAATAGAATGAATAGAACTATATAGTACAGCCCACCCAACAAAAGCAGAATACACATTCTTCTCAACAGAGACATAGAATATTCTCCAGGATAAACCATGTATTAAGCCATAAAATGATAGACCATGTATTAAGCCATAAAATAAACTTTGATAAATATAAAAGGGTGGAAATCATACAAAGTATGTTCTCTGATCACATTGGAATGAAATTAGAAATTAATAAAGGAAATTTGAGAAATTTATGAATATATGGAAATTAAACAATACACTCCTAAATAGCCAATGGATTAAAGAATAAACCACAATGGAAATTACAAAATAGTTCAAGATGAACGAAAATGAAAACACAACACAAGCTGATAAGATGCAGTTAATACTTAGGGACAAAATCATAGCTGTAAAACCTTTACTTAAAAAAAAGAAAGATCTCAAATCAATAATCTAACTTTCCACTTAAGGAAATTGGAAAACAAGCCAACTAAACCTAAAGTGAGTAGGAGGAAAGCAATAATAAAAATCAGAGTAGACATAAATAAAATACAGAATGTTTTTAATTGAGAAAAATCAATGAAAGCAAATTCATTCTTTAAAAACATCAACAAAATTAACAAACCTTTAGCTAGAAAAAAAAACTTATTGAGAAAAAAAGAGAGAAATCTCAAAATACTAAGATGAAGAGTAAAAGAGGGGTCATCACTTTTGACCTTGCAGAAATATAAAGGATTAAAAGGGAAAACTAACAGTAGTTGTAAATCAATAAGTTAGATAATCTGGACGAAATGCCCGAATTCCTAAAATATACAAACTACCAAAGAAGTAAAAAATCTAATTAGACCCTGTAATAAGTAAAGAGAATAAGTTAGTAATCAAAAAACATTCCACAAGGAAATCTCTGGACCATATGACTTCACTAATAAATTATATCAAACATGTAAAGAAAATGAACAACAATTCTTTATAAACTCTTCCAAAAAAGAGGAAATAAAACTTTCCAATTCATTCTTTGAGGCTAGTATTATCCTGGTACCAAAGCAAGACAAACACATCACAAGAAAAGAAAACTACAGGCAAATATCCCTTGTGAACATAGATACAACAATGCTGAACCGAATACTAGAAAACTGAGTTGAGCAGCATATAAAAAGGAGTGTATACCATTAGCAACAGGAATTATTTCCATGAATGCAGGATTGGTTTAATATCTGTATTAGTCAGGGTTCTCCAGAGAAACAGAATCAATAGGATAGATATCTGTAGGGAGAGATAGATAGATGTGCATAGATAGTTGGTTCAACAGACAGATACAGATATGCATATATAAAGATATTTATTGTAAGAAATTAGCTCATGTGATTACGGAGACTGGCACGTTCAAATCTGCAGTGTATGGGCTGGCAGGCAGAGACCCTAGAGAGCCAATGGTGCATGTCTATTCCAAAGGCTGGTAGCCTGAGACCCAGGAGAGCTGATGGTGCAGTTCCAGTCCAAAGACCAGCAGAAAGAGACCCAGTATAGCCAACAGTGCAGATGAAGTCAGAAGGCAGTCTGTTGGAGACCCTCTTGCTCAAGAAGGTGGGTCATTTGCTCTTTTCAGGTCTTAGGCCAATAGAATGAGGACTGCCCACTTTATGGAGGGCAGTCTGCTTATTCAAAGTTTCCCAATTAAAATGTTAATCTTATCCAAAACATCCTCCAAGTTGACATGGAAAGTTGGCCATCACAATATCCAAATATCAATCAATGTAATACCACATTGATAAAAAAGGAAAAAAACCCACTTGAGCATCTCAATATAAGTAGAAAAACCATCTGAGAAACTCTAACACCTTTCATAATAAATACAGTAAGAAAAACTGGAAATAGAATGAACTTTTCACAGTCTGATAAAACAGCATCCACAAAAACTCCACAGAGAATATCATACTTAATACAGAAATACTGAAAGCTTTCCCCCTAAGATTGGGAACACGATGAAGATGTCTGCTCTCCTCATTTCTTTCTTTCTTTCTTTTTTTTTTTTTTTTGGAGACAGTTTCTTGTTGCCCGGGCTGGAGTACAGTGGTGGGATCTCAGCTCACTGCAACCTCCGCCTTCTGGTTTCAAGTGGTTCTCCTGCCTCAGCCTCCCGAGTAGCTGGGATTACAGGCACCCACTATCACGCCTGGCTAATTTTTGTATTTTTAGTAGAGGCGGGGTTTCACCATGTTGGCAAGGCTGGTCTCAAACTCCTGACCTCGTGATCCACCCGCCTCTGCCTCCCAAAGTGCTGGGATTACAGGCATGAGCCACCGTGCCTGGCCTGCTCTCCTCATTTCTATTCAGTGTTGGATTGCAGGTTCTAGCCAGGTCAATTAGGCAAGAAAAGATAGAAAGGGCATCCAGATTGGAAAAGAAGAAATAAAACTCTCTATTTTCACATGACATGATCTTGTATCTGGAAAATCCTAAGGAATTCACAAAAAGTCTGTTAGAATAAACGAGTTCCTTTATAAAGTTCCAGGATTCAAAATCAATATACAAAAATCAACTGTATTTCTATAAACTAACGAGAAATCTAAAAATAAATTTAAGGAACAATTCCATTCACAATAGCATCAAAAAGAATTAAAGAGTTAGAAATAAATTTAACTAAAGAAGGATAAGACTTGCACAATGAAAACTATAAAACATTGTTGAAAGAAATTAAAGAAGTCCAAAATAAATGGGAAGACATCCTGTGTTCATGGATTTGAAGATGTAATACTGTTAGGATGGCAATAACCCCTTCCAAATTCTTCTACAGATTCAACATTATCCCCATTGAAAATCTCAGCTGCCTTTTTTTTTGTAGATATTACAAACTGATCTAAAATTCTTATGGAAATATAAGGAACTCAGAATAGCCAAAACAATCCCGAGAAAGAAGAATAAAGGTGGAGACACACTTCCCAATTTCAAAATTTCCTAAAAAGCTAAAGCAATCAAGACAGTATGATACAGACATAAGGACAGACATAAAGATCAATGGAATAAAATTGAGAAGCCAGAAATAAACCTATACATTTATGGTCAACTGATTTTCTTTTCTTTTCTTTCTTTTTTTTTTTTTTTTGAGGCAGAGTTTTGTTCTTGTTGCCCAGGCTGGAGTGCAATGGCACGATCTCGGCTCACTGCAACCTCTGCCTCCCAGGTTCAAGTGATTCTCCTGCCTCAGCCTCCTGAGTAGCTGGGATTACAGGCATGGGCCACTGTGCCTGGCTAATTTTTGTATTTTTAGTAGAGATAAGGTTTCTCCATGTTGGTCAGGCTGGTCTTGAACTCCTGACCTCAGGTGATCCACCCGCTTCGGCCTCCCAAAGTGTTGGAATTACAGGCATAAGCCACTGTGCCCAGCTGGTCAATTGATTTTCTATAAGGATGCCAAGGTAATTTAATGGAGAAGGAATATCCTATCCAACAAATGGTTCTAGGACAACCAGACACCCACATGTGAAAGAATGAAGGTATATTCCCAAGAAACTTGAAAACCTATGGCCACACAAAAACTTGTACATGAATGCTCATGGTTAGCATAATTCCTAATAGACAAAAGGTTGGAATAACCTTAATGTTCATCATTGATTAATTGATAAACAAAACGTGGTATATTTATTCAGTGGAATGTTACTCAGCCATAAAAAGGAATGAAGTACCACTGACAGGCTATAACATGAACGCATCATGAAAACACGATAAATTTTCAGGCAAAAGAATGCAAAACGAACCAAAGGCCACATATTGTATAGGCCCATTTATAGGCAATGTCCCTAATTAGCAAAGTGTAAGGCAATTTTGTGAAAATTCATGGTAAGAATGGTAAAGGGAATGGTATGGGAGAGAAAGATGGGACAGCTTTTACCACCATGATTAAGTACTTCAGATGTTATGAAGCAAAACTGAATTAAAATATAAAAAAAAATTTAGACGTGATTTAATCTGTTTCCAAAAGATCACTGTTACAGCAACACAGAGGTAAATTGCAAAGTGCTCTAACTGCAACAATTTACGTATCTAAGTCAGAGATAATTAGGACTTGATCTAGGATGGTCATGGTGGGGGGAGAGGAAAGACATGCACTGTGTTTTCACTAAACTTCCATCAATTCAGTTTGAGAGGTAAATTTGCCCAAAGTTAAGCACATTAAATGAAACAAACTGTCATGTTAGCTATACATTTATTCATATTACATATATGATTACAAATAAAAATGAAGCCTATGATTGTGCCTGTGAACCAGGTATTTTGAGAGCTTTGCTTCAATGATTTTAACATTGGGCAGGAAATGTGTTGATCTGGCATTATTAAAGTTAGAAATAACCTGACACTTGTCAGCTTTTTTAAAGAATATGCTAGAGCAGTGAATATTGAAAGATGGCCATGCAAAAATGTCTTCAACTATATTAAGAATTTTACACTTGCAAAGACTTTCTTCATAGATAATGCAAAAACAAACTACAACCCAACCCACAGCCAACTGTCAACAATTTGAGACAAATAAGATTTCACTATACACAACTACAGATTTATTAATAGAAAAAGCAAAGATCTAATCAATTCTTCATTAGCAGATCCATACTACATCTAAGACATTAACTTTCAAAACTGGATATATCTTTCAGGTAAATCATTTACTTTCTACCACTTAAATGATTATTTGAAATACATTTTATGGTGAATTTATTAAATGGAATCGACAAAAAATGTAAACCCCTTTTAATTATTGCTTTAGGGCTGTGGAGGACATTTGAAGTCACATTTAATAATAAGGTTGGATTATTTTTGGCAAACGTTTTTGCATTGCTTTGAGTGAATCTTTTGTTGACAATGGAGTGGTTTCCTTGGAAACATAACTGCTCAAAATTCAATACAAGCAGACACACTCTTAGTCAACAGCTTCTCAGGCATTCTTATAATGAACCAGTATAATGCAGTTGATGGTTGGCTTATAACATGAATATAATGTTGTAAAAATATATCAGCATCCCTCATTAATCCAAAACAAGGTATATTGATATAGAGAGCTACCCATCCTTGAGTTATAATCAAATCTACTTATTTAAAAAAACTTTAAAAGATATTAAAATTCTTTTATTGATTTTTTTCTAACTTCTCTGTTTCAAATACTAACAAATGATGGGGCTAATATCTAAGGATTCAAACTATTTTCACATGGAGAGATTTTCAATGTAGCATTATCCTCTATAGCCAGCAGTCCCCAACCTTTTTGGAACCGGGGACCAGTTTTGGGAAAGACAATTTTCCCACAGAAATGGGGGTGGGGTGATGGATGGTTTTGGGATGAAACTGTTCCGCCTCAGATCATCGGGCATTAGATTCTCATAAGGAGCACTCAACCTAGATCCCTCACATGTGCATTTCACAATAGGGTTCACACTCCTGTAAGAATCTAATGCTGCCGCTGATCTGGCATGAGGCGGAGCTCATGCAGTAATGCTTCCTTGCCCACTGCTCACCTCATGCTGTGCAGCCCAGCTCCTAACATGCCACCAGGCCTGGGGGTTGGGGACTGCTGCTCCATACCAACATTAAATGCAATAAAACTGGATATGCATTGCTAAGACATGATCTGGGAAATATTACAGAGCTTTGGTGAGTGAATAAATCGAATAGCTTCAACACATGCCTATTTGGAATGAACATGTCAACAACTGATCCTCCAAGATAATTACTGCAGCTCTGGGGTGCATACAGAAGAGATGAGTTAAGTATTTAAGGTGCCATGAATTTCTATATGTGAAGAAAAATATTTCTTTACCTAGTACATTAGCTGGGGCAATCAAATATCTATTTTCTTTTGTTTGTTTGTTTGTTTGTTTTTGAGACAAGGTCTTGCTCTGTCCCCCAGGCTGGAGTGTAGTGGCGTGAACTCAGCTCACTGTAACCTCCGCCTCCCATGCTCAAGTGACCCTCCCACCTCAGCCTCCCAAGTAGTGGGACTATAGGTGCATGGCACCACACCTGGCTAATTTTTGTACTTTTTGCACAGACAGGGTTTCCTGTTGCCCAGGCTGGTCTCTTAACACCTGGGCTCAAGTGCTCCTCCTGCCTTAGCCTCCCAAAGTGCTGTGATTGCAGGAGTGAGCCACCATGCCTGGCCTAAATACCTATATTCTGTTGTTTGTTGTGATTCATATTTGATTTTTAAGTTAATCAAGTTGATGTTTTAGAAGACTTGCTTTTCAGCTTTCCAGGTATTTTAAAATTACTATGAAATGTAATATGCATTTCTTGTGGACTTAACTACTGACTATAAAAAATAGCAGCTCAGTGTCTACTTGTAATGGATACACCACTTGTAGTTAAGATTTGATTTTTCTAAAATCCAACTGCATAGTGGAATTATAATTTGAGATTTGACTAAGTCCAAAACAGAGATTCTGTTATGATTTTCCAAACAGTAGAGACTTCAGGCTGGTCTTTTGAAATGCTCATCTGACCACATGGCTCATGGACTTCAATGTTCCACGTTTCCCTTTGCGCCTTCACAGGAGCCCTTCAGGGCTGGTGACCTCTCCAGCTTCATATGAGACTCCTGGTCACCCTGTTCCATACCCACTGAACTTCCTCGTTTCCTTTGCCTTGCTTCCTCCCGCCCTCCAGGCTGTTTCTTGGCCTGGGAAATGCTCATCTTATCTGCACCCAGGTGATGTCAGAGGCGTTTGAACCAGAGCAAATCTGTCTTGAATAGGGGCTGGGTAAAATAAGACTGAGGTCTACTGGGCTGCATTCCCAGTCACAGAATGAGACAGGAGATTAGCCCAAGATACAGGTCACAAAGACCTTACTGATAAAACAGACTGTGATGAAGAAACCTGCCAAAACCCACCAAAACCAAGATGGCAATGGAAGTGACCTCTGGTTGTCCTCACTGCTCATTATATGCTAATTATAATGCATTAGCATGTTAAGAGAAAATTCCATCAGTGCCATGACATTTTATAGATGACATGGCATCAGGAAGTTAGCCTGTATGATCTAAAAAGGAGAGAAACCCTCAGTTCCGGGAATTGCCCACCCCTTTCCCAGAAAATTCATGAATAATCCACACCTTGTTTAGCATGTAATCCAGAAATAACCATAAAAATAGCTGACCAGCAGCCCTTGGGGCTGCTCTGCCTATGCAGTAGCCATGCTTTTGTTTCTTTATTTCTCTAATAAACTTGCTTTCTCTTTATGGATTCACCTCGAATTCATTCTTGTGCGAGATTCAAGAACCCTCTCTTGAGGTCTGGATCGGGACTCTTTCCGGTAACAGTGACACCTACTCTTTCTTCAGTCCTCAGCTCAGGAATCACTTCCCTGACCTCCCTGGTCAGATTCAACTCTATTGCACACTCTCACGGCACCATATACATTTGCTTTGTAACATGAGTCATAGTGACATGACATGACACATGTGTTTGTGTGGTTATCCATTGGAAGTCTGTTTTTCTATCAGCGTCACAGCAGGAGAGACTGGGTCTGTCTTATTTTCCTTATTGCATTCCCCAGTGTCTTGCAGTGAACCAGACAATATTTGCTGAATGAATACACGTATCTCATAACGTTCCATTACCTTATAATTTGTATTAGCATGGTGCCAAGGTAAATTCAATGCACTTTTAATGTTAAATACTAGACTCTACTAAACAAAGCAATTGTGTATTACTTTTGAGATACAAGCAGAATCCCAGTGCTCTCAAAGAACCTGATTTTGAGACACAATCATAGCAAAGGAAAGGCTCAAGAGAGTCCGATGGACTATTAGGAGGCCCAGTTCTATTTGGGGTATTTTGGTTAAAGTTTATCTCCATTATGTATTAGAAACCAATGGAAAAACAAGATCTGTTCCACAGAATTTTCATTACAAATAACATTTTAAAATGTTCATGTGATATTTAGTGATACCTACATTCCATTTCTTATTGGATTTGAAGGTCTCTTCCATGCCAGATATTGTCATATGCTTATACAAATTGTTAAATTTCATGTAACCCCCACAATAACCCTGGGAAGCAAAAACAATTAACCTAATTTTACACACACGGTTCAGAAAGGTTAAGTAACTTGTCCAAGATAACACAGTGAGCACAGCATGGACCTAAGCCACTGACCCAGATCTACAAACGCAGAGGCCAGGAACTCATTAATGAGTTTTAGTTGCTTGAAAATAGAGCACGTCCAAGGGAGGCTTTACCCATTCAAAATCTTGCAAACGTTGAATGAAGCAGTGTTAAACAATCACCAGATTGTTTCATTATTGAGTATCTAATTCAGACCAAAAGAATGCACCTGTCTGAACCCCACTGTCACTCTGTAAGAGCTCATATTCAAACATTCAAGAGTGATTAGCTAACCAATGGTCTTTTGCTTTGTTTCTGTTTCCTCATTTCTTTTTTTTTGAGACGGAGTTTTGCTCTTGTTGCCCAGGCTGGAGTGCAGTGGCACGATCTTGGCTCACTGCAGCCTCTGCCTCCTGGGTTCAAGCAATTCTCCTGCCCCAGCCTCCCAAGTAGCTGGGATTGTAGGTGCCCGCCACCACACCTGGCTAATTTTTTTTTTTTTTTTTTTTTTTAGTAGAGATGGAATTTCATCACGTTGGCCAGGCTGGTCTCAAACTCCTGACCTCAGGTGATCTACCCACCTCAGCCTACCAAAGTGCTGGGATTACAGGCGTGAGCCACCATGCCTGACCCATTTCTTTTTAACACACTGAGTCTGGATAGTACTTGACCATTAGGGAACAGTATCTTCATTATTCAAATTTGGGGACAGTACATTACTAAAAATAAATATTATACTCAAAGCAAACTTTTTCAACAGAGAAAAGTTATCGATATAGGGCACAGAACAAATAGAATAAACGTTTCTCAGGTTTTTTGCCTGCAGCAGAGAGGCAGGTCCCAGGGAATCTCCCCAACTGATCAGCTCCCATCCCATTCACTCATTGCTGTGCTCTCACCAAGCCACACTTCCCACAATGCCGGCCCAGCACCTTGTTATTTCAGACCTCTGCGTCTTGGGAGGCATTGTTCCCTTAGCAACTCGAAGAAAGAACATTGCCCTGTGTTCTGCAGGTATAACTGATAAGCCACAGGACTTATTTCTAAACCATGTATAAGATGACACAAAACAGTCCTCACTCCTACGCTTTTCCCAGCACCACAGTGATTGCTCAGACTCCGTCTCTGGAGTTTCAGCCCTTCACAGCCTGGGCCCATTTCCTCAAAAACCCGAAATAGTGGTGAGTCATCATCCTTTGAATCTGGATTTGACTTTGGAAAATAGCCAAAATCAAATTAGCAAATAATGTGTGTGATCAAACTGGATAATTCCATTTAGGCTAAAAAGTTTTAAGCACAAAAGAGTGATTTTTCTTGTGAGGCTCATGGACTGGGTCCAATATCAACCACACACACACAAAAAAAGACGAGCTTCAAAAGTATTTTGCTTTTCTATAACACGGCTCCAAGTAGCTTGAACTCTGCAGTGGTAATGGTGTCAAAGGATTGGGGTTTATTTAGATATATATGTACACAAATTATATGTACGTACATATATATGTGTGTATGTGTTCGTACATATGTCATCAAATGCGATTTTAAAAGATCAGTCCTGTGATTTTATTGCCAGCAGGCCTTAAATTATTTCCTGGTAATACGTTTGACAATATAAAAAGGTTCCTTATTCTTATTAGATAATTAAGTACCATTTGTTAAGTTGTAAAGATGAATTTTGACATCCTCAGTATTATTTACAGTGACGTATTTGATGACTTCCTGGGAGGCTGCTGGTAAGTGGTTAGTGTAAAATGGAATAGCATGGTCTTCTGATCCCCTATGCGATTTGTTGTGGTTGTTGTTGAAACGCGTGGCTGTCATGTCAGCGCAGGAGGAACTGCTTTGCACGTGGCTTCTACACAGCTGGCTGCTGTTTGCATCTGACTGAACCTCCCACCCAGATCCCTGCTAGGCCCCACCTGATAGACGTGAGGTCTCAGCAGTGGAGGTCAGACTGGATGTGCAGCTCAACACTTTAGGTGGAAGGAGAAGAGAAAAAAGGGAAGGGGACAGGTCTGTGGGGCAGGCCCCTTTTAAACCATTCATTAATCTTTCTTTCACTCCCCTGGGTGGCTTAGAACCCCACAGTGGGTTGTCAACTGTAAATTAGGTATTATGTTTCTACAAATCAGTTTTTCTTTTTCTTTTTTCTTTTTCTTTTCTTTTTTTTTCTTTTTTCTTTTTTTTTGAGACGGATTCTTGCTCTGTCGCCTAGGCAGGAGTGCAATGGCATGATCTTGGCTCATTGCAACCTCTGCCTCCCGGGTTCAAGCAATTCTCCTGCCTCAGCCTCCCGAGTGGCTGGGACTACAGGCACCTGCCACCAGGCCCGGCTAATTTTTTGTATTTTTAGTAGAGACGGGGTTTCACCATGTTGGCCAGGCTGGTCTCGAACTCCTGACCTCAGGTGGATTCACCCACCTTGGCCTCCCAAAGTGTTGGGATTATAGGCGTGAGCCACTGCGCCCAGCCCAGTTTTTCTTTTACATCCAAGTAGCTATTGCTTTTGTAATCATAGTGAAATAAATTTGAGATTCATGCCATGCCATTCGGTTTGGCTCTTAGAACTGCTTTCTAACAACCCCCACCCCACCACCCGCCATCAGTTGTGCAGTTTTAAAGGATATAGGTCAAATGGACTCTGATTTGGCCTTTTTATGTTCCAATAGGGGACAGTCCATTTTTGCAATGATCCCTTGAGCCACATCAGGAAAGGAAAGTAGTGCTGGGGCTCTACTTAACTCAGCTCCTGCCCCGGGAGCGGCCGTCGATGCCCTGGCAGGACACTCTCTCTGCAAAGGTTCTTTTGGTGTCTTCTGCATTTTGCTCCTGCTCCACTTTCCTACTTCCTTTTATCGCAAATGCAGAGTGTAAACTTGGGTGTCTAAAAGTTCCTTGCATGGGAAAGAATCATTTTTAACATCGCTAAGAATAATTCCTTATAATACAAACAAACAAGCAAGCAAATATGAAACATCACCTTCTCTGTAAGGCAGTAGCTGGGACCTAGTAACAGGGGAACGTGGATGGGTGAGGAATGGTATTTCCCATAAACAACAGGACTGATATACAAAACACACTGTGCGCCAAACATATCATTCTGATGGAAGCAGGCAAACAGTAGCTGGAGATTTCTTTCTTGGCCTACACTCACGCTTTTAAAATATGAACCACTTAACGACATTTACATGCAGTTTGTGTTCAATCCAGAAGAAGCTTTTGTCAGTTTGAAATAATGTCCTACTAAAGTTTCACATTAAGTCAGATATGATGACCTTATTTTAATTTTGTTATTGCCCATGTAATTTTGGCCATCTGGGGAGGATCACTGGACAGGAAGTCAGAGGACATTTCTAGCTATCTGACTAAAACTTAATCCATAAAGTAGTGATAATACTTTCTGTGCATTTCATAAGGTAATAGGCAGATTAAAATCGCATAATATATAGGAGGCAGGCTGGCATAGGGTAAAGAACTTAGGCTTTGGAATCAAACAGTTTAAACCATTTATTCTTAATATTGGTGTGACTCAATATTGGTGTGACTCCCCACTCAATATTTTCTGAGTGGGGAGTAATAATACTTACCATATGGGACGGCTGTAGGGTTTTAGATAAAATATGTAAAGTGCCAACCTGAGTCTGTTACAGGACTGGCACTCAATGACTATGAGTACAGGTGCGGTAGCTCACGCCTGTAATCCCAGAACTTTGGGAGGCCAAGGTGGGCGGATTACCTGAGGCCAGGAGTTTGAGACCAACCTGACCAACATGGAGAAACCCCATCTCTACTAAAAATACAAAATTAGCCAGGCGTGGTGACGCATGCCTGTAATCCCAGCTACTAGGGAGGCTGAGGCAGGAGAATCACTTGAACCCGGGAGGTGGAGGTTGTGGTGAGCCGAAGTCGCACCATTGCGCTCCAGCCTGGGCAACAAAAGCAAAACCTTTATCATATATGAAGCATTTTGCAAACAAATATGAAGTATTTTGCACACTTCTGGAAAATAATATAAGCTTGATAGATAATGAGCAATGGGGCCATCCTTTAAATCTATAAGAAACACCATAGAAAAAGCAGGAGCCAGGAGGGAAGGTCTTTGTCCAGGCCTGGCCAGTAGCGAACTGGGTACTTAGTTCAAAACTAACTCAAAATTTTATCACTGAAGTCATGAATATAAAAAATTTTAAACAAATTAGTCTCCAGTCTAAAAAGAAGTATCGTGTATATTAATGCAATCATAAGGATTAAAAAGAAAACCGGAATTAAGGATAATAGAAACTTCGTGGTTGTTTTCTCCCAGAATAGAATCAATAGAAATTAAATTAGAATTTTAAAGTTATTATCAATTAAAATTAACATTTCAAGTTTGGTTTAATTATGACTAAGTCTGTACAATATATTTTTCCTGTATCTTTTGTTTTTATTTTGAAATCTCTAAAGTCATTTCTCTTCAATTTCCCCAGCTCTCCCTGTGATGATCTCCTAGAAGTGACGTGCATTCCTTTAATGTTAAATATTAAATGGACATGTTTGTCCCTTGGATTTACAAACTGCTTTAAATTAAAAAATTAGCCCAACAGTCAATTCTATTCCTGAAATTTTGAAGGACTTAAGTCATGATATCAATCACAAATATGAATAAGTAGGAAAACCATATGAATTTCAGGAAATTTTTACCCAGGCAAGTCCTCTCTTAGTGGTGAGCAGGTAAACTGACTCTTGAGGGGAAAATAAAAAGCTCTCACTCATCAGTTTCCAAGGTGTCAATATTCCCACCAGGACTGATTTCAGGCTACCAACAGTTTAACCACCAGCTCACGAAATTTCTATATATTTAACAAGAATCAGGGAAAATGGTTTCCAGCACACGCCGCCTCTTCCCATTTGAAAGAAAGGGTGTTGGTAAGGAGAAAGTTCAGGAAGGGAGCTCAGGGAATGAGCCAGTTATAAAAGCGGAAAGGCTTAGGTAGGCGGAAAGGTCACACGTGCAGCATATTACTAGCTGGGCATCAAACCACTGTGGCTTCCTCCTTTGCTGCAACCCCCTCTCCTCTATGACCATGAAAACACCAGCCAAATATCAAGGGGGTAGCACAAGACCCTCCCACCTCCAGTCAGTCCTGCCCACCAAATCACATCGCTGCCCATGGCTGCCCCTTTGTCTGCTATTGTGTCTCTCCCTCTGCGAATCAGCTAATTCTCTCCCTTTCACTTGCTCCCTGTCCATCTTCTCTCTTTCTCTCTTTGCCTCTCCCTGGCTCATTCACTCCTTTTCTTTCTATAGCATCTGTTTCATAATGTTTTGCAGTGATATTTGGAATAATCTTTTTATGTCTGCCTTGACCCTCCTAAGATTGAAAACTTAATTTGGAACCAAAACCTATGTCTTACTACCCACACTGAAACCACAAATGAAGCACTGGATAACTCATTTTTTAATTATCTTGTTCTTTGGCTCCCATCATTTTTTAAAGTTTATATTGCTATTAAGTAGTATTGGGGGGAAAGGGTCCAAATAATTTAAAGCTTGAATCTAATTATTTATTTAACATCCAGTCTGTGCTTATGTAATTTTTCTTTTGAAAACAGTGTCTCGCTCTGTTGCCCAAGCAGGAATGCAGTGGTACAATCTTAGCTCACTGCAGCGTCGAACTCCTGGGCTCAAGTGATCCACCTCCCTCAGCCTCCCGAGCAGCTGGGACCACAGGCAAAAGCCACCATGCTGGCTTGTGCTGATATAATTTTGTTGCAAAAGGAATTCAGGTTGTTACTTTTGTCACTGGCAAAAGTACGTACATACTTTTTTAGGTATCCTTACAATTCCTAGACAAGCACTGGTCAATTATAATCAACATAAGTTTTAGGGCAATTTGAATTATATACTACTTAAAAAAGGTATCAGAGAGATTAACCTCTGTTATCTCTCTTCTTGGCCACACTGTGATAGTTATAAAGATAACAACATTATCCAAATAGATAATATTTCCATGGATATTGAGCTAGGAGGAGGGACTAGACTCTGGAGGCAGGACTTGGACACTGGACCAAATTGAGGACTAGCTAAAACAGAGGCAGAAGCACCTACCAATAAAGGCTGGGGTGGAAGCACCTCCCCGTAAGACATGCCCATCAGTGTGCCATGTCAGTTTACCATTGCCATAACACCCATAAGTTACCACCCCTTTCCATGGAAACAACCTCACAACCTGGAAGTTTCTGCCTAAACTGCCTTTTAATTGGCATATAAAAAGTGGGTATAAATATGACTGCAGAACTGCCTCTGAGCTGCTCCTCTGGGCACACTGCCTAAGAGGTAGCCCTCTCCTCAAGGAGCAGCATCTCTGCTGCTGCTGTGCACTCTACCGCTTCAATAAACCCTGCTGTCCAACACCACCGGCTCGACC
This sequence comes from Homo sapiens, assembly GCF_000001405.40. NCBI lineage: Eukaryota > Metazoa > Chordata > Mammalia > Primates > Hominidae > Homo > Homo sapiens. The sequence goes on from NC_000013.11 coordinate 36,036,379, forward strand.
TCGAATTCTTTCCTGGGCAAAGCCAGGAATCCTTTGGGGCTAAGCCCCAGTTTGGGGGCTTGCCTGTCCTGTGTCAGTGTGGTATGTTTTTTCTTGGACTCCTTGAACGGCAAGTCGAATAAATACCTTGATGTTCTACATAACACTAGACCACCATTTACTACGGATTGTAATCACAATGACTCCTTATATTTTTATGTGCTTTTGAACCCAAAAGGATATATGTGTGTGTATGTGTAGGTATAAGATCATATACGGTATATATGATATATATAACATAGAAAGTCACATTTTATTTACATATTAAGTTATCAGATTTTATACATGTTAAACATTTATATACTATACATTTATAATTTTAATGAATAATACGTTAATTTTGAATGTAATTGTTGGTAAAGCTCTTTAGGAAGGTTAAAAACAGCATTATCTCTATCCTTAAAAAACTTTCTAAAAAATGAAAAATAGAACTATGATATGATCCAGCAATTCCTCTACTGGGTGTATATCCAAAAGAAAGGAAATCAATATATTGAAGAAATGTCTGCACTCCCATGTCTATTGCAGCGCTAGTCACAATAGCCAAGACATGGAATCAATCTAAGTTTCTATCAATGGATGAATGGATAGAAAAATGTGATATATATATCACACACACACACAGTGGAATATTATTCAGCCATAAAAAAGAATGAAATCCTGTCATCTGCAGCAACATGAATGGAACTGGAGGCCATTATGATAAGTGAAATAAACCAAATGCAGAAAGACAAATATCACCTGTTCTCTCTCATATGTGGAAGCTTTAAAAAAAAATGATCTCATGAAGATAGAGAATAGAACTGTGGTTACCAGAAGCCAGAAAGGGTAGGGGTTGAGGAGGATGAAAGAAGTTGATTGAAGGGTACAAGCACACAGTTAGATAGAATAAATAAGGCCTAGTGTTCCATAGAGCAGTAGGGTGAGTATAGTTAACAATAACATATTACATATTTAAAAATAGAAGAGAATTTTTCTAATGTTCCTAGCATAAAGAAAAGATATATATTTAAGGTGGTGGATATCCCGATTACCCTAATGTGACCTTTTTTCTCGTGGTTTTTGTTTTGTTTTGTTTTGTTTTGAGATGGAGTCTCCCTCTGTTGCCCAGGCTGGAGTGCAGTGGTGCGATCTCAGCTCACTGCAACCTCTGCCTCCTGGGTTCAAGCGATTCTCGTGCCTCAGTCTCCCAAGTACCTGGGATTACAGGTGTGCATCACCACACCCAGTTAATTTTTGTATTTTTAGTAGAGACGGAGTTTCACCATGTTGGCCAGGCTGGTCTCAAACTCCTGACCTCAGATGATCTGCCTGTCTCAACCTCCCAAAGTGCTGGGATTACAGGCATGAGCCACCATGCCCGGCCACCCTGATGTGATCTTTACACATTATATGAATTTATCTAATTATCACATGTATGTGATAATGTATCAATTAAAAAAAGAAAATTTAAAAAATAGAAAGAAAATCTAATCCCCTACTGTAAAAAAAGAACTTCCAAGGTTCCATGGGTATGGCTTATAATGTGTCAGAGACACATTAAGACTTTTAAGATACAGCTCACTGCAGCCTGAGTGGTAATAAAAGGAAGACTTTGTGAACAAAGAAAGCCTCTTGGAGGCGGTGACTGTGACATTTATTTTTCCTAGATATGTCCAGTAATTTATTGAATCCAAGAGAATAATGGAGAAGCAAGAGACCATCAACCTCATCTTTGGTAGCTTTCTCATTTTATGAACAAGGAAGCTGGGTCCCATAAAAGCTCAGTGACTTGTTACCTTGCTTGCTAAGCTGGTAACAGTTCCCAAAGATGGGTGTGAATGAAGAGGCAGGACAGGTCACTGTCCCCACCATGGGTCCATCCCTGCCCCTGAGGTTTGTTTTAAGGCCCGGAGATGGTTCGGTCTTCCAGAGTGCTTCCTGGTTACAGGAATGAGAGCCTCCCAGGGGCAGGGCAGAGAATCCTGGAGAACCAAATACAGTAACAAGAGCCTAGAGCTTAGCTTTGGTCAGGAAAGAGAAGTGAGAGATGGAATACTGAGGTACCTATGGGGCAGAACTTTAAGTCAAGATCCCAAAGGAGCAATGATATTCTTTGGCACATACCTGTTTTTGTTTTAATCAAATGCATAATCTCAGAGGCTTTTCCAGTACATGTTCCTAAGCAACTTATGCACAACTGATCTTTTAGAAGCAACATATTTGGTGATGCTATTCAGGTAGGTGGGTAGGTAGCTGGCATGTCTTCCATAAATGCCAGCATGATAATGAAAATGCTTAATATCTATTTAATTTTACTAAGCGCTATGACAAGCACAGCAAAGTTACCTCCTTTAATACTACAACAATTAGTGTTCATGCGTTAGACACTATTTTTCTTTTTCATTTTGCAGATAAGGAAACTGAGGTGTAAAGTTAAGAATGTGTTCAAATATCTAGGAGGTAGCAGATTCAAGACTTGAATGAAGTTTCTCTAATTCCACAGCCAAGGATCTTGAGCACTCATTTTAGAATGTAATCCCCTGTGTGTAAAATTTATGTCTAACATTTCATGATTCACAGCACCATGTCCTATGACTAAAGAAAGTATTTCACATGACTTAGTAGTCATTCGTCAGGCGCCTACCAATGAAGAATCCTATCAAATGTCCAGCTGGCATTTTGATCTGTCACTGTTGTAGAAGATGCAGTTTTCAAATTTAAAAGCAACTTAGAAAAGATATAAATATCTCATTTCAGGTAAGGAATGAGTAGGAAATGGATTCAGGAGCACAGAGAATCTCAACAACTGATAAGGCTTTAAAAGAAAACTCCAGAAATAACTCTTGGCCACCATGTATTTCTGAAGTGTGAAACTGCAACCCATTGCCAGATCCTCTGAACAAAATCTGTGAAAAATCAAAGGACATAATCTGGTAGGATTTCTTCTGCCATTGGAGCTATACTGAGCTGCAGGCAATTCTGGCTGAAATGTTTCACTCTTCCAAAAGGTAGCAGCTGGCCTCTGGTATAAAAAGCAAATTGGTGAATAAAATTCACACTCTTCAAAATGTGCGAACATCGGTGATTTTTTTTCAGCACCACTTTCTTCTAAAGCTAAACCAGAGAGGCAAACACTGACTTTTAAAAATTCCCTTTTTATTTAAATTTCTGTCAATTTTCTTGGTAAAATGTTTTGTTGAAAGTATTGCATAGACAGGGTTACTGTGCACACATGTACACACACACACACATACAAATACACTGCCCTTCTATCTTCCAAAACTAAGCGACAAGGTAAAAAAAAAAATCTTTGATCCAGCTAAACAAAGACCTAATTTAATCATGAAATTCTGAAAGTATGACTAAGAGACATAAATATGTTGCTGTATTTTTATGAATTTATTAGCAAAACACTTTTGAACGCAGTGTCTAATAAAGTATATTTTCCCTAAATTTAAAATGAAGATGGCCTTACTAAGTAGCAGATATTTATATAATACAGACAACTTTTCTTTTTAAATTTAAACTTAATTTTTTTTTTTTTTTAGATACAAGGTCTGGCTCTGTCACCCAGGTGGGAGTGCAGTGGCATGATCATAGCTCACTGCAACCTCAAACTCCTGAGTTCAAGTGACCTCCACATTAAAGGCATAAAAGTGAGACCTTAAACTGTAAAATTATTAGAAGAAAACATAGGAGAAATGCTTCTTGACATTGGTCTGGGCAATAAATGAACCAATATTAATGCATGGATTATTAACTGAAGTCCATATTTCATTCATATTTTCTTAGTTTTCACTTAAGTACTTTTTTCTGTTACAGGATCTCCTTTATGACACCACATTACATTTAGTCGTTGTTTTCTTAGGGTCCTTTTGGCTATTACAGTTTCTTAGGCTTTCTTTGTTTTTGATGACCTTGACAGTTTGAGGGATACTACTCAGAGATTTGCAGGGTATTCCTCCATAGGAATACCCTGCAAATCTCTGAGTAGTATCCCTCAAACTGTCAAGGTTTTCCTCATGGTAAAACTGAGATTATAGGATTTGGGGAGGAAGACTACAGGGGTAAAGCGGCATCCTTATAACACTAAGTGCATACTGTCAAGAGTTCATTCTATCAGCATGACTTATCACTATTGATGTTGACTCTATTCACCTGGCTGAGTAGTGTTGACAGGTTTTTCAACTGTGAAGTTAATCTTTTATTCTCCTTTCTATACTGTACTCTTTGGAATGAAGTCTCTATGTGCAACTCACATTTTAAGGAGTGGGGAGTTATGTTCCACTTCCTTCAGGGCAAAATATCTACCTAAATTGTTTGAAATTCTTGGAGATTTATCTCTCCTCCCCCACTTACTACCTATTCAATCTATTTATATCAGTATGAACCATGGATATTTACTTTATACTTTGGGTTATAATCCAAGGCTACTTTATTGAATGTGTTGGTCAAATTGTTCCAGTTTGGCCATTGTGAGCATTTTAAATCGGTTCCTGTGTCCTTTTGATGTATCTCCATCATTATGGGTTTGTTTTATTTTGTTTTTATTTTAGCACTTGCTTACTTTTTGGCACTATAAGATTCTTCAGGCTGATCAGTATATTTCCTTCCCTAGTCCTAGAATAAGTCATTTTTCCAAGGACCTCTGTTCCCTTTCATTGGAGAATGGTATTAAACACCAAAATCCAGGTATTATATGTGTTCATTGCTACTAGGCCCTCTCAGTTGATAGAGCAAAGAAATATACCAACCAATGTATATATACGTACTGAAAAATATTTCTATATGTAACCATCTGTGTCTATACTAAACTAAACCTGAGTTCATACTGATGTCTCCAACTCTAATCTACAACTTGCATCATTTTAGTCTCCTCCTTTGCTTATCTGTAACATTCCACTCCAACAGTGAGTACCTGGCTTCCACCATCGGGCATCCATTTACTTAACTGTCCAATTCCAGCATACATCTATAGTAGCATCAGAACTGTTAACCTGTACTCCTACGGGAAACAACTTTTTAAAATACAGGACAATAATTATGTACAGCTTTTTTTGCCTTCATCTTACAGATTTCACTCACTTCCGATGTTACTTTGTTCAGCACCTCCACCCCCTTGAGTGAGGTTGTTTCATACATTTGTAATACAGTTAGATTGTTTTTGTCTCATCCATTGTTCTCTAAAAAGAAAAAGGAAGCTGAATATATTAACCTGCTTCATTGTATTCTAAATGCCAGAATATTTAAAATAGAATTATATTTTAGTCTAGGTTTCCAAGTATTTTAAACACTCTGCTTGAATTCCATGGCTGTGGAGTTTATTCACGGTGCTTTTAATACACACTCTTGTACACATGCACACATACACAGTTACCTATACTTCAATCCACTCACTTTAATGAAATTTTATACATTCTAAATGCTGAAATATTTCAAATTTTAGCTTCTAGTAAGATAAATGATATCTTTAACAATTATGCATTAGTAAGAATACGAGAATACAAATTCATTCTCTCAAAAATGACTCTATCTATAAGGAATTTTTATTGTCTCTTCTTCTCTTGCCCCATATTTGGGGAAAATATTCCCTTGGCTACTCTGTTCCTCCCATTACTAGAACAATTCAAATTGGGGACAGGACAAATGGGGGCTGTGAACACAGTGTAAAGCCAGAGCTTTGCTTCAGTGGCTCAGGTCTTTACTCCAAAAGAAATGGTAACACACAAGGCAAGGATGGATCACACATGAGGGAATATTTGGCATCCTGTCCAGTTTTACATCCTGATTGAGGACAATTTGTGTGGGACTGACACAGGCCATTTCCACGCATATCCTAAATTTATTAAACATGGTTATTAAATTATGTCTGTCTGTATTTCTCACAATATACAGTATGGATAAAACTACTTTCTCATTTCCTTTTTCATTGCAACCTGATTTAAAACAGGGATGTTTGCTCACTAAATTGGTTGAGAAACTAGTGGCTAAATTTGAAACCACCACCTAAATTTAGACAGTCAAAATTGCCCACCAATGAAACATTCTCCACCTCCTATCCACAATACAACCATTGTTCTTCTATGTGTGTCCTTATTTTTGACCAAAGCTGTCAATTAAGGTAAGTCCCAACAATTCTCTAAAACATGGAGGAGAGAAAATGTTCAAATAACAATATTATGATCAGGGCTTCCAAAGGGTACAAACAGCTACAAAACCATAAAACACAGCTAAATGTGAAAGTCAACACTACCAAGCCAGAGGCTTTCAATGAATTCCCTCTTGAAAGAGGTCTCTAGTAGGCATCTAATGGAGCCACCAATATGGTTCTGACTCACACACTCTGCATCCCTGAAGAAAGGGATCATAACAGAAACTCAAGGCATTTATTTTAAAGGAAGTTAGAGCAAGAAATCAAAAGAATTTTTTGTCTGTTCTGTTCCATTTTAATAACTTTTCTTTCTAAATGAATTCTGGTGAGAAAACATTCAAACACATTTAAGGTGGTCTAATACCCAATTATTGAGAATTATTCACTTTCTTCTACATAAGCATATATTTGTTCACTCAAATTAAATCTGTGGCCCACTTAAAATCAGATGGAGTAACATCACTGCACTTAATATTTAGAGGGAAAAAAAGTTTGTTTTACATCCCACTTAACTGGAAAGCAGTTAAAATAAGAAAGCCATTAATTCTTTAAAAAAATTCTTGAACTTCCTTTTAGAAAATGTTAGAAAGTAAAGATACAGTCATTTACAGCATTTAAAATGGGAAAATAAAAGGTAAATTTGGGAAAGTGTAATTGACCATGAAAAAATGTTAATTTCCTCAGAGAGTTAAGACATTACATCCACAAAAAGAAAGAGAGTATTCTGAAAAATAAACACCAAAAAATAAAGAACTTTTAAAGCTCCTAGAAATTTAAAAAAAAAACTTTATTAAAAGGTAAAATTAATTTCTCAGTAAGTCAGAAAAAAATTAAGACATAGAAAATATGACAAACTTTAAAGATCAATATAGGAGGTTCAACATCTGACTTATACAAGTTTCAAAGAAGAGAAAACAAAGAGAAAGAAATTATCAATGAAATAATATAAGAAAAATTAACAGAACAAGGCAGTAAAGATTTAAAGTGCCTAAAGAGTGCCCAGTACACTAATGATAAAAGATTCTCACCAATACATATCATTCGCAAAATTATTTCACAATATCAGAGATAATGAATAGATCCTACGGGATGCCAGAAAGAAACAAATAAAAATAGGTAATATAGAAGTAAATATGAGGGAGAATAGCATCAGATTTTATAATTGCAACACTGGAAGCAACAAGACCTTTGAAATTCTGCTAAAAGTTCTTAAATTGTATAAAACATCATAAGTGAGAGTTGAATAAAAACAAATATTGCAGATGAACAAGTTCTCACAATTTTTATTTTACATGTATCCTTTGTTAGGAAACCATCAGAGAAACTCTTCCAAAAAATGAGATACATTCCCCAAAAACTAGAAAGTAGTAAAAGCCAAAAGGAGGTTCCCTCTTGATATAGTCTGGATATCTGTCCCCTCCAAATCTCATATTGAAATCTGATCCCCCATGTTGGAGAGGGGCCTAGTGGGCGGTGTTTGGGTGATAGGGGCAGATCCATCATGAATGGCTTGGTGCCCTCCCTGCAGTAATGAGTTCACATGCAATATGGTTGTTAAAAGGAGTCTGCAATTTCCTTCCCCTCTCTTGCTCTCTGTCTCTCTCCATATGACATGAAGGCTCCCCTTCACCTTCTGCCAAGAGTGGAAACTTCTTGTGGCCTCACCTGAAGCAGATGCTGCTGCCATGCCTCTTGTACAGCCTGCAAAATCATGAGCCAAATAAACCTCTTTTCCATATAAACTCCCCAGTCTCTGATATTGCTTTATAACAATGCAAAATGGACTAACACACTCATGAAAATGGTAAAGGGAAGTCCAGTTTTTATTTTTTCTTAAAACTGTACTGTGGAGATGATGACTGTACAGAAAGCAAAGCATTCAACCCTACCTAATGCATAGGGGAATGTAGGCTTCCAAAAGAATTTTCTGAAGGAAGTGTAATTGGTAGATCATCTGATACATTTAAGAATATGGAAATTAATATTGATTAATGTTTAACATATCTCAAGAAACAGATAGGTACATAGAAAACTCAGCAAAATTTTAAAAATGAGTCAACTAATAACTCCAAGCAAAAAGAGCAAATTTTGCAGCAAATGAAATAATAATAGTATACTACTTGACTCTGCAATAAAATGTAAACACTACTGACTACTAAAAATTCGTGATATGGATGCAGGAGGGTGACAGAGGGAAATTGAGAAAGATAACAAGTTTTTATCAAAAACGTTAAAAATCTAAACATGAAAAATCAAGAAATAACAAAATAAACATATTTTTTTAAGAAACGTGGAGGTAAATACCCAAGATATTTTTGAGAAAATGGAAGTCTAGGGAACAGGACTTTCAAGGAAAGATGGGACAGGTAAAGCCTCTGCTTTGTTATACATCTTTGGTACTATTTGATTTCTAAGTACATTATTTCTTACTTTGCTACAAATAAAAATAAATATATACCTTATAATAAAATCAAACTGACCTCAGAAGCAGTAATAATATTCTATTTCTTAATCTGAGTAGAAGGATTCATGACTTTTTTCAAAATTATACTGTGGAAATTTTCAAACATGCAATAAAGTTGAAAAAATGTTTATAGTGAACACCTGTATACCCAACACTCAGACCCTGCCATTAACATTTTACCATAGTCACCTCATCACATATCCAGCCATCTACCCATGCTCTATCTATTCAAAATCCATCTTCTATATATATATATATATAGAAGATATATATAATAATCGTCTAATATATATATGTCTATATATGTGTGTGTGTGTGTATATATATATATATATATATATATATATATATATATATATATATTTCAAGGTAAATTGCTAACATCAGTGAACTTTCCCCTAAGTACATTAGCAAATGTATAAATGTTTTAGAAGAAGCTTTTAAGAATCAAAAAAATCAAGCAAATTATTGAACAAATTAAAAATTGGAATATAATATAGTCTTCTCAGTCAAAATTTGACTTTGCATATTTGAGCTTTACAAATTTTGTCATCAGGTCGGGTGTGGTGGCTCACGCCTATAATCCCAGCACTTTAGGAGCCCAAGGCTGGCAGATCACTTGAGGTCAGGAGTTCAAGACCAGCCTGGCCAACGTGGTAAAACCCCATATCCACTAAAAACACAAAGATTAGCCAGGTGTGGTGGTGAACGCCTGTAGTCCCAGCTACATTAGGATGCTGAGGCAGGGGGATTGCTTGAACCTGGGAGGCAGAGGTTGCAGTGAGCTGAGATAGCGCCACTGTACCCCAGCCTCAGAGACAGAGCAAGACTCCAAGTCAAGAAAAAAAAAAAAAGTTCCTCAGAGCCAAGTTCAGTGCTCAATAAAGGGTCCCAGTAAAGGTATGTTGAAGTAAATCAACACTTTAACTTTCTTAGTACAGTTTAGGTTAATTCATGACCCAATTCTAGGAAAGAAGACTGGCTTCTATTTTGCAGTGTTGCTTTTTTAAACAAACCCTAAGTTTACAATTAAATGATAAGATTCAGGAAGAATATCTAAAAAAAAAACCTAAATGTTATTTTGGTAAAGAAAGTTATGAGAACTGGTTAGGATGAACCTTTACTTTCTTTTCTAATAAGAATTTCTCTCCTTGCTTAATAAGCTTGCAGAAGCAAACATACACTCTACTGTGGCTTAACATTTACTTAAGATTATATGACTAACTTAAATGTCACAATGCAAATTACTGAAGTAATTGAAATAGTACTTAATGGGTCTCTAATCATCCAACAGCATCTGAGTTAATACATAAACTAACACACACAGCTAAACAGCGCCTGAACAGTAACAATTTTATGACTGTGATTTAACAGACAATGTCACATATAACACATTCCTTAAAATACTTCCATGACTTGGTGATACTTTCTAGATCCATAAATCACATTCTCAAGAAAGCCAAAAAAGTAAACTGGTTGTTTGAAATTTCATTAACCCTTTGCTCTGAAATCTGATGGCTGTGCCAGCACAGAGCACAGGAGGAATAGGTAATAGCAAAGAAACTGAAGTGGGACATTCCACAAAGTGGCTGCATCCAATCTCTTCACAGATAAATCCAAGACTCAGAGCCCTCTGCGGAGTGTGTTATGACCCCATTCCTGTAAAGCTAATGATTTTTCATTTCCCATTTTTAGTAACTCTCGACTTAAAATATATGAAATAACTAACTTCAAGGAGAAGGACTGGGACTAATGAGACCAGAACAACAGAATGAAATTGAAATTTGAAACTCCAAAGCCATAGATACAGCACATAAAGGCCAGCACTGGTGGCCAAGTGAGTGAAGTCAGAACCAAGTTTGCATAAGTGAAAATCAGCTGTTTCCTGGGCAGCTGAACTTCATGACCTACATCACACTTCACTCTTTCTAAATAGTCTGGCATAAGAGGAACTCGAGCAACTCAATTGCAAGAAAACACATAAACCAATTAAAAAACGAGCAAAGCACTTGAAAAGACATTTTTCAAAAAGTGACATACAAATGGCCAACAGGTATACAAAAATATGCTCAACATCAGTAGTCATCATGAAAATGCAAATTAAAACTACAATGAGATATCTCACACCTGATAGAATGGCTACTATCAAAAAGACAAAAGATAACAAGATTTGGCGAGGATGTGGAGAAAAGGGAACCCCTTGTACACTGTTGGTGGGAATGTAAATTAGTACAGCCATTAATAGAAAACAGTATGGAGGTTCCTCAAAAAATTAAAGATGGAACCACCCTACTATCCAAGAATCCCATTTCTGTATATATCAAAGGATATGAATCAGTGTGTCAAAGAGATCTGCACTTTCATGTTCACTGCAGCATTATTCACAGTAGCCAAGGTATGGAAGCAATCTAAGTGTCAATCAATGGATAGATACATGGGTTAAAAACATAGTATATATATCTGCATGTACACAATGGAATCCTATTTAGCCTTAAAAAAAGAAGGAAATCCTGTCATTAGCAACAACATGGATGAACCTGGAGGACATTATGCTAAGTGAATAAGCCAGGCACAGAAAGACAAATACTGCATGATCTCAGTTACATGTGGAATCTATAGTAGTTGAACTCATAGAAATGGAGAGTAGAAAGGTGGTTACCAGAGATTGGAAGAGGGAATTGGGAATATGTTGGTTAAAAGATACAAAATTTCAGTTAGGACAGAAGTATAAATTCAAGAGATCTATTGTACATCATAGTGACTATAATGAGCAATAGTATATCAAATACCTGAGGGCTGGGTGTGGTGGCTCATGCCTGTAATCCCAGCACTGTGGGAGGCTGAGGCACGAGGATCACTTGACCCCAGGAGTTCTTGAGGCTGCAGTGAGCTAGGATCGCACCACTGAACTCCAGCGTGGGCGACAGAGTGAGACCTTGTCTCTAAAAAACCCCAAACCAATATATCGTATACTTGGAAACTGCTAGGAGAGTAAACTTTAAGTGTTCTCCCCACAAAAATATGATATGGGTGTAAAGTAATGCATATTTTAATTTGCCAGATTTAGTCATTCCACAATGTATGCATATATTAAAACATCATGTTGTATATCATAAGTATAATTTCTGATTTGTCAATTAAAAATTAAAAAGTAGTCTGTGAATGCCAAGCTGGAGCCAACTGATATATTTAGCATTGGATATATGCTAAAACTGGAAACCTTTCACTAGGGACAAAGCATTTCTGATAAAGTTCTTGATAATATTTTAAATGTTAGCCCAAGAAAGAAACAACTAAAACAGTATAAAAATATTCTTTTATATTGTTTAGGAAATCAATAACTATTATATATATTGACAGGCACCTAAAGACAATATTATTTTTCTTTACACAAAGTAATACTGTTTATATTTTCCTTTGCAAGTTTATGGAATGCAGATTACATTTAAACTTTCTGATCTCAAAATACACCGCTATTATAAAGAATGTATATTCTCAGTCTTGGGTTTCCCTCAGTGTGGTAAAGTCCTGAGTCCCTCTGAACCATTTGGCAGACTGTCTCACTCAACTGAATAATTTCCAGGTTATTTGTCACCTTAAAACAAATGAGGCTGTACATTCAATTCAGTGATGTCCAAGAATAACACACTAGAAACAGCACTAAATTGGAAAATAAGAGACTTTACTTTCAGCTTTACTAATAAGCTGTGTGCTCCTGGGAAAGTCAGCTTCTCTCTTTCCTTGACAGTGATGGTCAAGATCCTGCATAGTGTGCAAGTTTACGACTGCCATTATTCTTGAGCATTGGTAAGCTGGGGTCACAGCACCTGTGGGCAAATGCTGCAAAAGCCTCAGGACTCCGGATTCTGGCTCCTTCCACTCTGGAAATAGCTTTGGCTTTGGAAATCTATCCAGTAGCATTGCTGGGCTGGAAGTGGAGGGAGGCTGGGAGTGGTTTCACATGTAATTTCCTACCCATGATGATTTACCTTATCTCCTCATCTTATCTCATTCTGTTTCTTTTTTCTCCCTTTAAACTCTATCTCATGACTTCCATGCACTTTCCATCTTATTCTCCTTCACATCACTTTCCAAAGACAATAGAAAACCCAAGAAAATGAAACTAAGTATTGCAGAAAAAAGGAAGCCTTTGTTTTCTGGACCTCCTGATTATGAGATGCAGGATTGAAGAGCCTGTGTACTATTTTAGATTGTTTAGTACTGCACCTGACCATATCAAGTAAGTGTGGCTGCTTAAGAAACATGAGCATATTCTGATTTTTGCTAAGAATGTGTCAATCCATCCCCAAATTCTAATGACCTGAAAGAGTAAATGCATATCTGAAAGCCTCTAACATGTCTCTTTCAGGAGACATTTAATGCACTGTGGCAATCTGGTTGTTGCATAGATCCCTTCCATTAAAGTATTATTTTCTAAAATAAACTTTCCCATTCTTTGTCCATTTTATTTTCCAATATTCCAAGTCCTCTAAGACAGTTTCCTGGCTGTCCCATGTGGTCTAACAGAATCCTTTTCCAATTACTATTTTTAAAATTAGATAAAAATTCATGTTTTCTATCTTAATTATCTGTTACCCTTTTATATGATCTTTTGTTAAATGTCTCAAAAATTTTATCCCAAAGATGGCAATAAATCTGTTCCACTATTCAAGTTCATAATTTAATTTTCTTTGAAATCATATTTGCAGTTTTGCAAGTATTTTAAAAAATATGTATAAGTCCTTACCCTTATAAAATTGGCTATGGAAAGAGAGCAAAAGTAACAATAACAGTGGAGTTGTCAGAATAAAAATAAAATACAAAGACTCTAATATATTATGTTAAAATCATTCAATACAAATATGACTGAAAACCAGCAGAGTGCTGAAAAATATTTAACAACTGGCTTTTTGCTGAGGTGGGTGGAATCCCTGATTTGTAATGACTGCTGATTTCCCTGGTATAAATGCTCCCTCCATGACATCCATAGCTAATTTACAGCTACCAAGTGTTTAACAACTGGCTCAGAAAATTCTGGAAATTTTAACAGTCAGCTCAAGTGAGCTGGTACACGCCAGCTCCAGCACATAGTTGGAGCCTACTATGTTTAAAGCACTGTTAAACTTTCATTTTATAACTGAATAATACTTTAACATATAACTGCTATCATCATTAGAATCTTTGGGCCTATTAATAGTTGATGTTTAATAATATCTTTTACACAAATAGCTCTGGGGAGTGAGGAAAAATCATATTTCTTAGTCAACCTCAAATATCTTGATATACTAAAAAGTTAATTGAAGAAAGCCAACATGAGTTAAATAAGCAATCATTGAACAGAATTTTTAACACAGCCATAGTGTACTACTCTAGTGTGTGCTGATGGATGTTAAATTCTTGGTGGACTTGAACAATAACAATGATGTAGCTGAAATTAAATTCAACAGAGAGGGTCAGGGAGAATTGAGTGCCAACCAGCACCAGAAGATCACAAAATCCTAATTTGGTTTGCAACCTTTAAGAATCCCAATGCCAATTCCCTTATCCTGCCATAAAATCTACCCATTCAGGCAGTTGTGACATGTGAGGATTAGGCCCCATTATTTCATTCGTTTTTTAAATGTGCTTTCCCTTTATACCAAAGGATTAACTTAATCTCGTCCTTCATTATGCATGAGGTTCAAGTTCTCCTTCAAATTATAGGATTTGCACTAGTGCACACCATCTCCACCGGTGTCCCTTGTGATTAACCTGATTCAGTTCATTTCTCTATTTACTGAGTGTGAGCGTCTTCTCCATATCAGGAGCTGTGTCAGGATTCAAAGATGCTCAAGGACATCCCTTGCTCTCTGGTCATCAAGTGGACCAGTTCAGAAACCAGTCAGGAATGAGGAGTGCCAGTAGGTCATGTAAAAAACATGAAAAGTTAAACTTGGCCTGTAAGCCCAGTGACATGTCAACAAGCCATTCACAACAATGATACATCAGCCAATGAGAAGTGATGCTACAGAGGCTAAAACACATTTCACTCCACCCCAAACACTAAAGTGCTTAAGGGCCAAAGTACAACCCATTTCCTTTCGTATTATTTACTACAAAATAAATGAATAGATATTTAAGAAATTTTAAAAATGAGGAGAAGATAAAAGCACCATAATCAAAACATTTTTCTGATCTCCCCTTCTTAGACACTAATCCTTCCAGCTCATGTTTGCATAATCTTTAAGGATTCATTTTTTGCCTATCTGGTCATCAAGGTCCCTGGAGACTCTTCAGTGTTTCAACACATCATAATGAAAAGGACTGATGACTTCTCAACCACCAAACCTCACCAGCCATCTCACTTGAAAAAGTAGCCTCATAATCACTTTACTGCTCAACCATATTCACACTTTCAGATGCCAAAAGATTATTTTCCTTTATGTACAAGTCAATTTTTTTTTATTTCTTTAACAACACATAAGTACATTTGTCTTGCTTTATTCTTGCTGGTTTAGATTATAAAACCCTCTGTGTGGTCTTTTAATCCTTACCCTCATGTTCATGGGCACTCTCTTTTGTTAATAACCATGACAATTTTTTTGAAATTCACTCGTCTTTTCATTCTGTTCATTCAGTCACTAAATCTCATCTAACACATGGCACTGGTTTTCTCTCTGAAATTACCCTGATTTAAGCGAAGAATGGTAGCTTGTTTTACAGTAGTGAAAAATCAAAGTAAAGTTGAGAATGAACACTAAGGTACTATTCAGCCTCACCTTTCTTTGGACTAAAAGTACAATGCCCCTTTTTTTCTCAGTAGCAGCTTTCTGAACTTCAATACTTTCCTTATTATAGTGATAGCCATCTAGAAAGCTATGTTTACCGATTAATAAAAGAAGAACCTTAGAAGGGAATGAATCTGTTCAGAAAAAGGCCCTATGCTATGTAGAAGGGAAAAGATCTTTAATGAAAGTTAAATTACCTTCTTAGAATTAAAGGCTGCCATTCACAGGAAGCCTGAGCCCCCCAGGTGATTTGGAATACAACTCCACTTTCATCACTATCACTTTAGAGATGGCAAGTAATAGCTGCTACTTTATTTTAAAAATATCCCCCACCATTCAAACCTCTTTTTACTTGAGAAACTCAACTTATATCTCATCACGGAACTTGCTCTCATCACTGAGCTTATATGGTGCAATTAGTAATTGCCTTTTGAGATGTTTCCTTTTATCTGGGCACTGAATAACTCACTTTCTTGCTTGCTATGATAACAGAACTGTATTAGATGACGAGAAAATCATCTCACTACTCTTAGCAATGACAAGATCATTACCCTACAGAAATTCAAAGAAGAATTTGTTTTATAAGGAGCAAAGTAGAGAGGATATCATGTGAGAAAGAAAGGCAATATTCCTGGGTCACTCAGCAAGTCCAGGTAGCAAAGAGCCTCAAAATCTGAGTAATAAAAATATAGAAATGACCAACCTTAGGTTGATAATTCATTCATTCTGTGAAAATCCAAGGAGCTCTAAGACTCTAGGACAAACACTAGGAATAGGTAGTTAAATAAGACACGAATTTTGCTCATAAGGGGTTACATAGTCTCTTAGAAAGACAGACTTGTAAACAAACACTGAAAACATGAGAAGTAAAGGAGACGTATTCAAATTGCTGTGAAATTGAAAAGCCAAAAGAATCAAAGCTCAACCCAAAAGGATGAAAAGAAAACTGTACCTCTAGGCTTAGAAAGTACTGCTCCATGTCATTATGTGATGGATGGGTAAATGAGTGCATATGCACACAGAAGTCATAGAAGCTAGCCTGTAGGAGAGACGTCTATGAACCCCTAGACAAACCACACTCCCCACCCAAACACTCATTCTGTCCTTGAATCTGCTGCCAACCTTCTGCTAAGTAGTCTCTCAGCCTGAGTCCTATGACTGAGCTTCTTTGAGGATGGGGTGCTTACAATCTCTGAGGCAGTCACTACCTTGGGAAGTTCCATTTGTTTTCCCTTGTATTTAGCTGAAATCTCTTTTCCCTTAGCTTCAACCAATTGGCATCAGTTATTTCCTCCAAATTCTGTTAGAGAGTGCATTCCAATTACTAAAGATGCTAAGTAAACAAGTATTAAAAGGAATGCTATATTTAAGGCTGCCTGATCTTTCTACTTACTATGAAATGCAACACACATTGATTGAGTGCCTACTAAATGAAAGAACTGTGTGAGGTACTAGGCGGCCACTGGAATAAGAGAACAAATCTGCCTACAAGAAGCTCACAGTCTAGCGAGCGGGGCAGGTATGTACCTTCATAATAAGGGGCAGAACAGGATTATCATCACAGAGAAAGACAAGTCAAGTAGAACAAGGGCTCAGCGGATGCAGAGATCACTTTCTACTTAGTAAATCTGGAAATAGCCATGGAGAAAGGAAAATGCAAAATTAACAGAGTCAACCAATACTTATTTACCGTCTACTATGTGCTAGGTAGTGTTTGGGGGACTGAGGTTACAGCAGCACATCTAACATTTGAGGTCTTTACTTCCAAAGAGATTAGATTTTAGAGAAAGGAGACATAGACAAGTGTGACATATATTTCACAATGTGTGTGTATATAGTATCACGATATATATATATATAAATTATATGTATTATATATTGTGACATATATATGTCATAGGGTGATAATGATAAAGGGGACAGTGCTGCCGGGTGGGGGGCAGGTTTCTATTTCAGATAAGAGGAACACCTCATATGGGGACTTCTAAGCACAAACATTAAGGAAGTGAATAAGCAAGCTATGCAGATATCTAGGGGAAGAGATAGGTCTTGAAGATGAGATCTGGTGTTACCCAGGAGACTCTGGAATGAAAAGCACACACTGAGGCATAAAGAGAGGAAGCTACCTGACACAAAGGGAAACAGCATGTGCTGCAGTTTGGTGTAATGCAGGATTAGTGTAAAAGCCATGGAAGATAAAGGATAGAAAAGCAGAATTGGATAGCAATTCTCCATGACACTTCTACATGTCTGATGACAGCTTTTGTCTTAGATTATCTTTGCAAATTTGTGGGTCGAGCAAACAGCCTTGGAAGATAGAGACAATGTCTTTTTTCAGGGTAAAGGGCATATTTGTTTCATCACCAGGATAATGTCCTTGGCTGGGGCAAAGGCTTGGTAGCAACCCTTATAAGATAGGGGGCTTTCTAAGCTTGGAATTTCTCAGCAGTGACACATCATCAGTATATGCCCAGGAATCCCCGAGGCTACTCCACATCTCCAGCATGGGACTCATGGGGAAAACCAGTACAAACATGGAGCTCATGTTGCCTGCTGTGCTGTAATAAAGTCCTTCATTTCTGACCCAGGAGTTTTCTATCTTTTGCCAGTATCCATGAAAATGTGACAGTCTAACTTTTTAGCTTGCAAATAAAGTAAATCTCAGGACCTTCACAACATAGCTGGGCTATTATTATGCTAATAACTAAACACTGAGTTGAGAAACTTCCATTCTACTTGGGAGAGGGGTAGGGGAAGTACAGAGAAACAACCAACCAAACAAACAGACACTTGATAGAATGTCAGGTAGTCACAAATGAACAATAAAGTAAGATAAAAGGACAGAGTAATGGGGATGCTATTTTAGATATGGTGATCAGGAAAGGCCTCTATGAGGAGGTAAATGTGAGCAGAGACCTGAAAAATAAAATGAAGCAGCTGCTTGCTATGGTTATGTCTATTTAAGAGATAAGGAAACAGAAGCTAGGAGTGTGTATCTTGCTGAGGTCTTGTCCACACTAACGAGTTGTGCATTTGTCACAGCTTACACAACTAACAAGCTGGGGACTTGTTACACAACTAGTTACACAACTAACAAGTTGTATATTTGCCACTACATAAAAAGTAGTGCGGTGGGGATATGAACCATGGCATCATGAATCCTGCCACACTATGCGTTCTGTATATACTCATCTCTAAGGGGTAATGAGCACTCAAACTATGGAGAATGCAGTAGGAGTTATGAGAAGGAGCAGATCTGAAAAACAGCAAGAGACAGATTTCACAAAACTGGTCACTGGGTTCGCTGAAAAGGCAAATAAAGAGATTAGAGAGGACTCAGAGCCTTTAAGCATGGATGGCCAGAAGAACAGCCGTTCCCAGAAACCAGGGCTCAAGGATGAGGGGCTGAGAGGGAGGGAGAATGGGTAAATGGATAAATAATGACTTGATTTTCGACATACCAACCTGGACGCATTAGTAGAATAGCCTTTGAAACTTCCCCTCCGATTTGAGATTCATGGACTTTGCTCCTCTGCCCTCTGTTGTGACTTTTATTAATCTATAAACTCTAGTTCTACCCCAGCCCCTGGGCCCTATTAAAACACCGGCAAGAGAAAATGAACTGTCTCGTGCTGACTATTCCTAACCAGCTGGCTTTCTTTCAATAAACAGGGAGTGAACTCAGTGTCTATTCTCTCTTACTAAATTTTCCATTTTTCATTCCTTTTGGAGATTTCAGAAGAATAAGGGGAAACCTCCCCGCATTTTCCCCAGTGCTTCTTTTTGACGGGTTCCTGGAGAACACCACTGTACTGCTGTTCAATTTATTTTTCTTACTTATATTAAATATAACAAATTCAGACACCACACTGTCATAAATCCATGTCACATTTTATCCCTTTATGTTGACTGCAGGATTTTTAAAACTTCATTCTAACTTCTTTAAAGCTTGCCAGAGTGCACTGATGTTGAGGTCAGTAATAGGTCTTTTATTTCTATTTTTAAGCAGTTCTGATTTATTATAGGATTTTTAAAACAGTATTAAAAATATAAAAAGGCATAAACTTTTAAAAATTAACTGTTTATTAAAAATAAACTTTAAAAAATTAACCATATAATGATTGCCATTCTAACTGGTGTGAGATGATATCTCATAGTGGTTTTGATTAAAAAGTCAGGAAACAACAGGTGCTGGAGAGGATGTGGAGAAATAGGAACACTTTTACACTGTTGGTGGGACTGTAAACTAGTTCAACCATTGTGGAAGTCAGTGTGGCGATTCCTCAGGGATCTAGAACTAGAAATACCATTTGACCCAGCCATCCCATTACTGGGTATATACCCAAATGACTATAAATCATGCTGCTATAAAGACACATGCACACGTATGTTTATTGCGGCATTATTCACAATAGCAAAGACTTGGAACCAACCCAAATGTCCAACAATGATAGACTGGATTAAGAAAATGTGGCACATATACACCATGGAATACTATGCAGCCATAAAAAATGATGAGTTCATGTCCTTTGTAGGGACATGGATGAAATTGGAAACCATCATTCTCAGTAAACTATCGCAAGAACAAAAAACCAAACACCGCATATTCTCACTCATAGGTGGGAATTGAACAATGAGATCACATGGACACAGGAAGGGGAATATCACACTCTGGGGACTGTGGTGGGGAGGGGGGAGGGGGGAGGGATAGCGTTGGGAGATATACCTAATGCTAGATGATGAGTTAGTGGGTGCAGCGCACCAGCATGGCACATGTATACATATGTAACTAACCTGCACAATGTGCACATGTACCCTAAAACTTAAAGTATAATTTAAAAAAAAAAAAAAAAAAGAAAGAAATTCCAGAGCACACAAAAAAAAAAATTAACCATATAATGAAAATATATGTATATGTTAAATGTATGCATAACAATAAATATGTATGCATGTGTGTGTATATAATATATTCTCCGTGGTGGCAGGTACCTGTAGTCCCAGCTACTTGGGAGGCTGAGGCAGGAGAATGGGGTGAACCCAGGAGGCAGAGCTTGCAGTGAGCCGAGATCGTGCCACTGCACTCCAGCCTGGGCGACAGAGCAAGACTGTGACAAAAAAAAAAAAAATATATATATATATATATATACACACACACACATATATATTCTCCTTTTTTACACAAATGGCATTATATTATACAGACTTTGAAGATTAGAAGATACTGTTTTAAAACTACCACCAAGGACTCACCCTTAGGTAGGCATGCACATGTGAGTTTATATACACACACACACATACATATGAAATATAGTCAATATTTAAAATTTTATTATAGTGTAAAAGTAGTTATATCTCAGCATTTGATGATGATGATGATGACGATGAGGATGATGACTCTGTAAACCACATCAGTGATATGTTCTCCAGATGAATCCTGTCTTTTAGTAACAAATCAGAACCATGGATAGCAACACCAGTCGTCCCACCCCTTTTCCTTCCCTTCAAAATGATTTATTCTTTCAAAGGAGTAACTTCACCCCAATCTCTACTTTCCTGTCTTTAAAAAACCTGAAGGTATAAGTGAGGATTTAAGTGCCCCAGAGGGCTTAATCTTGAAAAATATTAGCGACTGTTACTTAAATCTATGTAACACCACATTTGGGAATGAGCACTATTTAAGGCAGACATCAATCAGTTATTCAATCAGGTTGATTAGCAAAAAATAAAAATTCCATTGTAAACCTCTTAGGGCAGAGAGATGAACTGCAAGTTTTGCTTGTTAATAATACCATTTAAAAGAGATCTGGGTCTTTGTTCAGGCCTTGTTTTGTGTGAGACACCCATGAAAAATTATTTGTAGTTTCAGCCTGTGCAGGGTTCAGTTGAGGTTCAGATTCAGGATATTAAATTTATGGAATAGATTAAAGCCATGCTCTGCAGCCAGCATGGCTTTTAGTTTGCAGAATGAAACATGGGGGTGTAGAGAGAGGGATTTCAAAGCTCTGTATTCAGGCTGAGCTTATCTTTTTTCCTATGACCACTATGCTTTAAGAAGAGTTTAGAAAGTCGGCCAGTCATGAATGCTTGTCTATTAAACATATGCTTCTGGGACAAAGACCACACAGAATGTGAGGATGCATACTATGACTTCTGCCCTCAAAATGCTTATATATTTTGGGGGGGATAAGACAAGTTGTATATAAACAGTCACTGTTTTTCATCTTTGCACATGGCCATATTCTGAACAATAACAGTAAATATCAAGAGAATAATTCATCAGTGCTCTAATAGGACATTCAGAGGAGAGAGGAAACCTGTGGGCTGCTGGTACTGAGAGACATAATGAAGCAGATGGGATTAGAACTGGGTTTTTAAAAAAGAGTGGAATTTTGACAAGCACACATTAAGGATCCATCTCTGTGAAGGAAAATCGAGTACAATTGCCATTCACTGGACAGAGTTGTCCTCCCTGTAACACTGGCCACAAGCGTCCAAGCCAGGACAGCATTCTGAGAGCCTGATGGACTGAGAAAGGGAACTTTTCCCAGAGTAACCAAGGGCT
Organism: Homo sapiens; assembly: GCF_000001405.40. Taxonomy (NCBI): domain Eukaryota; kingdom Metazoa; phylum Chordata; class Mammalia; order Primates; family Hominidae; genus Homo; species Homo sapiens. The sequence goes on from NC_000013.11 coordinate 36,058,344, forward strand.
AGGCTGTGTGAGGAGCAAGAATGAATTTTAGTAGGGAATGAGAACCAGATATTAGTGCCAAGGGCAGGATCAAGACTCAGGACTGAGAGGGAGATCTAATTAGAAGGCAAATTAAGAAATGTGAAGCTAACATCAGAGGTAAGTCTGGAGTAAGGCACTTAGTGAGGAAGGATGAAGCAATTCTAGATATAGGCTGAGAACAAGGTGAGGATCTTAGAGGTCCACAGCTATAAGAAACATCTAAAATGGGATTGCGGCAGCCAGGAAAGATGTAAAGATATTATAAAATTAGACCCAGGATTTGCTATTTGAGGGGTTATCTGAAGGGAAAGAAGTAGAAAAAGTCGTTTCAAAGATTTGAGGCTCAGAAGAATGAAGACCCCCACTGATATGGAAGGCCACTGTGAGAACTCGATTGAGCATTTGATTTTGCTTATGTTGAATTTGGCATCCAGGCCAACATATAATTTAGTGGGGAGTATATGCTCAGTAGGGATTAATTCAGAGCTGGAACTCCCTGAATAGATCAGGAATGACATCCAATATCCCTTATTTTTCTCAGGAATAAGTTAGTAATGATCAGAATATCTACTGGATTTCTCAATTGACATTCGTGGCCAAAGAGAGTAGCTAAGGTAAATAAAATTGATTCTAATACTTTTCTTAAAAAATTCCACCTGCAAAACGCTACCTTTATAGGAAAAATACTGCTCTGTGGGTTGAGAATTGTTAGAATGACCTCTCCAAATCAGATGGCAAATCATGCTTTGCAAAGCTCATCATCACAGTGCTCCATCCATCATAGTGCTTTGGCCATACAGCTTCATTTACATTGAGAAACAAACAGAATTAGCGTCTGCGCCTCAGGAAAGTGCCATTGTGTATAAAAGTATTTTCTTTAAGTCAGATCAGGATAAAAGCTTTCTCTTTTCAATTCCCTACAGTACTGCTCCACTTTCTCATCCATTACCTCCTTCACATAGTAATATAAACACACACTTTACTGCTGCATGGAGAAATATTAATGCTAGAAACTTGGCATTTAAATAATACCTTTCTCCCAATAAGCCAAAAGCAGTTTATAAGGCACTATTCTATGAAATCATCACAGTGGGCCTGGAAATAAAATCAAGATCTTTGTCCCTCCAGAGACTATTTTCTCCACTAAACCCCACTGGCCAACTGCCAGCATCAGGGGAAAGAAATACAAGCACAAAAGAAAACCACTTACTTTGACTTGAGGGATTTGACTCTGGACCGTAGAGAGCTTGCACCATAGAAAGTGGGTAGCCAGAACTAATGGTGGGGTCTGACTGGTTTTCCAGTGTAATCCTTAACCCCAAATACCACAGGAAGTGCTTAAACAAATATGCTACAAGTAGTTGGAATAAAAGAAAACCCCTCTTGCTTATATTGTTCTAACCCAGCTATTCCCTTCTGATTTTCAGAATACCCTAAAGCCTGAAGGAGAATTTCTATTAGTATATCATGTTTTTCATAACAAAGATGACTTCACTTAAATCTCTTTTTTTTTTTTTTTTCTTTGAGACAGAGTTTTGCTCTTGTCACCCAGGCCGGAGTGCAGTGGTGCAATCTCAGCTCACTGCAACCTCCACCTCCTGAGTTCAAGAGATTCTTCTGCCTCAGCCTCCCAAGTAGCTGGGATTACAGGTGAACACCACCAAGCCCGGCTAATTTTGTATTTTTAGTAGAGATGGGGTTTCACCATGTTGGCCAGGCTGGTCTTGAACTCCTGACCTCAGGTGATCTGCCCACCTTGGCCTCCCAAGGTGCTGGGATTACAGGGGTGAGCCACCACACCCAGCCAAATTTTCATAATCTAAGTAGAATATCAATATTCAATTCACATGAGCTATCTATACATGAACATGTGTTTTTGGTCTAAATTCCATTTTCTTAGTATAACAAAATGCCTATTAATCAACAATTCATTCAATCATGTATTATCTACTCAGTACTACGTCACTCTTTCATAGCTGATTGTCTGTCTTTCAAATACCAACTTCCCATTCTCAGTGGTACAGTGGCCAGAAAGCATACTTTTTCCAATTATATCAGCCTCATGATCAGAACGATTAATGGAGTCTTCTGTGAGTATGCAAATAGATGTACAGATGTTTATCAAACACAGACATTCCGTATTATACTTGACTGATAAATACATAATCATTAATTTTGATTTACATGCTGTTGTGTGTCCTAGCGTGTGTGTTGACTGGCAGAGATTTTTAAAAATCTTGCTGCATCATACTTCAGTATGCACTCTGCAAGTGCATACAGCAGCAAAATAACCAACAAATAGTTAATAATGAATTAAATGAGTTAATAAAAAAAGATGTCTGGTTAAAAACCAGACTGCAACAAAACTTTCTCTCAAAAAATTTAGTAACATAAACTGCTAAAGATAAGATACCAATCAAAGAACTGTGCAGTTGTGGCCATAACTCAGACAACCAAGGATGCAGACAGGAAGACCCATAGAGTATTTATTCTGTGCCCCAACAGCCCCCAGAATGCCGTGTCTGCAGGAATGATCCATAGGCTGGAAGAAAAAGTGATCATTATGTCAGATGTGATGAATGCAACACCTGGTTAGGAACAATGTGTGCAAAACTGTACACAGCCATATGAGGATGGAAGCATATGGAACTGATCAGAACACAATCCTGGTCTCAGGTAAGGGGGATGGGGTCACACAGATCTTTTAAAAGACTCAGAGGAAGCATGTGGTGATGGCGATGATGGGGGAGTTGAGGGAGGAGTTGTGAAACCATGAGCCTGGATAGAATTCTTAAAACTGCAATCAGCCGGGCACAAAAACAGTGCATTTGGAGCAACAGGGAATGAAGTAACCCCACTCTGGCTTTCTTAAACTGAGAACTGGCATTTCTTCTCATCTATGGCCAATTTCGAGTTACAGCCTTGAAGTAAGCCCCAGCACATTCGAGAAGAAAAACATACCCCATTACACATGTATTTTTATGATAAGTAAAAATAAAGTATCTAAAGACAAATATTTACTCCCTTTTCTAAAATTAGAAGATTAGATAGGTAGCTGCTGTTCAAAGCACATAAGTGGTTTCACTTCTGATGGCTGAGAGGGCAATAAAACTGTAAGCAAAACATTTAAAAAGCCTCAATTCTCCACAAATTTCCATTTGGATTCTTTTGTTTTAGTTACTTTCTCTCCTTCTACCCAAAGAGTGACTCACAAATAATTCTAGCAGTATATACCAGTCCACATGACACTTAATAAAAATAATATATCTGGAAAAATGGCAAAAATAGTTTCTAGTTTAAATACTGCAACAGATAGGAGTGAAATGACGAAGTGTGAATATAATTTGGCTCAACTTAAATATAATTTGGCTCAACTTAGTGTTTGACAGAGAGCCCAACAAATCAATATTCCAAAACAACCAAACATTTAATAGCGTTACCTTGCATCTACTCAAAACTAAGTGGCAGCCAGAGATTTTCTGGCATTAAATCACAGCATGGTACATTTCAATATCCACCATCAATGTGTTGTTTTTCATAAAATACCACTGAAGTCACCACAACTCGTTGGAAACCCCAAAGTCCCATTTTTCAGACTTTTCATCTGTTAAGCACCTCTCTGAGAACCCTGTCTAAATTTGGAGTGCTCGTCAGGTACAATTCTGTTTGACTTCTGGTTGTGATTCACACTTCAGTTGAGCTTCCTGTCATTTTAAAATGTCACCCTTGTGGGTTTTTATATAAATAAATGTGGGTGTTCCCATTTTATAAATTTTATAAACAGGAACACCTACATTAATTTATATAGTGGCTTTGATGTTCAAGAAATACTGTATTTAACTCTGAGATGCTCAGGGTTTACAGACTGTTTTTGAACTTCACTCATCAATAATCTACATATAAAGAATCAAACACTCCTAAATCATCCCCCTTTGTCCAAGCCTCCTGAAGGCCATATGGATGTTGCCTGGTATCCCCTGGAATGTGCATCATGGGGGCAGGGACTTACTGTCTTGGTTTTTGCTTTATTGTCAGTGTTGAGAACCTAAGGTTCACAATCAAACACAAAACAGGTGGAGAACAACCCACCTGTTACCCTAGACAGAAAGGCACCTGGCTACTCGGCCTAAGCAGTTTCTGGTTTGAATCCCAGCTATCACTTAATATACCTCTTTAAAAGTTAAACCTGTTGATGGATCCTTAAAATGAAAATAATGACATCTTGCAGCAGAGCTTTTGTGAGAATTAGAGATAATTACATAAAGTGGCTGCCTGACATAAAGATATCCAAATAATCGCTATGAGGATGACGACTTGATAGTGATTAATAAATGCAAACTGTGATGTTTCAAATTAAAAAGCAAGAGAGAAGAGAACTGACCACGGATAGGCGTCATTGTGGAAACTTCTTCCAGACTAGACTGGATCTACCTTAAATAAACATTGAATATACAAGCCATCGTTCCAATTTGATAATCCAACTTGACAATATGTTCAGGTCACCATGATGTCTACTAATGTCAAAAGGTCGATAATCCTGACCCAAGTGTCATCTGCAAACTTAATGAGTATATTTCCTGAGATGACCATAATGCAAGGTCTTTGTGTATTTGTTTGCGGATGTCTGTATCTGATGTCCTTTGGTTGCTTGCATGTAACATGCTGCCAGTGGCCTCATGAGAACAGGACTTGTGTCTGTTTAATTCAACTTGCCTGGAGCCAATACAGCATCACGTGCATGTGGAAATGAACTGATTCTGATGTTGATCATGATTTTCATCATCTCAGCTATGATAAAGATTATTAACTTTTAGCAGAAATCTCCTCCAATGTCACCAGAATACCACAAAGTGCCTTTGGGTTTGCCTTTTAGATATGTTGGAAAAGTCTAGATGACCATTCTGGAGGTCCAGTTCTTCCTCTCCTATCCCAGGGTCCCAGGGATATTACAAGCGATGAAGACAACAATGCTGAAGAGCCAGAGAGAACGTGGGAACTTCTTCCCTCTGAATGTCTTCTCTGCCTCACAAGGAAGCTAGGCCACTAGATCATGGCTTCAGTTAGACTCTGACCATTTTCAAAATATATAAGAGAAAAAAATATGCACAGTTACTCTGCTTCTCAGTAACTTCAAGGCCTTGAGGCTCTTATTTTTGGAGTAAGTCTGGCATCAGTTACAGAAGAAAGGAGCAAAGAGACGTAAGAAGTATACAGGTATGCCCAATATTACAGAAGTGACCACACCTGCCAGACCACTCACCTTTTTGCTAGATGGGAATTAGGGAAATGGTCAGAATAGGAGAATTTGTTTCTTTTTACCTTTCTAAGAAAACGTGAAAAGAGCTGAACAGAATTGTTCTTTTATTGGACAATAATATTTGGTGTATTTTTCCTAGTAGCTAGTCAGGAATTCAACCTCCTTAAAATGCTTTGAAATAACAGCTTTATTAATTAGCATATACTCAGTTCCTAGTACTCAGCTTGGCACAGAGAATGCAGGCAATAAATATTTATTACATGAATAAATTAATGATGAGTTGGGATTGTCATAAGAAATCTCCACAATCCATTAAAACAGATTACTACATTTTTAAAACATGACCTGAAGGGTAGGTTTTGGCACTCTGACAACTGTAATTAGCCTATAATAATCAGGTAAAATGAGAAGTAATAAAGGTATGATAAACATCTCACACTAAAAGTAAGCGAACACTGGGAAGCGCCTCACAGTATTTGATGAATACTATTCACACGTGATGTTATTTTCTTGCTATGCACAAGATTTTTATTAGAGGCATTCATTGAATTTAACACATCAGGCAAAATGAAGCATCCACTAATCTGAGAAGTCACAAAGCTTTAGGCATCACTGAATACACTGCAGCAAATGTCCAGAAGGAAATATGTATGGTGAACTGTTCATCGTAAGTTTGCTCGTGTGCAACACAAATGCCATTTTCCTGCAGATAAGACAAAGGTCCATTTAACTTTAGTCCATAAGAAAGTAGGGGGTGGCGTGGGCGTGGCGGCTCATGCCTGTAATCCCAGTACTTTGGGAGGCTGAGGTTGGCGGATCACGAGGTCAGGAGATCGAGACCATCCTGGCCAACATGGTGAAACCCCATCTCTACTAAAAATACAAAAATTAGCTGGGCGTGGTGGCGTGTGCCTATAATCCCAGCTACTTGGAAGGCTGAGGCAGGAGAATATCTTGAACCAGGGGGTCAGAAGTTGCAGTGAGCTGAGATAGCGCCACTGCACTCCAGCCTGGCGACAGAGTGAGACTCCGTCTATTAAAAAAAAAAAAGAAAGAAAGTCAGGGGAAAAGCAGGAAATGGGTAACTTCATCTTTACCAGGAATAACAGGGTCTATTGTACAAAAAAAAAAAGAAGAAGAAGAAAGGTAATGAAACATGAAAGTTCAGTGCAAAAATCTTCATATTTATTCTATAATAAGGGTACCTATCTCCTATCATTAGCATTTTATTCTCAAGTAAAAACAGGTCACCATGCCATTACTTTGACCTCATTACCTTTTCTTAAACATGATTAAATAATGAAAGGCAATGGTACTAATAATTCAACCATATTCCTAAACAATGCTAGAAATGTTCTCCAAGCACTCTTCTGTAAAAAAATGCTTTCTTTGGAATTCTTGACTTTAAACGGACTGCAGATATTTGAGAATAGTTGAAGAAAATATGCAGTCTATGGAAAGCATGAACACAAAATGAATGGACTTCTCAGCTATCTGTGCCATCTAATGTCTAGGATTTCCCAGAGAAATGATCTGAATTGAAATCCCACCTCTACCACATACTATGTGATCTTAAATTACTTAACCTCTGAGTGCCTCCATTTATTCATCTATAAAATGGGCATAGAAACAGCACACATCTTACAGGGTTGTTGTGAAGAGTAAATGAGACATGATGTTAAACATGTGGGCACAGAATAAGGACTCTGTAAATGTTAGCTGGTATTCCAGTGACTTGGAATTTGGGTAATTCTTCCTATAGGATCAAAAGGAAAACTGGAAAGGAAGAATAATTCAGCAAGACAACTCTTCAAAGACTGATGTGGAGATCCAAGGCCTCTTAGCTTTTAAGAACCTATCTATATTTTCATATGATATATTTCAATATCCATCACAATCTCCAGCATCCCACCCCAAATGTAAGAAATATGTCTGACAAAAGAATTACTTTGATAGAGTAAATAGTAGAGGTTTAAACCCTCTTATCTCTAGAACTATAGGAATTGAACCTAACCCTGAGAATCCAAAATTCTCCATGCTACCTGTCACACCACATCCTAAAATAAGGTCAGCTAGAGACTAAAGGTGACTAAGCAAAGGAAAGACTCATCTGGCTAATTTGGCACATTGTTTTAAAATTGTCCAGAAATCTAAATAGCCAACAGTTAAATAATCATTAACATGATATTGTAAAATGGAAAAAATACTTATGCCATTATATTACAACAAAAGAATAGAGGATATAAAATTAAATATATAGTAGAGTATCTATGCACATTCTGAGTCATTTACACACAACGGCAATGGTAACAGCAATTGTAAAGCTCTTGGTGTAAAATTATGGCTGTTTTTTTTATTTTCTTCTTCATACCAAATGCTATATTTTCCACCTTCTAAAAACACACAATAAAAAATACAAGTCCCAGATATCAGAATAACAACAACTTCATCGTGTCTAATTTAAATAGCATTTTATAATATGCTAAGAGCTACAATATACTTAGTGTCATTTGCACCTCAAATAACCCTATGAAGTCTGTTGAGCACATAACGTTCCTGCAAGATCAGGCACCTGAGAGAAAGGGTCAAGTCACTTCCCATGTTTAGGCAGCCAGGAAGGAGGGAGGCTAGAAATCAACCCAGGGCTTCTCCACCTCTTCTCATGAGAGTGGTCTGGAACAGAACGGCCCTGGAATATTAGAATTCATGGGTAGAGCTGCCCCATTGGTCCTTGGCCACAACACTTCTTTCCTGGGCTGTAAAATGAGTCTAAATGACAGCATTTTCCCAAACAGATTTTGTTACAGTAAGAAACAAGATATTGTTTGAAGTAATCACTGGTACATTTCTCTCTATGGTTTTCATTCACTTAGAGGTGCTGTAATGAACTTAGCATGGCCCAAGTAAATCAGGCACATACATCGTCTTCCATCATAGTGGGGAGGTCTGGAAAGAACCTGTGCTACAGCTAAAGAAACTATCATCAGAGTGAACAGGCAACCTACAAAATGGGAGGAAATTTTCACAACCTACTCATCTGACGAAGGGCTAATATGCAGAATCTACAATGAACTCAAACAAATTTACAAGAAAAAAACAAACAACCCCATCAACAAGTGGGCGAAGGACATGAACAGACACTTCTCAAAAGAAGACATTTATGCAGCCAAAAAACACATGAAAAAATGCTCACCATCACTGGCCACCAGAGAAATGCAAATCAAAACCACAATGAGATACCATCTCACACCAGTTAGAATGGCAATCATTAAAAAGTCAGGAAACAACAGGTGCTGGAGAGGATGTGGAGAAATAGGAACACTTTTACACTGTTGGTGGGACTGTAAACTAGCTCAACCATTGTGGAAGTCAGTGTGGCGATTCCTCAGGGATCTACAACTAGAAATACCATTTGACCCAGCCATCCCATTACTGGGTATATACCCAAAGGACTATAAATCATGCTGCTATAAAGACACATGCACACGTATGTTTATTGCGGCATTATTCACAATAGCAAAGACTTGGAACCAACCCAAATGTCCAACAATGATAGACTGGATTAAGAAAATGTGGCACATATACACCATGGAATACTATGCAGCCATAAAAAATGATGAGTTCATGTCCTTTGTAGGGACATGGATGAAATTGGAAATCATCATTCTCAGTAAACTATCGCAAGGACAAAAAACCAACCACCACATGTTCTCACTCATAGGCGGGAACTGAACAATGAGAACACATGGACACAGGAAGGGGAACATCACACCCTGGGGACTGTTGTGGGGTGGGGGGAGGGGGGAGGGATAGCATTAGGAGATATACCTAATGCTAAATGACGAGTTAATGGGTGCAGCACACCAGCATGGCACATGTATACATATGTAACTAACCTGCACATTGTGCACATGTACCCTAAAACTTAAAGTATAATAATAATAAAATTAAAAAATAAAAATAAAAATAAAAGAACCTGTGCTAACAACAGGCCTCTTTTCCTTTCTTTTGCATCATAATTCAGAAACTAAGGCCTTAAGCAGCCCTGGGTAGAGTGGATCTTGGTGCCACACCTCAGCTCTACCTCCTTGAGGACAATCATGCTGCCACTGAAATGCCAGGGTTCTTTCCACTAGGTTTCCAATCTGCTTCTTGGAGGTATTCCCTTCTCTCCTAGGAGCTGACACAGCAGGCAGCATTTCCTGCAACACCCTCCAAAATCACTATGCTAAATGAGAAGAGTCTGCTGCCCCCCACAGAACACTAATCTGCTTTGTTTTCAGCCAGATGTTTTATAGGGGACATCTGTGTTAGATGGAAAACAAAAAGTTACTGGTCTACATATTAGGGAGCAAAAAGGAATGATGTAAACGCACATGTATAAGTGTTCAAATTTTTCAAGTACAGAAAGAAAAAACTTAAGTATTAAGAACATAACCATGGACTATGACCACACCGATTAATATTTTAAAAATCCACAAGACATCTTTCCAGCATTTTATATTGTGATTCCTGAAAATTTACGGTTATCAAAAAACAGAGCCAAATTTGCTAAGCCTGTAAAGTCATTCTGTTCCTATTATTCTGGCAGTAAATGACCTGGCTGATTTCATGCTGGGCAACAAAGATAAATTTATCTGTATCTAGTTAAAATGCATTTGACACTGTACATAGTTTTGGCTAGCTACACTGTCTTGGTCTCAAGTTAAAAATAAGAGGCCATGTAAATCAATCCTAAACTCTTTACACAAAGCCACAGTAAAAAGAACTGCTTGGTATTCAGTGAATATAATCCTCTCTAAATAAATCTTAAACTCAGCTTTGGAGAACTTCTATGTAAAACTTGTATAATATAGCTTTTACAGGCCAAAAATTAAATCCTTAGATTTAACAAATTCTACTTTTAAACGTTTTCTTTGGCTGAATCTTGATAGAGAACAGTCTTTTTTTTTTTAACAAATTCTCATAATTCTTTTCCAAAAATTCTATATTTAATAACTAGTTAATCTGATCAACAAAGACAGCTTGAAAAATACTTCTCATGACCTAAGAAACAATAGGGCCTAAGACACACAACTCAAATTAAATGTGTTCTCCACAATAAACTTCTGGATTGCTTTAAGAAAATGCAGGGGGAAAATCCATAATTCATCTCACTAGTTTCAACACAGGGCATTTCAAATCCTCTTTCCAAGACCATGATGGGTGCTCCAAAGTACGTAGTCTTTCAAAACACACTGAACTGGTTTGGATGAGTTGAAAACTCCAGGTTACTGTGAAGGTAAGCCAAGACCAAGGAAAAATAAAATAAAATTTGTTACTGTTTTTAAATATAGCAGTCAGATAAAAGTTATAGCTTTACATTTAATAATATAATGTCACTTTAGCATAGTCTAACGCATTTTTCAGTGAATACAGTTTTCACATCACATTATAGCAATTTAATCTTAATAATCCCATGAGACACTTAGCAATAATTTCTATTTGTCAGATGAAGAAACCGAAGTTTTGTAGGAATTGATCACTGATGAAGAAAGAAACTAGGCACAAAGCTTTGTTGGAAAAGTACAGTCCAGAAAATAATGCTTGGAAAATATTATTCTGAACTCTATTAAACTAGAGAAAAAGGTTTCAAGGGCTCTGGATTCTTTTAAAACACAGTCCTCTTCCTGAATCCAAGCGATATTAAATTAAGTTTAAATTAAGCTAAGTAACTATGCCAACATGCAACAGAAATAAAGACAAGAAGTGAAAAAACCAAGAATACACCACTATTCATGGTTCTTCCTTCAATGAGAACATTTCTTAATTTGTTAAAATTGATTTTGTTTTTCACCCTGAGGCTCCACATATCAGGCCACTTGAAAGCAACAATGCTTGCTCATAAGGCAACTTTCAGTCACCAGGGTGGTGACAGGAAATGACCTGCTTCATCTCCCCTATATTCATGGTATGTTTCCTTCCCATCCCCTCCACCCATCAAATTAGACTCCTCTCCAGAAGTCAGGTCATCTTTCCCAGAGCCGCCACCTCTTCCCACCTGGATCCTTGCCTTCACTCAGGTTGTGTCACAACATCAGCCTTATTTTTGTGTTGCTTTGGAATTGCCTCTAAATGTCTCTTGTTTGGATGTCCCCCCATTACTCTCTGAGCAGTGATAGTACTCAACTTGTTAGGTGTACACCATAGTGAACCACAATGCATATAATCTAAACATTTTAACTGTCAGAACTTGGTGCTATACCTTAAAATTAACACTAGAGCAACAGCATCCATCAGCGATAGGATTGAACTAGAATGATCACATGTGCTCCAGCAGGATGCCTTGCCTTTAGTGCAATCAGCCAGTCAACAAAGAACTCTTTGAGGGCCAACTTTATGTCCGGTGAAGAGTGAGGTTAGAAATGAATTTTGATGCAAGAGGCTTGTGTTATGAAAAATAAAATAAAATCCTTAAGTCTCCAAGGAAGCTCAGAATATGACCATTCACATTTGTTGCATAATGCCTGAAAAGTTGAAAAAAAATATGGTTTTTTAAATCCAAAAACATCCTAAAGTGGCTGCAGTCCCAGTCCTGACCCAGAGGCAATAACAGCATCTTCCAAAGAAACCATTTGTTTCTTTTTAACAAGGACGTAATACGAGTTTCAAAACTTATCTCACGGGATGGTTCTGAGAATTACAAGCAACAAAGCCCATGAAAGTCTTTTGAAAAGGGCTGAGTACTCTATAAACGTAAACTAGTAGTAACAGTACTGGACTTCGCTATTCTACCTCTGTAAAGGGTGACCAAGAGGACTCAAAAGTGACCCAAGTCACCCCAGTTTTTGGTCAGAGAATTTCTATTAGGTTAGGTTAGATATTTATCAAACAAGGTCACACTAATTTCAAGTTTTTACCATTAGGTTGTTCTTACTTGCAAAGTTTCTGCAAGGATTGGCTGACCACATTCTCCTTCACTTTTGGTTTTTACCAGCTGTTATGTATCATTTTTTCCCATCTTTATTTATTTTTTTAACTTAATTTTTTTTCTTTTGAGATGGAGTGTCGCTCTTTGTTGCCCAGGCTGGAGTGCAATGGCGCAATCTCGGCTCACTGCAACCTCCGCCTCCTGGGTTCAAGCGATTCTCTTGCCTCAGCCTCCTGAGTAGCTGGGATTACAGGCAACTGCCACCACGTCCAGCTAATTTTTTGTATTTTTAGTAGAAACGGGGTTTCACTATGTTGGCCAGGATGGTCTCTCTAACTCCTGACCTCAGGCAATCCACCCACCTCAGCCTCCCAAAGCACTGGGATTACAGGCGTGAGCCACCGCGCCCGGCCCCCATCTTTATAAAGAGACCTAGGAGACATGGTGTTCTGGAAGAAAGAGAAAAAGATACTTGCTTGGCCTCCAAGCTAGGTCACTTGGAGCAAAATGAGTCAGTCTACAAGGAAATTTTTTTATATAATTGCATAATAGAATGCACATTTCTATTCTTCTGCTTGTAGCATTTTAACACTTCAGAATTTTTGACCAGAAATAATATGAACATATCTCGTTACACTGCCACTGGAGTGCTTCATTCTATTTGGAGCCCAAATTTCCCATGAAATTGAACACTTAAAACTCCAAAAATATACTAAGATTTCTCTTTTCTTAGTATATACATGTAATAGAAGAGATGTAATCTCTACAAAATACAACTTCATTTTAAATAAATAAAATTAACATTTGTGTGGCACTTTCTATGTGATTTTATAAATATCTCATTTAAGCCTCATTCTGTTAAGTATTATTATACTCACTTCAGATATGAGGAAACAAATTCAGCAATATTAAGTAATATGTACAGATAGTGAGAGATGAAATGGGGTAGAAACTCAAGTATGGCTAATTCCAAATCCCACATTCTTTCTACTATGCTATGTTACTCCATATCAAAGTATAAATTAGTGGCTATCATGAAAGCTAAACTTTACCAGGAAGTATGGGTGTTAGATGCTGGACTAGGCATTTTGAGTTATTTCATTTAAGTCTCATAATAACTCTAAAAGGCAAGAATGCTACTATCTAAATTTTACAAATTAGGCAACCAAGGCTAAGAAACACTAAAGAATTTTCCCAGTTCACACAGCTAACAAGGAGCAGAAGACAGACTCACACTCCAGTTTGATTGACATAAAGTGCATGGTCCTTACCACTAGACTATATTGCTTTTTGGTTGTAGGGAAAAATCTTACATTAATTAATTCAAACACAACAGAACTCGAATTTTGTTGTAAAAGCTGAGAGCTTGCAAATCAAAACTGGAAAAATATCAGTAAAGATATATTGATCGAGAGAGGCATGCCAAAGAAATTAAAATCTAAATTACTCCATATAGACCAAATTCTCGATTTTAATAATTCAAATATCAGATTGAAGCCATTCTTACTACCCTACTTCCTTCCCAGCTTCCTCTCCATTTCTTCCTGAAAGACTTGTCTATGTTTGCATCAATTTCTCCTCTAATTTGTTTTCCTAAACTAGCTCCCTCACCTATTTCCACCAAGCTGCCTCTGTCAAGATCATCAGACACCCCCAGGTTATTCTACTCAATCATCACATTTTCAGGACTCATCTTATCTGAGCCATTAGCAGTGTATGCACAAGTGTCCCTCTGTCCCAGATATGCTTTCAGGGCATGCCATTCTGCTGACTTGATTCCTATCTAACCAGTCACTCCTTTTCAGTTCTTTATACGGGTGCCCTTTCTTTTTCCCATCTCTTAATTTTGGAGCAACCTAAGGTCAGTCATTGAAACTCTTCCCTTCTCTAATGACACGTATTTCCTTGGTGAGCTCATCCGGTTTTATTGCTTTAAATATTATCTATATGCTAATGTCTTCCTGATTTATATCTTCAGGCCAGACTTCTTTCCTGAATTCCAGCGTTGTAGCCAACTGCCTATGCAGTAACTTCTCTGGTACAACTAACAAGAGATCTCAAACTTATCACATCTAAAACTGAGCACATCTCTTCTTCTACCCCCAGCCTCTAGAAAATCACTAACACATATTAAGTGATCAATAAAGCTGTTGGACTGAATAGATACAATCCAGCCAGATGCCAATGAGTCTCAAAAGAAGAGTCACAGCCATACACCCTGCAACCAGCAGCCCTACCTTGTTAAAAAGAGTCATCCAAATCCATTACAAAACCACAGTAGTTATTTTACTACAGTCATGAAAGTTGGAAGTTTCTATAGAACTGGAAATTATGTAATATAAGGTAATCACAAAGAATAATCATTTTCTGTTGTATCATAATATATAACATCAACAAGATCTCATTATAATTCATGCGCATTACTACATGGATTCTGGGATATCTCACCTCAAATCATCTAAGATATTACTCGCTTATCCAGAACAGCCTACGAGAAGCAAAGTTTAATTCTCTACTGTACCACTTACAGCTACTACTTTTTAAAACAGCTCTACTGAGGTATAACTTACATGCCATAAAATTCACTCATTTTAATCGTATAATTCAATGATTTTTAGTAAATACATACAATTGGCAACCACCACCACAATTCAGTTTTAGAACACTTTCATCACCTTGGAAAGAGTCCTCATGCCTGTTTGCAGTCATGCTATCCTCCTACGTCCAGCCCCAGACAACCACTAATCTATCTGTCTTTATGGATTTGCCTTTTTAGAAAACAGATACTATTTTTAAGGGCCTCTTATGGGATAGATACCTAAGTAAACATTTCACATAGGCTATCTCACTCCCATAACAACCATAAGGTATCATTATTTGCCCAATTCTAGAGATAACGAATATGAGGTTCAGAGAGGGTAAGACAAGAGTCTCACTTAACTATGTGGGTTTACAAAAACAAAAAACAAAAAACAAAAAAAAACTACCTCTAAAAGCAGGTATCTGAAGATATCTGACAGATAAAACAATGCCATGAATTTGCACAATGCTATCACCCAAAACAAACAAGGAAGATGAATGGTGTCCTGTTAGGGTTTAATTCCATCACCACCTGCTGTAACACAAATCAGCCCTCCAGACAGCCAAGGAGGATGGCTCTGTCTGGCTCACACCTGAACTATGGAAATGGAGCTTGCACATGTCCTTAACACTTATTTGAAAAATGAGGACCTTGCTACCTATGATCTCAAAGATTTGCACATCATTGACCTCCTCGTGCAGCATACATCCACAAAACAGACATGTGGACCATGACCACAGACAGATCCGCACCTGAATTACTATGCCTAAAAGCTTATAAAGTCATGTTCAAAAATCGGTATAACTCAAGTTAGGGATGTATTTCTATAAGAACTATAATATCTGTTGTATGCCAATACAGAAAATGTGGGTTACAGTTCTTTGTTTTTTGTTTTAATTGGATAACCATTTAGTTATGGTACATTTACATGTACTATAATCTCTAGTTCTTCAAACCAGTATATTAGAAAATGTACATCAGACACAGTCTGGTATCAGTGTCATGCTACCACACTGATTTGCAAGGATGAACAATTCTTAGCTTCTTTCATTATTGCTCACTGCTAAATTTAAGAAGGAAGACCTCCCATCTTAAAAACAGAGAAGACGGCCGGGCGTGGTGGCTCACGCCTGTAATCCCAGCACTTTGGGAGGCCGAGGCGGGCAGATCGCGAGGTCAGGAGATCGAGACCTTCCCGGCTAACACAGTGAAACCCCATCTCTACTAAAAATACAAAAAATTAGCAGGGCGAGGTAGTCCCAGCTACTCAGGAGGCTGAGGCAGGAGAATGGCGTGAACCCTGGGGGGCGGAGCCTGCAGTGAGCTCCAGCCTGGGCGACAGCGAGACTCCGTCTCAAAAAAAAAAAAAAAAAAAAAAAAAAAAAAAAAAAAAAAAAAAAAAAAACAGAGAAGACAATACAGTTTATTTGGGATCTTATTATTGCAGAAACAGATTATCCGTTGTTGAATAAATCATTGATAGCAAGTGACTGAAAAAATAGAGTTGAGGACAAAGATGCTCTAAAATGCTACACAATTCTCAGCTCCTATAGACACCTATAGCTTTGGTAACTGCCAGGAGAATAAAGATCAGGAAGAGCCATAGTAATCCTTCAGGCTGAAAATCAAGATGGAGGCCCCCCATAAGCGGGTCCTAAGAGTCCCACTGCCTGTTACTGCCAAGAATGAAGTCACTCAGTAGCAGACTCGCAGCTCCTTATGCTTTGTGCAGCCAAGGCTGCTCCTTAGCAACCAATGTCGACAACTGGGTTTCCAAGGAAACCAGAAAGCCCAATTTATAAAACTATGAAACAAAGCAACTGTAAAGGCAACACTAGACACAGAAGGTAACTCTATTCTTACCATTGCTACTGAATTTCTGCCAGTGAAGTGGTACAAATATTTTATTTCTAAATGTTTAAGGGGGGAAAAACCCAATCTTTAAAGTAGACCACATTACTCCCTGACCTCCACATCTTTCTGTAGCAGGATGGCAAATACATTTTTAGGATTCAAATGAGGGATAGCATCAAAAATTTGTGTCTCAAAAAAATTAGATGGGTTATTGAAGGTGAAGAATATTTTCAGAATCATCTGCGTGGTTTTAAATTCCTTCCAGATCACAAGGATAATTCTATTGACTCTGCTCATGTATAAAACAAGTAGATATATTTGCCAGGCTCTTTTCCATTAGTTCTGATACATAATTACTATGGCTTCCTGAATAACACACTTTTTATCACGCAGGGGGTAATAGAAGCACAGAGTTAGGGGAAAATATGAATGAGGATGAAATAAATAAGGCAGAGATATTACTTGTATGCGACATCTGAGTATTTTGGGAAATCGAGCATATGTCAGATGCCACCAACTGCCTTATAATTTAGGGCTCCCAGACAATTTAAAAAAGAGAAGTAAAGAACTATTTCTATGAAAAATTTCTCTCTATTGACTGCCTCTTAAGATAGATCATTACTTCTTTACTGGAGAGCCTAGGGTGAATTATTTAACCTATGAGCCTCAAATTCTTGTCTGCAAAATGTGCATGAAATGAAGAAGAGTTAAGTGAGATGATATGTATGATAGCTTAGCTACAGTGTAGCACTAAGAAATGCTAGTGTTGACCGGGCATGGTGGCTCACGCCTGTAAACCCAGCACTTTGGGAGGCCGAGGCAGGCAGATCACCTGAGGTCAGGAGTTTGAGACCATCCTGGCCAACATGGTGAAACCCCATCTCTGCTAAAAACACACACACAAAAAAATTAGCCGAACACAGTGGCACATGCCTGTAGTCCCAGCTACTCGGGAGGCTGAGGCTGGAGAATCACTTGAACCTGGGAGGCCGAGGATGCAGTGAGCTGAGACTGCACCACTGCACTCCAGCCTGGGCAACGGAAGCAGGCTCCGTCTCAAAAAAAATGCTAATTTTGTCTTCTTGATCCTTCCTTCAATATATCTTGCATTTCTTATTCTCATCATGCTTTAAAAAAATCTGCAAGATTATTTTTCTTAAGAGTCAAAAGAATGAATAGAAATCACTGCACAAAAAGTGTTTCACTGTGAGAAAATTATGTTAAAAAATGTATGAGGAGAAATACCAAATGAGGTAAGGTTACCCATTCAGCATGTTAATAATGTAAAAGATGCCCTATTTCTCCTGTCTCCTTGACTAGGTGGTCCTTGCACCAGGAATTTATGGGCACTTTCACAATTATCATGGATTTTATTTTTAAATATCATCTTCATTTTCCCAGTCTTCCTGACAGAATAAAAACTGTTCCTGAAAACTGCTGACCACTCAGTTCTCAAAAATAACTTGAGAATTAATGCAACTAGTCATTTGCTGAATTCCTGAAAAAGCTCTGATTGAGCTTGAGTTCTCCTTCCATCTCTGCTATTGTATGTCCTTCTGATCACTCCTGAGAACTCTCTCTCTACATATTTTAACAGCAGAAGAACTTTTCAAAACTTGTTTTCCCTGGCAGAATATAGTAAGACCCTAGTCCTTGTTTCAGTAGTGAAATTCTATTAATTCAATGATTTGTGGACTCCTTACGATCTGCACAGTGCCGTTCCTGATGCCAGGGAAGAAGAGAAGTTCCGATTGCACCCGCCACCTAGTACTGATGTGGGTAATATCTACCCATGGGCCCTGGCTCTGCCCTCTGAAGCAATGTAGACTGAGTCACCTCTGTCTTCTACATAACGCTTTCCCAAATGTTTGAAGATGGACATTCTGTCCAAAAAAGAATAATGGGCCAAAACTTAGATTATAGTTTCTTCTTTCACATATTTTAAAGAAATATCAAATGTATCATGTAACCTTTCTGACCTTACCTTCCTTGTCTATATAATAGATATGATAATGCCCCCAGTGGAAAGCTGGAGAGGAGGAGGGAGAGGAGAAAGAGAGGAGGAGGAGAAAATATAGGTAGAAGAATAGAGAAAGCTGTGCCACTTACTGAGCACTTACTATCAATACCTCCCCAAGCACTAATGCTTCTCAACTACCCAGTGGGGTAATCACTCTGTTCTGTCCCAATTTTACAAATGGATACACCAAGACTTGCCCAAGGTGACACTGCTATAAAGTCTTAACCACTATTTTATCTCCTTTCTGTATCCCATGCTCTGTATGCCAAAAATTACAACATATTTTGCAAACATAATTATTTTCCAGCCTAAACAATCACAGCTCCATCAACTACTCATTATGTTACCTTATGTCATTTGGATTCAAAAAGTTCTCAGAAATCTACTTGCCCCCCTTCTAGATGTCACCTGGTTTGCCAGCATCCCCCTGGAAATGGGTCACAGAGGCAGTTTGGCAATTTTTGTTAAGAGGGTATTAAATACCAAGTACTCTGCTAGAGCTGGAGACAGGAAAGATGAATAGACAGTCCTTGTTCTCAGGCAGCCAGAAGTCTATTAGCACTAAAGACTTGCAAGCAGAAAATATATATATAAAGAAAATTTCTATAATAAAGCACAAAGAAGATGTGATGGTAGGAACATGAAAGGAGAGCCAGATGCAGTCAACAGAGCAAACAGATTGATGACTTGGGGGAATGCAGTAAGACCACCACCTCCCAAGGGCCATACACGTTTCTACACATGTCCCTGTTCTGTGGTTGCTTTAACAAATCATAACACATGGCTAGCTTATTCTGTATCAAAACCTGCATTATTTTCCATGAATTCAGAATATAAACTATTGCCCTGGCCAATGCTGATGTCGGGGACATACATGGAGAATGTGCAATGTCATGAACATTAATATGACTTTGTGAGCTCTGATCCTTAACTTTGGTGTGTCATAATCATTGGATTTTCTCACTAACCAGTAATTTAGTAAGATAGTCCTCTGGACTGAATATCTGTGTCTTTCCAAAATTTGTATGTTAAAATCTAATACCCAATACGACGGTATTTGGAGATGGAGCCTTTGGAGTGATTAGGTTTAGATAAAATCATGAGGGTGGAGCCCCCATCATGGGATTAGTGCTCCTATAAGACAAGGAAGAGACCCCAGAGCTTCCACTCTACGCCATGTGAGGACAGAGCAAACCAAGAAGAGGGTCCTGAATAAGAACTGAATCTGCCAGCACCTTGATCTTGAACTTCCCAGCCTTGAGAACTATGAGAAACATATGTTTGCTGTTTAAGCCACCCAGTCTATACTATTCTAGAACAGCACCTCAAACAGACTAAGACAATAAGCATACCACTTACATCTTCTTCCAACACACAGACTAAAATGTGGCTCTAGATAATGCTCATGGAGTCAAAGTCTGGGGTGTGCTACTGAAGCCCCTCCAAGCCCTTGATGATCTGTTATCTGTAGCAGTTGGGTAGAGTTCTTCAACTGAGTAGAAATCTCCCACAATTCTTTCATTTCAGCTACCAGAAAGCCATAATATTGTAATGCATTATTATTTAAAGTGGTTTACAAATTGTAGATACTGAAACATTTTCAGGGTGTCCAGAGGGATGAGCTATCTCCAAATGAAGATGAAGTATCTGAGCACTGGAGCAAGTGGATGGTGAAACACCACCAGTTGCAGTCTAAGTGCAGATGAAAAGACAAAGTCAGATTAGCTCTTGGTAGACAGACTTTCAAATGGTCTTATTTTATGTGAATTTGAAATAGTGACATAAAACATTAAAAGGTTGTCACTTTACACTTCCAATTTTACGTAATGTGAATCATTTCCTACAAAAAAAATAGGTCTGATTTTTGTGAATTTTGCATTTTTACTAGGCTTTGGAAGGCAACTCCCCCTCTAAAATGTGACTCGCTGCACCGAGGGAAGGTTGTATGGAGAAGAGAAAACCGAGGGGGATGGTGGACAGATACTCAGAAAAGGAGCTCTGCAGTCAGGGAGAGAAAATCAACCAATGAGCAGGACATGGCATCAAAACACTTTACATTAAAGAAGCTGTGTGTCTCAATGGTGCAGAAAAGCCCCTGTGGCTACATGGCTAGAGATGAGACCATGTCAGGGCGGTTGTGGAAATGCCTAGAATGTTACTCTGCAAGGTCACAGTAGATCATAGAAAGAGGAAAACAACAGATATGCTGGCCATGTGCAAATGGAGGCTGATCCAGCAGCTCAAAACTAAAGTTACTGCAAGGGATAACAAAGATGAAAAGAAACTTGTGCATGAGGATATAGAAGCCTTGAGAATTTAATGAGCTGGGCAAGTAGAGAAAAGGAACATTAAGAAAACCTCTGCTGGACACGGTAGCTCATGCCTATAATCCCAAAACTTTGGGAGGCTGAGGCGGGAGGATCGCCTCAGGTCAGGAGTTTGAGACCAGCCTGGCCAACATGGTGAAACCCTGTCTCTATTTAAAATACAAAAAAATTAGCCGGGCATGGTGGCGGGCACATGTAATCCCAGCTACTTGGGAGGCTGAGGCAGGAGAATTGCTTAAACCCGGGAGACGGAGGGTGCAGTGAGCCAAGTTCGCGCCATTGCACTCCAGCCTGGGGGACAAAAGCGAGACTCCATCTTAAAAAGAAAAAGATAACCTCAAGTTCTGAAGACTAGAGTACTTAGTACCAACAGCATTATCAGGAATATTCTGTTTCTTAGAGCAAGGAAAACGAATTGCTACAATTTAAAAAAAAATTGTTTCAAGCATTGAAAGAATGCTCCATCAATAGCGGAAGATATCCAAAAGGCAAGCAATGAAGGGATCATTAAGAGCTATTGACTTGTGATGCTGCACATAGAAGTAGTAGCTGTACCTTACCCAATGCTTGGGGAGCCAAATATGTTAGATTCTGAATTTTTCAGACTTTAGAAAAATGGTGCAGCACATACATCACACATTACTTATCCTTACCAATGACATCTGGGCAGTGGCCTTTGATCAGCATATTAACAATTCTGCAGTGACATACACACATGTTCACATTAGGTGGGATCAATGATGACTATAAAAGCTTCATATTATTTGGGTCAGGTTTTGCCAACAAAGGAGTTATGGAAAAAAAAATGTCTGTTTCTACAGCTTTTGGAGATTGGGAATAGCACTGAGCTGGTATTTGAGGTAACTGAGAGTTAATGAAGAAGGAAGGTGAGAAAGGAGAGCAAGGCCTAGCTTGTGCGGATAACCAGTGTTCGGGTGGAGGGCATAAGAAAGGAAAGCCGAAAGGTGAGACAAAGAGGCAGCAAGAAAACCAAGAGAACACGATATCATGCAGGATCAAAGGAGAGAGAAAAGCAAGCTGGAAATACCTGTGAAATCAAAACATCAAAATATAGGAATTAGGGACTCAATAAAGCTTCTGGTCCATGTCGGGTTATCTTACATAGGTCAAGGATATTACACATATTCAAGGGAAATATTCGTCAAGGTCAACAGCATTTTGAATCTGATCTGTCAGTTTCCTTCAGTGGGCTGAAATTGAATTACTACCTTGCTCCAGGTAGTGCTCCATATTGTACTTCAGTCTACTTCCATCTTGGTCCCGAAATATTCTATGTAAAAATAATTTATTGATTCTTGCATTATTTCAATATGTAGCCTGCCTTTGATTTTGAGTTTTACTTAACCTAGGACAATGATCTACAATATAATGTTTCCAGTCAGATTTCCACAGTTATTTTTGCAACACACACGGCTTCTGCTTTCACTCTCTGTGATGAGGAATCCCTTTCTGTTATTGGGAAGAAAGAGTTTAGACTTTACATCAGTGGTTCTCAACCAGGGGTTGAGGGGTAATTTTGCCTCCCAGAGGACATTTGGCAATGCCTAAGAAACATTTTAATTGTCACAACTGGGGGAAGGGAGTAGGGCATTCTGTCATCTAGTGGGTGGTGCTAGATGCTGCTAAACATTCTGCCTTGCACAGGACAGGCCCCAACAGTACAGACTTATCTGTCCTAAAATGTCAATAGTGCAGGTTCAGAAACTCCGCTTTCAATAATTACAGACTTCGGTGTTTGGTAGAAGTTTTGCATTATTCATATCACAAAATAAGCATTTCAATGCATATAAAAATTCAGCATAACATTAATTAAATGGTTAAAATGAAAGCAACTTTTAAAAGAAAAAAATTAGAATTAAATAATTATTAACATAATGAAGCTAAGAATTCAATTTGACTCAAGTATATTTCCCTCAAAATTATTCCTTTCCTAACATCTCATTAAATACTGTCTAATATCATGAAGGCTGACAAAAACAATGTGAAGTTTGAAGACAGAATCTCATCACTTAGTGCATCACTAAGTAACTTTTTGGCCAAGTTATAAAAAATCTAATGAAGCAGAAAAAAAAATTCAAAGTCACATATATAAAAAAAATTAAGTATGCTGAAATCTACTTAAAAAGACCACTCATAGTTCAAAAGAATAGAGGGCCAATTAGATGGCTTTGAAATGCAAATTTTCATTGTTCCATTTTAAAAGTCATGCCTAAGGTGGCCTTAAAAAGCAGTTATTTCCAAGAAATGGCATTCTTGGAAAGTTTCATTGTTCGGGAATTCTAACCTGTGTCACGTAGAAAGGACTGGAAACTGTCATCTCTACCTCCTGCACTCAACCCCAGCACACATGCGCATGAAGGTCTCACAACTTATAAAGGATTGCATCAAACCATTGCTTGAATATGCTCTCTAACTTCTTCTGGGAAAAATAACATTTATTCAACTTAAGTAGAAAAATTGTGGAGATAAAACAGAGCGACCGATTTACACAGCCATTCTTTAGAGAAAGTTTTGTTTTCCTTTAACATTTCAATTGCTATAGTCAAGGGGAGTAAGTAACAACAACGCTATAAGACCACAATGCTTTGAAGAGAACTTTAGCATCCTGCAAACCAAGGCATTGGATATGCACTATCTAATGAGGGTGGAGAGGCCAGCAATCCACCCCCTCCAGATAACCTTATCTCCAGCCTTGCTATTTTAGCAATTATGGCTGACCCTTGAAAAACACAGGTTTGAACTGTGCAAGTCAACTTATACGCAGATTTTTTTCAATAGAAATTATGAGTGTGCCTGCCTCTCCTGCCTCCCCTTTCACCTCCTCCACCTCTTCTGACTCTGCCATCTGTGAGACAGCAAGACCAACACCTCCTCTTCCTCCTCCTCCTCAGCCTACTCAAGGTGAAGGCAGTGAGGATAAAGACCTTTATGGTGATCCACTTCCACTTAACGAATAGGAGTTATATTTTATCTTAATAATATTTTCTTTTCCCTAGCTTACTTTATTATAAGAATACAGTATATAACATGAAATATGTGTTATGTTAATTGACTGCTTATGTTATCGGTAAGGCTTCTGGTCAACAGTAGGCTATTAGTAATTAAGTTTTGGAAGTGTCTAAAGTTATACATATATTTTTAACTGTGTGGGAGGTTGATTCCTCTAATCCCATGTTGTTCAAGGGTGAACTGTACTTGATATGTCATTTGTCATTTAAATTCTCAACAAAGAGTTGGATGGATGAGTCATTTCCCCCAGACTGACGGCATCATGAAGGCCTGAAGGTGTCACCAACTCCTCTCCTCCAACATCAGCTGAAAAGATACAGTCCTCACTTAGACCACCCTCAGAGAGCACAGTTTGTAAAACTTATGAAAATGGAAGTTGTAGAAAGCACTAGAAGTTGCTAAAATACTTTCATATGAAAAAGACTCAAATCCACCCACTGGATTAGACAAAAACCTGAGCTGAATGAGCCCCAGCTATCTACCTAGAACTTTATCTTCATTCCTCATTTGTCTTCCTTGCTCCCGGTGGAGAGAAGGGGATATACAAAGAGATGGCTGCAGTTAGAAAAAGGCAATAGTTGCCTCAGAAACCCAGCTCCTGGTGAGTCAAAGTTATGGTTACAGGGAATGGGCTCTGTCCACAAAAGTTGCTTCTTTAAATATCTTCTGTGCATAAGAATCTGAAATCTCATTTGAATTTGCCAAACACCTGTTCAGTATTAAGCAATGTACCCACCGATTCCAAACTGCTATTTAAAAAGTCCTTAGGGAATGGAGGGTCAAAGAGTATAAACAATCTATTCTTTATTGGGCTATAAGAAAGCACCATATTAAAGTAGAAAAAGACCAGGTTATCTTGACAGATCAAGATGGTGGCCTGTAGCAAACTCTGGCCTTTGCCTCTGATCACAGCCTTTATGTTCTAGTGACCTCATAGGAAGTTCTCTAAAATACACTAAAAATGTCTAGTTTGTTTTTAACTGTATTACGTGTTCACGTCTCTGAAACTTCTCTTTCATCTCGATTACTCTGTTAGGTCCCTCCTCAGTTCAACTCCAGTTCCCACTTTGGTAGATCAGCCTGTCGAACAAATGGGATGGCATTCACTACACAATGATAATTAAAATTTAAATGGCTATAAGAAAACAAGTCCTCTACTGTTTATTGGTGCCCATACAATCATCAAAACATAGGTACTGTAAATCTTACAAATGTGACTCAAAAAGATTGAAAGTGGAATAGATTCTAAGAAACAAGCAATTGTATTATTCACATTCCAGCTGATCCATATCGCCAAATAACAAATAAATCATCCAAGGAATTCCTCCAGGAACAATCTTTTTCCTTGAGTTTTCCCATTCATTTTTTAAAAATTTCAACAAATATTTATGGAAGACCCACTTTGTGACATCCACTGTGGTGTAGGTGCTTAGTAGGGGCTTGCTACCCCTACCATTGGTCTTCCATTCTAAGCTAGGAAGAGAAAACTTTTTCTTTAAGAAACATTCTATTAAACACAGGATTAGTGATATATGAATATATATCCTCCAAGTCAACAGGTTCATTTCCTCCTGGATTTCTCTAAGTTACTTTGCTGTTGCTATTTTTATAACATAATTAGAATGTGCTAGAAAAATAATAGAAATCGGTCAAATTGATACTTTCCTTTCTCAAACAACTTTTTATCAAAAGGAAGAAAACTAAATGTATTTGTCCCTTGGCTATTAAAAATACATTGGAGCAAACAGACACTTAGGATTAGATTATCACAAAGGAAAAGTCAAATAATTCCTGAGGCATTCAAAAACATGCAGAAATGTCAGTAAACATCCTTGAATGATTTTTCCCCGCCCTGGCAGAATGAAAAGGTAAGGAAAAACACTAGATGCAAGAATCAGCAGACAGACAGTAGCTCGGTTTGTCTTCCATTTCCCTTATCCCCAGACAGTTCATGATTCTTGGTTTTAGAAACTGGACCACAGGGACGACAGCTGAGCGTCTGATTTTTCAAATGACTGACGTACAATCACCGGGCACACAAGGGTCAAACCTTGCAGCTATTTAAAAAACACTTATGTATAATCTGATAAAAAGAAATAGCTAAACAGAAAAGATATAAACAAATTTGAAGTTTGGGAAGTCTTGTTGAAGAATCACTAAACTGACAGCACAGAAGTGAAAAGAACTGAATTATAAAGGAGGGGGACAAAAGCCCAGATCTGGAAATAGTCATTCTATTTCAAGATTTGTCCTGAAGAACTGTACTTTACAAGAAGTTAATTACACTTGTGAAAGCTACAATCATTCTGCCATTATCTATACTCCCACTAAATCTCTATTAGAAAGACTACCAACAAGGGATCCGTATGTCACATTAAGAGAAACAGACAAAACCAAGCAAGTTTGTAAAAACTGATGAAAGAACAACAAACCAATGCAAATGGCCTTCGCTACTGGTTATATGGCACCCATTTTAGCTTTTTAACTTCCTAGGATAGACTTATATAAGTACTTTCCCATCAGAAATAAAATTGTTATACCATTTTCAAAAAATATCATGTGGTTATATAAATCAAGATGAGACTTTGAAAACAAAAGTACTCCATAAATATGTATACATTGTCTCTCAAGGAAAACAAATTTCTCATTACCACCATGTGGCCAAAGATAGATTACTAATAACAGATGTTTTAAGTATCCACTTTAGAAAATTTAGGTACTATAAATATGCCCAAGGAAACTCAAAGTTAGTATATTATTAAAATAATTATTTTTATCTCCAAATTATGTAAATCAAATACACTAATTTTTTCTCCCCAGAGAAGTTTGAAACAAATGCCTATATGCTCTGAAAGTTGTCTCTGGATTCTTTTAACTTTAATGTTTATATTTAAAATACATTTATGCTGTAAACAATTCAAATAATATAAAGCAAATGGACCCTTTGTAGATTCCAATCCCACTTTCTTTCTCAGAGGTAACATCTCCTATCAGTTTATTGTGTTTTTTTTCCAGACCTTTGTCTAAATGTATATAATCCAAAGGTTGGGTTTTTTTAGAATTATGAAAAAAGCTATACTGCACATATTCTGCAAATTGCTTTAGTAGAGATAAAAATTACTAACCTGAATACAGTTTGGAAGCCAGCTCTGTGCCACTGTCCCCAAAGACAAAAATGACCATCAATAACTAGCTTTAAAGCTTCAACCATGAGGTTCCCATGACTGCTCATGTTTGCAGTAATTTTCCCTAATTTTTTCTATCAGAAATCAAGCTTCTAAATTACCACACACTATTCTTTGTGACTGAGGAAATAGCTACCAACACCCTGAATGTTATCAAGCAAAATTATAGTTGGGGTAGACCGAGAGAATACCAGTCTGCCATTAAGCATAGCGAGCTCCCTGGGAGGGAAGGCTGGAGAGGATTTGAAAAGGGCAAAAAGAGAGACACATGGGCAGACCAAGAGACCCCCTGACTCCTGAAGCTCTCCCTTCACCTATCCTTGGATTCCCCTTTCTTGGCATTCTGGCAACTTTGAATAAACAGTCAGGAACCCCCAGACAAATATTTCATTGCATATTGCTTATTTTCAATTAGTTACCCAATAATAAAATAGATTACTTCTGTGAAGAAATCTTTAAAGAAAAGTCTCTCCACAAACCAAATCTTGTGGCACTCACCACAGGGTTAGACACTTTTAATAAAAATTATTATTAATCTGCATGAGATATAAAAGGTTCATCCTTCCTTGGCTACATTTAGACCCTCTCTCTCATTTTCTTCCTTCCCCCATCCAACTCAGCAGCCAGGGTCACTGTTTACCCATCTGACATCACTGTTTGCCAGCTATTAGCATTATTTAATTAGCTCCTTCGACAAACCAAGTCAATGTCAGGAGCTGTTTCTGTGACTTAAAACACAACCTACACCAGCCCTCTGGAGTCTGCTCTGTACCACCAGGGGTCCCCTGGGCTCCAGAACACCTCAGCTGAACTCAGGTGTCAGGACAAAGCACACAGGAGAGAGAATCAGTCCCAAGAGAAGTCAGCCTCAGACAACATTACTGGCTGGCACTACAGCTGGAAATAAAATGTTTCCTCAACAGCTTTTTTTTTTTTTTTTTAATATTTTAAGTTCTGGGATACATGCGCAGAACGTGCCAGTTTGTTACATAGGTATACATGTGCCATGGTGGTTTGCTGCACCCATCAACCCGTCATCTAGGTTTTAAGCCCCACATGCATTAGGTATTTGTCCTAATGCTCTCCCTCCCCTCGCCCCTGCCCCTAAAAGGCCCTGGTGTGTGATGTTCCCCTCCCTGTGTCCATGTATTCTCATTGTTCAACTCCCACTTATGAGTGAGAACATGCGGTGTTTGGTTTTCTGCTCTTGTGTTAGTTTGCTGAGAATGATGGTTTCCAGCTTCATCTAGGTCCCTGCAAAGGACATGAACTCACTCTTTTTTATGGCTGCACAGTATTCCATGGTGTATATGTGCCACATTTTCTTTATCTAGTCTATCATTGATGGGAATTTGGGTTGGTTCCAAGTCTTTGCTATTGCGAATAGTGCTGCAATAAACATACGTGTGCATGCATCTTTATAGTAGAATGATTTATAATCCTTTGGGTATACACCCAGTAATGGGATTGCTGAGTCAAATGGTATTTCTGGTTCTAGACCCTTGAGGAATCGCCACACTGTCTTCCACAATGGTTGAAGTAATTTACACTCCCATTAACAGTGTAAAAGCTATTTCTCCACATCCTCTCCAGCATCTGTTGTTTCCTGACTTTTTAATGATCGATCGCCATTCCAACTGGCATGGGATGGTATCTCATTGTGGTTTTGATCTGCATTTCTCTAATGACCAGTGATGATGAGCTTT
This sequence comes from Homo sapiens, assembly GCF_000001405.40. NCBI lineage: Eukaryota > Metazoa > Chordata > Mammalia > Primates > Hominidae > Homo > Homo sapiens. Next base: position 36,087,235 of record NC_000013.11, read on the forward strand.
TTTTCATGTTTGCTGGCTGCATGAATGTCTTCTTTTGAGAAGTGCCCGGACAGCTGTTTAAACACTCTACATGATAGAGACTGTTTACATGTCTACACAGGTGGACTGCAAAGTACACAACAAAACAGGGCATTTATCTTCAAGCACAGGTATTGCTAAAAGGAAAAATAAACCCTTGCAAAGGAGTCTGTGATCTTTTCGCTTATGTTGTAATTAACAAAGAGTTAGGAGATAGTGTTAGGTATTCGTTTGGTAATCAATTTCTGAGTATCTCTTAGAGTCAAGCATTGTGGAGCACAGAAACATGAAATGACCCATCCTGTGACTGTGAGAAATTTGCAGCCTAGTGGCAGTTTGGACGTGCAAAGATGTGATTGGAAAACAGGCCATGTGGATTGCTGGCATGCAGGAAATGCTCTGAGGATATCCATACCTTTTTCCCACCAAGAAGACTCCTGGAGGCTTCTCCCTCCTCTCCACTCTCTTCTAACAAGGGACAGGTTTGATTGGGAGTGGGCAAAGGTCAGTTGGATTCCCAATACTAGAAACACCTATCCTGCTGTGGATACACTATTCTCCCAAGCCAAGGATAAGACTAAGACCCCTGGGAAACAAGGGGAAGGCAGGGAAGGTGGTCAGAGACGAAGAGGGCAAGAGGCACAAAACCTGTGGCTTTGTTTTTACCAAAAATGTTAAGGAAGTCTTGGGTAGCACTAGAGTGCCCATGAGCATAGGATGCTCTGGCTGGGTCTAAACAACAATGTTTTTTAAAACCATGATGTGGGAAAATGGCCAAGTTACATGTGGTTTTCCTGTTTCTTCATCATTGAAGACTAAAATCCACCTGTGGAAACCGATCTCTCCTGTATAGTGGGAAAATACTTTACATCCTAGTGGTTATGCAAAGGTTAAGTGACTGCTGGATTCTGGAATAGCAGGTTGATGACTAGGAGGAGTGAGCTGTCCACATAATAATTAAAGTGTGTTTCAGATGAGGTGTGGCTGGTGCTGCAGACCATATCCTTTGAGGAAAACTCCCTCTGCAGCTGAAGAGGAGGCACTGAGGGCTGAGTCCAGTGAGGGATGAGAAGGGCACTCCCATTGTGAGCAGGTGAGCTGCCCGCTTTCAGTGCCAGAGAAGAAGCTGGCTTCTGTACTTCAGGAGCAGCCTCATGTAGGGTCCAGTCTTAAGGCTGTTCTCTCATTCTTCCTTTATGTAAAAGCCTTCTGGAAAGCTTAAATGTTAGGATTTGGCCTCAGCTATGCTGTGGGAAATGAAAGGACAGGCTCTTTTCTGTATTGAGAAAGAAGTGGCATAGGGTAGAGAACTACATCCTGGGAAAGCAGGTTGTAAGATGGCAAATGTGCCCTACAGGACAGCAGGCAGCCTCGTGCCCCAGAACACCAGTGGAGTGGCAGTGCCAGCCAGTGGGTCTGCGAGACGTGCCGGGGTTCCCGATGTACCTTGAGATTCCAGGGAGGGTGGAACCTTAACATTAGTGGTAGAAAAAGATCTATCTCTCTTGACAAACCAAAATACTTTATTCTACTGCAAATAGTCCCCATGACAACCACATTTCCATTTATGTCTTAGCTCATAATAACCCAAGAACACTCACTATTCTTAGCCTACCTTTGTAGCACAACCATTTCTTCAGACATTTCACTCCTTCCCACCACTAATCTCTGTTTCAATGGTCCTCTGGATTCTAAACTTTTCTGAATACTTTTTTAAAAAACAGATGAAATACCAATAACCAATAAAAGAAACAAAATTTTATTCTATCTTTTTTTTAAAAAAATTCTCTCAATCTACTTATCATCATTGGTGCAATTTCTATATTCAAGTTGGAGGTGAAAAGTCTGAAATTAGTTCAAAATGGCTTTTGCCAGACTCATTAAAATGCTTCGGAAGCGGTTTTAATTTTTTTTCTAGCGTCTTCAATGGGCCTGATTTCTGCCCCATTTCGAATCATTCTTCCTCTGTACAATGTCACATATCTGCGAATAAATATGTAAGCTCTCCTCTACTTGATGAGAAAACCTCACATTACAAACTGTTGGGCAACCCAGGAGAAACAGGCCAGATGGCCTAGAGACCTGCTGGCCTGCTAGGCCTGAACAGAAGCACAGGCTTTCCTCAATCTATGTGCTTTGTGCAGTTAATATAACTCTATTTTTGGAAACATAACCTTGGTTCCAAGTTCAGCCCATGTTTCTTTCCTGTGCAGCACTCAACTATTCCACTCTCTCATGACACTTCTCTGCAGGACCACCCTCGAACAGGAACTCCGGGTTGTCCATTGCAAAGTGTTCCCATTTATTTAAAGTTTCCCATCACTCTCTTCTTTCCACCTCCATTCTCTGGCAAAAGCATCTTCTTTTTTCTTTGCACCAAGAAATATACAACAGGCAGTTCTGGTCATTTACTTTCTCCAACTTCCTTTTATGTTTCTGAGTCACTGAATCTTGCCTCACACCAATAACATCTAGCTCTAATTTGATTTTTTTCCTCCAATATTTCAAATACAAAACAAGACAAAATCTTGTTTCCTTTGGTACAAGAGTGGCTCCAACAATAGCTAATGCGAAGTGTTGATGGCACTTTGATCTCCATTTGGCAGCATGAGGGAACCAAAGCTTTTTACTCTCCTGGTGACTAATCATTATTTCACATCAATTGGAGAGGATTAACAAATCTTAGTAATCCAGATGTGCGTTTGCAATTCCTATGGTCCCCAAGTGTGCCACATGCATTGTGGGAATAAGCATTAGGTTAATAACCTAGCACTATTTAAAAAATTTAATGCACTTTGCCTTCATAAACTACGACATGCCCTCCAATACATTATAAAGCAAGCCTTACTTTAGAGTGGGGTGACATAACAGTTGTAGGCTTATCGATGTGGAAAGGAAAGTTATTTGACATTTATTGTTCTGGCAAAGTATAAAGACAAAAAGAAAAATAGTTTTCTTTGGGTCTGGACATTCAGATCTTTCTGGATGAAAATTCTCAGAGCAGCAAATGTAAGGCCTACAGTCCGATAAGGACGCACATCCTCTATTCACAGGCATATTTTCAAAATACCCCCGAGGAGCCCTTCTTCTTAGAGGAGTCATTGAAAAGATCAGCTGGAGGGCATCCAGGCAGACAGAATGGGATGGCACAGACACTTAGTATTAGAAGCAACAAGCTGTTTGGAGAACTGGGACTTAGGGTGTACAGGGGAAAATGGCAAGAAGTGAGGCTGGAAAGGGAGAAGAGGCCAATATCTCCAAGGATTTTACACGCCACGCTGGGACAAAAGCTCTGTTCTTAGAAAGAGCTCTCTGGAGGTAGCACAGAACGTAGGTAGGAGAGGAAAGAGACAGGAAGCAAAGAGATCAGCTAGGGAACTTCTGCAAGGGTCCAGGCCCACCGTGAGAGCTTGAACGCATGCGTGGAGAAGGGTAACTGGATTCCCAAAACATTTCTGGGCAGATCGGAGGAGCCACTGAATGACTCACTGGATACGGGGGCGAATGCTCTCGTGAGGTCAGTGAAAGCTCAGAGAAACAGCAGGGGAGCACAATGAGGATCTCATGATCATGAGCTTGGTCTTGTGTCCCAGCCCCCACCCTACCCCACTCCACCCCATGCAACAGCCAGTCCCTCTCCTGCACTGTTGTCACATGGCTCAGTACAATCTCCTTGGGCACATAGCCCATGGCATTATAAACCACTGGTTAAAATGCTGGCTGCATAAACATCTTCTTTTGAGAAGTGTCTGTTCATGTCCTTCACCCGCTTTTTGATGGGGTTGTTCTTTTCCTGTAAATTTGTTTAAGTTCCTTGTAGATTCTGGATATTAGACCTTTGTCAGATGGGTAGATTGTAAAAATTTTCTCCCATTCTGTTGGTTGCGGGTTCACTCTGATGCTAGTTTCTTTTGCTGTGCAGAAGCTCTTTAGTTTCATTAGATCCCATTTGTCAATTCTGGCTTTTGTTGCAATTGCTTTTGGTGTTTTAGTCATGCAGGGCTTAAAACCTAGATGACAGGTTGATAGGTGCAGCAAACCATGATGGCACATGTATACTATGCAACAAACCTGCACGTTCTGCACATGTATCCCAGAACTTAAAGTAAAATAAAAAAATTTAAAAAATAATAAATTTTAAAAAATGCTCATCTTCTGGGCTGTACTCTGAGTGTCTCAGGGCAGGGACCATAACTCACCCATCTTCATATCCTCAATACTTGGCACGTAAGGGCTTGTTATGTGATGAATGACTTTCAACTTTTAATCTACATTTGGCCATCAAAATGGAAAATAACCCAAACTTCAGAGAAGTTGCTTCTTTCTTCTGTCTGCTTCTCTATACATTTATAAAGTTAGTCCAGAAAATTTATTTCAGTCATGACACCCCAGAGGTATAAATATATGTGATATATGAGTCAAGGTAGATAAAGAAAATAGCCACCATTCCTAGCGTGATATGTGTCATATGATAAAGCACTTGAAGTTGACAGTAAGAAGGCTGCTGTGTGTCTTGTTCATCTGGGTCCTCCCTCCCACTCCCAACGATAGCTATCCATTTCCCCCACTACTGGCATCATTTTCTAACTACTTTTTCACATTTATCTGTGTTCCTAGTTCCTATGCCCTGAGCACAACCCCTCCCCAAATCCAATACAGCTGTCATCATTCTGGACAAATTGTCTTGCTTTCCTAGCCCAGGGCAATGTTCTATGTTGTTTATTTTGCCTAGAATGTCCTCTCATCATCTTTTCTACTTGCCAATACCTTATAGTATTTTATTAAATGAATTATTTTATTTAATTACTTAGCAGCACGTGATACTGTTGTCAGACAGTCCTTATTTTATTTCATTACTTAGCAGCTATGATACTGTTGACCATATACAACTCCAAATCTGCTTTATTTTTCTGACCGGAAGACAACTAATGTCTAAGAGTTCTGGCTCTTGAGGTTTTTTTTTTATAGCTGTGTGATATCACACATATTATATAACCCTTCTAAATCTCAGTTTCCTCATCTGTAAAAGAGAAAAAAATAGTACTTACCTTCTAGAGTTGGTGTGAGGATTAAATTTTATCATGCATATGAAGTGCTTAACACAGTTCCTAGCACAACGGCAAATAGCTGAATAGCTGTTAGTTGTTATGCTTATTATATTATTTAACTTTTAATATAACTACTGTCTACCCTGCTGCCCAAGGCATGTCTCTTATCCGAGAGGCGTTTTCTTTTTTTTTTTTTTTTTTTTTGAGACAGAGTCTCACTCTGTCGCCCAGGCTGGAGTGCAGTGGCGGGATCTCGGCTCACTGCAAGCTCCGCCTCCCGGGTTCACGCCATTCTCCTGCCTCAGCCTCCCAAGTAGCTGGGACTACAGGCGCCCGCCACCACGCCCGGCTAATTTTTTGTATTTTTAGTAGAGACAGGGTTTCACCGTTTTAGCCGGGATGGTCTCGATCTCCTGACCTCGTGATCCGCCCGCCTCGGCCTCCCAAAGTGCTGGGATTACAGGCGTGAGCCACCGCGCCCGGCCGCGAGAGGCGTTTTCTTTCCTTTTCCTTTTCTTCACGTCTTCCTGTTCCTTCCCATATCCAATCAGTTACTAAATTCTATGAATTCTACCGTCTAAATATCCTTTGCATGTTAGGCAAGAGCCCAGGCTGCACAAAATAGGTATAATCTGAATTTTAGAAGCTTGAAAATAAGACAAGTCAAAAAAAAAGAAAAAAATGGCTTTGGAGAGGAAAGTATTGTTAACATCACTGATAATTAGGCCTTCCCGAATAAGAGACAAAAATAATAACAATACTTCAAAACTATTAACAGACTGCAGCTTGAAATCCTTACTTCTATGCCAAGCATCAGACTGTTCTTGAAATCCTTACTTCTACATCAAACCTTCATTATGTAACTGGTCCTATAATTGGAGGAAGGACTGCTCACATAGCTAACTTTGAAAATTGGCAGTGTACCATATTTGCAACAGATTGGCAAATTATTTAAGAAGTCGGTAGGAATAAGAAAGTGGGTATATTTTTCATTTTGATTGACAGAAGTCATCATGTGGGTAAAACCATCACTTCATTCAGTACTACCAGGTCTTGGATCTGTGAAAGGATATTTGCTACAGTGAATCTCCCAGCCAAGGGCTCCCATGGTGGCTACAAATCACCTACTTAAGTTTCCATATAGTAGACCATGACTTCCATGTTTTTAAATGAAAACAGCACCGTGTGATTAAAGTACCATATATTATATACATAAATTCTTTTAATGAACAAACATTTACCAAGCACCTGGTCAAAGCAAAGTACCATGCTAGAGACCCCTGAGGACCTCGATATTCCCAAAGTCATTGCTAGCACATTATCATTCAATCACCTGACTACAATCCATGTCCCTATGTTTCCAGTCCTTTTTTTTTCTTTCAGGAATTCCTTCACAGAACTATTTAGCCTCTCAAATACCCTAAGGAATTTTAGAATAATTTTGACATTTTTTAGTGATAGTTATTTAAAATAAAATATTTAAAATTAGAAATACATTAATAGAGCTTAGATAGTATTTGTGGAATATAAAGACAAAGTTTGTTCTTCCCAATCAACCTGTCTTACATATTTTCAGGTAATTTTAATTTATATGGCAAATATATGATTTAAGCACAAAAAATTATTATTATTATTTTGAGACGGGGTCTCACCATATTGTCCAGTATGGTATCAAACTCCTGGACTCCAGTGATCCTCCTGCCTCATCCTCCTTAGTAGATGGCACTACAGGCACCCAGCCAAAAATTTTTTTAATGACTAGACCTTATTTGGCATTAGAGTCAAGTCTATATTAAAATGTAGACAAATTAAAATATGTTACAGCATTTTTTAAAAATCTGCCTTTTTTGACCTGATATAAATTTTGCACCCCTCCACAAATCATCTTGTTTAGTCATAGTCAGACAGTTTTAATCTCAGTAAATAAAAGCTACATTGGATTCAATTATCATTGTATTTTCTTTTTATTATTATTTTCTTAAATGCTAGAAACACCTTAACGTGCTTTATAAAAGCTGGCATTATCGTCATTTATATTCTGCTCCTTGTTCACCTCCTATATTTAACCAATGGTTATGAATACAAAATTAACAACAGATAGTTAGAATAAAACCAATTTAAAGCAATTTAATGGTCAAAACCAGGAGCTATCAGCTGTTGGTGTTCTGTTGCGTTATTAAACCAACTCAGAAATGCGGACTCTTACTTGATCCCCACTAACTGCCAGTCATGGGTAGTTGCTATACACCCTGTGGCTGTAAAATCAATTCCTTTTTAAGGAAAAAGTTTCTAAGCAATAATTATACTTTACTTACAGTTTTTAAAGGGTATTAAGACAAATGTCGTTACTGCACCACATTCCTAAACCCCCTAGTGGCTCCAGAGCTATCAGCCGGGAAGCACTTTACATTTTGAAAATGTATTGCTCAGGACAAAATGATGAAGAGCCCTGGAGAGCATCTGCTGTGAAAGAAGAAACAATTTCGGGCCAGGAATATGATTTCCTGTAAGTGAAATAATCACATGAGAAGAAAAGTGAAATTATCTCACACTTACTGAAGGCTCAAGTGATGGGGAAAAGTTAAGATGGAAAAGAAAAATGAGGAGCAAAAAGGAAGCAGGAGTGAGGAAGCAGGTGTGAGGAAGGACCACATGTCTATGTCTTCCCTTATGCACAAGCACTAGACTTTTTGTTCCAGTAAAGAATTTCCAGCAAGTGACAGAAAGCAAACCCATGCCCAGTTGAACTGAACAATTTCTCTATGAACAGAAAATGTTTTGTCAAGAACCAGAAATTTCTTTTGATAATCAGTCATGAATGAACACAGGTGGCAGAATGTATCCTCTGATATCTCTCTATCTCTCTCTCTTTGTTTTTTTTTTTTGTTTTTTTTGTTTTGTTTTGTTTTGTTTTGTATTTTTTGAGACAGAATCTCACTCTGTCGCCCAGGCTAGAGTGCCGTGATGTGATCTTGGCTCACTGCAACTTCCGCTTCCCAGGTTCAAGTGATTCTCATGTCTCAGCCTCCTGAGTAGCTGGGACTATAGGCATGTGTTACCACATCCAGCTAATATTTTGCATTTTTAGTAGAGACGGGTTTCACTGTGGTGGTCAGGCTGGTCTCGAACTCCTGAGCTCAGGCAATCCGCCCGCCTCAACTTCCCAAAATGCTGGGAGTCCAGGTGTGAGCCACTGTGCCCGGCTCTCTCATATCTTTCTGGGCTCAAACTCCCAAATGTTTCCAAAAAACCACTACTTAATGCAAGAAAATTAAAGATGATCTAAAACAAGACTTGATTTATGTCACCGGATAAGTAAATATCATGGACATATAAATTCCACCACCCCTTCCCCCAAAATATGAGAGTCAAAGACTGAACACTGCTGAGAAACATAGTAGAAAAATTAAATGCTACCTCATCTGAGAAGCATAACTTTCTTGAGGATATGGCCATAGCAGTCATAAGATTCTCAAAGGGGAATGCAAGCCCCAAAATTTAAGAGCCATTGTTGTAGATAAAATAAGAAAAACTAAATTAAAGATAGAGGATTTTGTCTTAAATTCCTGGAATTAAAAGAATTTTTCCATTTCATTGATATTATTTTCTGTTGTCAGCTTTAGCTAAAGGAAATTACAATAAACCATATAATAAACAAACTAAATCACTATTTTATTTAATTTCAATTTAATAATAAGACCTATATAATAAAGCCCCCAAAAGAGAGGGTTAAAAACTATAAACAAGTTCCATTGGTTTTGAAAGGGTTTTTTGTATGTAATTTTCTTTAATGTAGCTAACCACCACCAAAACCCCTTTGGTTCTTTGGAGAGACAGATTACCAAGAAGGAGGTCAGAAAGGGAGAAAAATCTGGGAAGCAATCTCAGTTCCTCACTAACCTCAGAACTATGCCTAGATATAAGCCCAAGGCCTTTGAATCTCAGCCAGAGACCAGCTTTTCTTTCCCATCTTGTAAGAGGCTTCACAGGGGAGACCGGTCCTTGTTTTTGGTTTAGAGATGGCCTTGAACAAGAAAAAGAAGATAAGTATACACTGAATACACAATCTTTTCTGGAATCCAAAGGCCAGCAGCATCTTAACACTGAAGTACAAAGGCATTTTCAATGATGGTTCAGTGAACATAATCCCCCAGGTGCAGCTTTACTGTACGGCAGAATATTAAAATGCACAATTAAGTCTCTTTCCTTGAGAAGAAAGAAATAGGTAATCTTTTAAAAGTCCTCAAAGATCTTGAATAGCAAAGTGATGAAAGGACAAGTGGGAAACTCACCATGAAGAGGGAATGACAGAGATTATGAAATAATTGGATCTCATCCAAGGAACAGACAAAGCACATGGAAGCCATATTTTAACTATGAAATGCAAAAAGATATACACAGCTTGAAATATGTTAATATCATGTGAAACCTAATCAGCTTATAAATGGTATTTTGGACTGTAACAAAGCAAATGTCACCAAATGGGGCCCCAAGAAGGTAGGAGAGAAGAATAGACCCCAAGGAAGCATCCCTAGGGCTTAGAAGACAGTAATTATTCCATCCTGCCATGAACATGAAAGCTTTCTTCTCCTGGATACCTAAGTCTGGAGTGAGCTCAGAAATGCCGTATGTGCAAAGAGTGCAAAGATAATAAGTGGCTCACAGTGCTGAAACTGGCTACATAACCTCTGTAATAAGTTACTTATAAAACCTCAATAAAACCCAGAGCTAGTCAAACCGAGCTGGAGAGGATGGAGGCTACAGTTACAGGTTAAAGGCGATGAACTTAGTGAATCCATAATTACACAAATGACTTAGAAGGTAGAAAGGAGACTTTTCTATAAAAGCAGATAGAAAAATGAGGTCAACATTTAAAAGCTGATGTGACTAATAAGCAGATCAGTGGCTGCTGGGCTAGGGGTGGGAGCCCAGATTGACTGCAAATGCAGATGAAGGAACTTTCTTGGTCAAAGTGTCTAACACTGGAATGTGGTGATGGTTGCATGATTCTATGCATTTATTAAAATCATTAAATAATATACTTAAAATGGGTGCTTTTTGTAGTACGAAAATTATAGCTTAATAAAGCTGTAATCATTTTTTATTTTAAAGTTGACATGTTTTTAAATTTTGCGATATTCACACTCTATAAAATAGTTGTACTGTATATCTCTGTGATGTGTTAGTTACATTAAAAATGTTCTTTTTCCACTATTGGGAATATAAATTTTTATAATAATCTAAAGTAAGATTCTTAAGTTTTTAAAATTACTCTAAATGGATTATTTTCATAATCATTAACAATCCAAATAGGAATCAAAATAGCAAGAAACACTTAGAAGAAATTGAAAGAAGACATTTCAGTAGCTTTCTCAACATTTACTGTCTTTTGGCAACCCAGTCTAACCCTTTTAACAGGGTAGTATATTAATCTCAATGTGTTTAAAGACTGACAAATCACAGGAATTTGATAATTTCAGAAGAAAAGTATTTTTAAACTCCAGCAGGCACACCAATAAAGCTCAGCAATAAATTGTGAGCATTCTTACCAAAAAAAAAAAGATGCACATGAATTTTATATACTTAAAGTATTTGGAAAACACTATATAATGTCAGATATGACACTGTGGTTAAGAATGTCAGTCTGCCTTGACCAGGTACTAATCACTTGGGCCAGTTACTTTCCCCCTGATTCTGCATCTGTGAAAGGGAGATAACAATAGTATCTACTCCCATAATACTGTTAATGGGGTAAAAAATCGAAATTTTAGTTAGTGCCTGGCATACGGTAAACATTCAAGAAACACTAGCTGCTATTCTACATTTATTGATATTATCCCTGGGCTGGATTCAACATACAAGATGATTTTATTCTTTTCTACAAAGCCTCACCCCCAGGGACAGATCCGGTCCTTTACCTTCCTGGAATGCCAATTACTCAGCAATCTTCACGTAAACTGGAGAAAATGTTTCCAGCTGTTGTAACAGAAAATGTCTTCCAACTTTTGATTCATTACACAAGGTGTTATCACTCATTTTCTGGCACAGAGCTGGTGCACTATCCCAGAACTGATCTGACACACTTTCTTCAGCTGATGTCAAACCAAATTATAAGGCAAATAGGACAAACGAAAAGTCACATGAACAGAATCCATTTACAGTGGGGTCATTCACACTGGTCCTTCCAGGTGAGAGAAGCACTGAGAGAGAGAGATTTGCAATTATTTAAATACATAGCATAAAGCTTCACTTTTGTCTTCAAAAAAAAAGTAATTTTAAGACCTAGAAAACACAGTTGCCAATCCTCAAAATAGATCCACATTTCCTCTGGTTCTTCCTCTATTTCTCTTGTGCCCCAAAATGTAGGTATGTGGGTGTAAACATCTCCAAAGTCAAGTTCTCGTGCATTTTGATAATCTTGTAAAGTTTTGAAAGTAACTTCCCTCTCACGTTAACTGATGGTAGAAAATGAATGGGAACTTTACACACCTGATTCCCAATACATCTTAATGGGAAAGTGCAGGCTCATAAAACTGAGGGCTAGGACATTTAGTATTTATTTTAAGGGCTTCTAAAATATGCCACAAGCTTAGAGTACAGGGACTAATTTTAATGGAAATCTGTTTATTAGCATGCTGGTACACAAAAGTAGGCTTTTAATATTATTTGGATTTTTTTTTTTTTTTGAGAGAGTTTCGCTCTTGTTGCCCAGGCTGGAGTGCAATGGCGCGATCAAAGCTCACTGCAACCTCCGCCTCCTGGGTTCAAGCGATTCTCCTGCCTCAGCCTCCTGAGTAGCTGGTATTACAGGTGCGTGCCACCACACCTGGCTCATTTTTGTATTTTTAGTAGAGACGGGGTTTCACCACGTTGGCCAGGCTGGTCTCAAACTCCTGACCTCAGGCAATCAGCCTGCCTCGGCCTCCCAAAGTGCTGGGATTACAGGCATGAGCCACCGCGCCCAGCATTATTTGGATTCTTAATGTGCTAGAAGTGTTATTAATTCAACTATAAAATAAAACACATCTTTCAGTTATTTAAAGTACGAAGGCAATGTTACAGTGTTTCGGCAGTCACATTTTCAAACAGTACAAGGACATCCTCAAATAAGATTAACTGTATCAATCATCTCATACTCCCATGAACATACAAATGTGAAAATGCAAGTTTCTCTAGTAATGAAACTTGCAGTGAGTCTGAAAGGACTCTTCCCTTAGGATTCTGTTGTGAGGAGTTCTCCCAAGTCTTCCACTGCCCACTGAAAGAAAACTAAGGTATTCCCAATGCCTGGCACAGAATCCATGCTGAATCGATGTTTCCGGATCTAACAAGTCTACAAGGACTTGCACATTTTAAACATTAAAAGACATTTATGTTAAAAAGCTAAAGCACAATCATCTTAATAAAACCCAGGTGAAACTCTTGATCCAATTTGGCAAAACCAAAGACAACTCCGTGAATAGTCTGTTCACCTAACAGGCTTTGTAACAGGTCTTTGTTTTTTATGGTCACTGTCAATAATTGGCACTCTGTACAATACAATAATACATGAGATTAGATTTTCTCCAACTGAACGTATCCCAGAGGCATCATAGCATGATCTTCAGAAATTCTCCCTTTTCCTATAAACTGTTGCCAAATGCAGCAAGGATTTAATCAATGGATGTGTTTTTTTCTCAATACACAGTGGCTAAGTCTACCAATTTGACACACAATGTAAATAAAGAGAAAAGCAATTTTTGCTATATAAGAAAACGATTGGCCGGGCATGGTGGCTCACACCTGTAATCCCAGCACTTTGGGAGGCTGAGGCAGGAGGATTGCTTGAGTCCAGGTGTTCGAGGCCAGCCTGGACAACAGGGCAAAACCCTGTCTCTACAAAAAAAAAAAAAAAAAAAAAAAAAAAAAAAAAACCACACACACACAAAATTAGCCAGGCATGGTGGTGGACACCTGCAGTCCCAGCTACTTGGGAGGCTGTGGTCAGAGAATTGCTTGGGCCCAGGAGGTGGAGGCTGCAGTGAGCCAAGGTCACACCACTGTACTCTAGCCTGGGTGACAGAGTGAGATCTTGTCTCAAACAAACAAACAAAAATGATGATGTTACCAGGAAACAAAATACAATAAGCCTGCGCTATTCCTTTCACAGGAGACCAATTCCAGAAATGGCCTGAGAAATATGTCAGTAATTTTACTCTTCCCAGGGGCACTGTATCAACCAACGACAGAAACGAACCTTTTACTGGTTCTTTGTATACAGACCCCACTTATTTCTAGGGCTTATTATTTTTTCCCTAATTTAGAGCTATAACCTCAGAAATGGAATTGACCTTCCCATTCAAAAAAGGCCCTGTTAATGGGGTCGCTGGGCATTGTATGGCTTTTTGCAAAGCCCTGTCTGCCCTAAGTCATGGGCAGCCCCTGCCAGCTGCCAGCTGAATTAAATAGGCGACACCCCCTCAGTCTCTTAACCTCCCAGGCTGTGTTATAAGAAAATCACTCTAATTCTGATCACTAGGTGGTTCCTTCACACCAGTTTATCCCATCCATTGTTGTTTTCCATAGTCAAGTCTGCAGTACGTAAGACTGTTGGCCACTAAATCCTTGGGCATGTCTAGAAAATTATTATAGCTGGAAATTATTTTCAAAAGTTACCCCTCCATTCCTGCACACCTTAAAAACAGCCCACATCTTTCCGGGCATCGTCCATGTTGGGAATTGTCTCATGCGTAGGGACTCCATCTGATAATAGTTGAAGATCTAAAATCGGTTCTCAGGACCAGTTAATGACTTCCATTCATTCCCACAGAAGACACCCGGAAGCAGCACAGGGATCATATTCAGTTTGTGCAGCGTATTGAGGGGAGATACAGACAACTTCTAACAGCATGCACATGCACTTTGTGGCATTAATCTCTTCCTCGGGATCCGTGTTTCCACAGTGTTTGTTCAGCCTTCCTGACTCTTTAACCTACGTTTATTCTCCATACAGGAAGCCATTCACCCTCCACGTGAGGCAGCCCACTGAGGCTAGATTGCAGTGAGAACACATTTCACACTAATGCACTGGCTGCTTTCCAGAAAATTGCTGCTGGCAATCATATCTTGCCATCTGATGTCAACATTGGCATTGAGAGGATGCTAATAAAACTGCGAAATCAGCTAAAACTAATGTTTAATGCATCTACCACGCAACAACAGCCGGGGTTCGCCGTCTTTAGGGCTTTGAATTCTGATGTTCCATTCATACTCTTCAGTCTCCTGAGCAGCTCTTCTGAAACTTAAATGTGAATATACACAGCCTGAGAATCTTGTTGAAATCACATTCTGACTCAGTAGGTCTGTGTGGAGCCTGAGGGTCCGCATCTCTGCCTGCTCCCTGGTGGCCTTGCTGCTGCTGTCCCGGGACCACTCTTGGTACTGAGGTTTTTATTTATTTAATTTTTTTTTTCTTTTGAGACAGAGTCTCACTCTGTCGCCCAGGCTGGGCTGGAGTGCAATGGCACCATCTAGCCTCACTGCAACCTCCGCCTTCAAGTTTCAAGGGATTCTTCTGCCTCAGCCTCCCGAGTGGCTGGTATTACAGGCACCCACCACCACACCTAGCTAATTTTTGTATTTTATTAGAGATGGGGTTTCACCGTGTTGGCCAGGCTGGTCTCGAACTCCTGATCTCAAGTGATCTGCCTGCCTCAGCCTCCCAAAATTCTGGGATTACAGGCATGAGCCACCGCACCTGGCCGATAGTGAGGTTTTTAAGAATACTGATGAAGCATACACCTGTGCACACAGCACGACTCTTTACAACTTATTTCTGTTGTGTAAGCAGTTTCTAGCTCCCAGACTGTCACTCTGAAAAGGCATCAGAAGGAAAATGTCTAGTCTAATCTTTTTTTTTTTTTTTTTAAGCTAGTGCTTACCTTGAGTTATTTTCTTCCTGGAAGATTTTTTTTTTAATAAAAAAAATCAATTTTATGTTACTATCTGCCAAGGCAACTTTGGTTTATGGTCTTCCAAGTAGAGAAAAAGGGAATAGAAAGATCTCTTGTAGGGGCACTCCTAGCCCTGTAATCTACTTGTTAAAGGATGAGCCAAAAGTTAAAACTAAGAAATGTCATTTAACAAATTGTAAGCATCTAATGAGGGTAGTCGTGAATACAGAAATCAACAAAGCACTATCTTCTTTCTCCCAGATATTTTGGTCTCACACAGGTGTACAAACAGTTCTAAGGCAAAGCAGAAGTGATTATCCACAGAAAGAGAACTACCTTGTGTTTTTCCCTCAGGGAGGAACTCATAAAGATCATGGTGACTGTGCTCCCATTGACCTAAAAAGCCTGTTACCTGGCATGTACAAAACAAGACTGGACTTATGGAATCAGACACGTTTTGAAAAATGTGACTTTTTTTCTAAGAGGATTCTAGACAAAGCAGATGGAGTCTGAGATAATTTTAACCTCCAATAACTGATTACACTGAATAGCACCTCAAGAATTGCTACTTTACATGCTGTTTGCTTCTCGATCGACTTTGGAACATGATTACTATCAGCCGTAAGTCAGAAGATAGACAAAAGAGGCTCTACAGACAAGTCACAAGACAGGAAAGCACACTGGGAAACTTGGCTTCAGGGGATCTGACCCTGGACAATGAAATAACAAAGTTAGAGAGGGAATGGCTTGATACGTTTCCCACATAAATGTGCAGACTCATGTGAAGGTGCCAGCAAGGAGCCAAACTGCACACAGAGTGGGATCTGTGGGGTTTTGTTGTTGTTGTTATTGTTGTTTGTTTGTTTGTTTTTAAAGAAAAAGACAGGGCCAGGTGCAGTGGCTCACGCCTGTAATCCCAGCGCTTTGGGAGGCTGAAGCTGGCAGATCACTTGAGGTCAGGAGTTCGAGACCAGCCTGGCCAACATGGTGAAACCTTGTCTGTACTAAAAATACAAAAATTAGCTGGGTGTGGTGGCACGCGCCTGTAATCCCAGCTACTTGGGAGGCTGAGACAGGAGAAATCACTTGAGCCTGGGAGGTGGAGAGGTTGTACTGAGCTGAGACTGCACCACTGCATTCCAACCTGGGAGACAGAACAAGACACCTGTCTTAAAAAAAAAAAAAAAAAAAAGACAAAGGAAAAAAGACCGAAATATGAGCAAGGGTCATCTTCTCAATGCGACTATGGGTAATTTTAACTTATCTTAATATTTTCCCATTTCCTTCAAAATTCTTTACATTGATTATATATTAATCTTACAAAGGACAAGACCAATTAAAAAATAAATCTCCCATCTGTCCTTTTGTTTCTAAGGCATGTTGTTTACAATATAGTTCCTATTTAAAATTGGATTTTTAAAGTTCCATTTAATTTCTGAAACAGACTTCTTTCATTTAATTTAGTTTCAAGGATTTAAAAACTAATCAGGAAAATCTGGTGCAACATATTATAGTCTGCCACCACAGACACCCTTGAATACTGCAGGTTTGTGTCTCTGCAATAATTAGGCCAGATGCTTTTCATGTGCATCTCCTATTGGCCCACCACCAATTTTTATATCCATGGGACATATTGATCAGTTCTTCTCTTTATTCACTGGATGGCTAAGGCAATGTCAGGAAGGTTTACAGCAATTCTCCTGACTCAGACGGCGAGATGTTTCTAACAGAATATCTATTGTTCCCCCACAAAATGAAAGTGCTTTCAATAGCGAAAATGATCTAAAATTGGCAGATGCGTTCTTTTTATTTTCTATACTAGAGTCTTTCATGAAGAAGCCCTAGCTAGAAACAACCATCATGGTGCGGTGTGCATGGTAATGTAGTGTGTGGCCACGCTGCAGAGGGCACCATCATCATTTACAGCTACACATGACCACAGCCCAGGGTGACCAAGGCAGCTCCTATATGGCCATGACCCGTAAGGACCTTGCTGAATACTGGAGCCATATGCTAATGCCGAGTGGATAGACCACAGCAAACTGGTCAATCATCCAGCTACTTAGTCATTCAGTCATTTACCAGGTCAAGCTCTGGAGACTCAAAGGCCAATAGAACACCTTTCTTAGCCTCATCCTATAAAATCGAAAGGAGGAGACAGGCATTACAATAGACCAGCATAATGAAGATTTGCATGGCTACATACAATGTACAGTGAACAGGCTCCAAGAGAGTGAGTTGTCAATTTTATATGGGGAAGATAGGAAATATTTCATAGACAAGGCCACCTTTGAGCTGAATCTTGAGAAATGAGTAGGTTCTTGCTTTGCAGAGCTGGGGTTCAGTGAGATTACCTTCAATTATCAATGTAATCATCAATATAAATATATATAGCAACGAGTCCAATGCCAGGCACAGAGAAGGTATTCAACAAATGATACTAATAATAATATTACTTTCTCGGTGGGATGGATTGCCAATAGAAAGATGCCTTTAAGGAATGACCTGTACCATTGAAGAAGAAAGTGAATAAAATATCTGCATCGCATTCACAACTGACTGACAATAAATGGGATGATAAAAATACAGTTGTTAGTAGTTCAGGTACAGCAGATCAGTTGCAATGGAAACTATGCAAAATGACCAATTCTACATTCATGGTATTATACAACTACAAGGGTCTTACAGTTTTAAGAAAGCCTGGAATATGAGAACAGAAGGGAGAAGGACTGATATTTTTAGAGGACCTACCATGTGTCAAGCCAAGGCCTTTATATACATATTTTGTCAATTAATTATCACCCCAATATTATGAGGTATGCATTATTATGCCATCTTAAAGAAGAGGAAATTGAGATTCAGAGAGTTTAACTGATTTGCCAGAGGTCACACTACTAATGAGTATTCAAGTCAGGATTTGACTTTGTATTAGTTAAGTGTCTCATTTCGAATTCCATGCTCTTTTTATTATATCATGAAGCATTTCCATGTGAAAAGCCACATTTACAAAGGAAAATATGATTAGTCATTATAAAAGGATAATTTAAAATAGTGAGTCCCTTTGGCACATTAAAATATGATTTTTTTCCAAAAAAAATTTGTTAAGTGTCAGCTTTTCCATTATAACAACTACCAACAATTGGGTACCAATCACAGTGCTAAATTTGCCATGTGAATTGTTTCATTTAGTCCTCATGACAACTTATAGAGCAGGCATTATTATCATTATTATTATTCACAATATACAGATGATGAAACTGAGGATTATCAGGGTGTGAACTATTTCCAATAGGAGGATAAATTTCACTATGCCCAGAGTAGAGGACAGATTTGAACTCATCTATAATTCTATGGAACTAATGTTTTTCCTCTCTGTCATGTTATCATGTATATCTATGCTTAATTTATAGCATACATAAGCAAATTTCCTCATTATAAGTAAATTCAATATACAGAAATTTTAAACTTAACTAATCAGTAAGTTGGGTAGGCTAACTTAATTTTCCAGGCTTGGATGAAAAACCACAAGCTAGATTTTCCAGACTGAAATCTCAGTCCAGGCTCAGCTGAATTTTTTTGTTTGTTTGTTGCAGGGATAACTGACTGACCAGCTGACTTTAAAGTCCAAGTTCTTTCCATCATCCCAACATGCTCCTGCCAGACAGAAAAGGCTCACAGGCCGGGTCAGGGCTCCAGCTGTCATAGAAGCAAGAGAACTCACCACCAGAAGGCAATCACAAAGCCAGTAGACTTGTAAACGTCCCCCAAATGCTCTCAGCACACTATGGAAGGGCTTTAGAAAACCTATCTTCAGTACAGCAGTGGAACACTAAGAGAACTTAGAATTCATTTTACAGCGAGCTAGAATGCAATTTACAGAAAACTAACTTTTGCTAAAATGAATCTAAGCCTTAAAATATACATCACTGCAGGTACCCATAATTGATCACATCCTCAGAGGAGCTCAAAGTGAAAAAAAAAAGGACTTAAATCTTCCCAATTTGGAGGCACTAACATCTACATAAGGACAGGTATAGCTCATGAGTCCTAAATATTGACCAAGGATATGTGACCTAAAATAGTACATTCTATTCTGAACACTTTAATTCTGTAAGTGAAGTGTCATTACGATTCTTAAACTTCTTTTTCTTTGAAATCATCTATTTCCATCAATTCATAGCTCTAATAAATCATGAGGATGGTTTAACATGTGCTCTGAGCTTTTGTAGAGAATTTTAATTTGACATTTTAAAGTGTAAGCTAAATTACTTGTATCAACTGTTTTTTTACTCCAATCGCAAACAAAACTAAAAAGTATTACATTCCCTTTTGCTACATAGGTAGTGTAGCAAATCAATAGTACACATTCTTTATACCAAGAATGAAGGGTTTTAATATGCTTGCAGAAGTTAATTAGAACTGTCACAGAAAAGTTCTACTAATAAAAAAGGAAAAATACCACTGCTGCTAATAGCTACAGAAAACCTCCTTTCCCATTCCAAATAAATCCTATCAGATTCTAAATTTCTTACATTTTGTCTGGAAACCTCTAGTTTCCACATTTTCTATGCTTATCAACTCCTATAGCCAAGGTCAGATGCAATAATAATTTGTACCACTTTTTTAACTTGTAAGAGGAAGACATATCTTAAGCACTCTAAACCCAAGAGTCGACCAAATTATTTTTACTTCAGATTAGAATTAGATATTAAAGGCCAAAAAGAAGAAAATAAAGACCATTTTGTGATATCTGATTAATAGATTCCTATTAATCATCATTACCATTTCCTGTAATCAAGTAAACTCCTATATTAAACACCTAAAATAAATGGCGGCAATTATTGACTCATTTACAAGCATCTTTTGAGCTTTATAACAGGCAATGAGGATTCATGATCAAAAGATACAGAGAAGATGTAATGATGGATTAATTTATCAACAGCTACTGGGATGTCCTCAAAATGGCAGTTATGATGCTTTCTCATGGCTTACCATCGAAATCAGTTTATGGCTACCCATACTTCAGCTGAGTAATTCCTAATGTTTTCCATATTGGGAAAACAATAAATTGTTTGCTCACTCTAGCATGCTAGCAGTGGTAGATTTTTTTTTTTTTTTTTTTTTTTTTTGAGACGGGGTCTCACTCTGTCGCCCAGGCTGGAGTGCAGTGGCGCGATCTCGACTCACTAGCAGTGGTAGATTTTATAAAGTACATGGCCTATGTGAAATGTCTATAAGATAAAAATATAACATCTCTGGGTTTTTTTCTCTTCACTAAAGCATGCTGCAATGTTGTACAGATCTTTGATGTTGAAAAGTAGATAAGATAGGGATGTGCATTTATTTTCTACTTAAAGAGCAATCCAGTTTGTCATTGCTGTATTTCAGTGGGAAGGGGATCATTGGGAAGTGCCCTATCTATGTTCTTTATAGTATAAATCACCTACTTAGGCACTAGCTGTTCTATGTTTCTAAGGACGGATTCAAGAACCACAGATTTAGCAGCTCAAGAAAGCCAGATTTGCTTTTCCATAAAAGGAGTCAGGAGATATGCAAGGGTATCTTTGTAGCAAATCTGGTAACTTTTAGTCTTATTTTAAGCACTTAAAAAATAGTTATACTCCAAATGGCCTCTGGGAGTAACTGCTTGGCAGGTTAAGTGAATAACCCACAGCAAAGTTCCAACATCCAGAGCTTGGACTTGGGCAAGAGGAAGAGACTCTCAGACTCTAAGATCCTGCAGATCCTCCCCTTGGACATGGGTTCAGGGGACATGATTTTAACTGTTAGCTAGAAAATGTCCCTTTTTCTTCTTTGGAGGTCTTTAACCAAGGCCCAGATTTAAAAAAAAAAAAAATGCATCACTGAAATTAAGGCATGGTAAGTGCTTCCTTGAACTGCCAGCCATGCCAGCAAAAGGACTGATGACCTGGTGAGCAGTCACCCTGAAAGTTGCAAGGAAGAGGAGGAAGGTCGGGGCAACCATTTGCTGAAGCTTCAGTGCCCCTGAATAAAGAATGGAGTTGAAATCATTAGAAAGGGTTTGCTCACACATAGGCTGCTTATGAACCACAACGGTCATCTTGGCCAATTGCAGCTTCCTGCAAAATCTTTTCTAGATTGTGCAGCATTTCCAAAACGTTTATTTCCTTATCTCAGTCTAAAAACATCAAAAAAAGTACTGTTCAATGAACTCTTTGCTTAGGGCTAACACAAACCCGAGAGGCAACTGAGCAAGGAGTGGTGGTAGAAACAAGTGAGAACAGCATGTGGTCTGTGCCCTCCGGTGTCCGTCTCCTCTGGGTAAGATATTAAACAGCAGGCTCCGGCTTTCATGGTTCCATTGTCCAAAATCCCAGCGTCAACAGTTTTCATGCCATGGATACATCTGTAGGCTGCCCCAAGGCAATCTACAAAACCATCTTCCTCTCTACGCATTTACTCAAAGCACTCAAGCAATTCATTTTTTAAACAATTCTATTTCCTCAACCCAAAAACATGAAATTCTTTACTGGGCACTGGAATTCCCATATTGTTTATGGAGTTGATGTGAGGGTTCAGTTAAACTATTTTTTAAAAAGGTGGGACAAGTAATCTTAGGGTGGCATCTTGTTGGCAGCATATGGACCCCGATGCCACCACAGGCAGGCCAAGATGGTAGCAGTGCAGGTGCCACCCCACTATGGCCAAGCGTTATTCCACAGGACAGCGTGGAGGAAACTGATTTATTCTCAGAGGCTTATCAAGCCTCAGTCTCTGCCAGGGTTGTCAAAAATTCTACTCTAACAAACTGCTTATGGGACAGATTTCTCTTTTGAGCCAAAAAGATTCTAAAGACTCCTGGGGTCCATGAGGAAGCATCTTTGTTCTCACTGGGAACCCAACGAATAAGTCTTTATGTTCTTTCCACTTTATCATCCAATTCCTCTGCAGCTTTTCACTGATCCTGCTATGAAGAGAACATGCCAACACTAGGGGAAATGCCACAGCAGCAAACTGAACGCTTGACAAAACAACAGTTGAGTACAACAGTCAGCAGAATGACTGCAGGGAAAAAAAGGACAGAGCAGAAATGTTTCAGATGATATTCTTTGGACAAATTACTCCCTTGACAATTCTTTCTCAATACATTTACATCAGTTTGGTGCCTTAACATAATCTAAAGTGGTACAGTGGTTACCAGCACAAGCTCTGGAGCAAGACCAGTTTAAATCGTAGCTGTGTGGTCTTGTGCATGTTTTTAACGAGTTCTGTGCCTTAGTGTTCTAATCTGTTAAATGGGGATAATAAGCAAGTTGTTATGAGGATTAAGCATGCTAATACATGCAAAGCACTTTGAACAATGCTCAATAAAGCTATCATCATTATAGTTCAAAATTGCTATTGCATGTATCATCATAGTTGACCCACAGCACTCTATAAAACACAGGTAATCATTTTATCTGTGTTTCACTGATGAGGATAATGAAGCTCAGTTAAGTGTTTTGCTAAAAACATAAGGAATCTACGGCTGAGCCAAGACTTGAATCCTGGTTTTTTGACATTAAACCTCGGATTCCGTCCCATGACTTTGGATTATTTACATGTAAACCACAGTAAACTAGCCATTATCAAATATTAATTCTAGACAAATTCAGTAAGGAAGAAAACAACTGAGAACATCATACCTATTGTAGGGATTTATTCCTGAAATAAACAAAATTAAATAATCAGCTGATGGCAAATTTTAGCTAAAGTCATTAAAGCCGATTTTTAGATTCAGAGTAGCATTTTGGAACTCCCAAAATTCTGAAGTGCAGCAGGGAGAGGGAACATTTATCCATATGTATTCTTTGCTCTAATGAGACACTTTATAAAAATATTTATTTGAATAGGTAAATATTTATGAAAATAGATGAACTCCCATCTTGAGAAAATTCAATATATGAAAATTCAGAACTACAAGATGTTTGAATAACTCATTAGAAATGGAGCCAGTGAAGGGCTTACAAAATGTGTAAAGGTGAAGTTTGCCATCTTATTGCTACTATAATTCACAAGCCAGCATGAACTTTCTGGTCATTGATAGATTTACGACATTTAGGCTACAGACTCTTAAATATAGAAGACTAAGTCTCATTCATTAGAGAATCTCATCCATTAGAATCCTTATCCGCATATTACTTAGGGCAAGGGTTATAAGCCAAGCAAAAGATGGTAAATACAAATGAACAACTGGCACATATTCCTTCTTTCCTAATGAATTTTATAATTTAGAGCATCTGAATGGATCCCTAAGGGAAGTATTCTTTCATGACTAATACTCTTTCTAGGATTAGCATCTATTTCTAATTCAGAAAGTTTGAATGCGCTAGCCTTTAAGAACTTGGAGGAGTCTTCTATTTAATAAGATCAATCTTTTAATTCATGGATCATTTTAATTTTAATATTTACTATACATACAAATCATTCAAATTATCCCTCAAAAAAAATTTTTTAAAAAAGCATTTTGATAGCACCACATTAAAAACTAAACTTCCAGCAAAGATAGTGTGCTCAAAAGTATAATCTGGTAAACTCTGAATGACTAGCAAATCATGCTGTACATATAATCAATTTTTTTTTTTTTTTTTTTTTGAGACGGAATCTTGTTCTGTCACCCAGGCTGGAGTGCAGTGGTGCGATCTCGGCTCACTGCAAGCTCCGCCTCCCGGGTTCACGCCATTCTCCTGCCTCAGCCCCCTGAGTAGCTGGGACTACAGGCGCCCACCACCACACCCAGGTAATTTTTTTTTTTTATTTTGAGTAGAGACGGGGTTTCACCCTGTTAGCCAGGATGGTCTCGATCTCCTGACCTCGTGATCCGCCTGCCTCGGCCTCCCAAAGTGCTGGGATTACAGGCGTGAGCCACCGTGCCCGGCCCTAATCAATGTTTTTTAATTCAACTCACCATCAAGGTTCTGTCAAACCTGTACAAAAATAGTCCACCCAAGACAATAAAAGGTGATGCTTCCTTTGGGTTCATCTGACCAACTCACATTAAAATGACCACCCATCCAAGTCAACTGATGTTCATTCTGTAGCTGAAAAACCTCCCTTTCATTTTAACACTGAAAAATACAAGATGCGTACTATTCTAGAAATATGCCTTTAAAGCTATCCAGATGGAAATATGTCATTTCTTAGATACATATTTTAAAATCTATAAAATGTAAGTAAATCTCACTAGCGAACACTACAAAGACTTAAAATCATAAAATATTTAGGTCAAAGAAATAAGTTAGAATTTTCCCTACTGGTCAGAGTTTACTTTCACACCTCAGTCATTCATTCTTCAGGCTATAAGATCTATGAGAAAACTGAAAACAGATGACAGAAAAGAATCATTATGTTAAGCAAATAATAAATGAACAAGTAGAAATCACTGAGTAATTATTTAATCTTCAAAGATATGCATTTTTTTCTTACTTTATTCCTATGAATAATCCTGCTCAACTCAAACTTCTGACTGTTCTAGGGCCAGCAAGTACATATTTGTTGATCAAGTGACCCAGGCCCTTTAACAACTTGAGCAAAATGTATGCTTTAGCCACGTACACCCTCCGACTCCCTGGTTCTTGCCTTAAAGTCAAAGTCACATCACAATATGTCTCTTACCTGTTTCCCATCCAACGTGTACAGGCGTTTCACCACTCCCGAGTCCAGCTTGATGGCATCGGTGATATCGGTGAGGACCTGCTCAAAGGAATGAGCCGTTTTCTTGTTCAGCAGAATCCTGACAGCTTTCCGTGGCTTCACGCCACTTCTGATGATGGTGACCAGCTTGGGCCGAATGAAATCCTTATTCTCTCGCACCTCTGAAGGGCTTCCTTTGGCAGTGGCCAGTGAAGACACTGCCCGAGAAGCCGAGGTGGTCTTGACGTTCACCGACCAGTTGGGGTTCACATTCTTGGTGTACTCCAGTTTCTTGAAGGGCTCTATGGAGCCACATACATAACTCTCTCCTAAGGAAGAGAGAAATATATTTAAATTTATACTAAAATATGCCCATTTCTTTTTTCCTACTTATCCTCTCTTTTGCCTTTTCTGCTTAGGGGCAAGAGCTAGCCCTGACTTTTCAAACAATGGAAGTGTGATTAATAATTAGGGAAAAAGAAAGATTTCTGATTGCTAATCTGGCACTGTCAGCAACAGATCCACATCCTGGAAAAACAAAACAAAACATTATTCCTCCATTTCCTCATCTTAAGGTCGGTGATAGAAATGCTGATCTACTTGAAAAGACCTTAGAGAAGTGTGAAAGTGAATTTAAAATAGAAAATATTCTTTGGGAATTAGAGATACTTAAATCTGCAGAAAATTTCAAAATTGGAAGTACCTCCATTTGCTACCTGAGATAATTTAAACACTAAGAATGAATCAGAATACAGCATCTTAAAATAGTCATATAATTTACGAATTTGATGAGAGTTGATGCTAAAGATTTTGTAAAGCCCAGTAAAGTTCCAAAAGCAAGCAAATAATCACCCTTCCTTTCTCTCATCTATATAGTGCCAATCACAGTGATCCACACATACTATAAGGTCAATTCATACTTGTTCATAAGTAAGAGGTTTTAGAAGTGTTCAACATACAAACTACAGCTTCAAAAATGGGCTCTAAAATAAATATAAGTAAATGTTTATTAAAAGTGACTCCTTAGCAGGAAATCTTTTAATGAAAATAATCAGACTATTAAGTAGATGTAGATCACACACACAAAAAAGAAAAACATGAACCAAGAGACAACAAATTGTAAAATGACGAATTCTAAATACATATTTCATAAAGTTAGGTCAAAGCCTTTTGAAATTAAAGATTTTGTAATGGCTTTTTTTCTGTGTTAATAAGTTTTTGTAACTAGGAATAGGTAAAAATGCTGAAAGACCTTCATAATTGTAGGTAAAATGACCGAGGCCTAATCTAACACAGCCCATTGACTTTTATCTAAGTCCTTGTATTATTTTTAAATTCACAGTGCAAGCATCCAAGGCCAAAGAATAAGTAGTCACATAAAAATAACTGAAGCAGGCCTTCAAAAGTTAAAAAGAGCAGTTATACATGTTACTGAACACTTGTTTTGCAGATGTTCTTAAAATATTCTCTAATGTGTATACATACACATTATGCCTCACTAGAAGTTGTATGAATAGTGCAAGTTTAACCAACCCCATTTCTATTCACCTGGCAGATCATGACTTGTCTCAGCTATGCCTTCCTCAGGATTTAAGTAAATATCAAAAACTTATATGTATTTTTGATATTTTCTTAAATCCTGAGAAAGGCATATTTGGGTACTATAGAAACAGCAGTGTTTTGGGAGTTTTCATGGAGTGATGACCTGCACATGATAGTGGGAAGAGAGAACTGGAAATTCGGGCTCAAGACCTGGCCTCTCCAAGCATGTGACTTTGGACAAGTCCCTCAGATTTCTGGGTGGTAGTTTATTTATCTATAAAACAAAACCTCATTAGGTTTTTCTGAAGATCAAATTAGAAGATAGAGATCAAAGTGATCTCAAATACAAACCTGCTATGTGAGTGAAAATGACCTGAGGCTACATACCCTAATCGTGCAGTAAGCCTGAAAGAAAAATTCAAAAACAAAATTACTAGAAATCGGTAAGCAGGTCTTATATTGAACAGTTACCAGTGGACACCACGTTGGGTCCATGTCAATGTGAGAATGCCCTAACACTCCCCAGTGAGACACACAGCATGTAACTGAGCTGGCAAAGCTAGCCTCTGTCAGAATTCTGTGCTAACTGAAGATATGCAATTGTCTGATTATTTATAAGTTTCTATACTAAGCTAATAACTAAAAGCAAAACAAAGATACAGAGAGCAGTTTACATTTCAACAAAAACTTTAAAAATATATTAAATTAGAAGAGGGAGCAGTTTTAAAGAACATAGCAACATGGAGTGAGTTTGTTAAAAGAGAAAATAAACACTTTTTAAAAATATCTTCTTAGATAAAGCACCCTGAAAATGTTTAAAAGCATAAGAAAGTTCTCCAGTTACACTGAGAAGGCGTTGCTGGTTTGGTTCAAGCAACAATGATCAGAAGAAATATGTGTTTAATCTGAGCTGTAAATGTGAGGCTCCTCTGCTGGATAATCAGATTTAAAGACTGGAATGAGAATCTTAGAGAAGGATGTGAGACTCCAGTAACAGATGATACTGTGCTAACAGGAAAGCAACAGCTAAAGGAAGGAGAAGGAGCTGCCACCAAATCCAAGATCACACACCACAGTCATTTAGAGTCTGTGACACTATTCAGGAATTCAGGAAAGGCCCAGATGGATTTCCTTATGCTAATAAATTTCCATTGATTTCCTTATGCTAATACATTTCCATTTTATCATGAAAAGAAATTTCCATTAAATCTTTTTAAATCTATGTATTAACTATTTTTACAGTAATCATAACACTGAACTTCTCTCTGCCACAAGAGATGTGGTTCCCGCCTTAATGCAGTTAAATTAAAGTTGGTTGTATTTTCTGATTTTGTAAAAAATAGCTTTTCAATTCATGGGCTAATTATCATCGATTATTATAAATTAACAAACGTGATTGTTCTGAATGGGAAGAATACATAGTTTTGATTTGGTCAAGTAGCTCTAGATATCCAGTGTTCAATCTCTTCCTTAGTGTGACTGAGAGTTAAGAGATAAGTTATAATCTTGTTAAAATAATCATTTTTAGAGTGCATTCAAGTATTGACATGAGGTATGTGTGTTAAGTGCCATTTAAAAATAACAAGACAGGGCCAATCATGGTGGCTCACATATGTAGTCCCAGCTACTTGGGGGGCTGAGGTGGGAGAATCACTTGAGCCTGGGTGGATGAGGCTGCAGTGAGCCATGATTGTGCTACTGCACTCCAGCCTGGGCAACAAAGCGAGATCCCATCTCTCTTTATTTAAAAAACAAACGAAAAAACAAACAAAATAACAAGATAAAGTAAGCTTACAATTACTGTAGTATACTTCCTCTTACATACACTAAGCCACCCCACACCCCGAAGTCTTTTGGTATAACTTCTACTGCAACAATGAAATAAAAGTGAATTTATCTTAAACAAACAAACAAACAAATAAAAAAACACAAGGTATTTTTGAGCAAAACAGCCCAAAATTTGCTTTGGAAGCTTTGCATTACTTCCTATAGGTGAACTTGAACAAGGATGGCATGATTGCAAAGCTCTTAGCGGTGGTACTAGAAATTGCAAACATCATGATTTTCTGGTTGGTTATCATACAACCAGTTTTTCTTGTTTGTTTGTTTGTTTTTTCAGTTTGTTCAAGCCCTAAGGATTCTATGATAAGTCTGATTCTTCACTTGAAATGTAATACTCTGGGTGTCTAAGACACTCCAACAAATAGCAAGATGCTGAAGCAGCATCTGGCTGAATTTTGTTGTGGCATTTAATGAAGGCCAAAAACTAATCTTTGTTTTTAAGTAGAGAGAGAGATAAAGAAAATGACAGTTTTTTTAAAAGTAAGGAAATAAGCATGAAATTATGTTTGGATCCAACTAATACTAAAATGTCAGAATATGGTAATTTCTTTCCTGAAAGATTTTAGTATTTTCAGAAAGTTGGAGGATGAAATAATATCTAAGTAAGCATACTAGATTATTTTTAAGATACTGAAGAGTTCCTGTGTAAAAAATCACCTATGTATTTTTATTTTTATGTTTCATTTTTTATGTTTTTGAGACAGAGTCTCACTCTGTCACCCAGGCTGGAGTGCAGTGGTGTGATCTCAGCTCACTGCAACCTCTGCCTCCTGAGTCCAAGCAATTCTCCTGCCTCAGCCTCCTGAGTAGCTGGGATTACAGGCATGCACCACCACACCCAGTGAATTTTTATATTTTTAGTAGAGACAGGATTTCATCATGTTGGCCCTCCTGGCCTCAAACTCCTGCCCTCAAGTGATCCGCCCACCTCAGCCTCCCAAAGTGCTGGGATTATAGGCGTGAGCCACCGCGACTGGCCTGTATTTTTAAATGATCATACTGGCCATTATTCTTCAAAGCATAACAATACATTTCCTCTAATAAGATTTATTATTTTAAAAATCTGTGAAGTTAATTCTACTTTGCCATTCGCTTCCATTATGAAATTAGAATATTTCCACTTAAAATGGTTCCCTGGGCACTACTGAAAACTGACAATGTGGTACCTGTTCCCTGGGTGACTGGGCCTGCAGTGTGTCAGCTATAAAAGTGTTCCTCCACGAGACTCTATATTGGGGGATTCTACAAATTTGCCTCTTATTGTGGGAGTTTTTTCATTGGCTAAGAGTAAATTCCAGTTCTGATACTACTTAACTTCAGTCTGAAAATGACCTCATCTCCATCCTTCACATTACTAGAGCTGGTTGTTACCTCCTCTAGGCTTCCTTTAAGATCAATATGTGGCATAGTCAAAAGCATCCTTAAGTGAAGGATATCCGTAATATATTTCATTTTTCCAGAGGATAAACTTTCTGATTAAAAACTCTGGCAATTAAATTTCATTATTGTGAGTTATGGCAAAATCTAGGAAAAACTCAAATATGTATTGAAACCTCTGCAACTGAACTGAATTAAATTACATGAAATATTGTTTACAGAATAGAATATCGTAAAGTACCTTCTGGATATTACATTTTATGAGGCAACTCAGATACGCACAGCAACATTTCATAATCTACCTGGAAGTCACTGGCTTAGGATGATTTTCATTGAGCTATTAAAGGCAAGAAAAAATATTTCCCAAAGGTGCTTATGGGTCATTCTTTTGCAGAAGTCTTCCGTAACACAATAGAACATAAAAGTAAGCTTATAGAAAATGAACTTGAATGTGTATGTCAGACCTGTGGACATGTCACCTTCTCAAATCCAAAGCAACAGAAAAACAACATTAAGGAAAAAAAAAATGAGAGATCTAAACTTTTTGAAATTGAAAAGTAGAGACTCTTTTACTTATTTCTTATTATAATAAGCATGGCTTATTATAATTTACAAAAATACAGGGTACAAAAATAGATGGCAAAGGATAAAAACAAAACAAAGAATATATGGAAAACACATGGAGGGTGCTTAAATAGTAAGCCAAGAAATGCAAGTTAAAGCAGATTTAAGATGTACTCTTGTACCTATTATAATTGCAACAAAAGAATAATCAAAATAAAGTGGTATTGAGGTTGCAGCAACAAAATAATACAAGGTGCTAAAATATATGACAAAGGATAAACACACAATAAAGTATAAATAGAAAACACCATTACAGACATTAAAATGGTAATAATCATTTTAAAAAGTAACATGGAAAACTACTTGGAGCCACGAAAATGTTTATACCCATAATCTCATTGCTAAAAAATTTTGCATAATAACAAAACAACAAATAACAAAACTGTGACAAGCACACACAACATTAACAATGAAACCTAAAAATTAAAAACAACCTCCTAAATCCTGAGTCATAGGTGCAAGACCTAACTTAGCCACTCTGGGAAGGGAAAGAAACCTAAGTCAGGAGACTATCTTCAAATAGGTTAGAAAGCAAGATGTGTCTATGAAAAGATTCCACCACAAGGCAGTAAGTAATAATTGCTAAGTAAGTGGTCTAGGCCATCCTAATTCAGAGGAGAAAGAAGTCACTTCCCACTTCCCACTGGGCTATCTATGAAAGGGAAATGGAATTCACACTGGCCTTGGAAGCAAGGGTAAGATTACCATTGACAAAAAAGAGAGGGGAGAACATTCCAGATAAAAATAAAATAATAATATGCTCTGTTGCACAGTACAGAAAGGGATATTCTCTGATATATTAAAACATTTTCTCAAAAAAAAATGAAATAAAAATGATTCCATAGACAGACGAGTTAGATAAAACCACATCAGGCAACAAGGTCAGAGTTTTACACATGATCAGCCCTGGGTGATAAACAGGTTGCACTGGCTGCAGTGTGAATGAGGGGCTGAAGTGAACATGGGGAGAGAGAAGTCCAGATATCACCTAGAAAGTCATCACAGCCGACCAGGAGAGGAGGTGAACTGAATGTTACGTATCCACACTAGGGACAGAGGAGTGGATGTTACGAGGAGTACTTAGCAGATACAACCAGCCAGAATTGGCAATTGACTGGATGTGGGTTCCGAGGGAATATGAGGCAACAAAAACACTGAAGTGATGACACTGAAAATTCTCTTTGGGCCTACTTCCCATACACCACAATAGATACAATTAGAAGGGGAACAGGTTTGGATTAGGCAGTAAAGAAGGAAATTAAGTTGACTTTGCACATATTAAATTTGAAGTTCCTAGAAGCCAATCAGTTGGAGATTTCCAGCAAGCAGAAATAGGAATGGAGAAGAGAAAACAAGTTGGAGAAATGTCTTAGCAGAATCAACCGAATTTGATGATAGCCTGGATTTGAGAGATTAAGAGAGAGAGACGTTAAGGGTGATGTTAAGTTATGTGATGTCTTAGTCCTTTGGCTGCTATAACAAAAGACCATCAACTGGAGGCTTATAAACAACACACATTTATTTCTCACTGTTCTGGAGGCTGGGAAGTCCAAGATCAAGACACCAGCAGATTTAGTGTTTGGTGAGGGCCCCACTTCCTCACAGATGGTGCCTTTTCATTGTATCTTCACAGGGTTGAAGGGGCAAGGCAATTTTTGGAGGCCTCTTTCATGAAGCAATGAATCCCATTCATAAAAGCTCCAGCCTCATAAACTAATCACCTACCAAAAGCCCTACCCCTTAATACCTTTACATGTGAATTTTGAGGGGGTCCCAAACATTAGGACCCTAGCAGGTGGTAACACTATTTAATAAGAGCTGGAACATGAGAGAAAGAATGAATTCTGGAAAATGGAAAAGAATGAGTCCACAATTATACATGTTGAGCTTTAAAGAACTAAGGAAGAGAAACAGTTCTATATATCCAGGTAGTTGGAGTGCAGAAGAAAGATCTGATTTAGGAGTAATAGGCCTTAAAAGAGTGGTTAAAATAATGTCAGTTGATGAGATCACAGTGGATGATCCAAAGACAGGAAAATGGAGGACAGTAATGTTTAGAAATTTGGAAAGTAAAGAGGGAAAAGAAAATCACCATTAGAACACTATAGTAATAACTGCTATAGGCAAGATCCACCAATAAATGCCAAAATTCATGGGCAAAAGCTTAAGGAGAAACAAGATATTTACACAGCATCAAAGTTTCTTCCCGAAATATTAGTTACAAAGGGGAAAATTATAACTTTAGAGTGAATATACCTGACAGACACTGCCTTCACCAAATGATCACAGGTAACCAACAAGACATATCAACATCATGTACCCCCTGAAATGATGTACTGAGGACAAAACATGACTTCTGTGCATAACATCAATCTAATCATCAGACAAACCCAAACTGTGGGACATTCTACAAGATAACTGACTGGTATTCTTCAAACTGTCAAGGTCATTAAAGATAAGAAAAGACTGAAGAACCGTCATAGCTTCAAGGAGAAGCAGACACAACAACTAAATGCAATGTGTGATTCTGGAATGAAAAAAGGATATCAGTGGGGAAACGAAGGAAAGCCAAATGAGGCCTGTAGTTCAACTACTGTATTGTACCAAAGTTAACTTCTTAGTTTTGTTCATTGCACCATGATTGTGTGTGCTGTTCCATTACAGGAAGATGGGTGAAGGGTAAACAGGAACTTCCTATCTCTGTGATACTTGTATAAGTCCAAATTAATCTGAAAATATAATGTTAAAGAAATGAAGCAAATAGCCTGGGGGAAGAAAAGGTTAAACTGAATCCCTGTCTCACATATTATAACAATATGACTTCCATTAAAATATTTTTTAAGTGAAAACATAAACATACCACAAGAAAATGAGGAAAAATGGCTTTATGATCTCAGTGTACAAAGGACCCAAGAGGCATGAAAATCAAGCTATAAATAAAGAATAACACATTTGATTATATAATTGTTTTGTACATCTACACGGCAAAAAACACAATAAATGAAGTCACTAAAGAGAAATCTGGAAAAAATAGAGTCATGTGCCACAATATTTGGTTATAAGATTATAACACCATATTTTTATTGTACCTTTTCTATGTCTAGAGATGTTTAGATACACAAATACCATTGTGTTATAATTGTCTACAGTATTTAGTACAGTAACAAGCTGTACAGGTTTGTAGCCTAGGAACAATAGGCTATACCATATAGCCTAGGTGTGGAGGAGGCTACACCATCTATGTTTGTGTAAGTACACTCTATGATGTTCCCACAATGGCAAAATTGCCTAACAACACATTTCTCAGAACATATCCACACTATTAAATGACACATGACTGCCCTCTCAATCATTATTACAAAGAGTTAATATATTTAAAAGAAAAAAAATTCTACAAGTTAATAAAAACCCTAACCTGATAGGAAAATGATCATAAATGATGGAGAGGCAATGCACAGAAAATGAAATACAAATGCCCTTTAAACACATGAAAAGATGAAAATTATGTGAAAATTATATGAAAAACTGTATGAGAAGACATACAGTTTTCTTTTCTTAATGGGTTAGTTAATGGGAAACATCTGATTTCAAAACATCTTGTTGAGGATAGAGAAACGGCCACTTTCATACATAAGTGGTTGGAGTGTAAACTGAATCCACTTTTATGAAGGGGAATTTTGCAAATAGTGCTTAAAACTTTAATGCTTGTACCTCTCTACCCAACAATATTACTTCTAGGAATTTATCCTAAAGATATTCTCCTACATGACTGGAAAACATCTATCCAAGGATAGTCATCACACAACTGTCTGTAATAACAAATAATTGAACACAACCTAAAAGCATATTGATAAAAGACTGGTTAAATTAATGATGGTAACTTTGTATAAAGGAGTACTATGAAGTCAGTAAAAGAACACAGTAGTTTTGGATGTACCAGTATGGAAAGGTCTTCAGGATATATTGTTAAGTACACAAAGCAAGGTGCAGAACTGTTGGCATAAAAAGTTACCTTCTGGGCAAATTACAGTACTGCCCCACTTTATCCATGGTTTCAGTTACCTGCAGTCAACTGAGGTCCAAAAATATTACATGAAAAAATCCAGAAAGAGACAATTCAGGAGTTTTAAACTGCATGCAGTTCTGAGTAGTGTGATGAACTCTCACGCCATCTTGCTTCTTCCATCTCTATCACAAGAAGGGCAAGTACAGTACAAAAGGATGTTTTGAGAGAGACGCCACATTCACATAACTTTTATTATAGTATATTGTTATAATTGTTCCATTGTATTTGTTATTGTTGTTAATTTCTTGCCATGCCTAATTTATAAATTAAACTTTATCATATACCTTGCATCATATACATACCTTTATCATAGGTATGTATTCACAGGAAAAAAAGCACAGTATACACAGGGTTCAGTACTATTTGCAGTTTCAGGCAACCACTGGGTGTCATAGAACGTATTTCCTTCCAGGATAAGGGGGCATTGCTGTATATGTGTCCTTCACATGCACTGGTATCTCTGAGAGGACCCTCAAGAAACTAGTAGGCTGGGCACAGTGCCTCACGCCTGAAATCCCAGCATTTTGGGAGGCTGAGGTGGGTGGATGGCTTGAGCCCAGGAGTTTGAGACCAGCCTGGGAAACATGGCAAAACCCTGTTTTTTGTTTTTGCTTTTGTTTTTAAAGAAAGAAAAAAGAAAAGAAAAAGAAACTAGTAAAGTGGTCCCCTCTGAGGAATTTTAGGAAGAGCAAATTTTATATCTATTCAAAAATTAATTTTAAAAAATTCATTATAGCAAGGAGAGGCATAGAGAAAGCCAGTGAAATAGGGAAATAAAGTAGAGGATGCTCTATTAGGGAATAGGAAAAGATGGGTAACCCAGAGGCTGTGGTAGGAAAGAGATTCCCTAACTGTGGGGTGAAGCATGGGTTTAATCCTGAGAGGGGGATTATGATAGAAACTTGGAAAAAGCCCTTATGCAAACTGCAGCTCCAGAGTCAGGCAACGTCCATACAGGGTTAGTGAAAAGCCAAGGCATACATGAGAACCAAAGAAGAAGAGGGACTCATCTCTAATAGCGCAGATCTGATGAACAAATTCACTTACTTGTATCCAGAAGATTACATATCTACAGAGTTTTTATCTTAATGTTTAAAGAAAATGTTCTGGCCCTCTCACATGTACATTTTCATAAGATGTTAAAAGAAGGACAAATCAGTCAATCCATCAATGCTCCAGGTTTACATTACATCTTTCTCCTAAGAGTTCAAAGGCTTTAAATGTGACACCTTTATTTATCATCACAACATTTACCTACCTACAGTAGAATATAGATGGTGCAAAATTGGGGGAAATGAGGCCAAGTCTCAAGATGAATCACTTGCGGAAATAGGCCTGCAATTCAACTTTCCTTATTAAGCATCATGATTTTTTTAAAAAAACATATTAAGGCCATTTTGAAAGCAAACAAGAGTGTCACCTTTGGAATGCTCTTAAGTGTATGTGTGTGAATATGTGTGTATATACATACATATGTGCATAGGTGACACACATACAATCATAGACACACACATTCACACTGACTATATGATTTTGGCTCAGCTAAATACATACAGCTAGCTCTACCAACATGCTTAAACCACACTTAGGCATAATAATCCATAGATAAAAACAAAACAGTGACAGTGACCACAAGACTGTCATAGATAAAGAAATTCACAAATATTGTAATTCAGAATTTTTAGTCTGAGAGCAAGTGAGAAAGAGCAAGAAAATAACTATAAGTCCAATACACTTGCCACTGCACCCACTAAAAGGATTTAATTTAAAACTCAAACATCATCATATTGGAAGGGGAAATGAAAAGCTAATAACATGCACTGACGTTTACATAAAATTAGTATGTAAAGTCAGAGATATGAGCCTAATGATGAATATGAACCAACGGTTTGCATTTTAACAGACTAAGCAAAAAATGTAATTGACAAAGAGGCGAATCTAAATGAATTTCCAGCTATTTAAACACTAAGTGCAGCTGCATGCTAATTGTCAGTGTTATGAATTAGAAAAAAAATCTGTTTAAATGAAAATTCAAAAAATAAATGCAGCCAACATGGTGAACTCACACACTGTACCAAAGTTACCATTCATTCAATCAGATAATTTTTTTTTCCCAAAAAAGTCATTTTTAAACATCAGAATATTCAGTCGGCAGTTACTTCACATTGATTGAGGGGAAAAACTCAATATAGTAGTTGAATTCATAGCACACAGCATCTTAGAGGTAGTTATGAGCTCAAGCTTTGGCACTAGCCTTCCTGGGTTCAAATCCTAACTCTACCATTTCTTTCTTTGTGAGTTTGAGCAGATCATTTAACCACACTGTACCTTCCTTTTCTCACCTTAATATAAGGATAACAGTTCCCACCTCCTAGGATCATTGTGAGAATTAAATGTATTCATATATGCAGGGATTTGGCCAGTGCCTGGCACATGCTCAATAACTGAGAGCTATCATTATTACCTTCAGTCAAGACATCAGTCCCTCAGAGAAAGCATTATTTTGCAGTAAAAGACAAAGAAGATGGTGACAAGCATGCCATAATTTTGCTGGTCCCTAGATGTGAAGGGAGTACTGTCATCTACCACCTCCCAGACCCTCTCCTTGGTGGATGGGAGTCATTGGAGTATCTTCGGCCACTTCTAAGTAAAGATCATTTCTGGGTGGGAAACTGATTGAAGTACCCCAACCCCCATAGATGCTACACAAGTGACTCTGGAACAGAGTGAGGTGTCAACCCATGGCTGTCTTAGGATGTGCTTTGAGATCTTGCCATATTTTTCCCTACAGTACTACCGGCCCTCAGAGGGACGGCTTGTTGACTGGTCATGCACCTGACTTTGCGTATAACTTTTATCCAGATCCCCTAGACTATACCACCAAATGTTTCATTTAACCTTGGATTTCCAAAGGTCATGCAAAGGACAGGGCACAGAAATTAAAGCTGAAACAGTAAAATTTCATGTTAATTCTTCTCCTTTAATTTACTGGAAGTTCCACCCTCTGAATAGAAGGAAAAAGGCCAAGTCCACAGGCATGTTGGCAGCATGTCAAGTCACCGAAAAGGGATGTGAATTCCCACAAAATAAACACAGGCTCCTCTGCACGCTCTCAAGGCCAGTCACACTGTGATCAGGCTGGCATTTCTGCCAAGGGATGAAGGGAAGCAAAAAGGGAGAAGTCCCCAGCCTTGAATCACATACATACACTGGTTACAAAGCAGGACAAGAGGGCTCTGTCAGTGTGCGGTCAGGGGAGAGCAGCCCCCAACTCCAACGGGGCTGCAACGGGTGCTTCCTGCTACCTGCACAAGAGAGGGAGGGATTATATGGCATCCCTCCTGGACCCAGTTGAGTTACACGGCCTGAGCAAATAGTTCTGGAGTAAAAATGAACTCAAGGTGAAATCAAGCTCTTCCAACACTCCATCCAACCTCCCTTTCCCAGATTCTTTTGTGCCATCTACTTCTTCATCATCAGGGCCTTGAGATCTCAATTTCAGAAAAATCAACCCTCCAAAAAGGATCTGCTAGCTTTTTTTGCACCTTGGTATACATTTAATCCCAGTCTTTTTTCTCCAACTCATTTTAATTGGCGATGATTTCTAAGGCAATGACAGGCTTTATGCCCTGTTCAAACAGGGTCAGTCCTGAGGCAAGTGTAGCCCAGAGTCGGTGACCTTCTCTGCTTGCATAAGATACCAGGCTGCATCCGTGGACGCAAACAGTCCTATTTCCACATTAAATGTCTAAAACAGATAATGACTATTAACCTAAATTGGACTTAAAAAATTAAACTGAACAGATTAGTCCCTGCATATCCTCAAAAATCAGAGAAAGACAATAATCCTTTAAACTCAAAAGGAAGCATCGCAGTGGAACGAGCTGTCAGAAAACCTGTTTTGGTCCAGGGTCATCACTATCTTACCACGTAACCACCGACATGTCATTTGAATTTTCTGGTCCTTAGACTCCAAAGATAAAATTAATGGGTTTGATAGCTATCTAAGGTTCCTTTCAACTCTAAAATTTCATGATCCATTTGTCATTTTCAATTCAAGTACTTTCGGATATCGTGATAGCAAAAGTTTAATTTGCATTTAGAAACGAATATAAACTATGAGATTGAAGAGATAAAATGGACTTTTAAAATTAATGCAGCATGGGTATGAGAAAGAAAATAGAGAATGCTGTAGAATTAGGGACTTTTTCCCTTAGCACATTATTATAAGCTACCTGACAATACCATTAATTTTTTTTCCTTTTTACTCTACACAATAGCACATTCGTATGTCTGAAACTATAAGGATCACAGCCATAAGGCTGAATGTCAACTGTCAGAGGGCAAATGCGAATCGGCTACAACACTGGAAATCTGAGCCTGGAACCTGTAGGGTCACGTGGGGGTTATCTCACAGCGCTCACCTTCCACCAGTTGGTCCAGGCTGGAAATCTTCTTGAGCCCATCAATGGTGTAGATTGTTCTCACTCCCTGGGGCAAATTCACGTTATCCGACAGAGTTCGGGTCAAATCAGCCAGCAGGGCCTCAAAAGATCGGAACCGGTCTGGGGAGATGGCATACACAATCCCTTTGAAGTATCGATCTCCGTTTCGATAGAAACGAACTTTCTTGGCCTTCTTCTCGGAGCTGAGCGTCTGCAGCGTGCGGGTGCGGTAGAAGCTGCAGTGGGCGCTGTGCGTCGGGCTCGGCAGGCCGTTCACCCGCGACCCTCGGCTGTATCTCTGCGCCTTATCCCGCTCGTCGAAGTGCTCCAGCTCCATGTCTCTGCCGAAGGACATGATGGACTTCAAGTAGGACCTACGAGCCCCAGAAACAAAAGCAGACACACATATTGATGTAGGTTATATATATATATATATTTTTTTGTTTTTGTTTTTTTTATGTTAGGGACAGGGTCCTGCTCTGTCACCGGGCTGCAGTGAGATGGCACTCACTGAAGTACTCACTGAAGCCTCACACTCCTGGGCTCAAATGATCCTCCTGCATCAATCTCCCAGAGTATCCGGGACTACTACAGGTTACAGGTGCCTGCACCACGCCTGGTTAATTTCCTTCATTTTTTGTTCATTTGCTTGTTTTTAGTAGTAGTGATGAGGGTCTTGTTTTATTGTCCTGGCTGGTCTTGAATCCCTGGCCTCAAGTGATCCTCCCCCGCCCCCCAACCCCTTTGGCCTCCCAAAGTTTGGGGATGATGTTATTTTGAGATCATGATTTCAAAGGGTCTGCTTCAGAACAGCTGGGTGGAAATATTGCTTTAACTGATGACACATTTAATATGAGTTATCAAGTGGGACAGAAAGAGAAAGGGATGTGAATTCCCACAAAATAAACACAGGCTCCTCTGCACGCTGTCAGCAGAAGAGGCCGATCCCAGTGGAAACAGCTTATTAATCAGCCACAAATTTGTTAGAAGCAGCTCCTAGGTTGCCCATGGTTCATCAGGCTTCAAACAGATATTATTCCCAATAGACACAACAACTTTCCAAAGTATTGTCCTTCCTTACAAAAGAAGAAACTGAGGCACAGAAAAATTTCCCCTAAATTGCTCCAAGTAATACAGTTGAGAAATGCTTGTACCAGCAACTCTGTTCCAGGTTTCCCTGACTCCAAAGCCCACTGCTCCTTGCAGGGCAGAGGGCTAATCCTGGTAGCAGGAAGAAAATAAGCTCTCATATCATCATACAGTGAAAGAGAAGTAGCTATGGTGGGCTGGGACAGAAAGAGAGGGCAGGCAGCATAACAGTCAGATTGTAAAAGTTTTACATAATGTTTGTGTGCCCCATGGCCAGATGGAGAGCAAATTAAATCAATCTGTAGGTTGGACCAACTTAAAGAAGATTTTCCAACATATTCACACATTCAATATTTTTAAAAGCAAATTCACTATACTTCATTTACTTATATTTAGTACTTCAGAAAAGTTGAGTTTAAAAAAAGAAGAAAAAGGAAGAGAAGGAGGAGAAGGAAGAGGAACAACAAGAAAGGAAAAAATGTTTGGAAGTACATTTCTTGGTTCTTCCTTTCATTAAGACTATCTTTGTGATTGAAGAAATTGAGGCTTAAAGATGTCGATTTACACTTGACCCCATGCTAGCTGTGTAAGCTTGAAAAATCTACTTGCTCAGCATCTTTAAGCCTTGATTTCCTCAACCACAAAATGGGAATGAGAACAGTACCTACCTCACAGTCAGTATTAACTATTAAATAAATTCATGCACATGAAGTTCTTATCATAGTGTCTGACATGTGATAAGTACTAATTTTTTTATTAATAAAATCTGTTTTTGTGTTCCTGGCCCTGACACATAAAGAGCTAGCAGGAATAGAATCTTTCCTTTCTGGCAAGAGAGGCCCCTGCTTTCTTCCTGATCTCCATCTCATGACCTTTTGAAAGGTACATCTGTACCCCCTGGTCCCCACAGCAAGCTGACTGGAGGACCAGTTCATCCTTGCTGAGGGGTTGGTTGATAAAGGTTTGTGGAGCCTTGCAGGGGAATCTGTGGTTTAACAAGACAATCTAGAAAGTGGAAAGACCAAAGCATTCAAAGGAAAGACACTTTAATGACAAAATTTCAGGCATGTTGAAATAGAATATCAGGAAAATGGAAAATTTGGAGCAAGAACCTTACAAGCACTCCCCAAGTCCCACCATATTAGATGGACATCACCTTTCTGAAGGTCAGTGAACACTCACCAATGCACCACTGTCTCCCCAACCTTTCTTTGGCCCTCAGTAAACTGACCTCTGATCCATTCAGAGTGGCTAAAATTTCACACCTGAAAGCATGACTAGAGATTTGGTACTCCAGAAATGAAGTGAAAGAAAGCAATATTTACTGAAGGTCTAGGAGGTACCTGACACTATTACTCATCAACCAGTTGTATAATATGCTAAAAATTCTCTTCTAAACCTCATATTAATCCAACAAGGTAGGTAATATTATTAATATTCAGGTGAATATGGAATTTATCCAGGGTCCCAAAATTATAACTGAGGGGTTGAGATTTGAACCCAGATTTACTGTAACTCCAAAGCTGGTGTTTTCCATCCCTTGCTCCTTTGAAACTGGTTCCTCTTCAGCATGAGAAGCAGGATTTTGTAAGCCCTCACTCCTAACTAGCTCAGTGACCTTGGACAGGCCACATAACTGATCCAGACCTCGTCTGCACACAGAGGAAGCAGTGGTCAGCAGGCCTCTGATGTTGGTGATTCTATCTACCTGCTTATGGGTCTATTGCTGACCCCACTGAAGGTCTGGGGAGGGAGAAATGAAGTGTGATTTAAACCTGGAGTGTTAATGAGTTCAGTGTACTTTTTTCCCTCCAAATATGAAAACTATTTCTTGCCTCTTAATAACTCATAGTAGTCAGAATTTGCATTTTTCAAAAACAGTTATATATAGGCAGCTCTGAACTGGTTTCATTGATTTTGATGTTAGATAACTTTAAAACAATGATCCCTTGATATCCAGTCCTGTAGGCATTAGTTGTTAAACAGAACCAATTTTTGTCCAGGATATTGGTAACTGCTCTTACTTTTTAATTTATATGGTTTTAAAGTGAGCTCTCTTGTCTTCTAAAAGGGAGTGTGTCTTGGGGGTGGAGTGGAAGACACTCCCAGTACTCACACCAACTCACTAAGTTCTTCAACATTTTGTAAATTATAAAGGCCAAACTCACTTTTGAAGTTTGTGTTTTATTCTTAAAGGCAGTGATCATTCTCCCAACACTAGGAGTTTGGGGATTTCCTTCCAAATTGATATAAACTAAAAGAAAACAAGCAGGGCCATAGGGAAGGATGGCACAGTTCTGTTACCAGAAAGAGTGCACATCGAATTCTCAGTGACTGACAATTGGCAAAGGCCAAATAATTTGGCAATAGTTAGAATTCCCTGGGGGAACGGGCTTTTAGGACCAAGAATTCCCACACCAGATGAAAAAAGAAGAAAAGAACAATTTAAAATAGAAAAAAGGTTTACTTTGTTTCATTTTATTTGCATATTTCCTCAAACTGGATCACAGGTTCATCCAGGGCAGGGCTACACCTTTTACTTCCCTTCCCTGAATCTGTCCAAAAGTGGGCAATGGTGTCGACAAAAGAAACCATACTCAGAGTGAAATCATTTTCAAGGCTACAGCTACCTCTAAATGGAGCACACTCCACACCCTAGTGTGCTGGTAATTATTCGTGGCAACAAAATAGGTGTTCTTTCCCTCACCTTGGCTTAGTCATACATTTGAACCATGCATGAGCTTCTGAAGATCCACTGGCCTTCCACAGGTTTACACTTTCTGCACAGGAAGGCTGCGAGAACACACAGCTCAATGTTCAGAGACCATAGGTGGCCAAGGGCCTGAGTGCACATGTGCAGTGGCACCAGGATGGTAACCACAGCACCTCAGCCACAGCGACCACAGACACTGGAGGTAAGAAGGGCCACTGGCTCTCATCAGAGCTTTTCCTATAAATCCTGCCATTTCAAGAAACCAACATCCCTGATTGTTCTCGGTGGGATTTCTCACCATTTTGAGGAATCTATGTTCATCCTTCTCTAGATGAGCACATGGTTCTTGTTTCAGAAATTTACACACATATATACCAAGAAAAAAATGGCATAAATGCTACCACATCTAAATAGATGCTGGACCTGGAAGTCCCAAGGCATATTTTAACCGTGGGATTAGGATTCAGGTGGACTGGCATGAAATAAAACGCACACATACCTTCCAGGCCCGTGCACCACCACGGACGTAGACATCACAGGGTGTGTGCATATCTTTTATAATTTTCCTCTATATGACCTCTCTTAAAAAATCCCTTCTGACCTGCATCCATGTGACATTTCATACTTAAAACGCTGTCCTACTTTCCTTTCCCACTGAAAGGCAATATATTTAGGAACAGTCATAAAATGTATTCACGGAACAGCCTGCAGTGTGGTCGCTGAACGTGTGTGCACCGTGCCTGGACACACTCACAGGTGCAGCAGAGAGGGAGCCGGTTTGAATGAAACCTTTCATCTTCTCTCTCACCGACCAAGCATCTCCTTGCCAAATCCAGGAGCAATTCCGCGCAAACCTGGTTTTCAAAAGCAGCCTCTTTTGTGGGGCATTGCGGGGCTGTGCGTGCGCTCCCACTAGGAGGAAAAAATGCCATTTCCTCTCCGCAAGCTTTTAGCACTGCAGGTACTAATTTGAACATGAGGCAGCCTCGCTGTCCCTGAAGGAACTTGAGACCCTGCAAACGTACTTGCAACACCCACGCTGCAGCCACCACCACGCACGAATCGACCCCATCCACAAGCACACATCACTGGCCCGGGCACACGGAAAAGCACACACACAATAAGAGGCCGGGCCCGGCCACTCCTTCCTTGGTTCCCGCTCCGCAGCCAGTTCTGACAATGACAAGCACCTCTCCCAGCTCCTCCGCCCTGGCTCTCCATCTCCACTAACAACGCGAAAAGCCTGGGAGGGCCCGCTCGCCTGACTCCAGGTTTAAAGCCCCATGGCACCAAACAAAAGAGGCAGGTGCCAGCAGCCCCGGGGCCGCCCGCACGCAACGCCCCCGGGTCGGGCCAGGCTGGCCAGGGCAGGGCGGCCGCCTTTCGAGGAACTGCGGGCGGGGCGGCGGGGCCAAGCTGAGCGCCCGCCCTGCCCTCGGCGCCCCGCGGCTGCGGGCGGAGCGGGCTCTGCGGAGTCCCCCGGCCGCCCTCCCCGCAGCTCCCGTCCCCAGGGAAGGCAAACCACGCACCGGTCCGCGGAGAGACGCCGCCGGGGGTCTTTGTGGCCGCGCTGGGGGCCGCCTCCTGGTGCTGTCCTCGCCGGGCTGGGCGCGGCCGGGGCTGCGGGGCTGCAGGGCTGGGGGGCGGCGGCGGGGCCGGGCTGGGCGGCAGCAGCTGCTGGAGCGCGGCGCCTCGGTTGCGGCCACTAGTGCAGGGATGTGCCTCGGCCCGTCCTCATTGAAATGCGGCGCTTCGCACAGCCTCACTCCAGCCTCTCTCTCCAGAGGAGGGCGGCGGCGGCGGCGGCGGCGGGCGCGCTCCCTTTTCTTGTCTCACTCGCTCACACGCCCTCCCGTCTCCCTCCTCCTCCTCCTCCTCCGCGTGCGCGCCCCGTCGCCCCCGCCCTTCTTGGCAGGGCGCACCCACCACGGCTGCGCCCCAGGTCCTCCTCCCTCCCAGCGCCCTCTTCCCACCGCAGCAACCTCGGTGCATCTGGCTTGACTACACCCCTAAACCTCCCTAGTCCCCACAAGTAGTCTTTGGGAGATGGGGGCAGATCAGATGGTGGAAGAGAACGTGGACAGGGCTGAGTCTGAGCCAGGAAGTGTGCAAGGCACAGAGGTGATATGGCCGAGAGATGAGGCCCCCACCGTCGGGGGAGGGAAGGAGGTACCCACACTCATACCTTTTGATGTGACCTCACGGTCTGACACCTTTCCCAGGGTATGGAAGCCAGTGGATCACCTTCTCATCCTTTTTGCCCGGGATGCACCCACGCAGTGCCTCTTCGGATGACCAACCCTCC
Source organism: Homo sapiens (assembly GCF_000001405.40). Taxonomy (NCBI): domain Eukaryota; kingdom Metazoa; phylum Chordata; class Mammalia; order Primates; family Hominidae; genus Homo; species Homo sapiens. The sequence continues at coordinate 36,131,890 of NC_000013.11, forward strand.
CAAGCTATGCACTCTGGTGCCCCCCACATTGGGAAGAGCTGGATCTGTTCATGGATCCCACCCATCATCTCCACTTAACCCCAAGACATGAGTCACTCTTGGAATAGTGACCTCTGCTTAGAGTCAAATATGTTCCAAAGGGCCCTTGAGAACTGAAGGGCCAGGTTTCACTGCTGGACACTTTGTGGCTGCCAAGGCTGGGTCTGCGGTGGAAAGCCCCATGAGCTCATGCGAGCCTCTCCTCCCAGAGGGGGAATGTTCTCCTAGCCCAGGCTGTTCACAGCTTCCTCCAGTCTTTGCACAAAAGTCCAGGGAGTGGGAGCAGCTCCCAGATTTCGGTGAAATCTTAGACTGGCTCAGTACGCAGCCTGAATTTTGATCCAGTTAATCTGACTTTCAATCCTGTCGTCCACAACCTGTGTTTGTCCCAAATACACATGAGTATACAAAATACACATAAGTATTTTTCTCTCTTCCTGAGCCTACACCTTTCAATGGAACATTAAAATTTTATTTTTCTCTTGCCCATTGATCCCAGTTATGTGTTTGACTACTTATTATTAAAAAGTTCTATTCTGAAATACTTTCCAAGTATGATGTAAATGTTAAATAATTACCATTTGTTTTAAAACACAGCTCAAATGAGATCCATGCTACATATTCCACAAGTGATGCGATATTTATTTTTGAACTATTTAATAGCCCAGAGATGAGAGTACAGTGAACTCACCAAATTAACTAAATGCAAAGTAGTAAGCCTATTCTTTCACATTCTGAGGCAAAATGAGAGCCATAGGGGTAAATTAAGAGAAAGGAAGAAGCCAAGTACATCTTCTGGAGAACAGAAATCAGAGCTTCTTTTTATCTTGCCAATGACAAATGCCAAGTGATTTCTTCCAAAATGCTAAGCCAAGAAATAAATTTCATCTCTTAACCCCTATGGATATTCTACTAGGGTCATTTCTTAAGAGCTTTAAGTAACTCACCATCATCTTACCTCTTCCTAGCTGTTGTACCTAGCACACACAGATAATGTGTTCAGAGAATCACCTTGGTGTTTGACTCTCTCAGTAGCAAAGTGCTCTCACTAGAAATAGTTGGGCATCATTAGCTCTTTAAGGAAACCAGGGGGCAACTGATAATTAAGTAGATGAAGACATTAAATAGTATACATTGGCCCTACAGTATGGTCATATCATTTAGTCCAGGACAGCAGGCTGGTACTAAAGTTCATTCCAGGGCAGCTTAAGCATTTGGCAAATCTAATTTATATTCAACAATAATTCCTTATTGAAATGAAATCTAACTAGAAAACTCCTAATTCAAGTAATTTTCAAAAACGAATGCTACTTCCTTTATATTACTAAGATATTGATCAAAGAAGTGAATGGAACTAATACATCCTTTCCCCCAGGATCATCTGAAAGTATTGGAGATCTCATTCTAGCTCCCAAAAGCAAATGCTATTTAAGCTGTACCCCAACTACCGCCCCAAGCAGACACAGCTCTATATCCTACAGGTTGAAAATGACTAGGCCTCAACTCTCTCAGTGGCTCCCATTAATTTAGTGCTTGCTTTTTGCCATGCTGGGGGCTTTCATACATTTTCTTACTTCATTCTCATAAGAACCATGCAAGGTAGGCATTGGCATTATTATCCTCATCTTACAGATGAAGGAATTTAGACATAGAGAGGTTACATCATTTGCCCACAGTCATGTAGCTTAAAAATGTCAAGCCCAACTTCAATATTTAAAATCGGTATGTTTTAAAATTCAAGTCAGTTTTTCAATTGCTAAGGCCATATGCTTATAAAGCAATACCAAATTCTAGTGCAAAGTGTAATCTTTTTTGGAAAATGCAGTCTTTTAATCAAAGAGCTTATTACTTCATAACAGAGAGTTAACTCCTTGCTATCATGAACACTGCTTCTTTTAGTGATGGATCCCCTCAAATGTGTCTTTGGACTAAACTTCTCATGAGGACATTTGCACTTTAACCTCTGGCAACGAAGAGGATGGATAATCTTATCTAAGTGTGCTTGTCTTCCTGAATGTAAGGTTTTAGTGCAAACCAGGAAAGAGACAGAGAACCATTATTCTTCGGAATAATACTTTATAATTCACCATGTATCTTTTTTCAGGTTCTTTTCATTGGCTTCTTCATAAACAATATGCTTAATCATGTAGATGCGAGTAGAACTGTAGAATGAGAATATGAGCAGGAAGAGATACACTTCCTGTTTTTCCCTCTAGGAGGAAGAATTTGCTCTGGCTCATTCATAATCTCTCCTCTGTGGCTATGGGCATATAGTGCTCCTGGGTTGGGAGACTGTGTATATGTAGTGGCTGCCACAATTGTGAGAAGCAGCTTTACAGAACATAATCGTCAGTCTGATTTTCCTTTGTATTTCTTTTCTTCTGAAGGCTCTGTATGGCATTTCCTGATAGTTTGTCTAATTCCCTCTAATTACAGAGAACATACTTCTGGCTTCTACTAGAATCACAGAAACTCGGTGATGTCAGACCTTGGCAGAAGCCTATCAATTTTTACCCAGTGCATGAATTCCCTCCACAACAAGTTGTCTTCCAGCCTCCATTCTGTTGCGTCTGTGGCAAAAGTGAAGAGGAATAAGATTATCCCTTTGAGTGTTAGGATAGATCATGGAATTCTAGACACAGTAAATGAGATCTTTAAAAATAATTGTTTTAACTGGCTGTTTACCTTTGGTTTGGCCCTCCAAACATGCTGAGGTCCAAACTACATGAGATTCTGGACCTACACAGAGGAAGAAAGGCTCCTACTACTCTCATAGAACCTCTATAAACTAGCAGAGAGCTTCTGAAAGCTCTTTTCTTCGTTTCCTGCCTAAATGTAATTTGCTTTAGTAAAGGGGAACTCTGCACAGCCCACTCCCCTGCTGGACAGCTCCTCAAATTCAACTAAGATCCACTTCCCTGGAATTTTCCTGTGTACCCTGGGTCTACCCTTTAGACCTGTGGAGAACAAATCAAATGGTCCTGGCTTTTGCTTGACAGTCTCATTACTTTCTCCCAAATTTGACTCCTCATTAACTAGGAATCCTCAGCCCTTCAACTGCTTCTCATTTGACATCTTTGGAAATGCTCACAGCAGTGCAACTGTCAGTGTCTCCCTCCACATCTGCCTCCCGGAACTGGGCATGGCACAGCAGGGGTGGTCTGACTAGGGAAGCTCCATGACTTCATTGGCTGTTGACACGGTGCTTCCATTATAGGAAGCTAACGTCTAATCAATGTCTCTGACAGGCATGCCATGCTATTGACTCATCCAGTCAATAAAAATCTCCATGCTTTTCACATGTTTTGCTCTTAAGACCACTCATTCTGCATTTGTTTAATTAGATTTGGGGGACCTAAGTCCAGTGCCCACTTGGAATTTTCCTTTATTAACCTTGCGTATTGTTATTTGCTCCCCCATTGAAACCTGTTGAGTGAGATCCTTTTGGATCCTAATGAGGGCGCATTATACTTGAATGATCCCTCCAGCATCCTATCAGTCTGATTAACACTGCACCAACATCATCATCTCAGTTGTTGATAAAAGCTTTCAACAGAACATGGTCACAGCAGGCTCCATCACCTTACTGCCCACGGTCTCTCTCCAGGTTGATGGCTGATGGCCAATGACTCTCTCAACGTACTCAAGTAATTAGAGGTTAACATGTTCTCTCCAGAAAATAATTATCTAGAGATCCAGTGATAGGAAAATTCACATTTTTATATGAAGGATTATATCCTTGACTTCAATGCCATTTTGAGGTCATGAGTTTTACAGACCACATAATTTTTCATTCATTCATCCATTCATCTAATAAGTAATTTTTGAGTGTCTCCAATGTGCCAGGCACCATGCTAGGTAGAAGTAATACAATCATGAGATAGAGTTACAAATATCCTGTGCCCAGGCATTGGTAGCTTGTAGGGAGATTGGATTAAACCCATACTTACACAAACAATTATTTAAGTACCGTGAAGGAAAAGAACACAAATAACTTCAAGGAGAGTGTTTCTTCCCCGAGGAAGTAACATTTAAGCAGAGACCTGAAATTTGCCAGGCAACAAGGGGGAAGGGCATTATTCCAAGGAGAAGAAATAGCTGAGTGAAGACTTTGAGTGGGAAGCAGCTTGTTCAAGGAAGAAGAGGTGGGCAGAGTGGCTGGGGCACAGGCAGACAGAGTGGAGAGAGGCAGCTGCAAGAGTGGGCAGGGGACAGCACCCCACATCCTGAGGGCCTTATTAAGGAATGTGGACTTGTCCTAAAGAAAAGGAAAATCACTGAAGGATTTTAAGCAGAGAAGTGAATCTGAACTTAGTAAAGTATTCAAATCTGCAGAGTTCTTTAAGTCCATAGATTAAATATGGCATCTCCAAGTGAAAAATAAAATTATGTAAAATTACAGGTTATTCTTGATACAAGGATTTCAGAAAAATAAGAATGTATACTTACTTATACATTCTATCACTGCCCCAAGGAATGGAGTAATTACCCCAAAATTATGAAAATTTTACTTAAGGATCCTAAAATTAATCTCAAAAATAGTCACCTTTGCTAAAATACATCTTGTTTTTTGTTTTTTTTTGAAACAGGGTCTCACTCTGTCACCCATGCCATGAGTGCAGTGGCATGATCACGGCCCACTGCAGCCTCAGCCTCCCATGCTCGAGTGATCCTCCCACCTCAGCCTCCTGAGTAGCTGGGACTACAGACACTTGCCACCAAACCTGGCTAACTTTTTTATTTTCGGTAGAGATGAGGTCTTACTATATTGCTCAGTCTGGTCTGGAACTATTGGGCTCAAGTGATCCTCCTGCCTTGGCCTCTGAAAGTGTTGAGATTACAGGCATGAGCCACCATGCTAAGCCCTAAAATGCTTTCAAATAGAATTTTATTTAGCCACACTCTTTGTTCCAGAAATTTTTTAGAAACAAATAATTTACTTTTTATATTTATTAATGTATACTTATATTAAAATACTGTATGCTACTCTGTTAATTATATTTTATATAATTATATTTTCTGAGAACTCTCACTGATTCTATAGAATACAAATATTTAAGAAGTCACAATAGTTATGTAAGTCTTCTAAGCATGTAGCAGACCTCACCTGAAACACCTGGGATTTTTTAAATTAGGGGCTTAGACAATAGTGTTTGTCCTTTTATAAAATACGCCTGTAGACTGAATAATTTCATAAGTAAAGTCAAAGAGTCATTGGCAAGTTTTTAATGTATCCCAAGGAGTCTTTTAAAATTTAATTTAATTTGTAGAAGTGGATTTTTAAAGGTATCTTTTAAACAAAGAGAAAACGTACTACATTTCTGCTGTTGATAATCTTTTAAGTGAAAAAAATCAAAATATTTTTGGTACATATATATTCTAAACTTTTTCATGTATATGTATATATACCAAAAGTGTAGCTTTAAACAGAAAAATGTAGGATGCTAACAGATGTAATGTATTGTATTATAACTTCTTTCATTTAACAATTAACTCAAATGTACCATAAATCTAAATGCAAAAACTGACACAATAAAATTTCTAGAATAAAATATGGGAAAAACATCTTTGTGACCTTTGGCTATACAAAGGTTACTTAGAGAAGACCCAAAAACATGAAACATAAGTAAGAATTAGCTAAGATGGCTTTTATGAAATTAAAAAACTTTTGCTCTTCAAAAGACACTGTTAAGAAAATGAAAAGGCAAGCCACAAAGTAGCAAAAAAAATTTGCAAAATATATATCTGATAAAGATCTTGCATCCAGAATAAAGATCTCTTACAGCTCAACAGGGAACAGAACAAAAAAAGGGGTAGAAAGGCAAAAGATTTGCACAGACACATCACCAAAGAACACATAAGAATGCCCAACATCTTTAGTCTTTAGGGAAATGCAAACCCAAACCACAATGAGATGCCATTGCACACCCAACAGAATAACTAAAAATAAAAAGACTGATGATACCAAGTGTTGGGGAGGAGGTTGAGCAGCTAAAGCTCTTCATCATCCCTATTTGGAATATAAAATGATATGATTATTTTGAAAAATAATTTGCCAGTTTTTTTTGTACCTACTCTATGACCCATCAATCCCATACCGAGATATATACCCAAGAAAAAGAAAAATATGTTTACGGAGACTTGTATTTAAACTTTTTTACCAGTTTTATTCATATTAGGTAAAACAACAACTGAAATAAATATTTACTGGTGAATGGATAAACAAACTGTGGAATATGCATACAGCTATTTAAAAAGTGGAACGGCTGATACACACAACATGGGATCTCAAGGTATTATGTTCAGTGAAAAAAGACAGGCACAAATGACTACATGCTGCATAATTTCATTTATATGAAATTCCAGAAAAGGCAAGAAAACCAGATCAGTGGTCACAGGGCTAGAGGTGGGAAAAGATTGGTTACAAAGAAGCATAGGTAAAATATGTGGGATAATGAAACTTCTATATCATCATTGTGGTGATGGTTACATACAGGTACCTATTTGTCAAAATCTACCACATTGTACACTTAAAACAGGTCAATTTTATTGTATGTAAATTACAGCTCAATGAAACTGATAAAAATGTCCATACACCAAATGCAAAGTCAAAAAACAAATGATAGGCTGGAAAAAATATTTGAAATATATGTGACAGACAAAGATTACTCTTTCTAACTTACAAAAAGCCATAGAAATTTATAGGTAAACATCAAGCAATCTGATAGAAAAATGAATAAAGTGTATGCAGTTTTCCACTTTAGAGTTGATGCAAATGGGTATTAATCATATGGAAGGATGCTCAACCTTATTGAAAATTCAGGTTGAAGTAAACAAGGCAAACATGAGATGCATTTCCCCTCATCAGCCTGGCATCTATTAGAAAGACTGATAAAATATATTGTTAGCTAAAATATGGAGGAAAGGACACTCTTATACAACAGCTATAATTTTTTTGGAAAGCAAATCGCAAACAGCCTTTGATCCAGCAAGATCTATTCTACAAAAATAAAAGCACCAGTACAAATAAAATTGTGTCTAGAATGTTCATTGCTGATCTTTCCCTACCATCAATGGTAAAATTCTGGCAGGAAAACTACTGTTTATAAATAGAGAAATGGCTGAATAAATTGGAGCACATATATACATACTACAGAATAACATGCTTCTATTAATAACATACGACTTAGGCTACATATATTGACGTGGAGGAATATGATATGCTGTTATATGAAAAGGCAAGTGGCAGAAATATTTATAGTATCATCTCATTATTTGGTAATGAAGAGAAAGAAAGAGAATCTGTATTGTGTATCTGTTGGCATATAATTGTATGAGCTTACAGAGCTAAGGATAAACATGCATCCAAAAGTGTAAATATTGGCTGCTAAGGAGCCAATAGTGGGGGAGACAGATTGTTGCCGTTTTCTTTGTGTATCTCTATGTTAATGCCCTATCACATGAACACTTTCTGGTTTTGTAGTTTGAAAAGAAAATAGTTTGAAAAACTGCACAAAGAATGAAGCATATTCCCCTCCCACTGCCCCCCACCCAGTGCTCAGAACTTTCACAACACTAACCTAGTACGCATGGATGTGACACCAAACTCTGAAAAACTCTCCTACCCTTCTTAGTTCTAATAAAATGTGAGGCCAAATGATAGAATATATTGTTTTTATAAAAATCAGTGGGTGTGGTTCAAGTAACAAATACACACACAAAGGGAAAAAGAACTCAAATTGGCTTTACCCTGAGAGCACTGAGCTTTAGTTTTCATAGCCTCCCAATGCAGGAAGATTGGAGACAAAACCTAGAATATGCTTATCATGAAATGCTGAAAAGGAAACCCCATACACTGTCAGAGAAAGGGTGCCTATCTCAACATTTTGTTTTAGGTTAAGGAGGAAAATATTCCCTAAGAATTTAGGTATACACTCTGGGCCTCATGTAGGTTTGCAGCCTAAATTCATATACTCCTGGTGACCTAAAAAGCCTTGAAGCTCTCAATTCAGTTTAAAATGGTTTTCAGGCATTTAGGAAAAGTGAACAAAGTCCTCACTGAAGAAATACATCTTCAAGCCAAGTCTCAAAAAATTCCTACTAATATACTTCTAAAGATTATAGGCTAATGGTGAAGAAAAGAAAGGAGGAATGGGGGAGAGGAAGAAGTAGAAGGGGGAGGAGGAAACACTTAATAGATTAATAAAGAAAGCAACATGAGTATGAGCTAGAAAAAAGTAAAAAATAGAGTCAGAATTAAAATGACTTCTGATAATGGTATTATCAGACATGGGATATAAAAATATATGCATGTATGTAGTATGTTTAAAGTAATAGAAGAGAGGATAAAGATTTCAAGCCAAGAGCAAGGGATTTTTAAAAAGATCAATAATATTTGGAAAAAAGTATCAAAAAGAACTTGTAAAAATTAAAGAAAACAACTGAAATTAAAATTTAAACAATGGCTTTTTCAGCAGATTTGATATAGCCGAAGAAAGATTTAGTAAACTGGAAATTAGATTTAAAGAATGAATCCATAATGCAACACAGAGAGACAAAGAAATGAAAGATACTGAATAATAGTTAGGAGTCATAAATAACAAAGTAAAAAGTTCAAAAATATGTCTAGAGTCCCAGAAAAAGAAAGAGAGAGAAAATGGGTGACAGAATACTTGAAGAAGAAATGGCTGAGCATTCTTAAAGAACTGATGAGAAATATTAAGCCCCAGATTTATGAAGTCTAAGAAAATCAAAATTTTATCAAAAAATTTTAAAAATAAAATTGACATATATACTATTAGAGTGAAACTGAAGAGCACAAAACCTGAAGAATAAGATTTTTTTAAAAAAGGACCAATTATAGTTGGTGCTCATTATTCACAGATTCAATATTTGAAAATTTGCCTACTTGCTAAAATTTATTAGTAACCCCAAAATCCATTCTTGCAGCACTTTCATGGTTATTCAGGGAGATGCACAATGTGGCAAAATATCTGAGTTATCTCATACATACTTTCTAGCCAAGATCAAACAACACAACCCTCTGCCTTCTTTTATTAGCTCTTATACTATAAACATTTGTCTTTTTCACAGTCTATTTAGTGGCATATTTTTCGATTTCTGTGCTTTTTGTTGGTGATTTTGTGGTTTAAAATTCTCCTCAAGCATAGTGCTAAAATACTGTTAGTGGTCCTAAGAACAAGAAGACTATGATGTGTCTTTGGGGGAAAATACACATGTTACAGAAGCTGCATTCAGATATGAGTACAGTGCTGTGGTCTGCAAGTTCAATGTTAATTAATCAACAATATAGATTAAATAAGGTGTTTTTAAACAGAAACACATACAAAACAAGGTTATGTGTTGATAAGCTAATGAAAATGTTGTGACCACATGCTCATGGAACCTCACCTTTTATTTTCTCTAGGAGCAGTGGTTCAATATTTAATAATTCAGTGTTAACAGTGAGTTTCTAGAACACAATTACTGCAAATAATGAACCTAGGAGGAATAAAATGGAAACCAGAGAACAGTAGAATGATATCTTCAACATGCAAAAAGAAAATAATTATCAACATAGAATTATGTACCAAAGAAAATCATTCTCAAGAATAAGGGTGACAAAAAGATATTCTTCAGAGGAACTACAACTAAAAATGTTTACTTTCCATAAATTCTCACTAAAATTCTTTAAAATGTATTTCTAGAATAAGCAAATTTTAATTGATAAGTATAGGGTATATAATTTCCAAAATAATACAGAAAAATAATATAATTTTTAAAATTAATGTAAAATAAGATATGAAAGGAAAGTGAAAGAAACATAGAACAAGAGGAACAATTATAAAGCAGAAAATAAGATGCTGAAAATAACCCAAATATTTTAGTAATTACAAAAATATAACTATGCTAAAAACTCCATTTAAGAGGCCAAATTGCTAGACTGGAATTTTTAGATCTAGCTCTATGCTGTTGATAAGAGACACATCTAAAATATAACAAGACAATAACATTTAAAATATAAAGAAGGAAAAAAATAACATACAAATACTAACAAAGTTCAAATAAGTATATTAAGGTAAAAATTTCTAGGCTTACATAATGATAAAAAAGTCAATTGATCAAGAACATACAATCTATTTCTACCCACCAGCACAAAATAATATGACCTTAATAATATGAAGCAAGAATTGACAGAATTATAAAAAGAAAATAGAAAAAAATCAACAAATTTCCAAATATTGATTCATACAGTCAATATTCTTCCCTACAATGCAATTAAGTAGGAAATGAGTAATTTAAGGAAAAAAAATTAAATGTATATATTTAAAGTATTTGAAATATTCTTTTAGTTGTACATTGTTCAAAGGAGAAATCATAATGGCCTTTAGAAAATACTTTAGAAAACCAATGAACTAAGCATCTAACTTCAGAAGTTAGAAAGAAAACAACAGGCTGGGCACGGTAGCTCACATCTGTAATCCCAGCACTTTGGGAGGCTGAAGCAGGCGGATCATGAGGTCAGGAGATCGAGACCATCCTGGTTAACACGGTGGAACATCATCTCTGCTAAAAAATACAAAAAAATTAGCCGGACGTGGTGGTGGACGCCTGTAGTCCCAGCTACTCGGCAGGCTGAGGCAGGATAATGGAGTGAACCGGGAGGTGGAGCTTGCAGTGAGCCAAGACTGTGCCACTGCACTCCAGCCTGGGCGACAGAGTGAGACCCTGTCTCAAAAAAAAAAAAAAAAAAAAAAAACCCAGAATAAAGCCATAATAAGATTTATAAAAAGACAAATATAAGGGACTACTGGCAGAAAACATGCTATGATAGCTCTCAAGATTTCTGCATCCTTGAGCACACAACCAGCATAATCTCTTTCTGTTGACTGTGGATGCACCTGACTTAATTAGGTGAGCCCTTTAAAAGAGGGTTTAGAGGTCAGAGACAGAGGTCTGAGAAATTCAAAGGTTCAGCAGGTGCTCTTCTTCTGTCCTGGAGGTATGCAAATAGCCATGTTGTAAACTGCCTGCTGGGGCCACATGGCAAAGAATTGTGTTTAGCTGTAGAAGTTAAGGAGCCAACAAGCAAATGGGGAATTCAGCCATATAACTATAAGGAAATGAATTCTGCCAAAACCAGTGAGCTTGGAAGAAGAGCTCATGCCTTATCATAGCCCCAGCCCCACCTTGAGAAGAGCATACAGCTAACCATACCCAGACATAAAACAATAAATCAGTTTTGTTTCAGATAGTCAGTTTGCAGCCATTTGTCATACAGCAATAAAAAATTAATAGAGTTGATTTAATGTTTTAGAAAACAAATACACAATATAGAGAATCATCAAAGACAAAAGCTGGTTCCTTAAAAACTCAAATAAAATAGATCAAACTTTGGAAAGATAAAGTAAGAATAAAATAAAGAAGGTGAAAGTGAATAATATTAAGAATAAAAAAGTAGATCTAACTGTGCATGCTTCAGTTATTTGAAAGATAATAAGAGTTTATGACAACACATTTTAAAACTTAGATGAAATAGTCTTCAAAAATATAACTTACCAAAACTGACTTGAAAAGAAATATAGGATCAGAATTTAAATCTTCCCATAATGAAAACAACAGGCCCACAGAAAAAAAAAAACAGGTGAGTTCTGCCAAATATTGAAGGAACAAATAATTTCCATCCTGCAAAAATTATTCTTAAGTATAAGTAAAGAGAACATTCCCCTCAATTTATTTTAAGAGACTAGCAAAAGCATGATACCAAAATCTAACAAGAACAGTTTTTTTTTAAAAAGACCATTATAACTCAATCTCATCTACAAAAATAGATGCAAACATTGTCAAGACAAACTAGAGATATAAAAAATAAAACACATCTTGAGCTAGTAGAGTTTATCCAAGGAATGAAAGATTGGCTTAACAAAAGAAAATCAGCCGACGTTACTCATCACTAAAATAGCTTAAGGGAGAAAAATCATGTGATAATCTCAACAGATATAGAAAAGTATTAAATAAAAATTCACCATGCATTCATGATTAAAAAAATCTTGGCAATAGAAGGGAAGTCCTAAAATAGCAGCCCCCAGATCTACTGCAGTCATCCTGCTGACTGAAGAAATACTGAAGTATTTTCTTTAAATTAGGGAGATGATAAGGATGCTTATTGTTACACTGCTGTTCAAACATAGCAAGGAAAGATAAAGAAATAAAAAGTACAAGGATTAGAAAGTCATTCTTAGATAATATGACCATCTGAATAGAAAATTCAAATAAATTTAATGACAAATTGTTAGAATCAATGAGAAAAATCAGTAAGGTTGATATAAAATGAATATACAAATATTAGTTACATTTCTATATACCAGCAAAACAGCTAGAAAATATAATTTAAATGATATCACTTGTCATAGCACCAAAATACAAAGTATCAAGGAATATAAGCCTTTGAAAAGGTGTGTAAGATCTTCATGAAAAAATTATAAAATTATATTGAAACATATTAAAACAAACTTAAAATAGATGGTCAGATATACCATGTTCATGGATTGATTTAATCAAATAATAAAAATATAAATTTTCCTCAGATTGATCTATTGATTTAGTGTGATTGCAGTAAAAATGCCAACCATATTTTTGCTTGTGTTTTAATTTTTTGTGAAGTGTGACAAGCTTATTCTAAAATTTTTTTGGAAAGCAAGAAGCAAAGAATAAATAACCAAAACTCGATTGAAGAAAAGAACAAGATAGAGAGACTTGCCTTATCAGACAAGGTTATATTATTTAAGACATTGTAGTATTGGTGCAAGAATGAACAAATAGAAAAATGGAATAGAACAGACAGCCCAAGAACAGAACACCATGCATATGAAAAGTTGTTTTGTGACTGAGTGGGCACTGCAGACCAGAAGGGACAAGAAGGATTTTTTAAGTAAATGAATCAGTTACCTCACTGGGGAAAAATAAAATAAAATTAAGACCCTAGAGCATATCATACTCAAGAAGCAGTTCCAAGTGGATTAAAGACTTTCATGTGAACAGAAAAATAGTAAATAAATTTGTAGAAGAATATGTATTTTTTCAACGTTAGGATAAGAGAGTATTCCTTTAAAAGATACAGAAAATGCAAAGAATAAAGGAAAAGATGAATAACTCATACTACATTAAGAATTTATATTTACTGAAAGATATAAAGACAGTTAAAAGATAAGCCATAAACTATAAGTTGACACAATTTGCAACCCATATAATTGATAAAGGATTAATATACAATTTATAAACAGCCTCTATACTAAAAATTAAAACATCTCAGTAGAAAATAGGCAAAAATACCTGAACAGGCATTTTACAGAAGAATGAACATGGTCAACAAACGTGAACAAAAGCTCAATCCCCTTAGTAGTCACAGAAAGTCAAATTAAAATCACAAAATACCATTTTACACATACTACACTGGCAAACTGAAAATGTGTGACAATATATCATAGACTAGATAGCATGAGGAATTTTTTAATTAAAAAAATGAAAATGTGTGACAATGTAAAGTGTGACGAGATTGTGGAGAAACCAGAAATCTTATACAGTGCTGTAAGAGGTGTATGTTGGTATAATCACATTATAAAACTGTCAGGTATTATGTAGTAAAATTGAAAATAAGCAAATTCTATGTACCAGCATACCTACCTCTAAACAGATAGAAGGGAAATTGTTGCACATGTACTCCAAATGACAGGTAGAAGAGTGCTCCTGGAAGCCCTATCTATAGCAGAAAAAATATAAAAATATAAATAATCCAAGTGGACATCAACACAAAAGTAGATAAATCACATGTGATATATTTTTGTAATGGCAAACTATGCTGCAGTGAAAATGTATGAAATACAGTTACTTATATTTGTTTACATGATTCACACAAACCGTGTGTTGAGCACAAATGCAAAACAGTTTCCATTTGTTTAACTGCTATGTATTTAGTAAACTAGGATTAAGGTTTGAGTTAAATGTCAAGTATGCAGTAAATGTAAACTGTATAAACATACAGTATTGGAATGATACGTTTAAATACCTGTTTCCTGAATTAGACTGTGAAGTATTCTAGGATAGGCATTTATCTTCCTCAACTTTGTTTTCCCAGTATTTAGCACAGGCAATGTATATAATAGCCTGAGTTTTTCCCACAGCTGATCCTGAAACAAAGTCTTGGGTGCAAGTGGTTTATTTGGAGTAAGTCCAGGAAGCAGGAATGAGGTAGTAGGAAAGAGAAAGAAAAAAAGAAAGAAATCTAGTGCAATGATAAGTTGTCAAGGTGGTCACTACTACAGACAACTGTGCATTATCCCACTGGACCATCTGAGGATCCTTGTGAAACGCCTTCGGAAACATGTATCCATTAGTTCCCATCCCCTATTTCTCAAGGATGTCCAAGGCTTTAACTCTCTTTGAGACAGAATTGCACATGGCAGAGTGTAGAGCAGATTCCTTCTGGCAACCAAATTTCTGATTCAGAAAAGCTCTGGGACAGAAAGTGAGAGGTAATTGGTATGAAGCTCTAGGCCAGGTGCTGCCAGGCTATACCTACAGGAAGCTAGTCAAGGCCTTCTTATAAGTGACTGCCAAGGAAGTGGCTATATCATTACACAATGAAAAAGAAAGAGAACTAATATTGACTGAGGGTTTAGTATATGGCAGCCTAGGATTCATAACAAGGGTTATTTGACTCCAAAGCCCATGATCCTGTCCTACCTCCTCCCAAGGTCCTTCATTGACTGCTTCCTCCAGCACAAATATTCTGGAACATGGCGGTTTGCCATTCTTTATTATGACTATTACTAACTGTGTTTCTGGTGAGCATAGTTGAACATAGTTCCTCTGAATTTATTAATTATGAGTGACTTTTACTTACTGAGTTGTCTTTTGTCTTACCAGACACTTGTGCTTCGCAAATGTAAATTTGTATGCTTATTCTTTATTTGTGATAACCCATGAAATAGGTAGTAAGTATCCAGTTTTACAAATGAGGAAACCAAGGTTTATAGTTTAAGTCACTAGCTTTAGGTTACATGTCTACTTAGTGATAGTTTGTTTGTTTTTAACTTTGACGTACTTCCGCTTACTCAGAATGTTACTAGATTCATGGCAAATTCTCAGGAAATGCTTATCAAGTTGATAAGATCTACTGGAATAGTTTGTGCCTTTCTCAAGGAAGATACAGTTAATGATTTCTCCAGCTGTGCTTCATCATCTATACCCAAATGAACATTCTTTAAAAGTCCAAGACAAATATCATAAAGGGTGACTGGGAAATGCTGAAGAAATTTTAATTTAAAAACAAATGAGAATTGAAATATAGAAAACACTAGGCTTGTTTGGCATTCTAAAACCTTTTTTAACGGCAACTTTTAGTTGAGTCCCAAGTTTGTAGAACAATATAAGTACACTGCTCTAGGAAGAAAACCTCCAATTACTAGGAAAATGTCTTTCCTGTAAATCTCAACAAGGCCTGAACTACTTCAAGATGTGTGATTTGCTGACCATTCACTCTGCACTGTTGGCTGAGTCAACTCTTTACAGCTTCTCGCTAGAACCCTTTCAGGGTTATGTCACATTCTGCATCAATAACCACACCCCCACATAATCACATGATTCTGTGACCCATGTCATATCAGTGCATCAGGTTACTACCTCATAAGATGCATTAGATGTACAGATTTTTTTAAAAAACAAACCCAAGGAACTCTAGCCATCCAGTAAATAATAGGCCGTGAAGGTTTATTCTTCCATCGACAAAATTTCCCTCAACTAACAGGCATTGTGCTAGTTGTTGAGGTCACAAAGGCCAAAGACATGGCTCTGCTGTTAGGCAGACAGACACATTATCAAGTATGCTGACAATTACTGATGCTGTCATTTTAAAATGCACAGAGTACAGGGGGCATAGATGGAAGAATGATTAAGTTTCAGTGGTGAATTATAAAAAAAATTGTAAAGGAGATTACAAGGAAACTACTAGAAAGGAATCAGTACCAAATGACAAAGCATAGGTAGCCTGCCTGTGATTGTAATTTATGTCAGGTCTCCTAATCCACTGACCTCTACTAGCCAGAAGTGCAAGAGACTTGAGTGCTATTCACTACTCATTCCATCTCTGTATGCTCCAAACACTTCCTCTATTCCAACCAGCCTCACCCCTGTCTCTGCAATGTTGTCTTTCTCCCCAGGTCCCTTTTTGCTCCAGCATCTCCTCTGGCCTTCAATCTGTCTACATGATAATCTCACTAGAAATCAGACAATGATACTTCCATTCTTCAAAAGTCAACTTACAGCCTACTTTCTTGAGGAATCAATTTAAATCTCCTTAGAAAGGAGGCAAGTGGTCTTATATGAATTCAAGTGTAATAGCTACATGTTGACTGTAATGTGTCATGTTGGATGAGACGAGCCTTGAAGAGAACATCTCTCTTCCTCATCTTTGATATTATCATCCCAGAGCACCTAATACATAACCCTATAGTCTGGGACCTCTGTAAGCTCTCGGCAAATGCAACTTGTATTTAATCAAATTAAATGAAGAGCTTGTGCCTTAGTTCCTTCACCTATAAAATGAAAATAATAATTGTCTCTTCTCTTCCAAAGAACTGGTGAGTAAGCCACTCTATCCCTGGCACCTAAGATAGTAACAGCCATGTAATAGGACCTTAGTAAATATTTGCTGAATGAATAAGTGAAGAGGCTACATTCTAAGACATCTGAGATGAGGCATTGTATTTGAGGCTTTTAGAACTCAAAAAGTACCAGAGTTCTAACTAAAAATAGGCCTCATGGTACCTTCTTATCTTTTAATAAAACCTTCCTACAGTTTTTAAGATTCTACATTAACAGTATTACTCAGCAAGTAAAAACATTGAGAAACAGAGAAATGATTCTACCAGGATGAGAAGCATTAAAACAGAATATAATCTCAGGCCTTTTCCACTGGGAACATGTTCCCTTGCCTAAGAAAGACCAGGAATTTTGGAGGAGTAAGATTTATGTGCCCAGTAAAAATAGCTGTTTGCTAGATGTATGCTATTCTGCATATTAGAGGAGAAAAGTTAAAGGTACAGTGTATTTTTTTAAAATTTTGGTCCATATAGAATTCATACAGAAGATTATAGATATAGCTAAACAATCCTGAAAAATAATTTTAAAAACATATTTTCTCATTAGAAATTAGTCCATATTCAGACTCATCATAAATAAAACAGCAATTTTTTTGGTGCTACAACAAATAAATAAGTCAATGGAACTTTTAGAGTGTCCAGAAACAGTCTTGCTCATATATAGGGCCTTGATATATGATAAAGATGGTGCCAAAAATCCGTGGGGAAAGACACAGTCTTCAAAAAGTGGGTGAGAATAATTGTTCACCACATAGAAAAAATAAAATTAGATTCCTTCCTTCATGTCATACATAAAAATAAAATTCCAGATATATTAAAGAACCAAATATAAAATGCAAACTTTACAACTAGTTTTACCAAAAATGGGGGTAATATATTAAAGATTTTGAAGTTGAGGCTAGCTTAAGTTATAAAAAGTATAACTCATAATAGAAAAGTTTGACTTTTTTTAGATAAAAATTCATTTTTGCCTATGGCAAAGGGCATCATAGGCAAAGTTTAAAGGACAAATGAAGCCAAAGCAAGACTAAGCAAAAAGGAGGCATCTAGAGGCATCAGATTTACCAACTTCAAACTATACTATAAGGCCATAGTCACCAAAACAGCATGGTACTGGTATAAAAATAGGCATATAGATCAATGGAACAGAGTAGAGAAACCAGAAATAAAGCCAAATACTTATAGTCAACTGAACTTCAACAAAGCAAACAAAAACATAAAGTGGGGAAAGCACACCCTATTCAACAAATGGTGCTGGGATAATTGGCAAGCCACATGTAGAAGAATGAAACTGGATCCTCATCTCTCACCCTATACAAAAATCAACTCAAGATGGATCAAAGACCTAAATCTAAGACCCGAAACCTAAAAAATCTAGAAGATAACATCGGAAAAACCCTTCTAGACATTGGCTTAGGCAAAGACTTCATGACCAAGAACCCAAAAGCAAATGAAACAAACAAACAAAAAAAGATAAATAGATGGGAGTTAATTAAACTAAAAAGCTTCTGCACAGTAAAAGAAATAATCAGCAGAGTAAATAGATACCCCGCAGAGTGGAAGAAAAATCTTTGCAATCTATATTGGACAAAGGACTAATATCCAGAATCTACAAGAAACTCAAACAAATCAGCAAGAAAAAAACAAACAATCCCATCAAAAAGTGGGCTAAGGACATGAATAGACAATTCTCAAAAGAAGATATACAAGTGGCTAACAAACATATGGAAAAATGCTCAACATCACTAATTATCAGGGAAATGCATATCAAAACCACAATGCGATACCACCTCACTCCTGCAAGAACAGCCATAAAAATTAAAAAATAATAGATGTTGGTGTGGGTATGGTGAAAAGGGAACACTTTTTTACACTGTTGGTGAGAATGTAAGCTAGTACAACCACTATAGAAAACAGTGTGGAGACTCCTTAAAGAACTAAAAGTAGACCTACCATTTGATCCAGCAGTCTCACTCATGGGTACCTACCCAGAGGAAAAGTAGTCATTATATGAAAAAGATACTTGCACATGCATGTTTCTAGCAGCACAGTAAGCAATTGTAAAAATTTGGAACCAGCCCAAATGTCTATCAATCAATGAGTGGATAAAGAAAATGTGATATATATACACCATGGAATACTACACAGCCATAAAAATGAATGAAATAATGGCATTCAGAGCAACCTGGGTGGAACTGAAGACAATTATTCCAAATGGAGTAACTCAGAAATGGAAAAACCAAACATCCTATGTTCTCACTTGAAAGTAGGAGCTAGGCTATGAGGATACAAAGGCATAAGAATGATACAATGGACTTTGGGGACTCGGGGGAAAGGGTGAGGGGGGTTAGGGATAAAAGACAACACACTGGGTGCAGTGTACACTGTTTGAGTGATGGGTGCATGAAAATCTCAGAAACCATCATTAAAGAATTTATTCATGTAACCAAACACCATGTGTTCCTCAAAAATCTATTGGGAAAAAAAGGACAAATGAATGGAAAAAAATTTGCAGTGAAATGACACTTAAAGAATTAAAATATGTAAATATTCATAACAGTTCCAATAGAGAACATTCCAACAGAAAACTTCCCAATAGAAAAATTAGCAAGATAGAAATTGGCAATTCTCAGAAGAAATACAAATAGCTAATAAATATATAAAAATATATTTAACCTCAGTAGGTATAAGAAACTGAAAATGAAATAAAAACAAAAACCATTGACACCACTTACCTTATATTATCAGATTAATTTAAAAAATGAGTGTATTCTGCCAAATGTTGGCAAGAATGCAGAGAAATAGAAACTCACACACTGAAAGTGGGAGCATAAATGCCCTACAGCTTTACTTAGACAGAAACTTGGCAATTTTACCATATGTGGAGGGTTGCAAAAATGGCCATGATCCTTCACTTCTCCCATTTCCATACTCTTTGTAATGTGATTTTGCACATCCTTTTATCAAGAGGTGGAGTCCATTTCTTCTCCTCTTCTATCTATGCTGACCTTTTATTCTATTGCTTTTACCAATAGATTGCAGCAGAAGAGTCATTATGTCTCAAGAGCACTTTCACTCTTTCACTGGCTCTCTTGCTTCCAGCAACTGCCATGAGAACAAGCCTGCTGAAGAAAGAGAAACCACATGGAGCAGAGATAAGCTGTCCCTGTTAAGGCAATGCTAGACCAGCCAGCCAGTCTAGCAGCTGATCACAGGTGCATGAGCAAAAGTAACCATAAATTATCTGCCCCAGAACAAATGTTTCATGTTCAGGAATCTCATGTTCCTCAGAAGGACCATATGTGGACGTAAAAGGGATGCTCCATGGCAGCATCTCCTGGAACCCCATCCTAATACAGGGCTACAACTTACAACTCCCCAAGGAGTCTCCTGAACAACCCTGATGATATGGTCTGGCTGTGTCCCCACCCAAATCTCATCTTGAATTGTAGCTCCCATAATTCCCATGTGTTGTGAGAGGTATCCAGTGGGAGATAATCGAATCATGGAGGCGGTCTTTCCCGTGCTATTCTCATGACAGTGAATAAGCCTCATGAGATCTGATGGTTTTATAAAGGGGAGTTTCCCTGCACAAGTTCTCTCTCTTGCCTGCTGCCATGTAAGATTTGCTTTTCACCTTCTGCCATGATTATGAGGCCTCCCCAGTCACTTGGAACTATGAGTCCATTAAACTTCTTTTTCTTTATAATTTACCCAGTCTTGGATATGTCTTTATCGGCAGTGTGAAAATGGACTAATACACCTGACATGCATACCTAATTGTGAGGCCTGTTGGTATATTAGCAAATTAGGCAAAAAGCTGTTAAGTTTGTTTCATTTACTCAACTGTTTTGGCAGAATACACACATCAGGTCTGTTATTCCCAGAAGACAGGCCTTCCCTTGGAACATTAGTCTCTGAAGATTGATTCTTTCATGATGTTTCTGGAAAAATCTTGGTTGAATTCAAGAATCAATAGTCAAATAATTTCAACTGCTGAGATAAGAAGCTGGTGCACTAGATTTTTATGCATTTTCGAACTGTGGAAAAAGGAATATTTTCTAAAAACTGGAATTAAGTAAGGCAATTTTATATACATTTATTTCTAGAGATAAAAATTCAGATGTGGTTAACAAAAGGAGGTAGATTAAAAGTCTCAAGGGTACATTTTTTTTTCAAGCCAACAGCATCCTTAGGGCCTGAAAGCAGCAACTACTATTATGACATATTAAGAATTATATTAAATGCTTAGCATACATTATCTCACTTAACGTTTCAACAACCCTAAAATATAGCTATTATTTCCAATTTACAGATGATGATGCCGGGATATAAAAGAAATTAAAGTCACTTGTCTGTGGTCACAGAGCCAGTAATTAGTGAAGCCTTGCTTTAAACAGAAGTCTGACTCCAAAAACTCATTCTTCTAACCACCAAAATCTGCTGCAGTAAAACACACACAC
The DNA here is from genome assembly GCF_000001405.40 of Homo sapiens. Classification (NCBI taxonomy): domain Eukaryota; kingdom Metazoa; phylum Chordata; class Mammalia; order Primates; family Hominidae; genus Homo; species Homo sapiens. Next base: position 36,153,050 of record NC_000013.11, read on the forward strand.
ACACACACACACACACACACACACACACCATTACATAATGCTGTGAGGTTCACAGAATCTTTTGTCATACATTATTTGACTTGATTCCTACAAAACTCTTATTTATTTATTTATTTTTGAGACAAGATCTGGCTTTGTGGCCCAGGCTGGATTGCAGTGGCACCATCATGGCTCACTGCAGCCTCGACCTCCTGGGCTCAAGGGATCCTCACATCTCAGCCTCCTGAAGAGCTGACAGGAGCATACCACCATGCCTGGCTACATTTTTTTAAGTTTTTTGGAAAAACAGGGTCTCTCTGTGTTGACAGGGCTGGTCTGAAACTCATAGGCTTAAGTGGTTCTCCTGCCTCTGCCTCCCAAAGTGTTAGGATTACAGGTGTGAATCACTGTGCCTGGCACTATAAAATTCTTACAACTCCCATCTTACAGGTGAGCTTACTAAGACTCATACCAAGGAAGTGTCTATTTCCAAAGTCACAAAGTTTGTATGTAGTAGATCTGAGACAAAATGTCCCAAATCCATATCCTTTCCAGCAGGTCAAGCTGCTAGATGCTTTAGTTATCATAAGCAGATATTATGGAATATGATGAACTATAAGATAAATTATTCCTAGAGGAATAGAGAAATAGATGATGGATACAGGGATTTTTTCTGCTGAGGCTTGACTCAGACAAGCAGTTGTGGGGCCACTTTGCAAGAATCTCTTTGGAGCAAGCTCTGACTTCCTTCCGTCTGGTGGAGGAGGACCAGGACCAGGATCTGGGGTTCCTGAAATTAGCAAAATGAACAAACAAGGGAAGAAGATGGAGACCACTCCCAAGACCAATGGGGAAGGTAAAATATCTGACCCAGTCTATAAGCATTCTTCCCCTGGGGCCTGGCCTGGGCAAGTACCAAGGGCAGGGGCAGAGCCAGTGACAAGAAGGACTAAGCACATGAGGTAACAAAATAAAAAGCCTGCCCACAGTGACTGTAAGCTGCCTCTTGTGCCCCAGCTGGAGTGACTTAGGGGGAACTGCAATGCCATATGTCAAATCAAGATGGTAGAAATGTTACCCAAATTGATACCTGGCAAATTGATCAAAATTAATTTTCCCTTACATTAAAGAAGAAATAGTGATAGAATTGCTACTGATATTAGTCTGAGAAACTGCCTCAATTTTTGGAGGCTGATGGACACTCAGAAAGTGATTTAAATGTAAACAACTTGTTCAATGCCTTATTTTACAATTGAGGAAGTGTGTTAGTGGTAACACACTTGGGAGGCTGAGGTGGGAGGATCACTTGAAGTCAGGAGTTTGAGACTAGCCTGGACAGTATAGTGAGACTGTCCTCTCTACTTAAAAAAAAAAAAAAAAAAAAAAATTGGCCAGGCATGGTGGCATGCGCCTGTAGTCCCAGCTACTTGGGAGGTTGAAGTGGGAGAATCACTTGAGCTGGAGAGATTGAGGCTGCAGTGAGCCGTGATTGTGCCACTGCACTCCAGCCTGGGTGACAGAGTGACACTGTCTACAAAAGCAAACAAAACAAAACCCTAGTGAGAATGTCTCTCCAGTCTGGCTATCATCACCCATGACAGTCATATTTATGTCATTGTCTCCTTGATCAGGAAAGGGAAAAGAACTATGCCATGGGAGCAGAGACAGCTCTTCCCTGGGAGCAGTGCTTTACTGAGCTGCAACGCTCTCCCCAGCCCAGGGGCAGGAGTTGAACATATCACTTGAATCACTTCTGGTTTCTAGATGCAAAAGCAGTCCCTGAAAGGAATTTCCAGGCGCTGGCTCACAGGCTGCGTGTAAACGCCCGGTCACGCCTCCCGCGTGGAGGATGGAGACGATTACTAATCACCAGCCACCTCCGAGTGACAGCAGAGGCAGGGGAGGCTCGGGGCCCAGCTGTCAGGCGCAAGGGCAGAGGTCAGCGCGGGGTCTCCCCGGAGCAGGAGTGAGCGGCGAGTGACAGGTGCAGCCGCGCCATCCCCAAGCATCCCGGAACCTGGCCCGGAGGCTGCTGTGGGATCCACAGCCCTGCGCGCTGGGGAGGCGCTGCAATGACCCTGCGGCGGCGCCTTCCCCCGGCGTCCCCAAATAGAAACAGCACTAGTGCCCTCTCTCCGACCCCACCAGGGCCGCTGCCGGGCTCCTCCTTACTCAGACCAGGCTCTACCGACTCCGCAACAGCTGCTCACCACGCTTGAGATGCAAAAGGTCTGTGTGAATACAATAAGGGGATGCATATTTTCAGGCCAGAATTCACACCCGAGCATGATTTTCACCGCGTGATTGACTTAGGTGAATTTAAAATACCCCGAGCCTCATAAATAAATTGCGCTGGGGCTTTAAATTGGCAAAATGAGTTACTGACTTCCCTGACTCTACTTAACATTGCACCTACCTATGTTTTGAGGAAGTGGAGGGGAGTCTTTCATGACTGTCTTAGACTCCAAGTCATTAGGTCTATTAGTTTGCTTTTTTCTTTTCTCGTCAATACAATTGACTTGGTCTTGGACTTCCCCAGGCAACTTTCTGTAATTAAGGGTCTCTGGAACTAACTAATAAAGTACAATCAGTGCCGATGTGAGAAACAATAGTTACAAGAACATATACCATGTTTAAAAATAGATTTAAATACTCAAAGTCCCCAAATTATTCATTCTTTAAAACAAGTGAAAGAGTTTGTAAGAGAAAATCAACCATGCGCTGAGGATAATACACAAAAAATTTGACCTTAACAAATTTCTGAGATAATAAACTCTCTATTTTAGGTCATTAAAAAAAATCTCGAAATTTTGCAGAGTTTGACATTGCCAATTTGCTCACAGTCATTGACTGCTGAAACAGATGCCAATGATCAAGTTGCCCATAAAAAAGAATAAAGCTTCTTTCATAATGAGGCCTATGATGAACTGATTAAATAAGTTAGCCAAGCAAATTCCTGGAAGAAAATACTTCATGCAGAGAGAATTGCGAGTGCAAAGCCCTGAGGTAGGGTTGTTCAAGTAAAACCCAGGTGACCATTGTCAATGAGCTGAGTGACAGAGGGGAAGAGCTGTTGGAGATGATGTTGTTGGACAGGTTGCAAGGACTGAGGTCCTAAAAGGTCTCATAGACTCATAGTAAAGACTGCTTTTCTGTGAATGAGATGAGAGGTCATTGGAGGTTTGCAAAGAAATGGCATAATCTGATTTAAACATTAAAAAGACCGTTCTGTCTACTACGTGAAACAGATTGAGCAAGGGAAGGTGAAAGCAGTAAGACTAGTTAGGAGGCCATTACCTGGGTGAGAGATATTGGTGGCCTGGACCAGGATGAGTACTGTCCTTCACTGGAGTGAAGTGGTCAGGTACTGATGACGTTTTGAAACTCAGAAAGTCAAGATTTGCTGATCAATCAAATGGAGAGTATGAGAGAGAGAGAGAGGAGACAATGACTCAAAGATTTCTGGCTTGGTGACGAATGGGTTTGCCATTTGCTAAAAGAAAGGGAGAGGAATGGTGGGAAAGGGAATCAACAGTTCAGTTTTTGTCTTGTGTGGTGACCCCATAGCCTTCTCTTTAACCCAGTGGCTTTCACCCAATATTGTAATTGGCCCCCAAGCTGCCTGACTGCTTTCTCCTTTGACTTGAAACAGATCCCACTCCGAAATCTCCCCTTTATAAACATTTTGGGTCTTCTTCATATTGTCTGTTATTCAGGAAAAAATTGCCAAACATGATTTTCAGAAGTTGATATCATAAAAACATTGTGATTATCCTTTTGTGTCTTGGACATCAGCCATTGAGAATCACTGCTCCCACCTGAGCATTTCATTTCTGTTTCTATGCAGGTTCTGATCCACTAAATAGAAAGGAAAAGACCTTTACACTCCCTTTAGCAAGAAATCTTCTGCTCCTGCAGGAAGGTCCACCTGAAAACAGAGGGCCCATAACACTCGTTGGGAAGCACCAACAGACATCCCAGACTCTCCTCATCCCATTTCCTAGTAGCTCCCTGGCACCACTGTTTGATGACAGCTTGTTGAAATGGATGCCTGTTGAAATGGTGAAGGTGAACAGTGTGAGATGTCAAAAGAAACATATGACTAACAATAAAGATAAGCTCACAAATTATGTATTTTTTTCCCAAGTGAATTGGAGCTAGCTAAAATGTACCCCTCTATTTTTGTCATTCTCCCTTGTGTTCAAGAGAGAGAACAGGGAGGAATTGCTGCTTGTGTGTTGGGAATTTCACAGAATCTTGGGCATCCCCACAAGAGTGATCGTTCATGTAAGTGGCATCCACTTTTGTGAATCAGCAAAAAAAAAAAAAAAAAAGAAAAAAGAAAAAGAAAAAGATTGAAGGCTGCTGGCTTAGCTACCTAAGGACAGCAGTGTGGAAGGACTCAGAGGAAATGGAGGACGTTGCTCCTGCTTTTGCAAAGCTTGCAATTTTATGATCTTATTAAAATAAAGCTTATTGTTTTAATTTTATCCAGATGTATAGACAGAGGCCAATTTATTGGGAGCATTTCCTCTATCTGTGGGGTGCTGAGTTTATAGACTTACATTAGTCTTTTCCAGTGATCACCCCCTCTTGTAACCTTCCTTCCTCCTGCCTCATCTCACACACAAGAGCAGTGGCTATCATCAAAGTTATTGATTTATGCCTCAAGCAGGCAGGAAGTCAAACAAAGCAGCCTGAGAAAGCAGCAGAGGCAGCTGCTTACCCAAGAGGATTTGTGGGGAGGAATCTCCTGGCATAAAACTTATTTGCTCCCACTGGCCTCAGATGAGAACAGTATCAACGACAATAATAATAGCAGCTAATGCATAATAAATGGTTACCATGTGCCAGGCCCATTCTCTCATTTCATTTTCCCACAGCCTTGCTAGGCAGCTTCTGTTAACTCCTCATTTTCACAGATTAGGAAACTGAGGCAAGAGGGGTCAGGGAGACTGCTCATGGTCACCTACTAGTAGGTGATGCAGCTCGCACTTCAACGGAGGTTTGTCTGACTCTAAAGCTCTTGCACTACTGGCTTCACACCCAGCCTGGCTTCAAACTCTCTTTTGAATCACTTTTTTTTTTTTTGGTCAGAACATACAGGCAAAGAAATTATCTTCAGAAGGTTGGTAGGAAAAATAAACACTCTGCACGGCTGGTGTAGGCACAGCAATATGCAGGTTTTTGGTTGCCTTGACAAGGCTATATTAAAGACAAAAGGCTGTTGGAGTGGGTTTAACAAAGAATTTGAGAGAGGAGTTGGAGACCAGTATGAACTATTTTGAAAACTTTTGCTCCAAAGGGGAACATTCTTTCAAAGGTGATAGAAGCGAAAAATAAAGTAAGCTAAAACAAGATTCCCAGATAAATGCATTGGCAATAGATCTTAACTGGTAAATAAATGAGACTATATTCAATACAACGCTAATCTTTTGATGTTGATATCGTATGAGGCAGCCAGACTTTTCCACTGGGGTAAGGGCACGTGGGATGGGGCCACTCCCCTAGATAAATTATAGAATTGAATAGAGCCGTGGTCCAGCATTATTTGCCATGCTCTTAGATTTAACATACACCAACTTTCAGTCCCATTTTTTGCCCAGAGTGCTGTGAAAACCAACAAGGAATCAAATATGTGGATCTGAGCAAAAATGTTAAAACTTTCGTTTCAAAAAGCTGGGAATTCTTAAGATCAAGACAAATGTGCAGTCATGGATGAAAAATCAACCACACATAATCTCAGCTTTCAACTGAGTCATGTAAAAATACTTGTCACGAAGAAAACACACCTTTGTGATGATGCAAGTGTTAAGAATAACAAGAAAGAATGTAAATAGTAAAGGAAAATCTTGCAGCAGGGTAGGGCATCCCTGTATTTCCAATTATTTATATCCAGGCAACCCATACTTTTCGCCCTGCCTACCAGTCTGCTTTTGATGAGTCGTTACCACCCTGTCATTCCCCCAAGGCCTGAAATTATTTCGGTTTTCTGGCCTTGAAAATGCTTTCTGTGTTTGATGAAGTATTACTTTGAAGACCCAAGGTTTCCAAATATTGAAGCTTCTGTTTATTCTCAGCCATATATTATTCTATTTTAATTTTGAAAATTACAGTTGTTTGCAAAGGCTATTTTTGTTGAGGAGGTGTTAATTATTTTCTGGGCCTAAATTGTGATAGCTGGCCTAGTTATTGCAGGTCCAACAGTGAACTCGGTTTATTATTGCTTTGATTTAGCTCCACTGAGGGACTGACCTAAAATGTCTTTTCTTTCTAAAGCCAGAGAATTTAATACTGTGATTGGATTGTTGTAATGGCTTCCTAACCAGTCTCCCTGCTTTCTTCTTCAACCTCACCTCCCAACCCACATTCTGTTCTCAAGGTAGCAGCTAAGTGAACTTTCAGTGCAAAGATCATACCATGTCATTCCTCTGTTAAAAACCTCCCAAGGGCTTCACTCCACAAAAATGAAAAAGTCCTTATGTTGTGCGATCTGGTCCCTGCTATGTGTAATAACTTGAACAAACCTCACAAACATCACACTGGGCAAAAGAAAATATGCACAGAGAAATACATACAGTAATTCCAGCTACTCGGGAGGCTGAGGCAGGAGAATCACTTAAACCTGGGAGGCAGAGGTTGCAGTGAGCTGAGATCGCACCACCGCACTCCAGGCTGGGTAACAACAGCAAAACTCCATCAAAAAAAAAAAAAAGAAAGAAAGAAAGAAAAGAAAGAAAGAGAGAGAAAGAAAGAAAGAAAAAAGGAAGGAAGGAAGAAAGAAAGAAAGAAAAAGAAAGAAAGAAAGAAAAGCAAGAAAGATTCCAAAGCAATTTTTCAAAATAGGTAAAATAATGTGTTGTTTTAAAAGGAATAATAGTAATGGTCTTTGGGAAAGAGGGAGCAGTGGTAGTCGGAAGAAAGAACTAGGTTTCTGGGGTGTGGACAGTGTTCCATCTCTTGACCTGGGTATTGGCACAGGGTGTGTTCACTTTGTGATAATCCATTGAGCTGCATACCTGCGATTTGTGCACCTTCCAGTAGGCTAATCGCAGTTAAGTGAAAACTCTCATGAGAGAGAATGGGAGGTGAGGAAGTGAAGAAAGTAGGCACAACACTATCCTTTCAAAAAGTTTTGCTCCAAAGGAGAACAGAGAAATCAAGCAGTAACTGGAGGGAAGTGAGGTGGAGTCGAAAGGGATTTTTTGGTTTTGTTTGTTTAGGTGGGAGATATTAAATCATGTTTATTGTGTGATGGAATTGACCTTGGATAAAATGACGATCCAGTGTTCAAGAGAGACAAGGGACAATTGCTCAAGGAATGTCTGTGAGTAGTTAAGAGTGGCTGAGACCCAAGCTGGAAGTGGAGAGGCTGGCCTAGCAAGGAGAAGGGTACAAATGATTTTGATGATGATTGAATTCCAGAGGTGAGTATGTGTTCAGGGTGGCTGGGAAATTGGGTTCCAACAGGAGCTGTCCAACAATAGGGTGGTGGGAGAGACATGAGAAGCTTTGACTTCTGATGACGAGCGACCTAGGCATGGAAAGAGTGATGAGGCTAGTTCCCATGGCCTTTTGGAAGGTGTGCAGTCATTTCTAATTATAGCCTCTTCAGGTACTGGATTTGGCTTATAATGATGGGGCAGGTCATGTCGTGATGGGGGAAGAAAAATCAATGGCTCTCCTTGTGGCCCTCAGGTCACCTCTAGAGAAGGAGGAGGTCCTGAACTCATAATGAATTCAGGAAGATTCATAATGAATTCAGGTAGATAAGAAATTGTGGAATTGAGAGTATGTACATTTACAATCTTGATGTTGCCAAATAATTGATGCAAATTTAAATTCCTGTCCACATAAGAGTTTCCCCTCAACCCCTGTTAAAGTTCATAATCTTTGTCATATCTAGTCTGTGAAAAATAGCTCATTGCTTTATCAATTCCTATTGTGAATATCTTTTCACCTATTTATTTTCCTTGTGTTTCTTCTTCATGAAATGCTGTTGATGGCCTTTGCCCGTTTTTCTCCCTGGTTGCTTGTATGTTCCTTATTCATTTGAAGAGCCCTTTGCATATTAGGGAAACAAGCCATTTGCCAGTCATATTAATGGAAAATATAGGGGGAGGAGTGTTTAATCATATGGGTCTGGGTTTCATTGTCATTCTATTTATTTATTTATTTATTTTTTGAGATGGAGTCTTGCTCTGTCACCCAGGTTGGAGTGCAGTGGCACGATTTCTGCTCACTGCAAGCTCTGCCTCCTGGGTTCAGGCCATTCTCCTGCCTCAGCCTCCCGAGTAGCTGGGACCCCAGGCACCCACTACCACACCTGGCTAATTTTTTGTATTTTTTAAGTAGAGACTGGGTTTCACCATGTTAGCCAGGATGGTCTCGATCTCCTGACCTTGTGATCTGCCCGCCTCAGCCTCACAAAGTGCTGGGATGACAGGCATGAGCCACTGTGCCCGGCCCATTGTCATTCTTTAGAAAAAGCCATCATGCCACTTTTATAAAAATATACATTTTCTTTAATGATTTTACAGTATTTGGGGGGGGGGGTGTGATGTAGGAATGCAGCTTTACTTCCTTTTTTTTTTTTTTTTTTTTCAATTTCAAGTTGCTTCCCCATTTCTGTTTCTGGAATAATCTGCTTTTCGCAAACATTCTTGAAATGCTAACTTTATCCTACCCAGTTTGAAAAGTACTTACAATTCAACTCAAGAAGAGGGCTCATCTGGATCCTGTCACACTCCATCAGTCTGAAGACCTTTCCTTTTTCTTTCTCAGCACATCGAGCACTTCACACTTACTTCATAGTTCTGAACTCTGCATCTGGGGCTACATTCATCTAAGTCTCTTTGTCTCTGAATTTTAATACAAAAGGTATGTACATTTACAATCGCGATGGATGTTGCCAAATAATTGATGCAAATTTAATCCCTACCCACATATATGATAGTTTTCCCTCAATCCCTCACCAACAGTGTATAAAAGTTTATAATCTTTGTTATATCTAGTTGGTGAGAAATGACTCCATTGGTTTTTCATTATTATAAACATCTGTTCATATATTTCTTTGTAGAAAATTACATTAAGGTCCTACCTGTGCTATTGACTGGAAATAGGCAAGTGATCAGCAAATAATTAATTACAGTCCCCTTTCTGTTATTAAAATAGAAATTTATCACTTTATGAAGACTTTGTAACTCCCTGGAAATGGTTATCTTTGCCAGTACAGACGCATGTTATATTCTTCCTTAAAGTGCTCACACATCCTCTCCCTGTGTCGTACCCTTTCTCTCTGTGCAAGTACTATATCCCCTAGTATATGATTGATGTATTCAGCAAACTGGTCAGAAGTAAGAATTCTCTCCAAGTCGTTAAAACAAAGTATGTGCTTCATTTGTTGTCTGGAATGGTTGTATGAATGGGATTCTCAACGGCTAACAGTGCTGGACAGATGAGGTCTTGCTGGAGTTACTAGTTTACCTGTTCTCTCCGTAGCCTTGTATGATCACATTTTTCTTTTCTACAAAGGAGAAAGAATACTCCCACGGCCACACCCCCTCCATACCCACCATTCCAAGTATGCCACTCACTAACTGCTACATCTACTTTTACCCCCACCTTACCCTTACATCTCATCCCTCTATCTACTTTGAGATCAACAATTTTTTAACCACACAGGTGAAGCCCTGCATCCACTGATCCACTTTCCAGGGCCCATGACCCTCCTCACTTGTAAAGCCAAGATCCCCCGGGTCTTCCAGATCATGACTCCCTTGCATACTTATTCAACTCCCTAGCCATTATCTTCTCTGTCAGACGCACTTGGTGAAACCCCAGTTAAATTTCTGCTTATACAACAGCAGCAGCCAGGCAGTCAAATTTGTCTGGAGAAAATCCCAGCAGCCCCTAGGAACCAAAACCCCTCCTTGTTTAGGATGCTACAGAGCCAGGAAGAGTGGTATGAAGTGACATTAAGAACCATTTTTCTTCCTCTGTGCAGATCGTGTATTGGGGAGTAGGTAGGCTGCAGAGAGGGAAGGTGGCAAGATAAGAAGAGCAGCTACCATTGGGCAAGGGGCTACCAAATGCCAGGAAGTTTTATAAACATGAGCTTTAATCCTCAGAGCCTGAATAAGTAAATAAATTTCATTACTCCCATTTTACAGAAGAGGAAACAGGCGCAAAAAGGCAAATAATTTACCCAAATATATGCAGCTAATGGGTCGTGAACTAGGCTCTATTCACAACATTGACTTCTAATCTCGTGCTTTCTTCATGACACTCAGCTGTCTCTTCTAGGTGAGGTAATCGGTGCCCTGGCCTGAGCGGTGAGCAAGTAGTGTCTGGCCTAGCATCAGGCACTGAGGGTGTAGAAGCAGAGCTCTATTCATTACAGAGGCAAGGACCTGATAATTGTGAAGAGCAGTTGTAGGGACATGCTGCGGGAGGCCTGGACTGGGCATAGGAGCACAATCACCAATGACTTTGCCGTGCGTTTGTTCAAGTGGGAGCAGAGTATCCAAGTGTAGACAGTGAAAAATAATTTTCAGCTGGAAACCTGCCATGACTGGCTTGGCTTTGCCAATGGGATCTGATTAGTATTCTTGAGCTTTCATTAGCATTTGAAGGAAATACCCAAATGACACAAAGCTGGTTCTAGCAGCTGAAATTTAACGTTTTAACCCAATTTCTCTAATGCAGTTAACCTGTGATAAAATGCTGCTTAAGCGCCTCCTTTTCATAAACCATTTTGGACCTCAACAAGCAAACCAGTTATACAAGCACCTTTGCACTCACCTCTGCCAAGCCAGGTCAGCGGACGTGCCTCCTTGTAGCGTGAATTACATCATTTGCTGCTGGGGTAGAGAACTGGGAGTACTTTTCCCAGCCTTGGCTGGACCGGTGCCAAGGTTATTAAGTGCAAATCCCTTAACATGATCTCCCTGTAACTGCCTCTTGTGCTGACACAAGCCTGCCCTGGGGAGCAGCATTTTAGTGCATCCTTTGTTGCAGGTTTTCCATTTTAGGGAGAATTGATAGTGAGACTAAGTATAAACACATCCTCTGCCAGTCAAATTCTGCGGCTAGGGTTTTTGAAAAGGATCTGGGAAGTCTTGTGGCCAGCAATAATATTTATATTGAAACTCATAGCTCTTGCATCGCAGGGTGAGGGCAATGATGGTCAAGAAAGGAATTCCCTTCCCCATATACGATGCTTCTCACATGACTCAAGAAAGCAAGGGAGTATTACTTTGAGCTCAGAGTAAATCCTGCACTAGTTTCTCAGTTGCATAAGATTAAAATAAAGAACCCAAGACAATGTTTTCATATTCAAATTTTTCCAAATACTATTTTCTACTTCTAAAGGAAAAAAAAAGTAGCTCAATTGGTATTTTGTCTTTCTCCCTTTCTCTTAACTCTATCAAAGGCTTAGGGGCATTTTCATCCAGCTCCTGACTCTCTAACCCTATAAAAAAAATTAGAACTTCCTATTGTACTGAAGAAAAGAAAAAGCCTATAATGTCTCCTTTAGAAAGATATTTAACATCTTTATTTTACCAGTTAAATTTCACATAGTTCAACTATAATTCTCTGTTCAATTATAAAAATCAGTGTTCCAACCCCATTGGCCTTCTTTTTGATTACAGTAAATAAAATCTAAAAATATTAAAGAAATAAGTAACTACCCCAGGGATGTGAGTGCTGTAGGTTTTTCACCCCTTCCTTAATGTTCTATAAACAAGAGTCAGCAGCATTAGAATACCACAACGTGAGAGAACCAGTATTAGCCCAAAGCACTAGGGAAAGAAATCAGTGAGTTTATTCTTGTTTTTGTGTGCCTATGCTAATATACACATAGCTATAGGAAAGATTTTCTACTTTTCAATAGTTTCCAGTTCAAAATTGAGTCTTATTTCAGGACTATGTGGAAAATAATCTACAGGATGCTTGCAATATTGAGATCTGTTATTGAGGGTTTAAAACAGCATGGAGTCTTAGAAGTCCTAAGCAGAGAATTTTTAAACGTTTGGCTATTATTTTGAAGGACAAAAAGAAATAGCTTGATGCAGATTGAAAGGAGGAAAAATTCAGTGTTTTATGAAATGTGCCACTCCCGACACCCTTACATACCCTTGATATTACCTGGGTAAGAAATAAGCATAAAGGAATATCCGTTTGCAAAGACTTCTTGGGATACATGTTCTTCTTAGAACAATCTGTGCATTTTAGAAGTCTATTACCCTGAAGTTTCTTCCAGTGGCACTTAAGCCCTCTCATTGTATAATCTTATGTCTAGAAACCTTTGCTTTGAGCATAAATTAATATTTTTACAAGCATGATGAGTAAAATTCAACCACATACAAGATGTGTAATATAATCGTGTGTTTGTACATGTATCTTGTTGTTTTCAGAAAGAACATTATTCTAGGGTGTTTTTTAAAAAAATTTTTAAAATACAAAGATCAGAGGTTTCTCCATTTTCCATAGGAGTGTCATGTTTCCATGGTGATGAAAACAGCTCCTGATACCAGATTAATCAAGGTGATCTGTGGGCTTCCTGCTTCCTAGTTCCATGTAACAGGGAGATGCACAGAAGAAAAGGGGAAACCGGTAGCATGTCTGATAGGTGGGTAGAAAAATACCAGGAGGTTCAGGTTCAGGTCTTAAGACTTTGTTATGTCAATGCCATTCAATGACAGATCCTTTCCAATGTTTTTTTTTTTTTTTTTCAAAAGTGGCATTCTGTTTTTAACAATACCTTTAGAGTAACTTCACAAAATATGAAAGCTTTGATAAAAATTCAGAACCACCTCTTCATGCAGTTTCCATTGCCATCTAGATAAACCAAAATGAGTGAAACCCCACCTCACTTTTCTGGTTTTCACTCTTCTTGGGAATACCTACTCAAAATTCATGGGGTTCACTCCCGCCTTTGAGTTTCCCAACTGTACTACCTATTCATCCTTCTAACTTACCAAAGCAGTTTCGGGAACCCATCTCAGCAAACCCTTTCTTAATCATTGTGGGAGGAATGAATGAGTCTCTCCATCACTGCCTGCCTGGATTTAGGAGGGCGGTGCTCCTTGTGCTCCACTCCAGCCCTTAACATGCACTTGATCAGTGTGCTGTAAGTTAACAGGAGCTCTCACATTTGGCTGTGCATCGGAATCATCCTAATCATCCTACGCAGAGTATTGGGCCTCATTCCAGAGCTATGGAATCAGAATCTCTGGGAGAAAGTCCGAGAATGTACAGTTTTAATCAACGTATGAGTGCTTCTGAGGCCCTGCCAGGTTTGGAAATCAATGACATATGGTTTTAGTTTGTATCTATTCTGTCCCCTATGGGTATCTGCACTCTTTATGTGAATTGGGTGTGTTTAAGAGGAATAATCAAATACCAGCAAACACATTTTGTAGTGTTTAAATGCAGATTCCCAAGCACCAGGGAGCAAGGCTTACCAAATCTGACCCTGTAGGGGTATGGCCTGGGAATCTGCATTTTAACAAACCCCCCCATCCTCTCTTCCCGAAATGATTTCCTTGTATAGAGAAACAGTACCCCTTTGGGAACCAAACTGGAACAGGGCACACCACTTCAATGAATGAGGCAGGCTGGATGGGAAGGGACCAAAGGGAAGCTGATGCCCCATGTAGAGGGAGGCACTGCTCTGCCTGAGCAGTTCGTCACTATTTTTCCAGACTAGAAATAGAGCCAGTATTCTCTATGTTTTGAATTTTTCAGAAGCTAGAAATTCAGAGCAATTTAATTTCTTAACATTCAAAAACAGCCAATAAACAAACAGCTGCCACCGGCAACTTGTGCCCTCTGCCTTTGAGGGTTTTACCCATGTACCTTGAATCTCTGGTGATCTGCAACACCTTGTGTCATCAGGAGCCTGGCCAAGTGACCTCTTAAAATGTATCATACAGTATGACAGAATTGCAGCATCACAAGTTCCTATTGGGTCATCCAGGCCACTCCCAACATTTAATGTTTAATTCCCCCACTTTGGCATTCCCCTCCAGTGCTGACACCCCAAACCATGTCTCTCATCTATATCTATTGCCTGTGCTGCGATATCTGAATGTATTTTAGCTACTTCAACTGGGATATCATTTAAATACCTCAAATGCAACATGTCCCCATATAAAATTGTCATGTTCTAATGCCATGACTCCAAGTGTTCTTCTCCTTGCATTGTCTCAGTGAACATCAACACTGTCTCACTAGCTGCTGAAGCCAGAAGCCTGGGTGGCATCCTTAATTCTTTGCCCTTCCTCACAGCCCCTATATCAGATCATCTACTATGTTTCACTCATCCTGCTACCACCACCGTGAAACTTACAAGCTGTCACCTTTTCTAGGCAAGCTCTTTGCATCTTCTTCATTGTGAAAATAACACTGCAACTGTCTGTCCCATGACCAGCCAACTTGATTTTACAAGGAAAATCCTGCTCCTTTTCTACAAGGTAAAACCCAACTAACCTTTCTTCCTTGGCTAAGAGTTGAGCTCATTTGGAAGAGAATAATTTATTAAAAATGAAATTCTCACATTAGAAATGAATTTGGACACTTGCATGAAGTACAGGATTATGGGACCCAGCCTTGAAAAGTAGAGAGCTCTAACGATGGATCTGGTAGCCTCCTCTTTATGCTGAAAGGAAAATGGGACTGAGAGAGCAGCAAGTAGAGAGATGGCTCTAGGGGTCACACTTTTTAGGTCCTCTGTTGAAGAACTTCCAGTCACTGGCTTCTCTCATAGCCCACATGGAGATATAAAGAAACCCTGGTACAAAGCAAAAGCCCCAGCAACAATTAAGACCAGCTGGGAACATAGGCAGTAGTCCCAGTGTCCAAAATACCTCAACAGGTTCTTTTCTAATGTCAAAGCAATTATTCCTAAAGGAAAGAGAATGAAGAATCATGCACCTGTTTTTAATAATAAGAATAAAGCCTTAGTTGGAAACTTCTGTTCCTTTATAAAGTATGTCAAACATCTGCAGATTCCATCATTTTGGTATCCTCAAAGAAAAGTTGTACAATTTGATGTGAGAATTAGGCTATGCCTACAGTAATTTTTAAGCTTCTCAAAACTCTAGGAAATTAAATTCCCTACATAGTACTACTAAAAGAGAAAACATATATTTATTAAACAAAACAAAAATGGATTACAATGCTCAGGGTGAAAACTGAGTATTTTATTTAATAATAAAACTTACATATAAGAACAATTCAGTGAAATATAAAACAAACCTTTTTCCCCCTTATTTTCAACTGTCCTTTCTAATACCCATAGGGAGGAAGAGATGAAAAACAAAAAACCTGCTAGTCTGTAACTTAAGGTCCAGAAAGAAATATTTACCTATTAGCCATCGTTTCACTCAAGGGATTGTGAAATGCAAAAGCACACATCAATTTATTCATTAGTTGTCAAGTGAGGAGGTAAACCCCTCTTTCAGCATCTCTCTGCATATCTTAGTTTGGATGGTGAATGAAGAAGGAAACTCTCTAAAATGTCAAATAAGGAAAAGACCACCTAGAAATGAGTGACAGTAATTCACAGGGATACTAAAAATAAGAATCAAGTTGTAATATCTGTACTCAGTGACACAAGGTATCAACACACCTTCCCAATCTAATCATTTTATCGTGTCTACATGGATCTTCCTTATAGCATGCTTTTTTCATAAATTGTGGAATATTTTTTGAGAAAAGAGAGTGTAGGTCACTGAGGCCATTTGTTCTTGTAGCTCTCTGGCTGGCGGGGATCCAAGTGTGTATGAAGATGAGTGACAGTGTGTGGCCAGCTTTTTCGCTGCTGGTCTTTCTATCTGCAGAAGCTTTGAGTGCATTTATCAGAAGCCAAACCATGCCAACTCTTTTGATATTAGGTCTTTGGGTGGAGCTTTCAAAATCATTCTTTGTTCCACTTTTCCTAGATTGTCAAACTGCGCCCAGTAGGTGGTTGAGAGTGTGAATTTCAAACATGTGCTTTTAATACGCCCAAAACTGTTGCTGCAAAGAAGGGGGAAAAACCCACATTAATTGAATCCTCACCCACTCTTACTCATAATGTCATGATTGTATTTTCTATATCCTAAAACAATCTGAAATGATTTGCAAAACTATGTTAAATCCTCAGGTGAATAAGCTTACAGGTTTTTAAATATATATTCTTATTAAAAGTAATTATTTTCTCACAACAATTCAACAAAACCCACCCAGAGTAAGTATAGGTCAACAATTAAAAAATGATAATATTGTAATCTTTGCTTTCATTTACCCTAGCCTTCCTATTGGAATACTAATGATCATTAGCAACATTACGATATCTGTAGACACTACATATTTTAACATTTCTTCGCAATTCTCTTTAGAATATTTTTCTTACAAATATCTTTTGGAAGGTCACTATTATTCCCATTTTATAGATGTCATATGAAGATTGTAACAGTATCTACCGTCAAAGGATCACTTCAGGGATTCTCATAAGATCATGCACATTAAGTACACAGAGTATTTGGCACTATTAGTTATTGAGTGCTCAAAACATGTTAGCTATTGTTAATATGCAAAAGTATTAGCAACTATATTAAAGTTAACAGAAGTCCATTTTAAGTAGGCCAATTTAGTTTGAGTCTTCCTCTAGCACTAGACAGTTCTTCCAAACAATGCAGGTATGACTGTTTCATATGCTGACCCATCTGCCAGGACTGCTCTTGCCTACTCACTCCCGATTCCTCACCCCTCTACCTAGCTATTCCTTAGTGGCTAGAGATTGACATAGATGGTATTTCTCCAGGGGTGAGCAGTCACTAACCTTGCCCACATCTAGCTGATATATATAGTGGGGCACTCCTCCTACCCGCTTCAACCATATTGTAATTTCTGCTTCTTTGTCTGCATCCCCTTAACACTAAATCTGCATGAGGGCAGGGATCGTGTCTACCTTTGTATACCACATTCTTAGTACAATGACAAACTCAATGTCAGAACATAATGGGTGCTCAGTAAATATCTGCTGTATGAAGACACCTGGTATCTGAAATCAGCCTGGCTGGTGACTGAAAGAAAGCTTTTTGATTAGTGTAAGTGATGCTGCCCACCTAAGAGATAAGTAGCAGTTAGTTACGGGGCCAGTTGAGGATGAGGGTGCTAAAATGGGATGTGCCACTGTGGAAGCTCTGAGTAGAAGCAGAGGGGTGGGCAATCAGTGCTAGGGGAGATCAGATTCCACCTGGTCACCGTCAAACTAGCACAGTCCCATTCAGCTTCACTGGTTCTGGATATCGAGACACCAGCCCTGCAGCATGAGGAGCGAGAGCATGGGTTGACTGCACCTCCTTTTCACTCATCAGGGTAGAGAGACTCAGAATCAAGCTCTTAGGTCCCAGCCTTCCAACCAGAGTAGCAACAACAAATGCAGGTCAGGGGTTTCTGCTGGCTGGAGTGAAAGGGTCCAATCTGATCCATGGACCCCTGGAAACTTACCAGACAGTTGGGATGTGTAGTGCACGTCTGGCCCAACCCAGAAGTGCAGTGCCGAGGGAGAAGCTTTGAGACCGGGGGCATGGCTGAAGGTAAATGAATTGAAATGTTCTGATTTGTTACAGCAGTTGCATCGTAGGAAGGGGTGACTTTAGAATAATATCTGACAGTATGCAAGGAATTCAGAGACAGCGCTGCACTGGAAATGTGAGTTTTATATGGATCACCAATAGCATTCTCTGAGGCGGAGCTTGATGGAACTTTAATGAGAAAGAAAACAAATATGGGTCAGTATCCACAATTCTGTAATTCAGAACGACTGTTATTCGACATAAACTGCCCGCTATTTCATTTCCTCACATTACAAATCTGTACTACCTGCTACACCCGAATGCTGATGGAAAAACAAAGTGAACTTTCTAATTGTGACATTTAGTGCAATACACACACTATAAATTAGTGTTCATGTACATTAAAAGACAGGTTTTATAGAAGCAGAAGATCCCTGTGCCTTCTGATGTATGTGAATGTGCACGTCAATCAAAATTGACTCTCTCTGAAGCAAGGAAGAAGGTTGGAAAGAACAACTCCATTCAGCAGAATGGTTTATATCATCATATAGCTATATTCTACATGGTAACTAGAAGAAAAAAAATTGAATATATAATATTAACAATGTAATCTCAAATAATACCATCAATATTTATTTTCTACTGGACATTAATAATATTGAAAGTAAAATAATATAATGGTATGTCTACTTTAAATACAAATGTATCTGAAATGTTTGTGGAAAAATAATTTAAGCAACTGTATACAGAGATTTATGAAAAAGAACAGAAAAAGGCAAGCTGATAAGGTTAAAACATGTCTGTGTTACAGATCAGGCTCAGCACAGAAACCCTGGGACCTTGGGTGATCATTTAACTTCTCTAGCCTTCAACTTCCTGATGCGGGTAGTGAAAGCGAAATTTGGAAGACTTAACTGATTGCAACTTCTCTGATCCTCTTTCCAAAACAATTTGGCAACATGCATTAAGAGCCTATACATACATTCACGTTCTCTGTTCTCTAAGTCACCCATCACACTCTTCCAGGAACCCATTATACTCTTCCAGGAATCCAGTCCAAGGAAAAGTCCAAAATACAGAAAACTTCATATATGGGAAAATATTTCCTATCATATGATGTAAAAAATCACTCTCTCCCCAAACTGCAAATGCTAAATGTAGCGACTGGAAAATGGCTAAGAAAATTACTCTACCCTTGATAAATGATTAAAACTATTAAAATGGTGATGAGTGATGCATAACAACAAATATACATATGTATGACACAAAGTTAAGTAAAAAAATTCAAGAAACAAAATGGGATATCCAATGATTACTACTATAGAAAAATATATCTGGAAGAAGACTTGAAGGAAATACATTAAAAAATGAACACGGTGATTATCTTATCCAGGTTAGTAAAGGATCGGCACTGGTTTTCAAACGCAAAAATGTATTTACATCAAATAAAAATGGCAGTTTTGACTCCTTAACCTTCAAGGCCTCCTAGGGTTTGAACCTACCACAGGTCTATTCCTAGCATATCTCTGGCTTCCCAAGATTGGTCTCCTTAGGGGAGGCAGTGTCTTGAAATGCTGGGGCATAGAAAGGCCTGAACTCGCTGCCACGAAAATAATGTTTCAGAGTTTCTGCAGGACATAAATAGTATTGTATGTACAAAAAAATAACATTGACAGGCATATGCCTGTGGCCTGATCTCTATCTGATTTAATCTAAGCTGATTTAATCATTCCATGTCACATTCAGCCACTGCTACTTATGGCAATTTTTTTTTCTTCTCCTCTCTTCTCTCCTCTAAGTTGGGAGAAAAGTCTAAACTGACTAAAATAACACCCTGAGGCTTCTTTGGTGATATGAAGAATCAGGGCTGGGTTCTATCTGGGGGTCCCTGCTCTTTTGACTTTAGACACTATGCTGCATAACCTTCATTTGTTCCCATGGCTTCCGCCACATCCCCATCTGTGCATGGTTCCTCTACTACAGCACTTACAAGACTGTCTGGGCCATAATTTCTTTTGTGACCCTTTCTACCACTAAGTTGTGAGCTCCATAAGAACAAGAACTGCCTTTTATTCATCTTTGTGTCCCCATCTTTGAGGCAGGGACATTTAAGCTGAGAACTAGGGATGGACTTGGTACTAACTAGCGCAGGTGAGGGAGGAAGGACATTCCTGGTACAAGGGAGGTGCTTGGTGAGAGCAGAGCCTGTTGGAGGAAGTCAGAAGTGTCATCTAGGACTGAGAGGCTGAGGAGAGAGGCAGTCCTGTCATCTAGCGTCTAACATTTAGGTCAAGAGGTCCATACCTTCCTGGTTTCTAGACGGAGAGTAACTTTATCTTCAGGAATACTAAAAGTCACAAACTGCTAGCTGTGTTCTTTTCCTCTATTTTTTTCCATCTTGTTATTTCAGGTACACGGGCATGTCTAGGCTTATACGGCACATATAACAAAAATGCCTCCCAGCGGGAAAGCATTTGTTCCACAATGAATATTCACATAATGAGATTTCTTGAGCCCCTCCTGTATGTTGGTCATTGTTCTAGGTACTAGAAATACAGCAATGAATAAAACCAGCCAAAAAATTCCCTGCCTTCATGGAGGTGACATTCTAATGGAAGATAGGCAACAAACAAAACACACAAGTAAAGAATAGCAGAAGGCAGTGAGTGCTATCAAGACAAATACAGCAGAGAAAGTGGCTGAGAAGATCTCTTTGAGAGGTGACATGCAAGCAAAGGCATGAAGGAGGTAAATAAATATGTTAAATGCTCAGGACACAGTCAGTCCTGAAATTATACGAATACTTCCCCTCCCCTGAGATTCTATTCATATTATAAACAAAGTCACCAGTGTGCTTATCATCTATCAACAGAATGAGCTTTCTGGTAATTACGGTCAATTTTGAGCCCAGTTTCTGGCATAACACTATTTAAACAACTGTAGCCACCTTGTGTACCTGAGGCTGACAATACCAGAAGGACTCATCAGCTCTCCTGGATTCCCTGGTTATGGTGGTGAATGCACAGGAGCCTGGGGGTTTGCAGGGCAGGGCAGGTCCCCCTCTAAGTGGCACAGATGCTAGGAGAAGCTCACCTCTCACAGCTTCATCCAAGGAGCTCTCTGCATCAGGAGTGGAGCACCCATTCCAGCACGTATTAGTCAGGAATTGGAGCCCTCTCTCAGGGGAGTAAGTGCTCATCACACTGTTTTCCCTTGAAAGGACAGAAAAAATTATTTGCACATTTTTCAAGGAAAACAATGTGGACACTGCTGAGTTCAATTGCCCTTTTATCATTCAAGTTCTAAAAACACTGATAAAGCCTCAACTATGGATTATTTACATATGAGCAAAGACACATGACCCACGATAATTCCTTAGGATGTGCAGGAATGATGTGCTTTTTCTCCAGTTTCTCTTTGTTTACATATTCTGATCAATCTAGAGAAGAAAGTAATCATTTGGGAAGTCACATTTTGCACTAATGACCTGCTTTAAGCACCACTAATTGAAATAGGGCTGGACAGCTCCAGGGCCCGAGACCTCTCCACAATGGAGGAACACCAGAAGCCATCACGTCCCTGCTGGACCACCACCATCCCTACACTCACAAGGGAGAAAGCCCCATTTTAAGAACCTCAGAAATAATGAAAGGAGAAGCAAGGGTGAGTCACATGATGAAAAAACCATGGACCTGAGAATATTACCTGTGTTTATCACTGCAACGAAATGATACACATCGGCAATTAGAAAAGTTCGCTGACCCTTAATAAGCCCCTGCACTTTCACTGTGGATAGCAGTTTTTGTGTACATATTTAGCATCAACATGGGAGGAAAATAACTAGCAGACTTCAGATTCGCAAAAGCCCTTATCATACCGCTGTGCCATGACAGTGCCTGGGAGAGACAGCTCAATGGGTGTTTGTTGTTTCTTACAAAACCTCATGTTGCTCTGAAGTGCTTCTGTAATCTAAAAAACACAGAAATATATTTAGGTAGATACCGACATTTTTACATAGATACAAAGACACATACTTTCCAATGATAAAAAATTAAAAGAAGTAAAATTGTAGTATTAAAGCATGTCTATAAGGATAAAATTCAAAGCTTTGGGAGTCAAATACCTGGGCCATAACGGCTGGAGAGATTTTCTCCCGGATATATTTCACATAATCAACTGTTGCCTCAAGAACTGAAGCCGCATCATTCTTTCTCCCTTTTACATACGGCAAGAGAGTACGCAGCTGCTCACAGCAATATTTGATTCTTTCCCTGGACACAGAATTGCAATACATAAAGAATAATTAGTCTCATTGTCTTCATTGTACCCAAAGACAAACAACACTTCCTCCTGGGTATGTTTGTAAAGGAACCATCCCCTCCCTATATAGTCTCCATTTCAGAGAAAGGCTGTGTCCCCACAAGCCAGCAGCCCTCACAGCCCCTGAAATCACAGCTTCCTGGGGCACCCACGCATACTGCTACACAAAGAACCACTGCCCAAGTGCACTGTGTGTGCCGATGGCAGCCCCAGCTCTCTCACCTCAGGCCTGCTGCAGAGCGCAGGATGCCCAGTCACCGAGGAAAGCACCCTTCCCACCCCCTGCTGCCTACGGAAATGTGCAGACCACTCTGCCCTCCGAGCAGAGAATTGTACATGATATAAAAATCCTTTTGCGATTCACACTAGAAGCCTAGAAGGCAAAGAGCAGTCAGGACCTTCATGTCACTGGGACCTAGACCACATTTCCAACAACAGATCAGCTAGCATCTTGTACCACATGACTTCATGGCCTGAGCAAAAAGAAAATCAGAAGGCTGCTTCCTTTACATGAGGTAGGTACAGACAGAACGAGCAGACCAGGATGCAGGTATCAGAAAGAAACTAACCTGTCTTTCACAGCTCTGAAGGGGGATAGGAAATGTAGATCTAACTGACTTAAGCCCTTGGTGGCTTCATTTATCCATGTGTTCCTTTAATAAACATCTTTAAGCACCTGTTTTGTGCTGAATACTACCTTGACATCTACAGGGTTGAATGGTGGCTCTGCTATTACTAACTGGAACCTTAGGCAAGTTACTAAACCTCTGTAAACACCAGAATGGCAGAGAAATTATATTTAAAAACCTAGTTTGACATACGGCCAATGAATAACTCAAATATTCTACATCAGTGGTGTTCTCACTGAGCTCTGAGGAACTCTGGGGGCTCTGCGGGGGTGTCTCGGGAACTATTCTGGGAAGGGAAGGATAGAAGAGTCAACAATTTGACAACGTGTGTGAAGGGCTTTGAAACTTTTCACAGCCTTTGACATGGTTCTTCCACTTACAAGGATCCGTCCTGAGGAGTGAATCTAAAACACAGAGCACAGTATGTATACACAGAAACCCATTAGAGCAATATATTAGTAAAATATAGAAAACAACACATAACATAGGAGGATGCCTTAAGTAAGCTGCTGTACATTATTAGTTCAGTAGAATGTCACCTGGCAGTGGAAGTGAGATGTTATAAAGCTTATTGGGGAAAAGTAGGCCACAAAACAGCATATAAAATATAATCCAAGCCACTAAACAAAGTAGAAGTGAAGCCTAGGAAAAAAGACTGAAGGCAAAAACATCCAGTACAGTTATTTCTGGATGGCTGGATGATGGATCATTTTTATTCCCTTTATTTTCTACATTTTCCAAATATTTTTTGCTAGGCATATGTCACATTCAGAATTGAAACTATTGAAATGCTATTAAAATTTTCCAACATTAGAAAAATGTTCGAACATAGAGAAAATTTGAAAGAATTATACAGTGAACACCTATACACTTACCACTTAAGAGTCTACAGTTAACATTTACTGTACAGGTTGAGTATCCCTCCCCATAATGCCTGGGGAAGTGTTTAAGATTTCAGACTTTTTTGGATTTTGGAATATTTGCATAGACATAATAAGATAGCTTGGGGATGGGACCCAAGGTTTAATACAAAACTCATTTATGTTTTATAATATATATATATAGCCTGAAGGAAATTTTATACAATATTTGTACCTGAAACAAAGTTTGTACACACTGAACCATCAGAAAGAAAAGGTGCCACTATCTCATGTCAGTGCTGAAAAAGTTTGATTTTGGAACATTTCAGATTTCAGATTTTCAGATTAGAGATGCTCAACTAGTATCTGCTTTATTATATATGTGTCATCCCACTATTCATACATTAACATATTTACATATATTAAAGCAAGGTAAGTTGTAGACATAAGCACATTACACTCCTAAATGTATCAGTAGCTCAAATTACTTTATTTTCAGGTAAACACTACATAAAACAAAAATGCACAATGAGTCCCATTCTATGAGTTTGGACAAATACATACAACTGTATGTATTTGAAATATATATGTAACGAAAATCCTAATCACACATGAAAATCCATTATCACAAACCCAGAAAGGCCCTTGTTTCTTCCCAGTCAATACCATCCCCTAACCCCATAAAGCAACTACAATTCTAGTATTTTTTTTCCATACCACATCACTTTTGCCTGTCCTCAAATAGCATATAAATAAAATCTTACAGCATGTATTCTTTTGTAAAGCTTCTTTCACTCAGCTTTAATGTTTCTGGGATTTATCTATGGGGCTAACCATATCAGCAGTTTGCTCCTTTTCACTGAGCAACAGTATTCAAAAATATATAAATATGCCACAGCTTACTTATCCATTCTCTTATTGATGAACACTTGGGCTGTTACCAGTTTTGGGTTATTACAAATAAGGATGCTAGAACATTCTAGATGTCTTTTTATGAATGCATGGTTTTATTTCTCTTGGGTAATATCTAGGAATAGAAATGATGGGCCATTTTATAAGTTTATAAAAACAGGCAGAACTCTTACCACACCAAGGGAGTACCATTTTACACTTCCACCATCAATGTATCAGACCTCTTGTTCCAAATCTTTGATGATATTTAATATCATCAGTAGTTTTCATTTTAGCATTTTGGCCTTTCTGGGGCATACACAGTAGTATCCATTATGTTTTAATCTGCATTTCCCTGACAGCTAATGATGTTGAGCACTTTTTCCTGTGTCTTTTGGGCACTTGTATAGCTTCCTTTGTCAAGCGTCCATGCAGATATTTTACCTACATTTTAATTGAATTGCAGGTCTTTTTATTTTTTAGTTTTAGCAATTCTTTACATATCTTGGATACCAGGATTTGTCAGATATCTGTTTGGCAAATATTTTCTCCCAATCTGCGGCTTTCGTATTTATTTTCTTAAAACTTTTTGATAGCAAAAGTTTTAAATTTTGATAAATCCAATTTATTTACTCTCTCTCTCTCATGGTTATTGCTTTCTATGTCCTGTCTAAAGAACATCTGCGTACTCTCAGCTCATGAAGACATTCTATTTTCTTGTAGAACTGTAATGTCCAATACAGTAGTCAATAGACGTGAGTCTATTTAAATATAATAAATATAAATTAATATTACATATATTAAAAATTCTTTTCCTAAGTTGCAATAGCCACATTTCGAATACTCAATAACCACATGTTGCTAGTGGCTACTGTATGAGATGATGAAGATATAATTTTTAACACAGCAGAAGATTCAACTGAATAGTGTCATCCTAGAAGCTCTATAATTTTAGCTTTATAGTACAGCTCTGAGTATGCTCCATCTTGAAATAATTTTTTATATGGTGTGAAGTAAGGGGTCAAGGTTGATTCTCTTTCCAGATGGATATCTAGTTGTTCCAGCATCATTTATTAAAAAGATTTTCTGTCCCAAAATATTTGCTTTGGTGCTTTTGTTGAAAATCAAATGACTATAAATATGTGGATCCAGTGCTGGGCTATTGTGTTCCATTGATCTATTTGTCAACTTTTATGCCAGTTACCTACTGGTGATTGTAGCTTTAGGGTAAGTCTTGAAGTCAAGATAGTTTAAGTCCTTCTACTTTGTTGTACTTTTGCAAAATTGCTTTGGATATTCTAAGTCCTTTTCATACATTGTAAAATCATCTTGTCAATTTTTATGGAAAAAAACTTGCTGGGATTATGATTTGGATTCAAATAAAGTTATGTTTCAATTTGGTGAGAACTGAGATCTTAACAATAGTGAGTCTTTCAATTCATAATTATGGTATAATTCATGATTTAGTTTTTATTTAACTTTTCATAGTAACATTTTGAATGATCAATGTACAGATCATTTGTTTTTTTTTTTTTGCATATTTGTTCCTAAGTATCCTAAAGCTATTTTATTCTACTTTAAATGTCATAATATTTATATTTTCATTTTATAATTATTTGCTGTTAATATATAAAATACCATTGATTTTTGTACCTTATCTTCTGTAACCCTGTTATAGTCATTCTTTGGTTCCAGTAGCTGTTTTGTAAACGTCTTAGGACTTTGACTTTATACCCAATCATGCCATCTACATATAGTAAGCCAGTTTTCCTTCTTCCTTTCTAATGTGTATGTCTATTTCTTTATCTTGCCTAATTGCAATGGCTAGGATTATTTATTTGATAATGAACAGAAATGGTAAGAATGGGCACCCTTAGTTTGTTCCTGATCTTTTTAAGGAGCAGTCAACATGTTATCACTAAGTACAATGTTAGTTATAAGTTTTTTATAGATGCCTTTTAACAAATTGAGGAAGTTATCTTCCACATCTATTTGCTGAAAGATATTTGTTTTTTAATGATAATGGTATATTGAGCATTGTCAAATATTTTTTCAGAATTTGTTAATCACATGGTTTTTCTCCTTTATTCTGTTAATGTGGTGAATTTCATTGGTTTGCTTTGTTTTTGAGGCAGAGTCTCACTCTATCATCCAGGCTGGAGTGCAGTGGCACCATCTCAGCTCACTGCAACCTCTGCCTACTGGGCTCAAGTGATTCTCATGCCTCAGCCTCACGAGTAGCGGAGATTACAGGTGTGTGCCACCAAACCTGGCTAATTTTTTTATTTTTTTTTTGTAGAGGCGAGGTTTTGCCATGTTGGCCTGGTCGGTCTTGAACTCCTGGCCTCAAGTGATCCACCTGCCTCAGCCTCCCAAAATGCTGGAATTACAGGTATGAGCCACCATGCCAAGCCCAATTGGTTGATTTTTGAATGTCATACCAGTCTTGCTTTTCTAGGATGAACCCCTGATGTGGTCATATTATATCTTTATATATTTCTTGATTTAATTTGCTAAAATTATGTTAAGTGTTTTTGTTTTTATGTTCATGAGGGATACTGGTCTGTAATTTTCTTTATAAATAATGTCTTTGTCAGGCTTAGGGTTATGTTGTTCCCATGAAAGGGGTTAGGAAGTATTCCCTCCTCCCACTTCTGTAAGAACGTGTTTAAGATTAGTATTACTTCTTTAAATGCTTGCTGAAATTCATTGGTAAAACCACCTGAGTGTTTTCTCTTTGGTAAGGTTTTGATAACAAGTTCAATTTTGTTAAACATAGAGCTATTCCGACTTTCTGCTTCATCTGGTATCAGTTTTGATAAATTGTGATTTTCAAGAATTTATCCAGTACATCTAGGTTGTAGAATCTACTGGCATAAAATTGTTCAAAGTATACTCTTTTGTATTTAAATATTTAGAGTAGCTATCATGATCATCCCTCTTTCATTCATGATTGTGATATATTGTGTCTGTCTCCCAGCCTCCTCCCCCTTCACCACCCCACTTATTTGGGTTTATTTTGTTTTACTTTGTCTTGCTTCCTAAGATGGAACCTTATATTACTGATTTTTAGGCCTTTTGCCTTATCTAATATAAGCATTTAAAGCCACAGTGTTTTCCCTAAACTTTGTTGTAGTTTACTTAAAAACTTTGATATATTGCATTCTCTTTTTTTAAATTTAAAGTTCCAGGATACATGTGCAGTACATGCAGGTTTGTTACATAGCTAGACGTGTGCCATAGTGGTTTGCTGATATATTTTGTTCTCAATAGATTCACTTTGAAATATTTTCTAATTTTTCTTGTGATTTTTTTTTTTTGTTTTACCCATGGATTACTTAGAAGTTTTTTTTTTTTTAATTTCCATATATTTAAGACTTCCCTTTAAATCTTACTCTTACTGATTTCTAATTTAATTTCGTTGTGGTCAGGGAACACATCTTTATTAATTCAACTCTTTTGAATGTTTTGAAGCTTCTTATATCCCCACCGGTATGCAGTCTATCTAAGTGACTGTACCATGTGCCACTGAGAAGGAGTCTTCTGCTGCAGTTGTTGGGAGTGTTACTCTATAAATATTCATGAGATTGAGGTGGTTAGCGGTGTTCACATCTTCTAGAGCTTACTGATTTTCTGGTGTCCAGTTGTATAAATTGCTGAGAGAGGAGTGTTAAATCTCCAGCAATTGTTTTAAAATTATCTATTTGTCCATTTAATTCTGTAAATTTTTGATCCAAATATTTTGAAGTTCTTATCACATGCTATTTGTGATTTTAATATCATTCTGAAAAGTTGACGCTTGTATCATTATAAATTGCCCCTCTTTACCGCAGGTAATACTGTTTGTCTTCAAGTCTACTTTATTTGATATTAAAATAGCCTATCTGACTTTCTTATACTTCCTGTTTCCACAATGGATATATTTCTATTAATTTATTTTTTTATATTTAAAGCTTCTCTGTTACAGACAGTAGATAGCTGGGTCTTAGGTTTTGTTTGTTTTTATCTATTCTGAAAACTTCTGCCTATAAGTTGGATATAGTTGGATAAAGGTCTACCATACCTTTTTTTCCCTCTGTAGTCTCTTTTGCTTTTTTATTCTTCTGTTCCTCCTTTCCTTCCTTCATTTTAAAATATTTTTAAAAATCCAATTTTAATTTATCTTTTGGCTTCACAGCAATGCATTTTGCCTATCTCTTTAGGGTTGCTCTAGGGATTACAATATATATCTGAAGTTTTCATAGTCTAGAGTTAATACTTTATGACATCACATAAAATGTATAACTGCAGAAGTTATGCAAGTGCATTTATCCCACTCATTCTTCATGTAATAGTCATATGTACTATAGCTACATATGTTATAAACCCCATGATACATTGCTATAATTCTTGCTTATAACAGTTTTAAGTATTTTAAATAGTTTAAAATGAAAAATGTTTGTTTTTGCTCAGACATTTATCATTTCTGGTGCTATGTAGTCCTTCTAGTGATTCGAGTTTCCATTTGTTATTATTTCCCTTCCGCCTGAAGAATTTCCTTCAGCTTTCTTACTCTGCAGGTCCACTGGTGTCAAAATATCTAAGTTGTCTTTTATCTGAAAATGTCTTTATCTTACATGAAGATAAAGGGAAATAATATCTGATGGAAATATGATTTGCACAAACAAGTGAAGAGTCTAAGACATGATAAATATGGTGGCATACATTAAAGGGTAGTTTTCTAATTTATTAATGTTTTAAAAACCAATAGT
The DNA here is from genome assembly GCF_000001405.40 of Homo sapiens. Classification (NCBI taxonomy): domain Eukaryota; kingdom Metazoa; phylum Chordata; class Mammalia; order Primates; family Hominidae; genus Homo; species Homo sapiens. Next base: position 36,182,050 of record NC_000013.11, read on the forward strand.
ATATATTTATTTGACAGGCCTAGAGCAGCTGTATACTGCTAAGATTTCTACTACAGAGGCAAGAAAAAAGTGTCCTTGTACTTTATGTCCCTTTGATTGTGGCAGCCAAGACTGAGTGGGGAAATGCAGGAGCAAAAGATGGTAATACAGGGAAATTCATGGGGAGAGAATTTTTGCAACTCAGACAAAATCTTGTATACAGTGAAGAGCCTGTTCTACTGCAAACAAGAATCTGAAATTTGGGTTAAAAAGATAAGAGTTAAGATTAAAGTCACTGAAAATTACTTATTTCTCCAACAAAGAGTCAGGGTCCATTTCCTCTCCTCTTGAATCTTCACTGGCCTGTGCCTGCTTTAATCAAAAGATATCTGGAGAGTGACTCTATGACAGTTCTGGGACCAGCATTTCAGAAGATGTAGCTTTCACACTGGTCTCATGGAATCCTAAGCCTTCATGTAAGAGGTCCTTCTAGCTTGCTGGAGATACCATGTGGAGAAGTGATGAGACCACAGGGAAGAACAGCCCATTTGAGCACAACCTGCAGCCACACCCACCAGAAGACCACATGTGTGGATGACGCTGCGCTGGAATCTCCAGACAGGCCAGTTTTGCTGGCTGAACATCACGGAGTGCCATGGTTAACACCACACTGAGAAGAATCACAGAGCCAAGCTCTGCCCAAACTGGTGACTCACAAAATCATGAGATATGATAAACAGTTTGTTGATTTCCACTACCAAGTTTCAGAGTAATCTGTTGTACAGTATTAGATAACTGGGCGACAGCTTACTGTTTAAGCAAAACAAATAACAATGCTGGGTTGATAACTGATGTGGCTTGGATGTTTTGTCCCCTCCAAATCTTATGGTGAAATGTGATGCCCAATGTTGGAGGTGGAACCTGGTGGGAGGTGTTAAATCATGGGGGCACTCTAGGGCTTAGCTTAGCGCCATCCCCTTGGTGATGAGTGAGTTCTCACTCAGTTCATGCAAGATCTGGTGGTTTAAAAGAGTTTGGGGCCTCTCCTTTCTCTCTCTCTTGCTCCTCCTCTTGCTATGTGACACATTGGCTCCACTTTGCCTCCTGCCATGATTGTAAGCTTCCTGAGGGCTCACCAGAAACAGAAGCTGCTATGCTTCCTGTACAGCCTGCAGAATCACGAGTCAATTAAACCTCTTTTCTTTATAAATTACTCAGTCTCTGGTATTTCTTTATAGCAACACAAGAATGGACTAACACAATAACATATGTAAAAGTAAAATGTATGACAACAATAAGAAAAAATGAAAGAAGGTAAATAGAAATATGCTGTTGTATTTTAAGGGCATAATATCAATTCAAGGTAGATTATGATAAGTTAAAGATGCATATCATAATCCCTAGAGCAACCAATAAAAAATAGTTACAGCTAAAAAGTCAATGAAAGAGATAAAAAGAAATGCTAAAGTATACCTGATAAATCCAAAGGAAGGCAGGTAATGAGAATAAAAGGAAAAAGAAAATAGATTAGACTAATGAACACAAATAGAAAAATTGTGAACCTAAAACCGCACTTAACAGTAAGTATATTATATGAAAACGAACAACAGAGATTGTCAGAATGAGTAAAAAATAACAACAAGATTCAACGACATGCTATTTACAAGGGACACTCTTTAAATATAAAGACATATACAGGTTAGAAAAAAACCATGCAAACACTAATCACAAGAAAGCTATATTAATATCAAAGTAGATTTTTTAAGACAGGGAGTACTAGCATAGAAAAATTAGCATTATCATTTCCTTAGGATAAGTGGGTCAATTCAGCAAGAAGACAGGCATCTAACAACAGAATCTCAAACTACATGAAGCAAAAACTCTCAGGAAGAAAGGGAAAAAGAGTTGTCACTGAAAAACTTAACCCTCAAAAAATCAGTAAGGGAGCAGAATATATGAAAAACACTATTGACTAATTCTACCTCATTAATATTTATAGAATACTACACCCCCCAAACAGAAGAATACAGTCTTTTCAAATGCATATAGAACATTCATCAAGGGAGAACATGCTTTGGGCCATAAAACAAGTTTCAGAAAATAACAAAGGACAGAAACTTTACAAAGCATGTTTTCAGATGACAGCATAATTAAATTATAAATCAATACCTAGAAAGTCTCCAAACATTCAAGTTAAGTTATACACTTCTAAACAGTGAAAAGACTTACTAGTGAAAAGAAAAAAATCACAAGGGATATGAGAAAATATTTTGAACTGAATGATAGTGGAAATATATCAAAGTTGATGAGATGCAGCTGAAGCAATGCTTAGAGAAAAACTTTTATAAAGGAAAAGTTTTAGCTTTAAGTGCTTATATTAGAAAAGAAGAAAAGGTTAAAATCAATGATGGAAGTTTCTACCTACAAAGACCTTTTTTTTTTTTTTTTTTTGAGACGGAGTCTTGCTCTTGCCCAGGCTGGAGTACAGTGGCGCTATCTCGGCTCACTGCAAGCTCCGCCTCCCGGGTTCACGCCATTCTCCTTCCTCAGCCTCCCGAGTAGCTGGGACTACAGGCGCCTGCCACCACACCCAGCTAACTTTTTGTATTTTAGTAGAGACAGGGTTTCACCGTGTTAGCTAGGATGGTCTCGATCTCCTGACCTCGTGATCCACCCGCCTTGGCCTCCCAAAGTGCTGGGATTACAGGCGTGAGCCACTGCACCCGCTCTACTTTTTAAATACTTCAAGTTCTGGGATACATGTGCAGAACGTGTAGGTTTGTTACATATGCATACATGTGCCATGGTGGTTTGCTCCACCCATCAACCCGTTATCTAGGTCTTTAAGCCCCGCATGCATTAGGTATTTGTCCTAATGCTCTCCCTCCCCTTTCCCCTCAACCCCCCGACAGGCCCTGGTGTGCAATATTCCCCTCCCTGTGTCCACGGGTTCTCATTGTTCAACTCCCACTTATGAGTGAGACCATGCGGTATTTGGTTTTCTATTCCTGTGTTAGTTTGCTGAGAATGCTGGTTTCCAGCTTCATCTACGTCCCTGCAAAGGACATGAACTCATTCTTTGTTATGGCTACATAGTATTGTGTGGTGTATATGTGCCACATTTTCAAAGACTTTTTTTTTAAAAAGCAAAGTATAGAGGCCGGGCACGATGGCTCATGCCTGTAATCCCAGCACTTTGGGAGGCCGAGGTGGGCGGATCACGAGGTCAGGAGTTTGAGATCAGCCTGGCCAACATGGTGAAACCCCATCTCTACTAAAAATACAAAAATTAGCCAGGTGTGGTGGTGGACACCTGTAATTCCAGCTGCTTGGGAGGCTGAGGCAGGAGAATTGCTTGAACCCGGGAGGCAGAAGTTGCAGCGAGCCAAGATTATACCACTGCACTCCAGCCTGGGTGACAGAGCAAGACTCTGTCTCAAAACAAACAAACACACAAACAAACAAAAAACCCACAAAGTATAGAAAGACAAAGAGCAGAAATCAATGAAATAAAAAAATGAGCTAATATAGAAAATCAATGAATCAAAATCTGCTTCACTGAAAAAAAATCGATAAAACTGACAAACCTTTTTTTGCTAGACTGATCAAGAAACAAGGCAGAAAACACAATTTATCAATACCGGGAATGAAAAAAGCCATCATCACAGACCTGTAGATGTTAAAACGATAATAAGATCATGTTGTTAAACAAATGTGACACTTAAGATTAAATGGACAAATTTCTTGAAAGACATAAATTAACCAAACTGACACAGAAAAAAACAGCCAAAAGGAAAAAATAGGGAATTTAGTCCTATAATAATTACAGAAATTGAATATGTAATTAAAATTTTCCCACGAAGAAAATTCCAAGCCTAGATGACTTCACCGTTGAATCCTATCAAACATAACATTTCTACACAAATTGTTTCAGAAAACAGAAGGTTTTCCATTTCATTTTATATGACCAGTATGAGATAAAGACATTGTAAGAAAACTGCAAACCAATATCTTTCATAAACACAGATGCAAAAATTGTTAACAAAATATTAGCAAATATAATCCAGCAATAAACAAAAATTATCTACACCTTAAGACAAAGTGAAGTTTTGCATTTAAAAAAATCAGTCATAATCACCACATTAACAAACAAGAGGAGAAATTATCATCTTACTAGATAGAGAAAAAAAGACTGACAAAATTTTACATCCATTCATGATAAAATCCTAAACTAAGACTAGAAGGAAACATTTTTTTAAGCTGATAAAAAAGCATGCACAAAAGGCCACAGCTTACATCATATGTGATGGTAAAAGACTTAACATTTTCCCTCTAAGATCTGAAACAAGGCACGGATGTCTACTTGGGGCTCTCCTCTGTATAAATGTGTCTCAAACAAACAAGGACTCACAGGGAAAGGTATCTGGGCCAGATACAACTTGGAACCCTCTGAGAACTGCCTGTTCTACCTTTCTTGAATCTTTAAGACTTGTCTAGTCCTGGAAAAGTCTTCATTTGTGGGACACTATGGCAAAGCTCAACATTTCCCTTCTTCTCAAGTGAATAGACACCCCCAAAATTATTACACCACCATCATGTCAGACTCATGGGTACACAAAAATGTGATGACATCATTTGGAGAATACACACTTTACAAGATAAAAACATGTTTATGTATTTATAAATATATAATGAATGGGATTTCACCAAGAATATAAGAATTAGCTAATTTTGATTAATATGTTCTAATAAGAATGCGAGTATCAGAGAAAAAAATTTCCCAAGTGCAAAAATATTGGCCAGAACCATCGTTTCCTTAACATTAGCAAACATCATGTTGCCCTACTGCTTAAAAACAAACAAAAACCCAAAACCATATGTAAAGCAGGTGAGTGGAAGAGGAGGAGGAAGAAAGGAAACAGACTAGAAGCAACGATTTCAGATTCACAGGCATGGTCAGAAGGGTTAAGAGGGAAAGACAAAAACTAATCAGGGATGGTGTTTACCTCCTGGGAGCTCCCAGGCAAATCTCTAAAGAGAAAGGGGGAGGTCCTTGTCACAGCTCTTCTTTTTGAGAAACAAAGATTTCTAGTCCTTCAAATAATGCCACAGATGTGAACAACCCCAAAGCATCTTTTCAGTCTACTAGATGAGTGGTTTTAGATTTTAGTTTTCATCAACCATTAAAATTTTAAAAAGAAAACTAACACGTAACTTTGGGGGACCAATAAAGGATTCCCACCATTAGATCTGGACATGAAAAATAATGAAAAAACAAGGAATAAATGTTTCCTCGCATCATTTCATTATAATCATTTGCTAATATCAACATTATTTTAACATCAAATAAAGTATGGAGAATACAATCTTAGGATATCAATTGTATAATATGTAGCTTTAAAAAATACTCAGTGCACTGTATTTTTCTCATTTGGCTTCAGATGAATGAGATCTATGGGACAGCACTGGCCAGCGGGCCCTAAGTCTTGACCTAGCAAGGCAGCAGTCATGGGAATGAAGCCCTTTAGAGCCAGAGTAGCCTATCCACCATCCCATCCCATCAAGCCCAAACCCCATCATCTTCCCACTAATCTTCAGCAGATGGAGGGGGACCATTCAGCAAAGAACTTGCTCAACTTCCTCCCTGATCGGGCCCCATCGAAAAATTCATGTGAATTCACATTGAGCCTAAACTCCTCCTCTCCATTTTCCATGGAAGAGACATTCTTCCACCCGGTTCTGGATTCCCTTGCCTTCTGCCTCCTCAGGGATGCTCACTCCATCACCAACACCTCCTCATCAGCTGCGGGGGATTAAAATTATTTGACCTTCCTCCCACTGACAGGTGGGGTCTATGTGCCTCCCCTTGGATCTGGGTAGACCCTGTGATGGCTCTGACCACTAGCATATGGTAGAAGTGGCCTGGGCCCAGGCCTGAAGAGACTGGCAGCGTCCCCTTCCTGTCTCTTGAAACACTCTCTCTAGGAGCCCTAAGCCACCATGAAAGAAGTCCAATGACACTAAAACTACTCTGCTGGAAAGGCTTCAGTTGACAGCCCCCGCTGAGCTCAGACTTCCAACCCATGCTGGCAAAAGTCCAGATACGCAATGTCTTGGACCCTCCTGACTGGACCATCCACCAGCTGAAAACTATGAGTACCTCAGTTAATGTCATGTAGGCAGAAGAATTGCTTGGCTGAGCCCTGCTCGAACTGCTAACCCATAAAAACATAGTTACAATAAAATGGTGGTTGTTTCAAGCCAGTAAATCTTGTTTTAATTTTTATGCAACCACAGATAACTAGAATATGAGGATCTTCAAAACTTCTTTCTCTCTCTCAGCTGCTTCTTTTGTAACATAAGCATATTAAAGTCTGGCCTCTTATCAAAATCTCGTACTTTACCCTCAGTCCCTTTGTAAATACTTCACACCTTCATTTCATCTGTGTTCCTGTCTTTCTTTCTGCAATGGTGCTTCTTCTCTAACCATACCAATGAAATTATTTTTGCCAAGATCAATGACATCTAGGTCTGGCTCAATACAAATAGTCAGTTACCAGCTCTTAACCTTACTTGATCTCTCTGCATCACATGATACTCCTGAGCACCTGTTCCTTTAGGAAATTCCTCTCCCCTGGTCTGCTCAATACCACTGCCTCTTGGTATTCTTCTTATCTCCTTAGTAACTCTTTGTGTTCCCCATGGATTCCTTCTCTGCTGCCTGTACCTTAAATACTGAGAATCTTTCTAAGGTTCTTTTCTCCACTAGTCCCTTCTCTACGTGCTTCCCACAATCATCCTATATCCATCCCTATGTCCACTGCTTCAAAGAAATGCTGTGTCCTCATTCCTCTGAGCCTGTATTTCTAAGCCTAGACCTTTCTCTAGAATCAAAGGGCCAACTCTGCACTCCAAGAGGTATTCAAACCTAGAAGTATTCAAGCTCAACAAGAGTAAAAATAAAAATATATTTACCTCACACTGCCATTCTACTGTCCTTCTTCGTCAGTGGATGGTGTCACCATCCACTTGGGAGTTACACCTCACTTATCCTTAGCCATGCTCATGCTGATTCTTCCTAGTTAATACATCTAGAATTGGCTTATTCCTCTCTATCTCATTGCTAACACCATAGCTCAGGAAATTATCATTTCTTATTATAGACTACTTCTGGCCTCCGGATGCAATTCACTGTGTTACATCCTATTAGAGTGTTCATTCTAAGGTATAAATCTCATCATAACACTCCTTTGCTAAAATCCTTTAGCAACTGCCCAACAGACTAGGTTATAATTTGAATTTCATAGCATGAAATACCCAGCCCCTACTTACTACCTCTCATCTTTTGCCTCTTCCCCCTTGTGACCTGATGGCCAACCATATGGACATACATGCAGTTCCATAAATTCACTGGACTCTCTAAGACTGCCAGCCTCTGTACCTATTATTCCCTCCATATAAAATACCCTTCCCTGATTTCCAAACCAAATTAATTGCAACGTGTGGAAAGCTCAATTTAGCTACTGCCATCTCAAGAAAACTTTTACTGTCCCCTTACTCTGTCTTAGAAAACTTTCCTAGTGTCCTTATTTTGTGTTCTCATCATGACATGTATTAAAAAGCATAATTTTCTACTTAATAGCCTATTTAAAAGTCTGTCTGAGCACTAGACTCAGAACACCTTTGAAGGCAGGGACTTACTTTTTATATCAGTTCTCCAATCCTTCTTTGGCATGCACTGCAGACTCAGAAACATTTATTGAATGACTACAAGGCTGAATGAGTGAGTGGCATCTATTTGTTTGCTAAGTTTACTAGTTTCACTTATACTTTTAATAATACTACAAAAAATTATAAAATTCATTAATTTCTCCCTACAAAAGAATAATGCTTAAAAAGTGCTATATTAAAATTCACCTTCTTAGTTTTTCCTTGCTTGAATGAAGAAGAGAGATCTTTTTGTTTTTCTCGAACTCTGACAACGAAGCATTTAATTCAAGCCCATTGCCATTCCTTAAAGATTCAGAGCTAGAAACAAGAGAAAATCACACCATACATTAAAGGGGAAAATTGTCGGGCAAAATTAAATAATACGCACCAATACACTAAACAAAGGATGCTTCTCTAAGTCTCTTGCTTCATACAAAGGGGCAATAAGTGTCAAAACACCATATCTTAGACATTTGGTGCAGAATGTTTATTTCAAAATTTCAAAAGAATATATTATCAAAATCATCCTAAATTCAATGACTGATCAAAATTCTAAAATAAATTGTTAACAATACATACAAGCAGGATTAAAACATTCTGACCTTATCAATTATGACTACACCATATTATATGACTATGCACCCTTCAGAAGGAAAGGTACATTACAGGAAAAAAGCATAAAGGATTAGAAGGACAAGATACACCCTAGGCCAACCCAACCAGCAAAGCGCAGGTTCCCTCCATTTTAAAATTTGTCATTTAATGGACATTTTCTGGCTCTACTATTTTTGCAGAACTTCTTCAGGCATTCTGATTGATTTAAAAATACATTAATCTAAGAAACTTGCAAACTAATCCTATTTCCTCTATCCTAAGAGATATAACTTGATTTGAAAATTTTATTTACAGTGGTAGGATACTGAGGGAAGACAGAAGGATTCAAGATGAGTAGAGATCAAAAAGCACATGCATACTATGTAGTCATAAAAACTTTTTTAAAAAGAAAAGCAGTTGCAAGTAATATAAGAAAATTAAGACCTTCCAAAACCTTTCCCAACCCCATATCCTAGATAAGGGTTAATACGGCAAGCCTCTTTAAGATTAAAATGTTAAATAAGACCAAGAAAGCTGTTGATATCTCTGCGTTACCAAAGTCAGCTTTGGTTTAACCACACTTACTGACTGCCAAGTCCCTTTCTTGTTCAAAACAGTAGATGGCCACATTCTACAAATTCTGGAAGTGACTAACTTAAAATTCTCACCATCATCAGTACGCATGCCCTCAGCAGTTATGTCCATTCTTTGTATCCCTAGGCTCTACTTAAAACCTCCTTGGAAATCAGCTTAAAGTGAAGGGAAGAAATTCACAAAAATTGAATTTTATAAGCATACTAGCATTGGAAGGAAGGGTCTGATCCCCAGTTCAACTGCCTACCCAATCCAGGTTTGAATGCCAGTTCTAATGTCTATGAGAGAGAGAGAGACAGAGAAACACAAGGAGACACAGAGACACACACTAAAACTTGCCTTGTATACCAAACAAGAAGATTCCAAAAGCTACATGAGGTACGTAAAAGATACTAAATCCTTTTTAAAGGGAGATTTTCAATAACTGGGTGGATAGGTTCATGAGTTCGAGAAAGACAATGGGAAGAAGCAGAGTAGTAGGTGTATAACAGGTGAGGCTGCTCTTGTCTGTTTAAATATTGGGGTTCCATGTAAAATTTTTGTTTGAGGAATTTCACTGTTTTTATGAAGTTTAAATACCACTGCGCTATTTAACTTTGCTTAGTGATAACATAGACTCTAATACTGATCATATTCCCCAATGATGGGGAACTCACTACCTTACAATTTGACCTGTTCCCCTGTGGTCAAGTCTAATTGTTTATGAAGTATTTCCTTATATTAAGTTGAATACTTCTGTAATGTGTACCCACAGTGCCAGCTCAGGATTCTTAAGTACAGCAAATGCTGCACCCCTCTTCCACAAAATAGCCACAATCAATAAGTTCTCTAAAAATATTGCTATTATGAAAAAGAACAAAAAACTAACCAGGCAAATAGATCAGTAGGAAAATATCCCAGGTGTTCGCTGTAGGACCTCTGCAGGGGCAATCCAAGTTCTTCAGGCCCAGTTGCGTTTTCAGTCTTAACTGAAAGTTTTGAGAGGGGAACTATTTATTTCTGAAGTCACTTAAGGAGATGACGCTAATCAAACACACAAGCCCCAATCCTTAATGCAGTTGTCTTTTACTCAATAGATTTTACAAAGCAGTATTTTTAAAACTGAAAGCAATTTATAGATTTCTGTGAAATATAAAACCACCTAGGTTAGAAAGCAAAAACTAAAATACTCTATATTATTTACCCCGGGATACCTTTAAGCCAGATTCTAGTCACTTAGTGACAGGTGTGCTTAAAACACATTCGACTGAGTTATTTATCAAGTTCCTATTTATAGGTAAATGTCAGGAGACAAAAAACACGCATGAGTCTTCAACAAGCAGCTGCACTGTCGAAATATAGCATCTGAAAAAAATTTTTTCCTTTTTTGCAGCTGCTCATCCTTAGAGCAAAGACGAGACAACTGGAAGCAGACATGGTCATGACCAACAGAGGGGCATGGGCAGGTGACGAGCAGCTGCTCTATTTCACTGAGAACCAAATAAGAAGAGGTTGCAAAAGCCCTCGGTCACCAAAGTTAGCCATTTCCAGGAAGAACCACAAGGGCTGGGAGCCACTGGAATGTCACAAACAGACTCACTCATCTGAATATTTAAAAAGAACATTAAAAAAGGACTGTTAAAGTAAATCTCATATAATCATTATCAGGAGAATCCAGAAAATGTCTTTCAGGCCCATTTTAAGAAAAAATCATCTTAATTTTGCCAGCTTTATTAAAGTATAATTGACAATTCGAAATTGTACATATTTAAGGTGTACAACTTGAGTTGATAATATACATATATATTGTGAAATAATCACCACAATCAAGTTAATTGACATATCTATCACGTCACATCGTTACCTTTTCTGGTGATGAGAACACGTAAGATCTACCCTCTCAGCAAATTTCAAGTAGACAATACAGTATTGTTAACTATAGTCACACTGTGTATATTAGACCCCCAGAATTTGTTCATCTTATATAACCAAAACCTTGTACCCCTTGACCAACAATAGTCCCAATTTAACATCATCTTAATTTTAAAAGATTTCTTATTTAGTATCCCAGGCCGAGAAAGACCAAAAATAGTCACTGACCAATAATGATTCCAGTAGAATTTAATTTCCGTAATTGGAGTCTGTCCTTTCACAAGCCAAATGAAAGCTAGTTTAATTAAAGTGTTTAGATACTGGTGATATGCTTAATATAATAGGCAAAGAGTTTAGAAATGTGAGGTCTAATTGAAGCATTGACATTAATCCTCTGCATCTAAAATCTGAAACAGAAAGGGCAACCACCCTATTAACTTTAAGAAGTAAAATAATTTCTATGCAAGTGTTTTGCAAAGAAGAAAGCACAATACAATTGTAGGTTAGGGCCCCTGGCTTTTAGATAATCACACAATGACACAGCACAGTTAATTCCATTTTAATGAGTAAGAAATTATGGTAGCTAGGCTACCAAAAAAGAAAGAAAAACAGTAACACAATGCTGCTTCAACCCCCCACCCAAAACCCTGTGCCTACCGCAGCACTGTATTTGCCCTTGGGCAACACATTCTAAACCTCTGAAGATGTAGTTTTTTTCTTTCCAGGTAAAGAATACATATTTCTCCCTTTATTTTATTTATGCTTGTTTTTGTCAGAATATATGAGCAGAGTTTTCAAAGATTTTAATTCAAATTTTGAAACCTTTGGAAATTTTTTACTCACCAGTGTTTGAGGGACATGTTGTCCAGTATTTTACCACATTACTCATTTTTTCCATTGTCAGTGGTTCAGTTAAAGCAATATCCATTCCATGCCCTGAAATACAACCTAAGAATCTTTATATTAAATATTGACCTTATAGTTTCTATTTAGAGAAAAAACAAATACTATATTTAGCAGGTACATACCTTTAAAATTTTCAGGGATTATAAAAACAAACAGTGAATGTGTATTTTTCTTTTTGCCAAATCTGAGAGAGGAAAGAAAATGTTAAAATGAAGCAAAATCATTATTCAAAAAATTGAGATTCAGGAGTTTAGCTTATTAGGAACTAACTACAGTGATTTTCTTCATTTCTTTAGAATTTAAAATAATATCATTAATATGGAAATTTAGTAAAAGTAGCATCTCAAATCAGTGAGGAAAGAGATGAATCACTTTTTCTTAAAAATGAAAAAAAAAAGCCTAAACTTTATCCAAATTTTTGGTCAGATCATCAGTTTACAAGAATTTTGTGGAAAGAAACATTTTAAAGAACATCATGGGAATGAAACAAGCAGAATCTAGAATGGGGGGAATTCTGTAAGACAAATGACTCCTTTTAAATATATATATAATTAAAGAACAAGACAAGAAAAAGGAAAGTTGAATCCTGATTTGTATAAACTCACAGTTTAAAAAAAATCATAAGGATAAGCAGGGAAATTTGAATGCTAATGGGATATTTGACAATACTAAGAAGTGATTACTAATTTTCAGGTATAATATGGGTTTTGTGGTTATTCTCTGAGTCCTCACCTTAGAGAGGTACCAATTAAAGTATTTATGGATGAAATAAAACAGTATTTTAGATTTGTCTTAAAATAATCCACTGGTGGGCAGGGGTGGGAAGGTAGGGAGAAACATGATGAGCCAGATGTGGGTAACCGCTGAGGCTACATTATGGGTGTATTATTATACTCTCTCCCCTTTTATTTCTTGAAATTTTTCAAATAAAACTTTTTTCTTAAAGTGGCATTATAGTTCACTAAACTCAGTACAGTAAGTCTGGAATTCGATAATTGGATGGATACTGAGCCTTGGCATTAGCCAAAATGAAATGATTTGCAGGGAGAATGTGACTGTGAAAGAGATTTTAAAGAGAACAGTTTAAAACTACCTAAGAAAAGCAAACTATTCTCAAATACTTTAAAACATCATTTATTAGCATGTGGTTACATATGGTTATTATTTATTTATTAAAATGAGAACTGGGATCACCCCCACTGTATAACATTGTTAGTTTATCTTACATATGCATTTGGAAGTAAGTATACATTCTATATTTCAAATTACATTATATATTAATATAAATTTATATATCTGAGTCATATATATTGAGAACCTCTTATGTGCCAGCTCTGTGCTAGGCTCTGGGGGATATCATGGTAAACAGACAGACAAGGTTCCTGCTCTCACACAGCTGGAGGTCTTGGGGCAAAAAGACATTAAACGAATCATTATAGATAATTTTATGGCTGAAAATGTGTCCAATGCCAGGAAGGAAAACCAAAAGGGCCAAGAGGAGTCCACGTCTGGGCACCAACCTGCCTCAGCAGCCTTGGGGAAGGCTTCCAGGCAGACAACCCTTGGTGCTGGCTAGACACAGAAAAGGCTGGGGAGAGGGGGAGGGCAGAAAGCAGATGTGCAGCACAGAACACTCTGGGCAAAAGGCACAGCATATGCAGGAGCCCTGGGGTGGTCGAGAACAGGTGAGTTTGAGAAGGTACAAGATGTCCAGGAAAGCTCTGGCACAGGGCATCTGAGGAAGAAAAGCATAAGTGGAGACCAAAGAGCGAGGGAGGGCTGGGCTCTGCTCACAGAAGGCCTGTTAGGCCACAGGAAAGGTTTGGTATTGAAGAAAAATGGGCAACGGAAAGCTATGAAGCTCAGGAGCAACCAACACAATTACATTTGCATTTTAGAAAGACCACTCTGCCTATGATGGGATGCGCTGATAGGGGTGACACAGGTGGACTGGAAAGACCCTAGGGCAGTGATCCAGGCAAGAGCTGATGGTAAGGAAAGCGGGCATACCCGTGAACCTTTGGTAAAGTTAAATATTTCAGAGTATTTACTAAATTAATTACTTCAGACTAGCAGGATTATTAAGAAAATGTGACACCACATTGACATCCATTCAGACTTGATTCTGTGCTATGAATTCTGGGGAGTTTAGGCTGAGAGAGAGGAAAGGAAAGAATATATGGTTTCTATGAGGAAATGAGAAACTCAGAATATTATCATCAAAATAGGCATATGCAGGAGGGAGGATAGAGTTTGCCTGGCCAACCAAATGTGGAGGTAAGAAAGGCACTTCCTACACTGGTGTAGGTGGTGTGGTGACACAGAGGGAATAGGGGGATCAGAATGATGCCTGCCAGGATGTCAGCATTTCATATATATATGAAAATAAATATATACATTTTAGACAGACAGAAAGATAGATAGATAGATAGATAGATAGATAATTTTTTTTTTTTTTTTGAGACAAGGTCTTGCTTTGTCACTCAGGCGGGAGTGCAGTGGCGTGGTCAAGGCTCACTACAGCCTCACCCTCCCAAGCTCAAGCGATCCTGTACCTCAGCCTCCCAGGTAGCTGGGACTACAGGTGTGTGCCATTACACTTGGCTATTTTTTTGTATTTTTAGTAGAGATGGGTTCTCACTATGTTGCCCAGGCTGGTCTCAAACTCCTGGCCTCAGGCAATCTTCCCGCTTCAACCTCCCAAAGTGCTGAGATTACAGGCAAGAGCCACTATGCCTAGCCTCGTATACATATTTTTAGGTGATGAGAAAGTGTGGATTATAACGGAGGTACAGACAACAGAATGAGGAAAGAGAGGTGAAAGGGAATAATGGACTGAGCAGATGGGACTGAAAGAAAATTATTGGGTAGTTTAAATGTTGAAATAAAAAATACTGCATAGTGGATTCAAAAAAGTAAATTATCCTAAGTTAAATACAGTTAAATGATTTTTTAAAAACAGGTTGTTTGCTTTTAGAAATCTTCCTATGTCCATTTTTGAAAACCCGACTTTTCAAAAATTTGAAAATTAATTTTACTGACACAAAAATATGTAAGATATGGATATATGGATTTATATGCCCTGATGACTTTCAAATTTCAAGCTTTACATCAGACAAAGGTGGGATTCTTGGACTTTTGTTATTAGCACAGAATCAATTACCAAACACACACTCCCCCTGCTATATAGGGAACTCCTGCAATCGATAAGAGTTCCCAGAATCCAATACTCTGGTCTTAAGCTCAGCTGTTCATTCACATTCCCTACAAATCAATAAGCTAAAAGAGTTTCTAGTTTCTAGGATCAACCAGAAAATGTTCTCTTTTTTTGTGAATGAATATTCCTTGAAACAAAACTAAGCAATGCAAAAACAAACCAAAATAAAAATCACTTTTATCCACACCAACTGATAGTACTTCCTCTTCTATATACCAAAATCAAACTGTAGGCTCTGAGACCTTCTCAATTAATGTCTCTTGTGTTTGCAATTTATTTGGGGACAATCCATTTTCCCTCATGTTTCACGATTACGCTGTTTAAATGTCATGATGTTTCCTGAGGCTACACCTCACTTTTGAGATTGGATACTGATATTCTGGGTTCCATTCCTATGCCTGCCTGCAGTGCCCTCTAGAACTGGAGCCAGCATCGCTCAACCTGCAGCAGTACCCACCCACTGTCTTGCCCCCATCCCCGGATCTGTCTCTGGTAGCTGAAAAAACAAAGATCATATACAAGTGTTTTGAGCTGAGTTGTACACTCTGCTGATCAAAGGGTCTCAGGAAAGCCCTGGCCTCTGAAATCTATCATCTAAGAGGGCCAAAGGGTGTTATAAGTCCCTATGAAGCCTGCGGAAATTTCTACCTTTACTTCTCTTAGAGCCATAAGGATTTCCAGGGACAAAAGCCAGTATCATCTTTGGGTTGTGGTTTTCTTGAGTACAGTTACCCACTATTCTGTCCGTGGGCTAAATGCGGCCAAACTAACCTGGTATGACCTACATGGGACTTGTAACAAATAATGTTCTTTGTTAATTACTTAATTAAGCTCTGATAGTTTATTCTGGCTAATAGTGAAGAGTGGTGTGCCCTGTTCCCACTCGGCTCTCCCACAGAGCTCCTGCTGCAACATTCACCATGTGACATGGTGCTAGAAGTTATAAAGACCTGGAGTTGTCTTCAGTTCCTATTCACTTCCTCCACCAATTCGTAGGACAAAGGTTTTAGTAAAGCTACTTAGATGTTTTGCTGTTACTGTGTTTATTGTCGAATATTCAGAGGAGTAGGTCATGTAAACTACCTAGTAAGATTTAATGAGTTACATTGTCAAGTCAAGGATGTCTTGGAGACATAAAAGGACAACTTGTTAGATCTCCGTGGCTCACAAGATTGGGTTTTCTTAGTGATCAGTTAGCTGGTCAGACAATTAAAGCTACATGGGGAAGAAATGAAATCAGATTCAAACTTGATTTGTTGACGGAGCAGATGGAGCCACATCCTGCGTTCCTTTTCTGTTGCTAAACTGCTCTGAGCTCATGAGAATCACAGAATTTTAACTGCGGAACCATTTCATTGAGAAGAAAACCGCAACTCCCCATATACTGACGAGTTTAAAACATATTTAAACTTTCTGTACCTGTCTTTGGAAGATAAGTATCAGGATGTGTCTGAATTATCAAGTATCTGCCCTTTGAGTATCCTCAATTGTGAAAACTTATCCAAGCCAAGAGTGAAATATCCCTGGAATTCTGGAGCTAAGCATACGAATCCTAAGATTATCTTAAAATATGTCACCACTAGGTAGTGTCTGAGTTCATCTGCTCAATAAAAATATACTCTTTCAATACATTCTTGAGATGAAAACAAATTAGGCAGTACTATCAGGAACGTTAACCTATAAGTGAGATGTGCCATAATTCTTGAGAAAGTCTGTAAAGTACTGATATTTTATGCATGATTAAAGTCAGTGAATGATTAGCACCTAGCTTAAAACATAGTTTTGTAAGATTAAATTTAAGAATCTTTTAAGGAAGCTGCTTTCATTTTATTCTAAAATAAATCTAATATTATAGCTAACAGGCTAAACTTCATTCTTATTTTCAATAAAAATCTATATGTCTTACAGATGTATAGATTTGTGATCATGTGCTCTAATACTGAACATATATATGGCCACTTTCATTCTATCATCAATTCCTCATTCATTGACAGGAGACATAAAGCACCCAGAGAAACAAGAGTAAGGTACGTAGTTGTACATTTTCCTAGACCTACATAGCTTTTGAAATATTACCAGACAACAACAAAGATCTAAAGAGAAAAATTTAAAATACAGCAGAAGAAAAGTAGAGCCAGGCTTTTCATTTTGGTTTAGTCATTAAATATTAGCCCAAACTCAAAAGATGTAGTGCTTTAGGATAGATGAAGGTTTAAACTCCTTACAAATGGGGCAGTACATGTACAAGACTCATTACCATAAGAAAAACTATAGGTTGAAAACTGGAAACATCCTCTACAGGGGTTTAAACAATTCATAAACTCATAACAATTCTGAGGGCAGGAAAGGCAACTTCAGAGACATTCATAGCCTCTGAGGACAGCACCATGAAAGCAAAGCTTACACACCCTCACACACACACACACACACATAACCAAACGACTCTGTCCCCTTGCAGAGAGGAGCAAAAAAGCTAGAAGGCATTGCCTGCCTAGGATGGCGCTTCTCCCACCCATCCATACAGGCATTCACTGGAGCTACAGCAAGGCAGATAACACCTGCTGGTAGTCAAGACCTTCACTGGGTGTTGGGAATAGTGCAACAGGAGACAAACAAGGAATACAAGTCCAGGTGTATTCCACAAATTATTTGTTTTCTTTCAAACAAATGATTTCTTTTAAGGCAAAATAACAGAACTACCGTTTGCATAGCTATACACTTGGTACCTTCATCTACTTTCTTTTCTCTGCTAAGAAATCTTAAGCTATGTTACTCAGGGCAATAAAAGCTGCTGAAGTGAGTATCAGACAAGAAATTCTCTCCTCTAACCTTCTAGGTTTTAATATCTGCAGCTAAACATAAAGCTGGTTCTTAAACAGAACTTCACTCTTATCTTGTTCAAAAGGTGGCTCTGATAGTGAGCAAATGCAAAGCTTTACTCCATTCAGAGAGGCATAGCTAGGGTCCTAATCTTGGAATGAAGAGAGAGACCAGCCATATTGAATTGTCTGGGGCTCTTTCAAAACCATATCTATGTTTGATATACACCCAGCTTGGCACATACTGAACCTCACAGGTGAAAAAGAGGTGGTTTCAATACAAAAGTCAATTAATTACAGACTTCTAGAAAGAAAATGAAGGGAAGAGTAGAGTTCTCATCTAGTTTTGTAAAAATGAGCCATGTGGTCTTAGGCAAGTCACTTCAGCCTCAGTTTTCTCATCTGTCAAGTAAGGACAATAAAATCCTGCTCCACCTGCCTCATGTAGCTGCTGTAAAAAATTTTAAAATATGATATAAATGAAGTATTATGATGAGTTCCCAGCCAAGGGAACTCCCTTTTTTTAAGGCTTGTAATAAAATAAGCATATTCTCAGAAGTAGGATAGTTTACAACAGGTTTTAGAAGTGGAATTCACTTTGAGGTAGATAGTTTGCCTGATGTGTCTAGAGTTCATATACCTTGTAGAAAGCCAAAAGAAATGCAGACCAGTTGTTCTAAGAAACCCCAAGAGTAGTATCTGTCTGTCTGTCTCTCTGTTTAATAAGTAACTTGATGGCTTGGGCTTCTCATTTCAACCTTTCTTTTCCCTTAACATACTTTGCTTGCCTGTTTATTCAGGGATCAAAATATTGTCTCTGAATTTTTTAGCCAAAAAAGAGGCTTATCTTGTAATGCAGAGAAGCTCTCATATGTTCCAATATAATTGACAATTCCACTTTATCTATTAAGTATTTCATGGAAGGAGAACAAATTTGCTCTGATCTAACCCTATCTAAATACATCCTAAGTGGCAGGGAAGAATCTAACTCTCCCACCACTGGGCTCCAATTTTCTAGAGCTGGAGTGGGTTAAAAAGAAGCAGAACTTGGCTAGGCATGGTGGCTCACCCCTGTAATCCCAGCACTTTGGGAGGCCTAGGTGGGTGGATCACGAGGTCAGGAGTTTGAGACCAGCCTGACCAATATGGTAAAACCCCACCTCTACTAAAAATACAAAAATTAGCCAGGCGTGGTGGCACCTGCCTGTCATCCCAGTTACTCAGGAGACTGAGGCAGGAGAATCACTTGAACCCGGGAGGTGCAGGTTGCAGTGAGCCGAGATGGCGCCACTGCACTCCAGCCTGGGCAACAGAACGAGACTCTGCCTCAAAAAAAAAAAAAAAAAAAAAAAGAAAAGAAAAGAAGCAGAACTTATGTGGAACTGCAAGACGAAACAAGAACACTGGAGGTGGTGGTTTCTGGACCCAGTGAATCCAGAAGGCCCCATGGCTCCAGGAGACACCTCAGTCCCCAGCTAACAGGACAGAGAGCTAAGAGTGCTCACTTCCTTATTAGTGTCTGCCACTACAATTAATGAACTCTGGAAAGATGTACCATTTTAATGATACAGTTATTAAAAAGGAGTATGTGTGGGAATAATGTAAGCATTGCATACTAAATAAATTTCTATGACAAATTGATTCTTACATTCTAATCCGTACCTATTTTCAAGTTAAAATAATTCCTTATAATAAAATACCACAAACTGGAAATAAAAACAACATGTACATAGACTCTCCCCATGAAAATATCCCTCATTTTTTTTTTTTAGAAATAGCATCTCACTCTGTCGTCCAGGTTAGAGTACAGTGACATGATCATAGTTCATTGCAGCCTTAAACTCCTGAACAATCCTCCCACCTCAGTCCTCCCAGTAACTGGAACTATAGGTGCATGTCACCATGCCCGGCTAATTTTTTAAAATTTTTTGTAGAGACAGAGGTCTCACTATGTTGCCCAGGCAGGTCTGGAACTCCCGGGTTAAAGCAATCATCCCACATCGGCCTCTCAAAGTGCCAGGATTACACGCATGAGCCAATCCCTGGCCCCTCAATTTGAAAAGTAAAATAGAAATATATCATCTTTTTAGGAGTTTTTAAAAAATGGGTTTTTAAAAAAATGATTCTAAAGATACAGCATCAAGGCTTTTGAAGTTTACCTAATTAACTTGATGGCTTCCAGCTCCTCGGCACTTAGTGAAGAAGGCACCTTCAAGAGAACCATGTTGAATATGCAATCATCCAAAAGCGCTGCTGCCTCCTTCGTGTCACTGATGGTGATGGTGACTTCTGCTATGTTTGCAAATAGTTTCTGTACAGTATCAGCCAGGTAGCCCACAGTGACATCTCCAACTAATAAGATGTCTATTTTTGCCTGAAAGAGAAGGAAGCAGAGGCGTCACATAATTATTGCCTAGGCATAGGGAAAATGTCATGTATGAGAGGATAAGATAAATAAAGCTCACAAATAACACAACAATTGACTCCATATCTAGTCTGACTGGCTAGATGGTCAACTATAAGCAGCTCAAGGACAGGAACTACTAATTTCACATCTTCAGTACCTAGACTAGTGATTAGATCTGAAGGTCACCCTGTTTTTAAACATTTTGCCTACCAATGCTATTCTACTTCAGTTTTTCTGCAAATTTCTCTCTCATCCTATTAAATGATAGAGTTCTTATGACTCAGTTTTCCAAAAGTCTTTCCTGCTGGAAAATCTGTTTATTGCTGAAAGGATCAAAGTCATGACTCTCCCACATGATTTATTTTGGTGAAACACACATTCCAGGGAACAGAGAAAGATTTAAATTCCTAAATCATAAGAAACACTGAAATAAAGTCCTTTCAATGGAATATATGTGCTATTCAAACCTCAATATTAGGAACCAAAAAGGCCATTTGCATTTGGAGATATTTTCAAGTATATTCAATTAGGAAAAAGAGCATTCCCAACTTCATGTTTTATTTCTGTATGTTTTATTCTCTACAGCTAATGAACTCAACCCACTGAAAATGCCAAAGAATGGGGATGCTTAAATTAATGGAAATAGAAGACAATTGGAAATGCCAGGCCATAGACATCTGTATGAGAAAACAGATTTGGGAGGTGATTAGAGTTGAAGCTAAGAGTGAGGGAAGGGGCTGGAAATACTTGTACAAAGAGAAAGGCAGCTTGGCAAAGAAGCAACTCCACAGGGCAGGATGCTGGTGTAAGTGGCCCCGTGGGGCTTCCTTCTCTTTTCAGCCTGGTTTCCTGAGGGTTGCAAGAAAGAACAGGTGAGGTGCAAGAAACTAGGCAATAGTAAAGTAAGCAAAGCTTTGGCACTTCCACCTGCTCACCTAATTTTCTTCCTTTTTTTTATAAAATAGTCAACCTTCCTTTACCATCTCTCATATCCTAATTCAATCCCTTCTCTGAAAGGAACTGCTGTCAAGAGTCTGGTGTCTATCCTTCCAGATGATTTTTGTGTCAAACATATAAGTACGATACACACATACATAGCTTTTCATAAATGGGCTGTTAGTATTTTTTGAAGTGAGTTGCTTTTTTCATTTAACAATATAGTTCAACAATTCCTCAAAATTTCTGATTCACTGGGAACATTCTCATTTTCCAGGCGGTTATAGATTTATTCTCATAAAAATACGTTTTCTATTATTTGTTGGGATCAGGGGTAAATGTGCTCATCTGTCATCTTGATCCAGTCTTCCTTATTTTCGATGATGACAATTGATTGAGACATTCTCCCAGTGTTGGGTTTTGATGTTATTACGGTGCCATGATGAATACATTTATAAATACATCTGTGTGCAAATAAGCATATATCCTCGAATCCAAACTAGAAAATCAGAAAGTAAACTTTTACTTGTTTTGCATACTCCAAAGGATACAAAAATTTATATCCCCGTAAGCAGTATATATGAGTACTCATTTCCCCAAACCCTTAATAAGACTGATTATTCTTAACCTTTAAAAAAATTTTGTATTGTGAGCAAAAAATCTTATCCTTTTTATTGGCATTTTTTGAATGAATGGAGTACCTTTTCATTTTAGTGGCAATTTGCATTTTATTATCACATATTTATCATGCATGCCCATTTACTCCCTTTGCTCACCTTCCTATTTGTGGTTTGTATTTTTCTTATTGCTTTGTGGGAGTTTATACAGTCTGGATATTAGTCAACCACTTTTTTTTCCAGTCTGTCACTCTGCCTTTAATTCTTTTTTTTTGTTTTTTTTTTTTTTTTTGAGGAGTCTCACTCTGTCGTCCAGGCTGGAGTGCAGTGGCGTGATCTCGGCTCACTGTAACCTCTGCCTCCTGGGTTCAAGAGATTCTCCTGCTTCAGCCTCCTGAGTAGCTGGGATTACAGGTGCCCACCACCATGCCTGGCTGATTTTTTTATTTTTAGTAGAGATGAGGTTTCACCATGTTGGCCAGGCTAGTCTCGAACTCCTGACCTCGGGTGATCCGCCCACCTTGGCCTCCCAAAGTGCTGGGATTACGGGTGTGAGCCACCGTGCCCAGCCCTTTAATTCTGATTATAAGGTCTCTTGTCACTAATAAATATTTAATATTTAGTAACAAATCTACTGTTTCCTTTATGGCTTTGGTGAATTTTATCTTGCTTTCAAAGCCATCTCCATTTATGTTAAAATATGCTTTGGTAGAGTATTCTAATACTTTTAAGGGTTTATTTTTGCATTTAGCTTTTTATCCCAGCTGGAGTTTATTTGGTGATGAATATGAGGTAGGTATCTGCTTTCAGTTTTCTTTTTTAAATGCAGAACTAATTGACCCAACAGGATTACTGAACAGACTAACCTTCTCTCAGTGTTTTCAAGAGCGAAGTTTTCACAATGCCAGGTAGGGGTGTGTGGGGGTGTGTGTGTGTTTCTGGACTTCATTCTGATCCACTGATCTATTTGCCTATTCCTGGTTAATACCACACTGCTTAATTACTAGCTCTTTATAGTGTGTTTTGATATTTGACAGAGCATGTTTCCCTGTTATTTTTCAATTCAGTTATTATATATTTTCCAACAATTTCTCTTCCAACAGAAATCGGCATCAGTTTGTCAAGGAACCTTGTTAAAGTTTTAATTATGGTGGCCTCTATTTTAACAGTTAATTAGAAAATATTGTTGCTATATTAAATCTCCGTATTTAGGAAGTATGCATCTTAGAGAATTTGGGTCTATTATGATCTTCAGTTTTATGGACTTTCATATCGATTTTGCATGTGTCCTAGCATGTATTCCCAGATATGTCCTACGTATTCCCAGATATTTCAACCTTTGGAGGTCACTGTGAAGGGGATCTCTTCTTACTCACTACATTTTCTGATTGATTATAGCTGACATATAGAAGCGCTATTGATTTCTGTATAAGGAACTTGCTTCAAGTAATGCACTTTATAGTACTCTCTGTTCAGTTCCAATACATTTCCATTGATTATTCTCAATTTCCTAGGTAGGCAATCCTACCGCCTTCAAAAAATTACACTTTTTTTCTCTATTTCCAGAACTTATGCCTTTTATTTGACTTTAAAGCATTGGCTAGAACATCCAAAACAAAGGTGAATAACAGGAGTGACAGTAGGTGTTCCTGTCTTGTTCCTGACTTTAGTGGGAATATTTCAAATCATTTTACTACTAAATATGATACTTACTGAAGATTTCTGATCAATATCCTTTATCAGTTAAAAAAGTTTCTATTTGGAAGCTAAGAATTTTACATCAGAAAAGGGTGTTGATATTTATTAAATGCTTTTTCAGTATAACATGATTTTTTTTTAATTCTTTGATCTGTTAGGCAGTGAATCATATTAATAGATTTCCTAATGTCAAGCCATCACAGTATTGCTGGGATAAACCTATTCATAATGTGTAATGAATTCAATGCCTTCACCTTTAGATTTTTGCATCTATGTTCATAAATGAATCTTGATATAATTTTGTTTTATTGTATTGCCTTATCTTGTTTAGGTATCAGGGTTATGCCAGCCTTGAAGAATAAAATATTGTTCTATGGTCTTGAATAGTTTATAAAACACAGAAATTATCTGCATCTTAAGTTTAGGTAAAACATGTCTAGAAAATCTGGTTCTGAAGACATTTATAGAGCTGGATCTTACATTTCATTTTATAGTTCCTTATTGATTAATGGTAAATTGAAGTTTCTCACCTTCTCTTAAATGAATTTTGTTCATATACATTTTACAAATCCATTTCATATGGAGTTTTTATATTGTTTAATGTTTTAATTTTAAAATATATATATAATACCTATTACTGGTGTTGAGTTCATTTTGCTTCTTAACTATAAATGTTTATTTTTTTCTTTTTCTGGTAATGCTTTATTGAGAATATAGAACTGTGTAGTCCAATACAGTAGCCACATGCGGCTATTTAAACTTATGTTAATTAAAATTAATTAAAGTTTGAAATTCAGTTCAGTTGCACTAGCCATATTTCACATTCTCAACATCCTCATGTGGTAAGTGTGGATTATCAGACGGTATAATTACACAACATTTTCATCATTGTGGAAAGTTCTATTGGGCAGCAAAGTAGAGGATCTAAATTTTCCTCCTAGTGGCATTTTGTTGTACCCCACACATTTTTATATATAGTGAGTTCATGTTCATTCATTGCTAATTAGTTTATAATTTCAGTTGATAGTTCCATTTTAATCTAAGACTTTTATTAAATACCTATATAAAGGTGTTTTTAATTTTCAAGGCAATAGTATGTTTGGTTTTTTATTTTTTTGACTATTTGTTAGTTGCTCATTTCTTATTTCAGTGCATTGTCAACAATGAATGTGTCCTGCATGACATCTACTTTTTAAAATTTGTTGACATTTTCTTCATAGCCTAATACACAGTTTTTGTTAATCGTCCATGGGTACTTGAAAACAATACCTGTTTTCTGTTGTGCATAAAGTTCTATATATCTTTTAGAACAAAATTGTTAATTCTTTCTTTGCTTATATTAGGTCTACTTGATCTTTCCGTTTATGAAAGAAGAGTATCAAAATCTCCTTAATTATGGTTTTGTCAATCCATCAATTTCTCTAATCATAGGTTATATTTATAATTATGGGTTAAGTACATAAAGGTTCATGATAATGATATTATATAAATATATAACTATAATATTTAACAACATATGTAATCTATGTTTACATAGTATGTTATTAGTGTATATATATAGATGATTCTATATAGCAAATACTACTATATAAAACATACCTCCTTGCCCTTTAATGTTTTTCACCTCAAATTTTATTTTTCTGATATACAGCTTAGTTCTTCATACCCCCTTATTTTAAACTTTTCTTTATCATCTTTTCTGTGACTTTTGTAAATAGCTTTTAATTGAATTTACAGTTTTTACAAGCTGATCTTTCAGTTTTTAATGTATGAATTTAAGTAATTACATTACTGACATTAACTAGTGTACATTAACTTCATTAATGTAATGTAATGAATTAGCTAATATCAATTAATTGTGAACATTTACAATTTAATGTGAAATGACCTTATTCCCTTTCATTTATTATTTCAGGCTTCCTATTTACTGTAATTTTTTTTTTCCATAGCTACTCTTAGGCTGATCAAATTTTCATTTTTCCATCCTGTTGTTCCTATAATGCTTTGGGAGTGAAATCCCTAATTTTTATACCTTAAGTGCTTAATTGTCTTTTTATTTGGAATTAATTTGACTTACAGAAGAGTTGCAGAGAGGGTATGGTGAGTTCTCATAAACATCTGACTCAGCTTCCCCAAATATTAACATCTTACAATCATAGTATGTTTATCAAAACTAAGAAATTGTGAGAAAGAAAACCCTAAGAAATTAATATTAGCATAGTACTATTAGCTAAACTACAGACTTTATTTGAATTTCACCAATTTTTCCACTGATAGCCTTTTTCTGTCCCAGGATCCCATCTGGATAATAGGTTGCACTTAGTCCTCGTGTCTCCTAGTTTCTTCTAATATGCAATGGTTTCTCAGTTTTTACTGGCTTTTGAGGAGTGCTGGTCAGGTATTTTGTAGAGTGTCCCACTACTTGGATTTGTCTGACGTTTTCTCATAATTAGACTGGAACTATAGATTTTGGGTAGAATACCATGGACATGAGCGCCCCCTTCTTATGGTGTCATATATCAATGAGAGATTTCCAGGGAGGTTCACCTTGGTCGCTTGGTTAAGATGGCGTCTGCAAGGTTTCTCCACTGTTAAGTCACTTGTTTATCCTTTCCACATTCTTGTTTTCAGAAGGCAGTCACTAAGTCTGGCCACACTCAATGGAAAGGGACTAAAGTACCACCTCTTGGAGGGAGGAATATCAAACAATTGTGGATGTACGTTAAAACCATCACAGTAATTAATAAATATGTTAGTGGAGATGGTTTGAGGCTTTGCAAATATCCCATTTCTCCTGAAAGTTATACCCTCTGTTCCTGCCCTTTATTTGTGGATCTTGCCTGTAGCAATTATTACTATGACATTCCATTGGTGATTTTCTATTTCCTTCCATCTACATTTATGATTTGGAAATCTTATGTAAGGAGGATATGTTCCTTTTCCCTCATTTACTTATTTAGTCAATTGTTTATTTAAATCAGTAAGGACATATTTATTTTATTCTTTGGGTTACAATCCAATACTATCATTTATTTTGTTACTCAAATTACTCCACTTTGGCCGCCAAAATTTCAGAAATACTTAATTATTAGTAAGTATACATAGCCATTTTCAATTAAGATGTAGAGTTAATCTAAATCTACAGCCTCTCTCCAAACAAGGCAGCATCCTTAACATGCCTCCCTCCACCCCATATACTTCCCAAACCATGACTATCTGGAATTTTAGTTCCAATCATTATTAAATATTTACATTTTTATTAACATTTACACTTAATTTTTTGTTTCTCTGAGTCTCACAGTTTCTTGTATCTCATATTTGCTTCTTTCTTGGATTCATTTTACTGAATTGCCGTACAGGCTCAGAAAATTATTTAAAGACCGTCTGATAGCATCAGAGTCCTACCAAGTCTGAAAACATCTTCACTGTGCTCTCACAATTCAGTGCAAGTTTTACCCAGCAAATACTTATAAGGTCAAAATCACTTTGTCTCTGAATTTTCCTTCTGGAATCCAAGTTGCTAATGAAAAGAATAAGCTGCTTCGTTCCTTTGGATGCTTTTCTCCTCTTTTTCCTCTGCATTCTGATAGTTTCTAGGCTGTGTTTAAGTATATATCTTATTCATCCTACTTGGCACACAGTAGCTCTGAAAATTTTCTTCTCTTATTTCTTTATTTCCTCCTTTCTGTTGTCTTTGTCTCTCCTTGTAAATCTTCTAAGAGATGCTGGATGTCTTAAATTGATCCTACATGCCTTGACTTCTCTCTCAGAGATTTCTTCATTTTTCAGATTACCAGCTTAGTCTTCACTCCTTCTAAGTATTTTTTTATATAATTTCAATCCATTTAATGTGAATTACTAATTTCTAAGATTTTTTGGGTAATTTTTCATAACCTGCTATTTTTAGGATGTGATATTCTCTCTACAGATACAAATTCAAATTTTAGAAGTTTTTTTTTTTTCTATTCCCTTATGTCCTAGTTTATTCAAGCTGCTATAACAAAAGACTATAAACTGAGTGGCTTATAAACAACAGAAATTTATTTCTCAGCTCAGAGGTTGGGAAGTCCAAGATCACAGCACTGGCAGATTAAATGTCTGGTGATGGCACAATTTCTAGTTCATAGATGGCAATTTATTTGTGTTCTCACATGGTGGAGAAGCAAGGGATCTTTCTTGGGCCTCTTTTATAAGGCACTAATCCCATTCACAAGGGCTCCTCCCTTATGACCTAATCACCTCCCAAAGACCCCACCTGCTAACGCCATCACCTTAGCAGTTAAGATTTCAACATATGAATTCGGTAGAGGGCACAAACATTCAGACTACAGCACCTTAAAAATCTGTCTCTTCAATCGTTCAGTGTGTGCATTCGTCTAGTTCTGTTAATGTCTGTCAATCCTTTGTTTCCAAACATAAATATGAATCAAGAACTAAGTGGGTGTGAACAGGCAGTTTCTCCTGCAGCTGAGGTGGTGTTTCCTCAGTGGGGGCCTCCTTTAATGGGACAACTGACTATGGGTTTGGTGAGAGTGAGCAGGATGAGTGAAAGCAAAGGCTGGAGAGCAGAAAGGCTGGCGCCAGCTAATTGTCAAAATCAAGGTGGGCTCTACTCTGAAGACCAAGTATGTTAGTTTATTTTCCTCCTGGAAAGAACTGCCTTTCCTTTCCTCTTTCAGTTACAGAGATCGGGAAATTACTCATACCAGGAGTCCTCATCTCATGTATAGTTCATTTTCTTTAGAGAATAGTTCCTGAGTTTTATCCTTAAGTTAAAGGCACCATTGCTCCTGCTTTAGTAGGAGTGAGCTGGGAGAGTCCACAGGGTAAATCCAGGGGGCCAACCTGGCCTGGGAGTTCTGTACCCAGCTAATTCAAACCAGGTGAGCACCCTTTGGGCTACTTTCATCTTTGTTTCTGTCAACATTGAGCCTGGACTATCACTAAAATTGTTTTATCACTGCATTTCTTCTCTTTGTGTCTTTTAAGCTGTGGATTTTCTACTTTTGTTTTAGGTGTAATTGGACCCCATTTGCTTTCTAAATGTCACATTTTACTGTGTATTTTTTTTTTTAACGTTCAGAGAGAAGTTGCTTTGTTCAAACCAAGATCCCATTAAGAACTATGCATTGCATTTGGTTGTTGTATCTCCTTGATCTTTTAATTTGGAATACCTGCCTTCTTATTTTTCCATGATATTTACTTGAAGGAATCATCACATTTTGAAAACATCTGCTCTGGAGTTTGGGGTAGATGGGGAGGTTGACCTGTGTGCTCAATCATCATGAGCCAATCTCCTTCACCTGCAGTACCCTACTCTAAACAGGATACCAATTTAAACTCCTTAGCATGGTGTTTCATAGCCTGCTACCAACCTACTTCAAACTTATTTCCTTCTACTTCCCTCAATACTCTATATTCCAAGAACACAGCACAACACTTTTAAATGAGCTTTGAAATATGTAATTTCTACAGTAGAGAGCGTTGGGGCCCTACTAGTGTGTTTCCTTTTCATTTTATAAACACTCCTCATTTCCAGCAGCACTTTAGGAGCAGCATGGGACTCTAAGCCTTTGTGATGCCTGTGAGCGCAGATTGTTTGCGAATCTCCACCATAGCATGTGATTTCTTCTATGCAAATATATTCTTTGTGAACCCAAAGCCAAACAATGAAACAGTCATTAACAAGTGATCACAACAGGAGCAATTATAGTTTTGTTTTTTAATTAACCTGATTAATTGAAGCGAATATGAATGCCCAAAAATAACCTATCTAATACGATCAGGGTGTATGGCCATATAATTGATCTTCCAAACTGAGGCTCTTTTGAGAATGAAAGGAGGTGCCATTAATAATTACACTAAAATAACACATATAAACTAGGGTGTCCTGGGATATAGTTTGTAAAACTTTCTATTAGTAAGGTTTATTTTTTCTTTTAAAATATCCTGCCACTTTATGTCTCTGCTTAAATATGCTTGATGTTTATTCTCTCCATAGATATTTATTGAGCCCTTACTATAGGGCAGACACAGGGCTGGGCGCTAGGAGCACAAGGTGAACAAACAAGACAAGGTCCTTGCCCTCATGGGGCTTACATTCTAATAGCCCTTTTCTCTGCTGATAAGAAAGCATGGCATTCAATCCTTGGAATATAGGAAGAATAGAGTATGACCAGTTCTACTAAGGGTGTTATCTTTTTTCAACAGCTTGATGCAGTGGGAAGGGAGCAAAGCCATTTGAGGCAGACAGACCACAGTCCTGTCACTTAGTTCAACTATTTACCAGTGGCTTTGAATAAGACACTTAAGTGACCCTCGTCTGAAGGATCAAAATGCTTACGTTGCAAGAATGTTATGAGAAGTGTTTGTATAGTGCCCTGCAGGTGGTAGTTATTGCCATGTTTTTGCAAGTAATACCGAACTGAGCACAAAGAACACAGAAAACGTCAAATCAACCTAGCAGGGGAAGGACCAGGGGAGAGAGGAAAATGTGTCCATGCTGGGCTCTGCACTGTTTGAATCACAGTGCTCAGGAAACAGGGCCTCCTGCAGAGCATAAGCTTTAAAATAATAGAAATCAACTGCCTAGCTTGAGCCTTTCCCTAGCTAGCACATGGCATTCTGACTGCACTATCCTCCCCTTAGAGGCTCAGTTCCAGTGTCCCCAGAATCTCTCGGCCTTTTGGGGGGAAAAAAAGTCAAGAAAGAGTTATGAAGGGCAGAACATGCATAGTGGGAAGTCGGGAGAAATCTGAGGGTAGGTAGGAAGATGATCTGGAAAGGGATGAGGAGAAACAAGCACCACTAACCCACCGTTCTGTGCAGGAGTCTGAAGTTTTTGCATAGCATCTTGCACCATGGCACAGAGCGGGTATGACATAAAGCAGCTCTGGAAAGAACTGATTTGCTCTTTTGCCAAATGCTTCTTTCTCTGCTTTACAAAATCAGTGCCATAGCACACTTGGAATGTTAATGGACAAATCAGAACACTGCTCAAGTCCACTATCCCAGTTCCATAACTCAAATTAACAGAATAGTTTATAATCAACATAAATCTGAATATTTATTTAGTTTAAAATATGTTGTTGACAATGTAATATGAACACAGGCGATAAAAAAGATCTATTGACAAAAAGAAAAAGGAATAAATGTTTCTAGTATATTCTGCTTGGAAAACTGCCTTTTAGTACATCTAAGATTTTCACCTGCAAGCAGTAATCTGAACCAGTGTTAGGCTTCGTTTGATGAAATATCTTTTTCTGTTTGAATTGCTTACTACACCTTTGTAAACGAAAGTAACATGTATTCACTGGGAAACACTAAAAAATTCAAAAAAGAAAATAAAGTGTAATTCCACCACTCAGGGTAAGCCCTATTAACACCTTGGTACATACCCTTTAAGTGTGGGTGGTTTTAATAACACGACATCATTGTCACCAAGACACTTCATCCACTGTTTCATTTCTGTGATCACAGTAACATGCAGGGCACTCTAGTCTCTACAATTTTTAAAACACTGGATTTCCATTTGCAATCTGTGGCAGGCTAAACCCTTAATTAGTAACAGCAGGTGCTGAAGTGCTTAAAGCAAATCACTCCTACATTTTAGTGAGTTGTTATTTATGTCACTCTTATCACCAGGAGCAGAGCAGCCCACAATCAGCAGCAGCTGCAGGGCTGAGGCTCTCATGGGGCAATTGCGGGCCTTCAGTTTCCTCAGGAGTCAAGGGATTTAAACAGCTCTATCTGGAGAAACTGAGCAAGCGGCTTTTCTCACAAAGGCACACAAAGGGGTCAGTTGGGGCTTCACACTCTCTTAAGGGGAGGAAACCACAATTATTTATGTTCTACTAGATAATCAGATATTTCATTCAGAATTCATTTTGTGCAGCTTTGCCTAATCCTGCACCATAAAATACTATTTTTCCTTAGAGTTTAAATAGGTTCCTCTATCTTGAAAAATTAAGAAAACCTGTTAAACGGGTCCACTTCAAAGTGATCCTAATTCCATTTCAGAAAGCTTGCTCTTAAGAAGAGATGAAATTAAGTTTGCAGAGCATTCTAAGAGGTAATAAGACTACACTCAGCACAAAAGATTGCTCTCTCCTATTTATCAAGATGCGGAAAATACTAAGATGAAAGCCCCCCTCCCCAGCTGGCCTTGCTTTCTGGCGTGGGGAGGTTTCGCCTACGCTTTCCTCCTAGTGGGGTAATCATCACCTTTCACTTTTATCGAAAACAGTTACAAAAGTGATTTTGTGCTTTGCTAAAGGGGCTGAAAAATAAGGTGCTTTCAAGAGAGGCCAGCGGGCTTTTTGATTTCCATGGAGGTGGCAAATGCGTGCAGAGCAGGTCCCGTTCCCACCACGGCTTTGGTTCCACACAAAGTTGCCTGTTTGGGGGGAAGCTCCACGAAGGACACTTTGGGATGCCACGCCAGTGCCCAAACTGAAAATAAGCATGCCCAGCTGTGCAGAGACGGGAATGCAGGAAAATAACGCGCCTAAATAAACTTTCTTATATTAAAAATAAAAATCATCGTTCACATTTTTGTCCAGCCACCAGCCCCAGAGTGCCTACTAAATTGTGTTTCTAGGTAGCTAACTTCACAAGTGGCCTTCTGCTCGAAAAATAAGTTGGGGAAACGTCAAGGGCTAAGATTTTTTTTTTTTTTTTTTAGTTGGAGAATTCACATTTATTGAGTAATTGATGTGATGCAATCTGCAATTTTTGGATTCAAGATAATTTTCACTGAACATTTCATCAGTTAATGGGTTTTCTTTATAACACGATTCAGTTCTCTTTCTTCCTTGGCCTCCTCTCCCGAGATAAATCAGCCCCGTCCCCCAACCTCAGGCCCCAAGGGCCTGGTGGCACCCGGGGGCACCCTCAGAAGCCGGGTCGGCGCTTCCCCAGCTCGGGGCGCCGGGGGAGAGTGGACTCGCGTCCTGGAAGGGGCCCTTCCTGCTATTCGCTCCCCACAGTTCCCCGACAATGAGAGCTCCCCAGGCCGGGCTTTGAGGGCCGAGGGGACCACCGACCTAGGGCCCGCCCGCGAGGTTATAAACGCAGCTGCCTCCCCTTCCACAGCCTCTTACCTGGCCCGAGATCTGGCAGTGCTCCTGGCAGATAATTGAGGAAGCCATGGCCGCTGCGCACGTGCTGGGTCCTGGGGCAGCCTCCCAGCAGGAGGAGCTCCACAGCCGCTGCGTCCCGGGCCCGCCCCCTGCACTAATGGCTCCTGGCCGCAGCTGAGGGCGAGCACGCCCCAGGCGCCCTTAAAGTGGCCCTGTCGCCAGTTCTGGCGCGTGGGGGAGCAGCAGGCCGCTCTGAGGGGTCAACGCGGAACCCGGGTCGGGGGCCTGCCCGCGGGGGCTACTCAAGCTGTCCTGGGGGCCCTTAGGAGACCGCGTCACTAGCTGACTGCGCACTCCAAGTCCCCTTCCCAGGGCAGCTCTCACGACACTAAGCCCCGCGTACTCACTCCCACTGCGCCGCCTGGGGAGGCGGGAGGCAAGGCGTCATCTCAAGATGGTCTAAAAATTTTAAGAAGTCTTTTCTTACGGGCAGTCTTTCCAGTTTAAATGTTAGGAATTAGCAAACACTTGGGTTTGTTTTGCTCTTTTCTAAACAAACATAAACAGAGGATAGGAAAGGCGAGTACTTCTATGGTGATTTCTTTCCAAACCACTAAGAAATTTAAAATGTTAGGCCGGGCGCGGTGGCTCACGCCTGTTAATCCTAGCACTTTGGGAGGCCAAGGCGGGTGGATCACTTGAGCTCAGGAGTTCGAGACCAGCCAAGCCAACATGGTGAAAACCCGTCTCTACTAAAAATACAAAAATTAGCCAGGCATGGTGATGGGAGCCTGTAATCCCAGCTATCTGGGAGGCTGAGGCACAAGAATCGCTTG
This sequence comes from Homo sapiens, assembly GCF_000001405.40. Lineage (NCBI taxonomy): Eukaryota > Metazoa > Chordata > Mammalia > Primates > Hominidae > Homo > Homo sapiens. The sequence goes on from NC_000013.11 coordinate 36,215,294, forward strand.
AACCCGGAAGGCGGAGGTTGCAGTGAGCCAAGATCGCCCACTGCACTCCAGCCTGGGCGACGGGGCGTGATTTCGTCTCAAAAAAAAAAATTAAAAATATTAGAAACACTTCATTTTTGTGCCGTGATTTAACAAATACTGTCCCTATTTTCTCAACGGAAACAATGAGGCGATAAAATTTTCTCGTGACTGCTGCTATGTAAACTCCTCTACTCAACCTTCACTGAACATTTTACTGAGACCTATTGGGCGTCAGACCCGCGGAGGATCCTTCCTCGGATGTGTCTTGACTACTGTGCCATGATTTTTCACTGCTGTAAGTGTGGTGGTTATTGTGGATGACTGCAGACTCTGGATCTCACTAGAGCATATAACACAGAGGAGCTCTCCGGGGAACCATCTCTGCAGGCGGTCCCTGGGCAAGTCTCCTGGTTCCTGAGCAGCTGGTGCTGTGTCCTGGGGGTCCGATTTAGATCCCGGGGGCATGCAAAAATACAGCTGTGATACTCTACAGTTCTGATGGGAAGAAAAGGAGCAGATGAACTTCTGATGGGATCATTCTGCATTACTTTTGGAAGTGTACACGTCTTAATAGAGTGTAATAAATTTCACTTCTATTGCTTTTCCAATTAATCAGGAACTGACAGTATCCACATCAATATCTGTGCGGGAAGTGGTTTGCTCACCAATGTAAGACAGAGGTGAAGTCCTTCCCAGGCATTGGTGTAGGGTGTGAATTGAGGCAGCTTTGAGCATTTCGTCCTGAATGCGCAAGCACCAGATTTCCATTGCTCCAGAGGTCTAGACTAGCAAGTCTAACTCTAATAGACAAAGACAATGTTGAAAGAGAAACGGACTCATTTGCTTTTAAGTAAAAAAAAAAGCCCCTAAGATTATGTGAGAGGAAGTCATCACTACTGTGTTGAAGGAAGAAAAAAAAGATAATAAACTTCTCCTGTATCTAGAATATGAGTCCAAGCTTCCTAAGAACTAACTTAGATATTTTTGTTTCCAATCTCCTTTAAAAAAAAAAAAAAAAAAAAAAAAAAGGTCAGGTGTAGTGGTGGCTCGTGTCCATAATTCCAGCACTTTGGGAGGCCGAGGTGAGATCACTTGAGGTCACTAGTTCCTGAGAGCCAGGACACCCCTGTCTCTACAAAAACTAAAAAAAATTAGCCTGGCGTGGTGGCACACACTTGTGGTCCCAGCTACTCCAGAGGCTGTGGTGCGAGGATTGCCTGAGCTTGGGAGTTTGAGGCTGCAATGATCTGTGATTACACCACTGCTCTCCAGGCTGGGGAACAGAGGGAGACCCTGTCTCGCAAAAACAAACAAACAAACAAACAAAAAACTTTCTTTGTAAATGAACAGACATCTACTCTAAAACAACATCTCTTCCCAGGGAAGATTTTGCCCTCCAAGGGACATTTGGCAATGCCTGAAGACGTTTTTCATTATCATCACTGGTGGTGCACTAGCTTCTAGCCAGTAGAGTTCAGGGACGCTGCTAAACATCCTACAATGCCCAGGACAGCGCTCTACAACAGAGAATTATGTGGCCCAAAATGGCATTCGTGCTGAGGTTGAGAAACCCTACTATTAATATAACCCCTCCAAATTATAACATAGAGTGTAAGCCATTTAATTTCTTTGGCATCTTTCACATTCTTGAATCTTGTGTAGTGGAAAGGAAAAGATGACGTTTGGAGGAAAGGAAGAAATATTACACACACCAAAATGGCAAACTCAGTATTTCAAAGCCAGAACTGGTGTAAATTGTGTTGCTGGTTGCATGGGGAAAAGGAAAGGTCAGTTTTAATCGTGTCCTTTCCCTATTTGAAAACGTACAAGGGTTTCTCTGCTTATTACAATTAAGTCCCATTCCTCTGTGTGGCATTAGGGCCACATTACCTTGTCCCATTCTGGCTTTCTAGACTTACCTTCAAATCAAGTGACTAGATTAGTTTCTATTCCCTAATAGTGTCCTGAGGTCCCCCCAAGAGTCCCCAGTATAAGATTTGCACAAGCAGATAGAGTAACTTCTTTCTTTGGAATTGTAGTATTGATAGGATAAGTCATCTGAAGCCTAGAGGAGCCCCAAGCTGCCTTAAAGAATAGCACTTGCCATCACAACAGTGTAAGCACAGTTTATTGGTTTGGGAACTGCCCTGAATCTAGGTTCTGATCCTTCCCAGCTGCTAATTCACTTATTTGATTCTGAGCTCTGCCTGAAAAACATTTCCTGTCCCATTATCCCTGCATCAAAGAGGCTTCCACTTCTGCTGCGTGCATGCCTTCTTTCTGCCTCTCCCTCAGTCCTCCTAACCTGAAAGCACAGTTCTGACACCTGCGTTGTCTGAGGTTTAGCACACCTGCTTACCCCTGAATGTTATACTTGTGCTTGCTTGGGTTTCTCCCACACAACAGGCTGACTCACACTTTTGTTCTGTGGTTAGTCTGAGAAGACAACGAAAAATTTTCAAAGTAGTACTAATTCCATCTGCTAAAGATTTAATATTGATGTCCCCCCAAAATTCATATTTGAAATCTAGCCCCCAGGTAATAGTATTAAGAGGTGGGATCTTTGGAAGGTAATAGGTCATGGGGGAGGAGCCCTCATAAACTGGATTAGTGCCCTTGTAAAAGAAGCCCGCGAGAGATCCCTCACCCCTTCTACCACGTGAGGACACAGTGAGAAGATGCCATCTATGAACCAGGAAGTGGGCCTTCCCCAGATATTGAATCTGCTGCTGCCTTGATCTTGGACTTCACAGCCTCCAGAACTGTGAGAATAAATTTCTGTTGTTTGTAAGCCACCCAGTATGTATTTTGTTATAGCACTTTAAATAGACTAACACTGTCTCACACCTCTGCTCAACAATTATGACTTGATTTTAGCAGCATGGTAAGGCGGAGACTGTTTATTAGATTTCATATCCTAGTATTTAGTATACATACAGAAGGTGATAATAAATACATGTTTTTCCCAATGAGTTTAGAACCACTGCCCTTAGGTAGTAACACAGGTCAAAGAATAGTGCCAACTTCTAATGATGCCCTGCGTTAGATTGCAATAAGACTTGACAGTTTTCTCATCATTCAGTATGTTCACTTTTTAAAACCGGATTTAGTTCTACTAAATCTGCCTCATTTTAATCACAAGTCTTTGCTAGGAAATGTAGAGCTAAACCAAAGTAACACTATAACCATGGAGGAGGGACTGTGTCACACAAAGTCCACAGTGGGCCTGTGCGATCCCACATTGATTCATTTTGAGTGCATCCCCCCATGGTAGTCATTGGTTATAGCTCTATGGTCTGAGGAGATCACAAAGTTACAAATGAACTCTTTTACCTTTAGCCACAGTGACAGCCAACTGCAGCTGTATGAAGTCATGAGGAATTTCTTTAGCACAAAAATGTCAGGCCACCTTCAAGGAGAGAAGCTTCTTGTTTGTAAAGGTGAGGGATAAGCGGGAGTGGAAAAAATGTCATTCACACTTTACTCGTGAATATGTTCATGTATACTAATATGGTTTAAAAGTCAGCTGAGAGGCCTGGTATAGGTGGCTCACACTTGTAATCCAAACACTTTGGGAGTCCGAGCCAGGAGGAATGCTTGAGGCCAGGAGTTCAAGACTAGCCTGGGCAACACGGCAAAATATCATTTCTACCAAAAATTTTAAAAAAAAAAAATTAGGTGTGGTGGCACACACCTGAGAGGCTGAGCCCAGGAATTTGAGGCTGCAGTGAGCTATGATCATGCAACTGCACTCAATCCTGGGAAACAGAGCAAGACCTTGTCTCAAAAAAAAAAAAAAAAGTTATCTGAAGTAATTTTAATTTTTTTATTTTGAAAATTTCATACATACCCGAGTATATTTATTACATATGTATTATTTAAAGTATAATAATATGGATGTGTATGTACCTACCACTCAGCCTAACAGACACTATCAATAATTTTAAAATACCTTATGTGTGTCTCTCATTCACATTTCCCTGTCTCCCCAGATATAAATACTATTTTGTTATTTATTTAGTTTTACTTCTTTTCACTGCTGAAGCCAGAATGGATTGTGATGTGTGAGAGAAAGAAATCTTTGTGTTAAGCCTCTAAAGTCTGAGTTATTTTTTATAGTCATAATAGAGAGATTAATAACTTGAATTTAGGTGCTGCCTAAACAAAATACTAATATGTGTGGCATTAACTTAGCAGGTCTGCAGTGAGAGGCACAGAAAGAAATATGGGAGGTTGGAAGCCTGGGATCCCTGTTATGCCATAGCAGACCAAGTGCTTACTAAGACTGTAGGTCAAAGGAAGGATGTTGGGAAAACAACGAATAATAATGTGTTGATATGGTTTGGCTATGTCCCTACCCAAATCTCATCTTGAATTGTAGTTCCCATAATCCCCACATGTCTGGGAGGGACCTAGTGGGGAGTAAATGAATCATATTGGAGGTTACCCCCATGCTGCTGTTCTCATGATAAGAGTGAGTGAGTTCTCATAAGAACTGACAGTTATATAAGGGGCTTTTCCCACTTTTGCTTGGCACTTTTCTTTCTTGCTGCCATGTGAAGAAGGACGTGTTTGCTTCCCCTTCTGCCATGATTTTAAGTTTTCAGAGGCCTCCCCAGCCATGCTGGAACTGTGAGTCAATTAAACCTCTTTCCTTTATAAATTACCCAGTCTCAGGTATGTCTTTATTAGCAGCATGAGAATGGACTACTAAATGTGTACTAAATGTTACTGGCTGCCTTTGGTAAGAGAGAATAAATTGATGAGCTTGCAATATAGCTAACTAGTTTGTAAGGAGAAATAAAAGGGAATAGAGAGAGTCTAGGAAAGAATCTAGAAATTTGGGGCATTGAAGGGCATTAAAGAGTTGGAAAGGCCAACTATTTCTAGGTCCCAAAAAGAAAGAGATAAGGCTGAGAAAAGTCAAGCCACAAAAGGCCACTAATACTCAGCCTTGTGGCAAGGATCAGATTATGGATAGGTGTTAACTTCACATCACCTTAATCAATTAGTTAAATAACCTGCATGGTAGCTGCCATTAGGCAGAGAGAGGTATGGGCCAAAGAAACAAATCATGCTCTGAAATTATATTATACATAGAACTGGCTACTATTTTGATGGAATTTATATAAACTAGGACTAAAAAGCCTTTGAACTGTAAAATCAGCTTTAGACACCCAATTTTGTTCAAACAGATTATGAGCTCTGAAAGCTATGCATCCCCAATAGAGGGCATAACCTCATCATCCACTTCGAATGTGGGCAAGAAGATGAAAAAGGAAGAAACTCCCACGGACTGGAGCCAGTGGCTACTAAGAAAAAATGGACAAGAACATTCCTCCCAAGAGCAGAGTCAGAGCCCAAGAAAGGAACCGACCCCATTCCCAGTGAAGAGGGCTTTCACCATATCTTCCCAATGGGATTTTATAAATGCTGTGGATGAGTGATGCTGTGCGTTCTTCCTCATCTGAGCAAAGGTTATTATGGGCATCCTTCCATGCTCACACACTGACTGCTACATTCCACAGTTGTTTGGGCCCAGCAAGTATTTGCCTATCAGATTTTACAGTATTTGTACTAAGGCTTGAAAGAACAGCATCCTAGAAAGACATTGATGGAAATGCAAAAAGATTGTTTAGTTAAAAAAAATCATTGTTTTAGTTATGTTCAGCAGACTTGAAAATATACCAAGTTAGAATCAATTTTAAAATACCAATTGAGATTCAAGAACCTGATTCAGTGATGCAGCAGGCCAGGAGCCATCACCATCAATGAATAGCTCAATTTCTCTCTCATGTAGTTGCCAAGAAAGATATTATCTACTGAAGAAAACCTAAATACCTGTAAGTCTTACTAAAAATATTGTTTGATACAAGTGAGCATAGGCTGACTGCTTCAACCAGTAAAACCTAAATCTCAGTGTCTTAATACACACAGAAACATACAAAAGGATTTCCTTTTCTCTCACATAAAAACCAAATGAGGATTAACAAAGTGAGAGGAATGGATGTGCTACATGAAGTGATTCGGGGACCCAATTTTCTTCTACCTTGTGGATCTGCTATCCCTGAGGCCTTGGAATTTGCTTTTAGACCCTCTATATCCACCCATAACACAATTTTTTTTTAAAGAAAAAGCACAAACAAGAAGGATCACCTGGGACGTTTTAATGGGCTAGTCACAGAAACGACATGTATCACTTATGTCTAGGTTATATTGGCCTGAAGTCAGTCGCAGGGTCACACCTAAGTGCACACAGTGTTTCACACGCCTATCTCTAAACACAGTAGCATACATACCACACACTACCAAACAGTGTTTCATGCATATATCACTAAGCAAAGAAGTATGTGTGCATCATCACACACTGGCAAACAAAGTGTTTAACACATACACTTTGTTATGTATGTGTAGCCTAGTTCTGTGTCCCATAGAAAAAGCCTAGTTCTGTGTCCCATAGAAAAAGAAAACAGTTTGGTGAGTGCATAGCAACAGTTTTTGCCACAGTCCATCAATTTGATCACCAAATAAATAGCTTTTGCTCTTTCTTCCCAGAATATACTTACCTCCTTGCCAAGGTAAGACAAAGCCCCATCCAGTCATTTTATCCAGTGCAAATTTCATTGATTAAGGTGAGAAAAATATATTTAGGTGATAACATAAAAAAAAGTTACAGATGCATAGCAAAATGGATTTTTATATTAGATTTTAAAATATTTTCTTTGCTTTTATTTTAATGCTTTATCCTTTACTTCTGGCTTTGAGAGTAACAGGGGAAAGATTTAGCTTCTTACTGTGAAGAAACAGAAAATTAGTCAAAAATATATGAAACAACTGCAGATATTGACATGCACCTTAAGACTATGACCCCTGAGAGGAATGAAGTGAGGCCCATCCATCATTCTAGATTTCTACCTGCAGGCACAGACCTCAGAGCAGGGTAGGGGATCCCAAACAAAGCATGGTGGTTTCATGTAGTTGAGAAGACAGAGGCTGGAGTTCAGGGAGGCTGAAGTGGCTGAAGTTGCAGAGCAGAGTACCAGAGAGCTAACAGATATGTAAAAACAGAATTCCAGAAATCTGCATAGGAGCCCCTTGAGAGGTGGCTGGATATTAAGACATGTAAGCCTAGAGCAAAACTCTACGAGGTCAAGCAGAGTGCCACACAGGCCTGTGAGGCATCTGAGGTCCAACTAGCCAGTGTTGAGTGTCCCAGCTGATCACTCACAGAATTTTCTAGTGATCCCACAATAGCTATGCCTTAGAAATGGTGTTAAACTCTCTGTGGGGTGAAGCTCACTCTATACTTACCCTAACAAAGGCTTGAAAAGAAGAAACTGAACTGCAATTAATTTAACTGCCTATAAGAATAAATCTATAACCAACAATGTGAAATCATCAATGCCTGGCATCTAATATAAAATTAGTAGATATTACAAGAAGCAGAAAATGAAACCCGAAACCAGGAGAAAAATCAGTCACCAGAAACAGACTGAGAAATGAAAAAGATACTGTGTAAGTATGCTAAAAGTCATTATATGCCTATCCAATTACTTAAAGGAAAACATAAATACAGTGACAGAAGATATAAAAAAAGAACCAAAAGGAACAATATCAAGTGGTTTACAACAGGCTGTAATTAAAGTCCCAGGAGGACAGGAAAGGGCAGAAAAATAATACAAAAATGGCCCAAAATTTTCCACATTTGATGAAAACTACAGATATAAGCTCATTGAACACCATGCAATATAAACACAAAACCACCCTAATAAAACTGATTTTGTTAGTTATTAGCTAATGGCAAAACGTTTTTGAAAGCTCATATTTATAGTCTATATGTATACAACCTATATGGTATAATCAACATATATTTTATGGAGTTATTTTTGTCTCATGTTTTGTTGTGTGATAAATGAGCAGGGAATTACAGAATGTTAGTATCAGAAGGCACACTGACAGCAATCAAATACACACCTCCACCACTGCAGGAATCCTTCGTATACTATTCCTGAGGAATGGTCACCTAATCTCTGCTTAAGCAATTTCAACGATGATAAACTTACGACTGGGTAGTTCTCCAGATAGTAATATTTTCTGTATTTCTGTAGCTGAGTTGGCAAATTGCTTTAATAAAGTTAAATGAACTCTACAAATTCAAGATTTTTCTAATTCATAGTCAGATTAATTGAATGTTAACCTGTAAAAATAATGCCCTACTGTCAAATATATGATATGAGCTCATATTTATGTAGTGCTTTATTATCTTAAAGGTACTTTTTCATAATTCAATTATATGTAGTGATTTCAATACCAGTTTTCAATATTCTGGTATACTCTGCCCTTTTTAAATACCAAAATCCCAGCACTGTTGTTACAGTTTGGTTATTCTGATATTTAAAATCAACAATCTAAATTTTTTAAATATTAAATTAGTATCTATAACTCAATTACCTAATTTATGAACAAAATTAATACAATGTACATAGTATAGAAGTCTAGACAGGTCCTCACCTGTGCACACAGCAAAAAGCAATCAAATAGTGTTACTGATAAGCTTCTGTTGCAAGAATAATTCTTAGTTCCAAATAAGTAATTTCTTATCCAGTAGAATATGAAAATAATAGTACTAAAATTGATATAGGTAACTCTGCTTTGGAATCTCCTATACATGCTAAAACTAATTCAGATGAAGAAAAGGTAGGAATAATTTATTTGAAATCAATACTATATAGCTCTTTATAAATTTTTTAAAAATCCAGCCCCAGTCAAAAATCAAAAGGTGTTTTATAAATATCTCCACAAGGTCATTAAGTAAAAAAATTGGATTATTTAAATTTAAATAAGTCAAAGGAAAATATTGGGAATTAGCATGTAATGCTCTCATCATTATTGTTTTGACATCTTGGTTGGAAAATTCTCCCCAAAATAGCTATTTTCTATTCAACATAGTACTGGAAGTGCTAGCCAGAGCAATCAGACAAGAGAAAGAAAAAAAAAAGGCATCTACATATGAAAAGAATTCAAACTATCTCTCTTCAAGGATAATATGACCCTATACATAGAAAACCCTACAGACTCTGCCAAAAGGGTCCTGGAATTGATAAACAACTTCGGTAAAGTTTCAGGATACAAAATCAATGTACAAAAAATCAATAACATTTCTATACACCAACAACATTCAAGCTAAGAGCCAAATCGAGAATGCAATCCAATCTACAATAGCCACATACACAAAGACATACACAAAAACCCCTAGGAATATATCTAACCAAGGAGGTGAAAGATCTCTATAAGGAGAACTATAAAACACCACCAAAAGAAATCAGACAACATAAACAAATGGTAAAACATTCCATATTCATGGGGTGGAAGAATCAATATTGTTAAAATAGTCATACTGCCCAAAGCAATCTACAGATTCAATGCTATTCCTATCAAACTACTAACATCATTTTTCACAGAACTAGAAAAACTATTCTAAAATTCATGTGGAAGTAAAAAGGAGCCCGAATAGCCAGAGCAATCTTAATCAAAAAGGAAAAAGCCAGTGGCAACACATTACCAGACTTCAAACTATACTGTAAAGCTACAGTAATCAAAACAGCATGGTACTGGCACAAAAACAGACACAGAGACCAATGGAACAGAATAAAGAACCCAGGAAAAAAAAGCCACATACCTACAGCCATCTGATCTTCAACAGTCAACAAAAATAGGCAATAAGGAAAGGACTCCCTATTCAACAAATGGTGCTGGAATAGCTGGCTAGCCATATACAGAAGGATGAAACTGGACCCCTACCTTTCACCATATGCAAAAATTACCTCAAGATGAATTAAAGATTTAAATGTAAGCCCTCAAACTATAAGAATCCTAGAAGAAACCTAGGAAACACTTTTTTTTTTTTTGAGACAGGGTTTCATTCAGTTGCCTAGCCTTAAGTGTAGTGGCATGATCACAGCTCACTGCAGCCTTGACTTGCCAGGCTCAAGTGATCCTCCCACCTCAGCCTCCCAAGCAGCTGAGACCATAGGCATGCACCACCATGCCTGGCTAATTTTTTACTTTTTGTAGAGATGGCAGTCTCACTATGTTGCCCAGGCTGGTCTCAAACTCCTGGGCTCAAGCAATCCTCATGCCTTGGCCTTCCAAAGTGTTGGGATTACAGGCATGAACTACTAGGCCTGGCCCCTGGAAACACCATTCTGGATGTCGGCCTTGCAAAAGAATTTATGAGTAAGTCGCAAAAGCAATTGCAACCAAAACAAAAACTGACAAATGGGACCTAATTAAAGAGCTTATGCACAGCAAAAGAAACTAGCGATGGAGTAAACAGAAAACCTACAGAATGGGAGAAAATATCCATGAACTATGCATCTGACAAAGGTCTAATATCCAGAAACTGTAAGAAACTGAAACAACTCAGCAAGCAAAAAATAACCCCATTAAAAAAAATGGGCAAAAGACACGAACAGACACTTATCAAAAGAAGACATACAAGTGGCCAACAAACATGAAAAAAATGCTCTACATCACTAATCATCAGAGAAATGCAAATCAAAACCACCATAAGATGCCATCTAACACCAGTCTGAATGGCTATTATTGAAAAGTAAAAAAGCAACAGATGCTGGTGAGACTGTGGAGAAAAGGGAACACTTAGACACTGTTGGTGGGAATGTGAATTAGTTCAGCCACTGTGGAAAGCAGTCTGAAGATTTCTTAAAGAACTTAAAACTACCATTTGACCCAGCAATCTTATTACTGGGTATATATCCAAAAAAACACAAATCTTTCTACTAAAAAGACAGATGCACTTGCATGTTCATCGCAGCACTATTCACAATAGTAAAGATACAGAATCAGCCTAGGTGCCCATCAACAGTGGACTGAGTAAAGAAAATGTGCTACATATACACCAGCAGTTCCCAACCCTTTTGACACCAAGGGCTGGTTTCATGGAAAACAATTTTTCCACGGACTGTATTTTGGGGAGGGGATGGTTTTGGGATGAAACTGTTTCAGATTAATCATTAGTTAAATTCTCATCTGGCATTAGAGTCTCATAAGGAGTATGCAACCTAGATCCTCCACATGCACAATTCACAAGAGTTCGTGCTCCTATGAGGATTTAATGCTGCTGCTGATCTGACAGGAGGTGGAGTTCAGGTGGTAATGCTTGCTCACCTGCAGCTCACCTCCTGCTGGGCAGCCCAATTCCTAACAGGCCATGGATGGGTAACAGTCCACGGCCAGAGGCTGGGGACTCCTGATACACACCATGGAATACTACACAGTCATAAAAGAAATGAAATCATGTCCTTTGTAACAATATGGATGCAGCTGGAGGCCATTTTCCTATGCAAATTAACACAGAAGCAGGAAACCAAATACTGCATGTTCTCGCTTACAAGTGATAGCCAAACACTGGGTACTCATGGACATAAAGACAGCAACAATAGACACTGGGGACCACTAGAGGGTGGAGGAAGAAAGGAGAGCAAACATTGACAAATAACTTTCGGCTACTATGCTCAGTCCCTGGGTGATGGGATTATTTGTGCCCCAAATCTCAGCATTATACAATATACCACGATAGCAAACCTGCACAGGTACCTCTGAATCTAAAATAAAAATTGAAATAAATAACAACGAAGAAAAAATAAAATCCTTATCTCTCACTGTAAAAAAGTAAAAATAAAAAGACCAAGGTGAAGTCAGCTCGAGGAGAGTTGGAAGAAGTTTCATTCAGTTTGAGAGATGAAGCCACACTAAACCAGCAGAGTGGGTCCCAATCTTTTCTGTACAATTTCCTGGGGGAGGCTTAAAGAAATACATGTGAGATCACAATCCTGGGGGTGGTGCACATGTCTGAGTATTTTACTTTTAGCTCTTCAGGTGAGTCTGACACACAGCCAAGGTTGAGGACCCATGTAAGCAGGCGGGCCAGAGTGCTTTTTGTCCGAGGCATGTCCTATTCTCTGGTCCAGCCACACCTGCAGCACTGAAACCCAATGTCTCCAAGCAGCTGACCTTTAAAGGGTCCAATTCTTCTTTTAAGAGGAGGCTGTTTGAAGAGATGTGAATAGAACATGAATAAGGACAGCGAAGGTACAAATATGCTAATAAAGCAGATATTCCAACCAGTTTATTGTATTTTTACACACACACACACATATACACAAAAATAAATAAATAAATAAAAGCTCTATACCCAGTGATAGCACTAGTGATGATGCACTTTTGTATTTTTAGGATCATATTATTGAGAAAGATCAAATAATATTTCATTAACATTTATCTACTAATATTAAAATGTTAATGTATATTTAACATTTTTACAACAACTTTACTGAGGTATAAATCACAAAACATACAATTAACCCACTTAGAGTATACAATAGTTTTCATTAGTTTCACAGAGTTGTGCAACTGTCACTGCAATCAATTTTAGAACATTTTCATCCCTCCAAAAAAGAATCCTGTACCTATTAGCAGTCATTCTCCATCACCGACCTTCCCCCAACCCTCAGCAACTATTGATCTATTTTCTGTCTCTATGGATTTGCCTATTTGGGACATTTCATATAAATGGAATTATGCAATATATGGTCTTTTGTTATTCCATTATTTCACTTAGGATAATGTTTCCAAGGTTTACCCATGTTGCAGCATATATCAGCATTTCATTCCTTTCTACTGCCAAATAATATCCATTGTTGGAATATACTACATTTTATTTACCCAATCATCAGCTGATGAACATTTGAGTTGTTTCGACTTCTTGACTATTTGAATAATGGTGCCACAAACCTTCCTGTACATGTTTTTACGTGGACATGGGTTTCCATTTTTCTTGGGCATATACCGAAGAGACTTGCTGTGTCATATAGTAACTCTATGTTTAACCTTTTGAGGAACTGACAGTTTTCCAAAGTGGCTGTATCACTTTATATCCCCACCAGCAACATATGAGGGTTCCAGGTTTTTCACACTCATGTCAATACTCATGATCTGTCTTTTTTATTATGGCAATATTTGTTTTTAAAAATGGTATGTCTTGATATTTTGTAATACATTTAGATATCTTAAATTTTTTAATATATATTGTTTTACTGATGGTTTTGCTTTATGAATTCTGAACTTTCCAATGAAAGAAAACAACTACTGAAGTCAATACATATTTGAGTATCAAAGACCCTAAACTGTCATTTTTGCTGTGGTTATTGCAACAAATAATTGGATTTTTTTTTCTTTTTCTTTGAGACAGGGTCTTACTCTGTTGCCCACGCTGGAGTGCAGTGGCTCATTGCAGCCTCAACCTCCTGGCCTGGCTCAAGTGATCCTCCCACCTCAGCCTTCTGAGTACTAGGCTACAGGCACGTGTCACCACAACTGGTTAATTTTTGTATTTTTTGTAGAGATGGAGTTTTGCCATGTTGCTCAGGCTGGTCTGGAACTCCTGGGCTCAAGCAATTCACCCGCCTCACCCTCCCAAAGTGACAGGGGGTGTGAGCCACCATGTCCAGCCAGTAATTGCATTTTCTTTATGACAAAATTATTTTCAGAGCTTAGAACTGGATAAAACTTTTTCTCTACTTGTATATTCCTTCTACAAAGGAAAGCAGTCATTGCTTCTTTGCACTGACTGGTAGAAAGCTTAAAACTAAAACTTTTCTTGGTTGGAAATTCTTGCTAAATTTTAATTTTTATTTTCATCTTTTATCTTGTAGGTATTTTTTGATACCTCTATATTAGTAAAAGCTAATTCACATCCCTTCTAGTGGGAAAGAGACTATAAAGAAGTAAAGAAATAAATATGTGGTAAGTACCCTTGATCTGCACAGCAATCTCAAGGCAGTAATTATAAAGGATAAAACTGAGGATATGAGAAGTTATTTACCAAAGTCAGAAGCTTATAAGTGGCAAAACTGGTATTAGAATACAGATCTTGGAGTCCCTCATTTCAGTTCTTTATACTCTCTCAACATTCCATCATTCTGTTTAATACAGACATTTTATGGTATCTGAAAAGTATCCCAAAGTAGCTCCTGCAGAACCAACACTTAAATGTAATAGAGTCCCTGTGATAAGATGTTCAACTGATATTTTATCCCAGTGATTGAGATAACTTTAAATGTTCCTCAATAGTCCCCACAATAGCTTAGCTCTGTAAGGAAAAAATGTGTTTATTTTTCATTGATAATTATAATTATTATAATAATGTTTTTTTTTTTTTTTGAGACAGAGTCTTGCTCTGTCTCCCAAGCTGGAGTGCAGTGGCATGATCTCAGTTCACTGCAACCTCTGCCTCCCGGGTTCAAGTGATTCTCATGCCCCAGCCTCCTGAGTAGCTGGGACTATAGGCATGCACAACCACTCCAGGCTAACTGTATTTTTTGTATTTTTAGTAGAGACAAGTTTTGCCATGTTGGCCAGGCTGGTCTCAAACTCCTGGACTCAAGTGATCTGCCTGCCTTGGCCTCCCAAAGTACTAGGATTACAGGTGTGAGCCACCACACCTGGCCTATAATTATTATTTAAATTATTAATTTTCTACTAATGCTGAGAAAGATGGTATAAGACATAAAAATCTAATGTTTGTCTAATGATATGGGTCAAGGCACCTAATATTAATAGTTAGCTAAAGAATAGGGGAAAATATTTACAAATAATTCCAATGTAGAATGATTTATAGAAAGTTACTTTATATTTTTCCACATTACATTTTAAAGTTACTTAAAATATTTTTGGCTACATGAAATTTATATATTCTTCCTTAAGGAAAGAAAATAAACTTTTATAGAAGAAGTTACAGAAATGCACTTGGTATTCATTACTGGTGATACATAATAGAATTTAGGTTTAGTGCCAGATATAGGGTGAGAACACCATTAGCTGGAAACTATACTTACCTCTAGGTGATTTCTATAAATCTGAAGTCCAATGATTTCACTTATTAAAGTGGACAAATAAGTTATATGTTCCGGACCTAGGTGACAGTTACAAAAACTATCTAAAAGACAAAAACAGTCTAACCATGAATGAGAGGATTCAATACATTTTATAAATGCCTCAAAAGAACTCTTTTCTTATCCTCATTCTATCTCCACATCTGGACTTGAGTATTGTGAACAATTGCAGTTTGGTCTAAAGAATTAGTCCATCACTATGAATTACCACACATCACAAAATGACTTAAATCACCAGTGTTAAGTAAGTGGTAGGACCTTATGATTGAATAAATATTGGTTTTCTAGAATTGTAAAAACCTCAGAAAGTGTATAGTTTTGCTTCAATCATTTTACAGGTGTGGGAAATAAACATGAGGTGAAGGGACTTGCCCAAGATCTCCTAAGTTCATGGCAGAGTGGAGACTACAAACAAGTTTATTTAAGATTGAAGGTTGTTCTACGATACCATAATATTTCAAGTCAAAACTTAAAATGGACTTGATTTTCGGCTTTGTTTAAACCTGCAATTTAAAAAACTGAGCAAGATCCAGCCCAAAATGGCAAAAAGGTTTTATGAATACACACTTTTTGCTAACAGTCAACTAGAAACCAAATAGAATAGCAACGTTACTATCAGAGCAGATCATGGGTATATTATTGAAAGCAAGTGTAATGATGCCAGCCTTCAGATTCCCTAGGATATTTTAAAACTCTCAAGCACTTCTATTACATAGTTTAGGGTCACTGGAGAAAATTACTTTTATGCAGACAAAGGAACACACGTCTGGAAAAGGAACTAAAGAAAAATGTGGCAGTTCTTATCTATTTTATTCCCTGAAGAAATGTGCTGACCATTAACTTTATAACTTGAATATTATAAATGGAAAAAAAAAGGAAGAAATAGAAATCCATCCAGTTCTGGAATCATGGATGGAGTTCTGGAAGATGGTTTGGTCTTGTAATCTTTTTTACTGGTCCTCTCTTGGCACTCACTGTCTTCTGCTTAGCTGGATTATATCTTCCACTGAAATAAATAAGTGTTAATCATAATTTTTCAGTCACCATTATGTACAACAAAAACATTATAGGCCACACAGGAAGAAATGTATATTGCACCTTGTTCCCCCCAACAGACCTTCACACGGAAACCTTCCTGTGAATAGTTTCTGCTTACAGTGCAAATCTTAGGCAGCCTTCTGTTATAGCACATCATCTCCACCGCTACAGAGGCATACAGCTTAAGGGCAGGTAATTCAAAGGCTGGAAGCAGCATGTCAGGTGCCCTAATGTGGAAAGTTCTGTCTAATGAGGATAAGACAGATCCGTGAATTCCTTTTCTTAGATTTCCATGAGATCCTTTTTCCATTAATGACTTATGTGGCACTAAAAAGCCAACCTTCCTTACACTCTGACTTGAGAGAGTTAAAGGCCACTTCAATTTCCTAAAAACTTTCTTAGGGGGTGATGGCAGCAAAATGACAGAGTCATTTAAAGTCTTTCTCTATTAAGTCTAACATCTGGACTTCCTCAGGGAAAGTGTTTATTTGTTGCTTTTTTTCTTGTATAAGAGCCATGTTTTCTTGTCTCTTCTCATATATTGTAATTTTGTTTTGAAAACTGGATGTTTTAAAATATGTAACATGTAAGAACTTGTCATTTTCTCCTCATTAAAATGAAGGATAAAATTCTCTCCTCCATAAAAGTGATGACAAATTGGCAATATGGTTAGAAGCAACTTTATCAAAACCCTGGAAATTAACGAAAGTGTTGCAACAATCCTGGAGAATTTATAAAATAACAACAACAGCAACAAACGGCTGAAACTTCGAACACTGAGCTTTGTAGCATTTTAACTTGCCCTATGCCTATCCACTGTTCCCCTGACTTTCATCCCCAGCTCCATGGTAGCCTTGAAAACCAACAGCGCACAATTGCAGTGAAAACTCAGTAGCCTGGTGGACACCATAAGAGGTGGAATAGGGTTGGAGATCCTTTAACACCTATTTCATTCCAAGAGGAATTTCATTATTTAAACAGTCTGGTGATTACTTGAAAGACCACTTACAAAGCTATCTTTATTTGACCTGACATGGAGATGGTCCAGTGTAAATAGCCTTTTCCCTAGGGGCATTTGCTGGAACAATAAGAAACCACTGTTTAATTTCAGAGCTGCCAGAGGTAGTAGATAACAATTGAGGCAAAAAATAGGCTAACCAGGAAGCTTAAAAGGAAAAGCTGAGAGGCCAGGCTCAGTGGCTCTCACCTGTAATCCCAGCACTTTGGGAGGCTAAGGGAGGCAGGTGGATCACTTGAGGCCAGGAGTTTGAGACCAGCCTGGCCAGTATGATGAAACCCCACTTGTACTAAGAATACAAAAAAAGATGAGCCGAGATTGCGCCACTGCAGTCCGCAGTCCGGCCTGGGCGACAGAGCGAGACTCCGTCTCAAAAAAAAAAAAGAATACAAAAAAAGAAAAAAAAATTAGCCAGGCATGGTGCTGCATGCCTATAATCTCAGCTAGTTGGGAGGCTGAGACATGAGAATCACTTGAGCCTGAGGCAGAGGTTGCAGTGAGCCGAGATCAGCCTAGGCAACAGAGTGAGACTCTGTCTCTAAAAAAAAGGAAAAGCTGAGAAATGAGTGTTAATAAGCTCCATTATATTTCTTGGAATCTAGAAGCCCATACACATGTGTAACTGTGGGTATGCATAGGACTGTGTGCATACTCAGGAAAGGCCTGAAAAGGCCCTAAGCTCTTGCCTCTGGCTGACCTTGAGGCTCTGCACAAGCAGGAAGTAAAGAATAAGGTAGAGTTGTAATTTGCCTGGCCGACTGTTGAAGGCATGCTCCAACACACACACACAGAGCCCATCAGCAAAGGCTAGGAGATTTATTGATGCTAGGCATTTAAATAAATCTGTTCAATCATTAGCTGACCCCTAAGCTAACTCAGCAGAGACTTCAGTGTCCACCCCAACAAAGAATACAGATTTTACATAATTATTTTAGAAAAGTCACTAAACAAGCAGCAGCAAAAACAGTGACAACAACAAACCCTGGGGAGGGGAAAGAAACTAATATACAGAGTGGCCATGTTACATATTTTAAAACATCCAGTTTTCAAAACAAAATTACAATATATGAGAAGAGACAAGAAAACATGGCTCTTATACAAGAAAAAAAGCAACAAATAAACACTTTCCCTGAGGAAGTCCAGATGTTAGACTTAATAGAGAAAGACTTTAAATCTACTATTTTAAAGAACTAAAGGAAATCATATCTATAGAGGAAATTATGAGAATGATGTCTCACCAAATCAAGAATACTAATAAGAGATAGAAATTATTTAAAAAGAACCAAATAGGCATTCTGGAGTTGAAAAAGAATATAAATGCAATGAAGAATTCACTAGAAGAGCTCAACGGCAGATTGGAGCAGACACAAGAGTCAATGAAGTTAAAGATTTGTCAATTAAGATCGTCTGGTTTGAGCAAGAGATAACAAAGAATAAAGTGAAGGAAATTAAAATATTTTCCCCCAAAATATATTTCTTTGACATATTTTAAAATGTCAGTCTCTTGGCCAGCAGGCAGAAATGGCCTTACAAAGCTGTCTTAAGTGGGAAAGTTTGCATTAATGTGGAGAATCTCCACTAATGCAACTGTGCCACCTCTCCTTTCTATGCTTTTCCCCAGATCTAGGAGAGACTGAAAGTCTGACACATTTAAAAGTCTGAGAAGAAACATTTACCATCTATTCTCTCTGAGGGTGGCTTCATCTACATAAAAAGTCCACCTTTGTTCGCCAAACCTTTTCTCCCTGCTCCCAAAACCTTTTTTAAAATCAGAATCTAAGCCCCCACTCTTTCTGTAACCTCAAAATGGTATATAAGTTTCTATAACTCATTGGGAAGTTGGGTCTTCATTCTGAAGACTCCCATGTATACATATTAAATAAATCTGTGTGCCTTTTCTCCTATTAATAAATATGATTCATGTCTGTGATTTTTAGCAAACTTCAGGGGCGAAGAGCCTATGGCGGCCCCCACTAAAGAAAACTGAACAGTCTCAGAGACCTGTAAAACACTATCAACTATACCAACATATGTATAATGAGTGTCCCAGAAGGAGAGGGGAAAGAAAAGGACAGATAGAATATTTGAAAAATAATAGCTAAAAATTTCCCAAATTTCATTAAAAATATTGATCTACAAATTTAAGAAGCCTAACAAATTCCAAGATGAATATCCAGACACATCATAATAAAACTATCAAAAGCCAATACAAACAGGGAATCTTGAAAGCAGCTAGAATGAAGCAACTCACTCTGTAAAAGGGATCTTCAATAGGAGTAACAACTGATTTCTCATCAGAAACTATGAAGGCCTGAAGACAGGGAGATGAAATATTTAAAGTGCTATAAGGAAAAAGACTTTCAACTAAGAATTCTATATGCAACAAAACTATCCTTCTAAAATAAAAGAAAAATTAAACATTTCCAGATAAGCAAAAACAGAAGGAATTAATCATCAGCAAACCTGCCCTATAAAAAAATAGTAGAGACTTTTGTGTTGAAATAAAAGGACATTTGATAGAAGTGTAAATTCACATGAAGAAATAAAGAAAACTGGCAAAGATAACTACATAGGTAAACATAAAAATAGGATAAATGTAGTTTTTGTTTGTAATTCTTCTTTTTAAATCTCCTAACTGATTAAGAAAATAACTGCATGAGCAATAATTGTAAATCTGTTGATGGAAACAAAATGTATAAACTTGTAATTTGTATGACAATAACAGCACAAAGAAGGTGAAGGGAATGGAGCTACATAGGAAAGAACTTTTGGTACACTATTGAAATTAAGTTGTTTTGAACCTAAAGTAGATTGTTATAAATTAATATCTTAATTGTAATTCCCAGGCAACCACTGAGACCAAGACCAGATGGCTTCGCTGGTAAATTCTACCACATATTAAATCATACATATATAAAACCAATCCTTCACACGCACTTCATAAAAATGAAATAGGAGAGAACACCTTCCAACTTATTTTATGAGGCAAATATTACTCTTATTTTCTTCTTTCTGCTTATTTGGGGTTTAGTTTGCTCCTCTTTTTCAAGTTTCTTAAGGTAAAAGATTTGATTTTTTATTTGAAATGATTTATTTAAAAATATATTTACGGCCATAAATTTCTCTCTAAGCACTAAACCTGATAAAGAAAATCTATGAACAAAATTTACAGCTAACATTATATTTAATGTAAAAACCAAAAGCTTTCTCTCTAAGATAAGGAACAAGTTAAGGATGTTCACTATTACCACTTCTATTCAACATTGTATAGGAGGTTCCAGCCAGGGCAATTAGGCAAGAAAAATAGATAAAAGGCATCCAAATTAGAAGAAAAAAAAAAGAAGTAAAACAATCTCTATTTAGGTGACATGTTCTTATATATAGAAAATACTAAGGCATACACATTCACATACAGACACAGACACATACATGCATTTATGAGATCTAATAAGTTCCTCAGGGTTTCTGGATTTAAGATCAATATGCAAAAATCAACTGTATTTCTAGACACCAGCAATATACAGTCCTAAAATGAAATTTAAAACTTAATTCTGTTTCAAACTGCATCAAAAAGAATACAGTTTTAGGAATAAATTTAGCCAAAGAATTGCAAGATTTGTACACTAAAATCTATAAAATATCTATGAAAGAAATTAAAGAAGATCTAAATGAATAGAAAGAAATTCATGTTCTTGGATTAGAAGACTTAATATTGTTAAGATGGCAACACTACCCAAAGTGATCTACAGATTCAACATACTCTCTCCATCAAAACACCAGCTATATTTTGTGAAGAAATTGACAAGTGGATCCTAAATCCACATGGAAATAAAAGGGACTCTGAATAACCAAAACAATCTTGAAAAAGAACAATAAAATTGGAGTACTCGCACTTCTTGATTTTAAACTCACTAAAAAGTTAGTCATCCAGACAGTATGGTATTGGCATAAGGATAGAGTTATAGATCAATGAAACACAACTGGGAGTCTAAGAGTAAACCCATATGTTACGGTCAATTGTTTTTTTACAAGAGTGCCAAGAGCATTTAATTGGCAAAGGATAGTGTCTTCAACCTATGGTGTTAGGACAACTGAATAAATACAGGCAAAAGAGTGAAACTGGACGCCTACCTCACATCATATACAAAAATGAACTCAAAATGGGTGAAAAGGGAGCTAAAACTATAAAACTCTTAGAAGAAAACATAGGTTAGGCAATGACTTCTTATGTATGACACCTAACACACAAGCAAGCAAGAAAAAGTAGATGATGGTCTTTATCAAAATTGAGAACTTTTGTGTTTCTAAAGATATCATCAAGAAAATAAAAATACCATCCATAGAATGGGAAAAAATTATAAATCTTTTATCTGATAAGGTCTCATACTCAGAATATAAAATGCTCTCAATGCAATATAATAGAGACAAACAAACCAATTTAATAATAGGCAAAGGACTTGAATAGACATTTCTCCAAAGAAGATACAGTTGTCCCTCTACATCCAAGGGTGATTGGTTCCAGGACCCCCATGGATACCAAAATTCACAGATGCTCAAGTCCCTTACATAAAACGGTGTCATATTTCCACATAATGTACACACATAATCCAGTATACTTTAAATCATCTCTAGATTACTTAACATTAGATTACATTAACACAAAAGTAAATGCTATATAAATAGATGTTATACTTTGTTGGGTTTTTAAAAATTATTTATTATTATTGTATTATTATTATTATTATTTTCCCCAATTTTTTTTGATCCACAGTTGGTTGAATTCATGGATGCAGAATTTGTGGATATGGAAGGCTATCTGTATAGAAATGGCCAACAAGTACAAGAAAAGATTTCAACATCATTAGTCATTAGGAAAGTGCAAATCAAAACCACAGTAAGATATCACTTCACATCCACTAGGATGGTTAAATTTTTTTAAATAAAGGACAACATGTGTTGATAAGGATGTGGAGAAATTGGAACCCTGATACACAGCTAATGGGAATATAAAATGGTACAGCCACTATAGAAAATAGCTTGGCAGTTCCTCAAAAAGATAAACAAAATGGAATTAACCCAGCAATTCCACTTCTAGGCATGCACCAAAGAGAATTAAAAATATTTGCACACAAAACTTGTACAGGGATGTTCATAGTAGCATTATTCATAATAGTGAAGAGGTGTAAACATGTAAATGTTCATCAGCTGATGATTCGGTAAATAAAATGTGGCATATCCAAAAACTGGAATATTACTCTGTCACAGAAAGGAATAAGGAATTCGTATATGTTCCAACATGGATGAACCATGAAAATGTTATATTAAGCAGCAGAAGGTAAACACCCAAATTCACATATTGTATGCTCCCATTTACAGTTGGAAATGTGCCACATAACATTTCAGTCAGCAATGGACTGCATATATGACAGTATTCCTGTAAGATTATAATACTGTATTTGTACTGTACCTTTTCTATGTTTAGATACACAAATACTTACCATTGTGTTACAATTGTCAGAGTGTTCCCTACAGTAATATGCTGTACAGGTTTGTAACTTAGGAGCAAGAGGCTATACCATATAGCTAGGTGTGAAGTAGGATCTACCATCTAGGTTTTTGTAAGCGCACTCTGATGTTTGCACAATGACAAAATTGCCTTATGACACACTTCTCACAACATGTCCCCATCATTAAGGGACACATGACTGACTGTATATGAAATAACAAGACCAGAGAAAACCATAAAAACAGAAAGCAGATTAGTAATTGCCAGGAGTTTAGTGGAAGGGGGTTTGGGAACTAACTGCTCATTCATACAGGCTTTCTTTTTGGGGTGATGAAAATGTTCTGGAATCAGTTAGTGGTGATGCTTGCATGACCCCATGAATATACGAAAAATCACTGAGTTGTACACTTTATTATTTTTATTTTAAAAAAGTTTTTAAATGGGGTCTGGCTCTGTTGCCCAAGCTGCAATGCAGTGGCACGAACATAGCTCACGGCAGCCTTCAACTCCTGGGCTCAAGTGATTGTCCTGCCTTGGCCTTCCAAAGTGCTAAGGATACAGAGCTGTAGGCTAAAAGGATAATTTTTTTGGTATGTGAATAATATCTCAATTAAAAAATTTTTTTAAATGTGCTTTGGGAATAATCCATTTCCTGTTAAAATTTTCTTTAGTTTATTAATCATGTTTAAAAATGATTTCTTCTGGTGAAATATGGAATTAACCACAATCATTCAATTATTATGTCTAATTAATATAGCTCATTATAGATATTTATTATTTATAGTACTAAATGATTTTCTATTACACTAAGGA
The DNA here is from genome assembly GCF_000001405.40 of Homo sapiens. Taxonomy (NCBI): domain Eukaryota; kingdom Metazoa; phylum Chordata; class Mammalia; order Primates; family Hominidae; genus Homo; species Homo sapiens. Next base: position 36,238,662 of record NC_000013.11, read on the forward strand.
TGTTTTGAGTAGCTTCCAAAATATGGCCCATTTCTAAAAGATCTAACTAACATGATGACACAAGTGTCTGAATAATAACTAACTAATGACACTAATGATGAAGCTGAGGTACTTCACTGGTAAAAGATATTTAATCACTGTCTTTTAGAGCAGTGTTTTCCAAACTGCAGAATGCAACTCATTAGTGGATTGATTTACTGAATTACAATAGCAATATAAAAATAACAGAAAAGGAAACAGAACAGAAGAGGAAAAAGAACATATATTAATAAAAAGAACAGAAAAGGGGCCAGGTGCAGTGATTCATGCCTGTAATCCCAGCACTTTAGGAGGCCAAGGTGGGAGATTGCTTGAGCCCAGGAGATTAATACCAGCCTGAAAAAACATGGCAAGACCCTGTCCATATTCTCTACAGAAAATCAAAAAATGAGCTGGACATGGTGGCTCATGCCTATAGTCCTAGCTACTCAGGAGGCTGAGGCAGGGGGATCTCTTGAGCCTGGGAGTTTAGGGTTAAAGTGAGCAATCATTGTACCACTGCACTGTAGCTGGGGCAACAGCACAAGACCTGTCTCTTTAAAAAAAAGAAAAAAAAAAAAACAGAAAAAGAAGTATCAATATGCATCACACATAGTAAGAGAAAATATTCTTTCATAAACTGTAAAATATGTGAATATATATGTGGGTATAGGGATCACAATATGGTGTCAGTCATGGTCAACACAGTTTGGAAACCATTCTATGCTCCTGAGTATTATGATTTTTAAATAAATAATAGTGGTTAAGCCTCCAGCAAGTTTATGTTATTAATAGCAAAACAGACACTTGCAGTTCCAAATTATTGTCATATGTATTTTTCTGTCCTCACAAATCAATACATTGTTACTCTGCTGATTCTTTATATTCAGTAAAGCACTATAGTAATGATAATAGTTAGTGTTTGTTGAATTAGGGATTTTTAAAAATAATCTCTAATTCTCATACCAATCATTCATTTTGGGTTTCATCTCTTCATCTTATGGGGGAGAAAATGGAATCTGAGAGTGGTTACTTATATAAAGTCACATTAAATAATAAGAAATGGAGGCAAAAATTGATTGGTCTATCTGCTCCAAAGTCAGTGCCGATTTTCATTTACACTTGTCCCCCCTTTATCCATGGTTTTACTTTCCAGTTTCAGTTTCCTGTGGTCAGCCATGGTCCCAAAATAGGTGATTATGGTACAATAAGCTATTTTGAGAGAGAGAGAGACACCACATTCATATAACTTTTATTACAGTATGCTGTTATAATTAAGTTGTATTATTAGTTACTGCTAATCTCTTCCTATGCCTAAATTGTAAATTTAATTTTATCATAGATATCTATGTATGTAAAAAAACTTAGCATACACAGGGTGCAGTACTATCCATGGTTTTGGTATCCACTGGTGGTCTTTGGAATGTATCTCTCTTGGGTAAGAGAGGACTACTGTACCACCTTGCTTCTCACTATTTTTTTAAACACTGTACTGTATTAGTTACACAGTATTTATACTGCTATTATGACTTAAGAATTTCCATAGTCTATCTGGACTATCTCTTGACTTTTCTCTTTTAATATAAAATTATTTAAAATAATTATAAAGTATACATATTCTTATATAAAACCTAAGAGGCATAAATATAAATCATCCACAATTTTACTAACCTATTTTGTACTATAATTTTTGTTTACTATTATAGGTAAGCGTTTTTCTATGTCAGCTATGTACTCTCCTAGAATGTAATTTTTGCAACTTCCTAATATCAACAGAGTTATTGACTTACTCTTTTAATGTTGGATATTTTGGTTGTGTTATCTCTACTGTAGCTGCTTTTTAAAAAAATCAGAATCAGAAGGATACGCCCCTAACAATCTGTCTCTTACCAAGTCCTAGTATCAATTTCCCTCAGGTTCTTTTGCTCCAGGGTACCAATGGCTCCTTAGTTATTTTCTTCCTTTAGGGCTTTTAGTCACTTTAAAACTGTTCATAAGCAGAAAAAAATGAGGTTTCACACTAAAGAAAAAAATAAACTTTAGTTTTCTATTTTTAGGAACTATTCCTGTGGTATCAGTTTTGAGCTCCTTGCTTTCGGGAATATGATTTTTCATAGTTAATACACACCATGGGCGACAGTCAATAAAGTTACCTATTGACTTGTCTAGACTTTTTTGGCAACTTACAAAACTTATACTAAAAAGACTGTTTCTCCTATTTAATCTTAAAGAGACTTTTGTCCAATTGATATATGTAAAGATCTCTAGAATACATCCTTCAACAGCAGTATAGATATCTTGTTCATTTGTGGTCATAATACATAGTATTATGTCTACACAGTAGGACTATAATAGCTAATATTAAATCTACATAGTCTATATAGTAGGACTATAATAGTTAATATTATATCAGGCACTATCCCTTTCTGCTAGATTTTTAAAAGAGAATTTCACATTCATATGGGTATTTTCTAATGTTCTGATTTGTTCTGAATGTTAGGAAAAATGGGTAAGTCAATATTTTAATATTAGTACATATGAGAATATCAACCAAAGCAAACATTAAAAGCCATGGAGACTTGATTAAAAGTTCACAAATCATAAATGTACCAATCCATAAATTATAATAAAGCAAATACTGATGTAACCACAACTTAGGTCAAGCACTAGAATATTATCATCATACTGGAAGATGCCATCATGTCACAATTATTATTCACTTCTTCCTTTCCATTGGTATTAATAATTACTAGCCTGTGTTCTGACATCACAGTTTACTTTTGTCTGTCTTTGAACTTTAAATGAATGGGATCACATTGTACATATTCTTTTATTTCTGACCTACTTCACTCAATACTGAGAATTATCCATAATGTTGTATGAGTTATAGTTTGTTTTTATTGCTGTTATTTTCATATATGTATATATAATTTTCATCCATTCCATTACTGATGGACATTTAAGCTGTATTCAGTTTTGAACTGTCAAGAATAAAGCTGCTATGAACATTCTTGTTCTTTTGGTGTAAATGTATGCACCATTCTATTTGATATATTACTGGAATTGTTGGGTTATAGAGAAGGTATATGATCAGCTAAATATAGAAAATAATGCTAAAATGTATTTGATATGGTTTGGCCCTTTGTCCCCAACCCAAATCTCATGTTGAATTGTAATCCCTGGTGCTGGGGGAGTGACCCAGTGGGAGATAATTTGATCCTGGGGGCGGACCTCCCCCTTAGTGTCCTGGTGATAGTGGGTTCTCACGAAATCTGGTTGTTTGAAAATGTGTAGCACTTCCCCATTCACTCTCTCTTCTGCTCTGCCATGTGAAGAAGGCACTTGCTTCCCCTTCGCCCTTCCACCATGGTTGTAAGTTTCCTGAGGCCTCCCCAAACATGTTTCCTACACAGCTTGCGGGACTGTGATTCAATTAAACTTCTTTTCTTCATAAATTATCCAGTCTCAGGTAGTTCTTTATAGCAGTGTGAAAACAAACTAATACAATATTCCAAAGTGGTTATATAAATGTATACTCCTACTAGCAATGTATGAGAATCCCCTATTCCTCCACATCCTTGACAACACTTGGAATCATCAATCTTCAAAATTTGTGGCTGTATCTTGTAATTTTAATTTGCATTCTGCTGATGAGTAATGGTGTTGAGTCTCTCTTCACATGTCCTTTGGCCATTTGGATATCCCATTCTGTGAGGTGCCTAATACCGTGACTTCCTTTAAAGACTCAAATTTGAGTCATCAACAAAAGGAGGATACTAACTTCCAGAGTTAAGCCAGTAAGAAAAACAATATTTTGAGGTAGTACCAATTATATATACCTAATTTGGATGATTAGAGAGATATTTCTATGTTTCTATTAGATGAGTGATTTGCATTGTTTATAGTTTCAGAGAGTGAACGGGTTTTTTTTTTCCATTTGACCATTTATTTAGTCATAAATTCATTCAAAAATTATTAAACACCAATTTATGCCAGGCACTCTATTCAACATTAAGTTTCATCAGAGATGGAAGTGATTGATCTGGGATCAAGCACAAGCAGTGCTGGAGGGCACAAAGCAGCTGAATGGGCAGGTATACCAGACCATGCCACCTACCTCGATGCACCAGCACCTTAAGCTCAGTTCAGACCTGTGGTGTGGAGGGCCTCACAGACAACCTGATCTCAGCCTGATTCATAGCTGCTGCTACATAAGGGGGTGGGGAGGAATGAGTTTGGCACCCAGGTGATCTACTTGGTTGTCCTTTGGTAGTAACTTGCCCAATTCTGACAGTAAGTGGACAAGTATCTTAGCCATGACTTGGAAAGGACATGATAAACAGAAGTTCAGATTCCCCAGGGATAAGAGTCTGGGTCATCCTGCCAGAGGAAGAAAAGGCCCATACTTGAGTCATGGATAAATCAGCTTGGTACATGGGACTGCAGCTGCGCTATAGCCCTACTCCCTCTGCCCAAACCTGGTTCCTAGCCTTCCCCCACAGGTGTTGATCCTAAGAACTCTCGCTAATAAACTTCCTGGCCAGGTGCAGTGGCTCATGCCTGTAATCTCAGCACTTTGGGAGGCCAAGGCGGGAGGATCTTTTGAGGTCAGGAGTTCGAGACCAGCCTGGCCAACATGGCGAAACCCTGTCTCTACTAAAAGTACAAAAATTAGCCAGGAATGGTGGCACACACCTGTAATCTCAGCTATTTGGGAGGCTGAGGCAGAATAATAATTTGAATCCAGGAGGCAGAATTTGCAGTGAGCAGAGAGATTGCACCACTGCACTTCAACCTGGGTGACAGAGCAAGACTCCATCTCAAAATAAATACATAAATACATAAGGCCAGGCACGGTGGCTCATGCCTGTAATCCCAGCACCTTGGAAGGCCAAGGCAGGCGGATCACCTGAGGTCGGAAGTTCGAGACCAGCCTGATCAACATGAAGAAACCCTGTCTCTACTAAAAATACAAAATTAGCCAAGCACAGTGGCATGTGTCTGTAATCCCAGCTACTCGGGAGGCTGAGACAGGAGAATCACTTGAACCCAGGAGGCAGAGGTTGCAGTGAGCCAAGATCGCGCCATGGCACTACAGCCTGGGCAACAAGAGCTAAACTCCATCTCAATAAATAAATAAATAAGTAAAATAAACTTCCTACATGCTGATTCCTATTTCAGAGTCTACTCCCTGAGAGATCCAACTCCCAGTAATATTCAATGGAAAACCAAACTGCCCTCGTAGACCTACATTCTGGTGACACACATATGTGTATGTGCTAACATATGATTAGAATAAAGAAGTTTAACTTTCATTTTCGAAATATTCCCCTCTTCACTATTTAAGCAAATTTGAATAACAGAGGTAATATATTTTTAGAACAGATATGAATTGGAAAATAAACCTGAACTGCAAGATATTAATAAAAATATTTAGGGTGGTTGTGCAGAAAAGTCAACATAGCAGGCTTTAGGCTACTGTCTTTGGAAAAGCCCACTTGCGAGGTTGGCCCTTGGCTGGTATCTGGAAACTTACTGGTAAACAGTTCCCTACACAGATATAAACCTTTTCCCAAATGAAAAGAATGATTCACTGTGCCTATGCTGTTTGTACAAACAATGTGGTTTATATTGAACACCTGTTTTCCTTCTGGGAGTCTGGAATTTTGGTGCATGCCAGGCAGAAGAAGCCTATGTGATCTGCTCCCAATAGAAACATTAGATGCTAAGTATCTAACGAGCTTCTCTGGTAGGTAAAACTTCATGTACTGTCATACCTGTTGTTGCAATTTTTTGCTGGAGGAATTAAGTATTTCTTATGTGACCCTAACTTGGAGAAAACTTTCGGAAGCTTGAGCCTAGTTTTCTGAGAATTCATCCCATGTGCCTTATGCCTTTGTTGATTTTGCTTTGTATTCCTTAGCTATAAATTCCCTGTGAGGTACATGGATTAGAGAAAGAAAGAAAAAAAGAAAGAAAGAGAGGAAGGAAAGAAGGAAGGAAGGAAGGAAGGAAGGGAGGAAGGAAATATATATTAGCCATAAGTACAAATATATGCCAATCCTTATGAATTCTTCTAGTGCATCATTGAATATGGCAGTGGTCTTGGGGACTCTGACAGTATAGAATTCTTCTAGTGAACCACTGAATATGGATGGGAGTGGTCTTGGGGACTCTGACACAGTGGCGTAATAGTTTTTCCAGGGAAGTCCTTTGTCAGAATTTATTTTAATACTTAAACTACATTATATTTCCAATAATGAAAATGTATAAAGATAATAAATAATAATTTAAAGAATTTGACTATTCAAGAAAGAATATACTTTATCTAGCCAAATATTGGACAAAATGTTGCTACCTCATTAATCTCCACCAAGGAAATTTGCTATACTTGAGTGGCTCTTACCTTGACCTATATATAAAAAGGATGCTGACTTATAGCTGATTCACATGTTGGCTTAATTTTTTATAGGGTTAAGTTATATATTAATGTTTTTCCCTACATGGGATAAAGTTACTCAGACAAGGATTACCTGAGTAATTCTTCTGTATTTAGTACAGGACCAGGGAAAATTGTGTGTAGACATAACCTTGTAAACTCACAAAACATTCCTGTGTTTTTGTTTTTTTTTTCTTAAGAGACAGTGTCTTGCTCTGCTGACCAGGCTGGATTGCAGTGGTGCAATCGTGGCTCACTGCAGCCTTGAACTCCTGGGCTCAGGTGATCCTCCTGTCTCAGCCTCCCAAGCAGCTGGGACTACAGTGCACACCATCACACCCAGTCAATTTTTCTAATTTTTTGTAGAGACAGTCTTGCCATGTTTCCCAAGTTGGTCTTGAACTTGAGGCCTCAAGCAATCCTCCCGCCTCAGCCTCCCAAAATGTTGTATGATAGGCATGAGCCACTGCACCAAGCCCTCTGTTCTTTATCTATCTTAAATTGGTTTTATTTACATAGAAAAAACAGTTTAAACTGCACTGTCACCTACGTTTATTTTGGTGTCCACTCCAGTGAACATATTTCCTGACTAAAAAGGGTAGGGCTGATGCTGTAATTATTCAGGCATACCTTGTCTTATTATGCTTCACTTTATTGTGCTTCAAAGATACTGCATTTTTTACAAATTGAAGATTTGTGGCACCCCTGTGTTAAGCAAGTCTATCAGCACTATTTTTCCAATGGCATATGTTCATTTCCTATCTGCATCATATTTTGGTAATTCTCACAATATTTCAAACTTTTAAATTATTACTATATCCGTTAATGGTGATCAGTGATCTTTGATGTTACTACTGTAATTGTTTTGGGGAGCCATAAACCAAGCCCATATAAAACAGCAAACTGTTTAATAAAGGTATGTATGTTCTGACTGCTCTACCAACCAGCCATTCCTGGGTCTCTCTCCCTCTCTTTGGGCTTCTCTATTCATTGAGACACAACACTATTGAAATTAGGCCAATTAATAACCCTACTATGGTGTTGAAGTAGAAGGAAGAGTTGCACATCTCTCACTTTAATTTGGCTAGAAATGATAAGCTTAGTCATTTAGTGAGGAAGGTATGTTGAAAGCTGAGACAGGCTGAAAGCTAGGCCTCTTGTGCCAAACAGTTAAGCCAAGGCATAAATGCAAAGGGAAGATTCTTAAAAGAAATTAAAAGCACCACTCTAGTGAACACACAAATGATAAGGAAGCAAAACAGCTTTCTTGCTGATATGGAAAAAGTGTGAGTGGTCTGGATAGAAGACCAAAGAAACCACAATATTCTCTTAAGCCAAAACCTAATCAAGAGTAAGACCCTAAATCCTTTCAATTCTATGAAGGCTGAGAGAAGTGAGAAAGCTGCAGAAGAAAAGCTGGAAGCCAGCAGAGGATGGTTCATGAGGTTTAAGGAAAGAAGCCCCCTTCATAACATAAAAATGCCAAGTGAAGCAGTAAGTGCTGATGTCACACCTGTTGCTGCAATTTTTTGCTGGAGGAATTAAATATGTCTTATGTGTTGCAGCAAGTTACCCAGAACTAGCTAAGATCACTGATGAAGGTGATTACACTAACCAACAGATTTTCAATGTACACAAAACAGCCTTCTGTTGGAAAAAGATGCAAGCTGAGAAAAGTGGGAAATTCTGGCCTTCTCCATTATTATCAAGCCTCTAAAGATTCTGGAGATACCCCTATCTCAGCCCCACAGTCCATGTGACTTTTAAAAAAATATATATGGAGGAAACTGTGAAAGCCATATCACCCAGACATTCCTAGCTAGAGAGGAGAAGACAATGCCTCGCTTCAAAGCATCAAAAAACAGGTTGACTTGTCTAATGCAGCCAGTGAGTTTATGTTGAAGCTAATGCTCAATTACCATTCTGAAAATCCTAGGAATTATGCTAAACCTACTCTTCCTGTACTCTATACATGAAACAACAAAGCCCAGATGACAGCACAAGAGTTTAGAGTTTACAGCATGGTTTATTGAATATTTTAAGCCCAGTGTTGAGACCTACTGCTCAGAAAATAAGATTCCTTTCAAAATATTACTACTTTTTGAGAATGTACCTGGTTACATCCAAGAACTCTGTGGGAGATACACAAGAAGATAAATGCTGTTTAAATGCCTGCTAACATAACATCTATTCTGCTGCCCATGGATCAAGGAGTAATTTTAGCTTTCAAGTCTTATTATTTAAGAAATACATTTCATAAGTTTATACCTGCCATAGATAGTGATTCCTCTGATGGGTCTGGAAGAAAACCTTCTGGAAAGGATTCATCATTCTAGATGCCACTAAGAACATTTGTGATTTATGGGAGGAGGTAGAAAAATGTCAACATTAAAAGAAGTTTGGAAGAAGTTGATTCCAACCCTCACAGATGACTATGAGGGGTGCAAGACTTCAGTGGAGGAAGTACTGTAGATGTTTTGGAAACAGCAAGAGAACTAGAATTAGAAGTAGAGCCTGAAGAGGTGACTGACTTGCTGCAATCTCATGATAAAATTTGAATGGATGAGGAGTTGCTTCTTACAGATGAGCAAAGAAAGTGGTCTCTTAGATGAAATCTGCTCCTGGTAAAGATGCTGTGATGTCATTTTTGAAATGACAGCAAAGGATTTAGAATATTCTATGGACTTGGTTGATAAATCAGCAGCAGAGTTTGAAAGGACTATGCCAATTTTGAAAGAATTTCTACTGTGGGTAAAATGCTATCAAACCACAACACATATGACAGAGACATCTTTCATAAAAGAGTCAATCGGTGCAGCAAACTTCGTTGTTGCCCTATTTTCAAAATTTGCCACAGGCACTTCAGCTTTCAGCAACCACCACCCTGATCCATCAGGAGCCATCAACATTGAGGCAAGACCCTCCACCAGCAAAAAGATTATAACTCACTGAAGGCTCAAATGATCAATAGCATTTTTCAGCATAAAATCTTTTAAAAGTAAGGTATTTACATTGTTTTTAGACATAATGCTATTGCATACTTAATAGACTACAGTAATGGTATAAAAAAAACTTTTATATATACTAAGAAACCCCAAAATTTGTGTAACTCACTTCATCGTGATACTTGCTTCATTACAGTGATCCGGAACCAAACCCATAATATCTCCAAGGTATGCCTGTGTTTATGTTGTTGTTAATGGTGTAGTTTTAAGTTCTCCTAGGTACATATTATTTTAGTTTAAAAAATAATATAATAATATATTATCGTGCTTGAGGACCAAAAATGTATCTGGGATCTAAAAAAAATGTGTATAAATAGTGGAACAGATCACAACTTCTTTAAGTTCTCTTACCATATGCAATTTTATATTGTTGCTATAAAACCTAGAAGTTCAGCTTCCAAAATATAGTGGACACCTGTTTTGTCAGTGGCATTTATGTGCAAATGTAACGAATTAGAAAGAAAATATATAGCTAGACTTACGTTTTCACTAGATTCTCTTGCATCCTAGGCAGTTGATCCACCTGTTGCCTTTTAGAAACTTGATGTAAACCAGAACCCTGAAATACAAAAATTTGAGTGTTTATCCCCTTGGTTCATAATTGATTTCAGAAATAAGAGAGACAGTCAATTCTCAATTAACTCTCCCATAACCAGGTTCTTTTGCAGCATGTGTAAGAGAAGCTGAGAAAAATGGGAAATTCTGGCCTTCTCCATTATTATCAAGCCTCTAAAGATTCTGGAAATCCCCCTATCTCAGCCCCACAGTCCATGTGACTTAAAAAAAAAATACAGAGGAAACTGTGAAAACCATATCACCTATGTGGTATAGATCATTAAAACTTCTTGTAGTAGACACTAAATATAGATAATGCAGGCACCCTGCCATTACAGTAGATAAGACAATAGAAGCTGTAGTATTTTGAGGCAGAAATAGAAAGACAAGATAATATTTTCATTTTTGCCTATCTTGAAATTCCTCCAGGATATAAAAGTGGAAATTTCTAGTGGTCAGTGTAAATGTAATCTGCAATTCAGAAACAATTGAGAATGATGATCTTAGAGATGGCAAATGAAGCCAAGAGTGAATGAGATCATTCATTGAGGGTACACAGAGAAGTAAGAGAATCAATAATACAAACTGAGAAAGCAACTTTTAAAGGATAGGACAATTACCAAAGATAGACAGGCCATCATTTAAACAATAAGAAAACCCAGGAAAAACTACTATCATAGAAGTCAAGTCAGGGAGGGTGGGGAGTATTCAAAGAAGTGAGCATGGTTGGCAGTGTAAAATGCCTCACAGATGCTTCGCCAAATTTGAAGAGGAGTTGCTGTATTTGGCTATTAAGAGATAAACTAGGCGAAAGCATGATGGCGGGGTCACAAGAGAAATGAAAAGAGATAGAGGACTAAAAAGCAATGGCAATGAGTATATTCATTTATTCATGAAGTTTGGCTGAGAAAAAGAAAGCTAAGGTGGTAGTTTTATGAGGACAGTTAATCGTAAAGTAAAAGTTTGTTTTTATTTTGTTTTGGTGGAAGAGTTGAGCATGTCACAAGCAAAGGATAAGCCAAAGGCAGTAAAAGAGAGATTAAAAATATGCGAAGGGATATTATTAAGTAAGTCCTAGAGACAGCAGATAAGACTGGGGAAGAGGTTTGGGATCATTTTCCTTTAAGACAGGAAGAACAGGATAGTAAATCTGAAAATAAAAAGGAGGAAAATTGGGTTTCACACCTGATAGATTCTCTTTTTGGGTGTGAGCTAAGATATTAGATCATTTGATATGAGTGACAGGTTTGGGTATATTGGAACAGAAAATAGAATTCATTCATTCATTCAGCTAATGTTACTGAGCATCTACTATATGCTGCCACTACATTAAGCACTCAGGTACAAAGACAAACGGGTTATGGTTCTATCGGGGAAACAGCAAAATAAATAGGTGATTACAATTAAGTGCCTTGATGGAGATGTGCACAGGTGCTTTGCAAGCATACAGGAGATGTAGCTAATTGAGGGTATGGGGGACTCCACATGGAAGAGCAGCCAATTAAGAACTAAGGAAAGAATATTCTAGGTAAAAGTAACAGTAAGGACCTTAGGTATAAAGCAGCAGATATATCCAGGAATAGCACATAGCATTTGGTCTAACGGCAGTCTAGGATATTAGCAGGGATATGGCTGCAGAGACAGGAACAGCCAAGTTGAAGAGGACCCTGCAGAGACCACACCAAAAGAGCTTTGCTGTGATCCTCTGGGTAATGCAAACTGAAGGTTTTTAACAGGAAAGAACACTATTGTATCTGTATTTCAGAATGATAGGCAGCAGAGAAGAAAAATGGGTGTGGCAGAGTTAGTTAAGACTTTGGTAACTATGCTGTTGACATTATATCTAAAGTACTAAATTTAAACCTAAGTACTACATTTAAACCTAGGCAGCCACATTTTTAAATGAACAATAACAGAATTGTCCAAAAAGGCAGCTGAAATACCTGGGCAGTCTGGAACCTATGTTATGAGGAATGGCTAATGTAACTTAATATTTTAGCTTAGAAAACAAAACAAAACAAAAACCTATGGGAAGACTGAGAGTCATTTACAAATCTTTGAAAAACTATCTTGCAGGAGTGTAGACTTGTTCTTATTCTTCAGAGGATGTAACTAAAACCAGTGGATTTTAAGGAAGTTTCAGGAAAAGAGAATAAGAGGCATCATATGATGTTTTAACAATTTTAACAATTAGAACTTCCCGATAATGAAACAGAAAAGCCTCAGATTCCTTATCTGTGAGCTAAAAGCATTATATTCCTCAATCTCTCAGAGCCATTGCTAAAATCCTATGTTTACAAAGATAGAAGCTAAAACTTAAGTTTATTATGTGCTGCAAAAAGCTCTAATCGGTCTTTCTGCCTGACTTTTAAGTAATGCAACGTACCTATGTGTTAAAAAGCAATGTCCGTATTGTACTTATGTTGTGCATATCAGAAGACTCCCAAGAGGGGGAAACTCAGTTTCATTCAAAACAGTGAATCAAGAGTGAGACAAAGCTACAGAGAGGACAGCAGCAGAAGGATAAACAGCACACTCAGCAAATAGCTCTAGTTATCTACCAATGAATCAATTATTTATGTATTCAGCATGGGAAGAACTGCAAATCATCCATTAACCTTTCCAATCACCGTAGTATCCACATGGTTAGAACTGTCCTTCACTATAAAGATTAACAATTCACTCTAGAGTGAAAATCTTTAACATTTATACTGGGGACAGTATTAACATCTTCCTGGGAAGCTGTTAAAATAGGCTTTTATCATATGTTCAGTGATCCTGCGGAGTCAGAGTAGGATTATTTCACATAAGTGAATTTTTCATATAAACTAAGGTAAATGAATGCTTTGGGGACAAAAGACTTTACTTTTAACCTTAAAAAAAATCCTCCAACAATGTTTTATATATCACCTTTTTCTTAATAACTTGGGCTTATGATTATGAGCATACATTTCTATTTTATGTTCAGTTCAGTAAATAATTTTGCATATTTGCTTTTTGCCACTCTTTGTGAAAGGGAATAGAAAGCATGAGTCACCCTGACTGACCTCAGGGAGGAACCTACAGCTGAGTGAAGCAAACAGATATATCAGCAATAAGGGACCAAGAGGAAGGCTAAGGCAAGTAGAAATTCTGGTGCCCCTGTCACAGAGAGGGGCTAGGAAAATCAGAAAAGAAACACAGGAAAGTGATATTCACCATTTACTGGAATTTAAAACCTATTATGTGTCAGAAACTTCAACCAGCACTTCGCACATATTATTTCTCTACATACTCACAAAACCCCTGCAAGATACTGATATTTCCTTTTCACAGGTGAGGAAGGAAATTAAGGCCCAGAAAGGTCACATGGTAGTAAGTGCAGAGCTGGGATTCAAATTCAGATTTGCAATGCCATTACAGTCTGGTCTTTTCATCATGTCATGGCCCCATAAAGAGGTAGTGTTTGTGCTAGACCTTGAAGGATGTGGAATTGGCATGTATGAGAAGGAGCACATTCCAAGCACATAGTCTGAGGAAAGGCATAAAGATGCCTGTGATCTAGGAGGAACCAGTGCCTTCAGCCCAGTATCAAGGAACATGAAGTTTGAGCTAATCATCCATTTACAGACAAGAGAATGCAAGAACTTATCCTATCTTGTCTCAATTTCTTACTTACCTTAGTCAACACTACAACACATACTTCCCTTTACCAACAATAGAACTGACTTTCTCAAAATTTTCTAAATGTCCCCCATTAGCTCTAATCCCCAAACCTAATGCCCTTCCTCTCAATCCTTTCATTATCCCTCTAGATATTCTGGATCAGTGACTAGCAGATTATTCTGCATGCCACTCCCATCCTCAAAATCCTCTACCTCCTTGTCTGACCTAGCTATGTCTTCAGGACTCCAACCCTCTTTTCGGCTCTTCCTCCCTTGACTGTCACTGTTGAACTTCTTCAGAGCAATATCCCAGACTATTTCTTCTTTTCCCACTGTATATTCTCCCCAAAGCATTTCATTCATTCAATGACTTCACTTTTTATATAATAATTTTGAAATTTTATATAATAATTTGAAATTAATAATTTTCAAATCTTTATTTGTTTCCTGAGAGTCATATATCCAACTGCTCTTTGGACACTTCCATTTGGATAACACACATTGAAAACTGAGTTTACATCCTAATCTTAAAACATATGCCAAAATAAGATTAATATTGATTAAATATTTAAACGTCAGATATTATGCTATACAAATACTAAAATATGTGGTGAATGCTATGAAACATTGAGATGGTCTTTTTAACTGTAACATTAGAAATCATAAATAAAAGATAGCTCTGACAACCTCAAAACAAAAACTCTACAATACCAACGATATCATAAATAAAACTGAAAGGCAAATGGATAGCTTGAAAATAGATGCAACACCTTTCATAATTTACTGATCACCTCTTTGTCCTGTATTTATAAGTACGCACTTCTACTAACAAAAGTTCCATCTCTCGAGATCTTACCATGCATAATTATAAAGTGAAGTGCCTTGAATTTCATGATAGCCCAGAGATAGCAGCTACCTGTTTGAATTCTAGTGATTAGTGGTGAAACTAAAAGGATAATTAAGGAAGCAAATACAAAAAATAACCTCTTAATTTGGAAAACTGTTATGTCCTTTTTACTTTTTTTTTTTTTTCTGAGATGGAGTCTTGCTCTATCAGCCAGGCTGGAGTGCAGTGGTGTGATCTTGGCTCACTGCAACCTCTGCCTTCTGGGTTCAAGCTATTCTCCTGCCTCACCTCTGAGTAGCTGGGACTACAGGCGCCCACCACCACGCCCAACTAATTTTTGTATTTCTAGTAGAGACAGGGTTTCGCTATGTTGACCAGGCTGGTCTCAAATGCCTGACCTCGTGATCCGACCACCTCAGCCTCCCAAAGTGCTGGGATTACAGGCTTAAGCCACAGTGCCCAGCCCTTTTTATTTTTTATACAAGTTGTATATTTTCCTGTCTACCCTCCATATTTAGAAACTTAACTCCAAAATCTGCTTCTCTCCCAAACCAAAAACAAAACCTAGAAAAGTGAAAAACATAATTTACAGTAAGAAGAAACACTTAGAATTTGGAAATAAAAAAGAGTTACCTGAGACATTTCAGCTAGGTATGTACGGCGTTCATTGTTGATCTTCTGGTAAGCCTGTGTGAAGATACAAAAGCAAAGGGTCCAACATATGAGAAGATTAGCAATACTAGCAAGACTAAGTTAAGGTGTATGTCTCTATAGTGTAGGAAATAGTTTTGTGTTAATTATAGAGTAGGTTTGTAGATAACATTAGAAATAATGGCAGTTTCAAAGGAATTGCTAAGTATAGAGTAAAAACAAACCTTTGATTCTTGTTCCAGTTTAAGTGCATAGTATTTCACTTGACTTTCAAGAGTCTTCTTTTCTTCTTCTAGCTGTTTAAGTAATGTGTTTAAGGATTCCTAAAAATATAAATAGTAAAATTTTATATGTACTCATGTTCTAAACAAAATAAGAAATGACCATCAATTTCTTCACTAGTAAATGCCTTGTATACCTAATATTTTGTGATTTCATAATTCTATGATATGTACTTTTTTTTTTTTTTTTTTTAGACAGAGTCTCACTCTGTCACCCAGGCTGGAGTGCAATGGCATGATCTTGGCTCACTGCAACCTCCGCCTCCCAGGTCTATGCGATTCCCCTGCCTCAGGCTCCCAAGTAGCTGGGATTACAGGCACCTGCAACCATGCCAGGCTAATTTTTTGTGTTTTTAGTAGAGACGTGGTTTCACTATGTTGGCCAGGCTGGTCTCAAACTCCTGACCTCAGGTGATCCACCCACCTCAGCCTCCCAAAGTGCTGGGATTACAGTCGTGAGCCACTGCACCGGGCTAATGTGTACTTTTTAAGTAATAGTAATAATCACAATATTTATTGAACCCTAACAATATGTCATGTATTGTACTAAGTGTTTTTCTTTTTTTCATATTAAACTATCTTTATTTGAAAAACGGTATCGTACAAACCTAACACTCTCTATCAAACTTCAATAAGGGCAATTTCCACATCGACTAATGAATAGTAGCTAAACTAACAAGAGATCAATCAAAAGTGCTTTCAAAGGAGCAGCACTGGCTGATGTTCTGCTGAGGCTGTGGGCATTCAGGACCTGGCTACAGGGAAAACAGAATCAAACCAGCTGGTGCTTTGGACCCAAGCCCTCACATCGTGACCTGCCTCCCTCCTGGGGGCCCTGGCACTTCCAGGTTCCTTTGGCACTTCCTGGCCCCTGTGGGGGCAGGAACTTGGCCTCACAGTTAGCTGGCTTCTGCCTGTTGTGGTCATTTTTTTTTCCAGAGTGCCCAGAGTGCTCTCTCAGTGGACATGGCGGTCATCCAGCTTTCCTGAGGTGTTTTCTCAAGGAAGAGGGTCTTGCTGTGAAAACTGGAAGTGTCTTTCTTCAATTCTTGGGCCAGTTCTAGGAACAACTTGTAGCAGTCTGATACAAGCAGTTCAAGTTTTCATGCACCTTGTGAAGTCTCTGGTCGGGGTCCAGGCAGTAGGTGTCCTCCTCCATGGACTGCTGCTGAGACCCCATCATGCGTTCTCCATGCAGTTCAGATAGAGTGGGGAGGGTCAGCTACAGCTTCGGGAACTCTCCCACAGGCTGTGCCCTTGCACCCTGCAGAAAGCCCTGCTCCCTGGTGTGGTGGCTCACACCTGTAATCCCAGCACTTTGAGAGGCCGAGGCGGGTAGATCACTTGAGCTAAGGAGTTCGACACCAGCCTGGCCAACATGGCGAACCCTGTCTGCACTAAAAATACAAAAATTAGCTGGCATGGTGGCGCATGCCTGTAATCCCAGCTACTCGGCAGGCTGAGGAAGGAGAATCGCTTGGAACCCAGGAGGCAGAGGTTGCAGTGAGCTGAGATTGTGCCACTGCACTCCAAGCTGAGTGACAGAGCAAGGCTCCATAAAAAAAAAAAAAAAAAAGAGGCCTGCTTGCCGATCAGACTTTGGACTTGTCCTGTGAGTTCTTTCCTTCTTTGGATTTCTTCCCATAATTGCATTCTGCTTCTCCAACATCCCCTCAGGAAATAAGAAGGATGCACCTAAGCTACCATTGTCATCCACAGTCTTCAGAGGAACTTGTGGCCAGGACGCTGAAGAGGACCCACTATGTCCTGCTTCCCCAATCCCCATTCACTGCCAAGTCCTCGTCCTCCACGTAGTCTCTTACCACCCTTGACCAGATGCAGGGCGCTCAGCACGGTGTGGGCCAGGGAGGTCAGTTGTCCCACTCCAATATTCATGTGGGCTGTTTCATTCCTGTCTTGGCCTGCTCCAGCCTTTCCTTCTCCTTCTTTGCCTGCAAGCGTTGCTTCCATCTTGCAATTTCTTGGCTGGGCAGCTGTGCAGGTTGCTGATGGTCAGTGCTGTCATTCAGATCATCTGCAGTTTGCCCTTGAAGATCTCCAGCATGCTGTGAAGTGTGAGGGACGTGATTTGCATCAGTCACTTAGGGAAGTTCAGGAGGCCTGTTTTTTCACGCTTTTCTCAGCTCACTGTTTTAGTTCGTTCTCATGCTGCTATGAAGAAATACCCGACACTAGGTAATTTATAAAGAAAAGAGGTTTAACTGACTCATGGTTCTGCATGGCTGGGGAGGCCTCAGGAAACTTATAATCATGGTGGAAGGCACCTCTTCACAGGACAGCAGGAGAGAAAATGAGAGCAAGCAGGTGAAATGCCAGACACTTATAAAGCCATCAGATCTTGTGAGAACTCACTATCACAAGAACAGCATGGAGGAAACAGCCCCCATAATCAATGACCTCCATCTGGTCTTGCCCTTGACATGTGGGAATATTACAATTCAAGATGACATTTGGGTGGGAACACAGAGCCAAACCATATCACTCAGTCACGTCTGAAGGGAAGGCCTACTCATTTCATTTAGAACCCCTCAAGCAGAGGTTTTTGAGTGATCAAGGACTGACCTCCAGCATGGGTGATATGAGGCCCCCACCGGCCTGGGGTGCTGGCCACATCTTGGCCCTGGCCTCTCTGTGGACCTCACCCTGGGCTGAACCCCTCTGGGCTGTCTCTTCCCTTCTTCTCACTGCATGTCATCTCCTGATCATAAAGGCCACCACAGCAGCACATGTCTGATCACCCAGAGTGTCCATAGGTTCCCTGGCACTAGTCCCAGGATTCTGCACATCACTAATTACTACTGCCCACAGGTGGGCCAGCAGCAGCTGGGTAGGCACTGTGTGGCAGGCAGAGGTGCTCTCTGGCTCCTGAGGGCTCTGCAGCTCTGCTTCCATTTGCTAGTGGCCTGTGGGCCACAGCTGACCACTAGTGTTCTGTCTTTAACACAAACAAGGGCCTAACGACCAGGTAGACCACCTATTGAGCTGGGGATAGGGGAGGTACCCGGTGTTATAGAAAACTGTGTTCTTGATTTGGCTGTACAAATAGAAAGTGACATTACTTATGCAATGCCTTGGGGGAGTGGAAAGAGCTCATGGCAGCCCCTAGCTCAGGCCATTTCAGGCCCCATCTAGCCCTACAGCACAGCTAGAAGGTCAAAGCAGGGCTATCTCATAGCCCTGTGTCCACACAATCCTCTCAGGGCACTGTGGTGGCCCATCCCTGGTGAGGTTCATTACCCTAATTTCAAGTTTCCTTCTGCTTCAGGGAAGCCTGGTCCTGCCTACAAAGAGTCTGTCTACCGGCTGGGCGTGGTGGCTCATGCCTGTAATCCCAGCACTTTGGGAGGCCGAGGCAGGCAGATCACGAGGTCAAGAGATCGAGACATCCTGGCCAATATGGTGAAACCCCGTCTGTACTAAAAACACAAAAATTAGCTGGGTGTGGTGGCAAACGCCTGTAGTCCCAGCTACTCGAGAGACTGAGGCAAGTGAGTCGCTTGAACGCGGGAGGCGGGGGTTGTAGTGAGCCAAGATCACACCACTGTACTCCACCCTGGCAACACAGCAAGACTCCAACTAAAAAAAAAGAAAAAAAGAAAAAATCTTTCTACCTTACTAGATTGAGCTCCTTGTAAAAGGGACTATGTTTTCTTCATCTCCATATCCCCAGTAGCTAGCCAGTGCCCAGTATACACTAAGGGCTCAGTCATTGTCTTATTTTGTTGTCTACTCTGACTTAGGACATGTCACTTCCCCTCTTGACCTCCATATTCAGATCTGTGAATGAGTAAGTGGGTAAAGTCCCTCTAGCTTTAAAAGCCCTCCAATATAGACAGAACTCAGAAACCAGAACCAGAAGCTGAGGAATGGCGAATGGAACATTTTCCCTGGTGTGATGGATGAGACCGCAGATCTGGCTACTAGGGTGATTTTTTTGCCACTTGAAAGCCTCTGCAGAATTTGACCCTAGTTTTCAAATCAGACTCTAGAATGATCTTCAGTGTTGGTGGTTTTGCTTTTGAGACTGTTATTGACACAACAGTTTCTGGAAATCTTTTTCAAGGAGAGTATGGGGGCTTCTTTGGCCAAATTGGGTGGGTGCAGGCTCCATCAGCTCAGCAGCTGCTGTCTGGGCCACAGCCTGTCTGCTGAGTCCTGCTCCCCTACAGAGGTTTTTGTCAGAGGCATTTGAAACAGAGCAACTCCATCTTGAATAGAGGCTAGGTAAAATAAGGCTGAGACCCACTGGGCTGCATTCCCAGGAAGTTAGACAATCTTAATCACAGGATGAAATAGGAGGTTGGCACAAGGTACAGGTCAATAAAAGGATGCAGTAAAGAAATGGGGCAAAACCCACCAAAACCCTAGATGGCAACAAAAGTAACCTCTGGTTATCCTCACTGCTCATTATATGCTAATTATAATGTATTAGCATACTAAAAGACACTTCTATCAGCACCATGACAGTTTACAAATGCCATGGCAACATCAGGAATTTACCTGTCTAAAAAGGGAAGGAACCCTCATTTCCAGGAGCTGCCCACCCCTTTCACGGAAAACTCATGAATAATCCACTCCTTTAGCATATAATCAAGAAATAAGCACAAAAATAGCCAACCAGCACCCCGGGGGCTGCTCTGCTGATGGAGTGGCCATTCTTTTATTCCTTTACTGTCTTAATAAACTTGCTTTCACTTTACACTACGGATTTGCCTCTAATTCTTTTTTGTGCAAGATCCAAGAACCCTCTCTTGCAGTCTGGATCGGGACCCCTTTCCATTAACAGTTTCTCCAGACATTACAGTGTGACTGGCCATGTCATCTGTCACAGGTGTGAAAACAATCAAAACCAAGAGCCTGAAGCTGCCGGGATGAGTGCCTGCAGAGGAATCCTGCTCCCTGCAGGCACATCTAGAATGTGTTCCTGTGCTGGGGCCCTGCTCTTTCCAAGAAGGCAGGCTCCAGGGACTCCCAGGATCCTGCTCCCTCGGATACCACAGTCTATGTAGGCAGCAGGACTAAAGTGATGAGAGCCGCCATGATAGTGAGGGCCGAGAGCAGGATGGCGGAATTAGAAGGCAGCGTCCTGACCCCTGGCGATGAGCTGAGTCAATTGGTCCCTGTCTCCCCCTCAGAGCCACCATCTTGTCGTGGCTTCCCTCAGGAACATTATGAGCTCTCCCCCAGGAAGCGCTTCTTGGTTTCCCATTGTTACCGGATGGAAAGTCTTGACTGCCAGTTGTCCAAGTTCTTGGTGTATTGAACAAAGACTTGAACAAAATGCTCAAACAAAGCAATGGACGACAGCGACATACATTTGTTGAAGCAAAAGGACACTCCACAGAGTGAAGCAGGCTTAAGTAAGTGGCTCAAGAGGTCTGAGTATGTTCCCTGGGGTTATTAACTAAAAGAACTTGATAACACCCTTTAGAGGTTTCCAATTGGTTACACACTATGCAAATGAAGACAGCCCACGACCAACCAGAGGCTGAAGACATGGCCTGCAATCAATCAGAGGCTGAAGTGGAGTTACACTCTATGCAAATGAAGGATAGGCTCACGACCAATCAGAGGCTGAAGTGAAGACTTGGCCCACGACCAATCAGAGGCTGAAGTGAAGACTTGGCTCGTGACCAAAGGTTGAAGTTTTCCTTTAGGTTTAATTCCAAGAAGTCAGAGGCAGGTTGGCCTTAGGCTCCCTGTCTCCAGACCCTATTCTCCTGCCTCATCTTCTCCAGACTCCCACCAGGTGGTGGCCTCTCTGGCCCTGCCAGGGACTGGGCGCAGGGAGGGGAGGGGTGGCTGACAGGCCTGCCTGAGGCAGGTGGGCAGTTTGTGGCCTTCGGGCATGGCCTGCTCCAATGGAGGTGCCTCCTTGGCCTGCCCCAGCTCAGTCCCTCTCCATGCCTCTGGGAGCCCTGGGCCTAAATGCTTTTCATAGATTATTTCATTTAATCCTTATTACAGTTGAAATGGCTAATATATTTCTATCTAACTGTTGAGAAGATTGCAGCTTATAGAGATTACATAACTGGCTCAAAGACACGCAGCTAATAATGGTAGAGCTGGAACGTGAACCCAGGTAAAATGACTCCAAAGGCAACAGAGGGTAAACAATTATTATATGTGTGTTCATTTTATTGTTACCATTGTAACAAAAGAGGTACAGGCAAAGACATTTAAAGAGGATGTCCTACTGTTAACTGTATACTCTCAGTCGATTTTTACTTCCTGGTGAAAACTAACTTAGAAATCTACAAAAACAGGATCAAACAGGCATCCAAATATAGGAAAAAGTGTATGGCACTTTTTTTATAAAAAGATGGAATGTAGTGAATTATCTTGATCCACATCAGTAATACCATATATATACATGATTATAAATTGTTAGAGAAATATACAATTAAAATGTATAATTGTTATCTTCCAATCTGAGTTACACTAGTTTCCTGGTATTAGTAAAACAAATGTATGGAAACCCTTATGTAAAAAACTCCAGCTACTTGTGATGAGGAGTATCTAGGTTAAGGTCTTACAACTGGTCTACTCTGTAATATCCTCACAATTCTCCTTTAGTGCCTATTCTACCACTCTACTTCTTCCACTTCTTTGGCTTGATAAATAATCTCCTTTTCGTGATCATATTGTTTTTCATTTTTTGTGTTAGTGCATCCCTCACAAACTCTAGAACTTTCTTTTCTGAATGCTACTTTTCATAAGAGCCTCCTACCCCCATCTGTTTTAGCTTTTCAGAGAGGACCTAGAAGTACACGGTTTCCTGGGTATCACATATAGAAATGTAGAAAAGCTTTCAAGAATCTAATAATCCTTCTACCTGGCCAACATTCACTGAGGGCAGAAATCTGTACTGACTTGATAACTGGGGATGAGGAAATCTGGGAAAGAGGTATGTGGATGGTCCTATAAAAGTGGGAACAAAGGGTGAAATCCCTGTATTGCGCAGTAATTTTCACCAGAGAGCACCCACTGTGTAAGAGGCATTAAACCAAGTGGACCAAAGGCTTAACCAGGAGATAGCATCTGGTTTCTGTTCTTGGTCACCCCAGTGGGTGGACAATGAGCTCATGAACAGTAACCACAGTGGCTGAGATGGCGACTTTGCATTGGCTCAACAGCATGGGTCCCTTCCCACCAAGACTAATCTAGTACTGCTGCTGCTCAATGTCTAGCCTGCCAATAAGAGACGACAACATAAGCCCCTGTTACTGTGCCATCCTTCAAGATCAATCAGCTGCTTGGTGGCAAGCTGATTATACAAGATGCCTTCCAACCTCAAAAGAGCAACAATTCATCCTGACAAGTGTTCCTGATAGTTTTACCTTTCCTACCACAGTGCCTCAGCCAGCAACATAATTTGGCAATCTATCAGTTCTGAGAAGGAAGTTTGTTTGTTTTTTCACTCAAAAGGGCTCCTTTAGGCCAAAAAAACAATCTTACTATCCTTTTCAGGTGGGACTGGCTGGACACTCAACTGGTTGATATCCAAGACTGGCAGCCTAGCATAATTAGGGGCTCAAAGCATATGAGTTGAAGGCAGAATGCTAGGCATAGAGCTAATTCATAGCAAAGAAAACCCACACTACCACTAGAAGATAACATGTGCCTGTTCCGTAGGAAAGCTGTATTCTTTATGATTAGACTTGCCTCCAGAGCCTGCCCTGTGATCACAGAACTGAACATTAGAAACATGCCACTGGGAACTTGCTGGTTGGAATTTACTGCAGTGCATTTGTGAGTTCAGGTAAATTCGTCAGTTGATTTTAGCCCAGTAGACCCAGATGCCAATTTACTCTAAATCTGCTTAGGTCTGGGTTGTTTAATCATCCCACACTTTTTAGTTTTCTCTTATACTCTGGGAAAACCATTAAGAGGTGCCCCTGTTGAGAGACTGTCACATGTCAGAAACTTTTTCAGGAAGTTCATATAGAGGAATAACTGTCTACCCCTCTAGTGCTGCCCAGAAATGCTTGGCCCCACCCAACTTGAATCTACCACCCAGAAATGACTTATGTTAACAATTAAACCTCCTCTGCCAACACTTCAGCACATAGTGTTCAGATTACCAAATACACAGCCCTTGGGGAGGTATGTGATCTCATCCTTAGACAAAAAGGAGATGGGTGGAAATAATTTTCTAAGGCCAGCCTGACCAATCTCACATAATGCTATTTGAACTGTACCAGCATGACTGTGCCAGTACCTGATCAATGATGAACACCTCCATCTCCTTCTGGGTGTGAAAGTACATTATATATTGATTTACTGCTAGATCTAGTCTCCTACTGGCCCTGTCCTGGTAGTCTTGGACTCCTCTAACATGTGCCACAAAGATTAGTTCTAATACCTAAATAAATAGAAGTACT
The DNA here is from genome assembly GCF_000001405.40 of Homo sapiens. Classification (NCBI taxonomy): domain Eukaryota; kingdom Metazoa; phylum Chordata; class Mammalia; order Primates; family Hominidae; genus Homo; species Homo sapiens. The sequence continues at coordinate 36,262,507 of NC_000013.11, forward strand.
ACTAGCTTTGAACTATACCTAGGAATTCAAGTCATGCTTCAAATATGCTTTTAATTGTGGCTCAAGCCTTCAATCATGAAAACCTGAAGATCCCCTGCCCCAACTGAAAGGATAAAGGTGGCTGGAGGGGTGAAGATTGGTATATACTGGATAGCCCAGCATAGCATCTTTAAAGAATGATTTTTACCTAGGAAGTATGTTCTGGGCTCTGCTCTGTGCATAAAAGGGCCATCTAACTATAGGTCCAGAGCTAGTGGCCTTGCTTTCTTGAACTATGTCTCTGTGCCCAGCTCTGGATCAGTGATGGGGGTATCTCTTTTCTAAGAGATACTGTGGTTGGCCAGTCTATGTAAGGTCTCCACCTCTAGACTAATGAGCTCTGGGGACATATAAAGCAGTGAAAACTCTTTTGGTATAAAGCATATGACTGAAAGAAGGAGAAAATACAATTTGCAGAAGGAGGTGAGTTCTGTCCTAGAAGAAGCCAAAGGGAATGCTGGTCAAACCAAACCAAAATGCCCTCTACAAAGGAGATGTTAAAGCCCAGGGTTTGGCCATGGTATCTGGGTTGCTGAAAAGGAGTAGGAGAGGGAGGGATTAATAGAATTAAGCAGTTCGAGGAATTTCAAGGCTATAGTATGTGTTGAATTTACAATCAAGTTCCCCAAAACATTGGTACGAAAGTAGAGGAAAAAAAGGGTTAGAGGTCAGAGCAATAACATACTCATTTGGTTTAAAATTTAATCCCCAACTGATAACTGATCATTTTCAGTAACTCCAATTAGTTCTCACATTCTTGCAAATTAAAGGGAAAAAATCTTCAAGTCAAATTCTCTCAATTATATTGGTCATGATCTAGGTCACTAAATCTATTAAAAGAATCATTCAAAGAAAAATGGAAGCAGCTGATTTATATCTCCACAAAGCAAAACTGCAAAATATTTTAGAGCTCATACCTTCCTGAAACACAGCTACTTCTCTAAACACTTTATTCTCTCTTAGATACTTCTTAACAATTATTAGAATTTTAAAAATTATATTAAGAGAATAATTAGGTGAAACAGGACAAGTTCCAGTCTCTGAAAATAATTCTAGTGATAAAACAAGTCCCTCAGAAATGACACATCCTCACTATATATGTTTGACTAACATCCCTGTTAAAACATAATTGGGTGATATTTCTCAGGTAGGTATTATTGTTCTTCAAAAATTAATTACACACTAGTATCATGAATGGTTTCCAGTTCCCTTCCCCCAAATACAAATTTGCTCCAGAAGAAAATCAATAAAAGGTAAACATATGCAAGAAGCTAAACTGAATCATTTTATAGAAAATTAAAGCCCTATGAAATAAACTGCTCAATATGAAGAGCTTTTGAAGGGATAATCAGGGGGTGAGGGAGGTAGTTCAAAATTCTGCCACATGGACGCTTGCTCCAAGAATTCCAAGTTTAGGCTACCATAGTAACATAGATCAGTTACATAATTTGTTAAATACATTTATAGATGTAAAATGAATCCAACCCTTTTTAGTATAGTTTTAATGGAAAATGTATTCTAAGTTCTAAAAGAAGTTAGCTTACAAATAACTTTCTGAAACACAAATTATTTTGGCATTAAAGATAACCTGAATTAGATGGGATTCAAAACTTTAGAAATTCATACCCAAAAAAAGTACATTCAAAATAGCAGTTAAAAATACAGGCAATATATGATTAAAAGCCAAAATCTGAAACATACACAATAAATACTTCAGAAGTTTTTAAAAGAAGTTGATCAACATGGGCTACAGAGTCCCTAAAATGAGAAGGATTTAGATGGAAAAAGTGAGATGAAAGAGCTATATACTGGTCACAGGCTTGAATCAGAAATGATTATTTAATGAGAGTGATACAGCTGAAGCAAAATATTTGAGCAATAAATAAAAAAAAAAGTAGGATACCTAGGGAAGGACCTGGATAAAGAAAGCTTAACATGTTAGGCTCAGGAGTCTAAGAACTGGGAGCTATTCCAAGTTATTAAAGAAGAGATATGATGAAAATAGGGACTTAGGAATATTAGTCAAGTGGCAGTCTCTCTGACAGAGGATGTTTTCTGTTACTTTCAGGTGTGAATTTGCAATTCTAACTCTCGAGGCTTAAAAATTTTTAATATACCTGTACTTCCTTTGTGACTTAGACTATATCTTGCTGCTATTCCCAACCTGACTAGATTCCTTGTCTCGTAGCCTAATTTTACAATTCATTCATTTATTCAAAAACTAGCTATGAAGCACCTCTTATGTGTCAGGCATTGTGCTAGGGATAGCACACTAAAAATTACAAACCCAGACCCTGTCCTCATGAAGCTGAGAATCTAATAGGGGATTCAGAATGTGGTCTGTCTTGATGAATGTTACATGTGAGCTTGAGAAGAATCTGTGTTCTGGTGGTGTTGGATGGAATATTCAATAAATGTCAGTTAGATCAAGTTGATTGGTAGCACTGTTCAGGTCAACTGCCTGCTTGATTTATCAATCACTGACAGTGGGATGTTGAAGTCTCCAACTTTCATAATGGATTTGTCTATTCTTCCTCCAGTAATTTATCAAAATTACCATTTAGGTGCACCTACCAGTTTACAATTCTAGCAGCTCTCATTTTAGGTAAACAGATCTCAGTTGTGACCGTCCACTTTTGTCTGTTTATCCAGATTTCAGGGTAGGAGTTTGCCCTGCAAATTCAATTTTCTAATGGGTCCAAGAAAAGTCATTGATTTTCAGTTTGATCACCATTTTCTTGTTGTGACGACAAGATTGACAACTTTCAAGATATATACACGTTCTAGTTGAAACAAGGAGTCACAAACTGATCACCTTTTCTAACTGAAATGAAAAGAATGTATTCTCCAAATCAATGGCTGCACAGCCTGTAACTGAAACCTTATTAATCTACTCTGGCAGTGATATCACATCGGGCAAAGTAGCTGCAAATGAGGCTACTAATTGTTTAAGTCTGCAGTAGCCTACAGTTTTTCCCCATAAGACACCCAGTTTCTGCAGCCATTAGGCTGGCAAATTAAAGAGAGCTATGTTAGGCAGCAGTATATTTGCGTCTTTTAGGTCTTTAATTATGGCACTAATCGCTACTGTCTTCCCTGGGATAAGAGATGTTTTTGATTTACAATTTTGATCTGATGAAGGGAGCAGTTTCAGAAGTTTTTATTTGGTCTTTTCCCTACCATGATAGCTTTTACTTCAGAAATTAGAGACCCATAAGGGGGTAACTTTCAACTGTCAAGTATATCTATTTCAATTATGTACTTGGTGATGGAGATAGTTATCACTGCAGGGGTAGGGGAGTCTGTGGGCACATTGAGCCCACTGTGATTTGGAATTTGGTCATAGATTTCCACTCTAGGAATCAACGTTAACTCAGACCCTGTGCTCAATCATCCTTGAGAGATCTAGTTATTTCCGTTTCCTCAGTGTACAGTCACCTGTGTAAATGGCCAGAGGTCCGTTTTGGGAGGACTGTGGATACTGTCATAATATAAACTTTGACTAGTATTGCAGGGCCCTTCTTAGGAATCCAGCCACTTCTTTGGTCAGTAGTTTCTGGTTCTGGAAATTAGTTCAGGTCTGGGAAATGAGTAAAGAATTATGCTTTCCACTGGGCTGACTGTCTTCAGCCTCCTGCTCCTCTGTTCTTGCTTTTCTTTCTTTAATTAGAGATGCTGAACAGCACCATTCTTAATTGGCTTGGCAAGCAGGGGAGGAGGTGGGTGCAGCTCCTGAGGGGGAAACCAGTTGTCTTGTTGGGAAGAGGCCTCCGCAGCATCTTCCAGGACAGTGGGTACTCTTCTAGCCCTTATTAGGGAAGGGTGGGCCACCTCTGCACACCCAGAGGGTTCAGGTAGACTTGTAGACTCCAGATCCTTAGGGGCACCTATCCAGATGTCCTGTCAGAGTTTTCAGGATCCCTGGTCATCCCTATCAGGGCCCTGTCCTTCACATAACAGACCTACCTGGGCTGAGCATTCAGATGCCTCTGGAGCTCTGCAACTCTCACAATTAGGTCTTTAGCCTGTTGTTTTACCCTGTCCACCCTTCCACTACTGGTATAGAGGGCCTCTTATGAGGCTACCACCAAGGCTTTCTCGTTTCACATACTTGTTAACAGTTCTCAGCCTCTCATTATCCTTATGTAGGGTGTCAATACAACTTAGCAGCAAATGCTTGCATCATGGCTTCTTCCACAGTATTCTACTCCAACAGGACATTTTCCAAGATCATCATCAGTGCAATCTTTATGAAGTGAACTGCCACATTGGGCCAGGATCTATTGCTGTCACACCTACCAATCAGAACAGATCCTGCTACATGGTGAGTGAGCCAGTTACAAATTACCTCCTATTTTCTCGTATCACTATCCATACTCCTAGTTTTAGAACTGGTCTTCTGAGAAGCAGACACTAAGATGGGATTACATGTACAAGGATCATGTTATCAGATATGCCCATGTAAAAGGAAATAGAGAGGGAGCAGGAGGAGGCCAGGAGAGCAGTCTGACAGTAATGCAAGTCTTAGCCCTAGTAAAGGACAGTGAGAGAAGGTTGGCTGAAAGCAAAAGCATCCTAGGCTGTAATGTAGTCTAGGAAAAGTTTGGCAAAGCCAACCAAGAGTACTCACTTCTGCAGCACATATACTAAAATTAGAATGATACAGAGAAGATTAGCATAGTCCCTGTGCAAGAATGACACACAAATTCATGAAGAATTTCATATTTTTACAAGCCAGAAAAGATAAGAGTCCTATCTTCAGCCTCCTTAAACAGAATAACTCTCAGCCAATAATTTTGTATCCAGCAAAACTAAGTTTCATAAATGAAGGAGAAATAAAGTCATTTTCAGACAAACAAATGCTGAGGGAATTTGTCACTACCAAACCAGCACTATAAGAAATGCTAAAAGGAGTTCTAGACCTTGAAACAAAAGCCCAATATGTACCAAAACAGAACCTCTTGAAACCTTAAAACTCACAGGGACTATAAAACAATAACACAATGAAAAAAAACTATCTAGGTAACAATTAATATGATGAAGAGAACAGTGCCTCGTATCTCAATATTAACACTGAATGTAAATGGTCTAAATGCTCTGCTTAAAAAATACAGAATGAATTTAAAAAATCACAAACCAAATATCTGCTGTCTTCAAGAGACTCACCTAACATGGAAGGATTCATATAAACTCAAGGTAAAAGGGTGCAAAAAGATATTCCACGCAAATAGAAACCAAAAGTGAGAAGTAGTAGCTATTCTTATATCAGACAAAACAGACTTCAAAGCAATAACACATTAAAAAAAAGCAAAGATGGTCACTATATAATGACAAAAGGATCAATTCAACAAGAAGATATTTCAATTCTAAATTTATATGCACCTAACACTGGAGATCCCAGATTTATAAAACATTTTAAAATGTTTAAATTTTAAAAATTACTACTAGATCTAAGAAATGAGACAGCAACACAATAATGGTGAAAGACTTCAATACACCACTGACAGCACTAGACAGATCTTTCAGACAGAAAGTCAACAAACAATGAACTTAAATGACACTCCAGAACAAATGCACTTAACAGATATTTACAGAACATTCTTCCCAACAACTGCAGAGTATACATTCTTCTCATGAGCGCATGGAACATTCTCCAAGACAGACCATATGATAGGCCACAAAATAAATCTCAATAAATTTTTTAAAATTGAAATCATATCAAGTATATTCTCAGACAACAGAGGAATAAAACTAGAAATCAACTCCAAAAGGAACCCTCAGAACTATACAAATACATGCAAATTAAATAATCTGCTCCTGAATGATATCTGGGTTAACAATGAAATAAAGATGGAAATTTAGAAATTCTTTGAATTGAATGATAATAATGACACAAGCTATCAAAACCTCTAGTATACAGCAAAAGCAGTGCTAAGAGGAAAGTTAATAGCACTAAAGGCCTGTATCAAAAAAGGTGAAAGAGTACAAATTGACAACCTAACGTCATACCTCAAGGAGCTAGAGAAACAACAACAAACCAAACCCAAAGCTACAAGAAGAAAAGAAATAACAAGATCAGAGTAGAACTAAATGAAATTCAAACAAAAAAACCCCAAAAGATCAATGATACAAAAATCTGGCTCTTTGAAAAAATAAACAAAATAGAACATTAGTTAGATTAACCAAGAAAAGAAGAGAGAAGATCCAAATAAGCTCAATTAGAAATGATCCTGGAAACATTACAACCAACACCACAGAAATAACAAAAGATCATTCAAGCCAGGCATGGTGGCTCATGCCTGTAATCCCAGCACTTTGGGAGGCTGAAGTGGGCAGATCATTTGAGGTCAGGAGTTCAAGATCAGCCCGGCCAGTATGGTGAAACCCCATCTCTACTAAAAATACAAAAATTAGCTGGGTGTGGTGGTGAATGCCTATAATCCCAGCTACTCGGGAGGCTGAGGCAGGAGAATCACTTGAACCATCAGGTGGAGGTTGCAGTAAACTGAGATTGTGCCACTGCACTCCAGCCGGGGTGAGAGAGCAAGACTCCAACTCAAATAAAAAAAAAAAAATCATTTGAGGCTGCTATGAATACCTTTATGTGCAGAAACTAGAAAACCTAGAGGAAATGGATAAGTTCTTGGAAACATACAACCCTCCTAGGTTAAATCAGGAAGAAATGGAAACCCTCAACAGATCAATAATAAGCAATGAGATTGAATCAGTAATTTAAAAGTTGCCAACAACAATAAGAACACCCAGGACCAGATGGATTCACAGCTAAATTCTACCAGGCATTCAAAGAATTGGTATCAATCCTACTGAAACTATTTCAAAAGACTGAGAAAGAGGGAATCCTCCCTAAATCATTCTATGAAGCCAGTATCACCCTGATACTAATATCTGGAAAGGATACAACAAAAAAAGAAAACTACAGACCAATTTCCCTGATGAACATAGAGGCAGAAATCCTCAACAAAATACTAGCTAACTGAATCCAACAGCACATCAAAAAGATAAGGTACCTTGATCAAGTGGGATTCATTCCAGGGATGCAAGGATGATTTAATATATGCAAGTTAATAAATGTGATATATCACAAAAAACAGAATTAAAAACAAAAACCACATGATCATCTCAACAGATGCAGAAAAAGCACTGGACAAAATCCAGCATCACTTTGTGATAAAAACTCTCAACAAACTAGACATAGAAGGGACTTACTTCAAAATAATAAAAACCACACATGACAGACCCACAGCCAACATCATACTGAACGGGGAGAAGTTGAAAGCATTCTCCCTGAGAACAGGAACAAGACAAGGCTGCCGACATGCACCACTCCTATTGAATATAGTTCTGGAAGTCCTAGCCAGAGCATTCGGGCAAGAGAGAAATAAAGGGCATCCAAATTGGAAAAGAGGAATCCGAACTATTGCTGTTTTCAGACGACATGATCGTATACCTAGAAAATCCTAAAGACTCCTCCCAAAAGACTCCTAGATTTGATAAACAAATTGAGTAAAGTCTCAGGTTACAAAATCAATGTACACAAATCAGTAGCACTGTTGCACAACAAAATGACCAAGCTGAGAATCAAATCAAGAACTCAATCTCTTTTACAATAGCTGCAAAAACAAAACAACAACTAGGAATATACTTAAAGCAGGTGAAAGATCTCTACAAGGAGAACTACAAACCACTGCTGAAAGAAATCACCGATGAAACACACAAAAAAGGAAACAACATCCCATGCTCATGAATTGGAATAATCATTGTGAAAAGGACCATATTGCCCAAAGCAATGCATACATTCAATGCAATTCCCATCAAAATACCAACATCATTTTTCACGGAATTAGAAAAAAAAATCCTAAAATTCATATTGAACCAAAAAAGAGCCCAAATAGCCAAAGCAATCCTAATCAAAAAGAACAACTCTGGAGGCATCATATTACCAGACTTCAAATTATACTACAAGGATATAGTTACCAAAACAGCATGGTACTGGTATAAAAAACAGGCACATAGATTAATGGAACAGAATAGAGAACCCAGAAATAAAACCAAATACTTACAGCCAGCTGATCTTCGACAAAGCATACAAAAACATAACTTAGGGAATGGACCCTCTTTTTAATAAATGGTGCAGGGAAAACTAGCAATCCACATGTAGAAGAATAAAACTGGATCCCTATCTCTTACCTTCTATAAAAATCAACTCAAGATGGATCAAAGACTTACATATAAGATCTGAAAGTATAAAAATTCTAGAAGACAAGGTTGGAAAAATTCTCATAGACATTGGCCTAGGCAAAGAATTCATGACTAAGATGCAAAAAGCAAATGCAACAAAAACAAAAATAAATACATAAGACCTAATTAAACTAAAAAGCTTCTGCACAGCAAAAGACATAATAATCACAGCAAGCACACAACCCACAGAACGGGAGGAATTATTTGCAAACCACACATCTGATAAAGAATCTAGAATCTACAAGGAACTCAAACAAATCAGCAAGAAATAAACAATCTCATCAAAAAGTGGGCAAAGGACATGAATAGATATTTCTCAAATGAAGATATACAAATGGCCAACAAACATGGAAAAATGCTCAACATCACTAATCCTCAGGGAAATGTAAACTAAAACCACAAAGATGCTACCTTACTTCTGCAAGAATGGCTATTAAAAAGTCAAAAAAAAATAGATGTTGGCATGGATGTGGGGAAAAGGGAATGCTTATACACTGCTGATGGGAATGTAAATTAGTACAACCTCTATAGAAAACAGTACGGAGATTCCTTAAACAGCTAAAAGTAGATCTACCATGTGATCCAGCAATCACACTGCTGGATATCTACCCAAAGAAAAAGAAGTCATTATACAAAAAAGACACTTGCACACATATGTTTATAGGAGCACAATTCATAATTGCAAAGATGTGGAACCAACCTAAGTGCCCTTCAGCTAACAAGTAGATAAAGAAAATGTGGTTATATATACACCATGGAATACTACTCAGGCATTAAAAGGAATGAAATAATGTCTTTTGCAGTAACTTGGATGGAATAGAAGGGTAATATTCTAAGTGAAGTAACACAGGAGTAGAAAACCAAACACCGTATGTTCTGACTTATAAGTGGGAGCTTTACTGAGTATGCAGAAGCATACAGAGTGATATAATGAACTTTAGAGATGCAGAAGGGGGTGGCTGGGAGGGAAGGAAGGGATAAAAAAACTACACATTAGTGGCCGGGCATGGTGGCTCATACCTATAATCCCAGCACTTTGGGAGGCCAAAGCGGGCGGATCACGAGTTCAGGAGTTCGAGACCAACCTGACCAACATGGTGAAACCCTATCTCTACTAAAAATACAAAAAAATTAGCCTGGAGTGGCAGTGCATGTCTGTCATCCCAGCTACTCAGGAGGCTGAGGCAGAAGAATCGCTTGAACTCAGGAGGCGGAGGTTGCAGTGAGCCGAGATTGCACCACTGCACTCGCGCCCGGGTGACAGAGTGAGGCTCCGTCTCAAAAAAAAAAAAAACTAAAAAAATAAATAAATAAATAAAATAAAATAAAACTACACATTAGGGACAATGTACACTACTTGGGTGATGGGTGCACTAAAATCTGAGAATTCACCACTGTATAATTCATCCATGTGACAAAAAAAAAAAACCATTTGTACCCCAAAATGTATTGAAATAAAAAATTTTTGAAAAAAGACATCAGGGAACTTTAAGTTGAAGTCAGCTAACAATGGAGTCCCATGTTTCGCAGTAATGGGTCTGCTTTAGTAGCTCCACTGCACTTAATCATAGGCAGAGAATAGCCCTTAGGAAGTATAAACCTGATACAAAAGTAGTAACACATGTAAAAATTTTTTGAAGCCCAGCACCTAGGGTCCTCAATTAACCTTCCTGTCCTGGGAAGTCTGTGAGGTTCATTGTTGGGTCACCACACTAACTTTTCTATTTTTTTAAATTATTTTTTCTCTCATTTTTTCTTCCTATTTCTTCCCAATCAACACACTAACTTTTCTAAAGGGCATTTCAGGTTTTTTGCTGAAGAATCCTCCAATCTCCTACCCCATAAGGTTTAATCCTAGCTGCTGGTTTATGGAGTAGGGCAGGAGAAGAGAGCTGAGAGTTCCATTATTCAAACGGCATATTTTCATTTGATCCCATCATTCTTAGACCTCTATCTCACTCACATGTCTCTGTGTCTGAAACTCCAAAGTACAAGAGCTATTGCAGTTTAATTTCTCCAGAAAATAGACTCCTAACTGAAGGAGAGTATCCCAGCTGCGTGGGATGGCAGAGGGGTCCCAGTGACCAACTGTTCCATGTGTTCATCTTCAACTGTCTCCCAGTTTTCAGCTCCTTTCTCACCCCCACCTTCTTCCATACCTGCCAAGTTCTAAAGCACTAAGCAGGTCAGAAGAGTGAATGCATTATTTTCACTGATATTCTTCTCTGCAGGCACTCTGTTGTTGTTTCCTCAACTTCTATCAAGTCAATTTGTATTCTTCCAGCTATGAGCCTTCCAAAATTTGTTTAAATCACTCACCTGCTGAGATTTCTTCTTATCCATTAATTTCAATGATCAGCTATCATGTCTTGTCTAATAAATATCATATCCAAATGTAAAAGTAGGCCCCTGGGTGCCTATTCTTAACATTTTCTTCACAATTCAAACTCAACTTCACCTATTTTGGTGATTTATGATAAAAAATTATGATTTTACTTACACCAATTATACCCACAGTTTTCCAATTTTACATTTGTTATTGGATTTTGTCAGGTGGGAGTACTTTAGGAGTTTTATACATGGGAAGAATATGGGTTTGTGAGATAGGAGCATGTAAGAGTGAACACACCAAATGATGTAATAGTTATAAAAAAAATATCCTGAGGCCCCACACACATACTGCCTTACTTACTAGCTTCACAAGCAAAAAATGTTTTGACTAAAATGGGGAACATTCTAATTATGCACATTTGCATTTTTTAAAGCACAATAATACTACGCTTCAATAATATTTCTACTATTCTACAAGATTTAAAAATAATAATTTTATACTCAAAAACTGTGAATTCTAAAATAGATCACATTTGAGATTGCTAACAACCCACCCTGGTATTTGAGTTAGAAATTCCATCAATGTTTTTATTTAAAATTTTTTTGTAATGTACTAATTTCTAAAGCTTTATAAGCACCATGTGGAAAATGTATTAAGAAGCAGCTTCATAGCAGTTGTGGTCTTCGTGCCTTGTCCTTCGTTCTTTCTTCACTATTATCTTTAAGCTTTAACACCTTGGTTTCTTCCTCCAGCCTCTAACACATGACTTTGTCTCCCAGCTCTGTGCGTGTTCATTCTCTCCAGGCTCAACAGAGAGACACAAAGTATTTTCTCTTCTGCAGTTAGCCTCAGCATTGCCCCCACACACAGTTACAGCTGGTGTGGCCCAGAATTCCCAGAATAACCCACTTCATTCTCCTTCTCTATACCTGCTTCCTATGAGTTGTGTTTTAGGCATACTATGCTTTGAAATTATACTATAACTCAGGAAGTTAGGATGTTTCATTGTGGCAATCTCATGGGAATAAGGCCAGCATAAAAATAAATTATCCTGGGGAGACGACAAAAACACATTATAGATTTTGCAAAAACGACAGCAATCATGAAGTAACCTGGACCATTAACAAGAAGATATTTGTAATTATCCACTTATAAATATACATACCAGAGATCCTTGAAAAGTATAAAATTGTACTACAATAACTTTAAGGTTCCCTCTTATTTTACTGACTCCAAAATGAACTAGATATCTTTAAAACAGAAGAACAGACTCTCTCATTCCATCACTTCCAATTCACTGGACTGTTCATAACTTAATGTTCTTGATCTTCCCAAGGAGCTGCTTTTATCTGATTATATAAATCAATGGTAATATACTAGAAAACTGCAGCCTGGAAAGACAAAGCAACGCCACAGTTAAACTGAAAATTCTACTAGATATTAACAACAACGAAAATCATATACATAAAGCTAATTCTATTATCATAAAAGAGCTGTTTTGTTTTGTTTCTGACACTAATAACTTCTTAGCATTCCAAGCAATAACATATTTCACCTACGATCTTGTTTTAATTTGCTTTTTAAAGGTCATTTTCCAAGAGTAGATTGAAACAACAGGGTAAGAATAAGAAATTTCAAGATACTGTTTACACACCTGAAATAAAGTATACTTAGGTTTTTAAAAAAGTCCCTCACCTCTATCCAAAGCAGAGAGAAAATTCCATTAGCTGCATTTTTTTTTTTTTTTTTTTTGAGACAAAGTCTCCCTGTCGCCCAGGCTGGAGTGCAGTGGCGCGATCTCTGCTCACTGCAGGCTCCGCCTGCCAGGTTCACACCATTCTCCTGCCTCAGCCTCCCGAGCAGCTGGGACTACAGGCGCCCACCATCACGCCCGGCTAATTTTTTGTATTTTTAGTAGAGACGGGGTTTCACCGTGTTAGCCAGGATGGTCTCGATCTATGACCTCGTGATCCGCCCGCCTCGGCCTCCCAAAGTGCTGGGATTACAGGCGTGAGCCACCGCGCTCGGCCTGCATATTATTTTTAAACCAATGATTGCTAACAAACACACAAAAAAAAAGTAAAAAAAAAATCACTCCACTGAACGCTTACAAAAGAAAAAACAGGAGAATACAATGTAGTTAAGCACAGCTCCTATATATATAGTACTTTTCAATATAGGCAACTGCAACAATGAAAGAACACAGCCTTCTACATTCTTAAATACCAAATGCCCCCTTGTGGACAGCACTGTTACTAGATTTGCATATAAAATCTGTTTAAACTAACTTTTCTGTCTGTGATTTGAAGCTATGTACCTATCAATTGACCATTCTGATCTTGGAGAGAACACAAACCCAGTGAGGGCTGTCCACAGAACACCTCAGGAGGCAGTCTCAGAGATTATAGCATTTTAATAACCTCAATACTTTAAAAATATATACTTACACGTGTCAATAGTGCTCTAGTGTCACTAATTTTAATGACTGGTTATCAGGCATTAAAAACAACATTTCTAAGAATTTTCAAAAGGCATAAACTACCACAGTGAGCCCAGTGGGAGCATGACTAATTGGGTGTACAGTGAGGTAATGGGTCCCAGGAAGACCCAAATAGGGCTGGATGTCCATCAGGCAGCACAGCTAAAAGAAGAATCTGAATCATGGTAAAGAAATTAGTATCACAGTCAGGAAAATGGTGTGGGGCAACAGGATGAAGAAAAGATAAGTAGGTCAATGAGTAATAAGACTGGAAGTCAGAGAGTGGGACATGACATGGACCACAACAGAGAATAATAGAGGGGAGAGTCTTGCTTCTCTGAAGAGCCAGGTGTGTGATAAAAACAATGGCCCGATGGTTTAAAAGAACTAAGACTTAAAACCATCTCTTTCTTCAGGCTTCTCTTGCTTTTGTAATATGTTCTTCTCCTGTTTGTCCTATGGCAAGCTGAAACATATGTCTGAAGGGAATATAGACAAACAGGCAAAGATTAATATTTCAAAAAGCCAATTCATCAAAGGATTAATTTGCAGGGAGACCAATCTACCTACGATTCCAAATTTACTAAAAATTCGCTTTAAGGAAAATCATTCATATATGTGAACTTATAACCTGAAATATACTCTTTTTCTAAGAATATTTTCAATAATAATACTAAATGCTAAATGATTTCCGTAAGTTTTGGGTTTTCAACAAACATTTATTAAAATGTTACTAAATAAAATTATATTCATTAGAACATATTCAAGGATTTGGATTTCGGCAAATTGGCTTCCTGTGAATTGGTTTTCTACAAATTGATCAAGAGTCTTCCAGAGAATGTTTGAGATGAGATTAAGTATTTTCCTAAATAATGTTTCTCTGTTTCTACACCTTCTCCCCCATTCTTTTCACCACCAGCTAGTCTTGTTAGCTTTAGGAACAGGATCCATCTGACTGACTAAGCATATGCACTGGTGAGAGATTTCCCTGAAGGATCCAAGCTGCCTGGGTGTAGTGGAGGACAAGGGGGAGGGTACTGATAGGAAAACTAGAGAAAGAGAAAAATAGGGGTCATCACTTTTATGACTCTGAATGAGTCAAGGAATAGGACTTCCACTTTGCAATACAATTGACTACAGGGATATGGTGGGGCTTGTTGATAAGAGCCATTACAGTAACTTATCACAAGCAAGGCTGTATTCCACATCTTTCTCTGAGGGATATACATCCCCTATATCTGTTGATCTTAAGTTGTGCTCTGTAATAGAGCCTATTGTGAGGTCTGCCAAAAAAATACAAATGTCCAGGCCTTACTCCAGACCTACCAAATTTCTGGGGAAATCCTCAGAACGTATACTTTTAATATACATTAGTATACATACATAATGTATATAAAAGTATACATTAAGCAGCACTATTCACAATAGCAAAGACATGGAATCAACCCAAATGCCCATCAATGATAGATTGGATAAAGGAAATGTGGTACATATACACCATGGAATAATATGCAGCCACAAAAAGGAAAGAGATCATATCCTTTGCAGGGATATGGATGGAGCTGAAAGCCATTTCCCTCAGTAAACTAATGCAGGAACAGAAAACCAAACACCCCATGTTCTCACTTATAAGTGGGGCCTGAACATTGAGAACACATGGACACAGAGAGGGGAACAACACACACTGGGGCCTGTCAGGGGGTAGGGTGGGGGAGTGGAGAGCATTAGGAAAAATAGCTAATGCATGCTGGACTTAATACCTAGGTGATGGGTTGATAGGTGCAGCAAACCACCATGGCACATGTTTACCTATGTAACAAACCTGCACATCCTGCACATGTACCCCAGAACTTAAACATTAAAATTAAAAAAGAATATACCTTTAATATATATTAATATGGCTACAGGTCTTTGCTGAACATACCTGGAAATTCTTGGAAGGAATTTCAGGTAGGCACTAAGTCCCGTTTTGGTGAATGCACATGTTAGAGACTAGAAAATGTACACCCAACTAGCTCAAGGGAAGTAAAGGTTCTGCACTTTTTATTAAGAGGGTTAAATATCAGCTGGGTGAGGTGGCTCACGCCTGTAATGGGAGGCTGAGGCAGGCGGATCACCTGAGGTCAGGAGTTCAGCCTGGCCAACATGGCAAAACCCCATCTCCACTAAAAATACAAAAATTGGCTGAGCGTGGTGGCAGGCACCTGTAATCCCAGCTACTCGGGAGGCTGAGGCAGGAGAATCGCTTGAACCCGGGAAGCTGACGTTGCAGTGACCCGAGATCGTGCCATTGCACTCCAGCCTGGGCAACAGAGCAAGACTCCGTCTCAAAAAAAAAAAAAAAAAGATGTTAAATATCTAATGAATTCTATTATAGTTTTGAGAAGGTACCAAAAGATTCAGAAGATTCACAACTTATATAACAGCACAGCTTAATAAGTGAAAACAGATTGCACATCTTTGGGCCTTATGCTTATCCCTTCCAAGTTGATTGGGGTTAATTTCACAACAGACTTGTTTTAATAAAATAGTACTTTTCCTTTATCAAGGGAAAACAGAACAGGAACTAACAGAGCTTACTATGTCAGGCACTATGTTATTTGTTTTATCTATCTCTAATAATCTTCACAGTAACCCTGCATGAGAGTTTAATTAACTCAATTTCACAGATGAGGAAATTAAGCCTCAGAGAGATGAAATAACTTCCTCAGTGTCCCATAGTCTGAATTTGAGCCATGATGGTCTGATTCCAAAACCTACGTTTCGAGGGAAAATAGGTTATACTCAGTACATTTTCTCACCCCTACTCTTCCACTACACACCACATCACATTTTCTCCTATGTCCTAGCCTCTAATTGGCACTTCTTTCTTCGCTTTTGAATAATTTGCCTGAACTCTGGACAACGTGTTTTATCCTCTCCTACAGCAGAATTTTCTAGAACATTCTTTTCCTGAACATTCATAAAGCCTTCCCCTTCTTGACTTCTGTGATACCATTCTTCCAGTTGTCCCCCCATCCTTTCTCAATATTTTTCCTTCTCAATAATATTCCCTAAATTGCCTCCTAACACTTTAAATGTCAGCATTCCCCAGGGTTTCAACCTCAATTCTATTTTTCAGACTGCATATTTTTCCTGAGCAATCCCTTGTAGTTTCATGACTGCATGTGACACTTATGACTTGGTGATCTCTGTTTTCAGAGAAGCAACTTTCCATAATCCAAAACTATTTTCAGTTGCTTCCAAACCACTATCACCTGTGTAATACACACAAACAAAACTAAACTTACCATTTCCTAACATCCTAATTTCAATTTCTATTATCCTGTTCATTGTAATCCATGAAGTTATTCAAGCCAAAACTCTCAATTGTCATTAAATTCTCTTGCAGTCTTACCCAATATCTAAGTATTCATGAAATCCTCATTCCTAAATAGATCTTTAATCTGTCTCCTCTGCTCCATCCCCATATAATACTGCCCAAGCTAAAAAAAAACCCACCTTCCCTTACCTAGACTACGACAAAAGCATCCTAGCTGGTTTCTCTGATTCAATTCTAACCCACCCTGAGGAATCCTTTCTTCATGGTGGTTGGGGTGGGGGTGGGAGGATCTTTCAACCTCTATATAAAATATTTCAATAGCTTCTTATCATATACAAAAAAAATTCACACTCCCTACCATGAATACCAAACCCTTTATTATTTAGCCCCTGCATATTATTTCCAGCTTCATCGCTCATCATCCCTCTTATTTATTCCAGACATACTGAACTAACTGTAGAGCTGGGGTGTCTTTAGACAGACTGACCCAGAAATACTTTATAATAATTTGAAAATCTACCTATCTTATGATTTTAAAATTCCACTTCTAAGAACATGTATACTTGAAGCAGTGGTTCTCAAACTTTTTTATTAGAATTACCTGAAGAGTTAATAAAAATATAGAGGTGGCAAGTAGGTTGAAGGACAGGACTTGGCCTTTGTATTTTTATGAAGTGCCCTAGGTGATTCCATAACCTACCAAAGTTTATGGATCACTGCCTTAAAGCAGAGGCTGGCAAACTATAACCTAAAGATCAAATTCAGCTTCTGCCTGTTTTTGTAAACCAAGATTTTTTAGAATACAGCCCACCAATTAGGTGTTGTCTATGGCTCCCTTTATACTACAGCAGCAGGGTTGAATAGCTACAACAAAGATCAGAGATCATACAACTGCAATGCTGAAAATATTTACTATTTATCCATCTACAGAAAAGTTTGCTAAGCCTAGAGGAACACTTTGCACTGAAAGACACATATAAAGATATTCACTGTGGCAATGCTTGTCATAGTGAGATTTTGAAAAATTCATGATGTACGTAAATAGGCTAATTTACGTAATTCATGATGTACGTAAATATACTAAGGATATACACATATAATGAAATACTATACAACTGATAAAATTTACTAGATCTTTATTAACATGAATGGAATTAAATAATGAGTAAAAGAATGATATGCACAGTATGATACTTTTTATATGCATTTTTATACATACAACATGTAGAGAGATATTAAAAATAAACTGAAATAATATATACCAAATTCATGGTAGTCCTTGCCTATAAAAAGGAAACAAAAAGAAGACAGGGAGGAGAATAAAAGGGATCTCAACTCTATAAATTGTTTTCATTAAAACATTTAAAGTCAAAAAGGGACAAAGATCTGAAGATTTATAAATACTAGAATATGGAGTTGTTTGCCATAATACACTCTGTGGGTTTCAACTCAAAATTAAAACCAGAAACAACCTAAAATACCCAGTTATAGGGAAAAGTAATTGAACATTCACATTCCAACACAATGGAACATAATATATCATTGAAAAATGCACATGAAGAGAACATAACATATGAAATAATTGACTTAATTACCCCAATTAGCATAGGATTCAAAACTGTCCATGCGGTAAGGTTATAATTATATTTTAAACAACAATAAAAACTAGCTGTAATCCTTTTTCACTTTGTTTGTTGGCTGACTTATTTATTTGGTTGTTCTTTTTAATCAATATGTATGCATACAAAAATTACTAAAAACAGAACTGTCTACAGTGGATATGTTTGATTTTATGATATTCTTTTTCTATACCTTTTATTTTCCAAATAATATCAGCTGAATACATGTTGAACGAATATGTATGAATGAATTGAATGAATACATAAAATGAAATGCCTTCACTTTAAATGACTTTGTGTGTGGCAGATACAGCCAACTGTACGCTCACAATCCACTCTTCTCTTCTTCCTGTATATTCAGTAAAACACTATATTTCCTAGCCTGTCATGCACACGAAGGTGCCCATATGATACAGTTCTAACTCCCAATGAAATGTCAAGGGGAATTACTGGGTGCAGCATCTTAGAAAGCTCTTTGAAGGGGAGTAGACGTGACCGGCTTTCACCTTTACCATTTCTCCTTCACCTATGTCTTTTTTTGAATGATAACGTGAAGCAGCTGAGAAGGCGAAGCAGCCATCTTTAAACACGAGGACAAAAGCCACTCACAAATGGATGGCAGAGTAGAAACTTAGGGGAAGCCTGGATTCCTGAAGGCATTATACAGCCACTGCACCACCCCTGGACTGCAAACCTCATACTTTCTGTCACATGAGGAAAAAAAAGAAAAGAGAAAAAAAAAACTTTACTTGTTTAAACCTTTCTCTTACATTCTGCCAAATGCAACCCTTGATACATCATGCTAAAATAAAATTTTAATAAATTACCCCACTGAAAGACACTTAGAAGATAATATAACGTATCTTACCTTCAGAGGAGAAAAGTGAACCTCAAGAAAAAAAAAAGTTGGAGGCACCAACCTATTATCAGAACAAAGACTAAAGCTTCACTCTCACTTATGTGAATAATTTTTTCTAAAATATTAAAATCACACTGAACTTTACATTTCAAAATGGCTGAAACAGGCGGGGTGTGGTGACTTATACCTGTCATCCCAGCACTTTGGGAGGCGAGGCAGGTGGATTGCTTGAGCTCAGGAGTTCGAGACCAGCCTGGGACACACGGTGAAACCTCGTCTCTACTAAAAATACAATAATTAGCCAGGCATGGTGGCATGAGCCTGTAGTCCCAGCTATTCAGGAGGCTGAGGTGAGAGGACTGCTTGAGCTCAGCAGGCAAAGGCTGTAGTGAGCCAAGATTGAACCACTACACTCCAGCCTGGGTGACAGAGTGAGACCCTCCCTCAAAAAAAAAAGAAATGCTGAATGGTAAATTTTAAGTTATGTATATTTACCACAATAAAAGAGAGATAAAATTATATTAAAATGAAGTCCACTTTAATGATATAGTTTAAAGATAACATTTTATACATTTTTGTCAAATAACATATAAAATATTACACATATACTAGTCAACAACGAGTGCCCATCCTTTTGCTACTCATAAGCAAATCTGTAGTTTGAAATTATTCAAAATTAGTATTCAAACTAACACATCAATTTCATAAGTATGTCTGTACAGATTACTCCTAAACACTAAACAATCCACAACAAGGATAAAGAATCGGGAAATTTACAGATGGTATTTGAATTCATACTCTATCCCACAAAAGCAACTAATTTAAGCCCTTTTCCCTAATTGTCAATTTAACAGGAAGCCAAAAATATGTCTGCATTACACAATTATATGTCTGAATTTCACAAATATTATTCTTTATATCAAAGAATAAGACTTAGTTTTGTCCTTAGCTAAGAGGGTCTCTTGACTGGATATAGGATTGTTGGATCCCAATGCTTTTTGCTTAGTAATTGGACACTTCTATCGCTGACTCCTTGATTAGATTTCTAATCTCTGCTGCTCAGACACACCCCTCTTGGATTCATGAGTACCAAACACTCATGAAAGCACCTGTCCAGAGAATAGAGAGGACCAGTTCTGTTTATACTGAACTTTCATTCTCTTTCCTTTCTGCTTGGTCTGTGGTCCCACTCTTCGTTGTGCTAATATTTCTTCAGTCCTTTACTGTGGAGAAATATAATTCTCTGTCTCTGGATCTAAATTATTAAATCTCTTAGAGAACCACATTTTCTTCAAAAATAACACAAATACATCAAGGAAAATAAATGTATTTTTTCCAACATGAATATGTTCCAGAGTCTCAGGTAGTAGTTAGAAAACCAATTAAACGCTCCTTAGATATGCCCTAAGGTATTTTACTAAGTCATACCAGCACTTGTTGCTACTCTCCACAAGGGTGGTGATACCCACTCTGTTGAGCTAGGACTGAGCCTCAGTTATCAAGAAGCAGGTAGACAGAATATTTTATATCCAGTAGGTAGTAATAAAATTCTACCTGCAATTAAGAAAAGGCACTAAGCTTAACATAGCCCTAGCAACTATTTCTAAATGCCACAAGAGGGCGATATAACTCTATGACAGCACATGGGAAAACAATTTTTCGAGTTAGAAAAATTCCTGACTTTCCAAGATATGGAAATAAAGGCATGTCTGGGTTGAAAGTAACAAGCGTGCAAAAGGACTTATTTCTCCTCAATTCATTATTAGCAAAAACACAGTATTTGTCTATATCTTTCTCTGAAGGTTGGCGGTGATTCAAAAAGCAATATCTATACATGCTCTGCTCTTCAGGACACCTGTGAATATAGCTGGCAACTTAGTGCTCCACCTATAGCTACTCAAAAATTATTTGTTGTCCTTCAAACAGATCCCTTGAACAAAACAGTTTATTTGGACCTTGCGCTAGTCTTCAAACTTCTCTTTGAAATACGTCTGGAAAAAATAGACATAATTTCCTTCAATTATTCTTTGTGTTTAATCACATTTCTACTCACCACTGGCATTCGTTCATAGACACGAATAGAAGATAGTCTATCTACAATAAATCAAATATGAGCACTTAATGTTTTATCAGTTTTAACTCAAATTATAAAATGTACATATGATTGGTTTTGTACCTGAAGAGTTTCCATGGATTTTTTCCACTTTCTCCTTGAGATAAACAATTTGCTTTTCTAGTTCATCATTTAATTCAAGTTGTGTCTCATAACGGGTTTTCCATTCACTACCTGAGTAAAAACAGGGAGAAACAATCAAGATCACCCCACCACCTCTCATTTATTCATTAAAATAACATTATGAGCTTGATCTTACTCTATTACTATATTTGACTTTATTGGCAATACAGATCAACTAGAAGGAAATAGTTATTAAGTCTGTATTTCTGTTAGTAAGATTTTCCAGACTGCAAGAATTAGACTCACACTCAGGCTACCAAACAGCCAAACCTTATCACAACTACTGCAATTCCTCTTCTTCCCTACTTCCCACCTGCTTTTTTCTTTTACTTCTTGTGCATCCTTACAATGAATTCAATTAGAGGGAATATCAGGACATGTTTCTTTCCTTGGAACTTGAAATACCCATATATATAATATCCATATATTTCATATATGATATTTCATATACATATCCATAAATATATATATTTCAAGTTCCAAGGAAACTTGAAATACATATTTATATATTTATACATTTTATATATGTTTATGTGTATATAAAATATCCTAAACATTACTAACCTATCCAATGTCATGTTCATTTTTTTTCCTTTGAAAGCAATTCTGAAGTCTGCTGAATAACTATCACTTACGTGTCTGCCGTGTGTAAAGCACACAATGCTTCACATACATTAAGTAATTTAATCCTCATTTTAGAAATGTAGTCACCTATTTTACAAAGATGAGGAAACCAAGGCTCAAAGATGTCAATGTCAAATAACATTCTTAAGATGACAGAGCTAATAAATAAGGGAACCGGGTTTTTAATCCAGTTTTATCTGCCTTTGAAATCATATCCTCTTAACTCCTAAGCTGAAGGAACAATGTACATTTAGCTATCTTCTCAGGCATTTTCTCTTAACCTTAAGCAGTTTTCTTTCACTAAACCCTTTTAGCTATTAAAGTCAAAGCATTTTCCTTATGTCTGGGGAAAAAGAAGAATACAGCCTAAAATTAAAAGGTCTTTGTTCAGATTCAAAGCCCAAAGCTAACTTTTTCGAGTCTTTAAAGTCAGGCTTTGTAGAGGGCAAAAAGATGGCTTCTTTTTCAACTTTAAATGCTCTTCACAGGTCTGAAATAACTGCTGCTACATAACAGTTAGTGGAAGAGTTAAGGAGAAAGAGTATTAGCACATACCACTACCAACCTCCTCAGCCCTGACACAGGTCTCCCTTACACCCTCATCTCTATGCAAATGCGGTCTACCAAAGGGGATGGAACCCCCTCCCATACTGAAACTGAAAGTCATTAACCCAAAAGCTTTGGAAAGGTACAAGAAGAAAGGAGAAGCCCTGAAAGACTAAACATTTACCCAAAAGATACAGTAGAGCTCAACTGTATGGAATCATCTTTATAACTTGCTACCTAAAGTCTCCCTTTGTCATGGTATCCCCTTTCCTAACATGGTAACGGATTCTTCAGAGCAAGATGAGAATGGTTACCAAAAAATTAAAAATGCAATTTATTTTTGGCACATCTGAGTACAGTTTATAAATTTTGACACCATTTTATTTAAAAATATTATTGACTTTTAAGTCAATCATCAAATTTAATTATCAAATATAGACAAGCCAGCCAGGCACGGTGGCTCACACCTGTAATCCCACCATTTTGGGAGGCTGAGGCTGGTGGATCACTTGAGGTCAGGAGTTCAAGACTAGCCTGGCCAATGTGGTGAAACCCCGTCTCTACTAAAGAATACAAAAATTAGCCAGGCATGGTGGCAGGTGCCTGTAATCCCAGCTACTCAGGAGGCTGAGGCAGAAGAATTGCTTGAACCCGGGAGGCAGAGGTTGCAGTGAGCTGAGATTGTGCCACTGCACTCTAACCTGGGTGACATAGCTAGTCTGCATCTCAAAAAAATAAAAATTTTTCTCAAAAAAATAAAATAAGATAGATAGATAGATAGATAGATAGATAGATAGATACATAGATACATAGATACATAGATACATAGATAGATAGACCGACCTATTAGTATACAGTCGTAACCAAATGGAATCCGGCTGCTTGCCACTTACAGAGTCCAATTAATAAGAGCAAGGTCTGGCATAAAGTGGCTTTATTAACCCCAACATCAACATGGGACAACACAAAAGACCCAAGATAGACACCAAAACAAGACACACAGACCTTGTAACCAGCACAACTCCTGCATGCCTCCCATATTAAGTTTCCCTTTGAAAGCCCCCTGCCTTTTCCCTAGAAATTGGACATGGTTATTTTGGATGGGAATCTGGCCACTTGTCCATTATTAGTTTTGGTCAATGAAGTCACTTTCTCTCTACTGGACCTCGCTTTTGTTAATTGAACTATGCAATCAGCACTTACAATTGCTGGTTACAATTTTAGTGTCCCGTATGGTGAGTGCTGTATGCTCCAGGGCCTGAGCCTGCCAGTCTGGTTTCTATCAGATGGGGCATAGGGCCACCTGTGAATACTAGTTGCTGATGGCTAGCTGACCCATGGCTAGGATATTAGGGAATTTCCCAGCAGCTGCCAAGACTCTTTTGTCTTAGGGATCCTCTCTTTTCTTCCTGCTATGGTGTCTGCTACCTTCAATGCTTCACTGGTGCAAAGAAAGTGACCTCTGGAGAAGCTGAGAAACTATGGAACTAGGTGCATTAGTCAGAGTGTACCCAACCACCTTCTGCCTCTTTTGGGGTGTCGCTGGGGCTCTGCTTTATTTAGACTTGGCTGCCAGTGAAACTATATGAGCATTTTATGCATTGGTTTTGTTTGTATTTGCTGCACCCTTGGGCCTTTGCTCAGTTCTGACTCAGTTGCCTGGGGGAGCCATTTGAAACTGAAATGAGGGATTTCGGAGTCTACACAGCCCCTTAACCAGGGATTTGTTTGGATGCACACCACCTGTTTGTCCGTGTGTGAGATCTTTGTGCACCCTGATCTCTTTGTCTCTCTTTCTCTCTCTCTTTCCCCTTTTTTCCAACTTCATCATCCTGATTATCTCAGAAGCCATCTACAGCCCTACTCTTCTCAGCCAAAACCACCCTTCGCTCCCTCTGGCTGGAAACAGTTTACCTTGACTGGTGACTTGAGGAAATGGGAGGGATTCATCCCACACCCTTCAGTTCTAGGGTGCTGAGGCTCTCCCTAAGAGGAGATAAACAAGAGAGGTAGGGGTACTGTGCAGTGGCTGGAAGGCTCATAAACCTCCCTTCCTTCTTTTCTCTTTCCTCTTCCTGCCCATAAAACCTGACCTCCTTTCTCCTCTCCACTCCTTTCTTTTTCTCTTTTCCTGTTCAAACCAGGAAACCAGTACTGAAGAGAAAAAACAATTTTCAACATCCTGGCCCCTGATTTTGTCATCCTCTTTGGGACTGCAGCTGATTACATATGGTGCATTTTTGTGTACATTTTAAACTGACGGGCAAATTACAGCAAGAAAAATTTAGAGCTCAAATAGTTAACCTGAAGCTATAGAGTTAAGTAGAGTCTTCTAAAGCTATCTTCCCTCTTCCCCTCTTTTCTGCCTGCTTTAAATCTGCTGTTACTAAGCTGCTGGTGCTAGGACTCATTTATGATCTAACTAGAATGTAAACACTGGAAAGTTGTTTGAAACTGAAAATAAAAAATAACAAGGGTAAAAGCGGTTTAAAAAAACTGCCATAGAGACTCCTTTACCCAAAATTTTGGTTCACAAATTTCCTTGGATTACCTATTAGGGCAAATGAAGTTTGGCCATATGAACAGGTTCCAATTTTGTCAGAAAAAGAACTTGAAGCCAGCTATCTTTTGTAGGTCTGTGAGTTTGTAATGCTGTCTCATGGCTGGAGTTCCAAGGTAAAAGCTATTGGTTATTTCTTTGTGCATGTATGTATACATGTTTAGATATATTTATGTAATATTCATGTATTATGTTCTGCGTTGTGTCTAGCATGTTATCAAACTGGCTTATAAGTAAATGAGTACTCAAAAATTAAGTCCAAATGCTTTTCAAGTGCATGTGAATTTTTAATAAATAAAAGTGGTTTTAAAATTATTGATAAAAATAGAAAGGTCTTCAGAATTGTCCCCATACATTTTTGTCTAAGTGGTTTTATATTTGTATCAGTGTGTATACAAAGGTGTCAAGGGTTGACATAAAGGTTCTAAGACTTTAAACTCAACCAAAAACAGAATAATCTTTGTGTATTTTTTTTTGACAAATAAGACTAACTTGTTAGTTCAATGAAACAGCTAAATCTTCAGAGTCATCAGCAAATACATTTAATTTTAAGGTTCTTAATTAGGTGCTCACCATTTAGTGTTCAGATTTTAAAAATGGTTAATAGGGAAATAACTTTATTATTTATTTTTAATTTTTTTTTTTGAGATGGAGTCTCGCTCTGTCACCCAGGCTAGAGTGCAGTGGCGCAATCTTGGCTCACTGCAAGCTCCACCTCCCTGATTCACGCCATTCTTCTGCCTCAGCCTCCCGAGTAGCTGGGACTACAGGCGCCCATCACCATGCCTGGCTAATTTTTCTGTATTTTTTTAGTAGAGACAGGGTTTCACCATGTTAGCCACCAGGATGGTCTCGATCTTCTGACCTCATTATCCGCCCGCCGCAGCCTCCCAAAGTGCTGGGATTACAGGCGTGAGCCACCGTGCCCGACCCGGAAATAACTTTAAATAATGATTAGTTTTGTGTAATATCTCAGTTTTCAGAAGTAATCTAGATAAACTATTAAGAAATGGAAAAGGTGAATACATGTAAATGAGATAAATGCTTGTAAGTGGACTTTTTGTGTAAGTTAAAATCTTAAAATTATTTTGAATTAAATAATAGATGCTCCAATCCAATAGATAATAATTTGATTTCTGGGACATTTCCAATTAAGAAAAGATTATGATATGGGAAAACATATTTCTAAAATTGTAGAATGGTTTCATCCAGAAAATCCTAACATCTGATAAACAGTTCAGGATTTCTTGCTTCCTAAGTTTTCACTAAAATTTAAGGTTACTAAGAATTCTAATATATAATTCTGCAAGTTGTGTTCTCATTTTTTAAAAAAGAGTAATTTAAGTAATTCAAAGGTTATTTAAAAGTTATTTCTAAAAGAAGGTAAAAAAGAATCAGTGAGTAGGGGAGAGAGATATAAAGAAAGTTGTGGATACAAAAATGTATTTATAATAAAAAAGTTATAAAACAAGCAAATAATTTTACATGAGAAAGATTTTATATAGTAAATTCTTATCCTAAAATAAAATGGCTAGTTATTCAGAAAACAGAAAATTTTAGGACAAGTCAGAAAGTCCAAGCATGTAATAAATGGTCTATGTAAGTTATGATAAGGTTCATAAAAGGAAAATTACAAAAGCTATTTTATATATTAAGTTGGCTATAATTAGAAGGGAATTATTTTTAATAGTCTTTCTAAGATTGATCCCCTATCTTAAAACAAGGTTTTCTTAAGGTATTACTTTTCTCTTAATAAAATTACAAGAGATTTTTAAAATTTTAGAAACTGTTTCTTTTAAAAGCTTCTCAGAATCATATCTCAGAAGTTCAACTATTGCTGTCTCACTGCTTTCAGCTTTTTCTCCCCCTGAGAAGGTCTGAGATGACAGCTCTCTCCTTCAGCTTCTAAATTAGCTTCTGTAACTTTTTTCCTCTGGTTCCACTGTTGTGGCCTGATGCTAAAATGTTTTATCTTAAAGGTCTAGAAAAGCAATATTTTCCTTCAGTATAATTTGATTCTGTACTCTTGGCTTTCTTGATAGATGTAAATTTTTCAATGTAATCAAGAAACTTCTCATGCAGTTACTAAGAACTATGTATTCCTCTGCTATACTCATAACCCTGAACACATTCTTCCTATGTCTGATTAAATTCAAGAATATTTTTCATCAGGTTTAACTTCCAGGTTGTCTAAATAGGCTTCCTATAAGGAAAAGTAGTCACACTGCAGGTTTTTCTTTGCCTTTCTGGTAACTGGCGTAAGAAACAACATTTTACTTTTTATCAAAATAATTCATATGTTGTCTTCATTAGATTTTTAACTGCTTAGAAAAACTGAGACCTAAAAGGCTGAAAGTTGTTATATGCATGTAACCTTCTGTATTGCCTTTAAGTCTTTCAATAATCATTTTGGTTAAATTAGTAACTATTGGTTTACAATGACCTGTGGATCTGTTTTAATCAAATGTTTTGAGCCCTTTAACATTTTTAAGAAACATCTTCAAAATTGAAACAAAAATTAAGTCTCTGGCTTATTGCTGGTGTTTATCAAAGCTATAAAAGTTAATCACTGCAAGGTTATAGAATCTTTTTACAGCTTCCAGTCAAGTCATAGACTCCAGTGTCACCACCTCCAGCCCCTTAAAAAAAAGGTCCTTATCAGGTGTTATTAACTAATCCTTGTGCTATGAAGTTACAGGGCTTTGACTCCTGGGTACACATATCTCATCTAAAGAAGGCAGTGACTCCTGCCAGTATCTGACAGCAAATCTAAGTTAACCGAAGCCCCATTTTTAGATCTGGGCAAAGATGACAATCATAGTAAACTACTTTCATGAGACACAGGGACACGCCTGTACCACAAAAAAATTAAGATTCTCTTAATAATTTTGCCTCTATCTAAAATAATATAATTTATTCTGTGCCTAAATAAATAGATACTAAATAATTTAAATGTTTAAATTTAGTGCCTAAATTGACACTAAATAATTTAAATGTTTAGCTACCTATAAGTTTCCTTTCCTGTAACTGTCAGAACTAGGCAGGGCTTATTACCTTTTTGTTTGAAACACTGCTAATACTTTACATTTTTTTTTACCTCCAGAATTTGAAACTATTGAATCCCTCCAGGCCCAGGGGCTATCGCAGAAGTGTATCATTGTAAGGGCCAGATTTTGAGGGATAAAATTAATTAAGACCCTCCAAATCAAGGACAGACACACAGATGCCTAAACAGCTGAACAATATGCTTGTGTTTTGTACAGCTAATTGCTATAAGTCAAGATTACAGTATCTCAATGCAGAGAATTTATAGATAACTCAACTTTATAATCTTATTTTTTGAGTTTTGGTTTTTGGCTCTTATGTTGCCTAAAAGGGGTTTTAAAGATTACTGAATACCTGCTCACCTCCACTCCCATCTGGCCTAAAACGTTTAATTGGATTTAAGTCTTTGACTCTAAGTTCCTTGGCAATAGGGGTCCCACTGAGAGGCACGATGGACCAGGGGCAAGTAGCCACACCATCCCAGAACTTAAGTTAATAAAAGCTTAGCTATGGATACCACCTCTGCATACCTTGACCAAAAAAGGGGGAATATAAACTAAAAAAAAAAAAAATCCTAAGCCCCCTCAACAGACTGAATGTATCCACCTCTTGGCCAAAGGGAATCCCAAAGAAACCTGACAAACTAGTTCAGGCCATTATGAGAAGTGGAGGGTTGGACATGCCACACTATACCTTCCCCCAATTTGGAGTTTAGGCACAAATGACCAGCATTAACATTAAAATAGAGATCACATAAGACTGACAAGACAGACTCTGTAGCAATAAGATACACACTGTTATGTTTCACTTACTAACAAAGTCTCTCAGAAGCTCAGCAAACATGTGTTAATGCTGCAAAGCTTTCCCAAATTTATTTTATTCTAGAGTTTCCTGTATGAAATCTCTTATGTTAAATAAGTAAGAATTTGGACTAAACAGTTATGCCTTTATAGTTATAGTCTTCTGTTATCTCTTCATACAGGTCCTCATATTTCTGGTCAGGAATATTGTCAGATCTTTTATGGTTTCGGTTGGAATTGTGGGTGGGATCATTTAAAAACCCTATTTTCTAACTGGTTATTGCTGGCATTTGTTTTTTTAAATAAATATTTATTTCATGATTGTATCCAACTATTTTCTAATTCTTTATTAATATACTAATCTTTATAACTGTATCACTTCCTCTCTAATAGCTATAACTCATTTCTATTTCATATTTTATTGCTTAATTAGAACTTTCAAAAACTATATTGCATTTTAATAATGGCAGCAGGCAGCTTTGGTATTTTTTCCCCCAAGAATGGAAATGCCTCTACTATTTCATTGTTAAGTATTATGCTAGTTTGAGATAAATAGAAGTATTCTTTTCCTTGTTTTGAAAAACAAATGGAATTTTATTTTTAAAATTTTAGCATTTACTGAGGTGATTTAAAAAAATATATTGGATTTATTAATATATTACCTACTAGCCAAAGGTATTTGGGCATAGAAACCAGCCTATAAAAGACTCAAAGGAGAAATCCAGGATGAAGATGTAAACTTGTGTGTTGTCAATAAGTCTTCTTTTTTTTTTTTTTTTTGGATGGAGTCTCGTTCTTGTCATCCAGGCTGGAGTGCAATGGTGCAATCTTTGCTCACTGCAACCTCTACCTCCCGGTTCAATCGATTCTCCTGCCTCAGCCTCCAGAGTAGCTGGGATTACAGGCACCCACCACCACACCTGACTAATTTTTCTTTTGTTATTTTTAGTACAGACACAGTTTCACCATGTTGGCCAGGCTGGTCTCGAACTTCTGACCTCAGGTGATCTGCCTGCCTTGGCCTCCCAAAGTGCTGGGATTACAGGTGTGAACTGCCGCACCTGGCCTCCATTTTTCAATCTATAAAACGGAGGTAATGATATTATTTTCAAAGGGTAGTTGTGAGGTTTCAATTTTTTTAAAAAACGTACTTAAAGCCCTACACAAATACTAATTCTTCTTGCTTAAAAAAAAAGTCACCTGAACATTTTCTTTACCATTTTCTTATTACTAAACTTTGTTGTGAAATTCAAATTAAAACATAAAACCAAATTTTCTACATACAGTTTCCTATGAATCCTAAAAGGCTTCAAGAGGTGACTTTGAGAATATAAAGCTCTTTGGAGTTGGCTGTGTTTACCACCTGCCTAAAAACTAATCCAGTGACAAGCAAGATCAAACAATAAGCAGATGAGAAAGTAGAAATAAAAACTACTCTTTTGAAGGCTTTTGCTGTAAATGGGGCAGGGACAGGGGATGCTAGCTGAAGGGGAAAAGTGGGGCCAAAAGAAGCCTGTCATTTGTTGTTTAGATAAAATAAATTCAGCATGTTGGTCTGCTGTTGGGAATGATCCAGTAGAGCAGGGAAAACAGACAGTGTAGGGAAGAGAGGGCCATCACTACAGTGATATCCTTGAGTAGGTGCAAGTAGGTAGGATCTACTCCACAAAGGGAGGAGATAACCTGAGACAAGAATAAGGACAGATCATTCATAGAAACAAGAGGGAAGAGGATGTGCAAGGGTGCAGGTAGATGGGTAGCTCTGTTGGTAGAAACAGGTAGAAGTCCTCTTCTGATTGCTTCTCTTTTTTCTTTGAAAGAAGAGGGTAAGCTCATTACCTGAGAGTGTGATTGAGTGGAGAGGTGGTAGAGGTTTGAGAAGAAAGCAGAAAGGGTGAAAAAATTATCTGAACAGTGAATGTACCCCTATTTGTCACATGTGCGCATATTTCCAGTAATAAATTCCTTTTAAAACACCTTTAATATTGCCCCACTGCCTTCAGGATAAACGTAAATTCATTAGCATCATGCAATCTTCTTGATTTATCTCCTTCATAAACTTTAACCTCATCTCCTAATGCATTCTCATTATGACCTATGTTCCATTTTTATCAATTACTTAGCATATTCCCCAAATGGCTTTATGTTTAATGCTCCTGTGGCAGACTGTATTTTCCAAAGATGACTGCCAATAATATATCCCATCCCATGTGTTGCTCTGTAATGTGACCTTAAAAGCAGTCTACCTCTCCAGTCCCTTGAATCTGTGACTACTATGACCAACAGAATACAGTGGATATACCCCTGTGCCAGTTCTGGGAGTAGCCCTTGACTGGCCTGGCAGTCTCTACTTATGTCTTTTGGAATGCTTGCTCTTGGGATACATCCTCTTGGAACCTAACCACCATGCTGTGAGAAGAAAAAGGTACAAGAGGCATTTCTGACAGGCAGCCCTAGCTGAGCTTCCAGTCAAAAGCCAGTGTCAGATGTTAGCCATGTGAATGAGTCATCACGGAATGACCAGCTCACTTGAATCTTCAGTATACCTGATTGCAACCAGAGACCCCAATCAAGAACCATCCAGGTGAACCAACCCAGTTAATCCACAGAATTATAAGAGTTTGTTGTTTTAAGCTCCTAAATTATAGGGTGATTTGCTATGCAGCAAAAGACAAGCAGAAGTGTTTTGAGTGTGATGTGGTAGATGGAAGTTGTATTATCATTTACTGAAGGCATGGTAAATAGATGATCTAGGATCAAGTCATGGCTCTGCCACTACCTGGCTATATTACCTTAGAAGTTATTTGAATTCCTGAATTTCATTCTTCCATATATGGGGATAATAATAACTACCTCACCTGACACAGTCCCTGGCTTTAAAGGAGTAAATGTTTCTGCCCTTCACCTTAGGCCTTACTTTTGGCCCACTAAGGAAAGAACTTTCTCTCCTATCATTCTGACGTTTTCTCTTTATACCCACATACTAGCTCCTTCTTTTGAGAACTGCTACAACTTGTTGAGCCACATTTTACTACTGGGCATAGTTATTGCATGTGTACCTGTGAGCATGCCTTCTGTTTTTCCTGTAACTGGGTACATGAGGACGTTCCAGTTACCCTGCCAACGCAGCTACTTGATAAGTACACTGAGAGCCTGCCCCCAGAGACTGAGGTTATATCTAAGATATAGATATGGAGATAGAGGAAGCTACTTCAGCCTTGGGACAAAGTAGTATTCTGCAACCAAGCTTTAACAAAGCACTGGGTACTTATAGAAAGTGGCATTTTATTTCCCATATGGCCACTATTCCTTTTTGTTCATGGCTCCCCAATTGAGGAAGAGTATAAATGTAGCAGGACGAGCCACAGACAAAACCCCTCAGACACCAAGTTAAAGAAGGTAAGGCTTTATTCGGCCGGGAGCATCAGCAAGACTCACATCTCAAAAAAATGAGCTCCCCGAGTAAGCAATTCCTGTCCCTCTTAAGGGTTTAGAACTCTAAGGGGGTCTGCATGAGAGGGTTGAGATTGATTGAGCAAGCAGGGGGTACGTGACTGGGGGCTCCATGCACCAGTAATTAGAACAGAACAGAACAGGACAGGGATTTTCACAGTGCTTTTCCATACAATGTCTGTAATCTATAGATAACATAACCGATTAGGTTGGGGGTCAATCTTTAACTACCAGGCCCAGGGTGTGGTGCTGGGCTGTCTGCCTGTGGATTTCATTTCTGCCTTTTAGTTTTTATTTCTTCTTTCTCTGGAGGCAGAAATTGGGCATAAGACAATATGAGGGGTGGTCTCCTCCCTTATAAATGCCCACCCTGATAATCCTAATAAAGTCCTCCTGTTCTTTAGCATTCAGTTCAAACAATGCCTGTTCTGGAAAGCCTGTCTTTATTAACTCACCCGAATTCTGTTAGGTTTCCCTTCCCTAAGTTTTCATTTATCCTTACATAGAACTTATATGACTTCTCATATCCATAATCTGATTTGATACTTTCTCCCAATAGTCAATGAACCTCTTTAGAACAGGGAAAACAAAGGTCTTCCATTTAAAGTGTTGACATATGGCAGGGTCATATCTTGCATACATTACAAATTTTAAGGATATATGAGTGTGTAGGTACACAGCATCCTCCACACCAAACACACATTCTTCCAACAACAATAGCTAAAACCTAGATACGGATTTTAAACATATCCCAAACCTAGAAGTTAAGATATAAAGAGTGTAACTTGAGGTGAATAGAAAACTGGTGATATTTATTTAATAAAGAAATAATATATTGATGTCATGTAACAAAGTTTTTGCTAATTAATGAACATTTTGAACTTGAAAGGTAGAAAAATAATTAAATAGTAATAGGTTTGATATTCTGAAGTATCAGTTTTAAAGCCTCTATCATAAACTATCATTAATGTGGCCAAAAAGCAATACTGAAATGTTGGTACTATTATTCAATATATGGAATTTAATGCACCATAGATATCCTGGTAAAATGAACAATAATTATACAGGAGTCACAAATATAAGTATTTACTTATATACCTTCATTGTCAGTATTGAGTTTGGCTTCCAGTTCCGTAATCTTGTGTCTTAGTTCAAATATTGAGAGTTGCACTGCATCCCTGTTATTTAAAATATTTTTGTTGATTATAATTCAATTAAAAATAACATCAGAAAAATAATACATAGTAACCCACTACTACTTCAGGAACAATTTACTATGACACATTATTTACTGAAGGACTGGTTAAGAAATAAGACTCAGGCAAAGGAAGGCTTCCAATTAGTCAGTTCTAGGACTCAAATATGCACTAAAGCTCAAAGACCCCCAGGCAACCATTAGAAATCTTTTATTTATTTTTATTTATTTTTTTGAGACAGAATCTCGCTCTGTCGCCCAGGCTGGAGTGCAGTGGTGCAAACTCGGCTCACTGCAACCTCCGCCTCCCGGGTTCAAGCAATTCTCCTGCCTCAGCCTCCTGAATAGCTGGGATTACAGGCATGCGCCACCAAGCCCTGCTAATTTTTTTGTATTTTTAGAAGAGACAGGGTTTCACCATATTGGCCAGGCTGGTCTCGAACTCCTAACCTTGTGATCCGCCCAGCCTCGGCCTCCCAAAGTGCTGGGATTACAGGCGTGAGCCACCAGGCCCGGCCCTTGGAAATCCTTTATTTTTAACTTAAATATCATCCTAAAGAAGTTAGTTACCTGGTTTTTCAGAACCAAGCAAATTAGGCACTGCACATTATTACAGAAAGGCATACCTAGGGCAATACATAACAGCTGACAAACTGAAACAAAGAGAAAAAAACAAACACTAATTTAAAAGGTTAGCTATTTAGGGCATCAGTAAATAGAACATTATCATATGACAGGGCCATTTATTCAATAAATATTTTTGAGTGCCTATTATGTTCAAGGCATTGTATTAAATACGGAAGAATTCAGTGAACAGTGAACAGAAAAATAGCAATAGCGGCAGCAAAGTTCCACTGGATGCGTATCACAAGCCAATGCTAAGTTCTTTATAGTGCATTTCATTCCAACCTGGGAACAACAGCAGGAGGTATGAGATGACTATTTGTATACCAGTCTTAGAGCTGAGAAAACTGAGGATTAAAGAGGTTAATTAACTTGTCTAAGATTGCATAGTTACTGAGTGACAAGAGATGGAGTTTGTGTTTTTGCAGGACTGTCCTCAAGTACTTGCTCTTATTCTCTACTTCCTCAGAATACACAGAACCTGTCCTCAGAACGCGTGTAGTTTGGTAGCAAAACAAGAAATAGACAGGC
Source organism: Homo sapiens (assembly GCF_000001405.40). Classification (NCBI taxonomy): domain Eukaryota; kingdom Metazoa; phylum Chordata; class Mammalia; order Primates; family Hominidae; genus Homo; species Homo sapiens. The sequence continues at coordinate 36,297,030 of NC_000013.11, forward strand.
AATTAAAATACTGTGACTGGAGCTACAATAGAGGAAAACCCAGAACCCTATCTAGGCACAAAGGAGAGTCCAATTCTCACGGGACTTGTGGATGGAGTTGGGAGTATGTCCAAAAAATACTTTAAATGTTTCAAAAATTTAACACGAAGTACGAATACTGTTTTTAAAAAGCATAAAGGAGGAGTAACAGTTTTACTAAATGTCATTTTATGAAGTTCCCCTTAAAGGGATGAAAGAAAAAAAAAACCCCGTATAACTAAATAAAATCTTTGGAATTTTAAGCAGAAAACCTGGATTTATGGAGACATCAAAACCAAACACAACTTTTGGCATTACAGTATATGGGCAAAATACACGCCATATGATTGGATCCTTAAGGGCAGCACATCCTACCCGGAAAGCTGCCTACTTAACAATACCAAAGGCTTACTCAAAGAGGCACGTGAATCTTTCGCATGGAATACTTTTGGAACCCAGACCGAAGTGCCCAGGGGTTAATCACGGCGCCGGTCTTACAGCACCCTCAGCGGCTTCAGCCCTGAGACTCTGCAGGTGAAGGCTCGGGGGGTGTGGACGGGACCCCACACCGCGCCGCCCGCCGACTCACTTCTTGCGGACTTCTTCCAGCAACTGCTGTTTCAGGCGGTTGGTGCTCACACCGTCGAAGTTGTAGTTTCTCTCTTCCTTCATAGTGTCAGGCCAGAGACCTCCCGCGTCTTTCCCCTCAGCACCTTAGAGCACAAGACATTAAGGGCCACCCAGAAGCCAGTACGGCACGAGGCGGTGAACCCCAACCGCCCCCCGGTCGCACCTCCCGCGCCTGCCCGCAGAGGCACGTGGTGACGTCATAAAGCGATGCCCGCAGGCGGCAGGGGGTGGGGCGAGGGCAGCCGGGGAGACTGGAGAAGCCTACTCTGTGCGGTGGAGCGACCCTGGATAACAGCTCCAGGGACACTCCTTGCTCAAGACGCTGGGGTTAGACGTGCTCCGGCTACACAGCGGAGTGTCAGGGGGCCAAGAATATCCCTCTCCTTTTTCTTCCCTCCTGCTGGCTTTGGTTGCTTTCCTAAACATTGCCCCGGACGGCAAAGTCGGCTTCACTCTTAGCCCTTGTTAGGGAAACGCTGGATCCAAGATTAGCTGCGCCCTTCTTTGCTTCAGTTGAACAAGCACCAGAGTCGCTGATTTGGCAGTGTCGGAGCGGGAGGAACTGGTCTTAAAAAGGTACCTCCTGAACTCGGGAAGACTGCTAACCCTCCAGATTATTGTTTTGCATCTGTGTGCTGTTCATGAACATACCTCAGAGCTGCTCACTGCAACTTGAAATTTCATTATATTTTTAATCACAAAGTTTGCATCCTACCCTTGATACATCTGTGTTTCCTTGACAAAAAGAGACAAACTCTGTAAAATATTTGAAGAGATTTATTCTGAGCCAAATGAGTGACCAATGGCGGGTGACAGCCCTCAGGAGATTCTGAGAACACGTGCCCAAGGTGGTCAGGGTACAGCTTAGTTCTATACATTTTAGGGAGACATGGGACATCAATCAAATGCATGTTAAGATATACACTGGTTCCATCGGGAAAGGCAGGGCAATTGGAAGGGGTGGGGGACGGGGTGGCTTCCAGGTCACAGCTAGATTCAAAGATTTTCTGATTGGCAATTGGTTGAAAAGTTACTGACTAAAGACTTAGGAATGTCTTTAGAGAATAAAGGGGTTGTGGAGACCAAGGTTTTAGTGAGAATGGGATAATTGGTGTGGAAAACACAATTTGGTGTCAGAAGTGTTGTGAATACATAGTTTTCCAATTGAGTTTCTGGATGAGATTAACATTTCAATTGGTAGACTGAGTATAGTACATTGTCTTCCCCAATGTGGGTGGGCCTCAGCCAATCGACCGAAGACAGAATAGAACAAAAAGGCTGACCTCCCAGGAGTAAGAGGGAGCTCCTACAGCCAAACAGCTTGAGCTGGAACACTTTTCCAGCCTTGGGCTCAGACTGGGACTGCACATCAGTTTGCTTGCATCTCCAGCTTGTCAACTGCAGATCCTGAGACTTCTCAGCCTTCATAATTGTACGGGCAAATTCCTTATAATAAATCTTTTATACACACACTCCCTATTGGTTCTGTTTCTGTGAATTACCCTAATATAGGAGGTATGCTTATCAAAATTTTGTCTAGCTGTTAAGTCTGAAAGGGCAACTCACAACCAAGTAAACAGAATAGAATGAAGTGAAAAGGACTAGATTATCTGTTGACAAATCCAAATATACAGAGGATTTCTTTTTTGAGACGGAGTCTCATCTGTCTCCCAGGCTGGAGTGCAGTGGCACAATCTCAGTTTACTGCAAACTCCACTCCTGTGTTAAAGCAATTCTCCTGCCTCAGCCTCCCAAAGTAGCTGGGACTACAGGCACGCACCACCATGCCTGGCTTAATTTTTTTGTGTATTTTTAGTAGAGATGGGGTTTCACCATATTGCTCAGGCTGGTCTTGAACTCCTGACCTCGTGATCCACCCACCTCTGCCTCCCAAAGTGCTGGGATTATAGGCATGAGCCACTGCACCCGACCCAGAGGATTTCTTAAAAAGATCTGTTAGCAGGATCTCACTGTGGGAAATTAGGAGCAAAGGCAAGCAGAAAACAGGTTTGTCAACAACTACAGAAACCACAGATTTGTGTTTCTGGCAGAGATAAAGGACCTGAATTTACCCTCCTGCCTGAAACAACTAAAAAACTAAGAGGAACAAAAAAAGAACATTGAACATCAGGCAATAAGGGAAAACGATCACCAAGAGATGAGACACAAATGAGGCAAGCTCCCAAATTGGCCTGGGCCTGCCAGGGTACAAAGCAGAAAGGGAGAAAACAGGCAGAGGCTGGTGGTTGCCCTAAGTTGAGGAAACGGAGTTTCTCTAAGAGTCTAGAGAGAACAAGGCAGCTAGACTTTGCAGGGCAGATATTGGAGGGGAGAGCTGCACAGGGTGTTCCCAGACCAAACTGAGGGTTGGGTTGCTATTTCTTGTGACCCAGTAAGAACATGTAGATGAACTGGGGAGGAAGAGAGTTTTTATTTCTGGAACCAGTTACAGGCAGAAGCCCTGGAAACTATAACCAGACCAACTCAAAATTACAGTTTTCCAGACCTTCTAAGCTATATGTCTATGTGTAAGTGTGCATTCATCTATAGACATTAAGTGGTTAACTTTTTATAATCTACAACTAAGGTCTTGAGTCCTGAAGACCTTCCTCTGGAGCCTCAGTAAACTTAATCTAAATGGGTCCAGGTGCTAGGGTGATTACCCCTGTCTCCTGCTAAATCAGGGAGGTTTGGGGATTCCTTCAGAACCCCAAAAAACTTGTTTAATCCTAAATGGGTCCAGCTAAGAATTCCTTCTTTTTTTTTTTTTTTTTTTTTGTCATGCTTTGAGACCTAGTTCTTGGTGGGTTTTTATTACATTCCAGCCTTTGTATAAGGGCTTTGGTTTTTTTAGCTTTTAGTATTTAACTTAGCCACTCAAGTCAGTACTGAAACAGTTGTTATGGAGGCCTGTGTTAATGAGACCTGGCCTGCCACAAGGTACACTCTGCAGCAGAATACTGATGAATGCACACACATGGTGGGGCAAGTACTCAGGCTGGGGAAAGAACCATCACAAAGGATTAGAGGGGAAATCCTTACAGTTTACAGAGGTAGGAATAATACCTGCTACCACCCACCAGAATGGAAAACCTCTGAATTCACAGGGCATCAGGTACACAAAGGATTTTGATTTAGGAGTCGGAAAAAACACTAGCCCTAACAAGTTGAAAAGAAAGATCCAAAAGTATCCAACTGGTTCTAAGTAACTTAATCCCCTCCCAAGACAAAACTCGAGAATATTTATAGGAACACAAAACATCCAGTACCCAATAAGGTAAAATTCACAATGTCCAACAATATCTTTAGTCTCGTTATGTTGCCCAGGCTGGTCTCAAACTCCTCGACTCGAGAGATCCACCCAACCTCAGCCTCCCAAAGTGTTGGGATTACAGGTGTGCACCTCTGCACCCAAGGTAACATTATTTTCTTAGGGTATGTTAGAACTCACCTGTAAGTCCATCTGGGGCTGATGTTTCTTTGTGGGAAGATTTTAAACTCCTTATGGAACTTGTTTAATCAGCCAAAATACTCCTAAAGAATTTGGTTGAGGGAATTGAGCCTCTTGCCCTAACAATCAGTAGGGCTTACTAATTTACAATGATGACAGTGTGGGACTGGCACAGGAACAAAAGAAATGACAGATGGAACAAACGTCTGAGCCCAGAAACACTCATACTCTATATATAGAGAAAGACCTGTGGGAAATTACTGAAGAAAAGAACTATTCAATAAATGGGGGTTAAATAACTGATTATCTACGGGGTGGGGGAGGAGGGGAGGAATTAGATACCTTACCTCTTGCACACATATACACAATTCTCAGTAAACACCTAAACATGAGAAGCAAAATTGTCAGCAGTGACAACACGCAAATTTTACAGCACAGGCAAATGAATGGCAAATGAACATGAAAAATTACTGATCTAAGGTCAGGAAAGGAGGTCAAGAAAACACAAATTAAAATTATGAGATACTTTTTTATATATGCTACATTAACAATAAAAACATTGCAAAGGGAAGTAATACTCAAGAGAATATCATCATTTTGGAAAATACCTGGCATTATTTTGCAAAACTTGACAAGCCAACAACTCCACTCTTACGCATAAAGTCTCTTGCATATGTGTACCAGGGGACAGTCAAGGATGTTTTGAGTGTACTGTTTCTACCAACAAAAACTAAAAACAAATGTCAACTGATAGGAAAATGAACACTTAAATTGTGGTATACTCACACAGAATACTATAGAGCAAGTAAACCATCCATGCATATAAGCGCAAGAATGAATTTTAAACATAAACTCAAAAAAGCAAGTTGAGTAAGACTTCACATTCAGACACTATATGTAGAAAGCTTCAAAAAATGAAACAGTATGTTTGGAGAACATACATGTGTGATTAAAAAATGGCAAGGAACAATAAAAAATGACATGGGGAAAGAGGTAAGAAAATAGGAAGAACATACATATAGGTAATTGGCAGCTTTCCATGTCTTTAGGTGTGATGAGTTTTTAAGTGTTGTTATTCATCATACCTTACAAGTAATATATAATTTTATCTATATATCAATCATTACACAATATAAAAAAAATCTTTAGAAGATGCCTATCTCCTAATGAGTCAGTGAATGGTGGGAAAAGTCCATTTTCTATAGACTAAGGCAGCACACTTTTTCTGCAAAGGGCCAGAGAGTGAATAAGTTAGGCTTGTGGACCATATACTCTCTGATGCAACTATTCAACTCTCACGTTGAACTAGACAGCAGCCATAGCCAATATGTAAACAAATGGGTACAGCTATGCTCCAATAAAACGTTATTTATGAAAACAGGTGGACATCTGGATTTAGCCCATGGAGGATATTTGCTGACCTCTGGTCAAAGCTAACTGTTTAAAGTTTATGTTCCATTATTTGCCATTCCATTTCTTTTTAAATTTTTATGGGTACATGGTAGGTGTATATATTTATGGGATACATGAGATATTTTGATACAGGTATGCGATTTATAATAATTACATCAGGGTGTATCTACTGCTTCAAGCATTCATTTGTGTTACAAACGTCCCAATTACACTCTTTTATTTTTAAATGTATAAAGTTATTGTTGACTGTAGTCACCCTGTTGGGCTATCAAATACTACAACAAATTCGTTCTAACTATATTTTCGTACCCATTAATCAACCTCACTTCCCTCCCCATCCCTTCAATGCCTCCCAGCCTCTGGTAACCATCATTCTACTCTCTATCTCCTTAAGTTTGATTATTGTAATTTTTAGCTCCCACAAATGAGAATATATGAAGTGCCATTCCATTTCTTAAACAAAGCATAGACTGTCTGTAAGCTATTTACCACTTCACTTTTATTTCCATTTTAACAACTAGTACATTATCCTTGGCCTTAGGAAAAGCCTCCATCAGTTCTATGTGTTCCCAAAATATAAGCTCATGTGATAACGAGGTCAGGCAATTCAGTTTTTTAATTCATAAAGTGCATTCTTCAGACAGCTTCAAATAATGTCTAATTAAGTAGCCACTAGAAGATCAGAAATTATTAGAATGGACTACAGCTATGAAAACTAATACCAATCTCTTAAATTCAATAAACAAAAATTAAATACCATTAGGTATTTAGTTACATAGTTTTTTAGCCTATGTAAGTAAATAGGGCTGTGAATAGTCTGCCTTCTGCCAAAGTGGAAACCATAATGCCTATCCACCATGGATTACGTCTAAGGTTTTCATATTCTTTACCCTGATTATGAATAGAACCTTTCCTTTTTAATAACTTGTCTTTTAATATAAATTCCAATGACCGAATCCCAGAATAAAAATGTTTACCATTAGTAAACTCAATTGTTTATATATATTTTTTTTACAAGTTTTAACCTTTTGGAAAAACAGAAGCAGATATGATAAAATAATTTCTTGAAGTACTTTTTTAATCCAATTAAGCTGATAATAATCACTTCGAATTTTAATACAATACAATCATGTTCCCAAATTTCCTAGGCTCATAACAATACAGTCTCAATACAAAAGACGTAATAATCTATTTTTATTTATTTTAAATCAAAGAGACCATTCCATTTCCTAACAAACAGGTAAGTTACAAAAGTAGTCCATTTTACTTTTCATCAGTCTTTCCCTGTTTTGAACAAGTTTTTTTGAGAATTCTTAGTTTTAGTTTTTGTTTAGCTTACACACTGAAAATTTTGAGAAGCATCTAAAAAAATCCACAATTAGTGCAAAAAGAGGGGACAATACTTTAAGTCATTCCTTCTATAAAAAGAATTAAGGTTACTAAATGCCAATTTTTAAGCAAATATATAGTTTCCTATTTGCCTTCTGAAAGACAGCAGATATAAAAATAGTTCAATATTAGGTTTAACAAGGTTTGAACAACACATGTACTATCAGCTTTATTTTACCTGCAAAAATATTTTAGCTACACTTGGAAAAAAATAAACTTGAGAATATAACTTCACATTTCTAAGGCCAGATGCAAGAATACTTATTCTTTTCCTTTTAAATAGAAGACATGCCATAAAATTTATGAAAGTTAATTTGTAGGAATGAATACATTTAAAAAATACTGGTTAATCTGTGAGGAATTCCACATTTGCCTATTTAACAAAATTTCATCCATTTCATAAGGCTTTGGTATAAGTGATTCCCAGCACTTCATCATTTATCTTTCTTCTTTGCCTCCTTTACTTCCTTCGTCTGCTCATCCTTCTCCCCTCTCACGTTGACATTTGCTGCTCCTTCTTGATTTTCCCTCTGAGAATTATCAACTATCTGATAGTCCTCAAGGAGAGTGTGTCCTGTTTGTGTTGCAGTTTTCTTCACCATTGCTTTGATACCAATGTTGTTAATATTGTAGGCAGTTACGCCAACATTGACCGCAGAATCCACCGCATGGTGGGTAGCTTCTCCTGCATTATATCCGTATCTTTAAAAGAAAGATTAGAGGACATACAATGAAACAATAAATATAAAATAAGGTCTTCTGAATTAGTATTAAATAAGTCAAATGATTACTGTGTTACCCCTGAAAGCAAAATTAAAGCTTAGGTTTCAATTTAATTAATAACTTAAAACACAGTAGAGAATGAAATCACACTCTGTGACAAAGCAGTATTTTCTCCTTTAGTAAAAACAGTGTGTGAAAATAAACTCAGACTAGCTGAGAATGATGTAATAAAGACTGTCAAGTAAAAATAAAAGTGTAAATTATAATACAGGTCATTAATCAGTCATTATTTCTTTTTTTAATCCTCCCTTTCTAGAAATATGAGGGAAAATATTCACAGAAGCAACTAATCTAGAGTCACGTAAGTAGTTTCAAGTTCTACCTTAACCAGACTTTGGCTATGTCTTTTAATTATGGGAATTTGAGTTAATCTTTAAACAGAGATTCTATGGCATTCTCCCCTGCATCCCACTCTACTGCACACTCACTGGCCTCCTTGCTGTTCCTTGAGCCCACCAAGCACTCAAAGGCCTTAGGACCTTTGTACTGGCTGCTCTCTGCTTGGACTTCCCATAGCTCTCTGCCTCACCTTCTTCAAGTTGGCTCAACTATAATCTCATTATCTAACCTGTTTAAATTGCCTTTTTCCACATGCCCACCTCCACCTCTTGACAATCGATTCCCCTTTACACTGCTTTTTTTCTCCCATTACTTACCACTTTCTACATACTATAGAACTTATTAATTATCACTGTTCATGTCTTGCTTCTCTCACTAGAATGTAAACCCTATTGGAGAGGAGAATCTTACCTTTGTCCTTTAACATATCCTAAACATTGAGAATAGTACCTGATATTCAATGAATATTCACTGAATGAATGAAATCAGTAATTCCTGCCCTATCTGCCTCAGAGTTTTTTGAGCATCAAATGCATAGCAAGTGCTTGGGAAATTATAAAGCATATACAAAAGAAGTTATTATTGATAATAATAATATCTGCATTTAATACTATTTCTATGATAAAATACAATTTGAGGTCCTATACAGGCACACCAAAACACATTTCCCTACTGTTTTGTTTTACTCTTTACCCCATTTTGGTAACAGGCTTTTAAAGCTTTTCTTGTCCACAGATTTCCCCCAAATAGAGGACTGTTTAAACAACAAACAAAACAAAGAGGCAAAAGTTTACATTTTCTCCAGGACACAGTGAAGTTTCCTAGATGCTTTATGACCTATATCTGGACATCTTATATAACACTAGATCTGCCTTTTGAATTAACAAGTCCTCTATTACTAAATAGCCTGGCCTAGAACAGTGGTTTGTGATCCCACCGGCTTGTTTGTGCTTGGCTTTTTTAACCCCAGTGTGAAATAATCTTATAGTGCCCCTAAAGGATGATTCTATTCTGTCCTTTGCCTAATGTTAATAATTATATTAGAGCTAGCACACAGCAGAGCCTAGTCTGTCAAACCTTCCAAGTCTGTACTACTCTTAATTGGGGGCCTTCTCACCAGTCAACAGACAGAAAAACTTCCTACAACTGCTTCGGACAGTCCCTGTTATGCAACCCCTCAGCATTCCACAGGATTTGCTGATAGTGCAGGAGATGCACCATTGCTGATGGTGCCTTCTCATTGTCAACCAAGCCCCAGTAACAAATACTACTGTCAGGTGGTAATGGCTGTGTCTATACAAAAAGAAAGGTATCAGCAGTTTCAGCACTGAAAAACAGTGACCGTAACTCTTGGTGGAGCCGGTTTCCCTGAGGGCTTATTTTTCCAGAACCATGTGAGCTACAATGAAGTGACACCATAACTCAACATAACTCACAACATAACTCACAGTCATGTTTTCAAGCATAGGAAATCCTCCATATTCACAAACTTCCACTTCTGAGAATTTGGAATGTTCCCTATTCCACTGATACAGTTTGATACCTCCAGCTGCACTCATATTTCTGTATGTAACACAGTTCTAAAAACTACATTGTCTTTAATAACGTACTAAAAATGAATTTGTTTTGCACCTTGTTAATTTTGTCTGTTTTTCTATGCTATCTCCAATGTCAGTAACAATTCCTATTAATTTGGGAAAAAAAAACAGAATATTCAGAAAACTAGATTCTAATGCCAACTATGCCAGTAACTAGCCATATGACCTTGGTCAAGTTTCTACCTCTTTACATATCATCAACTTTCTCTTCTTTATCTCAAAAAAACGATGTATATGTGTGAAAGCAGTTTTAAAATTCTAAAATACTAAACATGTATTTTTAAATATACTATAAAACAGCTTTTCATCAGTTGTATTTATTTTTTAATATATCCTCAACTATCACTCCTGCTTTCCAATATGCCTTAGAACTAGTTTTCCTAATAGGCATATGTTCTTTTCTTCATAAATAACTGTTTAGTCCTTTTCTTCAGATTCAAACTATACTGCTATAAACTCCTAGAAAGCATATGTCTGGGAGGAAGTTAAATTTATTTTTGATCTCTTATTTTTAAACAAATTTACTTTAATTAGAGCTCATTAAGTCGGATTTTATATACTAACACTACCAATTGAAAAATAATAAAAAATGAATGTGAAGTAGGCCTAAATAAGTCAACGAGATTCAAAACTACAATTGAACCAGATTTTTCTGAAATTTCTCCAATGTGTTCAGTTATACAAAACTGGTTTTGGGTAATATGACACCTGTCATTGAAGTTACCCCTTCATCCAGTGCAAATTTAGGAGGAATTTTAATTAAATTTCACTAAACAAACCAATAAATCAGCTACACTTAACTATAGCATAGTACCAAAAACCATAAAACAGTAAATTTTCTACAGGAAAAAAAGTCTATTATTAAGCTTATGTTCCACAAATATATATTCAAAGAAAATATTGCTGGGGAAAATAAAAATAGATCTAACTATCAAAGCTATATTATTATTCTTTAAACACTTTAAAGTGGAATAAAAGAAGCTTAAAGGTGAAACTTAAGCTTCATATGTAGAATGATGAATTATTGAATAGGTACTATACCGCAATTAAGTGTAGCAGGTTTAAAGTTACTTATTGTTTTTCATTATTCCTGTATGTCTTCACATCCCCAAATATAAGACAAAAGTATTAATGTAACTGACAAAAATAAACTGAATCTTAATGAATATTTTTTATGCATTTAGCTAAAAATTTTAAGAGTATAGTTATTTAATCCTTTGTACTGGCTTATCCACCTGAAATCAGATAAGGAAGTTTATATAATACATTTGGTTTTCTCCCAAGCATAAAATTAAAGGACATTTAAAATAACTATTTTGGAGAGCAATCGCTTATCACAGGCAATTAAGAACACAAATTTCCCTTATTATACTACCATCAGTTCGATTTGAGTACTCCACAAATGGTCATTCTATCAAATACTTTTTGATAGTAAACTTAAATACAGAAGAGTGTAAATAAACCTAAGTGTATGTAAACAAATAAGAACAAAATTAAACAAAGGTACAACAAGCTTTTCCATTTCTTCAGTTCTATCACTAAGTTATTACTGGTTCAATACTTTTAGTTTCTTCTCTTAAAAGACATTTTCTACTTTGGGCCAGATTAGCTCCAAAGGTGAGAAACAGTATTACTTAGATAAAATCTTTTATTCCCTACTGCCTCTCCCATCCTTCTAAATTTCTAATAGCAGAAACTAAATTACTGCTAAGACTGAATCATCCTCATAGTTAGAAATACAAAGCTACTTAACTAAATTCTCACTTACCTGGTTTTTATTTAAATTCCATGAATCTTTGGAAGAAAGGATAAAAAGAATAGCAATAATACAATAGAAATAAATGAGCTGAGAATCACTGTTAAAAATATGCTATTTATCATATTAAGTTCTCATTAAGGACCAGAAGTACAAAATCTACATTAAAATCCAGTATTTCCTAGTTATGTGAATCCCAAACTTTTAATAAGCTAATTGTAGTTAGGTAAGTTTTTTTTTTTTTTTTTCATTAGAGTAGGCCATAAAACCCAACAAAGCACTTCCTATTTTCTAATATGATAATCTAAAAATAATTCACTTTTGGCCTGAAAGGCATTTCTGAATTTCTCCTGTTCTTGCTACAAATAAAGAACTATTTTTCTAATTATGACTGATCCAAAGTAACCTCAGGGTCATAAAACAATGAATGAATATTAGAGTTCAGGCCACAGGTGACAAGAAGTGAGTTGGAAGACTTGAGTTTCATATTTCTATCAGAAGAATTTGAGATCTATTGTATGTTTTATCTCTCAACTCTTGGTAAAACTGATACTCTGGCCAGGTGTGGTGGCTCACGCCTGTAATCCCAGAACTTTGGGAGGCCGAGGTGGGCAGATCACGAAATCAGGTGATCAAGACCATCCTGGCTAACACAGTGAAACCCTGTCTGTACTGAACATACAAAAAATTAGCCGGTCATGGTGGCGGACACCTGTAGTCCCAGCTACTAGGGAGGCTGAGGCAGGAGAATGGTGTGAACCTGGGAGGCGGAGGTTGCAGTGAGCCAAGATTGCGCCACTGCACTCCAGCCTGGGTGACAGAGTGAAACTCCGTCTCAAAAAAAAAAAAAAAACTGACACTCCAAAATGATATGCCACATTGCTTTGATTTGATTCAAAGGTATGTATGTCCCAGAATGTAAACTAGTTCAGCCACTTTTGGGAGATATCTCAAAAAACTTAAAATGGAATTACCATTTGATACCCAAAAGAAAATAAACTGTTCTATCAAAAAGACACATGCACTCACTCACATGTTCACTGCACTATTCATAACAGCAAAGACATGGGATCAACCTAGGTACCCATCAACAGTGGACTGCACAAAGAAAACATGCTAATATATACACCATGGAATACTACACAGCCCTAAAAAAATGAAATCATATCCTTTGCAGCAACATGGATGCAGCTGGAGGCCATTATTCTAAGCGAATTAATGCAGGAACAGAAAACCACATGTTCTCACTTATAAATGGGAAATAAACACTGGATACTCATGGACATAAAGATGACAACAATAGACACTGGGGATTACTAGGCCGGGGAGGGAGGAGGGGAGTGTGAGCTAAAAGACCATCTATTGGGTACTATGCTTACTACCTGAGTGATGGGATCATTTGTACCCCAAACCTCAGCATCACACAACAAATTCTATGTAACAAGCCTGCACATGTACCCTTTAATCTATAATAATAGTTGAAATTATAAAAAAAGTAAAAATAAAGCAATTCCTACTTCCTATCTTAAAACAAACAAACAAATGTATTCATGCCCCAGACGGAGCAGATCGAACCAATTAAGGATGGAAATTAAATTAGCACTGTAGAGCACAGGTTCTGATGACAGAAACACTTGGTTTATATCCCAGCTCTACTATTCACTAGGAGAGTAATCTTTAACAAGGTATTTAACTTTACATTTCGGTTTCCTCATCTGCAAAATGGAGATAACAGTGTTGAAAATTAATTAATACGTAGGAAAAGCAATGATCACAGTGCCTAATACAAAAGTATGAACTCAACTAAATGCTGTCAATAAGTGGATAATTAACATAAATAACCACGAGTTGTGAATACTATCAATATTGCTCTTCTTTTTTCTTTCTAAATAAATAGTAAGATCCAAACTAATTCAAGGCTAAGAAAGCAACTCAGGTCCTTCATACTAGATTTATTTTTTAGACCTTGATTCTTCTAGTATTGTATAAAGAAAGTAGAGTCAGGTAGAAAGAATAAGGAGCTAAAAGCAGAAGACCCTGCTTTACTCTCACCTTCAATACCACTTGTATAAATTTGTTATATAGTTGTTGCTTCAGCATTTATTTTTAGGCCTGACATAAGTTGCTTGAAACCTAGTTGTATCCCACCACCTTTGGCCTAGTTAAAACTTCTCTCTCCCCCATGCGGTTGTCTGCAATACAGTATACTTGTTTCTCATCTCACTGACTCAAAACCCAACACACCCCCACAGCTGCTGACCACGAGAAAATCCAATGGTCAACACTAGAGTCATGTAAAACTAGAGCCATGTAAATGTTCCCCTGTTCACACTTGTTTTCTTTAAACTAGTCAATCCACAGGCCCCACTGGAAAGCCAAAGGAAGAACACCCATAGACTTTCGTGAAGGCAGTCACACAAATCACCTCTCCCTTGCTCGTGCTCCCTTGTTCACCCACCCTCGCCCCACCCACTGGTTGAGCACTCTGCTATCTCCAGACTTCCTGTTGGCCCTCATGCATACCGCTCTTCTCTCAAGGGTCTGTGAGTAATAAAAAGTTTCTGTTATTTCGTGTGTTTGGTTGTGCTGCCTTCTCTGTGTGTCACCTGACCAACACACCCAAACCTTGCTCTCCTCCTAGTCAGGGTCTCCTAGAGAGTAGCTATCTTAGTAGGAATAAACTGGACACAGGTCAGAAAAGAGCCACAAGGGCATCTGCCATAAACAAGTTCCCTGAGAGAGGGACACCTGGTCATGGGTGTGCCAGGATAAAGAAGTATCCTGTGAAACGCACACTGAAAACATTCACGAGATTTTTTCCTCTTGAGCCACAACACAGCAGGATTAGAATTTATAGCCACTCTCCAGAGACAGACCTTAAGGCCAAATAAGAAAGCAATCATAACACTAATCAGGTGAGTTTGTGCAAATCATTCATTTCTGTTTGTCCATTTCTTAATATATGAAATTGAAGATATACCATCTACCCATTCCAATACAAATGTACAGTGGTAATCAGAGTCAAGTAAGATGTGACATAATTTTTAACAGTCTGTATACCGAGTGGGCTAATATTAACATGGGGTATAAGAGTTTAATTATAATTCAAGTTTTTTCAGGCAGATATCACCCATCAAAAACATGTAGTCAGTTAATAAGGTATACAGAAATTCCAGGCTTTTAAAAAAAATAACCTTATTCTTCACAGTAATGATGAACAAATGTTTATAATGATTAGTAACATAAAGCAAAGTGACAAGAATTCTGTTATTATACTAGAAATACTATTCTTCTCCCTATTTAAGAAAAGCAGTGAGTGAAAAAAATTATTTTATCAGATACTTAATAAAAATATCTTGACCGTCATGGGTTTTTACAAATGCTACAAGAGATTTAGTCCGCCAGGCATGGTGGCTTACGCCTGTAATCCCAGCACTTTGGGAGGCTGAGGCAGGCAGATCACCTGAGGTCAGGAGTTCGAGACCAGCCTGGCTAATGTGGTGAAACCCCATTTCTACTAAAAAAAAAAAATTAGCCGGGCATGGTGGCGTGTGCCTGCAATCCCAGCTACTCGGGAGGCTGAGGCAGGAGAAATGCCTGAACCTGGGAGGTGGAGGTTGCAGTGACCTAAGATCGCGCCATTGCACTCCAGCTTGGGCAACAAGAGAAACTCCCTCTCAGAAAAACAACAACAACAACAAAACAGAGATTTAGTCATTAAAATAAAATTCAACTTACTTGTATCTGACAGTTTGTACAGTTTCTGCTGAAACATTGTTAACGATGCATTTAGCTGCACATTCCAATCCTTGCCAGACAGTTGAAAATCCTGTAAAAATAATATTTAAAACGATGTAAATCTAGTCCAAAGCAAACGGACCTTCATAGTTAAAATTCTGGGCCCTTTGTTACCTTGAACACTACTTGCTGCTACAACCATAGCACCATCCAGAGGAGATTTCCCATCTTTGTCTTTTTTAAGAGATTCTGGAACAAGTTTGCTTCCATGCTTCTTGACATGTGGAGCTAGTTCTTTTCCAACGCAATTTGCTACAGTGCAAACTCCATCAACTAATATGACCATAAAAAAAGAAAACTTAGGAAAAATATATTATTCCCTTGATTTTTACCACTCATCTTGCAACATTCTTAAATGAACATCTAAATTGTTTTACTATATAATGTTACAATTTCTTCTTAAGGATATGAAGCTTAGAGAGGAGGTCTCACTATGTTGCCCAGGCTGGCCTTGACTTGTACTCCTGGGCTCAAGTGATCCTCCTGCCTCTGCCTCCTGAGTAGCTGGGACTACAGGCATGAAGCATAGACTGGTTATTTTTTAAATGAAAGCTTTTGTTTGCTTTAAAGCTGTGCTTGCAGAGCCTACTGATGTTTATAACCTTGCCTCTCAGATATACATGCTCTTGCACTTCTGCTTGAGAAAACCAGCCACCTTTTCTATCTGACTGTTGCAATGCAAGATTGGTTGGTACTTTTAGCTTATTCCAGCTTAGCGTATTCATATTTTTCTACTGATAAATATCTCAGTTATCTCGGTGAATAAAAGTAAACAATCTAAAATCTGATTCAAAAAATACTAAATACCAAAAAAGATAATTTTACTAAATTTAATGGTAATCCATTAAGGTCCTATCTACCCACCTCAAAACACCAAATTTCAGTGCTGTGATTCTCTAAGAGCAAGGATTTAGAAGTACATTGCTTGGGAAGGTTGGCACCAGAATCACTAAGTCAGTTTTTCTCAAACAACAGATCCCTCCCTCTTGACCCTCAACTGCTAAGCAGTAAACTGCTCTCCTTGAAAGAATGTGTCATATCCCTTAGAAGGACTCAAGGATTCACATCCAGTCATGCTGCATAATGATGGTTTGGTCATTTCAGACATTTCATGGTCCCATAAGATTATAATGGAGCTGATTAAGTCCCACTGCCTAGTAACACCACAGCCGCCATAACATCATAGTGCAATTACTTTGTTTTTAAAATAAATTTAGTGTGGCCCAAGTGTACAGTGTTAAAAAGTCTACAATAGTGTATAGTAATGTCCTAGGCCTTCACATTCACTCACCACTCACTCAGTGACTCACTCAGAGCAACTTCCAGTCCTGCAAGTGACACTTCTGGTAAGTGCTCTCTACAGTTTTTATGCCATTTTTTATCTTTTATATACTGCATTCTTGCTGCACCTTTTCTATGTTTAGATGTGTTTAAATGCACAAATACTTACCATTGTGTTACAATTTCCTATAGTATTCAGTACAGTCACATGGTGTATAGGTTTGTACTTAGGAGCAATAGGCTATATCATATAGCCTAGGTGTGGAGTGGCAACGTTTAGGTTTGTGTGAGTACATGCTATGATGTTCACACAATGATGAAATCACCTAATGACACATTTCTTAGAACTTACCTCCTGCGTTAAACAATACATGACTTTACATTCAGAACTCTTTTTCAAAGATACACACATTCTCCTCTCCAACACATCAGAACAACCCTTTAACCAGTTTCTCAAACTTTAATGTGCAAATAAGAATCACCTAGGGATCTTGTGAAAATGCAGATTCTGAATCAGTAGGTGTGTCTGTCCCTAAAATTCTGCATTTCTAAGGATTCCAGATAGGACGATGTGATGTTGCTGGTCCGCAGGTCTCACTATGAATAACAAAGAGAAACTGCTTTGTCCTAATTCTTTATTCTTGAGATTAAACCATCTAAATGAACATGCAGATTAACCCTGGATTAAGACATTATTTTAAATATAACTTTAAAAAGTAAAGTTATCTAGAATTACTTTACCCAGGAACTGACTGACTTTTGCTGCTCCTCCTGTAGCTTGCTTCGCTATATAAAGTCCCTTGGTGACAGCTGGACTAACTTCCACGGGTTTTTCTTCTGGTTGAATCCGCTCTCGGAGTTTAGAAGCACCTTTCTGGATTGCCTTACCAGTAATCTCAGCACCTTTGACTAAACCCCAACTCACCCAGGAAGCACCTTTTTAAAAGAAAATTTAAAATTGCACAATATTAGGGCTAATTATGCTTTTGAACACTTTAATAAATAACATCAACCAGAAAAAAATAAAAGGAGTTTGATATTCAGATGCTAAATGTGCCATGTCATAAACTTTCAAGCTAACTTTATACCTGCAGTTTTCTTCCTGAATACTTAGTGACACAGTTCTGCGTTACTCTATGCTGCCACTACCTAGTACCTAGAAGGCCTGAGATTTAGTGGCAGCTGATAATTTCTGAAGATGACCACAAACAGTATCTCTATATGTTACTTACCACAGTATATTACTGTTAGGTATTAATTTTTAGTTTTGGTGCCATTAAGATAGAATTTGGCCAAAGAACCCAGATATTCTTGTTCTTTTTGCCTTAGGCCAGGCATCTCTTTTCCCCATGAAATCTTGAGGGAGAAAGACAGAAACATCACAAAATGGAAACCAAAGAAACTGCCTCTCAAACACCAAGGCAGAACTCTTACTTTCTTTAGGCTAAAAGCTTTAGTCAGGGGGTCCTGTTCCTTCCTGAATCCTAAACCCAAACTCTTGGATCTCAGCACCGTTTAGCTTGCTACACATACCTGAATGACAAAAACATGAGAACACTCAAATGCATGAGTAGAGAAAATCTAAAAGAAGAAGAGTGAGGCCCAGATAATTTGGCCATTTCTCATGACAGTGGGCCCTAGCCCTTTGCTTTGCTTTGCTTATGTTCTCGCAGCTTGAATGACAGAAGTGCTCACCAGAGGAACAGAGGGATGGAAGGGCCTTCTCTAGTGAGGACAAAAGGTCCTCAGCCAGTGGAAATGTGGGGAAAGGAGTGGGAGAGGGATGGGAAAAGAAAAAACATGTAAGAACAGTGTCCCCTAAGATGGAAGAAGTATTACCCTACTCTGCAGAGACTTTCAATTTAAAATATTTCTTTTTTGGCTAACACTTAACAATGAGCTTTCAAAGCTGAACATATGAAATACTTAATTATGTTCTCTCAAGGTCTGTGGCATGGTTTTACATGATTACTCCAGCCCATGAATAAGCATCCAGCAATCATGTGAAAACCACAGCAGTTTATTTTAAAATGTTAACAATGAAAAGTGACATGTAATAAATAATTAGAAATTTTATGTTTCTCTTCCTGTTTTAGTCAACATCTCTACCTCCAGCTCCAATCCTACCCCCACTGTCCTACCTGACAATCAACTTCTGGGGAAGTGCAGGATTCAAACCCAAGCAAACAGGCTTCCATAAACAACAAAAGGCTTGAAGATGCCCATTTAAAAAAATTATCTTTTTAGATTAACTTATAGGTTGAAAAGTTTTAAGAAGAAACCAGCTGAACATGAAGACTGAGAAATCATAAAATAAATGACAGTGAAACAAAGGAGACTATAATCCTATAATGAAATTATAAGAAATAACAGGGATGAAGTCAAATGATGACTGAGAAAAATAAATGGAAATGAGATAAAAAGTCACAGCACTAATAAAGAGAAATATTAGATGCAAATAATCACATATCACCATGGAAGTATACAGTATACATAAATATGTTAAAACTGTAAACACTGCAACAGAAGATAAGGAAATGCAATATTTCATCGGTAGCTATGTAGATATTTTAAATGGCATGTACAATGCCAGATATAGATTGATTCTGTTCATGTTTGCCTCCTATGCACTGTATTAATGCTGCCATATGGCAGACCATGAACGTTTGCTGAATAAATGAGACATTGGCAGATATTAAAATTCCCTAACTCAAACCTAACTACTACAGCTTGTGGGACACTGTCCACTTTTACTGAACTAAAGAAAGCTACCATTTACAGTTGTTATTAAAAACAGAAGTCACTGACCAGGTGCAGTGGCTCACGCCTGTAATCACAGTGTCAGGCCTCTGAGCCCAAGCCAAGCCATCGCATCCCCTGTGACTTGCACATATACGCCCAGATGGCCTGAAGTAACTGAAGAATCACAAAAGTGAATATGCCCTGCCCCACCTTAACTGATGACATTCTACCACAAAAGAAGTGTAAATGGCCACTCCTTGCCTTAAGTGATGACATTACCTTGTGAAAGTCCTTTTCCTGGCTCATCCTGGCTCAAAAAGCACCCCCACTGAGCACCTTGCGACCCCCACTCCTACCTGACAGAGAACAAACCCCCTTTGACTGTAATTTTCCTTTACCTACCCAAATCCTATAAAACGGCCCCACCCTTATCTCCCTTTGCTGACTCTTTTCAGACTCAGCCTGCCTGCACCCAGGTGAAATAAACAGCCTTGTTGCTCACACAAAGCCTGTTTGGTGGTCTCTTCACACAGACGCGCATGAAATTTGGTGCCGTGACTCGGATCAGGGGACCTCCCTTAGGAGATCAATCCCCTGTCATGTTCTTTGCTCCGTGAGAAAGATCCACCTACAACCTCAGGTCCTAAGACCGACCAGCCCAAGAAACATCTCACCAATTTCAAATCCGGTAAGCGGCCTCTTTTTACTCTCTTCTCCAACCTCCCTCACTATCCCTCGACCTCTTTCTCCTTTCAATCTTGGTGCCACACTTCAATCTCTCCCTTCTCTTAATTTCAATTCCTTTCATTTTCTGGGAGAGACAAAGGAGACACGTTTTATCCGTGGACCCAAAACTCCGGTGCCAGTCACAGACTGGGAAGGCAGCCTTCCCTTGACCTTTAATCATTGCAGGGATGCCTCTCTGATTATTCACCCACGTTTCAAAGGTGTTAGACCACGCAGGGATGCCTGCCTTGGTCCTTCACCCTTAGCGGCAAGTCCCGCTTTTCTGGGGAAGGGGCAAGTACCCCAACCCCTCCTCTCCTTGTCTCTACCCCTTCTCTGCTTTTCTGGGGGAGGGGCAAGTACCCCTCAACCCCTTCTCCTTCACTCTTAGCAGCAAGTCCTGCTTTTCTAGAGGAGGGGCAAGTACCCCAACCTCGTATCTCTGTGCCCCAATCCCTTATTTCCGTGCCCCAACCTCTTATATCTCTGTGCCCCAATCCCTTATTTCTGTGCCCTAACTTAACTCTGCGCCCCAATCCTTTATTTCCGTGCCCCGACCCCTTATTTCCGTGCCCCACCCCTTATTTCCATGCCCTGACCCCTTATTTCTGCACCCCATCCCTTATTTCCACGCCCTGACCTCTTATCTCTGCGCCCCAACCCCTTTTCTGGAAGGTAAGAACCCCGAACCCCTTCCCTCCGTTTCTCTGCTCTCTCTTTTCTCTAGGCTTGCTTCCTTCACTATAGGCAACCTTCCACCCTCCATTCCTCCTTCTACTCCCTTGGCCTGTGTTCTCAAAAACTTAAAACCTCTTCAACTCACACCTTACCTAAAACCTAAATGTCTTATTTTCTTCTGCAATGCCACTTGACCCCAATACAAACTCTACAGTAGTTCCAAATAGCCAGAAAATGGCACTTTGAATTTTTCCATCCTACAAGATCTAAATAATTCTTGTTGTAAAATAGGCAAATGGTCTGAGGTGCCTGACGTCCAGGCATTCTTTTACACATCAGTCCCTTCCTAGTCTGTGCCCAGTGCAACTCGTCCCAAATCTTCCTTCTTTCCCTCCCGCCTGTCCCCTCAGTCCCAACACCAAGCGTCGCTGAGTCTTTCTAATCTTCCTTTTCTACAGACCCATCTGACCTCTCCCTTCCTCCCCAGGCTACTCCCTGCCAGGCCGAGCTAGGTCCCAATTCTTCCTCAGCCTCTGCTACTCCACCCTATAATCTTTTTATCACCTCCCCTCCTCACACCTGGTCTGGCTTACAGTTTAGTTCTGTGACTAGCCCTCCCCCTCCTGCCCAGCAATTTACTCTTAAAAAGGTGGCTGGAGCTAAAGCCATAGTCAAGGTTAATGCTCATTTTTCTTTATCCCAAATCAGATAGCGTTTAGGCTCTTTTTCATCAAATATAAAAATCCAGCCCAGTTCATGACTTGTTTGGCAACAACCCTGAGACACTTTACAGCCCTAGACCCTAAAAGGTCAAAAGGCCGTCTTATTCTCAAAATACATTTTATTACCCAATCTGCTCCTGACATTAAATATAACTCCAAAAATTAAATTCTGGCCCTCAAACCCCACAACAGGATTTAATTAACCTCGCCTTCAAGGTGTACAATAATAGAAAAAAGTTGCAATTCCTTGCCTCCACTGTGAGACAAACCCCAGCCCCATCTCCAGCACACAAGAACTTCCAAACGCCTGAACCGCAGTGGCCAGGCGTTCCTCCAGAACCTCCTCCCACAGGAGCTTGCTACACGTGCCGGAAATCTGGCCACTGGGCCAAGGAATGCCCGCAGCCCGGGATTCCTCCTAAGCCCCGTCCCATCTGTGTGGGACCCCACTGAAAATCGGACTGTTCAACTCACCTGGCAGCCACTCCCAGAGCCCCTGGAACTCTGGCCCAAGGCTCTCTGACTGACTCCTTCCCAGATCTTCTCGGCTTAGCGGCTGAAGACTGACACTGCCCGATCGCCTCGGAAGCCCCCTAGACCATCACGGACGCTGAGCTTCAGGTAACTCTAACAGTGGAAGGTAAGCCCGTCCCCTTCTTAATCAATACGGAGGCTACCCACTCCACATTACCCTCTTTTCAAGGGCCTGTTTCCCTTGCCTCCATAACTGTTGTGGGTATTGACGGCCAGGCTTCTAAACCTCTTAAAACTCCCCAACTCTGGTGCCAACTTAGACAATACTCTTTTAAGCACTCCTTTTTAGTTATCCCCACCTGCCCAGTTCCCTTATTAGGCTGAGACACTAACTAAATTATCTGCTTCCCTGACTATTCCTGGACTACAGCTGTATCTCATTGCCACCCTTCTTCCCAATCCAAAGCCTCCTTTGCGTCCCCCTCTTGTATCCCCCCACCTTAACCCACAAGTATAAGATACCTCTACTCCCTTCTTGGCAACCGATCATGCACCCCTTACCATCTCATTAAAACCTAATCACCCTTACCCCACTCAACGCCAATATCCCATCCCGCAGCATGCTTTAAAAAGATTAAAGCCTGTTATCACTCGCCTGCTACAGCATGGCCTTTTAAAGCCTATAAACTCTCCTTAAAATTCCCCCATTTTACCTGTCCTGAAACCAGACAAGCCTTACAAGTTAGTTCAGGATCTGCATCTTATCAACCAAATTGTTTTGCCTTTCCACCCCATGGTGCCAAACCCATATACTCTCATATCCTCAGTACCTGCCTCTACAACCCATTATTCTGTTCTAGATCTCAAACATGCTTTCTTTACTATCCCTTTGCACCCTTCATCCCAGCCTTTCTTCGCTTTCACTTGGACTGACCCTGACACCCATCAAGCTCAGCAAATTACCTAGGCTGTACTGCCACAAAGCTTCTCAGACAGCCCCCATTACTTCAATCAAGCCCAAATTTCTTCCTCATCTGTTACCTATCTCGGCATAATTCTCATAAAAACACACGTGCTCTCCCTGCCAATCTGTCTGACTGATCTCTCAAACCCAAGCACCTTCTACAAAACAACAACTCCTTTCCTTCCTAAGCACGGTTAGCGCAGTCAGAATTCTTACACAAGAGCCAGGACCACATCCTGTAGCCCTTCTGTCCAAACAACTTGACCTTACTGTTTTAGCCTAGCCCTCATGTCTGCGTGCAGCGGCTGCTGCTGCTTTAATACTTTTAGAGGCCCTCAAAATCACAAACTATGCTCAACTCACTCTCTACAGTTCTCATAACTTCCAAAATCCATTTTCTTCCTCATACCTGACGCATATACTTTCTGCTTCCCGGCGCCTTCAGCTGTACTCACTCTTTGTTGAGTCTCCCACAATTACCGTTGTTCCTGGCCCAGACTCCAATCCGGCCTCTCGCATTATTCTGGATACCACACCTGACCCCCATGACTGTATCTCTCTGATCCACCTGACATTCACCCCATTTCCCCAAATTTCCTTCTTTCCTGTTCCTTACCCTGATCACGCTTGATTTATTGATGGCAGTTCCACCAGGCCTAATCGCCACACACCAGCAAAGGCAGGCTATGCTATAGTACAAGCCACTAGCCTGCCTCTTAGAACCTCTCATTTCCTTTCCATCGTGGAAATCTATCCTCAAGGAAATAACTTCTCAGTGTTACATCTGCTATTCTACTACTCCTCAGGGATTATTCAGGCCCCCTCCCTTCCCTACACATCAAGCTCGAGGATTTGCTCCCACCCAAGACTGGCAAATTAGCTTTACTCAACATGCCCCGAGTCAGATAACTAAAATACCTCTTAGTCTAGGTAGACACTTTCACTGGATAGGTAGAGTCCTTTCCTACAGGGTCTGAGAAGGCCACTGCAGTCATTTCTTCCCTTCTGTCAGACATAATTCCTCAGTTTAGCCTTCCCACCTCAATACAGTCTGACAACAGACAAGCCTTTATTAGTCAAATCAGCCAGCAGTTTTTCAGGCTCTTAGTATTCAGTGAAACCTTTATATCCCTTACGGTCCTCCATCTTCAAGAAAAGTAGAATAGACTAAAGGTCTTTTAAAAACACACCTCACCAAGCTCAGCCACCAACTTAAAAAGGACTGGACAATACTTTTACCACTTTCCTTTCTCAGAATTCAGGCCTGTCCTCGGAATGCTACAGGGTACAGCCCATTTAAGCTCCCGTACAGACGCTCCTTATTAGGCCCCAGTCTCATTCGAGACACCAGACCAACTTAGACTGTGCCCCAGAAAACCTGTCATCCCTACTATCTTCTGTCTACTCATACTCCTATTCACCGTTCTCAACTACTCATACATGCCCTGCTCTTGTTTACACTGCCAGTTTACACTGTTTTTCCAAGCCATCACAGCTGATATCTCCTGGTGCTGTCCCCAAACTGCCACTCTTAACTCTTGAAGTAAATAAATAATCTTTGCTGGCAGGACTATGCTGAATCTCCTTAGGCGCTCTCTAATCAGATATCCTGAGTCGTCCCAATTCTTAGACCTTTTATACCTGTTTTTCTCCTTCTGTTATTCCATTTAGTTTCTCAATTCATCCAAAACCGTATCTAGGCCATCACCAATCATTCTACACGACAAATGTTTCTTCTAACAACCCCACAATATCACCCCTTACCACAAGACCTCCCTTCAGCTTAATCTCTCCCACTCTAGGTTCCCACGCCGCCCCTAATCCCGCTTGAAGCAGCCCTGAGAAACATCGCCCATTCTCTCTCCATATCACCCCCCAAAAATTTTTGCTGCCCCAACACTTCAACACTATTTTGTTTTATTTTTCTTATTAATATAAGAAGTCAGGAATGTCAGGCCTCTGAGCCCAAGCCAAGCCATCGCGTCCCCTGTGACTTGCACATATACGCCCAGATGGCCTGAAGTAACTGAAGAATCACAAAAGAAGTGAATATGCCCTGCCCCACCTTAACTGATGACATTCCACCACAAAAGAAGTGTAAATGGCCGGTCCTTGCCTTAAGTGATGACATTACCTTGTGAAAGTCCTTTTCCTGGCTCATCCTGGCTCAAAAAGCACCCCCACTGAGCACCTTGCGACCCCCACTCCTGCCCGCCAGAGAACAAACCCCCTTGGACTGTAATTTTCCTTTACCTACCCAAATCCTATAAAATGGCCCCACCCTTATCTCCCTTTGCTGATTCTCTTTTCGGACTCAGCCCACCTGCACCCAGGTGAAATAAACAGCCATGTTGCTCACACAAAGCCCGTTTGGTGGTCTCTTCACACGGACGTGCATGAAACTCAGCACTTTGGAAGGCCAAATTGGGCGGATCACCTGAGGTCAGAAGCTCGAGACCAGCCTGGCCAATATGGTGAAACTTTGTGTTTACTAAAAATACAAAAATTAGCTGGGTGTGGTGGTGTGCACCTGTAGTCCCAGCTACTCAGGAAGCTGAGGCAGGAGAGTCACTTAAACCCTGAAGGCAGAGTTTGCAGTGAGCTGAGATAGCGTCACTGCACTCCGACTTGGGTAACAGAGCGAGACTCTGTCTCAAAACAAAACAAAACAAAACACAAAAACACAGAAGTCCCAAATCACAGCTTTCTCTCCTGGTAAAAAGCTAGCTGAACCCTAAGATTATATAGAACCCAACTTTTCTGGTAAGTTTTAATAATTTTTATCATGAGAAATATGAGTTTAAAACACTGATCACTGATCTTTTTATTTTCAGCTTTTGATAGTCTTTATTTCTGGCTAAGAGAGGGGGAAAATTGGCAGAAAATTGGCTAGCACATGGCTACTACTGAATTTCCAATCATATGACATGTATCTTATGTTTGACGTAGTCCTCTAAAAACCTAGAAATGATTTGTCTTAGCACTTAACCACCCTATACCCATCAAAGTATAAATTGAATATATGATTGCTCTTTGATGTTTTGTTCATTCTATATAATTTATGCCAGAATAAAGGTCTTTGTGGATCTGACAGCTGGAAGACTGTACTAGGCCAATGGAGTCCCAGAAATAATCTACTGAAGAATAGGAGGACTTGTTTGTCTATTCTTTAACAGACTGAATTAACCAAAATGGAAAAGTTTTTGCTAGGGCCTAGAAGCACAAAATGGTAGCAAAAAATGCATAATCTTGGAGAAATCTTAGGGAGGCATCATAGTTGCCTCCGTTCTGCTCACTCTCAACCCTAGGATGATATGTTGGAATAGGTAGGCAGAAAGTGAT
Organism: Homo sapiens; assembly: GCF_000001405.40. Lineage (NCBI taxonomy): Eukaryota > Metazoa > Chordata > Mammalia > Primates > Hominidae > Homo > Homo sapiens. Next base: position 36,323,134 of record NC_000013.11, read on the forward strand.
CATTCCGTCTCACTCCATGTCAACTGTTTGCCTAGCATTCCAGAGTCCATCTGTAAATTAAATTGGGAAAGACTAGGGAGTTGAGAGGGGACATTCAAATACCCTTGATGATGTTTTGCTATCTCACAACCACTAAAGTGTTTCAGAATGGTTGAAGGTAGATTGCTCCAAAGGTGGGCTCCATCAGTTTATTGTCAGCAACCCTCTACCTCCTTCCAAATTAGCTTACTAGGCTCTACTCGATTGATACTGCATAGCCGCTGCCTTCTTAAAGTGTTAAGTCTAGGTTTCTCAAGCCTATACAGGTAAACTTTCAGCATGGTTGTTTTACTTTTTTTACCTTTTACATTAGGAGAACCTCAGACTAGCTTTTAGTGATCTTTACTTATTCTTTGACAGTGGACAGGCACCAATTATGGGCTAAGATGAATGAGCTCAATTTATATCCCTGGTTACTCATTTTGTACATAGACTGAATCAGTCAGGTAACAATAGTCTCTTGATAGATCAGATAATTTTCCCTGGAGTAAATCTTTATTAATTTTCTGCCCCCCTTTGTTTTACTTGTACCATAAACATTTGACGAACTACTCGTTCTACCTATTAAAAAGCTCATAAAGAGACATATACGCTGATAGGCAGTTAAATAGTTTACAGTTACCAACTATGAGGACATTACTAGAACCCCAGCCCTGAAGGTATAGAATAAAAAGGAAAAGAGGTACTGGCACGAAGAAACTGAGGTCTTAAGTAATAAAGAAGTCCTCTGAGTGTTACCAGAACACAGTTTTTGCTTGTTTTAAAATTATGCACTGCTGAAAGTTCTTTTGAAATCTACAAAGAGACCTCTTCCCAGGATTAACTGGCTGTACTGCTTCCGGTAGCACCATGGTGTGCTATCTATAGTACCTAGGAGGCCTGAGATTTAGTGGCAGCTGATGAAAAAATTTCTGAAGATGACCACAAACAGTGCCTGCTATTCTGAATGTTAATCTTTCCACAAGATCTTGACATTCTTCCCAGAGGGAAGTGGGGTCTATGTCACATTCCTTGCATCTGGGCTGGCTTGTTGTTTGCTTTTAACAACAAATTTCCAAATGATGTTGGAAATTTCCAAGAGTATGTCAGAAATGGTAATGCAGCTTCTGTCTGTTTGCTGGATGATTCACATTTGAAGCCCCAAGTCACTAGGTAGAAGCCAGACTAGCCTAAGGCCACCATGCTAGGTGGAAGTCCAGCCACAAGAGGCCATGTGTAGGCACTCTATTTGGCAGTCCTAGACTTTGACCTCTCCCAGCCTAGATGCCAGAGGTGTCAGTAATGATTCCAGTCTTCAGCTTATTGTCAAGTCACTAGCTAGCCTTTGAGTCTTCCCAGATGAAGCCCTTAGATACCATGAAAGAGATATAAGCCACTCCTGCTGTGACCTTTCCAAATACCTGGCCCACTGAATTCCACAGAAACAAATGTTTGTTGTTTTGTGCCTTTGGGTTTGGGGCAGTTTGTTACATAGCAGTAGTAAATGGAACAAACTTGTAACAGTATTTTCACTTGCGTGCATGTGAAGAGACCACCAAACAGGCTTTGTGTGAGCAACAAGGCTGTTTATTTCACCTGGGTGCAAGCGGGCTGAGACCGAAAAGAGAGTCAGCGAAGGGAGATAAGGGTGGGGCCGTTTTATAGGATTTGGGTAGATAAAGGAAAATTACAGTCAAAGGGGATTTGTTCTCTGGCAGGCAGGAGTGGGGGTCGCAAGGTGCTCAGTGGGGGAGCTTTTTGAGCCAGGATGAGCCAGGAAAAGGACTTTCACAAGGTAATGTCATCACTTAAGGCAAGGACCAGCCATTTTCACTTCTTTTGTGGTGGAATGTCATCAGTTAAGGCAGAGGAGGGCATTTTCACTTCTTTTGTGATTCTTCAGTTACTTCAGGCCATCTGGGCATATACGTCAAGTCACCGCGGATGTGATGGCTTGGCTTGGGCTCAGAGGCCTGACAAGTATAAATTCCAAAAACTTGGGAAAACGACCTTTGAATTTAGTGTGTTGGGGTAACAAGCAAGTTTTCTGAATGATGGCCTCCTAATAATAATGCTTAGCAGCCTATAAAGTTGGGGGGTAGGGTAGTAAAAGTGAAAAGATTTTTCATTGCAGTTTCTTTGTAAATCTCTTTCAAGTCAATTTTAACTATCGCAACTACATTTTAAAATTTGGCTCTATCTTTTTTTCTTGTCTCAAGCATAGTTCTTTGGCACTAGGAAAAGTATTTTATTAGTTCCTAGCAAGCTAATTATTTTAGCTTGTTGGTTTTTTATGTTGAAGATTTCCTCTGCTTTAGACATCTTTTAAAATGGATTTTAGTGGACATGGAAATCTGAATTGACAGTCGTTTAAATGAGTCAAGACCCATTTAATGGGGTTATGAATTTGACACACTGAATGGTGACTGGCAATATTTTTTAAAAAACAAAATAAAAGGTATAAATCAGAGAGTTACTACAGCTAAAAAGCTATGTGAAATGTTAACCAATTAAAGTAGAAAGATGTGTCACTAATGATCATTCTGGCTTCAGAATAATTGATCTGAAGCCCTTTATAACCATAATTAAACAGCAGAGACTACTTCTCAAAGAGCTTGGCTATAACCCTCAGATGTTCTCATGTCTGCATTGCTGTATAGTTTATACAGTGCTGCTTTGCTTCCAAAGATGGATGAACATGGTCTCATTTTTTGGGTGGGTATCTGAGTCCATTTGTGCTGCTATAACAAAATATCATAAACTAGTAGCTTATTAACAACAAAAATTTATTTCTCACAATTCTAGAGGCTGGGAAGTACAAGACTAAGGTGCTGGTACATTTGGTCTCTGGTGAGGGGCCCACTTCCTGGTTCATAGAATGACACCTTCTTACTGCTTCCTCACATAGTGAAAGGGACAAGGCAGCTCTTTGGGATCTCTTTTATAAGGGACTAATCCCATTGATGAGGGCTCCTCCCTCATGACCTAATCACCTTCCAAAGGCCCCACCTCCTAAAACCATCACCTCAGGGGTTAGGATTTCAATATATGAATTTTGAAGGGACACATTCAGACCACAGCTGAGGGACAGGGGTAGGGGGAGGTTAAGAGGGAGCTTCAAAGGGGAAACGAACATAACTAATTTTAGATTCAGAACTATTAAGAATTTGAAGATTCCTGAAGCTTTTCACTATCCATTTTCCCAATAGTAGAACAGAATAATAGGCCAGGAAGAATTTATACTTATATGACAATATCTGATGTTTCAAAAGACTAGTTCCTTCTACATTTATTTCTAAATTGATCATTTAAAACCAAAATACAAAATATTATCTTTCTCAGTATTCCCTAATAAACAATATCTTTATTTGGTTCCAAAGGCTTAATGTCATACAGGGAAAAAAATTAACATTACTGTAATACCTGACAAAATGTTGTGAGCCACTTTTTCACTCCATTCAGGTAATTCTTTTGGCTTTTCTTCTGGAACTGGCTCACATGGTACAATGTGACTCAGGTTAACTTCTTCACTTGAAGTATCTTTAGCCTAAACAGTAAAAATGTTTCAAAATGTGAAGAGTTAGTACTAAGAGGGGGAAAACTGTAAGCATTATATAACAAATATGAAGCCAACAAATACTAGATAAAATTAATGAAAAATATCTCCAGCCAACCTAGTTACCAGTATGGTCTTATAAAGTACAATACCAGAACTGCCATGAAGTTGAAAACTGTTCTGGTCCATATAAATCTTGACTGGTAAGATTTAAATACCAATATAAGTCCAATATGGCATTTAACAAATCATTTAAATTGACTTTTTTCTTTTCTGGACTAGACTGATTTCCTTCAAACAGATATCATCCCTAGATATTAGTGTGCACATGGTACTCAGTAAGATTAAAAGATTTTTGTTAAATGACTCAATCAGTAAGCAAAGATGAATTCATAAACTGGTTTTGACAGAGATCAAACAAATGTCTAATTTGAAACAAGAAGGAATATATAAACACAGAATAATCTGCTATTCCATTTAAGAGGAAATGGAGAACATATATCTATACTTTGCTAACTGAACAGCTGTGATGAGAGCCTGGGCCAACACCCAAACTCTTAAAGCTAAATGAACTCATTCTAAGAAATAAGATGCAGGCTAACTCAGACCTCATAGTATTAATATAATAAAATAACTTGAAAATCAAAGTGGCCAGTAACACAAAGAATGTCACATAAAATATAAAAACAACATTAAACAAAACAACTTCTACATGGGATAAAAGTCACCCATAAGTAAAATCTAAAGCTTTTCACTGCATATACTTTTTAATATCATTTGATTTTTTTAGAACAAGAAATTAAATTTTAAAACACAAAGTTCTAAATGATATGGAAGAATTTCCAAATATACTGTTAAGTAAAAAAGCAAGGAACAAAACATTATGTTTTACATGCCACCATTTATGTTAAATATTATATATGTCTCTGTGTGTGTGTATTTAACTACGCATAAAATATATCTAGAAGGACAACAGAAGTTAATAATTATGTGTCTGAGGGCAGGCATGCTGGCTCATGCCTGTAATCCCAGCACTTTGGGAGGCCAAGGTGGGTGGATCACCTGAAGTCAGGAGTTCGAGATTAGCCTGGCCAACATGGTGAAACTGAAACCCCATCTCTACTAAAAATACAAACATTAGCCGGGCATGGTGGCAGGCACCTGTAATCCCAGCTGCTCGGGAGGTTGAGACACGAGAATTGCTTGAACCCGGGAGGCGGAGGTTGCAGTCAGCTGAGATCGCACCACTGCACTCCAGCCTGGGCGACAGAGTGAGACTCCATCTGCAGGGGTGAGGAGACAGGGGAAGATTATGTGTCTGGACACATAATTATGTGGACAGGAATAGGGCCCAGACTTATTTTTTACCATATACTCTTTTGTACCCTTCAACTTTGGTTTCTTGTGATTAATTTTAAAACAACATTTTTAAGTAAAATATATATCTTGGAACCATTTTGGACTTCCAGTATCCTCATATAGCTGGTCTAAGATGTTCAACATAAACCACAGTGACACTTTGCAAATAAATGTAGAATATTCACGTGATATTCATCAATTCCAAAGATAATTATTGAGCATTTACCATGTGGAATATAGCAATGAACAATACTAAACTGCCTATGATACTCAAGACAATGCTGTTTTATTCATATACTTGCTTATATTACCACTTCTGCCTAGAATCCCCTTAAATTTGCTATTCATAAGGCCAACTCTTCTTTATCCTTCAAGACTCATTTTAGTTATAATGTCCTGTAGGAGGGGGCTCCTCACTGCTTCCCATACCACTCATCCACCCACACTTATCTGTTAGGCTAGGCTGCATCTTCTATCTAATAGCCACATTGGATAGAAATGATCTCTTTGCTAATCTGTTCTTTCCATTAGACAGTAAATTCATTGAGACAAGAAATTTAAACTTTTTCCACTATGTAGACCTAACATTCTAGCTCTCAATAAATATTTCCTGAACTCTAATCCAAATTTACCAGTTAGAATATATTACATACTCAGAGCCTATGAAATGAAAGAAGAAACCACTCAGTATATTTTTTTAAATCAAATCTCTGTCCTGTTGCCCATCCATAAAAAAACAGGAAACTGAATAAAAATGGCAGTGTAAGAAAAAAAAAGACAGTAGCATATCTAGCCCCCAAGCTCTTAGTGAATATAGGAAGGCAGAGAATAACACAAAACAAATAAGAAAGTATGTGCATCACTAATGCAAATATAAAAATATCTTGGCCAGGTATGGTGGCTCATGTCTGTAATGCTGGCTACTCGTGGAGCGTGAGGCAGGAGGATCACATGAGCCTGGGAGGTCAAGGCTGCAGTGAGCCATGTTTGCACCACTGCACTCCAGCCTGGGTGACAAGGCAGGATCCTGTCTCAAAAAAAATAAAATCTCTCAAACAGTTGGGAAAAAAATCTATCCCCCAAACACAGAGTATCTTTTAAAATAGTTTAAGTAACACACACTTTAAAAGGGAAATACTACAACTGATTCTAATTGTTTTTGCCAGTGATCACTTTGTTGACTAATGCACAAGTTGCTTTGCTTTAGTATATGGGAATATGATCATATAAATACATGAAACTGGAGAAAGGTACCATTAGAAGACAACACACACACTTATTACTCTTTTATTTACCCTTTTTCCACGTTTTCCTTTATGACGTACATCCTTATTGCCTTGGTCCAACTGTTTCACATCAGTGCCAGAGGCTTCTTTTAGTTGGTCAGAGGAGGGTCTAGTTCTTCCAGGGATTTGGAATTCATTTTCTTCTTCTGCTCTGTTCCAGTTGGCCTAGAGAATAAAGGTTTAAGCTTAACTCTAATCAGAATTTTTCTTAGATGGCTTTCTGCCAGCTATATTACACCATGCTCAAATGACATACTTGTTTGAATGTCAGTTTGGCAGTCTATCAGTAACAACTACTTTTGCTTTTTTCTCTACGATTCTCTTTTGTTTCATCACCAAACCCCAAACCTCTGAGTTCTTTGGTTCATAGCATATGCCTAAGTAAGTTTCAAAAGACAACGTGTAAAAGACAACTTATAGCAGTTGTTGGTATAAGTTATCTTTGAATCAGATGCAGCTACATTTAAATTTAATTAATGAATAAATTTTAGTTAACATGTACAAGAGAAAGTGAATTTAAAGGCAATTAACAAAACTCATGTCCATTTCATTATGCATTATTGGAAGGTTTATTTTTTAATTTTCTGCACAATATACACTTTGCTGAATGAATGCTTAAGAGTAAAAACCAGTCAAAATTATAGCTAGTAACTAGCTTATGTTTACAGTTGAAGTTCTGGGACAGTAAAGCAAGCTAAAAATAACATACAAATACCAAAAAATTAAATTGAAGACAGAAAATAAACATACAACCTAAAAGTCTGCTTAGTTTCTTTCCTAAAGCCCAGTAATACAGGTCCAGTTAACGTAGGGGTGAAGGGAGAAATAGTTCCACATTAGGTCTGTGAATACTTAAGAGCATCATTTCACTCAGTAAACAGTGAAGTGAAGATGAACTCCTTCATTTGACCATATTCCTGCCTTTGTGAATTCCTCCTCACAAGTACAATGAGGCTACACACTTCTGTATGCTGATCATGTATTTTGTTAAATAATTGCTGCTATGCTAAAGTATTGGTTTGTTGACCACCAGGTAGGTCATTCTCGGGTGAACAGGGGCTGATTTTATATTTTCATACACACACACACACACACACACACATCCCCCACACCTTCGTGGTCTCCTGTTCTCATACTTTGCCCATCCCATCACTTAACACAGTAACTGGTTAAATAATGAATTCCAAGTATCTGCTGATTGAAGGAGAGAATAAAAGATTATACTATTATAATGCCCACCTCATTCAACCCCTGATGACTGTCAATATTCATAATCAAAAATACTTTTTCCCTCTTGCTACAACAATATATAAAGAAAGTCTCTCCATAATACTCTATTCAAGTTCCCTGTTAAACAGAAATACTCTATTTCTACAGGTACGCATGTGGGCAGAGGAAACATGCCAAATAAGGAAAGTTCCAGGATGATCATATTTTAAATCATATTTTCTTTTTATTTTTTTATTTGGCCTTCATTTACCACAAGAACAAAGATAATTATCTCAACCAAAGCCTGTTTCTTCCTCAGAATGCCAACCATACCCCTTAAAATGTCCAACATAACCTATCTACTAAAGCTAAAATTATCTTCATGTCACCATTTAGACCCATTAGTACACTTTTCCAGCTGAGCAATAAAACAGTGGTGAAAACAATAGCTAACATTCACAGAGCATAACTACTCGTTCTGATATAAGTGCTTAATGTATTAATTTTTAATTTTCACCACAGCCCAATGAAGTGGACACTGTTATTATCCCCATTTTATAAGTAAATTAAAGTATAGAGAAGATCAGGAACAGCTGAGCTAAACGGTCATTAAGTGGAAGAGTTTGAATTCATATACAGGCAATTTGACTCTAGAGCTCACAATCTTAACCACTATTACAGCAAATTCCAAGCATGTAGTTGTGAACACACAAACAAATGGTGAACTGTCAGTCTCCTAACCTTGATTACAGTAGAGGTTATTACAATTTCTCTAAAAGCTGAAGTGCTTATGTTAAAGTAGATTTTTTTCACCCTAAAGATGATCACACAAGTTACCTGGAGCCGAAGGTCAGACATTTGCCTTAACAGATCCTCAAAGAGCTCTCTATCATCCTCTGGTAACTCAGAGGACAGGACGACCCCCACAAAGCATCCTGCTGCTTGTAGCATTGTATCAGGAAACATGTAGGCTCCCGCAGTACATTTCAGAACCGGAGATCTATCAGGAACTAGAGGATATAACCAGTCACAAACCTGAAAGGATTCATTAGAAGAAAAAAAATATACATATAAATAAATGAAACTAGATTTTCATTTATGTTTTAATAAAATTGTTATACTAGAAAATAAACACTTCAAAGTTGGAAACATATTTTAAAAGGCTTTAAGAAACATCAACATCAACAAATCCCCAAGAAAATTAATCATTTGCTAGTCTGATCTTTCTGCAATAAGGACTGTGCTAAATGTGCCATGGCTCCACTAATTATACAATCTTAAAGCTGATGGCCTTAACTAGCCTAGTGTTAACCAATAATGACTCCAGCTTTAAATAAATAATAATCAAAGTAAATTAAGGTTTTCGTTATTGAAATCAGATATTCCTTTTGTGGTAAATAAACTATTTTCAGATATTATTTACTTGAAATATTTACTGAAATAATAGTATTTACTGATTTAATCCTCCTAACAATCCTATGAAATCAGTTACTATTATTGTCATTTTATGTACAAGAAAATTGAGGCACAGAGAGGTCAATTAAGTCGCCCAGAACCAACAACTAAAAAGTGGAGCTTGGATTTTAACACATATAGTCTGGACCAGAGAAGCTGAACAAGTATTTTAATTAGAAACCCAGCACTCACAGGCCGGGCACAGTGGCTCACACCTATAATCCCAACACTCTGGGAGGCCAAGGAGAGGTGGGGGGATTATTTGAGGTCAGGAGTTCAAGACCTGCCTGGACAACATGGTGAAACCCCCATCTCTACTAAAACTACAAAAATTAGCTGGGGGTGGTAGTGCATGCCTGTAATCCTAGCTCCAGCTCCTTGGGAGGCTGAGGCAGGGGAATCACCTGAACCTGGGAGGTGGAAGTTGCAGTGAGCCAAGATTGTGCCACTGCACTCCAGCCTGGGCAACACAGCAAGACTCTGTCTCAAAGAAAAAATAAATGAATAAATAAGAAATTCAGCACTCACTCACAACATGGAATAATTTTTTGTACTAAACCCAAGAGAACCTGACATAACAGAATAGATTAAGTTAATGTTTATGGATTATCTATCTATTGTGAAATTAAAAGCAAAATAACAAAAGCTCTCCTGCAATGTCATCTGCGGAGGTCGGCTTGCCAGTACATACACAGACATAAGCTCACATCCTGGCTGCCTAATTTATTTCTAATGCAATACATTCTTTGAGAAACCAAAATATAACTGTGCTCAACATCAAAACAGTCTTACCCACAAACTTTTAACATTTGAGTAGTTATTTATTTTAATATGTATGAGAAAAATACATATTTCCCTTAATTTCAGTTATTATTAAGATAAAACTGACAAGTGGGACAATTTAGTAAAAATATAAAGCAAGTAATAGCAGTGGTATAGAGTTGACAAAAAAATTGTAAAAGTTATTCTAAAATAAAACTTAGGAAAGGTTTTTCTTTTTTTTTTCTTTTTTTTAAACTATTCCATGGTTTCTTTCAGATTATCTATATCCTGGTCACCTTAATTGAACTGCAATATCACCAAATTGTCTTTAAAAAAACCAACACTTTATAGACCTTTCCTAGGACAGGATATTACAGATAAGTGAGTCATCCACCATAGGCTGATTTTTCCCAGTTTCATTTTCAGAGGGCAATCTCATGTCCAATTTCTGTAATTATAGATTTAACAGGTTTAAAAAGTATTTGGTATTAAAACTAAAACCAAAAGAAAAATCTTTTTTTGAAGTTCCAGAATTCTATCTACCTAAAACCAAAAAAACTTAATTTCCTATTTAGACCAATAGTGATTTTAACAGTGATTTTTAGCACAGGAAATATCTAACTTCTAGTATTTAGTTGGATTATTATTGTATTTTTTTTTTTTTTTTGGATAAAAACATTCAGTAAACACATATGTTAACTCCTTTTAAGGACACTCTGCTACAAATACCTGAATACAAGCAAATGAGAACCTCTTAAAGAGACTCAAATTAAATTTTGGGTGCAATTTTACTTTTCGTTTAGGACAAAAAATACACATGAGAAAGATTAAAAACAAAATTAAATGCACTAAGGACAAATTTGTATTAAAGTACAAGTCATTTCAATGGATGAGTGAATGTAACCACGGTACAGTATTTCTGCCATTCACTACCCCATCTCCAGTTGCTAAGGACCCAAAGATTTTTTATTCCATCATTACAGTGCAACACTATTAGTAGAAACTGTTATAGCTTTTATCACCCGCCACTACAAACCCCAATCAATAAGCCTACTCTTTGTAACCTTAAGGCTCCTTCCTTAAAATAATCTACAGGATTCACAATATTCTTTCTGTCCAGTATCAAATATTTCCTTTCAATAATGCCCTCAAAGTATCTCCCTCACACATCCCTAGCAAGCCTCGAATTGTCTTTAAACAACTTTCAAGTTGACTTCATATAAAAACTACATAAGAATCAACAGGAGAGAATACCAAAAGAGAAAATGAATAGAGATAAGCTGTGCTATTACTAAACCACATTATTTGGACTGTGGACAAAACATCTGTTTTGCTTAAATAGTGATCTTTCTTCAATGCAAACTCCTTTGTTATATTCAACGTATACTGAGTCCTCATTTCAAGAACTCATCTTCCTATACCTACATCCAATCTTTTAAAACGAGACTGTCACTGGACCACTCTCTTCAGAGTACCTCACTAAATCCACAGCAATGCCCTGACATCAATCTTTATGTAGCACTCTTTACTCTTAGACCAAGTGCATTCTGGTAAATTTCTCTGCTTGGACTGTTGGAATTACATCTTAAATTATCACCACAGTCTCGACTTCTAAACCAAGGTCTCTCAACCTTGGCATAGTTGAGATTTTGGGCAGGATAATTTTTTTTTGTTCATGAGGGCTGTCCTGTGAAAATGTGTGGCAGCATCCGTGGCCTCTATCCACTATGCCAGTAGCAATCAACTTCCAGTATGACAACCAAAAATGCCTCCAGACATTGTCAAATGTTCTCTGGGGAGGCAAAACTACCCTGGGTTGAGAACAACTGTTCTGGACCATGGGCTCGGTCTCTCCCAGTTCAGACCCTCAGCTGAGTCTTGACAACATTTGTGAATATTTACAGCTATACATCCACAGGAATTACATAAATCCCTTTCGAAATTAAACTTATTAGATTTCTTCTTCAGATAAAGAATTAAAAATGTAAGGATGACCACTCTTCTCAAGTTTTATCATCACAAACTTAATACCAAAATAAAACTATTAATATATCTTTTTTAAAAAAAGAAAAAGACAAACACAAACATGTTCAAGGCTCATAATTTCATGGAATATATTTAAAAACAAAGTAGAATTTGTCGTTATCTTTTTGCACTTATACTGGACACATAAACATTAACAAATAAAAATGATGTAGTCTACACGTATTTCAAATTATGCTTTCATTTTTCTTTCGCTTACCTGAAGAAACCCGGGAGGACGGTTTAGAACCGTATCGAGAGAATTATCCAAAAACCTCACAATTCGAAGGTACCCAGGATACGAAGGTGCACTAACCTCCCCTGCAGGATTTACAAAAAAAATCTGTACTCCATTTGGTATCAAAATCAATTCATCTGCATCCAGCCCTAAGGTCTCAAGAGGCGGTGGCTGAGAATGATTCCTATAAAACTCCTCTCCAACTGATGAAAACTCCCCAGAATCTGTTCCATAGGATACAGTGTAGTGACCTTCAGCAGCTTGAGGAGTATAAGCAGGAGGAGCTTCTGCTGGACAACTTTGTGATGGTAAAGACAGAGAAGCAGGTGCAGCAACTGCCCCTGCACTTGGAGTTGAGGTGTTTCCATTTACTTCAGCATGCTGAGGAGCTGAACTAAAAGACTGAGGCTCTGGTAATTTTTCACACATGTCTTTAGGTGGAAATTCTGGATATAACTTGGGCACCTCCTGAAGATCATTCTGCAGAGAAGTGGCAAGACCCTTCTCTAGAATTTCCAGCCTGGTGCGTACATTCTGTAGAGTTTCTTTCATTTTCTGTTGCATCTGTCTAGCAGATTCCCACCCAGGACCTGTGTGTTCAGACTCTTTTGATGAAATGCTGATCCCTCTGAGCAGGTGTCCTATTCCTTGCTTATAGTAGTTCTTTGCTTCTTCCTTCTGACCTAATTCATCTGTATTCAGACCTTTGTTAACAAATAAAAAGGCCTTCTTATATGCTTCTCTGATGATCTTAATTTCAGCAGGTTCTCCATTTTGTGGCTCTTGCTCCATTTCTGCAAAATTGGAGACATATTTAATTATCTTGCTTAGCTATTGTTTACTTATGATTCGTATCTCCTACCTGAATATATTTTAAGAGGACAAGTGCCTCGCTTATCTCTGTTTTGTTCACTATTATACTATCCTTTAAGCCTACTATTAGGTCTGTCATAAAGAAAGCACTTAACATGTATTTGATGAATGGATAAATAAATGAAAACTCTTGGTCCAAAATATCTTAATTTAAAAACATAAGAGAATAAATCAGAATACATCTATTAAATAATTTTCTTGTTCTGGTTTCTTATAATAGTTTCCTATCATACATCCTTATGGTTGAAACAAGAGTCTCATTCTAAAATTCATTATAATATAAATCCAGATTATATCCAGCCAATAAAAAATGAATTGAATCATAGACTGGGGAAAACAGAAATGAGAAAAAAAAAGTGAATGAAACTTTGTTACCTGATTTCCACTTAAAGGTGGCAGGTTACCCCACACAGCCCTGTTGCTTCCCCAAATCCCACTAAGATGACTCTGGAAAGATTATGAAAAAGGAACAACCATTTTTCTTAGTGAGAAAAATACATGAATAGGCACTTCACAGAAGAAAATCTTTAAAAAGCATCTGAAAAGGTGTTCAACATACTATTCCCTCAGAAAAGTGAAACTAAAATCGAGTGATACCAACTAGGCACTTAACAGATGGCTAAAATTTAAAAGACTGATTAGTGCTAAGTGAAGACAAGTGGAACTCTTCTACCTTGCTGGTGAAAGCTGAAAAATGATACAACATTTTGGAAAACCGGCAGTTTCTACTAAAGCTAAACACCCACTCAATGACCCAACAATTCCACTTGCAGGTATATAACCAAGAGAAATGGATGCATGTGCATGCCAAAAACATGTATGGCAATATTCACAGCAACTATATTCACAAAAAGCAAATCCTTAAAACAACCCAAATGCTCACTCATTCATACAATGCAATAATACACAGAAAAAAAATTTTAAACCTGATTGCCTGCAACATCAATGAATCTCACCAATTCTTTGAGGAAAAGCCAAATACAAAAGACTTCATATTGAGACCACATACTATGATTCTACATGAATGAATTAAATGGGAAAAACTGGTCTATGATATGACATAAATCAAAATAGTGCTTATAGGTAGAGGCTACAGACTTCACAGGTACAGGAGGGAATCTCATGGCCTTTGGAAATGTTCTCTTGTTGATCTGAGTGATGACTACAAGGGTGTACAGTGGTCCCCACTTATGTATAGTTTCATTTTCTGTGGTTTCAGTTACCTGCAGTCAACTATGATCTGAAAATATTAATATTAAATGGAAAATTACAGAGATAAATAATTCATAAATTTTAAATTGCACATTCTCAGTATCATGATTAAATCTCCTCTTGTCTCTCTCTGTGCCCCCTGGGGCATGAATCATCCTTTTGTCCAGGGCATCCATGCTGTCTATGCTCCCCTCCCATGATCACTTAGTAGCTGATATGGTTTGGCGATGTCCCCACCCAGATCTCACCTTGAACTGTAATACCCATAATCCCCAGGTGTCAAGAGAGGGACCCCGTGGGAGATGACTGGATCATGGGGGCAGTTTGCCCCATGCTGTTCTCCTGATAGTGAGTTCTCACAACATCTGATGGTTTTATAAGGCAGTTTTTCCAGCTTTTGCTAGCTCTCTCTTTCCTGCCATCATGTGAAGAAGGTCTTTGCTTCCCCTTCATCTTCCGCCATGACTGTAAGTTTCCTGAGGCCTCCCCAGCCACGCAGAACTGAGTCAATTAAACCTCTTTTCTTTATAAAGTACCCAGTCTTGGGCAGTTCTTTACAGCAGTGTGAAAACGGACTAATACAGTAGCCATCTTGGTTATCAGATCAACTGTTCCGATATTGTGGTGGTTGGATTCAACTAATTCTTTTTACTTAATAATGGCCCCAAAGTGCAACAGTAGTGATGCTGGCAATTTTGATACACTGAAAAGCTGTGAAGTGCTTCCTTCAAGTGAAAAGGTTAAAGTTTTCAACTTAACAAGAAAAAAAATCATATGCTGAGGTTGCTAAGATCTACCATTAATAACATATTTTCTATTCCTGAAATTGTGAAGAAGGAAAAAGAAATTAGTGCCAGTTTTGCTGTTGTCCCTCAAACTGCAAAACTTATGGTCAAAGCATGTGACAAGTGTTTAGTTAAGATGGAAAAGGCTGAGATATGAACAGAAACATGTTCCAATTGAAAGCAATTGGGTGCCACACTATCCATGGTTTCAGGCATCCACTAGGGGTCTTGCAACTTATCTCCCTTGGATAAGGGGTTAGGGGGGACTACTGTATATATACATAAAAATCATTAAACTATACATTTAAGATCAGGGTACTATATGCATTTTATGTGATTCCTCAATAAAACAGATAAATAATAAAGCCATAACTCACAAGGACAAATAGGGAAGATGAAAAGTCAACAGTACTTGGTGTCAAAAAAGGAGGCAGACAAGTGAAAACTCCCAAAACACACTTGAGAAAACAGATGCTTTAAACTGTCAGTGGGAAAATCAGAGACGCAGCTGCACTTACGTCACATCAAGAACCTCCAAAGGCATAAGAATTGATGGAATTCAATCTTCCTATGGAAAGGAAGTAGACAAAGAGCTGAAAAAAGAGGACTGGTTGAAAGCCTATTTACAAATTAGCACCCTCAGATCTTTCCTACACCAAGCAATCAGGACGCTGTTTCTCTACAGCCCTGAAAGACTGAGTGCTTTGATCTAGAAGAGTGTAAAATAAAGTGAGGATAAGAAACTATCAGGCATGATTAAGGGTAAAAACCAAAAGCAGGGGGATTAAGTGAAATGTTACACATTGATTATTGAGACCCACAGCCTTCTTCCCCACAACTTGGTAATTAGAGTTTTGGCTGCCAGGTACCCCTCAAGAAAGGAGATTGGAAGTTATCTTCTTGAGGAATCTGATCATCACCAAGAAGAAAGACACAAAGAATAGTGACAGTGAGAGTTCCCTAAGGAAAACTGTCCAAGCAATTCACCGTTCAGAAGCCATAGTTGATAGGTTCCACCCATAGAATCTCAGATCAGCTTTCTAGTGCTTCACTCACACGCACACACTCACACACAGACACACACACAGCCCAGGATCACAAAACATGAGGCAAACATCCAGTATAAAGGATTAAAAGAAGAGCAATGTAATTTGGTTGAAATGGACAATGTGCAGGAAACGTAAAAAAAAAAACCCTATCATTTATATCAACATAAAGAAAAAGAAAATATCGCATCCATAAAATAAAAAGTGGGATGCGTGCATACTGAAAGAAGGATATTCGAGTGACAAAAGGAACTCCGGGAAATTAAATATTTAAAACGCAGGAAGGAAAAACTCAAGAAGGATGAGGTCATACAATTATAGAAAATGCCCAGAAAGCAGAGCAAAAAGACAGAGATGAAAAATAGGCAATAATAAATAAGAAAATTAGGACCCAGTCTATAAGGCATATCATTTGAATAATAAAACTTCTAGAAATATGTGAGGCTGAGGCGGGCAGATCACCTGAGGTCAGGAGCTCGAGACCAGCCTGACCAATATGGTGAAACCCCGTCTAAAAATACAAAAAAATTTCCAGGGCATCATGGCATGCACCTGTACCCCAGCTACTCAGGAAGCTGAGACAGGAGAATTGCTTGAACCCGGAAGGCAGAGGTTGCACTGAGCCGAGATCATGCCACTGCACTCCAGCCTGTTCACAGAGCACGACTCCATCAAAAAAAAAAAAAAAAAAAAAAAAACCAACCAACAAACAAAAAACCTCCTAGAAATAGAGAACAGAGAAAAAATAAGGGATGAAAGAATTAAAGAAATAATTCATAGAATTTCCTAGAATTGGAAAACATGAATTTCCTAATTTAAAAAGACCAACAGGTTGGGCACAGTGGCTGACACCTGTAATCCCAGCACTTTAGGAGACTGAGACAGGAGGATCGCTTGAGTCCAGGAGTTTGAGATCAGCCTGGGCAACATAGTGAGACCAGCTCTACAAAGAAAACATCAAAAAATTAGCCAGACATGCTGGCGCGTGCCTGTAGTTCCAGCTACTCAGGAAGTGAGGCAGGAGAATCACTTGAGTGCAGGAATTCAAGGCTGCAGTGAGCTATGATCACACCACTGTACTCCAGCCTGGGTTGAAAGAGCAAGACCCCATCTCTAACAAATAAAAGTAAATAAAAAAACCAATGGGCAAAAAATAAGAAAAAAAGGGGAGGCTGAGGTGGGCAGATCACAAGGTCAGGAGATCGAGACCACCCTGGCTAACAAGGTGAAACCCTGTCTCTACTAAAAATACAAAAATATTAGCCAGGCGTGGTGGCAGGCGCCTGTAGTCCCAGCTACTCAGGAGGCTGAGACAGGAGAATTGCTTGAACCCGGGAGGCGGACCTTGCAGTGAGCCGAGATCACACCACTGCACTCCAGCCTGGGCGACAGAGCAAGACTCTGTTTCAAAAAAATAAAAATAAATAAATAAATAAGAAAAAAAGATTTCACACCAAGAAACATACCATGACATTTTAGAACACTAAGCTCAAAAGGATCATCTTTAAAATACTTACACACAAAAAAAGAGAGAGAAGTAAGAGTGCTAAGGAACTTCTTAAAGGCAACAATAGAAGAAGGAAATTATACATTTAATTCATAATTCTGAGTAAAAATAGCTTCTAAACCCAGCCAAGTGATTGCTCAGTTATTACATCTTCTGTTTGCTGGGTACCATGTTTGATGAAAGGAATCCCAAGACTGATGATGAGTTTCCAAGATAACAATTAGGCAAACACTCCAGGGTGGAGTAGGAGACAACAGAAAAGAATTTTTTAAGAAAGTAAAACTGATAGAATACCTAATGTGATTGTAAGCTCTGAAAAAAGATCTACACAACTGTGAGAGTATTCAGGGTTCCATTAGTAATAATTAAAAACTAAGGATTAACTCTAGGGAAAATGATGTTGAGCAAGAAATAAAAAGTAATCATAATGTACTAAATGTTTCAGTTTTGATTGGTGTCATAATATACACAATGAATCTCAATATAAACAAAATTATGGTACAACCATATTGAAAGATGGGAAGATGGATGGATAAAAAGTTTATGTGCATGCGACAAAGGATGAAAGAGATAAAACTTCATCTTTCTCACTGAGAAGTTAATGGACAGTGCCTAAAACTGAAAAAGTGCCAATATATTCGCACTGTTTAGAGTACAAAAAAGACCAAAAGAATTGGGTAAGAAAAATGATACAAGCTGACTTTGGGAGGAAGGGGTAAGATTTTTCTTAAATCTATGTGTATGATAGAAAATTTAATTACTATTAAAAAAGTAAATGGAAGCTTTAGAGCAACTATGTCAAACAGAACTGTAATGCAAGCCACATATGTAATTTATACTTTTCTAATAACATTAAAAAGGTAAAAAACAGGTGAAGTTAATTTCAATGATAGTATCTTATTTATCCAAATATATCAAAAATATTATTTCAATATGCAGTTAATATAAAAACTTTCAGTTAAATATTTTAGCTTTCTTTTTTTTGGTATGAAGTCTTCAAAACTCAGTATGTGTTTTACACTGAAAAGATAGTTCAATTCCAACTAACCCCATTGCAAGTGCTCAATATCCACATGTACCTAGTGGCTACTGTCATTAGATGTGGCAATTCTTTTCCTGTGATCTCATGAAAACTTACGATAGAAGAATTTCACTGATATGAAACTATTTTAGCAGCAATCTACACTATGAAAGCACAGAAGCATCACAGAAAGCATTCATTAAAATTGGTCTAGCTTCCGATTAATAATATAACTATACTTTCTAACCTGAAGTGCCACTAGTCAGCCTTATTATGCAACAACTTCATGGTAGTCAACAGAATATATTCAGTACCCAATTTAGAAAATACCATATACAATTGACCATATACAGACCCACGTATTTGCTCTACCCCACAACCCCTATCAATATTAACAATCTCTTCTCCTGGAATACTATCCTGTTGTGTCATAAGATTGCCACATCTTTCCAAAGAAACCACAAGACAGGCATTTTGTATTTTATCTTCCTCAGGATACAAGGAGGCCCAGACTAAGGCAGCAGAAAGACAGCAGAGGTTAAATAGGCATCTGTGAGTTGATTGGGAGCTTCACCAGCATCATTAAATTTGTCCAAATGACTTGAACAGGGTCTTGAACAACACTGTGACTTGGCACCCACTTTTGTGCTACATACGATAGGACACCACTATCCCCACGCATCATTTAGAGTACTTAACATATGCTGGACAGTATGCTAGGTGTTTATCTCAATCCTTACAAACAATTCTTGATGCAATATTACTATTAGTACTACTTTGCAGAGAAGAAAATTGAAGTTTGCAAGCATTAATTGCCTTAGATCACCTGTTTTCTGAAAGACCCTGGAATTAAGAATTACTTTTACATTTTTTAAAGGTTATAAAAACAAAGAAGAATGTGCAACAGAGATCATACATGGCCCCAAAAGCCTAAAATATTTACTATCTGGCACTTAACAAAAAAAGTTTACTGACCCTGCACTAGTTTACAGAATTAAATAGTCTGATTCCAAAACAAATCCTCTAAATCAGGGTTTCTCAGTCTTGGCATGGTTGACATTTTGGGTTGGATAATGCTTTGTTAGCAGCATCCCTGATCTCTGTCCACTGGATGCCCATAGCAGCACCACCCCTCATCCCGGTTGTGACAACCAAAAACGTCTCCAGACATTGCCAAATGTACTTTGGGCAGCAAAATCGTCCCCCACTGAGAATTACCACTCTAAATGGTCTTCAAACTGGGGGATGTGTGCCCCCCAGGACAAATGAAGTCTTCCATGGGACATACACCAACGACATGTGTAATTTTAAGAAAAAGGCTTCCAGATCCTTTACTCCCATGAGTACTTCTCACTAAACTGATCTGCCTGAGAATATGCCCATTGTCCAGTTATCATGCTGATTTTTATTCCCCAAGATCCTTTCACAATCTTCCACTTTACAAAATAAAGGCATACTTCTCACCCACTCCTATTCTTACTATGGTACACTGCCCCAGGATGGAAAAGCCTCCCTACCAACAAACAATAAGTCGAAGGGCTCAAAGACCCTCCTTTAATTTAGGCACAACTCCCACTATCCATTCCATTAGGACACAGATTTCCAGTAAACTTCTACTCTTAATAATTATTATTCATTAAAATCCATCAAGTTTTTAAGCTATTCTAATCAACTATTTATAATAACTCAACCCAAAAGAAAAATTACAACTTACAGAATTAGTTATAGGAAATTTTTAAACTTAGCTTCAATTTATATAACTATTGTTATTAAAGCCATGTATCACAGAGATTAATAAAAAGCTTTCAAGCATAAAAATGCATTACCTTAAGATAATATTCTGTGGGGTGGGGGTGATAAAAAAGTAAAATTTTTTAAAAAAGGAAGTGTGTAAAATATAATGTATTTTAAAAATTGATGGTGATGGATATAAAACTACAAAGATATGATACCCCACTGAATACAGGTGAAAGAATGATGTACCAATATTAAAATGTTAATATCAATACCATGTGGGAAACTGCATTCTTTTCAACTAACGCATGATGTAAAATGCTGTAAGTTAACCAAAAGTGTGCAAGAGGGACAGTTTTACAAAAATTATTTGGGGGTTCACAAGCAAATTAAAAGTACTGCTTTAAAAATCACTCACAACTATAATATATAGCAAAGATATAATGGACATGGTCTGTCTCTGGCCCTCAGAAGCACCAAAATTTACTATCTTTTGTTAAGCTCTCTATATGTGTCTGGCACCCTTCTAAGGTTATCCAATCCTCACTCTTGGAGGTTGATATCTGATTTTAAAAATGTTTTACAAATATTGAGCAGCTTGCCCAAGAAGAGAGCTAGTAAATGATACATTCAAATCAGTTCATGGATCAGAAGATTATCTGTCAAGAAAATTAAATGAGCTCTCGCCTGTAATCCCAGCTACTGCACAGGCTGAGGCCGGAGGATCGCTTGGGCCCAGAAGTTCAAGGTTGCAGTGAGCTATGACTGCACCACTGCACTCCAACCAGCCTGGGTGACAGAGCAAGACCTTGTCTCTTTAAAAAAAAAAAAAAAAGAAAGAAAGAAAAGAAAAATGAAAATGAAAATTAGATGAGATGTGTTTGATTCCAAATCTAAAAGTCCTACTATGTTTACAAGTCAGCAGAGTGAGGGAGGGGTGAAGAAAACCCAGAGTGTCCCGTCGTAGAAAGTCATGTGGCTTAAATCTTCAATAGGTAGCATTTGAAAGTAGAAGCGAGGCATAATGAAGGAATATAGCTAGAAGCAATATTTACCTTGGGTATACGTTTATTTCTAAGCTTATTTTACATACGGTGTGATGAAAGATTTCCTAATAATGTGTCAATGGAGGGAACAAGATGGCTACTGAGAAAGAAGAGTGTGCCTGTGTGTAGGGGTGGAGTGGGAGGGCTAATTCCACAGGATTGCTTAATAACCTTCCTTGCTACATCTCCATCTTAAAGAGAAAAAAAGGATACACGAGAGAAGAGCCTGGGTATCTAGAGGTTATATATAAGTCTAATGGTCAATTTCAGTCTAATCTCTGGGGAATCTCAACACAGAAAGAAAAAGGTTTATATTAAAATATCACATTTTTATTTTGTGACTGGGATTTGCTATATCCTCAGCGGTCTCAGAAAATACATTTTACAGAAATAAGGATTGGAGGATGGTGACTTAAAAAAAAGCCTATTCTATTCCTAAGCACAATTAAGTGTCAATCAAGTGTCCTGAAAAGATAAAAACCATTATCACATTATTTCACATTATTTAATTTTCAAAGTTAAGAAGACAAAGTCTTTGAAATGACAATCTGATGTATTAAACAGTACCTACACCAGTGTACAGTCTTCAACAACAAACCAAAATCTGTTCCGATACCAGTAGTTCACCTAAATTCTAATTTTTTAACGTTCTAATAAAACACATTTATTTCAACATAACTACATGTATGTCTGTGTATGTCTTAAAAAATACCCGAGAAAAGGTAAAATTCTGCATTAAAATACCTAGCAATTTAGTTCGATTCCATAAACACTGAAAGAAGTAACACTCTCACTTAACAGTCAACATTACAAGCAGTCTTTAATAATACCGCATTTAACTCCTTAGAGCTAGCACAAGTTGATCTAATGCCTATTTGGCCCTTTACCAAAAAAGCGGAGGGGGCTTTGTCTAACACCTGTATACACCTCCCTCCGTAGCATCCCGCTCATTCTAGCTTCTTAGGGAAACCATAGACAACGACGTTTCAGAGAGTGCCAGAGGTGAAGCCGACCCGAAACCACATTACAGAAAGGCTTCCTGTTTCAAACAGGTCCAATAAAGCCACCAAATTAAGTCTACGATTATAAAGAACTGCGAATCAGAAAATAATTCCATATAGGTGCAGTCTTCTATTACTTTTTTCCCCACTTTCGGAAATTTCAAAGAAAAATTGCTACATTCTTAAATATGAGGCCATTATTTCAAAGGCTGTAACAACCTGGAACGCAAATTCGTTAAATTATGATACAATAAGGCCAACCTCGAGGATCCTCGGTGGACTACTAGCGCACTTCCTTACAATTAGAAAGTGAAAAACTGGGTCAGCCCTAGAGTCACGCAATAATGCTGCGTCACGAAACTGCGCATTCCAAGAGAAACTTTTCTCAGGCCCAGAATTAAGTCGGAGGGATCCGCCGCGCAGCTCAATCCCTAGGAAGCATGAAAGAATGTATTGTAAAGAGTAAAATCACGCGCAATCCATCCCAATATAACCGCAGTTGTTCGTGGGCCTTCTTGCAGAGAAAGGCTGCCCAACCTTGACGGGGCCATGGGCGCTGCGGGAGGGCAAAAGACCACAGAGATCTGCGAAGCCAAAGTAAACAACGGGGTTGGGGCGGCGAGAATGATCAATAGCGATGCTCCGAAAGGACTCCGCGATAGGAATCGAGCGGGAAGGATTCCCTCCATCCTAACAGTCCATGGGTTAAGAGGCCGAAGCTTCCCTAAATACCACACTCCCGCGAGAGAAGGGACTGAGAACAACTTCTCAAACTATTCTCTCTCGAAATCGCTCCCTTCCTCGAAAATTCCATCTCTGAGACTCGGATGAGGTCCCCACCCCCTCCACCCTTGTCCCGTGACCGTCGCCCGCTCAGCCTCCCAGCCGAGTCCGCGGGGCCTGGGGCGCCCACCCCGCCCACCCAAGGGACCGCGCAGGGGTGAACTCCCCCGCGCCCCACCTGCGCCTTCCAGACCTCGGGCGCCCCGGCGTTGCCTCGAGAGCTCCCTGCGCGGCCGCCGCGGCACGGACCAGCTCCCACTCCCTTACACTGGGCGCCGCTGCGCTCGCCGGGGGCCGGTCCCGAGGTTCCCAAGGCCTCGCGCGCGCGCTTGCCGTGGCAACCAAGACGTTCCACGACGCGCGCTCTCGAACGCTTCGCGTCACGCGGCCGCGCGGCCCCGCCCGTCGGCCTCGCTCCCGCCACAGAGCCCGCAGCACGCCGCCGCCGCAGCCTAGGTCACGTGAGTACCCACGCGCGCGTCTTGCCAGCGGATTCATCACCGGCCTGCTCAGACTAGGTTCTGCCCACTCTGACCTTCTAAATGGTACGTGGGAGGACGTCCGTCCCCTTCGGACCCAAGAGTCACCGTAACACTCTAGAAGGGGAGAAAAGGAGCGAGGGCGGCAGGCGACAGAGAACCTCGCGAGTCAGCGGCCCCGCGCAGACCCCCCCAGGCACGGTCCCCTGCGGCCACGTCGGCTGCTCGGCGCCTGCGCAATCTCTTTCTCTCCAGCGAAACCGAGGCCTCCGGAGAGCCTAGTAGAGAGTGTGGGCAGTGAGCGCTTGTAGCCGCTAGAGGGAGCGCTGGGCACAGTGCACGAGAGACAATAAAGGCTGATTATCCCCTCAATGTCTCTGCAGCCTGAGCTTTGTGACTTCTGTATCCAGAGCACAGTTAATTTCCAAAAGCCCGCCTGCACCACGTGTTTTAAGTCTTGGTGTGTGTGTAAAGTCTATATCACTATCATAAAACTGTTAGTTCCTGATTCCGGGATACAAAGAGTAAAATCAAGATGAACATACTTTACCCTTCTTGACAAGTGTTTTTAAATTAGTAAAATATTGTAGATGACAGACTCTTCAATAGGGCTGCCTTAGGGAAAAAAAAACAGAAAAAAGAAAAAGCAGTATGTACTTGCCCGGAGCATTTAGAACCAGTTTTGTTGTTGTTGTGTTTTTGTTTTGTTTTGAGACAGAGTCTTACTATGTTGCCCAGGCTGGAGTGCAGTGGCATGATCTCGGCTCACTGCAACCTCTGCTTCCCAGGTTCAAGCGACTCTCATGCCTCAGCCTCCAGAGAAGCTGGAATTACAGCTGTGCACCACCACTCCCGTCTAATTTTTGTATTTTTAGTAGAGACGGGGTTTCACCATATTGGCCAAGCTGGTCTTGAAAGCTTGACCTCAAGTTAGCCAGGCTGGTCTCGAATTCCTGACCTCAAGCGATCCACCTGCCTCAGTTTCCCAAAGTGCTGGGATTACAGGCGTGAGTCACCGCGCCTGGCCTTAGGACCAGTTAAGTGACTCCCTCAAATCTCAGAAAGGTAGCAGTCAGTCATCCCAAAAAGCAAAACCTATTAGGAATATATTAATACAGTGGTTTCAAAATGATTTTGCTCTTATACCCCCAAAGGAGTCCCCAAAGACTATGACTGTATTCTCACTTCCACGTTTTTGGATTGACCATCACAATTTCTCATCTGACTTAAATAGTTACAAAAGAAGCAACTTCTGTTTTATTATAAATTAACATTTTAAAATAAAAGTTATATAACTTTTAAATGTAGCCAGTGGAATCTAAATACCAATTTAATATCTAAAATCATCAATTTTTAAAACTACATGAACAAGCTTTTAACAGAAGGAAATTTTACATCATTTCTTTTCTTCTTGAACTCATATTTCCGTTCCATATTGTGAAATTGTATGTCAATATTTCTTTAGTCTTGCAAATATTGGCCAGGCTTGGTGGCTTATGCCTGTAGTCCCAGCTACTCCAGAGGCCGAGGCAAGAGAATCGCTTGAGCCCAGGAGTTCGAGACCAGCCTGGGCAACATGACGAAACCCGTCCCTACAAAAAAACACAAAAATTAGCTGGGCATGGTGGTACACATCTGTAGTCCCAGTTACTCCAGAGGCTGAGGCAGGAAGATCACCTGAGCTGGGGAGGCAGAGGCAGCAGTGACTGAGATTGTGCCACTGCACCCCAGCCTGGGCAATAGAGCCAGACCCTGTACCCCCTGGCCCCCACCAAAAAAAGAAAGGAAATCTTTTATTGGTCATCTACTCTACTTCTTTACATTTAAAAAGTACATACATTTAAATAGAATTTTTTAAATTTCCAACAGCCATAAAGATGAATGTGTTTAAAACATGTAGAATTTCTATACACAAAATTGTTATATATAGAAAACCCTAAAGAATTTACTACAACACTGTTAGAACTAATAAATGAGTACATCAAGGATTCAGGACAACAGGTCAACATACAGAAATCAATAGTATTTCTATACACTAGCAATGAACATTTCAAAAATGAAATTAATTCCATTCATAATATTATCAAGAAGAATAAAATACTTAGAAATAAATGTAATAAGTGCAAGACTTGTATGCTGAAGACCATACAACATTGCTGAAAGAACTTAAAGACCTAAATAAATGGAAAGACATCCCATGTTAAAGGGTTGAAAGACTTCATATTGGGAAGATGGCAGTACTTCTCAAATGGACCTCCAGACGCAACACAATCCGTGTCAAGATCCCAAATGACTTTTTTGCAGAATTTTGCAAGCTGATCCTAAAATTCATACAATCCAGGGAAATATAAGGACCCAGAATAGCCACATGAGCACACACACACAGATCTTGAAAAAGAAGAATGAAGTTGGAGGACTGACACATTCCAATTTCAAAACTTAACTACAAAGCTGCAGGCCAGGCATGGTGGCTCACACCTGTAATCCCAGCACTTTGGGAGGCCGAGGCAGGCGGATCACCTGAGGTCGGGAGTTCGAGACCAGCCCGACCAACATGAAGAAACCCGGTCTCTACTAAAAATACAAAATTACCTGGGCGTGGTGGCGCATGCCTGTAATCCTAGCTACCCAAGAGGCTGAGGCAGGAGACTCACTTGAACCCGGGAGGTGGAGGTCACCGTGAGCCGAGATTGTGCCATTGACTCCAGACTGGGCAACAAGAGCAAAACTCTGTCTCAAACAAACAAGCAAAAAACTGCAGTAAGTCAGTGTGGTTAATTTTTGTTTTATGAGGTATGTTTATGTTCACAGAAGCTTCCACGTATGGTTAAGTTACTGCTAGCCATAGTAGTCTAGTGCTGACTTCTAGGAATATTCGTACTACTGACTGCAGAATTACCTGGCATCCAAACAGAAAGACACTGGCCAGGCACCATATTGCTTTCTGTTTGGGTCCTACAGTGCCCAGTACCAGAAGGATGTGGTAGAAGGAACAAGTAAAGTGAACAGGGCCAGAAGCTCATCTGTAGAAAAGTGTAAGCAAAGGATTTGGTTTGCTCCTCAGTACCTGGTCAAAACCTGTATTAGTGGTCCTTCCAAATTCGATAATTGTGAAATTCTGTGACACTCTTAATACTGAATTATGAAGCTGAACTGAGCTTTCCTAAATTATATTAAAAAGCTAATCTTGATAAACTATGCTAGAGGAAAAACTGAATTATCTGTTATCTCTGTGGAATATGTTGCAAAATCATTTTCATATGAAGAAGCAATCAGCATAGAGCCAAGAAAGGTGGGGGAAAGTATTATGGGCTGTGCCAAGCACCTGAATAATAGAATGATGTTATTTTTCTGGATTTTGTGGTATCTGTAGTATTCGTCAGCTTTTTTAAATTAGTAATTTTTTGATTCACTTTTATTATTTTCCTACAGAAGGCCATTCAAACTGTGAAAGCTGCAAGCATCACAAAACTTGGATCTGCTTAGGCCAAAGGGGTGCTTGAGATTAGCAGAAAATAATTGCGTATATTTGGAAACATGTAAAAAGCCATTTTTAACATTTAATATATCTTATTGAGGTAAAACAAGGATTGGATTGTCAAATCAGACTGACAAGATTCAGAGCTTTCTTTTACCCAGTCACAAGAAAATAATGGCAGTATCCAAAACCACTAACCCAGGTCCCCAGGGCTTCCCCGAATTCCTTAGAACACATTCTGGCTTAGATCTCGCAGGTGAGGTCTCTGAGTAAGTTATGCCGGTGAACACTTACACAGATGGAGCTCTTTCAGTCAGGAACTATCTCCGTTTTATACTGAAATAATTACATGGTGGACACTGACATTTTCCACTGGGCCATTCCATGTATTAATATATCGATCAATTCCGGGTTTATTTACCTTAGGCCATCTAGACAGACCAGGTGTACCCTGCTAAAAAGCATTTCATAGACAAGGACTCCCCATTCTCTTTCCACCAGAATATACCTTGCATGTTTACAAGGAGATTTGATTTGGTCATTTCCACCTGGCCATCTCAGGATAGGAATAATTGGCTAAAAACCAGCTGCTGTCACTTAACTTCTAACTTTTCTCCCCTGTCTTTTTTTCTTACCAGATCCTTCTAAAAAAAATAATTCTCTAAAACTAGTGAATAATTGTGGCTGAGGTCTTTAAATGAAAATTACCATCATACCATTATAGAAGAGAACAATATTTTGAAATCATGGCACTTTTGGGGCTTTTACCCCTGGGTAATGCACCAGAGTAAGATTTAGGGAGCTGTGTATTTCTTGCATAAAGTGGGAAAAGTTTTAGTGTGAAAGGAGGAGTAGGAAAAAAGATACTAGGAAATAGCACATAAAAAATTAAAATCTGGGTATTGATTATCTTATCTTATATCCCTGTAAATTTCTGCATACCTCCAGTGGTATACATACCCCGGTCAAATATTTTTACATCACATACTTGTAGCAGAGAGTCTGGGACCACTAGTTCTAGAATCCAAGAACCCGAGTTTGAAGCCACCTTCATCTCACAGTTGTTGCCACTTAAACACTCTGACCTGTTTTCTCATCTGTAATATGGGGATGTGATAATAGAATCTGCCTCACAGGGTGGTTACCTAAATTAACTGAAGTAACTCATTTAAAGTTGGCACTCAAGCCAGGTGCAGCAGCTCACACCTGTAATC
This sequence comes from Homo sapiens, assembly GCF_000001405.40. Lineage (NCBI taxonomy): Eukaryota > Metazoa > Chordata > Mammalia > Primates > Hominidae > Homo > Homo sapiens. Next base: position 36,351,218 of record NC_000013.11, read on the forward strand.
CCAGTACTTTAGGAGGCTGAGGCAGAAGGATCACTTGAGACCAGGAGTTCAAGACCACCCTGGGCAACAAACAAGACCTCATCTCTAATTTTGAAAAAAAAAAAAAAGTTTGCACTCAATAAATATTGGTAGTAATACATGAATTTCTTCTCTTCTTGCTGACATTCTTTAATGATTAGCAAAGATCAATTTGGTTCTAAGCAAATCTGTATGTTTTTTAAAGTCTGTCTTCCTTAAGATTGATGAAGTTGTTTTCTCTTGGCAAAGAATTTATTTCACTGTACAAAAATTGGTAAATATGAACACTATTGTAACCCTGTCACAGTGCCATTAATAAAACAGTAGTAGTATACATAGCATTATTTTAATAACGTAAATGTTCTCGGAAGAAAAATCTACTTGTTAATGGACTTTAGGAATGATATATGCCTATTTGGGTTTTAGGCATGCAATACCCATTATACTTACAAATCCTGGGTGATTATGCTAAAGACTTTTGTGTAGAAGCCTGTAGTTTAGTTAGATGAATGTGCTAAAAGTTTCAATCATAAATTATGCTAGATTCAATTTCATTCAGGTTGTCATTTCTTTTATTCACATGCTGAAAATATAGTATTTTTTCTTTTCATCTATTATATAATATTGTCAGTGGGTATTAGAAAACCCAGAGAGTATATCACATAATGATGAATATCATTAAAATGAGAAATGTCCAAATTAGCCATGAATTGAGTTAGATGTCAGGGTATCCATCTCATGAAGTGAACTTAGGTTATCACTAATGATATAACCGAATTGCTCCAAGCTCATGTTGAAATCAGTGGGATGACTCGATGTAAACTAAAACTCCTTGTGAGTACATTATGTTGAGGGTTAATGTTTTAATAATGTTCTAAAAGTTGTACATGAGGTAAGGTTTCTGACCTGTGATCTCATTACTTTTTTCTTTCTTGAACTCTACATTATATGAAAAGCATGCATTTGACAAAAGATCAATAATTGTGATGTTCTTAGTAAAGTATAACTTTCCTCTTACAGACCAAATATAGTGGATGATGGGCAATTTACTGATTAAAAATGGAAAACAATTCCTTTAACATTTCTTACTAACCTAATTTGACTTGGTACTAGCTAAATTGTACTTTTTATATTATGTTATAAATAGGCTACTGGGTTGGCTATCTTATTTTCTATTATATGTGTAACAGAGTGGTGGAGTGGGATTTAAAACCAGACACCAAAATTCTTCTAATAACTGCATTCCTTTAGGAAAATACATTGGTAAGCCACCTAGATTCAAGATGAGTCACCAAGGACACAGGCAAAATCAGACAGATAAATGAGAGAATACTTACACAGCATTTTGTAATACTGTCACTACATTACAAATGAGCAAAGATTTGCACAAGTGGAGTAGGGAATGAGAAGCAGTGAAAACTGAGAAGAGGCCAGGTGTGGTAGCCTCACACCTATAATCCCAACATGTTGGGAGGCTGAGGTGGGAGGATCAATTGAGCCCAGAAGTTCAAGACCAGACCAGCCTGGGCAACACAGGGAGATCCCGTTTCCAAAAAAAAAAAAAAAAATTGAAAATTAGCCAGGCATGGTGGCACACACCTGTAGCTCCAGCTACTTGGGAGGCTGAGGTGGGAGAATCTCTCAAGCCTGGGAGGTCAAGGCTACAGTGAGCCATGTTCACATCTCTGCACTCCAGCCTGAGTGACAGAACCAGAACCTGTCTCAAAAATAGAAAATTTAAAAATTGAGAAGAGAGGAAAAGCCAAGCAACATGATAGACTGACAAAAGACTCAGAACGAAATTTCCAAATTTTGCATTTGAGGTTGCTTTTGCTGTTGTGATGTATGAAGCCTACATTTTCTGAATACTTTAGAGCAGTTTGCCAAAAAATGCTGTGTTTTGTCTTGTTTTGTTTTATTTTGCTTTGTCTAGAAATGTAGGAAAAAGGCTCACCATTCATCTTGTTTACATGGTACAGAGCAAGACAAATATGTAAAGAATGAGACGAAGAATGATGCTGAGAGAACCCATGAACTGAGCTCCTTAGGGAAAGGAAAGGCTCAGAGCCAAAAATGTCCTCGAGACTGTAAGCCCCTGGGGAGACCCTTGGACATTTTGAAGAAGGCATTAGATTTTCTATGAGAGGTGGGAATGGAAGCTCAAAGCAAATGTCAATGCCCTCCAGCCAAATACAACCAAGAATACACTGGAGGTTTTTAGCAAACTGGGTTTATTACTTATTGAAGTGAGGGAGAACACACACCATGGGGAGTTAGGAGACATCTCGGTAAAAGGGTGTTAGAAAGGCCCTATTATAGCATTTGGGCTTGTGTTAGGTGATTTTGGTTTGGTATAAGGAACTGGGCTTTGCTCTGGGTTGGGCGCTGTCAGGAATCAGGAATAATTCTTTGATCGGGGATTTTAAACCTTATCTAGGAGGGAAGATGAGAGCCACACCAGAACTGTAATTAGGAAAGAAGCAGCAGTCACTCGTATTAGCCAAGACAGGCAGATGTTTGACCATTTTTTTGTGGTTTCGACAACATTCAAATACTCTGTTCAGACATGATTTCAGAGTGGTTGTGTTTTTGTCTTGATCCTTCAGTAGTCACAGAGTGGTCTTGTCTGACATGCATGTTCTGTGAATTGTTTATGTTCAGTTGGTTAACTCCAAGGCCTAGACAGAGGTAACAGTCCAACTCCTGGCAACACCTGGAAAGCTAGGCCTATTCAGATGTCAAAGGATGCTTTCTTTCTTTCTCACAGACTTTATGAAGTAGAGTAACCTTAGATGACACTGGGTTAGATCTATTTTATCAGATTGAGGGCTGGTTGATTAAATTCTATTCCCCCCTTTAAACCATGTCATTAAAAAGAAAACCTATGTCATGTTTTAATCAGCCAATTAGTTGATTAACAATAGCTATTTGATGTCCTTTGTAGGTAGAGGACTATAACAAAAGAAGCATAAAGGAGGTTTTTTTCTACATCATAAGATGTTCTACCATGAGCATCCCTTCCTTAAAAAAGTAATCTCACGCTGTCCAGGAAAAGGTGAATAACTTAGCAGACCTTGATTGCTTAGACCCTGCACTGTTCCAAGAAAGGCCTGGTCTTCAGGACTGTCCTCTGCACTTGAGGAATATTCTGTTCTGATAAGAATGGTTTTTTTATGCCTTTTGCCTGTGGGAGCTTGATTCTGAGTTGCGGAGGTCAACCCTACAGGCACTGCATGCCTATAAGGTTGATCCCCAATAAAAATCCTGGACACCAAGGCTCAGGTGAGCATCCCTGATTAATAACACTTTGCACATGTTGTCATGCATCATTGCTAAAAGAATTAAGCATGCCTGTGCCACTCCACTGAGAGAGGATATGTTGGAGCTTGCGCCTGTTTTCTCCTGGACTTTGCCTCTGTGCACCTTTTCCCATTGCTAATTTTAATGTATATTCTTTTGCTGTAATAAACCAGAACTGTGGGTATAATTGCTTTCCTAAGTCCTGTGAGTCCTCCTAGTGAACTGTCAATTCTGAGCATGGTCTTGGAGACCCATGATTAATTCTCCAACTGTATGCCTTCTTTACAGCCAATTCTACTCTACGTGGATTTACTTCTTTAATCTTTTTTCACAAGAAAATAAATTTCAGTTTTGGCATACTTTTAATAATAGCTGAAGAGGAAACTAGACCTAGAAACAGAAAATGTAAGTAAAGAAGACAAGGTAAAAGTAGAAATGTTTACAACAAAAATCTTGAGAGAGATAAAGTAAGTCTGCTCTTTAGGATTGTATTGATTCATTCATTCATTCAAACAATATTTATTAAGCACCTGCTTTGTATCAGGCAATTGCTTGATAATGGAGTTGCAGTGATCTTTAGAACAGATGTGGGTATGTGGGTTCACAACACATACTTTATGTTTTTGTTGTTGGTTTTCTTTTTTGAGTCAGCACCTTGCTTTGTTGCCAGGCTGGAGTGCAGTGGAACTATCATAGCTCACTAAGGCTTTAAACTCCTGGGCTTAAGTGATCCTCCCGCCTCAGCCTCCTGAGTAACTGGGATTACAGGCATGCACCACCATGCCTAGCTCTACAACATGTATTTTGTATTAAGTTATCATGGCAGAGCTAACTCTATACAATTCTGAGTGCCAGAAAGGAAATGTGGGAAACACCCAAGAGGTCATATCTGTTTTCAATATCCACATAACATAATCTTGCTCTGAAATCAGTGAGGCCTGGAAAGGGACAGCTATTTTCAGTCAAAAAAATAAAGGTTTGGAATATTGGAACAGCACAGAAAATGACATGCCAACATATCTCCTACTATATATGTTACTTGCAACAAAGCAAAGTAAATTTATAAACATCTCATAAAACTGTGAAAGTGTAAAATCATGAGAAGTTTCTAGTAAGTGTAAACCAAAAATAAAATTCTAAGGCTCCCCCCAACCATCTGAATGGACTTTCTTCTCAGCCAGGGCTCTTTTAAAATTTAACCTGAGAGACTGTTTCAGGCCATGATGGGAAGTGGGGGTCGAAACATGACTCATTATATTAGGTTGGTGCAAAGGTAATTGCAGTTTTTCTCATTAAAGTAATGGCAAAAAAAACCCCACAATTACCTTTGCACTAACGTAATAGCTCCTTGGCATTAACATCAACACAGACTTTAAGTCTGATAATATGGGGGTTCAGTCAGGCTGGTGGGAAAAAGTTATAGAGAATATACACAAATCCTTTGGGAAGGCCTGAGGGTTTTTACATATAGTACTTAGCTGAAGGCAGCCTTGTCCCCTTAGTTAAATAAATTAGAGTAGAAACAAAGGAATGTGGAGAGTTTACCTAACTAGCTTGTTTACTCATGTGGTCCTAAGACTAACTTTTGATCTACTATGGGTGCTTAATTGCCTTCTACTCCGGAGTCTACAATATCAATTACCCCCTAGTGGTGTTGACTCAAGCCTTTGTCAATTAATCTTTACTGAATAAATACGAGTCTTGCTGGCGAGTCTCGCTGGCTGGTCGAGGCCGTGCTTTACAGCACTCTGCTTGGAGTCTGTAAGCAGCCTGGACGCTCTGCTGGATTGGCAAAGCAGAATAGCTGTATGTCAGTGTACTTTATTCATCCATCATTGGGTCAGGGTCTGTGGGACAGACCCCCACATGATAAACATTTTACAACCTATTCTCTCTGAAGTCTACCACCTGAAGGCTTCCTTTGCAAATAAGAACTTGGGTCTCCACAATCCTTTGTCTTAATCCAGACAGCCTGCCCTTTCTGTTGATCCCAGGTCTTTAGACAAACTCAACCGTTGACCAGAAAATGTTTAAATTTACCAGTAGCCTGGAAGCCCTCCTACTTAAAGTTGTCCCCCCTTTCTGGACTGAACCAATGTATTTCTTAAATGTATTTAATTGATGTCTCATGCCTCCCTAAAATGTATAAAACCAAGCTGCACCTCGACCACCTTGGGCACATGTTCTCAGGACCTCCTGAAGGCTGTGTCACAGACCACGATCACTCATATTTGGCTCAGAATAAATCTCTTCAAATATCTTACAGAGTTTGACTCTTTTTGTCAACATAAGTAAGGGAGGATACATGGAAGTTAGTGTGCATGATTTACTAAATTGAAATTTGTAAAATATTTCATATGTTATTCTGTGTATTAAAAGTGCTTTATTTCAAGAAATGTAAAGATAAGTGCTTTTAAAGACAGTTTTAATCATTATCCCTCAAACCTATTTTCCCCACCAATATGTGAATGTCTTAATGTAGAAATTCTTCCTCCACTTGAGAAAGGCAACTGTCCCTTTCCTCGTAAAGGCTGCACTTCCTAGGTTCTCAGGGTTGTGGTTGCCCTGGGGGTCCAGGTAACCATCAACTAAGAACCCTCCTTGGAGTGAGGCAGAGCGTGGATGCTCCCGCTCTTACAACCATGGATACCTAATCAGTTTTTTTCAAGGGTGGATGGTTGGCTTTATCTGGGACCTGCTTCCTGAGGAGGCAAGTGCATGAGTGAAACTTTTGTAATTCAAGCCCCTTGCGCATTGATGGCCATCACCCATGGGATAGTTTTCTGGGAGTGCAGATTAGACCTGACCAGTCACAAGTCATCTTTGCTGGTACAGAGGCGAGTTGTTGGAAACAGTCATTTTCTTAGAAGAATGTGAAGGTATGGCCTCCTCGGAAAAAGCCCCTGAGGCCCCTGGTAAGGATTCTGCTGAAATTCAGGATTCAGGGGAGAAGAGGAATGTCCTACGCTGTGCAGCCTGCAGCAAGTCACACCCACAGAACTTCTGTTTAAACACTGCTTGTCTTTTTATAAAAGGAACCTATAAGTGGAATGTGAAAGAACCCTTTGGCAAAACAGCAAAGTGGTTAAGAATTATGCATTATTAAAATAATCACTGGTTATGTTCAGGTATTCTCTGTATACTTATAAAAGGTTTTTAAATTCTATGTAATTGTGGATTACAAGAATAAAGAGACTATCTTTAGTGCTGGTTCACTGTATCATCAGTCAGACACTAGCCCTTCATGAATAGGTTATTTATGGGGGCAGCCAGGAAGAAAAATGTGTGATGAATTGCTGGCAAAATCCACTGAACACCAGGAATTCATTGTTGAACATCCTTGATTGTCTTGGGAGAATTCCCATTCCAGAACAGCTAACACTTTTCTGGCAATATGAAGGTTTTGGATGGAAAGATCGAGGCCCAGAAATTCCAGCTCCAGGACTCTCAGTTCTTGGAGCTGGTCCATCCGAGCCTGATTGCCCAAATGAACTGATATTATAGCTGATTACCAGGAACACAATACTAAACAGATTTAAATGCGTCAGTTCATAAAATGTTCATAAGCAAAGTCACTATTCATAGAAAAAAAAAGAAAAACCTGCTATTTTATGAGATTTGGCAAAAATACGCCAACATTTATATTTTTACAGTTAAAATTTTCAAACGATTCTTCCCAGAAACTCTTGTTTTTTTGTTATTCAATCATATTCATTTTATGGTCTTTATTTCTTAGTCTTTTTTGCATGTTTGGATTTCTAATTGCTGCTGTGTCTTTAAAAAATAAAGCTCTTTTTCGTAAAGCAATACTAACTTGAAAAACCATCATCTCCCTGACACAGCTGCAAAGACTTGTTGCTGTCATGACTAATATATGAAGAGGAGAAATGAAAGTTGAATTTACCTATTTTTTTCTCATAGTCCCAGTTTGGCTCGAACAATTGGTACTGTATTACTATTACTGACAAAAAGAAGCTATTGGCCATTTTTAAAACTCTCATTCAGGACACAAGTAGGTCTTGAGAATCCCTGTTTCTTTTAAAAGAGTCAGTTCTGCAATCCAAAATATTTCCTTAGTTTAATTTATATGTAGAGAAGTCCCTGTAGTGTCAGATCACAGCATAGCTGAGCATCACTGAACTATATTTAGTCACAAGGTTTGATTATAACAGCAGGGCACTTCTTAAGCAGTCCTGGAGACGTGGAAATTAAAATGCTAAGAAAATCGTATTTTAAGTAGCCCACACAAACTACATATATATTAAGCCTACTTGCCAAGTCTTTAAGTTACTCCATCAGAATAAGTTAAAGGACTTTTGGAATTTGATTAACTTTTTTAGATAAAAAGAGTTCCCATTAACTTTTCTGCAAAATTAAATTGGGGATAAGACTAATAAATATTGTTTTGGGGGGCCAAGTGGAAGGTCTTCTGCTGACTGTTTTTTATTCATCATTCTATCTCACCACCTCCCACCCCCAATGAACAAATAAGGTGGCTATGCTTAGATGAAGAAGTAGAAGCTCAGAAAGTTTATGTAATATGTTCCAAACCACAGCAAGTACCAGACAAAGCCCAGGTTCTCAAAGGTTGTTTTCAGAACTGTTATTTTATTGAAATTAACATTTTGTTGAATACCGTATGCTCAGCATGATTAGTTTCCCTATATTGCCTTTAAACTCCTCCCCCACAAAATTATATGGAGTGGGGTTTATTGACATTACATAACACGGTCAAGGTCTTGTGACTAGTAAGTGGTAAAACTGTAATTTAAATTGGAGTCTTTGACTTTAAAACCTTAGCATGTTTTTCTTATACCACAGTGTCTTATTGTTTATCCAATTCCCAAGAGGTAATATACTTTGGAAAAATCTGAAACACCTTAGAAAAAAGAGTAATTTGCCAAGGCTAGAGATGGCCTCTTCAGGTTAGCTGTAAATATAGACATATACTTAATGCCATGGACCATCACATGCAGCTGTTTGAGTCCTAACAGTCTTACCTACTACCTACATGAACTTAGGCAAGTCACTTACCCTCAAAGCTTGTTTCCAACTTGGCTTGTTGAGAAAGCAGTAACAACTTCATAGGATTGTATTTGGGATTAAATAAAATAACGTATGCAAAGCTCTGTACTCCACAAGAGACAGCAAATTGCAGTAGTCAAGAGCACAGATCCTGAAGCCAGCTGTTCAAATTCAGAGTCCAAATTCTGGATCTGCCACTGGCCAGCTTGGTGACCTTGGGCAAGTTTGCTGTATTCATCTGTGTCATCTGTGTCCTCACTGCTAAAACAGGGTAATGATAGTAACTGCTTCATGAGCCAGTATGTATAGGGCATTTAGGATAGTGCCTAGAACACTAAACACTATGTAAGAGGTTGTTAATTTAAAAAAAAAAAAAAAAAAACACCTCTTTGAACATAGTAGATGCTGAATTTTATTCTGCAATCACCCAGGTGGATTAAAAATAAATTTTTAGGCTGGGCGCGGTGGCTCATGCCTGTAATCCTGGCACTTTGGGAGGCTGAGGTGGGCAGATCACGAGGTCAGGAGATCGAGACCATCCTGGCTAATACAGTGAAACCCCGTCTCTACTAAAAATACAAAAAATTAGCCAGGCATGGTGGCACACGCCTGTAGTCCCAGCTACATGGGAGGCTGAGGCAGGAGAATCGCTTGAACCTGGGAGGTGGAGGTTGCAGTGAGCCAAGATTGCGCCACTGCACTCCAGCCTGGGTGGAGAAAATTTTTGGAGAAAATTCCTGCATTGCCATTAGGGAAACATGTCAAATGAAATCAGCAGTTCTAGAATGATGAATGTTAGAGCTACCCTAGTAAGTTCACTGGATTTGGGGGCAGGAAGATGAGGCAGAGAGGAAGGTGTTAAGAGTGTCTTTCAGATTTGGGGATTAGGTAACTAATCCCCAGATGACACTAGGAGCTATTTCATACTGAGATGGGGAAGAGAAGAATTATGCATATGGGAACAGTAAGAAGTAAAAGAACTAGCATTTGTACCGTCTCCCAAGTACCAGGCATTGTGCTAGGCACTTTGTATACAGAGTAACTCATTTCATTCTCATAACTACCGTTTGGGTTTTACTCTCTCTGTTTTTAGAGATCTGTGAAAATCTTTAAAGGCATGTGTTTTGCCATATATGCAAGTGAATCAACTTGCCAGATAAAAGTTTGCTGCCTAAATATGGTAAGAATTCTTCTTCTCTTGCCCCCTTCCCCCACTAAGCTCTGAATTTTCACATCAATATTTATATTGCTATGTTAGAGTGGGCACTACTTTCACCAGAAAGTGACCCTTTTCTATTCTTGGTAGTTAGTCTTTTAATACCTCCATAGACAAAGAACCTTTTGAGATGCCATGCAGGCTCTAAAGTTCTGTAATAACTTGGAAATCTGTGATGGTTAGACAACTCTGTCCAGAAATGTCTTGGGAGCTGTCATATTTCTCCAATACTCACATTAGACACAGACATACTATCATGGAGCTAAAATTCATGGTGTAACGATATTGCACATTAACCTCATAATGCTGTCTGTATCAATTTCAACATTAATATAATGTAACTGTTTCCAGGTGGAAGCAAACCAACTTATATACATGTTTTTATTGCAATCTTCTGAAAAATGCATGCCATCTGTATTACCTCAAACTTTTGGGAACAAAATACATTAAACTAAGCAGAACCTCAAATAGTCAAAAGAATCTGTCTTTTTCAGGATATTTCTGAACTCTCTAAAAGAAAACAAGTTTTGAATTATAGAATACATAAATTTTTCAAACACAAGCACCACCAGAGGGAACATTAATATAATTTTTTTCAATCGCTTTGCATCATTCTTTTTTGTTGTTTTTGTTGTTGTTGTTTTTGAGACAGAGTTTCCCTCTTGTTGCCCAGGCTGGAGTGCAATGGTGTGCTCTCAGCTGACTGCAACCTCTGCCTCCTGGGTTCAAGAAATTGTCCCGCCTCAGCCTCCTGAGTAGCTGGGATTACAGGTGCCCACCACCACGCCCAGCTAATTTTGTATTTTTAGTAGAGACTGGGTTTCGCCATGTTAGCCAGGCTGGCATCAAACTCCTGACCTCAGGTGATCCATCTGCATCAGACCCCCAAAGTGCTTACACCACGCCTGGCCCCTTTGCATCACCCTAAAACCGCCTTTTCATTCTGATGGATAATTGAAACTGAAAACTTTCTAAACTTTACTAAGCATTTATTGCTACTATTTACATTTTTAATTATACTACAACATTCTTATAGTAAGAAAGCTATTACTGATGACTATTGTAATCTCTGTTGATATTTACAATTGATATTTTTGCTCTTTGGTTTTAAGACAAATTCTTGACTGCATGAATATCAATAATAAAAAGATTTTATGCCTGTGTGATGTTTCAAGGTTGTCAGCATGCTGTGCAAAAATTACCTTGAGCAATGCCTAGGACACTCCATTGTAGGCAGGCATTATTATCACTGCAGTCCTTGTACTAGACCCCAGGCAAACAATACCCATGTCAGCCGGGTGTGGTGGCTCACGCCTGTAATCCCAGCATTTTGGAAGGCTGAGATGGGCGGATCACCTGAGGTCAGGAGTTCGAGACCAGCCTGGGCAACATGGCAAAACCCCGTCTCTACTACAAGTACAAAAATTAGCTGGGCATGGTGGCGCACGCCTGTAATCCCAGCTATTCAGGAGGCTGAGGCAGGAGAATCACTTGACCCCCAGGAGGTGGAGGTTGCAGTGAGCTGCAATTACGCCACTGCACTCCAGCCTAGGTGACAGAGCAAGACTTCCATCTCAAAAAAAAAAAAAAATACCCATGTTATGGAAGAAGAAACAGAGGCTCAGGAGGTGACCAGCTGTGAAGGGGTGTAGCTATACCCAGATCTAATGAGTCACAGCTGACTACATGTATTCACTACATCTTTGTTAAGCAACTTGTCCAGTAGTGACTCAGTTATTGAAAAAAGTGCATTTCAATATCATGCTCTGAATGAGACATTGCTCTCAGGATGCAGAATCCCTCGTTTCTTTCTCCCCTGTGTGCTCTGCATGAGGCCACCTGAGAAGATCTGGACTCATGCAGATCTTGAGTAGATCTTGAGTAGGAGGAGCCCTACTCCTCCACCAGGCTAACCCTCAGGGCTTGCTTGGTGCCTAAGATAGCCCACAGCTTGCTGCCCCTCAGCTGCTAGCCCAAAACCAACAGCAAGAAAGCAGACTGTAATGTGGAGGATACTTTTTTTTTTTTAAATGAGATTTTGTTCCTAGGAGACTCTAAAAATTAATACCTTATTCCACTGTTCTTTTTGGTTATGTAAGATTATTTTCCAAAATGCTGGCAGTAATTGTCCTCTGTATTAACTAATTTTCTGCTGGTGATTATTAACATGGTGAAAGGCAGAACTGCTAAATCGGGGCTTCCCACTCTTTAACATGCATACACATCCTCTGAATATTTTTTTTAAAAAAAAGACAGATTCTGATTCAATAGGTCTAGGATGGTACCTGAGAGGCTGCATTTCTGGAAAGCCCCAAGGGACTGGTCCACAGACCACACTTTGAGTGGCATGGAACGAAAGTATTTCAAACAGTCCTTGTATTTGCCTGACGATCTGTGAGAACAGGATCAGTCTAAAGATGAGTAATGATTCTTTTTTCTGAAAACAATAACAACCAAAATGATTTCTAGTTGATTTTATTTTTCCCTATTTACTTTTTCTAGGAGAGTATGGGAATTAAATGGAATTCTCTTTCCTAGTGTTTGGGAATAAATCAGGTGTTGAGTTAAATAAGCATCTCTCTCTCTCTCTCTCTCTGTCCCTCTTTTTGTCTGTCTCTCTTTCTTTCTCTCTCTCTCTCTCTGAACTCTAGAGAAATGCTGAGCTGCTGCCTTTTGGTCCTCCCCCTTCTCTGAATTTTCCCATCTACTCTTCTCTGCCTTTGCTTGATCCTTTTTCCCCTATGAAGATTTGGGGTTTTTATTGACCAGAGGCAGATTTTGGCAAGAATGTCCCAGTTATTTTAGCTTATGCAGTTGGTCACATTCTTGTGAAATTAGCCTGAAATTAGATTACTGCTCAAGATAGCCATGAAATAATGTCAGCACTCAGTATTTAATTCTGAATTATCTGGCAACACCGAATCAGCTCTGCCAAAATGGACATGCCTCAGCGTCTCAGCAGTGATAGTGTTGCAGCCTGTTGGTTTTTTTTGTTGTTGTTGTTTTTTGTTTTTGTTTTTACTTTTTATTTTGAGACAAATACTATAATAAGATGCACAAATAATAGTTTTAAGTGTACGTCATCCAGCTTTCCTCAAAGATAACACCTTACATAACCATAGTACATTATGAAAATCAGGAAACTAGCATTGGTATGTATTATTAACTAAACTACAGGCCTTATTTTGATTTTACCAGTTTTTACATGCACTCTTTTTTTGGGCTGGGGGACGGTATGCAGTAGTATAAAGTTTTACATATCTGTGTATAGATTCATGGAACCACCATCACAGTCTTCCTGATTGCTAAAAGTTGGTGTTCTCCAGGATTCTGTCCTGAACGCTATTCCGTTTTCATTCTCCACGTTATCCCTGGACCCTCTTATTAGTAATAGTGACTGTAACTATCTTTTCTATTTGGATAATTCTCCAATGTATAACGTTAACCTCTCTTGAGCTCTATACCTCACCATTTCCTGGCCTACTTCTGGACACCCACTGACTATTTTATCTGTACCATGAGCTCCAACATAGCCAAAATTGAACCTGTATTCCTTCATTTTTAAACTAAATAATCTCCATTTGAGGGATTAACACCTTGTGGCCCAAGTCAGAATTCCCAGGGATCATCTTAGAAGCATCCAGTCTCCCTAATCCACCTCCACATAATAAAAAGAGCCAACACTGCTAGAGCAGGTACTGTGTGCTGGATACTGTCCCACACCTGCTTGAGGGATCAGCTCACGTTGTTCTGATGGCAATCCCACGCTTTGTCAGAAATGGATCCAAGTTTCATGAAGCCTGAAACTTGTATAGTTTCAGGTCCCATTAACGAAAAAGAACAGAAGATTACAAATATTAGAATTAGGATTTGTCAAGGGAAATATTTGGGCTAGTGCAAGTGAGGGGCCCTGAAAATTGACCTTCACTAAGTTCATAATCTATCTGTCTTTGAGATCAATGCTATTCTTCTTGCCGTTTTACAGTGAGACAATCAAGGAACACAAAGTTTGCAAAAGTTGACTTGACCAAGGTCCTCCTGCCACAGGGGCCTCATTACCTCTTGCTGTGTTTTAACAGAGGCCTCCTATGTGACCTCTCTGCTGTCAATCAGCCCCCTTCATCCATTCTCCACACTGACCCCAGAGGGATCTGCACACAGGGCCATGTCTCTCTCCTGATCCAAAGCTGTCACTGGTTCCTGGTCCCTTTTAGGATAAGAACTAAACTGTTTTGCATGACTCCTTGGCTGTCTCCTCTGACACTGGAGGTTGCATGATGCTGAACTGCTAGGGGCTCCCACCAATGCCCCACACTTCCACTTCCTACTCCTTTCCACGTGTCCTGCTGCTGCCAGGACTGCTCTCCTCCCATCTCCTCTACACACTGCACTCTTTATCATTTTATCCAAAGTAGAAAATGCATTATTGGTTATTTTTAGCTTATAGGAGCAACAGATGGTTAAAGTAAAAAAAAATTATACAGTGCAAAGAATTAAGTAAAAACTACCACATCTGTGGCCCCATTTTTTGGGATGAACCACTATTAAGTGTATGGTGTACATACTTTTCATTTTTCCTACTCTGTGTGTATGTGTATGTGTGTTCTAGCCTATAAAATTGGGATATGTTACTATGTTATTATTATTCTTTTTCATTTTTATTAATCTTCCAGACTTTTCTCCAAAATGTTTTTCATTTTGTTTGTTTTTGCAAATATCTTAGATTACTAGGAAAGCCAAGTCTCTCTTCCTGGATTTCTTCTCCTATAAACCGCCTATTGATACCTACCCACTTCTCTATGGAGCACAGATGAAGGATATTGGTCATGTATGTTGAAATATTTATCCAACTTTATCCCTAGTTTTTTGACTTTGTAAGGGTGAGGAATTTTAATTTGTATATACTTGTAGATGCCTTTAGAACAATGACCATATCTTTTTTTATCTCCATAGCTCCAGCATCTAGCACAACGTCTGCAATGGAACAGGCGAGCTGTGAATATTTGTGGAATGCATGGGTGGACTAAAGACCTATCACCTCACTCTAGAATGCCCAGCATGTTGGAGGTAAGAGCTCATCTTCTGGTCTCTTTACCCCTTCTCATACAGAGCCAGTCACCAAATCCTGCAAATTCAACCCTCAAAATGTCTTTACACGTCCCACAGCCACCACCGCTCTGTCAGACTTACCATTTCTCACCTGGATTCCTGCAGTAGCTTCCTCTCTCTGGTCTCTCTAAGCTAATGCTTTCTCTATGTGTGACCAGGGTTTTCTAAAACACAATCTGTTCATTTCACCGTCCTGCTTAAAAACCTTGAATGACTCCATAGTGCCTGGAAAAGCAATCTAAATACGTTAGAAAGGAGTTCAAGGCCCTCCATAAAATCTGGTCTGACTTCCCTACTCAGCGCCGCCTCTCTTTCTTCACATCTTCTATTCTCCAGCTGTGCCACACTTTATTCAGCTGTTCTGGAACAGACCTTATATTTCACAACTCTGCTTATTAGATTCATCTCAAATGTCAGACATTCCATGGAATCTCATCCTGTCTCTCTATCAAAATTATCACACTACTATTACCACCATTAGCACCACATCACTTACCTGGTATACCTCCCTGTATCCTCTACACTTCCTCATTAATTCAAAGATAACTTTATATTTCTCTCCCTATTTCAACTTCCTGCCTCCATAGAAACAGTTTTCTGGTTCAGCAGTTTCAATGAATCAATCAAATATTTGCACATCTGTTATGTGCAAAGTACTGATGCCATTTCTGATACTCAACTCACTTTTCAGTTGAAATTTCGAGTGCATCTGAGTTCTGAAAAATTATTAGTTTGTAAAAGTCTGAAAATACATGCATTTATAAAAATCTTGGGGGACCTCCTCTTTTGGCTTGGAATACCCCTCCCTCTGTCTCTGTACGGGGGAATTTCTTCCTTCTGTCTTTGCCCTTCCTTCTTGCCTATTAAACTCTCCACTCCTTAAAACCACCCTACGTGTATCTGTGTCGTTTTATTTAAACCGGCATGAGGACCAAGAACCATGGTGTTCCTCCACTCATCAGAGCCGTATCATTTTGATGCATGCGCCAAGAAAGAAAATTCAATAATCAGACTGAAGCAATCAAACTCCAAATGGTGCTGTAAACTGAACCACACATAGACATGCCATTCTTCTAAGGACCCTTAGATCCACCCCAGGAGGAGCGCTAGCTGCTGTTCCCCATTCGATGCCCCTTTTCGGCCGGAAGTAGCCGGAAAGATTCGCCGCCCAAAATCCCCTAACAGCAGTTAGTGTGGCATCTCCACAGCAGGGAGCGTTGTAGGAAAAGGTGTCCTTGGGAAGTTTTCGGTTTTTAAAGCATCTCCGGAAAAGTTTCTTGTAAAGCCCTGGCTCTTAGAGCCAGGCCAGCAACCTTTGATATGCAAATGCTGGCTATCAGAAACTGGGTCCACCCAAACATGGAGGCCTTCTTGCCCTTTCCCCACATGTTCCTGGCAACATGGCTGCCCCCACATATCCCCACATGTGTAGAAAATCATGGCACCCTGCACTTGCATATTAAAAGGGTAGGGTGGGAGGGCCAGCTTTTTCGCAGTTTACGTGAATGACATGCCTAGTCAAACGAATCCCCTGAGCCCTATGCAAATCAAACACCGCCTCCTCCAGCCTCTGCATATATACCTGGCTGGTATCTGTGGCAAGGTGGGGACCTCCTCTTTTGGCTTTGGAGACCCATCCCTCTGTCTGTGTACAGGGGAGCTTCTTCCTTCTGTCTTCCCCTTTCCTTCTTGCCTATTAAACTCTCCGCTCTTAAAACCATTTAAAAAAAAAACTTAAAATAATTAAATTGGGATGAAAAAAGCCTTGTAAGCTTCTCTTGGAACAGAAGATCTGAAGTAAACAGGGAGGTAGATGGCAGTGTATTCCCGGTCTTGTTAGCTAAGCAAGTGAGCGGGAAGCAGGGCTTCTATTCACAGGTGATATCTCCTCACTCACTATGTGATGATTCAGTCATCTGGCACAGCGTCCTCTAGTTCAATTAAAATATGTCTGAGTTTTTGGCCTAAATATAGTAATAGACACAAATATTAAACTCATTTTTCCTAAGCTTTTAAAAAATTATATATTCTCAGGATACGACGGATAATCATTTGCCTCTGCAAATTTAAGTCACACAATTTATTTGTGTGTTCTCTATTCTCATTGCAACATGCTTTAGGGCTAAATATAATCAAAAAAAGGATTCAATATACGTACATTAATATTAGTAAACCTTTGCCCCTAGTAAAATGATCATGGCTCTAAAACTTTAAGGCTTATCACTTTTCTTTCAAGGAAAGAGTCGGGCATATTTTAAACATGTCAACAAAAAATAAATTCTTTCATTTACTCATTCCTTTCTCCCTTCCAGCATGTTAAGCACTATATGAGCTGCTGAGGATACAGGAATAAACAACAACACAGGTGTGTCCTCTGCCCAAACCAGGCATAAATGAGCTTCCAAATGAACACAAACAAATCTGGAAGGCTTTTGAGGAAGAAGGACCATTAAAAAAGGTACAGAAAGAATGTATTGAGATCATGTTTATCCATCACTGAAATAAAATACGCTCCAAAATTTCAATGATTCTCCAGCCAATATATTATTACCCCTCCTTATTAAAAAAAAAATGAAAAAAACCTGCCAATAGAAAGCTGCCTTTCCTAGTAGATTGCATGCAAGTCATACTGTTAGCTAGAACTTAAGATACCTTGTTGATTTAATCAGTAGGTTACTATATGTAATAATTCAATATTAAGAGAAGTGAGGCTATCAATATTATAGGTATATTTTACATTTTTCCAATCAGTCATTACTAAAGCTAACATTAAAAATCTTAATATATTACACTCTACGTTTTTGGAGCACAAATATAACAATTTAAAAAATAAATTGGCTGGGCGCAGTGGCTCACGCCTGTAATCCCAGCACTTTGGGAGGCTGAGGTGGGCTGTTCATGATCTGGAGATCGAGACCATCTGGCCAACATGGTGAAACCCCGTCTCTACTAAAAATACAAAAATTAGCTGGGTGTGGTAGCGCTTGCCTGTAATCCCAGCTACTCGGGAGGCTGAGGCATGAGAATCGCTTGAATCCAGGAGGCGGAGGTTTCAGTGAGCTGAGATCGTGCCACTGCACTCCAGCCTGGTGACAGAGCAAATTTCTGTCTCAAAAAATAAAAAATAAAAATAAATTTAAAAATTGCAGAACATTTTCTTTAAATAATGCTATTTTTCTCAAAAATTAAATCAGCTATTGATTTTCTTCCAAGGTCATTTGCCTCCCATCTTTCTTCCAAGTGTCATCATCTTATGTATTTCACTTTTTATAAAACTTTAAACAGCAAGAGGCCATACAAAATGAAAAAACATAACTTGTATTAATTCATTTAGTCCTTTAAAAGCTGTATCAGAAGCTGTTGTTGAAAAAATGGTAGAGTTATTAGGAGTGTTGCAATGTACTCCTAGATGTCCTATAACTGATATGTTAGTCTTACACTCTTCATAATCGTATATAGCGATCTTAGTACTAGCAGACATCTAAGGTCTATGATGGCATTTAACACAATTTTGTCTCCAAATTCTGCTGTGGTTTCATCAATGCCTTTTTGTTAGCTCTGAGTTTAAATTTTAATCTGGAACCATAACTGATTTATCCCAGCTGCTGACGACTGCCTGGAATCTGGTTTGGAGCATCTCCAAAGCCAACGTACTTTCCCCCAAGAAAATACAGGAAGATCTCTCTGCCCAGGCTTGGAAATACATAAGGATCAGGTTTGCCATCCTCTACTTTAGGGTGACTTTAACATAATTTAATGCCCACTGACTGCTTTTCTCCTACAGGTAAAGTAACAAACAAAGGAGTCAACTCTCAGGAGCTCTCTCTTTCATCTGCTTTATGTTGCCATTTTCCCTCATTGCCCTCTCACATTCACTCAGTAATTCACCAAATATTTATAGAGACTTCATGGTGTGCAAGGCAGTGAACTCCACACTGTAGGAAGAGTAAAGCCATGGAGATCGCAGGCCTGGCTCTTCATACCTTTGGCTTTCTGTTGAATTGAACTTTCTGTTAAGTTTAAAATACACAATAGAACTTTGACGATGTTGTGGCCTGGTCAGGGATGGGACAGATAACCAGCCCTTAAAAATAAAGCTCCTCCGGCCCCGCCCAATACCTTCTGAAAGAAGGAGGGTTATTATAGAGCATAAATAAAACAGTAGTGATTAATAATGATAATAAAGTTTATCTCTTTACTCACTCAACAGCAATCCTTTTGGGGCAAATCACTTATGATTTCCTTCCAGGACTGAAGAAAACATGCACAGACGGAAGGTGGGGGCTGGTACTGGTGCTGAGCCTGGCATGGGGAGAGAGGAAACAAGAGTGAAAAGACTCTTTCATTCTCCTGGCAAAGGCAGCCTTGCAGCTGGGGCCAGGGTCTGTGGTGCTGATCCATCTGCTGGGCCGTCACCTCCCGAGAGAGCGTGTGTTCCTCCAACCACGCGTGTCTTAGCACCAGTCTCTGGCAGGAGCCAGGAGATGGGGAAGACAATTTAAATGATTCACATAACTTCAAAAAATGTGGATAAGCACTTTATTTTTCTCACAAACCAAGAATATCTACTCAATTTAAACTTTTACCTGCGATCTCTCTTCCTCAGACCCAGGGTCACGAACTTGCCGTCTAACCTGGCAGGTCAGTAAAACCTTACCCCATCAGGTCTTCATCTGTAAGATGAGAAGGTGGCAGCAGAGGTTCCGAAGGCTCCTTCCAGATGAAAACAAATACGATTTTTACATCAGTAGAAATTCAAGGGGCTCACACTTGACTATATGAAAGAGAAAATAAAAAATTATTTGTTTATTTTTCTGTTGGCCTTTTCCTATCATTTTAGCTTACTTATTTCTTCTTTTTGACCCCATTTTTGTGTTTCTTATTTCTTCTATTAACACCACTGGATTAAAGCAAGCAAAAATTTAAAGATTAATATCCTTTTTAAAAATTTCAGACATATAACACACACACACACACACACACATACACACACACCCTGCATGTAGATAAAGCAGCTAGAAATGAAAGCCTAACTGAAACATAATTCCAGTGGTTCTCAAACTTTAGCAGGCATTAGAATCACCTGAAAGATTTGTTAAAATGCATGTTGCTGGACATCAACCCAGAATTTTTAATTTGCTAGGTAAGGTGGAGTCCCAAAATTAACATTTCTTACAGGTTCCAAGTAATACGGATGTTGTTGGTCTGGGACCACACTTTGAAAACCACTGCTTTATAGCACAGCTTCCAAGGAGACTCCAGTGTGTGTTCTGTGTGTACCTTCTCTATGTATGTATGTTCTGTATATATATATGTACAGTACACATATCTCCAATGTATGTTCTCGTCTAATCCCTTAAAGTCATGATGTGCCTCAGGCCATCATTTCTTCCCTTTACTGTTTGTCAGCTGTCACCAAGTTGAGGTGGCAGTGGTGGTTTTCTTTATGTCAAAGCACTTTCCATCTATTCCTAATTGATTGCCTACTGATTTCTTGGTTTCCTTGACTATTTCGTTGAAAGGATCTCAAGCCGCTGTAAAACTTGCATTTTAACATCTAGCGTGACATTCTCCCTCTGTTTAGTGTCATTTTTGTGGCAGATTAAGATCTCCCACCAGCACACTTTCCCATTTAATCCTCCAGCCATTGTAGTTCAAAACTCTTTGCCAGAAATCCTGCATGCCCAGAACACACACACATACACACACACACACACACACACACACACACACAAACACACACACACACACACACACAATGAAAGGCCACTCAAGTCAGGGTAACAAGGTGGAGCCTTTGCAGTGCATTTAGCTAATGCCAATAGAGATGCAGTATAAATAGTTGTACCAAGTTTCCATCTTTCCCTTAAGCAGGATGTAAGCATGAGATTGTAGAAGAAAGGATTCTGTAAACAGATTTATTTCGTGATATTTGGGTAGACAGTTCTTGTTAACATAGAACAACTTTATACTAACTATAGAAAATGCTTTTCAATAAATCCTCCTTGACAATCAGTGTATTCTCAGGTTCTTGTCTTCTGGGAGAGATCTACAGAATAAATTATTCTGGGAAGTGTATGGTATGGCACATAAAGAGGAAGGAGTGGTTATTTGTATGAAATAAAAATGGTAACTGATTTTTAAAAGATACTTACATGACTTAATCTCTGTTAGAGTACCAACATTAAAACTAACTAACAATTATGAGGGCTTATTAGCAGTCTTCTCCAAGGTGAGGAAACAAGATCTGTACTTCAACACTGCCTTCTGCTACCTGCCTGCTCCTTCCTACCTCCCTTTCTGCCCACACAGAGGGTCTTGTCATTTGGCAGGAAGAAAAACGAATCAGGAGCCCTGAAGCAGAGGGCTGCTGCTGTTGCTGGTGATTGATGGGCCTGGGTAATTTCACCTCTGGTGTCAAAAAGATTTAAGTTTCACTTGCAAACTACTTGCCGAATCCAGCCACCTATCTCAGCCCTACCAAGTTTAGCCTACTCTTCGCCCTCACAGGCATTAGGCATTTCTTTCCCATTCACAGTTATCTATGACTTATTTTTTAGTTGCACATATGTTTGTAGCATGTGGTATGTTTCTGCATGTATGTGTATGTGTGTGTATCTGGAGTGAAGATGACTGAGCTTCAGGTCTCACTAGCCTAGATAGAACTTCAAGCCTCCCTTTAAAATGGCCTATGTCAAATAATTTTTTTAAAAAGCTACTTACTTAATGACATCTTTAACACTTCAGATTTCTATACATATCTATAATATCTTACTGATATGGTTTGGCTGTGTCCCCACCCAAATCTCGTCTTAAATTCCCACATGTTGTGGGAGGCACCTGATGCAAGGTAATTGAATCATGGGGGCAGGTCTTTCCCATGCTGTTCTCATGATAGTGAATAAGTCTCACGAGATCTGATGGTTTCATAAGGGGGAGTTTCCCTGCACAAACTCTCTCTTTTTGCCTGCTGCCATCCATGTAAGATGTGACTTGCTCCTCCTTGCCTTCCACCATGATTGTGAGGCCTCCCCAACCACATGGAACTGTAAGTACATTAAACCCTTTTTCCTGTATAAATTACCCAGTCTTGGGTATGTCTTTATCAGCAGCGTGAAAATAAACTAATACACTTACTAAAGAGATTCTACTGTCCCACAAAACTTATTTGACACATTGCCTTGTGTAGAAGCTGTGTTGTGAATTATGACTGTGGGCAGGAGTTATGGTGTTACTCTGCGACTTCTATTAGTATAGATTGGTGGAGACCAGAATAAGAATTTTTGTAGATTTCTTATGTTTTATTATTTACTTATTTATTTGTTTCTTTATTTTTTAAGACAGGATCTTACTCTGTCACCCAGGCTGAAATGTAGTGGGAACTCACCACAGCATTGACCTCCTGAGCTCAGGTACTGGGCTCACCACAGCAGTGACCTCCTGAGCTCCCATCTCAGCCTCCTGAGTAGCTAGAACTACAGTGCTCACCACCACACCCAGCTAATTTTTGTATTTTTTGTAGAGATGGGATTTTGCCATGTTGCCTTGGCTCAAGTGATCCACCCACCTCAGCCTCCCAAAGTGCTAGGATTACAGGTGTGAGCCACCGTGCCTGGCCATGTTTAATTTTTTAATTAGATGGAGGCATGGGAGTGGCCATTCCTTTTGTATGTGTGAATATCTGATTTATTTCTATTGCCATTTATAATGCAAAGATAGATACTTCCTAATTATTTACTCTGGCCAGGGATATTATTTATTTATGGAGCTGATGACAGTATGTGGCTTTTGTGAACTGATCTGTTTCTTGGTTTTGTTTTTATTCTAAATTTAGCTTTTCACATAGTTGTAACCTTGAGCTAATACAGAGATTTGATTGTTTGATCTTTTTTAGCTTTTTGATGGGTAGTCAAGAAGATAACAGCTTTTCTTTTTTATGAAGTCTCGCTCTGTCACTAGGCTGGAGTGCAGCGGTGCGATCATGGCTCACTGCAACCTCTGCCTCCCGGGTTCAAGTGATTCTCCTGCCTCAGCCTCCCAAGTAGCTGGGACTACAGGCATGCGCCACCATGCTCAGCTAATTTTTGTATTTTCAGTAGAGATGGGGTTTTGCCATGTTGGCCAGGATGGTCTCCATCTCTTGACCTCGTGATCTGCCCACCTTGGTCTCCCAAAGTACTGGGATTACAGGCATGAGCCACCGTGCCCAGCGGATAACAGCTTTTAAACAGTTAAAGCTGTTGAAAAATACAACTCCTCTGGGAAGCTACTAAGAATTGGATCCATTCAAAGCTGAAACTGCTTTGAATGGATAACTGTTCTTATCTGTTTGGTAACTGTTCTTATCTGTTTGGTAAATAAAAAGATAGCTGTTCTTATCTGTTGGGTAAATCTAGATTAAACTTTTTGCAATTTGTGATGTAATTGTGTACACTTACCATGGAATTGCTGAGACAACTAACATTAAGGATTGACCCCTTATGGTATGATATACCCCCAGAGAGGGCAAGGGAGGTAGCCTAGGGAGAGAATAGCTGTCAAGTCCTTTCTTGCTTTTACTGCTTATGAGATAATAGGATTCTCCAGAAGTACCCTCTCTCCCCAGAGATTGAGTGAGCCCCACCACCATTAAGTTCAGACACATACTAAGTTTTCCAGAGAGAGGATGCCTAATGACCAACACACTTCATCCAGCTGGAGACCCTGGCACTTAAGACCAGGGAAGGAACTTAACTCTTTTGAAAGGTGCCAGGCCATGTAAACCAGAGCAGTTTTTCTAAATAATAAAATGTTATTAGCCATGAAGATGATTTTACCCCTTCATCCTGTAGCATCAAACCTCCTGGGCTCAGGTGCTGGGCTCCAAATATATGAATAAATACTGATAATAATAACAATGATCATGATAATGCAACTCTTATACATCTAGGGATCACCTGCTTATTTTCAGAGCAAAGTCATGTTCCAGCGGCAGAATTCAGCAGCCACAGAAATTTTAAGAAGTGACTACATTCTTTATTTTTAGTTGATGAAGAACGTTAGAGGGATATGATTCCGACCCTGGGGCAAAATCTTTTAAAAACCCCTCTCTCACGCTCCAGTTTTCTTGTATGCTCCAGAACTTCTCTCATATGTCAACACTAAAACTGTCCCATGAGGCCCTACCTTATGTGGAACTTGCTCTCTTCTTTCCTGCTCTTTCTGTGGCAGATACCTTGGTTTCTATGCAAGCAATCAAAAAATGTCCTCGTTAAGAGGGAGAGACACAGGGACAACTGAGTAGGCATGGTGCTTATTGGAGTACTGCATTGTGTTTTGGAAGGAGAGGATCAGGGAAGGATCTGAACATCCTACTTAATAGTTCTTGCTGCAGCAAAATAGCTGCCCTTCATTATGCCATGGCCACAATGCAACCACATATTAGAGGATCTGTTTGTATTTTCTCATTTAAGACTTGTTAGCCCCATTCTAAAGAAGAGGCATCTGAGCTTCCGAGGGGATGTATTCTCATGGGCCCATTGCCTCAAAGTGGCAAAGTCAGGATCTGAACTCAAATCTTTCTTCCTCCAAAGCCTTTACATCTGCCACTAGTCAGTCACCATGACTGTTATTTTAAATAATTAATTCAAAGGGAAACAAATAGTTTCTATACATTTTCTTTTCTTTTTTTTTTTTTTTTTTTGAGACAGGGTTTCACTCCTGTTGCCCAGGCCAGAATGCAATGGCATGATCTTGGCTCACTGCAATCTCTGCCTCCCAGATCGCTCAAGCAATCCTCTCACCTCAGCCTGCAGAGTAGCTGGGATTGCAGGCGTGTGCCACCACACCCAGCTAATTTTTTTTTTTTATTTTTCGGTAGAGATGGGTTTTGCCATGTTGCCCAGGCTGGTCTCAAATTCCTGGGCTCAAGTGATCTGCCCACATTGTCCTCCCAAAGTGTTGGGATTACAGGTGTGAGCCAGCACATCCGGCCCGATACATCATTTTTACTGATAAAAGCTCCAAAGCTAAAAGCTCCAAAGTATAAAAATATAAAGATGATTAACTCAATTATTATCCAGTAACTTCATAGACTTTTATGCAATCATTTCATTTAAAATAATAAGGAAGCTGTATATTTTATCTAAAGAAGCATACAAGATAATGATTGATTAAAAATTAAATGAAGTTTAGTATATATAATTATAACCATTTAAAAGTAGGCATATACAGAGTTAAAAATCAGAAAAGTCATAAATATGCAAATTACGTCTAGTAAGTCGAAGAAGAAGAGTTCTATTTTTTGCTAAAGTTATTTACATTTTAAATGACTGTTGTTTGTCTTTGAAAGAAAGATTGTCAGTCTTGGGTGGTACTGATCTACTGACTGCAAGCTTCACAAACCCAAGTTCAAACTGGAGAAAACTAAACTCTCATTAATTGCTAGATTGAGACAGTTCATATTCTTCACCTTCTTATCCTATTTTTATCAAAATAGTACTGTACTTGACAGTGGAACAGCCTGAAACAAAATCAACCTAAAGGCCTGCTCTCCTGCCCTGCGTGGGGTACCGTGGTCTTGTTTAAATCAAAGACAAAGTGGTAAATTAGCAGTCTGATGCCGAGAATGTTTAGGCTCATTCCTCTACCAGCAGACACTGAGCATTTCTTTCTTTCTTTCTTTCTTTTTTTTTTTTTGAGACGGAATTTCACTCTTGTTGCCCAGGCTGGAGTGTTATGGTGTGATCTCGGCTCGCCGCAACCTTTGCCTCCTGGGTTCAAGTGATTCTCCTGCCTCAGCCTCCCGAGTAGCTGGGATTACAGGCATATGCCACCACGCCCGGCTATTTTTTTTTTTTTTTAAGGACAGACGGGGTTTCTCCATGTTGGTCAGGCTGGGCTTGAACTCCCTACCTCAGGTGATGAGCCCTCCTTGGCCTCCCAAAGTGCTGGGATTATAGGCGTGAACCACTGCGCCCGGGCAACACAGAGCATTTCTTACTCTCCCCTTCCTTGCTCCACCTGAAGCCTTTAGTAGTCATTAAAGTATAAAAGACTGGTGTCATTTCAAGAGTGGCTTCTCTTGGGGAGATTTGTGTCAGATCTCTAAGCCTTGCTCTCTAAAGGAAATGGAGACTGTAAGCGAAAGAGAATTTGAGGAATTGTTGAGAAGACAGGTAAGAGACACTGAAAGCCGACCTCATTGTGTGACTCAAGGTCACCTTTATGCTGGGGGAAAGACTGCCTTCCTGAGGGGCTGTATCCTCAGAGGAAAATGTTCTTCATTTTATATCATTAAAATAACACTTCTGGTGTTTATGACTCTCATGAAAGAGTGAATTTTGGAAAGGAGACCTTACTATGCCTATAGAAGATAGTTTTCTGTAGTTATATGTTAGTTCATGCGTTTTCTCTGAAGAAGGACTTCTTTGTCCTGAAGGTATCTGTGGGTTTTCTCTTATAGAAAACAGGTGTGAAAGTTCAGTGTTCAACAGCTCTACCATTCTCTTTAACAGATTTATTTTATCTTATTTTATTTTATTTATTTTTTGAGGCTCCCGCTCTATCACTGGGCTGGAGTGCAGAGGCATGATCCCAGCTCACTGCCGCTTACACCTCCCAGGCTCAAGCAATCCTCTCACCTCAGCCTCCTGAGTAGCTGGGACTGCAGGCGTGTGCCACCACACCCAGCTAAGTTTTGTATTTTTTTCATAGAGATGGGGTTTCAACATGTTACCCAGGCTGACCTCGAACTCCTGGGCTTAAGTGATCCGCCCACCTTGGCTTCCCAGTGTTGGGATTACAGGCATGAGCCACTGTGCCCAGCAAGCAAATTTATTATAAATTTCATTTTGTCTTTTATAATTCATCATAAGATGCCTCACTTTGCTCTAAGTATCAAGCTTTGTTTCATTCTCTGAGCTCCTAGAAGGCAAGACTTTCTGTGTACCAGTGAGGGGTTGTAGTTGATAGCTGTGATTTGAGAAGGTATTTCACAAGCAAAATCATTTTATCTGTGCCACCCTCTGTGTATTTCTATTGCATTTTTATGCTCATTGTATTTAAAAAGGTACCTAACAACAAAGAGCCAACAATTTCACCCTCCCATTCCATTGCTTATACCTTCTGCTTCATTTCATGTGTCTGACCTACATACAGAGTCTGTGTCATGGTCCTGGGTCTATACTGTAGCCCAGATAATACCTTAGAGATATTTTTCTTAATGAAGAACACTGGTTTATAGTCCAGTATACTGGAATATACATATGGAATTTAAATTGGGTGACACTGAACTCATATAAAGCTGGAGGGTAATGCAAACCATATTTTTCTCTTTATACTCTCCTGCTTCCTGATAGGCTGCTGTGGCCTAGAAAGAGCTCTTCTCTGGGTTTCTGGAGAAATAGAATAGAACTCCCATCTGGAATTCATTAGCTTATCTTATCAGGATCTTGTGCAATTCTCTTAATCATTCTGAGTCTCATATGGAATGTAATAATAATAGTGGCTATGTTGCAAGGTGCTATAAAGATTATCGGAAGTAATGTGCATAGAAATCTTTTTTACTTTGTCAACTACAGATATTCAGTTATTTTTCCACCCCAAGACTGTCCTGGCCTCATTTTGGGGGTCAACTGAAGACTAAGGACACTCAGGGTGTTCTTCAGCTCTTCCTCTCACCCCTATGTCTGTGTCTATAGACTCCACCCCTTTCTTTCCTCTACTGCTACACTCATTTTCAGGTACCCATCACCATTCCAGCAGCCTCCCGACTCTTTGTCTAGACCTCCTGGGAATCACCAAAGTCAAACTTTCCTGAGATTTCCAAAGTGTTAAACTTTTTAAGCCTTACCTTATATCTATATATTCTATATTTTTCTTTTCTTTTCTTTTCTTTTCTTTTCTTTTCTTTTCTTTTCTTTTCTTTTCTTTTCTACGGAGTCTTCCTCTGTCGCCAGGCTGGAGTGCAGTGGTGCGATCTTTGCTCACTGCAACCTCTGCCTCCTGGGTTCAAGCGATTCTCCTGTGTCAGCCTCCCAAGTAGCTGGGATTACAGGTGCCCACCACCATGCCTGGCTAATTTTTGTATTTTTAGTGGAGATGGGGTTTCACCATGTTGGCCAGGTTGATTTCAAACTCCTGACCTCAAGTGATCTGCCCACCTTGTCCTCCCAAAGTGCTGGGATTATAGGCATGAGTCACAGCGCCTGGCATCCTATTTTCTATGTATTTCTTACTTAGAAATAAACACCAATGTTCTTTAGGCTCTAACATGCTGACATCGAAAGAAAATCCTCTTGGCTTCACTTCTTTCATCCTATGTTTCAGATTGTCAATAGCCATCTTCCTAAAACCCATTTCTAATTATTCTGTGCCTCTGCCTAAGAACCTTCTTTGAATTCTCACTGCCTAAAGATCAAAGTCCAAATCGCTTAACATGTCCTACAAGGCTCTTTGCATCTAGTCCCAGCCAAGCTTGTTTCAGTGCACTACATTCCCTGCACCCACTGACTAGCCACACGGAACTGAATGCACTTCCCTATGTAGGTCATGCATTTCCAACTCTCTTTACTCTTGCTCCTTCTCTTTCTTTAGTCTGGAATTTCTGTATCCCTCTTATAAGCCGGATAGATTCAACACTGCTCTTTCAGGACCCAGTTTGGAAATGTCACCTTCTCTGTGACACCTCACTCAATTCTTCCAGACAGATTTTGTCCGTCTTCTCAGTTCCCGTTCCATGGCTGGCATTTATTCAGTGCTTACTATGGCTCAATGTGCTCTGACTGGTATTTCTAGGCCCACTAAAACAAGGAGCTGTGTCAGGACTGCATACATCTAATCATTTTGCCTTTCTCACACCATCTTGAATATGTTTTTATTATACTGAATTGCAGCTATTTGTTCCCATGTCTTCCTTTTCCAATCTAAGCTCCTAGACTTTTTAATCTCTATGCCCCTCCCTTGGCCTAGTAACTGGCAACCAGTAGAATCTCAGGAATTTTTCACTGAAATTAAAAGCAGTACCACATGAAATTAAACTCCATCCAGAATCCTCCTAGACATCAGAGCCCCTATTAGTGGTCTCATCACTAATATAACCAGTTATTTTGCTTATCTAGCTCAACTCTTTAGCAAAATTGACACAATCCATCACTCTCTCTTTAAAACACTTTCATTCCTTCATTTCCATGGCAGCAGTCGCATCACCTTCCTCCTCTCTCTGCTTTCTCAGTTTTTTTTGTCGATGTTTTCATCACTACTCAATTTACAAATACAGTGGTGCTCCAGGGCTCTTCCCTGGGCGCTATTCTCTTCTCTAGCAACACATGGTCTTGAAGCAACCTCACTAAGACCTATGGCTTTACATACCACCCATGCTGATGAACAGACCTCCAAGCTCATATATTCTGCTGCCTGGCAGTTGTGTCTACATGGCGTCGCACTATCACAACATGACTGTGATGGGATTTAATGGAACTGTTGATGTCTACTGCCAAACTCACTTCTCCTTCACTCATCCCCATCTCAGTGAATGATACCACCCAGCTACTCAAGCCAAAAATCTAGAAGTCATCACTGACTCCTCTCTTTCCCCTATATCCTACATTTAATTCACCAGCAGATTCTGTTGCTGCTGCCTCTAAACATGTCTTGGCTCTCTCCCTTCCCCGCTGTCAGTACTGTTCCAACCTCGCCTAAGTCATCACATGTCTTTCCTAGACTACTACACTGGTCTTCACATGGAGATCCTCGCTTCTATTCATGCCTCTTACCTTCTCCAAAGCGTCTCAATTGATCTTCTTAAAATGCATTATAGGGTTGGAGTGTGGTGACTCACACTTGTAATCCCAGCACTTTGGGAGGCTGATGGGTGCATCACTTGAGGTCAGGAGTTCGAGACCAGCCTGGCCAACATGGTGAAACCCCATCTCTACTAAAGATACAAAAGTTAGCAGGGTGTTGTGGTGTGCACCTGTAATCCCAACTACTCGGGAGACTGAGGCAGGTGAATCACTGGAACCGAGGAGGCGGAGGTTACAGTGAGCCAAGGTTGTGCCACTGCACTCCAGCCTGGGCAACAGAGCAAGACTCTGTCTCAAAAAACAAACAGACAAACAAAAAACCCCAATATTATAAATCAGATCAAGCCCATTCCTTGCTTAAAATCTTCAACTAGCTTCCTGTTGTATTCAGAGTAAAATCTGAATTCTTCAGCAGAACTTACAAAGCTTCCATGACCGGCTTCTGTCTAGTTTACTGATTTCATCTTAAGCCATTTCCCTCTTGCTTACTATGACATAGACAAGCTGTCTTTTTGTTTGTTTGTTTGTTTGTTTCTTGAACTTGTCACTTCATTTCTTAGGGCTTTTGTACTAACTCTTCCTCTTCCTGGAAAGCTGTTGCTCCTGATCCTTTTATGGCTGGCTACTCTTTGTCACTCAACCTAAATGTCACATCCTTATAGGACCCTTCCTTACTTACCACCCAATCCACAGTACTTACCTCTCACTCTCTTTTCATACTACTCTATTTTTTCTTTATATGAAGTGTATTAAATCTCATTTTTGACTTTTTAAAATCAATTTTATATTTTCCTAATGAAATAGACACTCCACATGAGAGCAGCCACTTCGCTTTTTGTGTACATTCCCAGTGTTTCTTGCCTCTAAGACATATGTCTTAGAGATTTGTTGGATGACTGAATTTGTCCACTTCAGTCCAGTCCAGGATTCCTCAGCCACTTGTGAGCCCGAAGAATAATAATAAGTTCAACTTCTTAACTCATCAGATTAGAGGACCAAGCTCCTAATTATTATTTAAATGTATACATCCTTGAAATATAACTGAAATTTAGATATGGGTCACAAATGCTCTTAACTTTTAATAGCACTTCTTCCTTTCTTTACTTTTTTTTTTTTTTTTTGAGATGGAGTCTTGCTCTGTCACCCAGGTTGGAGTGCAGTGGTGCGAACTTGGCTCACTGCAACCTCCACCTCCTGGGTTCAAGCGATTCTCCTGCCTCAGCCTCCTGAGCAGCTGGGGCTACAGATGCACACCACCACAGCCAGCTAATTTTTGTGTTTTTAGTAGAGACAGGGTTTCATCATGTTGGCCAGGATGGTCTCCATCTCTTGACCTCATGATCTGCCAGCCTCAGCCTCTCAAAGTGCTGGGATTATAGGTGTGAGCCACCACGCCGGGCCAGCATTTCTTTTTTAAGATACAAAAAGGAAATAAAATGAAGCATTCTATATAGTCCTCAAAAGTATTTGTTACTTATTATCACCCAGTGAAAAATTGCTTTGATCACTTTCATAGTTAGCATGCTTCAATACCACTGACTCATCACTCATTCACTCTGCTTTTCCTGTTTGAATCATTATCCAGATGACAGGTGTATCAAGCACAAGCACAGATCACTGCCTTCTTAGGTAGTGCATTCTTGGGTGAAATAATTTTTCCTAAGGTTAAATAAAATCTTTCAGACATGAGTGGATTGCAACGAAACCATTCTGCTCTCTGGTATAGACCTGAAGTTAGCACAAATGTTCAGACCCAAATGTTATCTTTTAACTGTTCACAAGCTCTGATGGTCAAGTTCAAGTATTCAGTTTTTAGTTCAGTCAAACAATTCTCCACTTATTTATGCCAACATAAGAGGGGCCAGCTCCTCAAATAAACCCATTTTGAGAGCATCTAATTCAGTCTTTAAGAAAAATGATTTTTTCGTCTTTAATTATACCTGAAGCAAAAATTTTTCTTGCATTCTCAATGTGTTATGTTCTATTAAAACACTGGGAAGGGCCAGGCATGGTGGCTCATGCCTGTAATCCCAGCACTTTGGGAAGCCGAGGCAGGTGGATCACCTGAGGTTGGGAGTTTGAGACCACCCTGGCCAATATGGCGAAACCTTGTCTCTACTAAAAATACAACAATTAGGTGGGTATGAGGGGTGGACACCTGTAGTCCCAGCTACTTGGGAGGCTGAGGCAGGAGAATCACTTGAACCCGGGAGGCAGAGGTTGCTGTAAGCCGAGATTGTGCCACTGTACTCCAGTCTGGATGACAGCGTGAGACTATGTCAAAAACAAAACAAACAAAAAACACTCATAAATGTAAGTAAGAAAGACATGGAAAATGATGTAAGGCTATACTACATTTTATAAACAGCATCTTTTAAACTTTCTCTTTTTTGAGTGATCTTTACTTTTTTCCTTTAAGAAACAGTGTTGTTCAAAAGGGAGACTTTCTAGTATAGATAGCATCTATTTAGATATCATTCCTAGCAGCAGCAGGATTTTCTCTGATGATACAGAGCTGTTAGCTAGAGATTGGTGTAGTCACTCATGGACCACTGAGTTTCAGGTGCAGACATTATTATATCCAGTGTACACATTCCACACAGTTAAGATGGATTTGTTTACCCTAAGTTTTCTCCAGAGAGTCTCTAAAAGGTAAAACTGGTAAAAACTAACACAACAGAGATGAGGTAAGCCATTTGAAGAAACAATTCACTCTACCATTTATGGTTTTTTGGTTGCAAGAAACAGAAACTGACTTTAACTTTAGAAAAATTGTTCGGGAGAATGATGTTGGAGGCTGTCAGCATCAATTAGTGACTATGACATTGGGCTTAGGGATGGGCAAGGACCAAGGTCATTCCAGAGGCAAGGAAGCTGGAAACACAATCACGTCATAGCAGGGATAGACCAGTTCGTGTGGAATAGAATGAAACTCTGACATTTTTCAGTCTCCCTCTGCTCAAGAGTCAGATTCTTAGAAAAGAGCATCTGCTTGGTGAACTGCTTGGCGAGGGGAGGGTGGAGCCCTTGATTACCTATCTAATGGGGAGGAGGTCCTAGCGAAACTGGATGGTGGGCAGCCAATAGCAGCATCTACCATAGCTGCCCTAAAAAATAGTAACCTTATTTATTTATTTTTTGAGACAGTGTCTCACTCTGTCACCCAGGCTGGAGTGCAGCGGTGTAATCATAACTTACTGCAGCCTGGACCTCCTGGGCTCAAGCAATCTTCCCACCTTGGCTTCTCTAGTAACTTAGACTATAAGCGTGCACCACCATGCCTGGCTAATTTTTAAAATTTTTTGTGGCGATGGGGTCTCCCTTAGCACTTCATTTTTTAAAAAAATAATTTAATATAGAGCCAAGGTCTTGCTATGTTGCCCAGGTTGGTCTTGAACTCCTGGCCTCAAATGAACCTCCCACTTTGGCCCCCCAAAGTGTGGGATTGCAGACATGAGCCACCATGCCTCACCAATAGTACATTTACTGATCATGAAGACTGGGGAACTGCCAATGTTCAGTAGAGTTAACTAGGTTGAATACCTCGGATTGAAAATATAAAGAAATCGGTAAGAACTTTGTTTTATTCCATCAGTGGACAGCAGTCTGCATGGAACCTCAAAATGGAGTTGGGAGTAAGGCAAAATTTGCTACCTCTGTATTACTGTCCAGAAGGGAACATTCTCAGTAAAGAATCCTTCTGGCTAGTGTCTTTGAGCTACAATGCACTACATGGGTTTGTATCTGGCATAGTTGCTGGGGAAAGCATACATGCCAGCTTAGCTGATGCTTTCAACTTGCTTAACATTCGTAATATTCCCTGCCAATATTTAAATCAGAAATAATCAAATTTTGGGTTTTAAATTAGTCTTATATGAGTTTGTACGAAATCTTATATGAAGCAATTCCTGACCTGGTCTGTAAATTCTAGAAGGCTAAAAAACTGAATTCTTCAGTCTACAGAGCTAAGAAAGAAATATGGGGTTGTAGTGACTCCACCAACTTACTGTCTGCATTGTGATCCTTCTTAAGAACACTATGTCTCCCTCTGTGCCATCCCTTCTTTTAAAGCTCAATACAATATGTCAGGGAATAAATGAAAAAATAAAATTAGAAAGAACTTTTTAAAAAAGGTACAAGTATATGCAGACAAGGGGCAGACTGATCAGGAGAAAGGTATGAAAGAACTGTATTGATGTAAGCCAAAATACACACAGGACATTGTAGCAGATGATAGTTATAATGAACAGTGGATTATTTATTGTAGAGAGGAATAGTATAAAATAGATGTTATAGATGTTAATTTACAACCCCAACTAAAAGACGTAGTGGGTACAAATGTGAACTCTAATTTGTAGTCTAAACCTCCAGCACCTGGATGCTTTCACCAATCTGTCTTTCTCACTATAAATGATGGGATAAGGACTTTGGGAATTTTTTTCTTAATTACAGAGTTACTTATATAACAGTTACATAAAGGGTATGTAGACTGACTTTTCATTTTGCCCACACATAAAAGATAGTTTTTTAAATTGGTAGTAGAAATGATACTGTGTGTTTCCATGATCATACAAAATTGACTAAAGGTCAGCAGTTCATGTAATCTTACCAAAATATACAAGGTCCTTTAAAAGTAGGGAATGGTATTGATATCTTGTGGCTTCTCAAACTTAAAAAAAACCTCTTGCCTAGTGTAATTCATTGTAAATAGTCTGATTAAATTATTTTGTAAAAAGGAAAATAATTATAAAAATATTATTAAGTAATGCAGAAATATTTGTAGCCCATTTCTCAACTTTTAGCTTTATAACTGCTCAGAAACCTTTGAAGGACTTCCCTCTTTGGGTTTAAGATGGGTTGACTTATGACTTCTGAATTGCATTAGTAGATTAGTTACTACTTATGAACCAAAGAATATTGGTCAACATTTTCCACAAGGCAGTGCATTTGTATATGTTTTTGATTTATGTTAGAAAAATCAGAGCCTCCACTTGAACTTGGTATGAGTCATAGTCACTAGTCATAAGTGGCTGATGAATCCCACCTCAATCTGGAAAGTGGCAGACACTAGCCAGTTGGAGATCACCTGGACCGAATGAGGAGGGAACATAAAAGCCAAGCCATGCCAGCCTCTCCCCTCAGGTCAGTGCAGTGGAAGGAGCATAACAACAGCTGGGAGCATGAAGTATGGAGGCAGATCCATCCAGATTTGAATCCTGGCTCCCTTTCCTACTAACCATCGGAACTTGGACTAGTTACCTAGCCTCTCTTAGCCTTATCTGTAAAGAAAGAATAAAATGATCTATTTCATAGATTTACTGTGAGGATTAATGAGTAATAAACATATAAAGTGCTTAGCACAGTACCTGATACAGAGCAAACCTCCAGTGAAATCTATCTCTAAAAAATTACAAAACCAAAATATGCAAATTCAATGAGACACTATTTCATACCTATTAGAATGGCTATTGTTTTAAAAATAGGGAGGGCAGGCATGGTGGCTCACACCTGTAATCCCAGCACTTTGGGAGGCCAAGGTAAGTGGATCACTTGAGGCCAGGAGTTAGAGACCAGTCTGGCCAACATGGTGAAACCCTGTCTCTACTAAATACAGAAAACTTAGCCAGGTGTGGTGGCATGCACTTGTTATCCCAGCTACTTGGGAAGCTGAAGCACGAGAATCGCTTGAACCTGGGAGGCGGAGGTTGCAGTGAGCCGAGATCACACCACTGCACTCCAGCCTGGGTGACAAACTGAGACTCTTGTCTCAAAAAAAAAAAAGGGAAAATAACAAATATTAGTGAGGATGTGGAGAAATTGGAACACTTGTGCATTGGTGGTGGGAATGTAAAATGTTGCAGCTTCTGTGTAAAAGTCTGGTGCTTCCTTAAAAACTTAAATAAACAATTAAATTACATGTGATCCAGCAATTCCACTCCTAGGAATACACAAAAGAATTGAAAGAAGGAGCATAATACTTTTCCACCAATGTCATAACAGCATTATTCACGGTAACCAAAATATGGAAACAACCCAAGTGTCCATCAATAGACAAATTAGATAAAAAATATTGGAATATAATCCAATGGAATAGTAGCCAGCCATAAAAAGAAATGAAAGTCTGATACATGCTACAGTGTTCATGCTACATATGAAAACATTATGCTAAGTGAAATAAGTCAGCTACAAAAGGATAAATATTGTGTGATTCCACTTATATGGGATACCGATAACCGGCAAATTCATAGACAGAAAGTAGAATAGAGCTTTCCAGGAGCTGGAGGTAAGGGGAAAAGGGAAGTTACTGTTTAATGAATACAGAGTTTCTGTGTGTTATGAAAAAGTTCTGGAAATCACTAGTCTACTCTCTACTTCTAGGATACGAACTTTTCTAGATTCCACATGTGAGATCATGCACTATATGTCTTTCTGTGCTTTTGCATATTTCACTTAGCATGTCCTTTAGGTTCATCTATGTTATGGAACGTCACACTGTACCCCATAAATACATAGAGTTATGTATCAATTAAAAACAAAGCATAAAAAATGTTTTTTAAAAATTCTGGAAATGCATAGTGGGGATGGTGTACAACACTGTGAATATACTTAATGTCACTGAATTGTATACTTAAAATAGTTAAAATAATAAATTTTATGTTATGTGTATTTTCCCATGATAAAAAACATTTGCAAGGCCAGGCGCGGTGGCTCATGCCTGTAATCCCAGCACTTTGGGAGGCCAAGGCGGGCGGATCACGAGGTCAGGAGATCGAGACAACGGTGAAACCCCGTCTCTACTAAAAATACAAAAATTAGCCGGGCGTGGTGGTGGGCGCCTGTAGTCCCAGCTACTCGGGAGGCTGAGGCAGGAGAATGGCGTGAACCTGGGAGGCGGAGCTTGCAGTGAGCAGAGATCATGCCACTGCACTCCAGCCTGGGCAACAGAGCGAGACTCCATCACAAAAAAAAAAAAAAAAATTTGCAAAACAAGACCAACGTTGACTATGTCCGCCTGTGGACCAGCTTGCCATTTCCACACCTAAAATATCCTTTCTGATATTTCTTCTTTGCCAATTTCCCTGCCTCTGACTTGAACTCTACATGCCCACTCCTGACCATGCATGTGCCAGAATCATGCTCAAGCCCATAACCACCTGGCCAGTCAGGCTCCCTCACTCTTCACCTGCGTTCTCCTTTCTCCCCAGGAGTTCCCCTTGCCTGATGCTTCCACCCTCCTTTTATGTCCCTAACTGTCCCTCTGCCTGTGATGAGGGGATTGTCTAGCATGCTCTACTCTCACCCTCTGGCTTAGGTCCCCTTCCTGTAGGGGCTTTGCTGCCCTGTTTGTCAACACCTGCATTGGGTGAGGGCGTGTGTGATGCACCTTCTCTGCCTGTTACCATCCCCAGGTGCCCAGCACACATATATCATATCACAACGGTGGAAGTCAGGCTGAGGGCACTGTTGAAATCACATTCTCTTCTTTTCAATAGATTCCAACTTTTGTGAAAAAAAAGTGATACTTAAATTTGGGAGGAAGTGATAAATTTACCATATTCTTCATCTGTAGCAAATGCTAATAAAAAATTTCAACACATGTATGGTGAAGAATACTGCATGATGTATACTGGTTGGAGATAACTGTGTCTTGGTGACATGTCTCTATTTCAGGGATAGAAATTGTTGGGTCCATGTACTCTGCCCACTCCCTCCAATACAAGTGAGTCTTCAAAGCAGCCTCAAAAATAACTAGTTGTTACAAAACTTATTGAACCATAATATGATTCTTCATTACTAAAGAACAACAAACTGTAATCGGCTCCACTGGAGAAGGCATTACCTTCAGGCGAAAATCTTTTAATATAATAAATGCATTTTCTTGGTAATGTGTCCTGTACACCCTGACATTTCAAATATTCATTTAGCATAATAGTGATTCCACTAAGAGCAAATAAGCCTAGTGCTATTTAGACATATCAGCTATCAGAAAAATATTCAGGGAAGCAAATTCTTTTTTTTTTTTTTTTGAGATGGAGTCTCGCTCTGTTGCCCAGCCTGGAGTGCAGTGGTGCGATCTCGGCTCACTGCAAGCTCCACCTCCTGGGTTCACGCCATTCTTCTTCTGCCTCAGCCTCCTGAGTAGCTGGGACTACAGGCGCCCACTGCCATACCCGGCTAATTTTTTGTATTTTTAGTAGAGATGGGGTTTCACTGTGTTAGCCAGGATGGTCTCAATCTCCTGACCTCGTGATGTACCTGCCTTGGCCTCCCAAAGTGCTGGGATTAGCAAATTCTTTTATGCATGCACGTGTGAACCCAAAAGTATCTGAAATAAGTCTCAATCAAATTAGAAAGTTTATTTTGCCAAGGTTAAGGACATACCCATGACACAGCCTCAGGATGACATGTGCCCACAGTGGTTGGGGTACAGCTTGCTTTTGTATCATTTGGGGAGACATAATACCACATCAATACATGTAAGATTTACATTGGTTTGATCTGGAAGGGTAGTCGAAGTGGGGGCTTCTAGGTCATAGGTAGATTTAAAAATTTTCTGATTAACAATTGGTTGAAAGAGTTATTATCAATAGAAAGGAATGTCTGAGTGATGATAAGGGGTTGTGGAAACCAAGGTTTTATCATGTGGAAGAAGCCTCCATGTGGCAGGCTTCAGAGAGAACAGATTATAAATGTTTCTTATCAAGCTTAAGGTCTGCGTTGATGTTAATGCTGATTGGTTTTTCCTGAATTCCAAAGAGGAGTAAGTTATAACCCCCTTCCGCATCATGGTCTGAACTAGTTTTTCAGGTTAACTTTGGAATGCCTTTGCCCAAGAAGAGGGGTACATTCAGATGGTTGGGGGGGCTTAGAATTTTATTTTTTGGTTCACACATGCATTCCACAAATATTAACAATATTAACAAGTATTGAGTACTATGTGTCAAGCATTGTTCTAGGTACTAGGGTTACAGGGTTAAAGAAATGTGGGTGGTTATTAGGTTTTTTCTTTCCTTTCTATTCTTTAAGCTTATATTTGTTTTTTTATCTGAAGTATTATTGACCCAAGGCCCTCTTAAACTCTAATTTTCAAGTTTTTCAAGGGTGGCCAACAAGGCCATACGCTATAGGGATACATATCCTATCATTTGTCCAGACAGTCCTACTTCTCTTTCTTAGGAAGTTTCTCTGATTCTTTGATACAGTTTTCCACGTCTACCTCAAACAATGTGCATAGATAAAACTTTGTAGAAAAAAAAATCTTTATTAAACTGTAATGCAATTTGTGTATCCAAAATAGAATTGACTGCTCTTCTTTTCTCTTTATGAAGCTTTATCAGGAAACCTAACTAATCACTAGAATTCTGAAATTTGAATATGTATAATCTGTTAACTTTGGCTTATGTGAATTATAGGGCATTAGGGAAATTAGCTTTACAATCTTACTTGCAGAAGAATATTCAATTTTCTTTCAGTCTCAGCTGTATCCATTGGAAATTGGCTATAGGGATTTCAACAAAAAGGAAATCTATGATTATTGCATTAGGATTTATTAGAGGCAAAAAATGAGCCTATTAGTTAGGAACTACAACGTAAGTTGTATTTTGGCTGTTTATACTATAAAGCAGCTGTGGAAAACAAGACTATCCCTGGTCCCTGGTAGAAACGGGATTTTAGAATAGCAAGATAGTTTCAGAGTCCATTGCATCCATCCCATTTGAAGTCTCCAAAGTTTTTTTCTTTTAAATGAAACCCTAGCCATCCTTAAATACAAGAATGCTAATTGGTTAAGGAGTAACTAAAAATTTGTCCAAGCACAAAGAGGTTGACTATATAGGCAACTAAAAAACTCGACATTTCTTTTTGTAGCCATGAATTTGGAAAGAAAATTTCTAATCCATATACTTTTGCAGACTTCTTGCCTTATCTTTATAAAAGGCCTGGGATTCACTATAAGACCTACCTCATGATGTGAAGATTTTGGAAGCTCTCAGCAAGAAAATAACACAAGCTCTATGGGTGCTCAATAGCAGCACATCAACCCTACTCAGGCAATGAAAATACTGAATAGGAGCATTTCCTGGGCACATTAGTTATCCTTTGGCCACTATAACAAATGACCACAAATTTAGTAGCTTAAAACAGCACACATTTATTCTCTTCACAGTTCTGGAGTTCCAAATCCCAGGATAGGTCTTTTAGGGCTCCAACATCATGGCATCCATAGGGCTGGTTCCTTCTGAATCCCCCGGGAAGAATCTGCTCCTTGCTTCTTCCAGCTTTAGAGGGTGGCCACATTCCTTGGCCCATCACCACTTCCTCCCATCACTTCAATCTCTTGCTTTGATACTCAACATTTCTTATTGTTCCTTCTTACGAGGTTATTCCTGTGATTACACTGAGCCCACCCATATAGCATCCCCAACTCAAGATCCTTAATTAATCACATCAACCAAGTCTTTTAACATGTAAGGTAACATTCCTTACAGGTACCAGGGATTAGGGCGTGGGCACTTTTGGGGTGCCATTATTCAGCCTACCACACTAGGCAATTTCAGGCCAGTCACTTAACTATTGCAAACCTCTCAAATGAAGAAAAAAAAATGAAAGAAGACATTTTGTATAACCCTGGATGGATGATACAACATTAGCAGCTAATGCCACCCAGTTCTGTGGATCCATGAAAACATTACCCCAATCAGAAGAATCTGCATCACTCCTTACACCAGTCTGTTCTCTCCCGAATGTAAACTCAGGAAGGCAGACCACCCCACTTATAAGTAGTTGTTGAATAAAGTCAAGTAAAAAAAGCAATTGTTGCTACATACTATTGCATCCTCTCCTCCTATTTTGTGGATTAAATACATCAACAATATCTTTCTGGTATATTCTTTGGCACAATATTTCATTAACACGCAATTATAGTTTGTTCCATATTTAGGGCCACATACCTGACCTACCAATCCAAACTGTCATTGTGTAATTCTTCCTAAATATCCTGGCATCCCTCTTTATTCAAGAAACCATAAAGCACAACACAAAGTATGGCCATAACCTGCTACCATTATTAATCTTTACTATACAGCTTTGCTCTTTGACCTCTACCTATTTTGATCTGCAATTAACCCATACAAGGCCTGAGAAGAGTTGAGAGACAGATCCTCAGGCTGTCCAGCCTCCACCCCATCTCTGCCCTTATGTTTTTTTTTCTATGTTCTATTCTAGAAGATTTATAGTATTAGCTCCCATATTTGGATCTGTGACTCATTTTGAGATAGGTTTTGTTTATGGCATAAGGTGAGGGTCAATATTTTTTCCATGTGGGTATCCAATTATTGCAGAACCATTTGTTGACATGCCTGTGCTTTTCCCATTGAATGTCTTGGTAGCTTCATGGAAAAACAATCGAACATAAATGTAAGGGTTGATTTCTGGACTCTCAGTTCCAATTCATTGATCTAGATGTTTATCCTTAAACCATGATTTTTCTTTTCTTTTTCTTTTTTTGAGACCGAGTCTCACTCTGTCACCCAGGCTGAAGTGCAGTGGCACAATCTCAGCCCACTGCAACCTCCCTCCTGGGTTCAAGCAATTCTCCTGCCTCAGCCTCCTGAATAGCTGGGATTACAGGTGCCTGCCACTGTGCCCAGCTAATTTTTATATTTTTAGTAGACATGGGGTTTCACCATGTTGGCCAGGCTGGCCTCGAACTCCTGACCTCAGGTGATCCACCTGCCTCAGCTTCCCAAAGTGCTGGGATTACAGGCGTGAATCACTGCACCCTGCCTTTACACCATAATTTTTAATTTAAGCTTTTTATTATTTTATTCTTTCTGCTTGCTTTTGCTTTAATTCGCTTTTATTTTCCTAGTTTTAGTTTAAGTAGAGGTTTAGGCTGTTGTATTTGAGATCTTTCACCTTTTGTGATATAGGTGTTTAAGGCTGTAAATTTACCTTTAAGCACAGCTTTAGCCAAATCGTATACATTTTGGAATTTAGTATTTTTGTTTTAATTCAGCCAAAATATTTTCTAATTTCCTTTGTGATTTCTTCTTTGACCCATGGATTATTTAGGAAATGTGTTTGTTATATAGATAAATTACATGTCATGGGGGTTTTGTGTACAAATTTTGTCACCCAGGTAATAAGCATAGTACACAATAGGTAGTTTTTTGATGCTCACCGTCCTCCACCCTCTACCCTCAAATAGGTCCCAGTGTCTATTGTTCCCTTCTTTGTGTCCATGTGTACTTAATGTATAGCTCACACATATAAGTGAGAACATGTGGTGTTTGTTTTTCTGTTCCTGTGTTGATTCACTTAGGATAATGGCCTCTAGCTCCATCCATGTTGTTGCAAAGGATATGATTTCATTCTTTTTTATGACTATTTAGTATTCCATGGTGTATTTGTACCCTTTTCTTTATCCAGTCTACTGCTGATGGCATCAAGGTTGATTCTGTGTCTTTGCTATTGTGAATAGTGCTGTGATAAACATATATGTGTGTGTGTATTTAT
Source organism: Homo sapiens (assembly GCF_000001405.40). Lineage (NCBI taxonomy): Eukaryota > Metazoa > Chordata > Mammalia > Primates > Hominidae > Homo > Homo sapiens. The sequence goes on from NC_000013.11 coordinate 36,393,185, forward strand.
GGTAGAATAATTTATATTCCTTTGGGTATATACCCAATAATAGAATTGCTGGGTAAAATGGTAGTTCTAAGTTCTTTGAGAAGTCACCAAACTGCTTTCCGCAGTGGCTGAACTAATTTACATTTCCACTAGCAGTGTATAAGCATTTCTTTTTCTCTGCAACCTCACTAGCATCTGTTATTTTTGGACTTTTTAATAATAGCCACTCTGACTGATGTAAGATGGTCTCATTGTGGTTTTGATTTGTATTTCTTTAATGATTATTAGTGATGTTGAACATTTTTTCATATGCTTGTTGGCCTCGTGTAAGTGTTCTTTTGAAAAGTGTCTGTTAATATCCTTTGCCCACTTTTAAATGGGGTTGTTTGCTTTTTGCTTGTTAATTTGTTTAAGTTCCTTATAGATTCTGGATATTAGACCTTTGTCAGGTGTGTTTGCAAATGTTTTCTCCCATTCTGCAGGCTGTCTGTTTACTCTATTGATAGCTTCTTTGGCTGTGCAGAAGCTCCTTAGTTTAATTAGGTCCCATTTATTGACTTTTGTTTTTATTGCAATTGCTTTTGGCATATTTGTCATGAAATCTTTGCCAGGGCCTATGTCTAGAATGATGTTTCTTATGGTTTTTTTTCAGAGTTTTTATAGTTTCAGATTTTACATTTAAGACTTTAATCCATCTTGAGTTGATTTTTGTATATGGTGTCAGAAAGGAGTCCAGTTTCAATCTTCTGCATATGGCTATCCAGATGATGTGTATGACAAGTACCTGGGGAGCTAGCTACTCTTTTTTTTTTTTTTTTTTTTTTGCTGTCTATGTAAGTAGTAAAATGAATCTGGAAGTGACTTGTGTCTACCAGCCAAATCAGTCAAGCCTTGGCATTGGCATTGGCCTTAGCTTGCTTTGCTGTTTGTATGTGACACACCTGTGTAAGGCCTTTTATGCAACAAGGGATACGTCAATAGCTAAGACCTCCCTGGTCCCTTCTAAGCATCCATGAGGTCTCTGCAGTGCAGAGCCTTCCAGGCCATCAGGGATATATGGAGACTTTTCAAGTCCTACTGTGGTTGTCTCATGCCCTTGATCTCTCTGTTAAATTTCTGGCTGCAAGCCTGCTGATCTGCTATTTGCCCCCACCAGGATGGCAACCTGAGGCTAGCTGCAACTAGGCCTTACTCACTGTTTTGCTTCCAAGCTCACTACAGTTTCCAACAATGCCCAAGGGCATGGGGATTTTCTGTGCTCTGCTTCACATAAAGTCAGCCCTCTTTGGCAAAGTATATTTTCACAGCCTGCCCTATCCTGGTAACGTTAAGGGCTGATGGAGCTGGGGTACAGGGCAGATGGGATGAGAGCAGCCCTGGGCTGAAATGCTATAGACTCTCACTGTTCAGCAGTTTTTCTTAAATAAATGATTCCCAATTTTTATGTGCTTTTGGTTAATTCCCAGTATCCTGAAATGGTTTTATTGAAAAATTTGTTCAGTTTTATTTGTTACCATTTGAGGAAGGTATTTGTTGAGCTCCTTATTTCTCCAGTCTGGAAGATTTACCTCTTTAATACCATTTATTTTGTCTGATAATTGTATCATACATATATTGTTGAATGTTGACATATGTATAATATGTAAAATATATACTTTTCTTTCTTTCTTTGTTTTTTTTTGTTTTTTGTTTTTTATTTGAGACGTTGTTTTGCTCTTGTTGCCCAGGCTGGAGTGCAATGGCACCATCTCGGCTCACTTCCACCTCCACCTCTCGGGTTCAAGCAATTCTCCTGCCTCAGCCTCCTGAGTAGCTGGGATTACAGGCATGCGCCACCACACCCACCTAATTTTGTATTCTTAGTAGAGATATGGTTTCTCCATTTTGGTCAGGCTGGTCTCGAACTCCTGACCTCTGCCTGCCAAACTGCTGGGATTACAGGTGTAAGCCACCGTGCCCAGGCCAAAAATATATACTTTTCAAAGTCAGAACTGATTTCCCTGTTTCTCTCAAAGCCTAAAATAGCATTTATTATGGTTTCTCAAATAATTTTCCATGGAAAACTCAGAATAATTTTGATAAACATTTCATAGAAAAAAATATGATTAAATGTGTTTCAGAAATAAAGTTAAGTAGATTTCTTTGCTGCAAGAATTAAGAGAACTTTGAAAGGCTTATATGTGATCTGAGTGTTTAAGAAAAGAGGTATGATACATTTCTTAACTATGGAATCTGCCTTTTCTTGTGAGAGTCTCAGGAGGCACCCTTAGGAAATAGGGTAGACAGTAAACATGTACTGGGTAATAACTCTATTGCCCTCTAGTGATAATTTGCTTGACTTCAGCCCTTAGTTGATTTCTTTGCAGAACTATTTTAATAGCCTTTTTTGCAGTTTCCTCTTCCTTCAGCTCTATTCAAGCCACGCTTCCTGGTGACTTTATTTACGTTCTTCAAATACAGATATGGTTATTTCTTCTCCACTCAAAGGATTTTTCTTTTCTTTTCTTTTCTTTTCTTTTTTTTTCTTGGAGACAGGGTCTTGTGCTGTCACCCAGGCTAGAGGGCAGTGGTACAATCATGGCTCACTGGAGCCTCCACCTCCTACGCTCAAGCAATCCTCTCACCTCAGCCTCCTGAGTAGCTGGGACAAGAGGCATGCACCACCATGCCGGGCTAACTTTTTATTTTTTGTAGAGACAGGGTTTTGCCGTGTTGCCCAGGCTGGTCTCAAACTCCTGAGCTCAAGTGATCCCTAACACCCCTCGGCCTCCCGAAGTGTTGGAATTACAGGCATGGGCTACTGTGCCCAGGCTCAAAACATTTTTATGGTCCCATCATAATAAAAGACTCAGTTATCTCAAGAAGGAAAATGACAAGTATTGCCTGAATAGCAGTTCTTTCCTAGCTGGATGGTCTCCCAAAGCTCTCATTAGTCATTACCAAGGATGGAGTGTCTATGCTTGATCTTAAAGAGAGAGGCTTGCACCTCTTTGCCCACAATGCCAGGACAAGCTGCACAGAGAGTGGAGTTCAATAAATGTCTGGAGTTGAGTGGAATTTTATGCCACTCATGATACCATCTCTGACTTCCCTACAACCAGGCCCTGTCCCATGAGGGAGAAAAGGTATCAGGAGCAAGTGAGAAATCACTGGGGTTATAAGATGTTATGGGAGCAGGAAAAATCCTCTACCTTCTACTTAAACCTTAACATGATCATATGTCCTAGAATAATGCGATTGCATTTCACCATTGCAATATGTCAATAGTTGTAAAATCAGCAGCAGTTGATCCAGTTTGGAAATATGAGGGTGGATGTAACACAGTGGAATAAAGAGACACGTAGGTAAGGCAGAGGGTGTTGAAAATGGTGTGTGGGTTGGGAAAGGAATTAAAGGACAGTGAAGTACTGACCAACTACGCAGCTGGTATTTGCTAGTTAATACTAAAGCTGTGAAATAAGAAAGAAAGAAATGTGATAGCATCTTGGCGATTCTTCTGGGATGAAAAACTTTTTAATACAATTTTTTGTTTTAAGCATTGGTATTTACAGAATATCATGCTCATTAACAACTTTAAAAAGTGACAAGATTAATGTACCATCTGAAGCTGATAATTAACTGGTATCGTAAAGGTCTTGTAATATAGCTAAGGAGAATTGTTGAGATTTAGCCATTGAAATGTAATTACACACAAAGGTTGCAGCTTCTTTGGGGAGGTTGACTGATGGGGTTTGAAATGCCTTGAATTATTTTAAAAATCTACTTTTTGATACAAAGTGACAAATTTGAGGATATTTAAAAGTAAATGTTAAAATTTTTGAAATAGGGGCCAATGGAAATTTTAAAACTGCTTCATGAACATTTTATTAAAATATGCAGGAGGCTACTATACAGTATCCCCGACCATGAATAATAAACAGAAATTGTCAAGATGACTATGGTTCTGACTTATTTTAAAGCCATCAGATGTAAAGCCCGTAGATCCAAAATATGCACCTGTAAAATTCTCCCAGTGAGTTATAAAATGTAGCCTTTGATTGGTTGGGTAAAAGGCAATTAACTATTCAACCAAGCAAAATTTGAATACAGTGCTTCAGGAATAGAACTTCAGAGACCTACCACTGAATGCTTTTCTTCATGCTACAGAGTTGGATATAGCCTGGTGGCTCTCATAGTAAGATGGCTTATTCTTAGGACATTTAGATAATAACACCAGTGCCAAGGAGAAACTTGCTGGCAGGTAAGCATCATCTTGGATGAAATCACAAGGTGAGATTTGGTTCTCAGCTTTGTTAGACTCAGGAAAATAAATGTTTCAAGTTCATTTGAAGTTAATGAAATCCTGAAGGGGAGGCCAGGCTCACACATGTAATCCTAGCACTTTGGGAGGCCAAGGCAGGAGGATCGCCTGAACCCAGGAGTTCGAGACCAGCCTGGGCAACATAGCTAGACCATCTCTTCAAAAAAAAAAATTAGCATCGTGAGTGGCATGAAATTAGCATGTGGTGTCATGTGCCTGTAGTCCCAGCTACTCAGGAGGCTGAGGCCAGAGGATGGTTTGAGCCCAAGACCTCGAGGCTACAGTGAGCAGCCTGGGGTGATAGTGCAAGATCCCATTCATCTCCAAAAAAAAAGAAAGAAAGAAAAGAAAGAAAGAAAGAAAGAAAGAAAGAAAGAAAGAAAGAAAGAAAGAAAGAAAGAAAGAGAAAGAAAGGAGGGAGGGAGGGAGGGAGGGAGGGAGGGAGGAAGGAAGGAAGGAAGGAAGGAAGGAAGGAAGGAAAGAAAGAAGGGAGGGAGGGAGGGAGGGAGGGAGGGAGGAAGGGAGGAAGGAAGGAAGGAAGGAAAGAAAGAAAGAAAGAAAGAAAGAAAGAAAGAAAGAAAGAAAGAAAGAAAGAAAGAAAGAAAGAAAGAAATCAATCCTGGGGAGTCAATTTATTCAAACCAAAAGGGAGACTAATTCATAAACCTGAAGACCAAGTTTTTAATTTATAATGGGAGCACTGACAGGATAATGTGAGACCTACCATTTGTCATTTGCTCAGGGCATGCTTTCCTGGAATCCTCCCAGAAGACTGAATCAGAGGCTGAGCATAGAGGTAGAATAAAGGGAGTAAGATGCTGATCAGTGACTAATGTTCTTCACAACTCTGGAAACACAAATTCAAATACTGAATCCTCTTCATTAACCTGTTGTTTTCTTAGATAGTTGAAGGACCTATTTGGTCTCCTTGATATATCCATTAAATTTCTTTATTAAGATTGTTTGATTAAAAAAAGTGTTTATTTTGAGATTGGTTGATCTCATCAGAATTTTGGGAATTTTCTACATTTTCGATGTTATATGGTCAGATTTTTTGGCCTTATCCCCCAAATCTGAGATGCTTTCTTGTATGATTCAATATCTTTGCTATATATCTAGTTTTCAATTGCCAATCCAGTCTCACGTTTCACTGACCACAATAATGGCAGGTGATAAAAAAGTCAAATCTAATGATGTAACTTCCCAGCTTAAAAACCTTCCAGTGATTTCCTGTCCATGTACTACAGCCTAAACTTTTTAGCACAGAAAACCAAATGTCTCATGAGTTGACCCTTGTCTTCTCTCCAGCCATCTCTTTAGCTGTGGCCCCAGTTCCTCTGTTCTCATGCTAAGGCCATGTGAAACTTTCTTGAGATTCCTCTCACATCACATGATTTCACACTCAGCCTCCAGACGCACATGCATCCTTCTGCCTGGAATGCCCTTGATTTTCCTTGCAGGCCTTGAAGTACCTTTTCTATTGAAGTCTTTTTCAATATCATCATCCCACAAATAAGTGAGAACATGAGACATTTGTCTTTTCGTGCCTGACTTATTTCACTTACCATAATGATCTCCAGTTCCATCCACATTGTTGCAAATGCAGAATCTCATTCTTCTCTTTATAGCTGAATAGTACTCAGCTATAAAGAATATATATACCATATTTTCTTTATCCGTTCGTCTGTTGATGAACACTTAGGTTGCTTCCAAGTCTTGGCTATTGTGAACAGTGCTGGAACAAATGTGGGAATGGAGGTATGTCTTCAATATACTGATTTCCTTTCTTTTGAGTGTATACCCAGCAGTGGAATTGCTGGGTAATATGGTAGCTCAATTTTTAGTTCTTTTGCAGAACCTCCAAACTGTTCTCCATAGTAGTTGTACTAATTTACATTACCACCAACAGTGGTCAAGGGTTCCCTTTTTTCCACATCCTCACCAGCATTTGTTATCGCCTGTCTTTTGGATATAAGCCATTTTAACTGGGGTGAGAAGATATCTCATTGTAGTTTTGATTTGCATTTCTCTGATGAGCAATGAGGTTGAGCACCTTTTCATATGCCTGTTTGCCATTTGTATGTCTCCTTTTGAGAAATGTCTATTCAAATCTTTTGCCCATTTTTTGATCAGATTATTAGATTTTTTTTTCCTACAGAGTTGTTTGAGCTCCTTATGTGTTCTGGTTTTTAATCCCTTGTTAGATGGTAGTTTGCAGATATTTTCTTCCATTCTGTGGGTTGCCTCTTCACTTCATTGATTGTATCCTTTGCTGTGCAGAAGCTTTTTCACTTGATGTGATTCCATTTGTCCAGTTTTGCTTTGTTTTTTGTTTGTTTGTTTGTTTTTTGTCTGTGCCAGTTGGGTATTGCTCAAGAAAGCTTTACAAATGTCCTGGAGATTTTCCTCAATGTGCTCTTGTACTAGTTTTCTAGTTTGAGGGGTCTTATATTTAAGTCTTTAATCCATTTTGATTTGATTTTTGTATATGGCCAGAGATAGTGGTCTAGTTTCACTCTTCTGCATGTGGGTATCCAGTTTTCCCAGTACCATTTATTGAAGAGACCGTCTTTTTCCCCAGTATATGTTCTTGACACCTTTGTCAAAAATTACTTCACTGTAGGTGTGTGGATTTGTTTCCAGGTTCTCTATTCTGTTTAATTGGTCCATGTATCTGTTTTTATGCCAGTACCATACTGTTTTGGTTACTATAGCTCTGTGGTATAACTTGAAGTCAGGTAATGTGATTCCTCTAGTTTTTTTTTTTTTTTTTTTGGCTTAGGATAGCTTTGGCTATTATGGGTCTTTGGGGGCTCCATATACATTTTGGGATTGTTCTTTCTATCTCTGTAAAGAATGTCATTGGTATTTTGATAGGGATTGCATTGAATCTGTAGATTGCTTTGGGTAGTATGGACTTTTTACCAATATTGATTCTTACAATCCATAAACCTGGAATATTTTTATATTTTTTGGTGTCCTCTTCAATTTCTTTCATCAGTGTTTTACAGTTTTCATTATTGAGATCTTTCATCCCTTCATTAAGTTTATTCTTAGGTATTTAATTTTATGTGTAGCTACTGTAAATGAGATTACTTTTCAATTTCTTTTTCACATGGTTCACTGTTAGCATACAGAAATGCTACTGATTTTCATATGTTGATTTTGTATCCTGCAACTTTACTGAATTTGTTTATCACTTCTCACAGTTTTTTTGGTGCAGTCTTTAGGATTTTTTCAAATAAGATCATATCATCTGCAAACAAGGATAATTTGACTTCTTCCATTCCAACTTGAATGCCCTTTATTTCTTTCTCGTCTGATTTTTCTAGCCATACTTCCTGTACTATATTGAATAACAGTGGTGGAAGTGGGCATCCTTGTTGTGTTCCAGATCTTAGAGGAAAGGCTTTCAGCTTTTCCCCATTCAGTATGATACTAGCTGTGAGTCTGTCATATATGGCTTTTATTATGTTGAGGTATATTCCTTGTATCCCCAGTTTTTTGAGGGTTTTTAATCGTGAAGGGAAGTTGAATTTTATCAAAAGCTTTTTCAGTATCAATTGAAATGATCATATGGTTTTTGTCTTTTATTCTGTTGATATGAGGTATCACGTTGATTGATTTGAGTATGTTGAACCATCCTTGCGTCCCAGAGACAAATCCCACTTGGTCATGATGAATGATCTTTCTAATGCACTGTTGAATTATGTTTGCTAGTATTTTGTTGAGGATTTTTTTCATCAATATTAATCAGAGATATTGACCTATACTTTTCTTTTTTTGAGGCATCTTTGTCTGGTTTTGGTATCAGGGTTTTTGTCATTTACTCTGTTGATATAATGTATCACAGTGATTGATTTGAGCATGTTGAACTATCCTTGCATCCCAGGGATGAATCCCACTTGGTCATAGTGAATTATCTTTCTAATGTATTGTTGAATTAGGTTTGCTAGTATTTTGTTAAGGATTTTTGCACCAATATTCATCAGAGATATTGGCCTGTAGTTTTTCTTTTTTGATGTGTCTTTTCCTGGTTTTGGTATCAGGGTAATACTGGCCTCATAGAAAGAGTTTGACAGTATTTCCTTCTCTTGTGTTTTTCAAAATAGTTTGAGTAGGATTAGTATTAGTTCTTTAAATGTTTGGTAGAATTTGGCAGTGAAGCCATCAGGTCCTCGGCTTTTCTTTACTGGGAGACTTTTTATTATGGCTTCAAGCTCATTGCTTGTTTTTGACACATTCAGGTTTTATCTTTATTCCTGGTTCAATCTTGGTAGGTTGTATGTGTCTAGAAATTTGTCAGTTTCTTCCAGATATTTCAATTTATTGGCATATAGTTGCTCACAGTAGCCACTAATGATCCTTTGAATTTCTACAGTATCAGTTGTAATGTCTTTTTTTCCATCTCTGATTTTATTTATTTGGATCTTCTCTCTCTATTTTTCTTAGTCTGGTTAAAGGTTTGTAAATTTTGTTTAACTTTTCAAAAAAACAACTTTTTGTTTCATTGATGTTTTGTATTCTTTCATTTCAATTTCATTTATTTCTGCTCTGATATTTATTATTTATTTTCTTTTATTAATTTGGGATTTAGTTTTCTCTTGCTTTTCCAATTCTTTAAGATGCATTGTTAGATTGTTTGAAGTTTTTCCTCTTTTTTGATATAAGCACTTAGAGCTATAAACTTCCCTCTGAGTACTGCTTGGCATGTAGTGTTTCCATTGTCATTTGTTTCAAGAAATTTTTCAGTTTCCTTCTTAATTTCCTCATTGACTCACTAGTCATTCAGGAGCATATTTTTTTAATTTCCATGTGTTTGTGTAGTTTCCAAAATTCCTCTTGTGATTGATTTCTAGTTTATTTCATTGTAGTCAGAGAAGATGCTTGATACTATTTCAATATTTTTTAATGTTTTGAGACCTGTTTTGTTACCTAACAAATGGTTTATCCTTAGGAATGATCTATACGCTGTGGAAAGGAATATGTATTTTGCAGCTCTTGTATGTAATGTTCTGTAAATATCTGTTAGATCCAATTGGTTTATAGTGCAGATTAAGCCCGATGTTTCTTTGTTGATTTTCTGTCTGGAAGATCTGTCCAATGCTGAAAGTCAGGGGTTGAAGTCTCCAGCTATTATTGTATTGGGGGGCTATCTCTCTCTTTAGCTATAATAATATTTGTTCTACGTATTTAGGTGTTATCTATTTATATATCTGGGTGTTATATGTATTTAAAATTGTTATATCCTCTTGCTAAATTGACCCCTTTATCATTTATAGTGACTTTCTTGGTCTCTTCTTATAGTTTTTGTCTTGAAATCTGTTTTGTCTGTTATAAGCATAGCAATTCCTGCTCTTTTTTTGGTTTCCATTGGCATGGAATATCTTTTTCCATCCCCTTATTTTCAGTCTTTGTGTGTCTTTATAGGTGAAGTGTGTTTTTTGTAGGCAAAAGATCAATGGATCTTGTTGTTTCATCTATTCAGCCAGTTTATGTCTTTTGATTGGAGAGTTAGGTCCATTGATATTCAATGTTATTATTGATAAGTAAGGACTTATTCCTGCCATTTTTGTTATTTGTTTTTTGGGTGTTTTGTGGCCTTCTTTTCCTTCTTTCTTTCCTTCCTGTCTTCCCCTATGAAGGTGATTTTCTCTGGTGTTATGAGTTTCTTGCTTTTTATTTTTTGTATATCCATTGTATGATTTTTGGTTTGAGGTTACCATGAGGCTTTCAAATACTACCTTATAACTCATTATTTTGACTTGATAACAACTTGACACTATTTGCATACACAAAGAAGAAAAAAGGAAACTAAAAAAACTGTAGACTTTACCTTTGTCCTCCTGCTGTTTAACTTTTTGTTGTTTCTATTTATATATTATTGTACTGATATGTCTTGAAAAGCTGTGGTTATTATTTTTGATTGGTTCATCATTTAGTCTTTTTACTTAGGATAAGAGTAGTTTACACACCACAGTTAGAGTGTTATAATATTCTGTGTTGGAAGGGGAACATCACACACAGGGGCCTGTTGTGAGGTTGGGGAGTGGGGGATAGTATTAGGAGATATACCTAATGTTAAATGACGAGTTAATGGGTGCAGCACACCAACATGGCACATGTATACATATGTAACAAACCTGCACATTGTGTATATGTTCCCTAAAACTTAAAGTATAATACAAAAATAAAAATAAAAAAAAATATTCTGTGTTTTTGTGTGTACTTACTATTACCAGTGATTACACCTTCAAGTGATTATTTATTGCTTACTAATGTCCTTTTCTTTCTGATTGAAGTACTTCATTTAGCATTTATTGTAGGACAGGTCTGGTATTGATGAAATCCCTCAACTTTTGTTTGTTTTGTCGGGGAAAGTCTTTATTTATCCTTCATGTTTGAAGTATCTTTTCTCCAGATACACTATTCTAGGGTAAAAGTTTTTTTTTTTCCTTTAGCACTTTAAATATGTCATGCCACTCTCTCTTGGCCTGTAAGGTTTCCAGTGAAAAGTCTGCTGCCAAATGTATTGGAGTTTCATTGTGTGTTATTTGTGCTTCTTTCTCTTACTGCTTTTAGGATTCTTTCTTTATTCTTGAGCTTTGGGAGTTTGACTAGTAAATGCCTTGAGGTAGTCTTCTTTGGGTTAAATCTGCTTGGTTTTCTATAACCTTCTTGTACTTGGATATTGATATCTTTCTGTAGGTTTGGGAAGTTCTCTGTTGTTATCCCTTTGAATAAACATTCTACCTCTTTGTCTACTACCTCTTTAAGCCACAAAAGGGCAAATCTAAGAGTTATTGGCCTTAAAGAGGCCTATAGGCATGCTTCATTGTTTTTTATTTTTTCTTTTGTCTTCTGTGACTGTGTATTTTCAAATAGCCTGTCTTCAAGCTCACTAATTCTTTATTCTGTTTGATCCATTCTGCTATTTAAGGGTTCTGATACATCCTTCAGTATGCCAATTGCATTTTTCAGCTCCAGAATTTCTGTTTGATTGTTCTTAATTATTTCAATCTCTTTGTTAAATTTATCTGATGGAATTCTGAATTCTTTCTTCGTGATATCCTGAATTTATTTGAGTTTCCTCAAAATAGCTATTTTGAATTATCTGTCTGAAAGGTCACATATCTCTGTTTCTCCAGGATTGGTCCCTGGTGTCTTATTTAGCTCATTTGGTGAAGTCATGTTTTCCTGGATGGTGTTAATGCTAGTAGATGTTCTTTGGTGTCTAAGCATTGAAGAGTTAGGTATTTATTGTAGTCTTCAGTGTCTAGGCTTATTTGTAGCCATCATTTTGGGAATGCTTTCCAGATATTTGAAAGGACCTGGGTGTTGTGATCTAAGGTGTATCACTTTAGGGGGCTCCCCAAGCCCAGTAACAATGTGGTTCTTATAGGATCATAGAGGTACCACCTTGATGGTCTTGGACAAGATCTGGGATAATTCTTGGGATTACCAGGCAGAGACTCTTGTTCTCGTTCCTTACTTTCTCCCAAACAAACAGAGTTTCTCTCTCTCTCTGTTCTGCGCCACCTAAAGCTGGGGGTGGAGTGACACAAGCACCCCTGTGGCCACCCCCACTATGACTGCACTGGGTCAGACCTGAAGCTGTGTCTCACCCAAGGCCTGCTGTAATGACTCCCTGGCTACTGCCTATGTTCACTGGAGGCTCTGGGGCTCTACAATCAGCAGGTAACAAAGCCAGCGGCCTTTGTCCTTCCCTTCAGGGCAGTGAGGTCTCTTGGCCCCATGTGGGTCCAGAGGTATCATCCAGGAGTCAGGGATTAGAGTCAAAAACCTTAGAAGTCTACTTGCTGCAGTATTGTATTGTGGTTGAGCTGGCACTCAAACCACAAGACATAGTCCTTCCCACTTTTCCTTCCCTTTTTCCAAAGGCAGAGTAGCCCCACTCAGTAGCCACCACCACCACAGACCATGAGGAGTACTGTTAGACTACCAGCCAATGTTTCCATAAGGCCCAAGGGCTTTTAAGTCAACTTGTGGTGAATGCTGCCTGGCCTGGGACTCACCCTTCAGGGCAATGGGCTACCCTTTTGCCCAGGGCAGGTCAAGAAGTACCTTCCAAGAATCAAGTCCTGGAATTGGGGACCCCAAGAGCCCACTTGGTCTCTTCCCTGCTGTGACCATGGTGGTGCCTGAAGCCACCAAGTCTCAGAGGCTCACCCAAGGCCCTTGATGTAGTATCTGGGTATTGTTCCTGGTTATTCAGGGACCAAGGACTCTTCAGCTAGCAGGTGATGAATGCTGTCAGGACTGGCTCCTTTCCTTCAAGACAACAAATTCCTTTCAGGTCCAAGTTGTGTCTAGAAATGTTGTCTGGGAGCTAGGGCCTGGAACAAGGGCCTCACGACTCTGTCTGGTGCCCTATCCTGCGGTGGCTCGGCTGGTATCCAAGATGTAAGACGAAGTCCACCCCAATTTTCCTCTCCTCTCCTCAAGCAAAGAAAGGGGTCTCTCTTGGAGCTGCAAGCGCAGCCTAGGGTGAGGGGAAGGGTGATGCGAGCACTCCCTTGGCTGCCCCAGCTGTTGTAGTACATTTCTTTTTATTCATCCTACTTGGAATTTGCTGTGCTTCCTGAATCTCAAGAATGGATGCCTTTAATCCATCCTGGAAATTCACATAACATAAAATTCCCTATTGTAAATTAATTCAGTGGCTTAACTCTTATATTTTGAAATATTATCTCTTCCCTATTCTATTCATGCTCTCTTTCAGGAACTCCAAGTTATATTAGATTTTCTTATTCGATCCTCAGTGATTCTTAATCTCTCTTTCATGGTTTCTGTCTTTTTGCCTGTTTGTGCTATAATATGTATAATTTCTTCAGTTCTGTCTTTAAGTTCAATAAATTGCACTTCAACTGTGTCTATTCTGTTGTTTAGCCAATCTATTGAATTGCTTTCAGTGATAATATTTTAATTTTTAGAAGTTACACATTTGATTCTTTTCTGAAACCTTCTGGTCATTGCCTATGCTTTCTTCATATTTTTGATACCTTTGGAGGAACCATGTTGAAATGGACACCTGGCTTCTTTAACATTTATTTTCTATTTATTTGAAAATTTCAAATCCGAAATCTTTTGGTGTCTTAACCAGGTACTCCAAGATACTACCAATCAGGTACACTTTTAAATGTTTAGGGTTTCCTGGATGCTGCAGGTAGAGTAATTTGAACCATAAATCCAAGTGATAGGGGGTTATTATTAAAGATCCTGGTCGGGCGCCGTGGCTCACGCCTGTAATCCCAGCACTTTGGGAGGCCAAGGCGGGTGGATCACCTGAGGTCAGGAGTTTGAGACCAGCCTGGCCAACATGGAGAAACCTTGTCTCTACTAAAAATACAAAAATTAGCCAGGCGCGGTGGCACATGCCTGTAATCCCAGCTACTCAGGGGGCTGAGGCAGGAGAATTGCTTGAACCCCAGAGGTGGAGGTTGCAGTGAGCAGAGATTGTACCACTGCACTCCAGCCTGGGCAACAGAGTAAGACTCTGTCTCTAAATAAATAAATAAATAAATAAAGATTCTCAGGTGAGAGTTTTCAGTTTTTATTTTTCTTTTCTACCCAGAGCAAAAGAGTATAGTCCTTCGAGTGTACTAATGTGTTTTGGGGCCTGGAATCTAACTCAGCTTTGTTCAGGCCAAAGGTCTTTCCTTTTTGCTCCAGAACAGTCATTAAAATCCAAGGCTCTTTTTACTGTATTTGAGGTGTTTTTGTGTAGGAATAGTTTTTCAGTGCGTGCCATATCACTAAAAGGAACTAAAGTCTTTGACAGTGGAATAACTCCTGGACAATTTTCTATTAAATATACAAATAAATCAGGAGTTGTGATTTTAAAACCACATGAAGTCAGGTTGTATTTTCTTAGCACTTTCGGGTAAAGAACAAAAATAAAAACAATTTCATGTGTGATAAAAGTAATTGGGAAGAGGTGTATTTTAGGATAATATGGATATGATAGCCATAAGAAAAATCATACGGTTTTATCCTTACTAATAAATAACATTGCTTAAAGGGTTAGCACCCTAAAAAATTTATCTTCTTGTGTATTGTTAAAGGAATTTGGCTCTGATGCATGAGTATGAACATCTATTAACACAATGAAATTAGTCCACAGCAGAACTGTTAGTTTAAGCCATGTTTGGCCAACACATATCTTCCTTGAAAAAGAATTAGACTAAAAGAGATGATTATCCCTTAAAAGCCATTTAGCACAACCCACATCTCATACCTTAATTTGTAATTTTTCATACAAATTCAGTTCTTTTCAGTAGTTTGGTGAATGGTATGTCACTTTTTAGATGGCAGCACTTATTTTTGAAGATCGCTATTAAGTAGAAGAAAACTGGCTACTTTCTATGTAAATATTTTGTTAAATATTTATAGCTCTCTCTAGAAGTTCTCCATCCGTTTCCATGACAGAGTCTAGCAGTAGATGTACCCAAAAAAATCTCCCAGGAATATCTTGTTTAGACTTATTTTGGGGAACCACTAACTCATCCTTATGGGTCCAGAGGGAAGCTATGGGCAGAGTCCCATGAGCCAGCTTCTGCACTTGAGAGTATGTAGAACCCCTGGGGGAGTGGGGGGGGATCCTAATATCAGGGAGAAAAGCTCTCCTTGTCTATAAACATGAAAAGTGAAACAAATGTTGACTTTCAGGGTGCTTAGTGATAAATCAGTTCAGAAGAAGAAGAAGGAGGAGAAGGAGAAGGAGGGGAAGGGGAAGAAGAAGAGGAAGAAGAAGAAGAGGAAGAAAAAGAAGAGGAAGAAGAAGAAGAGGAATAAGAAGGAGGAGGAGAAGAAGAAGAAAGAAGAGGAAGAAGAGGTAGAAGAAGAAGAAGGAGAAGGAGAAGGAGAGGAAGAAGAAGAAGAAGAAGAAGAAGAAGAAGAAGAAGAAGAAGAAGAAGAAGAAGAAGAGGAAGAAGAAGAAGAAGAATTAAAGAAACAAAGCTCTAGCTTTTGCTGATCAAATACCTTGAGGTCAGTGGAGGCTTCAGAGCTAGACTAGCTCTTTAATCCCGTCTTCATGTAACATCACTAGGTATTCTCTTACCCTTGTATGATCCCTGCTACAGGCTTAAAATGACTTTTGTGAAATTTATCTGGTGTCTAAGTGTTTGGTTTCGGGAGAGTTTAAAAACAAAACAAAAACCAAAACGTGAATGCTCTATTGCCAGAGGCAGACTATCTTAGCCATCTTGTATCCCTTATTCTGAATATTTAGTAGGTAACCATGATGTTTTTTGTTAAATTCAATAACAAGCACATTAATCTAATCATTGTTAAAAACAGAAGTGAGAGAGATACTATCAGCTTTATTTTTGAGCAGTGGTTTATCCCAAATACATGTGTTTTATCAGCTACCCTTTCTGTTTATAATCTGGCTTTGGAATTCCAGAAGACCATATAATTAAGAGAAATAATAATCAAAACAGCACCATATAACCTTTTTATTTTCTTTCCAAAGCAAATTTAGATAATATATTACTTTTTGTAACTTGGTACCTTTTCCAGAATGCTTTTCTTTGCCCCAGCAGCAAATAACAACAAAATCCCTGAAGCCTCCAAATATTGGAAACTATTTTTCTTGGAGTTTCCATGGTATCTCCTTAATGTAAGTGGATCTGAAAAGGCTTTGCAGATAAATATGTGAAAATAAATTTTATATCACTTCTAAAATCTGGCACGGGAAATTATCTCTAAAGACATTCATCTCATTGACTTGGCAGTTTTATTAAACTTTAATCACCATTTAAATATTTTCATTATTGAAGAGTGCATGTTCCCATAAGGTAAAGATTCAGCTACCCAGAGCTTGAAGGATAAATATATAAGTTCCACAAAGGTCTTATAACCCTTAGACACAGTTGAGTAATAATGCAGAATTAAATAGTGCTGTCAGCACTGAATCTATCAGTGAGAACAACGAGAGTCAAAGTGGGTGACATATTTCAACAAATGGTATCAGTAGAATATTATAAGAATCAGGATAGCTCAGAAGACTAAGCTTCATATCTAATTAATCCTGAAACATTATTTAATTGCCCAAATTAAATAATACTATTTCATGTTCCTAATTTCATAGGGGAAGGAGACCCATTCTAAAGAGATCTTAGTCTGGCCTTTTAAAAAGTCATCCTCATTCAGGACAGTTATTCAATTTCTTTTTAATTCTTCATTTCAAAGAGGAATAATTATGTCTACTTATTTTGAGTAATAAGTTATTGTATAATGTGTTCTAAGTGAAACTTAATTAGTAAGTCACCAGTCACATTTAGTGAAAATAGAAAACATACTTCCCTTTGTTTTCAGAAATAAGTAATTGCTTTTGTCAGTCCACAGAAAGCTGTTGACCATCTGCTATTCCTAATACTTTGAACACTGTGGAAAAAGTGTCAGAAGTAGAATAATAGTGCATTTATGATTGTTCTGGGAAACAAGAAACCAAGAATTGGACAAATTGTCTGGGTGCAGTGGCTCATGCCTGTAATCCCAGCACTTTGGGAGACCAAGGAAGGAGGATTACCTGAGGTCAGGAGTTTGATACCAGCCTGGCCAACATGGTGAAACCCTGTCTCTACTAAAAATACAAAAAAGAAAATTAGCTGGGTGTGGTAGTGCACGCCTATAATCCCAGCTATTCGGGAGGCTGAGGCAGGAGAATTGCTTGAATCTGGAAAGTGGAGGTTTCAGTGAGCCAAAATAATATCACTACACTCCAGCCTGGGTGACAGAGTGAGACTCCATCTCAAAAAAAAAAAAAAGGAATTGGACAAATGAAATATGTAGACATAGTCACTGCCTATGAGCCAAAATACAAATTTTTCTTTTAAATGTTAACATTACGTTGAAAAAGAAAAGAAACTGTATTTTCCTTAGTTTCATTATGATAGAGATATAACAATATTTTAATTAAAATGTATAAAAAGAATAATAATCTAATTCAGGGTAAAAATGCTAATGTACACAGAGAGCTTATGGTGTGACCTGAGTTTGCACAGGTGAGTGAGCTGTAGTTCTTTTCCAACAGAAGTCCATGTGCGGATCTGGACCTTTCCAGGTAGCAGTTCTGACCATGGCCTTCTAGCATGCACTCTCCTGGCTCACACCACCCCACAGATTGAGAAGAAAGCTTTCTCTGCCAATAATCCCATCATTTCTTTGTGATACACATTAAGTAAGACTCACTGAATTACTTCAGTGAAATCTTTGTTAAATGGGCCTTTGTGTATATGGTACTGTGTTTGGTTGCTTGTATTCAGAAATTAATCACATTGATAATGCGTCTGCTCCATGAAAATCTGTATTACTGTATTAGTTATCACACAATAATACAAAGGGAAAAGAAACCAATTTAGTAAAAACACAGACTATGTTATTCATAGATTTGAACTGAAGGATAATTACTGAAAGCTAAGCTTTTAAAATAATATATATGCTGATTAAAAGGCAACCCTAAATATGAGGTGGCTCTCTGTTTTCATAATGGAAAAATACAAAAAGCTTTTTGGTCAACATGAATATATGAACACAATGGATGTTAACAAAATAGTCAATGTTTACTTGAGCTAGTTAATATGAATCTGCTTATACAATTATATTTGAAATAATATTATAAAAATGTGCCAATTTTGAAATATTTCTTCTCATTTCAGAAATAATTTTACTCAAATTTTCTTCAAATTCTTGAAGACAAGAGTCTTCATTATCAGAAGAGCCACTGTTTGAGCCATCTAATTTTTTCCAATTTTAAGTATCTTGAGATAAAACAACTTTTAAGATAAAATACCTTTGGATTGGCATATGATACTATAATTGTAAGTTTTATTCCAAAACAAAGTAGCCAATTGTGAAACAGTAGAACAATTGTTTTTCATTGTCCTATGAGACTTACATTTGTTATCTCCACAAAGCAAAGGTGAGTTGCTTTATGAAAAACTGATCTTAGTAATCTTGTTTATATCCATATCCCAGCACTACAATTTGAAGGTCCTACCTGGAAGAATAATTACCAAATCTGTACTAAAAGGCTTTGTCTTTTTATTAGCTCAGTTAGATGACCTTTTAAGATTCCCCATATAGCTCTAATTGACATCTTTTCAGGCTAATTTGTCTTTCCTAAATAATTTGTAATTAAAATAGAATAATTGGAAGAATACTTCCATCAAACAAGAATCTTGGAGAGGGCTTGGATATTAAGTGTCTTAGTTCATTTGGGCTGCCACAGCAGAATACCATAGAGTGAGTACCTTATAAACAACAAATATTTATTTCTCATAGTTCTGGAAATTGGGAACTCCAATATCAAGGTGCCTGTAGATTCAGTGTCTGGTGAGGACCCGCTTCCTTATTCATAGTGGCAGTCTTCTCATTGTGTCTTCACAGAGCAGAAGGGGAGAGGGAGATCTCTGGGGTCTCTTTTATGAAGACGCTAGTCCCATTCATGAGGTTTCCTCCCTCATGACCTAATCAACTCCTAAAGACTCAGTCTCCTAATGCCATCACCTTGGAAGTTAGGATTTCGACATATGAATTTGAGGGGACATAAACATTTAGTCTATAGCGTTAAGTAACTCTTTTTCTCTGAGGACTAATTTGGTAAAACACAAAAACAAACAACATTCTTCAAATAACCTGGTCTATATTTTGGCTTAACAGTTACTCACATTTTGTTGTAGTTTTGTCTTTGGTATTATTGTTCTTTAGGGTAAAGTTTTTCAATCATTGAAGCCACAGAAAATCTTTAAGGTATTTACCATATTCATGTTTAACCATTTACACACTGCTATAAAGAAATGCCTGAGACTGGGTAATTTATAAAGGAAAGAGGTTTAATTGACTTGAAGTTCTGCATGGCTGGGGAGGCCTCAGAAAATTTAGAATTGTTGCAGAAGGTGAAGGGAAAGCAGGCACCTTCTTCACAAGGCAGCAGGAAGGAGGAGAGGAGGGAAAACTGCCATTTATAAAGCCATTAGATCTCGTGAGAATTCACTTGCTATCATGAAAACAACATGGGGGAAATCACCCTATGATCCAATCATCTCCCACCAGGACCCTCCCTCAACATGTGGGGATTATGGGAATTACAATTTGAGCTGAGATTTGGGTGGGGACACAGAACCAAACTATATCAACATGGCATGGTGGTTTTAACCACGCCTACAAATTCTTTGACACTACTCCTATAAAAAGATAGAACCCAATTCCGCTTCTCTTGAATATAAGCCAACCTAAGTGACTCAAGTTTAACAAATGAAATGTTCTGAAAGTGACATTGTGTGAGTTCTGAGGCTAGGTTGGAAAAGGCAAGATAGTGTCTGCCTGGTGATCTTTTTATGTTTCTGTCTATCCCTGTTTCTGAACCAGTGCCATGTTTTGAGGAAACCCAGGCTCCATGGAGAGGCCAATAGCCAAGACTAAGGTCTCAGCCAAAAGCAAGCATCATCTGCCAGATATGTAAGTGAATGAGCCATCAGATGATTCCCGTGGCTAGTCTTTGAGCTGCCTCAGCTAACATCAAGTAGAACTCTGACCATCTTGTAGATTTGTGAGCAAAATACATACTGTTGTTGTTTTAAGTTACTAAGTTTTTGAGGTGGTTTGTTATGCAACAGAAGATAACCAAAACACACAGATCATAGGACTACAGAACAGTATGTGTCTTACAGAGTAAATGCTTAATAAAGAATTCCCAAATGAATAAACACATGAATATGATTATAGTAAATCAAAGTGAATATAATTTCCATTTTCCAATGGCAACACTGATACATTTTTTTCTGACATCATTATTCCCAAAATGCTGTTATGGACTTAACTGTGCCTCCCTCCCAAATTCCTGTGTTGAAGCCCAAACCTCCAGTGTGACTGTATTTGGAGATAGGGCCTTTAAAGTGGTAATTAAGGGTAAATGACATCATAAGGATGGGGCCCTAGTCCAACAGAACTGTGTGTGGCCTTATAAGAAAAGGAAGAGACACCAGGGATGTATGCACAGAGAAAAAGCCATGTGAGGACGGGGTAAGAAGACAGCCATTTGCAAACCAAGGAGAGAAGCCTCAGGAGAAACCAAACCTGCTGAATCCTTGATCTTGAAATGCCAGTTCTGGAAATTGGGAACTCCAATATCAAGGTGCCTGTAGATTCAGTGTCTGGTGAGGACCCACTTCCTTATTCATAGTGGCAGTCTTCTCATTGTGTCTTCACAGAGCAGAAGGAGATAAAATAAGCACAATCAAAATGATAAAAAGGATATTACCACTGACTCCACAGAAATATAAACAACCATCAGAGACATTATAAATACTTCTGTGCACATAAACTAGAAAATCTAGAAGAAATTGATAAATTCCTGCACATATACACACTCTGAAGACTAAACCAGGAAGAAGTTGAATCCCTGAATATACCAATAACAAGTTGTGAAATTGAGGCAGTAATAAATAGCCCACGAACCCCCCCCCAAAAAAAAAAAACAACCCAGGACTTACAGCTGAATTCCACTAGAGGTACAAAGAAGAGCTGGTAGCAGTCCTACTGAAACTATTCCAAA
This sequence comes from Homo sapiens, assembly GCF_000001405.40. Taxonomy (NCBI): domain Eukaryota; kingdom Metazoa; phylum Chordata; class Mammalia; order Primates; family Hominidae; genus Homo; species Homo sapiens. Next base: position 36,414,046 of record NC_000013.11, read on the forward strand.
CAACTGAAAAGGAGGGACCCCTCCCTAACTCATTCTAGGAGGCCAGCATCATCCTGATACCAAAACCTGGCAGAGATACAACAAAAAAAGAAAACTTCAGGCCAATATCCTTGATGATCATCAATGCAAAAATTTTCCACAAAATGCTGGCAAACCATTGAATCCAGCAGCACATCAAAAAGCTTATCCACCACAATCAAGTAGACTTCGTCCCCAGGATGCAAGGTTGATTCAATATACGCAAATCAATAAATGTGGTTCATCACATAAAGAAAACTAAAGACAAAAACTACATGATTTTCTCACTAGATGCAGAAAAATCCTTCAATAAAATTCAACATCCCTTTATATTAACTCTCAATAAACTAGGTATTGAAGGAACATACCTCAAAATAATAAGAGCCATATATGACAAACCTGTAGCCAATATCATACTGAATGGACAAAAGCTGGAAGCATTACCCTTGAAAACCAGCACAAGACAGACAAGGATGCCCTCTCTCACCACTCCTATTCAACATAGTATTGGAAGGTCTGGCCAGGACAATTAGGCAAGATAAAGATATAAAGTGTATTCAAATAGGAAGAGAGGAAGTGAAACTATCTTTGTTTGAAGATAACAGGATTCTATTTTTAGAACACCCCATTGTCTCAACCCAAAAGCTTCTTAATCTGATAAGCAACTTCAGCAAAGTCTCAGGATATGAAATCAATGTGAAACATCACTAGCATTCTTACACACCAACAACAGGCAAGCTGAGAGCCAAATTACGAATGAACTCCCGTTCACAATTTCGACAAAAAGAATAAAATACTTAGGAATATAGCTAACAAGGGAAGTGAAGGAGCTCTTCAGGGAGAACTACAAACCACTGCTCTAAGAAATCAGAGATGACACAAACAAATAGAAAACATTCCATGCTAATGGCTAGGAAGAATCAATAACATGAAAATGGCCATATCGCCCAAAGCAGTTGATAGATTCAATGCTATTCCCATTAATCTACCATTAACGTTCTTCACAGAATTAGAAAAAACTGTTTTAAAATTCATATGGAACCAAAAAAGAGCCCAAATAGCCAAGGCAATCCTAAGCAAAAAGAACAAAGCTGGAGACATCATGTTACCTGACTTCGAACTATACTACAAGGCTACAGTAACCAAAACAGCATGGTACTGGTACAAGAACAGATAGAGAGACCAATGGAACAGAATAAAGAACTCAGAAATAAGACTGCAACCTACAACCATCTGGTCTTCAACAAACCTGCTAAAAACAAGCAAAGGGGAAAGGATACCCTATTTAACAAATGGTGCTGGGAGAACTGGCTAGCCATATGCAGAAAATTGAAACTGGATCCCTTCCTTACTTCATATACAAAAATAAACTCAAGATGGATTAAACACTTAAATGTAAAATCTAAAACTATAAAAACCCTAGAAGAAAATCTAGGCGATACTATTCAGGACATAGGCACAGGCAAAGATTTCATGATGAAGACACCAAAAGCAATTGCAACAAAAGCAAAAATTGACAAATGGGATCTAATTAAACTAAAAAGCTTCTGCACAGCAAAAGAAACTATCAACAGAGTAAACAGACAACCTACAGCGTGGGAGAAAATTTTTGCAGTCTATCCATCTGACAAAGATCTAATATCCACCATCTATAAGGAATTTAAACAAATTCACAGAAGAAAAATAACCCCATTGAAAGCTGGGCAAAGAACATGAACAGACACTTTTCAAAAGAAGACATACATTCAACCAACAAACCTATAAAAGAAAGCTTAACATCACTGATCATTAGAGAAATGCAAATCAAAGCCACAGTAAGATATCATCTCACACCTGTCAAAATGCCTATTATTAAAAAGTCAAAAAAACAAGAGATACTGATGAGGTTGTGGAGAAAAAGGAATGCTTTTATGCTGTTGGTGGGAGTGTAAATAGTTCAACCACTGTGGAAGACTGGCAATTCCTCAAAGACCTAGAGGCAGAAATACCATTTGACCCAGCAATCCCATTACTGAGTAGATACCCCCAAAATATAAATCATTCTGTTATAAAGATACATGCATGTGTATGTTCATTGCAGCACTAATCACAATAGCAAAGACATGGAATTAACCTAAATGCCCTTCAGTGATAGACTGGATAAAGAAAATGTGGTACACATATACCATGGAATACTATGCAGTCATAAAAAGGAAGAAGATCATGTCCCTTGCAAGGACATGGATGGAGCTGGAGGCCATTATCCTTAGCAAACTAATGCAAGAACAGAAAACCAAATACTGCACATTCTCACGTATAAGTGGGAGCTGAAGGATGAGAGCATGTGGACATGGAGGGGAATAACATGCATTGGGGCCTGACAGAGAGCGTGGGGTGGGAGGAGGGAGAGGATGAGGAAGAATAGCTAGTGGATGCTGGGCTCAATACTTAGTTAGTGGGATGATCTGTGCAGCAAACCACCATGGCACATGTTTATCTATGTAACAAACCTACACATCCTGCACATGTACCCCTGAACTTAAAATAAAAGTTGGAAGTTTAAAAAAATGCTGTACAACTTTGTTTTTATACAATTCAGATCCCCATCTTTTCTCAAAAGTGCAGTTTTGAAGTGGAAAATGAAGAGAGGGATGAGATGTGGCTTGTAGGAAAAAAGATTAATAAAGTCTTTCTGATTAATGATCTAAGACAAAATTTAAATGGATATGTTTAAAATCAGTTCCACCCTGAACTGCCCTTGAAATACATTGCTACAGATTATTAAATCACTCATATGAGTTAGAAATTGCATTTTACTTATCACACAGAAACCATTGCTGTTGTTGAACCGACAGATGATTAACCCCCAACAAATTCCAGTTTATTAATATTAGAGGGAGGACAGAGCACTGCACCTCAACACATGTGAGAGGACATGCCCAGCCCTGTCTATCCCAGTCTAAGAAAGTGTTCCCTTTTGTTTCTTTTGGTGGCCTTCAATTATTCTGGAGTGTTTCCCCCTCACTATTGTTGTGGTCTTAGCTTGTAATCAATAGTTAATCAGAATTTCAGAAGTTTCTATGTTGGTTATACCTCTTGACTTATCAAAAAAGCAAATTTCTATCTTGTTTTTATGTACTTCTTCAGGAAAAGGATCAAAGGCCAGCTTCCTATAACACAAAGACAGCTTAAACATGATTCAATATCTGCTTCTGGTGGGGTAAAATATTGATTGTGGATTCAAAGCAAGTAAATAGAAACAAAGAAAATATTTGTTATATTGATCATCTCGAATATTGCTTAGAGTATGCCATTATTTCCAAATCCCACTTACAAAGTACACAGTATTTTATCATTATTTAGTTGAATTTATTTTCACTGACTGGGTAAATAATCTTTCAGATTATTCTCCTAAAGGATTGGTATAGCAACAAGCTGTTAAACTGACCTATTTCGCTGGCTTCCTTTGGTTCCCTCCAGCCTGAATTGCAAACTCTATTTCTCTTCCTCTTTTAGTAACTGTGCCTGCTAGCTTCAGAAAAAAATTCTAATTTGTTATAAATAATCTTGGACTTGAAAGCCAAAAAAGTCATAGTTCTAGCTGTATATCTTCCATATTCCTTGTAATTGTGAGGATTTCTCCCAGAAAATTTCTACTTGAAAAACTTACCATCTTAATACTTAATGTTATTCTCATCACAACTCCAGAATTTTTCATCACAATACAGTATGCTTGCTTTATTAGGTAAATAAGTATATAAAGGAAAGCACTCTGGAATCTATCTATTGAAAAGTAAGTCTACACAATTAAGTAAACTAGTAATAGAAATTTTTGGTTCTAAAAGTGAAACTGTCCCTATAAATTTTATAAAATTACTCAGGAAATAAGGGAGGTGGAGAAACAAAACAAAAATAAACCAATCTTTCGGCATAGTCACATTAATCATTAGGTCAGCCTGCTCTTTGACCAGCTTCCTTATAATTGTTTGCTGCTTAACGTTCCAGAATCACTAGACCTTGTCATAAGACTATCGTTTTTCTTAACTGCTCTATAGATAACAGAAGCATTGTGAAATATTGAGTTTTCAATTTGAGATATGATTTCAGTTCCCCTGTACCAGTAAAACTACTAACACCAGCTGCTCTGAAGGATACCACAAAGAGCTGACTCACCAAAGAATGCAGTTTCCACATCCTGATGATTTCATGCCCCTTACCCTAACCAATCAATGACTCCAATTTTCCAGCCCCTTACTCTCCATAATCCCCTTAAAAACTTCAGCCCAGAACACCTCAGGGAGATGGAGTTAAGAGTCTCCTCCCATCTTACCACTGGTCTGCCTCGTAATCATTAAACTTTCTCTGCTGTCTCAGTGTATTGGTCTGAGAGCAGGCACATGAACCTGTTAGTCTAATAACAATAGTATCAAAACGCAGAACTGTGAGCACACTGCTGCGTAAATGATCTATTTCATATTTTCCAGAAAGCAGATAGGCAGCTCATTGTATTCCAATAAGGCTCATTTACACAAATAACGGGTCTGTTAAGTCACGAAGCAAGAAACGAAGCAACATATCTCAGATAAGGATTTATCTTGGGTGCTGATGAAGCATTGTCTGAGGAATGAGGATATCACAAGTCTGAATGTCAATCTGAGAGGCAAATTCTTAAATTATGGAAGGAGGGTATGAATTTGGTCACAAAATTTAACATAACAACTTTAGTAACAAAAATGAAGCTTAAGCGACAATTTACACTACTATTATATAAGTAAGTCTAGCATTCAGCATATTTAAGTAGGTAGTATATCTATAAAGTTAAATGATAAAAGTTGGGTTAATTTGCCAGGTTAGCAGAATCCAGATTGATCTTTTAGCTGTTCTTGTTCTACCTCTGGACTATTGCATGATCTTGGAAAAGAATGAACAGTTTTTTAACAAGGAAGATGTAATTTCTGGACGAACTCTCCTTGTTCATTTATAAATGGATCTTCCTTATAAATCACATGATGAAGTAGTTGTTTCTCAAAAAAACCTCTACATAGATGGTTTCATGTCATCATTTATTGGTACACTTTATCCTAAATTATGGTATAATAACTTAGGGGGAAGCTAGTCAAGAAAAACATACACATTTGCATACACAGTAGCAGATCTAGACTAATTATGATCACTCTTAATGCGCTATGACTGTTCTCAACTACCACCTAGTCTATCCTGCATTAACCAATATGGTAGCCACTAGCTGCCTGTGACTACATAAATTAAAGATTCAGTTATTCAGTTGCAATGGCTTCATTTCCAATGCTCAGTAGCCACATGGCATAGGAAATGTAGGTATACAGAACATTTTCATCACTGCAGAAAGTTTTTTATTGTTTTTGTTTTTGTTTTTGAGACAGAGTCTCACTTTGTCACCCAGGCTGGAGTGCAGTGGGGGAAATCTCTGCTCACTGCAGCCTCCACCTGCTGGGTTCAAGTGATTCTCGTGCCTCAGCCTCCCGAGTAGCTGGAATTACAGACGTGCACCACCATGCCTGGCGAATTTTTGTATTTTTACTAGAGACGGGGTTTCACCATGTTGGCCAGGCTGGTCTCAAACTCCTGACCTCAAGTGATCCAGCTGCCTCGGCCTCCCACAGTGCTGGGATTACAGGCGTGGGCCACCGTGCCCAGCCAGAAAGTTCTACTGGATAACACATTTAGCTTGAACTTGCAGCTTGCCATGATAATTGACTTCTTTAATAATTTTTTAATTATTCAGCAATTAATATTTTTATTATAGGAAATTTAGAAACTACAGATAAACCAAATGAATTCAATTAGGATCAGCTAATCCTGCGATGCAAACAGATAACTACTTAATATTTCATATTTATTTTTGGTGCTTCTTCCAAGCATATAAAAATTTTAAGTGAAAATCCAACATACTAAACTTACTGTTTTTATACTTTATCTCATAAAATATGTTATGAACATTTCTGTATGTCACTTTTTCTCTACATAATTTCACATGACTCTATAATAGTTTTTCAGAATACTGCTGCATAGTTGTCACTATAGACTACTACTGCCCTATACTTCATTTAACAAATCCCTTCATCTGAAACATACAGATGATTTTTAATTTCTCTATTATAAAAAGCTCTATAGGTGAACCTATTTATGATTAGTTTCTTAGTATAAATCCTAGAATTAGAATTCATTAGTGTTAATTTACTTCTGAAACGTCACTTTGAGAAATTTAATTTGATGGAAATAGGTCTGAACCAAGGTTTTCTCACCTACATAAGACAGGGATTAATGAAATGATCTCCAAGTACCCTCCTAGCTTTTCAGATCTAAGAATTTTTTCAGTGAGTGACAAAATATGAAATTCCTAAGAAGGAAGAAAGAAAAAAACACATAGGTTTGAAAAAGCAATTTAATACATCAGATTTCCTCCCTCATACACGTACAATAATGTCATGAAAGCAGCAATTTCGGGGCTGGTAGGGGAAAGATATGACCACCAGGTGGCAGCAGTACACAAAGTGCTTTGTGTGGTGCTTGGACAGGCTGGCATGTAGGAGTGTAGGTGGGGGTGAAGCCCAGGGCTCTTGGAGACCTTCCAGAGACCATGGCGTGGGGCCACCACCCAAAGGGGAAGAGAGCAAGGGAACTCCCTGGGGAGTGGAAAATCAGAGAAAGGGGGTTACCTGGCTAGGTGATGTCCCTCAGCCTCACGATGTGGGAGGCTCTGGGTCAGAGAGTTAGGAAGAACAGCACGGACTTGGGTCTTCCATAGCCTCAGGGTCTGGCATATCTAAGGCTAACAGATGTCGGTGGAGTTTCTGGGGTAAGCAAAGCAGGCAGGCTCTGAATGACTAAAAAATATGCTTTCTTGGGCCATATTTAAAACAATTGGCTGTACAAGAATTTGAGTTTGCTGCCGGCAGGCTTTTGAGCCAATGGTCTTGGTCAGTAATGAAGAAGTAAGCCACATAAAACCAATATAGAGAGGCCATCTTTTTCTCATTTTTGGAACAAGCATAACTTGCATCTTATTGTTCAATCACTTAATCAACAAACATTTATGAAGTGCCTACTATGTTCTGAGCACTATGCCAGGAAAAGAGCTTGCAAAGTTGAGGAAGATGTCATCCATGACGCTAGGGGACTCACGATTTTGGAAGAGGGCCTTTTGAATGGGAGAGTGGGACCCTGAAATGGTAGACAGGAAGCTGTTGCTCTTTCCCTCTTCGTGGGTTTTCCTAGAATAGCTGTCTAACTACTAATAATTATTTTACAGTGGGGGTACATTGTATCAAATGTATTACAATCAATCTACTTTTATCTCCAACTCCATAATCAATCTCTGTTAATAAGGAGAATTCATTATTATCAAAACTCATACATATGTAGGGATGGAGGTGGAGGGAAATGTGGCAGTTCTGGGCAATTATTAGAAAAGACTTTATGATTAAGATGTCTGAAATCAAACTTGCTCTTCACTTTCTTTTTCCTCAGAATTTAGCTAATCTTCTGGCTCCACTATCCTGTCATCAACCTGACCTAGAAATTGCAAAATATGTTTGTCTCCATCTTCTCCTTCAAAGCCAGCATACAGTCAGTTGCTAAGTCATCTAGATTCTGTGGTCAGAGTGACTTCACTGAACCTCCTGTTCTTTCTGTGTTCAGGGCATGATCCTGTTCAGGTCATCATTTCCTCTAGCAAGTGTTTCCTGAACATCTCCTACTCCCAAATCCCAGGCTACTCATTGCTCTCAGATGGTTCTTCTATAAATATAGCTCTAACTTCATCATTCCTCTGTTCAAAAGTGCCACAGCAAACTCCTTATTCTAGCATTCAAAAATACTACAGGACATTATCCCAATGTTCCTGATTGTAAAGTGTATCCTTTACTATAATCTCAGGTGTTATAGGACATCAGCATAATCCAAAACATGTTTTATAATCATCTTCTCAGAGTCTTTACTTATGCAGAACTCTTTTCCTAAAATAGGTTCCCCAAACCCTGCAGATCAAAACCAGATCCAGATTTCAAGGCTAAACACAAAATCACCATTTTCAAGAAACCTTTCCTCATTTCTGTAATTAACTGAAAACATATGTGGCTTTTAACCAGAACTTTCTCTGGACTTCTTAGAAAATTTTTACTTCACTCTAATTACCTTGTGTTGTGTATTTGACTAAATAAGACTAAAGTCTCCTAAAAGACTAAACTTTGCATAAGACTCTTTGTTACTCATTTATGCAACTTCTGTGTCTATTATTGGAATAAATGAAAATGTGTTGTGCTTTTCATATACACAGAGAACACTGTACTTCAGGTGGACTTTTTTTCACTGTTGATCAGGCAACGTGTTCAGTAATGGAAACTGATGGATGAAAAAAGATATTCTTTGTCAATAAAAACCAAAAATAGTAATAAATAATTCTGATATCATGGATAGAGCCACCAAGCTGCCTCATTCAGTCAGAAAAAATATTAATTGCCAAAAAAGAACACATATGCATGCACACAATTTTATGACTTATCATTATTATTAAAAAGTTACATGTGTTTGTGATTTCTTCTTTCCAAACAGAATTTTCACAACTGAAAACTATACAGATTCTTTAGGCTTTTTTTTTTTTTTTTTTGAGATGGAGTCTTGCTCTGTCACCTAGGCTGGAGTGCAATGGTGCGATCTCAGCTCATTGCAACCTTCGTCTGCCGGGTTCAAGCAATTCTCCTGCCTCAGCCTTCTGAGTAGCTAGGACTATAGGCATGCCACCACTCCTGGCTGATTTTTTTTATTTTTAGTAGAGACAGGGTTTCGCCATGTTGGCCAGGCTGTTCTTGAACTCCTGACCTCAGGTGATCTGCCTGCCTCAGCCTCCCAAAGTGCTGGGATTACAGGTGTGAGCCACTGCGCCTGGCCAGAGGACATAATAATTTTAAATGTATATGCACCCAACACTGGAGAACCCAGATATATAAAACAAATATTATTAGAGCTAAAGAGAGAGATAGTCCCCAGTACAGTAATATCTGGAGACTTCAATAGTCCACTTTCAGTATTGGACAGATCTCCCATACAGACAATCAACAAACAAACACTGGATTTAATCTGCACTACAGACCAAATGGATTTAATAGATATTTACAGAACATTTAATCCAATGGCTGCAGAATACACATTCTTTTCTTCAGCACATGGATGATTCTCAAGGATAAACCATATGTTAGGCCACAGAACAACTCCTAAAGATTAAAAAAATTGAAATAATATCAAGCATCTTCTCTGACCACAATGGAATAAAACTAAAAATCAATACATGGAAATTAAACAATATGCTCCTGAATGACAAATGGGTCAATGAAGAAATTAAGAAGGAAATTGAAAAATTTCTTGAAAACATGATAACGTCAAAACAACATACTAAACAGCAAAAGCAGTACTCAGAGAAGCTGATAGCTCTAAGTGCCTATATCAAAAGGAAGAAAAAATTCAAATAAACAATCTAATGATGCATCTTAAGGAATTAGAAAAGCAAGACCAAACTAAACCCTAAATTAGTATAAGAAAAGAAATAATAAAGATCAGAGCAGAAATAAATGGGACTGAAATGAAGAAAATGCAAAAGATCAATGAAACAAACAGTTGGTTTTTTGAAAAGTTAAACTAAACAAACCTTTAGCCAGAGTAACTAAGAAAAAAAGAGAAAAGGTCCAAATAAATAAAATCAGAGATGAAAAAAAGGAGACATTACAACTGATAGTGCAGAAATTCAAAGGCTCATTAGTGGCTACTTTCAGCAACCATATGCCAATAAATTGGAAAATCTAGAAGAAATGGACAAATAACTAGACATACACAAACTACCAAGATTGGACCAGAAAAAAAAAAACAACACAAAACCTGAACAGACCAATAACAAGTAACGGGATCAAAGCCGTAATAAAAAGTCTCCTAGTAAAAAGAAGCCTGGTACCTGATGGCTTCAATGCCAAATTCTACCAAACATTTAAAGAACTAATACCAACCCTACTCAAACTATTCTGAAAAACAGAGGAAGGAACCCTGCTAAACTCCTTCTATGAGGCCGGTCTTACCCTGATACCCAAACCAGACAAAGACACATCAAAAAAAGAAAACTACAAGCCAGACCGGGCGCGGTGGCTCACACCTGTAATCCCCCACACTTTTGAAGACCGAGGCGGGTGGATCACCTGAAGTCAGGAGTTCGAGACCAGCCTGGCCAATATGGGGAAATCCCATCTCTACTAAAAATACAAAAATTAGCCAGGCATGGTGGCAGGCACCTACAATCCCAGCTACTCAGGAGGCTGAGGCAGGAGAATCACTTGTACCTGGGAGGTGGAGGCTGCAGTGAGCTGAGACTGTGCCATTGCACTCCAGCCTGGGCAACAAGAGTGAAACCCCATCTCAAAAAAAAAAAAAAAAAAAAGAGGAAACCATAGGCCAATATCTCTGATGAATATTGATGCAAAATTTTATCCTCAGCAAAATACTAGCAAACCTAATTCAACAATATATTAGAAAGATCATTCATCGTGACCAAGTGGGATTTGTCTCTGGCATGCGGGGATGGTTCAACATACACAAGTCAATCATTATAATACATCATATCAACAGAATAAAGGATAAAAACCATATGATCATTTCATATGGTTTTTTATTGATGTTGAAAAAGCATTTGATAAAATTCAACATCCCTTCATGATTAAAAACCCTAAAAAAACTGGGGATACAAGGAATATACCACAACATAATAAAAGCCATATATGACAGACCCACAGCTAGTATCATACTGAATAGGGGAAACGCCGAAAGCCTTTCCTCGAAGATCTGGAACACAACAAGGATGCCCAATTTCACCACTGTTATTCCACATAGTGTGGGAAGTATGGTTAGAGCAATCAGACAAGAAAAATAAATAAAGGGTATCCAGATTGGAATGGAAGAAGTCAAATTATTCTTGTTTGCAGATGATATGATCTTATATTTGGAAAAAACCTAAAGATTGCACCAAAAAACTATTAGAACTGATAAATTCAGTAAAGTTGCAGGATACAAAATCAACATATAAAAATCAATAGCATTTCTATATGACAACAGTGAACAATCTGAAAAAGTAATAAAAACATAATCTCATTTACAAGAACCACACATAAAATTAAATACCTAGGAATTAACCAAAGATGTGAAAGATACCTATAATGAAAATTAGAAAACACTTATGGAAGAAATGGGAAAATATTCTTTGTTGTTGGATTGGAAGAATCAGTATTGTTCAACTGTCCATACTACCCAAAGCAATCTACAGATTCAGTGCAATCCCTATCAAAATACTAATGACATTCTTCACATAAACAGAAAAAACAATCCCCAAATGTATATGGAACCCCCAAAGACCCACAATAGCCAAAGTTTTCCTAAGCAAAAAGAATAAAACTAGAGGAATCACATTACCTGATTTCAAATTATACTACAGAGCTACAGTAACCAAAACAGCATGGTACTGGCATAAACACAGACACATAGACCAATGTAACAGAATAGAGAACCTGGAAACAGATCCATACACCTACAGTGGACTCATTTTCGACAAGGATGCCAAGAACATATACTAGGGAAAAAACAGTCTCTTCAATAACTGGTACTGGGAAAACTGTATATCCCCATGCAGAAGAATGAAACTAGACCCCTGTCCCTGGCCAGATACAAAAATCAAATAAAAATGAATTAAAGACTTAAATATAAGACCTCTCAAACTATGAAACTACTGCAAGAAAACATTAGGGAAAATCTCCAGGACATAGGTTGGGGCAAATATTTCTTGAGCAATAAATACCCCACAGGAACAGACAACCAAAGTAAACATGGACAAATTGCATCACATCAAGTTTAAAAAGCTCCTGCACACTGCTTCTTGGGCTTTTGGCTAAGATCAAGTATAAAAAAGCACCTGCACAGCAAAGGATACAATCAACAAAGTGAAGAGACAACTCACAGAATGGGAGAAAATATTTGCAAACTACTCATCTGACAACAGATTACTAACCAGAATATATAAGGAGCTCAAACAACTCCAAGGGAAAAAATTGGATAATCGGATCAAAAAATGGGCAATAGATCTGCTTAGACATTTCTCAAATGAAGATATACAAATGGCAAACAGGCATATGAAAAGGTGCTCAACCTCATTGATCATCAGAGAAATGCAAATCAAAACTACAATGAAATACCATCTCACCCCAGTTAAAATGGCTTATATCCAAAAGACAGGCAATAACAAATGTTGGGAGGATGTGGAGAAAAGGGAACCCTTGTACACTGTTGGTGGGAATGTAAATTAGTACAAATACTCTGAAGAACAGTTTGGAGGTTCCTCAAAAAACTAAAAATTGAGCTACCACAGGATGCAGCAATCCCACTGCTGGGTATATACCCAAAAGAAAGGAAATCAATACATTGAAGAGCTATCTGCATTCCCATGTTTGTTGCAGCACTGTTCAGGATAGTCAAGATTTGGAAGCAACCTAAGTGTCTATGAACAGGTGAATGGGTAAAGAAAATGTGGTACATATACACAATGGAATACTATTCAGCTATAAAAAAGAATGAGATCCTGTCATTTGCAACAGGATGGATGGAACTGGAGATCATTATGGTGAGTGAAATAAACCAGGCAAAGAAAAACAAACATCTCATGTTCTCACTTATTTTTGGGATCTAATAATCAAAACAATTGAACTCATTGACATACAGAGTAGAAGGATAGTTACCAGAGGCTGAGAAAGATAATTGGGGGCTTGGGGAAGTGGCCATGGGTACAAAAAAATAGAAAAGATGAATAATACCCACCGTTTGATAGCACAACATGGACACTGTAGTCAATAATTTCATTGTACATTTTAAAATCACAAAAAGAGTACAATTGGATTGTTTGTAACACAAAGAATAAATGATTGAGGGAAGGATGCCCCATTTCCCATGATGTGATTAGTATGCATTGCATGCCTGTATCAAGACATCTCATGTACTCCATAAATATATACACCTATTATGTATCCACAGAAATTAAAAATAACTTTCCCAATTATTTGTAATGGAAAATGGCTGTATTGTCCCACTGAAATTATTTTTTCCTTGGTGCAGAATCTGGGAAAGGCCTCAACTGTGCATCATGGGAAATTGATTTTTAATAATACATCTCTAGTTGTGCACATGATTAGGGACTAACTCATGGTAAGTAAAGTCAGCAGAAACTTCTTCCTCTCACCAGGTTCCTGGGAGGTTGGCTTCTTGATGAGTTAATTGCTCATGGAGTCTGTACCTGAGCCAGTAGAGACAGTCGTGAGGGGTATTTTTGGACATCACAATTTAGAGCTTTCCCTTGGAAGGTGCTGGGTAAGCACCGCTGAAAATTGCCGTTCTTTGGGTGCCCCGTTTCTAGGATATATGTAGACTTTACTTCCTGCCCTGTCTTTTTTTGTTGTTGTTGTTGAGACGGAATCTTGCTCTGTCACCCAGGCTGGCGTGCAGTGGCACGATCTCGGCTCACTGCAACCGCTGCCTCCTGGGTTCAAGCAATTCTCCTGTCTCAGGATCCCATGTAGCTGGGATTACAGGTGCTCACCACCACACATGGCTAATTTTTGTATTTTTAGTAGGGACAGGGTTTCACCATGTTGGCCAGGCTGGTCTCGAACTCCTGACCTCAATTGATCTGCCTGCCTCAGCTTCCCAAAGTGTTGGGATTACAGGCGTGAGCCACCGTGCCAGGCCCTCACTCTGTCTTTAAGACCTTAATCATCTGGATACTGCCTCCAAGTCTTCCCAGCAACATACCTTGTTTCTTTTCTCTTAAGCTCCAACTGCTCCCCCTTTATACATCTGTATTCCTTATGGTAAAATAAACACTAATTATGCTGCACCATGACTATCTGTTATTTTTCCTTGCCTGGAGGAACAGCTCCTTGAGGGCAGGGATCATTTTTTATTATCGTACTCATACCCAGCTACTGCCTGGCATACAATGGATGCTCAAAAAACTTTGCCAAATGAATGAATGAACAGTAGACTTTGTCTAATCTCATGTATGTATTCATACCATTTTCACTTGGAGAAGGTGACTTCTTACAAGTCTTAATGAAAACTTACTTCACCCATTATGTACTAAGGGATCCACGTTTCACTACCTGATGAAATATGCTTCTTAAGGTGTGTACAGTTTTGGCTGCTTTTCAAGCTGGACTTGCTCAATCCGTTAGTCATCTTCCCTGGAGCTAAGTGCTAAAATGTCACAAATTGCAGCTGGTTCCTTGTTTCTTTCCAACATATATCTCTCATTTTACTGTTCAAACTATGTTCTTAGTTAAATGTATACCTGAGAATGACAGAGGCATGTTATGAAGAGGCAACATATGTCCCTAAATGGACCTCTGTCCCTAAATAAACTTGGCGGGTTTTTTTTTAAATCTTTCTTTCAGCCTCATCCTGAAAAACAACCTGATTTCATACTAATTAATAAAAACTGAAATGTTTCAACAGGAGGTTAATTACTAGCTAGGATGAACAAATGCAATAGAAAAACTGCCTCTGAAATACCGGGTAATTGCTGACAAACTGAAAGGACTGTCTGAATTGTAATTTGGACAAGGGAATTGATTTTAATAGGACTTTTGGGTTTTAAAAATTCCTAGTAAAGGGCCGGGCACGGTGGCTGACGCCTGTAATCCCAGCACTTTGAGAGGCCGAGGCAGGCAGATCACGAGGTCAGGAGATCGAGACCATCCTGTGTAACATGGTGAAACCCCGTTTCTACTAAAAATACAAAAAAAAAATTAGTCGGGCCTGGTGGCGGACGCCTGTAGTCCCAGCTACTTGGGAGGCTGAGGCAGGAGAACGGCGTGAACCTGGAAGGCGGAGCTTGCAGTGAGCCGAGATCACACCACTGCACTCCAGCCTGGGTGAGAGCGAGACTCCGTCTCAACAACAACAACAACAAAATTCCTAGTAAAGAATTCAGCTGTCATCCTTATTTTGAAAATTAATCCTAGAGTTAAAGCTAGTTGAGCATTCACTGCCAGGTTGGAAGTGCCGACCAATGAACTTTTTAAGTTAAAAAAAAAGGGGTTATATTAGTATTTAAGTTATGCCAAATATTTTAGATATTAAAGAAAGTTGTATTTACAATTATATTGTTTAATTCTCAATATATTACCAAATATATAGTTTATTTAAAGATGGGAAAAATTAAAATCTACTTATGTTTGAGTTCTAATCCTATTTTGCTATGCAAATCTAATCCTGATTTGCATAGCAAAATCAAGATTAGATTATAATGTTGCTAAATGCAACATTATAATTATGCATTCCACTAAAACTGTGCAATTTGTGAGAAAGTCCTTTCTACTCTCTCTGCTCCTTTTGTTCTTAATTCTAAGGCCAAGTTTTTAGTTTAGATTTTTAAAGTAAAAATGGAACACCTATTCAGTTAAATTTGTTTTTATGTCATAAATCATTACTCGTTGGAACACAATATTCAGTGAAGACTTTTTTTTTTTTTTTGATATGGAGTCTTGCTCTGTCACCAGGCTGGAGTGCAGTGGCATGATCTGGGCTCACTGCAACCTCTGCCTCCCGGGTTCAAGCTACTCCCCTGCCTCAGCCTCCTGAGTAGCTGGAACTACAGGCGCGCGCCACCACGCCCAGCTACATTTTGTATTTTTAGCAGAGACAGGGTTTCACCATGTTGGCCAGAATGGTCTCGATCTCTTGATCTCGTGATTCGCCTGCCTCGGATTCCCAAAGTGCTGGGACTACAGGCGTACGCCACCGTGCCCGGCCTCAGTGTAGATATTTTTTAAAGCCAAGAAAGCCATAAGTATTGCACAAGTTATACACGTACCTGAATTTACATGCACACATAGATATCAGTTCATGGGACTCACTCTCCTGTTTAAGATATGACCAGAGGCTTGTAACGACAATGTAGAATTCTAAGACAGCACAATAAAACAATCATAAACTAACCACTTCCCTTTGCCAAGTTTAGCAAAGTGGATGGAACAGGAAAAAAGATGTTCATGATAATCCTATTTCATATAGATTAAGGCTGGATTAAGGTGCAGCCATTCAGATAAGGGGAGGGGTATTAAATTATCCGAAGGTCTCATTTGGTTACTATTATTTCTTAAGGCTTTTTTAAGGCTAAAGACGGCTGAAAGTCACTGGACACCTTTGTAGCCTTGTCATCTGGTCCTGGCCAGATCTGAGTTGAGAAAAACCAGCCTCAGATCCGCCTCTGCAGGAGTTGGGCGCTCCCCACTCCCTGCACGCCCCGACTCCAACACTGGCTTCAGCTTCAATCCCAGAAAAGTGGATCAAAACGACAGGTTCCACGAACAAACACTGCGCCGGCGCCTCTACTTTGGAGAAAAGGAAAAGGGCGTGAGGTTTCGGTCATTTTTGTCAAAGGAAATCAGATGAAAAGGGGTGTACAAAGGACCAGGTCTCGTGAGCGCAGCCAATCTTGTCCGCTCCCAAGCGACTCAGGCTCTTGGCAGGACTTGCTGTAGAGTCCCAGACGGAGTTAGCCACTGAGTCCTTCAGCGACCCAGGAAATAACAACACTGTTGGCAGGTGGGGGAGGGCGCCCGGGAAGATATCCAATAGTGGCGTCAGGCAAGAGGACAGAAATGCTCCTTTCATTCACCTTTCGAAGCAGAGCATTTGGTCCCCGTTGGCCTCTGACTCTCTGTTGCGGCAATCTAGATGTTACCAGAATTCCCGTGTTTCCTTCATATTCAAAGGCACAGGAAATCTGGGGTGCAAGCGGACTGCTGTCTCTCAAGGAATAGAAGTCTGTGACAAACGTATAGAAATGAGTTTCATGTTGAACAAGATCCGTTTCTGCGTTCCTCCCTCATCCAGCCTTGATTCTCCAGATGCTTACCAACTTCTTAATATTTACCTCAACTGCAAGGCTTTCAACCGGCGCTTTTGTTAGAATACTACTATCTTCCCATTAAAGCAATGTCCACACTCAGTTTGCTTGGTGAAAATGTTAATAACGCACACTTAGAAAAACGGTGATAACCGTTGCTTGCATAAAGTGGCCATTTGAATAGACTTTGGATCTGATTTAGAGATTTAGGGATGGATGTTTTAAAAAAAGCAAAAGTAGTAACAGACTATAGCATTGGTAATGTGTGTGTGCATATATACATATTATTTTTAAAAAAATAAAGTTCGATTATTTCACCTGGCTTGTCAGTCACCTATGCAGGCGTCTGAGCCCCCGGGTTTCCAGGAGCCCCCCGTATAAGGACCCCAGGGACTCCTCTCCCCACGCGGCCGGGCCGCCCGCCCGGCCCCCAGCCCGGAGAGCTGCCACCGACCCCCTCAACGTCCCAAGCCCCAGCTCTGTCGCCCGCGTTCCTTCCTCTTCCTGGGCCACAATCTTGGCTTTCCCGGGCCGGCTTCACGCAGTTGCGCAGGAGCCCGCGGGGGAAGACCTCTCGTGGGGACCTCGAGCACGACGTGCGACCCTAAATCCCCACATCTCCTCTGCCGCCTCGCAGGCCACATGCACCGGGAGCCGGGCGGGGCAGGCGCGGCCCGCAAGGACCCCCGCGATGGAGACGCAACACTGCCGCGACTGCACTTGGGGCAGCCCCGCCGCGTCCCAGCCGCCTCCCGGCAGGAAGCGTAGGTGTGTGAGCCGACCCGGAGCGAGCCGCGCCCTCGGGCCAGCGTGGGCAGGGCGCCGCAGCCTGCGCAGCCCCGAGGACCCCGCGTCGCTCTCCCGAGCCAGGGTTCTCAGGAGCGGGCCGCGCAGGAGACGTTAGAGGGGGTTGTTAGCGGCTGTTGGGAGAACGGGTCACGGAAACAGTCCCTTCCAAAGCCGGGGCCATCGTGGGGTGGGCGAGTCCGCCCTCCCAGGCCGGGGGCGCGGACCAGAGGGGACGTGTGCAGACGGCCGCGGTCAGCCCCACCTCGCCCGGGCGGAGACGCACAGCTGGAGCTGGAGGGCCGTCGCCCGTTGGGCCCTCAGGGGCCTGAACGCCCAGGGGTCGCGGCGAGTCCACCCGGAGCGAGTCAGGTGAGCAGGTCGCCATGGCGATGCGGCCCCGGAGAGCGCACGCCTGCCGCGGTCGGCATGGAAACGCTCCCGCTAGGTCCGGGGGCGCCGCTGATTGGCCGATTCAACAGACGCGGGTGGGCAGCTCAGCCGCATCGCTAAGCCCGGCCGCCTCCCAGGCTGGAATCCCTCGACACTTGGTCCTTCCCGCCCCGCCCTTCCGTGCCCTGCCCTTCCCTGCCCTTCCCCGCCCTGCCCCGCCCGGCCCGGCCCGGCCCTGCCCAACCCTGCCCCGCCCTGCCCCGCCCAGCCGGCCACCTCTTAACCGCGATCCTCCAGTGCACTTGCCAGTTGTTCCGGACACATAGAAAGATAACGACGGGAAGAGCGGGGCCCGCTTTGGGGTCCAGGCAGGTTTTGGGGCCTCCTGTCTGGTGGGAGGAGGCCGCAGCGCAGCACCCTGCTCGTCACTTGGGATGGAGACCGGCTTTCCCGCAATCATGTACCCTGGATCTTTTATTGGGGGCTGGGGAGAAGAGTATCTCAGCTGGGAAGGACCGGGGCTCCCAGATTTCGTCTTCCAGGTAACGTGGGTTTAGTATCCCGACTTGGAGGCTTGTCAGAATGTTTCTCTCCTTCCAGCCCAACACGAAGTCTTGGGATAAAAAGCCTCCCTCAGGGATTCAAATAACTGTTTTGATTCAGAGCAACTTTGATCGCCTGTGCGGTCGCACCTGCCCTTTCAGCCCCAATAATTACTGGGAAGATCAGCAATTGGTGTTAGTCCCATTGCTTGGTGCTCTCCCTCCTAGAGGTTCGCTGTGTCCTTGGAGCCCGGGGTGGACGGAATCGACTAAACAGCTTGTCTGTTTCTCTTTCCCTGGTAGCAGCAGCCCGTGGAGTCTGAAGCAATGCACTGCAGCAACCCCAAGAGTGGAGTTGTGCTGGCTACAGTGGCCCGAGGTCCCGATGCTTGTCAGATACTCACCAGAGCCCCGCTGGGCCAGGATCCCCCGCAGAGGACAGTGCTAGGGCTGCTAACTGCAAATGGGCAGTACAGGAGGACCTGTGGCCAGGTAATGACTCAGACGCATTGAGAATGATGCTTGTGGAGAACAGCTCTCCTGCTTTGGTGCCAGGTGCTTTTCTCTTGCCCTTGTACCTACAACTCCCCCTGAGTATTACAACCCTGGAATCTGGACTACAGGAAAGTTGATTGATTTATTTTCTTTCTTTCTTTCTTTCTTTCTTTCTTTCTTTCTTTCTTTCTTTCTTTCTTTCTTTCTTTCTTTCTTTCGTTCTTTCTTTCTTTCTTTTCTTTCTCTTTCTTTCCTTCTTTCTTTTTCTTTGTTTCTCTTCCTTCTTCCTTTCCTTTTTTTTTCTTTCCTTTCCTTTCCTTCTTTTTTTTTTTTTGAGACGGAGTTTCGCTCTTGTCGCCAGGCTGGAGTGCAGTGACGCGATCTCGGCTCACTGCAACCTCCACCTCCCGGGTTCAAGCGATTCTCCTGCCTCAGCCTCCCGAGTAGCTGGGATTTCAGGCACCCACCACCACGCCCGGCTAATTTTTGTGTTTTTAGTAGAGATGGGATTTCACCATGTTGGCCAGGCTGGTCACCAACTCCTGACCTCAGGTGACCCGCCCACCTCGGCCTCCCAAAGTGTTGGGATTACAGGCGTCAGCCACGGTGGCAGGCCAGTTGATTTCTTAAGATCACCTTGAGGGGTTCGGTTTTCAGCTAGAAATAGTGATTAGTTTTCTTTGTTATTTTTTCCACTATCAAGGAAATAGGTCTAGGAACTGTTTGGGTTATGTATATTAAAGTAATTTAAGGGCTGGGCTAAAAGGAAATGTGAATGCTTCCAAATAAACTGTGGAACTGGGGTTCCTCCAGGTTAGAGCAGTGTTCACATTGATGCAGGCTGTGCCTAAAGCAAACCTGGATAATCTTGGCTGTGTTCATTGCGGATAGTGTTAAAATCAGGATTAGATCAGGCTAGATTAGATTACTCCAAAATGGGTGCTTTGAAGGCAGACATCTTCCCAGTACTGACTAAGCAGCTATGCTAACAGGTAATGGTCCCTCAGATATTAGTTGTGTGAACTTAACTGATCATAGATACCTTAACCAGACTGAAAACTATACCTTTCCTATTTCATAAGTGAGAAAATCTGAAAGGTTTAAGCCTCTGCCAAAAGAAAGCTATGGTAGAAACTAGATTAGAAGCCTCTCATCTACTGACTCTTCACATGCTCTGTTCAAAGCTTTGGAGAAAATTGAGTGGAAGTGGTTTTAACAAATTTTAATTTGCTTAGCAATGTTTGCTTTTTAAAACTTAACGCCTGAGACTTGGTTCTTATGAATTGTCAGTTGTGCCTGTGTTGAATGGTCGCATTTTAAATTCCCAGTTGCTAACCTCTTATGTTACCTGGTGCCACTTCTGCATTTCCCTGTACCTATCCTCTACAACCTGCTTAGAAATCTATTTTGTACCTTCCCTTCTCTGTTTAATCCTCAGTAACCTCCTCCTTCATGCCCAGTCTCAGCTGATCACTTTGTATCTTATTTTCCTAAAAATATAGAAGCAAGCAGAAGAGAATCTCCACATGTCCCTGTGTGCCATATAATCTGCCATCTACATCCTGTTATGTGACTGCTATGTCCCTGCTGTCATGAGAGGTGCCCCCCCCCCCGCGCCATGCGTACAATATACTCGTGTCTTCTTGCTTCTTCAAGGATGTTACTCTAGCCACTTTTCTTTCTCTCATGAGTTTTTTCTTTTCTACTGGGCCAAATCTGTAAGCATACAAATATATTGCCATTTTCCCATCTTAAAAACCTTTCAACTAAACGCTCCCTCTGAGTATTACAACCCTGGAATCTGGACCACAGGGAAGAAGTTGACTTTGTAAAATCACCTTGACCGGTCCCTTTTTCAGCTAGAAATGGTGACGAATTTTCTTTGTTAGTTTTCCAATATCAAGGAAATAGGTCTAGGAGCTGTTTGCATTATGTCGATTAAAGTAATTTAAGTGCTTAAAGAAATTTAAGTAATGGGACAGAAGCTATCCCATTTAAAGCCACATATCTTGAGAGTTTGTCGTATCTTGACATATATAATGTTGCCTTTCCCACTAACATGTAAGCTCCATCCAGGTGTTGATTTAGGTTGTCATGTTCACTGTTGTGTGTCCATTACTTTGAACAGACCTGGGCCTGGCCAGGATGGCACACATTGTTTGTTGGATGAATGTTCTCTGTCTCTAGTTCTTTTCCTGCTCTATTTGGACTCAATTCATAGTCTTTTCCTTCCTCGACTGATCAGCATTATTTGACATGGCTGATCATTATTTTTTCCTTGAAATAATTTCTTCTCATTCAGCTTGTAGAACACCACTCTCTCCAAGTTTTCTACCTAGCTCATTGGCCACTGTTTGATATTCTAATTGTTACTTATATATATAGTCTGTACAAGTTAGAGTGCCCTAGGACCTAGTCTTTGATCTAAATCTTGCACTCACTCCCTTAGTAGCCTCTTAGTCTCCTAGCATTAAACACTCTCTATTTGGTGATGACTGATATTTCTATCTCTGGCCTGGGCCTCTGAGGTTTATTGCAGGCTCACATATTCAGGAGCCTACTTGGCATCTCCACTTAGGTCATATAATAAGCAACGTATAAAACGAAACACCCATCCTTTTCCCTACTCCCAGACTGCTCTTCCCAAGTCTTCCTTGTCTCAGTAAATGGAGTAGCCATCCTTTCTGTTATTTAGCCTCCAAACCTTTGTCTTCCTCGATTCTTATTTTTCTCTCACCCCACATCTAATCTTATGAGAAAATATTATTAACTCTACTTTTTAAATGTCTAGAACTATTTTGCTCTTCATGGTTTACAATTACTTCCCTGGTTCAAATCCCTATTGTGTCTCACTTAGAATTTTCAAGTTTTGTAATTGATTGGCTTACTTACTCTCCACCTGTGCACAGCCAGAATCATCCTTTTAAGAAATGAAAAGATTATGCCACTCCTTTGCCCAAAATTCCAGTGGCTCCTGTCTCTGAATAAAAGCCAATTCTTAGATCAGCCTTGGCAAGTGAACAAAAACAAAATAATAGTAATGAAAACTAATCCTTAATTGGCCTATGGTAAGTGCTTCATGATTGGCCTCTTTTTTCTTTCTGTCCTCATGGCCTATATGACTGTCTCACTCTGCTCTGTTTGCTCCTACTGTGTCTTTTCTAGTTTGTTTCAGTCTTCTTCCACAGACTAGAATATAAACTCCATCAAGGTAGTTCTTTTTAAACATTTTGTTCACTGCTAAATTCTGGGCACGAGAAAAGCTTCTAGCACATAGTAGATACTCAGTAAATATTTGTTTATTAAATATATGTCCCAGCCTATGGACACAGTATCTATGTAGCAAGAGTCAAACCTGGCAGTAACTTGGAGCTGTGGTTGTAGCAAGAGTCAAACTTCGCAGTAACTTGGTTATCTGGTTACAGTAACTTATGATTGTGACTCTTTGTTGTCTTTGTGATTTCCCCCCAATTACTACCATAAGTGTTCGTTTTCTTACAGACATAAGTCACCTATTTAACTTGATAAATAAAAGGGAGAGTTATGGAACCACCTACTAACTTAGAAGTAGCCTTCAACAGTACACACCAAGATACATTATAAACAAAATGTTAATGTGGTAGACAGAGCTGGCATTTGCGTAAATATAGCTCAGGTTCATAGAGCTGCCCACCTGCCCTGATTCAGCTGACATTCATGCCATCTGGCATGGCTCACCTTAATATGCAACAGTGTTTGATGCATTATGCTTGTTCACTGTGGCGGCACCACAGTTGTTCCCATTGTTCATGTTATAAGAATAGAGAAAAAGGAGAAGTGACTAAGAAATTTCCCCAAGAGTAAATGCATTATGTCATACGTAAAGGTTCTGTGGCTTGTAAGAGAATTTAGCAGCATCAGTTTCCAAAATCGTGTTTCTTAATAAGTGGATATAAAATGGAAACATTATAGGGGCCTTCTGGCTAAAAAGTTATTTATTTAAGGAGGGGAATTGTAGGAACTCAGTCACTGCATCAAGAGTTATGCTGACTACTTATAAAATCTCATGATGCTATAAATATGAAAGCCAATTTACAGTTTTCCCTTTATATGTGGTACCCATTTCATTTTGGAAGAGAGCTATAGGTTTTCTTTTTTCTACAATCTTGAGTTTCCTTTGATACATATGTGAGGTAGATTAAAATTTTAGGTAGCTCTTTCTCCAAATATCAAATGTAGACAAAGATAAGGGGGGAAAAATTACACTTTTGAAGACCTTTTTTTTTTGGAATTAAATTGCCGACATAGATTTTTCAGTTTAGAATGTATCTTACCTTCCCAGGCTGTTGGTTTGAGTCATGCAGGTTCACATTGCCTCTGTGGTCTTTGACGTGGCCTCTAACAAAAGATTTAAACGTTTTTTAGGGGATCACAAGAATCAGGTGTTATTCTGGATCAGAAAATGCCTTCCCTCCAGCTGGAAAGAAAGCACTCCCTGACTGTGGGGTCCAAGAGCCCCCCAAGCAAGGGTTTGACATCTACATGGATGAACTAGAGCAGGGGGACAGAGACAGCTGCTCGGTCAGAGAGGGGATGGCATTTGAGGATGTGTATGAAGTAGACACCGGCACACTCAAGTCAGACCTGCACTTCCTGCTGGATTTCAACACAGGTAACTGACTTGCCTATGGTTGATGGCTGATGGTACCCTGTATTTATAACTGCCTGCAGCATTCAATAGCTAGTAACTAGCAAGAGAAAAACAGCAAGTAATAACTGTATTCACAACTGCCTGTAGAGGGTTAGTGGATTGAACAAATGTTTAAATTAAATGAGTTATCTGACAGTGTTGAACTCTTGCAGTTTCCCCTATGCTGGTAGATTCATCTCTCCTCTCCCAGTCTGAAGATATATCCAGTCTTGGCACAGATGTGATAAATGTGACTGAATATGCTGAAGAAATTTATCAGTACCTTAGGGAAGCTGAAGTAAGTTTTCCCACCTTCTACTTCAATCTTCAGGACCCGAGCTCTTATTACTAAGATAAATTATAAACTCTTGGTCCATAACCACTAGTGAATGGCACTCTTATGCCAGCTAAACATAAGAATATCTATGAAAAATAATAGTTGTGATGGCAAGTCGCAATTGCTTGGACTATTTCTACATGATTCAAAGGGTTTATATGTTAAATATTTCACTCTTAGGAATAATTCATATTGCCATTCTCCCCTGCCCCCCCAACCCCAGGTTAATTTGCTAACCAATTACTTTACAGAACCAGAAATTTACACTTTCTTCCTTGTTATGATAAAGATTTATTTGGCTCTGATCAGAATCTTTCCAACCTTTGCTTGTGAGATTTTTAAATAGCAACTATATTGTGGAATGATCTTTCTGAAATTGCAACTACTAAATATCAAAACCTTTTCCCAATCAGATAAGGCACAGACCCAAAGCACACTACATGAAGAAGCAGCCAGACATCACGGAAGGCATGCGCACGATTCTGGTGGACTGGCTGGTGGAGGTTGGGGAAGAATATAAACTTCGAGCAGAGACCCTGTATCTGGCTGTCAACTTCCTGGACAGGTTCCTTTCATGTATGTCTGTTCTGAGAGGGAAACTGCAGCTCGTAGGAACAGCAGCTATGCTTTTGGCTTCGTAAGTGTTCTTTCAGCTTGCATAATATGAAACTATCACTTGTCAAAACATGGAATTTTTGTCCTCTATTTCTTATTGAAGAAATGCAATGCTTGATAATTAAAACTAGTCATGTGTCCTTTGATAAAAGATCATCCTCTTCACAGGATTGACTGAGAAACTGAAACTTACCACATGTTTACTCTTCAATCACCTGGTTATGATTTATAGCAACAAGTTCAGTGTCATGACTAAGGCAGCCATCATCTCAAATTCAGGATCTAATTTAACTATTTTGCAGTGTAGTCTTTTTGCTATTTCCTATCTATTAAGTCCTATTTAAAGACAGTGTGGTTACAAAAAGCTATCTTCATGATCTAGCAAATGACCCATAATAACAGGTTTATTTGGTTACAGTGAATAAACTACTTCAACTGGTTCCTGTTACTATCATTCATTCATGAAAGTACCTAATTGTGTGGGAAAAGAGAGCTGGGTTGTGGCTGAGCTACCTTTAAGTGACCTGTTGCTGAGTGGTAGTTTCTTTTCTGTTCTTCTGGTCTCAAACATTCTATTGTTAATGCAGAAAAACTTGCCAAAATTCCCCTAAAGAAAGTAGAAACAAAGGCAGAAGGAAAGAATTGATCATAGTGAAATTATATCATTATGTCTCTTGGCTATAAGCATCATTTGCTAATTCAGTGGACAAAGTTGAACAGCATCTTTTTAAAAACTAGAGGCCTGTGGAGTTTGTTTCTATCACTGTGTTGATCTTAACACTTTTTTCTATGAAGTGATTTGAGGTCTGTAGAATGTGTAGGAATTTACCTGTAGTGTCTGTCATTCAGAATCTTTCAGTGTATCACAGGCCCAAACCTAAAATTCTTGGTTGGAAATTGTTTCTGTTACTACTCCTAGCAGTAAATATAACCTATCCTTGTGATAATCATGTTCTTGGTCCAGAAACAAGCTCCTAGTACTTTCATAGCCCTGAGTCATTTAGTGGTATTTAAGTGGATATGTGGCTGCAAAGTAAGTCTGCAAGGGCCATGCGGAGAGGCGTGGCTTATGGTAGCACAGGAGTAGAGCCAAAGGTTCTAAGTTTTACTTCTGAAAACTCTTCCTTTCCCAGGAAATATGAAGAGATATATCCTCCTGAAGTAGACGAGTTTGTCTATATCACCGATGATACATACACAAAACGACAACTGTTAAAAATGGAACACTTGCTTCTGAAAGTTCTAGCTTTTGATCTGACAGTACCAACCACCAACCAGTTTCTCCTTCAGTACTTGAGGCGACAAGGAGTGTGCGTCAGGACTGAGAACCTGGCTAAGGTGTGTATGCCGCGTGATTTCTAGGAACTTCCAGTGCCAAGGAGCGTAAAAATCAACCTTTCCCAATCATCCTTCAGTTCTTTTTTCCTTTTCAGTTTTCTTCCCACAGGCCCAGAAAAACTGTTCCAGTGCTGAAAAAGAGCTAATTTTAAGAACCCAGCTTTTGGTTATAAGGCATTACTATTGACTATATTTGGCAGGCACGGGTTGTCTAATCACCCAACTATTTAAAAATTTAAGCTTGGAAACTGTTCTCTTATTGGATACAGACCACATACAAGCAAAACCTCCTAGGTTTATAGAGTGGGAACAAAGTAAATCTAGTTTAATAAGGTTTTAGTCTCATCCTAATATATTAAGTAATGAGCATTATTTGGTTGTTTGGAGTTACAGAACTTTAGTTGAAGGCATTGAAGTATTGCTTTGGTCAACTGGGTTTCCAGTGACCATAATCTAGGATATCTGGTATTTATGTGCTGTGCAAAGGGTAATAAGGATGTCCACATGTTTTACTATGTTTCTTCTAATATGAGATATTCCCACTGGTGCTGTCCTAGTCTCTGAACTGCCTGATAGATTAATAGCTTTAATATTTTTGTCTTTTGGCTAAAATCTCTGTTCCAATTCCAGCTGCCAGAGCAGTACCACTTTATCTCAGCATAAACCTAAACTATTAGCATAAGAAAAGTAACCTATCACCTATACTTTGAGTAGGCCAAATACTTTTGTATTGACATTTTACCAAAACATAAATGTTACTGTTGTTATAGACAGGCATACCAATTACTAACCCAGTAAGTAATTTTGAGCATCTATTTTTGTAGATGCCGACTGAACAAAGATAAGATACCATTTATTTCCTTGCCATTTCCAGGCTTACTTGTGACCTTAGTCACATTTCTAATTCCAATGTGTTTTCTTCTCTTGTGCTTAGTACGTAGCAGAGCTGAGTCTACTTGAAGCAGATCCATTCTTGAAATATCTTCCTTCACTGATAGCTGCAGCAGCTTTTTGCCTGGCAAACTATACTGTGAACAAGCACTTTTGGGTAAGATTCTAACTTCTTTCTAGATGAAATTCAAGGTCTATCTAGAATGGGCTTGCCTCTTATGAGGGCAAGTTAGTTTAATAAGGATCTGGTCAACTTGACAGCAGACCACAACATGCCACTGAGTCTTCCAGGTCAGTCATGATGGCTTTGACTCAATGGCTTCACTCTATGAGGACTGAGATTGCAGGAAGTCAAGGAGACAGCATCACATGCTCCTTCAACAGAAGCAGGCCTGGGAACCTCAGTGCCCACTGTTATTCAGGGAGGGCCCTTGAGGTACAATCATTGACTGCTTCAAGCAAAAGTTGTTGACTTTTACCTTCTATATTAAAAACAAAAACCTAGGTCCAATTAGGATGGCCAGAAGATTGCACCTCAGGCTTTCAAGACAACAGGGCAGTAAAGTGTTGCCTCTTGCCCAAGAAGGTGGCAACATCAGAAATGGACCCCTAGGTTTGGTTCTGAAGGCTCACTGTTGTACTAAAAGAAGTGGGGTGTCTACCCTTATTTTCATGAATGCTTATGTTTTTTTCTGCTGCATTTTCTTTTTTTAAAAATTTTCTTTTACTTTTTTTTAAGTAATTCTTATTCCAGCACTGCAGTGTTTTGACTAAAAATTTTTCATGTTGTGTACAAATAGAATGGTCAGGCAAGCAGGGCTCTATAAGGACCAGTAAAAATTTCACTCATGAGGGAACAAGGAAAAAGTGATCCAGCCCCAAATTGAGCATTATAAATTTATAATATGAGAAAATTTAGAGCCTTGGCTGTTCTTTCTGATATTTTACATCTAAAATCTCTGAAGGGGGTTCTGGTCTCTTTCGAGATGAATGTGAATATTTACTAAGGGACTAATTCCCTTTATTTCAAATTGGTTATCTTCGGATATCTAATATAAAGTTATGTGAAGCAATTTTTTTCTTTTGTCTTGATTAGCCAGAAACCCTTGCTGCATTTACAGGGTATTCATTAAGTGAAATTGTGCCTTGCCTGAGTGAGCTTCATAAAGCGTACCTTGATATACCCCATCGACCTCAGCAAGCAATTAGGGAGAAGTACAAGGCTTCAAAGTAAGTCACTGACATTTTCATATCTTAGCTCTCTATTTAAAGCTTAATGGGTTATAGTAATGGTTACTAGATTAAAAATAGATTAAATTGTGTATCTGGTGCCAGGTTGGAAAAGTAAGGGTACGTGTACAAATTTACAAATAAATTTGAAAAGACCTAGATTTATAATTTGTCAGCTTTTAATACTTGTAGTCAGCCAGCTTCCTTCCTTCCATTCTGTTAAAACTACTGGAAAGTTTTCTGTGACCTGAGATTTTATCAAACCAAAGTCCTTGGCTTGTGCTGACCTTGCTTTGGGTCTTGTTTCAGGTACCTGTGTGTGTCCCTCATGGAGCCACCTGCAGTTCTTCTTCTACAATAAGTTTCTGAATGGAAGCACTTCCAGAACTTCACCTCCATATCAGAAGTGCCAATAATCGTCATAGGCTTCTGCACGTTGGATCAACTAATGTTGTTTACAATATAGATGACATTTTAAAAATGTAAATGAATTTAGTTTCCCTTAGACTTTAGTAGTTTGTAATATAGTCCAACATTTTTTAAACAATAAACTGCTTGTCTTATGACCATGTGTTAGATTTATTTACTAATTATCATGGCTGACATATTCGTCTGGAATGTTTGTTGAGAGTATTAAAAGTGTTATGTCTATTTCAAATATTCTTCAAAACTGGTTTTGTAAACGTGGCATGCTATTAGGATTAAGTATTCCAAGGCATCCAGGGATATTCATGTTTGGTAAATGGCCGCTTTGAGGCTTTTTTCCTTCCTGTCTCTTTATTCCCCAGGTAGCTCGCCATAGATTAGTAAAGGAAGGAAGGGACAGCGTAGACAGATGGGTGAAGAGATTTGAATATGCGCTGCCTGCTCTAGCTTCACTCTACCATCCTAGTCAGTAAGACAGGGGTTGAGGCCCAAATGTAGTCACATAGCTCTTAGAGGTCACTGACATTTAATTCTAATCCAAGGATAGCATGCTCATTTGTACAGGGCTGCTATTATGTCTATGATCAGGTTTGATTTAGGCACCCATTAAGCATATATTTCTGTCTTAGAAGATGCTTGCTTTGGGAGGTAGAAAAGCAAATTTCACCTTCGGAAGGAACATCAGAATAATGAACCCAACCCACCAACTGTGTCTCCTGGGAGACCTCTACCCTAAGCTTTGGTATGGCTTGAATTATTCATGATCTTTCATGATCTACAGTTTACTTCACTAATCTATATATGTTTTCTCTTCTCTTCTCTTCTCTTCTCTTCTCTTCTCTCCTCTCCTCTCCTCTCCTCTTTTCTGATGAAGTTTCAGTCTTGTCACCGTGGCTGGAGTGCAGTGGCATGATCTTGGCTCCCTGCAACCTCCGCCTCCCGGGTTCAAGCGATTCTCCTGCCTCAGCTTCCCGAGTAGCTGAGATTACAGGTGTCCACCACCACACTCAGCTATTTTTTTGTATTTTTAGTAGAGACAGTTTCGCCATGTTGTTCAGGCTGGTCTTGAACTCCTGAGCTCAACTGTTCCACCTGCCTCAGCCTCCCAAAGTGCTGGGATTACAGGTGTGAGCTACCACGCCCGGCACACCTGGCTAATTTTTTGTATTTTTTTTTTTTTTGTAGAGGTGGGTTTTTTTGCCATATTGTCCAGGCAGGTCTTGAACTCCTGGGCTCAAACCCTTGGGCTCAAGTGATCCACCCACCCACCTTGACCTCTCAAAGTGCTGGAATTACAGGCGTGAGCCAATGTGTCTGCCCAGCACTTACGTAGGCTACAAGATGGGTAAAATGGAAAACAAAACAATTGTTTAGAATTTCTTCTAAAGATTGGAAGGAAAAATGAGTAGATTTGGCCTTGAGGGTGGGTGGTGCTTTTTGGGGATTAAATGTGAATTTGCACTGTGCTCTTGTTATCACCAAAATTAGTTGCCCTGGACCAGTAGTTCTTGAGCTCTCTGGGCTATGTGTGCCTCTGCAGAGGGGCCTCTGGAGAGGGGACTCCATGGGGCGGTCCCGAAGACATGATTTGCTTTTTCTATCTCCAAAACCTCTCAAGGAGATAAGAAATCCATGTCTTCTAGATTCCTTTACATAGAAGAGGTTACACTCAGGCACGTTTTGGTGAAATGGATATAGATGAAATTCACTGCAGATTTTGTTTCTTTCAAGCTCTAATGAAATTATAAACATAAAAATACAGCCACATTTTATGAAGTCTTTAAAAAATTTTTAAGTACCCACAAGTTCTTAAAAGATTTTAACATTCCCTCCACCCTGCTTTTTTTTCCCAGCAGATAAACATTCTCAAGGTGTCTTCATTTCTGGGTCCAGTGAAGAAATTATTTCCCTAAATGTTTTGACATTTATTGCACACAGTTCACAAAGGGGATACAGGACCTGTATTAATACTGAATTCTGTTTTTATGTTATATGATTAATAACTCGTTATTTCATATTCTAATATATGACTATGTATGTTTCTGTTCACTGCATGAACAAGCTGAACTTTCCAACTATCCTTTTGTACTTCAAAAGGATGACAGACAAATTGCTTCCTCCCAAGTGGGGAGTGGGAGAGGGCAGTTCTGTTTTTTGTTGTTGTTGTTTGTTTATTGTTTTGTTTCTGAGGCGGAGTCTCCCTCTGTTGCTCAGGCTAGAGTGCAGTGGGACAATCATGGCTCACTACAGTCTCGACCACCGAGGCTCAAGTGATTCTCCCACATCAGCCTCCCGAGTAGCTGGGACTAAGGTGTGTGCCACCTGTGTCCAGCTTGAGGGCAATTCTGGGTAAGGTTTTGGTGGTAGAAGTGCTGTGTTTGTCCCTTTCAAGCCTTAAGGCTTTGGACTTGGCTAGGGAAGCTTCCTCTCATCCTTTACACACTTGTATTGGCTGATCACTTTCCTGTGATATGTGTGTTTGTTTTGAAGTGGACCCAGACACAATAACATTTTCTTTCACTGGTAGTATTCTTACTTTACAATGATTTGTGTCAGCTAGAGGGGACCTTGTAGAAATAGGTTCTCCACTGTGAATTATTTTACAAAGGAGCTTTTGTTTCTAAAACCAAATGCAAAATTTAGACTCAATTACAAAAACATATTATAGGACTGAACACGTAACTTTTATGTTCTTTGCTGATAGTGGTTTGCCCAAACCCCGTTCCATCCCACAACACACACACCCACTGATTGCGAAGGCCTGACCCTTATCTTAGACTTCCCTTTCTTAGTGCTTTTTTATGTCTCTGAAATACTTTATCTAAAAATAGAAATATAACCATCACCTGTGTATCTCCCGCCCAGTTTCAGAGGGAATAGCAGCCTGCATGTGCCTTCTTTTCATTGTTTTTCTTCCCTGAATTTGGTGTTGATCAAATCCGTGCATCATTTTTATACAATCTTGTGCCATATAATGATGTTTTGGTCAACAATGATTTGTGTATATGATGTGGTCCCATAAGATTATAATACTGTGTATTTTCACTGTACCTTACCTGTATTTAGATATGTTTAGATACATAAATACTTGCCATTGTGTTAGAGCTGCCTACTGTATTCAGTACACTAACATGCTGTAGAGGTGTGTAGCCTAGGAGCAAGAGGCCATACCACACAGCCTAGGTGTGGAGCAGACTATCCCACCGAGGTTTGTGTGAGTACACTCTATGATGTTCACACAGTGATGAAATTGCCTAACAATGCATTTCTCAGAACATATCCCCATTGTGAAGCGATGCATGACTATACATCATAAGAATGTGTCCATAAACAATAATGTTTGTTTTTAAAATGTAATGGTTATTGACTCTCACATCCTTCAGTGATAGGGATCTTAGGTGGCATTGTTTTTTGAGATTATATGAATAAGTAGAATCCTAGTTATTTATACTATTGTATTGTCTTATATGACTACACCATGATTATCTGTTCTGTTGATTTTCCCACATCTTCCTACCCCACTCCTTGTCAGCCAGCAATGGAAATTGGTTCAGACAGGGCTGTGGGTGTGGGAGTGCCATACCTGTCTGCCTCTGCAGGCTTTTTAACCTGTGACTTCAGACAGATCCAGGCCTTTCTGAGGAACTCATGCATGATCATGAACGTAGGGGCTCCTATTGAAGTGAGCCATGAGAGAGAACTATAGGAAAAGCATTTGCCAACCTTTTATCAGGAGCAAAAGCCCTAGAAATTATATGGATATATTCAAACTGTTCAGTTTCTGTTTTCCCAGTATGTTTTTGCCACCAGAGTTAAAATATCTAGACATTTTACCACTAAAACTTGGAAACGGACGTGTATACTCTTTGCTGAGAGTGCCCTTGCTGGTGCCACAGCCAGGCTTTATGTTCCGTGTGTCTGGACTGTGGGGATGGGGCCCGAGGTGGGGGAGGTGCTCCTCAGAGCTCATGCCTTTGGCCCCACTGGCATCCTGGCTCCAGGGCAAGGCCCATGTACAAGACCCAGGTCTCCTAGGATGGTTTTTGTTACCCCAGGGAGGATGTCCCATTCATCACAGGATGAATAGAAACTGACTTTAGGCAGCAAATTGTTTAATATGTCCTTCATCAGTGATTCCTGGACTTGATCGTGAGTTTTGAAAAACTAAATGGTCAGTGCTCAGTGAGCCAGAGTAATGAGGGAGAAGGCCTGAGGGGAGAAGCATGAGGACACAGGACCTGGGAAGGAGGCCATGGGTAACTGAGTCAAAGCAGGGTCTGTGGATGGAATGTTCTTGAAGAAGATGAAGTTTTCTGAGGCAGGTAAGTTGACTGACTGAGCTGATGGGCCCATTCACTTGACCGGAGTAGGTGTTTGCCCAGGCCGATGGGTACTCGCTTCTCCTTAGTTGTCTCCTCCCTTTCAGTCTGGCTGGATATCCTGCTGAGCATCTCCGTGTGTTTGCTCACATCAATCAAGACACAATTATTTGCATCAACTTGTTGCTACCTGTGAAATTTGACTAGCTAACTGGTAAAAGGGAGAGCTATTCCCACTTTGCAACAAACACACCAGGGAATGGTGGATAGTTATGCAGTTTCAGCCCACTCACGGCAAGTGCAGAAATGTTCTCAACTGATTTATAGTTCTATTAACTTTTTATCCTAAATATCCTTCCCCCTTTCCCCGGGTTTAACCCTTGACATTGATTGCTCTTTCCCTGCAATATCAAGTATTACCTGTAGGACAGGGACTTACATCCATTGCAGACATCCCATCTTTATGATCAGCGTATGGGCTATCACATTAAAAAACAAAACCACTTTTTCTCCCTCTGGTTTGTAAGCAAAGGGAGAAAGAGAATACCAAAAGCTACAATCCCAGCAGGAAATCTGCTGTTGGGCTGCCGTAGAACAAATGGAATTCCTTTTAATTACATAGACTGTTGCAAAGTTGCACAGTACCCAAGGCTGGGAGAGCAGCCAATCCTGGCCCTTTATCAAGCGCAGACTCAGCTAATGGAGACGGTGCATCAGGACACTTACTTACATTGAAGCTCAGAGTGGAAGCTTGGGCTCTGCACCTACAAGCTGCTGGGCTGTGCCTATGTGTCGCCTTGCTTCTGCGAGCAGCTCGGGATGGAGTTAGACCCAAGCATGACAGGAAAGTACGACCAGGATGCTTTCTGTGCTCCGCTGCCCTAGCCTCAAACTGACATTGGATAGACGTCTGGGTCAGGTGCTGAGGGGAGAGAATGGGGTCAACTTGGGTTCATCTGATTAAGCTCAACCCTACTGGAAAGGTTTTTCTCTCCTTGCTTCAGTCTGCAATGGAAATAATAACATCCTGTTACCAACTTGTGGAGATGAGTATCTCATTGTCACAGTACTGACTTTAAACTTGTGTCATCTAAAACGTTCTTTCTGCAATTTGGGTGCTTCTCGGCATCTCATTCTTTTAAGAGAATTGAAACTGAGAATGAAAGGAAAGTACTGGCTTTCTCCTTTCACCCAGGAATTTATCCTTAACAAAGACCCTTAGGCAGGATACCTGGGTCCTAATTCCAGCTTGGCTGTTACTTGTGTGATGCTGGTTGCATTTAGGTAAGCTAATCACTTTAGCCATCCCCAAATCTCTGTGGTTCACCACCTTAAAGACTTATCTCATGTCACTCTCCAGTGTGTGTTGGGGAAAGAGAGCTTTTGCCTCCACATGGCCATCCTTCCCTAGGAGTCCCCGCTGGTATTGTTGTATTTGGCAGGTGAGGAAAGAGAAAGAACATGACGGGGCTGGGGGGTTGGGGGACACACACATTCTGACTGCAGGGGGCTGGGAGACATGATTTAGCTGCAGGCTTGGGAGGAAAGGTGATATGGTTTGGCTCTGTGTCTGCAAAATATCATCTCAAATTATAAGCCCCATAATCCCCATATGTCAAGGGAGGGACCTTATGGTAGGTGATTGGGTTATGGGCAGTTTCCCCCATCCTCTTCTCCTGACAGTGGGTGAGTTCTCGTGAGACCTGATGGTTTTATAAGCCCCTTCACATGCTCTTTCTCTCTCTTCTGCTGTCTTGTGAAGGTGCTTGCTTCCCCTTTGCCTTCCACCATGATTGTAAGTTTCCTGAGGCCTCCCCAGCCATGTGGAACTGTGAGTCAATTAAACCTCCTTTCTTTATAAATTACCCAGTCTCAGGTAAAAAAAAATGGACCAGTACAAAAGGGGAATTTAGTGTTGATAAACAGCCTGTGTTCGCCACAGTGGGCATCTCACTTAGTGTCCCAAACTTCTGTCTCTTCGTGAATGATAAATTTGATTGGGTCAGTATTTTTCAGTTTTGAGCTACTGATCCATTTTTACTATTTCTTCCATATCTAGATGTCACCTTTAAAATGACTTACTTTAACTTGGGCCGGGCACAGTGGCTCAAGCCTGTAATCCCAGCACTTTGGGAGGCAGAGGCAGGCGGATCACGAGGTCAGGAGATCGAGACCATCCTGGCTAACACGGTGAAACCCTGTCTCTACTAAAAATACAAAAAATTAGCTCGGCATGGTGGCGGGCGCCTGTAGTCCCAGCTACTCAGGAGGCTGAGGCAGGCGAATGGCGTGAAACTGGGAGGCGGAGCTTGCAGTGAGCAGAGATCACGCCACCGCACTCCAGCCTGGGCGACAGAGCGAGACTCCGTCTCAAAAAAAAAAAAAACAAAAAACCCAAAAAAGACTTACTTTAACTTAACATCTTCTTAGCAGTAATATTCCTGAAATAATGGATGTGATATGCTAGTTACATGTTTTCTAACACATATTAGAATATACAACCAGTGAATGTGTGTCAATTGAATGTATGCTCTTTCAGATACATATATCAGCCCATGGGAATTCAGTGATCTGAGATTCTGTTCGATTGTTTGGAAAATTTTTTTCTTTTGAGACAAGGTCTTGCTTTGTCACCCAGGCTGGAGTATAGTGGCATGATCAAGGCTCACTGCAAACTCAACCTCTCAGGCTCAAGCGATCTTCCCATATCAGTCTCCCTAGAACTAGGACTACAGATATGTGCCACCATGCCTGGTTAATTTTTTTGACATTTTGTTGAGACGGGATCTCACCATGTGGTCCAGGCTGGTCTTGAACTCCTCAGCTCAAGCGATCTTCAGCCTCAGCCTCCCAAAGTGCTAGGATTACACAGTGAGCCACAGTAACTGGCTGGAAAATCTTTAATGCTTAAGAAAGAAAACGTCAGCAAGAATTCACTTTGTTATATGTCTTAAACCTGACAGTACTTGGGTAAGAAGTTTGACTGCTGGTCACAAACTGCATACTATCTTGAGAATAGCACTATTTTAGAATGATTAAGGACAACAGAAAGGGGTCATAGGGATTTAGGCCTTTAAATAATAGCACAGCATCTCATTTCTGCCTTATTTCTCCTCCCTCTACTTCCCCCTCAAGCACTAAAAGCAAGAGCTGGGGAAGCGGGAAGATTGACATACTGTGTTTTGGGGATGGACAATTTGGTGTGACAGTTCTGACATTTAGGGCAAGAGCTGGGCTGGAGAAGGTGCTTAAAGGTGAGACGAAACGTCAAATTAGAATTTCTCCTTGAAATAAAGCGTAACAGGAGTTATGTCCCCGGGGCCTGAATCCATCTCTTTCTGCACCTCCTGCTGTCCCTGCCCGTCATTTCTCATCTGTATCAATCCCTGTAGCAGCCATCTCACCACCCTTCGGTTTTCTCTTCACTGTTTCCAGTGTTTCTGAAATGAAATTGATGATATATTTTTCCTGCATCAAATTCCTCAATGTCTTATCATCATTGGGATAAAATATGGGGTGCACAGTCCCTTCCCACACCAGACCCTGCCCACCCAAGTAGCACCCACTTTAGTTAACCTGTGGTTCCCTGGGTGGGCCACACTCTTCATCCCCTGGGTCTCTCCCACACACTTCTCTCTTTTTGAAAAATGGTTGCCACTTCCCTTTACCACTTGGCTACCTCTGCGGTGATTCTTCAGAGCTAATCTTTGGCTTCGGCTCCCCTGGCAGCTTCAGGAAAGCGTCCCTCAGTATGGCTGGCTGCCACTTGCCTGCCTCCCCTCCTAGAGCACAGGGAGATGCATTTCACCCCTGGACTCCCAGCATCTGGCTTTAAGTTAGAGAGTCAGCCACATTTGGTTGAATGAATGGAAGGATTATGCTTTTTCTAGACAATCACTAGCTCTTGATCCAATCAATTATAAAGTACTGTATCTGGGAAGTATAAAGCTTTTCAAAATACATTTCAATAAAATGAAGTTAAAAGAAAAAAATCGCAATTGAAGGTTAAGAGTATATGATATCAATGTACCATTAAAAAGTTCATTCTCTTCATACTTAGCACATTTATTGTTGTATAAGAAGTTGGCAGATAAAGCAAAACTTTGGTTAGAGTCTTGACACAAAAGGAGTTTCTTAGATGAAGACTGGGAGTCCAATGGCTTTTTGAGGACAAGTCCAGGGTTTTACTGTCTTTTTTTGCCTTTATGTGTTTATCTGCTTTAGAGAGAAAATTTTTGCCTTCAAAAGAGAACTCTTTCTGAGCTGCCATTTAATAAGCAACAACTTCATTTTGCATGTAATCTGATGTATCATAAATCATACTTGCTTTTGAAGTCCATAAACAAAGGCCCCCTCACTTTTTTTTGAGATGAGGTTTCCCTTTTTTGCCCAGGCTGCAGTGCAGCAGCATGATCTTGGCTCACTGCAACCTCTGCCTGCCGGGCTCAAGTGATCCTCCCACCTCAGCCTCTGGAGTGGCTAGAACTACAGGTGTGCGCCACCATGCCCGGCTAATTCAGAAGCCCTTTTAATAAAATGATTTATTCTTCAATTCCTGAAAAACAAAACCCGCTTCATGGTGACATAAAGGCCCAAAGCTTTGGCTTTGTGGCAGAATGGTAGGGAGACACAGCTTCATCAAAGCCCCCAGAAATAGAATAACTAATGCAAGGAAATTTGTGGTTATAGAGCAGTTAAGCCACAAAAGCCACCTCGAAATCCTAGGCTTGAGTAATCCTCCCACCTCAGCCTCCCAAGTAGTTGAGATTACAAGCATGCAACACCATGCATGTGTGCTCTTTCGCTTTCTTTCTTTCTTTCTTTCTTTCTTTCTTTCTTTCTTTCTTTCTTTCTTTCTTTCTTTCTTTCTCTTTCTTTTTCTTTCTTTCTTTTTCTTTCCTTCTTTCTTTCTTTCTCTTTCTTTTTCTTTCTTTCTTTCTTTTTCTTTCCTTCCTTCTTTCTTTTTCTTCCTTCCTTCCTTTCTTCCTTCTTTCCTTCCTTTCTTTTTCTTTCTTTCTTTCCTTCCTTCCTTCCTTCCATCCTTCTTTCCTTCCTTCCTCCCTCCCTCTGTCCCTTCCTTCCTTCCATTCATTCGTAACGACAGGTCCTCAAACAGGCTGATCTCAAACTCCTGGGCTCAAGCAATCCTCCCACCTCAGCCTCCCAAAGTGCTAGGATTACAGGTATTATCCACCGAGCCTGGCCCTCTATATTATTTATAATTTGATTTTTACGGGTATGTTTAAATTACCTGTTAGTAAATTTTCTATAATCCTTTCAAAGTTTTATCCAGCTCTTTATTTTAAATAGAAGAATTTAAAATAATTCTTGGCCAGGCATGGTGGCTCATATCTGTAATCCTGGCAGTTTGGGAGGCTGAGGTGGGAGGATTGCTTGAGCCCAGGAGTTAGAGACCAGCCCGGGCAACATAGTGAAAGCCCCATCTCTACAACAATACAAAAATTAGCTGGACATAGTGGCACATGCCTGCAGTCCCAGCTACTTGGTAGGGTGAGGCAGGCAGACTGCTTTAGCCCAGGAGGTCAAGGCTGTAGCGAGCCATGATCCCACCACTGCACTCCAGCCTGGGCAACAGAGTGAGACCCTGTCTCAAAAAAAAAAAAAAAAAAAAAAAATAGAATTCTTCAGCTGCTGTTAAGGAAGATTCCTAGCTTCTTAGACCTGTTGGCATTACAGTCATTGCCCTTGTGTCCAAATGAGGCATCAGGAAAGCTGCAGCCTTCTTCCTCAAATCCCCTGGGGTTAAATTGTTGAATGCTGCTGATACAAATCACCAGGTTAGTGATGGGCTCTGTATTAAATATTGACACAAGATAAATTACTGGAATACTTTTAAATGTCTCGTATTATTAAGCACTTAGTGATTTTATTATATTTTCACTTTCAGGAAAAACTAAAGTTTGGGTTACTAACATCTGACAGTCTAGAATTCTGAAACTTGTAACTCCATAACATCAGCTTAAAAAAATTGATTCCACAAGACACATACAAATACTCCTTGTAGGAGAATTATTTTGGCTCTATATATTGAGATTTATTCAAAGATCCTTAAAATTATCTGGAAAGCTTCAGACTGATACTTTCAAGCAAATATTAGTAGTCAATCTTGTGGCAAAATACAAGCTCCTTAAGAGCAGAACTTCTCTTTTCTTTATTTCCTCTACAGCCTTGCTGCTCAAAGTGTGGTCCATGGATCAGCAACATCAGCATTGTCTGGAAGTCTTTTAGAAATGTACAACCTTGGCCCCAACCTAGATTTACTGAATTTGAAATCTGTGCTTCAATAAGATAGAAGA
Organism: Homo sapiens; assembly: GCF_000001405.40. Classification (NCBI taxonomy): domain Eukaryota; kingdom Metazoa; phylum Chordata; class Mammalia; order Primates; family Hominidae; genus Homo; species Homo sapiens. The sequence goes on from NC_000013.11 coordinate 36,453,367, forward strand.
TTTGTGTGCACACTCAAGTTTGAGAAGCACTGGCCTATAGCACCCACCTCAGTGCTGGAAATGTAAGAGCTTAATAAAGTTTGGCTGGTGTTTCAGACTAGAACCTTCAAGAATTGATCATCAGTTTCAACTTCTTTGTTCCAAGGGTTGCTTTGGACTCTAGACTTCACCGTTACGCATCTGCTAGAAATAAACAGCAAGGCAAAATTTAAATAATGGGATTTTTTTTAAAAGTCCCATTCTATTTGATTATCTATACTGCACTCAAACAAACTGAATTTGGAGAGAAAGAGCCATCTCTGCCACTCTCCTGCTTCCTTTTAACCACACAGTGTCCTCTATGTGGCAGTATAACTCTGAGAAATGTGCAGAAAGTCAGCATTTAGTCTTTAGTTACCATCTCTCTGCTCAGAGCTGTCTGTCCCACAACGACAGACGGATAAGAGAGTCCATGAGTTAGGCCTTGCTTGCAGTTGGGAGGCCCTCAGAGGTTTTCTCTCCTTCTTTCTCTATTTCGTTAAACTCAAGAGGCCAAACATCTCAGATCTGGCCATATCACAGTACTGTAAACTCAACTGTCCCCTCTCCCTTAACTTAGGAAGCTTAACTAGAAAGGAACTCCAGAAACCATGGAAAAACCAAGTTCAAGATCATAACTCCTCAACACCTGGGCTTAGGTTGGAGGGAGTTGGCGCATGGACAGGCCTCAGATGGAATCCTCCAGATGGAATCCTTAAGCACTACCCTAATGACGTAGTGTTTCCTGTGACTAACATGAGCTTCAGGTATCACATTTGCAGTGTTGGGAGTGGGAGCATCTAAGCAAGAATGGTTTTCATCCAGGGGTGTGTGTCCTATGGGTGGTGAAGCCAACAATTAGTATATCCTCTGGGCATTAAGCACACGACATGACCACAAAGAACTTTTGTAGCTCTGGGCTGGGGAGTATAGTTATGGCACCTGTTGATGAAGCAACAGTGCAAAGTCATTCAGTGCTACAGTGGCTAGAAAAAGAATTAAGGTCTTGTATTTTTCTGGGATATACATTTTTCAGTGCACTTTCAACTACATTATTACATTTGATCCTTACAAGATTATGTGAGACTAGGACAGACATTGTTAGTCTCATTTTATATTTAAGAAAACTAACCAAATTCTTGGCAAGTTTAGAGTTTGCAGTGGTGGCTCATGGCAATGGCTCAAATCTGCTTATTTTACTCATTCCTTGACTCAAGTAACTTAACGTCTCTGTAATGCAGTTTCCGTAGCAGTAAATGGAGATGAAAATAATTGGGCTTTATTCATATGGTAGTTAATGCACACAAAGATTTTAGCATAGTGCTTGCCTATACACAGTAGGAGGTGATAACTGTTAGCTTCAATGGTTACTGCTGGAGATCACAAAGCTAATGAGTAGTAGACCCAGGACTTGAACCAGGATCTCTGGTTCTAAGTCCAATGATCTTTTCATTATGCATCAGTGTGAGTGATTCTGGACACACCTCAGGCATCGTCTCCTTCAGGAAGCATTTTCTGGTCTCACCCCGTTCCTGGCCAAGTGCTGATGTGAATTTTGACAGGAAGCAACCTCCTGTTCAGTCTTTGCAGCTGAGACCACGTCGTATCCCTCTACCTGTGCTTCTTTATTTTGTTTGACCCCCTTTTGTCTTTTATCCTTTCTCCTGGAGGTGTATTTATTATCTGTGCCTATAATTGCCCAATTCTCTTGCAGAGTCTGAATAAAATCACAGTTTAGCTCCAGCTGTGTAGCTTTCGACAGCCCCACATGAAGCTCCTGCTTGCTGCTGAGAAGACACACAGATGTGATTTATAATCAGATTGCAGGGGAATGTGGCATGTTGTCAAGGTTTCATTTCTGGCCAAACAGGAGGGAGGAACTAAAAATGGGGCTGCCAGAACAAGAAGAAAATGTCAGGTGCTTGAAGGAAAGTGTAAAACTCAGACTCTAATCAGTTGGATGATGATACAATACCTTTTTCGGGGGGTTTTGTCTAATTCAGTAAAACTGAATTATGCTTGAGGAAAACAAACTCATTGCAGATTATATAGATATGAATGCATATGTGTAAGCATAGAAAGATATAGATACATATATGGATATACATGTACATATGTCTTCATTTTATTCCTGGAATTAGAAATGTTTATCCTATGTAGTCAAGCCTCAGTATACAAGCCCATCTTCTCACTTAATAATCAGTGTTATTAATATAAATAAACCATTCAAAATTTGTGTGATAATATCATAAAAGTCATAATCATATTCTATTCCCAAACATTAGCTACTGCTATTTATACAACACATTGAATGATGTGACTGTTGGCCATGAACAATTTGTAACTTTACTAAAATGGATCTCCATTCTAATAAGCAGCTTTAAGGAGGAGTTTTATAACCTTAGGAGAGTGTTTTGGGGCAACAATTAATTTACTAAATATAAGCAATATATTTTTTTTCTTACATAATAGGAATCTTGTCACTTTAGGCAACCTGTTGGAAAAACAAGTTTTACTATTTTTGCAAGTCATCCATGAGGAGGAAAAGACAGATTGCTTAATCTGAAACTTTCAAAAGGATGAAATATAATAGTTAGAGCTACCTTAATACATGAAATATGAATAAGGGATCTCTGGGTTGGTACAAACTATTTTTAAGTCCTTCTATACCTACAAGAATAACAACCTTGCTTAATTTAAAACATTACACCCCCTGTTTTTCCTTGGTTTGAGAAAACATAAGCAGATTTGACTTCACATTTTTTCGACAAGAACATAGTTAGCTGATGGAAGGTGGGATGTGACATGTTAGTCAATGATGGGCCCAAAGCTAACTGTGAGATCATCAGTGTAGTTTTAAAATCAATTGGCAACACAGTCCCATGGTGAAGTCGTGTGATAATTTTCTCAGACACCTAATGTTTCAAAAAACGTCACGCTATGAATTTTGATTATGGTTGTAATCTAAACTGGCTCTCCAGTTTTAAAATGATTACATAAAAGCATTGATTTGGTGCCTAAAACACATTTTTGCTCAAGAAGCACATTTGGGTGAAATGAACAGTTTCTAAATGAGCAGCATACATTTCCTTCACTTTAGAAAATAATCAGTTAATATATTCTTCTCTTACGATGCTACCAATTCAAAGCTTTTATGCATTTGTATTTACATAAATATATCATCACCTAATTATTAATGCTGAATTAGCTGTGCTAGTTCATTTTCTGTGAGTGACCCCAATAATCTTAGCCTTAACAAATTTAGGGAGGAAGGAATGACTAAGGCATTAACATCCAAGTTCTGCAATGAGGCCTCCAGCATGCCCTTGTGTCTGTGTTGTTAGAGACTTTCAGTGAGAACAAGGAGTGCTTGTAATCCTTTCAGTTGTCTCTTACTTAATGTTTGCCCAGAGGCTGGGTTTAATCTGGGCGAGGGCTCCTGGGGTCTCAGTTTGTGTAACTTTTTTGAGGCAAGGGCAGCAAGGAAGAAGCATTCTACTAGGCAGGTTTAGACGATGTCCAAGCTTGTAAGTCACCTGTGATGTCCAAGCTTGTAAGTCACCTGGGGGACTATCAAAAGATTTTTATGATTCAGAGGTGCCAGCAGGCAAGATTCCAGGCCAATTTGGAGAAATGAGAATAAGAAAAGAAAAAAAGAAATCCCAGATGAAAATAATTCAAGCCAAAACTCATGAGAAGTCACGGGCACAGTTCAGGAATTCTGTTAAGATTGAATAATAGGTTGTTATTAAGCCTAATCTTAAGAAAAAGACTCGCAGAGAGATCCTGGTCTAATCTTCATTTTCAACTCATTCAGTCCCTAGACTTGTTGTCATCCAGTCCCTGAATTGTTGTCATTGTAGAATACCAGAATGATACTGCTGTAGAGGAAATGGTCACCAACTCCCTGAATCAACTGGGATTTTTCCATTTCCCAGGGGAGGTAAGAATGCAAAAAGGTGAGGAAAGGATCTGAGCCAGCAATATGTTACTAAATATTTAACAACTGGGCCGGGCGTGGTGGCTCATGCCTGTAATCCCAGCTGAGGCAGGCAGATCACCTGAGGTCAGGAGTTCGAGACCAGCCTGGCCAACATGGCAAAACCCCATCTCTACTAAAAAATACAAAAATTAGCTGGGCATGGTGGCAGGCTCGAGTAATCCCAGGTACTAGCGTGCCGAGGCATGAGAATCACTTGAACCTGGGAAGCGGAGGTTGCAGTGAGCCGAGATCATGCCACTGCACTCCAGCCTGGGTGACAGAGTGAGACTCCGTATCAAAAACAAAAAACTAACAAAAATTGACAACTGGCTCTCTGGGGGAAAAAAAAGTATGCCTATGTACATGTACATATGCTTATGAATTGTACTAATGTAAAGAATATGTAGCATACAACTTATAAATAGTAAAAATATAATATTCATATAGCTAATTGATTCTTACAGAACACTTCTGCTAATTTTTGCTGAAATTTTAAAATCTATAGCCAATCTACAGTTGCCATTGAGAAACAAATGTAGTTCTCACATGAATGTTAGTGGATATTTTGATTTAAGGCAATGAATGAGACTAAGTAAAATACCAAAGATGTATGTGGGAAATCACTTTTTGGTCATTGACTGGAATGCTGGAAGAATATTTCCTCAATTTTTTAACACTATTCACAATGCAATGGCCAGAGACATAACATATTTAAGAAGATTAATCTGCATTATTTACATTTTATCCATCACTTTCTTAAGTTTAAACAAGGAACTGGAAAACTTTTCCTGTAAAGGGCCAGATAGTAAATATTTTAGGCTCTACAGGCCATATGGTCTCTATCTCAACTATCTCTGTCTATACAATTCTGCCTCTGTAGCACACAAGCAACCCACAGACAGTATGTAAACCAATGAGCGTGACTGTATTCCAACAAAACTTTATTTATGAACACTGAAATTTGAATTTCATATAGTTTTCATAAAATATTATTCTTCTTTGAATTTTTTTCAACAATTAAAAAATATAAAAGCCACTTTAGCTCATAAGCCATACAAAAATGGGCAATGGGCTAGATTTGTTTTATGTGTTACAGTTTGCCATGTTCTCGTCTAATCAATCAACAAAACAATAAATAAATTCATAGCAGTTATCAACTTCTGTGATATAAATATTCTCACCATGGCTGATTTCAAGCTCTCAATGTGACATCATTGAATGCTGTGGAGAGATGTGGAGTAGCACGTCATTATACAGTATTTCCACCCTATGGATATAATAGATAAGAATAACCTCAAGAACACAGATAATATTAAAATGTAGTAAAAATAATTAAAATTATGAGTGTTGAGCATTTATTACCTTATTTCTAGTATAACTTAATTATTTGTAAGCTTATACAATTTTATTTGTTATTTCTATTTTTTATTTATTTTTGAGACAGAGTCTCCCTCTGTCGCCCAGGCTGGAGTGCAGTGGCGAGATCTCGGCTCATTGCAACCTCCATCTCCCAGGTTCTAAGCGATTCTCCTGCCTCAGCCGCCAGAATAGCTGGGATTACAGGAGCGCACCACCACGCCCGGCTAATTTTGTATTTTTAGTAGAGACGGCGTTTCACCATATTGGCCAGGCTGGTCTCGAACTCCTGACCTCAGGTGATCCACCCACCTTGGCCTCTCAAAGTGCTGGGATTACAGGCGTGAGCCAATGCACCTGGCCTACAATTTTATTTTTAATAATGGCTGTGTTCAACAACTGGCTGGCAAAATTCTCAGACGTTTAACAATTGACTCCTGAGAGTTAGTACAGGTTGTCTCCACCAAATCACAAAACTTTGCGCTTTTCTAGAGCATATTGCAGCACTTGACTCTGAGATTCCCACAGCAACACTAACTCTTCATCCACAGACATAGAATTGCCCTCTGGAGCTACCCACAAAGAGTGCCAGAGATCTTAGGCCCTAAGTCATCTCAGAAGCTTTTGCTATCTCTGTCTTCCACACAAAAGTGGGATGAGAAGGAGACCTTTATTGCCACAGGAACAAATAACAGTGGCGATATCTAGCATTTCTGGAGTGTTTACTCTGGGCCAGGTACTGTTTTAATCTTTTACTTATACCAGCTCATTTGATTGTGATTCATCCCCAAGAGTAACTTTCCATCATCATCATTTTACATTTAAGGATATTGAGAAACAGAGATGTGAGGCTGCTTGTCCACTCACACATGTAAACAGTAGAGTTCCAACCTCCCTAAACACTAGGTTGTGTGTACTTGAGGAGATAAGTACCTCTATTTTATTATTTACTTATTTATGTACCCACTAACAGATTATCAACTAAATTCAATATATCCCAAACTGGGCCATCATCTTTCCTCCCAAACCTCCTTTTCCTCTGTTTTTTTGTTTTGTTTTGTTTTGTTTTGTTTGTTTGCTCTTGTTAATGACACCAGTACTATACTAGACACCCTGGGATCTTGGACTCTTTCCTTGTCTTTATTCCAAGCAGTTGCCAATACCGTTAACTCAACTTTTAATACTTCTTTTCACTGTACCTTTTGTTTATATACACAAATAGGTGCAATAAAATTGTGTTGCAAGTTGCTAACAGTATTCAGTATAGTAACATGTTGAACAGAATGTTCAAAAAATGAGGCTGGGGCCGGGCGCGGTGGCTCACATCTGTAATCCCAGCACTTTGGGAGGCTAAGGCGGGTGGATCACCTGAGGTCAGGAGATCGAGACCAACCTGGCCAACATGGGGAAACCCCGTCTCTACTAAAAATACAAAAAAATTAGCCAGGCGTGGTGGCGGGCGCCTGTAGTCCCAGCTTCTTGGGAGGCTGAGGCAGGAGAATGGCGTAAACCCGGGAGGCAGAGCTTGCAGTGAGCAGAGATCACGACACTGCACTCCAGCCTGGGCAACAGAGCGAGACTCCGTCTCAAAAAAAAAAAAATTAGGCTAGGCATGGTGTCTCACATCTCTAATTCTAGCACTTTGGGAGGCCGAAGCGGGTGGATCACTTGAGGTCAGGAGCTCGAGACCAGCCTGGCCAGCATGGTGAAACCCCATCTCTACTAAAAATACAAAAATTAGCCGGGCATGGTGATGCATGCCTGTAGTCCCAGCTACCTGGGAGGCTGACGCACAAGAATGGCTTGAGCCCAGGAGGCGGAGGTTGCAGTGAGCCGAGATTGCACCATTGCACTCCAGCCTGGGCGACAGAGCAAGACTAAGTCTCCAAAAAAAAAAAAAGAAATCACCTGATGATACATTTCTTAGCACACATCCTTACTGTTAAGTGATGCATGATTGCATATACAACACTTTTGAAATCTATTCATCCATAAGTTGACAGACACTTAGGTTGACTCCATATCTTGGCTATTGTGAATAATGCTGCAAGGAACGTGGGAATGCAAATATCTCTTCCACACACTGATTTCATTTCCTTAGAATATATATCCAGTAGTGGGATTGCTGGGTCATATGGTAGTTCTATTTTTAATTTTTTGAAGAATCTCCATACTATCATTCATAATGACTGAACTAATTTACAATCTTACCAACCGTGTACAAGGGTTCCCTCTTCTCCACATCTCTACCAAAACTTATCTTCTGTCTTTTTGATGATAGCCATTCTAACAGGTGTGAGGTAACAGCTCATTGTGGTTTTAATTTGCATTTCTTTGATGATTAGTAACATTGAGCATTTTATCATATACATGTTAGCAATTTGTATATCTTCTTTTGAGAAATGTCTGTTCAGGTACTTTGCCCATTTTAAAATTGTAATTGTTTTCTTGCTACTGAGTTGAGTTCCTTATATACTTTGGACATTAATCCCTTATAAAATGTGTGGTTTGTAAATATTTTCTTCTATTTCATAGGTTGTCTCTTCACTCCATGGATTATTTCCTTTGCTGTGCAAAAACTTTCTAGCTTGATGTAGTATCACTTGTCTATATTCATTTTTGTTGCCTGTGTTTTTGAAGTTATATCCAAAAAACAATTGTCCAGAATAATATCACAGAGCTTTTCAACTATGTTTTCCTCTAGCAGTTTTTTAGACTAAGGTCTTATGTTTAAGTCTTTAATCTATTTTGAGTTGATTTAAGTATCTCGTGTGAGATAAGAAACATTTTAACTTTCACCATTTAGTATGATGTTATCTATGGGGTTGTCATGTATAGCCTTTATTGTGTTGAGATACATTCCTTCTATACCTAATTGTTGAGAGGGTTTTTTTTTCCTTTAAAATCATGAAAGTAGGCTGAATTTTGGCAAATGATTTTTCTACATCTACTGAGATGATGTTACAGTTTCTTTTTTTGTTCTTCATTCTGTTAATGTGGTGAATCACATTTGTGGATTTGCATATATTGTACCATCCTTGCATCTTTGGGAAAAATTCCACTTGATCATAGTGAACCATCTTTTAAATGTGCAGTTGAATTTGGTTTGGTAGTATTTTGTTGAGGATTTTTGCATCTATGTTCATTAGTGATATTGGCCTGTAATTTTCTTTTTCTTGTAAATTTCTTTTCTTGTAATTTTCTTTTCTTTTCAAAGTCCTTGTCTGGCTTTGGTATCAGGGTAATGCTGGTCGCATAAAGTTGGTATGGAAGTATTCCTTCTTCTTCAATTTTTGAGAAGAGTTTGTGACAGATTGGTATTAATTCTTGAAATGTTTAGTACAATTAAGGAGTGAAGCCATTCAGTTTTCGGCTTTTCTTTGATGGGAGACTTTATTACTGAATCTCCTTCCTCATTATTTTTTTTTTATTTTTGAATTTTTCTTTGAGACAGAGTCTCCCTCTGTCTCCCAGGCTGGAGTACAGTGGCACAATCTCAGCTCACTGCAGCCTCTGCCTCCCGGGTTCAAGCAATTCTCATGCCCCAGCCTCCCAAGTAGCTGGGACTACAGGCGCATGCCACCACTCCTGGCTGATTTTTGTATTTTTAGTAGAGAAGGGGTTTCACCATGTTGGCCAGGCTGGTCTTGAACTCCTGACCTCAGGTGATCCACCCGCCTTAGCCTCCCAAAGTGCTGGGATTACAGACGTGAGCCACCACGCCCGGTCTCTCCTTTTTCATTATTGATCTCTTCAGATTTTCTATTTCTACATGATTGAGTCTTGTTAGATTTCAGGTGTCTAGGAATGTACCCATTTCTTCAAGGTTTCCAATTTGTTGGCATATGGTTGTAGATAATAGTCACTTATGATTTTTTTTATCTCTGTGGTATCAGTTGTAATCGCTCTGCTTTCATTTCTGATTTTATTTATTTGAGTCTTCTCTCTTTTTTGGTCTAATTAAAGGTTTGTCAATTTTGTTTATCTTTTCAAAACACCTTCTATTCATCTTTTCTTTGTTTTTCTACTATCTATTTCATGTATTTCTGCTCTGATCTTTATTATTCCCTTTCTCTACTAACTTTGGGCTTAGTTTGTTATTCTTTTTCTAGCTTCTTGAGGTGTAATGTTAGGTTGTCTATTGGAGATCTTTCTTCTTTTTTTGACATAGGCATTTATTGCTATAAATTTTCCTATTAGAATTGCTTTTGCTGCATCTCATAAGTTTTGGTATGTTATCTGTCCATTTTCATTTGTCTCAAGATATTTTTAAATTTAACTTTTAATGTATTCTTTGACCCATTGTTTGTTCAGAAGAAGGTTGTTTATTTCCATGTACATGTAAATTTCCCAAAATTCCCTGTTACTTGATTTCTAGCTTCATACCATTGTGGTTGTAAGAAATACTTGATCTGTTTTTAATCTGAAATTTATTGAGACTTGTTTTGTTTCCTAACATATGATCTATTCTGGAGACTGCTCCACGTGTGTATCCTGTTGCTGTTGGATAAAATGTTCTGTATGTTTGTTAAGTCCATTTGGTCTAAAGAGTGGTTTATGTCCAATGTTTCCTTCTTTATTTTCTATCTGGATGATCTGTACATTGCTAAAAGTGGTGTATCGATGTCCTTACTATTATTGTATTACAGTCTATCTCTCCCTTCAGATCTATTAATATTTGCTTTATATATTTATGAACTTTGATGATCAGTGCATATATATCTGCAATTGTTATATGCTCTAGAAAAATGTACTCCTTTATCATTACATATTGACCTTCTTTGTCTCATCTTAGCATTTTTGACTTAAGGTTTATTTTATCTGATATAAGTATAGCTACTTCTGCTCTCTTTTGGTTTCCATTTGCACAGAATATCTTCTCTTATCCCTTTGCTTTCAGTCTACATGTGTCCTTAAAAGAGACATGGGTCTCTTGTGGGCAGCATAGTTGTATTGGGTTTAAAACTCATTTAACCACTCTATGTCTTTTGATTGGAGAATTTAATCAATTTACACTCAGGGTAATCATTGACAGGTAAGAACTTGCTACTGCCATTACTTTTTTTTTTTTTTTTTTTTTTTTTTGCTGTTTAGTAGATCCTTTAGTAGATCTTATATTCCTTTCCTCCTGTCTTGCTATTTTCCTATGTAATTAGTAATTTTCTTTAGTGGTATGCTTTGGTTTCTTACTTTTTATCTGGTTTTATCTAGCATGGGACTTTTGCTTTGTGGTTACCATGAGGTTTACATAAAATGTCAACAGTCTATTCTAAGCTGGTAACGACTTAACTTTATTTTTTTTTGTTGTGTAGGAGAAACTCATCTTAAACTTAACTTGAGTGACAATATGAAGTTGTGCAAAGAGCTCTGAGAACTTGTGCCAATTCCTTAAGCTTTTTGAGTCTCAGTTTCTTCAACTTTAAAATAGAAATAATTGTGCTTTCCTTACAGTGTTGTTCTGAGCACTTAATGAGATAATATACATTAAGCTGTCTGACACATAGTCAGTGTTTGGTAAGTGCTGGTTTCTTTGCCTTCTTAAGCAAGCACAAACTTACATTGCATCCATCAGTCCCACTTGTCATTGCCAGTATATTAATATCACTGCGCTGACCAGTACTAATCAATTTTCTAGGACAGCTCTATATTTCTTCCTAGTATCCATTACTGTTGCAGTAAGTCTGGCAAACCTAATCATAATATATGAAAAAATGCAATTGTTAACCTGAAAAAAGTGAAAATCCAGACTCTTTATCCTGCATACATTTTCAGAATCTGGTTTTAAATCCCAGGTAAGTAGCTTGAAGCTCACATCCCTGAAGAAAAGAGACGTCTACCTCTGCCACGTTGCCCAACTTGAGGGGTGCAATTCACATCGTATAGTATCCTATGCTGTACACCAGAGATACAAGGTAAATGGTGACACTGGAGTTGTGCAGTGCTGCAATGTTGGACAACTTGCTGCTGCTCTCATTTTTACACGATTGATTGGGAAGTAGGATATGGAAGGAGGGAGCGATTAAGTTACACTTTGTTCTCCATTTTAGGCAAGACCAACATCCTAGGTTTTGAGGTCTTTAAATATTGCAGAGAAATTATCAAAGAAGTAAAAGATTGTAAGTGCTATAGATAATGGCCAAAATTATTTTCAGAACAGATGTTTTCATTATAATATAGCAATCATAATACTAACCAAGGATTTCTGAACAAATTCCTATCAATGGGAGGATAGAGTTGTTATTGCCATCATGCTCTATGGGGTAATCACAGAGCGTGACAGCAATCTACTTGTCTTTCCCACAAAAGGGCTTATATATCCAGAGAAGGCGAGCTCTTCAGTATGGGAAGATGAGGGTTGTGAATCTTAACTACTCAATGTAGTGCAAGTAATTTTAGATCCCAAGATAACCTAACTATAAAGTGATGGTGGTGTTTATTATCTTAATCTGTTGGTGTGTGAATATTATTATTCATAAACTTAATACTGATATCTTGGGACTGCAGCAGGGTTCCAGGACCTCATTTCTTAATGTCTTCTTTACTGCTATAAATCTCAAAACAAATACAATAATCACAAGGAAGCATCAGCAGCTGGGATAGTTAAACACTACTTACCTTCACTATATAGAAAAGATAAGTGCTCTTCATTGCAAAAGAATCCTTTACGGGTAAATGTTTTGTGGTAGAAATGTTCTTTCTGACAAAATTAGCTCTTTTGGAACATTGATACATAATATATGTACACATTTTTGGGGTACATGTGATAATTTAATACATTCATATAATGTGTAAAGATCAAGTTAGACTAGTTGCTCTTAAATTTTTGTCTTTTCTTTACACTAGAATTTGAATTATTCTTTTGTTTGAAATGTACAACAGGTTGTTGTAAACTATAGTCACCTTACTGATCTATCGAACACTAGGCCTTATTTATTCTATCTGACTGTATATTTGTAACCCTTAATCAACCTCTCTTCACCCCCATCCACCTCCCCTACACTTCCTGTCCTCTAGTAACCACCAGTCTACTCTCTATCTTCATGAGATGTACTTTTTTTTAGCTCCCACATGTGACAACATGCAATATTTGTCATTCTGTGCTCAGCTTATTTCACTTGACACCAGGACCCCCAGATCCATCCATATGGTTGCAGATGAAAGGATTTTATTCTTTTTATGGCAGAATAATATTCAATTGTGTATAAATACCACTTTTCCTTTATGCATTCACCCACTGATGGACACATAAGTTGATTCTGTATCTTGGCTGTTGTGAATGGTGCTGTAATAAACATGAAAGTGCAGATATTTCTTCAATATACTGATTTTCTTCCTCTGGGATATATACCCAGCAGTGGAATTACTGGATCATATGGTAGTTCTATTTTTAGTTTTGGAAGGAACCTCCATACAGTTTTCTGTAGTGGTTGTACTACTTTACATTCTCACCACAGAATAAAAGTGGTTCCCTTGCTCTGCATTCTCATAGCATTTGTTATTTTCTGTCTTTTTGATAATAGCCATTTTAACTGGAGTGAGATATCTCACTGTAGTTTTGATTTGCATCTCCCTGATGAATAGCAATATTGAACATTTTTTCATATACCTATTGTCCATTTATATGTCTTCTTTTGAGAAATGTCTATTCAGATCTTTGCCCATTTAAAAATAAAATTATTATTTTTGCTATTGAATTGTTTGAGTGCCTTATGTATTCTGGTTATTAATCCCTCACCAGTTAAATAGTTTGCAAATATATTCTTCCATTCTGTAAGCTGTCTCTTCACTTTGTTGTTTCCTTGACTGTTCAGAAGCTTATTAACTTGATGTAATCCCATTTGTTCATTTTTGCTTTGGTTGCTTGTGCTTTAGAGGTATTACTCCAGAAATCTTTGCCCCAGCCAATGTCCTGAGGTGTTTCCCAATGATTTATCCTAGTAGTTTTAGAGTTTCTGGTCTTAGATTTAAGTTGTTAATCCATTTTGATTTGATTTTTGTATACGGTTAGAGATAGGGGTATAGTTTCATTCTTCTGCCTATGGATATCCAATATTCCCAGCACCATTTATTGAAGAAACTGTCTTTTCCCCATTGTAGGTTCTGGACTCCTTTGTCCCAAATGAGTTGGCTATAAATGTGTGGATTTATATAAGGATCTCTATTCCGTTCCATTTGTCTGTATGTCTGTTTTTATGCCAGTACCATGCTGTTTTGGCTACTACAGCTTTGTAGTATAATTTGAAGTCATGTAATGTGATGTCTTCAGCTCGGAGCTTTTCCTCAAGAAGGCTTTGCCTGTCCTGAGTCTTTTGTGGTTCCATATTTCCAAATTTTAGAATTTTTTGTGTGTGAGTGTGAAGAATGTCATTTGTATTTTGATAGAGATTGCACTGAGACTGTAGGTTGCTTTGGGTAGCACGAACACTTTGCCAATATTGACTTTTCTAGTCTGCAAACATAGAATACTCTTCCAATTTTTTGTGTCCTCTTCAATTTGTTTCATCAATGTATTATATTTGACATTGTAGAGATCTTTCACTTGTTTGGTTAGTTTTATTCCTAAGTATTTTTTGTAGCTATTGTAAATGAAATAACTTTCTTTTTTTCAGATTTTTTTTGTTGTCATGTAGAGATGCTATAGCTTTTTGTATGTTGATTTTGTATCCTGTAACTTTACTGAACTTATTAAACAGTTTTAACAGTTTTTTTTTTCGGTAGAGTCTTTAAGTTTGTCTAAATATAAGATTATATTGTCTGCAAACAAGGAACATTTGACTTCTTTCCAACTTGGATGCCTTTTATTTCTTTCTCGTGTCTAATTGGTCTAGCTAGGATTTACAGTACTATGTTAAATAAAAATAGTGAAAGCAGACATCCTTGTCTTGTTCCAGATTTTAGAAAAGAGACTTTTCATTTTCCCCCATGCAGTATGAAGCTAGGTGTGGGCTTGCCATATATTGCCTTCATTGTATTGAGATAAGTTCTTTTTATAACCAGTTTCTTGATGGTTTTTATCATGAAGGGATGTTGAATTTTATGGAATGCTTTTTCAGCATCTATTGAAATGATCATACAGTTTTTGCCCTTGGTTTTATTGATGTGATATATAACATTTATTTATTTGCATGTTTTGAACCATCCTTGCATCCCTGGGATGAATCCTACTTGATCATAATGAGCGATTTTTAAATGTGTTGCTTAATTCAGTTTGCTAGTGTTTTGTTGAGAATTTTTTATCTATGTTCCTCAGTGCTTTTGTCCTGTAGTATTCTTTGTTTCTTTTTAGTTATGTCTTTGTCTGGTTTTGATAGAAGGTAATGCTGGCCTCATAGAATAAGTTTGGAAGTATTCCCTCTTCTTTAACTTTTTGAAGAGTTTCAGTATAATTGGTATCAGTTCTTTAAATGTTTGGTAGAATTCAGCAATGAAGAAAGTATGTCCTGGCCTTTTTTGAAAACCTTTTATTTAGCAGACTTTAGTTCTGTTAGGCGTGGGCTTTTCTTTGATGGGAGAGTTTTTATTACTATCTCATTACTTATTATGAGTATGTTCTGGTTTTCTATTTCTTTATTTTTTCTTTAACAAAATTTTTTAAAATTATACTTTAAGTCCTAGCGTACATGTGCACAACGTGCAGGTTTGTCACACATGTATACATGTGCCATGTTGGTGTACTGCACCCACCAACTTGTCATCTACATTAGGTATATCTCCTAATGCTATCCTTCCCCCTCCCCCCACCCCACAACAGGCCCTGGTGTGTGATGTTCCCCTTCCTGTGTCCAAGTGTTCTCATTGTTCGATTCCCACCTATGAGTGAGAACATGCGGTGTTTGGTTTTTTGTTCTTGTGATAGTTTGCTGAGAATGATGGTTTCCAGCTTCATCCATGTCCCTACAAAGGACATGAACTCATCATTTTTTATGGCTGCATAGTATTCCATGGTGTATATGTGCTGCATTTTCTTAATCCAGTCTATCATTGATGGACATTTGGGTTGGTTCCAAGTCTTTGCTATTGTGAATAGTGCTGCAATAAACTATGTGTGCATGTGCCTTTATAGCAGCATGATTTATAATCCTTTAGGTATATACCCAGTAGTGGGATGGCTGGGTCAAATGGTATTTCTAGTTCTAGATCCTTGAGGAATCGCCACACTGACTTCCACAATAGTTGAACTAGTTTACACCAACAGTGTAAAAGTGTTCCTATTTCTCCACATCCACTCCAGCACCTGTTGTTTCCTGACTTTTTAATGATTGCCATTCTAACTGGTGTGAGATGGTACCTCATTGTGGTTTTGATTTGCATTTCTCTGATGGCCAGTGATGATGAGCATTTTTTCATGTGTCTGTTGGCTGCATAAATGTCTTCTTTTGAGAAATGTCTGTTCATATCCTTTGCCCACTTGTTGATGGGGTTGTTTGTTTTTTTCTTGTAAATTTGTTTGAGTTCATTGTAGATTCTGGATATTAGCCCTTTGTCAGATGAGTAGATTGCAAAAATTTTCTCCCATTCTGTAGGTTGCCTGTTCACTCTGATGGTAGTTTCTTTTGCCGTGCAGAAGCTCTTTACTTTAATTAGATCTCATTTATCAATTTTGGCTTCTGTTGCCATCACTTTTGGTGTTTTAGACATGAAGTCCTTGCCCATGCCTATGTCCTGAATGGTATTGCCTAGGTTTTCTTCTACGGTTTTTATGGTTTTAGGTCTAACATTTAAGTCTTTAATCCATCTTGAATTAATTTTTGTATAAGGTGTAAGGAAGGGATCCAGTTTCAGCTTTCTACATATGGCTAGTCAGTTTTCCCAGCACCATTTATTAAATAGGGAATCGCTTCCCCATTTCTTGTTTTTGTCAGGTTTGTCAAAGATCAGATGGTTGTAGATGTGTAGTATTATTTCTGAGGGCTCTGTTCTGTTCCATTTGTCTATATCTCTGTTTTGGTACCAATACCATGCTGTTTTGTTTACTGTAGCCTTGTAGTATAGTTTGAAGTCAGATAGCATGATGCCTCCAGCTTTGCTCCTTTGGCTTAGGATTGACTTGGCAATGTGGGCTCTTTTTTAGTTCCATGTGAGCTTTAAAGTAGTTTTTTTCCAATTCTGTGAAGAAAGTCATTGGTAGCTTGATGGGGATGGCATTGAATCTATAAATTATCTTGGGCAGTATGGCCATTTTCACGATATTGGTTTTACCTATCCATGAGCATGGAATGTTCTTCCATTTGTTCGTATCCTCTTTTCTTTCGTTGAGTATTGGTTTGTAGTTCTCCTTGAAGAGGTCCTTCACGTCCCTTGTAAGTTGGATTCCTAGGTATTTTATTCTCTTTGAAGCAATTGTGAATGGAGTTCACTCATGATTTGGCTCTCTGTTTGTCTGTTATTGGTGTATAAGAATGCTTGTGATTTTTGCACATTGATTTTGTATCCTGAGACTTTGCTGAAGTTGCTTATCAGCTTCAGGAGATTTTGGGCTGAGACAATGGGGTTTCCTAAATATACAATCATGTCATCTGCAAACAGGGACAATTTGACTTCCTCTTTTCCCAATCGAATACCCTTTATTTCCTTCTCCTGCCTGATTGCCCTGGCCAGAAATTCCAACACTATGTTGAATAGGAGTGGTGAGAGAGGGCATCCCTGTCTTGTGCCCGTTTTCAAAGGGAATGCTTCCAGTTTTTGCCCATTCAGTATGATATTGGCTGTGGGTTTGTCATAAATAGCTCTTATTATTTTGAGATATGTCCCATCAATACCTAATTTATTGAGAGTTTTTAGCATGAAGTCCTGTTGAATTTTGTCAGAGGCCTTTTCTGTATCTATTGAGATAATCATGTGGTTTTTGTCTTTGGTTCTGTTTATATGCTGGATTATGTTTATTGATTTGCATATTTTGAACCAGCCTTGCATCCCAGGGATGAAGCCCACTTGATCATGGTGGATAAGCTTTTTGATGTGCTGCTGGATTCAGTTTGCCGTATTTTACTGAGGATTTTTGCATCGATGTTCATCAGGGATATTGGTCTGAAATTCTCTTTTTTTTTTGTTGTGTCTCTGCCAGGCTTTGGTATCAGGATGATGCTGGCCTCATAAAATGAGTTAGGGAGGATTCCCTCTTTTTCTCTAGATTGGAATGGTTTCAGAAAGAATGGTACCAGTTCCTCCTTGTACCTCTGGTAGAATTCAGCTAAGAATCCATCTGGTCCTGGACTTTTTTTGGTTGGTAGGCTATTAATTATTACCTCAATTTCAGAGACTGTTATTGGTCTATTCAGGAATTCAACTTCTTCCTGGTTTAGTCTTGGGAGAGTGTATGCGTCCAGGAATTTATCCATTTCTTCTAGATTTTCTAGTTCATTTGCATAGAGGTGTTTATAGTATTCTTTGATGGTAGTTTGTATTTCTGTGGGATTGGTGGTGATATCCCCCTTATTATTTTTCATTGCATCTATTTGATTCTTCTCTCTTTTCTTCTTTATTAGTCTTGCTAGCAGTCTATCAATTTTGTTGATCTTTTCAAAAAACCAGCTCCTGGATTCATTGATTTTTTGAAGGGTTTTTTGTGTCTCTATCTCTTTCAGTTCTTCTCTGATCTTAGTTATTTCTTGCCTTCTGCTAGCTTTTGAATGTGCTCTTGCTTCTCTAGTTGTTTTAATTGTAATGTTAGGGTGTCAGTTTTAGATCTTTCCTGCTTTCTCTTGTGGGCATTTAGTGCTATAAATTTCCCTCTACACACTGCTTTGAATGTGTCCCAGAGATTCTAGTATGTTGTGTCTTTGTTCTCATTGGTTTCAAAGAACATTTTTATTTCTGCCTTCATTTTGTTATGTACCCAGTAGTCATTCAGGAGCAGGTTGTTCAGTTTCCATGTAGTTGAGAGATTTTGAGTTTCTTAGTCCTGAGTTCTAGTTTGATTGCACTGTGGTCTGAGAGACAGTTTGTTATAATTTCTGTTCTTTTACATTTGCTGAGGAGTGCTTTACTTCCAACTATGTGGTCAATTTTGGACTAAGTGCGATGTGGTGCTGAGAAGAATGTATATTCTGTTGATTTGGGGTGGAGAGTTCTGTAGATGTCTATTAGGTCTGCTTGGTTCAGAGCTGAGTTCAATTCCTGTATATCCTTGTTAACTTTCTGTCTCATTGATCTGTCTAATGTTGACAGTGGGGTGTTAAAATCTCCCGTTATTATTGTGTGGAAGTCTAAGTCTCTTTGTAGATCTCTAAGGACTTGCTTTATGAATCTGGGTGCTCCTGTATTGGGTGCATATATATTTAAGACAGTAAGTTCTTCTTGTTGAATTGATCCCTTTACCATTATTTAATGGCTTTCTTTGTCTCTTTTGATCTTTGTTGGTTTAAAGTCTGTTTTATCAGAGACTAGGATTGCAACCCCTCCCTTTTCTTGTTTTCCATTTGCTTGGTAGATCTTCCTCCATCCCTTTATTTTGAGCCTATGTGTGACTCTGCACGTGAGATGGGTCTCCTGAATGCAGCACATTGATGGGTCTTGACTCTTTATCCAATTTTCCAGTCTGTGTCTTTTAATTGGGGCTTTTAGCCCATTTACATTTAAGGTTAATATTGTTATATGTGAATTTGATCCTGTCATTATGATGTTAGCTGGTTATTTTGCTTGTTAGTTGACGCAGTTTATTCCTAGCATCGATGGTCTTTACAATTTGCCATGTTTTTGCAGTGGCTGGCACCAGTTGTTCCTTTCCATGTTCAGTGCTTCCTTCAGGAGCTCTTTTAGGGCAGGCTGCTGGTGACAAAATCTCTCAGCATTTGCTTCTCTGTAAAGTATTTTATTTCTCCTTCACTTATGAAGCTTAGTTTGGCTGGATATGAAATTCTGGGTTGAAAATTCTTTCCTTTAAGAATGTTGAATATTGGCCCCCACTCTCTTCTGGCTTGTAGACTTTCTGCCGAGATATCAGCTGTTAGTCTGATGGGCTTCCCTTTGTGGGTAACCCGACCTTTCCCTCTGGCTGCCCTTAACATTTTTTCCTTCATTTCAACTTTGGTGAATCTGACAATTATGTGTCTTGGAGTTGCTCTTCTCTAGGACTATCTTTTTGGCGTTCTCTGTATTTCCTGAATTTGAATGTTGGCCTGCCTTGCTAGGTTGGGGAATTTCTCCTGGATAATATCCTGCAGAGTGTTTTCCAACTTGGTTCCATTCTCCCCGTCACTTTCAGGTACACCAATCAGACGTAGATTTTGTCTTTTCACATAGTCCCATATTTCTTGGAGGCTTTGTTCATCTCTTTTTACTCTTTTTTCTCTAAACTTCTCTTCTCACTTCATTTCATTCATTTGATCTTCAATCACTGGTACCCTTTCTTCCAGTTGATTGAATTGGCTACTGAAGTTTGTGCATTCATCAGCTAGTTCTTGTGACATGGTTTTCAGCTCCATCAGGTCATTTAAAGACTTCTCTACGTATTCAGTTAGCCATTCATCTAATCTTTTTTCAAGGTTTTTAGTTTCTTTGTGATGGGTTCGAACTTCCTCCTTTAGCTGGTAGAAGTTTGATCATCTGAAGCCTTCTTCTCTCAACTTATCAAAGTCATTCTCCATCCAGCTTTGTTCCATTGCTGGCAAGGAGCTGCGTTCCTTTGGAGGGGAGAGGTGCTCTGATTTTTAGAATTTTCAGCTTTTCTGCTCTGTTTTTTCCCCATCTTTGTAGTTGTATCTACCTTTGGTCTTTGATGATGGTGATATACAGATGGGGTTTTGGTGTGGATGTCCTTTCTTTTGTTAGTTTTCCTTCTAACAGTTAGGACCCTCAGCTGCAGATCTTTTGGAGTTTGCTGGACGTCCACTCTAGACCCTGTTTGCCTGGGTATCAGCAGCAGAGCCTGCAGAACAGTGAATATTGCTGAACAGCAAATGTTGCTGCCTGATCATTCCTCTGGAAGCTTCATCTCAGAGGGGTACCCGGCCATGTGAGGTGTCAGTCTGCCCCTACTGGGGGTGCCTCCCAGTTAGGCTACTCGGGGTTCAGAGACCCACTTGAGGAGGCAGTCTGTCTGTTCTCAGATCTCAAACTCCATGCTGGGAGAACCACTACTCTCTTCAAACATGTCAGACAGGGACATTTAAGTCTGCAGAGGTTTCTGCTGGCTTTTGTTTGGCTATGCCCTGCCCCTACAGGTGGAGTCTACAGAGGCAGGCAGGCCTCCTTTAGCTGCAGTGGGTTCCACCCAGTTTGAGCTTCCTGGCCACTTTGTTTACCTACTCCAGCCTCAGCAATGGTGGGCACCCCTCCCCCAGCCTCGCTGCTGCCTTGCAGTTCGATCTCAGACTGCTGTGGTAGCAATGAGCGAGGCTCCGTGGGTGTGGGACCCTCCAAACCAGGCATGGGATATAATCTCCTGGTGTGCCATTTGCTAAGACCCTTGGAAAAGTGCAGTATTAGGGTGGGAGTGTCCTGATTTTCCAGGTGCCATCTGTCACAGCTTTGTTTAGCTAGGAAAAGGAATTCCCTGACCCCTTGTGCTTCCCAGGTGAGGTGATGCCTCACCCTGCTTTGACTCACACTCAATGGACTGCACCCACTATCCCGCCCCCACTGTCTGACGAGCCCCAGTGAGATGCACCTGGTACCTCAGTTGGAAATGCAGAAATCACCCATCTTCTGCGTCGCTCACGCTGGGAAGTGTAGACTGGAGCTGTTCCTATTTGGCCATCTTGGAACCACCCCCTTCTGTTTCTTTATGGTTTAATTTTGGTACATTGTTTATGTGTCTAGAAATTTATCTACTTTTTTCTACATTTTCTAATTTATTGGCATATAGTTGCTCATAGTAGCCTCTAGTGCTCTTCTGAATGACTGTGGTAACTCAATTTAATGTCTCCTTCTTCATCTCTGATCTTACTTATTTGAGTCTTCCCTCTTTCTTGTTAGTCTAGCTAAAGTTTTGTCTGTTTATATTAAAAAAATTTTTTTGTTTTGTTGCTCTTTTGTATTTTTTCAGTCTCAATTTTATTTAGTTTTGCCCTGGTCTTTATTATTTCTTTTCTTCTCTTAAGTTTGGGTTTGGCTTTTTCTTGCTTGTCTAGTTCCTTGAGGTGCATCAGTAAGTATTTATTTGAAGTCTTTTCACTTTTTCGATGTATCTATTGCTATAAACTTCCCTCTTAGTAATACTTTTGCTGTATTCCATAGGTTTTTTAATGTTACATTTCCATCTTTATTTGCTTCAAGAAATTTTTTAATGTTCTTCTTAATTTTTTCCTGACTGATTGGTTGTTAAGGAGCATGATGTTTAATTTCCAGCTATACATATATAGTTTCCAATGTTCCTCTTGTTATTTATTTCTAGTTTTATTCCATTGTTGTCAGAAAAGACACTTGATGTGATTTCTACTTTTTTTTCAATTTGTTTTTATTAGTGGTATGGCCTAAGATGTGGTTTATCTTGGAGAATGCTACATGTGCTGATGAGAAGAACGTGTATTCTGAACCTGTTGAATGTAATGTTCTGTAAGTGTCTATTAGTCTATTAAATACATTTGGTCTACAGTGCATATTAAGTCCAATGTTTCCTTGCTGATTTCTGTCTAGATAATGTGTGTAATGCTGAAAGTGGTGTGCTGAAGTCCACCTATTACTGTATTGGGGTTCACTTTGTCTCTTTAGCTCTAATAATACTTGCTTTATGTATCTGGGTGCTGTGGTGCTGGGTGCATATATATTTACAATTGTTATAAACTGTTGAAGAATTAGCCCCTTTATCATTATATAGTGACCTTCTTTGTCTCCTTTATAAAAAAACAAAAACAAAAAAGAGAGGGAAGAGAGCAAGTGACTTTGCCTAGGAACCCAGGAAATTATCCCTTATCTTCTCCAGGTCCAGCAGGGGCTCTGTATCCAGCAGTCTGCAAGATTTGCAGCATACCTGGGCTTAGGGCAACCCCTAGTGCTCAAAGTGCTGCAGTAGCCACAGGTTTAGATAACACTCAATACCCTTTGAATTTTTAGAAAGCCCTCTCAAGAAGAATGGGTACAAACAAGGCCAGACTCTGAAGACTAGAATACTTATCTAACTTTCCAATACGCAGACATTAATGAATGTCCACAAGCATCACGAACATCCATTCATACCTTAAACACTAAAAGATAACTATATCAAAAATAATAAATACAAGAAGAGATAAACAATATCAAAAGACATAAAAAGAGACAATACTTATAGTAGGTGAAATAGACCACAAGTCAAAAGCTATAACTGAGTGGCACACTGAGACCACAGCTCCTGAGACCAGCACAGCACCAGGGCTCACTCAAAAATTGCAGTCACTATGGCCTGGCTGACACTCAAATTTATTTGGGGCCCTAGGCCACTTTAATCAGCCAGTGGTGAAGCGGGTTGGAATTCAGACTCTTCCTGTTGGGGAATTCCCTTCTGGCCCAGGGATGCTCTAAATATTCCCCTTGTGGGTACCCATAGAATGGTGCCAATGTTGTGCTCCACTGTGACAGGGCAGCACTAAGCTCTAATGCAAAGTCCACTCTCACTTTGCTCTCCCTCCCACAAAGCACACAGATTCTGTCTCTTGGCTGCCCTGTATGGAGTTGGGGGATGGGTAGTACAGGTAAAGCAAGACTATCTTTTCTACCCTTTTCAATGTGTCTTTCCTTGTTGTTATGCTAAAAGTAGGTATTGTGATTGCTCATCTGTTGTTCTTTTTTTATTATTATTTATTTATTTTTATTTTTTGAGACAGAGTCTTGCTCTTTCACCCAGGCTGGAGTGAAATGGCAGGGTCTCGGCTCACTGCAACCTCCACCCCCAGGGTTCAAGCGATTCTCCTGCCTCAGCCTCCTGAGTAGCTGGGATTACAGGCACCCACCACCACGCCTGGTTAATTTTTGTATTTTTAGTAGGACGGGGTTTCTCCATGTTGGCCAGGCTGGTCTCCAACTGCTGACCTCAGGTGATCTACCCGCCTTGGCCTTCCAAAGTGCTAGGATTACAGGCATGAGCCACCATGCCTGGCCTGTTGTTGTTCTTATGAAGGCGTTTTCTTGCATAGATAATTGTTCAATTTGGTGTTCCTGTGGGGGGATGATTAATAGCTTTTCTATTTGGCCATCTTGCTCTGCCTCAATCAGAAACCACATCTTAGTTGAGATTTGAAGGATGAATAGGGGTTATCCAGGCCAGGAATGTGGGATTAGAGGAAGCATACCTAGGTGGCATAAATAATTTGGATGCCAAGCCTACTTGGCTAAGTTTAAGAACCTTAAAGTTGTTCTGTTTGGCTGGAGAAGAGAGGCAAGAATTAAGGCCACTGATCTAGGCAGATGCCAAATGGAAAAATATTTTGAATTTATGTTAAAGAACTTGGACTTTATCTTGAGGACTGTGCATAATTTTAAACTGGATATTGACATGATTGCATTTGTCTAGAAACTTCATCCAGGCTACAGAATGGATTGGGTGGTCTGGGATTAAAGCTGACGTTACTTACTGTAGCATTTTCATACACAAAGTGAGAAAGGAGAAAAATGAAAAATATGTGAAGTTTGGTCTCCTCTGTCAGTGACTATTGTCTGTAATCTTGACCCAAGATTATGAAATTTATTCTTACGAGCATGGGATTCTGATTCTCAATGTCCACAGGAAAGTTTAAAAATATTCTACCTGGATATAAAGTAAATGGCTGCTCAAATTTCTGTCTGCTCATTATCCTACCCTGGAGCTTGAAAGGAAGCCACTTTCTAACACACGTAACAATTGTATAATTCAGTACCAAGAATTGTGGAGAAAAAACACCAGAGAATTATAGTGATTCAATTTAAAATCTACTGAAAGCTTTGGTTAAGGCTTATGTGGCTGTACAGAGAAATTGCATGAGGTAAGAAAGCCGTTGTCATGGCCACAGGACAGTTTGTATTTTGATAAAATTAAAATGCCCTCTCAGGAAGGTTCTATCATTCTCTGGAATAACTTTTTAGAGCTTGAGGTAAAGGAAAGGCAAGACATATGTGTGATAAGGCATTACATCCAGGTGATACGCAGAGTCTAGCTTGTATTCCAGGAGCTTCAAATTCTTGTTTTCTTTTCGTTTTTCACCACAGGCAGCATCAGAGTAAAATTGATCTAATTTCACAAACTGCACTTCTGGTAAATTTTAAAAGAACTTAAAACATCATCATTGAAAATGATACAATAAAAGGGGACATCTGCACATACCTTTTGTTCTAAGAATCTGAAATAGTAAGCAATCCAGTAGCATTCCAGGTAATAGAATCTATGTGGGATTGCAGTTGTTCAATATGCATAATTAATTAAATGCTAATTCTAATCATCATACTGCCAGATATAAATACCATCTGGGAAGGGTTGTCTTATGATAAAACTAACAGTGCAAACATTGTAACACTATTCAAAGGCAGAAGAAGCCATTCTGTAGTTTTGCTAAAAATAGGGTGCTTATAGTGTAAAAGGAAATTAGACGTGCATGTTCTGTCCACCAAAGGTGACCATTCATTCCATTCCAAATAGGAACACTCACTGCCAAACCACCCCTTTAAAATAAAAGGAGCTTGAGTTGAGGAAGTATAAGAAATTGATAGGTTTTCTGTTATTTGTACAAATGATTCTTCTTTTCTTTCATGCAGTTGTACGACTCTAATTAAATAAATAAGAAACTAGTGAAATAAACTTTAACAGAAGGTCTAAACATAAGCAAATGTTGCATTCTGCAATATTTAATACATGCTTCTTAAAGCTGATATATGTACACATACATATGCACACACACACACACTTAATCTTTCTCAAGAAACAGGTTGTTTTCAGTTGCATTTTGAGAAGTGTATTATTGCTTTGCTCCATTACTTTTAGTTTCTTATTCTGTGTAGAACTATTTAAATAGGAAGAAATATACTCTTCAAATCATTCTGGTTTAAAAATTGTGGCTTAGAAGCAAGCTGGCTTCACTTCCCCCACAGAAAATGAATATATATATATATACCCAGTATTGAGATCATCACTAGCAATATCCCAGAACTCAAGTATAAAGATGAGATAGCTCCTGGGTCCACAATGAAGTTAAAAAACTTTAATTCGACAGTAAGAGAATTGGATTTCCCATATCTGTGACACCACTCCCCCATCCCCAATCTGCCCAGCATCAAGTATGTGGAAAATTTCCCCGACTCAAGATTTTGACACTTTGAAAAGTGAAAGCGAGGTGGACGATCAGCTTCCCCACCATCTTGGGTTCCCTGGCAGGAAAGCTGTCTCTTCTTCAATCCATAGGAAATATTATGAGTGCCTAAAAGGAGAAGTATTCCTGAAGACAGGCAGAGTCAAAAGGAGGAGGCAAGACTCCCATCCCCAGCCCTGGAAATTCTGCTTGTAACTCAACCAAAAGAAACACCAAATCAGAGTGGCTGTTCAGTAGCCATGCTGTAAAAGGTATGTTCCACAGTTCCTCTGGACACAAACCCTTAACTAGCCATCCCACACTACTGGAATATCCGTTTAAGCTACCCCCCATGTGAGGTGGGCAGTGCTCCAATCATTTACTAGAACTGAGTCAAATCACTAAGTTGCTGTCTCCTTTTTAGGAAAGACTGCAGCAGCAGCATCATTTTTCCTCACTTAGTGGGGGAAAATATTTAACAGGTAAATTATAAAGAATCTCTGAGCAAACAGACCCAATGAAAATGAAAGCAAGCAAGACAGAGAAAACTGGAATAAATAACTAAAACTTCAATGCGAAAATATAAAAGTATGTATGCAAGAAACAAAAGCAAACAAAATCATGACCTCACAAAACAAGAAACCAGTGATTGGCTGTGACAAGATGATGCTACATGAGTTCTCTGACCAAGAATTCATATTAACAATTTTAAAGGAAACTCAGTGATCAAGATAACATGAAAAGGCAATTCATAAATTTATTACATATTAGCATTATAAATTTAACAAAGAGATTGAAGTAATAAAAACAAATCAATAGAAATCATGGATCTGAGAAATACATTTGCCAAACTGAAAAATTTAATTGAGGCTCTCAACAGCAGAACAGATCAAGCAGAGAAAAGAATAAGTGAGATCTAAGACAAGCTATTTGAAAATACATAGAGAAGAAAAAAGAAAAAAGAATGAGAAGGAATGACAATTGCCTACACAATATAGAAAATTACTTCAAAAGGTCAAATTTCAGGATTATTAGTGTTTAATAAGGAGTTGAGCAAGAGCAAGGAGTAGAAATATTATTCAAAGAAATAATAACAGAAAACTTTCCAAAACTTGAGGAAGATGTAAATATCCATATAGGAAGGTCAGAGAACTCCAAACAGATCCAACCCAAATAGGACAACCAAGGCATATAATAATCAAGCTTTCAAAAATCAAAGACAAAGACAGTATCCTAAAAAAGCAATGGAAAAGAAGCAAATAACATATAAAGGGGCTCCAATTCTTCTGGCAACAGGCTTTACAAAGGAAACCATATTAGTCAGGGGGAATAAGATGCCATTTTGCAAGTGTTGAAAAAGAAAAAAACCCTGCTATTTAAGAATACTGTATCCAGCAAAACTATTCTTCAAATGTGAAGGAGAGATAAGGTGTTTCCCCAGACAAACAAAAGCTGAGATAATTTAATCACCGCTACTACCAGACCTTTCTTATAAGAAATGCTAAAGGAAGTTCTTCAGTCTGAAAAAAACAACACTAATGTGCAAAAAGAAAACATGTGAAGGTATAAAACCTACTGGTAAAAGTAAATACATGGACAAACCCAGATTTCTCTAGTACTGTAATTGTGACTGCAATCCACTCATAACTTTAGTATGAAGTCTAAAAAACAAATCTATCAAATCTAATGATAGCTATGCAATCTTGTAAGACACAGACAATATAAAAATATGTAAACTGAGATGACAAAAAGTCAAAATGTGGGTAGGATGAATTTAAAGTGTAGAGGTTTTTTAGTTTTCTCTTTGTTGGCTTCTGTTCTTTGTGATCTAAGATACGTTGTCATCTCTTTAAAATAACTTGTTATATCTATAAGATTTTTTTGGTAAGCTTCATGGTAACCACAACACAAAAACCTATAATAGATTCACTAAAAATAAAAAGCAATGAATTAAAACATACTACCAGTGAAAATAAATTAACCACAAAGGAAGGCAGTGAGAAAGAAAGAAAGGAATAGAGGAAGTTACAAGCAACCAGAAAACGGGCAACAAAGTGAGGGTGGTAAGCCCTTATTTATCAGTGTTAATGCTGAATGTAAATGGACTCAATTTTCCAATTAAAAGACACAGAGTGGCTGAATGGAGAAGGAAGGAAGGAAGGAAGGAAGGAAGGAAGGAAGGAAGGAAGGAAGGAAGGAAGGAAGGAAGGAAGGAAAAAGAAAGAAAGAGAGAGAGGCCACAACTCCTAATTGCACTTCCTCCAACCTTTCTCCCAACCACAAATCTCATCTCCTTAAATAGCACCAACACCATCAGCTGCTCAAACAAATTTTAGAAGTCATCCTCAATTCCTCTGCATTTCTTGCACAGTGAGCATGTTCTGCTCATCTCCTCCTGCTTGCCCTTCAAGTCAGCCTGCTCCTCCCCCTAGCCTGTGCTCCCACCACCAGCTCTCATTTGAATAACTATAAAATCCTCCAGCTTGCTCTATCTGCTTCAACTCTGTCCCCTGAAAGTGTTCAGTTTTGGTTTAGCTTCAAACATTAGAAATTTAATATTCCAAAGGATTCTAAAAACGGATTAAATGTGCCAACAAGAAGGAATTTTAATATGCATGCCATACCAGAAATAAATTGCTTTTCAATAAGATATAATCTCCAATAAAGTGCTTTTTCTTATGTCTGGCTAGAAGCCATAGACTCCGTCACTTTCTTCTCTTTTCAGAATCATATCTCTTTTCTGTTTTATATATTTTATTGATACATAATAAATGTACCCACTTTGGTAGGCCGAGGTGGGCGGATCACCTGAGGTCAGGAGTTTGAGACTAGCCTGGCCAACATAGTGAAACCTCATCTCAACTAAAAATGCAAACATTAGCTGGGTGTGGTGGCAGGCACCTATAGTCCCAGCTACTAGGGAGGCTGAGGCAGGAGACTCACTTGAACCTGGGCAGCAGAGGTTGCAGTGAGCCGAGATCATGCCACTGCACTCCTGCCTGGGCAACAGAGTGAGATTCGGTCTCAAAAAAAAAAAAAAGAAAGAAAGAAAACTACCAATTTTCAGGTATCTGTGATAATTTAATACATGCATATAATGTGGGAAGATCAATTCAGCATAATTGAGCTACTGATCACATTAAATATGTGTATTTTCTTTATGCTAGAAACATTCAAGTTATTCTCTTCTAGCTATTTTGAAATGTACAATTGATTATTGTTAAGTATAGTGACTCTACTGATTTATCGAACACTAGGTTTTATTTCTTCTTCCGTTTATTTGTACCCATTAATCAACCTCTCTTCACTCCTCCTTTCTCCCTACTTTTCCTATCCTCTGGTAACCAGCAATCTACTTTCTATCTTCATGAGATAATACTTTCTTAGCCGCTACATATGAGTGAGAACATGTAATATTTGTATTTCTGTACTTGGCTTATTTCACTTAATGTTGATTCCAGATTCATCCATGTTGCTGCAAATGACAGGACTTTATTCTTTTTATGGCTAAATAGTATCCTATTTTCTTTATCTATTCATCCGTTGATGGACAATTAAGTTGATCCTATAACTCTTCAATATATTGATTTCCTTTTTTTGGATATATATCCAGAAGTGGAATGAATGTACCACATGGTAGTCCTTGTTTCTTTCTCATCATTTGATTGATGATGTTTCTCATCATTTCTTTTTTAGCTAGTTTGTTGTTTATGTATAGGAATGCTACTGATTTTTGTATGTCGATTTTGTATACTGTGACTTCACTTATCAGTCCTGAGTTTTTTGGTGGAGTCTTCAGTTTTTTTCTGTATATAAGATCAAGTTATCTGAAAACAGGAACAATTTGACTTTCTCTTTTCCAATTTGGAGATCCTTTATTTCTTTCTCTTGTCTAATTGCTCTGGCTAGAACTTCCAGTACTATTTTAAATAAGAGCGGTAAAAGTGAGTGTATTTGTCTCGTTCTAATTATCAGAGTAAAAGCTTCCAACTTTTCCCCATTCAGCATGCTGTCAGTGGTGGGTCTGTCATCTATGGCCTTTATTGTGTTGAGATACACTCCTTCTATACCTAATTTGTTTTGAGTTTCTATCATGAAGAAATGTTGAGTCTTATCAAATGCTGTTTCTACATCTATTGAGATGATTCTATGGTTTTTATTCTTCATTTTGTTGATGAAATAGATCACATTTATTGACTCGCATATTTTGAATCATCCTTGCATTTGGGGGATACATCCCTCTTGATCATGGTATATACCTTGATGTGCTGTTGGATTTGGTTTGCTGGCATATGTTTTGCGGATTTTTGCATCTACCTTTATCAGGAATTTTGGCCTGTACTTTTCTTTTTGTTGGTGTGTCTTTGTCTGGTTTTGGTATTAGGGTAATATTAGCCTCATAGAATGAGTATAAAATCATTCCCTCTCTTTAGCTTTTTGGAATATTTTTAGGAAAATTGATGTTTGTTCTTCTTTAAATGTTAGAATACAGCATTGAAGCCATCTGGTTCTGGCTTTTCTTTTTTGGAGAGACGTTTTATTACTGCTTCAACCTTGTTACTTGTTATTGGTCTGTTTAGGTTTTCTATTTCTTTCTGGTTCTGTCTTGATGGGTTGCATGTGTCAGCAATCTATTCATTTCCTCTAGGTTTTATAATTCGTTGGTATGGAGTTTTCCATAATAGTCTCTAATGATCCTTTCTGTGGTATCAGTTGTAATATATTCTTTTTTCTGATTTTATTAATTTGGATCTTTTCTCATTTTTTCTTGGATAGTCTAGCTAAAGTTTTGTTCATTTTTGTTTAACTTTTAAGAAAACAACTTTTCATTTGGTTAATCTCTTGTATTGATTTTTTAGCCTCTATTTTGTTTATTTCTGCTCTGATATATTCTATTTCTTTCCTTCTACTAATTTTGGGTTTGGTTTGTTCTTGCTTTTTTTAGTTTTTTGAGGAGCATTATTAGGTTGTTTTTGGAAATCTTTCTATTTTTTGATAAAGGTGTTTTTTTTTTCTATAAATTTCCCTTCCAGTATTGTTTTTGCTGTGTCTCACAGGTTTTGGTATGTTGCATTTTTATTTAATTTGGTTCAAGAAATGTTTTAGTTTCCTTCTTAATTTCTTCATTGACTCATGGTCATTCAGGACCATGTTGTTTAATTTCCAGGTATTTGTACAGTTTCTAAAGTTTCTCTTGTTATTCTAGTTTTATTTCATTGTGGTCAGAAAAGAGACTTGATATGATTTCAGTTTTTAAAAATTTGTTGAAACTTGGTTTTTTGGCCTAACATATGGTGTATTCTAGAGAATGTTCCATGTGCTGATGAGAAGAATGTGTATTCTGCAGGTGTTGGATGGCATGTTCTATAAATGTCTGTTAGGTCCATTTGGTCTATAGTGCAGTCTAAATCGAGTGCTTCTTTTTTGATTTTCTGTCTAGATGACCTGTCCAATGCTGTGAGTAGTGTATGAAAGTCTCCAGCTATGATTGTATTGAAGTCTATCTCCCCCTACATATATATATATATACACACATATATATGTGCTTTACTGTTATGTGAGTATATATTTACAATTCCTTTATCCTCTTGCTGAGTTGATCTCTTTATTATTACATAATGACCTTCTCTGTCTTTTTAAAAATATAGTTTTAGACTTAAAATCCATTTTATTTGATATAAGTGTAGCTACTTCTGCTCATTTTTGGTTTCCGCCTTGTGGAATGCCTATTTTCATGCCTTCATTTTCTTTCTTTTCTTTTTCTTTTTTTCAGACAGGGTCATGCTCTGTTGCCCAGGCTAAAGTGCAGTGGCACAATCATAGCTCACTGCAGCCTTGAGCTCCTGGGTTCAAGCAATCTTCCCACCTCAGCCTCCCTTTTAGCTGGGACTGTAGGAATGTTCCACCATGCCTGGCTTTATCCCTTATACTTTCAGACAAAGAAAATATGTGTGTCATAGGTGAAGTGAGTTTCTTATAGCTAGCATATAGTTGGATCTGTGTCTTTTATTCATTCAGCCAATCTATATTTTTTAACTTGGGAATTTAATCCATTTACATTCAAAGTTATTATTGATAGGTGAGGACTTACATTTGTTAATTGTTTTCTGGTTATTTTATATACCTTTGTTCTTTTCTTTCTTGCTTCTTATTTATTTTCGGAGTTTGATGGTTTTCTCTAGTGATTATGTTTGATTATGTTATCTTTCTTATTTGTGTATCTGTTCAAAGATACATAATTTTATACTTTTGAGCTTTATACTTTTATATGTTGTCATTACTGTAGTTATTGTCCTTGTGCTTCCACATACAGTGCTCCCTTAAGCATTTCTTGTAAGGCTGGTGAAGTGGTGATGAATTATCTGTTTTTGCTTATTCATGAAAGATTTTACTTCTGTTTCATTTCTGCATGATAGCTTTGTTGGGTATATGATATGATTTGGCTGTGTCCCCACCCAAAATCTCATCTTAAATTGTAATCTGAATTATAATCCCCACATGTTGGGGGAGGGCTCTCATGGGAGGTTATTAGATCATGGGGGCAGTTCCCCCACACTGTTCTCATGGTAGTGAATGAGTGCTCATAAGATCTGATGGTTTTATAAGGGGCTTTTCCCCTCTTAGTTCTGCACTACTCTCTCTTGCTGCCATATGAAGAGGAACGTGTTTACTTTCCCTTCCGTCATGA
This sequence comes from Homo sapiens, assembly GCF_000001405.40. Classification (NCBI taxonomy): domain Eukaryota; kingdom Metazoa; phylum Chordata; class Mammalia; order Primates; family Hominidae; genus Homo; species Homo sapiens. Next base: position 36,485,579 of record NC_000013.11, read on the forward strand.
TTGTAAGTTTCCTAAGGCTTCCCCAGTCATGCAAAACTGTGAGTTAATTAAACCTCTTTCCTTTATAAATTACCCAGCCTCAGGCAGTTCTTTATGGCAGCATGAGAATGGACAAATAGAGTTTATTTCTTTCAATACATTGAATATATCATCCCATTCTCTCCTGGCCTGTATGCTTTTGTTGAGAAATCTGCTGTTCATCTAATGAGGATTCCCTGATATGTGACTGGATACTTTCTCTTACTATTTTAAAACTTCTTTGTCTTTGCCTTTTGAAAGTTTGAGTATAATGTGCCTCAAAGAGGACATTTTTGGTTGAATATATTTGGGGATTTTTGAGATTTCTGGGTCTGGATATCCATATCTCTCCCAAGAATTGGGGAGTTTTCAGCTATTACTAGATTAAATAGATTTCGTATGCCTTTTTCACCTTTATTTCTTCTGAAATTCTGGTAATATGATCATTTATTCTCTTAATGATGTCCCATAAGTCCTGTAGCCTCTTTTTTTCTTTTTTATTCTTTTTTTCTTTAACTGGTTTATTTCAAAAGCCCTTTTTTTTAAGGTGGCTCTGCAAAGAGCCTTTGGTTTATAAGGCAGTGTTATTGTTATTATTATTATTTTATTATTATTATACTTTAAGTTTTAGGGTACATGTGCACATTGTGCAGGTTAGTTACATATGTATACATGTGCCATGCTGGTGTGCTGCACCCATTAACTCGTCATTTAGCATTAGGTATATCTCCTAATGCTATCCCTCCCCTCTCCCGCCACCCCACAACAGTCCCCAGAGTGTGATGTTCCCCTTCCTGTGTCCATGTGTTCTCATTGTTCAATTCCCACCTATGAGTGAGAACATGTGGTGTTTGGTTTTTTGTCCTTGCGATAGTTTACAGAGAATGATGATTTCCAATTTCATCCATGTCCCTACAAAGGACATGAGCTCTTCATTTTTTATGGCTGCATAGTATTCCATGGTGTATATGTGCCACATTTTCTTAATCCAGTCTATCATTGTTGGACATTTGGGTTGGTTCCAAGTCTTTGCTATTGTGAATAGTGCCGCAATAAACATACGTGTGCATGTGTCTTTATAGCAGCATGATTTATAGTCCTTTGGGTATATACCCAGTAATGGGATGGCTGGGTCAAATGGTGTTTCTAGTTCTAGATCCCTGAAGAATCGCCACACTGACTTCCACGATGGTTGAACTAGTTTACAGTCCCATCAACAGTGTAAAAGTGTTCCTATTTCTCCACATCCGCTCCAGCACCTGTTGTTTCCTGACTTTTTAATGATTGCCATTCTAACTGGTGTGAGATGGTATCTCATTGTGGTTTTGATTTGCATTTCTCTGATGGCCAGTGATGGTGAGCATTTTTTCATGTGTTTTTTGGCTGCATAAATGTCTTCTTTTGAGAAGTGTCTGTTCATGTCCTTCACCCACTTTTTGATGGGGTTGTTTGTTTTTTTTCTTGTAAATTTGTTTGAGTTCATTGTAGATTCTGGATATTAGCCCTTTGTCAGATGAGTAGGTTGCGAAAATTTTCTCCCATTTTGTAGGTTGCCTGTTCACTCTGATGGTAGTTTCTTTTGCTGTGCAGAAGCTCTTTAGTTTAAGTAGATCCCATTTGTCAATTTTGGCTTCTGATGCCATTGCTTTTGGTGTTTTAGACATGAAGTCCTTGCCCATGCCCATGTCCTGAATGGTAATGCGTAGGTTTTCTTCTAGGGTTTTTATGGTTTTAGGTCTAACATTTAAGTCTTTAATCCATCTTGAATTAATTTTTGTATAAGGTATAAGGAAGGGATCCAGTTTCAGCTTTCTACATATGGCTAGCCAGTTTTCCCAGCACCATTTATTAAATAGGGAATCGTTTCCCCATTTCTTGTTTTTGTCAGGTTTGTCAAAGATCAGATAATTGCAGATATGTGGCATTATTTCTGAGGGCTGTCTTCTGTTCCATTGATCTATATCTCTGTTTTGGTACCAGTATCATGCTGTTTTGGTTACTGTAGGCTTGCAGTATAGTTTGAAGTCAAGTAGCGTGATGCCTCCAGCTTTGTTCTTTTGGCTTAGGATTGACTTGGCGATGTGGGCTCTTTTTTGGTTCCATATGAACTTTAAAGTAGTTTTTTCCAATTCTGTGAAGAAAGTCATTGGTAACTTGATGGGGATGGCATTGAATCTATAAATTACCTTGGGCAGTATGGCCATTTTCATGATATTGATTCTTCCTACCCATGAGCATGGAATGTTCTTCCATTTGTTTGTATCCTCTTTTATTTCCTTGAGCAGTGGTTTGTAGTTCTCCTTGAAGAGGTCCTTCACATCCCTTGTAAGTTGGATTCCTAGGTATTTTATTCTCTTTGAAGCAATTGTGAATGGGAGTTTACTCATGAGTTGGCTCTCTGTTTGTCTGTTATTGGTGTATAGGAATGCTTGTGATTTTTGTACATTGATTTTGTATCCTGAGACTTTGCTGAAGTTGCTTATCAGCTTAAGGAGATTTTGGGCTGAGACAATGGGGTTTTCTAGATATACAATCATGTCATCTGCAAACAGGGACAATTTGACTTCCTCTTTTCCTAATTGAATACCCTTTATTTCCTTCTCCTGCCTAATTGCCCTGGCCAGAACTTCCAACACTACGTTGAATAGGAGTGGTGAGAGAGGGCATCCCTGTCTTGTGCCAGTTTTCAAAGGGAATGCTTCCAGTTTTTGCCCATTCAGTATGATATTGGCTGTGGGTTTGTCATAGATAGCTCTTATTATTTTGAGATATGTCCCATCAATACCTAATTTATTGAGAGTTTTTAGCATGAAGCGTTGTTGAATTTTGTCAAAGGCCTTTTCTGCATCTATTGAGATAATCATGTGGTTTTTGTCTTTGGTTCTGTTTATATGCTGGATTACATTTATTGATTTGCGTATATTGAACCAGCCTTGCATCCCAGGGATGAAGCCCACTTGATCATGGTGGATAAGCTTTTTGATGTACTGCTGGGTTCAGTTTGCCAGTATTTTATTGAGGATTTTTGCATCAATGTTCATCGAGGATATTGGTCTAAAATTCTCTTTTTTGGTTGTGTCTCTGCCCGGCTTTGGTACCAGGATGATGCTGGCCTCATAAAATGAGTTAGGGAGGATTCCCTCTTTTTCTATTGTTTGGAATAGTTTCAGAAGGAATGGTACCAGTTCCTCCTCGTGCCTCTGGTAGAATTCAGCTGTGAATGCATCTGGTCCTGGACTCTTTTAAGTTGGTAAGCTATTGATTATTGCCACAATTTCAGAGCCTGTTATTGGTCTATTCAGAGATTCAACTTCTTCCTGGTTTAGTCTTGGGAGAGTGTATGTGTCGAGGAATTTATCCATTTCTTGTAGATTTTCTAGTTTATTTGCGTAGAGGTGTTTGTAGTATTCTCTGATGGTAGTTTGTGTTTCTGTGGGATTGGTGGTGATATCCCCTTTATCATTTTTTATTGTGTCTACTTTATTCTTCTCTCTTTTCTTCTTTATTAGTCTTGCTAGCGGTCTATCAATTTTATTGATCCTTTCAAAAAACCAGCTCCTGGATTCATTAATTTTTTGAAGGGTTTTTTGTGTCTCTATTTCCTTCAGTTCTACTCTGATTTTAGTTATTTCTTGCCCTCTGCTAGCTTTTGAATGTGTTTGCTCTTGCTTTTCTAGTTCTTTTAATTGTGATGTTAGGGTGTCAATTTCGGATCTTTCCTGCTTTCTCTTGTGGGCATTTAGTGCTATAAATTTCCCTCTACACACTGCTTTGAATGTGTCCCAGAGATTCTGGTATGTTGTGTCTTTGTTCTCGTTGGTTTCAAAGAACATCTTTATTTCTGCCTTCATTTCGTTATGTACCCAGTAGTCATTCAGGAGCAGGTTGTTCAGTTTCCATGTAGTTGAGCGGTTTTGAGTGAGTTTCTTAATCCTGAGTTCTAGTTTGATTGCACTGTGGTCCGAGAGACAGTTTGTTATAATTTCTGTTCTTTTACATTTGCTGAGGAGAGCTTTACTTCCAACTATGTGGTCAATTTTGGAATAGGTGTGGTGTGGTGCTGAAAAAAATGTATATTCTGTTGATTTGGGGTGGAGAGTCCTGTAGATGTCTATTAGATCCGCTTGATGCAGAGCTGAGTTCAATTCCTGGGTATCCTTGTTAACTTTCTGTCTCGTTGATCTGTCTAATGTTGACAGTGGGGTGTTAAAATCTCCCATTATTATTGTGTGGGAGTCTAAGTCTCTTTGTAGGTCACTCAGGACTTGCTTTATGAATCTGGGTGCTCCTGTATTGGGTGCATATATATTTAGGATAGTTAGCTCTTCTTGTTGAATTGATCCCTTTACCATTATGTAATGGCCTTCTTTGTCTCCTTTGATCTTTGTTGGTTTAAAGTCTGTTTAATCAGAGACTAGGATTGCAACCCCAAGGCAGTGTTATTATTAATACTTTACTTTTCCTTTACCTTGAGGTGACTCTCAGTCTTCTTGGGCAGCATCTTGGCCTGGATGTTGGGCAAGACAGTCACCTGTGTGATAATGACTTTACCCAGCAACTTGTTGACATCTTCATTATTGCAACTGGCCAGCTGCAGGTGGTGCAGGATGATACATGTCTTCTTGTTGTCACAGGTCCCATTGCCTGCCAACTCCAGAATCTGAGTAATCAGCACTCCAACACCACTACTAAGCACAGTGGCATATCAGCCCTTACTTTCTCATAGTAATTGCCCTTGAAGAGCAGGAGGTGCACACAACCTGTCAAGAACTGCAGACTAACCCAGGAGGGCTGGGTCTTGGCCTCAGTGCAAGCCTTGCTGCTCTGCTTGCCACATCCAGACATAGTGGAGGGGAGTAATTGTCAGCATGAGTATAGCCTAAACATAAACTTACCTAAACAAATGATCAAAGTTAAAATATGGCAAAATGTAAAACAAACTCAAATTGAAGGATATTCTACAAAATGACCTGCCTACAACCTTAAAATTCATGAAAATGAGGAAAGACTGAGGAAATGAGGAAAGACTGAAAGTCTCTTTCAGTTCCACACTGAAAGAGACTAGAGAGACGAGGCAACTGGGTTCAAAGGATCCTGGATTGGATCCTTTAGCTATGAAAGACATTATTGAAATATTGGGGGAAATCTGAGTGGGATTTTGGAGTGTAGTGTATTCAGTTATTTATACTCTTCATTATACTATTCTTTAAGTTGACATTGTTTACAATTTTAAAGAAAAAGAAAAACTTATGTCTTAAGAGAGTATGTTTGAGGTTGGCACATAATAGGTAAGAAATGTTTCCTATTTAATGACATAGCAGAATCAAAAAAGGTTGATTTGGAGTGCTCTAAATCATTCAAGCTTCCTAAAAACATTGACTGTGGCAAAATCTGACCTGAGCTGCTTTATCTTTTTGAGAATGGGGACAGATTGTGACAAAGAGATTTACCTTTGCAGCCAAGACCAATGAGAATAGAATTGACCTGAAATTCTAGTATAGGAATTTTTCTATATAGAAAACCAAGAGAAGCTCAATTTTCTAGTAAAAACAAGAAGATGAAAATATGATCATGTTATAAAACTTAACAAACAATGTGTTATAATTGCTTTGCAAATTTAGGAAAGACTTGGTTCTCTACTGTGTAAGCTGTTCAATAAATTTGTATAATATGGTCATTAAAACTGTGGCTTATAAAACCCAACATAACTTTAAAAAATGTTTATGAAAATATTGTATAACTCTAATCATTAATAAAAGGAAATAAGGACAGCTCTCATAACCAGCTTCCACAAAGCTGACTCACTAGATTAAAGGGTCCCCTCCATTCCCCTTGTAACTCACACTAGTTGATGCTCTTGGAGGACTGACATGCTGGTCATTCATGAGTGGAAACAGAGCCTTTAAAAAAACGCAGTTGAACTTGATGGCAGATTCATGAGATGGTTCTTAAGGCTTCCACTCAGCAGCAGCACATGTTCCTTACTCTCACATTTTATTAGCCAAAGCAAGTTACAGGAAAGTCACATGTCAGTATAAGGGGTGATAGTATGATCCTTCCATAGACAAGGGCAGGGCAGGGCAGGGAGTGGGACATAGAATGGCACCCCAGTTTCCAGGGGAATCTCTGGAAAATCCTGAAGACCCCTGATACAAACCTTTCTTTCTTAATCTGATCTGTCCAGAGACTCTAGGGCTGACATTCATGCCCTGGAAGAGGACAAAGCTGCATTTTTCCCAGGGCCTAAGAGGATGGGCTCAGTAAGGAAGGGCAGCAACGATGTTAGAAAATAGTGTGATTAAATAGTGTAATTAAAATTAAATAGTGTAATAAAATAGCGTAATTAAAATAGTGTAATATAAATTGAGAACAAGTTGCCTCTTTCCAGCTTAAAAATTTATATGCTTTCCACTACATCATTTTCCTGCCATCCTTCAGTTGGGTTTAAAGTAAAAACTATATATATATATATATATATATATATATATATATATATATATATACACACACACACACACACACATATATACATATATATATACACACATATATATATACATATATATATATAGTGTATATATACACACAAGGTTTCCATTAAAATGCAATTCTTATTCAGAAGAGGAGACTTTCTAGGCCAATAGCAGTCAAGGGTTTAATTTAATTTACTGCTTTGCAAAGTTTCAGAAATATACCACCATTGGAACAGAAGATAATTTTAGTAGTACATCAATGACTATTTTTTATTTTAATAGTCTTAATACACATTAAAATAAACAACATATCAAACCTATAATTTCACAGATATTGATTGGAATTAAATTAAAGCAATTATTTACATTTAAAAAGTGAGTCAATTTAAATAAAAATATTAGGTCAACAATGCAAGTGGTGGTTTATGAATACAGTGAAAATTAAGAAGATGGCTGAAAAACAACAAAAGTTCGGGAGACGCCAGTTTTGTTTCTCAGATTAACTAGTTATTTGCCTACTGAAAGAGAAGTTATGTGGGAAAAAACATGTCTGAGTGGTAGTAGGGGTGAAGTTGGGAGACTTTGGGATCATGGAGATGTTGAATCTGGGGGTTCCTGAGGGCCGGAAAATCATAGCACAGAGATCATGGTAATAGGGGAATAGAAGCCAAGAAGGGCCATAGAAATGTGACAAACAGGAAAAGATTGTTGTTTCTTCATAGAGTTATGCAGGGCTGACCTGGCTCATGTGAGATGCGTTTTTCTTCATGGTGGCAAATGGCAGGATTATGAAGGAAGAAAAAGGTCTTCATAGATATTTTTGCAATTATGCAGATACTCATTAAATTGGGATGTTTAGGTACCTGCCTATTACAAAGGCTACCCAGGCATTCCTTAAAGACATCATGGCTGTGACAAACTTACTGATAAGAATTCAATGATAATCAGTGTAGGGGATCTCCAGGAAGCTTATTTTTCTGTAATGACGGCTTGAGATTAAGCAGACAGTAGCATTTCTCTGGCTACCATTTTATTTTACAAGTATTCATAACATCTTTGGGAAAGGATGCCCCAAGTCTGTAAAGGCAGCTTGCCCATGCTGCAAGCAGCAGCAAAGAATGCTTTTGAAGCTATGTGTTTTCCAGTACCTTATGATTCAGAGTTGCATGCAAACAAAAGCTTGCAGGAAGTTCTCCCAAACCTCCCTGGAGCTGTCCTTAATACTTGGTGTGCTAACAATAATCTCAGTTTGGGAAGCAGTCTTCTATTTCTCACCCCCAAGGTTCAGCAGGCTGAGGCAGGAATTGCCTCAACTGCAAGTGCTTCTGAGCTCCAGGCAGAGAAGAGGGACTTCTGACCTCCCAATGCAATGTTCTGAAGTGTGGATTTAATAAAGGAAAAAAGAGTATTAGTGACTTGACTGCTTTAGGCCAGGTGGTTATAAAGTCCAGACGTTTCCCCCTGATAACAAGATCTGAAAATCAAAATTGCTCACTTGTAAATTAACTGCTGAAATTTGGCTAATGTATCGAACGCCCTTTAGAGGAATGGCATTTTATAGCTCAAGGTCAGAAAAACTGCATAGAGTTTCAGTTTTGTGAATATACCAATAACTTCCAGGCTGGGTCAGGTATATCCAATAACTAGCTATGGGCCCTAGTTGGATAGGACCTTCTTGGGACTTTGTTTTTATCATCTTAAAGTTAGAAGTTTCAACCAGATAACTGAGAGCTGCCCTTCCACTCCAACAAGCTGTATGCCAACACCTTTCCAAAGGTGACCATCAATTTGTTCTGGTGTGTCAGGCGGGGGAAACTGGGGCTTAGGAAAGAAAATGGAGAAGATATTTATTTTTCACACATACAGTGGAAGGCTTTGTGCACATCTGGCAGTAACAGTCTGAGGTCAATCCTTTACAAAGTCATCTAATATAGCAAGCAATTCCTTGTAAGCAATGAATGACTGTTAGCAAGATGGAAGAACAACTTTGGGCATAGAAATGGCCTCTGACAATGGCACAAGTGTGTAATTGCCTCTTATTACACAAGACATTATCCGCAATGGTAAACTTAAAGCTTTTTTGTTTTGTTTTGTTTCTTAAAGCTTCTTTAATCTGTCCTTGTATCCGGGAAGACTCGATCATTACTTGCCTTTTTCCCCCAAGTAAATTTGTACCCCAAGGAAATATGAGTTTTGTGCTCATTCTGCTTGAACACATTGACATTTTGTTAACTGACTGCCCGTTCTCATGAGGGGTCAACACAGATGGCAGCCTTTGAGGTCTCAGATGCAAGCCCTCCTTCCTTGAAGGAGGTTGGAGCCTGAATAAGAAACATAAATATCTGTTTCAATGAGATTTTCTTACAATTTCAAGAACTAAATCCCCCTACAGGTTATTATTTTGGAATTTTAATTCTCTGCTCTTAGGTCTTCAAAGAGTATATATTTATCCATCTATCCATTCATTTGTAAATAATTAAATTCAAGTTTGCTGCCAGCCGCTATGAAGCACCAGGGATACAGAGGTGACTTTGACACAGTTCTTGACTCTGAGAATTCACAACTGTGTTTGGAAGACAGCCATGTAATCAGCTCATTAAAGAATTGTATTCATTATTAAATTTGGTTTGTTCATGACAAAAACTCAACTTCATACAGCTAAGGTATGTAAGGAGTTTTATTAGATCAAAAAGAGAAAAAAGTGCAGTCAGCACTTGGGCTTTTTTTAACATAAAAGTCTGAACTTTAGGGTATCTTTCTTTGGAAAAAAAAAGAGGATATTCTAGAAAGACTGGCATGCATTCCTGGAAATGCATGAGGAAGCTAACTAAACTATGAGGTATAGCTGAGGAGTGGGTGCCTCCTAAATATGGGGCAAGTGCTTTCTTGTTCCTCTCAATCCACTATTTGCACTGTATTTATATATGTAATTACACTCAGCCCTGGCCACTCATTTGTGTTTCTTGTTTCTTCTCCTTAAGCATTTGAATTATTAGATTCTTGGATCAGAAGAAGGTCACGCTGGAGGTGGGAAGACCAGTTGGTAAGTTATCACAGCAGTGTCTGCAAGAAAAGGTGCTGGCAATGCAGATGGAGAGTCAGGAATAGTGGCAAGATATTTTGGTCATGGTGACAGAACTTGGTCACTGGAGGATTACATATTTTTACTTCTCCAGAGATATTTTTGGAATCTTTTGGATTTGTTTCCTCTATGCATTTATTTCAACCTGATTATGGAAATCTTTCAGACATTACGTATTATTTTTTTCCTCTCAAGGAACAAACTAGAGCCCTAGAGAAAATAGACCAGGAGTGTTGAGGAGGGGGCCTGGCTAAGCATTCTTCAAAGTAAGCTGGTCTAAGCCCAGGTTGAGTCCAGGGAGAACCACTAAGCAAGGTTCAGGGAGCTATTCTTAGGGAAGCAAAACATGATCAGACACTCAGAAGTCAGGCGCAGTATCAGGAACCCAGGTAAAGACAGAAGCAACAAGAATCAGAGGCCTTGGCTTTGAGGCCAGCAACAGGTTAGAGCCCATCCAAGAGTCTGGGTAACAGTCACGGGATGAAAAGTGTATGTGTGTGTGCACGTGTGTGTGCGCACACATGTGTGCATTTGTGTGTGTGTGTGTGTGTGTGTGTGTGTGTAATGTGGATGAAGCTGAGCCTCCAGGTGGAGGAAGTAGGTAGAAGTGAGGATTTAGGGGCCAAGAAGCAAGGCAGTTCCTGACAGTCCAGGGAATCCACACTCAGAAGAGTGCTCCTGGCTTCCTACGTGTGCTACTTCTCTTGCTATTCCCAGGGCATATTGCCTGGTGGTCTGCAGAGTGAGCATTCTGGTCTGATTCTCCCAAAGACAAGAGGAAGAGAGGAAACCAACCTTCAATGAGTGCCTTCATTAGGTCAAGTATCTTCTTGTTTAGGGTTCACAACAATACTAGGAAGGCATTATTCTCAGAGTAACCTGACAGAGATCACAGGACAAAGCAGTGGCCAAGCCGGGATTTGGACATGAATCTGCCCATCTCCAAAGCCCACGCTCTTCCACTCATTCCACATGGATGCTATAGCAGGGACCACTCAGTGTCACGTTTGCTCTTGGATTCTGGAATCAAGTGCTTATCTTCCAAAAAGTATTGTTTTTAATCTCATGTATGGTGTTCATTACATTTAACTTTTAACAAAGTCACTAATGATCTTTAAAAAAAAATTCCCAATGGAGTGTGAGCTTCTGAAAAAGCAAATACTATGTCTTATTGTCTTATCTCTGTAATCCCCACAGTGCTAGCATGACACCTTCATAGATGCAAGGATTGCGTGTGCATGTGCATGTGTGTGTGTGTGAAATGAATGGACATTCTTTCTTCACTTATCCCTGCTCCCTGTGACCCTATGTAGGTTCTTTGCCTCCTGCTCCTATAACTTCTGCACTTCTTCTGGAGCTATTTAATACATAGACTTCGGTTCCTCTATTTAGCTTCCAGAGACTATTTTATCTTGATTTCTCTATACGTGCTGGATTTGGGACTCATAGAGTCCTTTTTTCTTGCACATACTCTGTTTTCCCCAGTACATTGTCTCCTGGGATCTTGGCTGTGTCTTGGACCCAGAAGCTTCCTATACCTGGATGCAAAGACTGCCTTGAGGGAATGGAAAAGACTTTACATAGGTTGAGGTGACACATGAAGCAGACTTTGAAGATGAGAGGGAATTTTCAAGTGGAGATGAAAGTAGAGAAAAGGTATCTTAAGGAAAGGAAAAGGTATGTGTGATGGTTTATTTGAAGATCTGTGAGAAATTTAATGTCACTGGAGCCAATAGTGAGTAGTGGAAGATGAGGTCAAATTAACTTTTTAGTAGGATAGTTTTTCTTTTTCTACTTGTTTCTCAGCGTGAGGCAATGGAATGCAAAAACGACTCTTCCGAGTTAATGTCCATGGCTCTTGGAAGAGTATTGCAGCCCTGGGAGAGAATGTCTCAGTTCTGGAACCACTAGACAGAAGAGTTTGTGTTTCTCCTGAAGAGCTTCAGGGATAGAGGGAGCTCCCCAAGATTATAATTCTTCCCACCAGTTTTCTAATACTTGCTGGTCAGAAATGTCTGCTTTCCAACTAACATCTGATTTTTAAAAACCATTTTAGGTAGAATAGATGAAGTTTCCAAAAATCTTATGCTGTCCCTTAAGGATTTAAATGTTTTAAGCTTATTTTAAATGCAGCTATTTATTAGAAAACATTGGGAAATTATTAATCATTTCATCGTTTAAATAAACATTAATGTTGTAGAGTGTTTTTTTGATATGCACGATATTTTTTCTGAACTAAATTGAAATCACTTTTTCTATGCAATGTTTTTATCACTTGCAGCCTTAAAATTTTAATTATGAATAATGTAAATATCTGAGAAGAAAACTTTGATTCTGTTAGGCATTTTCCTCAGGTTGAGAAAAAAGTACTTGGCCTTTTAAAGTTGGAGATTTCTACTTTAGAAAAGTCCTGTAAAACAGTGTGATGGTCTAAGTGTATTAGAATAAAATATACCTAATGATTAATTTTAATTTTTGTCGATTTTGAATTTTTAGGAAAGCTTAAGTAGCACAAATACAGTGCAATAATTTTATCTATAGACAAAATGTTTATGTTAAATCTTCTCCATCAATCTCTATTTCCAGGAGTTTAATTCATCCTGGCCCTTCCACTCACTCTCTGTGTGATTTTGGGCAAGTCATTTCTGTGCCTCAATTTCCTCATTTTTGAAATGGAGATAATAATAATAATAACAATTACGGTAAGGATTAAAATGAATTAATATTTATAAAGTTCTTAGAACAATGCCTGGCACTTAGTAAGCATTCAACAAATCTTAGTTAAACTTAAAAAAAATTTTACCAGCCTGGCGTGGTGGCTCACACCAGTAATCCCAGCACTTTGGGAGGCCGAGGCGGGCAGATCATGAGGTCAGGAGATCGAGACCATCCTGGTTAACACGGTGAAACCCCGTTACTACTAAAAAATACAAAAATTAGCTAGGTGTGGTGGTGGGCACCTGTTGTCCCAGCTGCTTGGGAGGCTGAGGCAGGAGAATGGCGTGAACCCGGGAGGCAGAGCCTGCAGTGAGCCAAGATTGCGCCACTGCACTCCGGCCTGGGCGACAGAGTGAGACTCCATCTCAAAAAAAAAAAAAAGAGAAATATTTTGTTTTACCTTAGATACCTCAGCAATTATTATGTGTTTGCTGCTATTGTAGCAAAGTCACAGAGGAAAAATTTGGGTCTATTTTTCCAATATAATGAGACTCAGAAAAACTCTGAACATTAAAATTTTAAATAATTTTGTTATAAATATAGGTCTTCTAATGTCTTCCCATTTGGGAAAAGACTTACCACAGATGACAGGTTCTCCCTTCAATGTCTAGGGAGACAAGTCTCTGGCATTCTAATAAACTGCAAGGAATATATTCACATTCTTTCACGTTCATATTCCCAGGAAACAAGAAGTAGCAAAATCCAGCACTGCCTCTTCATTAAATTTAGGAACAAAACTCATCCTTTAATTGAATTCTTATCTAATGACTCAGAGCTTGGAGGCAATCTGATACCTTTAATTTGGAAGTTTATTATGTATGTTAATGAAGACAAAATCATGATTATCTAGTTCTTGTTTGCCCTCTGTCACCCTGTCTCTTACATACTACACCACTTCCCACACCCAAATATATTGATTGTTGATTAATGAGAGTAAGCTTTTCTTTTTTCTTTTTTTTTTTATAAGAAGCACATATTGGAGCTGGGGGGTGTAATTGATCCTTCCTTCTTTCTCCAGGGACTGGTGATTTAGTTCTTGGTTGATGATTGGGTAGAGAGTGGAAGCCACGGTAATGGTGAACAGCAGAAATCTGAGGGATTCTAAAGATACTAGTGTTCAGGGAGAAGGATGACCTCTAAAAGGGAATAAAAAACAAGGACAATGAGTTTACATGGCTCTATACTAATGGGAAAATACACACCTCTCAAACAATAGGTGATGTTATAGTGAAACTTTCCGGAGTGGGTGTAAAGAGAAACAATCCTGACAAGCAGAAGGCAAATGTGCATAAGAGACTGGAGGGAGGAAGCAAATATACATCCAAAGAAGCATGCATCTCAGAAATCCAGGATTATTAAAATAGCTCATACATCGAAAAGCAGAGCTATTCCTAGTTCTTCTGCATGTCAGTTTGTTGCTAAGTGCCACCTGGCATGTGTACTTTGAAACTGGGAATTTTATTCCTAGGAAAAGTGTGTAAATGTTTTCCTGCCAGCAGACATAAACAGTGCTAATAGCAGCAGTGTTAAGCTGTGTCTTCTAAGACCTATCAATTTGTGGAGCTTAATTCTTTTCTTAGATCTCAAGACCCCATGTTCTTCCTGCATCGGTTTTACAATCTCTGAAGTAATTAAGCTTCATCTAATAATTCTTTCTAGCTCCACAGTGGTTGCAGTAGCTGTGCTTTCCGCCACTGAAAAACCAAGAGTTATCCATTATAAATGCTGATTTGTGAGTTCTGAGAAAGTATACAGGAAACCAGAACTCCTGAAGCTGACTCGCTATAACTCATGTTACTCAGCTGCATCAGGGGATTGACAGCTGGACAACCCTCCATCTGCAGGCATTGGTTTTTCTCCTCTTGGGTGCCTTCCTTACCTTTCTCCAGTCTATGTATTCTCAGAAAGCCTCTTCCCAAAACTCTAGGGCACCACTGTCCATTTTCACTTTTTGTGACTATGAAAATATTCTACATTAGAAATGTCTACTGTGGTAACCACTAGCCACATGTAGCTACTGAACACTTGAATGTGGGTACTGTGGCTGAGAAACTAACTTTAAAAAGTTTCATTGAAGTATAATTGACACACAGCAAGTTGTACATATTTGAAATGTACAATTTGATAAGCTTTGACTATAAATAGACACATGAAAACAACACCCAATTAAGATAATGAACATAGCCATCACCCCGAAGAGTTTCTTCATAACCCTTTTTTAATCCTTCCACTCCACTCCTCCATCCTCAGGCAACAACTGCTCTGTTTAATGAAACTAAGGATTAGTTTGCATATTTTAGAATTTTATATAAATGAAATAATAAAGTAGTATGCAATCTTTTTTATCTGGCTTCTTTTTTTGTTTGTTTGTTTGTTTGTTTTGAGATGGTGTTTCGCTCTTGTTGCCCAGGCTGGAGTGCAATGGCATGATCTCAGCTCGCCGCAAACTCCGCCTCCCAGGTTCAAGCGATTCTCCTGCCTCACCCTCCCGAGTAGTTGGGATTACAGGCATGTGTCACCATGCCCGGCTAATTTCGTATTTTTCTTAGAGACGGGGTTTCTCCATGTTGGTCAGGCTAGTCTTGAACTCCCGACCTCAGGTGATCTGCCCTCCTCGGCCTCCCAAAGTGCTGGGATTACAGGTGTGAGCCACTGCGCCCGGCCTTGTTTGGATTCCTTTACACAGCAAAATTATTTTTGGATTCAGTCATGCTGTAACATATATTTAATATATCCATAGTTCATTTCTTTTTATTACAGAGCAGTATTCCATTAGATGGATATACTACAGTTTTTCTATTCAACATGTTGATGGATACTTGGATGTTTTCCAGTGTTTGAAGATTACAGATAAAGCCGTGAACATTCATGTACAAGTTCTTGTATGGACAGATCCGTTCACTATTTTTTGAGTAAGAACCAACCTAGGATGGGAATGGTGGCATCTTGTAGTGAATGCATGTCTAACTTTCGAAGAACTGTCAACCTGTTTTCCATCTGTAGTTTATGAGAGTTCTAGTTCCTCCACATTCTTGCCATAGTTAGTCTGTTTAATCTTTTTAACTTTGATCATTCTAATAGGTTTGTAATAGCATCTTATGTGGTTTTAGTTTACATTTTTCTAAGGAATAATGATGTTGAGCACCTTTTCATGTGCTTGTTTGCCATTTGCATGTCTTCTTTGGTGAAGTGTCTGCTTGGATCTTCTGCCGATTATTTTTGGGCCGCTTGTTTTCTTATTGAGTTTCCAGAGTTTTTAAAAATATATATTCTGGATACAAGTTCTTTATAAGATATATTGTTTTGAACAATTTTATGCTAGTTTCTTGGATGCCTTTTCATTTCTTAACAGTGTCTTTTGAAGAACAGAAATTTCTAATTTGGAAGAAGTCCAATTTATAACTTTTTAATGGATTATGCTGTTATTGTTGTGTCCAAGAAATCTTTGCCTAACATGAGGTCATAAAGATTTTCTCTTATGTATTTTTGTAGCTATTTTAAAGGTTTAGATTTAACATTTAGGTCTGTGACCCACTTCATGTTCATTTTTGTGTATATTATACACAAGGTATAGATCCAAGTTCTTTTAAAATTTTAATTTGGATATCAAATTTTCTCAGCATCATTTGTTGAAAAGACTATCCTTTCTCTATTACATTGCCTTTGAACCTTTGTCAAAATCAGTTTTCCAAATATGCATGGATTTATTTCTGGGCTGTTTATTCTTCCTTGTTGATCTATTTGTCTATCATCTTGCAAAAACCTTGTTTTTTTGTTTTGTTTTGTTTTGTTTTTTGTTTTTTTTTTAGATAGAGTCTCGCTCTGTTGCCCAGGCTGGAGTGCAGTGGTGTGATCTTGGCTCACTGCAACCTCCGCCTCGCAGGTTCAAGTGATTCTCCTGCCTCAGCCTCCTGAATAGCTGGGATTACAGGTGCCTACCACCATGCCTGGCTTATTTTTGTATTTTTAGTAGAGATGGGGTTTCACCATGTTGGCCAGGCTGGTCTCGAACTACTGACCTCAAGTGATCTGCCTGCCTCAGCCTCCCAAAGTGCTGGGATTACAGGTGTGAGCCACTGAACCAGTCCCATGTTGTTTTTATTTCTGTAGATTTATAATTCTTGAAATCAGGTAGTGCCAGTCTTCCAACTTTGTTTTTCTTTTTCAACATTATTTGTTTATTCTAGGTAGATTTTATTTCTACAAGAATTTTATAAAATTTATCAATTTCTATTTTTAAAAAGCTCCCTGGGATTTTTATTGTAATTGTATTGGCTCTATATATCAATTGAAGGAGAACCACATCTTACCAACATTTATCCTCCTGACCCATGAAGAGAGTGTATCATTCCATTTATTTAGGTCTTCCTTATGTTTTGCTAGTAATATTCTATAGTTTTCAATACATGGTTCACATCTTTTTCAGATCTATCCCTAATATTCCTTGATGCAATTGTAAAAGCATTTGCATTTTTAATTTTAATTTTGGGTTATTCATTGCTAAAATACAGAAGTACAATTGATTTTTTTTTTTTTTTTTTGAGACAGTGTCTGACTCTGTCACCCAGGCTGGATTGCAGTGGCATGATCTCAGCTCACTGCAACCTCCACCTCCTGGGCTCAAGCCAACCTCCCAGCTCAGCTTCCCGAGTAGTTGGGACTACAGGTGCATGCACGCCCAGCTAATTTTTGTAGTTTTTGTAGAGACGAGGTCTCACTATGTTGCCCAGGCTGGTCTGAAACTCAAGCAGTCCACCTGCCTTAGCCTCCCAAAGTGCTAGGATTACAGGCATGATCTACCGCACCAAGCCTGATTTTTGTAAATTGATAATATATTCTGCAAAAGTCCTTGTACTTTCCATTGGATTTTCTACATGTTTTCTGCAAATAAATACAAGTTTGTTTCTTCCTTTCTAATCCAGATGCCTTTTCTTGCGTTATTGCAATGACTAAGAACCTTCAGTTCAATATTGAATGCAAGTACTGAAAGTAGAATCTTTGTTCCTGCTCTTGGTGGGAAGTGTCCAGCTTTTCTCCAGTAAATGTGATGTTAGCTGTAGATTTTTCACAGATGCCCTTTATAAGAATGAGGAAGATCCTTTCTATTCTTAATTTCATGAGAGTATTATTAGGAATGGATGTTGGATTTTTGTCAAATGTTTTATATATGTCTATTGAAATTATCATACAACTTTTCTGTTTTAGTTAATTTATATATGAATTACATTATTTTTTGAAGGTTAAAGTAAACCTCACTTGGTCATAATGTACTAATGGGTTTGATTTGCTAAATTTTGTTTATATTTTTTGCATATATTTTTATAAGGGTTTTTTCCTATTTCTTTTAATGTCTTTGTCTGGTTTTGGTATCAGGGTAATACTGGCCTGGTCTCATAGAATGAGTTGGGAATTAATTCATCCTCTTCAATTTTTGAAAAATTATTTGTTTAGAATTGATGTTATTTCTTCCTTAAAGGTTTGGCAGAATTTACCAGAGAAGACATCTGGGCCTGAACTTTTCTCTGTGGAAAGGTTTTAATCTATAAGTTTGATTTCTTCAATAATATAGGACTATTTTAGTTATCTATTTCTTCTTGAATGAATTTTAGAAGTTTCTGTCTTTCAAGGAATTTGTCCATTTCATCTAATTTGTCATTTACTGGCATAAAGTTATGCAAAATATTTCTCTATTATTCTTTTAATATCTGTAGAATCTGTAGTGTGTTCACTTCTCTTATTCATAGGTTAGTAATTTGTGTCTTCTTTATTTCCTGGTTACTTTGGCTAGATATTCATTAATTCTATTGATCTTCTCAAATAATCAGCTTATGTTTTATTGATTTTCTCTTGTTTTACTGTTTTTATTTGTTTTTTCTTTTATGTTTTATTTTATTTATTTATTTATTTTGAGATGGAGTCTTGCTCTGTCACCCAAGTTGGAGTGCAATGGTGCGATCTCAGCTTACTGCAACTTTCGCCTCCCAGGTTCAAGCAATCCTCCTGCCTCAGTCTCCCAAGTAGCTGGGATTACAGGCACCTGTCACCACACCTGGCTAGTTTTTGTATTTTTTAGTAGAGACGGGGTTTTACCATGTTGGTCAGGCTGGTCTCAAACTCCTGACCTCAGTTGATCCACCTGCCTCAGCCTCTCAAAGTGCTGGGATTACAGGCATGAGCCACTGCCCCAGCCTATTTTTATTTATTTCTGCTCTGATTTTTATTTTTTTATTCTGCTTACATTGAGTTTAATCTACTTTTTTATTTCTCCAGTTTCTTAAGGCAGAAGCTAGGGACATTAATTTGAGACCTTTCTTGTTTTCTAATATAGGTATTTAGTGATATAAACATCTCCTTAATTATTGTTTTAATGGAATTCTGACACCAACTGGTGTACTGCAATTTAAGGCTAACACTAACTATTGGAGTTAACCTTAGACTCTAAAGTCTCAGGGGCACAGTTGAATGAGACTATGATCAATTCCATTTCCAGCTGTAAATGGGGTCCCAGTCCATCTGCGCTTCTTACCAGATTCAGAGATTCCATGATCCCATTAGGTTTGATAAGTTGCTAGAATGACTCATAGAATTCAGGAAAGCACTATATTTATGATTATAGTATTATCATAAAAGAATTAGGGTCAGCTCCATAGGGCAAAGTTCAGCAGGATCCTGAATGCAGAGCTTCCATGTTCTCTCTCTATAGAATTAGGATGCATTGCCCTCCTGTCGCATCAACATGCTCAATAACCAAAATGCTGAACTGAGCTTCAGTGTCCAGAGTTCTTATTGGGGTTTCATTACATAGGCATGATTGATTGAGTAATTGGCCAATCTCCAGCTTCCCTCCCTTCCTTAGTGGTCAGGCTGGCTCAAAGTCCCACCCATCTAATCATATAATTGGTCTTTCTGGTGGCCCATGCCTATAATCCTGAGTCATCTCATTTTTTAGCATAAACATAGGTGTGATCTGAGAGGCTCATGAATAACAGAGACATTACTATTACTCAATAAATTACAAGGATATCTTATTCTTCCCAGGAACAAGGGACAAAGGGCAGTCAAATTCTGTATTATACAAGTGGCATGTCACAAATTTTGATATGTTTAAATTTGGTTTTCATTTAGTTAAAAATACTTTTTAATTTCCCTTTTGATCTCATATTTAACCCATGGGTTATTTAAAACATATTATTTAGTTTCCAAATATTTGGGGGATTTTCCAGAGTTCTCTCTGTTGTTCCTTTCTAAAAATTCCACTGTGGTCAAAAACATACTTTATATAACTTGAATCCCTTTAAACTTATTTGGGGCTGTGTTACAGCCCAGCATATGAACTATCTTTATAAATGTTTGGTGTGCACCTGAGAAGAATGTGTTTTCTGTTGAATTGGGGGATTTTTTCTATAAATATCAATATTTAAAGTTGGTTTGCAATATTATTTCATTATTCTATATCCATATTGATTTTCTGTCTGTTCTATAAATTATTGAGACAGAAGTACAAAAATGTCCACTGTAAGTATGAATTTCAGTTCTCCTTGCAGTTCTATCACTTCATGTATTTTAAAGCTCTGTTATTAGGTGTATAAGTGTTGAGGATTTTTATGTCCTCTCAATGAATTGACCTATTTATCTTTGACAGCTTTATAAATGACCATCCTTATCTTTGACAGTATTTTTTGTTCTGAAATCTGCTTTGTCTTATGCTAATGTAGCCACTCTAATTTTCTTCTGGTTAGTGTTACAGTAATACAGCTTTTTTCATTCTTTTAATCTATGTGTTTCTTTCTATTATATTTATAGTGTGTTTCTTGTAGACAGTATATAATTGGGTCTTACTTTTTTATACATTCTCATAATATTGGTAATTTAATCAGAATGTTCAGACCATTTCCACTGAATGTGATTATTGATTTGGTTACATACATCTTGCTATTTATTTTCTATTTGTCCTATCTGTTCTTTGTTTCTTTTTTCTCTTTTTCTTTCTTCTTTTGCATTAATTTTCTTTTTTTATTATTTCATTCCTCTTCTGTGTTATTTTATAAGTGTTAATTCTGTTTTATTGCTATAGCTGTTTGAAAATCTATAGTAAAATAGTTTACTTGTCATATTCTAGCCTTAAGTGCTATTATATGACTTACCAGTAGCAGTAAAAGAACCTTACAATAATATATTTTCTTTACTCTCATCTTTTGTATTGTTGTTTTTACACATGTTCATTTTATATATGTGATCATTATAAATCACATATATAAATATAAAGTTATTATACATGTCATTTTAATATATAATATATATTATAAACACCATACTACTTTATTATTATTTTTAGTTAGAAAGTCAATTATATTTAAAAACATTTAAATAATCTAAAAATGTACTTACTCCTGTGGCTACTATTTCTAGTCCTCTTCATTCCTTCGTGTAGACTTATATTTCTATCTGGTATCATTTTCCTTTTACCTGAAGGACTTGCTTTCACATTTCCTCCCTTTACATTTATTTTATTATTTATTTGTTTTTCTTTCTTCCCATACTACTGTGATGTAATCCCTTTATATTTCTAATCATGTGTGTGCTGTTAATGAATTCCTCAACTTTTGTAAGTTTGAAGAAGTCTTTATTTTGCTTTTATTTTTTGAAAAAAAATCTTGCTGGTTATAGAATTCTGTGTCAGCCATTATTTTTTCTTTCAGTACTTTAAAGATGTTGTTTCACTGTCTTCTCACTTGAATTGTTTCACACACAAAAAATCTCCCAATCTTATCTTTGTTTCTCTGTATGTAATGTGTCTTTGTTCTCTGTCTTCTTTTAATCTTTTTCACTGGTTTTGAGCAATTTGATTATGATTTGCCTAGTTATATTTTTCTTCCTGTTTATTTTGCTTGCAGCTAATTGAAACTTTTGCTTATAGTTTCTATCAAACTTGGAATGTTTTCAGCTATTATTTCTTTAAGCATTTTTTATATCTTCCTTGATTTATCCTGTCCATCAGAGACTTCAATTACATGTATATTAGGCCATGTGAAGTTATTCCACACTTTACTGATGTTATGTTCTTTGATCTATTCCCCTTTTTCTCCTGTTTTATTTCCATTTGTTTCTCTTTTTATCTCTTCCTATCTTTTCTTTGGCAATGTCTAATCTTGTCTTAATCTCATCCAGTACATTTTCTATCTCACACATCGTAGTGTTCTTTTCTAATGGATCAATTTGGGTTTTTAAAATTTCTTTAATGTCTCTACTTAATTTTTTAAATATATGGAATACAGTTATAATGTGTTTTAATGTACTTGTTTATTAATTCTAACATCTGTGTTAATTTGGAATCAATTTTGATTGATTTTTTTCTCTTTAGTATAAATCATATTTTACTGCTTCTTTGCACACATAATAATTTTTTATTGAAGTCCAGAATTGTTCATTTTACCTTGTTGGGTGCTGGATATTTCTGTATTCCTATAAATATTCATGAGCTTTTATTCTGGGATGCATTGTAGTTACTTAAAAATAATTTTATTTTTTTAGCTTCCGATTTTAAGATTTGCTATGCTAGACCAAAGAGATGTTCAATCTAGGGCCAATTATTTAACATTACTGAAACAAGACCTAGCAAGCCTTTCTGGGCTCTTTATCCAATGACTTATCAATCAGAAGGTTTTCAAGGTTAGCTAGTGGGAACAGATACCATTCTGAGTCTTGTGTGAGCACCAGGTACTGTTTTCTGTAATTCTTTTGGATGGTTCTTTCCTAGGCTTTGGGTAGTATCCTCACTTGTAAACACTGATCATTACTCTGCTAAAAACTTTCCACTGGTTCCTTAGGGAGAACCCTGCAGACCTCCAGGGTTTCATGTTCATGCTGTTGCCTCCTCTCCAGTACTCATTCCTATAAAATCTAGCTATCTCCATTTACCTGGACACTGAGCTTCATGTGCTTGACTCTGAGTATCTATCAGTCTCCTCCCAGGTTTGCCCTCCCTTTTCCACAGCCTGTAAACTTTCTTAAGGCAGTAAGTTATGACAATCATAAAGCTCCCCTTTTTGTTTTGCATATTTCAGAGATCACCGTCCTTTGTTGCCTGATGTCCAATGTCTTTAAAACCATTGCTTTATATATTTTGTCTATGTTTTATTTGTTTCAGTGGGATGATAAATCCATTTTCCTGTTATTCCATGTTGGCTGGAAGCATAAGTCTAGAACTAAAATTTTAGTTTAATTTAGTTTAACTAACTTAAACAGCCATGTGTGGCTAGGGGCTCCCATATTGAACAGGGCAGTCTATGGGGTGAGAGAAAGTAAACTGAAGTGGAATTGCCTGTGATTTAGTTTTGTGAGACATACTGGGAGATGGTGTATTGGACAGCTCCCTAGGTCTTGTTTAATTGCCCAGTGGCTTTGAGAGTGTTCTTGAGACCATGCCTGACAAAGACTGCTTGCTGCTCAGATGAAGCCCATTACTCCTTCTTCATGGCTCACTGCTAGACTGAGAGCATTAATTTGCAGAAATCTGGCTTTCTTTTCACTTCAGCAATCTGGTTCCAAACTCTCTGTAGGCTGGCTCTAGTTACTATTCTCTTATGACTCTGGGTAGAATGCCTTCCATGGATGCACTAAGTAGGTGTTGCCACTTGACTCCCAGGTTGATATAATCTTGCCTTATTTTATGTTTCTTAAATGAAAATTCATCTCTTTTCCACATGTGGCATTAAGAACCAACACTATTACTACTTTGGGAGGCCCAGGAGAGCAGATCAACTGAGGTCAGGAGTTCGAGACCAGCTTGGTCAACATGTTGAAACGCCGTCTCTACAAAAAAATATAAAAATTAGCCAGGCGTGGTGGCACGTGCCTGTAGTCCCAGCTACCTAGGAGGCTGAGGCAGGAAAATCACTTGAACCTGGGATATGGAGGTTGCAGTGAGCCGAGATCACGCCACTGCACTCCAGCCTGGGCCACAGAGCAGTAATCCGTCTCAAAAACAAAAAGAAAAACAAACAAACAAACAAGAAATTACACTAATAAATGAGACCCTGAGCATTTTCCCATTCATGATTATTAGCCCCAGACAACTTAAAGCTAAAAAAATAACCAAAAAAAACCCAAAAACCTTTTGTTTTATTTTTTAAATCACTTAAACCCTAGTAAGGGATGCAATTAGGTTTTGCATGCCTGATTCATTTCAATTAAGATAGACTTGTTTGCAGATTTACGGTGTTGAATCTCAGACTGCTGTCTAATATTTAAAAGATATTAGACCGTAGAAGATCTTGTAACTTCTCTGCACCGTAAGACTGGTAATAGATTTGTATTATTAATACAATCATGTTTACTGGAAAGAAGAGTTCTATTTTTTGGTGCCTCCACCAGAAAAATGAGACATGCTTCAGACTGATTCATTCATCCATAAACTATTAATTGATCATCTGTTACATTCTAGACACTAGAGATAAAATAATGAACAAAGCAGACAAAAATCTCTCACTTCACAGAGATTCTATTCTGCTTGAAGGAAACTATCAATAAGTACAATAAATAAGTAAAATATGTGGAATGTGAGATGGTAATAAGTGGTATGAAGTAGAATGAAGTGGAAGCAGGAGTAGGGAGTGCCAGGGTGGCTGTGATTTTAAATTGGGTGATCTAGAAAGGCTCACTAAGGAGGTGCCATTTGAACAGAGGACTGAAGGGGGCGAGGGAGTGAGTTTGGGTAAGTGCATTTCAGGTAGAAGTAACAGCAAATGTAAATGAAATGCCCTCAAGCCAGAATGCGTGTGGCTTGTGCCTGTGCAACAGCAAGGAAGCATTTTGGACTTAGCAATACACCTTGGATTTTCTAAATGTATAACAGACTTTGGGAACTTCATTGTTCATCCTCCTAGCATTCTCATATACGCACAGTGCAACATCTTTAATTTATGTGTAACTTTATGAATGTATGGATTTATTTATTTTTATACTCTATGTTATTCCAAAAATGTTCCACATAATTTCTAACTGGATCTTTAATCTTCTGTCTCTTTTCCCTGGAATACAACTATCAGAGTAATTTTCCTAAAACACTGTTTTATTCATGTTCCTCTCATTCTTAAGAACCTAAAACTTCTCCTTTAATCAAGTCCAAAATTTTCAATTTGCTGTTCAAGGTCCTCTGTCTTGGGTACGATATTCCTTCATGCACCCTACCTCCATATCACCTGTCTATGTGTCATACTTATTCCCACCCACACATGAACTCATGCTGCCCCCACTGCCTTGAGAGCCCCCATTTCTCATTGCCAATTCATTTTATACATAACTTTGAAATAAAAAATCAAAACTCAAATCTACCTCACTTATTTATTCAACAAAGCATTTATTTATTATCTTCTATACACCAGGCATTCAACAGCATGAAACCTTATGCAATTAACATGAGCCTTGAAGAATGGCTTTCTTTTCCTGGTCTCCTATAACAGTCTAAAATATACAGCAGAACACTGTATTTCATTAAATATTCTTGTTAAGTTTCTACTGTGAATACGTATTTTCCCCGGAGGTAAGCTGTAAATTCCTTGAGGACAGGAGCTTTGTCTTTTGTTACTTTGTACTTTTCACAGTGCCTGGCATAGTAGAAGCAAATTAAATATTTGTTGATACATTGATTTCATTTCCAAGGGTTTTTTAGATGCTGTCACAGCAAACCTCTGAAGATCTTTTAAAATTATATTTAATTACTCTCCCATCTTATTAATTAAGTAAAAATGGCAACTTCTGCAACACCATGATAAACAGCGAATACTTCATTGGCCAGCTGGCTCACCCAAGTCTTTTATAACATTGGATGAAAGATACATCATCCACTTTCTCCTTTCAGTTGATGGTATTTTGATCTGTACAAAAACTGCAGGACATCGGCTGCTTTAACAGTGATAAATGTGGGCTACAGCAGATAATGTTGAGTCCTATGCTCAAACCGAGAACATTCATCATGCGCTTCTTTCTGTGGATGAGTGAACAAATCCCCAGGTCCCCATTGTTCGTGATGGGACAAGATACATCTCCTTCTTTCAAACAGCAAGACAGCTGTTTAAATTTTCAAGGCATCTATGAATTGTCCACAGAACCATGCCTTATAAGACATTGTATCCTCCAGCTAAGTTCCAGCCGCACTGGGCTTCTTCCCGTTCAAGTGTGTCAATCCCTTTCCTAGCCTCAGCTCTTCAATATTTGCTGCCCTCCCTGCCTGAAATGCTCTTCTCTCAGCTCTGCAAAGTCTCTTTTTTATTCTTCAGCTTTCAGTTCAAATACTGCCCCCTTAACCCGGCCTTCCATGACCACTTTTATTTACAGATGCCCTTTCTACCCCCAAAACAACCTATAAACCACTGTTACATCACCTTCTTATTTCTTTAATAGTATTTATCCCAGTCTAGCCTAGAAGAGGTCTGGCACTTGGTAAATATGTGTTAAGTGAAAGAACAAATAACTGGTAATAAAATTAGCTACACATTGTTTACCAGCATTGTTTACTACCTCATGCTCCATCCTATAAGTGATATCCACAAACCACCTGTGCAGTACTTGACTTTCAATAACTTATAGCTTTAATAATTAGTATTGCTTTTACTTGAATAAATGGGAGTGAAAATTTTAAATGAGAAATGTCCTGTTGATCCATATCCCTGGCCTGGCCTGTTTTTGTTCCCTGAATAGCCTTAGCTTCCATTAATGACTCTGATTATCTCTTAGCTCTGTGGATTTAACCCTGATCAAACTCATTTAATCTTTCAACTGCAGGGCAATCCTCATGTGAATCAGAATCCTTCATTTGTGTTGTACAGAAAACATCTGCATCTTTACAGCAGCTCTGTGAGTTGGCAAAGCATGCAGCGGGGTGATCTCCATTGTACAGATTAAGAAGAGGTTTAAAAAAATAAGTGACTTTACTAAGGTCATGTGACTAGAAAATAAGGATGAAGGCAGAGATGGGACAAGAGAGTCTGTTCTTGTATTCAGAGGGGTGCTCTCATGGCACTCAGGAAATCTTATTATCAGTGTCTTTCTGGATGAAAACAATGAGAACAGACCACTGGGAAAAAAAAAGTTCTCAACTGCATGCACAAAATCGTCCTCACCCTTTACTCCTGTCATGACCACAGAACTCACGGTAGTTTCAGAAAGCAGGCCAGTTCCCATGCTTTCAGCCATGTAGATTTGGTTTGCTCTCCGTCCCTGGGTTGCCTTCAATTCCTTTAGTCACTTGCATTTATTTTACGTTAATTTGGGCATTCTGCCATCGGCCTGTCTTTCTAGTTGTTCTTTACTTATTAATTTAGGAGTACATGTAGTCTATCAAGAGCTGTGCTTTCACATGGAGGCAAAATTGGACTTTTTAAATTATTATTATATTTTTTTGAGGTGGAGTCTCACTCTGTTGCCCAGGCTGGAGGGCAGTGGCAGGATATAGGCTCACTGCAAGCTCCGCCTCCTGGGTTAAAGTGATCCTCCAGCCTCAGCCTCCCGAGTAGCTGGGACTACAAGTGCATGCCACTGCGTCTGGCTAATTTTTGTATTTTTAGCAGAGACGGGGTTTCACCATGTTGGCCAGGCTGGTCTCGAACTCCTGACCTCAGTTGATCCACCTGCCTCCACCTTCCAAAGTGCTGAGAATACAGGCATGAGCCACTGTGCCCGGCCCAAAATTGGACTTTTAAAGAAGAAGGAAAACTCTCAGATTACAATTATCCTAAATAAATTGGAGACTTTTACTAAAACAGAATTACCTGGGGGAAAGAGAGAAAGGGAGAGGGGGAGAGAGAATATGAATGAGATCTAAGAGCATGTCTCAGTAGAAAAAATAGAAATTTATCAGGCTCACTAGAGGAAAGTAGAAGAAGCATGTATGTCTGTGATTGCATGAGCATTTTATCCTCCTTGTCTGTAGATGTCAACACTGGGGGTATTACTGAAAGAACCCCAAGTAGAGCTGAAAAGAATGATCTACATACAGCAAGCCACCAAGCAGGCCAGGAATGGGATCCTTTGGCTTATTTAATGCCTGCCTAACATTGGTGGGGGGAGGGGGGCCCTGCTTCTCAGGCCACACAGCAACTATGCCCAGAAATCCCGTGGGGGATGACTAGGCCCAGCGCCTTCACTGGTTGGGTTCTTTAGTCAGCTATCTTTCCTTCGCGGGTTTGAGTTTCTTCACCTAAGGAAACCTAGTCATGGCCTATTGTATTTGCCAGAGTTGTGGGACCAAGTGAGAAACGTGAGAGAGACAGAATTTTGGAATCCATTAAATCCACACAGGTACAGGTTATCTTCATGTTATTAATGCACAGATAGACCTGCTCCTTGCTAGCTCTGTTAATGACTTTTGTGAGTCCCTTTGGGATTTCTTCAGTTCTGCTGGTTAATGGTCATTTCATTTCAGCTCAGGATATAGAAGCTGCTTAAGGATCCTGCTCTCATCTGTTCCTTCCTATGTCTAGACTGGAGAGACTGACTTGCATGAGATATAATTTTAGTGCTGGCAGGCCAGCTGCTGTCTATGATATCATGGAAGGTGACCTTATGTTGCCTACAGATGTTAAACACTGCTTGCAGGTGACCTGGCAATTCTGCCTCTCTCTCCATTCTGCATACTAAATCTCTCCATCAATCCGAACTAAGCATGGAGGGTGATTTGTTCTGCTAAAAGTCTCATAGGAATTTCTTAACTATTGCTGACAAAAGAAAAAGGCAAAAAAAAAGTAAGGCCAATTTATTTCCAGGCTTTTGCTAAGTAGCAGATGTTTCCTGTGCAAAAGTAGTATTATAGCAGCATGTTATATTTGCATAGCATCATATGGTTTTGAAAAACAAACTTTGTTTTAAAAATTATACAAGGAATCATGAATATATTCACGTTGAAAAAACTTGAAACAACATGGAAATATATAGAGGCAATCGTTTCTTCTGGGAAAAAACAGGGATCTTGGGGTGATATAAGAGATACAGTTGAAGGAAGATCTCAATTTTGCCTCTATATTGAAATGTTATTGTTTATCAGTACATAGCTTGTATAAGCATTTGTATACATATAAAGATTTCTGTATATAAATAGATTCATACTGAACATATCATTCAGCAATTTTTCCTTAATCTTGATGAGCTTTCTAAGTCATTAGAAAATAGATTTGCTACATTAAAAAACATATAGCTCCATGCTATTTCCAGAGTATGCCAATCACTTTGCTACATATGAACATTTGTTTTGAACTTGCTGATATAACAGTGTTGTAAAAAACATTTCTGCACATACAGCTTTCTGCACATGCACAGGTATTTCTTTCAGTAGGATAGAAACCTGGAAATGAAATTGCTGAATCAGACTTTGGGTAAATTACCTCTCCAGAACTCAGTTTATTTTCAGTAAAATAAATTTAATATTACCAACCTTGTGTCATTTTGAGCATTTAAAATTAAAATTAAATATTTAAATTATAAATCCAGGTTCATTCTCCTTATTGAAGTCTTTTAAAAAAATCAGTTAAAATTCTTTTTCTCCTCACTATTCTCACAGTCGTTATTCCTCTACATCTGTTCCTCTATGTTCTGTTCTATATTAGGTGTTTGATGTGCAAAAGAAGAAGTGAAACAACTATTTAAATTCCTTTCCTCCACGTTCTCCTCATCCTGAAGAATGTTCAAGTTCTGTATTCTGTCTTCCCTTCTCCACCTCTGCTCTTCTCTTTCCTGGTTTGTTTTGTCTGTGGTTCTCATCCTTTCTTTTCACAAGCTACATGGAGGCAGCCAGCTGGAAATTGGCCTCTGAGGCTGGGGGAGTCGGAATGTGAGGGGTGAAAGTGCTGGGGTGTGGAGACCCTAGGACAAGTTGCCAGCTGAGGCTGAACCAGAGCTGTGTCTAGGAGCCAGGCATCAAGTGGTACCATGAAGGGTTTACGCAGATGCTTCAAGCTTTAGGGTTATAGCATTTAATGCTTTAAATGAATCCTCTAATGGGCTCATTACCAGCTTCTCGAGAACTCGAGAACTCCGAGGGGCAGACTGAGGAAGGTGAAGAGAGGAGGGACACGGGTAGGGCTGGAAGTGCACTGAGGTTTGGCAGTGAAGGTAGCATCTTGCAGCTGGGGCTTGGCCTCTTATTTATTGCCTCAAGCCCCGATACGCACAGTCCTCCGGTGGTGCGGGGTGCGGGTGGGGGGAACCCTGGGCAAAGTCAAATACAGGGGAAGGATTCGTTTCTAGTTCTTATGTGTCATAGCGTTTTGCAACATTCCAATATTCTAACCTTTTTAAACTCCCTGTTAAATGTGAGCATATTTGATGTAGATTTTCCCCTTAAAACGTTTTCTCTCCCTTGAAATCCATCACGTTCTTTTTTTAAAAAAACAAATTTATCTTTATTTATTTATTTTGAGATAGAGTCTCGCTGTGTTGGTCTTGAACGCCCAGGCTTTGATGATGTTCCCACCTGGGTTGCCCGCCGGGTTGCTGGGATTACAGGCTTGCGCCACCGTACCTGGCCCATCACATTCTTCATGAATTGTTTCTCTCATGGCTGGAGGTCTTTTAGCATCTTACGTATTTGTTTTGAAGGGAAAGACTAAAGCAAAGCTGCAGCCTGAAGCCTGAGACTACCACAGATTACATGGGAGCACCCCCGTTGATGTTATGACTAGAGGTGTGGGGTTTGAAATAGCTCAGAAAGCTGACCTCTGTTTCCAGGCCAGGCGCAGGCCTGAGGCATTGAATGTTGCCAGCAGGCTGAAATACATCCTGACACTTTCCTTTGTGGGGATCAGTGCTGCACATATGGTGCCTGTTAACTGCTTATGTGATGATCAAGTAGGGACATTAGGAAATTAAAAAGAGATGGTTAAAGCTGTTGCTGAGGAGTTTAGCCACTAGCACCCAGTCTTAGCTTTGCGTCTTCATGCGAATGCAGTTTTCTCATCTTTCATCTGTTCTATTGCCTGAGTAGGTTAGTGCCATCTGCATAGACAGGAAATCCAGAAGGGAAGGACTTCATGGGGTCCGTTGACTTGTCCTCGCCCTACCAAGCAGTTGGTGTGTTTAATCAATACACTTTAATATAAATGTGAGGAAGAGGAAACATGGCAGATCCGCAGTTGGATCTTTGATCTCTCAGTTCTTCCCTTGGAACCTCTGCAAGTGAATCCATGCTGTTCATTATGCTCCCCCAAAGAACATCATGAGCTGTTCTATGGGGCCAGATTTTCATCCTACAATCATCTGAGAATAGTTCCCATATTGTAGAAGAGATGACTATCTGGTCCAATGAGTCAAGAGGGATAAAAGCACAATCCATTTGTGTGGGGGAAAGGCATGGTCTTGTGGCTAAAGAACAAAAACCCAGCATCTCTCCTGGATATGACATTTAACTCAGTGCATTAGGCATGCCATTTTATCTTATGATACAGAAATCTTGGGAAATGTTACAGCTGCCTAGGTGCCGGGTTGTTCCCAAGATTTATGCCTTCAATATGCTTTAGATTTTAATTCAAAGTATGAAATTACATGGCCACAAAATGCTGATGTAAGACTTTTGGTTTTCAATTGAATTTAGGAAACTTGGGGCTTTCTTACATTTTGTTTCTATGCCATCCTTAAAACCACATGTGACTCCTTTGTATCATGTTCCCATTACACAGAGAACTCTTTCGACATAATCTGTGTCTCTTCTGCCTTACATCCCAGGAAAGCAAATCTTTTGGTCCCTTCTGTTCCTGTCTCCTCCTTCTTGTCTTATTTCAATATCTGTTTTCACACCAGACCTTACACCTAGAAAATTCTCCCACTTTCCTTCCAATAATAACTCTCCTTACCTCTAATCCTTTTATCTTATTCCACTTTTCAAATTTCTCTTGCTCATTTAAAATCACTGAAAAGATTTTCATTTGTTGACTTAGGCATGATTTCTTCCACCAGTCCTAACCAAAGAGAAATCTCTCTCTTTCTTTTCAGTGCCTGGCACAGTGCCCACCACATACTACATGCCCCATAAATGTTTTTTGAATAAACGAATAAATACTTCCTCCTTCACAAAAATAACTTGATTATAAAATATGAAATGTGAATGGTGGATGCCTATTCATTGGGATAATAGTGATACCATGTCAACGTTGTGTAGGACTCTCTAGTTTAAGGAGCACGCTGTTGCTACTGTCTGGAATGCTCTTGCCTTCATCCCAAGAACTCCCCAATTCCTCACCACTGACCACATCCTAGCAGGCTTTCAGGACTTGATTTAGGGTCACTTCCTTCAGAAAGCCTTCCTGAAATTCCAAGGCTGTTAAGACTCCTCCTCTGTGCCTCCAGTCTACATATTTCTCATGGGACTGATGTTTACTTCTGTCTCTCTTCTTTCCTCCCAATAGTTACAATAGTGCCTTCTTTGCCAGGGTTTCAGTTATGCACAGTCAACCATGCTCCAAAAATATTAAATAGAAAATTCCAGAAATAAACAATTCATAAATTTTAAATTGCATGCCATACTGAGTAATGAGATGAAATTTCTTGCCATCCCATTCCATCTACTGGACAAAGTGAACTGACGTCCTCACTTTGTCCAGTAGACCCAGTAGACACTGCTGCCCACTAGTCATTAGTAGCTGTCTTGATGATCAGATCAACTGTCCGAATATCATAGTGCTCGTGTTTAAGTAACCCTTATTTTATTTAATAAAAGTCCCGAAGCATAAGAGTAGTGATGCTGGCAACCTGGTATGCCAAAAAGCAGCTGTAAAGTGCTTTCTTTAAGTGAAAGGGTGAAAGCTCTTCACTTCTTAAGGAAAGAAAAAAAAATTATATGCTGAGGTTGCTAAGAGCTGTGTTAAGAACAAATCTATCTGTGAAATTGTGAAGAAGGAAAAAGAAATACATGGTAGTTCTGCTTCCACATCTCAAACCAGAAACGTATGGCCACAGTGTGTGATAACTTTCATGATAGTATATTGTTATAATACCACGTATTTGTTACAATACCATATAAACGTATATACCATATACCAATATATGTTATAATACCATAATCACTTATGCTGCCTAATTTAAAAATTAAACTTTATTATAGGTATGTATATATAGGAAAAATCATATATATAGGGTCTGGCACTATCATGTTGGTTTCAGGCATCCACCAGGGGTTTTGGAACTCTTCCCACTAGCCCTCGAATAAGGGGGACTATTGTATTCTTCACTGGGTCCTCAGTGCCTAGCAAGGGTCCTGGAACATTGAAGGCAAACAAAGCATGTTGGGAATGGATAAATGCCGCTGCTTTGGATGATTTTTAAGAAGTGTGGGTGAGTGAGAAGGGAGACTGGAAGCCTTTTAGAAGAAGGACTGATGCTTTTCAGGTTAAAAGTGAGACTGCAACTGAAAGCTCCAAGAATTTTCAAGAGATGAGTGAGGCACACTCAAATTCAGCAACTGAAGGGTGAGGGCTAAGAAGAGCATCACCCGTTTCTTCAGGTTACACCAGCATGCACCATCTTGGCATTTCGTCTCTACTGTGATTTCCGTTCCTACCACATATTACAGTGTGAAATTATCTTTTTGTCTTAGTCCATTCTGGCTGCTGTAACACAATACCTTAGACAGGGTGGTTTAAACAACAAACATTTGTTGCTCACAGTTCTGGAGAGTGGGAAATCCAAGATCAAGATGCCAACAGATTTAGTGTCTAGGAAAGGCCCTCTTCCTGGTTCATGCATGCCATCTTCTCACTGTGTCTTCAATTGCCATAAAGGGTGAGGGGTTCTCTGGGGTCTCTTTTATAGGGGCACTAATCCCAATCGTGAAGCCTCCACCCTCATGACCTAATCACCTCTGAAAGGCCCCACATCCAAATACCATCACATTAAGAATTAGGTTTCAGCATATGAATTGGCAGGTGGGGGCAGGGCATAAACATTGTCTATAACACTTCTAGTCCTCGCTTGTGAACACTCCACTATAGCTGAAGCTCCTTCAGGCTGGAAAGGATAATGTTTCAGAGCTCTGCTTATCCACGACACTGTGGGCCAGGTGCTTAACAAGGAAAGAAAGGCCTGCTCTCTCCCTGGCCAATGTTTTTTGATGGCCTCCTTTAGGGAGAGGAGGGATGTCTGTTGTAGGTGGCTGGTATTCCAGAGTAAACTTTTCTGTCATGTGATTATCATAATTATTCTTGCCATGGATATTTATAATTAAAGACTACAATCCTGTTCTCTAATTGGTATAGTTTCAGGGTGGCATGGCTTACATCTAGACTGACTAGGCTGCCCTCTGACTTCTTCCTTTTACCCCCATTTTCCTCTTTGTGAGTCAAACTGTCTCCCAGCATTTTGAGTTTGCATTTCCTGACTTTGCTGCTGTGTAGAGAATTTGCATGTGTGGACATTGCTTTGGATTCCTCTAGATCAGAAATTCCCTTGTGGACCCACTGTGAAGGTAGCAGTGTGTGTGTGTGCATGTGTGTGTGTAGAAAAGTGGTACAAATACTATTTTCAAGACTTTCAAAAAGCTTGATGGAAACAGCTTGTGTGAAATAAGATTATACAGGCTAACTAAGCAACTAAACATTTTGTTTTTGTTTTTGTTTTTGTTTTGTTTGTTTGTTTTGTTTTTGTCTGTGGGCCAGAATTCTATTTGAGAAGGTAGGGTTTAGAAAGAATAGATGCATTTTAAAGGCAGATTTGGGTTAAATTTGCAGCTCAGTCATTAACACACTGTGTGACCTTATGCAAATTCTTAACTCTTTGCATTCCGTTTCCCCACTGAGAAGGTGGGACTAATAGTCACCAAGCTAAAGTGTTTAGAGACTAAGTAGAAGTCTATCTGTTGAGTGTCTGGCACATCGTAGAGGCTATATTTGGTCACTCCAGGAACACTCCATCACTTTAATATTCAGAGTGTATCTTCCTTTGAGTTAATAGATATCTCATCTGTATATTAATGAGTTGCCTCTTTTCAAAAGCGTTAAATGACACCAGCTCAGGCATCCTGCCCTCTGTGACAGGCCTCTGAGAGAGGATGCAGTCAGAGAAAGTTGATTTGGAGCCCCACTGATTTTTCTGACATTTTTTTAAGAGCGAAATTTTCTTCTTTTCAGGGAACTTGAAATGCTAAAAGCAGATGCCCAGAGACATCCTGATGATTGGATTTAAAATTTAAAAAGCATTCCAAACCTTCTAAGAGACAAATCTGACTTTAGAAGATTCTTACTTTTCATAAAAGTGTTTCCAGTCCCTAGTCACAGTCAAAAATTATTTGCATTAAAGAATACACAGTCTAATATGAACTCATGAAAATAATCAATTCCCTTTCAACCGGCATACTTGCTCTTGGAGTGAGAACCTAGGCTGCATTCCTAGTATTACATTAGTCACTGTGGTCTTCACTAATACAGAATGAAAATTCTCTGGGGCTTATGCCTACCACCTCCAGACTCTAATTACACTAGGAGAAACCAATGTTGCTGCAGAATGCTTGAGTTAGCATTTCCTGACTTTGCTGCCGTGTAGAGAATTTGCATGTGTGGACATTGCTTTGGATCCCTCTGGATCAGAAGTTCCCTTGTGGGCCCACTGTGAAGGTAACAGTGTGTGTGAGTGTATGTGTGTGTGTGTGTGTGTGTGTGTGTGTAGGGGAGTGGTACAAATACTATTTTCAAGATTTTCAAAAAGTTTGATGGAAACAGCTTATTTGTGTGAAATAATATTATACAGGCTGACTAAACATTGTGTTTTTTGACCGTAGGCCAGAATTCTATTTGGGAAGGCAGGATATAGAAAGAATGGATGCATTTTAAAGACAGAAAGATTTGGGTTAAATTTGCAGCTCATTCATTTACAAACTGTGTGACCTTATGCAAATTCTTAATCCTACTCATTCTGCTTTTTCACTGAGAAAGTGGGAATAATAGACACCAAGCTAAAGTGTTTTGAAACTCAGTACAATTCTATTTGTAGAGTGTCTGGCACATAGCAATCACTATGTAGGTGGACTTATGATTATCTGGATTACCATTGCCTTAAACAATACAATAATATGTCACATTCTGGACAGAAATTTCAATAGCACACAGTGCTACCTTTTGTTTTTCTCTCTGTGCCAGGCATTGTATTAAAAGATTTTCATAAATTATCTCATTTAATCCTCATAATAGCTCTCCAAAGATAAGTACTATTATTATGCCCATTTTACAGAAGAGAAAACAGAGGCTATCTATGTGATTTGGAAGACACTCACTATCCAAAGATAGCTACTATTGAGTAGAGGAGTCAATAGTCAAATTCAGCTCATCTAACTTCAGAGCCCTCCCTCTTAACTGGTGCAATTAATTGAGAAGTCATACATGTCCTCAGAAAACTACCAGAAAAAGAGAAATAAATAAGGAAAGGAAAGAGAAAGACCAAGAAAGAAACAGAAAGAAAGAAAGTAATTGTTTCTTGAGATATATAGTTTGTGGCTGAGGCGGGTGGATCACGAGGTCAGGAGATCAAGATATATAGTTTGCTATTTAAATTATTTTAAGACTATGTCTTAAGACCATTTTAAGACTATCTCTAAGACCAAAAATGAAATTGGTCTTGGAGATGAAAATGGTCTTAAGCCTATCTTCAAGACCAAAAAGGAAATTGATCTTAGAGATGAAAATGTTGTGAATGGCTGCTTCAGATAGGGCAGAAATGTGCTTGCTTTTAGAATAGTTTGAAAGAGGATCCAAAAGAAAATCTCGGGGCCATAGAATGTGTTCAGATCAAGTTTTCTGAAAGAGAGAAAGCAAAAGCAACAGAGCCCCCTGTATGTTTGACATTTACATTAGGAGAACAACTTAAGCCTTGAAGAACTTGCTGTAAACATGCTCCATGACATGGAAAGGGGCACGTCTTCTAAAAGCTGAAGCCAGAGATATTCATGTATACTAGTCAACTGTCAGCCAGGCTATTAACATGCCACTTGGAAAGTCACTAGATGTTAAAAAAGTAGAATGAAATAATTATTTATTAAATACTCCACATTTTTGAAATGTAAGGGTAATTAATCCATATACAAAGAAATATTTGGTAAAAAGGAATTACTAATTTGTTGCCTTCTATATTCCTGAATGATTCCATGGACTTCAAGGTCATTTGCCAGTCACCTCGGTCTCTATGTGACAAAACACTATTCTAGGCTATAGTATTATTACAAATCTGTAGTATTAGATGATCACAGCTGAGATGCAAGGAGGTGGGCATTATTAATTTTAAATAAAATTTAATGAGATATTATTTCTATAGCGTATATTACATTCACTTAAAGTGCAGATTTTATGCGTCTTGACAGTTGTATACAACATCAATTACAAGCAAGGTACATGTCAGCCCATTTTCTGCTGTTATCATGGAATACCATACACTGGATAATTTATAAAGAAAGATTTATTTGGCTCACAGTTCTTGGGGCTGGGAAGTCCAAGATCAAGGGGCTGCATCTGGTAAGGGCCTTCTTGCTGCATCATAACATGGCAGTAGGTATCACATGGTGAGAGAGTGCATGCCTAAGAAAAAAGAAGGCTGAACTTCTGAAATAACTAACCCACTCCTGCTACAATAGCATTAATCTATTTATGAGAGTAGACCCCTCATGACCTAATCACCTCTTAAAAGTTCCATCTCTTAATACCATCACAATGCCAATTAAATTTCAATATGAATTTTGGAGGGGGCATTCAAAACATTTTATCACTCCCAAAAGATTTCTTGTGTCCCTTTGCTGTTCATTCCTTCCTCCACTCTGAACCATGGGTGACCACTGGTCTACTTTCTGTCACTGTAGGTTAGTTTGTATTTTCTAAAATTTTATGTAAATAGTCATACAATATGCACTCTCTTTTCTTTGGGTTCTTTCACTCAAACTAATGATTTTGAAATTCATTTATGTTATTACATAAATATAACAGTTCATTCCTTTTTATTGTTGAGTAGCATTATATAATATGTATACATTTTATTTTGTTTATCCATGTACCTGTTAATAAATATTTAGCTTCTTTATGGGTTTTTTTTTTTTTTGGCTATTATGAACATTTTTGAACATTCATGTGCTAGTCTTTGTATGGACACTTGTTTTTATTTCTCTTGGGTAAGTATCCTAGGTGTGGATCATAAGTTAGGTGTATGTTTAACTTTTTAAGTAAAACAGTGAATGTAAAATGGTACAAACCATTTGATGTTTTACCACTTTACATTTCTATCAGACGTGTTTAGGAGTTCCAGTTGCTCCACATCCTCACTAATACTTGGTATCATCAGTAGTTTTAATTTTAGTGAGTCTAGCAGGTCCAAGAGGTATCTTACTGTGATTTTACCTTACATTTCCTCAGTATCTGATGACATTGAGAATCTTTTTGTATGCTTATTAGCCATTTAATATCTTATTTTGTAAAGTGTCTGTTCAAATCTTTTGTACGTTATAAAAATCAAGTTGTCTTTTCATTACTGAGTTCTTTCTATATTCTTAATATGAGTCCTTAAAACATAAATACATATATTTTCTCCTCCTCTGTGGCTTGCATTTTCATTCTTAATGATGTCCTTTGAGGATCATGAGTAATTTTGATGAAGTCCAACTTGTTAAATTCTCTTTTATAGTTCATGTTTTCTGTATTTTAATTAAGAAATCTTTGCCTAGTCCAAGATCACAAAGATTTTCTCATTTGTTTTCTTCTAGAAGCTTTATAGTTTTAACTTTTATATTTAGGTCAATAATTATTTTGATTTCATTTTTATGCCTGCTGTGAGGTATATTATCTACTACTAAATAACAAATTACTCCAAAATTTAGCAGTTAAAGCAACAAATAAATTTCTTGTCTCACACAGCTTATAAGAGTCAGGAATTTGGAAGTGGCTTAGTTGAATGATTCTGGCTTAGGACCTCATGAGGCTATAGTCAAACTGCTGGCCATGGCTGTAGCCCTCAGTAATCTGACCAGGGCCAAGGGGTCTGCTTGCAGGGTGGGTCACTCACATACCTGTTGACAGAAGGTCTCAGTTTCTTGCTGTATAAAACTCTCTACAAGGCTGTCTGAGTGTCCTCACAACTTTGCTGTGGCTTTCCCTAGAGCAAATGATCTAAGAAAGAACTAGTGAAGAAGAAATCAAGGTGTCTCTTGTAACTTACTGTCAAAGCTTGACACCATCACTTCAGCTTGATTCTATTCATTAGAAGTGAGACTCTAAGTCCATCTCACATTCAAGGTGATAGGAGTTAATTTATACCTTTTTAAGGGATGAGTATCAAAGAATTTGTGGGCATATTTTGAACAACCACTTGAGATAAAGTTCAAAGTTCACTTCTTTCCCATGTGGATATCCAATTGTTCTACTATCATTTGTTGAAAATATTTTTTTCCCCATAGCTGGCATCAGAATTTTACTTTCTTTTCCAGATGAATTCTATTCATGGTTATATTTCAAAAGCAAACTCAATTTTTTAAAATTTAAGCCTACAGCAAAAGGTTATTAAAAATACAAAAATGAAAAATTCAAATGATGGTATTCATTCTAATAATGTACTTTCTGTAAGTTTGCATTTTCAATTTGCAATTGCAATAGTTAATACAATCTTGGAACATTAATGTTGGAAGACATCTAAGACATTAGCTAATTTATCTCAGTTTTATGAATATTGAAGCAGAAGTGTTAGGAGACTAAATGAATGGTTCAGGACATAATATAAGATATAGGCAGATCTGAGAATATTAGCTATTTAATATCCTGGCTGGGTAATCTTTCTGATATATCAACAGTCGAAAAGTCCTTGACATGAGCAGTTATCACCTTGGTCTCTGAAACTGTTATATTAAAGTCCACAAGGAGCACTTTTTAATTTCACCTTATTAATTGCATTTGTGTGAAAATCAGTCTTGTTCCTTCTATCCCTTTCCTTATTCCCTTAATATTTCTGTTTCATCCACTGATCCATCTATCCACTCATTATTGTTTAATTCACACATGTGTTGAATGTCTTCTATGAACCAAACATTGGTCCAAATGCTCAGGACACAAATATTAGAAGAACACTGTCTTTGCCCTCAAGGAACACAGAGTCTGACTTCTTCTGTGAGCACTAATGTATCATCTCTCTCCATGACATAAGCTTTTGGATTTGAGATTGTGTGTCTATCAGGTCATCACCCAGAAACCAAAACCTTTGAGAAAAATGGGATTTCCTAGAATTATAGAGATTGCAAATGTTTGTCAATACTCCATGTGAAGGAGCTACAGAAAATGGAGGCCTTCCATCAAAAGCATGGATTTTTCTCTTAGTTTGTACCATAATCAATATTCCTAAGGAAATCTATGAAAGAAAATGCCAGGACTTTGGGGGATCAGTCAGAGAAAGTTTCACTGTTAGCTTGCTTAACTGGTTTCTATAAAATATGAGTCTCCTAGCTGGATGATTCCAGCTCAGGACCTCGTGAGGTTACAGTCAAACTCCTGGCCATGACTGTAGCCATCAGTAGTCTGACAGGGACTGGCAGGTCCACTTGCAGTGTGGCTCACTCACGCAGCTCTTGGTTATGTGGTCTCAGCTTGATTATGTGTTAGATATTTGAGTTGCAAATTGGGGATTACTATGGCACTGGAAGGGAGGTGTTTTGGTGGGGTGCAAGCACAAGGTTTTTCCTGTTCATGATGAAAGCCTACTTCCCCATGAGCATGGTGCTTTATGAAGCTTTATTCCATGCCTTTCATGATTCAACCATCACTGAAGCATGAATGAAAGAGGGCTTTGAGATATACCATGTGACACCTGGTCCCCTCTGCACCCTTCCACCCCAGACTGTTTCTCACAATTAGAGCTGCCAACAGCTGCACCTTGGCTGGGCATCTACTAATGGAATCCTCACAGAGCAGTCAAATATCATTTCTTCTTTGTTTTCATAAAGTGAATAAAGAGTTTTAGGAAATCTCACCCATGCCCTTAGAATAGAGAGGTCTCTTTCTACAGTTGGTGCAGTTAAGTCAGGCTGCAAAGTCTGTCAAATTGAGCTGCTATTCTGATGATGCAGCCACCTTTTGACAGATACCAGTGGCAGCTGAATGGAGGGTACAGAAACAGAAGCCACTTTGGTGGAGGCTTAACCCAAGCTCTGCTGTGGATCAATGATAAAGGTCAATTAGCCAGATTATCTTTGCATAGAACTGTATGAAAGAATGAGAATAACGGAATGGAAACAGAAAATTTCAGACCTGATCTCTGGACTTGTATCAAACGGCTGCGGGTGGAGGAAAGGGCACAACTCTCATTCCAAAAAAGGCAGCTTTTCCTCTAGGACATGAGATTCTATGAACCTGACAGAGTTCTTAGTATAAACACAGAGATGAACTGTAGTTGATTTAAAGGGGAAAGAAATATGTTAAAAGACAAATGTGTGCTCACAGAATCATTGAGAGAACCAGGCTTCAGGCCCCACAGAGACCCAAAATTATACTGGGGAAATTAGGTAAATGAGGACACTGCACTGTAGCTGCTAAACATTGGATGGGGCCATTTGCACTCTGTCACCACCAGCCCTGGCCTCTGGACACCCATCACCACTGTCACCAGTGAAGATTCCCTGAGCCTTTCCTCCT
The DNA here is from genome assembly GCF_000001405.40 of Homo sapiens. Classification (NCBI taxonomy): domain Eukaryota; kingdom Metazoa; phylum Chordata; class Mammalia; order Primates; family Hominidae; genus Homo; species Homo sapiens. The sequence goes on from NC_000013.11 coordinate 36,526,492, forward strand.
TTGCCCTAGTGGTTCTCAAGTCAAAGTCTAGGAAGGTAGGTCTGATTGATGGAGCTTGGTCTCCTGACCATGTCTAGCTGCAAGGGAGGCCGGGAAAGTGGGTACTGGCATTTTCAGCTTCAATGTGGGAGGTGAGTCCTAATTCTTTCTAAAATGCATATTATTGGAGTGGGATTCACCACACATAGGAGAAGGGTTCAGAAACTGGGCAACTCCCTTAAGAAAAAAAGCACATCCATTTGAAAAGTTCTAAATTCTGATGAGGAATAAGAGAGGATAGGGGTAGAGTCTAAGTGAAGCTAATGACTGGGGAGATTAACTTAGGGAAAGTTCCCTGCTCCAGTAAAGAATCTGGAAAGACAGAATTTGGTGTTCCTTGACTTTGGCTTCAATTAGGATCACCTGGGGAGCATTCAAAAAATACTGTTGTTTGGGCTCTTTTCTAGACCAGTTAAGTCAAAATTCCTGGGAGTGACTTATGTTCTGAAAGCTCCTCCCTTGTGATTCTAATGTGTGGTCAGGGATGACAGCACTCAATTACATCAAAAGGCACCTGGAGAAGGGAAACAGGTAGGCTCTGGAGTGCCTGCAGGCAGGTGCCAGGAGGTGGCATCCATCCACAGCCACTTGCAGCATGTTTGGCATTTTTCTGATCTAGCACTGCTGAGCAACAGCAGGAATCTTCCTGTAATTCACTGGCATTTTTAAAGGCCTAACGTGATGCACACATGTGAGGTTTTCTAAAACCTGAAAAACATTGTTGCATGATTAATAAAAGCTCTTTTCTCCAAGCAGCAGAGGAGGGAGAAGGGAGGTGGCTGTGTAGATCGAGGCCAACTGCTGGGGAGCCGTGGGCTTGTTAACTAGAGCCCACCACTGAAACCCTCACGCATTTGTCCTGGAATGATTAATTTTTCTAGTTAGGTGGGTTGAGTGGGAGGAGAGTGAGCAAAGCCTGGGTTTGGGCTTCGGAAAGATGCCCCAGTGTGCACAGCTGGACGAGACTCTTCGAGGAGCCCAAGTAGTCTGTTCAGGAAACTCAGAGGGAGGAACAGTTCCCAGGCTAGTTGCCTTTGCGAATCACACAGACTTCTGTGCCCACTGTAGCCCTTGGCTCAGCTAGGAAAGATTTGCAACACCAAATGCCTCTAGGCTTATTTAAGAATACTGTCTTTGTCCATTCAGCTGCTGTAATGAAATACTATAGATAGATTGGGTAGTTTCTAAATGAAAGAAATTTATTTCTCACAGTTCTGGAGGTGGGGAAGTCCAAGATCAAGGTGCTGTCTGACTTGGTGTCTGGTGAGGGCCCCCCTCCTGTTTCACAGATGGCACCTTCTTGCAATATCCTCACATGGTGGAAGCGGGTGAACAAGCTCCCTGAAGCCTCATTTACAAGGGCACTAATCCCATTCATGAGGGTGGAGCCCTCATGCCCTAATCACCTCCCACAGGCCTCACCCCCTAGACCATCACCTGTGGGGGTAGGGTCAGGATTTCAACATGTAAATCGCAGAAGGACACAACTTTCAGACCATAACAGCTACTACCTGAGAAGGTGGGAGGTTTGGGATCCAGGTAAATTTTCACAATGCTAAATTTCCTTCCCAGTTTCAGACTAGATGAAATATGAAGGAAAGCAATTAAGCAAAGAATGTGTATCAAGGAGTCAAATATTTCATGAAAAAGCCAGTGGCAGCAAGTATCAATATTTGCTTTCCAGAGTAAACATCTCAGAGGACGTATCTGGAGCAAGGCGGGAGGCATGGAGCACAGCGAGGGAGAGTGAACAGCGAGCCCTCTCCAGCCAGCTCCCTCATCAGTCTCTATTCGCTGGTTACGAACATGATGAATGATACCACAGGAGCAAAGCTGCCGTCTCTGCCCTTTGCCGGCCCCATTAAGGTGGTTTGGCTGTAACCTTGAGGAATAGATTCTAAAGGGCACAGTGCTGATCAATGCTCCCAACTCAACTCCCCAAAGCCACCTCCTGTGAAATCACATGTCCATGCCTGCTCTTGTCCTCTTTTGAAATTAGTCAGTGGCGCTGAAATTAGTCTTGACAACAGAAACCTTCCAAGTGTTGGTTTATGTTCTTGGAGCAAATTATTGGCTGTAAGAACAATTTGGGGAAAAAAAGGAGCATTGAGAGGATTCATGGAAATGTGTGGCAATAATTAGGCTGCAGTGGCACAGAGTCCTGGTGGTGATTGCTGGTCCTTTTAAACTTGACAGAAATTTTCATAAATTGAAGTAGAGGAATGGACCTTTAAAAGAGGAGTAATTTTCTTTAATATTTATAATGGTAATATTTGTGTTTGGCACATAATTTAACAAATATATATTAGTTGCCTACTATCCTCTGTGCTGTTACTACTAGGATGAATTCGTCAGTGTTCCCACTGTTCGTGCAGATCTGATATTTTCGTGAGGGGCGGGGGTGGGAGAGGGGTGGATAAGGAGAAATTACTTAAGGTATACAGTATACATTATTTGGATGATGAATACCCCAAAAGCCCTGACTTGATCTACGCAATCTATGCAGTAACAAAATTGCACTTGCACCTCATAAATTTGTACAAGTGAAAAAAAAATTTTAGTACGATTCTCAGGTATTACTACGCAAAAACGAGAGAGAGAGAGAACCATAATCAGTTCATTTCAATAAAATAGAGTTAGTGATAGGATTGAGGTAAGCATAGGATGCTACGGAAGAGAAGAGAGGGGGCAGATGATATGCAAGGTGAAGTCTGATATTTTCTTTGTATTTTGAGCAGTGTGTGTATGTGTGTGTGTATGTGCATGCATGCATGTATGTGTTGAGGGGTGGGTGGACAACAAACAGTTTGTTATTAATGCAGCCGAAAGTGCAGGTCAAGGAGTGGCAGGATTTGGAGATGAAGATGTAGGGGTATGTCTTGCAGAGCTCTATATGCCAAGCTAAGCAGTTTGGATTCTTCTCTCTGCATACTGGAGGATCTTAAAACTCATTGGCATTAGAATTATTTGGGATTTCTCAGATCTCTTGCTCTTCAACAACAACAACAAATAATTATTTAGAATTTTGCCACTGAGTGTGGTCCCCAAACCAAAAGCCTAGTTATAACCTGGGAATCTTTTAGCAATGCAGAATTCCACTCCCCCTATAGCCACAGAAGGAGAGTACGTATTCTAATAAAGTGATCCATATGCATCTTATCAGTAAAGCTTGAGAAGTCACCTAGGGAGCTTGTTGGAAAATGAAGATTCCTTGCTTATCAGATTTTACTTCAGTAAAACTGGGGTGACATCCTGGCGCTTGCATTTCTAACAATCGTCCCAAGTAATTCTGCTGCAGGTGGCCGAGAATTTAAAAAAAAAAGAAAAAAAAAGATGCTCTTATTGCCTATTTGGCTATCATATGAATTTAGCTTCTTGTTGGAGACATGTATACATCACGATATGATCCCTCACTTAATACAAATCTTGAATGGTAGTCCCAGGTAACACTGGCTAAAACAAAAGCTTAGCCCACAAACCTGGAAGGTGGCTCTGACCACACAGAAAGCCTGGCCAGGACCTGAGGCCCAGAAGTCCCCAGAGACAAACAGATAAGCTGAGCACAGACTCTCCTCACTGTGCACTCTGGCTGGTTCTAAGTAATCTAAAAGCAATGACTATGCTATCTAATTCTTCTGAGTACATTTACAGAGAGACTTACTCGCCTGTCTTGAATGTTGGCAGAGAAACTGGAGTTTCAAGGAGTGGAGGACTCATTAGCAGCCAAGAAATGTGTCTTCAAAGCTGGCGGCCAGTCAGAAGCAGATCAGTGAGGGCAGGGAGGGAGGGAGCATGCAGAGCCTCTGACAGCAGGATGCCAAGGACTGCAGGGAGCTAGGTGGAATTAGTCAACCAGACAAATAGCACTAACATTTCCATGTGGGGGAAATGGATTATTCAATCTGTCTTTAGACTGCAGCCCAGGTGCTCAAGCAACTCAGTTTCCATCCCTGGGAGCAACACAGCCATATAGAGGAATGTAGTCTTGCATATGGGGGCGCTGGCTGGGGCCAGGGTCCTCTCTGTCACAGTGATATTACACATGTTCTCCCTGTGGCCATCTTGGGAGGTGAGGCAGCTGCTGTTTCAATGTTAATTAACCACTCAGCAAATCTATGCTTTCCAACCAAGCACAATTTCAGTGTTGGTGTATCCCCTTGGTTCTCAAACTCTAGTGTGCATCAGTCGCCAGCAGAGCTTGTTAAAACATTGCTGGACCCCACCCCTAGGGTATCTGATTGAGTAGGTCTGGGGTGGGGCCTGCGAATGTGCATTTCTATCAAGTTCCCAGGTGATGCTGATGCTGCTGGTCTGGGGATCACACTTTGGAAATTACTGGTGTAGCAGCCACTGTGCTTCCCTGCCCAGATTCACAGTGGAAATGTAAAATTTATTCCTCCAGCTTATAGAGATTCTGTGGTCACAGTTGTCACTCAGCTGTCAGCCACTTTGGGAGCTGTTCACAGCTGGACACAGCCTCCTTGCTTGAGGTCATGCCACTTCTCTGGAGAAGGCTTCATTCAATGATTGGTGGATACAGGGGAGTAGAAGCCCTCACTCCAGGATGAAGATTCAGAAGGGCCACGCAGTGACAGAATCCCTGTGGAACTGACTACAGCCCTTGTCATGACTGTGCCACAGCTCAACTCTTTCCTCCACTCTGTGCATGTAGGTGGCCACATAGGAACTCTCCCTTATGACCACCACTGGGAAAGGACAAAATGCTGAGCTTCGTTCATGGATGGGTTTGCTATCTATGGTGGGTGCGAGCAAGATAAAAATCGAGGACAGTTATAGGACTCCCACTCAGAAATTGCCTTGAAACACAGCAGTAAGGGGAAGTTCTCCCAAGGGGCAAGGTCTATTGGCCAAGTCAGTGGGGTAGGGCTGTCGACTTGTTTCTGTGGGAGACACTGCAAAGCTACATAGCACAGGAGGTAGATGTATAATTTCATGACAGGAAAGTAGTGAAGAACTGGGAACAATAATCCAATCTATCACTGATGGAGTGGACAGTACAGTTACATGAAAATTATTACTAGAATATGAAAAGCACATTGGTATAGATTTGTTGAGGGCATTCAAGAGGCACAGGAAAAGGGGATCTGCCCCAACCTGGAGTGAGCACAGGATAAGGACAGCTTCTGGGAGGACGTCATGCCAGAGAGGAAAGAATAGAGTAAGTCCAGGCAAACTAGGGCACAGAATTGAGAGCTGGGAAGCTCAGGAGATGAGGTTAGAAAAATAGGGAGGTGACTAGGTCATGTTGTATCTTGAAGTCCTCAAAAAGGAATTTGAAATTTCTTCTGAGATATTGGAAATTTGTTGAAGGGCATTAAGCAAGATTCATGATCAGATACAGGTTTAAAAATGGTTATTCTGGCAGCAGGATGTGGGATAGTTTGGAAAGAGTGGTGAGGAAACAGAGAGAGGAATTTGCAAGTCCTGGCAATGGTCCAGGCAGGAGAGGAAATGGTGGAAGCAAACGGCCATCACTCTTAAGAGCACAGACTTCCTGAGACAGATGAACTGGGTCTGAGTTCCGACTCTGCCCCAAAATTTGTGGATCTTGGACAAGTTTCTTATCTTGGCAAAACCTCTGTTTTCTCATTTGTAAAGTGAGTATAATGGCAGCATCCACCAATAGAGTTTTGTGAGGATTAAATAAGAACCTGCATAGAAGGGGATTTGTTTTGTGTCTGGAACTAATAGTACTCAAGTATTAACTGCCACTGTTATTCCTGGAGGGCGTGGACTAATTTAGAAGTAGAACTTGAGTGAAGAGGAATTGCCAGCTGCCTTGAAGGCACTCGAAGCACTGAGAAAGGAAGTTAAAGGATTGTCCGGAGCATGAGAATGAAGGTACAGCTGGTGCAATCCTATAACCTGGCTTTACTCCTAGGAGTATCACTTCATTTATTCATTTGTCCATCTATCCCTGTATTCATTACTATTTCCTGAGTATTAACCCTATGCCAGCACTGTTCTATGCTGTGGAATCTAGCCACGACATACACGTGAACACAGGACTGTTGGTGCTTAGTGAACCCTCTTCAGGGACTCTGACCTTGTAAAACTGAACCTGGACGTCACTCTAGGCTGAAGCACCTATTCTGCAATGTCTTCCTTTCCATCACTGGAAGCTTTACTATCCCAATTCATGACTTCTTGACAGTTAGTAGAAAAAAATTAAGATAAGTCTATTTCTCCCTTTATAAACAAATACCTATGAAAGTGGATGGTTACAACTATCCAAGAATGTCAAGCTGCTGCTTGGAATTCAAAGACTTTCATTGCTTTTACTGAGAGGTTCTTCAAACCTTAAAAGCAACCGTGGAAGTAATTGCAAGTGAGTGACCTGCTGTTGATCTCCACGCATTTGCAAAGTCCAGTTAGTTTAAATTCTTCATTACTCAGTACAATTTCAAGTGGATTTTGCTTTCTGTATACGCAGGTACATTGTTGTTTCTTAGCTGTTGGGACTTACAGAATATAAATGAGCTAACATGACCTACAGCAAAACCTATCTCGTGTTACAATTTCTTACACATCTGCACATTTGACTCTGCAATCTTGGTTCAGGAGCTAGGTACTGCTTTCTCTTTTGGTATAAGTATGAGTTGTTTTATCAGCGCTACAGGAACCCCTGTATTGTTAATGATATCAACTTTAACTGTACTCACAAAACCCTTCAATTACCATGTTACTTGCTCCTGACAATATACTACTGTTACAGCAATTCTGTAGCCAGTAAGCTGGCTGGCAACGTGTAAAGTGGATTATATCTACACCATGGCCCAGCCTTCCTTCCCCATGAGGAAGAGGCTTAGGAGACTAAGGACACAAAGGAACTTCTTTCAATTCTGCACACACCATTCACTCTGCCCGTGTGGTTCTCCCAGCCTCCTGCCCAGCATTTTGAATCCTGCTTACTCTCAAAGCACAACTCAAGTCCCATCATTCCATGGATATTTGTGTGCTTCCATCTTTCTACAACACAGTCTGTCTGTTAGATTATCTCTATGCTGAGAGAGGAAGGTATGGAGGTAGTTGGCTACCAGTGTAAAATGAACAAGGACCAAGCAAATGAGAGCAGGCAATGGCTATTTATTCAGAGCTTCCTGTAGCAAGGGAATCATGACGGTGTTTTGAAAGAGATTCAAAGGCAAGCAGAGGAGTGAGAAAGCTTTAAAGTGGAAAAAGGGAAGAGTCAGGCATGGCCTAATCAGAGGCTACTGTCATGAGGAAGCTATAGGCAGCTAACCTGGAGCCAGGCATCATCTGTGATTGGTTAGGGAAGCATATTTGTCTTTCTCTTGTTGGACTTAAGTTGGAAACGGAGAAAAGTAGAGAATTTGTCAGTTATGAATCAAGTCCTGGCTGATTGTTACAGGTGCTATTGTTTGGCTTCCTGAGCTCATTGCTGGAGACAATGATGTGACTTCCCGTAAGTCTGACTCATAGATAGCAGGTTGCATTCTAGGCTATTGACTAGAAAATGGGTTGGCTTCCTGGGCAGGTTGCTGCAGATTGTGGGTCAGAGTTCTTTTTTAACCTATAGTCTGGCTAGTGTTCATTTGTCTGTTCACTCTCACCAGTAAGGCAGCTGCCACAATGGCTCATGTGAGAGTTGCTGAGGTCAGGGAATAAAAAGGAAGGGATGGAAGGACAGGGTTTGGTACAGATGAGATGAGGGAGGATTTTAAAGACCAGAATAGTGGTTACAACTCCGCTGCCACCAGACTAGATGTAAATCCCAGCTCTGCCTCTCACCCATTGAACATGAAAATAACAGGACCTATCTCATAGGGTACTATTAGTTATCAAATGTAAATTATACTAGTTATTATATATAAAGTGAATAGAACGGCTCCTGACCAAAGTAAATGTAGCTTATTACCCTGGGGCAAGGGTGATGTCATTAGCTGACAGCGAATCAGGAGGAAAAGCAGGCTTCAAAGCAAACTTTGGGCAAGTTTGATCTTCCATTTGGTTCTCGGGAGTGAAACTGGTTTGTCCCTCTATCTAGTATATTCCCAAGAGCAGCACAGTGCGTGCACTGCTTCCTGTTTTGGTTAAGCCATCTTGTTTAATTTTTGTATATTTCACATTTATTTACCCATTTATTATTGAAAAATAAAAATGTTATATATTTATTGTGTCCAAAATGATGTTTTGAAATATGTATACATTATAGAATGGTTAAATGAAGCTAATTAGCATATGCATTACCTCACATACTTATTCTTTCGTGGCGAGAACACTTAAAATCTACTTGCTTATCAAGTTTCAACTCTACATCACATTGTTAATAAGTATAATCACCATGTGATTATAGATCTCTTGAACTCATTCCTCTTGTCTAACTGCAATTTGGTATCCTGTGACCAATGTCTCCCTATTTCCACCCTCTCTCCAGCCCTGGTAACCACTATTCTACTCTCTGCTTCTGTAAGTCTGAATTTTCTCATTTTTACATGCAAGTGAGATCATGTAGTATTTATCTTTCTGCGCCTGGCTTATTTCAGTTAACGTAATGTCCTCCAGATTCATCCATGTTGTTGCAAATGACAGGATTTTTAAGGCTAAATAATATTTCTGTATGTATTATATACATACACACATACATTTTGCAATCCATTCATCCCTTGATGGATACTTAGATTGATTCCTTATCTTGCCTACTGTGAATAATGCTACAATACACATGAGAATGTAGGTACCTCTTTGACATATTAATTTCATATCCTTTGGAGGTATACCCAGTAGTGGGATTGCTGGAGCCTATGTTAGTTCTACTGTCAATTTTTTGAGGAATCTCTATACTGTTTTTCATAATGGCTGTGCTAATTTATATCTCCTTTAATTTTTAATGGTTACTTTAGGGTCTGTCCAAGGAGGTAGCAACACTACCCCTCAGTTAAACAATTGAATCTAAAAAAATGTGATTATCAAAGTAATGATTAAAATGTAAAATGAGCTAAAAAATAAAAAGATTGTCAATTTTAGTCATAAAGATATATGTTTGTAGTGTTTTACAGCTTACAAATAATTTTCTGTTGAATCAGATTTTTGGATAAATGAAAGTGGTTATTTTTGACAGCTAAGGAATTCAGGGCGTGGATACTGTATTATAAACTTATTCAACTCCCTCTGATATTTGACTTTCAGTTAATTAATAACCCAGCACTTTAAATTTACACTGGTTTCTCAACTGCCATTTCTAGGTAAAAACTGATTTTCAAGGTAGAAATTTGATTTTCATGTATTAATCATAAGCATGCACTCATGCTAATGAATTATTTACTACCCTAGAATCTTAGAAAAATAACTTGACTAACCTATATTTATTTGTTTTATATACGATCTACTTTAAACTTTTTCATTGATAAAATGAAAAGTAAAGAATTTTTGTAAACACATAGCTTCTTAAAGTACTATCTTCTATCCTTTGATAATCTTACTGCAACATAAGGAAAAGGAAAGAATGTAGTAAAACCCAAGCAGAATCTTAAAGTTCATATCCCTTTTTATCCATGTGAATTACAGTCTTTCCTATAAAAGAAATTGAGAAATCTGGTAATGTATTTCATGCACGGATGGATGAACTGTCATCCATAGTACGGATAGCCTTGCTCAGGAAATAAACAAACATTTAATGCTCACTGACATGTCATTAGTTTCCCTAACAGCATAAACATACATTAAAGATGTAATGAGCAGGAATTTCTTCTGCCATCATTATGTAGAACAAGAAAGATGGGCCATTTAAAAAGGACTTTAAATACCTACTGGATAAAGGCCAAAATAAGGCTCTGCTTTTCTCTTGGGTTTTCTGTTAGGCTAAAAAAATCACATAGCGATTACCATTCAACTTTCTTTACTATTGACAAAAGGGAATCAGGCAAAATTCCAAAAACATGGCATATGATCTAATACGTTTGCAGAAAGGCATCATACTCTTTTTGCAGCTCCTGTTCCCATAATCAAAACCATTTAGCAAAGATGCTTTCCCAATTAACAAAAGGTCCCCCTCACCGCCATCCAATGAGCTTTTCTTTTTTCATTTACAAATGTGACAAAATCTTTATATATTACCCTACATGTTCAGGTATCTTATAATAAAGCAAATAAATATTGGCTGAAGCACCAGCTGAATAAACAAGGCTTCCTGAATTCGGCTGCTTCTTTTGTGGCTGTCAGTGAAATTAGTTAATCTCTACATGGATTCAAATTTCTAACCACATATCTTAAGGGTTCCTTTACTTAGCTTAGCAATAAGAAAAACACTACTTGCAATGGAGTCGCCAGCTCTGAATAAAAGTAATAGCTCAGCTTTGTCACCCTCTGGCATATGATCTAATACATTTTCAGAAATGTATCATACTCTTTCATTTCTCAAAAATTTGCATTTTTTTCCTCTTAAGTTCAAAGGACAATTTATTTTAGTCATATTCACTCATGTCTTTGATTACAGCCCCATTGATGTTTGCAGTTTTCAAGGACTCTCAACGCTTTCTTTTCCATGTGTTTCTTGTTCATTGGATATCAATATACACACATCATTCATCATTTATTTTCTACAAGTGCTACATTCTCTCCATTCAGTAGCCTTCCCAAATGGCCATGGAGACATTCTCCCTTGCCTTATACATCATTTATTATTGACTTTATTCCTTTCACTTAACTTGAGACTTGATTTTTCATGTCTATTCATTTCGCCTATTGTTGAGCCTTTCTGGTTCACATGTGTTCGGCCTTCAATGCAATTATTTGCAAAAACTACTTTGGTTAACTCTCTTTCCACTTCCAGTGGGAATTTTTCTTCCCAAACAGCTCAAATTTGTTTCAGGGTATTTTTTTATATTACAGCTTTTTTAAAAGACCATTTGGGGAATGTGTTTTGGATAAATCAGGCTGAAGTGTATTGAAGTTCTTTGAAGTTGGATGGCCCCTGGCTGGGTGGATTGAACTCTGGTACAGTATATTTAACAGGATCTCAGAAGAGATAAATACCAATATCAAACAAGGACTGCAGTCAGTTCAGTCAGGATCTCTCGCTAACAAACTCCAGTATTCTTAGCCTAGAGAAAAAATCATAGAAGGCAGAACTTTCAAATTGTGACTCCAAAATGTTAGGAAAGGAGTCAAAAGAAATTTATACTACTCTATATCAAAGCAAAATAATGTGTATACAATGTCTGCCCACAGTAAGTACTGGCAAATTGAAAAAGAACACTCAGGAAAATAAGAAAAAAAGGACAAAATGCAAAAACAAGATAAGCCCAATCTGGAAGAAAATATAACTAAAGTATAAACTAGTTCTGTGACTGCTCTCCACTATATGAAAATTTAATGATATATGAATGCAATAAAACAACAGTTTGAAACCAAAATTATAAAATAAGAGAGAGAGACAGGAAGAGATTCCCCTGAAACAAAATCATTGTCAATATAATTAGAAAACACAAGGAACAGAATACACAGGAATGAAAATAAAATTACTAGCTTGAGATAATAATACTACAGGAAAAAAATATGGAGGATTAAAGCAATGAAAGAGAAAGCACTAGCTATAAAAGACCGAGATCATTAAATGTAAGGATGATAAGTATCTTTAGTACAAAACTCATACAAAAGAACAGGAAAAGTATCAAGAACTGTAGTTCAGAAAATCTTCCTTAAGATGAAAATGTTGATTTGAGTGTGTAAAATGCAATAAATTTGAATGTTGAAAGTTAAAAATAATACTGAGTGGTGATGAACAAATAATGTCCTGGTTAAGCAGAAAGGAAGAATTCTTCAAACAGCCAAGTACAAACGTCTTATCAACCATAAGGGGAAAATCAGGCTTAACTTGGACTTAATAACAATCAATGCCAGATGGAAAACAGAATGGAAAAATACCTCAGAGTTCTGAGGGAAAGAAAGTGTGATCCTAGAATATTATGTTCAGCTGGGTAGCTCTTTTTTTTAATCACTGTTTTTCATAAATTTAATTATGATGTGTCTTGGTATGATTTTCTTTATGTTTCTTCTCCTTGGGGATTATTGAGTTTCTTTGATATAAATGCTTATAGTGTTCATTAAATTTGGAAGATTTTCAGCCATTATGTTTTCAAGTTTTTTAAAAAATGCCCACCTTTCCCCCAGTTTCCCCTTCTCACACTCATATTATACAGGTATTAGAACATTTTATATTGTCCCATGGGTCATTATTCACTTTTCCAGTATTTTTTCTCTCTGCTCTTTACTTTGGATAGTTTGTATTGCTATACCTGCTGATCTCTTCTGCGGTATCTAATCTGCTGCTAATTAGTGCTACTACACTGATTCCATCTAGTTTATTTTTCATTTTTTGTACTGTATTTTTCATCTCTAGAAGTTCCATTTGGTTCTTTTTTATATTTTTCATTTTTTTCCTCACCATGTTCATGTTTTCTTTTATATCCTTGAGAATCCTTATAAGATTTTAAATGAATGTTTTAATGTCTTTGCTAATTCCATTATCTCTGTCATTTCTGAATCTATTTATATTGATTGATTTTTCTCCTAAGTATCTAGTATATTTTCCTGCCTCTTTGCATATGCAATATTTTTTTTCTTAGATGCCAAGTATTGTGGGTTTTATGTTGCTAGGTGGTGGATTTAGTTATATTCCTCTAATGAGTACTGTAATTTACTCTGGCATGCAGTCAAGCTACTTTGAGTCAATTTGATTTTCTTGAGGCTTGCTTTTAACCTTTGGCCAGAGTGGGTCTAAAGCAATCTTTGTTTTACAGCTAATTTAGCCCATTCTAAGGCAAGACTCCTCTGAGGGCTCTTACCAATGATCCGTGTATCGTGATAAGGCCTCTCCATCCTGGTAGATGGGAATATGAACTACTCCAAGCCTTGTGAGTACTCCAGTAATTGTTCAGGCTACTTCTTTTCAGTAGTTCTTTATTCAGTCTCATGGAGTTTCACTTACAAGGACTCAGTGGGACTGAAGGGGACTCCCTTGTAGATCTCCAGGGATGTCCCTCTACACAGGTTCTTCTCCTCCTATACTGTGTCTGTTACATTCTGGCAGCCTTGACATTCCAAACACTGATCTCCATCTCCTCAAGTCAGTGATATTGCCAGGCTCTGTTTGTGTACCCTGATATAGTTTGGCTCTGTGTCCCCACCCAAATCTCACCTTGAATTGTAATAATCCCCATGTGTCAGGGTGGGACCAGGTAGAGGTAACTGAATCATAGGGTGGTTCCTCCATGCTGTTCTTGTCTTAAGGAGTGAGTCTCACAAGATCTGATGGTTTTATAAGCATCTGGCATTTCCCCTGCTTACACTCACTCTGTTCTGCCACCCTGTGAGGAAGGTGCCTGCTTCTCCTTTGCCTTCCTCCATGATTGCAAGTTTCCTGAGTCCTCCCCAGCCATGTGGAATTGTGAGTCAATTAAACCTCTTTCCTTTATAAATTACCCAGTCTTTTGTATTTCTTCATAGCAGTGTAAGAACTAACTAATACATATATCAACCCCTATTCTGTGCTATGTCCTTGAAACTGTCTCCAGGTGAGGCAATCACAGGCTCACCTTATTTTTTATTTTCTTTCAGGGATTATAGTTTTATCCTGACTGAGCTGTTGTTCAATGTCTGAGAATAATTGTTTCATATAATTTGTTCAGTGTTCTAGCTTTTTCATGAAAGGAGGCCAATTTCTGCAGAAGTTAATCCTTTATTGGTGGATGTGGTACCTGTTAGGTTGTTTTCAAGAATAAAAGGATATAGAGGACAGTTTCAAATATGAAAGAACTTGGGGGCTTTAGTACTCATAGCCTTTTTTGAAAAAATCAACACAATTACAAAATGTAATCAATTGAGATCAATATAAAGAACTCAGAATAAAGAAACTGTGGTAACATCCTTGGGATGGAGCACTGCATTTATACATAAAACTAAAATTGAACAATTGTAGAACTCATGGCTACTTTAGTGTTATAGACCTTGACAAAGCAAAAGTAAAAATGTTAGGCAGAAAAGGAAGTGGAAAGAATTATAAGAGTAAATATTTTCATCATTTTTAGGGAGGAGTCAGTTGAAACTTTCTAAAATTGAGAATATAATTTAAAAAATATAATAACTCCAACCTCAAATGTTCCAATCATTGTTTTGTAAACACTATAGGACCCTTACAAAAACTAATATCTTATGGTAAGAAAACTTTAATTTATATGCAGTTTTACCTAGTTTTTAAATATTAAATTAAAATAACATTAATTTATTTTCTAAAATGGCTTTCTGTCATTCTCTTACTGTAAAATTATTTCCATCTATCCATTTTCTCCATCTTCCTATCATCCATGTGTCTATATTAATGTATGCAAAGAAAGATGTCTGCAATGGTGTACATCATGTTATCACACTAATTATATCTTGGTGCTGAGATTGTATAATTTGTTGCTTTTTCCATTTTCTTTCCTGAGTCCATTCATTTTGTCATTTATTCAGTAAATATTTAGTGAATTTATACTATATGCCAAACATTGTTCTACATTACAAAGATACAATAGTAAACCAAACAAAAGAAGTCTATGTCCTCATAGGGTTTATTTTCCACTGTTGGGAGATAGAAAATTTCACAATAAATATAATATTCAATGTAGTGAAAAGTTACATGAAGGGAGGCAGAGTGAGGATACTGTGTGAGGTTTAGGTTGAGGTTAATATTTTTTGCCTATGAGTATCCAGCTGTTCCAATACCATTTGTTGAAAAGACTATTCTTTCTCAGCTGAGATTTTTTGCACCAATATAAAAAAAAATCAGTTGGTTGTGCTTCCAGGGGTCTATTTATGAACTCTTCAGTCTGTTCCATTGATCCATCTATCTATTCATCTGCCAGTCCCATACTGTCTTGGTTACTGTAGTTATATAGTAAACTTTTAAATCAGATAGTGTTATTTCTGTAATTTTATTCTTCTTTGTCAAAATTGTTCAGCTATTCTAGTTTCTTTGCTTCACCATACATTTTTTTAACTCAGCATGTCTATATCTACAAAGAATCCTCCTGAAATTTTGCTAGGATTTGCATAAAATCTATAGATCATTTGGGAACAATTGGCATCTTTATTATATTGAGTTCCATATTTCAATCCATGTACGCAGACGTCTCCAATTTTTTTAGATCTTCTCACTCAAATTTTAAATATTAAGCGTGTATCATTTTAATAACACTAAGTCATTATTCTTTAAAGACACAAAAGATCTTAAGCACTGGTATAATTTGGCACTACCAATGTCTCTAATCTTTTAAAAAATATTTTCATTTATTAATTAATATAGGGACTTAGTACTGAGCTTGCTGACTATTTCTCAATAGTTCACAAATTTTTCAAGAGTTAGAGATCATCTCAGAGGCTTATTAAAATGTATATTCCTAGGCCTGCCCCAGGGATTCTGGTTCATTAAATCTTGGGTGGGGCCCAGAAACCTGAGTTTCTAGCAGGCACATCATGGGATGATGAAATAGGGGTCGCTGCCACATTTGGAGAAACACTGACTTAGTTCTTTGTTTTCTTGTGTATTTTCTTCTGCCGTCTGTCTTTTTGTCAATAGTGGATGCGAGGAGAATGAATTGGATATCAAAGTCATACAAATATGTTTTGCAGCTTGAGTAAAAGCCCTAACAAAGATGTAATGGAAGAGGTTGATGCTGTTGTCTTATATAAATCTCTTGGGCTGCTTGACTTCTGCATTTCCAGTCTATCCAGCTTCAGAGTTCCATGAGAAATGAGCAGCTTGTCATACACAGGAAGTCCCACTGGGGCACATTAGAATTTAGTGAATGTGCACAGTTTATCAGGTTTTTAATATGATGTGCTCATCTAGGCTTGACTTCAATAGCAGGAGTTTCTGATACAGTCCAATGGTCAATTGAATAGAAAATGTAAGCTTCATGAAAGTGATGCATACGACCTGATTCTATGTGTGTATGTGATTCATAAGAATAACATTCAACTTCATCCAGAGTCCTTTGCCTTCGATAGGAAGGGTAGAAAATGGCCTATAATCTGGATAAAAGGAGCTATGGACTCGTGAAATACAAATTACTAACATTTTATTCTTCCATATCAGTCAGCAAAAGCTCAGTGCAAATACCTTTCTGTTTCAGTTAGAAGAGGCAGCCTGCTTAGACAGAAACCAAGGGTTGAGACTCTGTGACAGTGTGACAAAGTAGCACAGGCTGTAAACACAGCAGACCAGGGGTTGAAACTTACTGAAGCCTCATATTAGTTGTGGCTTTTTGGGCCAGTAACTTCACCTTACTGTGCATCCATTTACTTATTTGGAAAATGAGGATGTGAAAATATTTATCTTCAGGATTTTTCTGAATATTAAAGGAGCTGGTGTGTCAGAGTAAGCAACCAAAGATATTTGTTTTTAAAAAGTGGATTCCAATCTTTATTTCTAGAAAGCATCTATCTGGTGCAGCTTATAATTATTGCATCTTCTTCTGACTGGCAGCCTGGGTTGGTGGGTACTACATACTTGCTACAAGAATGATGTAAAGCCCTAGCAGAGGAGTTAGAATTTAGAGGGTGCACATTATTTGTGCAGGAAAACTATTTCCCAGGGAGCAACAAGCCAGGCAATAGCTGGCTGATGCCACAGCTTCCCTGGAAAATGAGAAAAGTACAAAGGGCGGTCTTTTGCATCAGTCTTCTGGCAGGAGGGCCTCACCAGGGATCCCACAGACATGGAGAATCAAGCTGATTAAGGCCCAGTAAAATTCTAGGACACCCAACTTTCTTCCAATTGCCTTACTGGCCCATGCATGATGAATCAGTCCACCTGATGATAATGTCTTACTTCTTGAATTGCAAAATATGCTGAAATAAAGAAAAAGAACAAAAGCAGACAGCTACTCTCAGGCTCTTCAACCTGCAGCAGATTTTATGGCTTTCCAAATAATTTTAAAATGTTAATTGACTAATTGCTCTTATTTATCATCTTTTCAAGCAGTCTTGAAGTCAATTGCAAAGGTGTACTCCTTTGACCTAATATAGGAAGACACAGAAATAGCACGATCATTGTCAGTTTGTGGCAGACAATGTGTTTTGCTTCCCAGCTCTTTCTGGTAAGCACTGAAGAATCCACTTCCCATGAGAAGAGACAATCTCTACCCACATATTTGAACAATAAGAAGATTGCATTTAGACCATTTGATAACGGGGCTTTCAGCACACACACACACTCCCACTTGCCACTCTGGAGAGACTCATAACTCATTGGGATTATTTGTTCTTGGAGGAAACCAAGCACAGAGAGGCAGGAGACAGATCACAGAGACTTAGATAAATATGCCTAATTATAGACTGAGCTATTAGCGTGACATGAATTGCTGCTTCTGAAAATGATCTGACAGCCAGCGAAAGCTCCTGTGTCGCTGGCCTAGGCTGTCTGTTAGCAAACAGGGATCTGCAGGAGCAGCCCTTACCTCCATTCTCTCAGCTAGCTCTGTGGCTCCATGCTTCACTGGCTTTTCCCTTTGCTTTGCTTGTGAAAATGAGCTCCATCTTTCAAATTGCTTCTGTTTTTCATGGGTTGAACATAGCTGCTGGAACCTTCATGCTTTCTTGGGTATTGCTGATGCTTCTTAACTTAATAAACTTTAACTTAACAACAGTTAAAACCCAGATTGACACATGCTGAAGGAAGAGCCCCATATATCTAAAGCACTCAGCTCCATCCCAAACTGAGAGCTTACAAACCTGCTCTGCAGCCTCTCCTGCTGCAAGGAAACCTCTTTGTTCTTAATTTGTTTGATCAATGTAATTTATTTAGATCAAATCTAACACTTGTTCCTTTCAAAATTCTCTGTGTATAATGAATAGTAGGTGAACATTTATTTGCCTTATTTTATAGCATTGGGCCATTTATGAGCTTCCCCCCTCTGCTTGCAAAGCACCAATCTTGTCCAGAAAAAAAGACAAAGGATTTTGGAGCTTGGCTATGGATGTAGTGTGTATGGTGAATGTGCATGGCACACAGAAATTTTCATCAACGTGAAATGGGTGCTCAGCCTCTGGCTGCGTTTATTTGGGAAAGAGGCTCTTTTGAAGTATTTAGCACTTCAGCCTGGGTGACAGAGTGAGACCTTGTCTCAAATAAATAATAAATAAATAAATAATTCTTTCTTTTGAAGTATTTAGGAAAGAGTCTGGAAACAAATACGGAACATACAAAATGGAGTGGGAATGGGAGTTATATATGTAACAGGGATGTTATTTAAAATCCATTAATGGGCTTTCTTTTTACCTACGTGAGTTCTTTACCTTGGTCCTGGTTGGCTCAACGTATCTGTATGCAGGGTTGGGGAGGGGTTTGAAAAATATTACAGAAGATTGCAGAGAGAAAGCTGGACATAATATTTAACTTCTCCCATGCAAGTTAAGATTCGGCAACAGAGCAATAACACTGAAAATCAGGTAACTGTAGGGATAGGGAATTTCATACCTGTCTTTACACATTCACTCCCACCCACCTTCAGTAAGAGAAGCCATGCACCAAAGACTCAAAATTGTGGATTTTCCTCTGAGATAACCCCTTTGTCTTTGATACCAAAACCAGAAGACCTGACAGCTGATGACACGGAACCTACTTAGATGTGAGAGAGAGGTAGATGTGTTATATGAGCAATGCTGACACTGACAACTCAGGAACTGATGATCATTTAAGATATTCTACTACCTACAACAACCTTGGGCAAAGCCGCAGAGTCAGACAGAGTGGATCCCTTGGGTTTAGCTTTCTGGGCTGCTGTCAGTGCCCATGGGCTGTGGATGCTGAATTGATGGCCGGGGGACTTGTCAATCAGTCTACCATGGCAGGCAAGGAAGCCCTGTAGCAGAGTCTGACCAAAGATGCAGCAGACGCTCAGGGGTCTGCAGATAGGCAGAGTCAAGGAGAGGCCACTTCATCCCATGAGTGTTTCTTGGCCTAGAGCAACCCAGAAGAGACCAAGTCATGGCTTAAATCGGCTAGACTTTGGGGCCAGCAGGACCCATAGCAATAGGAACATCACTCTGGTGACAGGGGACAACAGCTTGCACACCTTCAAGGACTGTGTAAGGCCAGGGAGTCTCTTTGCCCTGTGATGTGAGAAGGAGTAAGATCCCCTCTCCTCCAAAAATGGGAGTCTACCCTAGGGAGAGATGCAGAAGAAGGCAGGAAGTGGGCTATCTAAGGGATTTGGCATTTTTTCCCTAAAGTATCTGCAGACTAGCTAAAGGGATGCATAGATACACACAATGAATTGAATGAGTTTAAACCGATGGGAAAGTTAGTTAAAGGTGTTCTTGCTCACCAGCAGGCAGAGGCTTGGGAGAAATGCTGGATTGGAAACTTAGTTAAAGGTGTTCTTGCCAACCAGTGGGTAGAGGCTTGGGAGAAATGCTGGGTCAGAGTTCTGCTGAAGGGTTTGTCAAAAAAGGCAGAAAACATGCCAGAAAAGATGCAGAAAAGATATGACTATCTTCAAAACATGTTGAGACATTCTTGCCCTTTGCCCACTTCCAGTAGCCCTGAGAATGACTTCCTTTTTATTTTTTTACATTTCCCCCTTCCCTTACCTTTTATTTACTTATTTATTTTTAAAGATTTATCCTCATCTCTTTGAGGAAGATGAAAGCTCAGATTTAGTCAAATAAAACCTGTTCTATAAATAGCCCAGGATGCTCTACCATGTTAGACATGAACTTGCAATCATTCAGGCTGCCAATCAGTTTTGCTCAGAAGAAGCTTCTGGCTCAGTTTATTTGGGAAAGAGGCTCTCTTGAAACTTCTAGGGAAGGTTTTGGGGATGAATATGGAACACGTGAAAATGGTGCTTACTTACGGGACTTCCATGGACCGTCTGGTATAGTCTGTTGAAGGTGATAGCCTCATGTTTCTCTGATGCCTCAGAGCATCATTTTGGGGTCCTGTGGGTCCTGGTTCTAAGATGCTCCTCCTTGGGTCCCAGGGTAATCTTTGGGACCGAAGCTCAGAAGTCCAGCAAAATGGTAGACTGCATACTCATATGCAAGATAATAACAGGCTGGGCCATGATTGCTAGCATTTACGGAGTACTTAGTACATGTCAGGTAATGTCCAAGCACTTGATAAATATTTCATTTAATCTCAGAGCAATCCTATGAGTCAGGCACTATTTATCATTTCTATTTTATAAATTAGAAAACATATTCAAAAATATCAAATACTTGCCCAGTTTCAGCAGCCAGGAAATGGCAATACTGAATGAAAAGCCAGGGACTACAGCCAGGTGACAACTTAGCCTGACACTCAAGCAGCAAACAATCCCAAGGAAGTCAAGTCAAAATCTGCTCTCTTATGCCTGGCCAGAGCCTGCTCTTGTCTTCTGCCCTCCCAATCATCCTGTGTGCAACAGGCCCCTAAATGTTACTCTACTGCAAAGCAGACGTGCAAAGAAAACATAATGTCTTTATGGAGTCTGCAGTCTCATCTTTGCCACTGGTCAGCAAGAATGCAATTAATTAAGGGTCCGATCCAGAAAAGCTGTCACAAATAAGATGTAAATTTGGCAGAAGGGCAGGAGAGGGTGGGTTTGGGAGGGCCTGCTGTGGGGCTGGAAGACTTCTGAAATGCCACAGGAAAGCCTGTGAGTTCTATGCCCTTACGGGGAGAAGGAGAGAACTATACAGAATAGATGAGGGCCAGAGAGAGAAAAGTGACAGGTAGAGAATAACTTCCCTCTCATTATCTAGGGAGGCTGACACACGTGCATTTGTATTGTAGTTAAAAGCTGTGCAATTGCAGAGAGAGAAGAGATCCAGGAGGGAAGGGGTGTATAGAATCATGTCTATTCTTGCTATAAACAACCACTCACATTTGTACATCACTTTACAGTGTATAATACACTTCACATACATAATCGCACCAGCTACTCCAGCAATAATTGTTCCAACCTATAGGTCCTTTCTCTGTGAGGGATCAGTGGAAAGCAATTAGCATGTGTGCGAAACCAAGACTGTTTACACTTCATGCTTCAAAGCTAATCATCTCCCAATCATTTTATTTGTTCATCTGTTTTCATGTAAAGTGTTCACTGTAAATAGAATTGGGGACAGCAAGGGTCACACGCATATGAAAATGTCCTCGATTACTTTAAAATGCTGATACTTGTCCTTCTGTAGAGGCTGCCTGAGACAGCACTTACAGGTGCCAAAGCTTGTAAATGAGTCCCAAGACCCTCCATTAACACATCATTCATTTGCTTTCATAAGGGAAGCACAAATAGATCTCCAATTAAGGTTTTTCTCATTGTTCTTCCAGGCTGTTTACAAACTCTAACAGGTTTTGGTCATGAATGATATTGGGTGGCCGTAACATATGCTATTTTTCAAAGAGTGGACAGTTGACTACCAATTTTCTGCACATGGATTACCCGGATGGTGAGGATCACTCTTCCATGTCCATCTGCTGGATCCTCCTTAAGGTCAGGGGCATGTGGCTCTCCTTCCAGCATTATTCCTCAATCCCAAGCCAGCCTAAAGTTTATCTCTAGTTTTCAAATTACCCACTGACATCGAGAGCTGCCTTCATCAGGAGCTGACTGGATATATCTCCCCCTGCCCCGGCCCCAGGTTCCTACCATATCAGATTAAGCGAAAGGCAATAGAAGGTGTAGAGCCATAGTTATTACACTGAGATTCAAAGGGAACAGCATACACCGAGCACTGTGTCATTTAAATTGGCAGATTTCCACTCCACGCTTCATTTGCCAAACATTTGGTGTGGATCGAGTTGGCCATCAGCACGAACCAAGTGCCTGTTGCTGTTGGCTGTTGGCAGCCACACATCCCTAGGCGGCTCCAGCTGTGGCCACCGCAGCACTTCCTATCAGGCAGACTATGGCAGGTAGAGACAAGGTGGGCCCATCATGGGACTGAACACAAAGCTGCCTTCCCCACTTTTTCCGCATTACTCCATGTGTCCGGTTTTAATACTTCTCCTCCCCCATGCATGGTTGTCCTGATTGATGTTTAAAAATAGTATATGCAAATGTCTGTCTACCTATCATCAACTATCATCTAATCGATCTATATGAATATATATGAACCTCAAAAATATTCTCATCATAAGTGAGACTATGAGCCATAATTAGGACTTCATTTAAAAAACTGTTGGCGCTATTATCCTATTTTGGCTCCTGTCAAATGAAATATTTGCTCTTCTTACCTTTGCACATTTCCACGTGAGCAAACACACAGCTCTTCCCAGAAAATCAGAAAGATTGCATCTTAGATTCACACCTGCAGGTGGTAAGGTTTTCTCAGAGGCTATATAGAAACACTGCATTTCCCAGGGGCTTGGAGAAAAGCAATTTTAAAATAGTTTGAGATTTTTTTCTGGGAGGCGGCACTTGGTGACCACACCTAAAAGTTTATTTGTCATGTGTTGATTCATTTGTTCATTCAATGCGTTATTTTCTAAGAGCTTTATATGTACTACCTCTGACGACACAGACAAATCAAGTGAGACATTTTCCCCCAAGTATCTTACAGTACAAACAGGGGAAAGAATTTTCCTAGAATCACCTTAAATCCACCCCTTGGTCCTTTTCAGAGCATGTTCACATCACTTTTCTCCTTGGATGCCATCAAAACAGGCAAGGCTGGCATTATTCTCCTCCTCAATGGGGGAGGAAGCCAAGGTCTACCCAGACTGTGCTGTTGGTTGTTGGTGGAGCCTGTACCAGGATCTCTCACCAGCTGTGTGACTCAGGGCAAATTACCCAACTGCTCTGGGCCTCAGTTTCATCATCTGTAACAACGGCATGAATAATACCTGACTATTTCATAGTCAGCCAACTCAATCCACACCAATATTTGTTAGTGCTTAGCACTATTCACAGCACAGAACAGGCACTCAATAAACAATAGCTATTCTTAGCTCTTAGAAGCTCCACTTAGATACTGCTGCTGCTATGAAGCTAATACTGCCCTACTGGGATGGCTCTCCTGGCATTTTCTGAAGCAATGTCTAGCTCACTTTTAGGGCTTGCAGTCACCAGCGGATTTCAGTTGAGAGACATCAAAGCTGGTTTAACAGGCAAGATCCCCACATCTTTTTTTACTCCATCCCCTCTCCCTACAAACAGTATAAACAGGGGATACACATACATGTGTGTGTGTTCTATTTCTATCTTCCCCTAGATATAAACAAACACACATGCACGTGTGTGTGCATCACATGCACCTCATATCCAGGACCATCTCCAGTCTCAATACCTCTTCAACCCTTTTTAGGCTGCGGTGCAAATGGGGTCCGGTAACTCCAAGAAGGTGCTGCAGTCGGAGGCCTGTGGGACCTGAACGGTTGCTAGGTTACCATCCCCTGGGACTGGTCTGCTCCAGCTGGCCTGGAGGCTTGACAGGTTTCAGCTGATTCCGAGTAACTCTACTTCTTTGCTTTTAAGGTCCCCTGGGAATGTGAGTGTGAACCAAAGAAGATTTGTAATAAGCCTGGGAGGACTGCCTAGACCCGATCCCTGTGGCTGCACTGAGCCTGGGTGGGAGAAGGAAGCCAGGAGGGTGCAGAGGGTGCAGGCAGAATTCCCTGCATCAGCTGTGCTTCTTGACTCCCCACAAAAAGGCCAAAGGCCAGTGGACTCTGTTTGTCAAGGGAGATTTTCATGGTTTTTTAAGTGAAAAGAAGTGAGTGTGAGTGTGGGATTAATGGGGGAAGGTTCAGGCCTTTGGGAATTTTTCTTAAGTAGCCTCTGTGAGTATAACAATGATGAATGTGGCTGCACTCACCACCAGGGAGCTTCAGCGATGGCAGGAGAGAATTCCTGACACACCCTCATTCAGTTGTTCCACTCTGAACCCAGCAACTATTTTGCATGCATTTGCTCAGTTCTGAGAATTGGGGAAAGAAGTCATTTTCCATTACACTCAACAAATATTTATAGACACAGTATAAGCTAGACATGGCGCTAGTTTTAAGGATAGTTTAAGTGAGTGAAGCAGACAAGGCCCTGTCCTCATGGAGCTTATAGTCTAGGGGAAGATAGAAATAGAACTAGTAATGCCAGATATATGGAATCACACATCAAGGGGAAACTTGAGAGACAATATAGCCTGGGGTCTGGATTGTGCGCTGTAAAGCCAGAGAGTCTCCTTGGGAATCTTGGCTCTGACATTTACTAACTATATACTTAGCCCGGCTTAGCCTCATTTATAAAATGGAATAGTAATAATAATAATATTTACTTTATAAGGTGTTCATATATAAATTGGTTAATGTACAGAAAACAATTAGATCAGTTGGTGGCACATAGTAAATAATCAGTGTGAGTTATTATGGATTCTCCCTTGCTTTGGTGGGTAATTTTTTAAGAATCATGTTCTATTAACTCTTTGCAGGGTGCTAACATCAGGAGAGAGCAAACTCACTTTCTGCCTCAGTTATAGTTAATTTTATCCCTGATAAGCTACTTGAGGATATAGATTTTGGCAGAAGGTTGGAATCAAATCCTCAGTTGCTACCTTTTATGCAAAAAAAAAAAAAAAAAAAAAAAAAAAACCCAAAGCAAATCAGGTCTAGTTTTCTCAGAGCCAAGCAAGAAGTACATTTCTAAGTATTCTCACGAGCTGGTCATCTAAGGCCGGCCCCTCAGACCTAAGAACAAATGAATAGCCCAGAAGGCGTGGATACGAAGTCATTAAAAAGAACAAATGTGAAGGGCAGGATTCTAGAAATTGGTGCCAAGGATAGGACTAAGTTCTCCTTCTAAATGTGATGGAAGGCATCTTTTCAGAGAATAAGGGCTAATTAATAAAGATTGGTTGCTGTTCCTGGCATTGAGAGTTTTAAGGCACTTACTGAAGGAAAACAAAGTGGTATTGACCCAGCCTTAAAGCCAGACATTGATGAGGGCACCGGAAACCATCCACACAACACAAACACTTTCCTGTCATTTTCCCATAAATGGAAAGAGCAGAAATCTGCCAGCCTTTGGTTCAAAGATCTTGTAAGACTTTAAAATACACATCAGAGATATTCCTGAGAATGACACAGCACCTTAGACTAAGCCACCCTGGACAGCAATGCTGAGATGAGATGCCTGTCTCAACCCTGTAACTCAAAGACTCAAGTCTTCTTTTGTTTCTGTCAATTGCAAACCCCAATGTACTCTGTAGTCATCCAGAGTGTTAGCGTTTAGAAGGAAGTTAGAAATAACATAATCCAAACCCTTTCCTTTATAGCAAAGCAACTGAAGTCCAGAGAACGGAGACCATCCAGAGCCGCACCCAGTTAATGGCAGGGCAGAGACTGAAACCCAGATGCTATTTGTTGTCCACCTTCTTCTAATATCTTGGGGGTTGTTTACCATCTGCTGGCAGATTCCCTGGCTATCACCAGCCTCCATGTCGGTTATTAACAACTTGAAAGCAAGGACAATACCAAATACCATGGGGTGGTGTTTGCCTCTGATTGATGGTTTTGTTCTCACGAAGTTAGCACTCTCTGAATGGTTTCTTATTTTCTAGACATGTGATGTCTGCTGTTGGGCAATGTCTAAGCCTCAGTGGTTTTGATAATTAGGCTTTCTTCCAGTAGAGCTTTTCCTCTCTTGCTTTTTCCTCAACAGGTAGCCCCTCTTCCCAGCGTGGCTGCTTCTCTTTTGGGTAAACACACATGCAAAGCCTGCCCTGATCCTCCCTCTAGGCAGACCCTGATGCATCTTCTTTGGGGCACCTTTCACTAATCTTTAGACTTGCCCTTTATAAGACATGAGTCTTATCATTAAGATTACTATAATATCTTCTTATGATTGTTATTAGATTATTATAATAATCTTATCATCCTTTATTTGCTGGTCTGTCTTCCTAATAGATCATATGCTTCATAGGATCAAGAACTGTGACTTTTTGTTTCCCTAGAGACTTGTCTGTTGGCTGAAGAGCAGTTCATCCACCAGAACAGGAAGAAAGGCTGAGTAGCTGGCCACTGGCTCGGAACAGCAGATGAGGTGGTGGGAGCAGACAGATGTTCTCTTCTAGTTTCCTCTGCTTTCTCTGTGAAATAGAAAGGAGGATCCTTGCCTGAGAAGAAGGATGGGAAAGGGGGAGTTCTGGAGGTCTGGGGAGAGACAAGAAGAGAAGGTGTGAGGTTGTCAGGAGAGAGGGTCAGAGCACGGAATAGTTTGGGAACAAGATGATTGACAAGAGAAGGGGCATGGTCGTGGGACAGTCTAGGATATGTGAGACATTTACCTAGGACAGTGGGCGAGAGACTGGACCAGGGAACTGTTGTAGTATCTATGAGAAGTACTTGGGGCCTACTTGAGGTTAGAGGCCATGAATTTCAAGGGAGACCATTGGCCAGATTGAATGTTTTTTCCAGATGCACACATTGTGCAGATGAAGGCTCAGAGTTGATAAAAAGTTGTAGTTAGCCATGTTCAGGGTTTTGCTGAGAGAGTGCCACAATAGGAGAAAGAGGCCAGGATGGTAAGGGAGCAATGTCAAGGACTCAGGACAGCAATGGACTGTGGGATCTCAGCTGGGTGAAAAGGGAGGGAAGAAATGAAGGAGCTGAGGGACAGTGGTAGGGCCACATGAGGACCAAAGAACTCTGAGATCAGCCTGCCAGGGTAGGGAGTGAGAAGAAACCTGGGAAACCGCACATCCTTTCTAATATGATATGAAGGCAAATAGAAGATAGGAGTGTGTTTGCTTGTTTTAATGTCCATACTAGGCAAAATAAATTATTGGTACTATATTAGTTCTCATAATGCTTTTGGTCATTTTACCAGTCCATGAAAGTAAAGTCTGGGAACCACTTGTTTAGAGAAAACAGCCTGCAAGCCTGTCCTGAAGTGACCTGGCATTAGTGTCTCCAGTGGGAGGGAATTCTTTGCTTTAAGACTTCTCTGTCTTCCCTGAGCCAATGAAAGTCATGGAGAGGCACATGGATTGAAGACCCTTAAATTTTCCTTAATGTGTGTACAAATCCACGCCTGAGTTGGTTTTCTGTATCATTTACCCTACAAGTGGATTTGAAGCTGGCATGCTCTTTCTTGAGTCCCTAAATGCCTTGAGGATAAAGTGTCCACATAGCCTGACAGGGCAGAATCTCTCCAGCTGGGGTTTCCAGGAAGCTTTGAGCAAGAGGTGTGGAAATCAGAGCTTCAGCAGCTGCTGCCTGCTGGGAACAATAAGCTGTGGCCCTCCCTTCAAGCAGAGTTTTGTTTTCTGCTGGTGTCATATCAAATATGCCATCAGTGTCTCCATGGTCCAGCAGTAACCAGTGAGTAGCCTCACAGCAACAAGAAGCCAGAGAATTAAGTGTCTCAAGGTCAAGGAAGCAGGGCCTTCTTGGATCAGCTATGGAGCATTACCTTAGCCTTGTTGGCTTGGGCCTAGGGAGAGCTATACATCACATCCTAATGAGCAAATATGAAAGGATCAGAGAATGATGAAATGACTTCTGCTCAGAAGGTCACAGAGTAATGGCTCTCCTGATGTTGTCTTGAGCCAAGTTACAACAGGACAGAATCTGCTAATCTTGAAAGAAAAGGCTTTGTCATATGTCAGTGTTCATCTTTTTTTCTCTCACATTCTCTTCCTCACCAAAATCAGGATCTCCTCTTCCTCCCCTTTCTCCTCCTCTGCCATTTCCTTCTTTATTTAATGTATAGACCTCTTTTCATTTAGGCTGTTCATCTTATACAATATAGTGTGATGGCTCTGGCCACAGGTTATAGATTTCTGAGATTTTTCATGCTGCCATGAATATATACTAATGTTTGGACATTGGGCATATTATTTTTTTAACTTCTATTTTAGATTCAGGAGGCACAAGTGCAAGTTTGTTACCTGGATATATTGCATGACGTTGAGGTTTGGGGTATGAATGATCCCATCATCCAAGTACTGAACATGGTACGCAATAGTTAGTTTGTCAACCCTGTCCCCTTCTCTTCATCCCTCCCCCATGTGGCAGTCCCCAATTTCTATTGTTGTCATCTTTATGTCCATGAGCACCCAATATTTAGCTCTCACTTATAAATTAGAGCATGTGGTATTTGGTTTTCTGTTATGGCATTAATTTGCTTAGGATATTGGCCTTCAGCTGCATCCATGTTGCTGCAAAGGACATGATTTTGTTCTTTTTTATGGCTGTGTAGTATCCCATGGTGTATATGTACCACATTTTAAAAAATCCAATCCACCATTGATGGGCACCTAGGTTGATTCCATGTCATTGCTATTGACAATAGTACTGCTATGAATACACACATGCATGTGTCCTTTTGGTAGCATGATTTGCTTTCTTTTGGATATATACCCAGTAATGGGATTGTTAGATCAAATGGTAATTATGTTTTAAGTTTTTTGAGAAATGTTCACACTGCTTTCCACAGTGCCTGAACTAATTTATATTCCCACCAACAGCGTATAAGCATTCCACTCCCTTTTTTTTTTTTGACATGAGGCCTTGCTCTATCACCAAGACTGGAGTGCAGTGGCACAATCATGGCTCACTGCAGCCTTAACCTCCCAGGCTTATGTCATCCTCCCACCTCAGCCTCCTGAGTAGCTGGGACCACAGGTGCAAACCACCACTCTTGGCTAATTTTTAATTTTTTAAAAATGGAGACAAGGTCTCATTACATTGCCTAGGCTGGCCTTGAACTCCTATGCTCAAGCAATCCTCCCTCAGCCTCCCAAAGCATTAGAATTACAGACATAAGTCACCACACTCGGCCCACTTTTCTCTGCAGCCTCACCAACATCTGCTGTTTTTTGACTTTTTAATAATAGCCATCTGACTGACGTGAGATGGTATCTCATTGTGGTTTTGATTTGCATTTCTGTGACGATTAGTGATGTAGACAATTTTTCGTGTTTCTTGGTCAAGTGTATGTCTTCTTTTGAGAATTGTCTGTTCATGCAACAATAGCATTCCCCTTTCTAGTGTTGTTGGAGGATTAAATTTTAAAAAATGCCTATAAAGCTCCGGAAGTGCTGACCACAGAATAAGCATGCAATTAATGTTATCTCTTATAATTATCTGTAAAATGTACAGAATATGCAGGGAATGGGTTTAGAGACTCATGCTAACAAGCATTTATAAACACATACAATTATCTTGGTGTTAAGGGAAGGTATCACAGAATGACATCTTTGTCATCTAGTGCCATTGGTTTTGGTCATTATTTAAGGTATGACTGAATCACCTGCCCCCTGAGAGTTCTTCCTGGGGAGTCCCTCCTGAAAGTCTTTCTTAGAGATTGTCCCCAGTTGTGAGACAATCTCTAGATGACTGTCTCCTTTTGCTTTACTATGTTAACCCCTAGTCAGAAACATAATTTCAATGAGACAGATTCCTAGTTTTAGTAGAAAATTAGGGCTTTTTGAAAACCACTTTAAATACCCAAAGTGAAAAATATCCAAGTGACCTGAAAAAGAAGTCAACATACTTTTCAAAAATCTCAGTTTTTCTCTGTTTACAGAAATGGGAAATCTGGCTGCAGAAGATACCTTTTTTCTAAAATGCATAAGCCTATCTTGTAGAATAATTGGATTCATAGCTTAGACCTAGCAGCATTGTTTCCCTTGGAACAGAAA
This sequence comes from Homo sapiens, assembly GCF_000001405.40. NCBI lineage: Eukaryota > Metazoa > Chordata > Mammalia > Primates > Hominidae > Homo > Homo sapiens. The sequence continues at coordinate 36,556,177 of NC_000013.11, forward strand.
TGGGTGTACTTAAAAGGAAAGTTATATTTGCTAAAAAATAAAGGCTGCTCTAACTCTAGTGGCCCATGAGGACTGAAACACTAGAGCACATTTATCATGCTGGTTCTGTGAGGTTGTTCAAGGGCTGAGATGAAATACATTTGGAAAGTTTTGGTGTGTTAGGTGAGCCAGAGCAGGAACTGCATCCCTAATGCATGTTCTCATTAGGAGAATTGCTTTCTAATTTAAAAACTCACCAGACCATCGCTTCAGTTTCATCCTACAAATTCTACTAGGAGAGTGCATGTTGCACTAAAGAAGTAGTTTTTCTTTCACTGATTTGAAAACATAATATTTGTTCACTAATGCAAAATGAATCGAGACTTTACCTTTGAATGCTCAGGAGCATGTCCATCTTTGAATAAACTGATTTTAACTTTGTTTTAAAGCAAGATGATTTGGGCTCTCATAAAATCATTGGCGATGTGGGGCCGAAGAAATGCTTTCACTCCAAAGAAAGTACAACAGCTTCACTTCAGTGAAATTCCAGTAAAACGACCCTTCCAAATGATACAAACTTTAGACTTGTTCTTTGCTTTGAAAAATTTTTGCAAGAAAAGAAAACCAAGTGAAAAAATTAAGTAAACAGAACTTCAAACACTTTATCTTACATTTTGCTACATGGTTAAGGAGATGGTTGTGTTTGTAATGCACAGGGAAGAAAACAGGGCATTTTGATCAACCATGAAAATAATATTCAACAAACCATGTGTTCTTTTAGAGTTTAAAAATTCTGAGACATCTTTTAAAAGTGAGAATATTTTATTTTAATCATAGTATGCAAAAAGTTCCTAGGTTTTGTAAATTTGGTACTGTGTATTTTTATTTATATCAGAATTAATATAGCCTAAATTTTATAAGTTCTCTTAATTTTTGCTCTCTCTGGACAAGGATTAGCACTTCTCATCCTCCAAAAATGCACAGGCTTCCTAGACAAGTATCTCTTTGAGGAGTTGGGTTGCAAAAATACGAAGAATGTTCTAGAATTCGATAGTACACTAGGGAAAATATAGTTAACAATTTATTCTATATTTCAAAATAGCAAGAAAATAAAAATTAAGGTGTTCCCACCACAAAGAAAAGATGATGTATGAGGTGATGGATATTCTAATTACCCTAAGTTGGTCATTACACGTTGGATACAGGTATCAAAATATCACATGTTCCCTCAAAATATGTACAACTATTATATATCAATTAAAATGCCTTAAAATTATTTTTAGGCAGTAGCTCACACCTTTAATCCCAACATTTTGGAGGCCAAGGAGGGATGAACACTTGAGGCCAGGAGTTTGAGTCCAGCTTGGGCAACACAGTGAGACAGTGAGACCCTGTTTCTACAAAAAAATTAATAATTAAAAAATTACCTGTGTGTGGTGGTGCATGCCTGTAGTCACAGCTACTTGGGACTTTGAGGCAGGAGGATTGCTTGAGCCTAGGAGGTTAAGGCTGCAGTAAGCCCTGATTGCACCACTGCACTCCAGCCTGGGCAACAGAGTGAGACTCTGTCTCAAGAAAAAAAATTGGCTGGGCACAGTGATTTATGCCTGTCAGCCCAGCACTCTAGGAGGCCAAAGCAGGAGGATTGCTTGAGGCCAGAAGTTTGAGACCAGACTGGGCAACATTATGTAACCCTGTCACTACAAAAAAAAAAAAAAAAAAAGAATTTCAAAGTTTCATACAGTACCATTTACTCTTGTGGTTGGCATAGAGTTCTATGGGTTTTGAAAAATGAATGGAGTCATGTATCCAGCATAATACAAACCAGTTTCATCACCTCCAAAATTTCCTCTGCTGCCCCTTAGCAGTCAACTATGCCCTTCTCATACCCCCAAGTCTCTGGCAACAACTGATCTGTCCTCTGTTCGTATAGTTTTGCCTTTTCCAGAATCTCATAATAAAGGAATCATATAATACTACATAGCCCTTTGGGTCTGTACTCTTTCAACTGGCAAAATGCATTTGAGTCATCCATGTTGGTACATGTATCAGTATTTGGTATCTTATTATTGCCAAGTAGTATTCCATCATACGTATATACCACAGCTTGATGATGATCCTATCACCTGTTGATGGAAATTTGGGTTGTTTTTTAGTTTTTGACAACCATGAATAAGCTGATTATAAACATTCATGTACAGGCTATTATGGGAACATAAGCTTCCATTTTCTTTAGGTAAATTCCTAGGAGTGAGAATCGTTGGGTCCTTTGGTAAGGGTATGTTTAACTTTATAAGAGACTGCCCAACTATTTTCCAAGGTTGCTGTACCATTTTGCATTCCTTCTAGAAATTTACCAGAGTTTCAGTTGCTCTGTGTCCTCACCAGCACTTGGCATTGTGAGTTTCTTTTTATTTTAGCCATTCTAAGAGTACAGTGGCATCTCAACATGGTTTTACCTTGACTTACAATGTTGAACATCTTTCCATGTTCTTATTTTCCTTCTTTGTATTTTCTGTGGTGAAATATCTGTCCAAGTATTTTGCCCATTTTAATTGAATAATTTACTTCTTTCTGCTGAAGGAAAAGGTGGGGCATTCACAAAATGATTAAAGTCCTGGATTTACACATGGAAATGGGGGCTGAAACCAAGGAGGTTCTTTATATATTTTAGATACAAGTCCATTTTCAGTTATGTAATTAGAAAATATTTTTCTCTCAAGGTGTAGTTTACTTTTTTTCCATCCTATTAAAAGTGGCCTTTATAGGTAAAGAGGTTATTTATTTATTTATTTGAGACGCGGTCTTAGTCTATTGCCCATGCTGGAGTGCAGTGGTGCAATAACAGCTCATTGCAGCCTTGACCTCCCAGGCTCAAGCGATCCTCCCACCTCAGCCTCCTGAGTAGCTGGGACTACAGGTACCTGCCACCATGTCCAGCTAGTAGAATATCATATAACTACAGAACAGATAGGACTTTAGCTATTGTCTATGGGTATCTAATTTCTTTATGTTTCAGAAAGCAAAATTAAAACCCCGTCAGGTATAGTGACTCACTCAAAGTCACTTACAGTAATGATCCAAGGTCTGCTGTGGCCCCTGCAGAACTTTCCTCCTGTTTTCCAAGAAATTCCACAGTGGGCTATGCAGAACATTATTTCTGTGCATTAGCTGCAAAAACAGGGTCCTGTGGTTATGTATGTTGGGAAATGCTGTATACCCACTCTCCAGGGCATTTTAAGGAGGTTGCAGGTTTTAAGGAGTCCATGTAAAGGTATTTGTTGCGCTCTGTTTGACCCAGGTTTCCCATGTTTATTTGCCTTCTGGATTAGTTTGCCTGAAACCTACTGACATAAACATTACCTGCCTGATGGGCTGTGTCGCATGTCAGAATAGGCTGGGAGTCAATGAATCTGCAGACAAGAAACATGAGACCTGGGTGGTTACAGCTCCTGGGCAGGTTTGCAGGGAGAACAAAGCACTCGAAGGCTCACTTCACCAGGCTCTAAAAACCAGCAAAATTGTTTTCTCAAAATCCAAATAAATAAAAGATTAGTTTTTTTACTCTTATGAAACAGAGACAAAAGATAAGTTTTCTCTTAAGCTAATATTGAGTATATATGTACGAATTACTCAGGTCATAGCCTTATAATTTTGTTAGGTATAGGAAATTGGGGTTGAGTCTGTCCTAATTTCAGGCTATACTCCCTATATATATGTGCAGACATACATACAAACTTTATTCCCTCTCACTCCATGTCAGAGATGAGTATAAGCAAGATACAGTCCCAGACAGTAAGGAACTCAGAGTCCCATATGCCTTCTTCTTTTGGAGAAGGGGAGGTAAGAGGGAGTCATAGTTTTCTCGGTTCTAATTCCCACCTAAAAACCTGAGGAATCCAGCTTTTTGGAGAGCCCAGAGCTCTTCTTGCAAACTAGTCACTGAGTATGAAAGAAACATCTCATTATCAAGCAAGAAGCAATGACAGGATCTGACGCCTTTCTTTGAAGTTCCCAACTCCCCCCTGCTCTGGCTCAAATCCTGCTGCTGTCCTCCCTGGGTCTCTCATGTGGGTTCTGCTGCCCACTCCTCTGGCAGCAGCTTCTTTCAGGTGAGCCTCTGGATGGGTCTTCCTGCCAGCGTGCCTTCTGCCCCCTGCCTCCTTCACACTGTGCAGACAGCTGGAGCTCTTCCCAGGCATTGCCAGAAAGGACTGAAAGTCACCCCTGACTGACTGAAAGAGAGCCCCTGACAAGTTTGTCCTAGGAATAGACAGCTAGATCAATGGCCTTCTCTTCCTACATCTGTTTGGTTGAGTATCTGCCAGACACTGAGCTAGGTGACAGATACAAGGTAGCTATGAGGCTGTTCTTGTTTTTAAAAAGTTTATGACCTGTGAGGAAGCAGATCAGACTTACAGATAATTTAAGTGATCTGGCAAGTGCTACAACAGAGGTCTAAACCGAGTGCTACGGATGCTGGCCTTAGTCTAAGGGTTGTAGGAGGACACCTCCTGCCTCCTGTGCAGGTTACTCCGCTGGAACATGGCCCTGCACTGGGACACAGATGGTTTCCGGAAGGCAAGACTTGTTTCCTCAAAGAGAAATACATGTCTGATTTGGATTTCCTTTTTCCCTGACTGTCACAGACCCCATACCAATCAAGGATAACATTCTCCTCTCCTCAGGCCTAGTGTTCTTTCAAACCCTATAACAGGGCGAAATTCTGGCTTCAAAGGATCAATCCAGCTTGTGTCTGAGAGCGGGCAACACTCTGCAGGGGGTTAGCTGTTCCTTCCCTTGAGGCACTGGGACAAAAACAGCACTCACTTAGGTATTAACCCTTGCGTGCATTGGCTATTTTTCCTGGCGCACTTCCTTCCCCAGCACAACTCCCAAAAGACCCTAGTGTGGTTGTTCCCCTCCATCATTCACATTTCTTACTGATGCTGTCTTTGCTTTCTTCTTACTGACTCTAGAGAAGGATATAGTCTTGGATGACATTTTGAAAATAGAAGAGCCGAGGTTATTAAATGATCATTGCTATCATTCCCACCACCCCTGTCTTCAATATTTCTAAATGTAGAACATTTGAATACCTTGTTTTCTAACCCATGTGTCATCCATAACAAAAATATGTGTAAAACGGGCATAAACAGGAAGGCAATGGTGAGACTATAGTTTCTCAATGATCATTAAGGAAGATTTTCCTGCAGTCAAGTTTTAGAATTGTCCCTTTGTCTGACATCCTTTAAGTTTTTGAGTCTGCAGATTTGGGATGCGTGAGGGGTATGGCTTCCCACCACTTTTATAATTAAGGGGAAAGGCTGCTGTGAGCATAGGAGTGGGGAGGCTGAAGTGGCAAGTCAAGAACTGCATACATGTGGTAATTCAACATCTAGAGACTGATGCCTTTAAAACATCTGTATCCATGTATCCATCAACCCTTGGAAAGCCTTAGTTAGAACCTCTACTGAAGCCCATTCATAACATTCAGGGTGGACCAAACTCTCCTTCAATATCCTGTATCTCAGGGAACTCATCTTCTCCCTAAGAAGTTTGTTTCACTTTCAGGCTTTTTATTTTTCTTTAGGCTACTGTAATCAGTAGAAAATATCACAGGAGACCCTTGCCAAGTTAAAAATCAATCAACTGATAAGTCAAATTTGAGTGTTAAATTTTTTAAAAGTGTGGACTTTATATTTGCCATTAAATCTTAGCTTTGCTTCTTAAAAACAAAAACAAAAAACAGCACTCGCATTCTCAACCCCAGTCATTTATATTGCCAAGAAAGATTAAATATCATTCAGTGTAATTGCAAAGTAAAATTCAGTGCTTTTTTTTTTGTTTGTTTTTGTTTTTGTTTTTGAGATGGGGTCTCACTCTGTCGCCCAGGCCGGAGTGCAGTGATGCAATCTTGGCTCACTGCAACCTCCGCCTCCTGGGTTCACGCAATTCTCCTGCCTCAGCCTCCCAAGTAGCTGGGACTACAGGCGTGTGCCACCATGCCTGGCTAATTTTTTGTGCTTTTAGTAGAGACAGGATTTCACCGTGTTAGCCATGATGATCTCCATCTCCTGAACTTGTAATCCACCTGCTTTGGCCTCCCAAAGTGCTGGGATTACAGGCATGTGCCACCACACGTGCCCGGCCTCATCTGGCTAATATTAAATTTTTGTAGAAATGGGTCTTCCTATGTTGCCCAGGCTGGTCTCGAACTCCTGGGCTTATGTGATCCTCCCAACCTGGACTCCCAAAGTGCTAGAATTATAGGCATGAGTCACCTCCACATCCAGCTCCAGCTGTCTTTTGATTGTTTTTAAAAATAAAGTCTAATCTTAAGAGAGTGACATTAGGGCACCCTGGCTTACCATTGTTCTTCAAATAATGGTTACAATCCTCAGCCCTATATGGTAGATTGTACTATTGTTAGGAAATATCTGCTGTCCCACTCTACCCTGTTGACAGCAGGCTCAACTGCACAATTTACTTTGCCCACTGAAATGAGTGGAAGTTGCCATCAGCCAGCTCCTAACAGGTGATGTGAAAGCTGTGTGATGCTTCCAACAAGGCTCTTTTCTGTCTGCCTAGGCTGCCATACTCCAGTTAGCAGTTGCTTTTCAGCCCTTGGCCCTGAATGAAGATATGGGAGAAAGTCACAGTCATCCTCCTATGAACTTGTGACATGAGCGGATCATCCTTGGTTGGTGTGAAACACTGAGATTCAGGGGATTATTTGTTATCACAGAATAATATCACCTATGCCGATGGGGACAAAGGGCCTAAAAGGTTTTTCCTTCCTTCTTCCCAAGCATCTCTTCACCACTCCCCTGCTTTTCACCCCCTGCCCCACCCATTCTGATCTTCTCTCTACTTCTTGAAAACTTCAAACTCCTTCATACTTGAGGGCCCGTATACATGCTGTTCATTCCACCTGGAATCTGCTTTTACTTTATATTTTTGCTGTATTCTACCTCTCCTCCCACTCCCATCACATGGCAAATGCTTACTCATTCTTTAGGTCTCAAAGAAGAAGCTGGCTTTACTTTCTCCAAAGAAACCCCAAAAAGCAACAACAACAACCAAAAAAAGAAAACAGTTACTATAACTGAATTCCATATGTTCAAAGACAGAATTACAGACATAGAAAATATAGAAAAAAGGCCTACATAAAACTTTTAGAAATGTAAACAATTATGTCTGAAGTGAAAAATATACTGGACCAGGCGTGGTGGCTCAGCCTGTAATCCCGGCACTTTGGGAGGCCAAGGTAGGCAGATCACTTGAGGCCAGGAGTTCGAGACCAGCCTGGCCAACATAGTGAAACCCTGTCTCTACTAAAAATACAGAAGAATTAGCCAGGCCTGGTGGCACACACCTGTAATCCCAGCTACTCAGGAGGCTAGGGCAGGAGAATCACTTGAACCTAGGAGGCTGAAGTTGCAGTGAGCCGAGATCACGCCACTACACTCCAGCCTGAGCAACAGAGCCAGATTCTGTCTCAAAAAAGAAAAGTATACTACATAGCATTAACAAGAGATAACAAATTGCAGTGGAAGTGGTTATTGAACAAGAAAACAGCAAATTAGCAAGGATATAAAAGAATTAAACAATACTGTCAACAAATTTGGCCTAATTTTAGAACACTCTTTCCAATAACAGCAAAATACACATTTTTTTCCCAAGCACACACAGAGCATTTAGCAACATAAACCATATTCCAAGCCATAAAACAAGTCAATAAATTTAAAATAATTAAAGTCATAGAAAGTATGTTCTCTAACAATAATAGAATTAAGTTAGAAATCAAGAAAAATTCTGGGAAATTCCCAAATACTTGAAAACTAAAGGACACATCTCTAAATGTGTCAAAGAAGAAATCAAAATGGAAATGAAAAAGTATTTTGAACTGAATGAACATGAAAACACATTATATCAGATTTTTCTGGAGTGTCACTATAGCTGTAGAGTGGTACTATATAGCGTATATAGTATACTTAGAGTTTATGTATAGCAGTACTTAGGGGGAAATTTTAGTACTAAATACACATATTAAAAAAGAAAAAATGCCTCATATCGGCAATCTCATTTTTCACTTTAAGAAACAAGAAAAGTAAAAGCAAATGAAAACCAAAATAGAGAAAAGAAAGGGAATAATAAAGATAAGAAAGAAAATCAATGAAATAAAAAACAGAAAAACTACATAGAAAAGTAAACGGAACCTAATACAATTTTTACTGAGCAGACGAATAAAATTCATAAACCTCTAGCCAGCGTGATCAGGAAAAAGAGAGAGAAGACAGAAATTACAAGTATCAGAAATGAGAGCGATGATATCACCATAAATTTTGCAGATACTTATGCTGATGAATTTAACCACTTAAAAGAAATGAAAAAAATCATGGAAAGATAAAAACTAACAAAGCTCAATATTTCTTCAACAAGAAATATATAGCCTGAATAGCCCTATTATATATTGAAGACATTAAATTTTTAATTAAAAATCTACCTACAAAGAAAACTGCAGGTTCACAAAATAAATGATAAACTCTACCAAAACATTTAACAAAAAATAATATCGTCTATGCGACATCTTCAAAAAATTTAAGAAAATTGAATAATTTCCAACTGATTCTATGAGGCCAGCATTACTCTGATACAAAAACTATGTAAAGACATTACAAAAAAGAAAACAATAGACTAATATTCTTCGTGAACACAGACATAAAATTATTTAAAAGTTTTAAAAAGTCAAATTCAACAAAATATAAAAACAAACAACATAACCAAGTGGGGTATATGTCAGACACGCAAGGTTGACTTATCATCCAAAAACGATGTAATTCACCATATTAACACACTAAAAAAAAAAAAAAAAAACCTGCATGATCACCTAAATAAATACAGAGAAAGCATTTGATAAAATCCAACATCCATTTCTCTCAGCAAATTTGGAAGAGAAGTTAACTTCCTGGCCTGTAGAGAGGGGATCAACAGAAAATGTACAATAAACATCATATTTAAGGGTGACAGGTCAGGAACAATTAAAGAATGGCCACTCTTATCAGTTCTATTCAATATTGTACTGGCGGATCTGACAGTACAATAAGGCAAGAATTTTTAAAACGAAAAGCATCTCAATGGGAAAGGAGGAAGCAAAACTGTCTCTTTCCAGACAAAATGATTACCTGTATAAAAACAGCAATGGAATTAACAAAAAAGCTGCTAGAACTAGCAAATGAGTTTGGCAGTGTTTCAGGATATGAGATCAATAACATAAAAAAACCAACTGTGTTTTTACATGAGGAACCTCTATCCTATTTATCATAATGGCTGTACTAATTTACATTCCTACCAACAATGTCTAAGGGTTCTGTTTTCTCCACATCCTTGTCAACTCTTATCTTTTTTTCCTTTATGTAATAGCCATTCTAGCAGGAGAAAGTTAATATCTCATTGTGATTTTGACTTGCATTTCCCTGATGATTAGTGATGTTGAACCTTTTTTTTCATGTATCTGTAGATCATTTGTATATCTTCTTTTGATAAATATCTATTCAGAAGATCATTTGTCTATTTTTTAATAAGGTTTTTTTTTCTTGCTATTGAGTTGAGTTCTCTTTATATTTTGGATATTAACCCCTTATTGCAAATATTTTCCTTGATCCATCGATTGCCACTTCACTCATATTGTTTCCGTTGCTGTGCAGAAGCTTTTTAGTTTGCTGAAAACCCTTTGTTTGTTTGTTTGTTTGTTTTGTTTTTTGAGATGGAGTTTCACTCTTGTTGCCCAGGCTGGAGTGCAATGGCGTGACCTCGGCTCACTGCAATCTCGGCCTCCCGGGTTCAAATGATTCTCCTGCCTCAGCCTCCCTAGTAGCTGGGACTACAGGCAAGTGCCACCACAACCAGCTAATTTTTGTATTTTTAGTAGAGATGGGGTTTCTCCATGTTGGCAGGATGGTCTCGATCTCTTGACCTCATGATCTGCCCACCTCGGCCTCCCAAAGTGCTGGGATTACAGGCGTGAGCCACCGCGCCCAACCTCATTTCTTTATTTTTGCTTTTGTTGCCTGCACTTTTGGGGACACATCCAAAAACTGTGTGCCCACATCAATGTTGTGGACCTTTTCCCCTATGTTTTCTTATAGTAATTTTACAGTTTCAGATCTTACATTTAAGTCTTTAATCCATTTTGAATTTATTTTTGTATATAATGTCAGATAAGGGTACAATTTTTTCTTCTACATGTGGATATCCAGTTTTCCCAGCACCATTTATTAAAGAGACTGTGAGAAAGGACAGCTTTCAATAAATGGTACTAGAACAACTGGATTCATTCAGAAAAAAATAAAAATTTATACAAAAATAGTTCTATAGACAAAAATTAACCTAAAATGGATTATAAGCCTAAATGTCATAACCAAAACTTTAAAACTTACAGGTGAAAACTCGAGAGAAAAGGCCTTGTCATCTTAGATTAAGCAAGGATTTATCAGATATCATACCAAAAGCACAATATATAAAATTTTAAAAATCAAGAAGTTTGGCTTTACCAAAATTGAAATCCTCATTTATTAGTAGATATATTAAAAGAATGAAATTCCAAGTCACATAGTGGGATAAAAGATTTGTAAAGCATATACCTTAAATGGGTCTACCTTCAGAGTATATATCTTTTTTTGTTTGTTTGTTTTATTTGTTTAGACAGAGTCTCGCTCTGTCGCCAGGCTGGAGTGCTATGGTACGATCTCAGCTCACTGCAACCTCCGACTCCCTAGTTCAAGCGATTCTCCCTCCTCAGCCTCCCAAGTAGCTGGGATTATGGGATTACAGGCGAGTGCCACCACGACCAGCTAATTTTTCTATTTTTAGTAGAGACGGGCTTTCATCGTGTTGGCCAGGCTGGTCTCAAACTCCTGACCTCAGGCGATCCACCTGCCTCGGCCTACCAAAGTGCTGGGATTACAAGCATGAGCGACCGTGCCCAACCAAGAGTATATTTCTTAAAACTCTCAAAGCTTAGTAATTTGAAAACAGTCCAGTTTCTAAAATGAGCAAAAGTTTTGAACAAACACTTCACCAAAAGGACATACAGATGGTAAATAAGCACATGACAAGATACTTTTCATCTTCAAATCACTAATCATTAGGAAATGCAAATAAAAACCACAAGTTACTACTGCACACTTAGCAGAATGACTAAAAACAGAAAGACTGACCATAGCAAGTGGCGGCAAGAGTGTAGAGCAACTGGAACTCTCATATGCTGTTGATGGAAGTGCAAAATGGCACAGCAGCTTTTTATAACAGGTTGACAGCTTCTTATAAAATTAAATAAACACCTACCAAATGGCCCAGCTATCCTACTGGTAAGTATTATACAAACAAAATGAAAGCATACATTCACACGAAGACCTGTATACATGTTTCTAACAGTTTTATCGTAACCACCAAAAAACTGGAAATAATCCAAATGTCCTTCCACAGATGAATGGTAAACAAATTGTGATATACCCACAAAATAGACTACTAGTCAGCAAAAAGGAATTAGCCATTAATATATACAACGATATAAATAAATCTCAAAATAATTATCCCGAGTTAAAGAAGCCAAACAACAAACAAAACGTATATACTGTATAATTCCATTTATATAAAGCTTCAGAAAAATGCAAACTACTTTATAGTGACATAAAGCTGATGTGCAGTTTCTTGGAGAAGATGGGAACGGGGTCAGTGGGAGGGGAAAAATAGAGAGTCTATAAGCTCCATGAAGTGAGAATTCTGCTTATCTTTTTAATTTTTATATCAAAGTGCCCAGCATAGTGTCTGGCACAGAATAGACATAAAATAAATATTTGAGAGAATAAATGATGCATGTTGTAGACATTCACTGATTAGCATAATGAATAAAAGCATGGATTCTGGAGTCAGATGCATTATTCTGGCACACAAGCTGTGCAAAACTGGGAGAGTAACCTTAGCTGCAACATTAAAAGGGGGAAAATATTACTCACCTTTCACAAGTGGTTGTGAGGATTAAATGTGATAATTCACTCATAAGTGAATTACAGGGTGATTCAACATAAGAAACATAAGAAAATCATCCCTGTAATATATCACATTAATAGAACAAAGAAAGAAACCATAGGACCATCTCAATTGACATGGAAAAAGCATTTGACAAAATTCAACACATTTTTAAACAATAAAAACACTCAGAAAACTAGGAATGGAGAGGAGCTTTCTCAACATGGTAAAAACCTTATATGAAAAGCTAACAATTGGCCAGGTGCAGTGGCTCATGCCTGTAATCCCAGCACTTTGGGAGGCTGAGGTGGGTGGATCATCTGAGGTCAGGAGTTCGAGGCCAACCTGGCCAATGTGGTGAAACTCTGTCTCTACTAAAAATACAAAAGAAAAATAGCCAGGGATTGCAGCTACTCGGGAGGCTGAGGCAGGAGAATCACTTGAACCCGGGGGGCAGAGGTTGAGGTGAGCCGAGATCACGCCACTGCACTCCAGCCTGGGCAACAGAGCAAGAATCCATCTCCAAAAAAAAAAAAAAAGAAAAGAAAAGCTAATGGTTAACATCATATTCAATGGTGAAATCTTTTCCCCTAAGATGAGAAACAAGAAAAAAAATGCCTGGGTTCACCACTGATATTCAACATTGAACTGGAAATTCTAGTTAGAACAACTAGGCAAGAAAAAGAAATAACAGTCACCCAAATTAGAAAGGAAAAAGTAAAATTATCTCTATCACAGATGACATACCCCTATATATAGAAAATACCAAAAAAACCAGAGTTAAACAAGTTCTGAAATGCTACAAGGTATAAGATTAAAACACAATCAATTGCATTTCTATATATTGGCATGAATAATTTTAAAAGCTATTTAAAAAAAATCAATTTGCAATGGTATCCAAAAGAATGATGCCTAGGAATAAATTTAACCAAGGAGATAAAAGACTTGTAAAGTGAAAATTATAAAACATTGCTGAAAGAAAATAAAGGCCTTGGTAAATCAAGTCATCTCATATGCATGAATTGGAAGACAATATTATTAAGATGGCAACAAAAAATAAAAATGATCTACAGATTCGATGCAGTCTCTATCAAAATCCCAATTTTTTTTTGAAGAAATGAAAATGCTAGTCCTCAAATTTGCATAGATTTGAAAGGGGTCCTGAATAGCCAAAACAATTGTGAAAAAGAAGAATAAAGTTAGAAAACTTATATTTCCTGATTTCAAAACTTACTTCAAAGCTACAGTTATCCAAACAGGGTAGTACTAGCATAAGGATAGACACAGATTAATAGTACAGAATTGGGAGTCCAGAAATAACACATATATCTATGTCAAATTGATTTTTGACAAAGGTGCCAAGACCATTCAATGTAAAAACAATAGTCCCTTCAAAAACTGGTGGTGGGTATTCACATGCTAATGAATCCCTACCTCACACTATATACAAAAAAGTATTCAAAATGAATAAATAAACTAAATATAAGAACTGAACCATAAGATTTTTAGGAAAAACATAGGTGTAAATCTTCATGACTTTGAATTTGGCAATGGATACTTAGATATGCCACCAAATGTATAAGTGAACAATAAAGAAAAAATAGATTAATTAGACTTTGTCTAAATTGAACACTTTTGTGCATCAAAAGACATTGTGAAGAAAGTGAACAGATGATTTATAGAATTGAGATAATATTTGCAAATCATGTATCTGATAAGGGACTAGTATCCAGAATAAACAAATCATTCTTACAACTCAGTAATTAAAAAGATAAGTAACCCAATTTTAAAGTGTTCAGGGAACCTAAGTAGACATTTCTTCAAAGAAGATATGCACATGGCCAGTAAGCACATGAAAAAATATTCAATATCACTAGCTGTTTGGGTATGCAAATCAAGACCACAATGAGATACCACTTTACACCCACTATCATGGTGACAAAAAAAAAAAAAAAAGGAAAATAAGTAGTGTTAGCGAGGCTGTGGAGGAATTGAAACCCTAATACATTGCTGGTCAGAATGTAAAATGATTCCACTGCCGTGGAAAACACTTTGATAGTTCTTCAAAATGTCAAATGTAGAATTACCATATAATCCAGCAATTCTTCTCTTAGGTATACACCCAAAAGAATTAAAAACAGGTATTCGAACAAGTATATGTACATATACTTGTATATATACAAAAAAGTATATGTACATATGTTCATAGCAGTACTATTCACAATGGCCAATAGCTGGAAACAACCCCTATCCATCAATGAACCAATGGATAAACTAATTGTGGTGTATACACACAACAGAAAATTTTCAGCCATAAATAGGAATGAAGTACTGATACATGCTACAATATCAGTGAACTTTGAAACATTATACTGAGTGAAAGAAGCCAGACACAGAAGGCAGACAAAGAAGCCAGGGCTGTATTGTGTGATTTCATTTATACGAAAAATCCAGAATAGGTAAATCCATCAACAGAATGCAGATTAGTAGTTGCCAGGAGCGGGAGAGGGAGGAATGAGGAGCTTAATGGGCAAACAGCTTCCTTTGTGGGAGGATGAGAATGTTTAGGAATAGAGAGAGGTAGTGGGTGCATAACATTGTGAATGTACTAATGCCACTGAACTATTCACTTTACAAAGGTGAATTTTAAGTTATATAAATTTCACCTCATTTTTTTAAAAACAGCTTGATGCACTGCCTCATACCTTATAAGCACTTAAGAAAAATTAGCCATTAAAATTTTTATTGTAACTTTATTTATAATAGCTGGAAATTACAGCCAATCTAACCTAAACATGAAAAAAAAGGGAAACTAAACTTAAAAACTAAGGTGTATCCATGTGTTTAAATACTCTAGAATCTCATTCATAAACATGTAAAGGGGTATTTTGTGGTAGTGGAGAACAGTTAAGTTCAATGCTTGTAGTCAGAAAAACCACAATAAATAGTACGTTTAAAGCTCAATCACCATATTTTTCTTTCAAGTTTTATAACTCTCCAAAAGCCAAAATACTCAATTTCCCAAACAAGAACACTCCAAACTCACATCAATTCAGAATTACATGTATTTTCATATCTTAAATCGAATTCATGTCCAAAAGATGAGACTTGGAGTCTGATTCCCACAATTTGTACCTGACTATACCTCTCAAGCTTTATTTCCTGAGGTCTCTACTTCCCTTCTGTACTACAGTACGTCCTATACATGCTCAACTGCAACCCTTTACTCTTATTCTCCCTTACCAGAAATATCCTCACTTCTTACCCTTATAGCTTATCCACTGTTGGAGTCCTATGACTTCCTAGGGAAACCTCTTTAATTCCAGCCCCACGCTCTCCCTCTATGTCTACGGCTCTCTAGAGATCTCCCACACTTCTCATTCTGTCTGACACTGCAATTATTCCTGCATTGTCTTATTTCCCCTGTTGCCTCAGGGCTGTGACTTACTCATATTTCTAATCTCTAAGGCATCTGGCAAAGAACTCTGCTTTGATTGTAGTAGGTGTTCAATAAATGTTTATGAAAGTGAGTGGAATTTCTGAAACAGATGGGTAACCTATTCAGATGCCAGGACATAAATGCAAACTGTTTCCTGTAGCTTCTGTGTTTAAACAGACAGTACTCTGCTCTCTGCATTGTAGATATTGCCACATGCTTATTCAACGCAACATTCATCAAACTATAATGTCAGAGGGACACAAAATGGGCCAACTGGAGATGATTTACAATTTATGGACTAATCACCATTAGTATTTATGACTTTTCACTTCAAATCACCCTCAATATCCCCTTTTCTCTTTACACTTACACATTCAGAGAGCCCTTCTCATAGTCACATAATATGAGCATTAGATATTAAACACATTAATCAAGTTAACTTTCTATGTATGAAATATAAGGGTTATGACCCACAAATTTAAGATAAGAAAAGTTCCTTGGAAGATTGTCTTATTTTTCAGCTCCACAATTGAATAATGAGAGGTCCCATCAAGGATTAGAAAGCTGAATTTCTTCTCAGATATTACATTTTCATATAGCTGGATGCATACAGACAATATACATACATGACCAGTGGGTCAAGTTTGCTGGGATGCCAATTTAAAAGGGGTTCCAAAACATTGTATTTAAATGGTGCGGGTTAATTCATGTTTCTGGTGAGATATAAACCGTGTTATTCCCTTTAAACTAGATAGCATCTCATGGATGAAACAATAATAACAGAAATAACAGTAGTAGAAATAATAATACTCCTCGTTGGCTGACCTACTTCTGTGTAAGTTGCATTGTATAATACACTGATGATGTAAGCAACACCACCAGTCCTGAGACCAGCATGCTGAAATTGGCTCATGTATGTAGCTGCAATCAGCAAAATTCTGATACCAAATAGAACTTGTTACTGGAGATTAAGTATTTATTTTAACATCTAAAAGGAAAACTTTTAATATGCCTCTCAAGGTATTCTTTGATTTGGAAGCTAGCAAAAGAAAATGGAAGAGTTTTATTGGCAAAAGAGCCAGGACGAACTTGCAAACATAGTTTGAACAAGATTTTGTACCTATGGACATGTGATCTCCACACTCAGTGAACATGAGAGATTAGTGCTACAGAAGGGCATGGAGTTCTAGCGACGAAGGTCATGGGCTCTATAGTCAGACCTGCGGCATTCAAATCCCATTTCTACGGGTAGGAGCCATTTGTGTCCCTGGGCATGTTTATTAAACCTAAGTGTCAGTTTCATTATTTGGAAATTTGGGATAATAGTGGTGCTTACCACACAAGATTGTCATGAGCATGAGATTAGATAAGCAATATAAATAAATCAGTACCCAGCGTATAATAAGCACTCAAGAGATATTAGCCTTTTTTATTATTCAACTATGAGCAATAGGAAAATTATAAAATAAGAGATAACTTCAAATAAGTTAACATGTTATGTTCTGTGCATTTTATATATCTCTGTTTAGGAATGGAAAAGCAATTTCCCTCTGCCACCGTAAATAAGTGTTAACCAAATATTTAAAGGCTATAGGTTTTTAAAGGCACCCAATTGTTAGCCTTCTTAGGGTACACATTTGTCTCAGTCCAACCTTGCATGCACTAAATATGGTTCACTGAAAGAATAAATAAATATTAAAGAAAGCTTATCTACAAGGAAAATAACCTGCCAAGACAAAACATACTTCTGAACAACTTTGTACTTTAAATCAACTTGTCCTCTAGCCAGCAGGTCATGCCATTTTGTCCACCAGAAATAACTAAAACTCCCCCAAAACAGTTCCATGTTGTAGATAAATATTTTTTCACTTCGATTCTCACCTGTTTACGGTAAAGAATCTTTTTGGACCCAGGGTTCCCAGCCAAGGTAATCCAGAGACAGCTATTTATTTGTTCTGACCTCTTGAAAGATCAGTTGAGAGTTGAGGACAACGTTTATAAGACTCGAACAGAAAAAGAAACAAATTAGACCTGATTATTACATTTCCTGTAATATGATGCCCATGTCATCCTGGGGCTGATTCAAGGAAACCCAGGCTTGTTTTAAAAGACTGGAGGACCGGGATGGGTTAAAGCACACTTTGGCACCACTTGGCTGTGTGATCTTATACCAGTAACAAACTCTGAGTTTCAACAGTCCACCTGTCAATCCTGGATAGCAATTTTAACTTGCATGTTTAGTGTGAGGTTTAACTAAGATAATTATGCATGAAAGTGTTGCGGAAACTGTAAAGCTCTTGTAAGTGTCTGTTACTCTTGGAGAGAAAACAGTTCTCTGTTCCTTTTCTCTCATCTTCCAACTCCCATACTCACACATACACACAAACATACTTGCTCCAAACTTTGTCAAGGCCATAAACACCTTCATTACCACCCACTGGTGCACAAGTTGCATTGTATACCTATAGGCAACACCACCAGCCCTGAGACCTGCATGCCAACAATTGACTCATGCATGTAGTTATAGTCAGCAAAATTCTGATGGCAAATAGAACTTAATGCCGTTACTGAAGATAAGATATTTTAATTTCTAAAATGGAAAACTTTCAATATACCTCCCAGGGTTCTCTTTGATTCAGAAGCTAGCCAAGGAAATTGGAAGAGAGTTTTACTAGCAAAAGAACCAAAAATAACTTGTAAATATATTTTGAACAAGACTTTCAATCTATAATCATGTGATCTCTACACTTAGGGCTCCAGAAGACCTGATCTTCTGCCACCATTAGAGCAGCCAGAAGCCAAGACTGATACACACGAAGAAGGAACTGGGCCCAACCCCAGTTATCCTGATCAAAATTTCCAGTATAAAAAGAAATCTGGCTCTTGAATGTTTTGTTTTTGGTTTTGATTATTTTGAAAAGGATTGTGCCTGTCACCAGTCTTACTTCCAAGGCACTGCCCAATAATGTACAATCCAGAGAACTAATAATGGATTGGGTTCCAAAGTATCTATTTTATTAATCTGGGGAATATCCTCATAACCTCCAAAAGAAGACTTCTGAGAAAAACGTAGAAGACATGGCTTGAGACCTAGAGTTGCACTGGGGCTTCCTACTTTCTTCCATACCAAATGGAAAACCCCGATGCTCATAGGGCAGGCATGGTCTATCATCCAGGGACAATGGCTGCCAGCATAGTTGTATAAGGATCGCATGGACACACTGTGCTTTCCACATGGGGCAAGGCAACATGGGAGAACCCAACTTTCCCACCAGGAAGGTACATGCTTTGGGTTATTTTTCCAGAAAGGAATGAATATGAGTTATGGCTAATCCATCTCCACTCTCTTCCCTGACACCTCTATGGGCAAGGACATTGGCAGGATAAATGCTAGGACCATGGCTACAATCGATGATCATGGGACAAAAGCCCAGAGAAGCCCACTGCTTGATCACCTTGAATTACAGGAACAGCAATTACAGGTTTTGAGACTGTATTTAAGCCCCCTTTATTGCATGTAAATATTTGAAAACAAAATCTTTTCAGTTTTAAATTCAAATTTCCTCTTTTTGCTTGAAGGTGATGTATTGGTCAGGGTTTTCAGAGAAATAGAACCAATAGGATGTGACTGATTGATTATTTGTTATAAGGAATTGGTCCACAGGATGATTATAAATGTTGTTAAGTCTCAAGATCTGCAGAGTGAGTCAGCAAGCTGGAGATCTAGGAGAACTGATGGTTTAATTCCAATGTAAATCCAAAAGTCTAAGAGCTGCCAGCCAAGAGGAGTTCTCTCTTACTTGGGGGAGGGTCAGCCTTTTTGTTCTATTCAGGTCTTTAAATCATTGGATGAGACCCACCTCCATGAGGTAAGCCAATCTGCTTTACTGGCTCTACCAATTTAAACGTTAATCTCATCCAGAAACACCCTCACAGACACACCCTGAGTAGTGTTTGGCCAAATATCTGGGCACCCTCTGACCCAGTCAAGTTGACAAATAAAATTAACTCTCTCAGGTAATAATATTTACAAGTCAAATCTCTCATCTGAGAGTCATAAATACTATGGTTCCACTAGCCCTGCCAATTGCTTTCCATACCTCTTGAAAGGAGTTGCTTACTATTCATGTTTTCTTATTGCAAAATTGAGAAGAAACAACTTGATTACCTACCTCTTAAGTTATTAGATTATCAAAGTACTTTTTCCTATTTTAATTACAGAGGAAGTGTTACATTTACACTTTCTTACTTTTTCACTCTGCTAAGCCTCATTCTTTGAAAGAACACCTCTCGCAGGAACTGATGACTGAGTATTCAAGCTGTTCTTGTACTTGCAGCCCTGGATAATATTTTGATGAAAGAACCTGCAAGCACATCAAGTTACTTCCCAGAGCTTCATCAAAATTCTGGATATAATAATGCTATTTTCAATGGGCTCTCAAGAAGTGATAATTAGCTTTCATTAAACATAATAAATATTAATGCAAGTCAGAAACAAAGTACAGACAGAATTGGACTAAACACATTCATAATGCAAGCATTCAGTCTGTGGACTGTATGGAGCTTCCTGGGAATGATAAGTGCTCTAAGAAAACACCGAGACTCTCTGGTTTTCACAGCGAAGGTTGTGCTAGCACTAAAGACTGAAATAAAATTAATGTAAAAGTGCATTCTCAGATTTTCCCTGAGCTTTAAATTCAAAACGAATTGAGGTGTGACTGATGTAATTTTTAAAACTTCAACTTCTTTAGCACTATGCCCTATTTTTAAAATTGAATAAAAACAAATATTGTCTATAACATGGTATCAGAGATTCACATCAAAGAATACCAAATGTCTAGGGACTTAAATGGCATTTATTACACATTAGGATGGGGATAGGTGAATATTAGAATTAGATGACGGTTCAGCAAGACTCTCATTAAAGTTAAAAAGATTTTTTTTTTTTTTTTTTTTTTTTTGAGACGGAGTCTCGCTTTGTTGCCCAGGCTGGAGTGCAGTGGCACGATCTCGGCTCACGCAAGCTCCGCCTCCCGGGTTTACTTACGCCATTTTCCTGCTTCAGCGTCCCGAGTAGCTGGGACTACAGGTACCCGCCACCAAGCCCGGCTAATTTTTTGTATTTTTAGTAGAGACGGGGTTTCACTGTGTTAGCCAGGATGGTCTCCATCTCCTGACCTCGTGGTCCACCCTCCTTGGCCTCCTCTGGAATTAGAGGTGTGAGCCACGGCGCCCGGCCAAAAAGATTTTTTTTTTAAATTTAAACCGAAATTAGTTACAATTGCATACTAGAAAGGCTAAAATGAAAATAACTGACCACATCGAGTATTGGTGAGGAGTTCTGGGAGTGGAGCTCTCATATACTGCTCATTGGGATTTAAAATGTTATAACCACTTTTGAAAACAGCTTGGGGTTTCTTTAAAAAATTGAATACCTACCATATGACACTGTTTCAGCAATTTCACTCCTGGGTATTTACCTAAGAGGATTAAAAACATGTATATACAAAGAGATATCTACACAAATGCTCGTAACAGCTCTCTTTAGCTGTTATTCATAATGGCAAAAAATTGAAAACAACCTAAATATTTATCAACAGATGAATTGCTAAACGAATTGTGATACAGCCACACAATGGACTACTGCTCAGCAATAAAAAGGAATGAACTATTGATATGCCCAACAACGTAGATGAACCTCAAAACCGTTATGGTAAGTGACTGAATCCAGACACAGAAGAATGCATACTGTGTTATTATATTTATATAAAATTCTAGAATAAGCAAAACTAATCTATATTGCCAGAAAGAAGATCAGTGTTTGCTTGGAGCTATGGATATGGATGTTGGCTGCAAACAGAAGGGAATGTTTTAGGGTGATGGAAATGTTCTATATCTTTTGTGGTGGCAGTTACCTAAGTGTATATTTGTTAAAGCTTTGCACTTAAAATGAGTGGGTTTTATTATATGCAAATTATATCTCATTACTGTTGATTTGTTTTCTGTAAATGGGCTAATGACTTTAATAGCCACTTAACAAAAGGGAATATCCAAATGTCCAATACATATAAAAATATGTTCAATGCCATTATTCATCAGGGAAATGCAAACTAAAATTACAATGAGATGCCGCTATTCACCCACCAAAATGGCCAGAATTTAAGTGCCTGACAAGTTTTAGCAAGGATGTGGAACAACTGGTGGGACTCCTAAAATGGCACAACTACTTTGAAAATCTGTTTGAAATTTTCCATCAAGACTAAACATTGCCTGTCTTATAAACCAGCTATTTTACCACTAGGTATATACGCAGAGAAAAAAGGGTTGTGTTCACCAAAAGGCAGATACAAGAATGTTTACTGTAGTTTTATTTGTAATAACAAAAAACTGAAAATAATCCAACTGCAAGTCCACAGAAGAATGAATAAGTAAGTTGTGGTATATTCATACAATGAAATACTACATAGTAATACCAATGGGTAAAATGGATATGCATAGCAACAGGGATGAATCTCATAGATATTATGTTAAGCAGAAGAACCAGACACCAAAAATCCTGTATGATTCTCTTTAGTTTAAGAATTGGCAAAACTAACCAATAATAATAGAAATCAGAATAGTGGTTACCTTTGGAGGGCTATAGTCTGGAAAGAGACACAAAAAACCCTTCTGGGATGCTGGAAGAGTTCTGTATCTTTGCTCTGGGTACAGTTATATAACTGTATGCATATGTAAAAAATCATTGTACTGTACATTTAACATCAATGCATTTTACACACTACCATATGCATGTTATACATCAATTTTTAATAATCCACTGGGACATGTCTTCTGCTGAAACAAGAGTCAAGACACCATGGTGACTGCAGCAAAGATAAAACACCAGGTTTGTTAATACGGGACTCCTTTTTACTAAAAAAACACACAGTACACAAGAATGTACAAGTTCTTTCTTTTCTTTAATGAAACAAAAGTTTTATCTCAAATTTAGGTGGAAACATTCTGAAATAATATTTGGACTCCAGAAGTCCTTTGCAGTGACCAAAGTTGTTAGTGACTTTTTATTAAAACCATCTTGCCCCACTTATGTTCCTACAACATCCTTTCTTTCTCTGATTTCCTTGGTAGGTTGAAAATATTTTCTTCAAGGTGACTGGCACCTTGCCTTGAAATAACGGGCTTCTCTCAAGGGAGGTGAAAGATCATTTTGTAAGCAAAAGCTGACAGATGTGAATAGCAATTTTAACCTAGAAAAAGATCATGGATATCAGGGAATTCAATCTCCGGTCCTGCTAAAGAGCTGACAGAGCCTGGGGAAGGAATGCAGATTAAGAGAGAACAGATTTCTGCCCATCAAGAAACCAAAGCAAGGGAGCATGAATATTGATTCTGGCCCCACTTTCTCCCTACCGAGGGCAATGCAGACACAGTGCAACTCATAAAGCAGTGCTGGGATCCAGCCCAACCTCAAGCTGCTGCTGGATTATAAACAGCTCATCCAACCAAAATCTAGACATTTTCTTCACTTCCATATTTCATACTGTGTTTCCAAGGAGAGAACCCATTTCTCAAATTTGTTTATAGGCCCTATTCTAAGAACTCTTAAGTTGGAGCCCAAGCAAGTAAAGGTCTGCCACATACTAAGGGCTCAATAAAAGAAAAAAATGTAAACAGGGCAGAATCTGAGACACTCCGTTTTGTGAGTGGAGAATGGTGGGTGGAAGTGATCAGCGGAGAGATAAAGGGATAGGGGGCAGAGTAGAGTTGTGGGCTGCTGAGGAAATGCACTATGAGAACATTTTAAGAGCCTTTTGAGGAATATCTAATGTCCTTAAAGAAAATGGCAGATCTCATGAATTAGGATTTTGTTTTCTGCTTCTGAAGAAATGTACAATCTAATCACCTATTTGATTACCAATGACAGACATTCATTTTTAGAGATGCCTGCTGAATGAAAGCCGGGGCTCTAATAGCACATGGTGAGTGTTTCCAGTCATGATGATGAGTTATTAGCAAATTTTTTTTTTTTTAGGATGGCATCTTGCTCTGTTACCTAGGCTGGAGCACGGTGGCACAATCTCGGTTCATTGCAACCTCCACTTCCCGGGTTCAAGTGATTCTCCTGCCTCAGCCTCCCGAGTAGCTGGGATTAAAGGCACCTGCCACCACGCCCAGGTAATTTCTGTATTTTCAGTAGAGACGGGGTTTCACCATGTTGGCCAGGCTGGTCTTGAACTCCTGACCTCAGGTGATGCATCTACCTCTGCCTCCCAAAGTGCTGGAATTAGAGGTGTGAACCACCATATCAGGCCAGCAACTTGTGTTAAAAAATTCAATTGATTCTGCATCAAAAAGGAAGAAATCATAGTTGAAGATATTTACCATTAGAGAAATAAGTGGTCTCTTTGACTTCTTGCAAGAGATGAGCAAAAACTGCATTTGTTATTCCTCATATTTAAGCAGCCAGAGTTATTCAGAGAGTAAAAGGGCTATCTATGTGAGCAACCTGTTTCCTACCCTGGAGGAACTGATATTCACGAAGCAAGATTTGCTCTGTGCTAGTGATTTCAAGAGAAAAAAATATATATTTATCTAATACTTTTCATGACCATTTCTTTTAGCAGTCCTCACTCTTGGGAATAGTTTTAATTCTAAGAGTTTCTTTCTTTAATAAGAACATTATGAAGTGCAATACTTTGAATGAAGGGGGAACAGAATCTGGTTGTATTTATGTTAGATACAGGAATGAAATAGCCTTTTCCTCATGAAATAGATTTGTTTGTAGCTGAAAATAGGCAGCAAGAAGGAAGCTCTTGGTGGGTACAGAAATTACTGGTGGGCCAATGGGGAGGGCAAATGAGAACCACTGATGATTCTGCTCATTTGAAACCAGGTTCCTCTCTAGCCCAGAATCTGAGTGTAGAATAAAGTCTCCGAAGGGATATCTCGGGGATATTTCTGATTATCCTTGTTTTCTGTAAAGAAATCCCCTACCGGCAGTCATTTACACTAAAGTGAAAGCTTCAGAGCTTCCTCTGAAAGCCCATGATTTCCTTCCTTATAAGCTGAAATCTGCTTGCCCTTTGCTTTCTCTCTTTGGAACAGCACTGAGCAAATCTTGTCTTTTTTTGTATATCAATGATTACCCCTTAAACATTCAAAGACAGCTAATGTGTATCCCCTTCAAACTTCTACAGGCCAAAGTCCCCTGGTTCTTTAAATGGTCCCTTGAAATACAACTTCTTCCCTTCTTAGCCAACTTGCCTTGGAGGCTCTCAACTTGTTAGTCTCCGTCCTAACTAGGGTGTCCAAAGTTGCAAGCAGTATTTCAGGTGTGATCAGACCAGTGCAAAACTCAGTAAGATTATTATTTTCTGTGATTTGGACACCACCATCCTATTAATGCAATCAAGATTTTTTAATTTTAACAACTATATTAAATTGTTGGCTTAAGTTATGGCCAAGCAAAACCCTCATATCTTTTTTTGCATAAACTGCTGCCAAACCACATCTCCTCATTCTGTACTTAGGCTGTTGAGCTTTTAAAGGTAAATACAGAAAAGAATATTTGGTTTTTGCTTATCATTTCAACCTGTCAAGACTATTTTGAATCTTGATTTTATCATCAATCAGATTCACTTTTTCTTCCAGCTTTCTGTCATCTCCAAGCTTGCAAAACATGTTTTCTATGTCTTTATCAAGTCACTGAAAAAAATGTCTAATAGGACAGAGCTCTGTAGCTTGCCTCTAGAGATTGCCCTCCAACTTCATGAGCTTTTCCACCAAATGTTTCTAAGCAGCTACTATGTACCAGAACCATCTCAAGGAGGCCGGGCATGGAGGCACATGCCTATAATCCAGCACTTTGGGAGGCCAAGGCAGGAGGATTGCTTGAGCCCAGAATTTCAAGACCAGCCTGGGCAACATAGGGAGACCTCATCTCTACAAAAAATCAACAAATTAGCCAGGTGTGGTGGCACTTGCCTGTGGTCCCAGCTACTTGGGAGACTGAGGTGGGAGGATGGCTTGAGCCCAGGAGATTGAGGCTGCAGTGAGCCATGATTGCACCACTGCACTCCAGCCTGGGCGACAGAGTGAGACCCTCTCTCAAAAAACAAAACAAAGAAACAAAAACAAAAACAAAAAAAACAGAAAATGAAAAAATAAAGAAAAACCATGACAAGGAAAAAAGAAACAAACAAAAAATGTATAAAATATGGTCTCTGACTTTAGAGAACTTTTTTATTTAATAGATTCCACAGTGCTAGTAATATTTTTAGGGTGAAGATTTTTAAGCATAATTATATGAAACTTTGATGTCTTTCCATTACTTCATACATTAGAATATCCTGAGACTTGGTCAAACATCTAACCAATCCAGGGTGCACCAGGTCTCTCGCAGACTCCTATACTTAGAACATTACCAAAACAGAAAGTAAAGCTAGTTTGACCAAACTTATTATATCTTGGTAAAACTGCATCTACCATTGGTGATTGTGGAGACAAAAGTAACTCCATCTTGGATGCTAATCTACCATGTTGACTTCTGATTTACCCACTCCAGGAAATGCCTCCTAGTTCCTACTGTATTTACTGTCCTTAGTGTAAGAATATGTACTCACCATACATCCTGCCGTTAGACCAAAGCAACCCTGATGTTATTGTACAAATTACAGGGCTTGGCACACATAGCATTCTTTCCTTTTCTGGCAGGTTGTCTTTAATTGTCCTGCTGGAGCATGTGTACCCTTTCGCTATGGTATATAACCCTTGGGTCTGGGGTAGCAGTGCAGAGATCTACCTGTCTTGCAGCTGCCCAAAACCATGCTTCCATTGGTAAGTCCCCCCAGTGAGCCACTCTACACTTACAAACTAAATTTTTCTGACTTGTTCTTTGGTTTCTTGGCTCCTTTTGCATGTGAGGGTCTCTTTTCATGAAGGCCGTTTCACAGAACAGTGATGATTACATTCTTTTACGAATGGGGCAGCAAGTAAAGTCCAAGATTTAAATCCTGGTTCTAGCATCTATTAACTGTGTGACCTTGAACAAGTACTTATTTTTCTCTGACGCAGTTTTTGCATTGTGATAAGAAAAATGCATACATTACAGGATTATTATGAGGATCAAATTGGATAAATATGTAAATTATTATAAAATTAGTTTCCTTACTCCTGAAAGTCTATATGCCATTTGACCATCCCTTCAATAATTTTTCCAGACCTCAAGCTTGTTAGTCTGTATTCTGAATTCAACCTCTTCATCTTTTGCAAAGTAAGATAACATTTCTCCAGCTCCAGTGTCTAGGCCCTTGCCCATTCTCCTTGATTTCGCCATCAGGTCTTGGAATACTGACATCACATCTATGGTTCCTTCAGAGCCCTGGGATATTCTTTGTCTGACTATAGAAATGGGAAGGAATGCTTCTTTTAAGCAACCAAGTTCTTTTCTACAACCCTCACCCCTCCATTATGTTGAACTACAATTTTCTTATGGGATATGCTTCCAATCTGAATTCCCCTTTGCCCTCTGGAGACCATGAAGGTGAAAACAGGAAGTGAGTGTGTTTCTGCCTTCCTTTGGAAATTGACTAACTCAGATTAACCATGATAATTCTAAAAGCTTATGGATCCCTTTACCTTGTTTAATCTGAAAGCCAGTGGATCTATACTTGTGGATTTGATTTCCAGCTATTTGTCAGGGAGTAAAGCCCCACAGTTGGCCAAACCCAGTGCTTCTCAAAAGTATGGTTGAGAGAAACAGTATTTGTAATGGATTACCTGAATGGTATGCAATCCATCCATTCCTCTGTACTTCTTTCCATCTCCCTGCCCGTCTCCCAAATTTTGTTTCTATTGTATTTCACCTTGTTCAGGTTGATAATATTTACATTCTGCTTAGAAACATAATTCCCATAGTTGTTGAGTAATCATTCAATAATTAATCAAATTCAGTGCTCATCGCCAGCTCCTTCCCTCCATGGTCTCTCCATCCCTGAGTTCTTCATTTTGAGTCTTTTCATTGTGTGGATTTCTTAACAAGTTGTTTTTACAAGAAAAGCCTCTGTGTGCTAAGTTCTGAGCTCTTTGTCTCTGGGAAGGTATGCTTGGTTCTTTTATACTTAAATGACATATTCACTTGCTATCATACTCTTTGGTCACACCAGTTTCAACATGTCTTAATATAAACCATTTCACTGTCTTCCCTGTGACAAAGTCTAAGGCCAGCCTAAATAATCTCACCTTATAGGGTGATTTCTTCCTTCCCGAATCCAGATATTAAGAATCTTTTCTTTATCCTTGAAATTTAGTAGCTTGACTACAATATGTATCACTGTTGAACATTCTATATAAAAATTTTCCAGAACCTAGTAATCTTTCAGTCTGTAAATTTTTCATTTGGGAAAGTTATCTTGTATTTTATCTCTGAACACATTTTTGTTCCATTTTGGGTGCTCTCTAATTCAAGGTTACAACTGTCTTTATGTAAGATCCTTTTGTCTGTCTTCCATATCTACTAGCTTCTTTCTACTTATTTGACTCTGTATTTTTCATCTTAATTTACTGCGATAATCTCAAGCCTTCCTCTGTTGTTAGAATTTGACTTTAATGAAGTCTTTTCTCTTCTTTGCTGTTTTAATTTCATTTATTAGTCATTTTAATACTGTATATTTTTTCCTTAGTTTTACGATCTCTTCTTTTATCTCATTCAGTTGCTTTAACAATCTTATCTTTCAGAACAATCTTATCTTTCAGTTCTTATTTTATTAAATATGTTTTCATTAAGTTATTATACAGCATGAGGCAATTGGTTATATTTCCTTCTGTTTCTTGACTTAACATTTTCTTCTATAAGTCTTTTGGTTGTGTGTGTGTGTGTGTGTGTGTGTGTGTGTGTGTATACATACATTGTAGCAATTGACATGGCAATTTTGCATATTTGCTTTGCTGTTCCTTTTCATCCAGCTCCTTATAGAGTGATTCTGTCTAGGCATTTTATTGTTCTTGTCTCACTTTAAACTTAACCCAAGACTGGAATGTTTTCTATCTCCAGCCTAGTTGAGGGCTTAATACATTATGTTCTCATTATTTTCCTATAGCCTGAGGAGATGGTGGAAAGAGAAACTATGGTCTGTACTCTCCTTTGAAATTTATTTAGAAGTCCTATACCAGAGTTTGCTCCACCTGATCTGAGGATATATCTGATTTCCAAGGAGGATGTCCTCAGTCTTTTCATCCTCTGAGGCCCCAATGCCTTCCTTTCCATTAGAGTCAGCTTTATATACCTTTTTTCCTGTTTATCTTTAGCTAGTACTTCTATCATTCATCATTCAAGACACGGAAGAGAAAAGGATGTACCCTCATTTTGCATCTCTCCAGATTTGGGGGGATTCCTGTGTAATCTTAGAATTTTGTCAACCTTTCAACACAATCTGGAAAAAAGGGCAAGTTAGGAACTTAGCTGTGGTGGCTTTCCCCATTCTGCTCCAAAATCTTTTATATCTTTCCTAAGCTGCCAGATTTTAAAGTATATTACATTAGGTTTTCCCCTATTCCTTGGATATTGGAATTTTGTTGTTAGATTTTACTATATTTTGCTTATTTTGTTAGCTATTGGGGGAGTAAAAATTTGGGGTGTCATTTCAACCTTGTATTTACTTTGAAAGCTCTCAATGCTGTCTTTGTGAAGATGCACAGCAGAAATTTATCGCTAGTCTTAGGACACTGACAGTGGCACTTCCAAGCAAAGGGTCTGTCTTATCTCATGGGTTCTGAGAACCGAGTAATCGATTATGCTTGTCATTTAGAAACTAATTTGACGCCCATTTCTAGCAAAGTGAATAGGATCATAGCATAAGTATTTTGGTACTTTCTATATGCCTAGCTTCATCGTATATATCTTATCCTGATTTCCCTTTATTTTCTCACTTTTAAAAAGATCTTTCTTTACTATCTTCTTAAGTTATTTGAGATCTTTTATGGAAGAAGGTGAGGTACAAGTATATAAATAAACAGTTGCACCAACAATTCTTTCCCCTTCTCCCGCAAGGTGACAGATCCATTTCCCTGTTGTAGTTTTGACATGGCTTAAAAACAAATGCTTTGTTGCTAACATCAGCATCCTTTGAGAGCCAGGGCTGTGTTAGCTATCCTGACATTATTCTTAAGGTCGATGCCAAATTGTGTTTGTTCTTGGTTATGTGCCCTTCCTTCCATCTGCATTGAAATAGAATTTGCTTCTGCTTTTCTTGAAATATCTGGTTCTCTTTACATCCCAATATGGCTTAAAGATCCATGGCCAGCTCAGGCATAGAGTGGATAAGACACCTGGCTATTGATAAGCTATCTAAAACTAATCGGTAGCACAAAATTTTGAGACTTATAGTTATTGGGCTTGGAGAAGAAAAGCTGTTTGATATACCACTGAAACCTAATAAACAGGAGCAGGAAAAAAGTATTTTAAAATTATATTCCTTGCTTTGTCTTTTAAAAATAAAATAAAACATTGAATCAATAAGATCAAAGAGATTCTTCTTTTTAACCCCACCCCAATGCCAATCCTATCCTTGCTTCAGACTCCCATTATCATAAATTTTATGTATTTATTTGAGTCAATATTTAACAGTTTTATATAATTAAATGTGTCCCTAAATAATATCCAAACACATACTAGGCTTTCCCTTCGGTTACTATGGATGAATTACTGTGCTCTTATCTAAGGCCAGGCCTCATCTTGAGCACTGGATCCACCCATCTGTGCTGCATTAAGAATCCAGTAATGAATCCTTTGTCTTTCCTGTATCATCAAATTTTCCCTCTCTATTGGATTGTTCCCTATGGTATTCAAATGTGCTTACATTTCTATCTTAAAACACACTCCTCCACCCATCTCTCTTCCCTAGCTCTGACTACATTCCTCTGTTCTCATTTACAGCTCCTTAAGCTGGGTATACACGTTGGTCTCTGAGTCCTCTTCCACTTTCTCATGTACCCATTTTAGGTTTTCATCCTCACAATTCCACCAAACAGCTCTCATCAATGGCAGCTCTTTGTTGCCAGATCCAGTCATCAATTTCCAGTCTTCATTTTACTTACTTGATTTGAATAATTCACAATGTGAATCACTTTTTCCTTCCTGAATACCTTCTTCATTTGGCTTCCTAAATATCCCTCACTCTTGGTTCTGTTCTTGCTTAACTGTCTGCTCTTTCTGGGTCTCTCCAACCTCTAAAATTGGGATGCCTAGGGCTCATTTTCTTTTCTTCTTTCTCTACACTCATTCTCTAAGTGATCCCACAATTTCATGGCTTCACAGCCATTGGTATTAGTCCATTTTCATGCTGCTATGAAGAAATACCAAAGACTGGGCAATTTATAAAGAAAAAGAGATTTAATGGTCTCACAGTTCCACATGGCTGGGGAGGCCTCACAATTATGGCAGAAGGCAAAGGAGGAGAAAAGGCATGTCTTACATGGCAGCAGGCAAGTGAAAGTGTGCAGGGGAACTGCCCTTTATAAAACCATCAGATCTCCTGAGACTTATTCACTATCATGAGAAAAGCATAGGAAAAACCTGGCCCCATGATTCAATTACCTTTCACTGGGACCCTCCCATGATACGTAGGAATTATGGGAGCTACAGTTCAAGATGAGACTTGGGTGGAGACACAGCCAAACCGTCTATACCCAGACAACTCCCAAAATTTGTATGTAACTATCCATCTTCATTTTTTTTTCCTAGAAGCAAAAAAAAAAATCTCCTTTCGAAACATTGAAGCCCACCAGATATCTAACTAATTTCTTCTTCTGGAAGGTATTTATTTTTTCATTGTCTGTCTTTTTATTCTGATTGCATTTTTCCCTAAGTCAACCACATCTTTTCATCCCAAGATCTCCTTTCATCTCCCTCCTTGGTTGGATTTCTTGTTTCATAGGCCACAAAGATTTTACTTTCTTGTTTCATTCTCTCACTTCCACAGAGCATATTCCCCAAATGCATTCTTAGAAGCAGGCAAAGGAGATAAAGTGTTTGGTATTTCTGCATGTCTGAATATGCCTCCATTCTAACATTACCTTGTTTGAATGTTTGGCTTGGTATAGATTCTAATTTAAACATTGATTACCCCAGAATGTTTAAAAAATTTCTTATTTGTTAAAGTGTTCCAGTGTTGCTGTTTTCCTTTGTATATGACCTTTTTTTTTTCCTTTTGGAAGTTTCTCCTTAAGCCCAGGGCTGAAATTTTATGATGCTATGTCTTGGGGTGGATCTTCATTCTGCCATGCTGGGCTCTATCAGTCTGAGGACATCTAGATCTAGATCTTTTCTTTAATTATTTCTATAATAATTTCCTCCTCATCCATTTTTTCCTTCTATTTCTGGAATCACTGTTAAGCAGATGTTAGACTTTCTGGATTGGCCTTGACTTGTATTTTTCCATTTTTAAAATCTATTATTTATCTACTTTTGACCTTCTGTGAGATTTCCTCTTTTTTATCTTTCAAACCTTCTATTTAACTTCTCATTTCTGTTATCACAGTCTTAAGTTTTCAAGTGCTCTTTTTTGTTCCCCAAATATACTTTTATTAAAGCGTTTTGATTCTGCTTTGTGGTTTCAATAATTTTATTTAGTTGGTGATTTTTGTTTGTGGATTTCTTCTACAATCTTGCCTCTGTCTTCTTTAATTTCCTTTTCTAGTTTTTGTCAAGTACTGTGGTGAAGAGAGGAGAAAATAATTTCTGTTTTTCATGCTGGAAACTTTCTTTGGCTAGTGGTCATTGGCTCTCTGGTCATTTTTAAGATTGGGGTCTCAAAGCTGATTGGGACCTTTGAATAAATGGGTAAGTGTGCAGGTGATTTGGTGAGGCTATTTCACTCTGGGAAACACCAGAGTTGGTACCTTTAGATCTTTTTCTTAGCAAGTCAGAACCTCTAGGGAATAACTTTCCAGTTTCTGCTTTGAAGGTATAAACCTGGTTGCTAGAAGCAGAGGAGGGAAGGAACTGCTCACATTGCAGAGTGTCAACTTTTACTTATTCTCATTTCCAGTTTTGTATCTTTTCCTTCCATGTGTCTTGTGCCCCTTAGTTGGGAGACCTTTTGGTTCACCTTCTCTAGAGGGCTAAACCTCTAGTCTTCTGCCAGGATGAAGAAGAAACCTTCTCACGCTACTAACAGGAAATAAATTATGAGGATCTACTTGTTCCTGAAATAGAGTTTTAATCAGTACCATATTTTGGCTCTTAACTTTCCCTCTGCTTTTGGTATCTGGTACTACCAAATCCTGAGCCTTCCTGTGACATCAAAATATAGTTGCTGTGTTCTCTCCTTCTTTTTCTGAACTTGTGAGGTTTCTACATTTTTTTATTCTTAAAATGTTATTTTAGTGAGGTTTAGAGAGGTAGTGGAAGTAAACATGTACCTTTACTCTGTTGTCTTAGCTTATTGCTTAATTTTAATGATGGCCTCTCATATATAGGTGTCTGTAATTTTGATATTGAAAAAGGTTTAATATTTTTGTTTATGAATTGTCTTGCTGAAGAATTCCTCCCCATCTCAAATGTGTAAAGATTTTGCACACACACACACACACACACACGTGTGTGTTTTCTTTAATAGTTAAAATATTTTCACAGGTAGATTTTTTTTTAATCCTTCTTGAATTACTATTAATGTGGTATATTTAAGAGTATTTTTTCCTTATAGAATCTAGTTGTCCCGATACCATTAATTGAATGATTCGTCTTTCTGCAATTGA
The DNA here is from genome assembly GCF_000001405.40 of Homo sapiens. Lineage (NCBI taxonomy): Eukaryota > Metazoa > Chordata > Mammalia > Primates > Hominidae > Homo > Homo sapiens. The sequence goes on from NC_000013.11 coordinate 36,589,382, forward strand.
GTTTTTGCTTTGCTTTGTTTTGTTTTCTCGTGGAGTCTTGTTCTGTTGCCCAGGCTGGAGTGCAGTGGCATGATCATAGCTCACTGCAGCCTTGAACTCTTGGGCTCAAATGATCCACCTGCCTCGGCCTCCAAAGTAACTGGGACTACAGGCACATGCCACCATGCCCAGCTAATTAAAAAAAAAAAAAAAAAAAGAACTTTTTTAGAGATGGAGTTGTGCTATGCTGCCCAGGCTGGTCTTGAATTCCTGGCCTCAAGTGATCCTCCCACCTCAGCCTTCCAAATAGCTGGGATTACAGGTGCAAGCCACCACACCCAACGTTCTTTGAGGTTTAATGCCATCTCTATTACATTCAAAGTTTTCATACATAATTGAGTCTGTTTCTGACCTTTCTGATGGCTTATTTTGATCTGTTTGTTTCTGCATCTGTAGCACACTGTTTTAATTACTGTAGTTGTGCAATGAGTTTCATATCTGGCAGGGAAAATCCCGCTCCTCTTTTTCTTAATTTATCTTGTTTATTTTTGAATATTTAATAATATTTCACATGGATTTTAGAATCGGATATCAAATAATGTACCATACAATTTTCTGGAATGATATTGATTGGAATTAGCAAATCAATTTTTGGAGAGCTGACATCTTTATGATATTAAGTCTTTGTATCTATAAACAAATCATACTACCCCATTTATTTAGAATTTCTCTTATTTCCATCAATATGCTAGATTGAATCATATACAATTACCAATACTTGAAAATTTTTGATCTACAAAAGAGGAATTTCATATATTTCAATCTAATAGTTAAAAATATTTCAGAAAGTTCTTGTACATCTTTTAGTAGACACACTTCTGTTACTCTTTTTGTTATTGCAAATACAGCTTTTTATACTATGCATTCGAATCATGCACAATCATTTTCTTGCAGGCTTAACAAAATTCACACATAAAAATCACCTGACTTGAGTGTAATTTTATACAGGATATTTTCCAAATCAAAGAGTGTTTTATTTATTTAGGTTTTCTACTTCTTAAATAAATTTTAATTTATATTTTTATAATTTTTTAACGTTATTTAAGTTTACAAAGTCATTGGCATTCATTTATAATAATCTCTTATATTTTAAAGTCTATTGTATCTGTAATTCTGTTACTTTGTTGTCGTAAATTGTTTACATTAACTTTTCTCTGTCTTTCCTCATCAGTTTTGATAGAAGTTTGACTATTTTATATGTCTTTTCAAATAAATAGCTTTTCTTATGTTGAGTACTTTTATTTTCTTATTTCTTATTCTTTTTAATTAACTACATTTATGCTTCTAAATTTCTATTTCTTTTATTATAATTTACTTAAGTTTAATTCTTAATTTTCTTTAATTCCTTGAGTTGAAAGCGTAGCTCATTTCTTTTCAAGACTTCTTGTTTTCTAATAAATACATTTGTATACAGAGAAGATTTCCATTTAAGCACTGCATTGTCTGTATCCTGTGAATCATTAATACGCATTTTGGTTGTTTGTGCCTAAATATTTCATACCTAAGTCATGAATTAATAATTGGAGTTCTGAACATTCGCTTTAAAATTGATTTCTAATTTCACTGTATTGTTATCAGAGCATGTTGTCTGAATGATATTGTGTTTGTAATTTGTTGAATCTTCCTTTGGGACAGAGTTCTGGTCAATTTTTATAAATGTTTCATGTATTCTTGAGAAAAACGTACAAGCTCTATTTCTTGGGTAGAGAGTTCTATATATCTACTGTTAACAGTGCCATTCAAATCTAATCCATTCTGACTATATTTTTGTCTGCTTGGCCTTTCGTTTCCCAAAAAGTGTGTTAAAATATTCTACAATTATTATTGAATTATTCATTTCTCTGTGACTTTTTCAGTGTTTGCTTTACATATTTTGTGGCAAGGTTATTCAGAATTATAATGTGTTCTTGATGGATTCGTTATTTATTAGTACAAAATGTCTTTGATCCCATTTCCTTTCAGTTCTGTTTGGACAAGTATTAAGTTATTTACATGAGCTTCCTTTGATTAGTATTTCCCTGTTATATCTTTTTCTTCTTTTTATTTTCAGTTTGTTGAGAGGTTCGCTGTGGCTTGAACGTCTGTCCCTTGCCAAACTCATGTTGAAATGTAATTGCCATTGTAACAGTCTTAAGAGGTGAGACCTTTAAGAGGTGATGAGGCCATGAGGGTTCTACCCTCAAGGGTGGGATTGGTGTCATTAAAGAAGGATGAATCCAGCCCTCTCTTATTCTCTCTTGCCATCTAAGAAGGCCCTCGCCAGATGATGGAATCTTGATATTGGATTTCTCAGCCTCCAGAAAGTGAACCAATAAATTTCTCCTCACTGTACATTACATAGTCTCAGGTATTCTGTTACAGTAGCATAAAAATGACTAAGACAGTGTCTTTTTGCTTCATAAAGCTGGATTTTATTTATTTATCAATTTGAGAGTCTTTTAAGTTTAATGAGTTTGGCCCACTTGCATTCGCTATAATTACTAAAATGTTTGGACTCATTTTACCATTTTACCTTTACTTTCTTACTGACCATGATTTCTCCTTCTTTTTTTCTTATGTCCTGTAGTCAGTGACTCCTTATAATCTAACAACTTATATCCTTTTTCAATTATAGATAATCTTCAGCCTTTATCTCTTCAGATATTTCCTTTTGCCGTTTTCACTTTTATTGTTTTCCATTAAATATTAAACTTTTCAATCTCCCATTATATGTCTTAGTTTATATTCTATTTTTCTATCTCTTAACTTTTCGCTGCTATATTCTTCAATTCTGTTTTTTTGTTAGGTAGCTGTCTCTTCAATCCACTGTTCATGCTATATCTTCTCTTTTAAAAAAATTTATTAATATTTTTGGCCAGGCGCAGTAGTTTATGCTTGTAATCCCAGCACTTTGGGAGGCCAAGGATGGCGGATCACCTGAGGTCAGGAATTTGAGACCAGCCTGGCCAACATGGTGAAATCTCATCTCTACTAAAAATACAAAAATTAACCAGGTGTGGTGGCAGGTTCCTGTAATCCCAGCTACTTGGGAGGCTGAGGCAGGAGAATCACTTGGACCCAGGAGATGGAGGTTGCAGTGAGCCGAGATCACACCACTGCACTCTAGCCTGGGCGACAGAGCGAGTCTCTGTCAAAAACAAACAAACAAAAAATTTTAAGATTTCCAGTTTGTAAAAGTGTATCTGCTTGCTCTTGCTACATAACCTTTTCTTCTTATTGGAAGAATTCTATTAGCTTTTAAAAAATCTCTATGAGCAGTTTCAGCATATATTTTTATAAGCCTTATAGAATAAATGTTATTATTCTATCTCCTTTGGTATGAATTCTTCCATTTGTTATATGAGCTGGGTACCTCTCCTAATTAAGCATTTTCTCATGCATTTATCACTTTTGTCTGAAATCTTATCTTGCACTGGAGCTTTTCTCCCATGCAAACTCCTTATTTTGTATGGTTTTTCAGTTGCCTTACTAAGGCGCTCCGGGTTGAACAGAGACAAACCAAGCCTCTCAATTAGAGGCTTACAGGCTTTATCCATATGAGTGGAACTAGTTATAATGTCCTGCTCATATATCATCTCAGCTAAGGTATTCTCACAGCTGCCCTCTTTTCTTCCAAGATCACAGGAGAGTGGCACATTGTGGTTGTATCCTGAATTTTCAAATAAGGTTAATTCAGGTTTTTAACTGTTAGGAGAGCAATCTGGCACTCAGCTTTATTCTCATCTTTTGCAACAATAGTGTTATGTTCACCAGCCATTTCTGTGTGGGCCTTGGAACATCTGAATCCATTTTCTGCATCTACTCACTCTTTTCTGTGGGCCCCATGGCTTCAGCCTCCACTATGGCCTTTCCTATTATTCCTGAAACATGGAAATTCATCTAGTATCCCTTTTTAACAGAGCTATCTAAATACATTCCACATATTTAATATTTAATTTGTATATTAATGAAATATAAAGTATATTTTAAATATCTATTTCATTTAAATTCCCATTTTTTGAGAGCAAAAAAATAATAATTTTGCAGTTACTCACTTAGCCGTGTTAAATGATGTCCAAATTAACCTACCAAATATTTTTTTCTTTGAGGGTATAATCTATATTAAACAGTTCCTGTTTATGATGATAATAGGAAGCCAATATAGCAACTTTGCAATAAGAACCAAGCTCCTACAAAGCAAAAGCAAAACCGAAATAAAGATCTAAAGAATTATTATTATTATACTTTGTTTTATGAAATTTGAACTATCATGAGAATAAGGCCATTAGTGATTCATAAAAATAAAAATAATTTTTGTTACCTTGCCATGTTAGACAACTATTTTTGTGTTTTTTTCATGAATGTGTTGTAGACAACTATACCTATTAGACAACTGTTAGGTATAGATTTGTGTTTTTTCATGAATATTGTCATATGTCTTTCTTAACAGTACACTGACAGTATGTAGTATAGCACAAGTCAAAGCAATGGTTATAAGTCTAGTACTCTGTAATTTTTCTTCACTTAATAATAACCGCGTGCAGATTTATAGTATTATTTGATTGATTCTGTTTCCAGGATTTTTTCCCTTTGCATAAAACTTCACATTTATATATCTAGGAAAGTCTTGCTTGGAACATTATAACCCCTTCCTGCAATTAAGGTTTTGTTACAGAATGTGCTTAACGTGCACATGTACCACAGTTCTCCTGTGAACTCCCTTTTTTTTTTTTTTGAGATGGAGTCTCGCTCTGTCACCCAGGCTGGAATGCAGTGGCCCGATCTCGGCTCACTGCAAGCGCCACCTCCCAGGTTCATGCCATTCTCCTGCCTCAGCCTCCCGAGTAGCTGGGACTACAGGCACCCGCCACCACCCCCGGCTAATTTTTTTGTATTTTTAGTAGAGACAGGGTTTCACCGTGTTAGCCAGGATGGTCTCGATTTCCTGACCTTGTGATCTGCCCACCTCAGCCTCCCAAAGTGCTGTGAACTCCTTTTGAACTTTATAGTGAACCATAGTGCAGAAGGTAACCTATGTCTTAATGACTTTCCATGGACTACATAAGCTTAAAAGGAAGAAAAAGATTTTTATTTTCTTGCTTCATGATTTTCTCACCTAAAAGATAAAAAAGTAAAGATTTTTTTCTACTCTGGTAACCTCAATACTATGGTTCAAACATCTTTATAATTGAATTTCATGGCTTAAAGTTTAAGCGCATAGAATAATCACTTTGCTTGTGATTTAGCAAAAGATTTACAGAGTAATCCCTATTTGCTCTACTGAATATTACTAGATTTCTGTCTATTTATGAGTTCCCAAAGGCAAAATAAGATTTTGGGAACTGGTTTGGGGCCCTTCATTTATTATCTTATAATGTCTGTAGACTATGTAATGATAACTTGTTTTTTATTTCTGATATTGGTGATTAGGTGTTCTTTCTCTTTTCACTTGATCAGTCCAGCTAAGGGTTTACTGAAGTTAATCTTTTCAGAGAACTAGCACTTGCCTTTGTTAATTTTCTCTATTGTCTGTTTTCTACTTTTTTAAAATAAAGTTATGCTCCTATCTTTATTATTTCCTTCCTTTCATCTACAATTTATTTAACTTACTCTTCTTTCTGTAACTTCTCAAAGTGGAATGTAAGGTGACTGATTTTAGATTTTTTCTTTCTGAATATTGGCACTTAAAACTATGTTTCAGCCGAGCATGGTGGCTGACGCTGGTAATTCCACCACTTTGGAAGGCCAAGATGTGAGGATCACTTGAACCCGGGAGTTCCAGACCAGCCTGGACAGCATAGTGAGATTCTGTCTCTATGCAAAATAAAATAAAATAAAAAATTATCCAGGCACGGTGGCATGCGCCTGTAGTTCCAGCTACTTGGGAGGCTGAGGCAAGAGGATTGCTGGAACCCAGGAAGTTGAGGATGCAATAAGCTTGATCACGCCACCACACTCCAGTCTGGGCGACGGAGCGAGACCCTGCCTCAAGAGAACAAACAACAACAACAGAAACCTATGTTTCCCTCTATGCACTGCTTTAGCTCGTTCAATTTAAAATAGTCTCTAATTTCCCTCGTATGTCTTTTATGATCCATAAATAATTTATAAGGGTGCTGTTTAATTTCCAAATATTTGTGATTTCCTCTGAAATAGATTATTCCCACTGACTTATTTCTGATTTGTTTCACACAGTGTGCTTTGTATGATTTTAATACATTTAAATTCATTTAAAATTGTTTTATGGCCCAACATATGGTCAGTCTTGAAAAATGTACTTCTTTTCACTTGAAAAGAAGTGTGTTTTTCAGTTCTATAAATGGTGTCCTATGAATTTCAATTAGATCATGGGAGTTGATAATGTTAAAATCTTCTAAGTCTACTGATTTTTAAAAATCTAGCTGTTGTATTAATTGGTAAGAAGAGTCTTAAATATAATACTCTGACTGTAAAATAGTCTATTTTTTCTTTTCATTCTGTCGATTTTTGCCTGATGTATTTTGAAACTCTGTTCTTAGGTCTATACACATTTATAATTATGTCTACACACATTTATAATTATGTCTACCTGATCAATTGTTCTTTTTTCTCATAATAAAATATCCCTCATCTCTTCTAATATTCTGTGGCTTGAAGTTTATTTTATCTGGTATGAATATAACCACGCCAGCTTTCTTATGCTACTGTATGTATGGTATATCTTTTTTCATTTATCTATTTTCAATGTAGCAGTGTCTTTCTATTTAAAGTGCTTCTCTTGGGAGTAGCATATAATAGTCTTGCTTCTATGTTGATGATCTCTGCATTTTAATTATAGTGTTTTAGATCACTAATATTTAATGTAATTATTGACATGATTGTATTTCAGTCTATTACTTTATTATTTGTTTTCTGTTTGTCTCCTCTGTTTTGTTGTTGTTGTTGTTTTCACTTTTGTTTTTAGAGACAGGGTCTTGCTCTGTCACCCAGGCTAGAGCACGATGTTGTGATTATAGTTCACTGTAACCTTGAACTCCTGGGCCCAAGTGATTCCCCTGCTCCAGCCTCCTGAGTAGCTAGGGCTATAGAGCATACCACCAAACCTGGATAACTAAAAAACATTTTTTTTAGAGATGGAGTCTTGCTGTGTTGCTCAGGCTGGTCTCGAACTCCTGGCCTCAGGCAGTCCTCCCACCTCAACTTCCCAAAGTCCTGGGATTAGAGTTATGAGCCACTGCACCTGGCCAGTTGTATTTGTTGTTTTGTTGTTGTTCCCTATTCTCCTTTCCTTCTTTTTGATAATTTAAATGTTTTTTAGTATTTCATTTTATCTGTTGGATCTTTAACTGTACCTCTTTGACTAGTTTTTCTTTTAGTGGTTGCTCTAGGGGTTACAATTTTCATGCCTAGCCTTTCATAGTCTACTTAGAGTTAACATGGTTCAGCTTCTCATAATAGGTAGACTGAGAATAAAGAAAGAATACACATATATCCATACAAAGACTTGTACACACATGTTTATAGCAGCTTTATTTCTAATAACCAAAAACTGGAAATGACCCAGTTGTCATCAACAGGTGCATAGACAACATATTGTTGTATACATCTAATCTGTGGAATATTATTCAACAATGCACTTTAGTAACCAACTTTTATTTAGTCTTTCCAAAGCACTTAGTTCAGTTTTTAAAGAAAAAAAGTTGTCTTTTTATTCACCCTCATATTTAGTAGAGGTTTATATAATATTTAATTAAATCATGAGTCACCAATAACATCCTAATTAACAGATTTTTGGAATGAGAACAACCGACTCATGTAGGGTGCACAGTTCAACAGGTGGGAGTGAGAATGTTTAGACAGACGAGGGAATGGCCTCCTGGGTACTTTACAAGAAGTAGGCTTCTGTCAGTATATTCCCCAGTGGAGAGACAGAAGGTTGGCTAATCTGGCAAGTTGGTTAGTGGTAGTCAGTTAAGAGAGGCTTTGCTATATTATCAAATTGCCTTCAGAAGGTGGTATAGATTTATAGTTTCACACAGTAATTTTAAATGTCCCCATATCTTAAAAGCACTAACAAATTTTAAAATCTTTGCCTATTTTAAAATAGTTGTTTTGAGAGACCCCAGCATAATGGGTTATAGTACCACGGCAGGTAGCAACCCCAGTTTAATGGGAAATGAAGGGTAGCTGTAGCCCTCTTGGATGTTCACAGTGTGCCTTTCATGGGATACTTCATTTACCTGGCAGAGGGCCTAATGCCACATTGTCCAACTTGCAACCAGAGGGTCCCTTACATGAGAAACTTGTTTATACTGGCAGACACCCCTGTGGTTCTTATCTGACCTACGTCCAGTTTATGCCTACTTGACCAGTGCTCTGGGGCTGGAAGCTTGACTTTGTGTTCTCCTCAGGGCCAGGGGCCCAGGGAAAACCTGGCCTAGGGCAACCTCTACTTCTTCAGATGGAAGGTGCAAATTCAATATACCACCACAATAGGAAACACATTCAAAGGCTGCTCACTTATAGATCCTGGGCAGGGAGGACACAATGAGTTGGGAGGGCAGTCCTTCCTTCTCAGTCATGTGAGGCAGGAATGAAGAGTTAGGCAGAGAGAGAAAGAAAAAGAGGGAGGGAGATAGAGAGAGAGAGGTAACTACAAGTATATATAAGAGAATACAGGAGGGTCACTTTAAGTTCATGCATAAATGCCTGTATTAGCCAGTTTTCACACTGCTGATAAAGACATACCAAGACTGGGTAATTTATAAAGAAAACGAGATTTAATGGACTCACAGTTCCATGCGGCTGGGGTGGCCTCACAATCATGGCAGAAGGCGAAAGGCCTGTCTTACATGGTGGCAGACAAGAGAGAAAAGAGAACCAAGCAAAAGGGGTTTCCCCTTACAAAACCATCAGCTCTCGTGAGACTTATTGACTACAACGAGAACAGTATGGGGCAAACCGCCCCCATCGTTCAGTTATTTCCCATCAGGTCCCTCCCATAACATGTGGGAATTATGGGAGCTATAATTCAAGATGAGATTTGTGTGGGGGCACACCCGAACCATATCAATGCCTGAATGGTTCATTGAAAGGAAAGCAGCAAGCCCAGTGTGCTAGCCCAGAGAGATACCTCTAAGCTCTTATCTTTGGCCACTGGATTGAGCCATCTGGGTGGGTGCAGAACTGGAAACTGTGTCAAGGATACTGAGCCTTGCCTCTGGCACAAGAAAGCTAAGCCTGCCTTCAAAATAGATGCCTAGGCAACATAAAATTATAATAATTTGCTATAATTGCATCTCACTGTTCTTTCAATTTTTGTTGCCTAGACTCCTAGGGGTCAATTTTTGGTACATTTTTAGTACATTTAGTACAACATTTTTTAGACATTTTCTGTGCAATTGGCACACGTGATTGTTAACAACGAGGCAGCTGTACTAAAGAGAGATCCCCTCTTCTGCACCTCCTGGTGGGACTGGAGGCAGGAATGACCATAAGGAAGTAGGAATGGAAAGATGCCTCGGGGTCTTTGTGTCTGTAACTCAGGTAATGTAAAGCCTAGTAGTTGAACTCTGATCATAGTGGAATTGTATCATTTTCTTTCATTTCTAATTAAAGTGTTATCTCTATTTAGTACAGTTGATATAAAATTTATTGTTTTAAACTTAGAATATATTAATTTTTAAGTTCTGAAGTAAAAAATAAAACTTAGGCCCCTCTTATGTTCCAGTTTCTTATCCTGAAGCCTGTCATTATTCTATTATGAGTGTTTGCGGAGGAGAAAAGAAAAAAGTAGGTTAGAGTTATCTCACATTTTTTTTCCTTATAAACCTTAATTAGAAAGGTTTCATGGAAATACTTTCAGCTTACCCAATCCATTTCTTCCTTGTAAAGCTTTTAAACTTTGCACGGTCAGGAATGGCTTTTATCTTGTGCACAAATGAAATCAAAATAAAAATGCAGATTGAGCTATTAGGTACTTAATACCTGTAATTCTAGTATTGCTGAGCAGCAGGTGAATAATAATAAAAGCCCAAAACTGGCAGAAAAGAAGGAAAAAACAAGATATATTTGTTTTACTAAGCTTCCCTGGACTTTCACAATAAATCCATTCAATCAAATATTTTATTGTGGGCCCACTTTCTTCAAGTCATTGAAGGATTCAAGAAGTATACTGTTTATAAGTATATAAGTTAGACTTTTATATTATATATAAAGATTAATACAACAGAATCATCTAGCAGCATCTTAGAGGGACAATAACATGTTATCATCAAGTACATGGATAATCTGTGGGTGCTTGTAAATGTAGAGTATTAATTTAAAAATTCAAGGTATGATAAGGTCAACAGATCAGGAGATGATTGCCTTCGAAAAGATAGCTTGTTACTCATGGTTCCAAGAGGAGACAGCACACCATGCTACAGGGAGCCACCCAGGGAAGCACCAGGGTCAGTCAGGAATGAAGGGGAAAGAGAGGAACTGCGGGTTAGAGCCTTTATAGTGGTTTCCATGGGAAGGAACAGGATAGGCAGGTAAACAGGCTTAAGATTGGCTAGTTTGAATACTTTCAGTGGCTCTGGGCCATAGAGGCATTCCCCAGTTGTCTGGCATCCGGCTGGCCCTTAGGGGGATTGGGGCAGGTGGAATAATGGCCTGGAGTGTTAGATAAAGGAGGTAGTTGGGAGCGTGGCTTTGGATTGGTTGGTTGGCATTTCAAAGCACACTCTTGATCACCAAGGTGGTTCTCGCCTATAATCCCAACAGTTTGGGAGGCTGAGGAGGGAGGATTGCCTGAGCCCAGGAGTTCAAGACCAGCCTGGGCAACAGGTTGGGACCCCATGTCTATAAAAATTTTTAAAAATTAGCTGGGCATGGTAGCGTGTGCCTGTAGTCCCAGCTACTCAGAGGCGAGGCAGGTGGATCTCTTGAGCCCAAGAGTGCTGGACTGCAGTGGGCTATGATGGCGCCACTGCACTCCAGCATAGATGACAGAGCGAGATCCTGTCTCAAAAAAAAAAAAAAAAAAAAAAACACACCCTTGTGGGCACTTGTGCAGTTGTGTACTATTTCTAGGACTTTATTCACGTGGCAGGGGCAGTCTCTCCAGGGTCAGCAAGCCCCAGATGTCAAAGCATCAGAATGCAGAAAATAAAAGACACAGTTAAACAGTGGCTACTCAGTATTCATGATCTTACTCATCTCTGTGCCCATTTGGAATTCAGTCAGCTATTCCAAACACAAGCTGGGTTCCTACATTTTAGTGTGTACACAGTTTACTTAGCCTTCTGGGTCGTAGCGATGGCGATGCAAACAACAAAATCTTTCTGTTTACTTAAGGAATAGAATAAAACAATAGCAGCTCTGGAACACAAGTTAATTCTCCATATTTTAACGACAGCACATTTGCTTTTAAGAGTAGAAGATGCATAAAATAGAAATATTGCCATGAGCAACGTGAAAAGAATTCAGAAAACTAGTTACACACAGCAGAAAAAAGGGGAAATTTTCCACATTACCTATCATTTGTTTCCAATATCAAGATCAGCTACATCTTCTCACCACTCAAACCATGAGTATTTTGAGAATCACACAGAAATATTAACCTAACAATTTCTGTAGTAAACATACTAGACCAGAGAGAACCAGAACACCCAAGGGATAAATTTGACAGTTATCTTTCTCCTCAGACCCAAATACATCTCACTAAAGTCATAACCTAGCTTCAGGAGTGCTTGTCTGGAACGCGGACTTGTAAGGAAGGGAAAGAGAGTGGGCGTGGGGATGGGGTGGTCAGGGAGATCCTGCCCGGCCTGCAGGCCTGGAGACTCAACTCCATGATAAGCTCTGGTCTAAGGGCCAGGCTACAGGATTTGAAGTTTGTATCTTGCTATTTTGTTTTCTCTTTTACTTAACAAGAGGTAAAGAAGATGGGGAAAACCCTGGCCCAGAGGAATCAAGTACACTCTCTGACAGAGATGACAAGTGGCCAGTGGCTTTTGAAATCCATGACTCACAAGCTTATTAACACCAAACAGATCTAAACATGGCACCAGTAACTGTGGTTACACAACTGAGGAAAAAAAATGCCATGGCAAGACAAACTAGCCATCCTTACTCAAGTAAGAAAGCGAATTGTAAATTTCTTGTAAAGTGCAACATTTCAGTGGTGGGCTTTTCCCATACAACAAAAAGATAGAAAATCTGACATGTGGGGAGGCTGGGAATAAGGTTCTTCTCTAAGGATTCCCAGTGAAAACAAACAAACAAAAGTCTAATAAATAAAAAGCTGAGAGTTGCCTATTTCCCTCCTACATGCTAACTTAGCAAGGATCTGCAAAATGCTATCATCGCCATTGTGCAGTGGAGGAACAAAAGCTTATAGAGGATAATGACAGAATCAAAATCAGGTACCTAACAAGAAAGATAAACAGTTCCTATTTCATATTGTAGACTATTTTCTATTTTCTCTATACCTTCATTGTCTTCCTGGTCATCAATTAGCCTACTAAAAATGCCACTCAGCTAGAAAAACAAAGGAGTGTCAAGTGAGATCTTTAACACCAAACCAAGCATACTGAGAAAATATCTTAGAATTTATGGAATAATTTTTATACTGGTGAAGTGACAGGACTTAAGGAAGAAACATTTAACAAGTAATATGGAGGTTTGATAACCATTGTCAATAAAATACTTATGGAAGATTAAACCACGAAAGACTCTGAATAGCCAAAGTGATCTTTAGCAAACAGAACAAAGCAGAAAGCATTATACTTCCTGATTTGAAATACATTGCAAAGCTATAGAATCCAAACAGCATGATACTGGCATAAAAACAAACACATAGGCAAATGGAAGAGAATACAGAGCCCAGAAATAAATCCATGAATTTATGGTCAATTGACTTTTGACATAGGTGCCAACAATGCACAATGGGAGAAAGGACAATCTCTTCATAAATTTGTGCCGGGAAAACTGGATATTCACATGCAGAAGAATATAATTAGAACTTTATCTCTTACCATGCACAAAAATTACCTCAAAATGGATTAAATTCCTAACCATAAAACTTACCAATCTCTATGGCATTGGCTTGGGCAATATTTTTTTGATATGACCTCCCAAACATAGGTAACAAAAGTGAAAATAGACAAATGGGATTGTATTAAAGTAAGCTTTTGTACAGCAAAGAGAGTAATCAACAAAGTAAAGATACTGAATGAGATAAATATTTGTAAACCATACATCTAATAAGGGGTTAATATCCAAAATATATAAGGAACCCAAACAACTCAATAGCAAGAGAACAAATAACCTGATTTTAAAATGGGCAAAGGACTTAAAGAAACATTTATCAAAAGAAAGCATACAAATGGCCAACAGATATATGAAAAAATACTCAACATTACTAAATGCAAATTAAAACCACAATGAGATATTATCTCACAGCTTTTAGAATGACTACTATCAAAAAGACAAAAGATAGCAAGTTGTGGGGAGGATGTGGAGAAAGAAAACCCTTGAATACTCTTGGTAGGATAGCCATTATGGAAAACAGTATGGAGGTTCCTCAAAAAATTAACACTAGAACTCCCATATGCTCCCACAATCCCACTTCTGGGTATTTATCCAAAGGATATTTATTAGTCTATTCTCACACTACTATAAAGAGCTTCCTAAGACTGGGTAATCTGTAAAGGAAAGAGGTTTAGTTGACTCACTGTTCTGTATGGCTGAGGAGGCCTCAGGAAACTTACAATCACAGCAGAAGGCGAAGGGGAGGCAGGCACCTTCTTCACAAGGCGGCAGGAGAGAGAATAACTGAAGAAGGAACTTGCCAAACACTTATAAAGCTATCAGACCTCGTGAGAACCCACTCACTATCACGAGAACAGCATGGGGAAACCACCCCATGATTCAATTACCTCTACCTGGTCTCCCCCTTGACATGTGAGGATTATGGGGATTACAATTCAAGATGAGATTTTAGTGGGGACACAGCCAAACCATATCAGGATATGAAATCAACTTGTTGATGAGATACCTACATTCCCATGTTTATTTCGGCACTATTCACTATAGCCAACATATGGAAGCAAGTTAAATGTCCATCAATGGAGAAATGAATTTTTTTAATGTAGCGTACATATGCCATGGAATACTTTTTAGCCTTAAAAAAGGACATCCTTCTTTTTTGCAACAAACTTGATGGACCATTGTCCTAACTGAAATAAGCCAGGCACAAAAAGACAAATATTGCATGATCTCACTTACATGTGTAATCTAAAAAAGTCATATTCATAGAAGCAGAGAGTAGCATGATGTTTACCAGAATATTGGTCAAATGTCAGTTAGAGAGAAGAAATACATTTAAGAGATCTGTTGTACAACATAATGACTATAGTTAATAACAGTATATTATATTCTTGAAAATTACTATTTTAATTTTTCTCACAACAAAAAATGAAAAATATATGAGGTAATGCATATGTTAAAAAATAAGTCAAAATATTTATGGAGGATTAAAAATACATCAGGTAGAATGAAAACTCAGACAGCTATTTGAATAAAGGTTGTTTTATAATAATGTGACAATTATTTAGCTGTGTATTTTCACTGCAAGTCAATGTTCAATCCTCTTTACAGATTTTACAAAAAGCAAGAAAATTCCCAGTGAAGTCACTTATTGATCAGAACATTGATAGGCTCCTTATCTCTGGTCTTATGAAATAGTAAACAAAATGGCAAGATACACACTTCAGAATTAAGCCTGAGTTTACAAAATCTTTTTACATGTTTCCTTTCTTCTAATCTCTTCTTATATTTTAGCCATAGAGGTATTCTCTCCTGAGATACCTTCACTCTCCTTAAGAATCTATAAATTAAACTGTAGCTAAGGAAAATCCATGCAGTCCATTGTAATGGACACTAATGGAAGAGAGAGACAGTAGCCATTGGGTCAGAGAATAAATTCTAAACTATATGTTCCTTCGATACCTAGTTTGCTGAGGGTTTTCACCATGAAGGGATGTTGGATTTTATCAAAAGCCTTCTCTGCATCTATTGAGATGATCATATAGTCATTAAAACTCATGTCCTCACCCCACCCAGTCCCCTCCAGCCCCATCACAGGGAGGAGACAAGAGACACTGCTCTCTTAGGCCACAATTTGAGATCCTAATATAAAAAGTAAAATACAACTTCAAAATATTTTGTACATTTTCCCTTTTTCCCCACAATTTTTGAGGATTTAATTCTGACCAGGCAATATAATGAAAGAACTGACTGTGGTTGAACACATCCAAGAAATATCTTTTGCAGGATATAATCTCAGAGATTACACTGCTCAATTCTTTTTAGTCAATCATCTCATTTATTCTTTGAATTTTCTAAATTGGCATAGTTATTTGTCTTATTTTAACTCTAAAACTATTTTAAAATTTCTAAGTTTAAAACACTCATATTAACATTTCTGTTCTCATACTCAAAATACGAGATAGTTCTGGGATTTATTGGAGACAAAAACTGGTAAGAGCTAGACAGTAATAAACAAAGATACTAGCACAGAATGTAGACTCAAACCCAGAAAAAAATCTGTTATGATTCAAAAATACATTATTTAAGCTCCTTATTCTTAAAAAAATCTCTCGTTATTTGCATTCAGTCCTTAAGGGGTCCCGAAATCAAGAAAGAAAATTAGTTAATTAAGTCTATAAAAAAGAATCCTTCTGGAAGATGAGGTTAAAATTTGGAGGAGAAAGTACATACTCAATGTCAAGGAAAATGTCTCTTTAGATTATTATAGAGTCATTTAGGTGGATGGTTAGAAGCTTGTAGCTAGAATAGATCTCCAGAGAGTATATTGTAAGAAACCATATTCTTTTGGCAAATACAGGGACCAGATGCTCTGTGAAGTCTTTCCATCATTTACCTCCTCTAATACCATGATGTGCAGGTGTATGAAACCCTTATAAAAATTTCTGGGCATTGCAGGGTATTCTACAGGAAGAAAGAGAAGAGCTCTGTTGATCTTAAGGAAGCTCTTCATGTCTGCGCATATTTCAACACCAAAGCAATTCTAGCTTTATGCCAAAATGGATTAGGTTTTAGTTGCCTCTATAAATTCTCTTAAGAGGCTGGGGATTACAGTGGCTTAGATTCCTTTAAAATTACTGAGGGAAGATACAGATTGGAAAAAAAGGTAGAAGGCCCTGGAAAAAGGGTTCTTGGCCACCATGGTCCCTTGGGGTTCTGACTTGGTCCCTTTGGTCAGGCAGGTGATGAAAGTGGCCATAGTGGGTTGGCTGCAAATTAATTCTACATTATTCCATACGCGTCTTGGTCTCGTGTGCATTTGTTTTGCATCTATGAAAGAAAGATACCATTCCTGAAAAACTCTGTTTATAGCAAATCAAGAATATTCCAAATAGATTTTTTAATTACCATGAATAAAAGTAACCAGATTCACCCTGACACTTCAATTCACGTGGGGCTCTCTGAGACAACAAATGCCCTATCCATTTCAGGGCTGGACTTCAGCTTGCTCCCTTGTAAATCCTCCTGCAATCAAACATCCAGAAATCACTTTTGCATCTGAAAGCTCAGTACTTGGGTTTGTGCTTCTAAAGTCATCAGGCTGTTAGTAAATACTGCCTGGATTTTTAGCTTTGTGATTACATTGGGCCCACTGGGATATACTAAGATAATCCTTCCATCTGAACATCTTTAATGTAATCATATCCACAAAGTCTCTCTTCCTTATAAAATCACATAGTCACAGACTCTGGGGATTAGGATGTGGACTTCTTCAGGAAATCACTATTTAGCCTTCTATAGCTCTGAACTACCTACACTCCACTGCTCACCCCTGGGCTTGGGCTTGGGCTGGGGGATGGGATGGGGGGGGTCCTCCCTTGCCTGCCTGTGTTCCCATGGTGGCACTGCCTCTGGTCTACAGCATCTGAAGGCAATGGGGGTGGGGTACGTATCTTTTCCTCTCTTAGTCACTCTGAAGATAATAGCTCAGTCACCAACCTCCGCTCTCACTACTGCCATGAACTATGTGTATAGCTCTGATGCAGCAATATTGGGGCAACCCTGGGCTGATTCACCGAAGTAGGCTGTTTTGAAACCTACCAGACCTCCTCTCCTAAATACTAATTATAACAATTTATGATGGATTAAAGATCTATATGTGAAAAACAAAATTACAAAGCTTTTTAGAAGGGACTATAAGAAATGCCTTCATGACTTTGAAGGAAGAAAGGGGGAATTTCTTATATAAGATATAAAAATAACTCATCATAAAGGAAAAGGCTACTAACTTTCACAATACAACATTTCTTCATGGAAATATTATAAAAGGAGTGAAAAAGTAAACCAGAGTAGAAAATATTTGTAGCACACACGATAGACAAGGGATTTGTATCCAGAATATATAAAGAGCTCCTGTAATAAGAAAAAAAACAGACAACACAATTTTTTTTTTTTTTGAGACTGCGTCTTGCTCTGCCACCCAGGCTGGAATGCAGTGGCATGATCCCAGCTCACTGCAACCTCCATCTCCTGGGTTCAGGTGATTCTCCAGGATCCAAAGTAGCTGGACTACAGGCGCATGCCACTGTGCCTGGCTGATTTTTGTATTTTTAGTAGAGACAGGATTTCGCCATGTTGGCCAGGCTGGTCTTGAACTCCTGACCTCAAATGATCTGCCTGCCTCCGCCTCCCAAAGTGCTGGGATTACAAGCACCAGCCATCGCGACTGACCACAACACAAATTTTTAAGTATGCAAAATTCTTGAACTGGTTCTTCACATGGAAGGAAATCCAATAGCCATTATTTATGTGGGAGTAAACTCAACCTCATTAGTAATATGGGAAATGCAAATTAAAACGACAAGGAGATACAACAATATACTCATTAAAATTGGTATATATAAAAAATATGAAAATACTTGATGTTTGTGTTTGTGTGAATGTGAAACATCAGACACTCTTATACTCTGACACTGCTGGTGGGAAGGAAAATAGAAACTACCTCTTTGAAAAACAGAATAGTGTTATTTAGTAAATTGGAAGCTATATACACCATATCACCTAGTTATTCCACATTAGATTTCCTAGAGATTATGTGCTTTTATGTGTAAGCGAGTACATGTCTAAGTATGTCTATGGTTGTACAGCTTTTAGTTGCCCCAAACTGGAAACAACTTAAATGTCAAGAACAGACATATAATAGATATATAATAGTATACACAGTGGAATACTACACAACAATGAAAATTAATAAACTCAATGTTCAGTCACTCATTCTATTCAAACTTTATTGAACTCCTTTATTCTAAACACTAAGCTAGAAGTAAAAATAAATTAAAGCCAACCTTCTCCTAGAATAACTCCCAGGGGGAAAAAGCAGGTAAGCAAATAGTTATAATTAAGTGTGATAGGTTAATGAAAGACTATACTTACAAAGAGTGCTTTATGGATTTATCACACTGTACCTTCTCCCTCTCCTAGCTAAGGCAAAACAAAACATAACTTTTATCTCTTTCCTTCTCTCTTTGACATTAAAACAGAATTAAGCTGAGGCTATACATATAGTATTTTGGAAAAGAAAATCTTAAATTACAACCCCAAAAGCAAATTTTAACAGTTTAAATCCCATACGTTCTCAGAGTAATTTATATATTATGATGATCAGGCATAGCCATGCATCTCTGGAGCAATTCCTTTGCTTTTAATATTATGGGCACTGTGAATTGTGAAACTAATCAGGTCTCTTTTATGAACTGACTTCTACATGATTACAATCAAATTTGAGTCTACCCACAAGCATATATTATGCATTTTTCCTAAGTCGTATTCCTTGACCTCTGTTTTTCTCTTTCCCTTCTCATCTGCTTCTGATGTACCTTACTGTGTTTTATTACTTACATTCTATGTATTAAAGCCAGAATAAGTGCTTTCTGGGACAATCTAAGGAATGCATGAATAGAGTAGAATTATGGAATAGGATAAGATAGATATTGATTCATCCCCTTCAAGAACAGCAAGTGTTCTGAGGAAGGAGACAGTGTTACTCATCTTTGTCCCTGCAGTATAATGCCAGACGCAGAGTAGGTGTTATAGTCAGCTTTCCCTAGACTATGCTGCAAGGTAAACAAGCTCCAAATCTCAGTAGCTTACAACAATCAATATTTATTTCTTGGTCACATTACATGCGGTCTGCAGTTCAGCTGGACTCTGTTAGACTCGGCTCCATGTGTCTTCTCATTCTGGAATCTAGGTCAAAGGGGAAGCCACTATCTAAGATATGGTACTAGGGAACAGTGTCAGCCATACCATACAATACAATGGCATTTAAAGCTTCTGTTCAGTCACAGCAAAGGTCATGTCTGGTTACTCCCATTGGTTAAAGCAAGCGAAGGTGGGCAATTGTGAACTATCAGTATTTAATAAATGTTTGCTAAATAAGTGCTACAATAATTAGCATAGTAGTTGAGCTACAATACAAGGTAAGGTTCCTATGCCATGAGAGATTGCTCTCAGACAAGTAACCCACCTAGGTGTGCCTCATAGGAGACTGGATAATTAGAGCGAAATATTTCCTCTATTCCCTCATAATTCAATGAACAATACTAATAAAAAATGAGAGGAGAGTTCATAGGCTGATTCATTCTTCATCTCTTAGAACAAACTTTTGTGTGCCTAAGAATCACTTGGGGAGCCTGTTAAATATATATATATATATATATATATATATATATATATATATATATATATAAAATATGTATTTATATATATAAATAAATTGAATATATATTATGTATATATGTGTGTATATATATACACACATATATATACACACACATATGTATGTGTGTATATGTGTGTGTATGTATGTACGCGTGTGTATGTATGTACGTGTGTGTATTTACATGTATCCAGTGAAATAGTCTCTGGAACCAGCAGCTTATGTTTCTAAGCTCTCTCTGTGTTTCTGAAGACAGCTTGGTGTGGAACCTTGCTCTGCAATCAGGGGCAACTCTGGCCTTGGTAGAGGAAACTTCTTCTCAGTCCCTGCCACCCTAGAATCCCAAGAAGGGCAGCCTTCACTTTTTCAGCCTTCTCTTCCCTCCACCGCAAGGAGGTGTGTGGGCAAGAGCTGGCTCCTCTGGGCTTGCACCATACCTGAACATGCCTCATGTCACTGGTTGCATGATACTGTAATTATATATATTCCTGTCTGTGAGTACCCACCTGAGTGCTGGGAACTCATCTTGTTTGCCTTCACATCCTCAGTGCCAACCCATGACTCAGGTAGAATAAATGCTTATTGGATAAATTTAAATTAATTTATTGTGTTAGTAATCCCTATCTATCACAGCAGCAGTTCTCAAACCTTAGCATGCACAGGATCATTTGGAGGTCATATTAACAGACCGTTGGGCCTTTCCCCCAGAGTTTCTGATTCACTAGGACTGAGGAGGGGCTAAGAACTGGCACTTCTAACAAGCTCCCAGGTGACAGCCATACTGCCACTGCTGGTGCAGATCCACAGCTGGGGGACCCCTGCATGAGAGTACCTTATCTTAGCTTTTTTTTCTTGTCTATAGAATTCTGGGCAGGTTTTGTTTGTAAAAACTTGCCCAGAAAGATTAACAACAGCTTTCAAAATTGCAAATCAGTTTGCCACGGCTTTAAATGTCCAATCACATCAGTCCACAAACTTAGGTATGACAAAAATCTATCTTTGTGATGCCATTGCTGAATTCATTTTATCTCCAAAGGCTCCCAAGGGCTAGAATCCATAGTCCCTGTGGTATCCCAAGAACAGTTTTGACACGCAGTTAATTGCCATATAAATATTTGCTGAGTAGATGAACAAGTGATGCCAGAGTATCTTCTAGCCTTCACACTTCCTCTGCTTTCAGGGTCATTTTGTGCCCTGCTGTCACTGCTACCCATGACTCTAGCAGGTGTGATTTATGGTATATTCTTTCACCAAGGGTTGGGTGCTGGTTCTCCCTCTTCTCAGCCTGTGCATGACCTTCAGGGAAAGGATGCCAGCTCTGTGCTCTCAAGGATTGTGGTGGAAAATGTAATTCTCCAGCCTTTTCTCTTTGAAAAAAAACTGAAGTACAACTCTTATCAATCAAAAGACTTAGGCTTTTAAATTTACTGATTTGCTTTTGAATTTCATGCACCTTATTTGGAACTCAAAGCCAAAAATTTAACCCTTTATTCTGTCAACTGAAGAATGATAAAGTTCATAAATTTTGAAAGAGTGCTTTATTTCTCATAAAGCAGCCTGCAGAGTGGCCATTCTGACAGGCTGAAAAGTGTAGCCTCTGGTCAGAAGCTGAAAACAGACACTTCAAGGGAGGGGCAAATGGAATGGGAATTTAAGTTGAGTGAGGTGGCTGAATATAAGTATTCAATAAGCTATTTAAAAACTCCTCAAATATTTATGAGAGAAGAAACGTGCACATGTGCAAATGAGCTTCATACATGGGCCCCATGTACAAAAAATGGCAGTTTTAGCATGATCACAGGGTAGAGGTTTTGGCACATGACATCAAAGGGTAAAGCAGAGAACACACAAACCCTTACTGTTCATTCTCCATGGACTGGAACTCTCTTATCAGATTTCTGTGATTGATTGTCCCTTATCAGGCAAAAAGGAGGGATAGCATTAAGCAGTTGTTGATGTCAGTGGTGGGGTCTTTTGAAAAAGATGGCTTATGTTTAGCCCTTAGGGAAGGAATCTAATGGTGGTTAGCAAGGACAGGTATATAATGAAGTGTGTCTAACCTCCTATCCTGCCACGGCCGAGAACTCAGTTTTTTTCATGGTTACTCTGGGGTCCTGTTGGCCTAGAGGAGGTCTATTCAGTTGGTTGAAGGGCTTAGGATTTTATTTTTATTTCTCAGTTCATAGCAGATATTTTTCTGTTCTTGTAAAACAAGGAATCTCAGCCTCACTATCTAGTTTTAATGTTTCAAAGCAATAAAATAAAAGGAATAAAAAATACATGAATTAGTATTTCAAAATAATATCAATGCTTTATTTTTGTTTATATCATATTACATCATCCTCACCATCATGCTAACAAAACAAAATCCCATACAAAATGTTTGTTACAGAGTGCAAATGCCTTTTGAAGATATGGTAGCATCAAATGCCGTTTGAAGATATGAAGATGGGTAGCGCTGGAGGTGCCACCCACATTTTGTCCATCTTTAGTGATGGAGCCTGAGGCTTGGAAGGAATTCTTACAAACTCATTCATGGTGCAAGCAGTTCATTTCCACTCAAGGAATTTCTCAAAGGGATTCTGTCAAGATGCTCCCAAATCAGAGCCTGCTCTGTGGCAGCCTGTCACCAGCAACATCATCAGAAATGCAGATTTGCTCTGATGTCAAGAAGAATGAAAACAGGTGTCAGTAGCACTTGCAAAAGAACATACCTCCTGTGGCCATTTCAGTTAATTCAGCCAGGAGAAATTCAGGACACAGACCTGGAAAGTGTGAAGGAACCTGGCAGAATGAATGAGCGTGCTCTGAAATCTGGGCATACTGGTGCTCTTGGCTCCTACTCATTTTCAGGGTGCCCAAACTGCAGTTTTAAAGAGCAGCAGGCAGCTCTGCAAACACTGAGGTAAGATGTTGAAGGAAGGAAAAGAGTATTTATTGTCTAATCACATCCCAGGATTATTACTGAGTGCTCTGCAGACATTATCTAATCATTAAAACAGCTCAAATGCTAACCAGTAATGCAGGGATTCTGCATTTTACAGACAAGGAAACAGATTCTGTAACTTGCCTAAGATTATACAAAGCCGGATTGGAACCCTGGTCTATAACTTCAAGCCCATGCTCTTTCCATGACAACATGTGTTCTCTTTCAGTGGTCACAGTTTGGTTCAGAGCAAAGAGAGAAAAGTGGCCAAGACTGACAAAGTGGAACAAGGAGACTTGACCCTTTTCAAATGCCACAACTCTGCTGGTCTTGCATGATAATGTGTCTGCTTTACCCCTCCCCGATGCAACTCAATGCGGGACAGAGAGAAAAACAAGGACTGTGTTTCGTGGTGAGCTTCTCTAGGTCAGAGGTGTTGGAAAGGGCAGATTGTTAAAGGAGACACAGACAAAGGGAAGCAGGTGGGCCATCTCTTTTAGAGAGTTTCTAAGACTGGGCTTAGACCACTTCCCCGCCCCAAACCTATCCCCTTAGGATGCTTACATAGGGATTTTTAACTGAGCGCAAAATTTTTAATTCTCCAGGAATGGGAATGAGAGTACGGTAGGATGTTTGTTTATATGCAGTTGTAGAGGGGAGTATCCTTTGGCACTAATAAAAGCACACCCAAACAAAGCCCATTGGTTTATTTGGAGATACTTGTCCAAGTGAACAGGGACAGTTTAAAAATAAACACTTTTTAAATTTTATTTGGAAAAATGTCCTTCTTCCAGCTCTCTATAATGTGACCTCAGGTGACCTTTCTGATTTGGGTGAGTTTCACAAAAGATCCATTTGGGAATGGCAACAGCCTTGAAAGCTTGACCGGACTCCGAGAAGCCTGTCTGAGAGCTTCCCAAAACATTCTTCCCTGATGTTCACCAAACACCCCTAGGTCAACTTGGGAAGGAGAGCCGGGCCTCATTGGTGTGGGGCCACTGATGCTCCTTAGAGGTACTCATCCCCGACTGTGCCCATTTGAACACAACCTCTGCTCCCAGTGTCTTTACTGTTCCTTTGCTCTGCTTTATGTCAGCTTTTCTGCGGCCTTCCATGTTCCCACTTCATTGGATTCAACTCTGTTTAATCTAGTCTAGAGAATTCTCTTTCCAGACACTGCTCGGCACTGCCTCAACCTTACCTGAAGTTCATATTGCTTTGAATTGTTCCTTTTCTTTCCTTTAGGGAGCAGCCATCTTTCTTATCAAGTTTCTTAACAACAAACACAAGAAATCCTGCTACGGCTGTAAACTATCTGTTACCAGTCCGTCTCTTTCGAAATTAAACATGATGAGGATTATATTCTCTTCTGCAAGTTTTGGTAATTCAACGTGGTAGAAACAGAATGGCTTTTGAATCAAATACATTTATTAACCAGATGAGTTTGGGAAAATTCGATAATATTCCTGAGGCCCAACTTCCTCATCTGCAAAATAGGTATATGAATAATTACCTCATATTATTGTAGGAAAGATTAAATGAGATAAGACATCTATCACACTGCCGGGTTGTCAGGTATATAGGCAAAATAATAAATGATTAATAAGTGCTAGGTCCTTACCTCATCCTCTTCAAAACATTACATATCTTCCAGAAAATACCATGGTTCTTTGTCTAAAACCTGTCTTCACAAACCAACAACTTATACCACATTGCTCTCAAGTGGGATTTGCAAAGCTTGTCTTGCAGAAGAGATACATGCAGGCTCTAAGTTCAGAAAGCATAAATGCTTCCATTTATCCTTCCCTGGGCCTGCATGTCTGCGAAGGACAAGAAAAAGATTTCAATGGCCTGTTCTGTCAATAAGGCTTTTTCTATAGAATATTCTATTTTAAAATAACAGTTGCTTGTTTTTAAAATGAGTTTAATCAATGGTGTAAAACCAAAAACCACTTTCACTTTTGCAGTCTTGGATTTCCTTTCCCCACTCCCTGATGACAGCTTAAGTTAGAGCTCATAGTTTTCCTATCACTTCCAGCTATTTTTGAAAACAGTTTTAGTTAGTGCCTAACTGACTTGGGGGTATTAAAAGGTCTGATTCTATCTAGTATCAAAACTTGAACTTCACAGCCAGTTCATAGCTTCTCCCTCTATCCTTCCGCTCTCCACCAACTCACAGTTGGCTCAGAACCCTACAGTAGGGAAGGATTGATGTAAGGACTTTGACCTTTCTCCACTGAACTTTCTGGAGCTTCAGAATTAGGGGAAGGGAGAGAGATTAGAGGAAGGCAGGAAAAAGCCCAGTGTGACTGGTGCTATCCCTGCTAGTGCTGATGGGCTGTTCTGGTCTCCCTTCTGGCAGGCCTACATGTGCTGGTTTTGTCAAGGCATCATTTAGCGTTCTGTGGAGCCCTCCCCCATCCTCACTGCACACCTTCAGGATATTCTCATTCCCTGACATAGACAATGAACTCTTCAGCAGACTCGTAGAGGCCTCTCTCTCTGGTGACCATCTGCAACTGCTATTTCTCTCCATCCTTGAGGACCTCATGCGTCTTTCCACAGCAAATGAGGAAGCCCTAGCTCTCTCTCTGCCTTCCATCAGTGGGTTAAGGGGCTTCTTCAGCTGTCTACCTATCTTCACAATATTCCAGACAGAAATCAGGCATCAGTGTTTATATTCACAGGGACCCTGGTCTACAGAAAACCCATGCCAACTTCTTGCCATGCTCCATCTCCTCCACTTTAGTGCACCTGGTGGGCCCTGGAGTATCTGCAGCTCAGTGAACATGCAGCTGGAAGTGAGATGCCAAATATCTCCCCTTGAGACAACCCCAATTGTGGTTAGCATGCCTCTCAGATCCCCAGTACTTGTCTAGGAGGGTAGGAAATGCCATGCTGGCCCCACTAGGCCAACAGCTTTCCTTCCTTGGTGATCATCTTCTCTTATATAGGCTGACGGTGGCTGGAGGTGAGTGATAGTTTTGATGTCTATTATATCAGACAGGATCTAATGTCTTTCAGTAGATCTAGCTTAGACATGTCAGGCACTTCATTTTAGTATGTGGAGGCATCTTTTGCTTATTTTCTCTGCTTTAGGGCTTCAACTAAACTTCCAAGAAAACAGAAAAAAGCTCCATTCAGCATCCTCTTTTAAATTCAAATAATAAGTGACATCATAATTGTTACTGTTATGCAATATACAAAATATATTGTATTCATTCTTAGGATACAACTAACATCAGATTTTAAAACAGAACCCAGCTGTCTTTCTTGACTCAATCTTTAAAAATTACTACTTTATGAAAACTTGCCTTTAATTTCTACTTTAAAGAATTTAAAGCCTTCTGTATGTGATGCTGGAGAGAGTCAGACAGTTCACCAGCGGCTCCAAGGCAACAACGATAGTATTAGGTTGGTGCAAACGTTATCGTAGTTTCGGACCGTAAATTTTAAATCATTGTAACTAAGCTCAAACCCATTTTTATTAATCAAAATAGGAACCATTACAATCAATACTTTTTGCCAAAGAGAAATAAGTTTGCTTATTCCTGTAGCATAAAAATCCCTGCTTTGGGATTGGATGAACTCTTGGAAAGCATTTTCTGCATTCTGCTGGTTGTGGAAGTGTTTTCCCTGCAAAAAGTTGTCGAGATGCTTGAAGAAGTGGTAGTCGGTTGGTGAGAGGTCAGGTGAATATGATGGATGAGGCAAAACTTCGTAGCCCAATTTGTTCAACTTTTGAAGCATTGGTTGTGCAAAGCATGGTCAGGAGTTGTTGTGGAGAAGAATTGGGCCCCTTCTGTTGATCAATGCTGGCTGCAAGCGATGCAGTTTTTGGAGCATTTCATCAATTTGCTGAGCATACTTCTCAGATGTAATGGTTTAATAGGGATTCAAAAAACTGTAGTGGATCAGACCTGCAGCAGACCACCAAACAGTGAGCATGTCCTTTTTTTGGTGCAATTTTGGCTTTGGGAAGTGCTTTGGAGCTTCTTCTCAATCCAATCAATGAGCTGGTCGTTGCTGGCTGTCATATAAAATCCACTTTTCATGGCATGTCACAATGCAATAGAGAAATGGTTTGTTGTTGCATAGAATAAAAGAGGATGACACTTCAAAGCAACGATTGTTTTTTATTTTCACTCAGCTCATGAGGCACCCACTTATCAAGCTTTTTCACCTTTCCAATTTGCTTCAAATGCCAAAGGACCATAGAATGATCGACGTTGAGTTCTTTGGCAACTTATCTTGCAGTTGTAAGAGGATCAACTTTGATAATTGCTCTCAACTGGTTGTTAACTTCTGATGGCCAGCCACTGGGCTCCTCATCTTCAAGGCTCTTGTCTCTTTTGCAAAACATCTTGAACCACCTGCACTGTACATTCATTCCTGGGCCAAATGTGTCATTTATGTTGCGAGTTGTCTCCACTGCTTTATGACCCATTTTGAATTCGAATAAGAAAGCCACTTTAATTTGCTTTATGTCTAACATCATTTTCATAGGCTAAATTAAACAAAAAATAAACAGCAAGTTATAAGTCGTTAGCAAAAAAACGTAAAATGAGAAATACCCGTTAAAATGACATATAACACAACCACATTTTTTAAAGAATGCATTCCAATATTAAACGCAAATTCCAACAATACAAAAACCTCAATTACTTTTGTACCAACCTAATAACTCTTTTTATTCAGCACCATGGTCCTATCAAGCATACACTAGATACTTGACAGATATCTTTATTTTAAAAAAGCAAGTTGCAAAGTGGGTATTCTCATTCCATTCATTCCATTTCACAGATAAGGAAATGAGACATAGTAGTTAAACAACTGGATCAAGGTCACACAGCTGGTAAACACTGAGCATGGAATTCTACCTGCCTGGCTCTAGTAGTTACAGTTTTCCATGTCCATGATACAGCCCAAACATCTGCTTACAGCTTTGCCTACTTATAAAGTCACATCATAGTAGCTTTTTAAGAGAAGTTTTTCCAAACTGGAGTGCACCTCCACTATTCGAGGGGAAAATGGGCTACTGTGAAGAGAGAAGAGTATTGCAGGGCCAAATAATTCTGAGCAATGGTGAGTTATTAAAGTTAAATACTTTGACTTGGCCAGGCACAGTGGCTTACACCTGTAATCCTGGCACTTTGGGAGGCCGAGGCATGGGGATCACCTGAGGTTGGGAGTTCGAGACCAGCCTGGCCAACATGGTGAAACCCCATCTCTACAAAAAATAAAAACAAAAATAAAATTACCCAGGTGTTGTGGTGCATGCCTGTAATCCCAGCGACTCAGGAAGCTGAGGCATGAGAATTGCTTGAACCTGGGAGGTGGAGGTTGCAGTGAGCCGAGATCATGCCACTGCACTCCAGCCTGGGCGACAGAGTGAGACTCTGTCTCAAAATAAATAAATAGTTTATTTACTGTACCATTCCTTAGAGACTGTAATATGCAGATGGATATTTTGACAGATTAGGGGCCAGTAAATTACAGGGTATCTCAGTCTTATTGGCCACTGATATGGTTTGTCTGTGTCCCCACCCAAACCTCATCTTGAATTCCCAAGTGTTGTGGGAGGGACTGGGTGAGAGGCAATTGAATCATGGGGGCAAGTCTTTCCCGTGCTGTTCTCCTGTTAGTGATTAAGCCTCATGAGATCTGATGGTTTTAAAAAGAGGAGTTCCCCTGCACAAGCTCTCTCTCTTTGCCTGCTGCCATCCATGTAAGACCTGATTTGCTCTTTTTTGCTTTCCACCATGATTGTGAGGCTTCCCCAGCCACGTGGAATTGTAAGTCCAATTAAACCTCTTTCTTTTGTAAATTGCCCAGTCTTGGGTTTATCTCTATCAGCAGCATGAAAACGGACTAATACAGCCACATAATCTTTTTTAGGACATTCCTATTGACCTCTCCTGTCACAGAGCTTGTAGATCAATGGCCTCCTGGATCTGTGCAGAGGCTGGTGGGAGATGGACATTGACATTAGGCAGGCTCTGCTGCATGGCAGCTGCAGAAGGAGCTCACATTTCATCAATTGCTTTTTAATGACATCTCCTTCAACACCCCCTTCCCCTAAAATCTCTGTTCTTTAACTGCTTCTTCCAGATTACCAACAGAAAAGACAGAGGAGGACATATCTTTTCTTCCTTCCCAAAGCACCCTCCTTTGTTGCTCCTGACCTAAATGTAGTCACACAGGCAGCTAAATCACAGTCATGGTGAAGCCAGCCCTATTCATCCTTCTCAATGATACCATTCTTCTGGACTTTTCAAAATAAAGAATCTAATAATGCTCCATCTTTATAGAAAGCAATTTCTTTAATTTTAGGTGAATTTGATGATTTGGCTTTTATTCAGAGCTCTTTTAAGGGCCTTATTCTTCTCCTTTCTTTTTTTGTATATTTGGAGACATTTTATGACATGCAGAACAGAATAGCTCTAAAGCATAATTACATAACTGTGAAAGATTCTCCTGTCTTTCACAACATAATACTTTTCCTTGGCCATATCACTCACCTGCCATCTGCTCCCACTCCTGATATTCCTGTGGCCATATTCTTTTCTTTTTAGAGGCAGTAACTTGAACTGCATCAATTCCACTTATATTCTATAATGCTTAAACTTGTTTTTAAATATTTTTA
This sequence comes from Homo sapiens, assembly GCF_000001405.40. Taxonomy (NCBI): domain Eukaryota; kingdom Metazoa; phylum Chordata; class Mammalia; order Primates; family Hominidae; genus Homo; species Homo sapiens. Next base: position 36,618,704 of record NC_000013.11, read on the forward strand.
AATTTTAGAATAGTTTTAGATTTACAGAGAAGTTATGAAGATAGTACAGAGAATTTTCATATACCCCATGCCCAGTTTATTGTATTATATTAGGATGATATATTTATCACAGTTAATGAGCCAGTATTGATACATTATTTATTAACTGAGTTCACATTTTATTCAAATTTCTTGTTTTCACTTCTCAAAAAACAAAATTCCATAGCTGATTTTCAGCACCTAAAAATTAAGTGTCCAGTGTTATATTTCAGAAGGGTAAAGGAAATTTTCCTGTCTCTTCTTCATGGGGGTTAGCAATAGGCAAGAAACCCCCTCCAAGGCTGAGGCCTCATCAACATTCAGCTTTCGCCTGATTTAAGAGCTCCATTTCTTGATCCTGCCACCTCCCCCATACAAGTTTCTTTATAAGATCTGGGAACTAGATCTTTATAAGGCCTGGGAACCCCAGGCCAGGTGCGGTGGTTCATGCCTGTAATCCTAGCACTTTGGAAGGCCGAGGTGGGCAGATCACGAGGTCAGGAGATCAAGACCATCCTGGCTAACATGGTGAAACCCTGTCTCTACTAAAAATACAAAAAAAATTAGTTGGGCATGTTGGCAGGCGCCTGTAGTCCCAGCTACTTGGGAGACTGAGGCAGGAGAATGGCATGAACCCGGCAGGCAGAGCTTGCAGTGAGCCAAGATCCCACCCTGCACTCCAGCCTAGGCAGCTCAACAAATTGAGTTCAAAGATCAAATTGACTTTTATTAGTGATTCATGAATCAGGCAGCATCCATCTATAAAATTGAAACCCATCTTTCAATGGGTTGTTTTGTCTCTTTTACATACCATTTCATTATGTGTGTGATATGGTTTGACTCTGTGTTCCCACCCAAATCTTATGTTGAATTGTAATTCTCCATGTTGGGGGAGGGACCTGGTAGAAGGTGATTAGATCATGGGGGCAGATTTCCCCCTTGCTGTTCTCGTGAAAGTGAGTGAGTTATTACAAGATCTTGCTGTTTGAAAGTGTGTAGCACTTCCCCATTCACTGTCTCTCTCCTGCTCCACATGTGAAGAAGGTGCTTGCTTCCCCTTCACTCTTCCGCCAGGATTGTAAGTTTCCTAAAGCTTCCCCAGCCATGCCTCCTGTACAGACGGTGGAACTATAAGTCAATTAAACCTCTTTTCTTCATATATTACCCAGTCTCAGGTAGTTCTTTACAGGAGTGTAAGAATGGACTAATACAGTGTGTTTTTTCCTCTCTTTCTTTCTTTCTTTTTTCTTTATTTTTTTCCTTGTTTGCTGGCACTGCAAGTTACTTCAGGCTTATCTTCTGCATTCCCTAACTTCATGCACCAATTTGCTCTGTCACTTTTTTCCATATTTTTGTCCCCCCACTCATAGTGCTTAAGTTGAAATCACAGATCCTGTGGTAATTAGTATGTTTTCAAATCAATACAATGATTTGACATGACAGACTGCTCCGGTAATTTTTAATGTTAATGAAACTGCATTTAGAGAAGATTTAGGCTTATTGTGAATTATTTAATTTATATAGCCAATTATGAACTGTATGCATGGATGGAGAGAAAAGAAGATAATGGAAAAACAGAGATAAGCCAAAATCATTTTTATTTGACTTGAAATATTAAGACACCTACAAGTGAATACCTTCCCCTCCCTCCCTGACAACTGCAACAGAGTGGTGGGGTCCATTTATCACTGTCCTGAGACTGGACTGGATGAGAATTGGGGAGAGCTTCAGTTTCCCCAGAAACCACATAAACTCAATATTCAAGACTTGCTGAGAAATGAAACATCAAAAAATAAGATGATTACAAAAACACAGCATAATTAATCTGTTTGCTTTTAAAACATCTGCATCAGGCCAGGGAATTTCTGGTTTAACACATACAGTTACAATGGATAATTTCTTACTGTCTCTCTTCCACAATCCAAAAGCATCCCACTTGAAGTCTAATTTTCATAAATGACTTATGATGATGGTGAGCAAAGGAATTCTCAGTATCAAAAAATCAGATTGTCAACATTTGACTGACAATTTGAAGGAGACTAGAATTCTTTTTGCGTGTGTGTGGGTATCATTTGTTAATTTTTATTGCTGAATAGTATTCCATTGTAGGGATATACCACAGTTTGTTTATTTGGTCACTTTTTGGTGGTTGACATCAATGAAATGTTGACATTTAAGCTGTTTCCCTTTTTGGCTATTACAAACAAAGCTGCTATGAACATTCACGTATAAGTCTATGTATGGACATATGCTTCCATTTCTCTTAGTAAATATCTTTGTGTAGAATAGCTGTCCTTTATGATAGGTGTACATTCAACTTTGTAAGAAACTTCCAAACTGCTATCCAAAGTCGTTGTAATTTTGTATTCCCAATAGTAATCTTTGAGAGTTCTATTTCCTCTCCATTCTCAACAACACTTGGTATAGTTGGTCTTTTTAATTATAAACATTCTAATAGGTGTGAAATATAAGTTCAGGAAGAGATATTCAACATCATTTTTATTTAGAGAAGGAGACTAGAATTCTTTTTGTGAATTAATATATATGGCAAATTAAGGAAGTGTTGTCAACATTACATTTTAAAAAATAAAATGTTTACTTAACAATATTTCCATTTCCTAAAAAAAATAGAATTGTGTGTAATATTGTGCCCCTACCAGACAGAAAGATCCAATAAAGTGATGATATGGAGTGGTCTCAAAGTACGAAAGGACTGGGCATAGTGGCTCATGCCTATAATCCTAGCACTTTTGGGATTGGGAGGATTGCTTGAGGCCAGGAGTTTGAGACCAGCCCCCTCTCTATTCAATTTTTAGAAAATTAAAATAAAATTTAAAAAATTGCTCACTAACTATGGTCTGAAAAAATGAATAATAACTGTTATATTTTATATATATATAAAACCATAGACATTATTGTAAGCAGATGTTCTCATACATTTAAGTAGTTTATAGAATTGTTAACCTAAACCTCATTAATATTTTAAATTTCTTGAGAATTCATTTTACAACTAATTGATCCTGTCTGGATCTCCGTGTAACCCTGTACTTCAGCAAGTATGTCTTAGTGGATATAATCACAAAGCAACTTAATTTTATTATCCCACTATAACTTTAATGTTATTTAGCTGAGGTGGTTCCTCCCTCTTTCTGGATCAAAAGGCTAGCAATCTCCTAACTCTCTGGTTAGTTTCAAAATTACGAAGTCCTATAATTCCGCTAAAGGCCAAGCAAAGTTTCAAATTAGAAATTAGAAAGGTCACCCTTACTTATTAATCAAACCTTCCAGCTTCATTCAAGTCACAACTGTTTCCCCTCCCACCAGATGGAACATATTCTGGGGAGAAAGGGGTTACAGTGTCTTCTCTCTTTCTAGCTCTTTCAGAGCCCTTGGAGGTTGGAGAGAAGGAAAAAGTTTTCTGTAAAGAGAGTTGTGGCATGAGTCTTAGTCCGCCGTCAGAGCTGGGAAGTGTTCATCTCTTTGTTGTGAACCAAGAGAAAGGAACTACAGAGGGATCATTTGCAGAGCGTGATATGTGTACCCTGAAATTAGAAGGACCCAGTACACTGGTGACTAACTCCCCTCTGAGAAATCTGGAGGATAAATAATGGGCTGACCAGCTGATACAAATGGTGCTGAGGGAAAGGTGGCTGCCAAAGGAATGAGCCTGGACTTCAAGTTTGTCAGGGAAAAAGAAGCATGAGTGTTTCTCATGATCCACTGGAGATAGTTTTAGATCCTGTATAATGGGGCCACTAGAGAAGGGATGGGACCTGCAGTAGCTACAGCAGAGGCTGGATGCCCAAGTGTAAGGGATGAGCTGGAGCAGTGTTATCACTGGCATTAGGGGCTGTGCAGGTGAAAAATCACTCATGGGGCTGGGATCCAATAACCCACAAAAGCACTCAGAAAACACACAACACCTCCAAACACCAGCCGGACTTAGAAAACAGAAGGCCAGCTCAATACACGAACAGTCGAAGAAGGAACTTTCCTTCCCTTCTAATCTTCTTTTTTCTGAAAGAAAAAAAAACCACCATGCAGATTCCAATGACAGTAATCTAGGGGTGAACCAGAGCAAAGGCATTTTTCAAAACATCTCCAATGATTCTAACATATATCTGGAGTTTGGTGCCAATGGTTTGGACTAATCTTCAATTATCCATGTCAAAGGACAAGTTGGGATAATTGCAGGTTCTGGGAAGAACACAGATAACTGAATTCTATAGACAACCCCAAATCTCATTTTTGTCAATGGCTTCAGACTTTTTATATTTTAACTAGGTGATAATACCAAAATTGACTGTCTTGATTTCCTATCTTTATTTCTGTCACTCATGATAAGATGGAGGTGCTAATTAACAGTGAAATGGCCTGAAGACAGACAAAAGGCAAGAGAAAAAGAGGGAAAGGAGTGTGTGGATCCAGAAATTAGTTCTTTGTCCTTGTAATTGCAGGGTTAACAGGCATATGGTGCTGTGTGCCAGAACCCAGTAAGAGAATTCTACAAATAACACATTTCTTCTCACAACCACTCTGTGAGGCAGGTTATTATCCCCATTTTACAGATGAGAAAACTGTGGCACGAAGATGATGTTAACCTGCCCAAAGTCATAAAGCTAGCCAGCAGTGAAGCCGGAATGGTACCCAGATTATCTGACTCCAGTCTGGTTTTTTTTTTTTTGAGATGAAGTCTCGCTCTTATCCCCCTGGCTGGAGTGCAATGGTGTGATCTCGGCTCACTGCAACCTCCGCCTCCCAGATTCAAGCGATTCTCCTGCTTCAGCCTCCCAAGTAGCTGAGATTACAGGAGACTGCCACCACGCCCGGGTAATTTTTGTATTTTTAGTAGAGATGGGGTTTCACCATATTGGCCAGGCTGGTCTCGAACTCCTGACCTCAGGTGATCCGCCCTCCTCAGCCTCCCAAAGTGCTGGGATTACAGGCTTGAGCCACTGCACCCAGCCTCAGAGTCCTTTTTTAACCAATACACACGTATGCTAATAAGCTCATGAGCAAAACGTGTGAGTATATTAAATAGAAAAAAAATCGGAAGAACTCTGTAGTAATCCTTCAGAAAGTCTAAGAAGCATATTTTTGAATGGATCCTGAATGCTTTTTTTTTTTTCCTGGTTATACTGCTGACTCACAGTGTGGAATTGAGAGAGCCAAGTGTAAAGGGGTCCCCACTGAAATTCCAACCACCTGCGCACTGGGAGGAATGTGCACTGGGGTGAAGCCACAGAAGTTCACGCTGTTTGCAGTGGGGAGGAGCCTGGCCCCTCCTCTTCCTGGGTGGAACCTGGGATTCAGTCTGGGAGGCAGGAAGCCCACTAGAGCAGGACTCTCACTCTGCTGAGGGTCCCTGTTTCCCTTTTTTCCTTTTTGCCCAATAAATCCCATTTTTCTCACCCTTCAAAGTGTCTGCGAGCCTAATATTTCATGGCCATGTGACAAGGACCCCATCTTTAGCTGAACTAAGGAGAAATCCCTTCAACAGAATCAGTTTCTGAGCTAACACTTTAAAGAAATGATTATTTGCAAATTCAAAGCTAGTTTATTATTAAATATTTTGGTACCTGAAAGGTAATACAATTTACCTTGAAACTAAATCCCTGAGTGAAGTGATTGATAGATTATTGCTACTATTCTAAGAATATCTGCTTAAATAAACAGATTCTACAGAACCTCTTTCCACACTCACCACTTGTACAGTTTTCCTGAATAACACAATTTCTATCTTGCTTCCCCATTTGTATTCATTTCACCTATCAGGTAAGAGAGCCTTGATTCAATCAGGGTTTTATTAAGCCCTCGTCATGTACTTAATTCTATATCTCTTTCAAAATGTCATAATCTATCGTCTCATCATGAGCTGCCTCTAGTCAGTTTATTAGTGTCCTACGTGTTCATGATGTGCTTTGCTTTCCACCATGCTAATTAAATTACTTGTTGGATAAATTATTGCAGAATGTTCCGGATGATGGCGATCAGACAAATGTCAGGGTGCTCGTTAATATTTCCTAAACACTTGCAGGAAGGAAAACATTGCTATTTTGCTCTGGTCCTCTCCCTCTGTCTCTGAAGACTGGCAGACATCAGTATTGCTACAAGATACCCTGAGCTGACTCTAGGCCAGTGGATCTCAACTTTGGCTGCGCATTGGAATCACCTGGAAAGCTTTAAAAAAATACTACTGCCAGGGTTCCAGCCCCCAGAGATTCTGATATCATTGTTCCAAGGGATTTGGGGGTGATTCTAGAGTGTAGCTTGGGTTAGGAATCCATTGCTCAAGAGCTAGCAAACCCATAGGGAAAAGCAACAAATGAGACTACGTATATTTTCCATAGTCACTCACAGTTTCTTTTTATTTCTTTTGAAATAGGTATTACATTAGTATTTTACTTGTATGTAGTTCCCTTGGGTAATTGTACTATGTGCTTGTAAAATGTCTCAGCTTTTCACCTGGGTCATGGAGATGTCATGTAAACCAATAATTCTTTGGAATTAGCCTGTGTATAAAGGAGCATTGATTTTTACTGGCAAATTTCCCTCACGGTCCACTGGCTCTAAAGTCAGAGAAGCACATGTAGAAGTAGACAGGTTATAGTGAGTGTTCTTACAGTGATGTAAAGTTACACACCTGTTTTTTTGTTTTGTTTTGTTTTGTTTTTTGACGGAATCTCGCTCTGTCACCAGGCTGGAGTGCAATGGCATGATCTCGGCTCACTGCAAACTTCGACTCCCTGGTTCAAGCGATTCTCCTGCCTCAGCCTCCCGAGTAGCTGAGACTACAGCCATTCACCACCACGCCCAGCTAATTTTTGTATTTTTAGTAGAGCTAGGGCTTCACCATGTTGGCCAGAATGGTCTCGATCTGACCTTGTGATCTGCCCCCCTCCAGCCTCCCAAAGTGCTGGGATTACAGGCTTAAGCCACTGCGCCCGGCCCATACCTGGATTTTTTAATAGCACATATCCATTTTCCAGTAAATAACCGATTCCACAGATTTTGAGGGGCAAAAACACAATGCCTTTCCTTAAAATAATGACTAAAAGACATGCCCATCTTTTTTCTGTGGTTTCCATAACCCATCTTGAAAGAACAAGAAACATATCCAGGGGAAATGGCAGGGTACCCAGGAAGGTGTTACTGTCATTGAGCAAAAAATTATTTCACATTCAAACACTGATTACCCACCCATTGATAGGGGGTGACCATAAGCTAAGAATATAGTCCACCTGTGCCTCCATTTTCTCATCTGCAGGATGGGGATAGTAGTAGACCCTGTCTAATGGGCTGATGTGAGGATTATCATGTAAAGTTCTTAAAACAGGCCTGGACACATGTTAAGCCCTCAATAAATATTAGTTGAAATACTATTTTTTTTCAAGGCCCTAGAATTGGAAATCATCAATTTCACCCAACAATTTAGCTGTCTCTTCTAAGAGTTTAAGAAGGGTGACATAATTGGCCCTTGGGGACACACAGGGCAGGAGACTCAAGGACCCCAGCAGCAGCCCTCGTTTCCTACTATTATTTGACGGTATCAAAGGGGCATCATCTCCACCTACTGGTCCCAGTCCATTGTCTAAAATTCATTTTCCTCATTAGTCAGAATGGTAAGCACCACAAAAGCAGAAATAATATATGTTTTATTCACAGATATGCACCCAGTTATCATCCCAGGTTCTGGCACCCAGGAAGTGAGCAATAAAGTGTCAATTAATCCAGAAGCCCGGGTGGGGTAATATATCAGCTATTAACATTTTAGTCTAATTAGACCACCCAATCTGACACCTCCTGGTGTCAGAGGCATTTGAACCAGAGCAACTCCATCTTGAATAGGAGCTGGGTAAAATGAGGCTGAGACCTACTGGGCTGCATTCCCAGATGGTCAAGGCATTCTAAGTCAAAGAATGAGATAAGAGGTCAGCACAAAATGCAGGTCATAAAGACCTTGCTGATAAAACAGGTGGCAGTTAAGAAGCCAGCTAAAACCCACCAAAACCAAGATGGCCACAAGAGTGACCTCTCATTGTCCTCACTGCTCTACTCCCACCAGCACCATGACGGTTTACAGATGCCATGGCAACATCAGGAAGTTACTCTATGTGGTCTAAAAAGGGGAGGCATGGATTATCCACCCCTCATTTAGCATACAATGAAGAAATAACCATAAAAATGGGCAACCAGCAGCCCTTGGGGCTGCTGTATGGAGTAAGCATTCTTTTATGCCTTTTTTTTCTTAATAAACTTGCTTTCACCTTACTCTATTGACTTGCCCTGAATTCTTTCTTGCACGAGACCTGAGAACCCTCTCATGGGGTCTGGATCTGGATCCCTTTCCTGTAACACTGTCACCTAGTAGTTCTCAGGTTTACACAGAGAATGAATAAATTGTGAGAGGAGACGGGAAAGCTTGAGGCAAGAATAGGCTTGGAGGTTATGTCCTGCCCATTGGGAAGGCAGCTTTCCAGAGAAGCCAAAGGGCAGCAGGAGGTTATGGGAAGCAGGGTACCAGGAAGCAGCCAAAGGAGCAGAGACCCAGTCATATGGCTGTACATGCACAGAAGAGGAAGGAAACCAAGGCAAGAGAGCTCAGGGAGAAGCACAGTGGAGAAGAATGGGGAGGAGATCAGAGTTCTCACCTGTGGAGAAGCTGAAAGTGATGACAGCAGAAAGCAAAAGTAGAGTACACCATCAATTAACCTCAAATTTTGCTAAGAGGGTCTACTGGGCCTTTCATATGTAGAGACGAGCTTTTGACCAGTGGTTCTCAAAGTGTGGTCCCCTGTCCAGCAGCATGAACATTACCTGGAAACTTGTTGAAAGGCTAATTCTTGGGCCCCATGCCACACCCAATGGATCAGAGATTCTGAGGATGGGGCCCAGCAAAATGTTTTAACAAACACTCCAGGTGATTCTGATACAGACTACAGTTAGATCTGAGAACCACAGATCTAGGTTAAATGATACTCAAAAGCACTGACAAAAGGAAATTAGTCCTGCATCCTAGTGAATGCGATGTGGTGAGAAAGGTTACTATTTAAATCTTTACAACAACCGTGGAAGGTAGGCCGAGAAGATACTACGAACAACTCTATTTTATGTATGAAGAAACAGGCACAGTTCCATAATGGAGTTATCCAAGGCCACGTATCATTGCATGGTAGAACAGTAGGGCTCATGTCTCCTGATTCAGTGCAAGACAGCATTTCCTACCAACCTCCTCTGACAAATCCATTTCTACAAATCACAAGTGGTAGTCTCTGAGGTGTCATTCTTTTTATAGTTTTGAGTGGATCAAACCCTTCATATATACCAATTATCGATCAATTCATTATTTTTTCAAATGAAAACTTCTATTTGGTCATGACTCCATGATCAAAACAGTAATTAATATTTAGAGCACAGGTTCATTAAAATTAATTTAGGACTTAATGTTTGGAGTTGAGAATCAGATGCAGAAAAATATGAATGCATCTTTAGAACACTGTGAACAAAATCAATGCACAAAAATTTAGCAAACCAAAAGTAGTATTGAAGCTCTGAAGTGAATTTTGAGAAAGAAGAGCGGGACAGCTTAAGATATTTAGCCAGCACATCAAGAAGATGCATGTAAGTTCATTCTTTCTCTACCATGAATATCCTTGGGTTTTTGTTTTCTGAGAAAATCTCTGCCTCCATCAGCCTACTCCAGGAAGTCTACGATATGCAAGAGATGACTGTGAACCCTGGGGAAATAAACATTTGAGGAAGCTAAACATTGTCTTGAAAACTGGGAAGAGTGAAGAAAAGTCTGGGTTAGCATAACAAGAAAGCAACTCCCTAACTGTCAGCAAAACCTTCCTAATCAACACCTCTATGGCATTTTGAGTCTGCTGGCTACATTCATTCAGACAACGCAATAAACTGTAAAGTGCTCAGAATTTTTGTTGAGGTTAAATGTGCAACCCCTAAATCTCTGCTGCTATTGTCTTACTGACTAGCTGATTTACTTAACATAGAATATGGCATCTATTTTTACATATGTCATTTATAATATACTTTAAGGAGTTGGTTCTCAACCTTCGCTGCTCATTTGAATCCACTGGGGAGCTTTTAACAACCCAATGCCCAGGCTGCACCCCAGGCTAGTTAAATCAGAGTTTCTGATGACAGTTCCCAGGCATTAGTATTTTATTTTTTCCCCACCCATCTTAGGTTCATTCTCTGGCTGAGGCCTTGTAAAATTAGACTAACAAAAGGCAGATAAACAAAAGAAAAGCATACAATTTTATTAGCATGTGCATCATGCAATCGTCTATGCACACGGGACACTCAGAGATGAGTAACTCAAAGGGATCATTAGAACTTGGGGTCTACATACCCAGCTTAGTAGGGGAAAGGGAAGAGAGAAAAGGGCACATGTGGAAAAGCAAATAGTTTTTGGAAAGATAAATGGCCCTTAGGAGAATAGATGGAACATATGATAGTCTTGTGATGACGTTTGTTTGAGTGTAGTGCCAAGAAGAGAAAATAAGAGTTACTCCCCGGGAAGGCACTTAGGAAAATTGAGCTCTTTTGGGAGGCTCTGCTTTTAGGTAGATAAGGAATTTCAGAAACCAGATCTCTTCAGCTCAAAAGAATCCTTATGCCAAAGTGACATATTTTGGGGTGGCATATCCTGATTCCCTTCAAGTCCAATGCACAGCCATAGAAAAGAGCCACTGCTCAAAAAAGACATTTATTTTATCTCTCACACAATTACAAAAGAGAAATAAGAAACGAATAGAATTTAATCTAGAAAAAAGAAATTAACAAGAGAAAAGCATAACAAATTTATTTAACCAAAGTTTTACATAACATGGGAGCCTCCAAAAATGAAGACCCTCAAACCAGGGAAATCCATATTTTAATGCTTAGGTTGGAAAAAGAATGGACAGTGATATAGAAGTATAATTTGATGCAAAGAATATGATCTAATGGTAATAAACTGTGGGGGAGCTTAGCAAAGCCTGTTTGTTCAGATTCTTCTTGTCCTCCAGACAATTCCTTTATCAACAGTTTTCACATAGAAAGGAGTGTAAGGTCAAAGCGACCGCTTCTGCAGTTTTCTCAGTTGCCAAGGTGCCATATTTGGGGGTATTGTGTTCTGAGTACTGACATATTTATTCAATTAACTTCCACTAAGTGTCTATTAAATGCCAAGTTCTGGGGAATAAAACACTGAGGGCTCTACCAGTTAAAGAAGTTAAATTTAACGAAGGCATTTACCGCTGTTTCCTCTTTAATTCCCATTAAAATCCCAGCTAAAATCATCAACCACAAGGGCAAAGAAACTGGTGCTAAGCAGCAGTCAACAAAATGTGAAGCTAAAAAGCCAATGGAGGAGGGGAGGCTGAGATTTTAGACCAGAGACAGCTGACATCTAAGCCAGCAGAAGGGGAAACCAAGAAACAATGTGATTTGCAACACAGAACCCCAGAAAGATTCAGGATCCACAGCAGCAGTGACTGCTAAAAGGAGGGATAAGCGCAAAGCTGAAAACAGAAAGCTGGGTTAAAAAGTGTTTAAGAAGCAGCCAGGAAAAGAATAGGGGTTTGCTCTCTGAGGAGGGTAAACCAGAAGTATTCTGGGCTGGGGAACACAGAGCACAGCTGATAGTGGTGGATAGGGTTACTACTGTGCGAAGACAAATTAGGGGAAAGTCTACTGAATGGTGAGACCTCCTCCCAGCTCCCATTTTCCCCAGGACTCCTATACTACTAGGAGTCAGGTCTGTGCTCCCCAAGAAGAAGAATGGAAGATATTAGCAGGGTGGGAATCAGATCAGCCCAAAGAAGAACTGGGGTGTCCCAATGAAACAGGCCAGCCAGACCTGGCCTGTTATTATTTGGCTGGGCTCTAGCTGCAAAGCCCAACAGGCAGCAAGCACTGACCTTGCATAAGGAACTTTCAATCAGCAACTGGATAGTTTTATTTTTAAATGTGACTAGACACCCCAGGATCACTGGATATCTGTTTAAAGTAAACCAATAGGGAGGGGAAGGGTACTCAGAAGAAATAGGGACAATGGAAGAAGGAAATGTAAAATGAAAACCTGTCATGGATATCCTCAGGGATATAATAGATTGCATCAATGAAATAAAAATAGAAAGGAACATTCAGACAACTAAAAATTAAAATTAAAAATAAAAAGAGAACTCTTAAAAATTAAAAAATTGATACTAGAGATGAAAAGATGACTAATAGAGATGTAAACAAAATTTAAAAACTCTCCAAGAAATACAACAAAATTAAGAAAAGAAAACTAGAAATGAAAAAATAAAAACAAAAACTAGAGCCTAGCCAAATAATAAAAATTCCAGAAGAGATGAACAGGAAGAATAAAGACAAATTCAAAAAAATTTCCCACAAGAAGAATATACATTTCTGAATTATTTAGCACCCATAATGGATTAAGATAAACCCAAACCAAGACACAGCATTGTGAAATTTCAGAATCCTGAAAAAAAAAACAAACAAACAAACACCAACACCTTCCAGAAAAGAAAAAGAACACAAAACATGCCAAGACTGGGAATCATACCCATATCAGACTTCTCAACAGCAACACTGGGAGCTAGAAGACAGTGGTGCATGCCTCCAAAAATTAAGGAGAAAATATTTACATCCAGAATTCTATACCCTACAAAATTTTAATCAAATGATGGTTTCAGGCTGGACGCAGTGGCTCACGCCTGTAATCCCAGCACTTTGAGAGGCCAAGACGGGTGGATCACGAGGTCAGGAGATCGAGACCATCCTGGCTTTTTTGTATTTTTGTAAAAATACAAAAAAATTAGCCAGGCGTGGTGGTGGGCGCCTGTAGTCCCAGCTACTCGGGAGGCTGAGGCAGGAGAATGGCGTGAACCTGGGAGGAGGAGCTTGCAGTGAGCCGAGATCATGCCACTGCACTCCAGCCTGGGTGACAGAGCGAGACTCCATCTCAAAAATAAATAAATAAATAAATAAATAAATAAATAAATAAATATAAATAAAATAAAATAAATGATGGTTTCAAATCTTTTTTTTTTTTTTTTTTGAGACAGGGTGTCACTGTGTCACCCAGGCTGGAGTGCAGTGGCATGATCATGGCTTACTGCAACCTCGAACTCCTAGGCTCAAGCCATCCTCCCACCTCAGCCTCCCAAGTAGCTGGGACTACAGGTGGACACCACCACCACATCCAGCTAATGTTTGTATTTTTTGTAGAGATGGCGTTTCACCTGGGCTCAAGCAATCCACCTGCCTTGGTCTCCCAAAGTGCTGGGATTACAGGTGTGAGCCACTGTGCCCGGCCTCTTTCACATCGTTTATTGTCATGTGTTCTTTTTCAGGAAACAATTGAAGAACACAGTCCTTCAAAATGATGGAATAGACCAACAAAAAGAAGGAGTCATGGAAAAGAACACAGTCTCCAGGAAATAGCATCCAACAGGCACAGATAATCTCCAGGATGGTTGTAAGGGGAGGGTCCTAGTAGGAAACCTGTACAGACTGGTGTAGAATGATAGAAGGCATGTCTTTAGGAAGACAAAACCAAAAAAAATATGACATAACTATTTGAGGAGGATGAAGGCAGTATAAGTAGGGAGAGGGTAGCTCAAAAAACTAAAGCCACATCTCCAAGAGAGAAAATCTAAAACCTAAAATCTAAAAATCAAGAAATAGAAATGTAGGCATATTATATAGAGATTTGAAAGTAACTACAAAATAGAAACAGTGAAAGGTTGAAGGTGGTTGGCTGCTGGGATGGAAGGAGATGGAAAGGATGGTGGGGGGAAGACAGTAATGAACAGGGAATAGAGGATAGGGGCCTGGGAACTTTTTTTTCATAATAAGCATTGAAGAAATATTTGACTTCGAAAGGTATGTACATGTAAAACTTTGATAAAACATGACATTAAATTTTTTAAATGATACAGTGAATGCCCTCAAATGAAATCCAGATAACTTGGAGAGAAACATATTGATGCAGTGTAATAAGTGATATGAGAGAGGCATGTACATGGACTTATGGATGGAAGCCCAGTGCAAAAGTCTAAACATGAGTCAGGAGTCCCAGAGATCAGTTCCTAAAGGAAATGATACTGAATTTTGAAGGATGAGTAGGAGTTTGCTTGATTCAAAGGTGGGAAAGACAATCTCCAGCAATGATATGTCAAGTGTGAAATCACGAAGAAAGAGAACCAGCAAGGCATGTTTGTGCAGCTTACAAAGATACAAGTGGAGAAATAGCAGATGAGGCTATAGAGAGGTCAGATCATTAAGGCCATGTGAGTTGAGCTAAGGCCTCATATTCAATGATGGATTGGTTCTAAGCAGAGGATGATGTGAGTAGAATGAATTGATGAGACCTGGAGAGAGAGAGAGAGAGTAAAGAAGCCAATCTGGAGACTATTGCAGTATGTCCTCCAAGAAGTAGGACTAATGTGTGGGAGTTGTAAGGCAGATAATGAATTGCAGTTATTGAAGGACAAGGTGGAGGGCTGAAAATAGAGAAGAGACAGTGACAGCTCCTGGGCAGCTTCTGATGAGGGTGACTGAGGGAAGAGGTGACATTCAAGACAAGGAATCTAGGAGGAGAAACAGATTGGGAGGGAATACAATCCAAACACATTGACTTTGAGTTGCCCATAGGATGTTCAAGTAGAGATGCTCAATAGGCAGTTTGGCACCTGTGTTTGTGGTTCAGTGGAGGGATGTGCTAAATTCACCATCACACAGGTGGCAGCCAAAAGTATCCACATGAGAGAAGTCACTCAGAGGAAGAGGACAGAGTAAGAAAAAAAGGAGGCCAATGATGGATTCATGGGCAATTGCTATGGTTTGAATGTTTTCATCCCCTTCATAATAATTCATATTGAATCTTCATTCCCAATGCAACAGTATTAAGAGGTGGGGCCTTTAAGAGGTGATTATGCCAGGAGGGGTCCTCCCTCATGAATGGAATTAAGACCCTTATAAAGAGGCTTCATGCTGCCTTCAGTCAGCTTGCCTTCTGCCCTGTGAAGACACACCATGTGTACTCTCAGCGAGGTGCAGCTTGTCTTGGATGGTGCCATCTTGGAAAACAGCAGCCCTCACCAGACAACCAAACCTGCTGGCATCTTGATCTTGGACTTCTCAGCTTCCAAAACTCCGAGAAAATACATTTCTGTTCTTTATAAGTTACCCAGTCCCTGGTGTTTTGTTACAGCAGCACAAAACGGATTAAGACAGGAATACTGTCTTCTAGTCAGTAGGTAAAGAAAAAGGAGTCACAGAAAGCTAATGCATGATTCATATTTATTCAAATCCACGAATCCCTCAAGAGATTGGGATTTCATTGCCCTAAATACCTTTCTTCTATTCTTCAGAATCCATAGTTTCCCTGAGCTCAAGCCATTTAGGAAAAGAAAATGAATGCAACCTCTTTTCCCTTTGGACTGTAAAATATATAGAATGAAAAAAAGCAAAAAATGACTCCTGTGTATATGGGCAACTGAATAGATTATGAGCACAGGAAGTCCAAGAAGACTTGCATGATGAGCACAGAAAGTTCAAGAAGAAGAGTGATTTGGTAAGAAGATTAAGTTCCATTTTTGGCAAAAACTGGCAGTGGTTAAGGTCAGGACTACAAAGAAAGCTTATTATCTTCATCATACCATGAACATGACCTATGCAGATCACAGCACATATTCTCCTATGGAATTATGCAGTATAGCATAGCAATCTTTGATTTTAGCATTTAAAAAGAAATCAACTTGAAGCTATCTTTTCTTACTTTAATGGCAAGTGCCCCATATGTGACAAGTGAACTCAGTCTTCCCATTTTGAGAAAACTTTAAATTCCCTGCTGACAGGTAGTGACGCAGTTAATCATACCAACACATACAAGTGGTCTAATTGGGCTTGTTGCCTTTTAAACCAATTCTAAAAGTTTTTACTAAAATATCAGGTTGAATAGCTGACCTAAGTCAAGTGGGCATTACTTGGCCTTTGATCCACCCATTGGACACTTCTCCCTTGGAGAGTATAATTAGACTGACAGACGTTTTAGCAAATCCGCTCCTACCTCAGACATCTCTTTCCCTTCCTTTGTAGCAGTGGTTTCATGAAGGTGCATGGGAGGAAAGAAAATAAGAGAAGAACTGAAGGGGGAAAAAAAAGATCATGAAACTATCCAATATTCCTTGGCATTTATCAGAATAATCAGAAACAATCAACAAACATAAACTAAATGTGATGGCTTGCGTTATCAGTAAGGAAAGACATCCAACATCCTCTACCCTAGTGTTAGATGGTATGTTACTTTTCCAGTGAGACATTAAACCAACAGCCTCAAGAAAAAGAATGAGGAACTCTGTATTTTAGACTAACTTTAGCCAGCATATAATATAACCCTAGGCAAATCATTTTTCCTCGCTCAGAAACCAGAGTTCTAAAATAAAGATTATAATAAAATTGACCCTGTTCATAGTAAGGTTGTTAGGATTAACTTAGAAATAATTACACAATTACTTGGCAAATATTGTATTAGATCAGAATATGTAACTCCAGGCAACATATCTTTGCAGTGGAAATAAAGTTTGATATCTCTAGGACTGTTCATCATTGTCATAAAGAGAATGGAATACAAATAAGATAGCAAATATGAAAGATATCCTTAATGAGTTCATTTGTATTAATGGATTACATTGTTCAAATCACCACACAAATCAACAAAACTTCAGTTGAATGTACCAGGTCACATGCCAAATTCAGACAGAATTTTTGAAAATATATTTTATGCTTTTCACCAAATAAATTAATGTCCATATTAGAAATTCAGGTATAGAATACTGTATCAGACAGAATACCAACAGAAAACAGAATCCAACTCAAGTGGTTCAAGGAATGTTCATAAAATGTGGACGGGGATAAGGAACTGATAAAAGATGTTAAAGTCCCTAGAAACTAACTACAAAAAAAAAGGAGTTACCACCCTTGGCCTGAAGGGGAGGTAATACATTTTAGAAACTCATTGAGAATGGAAGCCATGGAATAGAGCCTGCAGGAGGGAGTGTAGTTGAGGGATATGAATTTTGTCACATAACTCAGCTCAAAGCAGAGAAGACAAAGCCCCAAACCACAAAGCTCTCCCACCTTGTATTAGGCCGTTCTCGCATTGCAATAAATACCTGAGACTGAGTATTTATAAAGAAAAGAGGTTTAATCGGTTCATGGCTCTACAGGCTACACAGGAAGCATGATGCTGGCATCTGCTCAGCTTCTGGGAAGATCTCAGGAAACTTACAATCATGGCAGAAGGTGAAGGGGGAGCACACACAACACATGGTCAGAGTAGGAGCAAGAGAGAAGGGGGAGGTGCCATGCACTTTTAAACAAGTGGATCTCATGAGAACTCACTATAGCAGTGACAGCACCAAGGGGAGATGGTATTAAACCATAAAAAACCACTCCCATAATCCAATCACTTCCCACCAGGCCCCACCTCCAACACTGGGAATTACAATTCGACATGAGATTTGGTGGAGACACAGATCCAAACCATATCATTCTGCCCCTGGCCCTCCAAACCTCATGTTTCTCACATTGCAAAATACAATCATGCCTTCCCAATAGTCCCACAAAGTCTTAACTTATTCCAGTATTAACTCAAAAGTTCAAAGTCTTATCTGAAACAAGGCAAGTCCCTTCTACCTACGAGCCTGTAAAATCAAAAACAAATTAGTTACTCCCAAGATACAATGGAGGTATGGGTATTGAGTAAATACTGCCATTCCAAAAGGGAGAAATTGGCCAAAACAAAGGGGCTACAGGCCCCATGCAAGTCTAAAACCTAGCAGGACAATTATTAAAACTTAAAGCTTCAAAAATAACCTCCTTTAACTCCATGTCTCACATCCAGGACACACTGGTGCCAGGAGTGGGCTTCCAAAGCCTTGGGCAGTTCCACCTTGTGGCTTTGCAGAGTTTAGCCTCCATGGCTGCTGTCATGAGCTGGGGTTGAGAGCTTGGGGCTTTTCCAAGCACAGGGTGCAAGCTGTCAGTGGATCTACCATTCTGGGGTCTGGAGTACAGCAGCTCTCTTCTCACAGTTCCACTAGGCAATGCCCCAATGGGGCCTCTGTGTGGGGGCTCCAAACCCAGTTTTCCTTTCTGCACTGCCCTCATAGAAGTTCTCCATGAGGACTCCACCCCTGCAGCAGCTTCTGCCTGGACATCCAGGCTTTTCCATACATCTTCTGAAATCTAGGCAGAGGCTCTCAAGCCTCAACTCTTACATTTTGTGCACTTGCAGGCTTAACAACACGTGGAAGCCATCAAGGCTTATGGCTTGCACCCTCTGAAGCAGCGGCTCAAGCTGTACCTGAACCCCTTTGAGCCATGGCTGGAGCTGGAGCAGCTGGGATGCAGGGAACAATGTCCTGAGGCTGCACAGGGTAGTGAGGCCCTGGACCTAGCACACAAAATCATTCTGTCCTCCTAAGCCTTCAGACTTGTAATGGGAGGTGTTGCCATGAAGGTCTCTGAAATGCCTTCAGTCTATATGAGCATAGACTGTTAGAAGCAGCAAGGCTACATTTTGAATGCTTTGCTGCTTAGATATTTCTCCCACCAGATACCCTGAATCATCATTTTCAAGTTCAAAGTTCAACAGATCCCTAGAGAAGGGGCACAATGCAGCCAAGTTCTTTGCTAAGGTGTAACCAAAGTGACCTTTGCTCCAGTTCCCAATAAGTTCCTCATTTGCATCTGAGACCTCCTCAGCCTGGACTTTACTGTCCATATCACTATCATCATTTTAGTCATAGATATTCAATCAGTCTCTAGGAAGTTCCACACTTTCCCTCATCTTCCTTTCCTTCTGAGTTCCCCACACTCCTCCAACCTCTGTCTATTACCCAGTTTCAAAGTTACTTCCACATTTTCATGTATATTTATAGCAACATCCCACTCCTCAGTACCAATTTTCTGTATTAGTCCAATTTGCATTGCTAGAAATACCTACGGCTGTGTAATTCATAAAGAAAAGAGGTTTAGGCCAGGCACAGTAGCTCAAACCTGTAATCCAAGCACTTTGGGATGCCGAGGCAGGCGGATCACTGAGGTCAGGAGTTTGACCAGCCTAGCCAACATAGCGAAACCCCGTCTCTACTAAAAATACAAAAATTAACCAGGCATGGTGGCAGGAGCCTGTAATCTCAGCTACTCAGGAGGCTGAGGCAGGAGAATTTCTTGAACCCAGGAGGTGGAGGTTGCAGTGAGCCGAGATCGTGCCACTGCACTCAAGACTTGGCAACAGAGCAAGACTCCATTTCAAAAAAAAAAGAAAAAGAAAAATAATAAAGAAAAGAGGTTTAATTGGCTCGTGATTTCACAGTCTGTACAGGAAGCATGATACTGGCATCTGCTCAGCTTCTGGAGAGGCATCAGGATACTTACAGTCATGGTGGAAGGTGCAGGGGGAACACACACATCACATGGCCAAAGCAGGAGCTAGAAAGAGGGAGGGAGGTGCCACAGAGTTTTAAACAACCAGATCTCACAAGAACTCACTATTGATGACAGCACCAAGGAGGATGGTGGTAAGCCATGAGAAACCACCTCCATGATCCAATCAACTTCCACCTCAGCCCTACCTCTAACATTGTGAATTGCAATTTGACATGAGATTTGGTGGAGACACAGATCCAAACCATGTCACATCATTTATCTCTTTTTTTTTTGAGACCGAGTCCCATCTTGCATCATTTATTTATTTATTTATTTATTTATTTTTTATTTTTGAGACCGAGTCTCACTCTGTCGCCCAGGCTGGAGTGCAGTGGCACAGTCTCGGCTCACTGCAACCTCCGCCTCCTGAGTTCAAGCGATTCTCTTGCCTCGGCCTCCTGAGTAGGTGGGACTAATTGCCTCAACCTCCTGAGTAGGTGGGACTACAGGCGCATGCCACCATGCCCGGCTAATTTTTTGTATTTTTAGTACAGGCGAGGATTCACCGTGTTAGCCAGGATGGTCTCAATCTCCTGACCTCGTGATCCACCTGCCTCGGCCTCCCAAAGTGCTGAGATTACAGGCGTGAGCCACCATGCCTGGCCCCACATCATTTATCTTATTCACATTTTATTCAATATTTCTATTTTATTATAAAACCTCTGCTTATTCAGATCTCTAAATACTAGTGCCACTGCCTTTGCATGGCAATCAGTAGATTACAGTCTTACACAGTTGGTGCACAGTTCAGTATGTTCACGAACTAAATACAAATTCAAGATAACAGCATAATTGGGCTAATTTTGAGAAGCAAATATATTAGTATTAAACATCAGTACTAAGCCCTAGTCATTGCATTAAGGAATACAAAATCGCTATTTCTTAGGAAGACAAAGTCTTGGGTTCAGATATTAGCTATTACACTCCTTAACCTCCAGTTTTCTGCTGGTGCTTCCCATTGGTTTAGTTTAACCCAAACAGAAGCCAGGGGGTGATGAGATGCAGCTCATAGGGTCAGCCTTCTAAAACACAGAGAAGAATTCACAGATCAGATCTGAGGGGTGGAAAATGGAGAGTAACCAGCATAAATATAATCCCCAGAATTTTGAATACACCCTACCAACCCAGCTTTAAAAATAAAATGTATGTGCTCCTTTTAACTTATTCAGGAATCACTGAAATATCTTACTCTACATTATTCTTATGGTGATCCCAATGGGCAAGAAATTCAATATGAACCTGGGGTTTGATTATTATGCATTTGACTGCAAGTAACAGAAACCCTATTCCAGTTTAAATAAGTAGCGTTCACCCATGAGAATCTTGGACATAGTGGGTTGCTGGCATTGCCAGCAGCTCAAAGACATCAAGGCCAGAGTTTGCTATGCTCTGGGCTGTTACCTGATGCACTTCACCTCAAGGTCACAAGATAGCTGCTGCAGCTCCAGAAGAACATGCCTTTAGGGAAACAGGAAGCTAGAAAAGGGATAAACAGTGCCAGCTGCATCTGTCTCTTTTTATCAGGAAAGCCTCAAAACCTGGGACAAATTCCGTCTTTATTTCATTGGCTACAACTGCAACACACTCCTAACTGCAAAAAAGGCTTCATAAGCAAGTATTTAGGGGAATGTTCCTGCCCTTGATAAAAATCTGGCTTCTTACAGCAAGGAGGAAGTGGGGAGATATTTAACAGGCAGCTGCAAGTGTCCACCAGAGTTAAATATCATTTAAATATTTTATGGTTTGTTGCATTAGATAGTCAAAGGAAGCCTTTTATTACTCATTAAATATTAGATAAGAAAAAGCAATGTTCAGTCACTCTTTTGCTTCTGTAATGGATGAGGCAAAGAGATAGTGAGTCTGTGCTCTAAAAGTCCTTGCCCTGTCAACTACCATCAACCCATTTTTTTTTTTTTTTTTTTTTGAGACGGAGTTTTGCTCTTGTTGCCCAGGCTGGAGTACATGGCATGATCTCGGCTCACCGCAACCTCTGCCTCCCGGGTTCAAGTGATTCTTCTGCCTCAGCTTCCCAAGTAGCTGAGATTACAGGCATGTGCCACCATGCCCGGCTAATTTTTGTATTTTTACAAAATAATATTTTTACAAAGTAGAGATGGGGGTTTCTCCATGTTGGTTAGGCTGGTCTCGAACTCCCGACCTCAGGTGATCTGCCTGCCTTGGCCTCCCAAAGTGCTGGGATTACAGGCGTGAGCCACTGTGCCCAGCCAGCCCATTTCTTACAGCAGCTAGGAGAACCGACTCAAACAAAAACAGCTAATGTCTCAACTCGAACTAGGTTCTGTCTTTTTTGGAATAACTGTTTTATGTTCCTCAATCCTATTCATTACGAAGGCTTATATTTAGGATTAATGTCTAATACTAATGCATTTGCTTCTCAAAATTAGCCCAATTATGCTGTTAACTTGAATTTGCATTTAGTTCGTGAACATACCGAATTCTGCACCAACTGTGTAAGACTGTGATCTACTGATTGCCATGCAAAGGCAGTGGCACTAGGATTAGGAAATCTGAATCATCAGAGGTTTTATTATAATTAGAAATATTGAATAAGATGTCCCTAAATGAATCATTTTGATCAGTTACAAAAGATAACAAGCCACAGACCAAGAGATTACACTCCAATTATTGTCTTATATTCAGTGATCCTACTGCTTGTGTTAATGAGTAGCTGCCAAGCAATAGTCATTGAACAGGGACAGGAAGCATAGAAATCACATTCCAGATTTGGCTATGGCAGTAATTTATCCCACTTGTGCATACCCAGCATGGTGTGTGACCTTGAGTTGCTGTTATTTCGGTGGATTTTGTCATTGGTGGTTTTTTTTTTTTTTAACCTTTGTTTTATTCTGCATTACATTTCATCTATTATTCATGTGAATCTTGGAGTAAAGCTAATCTTCCTTCCACATCACCTTTTTCTGTCACACTCCCTTTCTGGCCACCTCTGCCCCAGAGCACTCCTGATGGAAGCGTTTGTTATACAACTAGGCTACAACATAAACCTTACCCTGGGTCACAAAGCGGAAGAAAAATCATATTTTGAAGTACAGAATTTAACATCTGAACAATTCTGGTATGTCTAAAACATTCAGACAATGTTTCAAAGGCACCTGATGTAAAACACTGAGTAATATTCAATTGTGTAAGACTATTTCATGTTTTAGTTAATCAGTATTGTAGAAATATAACAGAAAAAGATTTCATCGTCATAGTGAACCACGGTAGACTACAGGCAATAGCTCTTGTGATACCTTAAAAAATTAAGTTTGAATTGGGATTGGATGACCATGAAGGTCAGTCCTCAACACATTATGGACCAGAATGCCTCTGGCAGCTCCTGTGATTCTTCCTTAAAAAACAGCTGGTAGGACATGCCACTGTTTGCCCTTTTTAAACTTTTCATCCTTTCCTCCATCTTGCTATGGAGAACATGTCAGGAGTTCTTGGCACCATCTTGGATGGTGAGGATGAAAGTCACACCTTGGGAATGATGGGGAGGTTAACTGGAAGGAGCCTGCATCTCTGAGCTGGACTGGGCTTCTACTCAGGAACCTCTATGTGAAAGAGAAGCATGCTTCTATCTTGTTGAGCCACTCCTGCTGTGGATATTTTCTATACATGCCCCAACCCAATGCTAACAGATACAGCTCAGGTAATAACAATAATGACAGCTAAAATGTATTGACCTCTTACTTTGTCAGATATTGTGCTAAGGACTGTATTTGCAGTATTATCTTTAATCCTCATAATGACTCCAGGAGGCACATACTATTATTGTCCTTAGTTAGTTTACAGAGGAGAAAACTTGAAGTTTAGGAAGTTAACTAACTTACCAAGGGGGTGCAGCCAGTAAGTGGTTGAAATGGATTCAACCCCAGCATATGACTCCAGAACCCATGCTCTAAACATTAACCATGGTGGAAAATATCTTAGTAACTTTGACTCATGGTTCCTCTGTACAATCCATTCATCTCAATTCAAGCAATATTTTTGTCTCATTTTTTGGACCTTCCTGCCTTCTAAACATCCTACCTGCTAAACAAATGCTTACTTTAATAAGTTACAACACCCTGTGTTATCCAAGGTTAAGGAAGAGAGGGATGACATTTATTTTGATGAAGTATGTATATAATTGGCTGTGCTTTGCACCAAAAGGCATAATTTCATTTTCCTTACTGATGCACAATGGGAAAAACGAAGTAAAAGAGACAACATCTTGAGGAATGATTCAGTCAGGAGGGATGTGGCTAGAGGATAATCTGCAGCCAGTATTGTTCCAGTGCAATCCTCCACACTGTAATATTTAAAGTGCTTTATAGGTCAGCAGCTACAGAAAGAAAGAAAGAAGCTAAGAAATGCAGAATGAAGACAGCCTCGCCAAAATTAACCAGAACAAGTTTTGGTGGACTAGACCAGGATACTGTTGTTTCTCCATTAGGACAATATATTCATTATCATTTCCAGCCTAGCATAAATTTCTTTCAGGCTCTTCCTGGATTTTTGACAAAAGCATGAAAATGTCTTTGGTTTCCAACAACGATATGTTTTTCCTTTATCAATTCTTTTCAGTAAATATTTGTTGGAACCCTATTAAGTGCCAAGCATTGAGTTAGGCTAAAAGATGGGTACAAAGATAAAGAAGACATTGTCCCTGTCCTTGTCTAGTTGGAAGAGACAAAGAAGAGCGCATGTGGGTTAGGAGGCAGAGAGAAGGAAGATGTGCAGGAGATGAGGTGGGACCTGCAGAGGCTGGAACACAAAGGGCCTATTCTCACTGGCCAAGAGGCTTATACATCATCCAATGGCATGGAGAGCAACTGAAGGAAGTTGGGCAGAAGAGTAACGTCAGTTTTGTTTTAAAACTCTAGTTCCACATAGCAGCATGAAAGATGAATTAAATGAGATCAGAATGGAGGCAAGCATTTTAGTTAGGGAGCTAAATTACACTAATCCAGGAGAACGATGATGAGGGCCTACATCAAGGTAGTGGATCGGGATAAAAAAGAGACTGAATGCAGAAATATCTCCTAGAGAAAATCAACAGATTTAGTGTTGAAGAGATTGAGGAAGCGATTGGAGAGGAAGAGGAAAGAATCAATGAAGATTCTCAAAGGTACGGCTCACTGAGTTTACCTTGGCGTTTTAGAGGTAGCTGGTATTGAAGAAAAAAAGAGCACCTACAGGCTTTGACTGTGGACAATATTTGTTTCCCTTGACTCTACCTCTTAGCAGCAATGAACAAGTCATGTTGATTTCTTAAACTTCAGATTCTTCATCTGTAAAACAATGATTATTTTTTCTTAGGATTTTTAAATGAGAATTCATAAGATTATATAAGAAAAGAGCTTGCTATTGCCCCTGTAACAAAACTGGAGTTACATCAGTCAAGGTTCAGTGCAGAAAACAGAAACCACACAAAGTCTACCAAGCAAAAAGGTGTTAAGTTCAGGGAACTAGATGCCTCTAAAATAATTGGAAGGACTGGAAAACAAATGTCAGGGTTGTTAAGCTTTTAATCACACCACTGCAAGTATAATCCAGAGATCAGGAAACTGATTTGCTGCCACACAGGTGGAGAGGCTTCAGGAAACTACTGCCAATGTCACAGACATTCTGCAGCCCCAGAACTGTTGATCAGCAGTGAAACATGAAGCCCAGTCACCATAAAACTTATGTCTGCCAAGGGCCACGTGTTCACCACCACTTCTGCTGTCAGGAGAATGTCTCTGCTTCCCTTCCACCTCTCAAACACAAGCAAGCGTATTTCTTTGATACAGCATAATTGCATCCAGAACTCTACTACATGTAACTAATTCCCAGGTTTCTGGCTCCTGCAGTATTGGGCAGAGCATAGAATATGGTGGAAATGGATGATTACCAACAAATAATACCCAGCTCAGGCCTTAAGAAATATAATTTTAGTTATAGTGCTCATCTGAACAGGAAGAAAGCAGGTTTAGGAGTGGAGATGGTGAATTCAGTTTGGGACATTTTGACTTTGAAGTGCCTCTGGGACATCCAGACAGTTGTATATGGAAAAATAATTTAGAAGGTAGGTATATAAATAAAGATTTAGGAATTATCATCTCAGTAGTAGCTGAAATCATGCAATGCAAATGGCCCCCCACCCTCCCACCTCCCCTGGGAGAATTATAGATTGAGGAGACACTAATACCAAGCATAGGACCCCAACATAAAAGGGATGCAAAAGGGATAGAGGAGCTCACAAAGAAGTCAGAGAGAATTTTAAGAAGGAGGGTGTGGTCTCTAGAATGCCAACCAGAAGTCAAAGAACTAAAAACTTTCCACAGGGTATGTCAACTTGGATGTCATTGTTCACTTGGGTAGGTTCCATTTGAATAATAGTGGTAAAGTCAGATTTCAATGTCAGAAGGAGAGGAAGTCTTGATTGTGAAGGAAAGAGATGGAACAGGGAGATAGTGTGATTTTTATAAAAAAAGAAAACTTCTACATCATGAGAAGAACTACTAAAATGATAATAATGTTCTTTTGCCTTACAACTATCTTTAGTAGTTATGTTTCTGTGTTATGTATTCTAAAAATACTTCGTTAAGTCTGGGATGATGATCACCTAACATTGTAATGGCTATTCTGGGTAGTGTGATTTTTAAGTCATTGTTTTTCTTTCTTCTTTTCACATTTTTCATAGCTTGAAGCAAGCATAATCGTTTAAACCAAAAGCAATCATCATTATCCCTAAACCGAAAATAAATTTTCTCCATACTGAGTGTGGGTTGGGACTTTAGGTCATTTTATACAAATGGTGTGCTGTTGACAATGTCTAGGACAAGTAAGCCCAGTTTCTAGTGGAGGTAGCAAACCTTTTCCTGGACTCAGGGTTTTTAAAGGTAATTATGAAATTGGAATGTTTAAAGAAAAATGTACATAATAAATAGGATGAAGGGGATTGGAAATTAACTCTTTAACTTCATTTCACATGGCTGGAAACTTATGTAAAGTATTAGCTTCACAATTTAAGATTCAGAATTTTGAGATAGAAGGAAATAAAAAGACCATAGTCCAGTGCCTAAAATTACAGATGGAAACTGAGGCCTAGAAAGGACCTGGCCAAGGCCACAGAGTAGGAGGAATGAAAAGTAGAAGTCTGAATCCTGAACCCCTAAGAGAGTCTCTGCCACCCTTAGGCCACATGGCTCACAAGTGAGGCAGAGAACTTGGAGAGCATCAGAAAAGGCTGAGGGCTGGACAACAGGGTGTGGAGTGAAAGGTCAGAAGATTTGGGATTGTTTGACTTGGAAAAGAGAAGACTGAAGGGATCTTAATAATTTCCCAAGACAAAAGGGAAACTATGTCTCCTAATAAAATGGATAATAAAAGTTTCTCTACCCTCTTGCCTAGGTTGTTCTTTCCAGGCAAAAAGTTGCTTTCCTTTTCCCTCCACCTACCCAAATGTAATCCCCCTTCAGTGTCATTAGACACATCCCAGATCTTCCTAAACCTCCTCAGATGAGTCCCCCTTGAACATGGAACTTCATCTTCTCAGGTCTCTCCCTTTAGCACTTAAGGCTGGAACCACAGAGACGAACACACACGTTGTCACAATGCCTCATCGTTTCACTGTGGTGTGTCTTTCTTCTTCAGAGAGATCTATCTCAACGCTTCATTTGTAGCGCCCCTGACTTCTGTTATGGCCTAGCATAGGATTGACGTAAATAGCAGACACGCAATAAATACTTGTAGAATTTACTTAAACCATGGCATAAAGATTTACGTTAAATACGAAACAAATTTTTCTAATGGTGAATATTATAGTTGTTAAGTAGGATGCAAAATCTCCTCTAAACTTATTTAAAAATGGATATATTACCTATCTAGAAAATTTAAGGTGTGATATTGTCTGAAGATCCAAGGAAACAGGGATAAACACTAATTTATTTTTGAGTCTGAGCCTCTTGATTCTGTCATAATCTACATTTAATTAGAAAGTATGTATATCTCAAATACACTGCATTAAGAGGTCACTATGGAGGTTTCAGCTACATCTAATGTTGATTCAAGCCATTGCAGAGTCAAACTGGCTAGCTGATGAGATATTTGTAATGATCTTTCACTGCATCTAAATAAAATAAAGAACTGAATGGTTGCCTTGATAATCACATGACTGAAATCTCATAGTTCTATCCTTATAATGAGAAACACATGCTAAAAACCATCGTATTACTTCAATGTCAAAAAATCTGATGGATTATAGATGCATTCATTCTTTATGAATGGCTAATTTATCACCTCTAGCATTTACAAGATGTAATTTTTTCACAAATTTTTCTGTATGCCTTTTTCTAATCTTCTTATTTCTATTCATGAATTTCCTAATTTACTGAAACAAGTGATACACTAGAGATAAGAGTATATCACTAAATAACTTTGGCAGATGAATAGAAGAAAATCACTCAGCAGAAAGCTCATGACTTGCTGCGTATTTTAAAATACCATCCTTAAGGACCTTTACTATTGTTTTATTTAAAACCATTGTACTCTCAGACTCACAGGAGCTTTTCTTTCACTATAAAACATGTCTATGGACAGGGACTTGCTTTCTTATTAGCATGTAAGTTTCTAAATATAATAAATATGATATTGGGAATCATGAATTGCCTGCTACCCAGTAGAGCTCATTAAAATGTTGACTCTTGAGTCACCTTCTTGAGAGGCAGTCCTCTTTTAAAAAACTAATGTGAGCCATGACTTGAGTTTGTGAAATTTGTAGCTTCTCCTTTTAGTAATGACTGTAACTTGCTTACGGATAAAGATGAGACTTGTGCCCTCTGGGATATTTCCATGTCTAATAATGTTTAAATATAATATAATTTTAGAATAAGAAGGGCTGTTAAATGTCATTTTATAAGTTTTATGAAAGGAAAGAATCAAAGTGTCTGTCACTTCAACAAACATCAGGCTTCTATGTCACTTGAAAACAGTCATGCTCTCTGGCAGGCTTTGAGATATGGCCTTGTCTAGAACAGAGAGTTCTCCCAAGGCAGGGATAGAGTCACCGTGAAGGTAATGAAGGTGACTCTTCAGGGCCCCCCTCCGTTGCCCACTCACTGTGAGTGCTCTAAGCATTGGGTCATAGAGCGTCCCAAGAGGAGAGATGCTGGGTTCTCACCCGAAGCATTTCTATGTACTCGTCTCCACTGAGTTGCCTAAAGAGATCATTGAATTTTCAAGGCTTGCATAATTTGTTGTGATTTATTTTCTCATTTTAACTAAGATCATTGTGTAATTTTCTATCTTTTTTCATATAGAGCAGGAGTCCCCAATCTTTTTGGCACCAGGGACCTGTTTCTTGGAAGACATTTTTTCTGCAGACGGGGATGGGGTGGCGGTTGTTTGGGGGATGATTCAAGTGCATTGCATTTATTGTGCGCTTTATTTCTATTATTATTACATTGTAATATATAATGAAACAATTATACAACTTGCTATAATGTGGAATCAGTGGGAGCCCTGAGCTTGTTTTCCTGCAACTAGACAGTCCCATTCTGGGGGGATGGGAGACAGTGACAGATCATCAGGCATTAGATTCTCATAAGCAGCGAGCAACTTAGATCCCTCGCATGCACATTTCACAATAAGGTTTGTGCTCCTAAGAGAATCTAATGCTGCTGCTGATCTGACAGGAGGCAGAGCTCAGGCAGTCATGTGAGTGATGGGGAGCAGCTGTAAGTAGAGATGAAGCTTTGCTCGCTCACCTACTGCTGTGTGGCCCAGTTCCTGCTGTGTGGCCCAGTTCCTGGTCCATGGCCCAGGGGTTTGGGGCCCTTGATATCAAGGAATCTCAAAATCATATAAATTTCAGGCCCTACAAAACCTAGATCTGCCACTGCCCAACAGCAAGAAGGGTTCCTTTCCAAGGAAAATCTGTTTCAAAGAATCTTTTCAATTGAGAAGTTCTGAGTTTCATTAGCTTCACAAAAGCCCCTCGGTGTAATTTGTGTATTTGTGGGCAAACGATCTGCATAAATCGTCATTTGGATATTAGGGGTTAATGAAGCGAACACTAAGCTTTAGAGGCAAATGAGGGCCGGAATTTAGACGCAGCATCATGGACCCTCATAACGACAGGTGGATCATTGCAACAAAAATGGCCAAACAGATGTGAATTCCAGTTTCATTACTTGGCAGTCTCCTCCTACCAAGTCGGCATGAGGTTTTGAAGCATCAAGTAAAAGTCAGGGCAAAAGGCATGATCTACCCCCAAATCTCTCAGCAAAAGCTGTGTTCAGCATCTCTGAGAAAATTTGGCAGCCAGCGCACAGCATGATGAATAACATGGCACAAAGATTCAAACTAGTTTGAGAAAAAAAATGAAAGGATTGCAGGGACCTCTGAACATCAGGTCTCCTACTGACTCTATTCTGTTGAGTTAATGTTTCACAACTTTAACATAGACCTGGTTCTGATTCACTGAAACTTGTAAAACAAACAAACAAACAAAAACCTTGGAAGGGGGGGCAATTAGAACAAAAGCATTTCTTTCACTTTTAATTGCATGACTTATTAACATGCCCTGTACTGTAGAAAATTTACCAACTTTAATAACAAGGGCACAGCAGTACACCAATGTTGTTAAATTGGAGTATGTTGTTCTTAAAAATTATTTTAAAGTAAGTTCTATCATCTGCATGAATTATATTTAAATACTTTAAGTAAATCTTTTTATAAAGTTATCTACATAACTTAATAAGTCAGGAGACAATCTCTTCTTGAAAAAGAAGGAAACCCAGCTACATGCTACAAGATAGATGAACCTGGAGGACATTATGGCAAGTGAAATTAGCCAGTCCCAGGAGGACAAATACTACTCCATTATTCCACTTACATAAGGTTTCAAAAGTAGTCAAACTCATAGAAACAAAGAATAGAATCTTAGTTGCCAGGGACTCCAGGAAGGGAAATAGAAAGAGTTGCTCATAAGACATATAAAATTTCAGTTACACAAGATGATTACGTTCTAGAGACTAGCTGTCTCACATTGTACTTATAGCTAATGATACTGTAGGCTGGGCACAGTGGCTCATGCCTGTAATCCCAGCACTTTGGGAGGCCAAGGAGAGTGGATCACGAGGTCAGGAGATGGAGACCAGCCTGGCTAACACAGTGAAACCCCATCTCTACTAAAAATACAAAAAATTAGCTGGGCGTGGTGGCACGCACCTGTAGTCCCAGCTACTTGGGAGGCTGAGGCAGGAGAATCGCTTGAATCTGGGAGGCAGAAGTTGCAGTGAGCTGAGATTGTGCCACTGCACACCAGCCTGGGCAACATAGAGAGACTCCATCTCAAAAAAAAAAACAAAAAGATAACGATACTGTAGTGTACATTTAAAATCTGCTGGCCGGGCGTGGTGGCTCACGCCTGTAATCCCAGCACTTTGGGAGGCCAAGGCGGGTGGATCACAAGGTCAGGAGATCGAGATCATCCTGGCTAACACAGTGAAACCCCGTCTCTACTAAAAATACAAAAAATTAGTCAGGTGTGGTGGCAGCCAACTGTAGTCCCAGCTACTCCCTAGGCTGAGGCAGGAGAATGTCATGAACCCAGGAGGCGGAGTTTGCAGTGAGCCAAGATAGCACCACTGCACTCTGGCCTGGGCAACAGAGTGAGACTCCATCTCAAAAAAAAAAAAAAAATTATGCTAAGAGGGCAGATCTCATCCTAAATGTTCTTACCACAGTAAAGCAAAATAAAATAAAATAAAATAAAATAAAGTAAAATAAAATAAAATAAAATAAAGGAGCAGAAGAGGAGGAGAAGGAGGAGGAGGAGGGGTAGGAGGAGTTGGCAATGGCAATCTCTTCCAATAAAAAGAGTACAATTAATTGCTCAGCCTGATGAATAGAAGCATTGGTGGTTAGTGGAGGGCAGGTAGAGGCTGGAGGGTGATGAAGACAAAGATCAGTGTTAAAGCTCGTGAGAGACTAATTGACTTTCTCAGGAGAAATTGGCTATGAGCCAATACCTTAGGACAGTGGTGCTCCAAGTATGGGCCATGAATCTCTGCAGGTCCCTGAGACAATATCAGGTTATTCAAACTCAAAAGTATTTTCTTAATAATGCTAAGACATTATTTGCCTTTTTCATTGTGCTGACATTTGAATTGACAGGGCAAAAAAATGGTAGGGAAAACCCTTGGTGGTTCAGCACATTTCAAAGCAGAGGTCCCCAAATATACTAGTGACCAGCATCCTAGTACAATGAATATTGCACTTCACTGCCACTCACTTGCAGAGGGGGAAAAGCCAGAGAAGAGTTGCACTTTAGAATGTCCTTGATGAAGCAATATAAATGATTGATTTTGTAAACTATCAGCTCTTGCATATACATCTTTTTAATATTTTGTGTGGCAAAATTGGAACTATGCAAAAAAGCACTTCTACCTCAAACTCAAGTATGGTGGTTATCTCAAGGAAAAGCGCTTGTAAGATTGAGTTGTGAGCTGAACCAGCCATTTTATTCAGAGAATAACACTTTTCCTTGAATCAATGAAGAACCATCTTTATTTAGACTAGGGGATTTGGCAGACATTTTTTCCACAATGAACCAAGTGAGACTGACTATCACTTCAAGGAAAACAACTGACAGTACTTGCTGCCAATGATAAAATTCAAGCCTTCAAGTGAAAATTCAAATTTTAGAAAAATTGTATCTGCCCCTGTAAGCTTGATAGCTATCCAATACTCAAAAATTTTCTGATGAAATTAGTAGTAGCATTATTATTAACAAATATAATATTTTGTATTATATAATGAAATATGCCAACATTTAGAACATCTACACAATTCAGTAACTCAATATTCCAAGTGACCAATACATGATGTTGTGAAATCAGACATGGGTGAAACATCCATTCAAAGTACAAGACAGGCTAACAAATTTTAACGTAACTGAATTTGAAAAGTTCATTGATACGGTTTCAGATTTCACAATGCAACTCACCTTTTAAAAACCACCATTTGGTATAGTTCCTAAAAAATACCCACACTTTTCTGAAAAGGCTATTAAGATACTCCCCTTTCCAACAGTGTGAGGCTGGTATTTCTTAATATATGTCAATCAAAACAACATGTCACAGAAGATTGGTGGCTTTAAAATATGCCCACAGATTCTTTGATAGTCCTCAAAAGGTAGAACCCAATTTCTTGACTTTGAGTGCAGGCCAAAATTAATGACTCACGTCCAGTGAATAGAATGTGGTAGAAGTGACCATGTGTGACTTAAAAATAGGTCATAAAAGGCACTGTGACTTTCTTCTTGTACTCCCTCTCTTGGAGAGCTCTGGAGAAAACCAGCTGCCATGTTATGGGAGAGAGTTGAGAACCATAGCCTAAAGAGAAAGGTCAAAGGAGCAGGCCAAACGTCTGGATTCTGACAATGTGAGGTAAAGCTTCCCTTTTAGGTACCATCAAGATTCAACTACTGTCCAACCAACATCAGGCTTCTCAGGGGTCGTGGATGATGTATTACATCAGGAGTTGGCTAAATCTGGCCCACCATCTGCTTTTGTAAATAAAGTTTTATTGGAACAAAGCCAGGTCCATCTGCTTACATATTGTTTATGGCTGCTTTTGACTATAATAGCAGTGTTGAAGAATTGTCACAGAAATTATATGGCATATGACTTCCAAAGCCTGAAGTGTATACTATCTGGCCATTTACAGATGAAGTTTGCTTACCCCTGTATTACATCAATGGTCTTCAATTTGCACTGTTTCTATTCATTTTTCTCAATAAAATTCCAAGGGATGACTTTTTTGTAGGGAGAAGACACTTTCCTTTTACTCCCTCTTATTTTCCCCCAATCAACACCATGTATAGGTAATCAGTGCCAGAAAGGCAGCTGGATAATATTTCGAGATATTAATTTAAATGGTTTTCCTTCCATTTTACCTCTTTACTCTTCTCCTTCTAGCAGGCATAAGCTCACGGCCTTGAGAGAGAAGTAATAAGGAGTATTGCAGAGGTACTTACAGGATTCTGTGTGCTAAATGCCTACCTACTTAGAGAAGAAACTTTCATAACCACTTGGAGAGGGAGAGAGGGAAAGGGAGTCATTATCCAATCCTACACCTCTGCCTAGAGTAGAGTAATTATCTCATAACCTGTAGAGAGAGCTCTGTGCACAGAGCTGAACATAGTATCATAGACAAAGAGCAAATGTGCCCCAAGCACAGAAATGAAATAGCCCAAGAACCAGACCTGAAGGTGAGCAAGCAGAGATAATGGACATGTGGTGGGCATCCTATTAGGTTAAGTCATGAAGACCAGGTGGGCATTCTTAGCACTATGTAAGACGTAGAAATCGTGTACAATCTCCAAGAAGTGGTGAAGAAGAGGGAAGAGAATCCCTAGAAAGACTAAAGTCAATTGATTGAAAGAGGACTCAGAGTCAGAAACTAAGTAGAATTATAAAAAATAAGAAAATTATTTTCTGCTTATTCCAGTTTGCAGTCTGAGATGTTGTTCATTATACAAGCATCACTGGCCAGCTGAAGGCATTCATTCACTTCTTTATCCATTCAGTGAATAATTATTGAGCATCTACTACATGCCAGGCACTAGAGATATAGACATGCTCCCTGTTCTCATGAAGTTTATAGCTGATATAGATAAGACAGTTTAAACAAATACAATATGAAGATCTAATCATGGTAAGTACTATTCTAAAACATACCTGAATATGTGTGTACACACACACACACACACACACACACACACACACACACAACTAGAGAGCTAACCAAGTTCTGAAGCTAGAAATTGTCCCAGGAATAGTCCCTGACAGCTGCCAGTTTCACTCTATGCAGAGACAAAGCAGGCTTTGGGTCTGTTGGAAGTGAAGAATCACAACTGAAACTCTAGTCATAAAGCTACACACCCAGTGAAAGGGCAGATGAGTAAAATTCTACCTGTGGCAAAAGGGAGACTGCAAGGAAATGTGTCTGTTTCCACTATGTCTCTGGGTGGGGAAAAGAAGAATCCCCCTCCTGAAAACTCCTAATTACAAAATTGCCCTTGCAGGTTTGGGGTAGGGACCTACACAATCAGTTATAGTGCAGGAAACAATAATCTAAAAAGTCAGTTTAGACTGACCCTAATCTGGAAGAAATAAAATTAAGTCCTCTCTGGAGGAATGAACTCTCAACCAAATCCTTTAGATTTCCCTAAAAGGAAATAAGCCTCTATGAGTAAAATTCAGCATGAATGAGAAACAGTTAAATTAGACCCTCAAGTAATTTAAATATTGAAATTATCTCATAAATGTGGAAAATAAGTATGTTTACAATGCTTACAGATTGATATATGATGCAGCAATTCCATTTCTTGGCATATATCCAAAAGACTTGAAAGCTGAGACTTGAACAGGTATTTGTACACCCATGTTCATAGCAGCATTAACCACAACAGTCAAAACATGGAAGCAAACTGAGAGTCTACCAACAGACGAATGGATAAGCAAAACGTGTTATACACACACAGTGGAATATTATTCACCCTCAAAAAGAAAGGAAATTCTCACACATGCCATAACATGATGAACCTTGAGAACATTGCGCTAAGTGAAAGTAGGCAGTCACAAAAAGACAAATATTGTGTGATTCCATTTATATGAGGTAGTTAGAGTAGTCAAAATTACTCAGAAAATAGAATCATTGTGGCCAAAAGCCAAGGATGAGGGGGGAATGGAGCATTATTGTTTAATGTTTTCTGTTTGTAAAATTTAAAAAGTGGTAGACAGATGGTGGTGATGGTCGCACAACAATGTGAATATATTTATTTTTAAAATTATTTTATTTTTGACACAACATTGTACATATTTATGGGGTAAAATGTGATGTTTTGACACATGTATGCATCGTGTAATGATCATATCAGGGTAATTAGCATATCCATCACCTCAAACATTTATCGTTTCTTTGTAGTGGGAACATCCAATATTCTCTCTTCCAGCTATTTTGAGATATATAATACCTTACTGTTAACTATAGTTACCCTGCTGTGTAATTGAATACCAGAACTCATTCTTCCTTTCTAATTGTAACTTTGTACCCACAACAATGTGGAAGAACTTGAAGGACCTTATGTTAAGTGAAATAAGCCAGACACAGAAAGTACTGCAAGTTCTCACTCACATGTGGAATCAGAATGTATTTAATACCACTGAACTGTACATTTAAAAATGGTTTAGGTGGTAGATGTTATGTTATGTGTATTTTAACACTAAAAATAAGTTTTTTTATTATTATACTTTAAGTTCTGGGGTACATGTGCACAATGTGCAGGTTTGTTACATAGGTATACATGTGCCGTGTTGGTTTGCTGCCTCCATCAACTAGTCATTTACATTAGGTTTTTCTCCTAATGCTATCCCTCCCCAAGTCCCCCACACCCCAACAGGCCCCGGTATGTGATGTTCCCCTCCCTGTGTCCATGTGTTCTTGTTGTTCAACTCCCACTTATGAGTGAGAACATGCAGTGTTTGGTTTTCTCTTCTTGTTTTACTTTGCTGAGAATGATGGTTTCCAGTTTCACCCATGTCCCTGCAAAGGACATGAACTCATCCTTTTTATGGCTGCATAGTATTCCATGGTGTATACATGCCACATTTTCTTTATCCAGTCTATCATTGATGGGCATTTGGGTTGGTTCAAACACTTTGCTATTGTGAACAATGCTGTAATAAACATACGTGTGCAAGTGTCTTTATAGAATGATTTATAATCCTTTAGGTATATACCCAGTAATGCGATTGCTGGATCAAATGATATTTCTAGTTCTAGATCCTTGAGGAATCACCACACTGTCTTCTACAATGGTTGAACTTATTTACACTCCCACCAACCATGTAAAAGTGTTCCTATTTCTCCACATCCTCTCCAGCATCTGTTGTTTCCTGACTTTTTAATGATCGCCATTCTAACTGGTGTGAGATGGTATCTCATTGTGGTTTTGATTTGCATTTCTCTAATGACCCGTGATGATGAATATTTTTTCATAAGTTTGTTGGCTACATAAATTTCTTCTTTTGAGAAGTGTCTGTTCATATCCTTTGCCCACTTTTTGATGGGGTTGTTTTTTTCTTGTAAATTTGTTTAAGTTCTTGTTTAATATCCAGCAGAGTCTGGATATTAGCCTTTTGTCAGATGGATAGATTGCAAAAATTTTCTCCCAATCTGTAGGTTGCCTGGTCACTCTGATGATAGTTTCTTTTGCTGTGCAGAAGCTCTTTAGTTTAATTAGATCCCATTTGTCAATTTTGGCTTTTGTTGCCATTGCTTTTGGTGTTTTAGTCATGAAGTCTTTGCTCATGCCAATGTCCTGAATGGTATTCCCTAGGTTTTCTTCTAGGGTTTCTATGGTTTTATGTCTTACATTTAAGTCTTTAATCCATCTTGAGTTAATTTTAGTATAAGGTGTAAGGAAGGGATCCAGTTTCAGCTTTCTGCATATGGTTAGCCAGTTTTCCCAGCACCATTTATTAAATAGGGAATCCTTTCCCCATTGCTTGTTTTTCTCAAGTTTGTCAAAGATCAGATGGTTGTAGATGTGTGGTGTTAGTTCTGAGGCCTCTGCCCTGTTTCTTTGGTCTATATATCTGTTTTGGTACCAGTACCATGCTGTTTTGGTTACTGTAGCCTTGTAGTACAGTTTGAAGTCAGGCAGCATGATGCCTCCAGCTTTGTTCTTTTTGCTTAGGATTGTCTTAGCTATGCTGGCTCTTTTTTGGCTCCATATGAAATTTAAAGTAATTAAAAAATAAGTTTAAAAAATGTTTACAGATTGAAAAAGAGAACAGAAAATATTTGCAAGGAACTGAGATCATCAAAAATGACTAAGCAGATTTAAAGAAGAAAAAATAGAATTTCTGTAAATGAACAAAAGAATGTGTGAAAATAAAAACTCAGTGGACAAGTTCAACATAGTATTAGATACAGCTCAAGAGAGAATATGAACTGAAAGACAAATCTGAAGACATAATCCAGAATTATTTCTGAATAAGAAAGACTCAGAAATGTGCAAAACACCAAAAAAATAAAATAAAATAAAGACATTGAAAACATCCAAAGAAGAAAAGCAAAGTCATCTAAATGGCAATTAGATTCACAACGGCATTCTCAATAACCTCAATTAAAGGTATCAAACAGCAGAATAACATCTGCAAAATGCTGACAAAAGTAAGTGTCAACCTAGGATTATATGCCTGGCTACATACACACACACACACACACACACACACACACACCGGTGGAAAAAATAAAACATTTAGAAAACAGAAAATTAAAAGTCTACCACTAATTGATCCTCATCAAAGACACTTCTAAAAGTTGTGCTTTATTATATTAGTTTCCTAGGGCTGCAGTAACAAAGTACCACAAACCAAGGTGGCTTGAAACAACAGACATTTATTCTCTCACACTTCAGAGAATTTAAGTCCAAAATCAAGGTGTTGGCAGGGCCATGCTGTCTCTGAAGTCTTTGGGGAGAGTCTGTTCCATGCCTCAGCTTCTGGTGTTGCCAGCAATCCTTGGCATTCCTTGCCTCACAGGTATATCACTCCAACCTCTGCCTTCACCATTGCATGGCATTCCTCCTGTCTCTTTCTCTGTGTTTCTTCTTATAGGATACCAGTCATATTGGATTAAAGGCTCACCCTACTCCACATGACCTAGTCTTAACTAATTGAATCTGCAAGAACCCTTTTTCCACATAAGGTCACATTCTGAGATACTAGGGTTTGAACCTTCAATACATCTTTTTGGCAGATGCAATTCAACCCATAAAATTCATAAATTTATTTAAAAATGACTCTAAAAGGAAAAAGTGAAATGGAAGAAAAATATTGTAAGCAAAGAAATAGGTAAACATGTGAGTAAAACTAAACAAATATTGACTATATAGAACTATGAAGTAATGCCTAAATTGAGTGTAAAAAAATTAAATAGAAAAATAAAATATAAGATAGGGTAGAAATCAAAGCTCAAATTATCTAAAATATTATTCAGGAAAAGAGCAAAGATATTGAAGAATTTTAGACCTTTGGTCAAGTGCATAGTTTAAAAATTTAGGAGTAATCATTGAGATAACAGAAATTGAGAGTAATATCATATCTTTCAAATAGTATTAGAGAAAAAAAGTCATTTAAAAAACTCATTCCAAAAGAAATCAAGAAAGGAGAAAAAACAAGTAACATTAAGCATACACACGATAAAATAATAGAAATTATTCCAAATATACCAATAATCATGTTAAATGTAAATACATCAAACTCCCCAATTTAAAGGCAAAGACTGTCAACTAGACAAGGGGTGTTACAAGAGAAATACCTAAAACATAAGGATGCAAAGTAAAAGAATGGAAATAATTGTATTAAGCAAACAATAGTATAGATAAGAAAATAGACTTTAAGACAAAATCATTATTAGAAATAAAAGAGAACTATACAATGATTAAAAGCGAAAATTCACTAAGGTGATAGCCAATTCTAAATTTACATGTACCTAACAGCATGGTCACAAATATACAAAAGCTAAATTTCCCAGACTTACCACAAGAAATTGACAATATACAATTATCATAGAGGATGACTCCTTTCTCAAAAACTCAAAAACTGATCAAGACAGATATTAGGAAGGGTATAGAATATCTAATTTTAAAATACAATTAACAAGCTTGCTTAAACTCATGGACATCCTACCAATGAGAACACATATTCTTCTTATCTATGAAACATTTTCAAAAATTGGCCAGTTATTAAGCCACAAAGAAGCTTACAATACATTCAAAGAATCAGTATCAAAAAGGCCATTTCTTTCCCCATAGTTTGGAAATCAATAATAGCATAACTTTTTAAAAACTATTTATTTGGAAATTAAAAAAAAGGTCCTTCTAAAAAATAAAAGTTATCATATTGAATATTTTAATAGTTGGAGCTACACAATAGTAAGAATTAAAAGAGGACAATGTGGTAGAACCTCTTGACTTCTGCTTCCAGGAGGATGGTGTAGATGTGCTTTTCCCTACTTCTCCTGCTAAGTACAGCTAAAATTCCTCACCAGGGGGCCATGGCTCATGCCTGTAATCCCAGCACTTTGGGAGGCCAAGGCAGGTGGATCACCTGAGGTCACGAGTTCGAGACCAGCCTGACCAACATGGAGAAACCCTGTCTCTACTAAAAATACGAAATTAGCTGGGCATGGTCGCACATGCCTATAATCCCAGCTGTTTGGGAGGATGAGGCAGGAGAATCACTTGAACCTGGGAGGCTAAGGTTGTAGTGAGCCAAGATGGCACCATTGCACTCCAGCCTGGGCAACAAGAGTGAAACTCCAACTCAAAAAAAATATATATATATCCTGGACGATATGTATAAAACCACAGACATATGAAGAGACTGGGAGATAGAAAAAGGCGGACCAACTAGGGCATCTCAGAACTCAAGGAACGACATGCTCATGCACTCCCTGGATTTTCTTTTGCTTCATAAATCTCAAACTGTGTGCTGGAGAAGCCAACCACATGGAAATGCTGAGGGGCACATAAACAAACAAATAATTAAGACCTATTTTCTCTAGCCACAGGACTAGGAAAAGGGGCAATCCAGCAAGACAGAAACTTTTAGACAATAACCACTCTACCCCAACCAAACACCACAAGAACAACCTCTCTGTGTGATTTTTCAACTGATCAATCTATAGTTACTTTAAGATGAAAAGTTTTTTTTAAATGAGTGATGCGATAGTAAGTAGCTGAGTGGCTAGTTTATTTTAGAGGTCAGAGAAGCACTCTCTGAGAAGGTGACATTTTGGTTGAGACCTGAATATCAAAAATTGAAGCAGAGGAAACATCTAGAGAAAAGTCCCTAAGGTGGAAGTGAGTTTGGTGTGTTCTAGAAAAAGAAAAAGAAAAGTGAGTTTGGTGTGTTCTAGGTTGAAAAGTACAGGAAGAGTGGGGAAGTGATACAAGACAAGTAGAGGTGTGAGAAAGCCCAAGACATAGAGTGATTTTTATACCTAATTAAAAGCCATTTAAACAACTGAATTATATATTCTGATTTCAGTTATTAAGTTTTTAATAACTTAATTATGCAAATAACTTTAATCATGCAAATAACTTTAATATTTTTAATCTTTAATCATGCAAATTACTTTAATATTTTTAATCATGCAAATTTTTATTGGAAAAGAATTGTTGTCCAGCCAAGCTGCAAGCAGAGGAACTAAGGAGTCCCATGAGTTGGTGAGAGATGGTGATAGCTTAACATATGAGGTAACCATGGAAAAATTATGAATATGTTTTGAAGATACAATAGACAGATTTTTTAAAATGTATTAGATGTAAGAAATTTAAAAAAAAAGAGCAGACAGAAGGGAAACTTCTCAGTTATGGTTTAAGAACAGGGTAGATGGTCATGCATTAACTGAGACTGTGAATATAGGACAGAATACAGGCATGCGGTTGGGGGTGAGGAATAGAAATTCAGAGTTCTATGTTGACAAAGTTAGATTTAAGATTGGATATGTAAATGAAGGTGCTAGGTGGGCCCTTCTGGGAAGAAGTCCTATTTGATATATAGAGACTTATTAGCATAAAAATGGTATCTCAATCACAGGATGACACCTCCCAAAGCAGATGTCTGTTGATAGAAAAGAAAGAGGAATTAAGACTGAGCCAGGGAGAATTCCAAACTTAGAGGTCAAGATGAGCAGAAGAAAGGCGAAGGAGATTGAGAAAAAGTGGCTAGCAAAGTGGAATAAAAACCAGAATATTGTAGTGTCACCTCTTCTAGAAGGAAGAGGTGATCAATGGGTCTTAGACAAGAACAGAGAAGCGGTCACTGTATTTGGCAATATGGAA
The DNA here is from genome assembly GCF_000001405.40 of Homo sapiens. Lineage (NCBI taxonomy): Eukaryota > Metazoa > Chordata > Mammalia > Primates > Hominidae > Homo > Homo sapiens. Next base: position 36,660,147 of record NC_000013.11, read on the forward strand.
GCTATTATTGTCCTTTATGAAAGAAGTCTCCATGGAGTGGTACAAAGGAAGTCTATTTGGAGTGGACTGGGTCAACAATGTAAGGTAAAGAAATAGAACCATGACTATAGAAAACCCATTTTTGAAGTTGAGCTATGAAGGAAAGAGGAGAAATGGGGAGGGCAAGATATGGAAATGGGATGAAGAATTTTTTTGAGATAGAATATACAAAAGCAGTTTAATTAAGCTAATGAGAATGATACTATATAAAGAGATATTGACGATGATCCAGGTAAGAGAGGATTACTGCAAGGAAAATGTTCTTAAGAAGCTGAGAGAGAATGGGACCCAGAGCATAAAAGGAAGTGTTGGACTTCAACCATAGTAACAAGAAGGAAGGGAGACTACGGGTGCAAGTGGAGGCTGCTAAAGGAAAGATGAGACAGTTCTTATTTTATCTCAACCATTTTCTCAAGGAAGTATGAGGTAAGGTTGTAAGTTACAAGTTAAGATGTGGAAGAAGTGGCATAGGAGTTTTGAGGGGGAGAAAAGAAGGTGTGAAATAGTTGTTTAGAAGTGAGAACTTGAACATGCCAGAGAAGACCAGAGGATTGCTAGGCAGTGTGGTGTGCCCTTCCAAGAGCTGTGATCATGGACCCAACGTGAAACCAGCCAGCCTGGCCTCCTGTTCCTCTCTAGCAATACTGAGCTACTTGAGTGCAGGCATGTTGTTGGCAGGTATTTGGGTTTAAGTAGAGCTGGACGGATGAGTTGGTTGCCAGATGAGAGATGAGTGTGATGACAGAAGAGAAGAACGAAGGACTCAAAGGTGTTTGGAAGAGAGTGACTGCAGTGTTGCGTGGTCTTCAAACTCTTGCTTGCATAGCCCCTAAAAATAGTTTTGAAAAACTATGTACCCACACATTTTAAGATAACATCTAAATTTTTCATTGTAAGTCTAAATGTGATATATTTTTGACATACAGTACACTTTTATATCTCACTTTTTAAAAAATGTAACCAATGAATTTAAATACCATATAATTTTGGTACCTACCATCATCCATTTAAAAATACATTTAGAAGTGCTTCTTAAATTGAAATTGTACATCTTTTCTTTCTATTTGAACCTGTACTTTCAGTCTACTCCCTTCACACCCACCCCCACAACTAAATTCTACAATATATTTTTGTACTCATAAGATTTTTATTTATCATTCTCACACATTCCTCTGCAACAAAAATATGTATATAAACTAAAGTTCAATGTAATTTTTATATTTTCCATGAGTATAAGCCTCTAAGTGTTGAAAATTGTCTTCTAGACTAACTTACTATTGCAATTATGATTGATATACAAGTGACTAAAATAATTTTTATATATTCAGACTTTTATCAAAACAGAAATATGTTAACATTTTTGATAAGTAACTATTAAACATAAAATTAAACATTTTATTGTAAGTTCTTCTCTTAATACAAACTAGAACAGTTTAGATAAATGAGGATACCTTTTTCCAGTTAATTATTTCATCCATGGGAAAAAGTTACTTATTTCTAGATTAAGTCATAGAAAATATAGACCATCATTATATATTTTTATTGTTATATATGTGCTGAGAAACTTTTTTCTCATACCTATGTAGATAAGAATAGAAAAACATTTTATAGCAATGTCACTCAACCTTTTGAATTCCTTTTGATCTGAAAGCCAAAAAATATCATATAAGGATCTATCATCCTTATGTTATATGGAATATGTTAATAACCTATCAGCTGATAACTCAATTTATTGGCAGTAAAGAATTAGAAATCTCCTAACTTGCAAATGGACTTGTTATCCAGTTATTGGAATCATTTATTTTTCTGAAGGAACACATGCCAAAAAAGCTTTACTAAGGTTTATCTGAATGTAAATTATAACTTGCTACTCTTTCACTTAGAGGCACTTTGTTTAATTCAATATATTCAGATAGAAATTTGGAAAAGTAAATAATGTTAATTTGATTATGCCTTGGTCAATACAATATGTTTGATAAAATGCTTTAATTTAATCATATTTTGTTTTAATTAAACTTCTTTTCTTAATTTATAATTTTTGTGGGTACATAGTAGGTGTATATATTTATGGGATACATGAGATGTTTTGATACAGGCATGTAATGCATAATAAACACATTATGGAAAATGGCGTACGCACCGCTCAAGCATTTATCCTTTGTGTTACAGTCTAATTATATTCTTTTTGTTATTTTAAAGTGTACAATTAAATTATTATTGACTATAGTCACCCTGCTGTGCTAGTTCTTATTTATTTTTTCTGTTTTTTAATACCTGTTAAACTTCATATTTCGAGATAATTGTAGATTCACGTGCAGTTGTAAGAAACAATACGGGGAGAGCTTGTGTACTCTTTATTTGGTTTCCCCCTCTCATCACATGTTCTTTGTACATTTTCTTTTTTGAGACAGGGTCTCGCTTTGTCACCCAGGCTGGAGTGCAGTGGAAGCGATTCAAGCGATCTCAGCTCACTGGAACTTCCACTTCCCGGATTCAAGCAATTCTCAAGCCTCAGCCTCTCGGGTAGCTGGGATTACAGGCACTCGCCACCATGACTGGCTAATTTTTCTATTTTTAGTAGAGACAGAGTTTTGCCATGTTGGCCAACCTAATCTCGAACTCCCAACCTCAGGTGATCCACCTGCCTTGGCCTCCCAAAGTGCTCGGATTACAGGCATGAGCCACCACGCCCAGCCAATACATTTTCATCAATACTTCAAAGCTGTAGACTTGGCTCTTTCAATATAAGGAAAACGCCCTCCATGCAATCTAACTGGCAAAGCCAATATCAGTGCCAAATCAGCAGCAATATCAGACTTTATTGCATTCAGAAAGCGGCTGACTTTTTACAATTGTATCTTCACATGTATTTTATGGATATTATTAAAATACTGAGGTAGAAACTACCGAATATATTTTGCAAACTAGATTACTTGTTTCTGCAGCCAAGATTAAAATGATGTAGAATTCATATAATTATTTTGTATGTCTTTCAGCTATTATAAAAACAAGACCACAATAATACATTGTTTCTCAATAGTTATCTGGTATAATGCAATGTAATGTGCAATGAGATGGTAATTTTTTTATGAAATGAGAACTATTATGATAACATGAATGACCTTCCTCTGGTAAGTGAGTTGTATACATGAATCAAGTTTGTTTTTCATCCTTTTGGAATGAGTAAATAAGAATTAATATGAAATTAGAAATTTTCTTTTTTTTTTCTCCTTTTATAGCTATGTTGCCAGAAGAGGTGAATAGAACATTTTTTTTAATTTTTAAAATTTTTTTAACTTTTATTTTAAGTTCAGGAGTACATGTGCAGGTTTGCTACATAGGTAAACTTGTGCCATGGGGGTTTGTTGTACAAATTATTAAGCCTAGTACCCATTTTCTATTAATTTTCTTAGATACAGTAGTCTTCAATAATAAATTTAGACTTTTCCTCTGAATTAAGGAAAAAGGCACATATGCTAAAAACTCACTGGCCCAGCAGCCAACACATAGTATTATTTACTGTTAACAGGAGGCACAAATTATTAAACATTTTATAAGGTAAAATCTTAAATTTGTTAAAAATAAATTTTAGCTATCTTATTGAATAATGAACATGAACTTAAATTATTATTTTTTTACCTTATATATCTTGAAAAAATTGCTAATCTTGGAAAGCATTCCACTGATAGCTGCAAGAATCAGCATCATGAACCTATTCTACCAGGACAGTTCAAAGGTTCTTTTCATTTCACTTGATAAAATGTCCTGGGAATGGGGGAAAGAGTAACTCTATGGGAAAAAAATCTGCCAAACACTACCTCAGCCAGGTGATCAAGGCTAACATCAACAGTGATAAGTCATGTTGATAGTGTGTACCCTGGATATGATGTAAAGAAAATGGCACTTTACCTCTGAGATTTTTCTCCCAAAACCTAGAAGTCCAGTCTAATCATGAGAAAAACATCAGATGAATTCCAATTGAGGGATATTCTACAAAATACTTGGCCAGTATCCCTCAAAATTGTAAAGGTCATTGAAAGCAAGAAAGTATGAGAAAGTGTCACAGCTGAGAGTAGAATATAAGGAGATATGAGTGCAGTATTCTGAATAGGACACTGGCATAGAAAAAAGATATTAGGTAAAAAATAAGAGAAATAATATGGCCCTTAGTTAATAATAACATCATTATTGAAACATTAATTGCTTTATTAATTATGACAAATATACCATAATATTGTAAGATATTACTAATAGGGGGAGCTAAGTGTGCAGTAGATGGGAATTCTATCTTTGTCAATCTTTGTAATCTATCATTGTTCTAAAATTTTAAAATTTAATTTAAAAAATAGTCCTAAGGATAAGTATCTTGAATAAATAAAGTAAAACAAAAATTGTTCAGGTATGTTTTTTAACATGTTGTTTTTAATTCTCAGCATTTTCTGATGATATCTTCTTTGCTTTGCCTTCACAGGACTCTACTTTCAGAGCAGTAGTTTCCTTGGTAACAGACCAAAGATAAAAGAGTCAAAGTAATTAAACAAAAAAGATTATTATTCTTTCCATATCATTCTATCCCGTATCTGACTCCAGAACATTCCAACATGGGAAAGATACACACTGTTTATAGGACCAAATACATAGAAGACAGGAAAACCAGGAAAGTCCTAAGTGTTTCAATTAATTATTAAGAACATTTTCCTAAAACTAATACTTTGGCACATCACTTTATTTGGCACTCTGAAGGTTTTACGGCCCAGTTGCATACATGATAGTAAGATTCGGGATGGATGAGGTATGTGTCTTTCTCATGTAGAGTAGGTGAAGGGGCTCCATACATACCTGTGAGTTCTCAGGTGGACCTACTTAAGAAAAAGAATCTATATGATTGAGAGTTTCCTTAAAACTTTCTTTGCAAGGAAGTCCTCCCTTGGGAAGTCTTCCTGTACCTGATGGGCACCTAGTTTGCAGACCACTGGAGTGATGAATTATGGTGTCTAAGCTGGACAAGAAGGGAAGTGAGAACAGAGGGGGATGACCGACTGAGAAAAGCAGTGGGCACTGGTTTGGAGGGTCCCGTGAAGGTGGAGAAATACCTGGAGAAGTAGGAAAAGAAAAGAGAGAACAAGAGTAAGAAGAAGGGAAATGAGATTTCTTTAAAAAGAAATGGAAAAAAAAGCACAAGAAAAGGCAAGACTGGAGTGTGCGTGCTGTTGCGGGCAGGACAGTACCAGGACCAGCAGCATTTTCAGGCAGGCCTGTCTTCTCACACATCTTCATGGCAACCACCGCTGCCCGTGCTCAAGTCTGTCTTCTTCCCAACTGTGTCTCACAAACCCAGAACAGTTCCTGGCACAAGGGAGGTGCACAATAAATATTTGTCAAATACATGAAAGTATTTATGACATTTAAACTGCAAACACTGTTCAGGGAAAATTTTCTCTACTTACCTGCCTGCATATCAAAGCAAGAAGTAGAAATCCTATTGCTACTGGCTCTGTTTTTATGGCACCATTTCCCAAAACACTTTCATTACAGGTACTTTGCATGGAAATACCTCCTTGAGCTTTGAAAAACATTTTTAACATATGAAAAAAATAGTTCAATATGTAACAGTAAGTCTGTTGAGTCTGCTGTTCTTTCCTGTCTCCCTCCGGCAGTGTCTGTGGAAGTGTCATACTTTCTTATTCTACACACATAATACTCTGCTAATATTTACGGTACTGAAAGAATCAGGATCCATTTCTGTTTTCTTCTTTCATTGACTTGAGAGCACATTTGCTCAAGATGCACATTTTCCCAGGCTACCAATTGTTAATTCATTTTCACCTGAGTGTCCGGGGAGCAGCTGCCTGCACTCCAACTGTCCACTTGACAGTCAGTGCCATTCACATACCACACTTCTGATGAGGATCCCTTCGAGTAAAACCGCAAAATGAGGCAAAGAATATAGCAGATGAGTTTGGCTCAGAACTATCTCAATAACAATCTTCTATTTTCTTCAAGATCATCAATACTAGTATGGTTAAATAACATTGCTGGGTTTTTAACTCTTTTTCCACAAGAGAAAGCATATTTTAGTCATGCTGAAAGCTGTAAGCAGACTTTCCCCATATATTTGAGGGTTAAGCTGAGGAAAGGATGACAACGCTCTTGCCAGACAATGGAAGTTACCAGTGCCAGACATTTTGGGCTCCAATATCTCAAACCTATTTAGCTCTTCTCCACTCCACTCCACATTTCTTATTAATTCCTTCAAAGTTAGTTTTCTGTCCTAACACCCCAAGTTGCCCTTTTGCTGTTATTAAATTGTAAACCACGTCAAGGAAAACTGATCTTTGAGAAGTACCTAAGTGGCACATTATGAACTGCAAAGCTCCCACAGAGCAATTTAAAATGATGAATATCCTTTTCAAACATCCTCTTCAAAATTGCACATGGACCTGAGCCAGTCACAAGACAGAGCTGTGGAGGATGCATGAAGCTCCCCGTCTGCTCTTCACGTTGCTCATCATTGATTTATAACACGCAGTGCGTCATCTGGCCACACAGACATTGATGGGGCTCGTACCCCATGAAAAGATGCATCCATGGCATTAACGTTTTTCTCCTACCTGCACCCTGATGTGACTCACTGCTATTCCAAGAGCATTTCCACCCACTATTCTGAAAAGGAAAAATAAAAAAACAAAACAAGAAACCTGTGGTATATTTTAGACTTTGAAGGAATAAAGCTCTTTAGAGATAACTTGACTTCTGCTTTCTTTAAAGCAGCTTTGATATGTCTTCTCTCCCTTCAAACACAGCAGCATGAGTAAATCCACTCCTTCCTGCTTCAAGTCTCATAAACAGAATCACTTTTTTTTTTCCTGGAGTGTGTACCATTCACTGCCTGGGTGAGACATACAGATATTTCCTTTCAAACAAGCCGTGAGAGGGCACTGTATGTTGCAGGAGATAAAAATGAAGGCCACAGGCTGGACGCAGTGGCTCAGGCATGTAATCCCAGCAGTTTGGGAGGCCAAGTTGGGATGACTGCTTGAGCCCAGGAGTTTGAGACCAGCCTGGGCAACATAGTGAGACCCTCTCTTTACCAAAAATTAAAAAATTAGCCATGTATGGTGTGCATGCCTGTAGTCCCAACATCTAGGGAGGCTGAGGCAAGAGGATTGCCTGAGCCCAGGAGGTTGAGGCTGCAGTGACCTATGATCACGCCACTGCACTCCAGCCTAGGCCATAAAACAAGATCCTGTCTCAAAAAAAAAACAAAACAAAACAACAACAGGAAGGTTGCAGATTCCTATAAGTAACCTAAAGGCACAACTAATGCTGGTGTAACTTCTGAGCAGAACCTCCAATGGGGCAGGTATGATGCCTGTCTTCCTCGGCCCACTTTAGCCTGGTCCCATCTCCTGGAGGAGCAGAAGGGTAAAGAAAATCGTGCAAACTCTCACTCTGCAGCTGGCGCAAGGCAGGCTGGGAATGGGGCTGTTTGGTGCTGGTGTCTACCTCATTAGAACAGCCACTATGCTGGCCCCGCTGCTCTCCAGCCCTCTTCTCACAGGGCAGCCCGCCAGGACCTTCCTTCTTGGAAATGGTCCATAACACATTCCCTTAGAATGTCCCGGGACCTCTCGTTGCCATTTTCCATGATCTACTCTCCACTCTCCCCCTGCCCAATGCCCAATTCTTCTGCCCTCTAATTTGCTCATTCCCTGAGATCAGACTTCTGAGAGTTCGCTTTGAGGGTAAACTCATACAATCTGCTTGGGTGCTAATGGCTAGTGCACAGAGAAACACCCCTGGCTCTTCTTTCCCTTCAGGGAATAGAGCACGTCTTAAACAGAGGCCTCTTATAAAACATTAATTTTCCAGCCCAGAGGAGGAGGTCTCCTGCTTGGAATTTCAAGTAAGATAAGAAGAGAAAGGGACATCTTGGAAAAGGCGGATCAGTGACTTTTGAGTGACTCTATTTGACAGCTATTTACTGGGTCCTAGTCAAAACATCACTGCAATCCTTGGAATCTTTTGGTCACAAAAAAAAAATAGATTTTTGCCAGGTTACCTCAGATAATAGGGGAGCTATGGTAAGGATACACATCAAAATAAGAGCAACTGGAATTTCAGGGGAGCACATGAATAGCCAGGGTTATTCAACTTTATAGAAACTGAAATGTAGTTTAGAAATTGGAAAAGAGTTCAGGATTCAAGGCAGATCTAGTGAATATGTTAGCACGGAGTCCCCTGAAAAGAGGGGTTCATTCATTCCCTTGCCTTCATGTTCCTCTTGGCTTCAACTTGCCTGCCACTATCAGCCAACCACCACTCCCTCTCCTCTGCATGTATTTTGATTTCTGCTAGCTCATAACTTCTGCTTATTCATAACTTCTGCTTACTCATAATTTTAACCTACACATCTCTTCTCCTTTCTCTTAGTTTCTAGGTGTACGTTTTTTGCTTCTGTTATGGATTCTAATTGACCCATTCTAATATTCCAGTTCAAATGCCCTAGATGGAGAAGTTACCTGGATCAGTTAATTAGCATTCTTCTTGTTGAAGTACAGCCTTTATATCAGGCCTCAGCCAAAGTATTCTTAGTTGTGAGCAATAAAAACTGTTTTGGCTGGTTTAAACAACAACAAAAAAGGAATTTATTGAAAGGATTGAAGAGATGCTCAGAAAATGAACAGAGTTATTTTCTCAGAGTTCCTTTACAGAACACAGGTCTCTGATATTGTGGCTGATGGAATAAGAGGCTTGCTTGAAAGAAAAGAGAGTGAGCATGAGAGAGAAGATAAAGTTTGGAAAGGCAACATCAAAAGGAAGCTGAGATGAAGGAATAAAGGAAAGTGAGAGACAAGTTAGTCCATGCAGTAACCACGGTAGAACATTTAAAAAGTTTCCTGATAACCTAGAAGAAAATTAGTAAAAGTACTTCTGAATGTTGCTTTCAGAGCATGGCTGCAAGGAAGGAAAGATGGAGCTAGTATTTTTGAGCACTTACCAGATAGCAGACAACTGTTTGGAACTCTTGTGTGTGCATGTGTGTGTGTGTGTGCATGCACGCGTGTGCACACGTATTTAGCACTCAACAACCATTTAATAAAGCAGACACTATTTTCATTTTATAGATCAGGAAAATGAGGCTGAGAGGTTAAGTGTTTGGCTTAATTCACACAGAGAGTAAACGATAGCATCAGAATGTAATGACTCTCCATCTGATTCCAAATTCCACACCATTTTTTCACAACCCATTTCTCCCTGAATAAGACTGAAGGGGAGGAGAATAATCATTGTGTTCCCTAAAAGTTATGTCTCCAAACCTTGCCTGTAAATTCCCAGGCCTTTGAGTGGTACCTGTCCTACCTATGAAGACGTCCTATGTAAGTAAATTTGTCAAGTAAAATGTTCTAGATATCTTATATGTGAAATTTTTTAAGATAAAGAGAACAAAGGCTTTGTTTCCCATATCAAGCTAGCTTCCCAAATTCTTCACTGTACTTGGAGGCTGATATTGTTTGACTGTGTCCCCACCCAAATCTGATCTTGAATTGTAATAATCCCCATGTGTCAAGGCGAGGTGGAGATAATTCAGTCATGAAGGTGGTTTCCCCCACACTGTTCTCTGGTAGTGAATAAGTTTCATAAGATCTGATGGTTTTATAAATGGGAGTTCCCCTGCACAAGCTCTCTCTTGCTTGCCACCGTGTAAGACGTGACTTTTCACCTCCTTGCCTTCCACTATGATTGTGAGGTTTCCCCAGCCATGTGGAACTGTGAGTCAATTAAGCCTCTTTCCTTTATAAATTACCAAGTCTTGGGTGTGTCTTTATTAGCAGCATGAGAACAGACTAATACAGAGGCAATAAAGGAGTTTTGTACCAGATCAAACAGAGGATGTTATCAAGGCACCCTACCCTAAGCCAAAAAGATAAAGAGAAAGAAGAATTACAGAACCACTGAGTTTACAAAGTAAGACCACAAAACACATTTACATGTTTTCCCTGTGTCATTTTTAAATGGCCAGTATTTTTTTTTTTTTGAGAAGTGCAAAGTGGCCCTGTTGACTTTGGCAGCTACCCAAAAGCCTAAAATCACTAGAGTTTACCCAATGTCACCCTGAGGAGGTAGGACACCCTCACACAAAAGCAGAGGGGTTGGGCAATCACTGATACTAACTGTAGTGGGTTGAATGGTGCCTCCCCCAAAATATATGTACATCTAGAACCTGTCAATGTGACCTTATTTGGAAAAAACAGTCTTTGCAGACGTAATTTAATTGAGAGTCTCAAGATAAGATCATTCTGGATTATGGTGGGCCCTAAATCCAATGAAAGTGTCCTTAGAAAAGAAGGGAAGAAGAAACATATCAGGGAGATGATTTGAAGTCAGAAGCAGGGACTGCAGCAATGCATCTACCTACAAGCCAAGGAACACCAAACATTTCTGAATGCTGAGAAAAAGGCATGCCCAGTAGTCCCCCTTTTATCTGAGATTTCACTTTCCACGGTTTCAGGTAACAGGTCTGTGATCTGAAAATATTCAATGGAAAATCCCAGAAATAAACAATTCATAAGTTTTAAGTCGCTACCATTCTGAGTAGTGTAATGAAATCTCGCACTGTCCTGCTTCATCCCGCTCGAAATATGAATCATCTTTGTCCAGTATGGATACCTCCTGTGGATATAATGGTGTATGCACAGTGTCTAAGCTCCCCACCCATTAGCCACTTAGTAGTCATCTTGGTTATCAAATTGGCTGTCATGGAATCACACTGTTTGTCTTCAAGAAAAGTTTATTTGACTTTGTAATGGCCTCAAAATACAAGAGTAGTGATACTGGCAAGTCGGGTATGCCAAAGAAAAACTGTAAAGTGCTTCCTTTGAGTGAAAAGGTGAAAATTCTTAATAAGGAAAGAAAAAACACACAGGCTGAGGTTGCTTAGATCTACAGTAAGAAGGAATCTTCTATTCGTGAAATTGTGAAGAAGGGAAAAGAAAGTTGTGCAGTTTTGCTGTCACACTTCAAACTGCAAAAGTTACAGCCTCTCATATACAGCATGGGATAAGAGCTTAGTTAAGATGAAAAGGGCATTAAGCTTGCAGGTGGAAGACATGAACAGAAATGTGTTCTGATGAACAGAACTGGGCTCACTACTATCTGTGGTTCTAAGCATCTACTGGGGACCTTGGAACACATACCCCATGAACAATGCGGGGACTTCTGTATTGGATTCTCTTAGAGCTTCCAGAAGGAATCAACCAACAATTTCATTTCTGGACTCCAGATCTGAGATAGAATACATTTCCGTTATTTTAAGCCACCCAGTTTCCGGTCATTTGTTAACTCCAGGAAACTATGGGAACTAAGAAACTAGGAAACTTAGGAACTAAACTAGGAAACTAAGTTTAGGAAATGTCAAGAAAAGCTTTATAAAGCACTTAGTAAAATTTGCTAAGTGCATAATGGAGCAGACTGTAGATGGATGTAAGGTAACTCATGAGAGTGGCACATGAACAGGTGAAATTCAGGAAGCCAATCCAAGTGTGCCTGGAAGGAAGTAGTTCTCTGAATCCACCCTCTTATAAAATAGACACCGAGGGAAAGAAAGCTTACCTTACCTTGTCACCAAAGGTAAGACAAGGAAAAGAAAACTGCTATACCAGTCTAAATAAAAAGACTGCCCAGCAATCAACAGTTCTTTTCCCCTCTCTGACAACTGCAGGATGTTGGCAGGGTTTCTCAATAGACAAACTGTATTAGAATCATGTAGAGTATGAGCCGGGCACGGTGGCTCATGCCTATAATCCCAGCATTTTGGGAGGCCAAGGCATGCCAATCACCTTAGGTCAGGAGTTCAAGACCAGCCTGGCCAATATTGAGAAACCCCGTTTCTACTAAAAATACAAAAATTAGCTGGGCGTGATGGTGGGCACCTGTAATCCCAACTACTTGGGAGGCTGAAGCAGGATAATTGCTTGAACCAGGGAGGTGGAGATTACAGTGAGCCGAGATCATACCACTGCACTCCAGCCTGGGCGACAGAGCAAGACTCCTCACAGAAGGATCACATCAGGCACAGAAGGATCCACATAGAAAAGATTCACACCCACCCACAATTGCCCTGGAGAAGGAAGGGGAGAGACAAAACAAACAAACAAACATGTAGAGTATGAATGAACCAGACAATAGGGTTGGGGCCTAGGAATCTTATGCACAAAGAAATTTTGAGGACCACTGTTTTGAAGGTCAACAGTTCTAACTGCCCCCCCATACACCTTAGTGTTTCAAAAAGTGAGTTGTGAGAACAACCAGTGATATTCAGAATGATTTTAGCATGGAAGACTTATGCCTTCATTTCATTGTGCATTAAAATATTAAATACAACTGGTATCTCACAAACCAATAATTTCATAGATATTATTGCTTACGATGAAGCCAAGTAAAAATCTAAGGTAAAATTTACTAAGTGCATAATGGAGCAGACTGTAGATGGATGTAAGGTAACTCATGAGAATGGCACATGAACAGGTGAAATTCAGGAAGCCAATCCAAGTGTGCCCGGAGGGAAGTGGTTCTCTGAATCTGCCCTCTTGACAACACAGCTCATTCCATCCTCCTGCATTTTACATCAGGCACAGAAGGATCCACATAAGAGAGATTCACACCCACCCACAATTGCCCTAGAGAAGGAAGGGGAGAGACAGAGAGCCTTTACTTATGTACCACGGAGCTTCAGAGTTAAGCCAGGTGCCCCTGCCTATCTCTACGTGGAGAACAATTGAACATGGGTGGAAGTAGCAGGCTCCTAGGAGCCGGGCCCTGGTGGGTGGCAGTATACGTGCATGTGTTGGTGGTCACTGAGACTTGGGTGGCCTGATTCTGTATTGTGCATGATTTGCTTTTCTGGCCACTAATAGGTCTCACGGTGAAGACAGCAGAACCAGATGGAGTAGGGGCTCAAGGAACAGGTAGCCACACCAACACTTCCCAGGAGTTCAGCCCTTTACAGGCCACAGAGCAACAATATTGTTGAATGTCAGAGTGAAACAGACCGCAGCCACCAAGTGATCGAAGTCTCTCATTTTCCAGCTGAAAAACAGGAATACAGAGAGAGAGTCTTCTGGTCAAGGTAGCAGCACTGACTGGTAACTGAAGTTGGTCGGATCAGTTAAAGCCTCCTTTTCCGGAGTTCTGTTACGATATATGACTCTCTACGCCAGTTCCCTAGTAGGGACTCATGACTGACTGTCTCCCTGGCAATGACAGAAACTCCAATCCTATTCGACTCATTTAATGATTTGGTATAGGATTCAGAGGCGCACGCGGCGAAGGCTGAGCAAGGGCTGTCTGTGGTTAAGCTCATCACAGGATGAGGCCATGCCCCACGCAACTCAGTCAGAGCTGGGCTTGCGATGATGCACCCAGAGTAGTTGTTTTGGGTGGGGGCTGCGAGGAACTCATAAAAGATGTAAGAGGAGGAGAAAGTTGGCAAGAAGTGGATGCTTTCATCTGCAGAGAAAGGCCCCTGAGCCCTAAAAAAACTGCCCTCCTCCCCACTCCCCCCTCCTCCCCCCGACACACAAAAAAGTTCACCCACTACACCTGCCTTCCCCAGATGGGCTCCCTGCGCAACGCCTCCTCGTCCTCCGAGATTTTCCAATGGTGGCGCAAGCTCCTCCCTCGCCCGAGCTGGGCGCCGTCCTAGAGCCAAGCGCCCGCTAGAGCCGAGACTAGGGGGCGGTGAGGAGTGGGACCCGCTCGCGGCCATTGGTTGTGCGGCCAGGAGGGGCGGAGGGACGACGCGCGGGCTGTGCGGGGCCGGCAGCCCGGATCCACTCCCGCTGCGCCTGCTGTCCGCCGTGCGCCCAGACTGCGCGCCGCGCCGCTGCGCCCAACATTCCCGAGGACGGCTTCGCGGGCGCGTATCGTCCAGACCGGAGCACCGCCCCACCGCTAGCGCAGGAGACCTGCCGGGGAAGTCGCGTGTCCTGACCTGCAGGTCAGTGAGGGAAACTTGCAGGGTCCCGAGCTCTGGGGGTGAACTTGCCCTACGCGGAGAGCGCCCCACTCCTTGCCTGGGGCGGCCTCGGGTCCTGGAGGCGAGCCGCCTCCCAGACTCTCCCCCGAGATCTGGGCTCCCGGAGATGTGGCTCCTTTCTGAGAAACACCCCCAAATCTATCCCTTTTGAGGTGTCCTTACTGTCCCGAGAAGCAATCGCAGCCCGGCTCTCCGAGTCTTGGGGTGACTCCACGGGCTGCAGGAGGAGCCGCGAGGGGCCCTGAGTGCAATGTCCTTGGCCCCGTGTTGACCTGCCTCGGTCCCAGACACTGGGAACCGGGAAGGTCTACCCTCGCTCTGCAAGGTGGATTCCTCCATGCAAGTGTAGACAGTTCTACACTTTGCAGAGTGTGTCTAGGTGCCTTCTGTTTGCTTTTGCCTTTGTGGTGTGTGGAGGGTCATTCTTGGGTTTGTTTTGCTCCTGTCTGATTTTCTAGGGTCATTTGCGTCCCTTCTCGGGAACGGGGACTCGCCATGCGCACACTGACAGCTGGCTTTGCACCTGCTAAGGCGCTGGAGAGTCTTTTCGCCCGTCTTAGGGTGGCCCTAAATCCGGGGAAGTTTTATGTGGCGCTGAACACTTGCGTTTCCCAGGGGCGTTTTCCCTAGCTCCCGGAAACCCAGTAGGTAACTGCGCCAGCGACCCTTCCCCTCTTCCCGGGTCTGATGAGACACTGGAATCCTGCCTTTCCCTGTCGAGGTGTGCGAATGATGGGCAAATTGCTTCAGTTCTGATTTAGGAAAGGGATATGTAATGTGCCCTCCTCCAGGGAGCAGAGGGATTCATTCACAGAAATATCTTGTTGAGGACCAGGATTGGGGCTATGCCTGCCCGCTTTCCTCCACCAGATGCCCGGGCTCCATCGGACTTGGGTTTGATCTCAGACTCTAGAGATGGGGTCTGTTTGTTAGTGTCCTTCATTTCCTCTCCCTGTTAATTTTTCTTCGGAAAATGTTCTGCTAAAGTAAGTACTTCAGTGTTCTTTGTGGTAAATGATGGGCTCCGATGTCTAGAGGACGTCTCAAAGCCATCGCATTTGGTACCGTCTGCACTACAGGTGCAAAGGGCGGGGAAACTGACAGCGTTACTGTCCTGGGGCGGACCCGCGGGACTACTCCCTAAGACGTTTCTCCTAGGTGCCTTCTCCTAGGTGCTTCCAGGATTCATTGTTCAGACAACAGCCTGTCAACAGGAAAAGAGGCACAAGTGACAGTCTTTTCTTAAAGGGTTTGTCTCTTAATGCAGTCTTGCGGAGCCCCATGCACCCTCTGAAAAAAACAATATTTAATTTGCTGAATTATACAACTAGTCTGGGTGTCTCAGCTTATTTGTGATCATGCCCATAGAGGTTCTTAAATATCTTTTTTGTAACTAAATTCTCTTCATTTTACTAAGTAGAGTAGTGTCTTTTCCCCCGCCACCACCACACTCAGAACACCGTTTTTAGTTGATCTGTAAAGCAAATTGCCTTTTGGAGGGCTTGTGAGTGAGGCTGCCTGGTCTCAGAGCCTCCCTCAGCCCATGCCCTAGTCACCTTTAAATGCTGGACATCGTAGGGCCGCCGAAGCCTCTGCCAACCTCAGAAGTAATCTGGAAATATTGAGATCCAGCACGTGGGTGGGATATTCCATTTTTGTGTTTTGGCTTTGAGGGGCTTATTATTTTTGATTCCTCTATATAAGGCAAAGTGCTTTGAAGAGCTGAACGCACACATTTATTGTTCTCATTAAAGAAACCTGTTGTAAGGTAAGATTGAGTCCATTCTCCCTTGCTGTTAGTTCGTTCAGTTCAACAGATTTTACTAGATGTCTACGATTTGGACAAGCACATCAGGGGTTAAGATATAAATAACTGTGTGATTGCATGTGGCATCAAATCCACGAGAGAGTTTATTTGCAGGTTTCCTGGGTTTCTTTTTCTTTTTTCTTGTTCTTTTTTAGTGAGGGCAGATGAAGAATGACAGAGCTGATTTGTAAGAATGACCAACCATACTAACCTTTAAGCAAACTTGGAGTTATACGTTCATTATAAAAAAGAAAGACTAACTCATCACAGGCAAAATTCTGATTCAGCCTCTATACTAGATAAAGTCTGAGCTCATTTGATGATCGTTCTTCTCTGGCTTACTCTTCTCCCTATACTTATATTACAACATTTTTGGGGGGTCCTTTTTTTGTTTAAAGTTTGTACAGTTTGTACGAGCATTTTTATACTTAATTAGTTATAATGAAGAAGTGAAAAATAAAATTATGGCTGAATTTTTGTGTTTTGTTCATCTGAGTTTTTAAAGTAGTAATTTAAGAATCTGAAAAAATACATTTCTGAATGGCCCTGGATGCCAGGCACTGTGTAGGTCCCACTTGCCTGGCTCATGGTACCCATAAGCCATTCAGTAAATATTTGTTAAATGAAACTAAAAGCCAAAAAGTAGTGCCACAGAAGAATGTTGTTTTCTTCAAATATCTACTTGTGGAGGCTATTATATTATATTAGTATATTAATACAAAGTATTATAGACCTAATTTTTATAGATTTCATGATTGTTTATAATGAGAGCTAAAAATAATAATAATAAAGGCTTTAAATTAGTTAATGGAATAGGGAAGCCAACAAGGAAGAAGTTCAAGCTTTAAGCCCACGAGTTGGCAGGATTCCTTTTAGCCAACATGTGTGCCTAGAGGATTCAAGCCAGAGGCTTAGATGAAGATGCCCTTGGTATGCATATGTGGCCCAACCTTTGATTTAGAATTCAGGAAGTCCATCTGTGCATTCACGGGCCATTTCAGGAGCCGGGCAACAGTCTACTGGGCCAAATTCTGTGGTCCCTTCTGTTCTGATTCTGATTTGTGGCAGATGTATCCCTAGGATACAACGTCTTCATGCTCAGTCTCATGACATAAAATGCGTCCTTCACGAGTTCCTTATGGATATAGGAAATAGTCATTATTTAGCCTTTACTAACTTTGGAAATTTTTTTGGAAAAAGAAAAAAAAGATAAAAGATGTCTGAGCCGTCAAACAGCCGTACACACTTTAACATATCTCTAAGCATGAAGTAGCGTAATCCAGCCAAAACAGTGCCAATGACAAACCTCCACATTTCCATCAGAAATGGGGTACATCACTAATATTTTCTGAGTTCCTAACTTTTAAATTCCCAACTATTAAGCTATATTAAGACAGGAAATTAGTCAGTCTAGGTCTACAATTTGTACTTTGATTCTTGATGTTGATATTGTTAATCTGGAAGGGTCTGGAAAATGTAAGCCTCTAATAATTGTTAAAAGGGTCACTTAAGAAGGTAACAGACCTGAATCCAACTTCTGATGGGAAGCAGAAGGATAGGTGGCTATAAGAATCAGTTTCAAATTAAGAGAGACTGGAAGATGACTGAAACCACAGTTAAAACACTAATTAACTTCATTCAGGGAACATTCAACGTATAGATTCACTTCCCAGGGGAGGCCAATATAGCAGCTTTCCTGGTTAACTTGCTAGGGTAGTCTGGTGCTGATTAGAAGTACCTGGTAATCTATCAACTGTTGCCAGTTAAACTGGCTTGGTCCTTATTCACCTTCAATTTCCTTGTGACCAGGATTATATCAGAGGGATATACTATTCTCATTTCTTAAGCAGAACATTGACAACATCCTGTAAAATGCAATGCTACCTCCAAGTACATTTAACCCCTGTTAGGAAGATTGACTTTCTGGCATCAGCCTGAGAGTCAAACTTTGAAAAAAAAATGGTAGAAATGAACCATTTCAAAGGTTTGTGTTAAGTATAGACAGTACAGAAAAAGAGGGGAGAAGGAGGAGCAGGAAGAGAAAAAACAAGTCCTGGGCTTAAAAACCAGCAGTATTTTCATGGCATATGCTATAATCAAATTTTATTTCTATTTCTTAATGAAAATACCTTTATTATTTTTTCTGATGTCAATACACATTCTTTTTGTCAAAATATAGATACAGAAATGCACAAAATAGAATGTTAACATGCCCCCATAATACTACCCTCTAACAAAAACATATGTTAACAGCTTGGTATATAACCTCTTGTTTTGTTTTGTTGTTTTTGCATCTAAAATATATGTGTGTATAATAGTAGTAGCAGTAGTAGTTGTTGTTTTACAAAAAATGGAATCATAGTATACACTATCATGAAGGTTACTTTCTTGACTTAGTCATAGATGTTCAGCATCTTTTCATGTTAGAAAATACGGTCCTTTTTCACAGGGAGGGGAACAACACACACTGGGGCCTGTTGGGGTGGGGTGGTGGGAGGGAGCATCAGGAAAAATTAGCTAATGCATGCTGGGCTTAATACCTATGTGATGGGATGATAGGTGCAACCAACCACCATGGCACATGTTTACTTATGTAACAAACCTACACGTCCTGCACATGTATCCTGGAACTTAAAATAAAATAAAATTTATATATATATATATAAAATATAGTCCTTTTTAATATAAGAGGATCAAGAGACTCCACTGTGTGACTCTTCTGTCATTTATTTAACTAATCTTTGACTCATGGACATTTTAGTAGCTTCAATGTTTAGCTACAGAATACATCTTTGTGCATGTACTTTTAAACTTGTCTGATTTTTTTCTCCATTGGATAAATTCTTAAAATGTATCATTTACACTGTTATCCTATAATGCTACCTGGTTTGTGTGAAAAGAGAAGCATTCAAATAGTTCATGCAACAAGCAGTAGACCTTCCTCACTGTGACCCATTCTTCCCTATGCCTGGCACATAATACTCTTCTCCTCAAAAGAATTTTATTAGCAGTTAACATTCATATAGAAAAGTACACAGATCATAAAGACATAAGATATCATAAAGACATAATTTATGTGTTCAATTTGACACACCCATATAAATGGTGCCAGGCTCAAAAAAAAAATTTACTAATGCATGTTGAGCATCCCTAATCCAAAAATCCAAAGTCTGAAATGTCCCAAAATCTAAACTTTTTGAGCATTGGCATGATGCCACAGTGCACAGTACCCTTTTCATCAAAAGGCAGCACAGCAGGTTGAGACTGAAAGCCTGCTGTTTGTTGTTGGTGTTGTTGAACAGCTGATACAAGTATTCTTGAGATGCAACTGTACTGCTTAGTCAATTTTTTTGTTTGTTTGTTTTGTTTTGTTTTTGTTTGTTTTTTGTTTTTGAGATGGAGTCTTGCTCTGTCACCCAGGCTGGACAGTGCAGTGGCGCAATCTCGGCTCACTGCAACACCTGTCTCCCACGTTCAAGCGATTCTCCTGTCTCAGCCTCCTGAGTAGCTGGGATCACAGGTGCCTGCCACCACACCTGGCTAATTTTTGTATTTTTAGTAGAGATGGGGTTTCACCATGCTGGCCAGCTGGTCTTGAACTCCTGACTTCAAGTGGTCCACCCGCCTTGGCCTCCCAAAGTGCTGGGATTACAGGTGTGACCCACCGCACCTGACCTGCTTAGTTACCCTTGAACACATTTTTTTCTGTGTATTAATGATGTCATATCTTTTAGTGTTAAGTATTTGTGTGCGAATAAGTGTAAGAAAATAATTCCTATGAGTAGCATATAAATTCAGTCAGGAATTATGGTGATACCAAATAACCACAAATTGTTCACATGGGTGGCTAAGATAGTGACATTTTTGCTTTCTGATGGTTCAACGCACACAACTTTGTTTCATGCAAAAAAAAATATTAAACATATTGTATAAAATTACCTTCAGCCTATGTGTATAAGGTGTATATGAAACATAAATGAATTTTGTGTTTAGGCTTGAGTCCCATCCCCAAGATATCTCATGTATATTCAAATATTCCAAAATCCAAAAAAAAATTCAAAATCAGAAACACTGATTCCAGAGCATTTTGGATAAGGGATAAGGGATACTCAATCTGTACCCTCTGCCATTCTCCTCAAGGCAAAACTGTCGTTCTAACAACTACTCATGGGAAAGTCTTTGGTGAGCTTGGATGCTAGTCTCAGACCTTCAGAAAGACTCCTCGCCAACAAAATGGGTCTAGTTGAATGGAATGAGTTTCTAAGATCTTTCAGTCTGTTCAAGTGTCGCCTTATTATCCCTGTCGGTTTTGGCCTTACATTTTTCCACTGAACTCCCTGCTTGGCACATATTTTGATTCATATGATGAAAAGCCTCTGGATTAAAAAAAATTAACTTCTTTTTTGTCTGCCTTCCTCTTGTTAGCCACTCAGCTCAGCTCTGAGTATAGAGTGGATTTAGGGTTGGAAAGGGGGTGCTAGGCCCTCAATTTGTGGTCTCTTTCACTAGCTGGAGTTCCTACTACATATCCTTTTTCAAAAACAAGTGACATATAAACAATGACCTTCAAACTTCACTTAACTTTTGGGGGTGTCATTTTCCTGATTGCTAAAGACTTGTAGCTCTCTGATTCTATGAAAATTTTTTTCTTTTGTTGTTATTGCTGCTTGTGTGGTTTTTAGTTTTCAATGGTTTTACTTTGTTGTTGTTGTTGTCGTTTTGTTTGTTTGTTTCTGGTTTTGAGACGGAGTCTCGCTCTGTTGCCAGGCTGGAGTGCAGTGGTGCGATCTCTGCTCACTATAACCTCCGCCTCCCGGTTCAAGCGATTCTCCTGTTTTTTAATAGGGGAAAGTTAAGATTTAGAGGGACTATAAAGGAAAACAAAAGAATAAATCAGGTACCTAGTACCTGCTATATATTTGCAGTTAGTTGTACGATGAATGAAAAAAGAGAATATTTGCTTCTCTTGTGCTCATCTGTTTTCACTCCTCTTATTATTTTCCTAAGAAGCTGAGGTTTTTGGATTAGTTCCCTGGCATAGTGCTGGTAAGGAGATTGCTGCTCACATCACCATGGCTATGATCTGCGTCAAGTACTACTCGAAGCACAGTCCATGCACCAGCGCCCATTTGAATTATTACTTATTCGTCATGAGATACAGAACTCGTGCCAGAATATAAATCAAATAAGGTACTAGGCATACTTTTTAGTTTAACTATTTCCTTTCTTTCTTTTTCTTCTTTTGTAGCAAGACTTTCTTGATGAAGGAAGCACTGTATTTATTGCAGTTTCCTCATCTCACAGGGACCTGTAACCAACATGCCACTGAGGGAGCCAGGTGGCTACTTTGAGTAGCCCAGATCTCCAAAGTAGCACTTTGTAGTCAAATTGAACATTTGATAAAAATGTAAACATTTTCTTTTTCTGTGCTGATTTGCTATTGAATTTTTCAAGCTGTTTTTGTTTCA
The DNA here is from genome assembly GCF_000001405.40 of Homo sapiens. Classification (NCBI taxonomy): domain Eukaryota; kingdom Metazoa; phylum Chordata; class Mammalia; order Primates; family Hominidae; genus Homo; species Homo sapiens. The sequence goes on from NC_000013.11 coordinate 36,681,499, forward strand.
TTTTGGTTTGGTTTGGTTTAGCATTGAGATGGAGTAGCTAACAATCCTATGGTATGTGATATTCCTGAATGTAGTGAATTATAATAAGCTTCCCCTACAATGATCATGAAGTGGGGATTTTCCTTGACCCTTTTTATTTCCACAGATGAGCACAGTGTCATAGGTTGTGATGATAAAGGATTTGTGATTTTCAAAGGATGGAATTATCATGGAGTTTAAGAAATTCTTTTAAAAATGCATTCTGGGTCATATTCAGCCAGAGCTTCATAGTCTCACTATGGTAAACTCTCTTGATTTTTATTGTGCCCTTCAGAATACATTTGTTACAACCCTCCAGCTTGTTCACAAGAATGTATTTCAGTATTTCCAGCACACTCCTCCATCCTTTCCTCAATTATCCTGGTGAACAGTTGACCAAATAAAATCTTAGCTTTCTTAGACATTGTTGAAAGACACAGTTGGTTGATTTTTAAAAGTATGGGCATAGTTTGCCCTGGAACCAGAAACTATTAATTTTATTGCCATAATTGAAACACTTCTAAAATTTAGAGAGCATTCATCATCATTATTCTTTACTGTTGATGCTTACCCCCTTTGAGTAATCTTTATGATTTTACACAAGATCATTTATTCATTTGTTAAATAAACATTCTTTTGCCTGTAAAGACAGAATAAACATGAGCTATCTCTCCAAGAAGCTTCAAGTTTCTTTATTCCCTTATTCTTTCATTCATGCAGCCATCTAACAAATGCTGATTGATCATCCTTATGCCACATTCTGTACTAGTCTGTGGATATAAGATAGGTGAATTGTTATTTCTTTATTCTAGGACTTCCCAGTTTGTTAAAGCAGATAGGTAAATAAATGTAGTAAGTATAATAAAATGTGAGAAATGCTAGTGTAGAAAGGTACAGAAAGTATGCTGAGAATGCAGAGGAGGGAGCCAGAAATTTGCATAGAGAAAGTAGGTAGGGATTTCTATTAGGTGAATAATAAGCAGATGAGACAGAGGATGGATGGCTTGAGTAGAGACCTGCAGTGAATAAATTGGATTTGGGTTCAAGTTAGGGAGAGGATATGTACACATATAAGGATTGAACATAAGTATTTTTTTAACTGGAGAATTGAAAACAGCATGTTATGCCTGGAACGCAAATCTTAGGTACAATGGTAAAAACGAGACTGGAAAAGTAGCCTGTGGCCAGATCATAAGGGACAGACCATATAAGAGAAGTCTTAGATTTCTCACTGTAGCTGGCAACTATACAAATTATAGATGCATTAGACTCATGCACATAATGATAATATTCTACCCCTTCCTGTACATTGTTAAGAAATATTTGTTCAATGTATGATTGAATGCAGCAAATACTATAGTTTTTCTTTTTCTTCTTTCTTTCTTTATTTATTTGTTGAGATGGAGTCTCACACTGTCTCCCAGGCTGGAGTGCAATGGCATGATCTCTGCTCACTGCAATCTCTGCCTCCTGGGTTCAAATGATTCTCCTGCCTCAGCCTCCCAAGTAGCTAGTTTTTCTTAACCAAAAACAATACCACTGACCCTTGTACGATGAGTTTTTTTTTCCACTAGGAGTCATGAGTTAGTCTTAATATTCTTATTGCCTCTCACCTGTTCCCATTTGAAACCATTTGGCCTGTTTAAGTGACAGCTGGTCAGGATTATCCTTATACAGTAGCAGCTCATCATATTTGAGCTTGTTAAGGAACATGTCTTTGGCACTACCAGTAGCTAAATCTCATGCCCTTAAACCTAACACTTCTATGAAATTAAAGCTAACCAAAACAGCCTTGAAAACCTTCTTTCTCACCAGTGCCAAAATAGAGTTTTAATATATTACATACACAATTCATACAACTCTCAATTATTCATAATTTGACTTATTTATGGTCAAATTCTTACAGACCCATAATAAACTCAGCCATCAAAGTATAGTGAGACCTTATGTTAGTTAGTAGAAGGAGAATGATGCTACAGTAACAAATAAGCCCCAAATCTCAGTGGCTTAAAACAACAAAAGTTTATTAATGTTGACATAAGTGTCAATGGGGCCAGCAAGGGGTGAAGATACTCACTGTGGTCACTCAAGGATGCAGACTGATAGACATTGGCAGGTACTTACACCATTACACAATAACTGCAGCAGAGGGAAGAGGTGTGGCAAGTCTCACACTAGGTCTTACATTTTCTATCCAGAAGGGACATGTCACCTTTCATACATTTCATTGGTCAAAATAAGTCATACAGTCACCCTAAATTCAGAGGGAGTGGGAACATGAAATCCTACGACAGGCCTACGAGAAGGGACATCAGAAATATTTCGTGAACAGCACTAGTGACTACAAGTCTCAAATACATTCCTCCTCAACCCACAGTCTCCCCAGAGAGAAGGAATGGAATGAACATACAATTTGGAGACGGAGAGATGTAGTTTGAATTCCAGCCCTGCCTCTAAGTGGTTGGGTGAGCTTGGACAAGCCTTTAAATTCTCTGAGCTTGTGGGGCGCAGTGGCTTACGCCTGTAATCCCAGCACTTTGGGAGGCTGAGGCAGACATATTTCCTGAGCTCAGGAGTTTGAGACCACCCTGGGCAACATGGTGAAACCCCGTCTCTACTAAAATACAAAAATTAGCCGGACGTGGTGGTGGGTGCCTCTACTCCCAGATACTGGGGAGGCTGAGGCATGAGAATCGCTTGAACCCAGGAGGCAGATGTTGCGGTGAGCTGAGATCGCACCACTGCACTCCAGCCTGGGCGACAGAGCGAGACTCTGTCAAAAAAAAAAATTCTCTGAGCTTTAATTTTCTCATTTGCTAAAAAAGATGATGGGAGATAATACTAACTGACTTAATGAGTTGTGGCGATTAAAGAAAACACACATACATATACAGACACACATCCAAAATTGGTACATGCTTTTATTTGATAAATACTAGCAGCCATCATTTATGTTACTCTGGTTCTTTTTTCTCAAACTGATTTGTCTGCACATTCTTTCTCCTCCACAAGCATCCTGGGTTTGCCTTCCTCTGCCAATCATGCTCTGAAGACAGACTGCTACTCCTCAATGACTTGGGGATGCCCTCACTACCTCTTTCCTCTCTCCTGTACCTCTCATCATTCTTCTGCCATGATGTGTCTCTGCATCCCAGCTCAAACCATTGAAACGAAAGAGAACTGATACTAGATGTAAAAATAGTGAATAATGGGTGAAAGTGTAGGCTATTTCTACAAATGAATTAAAAATGCAGAGCTCACATCATCTAAAAGTAAGGTGAAGAGCTCAGCCTTGATAAAGGACTGTCAAAGTCAGTTAAATCTTGTACTAAAGATTATCCATAATTTCCTTGAGTGAAAACATATTTATTTATATTTTTAAAAGAATGTGTAACTATCTTCTATAGGTCACTACTTTGGCAGTCTGTTTTCCACAAATAATTCCTAATTATTTTTCAGTTTCACCTTCTTACATTTTCAAATTGAAATACGCTCTGGGAGAATTTGAGCCTACACTTGTCTATTGCTTCCATATTGTCTTTGACAGGCTCTGGTCTTGAATCGTTATCTAAAATGACAACAGGCTGCTGAAGACTTGATTTCCACCCACACTTGATAGCCTGCCATATCATTTTGTTCCATGTTATGAGGAACATGTAGACATTTTCTTTATTAACCAGACTTTTGAGTTCGCTGTGCCGCCTGTGAGAGAAACAGAGAGCATTGGCAGGCTCGGCCGCTGTGTTCACACTGAGGATTAGCAGGACCACGGGAAACCCACATGGGAAGGTGCTTTCCTAATGAAGGACACAACGTCCTCTTTCTGTTTTCTCCCTTCCCAGGTGTCCTTGGAAATCCAGGTAGATGAGTAATTTTGCAGCCATGAGAGAGCACTTAGTCTCCTTGTATAGATCGTGTTTTATGTAACCTCTGTCTAATATCAGATTCATCTGGCACTGACAATTTCAGGTCCCTACCTGTATCCTCAGTCATATGATTGGTGATGACTGGGGAAAAGCACTATTCATATAAATGTTTCCTATTTTTTAAAATTGCAGCTGCATTTTGCCATGACTAGCTTCAATTTCTGAACTGTTCATTGGCCCCTATGACAAAAGACTCTGCCCTGGACTGTAAGTGAGTTCATGGGATCAAGTTTAGACTCTTGCTACACTAGAGAACTCACCCAAACCAAGGTGATTAAGGAGGTGATTAAGGCTAGTTATAAGAGTTGTAAGGAGTGTGAGCCTTTTTATCTGTGGAACTTGCTACTTGCAGCCTCTTTCACTTAGCTGCCCAAGTGAAGTCTCTGCTTCTGTTTAGTTTATCTGCTGCTTCTGTTTCCTGAAGTCCCTACTTTGAACCTGGACCACGCTGGCTCTTGTGGGTTCTCCCTGATCTTCTCACAGATCACCTACTCATTGGTCCTCATTAGAAAACTGCTAGTCCCAAGCTTTGACTGGGTGTTTAAACTGCAGGAGAGATATCCTTGGCTGCCTCTGAAGATGACTGATGATGTAAGATGCACATAACAGGATTACTTGCTCCTGGAGGCCCAGATGAGATTCAGTCCAGTGGGTGGTGGCAGGAGTAGAATTGTGAATAAGGCTTACTAGTGAGTCACCATTCTTGGTCTTCAGGCAGCCTCTCCCACGACCACAGGCACAGTTTCCTGGTCATATTCAGCTCCCTCTAGTTCATCCTCTGATGCTTCACTGCAAGTGTTTGTGGCTTACTGGGCATCATGAGCTGATGGTAGCAGCAAGTAGTTGAGCTTTTCTAATGCCCACAGAAGAATCTGGCTTCTATCATTGTATTTCCTTAGAAGTTTCTAACATTTTGGCTGACTTAGCGCATATTTTTCCAAGCATATTTTCTTAAGTTCCTTGGGACAAATTATTTTCTTCAACTTGCACGTTGCAAATTTCTAAAACTGTTGAAAACTTGCAAGAATAATAACAATAAATACCTATATATCTGTCAACTAGATTAACCAGTTAACATTTTGACACACTTGTTTTATGTATGTATGCATGTATATGCGTAAGTGTGCATACTTTTTTTTCTATTTTGGCTGAACCACTTGAGGGTTAGTTGCTGATAATATGAAGCTTTATGGCTAGATACTTCAATATGCATTTCCTAAGAGCAAGAACATTCTCCTATGTTACAACTAGGAAATTTAATATTGGTATAATTATCTAATGTACAGTCTATATTCAAATTTCCCCAGTGGTCCTAATAATGTGCTTTATAACAAAGCTGGTTTTTTTAATTGATCCAAGATCCACCAAGGATCTTACATTGAGGATCCTTATAAGGGAAGAAATCTTGAAGTCTGAATCCTACTTTTTTTCTCTGAGTATTCAGCTGACTACTAAAGAATATAATATGGCCAAAACTGGATGTATCCAAAACTTAGCCTGCCTAAGCTGCCAATTAATAGGCATTATTCTTTTTAAATAGCCATTTTACTCTTGAAAGCATTATCATACTTTGACTGTCAGCCACAGAGTACTGGAAGAATGAGATAATTTATTTGGCAAAATTCATATGTATATGTTATGCCAAACACTTGGCTAATATCTGGATGAGATGGGCAATTTACAGACTATGTAATCAACTAGGGTTCTATCTGTAGTTGTGTTATGAGAAACAATGGTTCATTAATTCACGGAAATGTGAATTAAAAATGTCATTAAGCGAAAGACTCTGTTAGCTTGAATTCCTATTGGGATATGCAAGACACATAACATTTATGCATATTTGTGATGTTCTAATCCATTTTTAGGGAATAGGATATTATATAAAGCACCCTAGTTTAAACAAATACATGATTACGGTTGTCAATAGAGATAGATATAAATAGTGACCTGTGTAATTATTTTGCTAATGCTGAAATTTTTTTTCAGACAAGTGGATCCAAAATCTACCAATGATCTTGCATTACATTAAGGGGAAAAGTATCTCCTTAATGGGGAATCTTTACTTTTTTTTTTCCAAATTGTGCCTATACACATGATCTTATGGATAGATAATGGTTGTTATTCCTTGTTGTATTCTTATGTGCAAAAATAGAGAACTTGATACATTGGTTAGTTTACATTGCTCTCTTTCTGTGCATCAAGCTTCAACTATCAAGATATTCTAAGTGGCAAAGAAGTTTGGGGTCTGTGTTATAGAGTGAATAAAATATTTACTGCACATCCATTCTTATAAATTAAAAATACACACACACACACACGCACACAACAACAACAACAACGTAATAAGACATTTACAGGAACAGAGACCAACAAAAAGGTTCTCATTAAACTCGTTAGCCTGGATGCCTGTGAGAGATGGAGTTTCAAGTTCTTCCCTGCTCTCTTAGGACAGTTTTAGAGGCCCACAAAGGCCCCAAGGCCTGAGGATACCTAGTAGTTTACATGCAAAGGATTAAAAACAAAAAAAAAAGCTCTGGCTGACTTATTCCCAGGGGTTTGTGACAATCACAAATTTATTTTACAAGCACAAAATCTTTCCAAATATCACTCTCTATATGGAGACTGTTATGAACATTTTCTGGTTGGACAAAAAATATATATTGGATACAAATTATTTTACTATAGAGACAAAATGAGACACAAAAGAAAAGGAACAGGCACCATTCCATTGTCCTAGCACGGCATGGTTTTATGAGAATTCTATTTTATTTCATGTATTTTTTTTTTTTTAGACAGGGTCTCACTCTGTCACCCTGGCTGGAATGCAGTGGCACGATCATGGCTCACTGTAGCCTTGACCTCCCAGGCTCAAGCAATGCTCCCACCTCAGCCTCCAAGTAACTGGGACTACAGGCACACGCCATCATGCCTGCATAATTTTTGTATTTTTTGTAGAGATAGGTTTTCTTCATGTTGCCCAGGCTGGTCTTGAACTCCTGGGCTCAAGCGATCCTCCTGCCTCAGCCTCCCAAAGTGCTGGGATTACAGGCATAAGTCACCATGCCCAGCCTGAGAATTTTCTGAAAGGTTGTCTAGTTTTGCTAAAAATAAGCAAGACTTTTTACTTTACTAATGCCATGATTTAACCAATTTTAGCTGATCTGAGATTAAAAGATGTTTCTCTTAATATACTTCTAAAATATTGGAAATGATCAGAGCAGGATGGGGGGAAAGAATTGATCCCAAAAGCTCTCATTTAAAATGCTGTAATATCTTGAAAAGCCAATCTTTTTTTTACCTTCTTTCTTCCCATTGATTCATTATGATCTTACTTATGATCTTCAAGTCATTATTTCTCTGGCTGTTGGCTTTTTCTGTCAATCAAGTGTATAGCCAATGACCTTTTCTCCTGCTCTCTAAAAGTGGCTTTCATCATTCTGCTGCTTCTTAACCAGTTAGTGTTTTCTTCAACCCGCAGGTTACTCCTTTTCTTGTTTTGATTTAGGCCAATTATGTTAGCCAAGATGGGTCCAGTCTCCCTGAAGTGCAGGAATTCTACTCCTTGGTCTTTTGTAAACACCATAAAAGAATCATGAAAATGCTATGCCTGGACCTGGTTTTGTACTTGACCGTTTTATCTAGAAAATTACCCATTTAGCTATACATTTTATTCTAAGAGAGTATCTTTTTAAATAGTTATTCTTGCTAAGGCAGTGATTTGGATATAAAATCCTCCCATGGATGTAAACATACTAAAAAATTTATTAAGAATAATAGTTACATCCAGGCGTGGTGGCTCATGCCTGTAATCCCAGCAGTTTGGGAGGCCAAGATGGGCAGATCACCTGAGGTCAGGAGTTCGAGACTAGCCTGGCCAACATGACGAAACCCCATCTCTACTAAAATACAAAAATTAGCGGGGCATGGTGGCAGGTGCCTGTAATCCCCGCTACTAGGGAGGCTGAGGCGGGAGCATTGCTTAAACCCGGGAGGCAGAGGTTGCAGTGAGCCGAGATCATGCCACTGCACTCCAGCCTGGGAGACAGAGTGAGACTCTGTCTCAAAATAATAATAATAATAATAATAATAATAATAATAATAATAGTTTTTTTCCCCCAGAAAAACAAAGCTAAATAAATGCAAGGGACTTATACCTATAATTACTTTTGAGACTGTATGAGGTAGATGCTCAAAACAATTAAGTTCATATCCTTTTTTGAAAGATTCTCCTGTGGTTTTTTTTTTAGTTTCCCTCAATCAACTCTGTTTTATATATCAAGAAAGATATATTGTGAATATTCTGAGAATTATACCTTACGTAGATAACTAATTTTTAAAGAATTAGTGCAAAATAAGTTCTCTAAAGTAAAAATATTCTGAGTATAATTTATATTTATTTTTATTTTTGCTGAGGAAATATTTTACAAAGCCTAGGAGTAATCCAGGTAGACAAAAACCATCACTAAGGGAGAGATGGAGAGACTGGGCCGAACCCAAAGCAACCTAATGGCCTGCGCTGGAATTGATTCTTAAAATAAAGCACTGATACCAAGCTATTAATTTGTCATTTCTATAATTTTTATCCACCAAAGTACTATGGAAAAACTCTGAGTGTATTTTCTGATCATTCATTTAGATTAAAAAGTAAATTAAAAAGATTGTTCATTTTTATCTTTTGTCTCACATCACCCAATGGACGATTCAGAATCTCCATCTCCCCACCTTTCTTCGCATAACATGGCCCTCTAATTCAATGTTCTCAATGTGCGATAGCAGATAGATGCAGTTTATTTCCTTAACGTGGCTTTGGTTTTTATCATGCCAATTGAAGGACTCATAATGAGAGTTCACACAAAACTCTACTCTCCCAAAGCATTGTACTGATAAGTAAAGGCGGTTCTCAAATAGGCAACTCTATGGATGGCTGAGTCAGCTTTGAGTAAGGGTAGCACGTAAGATAGTAAACTTTATTTCTATTACTGCAAGGCCCAGGGGTAAATGTTTGCCTTTGAATGCAAGTGAAGATTTACATTTAGAGAAGGGTGGTGGGAAGTGTGTATTGTCAGCAGTAATCTTCTCTCAGCTAGCATGACCTAAAAGGCCACTAAGGAGAGAGAAAGCATTAAAAGAGAAGATAATCATGCAAAGGGTAAAGGAATGGCTGCAAGGTCTTATATAAAACATGCATTTTCTAAATAGAATGAAAAACAGCTTTGCTCAGATATGATAAGTTCCCTTCTGGATTCTGGAAATATTCATTTTTAGGTGTTCTACAGAGGAAAAGATCTAATACATCATCTAAAACCATTAATTCCATTCAACTATCAAATCTTCCTTTTGTGTACTGGAAAAAGCTTTTTATTATGTTGTGTTAATACTTTGTGGCCACTTTCCTCATGGTTTTGAGAGGATCACCTTTTGGAGTATGACAGCAGAACCTGATAATGATGGAACATTGATATGGCATCTAACAGCCAGGCCACTCTTTAAATATAAAGTCCGCAAGGGAACAAAGCAGCTTGTCCCAGTTTTCCACAACAACAACAAAAACCTTTCAAATAGTCGTTATTCACATAGAAATGTATTTGAATAAAGGTCATGAAATTTAAAATTGCTGTGCCATATTTGAGGCTGACTGGTAGCCTGAGTTTTACAAACTATTGTGTCATAGAAGTCAAGGATGTGGCGCAGGCTGGGCCCATGCGCTGACTGCCATGGGTCCTGCAATGCTTATGTGAGAGCACTCAGAGATGAGAGCTGGTCAACTCTTCTTCATTTATGGAGAATGAAGGTACGTGCTAGAGAGTATGTTTTTCTTCTTCCCAAACATTATAGTCCTCATAATCCTTCCGTGGGAAGGAAGTTCTTTAAAAGGGGTCCCAGGGCTGTGGTGCTAAATGACTGGGAACCAGAGACCCCAGGTGTGCGCTGTCTTACGTTGTCTCTCTGTTTCCCCACCCCACTGGGCACATGGTGAGAGACTGCACATCCCTCCTTCCTCACTTCACTAGGGGACTGCTTTTTTGTAGATTTCTTCCCAGCCCAGGCTTTTATTACAAGAGACAAAGGGAAAGCTGGTTGACCATGAGCTAAAACATTTCCACAGGTCTTCCTTTATAATGTTGTGATCCAACTGTCTCATTTTCCTTTCTCAAAAATCACCTTCTGAGGACAGTGATTCTGAGCGGAAAAAAAGCATCAAAATCCCCATGTGGCTTTAGGTGTCACCTGAAATGAGAGTCTGCTGGCGCTGCCCCGAGACAGGTCAAGGCTATGCATTTAAGATGAAGTCTCTTTCTTCTTTTCCTCAAACCTTATCTGTTTGGGAGCAACAGCCCAAGAAGCATCATCTTGAAACACACTCATTTGATTTCATTTCCGCAGTGCAACCTCCAGCCTGTTTCCACACTGTCACAATGCCTAAACACATACAGGCTGGGTCACCCTGAGCATTATACAGCTACTGTTAAATAAAACCAAAGAGAAAGAAGATATTCCAGTTTTTAAAACTTCAATAAGGAAACGAGAATTAACATCCAAATTAAAATTCTTTCTAGCAGTGCACATACTCTGTTGTTTCAGAGTATGAAATGAAATTTGTGTAGCTGTGATTTTAAATTAAGAAGTACCCCGGAAATGGTATTAAATCAATAATATTTGGGGGGAATACTTAAGGAAGAAGATATTTAGTTGTGAAATGTCAAATAAGGACACAAGGTTTCATTTCCTTGTTTTCTCCTATTCTTCCAAGGCCACTTAAAAGATCAGATGCTTTGACCAAACCTTCTGAGCCTCATTTCCTATAAACTCTCCTGTCAACAGTTGAGGCTCATGGTGGGGTTTTGGTCTGAAAGAAGGCAATCTTCTGGAAGTAAAAACCTACTCTTAGAATATTTACCCTGTAAAATGATATTAACAAGAGGTCTGGTAGCCAGCTGTAAGCTTTACCAACTGAATTGCTGATACCAGAGTGACATTGCCTGTGCCTCCAGCACCATCCCTGAAAATGATACAGACTTGGGTAGCAGAGAAGGTAGCTTTAGAAAAATCAGCCAACTTCAGCTACACCTGTCGAAACTGTAGGACTAAGAGAGACCTTGAAAGTTCCTCTAGACTTTCTAGAAGGAACTTTCTATCTACTGGCACTTTACTTGGGATGGCCTTTTATGATTTTCTAAGTATGATTATGGAAAATGTTATCACATCTTAACTCAAGACCTTCTGGAGAAGTAGGAAAGGTAGGCATCACTGTTGTGCAAATGAGAAAAATAAAAGATCGGGACTAAACTGTGGGCTTGCCCAAAGTAAGTGGCAGATAGGAACTAATTATCCAAAGCATAATTTTTCTTTTCTTACCACAGTTGAGAAAACCAAGAACACAGTTCAGGCATGGATTCTAGTCACTTTTCTGTCACTGTCTAGCTATGTACCCTGAGTAAATCGCGATGTTTTTGCATGTCAGTTTTCTCATCTCCAAAATGGGAATAATTCCTGCTTTACCTGCCCTGCAAAGTAGTCATGAGGAACACACAAGATGCATAGTCTTTGCCTTATCTGCCCACGCAGAAAAGAAATTATGTTTACATTTGATCCTTCCCACCAAAACCTTAGAGAAATTGAGACCAGATGTTATAGGGGGTGAGGGTGGGGAGAAGCCAAAAGCCCTTGCTTGTCTTCTAATTAGACATGTGACTTTTGTCAAATCAATTAGCTTCTTTATTTCTCTATTTCCTCTGCTACACTTAGGAGGTTGTACTTGAACATTTTAAATAGTTTTTCCCATCCAATCTGTGAGGCTTCTATCCTAGTTTTCTTTTCTATGCTACCTCTGCAACTCTTTGCTATATTCCCCAAAGATGAACGGCTGGAACATTTATGTGCTATAAAAAAGCTAGGTATTGCCAAAACAGTGTAACACATTTGCAGTCCCACTGCGATTCTTCTTCTTCTTCTTTTTTTTTTTTTTCCTTAAGGTTGGTTAGGAACCTATAGCAGCCTAATGGAATTAAAATCACCAGGCAATGCAAAATGAGGAGTAGGAGTCAAATTATTTTAGGAACTACTAAGACACCATCCCTAGCCTACTCAAGAACTCACTAGGACTCATTAGACTGCCTGTCACCCAACAGGGACAGCCCTCTCTGAAGTGTCCCCACCTTAACAAGGATCATTAGTGCTGTTCAGCTCCAGCCACAGTGGCAAATGTCAACCCCTCCAAGAATCAGCTGCTTAATTAGATTTGGAGAACAGAAGGAAAAGGCAAGTTCTCCAGGTAAAATGAAGGGCAGAGTTTAGGAAGAGAAAGCTAGAGGCAGAGTGAATGTTTTCCTGTTAGTTTTGCACCACAATGGAAGCAAGATTTAGAAATGTACAGCAAAATTATCTAGAGCCATACAGAGCTAGGAAGAGCATCTTTTCTGGACTAGAAGAAAGACTTATCTATCAGGAGGGATCCTCTTGTCTCACAACCTGAACACAGTGAAGAGCTTTTCTTTGCACCTGGCTAAGAAGAAATGGTCCCCCCTCCACACTCCTTAAAACACAATACCCTACACCCACCCATCCACCAAGTCCCATTATCTCCCACCACACACTAAAGTCATTTTTTTCTCCAATGCTTTACAGTTCAGCATACTTCCATGTCTATTATGTTGGTCAGTGCATAACACCATGGGAAGATGAAGCAGGTGTTGGACCATTTTACAAATAAGAAAAGTGATGCTCAGAAAACGTAGGTAATTTGCCCAGTTTCCCAAAGATAATGGAGAACTCAGACCTCAAACCTAAGTCTCTTGACAGCCAACCTGATACTCTCTCTACCATTCGGAGAGAATCTAACCTTTGTTCTTCTTCTAAATGAATCTAAAGTTTTTAAATTAAATGCCTAAAGCATGTAAAACAAAGTACCTAGGTACATTTAAGGAAAAGAGTTACATAGAAATGGCACCTGATTTCAAGGAGATAGAATTTTCATAAACAAATCAGCATCTTACAAACATTCGATAAAAAGCAAACTCACATGTGCAGTGATTTTCCAAAGTGTGCTAGAGGGATTTACTGGTCAGGAATTATGCTAATGAGCTGGTGAATGTATGGAATTAATTTTCTGGGGGAGGGAGGTTTGGAACTAACTTTCTGTGTTCTCATCTCAGAGTGTATACTTGGAGCATCTATTGAAATCACAGCAGATGGAGCACATCATAAATGTATTTTCCCTTTTATTTTATCTTCAGCTCCTTGTAGAAACATAGCACCTAGGGTACTGTAGACAGAAAATAAACGTTCATTTTTATATCATCATTTGTAATATAAAGACATAAACATGACTGATTCCTAGGGGAGTTATATCATCTTGTTTCCTCCATGCTGAGTTTTCTAACTAATCCTTACTGAAATAAAACCTAAAAATGGAATTTAAATGTGATTTTTCTGAAGAATGCACTGACTTGCTTTTTTTTTTCAGTCTCAATGCACATCTGATACCTGCTGCCTTTGAGAAACAAGTTTTGTTGTGCTGATTTAACAGCCTGTGAATTCTGCAAACACGATCGTGAAAAAATGCCAATCTGTCCTGTGTAAGCCCTGTGTGAAGTTTTGACTTTAATCTACCAGATCACTCCTTCACCCTCCATAAAGATGTCTGAACCTGACACTTCCTCAGGATTTTCGGGAAGTGTGGAGAATGGAACTTTTCTTGAGCTGTTTCCCACATCCCTGTCCACGTCAGTGGACCCATCCTCAGGCCACCTGTCAAACGTCTACATCTATGTGTCCATATTCCTCAGCCTTTTAGCGTTTCTGCTTCTGCTTTTAATCATTGCCCTCCAGAGGCTCAAAAATATCATCTCCTCCAGTTCCTCCTACCCAGAGTATCCAAGCGACGCTGGAAGTTCTTTCACCAATTTGGAAGTCTGCAGCATTTCCTCTCAGAGGTCCACTTTTTCAAACCTTTCATCCTGAGGAAAATGGAAGAGTCCTTGAGTGTGGCAGCAGTTTTGACATCCCCTTACGGAAGTGTCCCGTGAGGCATTGCCTCATGAAAGAAATGATCCTTTTGGTGTAGACCTGCTTCTCCTTCTCCTTTTTCTCTGATTTCTTTTCTGTTCATGATGCTTTTCATTTGGGGATGGAGACACCGATGTTGGTGGAAATGTGTGCAAACCCCAAGGTGCAGAATTTCACACAAATGGCTTGATGAATCTAGACTGGGCTTCTTCAGGTAAGTCAGTTCATTCTACTTTGTTGGACGCCGTAGGCTCATCTGAGGTGGCCTCTCCGTGGATGCTGGACATGGACTCGCACTTCATTTCTTTTACAAAGCCGTGAAATCAACTGAGCCTGCAGAAACTGGCAAAATCAAGTCTGACCTATGTAGAAGTTATTTTCCATATTTAAAAGATAAAGTGGAGACACCAAACTTAAAAAGGAAGAGAGTCAATTTAGATTTAATGTATGACATTTCTAAAACTGAGGGTAAATATATGCTAAATATTTTCTTTAACTTCACTTTAACAAGTAAAAATCACACTTATTGATGAATGTAAGTCATTTGGGAAAGTTTTGGAAGAGTTTACATTTTAATAGCAAGACAAACATGTATTATGATGGAGCTTGTGATGTATTTCTGCCTCCTGGAGTTTTATTTTGTTTTTCTGCTTATGTTTTAGTCATAATGCCACAAAGTTGTGGAATTTTTGTGATTAATTGCTGTTACTAGTACTAAGAGAAGCACCAGAAGAGATGCCAAGAAGTTTTTATATGAATAATTTCTATCAGTGAGAATTAAGCATATGGAAAATATTCATTTAGTTGTATTTTATACAGTAATAACTCTTAGCTGTCGTGTAAGTTCCTTTATTCGGTTTCATAGTCTTTATAATTTTAGTGCAGAATTATATTAAGCCTCCAAGATGTCTGATATTTGTTCACTCACATTAGGTTGTAAAACTTAGAAACTAAATTGCAAATATATGTGTTATTATATACTCCACGAATGTTGCGTCTCTGATAATTAGTTGTTGTATGTTAACATAATACTCTACATTAGGATTTCAGGATGTGAGTTTGTATTAAAAATTGTAGGCACTCAAGTTGTGTAGCTGCTGGGAGCTTTAGGGATCCTAGGAGCTGCCGTGCTGCAGGCAGCAGAGTATGTCTGAACTCGGCGGGCGGGTGGCAGGGGCTGTCTGTGAAATTAGGCACACATGTGAGCTCAGACATGGAATGTGGAGGAACTCAAGCTGCCCCTAAAAACAAAACAATCAAACTGCAGCTCCTTAAGAGTAAGAATTTTAATTTAATTTTGAAAATAAATGGCCCACAGGGTAAACACTGAACTTATTCAACCTACAGGAGGCCACTGCATCAACACGCCACGGTCTTCCCATGGCAACTGAATCATTCCTTGTTCAAAACATTTAATCATCTTAAGCAGTGGGGCTTCAACACACCGTTTGGTTAGATTGTGCAGTCAGCACTCTCCAGTGATTAGAATGGGGGAAAGAATCCACTATTTGTACAGGGTTTATCTTTATCATACTAAAATGCTGAGTGAGTGGAGGTCTGGGAATGAAAATCAGAAGTCTTCTTCTTCTTTTAATTCATAAGCCTCACTTAAATCAGAACACATTTAACTATTTATATATCAAAAACGTCCCCAAACACCATAAGACCAGCACAGAGTTGCTGCCCTAAAATGTATAATTAGTGAAAAATTTACCTCTGCTTCCATTTAAAGCATGGCAGTGGGTTGGGTGTCATTATGTAGTATAAAAACTGGACTAGATAAACTGCTATTTTAGAGCATTATTAGCATTCTCTGAATATATGTATATATACATATATATACGCACACACACACACACACATAAATATATATATATATATATATATATAAACTCACATACTCCCAATTAAAAGTCGTGTGAAAGCTACACAGGATTACAGAGGCATCTATATTATCACTTTTGCTCTTTGACTAATCCTATGCTGTTTTTGTTATAGAGAGAAACAAGGACATGGATGAAGTGATTTTTTTTTAAATAAAAGGACAAATTTGCCACACAACAGAACAATCTGAGTATGATCTGTCCTCAGGGTATCTTTATATCCTTTCCATGTGAAAGAGATATAAAGAATTCTGACAGCAAAACTACTTTAAAAATCAAATCAAATCAAATCCACAAGCACACTCCCATTCCTCCCCTGCCGCAATGGTTCTTGCTCTCAATGTTTAGTAGAGAAATTAAGAGCCACATTCAAAGATGGAAAATAAGATTTGTCATTAGAAGCTTGCCAAGGTAACAGATTGTACAACTTGAGATGAATTCATGTTGTTTAAGAAGTTCAGAAAGGTTGGAAGATGGGTTTATAAATAAAGAAGTGGAGTCCATTGAAAGCCTGGTTCTTTGATTCTTTTCCAGTGAGGTGATTTATAATCTCTTCTAGAGAAGAAGCTTTTCCTAAGAGTTTTAAGCATACACCACACACACACAGAGACGTATAGACATATATTTACATATAAATATATCACTCCTTTTCTGTACGTTCTGTCTGAAGCAGGGTCAGTAATGTGTGACCCAAATGTCAGCCTCTCCCCAGCCCTGCAAGGATCACCTCCTTCTGCGACAGTGAGTCCCACATTTCCCAGATGAGAAGAACGATCTGGGTGCTTCGACAATATAGAGGATCCCACGCCACACCCCAGACCTTCAGGAGTGGAGCCAGAGTATTTCTGGATATTTTTAACAAGGACTTCAGGTGATGCTGATGATCAGCGGGGAAACTGGCAGAGGAAGGATCACATATATTGTGCTTACGTATTTGCAGAGGACAGGGGTCTTACCTCTCGGCCACTGCCCTTGTAACTGCAGTTGCTCCCAGCTGAGCATCCCCTGCACAGCTCAAAATCCCCACTGGGACCTACTTTCCTGCTCCAGTCTGAATCCAGCCACCCTTCTCCTCAATGGAAAGCTGCTGCTGCTGCTGCTATTGTAATAAACTTGGTGGAAGAGGGAAGTGCAAAAAGTCACATGTCTTTCTTGTCCTGTCTCTTAATTCCCCACAAGATGATATGCATATAACAGACTAGGTTAGAGGACTGGGGGTAGCTGACAGGATTTATAAGATGAGAGAAAATATTTTACATTGAGTACTAAGTAAGACTATTCCCACAGTCCAAAGGAAAACAACAGCATAACTAGGAAAACATTATCTAGGAGAAGCACCAGTTTCTATCCTTGCTCCCCTGTCTTGAAGTCAGCCTCCCACCCGTCTGAGAGAGGCTGCCACTTCAATCTAATGCCAGGTCCCACTCTCCGACTCTCTGTTAGAAAGTCCCCTGGGATACGTTCCTATCAGTCCAACACCCTGGACCTAAGACTTCAGAGAGTCTGAGTTATTCAAGAGAGAATACTCCCAGGCTGTGTGAGGATGGGTGTGGTATGGATGGAGTCCTGGAGGGAGGTCTGTAGCAGAGGAGTTCACGGTAGGCTCTGGATCTCCCAGGACCAGCTCTCTGCAGTATCTCTCCATCAGTGAGAGGACAACTGTGCTTCTCTTGCTTCCTGGTTATCCAGCCAGCCCAAGCATGCATTTGTGTGCATGAACACACATACACACACACACATTAACTCAGACATACGCTCTCCTTCACCCACACATACACCATCCAAGAACAAACCATCATCCCCAGTGTTCGAAGACAGCACCTCAGTTTTCAAAGTCCACTTACTTCAATTTCCCCCTGCCTTCAGTGATGAGCTGAGCACAGTAACTCCCTCTCACTCAACCTTCTCATTCAAAACCATGCCTAAACATCTACCACTTAGTAAGAAACATTTCCTACTAATACTGCTTTTCATAGCAACAGTGCTCACTAGCCCCTGTAGTCACTTCTGACTATGCAGAGACCTCATCAAACCATTGCAAGTATAGCTTTTCTTTATGTTGGATTGGGTCCACTCTGGGTTAGGGTGTTTGCCACCCTGGACACTGTAATAAGACATTATTATCAATGGGAATTTATTAAATAAATGAATAGAAGTGGTGTTTGGTTTTCTGTTCCTGTGTTAGTTTACTGAGGATAATGGCTTCCAGCTCCATCCATGTCCCGGCAAAGGACACGATCTCATTCCTTTTTATAGCTGCATAGTATTCCATGGTGTATACGTACCACATTTTCTTTATACAGTCTATTATTGATGGGCATTTGGGTTGATTCCTTACCTATCTAACAAACCTGCACATCCTGCACGTGTACCTCAGAATTTAAAATAAGAATTAAAATAATAAAATAAAATAAATGAATACATCCTTTGGCACTAGATAAAACAGACAGATATAGTTCCTGCCCTCACGGAGCTTATAATCTAGTAAGGAAGATATAAAAACAAATGAACAAACAATATGTATAATTGCAATTGCCATTAGCACTGTGAAGAGAATAAAACTGTGAAATAATAAGCAACAAGGGAAACTCACCAGGCATAGGTGGTCAGGGAGGGCCTTCCTGATGAGATCATAGTATTTGAAGGGTGTTGAGAGTCTTCTCCACAAAGGGATAGCGTCTACAAAGGCCCTGTGGCAGAGAAAGGCTAGGCTTGTGAACAGAAAAGTCAGAGTACTGGGATCCAGAGCATGAGTCTAGAGAGGTGGGCAGGACAGACTATGTAGGAACTGGTAGGTTAAAGTAGTAACTTGGATTTTATTCGGAGGGTGACAAGAATCCATTGAAGGATTTTAAACAGGTAAGTTATATAATTGAATTTTTGTTTCAGAAAGATGACTGTAGATGCTTTGTAGAAAATAAACCAGAGATGGACAAAAAGTCCTATTCAGATCCACCCTGGGTGGGGTATGGGAGTGGGTGGTGAGTTGTTCTCCCAGCTACAAATATCTGCTCATCTTCTAGCCATGGAAACGGCCTGAGCTGAGAATGAGTGTTGCCACACACACCCCTCCCTCCTCCTCCCGTTTCAACCACGCTCTCACCTCCCTCTCTCCCTCTCCTGGTCTCTCTGTCTCTGTCTGTCTGTCTCTCTTTCTCTCTCTCTCATACACACACGCACGCACACACACACACACACACACCTTCTCAGATTCTTCTCTCCTCACCTAATGTGTCCCCATTTGGCCCTTGTTTAAAGTATTTCAATCATGTTTCAGTCCATGTAACTATTATTCCAGTACTTTTAACATGATATGTGACTAATATTGTAATGAAACTCTAATACTGCAGCAAAGTTGAAGCATTTAAAATTGTTGCTCCTTTTAAAATTTTTTAAAATTCAATTCTCAAAACAGCTATTATTCTTGATGCACTATATGGCTCATTCCTATGATTCCAGGCTCTTGTGGAGAGTTAACATTTTTGGGTGGTTTCTCCTTGGTTATCTATCTGCCCTGTTTAGCTAACACTACATGCCATAAGACATAGAATTTGGATTCAGACCAAGACCTAAATGTTAACTCTACAACCTTAGGCAACCTTCTGAGACTCCAGATATTGGTAACTAGAAGAGAATAATAACCTCCTTACAATGTTGTGAGAATTAAGAAACTATTTGTGTTAACAGTGGAGGGTGTCCAGGTTCTTGGAGTCTTGAACAAAGAATTGGACAAAATGCACAAACAAAGCAAGGAAGAAATGGAGGGTTTTATTGTAAAGGAAAGTACACTCCATAGTGTGGGAGCGGGCCTGAGCATAGGGGCTCCAAGTCCACACTATTTAGAATTTTGGGAGTTTCAATATCCTCTAGAGGATTGGGACACATACTACATAAATGAAGAGGATGAAGTAAAGTTGCAAAGTCATTTACTTGGCCTATGCCCTATGGAGAGGATATTTCCTGTCATAGCTGAAGTGTGAATTGTCCTTATGTTTCCTGCCTCCAGACCGTATTTTCCTGCCTCATCTCCTCCCTGAGAGATGTGATCCCATAAATCTTTATGGGAGGCAGAGGGACCGATGATCTTTTTTGGTAACTGCTTCATGCTGGCTTGGGGCATAGTCCTTACCTATTGGGGATCACAGAACTCTCCCTGCTCTATCTAGTGGAGGCAGGGTAGCTTCTTGATGTCCAAGGGTGGTGTCTTCACCTGGAACTGGCTGAAACCTTTGTTGCATCATCATCTGAAGCTTGATGGTCTCTAGGTGAGAGGAAATGAATTTGGTTAAAAGATTTAATGGGAACTTCAGGGGGTGGATACCTATGTTGTCAGAAATGTTTGTTATAGAGATTTGCAGAAGAAAAAAACAAAAGCTAGTCTGTTGTGGAATCCAAGCGTTTCCTTAAAGTCTTAGCACAAATGACTCCATCTGTGTTTGCTTTAGTCTGTTGGGGCCCAGGGCATGAGTGCATGAGCTTAGTCCAAAACAATGGCCTCACAGAGTTTTGTTTTAAAAATCCCCCCTTTTTGGTCAGGTTCTCACTTAGGTGAGTGTGCAACCAAAACTTAGGGCCTTAGTGCCACTTCTCAGTTACCAACATTTTGGGTTTCCAGTCTCAGCACATCATTTATAGGTATGGTGTCCTCATGGTTGAACATTTCTTTCAGCTGTTGTCATTCCAGTCGAAGAGAGACCATTTGATGTTCTAGAGATGGCTGCATGCAAGCATTTAAAACCTTTGAGAGAATACAGTGCACCAAGGAGACTACTATTATCACTACTGGAAGGAAAATACCCAGAGTTCAGAGTATGCTCCTTAACCAGGGTCCCTAGAAACCAAACCACCTACACTTAAATAGTTTAAAGAATGAGCTAGATGAAGAGTCTACTCACTTGACTAAGTGGTCTTTTCATTAATCCCCTACACTGAATTTTTATAATCTGCATTTGACCTGTTTCTCCATAGGCCGCAAGTGTCAGCAGCTGCAGAAGAACTTCTTTGTTTAGCCAATTCTATTTAGCATAACTTTCAAAGAGAATTTAAAATCTGTTGTGTAACGATAGCCTTTAAAGTAGATTTGCTATAGAGCCTATCATGAGGGATACATTTCTAATCATTGCTTCCTTTACTTTAAGCCATGGAAAAAGGACTTAACAAATGATGCCCTTCTAGGAGAGTGAAGACCCCCTGGCAATGTTCTCTTTAACCCATGATGTGGGTTAAGAGGGATGAACCAATATTTTGTTTTTGAGTGATTATGGGGCAACATATGTACCACTAAAGTTTCTTACCTGCATTGGGCCTTCATCTCTATCAAAGTAGAAGGTTATCCATGTATAAGGCTGGCTGCAAACTTCTTCACAAATAAAAGTATACCCCATAAGTGCACATAACAGACCCTTTTTCCACTTCTATTGTTAGTAGAGATATAAGCAAGAAAAAATATTCAAAGATAAGAGTTTCATGATAGTAGAAGTCTTACTCTGTGAACTTGGGAAAAGCTGTTCACTTCAAGGATGCCATCTTCTTCTTCTTGGGAGAAATTTCTCTGGTTAGCTTTACCTCAAGGGTTCCAATGGGTGCACAATTCCAAAAGTGTGGAGGGAACCTTTTCAGTGGCGAGACCATGAACCCAAAGCCCAGGGTCCCGAAGTTTAGTTGCAGTGAGGATGGTAAGGAGAGTCTTTCTCTGGTGTTCTCAGAAGATTCAAACCATAAAAAGCTTTTTTACCTGGTGCAAATACACTGTAGCATAATAATCTACTGTGATAACATCAGCCCTCTCACGTGGGAAAGCTTTTATACAACCAGAAAGCATGCATTGGAAATAACAATTGAATGAAATCCCTTTATAAAATGTTTAAATGGCCCACAAGGTGACCAAATGTACATGAAGCTTTAATTGTCTTCCCAGGAATATGGGACCAAGCATTGGTTATAAACTATCTTAAAAATTTCAGTATCAGCTGGTTTAACATGAAAGTCTGACAAAGTATTTTATTGGTATTTAATTAATTTTTGTTCTACTTGGGTTAGTAGCTTTATACAAGGAAATTTGGTTATTTGTGTGGTTTACAATAACTTAACATAATACCCATAATTATAATTGATAGCATGTACTATTTTAGGAATCCCATACAATTTTGGAACATATATTAGTATTATTCACAAAAAAAACTTAAAGAACACGGAACATCATTTTGGCAATCCCATGTACCTAAACACATCAAATAATCCTGTTTACCTCCTTTCTGGATGTTTTCAGGGGCCCTCTGATCCATCCAGAAAGCCAGGCATTAGGAAAGACAATTTTGAAACTGAAGTTTGATTTTGGAATTCCAGATTATTTATTTTGCCAAAATAATGACTCAGAAATTTTAAAGAAGTAAAAACCTTTTACAAAACACACACAGAGACATACATTCTACTATTCTTACACACCGTGCATGTAAAACCGTTTCTAGTAGTCTTAATTGCATGTTACAATGGTGACTCTTAGCAATTTTAACTTTAATGTAAAACCTGGTAAGTTATGTTCTGAAAAGGTTTGACTGTTTGCAGCATAGCTAGGGGCATGGCCAACTCCACATGTTCCCAGGCCTTACCTAGCTGGAAAGCAGGCAAGTTAAACAATTTTCAAAAGCCAAATAAGCAGTTTATGACCTTAAAGCATTCAGCAAACCTAATATTGGAACATAATTTAGACCACATGTTTCCATTTTAAAGACATTGTATTTTACCAATAATCTTTAAAACCCTCTTTATTTCCCAAAAATTGCTAAAGTCACGTGAACTAAAAGGCATTACGCTTTCTACTTTCCTGATGAAATATTTGATTTAAGCTCTTATTATTATTAAACCAATTAATTTAAAACTTTACAATGGAGATTAGCCAGTTTGCACAGAGAGAAAGAGGCCAGAGACTGGCTAGTAAGAAATTCTTACCCTTTAGCTGGTATGCTAGGTTTCAGGATTCTCTCTCTCTGAGTGGCCCTAGCAACTATGCCCTATGGAGAAGATATTTTCTGTCATAGCTGAAGTGTGAATTGGCCTTATGTTCCCTGCCTCCAGACCCTATTTTCCTGCCTTATATGTAAACTGTCTAGTTCACATACTTGGGGAGTAGTATCATATATGCAAATGTTAAGCAAACATCATTAAATTTTGACTTCTGAAGATTCACATTTTCCCATTATTTCTGCCCACCACCTACTTTCTCTGCCTTCATGCATCCAATTCCTCTTCCATTCTCCCTTCTTCACACACCTGCCCTAGTCTCTCGTTTGCTGAGCCCTTACTGCTCTGCTGTCATCTTCCTGCTTTTGCCTACCCTCCATCTATGTCTCGCCACGACCTCAGCAAGGATGCGTGGGGGGAGACCTCATTGAAATTGTTTCTTTCAACAGCAATATCTACTTATTTCAGCCTATCCCCTTCCCAAGGCCTGAGGGTGTTGGGAACAGAGTCATGTGCCATAATACAAGTAACAGTGGTGGAGAAACAGATCAGAAACAAGGGCTGCCAGCAAGCGCCCTGTGGCTTATGAGTGATAATGAAGGTGCTGAGGGATTTGGGGTTATGATCAAACTTGAAGTGATCCTAGGAAAGTCGGACTGGGATGCAATAGTGCCTGGAGAAGTCAGACATCATGCCCTCTGTCTATATGTTCAAATTCTCCAGAGCTGGCCCAATTCACCAGCACCACTGTGCCTCCAGTTCAGCTGCATAGCACATTGCTGATTGTCAAACTGGCCTTATTGTCTTAATTTGGAGTAGTCATCACACTACTCATCCCTAGCATTCAACAGCACTTCTTGAAAGAAATTTGCACATTGTTACTTAAGGATTACCAAATTTAAAAAAAAAAAAAAGTTTCTTTGTAATAAAATTCACTCACCCCCAAAGATACAGTAACTGATGATTCAGAAGCTCATTCAAGATCTTTCAGTGCCTCAAACTTATTATTATATACATCATTTTTTGCTCCGTATGCATAGATGCCTGTCTAGAGGGAATTCTGCTTAATAAAATTCCAGATTAGTCTACTATAATACAAATTATAATAACATTAAAAGTATTTAAGCATGCTTATTGCTAGTAGTAAAAACAAAGTGATTTAGCTCAAAGTGATTATTCAAGCAGGAATAATAATAATAAATAATATTAACTGCTAGTACTTATATAGTCATTCCTGGGTGTCACACATTTTTTATATTTACTCTTGACATCCCATGAGGTAGGTACTATTATTATTTCCATTTTACAGATTGGGAAATTGAGGAAGATCACAAAACTAATGAATGGTAAAATCAAAGATCCAACCCAAAAAATTCAGGCTCTAAGTTCTGCAAATTAACTACCAGGCTTCACTCCTCCTCTTTCTTTCATTCAAACATTGTCACTTTTAAAATAGATATGTTTTAGAAAATGTTTATTCACAAAAGTAGCTGAGAAATAAATGTATAACCAAACATTAAACTTTATAGTAGATCCCAGGCCAGTGTAAACACACACTTGCTGAAAATGAAAGGGGCAGTAGGCTATATTGCTTTCTTACGTAAATATGGACACAGATCCCACACATCCTCCTTACTCACTGACATGCCCAAGGCCAAAGAAACACGAACAAGGGTCCTGCTTCCCAGGTGTGGGCACAAAGATGACTCAGCTCTACAGCAGCCTGGGGACATAGAGATGTCTACACACAAGATGCACCCGGGAGCCCCTTCTTGGGGAAGATTCATTTCTCATAAAATGAAGAGGTGTTCATCCATTTAGCAAATGTTTCTTGAACACTAACTCTATGCTAGGTATTCTTCTTTGCTTTTGGGATTCAACAGTGAGAAAAACAGACAAAAATCCTGCAAGAAGTTTATGTTTTAGTGGAGAAAACAGACAATAACAGACAAATATAAAATATATAGTAAATTGGATAATTATAGGTGCATAAGAAAAAATGTAAAGCAAGGAAAGGAAATAGAGTTGAACACAGTTGTAAGTTAAGACACAAGTGAAAATAGAGACCTTTCTCAGAAGATGCTATTTGAGTTACAAAAAGCATCTTCTTGCTCCTCCTTATCATGAAATTACAACCCAAAGGATGAACTTCTGAAGATTACACTGTGAAAATGGTTGTTGGACCTCCACTATTTCAACCATTTGGAATCAGCCAACATAAAACACAAAACATGTAAAACAAATAATTTAAAAAGAATCAAAATAGAGCTTTCACAGATTTACCTGTCTGAGGGTTGGGGCAGGGGAAAGAAAAGCTCCTTCATACATTGAACCGACATGTTATTTGCTCTGTCTTCCATTGCTGATGTGGTCTATGTGGGCAATTCCAAGTCCAAAGGTTTAGATGAGTTTTTTTCACCTAATTGGAATGAATAAATACTTTAATGTCCTGCCAACTCAGCCTCAGCTAAATGGCTAGAAGCAAAATAAACTGCTATTAGAATTTTCTAGTCGGAAAACTAGCTCTACTGGAAGTAAGTATGAGGTATGGCAGAGACAGAGGAAGAAGTTTGCTCCTAAGTTGGGGATGCTTGAGCCAGCTCTTGACCATATAGATGAGTGCCAAAGAAAGCATTCCAGTAGCAATAGCAAGTCCAAAGGCATGCAGGCTGAGAATGCTTAGGATGTGCAAGGAATCACTGGGCATTCCATATTCTCAGCACACAATGCAAAAGCAGGGAAACAGATCAGTGCAGAACCACCTTCAAAGTGCCCCACCTTTCACTCCTAGTGCAGCATCTTAATTCCCAGTGTTCTGGTGGTTGAACAGAATCTCAAAGCTTGTAGCTAGATACTGTATGCAGCACTTTAAGGGGGTGGGGAGGGGGAACTGAAAACCCAGGATGAAGGACAGCGGCCCTGCCTGAGAAGGCTGCACTTCCATCTCTGCAGATCTGAGGGTGTGTTTCCTGCTGATGATCCCAGGATGACAAAACACTCATTAGGGCGCTTCCAGGCAGTGGTGGCAGCCAGGGTGAGCCAGGACTCAGCCATCCAGGACTCCCTTTTAGGCCACGTTAGATTTGA
Organism: Homo sapiens; assembly: GCF_000001405.40. NCBI lineage: Eukaryota > Metazoa > Chordata > Mammalia > Primates > Hominidae > Homo > Homo sapiens. The sequence goes on from NC_000013.11 coordinate 36,707,378, forward strand.
GCATTATCGTGTGGCTGGGGGTTGCTGCTGAGCCCTCCTAAACAAGAGAATGACATGATCTTCTGCTTCACAAGTTTATTTATTTTTTATTATACTTTAAGTTTTAGGGTACATGTGCACAACGTGCAGGTTTGTTACATATGTATACGTGTGCCATGTTGGTGTGCTGCACCCATTAACTCGTCATTTAACATTAGGTGTATCTCCTAATGCTATCCCTCCCCACTCCCCCCACTCCACAACAGGCCCCAGTGTGTGATGTTCCCCTTCCTGTGTCCATGTGTTCTCATTGTTCATTCCCACCTATGAGTGAGAACACGCGGTGTTTGGTTTTTTGTCCTTGCAAAAGAAACTACCATCAGAGTGAACAGGCAACCTACAGAATGGGAGAAAATTTTTGCAATCTACTCATCTGACAAAGGGCTAGTATCCAGAATCTACAATGAACTCAAACAAATTTACAAGAAAAAAACAAACAACCCCATCAAAAAGTGGGCAAAGGATATGAACAGACACTTCTCAAAAGAAGACATTTATGCAGCCAAAAAACACATGAAAAAATGCTCATCATCACTGGCCATCAGAGAAATGCAAATCAAAACCACAATGAGATACCATCTCACACCAGTTAGAATGGCGATCATTAAAAAGTCAGGAAACAACAGGTGCTGGAGAGGATGTGGAGAAATAGGAACACTTTTACACAGTTGGTGGGACTGTAAACTAGTTCAACCATTGTGGAAGTCAGTGTGGCAATTCCTCAGGGATCTAGAAGTAGAAATACCATTTGACCCAGCCATCCCATTACTGGGTATATACCCAAAGGATTATAAATCATGCTGCTATAAAGACACATGCACACGTATGTTTATTGTGGCACTGTTCACAATAGCAAAGACTTGGAACCAACCCAAATGTCCAACAATGATAGACTGGATTAAGAAAATGTGGCACATATACACCATGGAATACTATGAAGCCATAAAAAATAATGAGTTCATGTCCTTTGTAGGGACACGGATGAAGCTGGAAACCATCATTCTCAACAAGTTTATTTTAAAGTAGAGGGCATAATATTTATTAGTATCATTATTATTATTATTTAAATCTCAACAGCTTTAGTGGTACAAGTGGCTTTTGTTTCCATGGATGAATTGTTTAGCAGTGAAGTCTGGGCTTTGGGTGTACCCTTTGCCCGAGTAGTGTACATTGTATCCAATAGGTGATGTTTCATCCCTCACCTCCCATCTTTCCCCCTTCTGAGTCTCCAGTGTGCATTACTGCTCTCTGTATGACTTTGCATACCCATATCTTAGCTCCCATTTGTAAGTGAAGACATGTGGTATTTGGTTTTCCATTCCTGAGTTACTTTACTTAGATTAATGGCCCCCAGTTCCAAGCAAGTTACTGCAGAAGACATTATTTTATTCTTCTTTATGGCTGAGAAGCATTATTACATGGTTTATATACACCACATTTTCTTTATCAGCTCATCAATTGATGGACATTTAGGTTGACTCCACATCTTTGCATTTGTAAATTGTGCTGCAATAAACATACAAGCACAGTTGTCTTTTTTGTATAATGATGTCTTTTCCTTTGGGTAGATACCCAGTAGTGGGATTGCTAGATGGAATGGTAGATCTACTTTTAGTTCTTTGAGAAATCTCCTTAGAGTTTTCCATAAAGGTTGTACTAAATTGCATTCCCACCAGCAGCATATAAGTGGTCCCTTTGAAGTACTGCTTTTCCAGTTTTTGAAACATATGATGGCTTTGTGATGTTTGTAGGATGAATGAGGGAGTACAAGACAGACCAAGCAGGAAGAAACAAATTCCTTCCACTCCCTGAGGAGGACAGCATTCGAATCCTTAAACTTGAGAGGAGAACTGACTCACAGTGATTTTACTGGCACCATCTGAAAAATCAATACAAGCAACTTGACTTTCTGAGGATCATCTGAGGAGTTTTCCATGTGTCTGTTGCATCATGCCAGCTATAGCAAATATTCTTTTGCTTAGAAAAGTCAGTGGAAAGAAGTGAGACTGCAAGACATGTAACAAATTGGGTCACTGAGTTTTTGAATTGAGTAGTTGTTTAGTAAAGCAGGGCATACTATATACTATATGCCATGAAAATATTCATGGGGACATGAGGAAAGTGGTAATAAGCCAAAGAACACACACACAAAAAATGCTGAACAGGAAAAAGGATCTTATTTGGTTCAGTGAACTCAGCCTCTTTGAAACTTTAAACCTCTCTCTGACTATGCTCTTGCAGCTCTCAATCAACTGTTCTATATAAATATGGAAGTATTTCAAGCTTGTTTGTACTCTCTGCTTCAGTGACCCTGCAGACAATTTATCCCACACTGTTTACAAGGCTGTATGAAATCCACAGTTCTGTCTGAATTCTTTTTTTCCCCTTTAAAGGTTTGGCTGCCTCCTGGTTTGGGCTCCCTTTGACTTATGAGAATAATTTGTTGCACTCTACCCCTTCCTTCTGATGTTATGCTTCATTAGCCCCAAAGTCCCAAAGTTCCTCTTCTCCAAAATTTCCCCTGGTGTCTTCAACTTTTCTTCCAGGAACAAGTTCTAGGCTGTGTTCAGAGTCAGCAATGCCTGCTGGCTTATTCTTCTGCACCCTGGCTACTTCAAACTGTCTTGACCAGTAATCCCAGCAAAGCTAAGGTCTTAGAGACATTCATACTCCAATCTATAAAAGTCTCTCCATAGGATTTGATTTTCAATTACATTGTCATGAGAAAGTGCTGAAGGAGGAAATTCATTTGTGAAATCAATATGCATGTTGAAATGATTTGTGACAGAGCTAACTATCAGATATAAATTTTTCAAAATCATTTAGAATGATCAGTTTTGCATTGGTGATGGAATAGCTTTTTCTTACTACCTCTGTTCCAAAATATAACTACAATATGTGGGATTATTTTACTGTAATCTTGACACTGTTCTTTTTTCCTATATGAATGCCACATTTAGTATCTCAAATTTGATGCAATAATTTAGATGGGTAATGTGGTCATTGTGTATGAAGAATAGCATTTTTATTTTGTTTTGAAACTGAGTCTTACTCTGTCGCTCAGGCTGAAGTGCAGTGATGTGATCACAGCTCGCTAAGCCGCAACCTTCTGGGCTCAAGCAATCCTCCTGCCTCAGCCTCCCAAGTAGCTGAGATCACAGGCATGTGTTACCACACACAGCTAATTTTGCATTTTTTGTAGAGATGGGATCTCATTATGTTGCCAGGCTGGTTTTGAACTCCTGGGCTCAAGCAATCCTCCCACCTTGGCCTCCCAAAGTGCTTTGATTACAGGCATGAGCCACTGCACCCGGCAAAGGATAGCATTTTTACAGGTGTTTATTTCCTTATAATACACTTTTTTCTCTACATAAACCTCCATGGTTCTAACTTGAGCTGGGGGAGAGAGAGCAAGTAGGGAGACTGTCAAGACCTTAGGAACAGGGTTCAGGAATTGGGGAGAGACCAAAGTCACCAAAAACAGCCAGAGCAGTTACAGGGGGAAATAGTCTGGTTTATAAAGGCGGGTCTTTAGGAAGGCACTTGAGTGAGCCAATGCCAATGTCCAAAGCAGCGGGGACCTCAGCCATCACTCTCTCCTTTCTTGTCATGTCGATTTTCTGAATAAGTTGCCTACACTTCCTCAGTCTGTGTTTGCTCCTTTACTTACTGCAGTCTGGTTTCTGCTATGCACACACACACACTGGCACACACAAACACATACTCACACACACACAACTGCGACTGAAATTGCTGTGTTCTTTGAAGGACGTCGCTTCTGTCCTTTCCTTGTCTGAACTCCCTGCAGCACTTAACACACTGTTGAATATTCCCTCATCAAAACGTGTTCTTCCCCTAGCTTTCAAAGACCCCATACTTCTCTGGTATTCCTCTGGCCATTCCTTTCCAATACCTTTCTCTGCATCTTTTTTCTCAACTCTTCTTTTATTTTTGTTATTATTTTTTTTGAGATGGAGTCTTTCTCTGTTGCCCAGGCTGGTGTGCAGAGGCATGAAATTGGCTCACTGCAATCTCCAACTCCCAGGTTCAAGCGATTCTCCTGTCTCAGCCTCCTGAGTAGCTTGGATTACAGGTGCCCGCCACCATGCCCAGCTAACTTTTTTTTTTTGTATTTTTGTAAAGACGGGGTTTCACCATGTTGGCCAGGCTGATCTTGAACTCCTGACCTCAGGTGATCCACCCACCTTGGGCTCCCAAAGTGCTGGGATTATAGGCCTAAGCCTCTGCTCCTGGCCTACAATTCTTCTTTTAAATGTCCATGTTCCCCAGATACTTGTCCTTGGCTATCTTTTTTTTCACTTCACATAATCATGTCCACTCCCATGGCCTCATTTCCATCCACATGCTGTTGACTCTCTGCCGACTTACAATCTAACTACCTTCTGCCCCAAACTCAGCACATCCGAAACTAAGTTCCTCATCTTCCTGCCATGATGCCCGCAACCTTCTCCTTCTCTTGCTGACTCTGCTCACACGTGCCTCCACCGACTGCCTCACCTCCATTCAAACAACCACAACATCCTCACCTTCAGGCCTCCCTAGAGTTCGTGAATTCACACACCTCTCCCTAATATCACTGCCCTGTTTCAGGCCACACAGCTAGGATCCTTAACTGGTTTTCTAGCTTCTAAGCTCATCTTCCTGCAATCCAATCTCCAATCTACAGCCAAAGACATTTCTCTAAAAAGAAAATCTGACCCATCATGTGCCATCATTCAGTGGCTTTCCATTGAGCTAAGAATAAAGATAAAATTTCTCCAGTGGGTCCAAGGCCTTGGGGCACCACCCCTCAATACTTCATATCTTACCACTCTCCTAACTTCCTTCAACACACCCACACCCATCTTTATATACACTGCTGTCTTTGTCTGGGACACCAATTCCTCCCTCATCCCTAATGCCTGGCTAGATCATACACATCCGTGCTTTTCACTGAGACATCAATTTCTCCAGGGAATCATCTGTGATATTTCCAGGCAGGGTATCTCCTACAGGTTTCCTATCACCTGCTGTTAATGGAAAATGCAGCACTCACCCCTGGAGTGATTCATCTGTCTCCCCTCCCGCATGGTACTCTGAGCTCCTGCAAGCAAGGCTGCAGGCTATCTCGCAGCCCAGTGTGAAGCACATGAAACCCCCTCAATAAAAAGTCCACACATGAATGAGTGATAACCTAAGAAAAATAGAAGTAAAATTTCCTCATGTGCATCAGTGTTTCCATAAGGAATCCATTTAAATTAACAAAAGAATTTTCACTTTTAAATGTTTGTCTATAAGCTACACAATGTCCCATAAAACAAATGAAAACAGAAAAAAAAAATCTTAGTTTAAATGTTTTTTCCAAGTCATGTACTGCGTAAAGCTCAGCACAGCCTCTTTCAGTGTTTGCAGGTCCCGATCTCTGGCTGCCCCAGGCTTTGGACCCGTTCCTTTCAGCTTCTTGTGAGGCAGGAGTGGGAGTACTGTGCTCTCCACCCCATGCCCTTACTGTGGACTGTGCAGCCCCCAGCTGTTACTAATTCTCTTCTGGAACCACTTTCTCCTTGTTGAAGGAGCCCCTATGACTCAGCAGCCTGTAAATGAGTTAGACCTTTTTGCTCAAAGCAGACTGAACACAATGAACCACCGCATACTACGTGGCAATTAAATTAGAGAAACATTGAACAGATCTCTGCATAGTCAGAAGGTACCTGCTTATAAACTGCAAGTAGCTAGAATCTTTTTTCTCAAGGCAAGATCACAATTCAACCATGCTCAGCCACGTTGTCATAGTGAATGCTAAACTACAAGTAATTTCTAGTGAAGGAAGCATGTTATTAGTCCTCGGTGCTCCAGTTTCCCCCCACAGAATAAAGATGTATTTTATCAAAAATAACTTATACCTTGGCATCCAGTGTAATGCAAATTTGATAAAAATATAAAACTCTGTTAAAATTAGAGACATGAGGACACCAAAACTTATTCTTCCTGTTTAACTGTAACTTTGTACCCATTGACCAAACTCTTCTGGTTCCCTCCCTCCACCCTCCCCAGCCTCTGTTAACCACTATAGCAAATAACAATGCAGTGAATATTTTAAGATAGCTAGAAGAAATGAGAAATGTTTAAAGTGGCGGATATGGTAATTACCCCAATTTGATCATTATATTATGCATACACACGTCAAAATATCACATTGTATCCTGTAAATATGTACAATTATTGTATCCATTATACATTTTTAAAATTAAGCAAAAGTAAAAGACCAAGAACATGAAATCCTTTAGCTCACACAATATGCAGACTGAGAACTTTGGTGAATTTTAGAAGTGCAGGTTTCAGATTGTGCCCTGAATGTGCTAATACAGGGTGTATACATGATCTGTTCCTAATGTGTATGAAGACGGACTTTTTGTAAATAGCTTAATGAATATTTATTGTAATCACAGTATAGAGTTTATCCTAAATTTTTACTTCTTTGCACCTCGTTAGAGACTGAATACAGAAACTGAAAGATTAGCAGCTTCAAAGAATTTTAAATACATATCTGGAATGTCTGCTATTATAGGTCCTGTAGTTCTATAGGTTCTGTGATTCACTAACAATTACTCAGCATTGAGTATTAGGAAAGCACAGACTCTGTCCTCAGGTTACTCACAGTCTGGTTGGGGGCAGAAGGAGAAGTAGAAAAGAAAAAGAAGAAGAAACAAACATGTGCAGGATGTCTGCTGTGTGTCAGGCACTATATGAGATGATATATACATTTCACTGAATCTCCACGAAAATCCCATGTGGTTTGGATTATTATCTCTCTCTTCCAGAGAAAGAAACAGAGGTTCAGAGGGATACATTCCCCAAGATCACACAGCTTGTAACTTGCTGCAGAGCAATGCGATAAGAGCTGCACTAGCCAGAGAAGGAGGTTGCCCATGTGATAAGTACAGTGAGAACAAATAGGAAAGTGAGAAGGGGCTTTGCTTTGTTGGACAGCATGAGTTTAAAGATTCTGGTTTTGACATCTAAGTTATTCCTGAGAAGATGTGCTTTAGACAGCTGGATAAATGGGTCTGGAGGTCAGAAGAGAGCCAAAGCTGAAGGCACGAATGAGATCCTTTGGGATTATGTACAAATCCAAAAGAAAAAAGGCTGAGGATTGAACTCTGTGGCTTTTAAGAAAACAGTACTTAAGCGGTACATAGGCTGGACATGATGGCTCACACCTGTAATCCCTGCATTTTGGAAGGCCAAGGCAGGGGGATCACTTCAGGCCAGGAATTGGATACCAGCCTGGGGGCAACATTGCAAGACGTCCTTACAGAAAAATACAAAAATTAGACACGCAGGGAGGTGTGTGCATGTAGTCCCAGCTACCTTGAGAGGAGGAGATGGAAGGATAGCTTGAGCCTAGGAAGTTGAGGCTGTAGGGAGCCAAGATCATGCCTCTGCACTCCAGCCTGTGTGACAGAATGAGACCCTGTCTCAAAAAAAAAAAAAAACATAAAGAAGAGGAATCCACCAAAAAGACTAATAAGAAGCAGGAGAACATAGCATCATGGAGTAAAAGCTACAAAAGAGGAGCAGGTGTCAGAGGAGGCTTGCATTGAATTATTGAATTTTGCTGTTAATATGGGAAGGCCTGGGTTGTGTTATGACCTAGGAGGTAGCCCATGGCATGCAGAGGCAAGAGATGAACAGGAAGGGGGCCATCTTCTCCCTCTAGACGGCAAGCTCCACCTAGCACATCAGGCCAGCCTTGTCTTCTAGATCTAGAATAGGGCTATCCATAGTCTCAGAAATGCTTGTTGAATGACTGAATTAATGACTTAATCAACTAATGCTTAAAGATGTGAGGTCCTAGAGAAGAGGGGAGGAAATAAAATCCAGAGCAAGGATGGTGACCTCAGCGCTGGACAAGAGGAGGTTCACCTCTTCCTTTGAAACTAGAGTCACCAACACCAAGCATTCTGCTCAGAATAGAGGAGACACTCATGTTTGTGAACCAAATCAATGAATTCTGCTCAGAGCATTATAACTCATCCATGTTCCTTAATTTCATGGTTAGAAGGTTTTATTGAAAAACTTAAGTCCAGTAAACTAAGTTGGACTTTGGTCACCAACAATGATTCAATGATTTTTAGTAGACATGCTAAAATGGCCTTCTCTTGATTTTTAATTATGAATGGCATAAGCCCTTTGCTGTTGATAGTTTAATATTACATTTGACAAAGGAAACTGGTTATTGAGCATTGTGGAAATTAGGTTATTTTCAAATCTGATGGAGATTCTCATGCTACTATAATATAGGATTTATCCATGAATATTTATGGATAAATAAAATATAAGATGCATACAAATAAGAATGAAGTCTAGAAATTTGCCTTTCTAACTTGGTACTAATCCAACGGATGAGCAAAGAGACCATAGGAGAAAAAGAGGTAAAATGTTAAGAAACTCTTTTAAAAAGATAATCAGACAAGCCTAGAATCTCATAGGCTATGTCAAAAGAAATGTAAATGTGTGGAGAATTGAGAAATGGCTCAGGAGGGTTTATCTTTTCCATTTGTGTTCTCCAAATGCCATCCGAGGCAGCACTGTGACCCTGGCTCCCAGATAAGAGCAGAGCCTGTGCCAGAGTCAGTGACCTCTGTCACAGAAATGCTGACTGTCTCAGTTCCCTCTGCATTTGCATTTTCTTCCCTGACTTGGAAAGTCTGCATTTCCACATGCAGGCTTCCATACTCCAGTTGAAAGATCATGTGGCTGCCTGTCTAGCCCTCCACTGACAGAAATACAAAGCCAGCCATTTTCAAATGATCTGACTGCCCCTATGGGTTATGGAACACTGGAGAATCATGGCAGCTTCTCCCATTGTTCAATGGGTAAACTTGTGTAGCTCTTGTCCTAGATTCCTAAGGGGACACCAATTTTCTCCAAACTCCTCCCAACCCCAATGTTTTCCTCAAGGAATGAAGTTTGGATAATAAAACATGATAAAGTAATTTCCTTTCCTCCCCATTCCCATTGTTGCCACATGGACAACTGGGATTGAATGACTGAAACAACTTGGAAAACTGCTACAATCTCCACATTGCTGTCTCCCATATGTGATCCATGCTGAGCCACGCTGGCAGATACAACTTCTGAGCACATAAGTGATTTTCCATTTTGAAGCCATGTTCAAGAACATGCAATGGCTCCTGTTGCCTTCCAGGTCAAGTCTCCCTTCAGGCAGCTTTGAAGACCTTCAGAATTTGGCTCCATTCCTACTTGTTCACACTCCTGCCCTCCAAGTCACCCTCCTCCTGGATAGAACCACCTCCTTTCTGCACAGGGCCATTCTCATCTCTGCCCCACTGCCTACCCTGGCCTGTCTCCATTCCTCCACCAGTGGGAGTGCCTCCCCACAACACCCCTTTCCCAACTCCTTGCCTGTCTCTCCAGGGCCAGGTTAAGCCCCACTCTCTGAGGAGTTCCCTGCTGGTGACACTGGCAGAAAGAGAGGAATCTTTCTGCCTGAGGCAGACAGTCCAAACAAGGATACACTTAATTGTATTTTGTTTGTGGGGGCTCCCTTGGAAATATATCTTAGACTTATTTCTACATTCCCTCTATAACTAGGGAAAGGCAAAGCCAATAGTAGGCATACATACTTACTGGGCCCTTGATTGTAGAGCCCCTACCTGTCTTCTTGCCCTGAGGCCACAGGGATCTATCTCTAGTTGAATGTCTGCAGCTGGGGAGCCAGGTATTAACATTCTTACTACAAACCCAATTCTCACATTACCTCTTTAGCAAATGCAGATCTTTACTGGTTGAGTCAGAGAGAAGCTTCTATAAATTCATTCAGTGTTAACCAAATTTTAATGTTAGCCTCTGGCGGGTTTTCGCTGCTTTCTCAGATATGTGCAGTTGGTTTCAAATCTGTGTCCTATTTGAAATGTGATAAGAAGCTAAAGAGAGTAATTGATGGGGGAGCTTATGGCTATGGAAACTAAGCTTCCTTTGGTCATCCTCAGCTCCTTTATGTCATCTGCTAGCCGGGACCAAGATCACATATTCACATTGCTTGAAAACCTTTTTATGATTTCAAATGGCACCATTTCAGGGCTACTTACATTTAGTGTCTGTTTCAATACTTTTGACTCATTGAGGAGCGACATGGTGGCTGATGTACACAGAAATGGAACTGGGAATTCTTGGTTTAACTCTTAAAACCCTGTTCCTCAGATGCTTACAGAAGATCCAGACCTTTCCTAGACCCTCAAAAATCCCTTTTGTCAATCATTTCAAATATTAGAATTAGCTTCCCCTGAGATTTTTTACTCTAAATGTTAATTATACATTAACAGAAGAACTAGAAATAAATAGCATTTATATTTTTGGTTTTCTGTGATTATTTATGTCTCTGCCTTCAGAATGAAATCATTTCCTTCCTGCCTAATCAGCCAGAATTTAGGTAACAGAATATAGCTGTGGACCTAAGCTAGATTTCAAGAAAGAAAAATAATTTCACAGCTGACTATGCATGTCTCTATTGCCATTACTAGTTCATCTTAATTGAATGCTGTCTGTGCACTTCCTGGCAAACCACATATTCATCCTTTAAGACCCAGTTCAAACTTCGCTCAGTGAAGCCTTCCCCAGCTCCCCTGGCAGAGTTTAACATCCCTTCTTTATATTCCAGCAGTTTGTGTTTAATTCTTTGTGAGTTCAAGGAATCAAACACTTTATTGAGCATCCACTTTCCATGACTCAGTGCCCTTGTCATAATGTGCTTTACAGACTTTATCAATGGAACTGTCTTCCTTTCTCACTCAAATTGCTCATGGTGAGTGCTACGTCTTACTCATGTTTGTATATTCTGCACAATGCCTAGCACACAGCAGAGGCTCAGTGGGATGATTTGTATAAAAGGCCACAGGAGGCTGGTGGTTCCTGAGCAGCTGCTTGAGTAATATCACCAAAGATAGGCAGATTGATTCATGTAGGCTGAGCTTTTGAAGTGGAAGAGTTTGTCTGGGATTCTAACCACAGGGAACGGAGAGAATGGAATGGATGAGGAAATGGGTTGCTGGCCAGAGAGTTTGAGCCATCAACAGGAACCACCTAAATAGCTCCTGAATGTGCTTCTATTACCTCTCTATTACCACTGCCCCCAACTTTTTCAGGTATTCCTCGTTTCTTGCCTGAATTTACTAATAACCTCAAATTGGTCTCTCTAGGTTCCTTATAGTATTCTTTTCCACCATAGTCTCCTCTTATCCATCTTCGATATGACCTCCAGCCTGAACTTTCTAAAAACAAATCCAGTATTTGTTTGCTTAAAATCCTTTCAGTGCTTAAAATCCTTTCAGTGGTCACACACACGCTTGCACACACACACACACACACACACACACACATAGGCAAATGCACATACACATTGCTTCATTCTGAAATCCAGAATCCTTGTTGTAATGTTCAAGGTCCATGCATGATTCAGCCCTTCCTTTTCGTCACTCCTCCACACACACCCTGCTCTCCGTTATGTTAAACTACTGGAAGCTCCCTGAATGGTCCTAACCATGAGACCTTTGTGCCTTGGTATATGATGCTCCTTGCTGTTACAAAATCCTTCATATATTTTGTCTTACTCAATTTGCTTACCTCTGCCTCAACTTCAGGTTATTGCTAAAGTGCCACCTCAATCTGAGATGGTTTCCTGAACCACTCTCCACTCCCTACTGGGGTGAGGTACCCAGTGCGTGCTCTCCCATACAATCCTATGCATTCCCCTGTCTTGGAACTTCTCATGTGGTGCACACTGTCTGACTCCTCCAGAACACTGAGTTTCTTGAGAGTAGGCATTTCTTATTTGTATCGGTCAATGTCTAAGTGAGTGTTTCCCTGACCATCTCACTTAAAATAACACACACATGTGTGGACACACACACACACACACCATGTTTCCTATTCTTATTCTCTACTTTATAGTTCTCTCCATAGCATTCATCACTTTCTAATAAACTATATAATTTACTTATTTTGTTTTTCTTCCGTCTCCTTCATTTCATGTAAACTGCATGAGGGCAAGAATTTGAAAGCCTGTATTTTTTTTTTTAACTGTCTTGAATTTCCCTGGTCTGATACTGATTTTTCTATTCTACTCAGCCCTAAGTTAAGATTGAGTTACTAAAAAATAACCACATGTACCTTTCTCAGAGAAACTGCAGGAATCCTTTTGTTATTGTTCACGCCCACCAATATCACCATGATCCTGTTTTTCCAGAATTTGTCTAGTAGAATGCTCAAAAGTTTGCTCTGGTTTCTGTTGTCAGAATTTCTGCTACCTGTTCTCAGACTGACTTCTTCTCCTAACCCTACAAAATACTCCCATGGTTTAGTCATTTCGAAGTAGCTGCTTTAGAGGCTGTCTTCCCTGCTGCCCACCAAGTTGGCTAATGGAAACTTTTGTTCCTCCTTGCTATAGTTTGAATGTGTCCTCCAAATTTCATGTGGTGGAAACTCAAATGCTCTTGTAACAGTATTAAGAGATGATTAGGCTTTTAAGAAATGATTAGAGGCTGAGTGCGGTGGCTCACGCCTGTAATCCAGCACTTTGGGAGGCCGAGGTGGGCGGATCACCAGGTCAGGAATTCGAGACCAGCCTGGCCAACATAGTGAAACCCTGTCTCTACTAAAAATACAAAAATTAGCCGGGTGTGGTGGCACACGCCTGTAGTCCCAGCTACTCGGGAGACTGAGGCAGGAGAATCGCTTGAACCCAGGAGAAGGAGGTTGCAGTGAGCCAAGACAGCGCCATTGCACTCCAGCCTGGGTGACAGAGTGAGCTTCCCTCTCAAAAAAAAAAGAAATGATTAGGCCATCACGGCTTCACCCTCACCAATGGATTACTAATGCTGTTATTAGGAGAGTGGGTTAGTTATCTCAGGAGCAGGCTCCTAATAAAAGGCTGAGTTCAGTCCTCATTTTTTCTCTGTTCCTGGAATACATTTTCTCACCATGTGATGCCTTTTGCCATCGAAGAACCCTCACCAGATGTCAGCACCGTGCTCTTGGGCTGCTTAGCCTCCAGAACCACAAGCCAAAAAAACTTGTATTGTTTTTAAATTACCCAGTCTGCAGTATTGTGTTACAGCAGCAAACAACACAGACCCTCCCTTTTTTGCTTGTTTCAATGGTTTTGTCTGTTTTATCCACTGTTATTTTCCCAGAGTCTAGAACAGTGCATGACATAAAGCACGTGCCCGTTAACTGTTTGCTGTGGCATTTGTCTCCTCAGCATTTAGTATGACACCTGGCACATAATAGACCCTCAATACATGTTAACTGTACAAATTAATAAAGGATTGAAAGAAATGGGGGTGCAGAATTACATCAAGGAATAAAGTGGGTGAAAATGCCATTCTAGACTCTTCCTTCTTTCTCACATCCCATGTCTAATCAATCTTCAAGTTGTTGGTTCATTTCTTTAAAACTTTCCTAATATTTTCTTTTCTACTACTTAGTTCAGGTCCCTATCATCTCTAACCTTTACTATTACAATATTCTTCTAGTTTCCATGCCTTTAGTCTTGCTCTCCTTCAATCATTTCTCCTCTTAGTGATGTTTCCAAAATGTGTCCAGGAGTATCACTCCCCTGACTGGTGAATCCCATGATCTGAGGGATAACGTTTAGATTCCTTTGTGAGAACAAAAAAGTCCTTCATGACTTGGACCCTTTCCATCCTCACCTTCTACTCCACTTCTACCAGGCTCTGCACTCTTGCCATTCCAAATTATTGCATTTCTTCAAGCATTTCTCTTTCGTGCTTCTGTGCCTCTGTTCTCTTTGCTTGGAATAGTTCTCATCAATTTTGTACACATGATTAACTTTTATGTATCCTCCAAAATTTAGCTTCACTGTCATGTCCTCCTTAGAGTCCCCTTTAATTCCCAACTAGAATTTGTCATTCCTTCTTACACCTCCCAAAGCACCCTTCACCTTATATATTGTCATCATTTGCTTATGCGTCTGTCTTTTTCCCAGAAATGTGAGTTCATTGAAGGCAGAGACTATGTCTTATGCACCTTTGTGTACCCAGAGCTTAGCCCCATATTTGCCATTCAGTGGGGACATGAAAAATACTTTTTTGCTATGAAGACTTGCACATTAACCTTAACATATGAAAGTCCTACTTTTTGGAAATTATTTAATTTTTCAGCCTTCATAAAGCCCATCTAGTATATTTCACATTCTAATGATAATTATGGATTCTTAGTTGAATCTTCCTCTGTGGGTTTCATGGCAGGGATCAGTACTTTATAAGGATTTTCTTAGGTTCAACCTTACGTTTCTATATTGAGAAGCCCGTTTTTAGGCAGATCTTTCTACCCAGATTTTCCTTCTTCTGTATTATGCACAGTTTATACAAATCACAGAAAGCCAGGTTGCTTCCTAGGTTCAACACCACACATCAGTGTTCCTCATTTAGTGCCTGACTCATTCTACACAGTAATATCAATGCCCCAGCAATTCTCCTGAGTTGTCACTGGGACAGAGCTCACCACTATCCTGAAGGGAAAGATGATAATTTGAGCATGGGCTTTTTCTAAGTTACAGTAGAGTAGGCTGGGGGCGGTGGCTCATGCCTGTAATCCCAGCACTTTGGGAGGCCAAAGTGGGTGAATCACCTGAGGTCAGGAGTTCAAGACCACCCTGGCCAACATGGCGAAACTGCATCTCTACTAAAAATACAAAAATTAGCTGGGCATGGTGGCTCGCACCTGTAATCCCAGCTACACAGGAGCCTGAGGCACGAGAATTGATTGAACCTGGGAGGCAGAGGTTGCAGTGAGCCGAGATCGTGCCACTGCACTCCAGCCTGGGCAAGAATGAGTGAGACTCCATCCAAAAAAAAAAAAAAATTACATGAGTAGGTTTAGGGAATTTTTTAAGCCTCTCAATCTTTCCTCATAAGCTTATATTAGAATGAAGAGTATCTCTTTCCATTAATTCTAAAGTTTATGACATCAATTATACTTTTAGCTACCCCTGCAACCGTTACCACTTCTTCCTGCTTAAAAAGTAAAATGGAAAATAAAGTAATGAAATATACAATTAGCTTAAAGATAATTTACTAAAAGGGAATTGATAATATGCGGCAAATGAGGTAGAATTAGATTGAGTGTTATCCCAAGAGCTATCTTGAATGCAGAGGCAAGAAAAAAGACAAAATTATATTCAGGAAGGAAACAGCTCAAATGCAGAAGAGACAGGATGGGGCATTAGGGTGAAAGGGCAAGATGAGGCCACTGATGGGCAGTGAGGATGGTGACTTGAAGCATCAAGCAAACAAAGCACAGAGTGGAGCAGGTGAGACTGGGAAGTTCAGGATATTAAGTCATGAATACGCCTTGTTCCGGGTTGCCAGCTATACACATTTCTTAAAGGCACCGCACTCCATTTATCACCATCTACATACTTAGAGTAACATTCTAGTCAGAGCAAGGTCAAGGTTTCTTTAGGTTTCCTTGGCAGAACTTTGTGAACTTTTGTGGGTGTGCTAGAGATGGGCCACACACTTTTCTGCCACAGACCTCCACGCCACAGCTGAGGTTCGGGCAGATCTCTGTAAACCTGGACATTCATGCTCCAGCTGGGCTACCACAGCTCCAGTTCCTTGGCCCTTGCTCCACTCCCATGGGATCTCATGGTCCGGGGAGAGTTTCAGCTGTTCCAGGCCTAGCAAGGCAAAATCAAGTACCAAATGGATAGATTTTCACAGAGTGGAAAAACAAGAAATGGCATCCCTGGGATAAGCCCAGGAGCCAAATCTCCAGTTTTCAGCAGGGCCCGATGGCATAAATGAGAGAGTGGAAATCCCCTTAGGCTCTGTACCAGACCTTATGCATCAAGAGTTATCTTGCAGGTATCCTCCAAGTATCATCTGGTCTATGGTAAGCAAGAGTGTGACTCATTAAAGGCACTACAGCAGATTTAATATACATGAAGTCAAAGCTGTCGAATCCTCTGTGCACCTGAAATGTTGGGGCTGGGGCCCATTACAGAGAGAACTTAAGAACAGCTTTGCTGGTGGGAGACCTCATGCTTGAGGTATACAGTGGAGTGTCCTCAAGTAGAGTGCCAAAGACTGAAGTCCTTGATATCTAACTCTTCATCCAGGCTCACCCTGGCCCTCCACAAAATTAATATCTTTGAGTAAACATATTCTAATCAGGCTTTAAATAACTTCAGTTAGTTACAAGTGTGCAAGTTCATCATGCCAAATCCTTGTTAGAGTTTTCCCTTCCTGAGTCCCCCTACCTTTCCACTTCTAACTCCTTTAGTTTGGTTCTTATGAGATTATTTCTTCTTGGATTCCTGAGATGAAAAGCAATAGAAGAGGGCAGGTTTATCTAGAAATAGAATAGGTTAGCACTGATAAAAGTGGCTGAGGTCAATGAATATTTAAAAGAAGCCAAAAAGTAATTGATGAGGACTCTTGCTTTTGAAACCTCATTTTCCAATCCAAAGCACAAAACCTACAAACTGAGGTGAAAATTCCCTTTGCACCATCTTCTTTGACATTGCCAGTCATTGAGAGAGGACTGTGGAGGATAGTTAGGCTAAGGGTAAGGCTTAGAATGTGTTGGTTCTTCGTCTTCCCAGAAGAAATTGCCTCAGGGTTCCCTGACCTTGGGAATCCTCTCTGCAGAAGCAGATTGAAGCTAAAGCCAATTCAAATTATCAAGGCGAACTTCCTAGTCACATTCTGATCACAGATGAGTGGATTCATGAATAGGACTGTTCCAAAGGCAAAATGTGCATCTGGAGAAGTTTGGGCTCCCTTTTTGGTATCTTAATCCCTACCAAACTCTCTCTGGGCCGAAGTCTCATGCCACCCTGGCCCTGAAGTCCTGTTCTTCTGCCCCCTCTCATGGATCTTCCCTGTCCTGCAGGTACATTCTTGGCCTACATGCCCTGGGTTTTCCAAGGGGAGGAGCTAGCTAACTCACCAAATTATCTTCACCTGCACTAATAAATAAATAGAAGAAGCTAATGGAACTCCCATAAGATCATGACTCTTTGGAGATTATTTTGCTTTCTAACAGTGACCTTCCAGAAGCAATGCCTTAGAAAAGAAGTAATTCTGATGGAGAAGTATTCCCAGTGATGTAAAAGGGATAGCAGAACCCTAATAGATGTGAAGGGATAGATACCTTTAGGTAGGGAAGTCCTTGCACGGTTTCTCAGAGGTAAGTATCTGATGTCCTGCTTACATATGGAAAACCTGTAGCAGTGAAGAATTCTGCATCATTTGTTTAATTTTTCAGAGTCATTTAACAAACATTAATGAGAGGCCTATTATATGAGGCCCTGTGCTAGGTGCTAGAAATATAAAGTAAATAACAGGCTGGGCACCGTGGCTCACACCTATAATCCCAGCACTGTGGAAGGCCAAGGTGGGCAGATCACTTGAGCCCAGGAGTTTGAAACCAGCCTGGGCAACATGGTGAAACTCCATCTCTACAAAAAATACAAAAATTATCCAGGCATGGTGACCTGTGCCTGTAGTCCCAGCTACTCAGGAAGCTGAGGTGGGAGGATCGCTTGAGCCCGGGAGGCAGAGGTTGCAGTGAGCCGAGATCACACCACTGCACTCCAGCCTGAGCAACACAGTGAGGCCCTGTCTCAAAAAAAAAAAAAAAAAGATAAAGAAAAACAACATAGATATGTTGCTGCCCTCATGGAACTTACATTCTAATGGGGAGGCAAACCAAAAATAAATGTGAACAGACAAACAAAATCTGTAAAGCAGGTTGGAGTTGTATTAAAGACAGTGTCAGGAAAGCCTTCTGTAAGGTGCAAACATTTAAGCTAAGATTCAAAAATGAAAGCTGTCAGCCATGCAAAGAGGTGGGAAACAGTGTTCCAGGCAGAGGGAACAGCCTGTGCCGAAGTGCTGGAAGAGTGTAGCACATTCAAGGAAGGGAAAGAAGAACAACGAGGCTAGAGCTTGCTGACAATGGGGAGAGGGACACAAAATAAGCTTAAAGAGAGAGGTAGGGAACAGAGCATGTCGATAGTAAATCATGGCCTTGGAGTTTATTCAAAATGAAATGAAAAATCCTCCCAGGTATGAAGTCAGGGATTACACTCCAGCATGCATTTAGGAAGCGCTTGCTACCCTGGAAAATGGGCTGTAGGTGGACAAGAGTGGCCATAAAGAGACAAAAGCTGATATACAGTCCAGGCAAGAGATGATGGTGGCCCAAATTAGGCGGAAGAGTGGATAGAGGTGAGACAAGTTTTTACAGATAGAATCAACAGGACTTGCTAATGCACTGGATATATTGGTTAAGGGCAGGGGAAGAATCAAAAAAGGACCAAAGGGAAAGAGGGCTTCACAGCCCACTCACTATCGCCCTCCCAGGGTTGTGACTCCTGATGCCTTCTTGAGCTTCTGAGAACTCCCAGGCCTTGAGAGAAAGATATTGCTTGGATCCATTAGAGGCATCCCTCTCCATGAGTAAAATCATCTATGAGACCCACTTAAAGTTTTCCACTTGAATTAGAAATTCTTTCTGAGAAGGCACAAAGAAATCAAAAAGACTTCGTGCATTGAACTGCACTGACGTTGGCATGAGAAAATGATGACTTGCTTTGAGATAGTGAAAGATTCTTACTGAACTGCCCAGAGCAGTTATCAAAAGGTTTAAGAAAGATGTCAGGAAGTCCAGTGCAATATGAGTGACTAAGTGAGAATTCTGATTGTAAAGCTGGGCATGATTTATTTTTCTGCACTAACTCAATGTAGAAGCCTCCAAGTGATCTCTTCCAAACACAAACAAACTCTTATGACAGTAAGCCTGCAGTAAGTAATACTTTGGTACCTCATGGTTTTCTGTCTTGAATGCTACCTATTCCTACAGATGGCCTTGGGAAATATTCACAGATAAACATGGATTCTCTTCTCTTCTCTTTTCTTTTCTTTTTTTTTTTTTTTTTTTTTTTTTGAGATGGTTTCTCACTCTGTTACCCAGGCTGGTGTGCAGTGGCATGATCTCAGCTCACTGCAGCCTCCGCCCTCCTGGGTTCAAGTGATTCTCCTGCCTCAGCCTCCCAAGTACCTGGGACTACAGGTGCCTGCCACCATGCCTGGCTAATTTTTTTTGTATTTTTAGTAGAGACGGGGTTTCACTATGTTGGCCAGGCTGGTCTCGAACTCCTGACTTTGTGATCCACCCACCTCGGCCTCCCAAAGTGCTGGGATTACAGGCGTGAGGCACTGTGTCTGGCCATGGATTCTCTTTTCTAATAACTAGCATAATCACTATCAGTAGAAAATCTGGTACAAACCAGGATGAGCTAGGGCTCTGGGGGCCCCCCTGTACACTCCAGAGAGCCAGGAGCCCTGGCCCCTTTCCGCACGGGAGATCTGGGATGCCTGACTGCTGGAATATAGGTGTTCATGTGTCTATGATGGTGACTCCCCAACTTTCCCCAGTTCTCAACACATGTGCCCAACTCAAGGCTAGGAAACAGCAAGATGGTGAAATACTGTCCTGCTGCCTTCCCACCCAGGACCTTCCTGGTCTTCCCTGTCTCAGGGAACAGGTCACAGGTCATCATGGAGAATTCTACCCCCCATTGGGCAGATGGATCTTCCAAAATGATGCCGGTTATTTTGGTGGCTGTGGCTTTTGGTTGTGTGTGTGTGTGTGTGTGTGTGTGTGTGTGTGTGTGTGTGCATGTGTGTGTTTTCTGTGACCACCCAGTCTTCCTGGTGCATCACACCTTGTCCTCATATCCCCTGTTCCCTCCACAATAACAGAAACATTCCCAGGGACTCTGAGGAGAGATACTGTTGTCACTCCAGAGGAGAGATACTGCTGTCACTCCAGAGGACATTTTTTTAGCAATAAAATTGAGTGTCAAGTGTTTTGTTGAAAGTAATGAAAGTAATCACAGAAATATTTTTTCCCATTGTCTTCTAAAGCAATGCTGTTACGGTTTAGTGAATAAAAAATGGAAATAACTTACTTGGCAACCATTTTCAATGTTGTACCTTTTCTTTCATAGCTGTTAAATAAAATCTATATACTACAGTTAGGATTTCACACAATAAGTCAATTACTTTGGGTGTGGCTTCTTGTGAAATTCTATTGCTATGCTTTAAACTGAACACAGGCTGGTCAAGAGATGAAAGGATGAGTTTAGAAAAGTTGTCACATGTCTTCTTATTCCCAGGGTTGAAAAAATAGCTGAAATAGAAAATTATATACTAATTCTCAGGTCAAGAAATGCTGTGTAATTTACCAACATTACTATGTTAATGGTAACCACGTTCCCATTAGGACGTAGTGAGGTACAAAGAGATCTAAGGCATGGTCTATGCTGTCAAGGAGTTTACAACCCTCTTCCTAATACTGCAATCAGCGTGGCTCCTGCCTGCCTTAGGGCCTTTGGCCACACCATTCTTTTTCACTTTCCATAGCTTTCCCAGCCCTCTGATTTGGCAAACTCCAATCTATCATTGATTCTTGGCTTAAATACCACTTTACCAGAACCTGGGAGCAGAGGGGACATGTCCTGTCTCTCTGAGGCTGAATCCCTCATTAGACTTTCTTCTAGAGCCCTGTGCACTCCTTCAATGAATCTATAAAAATTGTTATCATACAGATATTTGTGAGATGGGAGGCATGTAGGGAGGAGAGCTGATGTTACGTAATGATAATCTCCTCAACTAGGCTGCAAATTCCACAAGGGCAAATGATTTTGTTTACCACTCTATCTCCAGCCCTGACACAGTGCCTGGTACAGAGTGGGGGTCTCCATAAATATCTGTGGAGTGAGTAACTTAATTAGTGATATAAATACCAATTGCCTAAAAGCACTTCAAAGTGGCATAGCTGAGGGCCAGACGATAGCTGCCATGTGAAATGAAAGGACGGAAACACTAGCCTGGAGTGGAAATTGTTACAATTAGCATCTTGAGGGAAAGGGCTGAGATGAAAATGAACCTAGAAGGAAGAATAAGATGTGTTCCAGAGAACACAGGGAGGATAGCACTGGCTGAAGGAATAGAATAGTGGGCACAGCAAACTTGAGTACATCAGAACACTGGTATAGTTGAATGGGGATATCTATAGGGAAGTAGTGGGATTAATATTTATGTTGATATTAATCCCACTACTTTTATTTATAATATTAATATTAATATATTGCCATTACTTCTAATGGCAAAAACTGCAATTACTTTTGCACCAACCTAATAAATAGGTCAAATTTAGACAAAGGAGCTTAACTTTTAGCTTTAGGTCCATTAAAGGCCTTTGAACAAAGTGATTATGTATACTAACCTGATACTTTGGCATCCAAACTACAAAACAGATGAAATAAAGGGTTTCATTCCTGTTACAAAGATGTCTTGGCTTTACCAAAAGGTTATGAAAGGGTTATTTTAAATAACATCACTTTGGATAGATTAAAATGTTTGTTTATAACTAAAATAGTTTGGATGCCGCTTAGCTAAAAAGATTTATTCAGCAAAAGAAAATAAAAGGCAAATAATTAAAGAGCAGAAAAACATTAAGATAAAATAACACTGCAATCCTCATGCATGAAATTGATGTCTGTGATTTGGTTTACAAGATTTTAATCTGCATAAAATTTTTCAGGACCACTTCTACTGCTTTTGGTAAAATGTCTTTTGGATTCTAAAATGTCTCTAAAGAAGAATATTCCAGAATATCTTTAATTTAAAAAGTACAGTCAATCAGCAGCTCAGATGCCAGCTATCTTGCCCTTCAAATAAAATTGATAGTGAGATATCCAGCTTCCTCCCACTTTCCCTGGGGATGGCAGGGGATGGCTTTCACCTACTGATTCCTCTCTTGAGTGTCTTTTGCAGTCTTGCAGAGCTGTCCATTCTTTAAAACACTGCACTTCCCCAAATGTAGACCATGCAGAAACTTTATTTAACATAAACAAAAATGTGTGAAAGAAAGGAATTATTAACACTCACCAAACCTGACGTTCCCATTGCCTAAGGAAAAGTCATTCCACTATTAAACTCTCAACTGAGTTCCCTATATGGCACACCAACTCCTGCATTCTTGATTCTCAGACCAATGTCCCCTGGAGAGCAGTTCTTCTTTCCAGCCTCACACAGCATGGCTCCACACCACTTCAGAGAAACCTTTTCCCTTGCACAGAGCTTAGACCCACCTGCACTCACTCCCAGCAGCAAATTTCCTCAAGTTTAGGTTATTCGGGTTAGATCAAAAAAAGAACAGTCAGAGCTCATCTTTCATGGTACGGAAACAATCATGAAGTAATTCACTAATGAACCTACTACTTACAATATTAGTCCCTATTCAAATAGTCTTTCTTGCATTATACGTTTGTAGATTAGCCTCTTGCAGATGATCAGATATTGTAAATATCTGGAAATACAAGGCCAAGTCATTGCAAATTGAAATTTTAAATATCTGGAAAAATGCAGAATTTCATCAAGTCCATGAAAATGTGTTGAGGACTTTGCTAGAATCATAGACTCTGACAAATGAGGGTGAGGTGAGTTGTACTGTTAGCCGTGGAAAATGGACCAGAAGTGGTGGCACAAGAGGTACATCCTTAGCCATTTACATGCAAAAACTTAGGAAGGCCTGGGAGACAGCTGAATAAGTTTTGCAAAAATGATCTTCATTATAATTGTGCTTTCAAAGTCAAACTAGAAGTGAAGAAAATTATATTTACTATCATACTACTTTGTTAGAATATTTACACCTTAAAAAATCAACACTAGATTCCTTCTTTATTATTCTAAAAATTAGCATATAGTTCTAGTTTTAATTCAATTGTGTTTAAAAATAGAAATCAACTTATTTTTACATGTTTTAGCTTCACTTTTCAGAATAAAATTCCAATAAAATCTTTTCTCCACTACTTCCTATGAAACTTTGGCCTATTTTCAGTGAATTCACTTTCTGGTATCATAGTTTTCTGCTATAGAAGATGTTCTGTACCTCATGGGAACATCA
The DNA here is from genome assembly GCF_000001405.40 of Homo sapiens. Classification (NCBI taxonomy): domain Eukaryota; kingdom Metazoa; phylum Chordata; class Mammalia; order Primates; family Hominidae; genus Homo; species Homo sapiens. The sequence goes on from NC_000013.11 coordinate 36,730,445, forward strand.
GTGCCATTGCTGTAAAATGTCCTCCTGAAATATTGATGTTATTTGTTGGGTATGGATCTCTTTGTGGCCCTCAAAAATTCATATGTTAAATCCCTAACTCCCAGTGTACAATATTTGGAGACAGGGCCTTTAGGGAGACAATTAAGGTTAAATGATGTCATGAGAGTGAGGCCCTGATCCTATAGGACTGGTGTCCTTACAAGAAGAGGAAGAGACACAAGGGGTGGGCACAGAGAAAAGACCATGTGAGAGCACAGCAAAAAGCACCAGCTGCAAGCCAGGAAGACCAGACTCACCAGAAACCCATCTGCCAGCACCTTGACCTTGGACTTCGAGCCTCCAAGACTGTGAGGAAATAAATTCCTATTGTTTTTTTAAGCCACCTGCCTGTGGTATTTTGTGTGGAATCCAAGCTGACTAATAGAGGGTTCAATTACATTATTTAACAAGGGGGCTGTTCTTAGCATCTATGAGTTACATTTTATTGAGGGTTTCTTGTATCCTAGACCCTACTGAATATTTAAGAAATGTGATCTCATTTCGTCCTCACAGAGCCTCAGAAAGTAACATCACTGTCTACATTTACAAGTGAGGAAACAGAGGCAACGAAAGATGACTGTCAGTCACTTGTGTAGGGTCATCTAGCTGGGAAATGGTGAACAAAGCCAAAATTCAAACCAGTCTGTCTCCCCAGCAGTGGTACTTAGCTCTGTCTGTGAATCAGAATCACTGACGAACTATATAAACAATGATGCCTGGGTCCTAGCCCCAGAGATTCTGATGCCATTGGTCTCGTATATCCCGATTTGCTAAAGCTCCCCAGCTGTATCAGTAATCTGTTGCTGCAAAATGAATTACCACAGACTTAATGGATTAAAATAATGGCAGATCTACTATCCAACAGTTTTTGTGGGCTAGGAATCTGAGCACAGCCTAATAGAGTCCTCTGCACAAGGCTGTGATTCAATTGTCAGCCAGGGCTGTGGTCTCATCAGAGATTTCGTAGTGAAACGATCTTTGTTTAAGCTCCCTCAGGGACTAAGTTCTCCATTTCCTTCATGGCCATCAGCACTCTTTACTCCTGGAAGCTGCCCACAGTTCCCTTAAGAAGGAGTCTTATACAACACAATGTAATCATAGAAGTGATTCATGTCAACTTCACCATAAAATGTAACCTAACTAAGGGAGTGACATCTCAATGCCTTTTCCATATTCCACTGGGCATGACTCATTAGGGGTCACCTTAGAGTGTATTTGTCGCACAGGTGATTTTAATGCACCATCAAGATTGAGAATCACAGCTCTAAAGCATTTTGCTCTATTTCTTTTCCACTAGAAATAGTGCAAATTTGAAATTCATAGCTTTTACATTTTTTTCTTACCACTCAATTTTAAATGGCATGGAAAATGAACAGAAAAGAAAAATGCTGTCCTCTCTAGTTATGATTACATACATGAAATTGTCACTATTCAACAATTTTTGACCTACAAAAACAGTAGTCTTATATGGTTCAATAGGATAATAATATTACTTTTCCCTGATAAACTATGTGCCTGAAAAATGCCTAGATGTGGTTACAGGTTCAGGTAGAAAAAATTAGAGGCAACTTATTCTCAACTACTGGCATAATTTTAGCAATTCCACAGCAAATCTAAAACATCTGACATTCTGTCTATAAAATATAGTCACATTTTCCAAATGGATTTCAGTAATACTGGAAAGCTTAGAAAATACAACTATTCTTTTATGAATCGCCAACACTTTTCCGTAGAAACAAAATTTAAATGATTTTCAGTTTGAGATATTTACAAAGGTAATATTATGGGTTAAGAACTGCTTTCGCAGAAATGAGAAAAAATGGCAAAAATAAGTCTCAGTGTTGTCTAAGAAGAAAACGTAAATTTAGACTGAGCATTTTCATTATGAAGTACTCAACCACATCTGCTGTGAAAATTCTCTGGGGTGGGTAGGCTCTAACTTCCTGGGGGTAAGCACTGGCTATTGCTGTCTGGGGGAAGCTGAATTCGAAGACAGTGACTCTAATTTACCTACGTGGCAATTTGCCTATTCAAAATGGTCTCCCAGAATTTCTCCCAGGAAGAATTAAAAGCAGTGAATTCACCACTCCTGGACCCAACTGAAATATCAGAATCAGTGGGTATGTTATGAGTTCAATTTCAAAGCAGAAAAGCCTTATTTTGGAAATGTGACTATTTTAGGGGCATTAAAAGAGAAATCTAAGAATGTTTTCTTTGCCTAGTGAAATGTGCAACTTCCTATAAAAATATCCCAGGCCCAGGCCTTCAGTTTTCTCACGCAAGGACACCTGGCCTTTGGAGAGGTTATGGTACTCTGGTGACAGAAGAGTCTATAACATAAAGAACCCAGTACTCTCTGGGGAGTTTTTTACTCTGAGAATACACAGCAGTTTTCTCCCACTTACAAATACTCTAAGACTGTGCCACCCAGCCTGGTAGCCACGAACCACATATGACTCTTAATCACCTGAAATGGGGCTAGTCTGAATGAAGATGCGCTAGAAAGGTAAAATACATACCAGAACATACCAGATTTCTAAGACTGTTCAAAAAAAGAAAAATATTTTATTAATAATGTCCATATCGTTAATATGTTAATATGATAATATCCTATCATTGATGATATATTAGGTTAAATAAAATATGTAACTAAAATTCATTTTACTAGTCTTTTTTTAACGTGGCCTCTAGAAAATTTAGAATTACATGTGCCATGCAGTGTATTTCTATTAGACATTGAAAACCCACTCTGTTCTTTACCAGTGAGGTCAGACTGAACCCAGCAGTCTTGCTGGCTCAGAAGGTCTGAGCTGGAACTTCAGATGTTGGATACTGAAATGAAGGGTTGCACCACAGAGCAACAGAAGGATTTATCCAGGTATCAGGCAAAGAAACAGACAAATAAATCACGAGGGCCAGGTTTCCATGAGTGTTTCAGGAGGAAAGTTGTGGTTCTGAAAGTGTGGTCTTTAGACCAGCAGCGTTGCTCATGGACTCACTGAGCATCACCATGGAACTGGTCGGACATGCCAATCCTCAGGCTTCATCCTCCACCGAGTCAGAAATTCTGGGGGTGGGAGCCAGTAGTGTGGGGTTTAACAAGCCCTCTAGGTGATTCTGATGCACCCTCAAATTTTAGAACCCCTGTTATAGCTCATTGAAAATCCCACCTGCCCTGTAGGTTGGAATTAGTTAACACTCCATTTCACAGGTGATATAGTTTGGATGTTTGTCCCCACTCAAGTCTCATGTTGAAATGTAGACCCTCATGTTGGAGGTGGGGCCTGGTGGGAAGTGTTTGGATCATGGGGGTGGATCCCTGATGAGTGGCTTAGGCCATCCCTTGGTGATAAGTGAGTTCACATGAGATCTGGTTGCTTAAAGGTGTGTGGCACCTCCCCCTACCTTTCTCTTGCTCCTGCTCTCACCATGTGACGTGCCTGCTCCCCCTTCACCTTCTGTCATGAGTACAAGCTCCCTGAGGCCTAATCAGAAGCAGATGGCAGTTCTATACTATCTGTACAGCCTGTGAACTGTGAGCCAATTAAACCTCTTTTCTTTATAAATTACCCAGTCTCGGATATTTCTTTTTTTTTTTTTTTTTTTTTCTGAGACAGAGTCTTGCTCTGTCGCCCAGGCTGGAGTGCAGTGGCGCCATCTCGGCTCACTGCAAGCTCCGCCTCCTGGGTTCACACCATTCTCCTGCCTCAGCCTCCCGAGTAGCTGGGACTACAGGTGCCCACCACCATGCCCGTCTAATTTTTTGTATTTTTAATAGAGACGGGGTTTCACCGTGTTAGCCAGGATGGTCTCTATCTCCTGACCTCGTGATCCACCTGCCTCGGCCTCCCAAAGTGCTGGGATTACAGGCGTGAGCCACCACACCCGGCCCAGGTATTTCTTTATAGCAATGCAAGAACAGCCAATACAACATGTGAGGAAACTGCGTGATAAAGAAAGAAATAAAGAAACTTGCCCTTATTACACAGCTATTAAGTGGCAAAGAAATCAAGCTTTCAACCCCAATGTTTATAATCCTAGAGTTGATACTCTTTATCAGATGTCAGCTCAATGAGAAAAACAAAAAGTCAGAGGAGAAACAAATCTAGATAAGTGGCTGTTAAACTTCATAGGGACTCTAACCAGAAAATTTGAGGACGCTCTAGTTGCCTCCCTGCAAAAATGCACTTTTATACAACACTGATACAATTTCAGGCTGCCCCTTGACCCATTGGAGGTTCTGCCTGCAGCCAATTTTATCATGCCTAATTGAGAGCTCCAGATTGGATGATGAGTCACTCTTCATAGTGAAGTAGTACTCCTTACACGAATAGGGTTTCATGTGTCTAATGCTTCCTACTAAACATATACTGAAGGAAAAAAGTTGATCTGAGATATTACAGATATTATTGTCTTAGCTGCCTTAACCAAATGCCGTAGACTGGGTGGCTTAACAACAGACACTTAGTCCTCACGGTTCTGGAGGCTGGAAGTCTGAGATCCTGGAGCCATCATGGTCAGGTTCTGGTGAAGGCTACCTGCCTGGTGGCAGATGGTACACTTCTTGCTGTGTCCTCACATGGCAGAGAGCAAGCTCTGAGGCCTCTTCCTCTTCTCATGAGGACATAATCCATCAGGAGGCCCACTTTTATGACCTCATCTAAACCTAAAGATCACCCAGAGCCCCCATCTCCAAATGCATTGGGGGTTAGAGCTTTGACATATGAATTTAGGGAGGTAAAATTCAGTCCATAGCAGATGGATGAGAACTATGTTTCTTCTGTTTGCTTAAGAAGGAACAAAATACTCATTAGTGGCTTATAACCCAACTGGCTCTAAGTGGAGGGAGGTACCAGACTGATTTTGAAATCTGCAAAGGGCAGGGTCTCCATGGGAAGGGAGGGCCACAGACATTGGTCACACTGAGCAGTAATGTCAAAGCACTGCTACAAAACAGGTAAAGGACCTTGCTAATACCGTCTGTCTTTCCTGTTTGAAGATGATACTAATAACAGTAATTTCTACCTGTGATAGCTTTGGGAGCAAATTAGGCTGAAAAAATTGACATATAATGAATGTCCCTTTGTGTTTGTAGTACAGAGGGTATTGGCAGAGCCTGAAGCTGTTTGATAAGCACAGCACAGCTCACTATTAACTTTAGCTGGAACATTTATAATTTAGTCTCAGACAATGGCGATCAAGTGCTTGGGGATGGGGATGAAGGCGAGGAGGCTAGTCTCTTTTTATCAAGCTGCAAAAAGAAAGCTAAACACTTATTCCTTCATAAAAGGAAAAAATAGGTTATCTTGAAATGTATTGGCAATTCTTTATTGTTTCTTTAATAAGTAATTCTACATTTAAGAAGATAGGAAAATATTTAAGGGTGACTACATACCCGCTGTTCATTTGGCATTTATTTAATGCCTTGAAAGAATAGGCATTCTCATATAAATGCGTTGAGTTCTGAAAGTTTGTACTTAGGCAAATAAAATTTTCCATAAAATTATAAATAATTTTATGTTATACATAATTATCTATATTCATATAAATACATTCATATATGTGTGTATATGTGGCTTTTTAAAAGTATTAAAATATATTTTAATTTTTTGCTTTTGGAATCATCCTGCAAACCTAACCATTATTTATGACATTTTTATGGGGGAAATGCAATTAATGTTAGAAACCTATATAAACCTACCCCTGGCAAAAGAGGAGACCTTCACTATCTTCTATGACTCTGTAAAGCAGAGAAGGGATTTTTGTTCTCCACCAGCTCTGGTGGAAGCAGTTTTCCTTTCCTCTGGCAGCTATTTTTGCAAGTGGAAAGGAATTCGCCCCCTGGTGGTGACCACATATTAACATGAAATATTTATAAATCGAGTTTTTATGTGTTACAAACTGCTTATGCATGCCTTCATTTGCCCACCCTGAGATTTTCTTGTAAATATTTATATGTCCCAAAGCTTTTAGGGCATCAGCTCGCATCCGAAAGAGGCTCTGCAAGTTTTCTGTGTAATTATTAGGGACATCAACTCTTTACTAACTATTGAACAAGAATAGATGACTTATTCTTGCAAGCTCCCAGGATATAATCATAAGCAAAAGTGTTTTTCTTCCAATATGAGTGCACCATCATAACTGTGCTCTAAGGTGGGTCCCAATAGTATTACTAAATTTCTAACAAACTAGTCCCTAAGTTGGAATTTCTGTAACACACACACACACACACACACACACACACACACACACGTTCTATCTATCAAATTTGATGGACAAGGTAAACTGATCTTGTCATTCCCCAGATACAATTTTCACTGCCCACAATTTTCACATTGCCTTTTTTATGGTCTTCCTTTAGCCGTGCTCTCTAGAAGAAATTCCCTTTTTCTTTCTATATTGCCTTAAATTTCATGGTCCAACATCCCCTTTCTCTAGCAACATGAAGTATTTATTCTTTCTCTTTCCTGAGATATATTGTGAACCTAGAAAATGCAAAGCTGAATAATGTGATCTCTCCTGTATTAAAAAAGGAAAAAGAACTTTTCTGCCTGAATTACCCTGCCTGGACTATATAATTAGCACCTTCTTATACATTATCTTGTCTCTAATTTTTAATTCCACACATTTCAAAACTTTATTATATAATGTCATATTAAGGTATTTCTAAATTAGAGTATATGCTCCTTCTGAGCAGAAAAATTTCTTACGCATCTTATACGGGTTGTGCATGCCTAATCTGAAGACCCAAATTCTGAAACGCTCCAAAATCTGAATGTTCTTGGGCACTGACTTGACACCACAAGCAGAAAGTTCCACACATAAGTACTTAGCACAAGCTTTGTTTTATGCACAAAATATTAAACATATCATATAAAATTACCTTCAGGCTATGCATATAAGGTGTATATGAAATGTAAATAAATTTTGTGTTTAGATTTAAGTCCGATCTCCAAGATATTACGTATATGCAAATACTCAAAATCTGAAAATACTGAAATCTGAAACACAGTCACAAGCATTTTAGATAAGGGATACTCAACTTGCACTTAATTTTTCATTCATTACTTCACTTCAGGGATTGTTTACCACATTTGTTCATTCATTTATCTAATTCACTCATTCAGTTAGCATCTATGAAACGTGAATGAGACACTGTTGATATCATTGGGTCCATGGGGCCTAAGGGCTATTTCCATAATGTGTGCTCAACAAATACCCGTGGAGTAAATAACCCACTCTCTTACCCAGTCCTGATTTTCATTATCTGTGAGCTGGAAAGCTAGTTGCTATGAAACAGAACAAAGGTAGCTGCAAAAAGATGTTTTCCGACATCCTGATATAATGACCCTGACTCTGCCTCAGTTAAATACAAATCCCTTCTGTCTAGCTGAGATCTCAGTATATGTGTCCACCAAGTGGCCTCACGGGAAAAGCAGGAACCCTGAGGAATAGAAGTGGTGATATTTGTGCCTGAAAGCGTCTGCCTTTCACTGTGAATGAAGCATGAGGCAGTGTCATCTGCCGAGAGAAAGGAAATGTCATCAGGGAGGTTGGGGCTTAAGGAAGAGGGAAGAATCCCTGGGAAGAAAGCAAGAGGCTGTTCCCTGGAGAATCGCCAAAGGATAGCTTTGAGCATTTCACTGAGATTGGAGACCAAAAGTATGTGGTGACAACGACCTGTGATTTCCTCCAACAACATTCAGTACCTGCTTCAAGGGACAGAAAAGGCCAGTTTTACATTAACCATGGTCAGAACACAGCAGGGTGATACCACTGGCAGAAATGAAGGCCCAGGCAGGAGAACAGTTTGAGAGATGCTCCCTCGTTTCTAGCCAGGGATGGAATAGAAGGAAGCGAAGCAATGAGGGGAATGGGAGCTTGGGAACCAAAGGACTCGCTGGGCATGGTGGGTAAAAGCTGGAGAACCAAAAGGCTGTGGTCACAGGTTATTTTCATATTGACCTTTGCAACTTCAGAAATGAAGTTGTTCTTGGTGAGAATGAAGTTGAGGATGGATAGCTCATGTAGAATAGAAGTAAAAGTGAAACGTTAAGGAGACCAAGTTAAAGTCTGGATGGATTCTTCACCAGAATATTAATACTATCTATAATTATGGCAGGAGTTCTGGAAGCCAGGCCTTCTGTGAATTAGATGGCAAAATCTTCAATAAATGAAGGTTGATAGGATGGGGAGAGTGGGATAGTCACACAGCCATGAAACTCAAAAACATAGAAAAATGCAGGGAATTTTGCCCCTTAGTAAAGTTTAATTGGTTTATAGTTTGGTTCATTCTGTAAAGCAGCTTATCTATTTAATAACTCAGGAAGCATAAGCATGGTTGGTAAATATATCAAAACTATGTAAATTCAGAAATAAATACTTAGAAAAAGCTTACAGTTTTATTCTGTGGTTTTCTAATGAAAGGCAATTTACCAGCCATTATGCATTTCCTATCTCATTTGAAAATAACACAGACTGACATTTTACTAATTCATTATGACTGATCAAAATCATATTTTGTTTTATCTAAGGTTTGGATAGCATTTAAGTGTTGTACTGGGATGCTTGTTTAGAAGGATTATGCCCAAGATTAATTTTTTAAATGACTGGATGTGAACATGTTCTCTTTCTGCACCACTTCTCATTCAACTTAGAATGCAAAGTACAAATCTTATTGCAACCTAACAAAATTCCTTGAGAGTTAAGAGTCTGGTTTCAAAACTGAGAAAATGTCATACAGAGTGTTTTAAACTTAAAGCAAAAGGATAGTGTGTGAATTCAAAGCGATAACGGTAAATGCTAGACATTAGCAAGTCTTTACTTCCTCGTCAAATACATGAGGAAGTGTAATCTATAGAACCTCATTATCTCTAGTTTGTGAGAAAGGCCATGGAGGAAACTACCACCTCCATCATTTATACCCCTTTAAATTCTCAAAAGTATCTCTTGACTTACCTACATAATAATTAGGTTGCTATTGAGACATGTTTGTTCTCAACCAGGCGATGACCAGGGAGGATCAAGGCCGACAGCTATATTCCCAAGGTATAAAGCGCAGGAGGGATGCAGCAAAGAAAGCCCCTTGAATTTAAGTCAGGGCATTTCGGTTGGGGGTGGGCAGCTTTGGGGAGTAATGGGACCAGGAAGAAGGAAGGGTTGTAGGACAGAAGGGTTGGATGGTGACCTGGTTCTGGCTGGTGCTCTCAGGGTTTCCACAGGCCTATCCTAAAGTCAAGGATAGGCCCTTGACCATACCAGTCTTCCCAGGTGATAACATTATACTCCCATGCTTCAGCCACAAGCCCAACCCCACTCCTGCCCTTCTAGGCAAGTTTCCTTCTCATCCATTACATGCCAGGGATGTCACTCTCATGAATAATTTCACAGAATATATTAGTTGTGTCCTATGTATACTAAATGTAAAATGTCTCTTAGGCCTCAACCCCTTTCTATAAATTGGGACAATAACTCCCCACTGCACTTTCTGCTACTCTCCACTGGACAGACAGTTGCAGCTTTTTGTGCAGTGCCAGCCGCATTCATGTAACACCATTGTAAAGGTTGAAGTCAATAGATTTGGCAGTATTAGGTGTCTGGTTACAGGGCTCCTTTCAACACTGGCAAAATGAACATTATTGCCACCAATGATCCCTTCATTGTTTTCAACTACATGGTCCTCATGTTCCAAGTTGATTCCACTATGTCAAGTTCAATGGAATCTTTAAGGATAGGAATGGGACGCTCATCATCAGTGGGAAGCCCATTTCTATCTTCCAGGAAACAGGTCCCACCAACCTCCAATGGGGTGATGTTGGTATGGGGGCCCCTGGTGTCATCACTATCTTCAAGAAGATTGGGGTTCACTTAAAGGTGAAGTCACAAAAGTCCTCATCGCTGCTTCTTCTGCTGATTCCCCCATGTGTGCAAGGAGAGTGAACCATGAGAAACATAAGCATTCCCTCAAGACTATCAGCAACAACACCTGAACCACCAACTGTGCAGCCCTCCTCCCCAAGAACATCCATGGAACTCTCCCAGCAGGGAGGACCTCACTGTTATAAACAATGCCATCAGTGCCACTCACAGACTGTGGATGGTCCTTCTGGCAAACCATGGTGCAGTGGTCATCGTGCTGCCCAGAGCAGCATCCTCACCATCACTGGCACGGCCAAGACTGTCATGAATCTGACTTGCCACCTTGAGAACATTGCCAAGTACAATGACATCAAGAATGTGGTGAAGCAGGTGATGGGGGCTTCCGAAGAGCCTCCTGAGCAACATTGAAGACTAGATTGTCTCCCATGACTCTAATAGTGTAACGCTGTGGATGCAGGGCCTGGCTTCACCCTCAATGACCACTTTGTTAAGCTTTTTAGTATGAATTTGATTATAGTAATCAGGTCTCCCGAGGAGTAAGATAGCCTTGTTTCAAGGCTATTGAAACAAGTCCAATAGCCTTGAGGTACAAAGAGAGAGAGATTCCATCACTGGGAAGTCTTTGCCTTGCCTCCACCCCCCAATACACTGAGAAACTCCCATCCTCAACACAGTTTCCACTCCAAGCCCCTGAAAAACCCTACCTTGTCGTGTACCATCAGGACCATTAATACCATACTCTACACTCAGATGAGGGAAATCTACATGAGCTCCCCACTGAGAATCACTTCTGAGCTCTCTAGTATGGCCTATCCCTTCCTAGTTAATCTCAGGTCTTCTGTCCTCACCACTAACCACTTATCCAACCCAGCACCATATATATCAGCCATACTGGGCTATTTGCTGTATTTTATCAACTCTGCGTTGGTGACTACTGTTGCCCTTGTTCTAATGTTCTTTCTCTCATACTGGCAAGCCTGATAAATGATAGATAATCTTGAAAATGGGGTAGTGGAGAAAGGCCTTGATAATAAGAAGTTAGTAGCATGTAATTACCCACGGATAAGTAAATCACTGATGATTGTTGGTTGTGAAATAGCTAAACACATGATGCTACCTGAGAGACATGACCCAAATGTCACTTTTTCTCCAGTGTTTTCTCGGCCCTATTTCTCCACCTCCCCCAAAAATATCTTCCTGCCAAAATTAATTATTTCTTCCTCTACTTTCGTGAGAAAACCAAGGCCATCATTTATGAGTTCTTTCATTTTCCATTCTCATTTCTTTTTTTAATGGTTCTTCAAATTGTGTTTCTTAATTTTACAATGCACCATTTCTTCCATGCAATGGACGAAAATCTGATACTGAACCACAGAGCATTGCAGTTGTGCCCAACCATAGAGCATTGCAGTTGTGCCCAAAGGCTGTGGTAACAGAAGGGTGACTTAAAGCAAAGTATTGGCAGAAGGTTAAGCACAGGGCCTGGTAAATGCCTGTCAGGGGCAGATGCGTAAGAAGTGTCCTCAATTCCCCTTTGTAGGACCTCACAGCCATGCTGAGTTCTCTTGGGTTTTTCAGGTGGAAGGGGTTCTATAAACTTCTTTACACCGACATAAGGCCTACCCCCAATATTTGTCTGATTTTTTTCACCTCATCCTCCACCCTAGCCATCTCATCAAATTCTCTGATCATCTTCCCATTGCTCAAATGCATATCATGTATGGCCTTCTTATATTCCTTGAGGCATGAGCCAGCCCCCGGTTGGCTTTCTTTTGGCTTTCCTGGGTACAATGTCCTCAGTGGGGGGCTTCCCTGCAGCCTTTGTTTCCCCCTCTGACTCTCCTCCTTTTGGCTTTCCTTTGCTCTCTGGCTTCTCCTTATTCTTTAGCATTTTCCTCATCTTCCGCCTTTCTCTTGTTTTCTATCTTTCCATCATTTTCTAATTTTTCCTGGTTTTCCAGGGTACAAGCTGCTTCCAGGTTTCCTTCCTCCTGTGCTTGTTCTTCATTTTCCCTTTCCTTGGTTCACAGGCTTTCCTTCATTGTCATGGTAGAGTTTTTCCATGTTGAGGCTTCCTCTCTCTTTCCTTATCTGTGGGGATTGGGGACAGGTTCTGCCTTTCTGTCTAGCCTACCCATGTGTGGGAACAATAGATATATGGACCAGAAAGCACCTGGAGCCACCATTAGTGATATGGTTTGGATTTGTGTCCCCATCCAAATCTCACATCCAAATGTATTCCCCAACGTTGAAGGAGGGACCTAGTGGGAGGTGATTGGATCATGGGGGCAGATTCCCCCTTGTTGTTTTTGTGATAGTGAGTTCTCACAACACCTGTTTGTTTTAAAAAGTATGTAGCACCTCCCCCTTCACTCTCTTCCTTTTGACCCAGCAATGTAAGACACGCCCCCTTCCTCTTCACCTTACACCATGATTGTAAGTTTCCTAAGGCCTCCCCAGCCATGCTTCCCACACAGCCTATAGAACCATGAGCCAATTGAACTTCTTTTCTTTATAAATTACCCAGTCGCAGGCAGTCCTTTACAGCAATGCAAGAATGGACTGATACAATTAGGAACCCAAGGACCAGAGTAGATTGAGGCCGACCTGGGGGAGGAAGGGTAGAAGACACCTGGATTCACATTCTCATTTCTAACGTTTGCTCCTGCGTACAAATTTGATCCCATCCCTTCCAGCCTGTTCTGGGACTTTGTTTCTTGGGTTCTTCTTGTAACAGTACCTTCATCCTTTCCCTCTGTTCTGAAGTCTGCCAGTCTGCCCACAGATTTGCATAGATGTCCCTACCCTAAATCACTGATCTCAGTGCCCTTTTAGCTAGTATCCTATTTCTAGCCTTTATCATCCAGCAGTTCCAGGGAGCACCATACCTATCTTGCCTCCATGTTGTTACTAAGGCATTTATTTGTCCACAGCGCCTTTTAGCTTCCTTCTTTTTTTTTTTCTTTTGAGATGGAGTCTCTCTCTGTTGCCCAGACTGGAGTACAGTGGCACGATCTTGGCTCACTGGAACCTCCACCTCCCAGGTTCAAGCAATTCTCCTGCCTTAGCCTCCCGAGTAGCTGGGATTATAGGCATCTGCCACCATGCCCGCCTAATTTTTGTATTTTAGTAGAGACGAGGTTTCACCATGTTGGCCAGGCTGGTCTCAAAGTCCTGACCTCAGGTGATCCACCAGCCTTGGCCTTCCAAATTCCTGGGATTACAGGCGTGAGCCACCATGCCCAGCTGGCTTCCTTCTTTCTTGACTATTCTTTTACTGCAGTTCTTTCAAGGTTATCTAACTATAAGAAATTATCATCATCATAGATGAGATGCCAAATACAGTGGCATTATTTTCAGTTTCCATTTAACATAGCTGACCTGTCTTAGCTTTTGAAATGTTCCCCTCCTGCGATGCCACAATTTCTTTAGTTTTCCTCCAGCCTTTCCAAGTGCACCCCTCCAGACTCCCACATGGATTCTTCCTTTTCTTCTCCTCCCTCATCATAGGTATGTCTTTGTTCCTCTTCTCTTTTATTGAATGTCACTCTTTCACAACTTTCACCAGCATTCCTGCATGGATGAGTCTCATGAAAGTCTTCACCTCTCTGCCAAGCCCTGGTTCTGATTTCCATCTGCCTAGGCCTCCACCTACAGGTACCATCAAGCCTTGGGACAACATGTCTACAACTAATTTGCATCAGCTCTTTTCCAGAGGTAACATTGGGTCTATCAATTATTTTTTCCTTCAAGTAGAACCACATTAATTCATGAACAAAAGTAAAGATCTGTTCTGCAATGAGCAGGCCTATGCAAACCTACACCCAAAATCCAAAGAAGCTGAGTGGAAGAAAGAGGCTGACAAATTCAGTTTCTCAGAAAGAAAGATTTAATAGAGACTTAAAAACAGAAGCCTTTATGTCCTGGACCCAGGCAAGACAAGATGGTGGATTCCCACACCCATACCCACTAGATCCAGGGCTTATGTACCACAGGGAAGGAACAGAACTTACAGGGAAAGGAAAGAGTACTACGTGAATCTGCATAAGTACAAGCTCTTATACAAGGAACAGTAGATAAAATGGAAATCTTAGAGGCTTTCCCAGAACTGGGGTTAATCTGAAGTCAACTTGATGGATTAGCATCCAAGATGGAGTTGCTTTAGCCTCCGTAAGATCTCTCCTACTTTAAAAGGCTTCCAGAAATAATAATTTCCTAAGGTCCTTTGGCAAATAAACTTTATAAAACAGGCTACAGAGAACTAAAGGGAAAATGATGATGCTTTTACACCTTAAGATAGACATAGTTGTGTAATTTAAAGCTATAGATCAAAAAAGGCTCATTTTACAACGAAAATCATTTCTAGGGAAGCACATAGAGAGTGTTAGATGGATTCTTAAAAGACAAGTTAGGCTTAAGAGTATTTTTGAGGGATCATTTATTTAAGATAGAAAGCAAAACAAGATCTTGGAAAAATAGATGTTGTATGAGTACAAAGATTATTTCTATTCTAATTATGTTAATTTAATTCATTTCCTCCATGGGGATCATGCTACTAAAGATTTTGAAAGATTTAGTCATTTTCTTCTGTTATAGATTTACTTTAATTCCATATTTTTAAAGCTTTTTACCTTTTGGACTACTGCCTTTTTGTACAAAATATTCCCATTGGAAGAAATATTTCTGACTAACCCTTTAAAATATGAACAAAACAACATCTATTCTGGAATGCTGGCTGCTCTTTGAATAATAAATCTTCCTACAGTTAAAAATGAATAATTAAAGTCTGTTTTAGAGACTTGATTTCAGAGAAAGGAAGCTCAGTAATTAAAGAAAAAACGAAAATGGAAACTGGTCAGAAATGAATAACAATTGTTCATTTCCATTTAAAAGAATCTCTCAAGCACTAAGTTTTATTCAAATTACCTAGGAGGCTACTCTATTTATTTTTTTCCAAGTAGTCTCAGAGTTTGAGTAAAGGAAATGTAAGCTATGTAATTTTGGTTCTATAAGATAAAAATGAAAAGCAATTCAAAAGTTCATGTTTCAGTAGGAGTTGTGAAAGAGGGAAATATTGGTAAGGATGGGTTAATCTGAGGCCACTGGCCAAGCCCCTCTGCTCACTCCTCACAGTGGCCTCTTCCTGGGGAATCCTAGCCAGGGAAGGTCACTACACGATGGAGGTTTATGATTGCTATGCCTTCAAAGCTTATCTATCCCTCAACCTCTCCAAGCCAACAAGGAACTGCTGGTCATTAAAGAGCTGCTGCAACTCTCCAGGATAGGTCAAGGACCTCAGATAAAACTAACCTCAACCAAGGCCCGCTAGCCACTCTCACCATGTGGCAGACAGATGCATTCAATATCATGGTGGCTTTTAGCTCAGCCCCATCAGCAAGAGAGATGCATAGGACACCACGGGTCCAGGAGAGAACCCAAAAGACCCCAGCCCTCCTCTCCAACAACATCTCAGCATCTCATGGAATCCCACAGGAGAGGATCACAAGAGGAAAATAAATTTCACTTCTCTTTTTCTAGACTAATAATCTTTACTTTCCAATTACAATTTATGGCATTCAAAATGATTTATTATCTTATTTGTCACCTTCATAAAATTTTAAGTTGTACTCCAGATGACTGAAAAATAGCTTAGCAAAGATCAAACAAACCAAAACCAAAACCGCTAATTGCCTATTATTGGTTGCAAGAGCTTCATTTTTAATGTAGCCTCTATCGCCAAAACTCTGTTTAATGAAGAAACTAAAGTAGTAAAGACTGATCCTCATAGGCAAGGCTTCAAATCTCATGAAAAGTTTAGCCATCATCAAGAAGTCTTACTATTCAAGGTTATATGTGGGGCAGTAATGCGGGTTTTGTTGGTGGTGTGCATTCCAGTGGGTTCCAAATGGCATTTGATGAGATATCTTTGAAAGTGTTTATTCTGTTTGCTGGTCTTGGATGCTCTATCTATATTAACCACTGTATTTATATTAACTTTCTTGTTTTTTTTCAAATAGCTTTGTGTCATGTGCTGAAGTATGGCTATCTTTCCAAATTATTTATGTGTAATGTAATAGAAAGCTTGTACCCAAAATGTTAGATAGCTTACTTTTGTTCCACTATTTTCACCAAATATGCACAAACCCAATTGGATTAACATACTTGAAACTTTTCAAAGTAATAATTCATTCAAGGTGTACTTTTTAATGTTTTAGTATTGCATATTATTAAATAGGATAGTGTGATGAGTAGAAGGCACAATTTCTGACTTGGAGAAAGTTTCATTTGGATAGACAACCAATCTTAAGCAAAGCAAACAACTAAGCATTATATGTCTTTTTTTTTTCCTTTTTTTTGAGATGGACACTTGCTCTGTTGCCCAGGCTGGAGTGCAGTGGTGTGATCTTGGGTCACTGCAACCTCTGCCTGCCGAGTTTGAGCAATTCTCATGCCTCAGCCTCTTAGGTAGCTGGGATTACAGGCATGCACCACCACGCCTGGTTAATTTTTGTATTTTTAATAGAGACAGAGTTTCACCATGTGGGCTAGGCTGGCCTCAAGTGATCCACCCACCAAGGCCTCCTAAAATGCTGGGATTACAGGCATGAGCCACCGCACCCAGCTGGGAATTAGGTAAGTCTTAATACAAGCAAGTACACTATGACTTAGTATGAATTAAGTCATGGCCATGTTTTGTTTGATTTTTTTCTAATTCTTATTTTGTTGCTCTTTTAACATGTTTAACATTTTCTACATATTTGTTGTGTACATAATGTGATTGATTTTTTTATATTAAATACGTGTTCATTGTATATATGTATCTAGTGCATTTGCTAACGTCTTTTTAAAATTATAATAATGCCCCTTTTTTTTAAACTTTTATTTTAGGTTCAAGAATACATGTGCAAGTTTTTTGTGTAGTTAAACTCATGTCATGGGGGTTTGTTGTACAGATTATTTCGTCACCCAGGTACTACACCTAGTACCAAATAGTTATTTTTTCTGCTCCTCCCCCTCCACCCACCCTCCACCCTCAGGTAGGCCCCAGCGTCTGTTTTTCCCCTTTGTGTCCGTGTGTTCTCATCATTTCACTCCCACTTATAAGTGAGAACCTGCCGTATTTGGTTTTCTGTTCCTGCATTAGTTTGCTAGGGATAATGGCCTCCAGCTTCCTCCATGTTTCTGCAAAGGACATGATCTTGTTCTCTTTTTATGGCTACATAGTATTCCATGGTGTATATATACCATATTTTCTTTATCCAGTCTATCATTGATGGGCATTTAGGTTGATTCCATGTCTTGGTTATTGTGAATAGTGCTGCAATGAACATACACGTGCATGTGTCTTTATGATAGAACAATTTATATTACTTTGAATATACACTCAGTAATGGGATTGTTGGGTGGAATGGTAGTTCTGCTTTTAGCTCTTTGAGGAATTGCCACACTGCTTTCCACAATGGTTGAACTAATTCATACTCCTACCAACAGTGTATAAGCAGTCCCTTTCCTCTGCAACCTTGCCAGCATCTGTTATTTTTTGACTTTTTAATAACAGTCATTCTGACTGGTGTGAGATGGTATTGTGGTTTTGATTTGCATTTCCCTAATGATCAGTGATATTGAGCTTTTTTTCATAGACTTGTTGACCACATGTATGTCTTCTTTTGAAAAGTGTCTGTTCATGTCCTTTGCCCCCTTTTCAATAGGGTTGTTTGGTTTTCTTACAAATTTAAGTTCCTTATAGATGCTGGATATTAGACCATTGTCAGATGCATAATTTGCGAAAATTTTCTCCCATTTTGTAGGTTGTCTGTTTACTCTCTTGATAGTTTCCTCCTGACAGTTTCCTTTGCTATGCAGAAGTCTTAAGTTTAATTACATCTCATTTGAAAAATTTTGCTTTTGTTGCAATTGTTTTTGGCATCTTCATCATGAAATCTTTGCCAGTTCCTATGTCCAGAATGGTATTGCCTAGGTTATCTTCAGAGTTTTTGCAGTTTTTGGTTTTACATTTGTCTTTGATCCATCTTGAGTTGATTTTTACATATGGTATAAGGAAGAGGTCCAGTTTTAATATTTTGCATGTGGCTAACTAGTTATCCCAGCACCATTTATTGAATAGGGTGTCCTTTCCTCATTCCTTGTTTTTGTCCACTTTGTCAAAGGTCATATGGTTGTAGGTGTGCAGCCTTATTTCTGGGCTCTCTATTATGTTCCATTGGTCTGTGTCTGTTTTTGTACCAGTACCATGCTGTTTTTGTTACTGTAGCCCTGTAGTACAGTTTGAAGTCAGGTAGCATGATGCCTCCAGCTTTGTTCATTTTGTTTAGGATTTCCTTGGCTGTTCAGGCTCTTTCATTGTTCCATACAAATTTTAAAATAGTTTTTTCTAGTTCTGTGAAGAATGTCATTGGTAGTTTAATAGGAATAGCTTTGAATCTATAAATTACTTTGGGTCATAAGATCATTTTAACAATATTTATTCTTCCTATCCATGAACATGGAATGGTCTTCCATATGTTTGTGTCATCTCTGATTTCTTTAAGCAGTATTTTGTAATTCTTATTGTAGAGATTTTCACCTCCCTGGTTAGCTGTATTCCTAGGTATTTTATTCTTTTTGTGATGATTGTGTATTTTCTTTTTTAATGTAAATAATTGTTATCTATGAGTAATACATCTTTATTCTTCCTTTCTTATCTTTGTATCTTTTATACAATTTTCTTATTTTTTACTTACTGACTGTGACCTCCAATTCAATGTTGAAAAGATGTGTTATAAAGGCATCCTTGTCTCATCTTGATTTTAAAGTGGATGTTTCTAGTAGTTTACCAATAAGGATGATATTTGCTGCAGGTTTTTGGTATTAATAGATACATTTGATCAGGTTAATGATGGTTTTTTCTATTCCCAGTTTGCTAAGAGATTTATCTTGAAAATATATTGAACTTGAATGCATTTTTAAAATCTTTTGAGATGACCATAGATTTTCTTATTCAATCTTAAAATGGAGAATTATAGTAACATACTTTTCTTATGTAGAACCATCTTTGCATTCCTGGCATAAACTTAGTTACTAAGTATTACTAATTGCATGATTCTCTTTGATAATATTTTATTTAGTATTTTCACATTTATGTTCTTAAGATTGGCAAGTAATTTTTCTCAAAAGTTCTGGATTGAGTATCAAAGTTATACAAGCTCCATAAAGTATTTGGAGGAATTTCTCCTCTTTTGCTATTCTATGGAGGAGATCTATTTCCTAAATTACCTATTCCTTAAATGTGGTAAAAGAATTCACTTATAAAATTCTCTTAGCCTGATATTTATTGGGTGTCAAAGTCATAATTATTTCTTTAATGGTTATAGGTATAGTCAAGGTTTTCAATTCTTAATTCATTTCTATAAATAAATATCAAGAGTTATATAAATGTATCTATTTCACTTAAATTTTCACATATTTTGACTGTGTGGTTAATATTTATACCTATTATATATGTGTTTAAGAAAAAATGTATATTCTTTAACTGTTGGGTTCAAGAGTTTGACTGTTTCTTAAATCTAGTTTTGTTAATTATATCATTCAAATCATTTTTATAGTTACACTTTGCTTTAGCTACAAATTACCATGAGAAGTATGTTAAGATCACCTACTCTAATGGTGAATGGATTTTCCGTTAGTAATTCTGTCATGTTTTGTTTTATGTATTATAAAGATATGTTCTTAGGTGAATTCAAGTATGTTGATGGGGCGAATGTGTGGATGGAAAATCTTTTGCTGAAGAGATCAGGCAGGTGACTTATGGATTCAGTCAGTCCTCGAAGGAGAAGCCAGGATTAGAAATGTGGTTAGACAGGAAAGATACGTAGCGGATCTTCTTATCTAATGGTATGAATCCCCATGACACACACCACAGGCCCACAAGGTTTCTGAGAATGTTATACAAGTAGAAACATTATCGTCTTGAAGTGAAAGGGAAGAGACTGGATAAAATAGAAGAAAGTCATCAGCCTCCCAGGATTCTACAGGCAGGAAAGAGCTGATAGAGTTAACTCTGAGCCTCTGTGGACCCAGAAGTGGTGCCTTCAGACAAAGGGGATATTGTCACAGCTTGAAACTTAATGGAGTTTACTCTCCTGGGTTTCGAACCTGCTTGGGACCAGGGACCCTTTTATTTCTTCCAATTTCTGCATTTTTGAATGGGAATGTCTAACCTATGCCTGTCTTGCTGCTGTGTTTTGAAAGCAGATAACGTGTTGTCTAGTTCACAAGTCCACAGACGGAGAGGAATTTTACCCAGGATGAATCATACCCAGAATCTCCCCATCCTGCAGATCAGTGACTTACATGACAAGGTTAGGAACTTTTGGAGTGGACAATATTTAGAAAATATTTTGAATTTAGAGTTGATGCTGGAATTAGTGAAGACTTTGGGTAATCTTGGACTGGAATTCATGTATTTTTATGTGGAACAGACATGAATTTTAGGGGACCAGAGGACAACTATAGTTATTCCTCATCCTATTTCCTGGTACTTGTGACTGTGACCTTATTTAGAATAGAGTCTTCAACAACATAATTAAGTTAATGATCTAAGGATGAGATCATCCTGGATTTCAGGTGGGCCCTAAATCCAATGACTGGTGTCCTCATAAGAGGAGGGAGAGGGAGATTTGACAGAGACATTTGGAGGAAGACAATGTTAAGATGGAGGTAAAGATTAGAGTGATGTGTCTACAAGCCAAGAACACCAAGAACTGCTAGCAGCCATTAGATGATGGGAGAGAGAGTCATGGCATGAATTCCCCCCTAGAGCCTCCAGGAGGAACCAACACTTACAATGCTTGAATTTGAACTTCTGACCTCAGAACTGTGAGAGAATACATTTCTGATCATAAGCCACTCAGTTTGGGGTAATTTGTTATAGCTGAGAGACCTAGGAAATTAATGCAATGGTATCTATCTTTCCATTCTTTTATAGATTCTGCATTCCTATATTTCAATCGTGTCAGATAAAGAGAATAAACTGGGTATCTTTTTATCTAATTTAACACTCTTTCTTTGAGAGTCGCAAGTTCGGTTCATTTAAATCTATTTTTATTGCTGATATACTTTAAAATATTTCTATTGTCCCATTTTGTGTTTTCTATTTGTCCTACTCTTTTATGCTTTTCTCTTCCTTTCTTTTTGTCTTTTGATTGATTCTATTTTTTAACCTTTTAATTTCAAAATTTTGAAAGTTATTCATTCTATTCTTACTCCTTTAGGAATAAACTTTAATAAGCTAATATTCATATATAACTAAAAATTAATCAATATCTCTAAGAAATAAAAGCTCTACCTAAGAAATAAAATATCTCTAAGAAACAAAGGCTCTTAGAAAGCTTTACCTAAAATCACCTAGCTCACCAGATATTTTTACCACATTTCTAATACTAATTTCATTTTTTCACCTGCAAAAGTAAATATTAAATAGGCTCAACATTTTAGATGTACCCACACATTAACCCTTTGCTCATCAATCGTTGTTGAATCTCAGACACATTCTTTGTTTATTTCTTCTTCTTCCTAAAGTAAGTCCTTTAGAAGTTCCTTTCTGAGGATCTGTTTGTAATAAACCCTTAATACTTAGTTGTCCAAAAATATCTCATTTTACTCTCCTTCTTAAATGCAATTTTAGCCAAGTGTATTTTACCAATTAGATAATTATTTTCTTTCAGCATTTTGAAAATATTATTTTCCATCTTAGGGCCTCTACTGCTGATGTTGAGAAGTCTGCTCTTACACTCATTGAGTGCCGCCCAAAAGTGTGGCCTATGGAGTTGGTTAGCAATGTAGCTCTTAGACTTCACCCTAGATCAACTGAATCTGAATCTTAAAGTGGTAGGGCCCAGGAATCTACATGTTTGTTTACTTGCTTTCTGGATAGGTCATTAGAAGTTGAGAACCTTAGAGTATGTGCAGGCAACTTGCTTTTATCTCTTCCTTCAGATCTTGAAGACACTATGATGTGTGTAGATATAGATTTGTTTTATTTATCTTGCTTTGGGATTATTATTCTTCTTAAATCTGAGGATACATACTTTTCAGTAATTCTGGGAAGTCACCAGGCATTATTTCATCAAATATTGCCGTTCTCACATTTTCTCTGCCTTAATTCCAATAACATGAACTCAAAACATTTTCATTTTTCCTTTCCTGTGTTTTTAAATGTAGATCCCTGTACACTAAGGTCCCTAATGCTGTTTTTAATGGGAAGAAAAATTTTGAATAGGAATATCTGTAAGGGACTACACCTGCAGAAATTTAACTCAATTTAAGAATGTATCCAACAAATACTCAGTGACCCACACACATTACTAATCCCAGAAATGGGACAGAACTTCTTACAAAAATAGTACAACATTTTTACTGTTACTATAATGCTCTTAAGCCTTACTATAAGAGTATCACCAAAGATATGCTCTAACATGGAATGACTCAGACTCTTCAGTAATTTGTTAAGTAAAATTTCTTGGACAATGTTCAAGACAAGTTTATATTCTCTAGATTTTCAGATTGCAATGTGTTCTTCTACAGAAAGGTCCACATGTGTCATGTTTTCTGTCGATGTACAATGCTTTATTGTTTTTAAATCCTTGTCAGTGAAGAAATAGTCCACGCTGGAAAACAATCCAAAAATTTTCTCCTTGACTTTAAAGTGTATCCATAGACCCCCACAGAAAATCTGTTACCTGATATTTGGGGAACATTTCATCAAATTTGGTGATTCAATTATCTTCATAGAAAAGAATGTCAGAAGTTTTAGAATGCTGACAGAGTAGCTTCATGTGAGTCCCTCAGTGCCTCCTTTCCTGGAAAATATGAAATGGACAAAGGGCTTGAGTAGAAATAAAGTTAGACCCAGAACATAATGAGGGGAGGGGACATATTTCTTAACATGCTGATGGATGAATGGGAAATTTAAAACTTGAGTGTTGTAAAAGCTAATGCTTTTAAGGCTAATTATCTGTAATGATAATATGTCTGTGTGCTATGTAAATAAGAACTCAAAATAAGACACATCTGTCATAATGAAATGTGACACAGGGGAGATTAAACTAATGCCTTTCTTACAGTGAGTTTTTGGATAAACTTTTTCTCTGATTAATGAAATGTTCAATTGTTTGAAATGTTTGCACTGAGACTTGGATGGAAATAAGACCAGACTGTTGCAGAGATTTTTTTTTTATTATTATACTTTAAGTTCTAGGGTACATGTGCACAACGTGTGGGCTTATTACATAGGTGTACATGTACCATGCTGGCCCGCTGCACCCATCAACCCGTCATTTACATTAGGTGTTTCTCCCAGTGCTATCCCTCCCTGCAACCCCCGACCCATGACAGGCCCTGGTGTGTGATGTTCCTCACCCTGCAGAGATTTTTTATGGATGAGTTATGCAGATTCAACCTGATTAGTTCACTGATGCTTAGCAGAGGTTACAGATGCTCCATGGAGTCAGCCATTGCCATGATTTGCATAGAGGCACAAGATCATCTGGGAGCTGAAGACTGGTATCTGACAATCATGCACTGGTTTATTTACATCAAGAAGGCAATTTAGAAGAGATTCTTTTTTTTTTCCTCTCTCCCTCTCTCTCTCTCTTTCTCTCCATCTAAAAACCCTCAAAAAAAAGACAGAAACTATCTTGACCCAAGCCTTACCTTCGCATCACTCTCTTCTCTCTCCTGTAACTTCAACCTCTCCCTTTTTGCTCGCTCTTTTCTATTAGCCTATAACATGTACATGTCTCTGCCATCTTAAAAAAGTAATTAACAGAAAACAAAGAAAACCCTTTTCAAATTCTGCCTATCCATTTGGCGGCAAGTTTCTCAGTTTCTCACCCTCTTCCTTCACGTTCAACTCACTGAAAAAGTAGTGCCTTCCCACGGCTGTCTTCACTTTTATACTTTGTTTTCATTCTCCAACCTATTATAATCTGGCTTCTGCTCCAATTCAGCTCTGATATTCCTCATGCTAAGATCACTAACAGCTACATAGGGGCTTTACTTAAGCTTTTACCTAGTTTGACCTCTTTGGTGCACCTGACGCCATTGATAACTCCCTCTCTTCTTGAAGTTCTTTATTCCCTTGGTCTCTACACTCCATTTCTCCCGCTGCAACTCAGAATCAGTCTCTTCCTCTGTCACCTCTTGGTCTGTTCTCCCCTTAAACATTGGTGAGCCCCAGGCTTCCAGCATGAGGCAGCTGCGCTGCATGCCTTGCCTGGGCGATTTTATCCTTGATCACAGCTTCCCCTTATGGCTGAGAATTCAAAATCTATATCAGCTCTTTAAACTTTCTCCTCAGCTTTAGAACGGCACCTCCTACACCTCACATGGAAGTTCCAATGATACCTCAAACTCAATGTGACCAAAAAGGTTTTACTTCAAAGTAGAAAAGTTTTTCCTTCTGTGTCCTTTATCCTCTCAGTTTTTCCAAACAGTAATCAACGAATCAGCTTTGTCTCCTTCTCCCCAGTGACTGACCTTGATATCACTAAGTCCTGTAAATTTACAGGACTACCCTACCCCTACCATACGTGTCCCTTTCTCTCTATTTTCATTGTCACTGCTGCAGTTCATATGCTTATTGTCTCTTGCCTGATATTTATTTCCTAACTAGGCTCCCTGTCATATTTGCTCTCTGCCAGTTCATTTATCTTACTTCAGCCAGAGTGATCTGACTGAAGTTGCAAGTGTCAATCTGTCATTGAAACCTCTCCATATTGGGCATTTCATATGTACCTCCTCAGACTCTTTCAGCCTCCGTCTCCTAGGCCTCTGCCACTTGCTCTGTCTCAGCCATTAGCACTTCAAACATCTCCATGCACACCTGTAGAGATCTCCAAGCCAAGGCCTGGAGCTTCTGGCCCCTCTCCACTGCTTCCAGACTCAAACGAAGCCCCATGTCCAGACCCTCGGAGAAGCAAGTGCCAAGGTGAAATTGGACATGCAAGCCCGTGATGCAGATCTGCCCCTGATTGAAAGAGAAAGAGAAAAAGAAAGAAGGGAGGGTGAGTGCAAGCATCTTAGGCTGCGGTGCAATTCTAAGGGAAGTTTGGCAGGGTCATTGGAAAGTTCCCAAGCTAAAGTCTCCTGTCTCTTAGGAACAGACCTGCTTTAGTATCTCTGCTCTGTTCAGTCACTGAGAGCAGGCAGAAGGAAGCATGGTCTCTACGGTGTTGCATATTTTCAGATCATCAAGTCAGACTGTTAGCCAGACATGGCGGCAACCCACCAGATGACAGAACTGGCACACATAAAAGGGGGCTGGACCAGGTCCAAAATTATGAGTAAATTACCATTAACTGCTGATCAGACTGCATACGAACTACTTCTACTGCACCAGCGCCTCACCTTCAACCCATGGGTTTCTGCTGACCAACTCACAGAGGAAGAAAAGGCAAGCCTGGCTCACAGGTACAGAGTACTATGCTGGTGTGCTAAAAATTGACAGTTGTTGTATTATATCCTCAGTTGTAAGAGACCCTGAAAGATGTTCTGGTGAGATGACCCTGAATGGTCTCCTCATCTAGCCCATTGCTTGTGCAATGGGTCCATGAACAGAGTGGCCAAGATGGAAGGAATGAAGACCAGCCTGGGCCTAATAACCAGGGCTTCTTGGCATTATGGCCACTTAGCAGTGGCCAGTGTGCCAACTGAAGGGACTGAAGCTGTGCCCTCAACCCCACACCATTCTTTGAGGTATCTGCCAACTACCTACCTAGTGGCAAGTCAATTATATCAGGCCACTTACACACTGGAGCGGACAGTGAGCATTAATTCATTCTGAAATTGATACATACTCTGAATGTTGGATTGCCTTTCCTAGCTGCAGTGTCTCTATTAGCACCCCCGCCAAAGCACTTATAGAATGCTTTATCATTCAACATGTTTTCCACACAGTGTTCCCTTCAGCGGTGCAATTTTCTACAGCAAAGGTGCTGCAAAAATGGACTTCAGACCAGGAAACTCCCTAATAATACCATGTATGCCATCATCTGGAAACAGTCAGCCCATAAAATGATGAACAGCCTGTTGAAGGCTCAGCTGTGGGTCTGACGTCTTGCAGCGTCTGACACCTTTGTTGTCTTTGAGGAGTGACATATGGACTAAATCAACAGCTGATAATATAGTACTTTACCTCCAATACTAAGAATATTAGGTCCAGGAAGCGAGGGAAGTAGAAGTGACCCCACCTCACCATCAAACACAAGGGCCCATTTACAGCAATTGTGTTTCTCCTCCCTACAATCTAAGATCCTGCCCAATTAGAGGTCCTGGTTCTCAGGGAAAGAACACGTCTGCCAGTGTATCTAAGAGTTGCATTGAACTTGAACTTGTGACTACCACCTGTTCACTTTGGGCTTTCATGATAGTAGTTCAACTGGCAAGGAAATGATTTGCTGTTTTATTGAAATAATTAAGGAGTTGGTGTTACCACCACAGAATGGAGTCACAGAGGATGACGACTGAAACCACCTAGGGGAATCACCGGGTCTCTCTCAGTACTTCCATGCCCCCTGATAATGGTGAATGGAAAAATGCAGCAATCACAGCCTAAAATATACAGGACAAATAAAGCATCAGACCACTTGAAGTTCTGAATCACTGCACCAGGAAAGCAAATTAGACCACCTGAGAGTTGTCTAATGCAGGAAATACAGAATGGGTAATAGAGGAGAGAAGGTATAAATGCCAATTAGAGTCTCAGGACCAGTCCCAATGCAGAAATTGTAGCTTATTTCACTATCTTGCCTTAAGTATTTTAGGAAATCACAACTAGTAACTATCTTGAGGAGACTCTGTGACTGACTGACTGACTTGTACCTCCCCTCTTTGAGAAGCAATGAGACTGATGTGATCTTTACAAATTACATGAATGCATTAAATAATCACAAGTACCCCAAAACTATGTACTCTACTATACATCAGTTTAAAATATATGGTAGGCTCTTTTTTTATTTATTTATTTATTTAGATGGACTCTGGCTCTGTTGCCCAGGCTGGAGTGCAGTGGCAGTATCTCTGCTCACTGTGACCTCCTCCTCCCGGGTTCAAGTGATTGTTCTGCCTCAGCCTCCTGAGTAGCTGGGATTACAGGCACACACTACCACACTCAGCTAATTTTTGGATTTTTAGTAGAAATGGGGTTTCACCATGTTGACCAGGCTGGTCTCGACCACCTGACCTCAAGGGATTTGCCCATCTCAGCCTCCCAAAGTGCTGGGATTACAGGTGGGAGCCACCACACCCAGCCAAAAAAATATAGTAGACTCTTTTACAATACTTTGCAACAGAATAGAGAATAATCTTTTGAATGACACAGGTCTTTTTGGCTATTTGTGGCAATGTATGCTGAATATTTGCTTAGTATAAAGGCATTATATATATTTATTATACAATACATCATGCTCCAAATGTGCTGTCTTTGTCTGTGATGACAAGTGTTTGGAAGATGTTTTCAAATATAGAAACACCCTTAATCACTTCCTTCAGGGTAAAGCCACCATTTTAATAATGAATGAGAAAATAACTGCTTGTTGGAAGAATCAAACTATGGGGAGAATATTTTGAAAAATGGATGTGTGGAATTATTTCCATCATTGTATGATCATACAACTGAAAATAATGTATGCCACCTGTAACAACTCTCCTATATGATTGCTTCTTAAAAGTTGAAAATAAATGTTTCAAACCAGTTTTTAAATCTTCCACATATGGAATTTCAGTGAGTCTGGACCCATCTGTAAAAATATATCAAATGCTGGTCCTTTTGATGACTTTGTACAAACAACTGATGGATATCAGGGAAGATGGACACCAACCAGATATTCTGCTAGAACCTGGAGATTTTTCTTAACATCTATCCTGTTCTTCTCAAGCTTTCCTAATTCTGTCCTAATTCTGTCTTCTCTGTAGAAAAGACAGCAATATAATGGACAGTCTATACTCTGCTCTTATAAGCTCAAGTAATTTTAGTACAAATTCCAAGGACAGAAATAAAGAGATTAGTCTAAGTTTAAACTCTGCTACTAATTAGCCATGTGCCAAGCAAGTCATTCTGGTGAGAGGGGGTTCAAGTTCTGTCACTAAACAATCATGACATTGTATGACTTCACAGCAGCTGCCAAATTTGCAAATGCAAGATGGGACTGCTGCCAACTGATAAGCCCACTTCAGAGAAGGCAGCAGGAAAACCCATGCCACCTTTCCAAAGAACGCAAAAGGAGCTACATTCATATGACCCTCCCTTGACATTTGGGGGTAGAAGAGAAGGAGGGTCTGTCCCTGTGTGTCACACCACTCAGGAGTGATGGTCAGGCTCAAGGAAGTGTCTTTGGATTTGCTGAGCCACAATCCAAAGCCTAATTATGATGCATTACAATAATCAAACTCTTTTTTGCCTGTTTGGTTTTCTTCCCCAAGTCTCTATGTTTAGGATCTTATTTGAATTGAAATCTTTGGAATTAAATGTTATAGACAGTGATACATACAATATGGGATAGTTCTTGTAAAATATAATGAACTGTAAAACCTTGTCATGATTTCAGCTTAAAATATTATTCTATGCCAGGGCAAATGTCAAAGACAATCATCTCCTTTTATTAAGCATTACCTAGAAGATGGATAATATTTAATATGTGTGATGACAAATCTACAAAGAAAAAGAAACACCAAAAGACTGTTCTCAGACTCTGTGATGTTCCACTGTTTAAACACACAGATATCTGTGATATCACAATGTTTAAACAAAATAAAATACCATTTCATATGTAAAGCAAGAATGCTAATCTCCAGATATAGAAGTTATAGGAATTCTTCCTTAAAAAAAAGAAGGTATTCCAAAAGTAAATTCTTATATTAATATTAATTCATTTACTTTTAAAAAGTCAATGTCAGCAGCTGTGCTTGCTAAGATACAAAATTTAAAACCACAGCGAGGAGATAAAATGTAATGGGAATGAATGGGAAAACCCTTGTTTGCCAATATTTTAAAGTCTCCTCTCTAGAAAGTAACTTCCTGGAGGCAGAACTATATTGCTTTTACTCATTTTTGCATCCCCAGAACTTTTCAACCACGCCTGGGACATAATAGTTATTTTATAAGTACTTGTTCAATGGATAAATAAATGAATGAAGTTAGGCAGCCATTAAATTTATTTCAAAGGGGAATTACCAAAAGCAGGCCACACAATTGTTTAGTGACAGAGATAAACTCGCTTTCAATGGAATGATTTGCTTGGCATATGGCTAGTTAGTAGCAGAGTTTAAGTTTATACTAATCTCTTCATTTCTGTCCTCTGGAATTTGTACTAAAATTACCTGGGCTGGCTGGGTGCCGTGACTCATGCCTGCAATCTCAGTACTTTGGGAGGCCAAGGTGGGTGGATCACTTGAGGTCAGGAGTTCAAGACCAGCCTGGCCAACATGGCAAAACCCTGTCTCTACTAAAAATAAAAATTAAAAAATTAGCTGGGCCTGGTGGTACACACCTGTAATCCCACCTACTTGGGAGGCTGAGGCATGAGAATCGCTTGAAACTGGGAAGCAGAGGTTGCAGTGAGCCAAGATCACACCACTGCATTCCAGCCTGGGCAACAGAGCGAGGTTATCTCAAAACAAAAACAAACAAACAAAATTACCTGAGCGTACAAGAGCAGAGATTGTCCTTATACTGCTGTGATGAGCTCTTCTCTAGCTACCTTCCAACAGCTGCAATAGGAAATAGGAAAGCCAAGGTTGAACACCTCAAGCTTCTTAAGCCCACCAGGAAGAAAAGAAGAGGGCAAAGCTTAAATGGAAGAGGGAGCAGATATTGGAAGAGGAAGGAAGAGGAGGAGAGGGGTCCAAGATCATTCTAATGTGACGAGAGGATTGGACACAAGTTTCACAATTTGCTTCATTTCCTTTGAATTAATGTTCTCTGGGACCCTTCTCAGTACTAACTTTCAATACCAAAGAACTAAATAAAATCCTAAATGTCAAAAAAAACCTAATTGTTTTCTACAGACAATGTCTATCATATGATTGAGCCTAAAGGAGATGCACAGCTTAAACACCAAGCTGAAAATAACATCCCATATGAATTAGGTGTTTTTCTTTTTCCCAACTACATACTTCTTGACTAACAGATATAGTACATTCCACATCTTACTGAAAAGACTAGATGATTTTTACTTTACTGGAAAAAAATTAAACGAAAGTTTCAATTTTTATTCAAAGGCATGTGAGGGGGGAAGGAAACCAATTGTAAAACACAGATAATATTTAAACCTTAAAGAAAATTGGAATATTTTATTTGTTTTTCAATAAATTATAAAAAGAGATGATTTAATGAGAAAGCAGTTGTTAGTACACATGGTAGAAAAGCAATACGCTCTTTAGCTTTAGTAGAGCTAATGATGTAATTGTCATCAGCAGATTACCCAAACCCAGAGCTGTAGGATTTCCTAGTTCAGTCATGAAAATAAGCAGGGTTCAGGCATCAGGGAAGAATGTAGGAGCATTGCCCTTTTATGTCATGGTTTTTTTATTCTTCATAGTAATTTTTATGGGCTGGGGGAGGTGGAAAGGCTGTAAGTTGTTGACACAAAAGCCAAACTCTGTAAAATATTTAGAGAGATCTATTCTGAGCCAAATGTGAGCACCATGACCCATGACACAGCCTCAGGAGGTCCTGAAAATATGTGCCCCCAAGGTGGTTGGCTTACAGCTTGGTTTTATGTATTTTAGGGAGACATAAGGCATCCGTCAATACATGTAAGATATAGATTGGTTTGGTCCAGAAAGGCAAGACAACTCGCAGTGGGGGCTTCCAGGTCATAGGTGGTTTCAAAGTTTTTCTAATTAGCAATTGGTTGAACAAGTTAAGTTATTGTCTAAAGACCTGTAATCAATAGAAAGAAGTGTCTGGGTTAAGATAAGGGGCTGTGGAGACCAAAGGTCTTATTATGTAGATGAAATCTGATAGGTGGCCACCCTTAGAGGCAATAGATGACAAATGTTTCCTATTCAGACCCTTAAAAGGTATTAGACTGCCAGCTAATCTCTTCAGGATCAGAAAAAGACCTATAGAGAAAAATGGATTCTCTACAGAATGTAAGTTTTCCCCACAAG
Source organism: Homo sapiens (assembly GCF_000001405.40). Lineage (NCBI taxonomy): Eukaryota > Metazoa > Chordata > Mammalia > Primates > Hominidae > Homo > Homo sapiens. The sequence continues at coordinate 36,761,531 of NC_000013.11, forward strand.
AGACAGCTTTGCAGGGCCATTTCAAAATATGACAAAGGATTATATTTGGGACAAAATACTTTGATTTCTTTCAGAGCCTGCTATCTGTCCTGTGATGCTCTACTAGAGTCAGATTGGAATTTGGTATCTATTTGGTATCTTATTGCTACAAAGAGTCTGTTTGTCAGTCTTAAGATCTTTTTTTTTTTTTTTTTTTTTTTTGAGACAGAGTCTCGCTCTGTTGCCCAGGCTGGAGTGCAGTGGCACTATCTCGGCTCACTGCAACCTCTGCCTTCTAGGTTCAAGTGATTCTCCCGCCTCAGTCTCCTGAGTAGCTAGGATTACAGGCACGCGCCACCACACCCCGCTAATTTTTTGTATTTTTAGTAGAAACGGGGTTTCACCATGATGGCCAGGCTGATCTCGAACTCCTGACCTCAAGTGATCCACCCGCCTTAGCCTCCCAAAGTGCTGGTATAACAGGTGTGAGCCACTGTGCCCTGCCAAGATCTCTATTTTTATGTTAATGCTGGTCAGTTGTGCCTGAATTCCAAAGGGAGGAGGGCATAGTGAGGCAAGTCCACCTCCTCTTCCTGTCATGTCTTGAACTAGATTTTCAGGTTTCTTTGGAATCTCCTTGGCCATAGTGAAGCAGCTTTGTTGTCTGGGGTAAATACCAGGGGTTCATAGCTTCACGACAAGAAAATTTAGGGCACAGACACACACACAAGGGATTTAGGAGCAGAGGTTTAATAGGCAGAAGAAAGAGAAGGAAAACAGCTCTCTCTCTAGTGAGAGACAGGGTTCCCAGAGGAAAAGGCCACCAGCCAAGGAGTTCACCAGATTTTATAGGCAGGCTTGAGGAGGCAGTGTCTGATTTACATAGGGCCCACAGATTGGTTCAATCAGGTGTGACATTTACATAGCACATGGGAAAGACTGGCCACTCCACCCTAATCTTATTATGCAAATGGACTTCCCCCAGCCAGTGCCACCTTGTCTGCTCCTTATTATACACGTGGCTGACAAAGAAAAGGGAAGATGGAGCCGCCATTTTGAACATGATTGGCACAACTGCCAGCATCTATGTCTGCAGCTCGATTTTACAGGCTGCTCTTAGTTAAAAAGGAAAATGTTTTTGGGCTGCTTTTCATTAAAAGGAAAACCTTACCGAGGACTTCCATAGCGTCACTATCTGCCTAAGTAATTTCTTTTTAACTCCCATATCAATAGGAGGGGTTCATTCAGTTGGTTGGAGGGCTTAGAATTTATTTTTGGTACAAAGTGAAAATGAGAGTTACTTCCAGGGAAATGGCTTGTTGCACGCTCAATAGAAAATCCAGTGCCCCTCTCTCAAAATCTATGCAATAATGTTTATTGGTGTTTTCTCCACCTGGGGTAGATGGCTCTTAACTCTCTCTCTGTTTTTTGGAGACGGAGTCTTACTCTATCACCCAGGCTGGAGTGCAGTGGTGTGATCTTGACTCACTGCAACCTCCACCTCCTGAGTTCAAGCAATTCTCCTGCCTTAGTCTCCCGCCTGAGTAGCTGGGACTACAGTGTGCACCACCACACCTGGCTAATTTTTGTAGTTTTAGTAGAGATGGGGTTTCACCATGTTGGCCAGGCTGGTATCGAACTCCTGACCTCCAGTGATCTGCCTGCGTCAGCCTCCCAAAGTGCTGGGATTACAGGAGTGATCTTACTCTCTTTTTACAGCAAAGACTATTACACTGTCCAATCATTTCCAAGTTATATCCCTTGAGAATTACAAAGAATGTTAATAGATGCTACTAGAAAAACAAAACTTGTTATTAAAAAGCTTGAGAGTCTTAAAGAAAAATGTAAAACACTTTAGGATATTTCAGGGTTATGACACGAAATCCTGATTTGGGTTTATAATCTGGCTGCTGCCTGAATCTGTAGCCTGTCCCTGAATTCCTCCCATTTAAACTTCCAGAACCCATCAGCTCTCAGCACCTTCAAGTTGGCGCCTCCCTGCACACTGGCCTGGCTGCTGTCACTCTGCCAAGTCCCACCCAGGTTCTGCATGTCTGTGCTTCCACCATAGCTCAGTTCTCCTGACTCTTCACTTCTGTCCCTCACATGCCTCACGCTACTACTATAGAAATGTTTGTTGAAGAAATGGATGAATGAATGAAGCCTTTCACCTAACAGAAGGATGGGGATGAGGAAGGCAGGGTCTTAATATCAATGGAATATTAAAGAAAAACTCTTAACTATGCTCTTCAGCTCTTGGTTTTTCATGTGATACATTATGCATCCTGATTAAATCACTAAGGAACAGGCCAAAACCCTACCTGCTTATGGTAAAGAGAAAATTTTACTTTTATTTTTAACTCTATTAGACATGTAAATATCCTACAGCATAAAATCTATACAAATATATTCTTCCTCCCACCTGTGACTCGTTCTTCTATGAATCAACTTTTCTATTACTACTAGATTCTCTTTCTTGACACATGAGCACTCTAATTAATGAGAAGCTGATTTTTTTTCAGTACCACAGAAATTTTTTTTAAGGGTAAGGGGAAAAATCTATTCCAACAAAATGTCAGCCCATGGTAGAGTGGAAGGTGTATGCCTACGAAGCAGGACATACAAGTCCAAATGGGTATTCTGCATTCAGGATTTAGGAACTGGAAAATTGCTCTATGCAAATGAACCCATATCACCAATAATCTGTGTCTCCATGCCTACATGAAACTTCCAAATCCTCACAGGCTCCGTCACTTCACTTTATCCTGTACTGCAATCCCACAGGGCTGCCATCACCAGTACTGAACTGCTAATGAATTTTTCCTGCCCCTCTGCTCAAGTACAGCTGAAAGATTGTGTGCTGAAACTTCTAATTAGTAAGAGGCAATAAACAAGGACTGCAATAATTGTCTGAAATCACACACCAGGAGGTCTGCTTTTCACTTGCTCATCCAATCGTTTTTGTGTCCCCCTTGAGTTTAATATAATCCCAACTTCAAAGTTAAGACATGTCCTAACTTACTATTTATATGAATTATGTTCATGAGAATCAGGGCTGTATGTATGCACGGAGAAGGTAACCATCTATCTTGTATGACCACCTATATGTTGTGCTTTCCTTCTCAAAAAGATTACCACTCTCATCTAACCTGAAAAATTGAGAAATAGAATCTAAGATAAGACTTGTCTTCCTGGAAAGTTCTATTGGGTTTGGCCTTGTGCAATGTAAAGCATTCATATTAAAATTACATTGACATAACTCCCCTATGTATACACTGAGTCACACTTGCATGAAGGTGCTAGGTACCTAAACAGTCGAATTATTTTGTAAAAAGAAGACCGTGCCCCACTCAAAACTTCATAATTTGGTTAGTGATAGAACTGCTTTGAATAATACAGCCATAAAACTTAGCCTTGAAATTATCTTGACTTTATGAAGTTGCAATCAATAAATACTAAAGAAATGTCTAAAGGCATCTATATTCACTTCTTGTGGCTGCTGTAACAAATTTCCACAAACTTGGTGGCTAAAAACAACACAAATTTATTCTCTCACCATTCTGGAGGCCAGAGGTCTGAAATCAAAATATTGGTAGGGCCATGCTCCCTCTGCAGGCTCTTAGGGAAGAATTCTCGCTTGCCTCCTCTAGCTTCTAGTGGCAGTTGGCATTCCTTGGCTCATGGCTGCATTCCTCCAATCTCTGCCTCCATCTTCACATCATTATCTCCTCCTGTGTCAGTCTTTAATCTCCCTCTGCCTCTCTTTTACTAAGATACATGTGATTGCATTTAGGGCCCAACTGGTTAATCCAGGATAACCTCCTCATCTTCAGATCCTTAAATTAATCACACCTACAAAGACCCTTTCTCCAAATAAGGTAACATTCACAGGTTCTGGAGATTAGCACATGAATATTTTGGGGAGAAGGGAACATTTTTCAGCCTACTGTAATATCTGAGTGTTTCCTTAAGAATCATGAGTGATGTTTTCAGTGAGGAATACTTTGGTTTGCCTCAGGTTTGGCAATATAGAAAGAGAGGATTAGGGTTTAATCAATGCATACAAGGCAAATATTATTCCTAATTCAATATTCAGTTCAGTATCTAGTATGGAGATATGGTGTCTGACAAACCAGTCCCAAGCACTGTCTTTATGTTCAAAGCAAAATCAAACCCAATTTGCTTCTTTCAGTGCAGTTTGTCTGCATTATCCCAGGATCAGGAATTGCTCACTTTATTACCCTGGGGCCATGTTTCTAAGACACAATCAACATTTTTCACACATTCAATTCCAATTAATTCTACCTATTTTGCAGAAGAATATTTGATATAATATTAAGAAAATATAGAGTTGTTTTTCACAAAACCTGTCACATAATCACCCCCAAATTTGCTCCAGTTTACCTTCAGTGCCATATTATTATGTTTCCTGTGTGTGCCATGATATTTTTTTAAAAGATTGAGTAGCCCTGATACAGAGAAATAAGTAGGCTAAAAACAGGTCCTTATGGAATATCTACCTTGCAAGAGAGGGGTTGATGAAGAAGAGAGCAAGAGCAGCTATCCGGCATTTGGGAAACAGACTCCTCCTCATAAGGTAGAAAATTCCCTGAATTACATTTACAGCTGGGCTGCCAAAACAGATGACAGCTGTCCACAATAGATCAATAATGTCAAATGCCACTGAGAGATGAAGTAAAGGATGAAAAACATCCACTGAATTTGGTAATTAGGAAGCACTACAGACCAAGTATGGTGGCACATGTCTATAAACCCAGCACTTTGAGAGGCCAGAGCAAGAGGATTGCTTGAGCCCAGGAGTTCAAGACCAGCCTGGGCAACATAGGGAGATCCTAGCTCTACAATAAATTTTTTTTAATTAGCTGGACATGGTGATGCATGCCTGTGGTCCCAGGTACTCAGGAGGCTGAAGTGGAAGGATCACTTGAGTCCAGGAGGTCAGGAATGTAGTGAGTCATGATTACAACACTACACTCCAGCCTGGGAAATGGAGAGACTCTGACAAAAAAAAAAAAAAAAAACAGCCAGCAACCAGCAAGATCAGTACCAGTGGACTGACAGGAAAAGGCCACAAAGCAGGGAGCTGAGGCATGCATGGGGGGAGGGGAGGTGTACACAGAAAGAAGATTCTTTCATTAAGAAGAAAGAAGATTCTGTTCTTTCAGAAGATTATTGTTGACAGGGATGAGAGGAAATAATGGAAGGTGGAGGGAGGCTTTTGTGAGGTGTCAGACTTGTGTTTCTACCTTGAAGGTAAATAGTAAGCCCAGAAGGAGAGTTTAAAGGTACAGATATTGCTAATGGCAGACAAAGGCATACACTAAATAAAGTTTTTAAAGAACCTAGAAGGAGTGAGATTGTTCTTAGGGAAAAGGATTGGTCTTGGACAGATGTCCACTGGCTAAAGAGAAAGCAGTAAGGATGTGACAAATAATTTTACCAATCAGAATTCAAGAAGTTGAATGTGGCTCTGCCTGGGATACCTTTCTTTGTTTCCCAGGAATATAAACTGAGGAATATTAGAAATGAGAAAAGGTTATCGGATTTGGCAATTGGAAGGTCATTTGTGATCTTTGCAAGGGCAGGTTTAATGCTTCCTTCAGCCAACAAATATTTATAATCCTGGTGAATGGAGCACTAGACAGGACCTTGTTACAGGACCAACAGGTTCATATGCCTCCTGCACAGTAACAGACCAATATACCAAGACAGCAGGATTTGCAGCAGAGAAAGAGATTAATGATTGAAGGGCAGCTGAATGAGGAGATGCGAGGAGACCTCCCCCCCACAATCATCTCCTGAGGAGTTCTGGGTTGGAGTTTTTAAGGAGATTGTAGGGGACAAGAGGCCGAAAAAAATTGAGTCATTGATCGGTCAGGGTAAGAGGGATGAAATCCTCAGGATGTGGAAACTACATTCTTTACTCAGTCAGTTTCTTACTTCAGACCAGTCTCCTTCAGACCAGCTGATGTCGGTAGTTTCACTGGTATGCAGGACCTGAAAGGATATCTCAAAGGGAAAACTTAAGATTTTATGATGTTCAAGTTACATAGAGTCTTGTAACAGGATCTACTGATTCTGGGGCAATAAGTAAACAACTATAAGGAAGCAGATCAGAGAGCAAGCTCACCTAATGATTAATGCTGAATGCTTGCAGCTTGATTTATTTTCATTTCTGCCTCTCCCTTCTTCCTTGATTAATTTTATAATTTATAGGGATGGTTTCAACCTCCCAAGACAGGAGACTTGGAGTCCAGATTTAACTCTTTACCAAATTAGCTCTTCATAATGAAGGCACCATTTGGGACACTTATTCCCCCAAAATGAAGAAGTTGGATGAAACGACAGCTAAGGTAGTGTCCAACATTTACATTGTGTATCTGTTCTAATACTATGTTGAAGGCACAAGGCTGGTCATGGTATGAAATTTAAAGATCCAATGAGAGGCAGGGATTTGGACTTTCAAGGACATCAGAGTCTCTAAAAACAAATAATTCCTAATAAAAAGTCATCCTGCAGTGTTCCTTCCTGAGTCAAGGTCTGCTGTCAGGGAGAAAGCATTGAAATTTCTATTTCAAAAGAAAAAAATGTGACCAATTTCTAACATGATTTAAAAAAATTCCTTAGTGCCGACCGGGCACGGTGGCTCACGCCTGTAATCCCAGCACTTTGGGAGGCCAAGGTGGGTGGATCACGAGGTCAGGAGATCGAGACCATCCTGGCTAATACGGTGAAACCCGGTCTCTACTAAAAATACAAAAAATTAGCCGGGCATGGTGGCAGGCGCCTGTAGTCCCAGCTACCACGGAGGCTGAGGCAGGAGAATGGCATGAACCCGGGAGGCAGAGCTTGCAGTGAGCTGAGATCGCACCATTGCACTCCAGCCTGGGCGACAGAGCGAGACTCCGTCTCAAAATAATAATAATAATAATAATAATAATAATAATAATAATAATAATAATAATTCCTCAGTGCCAAACAGCCTGAAAATGTCAAGACCTTTCACTACCTGATAAAGTTAGTTCTCAATATGAGAAATGTGAGAAAAGAATGAGCCATAAATTTAGGGGTTTTACCCAGTGGGCAAATTGGGTATTAATTTGACTATATTGCTTGGGCCCCTCAGGATGTTTAGCACAATGCACTAGATGGAAAGTTGTGATTGCACATTATATATTTTGAGACAAAATAACTTCTGCCAATTCTTGAGCTAAAGGAACAGAAAATATAAGCACACATAATGGAGACTGTAGAAATTTGATATTAAAAGATGTATTATGTTGTCTGATACATCTTCCTGTCAACATGTTCATTATAATGTGTTCTTTTATTCTGTCCTATTCAGAATTTCTAGTTGTCTGTACATTGATTTTACACCTCCCACCACAAAGCTCAGAAACATTGACAAGCATCCTCATATACTCTAAAACGATGCAGTATGAGGAGGAGGACATTTCTATTGCTTTGATCTTCATAAAAATGCTCACATGGTTAATTTGTTCAGCTCCAAGTCTTTAGTATCTTGTCACTCCTTTTGAATACTCCAAAAGATGCTTAGATCTGATTAGACTGAAAGTGCTCCTAAAACAACAGGGGTTTGTTAGAATATGGATTATTCCAGAGGTGTGTCAATGCCATTCCAATCCATTGTTTTCAAAACCAAACCACCCACCATCAGTAACTAGTTGTCCACTGTGGTAAATTTGTAGGTAGCCGCTTGTTTCCTTTCCTCCTAAAAGCCCCTGCTTCTCCTCTAAAACTCTGAGCTGCCCTCTAAGAGGATGGAGTCACTTCCTTCTTTCACTTCCCACATGAGATTGTGTTGTAGGAGAGGCAATTGGGCAGCCAATGAACTGTGGGATTTAGGGTTCAGGAGACTGGCTGCAAGTCCTTCTCTTTCCATTTATTGCTGTGTAATGTTTAGCTATCGCCTCATCAGAAGCCAAATGTATTCCTCTGTAAAAGTTAATAAAACCTGAGTGATCAATGTGTGATGTTGGGTTGCTGTGAAGAAGGAAAAGAAATAGTCGACAGAAGAGCACTTTGCAAACCACTCTATGACCTACGACTTGTTGTGAGAGAGAAGATGAAGCTGAGCAACCTCAGTGCTGTCCTCTCAAAACATGCAAAACTTTTCCTCTGACCCAGTTCCTCACCTGCCATGGAGCTGTCACCACTGCTGCTCTGCTGGGTCTGTGAAAGAGCACAGGTGCATGGAGGCAGGTGCCAGCCCCATTACCTGCAAGCCTGTCCTGACATTCCGGTATCTCCAGACGAGGCTTGCTGGCACTTGGGCTAGCTTGCTGGGGTAGTTTCAAGTGACTATTCTGGAGCCTTATTTTTCAGAATTACCAAAATTGCAACAGTGGTAATTTTAAGCATATTTTGATCCTGTATATAACAAAGCAGATACTATTTAACAAGGAATCATTGGATGATTCCTGTTCGACAAAAGAAATAATCAAGTCAAACAAAAATATGACATTTTACTATCTCCCTAAATGATCAAAGGACTCCTACTTTTGTCTAATGTACTTATTAAATCAGTGCACACTTCCATCCCATTATGGGACCTGATATGATGCCAATCCCAGTTTAAGAGTAGAGGAGTAGTACAGAGTATGTTCTGGAATTTTTTTCTCCCTAAAGATCACGCTGTTACCCCTATTTGAGAGAACTTCAAAAAGTTCATGGAAAAATTAGATTAAAACATGAAAGAAAAATATACAAATTGTATTTTTCAACATAAGCTCCATCAAGTTCAAAATGCTTTTGTAATTAATGATACCAGCCATTTAGTTCAACCATAAAGAATCAAGGGGCCTGGGGATTTAACCATGTCAATGAAGTCTTTTTTTATATATTAACTGAATAAATGGATGCCCCTCACAGGTTTTTTAAGGTTTGGAAAGAAAAAATCAGAAGAAGCCAAATCGGGACTGTAAGGTGGATGCCTACTGATTTTCCATCAAAACTCTAGCAAAAGTGTCCTTGTTTGATGAGAGGAATGAGCAGGACATTGTCATGGTGGAGAAGGATTCTGTGGTAAAGCTTTTCCAGGCATTTTTCTGCTAAAGCTTTGGCTTTCTCAAAACACTCTTATCATAGGCACATGTTACCATTTTTTGGCCCTCCAGAAAGTCAACAAACAAAATGCCTTGAGCATCTCAAAAAACTGTTGCCATGACCTCTGCTGTTGATGGATTGATGCACTTTTGCTTTAACTGAACCACTTCCATCTTTTGGTAGCCATGGCTCTGACTGTGCTTTGTCTTGAGGATTACACTGGTGAAGCCATGTTCCATTTCCTCTTACAATTCTTTGGAAAAAAAAAAAGTGCTTCAGGATCATGATCTCACTTGTTGAAAATTTTCATTGAAAGCTCTACCCTTGTCTGCAGCTGATCTGGATACATCAGTTTTGGCACCCATCGAGTGGAAAGTTTGCTCAACTTTAAATTTTCAGGCAAAATGTTGTAAGCTGAATCAATTGAGATGTCTATAGTGTTGACTATTTTTTGTGCTATTAATCCTGAGTCCTTTTCAGTTAGAGCACAAATGAGATGAATTTTTTCCTCACACATTGATGTAAATGGCCTGCCGCTGTGGGTTTCATCTTCAACATCATCTCACCCCTTCTTTTTTATTTATTTATTTATTTGTTTGTTTTTATTATACTTTAAGTTTCGGGATACATGTGCAGAATGTGCAGGTTTGTTACACAGGTATACACATGCCATGGTGGTGTGCTGCACCCATCAACCCATCACCTATATTAGGTATTTCTCCTAATGCTATCCCTCCCCTAGTCCCCAACCCCCCGACAGGCTCCGGTGTGTGGTGTTCCCCTCCCTATGTCCATGTGTTCTCATTGTTCAACTCCCACTTATGAGTGAGAACATGCAGTGTTTGGTTTTCTGTTCCTGTGTTAGTTTGCTGAGAATGATGGTTTCCAACCTCATCCATGTCCCTGCAAAGGACATGAATTTATCCTTTTTTGAGACAGAGTTGCCCTCTTGTAGCCCAGGCTCAAGTGCAATGGCGCGACCTCCACTCACTGCAACCTCCGCCTCCTGGGTTCAAGCGATTCTCCTGCCTCAGCCTCCCAAGTAGCTAGGATTACTGGCTTCCATCACCATGCTCAGCTAATTTTTATATTTTTAGTAGAGACAGAGTTTCACCATGTTGGCCAGGATGGTTTCAAGCTCCTGACCTCAGGTGATCCACCCTCCTCAGCCTCCCAAAGTGCTGAGATTACAGGTATGAGATACCGCGCCCAGCCATCTCACCCCTTCTTAAAGTGAGTTATCCATTTTTATCTTTTGAGGCATTGTCCCATAAACTTTTCATAAAGCATCAATGATTTCACCATTCTTCCACCCAAGCTTTACCATAAATTTGATGCTTGTTCTTAAATTTTAGCAGAATTCATGTTGCTCTGATAGAGGATCTTTTCAAACTGATGTCTTATCCTTCTTAGTGCCTTAAACTAGATCCTGCTCAGATATGTCATAACAAATTGGTATAAGTTTGTTTTGGTGCAAAAAAATTTTGAAATCCATGCATAGTTTTTTCACAATATGCAATATTCATGAATCTTTGAAGACCCCTTGTAAAACCAAATAAGCTTCAATTGAAACCCCTGAATTAAGTTTTCAAATATTCTGGGATTACATAGTTATCCTTTTAAGTCAAATGATGATTCCAATAATAGATATACATTTTTCATGTTATCCAAGATTGGCTCTGATTGTATATCTATCACTGGAGTAAAAAAGCTGAATTAACGTAACTTCAAAAAACGGTATCCAGGATCACCAAAGTGAATTGCGCTGCTATAAATATGTCAAATATGTGCAACCTCTAAAGAAGGTATTATCATCTCAGAAAGCAACGTTTTAAAAAATGTATTCTATTAATATTTTCTTATAAATAAAATGACATCATTTGATGACACTACATTACAATAGTCCATTTTTATTGAAAGTATTTTGACTCAATTTCATTTTCACTGTATGACTCAAAATAAATGGTATTCAATAGAGTTGTCACATTTATTATGTCATTTGTTTGTCAGATTACTGTCCCTTATTAGAGATGAGAAATCAGGCTTATAGCACAGTGCTGATGCAAACTGGATATGTATAACTGAATGAATCAATGAATCAATCACAATTTTAAGGGATTGCTCACGCTTGAATTGCTAGAAGGACCTGACTTGAACCTATCACTTTGGTCCACTGTTCCCTTTCACAGCATCACACTCCCTCCTCTTCTCTTAGTAACACAAGAGAAGTTTAAGCTAATTGTCACATCTAATATAAATTTATAAGTAATCACACCTCCTCTCATGCACATGTGGAAATGTTAGTTCCAGATTCCAAGGAAATGTACTGAAATGATGTTCATTAGGATTAATTCCTAGAAATTCTCTTGTCTCTCTCTCTGTCTCCCTTGGGTCTTCTCCAGCAAAGGTTTAAATTTTACATTTCAAAACAGACTGTTCCATTGTTTCATTCCTGGAACCTACTCCTTGTTGAGAATCTCAACAAATCACATGTAGCTGTGCAGCTGTGGGCCTGGAATGAGTAGGGGGGAATGTAATTTGGCAAAAATTGCTTCAGAGATCTATGAGATATGTCATACAGATTGTGTGTCCTTTCCTCAGTAAGATCTAATGTAGGAGGAAAAATACAGCAATCAGAATAAAGAAGCTTCATTCTCCTTACCACAGAGGAAATTTTTATCAAAGATCTGAAGGTTCCAAATGAGCACACTGCTTAATCAAGCTATTTCTAGACCTCAGACTTTAATATTATAATGCTGGACAGAGAGAGGATAGAGTACAAAGCATGCTGAGAAATAGAATGGCCACTCAAGAGGCCCAGAAAGTTCACGTTTTAGCCCTTTTCATAAAATTTTATGTATAATGGCATAGCAAGCTCTAGGCAAACACCGAAGTGGAAATATAGCCTTATTCCCCATTACATTTCTTTCACAAAATGATGGCCCACTTTCTCCTGCACAAAGATGAGAAGAAGCCCAATAGCATTGCATTATCTGTTGAGATTTCACCCTGAAGAACTTAAGTTTAAGCATATCCCATTGATTGCCTGGCATTAAAAAGCAGATATAATTTTACCCTTTGAAAGGAAAGACAATCAACAACCCAGCTGTGCATATTCATTTACGAAATCAATAGGATGCTGAGATCAGTTCTCAAGCTTCTATTTCACACATTTGTAGACTCAGGTGAGGGTCAGGCCAAGTCCCAAAACGTTTAGCTGTATCACCTGGGAATGAAGGATTCCTCGTGAGAGTGAGGGGCAGGAAACATCATGGGTCAAATTAATAAAATGGTTAAAAGAAACCACTTGGGTGATGAATTGTTTTGGTTTTTATACTTTCTGGCTAAATGAAGATTTAGCAGAAAAGCATCTGTTTAAATACTTGTTGTTTTACACATTTCTACACTGTTTTAGTCGTTTTCCTACGTTAATGAGTATGGCATATTAAAGCTACTCTGTGACAAGTTTGCATGGTTTACAGGAAGAATAGGGTGATAGTATCCGTGTGAGTATTTTACAGGCAGTTATGGGAGTACAGACTAGAAGCAGAGGATGCCTTCAAACTCAAAGGCTCTAAGGTATGGGAAGAAGGAGAAAGGGAGCGACCTTTTCATGGCCATAAAGTCTTTAAGTGATCTGATAAAACACGAATCCTATTCCTGCCAAATCATATACCCAGATAAAGTTTTGGCATACAATTCTACCTGGGTCATGTATTCTTAACTCTTGAAGTTCCTTTAATCACCAATTGTATAAAAACTAATTTATTTGCTTGTTTTCCCATTTCTCCAAAGGTGGCATACAGAAAACAAATCTTCCTATCTATGTTTCTAATTAATAAGTCATTACTTTTAGCCTTATATTTACCTAGATTTTTTTTGTAAAGTGCTTGTACAAATATGATTTTAAATTCCTGCAATACCCTATGATGCAGATGGGGAAAGCAGTGTTATGTACACTTCATAGGTCAGGCAGTGGGATAACGCGGAGTTAAGCTGCAGAGATAAGACTAAAAGTCTTGCCTTCTGCCTTAGCACTCTTTTCACCAGGTCAGCTATCAAACTGCCCTCTGAGAACCCCGTTGGGGGTCCATGAAGATGAGGCAATAGTATTTGTACTTCACCCAAAATAGTCATCTGTTTCTTGGTTTTTTGACATGGTTGGGTTTCTATTTAATTTTGTGTTTAAAGAAAGGACCAAATTTCTTTGGTCATATTAAATATTTATTACTGCATTTATTTTTTTCTTATTGTACATAGTATTTATTATTTCCTGTATAATATATAAGTATTATAATGTAAACAAATATCTACAAGCATCTGGGCTAATATCAAACCTATGATCTAAAAAAAACTACATAAAGTTTCATCATAGAAACCCAGATTAAAGGAAACTAGGCCCCTTCCTAGGTAAGATTCCTGAACTTAGTAGGAATGAACAAGCTATGATGAAACAAATCCAAGGCTTCAGGGTAGATCCTGGTCTCTGGGGATAGTGAATGCTGAAGTAATTAAGAGCAAGAGCTCGGCTTTTCCTCTTTGACTTAGCCTGCTGTTCAGTTTTGTTCAGCGGCCGTCTTCTATCTGTTTGGTCAGCTGGAGCCGACCAAAACATGCAGTTGTTGCACAGAAGACAGCAACAAAGTAAAACTGAACAGCCTGCTATGTAAAAGAGGAAAAGCACAGGAAACACTTAGGTTGGAGTTGGGGGCACAGGGCAGTAAAGAGATCGGTGTAGAGAATCGATAAGAAGGAAAAGAAGAGACGAAGAAATAATAGAGAAATATATAAGTAAAACATTATGGCTTTTATGATTTCTTGTTTATAAGAGTGGGAAGAAGGAGAAAGAAAGAGAAACAGTGATTTCTAGGTCTTAAGTCCTATGGTCTGAGCATTTGCCAACAAATGAGACAAGGGATGTAGGGGAGAAGTGAGCTTGTGGGGGAACATGATAAATGTAGTTCAGGATATACTTAGCTTGAGGGGCTGTGAAACATCCCTGGAGAGATGGCGACCTGGCAGTAGAGCGAGTGAGTCTGATGTCCACAGGAAAGCTCTATTTGAGTTAAAGATACTCGTGAGTCACCATGGTCTCTTTCTCATCAGTGTCCACGTGTATATTAGAACCATGGGAGCAGCCAGAGATGGTGTGGTGTGAGAAGAGAGGAAGGTGTCGGGTGGAATTCTGAGGAATACCAAGGGAAGGCCATGTATTAGTCTGTTTTCACATTGCTATAAAGAATACCCGAGACTGGATTATTTATGAAGGAAAGAAGTTTAATTGGCTCACATTTCTACATGGCTGCAGAGGCCTCAGGAAACTTACAATCATGGCAGAAGGGGAAGCAGGCAAATTTTACATGGTGGCAGGCGAGAGAGAGAGCATATGAAGGAGGAACTGTCAAACACTTATAAAACCATCAGATCTCGTGAGAACTCACTCACTACCATGAGAACAGCATGGGGGAATCTGCCTCCATGATCCAATCACCTCCCACCAGGTCCCTCCCTCAACACGTGGAGATGATGAGGATTACAATCTGAGATGAGATTTGGGTGAGAACACAGAGCCAAACCATATCAGGCCACAACAGAAATGGTAGGGGAAGGCCCAAGAGAAAGAAGAAAAGCCACTTCTGTGGTATAAAGGAAAAGAAATTCACATTCAGCAGAGGTAACCAGTAAGCAAATGACTGAAAGGTATCCTTTGAAATTTAGAGGCTGATGGGAACCTTACTGAGGGCAGCTTGATAGAGTGTGTGGAGTGTTGGAGCTTATGAAATTTGAAGTAGAAAATTCAGATGATGATGCAATCCAGTGGAAAGAGGGGTATGCCTAAGGATTAAAATACTGAAATGGAAAGAAAGTAAAGATCAATAGAGCTGAGATCAAAGAACATAAAACTAGATGAGTTGTTAAAGTATCCCAGGATGGTTGTTTGTGTGAGAAGGAGTGGATCAATGAGGTGCAGATGTCTGCGGTGGATTGTGTAAGTAACTGCCCACCCGCACCCGCCCCCAGCCCCAAAAACACAGCAAGGAAACAGCGATGGAGAATAGTGTGGTCACATTGCAATGAAGAACCTAGTTAATCCTAAGCAACCTCACCCTCCACCACTACCAGCAGGCCTGAAATGTTGTGGGTGTGGGCGAATAAGCCCTCCCCACAGAAGAGAGCTGAAAGAGAAATGATATTAGCTGAAAGAGAAATGATATTATATAGGAAGGGTGAAAAGAATGTTCTATGGAGATACTGAAGAAACACAGGCGCTCCTTAAAATAGAACATGATTCCAAAAGACCTGGTCAAAGGTGTGTGGGTCATTCAAGTGGGAGAGTCAGAGATAAAACGCTGAGCTGAAGAGTAGAGGGTATGTCTAGAAGAGACAATGGATGATGGAGATGGGACATGGAGGAGCTTGACAAGAAGCAGGGATGGAACTTATTGGCTGCAAATATACCAATGCAGGCACAGGTTGTGTGGGTGTCAGAATGGACCTGGTATCCCATGTGGTATTGGACCTGGATGGGGTATGGAGGGAGGGGCTGTACCTCCTAGTTTCCTGGCTGAATTTCATTGCTTCCTCATATAAAATGGTGAGAAGTAGAAGAGAGAGTTAGTGATAGTTTATCCTCAGGATGGTTAATCCAGGAATGGTATGAATAGAGACTAACAGTCCTAAGCCTTTGCACATTCTTTCTGTGCCCTTAGGGTTACTTTTTCCCTCTTCAATCACTATTGTGGCATGTTTTTATAAAACTGATTTTGTCTACCACATTGGCTTCTTTGAAACCTATGGAAGGTATATCAGGTATCCCATCTGGATGCCCAGAAGACAATTAACAGTAATTGGCGAGAGTAGAGAAAGAGAGGCGGTGGTCAGTGGATAGCTGAGAAGACATGGGAGATATCATCAATAGAGGCGGCACATGCTTTGTTCCTTCATTCCAAAATTTATTTCAGTATGACAAAGATCAATAAAGAGTTCTCACCACTCTCAAGGTTCCCTGTGCTCTTTCTCATTAAGCCTATTTCTTCCAGAATCCTCAGCAGTCTCCACCACTGTCTTTCTTCCTGAACACACACCTCCATATTAATTGGGTATTAGTTTGATGCTGCAGGGACTATATAAAACTGTCCTTAATGTAAAGAGGGAAGGACAGCTGAAAGGCAGTAGGTAAACAGAGCCCTGGAGTCAGAGTAAGAAGGCTGAGGGTGATCTCTAGCCATTCTATTTACTAATTCTGTGGTTTTGGATAAGGTACATAACCTCTTTACCTCAGTTTCCTCATCTATCCAAAGGAGATAATAATTTCTATTCAGAGATAGGCCAAGGTGGCCAATTAGAAGCAGCTGCGGTCCACAACACTCACAGAGGAATAAAAGGGGTGAGTGAATACAGCACCTTCAACCAAAATAATCAGGTACTAGCACTGGAACTGATCAGGGAAACAACTTGAACCCATGGAGAAGGAAGAAAAGCAGGGTGGGCTGACGGCCCATCCAGGAACAGCATGGAGCCAAGCAACCCCCACCTCCAGCCAAGGGAAGCGGTGAGTGAATGTGTGACCCTGGGAAACCATGCTTCTCCCACGGGTATTTTCAACCCTTAGATCAGGAGATCCCCTTGTGAGCCCATGCCACCACAGCTTTGGGTCTGACACACAGAGCTATGTGGAGGGTAGGCGGAGCAGCTGCTCAGGCATGCACACAGACCCAGGAGCTTACAGATTCCAGCTGTAACCCAGGAGCTTACAGACTCCAGCTGGGATCTCTGACAAAGGGAACTGCAACTCAGGCAAGGCAGGAGGTCCGTACATACCCCTAGCAAGGGGGCTGAATCCAGGGGACTGAGCAGCATCAGTTTGCAAATCCCACTTCCACAGCACCTCACAAGAAAATACCCACTGGCTTGGAATTCCAGCCAGCCACCAGCAACAGGGTGGAGCCACCCTGAAACAGGACGGAGCCCCCAAGGGGGAGGGGCAAGCCACCAACTCTATCATTTGGTTGACTCAGACATTCCAGCCTGCAGACTTTAGAGAATTCAAACGGTCCGGACAAGGAAGAACCCCCCACCCCTCCCCAACATCCCTCATCCCCAACCCCACCCCCCATCCTCCCTCCGCCCCCTTCCCTCTACCTCCCACCCCCCACCCCACTCCCTGCACAGCACAGTTGCTTTGCCAGAAGTGGCCAGACTGCTTCTTTAAACAGGACCCCAATCCACTCCTCCTGATGGGGCAGGTCTTCCCAGCCGGGACCTCCGGCTACCCCTGCCCCTATTCTATGGACAGAGTTTTGATTTCTCCCTCTGACATAGTGCCCATAGAGAGGTGCAGACCGCCATCTTTGCAGTTTGGGCAAATCAGCCACTCCAGCCTGCAGGCTTTGGAGAGTCCAAGCCGAGTGGGGCAGAGGTGGTTCCCCAGCACAGCTCGGCTGTTTTGTCCCCAGCACAGCATGGCCAGATTGCTCCTTTAAACAGGACCCAGATCCATTCCTCCTGGCTGGGTGGATCCTCCCAGCTGAGGCCACCGACCACGCCCTCCCATGTTCTACGGCCGACAGAGTTCTAATTTCTCCCTGGCACGGAGTGCCAGTGTGGGGTTGTGGGGGAGCAGGCCACCATCTTCACCGTTTGGGCATCTCGGCCGGTCCAGCCTGTAGGTCTTGGAGATGCCAAACTGGGGACTGAAGAGATCCCCAACACAGCACACTTGCTCTACCAAAAAGCAGCCAGATTGCTTCCCTAAGTGGGTCCCTGATCCCATTCCTCCTGACAAGGCGAGACCTACCAACCAGGGTCTCCAGCCCCATCCTACTGACACATTCAGGCAGGCAACAGGTCATTACCATCCCGGGATAGAGCTTTCAGAGGAAGGGGCAAGCTGTCATCTTTGCTGTTTCACAGCCTTCACTGGTGATACCTCCGGGTATGAGAAAAACCAAGGTGACTAGGGGTCTGAAGCGCACCCTCAGCAAACTGCAGCAGCCCTATGCAAGAGTGGCCAGACAGTTAAAAGAAAAACAAACCAAAAGCAACAACAATAAAAACCACACACACAAAAAACCCATCCAAAGGTCAGCAACCTCAAAGATTAAAGGTAGATAAGCCCACAAAGGTGAGAAAGAATCAGTGCAAAAACGCTGAAAACTCAAAAAGCCAGGGTGCCACCTTTCCTTCAAATGACCGCAACACCTCTCCAGCAAGGGTTCAGAGCTGGGCAGAGGCTGAGATAGCTGAAATGACAGAAGTAGGCTTCAGAATGTGGAGAAAAGCGAACTTCACTGAGCCAAAGGATGATGTTGTAGCCCAATGCAAAGAAGCTAAGAATCATAATAAAACAATGCATGTTCTCACTTGTAAGTGGGAGCCGAATAATGAAAATACATGGACACATTGAGGGGAACAACACACACTGGGGCCTGTCAGAGGGTGGGGGTTGGGAGGAGGGAGAGGATCAGAAAGAATAGCTAATGGATGCTGGGCTCAATACCTGGGTGATGGGATGATCTGTGCAGCAAACCACCATGGCACACATTTGCCTATGTAACAAAGCTACACATACTGCACATGTGTCCCTGAATCTAAAATAAAAGTTGGAAATAAAAATAATAATTATTGTTATTCAAAAGGATTTTATCAGAACTAAATGAGGTGTATTGAAGTGCTTTAGAAATTATAAAACCTCATACTATATTGAAGATATTATCGAATATGGTGAGCAAGAAAGGTTTGAGTAGAACAGTTTGGGTATTCTTGGAAGACAATGCACTCTCTGCTACGTGGTACAGCAGATACTTTCCCCATGATTGTAACTATGTATGCAGATGTAGAAAGACATAAAATCACAACTCCATGCAAACTGTCCCAGAATGTTTTCTCAGGTAAACTAGGTCAACAGTCTGTTCATTAGTATTTTGTAAGCTAAAATTGCAAGTCACAAATGCTTATTCTTTATTCCTTCTTTATTTCCCATAAAGCATTTAAATCAGGCAAGAATCTAATAAACAATTGTACTTATTGAATCATTGAATAGGTAGAAAAACCTTATATAGAGATAGGAATATCTTATATATCTTTAGCTTTAAAGAACTTTAGAACTCAAAGAACAAAGAAGACAATGACAATATATATATATGTATGAGTGAGAGTTGCCCTTTCTTCATTTATGACTATCCTAAAACCCCTTTAAGCATTGTATAAAGTCCTTTCCAACTCTAAAAAGTATTTATACATGAATAATTTCTCAATTGCAGCAAGTTTTTCACACTTGTAACTAAGAATCAACTCCATTATTATTTTATAATGTGAACAAAATTGCAAAGGAATGCTGATTCCAGTCCAAAAAAGCCATTTTATGTGGATTCTTATGGCACTCCTCACCCATACTTGTGAGTCACAGGTGCAAAAACACAAACACAAAAATGGTCACAAAATGTAAATATATTTAAAAACACCTTCTGTGTTTGTCCTTTTCCATTGCCATAAAGAAATACCTAAGACTGGGTAATTTATAAAGAAAAGACTCATTTGACTCCATGTCCTGCATTCTGGGCACACTGGTATGGGGTTTGGGCTCCCAAGGCCTCAGGTAGCTCTACCCCTTTGGCTTTACAGGGTGCAGCCCCCCGTGGCTACTCTCACAGGTTGGAATTGAGTGCCTGCATCTTTTCCAAGTTCAGGGTGCAAGCTGCCAGTGGCTCTACCATTCTTGGTTGTAGAGGGTGGTGGCCCCCTTCCCACAGCTCTACTAGGCAGTATCCCAGTGGGAAGTCTGTGTGGGGCCTCCAACCCCAAATTTCCCCTCCACACTGCCCTAGTAGAGGTGCTCTGTGAGGGCTCCACTCCTGCAACAGGCTTCTATCTGGGCATCCAGGCTTTCTCATGGATCCTCTGAAATCTAGGTGGAGGCAGCCAAGCCGCCTTCACTCTTGCACTCTGAATGTCTGCAGGCTCAACAGGATGTAGAAGCTGCCAAGGTTTATGGCTTGTGCCCTCCAGAGTGGTAGCCCAAACTACACCTGGGTCCTTTTGACCCAGGGCTGGGGCTGGAGCTGGAGCTGCTGAGGTGAAGGGAGCAGTGTCCCAAGGCTGTGCAAGACAGCAGGACCCTGGGTCTGGCCACTGAAACCATTCTTTAAACCTAGGCCTCTGGGCCTGTGATGGGAGGGGCTTCCTCAAAGACCTCTGAAAGGCCTGCAAGGCCTTTTTTCCATTGTCTTGACTATTAGCACTTGGCTCCCATTTAGTCATTAAATCTCTCTAGCAACTAGTTGCTCCACAGCCTGCTTTGATTCCTCTCCTGAAAATATTTCAGGGGACTGGCATCTGTTTCTGGTGAGGGCCTCAGGAATCTTCCACTCATGGCAGAAGGCAAAAGGGGGAGCCAGTGTGTCACATGGCAAGAGAGGGAGCAAAAGAGAGAGGAAGCAAGAGAGAGAGAGGAGATACCAGGTTCTTTTAAACAACTAGACTTCATATGAACTAACTACCTTAGGGAGAGCACACCAAGCCATTCATGAGGGATCCGTCCCCATGACCCAAACACCTCCCACTAGGCCCACCTCAAAATTAGAGGTCACATTTCAACGTAAGATTTGGAAAGGACAAAACATCCAAACTATATCATCTTCTATATGAGAAGTCATTAACATGAAATTGTGAGGCATGAAGTAAAAATGACTTGCATAGATAATACATAAACAGGTATCACTTTTGAAGCAATGTACCTACAATTTGCATTTATTTGAATAAGAGAAATCATTGCTGACATACACTGAATATTTGTTTTGTAGTAGGTATAGTCATAACCATTATACCTTTATGAATTTATGTAATCCTCACAACAACTCTATGTATCGAGATGATCTCCACTTTACAGAGGCACAGTAAGATGATTTTGCCTGTTTCCCACTTAGAAAGTGAAGCCGGGATTTATAGCTGGGAACTCTGGCTTGAGAGCCCCCATGTCCTTAACCACTAACCATACTACCTCCAGAGACCCTCTCTAAATGGGAAGAGTAGGATTTATCAAAGCTGTGGCACTCAAGGTACTCTAAGAAAGGAGTGGATGGGGTCTCTGAAGACAGTGTGTCTCATTCTAAGACATTTGTTAAATAATCCCTTCTTTATTTCCCATAAGCTTAAATATGACCATGGAGAATTTCCGCATTTGATTAGTTAAAACCTGAGAGAAAGAAGGGAAAGTAAGAGATAATTTTCACTCCACAGGTAGTTAAATTCTGGAATGAATTTAAACTCAGATATCAAGACCCTTTATTGTATATAGGCAAAAAGAGATAGAGAAGAAATAATGTAATTGTTTTTATAAGTAATTTGGTTGTTTTAAAAAACCTAAAGTGGTCTTTCAGGCAGAACAGAAGTAATCAAGTCCTGTACTGATGCAGAATCCTGTGTTAATTCTGTTCCGGTTACAATAAGTAAATGGCTAAAAAGGCGAAGAATACATTATTAAAATAAAGACCTGCCTACTACAAAGGAGCAAATTAACAAAGAAAGGGAGGGAGGGAAGGAGGAAAAAGGAAGAAAGGAGGGAAGAAAAGAAGGAGAGAAGGGAGAGAGGGAGGGAGGAAGGAAAAGAAAATCGCAATAGTATGACATTGGGCAAAGGAGACATTATTCAGGGAAAAGAAAGAATAATTGAAAGAGGTATGCTTTTTGAAGAGTTATTAAGGTAAAAAGTTATTAACTGAACAGACATTATGTGAGATAGGTATTTATTTGAATGAGTAATGACTAAGACTTTCAAAGTTGATGAAAAATAGAAATCCTTAGGTTCAGAAAGCACAATAATTCTTAGCTGAGACAAATTGAAGAAATATCTATGCAGACATTTCATAGGAGAACTGCAGAACACCAAAGAAGACTCTGAATACTTAAATGTTCAGAGAGAAAAAAAACAAGTTACTTACAAAAAAAAACAACAGATAGTTTGACAACTGACTTCTCAACAGTAATTTTAAGAATCCAAAACACAATAGAATAATATCCTCAAAGTTCTGAAAGAAAATAATTGCTAATCTAAAACATATAACCAGCTAGATCATCTTTTAAGAATGGGAACAAAACAAAGACATCCTCAGATAACCCAGAAAGTTTTCAGCTTACTCTTACTAAAAACTTCCAAAAGGTATACTTTTAAAAAGAGAATATGAGGTGCCAGAAGGGATGATATGAGCAATATTTGAATTTTTAAATTTACTTGTGCATCTTTTCCAACATGTGTATGCATATATGAATTAATATAGTATTTGCTATCATTGTTTCATAGTTGGCAGTGTACTGTGCATACTTATCTTCACCTTGTTCATTTACTGTTGCTTAACATTATAGTCTGGGAATATTTTCATAACAGTATAAAAAGCTAATTCACAAGCACTTTTCAAATCTAATTGTGTTACGTTTGCTCTTGTCCCACTGGGCATAGCTGTTATGTGCCCAAGGTCAGAGTCCATGAAGGAGGAGACTATCCCAGTGTGTGGATAAAGGAAGGCATGAACTATTTAAAAGTCATTGCTGTAACATTCCATTACCTCGTGCAACTCAGATCCCAAGATCCCATGATCTTTGCTTAGATACCTGGGGTTCTGCAGGATTTGGACCAAGAATCTTGGCACACAGCTGCCTCTATTGTTTTTTTCTTCGTTCTGTAAGCATAGAAGCAGCCTAGCCATATTGAAAACATTTCATTCTCTTAACACATAAGGCCCTCACATGGTCATGTTAGAGCCACTGAGGAGATGGACTGTGTCTTACGCTCTTTGAAGCCCTTGAAGAACTGCAGACTGGGTCAGACCTATTGGTAGCAATTTATAATTTTTGGTGAGGATGGCAGAAGGATAAATCACTTAACAATGATGCTAATTAAATAAAAGTGCTTCACCCTTTAAGGATATGAAATCCTTAAAGTGGTGGATAGATAAGCTAGAACTAGATTCCCTTCCCTTCCTAATTTCATGTTAGCATGGGCAAGAAGAGACAGTTTGCTACAGATTTCCAAGGCAGAAGTGAATTTGCAGCCATCTTTTTATGCTCAAAAGGTTGTGTCAGGGAACAAGGTGCTGTGGCAGCTCAGGCACATTGTCTCACCTAGTTGGTGGGGGCAGCAGCTGGGCCACCAGCATCCAGCTCCTACTGGATCCTTCTTCAGCTTCTGCAACCTCTGAGCCAGGTGTATGGTTAGCTCCCTGGCAAAGGGCACTGATACCTCCTTTGGGACACCCTCATCACCAAGGTTGCAGGTTTGGAAGAGGTGAGAGACCAGTGCATGCTCAACTCCTTCCCTGTGGGCTACAGGTTTCAATTCGCATCCATCTTCCCTTTCCAATTACCTGCCCTGTAGATTTCAGGCTCCAGCACCAGATACAGAAACAATACAGACTCACATAGACTGCCTAACCAGCTCCCAAAATTATATAAGGTCAACGTATTTGCTATCTATGGTTGCACAACAAATTACTTCAAAACAACATAAACATTTATTATTTCACACAGTTTCTGTAGGTCAGCAATTTGACAGTGGATTAACTAAATGATTCTAACTCATGGCCTTTCATGAGGTTGCAATCAAAATGCTAGCAGGGGCCAGGAGCGGTGGCTCAAGCCTGTAATCCCAGCACTTTGGGAGGCCGAGGCAGGTGGATCACCTGAGGTCAGGAGTTTGAGACCAGCCTGACCAACATGGCAAAACCCCATCTCTACTAAAAATACAAAAATTAGCCAGGCATGATGGCACGTGCCTGTAATCCCAGCTACTCAGGAGGCTGAAGCAGGAGAATCTCTTCAACCCAGGAGGCAGAGGTTGCAGTGAGCCAAGATCGCACCAATGCACTCCAGCCTGGGCGACAGAGCAAGACTCCATCTCAAGAAAAAAAAAAAAAAAAGATGCTAACAGGGGGTCTGCAAACTTTCTATATAAAGGTCAGATAGCAAATATTTCAGGCTTTGTGGGCCATACAGTCTCTGTTGCAATCATTCAACTCCCTTTATAGTTTGAGAGCAGCCACAGGCAATATGTAAAGAAATGGTCTTGTCCATGCTCCAACAAGCTTTCTTTACAAAAACAGTAGACTGACTGGCCAAGAGAGGGTCATAGTTTGCTGATTCCTGATCTAAAAGTTTAATAGCGGCTGGAGTTAATGTTACTAAAATTTAGTGCAGGCAATTGGCAGAGGTCTACAGTTACTCATCTCTCTTGCTTGAGTGTCCCCACAGCATTGTGGCTGGCTCCTCCTGGAGTGAGTATATTATCCCTTTGATTACTTCTATTGGTCACACAGACCAAGAGCGCTACATTGTGGTAGGGGTTCACACAGGGTGTAGATACACGGAGGTAGGGATCATTGGGTGAGCTGTCTTGAAGACTGGCTTCCATATTTAATTCCCTAAAATAAATGATATTCCTACTGGTTTTACGTCTCTGATCATATCCTGACTGGTACTGGAGCTATAATAGTAGACATTTTAACATGCCAAAAAAACAGTGAATTTGGAAAAATGTTTTATTATATTCCAAGCAAATTCTAAATTAATCTAAATAATATTCATACTAGACATACCTTGTCAAAAGTTAAAATTTCAAGAATATTTATACATTTCTGAAAATATCCAAATAGGGAGGAGGAAAAACAACTTTCTTAAAAAGGGGTAAAATCTCTTTTTTTTTTTAGAGACAGGGTCTTGCCCTGTCACCCAGGCTGGAGTGCAGTGGTGCAATCACAGCTCACTCCAGCCTTGACTTCCTGTGTTCAAGCAATCCTCCCACCTCAGCTTCCTGAGTAACTTGGACTACACGCGTGCATCATCACACCCGGCTAATTTTTTTCATTTTTTTTTTTTGTAGAGACAGGGTCTTGCTATGTTGCCCAGGCTGGCCTCGAACTCCTGAGCTCAAGCAATCCTCCTGCCTCAGCCTCCCAATGTGCTCCAATTATAGGCAGGAGCCACCACACTTGGCCTGCTTCCTCAGACTTCTTTACAACACTGAGTTCCTAAAGATAATGAAAAATATGTAAAGACTTTCAGAGGGGAAGCATAATCAAGAATTTCATTCCCAGCCAAAGTGGTGTTCACGTGTGAAGGCAAAGACTGAGAAAGGAAACTACTCATGGATACGTGGCTGACTGAAGGAATTCAAAATAAAGAACTAAAAAGTAGGAAAGCCAAAATAAATTAAGTATAGAAGCTTACATATAAATAACTCCTGTAAATATAATCACAAAACTCAATGTAAAAACAAAACCATTGAACATAAGGGAACACAGGGTAAAGAAAATGAATAATTACGTGTAAGTAACATGGGTACGCTCCTCTGTTTAACCACAGGAAGCCTGGGAAGTCAGGGAAGAAAGTAATAGAAGTCAAGGCAGAAATCTGCCTCCTGCACAAGGCAGCATAAAAATTATATGTAAGCTAAGGCCTGAAAGAACAGTCGGAGTTGGCCAGGAGAATGGGGGATATTCTGGTGACAACAGCAGAAGCCCACTCTGGCTGAGAAAAATAGAAATCAGTTTATGGGAAAAATGTCAGAAGTTCACGGATGCAGTTAAAGGGCAGGAAGGTTAGATTCAGAACGAGACAGACACAGTGACACAGGAGATGTAATAAGCTTGTCAGGCACTGCCTCCGAGATAATGAGCCCTAACCATGTTTCTGCCTGTGTGTTATTCCTTCTGAGACCCAAAGTCCCTGAAGAGAGAGCCAGATTGAACAAGCTCAGGCCTGTTGCTGGCCAGAGGAAGGCAAGACTGTCCCTGATGGCCCCACAGAGACAGCTCACAGTCCATAGGAGCCACAGGAAGGAAACTGAAATGCTGTTACCCATAGGAGAAGAACGGCTGCTAGGCAACTCCAAAATAGTGAATGCTCACTCCAGGGGGACTGAGGCTGGGGAGGGCAGCAGAAACCTATCACAAAGAGCCTTTAAGTCATGCTAAGAAATGTGGACATTTTTCCAAATGAAAATGGGGCATAAATGAAAGGTTTGGAGCAGGAAAGTAATAGATTTGATTTCCATTTTAGAAAGATGGCTCTGGCAGCAATGTGAAGAGGAAACAGGAGGGGGACTAACTGGAGACTGTTGCAGTAATCCAGGTAGAACAGGATGTGGCCCAACTTATTAACTATGGACTGCAGAAAAACACGTGCAGTCTGTCTAGAGAGAATAAAGCAACATAGAACCAACAGATTTTGGTAACTGAGTTACCAATCTTATTATGATTAGATTATTCATCATCATCATCATCATAAGCAATAATAACGTAATAACAGTAAACAACAAATAAGAAACAATTTGATAATGGAAAACTGTGTTCCCCCTTCTCCAAATAATTGATGTGCTATGTGCGATCCATTAATGAGAACTATGTAACCCATCATTTGGCTCACAACCAAATTTGCATCTGATTCACATCAGCAGTGTGGACTCTTGTCTTCTGTGATCTTTTTTTCCTTGATCCTGACTTTTTCCATCTGTATTTATTTTACTGTTACGCTGTGTACGTATCCTTTTTTGGTAAAGTGTCCTAAAAAAACTCAGAACTACAAAATAAACAAACAAAAACTCATCATGCCCATATCCTCAATCAAAACCATTTCCCTGTCTTCATAATTTGCTAATGGCTCCACCATTTCCCTTGTACCTGGAGCTTGGAAACCTCAAGTATCAGAACCACTCCCTCTTGCCTGTCCTCCGTTGCCCACATTCAGATCTTCTGTACATGAAAAAGTTTTTGAATCAGTGCCCTACTTTTCATCTTTCCTTGCTTTGAGTGAAATCTCCCTTTTCCTCTTGCTTAAACCTTCCACCAGCTTCCTAACAGTCTCTCCTTGCCCTCTGACTACGCACCACTGCCAAGTTAAATTCCAATTATATTACTTTTCTGCTTTAAAACTCCGATGATTCACCAATGCTAATAAATTAGGCATTGGCCAGTGGCATATGCCTGTAATCCCAGCACTTTGGGAGGCCAAGGTGGGTGGATCACCTGAGGTCAGGAGTTTGAGACCAGCCTGGCCAACATGGCAAAACCCCGTCTCTACTAAAAATACAAAACTTAGCCAGGCGTGGTGGCACACTCCTGTAATCCCAGCTACTCGGGAGGCCGAGGCAGGAGAATCGCTTGAACCCAGGAGGCAGAGGTTGCAGTGAGCCGAGATCGTGCCACTGCACTGCAGCTGGGGTGAAAAGAGTGAAACTCCATCTCAACATAAATAAATAAATAAATAAATAAGGCATAAACCCTCCCTTCTGTATTAAAGATTTTCTCTCAGAAGATTATAATATGAAAAAGCTAGGAACACTTTTAGAATCCCCTAAATTGAGTACACATATCAGGTCTACTTTTCTTCACTTCATACCTTTTTCCAGGTTCCAGGTACATCCCTGGGTGTCTTAGTCCATTTTCTGCTGCTGTAACAGGATATCACAGACTGGGGAAGTTATGAACAAAAGAAGTTTGTTTGGCTCACAGTTCTGGGGGCTGAAAAGTCCACAATCCAGGAGCCACATCTGGCAAGGGCCTTCTTGCTGCATCATAACATGGAAACTAGGTGGAAGGGCAAGAGAGTGCATGCGACAGAGAAAGCAAGAGAGTGAATGTGGCTTTATGACTAACCTACTGCTGTGACAATGGCATTAATCCACCCAACAGGGTGGAGCCCCCATGACCTAATCACTTTTTAAAGGCCCCACCCCCTCGACACTGCTGCAGTGGGGATGAAGTTTCCAGCACGTACCTTTGGAGGACTTATTCAACCATGACCCTTGCTTCTCATTCATGGAGGAAGAGGAGTGAAGAATCCAAGTGGCAGACTTGGGAGCTCTAGCCCATCCTTTTCCCGTCCTCTTATTTTTGGGGGTCGGCCTGCCTGCTTAGCACTGTGAGCCTCTCTTAGCCTTGGTGTAGGCTTAGTGAAAAAGCTCTGCTTCTGGTAGGAAAGAGGGCCAGGGGAATGCTGGGCTTATACCTGATGGGAAAACCTATCTAGTTCTGGGGTTTAGTGTCAGGAATTCCATTGTTGCCACATACCTGAGTGAATTTAGGAACCAAAACTAGAACACATAGAGATTAAGGCTTCTGGAGGCTAGAGGAATTGATTGGTGTGATATAACCTTTGGGGAAACTATACCAAGCTTGAGCCGTGCAGGAATCTTAAACATTGAGTTTTCTGCAGCCAATATTGCACCTTATGCCTGATTTTTATGAAGACGGCTTTTAGCTGCTTCAGCCTGGACAAGTGAGTTTAAGTCTCAAGCTTCTGAAAGATTCTGACCTAGTGGTTGAATACACAACCAAGAGGCTCTTTCTATATTGCCTGGGCTGCAGGCACTGATCACTTCAGTGATTTCGGTGGCATTAGCAAAACTAGCCACAAAGGCTTTAGCAAGCAAACTTGGGTTTAAATTGAAAAATAACTTAGTCTGTGGGCAGCTGCAGATGGCCTTGAATAACACAAGTACAAATAGGCCTGTGATTGCGGCCAGGACTGATAGAGGGAATAAATAAATCCGGAAAGAGTCTTTAGAGTCCCACTGAGGTTTTGCCTTGAAAGAGGCAGAGTTTCAGCATTACTGTTTGGCTTTTACCAGGATTTTCATCCAGGTCTATAAAGAAGTTAGGTTCCACATGGGTCACAGAGCAATAGCCTGTGAGATTCTAGCTTTAACTTATTAGTGTTAGGTTCAAATAGGTAGTACACGATCTCACTTTGAGTAGACCCAAATTCTATTCCACATTTAGAGCCAAGGAGGAAACTTTAGAGGAATTCATCTTCAATTCATGTGACTGATAAACTGTTGAGTCACCACCAATCATGTAAACTCAAGTTGGCCCTGAATTTGTTAATTTCATGAATTCAAACCAAGGCTTTGGATTTCAGACTAAAATTATGCATTCAACCTAAAAGGGAAGTACATTTTATTAATAAAACAATAAGAATAAATGGGCACCCTCATTGAAAAAATGCTGTCTTCTTAGATAACGCTAGAGAAATAACTGAAAGAAACTATCACTGTCCCAATAAAAAGACAGATAATTTTTCAAATACGGTCTCTGAGGAACATGATTGCTTAAAATGTCACAGAAAAACTGGAGTTGTATGAAAAACATGTTGGTCTTAATATCCGAACATAAGCAGAGGAAAATTGAAAATAAAGAGACAGATTAAGCTAGAGGAAAATTTCCTTAGGAGTAAGGTTGAAATATTAGAGAACATATTAAAGAGAAATTAAACTAAAATGAGATCTCAAAAGCCAACATGTATAAAAGGGAAAGGAAGGCGGCCGGGCACAGTGGCTCACACCTGTAATCCTAGCACTTTGAGAGGCCGAGGCGGGTGGATTGCCTGAGCTCAGGGGTTCGAGACCAGCCTGGGCAACACGGTGAAACCCCATCTCTATTAAAATACAAAATTAGCCGGACATGGTGGCAGGTGCCTGTAATCCCAGCTACTCGGGAGGCTGAGGCAGAGAATTGCTCCGCCTCCCGGGAGGTGGAGGTTGCAGTGAGCTGAGATTGCACCATTGCACTCCAGCCTGGGTGACAGAGCAAGACTCCGTCTCAAAAAAATAAAAATAAATAAATAAAAGGGAAAGGAAAATGCAATAAGGTCTAACTTGTATAAGGGAGGGTGTTAGATGCAGGGAAAGTGTGTAGTTATTACTAGAACAGAAACAGTGATTCCAAAAGTTTCAGAGTTTCTTTTTTAAAAGGAGAATAAAAACAAGAGTACACTAAAATGACATTCAAGAGGGCTAAGATCCAGGAAACTATTAAATGGTAGATTCTTAAAATTATTACTGGAAAGTCTATAGTAAAAGCAACTGATTTTCTTGCCTTCCTTCCTGCACCCTGGTAATCCATTCATTTCTGAGAAGCACACCTGATTATGTCAGTCCCTTGCCATAAACTACATATGCACACACACACACACACACAAACACACACATGAACACACACACAGCCCATGCACCTTTGCACCTTAGCATGGAAGACAGTCTTTCTGTGACCTGGATTCTATGTACCTCCCTGAATTGTTTCCTGATAAACTCCACCTCTGCATCCTAGATTTCAGTTGTACCAAACTATTTGCAAGTCTTGAGTATTTATAAACTTTATGACATATTCATTCTGCCTACCATGTCCTTTTATCCTAGTCCACACGGATTTTACAAGACTCAGCTTACATATCCCTTCTCCTAGGAGCCTTTCTACATTAGAATTACCAGTGAATACAGAGCACTTACAATGTTTTATTTTTCTTATATATTTATTGACTCTTTTTCAACTCTAAGCCAGTGGTTCTCAAAAGAGGTGATATAGCTCCAAGGAGACATTTTAAAAATGTAAGGGGCATTTTTAGTTGTAATGAGTTTAGGGGTTGGGAGAACACAACAGATATTCAATGGACAAGCCAGGAAGCTAGACACCTTGCAATATCCATACAGTTCACTACAAAAAAGAACTATATGCATCATGTTCAACTTTGGAAGTTCCACAGGCCTTTCTGTAGGTGAAAAACTTGTTTATAATTATCTGAGTTAAGACTCAAGCTCTGGGCCAGGTGCAGTGGCTCACACCTGTAATCCCAGCACTTTGGGAGGCTGAGGTGGGCAGATCACCTGAGGTCAGGAGTTCAAGACCAGCCTGGCCAACATGATGAGACCCCATCTCTACTAAAAATACAAAAAAAATTAGCCAGGCGTGGTGGCGCATGCCTGTAATCCCAGTTACTCAGGAGGCTGAGGCAGGAGAATTTCTTAAACCCAGGAGGCAGAGGTTGCAGTGAGCCGAGATCACACCACCGCACTCCAGCCTGGGCAAAAAGAACGAAAACTCTGCCTCAAAAAAAAAAAAAAGATTCATACTCTGTTTTATATAAAATCAAAAGTATTTTTGCATGGTGTTACATATTGAATTTCACAGGAATATAACTACCATAAACTGAGGAAAGAATGTACTTGGTTTATGTTCAGAACTTTATCAAGAGTTGTTTCCCATTTCAGAAATCACATCACTATGGGCACCACTGAGGGTGGTATTTGAGTCACCAACACAACACTCCTGTATCCATCTGCATTTGTCGATGAGGCATTCATGGTGACTGTAAGTAGATGTACAAATTTCCTCATTTAGCTCTTATGGTCAAAATGTCAAATATAAATTTTAAATGTGGGCAAATATTCAGTCAAATATATTAAATTGGGTTTTACAGCTTTTATGCACAAATGAACAGTCACCAATATGTCTATTCTGCCAACACATTTTTTTCTAATTAAGCCAACGAACTCATCTAGAGTAAGCGAACATTTTACAAAGGAACATGTTGATCACATTGGCAAAGATATGTATATATATATATATATATACTTCTGATATTTAAGGAAAACTGAAAATTGCTATACTGTCACTGGAATGTTCAAGAATGTTCTCTGCAAAAGGAGGTGAGTCTCATTGGTTCTTACAGAACAACATAAAAGATCATGCAATATGGTACATCATACGGTATTCTAAGAAAATTAGTTTTATAAGCTATATAAGAGATTAGTACAAAGAGGATAAAAATAAATCCAAACCAAATAATTTCTCTATCCCATTTAATACTGCTTTAAGAAGACGGTAAAAGATATTGAAATCAATTGCATAGTGCAAATAACTTTGATTATGAGTGGGCAAAAGTAACCTGAATAATCATAAGACTTTAATATTTGCATCTATAAAGTGTTCAAGGACAGAAAAATTATGTAGAAAAGATTATTTTCAAAATTGCTAACAATGAATACAAAAAATTTGTCAATATTTGAAACCCTAAAATTAATTAAAGAGAAAAAAATTTCCTTTTCCAACATCATTGCTTATTTAACAGATGGAGCACCAATAATGTAAGTTTAGAGCCAACTTTAAAAAGAGGTACCGGGTGTTTTAACAAGTCATTTTATTATTCATCAACAACCTAATTACCAAGTCTCAGAGAACAAGATAATCATCAATGAATGTTTAAAAATAATCCCTTCACTGACAGATTATTCATAATCTTTCAAATGTCATTTAAGTGTTTGAATGTCATGTCCAAATAAGATGGTTCACCAAGCAAATATTTTTAAAAGGTTTGGCTCACATTATGGACCTTTATGGATCTTTGACATGATCAATAAAAATATATATATAATTGGAAATACTGCAAATTGATGAGATATAGCCTTCAAGCATATTTGAAAAGGTCTTCCTTATTCAAATTATAATTTTTAATTTATATTTTGTATATTAATATATTTATTTTTAAATATACAGAAAAGTTGAAAGACTAGGACATGCTTGTCCAACTCACAGCCCATGGGTCACATGTGGACCAGGACAGCTTTGAATGAAGCCCAACCCAAATTCATAAACTTTCTTAAAGTATTATGAGTTTTTTTGTGATTCTCTTTTTAACTCATCTGCTATAGTTAGTGTTAGTGTATTTTACATGTGGCCCGAGACAGTTCTTCTTCCAGTGTGGCCCAGGGAAGCCAAAAGATTGGACACTCTTGGATTAGAGCAAGGAACACCCATATGCCTGCCACCTACATTCAGCAATTGCAAGTATTTTGCTGTAATTGCTTCCTATATGTTTGTATATTTGACTAAAACATTTCAAAGTAAAATACAGTGACCATGCTATTTCACCTCTGAGTTCTTAATCATGAATCTCCTAAATATAAGGATATTCTCTTGCATAACCACAATGTTATTGCTATACCTTTAAAAATTTAGGAGTGGGCTGCAGCCTGGGCGACAAGGCTTCCCCCAGCTGACCTCTGTGCCCTAGAAACCGTAGGGACCCAATGGGTCAGCTCACTTGGGTGGGTGCGGTGGCACCAACCATGGGTGCTTTAGAAGAAGGCTTCATTGTGCCCTTCTCCTCTGACTCTGATGCACATTTTGATGCTGCGGTTGGATATTTAGAGGACATTATCATGGATGAAGATTTCCAGTTATTACAGAGAAATTTCATCAACAACTACTACCAGGAGTTTGAGGACACCAAAGAGAATAAACTCACCTACACACCTATTTTTAATGAATATATTTCTTTGGCAGGAAAGTATATAGAAGAACAGTATATAGAAGAAAGTATATAGAAGAACACACCTATTTTTAATGAATATATTTCTTTGGCAGGAAAGTATATAGAAGAACAGTTGCTGGAGCAAATTCTTGGCTTTACCATGGCAACTTTCACAACGTTACAGCACCACAAAGATGAAGTGGTTGGTGACATACTCCAAATGCTGCTCAAATTTACAGATTTTCTGGCTTTTAAAGAAATGTTTCTGGACTGCAGAGCAGAAAAAGAAGGCCAGAGACTGGACTTAAGCCGTGGTTTAGTGGAGACTTCATTGTGCAAATCATCTTCTATGACAGCTTCTCAGAACAATCTGCAGCAGTAGGACCTACCTCCAGACAATGAATGGTATCATTCTCAATTTCACGGGCTCAGTAGTTCAATAGGCTCGGCTCATGATGACAGGAGAACGTATCCTGGAAAAACTGATTCTGTTCTGCAACTCTTCATTCGCATTAAATATTGATGGGGTAAAAGCCAAAATGATCTAATCCTCCTGGACCTATTTATCCTGAAACATCTTGTTGGGTTTTTGTTTTTGTTTTTGTTTTGAGACAGGGTCTCGCTCTGTCGCCCAGGCTGTACTGCAGTGGCCCAATCTCGGCTCACTGCAGCTTCCACCTGCCTGGTTCAAATGATTCTCCTGTCTCAGCCTCCCAAGTAGCTAGAATTACAGGCACCCACCACCACGCCCAGCTAATTTTTTTGTATTTTTAGTAGAGACGGGGCTTCACCATGTTGGCCAGGCTGGTTTTGAACTCGTGACCTCAAGTGATCCGCCTGCCTCAGCCTCCCAAAGTGCTAGGATTACAGGTGTGAGCCAACACACCCACCCCTCCCCCGGCCGAATCACCTTCTTGTATTCATTAACCCTAATACTCCTCCCCTCCCCAAGTAGGTACCTCTCTCAGGTGCTTCTGACTCAGGCAGCTTGTGAGCAAGCCCATGTCAAGCATTCCACTCTGTGGGGGGCCTTTCCTCACCCCAGCATTCACGTTTGCGTATCAAAACCCACCATCATGAACCCTCTTTATCCCAGCAGGGTTTGCATAAATTTTTTGTGCACTTGCATCTCATTTTTGACATGGGTTAGAGTTTCAGTTCTTCAGCCCCAGTGAGGTTTTTTATATTTATCTGGGGTGTTACTCCAGCCAGCTGTCCATCTTGAGATTTTTGAATCTCCTGTGATCACAGCTTGTCCTGGCTGGAGGAATCAACTGAAAGAGATGTCCCTTATCTAAAAGCTATGTGTGAAAATTCCTGGTCTTAACATTTGAAATCCTTGTGTGACTATGTCTTCTGCTGGCCCTGATGTAGTCCCACTATTTTCAGAAGTCTCTTTGAAGTGTTATTTTTGGAAAATATTTGTATAGATGAATTCTCAGGCTAACCTAGTTGTCTGAGTAGCCTTGCAGTAAGGGAAATCAAAACTTAAGCAGGGAAGGGGGTGGGTATGACCTTATAAGGGGATAATGCAACTTAGGCAATATCCAGAAAGATTGTAACCCCATAGTACTCGACCAATGAGGAACTTGGGGAGGGACTTGCATGCTAGGAGATAAATTACCTGCTATGACTGCCCTGGGTGTGCCTGCCTATCAGACACCCGATCTTGCAAGACCGCCATTAAAAGTATCATTTCCACTGGATATGATTTTGGAACTTCCATGATTACCCACTTAAAGATCAAAGTATTATATACCATGTGCTTTTTAGTGAATGTTGCGAAGGCAAAAATGCTTTCTACGTTGGCATTCATTCTTATTTTACTGGGCACCTATAAATGCATGCTGTGTGCCTGAAATACACTAAAAGGTATCCGTTCTTACAGCATGTTTGTGTGTTTGCATGTTTGCTGAAAATCCTTTCTGTATAAACAAGTTTGCTGGGTTCTCAGGGTTAGGTAGGGACTCTGCCATTTCTTACTGTCAAAATCTCTCCTGTGGAGATGGTGTTCCACTGCCAGTCTAGCTCAGCATGAGTAGGAAATAGTAAACACCCTTACCAGTCATCTGTCTGCTTTGGTTTAGTGTAATGTGTGGTAGAATATTACTTATCAGAAAGCATGTATGTCATCTCTGGAAAGAAGAAAAATCACAGCAGTTCAAGTCTCAATGTGTACCTTTGATTTTTTAAAATTAGAAATAAGAATCTGTACTGACTTTTCACTTGGCTATCTTACTTTTAAAGGACAAGCTACAAGTGATGTGTTTTTCTATACTGATGCATCACTTATTAAATGCTTTTGTACCATGAGTAAAAAAAAATTCAGAATCATTATTTAATGTCATCTAATACTCAGTTCATTTTCAAATGTCTCCAACTATCCCCAAAATACCTTTTGACAATAGCAAAAATCAATTGCATTTGTGCATCATGACTCTATTTTAAGCTAGAAAATTTCTTGGCCCTATTTTTTAATATAATTTTTATAAAATTGACCTTTTTTTACTAAGCCAGTTGTCCTTTCGAATTTCCGCATTCTGAATTTTTCTGACTGACTCTTCATGGTGCCATTTAACTTATTCCTCCCTCTCATCCCTATAAATACGAAATGAGCTCTATAGACTTCATTAGATTCACATCAAACATTTTTGGCAAGAATCATATGTAATGCTTATACTTCATATTTCCTCACATCAGGAGGTAGCAGATATCAGGTTTCCTCCTATAACTAATGCTAAGGAGGGCACAGTCCTATCTCTCCACTGCAAAGGTAGAGCTACAGCGCAAATGAGGTCCTTCTTACATTTTAAGGAAAGAAGCTCAATCTCATCATAGTATAGGGAATTATCATGACTTAATCAATAAACATAATATTTTTTAAATAAGCTGGACAGATTAGTCTTTACAGGCTACTAACAGAATACCACAGACTGGGTGACTCATAAAAACAACAAATATTTATTTCTCACCATTCTAGAGAGTGGGAAGTCCAAGATCAAGGTGCCAGTAGATTCTGTGTCTGGTGAGGGCCCTATTCCGGATTCACAGATAGTTGCCTTTTTGCTGTGTCCTCTCATGGCAGAAAGGGTGAAGAATCTCCCTGGAGTCTCTTTTATAAGGGCACTAATCACATTCATGAGGGCTCTGCCCTCATAGTCTAATCACCCCCAAAGGACCCACCTCCTAATACCATCACCAGGGGTGTTAAGATTTTAACATTTAAATTTTAAGGGCACATAAACATTCAATCCATTGCACCTGCTCAATGTTAATTTTTATAGTTTTCAGCTTTGCCGCATAATCTAACATAAGGGTAGGTTAAAAGATACTGACTCAGAAATATATTGCTCTCATTTGGATGCTGTGATGATTAGGTTTAAAGATCCATTAACATTTTACAATACCAGATTGGGTGGTTTCAAACAGATGTGGAATATCTTTGCCAGCATTTTCAAGAAAAGTTAATTGATTTCAGTATGGTGCCTCTCATATAAAAAAAAAAACTTAATTGGACTTTGAGGACAACATATGATTTAATCTGTCATAATAAAAAGATCTCGGATCCAGCTAAGACTTTCTCACCCACTTGTTCAAAAATAATCTAAATTATGGCAGCATTCTTCCCATCCAAGTACTAACTAGGCCTGACCCTGCTTAGTTTCTGAGATCAGATGAGATCAGGTGGATTCAGGGTGGTATGGCCAAATGGCATCATTCCTACTACACATATAGCTGAGGATGGTTTCAAAATGCTTACTGTGAATGTCATGAAAATCAACTGCAAACCGGTGACAGGAGATTTTAAGCTAACTTTCATAGACTCTGTACAAAATATTGAACCATAGACCTAGGAAACAGACATGTCATTGAATTTTAATACAAGATATTGTTTCCAAATATTTCATATCATTAGCATATATTTGTTTAAGTTGAAAGTACTATGATAAGATATATATGTTCTGATAATTACATTTTGAAACTGTTGTTATTAGTCTGTTCTCATGCTACTAATAAAGACATACCCGAGACTGGGTAATTTATAAAGAAAGAGGTTTAATGGACTCACAATTCCACGTGGCTGGGGAGGCCTCACAATCACGGCCGAAGGCGAAAGCCACGTCTTACATGGCGGCAGGCAAGAGAGAATGAGAGCCAAATGAAAGGGGAAACCCCTTATAAAATCATCAGATCTCATGAGACTTATTCACAACCAAGAGAACAAGGGGGAAACCATCCCTGTAATTCAATTATCTCCCACTGTGTCCCTCCCACAACACGTGGGAATTATGGGAGCTACAATTCAAGATAAGATTTGAGTTGGGACACAGCCAAACCATATCATCTGTATATTTATTTTTTGACTACTTGTTTTTTTCTCTACCATTTGGAGTCCCCAGAGCACAATCTCTTAGAGCCTCTTGTCTGATGGTTTCTTTTTCCAGTCTACTCTATTCACCATTGCTTATCAGAGAATGGTCACCCATGTATTTTTAAGCTTTAGAGACTGGTTGTATAACTAAATAAATTGTGGGATTTTAAGACATTATGTGAGATACTGTTATCCACACCATGTGTCACAATAGAATTATTTTATCCTTCATTTTTAAATAATGCCCAACTCATTTTCTCCCTTCAATGCCCATAATTTGTCTTGGATGTTTTCCCTACTTCAATTAAAGGTTTTCATCTTGTTCTCTTATCATATACAAACTAGTGTGGTTTTAGTTTCTCCTAAACTATTTCTATTCAGGTGTTTACATATGCCTCTGTTCTTTCCTTTTCTTATACCTCTTATTTTAAAATGACCTCTATTTCTTATTTATTTTATCAGATGAGCGCATTTGACTACATCATTATAGTTCTGCCTAATTGTGCCGGGAAATTAACACGTTAGATACACATATTATTAGATTATAAATTACTTTCTTCTTTGTGTCTCCTTTATATTACATTTAGGACAATGTGGAATATTTTAAATTGTGATAAAAATAAACATTCCCAAATCTACCATATTGACCATTTTAAAATATACAGCTCAATAGTGCTAAGTATATTTACATTGTTGTGCAACCAATCTCCAGAACTTTTCATCTAGTTAAACTGCAACTCTATACCCCTTAAACAACTCTCTATTTTCCCCTCCTTCCAGCTCCTGAGGATAATGTTGATTTTTAAATTCTCTGCATAAGCATGTCATTTTAAATGCGAATTTTATTTTGAGATTGTGAAAGAAATTTTACAAAATATTTGTTTAAAAAAATGAGGGACCTTTGGGTCTAACAGAGTCAAGAACCACCACTCTAAGCTCCTTGAAGGAAGAGTGTTTTATTTACCTTGGTATTTCCAGGGCCTCCCACGGCGTAAATAATAGAAGCTCAATGAATATATATTGAAAGAATGAGTGATTGGAAAACTAAGCGAAGCCAAGCATAGTGACTCATACCTACAATCCCAGTTCTTTGGGAGGCCGAGGTAAGAGGATTACTTGAGGCCAGGAGTTCAAGACTGGCCTGGGCAAAATGGCAAAACCCCATCTCTACAAAATAAATAAATTAATTAACTAATTAATTAATTTAATTAGCTGGGTGTGGTGGTACTGACATGTAGTCCTGGCTACAAGGGAAGCTGAGGCAGGAAGATCACTTGAGGCCAGGAGTTTAAACTGCAGTGAGCTATGATTGTACCACTGCATCCAGCCTGGGTGACAGAGCAAGACCCTGTCAAAAAAAAACAAGAAAGAAAAGAAAAAGAAGAAAGAAAGTAAGAAAGTAAGAAAGAAAGAAAGAAAGAAAGAAAGAAAGAAAGAAAGGAGAAAAAAAGAAAAGAAAAGAAAAGAAAAAGGGAAAGAGAGAGGAAGGAAGGAAGGGAAGAAAAGGAAAGAAAGGAGAAAAAGAAAAGTTAAGCAAGAGAAACCACTATCACTCACAAAAGATCACATGTTGTATGATATCAGTTAATGAAATGCCCAGGATAAGCAAATCTATCAAGACAGAGACAGAAAGCAGATTCGTGGTTGCCTAGGGGTGGGAAAGGAAAAGACTCGGGAGGAAGAATGGGAATGACTGCTGATAGGTACAGGGTTTCTTTCTGAGTGGAAGAAAATCCAAAGTTAGGTTAAGGTTACACAACTCTGGAAATATACTAAAAAAAAATTGAATTGTACACTTAAAATGGGTAACCTTTACGGTACATAAATTATATCTCAATAAATTCTTTTAAAGAATTGATTGAATACATCCTAAAAACCTATAGTCACCATCCTTAACAAGTCCTTTAGGACTTCACCAAAAGTTCAACCAATTATGATTTTATGCTTTCATTTGAAATGCTAAGTATTCTCAGAATATCAGATGTACAATTACATCTTCTGTCCAAAGTAAAATACAAATTATTATTTCATTTTATTAAATCATTCAGAACAAACTGTATTCAACCAACTCAGCAGTATAGTGTAAACTCAAGGGACGGGAACTATGGAATTGCTTCCTTCTGTATTGGTAACAGATTAAACAAAATTAAACAAGCAAATGACACTGAAGAAGTAAGCTTACTCATCCATGGTGGATCCCCTGTGGGCAGAGTGCCATGGAAACCTCTTACAGCCAAGTGTATGAAGAATAAATCCTGCTCATGAGGATTAGACCCTTGATCTCACCTGAGGAGAAGTGGGTGCTTCCCCACCCACGGTGCTGAGCTGGCAGAATGAGGCTGGAGTCAAGGTTCTGTCGAGGTAATCTTTATTTTTTTTTTTTTTTTTTTTTGAGATAGAGTCTCACTCTGTCACCCAGGCTGGAGTGCACTGGTGCAATCTTGGCTCACTGCAACCTACACCTCCTGGGTTCAAGCGATTCTCCTCCCTCAGCCTCCCGAGTAGCTGGGACTACAGGCATGTGCCACCACGCCTGGCTAATTTTTGTATTTTTAGGAAAGACAGGGTTTCACTATGTTGGCCAGGCTGGTCTCGAACTCCTGACCTCAGGTGATTCGCCCACCTTGGCATCCCAAAGTGCTGCAATTGCAGGTGTGAGCCACCATGGAGTTAACATTTGAATCTTAGATTATGATCCTTCCTGTGCCAGGGAGGGGCTGATTCTTTCCTGTGCTTGCACATTAAAGCCCCCCTGCACCAGGGCCTAGATTAGGTGTCTCCCCAATATTTACTGTTAAATATGGCCATGGAGTGTTTACCTAACTGCCAACTAAAAACTACTTGATCATTGCTTTTCTTTTCTTTCCTTTTAGAAAACTTCAGTACTCCCATAACTGATACTTGATTAACATACCTGGCACTCTGGCTTAATTCTTCTGAGGAATTTCAGTAGCATTTAAATTTATTTTCTCAACTCAAAAGCATTTTTGTTGTTCTTCCAGAGGATATAGCCCTGATGTTAACATATTCTTTTTCTCTTGTCCGACAATGTGAGACAATGCAGTTGACCCCTTGAACAACACAGGGGTTAGGGGCACTGACCCCTGTGCAATTGAAAATCCTCATATAACTTTTGACTCCCAAAAAACTTCAATATTAATAGTCTACTCTTAACTGGAAGCCTTACTGAGAACATAAACAGTATATTTTGTATGTTATACATATCACATACTGTGTTCTTACAATAAAGTAAGCTAGAGAAAAGAAAATTGTATTAAGAGAATCATAAGGAATACAAAATATATTTACTATTCATTAAGTGGATCATTATAAAGATTTTCATCCTTGTTGTCTCCACATTCAGTAGGGTGAGGAGAACAAAGAGAAGAGGTTGGTCTTGCTGTCTTAGGAGTGGCAGAGTCAGAAGAAAATCCACATATAAGTGGACATGCATAGTTCAAACCACTGTTTTTCAAGGATCAACTATAGTTCATAACAAAACAATGATAAGTATACGTAATAGAGAGGGTATGAAAGCTCTGTTTTTAACCTTGTTTGAAAAATCATTTCCAGGCCAGGCATGTTGGCTCATGCCTGTAATCCTAGCACTTTGGGAGGCTGAGGCGAGCGAATCACCTAAGGTCAGGAGTTCAAGACCAGCCTGGTCAAAATGGCAAAACCCCATCTCTACTAAAAATACAAAAATTAGCTGGGTGTGATGGCACATGCCTGTAATCCCAGCTACTTGGGAGGCTGAGGCAGGAGAATTGCTTGAACCTGGGAGGTGGAGGTTGCAGTGAGCCAAATTTGGGCCACTGCACTCGAGCCTGGGCAACAAGAGCAAGACATGGTCTCAAAAAAAAAAAAAAATCAGTTCCAATAACAATTCTTGCTTTTCAACTTTATTTTCATGACTCCTTGATTGATTCAACATGATTTTAAGAAAAGTCCTGTTCCCTGGGACTGCATTACAAGCTGTCTAGATAGCTCCCATGAAATGGAAATTAACCCCACACCAGGGGAGGCAAATTGTCCTATAGATTATTCTATATTATGTAGACTTTCAATTATGTAGACTTCCACAGACTTTGATCAAAACAAAATCTTCCCTAAGAGTCCACCAGGCTCATATAGCAAATCTAAAATAACTTCTTGTCAAGGCAGGTAAAAACTGGCCACAATTATGGCCACAATTTTGTAAAAAGTAGCATTTGGAAGTTGTAACTATAGTTCTAAAAATGAAGTAAGC
The DNA here is from genome assembly GCF_000001405.40 of Homo sapiens. Lineage (NCBI taxonomy): Eukaryota > Metazoa > Chordata > Mammalia > Primates > Hominidae > Homo > Homo sapiens. The sequence continues at coordinate 36,803,290 of NC_000013.11, forward strand.
ATCCTGATCCATAAGGTGTCAATAAAGTTCTAGACGTTTTTGTTATAGAAAAAAAAAATGACAAACTGTCATCTGTCTGTTGTATTCTGAACACTTGATTTTTTTTAATTTTTTTATTTTTATTTTTATTTTTTTTGAGATAGGGTCTCACTCTGTCACCCAGGCTAGAGTGCAGTGGCATAATAACAGCTCACTGTAGCCTCGATCTCCTGGGCTCAAGTGATCCTCCTGCCTCAGCCTCCTAAGTAGTTGGAACACAGGCACGTGCCACACCTGGCCAATTTTTTTATTATTATTTTTTTGTAGAGATGGGATTTCACCATGCTGCCTAGGCTGGCCTCAAACTCCTGGGCTCAAGTGATCCTCCCGCCTCAGCCTCCCAAAGTGTTGGGATTACGAGTGTGAGCCACCATGGCTAGCACACATTCTGAGCACTTTAAAGGACACAGTAAGCCAATAAAATAGGCTGACACATATTTAAGGAGTCACTAGACATCCAGGAGCCCTTCACACTCATCAGAACTCTTGGGATGACCCAGACTCTGGCCACATGATTGATTACATTCAAACTTTAGAGCCATCCCCACCCAAAATACATGGCTTGTCTTGGTGCACACATCATAGCAGGTACCAAAATACTCTTCAAGAGGATAAACACCAAAGGCCATGGAGGATAGCCACCAAAAATTGGCTTGGCCCACAAATCATAGAACTAATGATGGTGACATCTTACTGTTATTTTGCTCACATTAATTGAAAAAGACTAGTGTGAGAAGAGGAAATAAGTAATGATGCAAAACAAGCAGCATCTATACTCTACCCTCCGATGACCACAATAATGGTGAACAAATATTTAAATGTAGTTTCCTTAATTTTAGCCATCTACTAGCCCTTTGTCATCTAAAAGTACACTAGTGCTGCTTAGCTCTGTGTCTCTGTCCTCTCTGTCCTTGCCACCCCCCAGGGAGTCTGTGGCATTTGCTTAGCTCAGGAACTGAGCCTACACAAATATTCAAAAGGATGTCAGCTTGTTTCCCACTGCCCTACTTTTTGCAGCAAGTTCCCTTTAATTTTGAAGGCAGACTATTTGGTTCACAGAATGAAAAGATTTCCAATACCTCACAAGATCATGTGAGTTGTATTTGTGTTTTTGTTATTTATTTATTTATTTATTTGGAGACAGGGTCTGGCTCTCTCACCCAGTCTGGAATGCAGTGGCATAATCTCAGTTCACCACAGCCTTGACCTCCTTGGGCTCAAATGATCTTCCCACCTCAGCCTGGGACTACAGGTGTGTGCTACCACACCCAGCTTATTTTTTGTTGATTTTTTTGTAGGGATGAGGTTGCCCAGGCTGGTCTTGAACTCCTGAGCTCAAGTGATCTGACCGCCTTGGCCTCCCAAAGTGTTGAGATTACAGGCATGAGCCACCACACCCAGCACGAGGTGTGTTTGGATTGGAACCGGATCCATGGATGGCGTGAAGTCAGTGTCCATCCTCCTGGCTTGGATATTGCAGGACCAGTTCTTTTCTGACGCTGGACAGATTCCAGGAGCCTCGCCTTATGTTTAATTAAGTTTGCTCTCCAGGAAGACATTTCTTTTGATGGCTTGATTCAGTGCTTCTCTGTCTCCCAAAGTAATGATCATGGCATTTATGCTCTTTCCAAAGCATAACTTGTTTGTACTCTGTTCCCTGACAGATTTCTGTAATTGATCTTTAATCACTTTAGCCTATGCTAGACCATCCTCTAATGCTCAGATCTCTGGGGAGCCTTTAGAATGTTGCATTGTGAATTTTCTTTGGCCATGTATACCTCCATATAGAGTCTGGTACTTTTAGTCAGAAGGTTCCTGTTCCCAGTTGAATTTGTTCTAGCTGTTTTTCTAATCCAACTTTGTATTCCTATCTTTCCCCCTATTCACTGCATTCTGCTTATATGTTATAGCAGATCTCTCTAAAAGGTAGAGTCTTCTTCTGAGATGAAGTCCGTCTTCCTGAATTCCTCCAACACGTAAACTAGTGAGGAAATTAGTCTTCTTGTGGTATGGTTTCCAGGCTCAGCAGGTGAGGACTCTCATTGACAGCAATAAGGAACCTAAAACATTTTTTTGTATACTGCTATTACATGGAAATTCAGTATTATCCCAAACTATTACCTTCCTGCTTTAGTGCATATCATGAACAATTGACTGCATAGATACCATGATAATAGTGATAGTAACATAAACTGAAGAGATTGGGAACATGGTTGTGGGGGTACACATTGATATACCACCTCGACTGATGGTAGGGTAACTTAGCAATCGAGGTACCTTAGCATTAGAGCTCTTCTGCAAGAAAAATGGCAAGGATGAATGAGAAAACAACAGTATATTATGAAAAAAGTTGAAGATCTAAGTGGCCCAAACCATGACTACACAAATTATAACAATAACTACTTTTCTTCCTGTTGTCTCATAGTTCTGAGTAAGTCCCCAAGGAAGAGAACACCAGCTCCCAGGGCACCAGTGTGGTCCCAAACTGGTTCTGTACTCTGAAACTCATTCCCCCTCTTCAGCCCACATCTTCATCTAAGAGAAGCTGAGAGTGGCAAAACCAAATAAAATGCAAAGAGAGGATTTCTTCTAGGAGAGTGGCAAGTGAACTGTGTGTTTCCTTTGTCAAAAAACAAAATCTCAACAAATTCAATTTAAAATTTAATTGGATTTTATTAGCAATTCATGAATCAAGCAGCACCCCATCTTGGACAAGATTTGGACAGGCGTTCTGCTGGACATGGAAAAACAGTCCGTTTTTTAAAGGTAGCTTGAGCAGGAACAAGGAAATAGTATAATACAAAAAAGCAGATTGGTTAGTGTCAGATTACTTTTGTTGTAAGGGTTAGAGCAGAGGGGACTTCCTTATTATATGGGCTAAAACTGGGCTGATCAGAGATTTGGCTATCATCTCTTTCCTGATTTCTCAGAAGGTCAGATTAAACAACCTATTTTCAGTTTGGGGATGTGAAACTTGAGCATGAGTGACTGCATTCTGGTTTGGTCTGCAGGAACCTGGTGCAGGAGCTCAGTCTAAATCAATGGACTCTCATAAATTTAACACCCTTCTTCCTTTCAAGATAAATGAGTAGGACTTAGAAAAAATATTATAGAGAAATCGCACACACATACCGTATAGTTTGCAGGGTAACAAGGAATGTTGCCTGAATCTTTCTAAAATACATCTAAAAGCAAGGGACTAGCTAAAGCTGTCTTGATAAAAAATGTAAAAGGCTAGGGACACCAGTAGCTATAGGAGCCAGCTTCTCTTTTATCTCTGGTAGGGCAAGATGGTTGGGTTTAGTTATCCCAAAAGGACTTTGTCCAGGAGGACCACATGTGGCAGTATGGCGATCCACCAGCAGAAAGATGCTAAGTAATGGGTATCACTTAAATCAGGGGAACAGAAGTCATAGAAGCCCCCAGAAAGGAAGCCATCATTAGGACATCTGTCACATGAAAATCCCCAACTGCAGATTCCAGTAACACCCACCATCTACGATTCGCTCTTCAACTTTAGCTCTCCCCATCCCTGTGCCTTAATTGAAGGAGTCAAAAATAGCAACATAGCCAGGTGTGGTGGTGGCATGCACCTGTAATCCCAGCTACTCAGGAGGCTGAGGCAGGAGAATCACTTGAACCTGGGAGGTGGAGTTTGCAGTGAGCCGAGATCGTGCCATTGCACTCTGGCCTGGACAACAAGAGCAAAACTCTGTCTCAAAAAGAAAAAAAAAATCACAAAAGTAAATAGGGGAGAAAGCGGAGGACAGGAGAATGAAGAAACTGGGCATGCTGTCTGCCTACCACCCCATTAGTTAATTTTCAGACTTGAATTATAAAGGAGAGAAGCTCCAAAGTACATGAAAAAAAAATGAAGTTTGATATTATTGTTTTCCAAGGCTTTTTGTAGCCTGAAAATGAGATTGCTTATTAATTCATGAAATTGAATAGAGAAACTAAGGGATCGTCCCAAAACATACTGCAGAGTTGGGAAAGAAAAAGCAGACACATCAGGTCTGAAGAAAGTGGTAGAAGAAAATAGTTATTTCCTAAATCCTACCAATTCAGCTCATTCAATAAACTGATTGCCCTGCCATTACCCTTAATTGAGCCCTTTTTAAGTGCTGGCATATTGTCTCATTTAATACTGTAGAGGGGAAAAGTAACTTCTTTTCCTCATCCATCACAAGCGTCCTGGCTAATACTCCTACAACAAAAGACAGATTAATGAGAGAAAAGCTTAACAAATTTATTTAACAAAAGTTTTACTTGAAACGAGAGCCTTCAGAAATAAACACTCAAAGAAATAGAGAAAACTGTTTTCATGCCTAGGTTTGATAAAGAGTGGATAGTCATATGAAAGTATAATTGGACAAAGGGGATATGATCTAGCAGTAATAAACTGGGGGAACTTAGCAAGGCCTGTTTGTTCAGACTCTTCTCAGCATCACTATGTCTTCATTCCTTTCCTCTGAGTTTAGGGCAGGACACCTGTCACATGAGGTTCTTATGACCTACTTTCAGGAGAGGTATGTCAAAGAATTCTTTTACAGCCAGCTCTCACACATGAAGATAGGAGAAGGTCAGACAGTGGCCTCCAAGTTTCCATATTTGGGGTAGCGTGTCCTGGACCCCATCAATAATAACGGCAAATCTATAAGGTAGGCCAGTTCTCACAGTCTCTTGCTAATTTAGGGATAAGATTCCCTTGGGGCTTATTAAAAATAAACGCTGAGGCCGGGCATGGTGGCTCATGCCTGTAATCCCAGAACTTTGGGAGACCAAGGCAGGCAGATTGCCTGAGCTCAAGAGTTCGAGACCAGCCTGGGCAACCTGGTGAAACCCCATCTCCACTAAAAATACAAAAACTAGCTGGGCATGGTGGCCTGCGCCTGTAATCCCAGCTACTCGGGAGGCTGAGCCAGGAGAATCACTTGAACCTGGAAGACAGAGGTTGCAGTGAGCTGAGATTGTGCTATTGCACTCCAGCCTTGGAGTGCAATAAAAAAAAAGTTAGCTGGGGATGATAGCGTGTGCCTGTGGTCCCAGGTACTTCGGAGGCTGAGGTACAGGATCACTTGAGCCCTAGAGGTCAAGGCTGCATTGAGCTGAGATTGCGCCACTGCACTCCAGCCTGGGCAACAGAGATAGACCCTGTCTCAAAAAAAAAAAAAGAAAGAAAGACAGAAAAAAGAAAAAAAGAAAATTATTCTAGTCATCGAATGTGTAAAATTATAAGGAGAAGATTTGTTTCTCATCAATGCTTACTCAAAAAGAAGTCTTCTTCTGTTAGGAATATAGCACATACAATAAAAATATGTAAATACACAATGTACCATGTATTTCTTTCCTTTTTTGATGGAAATTGTGCCAAATAGAATTTACCAGAATGTTTGTGCTTTTAAACACAAATGTAGCAGTACACAAGCCGGAAGTACATCTGTAGGTGAATTGCTGTTTTATGTATTATATAATTAGGCATCTTTCCCTGTCTCCCTGTTCTATATCTCTGCCCTTTGAGATCTTCTCAGAGTCCCTTGATGAAGGTATAAAGGCAAGAGTGGTCTAAAATATAGTTAGGGCACTGGTCTTCCCAGATTGCAATGGCCCAGAACAAATACTACTTCATATATTGGGCTACGAAAGTCATCATCTTTACTCTGTCATTAGAAGCCTTTTTTGCCTAATTAGAAATGGACCTTTGATAAAGTAACCTACTCACATTTCTGTAAATCTCCCATCGTTGGAAAAATTAATGTTGCTATAAACTGATGGGGTTTAATGCCTCATTACAGTTCATCTTAGTCAAAACAAGAGCATCTTAATAAATAAGCAACTTAGTTAAACCAACAATTTAACAAGTTTTTTTTTAAATACCACCCCTGGCCGGGCACAGTGGCTTATGCCTGTAATCCTAGCACTTTGGGAGGCTGAGGCAGGTGGACCACGAGGTCAGTAGTTCGAGACCAGCCTGGCCAGCATGGCGAAACCCCATCTCTACTAATAATACAAAAATTAGCTGGGTGTGGTGGCGGGCACCTGTAATTCAGCTACTTGGGAGGCTGAGGCAGAAGAATCGCTTGAATCCAGGAGGCAGAGTTTGTAGTGAGCCGAGATTGCACCATTGCACTCAAGCCTGGGCAACAAGAGTGCCCATCTCAAAAAAAAAAAAAAAGCTACCCCCCGCCCACCATATCTACATATAGCAAGAAGGATGAGAGCATCACCTATTTCTCATCCAGACTCAGACTTTTGCTGCCATGGCAAATGGATCCAGTTGCCAGCTCTATGTTTATATGTGAATCAGGGACTGCTTCTTATTGCCCTTCCAGTCACACTATTTGTCTGGGACCAGACTTATGTAGATTACTGAAAAATAATTTTTAAAATAAATTTCCCTACTAATGTTCAAATCAGGAGTCAGCTTGGTGTGTGAGTATCTGATAACATCACAATGATTATGAATATATGTCATGTTGCTATGGCTCGGACGTGGTTTGTCCCCACCAAAACTCATGGAAATTTGAGCCCCATTGTGGCAATATTGGATGATGCGGATTAGTGGGAGGTGTTTGGGTCATGGGGGCAGATCCTTCATGAATGGCTTGGTGCCATTCTCAAGGCAGTAAGTTTTTGCTCTGTCGAGACTGGAATAGTTCTCTCAGGAATGGATTAGTTCCCATGAAAGCTGGCTGTTGTAACGTGAGGCTCCTCCTCCTGTTTTGTCCCCTCTTCACACGTGACCACTTTCCCTGTGACCTTCTCCACTATGTTTTGACCTCCACCATGTCTGGCCCTCACCTGAAGCCAAGCAGATGCTGGTGCCATGCTTCTTGTGAGCTAAATAAATCTCTTTCCTTTATAAATTAGCCAGCATCAGGTATTCTATTACAGCATCACAAAACAGACTAACGCACATGTGTTGATAAAAGAACTGTTCTTGTAAAGGAACCACAGAAGGTCATGCTTGGGGATATTTCTGTGCTATCCTGCATTGTATTAACATATGAGCAATACATCTTGTGACATTTGTGTTAGGCCAGATTCAAGAATGATTTGGGATGTAAAAGATAAAAAACATAGGCACTCAGCCTCTGACTGAAGTGAACATAATGAGGCATGACTATCTAAGAATATGTAAGCCCTAAAACTGCTTCACCTTTCACGATGAGATAAATATAAAAGTGTTATGTATCCAACAATTCTTTAGAATCTTCTTTCAAAGGAGGTCATCTCCTGGCTGTTCTAAACAAAATCAGAACAGTATTTCTGAAATTCTGAGCACAGTCTCTTTTTTGTTCATGCATTATCTACAAACTGAGGAATGCAAGAAACATAAATAGAGGCTTAAAAATGAACTCTATGTTCATTTTTATTTTCCTAATATTCTTCCCACTTTCCTGGAAGCAAAAGATGAGTTTTTTTAAAATAAATTTTAATTAAATAAAATAGTGATACATGATATAATGTGTAATACAGATTGTCATAAACAAATTTCTCATATCAGAATTCTTCAATGTGATTCCTATGCTATAATAACAATGGTAAAGTTCTGTTTTGGTGAGAATTGGTACTCTGTGGACACCAAGCTTCATAGGTGATTGGAAAAGGATTGAAGAAAAGGTGATTGGCAAAAGAAAATTAGAATGGTTCTTTTCCTCAGCCCCCAACTCACAGCATAAATTACTTCTCAGGAAAACATGACGCTGTTTTATGGAAATAAGAAAAAAAGAAAAATAAGCTAGAAAAGGGGAAATGGAGTATAGAGTTGGAAATAGAGGAGAAAAGGCATAGCCCTTTGGTTCTAGAAAATAATTCTTAACTTTCATTAAAGTTAAATAAAAATTAACCATATATCATTTTCTTTACTAAAGGCAGAAGGCCAAGTCAGGGTTAAATTACTCGAATGTTGAGAAAGTGGAATTAAAGCAGTAGATTGAAATTGATTGGTCCCTACCAGCCTGCATCCCCCTTTAAGGGAAACTGCAGTGCCACAGCCCCTGTTCTATGTGAAAGGATTCCTCCTCCAATCAATGACTGACTGGATCAAGAATGGGCACCTTACCCAGGTGTAGACCATCCATGGCTTTTCCATGAGCTCCAACCAACCCAGCAATAGGAAGACAAATTAGGCAAAACAAAGTCTTACCATCTGGAGTCTGAAATGGAAACCCTGGAGAAATGGCACCAGTGAGCAGTGAGAATTAAGATGGAAAGGTCCTAAGGAACTGAAGGACATGAATCCCATTCATGGCCACTATATCTTAAAGTCCCAGCAAGAAACAGAAGATATAGATGGTTCAAAGAAAGAGACTTTAACCAAGACTGTTTGCAGAAATGTAAGCAGGGTTAAGAGAACACACAAAGGACGGTAAAGCCATCCAGAACGTAGCAGCAGCAGGAAGCCATTACTACCCGGGTATGAAGGAGCAGGGGGCAGAAATAGGGTTACTGGTGCTCAGCAAGACCTAGTAATGTGGAAGAGTGCCCCTCAGCAGGAGCTGTAGCCTCAGAGGGATATAGAGACTGCCAGAGAGGCAAAGTGGAGGAGAGAAGCAGAGTGCAGGCAGTATCCTCATCTCTCACTTTCCCCTTGCTCTGGTGGCCCACTTAATGAGTTAGTCAAACCCAGTCGGAATCCAGAGACCATGGGAATTCTGGTATGGTTCAGTCCAGCCTGCCTCCACCCCTAGCACAGAAAAGAACAGGGGACAGCAAGCAAAGTACATCTACAGGTCAAACAGAGACCAACCAGAAAGCCATGTGCAAGCCCAAGTTATGAAGGATCTGAAGAAAGCTGGTAGACAAAGGAAAACTGTCCAGAAAAAAGTAGGTGACCTGAGAGAAAGAGAGCTGGGGAGAGCAGCTGGTCCCTAGACCTGCCTCAATTCTGATGCCATTCTGTTCTAGTTCTGTCCACTCACTGCAATGCCCCACCCTGACCCCCAGAGCTTGAGGCCCCTTTAATAGGCCTTGCTTCCTTGTCATGAAAAATAAGCCAGATTATCAAAAAAGAATAAGCACTTTTTCATCTCACTGTTTCCCACTTAAAGAGACTACTCCTGGCAGGGCGCTGTGGCTCACGCCTGTAATCACTCCAGGACTTTGGGAGGCTGAGGTGAGTGGATCATGAGGTCAAGAGATCGAGCCCATCCTGGCCAACACAGTGAAACTCCGTGTCTACTAAAAATACAAAGATTAGTTGGGCATGGTGGCGTGCACCAGCTACTCAGGAGGCTGAAGCAGGAGAATCGCTTGAACCCAGGAGGCAGAGGTTGCAGTGAGCCGAGATCGCGCCACTGCACTCCAGCCTGGTGAGAGAGTGATATTCCGTCTCAAAAAAAAAGAGAGAGAGAGAGAAAGACTACTCCTTTGGTAATTGATAAGCACCATTTTCAAAAACACAAAAGAAGGAATGTGCATGGCTATAGGGAAATAGGAGGATTAGTAAGGAAATAAATAGAGGAGATGAGGAAGCCCATGCAGAATTTACACAATGCCTTGTCTTTCCAGTAAGTCTTTAAAGAGTAAACGGATGGAATCTAAATGAAATAATGGCAATAGTAATAATGCTAAAATTTTGCTTTGACAATAATCTGAGTTCCTACCACTTAAAAAATACCATATGTGCAAAATCTTACTGGTTGATGACAAATACACTATGTTTACGAATTCCTGAGCTAGGATATCTGTTTGTACATCTAAGTATACTAGATTACTTCTTAGTATGTTATAGATAATTCAGTGATTCTCAACCCTGATTGCATATTAGAATTACCTGGAGAGCTTTTTAATAATATGGATGCCTTGGCCCCTCGCCAGACCAATTGAATCAAAATCCCAAGTGACAGGCGCATAAAAGGTCATTACAGTATATTACATTCTAAACTTAGGAAAGAGCTTACAGATCATTTAGACCAACTTCATCATTAAGGAGGTTCAGGAAAGGCCACCCCAAGTTACCTTGTTATACTGACTACTTTGAAGTGAGAGCACTTGGGAGGCATTGGGTGCAGACAGAGGCATTCTCAGAACATCTCTTATCTCCCTAAAGACAGATCCTCCAGAAGGAACTCCAATCCCATCACTGGGGGATTTATCAACTAGGAAGATTAACTCTTATCACAGGAGAGGAAGACTAGAAGTCAGTACCATACCCAGACAACATTTGTAACAAACTGTCATCTATTCTTCTAAGAGCCCATTCATTTTTCCCAGAAATTATTTACTCTCCCCTGAGTTACCTACATCCCCACTTCGCTCTGCCCTGTGAAGAAGGTATATAAGCTTCTAGATCTCACTGGATTTGGGGGTATTCACTTTTCTGTTATGCGCCTGTGCAAGTAACAAATGTGTATACCTTTTCTCCTGTTTATCTGCCTGCGGTCAGCTTATTTCCTAGACTGTTTATCAAACCCTCAGAGGGTATAGGGGAAGTCTTAAGCTCAGAGATTCCTGGCCCCTGCCTGATCAGTTTCACTGACACTTAGGAACAAAGCCAGGCTTAGAACCCGAAAGTCCTGCATTCACTCAAGCTCCTTCCCTTAACCTGACTCTTTTGTTAATAGTCATTCAGAAAATACTTTTGAGACCTATTGTGTGCTAAGCACTAGATAATAAAATCTATTGCCATTATTTGTGATAGCCAAAACCATAAAACAATCCAAATGTCCATGGTCTGGTAGATGGATAAACAATACAATGAAATAATATTCAGCAATAAAAAGGAACAAACTACTGATATAAGAAACAAAGTAAATGAATTTCAAAAACATTATGCTAAATAAAAGAAGCCAGGTGCAAAAGACCATATATTACATGATTACACTGATATGAAACTGTTACAGTAGGTACTTAGTCAGACGTGAACAAGGCAGGAGAGTGTCCCCCTTAGGAGGGCAACCATCAGAAGATCATGGTCAGGCAGTGGTTAAACTGCTTCTCTAAAGTAATAATTTGTCGCAGCCCGCGCCAGGGAAAGGCAGTCTCCCTATAGATAGAAACACCTAAAATTGGTGATCAGCAGCTTCCCAATAAGATCTCAGGAGTTGGCCAAGTGGCTCAAGCATGCACACTAAGAGACAAAATGGCAGAGTTTAAGTGGTATATGACCTTCCTCTAGAAACACTCAACTGGTAAGGGAAGAATGCCTCAAGTGAACATGTGCACAGTTTTGGTAAACACACTGCACATGCGGCCCCTACCAAGCGCTGGCAGGCCACTGTGCATGCGGACAGCCCACCCCAAGGGAAGAATCAGGGGAGAAGGGACACAACTCCCTGGAAGCATGCCAACAGATAAAACCCCAAGTCAAAGTCAAACCACGCACTAGATCTCTCAAGTCACCCGCTTGGCCTTCTTCCAAGTGTACTTCACTTCCTTTCTTTCCTGCTCTAAGGCATTTAAATGAACTTTCACTCCCGCTCAAAAACTTGGCTCAGTCTCTCACTCTGCCTTAGGCCCCTCGGTCAAATTCTTTCTTGTAAGGAGGTAAGAATTGAGGTCACTGCAGACCGGTACGGATTCATTGCTCCTAACAAAATGTCTAGAAAAGGCAAATCTATGGAGACAAAGATTAGTGGATTCCTGGGGCTGGAAGTAGGAGCAGGGATTGACTGAGAATGGATAATAAGGGTCTTTTGTGGAGAGATGGAAATGTTCTAAAACCTTTTTGTAAAAATGATTGCAACTCTACAAATTTACTAAAAATCTTTAAATTGTATACTTACAATAAGTGGACTTTATGGTGTGTAAATTTGTCTTAGTTCATCTTCTGTCACTGTAATAGAATACCACACACTGGGTAATTTACAAAGAACAGAAGTTTATGTGGCTCACAGTTCAAGTGGCTGAAAAGTCCAAGAGCACAGCTCTGGCATCTGATCAGGGTAATACCAAAGTTGAAGGGCAGAGGGCAGAAGCAAGCATAGACAGAGTATATGACACTGAATTTATCTGTTTATCAGGAGCCCACTCCTGTGATAACTAAGCCATAACGGCATTAATCCATTCATGAGGGCTAACCACCTCTTAAAGGCCCCACTTACTAATACTGTTAACAATGGCAATTGTTTCCAACACATTAACTTTTGAGGGACATGTTCAAACCGCAGCAAAATCATACCTCAAAAAAAAGTAGGTTTATTTTTTAAGCTTACTGCCACTTATTGAACACCATAACAGGTATTTGTACTAAGATTTAAATAATACTGCTCCGAGTAATATGCTGGTAAAAAAAATTTTTAACCAGTTAACTGATGGCTGGAAATGAAACAAAACTTTTCTCCCACCTGCTTAGGTTTCTTGCCTGGGAGCTTGTAAATTAAACTCACAAAAGATAGATTAGTAAAAGAAAAGGGTTTATTTACAAGAACTACATGTACATAGGAGGGCTCAGAGATGAGTTACTGAAATGGATGGTTAGAATTTGAGGCTTATATACCTAAATTAGTAAGGAAAGGGAAGACGGAGTAAATGTTCCTATGGGATGAACAAATAGGTTCCTTTAGGAAAAACAAATGTGGTTTTAGGAGAACAAATGAGCAATAAGGCATTTTGTGATAATATATGTTTATGTAGGTTTTCTGAACTCATGGTCATGGGGTATTTATGGTAGATTTACTCTTGGTCTCTCTCCTGGTAGTAGCTTTCCTCAAGAGGGAATTTATGATGGTCTTCATTTATCAGAAGTTTCAGCTTCTAGTCAGATAAAGGAAGCTCTGAGAAGGCTTCTTTCTGTATCAATTGAATCTCAAGTGTCTTCAGCTTAAAATAATCTTTATGCCAATTCTGGGGTTCTGGGTGTGTCACTACCTGAGATAAAGAATATTAGCACGTGATTCACAAACATTGATAAAATATACAATACTCAATACTGTAAATTCTATACATCCATAACTTCAAGGTGACTTGACTTCTTATGAAAATCACTATCAGTTTTTATGAATTCACCAACAACAGTGTCCCAAATTCAAAATAAGAATAAATGCAGCCAGACGAGGTGGCTCACGCCTGTAATCCCAGCACTTTGGGAGGCTGAAGTGGGCAGATCGCTTGAGGTCAGGAGTTCGAGACCAGCCTGGCCAACACGGTGAAACCCCGTCTCTACTAAAAATTCAAAAATTAGCCGGGCGTGGTGGCGGGTGCCTGTAATCCCAGCTACTCAGGAGGCTGAGGCAGGAGAATCACTTGAACCCAGGAGGCAGAGGTTGCAGTCAGCCAAGACCATGTCACTGCATTCCAGCCTGGGCAACAAGAGTGAAACTCTGTCTCCAAAAAAAAAAAAAAAAAGAATAAATGCTTGACTATTCACAATAGCAAAGACATGGAAGCAACCTAAATGCCCATCAATGGTAGACTAAATAAAGAAAATATGATACATATACACCATGAAATACTATGCAGCCACAAAAAGGAATGATACCATGTCCTTCACAGCGACATGGATGGAGTTGGAAGCCATTAACCTCAGCAAACTAACACAGAAACAGAAAACCAAACGCCACATCTTCTCACTGATAAGTGAGAGCTGAACGATAAAAACACATGGACACAATGGGGAACAACACACACTGGGGCCTGTTAAAGGTGGGTGTGGGGGAGGGAGAGCATCAGGAAGAATAGCTGATGAATGCTGGGCTTAATACCTAGGTGATGGGATGATCTGTGCAGTGAACTACTATGGCACGTGTTTATCTATCTACCAAACCTGCACATCCTGCACATGTATCCCTGAGCTTAAAATAAAAGTCGAAGAAAAAAAGTAACATTATTTATGAATAAAGTTATATTTTTTCATTTAAAAAAAGGAATAAATGCTTGGTTTCTGTCCAATTCAGTAAAGAAGTAAAGTGTACTTTTTGTTCTTTTTCTTTTTTTTGATGATGGCAAGGACATAAAGTTTTGACATGAATGTTGATAGACATTTTTGTTTATATTGAGAAAAAACAAAAGTGAAACAATGAAGATGTATATAAGGTCTTCACTTGTTCAATGATGTGATGTAAGCAGTTTCTTTGCTGAATTGCATGATAGTTTTCAAATACTGAAAGAATATTTTCTCAGTTGGGGGGGTTGGATATTCACAATGTGAGAGCTGCAGATAGAATACATTTTCAGTTTAATCTTTTTCTTTTTCTTTTTTTCTTTTTTGATGGAGTCTCACTCTGTTGCCCAGGCTGGAGTGCAGTGGCACAGTCTTGGCTTACTGCAATCTCTTCCTCCTGGGTTCGAGCGATTCTCATGCCTCAGCCTCCTGAGTAGCTGGGATTATAGGTGTGGACCACCACACCTGGCTGATTTTTGTATTTTTAGTAGAGACGGGGTTTCATCATGTTGGTCAGGCTGGTCTCGAACTCGTGACCTCGTGATCCACCTGCCTGAGCCTCCCAAAGCGCTGGGATTACAGGTGGGAGCCACTGAGCCTGGCCTTAAATTTAATCTTCATTAACATTTTCACTGTCACTTTCTTAAGTGCAGAGACAATCAGCAATAAGTGTAAACCTGCTTCGTAGCATTTGATCATTTCCCTGGTGTAAATACTCCAAAAGTGGCTGATTTCAAGCAATCAACATGACATACTGAAGGCAGAGTTGGGAAAATGTGCAGTAACACACCACTAAATAATATTTCCGCATACAGATACAATAGACATAAATAACCTTAAAAGCACAGATAATGATAAAACATAATAAAATAATTAGAAAATGAAGAGTTTTGAGATTTGTACCCTTTGTTTTTAATATAATCTTATTGTAAGTTTATGTAGTAAGACTTTTAATAATAGCAGTGTTTAATTTTTCTGCTAATTATATTCCTGAAATTTTAGCAACCAGTTACCATCAGTTGGCGCTAGCACACCACCGACTGCAGGCTTTACTGATGAGGAAACTGAGGCTCGGAGAGGCTGTCACGAACTTGCTGTAGTCACACAGGAAGTACTACCTAGGTTGCTCTAATTCCAAACCTTCTCCCTTCCATATGCCTCTCTTTAAAACATAACTGATCTACCTATATGTCAGCACCCAAACATCTTAGTGTGAATGGATTTATAGTTTGTTGAATAAAGTCATTGCTTTCCGGTAGGTGGGATGGGAAATCTGACTAGGCGAAAGAATAGGATGAAGGGAAAAAGAACATCTACTTAACAGTTCAGGATACGGCAGGATATTTTCTCTCCTGGGATTTGGGCAAGCCAAGATTTAACAACCAGCAATTGCCCAGCAACTGATAGAACTGGTAGAACATTCATTGTTTTTTTAAACGTTTGCCATTCAGTATTCCTTTTCACACATTTTCACTGTGTTAAACGAAAACGTTAAGACTTATCTCAGCAGCCACAGCAAAGAGCAAGTACTAACAATCAAGTGAGTTTCCAGGAGAAAAAAAACAAAGTTATCCCTCAATGCAAATACAACTCGGCCAAAGGTGTGGCCCATCCCTCTCCGCTCCACTATTTTCAAATAAGCCACCTCTGCCTTCATGGACTGCGAGCTAGTGACTCTAGGCTGTGACACCACTGCATCCCAGCTTCAAATCTCCCCTTGCAGGCAGTTTGTGGGGGAAATAATAAAATTAGCATCCTAACACTACAAGTCGTGAGACCGCTCAGGAACAATCCTAATTTGCATACTGGAACTCCTGTAGAAGATACTTTGAACCGCTTTAGATACAATAGGATCAGGTAAAACGGCGCTGCCTTGCCAGCCACTGCAGGTTTTCACCTGACACAGCCCCCAGACCCTGTCTACGAATCCCCCAGCTGGCCGAAGGGGCCGCGGCCGCACATGCGCAGTCAGTCCCGTTGGTTGTGCGCTCAGCCCCGCCCCCAGAGGCGCCGCGCTCCCTGACAGCCCGCGGGCGTACACACGCTGACGCGCAGGCTGCGGTCGCGCAGGCGCAGTCGGGGCGCCTTCCCGGTATAGGCGCCTTTTACCCCAGCGTGTCCTGAGTCTTTGGTTCGCGAAGTGCCGTTAGGCCAAGCAGGTGCTAAAAGCCCGGGGTCGTGGACCCCGGCCAGGTCTTAGCAGCATGGAGGCGCAGGGTGTAGCGGAGGGCGCGGGGCCGGGCGCCGCCAGCGGCGTGCCCCACCCCGCGGCCCTAGCCCCGGCTGCGGCTCCCACCTTGGCGCCAGCCTCGGTGGCGGCCGCGGCCTCTCAATTCACCCTGCTAGTGATGCAACCCTGTGCTGGGCAGGACGAGGCTGCGGCCCCCGGGGGCAGCGTTGGGGCGGGCAAGCCCGTTAGGTACCTGTGCGAAGGGGCCGGGGATGGCGAAGAGGAGGCTGGGGAGGACGAGGCGGACCTGTTAGACACTTCGGACCCTCCGGGGGGAGGCGAGAGCGCGGCTAGTTTGGAGGATCTAGAGGACGAGGAGACTCACTCGGGGGGCGAGGGCAGCAGCGGGGGCGCCCGGAGGCGGGGCAGCGGTGGGGGCAGCATGAGCAAGACCTGCACCTACGAAGGCTGCAGCGAGACCACGAGCCAGGTGGCCAAGCAGCGCAAACCGTGGATGTGCAAGAAACACCGCAACAAGATGTACAAGGACAAGTATAAAAAGAAGAAGAGCGACCAGGCCCTGAACTGCGGTGGGACTGCCTCGACTGGCAGCGCGGGAAACGTCAAACTCGAGGTATCAGACTTAGCTGAGGCCTGGGGATGGGAGGTGGAAGAAGAAACCCGATCTTAACGCAAACCGCATCTGCAGGGCCTGCCTCCCCACTTCCAAATGGGCCGGTTTGCAGTGACTGGGTTAGTGGTTGAGAATTAGAGTGTTTGCCCTAAATTAAAGTTTATACCAACATGTGCAAAGCAATAACAGTTCTGTTGAACTCATGATAGGTGCAGAAATTTCAGTAAAAATAATGTGACATCGGCAGAGCTGTCATAGATCTGGGATATGGCTGGAAGGACATAGAGTAAATGATCGGTCTGGTTCATCGCTAAAGGAGACTTAGGAACCTAGATGAAGTTGGTACTTCTGAGAAAGTCATCTCTTTCTGTTTTCACTACTCTATTCTCAGTATCCAGTTCTCAGTACCCAGTTCTCAGTACCTCTATTTGTAATACTCCTGTATTTAGTACTTTGTTTTTAGTGTCCTGTTCTGTTAACCCTCTTCCTAGTACCGTATTTTTAGTACTGCTATACTCAGTTGCCTGTCTGTAGTACCCCTGTACGTAGTACTCTTTTCTTACAACTCTGTTCCCAGTACCCCTATGTTTAGTCCCTTGTTCTCATGTTCTCACTACCCCAATACTTAATATACTTTGTTCTCAGTATCCTTGTTGTTAGTACCCTGTTCTCACTACCCCTTTTCTTAGTACCCCTGAGGGGGGAAAAAAAGGATGATAATGGGGTATAAGTCTCAAAAAACTTTTGGATTGTTTGATTTGAACTGAGTCAAAGGTAAAACCAGTGTTCTGGAGTTCGACTTCTGGGTGCAAATCCCTGTTGCATCATTTACTGGCCTTGTGGCTTGAATAGGTTATTAAACTCTGTAAAATGGGCATTAAAATCGTGTGTCATTCATAGTGTTGCTGTGAATATGTGAGCCATTCCATATTGAGGGTTCACACAGTGTCCAGCAACTGGCTAAAGTTTGCAAACCTTACCCATTATTATTGTCATTGTTAGTGGTATACTTTGAGGCTGTCACAAATAAGCAGATATTTCTTCTTGTGAGAGCTATATAATCCCTTAGTGTAGAGAAAAATTTAATTTTGTTACAAGTGATCCAAGCCAGGTATGGTGGCAAGTGCCTGTATACCCAGCTGTACTTGGGAGGGTGAAGTGGGAAGATTGCTTGAGACCAGGGGTTCGAGGCTGC
The DNA here is from genome assembly GCF_000001405.40 of Homo sapiens. Lineage (NCBI taxonomy): Eukaryota > Metazoa > Chordata > Mammalia > Primates > Hominidae > Homo > Homo sapiens. The sequence goes on from NC_000013.11 coordinate 36,821,153, forward strand.
CGTGAGCCTTGTTTGCATCACTGCATTCCAGCCTGGATGACATAGCAAGACCCTGTCTCCTTAAAAAAAAAAAAAAAAAAAAAAAAAAAATTTTTTTTAACTGCAAGCTGTCTTAGGGTCCTAGGATGTATTCTAAGTCTTTAAATTTCTTAGTTTCAGGCTGAACTTGAAGTGCTCCATCACTAAAATATTAGACCTTGTAATTGTTTACAAATGTAATGTTCTAGGCCAGGCTCAGTGGCTAATACCTGTAAGCCCAGAACTTGGGGAGGCCTAGGAGGGAGGATCGCTTGAGCCCGGAAGTTTGAGACCAGCCTGGGTAACATAGGGAGACCCCATCTCAACAAAAAAATTTTAAAAATTAGCCAGGTATGTTGGCACATGCCTGTGGTCCTAGCTACTCGGGAGGCTGAGGTGGAAGGATCATTGAGCCCAGGAGATTGAGGCTGCAGTGAGCCATGGTTGTGCTACTTCACTCCAGCCTGGGTGACAGAGCAAGACTTTGTCTCAAAAACAAAAAGTATAATATTCTAAATATTTCTAAAATTTGCAGTTGCCAGTGTGTCATACTTAATTCACACTGGTTAGGACTGAGTGACTTCTCTTTCCCTTAAGTTTTACTCTTTTGGAGTAAGAGGACTTCTTTGAGGGTCTGGTGACTTAATGAAGACTCTTCCTAGAAAAATCCACTATGTAACTTTAATTTTGCATACTAATTAATGGGCTCAGGACTTCTGTAATCTTAGTTTAAAAACCCCCTCAATCCATATTCTTATAGTATGTTTTACCAAATCTCTGATTACGGGGATTTAGGGAAATAAGCATCTGGAAAAGAATGAAAGTTAGTAAAGGTGATCAAGTTTCTTCCTCAGTATGTTCCACAGGTGCCCATTCACTTCAGAATTCTTTAGAGAGGGAGAAAAATAATACTTTTTTTCTTTCTTTTTTTTTTTTGAGACAGAGTCTTACTCTGTGTCGCTCAGGCTGGAGTGCAGTGGTGCGATCTCGGCCCACTACAACCTCCACCTCCTGGGTTCAAGCAGTTCTTGTGCCTCAGCCTCCTGAGTAGCTGGGATTACAGGCATGCACCACCACGCCCGGCTAATTTTTGTATTTTTAGTAGAGACGCGGTTTTGCCATGTTGGCCAGTCTGGTCTCGAACTCCTGATCCTCCCACCTCAGCCTCCTGAAGTGCTGGGATTACGGGTGAGACCCACCACGCCGGCCTAATAATACTTATTTTCAAGAAAGAAGTAGTTAACCTATGGCTGCTTACTTTTTTTTTTTTAAACTACCTAACATTTACATCTACAGTGAGGAAAATGTATAAAAGGCAGATAGATACTGAATTAGCGTCTCCCTCTGCACCTCCCACAAAAAGAACCTTATTACTATTTTGTTATTTATTTACTTATCTAATTTTTTAGAGATGGGTCTCACAGTGTTGCCCAGGCTGGCCTCGAATTCCTGGGCTCAAGTGATCCTCCTGCCTCAGCCTTCAGAGTAACTGGGATTATTTCACCACTGCACCTAGCTTCACTATTTTAAAATAATTTGCATGACTTTTTATGGAAGGGAATTAATTGCTATAAGCAACAAATAATACTAATAGTTTACTATCCAGTTTGTCTTATATTTTGGGATACTTTATCAGTTCTGAGGAGGTAACAAGATCTGTAAATCTTTATCTTTGTTAAACTGAGTGTAAAGAAAATAACAGTGCCAGCCAGGATATAATAAGAGCCAACTGTATAGTCCGGTTTTAGTAGTTCAGAGGAGGATAGATCATTGTAGGCTGAGATACTCCAGAAAGGCTTTGCAGAGGAAACGTGACTCAGTATAAACCAGAAAGGATGGGCAATAGTTTACGCTTAATGAGCTGAGTTTCTTATGTGTCAAGCACTGTGTTAAGCTATAAATGGAGTCTCACAACCCTTCAGCAATGGGATAGATACTATATTTTACATACATGGAAACTGAGGCACAGAGAGGCTAAAGAATTTGGCCTAGGTCATACAGCCAGCAAGTATTGTACTCAAACGCAAGCAGTCTTATTCTAGAGCTTTCACTTTTACCTCCTTACTATACTGCTTCCCTAGAATTCTGGTAGATAAAAGGAAAGAGAAGCACATTTTAGTAAAGAAAGAGAAGTAGGAATACAGAAAACACTTTTGTGAAGATAGCAAGTGGACTATTCTAGCTAAAATAGTTGAGTGGAAAATTCATGAGAGAGAAATTTGGAAAGATAGGTTGAAGCCAGTTTTTTATAGTATTGAATGCCAGGCTATGGGATTTGGATTTGGAGTCTTTAAATGAAATGATCTAATTAGGAAGTAGCAGAGGATCCTACCCTGATGGAGTGGGTTAAAGTTGAGAGCCTATAGATTTTGAGACTCTTTCGAAGATTATTATAGTAGGACTGACAGGTGATGATGGTGTCTTCTGCTATGTTGTGAGCAGCAAGATTAGAAATTAAGTTCTCTATTCCAATGAAGAATTTATTAAGGTAAAAAAATTAAAGAAATTAAGGTATCTAAAATTAATATTTCTTACACAAGTCAAGGTTAAATGAGGAACAAATGTGTATAATGTCTACTCCACCAATCTAAGAACTATGCTATATGAGAGACACATAAAGGGACTAGGGATAAATGAATTGACCTCTGCTGGTGGGATTGTTCTTATTAAATATCTAAAAAGCTATCATTTAAGAGAAGCAGTAGACTTATATGGCATGATTCTGAGGTAACTAGGACTCTTAGGCATAAATCACAAGGAGTATGTATTTCAGCTCAGCTTAAGTAAAGCTACCTAACATTCTACCGAAATGTTAGAGCTATTCAAAACCAAATGAAATGTGGCAAAAGTTGGTAAACTCTGTAGGACAAAAAGCATTGCAGGTTTTTGAAAAAGAATTCCAACATCTGTACAAGTTTGGACTAGATGACTAAAGGTTATTTTCACTACAAGCTTCTTTATCTAATTCAGTATCTAATATTTTGTGAATTAACCTTTTGAATTTCCATAGTGGGGTTGTGAGGGCAGAGGGTACTGTACCATCAAGTCAATTTCAGCATTCCATTATCTTGCACATAAAAATGAAAGAATCTCATAAATAAAATCAACTTGGGGGTTGCTGGAGGAGGAAGAAATTATTTTTGTTTCCTCTGGGTATTAGAATTTTCTTTTTACAGTTTTTATATGTTGAGGCCTAAAATGTTTAGGGGTGAAATATTTTTGTAATATCAGGTTGGTAAACTTCTCATAATGAAAGAAATTAAGGGGATATTCTCATAGATAACTCAGAGGCCAGTAGAAAGAAGCCCAAGAGAAAAAACAGCATAGATAATATTCTAAGTAAAGAACAAAGAGGTTAAATTCATGTAAGGTATGGCTTTCCGGTAAAACATTTATAATTTTATATTTGCTACTTTAGTAAGAATTTTGGATGTGGTATTGTGGCATAGTTTTGTAAGAGTCAGAATATTTCAGTCAACTAAACAATATTTTGTTATGCCAGCAAAATTACAAGTATTTAAGATGCTGTCAGGTAACTGGGGGTACATATTTGGTAATAAGTGCTGCTGATTTTGTTTTTGGGCAGTGAAATCTCAGGGTAATGGTATCATTTTAGGACTTACCTGTTTTGTTCATACAGTTGGCAGGAGACTATTTATACTAGTGCTTTTTCAAGCAAGTTTATCTAAATTTTGAAAGCTTTGGTTATCAGTTGCTTCTTTAAACAATATTTTACTACTCCCCCATTTGTTTTGGTTGCCAACTGGGTAAAAAGCTATCAGATATCTTATTGAGCAGTATATAATTTGCCTCTGAGTTCATATATTTCATCCAAAGGCAAGCAGATTATGTTTCGGCCTGGATAGCATTATATAAAGAGAATGGTCAATTCCACTTGGCATTTTTTGTAATATTGAAAATAGCTCACAAGTAACTCTGCCTCAATCTTAGTGGCCCACCTCTCACAGTATTACTATATCACACTCTATCACACACACTATTAATTTTGAGACCTGCCAAGAGACTAAAGAACCCAGGTTGAAAATCTGGGGGGAGAGGGAGCGAGGAGGAATGTTACATTAAATTAACTGCCAATACTTTGCCTATGATAATGAAGAACTTTCCCAGAGTTGCCCAGAGACTGGGCAAGAAGAAGGAAGAAATGCAAAGACCTGTTCATTACATCTTTGAAATACCTGTAATCATGACTTATTACGTTAACTGTTTATCTATTTGCATTTTTATCATTTATCCCAGGAAAGTGCAGATAACATACTCTCCATTGTTAAACAAAGAACAGGATCTTTTGGGGATCGTCCTGCAAGACCTACTCTTTTAGAACAAGTGTTAAATCAAAAAAGACTGGTAAATATCTGTTTGTAAATCAGTTATAAATGTGTTAACAAACGTTTGTTATAAATGGAACAATTGAGATTTTTGAGATTTTTAGCTCATGACATCACACTATACATCAAAATAAATTCCTAATAAGTCAAAATTTTAAAAAAAGAATCGGAACTTTACCTCAAAAATGTAATGAGATTTTTTTTAGCTTATATAGACAAAATCACAGAGAAAAGATTATAAACTTGACTACATAAAAATGAATGCTATAGTCAAAAATGGTGGCAAATTGCACAATGACCTAGAGCAAAAATATGTACAACAAATATAAAAGACTATGGTTAACGTGTCTGGTATTTTATCACATAAAATATTCCTGGTTGGGCATTGTGGTTCATGCCTGTAATCCTAGCACTTTGGGAGGCCAGGTGGGAGGATCACTTGAGGCTGGGAATTTGAGACCATTCTGGGCAACGTAGCGAGACCCCATCTACAAAAAAATTTAAAAATTAGCCGAGTGTGATGGTATGTAGCTGTAGTCCTGGCTACTCAAGAGGCTGAAACAGGAGGATTGCTTGAGTCCAGGAATTCGAGGCTGCAATGAGCTATGATCATACCACTGTACTCCAGCCTAGGCAACAGAGCACCCTATAAATCATTAAACATGATCAGTTTCCTTACATATATATAAAATATGTTTGCCTCTTTGACAGCTTCAGTCTTAACTGCAAAGAAAGTTTATTACAAAAATTCCTGTAATTTGATGAGGAAAACCTTTGGCTTCAATACATTGCAAAAGATAGAAACAGAAAAAAAAGGCAGAATACCATTAAATGATATGGAAAGGTATTCAATATCAGTAAAAATAAACAAAAAGTGAAAATTATTTAAACGATTACGCACAATGATGCAGTGATGTGGAGACTTTCATGAAATGGACATTCTCAAGTAGTTAATGGCATTATATATTGGTATGGCACTTTCAGAAAGCAGTTGGGCAATATGTACCAGGAGTCATCCCTTTCAACTCAGACATCACATTTAATATGAAGACATTTACAGAATGTAAATCCTAAATATGGATAGAGTTAAACATAAAGGTATTGCCAGGAATATATTTCTCATAAATAGTAAAAAAGGTAGTTGAAACAGCCTAAATGTCCAACAGTGTCATAACAGCTAAGATGATTTTTAAATAAAACTGTTTAATAAATAGAAAATGTACTAAGATATAATACATATAATCTGAAAGTCAGTATTTAATGATAGTATGTTCACTTTATTCAGTTTATCTTTTTGCAGCTTATTGGGGCCAAAGATTTTTTTCTCTATAAATTTATGTAAGTATTTTATTATAAAAACCTATTACAGGAGACTGTGGCAGGATGATTGCTTGAGCCGAGGAGTTCAAGACTGCAGTGAGCTATGCTCACGCCACTGCACTCCAGCGTGGGGAACAGAGTGAGACCCTGTCTCTAATAATAATATGTTAATCATAGTCTGTTATATTTGTTATATTATTACAACTATATTTTAAAGTGATGAGTGTACAAAAAGGTATTGGATGTTTTAGAGCAGTTATATTTTTTCCTGAAATTTTGGTATATACCGATATATATGTACATATATATATATACACACCTATACACACAATTTTTAATTTCTTTATGAAGACTTAGTTGCCTAATGAGAAACTTGACTTCTAGCACTAGTTTGTATGTATGTACAAACTGGCATTTAGCTGCTATTTTCACATGTGGCCCCCTTTCATCTCCATTTTTTTTCTTGCTATAATCCTGGGTCAGTGCTACTTTTAGCTCTTTGTTCTTACATATTTCAAGAGAGTATATTTGCTGGCATATTAGAGAAGGTGTTTCCTTTTTACACAAAGTCACCAATAACAGACTTCACCCGTTATTTTTAGGTTTTAGTATTTTGATGTGTGACATCACATTATTTTTAGTTTGCAGCTTAGTTGCAGTGCATCCGATGTAAAAGTGCTTTTGATTCAGGCATATTCTTGTGAACATATTGTATCATATGTAGGGACACATCAGAGTAATTAGCATGAAAACAGTCTAATGACATAGATTAATGCTATTAATAATTTTTTTCTTTTCTTTCTAAGTCGTTACTAAGAAGTCCAGAAGTAGTGCAATTTTTACAGAAACAGCAACAGCTATTAAATCAGCAAGTTTTGGAGCAAAGACAACAGCAGTTTCCAGGAACATCAATGTGAGGGAACTTACCAAGAACATCTACATGGTTTTTTATCTTATTGTAATAGATGAGCATATTTTTTTACCAGACATAAATGGGGTAATAATCTATGCCTGTAGAACATAAACATTTTCCTGTAAATGTATGTGTGCATTTGGGGATAAGTAAGTATTGCACTTTGTGCATCTAATCTTTCAGATTACTGTGAGTTTGAAGAAGTCAGCTTATCTTTCCAAATAACATTTAATTATAATGTTTTTTAAAAAATATATTCCTCTTCAGTCATTGTTACTGAAGGTAATGAAGCAGTTACTTTCTGTGGAAGTCATAAAGTTAATAGATATTAATCTTGACTCATCTAGCTCAGTGGTTCTCATCAAGGGTCAATTTGATTGTCATAGTGACCTTGAAAACCACTGGCTTTTAGTGAGTGGCCAGGAATGCTAAATGTTCTGCAGTGTCAGGGGTAGTCCCACATACTAAAGATTGTCTCACCCGCAGTGCCAATAACACTCCTAAGAAATGTTGATGGCTATTTTGTGGTGCTAACATGTAGTTGGGGCACCTATAATTGGGTTCTCTTAATAACCTTTCTTTGCAGTTAAGACTGAAGCTGTCAAAGAGGTAAGCACATTTTATATAGACGTAAGGAAAGTGATTATTGTTTAATATCTGTGAATTTAGGATGTGCATCTCTTTTCAGAGGTGTGTTAGTAAAACCTGACGGATTAACTAAGCACACTGGGATGTGTCTCCTACAGTTGGCTTCTCTCTTTGATGTTACCTGTTAGTGCTGATCTCTTAAAGCAGACATTTCTTGTTTGTTGAATTTGTGAACAGTATAGATCTCAGCCCACCAATGCCAAGACAAAATTATTTTTCTTATACTTATTTTTTATTAAACAAAATGAAAAAGATCCTTTTCAAAAAGGTGATCCTGAAAATAAAACTAACACTCCAGTATTTTGTCATTGTTTTTCGCAATTGAGCTATCTGAAAACTGTTATTCCTAAGTAATGTTCAAAAATGATAAGTAATCTGGATACCTTTTTCTTATACTTTCTCCTAGGAAAACTTTAAAACTTTAAAAAGGCAAACCTACCAATAGGAATAACAAATTAAATGTCAAGAGAGTATATCCAATATTAGGATATAAATGTATGTGTCTCAAGTTTAACTCTACAAAAATTTGTTACTTGTTTTTTAAACTCTATATATAAAGTTCGACTTAATCATGGCTGTTCTAAGAAGTACTTATGGAGAGCAAGAACGTTTTTGTTCATTTCTTAATGTGTGTGTTTTTACTTGCATATCTGTTCAAAACACTTTTAACAAAATTAATTCATTAAAGTCCAGTTGTTGACCTTTGAGTTAGCTGATTTCTTTATTCTGTTCTTTAGTTTATTCTTACTAGATGCAGAGGAATTCATCTACTGTCTGTTATTAACTGTTAGTTTATTCTCATACTTACGATGTTGAGAGTTTTTTTGAAGCTTAAGTTACCCTTTATGGTGGAAAACATTAGCTTATGCTTCTTTAGATGGAATAATGGGAAAGGAGGGAAATGGGAAATGGATGGAAATGGGAAAGGAGGGAAAATAATAGCCCAGTGAGAGCTGAATGAAAAGGGACTGAATTTAAATATTTGTAAGAACTTTGTGATGATGAGTAATTGTCAGACGTGGGATAGATAACTGAGAGGCTCAGAATCTTTACCAAGGATATTTTTTAGGATAAGGTAGCTGCCTGTTCATGAATTTGGATAAGAATAGTAGGACAATATTCAACACAATTTAATTTTTGTCTGCCACATTAGACATTTTTTTACCTTATAAAATGATCAATAAAGCAATAAGGTTTATTTTGGGTAGATGTATTGCAGTGTGTCTCCAGTTTTTTATCCTTGTGTTTACTCATGCCATTTGCCGTGTGACTTTGCTGCTCATCCTACCCATTGAGCTTGAGTTTATTTACCTACCCCTTAAATCTAGAGGACTGGCCTTGTGACTTGTTTTTGCCAGTAAAATGCAGAGGACATAACAAGATGCCATCTCTGAATAGACTTCTGAGAGTTTTGAACATTTCCACTTGTTTTTTTAGAGTCCTACCCTGCTGCCATGGTAAGAAGCCCAGCCTAGCTTCCTGGATAATGAGACACATAGTCCAGTCACCTGTATTGTACCAGCTAATAGCTCTCAACCAGCCACACATGTGAATGAGGCTATGCTAGATAAGCTGTCCAGCCAGCCTGCCAGCTGACCGCAGATACACTTGATAACCAACTGAGATCAGCCAAGCCTGGCCCAAATTTGCAGAGCCACCAAATTGACCTGTAGATTTGTGAGCAATTATAAATTATGATTGTAAGCCACAGAGTTTTGGGGTAGTGTGTTAGATGCAGCATTTTTGTGACAGTAGGTAGCTGATACACCTAGCTGCTATTTATTGTTGCAAAACAAATCACCTGAAAATTTGATGGCTTGAAGCCATTATTATTTCTCACAGTTCTGTATATGATTACTGTGATTTAAAATAGCTGTGCAAATGCTTTCAAGCTAGGTGTGGCAGACCATATTTTTCAAAGATGTCTGCACAGTATCTCTCACCCCACATGCTCTTATGCATTGTTGTCCATTAAGATATAAATTTTCTTTTCTATCCTTTTGAATCTGGGCAGGCTTATGACTGCTCTAACAAAATATGGCACAAGTGATTCTGTGCCAGTTCATTTGAGGAGATATGATAAATATACATGTCTATTTGTAGTAATAAGAACATAAAGGAATTCACAGCTTCCATTTTCCAGCAAAGCTGGAAAATCAGTCATATGATAATGTGGGGTGCAGGAAGTAGTAAGGGGCTTTAGAAAGAAAATATTAGGAAGATACATTAAAGTCAGTGAAAGAGACGGCTGGTAGCGGCTGGGACGATTGCTCACCAAAGTTGTCCCAGCACTTTGAGAGGCCTAGACAGGCAGATCGCTTGAGGTCAGGAGTTTGAGACCAGCCTGGTTAACGTGGTGAAACCCTGTCTCTACTGAAAATACAAAAATTAGCCAGGCATGGTGGCGCATGCCTGTAATCTCAGCTACTTGGGTGGCTGAGGCAGGAGAATTGCTTGAACCCAGGAGGCAGAGGCTGCAGTGAGCTGCGATTGCACTACTGTACTCCAGTCTGGACAACAGAGTGAGACACTGCCTCAAAAAAATAAAAAAGAGAGATGCCTAGTAGCTAGTAGCCTACTAGTAGTCCTCTGAGAGCATTTTTCCCCTTCTTTCATAGTAGAATTTTGGGTTGGGAACATAGCCATATATAACCATATAGCTGATTCTCACATACCATGCCAAGGAATCCAGATACAAATGACGTGTGTACGATTCTATTTACATAAAGTAGAAAAGCAGGTGAAACTATGCTGTCAGAACAGAGAAGCAGGATAAAACACCCGTGGGAGCAGGATACAGTCTAGAGGCTTGAGGAGGTTTCTGGTGTTCCAGAGATGCTTGCTTTTCCAGTTGCTGGTTAGGCATGTGTGTTCTATTAGTGAAAGTTCAACACGCTATGCATTTATGATTTTTGTACTTTTCAGTATATATTTTACACTTCAATTTTTTTAATAGTTGATTTTATTTTTTTAAGACTTTCTCACCTACCCCTGCAGTTGAGTGTGGCCATATGAGTAAATTCTGGCCAGTGGGATGTAAGCACAGGTGATAAGTGCAACTTCCAGATGGCAGCCCGGGGCAAGCAGCCCATTTCCTCTCTTCCTCCATCCTGCTGCCTGGAATGTGGACAAAGCAATGGAGCATCTATGGGCCAAATGAGGGTCATTCACTGGGGAAGGCGGAGTAACAAAATAGAAGGAATCTGTGTCCCTGGATGTCCTCAAGGAACTGAGCCACCACACTAGCATGGGATGCCCTTTCAACTACTATGGGAAAAAGAAATGGAGTGTATTGTTTCTACCAGTTATGATGATGGTATAACCACGGTTGTTGTTATTGTGACAGCCAGCCAAATCTGTTTTCTAAATAATACTATAGGGAAAAGGATTGACAAGTGGCATTAAGGACTTGGCCTACTGGAAACCAGGAATTTGTAATGGCAATCTGCAGTTATGTGATGCTGTTTCACTGGGCTCAGCCATCTGTATTAGTAGGAAACATAGATGATAGGCTTGATGTAGGGTTCATTTGGTGCAATAAGTAAGGGATGAGGACGTTAGGATGCTTCTGAAAGGACTTTTAGGAATAGGTTTGAGCTGAGCAGAGAAGAAATGAGGCTAATGGAGACTGGAGGTTCCTATGACATTGCAGTGTAAGTGTCGGAAGAATGAGAGCACAAGGTATTTCAGCTAGGAATCTATGGACTCAGGAAGTGAGCAGTACTCATTACACTCAATTAGTGACAGCCCCAATTTTTATTCTATAATATTTATCAATACACTTGGCCCTTAGAAATGCTCAGCAGCTAGACCATTAGGCTTCTGCTTGAAGAGTTGATTTGGAGCAATTAAATAAGCCTTTAGGATTTAATGGCAGGAAAGTCACTCAGGGAGGACCTACCTCAAGGAGAAGCTCAAAGCATTTTGCTTCAGCTCATCAAACAGAGCTCTGGAGCATTGCGAAAACGATTTTAAAAATGGCAAGACAAAAAAAGTAGAAAACTATGGAATAATGTTTTGCTTCAGGTGTAGCTAATCCAAACTGCCACAAAGGAAAATTGGGGCACTGGTGGTGTGGGATGAGAGGGTTCAGTAGTCAGGAGACAATCTTTTGTTGAAATGATCTTTTATATTGCTTGAATTCTTACCATGCATATATGACCTTTTCAGAAATGTTGTTCTTACTACAAACTAAAACAAAATCTTGTTAGAAATTGATGTCTAGGCATGGTGGCTCATGCCTGTAATCCCAGCATTTTGGGAAGCTGAGGAGGTGGATCACCTGAGGTCAGGAATTTGAGACCAGCCTGGCCAACATGGTGAAACCCCTTCTCTACTAATAATACAAAAAAAAAAAAAAAAAAGTAGCCGAGCATGGTGGCACGTGCCTGTAATCCCAGCTACTCAGGAGGCTGAGGCACAAGAATCACTTGAACCCAGGAGGCGGAGGTTGCAGTGAGCTGAGATTGCACCACTGCACTTCAGCCTGGGCAACAAAGTGAAACTGTGTCTCAAAAAAAAAAAAGGAAAGAAATTGAGATGTATAGACAACTTGTGCTTACAGTAATTGCTCCTTTGCTTTCTATTTTTCTAAAAAATTTCAAAAAGTGTTTTACTTGTGAATCTTTATTTACATATATGTAACACTTATGTGTAGTGAGATTTACAGGCCTTGGAGTTTACAGGCCATCCTGGGGTCCAAAATATATACTTCCCTGCTGGAGATACACCAAGAAAGTATAATCTAAAAACAATATGACAAAATCTGCCAATTTTCTAGCACTTTATAGTTTTCAAAACAATTATGCATATTTGCTTGCTCTCCACAACAATCCCGTAATGCATGCACAATTATTAGTTTATAAACACAGAAGCAGACTTTTCAAGGTTAAATTACTTGCTCAAGACTGCACAGCTATTGGACTTAAATCCAGGCCCTCTGATTCCAAATGACTTACTGCACAATGTTGGAAGCTTTCGTCACGGGCCAGTGCAATCTGGACACGCCCCTTGCATTTCGGCAGTGGATGCACCATCATGGGGCCATAAGAATAAAGCCTTTGCACAAATTAAGCCTTGATTTTTGGAATGTGTTAAAAGACAGATTTTATGTTAACCTTAATTATATTATTTTAGGAAGTATTTTCATTTGTGCTAATTTATTTGAACCTCAAAACATTGCAGGGCAAGTAGTATTGTCCTTGTTTTGACATGAGGAAAGCAACTCAGAGAAGTTAAAGTGACGTATAAACAGGTCATATTGTTAGAGCCAGAGCCAAGATTTGAACCTAAAATTGTCTCCAGAAATGATGCTTTTTCCAGATTAGTATGTTGTCGCTAAAGTAAAAACTAACACTTTCAAGTGCTTAGTTTATTTTTTCTTGAGATGGAGTTTCACTGTCGCCCAGGCTGGAGTGCAGTGGCACGATCTCAGCTCACTGCAACCTCTGCCTCCCGGGTTCAAGCGATTCTCCTGCCTCCACCTCCCGCGTAGCTGGAATTACAGGCATGCACCACCACGCCTGGCTAATTTTGTATTTTTAGCCAAGACAGAGTTTCACCATGTTGGCCAGGCTGGTCTTGAACTCCTGACCTCAAATGATCTGACTACTTTGGCCTCCTAAGGTGCTGGGATTACAGGTGTGAGCCACTGCGCCCGACTGCAAGTGCCTATTCTAACACAGTAGGCCCTTCAATAAATGCTAAGTAATTAAATTTTTTTAAATGAAACTTTCTGTATGCATACACATACAATTTTATATAAATACATTAATAATCGTATTGTATATACTGAGAGGTTTTTGTTTAACTTTTTACCCCCTTCTGTTCCTTTTTAAAATTTTCTTACCCTCTGTCTTCCATGCACCACCCGACTTCCAGGTAACCTTTGTCAACTACCCAGTATGTAGTCTGTTTTTTTCATGTTTGTATAATTATATATGAACACATATATACATTTAGAATTGTCATTGTTACATAAAAGTGTGGGCATATTATACACGCTGTCAGTATATTGCTTTTTTATGCAGTACTGTGTAGAAGTCCCTCTGAGTCACTTGTATAGCTCTAAGTCATTCCTTTAGATGACTGCAGAGTATCTCATGATATGAATGCATCATCATTTATTCAACTATTCCATTGTTGATAGGCATTCACTTGGTGTCATTTTCTACCACTATGAACAGTGCTGCAGCAGACATCCTTGTAATGTGTCCTTATATAGCGGTATATATTGGTGGTTTTATGGCCTCGGGATTGACTTCCAGAAGTGGGATTGCTGAGTATAGGGCTACATGTTTCCTTTAAATAGATGTTGTTATATTCCTTTCCCCAGGAAATCTGTAACACTTAACATGTTTACCAGCAAATGAAAAAGAATTAATTTCCCTCCCATCTTTGCCAGTATTATTACGTTTATTAGCGTTTCCTGGAATACTGGTAAATTAAAGCATCTTTTCTTTTCTTGTTCTTTTTTTTTTTTTGAGATGGGGTCTCACTCTGTTGCCCAGGCTACAGCGCAGTAGTGCAGTCTCAGCTCGCTGCAACCTCAACCTCCTGGGCTCGAGAGATTCTCCTACCTCAGCCTCCTGAGTACCTGGGACCACAGGTGCATACCACCACTCCTGGGTAATTTTTATATTTTGTGTAGAGATGAGTTTTTGCCATGTTGCCCAGGTTGGTCCCAAACTCCTGGGCTCAAGCAATTTGCCCAACTCAGCTTCCCAAAATGCTGGTACTACAGGTGTGAGCCACTGTGCCCAGCCTAAAGTATCTTTTCATATGCTTGCTGTTTATTTTGATTTGCTGTTCTGTGAATTGCTTAGTCATATCTTTTGCTTATTTTCTGTTAGGCTTCCTTTTTCTAGCTCAGGGTGTAAAAAGTCTGATTAATATCATGAAATTTAACCCTTTGTCACTTCTATCCTGTTTTTTTCCAAATCTAAAATGTGTTTGTTTACTTTTTTATGGTATCGTTTGCCATAGAAGCTTTTACTTCATGTGTATTTCAATATGTCTGACATTTCTTTTATGGCTTCTTGGTTTCTAGTCTTGGTTTAAAAAGTCTCAAGTTGGAATCTTTCAAACGATTACTGATTTATAATGTCCCATTTCTTTTTCTAGAATTAGAAAATATAATTAATATGAATATTGTCAAATAGCTCTAATTGCTTTTGTGTAACTCATTGAAATGGAAATTTTAGAATTTTTTGAAAATCATTATTACACCCTCAGTTTCTAACTGTCTTTAGTTTCTCACTTCCTTAGCTAGAAAAATGAATATTATACTCATGACCACAGATACTGTTGAAGGTACATAGATTAGGACCTGTGTGCAGATAGCAGTTTATTTGAAAATGGGCTGAACTACCGTTTATCTAGCAGACTTGCCTCACTATAGAAAAAAAAAAATCTGATTTAAATACTGCTTTTATTGAGTTTGAAGTTAACAGTTGTTTTTAAAACATTTTAATGAAAATAATTGACATGTTTAATAATTAGGTGAGTTGATCTCACCTTTTAATCAAAAGATGAGCTGTTTCCCCCATTACGCCTAACGTGTAGTACTCCATCCTCCAAATAGTTGTTTGGATTATTCTAAAGCATTGGAGATGAACTTTCTAAAAAATCATCTACTGCAGCAAAATAAATCTTTCCTCTTCAGAGCTTTACCCTCGTAGCAGAAAAGGATGTAGCCTGCCTTAAGATGTATTCCATAAGCACAGATGCTGATTTTTATGAGCTATTTGTAGCTTGGGCTTTAGAGGTTCCAAGAGTAGGTGCAGCATGAAAACAAAAACGGAAAGCTGAGGAAGACAACTGGAAGATAAGTTATGACTAGTGGGATTTTCTGTTTGTGTTCCTCCTATAATTGCACCTTGAATGATTTACTCTTCTTAAATTGGAGACCACAGTCAGCACTAATAAGATTTTATACCGGTTGCCTTTGAAAATCTAATAAGCAGCAGGATATGTTAATAGTAATATATTAATTAACATTAAATATTAGCGTTAAAATTGTTAGTGTTTATTATGGTAATATGGTTATATCATTAAACTATACATGCATACCTGCACTTCACCATCATGCTGATTAGAAGCATCTGCAGAAACTTGTGGGGGGCATAGTGAGGGTAATTGTGACAGCAATCCTTTTCAGAAAATGAAGGAAACCAGCCAGTGTGGTGGCTCATACCTGTAATCCCAGCACTTTAGGAGGCCAAGGCAGGCAGATCACTTGAGCCCAAGAGTTTGAGACCACCCTGGGTAACATGGTGAAATGCTGTCTCTACAAAAAATACAAAAATTATCTGGGCATGGTGGTGCACACCTGTGACCCCAGCTTTTCAGGAGGCTGAGGTGGGAGGATCGCTTGAACCCAGGAGGTTGAGGCTGCAGTGAGCCCTGATCCTGCCACTGCACTCCAGCCTGGGTGATACAGCAAGACCCTGTCTCCATAAACAAAACAAAAAAAATGAGGGAAACTGAGTGTTACAGAGATCAATATTTTTCTAAGAAAACCTAAAATTGTCTGCTAGTATGGAAACTCAAGTTTGCTTCATAGCAGGGTGTGCTGAGACTCTTATTTTTGAGTTCCTCTTATACTTGCAGAGCTGGCCTTTTCTTTTTAAACTATCCATCATGACATGTACACCCTGCCTCTTGGGGTAGTTAGGTGAACGCTTTTGGCCAGGGAAATGCTTGTCCAAGAAAAAACAAGCATTGCTCTCTTATCTGGGTGCCCTTCTCTGGGTAACATGCCCAAATGATACATTACTGTGTCTCCTCTATTTCTTCTTCACCTCTTTAATGCCAACAACAAAGAATCACTTGCCTTTTGCAATTAGTCTCAGACATTTGCTACCTTTAATGAGTTATAAAGTCCACCCCGTATCTCACTTTCCTCAATATGTCCTGCTTTGTTAGCAATTGAAAGTCACTCTAGCCCCTGCCCAGGCCAGGGACTGCCCATTCTGAAGGGCAAGAACAACTTAGAACTGAGACATTCAGAGCAAATCTCAGGTGCCCAGTTTGGAGAGGAAGGCTGAGTGCTGAATGCTTTCTGAGCAGCAGATCACCAGTCCCTGAGTGTCTCTCTGGCTATGTGCTGAAGGTCAGATGCTGGGACCACTGTGGTGACTATGCCAAGTGCAGCAGTGGCAGGATCGGCAGTGTCCTCAGAGGCCAGTGCTGCCTGACTGCCTACACTGTGCCCTTGCTGGGAAATGTAATAGCTCATCCCTAGTGTTAATAATAGTGCTGCAGGATTTTTTGCTCCTTAGTTCAGCTAAATCTGGGTTCTTGTCTCACAGCCAGGAAAAGTTAGGCACAAGGGCACATTGAAAGGTGAAGAGGGCAGAATTTATTAAGTGAAAAGAAAACCCTCACCAAAAAAGGGGGGGGGGGGCCACCAGTAGGCTCCCACCTCACAAATTGAATACCAGGTCACCACAAACAAGCTGAAGAGACCAGGCTCCTCCCCTGCATAAGGCATGAATTCCTGGTGGCTCCACCCCATTCCCTCAGTGTGCATATGAGCCCTTAGTCTGAGCCATTCCATATTGATTTATTTCCGATATTGTGCACCTGTTAAGGGACAGAATTTTTCACCGTGGGCGTGTTTAGGCAAGCCCCCTGTGCACAATGACCTGGATGGGTCAGAGGTTCTCTGGGGACCCTTCCCTGTCTGCCTAGGCATTTGGCTCTCTCATGCCTCTATCAATAGGAGGCAGGAATTGATGGGTTTATTTCTAGCAACCAAAATGGCAAGCCTTCTCACATGATCTTGGAAAAGGAAGTAAGAATTTTGAACAGAAATCTCTTAAATAGCTGACATACAGGCATAGCAAGTTGAACAAGATATTGATCAGAACCAGAGTAGCAACCATATAATAAACTGCAGGTACTGCCTGTATTTTGTGATAAGCTGCTTACCTGAGACCTCTTGATGAACAGCAGGCAAAGTTTATCAACATTCCAAACACCTGAATGATAGGCACAACTACAGGTTTGGCTACTGTTTCCATGTGTTAGATAACCAAAAAGCCCCAAAGCACAGTGGCTCAAATAACAACCTTTTTTTTTTTCTTTTTCCTCACAATGTTGTGGGTCGGCTGAACTTAGCTGAGAGTTTCTTCTGGTAGTCTTGCTTGGGGTATCTCATGAGGCCGCATTCAGATGGGAGTGTGGCTGTGACTGGACAGTCAAGATGACCTCCCATCCTCCAGAGCTGGAGGCTTCAAACCAAAGGCCCCTGTGCAAATCCAACCCATGCTCAGTTTTTGTACTGCCATGAGCAGTAATTTTTACATTTGCAGTAATTAAACCGCTTTTACATTTTTTAATAGTTGAAAAAGAATTCAAAACAAAAATATTTTGTGATATGTGAAAATTATATGAAATTCAAATTTCATTGTCCACAAAGTTTTATTGGAACATAATCATGACCAAGCTTATTCACTTATGTATTATTTACAGCTGCTTTTGCACTACAGTGGTAGCACTGAGTGGTTGTGACAATCACAGAAACCACATGGCCCACAAAGCCAAAAATATTTACTATCTGGGCCTTTAGAGATTCTGCTGGCCCCTTCTCCAGAGCCTCTGTCCATAGTCATCTCTTTTTTTTTTTTTTTTTTTTTTGAGACAGAGTTTTGCTCTTGTCGCCCAGGCTGGAGTACAATGGTGCGATCTTGGCTCACTGCAAACTCTGCCTCTTGGATTCAAGAAATTCTCCTACCTCAGCCTCCTGAGTAGCTAGGATTAGAGGCATGTGCCACCACACCTGGCTAATTTTTTTTTTTTTTTTTTTTTTTTGTATTTTTAAGAGACTGGGTTTCACCATGTTGGCCAGACTGGTCTCAAACTCCTGACCTCAGGTGATCCACCTGCCTTGGCCTCCCAAAGTGCTAGGATTACAGGCATGAGCCACTGCACCTGACCCACAGACATCTCTTCATTCAGTAGTCTAGCATGGGGGCTTGCTCCCAAGAGTACTGTTCCAGGAAGACATGCCCCATTGTGCAAGTACTCATTCAAACCTCTGCTCGCATAATGCTTGCTAACATGCCTTTGGCCAAATTAGGTCACATAGCTAACCCAAAGTCATGTGGGTGGCCATCAACACTGGGATGTGTGTGGCTCGTTGGAGGTCACTGAAGTGAAACCTACCGTAGTTACACAGTAAGTCAGTCAAATTCTTGGTTTATTGGACAGCTGACAGCTGTTAAGAAGGACCCTATGTTAAAGGAAATGGATACAATCTAATAACATTAACAATAGATAATGGTTTTTAACCATTAACTTCCATTGATAATGGTTCTGATTAGAGCGCAAGATAACTAGTGAAACGAGAATTCCCTTATCCCCCTTGCGGGGCATGCGACATGGGTATGGCTCACTCTTTTGGTTTCCCTGTTGCTCAAACCCCTAGGAGGAGCATGCAGACGGGCAGGTGCAGAGGCCGTGGGGAGCGCTTCTGGGCTCTGACCTCACGGCAGCGTCTAGGGATGGCTGTCTGTGACTCCCGAATCCCTAGTGGGCGTCTCTTACAGTGTGCTCTTTCAGCTTTGCCGTCTGCAGAAGGATTATGTTAATCAGCTCGATAGACCCTCTGCCTTATTGCAAGGGCAGTGGCCAGTTTAACAGCTTTCTGTATCCCAAGTTCTTGCCCAGTGTACAAGAAGAATCGGATGACACGTGGGCTTGAAGGATGAGTGCAAGGTTTTATTGAGTGGTGGAGGCTCTCAGCGAGATGGATGCGGAACCGGAAGTGGGGGATGGAGTGGGAACGTGATCTTCCCCTGGAGTCCTGCTGTTCTCGGTAGACGGACGCCTCCTTCCTTCTCTGCCATGCCGCCCTGCCACTCCCGCTCTTTGTCACTCTCTGCCACTCTCTTTCTCTGCTCCTCTCAATGTCCAGCCACTTGTGTCTGTGCCTGCTAAGGTCTCAGGTTTCTAGGGCCATGGGATGGGGGCATGGCAGGCCATAGTGGTCTTGGGAAGTGCAACATTTGGGTGCGAAAACAGGAATCCCTGTTCTCACTTAGGTCTGTGGGCACAGGCCCGAGCGTGGAGCCCTCGCCTGGGGACCCCACCCTTCTCTACCCAGCACTTCCCTGCCTCCCTCTAGTATCAGTAGTAGAGTCTTGTGATAGGCTGGATAATGCCCCCACAAGATATCCATGTACTAATTCCAGGACTTGTTGATGTTGTCTTATGTGGCAAAAGGAACTTTGCAGAGGTGCTTAAGTTGAGGATTCTGAGATGGAGAGATCAACCTGAATTATCTGGATGGGCTCTAAATGTAATCACACGTGTCCTTATAAGAGGAACCCTTGCTTACAGAAGAACAAGAGATGTGATGATGGAAGCAACAGGTTAGAGAGATTCAAGAAAAGCATAGCCAGCCAAGGGAATGCAGGCAGCCTCCAGAAGCTAAAAAAAAAAAAAAAAAAAAAAAAAGAAAAGAAAAAAGAAAAGCAAGAGAACGATTCCCCCTAGAGCTTCCTGAAAGAACTAGCCATGCCACCACATTGTCGTTATCCCAGTGAGACAGATTTCAAACTTGTGGCCTCAAGAACTGTAAGGGTAAGAACTGTAAAATAAATTTATGCTGTTCTAAGCCACAAAATTTGTGGCACTTTTTTACAGCAGCAACAGGAAATTAATAAAAGTCTTCCAGTGGTAGGGGGTGAATCTCATTACGTTTCTAAGGCAAGCATTGCTTAGTATCTTGCTTATTTAAAAGATAAATTTAGCTAGTATACACAATAGTGGCCAATTAGATTGTATGCTATAATACTTGTAAGAAAAATGATTGCATACTCTTTGTTTTCTTGTTTGAGACAGAGCCTCACTCTGTTGCCCAGGCTAGAGTGCAGTGGCACAATCTTGGCTCACTGCAACCTCCACCTCCCGGTTTCAAGCTCTTCTCGTGCCTCAGTCTCCCAAGTAGCTGGGACTACAGGCACACACCACCACACCCAGCTAACTTTTGTATTTTTAGTAGAGACAGGGTTTTGCCATTTTGGCCAGACTAGTCTCGAACTCCCGACCTCAGGTGATCCACCCGCCTCAGCCTCGCAAAGTGCTGGGATTACAGGCATGAGCCACCACACCCAGCCAATTGCATACTCTGAATCAAAAAACCATTTCCCTCAAGTTAGAATATGCAATATTTATTGTACATTGAGTGCCCTCTGGTGCTTACCCAAAGCTTTCTAAACCTCAACCAAACTCGTAGAGATAAAGCTTATAAGCAGTGGGACAATTTGGAGCCTTAAACTCCCAAATTCTCAGATGTCTTCCAACATGATTTTCCAAAGCAATCTGTAGCATGTCTGGAGCAAGGATGGGGGGATCATGATTCAGGGGGCCCCAAGGAGGGTCTATCATAGACTGTTGCTTTTTAAAGTAACTAGTAGCAATGCTTTAAATTGTCATTGTAGATTTAAGAACCTGTAGTTCAAATGTCTCAGTTTAGTATGCAAAACCCTTTACCTCCAAGCTCCTGCCTATTTCTGCCTCTCTCCTTTATGTCAAGCCATCATGATTTATATGGTATAATGCCAATGGATCATTGTTTCACAAAAGTTCTTTCCATTCCTTTTAGTTCTTTTCCACTCCTTCAGCAAGTTGAAGAGCCCTCTCTTGTCCTTCAGCACTGAGCTTTGTATTTCCTTTTTATGCCAAACCAGGAGAAACAAATAGGAACTCTGCCAACTTTTGTTTGCAAACCCCTTTCACGGTAATCTATAATCTCACAAACTCCCTTAGAAAAAAATCAATTTAACATTTTTTCATGGTGTATGAAAGAAATGATTTTGTTTAAAATATTTTATTGCATATCAACATGTTTCAAACATTGTACTATAATCATTTCAGTATACCCTTCAGTATTTATTAAGACAAATTTCACTTTCCACATTCATTTAGTGATGGGCTATATTTAATTTGTTTTAAAATAATTGGGTCAAGAAAAGCAAGTGTGTTAACAAATGAATTGTAAAATGGTATTGTATTTAGCTTGAAGACCGAATGTATAAGAAAGTATATGCTGTTATGGCATCAAAAAAGACAAAACACTTTTACAGCATGATGTTCAGAATATTTGAAATTATGCTTAAATATCAATGGATTATTTTGATGATTTTTATTTATTTTTAATTTTTTATTTTTTTGAGACAGAGTCTCGCTCTGTCGCCCAGGCTGGAGTGCAATGGCACGGTCTCGGCTCACCACAACCTCCGCCTCCTGGGTTCAAACGATTCTCCTGCCTCAGCCTCCTGAGTAGCTGGGATTACAGGCACCTTCCACTACGCCCAGCTAATTTTTGTATTTTTAGTAGAGACGGGGTTTCACCATGTTGGCCAGGCTGGTCTCGAACTCCTGACCTCAGGTGATCCACCCGCCTCAGCCTCCCAAAGTGCTGGGATTACAGGCGTGAGCCACCACCGCTCCTGGCCTGTTTTGATAATTTTTCCTTCCTAAATGATGAGACTAGAGAGAAGTTAGCCTGCCACTTGCAAGCGTTCTCTTCAAAGAACACGTTGCAGGTGTGAATTCTCTTTGGCTTAAAAACCAAACTGAATATAATTTTCCTTATATTTACTCCATTTAACATTGGCATTTAGATTAAGAGTCATTCTGAGGCCTTGCCTAACATTTTTATTAGATGTATGCAAATAATGGAACCATCAGTGATCATGCGGAGGTAAACTTTCAGAATTAGTGTCTGTTAACTTGGTGTTATAACATCAAAATTCTTTATGCTTCTCATACTCAAATTCACATTGTGAAAATAAATACTTAGAATAAAAGCAATTTTAACTGTTTAATTGCTAAAACTACTTTTCCTTGCTACTGCTATGCAGCTGGATAACTATTTCCAAAATAAATCACAAGCACGCTTTTCTGATCCCTATCTGCTGTGCATGGTTACGTGATATGCAGTTGGAGGCCTGCAATGCTTTTTTTTTTTTTTTTTTTTTTTTGAGACGGAGTCTCGCTCTGTCGCCCAGGCCGGACTGCGGACTGGCAATGCTTTTTATTTTGAAAGGAGAAGCTAAATACTTTCGGATATTTTTAAAGAAAGAGCTAAAAATAACTACCATTTCTGCCTTTACAATGTGATCCCCAAAAGCCTTTCTAAACAAACAGTAGCTGGAAAATGCTGAAAATGAATAAATGGAATCCCTGTCCTTAAAGACATCCCAGCCTGGCAGAAAGATGGATAAGTAAACAACAGTGGGGTGCAGGAACTGATACTGACCATTGATGGGCACAAAGTATTATGGGAACACAGACAGCAGGCACTAACCTGCTTTAGGAATGCCTGGGATGATTTACTAAGAGAACTGCCGTGAAGGATGGCAACTTGGATCGGCCCAGAAGCCTTCCCTGGTACTCACCCAGGGCCTGATGTAGATGTCACTCGGTGGTCCCAGCAGCTTGTCACAGCTGACAGCACACTGCTTATTATTGGTTTACTTGTTCACCTTTCTCCACAAAATGGTAAGCTCCTTAAAAGTAGAAACTTTGTCATTGTATCTACAGTGCCTGCTGATGCATAAGAACTATCTGACAAGTAAATATAAGGAGTCTAGGATGATGAAAATACTTCTTCTCTAAGACGGGCTGATGTTTAAAGACAGTATTTTATGTCTGTACCATGATATGTTTAAAGAATGTGTATTCGTGTTTGAAATGCCAATACCAAATATTAGATGCAAGCACAGGGTCGGGAACCATGGGAGACAAACAAGACACAATCACTGCTCTCCAGAAACTTACAGTGTAAACTGGAGGCTTCACGGTCCCCACCAGGATCTAAACAGGCATATCTTTCATGTGTTTTTATTTTGGAGTTCCACAAAACACTTTTTTTGAATACAGAGCTCCATTTCGTTAAAAAAATTGACAACTCTGATCAAGTAAATAAGAAAGCTGCTTATAGGTAATAGAGTTTCCCCTTCCTTTTTAAGATTAGAAGGAAATTTAGATGAAAGGAATTGAGAATTTACATTTTTAGATGATGTGTTCATATTTCTTTGGATTTCATCTTAGTTTTCCCTCACCAGTTGCCTTTTAGCACCTTTCTAATAGGCAATCTGTAGCAATGTACAGATGTTTACAATAATGAAAGTGCTCATTCTTTCCTATATACTGCAATATCACGTATTTGCTACTATCCAGAAAAAGGTTCTACATATATCCTTTCTAAAGTTACTGTGAAGTATCTTCAAGAACTATACTTCATGACGGTTATTCTAAGGTGTTTAATTCAAAACCACTACCTAATTTCTCTATAGCATGTGGAATTTAACATCCCATTTTCAAAATAGAATGGTTTAAAATTAATTGACTTAAGGAGCTGCAGACCCACATACAGTGAATCTTCTATGAGGTTTACAGGAAAAATGAGCCAAAAGACATATAAGTACAGTATTCTTTATTATAAACAATCAGATAACAGTATAAGTGTGCATTTGATGGATAACCGAAGCCAAGTTATTATAATAGAAAGCATGACTTCACTCAAATAGACAGTTTCTTTGTTGTTGTTAATCTGTTTTACATTAATTTGAATTTAACATATGCTAGGATCACCTAAACTTGTCATACAGTTCTGCTATTAAAATCGTAACAGGGAAAGACAAAATGTGAAATGCATGTTATATTTTGCTTTATTTGTTGAATATATATGTGTGTGTGTGTGTATATATATATATATATATACACACTAAATATTTGGGACACAAAGTTAAGCAGGTGCTTACAGTCTATCAAGTGATATTTATGAAATGTTTTTGTTGCTGTTTTGTTGCTGTTATGGGAACATCCATATCCTTAGAAGACAATAAAAAAGAGGATTCTAAATGCTAGATGGTTGGCTAACTTCTCCTGATTTATACTGAGTGTAAAACAAAACAAAACAAAACATAAGGTATATGTGTTAAGTAGTGACATCTTTATAGTTCCAAAGCACTCGCAGCTATTAAAATATCATCTAGCTAAAACAAACTTTTCACAATTTTTTAACAGAAAAATAATAAACCAACAACAAAAACTGATCAATGTTCTGGGTCTTGTGAGCAGACCGAAATGTTACTACAGTGTTCTCTATTGTGTGATCCTTGTCCGTGGCAACCTTAAACGTGTGCTGCAGTGCTGATGTATTTATAGGCTTAGCATGTCTGCTTTATTAGTTATCCTGGAAAGAATGCTATTCAGTTTTTTTTTTAATGTCTACATCAAGGAATGAATGCTAAATGAGCCCATTTAGCAGCCTGAAATCAAATACTGCATTTATTTTTTGAAACTCTTGGTAGCAAAAGAAAAAGCTGATTAAAATATGATTGTGTTACAATGACTAAAGGGTTAACTTCTCATTAATTCTAAATTCTTCAAAATGTACAAGCATCATAATAAAGGCTTTTGATGAGACATGACTGGTGATGATCATATGTGCCAATTTAATAATTTATTTGTCACAGAAAATTCAGATTCACTGCAATATTGTGTTCTGGCTTCCCAAAGCTGCAGGGAAATACAAGTTTTTTGTTTCTTGATTTTTGTTTAGAGACAGGGTGTCACTTTGTCACCCAGGCTAGAATGAAGTTGTATGATCATAGTTCACTACAGCCCCAAACTCCTGGGCTCAGATGATCCTCCCGCCTTGGCCTCCCAAAGTGCTGGGACTATAGGAATGAGCCACTGCATCCAGATTTTTTTTTTGTTTTTAATGTCATTTATGAGCCACCAGTTTAGATTAATTCTGTAAAGGTGTAAGATTACCAGAGGAAGCCGGGCGCAGTGGCTCACGCCTGTAATCCCAGCACTTTGGGAGGCTGAGGCGGGCGGATCACAAGGTCAAGAGATAGAGACCATTCTGGCTACCATGGTGAAACCCCGTCTCTACTAAAAATATAAAAATTAGCTGGGCGTGGTAGCCTGTAGTCCCAACTACTTGGGAGGCTGAGGCAGGAGAATCACTCGAACCCGGGAGGCAGAGGTTGCAGTGAGCCAAGATCACGCCACTGCACTCTGGCCTGGTGACACAGCGAGACTCCATCTCAAAAAAAAAAAAAAAAAAAAAAAGATTACCAGAGGATAAGTTAGATAGCTGGTAGAGAGATCACGAAAGCTATGTTTGATCTCTGGAGCAAAAACTGTGTTGAAGTTCTCCCATGGAATGGTTCCCATACAAGATTCACCATATTAATGCCTTTTCTAAGAAAAGGGGACATGGAGAATTATTGGAAAACAGGGAAGAAAGGGGAGGAAAAAAAACAACTTTGAGACATGGAAGAAAAGTAGCATTTATACAAGGAATCCATTACCTGACTTTGCAGAAGAGTAAGGAAATAATTTCAAAACAGAGATAAGAAATCAATCACATTCTTTCAAGCAAAAGATGATAGATTACATTATTTTGTTTTGTTTTAAAAGTTCTGAAACATGAAGATGTCTGTACAAACAGATTCACTATTAGGTTCTCGGCTCCCTGAGGGCTGGGACTGTCTCTTATTTACATTTGATTCTACAGTACCTAACATTGTACCTGACACCCATAGGTAGGTGCACAATACATAGTTGATGAACCAATAAACTACAGATTTTTCTATACACTACATGGGCCATATATTACATTTTTCAATGTAAAATGTAATAATTCTTTTCTATGTGTATATATGAAAGTTTCTATTAGCTAACACTAGTAACTGTAAGAGGTGACAGTAGTAGCTCAATCATATATCTTTCTCACATGATCATTTCTACCTTGAATACAATTTAATTAGAAAAACTACCATGTGCACTAATGCTAGAAAGAGTTGAGATAAAATGTATAAATGAAGAAACTTCTTGGATTACTGAAGTGCTGTCTGTTACAAGCATAACTGCCATCTTAAATTGTACATTTTTAAAGAGGGTGTGAAATATTTTTCCAAGCAATGCAGTGTTTAGTGCATGGCAAGTATATATATGAAAGTACCTAGAAATTTGGGGGATTTTCCTCCCTCATCTAAAGTAAAATAAGAACAGGTTTTTAATATTGTGTATATTTTTAAAAGATGTCTTATTATTCAGTACCACTGTTCCCCAGAAATTGCAGATGATTATGAAATTATTATCACTTTCCTTGGGAATTTATTTCCAGGTTAGATAATCACTAGACACTAGGTTAAATAACTCATTGATCCAATAATGTGTCTAGATTTTCTCAAAGTCTTTACTGTTGCTTTAGTGATCTGCAAAGAGTTAATATTTGCCAAGAGGCAGGAAAACGTGGCGAAAGAGTGCCCTTCCCAGGAGACTGGAACGTGGGAAATGAGAAAGTGTAAGTCGACGTGTGATGCTTTTCTCCAACCTTTGGTTTCACCTGCTTCTTGACACAGGACTGAAACACAAGCTATTCTGGCACGCTGCGCAGACTCAAAGTTTGCAGGACTGCCTGACACGAACAACCAGCACGACAGGAACCTGGTCTCCTCTGTGGAAAGCAGGAGTCTCCCTGGGTGGCTGGCTCTTGGACCAAGTTCTGGTCTTATCTTGCAATCTGGGAAACAGCATTTCATGCTATTTTCATATTTATTTTCCCATATTAGACTCTGTTTTTACAGTGGTAGACTGAGGGAACATGACTTTTGGCTTCACAGTTTTTTTTCTTTTCCGATCACAGTTTGTTTAAAATGTACCACTGAATATGAGCACAGGAGCCCAGCTATAGGTATGTCAACCTTAGAAATAAAGTTTCTATGGCCTATCTCATTAATTCATTGTACAAGTTTGTTGTTTTTTTTTTCTTGCCAACAGCACTAAAAGTGACATCATTTAAACTGTAGGGGTTTCACTGCTTTGTTTCATCTGAGTGATATTTGCTTTAGTGCTGCTAATACCTGACTTTTGCTGTATAAACAGTTTCAATGTTTCTGTGAGGCCACACAACATGCTTTATAATGACACGGCTGACTAAAGCTGTCTTTTATTCTGCTAACACCCTTCAAATACTGTTGACAATATCGCCTCTCAAGTGTTTCCTCCCACAAAATCTGCTGCTTATAGCACAGGCACCAAAGTCCTGCTTTTCCAATTGCACTGTACTGGCATCAGGTTAACTAGAAAGCACAAAACAAACGGTGATTAAAAAAAATAAGAACAGTATACATTCTATGTATTTACACATGTTTTTAGAAACTTCAGTTGCAAATCTGAAATGATACAAGCCACTCCCTGCAATAGCCTCTATCCTATGGAAATGCAGCTTAAGACATGACTGTTAAGACACTGAAGAAATGGGGTTATGTGGAGAGCCCATCTGAGTCAGAACTTTGTCCAGCCACTGCAGTGGCCCATGAAGATGAATCTCAATCCAGCAGGGGGTGCTGGTGACATCCTGGCGATGATACTCAGCACCCCAACCCTGAAAAACAAGAAAGGAGCTGAGTGATGGTGCCACACTTACACTCAGCCTCCAGAGCCCCAGGCAGAGCTCAGCGGGGCACAGAGCCCACACCCCAGCGTAGCTCCTGAGACCTGAGAGGGAGAGAACATGGCCTCTACCTTCCTGTAAACACAGGTCAACTCTCACACCAACCAGATGCCTTCAGATGAATCCAAATCAGTGCATTCCCTCAGGGTTCACAACTGAATACTCGGATCTAGAGAGGTTCTGGCACTCCAGTCACACGGGAAGCACTGAAAAATCATTTTCCCTTCCACAAAGGAAGAAACTTGACCTTTTGTTCACCCCTTCATGCCCAGGACAGTGTCTTGCACAAAATGGTTACTGCAGACCAGTGACTGGACCTGAAAGTGGTAAAGACAGAACTGGAAGGCGCTCTTGGTTTTTCAGGGCTCATTATCAAAGCTTGCTTATTCTCTCTCTCTCTCTCTCTCTAGTTCAACTGGCAATTTCCCTTTTATCACCATTCAAAGGAGAGACAGTTAAAATTTTTTTTTTTAATTTGCATATTTTTCTCTATATGTTATATATCAATGAAAGGATATTTAAAAATGAAGGGAGATCACAGCCAAGTAAATCAGTTCTGTGACTGGGAGCAGTGATTCTCTGTAGAGTTTTTTAAAACTTGGATTTCAACACAACCATGCTGCCTGATCACATTTTACTTTCATGACTGAGAACCTCAAGTGGACCTGTGATGTCCCCGGCAGTCACAACCCACCCCCCAGTCCCTTCTCTCATGTCCCCCTCCTAGGTGATCGCTCCTCCCCACTAAAACCTGCAACCCCTTTTTCCCTGTCCATACCTGCAACTGATATTTATTTTGTATTTTAATGAGAAAAATGAATACATCAGAAATAAGTTTCCACAGGACCTGCATCCACATACTTGGCCTTTCTACCTCTTACCACAGATTAATTATTTGTGTTTCCAAATAAGCTGGTCCACCCATTAATGCACTCTCAGACCTGCCTTCCCAGAGACATCATTCCAGCAAATCTTCCCCTTCTCTCCTGCAATCTTTTGCGTCTACTATATCATTCCCGTCAACATATGAACACACTGAAATGTCTTCCACCTTCAAGATACTTCTCCACCCCCCACCAGCTACTGCCCTATGTTTTTATCCCATTTCTGGCAAAAACCCTCAGAAGAGTCATCCATACTAGCCATCTCAATTTGTCTCCTTCCATTCTCTCTTAAATCCATTCTGATCATCATCTCACCCCAGCCGCCAACAAAACTTTTCTTGTCAAGATCAAAAAAGGCCTTCATATTGTTAAAATGAATGATCAGCTCTCAGCCTTTGTGTTATGTGGGCAGCATTTGATTTAGTTCATCACATCCTCTCATCAATGCACTGTCTTTTCTCGGCTTCCAAAGCACCACACTTCTTGGTCTTATTACTACCTCACTGGTTGGTCTTTCTCAGTTTTCTTTGCTGATTCTGTCCCTTCTGTCCCATCTTTAAATGTTGAAGTGTCCCAGGGCTCAGTCCTAGAGCCCCCTTTCTTATTTATTTATTTTAATTTTTTTGAGATGGAGTCTGGCTCTGTCACCCAGGCTGGAGTGCAATGGTGCGATCTCAGCTCACTGCAACCTCTGCCTCCGAGGTTCAAGCGATTCTCCTGCCTAAGCCTCCCAAGTGCTGAGATTACAGGCACGCGCCACCACGCCTGGCTAATTTTTGTATTTTTAGTAGAGATGGGGTTTTGCCATGTTGGCCAGGCTAGTCTTGAACTCCTGACCTCAAGCAATCCACCCACCTTAGCCTCCCAAAGTGCTGGGATTACAGGCATGAGCCACCACGCCCGGCTCTTCTCAGTTTAAACTCAAACCTTTGGTGTTCTCATCCACACTTAGGGAGTTAAATACGGTCCCTTTGCAGACAATTCCCAAATTTGTATTTCAAGCCCAAACCTCTCTCCCCGAATCCAGACTCTTATATCGAACTGGCTACTCAGCAACTCCACTTGAATGCAACGGACATCTCAATTACACCTGCGTCTTCTCCATCTTGATTGAAGGCAACTAACTTCATCTTCCTCTTTTTCTCCCACGCCTGATCCGCCTTCACAATTCAGAATCCTTCCACTTCTCACAGCTGTACTGGATCCCTCCAGGTGGGGGCGACTCTCACCTGACTATTACTATAGCCTCCTAAGTGGTTTCCCTACTTGCAACCTTGCCTGTATAATATCTATCCTCCACACAGCAGGCAGGGCGATCCTTTAAGAATAGAAGTTAGATCATGAAAATGCTCTGCTCTGATCCCTGCAAAAGCTCGCCACCTCCTTACAGTCACCGCTGAACTCGTAGCAGAGGTTCAGGAGGCCTTGCTATGGTTCCCTGCGGCTGCTCTCATCTCACTTCCCCTGCTCATTAGGCCCCAGCCACACTGGCCTGCCTGCTCTTCAGAGTTTCCAGGTGTATGCTGTTGCCTTGCTCTTCCCTCTTCTTCTGCTCTTCCTCCAGGGGTCCCTGGGCCTAGCTCCATGTCTCCTTCCAGTCTCTGCTGACCTGTCACCTTTTCAATGAGGCCCACCCTCATGTGCAGATGACTCCACTGCCCCCGTGCTCCAATTCCCTTCACCCTGCCCCCAGACTTTCTCTTTCCATCCTTCTTCTGTGTTTTGGCTGTTGTTTATTATCCATCTCTCCTTCCTAGAATATTGGTTCCCTGAGGTCAGAGATCTGTGAGTAAACATTGGCATGTCCCACGTGCCTGGCCTGCACATGGCAGGTGCTCAATAAACATTTGTTGACTGACTAAGTCCTAGAATCAGTAAAAATCAGAGCTGAAAGAAACCTTAAAGAGATCTGATCCATCAGCCCAGTGGTAGCTACAGCTGCTCATCTCAAATGTTAAAAAAAAATGATCTATAGTTATATTTACTATGTATTTATTTTAAAAGTTCCTGCAGTATTAGGAACAGTTTGTCTTCTGTGTCAATTGTGTAGCTTTATGAATGTAAATGCTGCCTATCTGAGAAATGTATCTAGTTATTAGGAAAATCAGATTTCTATATAAGCTTATATTTAATCAGAGTGAAATAATTACCTATGAGATATTGGCATTTCATCCTAATTTTAAAAACACAGACCCGGAAAAAAAAAAAACTGTATGATTCAAATGATGCCCTCTGCCGTTTCTAAAGCAACAGAACATTTGAAAAGATTTCGAAGTTATTTGTTAATATAACTTTATAATATATGCTTTCAAAACACTAAATTTGAATGAAACTGCTTTGTCACCATGAAAGAGAAATAATTTCAAGCAGCTGTTTTTTAAAATTGGAAACTATATTGTTCTTACTTTTTAAATAATTACTAAAGTGATAATAAAAACATAATTTGAGTATAGAAAAATTATTTGTCATGGTAATTTTAAAGTGCTAATAAAATTTACTTTGAAAAAAATGCCTGGAACAAGCCATGCTGATTCCCTGGATGGAATCATGGCAGTAAGAAAACTGTCACACATACCCCGATACTTTGATAAGCCCATATTTTGAAATACTAGACTCATTTGCGAGTACTTTGCAACAGACAAAATAGCAGGTGATGAAACTGAAGGCTTTCACTTCCATATACAAACCCAGTTGTCTTTCCTTCCCACTAAGAAACTTCCTTGGTTCTCCAGCCTTCATAGCAACCTTAATAAGATTCGATATGAGAAATTCAACAAATATTCATCAACAGAACATATACTGCTCTCTGAATTAATCACACCCGTTTCTATTCCAAATTGTTTATACCTTTATAACACTACTTAGTTTATTATCTTGTATTAGAACCAACCCTGCCTATTTTTGTAGCTTATTCATAAATATTATCTCCTCCATGTGCCTGTATGCTTTCTAAGAGTAAGGAGAGTATCTTACTGAATTCAGATAAATTCACCAACATTCACTGAGTGATAACAGTGCTTGGCAATTGGAAGGATGGAAAAAATCTCTGTTGCACTAGTCCTGTAAAATTACTGTTGTTACTTTATCATCTGCATTAAAAACAATCAAATAGCCACCTTGTTTTTCCTCAAAAGTAATGTGTAACAATTTTCATATAATTGCTAAACAAGACAGTTTATACTCAAAGAGGAACTCCTCCTAAAAACAATAGAATTCAAAAAAATTGGTTTTGGGCTGGGCGCGGTGGCTCACGCCTGTAATCCCAGCACTTTGGGAGGCCAAGATGGGAGGATCACAAGGTCAGGAGTTCAAGACCACTCTGGCCAATATGGTGAAACCCTGTCTCTACTAAAAATACAGAAATCAGCCAAGCGTGGTGGTGCGTGCCTGTAGTCCCAGCTACCCGGGAGGCTGAGGTAGGAAAATCGCTTGAACCCGGGAGGCAGAGGTTGCAGTGAGCCAAGATCATGCCACTGCACTCCAGCCTGTGTGACAGAGTGAAACTCCGTCTCAAAAAATAATAATAATAATAAATTGGTTTTGTCTATCAGAATTGACCGCACAACTGCCTGCCACATCAGTCAGGGTGCTTTTTTGTTTTGTTTTTCACTGAACATTTTATAACGTGATAGCAAGCACTCCTTACCTTAACAAAACTCATCCGGATAGTACACATCTTGGTCAGTTCATACACGACTTCAAAGCCGTGGTGAACTGACTGGGCCAGGAGCTGAGCGAAGAGCTGGTTGTTGAAGACCTTGAGGCTGCAGCCGCTGGGGATCTTGCAGACGGTAGCTGGGTGGAAGCCGTGTTGATAGTTGCAGTTCCGGCTCTGCACAAAGATGCTGCTGTCACTCACGCACTCGGCATACACCTCTCCCCCGACGTAGTACAAGTGCACACCTGCAGACACAAAAACACAGCCTTCCTTCACATGCCCTTTCATAGCGTGCCTCTCCCACTGATTCCTGAAACCCTAGGAGATGTGACTCTCCCATCAGGTTGTCAGATCACTGATCAGATGAATGAGATGTGTGACCTAAATGCCGCTTAGTTTAATGATAATCTGTGCTTTTTCCACAAATCCATTTAAAAGTGGATCGCAGCTGGGTGCGGTGGCTCACGCCTGTAATCCCAGCACTTTGGAAGCCCGACGTGGGCAGATCATTTGAGGTCGGGAGTTCAAGACTAGCCTGGCCAACACAGTGAAACCCCTTCTCTACTAAAAATACAAAAATTAACCAGGCATGGTGGTGGGCACCTGTAATCCCAGCTACTCGGGAGGCTCAGGCAGGAGAATTGCTTGAACCTGGGAGGCAGAGGTTGCAGTGAGCCAAGGTAGCGCCACTGAACTCCAGCCTGGGTGACAGAGCAAGATGTCATCTCAAAAAAATAAATAAATAAAAATAAAAAAATAAAAGTGGATTGCAACCCATGTTAACAATCACTCCCAAGAACCAGTCAGTAAGGTCTCATATACTATTCCTCCCATCATTCCTGTTTATTTGTTCCAAAAATAAGGTTTTATAATATTAGAAATGAAGTGAATATATCACACAAAAAAATCAAGTAATCCTTCATTGTACATACACAAATTTTATTTTTTTTTTTTTGAGACGGAGTCTCGCTCTGTCGCCTAGGCTGGAGTGCAGTGGCACGATTTCAGCTCACTGCAACCTCTGCCTCCCGGGCTCAGGTGATTCTCCTGTCTCAGCCTCCTGAGTAGCTAGGATTACAGGTGCCCGCCAACACAGCTGGCTAATTTTTGTTTTTTAGTAGAGACGGGGTTTCACCATGTTGGCCAGGCCAGGCTAGTCTCAAACTCCCAACCTCAAGTAATCCACCCGCCTCGGCCTCCCAAAGTGCTGGGATTACAGGCATGAGCCACTGCACCCAGCCCACAAATTTTAAAATTTAAAACTGGACACAGTTAATATCATGAAAATGTAACTTAAGTGCACATATTAAACCTACCTCAGAGGAAACAATAAAAGACACTTAAAAAATTTACCAATACTTATAAATCTGTTTCTCTTAACAAATACCTCAGAGATCTATTTCAATTAAATTTGTCATCCACTAATATAAATCATATAAATAATGTCTATTTTGATTTGTGAAGTGAAATTTCTACATTTTCAGATACAGTAATATAAAAACTCATAAGCAAAATATAGCCTACATCACTTTATCTAATATTCTTGGAATTAAAGTTCAAAAGAGCATCTTGAGGCTGGGTGCTCACACCTGCAATCCCAGCACTTTAGGAGGTCAAGGTAGGTGAATCACTTGAGATCAGGAGCTCAAGTCTGGCCTGGCCAACATGGTGAAACCCTGTCTCTACTAAAAAATACAAAAATTAAGTGGACATGGGGACACACGCTTGTAATCCCAGCTACTTGGGAGGCGGAGGCTGCAGTGAGCGAAGATCACGCCACTACTGCACTCCAGACTGGGCGACTGAGTGAGAGTCCATCTCAAAAAAAAAAAAAAAAAAAAAAAAGAAAAGCATCCTGAGAATGTTGCTGCTCATGCTAATTTCCATTCCAAATTAAATTTTAGTTGATCCTTTCCCTCTAAATGTCTGGGTTTGAGATTTAATATAAATGTATAGCGAGGGACTGATGTTAGAAAAAAATGAAGAAATTCTAGTCTAGTGAATATTAAATATCAGAACAATTTTACTCCCACTTTTGATGGGGAAAAAAAAGTCTCCAGCACTAGAAGTCAATGTGATTATACATATGATCACTATGCAGTTATAAGGTGTTTGTAGAAACAATCCAGAATATACTTATATATTTGGGGTCTAATTGTGAAACTTTTAAAGAACAGAACTCACAGCTTCCAGGGCTGCTCAGGGCCTCGTGTGCATGACTCTGAATCTAGGAAACGTTACTGACATAGCTGCTGGGAGTTTCTTTGTCAGGTCCTAAGTAGCACTTGAGGCAGTTCTGCATTATATGTGATTACATCCCACCATATTTATTGTTTCCTTTTCCCTTAATAAAATTTTAGAAAAGAACAATTTTGAGTAGTATGTATCCCAACCACATCACTCTGAAGAAACTGAGCCAGGGTCGCACAGCTAAAGCACAGCCCTGGATATCCAGTCCACGACTGTCCTGTCACTGCCTCTCCTCTTCCTCAGTCAGAGACTGGCTCCCCTTCTCCGCTTCCCTCAGCCTTCCTCTCCCTCCTCTATCTCATCGCTGTTACCCACTCTCCTGAATGGCCTTGGGCCCTAACCCCAGGGCCTAGGTGGTGGTGCCAGGGGGCAGAAGGATGGTCCTAACTGGCTGGGAGAGTTACTTGGCTGGACCCTCACGATCATAAAGAGAACCCCAGGCCAGGGCAAAATGCAAACACCGCCTCTTACAACAACCCCTGTGGGCTCCAAAGGGGAAAGACCTGCCTTGTGAGGGTGGGCGGAGGTTTTTTCAAGAGGGAAAGCAGGTGAAGGGGCCAGAGTGGAGCTGCTAAGGATTTAGTCGGTATGTGAATTGAATGACCTTCAAATATGTAATCCTCTCAAAACCTATTACATAAGATAAATACGATTTTTTTGTTATCTGAGTCTGTTATCTATCTTCAGGGGTTGGTTTTCAATCCTGTTCAGGTCATCTGCAACCACAGTCCACTTTGGCAAAGCTACCAATGCAGAGAAGAGCCTGGGCAGGTAGGCAGTCGTCCAGCATCCAGAGAGAGAAGAGCAGAGCCAATGGGACCAGCATGCGGAGCCCGCCCAGAAACACCAGAAAAGGGTGGAACCCAGCCTCAGGGTGAGGGAGGCCAGATTCTGGCTAGAGACACCAGCATCTGAGGAGGAGTCAAGTAGGCCAACAATGTTATTTGCATCCATTTGGTAGGCCAGAATAGTAGCTTTAAACGCCAGTGTCAGATTCAAGATCACCACAGAGTAGAGCAGTGGTTCTTAAACCTTAGCTTGCACTAAGACCACTTGCAGGGCTTATTAAAACAGATCACTACTTCAGCAGGTCCAGGGTGAGGCCGGGTGACCTGCACTTTTTTTTTTTTTTTTTTTTGAGATGGAGTTACCCTCTTGTCACCCAGGCTGGAGATGGGGTGGCGCGATCTCGGCTCACTGCAACCTCTGCCTCCCGGGTTCAAGCGATTCTCCTGCATCAGCCTCCCGAGTAGCTGGGATTACAGGCGCCTGCCACCACACCTGGCTAATTTTTTGTCTTTTTAGTAGAGATGGTGTTTTGCCATGTTGGGCAGGCTGGTCTCGAACTCCTGACCTCAGGTGATCCACCTGCCTCGGCCTCCCAAAGTGCTGAGATTACAGGCATGAGCCACCATGCCTAGCCAGTGATATTCCTTTAAAACGGTACAGGAAAAGCATGAACATGTGCAGATTTTACTGCAGCCTACATTCTGACAGTTCTGTATGAAATGCTTAAAAGAGACATCACACCTGTTAGTTGCAATCAAATATGCCATTAATATGTTCATTATTGTAATTTAGTAGCATTAGAAGTGGAAGGAAAAGCTAGTGTTACAATCCTGCAGCCTGTTCTAACTCCTAGCAATAAGGAATAAATGCCCCAAAGGAAGTACTGCCTGAGATCATAAAGAGAACACTGGCAATGCAGCCCTCAAGCAAGTTCCACCCACATCTTGGGCTCTGTATCTGCTTGGGCTGTGTCTTTCTTTATCTGAACTTTCCATTTGTGTGTGACTGCCACCCACTTTTTATGAGATCATGGAGTGTGGAGTCCTGTGTTGTGGTTAATGAGGACTAGAAGAACCTTGGGTTTAATTTGGGTTTGCTGGGTGGAACTACAATAGTGTGTCCCCTTTCAATCCTCTTCTTTTGCCTTGAATGACAGGAAATGACTGGGAAGAGGGCAGGTTGGGCAGGCTGGTGAGAGTGTGCCAATCTCTGGAACCTACTAACAGAGGAAGAAGTCAGTGTCCCAAAGTAGAAGGAAGGTGCAGGGATACCCTCCTTACTGGGAGGGAGGCAAAAAGATCACCATAAAAGGCAGAGTGTCCTGCACAGAAGATGCAGAAGCCTCTCCACTCCTCTTAGGACAAAACCTAAACGTCCCAACACAAGCACAACGCCTCCTCTCGAGTTTGTAATTAATCTTCCCCTTGCCTTTGTTGCCTTTTCTTCTGCACAGCTATTTTAGAAGCTTTAAGAAAATATATATATTTCTGAGTGTAATAATGGTATTATTTCTTATATAGTTAGATATAAACTCCAATAGATGGGAAAAAGGATATGAAGCATGAGATTTGCTCTAAAATATTCTAGCAAAAATACTGTAGAGCGATAGATGAA
The DNA here is from genome assembly GCF_000001405.40 of Homo sapiens. Lineage (NCBI taxonomy): Eukaryota > Metazoa > Chordata > Mammalia > Primates > Hominidae > Homo > Homo sapiens. The sequence continues at coordinate 36,858,084 of NC_000013.11, forward strand.
AAAGAACGGCACAGAATGTGAATCTTTATTGAAGCCGGAGATACTAAGATGAAGACTCATTATATTCCCCTCTCTGTTTTCCTATTTGAAATTTCCCACAATAAAAAAGTTTTAATGGGTGGTAAAAAAAAATACTAATAATATAAAAATACATTTTTCCAGATCCACACCAGGGCCTAGGTCAGAGGATGGAGGCAGGTCTTCCAGAGGACTGTGCCTACCGTTGTGCACTGCACAACCACTGCAAACCAGGGTTTGCCTCCTAGTCTTCAGAGCTTTGTGTAATTATTACAATCCTTTCCCAGCAGATGGCAGTAATTTCTCTTGAGGAAGAGGCACCTTTTCCTAACTCACACAAAGTCACCTCTGGGCTGATAGCAAGGCTGGTCCTCCAAGACTGCCCCTGATGACCAAGTTTCTCAGGACAACATGATAAACAAGCTTGTTTGGGTCCAACTGTACTACACGGCATGTCCCATACTGTCACTCAAACACGCAGCCACTCTGCCTGGGCTGCACTGTGAGGTGTCTCCCTTACCACTGCTGCTGCCTTCCAGAGCACCCTTACACACCATGCCCACCCCATCCTCACAGGATCAAGAAAGCCCACTATAGAAAATTTAGAAAATACAGACAGAAAAGAAAAATCAGCCACAAATCCACAGCCCAGAAATAATCAAAGCTAACATCTATTAGTTATTAGCTATTAACATTTTTCAGTCTTTTTTATGTGTTTTTGAGACAGTCTCCTGCCTAGTTGGGGCTACAGATGCACGCCGCCATACTCAGCTAACTTTTTGGTATTTTTTGTAGTGACAGGGTCTCACCATGTTGCCCACCTGGTCATGAACTCCTACGCTCAAGCAATCCACCCACCTCGACCTCCCAAAGTGCTGGGATTACAGGTGTGAGCCACCATGCTCAGCCATGTGCATTTTTAAGAAGAAAATTGGGATCATACTCTACAGGATGTTTTAAAACTTGTTTTCAGTTAATAATATCTTGTGAACATTTTCTCAGGATATTAAGTATTCTGCAACATCAAGTTTAATGACTGTAACAGTGTGACATTGCATCCTATGTTAAAATATTTTTTAGGATTTGCTTTTTTTAAGATGAGAAGCCTTACATGTGTTCAGAGGCAGAACAAAAGGACTATTTTGAGACAGGGAAGTGAAATCCATTGGGAAAGGAAGCAACCCAAATACCACCTGGACATGCAGACCCTCTGCCCAAGGAGTTTGAAACAGAGTGACTCCGTCTTGAGTAGAAGCTGGGTAAAATAAGGCTAAGACCTACTGGGCTGCATTCCCAGACGGGTAGGCATTCTAAGTCATAGGATGAGATAGGTTGGCACAAGATACAGGTCATAAACACCTTGCTGATGAAACAGGCTGCAATAAAGAAGCTGGCCAAAACCAAGATGGCGATGAGAGTAACCTCTGGTCATTCTCACTACTACACTCCCACCAGTGCCATGACAATTTACAAATGCCATGGCGAACATGGTAACATCAGGAAGTTACCCTATATGGTCTAAAAAGGGGAGGCATGAATAATCTACCCACTGTTTAGCATATAATCAGGAAATAACCAGCCAGGCACGGTGGCTCACGCCTGAAATCCCAGCACTTTGGGAAGCCGAGGCGGGTGGATTGCCGGAGGTCGGGAGTTTGAGACCAGCCTGAGCAATGTGGAGAAACCCCATCTCTACTAAAAATACAAAATTAGGAGGGCATGGTGGCACATGCCTGTAATCTCAGCTACTCAGGAGGCTGAGGCAGGAGAATCGCTTGAACCCGGGAGGCAGAGGTTGAGGCGAGCCGAGATTGTGCCATTGCACTCCAGCCTGGGCAACAAGAGCGAAACTCCATCTCAAAAAAAAAAAGAAAAAAGAAAAAAAAGAAATAACCATAAAAATAGGCAACCAGTAGCCCTGGTGGCTGCTTTGTCCATGGAGCAGCCATTCTTTATTCCTTTCCTTTCTTAATAAACTTGCCCTCACTTTACTCTATGGATTTGCCTTAAATTCTTTCTTGTGAGAGATCTAAGAACCTTCTTTTGGGGTCTGGGTCAGGACCGCTTTCCGGTAACATCTCTGCAAGGAGCTGACTGGTGAAATCCTTATGTCAAGATAATTCCTTTCATAAAACAAGAAGAATTACTAGAATTATACAGAACTTGAGATATACAAGAAAATAAAGATTCATAAAATGGTTTAAAAAAAGCCCAATTCCAAAAACAATGCAATGATTTGGAATATGTGATAATTATTTTCAGGATACGCTTGATCTATCTCAGAAAGTTCAATAACCAGGGTTAATGGTTATCACTTATTTTCTCCCACAAAGGGAGAAATTTTTTTACCTTTTTTTTTTTTTTTTGAGATGGAGTCTCGCTCTGTCGCCCAGGCTGGAGTGCAGTGGCACCAACTCGGCTCACTGCAAGCTCTGCCTCCTGGGTTCACGCCACTCTTCTGCCTCAGCCTCCCGAGTAGCTGGGACTACAGGTGCCTGCCACCACGCCCGGCTAATTTTTTTTTGTATTTTTTAGTAGAGACGGGGTTTCAGTGTGTTAGCCAGGAGGGTCTCGATCTCCTGACCTCATGATCCACCCGCCTCGTCCTCCCAAAGTGCTGGGATTACAGGCATGAGCCACCACGCCCGGCCACCAGCGTGTCTCTTAGATATTAGGTAATCAGTGGGGGTAGCTATCATCATCATCATATTATTATTATTTGATATGTCATTGTAGAGAGTTCAAGTGGTCTGCCTAGTTTCTAAGGAAGAATATGGATAGATCCCACACTGGAATGAGATGTTCCAGGCTGCCCAAGGTATTGCCTTTGACATTTAAGTGGTAGCTTTTGGTGTGCTAGTGCTAACTGTTAGTAGCTATTTAAAGCATCTTGCTAGTGAGGTCAAAGTCATAAGTTCAGTCCCTTTGTACCAGTTAACTGCTGCATGGCTACAAATAAATGCTTTCTACCAGCCCCTCTACCTCAGGGACATACCCACTAGATGGTAAGTGGGGTAAATGAGGACCCATCATCACCACTAGAGAAAACAAAACTCAAAATGCACGCAGTGCTGACAGGGTGGCAACATGACCTTCCTTTAGCAGGGCCAGCCATTTAGCTAATTTAAGTCACAAGGAATAAAAGCCAGAAATGGTGTGAAGGCTAATTGATATCTACTGGGTAGGGGAATGGCTCATCATTAACTATAATAAAAAGAATTTTTTTTTTTTGAGATGGAGCCTTGCACTATTGCCCAGGCTGGAGTGCAATGGCACAGTCTTGGCTCACTGCAACCTCCACCTCCTGGGTTCAAGTGATTCTCCTGCCTCAGCCTCCTGCGTAGCTGGTATTACAGGCACCCGCCACCACACCCGGCTAATTTTTTGTATTTTTAGTAGAGACAGAGTTTCACTATGTTGGCCAGGCTGGTCTCGAACTCCCGACCTCAGGTGACCTGCCTGCCTTGGCCTCCCAAATTGCTGGGATTACAGGCATGAGCCACTGCGTCTGGTCACTAAAAAGAATTTTTAAAAATGATATATTCAGGCCAGGTGGGGTGGCTTACACCTGTAATCCCAGCACTTTGGGAGGCCAAGGCAGGGGATCACCCGAGGTCAGGAGTTCGAGACCAGCCTGGCCAACATGAAGAAACCCTTTCTCTACTAAAAATACAAAAATTAGCTGGGTGTGGTGGTGTGCGCCTGTAATCTCAGCTACTCAGGAGGCTGAGACAGGAGAATCGCTTGAACCCTGGAGGCAGAGGTTGCAGTAAGCTGAGATCGTTTCATTGTACTCCAGCCTGGGTGACAGAGCAAGACTCCCGTCTCAAAAAAAAAAAAAAATCTTCCATCCTTGCCCATCACCGTCTAATTAATCTCAATAGAACAGCCAGGCAATCTTTTCGAAAGTGTAAAGTCAGATCATATTGTAAACCAAAAATAAAACTGGAAGGCCCCGCAACAATTTGAATGGACCCCCTCTCCTCAGCCAGGGAGCTCTAAAATTTAACCTGACAGACTGGTTCAGGCTCCACGAACACTGACTTCCTTGCTCTCTGTGTCACAGCCATTTGAACCAGAGCAACTCCATCTTGAATAGGGGCTGAGTAAAATAAGGTGGAGACCTACTGGGCTGCATTCCCAGGATGCTAGGAATTCTTAGTCACAGGATGACATAGGAGGTTGGCACGAGATACAGGTCACAAAGACCCTGCTGGTAAAACAGAGTGCCATAAAGAAGCCAGCCAAAACCCACCCAAACCAAGATGGCATTAAAGTGACCTCTAGTCATCCTCACTGCTCATTATATGCTAATTATAATGCATCAGCATGCTAAAAGACACTCCCACTAGCACCATGACAGTTTACAGATTCCATGGCCGTGCCCAGGTTACCCTATATAGTCTAAAAAGGAAATGAACCCTCAGCTCCAGGAAATCTCCACCCCTTTCCCAGAAAACTCATGAAAAAGGAAAAAGTCCACCCTTTGTTTAGCATATAATCAAGAAATAACTACATTATCAGTCGAACAGCCCATGCTGCTGCTCTGCCTGTGGAGTAGCCATTCTTTTGTTTCTTTACCTCTCTAATAAACTTGCTTTCAGTTTACTCTATGGACTCACCCCAAATTCTTTCTTGTGTGAGTTCCAAGAATCTTCTCTTGGGGTCTGAATCGGGACACCTTTCTGGTAACATCTTCTCAAATGTCACTTTTCCAGGAAGGCCTTCCCTGGTTACGCTGGTTTAAAGTCTCCATTCTCTTCCCCTGCTTTGTGTTTCTCTATTGGACATACTGTATGTTGTATTTCGTGTCTGTCTTTCCCCAGCAGCAAGCAATCCAGGAAGCCTGCTCATGGTCTTTCTTCCACTGTTGCATCCCTCGTGTCCAGTCTGGCTGAGAGGCGATGCTCAGTAAGTACTCGTGAGATGAATGCATATTACTAAAACCTAATGTCTGTTAACTAACTCCACAGAGCAAGTTAACTCATTTGCTAGCCGAGGAATGCATTTTGCAGATAACTTACTCAGGCTGGTGCTCCTGGAAGCCATGCTGCTCAGAACCAGATAACCCATGGCAGCATCTGAGAGAGAATCCTGTGATCTCACAGAAGACTGACTGCCCTTGCTTTAAAATCTCCCAAGCCAACACTTTTTTCCACCCACACGCTTTATGGCAAGGCTTGTGGCATGTCCAAAAAAAAATTTTTTTCCACATTGGAGTAATTTCTAAGCAGCTCTGAGAAAACTGTAACTTTGTCTTCGGACCATGTGACAGTGAGTACCCTTGCATCGAGGGGAGCACTATTAGGTGCTCCAGTTTGCAGAACAGGTCATCAGTCCCAGCTCTTGCTCATGTGGCTTCTTAACCCTAAAGACGAGCTCTCAGTCAACAACACAGGAGCTACTGATATAATTGGGATATTTGACTCCTCCAAATCTCATATCGAAATCTGATTCTCAATATTGGAGGTGGGGCTTGGTGGGAGGTATCTGGGTCACACAGAAGGATCTCTCATGATCTGCTTGGTGCCCTCCTTGAGGTAATGAGTGGATTCTCACTCTATTAGTTCCTGCCAGATCAGTTTGTTAAAAAGAGACCAGCACCTCCCTCCCTTCTCTTTCTGTCTCTTCCCAGGTGACACACAGGCTCTCCTTTGCCTTACACAGTGATTTTCAGAAGCTTCCTAAAGCCCTCACCAGAAGCACATGCCAGTACAGCCTGCAGACCCATGGGCCAAATAAACCTCTTTTTTTAATAAATTACCCAGTCTCAGGTATTCCTTTATAGCAGTGAAACAGACTACCACACACTCTCCATGTCCTCAGCAGGAGCACCTTGAAGAAGCGACTTGCAGACAGGTTCCTAGAACACATTCAGCACTCCTTTAATACTTTAATCCTGTCTTTGGATCCACTGGCACCAGCAGAAATTGAACATGCAGACCAATCTGCAAAGCTCCTCAGCAAACTGCTTCACAACATTATGTGTTAATGTTTTGCCTTGAGAGTTCACTGAAGGTTCTTCTAAAAATCATTTGAAAGTAAAGCCATGCTCAAGAAACTTGTTTAGGAATTAATTCAAAGATTATTTCCTTTGAGGAATGGCTATTTTCCCCCTTTGGGATAAAAATTACATTCCAGAGTGAGTTTTTCATTTCTTCCCTCCTTGTCAGGAAACCTAGAGTAAAATCACCACCATCTTCTCCAGCTCTCTGTGTCAGAGACGTTTGAACCAGAGCAACTCCATCTTGAATAGGGGTTAGGTAAAATAAGGTTGAGACCTACAGGGCTGCATTCCCAGGAGGTCAGGCATTCTCTCATCCAAGTACTAACCAGGCCCGACCCTGCTTAGTTTGGTTAACAATGCTAACCCTTATGGATGACATATCTGGATTCTTCTCCCCTCCCCTCGACCCGTTTCTGATTTTCTATTTTTCATTTATCATTTCACTGCAATGGTTTCTCGTAAGTGGCCTCAAAGCCACTATGGAGACAGAATATAAATAAACATAAAGTAACTGTCTCCATTAAGAGTCAACATCAATGAATGATTTCAACCTGTTTCTAAACAATGGCTTTTAGGTTTACTCCAACAGGAGACATTTTGAAGGTATGTTAGGAAGAATATTAGAATGCATCACCAAATGGAACAATGAATCTCCCCTGGAAATTTGAAAGAAAAGGCTCAGGCTCCCTTCCCGAGGTGGCTTAAGTGCTGGATGGAGAGAGAAAAGGTCAAATGACTGAAGGTTCTTCACATCTATGACTCCATGGTATCAATCGAAGATACCAACTATTCCAATAGAAAAGAAAATAATTTAAAGATCCTCAGCCAGACCACACACTCAGCTGGGATTTGCTACCATCACTCAGACCAATGAGATGGGCTTCAAAAGCATCACTGGTCAGAAAAGAGACCAGTATGACTTGTACCCAATCAGCCTGCACACAGGAGAGCCCCAATCACATGCCAAAGGCTTCCAGACATAAATCAGTCATTCTTTCTAACTACCTAGCTGCTAAGTCTCCAAAGGGAACTTCACCTGATACAAATAATCATCTAGTCAGAATTCCTGTTCTTCAGAAATGATCCTAGTTTGTAAGTTTTAGGGAAATGAAAAATAATGCATAACACTTCTATTTAATAATTTCATCCGGCTTTCTTCATATTTATCATCTTGCTTGTCTTCACAATCCCCACTCCATGCCACCCCTAGAAAGTGGCATGATGACATTAGAGGAAGAGGGACTAAGATCCTGACAACCTATGTGCTTTCCCCAGTGGTAATGTCAGAGCTATCTCAGAGCTCACCAGCCCTGGGGTCCTTCCACAGGGGCACATGACCAACATGTGAGGGTGGTCACGTGCACTTCTACACACATGACCATCTACATTTCGGCTAGATGACTAAAGGAATAACATCTTTGCTCTTACCCTTTCCTATATGTCTCCTGGTATTTTCTATCGTTGAGTTTCTGTTTACATTAGAAAGAAGTCCAAGACAGAATCTGTTCCTGTTATTTGAAGGGTCGGTGAACCCATCTATGAGCACACTTCGGGAGGAAGCCTGGAATGTCTCCCCAACTCGGTTGTTCAGTTCATAGTAGGCGACCGAGCACCAGTGCTGGGGCTCCTCGTAACAAACTGGTCGAAAGTCTGGAAGAAAACAAACCAGAGAACACATGGCTACTGTCATACCTGGGCTGTGTAGTTCATGATTCCACCAGGAAACTTAGTTAATGCTTTTCACCAGAAAGTCGGCTGCAAGACCAAGCATGCCGCTCTGCAATCTTTTAGAACCTGTAGCTCTCATGGGAGCTGTTTGGGGCCGGCTCATTTCACTAGCACACCTGAGATGTAGAGCCCATGGTCCTTGTTCATCTTCCATGGCTAGAGCATTTATAAATGTGTATTGGTCATGAAGGGGCCAGGGAAAACATGACATGAACAGATGAACATAAAAAAACTGTCGGCCCTAAAGCAAGCACAGCTCAAAGGAAGCTGGCAGGTCACCTCTTCTTTCAGAAACATGTGAAAGATGGCATGTTGCTGTTACTGTGCCCACTTGAATCCTTGTGGCAAAAAGTATCATTTTCTAACAAACTAGAGATGGAAAACAATAGTTTGACTATGATAAAAAGCAAATCAATAATGCTGAATAGGACATTAAATTATTTAAGGAAAAAAAAAGCTTCCACATAGAGGGGCTCACATTCTGCTTTGTGGATATCTAGTTATGCATGGAAAAAAAAAAACATTTAAAGAGAGCTGGATATTTCATCAGGAAACCCATGGATGTTTTCACACCCAACATAAAGTTAAGTCACTTTCCTGTAACTAACCAAAGTTCAGAGTTCCTTCTTTCTTTGCCACTCACACCCTTTCTCTGCCTTTCTAGTGATTGTATTACCTTTCTCTTCCTTGAACATCCTTGTCATTCTTGCATCTAGAGTGTGTTCCTATATGCATTAAATATAAATTTATGAAACAGATAAATTTGGGGGTTATTATTTCTCTTACAAAAGGATCTTAGCTTATAAAATATTCACTTGGAGTATTTCAAATGGTACACTTCTTTAGAACCTCTCTACTCAAGATCTGGCTCATGGAACAGTAGCCTCCGCATTACAAGGAAGCTTAACAATGTAGATTCTTGGACCCCACCGTAAGATCTACAGAATAAAAATCTTCATTTATGCAAGATCACAACGTGGTTTATATGAACATTAAGGTCGAGCAACACTTATCTAGACTATTATAAGATGCAAATAAAATTTTGTAAAAACCTCATTTATGTATATTTCTAAGAGTACCTCTCTGGCCAACTGAAAGACACCACTATAAACATATAGTAAAAACACAAATAGAATAAAATCCCTAACTTCTTGAGTTCCCAACTCCATACTTAACATCAAGAACTACAAACTTCTAAATGCTGAGTTAAAATAAAAAGTTAACTTGTTCTAGTAATGATGATAAACAAAACATTAATTCTATTGTACTGAGGAATGTCAAAGTTAAAATGCAAAGCCATCCCATTTGCCTCTTAAAACACATGCAAAACAGCAGGCCAGTACATTTCTGGTTTTCTTTTTTGAGTTGCTTTGTTTGGGGGTAATAGGAAATACTTTTGGAAAATAGCTACATTTCACTGTTCATCTGCAATTTACCTCCATTTGGTATCGATAGCACTACATGTCTATCAGCTGTGGCATCTACAGGTTGGCCACTCTGGGTCTCAGAGGCTTCTGTGGCATGATAAGGCAGGGGTGGTGTGTCAACTAAAAGAAAGCAGTAGAACAAAGGAATTGTCAAATCGATAAACCACACAAAGACAGTTGGATCCGACATCTTTTGCCATTAAACTCCTGAGCTTGGTGGACAGTGCTACTCCTACAGAGAGACCATATTAATGTAACAAGGCTCTTCTGAAGTGACACTGTGAGTACCCTACAGAAGAAACTGGTTGTTCTGAGAGCCTCAGTAAAGGGTCAATTCATTTTCCCTCCGACTTTTGAGTTATCATTGAGTTCTAATGACTTCAGGGCAAGACTTTCAAATGCAGAACCTGTTCTCCTAGCTTTTCTCATAGCAGAATAGTCTGTGATCTGGCTTGCAAAACACAGAGAAAGCTAAACCTTCTTTGAAGTGAGCTTAATTTTCAGCTTCTATGTTGTCACAAATTGTACAATGGCCACGGGGACGCTCTATCCCTGAGATACTTCAAGATACCTGAAACGTAATTATAACCTTGTACCCAAGGCACGCTGAGAAGGGCCCTTCTACCCAAATGACAGTCCTGTGACTGGACAGTGATCATGGTTAGGCAAATGGGATGCATTCCGTGGATAATAATTCATAACACAGTAAAAACTCATGAGGCACAGGAAAAACTCTTTATGGAGGACCTCAGCACAAAACAACCAATTCCTTCAGTATGCATGTCTAATGTTAGTTCAGAATGGTCTTGTTAACATGCGTGGTGGAATACAACAGCGTAAAAGGTTGGATCAATCTGCCTTTGTTGTATCGAATTGTCCACACAAGTAGTTCTCACACTTAAGTGTACACAAAAATTGCCAGTGGAGCTTGCTAAAAATGCAGATTCCTGGCCCCATCCTTAGCAATTCCGATTCAATAGGTCAGTGGTTGAATGTAGCCATGTACATTTTAACATGCCCCAATGGCAATTCTAATGCAGGGTTCGTGGACCATACTAGGAAACCATGGGTAAGGTATTTCCTTGTGAGAAAATGGACTATGACTCCTATGACTTTGGTGAAAAAGTTATAAGGCAAGATGACCTTTTTGTAGGTCTTTGACTAAATATGTCTATTTACTCAAGAAGCAGAACAGGCTGAGCACAGTGGCTCACACCTGTAATCTTAGCATTTTGGAAGGCTGAAGTGGGAGGATCACCTGAGTCCAGGGGTTTGAGGCCAGCCTGGGCAACATGATGAGACCCCATCCTACCAAAAATTAAAAATTAGCTGGGCATGGTGGTGTACACCTGTAATCCTAGCTACTCAGAGGCTGAGGAGGATCACTTGAACCCAGGAGTTTGAAGTTACAGTGAGCTATGACTGTGCCCCCATACTCCAGCCTGGGTAACAAAACAAGGCCCTGTCTCTAAAAAATTAAAATTAAAAAAAGGGGGACTGAAAATAGAATTACCATATAATGTAGCACTTCCACTCCTAGGTATATACCCAAAGGAATTGAAAGCAGGGTGTTATTTACTAGAGCCAAAAGGTGGGAACAATCCAAATATCCAACAGCTAATGAATTGATTTTTTAAAATGTGGTATAGCCATACAATGAGATATCGTTCAGTCACAAAGATGAACTACCGATATATGCCACAACACAAACTGTGAAAATACTTGGCTAAGTGAAATAAAACATACACAAAGGGGCAAATATTGCATGAATCTAGTATATGAGGTACTTGCAATAGGCAAATTCAGAGAGACAGAAAGTAGATAGAGCTTACCAGGGGCTGGCAAAGTAGGGAAATACGGAGCTATTGTTAAATCAGTACGGAGTTTCCGTTTGGGGTGATGAAAAAATTTTTGAAAATAGATATGGTGATGGTTGCACAACATTATGAATGCACCTAATGCCATCAGATTGTACTTTTTTTTTTTTTTAATAGTCCTCACCAGGCTAGAGTGCAGTGGCACAATCTCAGCTCACTGCAGCCTCCGACTCCTGGATTCAAGCGATTCTCGTGCCTCAGTCTCCGGAGTAGCTGAATTACAGACATGCACCACCACGCCCAGCTAACTTTTGTATTTTTAGTAGAGACAGGGTTTCACCATGTTGGCCAGGCTGGTCTCAAACTGCTGACCTCAAGTGATCCGCCTGCCTAAGCCTCCCAAAGTGCTGGGATTACAGGCGGGAGCCACTGCACCCGGCTAGACTGTACTCTTAAAAATGGTTAAAATGGGCTGGGTGCAGTGGAGCATGCCTATAATCCCAGCACTTTCGGAGGCCGAGGCGGGTGGATCACCTGAGGTCAGGAGTTCATGACCAGCCTAACATGGTGAAACCCCGTCTCTACTAAATACAAAAAAATTAGCCGGGTGTGGTGGCACATGTCTGTAATCCGAGGTACTTGGAAGGCTGAGGCAGGAGAATGGCTTGTACCTGGGAGGTGGAGGTTGCAGTGAGCCGAGATTGTGCCATTGCACTCCAGCCTGGGCAACAAGAGCAAAACTCCATCTCAAAAAAAAAAAATGGTTAAACAAATTTTGTGTTAGATATATTTCACCACTACTTGAAAAAAATTAACATATGAGAAACCACTGAATTGTACATTTGAAATGGGTGGTTGTATGGTATGTGAATTATACCTCAATAGAGCTTTTTAAAAAATTTAGAGGCTGAACCAGTAAATCGCAAAGGTTCCTTTTACTCTTGTTTATCTACAGGTCTGTTACTCAGGTTGGCATTTTGCTGTTAATCATTCAGACAAGAATTATTTTCTTTGAAGTGAAAAGGGCTATGCCTTCTGTGAGAAACTAACCAGCTTCTGCATCACTGTTGGTGTCTGTCCTGCTTGGGTGGGAAGAGTAAAAAGAACATCAACCTGTCAGAGTAACCAGGGCAGGAATTCAAAGTCAGCACAGGAAGTCTTTGTAGCATAGAGGTGTGTTAGGTAAATATATATTTTGCAACACTATTATCCTCCTGTTCCTTAACCAAGGTTCTGTCCTCAAATGACTTCTCTTTCTGTTGTATTTCTTCTTTCTCAGTGAACTCAGCCACTTGCAAAACTTCAACCATCTGCTCCTACACTGAGTTAATGACTCTCAAGCTACCCTCCAGCATCTCTGCCTTCACCCTACAGTAAGTCCTGTTGGACCTCCCTCCCCCAATTCACTGCCCTCTTTCCAACCCCATATCCCTGTTTTAGTTCAACTCCTTATAATCACTTGCCTGGACTGCTACAGGCTACCTGTATGTGATGGCTCTCAATAGCTACTGACTCCTGAAGGTCAGAGACCACAGTAGTCCCCCCTTCTCCACCAGAGATACAGTCCGAGACCCCCAGTGGCTACCTGAAGTTGTGGCTAGTACAGAATACCACATATACTATGTTTTTTTTCCTATACATACCTGTGATAAAGTTTAATTTATAAATTAAACACAGTAAGAGATTAGGAACAGTAACTAATAATAAAGTAAAACAACTAGAACAATATGCCAGCATCACTACTCTTGCACTCTGTGGTCACTATTAAATCAGAGTGACCTCAACAGTAGATCTGATCACAGAGACAGCTACTAATTGACTCACAGGTGGATAGCATCTACAACGTGGATGCGCTGGGCAATGGAATGATTCAGAACCTGGATAGGATGGCACGAAGTTTCATCCCCACATACAATTTAAAATTTATGAACTGTTTATTTCTGGAATTTTCCATCCAGTATTTTCAGGCTGCAACTGACCTCTGGTAGCTGAAACCTCAGATAAGGGGGGACAACTACACCGTCTTAATCATCACTGCACCTCTAGCACTGGCCCAGTGCCAGACACTTAGCAGGTGCTCAGTCATCACTTACTGAGTCAATAAAACCTGTGCCTATGGTCTGGAGCTCCATGTCCATGTTCTAATGCCTGTGTGGGCTGGGTGCAGTGGCTCCTGCCTGTAATCTCAGCACTTTGGGAGGCCGAGGTGGGCAGATCACCTGAGGTCAGGAGTTCGAGACCAGCCTGGCCAACATGGTGAAACCCCGTCTCTACTAAAAATGCAAAAACTAGCTGGGCATGGTGGTACACCCCTGCAATCCCAGCTATTTGGGAGACTGAGGTGGGAGAATTGCTTGAACCTGGGAGGCAGAGACTGCAGTAAGCCAGGATCATGCCACTGCACTCCAACCTGGGTGACAGAGCAAGACTCCGTCTCAAAATAAAAAATAAAAAATAAAAATAAATAAACGCCTGTGTAGTAATTTATTTATTCAATAAGCAACTGATGAGCAACCACTGCATTTCAGGCTCTGTGCTAGACATAGAAAAAAGAAGGCTCGCTGTTCAATGGGGAAAATAGACACACAGGAATTATATAATATAGTGCAACAAATATAATAGATGCTTATGTAACTTGCTGAGGAGCAAAAGGAACTAAGTAACTGAGAGGTGAAGAGGCAATTCCCTCTTTATCTTCCCACATCGTAGGGACAATTTTTATTAACCTTTTAATTCCCCTTTCAGCAATCCTAAGGCAATGCTTGCATATAGTAAGAGTTTAATAAATATCCATTAAATAAATGATTATAGGAATAAATGAATGAGGCAGATTGTAACATCTGGCACCAAATGTATTTATGCATGCCTTTAGGAACTTGTCAGCTCCGCACAGTATTTATCTCACACTCACAAAGTGCATATGTATCTTTTATTCATTATCTCAACTTAGATCCACTTTACAGGTATGGTAGCAAGAGCAATTATGACAGCATGCTAGAGGCTCCCTTTCCCTTCCATATGCTTTCTCAATTCAGCAAACTGAAGAGCTCTATATTTAAGATGCTGTCCTGGCTTCACATGGCAGAAAGGGATAATGCACTGGCTGGAGCTGGGGCTTCACTTTCTGCCTCACTCAAAGGATGCAGGCATATGTTTTAGGCAAGGGCTTCCTTTGATTGTTGAAAGAGGCAACCAAGGTAAAGGCCTAGCATTGATCTTCCATGTTGCTTGTCCTCAGGCCAAGTCTTCTGCTTGGATTACAGAAGTCTTTTCATCTTATTTCTACTGCCTTAAAAAAAAAAATCCTTGGAAATTCCCAGGGATACTATTCAAATCCATTTAGTTTCTGAGAGCTTCCAGAGCATTAGAACTAAAACTAGAGGAAAAACATGTTCTATCTCCAGGGTAACTGCTTCAAAATAGGTATAGTCCTAATCATTTTAAGGCTGATTGCTTTGTAAACTGTTTATACTATATGAATGACAGTTACAATGACTGTCATTGTGACTGTTCATCATAAATCATGATGTTGGGCTTATTTTCCCGTATTTCCCCACAGACCATAGTTCTTACTGACCTGAGTGTTGATAGGGACTCTCTGGCTCAGAAGGACTTCCTGGGGAGTGAGGGTAGCTGGCCGTGCACGGGGACTGGGAGAACGCGTGGCTGGGTGAGGGAGGGAGTGCAGAGCACGGAGGCTGCTGGAAAGAGTCAGGATAGGTGGCGTTGTGTGGCATGAGTGGCTCACTGTGCAGGGAGGCGCTGCGGAACTTGGCCAGGAGGCTGAGCTGGGGGTTATATTCACTGTGTCTTGGCACGAGCACAGGAGGCAGTACTAGGATCAGAAAGGAACAAGGCAGTTAGAATTGAACATTGCTCATCAGTACACAACAGAGTGGATACTTGCTGTTCTTATCTATTTTTTGTTTATGATAGAGCTGTTTTTCCCCTTGGGAACTACTCCCATTAGTCTTTGTGCTCATCATAAAACTGTCGATTAAGTCCCCATCTCCACCTAAGAAGCAAGCATGTGAGTAAGCTAAGGTAACAGTCTTCTCCTTGTAACCGGAATCTTAAGCAGAATGTCATAATTCACAAAAGCATTTGGAGAAGGATCTTTCTAGTGTCAGCACTCTAAAGAGACCTGCTCTTTATTCCTACCTTGGAAATGACCAGAGCTGTCCTAATACCTGGCCTTCTGGCAACCTGATTGTTACGTCTTTCTTTAATTCTGCCAAATAAGTCTTTTTTTCCCCCAAGGCAAAATCAGTTTCTCTTGCTTGCAATGAAACCCTAAGTGATCCCCAGAATATTTTTCCTTCAGAGATCATGTTGAATTATTTAGATGACCAGACTCAATTTCAGGTTCAGTAGTGCCACTGAAATAAAAACATTCTATGTGTCCTTAATGGAAAGATTTCAAGGTGAGTAATTAAAAGTTATTAAGTAAAACACAAACGGTGAATAATAATAAAAGTGACTAAGTAAAAGATGAGCAGCAGCAGGGCACAGTGGCTCACGCCTGTAATACCAGCACTTTGAGAGGCCGAGGCAGCCAGATCACCTGAGATCAGGAGTTTGAGACCAGCCTAGCCAACGTGGTGAAACCCCGTCTCTATTAAAAATACAACAATTAGCCGGGTGTGGTGGCGGGCACCTGTAATCCCAGCTATTCAGGAGGCTGAGGCAGGAGAATCGCTTGAATCTGGGAGGTGGAAGTTGCAGTGAGCCGAGATCATACCATTGCACTCCAGCCTGGGTGACAAGAGTGAAACTCTGTCTCAAAAAAATAAAATAAGCAGCAATAACAAAACATAAATGATGTTTGTTCATTTACTATGCTTTTCTGGGTTTCATTTTTTAAAAAGAATGTTACTGTTCTTGATTCTGATTATACACAAAATTTCAGAATAAATTCAAATTCTTAAGGGCAAGCTTTGCCCAGGCCCTCACGTCCTACCGACTCCTAGAAGGTTACAATGCCTGGCATAAAGTAGCTACTCCAAAACTGTTGTTGAAGAGCCATCTGTGACCAACATAAGTTCCAGACAGGGAAGCAAAGAAAATACAAGGGGGAAGTGGTCTAAGAAATAACAAAGGAAAACCTCAAAGAGCTACAAAGGACCTACGTCTTCATGTTGAAAAGAGCCACAGAGTGTGCAGAGCTCAATTAATGAAGAAAAGATCCAGACCTAGTCTTTCCATCTTGAATTTCAAACACTGCGGGATAACTGGAATATTCCAAAAGCTCCTAGAGGATCACCGCAAAGTCACCTACAAAGAAATGAGAATCAACCGACCTCAACTTCCCACTCTAACCCTGGCTACTAGAAGTCAACAGACCAATGCCCTTCTGAGGACAAATAATTCTTACCCCCGAATTCCACAATGGAAACCACTGGAATAACCAAAAACAAATACAAACTATGAACTAAAATATAGATATCAAGGATGAGAAGAGGAGGAAGGAAGAAGATGAAAACATAAGTGAGTGAGGCTGGGCATGGTGGCTCACACCTGTAATCCCAGCACTTTGGAAGGCCAAGGCAGGTGGATCACGAGGTCAGGAGATCGAGACCATCCTGGCTAACACAGTGAAACCCCGTCTCTACTAAAAATACAAAAAATTAGCCGGGCGTGGTTGCGGGTGCCTGTAGTCCCAGCTACTTGGGGGGGCTGAGGTAGGAGAATGGCGTGAACCCAGGAGGCGGAGCTTGCAGTGAGCCAAGATCGCACCACTGCACTCCAGCCTGGGCAGAGCAAGACTCCGTCCCAAAAAAAAAAAAAAAAAAAAAAAAATACATATATATATATGTATATGTATGTATGTATGTATGTGAGTGAAATCCTCATCTTTTATGGTAGAGAGTCAATGACATTATCTAAAAGGTGATAAATTTGGAAATAGATATGTAAGCATATTATATATTATCTAGAGTTACTGTCATAATTCTTAGTAATAATAGAGAGAAATATGAAAGAACTAAGCAAGAATTATTTAGAAGAGTTTGTCTCCGGGTATAAATAGGACAGATCTTGGTTCTAATCACACCACTGATTTGTCAACCACAGGCAAGTATTAATAAAAACTCATAAAAAGTAAATGTTCTAAAACTGCTCTAAAAAATAAAGTCTTAAAAAAAGGTAAATGTTTTGGAATAAACAGACAATTACAATAACAATGACATTAACCCCGAAGTCTGCCATCTGCCTTTGACACCATACATCTATCTCTTTCTTAACAAACAATAATTTTCAGTTATATGGACAGAAAATAAACTAAGAAGGGTAAATAAAAGGTTTTAAACTAAAACTGCTACAGGTGAGGGTGGCAGAGAAACAAATAATTTCTTCCCCTTTTCTAAGCTATTGTATACGTATGCTGCCTTATGACACCAGAGAACAAACATTCAACATCACCATCAAACAGTGACATGGATCATAAACCATTAAATTCCCCTTAATGTATTCATATTCCACAACTATGCAGGAAAAAAAAAGATTATGTGCCTCATGAATAGTCTGAAGTGAGGAGTTGACACAGCGAATGTGTATGGCTTCTTTGTCAATGACCCTTCATCAAAATGTTAACGATGTTCAAGTAAACACTCACTTCTTTATGAAGAAGAATTTGAATCATCTCTGTGACTTCAGTTTTAATGTAAAATATCTACGGTATATTCCTAACACTGATAAAAATATAATGCCTCCTATCCATCTGAATGTAGAGACTTCTATTTCTTCATGGCCTGTAGATCTGAGGCACCAAGAGAAAAGAAAGGATACATTTCCCTTTATCATAACAACTATCTTGATAATATATTTTTACCATCTGGGTAAAATCAAAGCCAGTGGATGTTTGCAAAGAAAACTGATAGTTTCATCCTAGTTGTTATTTGACCTGACTGGCTCCGTTGCCTTAAATGTGCACTGATCATATTTTTAAATACTTTCACTCACAACACAGCTATCCCTAATTACTTAATTCCACTTCCACATCTCAACTGCTGCTTGTAAATATGACAGTGCGCTTACAGACACTCATGCCTATCTTATGCCACTTTTAAACACCATGCTATCTTTACATCTCAGTGTCACACGGGGGGAGACAGCGGAAGGAGTTACAGGGCACATGGGCATGCAAAGCAGAGCTGGAAAAAAAACACTTCTGTCTTTTTAAAAAAAGTCATGTGGTTTTGATATAATATGAATATTTTATATAAAAAAGAAATTACACTCCTGAAATAACCTCCAGCCAAATGGAGTAAAATCATCATGTACCACAACAACAGTCTTGCATGGCTTCCACCAGAACTGTGCCAGGTAAAGTGTGTCTGAGGACTGGGGACCCTTCACCAACTGTTGGGTACGAGTCTGTGAAGAAATTAGTACTTAGAAACTTTTCACAGCAATTTGACAGAGTTTCTAGTTTACACTTGTTTAAATAATTTTTAAAATTGGGCTTATATTTTCTAAGTCTTTTTAAAATTTCATTTGCCTAGTAATTTGTCTGTACTATAAAAGTGTTCGTTTGAAGGACTGGAAATTAAAAAAATAAAAACTGATCCCTCACCACACATAACTTGGAAAGCACTGAAGTCAATTATTGAAGTGGATGTGTGAATGAAAAGAAAATGGGAATGCAGCCTTCAATGTATCTAAAATGGATGGCTAAAAAATGAGATTTCAAAGGCAAAACTTAAGCTTTATGATAAATAGGAACTCAGCAAACTTGTTTAACATTAACATTTTTATTATTCCTAAAATATTTACTTTAAATATGGATAGCTAACTAGATATAAAATCTACTTTTTCTATTAAAAAAACACAAGTAAGAAAAACCTCTGTAACTTAAATATTACCTTAAATTAATATAATCGTTACCCATCTTTCCTTCTGGAAATTCACACCTAAATTATGATAAAATGAAATATATTTACCATATGTAAAACACTCACACTATCATTCCTAAAAGAATCTTACAGAACATGAAAAACTAAAGGCCAGGTATGGTGGCTCATGCCTGTAATCCCAGCACTTTGGGAGGACGAGGCAGGTGGATCATGAGGTCAAGAGATCGAGACCATCCTGGCCAACATGGTGAAACCCCGTCTCTACTAAAAATACAAAAAGTAGCTGGGCATGGTGGCACGTGCCTGTAGTCCCAGCTACTCAGGAGGCTGAGGCAGGAGAATCGCTTGAACTGGGGAGGTGACGGTTGCAGTGAGCAGAGACTGCGCCACTGCAC
Organism: Homo sapiens; assembly: GCF_000001405.40. Lineage (NCBI taxonomy): Eukaryota > Metazoa > Chordata > Mammalia > Primates > Hominidae > Homo > Homo sapiens. The sequence goes on from NC_000013.11 coordinate 36,877,329, forward strand.
ACCGGCCTGCCAACAGAGCAAGACAAAAAAACAAAAGACATGAAAAACTAAAATGTCAAATAGTTCTTTAAAATTAGGCTTTTGAATATTCAAAAGGAAAACCAGGTACATTTTACAAGATATTTCTTACAAGTTGTTAAATTTTACAACTACATTATTCAGGAAGACAGAAATGATTTATTAATGAACATTTTTCCATTTGGATATATTTTGGATGCTTAATGTAATTCAAATCTTTGAAACACAAAATGGAATCCAGTCATTTTTGTTATAAGCTTAGACATTATTGACTTTTTTTTTTAAGTAAGCGAAAAGAGTCAAAATGAACCAGGGAAGAAGGGTGGAAAGCAACTCGCTCCAGGATTTAGGGGAAACGCATCAGATTTGCCAAGCATGTGGAACCTTCTAATACCTTCTCAGCCAGGGCCTCAGTCCCTGAATGGGCTGTGGGAGGCATCCACACACAGGTAGATGTTAAGTTCTGGGAGCTTGAAGGATCACTTAGCTAAGACTGAGGTAGGCTGGGCATAAATCACTTATTGGATACTGTTTTAAGGTTAAGTGAACCTGCCTACGTAGACAGGACCATCTCTTCACTGGACATGGGCAATTTCCCTGAGCTAATGTGCCAGCGCTTTGGTTTCCTGGGATGAGGCAGATGGCCAAAGAGAGAAAGCTCTCCTAAAACTGTGTTCTTGTGTGAAATGCCACAGAAACACTCAATCTAAGAGAATCACAGTGAAACCCTGTTATAGCCAGTGTGAAGGAACAAAGACAAACACCAGGCTTCTCCAAGAGGAGGAGGAAATATATACATATTTCTTACACACATATATATAATATACATACACACACACACACACACAGGGGTGTGAAGGGTTTTAGAAAGATACTTTCCTATACAATCATGCACTGTGTAATCATGTTTTGCTTGAGGGACCAATATAAGACAGTGGTCCCCCAAGATTATGATACTGTACTTTTGCTGTACCTCTTCTATGTTTAGATCTGTTCATATACATTCAATACCATTGTGGTTAGGATTGCCTACAGTATTTAGTACAGTAGCATGCTGTGCAGGTTAGTAGCCTAGGAGCAATAGGCTACACCATATAGCCTAACGGTGTAGCAGGCTCATGGTTTGTGTAAGTACACTCCAGGGTGTTCACACAAGGAAGAAATTACTTACTGATGCATTTCTCAGAATGTATTTCCATCATTAAGTGATACCTGTCTGTACTTAAAACCATTTTTAAAAATAACTGCCTGGAATGATTTCCAGCAACTCTTTCATTGGCTGTTTTCAGACCTAGACATGAGATATCTTCTACTTACCTGAACTTGAACAAAGTAGCAGCCAAAAACCCTGCCTTAGTTCAGTTTAGTACAGTTCAGTTCAGTTGTTTGGGGCGGGGGGAGGAGGATGTTTAATTTTTACAGCTCATCATTATCAAGGCCATTTTAAAACCTTTCAGGACCCCAAGAACTGGTAAAAGATTATGTTGACTTGTCCCAGATACCTCAAAATAAAACTTTTATGGCAGTTTTCTCCGATTAGCCATCTGCCTCATTTTCAAAATCACACAAAGCTTACCAGCATAATGAAATCAAATGAAAATATCTTCTTTCTAGATTTTCCTGACTAGTTTATCTTCATTCCTTCACACTGGCTATAACAGGGTTTTACTGCGATTCTCTTTGGATTGAGTGTTCCTGTGGCATTCCAGGCAGGAATATCGTTTTCATGGGAACTTTCTTTGATTGGACAGCTGCCTCATTCCGGGAAACAAAATTTTGGACGAGTCCCTCAAAACTGAACCTCCCTCTCCTCTCTTCTCTCTCTCTCTTTTGGGAGAGGTCCCTGTCTGCTGGTGCCCCATCATTCTCCATCAATGGGGCACACGACCTTCACTCTGAAAATAAACCTTGACGTCGTAAAGACGACCCACCTGGAGTCTCCACCCGGCGGTAGTGGTAAGGGTTAATGCACACTTCTTTCTGCTTGGAGCCAAATGGGAACTCACAGCACTCCAGCGGCTTCAGCTCGTGGTGGGACTGCAGATCCGGCCAGCGCCACACGCGACAGTAAATCACATGGGGCAGGCCCTTGCGGTGGGACACCTGCAGCCGCCCGTCCAGGGAGCGGGGAATCGTGACGCATTTGCTGGGCTGCCCCGGGCAGCTGAGAGCCCTCTCCAGCTCGTCCATGGCTCCCTTCTTCTTCTTTAACTTCTTCACTAGAGAGTCCACTGCCTTCTCTGCCCACTTTTCCTCTTCATCTCCTTGCTTCCAGCCTAGCAGTCTCTTCACTGCGGGGCTGGTGAAGGAGAAGAGGGAGCTGATGGGGGTGGTGGAGTGCATAAGAGGCCACAGCAGGCTCCGGCGCGCACGGGAACCGCACAGCCCTTCACGGCAAAGTGGGCGGCGAGTAGCTCTCCAGGGGTGGCATAGGGACCAACCCGCCCGTTCTTCTGGGAGCAGCTGGGACCAATTCAAGTTGCGAAGTGTGTTGACTTTCTCCTAAGCCCTTGAACAGGGTGGCCAACTCTGGAAAACACGACAAGACTTCAATTAGCTTAATCGGAGTAACATTCAGAAAAAGTTGAAGTTGGATAGAAAGAGGCAATCTACACCTACAGTCCCAGCTACTCAAGTGGGTGAATGGCTCGAGCCCAGGAGGTCAAGGCTGCGCCACTGCACTCCAGCCTGAGCAACAGAACCAGGCCCCAAAGTTGGATAGAAGGGAAAAAACATTCTTCAAATGTTTTAATTTTAAAACTGTTGTCTTTGACTCTGCCCTCTCCTGTATTTCCTATATCCAGGTCTCAGGTCATTCTGCCCTCAAAGTCTTTGGAGTTTGTCCTTTCTCTCCATTTCTGCCAACACCTGAGGTCTGACTCACCACACCACTTCTCTGAAGTAGCATCTCTCTTTCTCTCTTTCAATTCGAATTCACTTACTCCCAAACACAGCTCTTATCATTTTCCCATTTAAGAAATGACAGTGGCTCCTTGGTCTCCCAAGTGTAAACTCCTCTGCCTGGGTTTTTCCAGGGCCTCCATAATCTGCCCTCAACATGAGTATGTTCTTTCTTTCTCATTTTTAGTTTGCACAAGCAATCCATCTTCTTGTAGAAAATAAATACTAATGAAAAGAAAAGAAAAAAAGAATCGTGAATAATCTCACCACTCCTGGACAGCCATTCTTAACATAGTCTTCCAAACTACTTTTCAGGACAGTGGCTCTCAAAGTGTGCCCCAAGGATCCCTGGGAGTCCCCTGAGATCCTTTTAAGGGGACTATGAGGTTCTCTCTTTTCCAATTACTTATTTGTGTGAACTAACTTCGCTTCACATACTTCAACCAAAACAACATAACACAATAGAGTATATGGAGAAAAGATGACAATCTAGGTGCCATTTATTAAGCCAAGTATTAAATAGATTTGCAGTAATATAAAACAATAATACTCTTCTCAATAACTTTTTTGAAAACAATGTTTTAAATAAAAATATTTTATGTTAATACAGTTTTTTTAATGATTCAATCAATATTTTTTTAATTTCTTAGTTTCAATTTTTAAAATGGTAAAAATTGATAGATACAGCCTACAGAAGCAAGAGTTCTTTGGAGTTCTCAATAATTTTTAAAAGTGGAAATTTTCAAGACCCAAATGCATGAGAACTGCTTTTCTAGAAATTATACACTATCACACACCAATACATACACAAAAAAGCACAGCTGTCACATTTGTTATTTGGCCTAAAATCAGCTTAATTCTTCTTTGCCCTGTCATCCACAGGAGATGTTCTTTCCCAGTTATTCAGCAGTCTCATTTAAATTTCCTGAGGTCGAACTGTATTTCCTCTTCTGTGAAATAGTTGGCTTAAACAAAACCTCCTCCTCCTTCCAGATTTTAGAAACCAGCTACCTCATTAATGTTTAAAGTGGCTGGCTGGTAACATTTTGGAGTAAGCTGACTCAAGTATTTTGGGATCTTGGAATCGATGTAGCTTATAATCTCCAACAATTGTTTGTTTAATATGCATTAAATATAATTTTCTCCTTTGCTTCCCTGGAGGGCAAGCTGTACCTTTCTGAGTCCAATTCTATAAACTTCTTTCGAACAAAGGTGCCTTATAACCCCCCGCTAGGGTGATCATTATCGGGCACCTCAGGTGAGGAGGATGGCAGCATGGTCCCACAATAACGGATGAGATTTAATAAGTATAAAGCAATAGTCACATCACTTTATTCCTCATCTGGGCTTTATCTGGCATTGTACAGAGATAAACTATGACAAAAGGGAGAGTTGAGAGCTCCATAGCTGCTCTTTTCGCTTGGCAGTTTGACTTACACTCAGTTTTATTTGGAAAGGTTGATTTTGTGGCTTAACAATCATGAATTTATAAAGTATAGTTAAGTCATTGTGTTCAAGTTCTGTTTACTTAATCTAGTCAGGCTGCCTTAAAGCAATGGCTGAAGAGGGTTAGAAGCTTTAAGGAGAAGTCTCATGATAGAATAACCTGAACCCCAAAAGAGTTGTGAATTCTGCTTAGTTTTACATGGAACTCATTATTAGTAAGTTGTGGTATAGATCTTTAAGCTGAGGTCAGTCATAGAGAAAAGCTTTTTATAAAAACACTCAGCGAGTTAAACCAAATACACCTTTTAGAAACTTTTGCTCCATGAAACAACAGTTCCCTAAACCAGGTTTTGTTTGGTTCGTTTTTTTAAACTGTGGGTTTCTATTTACCAATGGCATGTGAAATCAATGAATTGGAACAAAACAGCTTTTGCACAAACAACAAAACAAAACAGACTTTATTGCAGAGCAGCTGACGAAAAATAAGTATAATAATAATCATTTCATGAAAAATTTTCATTCACAGGTATGTGCTGTGTGTGTGTGTGTGTGTGTGTGTGTGTGTGTATGTGTGTGCGGTGTATGTGTCCAGGGTTACAATGGAAAATTTACTTGTTAAGTTGGGTTACAATAAAAAAGTTTGAAAAGCACTACTCCTAAACCATACATTTTTCTTCAAACTGTCTGTCTGAGGTTTCCCTTGATGAGTGACCTTCAGTGGCCACCACACTTTCTCATCCCTTGGGGAATTCCCAACTAGTCATGAATCTAGGGTCTGAAACATCTCGGGTCTCTGCAGACCGATCTCACTGACACATTTCAAATCATTACAGTGGTCTCACGACAGTTCCAAAACTGTGATTTTACTGCTGCAAGATACCACTCCTGTCCCATTAAACACAGGCCCTTGCATTGAGGGAGGCCCCAAAGAGTTAAACTTAGAACTTCAAGAGTGATAAACACCCAATTCATAACAGTGGCCTCCAGGTAGGCTAGAAATAGATCGAAAAGATTTTAATTAGGCTGACTGGTGGGTATACAGATGTTCAAAATATTATTTTCTATGCTTGTTTGTATGCTTGGCATATTTTTAATAGAAAAATTAATTGTAAAAAATGAATCATGCCAGGTGTGGTGGCTTACAGCCTGGGTTCCAGCTACTCAGGAGGCTGAGGTGGGAGGATCACTTGAGCCCAGAGGTTTGACTCTGCAGTGAGCTATGACTGCACCACTACACTACGGCCTGGATGGCAGAGACCCCATTTCCTTGTCTAGGTTGTTTCTATTTGTCCAGGCAGTGCACTTTAGGGTTCATAAAGGTTATTCATTCTCATTCCTATAATGTTTTAGCCACTAGTAGAACAAAGGGCCTCCCTGTTTGTCTCCAGGTGGTCATCGCCCTGACATTAACAGTGTAAGTTTATTCAGTTGTGTCAACCTGGCTCCGAACAGCTTTCCATTGTCAGAGAACTGAAATGCCCACAGACTCTAAGCTCTAACCTACTCTCATCTCCTGATAACTCCACGGCCCAGGTTCACCATAACAAAACAGAGCACCCTCAGAGCATTCACTGAAAAAAAAACTGGTTGCAAAAACAGGAGGGGCGATTAATATTTCTCTCAGTTACTACATTTCCAAAAAGTGCAAAGAAGAATGAAACAAACAATAAGTGAGCCCAACCTGAGGGGGCGGAAAGTCTGGAAAGATTCCTGAGAGGATAACTGGGCTGCACTTAAAAGGATTTAAATCACAGTTAAAAATAAATAAATAAACTGGCCAGGCACAGTGGCTCTCGCCTGTAATCCCAGCACTTTGGGAGGCTTTGGCAGGCAGATGGCTTGAGCTCAGGAATTTGAGACCAGCCTGGACAACATGGTGAAACACCATCTCTACAAAAAATACAAAAGTTAATTGGGCGTGGTGGCGGGTACATGTAGTCCCAGCTTCTTGAAAGGCTGAGGTAGGAGGACGGCTTGAGCCTGTGAATCGGAAGTTGCAGTGAGTCATGATTGTGCCACTGCACTCCAGCCTGGGCAACAGAGAGAGACCCTGTCTCAAAAAATAATAAAAATAACAAAAAATAAAAATATAAACTGTGGTGGATTAGGATAATTTTCCAAGATTTTTTGGTGTGGTATAGTCTCACTTTTGTAAGAAAATCGTGTATCCCTGTCACAGATCAACTGTGTGCTCTTAGGCACGTCATGCTGTCTCTCTGGACTTCACCCCCTCCTCATTTGCAGATCAAGACAAGGCTCAGTCTCCAGGGAAGGGTGTTTCTGAGCGATGGGTCCAGGACTCCATGGCTGTTGGCTGGATGTGTCACATGGGATCTCAAGACTTGCTCAGCTGTTTTGATGCTACTGGGACTACTTGTAGTAGTCTGAGCGCGACCTTCACTCATGACACTTCACAGCACAGAGCAGGGCAAAACAACAACTCTGACACCGCTATCAAACTGGCCCTGTTAATAACAAATATCATCTACCAACATGAACCAATTCCCACTTTGCTCTCCAGCTACTTGTTTCATTTTAGTATTAATTTCTGCAAAGGAATAAGAGTAAAAGCATATACTGGGCGTTCCTGTGTTTGAAACCATTGGTCAGTGCGTGATTAGCGTTCATAAGCCCAGATCCCCCACAAAGCCTCCTGCTGGCCCTTACAGCTTTCCTTCTTTGGGCAGAGAGAAAAAACACCATGACTGTCCTTTCTTTGGAAAGGACACACTTCACACACTTGCAGCATAAAAACAGTACTTTTTTCTTTTTCTGGCATTGAGTTTTACAATAAACCCCAACTGAGTAAGAAAACAACTTCTCATTTTCGAGTCTCTTAAATAAACAAGCCCACTTAAAAGAAAAGCAGCGCTGACCACATGCATACACCATGATTTAAGTGTACATGATTCCACACTAAAAAACAATTTACCCGGCTGGGTAACAGTACAGGAGACATAAGCTTTTTTACTTTAAGTTGACGGTTTTAAATCCAGCTCCCATTAGCAGTTACTGAAGATGATTTCCACTCAGTTGGTCTCCTTGGAAGGTTCAGTTGGTGATTTTAATCCTGAAGAAAATACAATTTTAAAAACACCGTTTGAGATGGAGCATTCCTAAGCCCTGGGCACATGGAACCTTTGAGCAATCCTTCACGGGCACTGCTTTTGGGTCAATGTGGCCAAGGCCTCCATCACCTACCAGGGTGCACAATGCGCTCAGCCCAGGGGGTCAGGGAGCACTTGTTTGTTCTGCGAGGGCCTAGTCCAGAAACAATCACCCCGATAAAACATCATGATTTCCTTATTTGTTTTTGTCTTTTAATTTTTCAAACTTATCAATTTTGACCCGCTAATCCATGACCAGCATTAAGTATACCTTGGTATCTATAAGACAGTTTACTAACCAATTTAGAAAGTGAACACATTTGCTGAAGGAACATTTAATCCCCTCCAAGAAACATATTGTTATCTAGACTATTTCTGCAGCACTTTTTGTACACTGGTAATTAATACAGCCATAATAAATGCTTATTTTACTTTATAATAACTTATTTATACTTTACACACAAGTATAAAACTATGTCCAAAAGGACTTCTATCTAGAAAACAGCTGGCTGTTATTATCACCATTGGCACACATATATCATGTCTTATTACCGTACAACTTGAGAAGAAACTGGGCTTAAAACACACACACACACACACACGTATATTTAATTCAAATTTGTCCTCACTTAAAGTAGCCTGGCATTCCCATATGTCCCAAATGAGTAGCAATCATAAGCTGTATTATAAGACATAATCACTTTATGCATATACCCGTTTAGTACCATGCAGTTGGATACACATAGAAATGGTATCATAATTTCACCTTCTGGAAGGAGACTTTTCTAGCTGTATTCTGAGGTTTCCTAAATATCCATGAAGGGTCAGTTCTAGTTTTCTGGGTGGAATACCTTTGGTCCACAGCACCAAAGAAGACAACAGAGACAGGGGAGCTCTATCTAGGGGGCCGTAGAGAGATTCCAAGGCATCTGTGGACATTTGAATTGTATGCTCATTTTGGGTGATTGCACAAATACTGAGTTTTTCTAAGGCAACAGTCCATAGGTATTCTTCTTTAAATTCTCAAAAGAGCCTGTGACCCCAAAAAGGTTAAAAAAACAACAACACTGAATTAGAAAAAGGGGGAAAAGGAGAAAGTAAGAGTAAGAAGAGGACTAAGCTAAAGAGACTGTAGAGAGTAGCTGACTGTTCTCACTATGCGGGTACTGGGAAGAGCCTGGAAGGATTACAGTGCATGGAGATCATAAGAAGAACGTAGAGGGGAGAGAGGCAGATGGCCAACGCATATTGACTATCTTCATGATAAGTGCCTTAAGTACATTTACTCACCGAATCACTGTCACAGCTGCATGTGCTCATTAACCCCACTTGACATGTGAGGAAACCAAGGAACACAGAGATTAAGTATCTTGTAAAGGTCACACCACTAGTAAGCCAGGATTCAGACCCCTGCAGTTTGGCTCCATACATCCTAAACCACTGCACCATAATCCCGCTCCCAAAGGACATGGGAGGAAAGCCACATGGGTGCGTCCCCTGACAAGGCGAGACGGACAGCAAAAGACCCCCTGAATCCAAGGCTGGGCCTGAGCTGTACTGAAATGCAGGAGGATGGGAGATGGAGCCCAAATGGCGGATATGTGAGAGAGAAGCCCTCCAAGATCTCCTCAATCTCCAAAACGTTGTGGCTCTAAAGGGGCATGAAGCACAACAGAGAGGTTGGCTCTGTCTCCTAAAGGAAAGGACAAATCCGAGCTGAGCTGCATGTCAGCCTCCATTCACTCATTCACATATCTCAGCAAATGGCCCTGATATGAATGCCTATCATGTGTCAGGCCCTGCCCAGTGGGGAGCAAAGCAGACATGGCCCTTGCCCTTACAGGGCTTAGAAACTGTCTGGATATGAAACATGTAAATATTAACAAGCCATGAAATCTTATGCAGGAACAAACATGATTGTGGGGCCAGGGACCTGCTTGGACTTCTGGTGAAGACCCCTTGAGGAGGTGACAATGAGATCAAGAGGACGAGAAAGTGCGGCCACTCCAGGGGCTGTAGAGTGAGACCTCCAGAGAAAAATGCCAAGAGGGTGGCACAGGGGTGGAGAGAATTCCATGCATTTGGGTAACTGGAGGAAAAACTGTGGCCAAGGAAGAGTGGGCAAGGGTGTGAGTGGCTGGAAGTGAGGCAAGAGAAGACACGAGTGTCCTGCTGGAGCTGGAAAGCAGCATATGGAAAATGGGTTTTATCTAAAGTGCAAAGGGGAGCCTTTGAATGGGTTTTTTTTTTTTTTTTTTTTTTTGTAGAGACGAGGTCCAGGCTGGTCTTGAACTCCTGGACTCAAGTGATCTTCCTGCCTCAGCCTCTCAAAGTGCTGGGATTATAGGCATGAGCCACCATGTCCAGTTTGAATGGGTTTGAAAAGCAAAGAAGTTAAATGATCTGACTAGATCTTTTTTTTTTTTTTTTTTTTTTTTTTGAGATGGAGTCTTCCTCTGTCTCCCAGGCTGGAGTGCAGTGGCGCGATCTCAGCTCATTGCAACCTCCACTTCCTGGGTTCAAGTGATGCTCCTGCCTCAGTGTCCTGAGTAGCTGGGATTACAGGTGTACACCACCACACCCAGATAATTTTTGTATTTTTAGTAGAGATGGGGTTTCGTCAAGTTAGCTAGGCTGGTCTCGAACTCCTGACCTCAGGTGGTCCGCTCGCTTCGGCCTCCCAAAGTGCTGGGATTACAGGTGTGAGCCATTGCGCCTGGCCGACTTGATCATTTTTAAGTGATCGTCCTAGCTGCTTATATGGAGAACAGATCAGATGGGGGAGCAAGTAGAAAACAATGTAGAAGGACAGATGAGAGAGCTGGGAGACCTGGCAGAGGTGGTAGTTACTAGGAAGGTAAGGTCAGTGTGGTGTGTTTTGTTTAAAGATGAGGCTTCTGGAGAGAATCTTACTCATTTTACTGATTATCCATAAAAAGGAGAGATGCATGTGGCAAAAGATAGAAGTGGGACAACAGAAGGGAAGAGGAGTAAACGGGAGCAGATACAGGCAGGTTTGTCTATCTGGTCACAGGATGATGAGGGTGTTCCCTCTGAAAACTCCAAGGTTGCAGAGAAGTTAGTGAGACAGGCAGCAGGAGGGGTGACAGATTTGAGGAGCAAGGAAAAGGTAGGAAGTAGCCACAGTGTGGGGAAGCAGAGGTGTGTTCTGCATAGAAAACAAAAGGCAAACTCCAACAGGGGCCCGTCTGCCAGAAGGGCTGACAACAAAGCCACTGCAAGGGTCCCACTCTGAGGAGTTTCAGAAAAAGGAGCTCCACTCTCAGAATAAATGAGCACTGCTGTTTCAGGGTGTTCACCCTGCAACCAGAGTTGGTTACGGTTATGGTTTGGCTCTGTGCCCCCGCCCAAATCTCATCTTGAACTGTAGTCCCCACTTGTCGAGGGAGGGATCTGGTGGGAGGTGATTAGATCATGGGGGAAGATTCCCCTCTTGCTGTTCTCGTGATAATGAGTTCTCATGAGATCTGCTTGTTTGGTAAGTGTCTCGCACTTCCCCCTTCTCTCTTTCCCTCCTGCTGCCATGTAACATGTGCCTTGCTTCCCCTTCACCTTCTGCGATGATTGTAAATTTCCCTTTCGAGGCTCCCCAGCTATGTGAAACTGGAAGTCAATTAAACCTCTTTTGTTTATAAAGTACCCAGTCTCAGGCTGTTTCTTTATAGCAGTGTGAGAATGGACTAATACAGCTTACTGCTGGGCTCTTTTCACCTTTATGATACAGAAGGTGACCAGAGCTGGATAAAGAGGCAGAAGAGCCAGGCAAGTATTTGGGCACTTATGTATAACAGATGCAAAAATATCACTGCAATCAACTCCCAAATCATACACTGATCATGTTATGATGGAAGTAGGCGGTGCTCTCAAGTGGGAAAAAACAACACTCCTAAATATGTTTTGTGATGTGCATGACACTTGGCACCTGGAAGTGAGGAAGTGGGGAGACATTCTGAAATGGGAATACAGAGTGTTTGTGTGCTTTACTAAAGGATGTGATTAACTTGATCGTCCTTTGAACCCTTTTAATATAATAGCTTAGAGAGGAAGGGAAAACACTTTCATGTGCCAGAGAGGACGCACATGAAACTGACCACATTTGTTGCCTTTGGAAAGGGAACATGGCCAGAGGAGAAGAAGGGTGGAAGACATTTCAGTTTGCATTTTATATCAACTGAAAAATGCCTCCCAAGTCAGAAAAATCACAATAGGAAATTGAGAAGAGGACTGCAGAAGAGTGGGAAACAGGTTGCCCACTGTCTTTCCAAACACTGATTCTGCTTCAGAAGAAATATCATAATTGAATTTATTTCTGAATAAACGTTTTATTAGCAAAGATTCATTTTTTCCCACCCTTCCTCAAAACGCTTTGAAGCAGTATAATATGATTAGTGTCTCTGGGGTGCCCACATATTCTGGTCCAGCTCTTGTTAAGACCACAGGAACACTGGGTTTCCTGTATTCATCAGAAAGTTGTGTGCTATTTACTTTAAAATGTGGCTCCATGTTTCTTTCATGCTCAAGATAAGTCTTGCACTTTCCAGTTAGACAGCAGGTAGTGACCACCTTTCTAACAGGGACAATCCATTCATCACGAGCTCCTACTTGTCCTAAAACTCTACTTAAATCGCAAGAACTCAGCAGACAAATGAGAAAACAGAAGCAAAATGGGCCATTAACTCATAGAACAAAGCAGCCCATGTTACTTAAAGGCAATTCTTAATATAGATCTCCCTCTAACAGGCTTTTTTATTTTTATTAGACTGCTTTGATTGAAATTTTATGTATACACAAAATTATATCATTACATTACTGACAATGAAATCAATTCTTCCTGCCCTACTCTATTTGTAACTCTTAATGTGTTTATAAAACATCCCACATTCTCAAGGAGAACAGAATCAAGGCCAACTATTTTAGCATGAATGATTATCAATTACAAAATGTAGATCCTTAGAAATCTATTTTTATTGAATTGTTTATCATCTGGTAAATAATGATTGCCCTTAAAAAGAACCAAACCTCTTATACTTTGGCAACCTCAAAAAGAATACCCCAGATCTTATGCAACATCAAAAGGTGTCCTTACTCCAGCAATTCTGACCCATGAAAATCTAAGTTTATCAAAAATATAAACTTAGGAAAGATTATTTGTCTTATGAAATAAGTCATAATACATGTAAAAATATGATTCAATTTACAAAAATCTGATTCACAGACAGCTTTTTCAGGAATAAATATCCTTTTATTCAATGAACATTTACACCAAGCTCTTGCTGTGTAACTGCTAATTTTACTTCGAAAGGCATATCTAATTTTTTTTCTTTCTTTTTTGTTTTCTAAAGGCATATTCAATTTTTTGGTCAGAAAAAATCTATACCCTTTAGTAAAATTAAGAGATCTCAATATACATTTCTACTTCCAAAATATAACTCTAACTTTTAAAATGCATTGTGCTTATCTTTTCATCTACATGTTCTGGAAGGGCACTGAAGAATATCACTGTTAAGCAAACTGTAAAACAAATCAAATTAGTTTTGAGGACGCTTTATAACTCTTTGCCCATCAAAACACCAAGCATCCTTAAAACTTTAAGAATTATACAACTGTTCCAGCTTTTTGGTAAACAATGCAGCAAGTAATATTTTATTGACGTAGTCAATGAACCAGTTTTTTTCAATGTTCCCAGCATGTCCTTCAGAAAACAGATAAATTGTATTTTTCTAAATATCAGACAATACCCAGGTGGAACAGCTTAGCTTGAATTTGGAAGAGATATTTCTCTTTGTTTAAAGTAGGTGTTTAAAACTGGTTTTGCAGGTAACTAGGCACATTCAACTTTCTTCTCATTGTTGTAAAGTCACCTCAGGAGAGTCTGGATGCCCTTTTTAAACTCTGATGCCTGCTTGGGAACCAGAGAAATGAGCTCCCCTCCAACCACACATGTATGCACTCGTACCCTCTCTCCCTTTCTCTCACCCCCCACTCTCCCCTCTCCACACCCCCATGACCCCATCTCTCTCAAAATCAATGCAGTTCAGCCAAAACAGGAGGAATGTGAGCTGGTGGCAGAGCAGGAACAGTGCATCACAGACACACCACACAGACTACAGAGCATGTTCTTCAAAACGTTCCCTATTTTTCATTCAGAATCTCTCATATGCTAACTCACAAGCCACTTTTATGGGGCTTATTAGAAAATGTATTAACTTCACTCCAGCCTGTAGTTCATGGTGGTAAACCCAACAAATGACCTTTCACTTTTCCTCCTTCCCGCTTTGGTCCTCTGAGAAATACAAATCCTAAGAAGAATGAATGGCCATTTTGCCTAGTCCTACTAAAAACATGTTACTATCTTTCCTTGTGCTTAGGAGTAGAGATTATTTCTAAAAAGCCCTTTAAAACCTCCTTGCGGAAGCTATCCTGATATACTTCTCAACACTTTCATTCATTCTTTGATTCAGTCAACAAGTATTTATTGAGACTCTATCATGCACTGGGTGCTGTGGCATGAGCTATACTTTCCCAGATTCAAAATCTCCATTGCCTAAGGAATAAGAACTCTAAGTCATGATGCCATTAGCCTGCTTCAAATATTCAGAGTCTTAAACATGTAATAAAATATTGGGGAGGTGCTATTTCTGGCCTTACTAAATGGTTTACTAGGTGAAGGGGGAGATGTGTTGCTTTGTTTTATATTGTTTTTATTTAAACATAGGTGGCAACAGAGTGATCTCATTGTAGAGAGTCTAAAACTCTGGGCCAGGCCAGAAGTAATGTATTTTCTTCATTACACCCGGCCTGGTAAGCCCCAGAATCTGTAACTGGCACCCACAGGACAGCTTCCCGGTTCCCTAGGTCAGAGCTGGATGGATCCTAGGGCATAAGCTCAAGCTAATCCAACTTGCTATATTTTTCTCCAGGTGGAAGTCTGAAAATGCAGTTATGGTGTAACTGAGGAAATGACAACAATTAGGCCCTAATCCTGCTGCACTATCATTCGTCTGCTCCTTCCATCTGGCATCTGTTAAATGCTACAGTCCCACCACACAAACAAGCACTTCTTTAGATTTGCAGTTTAGATTCTTAAGGTTGGGAAAGAATTTCAGAAATTAAAAACAAAACAAAACCAAAAACTGAATCTGTCCTGGAGTAAGGGTGAGCTCATCCATTGTAATGAGCTCTGTACCTTCTCAAGCCAGAAAAACACACAGAAAATGACAGAGTACAAGACCATGTTGAAATATTTTTGTCAATGACGATGGTAGTATTGTTGAAATGTACATAAAATGGTATTAATGGGTGACTAGGCTTCATTGTACCACTGACTTGAAAACTTAAACTGGAGCCACTCAGGTCAGACAGATTAAGGAAAGAACCTTACAAAGTCACGGAGGATACATATCCCATGAATAATGAAGTTGGTCATCGTGCAGAGCAAAAATTCTTCCTATGTCAATTTAGTCACTGAATGTAGATGAACAAGTAGATTTTTATGTGCTAAGGAGTCATGAAACACAGCAAAAGCCAAAAGAGGATACACCAGCCTATCAAAGCACCACCCTAGCAAGTGCAAAGAAAGTATCAGGAAAGACATTCTCAACCTTAAAAATTATGGCAAAGCCCACAAACTAACTACACTAAGTTCTTCCTGTGTCGCTTCAGATATTAAAAACCACATTTTGACAAACTCAACCAAAATTTTCCACTAAACCATCTGCTTGTATAAATTTAACCATCATTTGTCCTTTAAAGTTGACATCACCAACTGTCCATAAACATTCCAGTCTTCTGAGAGTGAAATGGATCGGACTACATCAGGAACGACGGAGCTGTTTTCTCAGTAGGTTTAAGTTTTACTAAGTAGATAACTTATCAGTGATGCTTAACTTTAAAATAATCCAGCACAAAGCCACAACTGAGATAGATCAATAGCTGTAATCTTGAGCAGCAAAGCAAAGACAATAACAAGCAAGAAGTACTTTTAAGAAGAGAAAATGTGAAGACATTCTATGCAAAATCTCAAACAGAATGAAGGACAACTCAGCATTCTCCAGTCTTCTAGAAACACTGGCACTTTTTTGGGCCAGAAATGTTTAGTTATAAAATTAGAACATAGGTAAAAATCATTAAAATATCTTCATATAATTTACTAACTTAATAGACTTCTTGTAGAAAACTTAAATTTGGTCTGGATTGGCAAGTGTTGATAAGAATGTGAATAATAAGAATTTATAGAAATAGTTGGTTCAAGAACTGTGGAAATAATTTGCCATTATCTTGTAAAGTTGAAATTTGTATATTATAAGACATAGCAATTCCACAACAAAGTATATAACCTAGGCTAGTTTCCAAACATCAGGTAGAAATGATTAATGAAACCAATTCATTGGATCTCAACCAGCATTTTAAAAAATGGACTAGATTTTATCAGTCATTGTTGATAGTGGGGAAAAATTCTACTTCTTGAAGTTTTTGAAGAGATGAATAGAGGTATTTGTGTATATGTCCTACTGGATCATAGTTTTTTTAAAAAAATTGAAAGCCACTTCCCTAAAGAAACTATTGTACATATATATATATATTTCCCCCTTCACAGATATATATATAAATATAAATATAAATATATATATATATACACATAAAGAAACCACTGCACATACTAGAATATTCATAGCAGTATTACTCAAAAAAGCAAAAATCTGGAAATAACCCAAATATCCATCGACTAGAGGATGAATAAATGACGAAATAATCTTACAATTGAATTTCATATAGTAATAAAAACATATTAATGATATCCACAAAGATTAATCTTAGAAATATAACATTTAGTGAAAAACAGCAGAGCCTAGAAGATGACATAGAGTATGAAATCATTTAGTTTAAAAAGAAATAAAAACTAAATATCCTAGAGATACATATGTGATTAAATTTCATTTTAAAAATCAAGACAATAAAAACACAGAATTCAGAAATTAATGCTTCTGAGCAGAAGGCAGGGGAGTAGCCCAACAAGAAGATGTGGCATTAGTATGTTATACTGTCATATTATATTATATGTTGTATTATTATAATATTCCATAATTTTTATAAGTGTGCTACATATTCTTTTGAATGTATCAAATATTACAAAATAAAATATTTTAATTTAAAACAAAATCCTAGACAATTTTATATAACATGGTCCCTGCTGTTAACAATATTTCTTATCAGATATAAGTTCAACAAAAGTTCAAAGATTAAGAAAAAATAAGAATTTTAATCCATAACTAGAATAGCATTAGAACAATGAATAAGAATGTTAAGAACAGTATTTATTGGGCAACCACTATGGTTTGATACGGTTTGGCTGCATCCCCACCCAAATCTCATCTTGAATTGGAGCTCCCATAATTCCCACATGTTGTGAGAGGGACCTGGTGAGAGATAATTGAATCATGAGGGCAGTTTCCCCCATACTGTTCTCTTGGTAGTGAGTCTCATGAGATCTGACGGTTTTCTAAGGGGTTTCCTCTTTCGCTTGGCTCTCATTCTCTCTTGTCTGCCGCCATGAAAGACATGCATTTTGCCTTCCACCATGATTGTGAGGCCTCTTCAGCCATGCAGAACTACGAGTCCATTAAGCCTCTTTTTCTTTATAAATTACTCAGTCTCTGGTATGTCTTTACCAGCAGTGTGAGAACAGACTAATACAACAACTCATAAAGTTACAAAACTAACACATGGAACAATTAATGAGTAGCCCAAGAATGAAATTATTCGTTATAGACTAGAAACTCTTTCCTGGCTCCGTATCTTCATTCCTGTCTTTCTGCTTCCTGACCTCTTCCTCTCCCCTCTTTTAGGTCCAGTCACCTCCATGGAGTCCTCCTGATCCCCTGCCCGATGCTTTGTACTTATCATATGTCACTTATCCTGTGTGGCATCATGCTGATTGAGGTCCCAGTGGAGAACCCCACCTCCCCTGGAGCCTGTGGTTCCTTTAGCCCCCAAGTGACATCTCATTGAGAAATGCAAATGATGCCATGAAAAAGACAGCAGTGAACTAGCCCTTGTAGAAACATCTCACACCCCAAGAACACTACTTGGCCATGATTTATGACAAATTCCCTTATGTCACACTCTCCTTCGCTTCCATGGCAAGGAGGGCTATCAGTTTTCCCGAATTGTTTGGTAGTGAGGGGCTCCAAACTGCCTATTTACTTAGCACTCACCTCAATCTCCGGCAGTCAGTTCCAGCCAGCACCTGTCAGCTTTAGGTTAGATTAACCAGTTAGATTCCTCCACCACTCCATCAACCCTAAATCCTCAAATCTACATCTTCCTCAGTGTTCCCAGGTCACCCCTTTTCTAATGAGTCCCAAATTTCTATACCCATATGTACCAATGATTTCCTTAACTGTAAACAACGCTGTGATGTGGATATACCTAACCTCTTAGACATGACTAAGAGGAAACCCCTTAGTCTCTTACTAAAACATGAGCTCACTTGCATCTCTGTATCGATCTAAAGATCTAGCATAGGTTTCTCAACCTCAACTAGCATAGGTTTCTCAACTACTGACATCTGAGGCTAGATTTGTGTGGAGGGGCTGTCCTGTGCGTTACAGGGTGTTTAGCAGCATCCTTGGCCTCCACCTATAGATGCCAGTAGCACACATTCCCATCAAATTGTGATGACAACCAAAAATGTCTCCAGACATTGTCAAATATCTCCTGTCACCCTCTGTAGAGAACCACTGATATAGCATAAATCCTGATTCTGCTCAATAATCACAAGATCTTTTAGATTTGGGTAATTGTTAAATAGAAATTAAGCAGAATTTCAGAGAAAGATGTGTTCAATGTGAATTTCAATATTTGGAGAGAAATTGCTTTGCTAATGGCTGCACACAGATTAAGTTTTGAATCCTAGGCATAGGAAATTCAGTGCTTTTTTTTTAAGTTGGCCTAGGGACTGTTACCCAGTGAAGTTACTCAGGTTGAAGACATTAGAAGGATTTGCATCATAGTTTTTATATTCAGATATTAATCTACTTGAAATAAATAGTATTTTCCAAGTCAGCCTGAAATTGGGATTTCCACCTAAGCAGAGACTTAAGTTATTGTCACAGAAAGAGAAGAACTGCAGTTTCCTATTTATGTTACCTAAATCAGAAGTAATGTGCAGTTACAAAATAGATTTGAAAAGACTTAGTTTTAAAATGACAAATGTAAAAGGCGGAAAATTAACCTCTCCCTTATTCTTTCATTCTACTCCCACCCACCCTGTTGCCAATCCTGTTGAGTATTTATTTATTTATTTATTTATTTATTTATTTATTTATTTGAGACAGGGTCTCACTCTTTTGCCCAGGCTGAAGTGCAGTGGCACGATCTCGGCTCACTGCAACCTCTGCCTCCCGGGCTCAAGCAGTCCTCCCACCTCAGCCTCCCGAGTAGCTAGGACTATAGGCACATGCCACCATGCCCAGCTAATTTTTGGATTTATTGTAGAGACAAGGTCTCTTTATGTTTCCTAGGCTGGTTTCGAACTCCTTGGCTCAAGCAATCCACCCACCTCAGCCTCCCAAAGTGTTGGGCTTACAGGTGCGAGACACCAGACCCGGCCGATTTTTTATTTACTAAACATCCTTCAAAAACAACTCTTCCTCTCCATCTTCTTGATCTCCCTCCAGACCTCCCAAATCTCTTCTACAAATTGCCAGACTTCTACAATGCATATCTGATCCTACCATTCTCCTGTTAAAAAGCACCAGAATTCCCTGTAGCATGCTTGTAAATGCTAAGAATTTTCTTTCTTCTCTTCCCTTCTCGGAAATTTGTGTGAATGAAAAACAAGCCAAAAAAAATAGAAAAATATGGAAAAGTTCCTAAAAAAGGCGGCTCAAATAACCACTGTTTATCCACCCAGAGAAACCAATCACTACCAACATTTTTGTGTATTTTTTCTAAATAAACTTTTTTAAATAATTCATTTATAAATATATCTTATATTCTGCCTATTTCAATGAATGGTATACTCCAAGCATTTTCATGTTATTAAGTACTTAATGTTTTTAAAGTTTTGAGGTAGCAAGAGTAATATCCAACTTTTATTTGAATCCTAAGTTGCATTTGAACTTTACTTGCAATACTTTCTTATGCCATAATTTGAAAAAAAAAACAGATTTAGAACACTCTATGTGTAGATTTTATGAGCTGGTTTTCAACAGCTTCAAAGTAACTGCTAAAACAAAAACAAAAACAAAATCTGGAGGCATTTTCCCTCTAGTCATCAGTAAATCTGCTACAGGCCTTCACAGTTCTAATTACATAAGTTCTATGGTAATGTGCTATTATTATGAAAATTCAAACTTCTATAATCAGGTTAAATCTCATCTGACCATCACCCACAGTTCCCAAACCCTTATGCACTCTTTGATGTGACTACTCAAATTAGCTTGGACTTATTTATAGATATTTTACTCTGCATATCTTTACATATTAAAGTCCTTACAAAAAATATAGCATTAGTTTGAATTTTTAAAGAGATTCAAGCATTCTGCAACTTGCTTGAGGATATTTTCTGTTACCAGGACATAAATCTACTTCATTCTTGGTACCTGCTTCATAGTGTTCCATACTGTGGCAAAGCCCTTTCTGCTTAAGCTCAACCTGCTATACAAGAGACTCTCCCACAGTACATGAAATCTACAATATATTCATGACTGTCTATTTGAAAACTGGCATCAACTGACAAAATGTGGGATATCTTCAGAAGAAATTAGAAAGTTAACATCTTCCTAAATAAAAAATAATAATGCAGAATTTGATAACCTGCTTTTCATAAAAACAAAATGTAGAAAAATTCCTATTTTTTTTGAAAACTGCTAATGAAAACTCTTACTTGATTGGGTAAAAAAGGTATAATGCATTTGCATTTTCAGTTATAATTGCTCAATTCATGCAGTTCATGACTTACAAGGAGCTATTTACCCAAAGTTCATTAGTG
The DNA here is from genome assembly GCF_000001405.40 of Homo sapiens. Lineage (NCBI taxonomy): Eukaryota > Metazoa > Chordata > Mammalia > Primates > Hominidae > Homo > Homo sapiens. Next base: position 36,897,816 of record NC_000013.11, read on the forward strand.
GAAACATTCCAAGGTAACAGAAATGTCCTGTGTCTTTTTTTTTTTTTTTTTTTTTTTTTGAGACAGAGTCTCGCTCTGTTGCCCAGGCTGGAGTGCAATGGTGCGATCTTGGCTCACTGCAAGCTCTGCCTCCCAGGTTCACGCCATTCTCCTGCCTCAGCCTCCCGAGTAGCTAGGACTACAGGCGCCCGCCACCACACCCAGCTAATTTTTTTTGTATTTTTATTAGAGACAGGGTTTCACCGTGTTAGCCAGGATGGTCTCAACCTCCTGACCTCGTGATCCGCCCGCCTCGGCCTCCCAAAGTGCTGGGATTACAGGAGTGAGCCACTGCACCCGGCCGAAATGTCCTATGTCTTAATAAGGGTGTGGGTTACCCTTATTAGGGGTAGGTAACATAGTTGGTCTACACAGAAAGATGAAAATTTGAACTGCTTTAAATATATTAAAGAAATTGAATTCACAATTTAAAACTTTCCCAGGAAAAATCACCAGGCCCACATGGTTTCACTGGAGAGCTCTATCAAACATTTAAAGAAGAAATTATACACCTACTCTTAAGAATACAAAGGAGCAAACAGTTCCCAAATAATTTTATGAAGCTAGCATGACCCTGATGCAAAAATCTTATAAGATATTAGAAAAAAAAAGAAAACACAAATAGTATTCAGAAAAACAGATGTACACATCCTTAACAAAATATTAGCAAATCACACCCAGCAGTATAGAAAGGACTAACACACATCTTGACCAAATGAAGTTTATCACAGAAATGCAAAACTGGTATTAAATTTGAAAATAAATTAGCATGTTTCACCATACTAACAAAATAAAGGAGAAATGCCATACTATCATGTTAATAGATGCAGAAAAAAACATTTGACACTATTCAATACCCATTCATGAGTTTTAAAAAATTATTAATTCTCACCAAACTAGAAATAGAAGGAAACTTCCACAATCTGTACAGGGTAACTACAACCTATAGCTAACATAATAATTAGTGGTGAAATACTGAATACTTCTCCTAAGACTAGAAACAAAGTACAGAAATCTACTCTCACCACTGCTATTCATGATTGTATGGATGTCCTAGCCAGTGCGATAAAGCAAACAAACAAAACCAAATACAAGCATAAAGATTAGAAATGAAAAATTTTCTGTATTCACAGGCAACAGAAAGAACAAAGTAAGGAAATCCTAAAGAAATCTACCAAAAAAAAATTGAAAAAACTGTTGAAACTAATTAGTGAATTTAGCAATTGCAGGATACAAGATAAATGTACAAAAACAATTACATTCCTATTTACCAGCAGAAAACAAATGGAAAATTAAAAAGTGAAAACATTTACAATAGCTCAAAAACCATAAAACACTTAGAAATAAATTTAACCAAAAAAAGGTGGGGCGGTGGAGGGAGAACTCGAAAATGACAGCTGCAAAACACTGCAGAAAGAAATTAAATGAAGAAATATACCATGTTCATGGATGTGCAAAATCAATAATGTTAGGATTTCAGTTCTCCCCAAATCAATCTACAGATTCCATGCCATTTTGACCAAATTCCTAGCAGTACTTTTTTGTATATGTTGATAGGGTGATTTTAAAATTTACATGAAAAAGTATGTAGAATATGGCAAAATCTTGACTATTGACTAGGAATCAATAAAGTAGGAAGAGTCCAGATTTCTTGGGCACCTGAGCATGCCATTCATGAAAATGACAAATTCAGGAGGAACTAAATGAAGTCGGGGGTAACACAGATGCAAAGACATCCATCTTGGATTTACTGAGTCTGAGGTAGTGAGCTGGATAGAGAGTTGGGGGAAGCACAATATCAAAATGGAATTCAGTTGGTAGGTGGGTTCAGGGTCTGGAGCTCAAAGAAGAGGCTGAACTGAAGGATGGAATCCTAAATTTATCAGCATATGAGGGGAAAAGGAAACTAGTTTGGATGAGATTGTGTAGTATGTGAAAAGCAGAAGCAGAACATTTCATTGAATTATTAAAGTAGCCTTCTATAGTCTCCCTGCTTTACACTAGTCCCTCTATTCATAACACCACAGCCATGTTGGCCCAATTAAAACATAAGTCAGGTCACAATCTTTCCCTGCTCCAATCTCTCCAAAGGTTTGATTCACTCTAAGTAAAAGCCAGAAGCCTTACAATGGCCTGCAAGGTCCTACACCACTACTTCTCAGTACTGGTGGCATATTAGAATGATCCTGCTTGAGCATGAATCCGTTACCTTCCTGCCTTCTTTTCCTTCTACTCTCCCCCTTGCTCTCTCTACTCCTGCCACAAATGCCTCCTTACTTTCCCTCAAACATACCAAGTATGCAACTATTTCAAAGCACTTACTGTTTTTCCAACGTTCTTCATGTTAGTATACACATGGCTGCTGCCCTCATCTGCTTTGGGACTTTACTCAAATATCTTAGTGAAGCCTTCCCTATCTTATTTTATTTTTATTTTTATTTTGTGAGATGGAGTCTTACTCTGTCATCCAGGCTGGAGTGCCGTGGCGTGATCTCTGCTCACTGCAACCTCCACCTCCCAGGTTCAAGTGATTCTCCTGCCTCAGCCTCCTGAGTAGCTGGGATTACAGGCGCATGCCACCACACCCAGCTAATTTTTGTATTTTTAGTAGAGATGGGGTTTCACCATGTTGGTCAGGCTGGTCTTGAACTCCTGACCTCGTGATCCACCCACCTCAGCTTCTCAAAACGCTGGGATTACAGGCATGAGCCACCCGCTTGGCCGACTATCTTATTTTAAACTGCAAACCCCCACCACCCCTACCTTACTATCAACCTTTCCTGATTTATTTTTCCCGAAAGGACTTACCACTAAAACTATCATTATGACTACACACACACACACACACACACACACACACACACACACACACATAAATGTAAATTATTTTACTTATTTTAAAAAAATTATTAAAGTGAAATGCACGTAACATAAAATCACCCATTTTAAAATGAACAATTCAGTGGCATTTAATATGTTCACAATCACAGTGTTATGTAACCATCACCTTTACCTAGTTCCAAAACATTTTGATCACTCCAAAATAGAACCCTATACACATTCAGCAGTTTTTTCCTATTCTTCCCTCCCCATCGACCCTGGCAACCACCAATCTGCATTCTGTCTTTATAGATTTACCTATTCTGAATTGTTCACATAAATGAAACCATAAACTATGTGTGATGAATCATATATGTGTGTGTTTGTGTGTGTATAAACAATTGATAGATATAGTCCATATTCCACCTTTAGGTTATTGTGAATAGTGCTGCTATAAACATTTGTGCAAAAGTATCTGTTTGAGTAGCTGTTTTCAGTTCTTTCGAGCATATACCTAGGAGTGGAATTGCTGGGTCATACAGTAATTTTACTTTTAACTTTTTGAGAGACTGCCACACTATTTTCCACATCATCTGAACCACTTCACATTCCCATCAGAAACGTATGAAAATTCCAATTTCTCTACATCCTCACTGACACTTGTTATTTTTCACTGTTTCTGTTTTTATTATAGCATCTTAGTAGATATGTAGTGATATATCACTGTGGGTTTGGCTTCTTTTTTGTTTTTTGGGCCTTTTTTTTTTTTTTGAGACAGAGTCTTGCTCTGTCACCCAGGCTGGAGTGCAATGGTGCGATCTCAGCTCACTGCAACCTCCGCCTCCCAGGTTCAAGTGATTCTCCTGCCTCAGCCTCCCAAGTAGCTGAGACTACAGGCACGTGCCACCATGCTCCGCTAATTTTTGTATTTTTAGTACAGACGAGGTTTTGCCATGTTGGCCAGGCTGGTCTTGAACTCCTAGCCTCAAATGATCTCCCTGCCTCGGCCTCCCAAAGTGCTGGGATTACAGGCATGAGCCACTGTGCCCGGTCCACTGTGGTTTTGATTTGCATTTCTCTAATGCCTCATGATACTGAGCAAATTTGCTGTCCATTTGTATGTCTTCTTTGGAAAAATATCTATTCAAGTCCCTTGCCCACTTTAAAATTGGGTTGTGTGTATTTTTGTTGTTGCATTGTTAAAAGTTCCTTACATATTGTGGATATATAGACCCTGAGATACATGATTTGCAAATATTCTTTCCTTTTCTGTATGTTGTCTTTTTATTTTCATTATGTCATTTGATGCATGCAAGTTTTTAATTTTGATGAAATCTTTTTCTTTTGTTATTCATGTTTCTGGTATCCTAAGAATCTATTGCCAAATTCAAGGTTATAAATATTTACCAATGTTTTCTTCTAAAAGTTTATGGTTTTAGCTCTTATGTTTAGGTTATTGATCATTTTCAGTCAACTTTTATATCTAGTGTGAGGTAGGGATCTAACTTTATTATTTTGCATTTGGCTGTGTAGTTGCCCCAGCACCATTTGTTGAAGACATTGTTCTCCACTGAATAAAGAACTGGACTGTTTTCCATTGAATGGTCTTGAAATCCTTGTCAAAAATCAATTGGCCACAGATGTTCGGGTTTATTTCTGGACTTTCAATTCTATTCCATTGATCTCTATGTCTATTCTTACATCAATACCACACTATTTTGATTACTGTATATTTGTAGTTAAGTTTTAAAATTAGGAAATGCGAGTCCTTCAACTTTGTTCTTCTTTTTTTTTTTTGAGATGGAGTCTTACTGTGTCACCCAGGCTGGAGTGCAGTGGCACAATCTCAGCTCACAGCAACCTCTGCCTCCCGGGTTCAAGCGATTCTCCTGCCTCAGCCTCCCAAGTAGCTGAGACTATAGGTGCCCGCCACCACGCCCATCTAATTTTTTTTTGTATTTTTAGTAGAGACTGGGTTTCACCATGTTGGCCAGGCTGGTCTCAAACTCCTGACCTCGTGATCCGCTCATCTCGGCCTCCCAAAGTGTTGGGATTACAGGCGTGAGCCACCGCACCCAGCCTTGCTCTTCTTTTTCAATGTTGTGTTGTATTTTACTTTTTAAAAATTATTTATTGTTTCTTTCCCTAGCACAATACGGCCTCAATTAGGATATGGACGTTTGTCCATTTTGTTCACCACTGTACCCTAGCACCTAGAATAGAGCCTGACACATATTATGTGTTTGATGTTTGCTAAATGAATGAGTGGGCTCCTGAAAAGATAAAGTCATCCACAGCTGAAATAAGCGTGAGGATGGGAGTATAAGAAGCGTGGAAGAAAATACCATGGCTAAGTAATTTCTGTCAAAGAGGAGTTTACATGGCAGGGAGGAGGGGAGGCCTAGACCTTGGGCTCTAGTGCCGAGGGGCTCTTTCTTTTTTTTTCTTTTGGTTTTTTTTTTTTTTTTTTGAGACAGAGTCTTGCTCTATCACCCAGGCTGGAGAGCAGTGACGCCATCTTAGCTCACTGCAACCTCCTCCTCCCGGATTCAAGACATTCTCCTGCCTCAGGCTCCTGCATAGCTGGGATTACGGGCACGCGCCACCACACCAGGCAAATTTTTGTATTTTTTGTAGAGACAGGGTTTCACCACGTTGGTCAGGCTGGTCTTGAACTCCTGACCTCGTGAACCACCTGCCTCGGCCTCCCAAAGTGCTGGGATTACAGTCGTCAGCCACCACACCCGGCCTGGAGGGGCCATTTCCAGGCTTCAATGGCAGAGTGAGCAAACAGCAGCAGCTATTGTGTGCAAGTCAGTCTTTAGTATTTCAAATGTACCAAAACTAAAAATCAGTAACTATCACATTAAACATTTTTTTCAAAAATAAAACATCAGGTAAGATGAAATGGAATGAATAACAATGAATTGTTTTCTTTGAACTGAGAGAGAAAATAGCTTTTGCATCTAATCTCAAAAGTCTCCAAAACTTTTAGTGTATACAAGTAATTCTTCTAGATAAGTTAATTTTACAGTCATACTATATATAATGCAAAAGTAACATAGTGACCTTTTTAAAAACATTCTGAACAAAATCTTAAATAAACACAATTATCACACATCACTTTTAGTCAAATTAAATAACCTGGCAGCCACATCAGCAAGTCTGAACATTACTGTTGCTAATGGAACAGAAGGCAGTGAAGAAAAAGCAGAATTACAGGGCACACGTGATAAAGCTTAAGAAACTCATTAGTAATTTTCTTTGATGCATACTATTTACTTTTCCAATGTAAAATATTTAAAATATAAATAATTATGGAAATCCAAAGAGCACCCTACTGTTAATATATATTATGTAAACTGCCACTGAATAACTATTTGTCTTACATAGCAAATACTGCTATGTAAGAGATTAAGCAATATATTGCCGCTCCACAAATCAAGCCATATGGTCCCATCTGTTTCTAGGTTCCATTACACCACACCTACTGCTGGTTAATAAAGAAATTGTTAAGCAGAGGATGCAAGTGTACCTCTTATTTGATTTTTTCAAAATCAACAATGTGTCGTCAATGTAACTTGGCAGGCAGTCTGATACCTGGTGGGAGTTAGATATGCGACTCTTGATCTTCCTTGCCTGGATAATGATTTACAACAATATGTGAAGTGTATAAACTGTCACTAAAATTGCACGGCGCTGGGATTTGCCAGGTGCGAATCGCTCTATCCAAGCCTCAGGGAAAATGTATAATTGCCCTATGCAATCATCCCAGCTTTAATTATGGTCTGGGCCTTTTATTCCCTGGACGGCAGTGACAGTCTGGAGAGAGCTTTGCCACCTGCTTGGTCTTCAATTCAGCCACTAAAAGGCCATGGGCAAATACATTGCCTCAGGCAATTTATTACCTCATCTGCAAAACCCACTCCAAGGGGCAACACTGCTACTCATCCTTCAACCACAGCTCAGACATCCCAGGACTCTGTGACTCCCCCAAATAAAATTATCTTCTCAGTCAGTACCTTGTACATATTTCTATTTTCACTTGGAACTACAATTTATTGTCCATTTGTCTCTTTATTGAACAACAAAGCCTTTAAAGGCAGCAAGTATTTTACTCATTTCTGTAGCTCCAATCTCTCCCATAAAAGAGGTGTTCAATAAATTCTTATTGTTATTTATGTTAAATGACCATAGCATAGCACCCAGTGGTGCCTAGGATATAGTAGATGCTTAATACATATTAATTATTGATAGTTTTCTTCTTTTCCTTTACTTGAGATTTCACTTGTTTTCATCCTTTTATCACCATTCTGCCATCAGAACTCAGCTCAGGCTATTATCACACTGAGCACTGAGGGAAGACGGAGATGATTTTGCCCCCCACGGGACATCTGGCAATGCCTACAGAAATTTTTGGTTGTTGTAACTGGGGGAGGGAGGTGCCACTGGCCTCTAGTGGGCAGAGGTCAGGGATACTGTTAAACATCCTACAAGTTGGAGGACAGTCCTGAGAATGATCGGGCTCCCAATACCAACAGAGTGGAGGTTGAGAAACCCTCATCTAGACTTTAATTACTTGAAATCGACTTGGTTGTTTTACCCCACTCCCATTCTTTCTCTGTTGTAATTCACTCTTCCTGAAAATCTTAATCATTCTTATCCTGTTCAAAAGGTCTTACACTTCTTTTGAGTATCTTCTTTTGTTAGTTACAGTTACTGCCAGATTTTCAGTAATACTAATCAATATATCAATATGAAAAGGCAGAACTGGAGCCGTTTTAAAAATTATTACTTCCGGCCAGACACGGTGGCTCACACCTGTAATCCCAGCACTTTGGGATGCCAAGGCGGGCAGATGGCTTGAGCCCAGGAGTAAGAGACCAGCCTGGGCAACATAGCCAAACCCCATCTCTACAAAAACAAAAACGAAAAACAAAAAAACAAAAATTAGCCAGGTGTGGCTCTGCAGGCCTATAGTCTCAGCTACTAGGAAGGCTGAGGTGGGAGGATCACTTGAGGCTGGGGAGTTCGAGACTCCTGTGAGCCGAGATTGTACAACTGCACTCCAGCCTAGATAAAAGGGCAAGACCCTGTCTCAAAAAAAAAAAAAAAAAAAAAAAAAAAAAAAAAAAAAAAAACTTATATCCTTTGTTATATTTTTTTAAAAGTTTTGTTTATTGTTTTGAAAATAAAGATAGGGTCTCGCTATATTTTCTTGCTATGTCTCAAGCAATCCTCCCGCTTCAGCCTCCCAAAGTGCTAGTATTACAAGTATGAGCCACTGCGCCTGGACGAAAATTCTTATTTCTAATCTACATGCTTTACAACTCTTAAATCAAACGAAAGTTTTAAATAAGGAGAACACCAAGGGAAAAATAACAAAGACTCTAAGGAATGGCAGCTAATTTTTCTTCACTGATCAAATTTCTACAGCCACAAAGGCCAAATGGCCCTTCAAATTTCATTTGAAGAATAAATGCTGTGTCATTGAATGTTATATCACACACTGGACTGTTATCTCTTATGCTGGCTAGGTATCTTTTATTCTAACCATGATTTATTTAAAATTAATGTGAACAAAAATTGGTGGGTTTTTAAAAACAGGAAATTTTAAAAAATGTTTTATTCCTTTTATTTATATGACCGTATGTTATGGAATTCCACGTAAGTATCTTAGATGTGAAAAGACACTTACATAAATAAATGGAAAAAAATGCAGTTTCTCGAGAAATACCTCACTAAAAACCATATTCTATGCAAATCATACTTCTGATAAGGGATACACATCCAGAATATATCTCATCACCAGGAAATTGAGACAAAAAAGAAAAAAGTTAACAGAATATATTTAAAAATTCTTAAAACTCAACAACAACAAAAAACAAACCACCCAATTCAAAAGAGGCAAAGCACTAGAATAGACACTTCTCCAAAGAAGATATACAAATGGCAAATAAGCACATAAAAGGAGGTTCAACATCATTAGTTACTAGGGGAATGAGTGCAAACCAAAATCACAAGGTACCACTTCATACCCACTAGGATGGCTCTTGTTAACAAAACAGAAAATAACAAGTGTCAGCAACAATGTGTAAAAATCAAGGATGTGCAAAAATTTGCACATTGTTGATGAGAATGTAAAATGGCTTAGCAGGTGTGGGAGAGAGTCTGGGAGAGCCTCAAAAAAGTAAACGTAGAATTACCATGTGAGCCAGTAACTGCACTCCTAATTATACACCAAAAACAAGAAAATAGGTACTCAATGTTCATAGCATTATTTACAATAGCCAAAAAGTGAAAACAACCTAAACATCCATCAACAAATGAATGAATGAACAAATTGTTATATATATACAATAAAATACTACACAACCATTAAAAAGGAATGAAATTTTGACACTTGCTACAATGTGGATGAACCTTCAAAAGATTATGCTGAGTGCAATAAGCCAGACACAGAAGGACAAATGATGCATGATTCCACTTACTTATATGAAATATCTAGAATAGGGAAATTCATAGAGAAGAAAGTAGAATGAAGGTTACCAGGTGCTAAGAGAAGGGGAAAATGGGGACTATTGTTTAAATGGTACAGAGTTTCAGTTTGGGAAGATGAAAAAGTTCTGGCAATGGATAGGGTGGTAGTTGTACATAAAACCGGAATGTGCTTAATGCCACTGAACTATATGACTAAAAATGCTGAAAATGAGGCCATGTGCGGTGGTTCATGACTGTGATCCCAGGGCTTTGGGAGGCCAGGTGGAAAGATTGCTTGAGGCCAGAAGTACAAGACTAGCTTGGGCAACAGAGCGAGACCCCATCTCTACAAAAGTGGTTGTTGTTTTTGATTAGCCAGGCGTGGTGGCACCCACCTGTAATCCCAGCTACTCAGGAGGCTGAGGCAAGAGGATGGCTTGAGCACAGGAGTCTGAGGATGCAATGAGCTATGATTGCACCACTGCACTCCAGCCTGGGTGACAGCAAGACCCTGACTCTAAAAATAAATAAATAAATGTTAAAACGGTAAATTGCATTACTATTTATATTTTATCACAATAAAGGAAAATCCTATCCAAATGTTATAGTAATTTGCTTCATCACTACCTTCAAGGGATTTTACAAATGGAGTTTCTCCCTCTGCCAAATTAGAGGTATTTTAATAAACTCTAATTTTCAGGTAGAAAATAATGTGCCATCGGTACCTGGAAGCCTTGGAAGAAAACAGAATCCCTGATAAGGTAAAATGCTGGGAAATCTTCACACTCGCCCAGGCCCAGTTACATAGGTTAATCTCCTTTCAGCAGCCCACCCTCTCTGAAGGACAGCCAGTCCCATGAGATCCCCAGCAGGCTGCCTGCCTTTCAGATCCTTTCTTCTACTTAGTGCCAATTAATGTAAACATATCCATTTTCTCTGATGGTGGTGGTTTTGAGGGGGAGAAGAAAGTACTGTTTTTAAAATAACAGTTGCTTCTATACTAAAAAGGGGAGAAAATATGGAACAATCTCTAGAGAAACCTTTTTTAATGAGATCTGTTTTCTGTTTCACAACCATCCAACAGCAATGTTACATGCCATGAATCAGTATTATTCAGCTTGATTTTCTCAGAACAAGTTATTCTTGTAATGCAAACTATAAAATTTCTTCAGTCAAAACAAATAATTAAATACAACAAACATTCCTAGATTCAACAACTGTGAGCATTCTGAAAGAAGACAGAAATACAAATTTCTGTTATGCTAAATTTTACTAATACCCCAGAGTCTCCATGACTTCAAATCAATTGAAAAGTTCACAAAATTCAAAATTCATTCTTTCATAAAACTGACTTTAGGATCCCTCCTGGAATAGGAATATAACAGAATAGAATCTACTACATAAAAATATTATTGGGTTAAGTGAATTTACCTTACAATACACAACTAAATATGAGAATATTTGAAGTTCATTTTAAAAATACATCATCATCACTCCTGAATTTGGGTATACTGTGGCCCAGAGGAAGTGACATAATAATCGCATCTGATAAAATAGTCAAAAGGAAAAAAAAGAAGTGAAAATAAAAACAAATTAGCAACTAAACAACTAATTATGGTGGGAGGAGAAAGAACACACACAATCTCACTGTAAAATCAGAGACTCTCCAATAACGGCTGGATTTTTTATATTCACACTGAATTTCACATGAAACTGAAGGCCATGACTACAAGGGATATATGTGGCCCAAATGAAGACTCTTGGTTTACCAGGCAGCCTTGTGCTCATGGCAATGAAGTACTATGGTAAGCAGATGTCACTGGAATTTATACTTAATAAGCCACTTGGGAAGCCTTGGTCTACATTTACTTACATCCCTAAAATACAGTTCTCTTGGCCACTCGTACAGTTTTTTTGGCTAGAATGTTACTATTGATTGGATATCATTTTTAAAGTTTCAACGGAGATTTTGAATTATTTTTTAAATTAAAGAAACTAGATACAGTTTTTATTGTTGCTCATTATCACTTCTTTGGAAGACAGAACCACTATTCCATTGCCTGTTTGCTATGTAGTGAAAGGGAAGTAGAATGGGCATTAAAGCAGCAAAGACAGGAGTCTAAAGGTCATGCCCAATAGTTTGGGTCACTTAAGGTAGGTTTAGAATGTTCTATATTTTTCCATGTAATAGTCTGAATATTAAGATCATATTTAAACATTTCAGTGATAAGCCAACATAACAGTGATACAAGAGAAGGCCAGCACTACCTTGTAGAGATCATGGTGTAAGTTTCTAGTATTGCAACCTACATTCTTTACACATACGTAATAAACTGTATATAATTTACACACACATATAGTCAGCATATTCTTGGAAACACTGTATGCCACCCCACAAATGTGTTATTTTATTATTTAAGTTTGGAAGGGCCCACAATTTAATGCTTCCAGAAGCAAGAGGCAACATGATATAATGAATAAAACACAAGAATGGAGGAAGAAGACTCCAGTCTGAGTGCTAGTACCATCACTGTCATCTTCAAGTAATTAGTCACTTCCATATTGTTTCCTCCTCTGTAAAATGGAAACAATAGTCACTACCTTTTGTGCAGAAGTACTGAGGGGATGTGAGAGAAAGCAGTTTGAAAACTGTAAACTAAGATAATATTGTATATTACCAACATGGAGGTATACTTCTGTTTATTCCTCCTGTAGGCTTCACTGTGGGAGTTAAGAGGTGCCCCAAAAATTAAAAACAACCGGCTGGGCGCAGTGGCTCACGCCTGTAATCCCAGCATTTTGGGAGGCCGAGGCGGGTGGATCACGAGGTCAGGAGATCGAGACCATCCTGGCTAACACGGTGAAACCCCATCTCTACTAAAAATACAAAAAATTATCCGGGCGTGGTGGCGGGCGCCTGTAGTCCCAGCTACTCAGGAGGCTGAGGCAGGAGAATGGCATGAACCGGGGAGGCAGAGCTTGCAGTGAGCCGAGATCGCGCCACTGTACTCCGGCGTGGGGGACACAGCGAGACTCCGTCTCAAAAAAAAAAAAAAATTAAAAACAAGCTCTTTAAACTAAAATTTAACCACCATTGACTCCAGGATCCTCAAATACACTATGTTCAAATGTAGAGATGGAACCATAGTGAATATGAGAAGAGGGAGGGATGAAAACACAGACCACAGAGAATTTGCAGGGCAATGAGACGACTCTGCCTGATACTACCATGGTGGATACACGTCATGATACACTTGTCCAAACCCACAGAATGTACACCACCAAGAGTGAATCTCCCAAATTTCTACTCTGAGTCTGTATCCATACATTTTACACTTAAAAGCCCACTAAATATCATGAGGTGGGGGTTGTGAGTTGACGCCTGTAACATCAATTTCAAATAAGGCTGTTCGCAATCTGGCCTCCCCAGACTACATTCCCAGCCTCATCTCTTTTCACTCCCTTTGCCCATCACTCCTTCCCTCCCTGCCCAGAAGGCCCCTGTGCAGCTCTATCTTTCCTGCTCCTTCTTCAAAACAGAGCTGGAAGCCAACTTCCTGGAAACCTTCCCTGGAGGCCCCCAGGCAACAGCACTGATCAGCTCTCTGCTGCTCCTCTGGGCTTCCACAGCACCTAACATGTGCTAGTCACTCACAACAGCACTTACCACACTTGAATCCCCAGATTTGGTAAGTGTTTTCTCCAGAGATGCCTAGCCTTCTATCAGGCCACAAGCCAAGCCACATTGTGGTCTGTACTACCTACCTAGCATGCAGGAGGCCATCAATAAATGTTGAATGAATGAAAGTAAAATCCAGTTTTATCAATACCATTAACTATTGTATTATTAATATTATTATTACTATTTTGAAAAAGGGTCTTGCTCTGTCACCCAGGATGGAGTGCAGTGGCGTGATCATGGCTCACCGCAGCCTCAACCTGCCAGGCTCAATAGATCCTCCCCCTGCAGCCTCCTGAGTATCTGGGGCTACAGGCACGCCCCACCAAGACCAGCTAAATTTTTAAAATATTTTTCTCATAGAAGGGTTTTCACCATGTTGTCCAGGCTGGTCTCAAACTCCTGGGCTCAAGCAATCTGCCCCCCTTGGTCTCCCAAAGTGCTGGGATTACAGGCATGAACCATTGCACCTGGCCAACTATTGTATCATTAAGCCCCATGTAATTAATTGAAGTTCTAACCTAAAGCCCATTGCTTTACTAACGCAATACAATAAATTTCTTTGAAAGACAGAATTATATAATGCATTCCCTACTTCCTATGCATAGTCTATCTACTTAAGGTAATATTATATAGAGCATAATCTGTCTGAATACTTGTAAAGTATTAAATGACTATAAATCATCTGTTTAATATATATATTTTTAATGATGTGTGGGCAATTTTTAAAATTTTATAGATGTGTGTCTCGAGGAAGGCTGTTTCCCGGCCAAAGGCTGCCTGGGGGGGGGGGGGGCGGGTGGAGTTCATAAACTGATAAAGAATCACAAATAAGCCGTGTTATGAACTGCTGTTCGGGGAAGCTCAATTTATTTTTTATTTTTTATTTTTTGAGACAGAGTTTTGCTCTTGTTTCCCAGGACGGAGTACAATGGCACAATCTCAGCTCACTGCAACCTCTGCCTCCTGGGTTCAAGCGATTCTCCTGCCTCAGCCTCCCCAGTAGCTGGGATTACAGGCATGTGCCACCACACCCAGCTAATTTTGTATTTTTAGTAGAGATGGGGTTTCTCCATGTTGGTCAGGCTGGTCTTGAACTCCCAACCTCAGGTTATCCGCCCACCTCAGCCTCCCGAAGTGCTGGGATTGCAGGTGTGAGCCACCGCACCCAGTCGGGGAAGCTCAGATTTTTATTTGCTAAAGAGAAGCATGAAGCAGTGGAGATGGTGTGTCAACTGCTTAGCTAGGAGTTGTGGCCATTTAAAAGCATGCAAACCACTTGAATTTGTCTTCACTCTTCCAAATACCCCTTTGATTATGTGATTCTTCTGTTCAAACCATTTAATAGTTATCATGACTACGGGTTAAAATTGAATAGTTCTCCTTTGCCTACAGATTAAATCCAAATTCCTTGCCCTTCCTTCCACCTTACCCTACAAAAACCAACCTATTTAGGGAAGAGAAAGGTGGGATCGTTGAAAACCCAACATATTTAGGGAAGTGAAAGGTGGAGTGGTTCAAGTATCAACAATGAAGTGGACACTACCCTAGCAGCTGAATATTTCAAGATAAGACATGGTCCCTTTCCTCTATACTACTATTGAGACAGCAATCTAAACATATTATTATCAGGCAAGTAATAGGTGCACTATTACAACAGTTACTAGAAGAGTGTATTCAAAGTGGTCTGGAGGCCCCTGGCTGGCTAAAAGGGTTGGGTGGGGTTTCCTATAGGACCAGCCATGCAAACTCACTCACCCTTGAACCAGTAAAGGGTAGCAGGGAAAAACAGGAGGAAACTGTACAAAGGCTGGATCCTCCTCCTGACAGACTCAGGAAGTAGTGAAATTCCATGGCCTAGGGATGTTCTCAGCATCTCTAAGTTCTCATAAGGACTTACTGAAAGAATCTCTTCCTGTTTATGTCTTCTATTTTACCTCTACCTTCTAGTTTACCTCCCAAATCCCAAATGAGATCATTCTCATTATCCTTGACAAGACTAACTAAAAATTCACACACAGAAAATACGGAAGTCTAATCAGGAAAAATACAGTCATCCCCAGGTATCTATGGGGGATTCAGTCCAGAATCCCCACAGACACCAAAATCCAAGGATGCTCAAGTCCCTCGTATAAAATGGTATATTTGCATATAACCTACCACATCCTCCCTTATACTTTAAATCATCTTAGCTTACTTATAATACCTACTATACTGTAAATGCTATGTAAATGGTTTTTATATCTTATTTTTTATTTGTGTTATTTTTAATTTTTTCTCCAATATTTTTCATTTGTGGTTGGTTGAATCTGTTGATGCAGAAACTGCTGACTCACAGGGCCAGCTGAATAGAGAAATAAACCCAAATAGATTACAGTTTGGGGAAGTAAGACATCTTACTATTGGAGAAATATTTTAATATTTGCTTTCTTGATCTCTTTCACGCTAACTACACTATGAAATCCTGGAGACTAGGATTTTATTTTTGTCACTTCATTTCGTTGTGTAGTCCCCAGGGCCTGTTCTGGGGCCTCATAGGCAGGGTAGACACAATAGACACAGAGTAAATAATGGTTGAATGAATATCCTATACAAGCCCCATAAATTTACAAGTTCCACCTTCTAAAGTGATTGCTACACCCACAAAATTGCAACACTTTAAAACCCCAAGATATAATCAATACAACTTTAAAAAAATAAAGTGTATTTAGAATATCTTGTAATAAAATTAGATGCAATGACAACAGAAAGCAAGTAAAACTGCCACTCCTTTGAAATAATACCAACTTGTCATTATTTGCAAACACAGCCAACACCTAATGACTGCTTTGTGTAAACATATAGTCAATAAGCTGAAAGGGAAGCATTCATGTCCATAAATGTTTGTCTTTGACAAATATTTTATTCAACTCCTATTCCTAAAAATAAAATTCTACTTCCACTAGAAAACAAAGAATGACTAAATGCATAAACAAGACAAAGAAAACCACATGAGACCTAAAATCTTTTTAGCTTAACACATTTTTCATCTTCCACATTCATTACCACCATTCTTGGCTTCTAATAATCACTTATGTCATTAATAATAATCACCCATATCATCAATCACTGGTGGTCTTGCTTTATGAACAAATGGTGTTCAATCCTGCATAGTTATTTGGAAACTGGAATTCACCTTCCCCTAGAACAATGTCATGAGTGCTAATGTACTTCCCTGGCCAGCTCACTAGGATCCTCTCAACTCACAACGCAGGTGCCTTTCATACTACTAACACTAATTCAAATATGTGATGTCTACCTTTGGCATCTGCCAATCTGCTTTCTGTAACACCCTCTTTCCACACTTAGGTGCCTCAAACTTCTCAACAGTGCTACTGCCCAAGCCTTAAAATGACTTACTCTCGGGCCAGGCGCGGTGGATCACGCCTGTAAACCCAGCACTTTGGGAGGCCGAGGCCGGCGGATCATGAGGTCAGGAGATCGAGACCATCCTGGCTAACATGGTGAAACCCTGTCTCTACTAAAAATACAAAAAATTAGCCGGGCGTGGTGGCAGGTGCCTGTAGTCCCAGCTACTTGGGAGGCTGAAGCGGGAGAATGGCATGAACCCGGGAGGTGGAGCTTGCAGTGAGCCGAGATGGTGCCACTGCACTCCAGCCTGGGCGACAGAGAGAGACTCCATCTCAAAAAACAAAAACAAAACAAAAAAAAACTTACTCTTCCTTCTTCCTTCCTCACTCCTCCTCTCAGCCAAACTCCAATTCTCTCACTGTGATTCTCAGCAAAGAAAGGAGCAAGATGAATTCATGAACTTATGATGAAGTGTACTGATAAGAGATGTCAAATATTCTGCCACAAAGTGGGAAACTGATGGAATCTGTGAATCCCTTTCTGCGTTACCATTAACTCCTGAAATGTGGTACTACCAAGTCAGTTAAATTTAGATACAAGAATTCAGAAAGCAACTCCTGGCACTTCAGTTGAACGCTACCATCCATCAAATGCTTCTTAAAAAAGACCTGCAAATCTGCTGTAAGCTTTCCATAGCCCACAAGTACGTAGGACAAAATCCTTTAGAATGACATTAACCATTGCACAATTATTGCGTTTTGTGAAAACAAATCAAAATACACAGTAACCAAAGTAAATCTGTATTTGATAGGCTTCTAAGCACTTTAACAGATGAAAAGTAAAAAACAGGCTGTATGGAAGAAGATATTCCATAGATTAAAGCAGTCATTTAAGGCAAATGGCCCAGTGTATCTAGGGATGTGCTCCTGGGGTCAGTGAGTTCAGGATGTGGCTACCTCACAGTGTTCACACTTCTACTACTTGCAAACTCTAAGTCGTCAGAATCCTCAACTCAGAATCCCCAATGTCACCAACACGTTTGAATGGCCGCAAGACCACATGTATGCTATCCAGATTCCTTTGTTCAGTGATAGAAAACTGGCAACTGGAGTCCTAGAATGAATGGGCATCCCTGGCACTCCTAGTGCTTGTAAACTGAAGATTGCTTTTCGCAACTGCAGCACCAAACTCTCCTCGGGACTGAGGAGTACATGTTTTCTATTTATAGTCCCTCAGAATTAAATATGAAAAAGAAAAGGAAGTGATCAGATATTAAGTATTAAATTTCCCCAAGGGGAAATTCACATAAAAATAATCCCCACCAGTGAATCAGCTAATCAGAGTACCAAAGAATGAGACAAAGAGAGAGAGAGAGAGAGAAGATTTTGATATTTAATATCTAAAAAAGAGGAATTGGAAATTGTCATTATAGGAAAAAATCAGAACTACATAGGTCTCCTTTACAATTATTCTTTGGGTTAAACTTTTTTCTTTGAATTAAATGTGGGCTGGGAATGAGGGGGAAGAACCATAATCTCTTCAGTGCTTATGACTTCTAAAGTGTTACAACCGTGTGCACACACATATACAATCCACCTTAATATTTATGCCTTTTATTTTAAATTCTGAATTTAAATTTTATATTGGGAGTCGTTTTGATTCTTGAAAAATGCGTTTTGAGCTGATTAGAGCTTCCCAATTAAAACGGTACAACTGAATATATTATATGGGCATGACATTTATAAGCAAATTCTATTTTTTCACATCATATTAACTTTAATACTGGATTGTTACACAGAACATGATATATTTTAAAATGAGAGTTAGTATTGTTCGATAATAGAATGACCAAGGCACAGAAGGCAGATTCTGCCTGACGAGGCTGATAACAAGACCCTTTACACATCCAACGTGAACAAAGCAGCAGCTCATCTCAGTAGCAGTCTGCTTTTCTTTTGTGAGCATAGTTTGAAACACATACATTAAAAACAGTATCAATTTTTATGCGGCTATGGTGGGGGGAGGAATCAGCATATCGTGTTAGCAATTTTCTGTGGAATCACATTAGTGTTTCATTGTGGTAGCCGTATCACATTAAAATCTGTTTTTCTACTAAATGGCTTCCATTGTGTATTTAGTGAATCTGATATGGAAAACTGCTAATGCAATAAGAGTATCATAGAAGCTTTTCCTGACTGTAATGCTCAGCCACAATGTTCAGGAGAAGGAGGCTCTCAACTGGGCTGAGGGGATTTCAGGCCTCTGAACTAGTCCTCAGCTCAGATTCAACACCAGCTTCTTGAAAGATGGACTTTATCCTATGGGTGAAATGCTTTTACAGACTTTATTTCAGGAGGGACCATGGGTTCAGTGAAAAAATGTGTCATGTATTTGTTATTTATTGATAGAGTACTATAAAGGGCACTGTGGTCAGCATTCAGAGAATAAAAAAGGTAGATGAAACAGTCCCTTCCTTCCTGGATCTTGTAAGGATGGTCTGAGGGGAAGAAATAAATTAGTCTATGAGTAACTTAATACAAAACAGGTAAGAGTTGAAAAGGCGAAGAGCCACAGGAGCTCGAAGGAGGACATACCTGGGACCAGGGTCATCACAGAAAGTCCCGTGAAGGCAGCGCCTGAACAGGGCATACAAGATGAAGAAGTCATATTTGAGGATCCTGTGGGAGGTGGGGAAGCTGGGAAGGCCTCAGCGTGGGGTAAAGGTGCACAGGAGAGGAAAGCCAGGGTATGCATGGAAACTAGCATTTGCTATTTTAACTGCAGCATAAAATAGGGAAAGACCGGGAAGATAAGCCTGGAAAAGTGGTCTTGGGTCAGCCTAACACAAAAGGAAGCCGACACCAAAGGAGAGCAGAATACAAGTCAGGCAAGTGCGGCCGAGGTGTCCGTCATGGTTTTGGGGTAGGAAGTGTCAGGATGAAGACCACCAAGCAAGAAGAACATCCAGTTTTCATGGGTATAATGACTCCTAATGCTAACAGATATCTTGAAATCCTAACAACTTTAGTTGACACAAGTTTCTTAAGAGACAAAATTTACCGGAATATTTATTTTAAAAGGTTAGTTTATTACCAAGGGATAATTGTTTATTTTTTTAATGTCCTTACTTAGGACATGGACATTCACCAGGATAACATGAAACATTGTGAAAATGCTCACAGTATTGTTAAGTACTTATGCATTTACTGTTTGCATTTTTTTTTTTTGCTTTAGAATAACTTTTCAACCCACTAGCAACAGTAACCAAGGAAATATAAATCCAACAGCCTAGAATTACAACTATTTGAGAAGATTCATGGTTTCAACGTACTGCTATATTTACTGTTTCATTCTGGACAGTTTCCCGTTTCTTTAACTCCTCTCTAAGTGTCCAAAACAATATACAGAAAGTCTGCACTAAGCTTCGTTAAAGCTTTAAAATTTAGCATAGTATGTCTGGCAAATCAGAAAAACCACATATTTGTCATAACCTTTACCTTCCCTAAAATCAGAGTACATCCTGTGGATAAGGATTATTTCCCACATATTAAAGCAGAACATGATGAAACTGCTGTCCTATTTATTACAGAGGGAATGTCAGATATAAAGTAGTTACCTTAATCCTACGGTGCTCACTTACGAAACACCATCCCTCCAGTTTGGCAATGCATAGTGCACTCTCATTAATCAGAATTAAACTATTTGGAAAACATATTGAGTATTTTCATATTGACATTGAATATTTTCATCTTTATGAAACAATTTCTGGACAGACTTTTTTCCCTCCAACTGACCACATGATTAGTAAAGATAGTGTACCACTTGTTTATTACTTATGGATATCTTTAGTAATGTTTCATTTAAAAAACAAAACAAAACTCTTCTTTCTCATCCATGTCTTGGGCAATCACAGATGCAAGAGTTGACATCTGTGAATATTTTCTGATTACTTACTAACTAGGAATATATAAGTTAAAAAAATTTTTTAAAGGAGAAAAGCCAAATAGTTCATGTTGACTTTGAAAGACTGATGACAATGATGTGGCAATTCTAAAGTACTTAGAGGTTTAACCCAAAATTTGTTTACGTCTTTGATTTTTAGTAAACACTGCACTGATAAACATGAGTTTGTTCAGATCAAGAGTATGTTGGCATTCTCTTAAGCATAGTTTGAAACCAGAGAGCTCAAGCATAAAACAGCTCTGACAAAGATAACCAGTCAAGCATAAAAATGGGAGTTGGTTGTGTCAGAATACATTAAGAGGCCGAAGGCTGTCTGGCAGACAGCTGTCTTGCCATCACTGAAGGTGACTATTACCACTAAAAGTTGTTTTTCGGATACAGTACTTGAAATTGCTGTCATCTTGTATTTAAAATGCTCCTTATTTATAAAGCGTCACATCCTTTTCTTATCTGAAGCCTCCTTCTTGGATAACCACAAACCTAAAAGCAGTCTAAAATTGTGCTGATGCTTTCCTACAAGCACAGGGAAACTCTTATATTGAATCTTTGTCTATTTGGAGTTGAGAATGTCTTTGGCTTTTATTTTAAATGCCTTCTTAAATATAGATCACTATTTTTAAAATGTAAACATCCAAAGGCATTCCCTCACACTTGGAGGAATGCTAAGGCAGGAGACATGCTTGTAGTAGTCACATTTCACTTTCCCAGACGGGTGCCACAAACGTTCCGCTCAGTTACTGCTTAGGAGGCAGCATTATTAAATGCCTCACGACTTAACGGTCAGCCTCCATGCTTCTTGCTAACCTACATTTCCAAAAGATCATCCGAGAAATCTGGCAAGCCACCGAAATGGTACTAGTAAACTGGATCCATCCAAAGCACTCCACAGTGCCCTGTGGGTGTGTTTCTCACTGTAAACTACTGGGTAAAGAATTTACATACAATTTTATCTCCAAACTCGATTTGTATCCTTTGTAGGTTAGTTCTCAGGAGTACCCACTCCAGCCCAGAAATAAGTCAACGTAGTATTTCCAAACTATCACTTCAAATGTCCACGGTCAAGGGCAGGAGGAGGAAGGAATAGTAACGGGAAAACTTGTCAGCGATTAGCCATCCATAAAAATGTTCTCCCAGCGCTCCTCCTTCCGA
This sequence comes from Homo sapiens, assembly GCF_000001405.40. NCBI lineage: Eukaryota > Metazoa > Chordata > Mammalia > Primates > Hominidae > Homo > Homo sapiens. The sequence continues at coordinate 36,919,297 of NC_000013.11, forward strand.
TCACAAAGCTGGCGTCAGGCAGTCTCCTGTATCTGCTTCCCACCTCGCCCCCTCCCCTCTGCGGAGAGCTGGCACCGAGGGGCGGGCCAAGGAAAAGACAAACACCCCGGCTCCGACACAGTCCAAGCGCGAGCCCGGAGACACTTCAACAACATTCCTAACTTTTTTTCTCAGTTCGCATGCCTCAAAGGTAAACAAAGCAAAAAGCCTACGAAACAGAAGGCAAGTGAGGCCAATTCGGCGCTGGCGAGTTTAAAAGTGGCCCCCAAAGAGTCACAATGACGACCCCCGCCGCCCCCTCTGTCCGCTGTCCCCTATCTCCAGCTACAGCAAGCGACCCCTCAGGCGCCTATCCTGGTCCCTGCCCACGCCCCGGGCCCCAGCCCCGACCCGACCGCCGCCCCCGCCGCGGGTCGAACATCCCCTGACAGGTCCCGGGGCCCGCGGCGCGGGCGGATGCAGGCGCGAGGAAGGCGAGCTGCGCCGCGGCCAACTCCCCAGAGCAGTCCCCTCCGGCCCCGCGCCCACCCCACCCCACCCCACTCCACCCCAGACAGGCTCCACCAAAAAACCCGGGAACAACGACCGCCAAAAGCCAAGCCTCACGCCGAGGAGCCTCCCAGGCTGCCCCGAGGACGAACAACTTCGCCCTCCACTCAATGCGCTCACACGCACGCACACAAGCAGCGCGCGGCCGAGGAGGGCACGTCTTACCTGTCCCCGCCGTGCCACTCATCCCTCCCCCACCCAGGTCCGGCGCCCCCAACCCCGCCCCCGCCGTGGTCCCCCGGCCGCCCGCTCCGAGCGCCGCGCACTCACTGCCTGGCTGCGCGCGCCCAGCGCCTGCAGGGCCCGGCGGCGGCGGCGGGGACCGAGACAGCGGCTGCAGCAGCGGCGGCGGCGGCGGCGGCGGCGGCGGCCCCAGCCGGCGTCAGTCAGACTGGAGCCGCGAAGCCTCATCGCCCGTATTAGTGCGCCGACCTGGAAAGCGGCCAGGGAGCCCTGCTTGCGGCCCGCCCCCGCCCGCCGCCGCGCGCTCTGGCCGCTCCGGGAGCCGCAGAGGAGGGGGCTGCGCGGGCCCGGCGGGGGGCGGGAGCGAGACCGGCCCCACGGCCACGTGCGCGGAAACTCGCGGCGCGGGGGTGGCGGGGTAGTACTCCTCGCAGCGGCCTGCGGCTCGGTTCCCGCCTCTTCCCCACCCCCAGCCCCGCGCTGCCCTCTCGGTCCCCCTGCGCGACCCCAGGCTCGGCCCCTGCCCGGCCTGCCGGGGTGGCCCGGGGGTGGGGTGGGAGCCCTTTGTCTGCGTGGGTCGCCTCGCGTCTCTCTCTCCCACCCCACCTCTGAGATTTCTTGCCAGCACCTGGAGCCCGAAACCAGAAGAGTTGTCAGCCCAACAAGAATATAGGATCACCGGCCCATCAGTCTGGAGACCCTTCTGAGCTGCTGTTCCTCACATGTTTCTGGGCCCTGATAGTGACTCTCACTTGCCCTGTTTGTTCCTGATTTGCTTTTCGGAGTAAGGGGATCCTGTCCCCATGGACAGTGACAGAGCAACTGGGCCGCAATGGCATAGGCAGAAGAAAATCTAATCACTCTGGGGGTGAGTGGTGGTTAAAACGACTCATGTAATTATGTGGATTGTAATTTCCTTACACATATTTATTTGCTTAACAACCCAGCATGTGAGATATATTATCTAATCTAATAAAAGATACAAACTTATGGGCACACAGCAATGTTACTGTACAACTTTCTCGTCTCACGGCCTGGCTGTCCCCCAGGTAGCCTGCCTCTTAAAGTCACTGTGGACTCCTGGAACCCACTCAGAAACGCCACTTAGGAAGAACCACCTCTGATTCCCCATCAGCCCGTAGTTCCTCACAGAAAAGGCATTTGCTGCAGGGGTGAACGTGGAATAAAGCCACAGGGCAGTTTTCAGCTTGCTCCTGTGTGCAGGAAAGTCATACCTCCAGTTGGCCCCGATGGCGGCTCCGAAATGTAAAGCAAGGCCTTAAATTTAACTGCTTTTTCTAGTTCTCAAAGCACTGCACTTTCTTCATGGCAGATGCTATTTTTGCATTATTATACCGTTGTAGTTGAACGGTGATTTGTTTAAAACAACATTTGCAGCAGAACCTTAAATACCATGCCTTAACCTCAAAGTCTTCTTTCTACACTGGCCCAGATACCTCTGCACCCGGCTATGTGTTGGGTTTGAGATTGTCCTGGGTGAGAAACACCAGGAAACAGCGGGACCGGTAAGGGCTACAGATTATATATTAAGGATTAGGCTGGATGTGGACTTTATTGCCAGTAAACTAATTAGGTCCTCAGAATTGATACCTTGTGGCTCAAGTTTTTAAAAATTAAATTAAGAAAAGAAATGGCCCAATCACTATCTCAGTTTCCTTCTCGTATATGAGCATAATGCAGAGGACAAGATGCAGAGAAAGAAATTATAACCTCTGCAGCGCTGGCTCATGCTTCTGGCATGGAGTCTTTCTCAGTTCGCAGAATTCTCTTGACTCTTGGCAGGCCTTTGATTTAGAGTATGTCTAGTCTGCTCTTTTCTGTACGTTCTCATTTACATACCAGGATATTTCTGCACGATGATGACTTTTTCCTGCCTAAACATTAGTCTGTCACTGATATAATTCCTATCATGTATTCCTCAAGGCTAGTATAGAAAGTTAATCCATTACGCTCAAGAACAATAAGATCTGGTGAGTTCCAAGAAGGAGAAAATGCTTGGCCTAAGACAGAAGGCGCAGTGTTGACACTCCATTTTACAGAAGCTGACTGTCCTGGTTAATGGAAAGCTAGACTTCGCTTTATCTTTCCCAGTGATTTCTTGATTGGCTGTGGTTTTACTGCTTAATAGAACTTCCACCAAAACATTCTGTTATGGGAATCATATGAAAGGAGAGACTCAGAGGTTGTGATTTGGTAGAACCGCCAGTGAAATTTTGGTTCAGGACCTCAAAACCACGGCAAAACTGAAATCTGTTTTCTGAAAGATGATAAGGTCTTGGCCTAACACGAACTCCCTCAGGCTATAAAACAGTGGTAGGAAGGGCAGCTTCCTTACCCCAAGAGAGAGCCAATTCTTTGCATTTGCCATATACCCAGCATAAAACCAGACTGTGGTCTTTGAAGCTGTTCCTGAAGTGACAGTGGAGAGAACCGGGCAGCCCAGAAACCCCAGGCAAGGAGATTGATCCTGCAAGAGAAGGGGGTTCATCATGGCGGATGACCTAAAGCGATTCATGTATCAAATGTTACAAAGTGTTGAAGGGCTCCATGCTATTGTTGTGTCAGAGTTGGAGTACCTGTTATTAAAGTGGCCATTGATAATGCTCCAGAGCATGCTTTGAGACCTGGTTTCTTACCTACTTTTGCCCTTGCAACAGACCACGGGAGCAAACTTGGACTTTCAAAAAATAAAAGTATCATCTGTTACTGTTACACCTACCTGGTGATTCAGTTAAATCATTTACCTTTGGTGGTGAGTTTCATAGCCAGCAGCAATGCCAATACAGAACTAATTGTCAGCCTAGAAAAGAAACTTACTCCATTATTTGAAGAATTGAGACAAGTTGTGGAAGTTTCTTAATCAGACAGTGGTTTCAATGTGTACCTTATCTTTATTATAACAACACAATATCGATCCAGCAATCTTTAGACCATAATACTTTTATCCATGTCCTCAAGAAAGGGCCTCTTTTTCCAACTTATACTGAAGAGCAAGCATATAGATAAAATTTATGGACGGATTGATTGTTATATTTTCTGGTGTAGGGTCTTTTCTTATTTAGTGAGATCTGGGGATACCACAAAAATAGTTCAGTCTGTCACAGCACCCATGGAGTTAGTCCAGCCACCAAATATGGATGAGATTCTATTCCGTGGATCAGAATCAAACTGGTACATTGATCCATTTGAGCCATTAAGTGCTCTCTATTGTACAATCTGCCCAGGCCTGCAGAATGAAGCAGATTTTTTATTGCGAATAATAATGAGATATTTTTCTTCAGATTATGTTTTATTTCTTCTCATTGAGTGTGAGGAACATAAAATGGCTTAGTAAAAGCAATAAAATCAGTACAGTCACTAGCTTTCCTTTGTACTTATTACTTTATGATATAGATGAATATTACTGATTGGTTTGATTCTTCTCAGAGGGTGCTGCTCTTTAATGAAAATAAAAATTATAGCTAATGGTTTTTCCTCAAACTCTGCTTTCTATAACTAATCAGTGTTTTAATGTTTGTGTGTTCTTTATAAAATTTAAATGTAATTGGTTACTGAATTCTGTTTCCAATATTAGTATTATGTAAACATGATAGTATAACCATTTTTTCATGTGAGTATACATAAAATAGTATTAAAAAATAAAAAAATAACAGATTGTAACAAAGTCTGTAGTCATCCATGGATGCAAAGATTCTGCTTTGTACGTCTCTTGTACCTTAAGTTTGAGCTAGCATGATAATGGTTCCACTCAGAGTAATAACTAGGAATCATAGCCTCCACACTCCTCCCACCTCAAGTCTCCTTTCTAAATTTTATCTGTAACTCTGTCCTGATGCTGCAGTTTTTCTGCCTCCCATTCGGACTTTCCTTGAAAGTCATCTTTCATTCCATAATCACTATTGAATGCTTTCCTAAGTACCAGGCACCCGAATTAACTATATGAACACAGAGCACTGGCCCTTAGTAAAGGCAGCCTAAGAGAGAGATACATCTACCAACGATTATCACACAACTTTGTGTGTCACCGTAGGGGAGTGGGCACAGGGAGGTGTCAGGGAGGTCTTCACAGGGTCGAAATTTTAGCTCCAACTTGAGAGCATGAACACTTACTGTCCTGCACCCCCCTGGGCCTCCACCCTGCCTGAGTGGGTGCAGCCCTGCAGGTGTCAGCCTCACAGCAGAGTGCAGGCTGCACTTCAGCCCACTTGCCACCCTGGCCTGACACTCTAATGCAGGCCCAACTTGTTCAATCATGAAGGCAGAATGCCTACTATGTGCAGAATTCCCTGAGGCTTTGAGTAGAAAAGCCTCAGTTTTCCTAAGAGAATTGTCAAACTAGTTGGATAGATAAGAAAAACAATGTTAACACAGCAGTTCATCACCAAATACATTCTAAAGGATTGAGACAAGAGAGCAATGGACCATCTTGACTCAGCAGTGAGGATCAGATGCTGCCTCCATTGTGAGAGTCCCCCAACCGGGAACTGGACTGGCGCTTCCCACACCTCCTCTCATTTCCCTCTCATGACCTCTCACGGGAGAATTATCATCTGCATTTTACGTTGAGGAACCTGAGGGACACACAGACTATCCCCTCCAGGCTGCCTTTCTCCAACGCCCAGGTTTTTACACCTCATTGTTGTCCTGGAACTTGAAGTGGAGTTGAAAAGTGATGAACATGGGCAGTGACATCCCAGGAAGAATAATCTACACAGGCTAGAAGGTGGAAGGGGCTGAGGGAGAAAAGTTTGTAGAGAGAAGAGGTAAGGAGACCAATTAGGAAGCCATTGCAACATTCTAGGCATGAGGTGATGGGCGTCTGTGGGATTCTAGAAAAGTGAGGAGGAGATGTATTTATGGACACTTTGAAGAGATAATCAATAAACTTTGGCAAAAAAAAAAAACTGGAGGAATCAAGGACCGAAGACGGGAGGAAATGCTACCTTTAGAAGAAATTGGTTAATAAGTACTATGAAGCAGGAAACTATGCTTTGGGGAAAAAAGATAAAAGAAAATCACCCTCCTCTTCCCACAATTGTTCCTAAAATGTATTTACCTTTTTCCACCTCAGAGCAGCATCACTACATGAAATTATATAAACTATGTATATGTTTGTTTTGACTGGCTCCTCTGTTAGAAGGCTGGTCTTGCTCACTACTTGTATCCCCACAGCCTGGAACAATGCCTGGCACATAGTAGGTGCTCAATAAATATTGGTCGAATGAATGAAATGTTTAGTATGTGGTGAAAAATATTCGGAAAGTAATTAGAAGACAGATGTGGCTTTGCCATTCTAAAGGGAGCGATTGCTATGCAGCTCCAGCCAGCTGTGGCCGTGTGAGAATAAGAATATCCTTTCAAGAGATAACAGACATCCAGAATTTTATGGAAAATCTTACAACTTAAAATAGTTTTTTTCTGTTGCCCAGGCTGGAGTGCAGTGGTGTGATCTAGATTCACTGCAACCTCCGTCTCGTGGGTCCAAGCAATTCTCCTGCCTCAGCCTCCCGAGTAGCTGGGACTACAGGTGCATGCCCCCATGCCCAGCTAATTTTTGTATTTTTAGTGGAGATGGGGTTTCACTGTGTTGATCAGGCTGGTCTCGAACTCCTTATCTCCAGGTGATCCGCCCGTCTCGGCCTCCCGAAGTGCTGGGATTACAGGCAGGAGCCACTGTGCCCAACCACAACTTAAAATATTTTGCAACCCACCTGGGTTTTATGGTGAACCAAGTTTGGCTAACAATTTGCAGCCTCTGGGTTTCACTTCTCTTAAGTCCATTTGGCATCTCTCTTTTTGTTCTATGAGAGAGAAACAATAACCAAGGTCATGAAATCAATCAAATTAGAGCTTTTCGTCCTGGGAGAGAACAAACCCTTTCTCAAACCGACACAATATTTGGCCTTTCTTCCACTGTCAGACTTCACAAGGAGGGCTGATATTTGTTTCTTCTTCCTTGCCACCCCACCCTTCCTAATTTCACCAAATCTGGCTTTTGTCTTCCGCTGTGCACTGTTTGATTTCAGTGCTGTTCTAATATTCTTAGAGGTCACCGGTGACCTTTTAATCATTAATTCAGTGTTTTGTTGACTATCATTCTTTTTAAAAAAATTTTGAAACGCACCTTTATTATTTCAGTTAAATTCATGTTACTATTGGAGTTAATCAGATTTATTCATTTATTTAAAAATGTGCTTAGTAATATGTTATTTGGAACCATTTTAGGGACTAGATGAGACTGACTTTTTTTTAATGTCTGATTTTTTTTTTCCTGCCTCAGATTTATTTGTACAAATAGCACAGGAGAACACCAACCCCATGTACACGGCAGCCCGGGGGTGTCGCGCTAGTCCTCTGTCCTCACGTTGGCAGACAAAGACAAAGATCTCTACTCTGAAGCCTTTGTGGGAGGCTGGGCACCTAGGAAGCCTGAGCTGGAACTGGAGCTGGAGCTGCAGTCTGGGTCTTGATTTATTCCTTGGCCTTGGCCTTGGCCTTTGGCCAGCACAGCCTGAGCCCCTGGGCAATGAGGGCACTAGCATACTTCCCAAGCTTGGGGTAGGGCAATATAGGCAAGTCGATCAAGCTTGCAGCTGACTCCCTTTGGGATCTTGGGCTTAACCTCCTTGGGCTTTACGAGGGCCTCGATAGCCTTGGCACGTGCACTCATGGCCTTGGCACTGTTGGCCTGCATCTTCTTTGGGCCCTTCTTGTTGTGCTTCTTGGCAAAGCACATGTTCCTCAGGAACTCAGGGCCCATCCCCCTTAAGAGATTCATATCGGCTGGGCGCAGTGGCTCAGGCCTGTAATCCCAACACTTTGGGAGACCGAGGCAGGTGGATCATGAGGTCAGGAGATCGAGACCATCCTGGCTAACACAGTGAGACCCCCATCTCCACTAAAAATACAAAAAATTAGCCAGGCGTGGTGGCGGGCACCTGTACTTCCAGCTACTCGGGAGGCTGAGGCAGGAGAATTGCCTGAACCCGGGAGGCGGAGGTTGCAGTGAGGCAAGATCCAGCCACTGCACTCCAGCCTGGGCAATAGAGCAAGCCTCCGTCTCAAAAAAATAAAAGAGAGAGATTCATATCTTTGTGATCAGAGTTTCTTGATGCCATTTCTGTGCAGTTTTTGGGACTGGTTGTGTGTGTGGTTCTTGGACTTAGACATGTCTGCATCGTAAGCCGTGGCTTCCTGGAAGTGGAAGCTAATGTCTTTAATTTTTTTAAATGTATAGTTCAGTAGTCTTAACTATTGTCTTGCAGCAACAGATCTCTAGAACTTTTTTATCTTGCAAAATTGAAACTCAATGCCTATTAATCACTAATGCCCTCTCCCCCGGTTAGAAACTACCTTTCTACTTTCTGTCTCTGTGATTTTTGACTGATTTGGATACTTCATATGAGTAGAGTCGTACAGTATTTGTCTTTTTGTGACCGGCTTATTTCACTTAGCATAATGTCCTGGAGGTTTATCCATGCTGTAGCATGTGACAGGATTTCTTTATTTTTTTAAGGCTGTATAACATTCTGTTATTGCGTGTATATACCATATTTTCTTTATCCATTCATCAGTGAACATTTGAGTTGCTTCTGCCTTGTGGCTGGTGTGAAAAAATGAACATGGGTGTGCAAGTATCTCTTTGAGATTCTGCTTTGAATTCTTTGGATATATATCCAGAAGTGGATTGTTGGAGCAAACAGTAATTCTGTTTTTAATTTTTTGAGAAAACGCTGTATTGTTGTCCACAATGGCTGCCACATTTTACACGCCCACCAACAGTGCACAAGGGTTCCAATTTCTCTACATCCTTGCCAACTCTTGTTATTTTGTGTTCTTTTGACAGTGACCATCCTACAGGGTGCGAGAAGATGGCTCGTTGTGGCTTTGATTTGCATTTCTCTTATGAATAGTGCTGTTGAACATCTTTTCGCATGCCTGTTGGCATTTGTATACCTTCTTTAGAGAAATGTCTGTTCAAGTCCTTTGCCAATGTTTTATTCTGGTTGTAATTGTGGTTGTTGTTGATGTCCAGTTGTAGGAGTTTCTTATGTAATCTGAAGATGAACCCTTATCAGATATGTGATTTGCAAATATATTCTCCCGTTCTGTAGGTTGATTTTTTTATTCTGTTGAATGTTTCTTTTGATGCACAGACGTTTTTTAAGTTCGATGTTGTCCCATTTGTCTATTTTTGCTTTTATTGCTTGTGCTTTTGATGGCATATTTGCTTCTCGTTCTTGATACCTCTGCTGCCCTTAACAAACCCACAAAGATTTTAATAAATTAAATCAATAAATGAATGAATATGCCATAAATAAAAAAGAACAGAAAGCCTTCTACTTAATTAAGTGGCAGGACTTACTCAACCATCAGCTCCCAGTTGAAATTTCACCTGGGCTTCCTTGTAGAGTGCTCCTTCTTCCCCTCCTTGCCTCATTAGTGACTTCCCTTCCTCTGCATCCCAGTTTAAGTGTCACATCCTAGAGAAGCCTTCTTGGTCTTCTCTGACTTAGATCCTCTGTTTTGTCATCTCATGTGGCCTATATCTTTCTCATTCATAATCAACACTGTTGTTCCACATTGATATATAATTTAACTATTTGATTAATATCAGTCCCCTTTAATTAATTATAACATCAAAAAGAATGAAGAGTGTGTCTGATTTTGCTCTCATTTCTCACAGCTAAAACTGTGTCTGGCACATAGTAAATGCTCATTAAATACTTATGAAATGTAGGAAGATTTACTATGAGTAGAAGAAGAGAATAGGATAATGGATCCTGGGCTTGGGCTTGAGTTTTTGATATCCCAAGTGCAGAGCAATGAAGGAGAAAACAATGCCTGCCCCTGGACTCTTTTTTGGAAGACTAACAGTAGTGTGTGTGTGTATGTGTGTGTGTGTGTGTGTGTAGTGAGGGTGGACTGGGTGGTGATGCATGTTCATAGAGAAGTGGCAGGCATGTTAAAGGGGCTGAAGAGACAGAGTATGATCCACAAAACTTCCACTGTAAGGGTAAAACTAAGGCTTATTCTTATTTTTACGTGGGATTTAATTATTTGACGGTATATGTGGCACAGACTCTAATCCCATTATAAGGGCTTTTTTACATTTAAATTTTATTTATTTATTTCATTTTTATATATTTTTGTAGTTTGTGATGGGGGTGTTTGATTTTGTGACACCTGATCCCCATAGAACTAAATGGGCCCCATTCTTTTTGAATAGCAGCTATTTAAGTTAAAGATAAATTTAATTTTGATTTGGAAGCTGTGTAATACTTTCTGAAATAAAAGCAACAACCTAGGGAAGCTCAGAATAATAGTTGGGGTTTACCGCTAATAACGGGAAAACAAACCCTTAGTTTAAAGCCAAGTTTTGGCCTCAAATTGGCTAGAAAATGTCTCTCCTTTCCTTTAAAGGACAGGCTGAAGCCATGAGACCAGCAAGACCCCTGTCTGTGTGCTGCCTGTCTGAAATGTGCTAATTTTTTTCCTCATAACTGTGAAGTGATTAACACGTTGCCTTTTTGCCATTTTCATGGTATTATCATCTTTATAATGGCTAATAAATCTTATGCTCTTCGATCCACACATTGCTCTTTCATTTAACTTTAATTTATAGAACCCTAGGAGAAATTAAAGAGATATTCAAAATACTTTAAATGCTAATAAAAGAATATCTCTAAAAGCATTTTCTGTACACATAAAATGTTTCATGTGCACACAGAATCTTAAACATTTGACCTAATCACTTTTCTTCCTTGATGATGTATTTCTATGTTCACATATCATTTTTAAAATTTTTAATTTTAGTTCTGGGGTACAAGCGCAGGATGTACAGGTTCGTTACATAGGTAAATGTGTGCCATGGTGGTTTGCTGCACCTATCAACCCATCACCTAGGTATTAAGACCAGCATCCATTAGCTATTTGTCCTGATCCTCTCCCTCTCCCCACCCTCCCTTCCCAACAGGCTTCAATGTGTGTTGTTCCCCTCCCTGTGTCCATGTGTTCTCATTGTTTAGCTCCCACTCATAAGTGAGAACATGCAATATTTGGTTTTCTGTTCCTGTGTGTGTTTGCTGAGGATAATGGCTTCCAACTTCATCCATGTCACTGCAAAGGACATGATCTCATTCCTTTTTATGGCTGCATAGTATTCCATGGCATATATATACCACATTTTCTTTATCCAGTCTTGTTCATGGGCATTTGGGTTGATTCCATGTCTTTTCTATTGGTTCACATATCATTTAATGAGTCTTAGGTCTATTTTTTAGCCCTCTGTTGACAATAGTTAGGAGCCAGGTGCAGTGGCTCGTGCCTGCAATCCCAACACTTTAGGAGGCAGATCACTTGAGCACAGGAGTTCGAGACCAGCCTGAGCAACATGGTGAAACCCTGTCTCTACAAAAAAAATACAAAAATTATCTGGGCTTGGTGACATGTGCTTGTAGTCCTAGCTACTCGGGAGGCTGAGGTGGAAGGATCACTTGAGCCCCAGGAGATGGATGTTGCAGAGAGCCGAGATCCCACCACTGCACTCCAGGCTGGGTGACAGAGCAAGGCCCAGTCTCAAAAAAAAAAAAAAAAAAAAAAAAAATTTAGGGATAGAAAATTTCATTTACAGGAGGAATACGATCAGGAAAACTATTATACAACATGGTGACTGGTGACTATAGTTAATAACAATGCATTGTATACTTGAAAATTGCTAAGAGAGTAGATTTTAACTATATATATCACAAATAAATGATGAGTGTGTGAGGTGATGCATATGTTAATTAGCTTAATTTAGCCATTACACAATGCATGCATATTTCAAAACATCATGTTTTATACCATAAATATATACAATTTTTATCAATTAAAATGAATAAATTTTTAAATAGACATAGAAGGAAACAAACCCTGATACTTATTTGTTCATTCGTTGTTTTTTTTTTTTTTTTTTTTGAGACAGAGTCTTGCTCTGTCACCCAGGCTAGAGTGCAGTGGCACGATCTCAGCTCACTGCAAGCTCTGCCTCCCGGGTTCATGCCATTCTCCTGCCTCAGCCTCCCGAGTAGCTGAGACTACAGGCGCCCGCCACCACACCCAGCTAATTTTTTGTTTGTGTTTTTCGTAAAGACGGGGTTTCACCGTGTTAGCCAGGATGGTCTCGATCGCCTGACCTCGTGATCCACCGGCCTCGGCCTCCCAAAGTACTGGGATTACAGGCGCGAGCCACTGCGCCCGGCCTGTTCATTAGTTTTTGCATTACTCTTAGAGTGAGAAGTTTGAGTGGAGAAATAAAGTCTTTTTTATTTTTTTGAGACAGAGTTTCACTCTTGTCACCCAGGCTGGAGTGCAATCACTCGATTTCAGCTCACTGCATCCACCAGCTTCGGCCTCCCAAAGTGCTGGGATTACAGGCATGAGCCACCATGCTCGGCCTGAAATAAAGTCTTTTAAAATAAAGTTGCCTATAGAATAAGGTAGGTCATAAACACATAAATAAAATATGAGATAATATTCTGTATTTACAAAATACCAAAATATTCTTTCTGATATGTACATGTGTGTTACTGTACATTTTCATAAAGTTTTAGTTTGTAAGCTGACGCTCATGTTATTTAATTTGGTTACCACTATAACCCTGTGGGGAAGCAACCCACATCATATCATAGATACCATGTCATAGATAAGAAAACTGACATGCACACAGCTTACCTCACTGGAAAAAGTCACATACTCGCGAATCAGTATCTATCCCCCAAACCAATGCCTGTCTAGAGGAAAATATGATGCCCAAGAAACCACATTTTTAATGAGATTAAATTTTCCAGCATATATTTCTTACGTGAAATATAAATAAGTTTCTGTTTTCATTAGAATAATTTTAATGAAGTGAATGTAAAAAAGTGAATGTGATATGGTTGCCACTAAAGCTCAGCTATAATACATTTACTATTAATAATCAGAAAGGTGAATTGCAGGTGGCAGATGTTAAAGAGGGTAAAACATTATATGGGACTTGATTAAACTGAGGGTTTTAAAATTAAAACCTCCATTTGTTTTTCTCTTTACATAATCAGCCTGTGGGAAGAGAAAAGTAACCATAGTTGAAAACATTAGTGGGCCCAAATCTCATCCTACCTACATCTGGAGTGGTATGATAATCTGTCCTCTTCTGATTAGGGCTTGTATTTGATAGGTTCTTCTAATGCTTCTTTTATTTTATTTTTATTTATTTTTTTTTTTTTGAGACGGAGTTTCCCTCTGTTGCCCAGGCTGGAGTGCAATTGCGCAATCTCGGCTCACTGCAACCTCCGTCTCCCAGGTTCAAGCGATTCTTCTGCCTCAGTCTCCCTATTAGCTGGGATTACAGGCAGATGCCACAATGCGCAGCTAATTTTTTTATTTTTAGTAGAGATGGGGTTTCACCATGTTGGTCAAGGCTGGTTTTGAACTCCTGATATCAGGTGATCCACCCGCCTCGGCCTCCCAAAGTGCTGGGATTACAGGTGTGAGCCACTGCGCCTGGCCAATACTCCTTTTATTTTAAAAAGGACAAGTTAGACACTAGTTTGCATGCATAGCTTATTGATTATCCTGCAGTGGGGTCATAGCTCCCCATTTGTGATGCCAGAAGATTGCCTGTGGAATCACAAGACCTCTTCCAATGTTCTGTTATGCTATAAAAAGACCAGAACTTTTACATTTTAAATTAAAAGAATATCTGTGCATTTTTAAAAAATAATAAAACCAGTAGTTGTGGCAGTAGTAGCTGGTAGTGGTGGTAACAGTAATAACAGGACTGGGGGAAAAAGTTAAATGCCTATTTTAGTTTTCAAAATTAAACTTTTTAGGCTGGGCATGGTGGCTTACACCTGTAATCCCAGCAATTTGGCAGGCCAAGGCGGGCAGATCGCTTGAAGCCAGTAGTTTGAGACCAGCCTGGGCAATATGGCAAAACCCCTTCTCTAAAAAAAAAAAAAAAAAAAAAAAAATTAGCCGGGCCTGGTGGCACACACCTGTAGTCCTAGGTACTCGGGAGGCTGAAGTGGGAGGATCGCTGGAGCCTGGGAGGTGGAGGCTGCAGTGAGCTGAGATCGTGCCACTGCACTCCAGCCTGGCTGACAGAGTGAGGCTCTATCTCAACAAACAAATAACAACAACAACAACAAAATTAGAGTTTTCATTTTGAGATACCTGAAGATTTACATGGGTTATGGACTGAATGTTTGTGTCTCTCTAAAATTCTTATGTTGAAATCCTAACCCCCAATATGATTGTATTAGGAGGTGGGCCTTCGAGAGGTAATTAGGTCATGAGAGTAGAGCCTTCATGAATAGGATTAGTGTCCTTATAATAGAGAACCCACTCTCCCTCTCTGCCAAATTAGAGCACCATGAGAACACAGCTTACTGCAAATGAGGAAGAGTCCTTCACCAGACCATGGATCTGTGGGCACCTTGACCTTGGACTTCCCAACCTCCAGAAATGTGAGAAATAAATGTATGTTGTTTAAGCCACCCCAGTATATAGTGTTCTGTTATAGCAGCCTGAACAATGACAAAATGCAATTTTAAGAAATTATACAGAAAGATCTCAGTGTTCTTTGCCCAGTTTCCCCCAGTGGTAGCATCCTGCAAAACTATGGTATAAGACCAAAACCAGGATATTTACACTGATACAATTAAGATACAGGACATTTCCATCACCACAGGATCCCTCCTGCTGCTTCTTTATAGCCACATCCACTTCTTTCCTACTCCAACACTTTCACTAATCATTAATTCATTCTCTATTTCTATAAATCTGTCCTTTCAATAATGTTTTATAAATAGAATCATACGGTATGTATGCTTTTTTTCCACTCAGCATAATAATCTGGAGATTAATTAAGGCTATTGAGTATATCAATAATTGTCCCTTTTGGTTGCTGAGTAGTATAGCATGGTACGGATACACTCCAGTTTGTTTAACCATTCATCTGTAGGAGGACTTCTGGGATATTTCCAGTTTGTGGCTATTATGAGTAAAGCTGCTATAAACATTTATGTAAAGTTTTTGTGTGAACATAAATCTTCATTTCTTTGAGATAAATGCACAAGAGCACAATTGCTGGGTCGTGTAATAGTTGCATGTGTTGTTTTTAAAGAAATTGCCAAAATACTTACCAAAGTGGCCATACCATTTTACATGCCCACCGGCAATATATGCATCATCTAGTTTCTCTGCATCCTTGTCAGCATTTATCATTGTCATTATTTTTTGTTTTAACCATTCTGCTAGGGGTATAGTAGATATCTCATTGTGGTATTAATTTGTGTTTTGGTAATGGCTAATGATGTTGAGTATGGTTTCATGTGCTTATTTGTTACCTGTATATCTTTCTTTGGTAGACATCTCTTCGTACTTTTGACCACTTTTAAATTGAATTGTTTATTTATTTACTTTTTTACTGTTGAGTTTTAAGATATCTTAATATATTTAAGATACTAGTTCTTTGTTGGATATGTGGATTTGGGGTATTTTCTTCCACTCTCTAACTTGTCTTTTCATCCTCTTAACAGGGTGTTTCATAGAGCAAGAGGTTTTAATTTTGATGAAGTCCAATTTAATTTTTCCTTTTATTGATTGTGACTTAGGTATAAAGTATAAGATCTCTTTGTCTAGTTCTAGATCCCAAAGATTTTCTCCTGTGTTTTTCTTTCCAAAAGTCTGACATTTTACATTTAAGCTATGACCCATTTTGAGTTAAGTTTTGTGTAAGGTGTGAGACTTAGGTTATTCAATTTTTGCCTATAAATGTCCAGTTTTCCCAGTACCAATTGTTCAAAAGATTGTGTCCTTCACTAAAGTGCAATTGTACCTTCATTGAAAATCAGTTGGGTCCAGGTATAGCAGCTCACTTGTAATTTCAGCATTTTGGGAAGCCAAGGTGGGAGGATTGCTTGAGGCCGGGAGTTTGAGACCAGCCTAGGCAACATTGAGAGATCCTGTCTCTACTAAATGTTTTTAAAAAATCAGTTGGGCATGTTCATATGGGCCTATTTCTGGGTTCTCTATTCTGTTCTGTTGATTGATCTGTATCTATCTATCCACCAATAGTGTCAATCTTGATTACTGTAGCTATCTAATAAGTTTTGAAGTCAAAAAGGTTGATTCTTCCTCCTTTTTCAAAATTGTTGTAGTTATTCTAGTTCCTTTATCTTTTCATATAAATTTTAGAATAATCTTGTCTACATCTACTAAAATTCTTGCTGAGATTTTGATAGAAATTGTATTAAGCCTGTACATCAATTTTGGGAGAATTGACATCTTTACTATGTTGAGTCTTCCAATTTAGGAATATGGTATATGTCTCTCCATTTACTTAGATCTTCTTTGATTTCTTTATCAGCATTGTAGAGTTTTGTGTATACATGATTTACACCTATTTCCTCTTTTTTTGGTTGATTATAAATGATATTGCATGTATAATTTCAGTGTCCATGTGTTCATTGCTAGTATATATAAATACAATAAATTTTTGTATGTTTATCTTGTATTCTGTGACTTCATTTTTTTATTTTTTATTTTTTGAGACAGAGTTTCGCTCTTGTTGCCCAGGTTGCAGTGCAATAGCGCAATCTTGACTCACTGCAACCTCTGCCTCCGGGGTTCAAGCGATTCTCCTGCTTCAGCCTCCGGATTACAGGCGCGTGCCACCATAACTGGATAATTTTGCATTGTTAGTAGAGATGGGGTTTCTCCATGTTGGTCAGGCTGGTCTCAAACTCCCGACCTCAGGTGATCCACCTGCCTCGGCTTCCCAAAGTGTTGGGATTACAGGCATGAGCCACTGTGCCCAGCCTCTGTGACTTTAATGAATTCACTTATTAGTTCTAGGTGGATTTTTTTTGATAGGTTCCTTAGAATTTTCTATGTAGACAATCATGTGATCTACAAATACAGAGTTTTTATTTCTTCCTTTCTGGTCTGTATGTCTTTTATTCCCCTTTATTGACTAAAACTTCCAATACTATATTGAATAAGAATGTGGTAAGAGTAGACATCCTTGCCTTGTTCCTGCCCTAAGAGGAAAATACTCAGTTTTTCACCATTAAGTATAATGTTTTATGTAGGTTTTATGTGCTTACATTTTATCAAGTTGAGGAAGTTCCCCTCTATTTCTAGTTTTCTGAGGGTTTTATTGTGAATGGATGTTGAACTTTGTCAAATGGTTTTTGTGGGAATCAACTGATATAATCATATAATTTTCTTCCTCAGCCTGTTAATATAATGAATTATGTTGATTGTTTTTCAAATAATGAGCTAGCTTTGCAGATGTATAATAAGTCACACTTGGTCGTGATGGGTAAATCTTTTAAAATATTCCCAAATTCTCTTTGATAATATTTTATTAAGGATTTTCATGCCTGTATTCATGAGAGATACTGGTCTGTAGTTTTGTTTTCTTGTTCTCTTGTTCTGGTTTTTGGTATCTGTTCTATTTTCTGGAAGAGAGTATGTAGAACTGGTGTTAATTCTTTTTCTTTAAATGATTGGTAAAATTTTCCTGTAAAACTGTCTGAGAGAGAAGTATTGAAATCTCCAACTATAATTCATCTGTTTTTCCTTGCACTTGTGTCCGTTTTGCCTCATGCATTTTGCAGATCTGTTGTTTGGGACACGCACACTTGATTTCTATGTTTTCTTGGTGGATTGAATCTTTTTTACTACATAATATCCCACTCTGAGTCTAGTAATTTGTTTGATATAAAGTCTTTTATCTGATATTATAATAGCCACTCCTGCTTTCCTTTGATTAAAGTTTGTATGATATCTTTTTCCATTTTATACTTTCAACCTGCTTATATTCTTATATTTGTAGTGAGTTTCTTGTAGACAGCATAGAGTTAGGTCATGTTTTTAAATACTCTCTGCTAATCTCTTTTACTTGAATTTAGATTAGTTATATTTAATGTAATATATTCTTGATATGCTTAAGGCTTAAATCTGTCATTACTTTTGCTTGTTTTATGTCTGGGTTTTGTTTGTCTTTTCTTTTTTTGAAATAGGGTCTTACTCTGTCACCCAAGCTGGAGTGCAGTGGTGCAATCATGGCTCACTGCACCTCAACTCCTGGGCTGAAGTCATCTTCTTGCCTCAGCCTCCCAAGTAGCTGGGGCTACAGGTGCATGCCACCAAGCCTGGCTATTTTATTTATTTATTTATTTTTATTGAGATGGGGTGTCACTATGTTGATCAGGCTAGTCTCAAACTCCTAGTCTCAAGCAATCCTCCAGCCACAGCCTTCTGAAGTGCTGGGATTACACACATAAGCCATCATGTCTGGCCTTCTGTTTTGTTTTATATTTCTGTTTTCTTTTTCTGCCATCCTGTGGTTAGATGAACAATTTTTAGAATTCAATTTTTGTTTATTCATAGTGTTTTTGAGTATATCTATTTATATAGCTTTTTCGTGATTTCTCTAGGTATTACATTATACATAACTCATCACATTTTACTGGTGTTATTTTACCAGTTGGAGAGAAGTATAGAAACATATCTGTTTTTCTCCCTTTACCTTCCCTCATTTATAACAATCTAATATACGTCCTCTGCATACGTTTAAAACTACATCAGTGTTACAATTTTTGCTTCCACAATCAATTT
Source organism: Homo sapiens (assembly GCF_000001405.40). Taxonomy (NCBI): domain Eukaryota; kingdom Metazoa; phylum Chordata; class Mammalia; order Primates; family Hominidae; genus Homo; species Homo sapiens. Next base: position 36,937,702 of record NC_000013.11, read on the forward strand.
TTAAAACTCAAAAGGAGAAGGAAAGTTTATTTATTTATTTTAGTTTACCATATGCCTTCTTTCTCCCTGATGTTTCAAGGTTCCCTTTTTGGTTTTTTGGCAGTTTCTAAGACATTTTATTTAGAATTTTGCATTTGTTTCCTGAATCAATAAATGCTATACAACACAATGTAAACATGGCTACCATTTTCTGTTCCCTGCTTCCCCCTACCTGGGGACAATCCCCTGGCAACCTTACTCAGGAGTTTTAGGGGTTCTCCCTCCAGATTTGGTCCAGAAAATGAGGTTGAGTGACATAGTCCCTCGAATCACTTTCAAAGGAGGTCAGCTGAGGTGAGGAGTGTGCTCTCTCTGGGATCTGGAGGTTACTAGATTGGGGAAATGGATTAGTGATTTTTGGGAGAAGGGCTGGTGCCTGGGGCAAGGGCCTACCCCAAAGAAAAGGGTGTCTAAAATGTTCACGTTTCCTTCTTTTGCCTCAAAAAGTGACATTTATTCAAAGAAAAAAAATGACAAGATGTCCATCCCTTGGCTCCCCTTCCCTCCCCACCCCTGCTGCTCCTCAGCCCCTCGAGACTGAACCCTGGCTGGGGCTGGGAAGCAGGACAACCCCTTAGGTGAGGTCAGCAACATTGAGGGGCATTTCCTCAATGGAGGTGTTGTAGAAGATCTCAATGTCTCAAAGAGTCCTCTTGTCTTCTGCCACCATGTTAATAGCCACACCTTTATGGCCAAACTGTCCACCTCGACCGATTCTGTGGATATAGTTTTCCCTGTTCGTGGGAGGGTCGTAGTTGATGACTAAAGAAAGCTGCTGCACATCAATGCCTCTGGGCAGCAGGTCAGTGGTAATCAAAACTCTGCTAGAGCCAGAACGATACTCCCTCATGACCACATCTCGTTCCTTTTGGTCCATATCTCCATGCATGGCAGAGACAGTAAAATCTTGGGCATGCATCTTCTGGGTTAGCCAGTCCTCCTTCCTTCAGGTGTTGATGAAGATGACTGCCTGGGTGATGGTCAGGGTTTCATTCAAGTCACACAGTTGTGTCCAGCTTCCACTCCTTTTGTTCCACGTTGATGTATAATTGGTGGATACCCTTCAGGGTTAACTCTTCCTTCTTGACAAGAATCCGAATGGGGTCCCTCATGAACTTCTTGGTCACCTCAAGTACATCAGAAGGAATTGTAGCTGACAGCAAAACTACCTGGGTGTTGCTATTGAGCATTTGGAATATGTCACAGATCTGGTCCTTGAATCTATGGCTTAACATTTCGTCAGCTTCGTCCAGTACAAACATCTTGATGTATTTAGGAGACAGATATCTCCAGTTAAGCATGTCAGACACACGGCCAGGGGTACCCATGATGATATGGGGAGCTTCCATCTGCAGTTTCTGTACCTTAGCACACATGTTGATGCACCTAATACAGGCATGACAGGAGACACCCATGTAGTCTCCCAGTGCCGTGATCACCTTCTGTATCTGCTAAGCCAATTCTCGAGTAGGTGCTAGGACCAAGGCCTGGGTGGCCTTTAGATCTAATTCAATCTGCTGCAGAATCAATATGGCAAATGTGGCCATTTTCGCAGTCCCAGATTGGGCTTGAGCGATCACATCATAACCCTTGGTCAAGGTAGAATGGCTCACTGCTGGATGTCAGAGGGCTTCCCAAAACCATGGGCATAGGTGCCACAGAGGAGGGACTCCGAGAAGCTCATGTCATCAAAGCTGTCAACAATCTCATTCCAGTTACTCTCGATGATGCCCTCAGGCTCCATCCCATCAGGGCCATTGTCTCTGGATCAGGAATCCTGACTCGCTCATGATCCTTAGAAACTAGCCAAGGTTCCCTTTTTTATTGTCTCCTTTCTATTTAGAGAATTTTGCTTAGCCATTCTTTCACAGTAGGTCTGTGGGTATTAAATTCCGTTAACTTTCTTTCCTCTGAGAATGTTTTGATTTCCCTTTCATTCTTGAATTATTATTTTTTTTGCTAAGTATAGGATTCTCCGTTAATAGTTTCTTTCTTTTAGCAATGGAAAAATATTATGACATGTCCTTCTGATCACCATGATTTCTGATGATAAATTAATTATCTGTCATTCTAATGGTTTTCTTCTGATAAATAAAGTGTCATTGGTTTTCAGCAGTTTAAGTATGATGTGTTTTGGTGTGGATATCTTTGGGTTGATCCTATTAACAGCTGAACCTGTAGGTTTTCATCTATTGTCAAGTTTGGGAAGTTTTCAGTCAATATTTCTTCAAGTATTTTTTCAGCCTTTCAGGGATTCTAATGACACAAATGCTAGATCTTTTTTATATATAGTCTCACAAGTTTTTGAGGTTCTGTATTTTTTGTTCAATTTTCTCTCTTTTGATCAGATTGTTCTATCTTCTAGTTTACTGATTGTTTCCTCTGTCCCCTTCATTCCACTATCAAGTTCATTCACTGAGCTTTTCATTTCAGTTATTCTATTTTTAAGTTCTAAAATTTCCACTTGGTTCTTCTTTATACTTCTATTTATTTGCTGAGGCTTTCTATTTTCTTCATTTGCTTTAAGAACGTTTGCAATTACATTGAAACTGTTTTGTCATGGCTGCTTTAAAAAAATCTTGGCCAGATAATTCTATTATCTCTATAATCTTATTATTGGCATCTATTGATTATCCTTTTTTATTCAAGTGAGTTTACTTGGTTCTTGGTTTGATAAGTGATTTCCTTTTAAATCTGGATTTCTAAATGTTTGGAGACTCTGGGTCTTATTTGAACCTTTTGTTTTAGCTGGCTTTTCCTGATACCACTCCATTGCCAGGTAGAGGTGTAAGTACAGATGCCCCACTAGGTCTCTACTGACACCAGAGAGGAGGACTACTACTGGTGTTGGGCAGGGGTGAGAGGTCTGGCTTACTACAAGGTCTTCACTGTCACTGTGATGGGGGCAGCCTCATCACCACTGGGCCACGAGAGAAACAAAACCTACTCTGACACATGACTAACTCTCTGCTTGGCCTCCTCTGACACCACCCCAATAAACACTTGTTACTGCCGGGTAGGGGTGAAGACCACACCTCCCTGATGGTCTCCACTGGTATCATAGGAGTGGAGGACTCATTACAGGCTAGCAGGGATAAAAGTCCTGCACCCTACTTGTCTTCTCTGACATCACCCCAGTGGGGTGTTTGGTGACTAATTACAGCCTCATTAGAATTTGAGTTGTCTCCCCGCTCAGTCTTTGCTGGTATCAGTTGGGGAGTGGCCACCACTTTTCTGTAGTATTGGTTGGAGTAGAATAGTTCTTGTCTAAATGTTTTTTTGTCTTGTAAGCCTGCCCCTTTCTCGGTCTTTTGGCAAGAGAGGCATTTATTGGGTCTTTTTCTTTTTGTCCATGTCCATTGGCATTTCCAGGTTGCCAGCTTCAGCTTCAAGTCTGGGATATAAGAGACAAACAAACAAACAAAACAAACAAAAAACAAAAACAAACAAACAAAAAACAAGGAACTCACCTTTATGTCATTCCTTGGGCCTCAAGTTCCCTAGCCAGTTTGCCTTCTTCTTTTCACCTTTCAGAGTATAATTATGTTTGTTGTATATATAATGTCCAGTGTTTTTAGTTGTACTTAGTAGGAGGAATAGGGGAAATTACATCTACTACTCTGTCTTCACAAAAGTGGAATTCCTTACTTTACTTGTTTTTTTCCTCATCATATAATTATCATGATTCAACTGGCCCTTTCACTAAAATTCATAAGAAAACATTTCTATAGATCTCAAAAAATACAATGTAAAATATAAATGTGTAGGATTGCTATCCTGTTTCAGAAGATTGACAAAGATCAGGCTGGGCATGGTGGCTCACGCCTGTAATCCCAGCACTTTGGGAGGCCAAGATGGGCGGATCATCTGAGGTCAGGAGTTTGAGACCAGCCTGACCAACATGATGAAACCCCGTCTCTACTAAAAATACAAAAATTAGCCAGGCATGGTGGCACGTGCCTGTAGTTCCAGCTACTTGGGAGGCTGAGGCAGGAGAACCGCTTGAACCCAGGAGATTGCAGTGAGCTGAGATCACACCACTGCACTCTAGCAGGGGAGACAGAGCAAGGCTCCGTCTCAAAAAAAAAAAAAAAGGCAAAAAACGAAAAAGAATGACAAAGATCAAAAGGAACTGACAGTATATAAACTATCTTCCCAGATGGAGGTGATTTTACTTACATTGTAGTTGTGCATTGTGCATGCGGAGTCCCATAGAGATGCAACAATTTAGGGGAAATTTTCCTAATTTTAGACTGCAAAGATTCATCCTTCCTCAGAACATATCTGGCTTCTTGATCTCATATTATTTGCATTGCAATTTAAATGTTTAACATATTCCTTTCTTTCTAAGTAGATCCCTCGAGAATAGACATTTTTTTAAAGTAGAACTGCTAGGCATTCAATCATTGAGTGGATGATGGAAGGACTTACACTTCATAGTGTATATAGTGCGATGTTAAGGACTTTTATTTTCCTTACAATTTTATTTCAAAAGATTTAAATAAATTCACACCACTGGAGAGTTGGGACATGTTTTGCAATTACTATAGCTTTGGGGCCCTAGGTTTTACTATTTCTGCGATGATAGAAAAAGCTGCAGTGACATTCATCTACCCTGCACAGAGGTACATGTTGTTACTGTAATATTAATGGGTCAGAGATATAGACCTTATGACTTTGTTTTCCCCAGCAGTATTTTTGGTCTTTTTTTTTTTTTTTTTTTTTTTGAGATGGAGTTTCGCTCTTTCACCCAGGTTGGAGTGAAGTGGCATGATCTTGGCTCACTGCAACCTTCATCCCCCGGGTTCAAGTGATTTTCCTGCGTCAGCATCCCGAGTAGCTGAGATTACAGGTGCCCACCACCAGGCCCGGCTAATTTTTGTATTTTTAGTAGAGACAGGGTTTTGCCATGTTGACCAGGCTGGTCTCAAACTCTTGACCTCAAGTGATTTACCCGCCTCTGCCTCCCAAAATGCTGGGATTATAGGCGTGAGCCACCGCGCCTGGCCCCAGCAGTATTTTTGAGGTGCATTGTGATACTGCTCAGGTAAGGACCTCTTTTGTTCCCCTTTGTCCTTTCTCAGTACTATCAGAATTTAGACAGGATCAAATCTAGGTAAAGTATTATGTTTTGTGACCATCAAAATACTAACTGGAGTTTTACTTCAAAATCAGCGAATCAAAAAGATATCACTTATTAGAGTCTATTATTGGATTAACAAAATAAATTTATCAATTTGTGGATTTGGCACTTTTGAGACTGCACAAAAACAAACAAAAAACTGCACAAAAACACAATCAAAGCATTTTTGAGACTGCACAAAAACAAAAACAAAGCAGTCCTCTAGACTTCTTCTTCAGGGGATTTAATTGTCAATAAAATGGATAATCTCGTTCATAGAATTATTTTTTCGATGAGTGAATTGAAATGGTAGCATTATCTAACCATTTCCTTTATTGAACAATCACAATTTAGGATGCTGTAGAGACAAACAAATAAAATAAAGGCAAAGTTTCTGCTCTTAAGGAAATTATAACTGATATGGTTTAGTTTTGTGTCCCCACCCAAATCTCATGTCAAATTGTAATCCCTAGTGTTGGAGGAGGGACCTGGTGGCAGATGATTGGATCTTAGTGGTAGATTTTCCCCTTGCTGTTCTCATGATAGTGAGTGAATTCTCAAGAGACATGGATGTTTAAAAGTGTATGGCGCCTCTCCGTTTGCTCTTTTCCTCCTTCTCCAGACATGATTGTAAGTTTCCTGAGGCCCTTCACCTTCTGCCATGATTGTAAGTTTCCTGAGGCCCTTCACCTTCTGCCATGATTGTAAGTTTCCTGAGGCCTCCTCAGTTATGCTTCCTGTACACCTGTGGAACTATGAGTCAATTAAACCTCTTTTTTTTTTTTTAAATAAATTACTCAGTCTCAGGTAGTTCTTTATAGCAATCTGAGAAAGGACTAATAAAATAACTGAATAAAGAAGGTGGAACATAGAACTGGAGAATCAACTACGAGTAGAAGTACAGTGCACCCCTGAACGATGCAGGGGTTTGGAGTGCTAACCCCTGTGTAGTTGATAATCCATTAACTTTGACTCCCTCAAAACTTAACTACTAATAGCCTGCTATTGACTGGAAACTTTACCGATAACATAGTGTATTAACACATATTTCCTAAATTATATGTATTATATATTGCGTTCTTACAATAAAGTATGCTAGAGAAAAGAAAATGTTATTAAGAAAACCATAAGTAAGAGAAAATATATTTAACATTCATTAAGTGGAAGTGAGTCGTCATAAAGGCCTTCATTCTTGTCTTCACATTGAGTTGGCTGAGGAGTAAGAGGAGGGGTTGGTCTTGCTGTCTCCCAGGTGACAGAGGCAGAAGAGGTGGAGGAGGTGGAAGGGGAGGCAGGAGAGGCAGGCACCCTTGGTGTGACTTCATGGAAATATTAATATATCATAATTCTGGTCTGATTTTTTTTCATTTCTCTAAAAATGTTTCTCTACAGTACCAATCCTTCTTCTACCATTTGCTTTAGTTTCAGTGCCCATATTGTGGAAGGGTCCAAGTTGTAAAAGAAGTCACAAGCAGACTTCAATAATTGGAGTCCTGCTTCTTGTATGTCTTCTTCTGCATCATCTGGCACTGGTTCAGAAGCACTCATCTTCATCAAGTCATCTTCTGCTAACTCCACTGGTGTTGTCTCTATTACCTGTTGAATTTCTCCAACATCCATATCTCAAAACTGTTCACCTGCCATCTTTTTTTTTTTGCCCTATCCACAATCTCTTTCATGATTTCTTTGATTGGCTCTGTCATAAATCCTGTGAAGTCATGCACAACATCTGGACACAGTTTTCTGCAGGAATTATTGTTTCATACTTGGTGACTTTCACAGCTTTTATTTTTCTATAACGATGGCTTGCATCTTCAATGGTATAATTCTTTCAGACTTTTTTTTTTTTTTTTTGAGAGACAGGGTCTTGCTCTGTTCCCCAGGCTGGAGTGCAGTGGTGTGATGACAGCTCACCACAGCCCCAAACTCCTGGGCTCAGGCAGTCCTCCATCCTCAGCCTCCCGAGTAGTGAGGACTACTGGCTGCACCAACCACCATGCCCAGCTAATTTTTTAATTTTTTTGTAGAGATGGGATCTTGTTATGTTGCCCAGGCTGGTATTGAACTCCTGACCTCAAGTGATCCTCCCACCTCGGCCTCCCAAAGTGCTGGGATTACAGACGTGAGCCACCAGACCCCAACCCCTTCCAGCCTTTCATGTCCTGTTGGGCTTTTGTTCTAGCATTGACAATCCTTTCTATAGAGAACTGTGTGTAATGAGCCTTCAAGGTCCTATGACTCCCTGATGTAAAGGCTGAATTAGAGACATTGTGTTTGGGGGCAAGTAGACAACTGCTAAGCCTTCCGTGTTGAACTCATGACGTTCTGGGTGATCAGGGGCATTGTCCAATGTCAAAAGAACCTTAAAAGGCAATTTCTCACTGGCAGGGTACTTTTTGACTTCAGGGACAGAACATCAATGCAGGCAATCCAGAGAAAGGGGTATCATTGTCCAGGCCTCCTTGTACAACCAGAAGACTGGGAGCTGATGTTTATCATTTCCTTTCAGGATTTAGCAGCTTTACAGATAAGGGCAGTCCTGATCATAAACCCGATTGCATTTGTACAAAACAGCAGTTAGCCTGTTTCTTCCTGCCTTAAATCCTGGTGCTTGCTTCTCTTCCTAATAAATGTCCTTTGTGGCATTCCACCCCCCCACCCCCCAGATTAGGGCACTTTCGTCTGCATTAAAAACCTGTTTAGGCAGATATCCTTTCTCCTCAATGATTTTCTTAATGGTGTTTGGGAACTCGTGTGTTACCTCCTGGATCAGCAGAAGCTGCTTCTCCCTTATCTTGACTTTTTTTTTAAAAGCCAAACCTCTAAAATGAACCATTCATTTCTGGCATTAAATTCCCCAGCTTTAGATCCTTCACCTTCCTTTAACTTGTCATATGATGACTTTGCCTTTTTGTGAATCATATTAGAGTCTATAGGTATGTCTTTCTTATAGCAATCCTGTACCCACTTAAAAGCTGCATTTTCAATATGAGAGAAAAGGTATTTTGCAAAAATTGCAAGATTTTTGTACCTGCAGATGTAGTAGTGGCAATGGATTCACAAATTTTCTTTTTTTTTTCCCCAATAGTCCTTACACTATTTATTTATTTTTTTGAGACAGTCTCGCTCTGTCACCTAGGTTGGAGTGCAGTGGTGCAATCTCGGTTTGCTGCAACCTCCCTCTTCCGGGTTCAAGTGAGTCTTGTGCCTCAGTCTCCCAAGTAGCTGGGATTACAGGCACCCGCCACCACGCCTGGCGAATTCTTGTATTTTTAGTAGAGATGGGGTTTCACAATGATGGCCAAGCTGGTCTTGAACTACCTCAGGTGATCCGCCTGCCTCGGCCTCCCAAAGTGCTGGGATTATAGGCATGAGCTACCATGCCTGGCTTGGATTCATTTATCTTGAAATGGTGAGCAACCTCAGCTGCAGCCCTCATCTATGGTACATATCAAGCAATTCAACTTTTTCTTGTAATGTCATGACTTTTCTCTGCTTCTTGGGAGTATTTCCAGCATTACTAATGGTACTTCATATCGGTCCCATGGTGTTATTCAAGGTTTACAGTATTGCACTAAACATGAAAAACACATGAGAACTCCAAGAGCTCAATTTCTACTGTTATATGCAATTTACTGGAGAGATGAACTGCTCATATGGAGATGGTTAGTGTCACACAGCATATAAGTGGATATTTACAACACCTGAGCTCATGCAATAGCAACAGGAGGTGGCTACGAAATTATTAATTTTATGCAGTTATGATTTAATACTGCATTTTTTTTTTTTGAGACGGAGTCTCACTCATGTCACCCAGGCTGGAGTGCAGTGGCGTGATCTTGGCTCACTGCAACCTCCACCTCCCCAAGTGATTTTCCTGCCTCAGCCTCCCAAGTAGCTGGGATTACAGGCACCTGCCACCATGCCCAGCTAATTTTTGTATTTTTAGTAGAGATGGGGTTTCACCATGTTGGCCAGGCTGGTTTCGAACTCCTGACCTCAGGTGATCCACCCACCTTGGCCTCTCAAAGTGATGGGATTACAGGTGTGAGCCACCGCGCACAGCCTAATACTGCATCTTTGTTTAAATTTCTCAACTGGATATGTATGGTCTACGTATGCATAAATTTTGATAAATCTCTGAATAGATTCACGTGTATTTTATATAGTAAATTATAGACTAATATCAAAGTCTTTGATAGTATGAAAGATATTAAAAGGTTATGTCATTAATGCATAAAATACATGTAGATATTAGTCTATCATTTACTACTATAATTTTACAGCAACCTCCTGTTGCTATTTCAAATTTTCACAGATCCCCAAAAACTTTTTCAATACACTTTTTGAAAACAATCCATGTATAAGTGGATCTGTGCAGTTCAAACCTGTGTTATTCAAGGGTCAACCATACATAACTATATGGAGATAGAGGATTACAGATGTCAAGAGACATTATTGTCCATATGTGACCCTCAAGTCAAATAAGTTTCATATATATCTTATTCTATAAGAACAAGTGAGAAGACTTGACATAGACATGGCCAAGTTGTCTGAGGATCCTCAGGTTATACTGTTTTAATCATGCTCCATGTTCCTTTGTTTCCTATTTTTTATTTCAGTAGAAGCATGAATAATGGCTACTTGTGTAACCCTGGGCAAATTATTTGGCTACTTCGTTCTGTGAAATGCGGGTAATTATACCTGCATGATAGAGTTGTTTGATCAAACCACATAATGCATGCAAAATGTTCATTACTCTTCCTTGTACATACTATAAGGATAGTAGCTGGTGGCCGGGTGCAGTGGCTCACACCTGTAATCCCAACACTTTGGGAGGCCAAAGCAGGGGGATCATCTGAGGTCAGGAGTTCGAGACCAGCCTGGCCAACATGGTGAAACCCCATCTCTACTAAAAATACAAAAAATTAGCCGGGCATGGTGGCAGGCACCTGTAATCCCAGCTACTCGGGAGGCTGAAGCAGGAGAATCGCTTTAACCCAGGAGGCGGCGGTTGCAGTGAGCTGAGATCGTGCCATTGCACTCCAGCCTGGGGGACAAGAGCAAGACTTCATCTCAAAAAAAAAAAAAAACAAAAAACATAGTAGCTGTTATTTTGCTATTTCACTCTGCTATTGCTGCATGTAGTTTTTGTTAGCAGATTCTGTAAGTTAACAGGTTAAACTACCTTTTCTCTCTGATTGCCTCAGATTCTGTCCCATATTCCTCTTAGGTAAATCTGTGCTTAGAAAGGTAAGCTGGCATCAATGATATCAGACTTTTCCCTACAGTGTTCACAGACAAAGTACATAAAAAGTATCGTGACTTTCCTTCAATATTCCTATTATGCTTCAAATATGCATTTCTATCTCGTTTATAAAGAGCAATAACAAATTATTTCATTGCCTTTTTATAATTTCATTAAGGATCTTATTTTTGGCTCAAGGCTTATTCTTAAAAATTCTTATGAGCATGGTCTTTTCTTCTCTTTGCTTTCTATTATTCTTGATTTATCCATTTAAGTGACTTTAATGCTCACAAAATCTGGTAGTAAATAAAGTTTATTCATCTCATCATTATTAAGTGTTTACTATATGCTAAGCCCTGTGCTGGAGATACTAATTGTAGTAAGACATGCCTTCTGTTTTTTTTTTTTTTGAGACAGAGTTTCACTCTTATTGCCTAGGCCGGAGTGCAATGGCGCAATCTCGGCTCACCGCAACCTCTGCCTCGCGACTTCAGGCGATTCTCCTGCCTCAGCCTCCCAAGTAGATGGGATTACAGGCATGCACCACCACCCCAGCTAATTTTGTATTTTTAGTAGAGACGGGGTTTCTCCATGTTGGTCAGGCTGGTCTTGAACTCCCGATCTCAGGTGATCTGCCTGCCTCGGCCTCCCAAAGTGCTGGAATTACAGGCATGAGCCACCGTGCCCGGCAAGCCTTCTATTTTCAAGAAGCTTATTGTCTACTGCAGATGTGATATTATCGCTGTTGTTCAAACTACTGGAGTTATTTTTAGCTTACTTTTCTACTCAAAAATGTTTTATTCAATGTACTGCCAAAACTTTCTACTTATATGATCCCCAGTTTTCATACCTTCAGAAACTGAAGACTATAGCCGTCATTAACGAGTGTGGGCTTGGGATCCAGACTATGCAGGTTACAATCATGACTCCACTCTTTCCTAAATATGTGACCTTGGGCAGGTCACCGTTTTGTGCTTCAGTTTCCTCTTCTGTTGTGAGTCATTATATATCAAGTGCTTAGAACAGTGGGTGGCATACAGTAAACACTTAATAAATGTCAAACTGTTACTAGTTTGTTTCTCTAAGATGGCAGAAACAATCTAATTCTGATTTTGGGGGTTCATTATTTTGTAATTGCTATTAGTTCTTGCAGTATCTCAAAGAGGCTTCTGATGTTACTATGTAAATATATTAATATTATAAAATTGATTGACAGGAACTCCCTCCATCATCCATGCTAGAGTGCAGTGGCACGATCATAGCTCACTGTAACCTTGAACTTCTGGGCTCAGGTGATCCTCCCACCTTGGCCTCCAGTGCTAGAGATGAGTAAGACTATAAGGAAATGAACACCTTTGTGACTAAGTCTGTATTCTTGCCTTTAACATATAATTTCCTAAAGTTTCATAGGCTGAAATAGGTTTCTTTGATTTGGATAAATTTATGTACATTTAAACTTATACCCTAGCTTTATTTTTAAATCTCTGAAAACTGTTACATGATTGTAGTTTATAGTTAAGTTCATGAGAGTTATGCAGGCACTTTAGGGTAAGAATAGCTTCTGTCTACAAAAATTATGTTTCTCAGAATTATAATGATAATGAAGCTAAACAAACAAAAGAAAATCTGACTTTTTAAATAAACATCTTTTAAAAATCATTTATATCCAAAGAGATATATAATTTTTTACTTATGGAAAGTTATTTCTTTAAAATTATCAAAAGGCAGACAATGACAAGAAGTTTATTTCAGCTTTACTTAAAATTTTAGTTTCAAATGAAATGAAATGTGACACTGAAGCATAAGAACACAACTGAAGACTGCAAACAACCTAATTCATTTTCCGAGTTTGCTCAAGCCTCCAGGCACCAGTCAAATATCGAAGTCGTATAAAAAGTAGGTCTTTACCCATTTGTAGCCAGCTCCAGAATGGAACTAATTTAGAACCTGTGATTTAAAAATAATTAAAAACAAATTAGCTTAAATAAACTCAGCAGAAAACGTATCAGTTTAAAGTCAGTCTACATGATCGTTGTGAGCCTTTAGCACCTTAATTTTTTAAATCATGGACCAAAAAGTTAAACAATTTCAAAGCTGAAGTGAGTGGAGTGGTTTTCTCTAAAAACAAAAACAGAACATCTTGAAGTGAAATGAAACTTGAGAGGATCTAAATAGTGAAAATTTCATACGGCCCTACTATAGAAAGGAAGGACTACATATGGTGAGGGCTCTAGAAGTCTAATAAAAAAACTACTCACTGAGTGCTCATTACTGAAAATAATTACATATGAAACAACTAAAGATACAGCACAACAGATAAATATGATTATTTCTACATAAATCCAATCTTAATGATAAAAAATAAAGCCTATGATCAGACTTAAGATAATTTTGTCCAGACCTCTTTGTCTCGGGCTACACAAGAACACCAGCCTAATTAAATATCTGATCCACATATCACAGCAGATTCTTTTTTTGTTTTTTTTTTAAACAAGATCTTGCTCTGTCACCCAGGCTGTAGTGCAGTGACACGATTATGGCTCACTGTAACCTTGACCTCCCGGGCTCAAACGATCCAGTCCTCCTACCTCAGCCTCCCCAGTAGCTGGGAGTACAGGAGGCACGCACCACACCTGCCTAATTTTACAATTTTTTTATAGAGATGAGGTCTCACTGTGTTGCCCAGGCTGGTCTCAAACTCCTAGGCTCAAGTGATCCTCCCAACTTAGGCTCCCAAAGTGCTGGGATTACAGGCATGAGTGACTGCACCCAGCCACAGCAGATTCTTATAACCATTACTTATAGTATATACGTGCAGATAAAGTATCAGGAGGAAGGTTTAACATTTCATTATCATTTTAATTATACTTTATATTTAAAGAAGACCTTTTTCACTGCTCTGAATTTATATGACAGCTTTCTTCTGAAAACATTACCACCAAAGCACTGTAGAGACATTATCGTTTATCAGGGCCAAAAATTATCTTCATCCCACAAATGAGGAAGTTGAGGTACCTACAATTCATATTACAAGACAACTATCTCTGTAATGCAAATAAGCAAATGACTAAACATAAAATGGACTTTTACTTTTCCCCACCTCATCTTCCCATAGAGTCTAGGTTGGCCAAAGATCAACACAAATCAACAAAGTTGATCATGATACCCCTGAGTGATCCTTTGACCTGCTTCCCAATCCCCTTTGATTCTAGGCAGCTACTGTGGAGATGAGCTAAGATTTTGTAAACTCAGTTTGATTCAGCAAGATGTAAAGAGGTTTGAATTCATCCTAGACTATACAGTTTGTATAATCTCGAGATTGGTTCTTAACCTTTTTCTGTCCCTAAACATCTGAGGTTACAGAGCAATAATGGTTTACTGCAACAAGGACTCTCACCAGAAGAGCTGGACTTCGAAAAAGTCTCCAGTTGATTATGTTAACTGCTCCCACACTGTGAATTAATTTAGGTTCATTCTAAGGTAAGGAGAAAACTAGAATATGTTTAAAATTCTATACAGCCAGAGCTGTCTAAGCCTTTTAAAATAGGAATTATTAAGATTTATGATAGATTTCAAGTTATTATAGAGTTGGGATCTTTATACTTTTGGATATATGTACAGATATAGTTTTTAAATGGCTCTGGATTGACTGTGGACATTTGGAGTAAAAACACTTTTAGTTATTTATTTTTTCAGATGGAGTTTCACTCGTTGCCCAGGCGGGAGTGCAATGGTGCAATCTTGGCTCACCGCAACCTTTGCCTCTCGGGTTCAAGCAATTCTTCTGCCTCAGACTCCTGACTAGCTGGGATTACAGGTGCCTGACACCACGCCCGGCCATCTTTTTGTATTTTTTAGTAAAGACGGGGTTTCACCCTGTTGGCCAGACTGGTCTTGAACTCCTGACCTTAGGTGATCCACCCCCTCGGTCTCCGAAAGTGCTGGGATTACAGGCATGAGGCATGGTGCTCGGCCATAAAAAAAATTTTTATTTCTTATTTAGCTTTGCATAGTGGTTTGCAGGTACCTAATTAATATCCACCTAGTGATAAAAAAAATATAGGAAATGGTGATGCAAAAAATAAATTTATCTATCTCAAAAGACTATCAACCTTCTAATTTCAGATCACCATGACTTTGTCTATTGTAGGAAGTTTTATTGAAGTTTCTTCGACAAGGTAGTAGGCCTACTGAAGGCCCCATGAACAGACAAAAAATATAAAAGGCAGCAAGCCAGATGGAAGGTATTAGTAGGTACTATTCTCCTTGGAACTGGATCTTTGAGTCAAGACAGCTGAGAAGGGCTTGATGAGGGGAGCAAGGAGAACATTAAAGCCAGCTGACTTTACTAAACAACTGTATTATCTGACTCAAGACAATCATACAATAAACAATATACTCACCTTCAATTTCTGTCCAGTTGACAGCAATTTCTGCTATTGGAATTTTAAAGAACTGTGCTATGTACAGTAGTTCTACATCAAATGCCCTAAAATAGAAAATATATTGATATTTATTTTTAAAGACAAATAGAACACAACTACATCTCTACCTTGGCATGTTTTAAAGAAGCTTACATGGCAGATATAAAGCTTATACCATAAATCTGAAGATCAGATTCACAGAAATCAAATAATTCAAAGCTGAGTAGTTCAGAAGTTTCAAGTCAAATAATAATTTAGAATATCATTGCATAATATTGTATCTCTATTACAACTCAGAAACTCACAGAGGTAAAACTAGCCTCATGGGTTCCAAGAAAAAATTTAATCCTGGAAAATTTCAAGATTGATGGTTTTCAATCCTAACCTTAACTGGACTAGCTCAAGGTAAAGAACTGACATTTTCAACTGATTCAGACAGCTGATAAAACAAAACTCTGAGATGCTCTAGTTGAGACTGTTTTACATTACTTTAGAGTTGGTTGCCTATTTTCTTCTACCATCAGAGGATCCAGATTACTTTTCTAATAGTGTCCCCAGGGCCTTCCTTGTCTTTTCTGTTCCCCTTCCCTGTGGTGTCCTGCACAATATAATACTGGCAACTATTGAAAGTAAAAAGCTACTTTGGACTAGTCTGAAATACTCTTTGGGTATAATTAATACATACATAGGAATCTGATATATTGTCTTACTTGTCCTAATATATACTGTTAAAACCATTTCCAGTCTAAATCTCCAGTGTATCCTTCCTTCCACTTACGAAAGGTCTTTCTTAAAGCCTCTTTTCAGTCAGTGCCTTGGCTTAGGTCAAACCTGCTTTCCTTAAAGGTTCTGAATCCTGACTCATAAGTTTTCCTGGATTCTGCTTACAAAATTTCTCTGAACTAGTTGCTTCTCTCACTGGTATTAAAGCTCAGGAAGAAAAGCACTACTACCTGTTAAATCTTCTTCATCGTCATTGAAACTGTCTAAAGTCCTTGACTGTTTTGCCTTCATCCATGAGTCAGTCCCCACTTTCTAGGCTGCACAGAGCACAGTTCAAACTTCTAGGGCCTGGTGTAAAACATTATTAATACAGACAAGAAAATGCCTAAAGTCCACTTATATTTGATTTCTCCAATCCCAGACAACTTGAATTTGGGAGATTTTTTGGTTTTTTGCCACAATACCATAATCATCCATTAGGTAAATAGTTTAAATTCCAAGTATTATGATAAAACCACTTACAAAAGTGGGTTGTATTTTAAAACTTTCGTCCCCTAGAATTGTGATACTTATGAAAAAAGAAATAATTTCAATATTAAGCCTGGTGCTTTACCCTTAACTTTCCTTTTAACACAAAAACAAAATATTAGCTAGTGGGCTGAGTTAGTTCTAATGATACTTGATAACCTGAAAAAGATTATTATATATTATTTCTAAGGATATCAGTATATAGCTAGTGACTTATCAAATACACAAAACAATTGAGTAAAAAAGAGTGGGGTGGTTAACTGAAATCACCTTATATTAAAAAAAAAATCCTAGACCAAAAGGGTTTTTCGGTTTGTTTTAAACAGGGTCTTACTCTGTCATCCAGGCTGGAATGCAGTGGCGCAATCAGGGCTCACTGCAGCCTCAACCTCCCTGGACTCAGGTGATCCTCCCACCTTTGCCTCCTGAACATCTGGGAGCATAGGCCCAGATATTCCTTACTAGTCCTATAATTTTATCTTCTTCTTTTCTAGTTTTGTTCTTTTGAGATTTCCTCAATTTTATTATCTAGCCCTCTTTTTGAATTTTCATCTCTGTGCCACCATGCCTGGTTAATTTTTGTATTTTTTGTAGAGAAGAGGTTTCATTATGTATCCCAGGTCTTGAACTCCTGGGCTTAAATGATCCGCCTGGCTTGACCTCCCAAAGTCCTGAGATTACAGGCTTGAGCCACTGTGTCTGACCCAAAATTAAATTATGTCTTTCTCCTCTTAAACATTTTAGAAGACATTTATTACACATACAAAAAAATGCAGCTCATATCATCATATTATAAGTGCCCAGTCTGTTACCTAAGCAAACATTTTAACTAAAATACCAAGTACTTCTATACAGAGCCTTATGTTATTAGGGGGAAACAGTATAAGGGTTATTCTCCAACTAAGATGCCTTCATTTGTTTATGCAAATATGGGTTGGGCTGAGCCACTGTGTTTTCTTTTCTTACTCAGTTCCTGGTACAGCTGTTATCTCACTAACAGATTCCTAAAGGACAAAAAATATGCTGAGACCCTGTTAAACCCACCAGATGGACATGAACCCCACTGCTGCCTCCTGCAGCCCTATCAAAATTAACACAACAATATGGAATAAACATATAAGAACAAAGATGGGAGGAAATGATAATAAAAATAAAAAAAACCTTGGAAGTTGTAGGGAACATGGACAGGACAGTGGGAGAAGGGTGCCACAGAGCACCCCAGAGGCTCAGGCATTGAAGGCCTCAACTGATGTCTTCAGGTGAAGACACAGGTGGGGCTGCAAGTAGGACTCACTGAACATCTAAGATTTTCCTTCCCTTCATGCCTTTTCTCTGTTGGTTCTGTGAATGCTAACAGCCAGGCTCACAGCTCCTAGGCAGGAGATTGAAGGACTCTACTTTCATGAAAATGACCTGTCCAAAAGACAATGCCAGTTGGGACTTTCTCACACGTAGCTCTGCTGGTTTAACCTGTAGCGAAATTTACCAATCAGAGGCTCTGCGCATGGACACAGCTTCTACTGAGTGTTTTAGTGCCATACTATAGACATGTGAAGAATGAGTGTTAAAAAGAAACACAAAATCAGAGGCAACAGAAACAATGCAGGTAAAGAAAATGACAAAGTTTTAAATAAGATATTCAGAGGTAGTGGAAGACACTGTAGTCATGCAACAAGAATAGGTTTTTTAAAAAGTTAATACTGAAAAACAAAAAAAAAGAGTTCTAGGAAATTACAATTTTGATAGCAGAGATAAAAATTCAAAAAGAAGATTGGATAATAAAATTGAGGAAATCTCAAAAGATCAAAACTAGAAAAGAAGAGAGAAGATAAAATTACAGGACTAGTAAGGAGGTTCCACATCTGTTTGTAAGAGAGCAGAGAAAATGAACAGAGATTGTGAAAAAAAAAAAAAAAAAAAAAAAAAAGATTAAGAAACATTTCTCAGAACTAAAGGACATGACTTTTCAATAGATGGTGTTGGGAAAACTGGATATCCCTATGCAGAAGGACGAAACTGGACCCTTATATCAAAAAACTAAAACAAAAACAAACCTCAACATGGATTAAAGACTTACACACTTACACGTAAGACCTGAAACTGTAAAACTACTAGAAGAAAACATATGGAAAAAACTAAATGACACTGGTCTGGGCCATGTGTTTTTTATTAGATTGGATCCCAAAAGCATAGGCAATAAAAGCAAAAACAGACAAATGGGATTACATCAAACTAAAAAGCTTCTGCACAACAAAAGAAATACTAACAGACTGTACAGACAACCTATGGATTGGGAGAAAATATCTGTAGGCCATATATCTGATAAGGGGCTAACATCACAAATATACAAGGAACTCAACTCCATAGAAAGAAAACAATTAATTTGATTAAAAAATGGGCAAGGGACCTGAATAGACATTTCTCAAAAGATGACATACAGATGGCCAAGAGATATATGAAAAAATGCTCAGCATCACTAATCATTAAGGAAATGCAAATTAAAGCCCCTGTCAGAATGGCCATTATAAAAAAGATGACACAACAAGCACTGGTGAGGAGGTGGAGAAGTGGGAAACCTTGTACACTGTTGGTGAGAATGTAAATTAGTATAGTGATTATGGGAAAGTGTATGGAGGTCCCTCAAAAAACTAAAAACAGAATTACCATATGGTCCAGAAATCTCACTTTTGAGTATTTATCCAAAAGATTTGAAATCAGTATGTTGAGGAGATAACTGCACTCTCATGTTCACTGCAGCGCTGTTCACAACAGCCAAGTTATCCAATCAACCTAAGGGTCTGTCAACAGAAAAACTGGGAAGGAAAATGTGGTATATGTACACAATGAAATATTATTCAGCCTTGGGCAACCTCCTTTGGGTCCCCTCCCCTTGTATGGGAACTCTGTTTTCACTCTAATACATCTTGCAACTGCACACTCCTCTGGTCCGTGTTTGTTACGGCTCGAGCTGAGCTTTAAGAGGTGGCAGTCTTACACTGCTGGGATCATCAGAAAGGAAAGAAAAGAGAAATAGAAGGGAACCGCCCAGCAGATATTGAAGCCAAAAAAGCCAAAAGAGCTACAAGGCGGGACCCTCCATTAGAAATGCTTATAGAAGGACCCCTAGTATGGGGTAATCTCCTCCAGGAAACGAAGCCCCAGTACTAAGCAGAAGAAATAGAATGAGGCACCTCATGAGGACATAGTTTCCTCCCCTCAGGATGGCTAGCCACCGAAGAAGGAAAAATACTTTTGCCTGCAGCTAACCAATGGAAATTACTTAAAACCCTTCACCAGACCTTTCACTTAGGCATTGATAGCACCCATCAGATGGCCAAATCGTTATTTACTGGACCAGGACTTTTCAAAACTATCAAGCAGATAGTCAGGGCCTGTGAAGTGTGCCAAAGAAATAATCCCCTGCCTTATCGCCAAGCTCCTTCAGGAGAACAAAGAACAGGCCATTACCAGGAGAACACTGGCAACTAGATTTTACCCACATGCCCAAATCTCAGGGATTTCAGTATCTACTAGTCTGGGTAGATACTCTCACTGGTTGGGCGGAGGCCTTCCCTTGTAGGACAGAAAAGGCCCAAGAGGCAATAAAGGCACTAATTCATGAAATAATTCCCAGATTCGGACTTCCCTGAGGCTTACAGAGTGACAATGGCCCCGCTTTCAAGGCTGCGGTAACCCAGGAAGTATCCCAGGCGTTAGGCATACAATATCACTTACACTGCGCCTGGAGGCCACAATCCTCAGGAAGAGTCGAGAAAATGAACGAAACACTCAAATGACATCTAAAAAAGCTAACCCAAGAAACCCATCTTGCATGGCCTGCTCTGTTGCCTACAGCCTTACTAGGAATCCGAAACTCTCCCCAAAAAGCGGGACTTAGCCCATATGAAATGCTGTATAGACAGCCACTCCTAACCAATGACCTTGTGCTTGACCAAGAGACGGCCAAGTTAGTTGCAGACATCACCTCCTTAGCCAAATATCAACAAGTTCTTAAAACATTACAGGAAGCCTGTCCCCGAGAAGAGGGAAAGGAACTATTCCACCCTGGAGACATGGTATTAGTCAAGTCCCTTCCCTCTAATTCCGCATCCCTAGATACATCCTGGGAAGGACTCTATCCAGTCCTTTTATCTACCCCAACCGCGTTTAAAGTGGCTGGTGTGGAGTCTTGGATACATCACACTTGAGTCAAACCCTGGATACTGCCAAAGGAAACCGAAAATCCAGGAGACAACGCTAGCTATTCCTGTGAACCTCTAGAGGATCTGTGCCTGCTCTTTAAGCGACAACCGTGAGGAAAGTAACTAGAATCGCAGATCCCCAATCCCCATGGCCTTCCCTTGTCATATTTTCCTCCTTACTGTTCTCTTACCCCCTTTCACTCTCACCGCACCCCCTCCATGCCGCTGTACCACCACTAGCTCTCCTTACCAAGAGCTTCTATGGAGAATGTGGCTTCCTGGAAATACTGATGCCCCAATGTATAGGAGTTTTTCTAAAGGAAACCCCACTTTCACTGCCCACACCCATATGCCCCTGCACTTCAGGCCATACATTTCAATCCCTGTATTTTTAACCTCCTTGTTAAGTTTGTCTCTTCCAGAATTGAAGCTGTAAAACTACAAGTGGTTCTTCAAATGGAGCCCCAGATGCAGTGCATGACTAAGATCTACCATGGACCCCTGGACTGGCCTGCTAGCCCATGCTCCGATGTTGATGGCATCGAAGGCACCCCTCCAGAGGAAATCTCAACTGCATGACCCCTACTACGCCCCAATTCAGCAGGAAGCGGTTAGAGCGGTGGTCTCCCCAGCAGCACTTGGGTTTTCCTGTTGAGAGTGGGAACTGAGAGACAGGACTAGCTGGATTTCCTAGGCCGACTAAGAATTCCTTAGCCTAGCTGGGAAAGGTGACCGCATCTACCTTTAAACATGGGGCTTGTAACTCAGCTCACACCCAACCAATCAGGTTGTAAAGAGGGCTCACTGAAATACAAATTAGGCTAAAGCAGGAGGTAAAGAAATAGTCAAATCATATATCGCCTGAGAGCACAGGGGGAGGGACAATGATCGGGATTATAAACCCAGGCATTCGAGCAGGAAGTGGCAACCCCCTTTGGGTCCCCTCCCATTGTATGGGAGCTCTGTTTTCACTCTATTAAATCTTGCAACTGCAAACAAAATAAAATAAAAAAAAAAAGAAATATTATTCAGCCTTAAAAAAGAAATTCTGTCATTTGTGACATGGATGGAATTGGAGAATATTATGCTAAGTTATGCCAAGTGAAATAAGCATCAGATCCAGAAAGACAAATGTTGCATATCCTCTCACTTTTATGTGGAATCTAAAACCATCAAACACATAGAGGCAGAGAGTAGAATGGTGGTTTCCTGAGGCTGGGTGGGGAGATGGGGAGATGATGGTCAAAGGGTACAAAGCCTCAGACAGGGGGAATAAGGTTTTTTTTTGGAGATCTATTATACAATGTAGTGATTATAGTTAATAATAATGTGTTGTACATTTCAAAATTGCTAAGATAGTAAATTTCAAATGTTCCCACCACAAAAAAAGGATGTACATTAATTAGCTTGATTTAATTATGCTACATTGTATTCATAAATCATAATATCACTTTGTATCCTAAACATATGCAACTATAATTTGTCAATTTACAAAAAATTAGAAGGACCTACTGAATACTCAACAAAATGCATGAAAAAGAACTACATTAAGGCCTAGAATTATAATATTTCAAAACACTGTGGAGAAAAAGCTTCCAAAAGGGGGTGGAAACAACATGCGAAGAGTCAAGATTCAGAATTGGACTCCTTCACAGAAGTATGGAGTGCCAAAGACAATACAGGAATGTTTCCAGAATTCTGAGGAAAAATTTCCATTTTGAATGACTATAATCCTTTCTCTACCTAACTATAAAACAAATGTGAGGGTAGAATCAATTTTTTTTTCACATGCAAGGAATCAAAAAGTTTCTTTCTCATATTTTTAGAAAGTTAATAGAGGAATGTGCTTTACTAACATGGGGGTATAAATAAGGAAATGGAGATAGAGGATGGAGCAAGCTGTATCACAGGCCAGAGAGCAAGCAGAAAGACATGAGCTGACTGAGATGTCTCCAGCAAAAATGAAGAAATGCAGAATCTGTGTTTAAACACAGTAAGGGATAATTATACTCTTGAGAGCCTGAACATGAGTAAGTAACAGATCCATAGTAAAGTCAAGCAAACAAAAACCCCAAACATTTATTACCTTCGGGAAAACAAAAAGTAGTACAAGAAAGGTAATATAATCATGCTGCACTCAAATGTGAATTATTTTCACACAGCTATGACTATCAATACTGACAAAAAATAATTATTTTAAAACTGTATTTGGAGTTTACGTGTGGAGGGTATACAGAACTTTAAGAGAACTTTAGTTCTTAGCATCGATTTCCTCTTTTGGAAATTAATATCTAAAACTGAACAACTGAGAAATAGCTATGCAGACCCATTATTTTGAACACAAATGCAAATACCACAAAGAAATAGCAAAAAACAGTTGAAAGTGGCCACAGCTATGGAGTGGAAATTGGGGCAAGGAATTACTATTCTAAGCCTATCAAACTAACTATTTAATATATAAAATTATAACACTGATTAAAAATAAAAAGTATTCATTGAAGCAAAGTTCATTTCAAAGAAAAAAACATATATATATTATTATTGAGACAGGGTCTCGTTCTATCACCCAGGCTGGAGTGCAGTGGTGCAATCAAGTGCTCACTGCAGCCTTGACCTCAGGGCTCAAGCTATCCTCCTGCCTCAGCCTCCTGAGTAGGTGGGACTATGGGCATGTGCCACCACGCCTAGCTAATAATTTGCTTTTTTTTTTTTTTTAGATGGAGTCTTGCCTGCAATCTCCACCTCCCGGGTTCAAGTGATTCTTCTGCCTCAGTGCCCTGAGTAGCTAGGATTACAGGTGCCCACCACCATGCCCAGTTAATTTTTGTATTTTTTTTTGTAGTGATAGGGTTCTGCCATGTTGCCCAGGCTTGTCTTGAACTCCTGGGCCCAAATGATCTGCCCAACTCAGCCTCCCAAAGAGCTAGGATTATAGGTGTGAACCACTACACCTGGCCCAAGTATTTTAACTTCCATAAATGGAAAGAATTTAGGTGAAGTACAGCTCTGAAGATGAAGCTATATACATAGTTGGTTCTCCATATCCATGGGTTCCACATTCGCAAATTCAACCAATCATGGACTGAAAATATTAAAAAATAAACAGTAGAAAACCACAATAAAAAATAATACAAATAAAATATACAAGCAGAGTGCGGTGGCTCATGCCTGTAATCTCAGCACTTTGGGAGGCTGAGGTGGGAGGATCACGTGAGCTCAGGATTTTGGGACCAGCCTGGCAATGTGGCAAACTCTGTCTCTACAAAAAAATACACAAATTAGCTGGGCGTGATGGCATGCACCTGTAGTCCCAGCTACTCAGCAGGCTGAGGTGGGAGGATCGCCTAAGGCCAGAAGGCAGAGGCTGCAGTGAGCCATGTTCACTCCAGCCTGAGTGACATGAGACCCTGTCTCCAAAACACTAACAACAAAAAACAAACACATACTATTTACATAGCACTTACCTTGTATGAGGTATAAGTAACCTAGAGATGATTTAAAGTATATGAGAGTATGTGCATAGGTTATATGCAAAGAGTACACCATTTTATAGCAAAGACTTGAGCATCTGTACAGATTTTGGTATCTGTGGGTGATGTTCCTAGAATTCATTTACTGTGGATACCAAGAGACAACTGTATATATATGTATCTGAATTTGAAGGCCAAATTTACATTACTTAAAATTTTTTAATCTATTTTTGTTTTTAACATACCCATTTAATTTATATTAATATTTGAATATATATACTTAACATACCTATACTCAACTCTGCAGTTCTGAATCCAAAGAGATACTGAGAGTCTTTTTTTGAGACAGAGTTTCACTCTGTCACCCAGACTGGAGTGCAGTGGCGTGATCTCGGCTCACTGCAACCTCTGCCTCCTGGGTTCAAGCAATTCTCCTGCCTCGGCCTCCCAAGTAGCTGGGATTACAGGTGCCTACCACCACGCTTGGCTAATTTTTAAAAATGTATTTTTAGTAAAGACGAGGTTTCACCATTTTGGCCAGGCTGGTCTTGAACTCCTGACCTCAAGTGATCCACCCGCTTCGGCCTCCCAAAGTGCTGGGATTACAGGCGTGAGCCACTACGCCCAGCCGATACCAAAAGTCTTAATTTTAGGTATACTCCTTTACAGATTTCTAGTACCTAGAAACTCTATTTGATTTCGATTTCTTGAAAGTTCTGAGAAAAATTTCAATGAATCCTTAAGAAAAAATAGTCAAATGTCAAAGGTGACATTTGGAAATAAGGCATAGATATACAACTTGGTTTCTGTAACTTATATTGTTCTTTAGTCTTGATTTAAAGTGCAGGAACAAAGATGTTTAAATAAAAACCACTGATGACGTATTATTGTGGTGAAGGGTATACTGCTCATTAAGCTGATACATGTATACTTGGTGGTTCTCCTTTAGAGGCACCAAATAAACATAATGTACCCTAAAGAAAAATGTGAGCAGTTAAAATTTTAAGTGAGGTGAATCTTGTTTTTTCCCTAATAAAATTAAAACAAAAAACAAACCGAGACAGGTTTCACCATTGTTGCCCATGCTGGTTTCAAATTCCTGGACTCAAGCAATCCACCTGCCTCAGCCTCCCAAAGTGCTAGGATGACCACTGTAAGCCACCATCCCCAGCCACTAAGTGAGGTCAATCTTATGTCAATTAACACAAAATAAATAAAAGGCTTGCATGTAACATTAACACTAAAAAAAGAAAAAAACCCCATTAATGTTCTTTAACTTAACCCCACAAGAACTGCTGTCTAATACAACAGCCCCTCAGCACATGAGGATACTGAGCACTTGAAATGTGGCTAGTCTGAATTGAGATGTGCTGTAAATTTGAATATATAGTACAAAGAAAATAATGTAAAATAGTTCAACTTTTTTCATACTGATTGCATGGTGATATGACAATATCTTGGAAATATATTGGATAACAAGTAAATCTGATCAGCTTTTTACTTTTTTTAAGAGACAGGATTTACCCTGTTGCCCAGGCTAAAGTACAGTGGTGCAATCATAGCTCACTGCAGCCTAAACTGGGCTTATGAGATCCTCCTGCCTCAGTATCCTGAGTGGCTGGGACTACAGGCGTGCACACCACCACACCAAGCTAATTAAAAAAATTTTTTTTTCTGGAGACAGGGTCTTGCTATGTTTTCCAGGGTGGTCTTTAACTCCCGGCCTCAAGTGATCCTCCCCACCTTGGCCTCCCAAAGAACTGGGATTACAGGCATGAGCCATCTTTTTACTTTTTAAATGTGGCTAATAGAAAATTTGAAATTACATATATGCCTTGCCTCTTGTCTCATATTTCTATTAAACAATGCTGCCCTAGAACAATCCTGACAGGGAAGCTTCATGATTTTTAAGTTATCAATCCTAACCTTTTATATTTCAACAAAAATGAAAGATCCTCAACAACGAAAAATAGTATTCTCAATTTCTAAATTCTTCCTTTCAAACCACAAAGAACCTGCATCTCTGACCCTAGTTCTGGAGCAATAGCTGACTGAAAAATAGCTAATGCAGACAGAGGGCTTTACTTCTAGAGTCGTTTCTTAAATTAGATTTTCTGATTTCGAAGTCTATTAACTATGAGTTTATTTTATTTTTCAACATAATAAAAACACATATCTAAATTTGACAACTAATGTAGACTACTTAAAATGTTTTAATCTAGAAAAACAAGATTTTAAAAAGTCTGAATGATAATTCTGAAAATACATTTTTTAAAGTAGTATTTTGGGGGTTATATGGCATATATTTCTAGGAAGACAACAGGTCTTTGAAAACAGATGCACAAAAATTGTAGAGAGTATAAAAATGGACATATACTGGCATAATCATGCAGATACCCAACATGAACAGGATTCACACAGAACCCATGACTAAGTATTAGTTCTTTCAACAGTATTTACTGGGTACCTACTATGTGCTGGGCATGATATTAGATAGTGGGATATACTAATAAGTAAAATTAAATGTGACTCTTGCTCTCATGGAGAAAGATTATGCTTTAATCGAGAAAAAGAAACATTAAGTAATTACACAAATATAAGAAAAAACTACAAATGTCATAGGTGCTATGAATACAGCACATGGCACTGCAACAGGATATAATTAGGGGCACCCGAGCTAATTATATTATCTTTAGAGAGTGAGGGCAGGCTACCCTAAGGAAGATCTGAAGGAGAAGGTGAGAAGGGGCGTGGTTAGAAAAGAAAAGAGTCCGCATGTGGAGACACAGGTGGGGCCAGACTAAAGACCATGGGAAGCCCATGAAGGAATATAAGCAGAAGAGGTGCATATGATTGATCACACTTAAGTTTGCAAAGACCTTGTGGGCTACAGCATGGTAGTATGGAGAAGGATGGTGTTCTGGATGGCGGTGGTAGAGATGGAGAGAAATGGAGGAACACAAAAGCTAAAATCAACAGGCCCTGTCATGGATTGGATATATGCATGTGGAGAATGTCAGGGCTGATGTCAGGGTTTCAGCTTCTGTACAACAGTGCTAGCCACCTGTATCTCCAGTATATTTCAAAAGAGAGCTCAGGAGTATCAAATGCTGCTGATGGGTTAAGTGTGACAAGTGGTCATTTAACATGACCACTGGCTTCAATGACATAGAGGTGGCTAGATGTTAAGATGAAGTAGACTGGGTGCAGTGGCTCACGTCTGTAATCGCAGCACTTTGGGTGGATCACCTGAGGTCAGGAGTTCAAGACCAGCCTGGCCAACATGGTGAAACCTCATCTCTACTAAAAATACAAAAACTAGCTGGGTGTGGTAGCGCCCACCTGTAATCCCAGCTACTTGGGAGGCTGAGGCAGGAGAATCACTTGAACGCGGGAGGCGGAGGTTGCAGTGAGCTGAAATCCTGCCATTGTACTCCATCCTGGGCAACAAGAGCGAAACTCAAAAAAAAAAAAAAATGATGAGGCATGGAAGAAAATCCATATGAAGAAGGTGGGGTGAGGAGTGAGTGGGAAGCAAGAAAACAAAGCCAGTGAATATAAAACACTTTTTCAAGAGAAGGTTGCTTGTGAAGGAGACAGGGCTAGAGCTGGAAGGGCACAGCAGGGTCAATGGAAAGGGTTCTGGGAAAGATGTGATGGAAGGGAAAAGGCTGAATACACAAGAGATGAAATACATGGACAGGATTAGGTTTTGACAAGGTGGAAGGAGATGTAGAGGTCAAAAGATCGGTCTTAGGAAAGACACCTTATCTTCCGTAGAAGGAAGAAAAGAGAAAATGGGTGCCCTATTCTGTTTTGATGTTTCTGAGCTTTTTCTTTTTTCTTCAAAGGAAAAAAAATGTTTTCAGGCCACTCAATTTCTACTGTCTACAATTAAGGTGAACACACATAACTTTATACCATATTGTTGGGTTTGTGTATTTTCAAAATAAGATCCAACTCAGGAAAAGTATAAAGGCAAGATCAAGTTTACATACATTATTGTCAATTTTGTTTAAATCTACATGTTCATTATAAATATACAGGGCTGTTTCTCATTACCTAGAAGATGGCTGGGTCATAAGACAGACTGGATACATTCCAGTCAGAAACCTACCATCGTTCAACGTGTAGAGATGAAAACGTCCGTGAAGCTGCTTCTCGAGTAAATAATTTGAACCCACACTGTGTGTCCCTGATTCCTTTGACACAAAGGAACCACACCAGAAAGTGGAACCCATACATGAGAAGAGTACGGAAGTAAGAACGCTGAAAACAAAGACAAAATATAAATGACTTTTCCATTCATCTGTAAAGGAGACACTGAAAACACCTGGCTGTAGACAACTGTATTTTAATATTTAATTGACTGGTAGATCTTACATAAGAACACCACTGTTCCATGAGCTTCACCAACAAAGTATATTAAAGAAACAGCAAGAATGCCTACTGCTTGGAGCAGAGTAGAGGCACTAGGAAGCAGTTACTCATTTCCTGGAGGTTGAGTCAGACAAGCGGCCAGGGCTTTAGCCTACCAGGAGAAACAGGTTTGGGGCTGCTGCTGTGAGCAAGGAGAACGTCTTGTTTACTTACATATTTTATGCTGCTTTGCCCCACATGTATTTCAGTTTCAAAAAAGCTGTCAGTTTCCAGGATGTATTGACAAAACAAAGCACAGATATAAGCCTGCAGTTGATACTTAACTAATGAGAATATTGACAGAAGATGTATAGCAGAGTATCATGAAGGTTATGGACTAGAAAGGAGTTTGAAACAAACACCTGGTCTTTCTAAGCATGCCAGAGATCTAATTAAATACATTTAAAATATTGAGTTCTTTAATACTTTGGATATTAAGATTAAGTAGGTTTTAATCCCATCTGAAGTTTCACTACTGTTACTGATGATTAATTTTATTAGTAGTAACAGAATATTCCATTATTCATAAAACATAGCACATTTTAAAACATAAGAACATAAGATTATTATCACTGGATTCCAGACTTTCACATTTAAGATTTAGTAAAAGATAGGATCTTTCTAAAAAATAAAATAACAAAATTTTTTTTAGAGACAGAGACGCCTTCTGTTGTCCAGGCTAGAGTCCAGTGGTGTGGTCATGGTTCACTGCAGCCTCAAATTCCTGGGATCAAGTGATCCTTCTGCCTCAACCTACAGAGCAGCTGGGATCACAGGCGTGTGCCACTATACCCAGCTTCTTTAAGACACGATCTTTTAAAATGTTCCTTAGTTAAGGCAATAGACTCAAGTAATGATGCGTTACTTACATACATAAGCAACCTATTAAGAGTCTATTAGAACATTTAATATCTCATACTATGGGATAAAGGTCCCTTCCTCCTTTTGGCTTTTGCTTTTCAAAATTATAATTTTTAGTATCGTTCTTCCTTTGCATGGCTTTTTCCATCAACACCAAACAGAACCACAGTGGAACAGAGTAACAAAGAAAAAGCACCAAATCAGGCGAGGTGCGGTGGCTCACACCTGTAATCCCAGCACTCTGGGAGGCCGAGGCAGGTGGATTGCTTGAGGTCAGGGGTTCAAGACCAGCCTGCCCAACATGGCGAAACCCCATCTCTACTAAAAATACAAAAATTAGCCAGGCATGGTGGCACACGCCTGTAGTCCCAGCTACTTAGGAGGCTGAGGCAGAAGAATCGCTTGAACTTGGGAGGCACAGGTTGCAATGAGCCGAGATGGCGCCACTGTACCCCAGCCTGGGTGACAGAGTGAGACTCCAACTCAAAAAAAAAAAAAAAGAAAAAAAGAAAAGAAAAGAAAAAGCACCAAACTAGGAGGCCTATATTGGAATCCTGGCTCCGTTACTAATTAGCAGGGTGACCTTCAACAAGTTACTTCAGCCCTCTAAGTCCATTTCCTGATAAAATGAGAATAATGCCTACCTCACAAAGTTATTATAAGGATTAAATGAGATTATTTTAAAGAATATAGCGAAGTGTTTGGCACAGAAAATAACAGGAACTCAATAATGTTCTTCATACAGGAAGAAAGCTTGAAAGCTTACTTTACTCTCCTGACCACAATTTTACTTATGTATTAAATAGGGCAGGAAGGAAAGGAAGAATAAAATACTTATCTATATGGTATGTAAAACAAACTTTTAAAAATGATCTAGCACTTCTCATTTATCATCTAGAATCATTAGTTATGGGTTGATGTAAATATGTCTTACCTCTCTAAGTAGATAGGGCAGAAACCTCATCTTAAAATACTTTAGGAATCTCACAACAGCTTGCTCAGTGCCTTCCATACAAAATACTTCCAATAAATACTGGTTGACTGATTAAACCTCCAAAAGAGCACTTATGCTTAGGAAAGGAACAAATAGAAATTGAAAGATAGAAAAATAAAAATTAAAGGTAGAAAAACAATACCTATAAATTATTCTCCTTGAGTGATTTTTAATGTGATTTGAGTGAGCTTATTTGTTCGCAAATAAAACTATTCATGACTGCTCTGGCTTGGATGTTAATAACAGGATTTTTGTTTGCTTTAGGATAATGGCTATTTTTTAAAAAGCAGAAAAATGTAGAGTTCACATGAAGACCTTAAGTTATTTGATTTCTAACATATTTAAAAGCTTAACAAGGTTAGTCACAAACAAGATAATCTTGTTTTTGTTTTTAGAACTTTGCAAAATATCTTAAAATTTAGAAGATACCTAAAATATAGGATAGACTTATTTAGTTAAGTGAAGCTACTAAAAGAGAGAAGGCTTATATGATCTTCTGAAATGGCCATTTAAAACATTAAGGAAAACAATTTTCACTGTTTCAGTGTTAACGCTAGTATCTTCAATGTTTATAAAATGTAAACAAGAAATTAATTCAGGTGAAATTTAAAGGTGACTTCTAATTTCATTAACTTAAAATAAGAAGTTCAAAGAAGTCCCAGGACTTAAGCAAAGACTCTTTAAACAAAAACTAAAAACATTAAGTAACCACTAATGGATTCTATTTTTGAATCCTTTTAAAATGATAAATTCAAGAATAGCCAGACCATATATAAACATTACCGTTATACAGAACACATGGGAATGTAAGCACTTTTAAGGATGATACAAGACTCTATCAGGGCAGTGTCATGTTTGTCTTCCAAGGGAGCAGTAAAAGAGGTGGTAGAATAATTGAGAAATGTAGAAAAATATCAAGGAAAGATGTTTCTGAACATTAGGCAATAAGCTACCGAAGTTGTCATTTGCTATCTTGATTAGTTCTTTTATAATTTTCTCATTGTCCACAGATTGATCACCATGCAGGGGTTTATTACTGACAGCACACGAAGGGAAATGGAAAGCCATGCTGCAGTTTTCTAGACATGAGGCGGATGCATGTCTTGTGCCTTCTTGGAGACAACCTTTTGTGAGACAGCTATGATTCTATAAGAATAAGCTGGACTTGAACAAGCCTACTGAGCAGTAGTTGTCATAGCATCTGCAGCGGACAACCAATGATCTCTAGTGAGTATCAAAGGTTATCCCTTCTTTCTATAGAATGGCAGCCAATTCTGTGGGAATCAAGAACACTAAACCAAACACTTGGTTTTAGAGCTGAAAGAATGGATGGATGGAGACAAGATGAATTATAAATATGTGGTTCCTGCGATTGATCCCTTGATACCTGGCTAAGAGCAGTACTAGGTAAAAGATTTAGACCATAGCATAAGTCTCATTTAAATACTAGTGTATTTCTAGGAAAAATTCAGAGTTTTCAACCAATGCAAGTTCTAAGTGAAAAGAATTTACACCATGAAAAACAAAACCAAAACACATGGCTCCTTTCTACAGCCACCACCAACAAATACAAGAACTATCTCTTGCCTATATTACTCACTGGCTCCTAAGTGTATTTGGCTATTTTTCCAAACTATCTTTTTTCCTTCACCAAGTAGATTATCCTTTCTCATCTCATTAATATATTTTAAAAAAAAAAAGAAAGAAAAAAAGTACTTAAAAAACCATTAAATTAGTATTGATCTATTTTCATTAGCTGTTTTAGTGTGCAAAAACAAATTTTTATTTATTTTATTTATTTATTTATTTATTTTTTTGAGGAGGAGGTGTCTTACTCTGTCGCCCAGGCTGGAGTGCAGTGGCCTGATCTCAGCTCACCTGCAACCTCTGCCTCCCGGGTTCACGTGATTCTCCTGCCTCAGTCTCCCAAGTAGCTGGGATTACAGGTGGGCGCCACCACACCCAGCTAGTTTTTGTATTTTTAGTAGAGATGAGGTTTCACCATGTTGGCCAGGCTGGTCTTGAACTCCTGACCTCAGGTGATCCGCCTGCCTCGGCCTCTCAAAGTGCTGGGATTACAGGTGTGAGCCACTGTGTCCAGCCTATTTGTTATTTCAACACAGATAACTGTATTTATAATATCATACTATTTTTTACAAACAACCTAATATTTCAGGTTTTATCCCATGTTATTAAATAGTCTCCATTATCATCAGCTTTACTGGCTGCACATTTCATCTAGGGCTATAGCTGTATTTCCTATTGTGGGAATTTAGTATTTAATAGTTTCTACTACAATTTTATATATATACTATTTTATAATTATACATATATATACTATTTTATAATTATACACACATATATATAAAATGTGCTGAAGATCTTAGACACATACTTTTCCTTTTCTTATCCCCCGTGCGTTGTTAAACTGATGAAGCAGGATTAATTCTAAGCTCTCTTCCCATTTTAAATATCTAGGAGTGTGCTATTCTCTATGGTTAACAGATTAACCTTTTTCAAACATCAGTGAGAATCTCTAGGATACATAGAATACTAGACTAGGTGCTAGTAAAATAATTACTTCTAAAAAAAAGAGAAGAGGCCAGGCGTGGTGGCTGACACCTGTAATCCCAGCACTTTGGGAGGCCAAGGAGGGCAGATGATGAGGTCAGGAGTTCGAGACCAAATGGTGAAACTGCCTCTACTAAAAATACAAAAATTAGCTGGGTGTGGTGGCGCACGCCTGTAATCCCAGCTACTCGGGAAGCTGAGGCAGGAGAATCGCTTGAATCCGGGAGGCAGAGGTTGCAGTAAGCCGAGATTGCGCCACTGCACTCCAACTTGGGTGACAGAGTTAGACTCTGTCTCATAAAAACAAAAAAAACAAACAAAAAAAGAAGGCCGGGCGTGGTGGCTCATGCCTGTAATCCCAGCACTTTGGGAGGCCAAGGCAGGTGGATCACCTAAGGTCAGGAGTTTGAGACCAGCTTGGCCAACATGGTGAAACCTCTTCTACTAAAACTACAAAAATTAGCCAGGCATGATGGCGTGTACCTGTAATCTCAGCTTCTTGGGAGACTGAGGCAGAAGAATTGCTTGAACCCGGGAGGCAGAGGTTGCAGTGAGCCAAGATTGCGCCACTGCACTGCATCCTGGGTGACAGAGCGAGACTCTGTCTCAAAAATAAATAAACAAAAAATAAAAAGAGAGTCTGGGTTTTTGTACTTCAATATAATCCTTAAAAGGTTTTTGTCACTCTGTCATCAATATACCTTTT
This sequence comes from Homo sapiens, assembly GCF_000001405.40. Lineage (NCBI taxonomy): Eukaryota > Metazoa > Chordata > Mammalia > Primates > Hominidae > Homo > Homo sapiens. Next base: position 36,971,009 of record NC_000013.11, read on the forward strand.
TTAAAAATTAAAATTTCTACATATCTCTCTTCCGAATCATTGGGGGAAAGGTTCAACCTTTTATTCTACTGGTTCTCAAAGCCTCATGTGCGTAAGAGGGACCTGGGAAATTGTTACTCTAGTTTTTCTAGCATAACCTACAAAATGAAGAATTGAACATCTTTAGTGACATTTTTACACCCTAAAAGGGCAGTTGCAAACTTGTGAAATTTTAAGGTATAGTGATAGTGTTTTTCTAAGAGGAATGAGGTTAAAAAAAAATTTTTAACTGAATAAAATTCAAAATAAAGCACTTAACTGTGCCAATGTTAGAAAAAAATAAAGGCAAGTTGATTGGTTAAAAAATGCATCATTTAGGCTGGGCGCAGTAGCTCACACCTTTAATCCTAGTACTTTGGGAGGCTGAGGCAGGCGGATTACCTGAGCTCAGGAGTTCAAGACCAGGCTGGGCAACACAGTGAAACCCTGTCTCTACCAAAATACAAAATCATAGCCAGGTGTGGCGGTGTGCGCCTGTAGTCCCAGCTACTTGTGAGGCTGAGGCAGGAGAACTGCTTGAACCCAGGAAGTGGAGGTTGCCCAGTGAGCCAAGATCGCACCACTGCACTCCAGCCTGGGCAACAGAGGGAGACTCCGTCTCCAAAAAAAAAAAAAAAAAAAAAGCGTAATTTAAAGTTTGTTTTATTACTGAACAGATTCTCTTTATCTTAAAAATATATTAAAAAGAACTGCTTCCATCCTAAGGCAAAGCGAAGTCCACATCTTCTTGTATATGCTTAAAAAAAAATCAATTCTAAAATGTGCCAATCCTTCATAACCTTTCCACAATTAAAACATTAATTTCTTTTGAAAGGAACCTCATGTTTAAGAGATTAGACATAAAAGCCAGTTTCTTGCCAGATATATATATAAAAAAAGAAATAAAAGCCAATTAATTGGCTGTCCCATGCCAATTAATGAAGTCTCACCTGAGCAATTGATTCTTTTTCTAAATGAGCTCGAGATCCACATGCTATAGCCATTTGATTCTGAGGGAAAAAGCAGAGATAGTTTTTCAATATTTAAATATCACTAATAAAAATATTTATTTTCAATGAGAATATCTCATTTTTAGAAACTGATTTTAAAAAAGTTGACATTAAAAATCTTTTAAAGGTTTATTGAAAAGTTCAGAATATGTACAACTTTGAGAAGCCTAATCATACTAAGAGGACACTAAATTTTGCTTAAATAGAGCTAAATATAAGGGGCATGCGTTATGTTAAAATTCGTAACTTTAAATGATATTTTCTGTGTGAAAATACTATATTATTTGAGAGAAAAATTAGTGGTATGAGAAAGAAAAGGGTTATCTGTAGATGACATAATTATATACCTTGAAAATCAAAGAATAGCAACTGAAAAACTACATTAGAAACAAAGAATTTTAAAAGATGAGTAGTCACAAAATGAATATATATACAAAACTTTAGATGTCACATGTACGAACAATAATCACAAGATATAATCGAAGCATTTATAACACCAATAAAAATGAAAAATCTAGAAATAAAGTTTATAAGAAAGGTAGAAAGTTTAGACAAGATCTAAATAAAGGAAACATGTAAATGCTAACAAGGAAAACAAAAGATTTAAACACACAGAAGGTCTTGTCATGATATATGAGAGGATATAGTAACAGCATTAAAAAGTCAATGCTTCTGGCCGGGCGTGGTGGCTCACGCCTGTAATCGCAGCACTTTGGGAGGCCAAGGAGGGCAGATCACGAGGTCAGGAGATCGAGATCATCCTGGCTAACACAGCGAAACCCCGTCTCTACTAAAAATTCACAAAATTAGCTGGGCGTGGTGGCGGGCGCCTGTAATCCCAGCTACTCGGGAGGCTGAGGCAGGAGAATGGCGTGAACCCAGGAGGCAGAGCTTGCAGTGAGCCGAGATCACACCACTGTGCTCCAGCCTGGGAGACAGAGCAAGACTCCGTCTCAAAAAAAAAAAAAAAAAATCAATGCTTCCTAACTTAAAACCAATAAAAATGCCAAAATGATTTTTCACTGAACTGGACAAGCTGATTTTAGACTTTCCATCAAAAAAAAAAAAAAAGGTCCTTGTTAGTATAGTGGTGAGAAAATAAAAAAATTTTTAAAAGAGAAGCAAAAATAATCAAGAAAAAAGCCAGGAAAATTCAAGAGTAAAGGATGACTCATCACAAAAATTTAAAAAATATATGATAAAGCTACAATAATTCAAACTAAGGTGCTGGAATGTGAATAGACAAATCCATGGACAATTCCATGGACAGAATGAAAAGGCCAGGAAACACATACACAAAGCCATATGAGTACTTAGAATATGATAAAGATGACCTTTTAAATCAGTGGGAAAAAGACGAACTGACAAATGGTGTGGGACATCGTGGTAGCCACTTGGAAACCAAATTAAGTTGGACTTGAGCTTCTTAACTGAATAATGGGACATAGTCCAGATACATCAAATATTTAAATGTAAAACATCAGAAATCATTTTGTAAATAATCTGAAGGAAGGTACAAGTACAAAAAACCAGAAGACTGATCCATTTGTTAGTAACATTTTAAAGAATTGTATGATAAAATAACAAAAAATCCAACCATATTCAAAACTAAAAGACAAAAAAACTGGGGGAAAATATTGGCAATTTATACTACAGACAAAAGGTTAATTTCCAAAAAGCATAAAGTGCATTTACTATTTTAAAAAGTACCCAAAAATACAGTTGGAAAAGCAGCAGACTTGAAACAGAGTACACAAAAGAGGAAGTGAAAATAGCTCTTGAACAACTGAAAAGATCCTCAATTACACTTATTCCAAGAGTAATGCGAATAAAACCTATAATTTTTTACCATACTGTGCCCGCACACTCTCTAGCAACAGCAATTTGAAACGTTATCAAAATTACAAATATACATATAACCTGACCCAGCAATTCCAACAATTCTTCCGACAAATATACTTGCATATGTGTAAAATGACTTTCATAGAGTTTAATCATTTCAGTATTTGAAGTAGCAAACCTGCATCTCCATCCGAAGGGACTGGCTATGAAGATGTGAAAGAATGAGGAAGGTCTTTATGCATAAATATAGTGCAATCTCCAAGACACATTGTTAAGTAGAAACAAGAGAACACTGTATAGTACCACACTTTGCAATTTAAAAAAGAATACATACACAGTATGCATCTTCCCAATAAAAGAAATGAGTAACACTAGTTATATCTGAGGGTAACTGAGAGATGAAAAGTAGAGCTAGTTTCACTGTATATCTTTCTTATACCATTTGAATTTTGAATGACTAACAAAAATAAATTTAAAAGTGCTCATTATAAAAAATTTGCAAGTATATAAATTTACATATATAAATGATAATTAAAGAGAAAACTCATGAATTATCTTACTACCTAAAAGCAGCCACTGTTTTAAACTGTGTATATTTCTTTGTATTCTTTTTTTCTCTACATTACAAAAAAACATAGCTCAAATTTACTCATGTATGTCATGTTCTTTTTCAACAAAAATTTATTCATGTTAAAGTTTATTGTTTTTATACTTTTTATTATGGGTATTTTCAAACATACGCAAAACTAGAAACAAGGGGAAAATGAAGCACCACATACCTACTACCTAGCTTCAATAATTAGCAACACATTGCCAATCTTGTTCTATGTAAAGCCCCCCCACCACCATCCCACCCAACCTGGGATTATTTTGAAAAAAATTCTAGATATCATATGTTACAAATTCATATAATGTCAATCATAGTACCACTATGACACCTAAAACACCAATAATTCCTTAATACCATCAGACATACATATTTCAAATTTGCCCAATTCTCTCTTAAATGTTTTCAGTTTGTTTGAATGAATGGCCAAATAAAATCCATACAGGGCCAGGCGCAGTGGCTCACGCCTGTAATCCCAGCACTTTGGGTGGCCGAGGCAGGCACATCACAAGATCAAGATATCCAGATCATCCTGGCCTACATGGTGAAACCCTGTCTCTACTAAAAATACAAAAATTAGCTGGGCGTGGTGGCATGCGCCTGTAGTCCCAGCCACTTGGGAGGTTGCGGCAGGAGAATTGCTTGAACTCAGGAGGCGGAGGGTGCAGTGAGCCAAGATTGCACCATTGCATCCCAGCCTGGGCAACAAGAGTAAAACTCTGTCTAAAAAAACAAACCACCACCACCAAAAAAATCCATACAAATCAGTTGGTATTTCTTTTATCTGTGGGTTCTCCCGACCTCTTTAAATTTTTTTCTTGTAACCTGAAGAAACCACATTGTTTGCTCTACAGTTTCCTAGGTTTTAGATGTTGCTGATTGCACCCCCATGGTGACATTTAACATGTTCTCCTGTCCCCTGTACTTCCTCTAAACTGGTAGTTAGATTCAGAGGCTTGATAAGATTCAAGTTTGACTACCTTTCAAGAATTTGTCATAATAGTGCTGCATGGTAGTTTTTCTTTTTCTTGTCAATTGTAAGGGCTATACAATATTTTAATGTACAGATTTACCATTACTTTGACTATTTGCCTATTTGTTGTCCTTTCTAATTTTATGTTATAGAAAGGCAACTGAAAGAACATCTTTGAATATAAAACTCTTATCTGTATTTTAGATTTCCTTCTTTGGAGTCATAGATGTAGAATACTAAGTTAAAAGTCTGAATGTTTTTTAATGCATATGGGCCAAATTTTCCTTTAAAAGGTTCTTTACCTGTAATCCAAGTACTTTGGGAGGCCGAAGTGGGCACATCACTTGAGACCAGGCGTTTGAGACCAACCTTGGCAACATAGCGAAACCCCATCTCTATTAAAAATACAAAAATTGGCCAGGCATGGTAGCGTGCCCCTGTAGTCCCAGCTACTCGGGAGGCCAAGGCAGGAACCACTGCACTCCAGCCTGGGCAACAGAGCAGTAACTTGTCTCAAAAAAAAAAAAACAAAACAAAACATGTTACTTACATTCCCATTAACTGGTATGATATTGACTATTAAATCAAATTCTTGTCAGTTCTGGTTATTCTATCTTTATTATTAATAAAAAAATAAAACGTTTGGGGGATGTTTTAGCTATCCATATTTTCTTTAAAGAATTTTCTAGGCTGGGCACGGTAGCTTATGCCTGTAATCCTAGCACTTTGGGAGGCTGAGGTGGGCAGATCACCTGAGGTCAGGAGTTCAAGACCCGTCTGGCCAACATGGTGAAACCATTTCTACTAAAAATACAAAAACTAGCCAGGAGTGGTGGTGCATGCCTGTAATCCCAGCTACTCAGGAGGCTGAGGCAGGAAACTGCTTGAATCTGGGAGGTGGAGGTTGCAGTGAGACAAGATTGCGCCATTGCACTCCATCTTCAGTGACAGAGCAAGACTCTGTCTCAAAAAAAAAAAAAAAAAAAAAAAAAGAAAAGAATTTTCTTAGCTGGGCACGGTGGTTCATGGCTATAATCCCAGCACTTTGGGAGGCCAAGGCAGGCAGATCTCCTGAGGTCAGGAGTTCAAGACTAGCCTGGCCAACATGGCAAAACCTCATTTCTACTAAAAATACATAAATTAGCCGGCTGTGGTTGCAAGCGCCTGTAGTCCCAGCTACTTGGGAGGCTGAGGCAGGAGAATCGCTTGAACCTGGGAGGCAGAGGTTGCGGTGAGCCGAGATCGCACCACTGCACTCCAGCCTGGGCAACAGACCGAGACTCTGTCTCAGGAAAAAAAAAAATTGTGTTATATACTTTGCCTACTATTTAGTAGTAAAATAATTTATTCCCTTGTTTTTCTGGTAGAGGTACTTTGTGCAGAAAGGGAGAGAATGATTTTCTTAGAGAGGAAGCATGTTAAAAGTTCAAATAGCATATGGCAAATCAGTTTTAACTTTAAACTTGAAAAGAGCAACAACACTATTGAGTAATACATAAAAAAGAACATACTTCTCCATTTCAAAGATTCATGAGTAGAGTTAAAATACCATGTAATTTAACTAAAAACAAATCAAAATCCAAAAAACTTTCTTTTACAAATCTCGTTTTTATCTCAGCATAAGTCCCCAAGAGCTTTTAAGAGTTTTGTGTATCTGAAGAATTCTGATGTAAGAGCTGAATCCCTGATACCAATCTCACTATCAGGTAGAATTAATCTAAACATTTTTTCAAAAAGTTAGCTGTTCTTCAGAAATGAAAGATATCTTTGTTTTAAAAACTGCCCATGTTAGAAAATGTCTGTAGACATGGAGTCTCTTTCTTTTAAACCTCTTTTGGAGTATAACTGAATTTCCCATGGTTTTTTAAAATGAGTATTTAAGTTACTATGACAGTTGGCTTTTAATAAGTGAGGCAGGTGTGGTGGCATGTGCCTGTAGTCCTAGCCACTAGGGAGGCTGAGGTAAGAGGATTGTGGCTGAGTCATGATGGCACCATTGCACCCCAGCCTGGGCAACAGAAGGAGATCCCAACTCATTTAAAAAAACAAAAAAATAGGTGCAGTGGCTCATGCCTATACTCCCAGCACTTTGGGAGGCTGAGGCAGGGGAATCGCTTGAGGCCATGAGTTCAAGACCAGCCTGGCCAACATGGTGAAACCCCGTCTCTACTAAAAATACAAAAATCAGCCAGGCATGGTGGCACACACCTGTATTCCCAGCTACTTGGGAGGCTAAGGCATGAGAATTGCTTGAACTCGGGAAGTGTAGGTTGCAGTGAGCTGAGATCATGCTACTGCACTCTAGCCTGGGCGACAGAGTGAGACTGTCTCCAAAAAAAAAAAAAAAAAAAAAAAACAAAAACGGTGGTAAGAAGTAAAGTATATATTATCTTCTAGCAAGAAATGCTAAATCAATCAAAATCTTTCTCAGTATTTTTTTTTTTTTTTAATGGAATCTCACTCTGTTGCCCAGGCTGGAGTACAGTGGCAAGATCTCGGCTCATTGCAACAACCACTTCCTGGGTTCAAGCGATTCTCTTGCCTCAGCCTCCCGAGTAGCTGCGATTACAGGCACGTGGCACCATGCCCGGCTAATTTTTTGTATTTTTAGTAGAGACGGGGTTTCACCATGTTAGCCAGGATGGTCTCCATCTCCTGACCTCATGATCCACCCGCCTCGGCCTCCCAAAGTGCTGGGATTATAGGCATGAGTCACTGCGCCCCACCTTTGTTTTTTTTTTTTTTTTGAGACGGAATCTCACTCCGTCACCCAGGCTGGAGTGCAGTGGCACAATCTCAGCTCACTGCAACCTCCGCCTTCTGGCTTCAAGAGATTCTCCTATCTCAGCTCCCAAGTAGCTGGGATTATGGGCACGTGCCACCACACCCAGCTAATTTTTATATTTTCAGTAGAGATGGGGTTCTGCCACGTTGGCCAGGCTGGTCTCAAACTCCTGACCTCGGGTGATCCGCATGCCTCAGTCTCCTGAAATGCTGGGATTACAGGCGTGAGCCACTGTGCCCGGTCCTCAGTACTTTTTAAGTTAAATATTTTCACACAATTTACTGGAGAAAAGGAATAGATAGAGATATAGCTAATTTATATTAACAATCATAAACAGTAACAGAATTGGATCTGATGAAAAAATATCAAGCACAAAGATGAATGTTAGCCGGGCGTGGTGGCTCACGCCTGTAATCCCAGCATTTTGGGAGGCCCAGGTGAGAGGATCACTTGAGGTCAGGAGTTCAAGACCAGCCCTGGCCACCATGGTGAGACCCCACCTCTACTAAAAATACAAAAAAAGTTAGCCGGGCCTGGTGGTGGATGCCTGTAATCCCAGCTGTTTGGGAGGCTGAGGCAGGAGAATCACTTGAACCCAGGAGGCAGAGGCTGCAGTGAGCTGAGATTGTGCCACTGCACTCCAGCCTGGGTGACAGAGTGAGATTTGGTCTCAATTAAAAAAAAAAAAAGGAAAAAAAAAGAAAAAAAGATGAATGTTAATAATTACAGGTACTGGTTGAGTGCTGAACACATGCTAAACACCTGACATACATTTCCTTATTTATTTATTAATTATGGAGTCTTGCTCTGTAGCTCAGGCTGGAGTGCAGTGGCACGATCTTGGCTCGCTGCAACCTCCACCTCTTGGGCTCAAGTTATTCTCCTGCTTCGGCCTCCTGAGTAGCTGGGACTACAGGTGTGTGCCACCATGCATGGCTAAGTTTTTGTATTTTTAGTAGAGATGGGGTTTTACCATGTTGGCCAGGCTGGTCTCAAACGCCTGTCCTCAGGTTCCCAAAGTGCTGGTATTACAGGGATGAGCCACTGTGCCCGGCCACATTTCCTCATTTTAATCACTACCTCAGAGTTATGGTGTCTAAAACAAATGACTTTGGAGGTTGAGTTCTCTTTTGGAAGCCTGCTTTTCTACCCATATATTGAGAGGGTGAAACAAACATACCAGCTTCTTAGACTTGCTCACATGGTCCACAAAAAAAGGGAGAAGGACTAACTGTCACATTCTTTTAAGGAACCAAACCATGCACGCAGATATGAATCATTGGTATACAAAACTAGAACTGGCCAAGGATTACTATATTAGAGATAGAAGAGCATTCAGGGTCATTAGTAAGCAACCCAGCACTCCAGACTGAGTTGTGCGTGTAGTTAAGATCTGCTTCCTATGGTTCTTCTTAATGTAATTTTTCTCCGTATCTTTTTCATATCCATTAATTCTAGTCATCTGTGGGCTTAAAAAACTAAAAACTCAGCTTGTTAGAGCTATGTCTAAATCAGAATTTAAGGGCCAGGCGTGGTGACTCAGCCTGTAATCCCAGCACTTTGGGGGCCAAGGAGGGCTGACTGCTTGAGGTCAGGAGTTCAAGACCAGCCTCGGCAACATGGTGAAACCTCATCTGCTAAAAATACCAAACAATTAACCAGGCATGGTGGTTTGCACATGCACTCTCAGCTACTCGGGAGGTTGACACATGAGATTTGCTTGAACCCTGGAAGCAGAGGTTGCAGTGAGCCAAGATCGCATCACTGCACTCCAGGCTGGGTGACAGAATGAGACCTTGTCTCAAAAAATAATAATAAAAAATAAATAAAATAATTTAAAACCTAAGTCACAGCCTGAGAAATGACTCTATGATCATGAAATACACACTTTTTAGCATTTATTTTGCCTGTTAGGGATTTTTGATTCTATTTAGAAAAGTTAAGCAACTGAACAAGTGATCATCATATACTTTGGGATTATTTTTTGAAAAAATTTTTTATTATTTTTTGAGACAGAGTCTCTCTCTGTTGACCAAGGTGGAGTGCAGTGGCGCAGTCCCGACTCACTGCAACCTCTGCCTCCCAGGTTCTAGTGATTCTCATGCCTCAGCTTCCCGAGTAGCTGGGCTTACAGGTGTGCGCTACGACACCTGGCTAATTTTTAGTAGAGACGGGATTTCGCTATGTTGGCCAGGCTGGTCTCATACTCCTGGCCTCAAACGATCCTCCCACCATGGCCTCTCAAAGCGCTGGGATTACAGATGTGAGCCACTGTGCCTGGCCAGCATATACTTTGCTTAGAAAAATTACTAAAAAACAAGCATATTTTTAAAAAGAGGTAGACTAACTACCAGTTAGGAAACTGAAAATCTGAGAGGAAAGCTTTGCATATTAAAAAACAAAGATGTGGGAAAAGAAAATACAAGTAAAATATAAATGAAAGTTTTGGCTGAGCGTGGTGGCCCATGCTCCTAATCCCCACAATTTGGGAGGCCGAGGCAGGCAGATCACTTGAGGCCAGGAGTTTGAGACCAGCCTGGCCAACACAGTGAAACCCCATCTCTACCAAAAAACACAAAAAATAGCCTGGCGTGGTGGTGCGTGCCTGTAATTCCAGCTACTCGGGAGGCTGAGGCACGAGAATCGCTTAAGCCCAAGAGGCAGAGGTTGCAGTGAGCTGAGATTGAGCCACTGCACTCCAACCCAGGTGACACAGGGAGACCCTGTCTCAAAAATAAAATAAAATAAAATAAAATTTTTAGTATGAAAATGTAAATGCCCTATTTTATTTGTATGTATTATACAAAGCTCTACTTAAATTATATACATGTAGTTTAAAACCTTACAGGAGCACTTATTATCAGAAAAGAAATTGTAGGCAACTTTTGTAAGATGACTTTGTATAAGAATCATCAGAACCAGAACATGTAACCTGGTTACTCTAAGAGGAAATACAAGCAAGTAGTAATAAATTTCTTTTTGTAGTCATTAAAAAAAAATCAGCTAAGAAAGAAGACATTAGAAACCACTGTAAAACGTACTAAAGAAATGACTTAAATGGTCAAAGCAATATTGTAAAAGATATTTAAGCTAATGACTGCCATCTAGTGAGACAGTCACGTAATTATAGGACTTGACTACAAAACCCACGTTCCTGTTTCATTATTTTCTGAACTATTTCAGTCGCTATTTTTATTAGGGCTTAGGGAAATACATGCAAGGCATGCTTATCAAATTTGTGGCTTAAATGAATTGAGAAAACAGCTATTGCCCTAAGATAGAACAAGAACCTACACTTTTAGACACAGAAATCTAACAAGTTGAAGTTGAGATAACTAGCCACAATTCCATTCCTGAAAACAAAGCAAAAGAACACAGAAAGAAATCCACACCAGTATAGAGATGGAGAGACAAAGTTCAAAGGCAATGAACAGGAAAAAGAGTTGGCAATACCTGTACGAAGTAACAATGTAATGTGGAAACCAAATCCACACGAACAGACACATCTTCAGTGGAAAATTATAAGAAAAAAATATGCTATGTTTAAAAACTGTAAGAACTGGGCCAGGCGCAGTGGTTCATGCCTGTAATCCCAGCACTTTTGGGAGGCCGTGGCTGGTGGATCACGAAGTCAGGAGATAGAGACCATCCTGGCTAACACGGTGAAACCCTGTCTCTACTAAAAATACAAAAAAAAATTAGCCGGGCATGGTGGCAGGCGCCTGTAGTCCCAGCTACTGGGGAGGCTGAGGCAGGAGAATGGTGTGAACCCGGGAGGCGGAGCTTGCAGTAAGCTGAGATTGCGCCACTGCACTCCAGCCTGGATGACAAAGCGAGACTCTGTCTCAAAAACAAACAAACAAACAAACAACAACAACAAAAACCGTAAGAACTGACAGCCTAAAACAGAGAATACACATGGAAAACAGCTTTGACTCTCTGAAGGGCTGTCACAAAGAAGTGGAGTAGATAATTTTGTGTAGCTACAGAAGACAGAAACAATGGAAGGGGGTGATTAAAAGGAGACATATTTGCATTTGGTGTCTAGAGGAACTTCACAGCTGAGCTGAGACAGAATGAGCTGCTTAAGCATCACTAGAGCTATGCAGTAGAGGCTGAAAGATCACTAGGTAGTTGTAAAAACTTTCCAATATTGGATAAATGATTAAATTAGATTTAAGAGTCAGCAAACTATAGCCTGTAGCCCAAATCTGATCTGCTGCTTATTTGTGTAAATAAAGGATGTATTTTATCTATGTCTACTTTCATGCTACAATAGAGCGTTGAGCAGCTGCCACAGAGGCTGACTGGCTTTAAAGCTGAAATATTTACTATATGGTCCTTTACAGAAAAAGTTCTCTAACACCTGAATTACATAAGTAAGAAGATTTCTTCTAATTTCTCTATGCATGTCAACTTCAGAATGTAAGTTTTCTGAGAGCAATGACTGGCTGTTTATAAGCTTTGTCAGAACCATATTTTTCACTGGGTGGATCCAAAAACTATGAATTTTGTAACTTTAACCACCTATCATTTATTTGCCTCCTTTCCACCTCCTGCAAAGAGTATTACATGATGCATATTAATAAAACTTACTAAATTTAATTCAAATTAATTCAATTGAGCTGGGACACTTAAATAATTAGGGATACTTTAAGGTGCTGTAAAACCAAGGCTACGAATTAATAGCTTAATGATAATCACATGCTTTAATTCTTTAAAACTTAACATTTCTAGTAACAGTGTAGTAAATGGGATTATGATAAGGAAAAAATATGGCATCAGAACTCCTTTTCTTTACAGAGTAGTATAAAGGAACTAGATTTATAAGAATAAAGTTCAGATTTTTGTTTTATTGTTTGGTTCACTCCCTAACATCAGCAAAATCATTTAAATTATCTTTGCCCTACTGCTGAATGACAAAATCAGCTGCTAAAAATCTGATGCCTTATGCCCTCCCTCCCACTGAGTGACTCCCTCTAGAAAGATAATGCAAGGGAAATATTTATCAAGTTTCTCTTGGGGTCCTCTGGAGAAAATCAGGAAATCACACCAAGTAACTTTATGAATGAGATTTTCCTTTTAGCCTATCATGATTTACTAAGATGTTGGACATGAAATACTTTTTTAGTAAGAGTGAACTACAACATATCCAACAATAAATTCATATCATGTTATAAGCCAGAGAACTTTTTGTGATGATGGAAATGCTATACAACAAGCGGGGCATGGTGGCTCACTTCTGTAGTCCCAGCTATTCAGGAAGCTGAGGCAGGAGGATGGAGTTTGAGTCCAGCCTGGGCAACACAGTAAGACCTTATCTCCTTTAAAAAAAAAAAAGGTAGCTTTTAGCAACAAGTAATTTAAATGTGGCCAATGAAACTGAGGAACTAAATTTTCATTTTATTTAAATTTAAATAGACACATGCAGCTAGTGCTACTTGTCTGAAGAGCAATGGTATGAATATCTTTACAGCTAATTCTCTTAAGAATTATATTAGTTGATTCACTTAGAATCTTAAAAAAACAAAAAACACCTAGAAAAAAACAAAAAAAACAGCTAGAAATACAAGGGATGGGGATGGATGATGGTGGGGGAGAAATATACTTCACAAAGTGTGGAATTAAATAAATATTTATTTCTAGAAGGATATGCAGTGAGTTTTTCTGTAATTATTATTAAATTTGGGGGGGCCTTATATGTTTACCTTTTTGTGTTGTTTGGTTTGGTTTTTGCTATAACAGGATCTTAATAAATATGTAATAATATTCAGTTCTAAACTAGGTCTATTTCATTCATAGATAGTTTTACATATTCATCTTATTTTGGTCTCAATTTGTTTCCTTAGTTCTGTAATTTTTTTTTTTTTTTTGAGACAGGCTCTTGCTTTGTCACTGAGGCTGGAGTGCGGTGGGGCAATCACAGCTCACTATAACCTCAAACTGCTGGGCTCAAATGATCCTCCTGCCTCAGCCTCCTAAGTAGCTGGGACTAGACGCATACACCACCACACCCTGTTAATTTTTCTCTTATTTTTACAGAGATGGGGTCTTGTTATGTTGCCCAGGCTGGGCTCAAACTCCTGGCCTCAAGTGATCTTCCTGCCCTGGCCTCCCACAGTGCTGGAATTACAGGCATGTAAACCTGGCCTGTAATTTTTCTTTTAATACCATTTTGTTGTTTTGTCATCTTACCTTTGAAGACCTGTGTTGCTAAATTCTTATTTTCATTGTTTTATTTCTTTAGCCAGAATACTTGCATGTAATTTTGTCCTTTTCCTTGGATTACACTGTCTTAAATCTTTTGTATGCAACTTTAATTCTTTTTTGTGTAATTATATGTTGGTGTGATTGCCATTTCTTTCTTTTATTTTGTCATGATTAACATGGGCAGCTCTCCTACAGTAAATGAACATTCTCCTTGATGTACCTGTATCTCTTCCCCCTCTAAACTAGAATTTCAAGGCCTGAGTATTATATCTGGACTTGAGGGTAGACGGTGGGAAGGCAGGGAGGAGGGACCCTCCCCTGGAGCTCTACGTGGCTTTGTTGGTTACTTGGGTTCCCTGGTCTTGTGAGATTTTGTCGAGTGTCTTGAACAAGGTACACTCCATCCAGGAAAGGATCTAGTCACATGGATCTGTGTCCCCAATTCAGCTTACAGTCCTGAAAAATGGCAGACCTCAGCAAGTTTTCTTGCTTCTGCTGAAATTCTGACGTATTGTGTGGTGGTAGGTATATTGTTTGACATATTGTGTGATGGTAGGTATATTGTTTGATGTTGTCCAAGGGTGCTTTTTCATTCTCTTATTCATTTTTTCCAGATTGGGAAGTATTTGGCAAACGCTCAGGATCCTGAGCGTTTGCCAAATTCATCTTATTTCTCTAAATGGCTTTTAAAAGGTAGGAATGGTACTAGGATTTTATTTCTTTCCTCAACCTCCACTTTTTGAAGTTATGGTGTGAAGTTTCAAATAATCCTTTTTGAGTGATTGCTGCTTGTGATTTTGTTTGTTTCATCAAAAACTGGATTCTGTGATCCAGCTTCATTTCACATCTTTACCTGGAATTCAGGCTATACTTTTAAATAAAAGTCTTAATTGAATATGCACAATAAATATTAAAACTTGGGTAGAAGCAATCAGAAACCAAGAGAGAGAAATGGTCACAATATTAAATAAGTAATTGTCAAGTGAATCTCATAAAATCAGACAATATTTGTAACAAAATGATCAGTTCCTCTATGGGGCTGTACCATTTGTATAAGGATTTCATACCAAAAACACTCAGTTTTTAAACTGATAGGTAAACTCTCCTTTAACTTTACTTTAGCTCTCCTGCATTCTTGACTGAATGTTATTTAAACTACATTCTTATACTCACAGGCCAAGGCTGTAGATCATTTAGCCCCTTTTCTAATTTCTCAACATCTGGAAACTTTGTGGCTCCATCAGCATCTGCCATAAGGATCTTTTCTCCTCGAGAACTGAATATACCCTGTATTTTAAAATTTCAAGTCAAAGAAAATTGGTTAAAACTCAGGTTAAATTCAATGACACTTCAGTCTGTTCTACTTAAAATACCTAAGAGTGAAAGATGAGGTATGAGATGGCTGAAGGAGGCCAGAGTTCACTGAAAACAAATTACCTGTATATTAAGATCTTCTCAAATGAACCTATTGCCTATCTTCATTATTTTAAAAACTTTGTGAAGTCATACTACAAATATCTTGGAAAATACCAAGATAATAAAATAGGTTTGGACAAATTAAAGATATTCTGCATCACAAAGAATAAAAAACGGACAGTACGTATCATACATATTATATGTTTATCGTGTCATGATGCTTAAAATGAATTACGGGCTACTTAGAACCACATATAAAGAACATGTTTATAGACAGATTAAACATTCTAATATATAGATATGCTGTGAAATGCACAGGTCTTTAGTATCATTTATTATAGGATCTAAAGTTTACTAAATTAATTAAAGAAATAAAAAGTGTCAATAAACTTTAAGAATTATGCATAAATCCAAATGTTATGTTATGCCATTTGCGGTATTTGAAACAGCAAAATTATGCCATTCAATTCTGAATTGGCTGGTCTTTTGTGCAAATTATGGCTCCATGAGTGCATATTTCATACAGAAATAAACTGCACATCAACTTTTAATTTCTCTGATGTATTTGAGTGAATTCCTTATTTCTTACGTGCAAATATATTTATGGTTTGATATAGTAAAATTGCTTTGATAACACAACATAGTGTGACTATAGGTAAGACATATACAAATGTAGAGAGAAATCAGATCATTTATTCTATGGTATAATAAGCTAACTAGTTAGTATCTGTGATGTCTTTTTAATCACACCCATTAGAACAAATGCAAAAGGCTAGGTGAGATGACTCACACCTACTACAATCCTAGCACTTTGGGAAGCTGAGGTGGAAGGATTGCTTGAGCTCAGGAGTTTGAGACCAGTCTGGGCAATACAGTGAGACTCCATCTCTACAAAAAAATTTAAAAAATTAGCCTGATATAGTGGCACATGCCTGTAGTCCCAGCTACTTGGGAGGCTGAGGTGGTAAAAAAACTGGAGCTATTAGTCTGAAATGGGGCAAAAAACCAGTAAGTGACTAATTTCAATGATGCGTGATCAAACTTGTTTAAGCCTACTTTCCTGTTCTACCGTCTATGGCCTTCACTTTGCTGCAGCTCCTTGAAAAGGCAGTCTACCATAGCAACTCCCATTTGTGTTTCCTCAGTCATATTTTATACCCATTATTTCTCATGTGCCTCACTGCCTTAAGATTTCCTGATTCTCCTTTTCTCTGTAACCTCCTCTTTGCCAGTTTAATGGCTTCAGGTTCAACTATCATCTGACATATGTGGATGACTCACTCACATCCTCTCTCCTAGGCTATTCTGGATACCACTGCATGTTGTTTCAAACTTAACATGGCTCAAACTCAACATAACTGCCTCTTATACCAGCTCCTCCTCCAGTGTTTCATTCCTTCTATTAATGGCATCGTCATCCTCCCTGTTACCCAAGGCCAGTGGTACTCATTTGACATAGTTTGGATCTGTGTCCCCTCCAAATTTCATATTGCAATGTGATCCCCAATGTTGGAGGTGGGGCCCAGTGGGAGGTGTTTGGGTCATGGGGGTGGATCCCTCATGAACAGCTTGGTGCTGTCCTTGCAATAGTGAGCAAGTTTTCATGAGATCTGGTTGTCTAAAAGTGTGTGGCACCACCGTGCCCGCTAACTTGCTCCTGTTCTCGTCATACGATGCTCCTGCTTCCACTTCGCTTTCTATCATGAGTGGAAGCTTCCTGAGGCCTTCACTAGAGGCAAATGCTGGCACCATGCTCCGTGTACAGCATGCAGAACCGTCAATCAATCACATCTCTTTTCTTTATATGTTATCCAGTCTCAGGTATTTCTTTATAGCAATGTAAGAATGGCTTAGCATGTCATTCTTCTCTCTGATCCCAGACCCAATGCTATGTCATTTTAATAGCTCTCACATTTATCCCCTCATTTTCTTCTCTTCTGTCACTATCATAATCCAAATAAATATTCATCATACCTTGCCCAATATTGCTACACTTGATGCTGGCTGATTAAAGTGTCACTCTGTCAATGGTAAAAAATGTAAAAGCCCCTCGTCTACAGTTTGTGACCTTAACTCACCCACCGCTCCAGCCTTATCTCCAGTCAAGACGTGGGTACCATGAGTGGGTCCTTTATTGTGGCATGTTCTTTCACATTGCTGTGCCTTTGTTCATGTTCCCCGTCTAGGCTCCCTGCCCTCCCAACTTGGAGGTGGTTAAGTCCTAATCCTCCTTAAAGACCCCGCCGAGAATTTGCCTCCTCTGGGACATCTGTGCTGCTGCCCTCAAAAGATGGTGGCACCAACTTTTTGCATGTACTTCTATTATAGCATTTACAACACTGTATGGCAATGGTCTGTCTCCCTACTAAACTGTGATGTCCTTAAGGACAGAATAGGTGTCTTTCATCTCAGTGTCTCTAATGAAAATACAACATTGGCTGAATAAAGAAACAAATGGATAGATTTAAAGCCCATCATGACACTGCATCAATCCTACTTTCTTTCTGTTTCATATATCCTGTGACCCAGCCAAAGTGAATCACTGTTTCTAGTACATATCCAAAGAGTTCCTACTTCTGTCTTTTCTGGCTTTACTAAATGGCGTGCTGTTTTCTCAAGTCTTTTCTCTATAGAGTTATCAGAGAGGTTAAAAGCATGGCTTTCAGAGTGAAACTAACTGCATCCAAATCTTGACTCTACCTCTTATCATCTGATAACACTGGGTAATTTACTTTACCTTCTTTACTCACTTTCCTCAACTATATAATAATCAAACTAATATTACCCAACTCATAAGACACTGTGAAGAGGGCAACATGTGATGATTTGTATCCTGACCATTTCCCTTCTCCTTCCTGTTGAATGTGGACGTGATGGCTAGTGCTCCAGGAGTCACCCTGTGTGCATGAGGAAGAAGGAGTGAAACGGCAGAAGCCTGGACTTCTGATGACTGTGGAGTTGAACAAGCCCTGGACTGCCCACCTTTAGACTTCTTTTTATGAGGGAAAAATAAATAAATGGACCTCAAAGTCAATTATTTAGGTTTTCTTTCACATATCTTGATTTTTAAACTTCCAGCTTGATTCATAGCTGATATGCCTCAGCTGACAGTAACCTCTTTTTTGAAATTTCTTAGCACTTTATCTGCATGTCTCTCATAATTATAATCTTCTTTTTTACTTATGCAAATGCTTACCTTTCCTATTAGACTGCACATTTCATCAGGACAGACCCAAGTCAAATTCATCTTAGTTCATGCTACCATGCATAACAGCATACCTTCATCAAGGTAAAACTTAATACAAAAAACATTTTTTAAACTGCAAAAAACCACATAAGCTATCTGCTAACTCTATCAAAGATACAGAGGTAGATGGTAACATTTTAAACTTTAAGATAAACATAAATACATAAATCTATTTTTAAATCACCCACTATATTATAGATATGACACATCTTAAAATTTGACTAAAAACATGAAGTTATTATTAAAATTATGTTATCACTAACTTGAAATGCTGGTATTCAAGCAGTGGGCAAACATACAAGTCTGCAAAAGACATTATTCAAGATACCTTCATATTTTAGATAAAAATGTTGAAAATATGTATTACCATTCTAATCGCTCCACCTTTTCCACGATTCTTCACCAGGGTTATCACACGTACTTTGTCACTTCCATATTTCTGGCAATATTTAAAAGCTACCTATGAAATTATATAAAAATCAGAATAAAATTAATTTGGATTAAAGAGAATTATATAAGCTGTGTTTCTTGCTTTGGCTCAAACACTGCTATTGCAGTTTATCCCTTCTTGTGACTAGGTTACACCCACTGTACATTCTGATGACCTGGAGGAGCTGTAGAAATCTTGGTGCCATTGACCTACTAGGTTGAAATCATAGTTCAGTTTCCTGCAGAGGAACCACCACAGTGGGCAATGACCTTCTTTTCTTGACTCCTCTACCTAAGCTACTGAGCTGCTAAAAAACAAACAACAACAACAACAAAAAACAACAAAAAAACCCCACAAAAGCCATGTGCTATCTGACTGGTACAAACTTATGATTGGGCCCTTAACACTGGTTAATGACTTTTGTATTTGTTCTGGTCTGCAATCGCTCTTATTCCCCAGAGAGGCTGTTTGTATCCTGACCATTTCTCCCGAATCTTTTCACTCAAATTCCTCTCTCTCAGCAGTAAATTCTCTTCTAAATCTTCAATCTCTTCCTCTCTGCTGGCTCCACAGCCTCAGACTTGCTCAAGCTGCCAGCATCCTAAAAACTTTCCTTTGACTTCACTATTTTCTCAAGCTACGGCCATTACTCTGCTTTATAATCAAAGTCGTGAGATAGTGATCTATATTTGCCACCTGCATTTCATCACCCATTTATTTTTCGGTCCACTGTAGTAGGGCTCATGCCCTTTGCTCTTCCACATCCCGTTTCCTTGTAACCTTAGCCCATCAGGTACCCTCTCCTTTGACAACCATCTCTACAGGCAGCTGTAAAGTTGCTCTCATCTGGCCTTTGCCCTCCTCTACTGTTCCCAAGTTTTCACCAATAACTCCTTTTGCTTGGCTTGCTCCTTAAATGCTGATAATCCACACAAGGACTGACTCTACACTGTACATACAGCTAATGGGAAACCCCTGGCCATCTTCTCTTCTCAACATAAAAGCTCACTGGGAGTCACTGCATGGGCTTAATTATAGCTTATATTTATGAATCTCACGTCTGTTTAGAGCCCAGACTCTTCTCTCCTGTGTCACCTAGTTATATATTGGATAAATAAAAACTCCAGAATTTCATTCATCTCCTCCTCCCAACTTCTGCTCAGTCTACATTCCTTGCTGCAGCAAATGGCATCATCATCTACTAAGTTGCTCAAATTGAAAACCTGAGAATCATCTTCCATTTCTATCACCCATTACAATTCACTGGCTACTATAACTCACTGACTGATTTGTAAAATCCCTCTCAAATCCATGCTATCCTCACACCTTCCTGACCTAGTTCAGGGCCTTATCCCCTAAAGTCCCCACATCTCTACCCTGACTCCCTAATTCATTCCTAAAGTTATACGAGTAGCCTTTCTAATATGGAAATCAGTTCACATAAGCCCTGTTCAAACACCCTCAGTGATGACTTATGGCTTCTAAGCATCACATATGAGTTCCTTATCATAGCATAGGAGATCCTTTGTGATTCAGCCTTCACCTTTTTAGCCAGCTTCTGAGGCTGCCCCATTAGTACCGTGAACATTAGCAGTATTTGAGATTTCCAGACCATACCACGGTCTTACACTTGTATGCCTTTTCTCAGAACACTGTCTTCCAGCTTCCTCACCTGTCAGGCCAGCTTAAGACTCAGCCAAACACCATTTCTCTTTTCTAGCCTCCATGCCCATCCCCACCTTCCCCCGGGAAAAAGAAAAGTATAATTCTAATAGCAATGTGTACTACTGAAGCATTTTCTCATTCAACTATTACTTTACTCATCACAATGCAACTGTAAATGTCAGCTACTTAAAGGCAAAGATTTTTATTTCTGGTATCTGGCACATAGCTGAAATCTATCAGTTTCAACCAGCAAATGCAGCCATGGTCCTGTTGTAGCACTGTTAACTAGCTGCCAAACCAGCAAACAGTGCCTCCTTCTTTGCTGTTATGGCCCCAATAATGCAGTGACAACTGTGAAGCCCTAGGGGATGAACCATGATTGGTCTAACTCCTCTTTGCTGAGTACTTTTGCAGCCTCCCTGCAGGCTTTGGTGGTCATGTCACTAAGTTCTAGCTTGTGAACTTTGGGTGTGGGCTTTAGTAGAGGGAGGGGTGAGGACTTCTGATAAAGATTTTCGTTCCTAGTTAAAAAGGAGAGATGCACGCAGAGATGATTCTTTTTTTTTGACACAGGGTCTTGCTCTGCTACCCAGGCTGGAGTTCAGTCGTGCGATCACAGCTCACTGTAACCTTGAACTCTTGCGCTCAAGCAGTCCTCCCACCCTCCCACCTTGGCCTCCCAAAGTGTTGGGATTACGGGCATGAACCACCATGCCCAGCCCAGAGATGATTCTTAAAGTCCTGGCTGTCCCTTACTACTCCAGGACATGTAATATTTGCAGCTGTGGCCATTTTGTGATGAAGGAATGCGTGAGACTGAAAATGATATGGATCTAGCAACCTGATCCTGTTTAAATGCTAAGCCAACTCTGGAATCAACTATTTCTAGACTTCCTGGCAGATGAGATAATTAAACGTCTTTATTATCTAAGCCACTCTATGATATAGTTCCTAATTGATAAAAATGTCTAACACATAGTGCTCTAATTATTTGATGCATATTTCCAGTATTATTAATAGATGTGAACTCCTTCAAGGTAGAAAGTGGTCTTTACATCTTTGTATTTTAGTGCCAGTCAGAACTCTCGACTTCTGCTTAACAGCTGAAGAAATGTGTTCAAAGAACAGTTATTTGTGCTGTAGATGTTTACTCTGGAATGGCACAATACTTGAGACTGCAAAACCAAGAAGATAAAGTCATTATATAAGTAGCTAAGTGAACTAATAAGACTTTACTATGTTAGGATGAAAAGCTCCCTCTAGAGTATGGTATCTAGCTTCAAGGAATATAACATTGTTAAAGCCACAACTGTTTGGAATGGATGCACAATGAAGCTTTACAGCATGGCCTTTAGTATACAGGGCAGCAGCTGTCACTCGGCCACCATTTGTGAACTGAGTTCCTACTGAGTGCCTACTCGCCTTTTTGGTATGTTGTTTGAGGATATAATAAACATCACTGTACAACTGCAGTATTCTCTTGTACTATACCTTGTGCCCCCTTGGTCTGAAACGCCTCAAGAACAAGAGCCGTATCTAAAATTTTCCTCACACCCCTCAGACTGTAAGACATTAACAGGGAATCTATAAATACTTAACTTAGCGAAAACTGGTTTGTTTTAAATAAAAACTTCTACTAAATATAATTTCAACTTTCTACTTCCTCCCAACCTTGGGAGCAGTGGGGCCAATTGCTAACCCCTCCCTTGCTTGTCCTCCCTGGGAGGGCATCCCTGATCCTTCCAGCAGAGCAGCTGGCCACTCACAGGTCAAGGGCCACCAAAAAAGTGCTCCTCAGGAGAAGATGCACAGCCTCAGCTGGGTCTAGGCTACCTCTATAATCTCAACAGCAAGTGTCCAATGTGGCTTTCCATGCCATTCCCTTCATGTATCACTAAACTGCTGAGATGGCTTGTGTTCATAACTTTCACATCATACTATTCAAAGTGCAGCACTTACCCTTCCTAAGCCAGATCCTGCCAATGCTCTCTGTGCATGTGAAAGGACACACCTGCTTCCCAGGGGCTGGTACGAAAGCAGCTTTCTATTGGCGTGACTGCTTTAGAAATTATAAGGCAAGATGGAGCATAAAGAAACTGTGCTTAGGGAAAAAGGAAGCACAAATTGGTAGGCAACGAAGGTTCCTACCCTAAAGGCCAGGAGGAACTGTGCGCGGGCATGTTTCTTCCCTATCTGGCGATCTTCAAAGCTTCCCTGGTCTTATGGAGAAGTTCCATAAATGAAATCTGTTTTTTCTGCTATCTAGACTATAACAATGGAGAGTGTTAGGCACAGCTTTAGGGTCCCCTGGTGAATGAAAGTGAGATTTCACATGTGCAAAATTATTCTCTATTTTCTAACTATTGTCAATTCTAAAAGCAAGTGTATTTACCTTTGAGGTCTGATCTTTACTGCCATCATCAACTACTATCACTTCATAAGTGAACGCAGGATCTCGTTTCTGCAAGAAACAAAAATAAAGTAATACAATTTGGCATAACTGCCATAAAGTATTCTAATCAAATCACCAGTAATTTAAAAAACAACTGCTTTAGTGTTGATACATATAAATTTGAATATAAATATTAGTGCACAAACCGCATAAAATAAAAAGGCTAAGTAAAAAGAGAGAGAGAGATCCTGGGTAGAGGTGGAGAGTGAATATTGACTCAATCTCTCCATGTCACCTTGCTGTTCCCCAGTCTGCCCTGTACCTTGGTGGTGGAAGAAGCCAGGTACTTGTGGTGCTATAGCACATTTGAGAGGGTACAGGTGTGTAAGAAAAAAGCTCCTGAGGTTTGAAGTCAGAGAGGGCAGATTCCAGCTTGGCTGCAGCATTTCTTAGCCTAATGACCTTGGGCAACTTAACTTTTTGGGCCTATTTTCTGATTAAAAAAAGAGAACAGAAAAACCTACTCTATGTGGCTGGTGTGAAGATTACACGTAATTGAAGAGGTAGAAGCCTCATACATATTAAAGGCTCAATTCCTTTCTTCTTTTCTCTAAATTGAATGTTTGAAGTTGGTAATAAGGTAATACAGCCCTTTCTCTTTCAGTGAATCTTCTATTTCCCCTTTATACAAAAAATCTAAAAGCAAAGTAAATCAAAACAATTTTTTTTTAAAAAGAACTCACTTAATTCTTAATCCCTCCAAGGGGATTCCAATGGCAGCTAATGTTACAAAAGAAGGTTGTGTATTACTTCTCTTCTCCTTATGTAGGGAAAACAGGAAGAAAATGTGAGGGGAGACTCTTGAGAATATTGAAGAAATACAAAATAATTTCAATGTAAGTGTGTCTTTTAAAAATATCTTTTTTCTGTTCATTCAGACTTAGTTTTTCTGTTTATTCAAACCCAGTTAACCAAAAAATAAAAAAAGAGAGAAGAGAATAAAAGTTAACAGCAAAAACAGCAACAATACACCTTTTCTTACAAGTCACAAAAGTAAAAACAGCATTGTGGCATCATACAAAGTCTGCAGACATACACTGTCACTCAATTTTAAATATATCATCAAGCAAGACAGGATTAAAATGGGTAGGAGGGTACAGAAACAGAAATTTTCGCTTCCTGGTTTGTCCTGGGTCAACGACCTGCCTCTGGAGGTAGCATGCTACGTGCCGGGCTTATGGATAGCAACAAGCAAGCAGCAGGTGGCCCAGCGATCGGGGTGCTGCCAGGACTGCCTCTCACAGTGCATCTGGCTTGGGGTCCACAATTGGTGACCTGGTCTAGTTTTAATTGGAGATATCATATTAAAAGAGAAAACATGATACCTGTCTCTTCTCTAGATAGCTCAGAGCTTCATCCATCATCACAGGCACTTGAAGAAAAAAATATATTAAAAATCACTTTTGAAAATGATTTTCCAAGCCCGGCACATTCAGCTTACATACAGAAAAAAGTCCCAATAATCTAACAAGCCCCTCTGGTACTTTCCCAATGGTCATTCCCATCTGAAATCCTGCCTTCTGTCCACAATGTGCTTATTACCTCTCTAGAACATTCCAGTCCCGCTGCCTCATGATGCTGCTCCTATTCATGAGAGCAAATATTCACTTCCCTCTCTGCCGAACTACAACAATTATCAACTGTGTGCTCAACACAGCCCACATCTATTAATGTTTTGGCAAAGACAGTGAAGTCAAATACTTTAAATTTCCTTTTCTTTTCCAAACTACCCTTTACCAAAAAAATCAAAACAGGGCTTACACCGTTTTTCTTCATTGTATGAAGGCACAACGACAGAAAGTTGTTTGGTAGGTGAGTCCCATATGCTGGGTAAAGTTTCTTTCTGGCCTTTGGCATTTAAGAAGAATTTCTCTTCTTCATGTCGATGGAGTGCTGGCATTTTTGTAGCAGTTGTAAATGCAACGATGGAAATCTAAAAGCAGACATACATGTCTTTTACAAAACAGAAATTATGTTTTGCTGACTTTTCTGTATTTATGTTAGAATACATCATCTACTTTTCTTTTAGTTGAATACTCACTCTCAGGTTTTAGTTCATTAACAATGGTCTAGAGGTGACTCCAAAATTAGACAATAGTGAGTCCCCTACTTATGAACGAATTACTGTCCTTTTTTCCATCAGTAAGGTGCTGATGCCTTAGGAGGCTCTGTCTCTTCCCAGTCATCATTCGCCAGGCCTCCACCATCCCAGCTACAATAAAGGTCAGTCACTACAGGAAGACCAGTCTACTCTCAGGTGCCCTAAAACCCTGATCCTTAGCGTGTCTACATGCATAGAGACACACACACATATAGTAAGGTCCTATCGCTACTTGGAATCTATATGTGACAGGACAAGTCCATTTTGCAGTTGGAACATGCGGGGTGAGGGCACACTTTCCATCCAGGACCAGACAGACCCAAGATATAAAAGGAAGATTCCCCAGACTACCAAGTAGGGACCAACAATGTTTAAGAATATGTTTTTGACACTTAACTCGAATTTGAATTCAGAATACAGCATTTACTGAAGTATCTAACTTACAGGCTCCCTTCCATATGCACTTGGGAGCTAAGCTTTGGAAATAACCATTGTTTTTACATTGTTTCTATTGGTACACTTTCTGCTTTCAAAACAGTCTTTAAATTTTTGGAATGCTATTCATTTGTAATTTAATGATCAATTTGAAGACATTATCAAATTGTCATTGTCATCAGCTCCTGAGGTTTGATCTTTGAGGTCTGATCTTTACTGCCATCATCAACTACTATCACTTCAGAGATTATAAGATTATAATCAAAGATTATCAAAGATTATAAGGGCTGTGCTGAAAGGACAAAGTAGTCAACCTGAATGGGCTCTCAGTGGCCTATGATGCAAGAATCTGATCGTCCTCCCACTTCCCCCCTGCCAAAAAAAATTACTGCAATGGATCAAACCATGAAAAATACTGTAAATCATAAATTTGCAATGATACTAAAGACAAAAACTGGGTAAGATGCAGGAAGGATCTCATTTCAAAAATTTGCCTTTTGCGTTTTATATGTATGAAAGGTATTTTAGGGTAAATGAATAGCTGAGGATGAGATTTCTTTCATTACAAAACTCTAGGTAATAAATGAAGGATACAATGAGAATATTTCACTTTGCAACCCGCAATGAAATAAAGCATTTAGGTAATGATCCTCAATGACTACTAAAACCATTAGGCTGATGACAAACTTTATAAACTGGTGGGTCTGGCTGGCAACATTTGAAACCACAGATCCATCTTAACACCAGAGACAAATGGCCATTACATGACTCCTGATGAGACACAAGAGAAAGGAAGAAGCATCACTCACAATTTTTTCTTGATTAAAAAACACATCGAGTATGTATGTGATCAGGTCTCTCCATCCTAACTACCAGTTTATAGAAAATTTGAGATAGAAGATGTTAAAAGGCATTAAGGGGATGCAATCAAAGAAATCCAAATTGTGAGAAGTTCTACAGGACAAATGATCATATTAAAGACAAGGAAAAAGGCCGGGCGCGGTGGCTCATGTCTGTAATCCCAGAAGTTTGGGAGGCCGAGGAGGGTGGATCACCTGAGTTCAGGAGTTCGAGACCAGCCTGGCCAACATGGCGAAACCCCATCTCTATTAAAAGTACAAAAATTAACCGGGAGTGGTGGTAGGCGCCTGTAATCCCAGCTACTCAGGAGGCTGAGGCAGGAGAATTGCTTGAGGGCAGAGGTTGCAGTGAGCCAAGATCACACCACTGCACTCCAGCCTGGGTGACAAGAGCCAGACTCCGTCTCAAAAAAAAAAAAAAAAAAAAAAGACAAGGAAAAGAAAAAAAGGGGGAGGAGAAACTGTCAACTGATTAAGAGACTCAAGACATCAACAGAGTACAATGTGTGGCACTTGTTTGGATCCTGATTGGAACAAACAGACATATATACTGAGACATATATGAGACAAGTGAGGGCAAGTGAACTGAGGGGGCATTTGAAATCACAGAATAAATTTAAATCTGTGACCACTTTATTGTGGTATTTTAAAAAGAAGGACCTTATCTGTTAGAAATAAATGCTGAGGATTTAAAGATAAAATGTCTTCGAGTTGTTTTAAAATAATTCAGAAAGGAGGTGAGACTGTGAGTAATGGAGAGTGGATACATATGAAGACAGGATGAGGTTTTGAAAAATTATTTTTTTAATGATTTCTTGCTCTGGCATTTAAAAAACCTAAGTTTCACTAGTTGTGCAACATTTGAGTACACGAGCTCATTTCTCCAACATGTTTCCTCACCAGTAAAATAATGCTAATGATAACATATATGTCACAGTGTTAAAGATTTAATAACTCCTATTAAACCAAGTGCAACACAACATATAGTAAGTACTACAATCAATAAATGGTAGCTCTTATCACTTCAAGCTAGTGGGAACAAATACCGTCAGTACAATCCCATAAAATCTGTGCAAAAGACCCAAAGTAAGGCAGCTTCAATCTAAGAATGTGTGAATCCACTCCCCGCCCGCACCCCGCCAAAAATCAATCAATCAATCAATCAATCCTGGTTTGCTCAAAAACTTGAAAAAACAAAAAAGCCCTAAACCCTGAAATCTCTACTAGTTAGGGCAAGAGAGGACTCCTCTCTCACCCAGATACTATCAACAAAGAAGTAAGGATGCATTACATTTTATCTAAACTGTAAATTTATACAACCTCTGGAAAGATGGCAGAGTGGCCTTCCTGGCAGTGCTGTCTAGGTGGCTAATCTGAATGTCAAGGAAGCTGAAATCCTCTCCACTTACTAACTAGAGGGCAGGCTCATTCCAAGGTGTGCGGGAGAGAGTTCGCCAATTTTCTACCACTTAACAATCAGCAAGTGTTTACAATGTTTTTGTGTTTCGAGAGCAAGGGCAAAGACAATCGAGTTTGCATTCTATCGTCCTGCCTTGTTTAGGGGCAGTATATTTAGGGTGCTTAATTCTGGGACACAATGCGACCCCGGACAAGGCGCCTGAGGCCTGTCTCTCTCGCTCACCCTGCGTCCCTAGTGGGTCTCATCGATCCACGCATTTATTCCCATTTGTAACAGATGGCTGCCGTCAAGGCTCCGTCACCCCTATTTGCTTAACCACATCAGCCAAGGGAGCAGGCTAGGGAGCACACCCCTTCTGGGGGCTCGAGACCTCCCTGGGTGGAGCAGAACTGCAGCGGCTGCAGGTCCCGGAGAGTCTGGGAGAGGTCGAGGTTGACAGAGGAGGTGGGTAGGGGGCGCGGGCGCCAGGGGCGATGGAAGCGGCGATGATGCCAGGCCGGGTGGGTGCGCTCCAGTGTGAAAAAACTTACAAGTCTCTGAGCACACAAAGAGATAAGATTCCAAGGGAAAATTAAAGAACCGAAGAAAAGGAGAGTGAAACTCCAGGAAACTCCGAGGTCAGGAATTTGGGGGAATCTAGGGGAAAAGGGACTTCTCCGAGAACTGGTAGCGCGGAGGAGGGGACGCCTGAGGAGCCGCAGTCTCCAGGAGAGCGGTAAGCCCCGGCCTGCGCGGGTTCCCATCCCTGTTCTCACCAGTACGAGGGCTGCGGCCGCCAGCGCCGCGCCGAGCACCGCCAGCTGCAACAGAAGCGGAGCCATTCTCCATGCCGTGGCAGCCCGCCCAATCCCGCACCTCCACACAGGCGGAAGCGCGCCCGCGCGACCCGGCCCCGCCGCCAGAGAGGTCGCGCCCGCTGGCCGCAGCGCCCCCGCGTGGCGAGGCGGAGAAAACGCCGCTCTCGTGCCCTCGGCGCCCAGTCGGTGGAGAGGAGCGCTAGGTTCCACAGCGGGGCGCCAGGTTTATCAAGTATGCAAGACGTCTACTTAATTTGAATTTCAGATTAAAAAACTAATCATGTTTTTAACAGCCTTATTAAGATAGCCACATACCATACGACTCATCCAGTTACAGGTTTCTGGTTTATTACATTAGTTTTTATAAACTGTGGTAAAATAAAAAGTTGCCATTTTAATCATTTTAAGTTTACAATAGTGAGTGGCATTAATTACATACATACTGTGCAACCATCACCACTATCTATCTGTAAAGCCTTCCCAGCTCCCTCCAGGTTCTGGCAACAACTAATTGCATGCTCTATTTGGGGCATACTCATGCTTTAAAAAAAAAAAAACCCACAAAAAAACAAAAACAAAAAACAAAAAAACCACGCTGTGTTTATCAGACATTCAAATTTAACGTGGTATCCTGTATTTTATCTGGTAACCCCACCTAGGAGGGAGATGGCAGCCTTGAGCACGACACAGTCTACAACACAAGGTGATGCTTAGGAGCCCTCAGCTCCGGGACCTGCAGAGCAGAACGTGGTGCGGACAATGAGCGCACAGAAAGTTCAGGTTTCTCGGCCGAGCGCCGTGGCTCACGCCTGTAATCCCAGCACTTTGGGAGGACGAGGCGGGCGGATCACAAGGTCAGGAGATCGAGACCATCCTGGCTAACACGGTGAAACCCCGTCTGTACTAAAAATACAAAAAATTAGCGGGGCGCGGTGGCGGGCGTCTGTAGTTCCAGCTACTCGGGAGGCTGAGGCAGGAGAATGGCGTGAACCCGGGAGGCGGAGCTTGCAGTGAGCCGAGATCGCGCCACTGCACTCCAGCCTGGACGACAGAGCGAGACTCTGTCTCAAAAAAAAAAAAAAAAAAAGTTCAGGTTTCTCATGTGTTGGAGCACGGAGCCCTTGACCAGTGAAGAGGCAAGGCCAGGGCTGAGCCTAAGTCACAGGCAGAAAAAAGACGCAGAAACATTGGAATAACGCTCCACACGCACTGCTTGATTCTGCGCTAGAAACCCTGTTATCTCCGAACTGTTGGTGTTATTCTGAGTCACAGCACCAGCTCTTTTATAAAGAGGGAGACCCGCTCCTTCTTTAACAGCAGATTCGTCAAAATACGTCCAAGGCAAGGAAACCTAGAAAGGCGTCTGGGCAGGGGAAAGTCGATGCGAGGGCGGGCCAGGGACCTTTCGTCGCGTCCCCACCTTGGCATTTCCCGTGGCGTGAGCGGCCCCGGCATCCGTGTCGAAAGTGCGGCGGCGGAACAGGCGCGCAGGAGAGGAGCGGCGCAGGCGCAGACGCGCGGGCGGGAAGATGGCGGCTGGGTTCAAGTGAGTGTTGGCGGGTGGCGGGTAGAGTTCTGTACCCTGGCGGACGGCAGCTTCCTTTAACTCTTAGCTGGGATTCTCTCACCTGGAGGCCGACCCCGTTGGGGTGCCATTTCCTTCCTCGTCGAGGCAGACGATGGGCGGGAGGACCTGGAGGTTGTCACAGTGAAAAGAAAGGGCTTCTTCCTCAGTGAGACGGGAGATGAAAGGACTCTGTAGAGTTCCATACCCGCTGCGAGCGCTCGTGAGCGTGGTGTGTAGTGAACGTGCAGTCCCAGGAGACATAGTTGTAATCTTTTAAAGATTGTGGCCGGGCGCGGCGGTTCACGCCTGTAATCCCAGCACTTTGGAGGACGAGGCGGGCGGATCACCTGACGTCAGGAGTTCGAGACCAGCCTGGTGTACATGGTGAAACACTGTCTCTAATAAAAATATAAAAATTAGCCGGGCGTGGTGGCGGGCGCCTGTAGTCCCAGCTACTCAGGAGGCTGAGGCAGGAGAATCGCTTGAACCCGGGAGGCAGAGGTTGTAGTGAGCCGAGATCGCGCCACTGCACTCCAGCCTGGGCGACAGAGTGAGACTCTGTCAGAATCAATCAATCAAGATTGTTGCATCAGAACCACATACCGCCTGCTTCTCCCTCTCCCGTAATTTATTTCTAAAAGGATCATGCCTCGTTTGGAAGGTTTTTGTGTGTGTGAAGCCAGTGGACTTTCTTAAAGTTTTTAAAAAATGGATAAAATAAATAGGATTCCAAAGGAAATCCATTATGTTGAAATAGTTATCTATGAGTATAAACTCCGAAGACACGATATAGTAGTATATATACTTGGTTTAAAATTAACCTTCGTAAACAAGATCTAGTGGCGAGACTAGTAGTAACTCCTGGGATTTCAAAGTAACGGTGAGCCTGAACATACCTTACACAGCTAAAGGGTGCAAACGAAAACATCTGTGGTCTCCGTGGTTGTTAAAGTTGCAGGTACTGCTAATGTTACTATGGCTTATTGCTTACAGTCATAATTGAAGAATATGCTAAATTTCACTTACAGTGAAAATAAAGATGTACCTTTTTGTTTCCTGAGTTATCTAGTAAGAGGTTAACTATTCATGATCACTAGATTATTAAAATAATCTTTTTTCATGATCACTAGATCACTCTGAATCCTTGTTTCAGAGCAAGAACGACATGATTCTTTTGACACAGATTGAGCTTTTAAAGAGCTCACTCAAAGGGCTTTTAGACGCCAATCTTCTAATCGTTTATGGCAGAGTTAAGGACAGCAATTGAATGTGATTGCTACTACAAGGATTTTTACTTTCTAGAATTACTTTTAGTTAAAAAGTTGTGGAGATTTATGCTGCATCACCACACTTAAGATCTTTGCCAATTTCTGGATTTATGTTAAGATTCATCAGTTTATCTCAGATATATTTTTAACACGTGTTTCAGAACCGTGGAACCTCTGGAGTATTACAGGAGATTTCTGGTGAGTAAAGGTTATGTACATGTTATGCGTTTTGATAACGAGCTGCTTTTAAAGATGAATTTCAAGTAATTTAAATTAATCCATTTGAAGTAACATTTAATGTGTGTGTAAAACTTGTGATAGATGTGTAAAATATGTAATAGGTATAATCTATTTTTATATAAACATATTTATTTAGAAAGAGAACTGCCGTCCTGATGGAAGAGAACTTGGTGAATTCAGAACCACAACTGTCAACATCGGTAAGGATGTATTTTCCACTTTCAACTGTATGATATTCCCAAGTTTTAGTCTATGAACCAGCCAAACAGTTTTTCACCCAAATTCTTTGTCTAAAGGATTTGATGATTTTTTTTGTCAAGAGATTTTTATCCGTACAAAAGCCCTGTAACTAAATGAAAAATGATTAACACAAATTCAAGGACAGGTGAATAATTATTTAAACACTAATTTAAAATAGTTATGTAAAAATCAATTATTCTAACTTGAAATATTCATAAGCAACTGAGAGGGGTAGCAAGATAATCGTACACAGCAAACTAAAACACTTAATTTTAATTATTATGTGGATAATTTTGTAGCTGTTTTCCTTTTATGAACCTTTCATTTTGCTTATCTTTTCAGGTTCAATTAGTACCGCAGATGGTTCTGCTTTAGTGAAGTTGGGAAATACTACAGTAATCTGTGGAGTTAAAGCAGTAAGTCTAAATATGTCCTATTGAGATTTGAGTTACAAAGTTAGCTTTATTTATTAGATTGTAATATACACCTGTAATTCTACTCTTGATTTGGTAGTTGGGTGTCAATTTTTAATGTTTAATTTCCCAAGAGCTTTCACTATGAGTGTTAGATAATATGACCCAAGTTTAATGACTAAGTGAACAATTGTCAAATGTAGCAAAATGAAACAACTTTTAAAATCTGAGTCACCATTTTAAAAAAATTGTTATATCATTTGAGACATTAACAGATTTTTGGTGACATCCTTTTAGCCAGTGATGACATGTAATCTGTGTAAATGTGTAGAAAATTGAAATTGTTGAAAAGAAAAATTTGAGGGAATACTGGCTACCATTTACTGAGTACTTGCTATGTTCCAGACACCTTTTTAGGTGCTTTACAGAATTATCCACTTTAATGCCTATAACAATCATTTGTTACTTGTCTTCACCTCCTGTTTTACAGATGACTTTCAGTAACCTGTCCAGGTACATAAGACTCATAAGTAAAACTTAGACATAAATCTGACTCCAAAGCCTGTGCTTCTTTGACTACAGTATACCCTGTGTTATTTAACCTCAGTTGAGATTCTTCTTTCGTAAACCTGGAGTGATGTATAACAGTAAGATTTGAGAACTTGCTCCTTGTCAGGTTTTATGCCTGGGATTTAACAGGTCTATCTCATTTGGCCCTTATTAACAGTCCCTAGGAGTAGACACTATTTTCTTCCCATTTGACAAGATGAGGAGTTTAAGGTAAGAGGTTAAATAACTTGCCTGAAGTCTCTCAGCCAGTAAGTATGGCTCTGACATTTGAACTGGCTTAGTAATTGCAGAGCATTTGCTTTTTTTTTTTTTTTTGAGACGGAGTCTTGCTCTGTCGCCCAGGCTGGAGTGCAGTGGCACGATGTCAGCTCACTGCAAGTTCCGTCTCCTGGGTTGAAGTGATTCTCCTGCCTCAGCCTCCCAAGTAGCTGGGATTACAGGCGCCCGCCACCATGCCTGGCTAATTTTTGTATTTTTAGTAGAGACGGGGTTTTGCCATCTTGGCCAGGCTGGTCTCAAACTCCTGACCTCAGGTGATCCGCCCGCCTCTGTGTCCCAAAGTGCTGGGATTACCGGTGTGAGCCACCGCGCCCAGCTGAGCTTTTGCTCTTTACCACTAAAGCAGCAGTTCCTAAATCTTGCTCTATCATCTGGAGAACAAATTAAGATTCTTGGCTAGTAGTTGGGGGCACAAACCCAGTTACTATTTTTTAAAAGATCTCCAGGTAATCTTGCCGAGCAGCACTGTAGTGTAGTCCACTGTACTGTAGTGCCTTCTTATCTTGTAGAGCTATTGTGAGGATCAGCACCAATGTCCGTAGAGGCCCTGACACAATTCCCTAAGCTGATATTTGATAGAGCCTTCCATAACTGATTGCTAAATTGTCTTCATAATTTTTCAGTAGCTTCTTTCAATAGGAAACATTTCTTTGCTACTATAGGAATTTGCAGCACCATCAACAGATGCCCCTGATAAAGGATACGTTGGTAAGTTAAATGGTTTTGTAATTTTAATACAAATACTTTTAACACATTTAATAATTTTTAGTTAAGTCCTAGTTAAGTTGATGTAAAGAAAATTATTCCTAATATTCGGAAATATTTATGAATAAAACAAATTCCTCAAAAGTTTTCCGTGTGTTAGTAAAAGATAGCATAATAGCAGGATATAGAATTTCATAAATTTAACCTTTATCAAACTTGTTTGCTCAATTTTTGTTTATACATTCATAAGTTACTAACCAAGAAAATAGAATTTTGGCTGGGTGTGGTGACTCACACCTATAATACCAGGATTTTGGGAGGCCAAGACAGCAGGATCGCTTCAGCCCAGCAGTTCAAGACCAGCCTGGGAAACAAAGGAGACCCCGTATCTACAAAAAAAATCAAGTTAGCTGGGTGTGCCAGTGCACACCTGTGTCCCAGCTACTTGGGAGGCTGAAGCAGGAGGATTGCTTGAGCCTGGGAGGTTGAGGCTACAATGAACTATAATTGTGTCACTGCATTCAAGCCTGAGTGACAGAGTGAAACCCTGTTTCAAAAGAAAAAAAAAATAGAATGGAATTTTTTTAAGTCAAAGAACTGTCATTGCACACCTTTTGTTTCCATAAAGATTCTTTGCTTTATACAACTGCTATTTTTTTCTTGCCTTGGAACCATCTGTTCTTTATGGTAGGAACCAACATTTTTTTTAAATGAGAAAAACAGTTGGATGTTAGCAGAGGGGCTATATATACTTCAGTTACAGATTGAGGTATTTTGAAAGATACCAGGAAAACTCGTAAAGGATTTAGAATTGAGGTCTAAAATAGATTTTTTAAAAAGGCATATGGGGGAAAAATGTCAGAAAAATAGAAATTTCATGGCTGGGAGTCTTAGAGAGACCAAACAGAATATAACTATAATGTTACAATGTATTCTACTCAGAAGAGCCTGTCCATGGCCACAGTTGCCTTTACTGTGGATTGATAATACCTTTAACACTTCAGTAATCCATAAATTGAAAAGTTTAGGCCGGGCATGGTGGCTCACACCTGTAACCTCAGCACTTTGCGAGGCTGAGGCGGGCGGATCACGAGGTCAGGCGATCGAGACCATCTTGGCCAATATGGTAAAACCCTGTCTACTAAAATACAAAAAATTAGCCGGGCGTGGTGGCGTGTGCCTGTAATCTCAGCTACTTGGGAGGCTGAGGCAAGGAAATCTCTTGAACCTGGGAGGTAGAGGTTGCAGTAAGCTGAGATCGCACCAATGCACTCCAGCCTGGCAACAGAGCAAGACTCCATCTCAAAAAAAAAAAAAAAAAAAAAAAGGTTTAGTTCATAGCTGCAGAGTGTTTCTTTCAGTTCCTAATGTGGATCTACCACCCCTGTGTTCATCGAGATTCCGGTCTGGACCTCCTGGAGAAGAGGCCCAAGTGGCTAGCCAGTTCATTGCAGATGTCATTGAAAAGTAAGAGCACCATGATAAAATTTTATTACAATTCATTTTCAGATAGTTTTGGGCTTTTCATTTACTTTGCTCTTTGTCATTAAATCAAGTTCACAGATAATTCAGAAAGAGGACTTATGCATTTCTCCAGGAAAGGTAAGAGGAATAGAGAAGCTATAAGTTCTTATTAATTCTGAAGGGATTTTTTTTTTGTGGGGGAAAGTGAACAAGGAAATTAAAACCACCAATCAAAGTAGCTTTAAATATGGATGTCTTACAGATTTTAGAGATTCAGTAATTTCTTACTCTATAATTCTCTAAATGAACCATATTGTTTATAAAAAAACAAGTTTGACTAACTTACTGCCTGTCTGGGAGCTACCTTTTAAACTGAAGTAATTTTTTTCCCCCTTAACTTTTAAAGTTCAATCATTTTTTATTCCTTATAGCAGATTATAACATTAATCATGTTAACATATGTTTATGGTGAATCCACACAGTAGATTCCAAAGTCTATTTGAAAATGTAAAACTAGGTTGATTAGAACCTAGAGAGGCTTTCCTACTAGATCATATAAACTGATACATTAGCACTGTAAAACTTAAACATTTCATGTATTATGAGAACGTGCATTTTGAATTTTAGCTAGGGCTTTCAAAACCATCTCCCTTATCTGTAACCTCCCAATGAGAATGGAAATTCCTTCTACATCTGTAGCTCCATTAAGGGAAATGGACATGTTTGTCATTTGTCAGCCTGGCAATCAAAAGCCAGCTTTCACAAAACCTGTCCACTTTCTTCTGGTTTTCTATAGAACTTTAAAAAGGTGAAGCATTTTCTTAAGGTTTTTGAGCCTTGAAAGTTATCTTGCTTGTTTAACCAAGGGTTCTGTGGTTCTTAAGTCTAAGCTAATAGCATGTTCTACCCATTAGAAGACTTTAATTTCCTTTTGTGTTTAATTCTATTTTAGCTTGTCTGGGTTCTATACTGTGATCTCATTTGCCTCGACTACGATGGAAACATTTTGGATGCCTGCACATTTGCTTTGCTAGCGGCTTTAAAAAATGGTAAGCAGCCTTACAAAAAAGGCAATATTCCCACTCATGGGTTAGAATGTTGTTTTGTGAAACTTTTAATGTACATTTGCTTTCGTATGCTTCCAAATTAATGAATGTAATGCTGACATGACTTTCCAAATATAGTTGATAGTTGTATATTCTCTAACTGAATGCTCTTTAGAGTGCTGCTTTGACTGTACCCATCTACTTAAGTTAGGACTTCAGTCCTTTCCAAAATAGTGTTAATATTGGTGGGAGAAGGAGACAAGAGTTGTAACTTCTGGCTAGGTGATTGGTGAAGATCTGCCAGTATCCTCATAGTTCTTTATGTGATATTGCCAAAAGAAGTAGAATGGATTCTGTTGTTTTTACTGTGAGGCCATAGTAATAGGGAAGTTTCTTAGCAAGGAGTCTAGGTTGACTGATTAGTTACAGATTTCAATAACTTGTGCATATTCCCTATCATTGATGAATGATGAATTGGTAGGAACAAATAATTGGAGGTGGAATATAAAGTTAGCACAGCAATATTATAGTAGAGTGGTTAAGTGAATTGGAGGTAGAAAATGAAGTCAGCAAAATATTATAATAGACTGGTTAAAGTAGATTCCTGGCTCTCTCACTCTGTGCTGAAGTTTCCTTATCTATAATAAAATAGGGATAATAGTACTTACTTTGTAAGAGTATTGATTAGGTGAATACAATGAAAATATGAAAATGCTTAAAACAGTACCTGGCAGATATAAATTTAAAAAAAAATCATTGACTTCTTAAACTTAAAAAAAAATTATGCAATAAGCACTAGGTAGGAATGTCAGATGTTGTGAAAAGCAATGTATATCCTCTATATTTACCTTAGTGGCTGTAAGGTGCTTTTTAAAAAGAAATGTTCTGGGCAAGTTAAATAGAGGGAAAGGTGAATTAAAAAAAAAAAAGCTTAGAAATCATTTGTTTCTTAGAGACTTACTTACTTTACAAATTTGCCTTTTCTTAGTACAGTTGCCTGAAGTTACTATAAATGAAGAAACTGCTTTAGCAGAAGTTAATTTAAAGAAGAAAAGTTATTTGAATATTAGAACTCATCCAGTTGCAACTTCCTTTGCTGTGTTTGATGAGTAAGTTAATCAAACTTACTTTAAAATTTTCTATATTTAAGATTAGGGTAATTGATGTTCAGCATTCTAACTCTTTAGGAAGTGCTATGGTGACCCTACATCCTAGTTTTCCCTGGACACTTGAGTTTCTACTTGTCCCTGCACAATTATTTCTAGTCACTGCACAATTATTACCTGTTCCTTGGTTTACTTATACCTGTGTAATGTTAATTTCCAATTCTTTCACTATAAGATTTATCTGAAGCTATCTTCAATATTTTCCAAGGATTTTAGCACGTTCAGAAATAGAAGAGCAGGGCCGGGCATGGTGGCTCATGCCTGTAATCCCAGCACTTTGGGAGGCTGAGGCAGGGGATCACCTGAGGTCAAGAATTCAAGACCAGCCTGGCCAACATGTTGAAACCCTGTCTCTACTAAAAACACAAAAATTAGCTGGGTGTGATGGCGTGTGCCTGTTAATTCCAGCTACTTGGGAGGCTGATAGTATGTTTAGTATTTTAAAGTAAAATTTGTTCCATGGATTGATAACTTATATTTTTTTCTTTTTATAGCACTTTGCTTATAGTTGACCCTACTGGAGAGGAGGAACATCTGGCAACAGGAACCTTAACAATAGTAATGGATGAGGAAGGCAAACTCTGTTGTCTTCACAAACCAGGCATGTTCCCGCCACTTCAGTCCTAAACATATGTAGATGAAAACTCAGTGTGAGCCTTAAATTAGGGAGGGCCAAATAGAATATGGGATATTTTATTTACCTAATTTTAGTATAGTTTCTTAGCTACCTAAAATGTTCTTCCATCTTAATGGTATATGTCAGTGGTTCTTAAACTTAAGACATACATTAGAATCACTTGGAGGTCTTGTGAAACTAACTTGTAGATCTTGAGACTGTACCCTGATTTACATTATCCAATTTTTTTGTTTTATAATTTGACATGACATTAATGTTTTTTGAAAAGGAATGATAACTGAGATTAAAAGTATTGGCAAAATAATTTTTCAGGTGGAAGTGGGCTAACTGGAGCTAAACTTCAGGACTGTATGAGCCGAGCAGTTACAAGACACAAAGAAGTTAAAAAACTGATGGATGAAGTAATTAAGAGTATGAAACCCAAATAAACAGCCACCACATTTTCAAAACAGATTTGTAAAAATTGTATTTGTTAACACTGTGCACAAACGTTTTATACTAAATAAATATCAAACTACATTCTTCTGAAAGATGTTTCTATTATTTCTTAGGTCACTTCCATATATATTATGTATAGTGAAACCATTTTTAAAAAGCAATGACTTAGGCAAACCAACCCTAGTTTGTTAAACCATTTCCCTGTTTTTATTTAAAAATGATAAGGTTGTGCTTCTGTATAAAGTTTGTACATCTAGCAATGTAAAATACTGACACATTAAAAAAAACAAAAAGTAGAAACTCAATTCTTTTGATTCAGTGCTCTTGTGTTTTTAAAAAAGGAACAAAAAGTAATGCAAGACTCAAAATTTTGGAGTGGTTGGCGTGCCTCTCTTCATTTTACTTTTTGACTGGCTGCCTGTATGCCGATGATGATGTAGCTGAGCTGTTTGTGCTGCTGCTGCTGCCATAGCCATTTGATGCTGCAAGAATCGCAACTGCTGCAAAAGGGAGGGAAAAAAATCGAGTTATGTTAAATGCAGGCAGGTGTAGAAAGGTGCTTTTCCTGAGTGACGAAACAACACAACTGAAAAAGGGAGAAAGCACCAAGATAACAAAAAGGGACTATACCACATTGAGACAATGCACAGTCAAACAGCACCAGTGGCACAGAAGCCTGCTAAGGGCTTTAAAAATGATTCTTGGCAAACTTCAAAATTATTTGTTACTTTGCCCTGCCAGTCTATATTGTAGTAACTCAGCAACTTCAGTTACCATTTTGTTGTATAATGATGGTTTATAGCAATATAAAACAACCCTGAATATCAAGATAGTCAACTATAATATGCTGACTTTCCTTCCTAAAATTATGGTATAACATTTTTCTAAATAAACAGGTATGACATTTACTAATAGGAACACTTTTCTGCAGTAAAATATTAGAAAGTTAACAATTGGCACTTACAACTGTCTTTCAAAATATACTGCATACTAGAAAAATGTATGTTAATGTGCCACCAGCACTTCATGAAAAATTTTATAGAGTATGGCTTAAATATACAAAATATATTCAGTGCTCCAAGTTGACTGGCTAAAATGTCAGACTTTAAAATTTGCTAAATTATTTACCAATTACTGTACAGTCTTAAAAGACAGTAAAATAAAACTAAAGCAAGTTATTTTGAGGTACTTTTGGAGCTGAGTATCTTTAAAAATGTAATCAGAGTGAAGTTGCTGGATTACTTGTATCTGTTGCTGCTGCTGTTGAAAGGCAGAGGAGAGCTGGAATCTCTGCTGAGGAAGGCTTTGCTCAGGTCTGTTCTCGGCAGAGCCAAGCTGAGACAACACTACAGAGAGGAGAAGGGGAAAGCAGGCCAGTCAAAAAGTTTGAAGGCTACCAGGGTTAGAAAAGGACAACATAGAAAATGAAATAATAGAAAAGTTAGCAGTATGATTAATCTTAAGTATCAAATCATAGACATTTCAGAATAAATTTAGTATATGGTCTCCTGTTAGTTGGGGGTACCACTGATAATGGAACTTTCTGGACACAAAAAGAGAAGGGAGTGCATTATGTATCAAAGCACTGAACCTCTCTTCTCTTGCATCTGTATAAAATTTGATATTGATGCTATTTTGTTTAGAAGAGTATATTATTTTTGAAATAAAACCAACAAAGTAGGAGAAGGGAGATGGAAGAAATCCAAACTATTGTAACAACAAAGCTGGTAGACAGACAATTGCTTTAAACAAAAGATGCTGCAATGAATATCAGACTACTCTACTAACAATAAAGGTGGTGAACTGAGACTAAGCATTGTTTGTTATTTTTTTAGCTGAATGGGACCACAGTAATCAGTTCAACACTCATTTTACATATGGGGAAGTTTGAAGGCCAACATGATTTAAGTGACTCAGACTCAAAGTTAAGTATGGCAGTCTGTGGCTAAGAACATTCTCATGATTTTTTTCAGACTAGAGTTGTTTCCACTAAATTATACTACAGCTATTTTCGGAAATTCACAATTGGTCTGATAAAGGTATATGATTATATAAACTTCTATTTGGAAATTCACTACCTCTAAATTGGAACTTTATATGTAAGGATAACTGACTTCCAAAATAAAGATTATCATTCTAAAAGACTTCTAAAGGCATCATAGTAAGCCCACAGTGATAAGATGCTGACAACACAGTCACTCATTCAATCCTCAAACTCCTATCATAGTTTTCTTATACATATGGCTTACTCTTTTAATTAAGTGTGAAGTTAGAATTATCGTCTTCAACTGACAGGAAGTTAGAATTATCGTCTTCAACTGACAGGAAGTTAGAATTATCGTCTTCAACTGACAGGATAATCATTAAGAGTAATCTTTAGTTCACCATTTACTGCTGGAAGTGTTGAGAAGTAATTTAATCTTTTTTTTTAAATGATAAAAGTGACTTACAGAAGTTATGCTATTGACCATTAAGACTTAAGTCATTTATGCAACTACAAGTTACCAGAACGAGACAAAAGATTATGCAATCTAGAAAAATTCAGTCTTAACCCAGGAAAACAAAAAAGTTATTAATTAAGATAACTATTGGCAAACACTGAAAACAGCTCTGGTAACCTAGTAAAGTGGATAATTATTTTGCCAGTAAACTGTAACAAGGAAACACAACTGTGGTAATTATGTTAAGTCAAAGCTCTTAATCCACTATCAATGAAAAAAAATCTCAGCCATCAATCAATTTAATAGTTTACACATTATAGCTTTACTTTTTCCTGTTTACTGGTTGCAAGGGAAGGAAAAGAAAATAATTTAAGCGGTGAGATCCCAAATAGATTAGATATGTTTAGTAAATTCAGCATATAAAGTTATGAAGATACCTACCAGCTGCCTGTGACTGCATAAAACTTCCTACTCCAGTAAGGTTAATAACAGCAGCTTGCTGAGCAGATAAGGCCTGTTCTTGACTGGTTGAACCTTGCTCAGAACCCTGAATAAAAAAATAATAAATGACTTGTACAAGAAAGAAAAACAAATTTGAGCTGGTGAAAAGAAATCAGTATTTTTTCCTATATGAAAGAAAGCAGTATTAGACTAGTCTTGTAAAAAGAATAACAAGGAAAATACTTCAAAGGTATTTAGAATAAGCAAGAATAAATTTATGGTATTTGAACAAAGAAAACTTCATTTTTCAGTGCATCTGTATTTATTGTTTAATGCTACCTAGATAACGCCTAAGGCTTTTATAAAGCTTCACTGAAACAATTTTTTAAAGCTTAAAACACCCTTTGTAACATAAACATAGTGCTGGAACTTTTAGTCAGCAGACTAAGTCAAGAAAAGGAAATAAAAGGTATATAGATTTTATAGGAAAAAATAAAATTGTCCTTATTTTCAAATGGCACAACTGTCTATATGGTAGAAAACCCTAAGCAATCTCCAAAACAGCTCCTAGAAGTAGTAAGTCCAGTAAGAGGGCACAAAACAAGACCAATATACAAAAATCAACACTATATATACTAGTAATGAACATGTGAAAACTGAAATAAAAAAAATACCATTCACAATTACTCAAAAAAAAAGAGAAAAGCTTAGGTATTAATCTTAAGTCTAAGAAAACATATACAGGGCTTGTATACCAAAAACTACAAAACATTGACTTTGGTCTAGATAAGGACATATACTATGTTCATGTACTGGAAGACTCACATCATAAAGATGGCAGTTCTTCCCCCAAACTGATCAACAAGTTTAACTCAATTCTTTTAGAAATGCTGGCAAGGTTTTTGTAGATATAGACAAGATGACTTTAAAATGTATATGGAAAGGTAGAGAACCTACATTAGCTACAACAATTTTGAAAAATGGTATGGGAGAAAACACTGCCCAATTTTAAGACACTACAATGAACAAGACAGTGTGGTATTGGCTGAAGGAGAGACACATAGATTAATGAAACAGAACAGGGAACCTAGAAATAGACCCACTCAAATAGACCCAACTGACTTTTAACAAATGTGCAGAAGTAATTCAATTCAGAAAGAATAGCTGTTTTTTTTCTTTGTTGTTGTTTTCTTTTTTTTCAACAAATGGTATTGAAACAATTGGATACTGATAGGAAAACAAAAACAAACAAAAACAAAACACGGACCTAAGTTGCACATCTTGTACAAAAATTAACTGAAAATGGATCATGGATTCAAAATAAGAAACTATAAAACTGTTAGAAAAAAAACACAGGAGAAAATCTTTGGGACCTAGAGCTAGGTAAAGAGTTCCGAGACATGAAAACTAGAGGATATTCCATAAAGAAAAGATACTGTTAACTTGGACTTCAGCAAAATTAAAAACTTTTGCTCTGCAAAAGACATCCTTTGGTACCACCTAAAATAGTGTCTGAAGTAACATTTCAGTATATAATTGCAAGCCAAACATTTCAAAAGTTACATTTATCTTGAGGGGATCTCCCTGGATATAAAAGATTGGACAAAAGAGCACAGAGCTGAAAGGAGGACACATTATTGAATTTGGAACCCAGTTCATGAAATGAACAACAGAATAAGGCAGACCACATCACCACCATAACGGAGCTATGATAAAACAAACAAAAAAACTCAAAATGCAAAAAAACTACAGGTGATATCAATTTCCCCCCAAAGCACTCCACAAACCTAATGTAGACTATAAGCCACCACCACAAATGGAATATTCAAACAAGGAGGAATAATGATTAAACAAACATCTTGAAGAAGAAAA
The DNA here is from genome assembly GCF_000001405.40 of Homo sapiens. Lineage (NCBI taxonomy): Eukaryota > Metazoa > Chordata > Mammalia > Primates > Hominidae > Homo > Homo sapiens. The sequence goes on from NC_000013.11 coordinate 37,014,064, forward strand.
CAAATACTAAGAAATAAAAGGACTCAGGCTAAAACTAAAAGGATGAAAAAAGACGTACTAAGCTAACGTTAATCAAAAGAAAGAAACAAGAAATATTACCAGAGATAAAGAAGGTCATTTATTAATGATAAGGGGTAAATTAATCAAGGAAATAACAATCCTAAATGTATATGCACCTAACAATATGGGCTCAAAAAACAACCTTTAGCAAAAGGAAAAATAGAAATTTTCAGTTTTGGTTGAAGACTTCAACACTTCTCTCAGTAACTGATAAAACATACAGAAAGAAAAGGATATAGAAGACCTGAATGATGCCATCAAATACCTTGATCTAATATGGAACACTCCTAACAGCAGAATATACATTTTTTCAGCCATATATGGAGTATTCATCAAGACAGATCACGTTCTCAAGCATTAAACAAACCTCAACAAACTTAAAAGAACCAAAAATATGTTTTCAGATCACAGTGGATTTAAACTAGAAATCAACTGCAGAAAGATATTTGGAAAATTCCCAAGTATTTGGAAATCAAACATATCTAAATAACTGATTTAAGAGGAATCCATAAGAAAATTCTGTGGAACAAAATGAAGGCACAGCATATCAAAATTTGTGGAAAGTGGCTTAAGCAGTACTGAGAAGGAAATGTGTAACATTAATTGTTTATTTTAGAAAAGAATGACCTCAACACAATAATCTAAGCTTCCACTTACGAAACTACAAACTATCATCCAAGAAAACATTCCAGAAATAAAGAAGTGACTCTACACATTAAAAGGATCCACAGGAAAAACATGGAAAAATCAATTCTGACACACACACCAGTGAAAATATTAGACAAGCATTCAGGGCCTCTAGGCAAACTGCTTAAATAAACTTACAAGAGCAAGATAATTAGACTGGCATCAGATTTCTCAAAAACATATAAAGCAAGTCAACAGTAGGAAGAGTTCTTAATAAATTTAAAGGAGACCTAAAACTAGAGAACATTTATAAGAAAACAAGTGAAAATGCTTCAGGACATTGGATTTGGCAATGATCTTCAATATGATACCAAAAGCACAGGCAAGAAAAGTAAAAAGAGAAAATGAACTACATTAAAATAAAAAAAAAAAAAACTTCTGTGCAATGGATGCAATCAAGAGTGAAAAGACAACAAATGGGAGAAAATATCTGGAAATCAAACATCTGATATATGTGTATATGAAGAATGAAGAACTCCTACAATTCAACAACAAAAATTAATCTGAAAAAAAAAAAATGGGCAAGGGACCCAAACAGACTTTTCTCCAAAGATGGTACACAAATGGCCAACATGCATATGAAAAGATGCTCCACACCACTAGTCATTAAGGAAATGCCAATCAAAACCACAATGGGATTATCACCTCACACCCATTAGGAAGGCTGCTTAAAAAAAAAAAAAAAAAATTCCCTAAAGACCCAACCACCACCAGAAAATAACAAGAGTTGGCGAGGATTTGGACAAATCGAGATCTCTGTATGTTGTTGATGGGAATTAGGTAAAATGGTACAGCCACTATGGAAAACAGTATGATGCTTCTTAAAAAATTAAAAATTACCACATGAACCAGCAATCCAACTTCTGGGTATATATCCAGAAGAGTTGAAGACAGGGTCTCAAAGAGATAATTGTACACTCACACTCACACTAGCATTATTTACAATAGCCGAAAGGTGGAAGATACCCAAGTATCCATCAGTGGATGAATGGATAAACAAAATATGGTATATACAAGTATTATTCACCATGAAAAAGGAAGGTGATTCTGACACATGCTATAAAATGAATGACCCTTGAAGACTTTATGCCAAGTGACATAAGTCAAACACAAAAGGACAAATAACTATATAACTGCACTTATATGAGGTATCTTGAATAGTCAAACTCATACTAACATAAAGTAGAATAGTGGCCGAGGGGAGGAGTTGTTATTTACCAGATATAGTTTCAGTTTTGCAAGATGAAAAAGTTCTATAATAGAAATCTGTTGCATAACAATGTGAATACACTTAACACTGCTGAATTGCACACTTAAGAAGTTAAAATGGTAAGTTTTGGCCAGGCACGGTGGCTCATGCCTGTAATCCCAGCAGTCTGGGAGGCTGAGGTGGGCGGATCACGAGGTCAGGAGATCAAGACTATCCTAACATGGTGAAACTCCGTCTCTACTAAAAATACAAAAAAAAAATTAGTCGGGCGTGGTGGCACATGTCTGTAGCGACAGCTACTCGGGAGGCTGAGGCAGGAGAATCGCTTCAACCCAGGAGGTGGAGGTTGCAGTGAGCCAAGATTGTGCCATTGCACTCCAGCCTGGGCAACAGCGCGAGACTCTGTCTCAAAAAAAAAAAAAAAGTTAAAATGGTAAATTTTATGTGTACCTTAAAATTAATTTTTTTAAAAGAAAATCAAAGATTTTATATCTAGCCAAGCAATCTTTAATGTGTTTAGAATGAAAAAACAGTAAGTTTTTAATGTGCCCTTCCTGAGGACTCTATTAGAGGATGAGCTTTATCCAACCAAGACCTGACTGGGGGAAACTGGGCAAAAGGACTAATGGTGAATATTTCATATAATTTGTGAGATAGAGAAACTCTGGATTTGGGACTCAGGAATCAATATTTTTTTAATTTCCCAGATGACTCCAGTGTACCCAAAGTTTAGAAACACTTGTACTTCCTTCTTCTACTGTCATTTATTGCAATTCTTATTCAATTTCTTTCCCTTTGGCAGTGTACACATTTGTTTTTGTCTGTGTTCCCACTGCCCTACATTTTATGATAATAGGGATATCTTTATTCCAATAGCAACAAAATCCTAAAAACAGAAAGATAATGATGGGGTAGAAAATACATGAGTGATAGGGGCACAAAGACCTAGGTTTGAATCTCTGGCTCTGCCACTCACTGTATGGCTAAGAGCAAGCCATTTATCTGGATCTCAATCATCTATGCAAGATGCAGGTGATACCATCTATTCAGTATGGTATGACTGTTTTATTAGGAATACACACCCAATAGCTGATTGCTACTATTGTTAATAAAAACAGTACAGGAAATGTTTACACTAACAAAGCAAATGAAGTATGCTTGGAATATACCAAAAAATGTTATAAATTCGATGTAAAAGCATATGGAAGGCTAGAAAATCCATACCTGCTCCCCTGGCTGTTGAGGACTACAAGTTGTGGGCTGCTGAGGTTGTTGTGGTGTAAACTGGGAGAGCTGCTGTTGCTGCTGCTGCAGAGTGTTAAAAATAAGTGAACCACCTGGAAGCTATTAAGAATTTAAACAAAAATTAACCAATTTCACATGATTTTATATCAAATATTTAAATTTATTCTACAAATATTTTTGGATCATTTGCTATGTGTCACTCTTCTAGTTATTGAAGAAACAGGTAAAGAAAAAACAAGTTGGCTGCCCTTAAAAAAAAGACCTATTTAGAAACTGTTTTTAAGTCCTATTACTTTGGGCTCCCAAGTATGCTAATACTCTTAAACATAAATTTTTCTGCTTCAAGCTAGTAGTTAGCTATTCCAATTCACATGCTATTTTTCATTTCACTCTTTTTATACATCAATACAAAAGAGCACTAAATACATTAGAAAGTACAAACAAGCAGCTTATGAATCAGAAATGTATACTACGAAAAGCCACCCCTCATAAATTTGTTCTAGTTTTGCCAAAAACACAAATATTATACAAGATCTTTTGTATAACACAGTGAGGAATTTCAAAGCTGAAAAGAAAGTGCATTTAGATGTCCATATTTATTCTGTAGACCACTACTTTCTCTTTCATTCAAATCTAATTTGAATTTAATCCAAATTAAAAAACAATTTTTAAAGAAGCACTCAGAAAACTCCAGGTTAAAAGGGAAAACAATGCTTTTCAAATGCACCAAAAAACAAACAGTTTTTCCATTTTAAGCTATAGGGGTTTATATACGGACCACTTTGAGGTCCTTAGGAGAATGTCCAAGACAATACCAAATACAGAACTCTTAGGTCTGTATAGTCAAAAAAATAATAATAAAAAAAAAATAAAAAATCCTTGGGTCAAAGTATCTATCTATATCCATCACAGCTCATCATTAGGTAAATCTAGACACAGCACAGATCAAATGTTCCTTCCTCAATCAGTATACAGTAAATGTAGAAAAATATAACAAACTAAAGGATTTCCATTCCTGTTAACACTGAGACTGATCCCTAAGAAAATTTCAAAAGCAATATGCCGGAAGGTAGGCTAAATAAACAAATGCAATTTGTGGGCTTGCCCATATTATAAGTATATTGTTCTGCAATTAGTCTGTAAACATACTGCATCGTATATAGGAAACAAGTTTTAAATTTTAGCTCTAATGAGAATTTCCCGATTTGTTAATCCTGAATACCAGGGTGGCTGATCTGTTATTGTTATTTCCCATCAATCCATAGCTCTACTATGTTACATATCCAGATCTTTATAGTCACGTCTATCCATTTTCCAAACTACTAGCTTAAAGCTTACTCCTTCTTTAAATTAGAGGACCTAGCATAACACGAGGAATGTTGTAAATTCACCCCCCTTGTTTTTCTTTTGAGGCAGGATCTTACTCTGTTGCCTAGGCTGGAATGCAGTGGCACAATGTCAGCTCACTGCAGCCTCGACTTCCTGGGCTCAAGTGATCCTCCGACCTCAGCCTCTTGAGTAGCAGGGATTACAGGTGCATGCTACCACGCTTGGCTAACTTTTTGTAGTGATGGGGTTTTACCATATTGCTCAGGCTGGTCTCGAACTCCTGAGCTCAAGCAATCCACCCACCTGGGTCTCCCAAAGTGGTGGGATTCTAGGTGTGAGCAACCATGTACGGCCCACATACCTATTTTTTAAATCTCCTTCAAGCACAAAAAAAAACCAGTATTACATATATGTATACATAAAACATCTGTTGGGAAAGCAATTATTTTCTAAATACATCCACTATTATTATTGTAGGGAAGTATCCTCCTTGGTAGGTGCAAATTCTCCCCACTAGCACAGCTAGTTCTTAATTAGGCAGGGCTACTGGAGCCAAAGTGTGGTATATAGGATACTGATTCTTTCTCTTTATCCGCTTGATCATACAAAGGTAGCAATAATAACCACACCCTTAGAAGAATCTAAACAGACCTCAGAATTTCAAGTGCTGATACATATAGATATACATTGTTTAGAAAAAAAGTCAATGTACAAAAAATTTAATCAAAAGCAGTATTTCAGGTTTACCTGGAGTAGATTTAAGGGCCTGAGACTTGAAGTATTTTTTAAACCAAATGGAACACCTGTTAAATAAAACTCATGGTTATAACAGAATTGAAAGTTTATTACACATGAAAATAATTTATACTTTAGTATATATAAGTACAATAATTTTATGTATTCTCTGCATAGATGTGCTTATTTTCCATACTTCAAAAATATCTTAAAAACAAAAGATTGTCTTCAATATTTATCAATACTGAGATTTTATTCAAAGTTGTGAAGCACCAGATGCACATTATATTCTATATTTCAGAAACTGGGACTTCTTTTTCATTCTTCTGACTGTTGGCTGAACAAAGAGTAATCAAGAATTATGTGAACACCATGAATATAACAAAACTATCACTGCTGTGCAAATACATTCCAGGTATTGGCATCTATTTACATTTCTCAATGCTACATAGTATACTATAATAATCATATCTCTAAGAACCGGTGTGCTTTATGCTATTTTTTTTTAACTAAAAATGTTAATCAGAATGCTAAAGAATGTTGCAATTTGTGTATAAAGATCAAAACAGAGTCAGGAAACAGTGCTCTGTTAATTTAAACTTATTCCTAAAAAATCTGTTACATTAACACAGAGCATATCTTAAAGCTGGGGGTGACAAACGTTTTCAATAAAGGGCCATCATGTGGGCTTTGTGAGCACAAATGGCCTCTGCTGCATTTTCTTTTCATAATCCTATAAAAATGTAGTAACCATTTCTAGCTTAGGCTGTGTGCTGTAGTTTGTTGATCCTGGTCTCAAGGTATGTATATATTTTGCTAACAAAATATACTAATTTGAACACTATTTAAAAATGTATCTAGTTCTCTATCATATCATTTTTTTTTTTTAAAGATTTAAGGGAAGAAATGCACATGTAACACTAGCGAAGCCTTGTATAAGAAACTGAAATTTGGCAAAAATATCCCTTTCTGGAAAAATTCTCATTTAAGAAAATGGCTTAACCCCCTTTTAAAAGTGGATGACATCTGTATAATGCTTTCTAGCTTACCAAAGGCACTTTCATACTTCATTTAGTTCTCTTAAGTACCAACTGGAGATATTTTTATTCCCACTTTAGAGCAAACTGAACTGAGGATAAGGGGGAAAAATTTAGTGACTTCTGTAGAACCCCAGTTTAGCAACTGAAGCCACATGTAACTGGTACAACTAGTAGTTACATGTAAATATCCTAAGTTCAAGATGTGAAGTCCATTTCCAGGACTTCTCGCACTAAGGCACACTTATGCTTATTAAAATAAGAACACTAGCTAGAATTAGGAAATTACAGCAACATGTTAGCATGTTTAATTATATTCTCTAGGTTCTCTTTCTCATAACTAAGAAAGTTTTTAATAAATTTTTCTAGATTGTTTTTCCTATTACATTTTTCTTCAAGTGAAACTGAATCGTTTCAAGATATTATAATACATTATTTTAAAGAGCATCAAAAAAATAAGCACAAGTTATTATAACTGTTTTCCTGTATAGGTAATAACTACTCCTAAATAAAAGAATGCTTATCATGTCTCAGGCACAGTTTAAACACATAATTTGTATTATATTTCATTTAATCCTCACGACTATGAGGTAAGTTTTTATTGCTATTCCCATTTTATTTATGAGGAAAATTAAACACAAAGGTAACTTTCTCAAGATGACACAAATGGTAAGCTGTACAACTGGGATTCAAGCTGAGGTAGTCTGGCTCCAGAATCCAGGCTCTTAACTGCGATGCAGTTGCCTCTTGTACACAATGTATATTTTCAAAATACACTTATTTTCCCTGGAATATAACTACAATGACAATAAGGCTACCAAAATTAATTTTGTTATTTGGAAAGCAGAAGAAAGATTTGCACAGACTCACAGGCTTACCAAGTTTTCCACAGAAGTTGACTGCTAGAAGACTTTTAATTCAAATGCCAGAACTTTTAAAGGCTTTTTAAGTGAAATATATGTGATACAACACTTCATGAAATAATGACATTAAATGCCTTTAGCATTACTCTTAAAATTACATTTTTACTTTAGCATATACTTTAATTTTTTTTAGAGGTTATTATTTCCAACATTCTGACCTGCTTGAGAAGCTGCCTGCATTGCACTGGGCAGTGCATTTGGTAGCAGACCTCCTGAGGGTAGAAGGCCGCTCAGGTTTATTCCTGCAGGAGTTATGGCACCAGTGTTACAGCCCAGCATGGGGTTTGAACCACTCATCAAAGCCTGGGCCCCACTGCAGGAGAATAAGACAAAGCATTAAACTTCACTGTAAAAGGAAAAAATCAGCCACACAATTCCTCAGATTAAAAAACAAAACTACTAAGCAAACACAACTAGTTATTTATCTGTCTTAAATATCAAAGAAAGTAATGCAGAAGATAAATAGGAAATTCTAAGCTGCTGTCAAGATGAAGTATCAAAAAACAAAAACGATAAGATGAGATATCATCTTAGTGCAGTTAACAGATGTATTATTTAAAATTAAAACATACATGGTCAGGCAGCTTCTGTCCATATCTAAACTATTCCTTTTCAGTCTGAGTAATATGCGGTTTGTTCTTAATTTCACACATTAAGAATTTATTTAGATTGGTGAAACTATCTTTATAAAAAAAAAATCCGAACATCAATGCAAACTTACCAAACAGAGCCCACTACATTGATGAAGTTAAGTCCAGCAGAGTTTGCCATGACCTGGGTGGCCGTGGTTCCTGGAGTTATAGATGTTACCATGGTGGAAAGAGGAATGGTTGTTACAGGCATTGCCTGGCTCAGAGACCTTTGCTGCTGAGCAAACTGAGTTAACAAAGTGGGCTGAGGGGTGAAGCCTGAATCTTGGGGAGTAGGGGTGGCTGAAGGGGTACTAGGAGTTGAGCTCTGAGCATCAGGAGGGTGTGGGGTCGATGAAGGGGTTGGTGTAGGAGTAGATGGCTTAGGAGTTCCAGATCCTGCTCATTGAGAAAAATAAAAATTGCTAGTTTGTTATAAATGGCCAGTCCTTTTAAAATAAGGTTAATGGAATCTTACTTAGCACTGACAATTTGTTCTAGTTTTTTTTTTTTTAGCAGTTAACTGCAAGTGTTAATTTCTACACATGATACATGAGTGTTGCTACACTCAATTACAATTAAGGATGCAGTATATCACCTAAAAATCCCATTAAAGATGCTATTGCAGTAACAGTAAAAATATACAGTTATATTCTACCACAATACCCATTTAAAAGTTAGTTTCCTACATGCTGCCTTTGGCCTAAAAAGTTCAAAACGAATTCAAATTAATTTGTTATTTACGATTTCACTAATTCAAGACTTCATTTAAAAATATTGCTTATTTAGTGTAAAAGTCTGAGATAAACTGTAAACATATTTAATAAGTTACATATGGTTAACAATCATATTTGGCACCTAAATATACATGTTTAATTCCTAACACATCAAGTTTATCCTGACAAACAAATTTACAAAAAACAGTAATAAAGCAAATATCTGAGAGATAATACTGCATCTTTAACAGTAACTGTGTACTTCTGTTTAAATGTAGAATGTATAGAAAATCTGTTGTGAATGAAGTATGCACAGTTTATCAATTTTTTAAAAAACAAAAACAAAAAACAAAAACCAAAAAAGTAAAACCAAAAGCTCTTGAGGTGTTTTCTTTTTTAGCTTTCATGTCCTGCAGAAAGAAAGGAAAGAAATGTGAATGTCCAGAAGCTGTCACTCAACCCTTACTTAAAGTAACAACTGTGTGCAGTAGATTACCATAATCCATACCCACAACATAAGAAGTGTGAATAAGACTTTCAGAAAATTTATATATTTTTCTTTGTGCAAAACAAGAAGGCAGAAAAATTACACCTTTTGAGCTATCGAGATGAAGATGTTTATATCTAATGCGAAGACCACCCTATCACTGTGCAGTGTACTAAAACTTTCAGCATATATTAGCTATCTATAAAAAATCTAAAAAACTGGAATGACTTTTTTCCCCAAATTGGTACTTTCAGATATTTACTAATTTGAAGAAATTCTCCCAAACTAATGCTAGCATTCTTGTATAACTCTTCTTGATGTTAAAAAAAAGTATTCAGTAGTAAAAATTACATTTCAGTATCTTCAGAATAATGCTTTATGATTATCATCACATTTTAGTAACTGACAACAATTTATAAAAGAGTGTAGGAGTGTTTTTGAAATATTGTTTTTCAGTTTATTGTATCACCACCTTGGAACTAGTTGACTTCTTACATATACACAAAGATAGGACCTGCAGCAACAACTCTTATGACATTTTTTTCATATCAGCCACACAATTTACATAAATATGCAAAATGATCCTAGGGTACACTGGAATAAAAAATATTTTGAAATCTTATTGCCACATGTAACTACCAGGTTATTTTTTTAAGGAGATGTGTAGGTTGTAAGCCTATAAGAAAGGTACACGCAGAATGTATACACAGATACAGAAAAACAAGTACAATTACAATAGAGACATAATACATACAATCAACAAGAGCTCTGCCTGAAGCTTCTAGCAACTTATACATTTTGGGTACACAGTACATTCAGATATCACTACTTCACAGGTTGAAAAAAGCTGTCTTAAGAAACACTAATGCAAAAGCTTATGAAGATTTAATGAAGAATTTAAGTTATGACTCACTTTGTGATGAGCTGGCAGGTGATAGGGCAGCTGGAGAAAGCATGCTAACTTGATTGAGATCCACAGATGATTTCCGAGGAATACTTGATGGCTTAGAAGAAGGAGGAGGAGTTGGAGATTTGAGAAAGCTGCTTGTCTGTTGTGGTGTAAAATAGTTACCTAGAAGAACATAAAAGTTATTTCCTAAATTTATAATTCAAACTTCTGTGAACTGTAGAAATCAAAATGGGGCAAAGTTTTAAAAAGAGATTATGATTATATAATATTTGTTATTCTAGACTGCAAAAAACTAAGAAATGTAATACCTGAGGAACTATTTCCTGAGCTTGAGGGAAGTTTGATTGGTGGGGGTCGATGTTTTACACCCTTCCCCAATACCGAAGACTGAACTGACACGGTTTCAGTTTGCTAAAAGACAATGACATTAAGCTTACTTGTTAAAATTAATACTGCTATAAACCCCAGATGATATTTATATTTAACTTCATAGTTTATTAAATAAAATTAATACTGCTATAAATCCCAGATTTTTAACTCTGCAAAGTGCTCTTAGTGGTTACAGATTGAATACTATATGTATTACAGAGAAAATTTCACATGAGATTCATGAAATATATTACAGTACACATAAAGAATGAGGAAAAGATTTCTGAGTAATAGGGTGGGAAGAGAGAGTTTTAGGGAGAAAGGCAGAGGAGTAAGATGAAAGCAAGCTTCCACTCTTCCATACTTATCTATTAAAGGAAAATAACAGCTGTTGAAGCCAAATGACTAGAACACAGGTGTTCACTGTAATTTTCCTTTTATCTTTGTGTACATTTAAAAATCATGTTATAAAGAGTTAAATAATTTTAAAAAAAGGTAAAAGTAGAAACAAAACTAAACTGTACCCCCGCTCCTCAAAAAATGATTCTTTTTTTTTTTTGAGATGGAGTCTTGCTCTGTTGCCCAGGCTGGAGTGCAGTGGCGCTATCTCGGCTCACTGAAACCTCCACCTCCGGGGTTCAAGAGATTCTCCTGTCTCAGCCTCCCGAGTGGCTGGGATTACAGGTGTGTGCCACCATGCCCAGCTAATTTTTGTGTTTTTAGTAGAGATGGGGTTTCACACTATTGGTCAGGCTGGTCTCGAACTCCCGACCTCAGGTGATCCACCCACCTTGGCCTCCCAAAGTGTTGGGATTACAGGCATGAGCCACTGTGCCTAGCCTCCAAAAATGATTCTTAACATTTCTCAGATTACTTGTGAAACAACTGGGCACAAAGAAGTAACATTAATGAAACACACATCTGTTTCTTTCCCTGGAGAAACCTGACTCAGACTGGCTGAGCCACTGGAGCTGTGTGACATCTTGACCGGACATTTGGCTTCATTCTGGACTAATTCTTGGTACTGATTGACTACCCTAAAATATCAGGAGAAAACAGGTAAAGATTAGAAAACCTGTTTTAAACACAAATTTATTTTATAGGAAAGAATAATGACTATTAATGGCAAAAAGAAAGTTCTATCAAAATTAACATAAATATTAAAAATTAGGCAATTTATCTTTGTATTAAAAGTACATATTTTTAAACTGTTCAATGACAAATTGTCCAAAACATTGTGCTAAATAACAATCTAAAGATATACTTTCAATATCTTATTTCTAATACAGAAATTACAGGGATTACTTAAGTAATAAGCAGCCAAAGAAAATACTCAATTCCTTTCTTAGATTCTGATTAAAGTACTATCTAGAAATCATCTTCCTTAGCTACAGTAGATATGTCTAAGTTTTCTTATTTAAAACAAAACTATATTTTAAACATTTCTTTTGTTTTCTTAATTCTATGAAAAAAAACCTAGGTATTATAAACTTTGGAAAAATGCATTTAAGTCCCCCAAAAATCTCATCCCATGAAAAGAACCATTCTTAGTAGTTTGGTGTATCACAAGCTTACAGATATTTTTCTAGAATCAGTAAGATTTTAAAGTTGGAAAGGACCTTAGAGGTTTTATTGTCCAATGCCCTAATTTTACAACAGAGACCCATAAATATTAAACAGTGTAAATATGGTTAACAGCATAACCAAAATCAAAGTTTTTAACTCCTAGTATTCTCTATCCTATAAGGGTGAAAAATTTTTCATATCCATCCTGACCAAAATAAGAGATGCAAATATTTTTACCTCTCAGCATCGGTCTTTGATCCAATAATGAACCTAAAATGTTTAAGGAAAAAAAAGGAGAGAAAAGTATTAGGTAAGAGTTGTCTTAAGAAGGCTTGGGATTACTTTTGAATCTTCCATGTTTTAGTCACAGTAATATAAACTGGTATTAAATCTACCAAGATATGAAAAAAATTTTTTTAATGCATTTAAACATATGAAACAATGACTAAGTTTTGCATGCATTATGAAACAATGTGAATAATTTGGTTGATTTAATTAAGTGATATTTCTTTTGGCACAAAATTTATTTATTAAAACATAATCTGGGCTGAAAGTTACCAAGTGCTATATACCCTTACAACTATTGATCCTAAAGCAAAATCACTGAACTAACATGTGCAAAGGTCTTTGGCCTTCCTCTCACTTTAACCTGCAATTTTAGAAGTTACTATTAATGTCTACATAACAGATCCTTAGAATATATTTCAAACAAAGTATACATATTTATCACTGATTCAAATAAAGTATATTTAGCAAGTCTTTTTAAAGAGTTTGATATTTATGTAATTTCTTAACAGATTAAAATAGTTTATTTTTTAATTACCAATTTGAATGATCATCTGTGGACGAGCTGAAATATAAAATGTAAAAAAAAGCTTAGTTAATGCAGCTCAAACTTTAACTTCATAGTTTATTAAATAAAGTATTTTATGAATATGGAAGAATGACTGGAAGATAATAAATCATGCAGCTACTCTGATGCAAAGGTAAAAAATTCAATTCTCTTCCTGTCAAACAAATTAGTCATTTGGCTCTATAGACCAATTTTTTCACAAAAGAACATGTATCACCCTTGTGTTCTACAAAAATAAGTTAATAAATTAAAAATGGCCAATGTATGTTGTCTTTAAGTGAAAAGATTTTTTTAAATATAAGTAATCAATATTGGGTACTATATTCACTACCTGGGTGATGGGATCAGCAGACACCCACACCTTAGCATCATAAATATACCCCTGTAACAAACCTGCACACATACCCCTATATCTAAAATAAAAATAAAGAAAAAAAATGGCTTCCTTAGAAATGCATGCTGAGGATTCAGAAATAAACTGTTGTGATGTCTATAACTTAAAAAAAAAAGAAGAAAATGTATGTTATCAAAATATCTGATCCTTTTACAATAATAAAAACTGGTCATGTGAAAAAACAAGCTGAGGATTCCCTGTTATTTCCTTTCATTGACTTTTACCTAAATATTGGTGGGGTTGCTCTTTAAAATCCACCTTTCTACTGTAGTTTCAATTAGTATTTTGTGTAAGTAAAGGCTTTACAATTAACATAGACCTCGCCCCCATCCTTTTCTGCTGAGCTTCTTTTTTGTTTTCAAAACAGAAAACTTATTTTTCAAATCAATTTGATTAAAAAAACCAAATAAATAGTAAAACAAAATAAAACTAAATACTGACAGTACCAAATATATGTAGTTCATACATTTTGGAAGATCATCTATATTTTTATGTATTAATATGTAGGGCCAATAACTACAATAAGCATTGAGTCTGTGTCCTTACATGCAGTGCCAAAATACCAAGCATCTTTTCACATTTATAGTAAACTTGCTTCCTATTTAAACACACTATTGCCCAAACACTTCATGTTCAAAGGTTAAAGTCCTAAGTGCCATAAACATATAAAGAAGGATATCACAGGAATAGCCTTCAAAACAAGCATAAAAATAATTATACCATAGGTTTTTTTATTTTTAATAACTCTTGAGCAACATGGTAACTACGACTTAAGTTTACTTAGGTCTACCGCCAAATCTAATTGTTATATTTAACTAATAAGTGAGTTCCCAAAGAGAAATTTTTATTCATTAATGGTTCATCAGTAGTTACTAGATAAATTCTTGGTGCCTTATTTTTTTTTTTCCAGTTACTTGTATTTAACAGAACTCACTGTGATGGAGACATCTGGCTGTCACTTTCTTCATCTGCTTTACATGGCTGTATTTTACCATAGTAAAGTGGATCTCCAAGCGACTGCAAGATGGTCAGCTTTGTTTTCTGATACTGAGTACCAGCTTCACATTCAAATACATAATCATCTTTTACATCCTGAAAAATGCATAGCACCTCAAATAAATACCTTCACAAGTAGGCAGGCAATAAGAATTAGTAAAAATCAGGAATAAATGATACAGTAACATGTATCTGACGATAGGAAGACACACAGCACTTAGGCTACAAAGATATTTAAGTCTGCCTATGAGAATAAAGCACAGCACGGTTCTTTTCCTAAAAACTATATGGGCACTCAGCATGCATTTAGTAAAGCATTAACATATACTATGAAGTATGAACACATATGTAACAATATTAATACATCATTAAATACATTATTAGACATATTGATATACATATAATAACAATGAACATTAATCAAACACTGTTCTCAGCACTCTACAGGGACTGAAAGCTCCACCATATTTTCATGGTTGGCACTGTTATTACCTCCGTATTAGAAGTCAGGGAATTAAGCAAAGAGAGGTTAAATGAATTGCCTAGGGTCACACAGGGAGTTAGCAGTCTGTCCCTAAGCTTGCACCCCTGATCCTCATGCTGCCGTGCCTGTTTATGCTCAGGAGGGCAGTACAGGATTCTTTTTTACATGGTACTCTGGGAATGAGAGTTTAAATGGCATGTTTAATCAAGCTTAATATGGCAGAATTTCATACTAGATATATGAATTGCAAATATTAAATAATATTAAAAGGATAAAACTTTCAAAAGCAGATCTATTTATCATTTGTCTGCTTTTGCTATCACACACAAAAAACATCTGTCATCATTTCACTCCCAGAGTTCACCTAATTTAAATATTACACCTATTCCTCTCTTTTTAAGACGTTATTATTGCAATTAGGAAAACTTATAAAGAACACTTCTGTTAAAAGCCAGCCTTAGAAGAATTTATTAATTAGAAACAAAACAAATCAGAACTACCAATACGCAAACCAAAAGTAAAAATGAAGTTCTTCATTAAAATTGCTCTTTAAGGCTGGGCGCAGTGGCTCATGCCTGTAATCCCAGTACTTTGGGAGGCCAAGGTGGGCGGATCACCTGAGATCGGGAGTTCGAGACCAGCCTGGCCAACATGGCGAAACCCTGTCTCTACTAAAAATACAAAAATTAGCCAGGTGTGGTGGCAGGTGCCTGTAATCCTAGCTACTCAGGAGGCTGAGGCAGGAGAATTGCTTGGACCTGGGAAGTGGAAGAGGTTGCAGTGAGCCAAGATCCCACCTCCAGCCTGGGCGATAAGAGCCAAACTCCATCTCAAAAAATTAAAATAAAATAAAAATAAAAAATAAAAATAAAAAATTGCTGTTTAAAATGCAAAGCATACTCTGATAAACAAAATAGTTGTTTCTTCTTGTAATAAACTGAACTCGCAGAAACTAATTTAAAAAAGAAAAAAGGTCCCAAACTAATGGCAATTGCACTTTATGTTTAATAAATTCAGAGGCCAGATTAGAAATGGCATAATTAGAAACAGAGACAGGCAATGATTTCTTACATGGGCTGGCCAGACTGTTGGCTGTGAGTCATCAGATTTGATAGACTTTTCCACTTTAGCATATTTCTCCACCTAAACAATCAAATCAAGAAATACCACATAAAATAGAATCCATATCAGATAAAATGGAATCAGTATTCTGATCAAAGAGAAGAAACTAAGTAACTCGACAATACAATATACTTGTTAGCGCAAGAATTCTTAAATTACCGGTATCAACTACTTATGCTTAAGCAGTTTAAAAGTCTTCTGATGTGTATAAAACAACTTTAATAAAACCAAACCAAATAAATAAGTGTTAATAAACACAGCTGCTTTTCTAGACAGTGCCTCTTCATTTTTTTGTCCATAAGCTGATATGTTTTTCCTTTAGAGCTTTTCCTTCAGGAAAATTGGAATGTCAGAGAGATAAGGATAAAGATCTTTTCCTTTTGGCAGGCTTTTCTTGAAATAAAAGCGGTCATGTAACAGTGGGGACAAAACTGAGGGAGACTAGGGAAGGTAAAATATTAAAGCTGATCAAATTTTTTGAACGTTTTCCACTTTCTAGTCAGACTTGACCATATATTCTGTACATGTCCTAGGCATCTGTGTGAGTCAAATGTTATTATCTTACAGGCAACCACGATCTTAAGAGTAATTTAGACTTACCTGGAGCACCTATTAAAAATACAGATTTTCATGTCTGTCCCTTAGAAATCCTAAGTAAGTAGATTTTGAGTAGGGCTTGAAATCTCTATGTTTAACTGATATCCTAGGTGATTCTTCTGATTGAGCTAGACTGAGAAGCTTTGAGGGCAACTGCTACTCAATGTGTGGTCCATGGACCCCAGCATCACATAACCTAGGAGCTTGTGAGAAATGCATCTTAGCACCTCAGACTTGCTGAGTAGCAACCTACAATTTAACAAGCTCTCCAGCTGATTCGTAAGGACATTAAAGTTTGGGAAGTACTCCAGCTTGTCCTCCAAAGCTAAATTCCACCCTTCAGTATTTACACTGAAATTCTATTATCAGGCCATGTTCCTTGAAGAACTGCACATAAGCTACCAAAAGATAATATGGCTTACTTCCTTGAGCTGTATATACAGTCTACTGCTGCTTCTGGCTTTGTGCTTTGCGTAATTTCTTTTTTTTAAATCAGAAATAGTAAGAATAATGCATGTGCTAGCATGGAAAGGGTGCAACAGAAGAACAAATCTGAAAATAAAGAGTTGAGTGAATATAAAAAACAACAGAGGAGAAAGAAAAACATAGGATCACTCATCAAAATATCCCTTTTTTGTCTTCAACCATTTATAGTTCATGTATATTATGGATCAATAAAGAATACAACCCAATGTTCCTAATCTTGGTTACTTCTCTAGTATTATTAATCTTTATTTTATTTTATGTCAAATAATATTATTAATCTTCAAATTTAACCAGTTTGAGTAAACAAGCACTATTAGGAAATTTTGATGAAATATTATCAAAAAAAGAGAGATTTCACGTGATTATGTAATATACACTGTATTTTTCCAATTTTAAAATTGTTTTACTATTCCTGCTCCAAAAAACTATATTAAGGGGTTATGTTCTTTCAACTTAATGTGAAAAAAGAACAATACACAGCTTCTAAAAATCATTTTTCGATGTTTTTTGAAATAAATCATATTGTTTTTAAAAAACTTGTTTAGAGTATGATCTAAATCACTTTGTTTTTAAAGTAAGTTTTTTTTTTGTTTTCTCAAGGTATAAGCAACCGAATAGTAAAACTGAGAAACTTTATATGAAAAAAAGTAATTCATGAACTGACTTACATCTACTTCAGAAGGTATGGCCAAATTACAGGGACTCCGTTTCCACATATCTACACACTGAAAAATTAAAAACAATATACTGAAAAATTAAAAACAATATAAATATACTGAAAATGCTAAATAAGACAGGCTTTTGGGCATAATAAGCTTCATTTAAAATATATATACTTACATTTCCTGCCTTAGAAATTTTGAGGTCATAATGCTGACCTGCTTTTCTTTCCTTTCTTTTTTGTAAGAAATCAAGTAACCTCAGCTGAGGAGGAGGTGGACAATGAGATAGATCTTGCTGCCGATTCAGAGAGGATCTGGAATACCTCTTGAAACACCTGAAATATTAAGAAATTTGAACTAAACGGCACTAATAAAAGAAACTCATAATATATGTGAGTTGAAACTAGTCAGTGCTGAATATGTACAAATCGTGTTTATAGAACACTGCCACATGCCAAGCACAGTCCTAGGAACTAGGACTAGGTGAAATAAAAATGAATAGGACAAACAAAATTCCCATCACCACAGAGCTATCAAGTCCAGAGGGGGAGGAGACATTCACAAGTAAACAGATAAAATAATTTCAGATTTCAGACACCAAGAAGCAGTAAGAGAAGCAAAAGAGTACTGTGGAGAGTATGGGATAAGGAGGGCAACATTAGGGAAGGAATGGGGAGAGGGAGGGGAGGAAAAGAGTCTGAAAAAATGACATGTGAGCTGAGATAGGAATGATGAGAAGGAATTAGCTATGGAAAGATGGGAGTGAAGGGGATAACTTCCAGTTTTGGGTACAGGCATGTAAGACTCCGGAAGTTGCCACCTCATCCTAACAGGTAAAAAGCTGAATAAACAGAAAAATCAACGATTCTTCTTAGATCCATCAAAGAGATGTGGTCACAAGACAAACCACTGCCCCAAACTTGGAGAAACCAATAGGCAAATGCAGACCATCATGCCTTGCTGAAGCAGAAACCCATTAGCAGAAACCTCCTCAGGAACCAGTGCCAGGGTAGGGAACCTCAAGTATAACTGATGAATTGCTGGAGGCCTACTGTGGACATGTCTGAGAGATTCAAAACTCCAAGGGGACCTAGTCACTGGGAGCCCCCAGACTTTTGGGGGTTTTATCTCCAGGAGCTCAAAGAGGTTCTCACAGTGACTACCGGGGAAAAATCCCCTCATGTTTCCCATGGAGGGTGGGGAAAAGAAAATATTCTGAAAGATCAGGGAATGACTATTTGAAGGGACATTTTTAAAAGATGCCGAGGGAGGAATAAGCTTGGTTTGTTTCAAAAACAAAAGGTAGGTGTGCCTGGATTCAGTTTATAACTGACTTCTAAAAACTATGATCATATTTTCTCAAATCTCAAAATTACAAATTCTTTCCTTAAAGTAGGATTAACAACAATTAAATCAGTCATTCATTAGTAGGAAAATAATGAAAAAATTATTCTTTCTGTTCATATTTGATCTCAGCCTCTTTACCTTTTTGGCAAACAGACTATAAACTTAGAAAAAGTTTATTCTTTAAAAGACTGCAGAAAATGCAACAGTTCAATCTAAAGCATAGAGCATTTAAAAAAATAATAATACTATATAAAAATATATAATATGAGACCATTAAGAATCCTATTTTCAAAAAGAAAAAAAAAAATCAGAGGCTGGTGCAGTTGGTCATGCTTATATTCCCAGCTGTTTGGGAAGCCAAAGTGGGAGGATCACTTGAGGCCAAGAGTTTGAGACTAGCCTGGGCAACAAAGAGAGACCTCATCTCTACCCTTCCCCACCAAAATCGGAGCAACCATACCCTGGAGGGAAAAGATACTATAAATAGCAAAATTTATAGCTACTTGTGTCTTTTGGTTCACCCTTCCACAAAGGCAATTACCGTTTCATTGGGCGAGTGTTCATCTTTTGCTTGTTATAGAGCAGTCTGTTTGCAGTGCAGGTGACTGCTATAGAAGGATCAAGACAGAGTGGTTCAGCTGTAGCTAGGATGAGCTGGCTCTCAAGCAAAAGTTTGTCTTCCTGAAATGTGTAAGAGCATATGTCAATACCAGATTTAAGATTTTCAAATATGTAATCATATATTGCACTTAATCTAGAAATATTCCCTGGAATTCTGCTAAGGACTACAGTAAAATATGGTATTTCAAGTTCCAATGTTAGTGTGCATGTAAACTTTTAGAAACCAGACAGCATAAAGAAACTTCTAATGGAAATTCAATGCAGGTATACCTCATTTTATTGTGGTTCGCAAATATTGCACTTTTTACATATTGAAGATCTGTGGCAATTTTGCACTAAGCAAGGCTATCAGCATCATTTTCCCAACAGCACACACTTATTTTGTGTCTGTGTCACATTTTGGTAATTTTTTTTGTATCTCAAACTTTTTCATTATTATTAAATCTATTATGGTGATCTGTGATATTCAATGTGTACTAAATCAAGAAATGATGTATGTTCTCTGACAGCTTCACCGATCCACCACTCCCCAGTGTGGGATCTCCCCTATCTTTCTCCTTCTTCTCAGGACTTCTTACTTCTAGAAACATTATAATATTTAAATTAGGCAAAAAATGGCCTCTTAGTGTTCAACTGAAAGGAAGAGTCACACATCTCTCATTTTAAATCCAAAGCTAGAAATGATTAAGCTTAGTGAGAAAGGCCTATAAACAGCTACAACAGGCCAAAAGCTAGGCCTATGGTACCAGACAGTTAGCTAAGTGGTGAATGTAAAGGAAAAGTTCATAAAGGAAATTAAAAGTGCTACTCCAGTGAATATCCATAACAGATAAAAATGCAAAACAGCCTTATTGCTGATACAGAGGAAGTTTTAATGGTCTGGATAGAAGATCAAACTAGTTGCAACATTTCCTTAAGCCAAAGCCTAATCCAGAGCAAATTCCAACTCTTTTCAATTCTATGATGTGAGAGACGTGAGGAAGCTGCAGAAGAAAAGTTTGAAGCAGAAAACTGGTTCATGAGGGTTAAGAGTAGAAGCTGTCTCCATAACACAAAAGTGCAAGGTGAGGCAGCCAAGTACTGATATACAAACTGCAACAAGTTATGCAGAAGATCTAAGATAACTGATGAAGGTGGTTACCTTAAACAACAGATTTTCAAATTAAACAAGACAGCCTTATATTAGAAGAATAT
Organism: Homo sapiens; assembly: GCF_000001405.40. NCBI lineage: Eukaryota > Metazoa > Chordata > Mammalia > Primates > Hominidae > Homo > Homo sapiens. Next base: position 37,034,723 of record NC_000013.11, read on the forward strand.
GCCATCCAGAACTTTCATAGCTAGAGAGAAGTCAATGTCTGGCTTCAAAGCTTCAAAGAACAGGCTGACTCTCTTGTTGGGGGTTAATGCAGCTGATGACTTGATGCTGAAGCCAATGCTTATTTGACCATTCTGAAAATCCTACAATCCTTAAGAATTACTACTCTATCAGTGCTCTATAAATGAAACAACAAAGCCTGGATGACAGCACATCTGTTTACTGCATGTTTTACTGAATATTTTAAGGCCACTGTAGAGACCTACTGCTCAGAAAAAAAAGATTCTTTCAAAAATATTACTGCTCATTAACAATGGCCTTGTCACCCAAGAGCTCTGATGGAGATGTACAAGGGGATTAATGTTTTCATAGCTGCCAACACAATATCCACTCTGCAGCCTATGGATCAAGGACTAATTTTGACTTTCAAGTCTTAATATTTAAAAAATGTATTTTGTAAGGCTTTAGCTGCCATAGATAGTGATTCCTCTGATGGATCTGGGCAAAGTAAATTAAAAACTTTCTGGAAAGGATGTGCCATTGTAGATGACACTAAGAACATGCATGATTCATGGGAGGAGGTCAAAATAGAAACATTAATATGAGTTTGGGAGAAGTTGATTCCAACCTTCATGGATGACTCCAAGGGGTTCAAGACTTCAGGACAAGAAATCACTGCAGATGTGGTGATAGCAAGAGAACTACAATTAGAAGTAGAGAGCCTGAAGATGTGACTGAACCACTATAATCTCATGATCAAACTTGAATGGATGAGTTGCTTCTTATGGATGACCATATACAGTGTTTTTTTTTTTTTTGAGTCAGAGTCTCCCTCTGTCGCCCAGGCTAGAGTGCAATGGCGTGATCCAGGCTCACTGCAACCTTCACCTCCTGGGTTCAAGCAATTCTTGAATTGCTACTCGGCCTAAGCCTCCCGAGTAGCTGGGATTACAGGCAACTGCCACCATGCCCAGCTAATTTTTGTATTTTTAGTAGAGACAGGGTTTCACCGTATTGGCCAGGCTGGTCTCGAACTGCTGACCTTGTGATCCGCCTGCTTCGGCCTCCCAAAAGTGCTGGGATTACAGGCACAAGCCATGGCACCTGGCAAAAGTGGTTTCTTGAGATAGACTCTATTCTTGGCTGTGAACATTGTTGAAATGACAACGTAATATTTATACTACTACATAAACTTAGTTGATAATGCAGCAGCAACAGGGTTTTAGAGGACTAACTCCAATTCTGAAAGAAGTTCTACTGTAGGGTAAAACTGTATCACATGCTATAGAGAACTCTTTCATGAAAGAAACAATCAATGGGGCAAACTTCACTGTTGTCTTTCAAAAAACTGCCACTGCCATCTCAATCTGTCAGATCCTGATCTGTCAGCAGTCATTAATATCCAGGCAATACCTTCCAGAAGCAAAAAGATTATGACTCCCTAAAGGTTCAGATGATCATTAGCATTTTTTAGCAATAAAGTATTTTTGAATTAATGTATATAGATTTTTTTTTAAACATAATGCTATGGCACCCTTAATAGACTACAGTACAGTTGACTCCTGAACAACATGGATTTGAACTATGCAGGTCCACTTAAACTGGAGTTTTTTTTTTTTCTTTGAGACGGAGTCTTGCTCTGTCGCCAGGTTGGAGTGCAGTGGTGCGATCTCAGCTCACCGCAACCTCCACCTCCTAGGTTCAAACAGTTCTCCTGCCTCAGCTTCCTGAGTAGCTGGGACTACAAGCGCACGCCACCATGTCCAGCTAATTTCTGTATTTTTAGAGACGGGGTTTCACCATGTTGGCCGGGATGGTCTCGATCTCCTGCCCTCATGATCCACCCGCCTCAGCCTCCCAAAGTGCTGGAATTACAGGTGTGAGCCACTGCGACCAGCTAGGAGATTTTTTTCAATACAAGTTACACTGAGTGTGCATGCCTCTTCTGCCTCCCCTTCCATCTTCTTTATCTCTTTGCACCCCTGAGACAGCAAGATGAACTTTTCCTCTTCCTCCTCCTTGGCCTACTCAATGTGAAGATGATGAGGATGAAGACCTTTAATATGATATACTTACTGAATAGTAAACATATTTTCTCTTAGGATTTTCTTAATAATGTTTTCTTTTCTTTCTAACAGTTAATTCTAAGAATACAGAGCACAATACACATAACATACAAAATACATGTTAATCGCCAGGCATGGTGGCTCACATCTGTAATCCCAGTACTTTGGGAGTCCGAGGCGGGCAGAACGCTTGAGCTCAGGAGTTCGAGATCAGCCTGGGCAACACAGTGAAATCCTGTCTCTACCAAAAATAAAAAAAAATTAGCTGGGCATGGTGGCATGCACCTATAGTCCCAGCTACTCAGGAGGCCGAGGTGGGAGGATCACTTGAGCCTAGGAGGCAGAGATTGCAGTGAGCTGAGATTGTGCCAATGCACTGCAACCTGAGTTGCAACCTGACTCTGCCTCAAAAAAAAAAAAAAAAAATCCAGTAAGGCTTCCCAGCCAACAGTAGGTATTAGTAGTTAAGTATTAGAGGAGTCAGAAGTTATACATGGGTTTTTGACTGCACAAGGGCCACTGCCCCTAACCTCTGTGTTGTTCAAGGTCAACTATATAGTGTAAATGTAACCTTTTTATAGACTAGGAAACCAAAAAGTTCATGTGACTTGCTTTATTGCAGTATTTGCTTTACGGCAGTGCTCTGGAATCAAACCCACAGTAACTCCGAGGTATGACTATAATTTGTAGAGCACGGAATGGTCAGGTTGTAAGAGTGGCTACTCATTAATTCAAGAAACTATCTGAGCACCTATGATGTGTTAGGCACCTTTCCAGGAACTGGGGATAAGGTAGTGAGCAAAACAAAACCCTCTGCTCTCACAAAACCTATAGGGTCATAAAGGGTTATGGCATTTTTCAGTAACTGTGAAGTAACAGTCCTATCCTATACTCAACTCAACTACATTACAAGAATAAAAATGACTCTGCTAATATTGTGTGAACTCTATATACCCAATTCCAAACATACAGGCTCTTTACTATTATCACATAACATATTTTACTGAATCCTATTATTTTGCTTAACCTCTGAAATATCTTGATAACTAAGGCTATTTTTTTTAAAAAAGTGAATCAATTAATAATATTGCTAAATAAGAATTTGTTAGAATTAACCAGTTGCTTTCTCATGTCCATTAACTAGATCTGGCTGGTTTCTTCCTCATTGTGTCACTTAAGAGTTTATTTTATTCACTGAATTCCTATAAACTGCTAGTTACAACTAGTGGCTTGATTTAATATGGGCTCTTTTTTTTTTTTTTGGACAAGAGTTCTTTATTGGTACTATTACTACTGTTGTGTACTGTCTCTTGCATCAAACCAGGAGGTACACAATAATTGACTGTCTCATCTTCAATCAGTGGGTTTGATCAGATTTCTACATTATAAAATTTCCCATTAACCTATCATCTAATGGTTTTCACATCCAAGAAATACTGCTGTCTAGATTCACTACTTCATTAAGACTTTCAAACTTTTATTTTTTAAAAGTCTATCATTTCTTTTGCACCTATTAGCTGGAAATTTTCCTAAGAATTTTCCCTCAGTTACTTGGCTGCCTAAAATACAGTTCATAACAAGAAGGGCAGGATAAATATTATATTCTCTCCTTTATCAATCTTCAGAGTAAGAATCTGATGCCCTAGCAAACTCTGATGGTAACCAATGAGTTTTTCTGTTTTCTAATATTCTTTTAATAGCTTTTAATCTTTTTGTAGATGACAACATTATAGCCCAAACCAAAACACAATACTTGGTAGTTACTGATGAACTGAAGCTTAGTTTATAATCACATGTCACAGAAAGGATAACTACCATTACTGATATTTTCTTTTGACTTAGTAATTATTCCTCACTATAGTCAGGCAACTGAACACTTTTGTGAGTGGACATCTCATATACAAGGGGTCTTTAAAAAGTTTATGAAAAATGAGTATTAAGAAAAAACTATACATAGGTTTCAAAACTTTTTGCACCAAAATAAACATGTACTAAGCTGTTATAACATGTCTGAACAGAACCTAGTTTGAAACACTAAGAAGGATAAGACATCAGTTTGAAAACAGCCTTTACCAGAGCAACAGGAATTCTGCTAAAACTGAAGCAAGAACAAACATCAAATTGATGGTGAAGCTTGAGTGGAAGAATTGTGAAATCACTGATGCTTTTTGAAAAGTTTATGAGAAGAATGCCTCAAAGAAAGCAGCAGTTTACAAATGGGTAACTTGTTTTAAGAAGGGACAAGACTATGTTGAAGACGAAGCCTGCAGCAGCAGATCTTCCACATCAATTTACGAGGAAAAAAATTCATTTTGTTTGTAACCTAACTGAAGAGGACCAATGATTAACAGCAGAAACAATTGCCAACACTATAGGCCTCTCAACTGGTTCAGCCTGAATAATTTTGACTGAAAAATTAAAGTTGAGTAAACTTTCCACTCGATGGGTACCAAAACCACTGCATCCCGATCAGCTGCAAAAGCAGAGCTTTCAATAGAAATTTTCAACAAGTAGGACCAAGATACTAAAGCATTCTTTCCAGTATAATCCTGAAGATAGTAAAGCACAATTAAGGCAATGGCCACCAAGAGGCAGAAGTGATTCAGTCAAAGCAAAAGCAGACAGATGAAGAGCAAAGATCATGGAAACAGTTTTCTGGGATGCTCAAGACATTTTGCTTGTTGACTTTCTGAAGGAACAAAGAATGATAACGTGCTTATTATGAGTGTTTTGAGAAAGTTAGCCAAAGCTTCGGCAGAAAAATGCCTGGGAAAGCTTCACTAGAGACTTCTGCACCACAATGCCTCTACTCATTCCTCTCATCAAAAAAGAGAAATTTTGTAAGAGTTTTGATGGGAAACCATTAGGTATGCACCTTACAGTCCAGATTTGGCTCCTTCTGACTTCTTTTTGTTTCCTAATCTTAAAAAAAAAAAGTTTAAAAAGTACCCATTTTTCTTCAGTTAATAATGTAGAAAAGATTGCATTGATATGGTTCAGTTCCCAGGACCCTCAGTTCTTCAGGGGTGGACTAAATAAATGGTTGATATCATTTACAAGCATCTTGAACTTGATGGAGCTTATATTGAGAAGAAAAGTTTATATTTTTTATTATTATCTTTTAATTCCAGTTTTCCACAAACTTTCTGAAGTCCCCTCATATAACACTGAGCCAGAACTGGAGGGGTTAACTGGTTATTCTCAGGGGTAAGAGAGTTCCCCTCATTTCAAGGCAACCAGTATAAATGGCAAAGAAAGATAGGCTAGGCTAGGGTTTAGAAACTTGAATTATTTGAAAAAAAAAACCAGTATCTATTTGTAACCATGGTAAAAACAAAACATTTTTCTTCTGTTTGAGAGGAGATAAAGAACTAAGTTTTATCTCATTGAATATATTAGGCCAGCTTGACCTTAAAATGATCTTAGGCAACTTGAGGGATTACTACACATATAAAGAGACCCTTAACTTCTAGATCTTATAAAGGAATACCAGCTTTTCACATAAAGCATCAAACTTAATTATTGAATAAAAATAAGCAGAAAATCACTTTTGCTTAATGATAATTTTTTTTCATCCTATATTTTGCCTGTTTGAGATTAAAAAACAAAACAACTAACCTGGGTCCATTTGTGGTTATCACTTGTTATTGAATGTACATCACAAATTAAAGTCTAGAAGAAATAAAAATTTAAAAAACTTATTAATCTATGCACAAACATATGAAGAATTCGATAAATAAAACTCCCAACTAAAATCTAAAATAGTATTTCTTAATTAAACATCCTTACCTGCATTGTTGGACGTAAGAGAATGTGCCGACTTTGGTAACCAGGAGATTTCATGTTACTGGACTGCCTGTAGTCACGTATTTCTGCTATGACACATCCGCAATGAAAAATATTAACCTGTTTGGGCAAAAATACGTAAACGTCATTTTTTTTTCCAAAAGCCTAAATAAGTGGGTTTATATCAAACATTTCGCATTCTTTACATTCATGCAACATTTCTGGCCACTCATGTATGTACTCTTCAGTAGATTTCCTTGGTAGATTTAACACTATGTAAACCTTTTCAGAGGAAGTATTTCATGTTCATCACTATGACACAAGAAGCAATTTAAAACTATTTAATAGTTTCTAATTATAGATTGACTTTGGCATCTACCAAGTCAACAGTTTGACTTTTGGCATTTACATACTATTATGTTACAGATCCTTGGAACTGCTGTTCTTCTGCAGCTCACAGGCTTACTGTTACATTTCACTAACTTTGTCATTACTATAAAGTTTATCATTGTTATAAATTGCCAACCAACCTTGCCAGTGTTTTAGCTTCTAGATATAACTTCTATATTTGCTCTGCTAAAATTTTCAGAAATATAATTTTGCCCTTAGCCTTTATTAATAAGAGGGAAGCTAAATATAAAATTCAAATGAAAAATAGTTTTTCAGGCTGGGTGCAGTAGCTCATGCCTGTAATCCCAGCTTTGGGAGGCCGAGGCGGGTGGATCACAAGGTCAGGAGATCGAGACCATCCTGGCTAACATGGTGAAACTGCGTCTCTACTAAAAATACAAAAAAATTAGCTGGGTGTGGTGGCGAGCGCCTGTAGTCCCAGCTACTCAGGAGGCTGAGGCAGGAGAATGGCATGAACCCAGGCGGTGGGGCTTGCAGTGAGCCGAGATTGGGCCACTGCATTCCAGCCTGGGTGACAGAACGAGACTCCACCTCAAAAAAAAAAAAAAAGAAAAATAGTTTTTCAGTCCTTTCTATGCTCAAATGTAAGAACTATTATCATCGAAGTCTTGCTAGTTATGACTTGCCATGGTCACTCATAGTATGTTTTTCACCCATTCAGAACTTTTAGTGGGTACTGTGGTCTCCATGTTTTGTCATTCTTATTGTCATTCTTTTAAATAAATATTTACTGAGCAACTACAATGCCTACTATGTGCTAGGCACTATCCAGGTACAGCTTCACAGATACAGTAGTCAGACAACATTTGCTCTCAGTTGTGGGAAGACAGGCAATAAACATGTAAACAGAACAAAGTAATTTTAGATAGTGATGAATTCTATAAAGGAAATCAAATAGGGAAGGGCTAATCTGGATTGTATGTGCAGATAGAAACCTTAGGTTTTACCTAAGATCTGAATCACAAGAAACGGCCAGACACTTCAGGGACAGATCATTCCAGACAGAGGGAATAACATATGAGAAGTTCTTACTGTAGGAACAAGCTTGGAGTGTTTTATTGTGGAAATGAGACAAGGATGGATGGAATGCAGCGAGTGAGGATGAGATCTAGAAGATGAAGACAAACAGGAAAGCAAAGGTTTTGTTCAGAGCACTGGGCACGATCATGTATCTTAAAGAGAGACTGGCATTTGCTGATGGACTGAATGTGGAAGGTAAGGACAGAGTCATCTGTTAGACTGAAGAGACTGGTGATAAAACTGGTTTGGGAGGTAAAATAAAGCTCTGTTTTTGTCATGTTAAATTTGAGGAACCTATTATATATCCAAGAAAATATGTAAGTTAGGAGCTTGGTGGAATGGCCATGGTGAGGCATATAAGCAATAGACTAAGTAACATTTTAAAAACCCATGAAACTGGCTGAAATCATTCAGGGAGAATATTACTAAAGAAAAACAGAGAGCCAAGGACTGAACCTGAAAACACACATGTTTATGGATGGAACAGGGATTATAGTAAAAAAGACCGAAGGATTAGAGAAAGCAGAGGAAAACCAGGAAAATGATGTCTCAGAAGTCAACAGAAAGGCATTTCAAGCAGGACGCAGTTATATCCACTGATCTTTGCTAAGAGGCCAATTAAGAAGAGAACAGAAAAGTGACCAATTATTCAGTATATGAAGATCACTGGTAACTCTGACAAATGCAGCCTCTGCAGAACGATGTCATGATGCCAAATGAGATAGGTGGTGGAAAGAATGGGATCTGCAAAAGAGGAAATGACTATAAATTCTTTGAGTAGCGTGGCTGTCAAGAGTAACAAGAGCAGTAGTTGGAGAAGGATATGAGGTCAAGGGAGGATTTTTTTAAAATTTGAGACATACAGGTTAAGAATCCTTTATCTGAAGTGCTTCAGACCAGAAGCATTTCAGAGTTGGAAATATTTGCATTATACTTAGGTTAAGCAGCCCTAATCAAAAAACCTGAAATCGGAAATGTTCCAATTAGCATTTCTTTTAAGTGTCAGTCAGTGCTCAGATTTTGGAACACTGTGGATTTCAAATTTTCAGATTTGAGATGCTCAACCTGTAACACAGTATGCTTGCATTCTGCATTTAATAGAGAAAGAGAAATAGAAAAAAAGAGAGGTTATAATTTTAAGTCCTTGAGAAGGAAGGGGAGGATCCAGAAAACAAGTGGAGGGGATGGATGTCTATAAACAGTATACATCAACTATTTTAACGGGAAGGCAGGCAGATATGAAGAGAGAGGTAGGGATGCTAGTCGACTGGTGCTAGGAGGAAACGAGAGTTCTCATGTGATGTCTTCTTTTTCCTCAGTAGAGTACACAGTATGGCTGGGGTTAAGTTAAGGCAGTAAGAAGAAAGTAGAACAGGGCAAGGGAGTGCTTACCTAGGCAAGCTATGAACAGAAGTACAGATGTAAAGGCCAGTTTCTGGCCCCCAAGTGAAAAACTTCATAAATATTCAAAGTAGTTTCTTTCATAATTTCTTGATTGTAACTATAGGGAGATTTCCAATTGATGAGCTAATTGTTCTAACTATTTTAGAAGAACTACGTCTCTACGTTTCAGTATACCCTAAAGGTTAAATATCCGACAATAAGCCCATTTCCAGATAGCTATATATGTCTCATTTCATCTTCTATTATTATTAGTTTTAGAGACAGGGTCTTGCTCTATCACCCACGCTGGAGTGCAGTGGTGCAATCACTGCAATTCTGGTTTTCCTCTTCCTTCTCTAATCCTTCCTTCTCTAATCCTGCAGTGGTACAGGAGGATCACTTGAGCCCAGGGGTTTGAGACTGTAGTGAGCTCAAACTCCTGGGCTCAAGTGATCCTCCTGCCTTAGCCTCCCAAAGTGCTGGGATTACAGGCATCATGAGCCACCAAAGCCCAGCCTGATTTCATGTTCTAAAGGCTGTTGGGAACAGTGATAGAAATTAAATATCATCTGTCATGAAACATCATGTAGTCGTTTATATACATATATGTATACATACATAAAAATGTGACATATATATATCATATACATATAACAAATATAAAGACATTTTAAAGACAAAAATTTTGTACCTGAGATTTTTCTAGGAGATCAACCAAAATAGGAGGTAATTCTTCTGCATCCAAATATTCAAGCAACTCTCCTTCTTCATAGGGCAGTCGAATGGTCTCGGAATCTTAATTTAAAACATGAAGTTTGAAAATGATCATGCTCACTGAAAGCTTAGCTGTATAATTCAAATGGCTTTTCAAAGAACTATATATAATAAAACCAAAAGGCATTTCAACCAAGCAAGGATCAAAAAAAATAAAAATAAAAAACAAAACCAAAAGGCCCTCCTAATGTCCTTCTTAAGGGGGAAAAAAAAAACCTAACACATTATGAAAAAACATCTGGCATAACGTCACAATCTGAACCACAGCCCAAAGCAAAATAATCAGAATATGATAAAATTCCAATGTCAAAGTAACTGAAAGTTCACTGAAGACCAATTAATCTAATCTGGAAATCAGAGGGACAATTTGGTGCCTTATCTGAAAAGTGGTCACTTTTAGAACAAAATTCTCTTGGTGTTACACTTTACAATTAATTACCAACACACACACAAAATTCCAGCTATGTGAGTTCCTTGTAGAATTCACATTATCATCATATTAAATTTTTACACCTCTTTAATGAAACTGAAGTGTTTCTATTTTTAAATTATTTTCATATTCACCATTAACAGAAATGTTCATATTCAGTATTAATAGAAATATTTTAATATGTGAAAATTACTCAAAAGGCAGTGAGTCTGCTTAATTTTGAAGATTTCAGACTCATGTTCAAACTGCAGGACTACCTACCTTTAAACACGGTATGCTATCTTAAAATATAAATAGCAATAGAATGAAAGGAAATTCTATTTTAATCATCTGTAAGTTATGCCTCTATAATTTTCCTTTTTTTTTTAACCTTTCCTTTGGTTCTGAGATGCTTTTATAATTGGACTTGAAAGACATATCAATTAGAATACTTCTAAAATGCACATTCAGGAAAGATAATTGTAAGAGAGATAATTTCTAATATTCTACCAAAACATATCATAAGGAAGAAAACTGGGATCAAAATCTGTTTTTATCACTAGGTCATCACTATCTGAAGGACAAATGCTTTAGCAGGTTAAAAAACTACTTTAAAAAAACCGCACATCCTGCCTAGCAAAAGTATTTTGTGGCAGCTGTGCTCTAGAGGGTCTTACCTGATCCGTTTTTTCCCCTGAGCATCAGAGAATATCCCTCATTTCCTGGGTATAGATTGACCACTAAACATGACAAAGTCTCTTGCATAACAAGCTTCTCTAACAAGTTCACATTTCTTCTTAATTTCTGCTTTAAAAAGAGGCAGAGCTCATGAAAATAATCCAGTATAACCTTAACAAATAATGCTATGATTTAACAAAATCAGGCTTGAATTAACCTTTTGGTGCTCTTTCTGCATTATGATTCTGAATAAATGGAGAAGGCTCACAAAACTATAGCCACTACGTATGGGACAGCTATGTAAACTTAATTTTTATTTACTACTATGTTTTATGCAAATTAATTCATATTTTAAAAATGGGTGACCTATAACACAATAAAAGCACTTAAATATAAAACAAGTACTTTTGAATACTTAAGAAATAAAAATATTTAAATAAGTAGTATATAAAACCATTAAATGCAAATATATAAAACACAGAAGCATACAGTTTCCACTAAGTAGAAGTCTAACCTAAAGAATTTGGGGCATTCTCTTTGGTTGTATCTAAGAAGTGCACATTTCTTAAATATTTTATAGGCTAAATAAGATACAAACAAGTTCAACAGCTCTAAGCTGAAATGTTGAACCTAAAAATATCTAATTGGTAAGACGAAGTAAGCAATTTGGACATTTTCTATAAATCCAATTCAACAGCTCCTTAAAAACCACAACAAAGTCCATGATTTTAAAAATGCTTATAATTTAAAATAAAACCTACCTACTTACAGATTTAACAAATCATGTCATCAAATCTTATTTAGCAAAAATAACAGTAAATTTTTTTAGAATCTCAAAAATCAAAGTGTTTTGAATATCTTATATTTAGTAAATATATATTAAACATATATCATACACACATACAGAAAGAAGTGATAAATTCTTAATCTGTCATCACCATAGAATCAAAACACTAAGCAATCTGAACATTTTTTAAAAAGGCAAACAACTTTTAACCACTTTGATGTTAAACTAGTAAAGAGAGACTTAAAATGTTAGTCTTTTCAGTGTAGAGAAAACCCTCATAATTTGACTTAAGACAGAATTAGATAAATTTTTACAGTATGTGTACCTCTTCAACAAAACAAATTAGCTACCACAGAGTTGATCCCATTTAGACTAGAGGTTGCAAATTTTCTTTCTTAATGGGCCAGATAGTATTTTACGCTTGTGGGCCAAATAGTTTGTGCTGCAATACTCAATGTGTCTTTGTACCTGTGAGGCAGGCCTAGACAACATACAAACCAACAGGTGTGATGGGTTCCAATAAAAATTCATTTATAAAAACATGCAGTAGGCCACATTTAGCTGGTGGAGAGTGGCTTGCCAATTCCAATTTAGAATCTTCATATATGTAGCTCTCTTATTTTAGTTCTGTCACTGACATGATGAATATGTACATTCTATTGCTTGTAGTGATGGTTTCATGAGGTGTTTCTATAATGCACATGTCAAAACTTAAAAAATCTATAAACATGTACAATTTATTGTATGTCAAGTATGTATCAGTAGAACTTATGAAAAACATACTGTAAGATTTACTTATAAGTTTAAAAATAATTTTTTTCCTAATGTAAAGATTTTAAAGTTAGACACTACTGGAATTCCACTGTTTTTGGCCTAAATAGTAAAACTGTATTCATTTTTAAAGACAGACAACAAAAGCTCATAGAGACGTTTAGACCCTTCCAACCCGAGGGCTCCAAGACATCAATAAATCGACTTCTGTTACATGTCTACTACCCATATCTTTATGCCAAATAAAAATGAATTAAGTTAAATTGGCCATGAACTCGGTTTATGACCAAGCTCACTTTTTATTACTGTACTTGAATTTCATACATGCTCTGTAATAGCTCTGGCTTTCCAGTTTAAATCATCATGAGAAAACAGGTTACTGCTATAAATCTGTAAATAACTTCTCAGGAGGAAGTGCTATAAACTCATAAATCACTTCTCGGGGGAAGAAGAAGCAAAAGATAATATATACTGTGGCTTTGCTTATGACTTCCTAGTGAGACAGTCTGATACTCAATATAACTGTTCCTTCACTCCTACCTCAGCAGGTGATCTCTGCCTGGTGCCAGATTAGCCAGAGCTCTGAGTCAGCTACAGAATTGACTAGGGTCAGGTTAAAAAAGATGTTAGTTCACTCACACACACAAAAATAATACTCCAAATGTAACTCCTCCAAATTCCTCTCTTCTACATTTCAAAAGCTACAACATAATAAAAATGTATACTTACCTTAACTTCAGGTTCTTTTTCACATTCTTCAATATACAAGTCATAAAGTTTTTGAAATACAGATTTTCTAAAAAAATTTAATGAAACAAATATATAAAATGTTAACAGAGTAATCATCATGACATGAATGTTATTTAATTTTTTCCTAAATTTTCACATTTTTGCCTCAATTTCCCAAAAACTGGGGTGGAGCTGAATATAGTAGCTAACATCAACTTAGAAATTCCTAATACATGCAAAGAACCTATAAAATTTCTAGCTCAGTCCCTACGAGGAATGCAATAAAAGGTAGCTATCATCATATTTCAATGAATCTAAGATGTTACCAATTAATTATTCATACCTTCCACTTGATAGGTATTTCCTTTTAGGAGGTCTCTGTCGGGCACTTTCAATGACATACTAAAAAACAAAAGTTTATGAGAACAGCTTGCTTTTTGCTTTTGACTATGAACAACTGTATTGAGTATATCTAAAACATACGTAAGGCTAAAAAGGCTATTCACTTAACTCTCTGAATTACATCTTGTAGGAAAAACTACTTAACATCTAAAGATAAGTTTCAAACAAATGAAATTTGAACTGCACCACGATTTAGCAGAGTATTTCATTGCCATAAGCAAAATCATAGTTTCACAACCATGACTTCACAGGTCAGAAATATTATCAATATATTTTATGGTTGTTCAAAATATGCTTACTGTATGAAAAATTGTATACTGTATACCTTAGCTATTTTTTCCTTTGAGTAATTAGAAAACTTGTCAAAACAGGAAAATACAATTTTAGAAATTCTATATCCTTCTTCAAGTAAGTTTTATTCTGTAACATTATTATCTTGAGGATTCCAAGTAACAGGTGATCCAAATATCACCTGGTATTTTTATATATTTACAGCAAAATGATATGCATACTTGTCCTAAAATAGTAATGTGCTCCTTTAAAAATCACATACAAAAATCTCTTAAAACTGAGCTTTTGTCAATTAAAGACAACACTATTTCAATATGTAACTTAGTCACACCTCACCTCTGCACGATCCAAAGCTAGTTCTAAAGCTTGTTGCTGTAAAAAGTAAATAGTATATTTGGTAATATTAGTTATTTCCACAAAAAAATTTAATATACATTTAACATTTCTAATGTTTTCTAAAACAGGTCTAATATATTTTCCTTTATTTGTCTCCTCCACTCCACTCTATGATCAATATATATATAACAAAGAAAAAATATGAGTCTTGGGCACCTGATTACTAACAACAAACTAAATAAGAATGCTTACACGGTCTCTCTGGTCAGTGTTTGTGAGGCTAATATAGGGGAGGTTTGGATATGGCAGCTATCATCACTTCATAGACATTAATTTTTAAGAGCACCATTCAAAAAAATATACTGGCCATAAAGTATACAATCAAAATGAACCAAAGGCTAAACTCTCCTCATCTGCTAAAAATCTTGAAAATTGAGAGTGCGGTTGTACTGGCACTTAACATTAACTTAGAAATTGCTAATATATTAATGAAAAAAACCTACAACATCTCTAGCTCAGTGCCTAGAAAGAATAAATGATGGCTATCATTGCCATGTTTCAATGAATTCAAGATGCCATTGAAAGCATGCATCATTATTCTGCATAACATTAAGACAGAAAAAAATATGCTATCAATTCTAAGATATTCTTGAGTATCAACTCATCATCAATTCAGTAATATTAAAATATAAAAGAAAATGAACCTCAGAATTGATGAAATATATTACTGTTACTACATGTAAGGTTTGAGATCTACTAGTAGATCCCTATCCGTTCATTTTTTAGAGACGAGGAAAAAACATGGTGAAGCTATGCTATGTCTTCATTTGTAAAGCCATCATTTCTAAAGACACATATGAATAAAAGTACTAGGTTCTAAACAAAATTAAACATGGCCAGGCATGGTGGCTCATGCCTGTAATCCCAGCACTTTGAGAGGCTGAGGCGGGAGGATCACCTGAGGTAAGGAGTTCAAGATCAGCCTGGCCAACATGGTGAAACCCTATCTCTACTAAAAATACAAAATTAGCTGGGCGTGGTAGCACGCGCCTGTAGTCCCAGCTACTCAGGAGGCTGAGGAAGGAGAATCACTTGAACCCGGGAGGCAGAGGTTGCAGTGAGCCCAGATCGTGCTATTGTACTACAGTCTGGGCAAAAAGGGCAAAACTCCATCTCAAAAAAAACAAAAACAACAAACAAATAAAACAAAACCCAAATATACCACCAGTGGTTTTCTTTCTAGTTTTCTGTTTTATAGTCTTTTTCATTCATAATGATAGTCATTTTTAAATTTTATTAAGAGGCACAGAACTTTCAGTTTTTATTTAAAAGGACTTAAATTCTTCTGTCTTATTTTGCAGATTCCAATACCTCAACCTACCAAATTGCATGTGGGTAAAAACTCCTACCACCCACCAAAGTCCCAGGAGGGTAAGGGGGAAAAACAAATACTGCCACCCTTTGGAAATCATGGGAACTTTTAAGTGACCACCTAGTCCTAAGGATGGAGAATTTGTATAATTCCAAAAATAGTGGGCCTTCTTGCACTGTTCAATAAAAAACCCACATTATCAAATATCTAAATATGATAAGTGAACAAAGTCTGAAATCTGCCATCTTTTCAAAACGTTCAGTTATAATAAATCTACACTAATTTGCTTTGTTAAAAAATCTTGGCCAGGCACTGTGGCACATGCCTGTAATTCCAAAGCTTTGGGAGGCCAAGGTGGGAAATCAGGAGTTCAAGACCAGCCTGGACAATATAGTGAGATTCTGTCACTACCAAAAAAAAAAAAAAAAAAAAAAACTTATAAGAAGCGGATTCCCAATGAAACTGGTTCCCAGGATTCAAGTTAAGATTCCTGACTCCCATTTTCCCTGATCCCATGTTCCACCATGAAAACATAATTCTGTACATATACACTTCACAAATACAGAAGGTTCTTTTAAATTTTGCCCATAAAATTTGTTTGTATCAAAAAATTATAATAAACAAAATCAAATATATATAGTCTAGGACAATTTTAAACAGCCAGTCATCTCAAGTAAATATTTCATCTTCTGAAATTAAAACTTCAAAGGGTCTAGTGAGACATGCATACATACATAAATAAAAGCATCATTCATTCATTATCTCCTTCAAAAACTTAAGAGGAAAATGATTAGGTAATATAGATGCAAAATACAAGGTGTTGTCAGAACCCCACTGTGATACTTCTACTTTTCTCTAATAGGGGAGGAGTAGATAGGCAAGAACCAAGAGGAGAAGGAAGACAGATGTTTTCTGAAGTTTGTGACGCAGAATAGGGGTTATCTAAATAAATAACATGGTGGTCAATGTTCATTTATTCTCTGTCAAATGCTGCTGCTTCTTTAAAACATTAAAAAGTGTTTTTCTCCCTTAGTCTGTCATTTCTTAATGGCAAAAGTTAAATGCCTACTCCTAACTATGTTTAGTGACTGTAAGTCAGTGAACAGAAATGTGCCATTAGAAGATTAGCACTGATGCTGCCTGAAATACGTTATATGCAGTTAGCAGGTTACATTTGTTTTTAAATTTTAATAAAATCTAAAGAAAAGCTTTAAAATACGAGAAATCTATACTCCCCAAAACTATTTGTATTTATACCCATCCTCCTTGCCAACGATTTGGAATATGGCAAAGTAGATATAGGTAAATATTTTTAATACTTCATAAATACAAGCACAGATAGATGGATGAATGTGATCACTGTAACACTGATTAGTGAGCAATATACTTTATAGAGAAGACTTTGCAATGGGATTGCTAAGTAATTTCCCAGTTGGGATAACCTGTACAGCTTACAAGAGTATTTCTATATCTACCATACAAATATCTTTATGAAGATGAAGGAAGAGAACATTCTAAAACACAAATTTGAACATACTGAGCTGAAGCTTACCATTATGGCATAAAATAAGGGTCCAAAAGAAGAGATAACTTATGTACGCTGATGAAGTGGGGTGAACACCATGCCTTTAACATCAATCTTACAGTACTGAAAAGCAAAAACAATAAAACCCCAATATTAACATAAGGCTATTAAGAGAAAAAAAAAGAGATTACATATTTCATAATTAACAAGGAAAATTACTTATATTTTTAAGACATACATATTTTTAAGACACTTTTTAATAATGAGTAACAATAAAATTCATGTACCACAACCTATCCACTCACTGCTGAAAAGTAGTTTCAACTAGGAAAGGCAAAACACACTTGCCAAGTTACAATTATTACTCCTTTTCTCAAAAATACTTAACATCTCCAGAGAGAAAAAAAATACATTTTTTAAAATCTCTTCTCTATCACTACTGTTGCTATTCTCATTTTTCCTTTGAATTATTTTAATAGCTTGCCCACTGGGCTTGATCACTATCCAGTTCACTTTACAAATCACAGATATAATCATGTCTGCTGATAAAAAATCCTCTTATTAATAAGAGAGGACACAAACAAATAGAAAAAAAATCCATGCTCATGGATAGGAAGAATCAATATTGTGAAAATGGCCATATTGCCCTAAGTACTCGTAGATTCAATGCTATTACCATCAAGCTACCATTAACTTTCTTCACAAAACTAGGAAATACTACTTTAAATTTCATGTGGAACCAAAAAAGAGCCTGTATAGCCAAGACAATCCTAAGCAAAAAGAACAAAGCTGGAGGCATCATGCTGTCTGACTTCAAACTATACAATGCTACAGTAACCAAAACAGCATGCTACTGGTACCAAAACAGATATACAGACCAACAGAACAGAGGCCTCAGAAATAACACCACACATCTACAACCATCTAATCTTTGACAAACCTGACAAAAACAAGCAATGGGGAGAGGATTCCCTATCTAATAAATGGCCCTGGGAAGACTGGCTAGCCACATGCAGAAAACAGAAATTGGACCCCTTTCTTACACCTTAACAAAAATTAACTCAAGATGGAATAAAGACTTACAACATAAAACCATAAAACCATAAACCATAAAAACCCTAGAAGAAAACCTAGGCAATACCATTCAGGACATAGGCATGGGCAAAGACTTCATGACTAAAGCACCAAAAGCAATTGCAACAAAAGCCAAAATTGACAAATGGGATCTAATTAAACTAAAGAGCTTCTGCTCAGCAAAAGAAACTATCATCAGAGTGAACAGGCAACCTACAGAATGGGCGATAATTTTTTGCAATCTATCCTTCTGACAAAGGTCTAATACCCAGAATCTACAAAGAACTTAAATTTAGAAGAAAAAAACAACCCCATCAAAAAGTGGGTGAAGGATATGAACGGACACTTCTCAAAAGAAGACATTTATGCGGCCAACATATGAAAAAAAGCTCATTATCACTGGTCATTAGAGAAATGCAAATCAAAACCACAATGAAATACCATCTCACACCAGTTAGAATGGCAGTCATTAAAAAGTCTGGAAACAGATGTTGGTGAGGCTGCAGAGAAACAGGAACACTTTTACACTGTTGGTGGTAGTGTAAATTAGTTCAACCATTGTGGAAGACGGTGTGGCAATTCCTCAAGGATCTAGAACCAGAAATACTGTTTGACCCAGCAATCCCATTACTGGGTATATACCAAAGGATTATAAATCATTCTACTATAAAGACACATACACACGTAACGTATGTTTACTGGAGCACTATTTACAATAATGAAGACTTGGAACCAACCCAAATGCCCACCAATGATAGACTGGATAAAGAAAGGGTGGCACATATACACCATGGAATACTATGCAGCCATAAAAAAGAATGAATTCATGTCCTTTGCAGTGACATTAATGATTCTGGAAACCATCATCCTCAGCAAACTAACACAGGAACAGAAAACCACACATCACATGCTTTCACTCATAAGTGGGAGCTGAACAGTGAGACCACATGGACACAGGGAGGGGAACATCACACGCTGGGGCCTGTTGGGGGGTTGGGGGAAAGGGGATGGAGAGCATTAGGACAAATACCTAACACATGCGGGGCTTAAAACCTAGATGACGGGTTGATAGGTACAGCAAACCACCATGGCACATGTATACCTATGTAACAAACCTGTACATTCACCACATGTATTCCAGAACTTAAACTAAAATTAAAAAAAAAAAAGATACATTATCTAGCCTATTTGATACAAAAAACAAAAACAAAAACAAAACGAAACCTCACTCCTTGGGTACATATGTTTCTAATATTTGGTGGAAAGATTCATTCAAAAACTCAATGAATCCAGGAGCTGGTTTTTTGAAAGATCAACAAAATTGATAGACTGCTAGCAAGACTAATAAAGAAGAAAAGAGAGAAGAATCAAATAGACGCAATAAAAAATGATAAAGGGGATATAACCACCGATCCCACAGAAATACAAACTACCATCAGAGAATACTATAAACACCTCTACGCAAATAAACTTGAAAATCTAGAAGAAATGGATAAATTCCTCGACACATACACCCTCCCAAGACTAAACCAGGAAGAAGTTGAATCTCTGAATAGACCAATAACAGGCTGTGAAATTGAGGCAATAATTAATAGCTTACCAACCAAAAAAAGTCCAGGACCAGATGGATTCACAGCCGAATTCTACCAGAGGTACAAGGAGGAGGTGGTACCATTCCTTCTGAAACTATTCCAATCAATGGAAAAAGAGGGAATCCTCCCTAACTCATTTTATGAGGCCAGCATCATCCTGATACCAAAGCCTGGCAGAGACACAACAAAAAAAGAGAATTTTAGACCAATATCCCTGATGAACATCGATGCAAAAATCCTCAATAAAATAATGGCAAATCGAATCCAGCAGCACATCAAAAAGCTTATCCACCATGATCAAGTGGGCTTCATCCATGGGATGCAAGGCTGGTTCAACATACGCAAATCAATAAACGTAATCCAGCATATGAACAGAACCCATGACAAAAACCACGATTATCTCAATAGATGCAGAAAAGGCCTTTGACGAAATTCAACAACGCTTCATGCTAAAAACTCTCAATAAATTAGGTATTGATGGGACGTATCTCAAAATAATAAGAGCTATTTATGACAAACCCACAGCCAATATCATACTGAATGGGCAAAAACTGGAAGCATTCCCTTTGAAAACTGGCACAAGACAGGGATGACCTCTCTCACTACTCCTATTCAACATAGTGTTGGAAGTTCTGGCCAGGGCAATTAGGCAGGAGAAGGAAATAAAGGGTATTCAATTAGGAAAAGAGGAAGTCAAATTGTCCCTGTTTGCAGATGACATGATTGTATATCTAGAAAACCCCATTGTCTCAGACCAAAAACTCCTTAAGCTGATAGGCAACTTCAGCAAAGTCTCAGGATACAAAATCAATGTGCAAAAATCACAAGCATTCTTATACACCAATAACAGACAAACACAGAGCCAAATCATGAGTGAATTCCCATTCACAATTGCTTCAAAGAGAATAAAATACCTAGGAATACAACTTACAAGGGATGTGAAGGACCTCTTCAAGGAGAACTACAAACCACTGCTCAAGGAAATAAAAGAGGATACAAACAAATGGAAGAACATTCCATGCTTATGAGTAGGAAGAATCAATATCGTGAAAATCGCCATATTGCTCAAGGTAATTTATAGATTCAACGCCATCCCCATCAAGCTACCAATGACTTTCTTCACAGAATTGGAAAAAACTACTTTAAAGTTCATATGGAACCAAAAAAGAGCCCACATTGCCAAGTCAATCCTAAGCCAAAAGACAAAGCTGGAGGCATCACGCTACCTGACTTCAAACTATACTACAAGGCTACATTAACCAAAACAGCATGGTACTTGTACCAAAACAGAGATATAGACCAATGGAACAGAACAGAGCCCTCAGAAATAATGCCACATATCTACAACCATCTGATCTTTGACAAACCTGACCAAAACAAGCAATGGGGAAAGGATTCCCTATTTAATAAATGGTGCTGGGAAAACTGGCTAGCCATATGTAGAAAGCTGAAACTGGATCCCTTCCTTAGCCCTTACACAAAAATTAATTCAAGATGGATTAAAGACTTAAATGTTAGACCTAAAACCATAAAAACCCTAGAAGAAAACCTAGGCAATACCATTCAGGACATAGGCGAGGGCAAGGACTTCATGTCTAAAACACCAAAAGCAATAGCAACAAAAGCCAAAATTGACAAATGGGATCTAATTAAACTAAAGAGCTTCTGCACAGCAAAAGAAACTACCATCAGAGTGAACAGGCAACCTACAGAATGGGAGAAAATGTTTGCAATCTACTCATCTGACAAAGGGCTAATATCCAGAATCTACAATGAACTCAAACAAACTTCCAAGGAAAAAACAAACAACCCCATCAATCAGTGGGCGAAGGATATGAACAGACACTTCTGAAAAGAAGACATTTATACAGCCAAAAGACACATGAAAAAATGCTCATCACTGGCCATCAGAGAAATGCAAATCAAAACCACAATGAGATACCATCTCACACCAGTTAGAATAGCGATCATTAAAAAGTCAGGAAACAACAGGTGCTGGAGAGGATGTGGAGAAATAGGAACACTTTTACATTGTTGGTGGGACTGTAAACTAGCTCAACCATTGTGGAAGTCAGTGTGGCGATTCCTCAAGGATCTAGAAGTAGAAATACCATTTGACCCAGCCATCCCATTACTGGGTATATACCCAAAGGATTATAAAACATGTTGCTATAAAGACACATGCACACGTATGTTTATTGCAGCACTATTTACAGTAGCAAAGACTTGGAACCAACCCAAATGTCCAACAATGATAGACTGGATTAAGAAAATGTGGCACATATACACCATGGAATACTATGCAGCCATAAAAAATGATGAGTTCATGTCCTTTGCAGTGACATGGATGAAGCTGGAAACCATCATTCTCAGCAAACTATCGCAAGGACAAAAAACCAAACACTGCATGTTCTCACTCATAGGTGAGAATTGAGCAATGAGAACTCATGGACACAGGAAGGGGAACTTCACACACCAGGGCCTGTTTTGGGGTGGGAGGAGGGGGGAGGGATAGCATGAGGAGATATACCTAATGTTAAATGACAAGTTAATGGGTGCAGCACACCAACATGGCACATGTATACATATGTAACAAACCTGCACGTTGTGCACATGTACCCTAAAACTTAAAGTATAATAAAAAGAAAAAAAAAAAAAGAAAATCTTCTTTTCTATAACTACAGGAGTTCTTATCCTGGCTGCACAAGAGTAACTTGCAGAGCTTCAAACTGTGGGATGCCTGTGACCCACCTGCTTGAGACTGATTAAGTGGTCTAGAGTGAGGCACAGTCCCCATTTTTGGAGCTCCCCAGACGAGTCAAACGTGCTGCCAGGGTTGAAGCTCACTCTGCCTAGCAAAGGATGGTGCGTAACATTTGCTCTGAGATAAGACTGGGCATGGTGGTTCACACCTGTAACCCCAGGACTTTGGGAGGCCCAGGTGAGAGGATCATCTGAGCTGAGGAGTTTGAGACCAGCCTGGGCAACATAGTGAGACTTGTCACTACTAAGGGAAGAAAAAAAAATTAGTCCAGCATGGTGGCACAGGTCCCAGCTACTCGGTAGGCTGAGGCAGGAGGATCACTTAAGCTTGGGAAATAGAGGCTGCAGTGAGCCATGATCACACCACTGTACTCCAGCCTGGGTAAAAGAGCAAGACCCTGTCTCAAAAAAAAAAAAGTTAGAAATAAAAATAAATAGAAAACATTTGCTCTGAGACTGATGACAAATAAAAATTATTTTTAATCTATTCACCTAACTTCATGTAACCACTACTGGGTGTCTACACAGCTGAACTAAAGCACAACTTCTGATGACAGAAAACAAGATTTTCCAGGTAAAACAGTTTTGCTTTGATTTTTGGTGAACCCCAAAGCTTTGTTTTTTGCCAAGCCATTAAAAAAAAAAAAAAAAAAAAAAGGAAAGGGCCAGGTGGGGTGTGGCTCACGCCAGTAATCCCAGCACTTTGGGAGGCAGAGGCTGCCAGATGGCCTGAGCCCAGGAGCAGTAGTTCCAGACCTGCCTGAGCAACATGGGGAAAGTGTCTCTACAAAAAAATACAGAAGGCCGGGTGCAGTGGCTCACACCTATAATCCCAGCACTTTGGGAGGCCAAGGCAGGTGGATTGCTTCAGCCCTGGAGTTCGAGACCAGCCTGGACAACATGGCGAAACCCCGTCTCTACTAAAAACACAAAAATCAGCCGGGTGTGGTGGCGTACACCTGAAATCCCAGCTACTCAGGAGGCTGAGGCAAGAGAATCACTTGAACCTGGGAGGTGGAGGCTGCAGTGAGCGAAGATCGCGCCACTGCACTGCAGCCTGGACGACATAGAGAGACTCCGTCTCAAAAAAAAAAAAAAAAAAAAGTTGGCTGGGGCGGTGGCTCAGGCCTGTAAGAGGCAGAAGCGGGTGGGTCACTTGAGGTCAGGAATTCGAGACCAGCCTGACCAACAATGGTGAAACCCAGTCTCTACTAAAAAAATTAAAAATTAGCCGGGTGTGTTGGCACACACCTGTAATCCCAGCTACTCCGGAGGCTGAGGCAGGAGAATGGCTTGAACTGGGAGGCAGAGGTTGCAGTGAGCCAGGATCGCCCCATTGCACTCCAGCCTGGACAACAAGAGTGAAACTCCGTCTGAAACTTTAAAAAATGGACTAACCTCCTAATACAACACAAACACAAGCACCATACAACTGTAAATGATTTACGATCATTTACAATGAGTAAGATATTACTCCTACCCTTGAAAAGCTCGTAGGAGGTTTAAGTTGAATTTAGGTGAACGTGAAAATTTTCTGACCACTGAATTTGAAGATGAAGATACACTATGTACTTTTCGGACAAAATGTGATGACTTTAAGATTTCTTGTCACTAAATTGGGGATGGGGGCTTACTAACTTTAAATTATTTAAGTACTTCAGACAAAAACTAATAACTTCATATCTCTCACAAAGCAAACATTCTGTCTATACACAGAATTTACTAGAACCTGTGAGGAAACTGTAATCATTATCATTTCCGTTTTACAGAATAAGGCAATCAGAACAACTGACTTTCCTAACATCACAGACCTAGATCAGAATTCAGAACTCTGTGTCCAATCTTAGGTCCCTTCCAATATTACAACCTGCAAACTAATCAAACCGGCATCTGTTTTTACATTTCTTTAAAAAAAGCAAAGCAATTAAAAAAAGGACCCAATTCTGCTCAGAGACGAATATGTATTTCTTAATTTGGATCTAACTTTATAACATGGTGATCAACCCAAGTACACTGTACTCGACTCCGAAAATCCTGCTCGTCACTTTATATTTTGAGTCCTACTAGAGACTTTGATGAATTGCACTCAAGAAGACGCGGCCCCCACTACGCAGTGGCTACGGGAGATGGCTTCCAGGGCAACTGTTCTCCAAGTTCATTTCTGAGCGCCGGGTAACCATGGCCAGTAATTAATCCAATTCTAAGCGTTGCTATCAATTCTACGCGTTGCTATCAATTCTACTGATTTCCCTGATCGACCAGAGTCTTCCCATTGCAGGAGCTTTTGTCACAACTTAGGCTTTACCTGTACAACCGTCATCTCCACAGAGGAGCGACAAGCCTTTATGCAATATGGACACCAAGAAAACCGCCTTCGAAGACACGCAAGGCAAAATTCTTGCCAGTGTCCGGAAATACCCGTCTCTGGAACCCAAAAGTCAAACTAAAATTAAAAGTTCGGCTTAGCAACACCGCGAAAGGCGATGTAGGCGTCCACCTGGAGTTTAGCTGCCTCAACCTCCGCCCCGGCCTGCCGGGTCTCTGGGGACCCCGTCTTCCTCCAGCGGGCTCTGGGATGCGGCCCGCTCACCTCTGACCCTGGCCGGATCTCGCGCGTCTAAGCCACCGCGTTGCCAGTCGCTGGCCACCCACCTACCGCCACCGCCCACCTGTGCGGGTCGCCTCGCCGCTAGGCCCCAAGACGGCGCCGCCTGCTCGGCAGCAAAGCCCACCCGCCCCGTCGGCGGCTCAGTGCTGCACCCCCACCAACAGCCAGTTCCGGCGGCCGCACTTCCGATTGGCAGGCTGGGCCGAGGGGCGGGGAAGGCGGGCGGAAGGGGAGGAGCCGGGAGGGCGGGGCCGCTGCCAGGAGCCTGGAGCGCTGCGTTCCGCGCAGGACGCCGGTGAGGCCCGCAGAGACTTGCGTCCGGGCGGGAGGCGGGGCCCAGGATCTCTGCTCAATCCTGGAGTCCGAGTCCGCAAAGTGGGAGGGAGGGTGTAGATGTGAATTTGGGGAAAAACGACCCTGTTGAATTTCTAGAGTGGAAGAAACATAGAACTAGCTTTTCTCTTTGCTTAGCACATACAAATGGAAAAACAGCGACACCGTTACCTACATTTACTAGTCCAATGCGTACAACCTTCTGTAGTATATCAACTGCCAATGAGTTTATGTTTTTAAAAAAACCACCCCAGAGAAGGGTTCTAAAAATTCAGAAACCGCATTACTAGCACACATTGTAAGGTCTGTTTTGTTTTGTTTGTTCGTTTGTTTTTCAGACAGAGTCTCGCTCTGTCGCCCAGGCTGGAGTGGAGTGGAGAAATCTCAGCTAACTGCAACCTTTGCCTCCTGGGTTCAAGCGATTCTCCCTGCCTCAGTCTCCGGAGTAGCTGGGATTATAGGCGTGCACCACCACACCCGGCTAATTTTTGTATTTTTAGTAGAGACTGTTTCACTATGTTGGGCAGGCTGCTCTTGAACTCCTCATCTCAAGTGATCCACCCGCCTTGGCCTCCCAAAGTGCTGGGATTACAGGCGTGAGCCATCATGCACGGCCTGGGGTGAATCTTTTTAATGAGCATTTATTATTTGCCGTTCACAATGCCAAGGGTCATAATGAATGAAAGTGTCTTGGAATTAGAGTTAGTGGTTGCACACATTATAAGTGTATTAAAGTACACTCCAAAATAAAATCCGAACACATTAAGTGGTTACTCCCATTCCTCCCTCTCTCAGCCCCTGGCAAATGCCAATCAGCTTTCAAACTGTGGTACCTATTACGGATATTTCATATAAATGGAATGTGTGACCTTTTGGTCTGTCTTCGTAGCATAATCTTTTGCAGGTTCACCTTGTACACCTTGTTGCATGTATCGGTACTTCATGTCTCTTTATGGCTACTATTCCACTGTACCTAGATGCCACAGTTTTACCTGTCCATCCACTGATGGACATTTGGGTTGTTTCCACTTTCGGGCTATTGTGAATAGCAATGATATGAACATTTGTATACAAGTATTTGTTCGAGTCCCTGTTTTCAATTCTTTTGGGTATAAACATAGTGGAACTTCTGGGTCTTATAGTAATTCTACGTGAAAATATTTGAGGAACCCATAAACAAATGTTTCTACAGCAGCTGAACCATTCATTTTACATACCAAGAGCATTGTCGGGGGATTCCAATTTCTCCACATCCTCACTAACACCATAATTTTCTATTCCTTTGATAGTAACCATCCCAAAGGGTATAAAGTGGTATTTTATTGTGGGTTTGATTTGCATTCCCTAATGGCTAGTTATCTTGAGCATCTTTTCATGCCCTTGTTAGCCATTTGTATATCTTCTTTGGAGAACTCTCTATTCAGGTATTTCCCCATTTTTAAATTGAGTTGTTTGTGTTTTTGTTGTTAGTTATGTGTAGTCATATATTCTGGATATTAGACCCTTATGAGATATATCATTGGTGGATACTTTCTCCCATTCTGTAGGTTGTCTTTTCACTTTCTTTGTAATATCCTTCAGTGTACAAACCTTTTTAATTTTGATGAAATCTAATTTATCTATTTTGTTACTTGTGCTTTTGGTGTCATCACCAAGAATCCATTGTGCAAGCACACTAGCTTTCATGTCTCTTCTTATGAGTAACTAATTCTATTGGATAAGGGCCCCACCTTTATGATCTTCTTAAACCTTAATTACCTCCTTATAGATCTTATCTCCAATACAGTGACATTGGGGTTTGGGGTTACATATATGAATTTTGTGGAGATATAATTTGGTCAACAGACTTCTGTACCCCTGCAATTCATGTCCTTATTGAATACAAAATACATTCATACCACTTCAACAGTCTCAAAAGCATCAACTCTAAAATCTGAAGTCCGAAGTCTCTTCTAAATATCACCTAAAACAGATAAGGGTGAGACTTGAGATATGATTCATCCTGATGCAAATTTTCTCCCCAGCTATGAAACTGTAAAACCAGGGAAGTTGTTTGCTTCCAAAATACAATGGCAGAACAGGCATAGAATAGGCATTCCAAACAAACAAACAAACAAAAATAGGAGCAAGAAAGGAAGGAAATAAAAGAAATAGGCAAAAAGGAAGGGATGACAGGTCCCAAGCAAGTCCAAAAATCTAGCAAGGCAAATTCTAGTAGATTTTAAGGCTCAAGAATAATCCATTTTGATTCAGTGCCCTGCCTTCCAGACCTACAAGGGTGGTGGCCCTGCCTTCTGGACCCTAGGTGGATGCTATACCTCTCCCCACACTCTGCCAGGCATGCTCTTCCAGGCAGAGTCTCATCCCAAAAGTTTTGCTAGGTAATGGCCTTGATAACATCTGAATTGCTTTGAGGTCATTCTCCCCTTTTCTTAAAGAATAGCACAAGTTTGGCCAGGTGCGGTGGCTCACGCCTGTACTCCCAACACTTTGGGAGGCCAAGGTGGGCAGATCACGAGGTCAGGAGTTTGAGACCAGCCTGGACAACATAGTGAAACCCCATCTCTACTAAATATACAAAAATTAGCCTGGCCTGGTGGTGCATGCCTATAATCTCAGCTACTTGGGAGGCTGAGGAAGGAGAATCACTTGAACCTGGGAGGTGAAAGTTGCAGTGAGCTGAGATCCCGCCATTGCACTCTAGCCTGGGCAATG
This sequence comes from Homo sapiens, assembly GCF_000001405.40. Classification (NCBI taxonomy): domain Eukaryota; kingdom Metazoa; phylum Chordata; class Mammalia; order Primates; family Hominidae; genus Homo; species Homo sapiens. The sequence goes on from NC_000013.11 coordinate 37,062,546, forward strand.
GAGTGAGAATCTGTCTCAAAAAAAAAAAAAAAAAGGAATAGTACAAAGTTAGCAGCTGGATAGCTCTATTGTCCTGTCCTGTAGAATCTAGGACATGTAAAAGCCTTCTGTCATTTTTGTCTTGTCTGCATCCCCTTCAGTTGAAACAGGCAGTGTTTCTGCTCATATAATCTCATCATTTATTTATCAAATGATAGTCTAACCATACCTTTGGTGTTTTCTTTAGAATGTACTTTCTCATTTTCTGCAACATGACAGGCAGATAATTTTCCAAATATTTGAGTCTTGGTTCCTTTTTGCTTAATAATTTCTTCTTTCATTCATCTCTTCTTGCATTTTACTATAAGCATTCAGGAAGATCCAGGTCGCACTTTCAGCATTTTGCTTAAAAATCTCAGTTAAATATTCAATTTTATCATTCACAAATTCTGTCTGCCAGAAAACACTAGAAAACAAGTCAGCCAAGTTATTTGCTACTTTATAACAAGGACTGCCTTTCTTCTGTCTTCCAGTGACCCATTCTTCATTTCCATCTGAGACCTCACAAGAATGGCCTTTAACAAACATATATTTACCAAAATTGTGTTCATGATTATGTTTTCTCTAAGAAGATGGAGGCTTTCTCTTCAACTGTATTTCTGAGTTCTTACCAGAATTGCCTTTAACATCCATATTTCTAGCATGGAAATCTAGGCTTTTTCTAGCATGCACCTCAGAATTCTTTCAGCCTCTACCCATTACCTAGTTCCAAAACCACTTTCACATGTTTAGGTTTTATTAAAGCAACATGCAACTTCTTGGTAGCAAAATCTATCTTAGTTTGCTCAAGCCGCCATAACAAAATACCATAAACTGAATGGCCTAAGCGACAGAAATTTATTTCTCATAGTTCTAGAGGCTGTGCAGTCCAAGATCAAGGTGCTTGCCAATTTGGTTTCTGGTGAGGGCTCTTTTACTGGCGAGTAGATAGCCACCTTCTTTCTGCATTCTCATATGATAAAGGAAGCGGGAGAAGGAAAGGGAAACAGACAGAGAAACACACAGAGAAAGATATCTGGTCGTTTTTGTTGTTTTTTTTTTTTATAAAGATACTAATCTATAGCATCAGAACTCCACTCTTGTGATCAATTTAACCTCAGTTACCTTCTTATATAGGTCCCATCTCCAAATACAGTGACACTGGGGGTTTGAGCTTCAATATGTGAATTTTGAGGGGACATATTTAGTTCTTAGCAAATGCTATTATAAATGAAATTGTTTTTAATTTTCCAGATTGGTGATTGCTGATGTATAGAAACACAATTGATTTTGGGGTATTCTCTTAGTCTATTTTCTGCTGCTGTAACAGAATACTACAGACTGGGTAACATATAATAAACAGAAGTTTATTGGCTCACGGTTCTGGATGCTGAAGATTCTAAGATTGAAGGGCTAGCATCTGGTGAGAGCCTACTTGGTATGTATGTTATCCCATGGTGGAAGGACAAAGAGAGGGCTAGAGAGCAAGGGATCAAACTTGAAGCCTCAAGTTCTTTTACAATTGGCATTAATCTATTCATGAGGGTGAGACCTCATGACCTAAACAACTTACATTAGGCCTTACCACCCAACATTGTTGCATTATGGGTTAAGTTTCTAGCACGTCCTTTGGGGGGATATATTCAAACCATAGCAAGTGTTGGCCTTGTACTCTGAACATTTACTTATTAGCTCTATTAATTTTGTATGTGTGCCTACATGTGTATATTCTTTAGGATTTCTATATATAGAATCATGTAATCTGTGAACTGAGATAGTTATACTTTTTTTCTCCCAATTTGAACACTTTCATTTCTTTTCCTTGGTTAATTGCTCTGACCAGAGCCATCCCTTCATTTTAAATATTTTGCTCACGTGATTATGGAAGCTGGCAAGTCTGAAATCTGTTGGGCAGCTGAGTAGGCTGGAATCTCAGGCAAGAGTTGATGCTGCAGTCTTGAGGCAGAATTTCTTTTTCTCTGAGTAATCTCAGATTTTGCTCTTACAGCCTTCAGCTAATTGAATAAGTTCCACCCACATTATCAAGATTAGTCTCCTTTACCTAAAGTCAACTGATTATAGATATTAAATGTATCTTCAAAATACCTTCACAGCAAGACCTAGATTAATGTTTGATTGTGTACTGTAGCCTAGAAAAATTGACATGTAAAATTAACCATCACATTCAATGTGGTAGATAGTAGTGTTAGTTCACAGGATTTTAAAACATTTTTATTTCTCACTCTCCTTCCCATGGCTTCAGTGTGGGCACAGTATACTTCCTCATGGTGATTTTGCATGTGGCTATGTGACTCATTTTGGCCATTGGAATATGAACAGATCCACTAGCAGTTGAGGATAACTAGATGGGGTCTTAGAGAGAAGCAGAAGACATGTGTGTTCTGAATCCTCTGACTGTGTGTGTGTGTGTGTATGTGTGTGTGTGTGTGTGTGTGTGTGTGTGTGTGTGTTTGTAAGCAATGATACAGAGTCCAATTTGAAAGAGCTCCTACTGGCAAAAGAAGGGACACTTGGAGCATCAAGGAGAATCAGAAAGATTTTTTTGACTGAAGTAGTTTGAAATATATCAAAAATTTCAAAATACATAAATTTCAATGCTTTTATTAAACCTCTCACTGGTCACATTGAGGATTGCTAGGGCACTAACTCATTATTCTGAAATTGCTTTTAAAAAGTTTTTAAACCAAATTTTTTGCTTTCCTACACAAACTGAAATTCAGAGTAACCAAAGAGTTGATAGGGGAAAACTTTATTTTTTATTTATTTATTTTTTTGAGACGTAGTTTCACTCTTGTTGCCCAGGCTGGAGTGCGGTGGTGCAATCTCGGCTCACTGCAAACTCTACCTCCTGGGTTTAAGTATTCCCCTGCCTCAGCCCCCTGAGTAGCTGGGATTACAGGCATGCACCACTACGCCCAGCTAATTTTGTATTTTTAGTAGAGACAGGGTTTCACCATGTTGTCCAGGCTGGTCTTGAACTCCTGACCTCAGACGATTAACCCGCCTCAGCCTCCCAAAGTGCTGAGATTACAGGCGTGAGCCACTGCGCCCAGTCTGGGAAAATTTTTTAATAGAAGAATTCCAGTGAATAAATAAAAAAGTGATAGAATATCACCATTTTGCAACCTGTGAGAAAATAATACTTCTAGGGAATAATTACTAATGGTTACCAAATAACCAAATGGGTAGAAGGTTGAAAGGAAACTTAATAGTGATCCACTTTATGTATGTGCTATTTATGTGCTATGTACTATACTATATAAATAGTACTTTATAGTATTACTGTTTATGAAATTTTTTTTTTACAAAATCCTAAATCTGAATTTAATCAAGCCTCTAGATCTAACTGCCAGTTTACTTGAAAAAAAGAGGCACAGAGTAACATGTTAAGTGATCTTTCAGTGACCAACAGTGGTGGTGGAGGAGACCCACCCAAGTCTGGCTGTGTTGGGTACTTGTGATGCAAATAACTCATGAGGAGCCTTGCTTTCCTCCTCTGGTGCTGTCAGGGCTGTTACCTTGAGCTCCCCCTACGTTAGTGGGTCCTCGATTTTAGAGTTGAAAGCTTGGCTGCCTGGCTGTGCTCTGAAAGAAATTATTTTCTTATGAGTATCACTCTGTTCCTCCTTCCCTAATGCTCGCCACTCTGGTACCATTGCTACTGATGTCACAGCTTCTTTTCTGGCTCAAGTCACTCCTCCCAGGACAGGGCAGGTGCAAGTGAAGACAGAGAAAGGGTGGTTGCAGCAGTGTGTGAGGAGGCCCTACCTGCTGGCTTGTGGACAGTTGTTCTGCCAGGTGTGCCAGCCACAGCCGTGACAACGGAAAGACAAAGCCTTCTCTCCCGCCTGACTCCCTCTCTCCAGCTGCTTTCCACACTTCCAATACCCAGATCATGTCATATGCCCCCTGTTACATTTTTTTGAGCCCCTAGTGTCCTTAAAATGAAGTCTGAATTCCTAATATGACATTTAGGCCCTCCATGGTCCAAGGCTATCCATGTTCCCAGACAGAGTCTTCCATGATAACTCCTTTACATCCTGCTGTCTTGCTGGCTGCATTGTCTATCTTGTTATAAACTTTTATTTCTCTATTTTTTTTTAACGAATGATTTTTCTTTATCTGGCATTTTCTTTTTTAATAAATTTGCCCATTGAATCTTATACCAGCCTGCTTGACTACATAAATGTTAATACCTCTGAGATACTTGCTGGAATTTCTTCCAGTTGGAATTAGTTTTTCTCATCTGTAATGGCCCCAAATGCTTTTTTTTTCTTTGAGATGGAGTTTTGCTCTTGTGGCCCACGCAGAAGTGTGATGGCACATTCTTGTTTCACTGCAACCTCCACCTCCTGGGTTCAAGCGATTCTCCTGCCTCAGCCTACCTAGTAGCTGGGATTACAGGCTCCTGCCATCAGGCCCGGCTAATTCTTTTGTATGTATGTATGTATGTATGTATGTATGTATGTATGTATGTATGTATGTATTTATTTATTTGAGACAGAGTCTCACTCTGTCACCCAGGCTGGAGTGCAGTGGCATGATTTTGGCTCACTGCAACCTCCAACTCCTGGGTTCAAGCAATTCTCTTGTCTCAGCCTCCCGAGTAGCTGGGATTACTAGTAGTGGGCGCTACCATGCCCGGCTAATTTTTGTACTTTTAGTAGAGATGGGGTTTCATCATGTTAGCCAGGCTGGTCTTGAACTCCTGACTTTAGGTGATCCGCCAGCCTTGGCCTCCCAAAGTGCTGGGATTACAGGCATGAGCCACCATGCCCGGCCTCCAAATGTTTTATTTTAACCAAGGTGGCCAAAATAAAGTCTCATTAATATTTCTCTTAGTTCTCCTAACTTTAGATAGGATTTCTTACCAACTCTAGGCCACTGACCTCCCTTTTCTTAGATCATTTACTATAAAAAAACTTTTAGGCTGTTTTTTTGCTCCTTTGATATATAACTTTTAAAAAATGCCTGTTACCAATTCTACAACCCTGGAATGTCTTTCTTAAGGAGGGCCATCTCCTTGAAATGTAATAATCAAGGAAGATAGAGCCCGTGTCTCCAGTTTCTGTAGGAGGGCAGTAACCAACTTGAGAGGGTGCTTAGCTCCAAGTTATAACAGTACCTCCTATCACGAAGATACAGTAAAGTTTGTGTTTTCTTTAGGTAAGGACAGTTAACACAGATGGCCTACTACCCCCTACTCCAGCTCTTAAAACCTCTCCTGCTAAACTTCTGTACATCAGTAGAGTGAAAAGGCAACCAACAGAATGAGACAAATATATTACAAATAACATATTTGATATATGTATAAATAAAGAATATGTAAAGAATGTCTACAGCTCAACAACAGAAAAACCAAATAACCCAATTTAAGAATGGGAAAATAATTTGAATAGACATTTCTCCAAAGAAGAGGTACAAATGGCCAATAAGCACATGAACAGGTGCTTAGCCTCACTCATCATTAGGGAAGTGAAAATCAAAACTACAATGAAATACCACTTCATATTCATTAGGATAATTATCAGAAGAACAGAAAATAACAAGTGTCGTCAAGAATGTGGAGAAATCTGGATATTTGTACCTTGCTAGTGAGAATATAAAATTGTGTAGCTGCTGTAGAAAACCGTGTGGTTGTTCTTCAGAAAGTTCAACACAGAATTACCATGTGATCCAGCAATTCTACTTCTAGGTATATACTCAAAGGAATTGAAAGCTGGGACTTGAACAGATATTTGCACACCAACATTTATAGTAGCTTTATTCACAATAGCCAAAAGGTGGAAACACTCCAAATGCCCACCGACAGATAAATGTATCAATAAAATGTGGTTAATACATGCAATGGAGTATTAGCCTGAAAAAGGAATGGAATTCTGATACATGCTACATTATGGATGAACCTTGAAAACAGGCTAAGTAAAATAAGCCAGAAACAAAAGCACAAATATTACATGATTCCACTTATATGAGGTATCTAGACTAGTCAAATTCATGAGACACAAAAAGATGAATGGTTTACTAGGGGATATGGGAAGGAGGAATTGGAAGTTATTATTTAATGGACATAGAGTTTCTATTTAGGGTGATGGAAAAGTTCTAGAAATGGATAGTGGTGATGTTTGTACAACACTGTGAATATACTCAGTACCACTAAATTGTACATTGAAAAATTGCTAAAATGGGAAATTTTATCTTATGTATATTTACCATAACACAAATATTAAAAAAAAAAAACCCAAACCCAATTATCTTCCCCTTTGTTTCAGTGGAGTTGAGTTCATGCTATATTCTGGTCTCTCTCACCTATTGCAATAGCCTTAAAGTAAGTCTTCCTTGACTATGTAACTTTGTCCAGGCCAATTTTTGCTTAGACAGTGTGCATTTCTGGCATTGCATTGAACATACTGTGAATTGTGTTCAGCTACTTGAGCACACATCTGCTTCTTTGTAAGCTTTTAAGCCTTTTGAGGTCAGGAAGCATTTTGTAGTCATATTTTTATCATCCAGGATGGATGACCAGGTGTCCTTACAAATTAGGACCCAAAAAATTCTGAAACAAAATTATTTCTATTTTATATACAGAGTTTGCTTGTATATAAGTGACATCTTGTGGCACCAAATGGAATAGTCAGTACTGTATTAATGTTTTCTTTGAACAAATAATGCTCTTTTTAGAGATCCAGATCCTACATATCTATTTTAAAGCTTGCCTAAAATAAGCATTGTTACAGTCAGAGGGCAACCAGTTAGTGGTATTTCTTAATTATGGTTTCGTCCACTTGGGTAGACCCTACCAGGGACAATTTGTGGCTGGATCAGGTCTGGTAACTTATTGATTGTGGCAGCGGGTGGTCCGGAGAGGCCACTGCCACCCCACCGGCTGCAGTGGGGAGGTGCGAGGGGTGGCAGCAGGAACGGCTGTGGGAGCAGCAGTGGCGGTGGTGGGTCCCCTGTGCCCCACGTCCCGGAAGCAACCTCCTGTGCTGCCCCCAAACTCATGCAGCCAGGTGGGACCCGACCCTAGGCCCGGAGCTTTCATCACTCGGGACTCTGGCCCCACACTGCTGCTCTCACCCACGCACTGCTGCTGTGGGGAGGGCGTGGGGAGGAGGCGGAGCTGGGCCCGGGGCTGTGCCACGCTTCACGCTTCACGGAACCAGCGGGAGCCAAGGACAAGCAGGAGCCGCCCCGCAGCCCCTTGGGGGCCGCCGCTATGAGGCCAGGCCAAGTCGCCCAGCCCAGAGGGGGAGTGATGGAGCCACGCGATTGGGCACAGAGGAGTGGGCAGAGAGGCACCCAGCAAGGACCTGGAGCCCCCGCCCCAGGCTGTGAGGAGGCATGGCCCGGGCTGCCTGCACATTCCACAGAGCAGGCAGGAGCCCCACCTTCCCAGGTGCAGGACCCAGGCCGTCTGTGGGATCTGTACCCTTGAGGTCAGGAAGGCCCCCCTGTCCCCACAGGCTCGGGGAAGCCTGCTCCTGCCTGGCCTCTCCCTGTTCCCTGCACTGCTTTGATCTTGGAGCTGGGTTGGGGCCAAGCTCAGGGCAGTGCTGACACGCCAGCCCCCTGCTGCCTAGACCCCCTCCGGACTTTGGGCACTGAGGAGTACAGGGGAAGCCGAGGGGTGGCTGAGAGCAGCTTGGTGCTGGCCTACAGGTGCCCCTTGACTCGAGCATTCTGGGCTCCATGGACAGCTGCAGGAGGCAGACAGGCTGTTAAGAGGGTAGAAGGGGGCAGGTCCCTGGTTAGGCCAGGGAAGGCCTGAAGGCTTGGGGCTGACTGCCCATCCAGTTGATAGGAGTGGGAGGTGGTGGCTTTTCTGGCCACCCGCCATGGCCTCTCATAGACCAATCAGCGGGCACTTCTGAGGCCATAAAAGCCCAGGACTCAGCCAGAGCTGAACAGATGACGGGATGACCAGCTGCAGAGAGGAGCTACCCTCTCTGCTGGTAGCTGGACCATGGGAGGAACAGCTGCAGAGAGGAGCCACTCTCCCTGCCAAGAGTGAACACTTGTTGGGACGACTTGCCTGCAGAGAGGAGCTACCAGCTCTCAGTTAGGAGCTGAACACTTGACGGGACATCCTGGCTGAGGAAAGGAGCTGCCCCTTGTGGGAGACTGAGCTGTTCTATCGCTCAATAAAGCTCTTCATCATCTTGCTCACCCTTCACTTGCATGCGTACCTCATTCTTCCTGGTCACAAGACAAGAACTTGGGACCCACTAAATGGCAAGGCTAAGAGAACTGTAATACAAACAGGGCTGAAACATGCCCCTTGCTCCCCACGTTACAGGCAGAGAGAAGGAGAGCTGTGGCCCTTTGGGGAGTCTAGACCTGGGAGCTCCCTGAGCCAGGGCTGTGACTCCTTCTTTGAGGCCCTGTGGTTCCTGGCATCTCCAAGCTTCCAGGCACCACTGCTTTCCCTGGTGCCAGCCAGGGAAGCTCCTTGTGGTGCGCCCTGTCCAGCTGCAGCCTCACTGAGAGCCGGCGCCTATGCTGGCATCTGGAGCTGCCCGCCCCATGGCAGCAGCTGCATGTCTGACTGCGCAGTGGCCAGACCCCGTGCTCACACACACAACTCTTGCTGCTCCATGCTTGACTCACTGTCTCCCTTGGAGGTGTGGGATCCAGGCCAGTAGCATGAGCTGAGTACAGCCTGCTAGGCCAAGTGGGCAGAACGAGCCCAGTGGGCTGAGCAAAACTTGGGCAAGGCCTCCACCAGCCACAGGTTTCCAGCCAGGAGAAGGACACCTCAAAGATCCCATAACATTACCAAACTTGAAAGAGATTTCCCTAATCAAAATTATTAATTTATTGATAATTAGCAGAAAGATAATAGCTGAATCCAAGGAAAAGAAGAAGGTGGGTAGGCTATAAAGGCAAGAGAGCCCTTATATAATAAAGGCAACAGAACTTACAAAGATGCCTGATAAATGTCAGGTGCATTGCTAATTCCCTTGTTTCGACAAGGGAAGATTTGGGGCTTGAAAAAATACCTGGAGTTGCTGGTGTTTTAGTGAATATTCAATTTATTAAAATTATGAGTTTATAAATTTAGATTTCTTAAGACTTTAATCTCAAAATGCTAATTTTATTATAAATTCAGAAACTTATTTCAATTAAAAAGTCTCTTTTTCTTAACACCTCAGGGGATTCTTAAGTGCCCTGGAGTGTGAGAATCATTGTTCTGTAATGTATAATAATTTTCAGCCTTTTTTTTTTAAATAAGTAAGGTTTCTAAATTCCAATTAATGAATCTCTATTGACTTGTTTTCTCAGTGAGGCTGTCAAAGGGAAGCTTGATAGCTTTGGCATGAAATTCCATAGCATGTGTGGTTCTCATTGACATATGCTAAACCTGTTTCCTCCAGCCAGCAGTGGTTTCAGGGGAGTGTGTCTGACTTTTTCCTGAGGGTGACCCTGATAAAGAAAGAGAGAAAAAGAAAAGAATAATAAAGCAGGCATTGAAAGCAGAGAAACGTAGTGGTCCCCACTGTAGAATTTGATTCATTTCTTGCCCCTTTCTTCCTTTATCCAGGCAAACTTATTGAACAGGCATTCGTATAACTGGGCCACTGCCTGCAGAACATCGCCAGGATTTGCTCTGATTCACGTTTGCATCTATTAAAACATAACCTTTGGCACATTAAAAACTAAGAGTTTATTTGAGCAGACTGTGACCATGAAACAGGCAGGGAATGGCTAGGGGCTCACACAGAAATAGAGGCTCCTGGAAGAGGTTGAAGGAAAAACTTTTATAAGGTGAATGTGAAAGCAAAGAAATTATTTGTCTGGTTAAAGTTTGAGCAATTGCCTTATTTGGACTATTTCAGTGAAAGATTCAAGACAATATAAATAATGCCCAATTGGCCATTTGTGATTTGCTGAGATAAAGTTTAAAATTCCGTTAGGTTTCAGTTTGCTTATGTAGGAATCCAGGGTGTCAGAGCCACTTCAGTCTAATGGCCTCCCATTTAGTTATTTTAACACATCTCTAATGCCTACTCCAATCTTGGTGCTCAATATTCATTCATTAATAACTATTTCCTGAGAGCCTCTAATATACTAGGTATGCTTCTAACTGCTGGGAACATTAGCAGTGTCCAAAGGGATAAACATGTAGGCCCTCAGAGAGATACTTCCTAGAGGGAGAAATGAATAAATGAGAACACATAGTACATTATGTGTCTGTGTCCTTCAGGAAAAGGCCGCCAGCCACACACCTGTGGTTGAATAACTAGGGTTTGTTATTTTTTGCAGAGAGGGACAACAGTCACCATAGGGACTCATAGGGGGCTCAGAAAAAGAATGTAATCTATTATAGGATTTGGGCTTTAGCTGGCAACTTGGGGCAGGTTCTCAAAGAGTAGAGCTTTGCTCTGGATTTAAAGTTGTCAGGAAGTAGGGGAAATTCTGATTTGGTATCTTAATAAATCTTATGTGTAGAGAGGACAGACTAGATTGAGGCTAAAGTTGTACTTGGTAAAGAAGCAGCAGTCATTAATTTTAGCCAAAAGAAAAGAGGTGTTTGGTAATTTGTGGGTTGCACAGTGGCCTTGTTTTTATCTCACTTTATCAAAATCTGAGAGTGTCCTTGTCTGTTGTTGATGGTCTATGAAATTGTTTATGTACAGCAGGAGAATGGGGCCAAGCTGTGAGCATCAGGCCAATTGCCTGATGGCAGGGGCTTTCTCTTTATCAGATGATAATAAGTGCCATGAAGAAGAAAAAGAAAGCAGGGAAAGGCATATAGGGAGTGCTGGATGGAGAGAGGCAGGAATGATGTCGACTTAAAAACAGTTAGTGAAGGCTAATTAACCTGTAAGCAAAAAAAATCTGAAGGAGGTGAGAGAGGGGTCAACAAGTGAAACGATGGGGAGAGCAGCAGGAGAGATGGGAGAAACCACATTCAGAAACAGTGAGGAGACCAGTGGGTTCAACAGTGAGTTAACAAAGGTGAAATAAATACTTCTAAGGACTTCACGAACAGCTGCCGATGCCCAGATGTCTGGTTGCCCAAGGTGTTATCTGAGACTGAAGAAACAGACTTTCCCCCTTCATTCCCTGAAACTCCCACTCCCTTACCCTTTGGCTGCATAAAAACTCCCTGCTTCTGCTTCTTCCTTTTTTTTTGAGATAGAGTTTCACTCTTTTGCCTAGGCTGGAGTGAAGTGCTCTGGGCTCACTGCAACCTCTGCCCCCCAGGTTCAAGCGATTCTCCTGCCTCAGCCTCCTGAGTAGCTGGGATTACAGCTGCCCGCCACCACACCTGGCTAATTTTTGTATTTTTAGTAGAGATGGGGTTTTGCCATGTTGGCCAGGCTGGTCTCGAACTCCTGACCTCAAGTGATCCACCTGCCTTGGCATCCCAACATGCTGGGATTACAGGCGTGAGCCACTGCGCCCAGCCCCCGCTTCTTTTGTTAAGATGGATTTGAAAAATCTTGCTCTCCTGCCTTCTTGCTTTGGCCATATCAAATCTTCCTCTATCTCTGAGCACCTGTGTGTCAGTATTTGGCGTCAACTGCACGTCGGGTACACGAGCCTGAATTTGGGGTTTTATGACACTCTGATGATGTCCTATCTCATTAAAAGTCCTATCATCCCCTAATTATCCCACACCCCCACTGCCTTTCTGAGCTCATTTCCTCTGTGTCCCTCATTCACTCCACACTGGCCTCTTTTCCTGTTCCTAAAAACAGGGCCTTTGCATCTGTAATTTTTAAAATTCCAGTCATAAATAGTTCACTATATATATCTAAGAGATAATTTTAAGAAGCAATCATATTATATCATACCTTAAAAGTGAACTATAGTTCTGTCGTATCATATAATATCCAGTCAGTTTGCATTTCCCTATTTTTCACGATTTAAAAAAACTGTTCAAATCAGCATCAAAACAAGGTCCACAGATAGCATTAGCTTAATATGATACTTTTAATCTATAAGTATCTTAGGACACTTTAAATCTATAACAATAAAACTTTTAATTGTTTTCATCTATAATAATTTTCTCTTCTAGCACATTTCTTATGTTCTTTTGTGCAGTAGAACTTTCCACATTCTAGATTAGTGGTGTCTAACATGTTTACCTGCCTTTTTATTTCCTCTAAACTGCTTGTTGGACCTAGACACTAGATAAGATTCTGGACTGATTTTTGTTTTTTGCAGAAATATTTCATAGGTGGAACTGGATTTTGCCTATTGCATTATATTAGGAAGGTTATAATGTTGGGCTCTTTTCTTTTTTTGTGCCATTACGATTGTTCAGTAGGTTGAGGTATTTAATTAATTCAGTTTAGCCACTAGAGGTCAGGGCTTGATTTAAAAATAAATACTGTACTAAACTTGATGAAAGATCTAGACAACTTTTGATCTGTAAAGGAGTAGAAAATTCTTTATTATTAATGAGATGTCATTACTAGGAATTTCTGCCTAAAACTTTTTTGGTTCTTAAATATACAAATGTTCATTGCTTTAAAGGTCAAATACAGTTTTTCCAAAATAGTTTTTCCATCGTTAGCCATTATCAATACTCTAAATTTCTGTTTCCTAGATTTAAATACTACTGTATCCCAGGCATTTAAGTCAGTTTATAAGCTGCTTTAACTATATACAATACCCTAGTTAAAATGGTAAAATAGGAAAGCTAGGACAGTGAGAAAAATACTGGTTAAACCAAACATGGAAAAAAGGACTGAGCAGCCAAGGAGAGGAGGAAGTCAGGTGAATTCACAAAACTGTAGTTGCAGCAGGAGGCAAGCAATGCTTCTTATCTGGGACTGTCTTCAGGCCCATCTCCCACAGCTGTATCCAGAGCTTTGTGTGAAACATACCTCGGTCTTGGCTGATCAGCGCTGTGAGTCCAAAGGTGTTCTTCAATTTAACCATATTGAGAAGTTTGAGTAGGGATGATAGTCAAGGTAGATGTGTGTTTTTCTTGTTTTGCAGAAGTGGGACAAATTTAACTTAGTGATGTAACTCTTATGGTAAATTACTGGCCAAAAACCTAATGCTAAAACTATAGATGAGTACAATTATAGTGACAATACACACATTTTTAGAATCTTATCTTTTCTTCAGTTATAATCTTAGAAGTGTAGAAAAACCTGAACTAAACTCAGATAATCGGTGGTTTAGATTCTGACCCTGTCTTACTGAGGCATCTTGTAACATGACCACTTTGAGCTTCTGTTTAGATGCATGTAAAATGGGACCAACAAAACCTAGAGCTTCCAGGGAGGTTGCAAGGATTGGGTTTTCTCCTTATCTCATCGGCTGCTTCTATTTAGTCTCCCTTGCTGGGTCCTGTGCATAGTCCCAACCTCATTTTGCTTTTATTGCTGAATAATATTCCATTGTACAGATATATCGTATTTTATATACTCATCAGTGGACAGACTTTGGTTTGTTTTCATTTTTTTGGTTATTTTAATTAATGCTTTTATGAACATTTATGTACAAGTTTTTGTGTGCACAGGTTTTCACTTGTCTTGGGTATATACCTGGGAGTGAGATTGCTAGATCACATGATAACCCTATGTTTAGCCTTTGGAAGAAATGGCAGGCCGTTTTCCAAAGAGGCTGCACCATTTTATATTCCCACTAGCAATGAATGAAGTGGTTTCAATTCCTTCATATCCTGCCAATATTTGTTGTTATGTATCTTTTTGTATTATAGCCATCCTAGTAGTTGTGAAGTGCTATCTCATTGTGGTTTTGGTTCACATTTCCTTGACAGCTAATGATGTTGAGCATCTTTTCATGTGCTTATTGGCCACTTGTATATCTTTGCAGAATTATCTATTCAGATCTATTGCCCATTTTAAAACTGGATAATTTGTCTTTCTAGTGTTGAGTTGTAAGAGTTTTCTCTTCTGGATACCATCCCTTATCAGATATGTGATTTGTAAATATTTTCACTCATTTTGAGGGTTGCGTTTTTATTTTCTTAATAGTCATTTGAAACATAAAAATGTTTAATTTTGATGATGTTGAGTTCATTTATTTTTTTCTTTTGTTACTTGTACTTTCAGTGTCATACCTAAGAAACTGTTGCCTAATACAAGGTCATGAAGATGTACATTTAATTTTTTTCTAAGAGTTTTAAAGCTGGCACCTCCAGCTTTTGTCTTGGAAAGTACTGATAAGATCTTCAGATTTAGGTGAACTATCACATGACTCCCACAACCTCTTGGTGTGCAGATAAATGTTTAACAACCAATTTTCTGAAAAAAAGTGTATGTGTGTCTGGGTGTACATAAGTTATTACAGATTTTACTGCTTAAAAGGAAGTGTAGCATGCAATTTACAAATAATAATAAAATGTACTCTGAATTGCAAGTATCATATGTCACTTATCGCAAATGCTTTCATTGATTTTTGCTAAATTCTTGTATCCATAGCCAACCTATAGTTGCCATTCAACCATGACTTGACAAATTGAGTTACATCCCAATCCAATTAGTCTTTCTCCCAACAAACTTATTGTCACTAAATTCAATATATGATCTACTGTTAAATGATTTCTCACCCTATATAAATTATATTTATTAAATTGAAATATTTTTCAATTTCTGATTTATAGTGTTTGCCAATTTCCATGGTATAAATACTCTCATCGTGATTGATTTCAAGCTATTAGCATGACATTGCTGAACACAGAACTGGGAAGAAATGCACAGTGGCACCCCAGTATATAGTATTTGCACCATAAAGATACAATAGAAATAAATAACCTCAAAAGCAAAGATAATAGAAAATGTAATAAAGTAATATAGCAATAAAGTAAGAAAAATGTAAGAAATTATGTAACACAGTAAACCCTTGGTATCCATGGTATCCCTTGGTGTTTGTGGGGGATTGGTTTCAGGAACGTGATGGTGTCAAAATCTGTAGATGCTCAAGTCCCTTATATAAAATAGCATGGTATTTGCATGTAACCTACACACATCCTGTTGTGTACTTTAAATCATCTCTAGAGTACTTATAATACCTAGTATAATGTAAATGTTATGTAAATAGTTATACTATATTATTTTTATTTATATTATTTCCTATTGTTGTATTGATATTTTTAATGATTTTTTCTTTCTAATATTTTGAATCTTTGGTTGGTTGAGTCCATGGATGCAGAACTCACAGACAGAGAGAGCTTACCACATTTAGGTAGTGATGTTATTTATTTTTTGAGACGGAGTCTCACTCTGTCACCCAGTCTGGAGAGCAGTGGCGTGATCTCGGTTCACTGCAACCTCCACCTCCTGGGTTCGAGCGATTCTCCTGCCTCAGTCTCCCAAGTAGCTGGGATTACAGGCATGCACCAACACGACTAACTTTTTAAAATTTTAGTAGAGACAGGGTTTTACGATGTTGGCCAGGCTTGTCTCGAACTCCTGGCCTCAAGTTATCTGCCCGCCTCGGCCTCCCAAGGCTCTGGGATTACAGGCATGAGCCATGGTGCCCGGCCAGTGATGAGTTTTAAATATTTGTTGCCTTTATTTTAACATAATTTAATGAATTATAAGTTTGTATAATTTAATTTTTGATAATGGCTATGTTTAACAACTGCATTGTAAAATTTTTGAAAATTTATTTATTTATTTATTTATTTATTTTTGAGAGAGAGTCTCACTCTGTCGCCTAGGCTGGAGTGCAATGTCATGATCTCGGCTCACTGCAACCTCTGCCTCCTAGGTTCAGGTAATTCTCCTGCCTTAGCCTCCCAAGTAGCTGGGATTATAGATGCCCGCCACGACGGCCAGCCAATTTTTGTATTTTAGTAGAGACGGGGTTTCACTGTGTTGGCCGGGCTGGTCTCGAACTCCTGACCTCAAGTAATCTGCCCCCTTCAGCCTCCCAAAGTGCTGGGATTAAAGGTGTGAGCCACCGTGCCAGGCCTGAAAATTTATTAATAGCAGCAAGCTCTCAAAAGCCTATAAAAGCCAATTCCAGCACACCACTAATTCGCCGCCTCCTCCTGCCCTAAATATACCATGCCCATCTTGATAACAAATGATGTAGAAAAGATTTTTGCATTTGATGTTACCTGTTTTGGTGTTGTATCATCTGTGTTTTGGGGCCTTTGTGTGGATACCTCTGCTTCTGGGTCTATCTCAGCCTCTAAGAATCTTAAAGAGGGTAGAGAAAATATAAGCCTTACCAGTAATTTCTGTTTCCACCTTCAGTATTTATTGGCTATCCATAGGCTATGGCAGTGTTCTCATACTTTATCACTACTACAAAGCATCAGAGATTTCACTAAAATGCAGATTCTTAGGGCTCATATTTCAAAACTCTCATTGTATAGACATAGATTGGGGGAAGAAATTTGTAAGAAGCCCAGAAATTTATAAGATGCCGACACAGGTGGTTTTTATGCTTTGAGAAAGCAGCATCAGATTAAGAGATTCTAATGTTCAATAAGTAGAAAAAAATCAATTACAGAGTTTATAAATTAATTGGATAACTAATTCCATTCAATCCATGAATTTATTCACTTATTGAATATGATAAAAACCATATTACATTTTAAAAAGTATGGCTCTTGGAGTCATGGAGTCACATTCAATTTAATTCAAATCCCTGCTTGTAAATATCAAATGATATTTATGTTTTTATCTTCTATCTGTCTATCTATCTACCTATCCGTCCATCTATCCATCTATCTGTGTTGAATGAATAAAATTAAAATAAAACATGGCCCATGTTTTCAAGAAGCTTCCAGTCTAGTGAGGAAGTAGAAAACAAATTAATGGTCCCAGTTCAGTATGATTATATTGTGTGTAGAAGCTATGTCAGCAGTGTAGAGAGAATCTAAATCAGACAGAGAGGTAGGGAGGGTAAGGGAGAACTCAGAGAGGCGATACTTAACTTTGATTCTTAAGGCCATATGGTGTTAACTGTAGGAAAAATGATTGAAGGTTATTTTAATGAGAAGAAATTAAATATATGCGAGTGGGAGGCTTGAAGATGCAGTGTAGTTGGCCCTCCGTATCTGTGGGTTCCACATGTGCGAATTCAATCAACCATGGATTGAAAATATTTGGAAAAAAACTCACCCCAAATAACAATAAAACAATAAAAATAATACAAATAAAATAATATGTACAGTATAACAACTATTTACAAGGCATTTACATTGTATTAGGTATTATCAGTACTCTAGTGATGGATTAAAGCATTTGAGAGGATGTACAAGGGTTATATGCGAATACTATGCTATTTTATACAAGGGACTTGAGCATCCATGGATTTTGGTATCCTTGGGGTTCCTGGAACCAATGGACACCAAGGGACGACCAAACTCTAAAAAGCTTAGCAGACATGCCTGAGGGGTAAGGCAGTTCTGCTAAATATTCAGACAAATAAAAACAAAATCAAACAAACACATATTTGGTTAAACCTGTATCCAAGTACAATGGAAGCCATTCTGATTCATATTTTTTTCTTCTTTTTTTTAGATGGAGTCTCACTCTGTCACCCAGGCTACAGTGCAGTGGTGCGATCTCGGCTCACTTCAACCTCCGCCTGCTGGGTTCAAGTGATTCTCCTGCCTTAGCCTCCCGAGTAGCTGGGATTACAGGCATGTACCACCATGCCTGGCTAATTTTTGTATTTTTAGTAGAGACGGGGTTTCACCATGTTAGTCAGGCTTTTCTCGAACTCCTGACCTCAAGTGATCCGCCTGCCTCAGCCTCCCAAAGTGCTGGGATTACAGGAGTGAGCCAATGCACCTGGCCTATATTTTCTTAACTAAATTCGCCATTCAAGTGTTTCTGGCAGGTGAACTAGGTCCCTCTTCTTCCGCAACCAAAAAAGGTATGATAGAAATGATCTATCTTACTTTCAAATTAATTTTTAAATTTAAAATTTGAATATCCTTAGTAGGTAGCAAGTTCTTTGAGGTCACTGATATATTTTATTTCTTTTCATATTATCAGTCCAGCTCAGTGACATGCCTTGTTCAAATGCTCACAAAGGAAAATGTTAGTGATTCTGAATAGAGAGATTTAGAGATTTCTTACAGTATGCAAGTACATGGTTCACAAGAAGAGTGCTTCGAGAAGAAAATTATCTGAACTTTTAAAATTATGATCTGAGTTAGGATACACCAGAGTTAATAAAGAAATATGGAATAAGAACTGACAGAAACTGGAAATGCTGACCTCCTCATAGTAGGAAACGAAAAGACAATAAATTGATACTTTGAGATAAAGTAGATTCATTTTAGCTTATGGTAAACAATATTTCCTTTACATTTTTTGAAGTAGGGAGTAAATACCATGCTACATGAGCAGATTTCTAGGTCCCTAGAGCAACAATCTATGAACATTTACAATGGGGTAGGAAAAAAATGCAGAACTTCCAACCATATGACTTGGATTTGAATTTCATCTTCAGTATTTGCCAGCTGTTTGGCCTTGCTTATTTTCAGTCTGTCTTTTGTCACTTGTGAAAGAGAAATTGTCATCGTCATTGTCGTCATCATCACCATCAGTTTCCTCACAGGGTGATTAGAAAGAGCAAATAAGATAATGTATGGGATGGTACTTTGTAAATAGTGAAATTCTCAGGAAATATGTTGTTGTTGTTGGTTGTTGGTTCTGTAAGGAATCCATCGTTCTGAGATCTTCTCTTCTCTGACTTAAATTCACATTCTATTCCCACAGGTGAGTTTCAGCCAGGGCAAGATCTAAGATGGTTCTCCCAGATCAGGACCTGGGAAACAGGTGTGACTGACTAATCCTAGGCAGTAATTCAGGAGGCCAGGATAGGACCAAAGCTACCCAAGTGTATCTAACTCTTGGGAAAATAATGAAATGAGCCTGAGGCAGGAGGTGTGGAGACAGTACAGGAGTTGTAAAGGCTGGGAAGAAAATAACATTTCTGGAGCTGATTTCTACTGCTATAAAGGACCAGGGAGGGCACAAAGCTGCCCCAAGTTTCCTTTAAATATCATGGTTTCTGGAGCTGGAGTGATACAGGTTGCTAGATGTCCTAACTTAGGAAAGCAGCTCTGCTCCCAATATCTTCTTTGCTATATCTTGATAATGGGCAGATGGCCCAATAGTAAGTAATTTTTTGGTTGAAAAAACAATTTTGTTTTAAAATAAAAACAGCTTCTGGAATATTTAAGGTTGGGAGATACCAAATCAATGACACTTCAGTGTGTGCTCATTTGATAAGGTTTTTTTTTTTTCCCATTCTGCCATATTCTTAGTTACCAGAAAGCAAAAGTCGATAGATATTTTATCTTTCAGGTAACTTTTTCACAGAAAAACTCAAAATTTTAGAGATAGTTCATATTGTTAGTGGCTATATGAAATTTACAAAACAATGGAGTTTTAAATTTTAATATTTGCATAATTAGTTTAAAGTAGTATTAAATATCATGTCTATTAATTTTATTTTTTATAATTTATTCACCCGACAACTACTTAGACGCACTATTTTGAACCAGCAATTATGTTGTAGCCCAAGGATGAAAAGTGGGGCTTCTGTCTTGATGGATCAACTATGATATAATTCCACATTTGATAGAATGGGTCTCTCTATAAAGGGTAATGTGAACAAAGGAGAAGACATTTACCTTGGAAAGTATGAGAAGGTCGTCTCTCTGAGCACATGAAAATCAGAAACGTGCCTTAGGAAAGATGGGGACTCATGGGTCTTTCATGGGTCATGCATTAAAAATATATACAAAGTCTGTTAAGAAGAAGGTTAGGGGAGATTAGCTGCTAGATAACAAGATTATCTTAAAATTGAAAGAGATTTGAGCATGTTTGTATTCTGCCAGGAGCAAAAGAGATTCCATATACCAGAAAAGAAAATCTTTGCTATCATTTAATAGGGTCCCTGAGTATGTTAGAGGGAAGGGATTAAAAAGAGTAAACCAAAGTGGGAAGTAAAATAGCCTGCAAGGAGTCCTTGCAGTGACTGATGGATAAACACCCTGGCGTGTTTGTATTTGAAATGGGGAATATATTGAGCACCTGGAATTTAGTTAATCCTGTTTCCCAAAGCAGTAACGATCGCCTTATTAGCACAGAAACCAAGAAAGCCAAACAAAGACAGACTGCCAACACTGAGCCTGAATCGAGTCTTCTTTTGCATCAGAGACACAGAGCTAAAGTTGTCTGTATTGGAATTTAAGCAACATATCTTTCCCCTTTAATCGTCTCATACATAGAGACTGTTAATATGAATATGATACACCTAAATTGGAAGTTATAAAATACTGTATGATGAATTTTGTAACAAGAGAGGAGTTAATGTGGCGAATAAAAAGAACTTCGTGGCTCATGCCTGTAATCTCTGCACTTTGAGAGGCCGAGGAAGGGGGCATCACCTGAGGTCAGGAGTTCGAGACCAGCCTGGTCTACGTGGTGAAACCCCATCTATACTAAAAATACAAAAAATAGCCAGGCATGGTGGCGGGCGCCTGTAATCCTAGCTACTCAGGAGGCTGAGGCAGGAGAATCGCTTGAACCTGGGAGGCAGAGGTTGCAGTGAGCCAAGTTTGTGCCATTGCACTCCAGCTTGGGCCACAAGAGCAAAACTCTGTCTCAAAAAAAAAGCAAAAACCAAACCCAAACCCCAAACAACAACAACAAAAGAACTTTGTAAGAGTAAAAAGTTGTTGGATGCCAGAATGTTTTATCAAAAGGGGTTGTAGGATTTTCTTGGTTTAAGAGCTTTAAACTTACAATATAGATACACTTAAGATAACATTTCATAACAACCTCTGGCTTTGCACATGTGATTAGTCTAATTTACTTTTTTTTTGAGATGGAGTCTCACTCTGTCGCCAGGCTGTGGAGTGCAGTGGCACGATCTCAGCTCACTGCAACCTCTGTCTCCTGGGTTCAAGGGATTATCCTACATCAGCCTCCCAAGTAGCTGGGATTACAGGTGCCCCCCACCATGCCCAGGTAATTTTTGTGTTTTTAGTAGAGACGGGGTTTCACCATGTTGGCTAGGCTGGTCTTGAATTTCTGACCTCAGGTGATCCACCTGCCTCGGCCTTCCAAATTGCTGGGATTACAGGCATGAGCCACCACGCTGGGCTGCCTAATTTACTTTCTATGACCCAACTCAATCATTACTTTCTCTAAGAAGTCTTTCCTTATTCATCCATGAAGAAGATTTGACCATTTCTTCCTTTGTGTCTTCACTATCTCCTTTATGTCATACTATCACAGCACATACATTTTAGGACAATTCTTTATTTCTGTACCTGTTTCCCTTTACCGGATTACAGTTCTCTATGGGCAAGAACTATTTTTTATTAATCAGTTGCTTTTCAAGTTTCCAGTTCAGCACCTGCAAAAAGTAGACAATCAATATAAATAACCCCCCTACCTCTTTGATACTAGCTAAATTGGTCACCTTTCTTCTAGGAACTCACCATAAGCCTTCCTATTTTTTATGTTTATGTCATTTCTCTTATTTTGGAGCACACTTTTCTGTGTTTGTGTAAGTCTTGTGCATGTTTCCAGGTCCAGTGCAAGCTCCTCTTCCTTCATAGAGCCCCCAGGAGGTTAAAGGCTTGAGTGATCATTCTTTCGTTGGAAATTCTAAAGCATTTATTTACAGAGTCGGTATATTTTGAAAAAACATGCATATCCCATGCCTACCCAACTAGTTTGTGAGCATCTCAAAGAGAGGGGCCATGTCTTATCCCTCTTTATTGCCTGATATGTAGCACGGTGTTCTATTCAGAGTACCTGGTCGTTAATAAATAATAGTTGGTGATAAAAGCGATGAGAAAATGGCAAATCTGACCACTTATGGAAACTTCTGTTCAGGAAACTAATGTTAACTCAGATATGTAAAATCTGCACATGATGGAGAGACAGGATCAATATTTCTAATATTATAAAATAATGATATAATCCCCATCTCTTATCCAGAACTCTGGGAGCCAAATTGTTTTGGAATTCAGAATTTTTCCTATTCACTACAAGACCTGGGGTAGCACTTCCTGTTAATATTTCACAGTAAGTGGATAAATAAAGACTGTAAATACCCTAATGTCAGTTCAAATCAGGCTTTAATTGATAGTGAATTTTGATAGTTTGACTTTCATAGAGTATGAAATAAAATTATTTGCCTGATGATCAATCTACATGTCATATTGTTGGCCTTGTAAATTGGCCATAGTATGAGATTTAGCCTTTGCCGTTCAATTAGTTTCTATGGAGAGATGCTGTATTAATACAAATGTCGCAAGAAGACTGTAAATCATAATTTCAGTATTCTGCTAAAAATCATAGTTTTTAGGCCAGGCATGGTGGCTCAGGCCTCTAATCCCAGCGCTTTGGGAGGCCGAGGTGAGTGGATCACGAGGTCAGGAGCTCGAGACAAGCCTGGCCAACATAGTCAAACCCTGTCTCTACTAAAAATACAAAAATTAGCCGGGCGTAGCGGCGTGTGCCTGTAGTCCCAGCTACTCGGGAGGCTGAGGCAGGAGAATTGCTTGAACTCCGTAGGCGGAGGTTGCAGTGAGCTGAGATGGCGCCGCTGCACTCCAGCCTGGGCGACAGAGGGAGACTCCATCTCAAAAAAAAAAAATCATAATTTTTAGAGTTTGTCTGACTAACGCACATTGGGTAGTTTGTATTAATATATCTTAGATATTTTTGGTGAGAATTTTGGCAACAGTTTTTTTTTTTTTTTTTTGAGACAGAGTCTTGCCCTGTCAGCCAGGCTGGAGTGGCACGATCTCCGCTCACTGCAACCTCCGTCTCCCAGGCTCAAGCAATTCTCCTGCCTCAGCCTCCTGAGTAGCTGGCATTGCAGGCGTGTGCCACCATGCCTGGCTAATTTTTGTATTTTTAGTTGAGATTGGGTTTCACCACGTTGGCCAGGCTGGTCTGGAACTCCTGACCTCAGGTAATCTGCCCGCCTCGGCCTCCCACAGTCCTGCGATTACAGGCATGAGCCACCTCGCCCGGCCAAGAGTTTTTAAGACTTCCTGTTCAATACGAACCACCTCTTCAGACAGAGTAGGCTTAAATGACAATAAGCTTCTAAATGTAGAAAAACCTTTTTAGTCGATTGACTCTCTTAGAAGCACACTGTTGCTGTTCTTTTTAAAAAGTGTTTAAAGAGGATTTAGAAATTGACTGTGTTTCTATGTGACCAGAACTGTATGCAGTATTTTTTTTTTTATTATAACCCTTTACTCTTCTTGGCTAGAGTTTAATTATATTTTTTCATCCAACAATCACAGATTTCGTTGAGTAATCTCTTTTGGCTTGTATTTAGGTCAGTTTATTTGTTCATAATAATGAAGTCACTGACATATGGAAACATTTAGTGTGTTACTTAACTAATCAATTGGAACAATAAAACCTAGAAAGCATTTTTATCAAGTTAAAATTTCAAATCACACAGTTTTCTCCTTTTCACTTTTATCATAAAATTGCTCCCAGGAATTGTGCTGTGAAAATCAGTTTTTTTTTAATATGATTTTTCTTTTTAACTTAAAAAAATAAACTTTGATGGAGTGAACCCCAAAAAGGATAGTGACCTAGCTGGACTTTTAAAAAACAGCTTAAAAGAAGATCAACTGAGAGAATTGAGAAGAGAAATTGGAGGTGGTAGGTGAGAAGGAGAAAGAGGAGGGAGTACTGAGTGGTAAGGTGGCTTAGTCTGTTCTTGCTGTTATAACGAAATAGCTTAGACTGGGTACTTTTAAACAACAGGAATTTGTTGCCTATAGTTCTGGAGGCTGGGTAGTCCAAGATCAAGGTGGTAGCAGATTCAGTGTCTGATGAGGGCTCATTCTTTGTAGATGGCAACTTCTATGTGTCCTCACAGGGAAAAAGGGGCAAATGGGCTCTCCTAGCCCTCTTCTATAAGGGCAATAATCTCATTCATGAGTATGAAGCTTCATGACTTAATTACCTCCTAAAGGTCTCACTTCTTAATACTCTCACATTGGGTATCAGGTTCCAACATATGAACTTTGGAAAGACACTGATATTAAGACCATAGCATAAAGTGAGAAGGTGGAGGAGCCTGGATTGAATACAGTAGACAGTGGATTTGTGAGCATATTTTAACACATTATCACGAGCCACACAACGAAGAGCAGCTGAGAGCTGTCTTAAATCAGATCTGAAAAAGGCCATGACTGTGTGTATTAGGGTTCTCTACAGGGACAGAACTAATGGAATACATATATGTAAAGGGGAGTTTATTAAGTATTAACTCGTAGGATCCCAAGGTCCCACAATAGGCCGTCTGCAGGCTGAGGAGCAAGGAGAGCCAGTCCGAGTTCCAAAACTGAAGAACTTGGAGTCCGATATTCGAGGTCAGGAAGCATCCATCATGGGAGAAAGATGTAGGCTGGGAGGCTAGGTCAGTCTCTCTTTTCATGTTTTTCTGCTTGCTTATTTTCTAGCTATGCTGGCAGCTGATTAGACTGTGCCCACCCAGGTTAAGGGTGGGTCTGCCTTTCCTCGTCCACTGACTCAAATGTTAATCTCTTTTGGCAACACCCTCACAGACACACCCAGGATCAATACTTTGCATCCTTCAATCCAATCAAGTTGACACTCAGTATTAACCATCACACTGTGAAAACAGAAAGACAGCATCAGATCCAAAAGGGCCAGTAAAAAAGAAGCAAGAGGTCATGAAAATGGATCAAAAGTAGCTGGCAAAAGAGAAAAAGAAACTTTTTTTGATAGAAAAGGAGAATTTGCAAATAATAATTATTGGTTGAGATAGAGGATATGTTGTCTTCTTATAATTTTCAGGCTGCTGACAATAATGCAATGATTTTGGGGCAGCATAGCCATGAAAGAGCAAGATGAGTGATGTTGACAAACACAAGGTGGCCTTAACTGTATTGCGGCCAGGCTGGTCACTCTGCCCACCTATGTGGCCACATGTGTCTCCACAAATTACTCGTAGGCAGTATAGTATTTAAAGTAACTAAAAAAAAAATAGACTCATTAAATGTTGAGAATGCTTTCACAGTTATTTAGTTAGTCAAGGTTAAGAAAAGAAAGGGAAAAAGGAGAAGCACAGTTTCTGTGCAAGTGTAAAGTATATAATGATGGCGAAATATTTTTCCTTCCCCAAAAGTGACTGAGGAGTTGCTATGTGGAAATGGAGGCAAATTGGTCAGGTCTCTTTTCTTTACAAATGACAGAAGCATACCTTGAACCAGTTTAGGCAAAAGAAAAGAAATGATCAGTTCACATGAGTGGCAAGTCCAAGATTTACAGCATTAAGCATGTTTATCTCCAGGTGCTCAGATAATGCTGTCAAATATCTGCTTCTTTTTTTCTATTCTTGGCTCTCTTTGCGTTTTTGCTGGCTTCATGTCTCTGTCTTTTCAAATGATAGGGAAGAGGGTCCCAAGTATATTCAGACCTAAATTTTTCTTCTAACTCTTAAGTATTCTCTACAATTTCTGCATCCGCATCAGTCTCTCAAAAAACAAAAATAACTCTGATTAGTCTTGCGTGAGATATGAGTTTACTCTGAACCAATCAAGCACTCATTGAAACCTGGGAAATGGGAGGTCTGACTGGCAAGGCTGAATCTTTAGCAGTGAATGTAGGGAGGTCTGATGGTTGGAATTGCATGGAACAGAGAAAATAGGACTCCTGAAAGGAAGGATGTGAGGCTGAAATCAAGCACTGGCGTACTTAAAGTTATTGGTAGTGTAGAAACATGAAAAGCAAAAGTAACAAAATAACATTGATAACTGGGAGATGAGGAAGAAGAGGAATCTAATCAATGTTCATCAAGTCAAGAGGGATTTGGGAAATCTGTAAGGACTGAGCCAAAGCTGAAGGAAAGCAAAAGTCTATTTCAATCATTTCTCTAGACAATTCCCAGGAATCTCACGATAGACCAACAGTTCAGAGTGACAGTAAAGTTATTGACAGTTTTGATCTGTAGCCAAAAGACCTAAGCCTACCTCAGAGAAACAGGCATCTGGCTAATCTTCAAGGAGGACTTTGTCTTTGTTACGTATGGGTAGCACAGGCAGGTAAAGAGACAGTTCAAATAAGTAATAGTGATGCCGCAGATGTTTTAGTAGACACACATTTAGTTCTAGAAGGAGAGGAAAGAACTTGCAGTCACAGGTACCATGGCTTTGAGGGGTCAGAGAGTAAGAATATGGGTGAGTCCTGGCCCCAAGGCAGGGGTCATTTGCTTCCTCCCTCTCTGCCGGTTCTTTATTGCCACAGAGTTTCTGAACTTGCTCAACAGTTTCACAAACAGATTCCAGGTCCCTTCCCAGAACCACTTACCAAGTCAAGCTACCTGGGGAGGGACATGAGAAATCTGAATTTTTAGTTTTTTTTTTTTGAGACTGAGTCTTGTTCTGTGGCCCAGGCTGGAGTACAGTAGCATGATTTCGGCTCATTGCAATCTCTGCCTCCTGGTTCAAGGGATTCTCCTGCCTCAGCCTCCCGAGTAGCTGGGATTACAGAAGTGCACCACCATGACTGGCTAATTTTTGTATTAATTTTTGTATAAGCTCTGCTATTACAATATATTCCCTGGTCACCTTCCAGTTTTGTCCCCTCTGTCACATGAGAACAAACATTTCATTAAATACAAAGGCAGGAGGGAAAGTTATGTAATTTATTCTCTGAGTCCCTAGATCCCAATACAGTTCCAGAATTTCCAGCATTAAGTTTAGCAGAGTGCTTCTAAAGATTACTTCCTATTTTAGTTTTATAAATTGGAGGGCTGGATTCTTACAAGAAGGCTATATACAGCTACTGGACAAAAAGTATGTGGAGTCGAAAACGCAAGAGAAAAAATACTCTCATCTTGGGACTCAAAGCACCAAAGAGAAACCGTTTGGTGAAATTCTGGGCCAATTTGAAGCTATTCCTCCTTAAGGAGAAAATGGTGGATCTGGGCTTTCAACACAAAGGAATATTTGATATCCTATTGTGATGGTTAATTTTATGAGTCAGTTTGTATGGGCCATGGTGCCTATACAGTTGGTCAAAATTTATTCTGGATCTTTCCGTGAAGGTGTTTTTTGGATGAGATTAACATTTTAACTGTTGAACTTTGAGTAAAGCAGATAACCCTCCATAATGTGGGCGGGCCTCATCCAATCAGTTGAAGGCCTAAACAGAACAGAGATGCCCACCCCTCAGCAAGACGGAATTCTGCCAGCAGATGGCTTCTGGAATCAGACTGCTGCTCTTCCTTGGGTCTCCAGCCTGCAAGTTTACCCTCCAGATTTTGGACTTGCAAAGCTTCTGCAATTATGTGAGCCAATTCCTTAAAATTAAATCAATCTCTCTCTGTCTCTCTGTCTCTCTGTCTCTCTCTCTGTCTCTCTCTCTCTCTCTCTCTCTCTCTCTCTCTCTCTCTCTCTCTCTCTCTATATATATATATATATATATATATATATATATATACATCTCCTGTTAGTTCTGTTTCTCTGGAAACCCTGAATAATGCATTTATTGATGTACTAATTATTTCCGATTCTGATTGAATATTAGGCTTTGCAGCATCAAGATTAAACCTCAGGTCCTTAATTCTCTGCCTGTCCCCAGCTCTACTGAAACTCCACTTAATTGAGGACCAAACCCAATGATCTGTAGTATATGTGTCATGTCACCCTGGCACCTGTTTGTTGGGGGAAAGGCTTACAGGGTGCCTGTATAAACTGGCCATAAAAATATGGGACAATAAGTTGTGGAAAGCCACAAGAGGCCTCTGAGGAGGAAAGCCTTCTTATCGCCATTATGTTCCCATGCTCTGAGCGAGACTTGCTCTCTTATCCATAAACACTGTGTTCAAGGAGAAAGACACTCCTTTGAACATTGGAATGTGGCCAGACGTGCAGGATCCTAGTTAAGCCTGCTCCCACTAGCTACTCTCCGATAAATTAAAGATATGCTGTTTGAGCACAAAGGAGATTAATTTAAACCACCACTGTTATAGATTATGTGTATGATGCACTGTCTCCCTTTCACCGTTCCCTGAATGTCTGCTTCTTAGATCTAAGTGACTGTATTCAATAAATAGCGTGGAGACCAGAGCTTGGGGCCTTTTACAGCCTCCATTTTGCAATTGGCCCCCTGGTCCCCACTCTTTATGCACTCTTAACCTGTCTCTTCTCATTCCTCCATTGCCACCAGACTTTGGATACCCTATGGGTGGTGATGAGGCTGGTCCCCAACACCTGTTCTTCTTGATGTACTGTGGTATCCTGGTGGGCTGTGAAGGAGAAGCAGGTGTGTTCCCAGATAGTGAATCCCACAGTCCTCAGGGTGGTTGAGTGGGACCTGCACTGCTAGCACCTCTGGTGGTGACCACCAGCCAGGCAACACTGGCCAGAGTTCCTTCAGGACCCATCTAAGCAAGTGAAGGATGACCTATGGTCCCTGCAGATGCCAAATGGAATGAGCAGCAGCTAACATTGGTTGCTTCATCAAAGGGCACATTACTTCCTGGACATTACTTCAGCACCCAGTTGCAAAATGCACCCCTGCCACGTCAAGGACAGGGAGCCAGTGAAGGTGCTGGAGAAGTGTTGATGTGTCAGCTCAAGGTAAGACAGGTGGAGGTGGGAAGGCGGTGGGGAGGCAGGGTTGGGGCTCTGAGCAGGGGCAGGGCCAGGCAGTCATCCCAGTCTCTGTATTTGTGGCTGATTTGCTCTGTAGCAGCAGAACAGAGACACTGTGCTTACCATGGGAAAAAGGAAGAAGAGGGAACTTACCTTCTTTTCTCTTACATTCCACTGGTGAGAGTTGGCCCCTTGGGAGTTAACCTCTGCTCACTTCAGAGGAACATCAGCCAGCACTTTTAGGAGCTACCAGGGAAGCAAAATGCTACGCTTTGCTTTGTGGTGGTTCTTCCAAGTCTGGAAATGGTAGAAGGAGCCAGAACTTCAAGGTGGGAAGAGACAGCCAAGCAAGATTCTGGGTGGAGTAGGCAGCTTCTGAAATCTGAAATGGTTCACAGTGGTCCCCACCTCCTGGGTTTTTGTTGTTGTTGTTGAGATGGAGTCTCACTCTGTTGTCTCGGCTCACTGCAACCTCCGCCTCCCAGATTCAATGAATTCTCCTGCCTCAGCCCCCTGAGCAGCTGGGATTGCAGGCATGTGTCACCGTGACAGGCTAATTTTCATATTTTTAGTAGAGACGGGGTTTCACCATGTTGGCCAGGCTGGTCTGGAACTCCTGACTTCAAGTGATCTGCCTGCCCCGGCCTCCCAAAGTGCTGGGATTACAGGCATGAGCCACCAAGCCCAGCCCTCATCTCCTGTTCTTTATGTCCTTGTGTGATCCCTTCTTCAGTGTGGGCTAGTTCTAGTGATATACTACTAATGAAGACAATACTGAAAAAGTGATGGGCTGTCCCTTCTGAGATTAGGTTTAAAAGACTGTGACTTCATCTCATTGGCACACATACTCCTTTGGCTTCTCTGATGAAGCCACCTGCCACATTGTGGGATGCTCTACAGGGAAGCCCATGTGGCAGGAAGCTAAGAGAGGCCTCTGGCTAACAGCTCTGAGGAACTGAATACTGTTAACAGTGATATGCATAAGCTTTCTCTCTTCCTCAGTTTAGCCTTGTATGACGTAGTTCCAACTGACACATTAAATGCAGCCTGATGAGTGACCCAAAGCCAGAGAAAACAGCCCAGATTGCTGACCACAGATACTCTGAGATAAAAAAGCTACTATCTGTGCAGTACTAATACAAATACTAATATTACCTGTGTTTGTACTAATACAAGCAACTCATCAACTGCAGGCACAGGATAATAGGAGATCCCGGTGGAGTTGGAAGGCTGTGGTGGCAGGAGTGGCTGCAGGGGAAGGGGCGAACACCTGAGAGCCTACTGCTGGCCCTGAGAGTCTCTGACAAGGTGCATAAGACCTGTGTGCTGTATCAGCCAAGTCCCACATTCTCAGAGGCCTCACAGCATGGTAGAAAGATAATATACTCTGTGGTCAGAAAGAAATGAGTTTAGCTCTGTCTGAGGTGATCGGGTCAAGTTGCTTAAACTATTTGAATCATTTGAATCTCAGTTTTCTTCTCCGTGAAGTGGGAATAATACCTCCTATTTAGAGGATTGGTTGAGCTACACATGTAGCAATACTCCTGACATACAGGGGCTTATAACACGTGGTCTTTATTTTGATGATTGTAGATTGTCGTCTTTGGTAAGCTTGAACAATTTATCTTGCTGAAACTCTTTCCAATAGACATTTACTTGACTTGATGCTTCTGAGACAACACCCTTTTTTCTTCTCCTATCTTTCTGGCTACCCCTTTTTCTTTTGGTGGCTTTTATTTTTCCTAACTACACTTTTATTGTTTGTTTTCTTCAAGAATCCATAATGGGGCTCCTTTTCTTCCTCTTCATATGCTTCCTGAGCAATCTTATCTCTGGGGGAATCATTTTTTTCCCTCTCCCAAGTCCCTGCTGGTCATAAAATGGGAACATACACCCCCAACACTTTCACCCATTTAGAAGCACCCATTTGGGAGGAGTAATATTTCATCCTTCTCCACATCTCTAACCTATCTTATATCCAGGAGGGGGAGTGACTTAACTTTTTGGTGAGATTGGAACAAAGGGTTCACTATATAACCCTAGCCTATGGTTTGCTAGAGTTCTTTCTCTCTCTCTCTCAGCTGGGCATTATCCAGCTATTTTGTTGAATTGAGCAGATAAGTTCAAAGTTGTTTAAAATTAAAGAACTATAGAGTCTGAATAAACATTGTTGACACAAATGCTTTAAGAATTCAAAGTGTAAGGCTGGTATTTACTATTTCATTTCAGGTAAGGAAGATTAAATACAGTTTTATTTTTAATCTCCCAAGGTTATAACCTATAATATTAAGACTATGTTAACCTTAAGTCTTATTCAAGTGTTTGTTGTAGGAAATTGTGTCAGCTCACTAAAGTTATACATTTTATTTGTCATAGGAAATTGAATTTACGCACCAACCTTTTGATAATTAACCCATGACTATGACTTCATTGATCTTACTAAAATTGACCTTACCTACATTTAAACTCTGCGCATTCTCTTTAGATAGGAAACTATCTCAAGCCCTTAGTTTAGATTTTTCTTCTTGCTGATTGTATACTTAAAATAAAATACCAAGTCTCACATTTTTACACTTCCAAATGAGGTCCCAGTCTACTCTTTCCAACAATAAGGGATATATTCAGATTCTTATTTGACTTTTTTCATATTTCTTGATTGATTCTGAATCTAGAGAGGAAGGATATAACAAACCGGTCCTTTTGAACCGTAATAAAAGCCAGGTATTCACTGGGGATTTGCTTTCATTGTAACATGCCACTTGGTGGTCAGCTTTTCGAGAAGGGAGGAGATAACGCCACTTAATTCTAGCACAGGCAGCTAATGACATTTCCGAAAAGACCCTGCGTTTCTCAAAGGGCTGAATTGGCTTTAGCCTTATCAGTCTATGTAGCCTTATTAATGCTTGTAATTTTGGTCCTGTTAAACCCTTGATTGCTTACTATATTGAGATTGTGAACTTGGGGATCATATTTTCTCATACACCACTTTGCTGTTACACTTGCACTTTTCTCTGTTTATAATACTCAGCTCTTAAATGCCACGTAGCCCATGGCTCAGTATTTTCTGCTCAAATGCTGGCTCCTCGAGGCTTCGTTTCCTGACCCTTCCTCTCCCCTGCATTTCAAAGCTTGATTTAGTGCTTCATCTGAGCTTGTTTCTCCTGGGATATGTATCTATGGAGCTCATGACAGTGTTGTCATTAAAACATACACAGATTCTTTCTGTTTTTGCTAAATAGATTATGAGTTCCTTGGGTGCAGAGATCATGGTTTTCATTTATGTAACTTTAGTGCTTAGTATCCTGTCAATGAATGTTTACTAAAAATAAATAAAATAAACAAACTCTGTTAAGTATAGTGACCAATTGTTCTAGCTGTGGACTAGTACCAACTTTTAACTTTATACTAACATAATTATTAACAGTACCCCCTTTCACTCTCAAAAGTGTTCCAGTTTGGAGGATAAATTCTAGGTCACCTTCTTCATAAGGAATCTTGGGGGAGATATAGAACTGAATTGCTTTTTTTTTTTTTTTTTTGCCTCTAAGAGGATAATGTTCTCAGATTTTCTGGAAAGCAGAGACAATGATTCTTATAAATTATAATAACAAAAATATCTCAATGATAATTTTCTTACCTACAAAATGAAACTAGCTAATGGTTTCACAGATTTCTGTGAGAATAAGTGTATTAGTTCACTATGGCTGCCACAACAAAATACCACAGTCTGTGTTGTTTAAACAACAGGCTTTATTTTCTCACAGTTCTGTAGGCTGGAAGTCCAAGATCAAGTTGTCTGCAGGTTTGGTTTTTCGAGGCCTCTCTGGAGGCTCGCAGATGGCTGCCTTCTTGCTACGTCCTCACATGGCCTTTTCTCTGTGTGCACATCGTGGTGTCTCTTCCTCTTTTTGTAAAGACACTAGTTATACTTAATTAAAGTCCTGCTCTTATAACCTCATTGAACCTTCATTACCTCCTTTAAAGTCCCTTATCTCCAAATACAGTCACATTGGGGGTTGAGAAGTCAACATACAATTTTGGGGAACACAATTCAGTCCATAATATGCATGTATAAATATATGGTGTGTGAATTTTAATATCCACACCTACCAACCCATATATAAAAAGTCATTTTGAAAATAACATGATGAGGACCTTTCTGTTTTGGACAGAATAATATAAATGGGTGGTAGAAGAGTTTTTTTTTGAGATGCAGTCTCGCTCTGTCGCCCAGGCTGGAGTGCACTGGCATGATCTTGGCTCACTGCAACCTCCACCTTCTGGGTTCAAGTGATTCTCCTGCCTCAGCCTTCCAAGTACCTGGGATTACAGGCACGTGCCACCACGCCTGGTTAATTTTTGTATTTTTCATGGAGATGGGGTTTCACCATGTTGGCCAGGTTGGTCTTGAACTCCTGACTTCAAGTGATCTGCCTTCCTTGGCCTCCCAAAGTGCTGGGATTGCAGGCATGAGCCACTAGGCCCGACCCTTTTTATTCAATCTCATATTATCAGATTATTTTGTTTGAGCTTTAAAAACAAATTTATTACTCTATAACAGATAATAATAATTTATTCATTTAAAATAATACATACAACTTCTAGGCTGGGCACAGTGCCTCACACCTGTAATCCCAGCACTTTGGGAGGCTGAGGTGGGTGGATCATTTGAGGCCAGGACTGTGCATGGCTGTTGTTCTCCATGCTTAAGAGGCCATAGTTGTGGCAGAACCTCGTCTCTACTAAAAATACAAAAAATTAGCTGGGTGTGGTGGTGGGCCCCTGTAATCCCAGTTACTTGGGAGGCTGAGGCAGGAGTATCACTTGAACTGGGGAGGCAGAGGTTGCAGTGAGTCAAAATCGGCCACTGCACTCCAGCCTGGGCGACAGAGTGAGACTTCATCTCAAAATAAAATAAAAAACAAAACAAAACAAAACAAAACAAAACAAAAAAATAAGAAACCATACAACTTCTAGACCTTGTCAAGAGAAGTCCTTGTCAGGGTACCATGCTTCAGAGGCCTGCTAGACCCCTTTATTCTGTGGGGTTAGGAGTCCATAGGCCAAAAGGACATGTGGGTGCCTAGATCTCTGGGATTTCTGCTCAAACATTCTCAAGCTGTATCTGGGACCTCTTTGGGCCTCCTTTGAGTCTCCATCCTCCTGAGTATGGTCTGTACCACTGGTAGTGTAGCACAGGCAATTGTTGCTTAAGAAGAAGAGTTCTGCTTCCCTCCTAACTACCATATTCTGGTGTGGAACTGCAAGGGATCCTAGGTAATTATGAGGCTATATAATAGATACAATAATAAATAGAACCTATTTTAGTTGATGGTTTGACTTGATTTTTTACCTTTCAAATATTTAAATCTATGCTGTATGAGTCTTCATTTGTATTCTTGCTCCAGGCTCCACACATATCAGGAGTGAACTTTTTATTTTTTTGAGATGGAGTCTCGCTCTGTAGCCCAGGCTGGAGTGCAGTGGCACCATCTCAGCTTACTGCAGCCTCCACCTCCTGGGTTCAAGCAATTCTCCTGCCTCAGCCTCTCGAGTAACTGGGATTACAGGCATGCCCCACCATGCCTGGCTAATTTTTGTATTTTTAGTACAGATGCGGTTTCGCCATGTTGTCCAGGCTGGATTTGAACTCCTGACCTCAAGTGATCTGTCCACCTTGGCTTCCCAAAGTGCTGGGGTTACAGGCGTGAGCCACCCTGCATGGCCTGGGGTGAAACTTTTTAATGAGCATTTATTGTTTGCCATTCACAATGCAGAGTGTCATTTATCATTTGATCTACACAACAGATAATTGGTAGGTCCTATTGCTGACCTCAGTTTACAGAAATGAAACTGTGGCCAAAGTCAACCCTGCTCAAAGAAGCAGAGTTGGGCCTGGAATGGAGCTCTGACCTCAGAGACTGAACTTAGCCCCTCTCCCCTACTCTAGGGCCATTCAAAGAGTGATAGTAATTTTCATTCGTTTTGAAGGACATAAAACATGAACTCATTGACCACAAATAGTCAGTTTGTCTGAAGATAATAATCGTCTGGGAATCTGCAACAAATTGTCCAGATTCCAAAATTTGCATTTTCAGACATAAGACTTATAAAAACTGCATGCATTATTCTGTGACTAGTTCTGCCTTAAGTGGTGTAACTGCACAACGGAAAGAGTGGGTAATCTTGTTCAAATGAAAGTTTCTTCAAATAATGGAGCAAATGACTTGCAGGAACCTACATGAAACTGAAAAGAAGTAGCTCCCTATCACTTATCAAGGAGCGTTGAAAGGTATGGGGGCAGGTAGTTTTTCCGCTCATCTTGAAATGAAATGATAATGGTCGAGAATTCCACCAACACATACGTATTTTTGCTCCTCTTTTTTTTGAATGTACACTACTGGCAGGCAGGATTCACAGTGTGTCTTTAAGTGCAGAACATTAGAACACATCTTTACCTACACATATACTAGAACTGTTGTCTAATTTAGAACAGAGTGTTCTTCCTTTGCTCCTTATTGGGCCCTAGTAGAAACTTCACAGGTCTGTAAGCAAGGTCATTTAGTGCCTTGCTTTTTTGCCCATCATGTTTATGTTTGTTCCCGATAAGACTGTTTTGTAATTCGGAGAATGACATCTTTTTTGTTCTTCACATGACCACGAATGTCCCAAGCTCCTGATGATTTGTAAACCACAAGATATAGCAGCTGAAATGTATTAGTTTAATAATAAACATAAACACAGGGAACAGGCTGATGTTATAAAACAGTAATTATGCAAATTTCTCACAGTAAATAGTGGTCTTAATGATGGCAAGGTTTCAGTCCCAGATGCTTTTCCAATTTACTTACTTCAAGAACTTCTTTGTATGTAATTTAAGAATTCCAACTTATTTCCAGGATACTTCGGTCCCTTTAAAAATTTTCTGCTTGCCCCTTTTACTTTAGCTTTCACAGTATTGCTGAGTAGCTACCCAAGCAAAGCAGGGGGACATCTTGAATCAGAGGTGGAATCCGCAATGAAAGGATCTGTGATATTTCAATCCCCCAAGCGAGGAAAGGGGAATAATTTAGTGTAGGCTGAAGGGCTAAGGGGACCGTGAAAGGACCTGTTGGAGGTAGATAAGGTGGAGAAGCCAGCCAAATTCCAGCCACTGCCTGTTAGGCATACCCCCAATCCCTCATTGAGGCATCTACATCTCATAAGCATCTGAAATTCAACGTGAGCAAAACTGAACTCCTCATTTTGTCTTGCTCAAAACAGACTGTTACCCCATCTCAGTTTATGGTAACTTCTTCCTTCCAGTTAATCAGCCCAAACATCAAGAAGTCGTCTTTGGCTCCTTTTGTTTTTTCATATATATATTTACAAAACCTATTAACTCTCCCTTTCAAATATACCTAGAATTCAACAACTTCTTGTCCTTCCCCAGCTTGGTCCTAACCACAAGCACCTGGGAACCTAGATGATTGAGGTAGAGTTTCCATCACCTCTGTTTCCATCATTTCTGCTTCCATCATCTCATTCATGTCATTTATGGTAAAATCCAAGTCTCCTCTCCTTCACCTCTGACTTCATCTCCTACTTCTCCCTCCTTTAGCCTTGCTGGTCCTCTTGCCATTTTTCAAATACTCCAGGTGTGTTCCTGTTTCAGAGCCTTTGCCCTTGCTGAAGTGCTCTCTCAACTCCATGTCTTTGCTCAAATAGCATTTTATTTTAAAGGAGATGACTTTATTCAGATTACTGCAATAGGGAGAAGGTTCATAAATAAGGAACATCTCAAAAAAGAGAAAGGGGCCTACAACTTTACAGAGGTAGAGGAATATGGGAGTCAGGACAAAGGGTAGAAGTGAGTCCTATCTACAAGCACACGGTGGTCCTTTGCAGTTAGTCATGTCCCAGAACATAAAGGGTGGGGAATTTCTCAACCACTACTGCTTTCCAGGAGGACAGGCCTCTAATAAAGTTCAACATTCTTATTCCCTTCAGTTATCAGCTCTCATTAAACAACTCAGAGGCGGTTATAAACCTCCTGAGTAGGTGACACAGTCTAAAAAACAATCTTGTTGTCAGTGTGCTTGTACAACCAGTTGAACCCGCTGTTGGAAGGTGGTGGCAAAGAGTAGTTGTTTGTGCGTGTGGGAGGTCACCTTAAAAGACCTCTTCTCATTTGCAGCCATACCCAGGGGTAGATGATGGTGCACTGGCTGTCATACACTGGCACTGTGTTGCAGACTAGCAGATCTCGTGACTACACCTAACACAGCTTCCTATAGCCGCACATCTCTCAAAGTGGCAGAAATGAACATGCTCATTACAGACTCAAAGACAGAGGCTTTGCGGGAGTAAACAGGGATCTGAAAGTGAGGCCCGGCCCTACAGATATGTCAGTTTCATCTTTTCCAGCGTCATTAGCTCTAGGTGGTGCAAATGTTTCCATTTAAGGAAAATTTATTCCACAATAATAATTAATTGTATGACAATGAGATTACAGAGATTATAGCAGGCATACCCAATGAAACCTTTATACTGGCTTATCACAAAGGATACACATGAAAAGATGCATAGGGTGATGTGTGGGAGAAGGGGCATGGAGCTTCCACCCTCCAGGAGCCTCCACATGTTCAGCTATAGAAGCTCCTTCAGTGGCATTTTCTAAGTGAGGGATTCTTTGACTGCCTTGTTTTTAGCTGGGCACAACACTCCTTATTCCCTCCACTGTTATTTTTCTTCATAGCAGTTATCTTCTGAGTAATTTTAGTTATTTCATTTATTGGTTGCCCCCACTAGAATGTAAATTTCATGACAGTAGGGATTTTCACCTATTTTATTCAGTGATACAGCCCCAGCAACTAGAACAATATTTGGCCTATAGTAGGTGCTAAACAAATGAATAACTGAAGATGTGAATGAACTGTACTGAAACATAACTATGGCCTCTTAAGCATGGAGAACAACAGCCATGCACAGATGGGTGCTTGGGTATCAGAATATGTCTAAGGTTAAACATCAATATGAACAGATGAAAATCATTTTGTATAATTTGGTGACTTTTTTTCTGTGTTTATCACTCTTCTGTTTCTGTAACAGGGATAACAAACATTGACCAGATGAGATTTTAGAGGTAAAGATGAGATTTGTAGGTAAAACTTAATTTCATCTATAATTTCTGAGTCAAACCTTAGACCATTAAGATAGATTCAAATAGATGCAGTGGGAAGCCTTGGAAGTTTTTTTCAGGGTATATGTGAGCAAGTCTGTATGCATTGTGGGTGGTGGTGCTGGTATTGCTGGATTGGGGTGAAAACGCTTATTTCTAAACTTCTGTGATCATCTCTGATTGGAAAAGTAGCACCATCCTCAGCTGCTCCATCCTCCTGGTGGGTCTCATAATGGCCCTAAGGAATCATGGATGTTAGAAGATGGAGGAAAAATAGAAAGGCTGTGAAGGACCCGAAGAGGATCCACTCAACTTACACATTAATAAAATGGCCATCCTTTCTTCTTTTCCCTTTTTGATTTAAAAAGCTATAGCTGCCATTTTTCAAAATTTTTTCCTTTTAGTTTCTTTACAACTTATTACTTGCCTGGATTTTCCATAAATATTTTACATGCTGAGGGACATAGTGTTTT
Source organism: Homo sapiens (assembly GCF_000001405.40). NCBI lineage: Eukaryota > Metazoa > Chordata > Mammalia > Primates > Hominidae > Homo > Homo sapiens. The sequence goes on from NC_000013.11 coordinate 37,100,797, forward strand.
TAAGTCCTATGATTCTCCTGTGCCTAAACCAAGTTTCTAAATTATGTCATATGTTGGGAACTGCAGCCAGGAGTTAAAACTTGGCAGTTAAAAACTTGGATTCAGTACAGGTTTCTACTATTGCTTGGAATCATTCAATATGACCTCTTGATAGGTGGGGGGCTCTCTTTCTCTCTCCCTCTTTTTGTAGTTCCTAGGGATTTTAAAGTTGGAGGACAGAGAAATACAGAACTGATGATGTACTTTATTTGGAAAATGTGTGATCTTACTTCTGCACATTTCAGATGTGTGCTACTTTTTAATGTGTGTGACCTATGAGGAGCTATAAATATGTTAAGGAAAAAAGTACATACATATAAATGTGTGCATGCTGTTTCTTTTAAGCTTTTGGCTTTAAAATATAAAATGTTATTGTCTTCATGTGGCAGAATATAGTTCCTTTTGTTACTCTACAGTAAGTTCCCAATGTAAGAAGGTTAATGACAAAGAATCCAAGAAGATTTTTTAAAAAATTCTTTTGATATTTTTATTATAATGGAATTAAATTTATAATTATTTCAGTGTGCTCTGCTTGAAACATTAATAAATCTTTGTGAGTATTAGCAGAAGTAGGAAAATTTCTTAATAAAAATATTTGTTGGTGGAAAAATCATAGTAAAGGTAAACCTCTAAATATCTATTTGTAGACCATCAAAGCATAAGCACATCCATATGGTAGGAGATAACTAGTGTCTCCCTTCACGTCTACTCTTTTTTTTTTTTCAGACAGTCTTGCTCTGTCACTCAGGCTGGAGTGCAGTTGTGCAATCTCGGCTCACTGCAACCTTTGTCTCCCGGGTTCAAGCGATTCTCCTGCCTCAGCCTCCTGGGTAGCTGGGACTACAAGGTGTCCACCACCATGCCTGGCTACTTTTTGTATTTTTTAGTAGAGATGAGGTTTCACCATGTTGCCCAGGCTTGTCTCAAACTCCTGACTTCAGTTGATCCATCCGCCTCAGCCTCCCAAAGTGCTGGGATTACAGGCATGAGCCACTGTGCCCGGACACGTATACTCTTTTTTTTTTTTTATTTTCTTGTTTTACCCTCCCCAAAACAGAGACATTGAACAGTAGTTAGAATGGCCATCTCCCAACATTTAAAAAAACTGCACTCTCCAATGGGTGAACAAAGTAAAGAGCAGTAACTCAGAATTCAGCTGAGTAAGCCACTGTGGAGCCTTAAGTGGTGAGGTCTCCCAATATCACAGTGACGTGTCTTCAACTTATATCACCTTTTAGTGGAAAAACATAATTTAATTTTTGTGAAATGAGATTCATCTCTTGGCATGACTAGTAACAGCATTCACTGAATTTCACATTCTTCTTTTGTGAACTGTGAAGACAATGAATGGTATCTAGAAGAAAAATGGAATAATGATATACTAGGACAAAAACACCTATATTTTGTTTTACAAAGCTAACAGTAGTTTTAAATCTGCAACTTCATTATAGACCAACTATGCCACAACCTTTTCAAATGGCAAGAATGCAAAAATATTTCAGAATAAGTGCATACTGAATAAAAACACTGAAAAATATCTTGCTAGAGGGAGGTCAGGTTGGAAAAGTTACTACCAAAGCTAAATATTTTTCTTTTACATAAACTATACTCAAAAATAGCTTTATGAGACTGATTTCTGGAAAGGGCTTAATAGCTAAGAAACGAATACCTTAACTAACAAGGGTGGATAGAAAGAAACAAAGAAGCTTCCTACCCCCAACATTTGGATTTGTTAAGATTTCTTCAGCATTATAGTACTAATATATCCCTTAATGGCAGAATGTGGTAATCATGGAATTAATTATTGCTGAAGTAGTTTTCAAATGAAAAAGAGAAAAAAATAAATGAAACCTGACACAATCTGACCAAACGTGGCAATTTACAATTTCAAGGTTATTTTACAAAATGCCTACATTTACACAATAGGCTCCTGGCAGCATTTTCAGACAAATGTTCTTTTAATTTATCCTGACATGCTATAAGTGAATAAATTACACGATTTAAAGAATTAAAAGGAAAATGAGTTTTCCTTTATCTTGCATCAGAGAAAAAGAAAAGAACGTGCAAAAAGATTGAGAGGAAGAGCACGCACACACAGATAATTCAGAGAAGCAGACGGGGGTTAGGGAGGGTCAATGATCACAGAACCTCACAGTGTGCTCTCCAAGGGTAAAAGTCAACTGCTTATAGCCATTTCACAAGTATTTTAAACAACAATGTTTTGTAGTCAAACCCTTCAATGCTTGCATTCTTATTTGAAATCAGCCCAGCTATTAGTCAGTGGAAGAAGTAACAATACCAAGTTTTGGCAGGTGCAGTACTAGATATTTTACCACAAGTCATTAGAAAAAGAAAAATGAAAGAATACATTTCCCCTTCATACAAAACGATTATTTTAGAATAAAAACATTGAAAAAAGTTATATAATGAAATAAAATTTACTTGCAAGGGAATATCATGTAACAAATGGCTCGAAGTTGACTATCAAAAAATTGGGGAGATTTTTATTTCCTAGTGAATCAGCAAGGCATTTTTTGGTTGTTGTTTAAAAAAGTATTATTTCCTTATAGAAACAGTTTTCAGATTTTAGTGAACTTGTAAAACATAAAAGCTCCCATTTCAAAATATGAACAAAATCCCAGATCATATGGGTGTTTACGGTGATTACATTTATCTAAGCCATGTACATACATGTTCAGTTGTAAGATGTTAACTAAATTTCTGTGACAAATATGGTTGTTGTTGTTTTTAAAATACCGAGAACATGATATAGTTAATGTGGAATTCTAAAGATAATCTGGTAGTTACTAAGATTTTCTTATGTCTTCACAGGTAAGCAGGCGGAATCTTTCCTATTCTCAAAACTGGAATTTTTGGTTACTACTAGATCAGCTGGCTTACAGACAAGAAGCCAACCATTTTAAGAATGCTCTTTATGTGAACAATTTGCAAACCCCAGGGATGGAGAAACCCTAAAAATGCTCAATCATAAGCATTTACAACCTTTGCAGCTGTGGCTGAATACTGTCCTTCTGAAATGATATCTCAAAGCAGTCTAGTTCAAAATAAAAGGTTTTAACAAAAAATTGGCATATGGACAATGTCTCCACCAATTCGTGTGTGTCAACCATTTAGTTAACTTTTCTACTTGAATAAATGCAATAGAAAACCAGACACCACGTTTCACTACCTCAGTTAATATTCACAATTACAGAGGCTACACTTTGGGATACAGCATCACCAACGCTCCCCAGAGTCAGTTTATATTGAAATAAAGTTTTTTACACCAACTAAATGGTTGTTCACAGCCACTAGCTGGTGTACATATGAACTACAATTTCTAGATGTGGGGAGAAACAAATGCTGCTCGAATCATCTGCTCTGCTTCTTCTGTTCCTCATTCACGCTTAGTTATCTTTCACATTATTCTTGTTTTTTTCAGTTTGCTTGCCTGTCTGGGTTTGGGCCTGCTGACCCTGCCCACTGGAAGAGGCTGCCTGCTGTGCTGCTTTCTGCTTTAACATCGTCCAATCAAATGTGTAGTCATATTGGTGGTTCAGGGTCCTGAAAAGAATGCGGAATAGCTGCCTCAGATACATGTAATCTGGGACTTCCTCAAAGCGCAGCCCACGACAGTAGTTCAAGTACATGGCGAATTCTGCAGGAAACCCCTTACATAAAACTTCAACAGGGGTGGACATCTTCTTCTCACTAATCTTTTCATATTTTTGTTTTTTTGTCATAGCCCTTAGTCCTTGCCACGGCAGGCTGGTTCTATTAAAATACATGAAAACGTAGCCTAAGGATTCCATGTCATCTCGGCGGCTCTGCTCAATACCAAGATGTGCATTGATGCTGGCATATCGGACAGTGCCAATGAGGTGTTTATCTTCTCTGTACGGTATGTGTTGCCTGGTCCTGTTGTCTCTGTACTTTTTGGCCAAACCAAAATCAATAAGGAACAACTTATTACAGTGACGCCCAGTACCCATCAGGAAGTTATCTGGTTTAATGTCTCGGTGTAGAAAATTCTTTGTATGCACGTATTCAATTCTGCTGATCATCTGGTCGGCTAACATAAGTACAGTTTTCATGGTGAACCTTCTTGAACAGAAATTAAAGAGGTCTTCGAGGCTGGGTCCCAGAAGGTCCATGACTAGCACATTGTTGTCTTTTTCCTGACCATACCAGTGCATGTGGGGGATGCCAACCCCACCTTGAAGAATCGTGTAGAGTTTGCTCTCATACAGCAACTGGGGGTGCTTGACCTTCTGAGATTCCAGCTTCACTGCTACGTCCTCGCCGTTGGTGGTGGTGATGCCCAGATAAACGTCTCCAAAGGAGCCAGACCCGATCTTCCGCACCAGTTTGTATTTCCCTCCCACAACGAGTTCGGCTTTGGAGCCGCTGTTGTTTGTCATCCTGAGAGGCAAAGATGGAGGCTGGGCTCAGCCCTGACCCCTCTAGGGGAGGATGGAGGCCTCCGGGGCCCACCGGCCCGCAAGGCTGAGGATGAGGGCTGCTGGAAATGGCCACCGAGGCGTTTCCCGGTGTTACAGGGCGTGGAGTCAGCCTGATCCCTGCAGCACACCAGGATTTCCGCCAGGCCACAGTTTGCGAGGGTTTCTCAAGGTTCCAGGCTGGGCCACCACCTCTTTCTCGGTGGCGGTCGCTGCCTCGCTGTCGTGGCGATGTCGTGGGCTGAGAAAGGGGGCACAGCGAGTTGGGGCAGCAGTACTGCTGCCACCGCTACCAACGGCTGTGGGCCAGAGGGCCCGGTCACGCCGCCGGCGCCGCCATTTTGTTCCTCCACCTCAGCCAACCACAAATCGAGAATTTTTGGAGAAGCTGTTATTGTCTGAGACCTCTGTTAGGTGTTCCACTCATCTCACTCCATTTAAGACAAACTTGCTAGTCTTGTAAGGTAGCTATTATTTTCCCTGATTTGTTGGGTAAGAAAGGCTGAGTCTCAGGTAAGCGGCCTAAGGTTGCAAGAGATTGTGGGCGAGCTGGAATTCAAAACTGCCTAGGCTTAACTCGAAGCTCACCTTCTTTCAACTTAATCGTGCAGAAATGGGAGGCTTTTATAACAAAGATTTTCTTGTTTTCGGGCCCAGTCATTGTCCCATCTACTTCCTTAGCCATCATGTCTCCCTGGGTTAATGCGAGTCGGGGTGCCACCTCTTGAGGTTTTTCTGTGTGATCTCAGTGGTTGCTTCTTTAATGAGTTTAGTCAACAAGAGTTACTTACTGCTAGTTAAATTGAAATGTCTTTTTTTTTTTTTTTAAAGCGATCCTTTTGAAATTTTTTCATAGAGTGCTTTGAATTTAAATAGGATTCCACAGAGACGTTCTGGCAAAACTGACTAAATGAAGGATTCAAGTAAAATTTAACCAAAATATGGAGAAGAAACAGAAGCCGGCAGTTCTGAGCATTTTCTCAGAAGAACTGGGGCCAGCACTAGCAGAAAAAGCGGTACCATTTCAATATTTTTATGAAAGTTCACATCACAAATAACAAAACCCGTGCGATTATTTTGTTTTATGAGGAGATGGGATAGGAACTGAGTATAATCCTAACGGGGCAGTAGCAACGAATTTGGGGGCCAATGGCAGAAAGGCAGGAGAGAGAGGTGCAGCTTTGAAAGCAGGTATTCTCACTTTACTGTCTCACATAAGTTAGTGCTGTTAACTTTTCTGACCTGCATCAATCTATGGCGAGAGAAGGAGCTGGTTTGAGACATAGACGGGCATAGAACATTATAAAGTGCTTTAAAACATTTTTAAAGTCCACTTCAGACAAATATGTGAGGTGGGTAGCGCAGTATATTACTTGGCTTTGCAGCAGGAACAACTCGCAAATCTCAGTGGCTTACAATGACAAAGTTTATTTATCATTCAGGTTTTATGTAAGCTGTAGATCAGCTGCATCTCTGCTTCCTGTGTCCTCTTTGTTCTAGAATGCAGGCTGAAAGAGCAGCCTCCTTAGGAGCATGCTGTTCTCATAATAAAAGGAGTGGCAAATGTTACATTCCACTGGGCAAAACACATCACATGGCCAGGTCCAAAGACAGTGGGGTGAAAATACATACTCCTACCTCAGGTGGATAGTAATACAGTATACTGCTGGCATATTTTATTATTATGATTGTACTTCTCATTTTATACAAGTGGAAATCAAGGCATAGAGAGGTTAGATGAATTGCCCAAGACCACACTACAGACAAGTGTCAGAGGCCAATTTGAAACTGAATTCTGACCCAAGGTAGTTACTTTTTATACCGTACCAACTAGAATGGCATTTCTTTCATTTACTCATCCAACTTTGTTGAAATTTGCCTGGAGAACAATTTCCTTTCTAATAACCAAGAATAAAATTTATGTTGTTAACCCACTGCCCATTATGCTTCCTTCCCGTTCAGTCTTCCAGTCAATGGCTTCAACACGAACCTTGAAATTCAAATAATCTCTATGTGAGAGAAGTCACTATTCAAAAAAGTTACAGATAACCCATACATGGACAAAAGCTTGAATCAAAAAATCCCCTTTCAATTCTGGAACTAGAATAGTTTAATTATAGTTTATTTATTGTTTACTAAGTCCCATACTTTTTTGTACCAGTTAAATAAAGGCACTGTCTATAAAGAAGGTCAAGTGTAACTTATAATGGTGGTTGGGTGAACCTTCACTTACAGGGAAGTTGTGAGCATCTCCAGAATGGGGAGGATCAGTAACTGAAGTGATGATATGACCCTGAATAGCTTCCAATCCAGTCTCCCATGAATTCTCTTACCACAAGCCGGTGGGACTGCGGATTTTTCCCCGAACACATACTCCCTGCATTTTTTCATCTTTGGGTCTTGGCTTATGGTGTTGTTTCCTCAGCCTGAAATGCTTCCAGCCTGCTTTATCTTTCCCATCGCCCAGGTCTAATCCTAATAATCTCAGGGCTCTTCCTTAAATGCTGTTTGCTCCATGAAACCTTTTCCAATCTCCTCAACCAAATATAAATACTCTTTTTAAACCCAAACAACACTTTGCTTAAACTCTTGCATCCCCTCCTACCCTTTTGTCCAAAATTTTTCCATAAAAGATGTGCAACAAATAGTTTTTAAAATGGAAGTAAATTGAACTACTGTATTTCATAAAGTTTTGTGGACAGTGTGTGGGGTTGATGCATTCTTTATTTATTCATTCATTCAACAAATAGTTATTGAATGCCTCCTATTTGCAGGCATGAGTGACTCACCAAAGGTGGCATAGGTAGGTAATGATGGATTCAGAATGGAAATCCAGGATAGCCTGCCTCCAAAGCCAGTACTTTTAACCCCTACATAGACATCAACAGCCAGAGGCTCCTGAACGCTGGGTGGCTTCACTGTTGGGAATATATTAGTTCTGTTTCTTTTCTTTAATTGTATAAAGTATTTTACCAATGCATTTTAAAGCTATGATTTAGCCTTGATTTCAAAATTGCCTCTAAAATAATTTCTATTAATATAAGATGACCCCAGTAAAAGTAAAATAACGTATTCTGGGCAGGATTGTACTGGGTAGTATTGTACTGTTTAACAGCCAATTCGGGTTTTGTCAGTCCTGAACTTTATACAATTTTTTTTGTGGCCCTCTTTAAGAAAACAACAACAACAACAACAACAAGAACAACAACAAACAGGCATGAAATATTTAACTTAGGAAAAGAAATCATTGCAATTTACCTGAGTGTTAGAGGGTCAAGTCTTTTTTTTTATCCCCTAAGCTATCTTGATGCAATTGACCAGAAATTCTTACATAGAAATGCTTCCACATTGCAATCTGACTTCTCCTCCCCACCTGAAATACTTCACAACTCCTGTCCACTCCTAACACTTAGAAGGGACCTTGCAAAGGAGGCTTTATTCACTTCCCTGTAAGTCCGTGTCTGCTTTTGGCAATTAAGAAATGATACTCAAATGGCATTGGTTTTAGTCTCATATGAATTTTGGGGTTAATTTTCTGGGCTTCTTGGTATCTTTTCCCAGGAAATGGAGACACTTTAGTAGAATGGTCATTTGAGACACAAAAATTTCTTAGTTAAAAAAAAAAATTTTTGGCTATCAAATTGGGTCGGCAGTTGTCATTACAGAAACCATTTGGCATGAATATAATCTCCTTTTGGAACTATTTAAATAGAATACAAAATAAATCAAAATATGTTCTTAAATAAATAATGCTGTCACTAAGGGATTTACTGACATTTATGTGGCTCAAACACTATGTTCAGAATAACATTACCCAGAATCAATCACTTCAATTTTAAAAGATCCTGGAGATGACTAACTTTATAGAAGGATTTAAGTCATTTTTTCCTCAAAGCTTTTTGGAAGTATTGGCACTGCAAAGACAGTGAGACACTATTGGAAATGAGGTTATTTGGTGTAGTATCAAAAATCACAGCAGAGGGCGTCATTGTAATGTGCTGGATTTTTCTTTCTTCATGAAAGAATATTTTCTCCATGGCTCTGCATCTTTCTGTTCACTCATTTTGAAACTTGCAATATGTTTATCTGAAAAAAAGAAAACACTTAAATACCAATTTTACTATATTGAGAATGTAGGGTTCAATTTCAGCCTTAAAAATCATTACTTATTTTGTTTGGTTCCCATGAAGTTATTGCAATTCTGGCACCTTTCTGGACTTCCTTCCAGAGCAGTGAGGAGTTGTGTAACCTCTTTTACTTTTTCTTGCAGGTTGTCACCTTATTAAGACCATTCAAATTGTTGGCAGATCATTATGTGAACACATTCATTAATTATGTTACTTTATTCAAAGATCAGAAAAATTACATGAAAACAGTTCATGACATCACACTTATTGCATCTTCCAGTTCCTTTCAGTGAATTTTGCTTAAGTTCTAACAGCTATCTACTCTAATACAAAGAAAAAGCTGTAAGTTGTAATTATGTCAGATGTTCAAAATGAATGAGACTAAGTATAAATGATTCATTAATTTAGGTTGTTTTAATTATTTTATGGATTCATCTTGTGATTAGTTTGACTGTGATTAGGGTGAACAATGGATTGGAAAATAAAAGGATTGGCTGAACTACAGTTTAGTGCATCCTGAATGTGCATACACAGGCTTGCACTTAATCCCAGTGAAGTTCCTTTTTGACAATTTTGTCTAAGAGAGAGCATCTCCAGCAGAGTACAAATATTTTTTATAACTCTGGGTTCTGCAGTCAAATATATTTATTTTTCAAGTCTCAACCTGGTTCCTTATAATTATGTTCACAGAGATATTTAATTTTATCCAATCATCATACACTCTAACAGTACATGTCTAGCATCCTGTTTTTTTAAAAACAGTAGTCCTAATGATCTGTCAGAAAAGACATATTTTTGAGATAAAGGAGTTTCTAAATAATGAATTATTGTTTAGTACCAGCTTTTGGAATCCTTACATTTTAAGGAACTTGAATAATTTAAATATTAGATAATGTAACTCCTCATAAAAACAGTGTCTAGACAAGGGCCAATATTGCATTGAGATTGGATGAACATTTTATTTTGCATATAATTGTTGTCTATAAAACAAAATACTAATAATAATGGCTACCAGTTAGACAATTTAGAACATGTCTTACTATTTACCTTTGTGGTAAAACATTGCATGTTTTAATTTTTTTCTAATAAAATATTATACAATAACAAAACTGGACAATATTGTGAAAAACAACCATTTCAGGGCTCTTGAAATTCACCAAAGGCATACAACAAATTGAGAAGCAATTATTCACAAAAAAATGCTGAATGTAAGTTAGTAGGAGCAGTGGGAGTCTATGGTATTCTTATCTGGGGCTTCTCCTATCCATGTCTTCTGTACCCCATTCCCAAGGTGGATCTGTTGAGAAGTTTATGAGAGCACTGCTGAATATGAAAACCAGCAGCTTCCCTGCCAAAGGGGGATCATTCGGTTTGGCGCACAGTGTGGAAAAACTTCACACCCAGTGGTGTTGTCAGTAGAAATAGTGATCTTTGTGGCAAATGAAAGGAAAAGACTAGCTGTTCAGGTAGTCTGAAGTTACAGTCTTGGTTGCGGCAAACAATGGACTCGTAGACAAGCCTGGAAGTTAACAGGGAGATCTGAGAAATGATAGCCTTGGAGGGCCTTGCTAAGTTCTCCATGTATCTATGCAGGGGAGACTATGAGAGAATCCAAATAAGCCACATATCTTTGGCTAAGTGTGAGACAGGCCACAGAGGAGGTGCCACCAGAAGGCCTGGTGAGAAGTAATAGCCAAAGTCAACTTGACAACTGATTGAGTGAGTCAATGGCAAAACTTTCTTTGGATTATTTAACTGGTATTAAAAGACTATGCAAGGATTTTACAGTTTCTTTTATTTTTGTAAATTCTTCATAAATTTTAAATTCTAATTTATTGGAATATATTCTAATTTATTGGAATATATTCTAATATGAAGGAATACATATATTCCTTCATAATAATTAGGAATAATTTAGGAATACACTAGAATGGGGAAATGTTTTTTAATTTCTGAATTGTGACTCTCTGAGCTCATTCCCCATCTATAGATTAGAGCTCTTTATTGGCTTTACTACTTTTTTTAATTTTAGAGGAATAATATCTATGAGAACCTTGCAATATTAATAGTAGCTTACATTTATTGAACACCTATTATAAGGCAGACATTGTGCTGTGACTTTACACACATTTTATGTCATTTAATTCTCATACTGGCTTTATGGTGATGTTATTCCCTTTCTGGGTGCGGAAATTGGAGCTTAAGCAAAATAACTTTTCCAAGGTTATAACAGCTAAGAAGTGAAGTATGTGGAATGCACCTTGGCAGTCTGATTCCTGAACTCAGATCCTTAAATACTATGCTATGTTTTCAGATGATGGTGCTATAGAATACAGAATATTTTTCTATGACTATAATAACATAATCTGATAGCAATTAAATTACCTTATGTAGAGTTATTGGTACATTAAGCAGGTTTTATATTTCAGTTTTTTTAAAAGAAAACCTTCATATCAAAGAGAATTTCAAACAGGTACAGAAGTAGATAATAATGTAATGATCCTTCATGTACCCTTCACACAGCTTTGAATACTTTTTATAAGTGCTAAAATTACTGCTATCTATGCTAAACTTTGCTGCAAAAAGGAAATATTATAGACCAATTTTTTGTACAGTGAGCATCAGTAACTGTTAATTTTGCAACTAAAATGTTCAATAATGGATTTTACTAACTCATTACTTTGTGAGTATTTCCTTTTAAAATAGGCACACTAAGGCCAGACCCTGTGGCTCATGCCTGTAATCCTAACACTTTGAGAGGCTGAGGCAGGAGGATCACTTGAGCTTGAGTTTGAGACTGCAGTAAGCTATGATGGCACCAGTGCACTCCAGTCTGGGCAATAGAGTGAGACCCTATCTCTACAAAAATAAATTAATTAAAAAATAAGTAAATTGAATAAAATAGATACAATACGTTTTTAAAAGTAGACAACTCTGTGCAAACAACATGAAGAGTACAAGGAGGAGAGGGTTGTAAATATTCTGTGGCTATTTGGCATAATGGAGCAAATGACTGGAACGTAGCAGGGTAGAGCTGTGGAATTTGGTTTACTCATCCTCTGTTTCTTTAAGATGCTGCCTATGGACCTCTACGGGTCTCCCAGCCTCTGTCATGTGACCCCGGGCTAGTCATCTTCTTTTAAAGACTTTTTTTTTTTTTTCTGAGAAGTTTTAGGTTCACAGCAAAATTAAGCAGACAATACAGAGTTCCCATATCCTCCCTACCCCCTGCCAGCCATGCATAGCCACCCTCACCATCAACATTTGGCACCAGAGTGGTACGTTTATTACAATTGATGAACCATTCATACCTCATTATCACTCAAAGTCCATGGTTTACATTAGGGTTCACTCTTGGTGTTTGTCATACATTCTGTGAGTTTGGACAAATGTACAGTGATGTGTACTTACCATTAAAATACCATAAACAGTAGTTTCACTGCCTTAATAATCTGGCTTGGTCTTTTATTCATTACATTTTCTCTTTTATAAGCATCAGTATTGTTCTTTCCTGGATTTCTAATAATCATGTCATGGTTTTCAGTGACTTGTGGAGAAACTGAGAACCAGTTCTCCGAATCTTGTCCACAATTACTTGGCATAGTAGTATTCAACAGAGCTATGGTAGTTTGCAGGACTGGAAGGAAATAGTAATATGATCATATTTTGTTCTTTTAGGCCACCTACAGAAATATTTTGTGTTATAGAGAGGATTTAACTTCTTTATTTGAAACCTTAGATCCCTTGAATGGGATATGATGTTTTATGCCATATGTTTCTGTAATAGTCTTTAAATTCTTGTTGTCAAATGTATTTCCAATAACTCTGGCTCCTGAGAGAAACTACTCTATTTTTCTGCTTTTCTTTGGCCTCTAGAATGCTAGAAACTGCATTTTGGTTATTCCTGTAATTTGTGGCCCTTTAAAATACTAATTGTCTTTTGCTTTTCAAGAAAACTCAAAATCATGTAAATGAGAGCTATTTCCTTTGACTCCTTAAATCTGGAGTGGGCAAGCCCACTGGTCAGAGTAGGATTCCTGACAATATCCCCTGTCTACACTATAGCCCAGGTTGCCATATACACAGTGGAGTTGTAAAGATCCTGTTTTCTGTTCAGCTAGAGTTCTTGCTGCTGAACTAGGTGGATTTTACTCAGTTTTAACATAATCTGCAGATTGCATAGCACAATCTACAATTTTGTGCTACATTTTGTGGAAAATTTAGATGACTAAATGTTTTTCATTTTGAAGGACTTAGAAAAGGCAGTGTGGAGCTGTTAAGAGCTCAGATGCTAGAGAAAGCCAAACACTAGCTCTGCCACTTACAAGCCAAGCGGTCCTAGGAAAAGTGCGCTTCACTTTTTTTATTTGCATAAAGGACATATTACTAGCAATCTCAAAACTGTAGCTAGGATTCATTGAAATAATGCACACAAAGCCCTTGACTTGGTCTGGTGCACACTAAACCCTCATTGTTACCTGAAAGAAGAAAAGTGGTAACAAAGTACACTTGGATTTCATAACTACAAAGTCTCTTCCCTTCTAGGATCCTCCAAGGGGGTTCCATAAAATCAAGTATGAAATAGTCTTTAATGGAAGGGCTAATATGGTCTGGTTAGAGTCCATGAAGACTTCTGGATTCTTGTTGCTCTTGTAAGGTTAATTTGGATTATACTATTGTGTTGAAGGACATAATTGGGAGCCAGGGGAAGATGCTTTTGTCTCTCTTCAGAGTATAGTTCTGTCTTCCACCCATTCTGAGAATCTAATGTAACTCTGAAGATGATAGCAGGGCACTTGTCTGGTTTTTGTTTAAGTTTTTCTACCACAAAATCTCAAGTTCCGGTAACCTGAAGGGCTAGTCTTTCCTTTGTCTGGTTTGGTGGTTGCTAGAATAGAGTCTACCTGCTAACGTTTTATTTCAGAAATATTTTGTACAAAGCTTCCTTCATCTGCTATTGTAATGTTCTTGTTAACATGCAACAGTTTGCTAAGGGATCTCTGGCTTTGGTCCTGGCAGTCTGGAGGCAATGAAATACGTACTGCCAGGTATGTATCATAGAACATTTCCATACAACTGAGCAGAAAGGCAGACTCTCATGTAGAATCAAATGAAATAATAAAAAAATCCTGTAAATCTCAAAGATCCCATCAAAATTCTTGGATGGAATTACTTAGACCTGGCGAATAGAAATACAGCAGCATTTTCAATGATTTAAAAAAATCTCATTGAAAATACTGGTGACAGCAAAGCAAATTAAAAGTTTAATATCATTTTGATTATATAGTATTTTTATAAAAAGTCTTAGTCCTTTCGCATAATTGATATGGTGAAAGAAATTTTGGTTATATGCTCAAATGTGAGAAGAGCTTGGTTTAACCACAAGATCCATTATTTAATAAATATGTAATCTTGGACCAAATAATGTTCTGAGCCTTGGTTTTCTCCTCTGTAAGATGGGGTTAATAATCTACCTACTTCGTTTGGTTTTGGGGAGGCTTGAGTAAGATAATATGTATAATCTGTAAAGTACTCTGTAAATAAAATACGTTAATCATATGATTTCCGATGTTCAAAACTGAGAGTGATAAAATCTTACATTTGAAATGAACATTAGAAGACATCCAATGTATGCATCTTTCAAAAATAACATTGTTGAAATTCAAAATGTAACATTCAAAATATAACATTCAAAAATAACAACGCTATCTCTGTTTGGTCATTACCAGCAATGCATTCAGACTACTTAGGATGCAAGCATTCCACTTGCCATTGGGCAAGTTTCTTAAATTGGGCTCTTTAGGAAGCAGACTTAGGAAAATTAAGGTGCGGGGCATTTATTAGGGAGTTGGCTTGGCATCACCCCTGAGAAAGGAGAGAAGGAGATACTATAGGGCAGAGGACAAAGGCTTTAGCTGAACCCATGGTGAGCTTGGGCCTTCAGTGGCCCCTCAGAGTTATCATGAATTTGGGCTGGAGGGCCGGGCCTTTATACCTCCATCATGACCAGTCATTGCAGGCTGGCTTCCACAAAAGGAGGTGCCATCTTGGCAAGGCAATTCTCTTCAGCTGAGGCCATCCCCAAGGAAGGTTAAAAACTGAGGCACATCTTCTGGCAGTCCTCCTGCAGCTAGTGGAATAAGTCCTTCCTTCCTCAAGGAGACCCTGTGAATTATGGCATCCACCACAGCAGGCCCTACAGATAAGACATTCTGCCTTATATTGAGTTGACACCTTCCTCACTGTGACTTTCATGTAAGCTATTCTCTTCTGAGTCAATTCCAAGTCTTATCATTATTTTCTAACAGATAATTCTTTACTATATTCTGGCAACACTAGTGCTGTAATACTGATACACATATATGTATCTATATCACATATATAAGATATATATCTCACATAGATATCATATACTCAAACGTATATTACACACACATATATAAGGCTCAAATATATATTTATACACCTTTGCATATACATATGCCCAACTACACCTGACACATAGCTGTTAGTGACCATAATTATGTCATTTATTGGAGATAATAAAATAAGTCTGCTCTTCTAAGAGAATCAGATTAGGAGATTCTGTTTTGGACATATTGAATATGAAGCACTTTTAAGACATCCAAGTAAAAATGTTGGGCAGGCATTTGAATTTACCTGGAGCTTCAAAAAGGGTCTACTGTACAGATAAGTAATTACAAGTTGGTGTTTATATAGTAATTGAACTATGGGTCATGGGTGATATTATGAAAAGAGAATAAAGAGTAGAGCAGAGAGAGAAGAAACATTCTAGTAGGCATGTTGGGTTTACTTTGATTAGCAAATTGGCTTTTACAATTATTAGAAAATCATTTATTTGCCAGTATTTAAAAATCAGGAGGTTCCACATGATCCAGATTGAAGCTACTCTTGAAAAACTAAAAAATCAGGCAACATTTATTTTTTTATTTCTGCATGCCAGTAATGACCCAGAGCTGGGTTTCCCCTTTAGATACTGGATTTTCCCTTCAGTGGAGGGCTTCACCCCCTGAGGTGTGTGCAATCACTAGTTTAGTGTCGGGAGAGAGAGGACCCGTGGCTGAGACACAAACAACATCAATATTTATTTATTTTATTTTATTTTATTTTTTATTATACTTTAAGTTCTAGGGTACATGTGTACAACGCGCAAGTTTGTTACATATGTATACATGTGCCATGTTGGTGTGCTGCACCCATTAACTCTTCATTTACATTAGGTATATCTCCTAATGCTATCCCTGCCCCCTCCCTCCACCCCACAACAGGCCCCGGTGTGTGATGTTCCTCATCCTGTGTCCAAGTGTTCTCATTGTTCAGTTCCCACGTATGAGTGAGAACATGCGGTGTTTGGTTTTCTGTCCTTGCGATAGTTTGAAAGAGCATCAATATTTAAAGACTGGTGGGTGAGAAGTCTGGCACTGAGACGTGGCCAGAGATGTAAGAGGCTGCAGCCCATAGGTACAAGGGGAGAGAGAAGTGGTTAGAAGTATACAATTTTTTTTTTTTTTAGGCAGAGTTTTGCTCTTGTTGCCCAGGCTGGAATGCAATGGCGCGATCTCGGTTCACTGCAACCTCTGCCTTCTGGATTCAAGCAATTCTCCTGCCTCAGCCTCCCGAGTAGCTGGGATTACTGGTGCCCACCACCACGCCCAGCTAATTTTTTGTACTTTTTTTTTTAGAGAGACAGGGTTTCACCATGTTGGCCAGGCTGGTTTCGAATTCCTGGCCTCAGGCGATCCACCCGCTTCGGCCTCCCAAAGTGCTGGGATTATAGGCCTGAGCCACTGCTCCGGGCCAGCACTATAAAATTCTTCAGAGAAGTAATACCTTTGGGAGATGGAGCTCATTGACTTTAGGGAGAGTGGTTTCGGTGTAGCAAAGGGGATGGAAGCCAGATTGAAGTGGGATGAGTGAATGAGGGGTGGGGAAATGAGGAAAAGAATGTGCACAATGAGAAGTGTAGCTTTGAAGGTAAGTACAGAAATAGGGATTAGCTGGAGGGAAGTTAGGTTGTGTTGAAATGGGGTGGGGGAGGGGGTTGAAGGGCAATAGGAAGAAGAGAAATAGAGGTATTTTTCACATAACATTGCTTTAAATATCCCCTCTCACTTTTAAGTGGTTTGAACTATTTCTGAAATGTTAAGAGAAGTGAAAATTCAAGGATGTTAGTGCTTTGTTGAAAACAACCGTGACCAAAGTACTTGGGTAGTAGAAAACTTAGATTGTACAGCTCAAATTGAAATGGGTAACTAAATAAAAGATTGAAAATTTTCTACTTGAATTATTTAGTCCAACACTTCATGACCTCATTTTGCTTTTAACGAAGAAAATCTCACATGGCATGAGAGAGAAATTTCATATTATTTGAAAAGTAAAGTCTTAAGTCTGACTTATTTTTCAGATAAATAACGTCTTTGACAAAAACGAAATGAAGCATTTTTGTATGATTCTAGTGCAAACAGAGATTATGTGACACTAATACACGATTTAAAAAATGTTTTCCTATATATGTGATAGGAAAAACATTATGGATTTTCTTCCTGGAAACATTTCACAGATTCTTTCGTTGAACACCTATATCATGGATCACTCTGACTCTAGCACCCCTCAGCTCAGGGAAAGCAACAGTTTTCCTCAGTGTTCCTATAGCCCCCAGAGAGTGCTTGCCAAGTGCTCAGCAACATTTCACTGCTTTGTGCCATGCCACCGGGTGCTTTGTTCTATCCTTGGCATGCTATGGTAGCTTCTGGGGCTGCTGCCCAAACCCTACTGGCTTGCTGATAATTTATCTCACTCTTGGCAGAAGGTGCTCTAGAGTTAAATTTTTTCCACAGCCCAGTTCCCCCAGGGTGTGATAATTTAGGGTGGAGACGGGGAAGAGAGTGACGGCCTCTCTCTTTTGTGTTAATTTCTTTTAGAGGGATCTTAATTATCTAAGGTCCCCATGTGTTCTGAGAGAAGTGGCTTTTTCTTATTGCTTATGGTTCTTTTTTCCTTAGAGTCAGCTATATCTGTTTAGGGGCTAGAACAGAGATAGAGTTTTTACTCTATCTCTGATATGCTTATATATCAGACTTCCTTTTCAAATAATAAATAAATATCATGCCAGGTAAGATTTTTTTAGTTAAAAGCAAAATGAGGACATGAAGTGTTGAATTAAATAATTCAAGTAGAAAAATTTTCATTTTCTATTTAGTATTTTTTTGTGTGTGTTGTGTGTGAGAGGGGGTCTCATTGTATCACCCAGGCTGGTCTTCAGTTCCTGAGTTCAAGCGATCCTCCTGCCTCAGCCTCCCAAGTAGCTGGAACTATAAGCACGCAGCACTGTCTCCAGCCATCCCTATATTAATCTTCAATCAGCAGGTCATCAGGATCACCTCCAGAATTATAAAATATGAATTTTCAGATTCACTCACTGAATCCCTATTTTCATAAGTTTGTTCCAAGCATCTGCATTTTTAACAAGTTCCAAAGAGGGTTGTAATATATACCCTTAGTTAAAAACATTGCCCTATGTATTCTTAACTTTGCTCCCCAACTCTCCAGAATAAAGACAGGTATCACCCTCTCTTTAGATGGCTTTTTTTTTGTTTGTTTGTGAGGAAAAAACATTCAAAATTTTTTCTCCAACAAACAGCATTGGCAAGTACAACTACAGGGGTTTCTCCATAGATCATACATTCATGAGGCATTATTAGCTTAACATTGAGAAAGCCACTGGTATGTTCTCTGTAACAATATCCACTTCATGTTTAAACAGGTACTATTATTTTGTTCACTTACAATTCCAGAAGGAAAGGCATCAGTTGGAAAATTTTTTTTTTTTTTTGATCCTAAAGTCAGATGCAATAACAGAGACAAAATTTTGGGTAACAATCTTGATCTACATTTCAATAAGGGCCTTCCACAAAGAGGGGAAAAACTCTGCCCAGAAGTTAGGGTCTTTCTCCTTCCTCATTAAATCGTTGGAACAACATTTCATTGTTTGTTCAACATTATTACATGTACAAAAGAGGATTAAAAAAAGGAATCACAAAAATATCTTGAATGTCCAGCTATTCTCACCAATATGTGAATTCTTAGGTTTAAGAGAGGGCCTGGGAATACTTCGGTGGTCATAAAATAGGAAAATAAGACACTATGGCTACAAAAATAAAAAAATACATCCCCCTTTGGCTGGAATGCACATGCTCCAGTAATTCCAGGTAGGTTCTATACTAATTATTAAATGTGTTTCTTTGCTCAGCTCTTCTCAGTCCTTTATCTCTTCTGATTAACAGGACCTTTTTAATGTTAGGTCCCTGGGATAGATCTGAATGACAGCTATAGCCATTAACTGAGAGCTCTTAACATTTCTTATTATATGTCTATGCATCTTGCTACTTATCCATCTGTCCATTGATCTATCTTAATTTATTCATCCATTAATGACAGGTTTGTTTATATTTATTGAGTACTTGCTGTGTGCTGGGTACTGAGGATATAAAGGTGAGCATGGCAAACCTGGTCCTTGACTTCGAGGGGGAGGAATAATTAATGTTTGCACAAATAGGTAATTACAAACCATGATAAAGGCCACAAAGGTTGATGTGAGATTGTTTGACAAAAGCTTCAGATCTGGGCTGGTGAAGTCAGGGAAGATTCTGCTGAGGAAATTACCTTGAGCTAAAACCTGAAGGGTGAATAGATGTGCCAGGGTATTGGAGGTGGGCATGTATTTTGAATCATTTCCTTGAGTAGACTATCAGAAGCAAAATTTCTGGGTCAAAGTACATGACTTTTAAAAATCATTTAAATGTTTTTAATTATAATTTTTTTCTTTAAATTTTAAATTCATTTAAAATTATTTTTATGTGATTTAAACTTACAGAGCAGTTGCAAATATAGTGTAAGGACCTTTTTTTTTGCCTTGAACTATTTACCAGTTTCCACTATGATGCCCCCAAACCCCCAAATAATTTATGCGAATAGCCTTCAAACAAGGACGTTCTCTTATATAAGCACAATATGATATTAAAATTCTGGGAATTACCGTTGAATTATTAGTACTTTCTAATCCTTAGACCTCATTTGAGTCTTGCCAGTTTTCCCAAGTGATATCTTTTGCAACAAAAGATCCAGTTCAGAATCAAGTGTTGCATCTTGTCGGGTCTCTTGAGTTGGCTTCAGTCTTGAACATTTCCTCAGTCTTTTGTTGACTTTGAGGACTTTGACTCTTGAAGATCACTGTCTAGTTATTTTGTAGAATGTTCTTGCAGTTGAATTTCCTGATGTTTCTTCATGATTAGGTTCAGGTGATGCAAATTTGACAGGAATATCACAGAAGCGTGTTCTTCTCATTACATTCTATTAGGTGGCACAAGGTTTCAATTTGTCCCATTACTGATGATGCTCAAGTTGTTCACCTGATTAAAATGGTATCTGCAGAATTCTCTCCTGAAAAGTTACTTTTTCCTTTTGAATTTAATAAATATTTGGAAGCTTAAAATATCCCATTCTTTATAAAACTTTCAATTTATCCTTTTTGATATTTATATCAGATTGGACTTCTTGTTTTCCTCTTTTATGCAATCGGTTACAATCCATTACTATTATTATTTAATTTGATGCTCAAATTATCTCATATTTGGCTGGCTTCTGTGTCCCATTGGTACCATGGCTGCCCCTCCCCCTCTCGGATGCCCTCCTCTGCCATCTCAGGCCACCAACACCCTGAGCTGGGCTGCTACTCAACGTGGATGCCCTCTTTCCCTCTCTGCTCAGAATCCGACATCCTTTACCAGCTGTTCACACCTCCTGTTTGTGGAGGAGCTGTGGAGGAGGTGTGGACAGCCAGCATTTATGCGGAGACATCCTCCTCAGCCTTCATGGGCTCCAACACTCAATATTGGCTGTCACATGCTTCCCACCCTAATTGAGCTCTAATACCCTGTTCCCGGTGTAGGTTGGGGATCCCTGCCATCTATGCATTTTTCCAACTTTAGCTATTTTATCACATTTCCTTCTAATCTTTTCTCTGTGCACTTAACATAATGCTGATAACTATGATTTTTAAATCCCATTTATTTATTTTTAATAATTTCAACTTTTATTTTAGATTTGGGGGTACATGAGCAGGTTTGTGACATGGATATATTGTGTGATGGTAAGGTTTAGGATATGAACAATCCCATCACCCAGATGGTGAGCATAGTACCCAATAGTGAGTTTTTCAACCCTTTCTCCTTATCCTCTCTGCCCACTCCATTAGTCCTTAGTGTTTATTATTGCTATCTTTATGTCCACTAGTACCCAATGTTTAGCTCTCGTAAGTGAGAACATGATGTCTTTGATTTTCTGTTTCTGTGTTAATTTACTTAGATTATGGCCTCTAGCTGCATCCATGTGGCTGCAAATGATATGATTTCATTCCTTTTTATGGCTGTGTAGTAATCCATGGTATATATATGTACTGTATTTTATTTATCCAATCCATGGTTGATGGGCACCTATATTGATAGCATGTCTTTGAAATTGTGAATAGTAAGTACTTCAATGAATATAGGAGTGCATGTGTCTTTGGTAGAATGATTATTTTTCTTTTGCATATATACCCAATAATAGGATTGCTGGGTTGAGTGAGTTCTGTTTTAAGTTCTTTGAGAAATCTCCAAACTGCTTTCTACATTGGCTAAACTAATTTACATTCCCACCAACAGTGTATAAGCATCCCTTTTTCTCCACAGCCTCACCAGCATCTGCTATTTTTTGACTTTTTAATAATAGCCATTCTGGCTGGTGTGAGATGGTATCTCATTGTGGTTTTGATTTGCATGTCTCTGATGATTAGTGATGTGGAGCATTTTTTCGTATGTTTGTTGGTCACTCGTACGTCCTCTTTTGAGAAGCGTCTGTCTTTTGCCCACTTTTTAATGGAGTTATTTGTTTTTGCTTGTTGAATTTTTAAGTTCCTTACAGATTCTGGACATTAGACCTTTGTTGGATGCATGGTTTGTGAATGTGTTCTCTCATTTGGTAGGTTGTCTGTTTACTCTGTTGACAGTTTCTTTTTTTGTTCAGAAGCTCTTTAGTTTAATTAGGTTCCACTTGTCAATATTTTTTGTTGCAATTGCTTTTGAAGACTTAGTCATAAATCCTTTCTCAAGGTTGATGTTCAGAATGGCGTTTCTTAGGTTTTCTTCTAGGATTCTTGTAGTTTGAGGTCTTATATTTAAATCTTTAATCCATCTTGAGTTAATGTTTATATATGGTGAAAGGTAGGGGTCCAGTTTTATTCTTCTGCATTTGGCTAGCCAGCTATCCCAGCACCATTTATTTACTAGGGTGTCCTTTCCCCATTGCTTACTTTTGTCGACTTGGTTGAAGATCAGATGGCTGTGGGTGTGTGTTTTTATTTTTGCGTTCTCTATTCTGTTCCATTGGTCTGTGTATCTGTTTTTGTACCAGTTCTGTGGTGTTTTTGTTACTGTAGCCTTACAGTATTGTTTGAAGTTGGGGAATGTGATGCTTCTGGCTTTGTTCTTTTTGCTTAGGTTTGCTGAGGCTCTTTGGGCTCTTTTTTGATTCCATGTGAATTTTAGAATAGTTTTTTTAGTTCTATGAAAAATGACATTGGCAGTTTGATAGAAATAGTTTTGAATCTATAGATTGTTTAGGGCAGTAGGGCCATTTTAACGATATTGACTCTTCCGTCCATGAACGTGGAATGTTTTTCCATTTGTTTATTTCATCTACGATTTCTTTCAGCAGTGTTTTGTAGTTCTCCTTGTAAAGATCTTTCACTTCCTTGGTTAGATGTATTCCTAGGTATTTTGTTTTTTTGTGTGTGACTATTTTAAATGGGATGGCATTCTTGATTTGGCTCTCAGCTTGAACATTATTGGTGTATAGAAATTCTACTAATTTTTGTATCTTGAACTTTACTGAAGCTATCTATCAGTTGCAGGAGCCTTAGTGGAGACTTTAGGGTTTCCTAGGTATAGAATCATATTGTCAGTGAGGAGAGATCATTTGACTTCTAAGCCTATTTGGATGCTTTTTATTTCTTTCTCTTGCATGACTGCTCTGACAAGGACTTTCACTACTATGTTGAATAGGAGTGGTGAGAGTGGGCATCCTTATCTTGTTTACACAAGACCCATTTTCTCAAACCGTTAAGAATGTTTCATAAATGTGACTTTAAATGACTTGAAATGGACATAATATTTTTGTCTGTAATTGCACATTGCTGCCTTATGTGAGAGACTCCTAGAAGAGGAATTACTAGGTCAAAAGTACCAATATTTAGGTTCTTGACACACATTTTCAAATAATCATTTCAGAAAGGTTACATATTCAAATATATATACATATTTTTTGAGTTGGAGTCTTGCTGTGTTGCCCACTCTGGAGTGTAGTGGCACGATCTCAGCTCACTGCAACCTCTGCCTCCCACGTTCAAGCGATTCTTCCACCTCAGCCTCCTGAGTAGCTGGGACTACAGGTCTCTGCTACCAGGCCTGGCTAATTTTTTGTATTTTAGTAGAGACAGGGTTTCACTGTGTTGCCCAGGCTGGTGTGCAACTCCTGAGCTCAGGCAGTCTGCCCACCTCGGCCTCCCGAAGTGTTAGGATTACAGGCATGAGCCACCGCACCTGGCCACGTATTCAAATATTTTTAAGTTAGTTTATAAATGCAATGCTGTGCCAATAAAAATATCGTTTTTTTAAATGAGCTAACCAATTTGATTTTAAAGTTTGTTGAGATGAATAAACAAAGAATGGCCAGAAGAATTCTGAAAAAGAAAAGCAGCATATGGGTGTAGGGGAGCTACCCTTATCAGCTTCTCTATTGAAAAGAGTGTGATATTTGTGAGTGTATAGACAGAAGCCCAATGAAACAGAAAAGAAAATCCAGAAATAGACCCAAATATATAGCAAAATTTAGTATATGTAAAAGGTGACACCTCAAATAAATATGTTACATAGTGTTAGGATAGATAGTCAGTCACCTGGAAAAAGGTCTAATTGGATCCGTTCCTTTCTCCATAAACCAGGACAAACTGCAAATGTTTCAGAGAGGTAGCTAAAAAATGAAACCATGGAAGTACTAGAAGAAAACTTAAGTTTCTAATATGAACCAAAATTAGAAGCATAAAAAACTGATAAATTTAACTACATAAAAAATCTTCCCAGGCTCAGGCCTGTAATCCCAGTACTTTGGGAGGCTGAGGCGGGTGGATTGCTTGAGCCCAGGAGTTTGAGACTAGCCTGAGCAACATGGTGAAACCCCATCTGTACTAAAAATACAAAGATTAGCTAGGCGTGGTGGCATGTGCCTATATTCCCAGCTACTTGGGAGGCTGAGGTGGGAGAATCACCTGAGCCTGGGAAATCGAGGCTGCAGTGAGGCATGATCATGCCACTGCACTCCAGCCTGGGTGATGGTAAAATGACAACTGAGAAAAAAAAAATGTTACCCATTTCAGGGAAAAAGGACTAATAAATCTAATAATAAAAAGAAGAAAGTGATGAAAAACCTAGTAGAAAATGGGCAAAAGATGTGAGAAGTTTACAGAAAAACATTGCAAAATATCTTTAAAATATATTAAAAGATGCATTGCTCATAATAAGATAAATGTATACTAATATTATACTGAGATGCCATTTTCAATTATCAGATTGGTGAAATTCCAAAAGTTTACAATATTTTGTTGGCGAGGCATGGGGAATACAAAATGGCAAACAGCTATGGAGGGGAACTTGATATTACTTAGCAAAACTACATATGTATTTCTGTCTTTCAATCAGTAATCCCACTTTGATGAATTTATCCTCAGGATATACTAATAAAAATATGACATGTCAGGGTAGTGGGAAAGAGTGGAGTCAACTCAAATGGCCTTCAGTAGGGTGCTGGTAGAATAAATCATGATACATACATAGTAGATCAGTAACTATGCTAAAATTACGCTCTATAACAAACCACCCCAGAAACCTTTGCAGAAGGTAGGTTTTTAAGGAATTATAGCAGAAACACACACACACAGGATAGTACATATCTTTCATTTTACACAAATAATAGACTATACACACTTCTTTGTGCCTTGCTGTTATTTCACTTAACAATATATATTAAAGATAATTTTATATCTGTGTATAAAAAGCTTCCCTATTTTTTGTTGTGGCTATATGTTATTTCATGGTATGAATACACCATTATTTATTAAACCAATCTCTTATTGAAAGATGTTTAAGTTGCTTTCAATTCTTTATTATTAAGAAGTGCTAGTCTGGGCACGGTGGCCCCTGCCTGTAATTCAGCATTTTGGGAGGCCGAGATGGGTGGATCACCTGAGGTCAAGGAGTTTGAGACCAGCCTGACCAACATGGTGAAGCCCCGTCTCTACTAAAAATACAAAAATTAGCCAGGCGTGGTGGTGTGCCCTGTAATCCCAGCTACTTGGGAGGCTGAGGCAGGAAAATCACTTGAACCCAGGAGGCGGAGGTTGCAGTGAGCCAAGATTGCGCCATTGCACTTCAGTCTGGGTGACAAGAGTGAAACTCCACCTCAAAAAAAAAAAAAAAAGAGGTGCTGCAATGCATTACTATGTATGTATATATACATACACACATATAATTTTGCACAGACATGAATATATTTTGGCTACCTCCTCAGAAATAGAAATTTTCAGCACATTCGAAGTTCCCCTTTCATCCAGCACTTCAGTGTTGACTCTGTTTCTTGTTTAGATTTCATATATAGTGATACATTCTTTGAAGAATACCTCGCAGGCTCTTGTTTTTAGAGACAGAATAAAGTTGCAGTAGAGACTGAGAGCAATATGTTTCCTTTTCTGTTTACAAAATTACCTGTGACCAACAAATGGGAAAAGCCATGGTCTTTAAAAGAAAAAATATGCAATTCCATTTCCACTATTTATTCTTGTTAGTTCACTGACTGAAACTGAAATGTGGTTTATTACAATGGATGAAAATTTGGAAAGAAACAATTAATTTGCATAATCAAGCAATCTGCATTATATTGCATAAAAGACAATAACAAAGTGAATTATGTACAAGGCTAGACTTCATGCTTTGACAAACAAAATGTAGCAGAATAGTTTCTTTAAGTGGAACTTCTGGACAAAATTTCCATATGAGATATAGGTAGCATGGATGAAATAGAGATGTTAAGACATTTTAGTTTTTTTGTTTTTTGTTTCGATCTTTCTGAAGGATGACTTACCATAGTTTGAGGGGGATGTAGGGAACTAATACATTAAAAAATAGATGTTGGCTATTATTATGATGAAAGGAAAGTGGTTTACTGTATGGAAAATATCATGAAAGTTTACGCAGATTTGGGAAAGAGAGTGATCGAGGCTCAGAGGTTGCCCTGAACAACACATGAAGAAAGGAAGGCAAGAGTAATGTGAGAACATCAACTCTAAAAACTGAAGTGTAGTCTGACGGCCATGAATTCTCATAAGTCCCTAGTCGTGTGAACTTTCCCTTATTTTCCTCAATAAATGTGTATTTGTATATATGTTTGTGTATGTTTGCTTTTTTCGTTCCCTCAGACAACTGAGAAATACTTTGTACTTCGCTATCCAGTATTTATATGTCTTACAGCACCTTTTCTCCTTGTATGTTAGTTTTTTCTTCAGTATCCTTAATTTTAAAGCTGTACTTCTCTTTTCTACTCAGTTGTCTTTCCTATCATTTAAAGCCATGAGATTGTTTGCTTTTCCTTCTCAGTGCATCCATCCCCCATACAAAGACTCTTTTATTTTCTTATTTATGGAAGTTTCTTGCCGTCACATTTTGGCATTCTTCCAGACAATAAGCAGTTATGTAGCATTGGCAAAAGTCCTGCATCTAGTTCTAAAGAGATGTAGCCCCACTGTGTATCTCAAATTTCCTCTTGACCTGACCTTTCTCTTTGCCCTGGCTTAACTTATCTGAGTTTGCTGGTGGTGCCAAGTTCCTTCTGCTTGTGAGCTGAATTAATGAAAAGGCATCAACATCAACTTCCCTTCCTGTAATACACACACACACACACACACACACACACACACACACACACCATCATCATCATCATCATTATCATCATCATCATAATCATATCGTTGGGGAAAGTTTTCATGTTGACTTTTTTGGGGGAGACGGTTATGAAGGTAGCATGAGGAAGGTGAGGGTAATAATAGAAATTCAGTAGATCTTGCAGGACAAATTGCCTGATTCAAATGGTGAGCTACTCTCATTATATTCAGAGTAGGCGACATAATGTATTCACTTCTTTCCTTTTCATGGGCAAGTTGTACTTGTGTAAACAGAGGGAGAATAGTACACATCTGTTCTGTTTCCAGTCCTATGATTCAGACTATTTTAAGTTGCCAAGAACCAGGAAAGTCTGGAGCCATTGTTTGCTGACATAGTCAATGGAGTTCAGTCGGGAAATAGGAGCAGCCAAATGTTCCCCAAAACGGAGGTGGTGTGGCTTCCACCAGCCCACCAATGTCAGCCAGCCTTACTTAAAACTTACTCAACTGCACAAAATTGCAGATGAAGTGAATAACCTAAGCTCATTTCTCTCATCATTACAATCTCCAAAACACTAAGTTTCTTTTAGCAACTCAGCACTGTATTAATTTCCTGCCAGGCAGAATACTTCTCTAGCCTTCTGTGGAGGTCTTTTTTTATTAGTCACCCATGGATTCCTTTTCCCATAGTGCTGCCTGGAATATTACCAACCTATGGTGAATTTAATTTTAACCATCATGTTACATTCTTTGCTTCCTCCTTTCCTTCCTTTTATTCAATACGTATTGAAGGTCTATTTGCTAAACACCATGGGAGGTACCAAGGATACAGTAGTGAAAATACAACACCAGGACGCTAGAGTCTAGGAGAGAAGAAATACTTTTAAAATGAGTGAATTATTACCATAATATGTCCTACAGAGGGGAAGTACAATATAATATAAGTATGTATACCAGGATGAACTAACCCACCTGTGGAAGTGACATTTAAAAGGAGACTTGGAGAGTGAGTAGAAATTACTGAGACAAAGGGTTTGAACGTAAGGGCAGAGCTCACGGGATCTTTGTCAGGCAGAGGGAATGGAATGTGCAAAGGTCCTAAGACCTAAAGGAACTAGGTGAATTTAAGAAATCTCCCAAAGGTGAATGAGGCCTGGACTCAGAGTGCATGGAGTGTCTGAGATGTTATGTTGAGGCCAGATGAACCAGAACCAGGACCTTGTAGTCAGGTTAACAGTTTAAAGTTTATCCTATTATAATAGGGTGAGTTTTAGGGTTTATCATGTTGCAGTAGGTTGCCTGTGAGATGAAATTAAAGAAAACAGACACAAGGCACACAGAGTTATTTATTTATTTATTTATTACAGGGTCTCACTCTGTCACCCAGACTGGGGTGCAGAGGCACAATCATGCTCACTGTAGCTTCGACCTCCTGGGCTCAAGTGATCCTCCTGCCTCAGCCCACTGAGTAGCTGGGACAATGGCTACTCTTGGGCTCAAGCCATCCTCCCACTGCGGCCTCCCAAAGTGCTGGGATTATAGGCGTGAGCCACTGTACCTGGCACAGACATTTAAAAGAGATAAACTGTTATTCTAATCTTGTCAGCAATTTTATTTGTAAAGTGAAACCATTACTTTATCTTCTTTGTTTCGGGAAGGTCTGTTTTTGTGTCTCAACAAGACAAATTGGAACCCACTCATCTAGGGTAAGTGTAACGGGAAACAATTTTGGTGGAGAATCACCTCATTCTTGCTCTCTGTAGAGGGCTATGCGGTGTCTCCTCAATAGCCACAGACCTGTGAAACTTAAAGACTAGAGAATGAGTTATCCCACTTTTGTAGGAGCTATGGGATCTTCTGGGAGGTAAAGAATTATAATCCCCCAAGGAGTTCAAAATTATTATTCTTTTTCTGATAGATGAGGGTAGATGAGGCCATCTCGTAGGAAAAAATGAAGTGCTTTCTTCCCCCTTCCTCTCCAAAGAGGCTATCAGTGATGTACAGTTAGGGTCTGGTTGTGAGAAAATGGAAGGCATTGTATGCATTCTGCATGTGGAGGGTTTCGATACAGGAAAACAGAGGCTTCATAACTGCTGGAAGAACTTCAGGAACAAAGGGCAAGAAAGCTGCACTGATGGATGTTTTCCTGCAGCTTTCCTTTTCTTCTGCCTTCTAGATCTCACGCAAATGCTTCTCATTAGCTGACCTGGAACCACAGAAGGAACTGGAGTCTGGAAATGTATTTCCTGGTTACTCTTATGTAATGCATGGGAGACCTCTGAAAAGGATGGCAGTGATGTCAAATTGACAATAGGACAATTCAGCACAGGTGATGACCCTGGTTTAACAGCAAAGCCTTGGCTGTTGTGAGGGGAAGAGGGTTCCCAGCGTAACAGACTGCTGTTCTGACAGTGTGGATATATCTTGAGGCATCTTGGCATTTGTCAGGTTGCTCCAGAAAAATGGAACGAATTAGATATGTAGATGCAGATATATTTATATACACACATGCAGATTTACTTAAGGAACTGGCTCATGTGATTATAGAGGGTTGGCAAGTCCAAAATCGGCAGGCGGAGTTGGCAGGCTGGAGACCCAGGGAAAAGCTGATGTTGCAGTTCAAGTCCGAGAGCTGTGTGCTGGCAGAATTCCCTCTTGCTAAAGGAGGTCAGTCTTTTGTTTTATTCAAGCCTTCAACAGATAGATGAGGCCCACTCACATTATGGAGGGCAATCTGCTTTACTCAAAGTCCACTGATTTAAATGCTAATCTCATCCAAAAACACCCTTACAGAAACATCCACGATAAAGTTTGACCAAATATTTGGGCACTGTGGCCTAGCCAATTTGCTTCATGTAATTAACCATCATACTTCTCCTTCCTTATTCATACCACTGCTAGATGGTGTTTTGAATTAAATTTTATATCAATATGCCTCAAGTGAAAAATTCATGGTCTTTTTATGTGTATATGGTTTAGTTCTGCCCTTTAAACCAAAGAATGTGATGATAATTATTTCTTTCCTTTCTCTTAGATTTTACGAGTAGAGACATCTCTTTAGGCCATATTTTCTTAATATTTCATCATTAATTTATTCATTTGTTCAGTCTTTCAACAAGTATTTATTGATGATTTAGGCACTGAGGATAACACAGTGATATGAATAAAAGATCAGGCCCAGGAAAAAGACCTTAAGCTAGAGAGCAACACAAGCGTTTTGCTGTAATTGTGAAAACAAATAAGGAAAATGCCAAGTGCAAAAGACATTAGATTTACAAGCCTTTAAGAGATGAGCCAAAATTTTAAAGAGGGATATTTTATGAGCAAATTCAATAAATGAAAATTTACAAGTTTTACAAATCACGATATCTGCAGGTATGTTCCTGAATAAAATTGAAGATGAGTTAGGACAGTTGTTTATTGAAACACTTTTTAATGTCAACTAATATGGTTTGTTTTGGAATCAAATGCCTTAGTAAAGAATACACACACCCTAACATATATTTAATGATTCTTTCACTGGGGCTCCAATTTCCTTTCTGATCTCAACACTATTGTCTTGCCAGCTGCTATACTTTTCAAGAAAGTAACTGGCATGGTTGATAGAGGATTACTACGTTGAGAGGTAGCTGAGATGGCAGTTACTAGCTTTATGACAGTGCACATTTCACAACATCATCACCAATGCTATGGGTGTTAATAAAATCAAACAAAACTGTGGTAGGTTGAATTCCAAGATGACTTCCAATGACCCTCACCTTCATCTAATCCTCTCCACGTTGAGTGTGGATGCAACTTGTGAATATAATGAGACATCCACTGCTGTGTTTATATTACATTCCATATAAAAACCTCCGGAAGGGAGGTTATATTGAGTGGGCCTGACCTAATCAGTTAAGCTCTGCAATAAAAGCCTTCTTTGGAGGATGCCAGAAGGGAAATCAGAGTTTTGAAGTAGCAGAGACATATCCTGGCTGGCCCTAAGGAGCATATCAGGAACATACCGTGTTAAGGGCTACTTGGCAGGGAACAGAAGGAGGTCTGTAAGAACTGGTTGACAACCACCAAGGAAACAGGGACCCAGTCACAAAACCTCCAGGAACTAAATTCTGCCAAGAATTAGAATGAGCTTGGAAGTAGATTGTTTTTCTCAGAGCCTCCAGATGAAAACTCAGCTCAACTGATACTTTGATTTCTGCCTGTGATACCCCGAGCAGAGAATCCAGCCACATGGTGCCAGACTTGTGACCAACAGAACTGTGGGCTAACAAATGGTGTTGTTTTAAGCTGCTAAGTTAGTGGGATTTGTTGTGCAGCAAAAGAAAACTAAGAGATAAACAAAAGCAAAACAACTTTTATCCTACTTCTCTTTCTTTGGGATGTGAAATTGTGCTGAGACTGGTCCTGGGGTACCCTCATCTTATTCAGCTTACACAGGGTAAAGGAAGGGCTCTGAGCTCAATGGCAAGGCCACATGGCTGACAGCAGAATCCCATGGTGCAAAGGCAATTTCTTTAGGAGAGGCCCACTGCAACCCTTGCAAAATCTAGGAACAGCCAAGAAGGGTATTTTCTCCATAATCTTTCTGAATGTGGTTGAGTATATTTGGGTTCCCTACTTTTTGTCATTTATATTTCTATGAACATGAGGTTTAGAATATTCAGCTAACTTATTAGTCAATCCAAGACTTGATATTATAGTACTTCCTGTTTGTCTGCTGTTTCACTTTGTGCAGATTCATTCATTACCCATGGTAATTCCAGAAATGGAAATTTCCAGAAATGGAAAATAAATGGAAAATTCCAGAAATGATCAATTCATAAGTTTTAAAATTGTGTGCCATTCTGGGTGGTGTGATGAAATTTCTTGCCATCATGTTCTGTTCCTTCCAGGGTAAGACTCCTGTCTTTATCCAGCACATTCATGCTGTAGACACCACCTGCCTGTGAGTCACTTAGTAGCAGTCTCAGTTATCAGATCGAAAAAGCATAGTATATTTAGGATTTTGTACTATCCTTGGTTTCAGAATCCACTGCAGGGAGTAGAATGTATCCCCTGCCGATAAGGGGAGACTATATACATCATGTTTTGACCCAAAGCAAATTCAAGTATGTGACTCAAATAATCACTTTGTAATGTTCAGTTCACAGTTGCTGAGTACTAATTCCATTTTCTTTTTCTTTTTTTTTTTTTTTTTTTGAGACAGGGTCTCACTTTGTTGCCTAGGCTGGATTGCTCAAGTGATCCTCCCACCTCAGCCTCTCAAGTAGCTGGGACTACAAGCGTATGCTAATTTTTGATTTCTTTTGTAGAGATGGGAGCTCACTGTCTTACCCAGGCTGGTCTTAAACTCCTGAGCTCAAGCAATTCTCCCACCTGGACCTCCCAGTGATGGGATTACAGATATGAGCCACTGTGCCTGGCTAATCCTATTTTTATTTTTATTTTTTGTGAAATATTTTGCTTTTTAATTGGTGGTACATAATTTTCAAAATCTTTTAATAAGTATACTATCGTAGTTTGAATAACCAGAATTATATTTATTTCAAGAAAGCTAGATCAAATAAAGAATCCAAATGTGTAAAGACTTCTTGAGAAAAATATAAAATGCAAATTTAGATTTGTACCTTATTCATTAATCGTGTAATTTAAAATGAAGTTGCTCTATTTTATTTTATTTTATTTTATTTTATTTTTTGAGACTGAGTCTTGCTCTGTTGCCAGGCTGGAGTGCAGTGGTGTGATCTCAGCTCGCTGCAACCTCCACCTCTCAGGTTCAAGTGATTCTCCTGCCCCAGCCTCTCAAGTAGCTGGGACTACAGGCACATGCCACCACGCCCAGCTAATTTCTGTATTTTTAGTAGAGATGGGATTTCACCATGTTGGCCAGGGTGGTCTCGATCTCTTGACCTCATGATCCGCCCACCTCGGCCTTCCAAAGTGTTGGGATTACAGGTGTGAGCTACTGCACCCGCCCTGCTCTCCTTTATTTTATCCTCTTGGGGGGATAAGGCCTTATGTCAAGGTTCATGGCTTGTCAAGTGGTGTATGGGCTGGATTCAACCTCCATTGATTCTCCTAGATGGGCCCTTTTGTGCAGAAAAGAACTGGTATGTAGCAGCACCAGTGGAGAGCCATTTGAGTAAATGTAAAACAAGCAGAGGATGAAGAGGAAGGCTTATGTTATGAAAGCTAAGGGCAATTCATACTTCCATGGAAAAGCAAGTCTACTCAAATTCTTTTCCAAGCCAAATGAAGTAGAATGATCATCAGGGTTTATAATAAGGTGTTGGAAATATGTACTTCAGAAGGAAATCAGAGTAAAATTGAAAGAGTAAAGATGGGTGGATGGGGTATATAGAGCAGGGGCAGGTGAACTTTTTGTTAAAGGGCCAGATAGTAAATATTTTAGGCTTTGTGGACCATATGGTCTCTGTTGAAACTATTAACCTCTGCTTGAAAGCAGCTGTAGAAAATATGTAAATGAATGGGTGTGGCTGTGTTCCAATAAAACTTTATTTACAAAAATGAGGTTGGGGTACAGGGGAGCATAGTTTGCAGTATAGATCACTGAGAAAAAAGGATTCTCTGAGGCATTTTGTTGGTGTGACTCTAATGCTGATGCAGAAAGAGCTCTAAATCTGAGTAACAAGTATTGGTAAATTATTCAACAGATACACTCCTTACAAGATGAAAAATAACATTGTTAACCAGTGTTCATTTATAGATCTACAAACATCAGGAATGGAAGTTTATTTGTCAGGCACATATTTCTCTGTTATATTCCCTGTAATATATACTCTGGAAGAAGAAAAAAAAGGGATGAATAGCCTATATTTCACATAAAATGTTACTCTTTAATCTTATCTTGCAGTGTCAAATTTAAACAATATATATAGATGTGTGTTATGATTCCTGGAGTCAAGGTGAATTGTATTCCTGTTCCTTCATAGCAACTAGCTATTATCAGGGCTGATGTTTCTTGGGGCTGGCCTCACTAATGGAACTCAGATGATTTACTCAGATAAGAAATTCTTTGGAGAAAACTCACTGTAAGCAAAATACTTGAAGAGATATGAGAAAGGGCAATAATTAGGCCATAAAAACAGACTTTATCTTTTCAATGGAAAAAAAACCCTCCAGGATCCCAGCAATTTACTCATTTCCTAAGTATCTGAATGTATTATTCCATAGCATAAGTAAAAAGGTATTTTGCTCTTTGAGAACAAATTGCCCTGAGTTATCAAACTTTCAAAGCTGGAAAAGAATCAGTCTTAGAAAAGATCCACGTTATTGTGTTTGTGTTTTAGTTTGTTCTCAAGATGAAGATAGACTGTTCCGCAAAGTCTTTACAAAGAATTATGTGAAATAGGTGGGCGCTGATAGTTTCTTGGGCAATTGGACATCTGAGCCTTAGCGTTTCATGCAGGGAGCAGAATTCCTTTGACCACATCAGCCCTCCCGCATTGTTTATTGCAGTCTGTAACCTCTCCTTACACCAAAGGGGAGACGTTTATGAAGGAGTTCACACAGCTGTTCTGATTTCTTAAGGCAACTAAAGGCCAGCTGGAATATTCACTGTAATACACTTTATTTTGCAAGATTTTTGCATTCTATTGAAAACTGGCAGTTAACAGACCTCAGAGAAAGAGTTTAGATTTTGATTGTCATTTACCACTGCTAGAAAGAAATTAAATTCTAATGGGGCCAGACCTTAATGAAAACACATTGATCTCCTCCATAGCACATTGATGAAAAGAAAGCTCAAAGATTTAAGAACTTTCTGAATTCTCTTGACTCTTTACTGCTAATTAGCACCATGACTGTTATTTAACAATGTATAAAGTATTTTGGTACCTGTTTTGACTTGTTTTTAATTATCTCTTTAATTTCCCATGGCACCTTTTAGTTCTGCACTTGTTGCTAACAAATATACAAAATGTGGACAATAGTGAATTTTTTATTTATAAAACAAAATTTTGTTTTTCTTAGGTTTGGAGTTCATTTCTGTGCAGTTAAAGATAGAAAGTAATTAGTAGCTTTCTTCTTCTAATGCCATTTTGAAATTTTATGAAAAAAGTATGCGATAGAAAATTGGTTTGGTAATGCAGTGGGTGAAATTCTGAATCCTACTCTCTTCGTGGAGCTAGATAGATTTTCCTACATTGGTTTTGGACATGGAGATGGTGTATTTCTATGAGGTTGGAGTCTAACAGTTACATCCATAATTTCCCTGTCTATGTGTTTTCTGGAACCAGCAACTTAGAAGACAGTGTACCATGAGAGAGCTAGTAGAGATGGAACTTATAAATATTCAATGACTTGGCTCTGCTTATCTTATTAGCTCTAATTTTGGCTTATTTTTATTTGAATATGATGAGAGAAAAGGGTGACTACAATGTGTCAGTGAGAGAGAGTTGTAATCTGATTGCTTACTTGAAAGACTTGGTTCTCAGTAGCATAGAGATTTGTTAGTGAAATAGTATGGTAGAGCATTAATTCAGGTCTGTGAGATTAATCTATTCCTTACTGAAGAATAAGGAAACTTAGCTAAACTAAAGCTTAGCTGCTCAACCTAAAGCTTAGCTGCTCCAAGTAAATCACTGATTAACATTAGATCTTGAGACTTAGGCCTATCTAGCACAAGATACTATAAATACAAGTTATTGTTATTTACTTTATAGTACAAATATTCAGTGTATCATGAATTCATATTGGTTAAGAGTTGAGAAGTCTTTCTTTTAAGATTTCTTCAGCCTATATGCTACTACAGAATGTTTTCTTTTCTTATTTTTTTCTTTTTTTCTTTTTTTGGTTCAGCAAAGGTGAATTCCTTTAGGCCCTGTGACTAACTTCTCTAGATCCAGAGATTATCTAATGAGTTCCTTAGAAAACGTTGGGACAAAATTAGTTAAAGACTTACTGAGTGACTAATGTAATCGTATCTCTAGGGAAATAAGCTGGCTCTTAATTTACTGGTTGTTTGCAAAAAGTTCTGGCAATGAACAGAAACTAGGATAAACAGCTATT
This sequence comes from Homo sapiens, assembly GCF_000001405.40. Classification (NCBI taxonomy): domain Eukaryota; kingdom Metazoa; phylum Chordata; class Mammalia; order Primates; family Hominidae; genus Homo; species Homo sapiens. The sequence goes on from NC_000013.11 coordinate 37,136,499, forward strand.
ATTAAGAAAAAAATTCATCAGGCACCTTGGATGTCCATATAAGACATAGAGAGGCCAGCTTTAAATGTTTCTTTTTTTTTTTTTTTTTCCAAAAGACATGACATTGCATCCTTGGCCATCGGTTGATAAAGTTCACCATTCGTATGCATGAAAATCTGATTTATAAAGTTTAAGATGTAGTCTGGACCTTTGTCCTGTAAAAGCTTTTAATGGTTTCTTTATGGAAGAGTAACTGAGAAAAGAAATCTCAGAATGTTTATTTATACCATGAGTTGTGGAAACATATATAACCAGGAAGGATATTATTGGAGGAAAAAAAACATAACATCAGCAGATTCATCTGTTTCAAATTTTGATGCATCAGGATAAATTTAATCTTTGCTCCAGAAGCATTTTAAATAGTCTTAGGATATTTTTTCCATCAGACATTTTTATATTTGTGCTGAGATAATGCTTCAAATGTTTCAACACAACAGAGAAATGCTGTGGAAAAAATGAACTGCGTCTTACTCTATTTCTAAACTCTAAATGATTTTAACTAATAGCCTTGACCAGAATTTTGTTTTCTTAAAATTTATCCCTTGCACTCATGTTGATTATTTGATACAATATTTCCCAGTATCATGAATATATGTGTTCTGTGTGTGTGTGTGTGCATCTGTGACTTAAGTGTGTGAATCAGGTCTTTTGCACCTTATGAGGTTTTTTGGTTTGTTTTTGAGATAGGCTCTCTGTCACCCAGAGCTGGAGTGCAGTGGCACAATCATAGCTCACTGAAGCCTCAGACTCTTGGCCTCAAGTGATCCTCCTGCTTTGACCACCCAACATAGGATTACAGGCATGAGCCACCACATCTGGCCTGTGAGTTTAATTTGGAACACAATTCCCATGTCTATCTTCAAGGCCTAGAATAATGGACATTGTGAATGTACCCATAGTTTACCTCAAGTGCTGGGACAGATTTGAAGTAGGTGAAGTTTATCTTCATTGAACCTTGTCTCTCTTGGAAGAAGTTTTGTCACATAGAAGTTCTGCCTCTGGCTTGGGAAGGCACGTGGGGCCACACAGAAGAGGACTGTCCTGGGACATTTGTATTTTGGAGAGTGGTTTCTGAATCCACTTTTATCTTTCTGTACTTCTCTCTGCTATTCTGAATTTCTCAATCTGTCTCTGTCTTTCTCTCCCTCCCTCTTATTGTGTGTATTTATTTTTTAGAGCATGTGACTTTTAATGCAAATACATACACAGAAAGAATATAAAATTCTCCCTTCATTCCTCCTCACCCTCCAATTCCTATTCCCCTCCCAGCACCACTGTTTACATTTTAGTGTGTGTCTTTTTAGTCCTTAACACATACATTAAATAAAGTACTTTGACTTCCAATTTCACTATTTTTCTCATTTCATAAATATTGTACTGTCTTATCTTCCCCCCAAAATTACCACTTTTAATATAAATATATTAATTTAATAACTGGAGGAGATACAGACCTTGGTATACAGAAGCATATTTTGAGTTTCAAATGTCTTCACTTGCTAGACTACTCATGTAAAGCTTTCGCTACATTTCGTGTTCTAGGGAACATGTGAAACACTTATAGTCGATTGAATGGTGTCCCCCTAGAAGGTATATCTATGTTCTAATTTCCGGAATCTGTCAGTGGCATCTTTTATGGAAAAAGAATCTTTGTAGATGGAACTGAGTTAAAGGTCTTGAGATGAGGAAATCACCCTGGGCTACCTGGGTGGGCCGTAAATCCAATGACAAGTATCTCTGTAAGATAGTCACTCAGAGAAGAATGCAAGGTGAAGACAGGCAGAGAATGGAGTGGTGTGGCCACAAGCCAAAAAAATCAGAGAATACTGGTGGCCCCTAGGGGATGGAAGAGGCAAGGAAGAATTTTCCCCTGGAGCCTCCAGAGGGAGTATGGCTCAGCTGACCTTTTGATTTTGAACTTCTGGCCTCCAGAACTGTGAGAGAATAAATTTATTGCTTTAAGCCACCTAGTTCATGGTATTTTGTAACAGCAGCTACAGGAAACTAATACAAACACCAAAAAAGCCAAAACACTATATTTCCACTATTTAGAAATAGAATAAAATAAAACAAAATTTGATTTAAAAAATTAATTCATAAAATTCACTCTTAAATAAGCACTACATAAGTTTTCTTCTTATAAAAAAAGTCCCAAGAATTGTAAGTCTACCAAGCTTCTATTTAAATGTCATATAATTACTTGACTAAAGCAGTAAAATGAAAAGATATGTTTCTGGATTACTAAGAAGGATTTATTAAATAGTAACAAGAAAATGCTGAATTAAACTTATCTAGGCCTTAAAGATAAACATTTGGAACTGAATTCCAATAAAACTCATAAAATGGGAGCAATTTATTATTAATAATAATATTTATATTTATACAATGTACATTTATAAAACACCACCTTAAGAATGACAATTCTGTCAAGTTTCTATTTGAGTCATTGCGTATTTACTTAACTAACAGCAGTAAGACAAAAAGAACAAAATCGAAATTACTTTAGAAGAGATACAAAAGAACATCTTCCTGTGGTCCTGGATTTCAGAAGGCTGGGTCAGTTTTGGAGATGACTCATTACTATTTTCAGTGTTGGGACAGAAGATGGGGGATGAAAATTACTTGGTGGAGAGGATTCTTGGGAAGGTCCATACTGGCTTCCCAGGGGAGGAAGAGAGACAGAAGATCTTCTTCTTAGCAGTTATCCCCTGGCATCCTCTGCGGCATCTGACCTCTGAATGGAGAATGAAATGGAGGTCCTGAGTCTGGGCCAGCTGTGTTTTGTTCAGGTGGGAGCATTGAATCAAGCATGTGTAAATGACCTAGATTATCTGTGATGCCATTTTTATTGGATTCCATTTCAGAAGATGAACAAACTTTGTGATATCAAAGGAAAGCTTAATAAAACTTACAAGTTCTGCTGGTCCTGAGACTGGCAGTACATGCAGCACCAGGGCAAGCTCTGTATTGCATTTGTAGGGGAATTGCTGGATCAAGATACAGTTGGCTGGATGGAGGAATTCTTTTCCTGTGATTCTGCTCCTATGAGGGTGGTGTCCTTGGATCATTGAGCCATCTCTGTTGTATTAGTTTGCTAGGACTGCCATAACAAAGTACCACAAACTACGTGGCTTCAACAACAGAAATTTATTTTCTTACAGTTCTGGAGGCTACAAGTCCAAGGTCAGGGTGACAGCAGGTTTGGTTTCCCCTGAGGCCTCTCTCCTCAGCTTGTAGATGGCCACTGTCTTGCTGTGTCCTCACGTGGTCTCTCTTCTGCATGCATGCATCCTGATGTCTCTCTGTTGCAATTTCTTCTTGTAAAGAAGAGATTGGATTAGGGATCACTCTAATGGCCTCCTTTTAACTTAATCCCCTCTTTAAGTTAAAGGCCCTGTCTCCAAATTTCGCCACATTCTGAAGTACTGGGGATTAGGGCTTCAACATACGGATTTTAGGGAAATAGAATTCAGGCTATAACACCAGCCTAATGCTCCATTTAATACTCCCTCTTCTTGAGAGATTTGGTAATCCAGAGAATTCCCTAGATTTAGATTCATAGAGAGATGATTATTCATTTCTGTTCAGCACTGAGGCTCAAGATAAACAATTTTCTTCTTGCTCTCAGAGATGGCAAGTGTAGTAGATGCTGTAGTGCCTGCCCAGATTCCTTAGGCCCTTTCACTTCTGTGTTTTCTGGTTGACTTCAACTACCGGTATTGGATGAGGGCTCTCCACACTGAAGAAGACTTTTTTCTTTTTTTTTTTTTAAGATGAATATTTCTTTCTTTTTTTTTTTGTAATACTTTAAGTTCTAGGGTACATGTGCACAATGTGCAGGTTTGTTACATATGTATACATGTGCCATGTTGGTGCGCTGCACCCATTAACTCGTCATTTACATTAGGTATACCTCCTAATGCTATCCCTCCCTCCTTCCCCCACCCCACGACAGGCCCTGGTGTGTGATGTTCCTCACCCTGTGTCCAAGTGTTCTCATTGTTCAAGTCTCACCTCTGAGTGAGAACATGCAGTGTTTGGTTTTTTGTCCTTGCGATAGTTTGCTGAGAATGATGGTTTCCAGCTTCATCCATGTCCCTACAAAAGACATGAACTCATCATTTTTTATGGATGCATAGTATTCCATGGTGTATATGTGCCACATTTTCTTAATCCAGTCTATCATTGATGGACATTTGGGTTGGTTCCAAGTCTTTGCTATTGTGAATAGTGCAGCAATGAACATACGTGTGCATGTGTCTTTATAGCAGCATGATTTATAATCCTTTTGTTTTATACCCAGTAATGGGATGGCTGGGTCAAATGGTATTAGTTCTAGATCCTTGAGGAATCGCTACACTGTCTTCCACAATAGTTGAACTAGTTTACCGTTCCACCAACAGTGCAAAAGTGTTCCTATTTCTCCACATCCTCTCCAGCACCTGTTGTTTCCTGACTTTTTAATGATCGCCATTCTAACTGGTGTGAGATGGTATCTCATTGTGGTTTTGATTTGCATTTCTCTGATGGCCAGTGATGATGAGCATTTTTTCATGTGTCTGTTGGCTGCATAAATGTCTGAAGAAGACTTTTTTCCTTGTGAGTATGGCAGGTTGGCCACGCTGGGGATTAATGACTCTTGGGAGTGTCTTTCAACCAATGACTGAGAGAAATTGGTGTCTAACTATCCCAGTTTCTTTGGCTTTCAGACAAGATGATTCTGAGTCATATACTTTATATCATTTCCCAGATATTCTCCAAGGGATTAAGCTCCAGTTATCCAACATGCTATTTTGTTTGATAATGTACCCTTCATTGACTATCTTCCCTTTTCTGCCTCAGATTCTCCCTCCTCTCCATTGTTTATTGTACCTCCCAAATAAATATTTTTCATTTGAATTATTTTCTCTGGGTCTGCTTGTTTTAGGGAGGAGGATAATCTAAACTAAGGCAATTAATATTAGAAGTTGTTCTAGGAAGCAGATCTTCAAGGTGGATTCTAGAATAGAAGCACTTGACATTCAGATTGCAACAAAGACCCATTGTTAGCACTAAGAGGGGTGGTGATCGGCTCTGGCGTATTGTAGCATTATAATCATTGAGACTCTTATTGTGGTGAATTAGGTTGGGCTGAGGTGAAAGGGTGTGCACTATCTCATGCAATATCTCTAGAATCTGAGAGATGGGGTGATATGGTTAGGCTTTGTGCTCCCACCCAAATCTCATCTCCAATTGTAGTTCCCATAATTCCCACATATCATGGGGAAGGACCAGGTATGAGGTAATTGAATCATGGAGGCAGTTTCCCGCTGTGCTGTTCTCATGATAGTGAGTGAGTTCTCATGAGATCTGATGGTTTTATAAGGGAGTTTTCCCTTCTTTGCTCTTCATTTCTCTCTCCTGTTGCCATGTTAAGAAGGACATGTTTGCTTCCCCTTCCACCATGATTGTAAGTTTCCTGAGGCTTCCCCAGCCATGCAAAACTGTGAGCCAATTAAATCTCTTTCCTTTATAAATTACCCAGTCTCAGGTATTTCTTCACAGCAGTGTGAGAACAGACTAATACATAGGATATTGGTAATTACAAAGACTATAGATTTGGTCAGTTGCTATTAAATGACATTGATGTGTTGAAGAAAGAAAACCACTCAAACTAACCAGCCAAGAACCCAGGAAATTATGTAAAAGTCACAAAATCTTTTTGGCAATATTTAAGGAAGCTCCCATCTTCTAAAGCTGGAGAATGGATTGCACTGAAAATCAAGCCTGGCATCAGATTGTGAGAGTAGTAGAATTACCAAGAAGCCTAAGAGATAGTCCTGGCAAGTCTCTTTCTAAAATTACAGACCTGATAGGAAAAGAATGGGACTCTGATATCTAGAATGAATTGATTTGAGAATCTTAAAATCTTTCCAGATCTCCATGAACTTTTGGACTTGCATAAATGGCCTACTGAATTTCCCTGATTTCCTTGAACTCCTGGGCCTGCAGAAGTTACCAATCCCTCTTACCAGAGGATAGCAGTCACTTTCACTCCCAACCCTGCCTTGCCTGGATATGATGCAGAGGACTCACCTAAGGCAGATATTTTGCAAGATAATGTGCTTGCAGATATACTTACTTCAAGATTTGCTTCAACCTCCCCTCTTAGTATCTAGGCTTAATGTGAGCATGGCCCAACTGGGGAAGCTGATAGGTGCACTTGTGATTGGGAATGGGACACTTACATCTATTAGAGCATCTCCCTCACACAATACTCAGTAATTACATATTAGTTAACACAACATCCTGGCCCAACTAGGGAAGCACTGTCTCTGATTTGGGAGGAAAGAGACTATTCAGCAGATGAGTTGCAGGACCTGGCTAAAATACATATCAGGAAAACATGCTTAGAAATTGATCTTGAGAGTAACACACAAAAAGTCACAAAATAAGGCTGAATAAAGGAAAATTTATTGATATGAGTCTCTCATATGGATTTAATATCCTCGCAAGGACACCAGGAGTCAGCTATACTCTTGTGCTTGTATGATGGACATGCCAGAGCTGCCTTGACCAATCATTGAAGTAGGTGTCAAATGACTCAGAGAGTTCACTACATTAGAATAGATTTATTGTTTTTGCTTTGATTTTCTGATACCCATTTTCTGATATGAATTTCTGTTACTAAGTTTAGTTAACTAATACCAGTGTCCCAAGAGCACTGTCTACATTTCAGTTATGAAGATATATTAACTGTGAGTAATTGCATAAAATACAAACTTTGCTCTCTCTTCAGTGGATAAAGCACTATATAAATGACAGATGCACATCCTAACCAGTGACCAATTGTGTCACTTTTTAAAAAATCTTTAGGTAATTAGCCAATGCATATCTGTTATTAAGTTCACACACAGATGGCAAATGTATAGTTGTGTCATCTCCTTGTCTCCCAGTGATAAAGCCATATGACATTTTACAAAAATGGATACTTGAAAGAGGGAACCGCCTGCCAAATATGAAAGTACAGCAAGGAAACAAAAAGCATAATGTTTGAAGTGAAATTCTAATCAAATGTAAATGGGCTTATAGAATAAATAGTTGACTGTGGGAATGTTGACACCTCTGCTATTTATGAGAGTCTAGACGTGCAGTCAGAGAAACTTAGCAAAGGCAACTGTATCAGTCTAAATGAGAAAAGTGGTCATGATGGAAAGGTTAAAGAGAAAACGATGCCAGTGAGAAATTTCACATTTAAGAGAACTCTCAGAGATAATTCAACGCATTAAAAGTAGAAAGGATAAAATGCTGGAATCTGATTCAAACTTAGAAAGTACTATGAAAATGTGCCAAGGCATACAAAAGATGCTCACTTTATATTGTATGTGATAGGAGAGGAAGAAGGCCAGCACTGTTCAAACTACTCTTGATAAGTTTTTTTTTCTTAACAAAGAAATAAAAAACTTCAATCATCAATGCTTTTACTAGATAGGCACTTAGTGAGAGTATTATTTTATCTGTTTAAGCAAAATAATCAAGAGCAGGTGATCCAAACGTTGATGTCAGCTGCCAACAACAACAAACAGATGAAGTCATGATCCTTTATTCACTTTCCAGAAATGAGGCAGTTCTCAGACTCAGCATTGATTGAAGAGAAAGATGGGCAGTCTTGAGGAAGCAGTTTGCAGTGCCTCAGCAAGCACAGACAGTAGTAATTTCCCCATTTTTTCCCAGAGCCACTTACCAGAGTAATAATGCAGTGGTGAAAGGGGAATACTATGTATTTCCAGGGCTGTTGGATAAGGGTCTGAAATGCCATTGGTATGTTTTGAGAGAGGGAGTTTCTGGTGTTTGATTCTGTTATAGGTTGAATTGTGTCTCCTATAAAAAGAAATGTTGGTGTCTTAACCCTAAATACCTTAGCGTGTGACCTTATTTGGAGACAGGGTCTCTACAGAGGTAATCAAGTTAAAATACAGTCATTTGTGTGGGCTTTAATCCTATATGACTTGTGTCGTTATAAAAAGGGGAAATTTGGACACAGAGACAGATACTTATAGAGGAAAAATGATGTAAAGAGACCCAGAAAGAAGATGCCATCTGCAAGCCAAGAAGAGAGGCCTGGAACAAATCCCTCATAGTCCTGGGAAGGAACCAACCCTGTCAATGCCTTGATTTCAGACTTCTAACTTCCAGAACCATGGGACAATGAGTTTCTAGTGTCATAGCCACCCAGTGTGTGGTGCTGTGTTATGGCAGCCATATCAAACTGATACAAAGCCATAAATGGAGTCCTGGCCTAAGTCCATCTCACAGTGAGTTCAAAGGCTGCTGTGGTCATGTACTCATTCCCTGAGTCCCTACTCATGATGAACATATTTAGCAGAGTCAGAACCTTCAGACTGGTTAATTGATCTGGAGAGTCAGAGCTGCTACTGGAGGAAAGACTGCATGGAAGCCCTTGAAATATCCTGCTGCCTTTCCAACAAAAACAGAAAATCAGAAGCAAGACTGCATCTCAGGTGGAATGGCAGCAATAAGAGATACCCTCAAAGAAGGATTCAGGGGTGGTTGTCACTATCGTCATTACTCTTACTTCTGGAAAAAAGCCAGATGGATTGGAACAGAAAATGTAAACTTCTGAAAACTTAGCCAAGTTTCCAGCTGCTCTTTTGGATGTACATTTACCAGAACAGATCAACACAGTCTCTTGCACTTGGTGTACAGAAAATGATCTGGAGAAAGTGTTCTTTTCATTCTTTGCCAGAAAAATTTATCAGAAGCAATCTTCATTCATTCGGAAGAGACAAAAGTATGCTGAGTTATATTAACTCTCTTGCTCTTCATCACTATATAGTAAAAAGGTAACTTGAATATCTAAACATTCTACAGAAAATTCATACTGGTCTACCATTTAGATGACATCCACATTAAATGGACCAGGAGAAGGAAGTCTTGAGTCCTCTGGATGCCTTGGTAAGACACATACACCAAAGGGTGAGAGAGAAATGCTACAGAGAATCAGAGGCCTCCCACATTGGTGAAAGTTTTAGAAGTATTGTGGTCTTGGTCCCCACCAAGCTAGAAAAGCTATTGTACCTTCTGTTTTCTACCACTGAGGAAAATGCAAGGTACTGGAAAGGCTGGTTGATTAGAGATCTGGAAGAAGTAAGATGAGAAGATCAATTACAAGAAATCTGTGAAAGAAAAATGTGGGTTGACTATTAGGAATGGACACAAAGTATGTGAGTCTTTGCATCCCACATCAGTACTTACGGTGATCATCCACATCAGAGAAGGAGTAGAAGACAAGACGGGTAGGATGATTTGTCCAGTGGAGTTTAGCAAGCTTTTCTTCTTGGCCATCCCAGTGTTTGCACAGTGGGCCCATGAGTGGAGTAGCCTTGTGCAAGGAGTGAAGGTGATGCATGAGCCTGGCAGCGGAGGCTCCCTCTCACCAGGGCTGATCTAGGCACTGCTACTGCAGAATGGCCAAACTGTCAGTGGTAAAAACTGATGCTGAGCCCTTGATAGGATGCTGTCCTCTGAAGACACCAACCTGGAGGTGACAGTCATTTGTCCTTACTGGATTGATACATATTTTGGTTATAAGTCTACCTTCCCTGGTTGAGTGTTGTGGCTCATGCCTGTAATCCCAACACTTTTGGGAGGCCAATTTGGGAGGATTGCTTGAGGCAAGGAATTCTAGAACAGTCTGGGAAACAGTAAGACCCTGTCTCTACAAAGAAACAAACAAACTGGGTGTGGTGGTGAGTAACTGCAGTCCCACTTGGGAGGCTGAGGTGGGAGGACTGCTTGGAGCCATGGCTCTCTAGCCTGGATGACAGAGCAAGACCCAGTCTTAAAAAAAAAAAAAGAAACAAGAAAGTCTACCTTCCTTGCCATAGCACCTTGTTCTGTGCCATTATCTGAGGGATCAGCCCATGTCTGATTTGTGGTTGTATCTCACATAGCTTCACCTTGGGTCAAGGGACCACATTTGTGCCAAGGAGTAAGCACATGTCCATGAAATCCACTTGTCTTACTATATCACCCAGAAATTGCTGGCTTGAATGTTTAAAAGGCCACTGAGAGGTCAAGCAAAGGCATCAGCCTGGAGTTGCTGGGTGCTATCTTTAAAGATGTGGTATATACCTTGAATTAACATATACTGCTATGTCTTCCTTAGGTAGAACAAATGCATGTAGGATCCAACGCATGGTAGTGTAAGTTGCCTTTACATCATTACTCTGTAACCCACTCTGGGGGAAGGTGTGCTTTCCATTCCCACAACTTTAAGCTTTGGTCTCGAGGTCTAGGTTCCCAAGGGACAAATTAATTGTTTCTGTAAATATAAGATTATAGCAGTAGCCTGGTCATTTTGGACTTCTTACACTAATAGACTAGAAGGTAAAGAAGGATTAGTATATTGAAAAGAATAATTGGCTTTGATGATCATAAAGAGAAAGATTGCTGCTACATAATAATGACAGGAAGAAGTATGTTTGAAACTCAGGAGATTCACTGGGTACCTCTTTATAACTTCAAGTCCAATGATTACCATAAGTGGAAACTGCTGGAACAACATCCTGACAAAGTTAAGGTAACTGGAGGGGCAGACCTCTTAGGCACAAAGGTCTGTGCTATCTTGTTGAACGACAGACCTGCACGAGCAGAAGTGCTATCCAAGAGGGAGAAGAATCTAGAATGTGTGTTAGATGTGGGAGAGGGTGAATATCAGTTGTGCGCTTGGGATCAACTGCAACAGCTAATAGAAACTGTAGCTTGTACTAGTATAAACCTCGTTGTAAGTTTTTCTTTTCTTAAATAAAAATTGTGTCTGGCTACCACTTTGAAGAAACAGTAACAAGATGCAGTGAAATTAACGTGGGGACAGGGAGCATCTGATTGGCACAAGGGATAGACAGTAGCAGATGGAGTCAGTTCCCCATCCACATCTCTGGAGAATTCACCTCATTTCCAATGGCAGCTATCTGCATTTGTGACTAAGGCTCTCTTTGCCTGCAGTGGTGGAGAGCTGCCTGTACTTATGACAATCTAGAAGCACCAGTGAATCAACAGTCCCTATGGGACAGCCTCCAGCCAGCAACCCTCCTATGCAGGTGTATGAAAACCTGAGCTTCCTTGCTGCTAGGCTTGGACAATTCTGAGGTGTATGTTTTGCATGCATTTCTCAGAGCTTCCTTGTGGGATTAAGCTTTAATTGCTCACTGTGGAATACTATGCAGCTATAAAAAGAACAAGGTAATGTCTTTTGCAGGAACATGGATGGAGACGGAGGCCGTTATCCTTAACAAACTAATGCAGGAACAGAAAACTAAATACTACATGTTCTCACTTAGAAGTGGGAGCTAAATAATGTTAACACATGTATACGTGGAGGGGATCAACACACACTGGGGCCTATTGGAGGGTGGAGAAGGGAGAGAATCAGGAAAAGTAACTAATGGGTATTAGGCTTAATACCTGGGTTGATGAAATAATCTGTATAACAAACCCCCATGACACAAGTTTACTTCCTATATAACAAACCTGCTCAAGTATGCCTGATCTTAAAATAAAAGTTAATTGAAAAAATGCTTTAATTTCTCACTATGATAACTAGTTTAATGGCGCAGCCCTTATAGGCTACTTTCCCTTTCTTGTCTTACTGTCCCATTTTCTTACTACTGTTACCTGCACTTCCCAACTAAACTATGCACATGATTCCTTGTTTAAGGGCCTGTTTCTGGGGGAACGCTAAATAAGACAGATCCTAAAATTTTTACATATTTACTTATCGCTTTATCATTCAATGTACATTGTTACCAATAGTAATGCCAGTATTAATGCTAGCAGTAAACCTAATGTGAATGGTTTAAGATTTCTTTAATCTATTTTTATTCTTAAACCATATCACATTTATGATGTGTAATCAGAATATTATATTTAAAAAGTTACATGTAGTTTGAATTAAAACATTGTCTCAGTATTTCTAACTGCTGGAGATGACGATGACAGGGGGATTCTCTGTGTCCGTTTAGGCTATCATTTTGCCTGGAGGTTCAATGACATGATTTTTTGATCATCTGCAATGTTGTTTTCTAGTTGAGAGGATTACCAGAGGTCAAATAAGGATAGAGAGGGTGGGGAGGCAGGGAAACATGGATCACAGCACACTGAGTTGGGACTTATCAGCATTGCTGTGAGTCACATCAATCTTTTTAATGTCAAAAATTTAGAGTTAAGGAAATAAGCATACTTGGTTAGCAGAAAACCCAAATCAAAGCCTCTCTACTTTTTTTTTGTTTTCAGTAAATGGCTAACCACATTCAAGGATGAAAGATAATATAAAAAAGAACCAGCATAAAGACTTTCATAAAAAGGGAAAGGAACAAAAACAAAATGGAGATTTGTAAGAGGAATTATCTAGGGAAATAGAATAATTCACTCAGAAATAAGAATTCATTTCAGCTCATAAAAGTCAATAGATTCTTTCTATACCATCAAAAGCCAGAAAGAAAATACAACATAATATAAGAAGTCATTTGCAAAAGGAAAATAGCTCTATCTTTTCTAGGAATTAACCTAACGATGAACAAAAGAAAAATATTCAAACTCGATTGAAGGACATAAAAAATCTGAATAAATGAAGACATATGATATACATGTCACACACACACACACACACACACACACACACACACACAGAAATATAGTCTATAAATTTAGTGTTTCTCCAACAAATTGCCATGGGCCCTTCTGAAAGTGCAAGTCGAGGCAGCCGTTTGTATTGTGTGACTGCTAGTAAATAAGACACCCCCTTTCCTAAAGCCACTGTTAGAATAATTCTGAAAAAAAAAAAAAATAAAAATAAAAAAAAATAAAAATAAAAGGGAATGTGAATCTTATCCAATCAACTTCTAATAGCATATTGTTTGTAATTAAGAATGAATCTTCACAGGGACAAAGCTATAATGACCTTGTGTGGTGCTGATTCCATACTCCCCTTGCCAGGAATGTCACCTCTAGTGCTAAGTGGGGTATGGCTGTATTCAAACGAGGCAATGTTGAGGGCACAAGACAGTTAGCAGTGGGAACTTAAGCTGCAAGGTTGCATATGAAGAGGCTAGAGCCTGAAAGCCAGAGGAGAGAGACAAACGTGCAACATGGAGAGAGTAATTGGTTCCTAGGGATTCATCAGTTTCTGACTGCTTACTAGTTAACAGTTTTAATTCTAGACCTTACGTATATCTTTATAATAAGCTCAATATTATTCTTAAGGTGGTCTGAGTGACTCTTAGTCTTTTCTTTTTAAGACATAATTTTCTCTAGTATCTTGCTATCCTTGCACATTATTATTATTGATCCATGAAAGATATTTAAACATATCATTCTTTTGCACTCTTTTATCTATTTTTTCTTCATCTTTTTTTTTCTTTTTTTTTTATTATTATACTTTAAGTTTTAGGGTACATGTGCACATTGTGCAGGTTAGTTACATATGTATACATGTACCATGCTGGTGCGCTGCACCCACTAACTCGTCATCTAGCATTAGGTATATCTCCCAATGCTATTCCCTCCCCACTCCCCCCACCCCACCACAGTCCCCAGAGTGTGATATTCCCCTTCCTGTGTCTATGTGATCTCATTGTTCAATTCCCACCTATGAGTGAGAATATGCGGTGTTTGGTTTTTTGTTCTTGCGATAGTTTACTGAGAATGATGATTTCCAATTTCATCCATGTCCCTACAAAGGACATGAACTCATCATTTTTTATGGCTGCATAGTATTCCATGGTGTATATGTGCCACATTTTCTTAATCCAGTCTATCATTGTTGGACATTTGGGTTGGTTCCAAGTCTTTGCTATTGTGAATAATGCTGCAATAAACATACGTGTGCATGTGTCTTTATAGCAGCATGATTTATAGTCCTTTGGGTATATATCCAGTAATGGGATGGCTGGGTCAAATGGTATTTCTAGTTCTAGATCCCTGAGGAATCGCCACACTGACTTCCACAATGGTTGAACTAGTTTACAGTCCCACCAACATTGTAAAAGTGTTCCTATTTCTCCACATCCGCTCCAGCACCTGTTGTTTCCTGACTTTTTAATGATTGCCATTCTAACTGGTGTGAGATGGTATCTCATTGTGGTTTTGATTTGCATTTCTCTGATGGCCAGTGATGATGAGCATTTTTTCATGTGTTTTTTGGCTGCATAAATGTCTTCTTTTGAGAAGTGTCTGTTCATGTCCTTTGCCCACTTGTTGATGGGGTTGTTTGTTTTTTTCTTGCAAATTTGTTTGAGTTCATTGTAGATTCTGGATATTAGCCCTTTGTCAGATGAGTAGGTTGCGAAAATTTTCTCCCATTTTGTAGGTTGCCTGTTCACTCTGATGGTAGTTTCTTTTGCTGTGCAGAAGCTCTTTAGTTTAATTAGATCCCATTTGTCAATTTTGGCTTTTGTTGCCATTGCTTTTGGTGTTTTAGACATGAAGTCCTTGCCCATGCCTATGTCCTGAATGGTAATGCCTAGGTTTTCTTCTAGGGTTTTTATGGTTTTAGGTCTAACGTTTAAGTCTTTAATCCATCTTGAATTCATTTTTGTATAAGGTGTAAGGAAGGGATCCAGTTTCAGCTTTCTACATATGGCTAGACAGTTTTCCCAGCACCATTTATTAAATAGGAAATCCTTTCCCCATTGCTTGTTTTTCTCAGTTTTGTCAAAGATCAGATAGTTGTAGATATGTGGCGTTATTTCTGAGGGCTCTGTTCTGTTCCATTGATCTATATCTCTGTTTTGGTACCAGTACCAGGCTGTTTTGGTTACTGTAGCCTCGTAGTATAGTTTGAAGTCAGGTAGTGTGATGCCTCCAGCTTTGTTCTTTTGGCTTAGGATTGCCTTGGCGATGCAGGCTCTTTTTTGGTCCATATGAACTTTAAAGTAGTTTTTTCCAATTCTGTGAAGAAAGTCATTGGTAGCTTTATCGGGATGGCATTGAATCTGTAAATTACCTTGGGCACTATGGCCATTTTCACGATATTGATTCTTCCTACCCATGAGCATGGAATGTTCTTCCATTTGTTTGTATCCTCTTTTATTTCCTTGAGCAGTGGTTTGTAGTTCTCCTTGAAGAGGTCCTTCACATCCCTTGTAAGTTGTATTCCTAGGTATTTTATTCTCTTTGAAGCAATTGTGAATGGGAGTTCACTCATGATTTGGCTCTCTGTTTGTCTGTTGTTGGTGTATAAGAATGCTTGTGATTTTTGCACATTGATTTTGTATCCTGAGACTTTGCTGAAGTTGCTTATCAGCTTAAGGAGATTTTGGGCTGAGACAGTGGGGTTTTCTAGATATACAATCATGTCGTCTGCAAAGAGGGACAATTTGACTTCCTCTTTTCCTAATTGAATACCCTTTATTTCCTTCTCCTGCCTAATTGCCCTGGCCAGAACTTCCAACACTATGTTGAATAGGAGTGGTGAGAGAGGGCATCCCTGTCTTGTGCCTGTTTTCAAAGGGAATGCTTCCAGTTTTTGCCCATTTAGTATGATATTGGCTGTGGGTTTGTCATAGATAGCTCTTATTATTTTGAAATACGTCCCATCAATACCTAATTTATTGAGAGTTTTTAGCATGAAGGGTTGTTGAATTTTGTCAAAGGCCTTTTCTGCATCTATTGAGATAATCATGTGGTTTTTGTCTTTGGCTCTGTTTATATGCTGGATTACATTTATTGAATTGCATATATTGAACCAGCCTTGCATCCCAGGGATGAAGCCCACTTGATCATGGTGGATAAGCTTTTTGATGTGCTGCTGGATTCGTTTTGCCAGTATTTTATTGAGGATTTTTGCATCAATGTTCATCAAGGATATTGGTCTAAAATTCTCTTTTTTGGCTGTGTCTCTGCCAGGCTTTGGTATCAGAATGATGCTGGCCTCATAAAATGAGTTAGGGAGGATTCTCTCTTTTTCTATTGATTGGAATAGTTTCAGAAGGAATGGTACCAGTTCCTCCTTGTACCTCTGGTAGAATTCGGCTGTGAATCCATCTGGTCCTGGACTCTTTTTTGTTGGTAAACTATTGATTATTGCCACAATTTCAGCTCCTGTTATTGGTCTATTCAGAGATTCAACTTCTTCCTGATTTAGTCTTGGGAGAGTGCATGTGTCGAGGAATTTATCCATTTCTTCTAGATTTTCTAGTTTATTTGCGTAGAGGTGTTTGTAGTATTCTCTGATGGTAGTTTGTATTTCTGTGGGATCGGTGGTGATATCCCCTTTATCATTTTTTATTGTGTCTATTTGATTCTTCTCTCTTTTTTTCTTTATTAGTCTTGCTAGCAGTCTATCAATTTTGTTGATCCTTTCAAAAAACCAGCTCCTGGATTCATTAATTTTTTGAAGGGTTTTTTGTGTCTCTATTTCCTTCAGTTCTGCTCTGATTTTAGTTATTTCTTGCCTTCTGCTAGCTTTTGAATGTGTTTGCTCTTGCTTTTCTAGTTCTTTTAATTGTGATGTTAGGGTATCAATTTTGGATCTTTCCTGCTTTCTCTTGTGGGCATTTAGTGCTATAAATTTCCCTCTACACACTGCTTTGAATGTGTCCCAGAGATTCTGGTATGTTGTGTCTTTGTTCTCGTTGGTTTCAAAGAACATCTTTATTTCTGCCTTCATTTCGTTATGTATCCAGTAGTCATTCAGGAGCAGGTTGTTCAGTTTCCATGTAGTTGAGCGGTTTTGAGTGAGATTCTTAATTCTGAGTTCTAGTTTGATTTCACTGTGGTCTGAGAGATAGTTTGTTATAATCTCTGTTCTTTTACATTTGCTGAGGAGAGCTTTACTTCCAAGTATGCAGTCAATTTTGGAATAGGTGTGGTGTGGTGCTGAAAAAAATGTATATTCTGTTGATTTGGGGTGGAGAGTTCTGTAGATGTCTATTAGGTCCGCTTGGTGCAGAGCTGAGTTCAATTCCTGGGTATCCTTTTTGACTTTCTGTCTCCTTGATCTGTCTAATGTTGACAGTGGGGTGTTAAAGTCTCCCATTATTAATGTGTGGGAGTCTAAGTCTCTTTGTAGGTCACTCAGGACTTGCTTTATGAATCTGGGTGCTCTTGTATTGGGTGCATGTATATTTAGGATAGTTAGCTCTTCTTGTTGAATTGATCCCTTTACCATTATGTAATGGCCTTCTTTGTCTCTTTTGATCTTTGTTGGTTTAAAGTCTGTTTTATCAGAGACTAGGATTGCAACCGCTGTCTTTTTTTGTTTTCCATTTGCTTGGTAGATCTTCCTCCATCCTTTTATTTTGAGCCTATGTGTGTCTCTGCATGTGAGATGGGTTTCCTGAATACAGCACACTGATGGGTCTTGACTCTTTATCCAGTTTGCCAGTCTGTGTCTTTTAATTGGAGCATTTAGTCCATTTACATTTAAAGTTAATATTGTTATGTGTGAATTTGATCCTGTCATTATGATGTTAGCTGGTGATTTTGCTCGTTAGTTGATGCAGTTTCTTCCTAGTCTCGATGGTCTTTACATTTTGGCATGATTTTGCAGCGGCTGGTACCGGTTGTTCCTTTCCATGTTTAGCGCTTCCTTCAGGAGCTCTGTTAGGGCAGGCCTGGTGGTGACAAAATCTCTCAGCATTTGCTTGTCTGTAAAGTATTTTATTTCTCCTTCACTTATGAAGCTTAGTTTGGCTGGATGTGAAATTCTGGGTTGAAAATTCTTTTCTTTAAGAATGTTGAATATTGGCCCCCACTCTCTTCTGGCTTATAGGGTTTCTGCCGAGAGATCCGCTGTTAGTCTGATGGGCTTCCCTTTGAGGGTAACCCGACCTTTCTCTCTGGCTGCCCTTAACGTTTTTTCCTTCATTTCAACTTTGGTGAGTCTGACAATTATGTGTCTTGGAGTTGTTCTTCTCGAGGAGTATCTTTGTGGCGTTCTCTGTATTTCCTGAATCTGAACGTTGGCCTGCCTTGCTAGATTGGGGAAGTTCTCCTGGATAATATCCTGCAGAGTGTTTTCCAACTTGGTTCCATTCTCCCCATCACTTTCAGGTACACCAATCCAACGTAGATTTGGTCTTTTCACATAGTCCCATATTTCTTGGAGGCTTTGCTGATTTCTTTTTATTCTTTTTTCTCTAAACTTCCCTTCTCGCTTCATTTCATTCATTTCATCTTCCATTGCTGATACCCTTTCTTCCAGTTGATCACATCGGCTCCTGAGGCTTCTGCATTCTTCACGTAGTTCTCGAGCCTTGGTTTTCAGCTCCATCACCTCCTTTAAGCACTTCTCTGTATTGGTTATTCTAGTTATACACTCTTCTAAATTTTTTTCAAAGTTTTCAACTTCTTTGCCTTTGGTTTGAATGTCCTCCCGTAGCTCAGAGTAATTTGATCGTCTGAAGCCTTCTTCTCTCAGCTCGTCAAAGTCATTCTCCATCCAGCTTTGTTCCATTGCTGGTGAGGAACTGCCTTCCTTTGGAGGAGGAGAGGCGCTCTGCGTTTTAGAGTTTCCCGTTTTTCTGTTCTGTTTTTTCCCCATCTTTGTGGTTTTATCTACTTTTGGTCTTTGATGATGGTGATGTACAGATGGGTTTTTGGTGTGGATGTCCTTTCTGTTTGTTAGTTTTCCTTCTAACAGACAGGACCCTCAGCTGCAGGTCTGTTGGAATACCCTGCCGTGTGAGGTGTCAGTGCGCCCCTGCTGGGGGGTGCCTCCCAGTTAGGCTGCTCGGGGGTCAGGGGTCAGGGACCCACTTGAGGAGGCAGTCTGCCCGTTCTCAGATCTCCAGCTGCGTGCTGGGAGAACCACTGCTCTCTTCAAAGCTGTCAGACAGGGACATTTAAGTCTGCAGAGGTTACTGCTGTCTTTTTGTTTGTCTGTGCCCTGTCCCCAGAGGTGGAGCCTACAGAGGCAGGCAGGCCTCCTTGAGCTGTGGTGGGCTCCACCCAGTTCGAGCTTCCCGGCTGCTTTGTTTACCTAAGCAAGCCTGGGCAATGGCGGGCGCCCCTCCCCCAGCCTCGCTGCCGCCTTGCAGTTTGATCTCAGACTGCTGTGCTAGCAATCAGCGAGATTCCGTGGGCGTAGGACCCTCCGAGCCAGGTGCCGGATATAATCTCGTGGTGCGCTGTTTTTTAAGCCGGTCCGAGAAGCGCAATATTCGGGTGGGAGTGACCCGATTTTCCAGGTGAGTCTGTCACCCCTTTCTTTGACTCGGAAAGGGAACTCCCTGACCCCTTGTGCTTCCCAAGTGAGGCAATGCCTCCCCCTGCTTCGGCTCACGCACGGTGCATGCACCCACTGACCTGCGCCCACTGTCTGGCACTCCCTAGTGAGATGAACCCGGTACCTCAGATGGAAATGCAGAAATCACCCATCTTCTGCGTCGCTCACGCTGGGAGCTGTAGACCGGAGCTGTTCCTATTCGGCCATCTTGGCTCCTCCCTTCATCTTTTTTTTTGCTTTGCAAGTATCATTTGTTCTCTTCTCTTGTCTTTCCTTTCATTCTCTTCCTTTCTCTCAGATCTTCAATTCTATTTCATCCCTAAATGCACCCACTCTGAGACATTTTTTACATGTACTTAAGCTTCTTGTAAAGTATATGGTGTTATACATGTATGTGTTTTTATTTTTCTTAAATAGCATGGAGCTATGAATCTCATTCTACCTATATTTTTCCCCAATCAACATTATGTTTTAAAGATCTATTCACATTGTTGTATATATGTTCATTTTGTTGCTTCTAATTTCTGAGTGTTATTTCATAGTATGCATTTATCATACTTATCCACCCACAAAATGGGTAAACAATGATTTGATAAACATTCTGTATTGTGCTCCTATACTGACTTTTTCTTATTTCTCTGGATATGCATATCACAAAATAAGATCAACGGGTCTAGGGCCTATCCCTATACAATTTTATTGAGTAATTTTACAACATTCTGCCAGATTGTTCTTAAGAATGGCTGTGGAATATGAGTTTTAATTTCCTTTTGTTCTCAGTTGGTACCATCAATATTTTTTAACTTTAGCCATTCTAACAGAATAAAGTGCTGTCTCATAACTGAGTCACATGTAGCTGATTACTAAATTAGGGCATTCATTCATTAACTTTAGGTATTTAGCATTAAAGCTTCATATTCTGTAAATTGCTAATTCATATCCTCATTTTCTATTGGGCTTTCTTTTTCTTTTTGATTTGCAAAAATTTTTGTATGCTTTAAATATTAATCCCTTGTGGGTTTTAAAAATTGCATTTCTTTTCTTAGTTTGTCATGACCTTTCAGCTTTGTTTAAGCTGGTCACCATTGAACTGAAATCTTTAATTTTGATATAGACTGTTCTATGAAGTTTAAAAAAATATTTCAATTTTATATTATCATTTAAAGTTTTTTTTACAGATGGGGTCTCAATCTCCCACCAGGCTGGAGTATAGCCTTTCATATTTTTATAATAAGCTCCTTTTTTCTTAAGGTGGTCTGAGTGACTCTTAACACTTTTCTTTTTAAAGAATTAATTTTCCCCAGTATCTCTAACAATGGTGCTATGTGGTGCCATCATGGCTCATGGCAGTCTTGAACTACTGGGCAAAAGTGATCCTCCTGCCTCAGCTGCCTGAGTAGCTGGGATTATAGGCAATTTTGTTTTTAATTGTGGTTACTATCACATTACATAAAATTTACCAGCTTAAACATTTTTGAGTATACAGTTCACTAGTTGTAAGTATATTCATTGTCGTGTAACAGATTCCTACACTTTTTCATTTTGTAAAACTGAAACTCTGTGCCCATTAAACACCAATTTCTCCTCTCTAAGCCCTTGGCAGCCACCTTTCTACTTTCTGTTTCTTTGATATTGACTATTTAATTTATTTATTAAATTTTTAATAATTTCAGCTTTAGATATAGGTGGTACATGTGCAGGTTTGTTATCTGGGTATATTGCGTGATGCTGAAGTTCAGGGTATGGTTGGTTCTGCCACCCAGGTACAGAGCACAGTACCAATAGTTAATTTTTCAACCCTTGTGCCCCTCCTTCCCCTCTCTAGTAGTCTGCAATGTCTAATGTTGTCATCTTTATGTCCATGAGCACCCAGTGTTTAGATCCCGCTTATATGTGACCATGCAGCGTTTGGTTTCCTTTCCTGCGTTAATGGCCTCCAGCTGCATTCATGTTTCTGCAGAGGACATGATTTCATTCTTTTTTATGAGTGCATGGTATTCCATGCCGTATACGTATCACATTTTCTTTATCCAATCCGCTGTTGGACAACAAGGTTTATTCCATGTCTTTGCTATTATGAAGAGTGCTGCAATGAACATTCGAGTGCATGTGTCTTTTGGGAAGAATGGTTTATTTTCTTTTGGATATATATACCCAGTAATGGGGTTGCTGGGTCAAATGGTAGTCCTAAGTTTTTTGCTTAGGATTGCTTCATCTATCTGGGCTCTTTTTTGGTTCCATGTGAATTTTAGAATAGTTTTTTTTTTTTTTCTAGTTCTGTGAAAAAGGACATTGATAGTTTGATAGGAATAGCATCAAATCTATAGATTGCTTAGGGCAGTATGGCCATTTTAATGATAGTGATTGTTGCAACATGTAAGCATGAAATATTTTACCATTTGTTTGAGTCATCTATGACATCTTTCAGCAGTGTTTCCTTGTAGAGATCTTTCATCTCCTTGATTAGATGTATTCCTAGGTAGTTTTTTTTTTTGTGGCTATTGTAAATAGGATTGCATTTTTAATTTGGTTCTCAGCTTGAATGTTGTTGGTGTATAGAACTGCTACTGATTTTTGTACATTTATTTTGTATCCTGAAACTATTGAAGTCATTTTTGAGTTCCAGGAGCCTTTTGGCAAAGTCTTTAGGGGTTTTTAGGTATAGAATTATATTGTCAGCACAGAGAGATAGTTTGATTTCTTCTTTTGCTATCTGGATGCCTTTTATTTCTTTCTCAAGAGAAAGAAATAAAAGGCATCCAGATAGGAAAAGAAGAAATATACTATGTTGGTAGTACCTAGTATGTCTACCGCTATGTTGGTTGACATAGTACTATGTCCAGTAGTATGTTGAATAGGAGTGGTGAGACTGGGCATCCTTGTCTTGTTCCAGTTCTCAAGGGAAATGGTTTTAGTTTTTGCCCATTCAGTATGATGTTTGCTGTGGGTTTTTCACAGATGGTTCTTATTATTTTGAGATATGTTCCTTCAATGCCTAGTTTCTTGAGGATTTTATAATGAAGGGATGTTGGATTTTAGCAGAAGCTTTATCTGTGTCCTTTGAAATGATCACTTTTTTTGTTTTTAATTCCGTCTATGTGAAGAATCATATTTATTGATTTGCATATGTTGAACCAATCTTGAATCCCAGGGATAAAGACTGCTTGATTGTGGTGAATTAACTTTTTTATGTGCTGATGGATTTAGTTTGCTAGCATTTTGTTGAGGATTTTTGCATCTATGTTCATCAGGGCTCTTGGCCTGTAGCTTTCTTTTTTTTTATTGTGTCTTTGCCAGGTTTTGGTACCAGGATGATAAGGGTTTTGGTATCAAGATGATGAGGGCTTTGGTATCACAAGGAGTGAGGGAGGCATCTCTCCTCCATGATTTTTTGGAATAGTTTCAGTAGAATTGGTGCTGGCTCTAGGTTGAACATCTGGTAGAATTTGGCTGTGAATACATCTGATCCAGGTTTTTTTTTAGGTGATTATGTTTTTTATTACTGATTTGGTTTTGGAACTCTATATTGGTCTGCTCAGGGTTTCAATTTTTTCCTGATTCAATCTTGGAGATTGTGTATTTACAGGAATTAATCAATTTCCTCTAGATTTTCTAGTTTTTGTGCATAGGGGTGTTCATAATAGTCTATGAGCATCTCTTGTATTTTTGTGGAATCAGTTGTAATGTTGCCTTTGTTGTTTGTGATTGTGCTTATTTGAATCTTCTTTTTCTGTTAATCTAGCAAGTAGTCTATTGATCATGTTTAGCCTTTCAAATAACTTTTGGCTTCATTGATCCTTTGTATGAATTTTTGGGGCTCAGTTTTGTTCACTTCTACTCAGATTTCAGTTATTTCTTTTTTTCCTGTTAGATTTGGACTTTGTTTCTTTTGTTCCTAGTTCCTCTAGGTGTAATTTCAGATTGCTAATTTGAGATCATTCTACATTTTGAGTTAGGAATTTAGTGCTATGAACTTCCCTCTTAATACTGCTTTTGCTGCATTCCATAGATGTTTGTATTTTGTAGTTCTGTTTTCATTTATTTCAAATAATTTTCCTGGTGTCTGCCTTAATTTCATTATTTACCCAAATGTTATTCAGGAGTAAGTTGTTTAATTTCCATATATTTGTGTGGTATGAGAGATATTCTTGGTATTGATTTCTGTTTTTACTCCACTGTATTCTGAGAGTATGGTTGGTATGCTTTCAGTTTTTTGAATTTGTTGATACTTGCTTTATGGCTGAGCATGTGGTCAATCTTAGAGTATATTCTGTGTGCAAATGAGAAGAATGTATATTCTGTGTTTGTTGGATTGGATATTCTGTAGATGTCTATTAGGTCTAATTTGTCAGGTATTGAATTTAAGTCCAAAATTTCTTTGTTAGTTTTCTCCCTTAATGATTTATCTAATGCTGTGAGTAGGGTGTTAAAGTCCCCCACTGTTTTGTGTGGCTGTCTTTTCGAAGGCCTAGAAATACTTGTTTTATGAATCTGGGCACTCCAATGTTTGTTACGTTGGGCGTATATATATTTAGAATAGTTAAGTCCTTTTGTTGAATTGTACCCTTTATCATGTAATGCCCTTCTTTGTCTCTTTTTACTGTTGTTCATCTAAAGCCTGTTTTGTCTGATGTGAGAATAGTGACCCCTGTTCTTTTTTGTTTTCTGTTATTGTGGTAGGTCTTTCTTCCACCTTTTACTTTGAACCTGTGTGTGTGATTACACATGATATGAGTCTCTTGAAGAAGGCAGATGGATGGGTCTTGTCTTTTTTTTAAATTGAACTTCCTACTCTGAGTTTTTTAGTAGAGTATTTAGAGCATTTATGTTCAAGGTTAATATTGATATATAAGGTTTTGATTCTATCATGAAGTTGTTAGCTGGTTCCTTTTTTGTTTCTATCATGTAGTGGCCTCATAGGGTCTGTGAGCTATGTAGTTAAGTGTGTTTTTGTGGTGGCAGGCACTGTTATTTTGTTTTCATGTTTAAGGCTCTCTTAAGGATCTCTGGTAATATTGGCCTATTGGTAATAAATTCCTTTAGTGTTTGCTTGTCTGGAAAATATTTTCTTTCTTCTTTGCTTACGAAACTTAGTTTGGTGGAATTTGAAATTTTTGGTTCAAATTTCTTTCTTTAACAATGCTGAAAATAGGCCCCCAAGCTCTCGTGACTTGTAAGGTTTCTGCTGAGAAGTCTTCTGTTTGCCCGATGGGGTTCCCTTTGTATATGATCTGATCTTTTTTTCTAGCTGCCTTTAAGATTATTTCTTTAGAATTGATTTTGGACAGTTGACTATTTTAGATATCTCACACAAGTGGAATCATACAGTATTTGTGCTCTTGTGACTGGCTTATTTCACTTAGTCTGTCCTTAAAGTTCAAACATACTGTAGCATTTGACAGTATCTCCTTTTTTAAGGCTGAATAATATTCCATTGTATGTATACTCAATATTTTCTTTATCCGTTCATCTGTCAGTTGAGCATTTGGATTGTTTCCACTTCTTTGGTCTTGTGAATAATGTTGCAGTGAACATAGACATGCAAAATATATTTTTAAGTTTCTGTTTTCAGTTCTTTTGGGCGTGTACCAAAGGAACTGCTGGATCATATGGTAGTTCTATTTTTAGTTTTTTGAAGAACTTCCATACTGTTTTCCATAGTGGTTATACCATTTTACTTTCCTACCTACAGTGCACAAGGGTTTCAATTTCTTCATATCCTCACACATATTTGCTATTTTTCTGTTTTTTTGATGATTTGAAAATTTTATTTTTATTCTTCTAGTAATTATGCCTAATATATTAAGATACATTTTAATTATATTTTTTTCTTATCAGTGACTTAAGATTATCGATATCTATATAGCTGTCTTCCCATATAGATGAGTACTTTAGCATACCTGCATTTCCCAGTGTTTTTCCTCTGTACTTTATCCCATTCCACTCTTCTGTTAGTAGTATCGAGAATTTTTGTAGTAAATTATTTTAGGTATACTTTTGTATACTTCTGTCACTTAACCCTCTAAACTTGACTAAATTACTTACTTATCTATTTTTCATATATTTTATGTATCTCATCCCTCATGATTTTTTTCTTTCCTTTTTTTTTGGAGTACTTTTTCCAAGACAGGATCCAGAAGGTTTTGTGTAAAAAACCTCTTGAGGCCTTGTATGCATCAGAACATCATCACTGTAATCTTACATTAAAATGATAGTTTTACTAGATATAAAATTTTAGGTTCAACATTATTTTCTTTCAACACTTTGAAAAATCTACTCCATTGTTATTATTCCCACAATGTAGCTGGTGAAAAGTCTGATGTCAAGTTGATTTCCTTTGTTGGTAATCTGATTTATTTCTCCAGATGGCCTGGGTTACTACTTTTTATAGGGAGTTTTTCTCCTTTGACTTCCATCACTATTCCTTAGAGTATGTAGTGGGAGAGGCAGAGGAGAGAATTTCATGTGGCTTTTAGTTCAACTGCAACTGTTGTTATCTGTTATTCTTCTTATCTGGTTTCAGAAAATTGTTTTAATGTTGTCCTTGTAGTGTTGGTCTGATGCTGTGGTTTTTCTGCCCCACCGTGACAATATGCAGATTAATGTGGCAGTGAGTAAAGAACAAAATAAAAAAACAATTTTCTTAAACTTACCCATACATTGTGTTCCAGGCCTTCTGTGACAAGCAGCTGTCTGCCTCTACACCCCATCAAATTCTCAACTTCCTTCATCTTTGTATGGGTTTCTCATAGTCTTTGCTTTAGTGCTTCAGATTAACATACTTTCTTGAGCTGGTTCGGAAAAGCAGGCAACAGAAGTTTGTCGTCTTGTAAGAAACAGAATTTCTTTTTTATAATTGAGATGGTCTGCTTAGGAAATATATGACAAAGGACTAAATCCAATCTATTTAAATATTAAAGGCAAAGGTGACCTCAGAATTCTGAAGGTTTAGTGTTATATTTCTTTGGGAAAGTCATCCCTTTCAGTTATATGACTTCGGAGAAAAATAGTACATCGAACTATGTAGGAGGAGGGGGCACAAATCTCGTTAGCCTGAACAGGCAAATCAAGCACTGCAGTTGATCAACAGAGTGATAAATGTTGCAACCAAATTGCTCTCACGTTTCATACTTGGTGATCAGTTTAATGAACAAGATGAAGAGGAAGGTAAAAAAAGAGATTTCTAATACAGAAAGAGGAGCTGATGATATATATGCAGTCTACAAAAAAGGAAAAAGATTGTTAATGTTGACTGCAGAATTCTCTAAGGCAAGCTTGTCCAACCTGTGGCCCATGGGCAGCATGTGGCCCAGGACGGCTTTAATGTGGCCCAACACAAATTTGTAAACTTTCTTAAAACATTGAGTAATTTTTTGATTTTTTTTTTCACTCATCAGCTATTGTTAATGTTAGTGTGTTTTATATGTGGCCCAAAACAGTTCTTCCAATGTGGCCCAGGGAAGCCAAAAGACAACCTGTTCTAGAGCATTAAAAAAAAATTAAGAAACACCGCATGTTCTCACTCATAAGTGAGAGCTGAACAATGAGAACACATGGACATAGGGAGGGGAACATCACACACCAGGGCCTGTCAGTGAGTCGGGGGCTAGGGGAGGAATAAGATTAGGAGAAATACCTGATGTAGGTGACGGGTTGATGGGTGCAGCAAACCACCGTGGCACGTGTACACCTATGTAACAAAACTGCACGTTCTGCACATGGACCCCAGAACTTAAAGTATAATAAAAAAAATTAAGAGTGATATAGTAGAGATGCTTTTGTGCTCGTAAAATGGAACAATAAAAAAATTCCAGTAAAACTAATGACTGTCATGCCGAACTGTCTAATATACAATAGAAAATAATTTAGAAAATCTGGTACGTTTTGATTGACATTGCTATGCCTTTAGCTTAGATTTGTTGGTTTTAAAGGAAACTATAAACTCAGTTTCAGGGATACATGTTAAGCAACTTCAGATTTAAACTGTTTACAACTGCTAGCTTTTGTGTATGGTTTTCATTTGACATTATAAATTTCCACTCTGCATGGGAATCACCTGGAATTCATTCCAGATGGGTGATTCTCAAAGACACTTTCAGTTAGTTAGAAGTCTAAAACTGTCTGACTTCTAGTCTCTGCTAGAGTGTGTTCTATTTTTTTAAGTTCTAGTAAGCATTTTCCTGAAGTAATAGTAGCCAACTCTTTATTTCTAGTGACTGAGAATTTCATTCAGAGGCGATGGGTGATTTAATTTTTAGGAATGGAAAGCTTTGCTAATGAATTAAGTTAAAATATTTTCACACAGTGGTCCAATTGAAATGTAAATATAATACACATAATATGTAACATTCTGTTCATGTCCCTAATAGCTGACACATGCTTTAGCTGGAAATAAATGAAAACATATGGGCATGAACATGTTGTCATCATGTCAAAACAAAGCGTTCATTTCAAAATGTTTTATGAAACTATATTTGTTTCAAACATGGTATGTGCTGTATTGCCATAATGAGAAAAGTTTTCCTGTCAAAATGCTTTTTATGGAGTTTATCTGAAGGGCAGCTATGGAGGGCAGTTTCTAGAGAAATCTGTATCAATATCCTTAGTCCATCCTTGGAGTGTTGCATATCTTTTGGTGTTCTTTCCTTCTTTTCTCCCACTTTTCTGTTGTCGACTTAAATTGTGATATAGCAAAAAAAATTGGTTTCATGATTTTGTGAAAATATTACTAAACTAGAGTCCAGGGATTCTTCTTTCTTTGCATCTATGATTTTTTTTCTTTTCTTTTAAAAGTTATTTATTATTTAATCATTTTATATATATTTAGAGGGTACAAGGGCAGATTTCTTACATGCGTCTGTTGCGTTGTGATGATGTAACTGCCTGAGGGGTTCTTCCTACCCACTGCATAAAGAAAGACCATGGCCTTAGAGTAGAGAAAGAGTTTAATAGACACTGAGCCAGCCATGCCACAGGGGAGCTGGAATTTGTACTCAGATGATCTAGGTTGAAGCTCATGGGTTAGGGGTTTTTCAAAGGCAGTTTGAGGGAACAGGTGGGTGTGGCCAGGTAACAGGTGCTTGTTGCTGATTGGTTGGGCTGGAGATGAAATCATAGGGGGTCAAAGCTGTCCTCCTGAGGGCTGAATCGCTTCTGGTTAGGGCCACAGGAGCAGCGTTGGTGGTCTAGGTAGAGACATCAGGTTTAGTTGGAGCCATCAGTGTCAAACATGCAAAAAACCTGGAAAGATAACTAAAAAGGTCAATCTACAATAGTGGTGTTATTTGCAGGAGTAATTGGGGAAGTTGCTTGTCTTATAACCTCTGGAATAACAGCTGACAATCCTTTATGTCTGCACCTTAGCAGGACTCAGCTGCCTCTCTTCCCTGCAGCCTGGTGGCCTCCCATTAGCTTTTAAAAGTAGTTGAATTTTGGGCATTTACACTGTAGCCTAAATATCTTCCAAAGTTAGCTCAGCCCAACAGCCCACAATTAATTTAGGGAAACACAAGATCGGGGGTTAGCTTAGCTTTCTGTTGTAATTTTTCTCACTGATATAATTTTTGCAAAGGTGGTTTCAGTGAAGTCTGGGTGATATTGTACCCAACAGGTAATTTTTCATCCCTCACTTCCCCCTCACCCTCTCATCTTTTGTAGTCTCCAGCGTCTGCTCTTTCACTCTGTATGTCCACGTGTACCCATGGTTTGGCTCCCACCTATAAGCATGAACCTGCGGTATTTGACTTTCCATTTCTGCGTTATTTCACTTAGTATAATGGCCTCCAGCTCCATCTGCTTTAATACATCTATGATTATTCAAACTCATAGTCCTCAATGCCTAGGTCTAGTTGGTCCATTTTATTTTTCACTCATATTCTATGCACATTTCTGCTGTGTGCCTTCATCATATCTACTACCTGCAATGCCAGCCTCCTTTCTCTTGATTAATTTACGCTGATTAGTTCTATTCTAGGTGCCCCATTTTGTTTTTTTACAAAGATCCTCAGTAAATCCAGATGGCTTTGTTTCTCTTCATGTTCTGTTTGTTCATTTATAATGTGTTTTTGGCACTGTATTGTATAGAAACTTGTATGATTTTGTATTTTGAATTATTTCATATATATTGTAAACCAAAAATAAAATTCTAAGCTCCAACTGATTGATGGACGCCCCCCTCTTGGCCAAGGGCACTCCAAAGTAAATCTGAAAATCTAGTTCAGGCCATGATGGGAAGAGGGAGTCAGATATACTTCATTATACCCTCCTCTCTTGGGAATTCAGGCACACCTGACCAGAGTTAACATTAAAACAGAGATCTTAAGACTGATAAAGACTCTGTAGCAATAAGACACCATTTCCAACCTGACTCTAGTGTAGCATCACATGACAGACAGCAGGCCTAAAAGGAATCACAATATTTTACCCCGAAATATATTTCTTTGACATATTTTGAAATGGCCCTGTAAGGCTGTCCCTTGTGGGGGAAAATATACATTCTGTAGAAAATCTCTTTCTCTTTTCAGGAGAGATTTAACTAAGATCTAGGAGAGAGTTACCTAAGAGTCTAGCACCTTTTTAGGTCTGATAAGAGCTCTGAAACCTGCTACCTGGAGGCTTCAGCTGCATAATCAAACCTTTGTCTCCACAATTGTTTATCTTGAGAGCTTGTTTGGAGGTTCTAGCAAGACAGCATAGCTACTCGTATACCCTTGACTGAAGACCGGTCCTTCTTTATCAGGGATGGTCATCCTCTTCGACCGAGTGCGCAGCTTCAGGAGGGACACACATGGAGCGGTAAGGGAGGAAGGGGCCACCCGCCTAGCCAGCCAGATCAGCCAAATCAACCCTGGCATTTAATGGGGTGACAGATGTCACAGCCAGGTTGCCCTCACATCCACACAACCATTTATCTTAACCCAGACATTTCTTACTATTGATTTCAAATCTTTACATAATAATGGATATGGTTTGGCTCTATGTCCCCACCCAAATCTCACATCAAATTGTAATCCCCACTTGTTGGTGGAGGGGACTAGTGGAAAGTGATTGGATCATGGGGGGACCCTTCCCCCTTGTTCTTGTGATAGAGTTCTCATGAGATCTGATGGATTAAAAGTGTGGCACTTCCTCCTTCACTCTCTTCTGCCACTTTGTGAAGAAGGCACTTGCTTCTACTTCACCTTCCACCATGATTGTAAGTTTCCTGAGGCCTCCCCAGCCATGCAGAACCGTGAGTCAGTTAAACCTGGCAATAACCAATTGCCAATCAGATAATGCTTGAATCCACCTATGACCTGGAAGCCCCCACTTTGAGTTGTCCCACCTTTCCGAACTGAAGGAATATACACCTTACATGTAGTGATTGGTGTCTCAGGTCTCCCTGAAACATATAAAACCAAGCTGTTTTTATAGGTTTTTACAGGTCGTGTAGCCTGACCACCTTGGGCATATGTTCTCAGGATCTCCTGGGGCTGTGTCACGGATTGCGGTCCTCATATTTGTCTCATAATAAATCTCTTCAAATATTTTACAGAGCTTAACTGATTTTTGTCAACCAGATATATCTTTTTGACTGGAAGAGTATAAATTCCTTGAGGGCAAAAATATGTTTTATAAATTTTTATTGATATGTGTTTTTCTTTTAACATTGTGAGGCACATAAGTAGTGCCACATCCATTGGCATTTTATTGGTCTGTTTGAATTTTATTAGTCTAATTTCAACTCTACCACCAACTGTGTTTTCTGAATGAAACTTTAAATTTATTTCGTATATTAATAGTCATTAATTAACATATATGGGTTTTGATTGAATTAATCTTTTCCAATTTTTATCTCTATGAATTCTAATTGATTTTTATGGGTGATGTGGTATGAATCTTGTGGTTTTTTTTTTTTTTTTTTTTTTTTTAAGATGGACTCTTGCTCTGTCACCCAGGCTGGAGTGCAATGGCACATCTTGGCTCACTGCAACCTCCGCCTCCTGGGTTCAAGTGATTTTCCTGCCTCAGCCTCCCGAGTAGCTGGGATTACAGGTGTGTGCCACCATGCACAGCTAATTTTTGTATTTTTAGTAGAGACAGGGTTTCACCATGTTGCCCAGGCTGGTCTTGAACTCCTGAACTCAGGTGATCCACCTGCCTCGGCCTCCCAAAGTGCTGGGATTACAGGCATGAACCACCACGCCTGGCCTGAATCCTATCTGTTAAGATTCTCCTCAAACTTCCCCTTCCTGAATCTTATGCATTCCTAACCCACCGTTCTAAGCTCCCTCTTCTGTGCTCCTTTTCCTTTGATTTACCCCCATTACTTCATTTATAGAAAATACTACATCACCTTATAGATTTTTGGTGGCTATTTCCCCTGCAAGACTGAATTCATGAGGACAATGACCAATGTTTAATTTTCTATTTTCAGTATTTATATAGTCAGTCCTTAGTATATAGTAGACTTTCAATAAGAGTTTGCTGCATAAAAACTATTCTTACAACAATCTTGTAGGATAGGTACTATTTTTATAGAAACTGAGACTCAGAGAGTCCAAGTGAGTTACGAAATTCACACAGCAGCAATTGCATGCATGCCGAAGGATTCTATTCATAGTTATGACTCCAAGTTCAAGGATTTCTTCTAAAGGCAGCCAATGCTAGAAATGTGCTTCCCGCTGAGACTCAGTGTTGTTTATAGTTTTTAATTGATTTGTGACTTTGAAATTAATGGAAATATTATTTATATTTTTCCCATTTGAGGTATAATTTTTTGACAGTTTTATTGAGATGTAATTCACATACTATGCATTTCACTCATTTATTACTTTTTAATATATTCACAGATATGTGCAACATCACCGTAGTCAATTTCAGGCCATTTGTATCAACTCAAAAAGAAACTTAGTATCCATTAACTAACCCCCACCCCCAGCTACCACTCCCCAGGTAAATTCTTAAGGCGTAAGGGTAATTCAAATATTTGTGTGCTGTAAGTTTAATGTCCCTTTCACAGCCTTTACTAGTAACTGTTTAAGTGTTGTCAGCAGGTTAATTATTCCTAGTTAAAAAACATTTAAAGGTAACTTTCCAATTAAATAATTTAGAAGGTGAAACTTCAAGACTGAGTGTTGTCAATGTGTGTATAATGGTTATAATATTTTCATGCCACTTACTCAGGCATAAAGAAGTAATATTTTTTATGTTTGAAATAACTCATCTGAATTTCTATTTCAGTTCCTCATGGCAGAACACATAGTCTTGGTGCATTCTGGGTAAACACAGTAATTTTGCAATTAAACCCAGTAACATTAGTTGTAACTCTACAGGATAGCATTGGGAAGCAGTGACTGCTGGTTGTTGCCATCTGTCCAGTTTGTCATCTGTTTAGGTGCAACTTGCTCCATCTGTCAGCTGGGCATGCTTCTTCTCTACATCTGCACCCCCTGAATAGTAAGCCTTCTGATTAGGATTTGGTTTATGTTCTGCACTGTTCCTGTCTAAAGAGAAAGCCCTTAAGGCTTCTTGTTCCTAGTTAGAGGGAGGTAGGAAAATAAGGTTGCTTTCTTAAGCCACTTCAGACCTGTGGGGGACTGGGTGAGGTGGCAGCAGACACTCTCTGCCTCTATCCCACATGCTTCCAGGCAGCTTCTCATCTGCTGTAGGAAACTTTTAGGACTTGGCTTATTCCTCCAGGCCTCCACCAAGAAGAGAGCCTCTCCTTTCTACCATCACACCCCCAAACTTCTCTGGAGCTTTGCATTTACTTGCTTGCTTTTGAAGCTTACTCTTGTTTTAGATGGTGGAAAGTTGGAAGAAGTGCAGGCCGCTGAGATCATTTTCATAAGTGTCTGTTTTGCTTTTCCTTCAATTCTTTTTGAGAACATGAATAGCAATATTGTGTGATGTGTAGGAATACATACGTCACAGTCATATTATAAAAACATGTCTGGAAAAGGCAAACCCAAATTCAAATGAAAGTAACCTCCTACAAGGGTTAAGGAAAAAGAGTTTATGAGATATTTGAATTTATTAAAATTTTAGTTCATAAAATCATTGTTACATCTTTATTTTGTTAAGAATAATGAATCATTTCTAAATATTTGGACTGTGTGCTTAATCAGAGAGGATGAGACAGTTAGCAGGATATGCCATTTCAGCAATACCCAAGTCAAAAACAGCCAAAACATCTTGATTAGCATTAGAAAGGTCTGATGACTATAAAGACATGGCATAATGTGACAAATCCAAGAATGGTTTCAGAGCATAATGATAAAGGTTCCCTAAATTTTCTTTCAGAAATAAAGTAATTATAATCATGTAATACATTCCAAGCCTGAGTATACGTGAAATTGCTGTCAAAATCTGCCTCAGGATATTTAAACTTTCAGTAATTGTAAGTTTAATTTCTAGTGAAGAGTACATGTATTCAGTTGGAAATAATTTTGCCTCCCATAAAATAGACCAAATTAAACCAAATTAGTATACTTCAAGAGAAACCGAATGCAATAATGTGATTTTTTTCAGTAAATTCTTCTGAAGTACAATATTGTGTCACTGCTTAATTTCTTAAATGTCCAGAGTTGTCAGATAGGTTTTAACTTATATGGTACCTCCTGGGGAGCTGTGAGGAAAATGATTTTCAGGTTGGTTCCTGGCTTTAAGGAAACAGTACAGGAACTGAATGATTAATGCCCATTTTGTGTTGGGGGATGCCTTGTCTGGCCTCATTCCTAACAGTGGTGCCATATAGATTATATTGTACACACCACTTTGGATAACATATAAATTTTGATATGAATTTAATTTTTTTTGAGATGGGGGTCTCACTGTGTTGTCTAGGCTGGTCTTGAAGTCCTGGGCTCAAGCAATCCTCCCATTTCAGCCTCTCCAGTAGCTGGGACTACAGGCACACACCACCACGCCTCACTATTAATTCTAATACGATCTTGTAGATGAACTGTAATGAAACAATGAGAGCTAGGAGAATGATTTGAGGAATGAATAACTTCAATATTTTGCTAAATGAAATCATAAACAAAATATTGATCATTTTCTTTACTCATTACAGAACCCTTGTTAACCCACTGCTCTGGGCAGGGCACAAATCCTGTTTGCTTCATGGCGTTCCTTCATGCTCTCACTGAACTGTGGTCTTTTGTGCAATAGACCACCATGGCAATGTGTTTGTATCTTTCACTGACACTTTTCACATTATATCTTTTATTACTTATTTATCCTTGTTCCTCATTATTTTGTTTTCTTATATTAATTAATTTTTAAGTTCATAAAAGTTGTATATATTTATGGCATATAACATGATGCTTTGAAATATGTATACATTATGGAATGGCTAAATTGAGCTAACTAACATAAGTATTACTTCATATATCATTTATTTGTGGTGAGAACACTTAAAATCTATTGTCTTACCAATTTCCAAGTATACATTACATTGTTATTAGCAATAGTTACCATGTTGTATAATAGATGTCTTGAACTTCTTACTCCTGTCTTCCTCATAACTTTGTGATAGTAACACTTTCTAGCATTTGCATTTTTGACAGCTTTAAAAATTATTAAAAGTTCATTTACATTGTCTTATTCAGGTCTCACACAGACCATGTGATTCAGGTTAATTACTCCCATGTCAGTGAATCAAGGGATGTGAGATAGTGCAATGAGGCAGCTTCAGAAGACTTGGGTTGTAGTTTTCACTGTGTAACATATGAGTTTTGCAATTGTGAAGAGGCAATTTACACACTTGAAACTTCAGCTTTCCCTCCTGGAAAATATGTAAGGGGGACATAGTGCTGTGGGGTTCATTGCTATGAGGCATTAATCAGATATTTAATAACTTTCAAACACCATTAAAGTGGCATTAACATACTACTATTAAGAGAATGTAGTATCCCGGAGGGTAGTAATTATGTCCCTTTTTTATCTGTTTATTTTCCAGACACTTAGTGCAGCACCTAATGATGGTGCTCAGTGAATATTGGTTAAATGGATGAATGGGACAGAGGTTGCCAAACTTTTTCTGTAAAAGTCAAGATAGTAAATATTTTAGGCTTTGTGGGCCATACGATCTCTGTCACAACTACTCAGAGCTGCTTTTGTAATGCAAAAGCAGCCATAGACAATATGTAAGTAATGAGCATGGATGTGTTTCAATTAAATTATTTATGGCCACTGAAATTTGAATTTTATATGATTTTCATATGTCATGAAATACTCTCCTTTTGATTTTTTCCCAACTATTTAAAAACGTAAAAACAGTTCTTGGCTCATAGTGTTACAGGGGGCGGGGGGAGGGGGGTCCTTGCTCCCAGAGCTCCCAAGATGGTGGCGGGCCACCTCCAAGGTGGTGGCAAACCTCGTGTTCTCTGACCTGGTGTCACGGATTCCAAAGAATGGAATCTTGAGCCATGTGGTGAGTGTTATAGCTCTATTAGAAGCCGTGGGTCACGGAAGACAACCGTGGAACCCAGTGACTAGTGTTCAGCTTGATTAGGACCAACCTGGGCACATAGCTGTGCAGGAACAATGGTGAACCTTTAGCTCCATCGGGAGCAGCAGTGGGCACCTCACTGGATCAGGAGCACAGCAGACACCCTGCCGGATCCGGAGGGATGGAAGTCAGCAGCGGGTCTGTGACAGCAGCAAACAGCAGTGGCGGAGGGCCAGCGAAAGCTCAGCTCGAGTAACAAACACGGACCAGAAGAGTGTGCAGCTGCAAGATTTAATAGAGTGAAAACAGAGCTCCCATACAAAGGGAGGGGACCCAAAGAGGGTAGCCGTTGCCGGCTCCAATGCCTAGGTTTATATCCCTATCATTGTCCCTCCTGCTGTGCTCTCAGGCAATAGATGATTGGCTATTTCTTTACCTCCTGTTTTTGCCTAATTAGCATTTTAGTGAGCTCTCTTTACTACCTGATTGGTTGGGTGTGAGTTAAGTTGCAAGCCCCGTGTTTAAAGGTGGATGCGGTCATCTTCCCAGCTAGGCTTAGGGATTCTTAGTCGGCCTAGGAAATCCAGCTAGTCCTGTCTCTCAATAGGTTGTACAAAAACGGAGGGGCCAGATTTATTTTATCAATCTCTGGAATAAAATATGAATATCAGTTAAATTAAGCATGTATCTGAAATCTCAGCATCACACAACATACCCATGTAATAAACCTGCACATGTAACCCTGAATTTAAAATTAAAGTTGAAACTTTTTTTAAAAAATAAAACTTATTATGGTCATTTTATGAGCACTTTTTTAAATAATCTTATTTGAATAGACTAGAAAATTTGGTCATTCACTAATATGATATTGTGAGTATAAGAATCACAGAGGGAAAAATCAAACTTACTGTACTAGGCTAAATACAATTTTATCTTTCTTGTATTATGATATGCAGACTTTTATCAAATATTGTAGGCTTTTAATTCATTTCTGGATTCATTTAAATAGATTGAAAAAAGTTGAAAAGGAAAGTATGCATTGAGGAACACTTGATGAGGCGATAAGATGATGTAACCTGCTTGGTCTTATGGAAAGTCATGAAACTGCAGACTTGGTCCATTGCAAATTCATGCTATCTCACCTCGTTTGGGTTCTTAATGCTACTTGTCAATTCTTTTCTTATTCATTGCTTGTTAAATTCTTATTGCATTCCTCATAGCAGCTGTTTTAGATTTTCTATGCTTTCAACTTCCACTCTCATGGTCTCTCACTCACTCTAAGCAGATGACTCTCCTCCTTCTGGACTTGCTGGCCGTTGCAAGCTCTTGCAGTTTTTCTCCCCTCATACTCAGACATATCTGCTGCCACTCATTCCCCATAACCTCATATTCCTCTTGATCTTTACTTCTTTGTTTTCTTTCATTGCAGGGGGATAATGTGTCACTTACACTTGTGCTCTTTCCACCACCATTTTTTTTTTTTTTCTGCCCTGAGCTGGGGGTTTTGCTATGTTTCCCAGGCTAGACTTGAACTCTTGGGCTCAAGCTATCCTCCAAGCTCAGCCTTTTGAGTAGCTGGGATTACAGGTGCGATTCACTGTGCCCTGCATCTACCACTATTTTTAAACTTCTTCCATAAAATTATTCAATTGATGATTTTCCTTCTCTCTTCTGTTAGCATCTCTCTGCCTTTTTACTGGCTCTTTCTCTTCTTTTTATAAACATTATTAGATCTCCTAGTCTTTTAAAACAGGGCTTATTCAGCTTTTCTTCACTAATGTCTCCCACAAGCCAACCTCTGTTCTGTTTGGGCTTGCCTGCACTTCTGTTCTCACTGGTAAGTGCCTATACACATCACCCCTTCACCCTTGCCTTAACAAAAACAATGAAGAAAATCCATATCAAACTTAATCATCTCTTAGATCTTCTGCTAATGTAAGACCATTATTCAGTCTCCTTTAGGTTAGTCATTTTATGTCCTCAAAATACAGTCTATATGTGTTGTTTTTGTCTCCCGTTATGACTTATTCGTTTAGTCCTTGCAATCTGCATTCTCTTTTCACTGTTCTTTTGAACAGTTTTCTCAAGAATCACCAATGACTTTCCAGGGTATAAACACAATACATTATTATTAATAATGATCTTCTTTTAATTCCCTAGCATTTATCCTTTGATAACTAATTCATACTTCTTAGAAACATTTATTCTTTGGCCTCTGGAAGAGTGCTCCCTTCTTATCCCGGATTGTTTTCTCTCTGAAAATGTTGATGACTCTTTTTTGTCCCTGCCCCAATGGTTGGTGTTCTCCAAAGTCATCCTAGTCTCTCCCTTTTCATTCTCTCTCTATCTAAAACTACCCATTTATTTTCTATTTTACCACCTTCAAGGTGATGATGGTTCATGCACCCGTTCCAAGCTTCTCCTTCCTGGGCTCCAGTTCTGCATTATTAAGAGTCTGGTGAATGTCTCCACTGAACGTCATAGGCACCTCAAACTCACCATGCTTAAAACTGAACTAATGACTTTTCACTTACACTGTCTCTTACTCTACTAATTTCATTCCTGGTTTTTCTAAAAGAAGCTCCATTTCCTTGGTAATGAAATCTTGGAGCCATCCTTGACTCACTGCTTTTTATTGTCTCCCTTAGACAATCAGTTCCCCAGTCCTAACAGTTTACCTTTGAAATACTTTTGGCATCTTTATCTTTCTGTATATTCCTCCTGCTGTGACCTTAGTTTAGTCTTTAATTACCACATACTTAATAAATTAGTAGTATTTTCTTTATTAGTCTCACTTCTTATAGAGTCACCCCTCTCTAATACATTTTAACACCTACTCTAAATATTTTTTAAATACTTCACTTTGGTTTTAAATTACTTCACTTTGGTTATATTATTTCATTGCTCAATAATAACAGCTAGCAATTATGGAGGGCTTACAGTGTATCAGGCAAGGCTCTAAGCAGTCCTGAGTTCTAAATGGATAGACTTAATTAATCCTCACAATAATCCTATAAGGTAGCTAGTATTATCATTTAACTATGAAGAACACTGAGCCTGCTGGAGTTCAGCAGCTCATCCAAGATCACACAGCTTATGAGCTGTAAGTTTAGGAATCCAAGGTTGCTCTCTCCCACTCCTCAATGCAGGATGTGGGGTTGAGTGTGTGTGGGGAGTTGGGGGGCAGCACCTAGGCTCTTAACCGCTAAACTGCAATGTCTTTTGTGAGTGACTGAGTAACGTTCAGACTCACTAAGTTGGCTTTCAACTCCCTGGCCTCCAAATGGCTTTTAATTTTCAGAAATATCAAACACAAAACCAGTGTAATGGCTTATGTCCTATTCATAATTCTCATAAATATGCACTGGGTCTTTGGTCTGCATAGTTCTGTTTATATTGTTCCCTTGACTCCCATCATGCTTTCCTTCTTTTTCAACCATGCTTTCCTTCTTCAACCAAGCCGAAAGTCTTCTGTATAAAACCCTTTCATCACCTTTCAACACTTACTTAAGCACTAGAGAGTCTATCGCACCCAAGGGTGACCCTTATCTCCTGGCTACCAATTGCATTTACCTTGTCTCACTTATATTTTACTTATTATATATTGGGTGATATTTAAAACATTGATGTTTATGTGTTATCTCTCCTACTAGGTCGTAATTTCTGCATGCATTAAAGCTGTAATAAACAGCAGTAAAATGATTGAAATGACTTCAAAATATTTTCTGTTTATCATTTTTTAAAATGTAAAAACTCAATTGAAGAAAGAGAAAGAAACAGTAACTTTCTCCCCAGACACCCGATAGTCTCAGATTATGCCACAGTTTCTGGGTTTTAATTACTATTCAAAGTTCAAGTACAGTTATCACAAGAATGGAGATTTTTCCCAGTAGCTCTGACTCCGAATAAACAGGAAGTATAGTATCAGAAATCTGGCATGAGAACCTGGTCTTGTGAAACTTCTCATCCTAAGTACTTGAAACTTTTCATGCTTCTTGCTAAATCTTCACAAGTGTGCCCATAATTCTGTATTACCTAACTAGTTTGAACTCTAGAATATTAGTTCCAAAACCATATACAGAACAGATGAAAGCTAGATATTACAAGACTAAAAGCTGTTGCAACAAAATCTTCCTGACAAATGGAGCTGTCAGTTTGTGTGACTACAGGGAGAAACAGAGTGGGACTATGAAGTGCTAAAGTATTGTAGGACTGCATTTGCCTCTTTTAGTTACTCCAAATGCAAATCACTCTTGCCCTGGGAAAAGTGGTATAGTTGGAGGACATAGTTACAGTAAAACAAATTTGGACTCATTTTTTTCTATGAACCTCAAGTTTAACCACACTAAACCCTCTTTATCAGAGATTCCATGAAAGGTCATATTGTTTTATTTCTTTATTATGGCCATGAACTTCCTAATTAAATTCAGAATCATAGCAAGAGCTCCCTAGCTTGTGAAAGTCTAAATTTGCTGACATCTTAATGTCTTAAGTACCCAGCCAACTGTTAGTCTTGCATCCTATGAATGGTTTCGTGAGTTGGAGCTTCTTAGTCCTTCCCCTACTTCTGACTTTGAATCAGCAAAATGGGCAACTTTTACATTTTATGTTTTGGATGGCAATCCAGGCACATTGTAGGGGTCAGTAATTCTTGCTGGCTATGCCATTTTAGAAGTATACTGTCTAAAACTAGTAGTTTTAGTAGAAGAACATATTGTCAAGGGGAATAGGTGCACTCCCTCTTCCTTTACATGGGATTCAAGGGCTCCTGTTCTGACATTAGATGATTCAGGTGTTGTGCCCCATGCTAGTTGCTTTAATCTGTGATCAGAATTTTTCTGTGTGCTTGTGTTCCTGTTTCGATATTCTTCTAACCTAGAATTCTAAGTTAAAAGACATAAAGTGAAAGGAATGAAAAGGTACAAATAAAGGGCTTGGAAGGTTTCAGAGGAGGGAAAGATGAACTTGGGTGAAGATGGAAGTTAGAGAAGGATTTATAAAAGAATTAAGGTCAAGACCAAGAAAGACGTGAGTGGATAGTGTACTCTGAAGACACAAGCCAGTGTTTGATTTAATTTTAGGTATTTAGTGAACTGAAAGGATAATCAGCATAATACCTTCCAGGAAGATATTTCAGGCCAACTTTAAGCACACATAAATTCACACACCTCATAAAACTGCTTTAGGCATTAGCTATTAGCCAACAGAACATTTTCTTTGTCATCCACCAACATAAAAATAGCACTCATCTTTGGGGCGCACTCTGAACAGCATCGAAATTTTTTAAACAAAACTTCCCCCAAACAACAACAACAACAACAACAAAAAACTGAAAAAACACTCTACAAATCCTCCATAACGATAATATAAGTGAACATTACATTATCTAAGAAAAATTTGCAAAGCACCTACATTTTTGCTACATCTTTCATTAACATTGATTTTTTTCTTAGTTCAAAAGATTATAAAATACAGTGTATACTTTAAATTTTTAAACTATAATTGAACTCAGCTGAAATAAATGCCTTCTAAGTGAGATGTGTATAGAACTTCCTTTGTATACTTAAAGACTCAACAGTTTACTAGATAGAATATAATGACCAATGAAAATAAAAACTCTGTTTCCAGTGATTTACATCATCAAATGTAAAAGGTTTTCTAGCTACAGTCACCTAGATGTCTAAACCTCCTTCAAGATTATTGGATGCAGATCTTTTGGGGAAAGTGTTGACCAGAGGACACTGGAGTGACCTTGAGCTCTGACTGCTAAGAGTAAGAGAAGACAAAGTTTGAGGATGAACCTTGTTTGGGAGAGATGATTAACCACCTACATTCCTGATTAAAATAAAGAGACAGAACAGAAGACTGAACAAAAGGTTGAGAGTCTAGGAGAAATGGTATAGAAGGCAGAGTCAAGTTGAGTTGTGCCATATAGGTTTGTGGACTGAGCCAGCGTGTCTGAAGATATTGCTGTTGGATACCTACGACATGGCTTTTTCTGGGTTTGGGCACATGGGGTAAAAAACCAGAGAAATCACTAATGATAAGAAAAGCTGAGCAACTGACCCTGTCATCTCCAGGCCGTCTCTGGTCAGACCAACTCCTTTACAAACATCACCTTAATTAATTAATTTAAAACTCTCCATTATCTGACATTGACAGTCCTCATTGCTGCTACCTTGTGTCTTTTAATATACATTCACTTAACTATTTATACAGTTCTTACATTTTTGAGAATTTAACCCCCGTCTTTGCCGTATTCCTCCTTCTTTAACCAGAACAAGCAGCTCTTCCTTTGAACTGGCCATCCTAGGTGGGCTTTGGTAATCCCTGGTGCTACCATAAAATCTTATGTCGTGGGTCTCAAGTTTTAGTGTCCATGAGAATCAGCTGGAAAATATTGAATATAGAATCCTCAGATTCCCACCCAGTCTGCACAAATCAGAATTTCTGAATGCAGAACAGAGAATTTCATTGTAGCGATTGCCTTGGTGATTCTAATGCACATAAATGACTGAAAACACGCCTCTGTGGTTATCATATTTATTGTAATTATCTTTGTCTCAAACACTCTTTTACAGAACAGTCAGTGTTTTGGTCAAATTTTTGTGTGTCTTTGGTATCTAATCCAAAGTCTGAAACATATCACACACTACCATGTGTTTATTTAACTAGCTCATGAATACTTCATGTAGTAACGGTGAACCAGAGTGGGGAAAAAGAATACCCAACTGGTTTAGGATTTGAGTTGCTACTCTCTACCGGAGTAGGCGTCATTTTATTTTTGTTTTCTACAGATAGGATATTTTAAAAGGGTAGTTATTCTTGGTTATACTTCATCAATAACTAACAGGTGAATAATTTAAACATAGTCAATATTGGCATTAGACTACTTATTTGAAGGAAACTATTCAAAATGTATGAACTTAGGCCAAAAGGCAGAGGATTAAAGGGCAGAGAAAAGTGAGTTGCTTATACTACCACATGACTTTTACGTTTATTTCTGCCATTCAGAGCCCCTGAGAATTAAGAAGCCTTTGTAAATCATACTACTTCTACCTCGTCTTTATGTACTTTCCTTCTATTTCTCCTCACAGATTATTTCATTTTCTCTTCTCCCCTATCCTCTAGTTCTTTCTTTATTCCTAATTCTCTCTTACAGAACTACAATCATAGCCAAAAATATTTTTTAATAAACTTGGAGGTATAATTTACATAAAGTTAAATGTATCCATTTAAAGTGTACAGTTCAATGAGTTTTGACAATTATCTGTGCCCATGTAACCATCACTGCAACCAAGGTACAGGACATTTCCATAACCCCCATCATTCTCTCATGATCC
The DNA here is from genome assembly GCF_000001405.40 of Homo sapiens. Classification (NCBI taxonomy): domain Eukaryota; kingdom Metazoa; phylum Chordata; class Mammalia; order Primates; family Hominidae; genus Homo; species Homo sapiens. Next base: position 37,179,541 of record NC_000013.11, read on the forward strand.
TTTGCAACATTCTTCTCCCTGACCCCATCTGCCCCTGGCAAACACTGGTCTACTTTCTGTTGTCATAGATTAGTTTTGTCTTTTTTAGAATTTCATATAAATGGAATCACACAGTTTATACTTTTTTATATTTGCTGCTATCATTCAGCATCATGGTTTTAAGATTCATTTATGTTGTTCTACATTATCGGTAGTCCATTTTTATTTTTAAATTCCATTGTATGAATATATCACAAATTGTTTATTCATGCGCCTATTGTTCGCATTTGGGTCGTTTCCAGTTTTTGGCTGTGACAAATAAAGCTGCTATGAACTTTTGAGTCTGAGTCTTTGTGTGGACATATGTTTTAATTTTTCTGAGGTAATCACCCAGGAGTTGATTTGCTGGGTAGATGATAAGTACTTGTTTAACTTTATAAGAAACTGGCAATTCATTTCCAAAGTAGTTGTGTCATTTGTACATTTCAATTAGTAAAGTAGGAGAGTTGTAGTTTTTCCACATTCCTGTCAATACTTGGTATTGTCAGTCTTTATAATTTTAGTCATTCTAGTGGATGTGCAGTGATATTTCATGGTGATTTTATTCTGCATTTCTTTGATGTCTAATGATATTGAGCATCTTTTCATGTGCTTATTGGACAGTTGTATAACTTTTTAAGTGGTCTGTTTCAATCTTGTCCATTTAAATTATATTTAATTTAGTAATCTTATTATGAGGTACAAGAATTATTTATATATCAACAACATATAATTTGTTTCTAATTTAAAAGTGTTATTTTTCTGTTCAATTAAAGTAGACGAGTCCTTGATTTAATTCAACAGTTCCTGTATTTTGGCTTACATCTAACTCAAGCACAGTCACTAGCCAGCTGGAAAATCCATCATGAAGCCAGAAATTGCTATAAACTGCTACATGATAATTATCTAATACTTTTGTAGAAGACCTAAGCCTAGGGTAAATATTATATAGTAATATGATCAAGAGAAAAACAGCAGTCAATGGGTAGCTGAGTGATTCCATAAACAATCTCCTATAGCAAATAGAAATGGAATTTGATCAACTATAAAAGCTAGATTAATTTCTGCAGTTAAATTGGCAAACCATATGATAACATTGAAGCATATGTCAAAATAAGCACATATACACCTAGGGTGAGAATGATCTCCCTCAGTCTTCTCAGAGCGCAAAACTGAAGCCACTAAGATGTCTCAGATTCTCACCATCAATGTCGAGATACAGTAGATTCTTGATATTCATGGTAGTTATGTTCTATAAAGTTGCTGATAACATTGAAATAGTGCAAACAGTGAATTAACTCTTAGAGAAAATATATATAAATCAAATTTCATATTTAATCTTAAAAACTCATCCTGGTGGATTCTATTCTCTTTATTTTACAAAAGAGATAAGGAGATTGAGAAGTGCCAAGTGACATGCCTGTGTTGCCACACTAACAGGTGCCAGAGTTGGATTCAAACCCCATCCACCTGGCCCCAGGGCTGGAGCTTCTCGCACTACCCAGCACTGCCCTGACTGCCTTGTGTTTTCTGGTCATCTCTGTATGGGAGCAGAAACATGAAGGCAGCACATTGCCTTGTTCTACCTCAGCTGCAAACCAGCGCTTTGGACAACTCAAATTTTTCACTGCTCCGTGCATGTCCACAAATTAACACAAAATCTCTGGGTATATTGATTTGGGGGTTACAAATAAAATTTAACAAGTAGGTGAATTCATGGTTACTGAATTTGTGAGCAAGAATTGATTTTACGTATGAGAACATAAAAGCACACATTCACACATATTCACTCACACAAGCACATGCAGTTTCTGCATGGGTGGAAGAGGAGTGGGCAGGATGGTAACGAGCAATGGCCTCTGATCTGTTTTCACTCTGATTCTGAATTGAAAACCAATGAGATTCTTTGATTATTTTCAGGTCTCTGATTTATGTCATGGTTGTGTCTATATGGCTAGTTGACTTTTTATGGTCAAAATGAAGTAACCTATTGGTTAACAGAGCTACAAAATCTGGGTCATGTAAATATCTAATCATTTTTACTCATTCATAATATAGCCTCACATCTCAAATTAAACAAATGTTGGTAGATTTTGTCAGTAATATTTATAAAGTCTGAATCACAAAACATAGAAGAGTTCCATCAGCTATTATATCTTTGCTTTTGCCATTTCTTCATTTGAGCTCATCAAAGTTCTGTGTAAGATGATTCCAGCTATTTCCAGGGCTCAGTTTGAGAGGTGAAGTAATGACATTTGGCAGAAACATTAAAGCTATGCTAACTTCATACAACTGTTAACAACCAGAATATTACTCCAGACAACTTAGACCTAGGAAGCAATTGGAAGGAGTCAGTAAATCACAAAATAGGAGCAGGTGGAAAATTTTTAAGGTGGAAAATCATTTAGGTACAAAGTCTATCATCTTAGGTTGTTCCCCTCAGCCTTAATACTTTTGGAACAGAGAATTATTTGGAGCAAACTTTTTTTCACCAAGTTTCAATTCTTTCTAGAATATGCTGGCTAATTCATTTTACAATATAAATACTTTCATGTTTAGACCATAACTTAATAGCAAAAAACTTTTATGATTAATTTTTCTTTATCTTATTATAGTGTTTATGTTTTGAATAAGAATTAATTTTACTAATTGTATCTGCTAATGAACATGTATCTTAAAATACATTTATATATGCAGTTTGTTCTGTATTAAGCTTACATATTTTTGGATTTGAAATGTATAAAATATTTAATTTCAGGTTTGTTTATGAAATCTTTGGTAATTTAAAATAAGCTGTAAATATTTTAAAAACACCAGAGTTACCATTCCTACTGAAACTATTCCAAAAAATTGAAAAGGAGGGACTCCTCCCCCAACTCATGCTATGAGGCCAGCATCATCCTGATACCAAAACCTGGCAGAGATATAACAAAAAAAAGAAACTTCAGGCCAATATCTTTGTTGAGCATTCATGCAAAAATCCTCAACAAAATACTGGCAAACCGACTCCAGCAGCACATCAAAAAGCTTGTCCACTACGATCAAGTAGGCTTCATCCCTGGGATGCAAGGTTGGTTTAACATATGCAAATCAATAAATGTGATTCATCACATAAGCAGAACTAAAGAAAAAAACTACTTGATTATCTCATTAGATACAAAAAAAGGCTTTTGATGAAATTCCACATCACTTCATGTTAAACACTCTCAGTAAACTAGGTATTGAAAGAACATACCTCAAAATAATAAGAGCCATAAATAACAAACCTATAACCAATATACCAAATGGGCAAAAGCTGGAAGAATTCCTCTTGAAAACCAGCACAAGACAAGTTTGTACTCTCCCACTACTCCTACTTAACACAGTATGGGAAGGTCTGGCCAGGGAAATCAGGCAAGAGAAAGAAATAAAGTGTATTAAAATAGGAAGAGAGGAAGTGAAACTATCTTTGTTTGCAGATGACATGATTTTATATCTAGAAAATCCCATTGTCTCAGCTCAAAAGTTTCTTAAGCTGATAAGCAACTTCAGCTAAGTCTCAGGATACAAAATCAATGTGCAAAAATCACTAGCATTCCTATACACCAACAGTCAAGCTGAGAGCCAAATCATGAATGAACTCCTATTCACAGTTGCTACAAAGAAAATAAAAGACCTAGGAATACAGCTAACAAGGGAAGTGAAGGACCTCTTCTAGGAGAACTACAAACCACTGCTAAAAGAAATCAGAAATTACACACAAAAAATTGAAAAACATTCCATGCTTATGGATAGGAAGAATCAATTTTGGTAAAATGGCGATTCGGCCCAAAGCAGTTTATAGATTCAGTGCTATTCCCATTAAACTACCATCGACATCCTTCTCAGCACTAGAAAAAAACTACTTAAAAATTCATATGGAACAAAAAAAGAGCCTGAATACCCAAGGCAATCCTAAGCAAAAAGAACAAAGCGAGAGGTATCACCTTACCCAACTTCAAACTACAGTACAGGGATACAGTTATCAAAACAGCATGGTACTGGTACAAGAACAGACATATAGACTAATGGAACAGAACAGGGAACCCAGAAATAAGATCACACACCTACAGCTAGGGAATCATTCACTATTTGATTGAAGGAATTGAGACTTTGCTGAAATTGCTTATCAGCTTAAGCTTTTGATCTTCCACAAACCTGACAAAAACAAGCACTGGGGAGATGATTACCTATTTAATAAATGGTGCTGAGAGACTTGGTTAGCCATATGCAGAAAATTGAAACTGGACCACTTCCTTACACTATATACAAAAATCAACTCAAGATGGATTAAAGACTTAAATGTAAAACCCCAAACTATAAAAACCCTAGAAGAAAACCTAGGCCATACCATTCAGGACATAGGCACAGGCAAATATTTCATGATGGAGATGCCAAAAGCATTTGCAACAAAAGCAAAAATTGACAAATGGAATCTAATTAAATTAAAGTGTTTCCACACAGCAAAAGAAACTATCAACAGAGTAAACAGACAACATACAGAATGGGAAAAAATTTTGCAAACTATGGATGTGACAAAGGTCTAATATCTAGCATCTATCAGGAACTTAAACAGATTTACAAAGGTCTAATATCCAGCATCTACAAGGAACTTAAACAGATTTACAAGAAAAAATCAAACAACCCCATTAACAAGTGGGCAAAGGACACAAACAAGCACTTCTCAAAAGAAGCCATATATGCAGCCGGCAAACATATGAAAAAAGGCTCAACATCACTGATCATTAGATAAATGCAAATCAAAACCACAATGAGATACCACCTCACACCAGTCAGAATGGCTATTATTAAAAACTAAAAAAAAATAGATGCTGGCAAGGTTGAGGAGAAAAAGAACACTTTTACACTGTTGGTGGGAGTGTAAATTACTTCAACCATTGCGGAAGACAGTGTGGCAATTCCTCAAAGACCTAGAACCAGAAATGCCATTTGACCCAGCAATTCCATTACTGGGTATATACCCAAAGGAATATAAATCATTCTATTACAAAGATAACGTGCATGTCTATGTTCATTGTAGCAATATTCACAGTAGCAAAGACATGGAATCAACCCAAATGCCCATCAATGATACACTGGACAAAGAAAATGTGGTGTGGTACAAAGAAAATATGTATCACACTATGGAATACCGTGCAGCTATAAAAAAGAATGAGATCATGTCCTTTGCAGGGACATGGATGGAGCTGGAGGCCATTATCCTTAACAAACTAACACAGGAACAGAAAGCAAATACCGCATGTTCTCACTTATAAGTGGAAGCTAAGTGATGGGAACACAGGGACACATAGACCAGGAAAAATAACTGATGGTCACTAGGCTCAATACCTGCATGATGAAATAATCTGTGCAACATACCCCATGACACACAGCTGTGTATGTAACAAACCTGCACATCCTGCACATGTACCCCTGAACTTAAAATAAAAGTTAAAATAAAATAAAATATCAAATCAAAAAAATATCAGAGTTGTTATTTTATTTGGGTATTGCAGTCTCTGTTTGAGTGAAAATAATTAGCTGGGACTATTGACTACTGCCAACCCTGGAACTTTTGTTCACTATTTAAATAAAAATTATTATATTAAGGACTTTGAAACTACTGCTGCACAATTGACTTATGAAATAATATATGTTAGAAGAATAAAATGAACAATTATTAAATGAAAAGTAAGTGACGGTTGGCTTGTTGTTTTAAAAATAAAAACATTTCTATGTCAATGTATAAATCATAGGGAATAGAAATGCCATTTTAACCTGCAAGTTGACTAATAATTTAATTTAAATTAGTAAATATTTATTTAGTATTTTAAGGAACATCTCTAGGTGTTAAAGAGATAAACAATAATGTGTTTTTTTGGGCTTCCAGAGGTTTACACTTCAGCAGGAATATTTTGTAAACCATGCTATATAGTGTGGTGAATGCTCTATTAGCACAAGCAAATATATCTGTTACAAGCAATATCAGCAGCTAAAAATACAAGTAAAATTTCACAGAGAGGAATTATTAAAAATTCGTGAGACAGAATGGAGGGATGGTATGTATGGGGGAAAGGCATTTTAGGCAAAGGGAACAACAGAAAAAGCATGAAAACATAAAAAGTGGTGTGTTTGGGAATATGTCATTGTAATGTAGAGTATATGTCTTAGCTCAGGCTGTTATAACAAGAATACCATATACTGGGCGGCTTAAACAACAAACATTTATTTTTCACAATTCTGGAGGCTGGGAAGTCCAAGATGAAGACATTGGCAGGTCTGGCGTCTGGTGAGGGTTTCTTTCATGGTTTGCAGACAGTTGCTATATCCTCACATGGTTGAGACACAGACAGACAGACAGAAAGACAGACAGAAAGACACACACACACACACACACACACAGAGAAAGAGAGAGAGAGAGAGAGAGAGAGAGAACCTAAGCTTTCTCGTGTCTCCTTTTACAATAAGGGCACTTATCCCAACATGAGGGCTCCGCTCATGACCTAGTTACCTCTTAGACCATCTCCAAATACCATCATGCTGGGGATTAAGGTTTCAACATACAAAGTTTGGAGAGACACAAACATTCAGTCCATAGCAGTGTAATACATAAGGATAGGTTTAAAATTCAAAAAAATAAGTTGGGGGTAAGATTTAAGGTAGTATTGACAGCAAAATTATAGATTTTGTCTAAAGCAACATGAAGACTTACTTATGACAGTGAACCCAGTCATATTTATGTTTTAGAAAGATAGTTTTGGTAATATTATGCAGAATGGATTAGAAAGAGGAAAGGTTAGGACAGGGAGACCAGTTAGAAGACTATTTCACAGGTCTCAGTAAGAGAGGTTGAGGGCCTGAGGTAGGGCTTGAGGAGGAAATATAGAGGAGGGAATAGATTGGAAAGGTATTATTTAGGTAGAGTTATCTGGGGACAATGTCACGTGGTAATGAGAGAGACTGAGGAGCCAGGAAATGCTCATAAAAGCTGCATAGGAGGAAGACAATCATTTAACCAAGTAAGGGCAAGAGTGCAATTTATGTTCGTTCAAGTTGTTTGGTTGAGAAAGGAGAAAATAGGATTTTTTTTTTTTTTAGAAAATTAAGTTTTTGCTTATTTGTTTTTTTTAAAGATTGGGGCTAAGCCACATACAGAGAGAATGTTTATAAGATACAGAGGAGAGAAATATAAAAAGTTCCTACTTGATCGTTGTTGCTGTAGGTTAGCCCAGGCCACACAGAAGGATTGTAACAGTGTATGAGTGACAGTCTGGAGTCCTTGGCACATATATTTCTACTTTACTTTGTCATGGGCGACCTTGCTATTGACCCCCATTTGTTACATTCTTCTACTGGTTCCCCTACCTAGTTCTGGTCTACTTTACTTCTCCCCTGTGACTGCTCTCCTTAAACTCTGATGAGCATCCTCTGATTATAGCTGAAAGAGAAAAAGGGAATTTATTAGGAAGGTACATGGGTGCCTTGCAGAAGTCAAGGGCAGGCAGGTACTGGACCCAGGCACTAAAAATGCAGGAGGATCCTCACTTACTAGAACATGTGCATTTCTGACATTCTTCTTTCTTTGTCTTTGCAGAATGGATTCCTCTGCTTTGCTGGAGGAAGTATGGTAGGTGGAAGATGCCAAACCACAGTACCCAAGCTTCACATGTGTCTAATAGGTCCAATTATATCAAAAAGACTAACTTCCCTCAGGCCTAATCTTAACTAATTGTCTCAGCCTGGATCTAGTGCCCAAGTCTGTTCCAACCAACAGCGGTCAATGGAATGGGTCTCATTGTACAAGCATGACTCATCAGAGCTCAGTATGGGGACATGTTCATGGGGCAGAGGGAGAAGCAGTGCTATGTTTTGTGCATAGATGCTGGGCTGGCAACACAATGGCTTACGGTCATCACACACTGGTATACTCCTGATCTCCTATACCTAACTGTCAATTCTCATTTAGATGGGTTGCCAACCATTAAAACCTTACTAGTTATTTATCTGAGCATTTATGATATAATATATTTTTATTAGGAGAATTATATATTGTATAACATATAATAGGAGTATTATATATAACAAAGCAGAAATATTTTTAGTAATAAGAAAAAGGATACTTAGACTTTAACAACTGAGACAACATCTTAGTCTTTCCACTCCAGACTGTACAGGAAATTCCTCATCAAATTTCTGAAAACCATTCTCAGACATTATCCATTTTTTATAGTCCTGTCATCTCTTAGTCTTCAAACAGCAGGGATGTTCTTTTCTATAAAACCATATGCTTTTGTTGGAGTAATGAGCTAGAAATAGAAATTAATTCCAACTGGTGATTCTATGCTTTCCTGTAACTAAAACATTGAAAATAAGACTTATCTGACCACACAAGCCTAAAGTAATACAGAAATTTCTTAGAGTTACTAGTGCACTATAGCTTGGCCATGCAGCAAAGTTTAGTAGAAATGATTGATGTATTGTTTTGTCACCTCAGAGTCAACAATAATTGCTGACATTTATAAAGTATCTTTTATTGCAAAATATGGCAACATACCAGAATCTCTGGGACACAGCTAAGGCAGTGTTTAGAGGGAAGTTTATAGCACTAAATGCCCACATCAAAAAGTTAGAAAGATCTAAAATTGACAACCTAAAGTCTCAACTAAAAGAACTACAGAAGCAAGAGCAAACCAACCCCAAAACCAGTAGAAGACAGGAAATAACCAAAATTAGAGCTCAACTGAAGGAGTTGAGCTCTAAAACACCATACAAAAGATCAACAAATTCAGGAGTTGATTATTTGAAAAAAATTAATAAGATAGATGGACTTCTAGCTAGAATATTGAAGAAAACAGAGAAAATCCAAATAAACGCAATTAGAAATGACAAAAGGGGACATTACAACTGACCCCACAGAAATACAAATACTCATCAGAGACTACTATGAACACCTCTATGCACACAAACTAGAACATCTAGAGGAAATTAATAAATTCCTGGACACATACATCCTCCCAAGATTGAACCAGGAAAAAGTGAATTCTTGAACAGACCAATAACAAGCTCTGAAATTGAATCAGTAATAAATAGCCTAGAAACCAAAAAGAAGCCTAGGACAAGACAAATTAACAGCTGAATTTTACCAGCTGTACAAAGAGAGCTGGTAGTATTCCTACAGATACAATTATAAAAAAATTGAGGAGAAGGGACTCCTCCCAAACTCATTCTATGAGTTCTGCATCATTCTAATACCAAACCTGGCTGAGACACCACAACAACAAAAACAATAGCAACAAAAACTTCAGGCCAATAACCTTGATGAACATAGATGTAAAAATCCTCAACAAAATACTGGCAAACTGAATCCAGCAGCACATCAAAAAGCTAATCCACCATGATCAAGTAAGCTTTATCCTTTGGATGCAAGGTTGGTTCAACATATACAAATCAATAAATGTGATTCATCACCTAAACAAAAGTAAAGACAAAAATCTCATGAGGGCTGGGTGCGGTGGCTCATGCCTACAATCCCAACATTTTGGGAGGCCAAGGCTGGCAGATTACCTGAAGTCAGGAGTTCAAGACTAGCCTGGCCAACATGGAGAAACCCTGTCTCTACTAAAAAATACAAAAATTAGGTGGGTGTAGTGGTGCACACCTGTAATCCCAGCTACTTGGGAAGCTGAGGCACGAGAGTCGCTTGAACCTGGGAGGTAGAAGCTGCAGTGAGCTGAGATTGAGCCACTGCACTCCAGCCTGGGTGACAGAGTGAGACTCTGTCTCAAAATAAAACAAAATAAAATAAAATAAAATCACACAATTATCTCAATAGATGCAGAAAATTTTTTCAATAAAATACAACATCCTTTCAGGTTAAAAACCCCCAATAAACTAAGCATTGAAAAAACACACTTCAAAATAATAAGAGCCATCTATGACAAACCCACAGCCAGCATCATACTGGATGAGCAAAACCTAGAAGCATTCCCCTTGAAAATCTGCTGCCTCTTTCACCACTCCTATTCAACATAGTATTGGAAGCTATGGCCAGATCAATCAGGAAAGAGGAATAAATAAATGACATCCAAATAGAAAGAGAGGAAGTCAAACTATTCCTGTTTGCAGATGACATGATTTCATATCTAGAAAACCTCATAGTCTCTGCTCCAAAGCTCCCTGAGCTGATAAACAACTTCAGCAAAGTTGTAGGATACAAAATAAATGTACAAAACCCAGTAGCATCCCTATACCCCAACAACATGCAAGCTGGGAGCCAAATCAGGAATTCAATCCCATTCACAATTGCCATGAAGAAATACCTAGGAATACAACTAACTAGGGGGATAAAACATCTCTTCAATGAAAATTACAAAACACTGCTGGAAGAAATCAGAGATACACAAACAAATGGAAAGACATAACTTGCTCATAGATAGGAAGAATTAATACTGTGAAAATTGCCATACAGATTCAATGCTATTCTTATCATACTAACAATGACATTCTTCACAGGATTAGGAAAAAAAAAGATTCTCAAAGGAATATAAATCATTCTACCATAAAGACACACACACGTGAATGTTCATTGCAGCACTATTCACAATAGCAAAGACATAGAATCAACCTAAATGCCCATCAATTACAGATTGAATAAAGCAAATGTGATACATATACACCATGGAATACTATGCAGCCATGAAAAAGAATGATATCATGTCCTTTGCAGGAACATGGATGGAGCTAGAGTCCATTATCCTTAGCAAACTAGCACAAGAACAGAAAATGAAATACCTCACTTATAAGTGGGAGCTAAATAATGTGAACCAATGGGCACAAAGAGGGGAACAACAGACACTGCAGCATTTTTGAGGTAGGAGGTAGGGAGGAGGGTGAGGGTCAGGAAATATAACTACCAGGTACTATGCTTAGTACCGGGGAAACAAAATGATCTTTACACCAAACCCCCATGACATGAGTTTGCCTATATTAACAGACCTGCACATGTACCCCTGAATCTAAAATAAAAGTTTTAAAGAAATAATTAGTGGAGTATCACATTTAAGGCAGGGAGCATCAAATTATCATTCCCCAAAGGATTTTGAGGACAGAGAATGAAAGAAAAAAATATGTAGGTCAGGGGAGTGCAAAGAGGATGGGGTAAGTAGGTCTTATTGCTCTTATTCAGGCTAATATGTAAGATAGCCATTTCTTCTCTGCTCAAAGTAGCTACTAATTGGTAAGAAAAAAAGTCAACTTGTTTTTGCAGAAAATTTTGGGAGAAGACAAAAATGGCAATTTATTTTACTTCCTGGCTTAGTCTAGTAATGAGTATTAATATCTTTCTTCTTTCCTTCTAGTTTCTCTCTCCAGGGAAATGACTTTATCAGGTGGCATCATTATAAACGATATCATTAGAAACCAGATATTTAAAATCTTTAATACATTTCTAAACCATTGCTGTGGCATTGCCTCTGGCTTTGTTTGAGTCTGTGCCATTAGCCTTTCATTACACCTCAGGTAGGAGAAGGTTGTGTTGGAGAGAAATAATTATGCTTATTCCCAAGCCCAGGGGATGGGACATTTGGTGGTAGGAATAAAAACAGGTCACAAAACTAAGAAAGATGTCTAGGTAGAGTAGAGATTATTGTCCTACTTATTTCTTATTTCTGTTCATAAAAAAGAAATCAAGGGCCAAGTATGTCTTTGACTGAAGAAGGACTTCATCTTTGGAGAGCTGAAGAACTCCAGGTTGACTACCATGGGCAAAGGTTTAAGATGGGCCTGACATCCAATAGAGAATCTTCTACTTGGAAAATACTCCACAGATATTTGCTGTGTTGGATAAATATGTCTACTAGAGACCGGCTTTGGTGCAGGTTGAAAGAGAGTACAGAAGAGTTAGACATCAGACTACCACACAGTCCAGGCTATCTCACCAGAGTAGAAAGGCAGAGATTTGTAACTAGACACCGTACATTGAAATAAAGATTGCCTATTTGATTGGTTTGAACCCTGGTATCTCATAAAGATGTCAATATCATAGTAGAGATTTGGCTAAGATACATTTCTAGTAGAGTCAAGGGAGAAACTCTAACATGATGTCTGATGCCAGCTCTCTGGTTTAGAATGAAACGCTTTAGTAATTTACTAAATTGCTCCTAGGTTGAAAGAGCTAGTTTAACTTATTCACCTATTCTGAAACCATCTATTGTGTATTTACTATATGCTAAGCCTTGACAGTACTAAGATAAATAATATCTATTTCCTATCTTTTAAAGAATCATAGCATAGAAAGAGACAAAATCAGAGGTAGCCAGCCTCACTGAGATGTGATCAGTACCATAATGGAGACAAAAACCTGTGAGAACCTACATGAAGAAGGGAATAATATTGCATGGGGAGAGGAGGGAGCTGGGAAAGGTGAATTGATGCATATACTTAACTTTCTGCCAGCCTGTAAATAATGGACAAGACTAAAATAGATCTGTCTTTTATTGTACTCTTCTTTACTTAAGTTGGGTCTATTGCTAGATGTTTTGGGGTTAGTAGGGCAGGAGCAGAGTGTAAGTAAGGGCAGATACATTTGGAATCTGATCACCTGACGCCTCCTAGGCCTGAACAGGAACCTTGAATTAATATTGAGACCCAAAGCTCAGGACTTACTATGGATTTTTTCTCCCAGTTTTGGCACACATATCAGATGGTTTTTGGGTATGATGTACTCCAGACTCTCATGTCTCTCACATATCATCTCTCTCAACTCATAACAAGCAAAAAGACTGGGAGTGGGAGGATACTCCAGGGACAACTCAATTGGAGAAGGAGGCTCTGCTGCTTCACCAAGTCAGGGATACACTAGAGGATTGTCATAGGTCATTATGTCAATTATTACAGTTAACTTGTATTGATATGAAATATAAGTAAATAGTAGCATGATTTGATGTTTGGGAAATAACTTCACTGTCTCCCTAAAAAGAGTTTGGTTGATATACTCTGCCTTTGCAGTGGGGAATTGGTGTTTATAGTTCCTCCTCCCTCTGAGACAAGTCAAGCCTCATAATATAGAAAAATGACAATATTATAAAATTAAAAGTCCATACATAAGTCAACAGACACTATCTAATGAAAGCACAGAAGAAAAATCTAGCCTCAGACATAGTTTATAGTTCTTTATATCTGATTTATTTATATCTTGTTATATTGACAGTATGATGTACTTCAGACTCTCATATCTGCCTCTTCCACCCTCCCATCTCAACACAAGGGTAGAGAGATACAAAAGGTGAAATAGTTGGGAGGAAGTGTGATCTGATTCATCAGCAGAATCACAGATGCTTTAGTCTTGAAAAGCCCTTTCAACATGGCAGAAATTTCTGTGCTGTGATTCTGTCTTTGCTTTTTTGTAAAATGTCAGAATGGATGTCTAGTGGTGCAGTTGATACTGTGTTAGAACTAACTTCATGTCCTGCAGAGGCAGGCTCCCTGTTGGGAACACAAATCATTTGGGAAGACCTCCCTTCCACCAGAAACCCTAGGGGATGACTGATTCTTACAGGCATGGAGACACGAATCTCACTGCTCTTGCCAACTTTTTTTCCTCAAAGCAAAACACCCAATTTCTGAGGAACTGAGTGAAGATGAGAACCAGGCAGTGGAAATCAGGTTCTGCAGCTATGTGCTGTCCTCTGCATGTTTGGAGGCGTGAGTGAAGTTTCCCTTTGGCCATTTACAGAAAGACTTGAATTTAGGAGATAAAAGCATACTTCAAATCTTACATTTGGCTCAGCTATATCAGTAACTTAAAAGCAGATGCCCTTGCATACTTTCCTTGATTTTCAAGAATACAACAACAAATCAGAACAATCAGAGCTGGAATTATGCAGCATTCATTCACTTAACTATTTATTCAACAAACATTAAAAGTTCTCTGTGTATCAAGCTGTGCTATTTCCTGGAGATATAGTAAGAGAAAATAGAATGAGGGACCCTGGCTTAGACAGAAATTGTCAGGGGACCCAGGCATGTGGTGGCTGAGAATTACCTAAAAAAGAGGTGAAGGACAGCAAAGGCAAAGAAGTCCAGGCAGAGGACCTGGTGAGGGGTCCAAGATGGAAAAGGGCATGGGGGATGGAAGAATGAAAGACCAGGATTCACTGGGGTGGCAAAAGCAAAAGCAAAAATGAGGCCATAGAGGGAGCTTAGCACACGACACTTCTATATACCTGGTTGATCATTTCAGTAGAAGAAAGTCATCTCCTCTAATCCACCTCTTTCACATCAGCTCTATCACTTGTATACACTTTTCCCCATACCCATTGACACTGCTCTGGTTTACCACTCCACTGTCTGCAGTGCAGTGAATTCTTGTTCTTTTCTTTTCTTTTTTTGGTTTTTAAAATCTTATTTATTTATTTACCAATACATAATGTTTGTATATATTGATGGGATACATGTGATATTTTGTTCTATGCATAGAATGTGTAATGATCAATCGGGATATTTAGGTTATCCATTACTTTTATCATTTGTTGTTTCTATGTGTTGGGAATGTCTCCAGTAGCTATTTTGAAATACACAATATATGGTTGTTAATTATAGTCACCCTACCCTGCTATTGAACATTAGAACTTACTCCTTTGATGGTTTTTAAAATTCTTTATTGAGATACAATTCACACCCCATTAAATTCACCCATTCAAAGTGCACAATTCAGTGGGTTTCAATATATTCACAACATTGTGCGACCATCACCAAGATCTAAGTTTAGAATATTTTCATCACCTTGAGAAGAAGCTCTTTATGCATTAACAGTCAATCCCCTCTTTCCATAGCTACATCCTCTCCCAGCTCTAGGCAACTTCTAATCTACTTTCTATTTTGTCTGTGTAGATTTGCCTATCCTGCTCATTCCATATAAATGGAATCATATAAAGTGTGGTCTTTCGTGACTGGCTTCTTTCACTTGGCATAACATTTTCAAGGGTCATCATGTTGTAGCTTGTGTCAGTAATTCACTACCTTATATAGCTAAATAATATTCCATTGTAAGAATATAACACATTCTTTTTATCTGTGAATCACTTGGACATTTGGGATTGCTTCCACTTTTGAATCATGCTGCTATGAACATTTGTGACACATTATTGTGTACACATATTTTTATTTATCTTGGATATATACCAAGGAAGAAAATTGGTGGGTAATATGGTAATCTTTTTATGTTTAACCTTTCTGACAAGCTGCCAAACTCTGTTCAAAAGAGTCTTCACTGGCTTTCTCTTCCCAACAACAATGAATGAGCGTTCCAATTTCTTTACCTCTTTACTGGCACTTGTTGTTGTCTGTCTTTTTGAGTATATATCATTGAAGGGTAATGAAGATAAATCATGAAGATAAATTGTAAAACCTCTTATGGTTTGATTTGCACTTCCCTAATAACTAGTGATGCTGAACATCTTTTCGTGTGCTTGTTTTATGTGCATTTGCGTATCTTCTTTGGAGAAGTGTCTGTTCAAATCCTTTGCTCATTTTAAACTGGATTATTAGTCTTATTATTTTAATAATTTCAACTTTTATTTTAGACTCAGGGGTATATGTACAGGTTTGTTACATGGGTATATTGTGTGATGCTGAGGTTTGAGGTATGAATGGTCCTGTCACCCAGGTAGTGAGCAAAGTACCTTATAGATAGGTTTTTAGCCCTTCCTCCCTTCGAACTCCATCCCCTCCAGGAATCCCCAGCGTCTATTGTTGCCATCTTTATGTCCACATGTACCCAATGTTTGGATCCCACTTATAAATGAGAACATACAGTATTTGGTTTTCTGTTCCTGCATTAATTCACTCAGGATAATGGCCTCCAGGTGGATCCATGTTATTGCAATGGACATGATTTTGTTCCTTTTTGTGGCTCTGTAGTATTTCATGGTGTATATGTACCACGTTTTCTTTATCAAATCCACCATTGATGGGCACCTAGGTTGATTCCATGTCTTTGCCATTGTGTATAGTGTTGTGGTTACCATATGAGTATGTGTGTCTTTTTGGTAGAATGAATTATTTTTCTTTGGATATATACTTAGTAATGGGATTTCTAGGTTGAATAGCAGTGCTGTTTTAAGTTCTTTGAGAAATCTTCAAACTGCTTTCTACAGTGGCCAAAATAATCTATTAATATATTCCCATCAACAATGTCTAAGCTTTCCCACTCTCGTCAGCATATGTTATTTTTCGACTTTTTAGTAATAGCCATTCTGACTGGTGTGAGATGGTATGTAATTGTGGTTTTGATTTGCATTTCTCTGATGATTAGTGATGTAGAGTGTTTTTCATATATTTGTTGGCTGCATGTATGTCTTCTTTTCTGAAGTGTCTGTTCATGTCCTTTGCCTCCTTTTTTTTTTTTTTTTTTTTTGAGACAGAGTTTCGCTCTTGTTGCCCAGGCTGGGGTGCAATGGCGCGATCTCGGCTCACCTCAACCTCCGCCTCCTGGGTTCAAGAGATTCTCCTACCTCAGCTCCTGAGTAGCTGGGATTACAGGCATGTGCCATCACGCCCAGCTAATTTTTTGTATTTTTAGTAGAGACAGGGTTTCTCCATGTTGGTCAGGCTGGTCTCGAACTCCTGATCTCAGGTGATCCGCCTGCTTTGGCCTCCCAAAGTGCTAGGATTACAGGTGTGAGCCACCACACCTGGCTGTCTTTTGCCTACTTTTCAATGAAGTTATTTGTTTTCTTTGCTTGTTGAATTGTTTGAATTCCCTATAGACTCTGGATATTAGACCTTTGTCAGATACATATTTTGCAAATACATTCTCCCATTCTGTAGGTTGTCTTTTTACTCTGTGTATAGTTTCTTTTTCTGTGTAGAAGCTCTTTAGTTTATTTAGGTCCTACTTACCTATTTTTATTTTTGTTGCAATTGCTTTTGAGGACTTAGTTATAAATCCTTTTCCAAGTTTGATGTTCAGAATGGCATTTCCTAGGTTTTCTAGGATTCTTATAGATTGAGGTCTTACATTTAAATTATTAATCCGCTTTGAGTTAATTTTTGTATATGGTGAAAGGTAGGAGTCCAGTTTCATTCTTTTTTTCTTTAAGAATGCTGAAAAATAGGCCCCTAGTCTCTCCTGGCTTATAAGGTTTTTGTTGAGAAGTCTGCTGTTAACCTGATAAGGTTCCCTTTGTACATGAGCTGACCTTTTTCTCTAGCTGCCTTTAAAATTTTTTCTTTAGTTTTGACCTTGGAAAGTGTCATGACTATATGCCCTGATGATGTCTGTTTTGTATAGTATCTCACAGGTATTTTTTGGATTTCTTGTATCTGAATTTCTATATCTGTAGCAAGGTTAGGAAAATTTTTGTGAATTATTCCTCAAATATATTTCCAAGTTGTTTACTTTTTCTTCTGTCTCAGGAATGCCAATAATTCATAGGTTTGGCCACTCTATATAATCACATATTTCTTGAAGACTTTGTTCATTTAAAAAAAAATTCTTTAAAAAAATTTTTGTCTGACTGCCTTAGTTTGAAAGATTGATCTTCACGCTCTGAAAATCTTCTTTCTGCTCTGTCTTGTCTATTGATAAAGATTTCAATTGTATTTTGAAATTCCTGAAGTGAAAATTTCAATTCTAGAAGCTCAGATTTGTTTTTAAGATGTTTATCTCTTCCTTCACTTCCTGGATTGCTTTGGAAGTTTCTTTGTTTTGATTTTAATCCTTGTCACAAATCTCATTGAGCTTCTTTGCAATCCATGTTTTGAATTTTTTATCTATCATTTCTGAGTTTCCATTTTGGTTAGGGACCATGTTGGAGAGCTACTGTGATCCTTTGGCGGTATCAACAATAGTCATATATATATATATATATATTTTTTTTTTTTAATGATGCCAGAATTCTTGCAGTGGCTCCCTCTCATCTGGAGATATGCCTCACACTTTGAATATTTGTAATTATTTTCTTGTATATAGGATGTTTTTTCCTTCCTTTCTTTCTCTATAATATTATTATCATCATTTTTTCTTTCTCTTTTTCCCCCTCTAGAGGGTGTGATTGTAGAGAATGCCGGATAGGATCTTTTGACTTTGCTTCTATAGCCCTATGCACTTCTTTTGGCAGGTTTTGTATTGGGGTCCATGGTTTGACCTATAATCCAGTAGACGGCACCAGTAAGAGCCAGCTGTGGCAAATATGGCTGGGTATATACTTGATCCTTGTTTACTAGGGGAAGCTCTCTGTCCTCAGGCAATGGGCTGTTCTAAGGAGTGCACAGTGGTCTAAGCTCCCTGCTCAGCCCCAGTGTAGGGTACCAAGATGGGTGGGGCCAGACTGGCCAAGCCTACCTACAGGACCCTCAATGGCAGGCAGAAGCACCAGTGCTGAGGAAAGTCCACATGGCCACCAAGTGCCCAGGGGTGTGCCTAGGCATGGAGTGGGGTAAACCTTTGCTCCGAGTTCTATGCATGGTAGTGGGGAGTGGCCTAAACTAATCCAAGAGAGTGGGCACTCTGGATGACTGGAGACCTGCGTGGGCGTGGAGTGTGGAGACTGCACTAGATCTCTGCATAGAAAGGGTGGGACATCTCAGGATAAGAAGTGCTCCAAATGCCTGAAGATATGCCTGGGGGTGGAGTGGAGAGGGCCCTATTACACCAAGGTCTCTGCTCAGGAAAGGAGGACTCAGGCTGTTAATCCAGGTGAGTGGATGCTATGAAATTACTGGAGATATGCCTGGGGGTGAGCAAAGAGGGCCCCCTGCACCACTATCTCGGGAAAGCAGGCTGGGCATCCAGCTATGACACACAAAGATCCATTCCAGATTGACAAACTGGCCCTGGCTGCAAGTCTCATCACCCAGTAGAAACTGTAGCTGCAGTAGCTCTCCTCCCACTGCAGACCTATGACTGGGGAGAGCACAATTTCAGCACATACTTCTGGGGGTGTTTTCCACACTCACTACTCAATTCTCACTGCGGAGACCCCTATCCCACTCCAAAGGAAATGCCCCAAATTTTGGCCCAAGACTAAAATGCCTGTGTGGCTAGGCTGCCAGGTCACCAAAGAATGACTTTGTATGAACCTGGAGTAAAAATGGCATCCTGCCCTTGGTCCTGGGTCTGAAAAAATGCCAGCAGCTTTTCCTGTCTTTCCCTCTCAGTGTCACCAAGCCTCTCCTCAAGTTAGCTCCAGGGACTGGGGGAAACAAAGTGCTCCTCCTTGGCCTGGGTTACAAGGATCCCCAGTGGAAAGGTGAGTCACAGAGACTCTGCACCTCCTGGGGTTTCATTCACTTTTATCAGTGAGATGTCGTCCCAAGGGCTGTTTGCTTGCATTCTCCTCCCTGGGATCTGGGGTGTCCTTTGTTCTTCTGATGGATTCCTGTTTTCTTTCTTCAATTGAAGCTCACAGAGCTGATGGTTTATGCACTATTTTGGTATTTCCAAGTAGCTGAGGCATGCTAAAAGCCTCTGCTTCACTATCTTAGAAAAACAACAACAACAAACTAATCTTTTTATTATTGAGTTGTAAGAGTTCTTTGTAAATTCTGGATATAAGTCCCTTATTAGATATATAACTTGCAAATATTTTCTCCCATTCTGTTAGTTCTCTTTTTGCTCTCTTGATGGTTTTGTTTATTGTACAAAACTTTTAAAATTGTAATGTAGTTCAATTTATCTAATTTTTTTTTTGGTCATTTTGGCTCTTGGTGTCATGTCTAAAAATCATTGCCTAACCCAATGTCATGAATATATATTCTTATATTTTCCTGTAAAAGCTTTATTTTAGTGCTTACATTTAGGCTTATAATCAATTTTCAGTTAATTTTTGTTTTAATATGAAACTGGGTTTAACTTCCTTCTTCTGAATATGTACATTTGTCCCAGTACCATTTGTTGAATAGAGAGTTCTTTCTCCATTGCTTAATTTTTCCCTTGCTGAAATTGTAATGACACACTTTATTCCTGAACTTTGAATTTTTGTTTGGAACAAGAATATAAATTTCTGCAAAAAAAGCCAATTAAACCTCTTTTCTTTATAAATTACCCAGTTTTAGGTATTTCTTTATAGCAGTGCGAGAACAGACTAATACAATTAGTGATGCTGAGCATTTTTTTCATATGCTTGTTGGCTCCATGTATGTCTTCTTTTGAAAAGTGTCTGTGCATGTACTTTGCCCACTTTTTAATGGAATTGCTTGTTTTTTGCTTATAAATATGTTTAAGTTCCTTATAGATTCTGGATATTTGACCTTTGTCAGAGGCATAGTTTGTAAATACATTCTCCCATTCCGTAGGTTGTCTATTTACTTTGTTGATAGTTTCTTTTGCTGTGCAGAAGCTCTTTAGTTTAATCAGGTCCCATTTGTCAATTTTTGTTTTTGTTGCAATTGCTTTTGGAGTCTTCAACATAAAATATTTGCCAGGGCCTAGGTCCAGGATCATATTTCCTAGGTTATCTTCCAGGGGTTTTATAGTTTTAGGTTTTATATTTAAGTCTTTAATTCATCTTGATTTTTGTGTAAGGAAGGGATTCAGTTTCAGTCTTTTGTATATGGCTAGCCAGTTATCCCAGCACCATTTATGGAATAGAGAGTTCTTTCCCCATTGCTTATTTTTGTTGGTTTTGTCAATGATCTGATGGTTGTAGGTATGCGGCATTATTTCTGGGCTCTCTATTCTGTTCCATTGGTCCATGTGTCTATTTTGGTACCAGTACCATGCTGTTCTGGTTACTGAAGCCTTGTAGTATAGTTCGAAGTTGGGTAATGTGAGGCCTCCAGCTTTGTTCCTTTTGCTTACTATTGCTTTAGCTATTTGGGCTCTTTTTCAGTTCCATATGAATTTTAAAATAGTTTTTTTCTAATTCCTTGAAGAATGTCTTTGGTGGTTTGACAGGAATGGCATTGAATGTACAAATTGCTTTGTACAGTATGGTTATTTTAACAATATTGACTATTCTTATCCATGGGCATGGAATTTTTTAAAAATTTGTTTGTGTCATTTTTAATATTTTTGTGCAGTGTTCTGTAATTCTCTTTCACCTCCTTGGTTAACTGTATTCCGAGGTATTTTATTCTTTTGTAGCTATTGTGAATGGGGTTGTGTTCCTGATTTGGCTCTCAGCTTGGATGTTGTTGGTGTATAGGAATGCTACTGATTTTTGTACATTGATTTTGTATCCTGAAACTTTGCTGAAGTTATCAGTTAATTTTTCTTTAAATGGTAGAATTTAATAGTGAAGCCATTTGGATCTAGGCTTTACTTTGTTGGAAACTTTTAAATTATTAATTAACCTCTTTACTTGTTATAGCTTTATTCAGATTTGCTATTTCTTCTTGAGTTAGTTTTGGTAGTTTATGTTTTTCTAGAATTTATTCACTTCATTTAAGTTACTAATTTGTTAGAATATAATTCTTCATAGTATTCCCATATATTTTTAAATTCCTGTTAGATTTGTTGTAATGGCTCCTCTTTTATTTCTGAATTTAGGAATTTGAGTCTTCTCTTTTTTCTTGCAGTAGCATATTTACTTGTCTCTCAGTTTCTACTTTTATTGCTTTCCACCTATTCGTCATGCAGCACACAGAACGTTTTAAAAATGCAAATCAGATCATGCTATTTCCTGCTCACAAACTTTAATGATCATATATTTAATTAGGATAAAATAAAAGCTTCCTGTCTCGGCTTACAAGGTCATAGAAAATCTGACCCTTGATTTGCTTTCAAACTTTATCTTGTGCCAACTTTGTAACTGTAATAGGTCTGTTGCTCAATGCACATGGCAAGTCAGTACGTTGAGACACTGGGTTGCAGTACAGAAAGAGATGTAATCGTAGGGCTGTTCAGTGAGGAGATGGGAAGAAACCTGAAATCTATCTCCCTAAGAAGTTTGGGGAAAGGTTTTTAAGAGTTTTGAAATGGGCTGAAGTGTGGAGATCATTGATTGGCTAAAGAATGCAGGGTAGAGTCATGAGGCAGGGAGATGAAGAGTCTGTGTTCTCATGTTAATTCTGTTCCTATGTGAGAGTCTTCAAGCTGGTTGGTGCCAGCTGTTTCACTGGAAAGCATTTTAAGTAATCTTAAACAGAAGTCATATAATTCTAAGGTGGAAATCCTATCTATAGAACAATGGGGATGCACATGGTCAGTATCTGGTACTATGTTTGGTTAAAAGCAAGTGGGTCAAAGTGCAGCTTGATTAATGCTTAATTATAACTACATTTCTGTCTGGAATTCTTGTGAACCCTGTGAGGGTGGCTTCAATTTCGGTACATTCAATATGCTTCTGCCAATACTAGCTGCTTTTCTGGTTCTTAAATATGCTGAATTCTTTCTTCTCCTTGGGCCCTTGCATATATTGTTATTTCTATGTGAAATTCCCCCCATCCCTCAAACTGGGTAAATTATGCTAACAATTTTGGTCTAGTTTAACTATTACTTCACAAAGAGACTACCAAACCCTTTATGTTACTCTATTGCAATTCACTCACAACTTATAATTATATATTGTGGGGTTATTTTGTTTAATATTTACTGAAATTATGAGAATATGGCTCATGCTATTATTATATAGCCAATTTCAGGATATTATCTACGTTAGGGAAATTTCAATGTATGAAAAATATTTGCTGATAGGTTTTTAATAATACAGATGGGTACCGTGATCTTGTAAAATAACACCCTATTTCTGGTGCTTTAAGAAAATACCTGGATATGACCTATATCGCCCAATACATGTCTAAAAGAGAGAGTGTTAGAAACCAAGACAATTGTTCAGGTCCTTTAACTACTGCCCCTTGTTTCCTCGCTAGTGTAATTTACAAATGATATACCAGTACAAATAAAGGATGTGGCAAGTTTAGGAACTTTGGAATTTTGTTTACATACTTTCTTACTTTTGTTTTTTGAAAAATTCCTTTCCATTTTCCACTGACCAAGTGATTCATAATGTTATCCCAGAAAAAATACACTGTACTCTTGCTTCCTGATGCTTAAACTGAAAATTAGAGATAGTATTTTGGCATCTGAGTAAACATAATATAGTTATTTAAATTGATATGCCAATTTTCACACTTATGCTCCCATTTACAAATAATGACTTGCAGATGAAAGTCAATTCTTAAATATTTTGAGTTTTCTGCATATTTTAATCTCATAGCTGAGATTCAAGTATAACAGTCTTCAGTTGGAAGTACTTGGTGGAGTGGGCATATATATGGAAGCTGATTTTATATTTAAAATACTTACTCTTAAGTAGCCCACTTTTCGCCAAGAAAATATGGTTATGAGAGTAGATCCTGATGATTCTAGAACAGAGGTGAATAAATATTTGAAATAAAGCCCAAATATGTTTTATATGTTTACTTATGAGACTGAAAGAAATATTTAAAAAGTTCTAGTCTTTCTTGTCTATCTATAAGAGATCAAGAAAGTCATTTATTTTCTTGTCTTAGTTTCTCTACCTAAAAACGGAATCCACAAGATTGTCACTTGGTTCCATATTGTCTGTGAAAACACTGAAAGCAGAGAATCCTCCCTATTTGTGTTTATTCCTAGGCCTCTTAATTCCATGGCAAAATTTATTAACCTTCTGTATTTTCCTGTATTCCCTAAGGAAAAAAATGTAGATTTCCCAACTTCACTGAAAATATTTCATCTCCCTAATGTTGACTACATTTAAAAAGTATTCTTACATAATAGGCATTTTAATATATGTAATCTTGAATCTTTAGAACAACATGCAATATAAGTATTTATATTCCTATTTTAATATGAAAAACCAAAGACTGGAGAGATTAAGGAATTTTTCCAAGTTTAAAGCCAATAAAAGTTAAAGCAAAAGTTAAATGTAGGTTTATATTTAACCAAAGCCTTTTTTAAAAAAAATAGATATTCTATTTTCTTTATGGGACTTTGTGAGTCTGAAAGGCAAAAATATGATTAGCAGGTGGTGAATTCTAAGAAGGAATCTATTAATGTGTTTTATTTGTAGAAAGGATGGGAACTATGTGCTTTGTTTTGTTCTCAGTGTACTTTGAGAAATTTACTTTGGTTATAAATTCATAAATAATCTGTAACTCATTTTGGTGGACTATGAAAGCTAACCTCATGTCTTTTCTTTGGAAGGTTCATTGTAACCATAGATAAATTATTTCACTTACCTTTGTCTTAATTAAAGGAAAAATGATTCTAGGTCAAAAGCTACAAGAAAGCAGGGCTAGAAAGTTTATTTTTATTTTTATTTTTTGAGATGGAGTCTCCCTGTCATCCAGGCTGGAATGCAGTGGCATGATCTCTGCTCCCTGCAACCTCTGCTACCCAGGTTCAAGCGATTCTTGTGCCTCAGCCTCCCAAGTAGCTGGGATTAAAGGTGCACCTGCTACCATGCCCATCTAATTTTTATATTATTAGCAGAGATGGGGTTTCACCAGGTTGGCCAGGCTGGTCTTGAACTCCCGACCTCAAGTGATCCACCTACCTCGGCCTCCCAAAGTGCTGAGATTATACGCATGAGCCACCACGCCCGGCTTTAGAAACAGTTTTAAATTGCTTATGGATGCTTTTGAGTATTAATGCCAGTAAAGCAATGAGGAAGACATTTGTCATTTAGTCCACACAGCATTTGAACTATTTTCCGCTTCAAAGAGGTTTCTCTTTTTGAATGGTATAGACACTATCTCTCTAATAAAAGCTGAGATTGTTAAACACTCACTTTCCCTTGTAGCTCTACTATCACAGCCACTTGTGAAAGACTTTGAGATGAAAAGCCAAAAGAAGCAATAGTGAATTCTTTCTCATCACAGTGACAGTAGAAGTGTTTGCAATGTCAAGTTCACAATACAGAATGGGCATCAAGTCTGGTGGCATTCACAGCTGGAATAAAATTGTATTCCTGGTAGAGAATTTGCCCCACTGAAAGTTGTAGTATTCAGTGTTTGGTGGTGAAGGTAAAGGTATCCTTACCAGTCCAGGACTGGTAAGGATATCAAATTAAATTAATAATATGCTTTACCAGGGAGAAGATTTTTACAATACAGTTCTGACTTAAGATGGTTTGACTCAAAAGTTCTCAACTTTATAATAAGTTTATCTTGATGTCACCCCATTGTAAGTGGAGAAACATCTGTATAAATAAAAAACAATTGCTTTCTGGACTACATAAATAATTGCTACATATCGAGAGGAAAAAGACTAATAGTCCAACAGAAAAATGGGCAAAGAATGTATATCTGTAATTTTCAGAAGATAAAACCCAAATAACAAATAAGCCTATTAAAATTATAACAATAATGAGAGTATCTTTCATATCCTTCATATTGGCAAATATATAGTGTCACGTATTTCTAAATTTTGTAACATTATAGGAAATGAGTTCAGTGAAACATTACCATTGAGAGTATAAATTGTCACAACACAGTTGGAGAGCCATTAATGAATATCTAATAAAACTGAAGGTGGACACTTCCTACAATCATCGAGTGCATCTACCCCAATTATGTCTATCCTAGAGGGTCTTGGACATTGCAGAAGGAGAAATGCACAAGAATGTTCATCGTAGGTGCTTTTGTAATAGTAATAAATGGAAAACATCTAACTATCCATTAGTCTATGAACTGATAAACTATGGTTCATCTTCACAATGGAAAACTTTATATAAAATAAAACAAATTCAATCAGTCTACATGCATTCAGCATGGATAAATACCCCAAAATATTGTTTTATTTTTAAGCAAGTTGCAAAAGGTTTGTTTGGTACAACACATTATATATATATACATATATATATGAAATTTAAAAACATCCTAAAACCATAAAAACCCTAGAAGAAAACCTAGGCAATACCATTCAGGACATAGGCATGGGCAAGGACTTCATGTCTAAAACACCAAAAGCAATGGCAACAAAAACCAAAATTGACAAATGAGATCTAATTAAACTAAAGAGCTTCTGCACAGCAAAAGAAACTACCATCAGAGTGAACAGGCAACCTACAAAATGGGAGAAAATTTTCGCAACCTACTCATCTGACAAAGGGCTAATATCCAGAATCTACAAAGAACTCAAACAAATTTCCAAGAAAAAAACAAACAATCCCATCAAAAAGTGGGCAAAGGATATGAACAGACACTTCTCAAAAGAAGACATTTATGCAGCCAACAGACACATGAAAAAACGCTCACCATCACTGGCCATCAGAGAAATGCAAATCAAAACCACAATGAGATACCATCTCACACCAGTTAGAATGGCAATCATTAAAAAGTCAGGAAACAACAGGTGCTGGAGAGGATGTGGAGAAATAGGAACACATTTACACTGTTGGTGGGACTGTAAACTGGTTCAACCATTGTGGAAGTTAGTGTGGGGATTCCTCAGGGATCTAGAACTAGAAATACCATTTGATCCAGCCATCCCATTACTGGGTATATACCCAAAGGATTATAAATCATGCTGCTATAAAGACACATGCACACATATGTTTATTGCAGCACTATTCACAATAGCAAAGACTTGGAACCAACCCAAATGTCCATCAATGATAGACTGGATTAAGAAAATGTGGCACATATACACCATGGAATACTATGCAGTCACAAAAAAGGATGAGTTCGTGTCCTTTGCAGGGACAGGGATGAAGCTGGAAACCATCGTTCTCAGCAAACTATCTCAAGGGCTAAAAACCAAACACTGCATGTTCTCACTCACAGGTGGGAATTGAACAATGAGAACACTTGGACACTGGGAGGGGAACATCACACACCGGGACCTGTCGTGGGGTGGGGGGAGTGGGGAGGGATAGCATTAGGAGGTATACCTAATGTAAATGACGAGTTAATGGGTGCAGCACACCAACATGGCACATGTATACATATGTAACAAACCTGCCCGTTGTGCACACGTACCCTAGAACTTAAAGTATAATTAAAAAAAATCTGAAACAATAGTATAAGTTGTTCATAGATACATTTATATCCAGTTAATAACACTCCGATTTCAGAATAGTGGCTACTTTAGGGGAGGGAAGGAGGGGAATCATGGAGGAAATATGTACTTGTTTATTTATTTATTTATTTATTTTTGAGACAGAGTCTTGCTCTGTTGCCCAGGCTGGAGAGCAGTGGCACAATCTCGGCTCACTGCAAGCTCTGCCTGCCAGGTTCACGTCATTCTCCTGCCTCAGCCTCCTGAGTAGCTGGGACTACAGGCGCCCGCCACCATGCCCGGCTAATTTTTTGTACTTTTAGTAGAGACGGGGTTTCGCTGTGTTAGCCAGGATGGTCTCGATCTCCTGACCTTGTGATCCGCCCGCCTCTGCCTCCCAAAGTGCTGGGATTACAGGCGTGAGCCACCGCGCCCGGCCATATTTATTCTTTAA
Source organism: Homo sapiens (assembly GCF_000001405.40). Classification (NCBI taxonomy): domain Eukaryota; kingdom Metazoa; phylum Chordata; class Mammalia; order Primates; family Hominidae; genus Homo; species Homo sapiens. The sequence goes on from NC_000013.11 coordinate 37,206,954, forward strand.
AAATAAACGGAGAATAAATTGAAGAAATACGAAAAATGTTCATATCTGCTTAATCTTGATTGTGGGTGCACAGATGTCTGTTACAGTACTTTTCATGTTGAAAACATTTCAAAGTTGAAAATTAAGGAAAAACTGTTTTAGGTACTTTAGCTAAAATGAATCTGTGATGTTAAGCTCATTATTAACATAACTCTAAAGGCCTTATATTACTAGACAGTTAGAAACTAATTCTGATGGTTTTATTTTTATCATTACTCTCTACTTGAAAGAGTACACTTATTAAGTATGTGGTGATTAAAATATATTTAAATTTATTATGTATAAAAATAAATATGTAGAGATAACATACATATGACATACACATACATATATGTTTGTTATTTCTGATGTTTGCTTGTTTTAGATAGTAGACAGAGTTGAGAATTTTTTTTAAAGAAATCTGGGTTTGGATTTTGGTACTTAATCTCTTTGAGACTTAGCTTTACTTTATTCCTCCCCAAATTTTCTCCAACCTGATTTAAGATACACTTCTTAACTCAATATGTTGCTTAAGTCACTGGAGACTCAGTGTTTTTATATATAAAATTTTAATACTATTAACAATTTATTTAGATGTTTATAAGCATTAAATAATATCATGTATGTAAAAATTCTTTGTAAACTCCAAAAAGCTGTATTTAAGATAGATATTGACATTTCTTTAATTTCTGCTTTCAATGCCCCAGACTAAAAACCAAGAGATTAATACATACTTCTGTATTATTCATTGAGTGCCTAATGCACAAAGTACAAAATTCATTGCGGTCATTTTATCAAAATGAAAGAAAAGTAGACATTACTCAATATTTTTGTCTGTGGAAAGTCATGCCTGTGATCCCAAATGGGGAACTGGCTTGTGTGATTCTTTTTGTTTTTCTGCCCTCTAGAAAGAACCCATGGACTTTTTGAGAGCAAAATCAACCTCAGATCCTGCTTTGGTAACATACATTCCAAAAACGGAATGATTTCCTAGCAAACTCCAGGATTGAGAAAAAAAAAGTTCTTTGACATTTCTGAGTCCCATAGTAATATCATAATAGTATTTCTTTTAGTGTGGGTCTTTTGGTGACATATTCTCTTAGCTTTATTTTGTTTTCATTTTTGAAGGATCATTCTGCTAAATAATAAGTTCTAGGTTAGCATGTTTTTCTTTCAGCATTAATGATACCATTTCATTATCTTCGAGATTCATTAGTGGCATTGAAAAGTTAGCTGCTAGTCTTACCGTTGCTCTTCTGGAGATAGGGTGTCTTTTTTTTTTTCTCTGATTGCTTTGTTTATCTGTCTTAGGTTTTCAGCAATTTGGCTATCATTGGCTTGGTTTGTTTTTCTTTGTACTTATAGTGCCAGAGGCTTGCTGAGCTTCTTGAATTTCTGTGTTACTGTTATTTATTGGCTTTGGAAAAAGTCTTGGCTATTATCTCTTCAAATATAGCTTCTGCTTTCCACTCCTTCTTGTCTTTAGTTTACACGTATATTAGCTTTTGACCATGTTTCACGTGTCTTATGCTCTCTCTCTGTTTCTCTCCCCCTGCACCCCGTCCTGCTTCAGGTTGCATATTTTCTATTAACCTGTCTGAATTTGTTAATCCTTTTTCTGTGTTTAATTTTCTGTTACGCACTTCTGCTCAGTTCTTAATTTCAGATGATATGTTTTTCAAATCCAGAAAGTCCATTTGATGATATTATTCTGCCGGAGATGGTTCTTCCTTCACTTTGTTAGGCGGATAATGAGAGGAACTGATTATCTCAATCCAATCCACTATTCATCTGGGTTGGTTTTGGGTTGCAATTTTAGGAAGACTCAGCCAACTTGTGGTTTGACTCTGTTCCTTGGGATGTTTCCCTCCCAGGTTTGTGACTGATAGCCTGTGAAGTCTCCATCTTTTCGATCCTGAATACCTGGGAGATTCAGTTCTACCTTTCAGGTTTTCTGGGTGTAATTGATTCCCAATCACTTCAAAATCAGGCAAAGGTATTGAGGGGAAAACCAATGGAGTGTTGGAAGCAGGCTCCCTCTTTCTAGAGGACTTGTCTTCTTGGTACCATGAGACTGTGGGAAGCTTTGTTTCCAGCCTAGAACACCAGGCTCTTGTGCTACTCCAGAACTAAAAAATATCCCTTAGGGAAAATCATATCATGAGTTCTGAGTTATTCTAGTTTCTAACACATCATTCCAGTCCATGTGAACTTCAAAGGTTCCACTGATGTCCTTTCCTCAGTAGAATCCCTCTACCTAATTGAAACTGGATTCTCAGCCTGCTCTGATTGTCAGCAGACTCCTACCTGCTGCAGTGGGACCTACTGCAGTGGGTCTGGTACCACCTACTCCATTCTCCTCAGAAGTGGACATCCTATGGCATAGTTTTGGATTATGTTTCTGGAAGCTTAGACTCAAGTCTGGTTCCATAGCCTTCTTGTTGTTTCTTCAAGCCACACACAAAATCTTGTTATAATTCTCAAACCCACCACCCCCACCTTATTTAGGTAGAATGAGCTTCTATCGCTTATAACAAAGAAACTTGACTATGCAGTAGAGGTTGAGGATGGGGAAAAAAACTGCTGAGAGAATCATTGGTTCATAAGAAGACTGAGCTTGGTATAAAGAGGCCACAGTGTGTGGAGGCATTTCAGGACTAGAGGCAAAGCATATTTCCATGATTATCAGCAGCACATATGAGCCTAACTCTAAACAGACCAAGTAGGAGAAGTCACATCTCTGTGGTCACTACGTTAGGTTATGCAGTGACCAGGCAGATGTATCTGCTAAAGCATCAGCATCGGCAGATACAGTGAGAAAAGAGGTCAATGCTCTAACCAAATGGGATGAGTCACCACAACCATAGGAAATAATTAGGGCCAGACACTTCCTGCCATTTGCTAATTGGAAATTTAGGTTTATCTTGTACCCAGAGCCCATGTTGGGAAGAAGGAGTTGGAGAGAAAGTGAAAATCTGGAAATGAGCGATTACTCTAAGTAGACTATTTCCAAATAAAGCCACTAGGATACATTTAGTTGGCGAACTTGAGAGCCAAGATGAGGTAAGTAATTTAAAACACAGAAAATCATATTTCTGCATGTCTGAGTATATAGACAGTAGATTTCAACCCCTTGACAATACATGGTGAGACATAGTCCAATGTTAATGTAGAAAATAATTTTTTCCTTTGGCTGTGGTAGATAAAAACTAAAAATTCAGTTCAAAGTTATAAAAAATATATGTAATCTTATTATACATAAATTTTATTGACACTTTTTTTGGTGGAGTTGCATTTTCTTCTGGATAATAGTGAAAACAAAATATTTGTTTACTGTGAATTAAAGGATTACAAAAGACATTCTAAGGCCAATAGTTTGAATACTTGCTGCTTTCTGTTATTAAAAAAATGAGCTTGGAATTTCTTTTTCTGTCCCACCTCCAAATATAGCTGATGTAGAAGGGAGCAGATAATCTCAGTGCTTTAGACTTGAATTTGTATTTAAAAACAGAGAAGACAGATAAGAGAAAGCTGTAACAAGATATTACTTACCTATTTATCTAAAAAGATATCTACATAATAGACTAAGTAAAAATATCAAAGATCTTTGATTTGAGCTCTTAAAGTTCCAGAGATGAGAGAAACTTAGTTTCCCTCAGTGAATGCAGGTTTATTCTAAATGTAACCTGTTTATTGAATGGCCTGGACCCAGTGTTGTACAGTAGGAAAGGACTCCCTCACCTCCCTCACCCCCTTCACCCTCAACTGACATCAAAAATGGTCTACCACTCTCTCTTCCTTCCCCTAGGATGGCAGCTTGGGAAGATCCCAGAACCTTTTGGTATCTTTCAGTTATGAGAATTTTATTTTCAGGTAATATACTGGAAGTCCAGCAGACTACAGGGAGCTTTTAATGTCATACCTAATTCAAAGATGCTTCTTCTCTGCACAAGGCTCCAGCTCCCACTCTTGCCCAGTCAGATCTGTGGCTCAAGAACAGGCAGTAAATGGTTTTTTCATGTGCCTCTTCTTCCTCCCACTCCATCATCTGGTTTGTCCAGGGTGTAAGAAAAGAGAATGGAGATTAGGGGGAAAAGGATAACACCTGTTATTTTGCTGGAGCTCTTTCTTCTTTGGTTCGCACTGGCTGGACATCAAACCTTTCTTTGTGGCGGTGAAATGGCGCAGCTGTCTGGCATAATACCTGAGGTTCATTGCCTCATGCCAAGGAAATCAAGGACAGTGACACATGTGGAGTGAGGTTAAGGCCGGAGGTTTAGGCAGGGCACGGTGGCTCAGGACGCCTGTAATCCCAGCTCTTTGGGAGGCCATGGAGGATGGATCACGAAGTCAGGAGATTGAGACCATCTTGGCCAACATGGTAAAACCCTGTCTCTACTGAAAAAAAAAAAATTGCTGGGTGTGGGGGCACCTACCTCTAGTCCCAGCTCCTCGGGAGGCTGAGCAGGGGAATCACTTGAACCCGGGAGGTGGAGGTTGCAGTGAGCCGAGATTGCACCACTGCACTCCACCCTGACGACAGAGTGAGACTCCGTCTCAAACAAACAAACAAACAAACAAAAAAAAGAGCGGAGGTTTAATAGGCAAAAGAAAGAGAAAGGAGAACAGCTGCCTTTCCTGTGAGAGAGAGGGGCCTCCCAGTGGGACTTCTAGCCAGCGGTGGAGTGCACAGGGTTTTATAGACAGGCTTGAGGAGGCGGTGTCTGATTTACATAGGGCCCAAAGAAAGGTGTGACGTTTACATAGCAGGTGGGGAAGCTGACCACCCCACCCTCATCTTGTTATGAAATAGAGTCTTTGCCTGGCTGGAGGGCATGTTGTCTGCTCCCCACTGGAAACGTGGTTGGCAAGAAAAAGGGAATATGAAGCTGCCATTTTGAACATGCCTAGTCCCCAAGTAGCCCCTTTTCCTCTTGTCACAGATGCTGGCATTCACCTGTGCAAGCTTCCAGCTTGCTTATCTATGTTTGCAGCTCGATTTTGCAGGCAGTTTTTTGCTAGAAAAGAAATTATTTTGGGCTGCTTTTATTAAAAGGGAAACCTTACCAAGGACTTCCTTACTCTCACTCTCTGCCTAAATAATTTCTTTTTAACTCCTGTATCAGCAGGAGTCCAAACACTGTCTCCTTAGTGTGATACATTAGTAGGTTCTTCTTAGGCACCCGTTTCCATTCTTACCTCCACACTCTACCAAGTCCTTGGCATAGACAATGCCACTTATGACTAAAATAATGTAATGTCTTTTCAGAACCTGTCACATTTGATATTTCTTCAGTCTGTTACCGTGGAATTCTGTCTGGACAGTTCACGTTTCTTCAACAAAGTCCTTCATCAAGACACTTGGGCTACCTTAGGAGGTATCCACTTGCCCTTTAGTTTTGAGGAAGACGGAGCTACTTAGAAATCCGAGGAGGCACTTTAGCATAATAGGGTTTCTTGAAGTAGATTTAAATAAGGAGACGCCAAGATTCCACATTAATTTTTGAGGGACTGAGAAACAAGCCCCCTTTAGGGCTTCCCACTTACTTTTCAGTTCTAAGATGAAATGATTTCTGTCATTTTATGCCTTTAGTTTACAAACGTATATATTCTTAAAGGGGTACAGGAGAATAACACAAAATTTCTCTAAAATCTAAAAGTATGGCAGGTAGCCTGCATTTTTCTGGAGGTGTGGAAGGAGTAAGTTTCCTCAAATCTCAACGTAAGAAATTTTTGACATGTGTACATAAATTTAAAGTATTCCCTCTTAATAGTTTTCTTTCCCTGTTCACTTTTAGACACTGAAAAATGATAAGTAATAGGTAACACACGGGTTTTAAGTAAAGTTAAATTTACCAGACAGAGGGTTTCACTCCAGTCACTTTTGTTTCCTTTGGAGAATGTTTTCTTTTTACCATTTTTTTCCTTCATTCCATATATTTTGCCACAAAGCACTTTTGCACATTTCTTCCCTGAGAAAATGATGCTGTATAGGATAAATCGGAAAGAGTAGAGTCTATTATTCTCAGCTTTGAACAAATTCCATGCATCAGACTTTCCTGTGGTAAAGCCAGATACAAGTACAGAGCAATTAAATGACAGAAACGAGAAACACAGAACTTGACTGTGTGCATGGTGTTTCTTCTTCCTTGTAGGAATTTGTTTAAGTGGTTGATAACTGGGTTTTTGGAAAGAAAATCTTCTGCAGTATAAAATGCATTTATCATTCATATCTCATGGGGCATATTTACTGGGGCGAAAAATTCTTTTGAGAAATTCTGACTTTCTAGACTGAAACAATTAAAAATGAAAATAAATCCATTGAAATCTCTCTTGACTTTAAAAACCTATGCTCAGTTTTGCAGGTCGTGGAAGCGTGTGTGTGTGTGTGTGTGTGTGTGTGTGTGTGTGTGTATGTGTGTGTGTTTACAGATATATTTACATATGCACACATAAGGCATATTTTTATATATGCTATACTTCATCATTCAGTATTTTTGCATGTGAACACTTATGTTTGTAATAAACTCAAACTAGAAGGATATTTTGGTATCTGTGAAAAGAAATAGTAATTTACAATATTTTATAACCTTATTTTCTTGAAAGAAAATATTCTATAGCCTTATTTTCTTTAAATTAAATCTTTCTTTTTACTAAACCTAGTATATCCCCAACTTTGAATACCTAATCCAATGCTATAATGAAAATATTAATTATAACTCAGATTATTGAATGCTTTCTATATGCTAGGAATTGTTCATAGCAATTTATGTATATATTTAGTAATTTAATCGTGACAGTAACATTATAAAATAGATACTCATATTATCTGTTTTTCTCAGTTGAGGAAAATGAGGCATAGAGAAAATTTCACAGTGTCACAGAGTTAGTAAGTGACTGAGCCTGGTTTGGAACCAGGCCACTGGTCTCCTAAATCTATGTCCTTAACTACTACAATACACTGAAGTTGTAAAATGGGAAATGGGCAGCAAAAACATCTTGATCAATCAGAGTCAGTAAAAATCGACAGAATCACATTAGGTTTCTACTTATTTTCATCGGAATTGGCATTTTGATTGCTTGTTATGGTGACTTTGAATGAAGGCACGCAACATAAAATGAAAAACTGAAAGATCACTGTCCAGAGCAGGGATTGACGAAGGCTTGTTCTGGGACTACTAGCACCCTAGCACCACTTATCACTTATTAGAAACACTATTTTTTTTTTTTTTTGAGATGGAGTCTCGCTGTGTTGCCCAGGCTGGAGTACAGTAATGTGATCTCAGCTCACTGCAACCTTCGCCTCCCAGGTTCAAGTGATTTTCCTGCCTCACCCTCCCTAGTAGCTGGGATTACAGGCCTGTGGCACCGTGCCCAGCTACTTTTTGTATTTTTAGTAGAGACAGGGCTTTAATATGTTGGCCAGGCTGGTCTCAAACTCCTGACCTCAAGTGATCCACCCGCCGTGGCCTCCCAAAGTGCTGGGATTATAGGCTTGAGCCACTGCGACTGGCCTAAAACTTACACTTCTTATCTGTACCCATAAAGGTTCTGTTTCAGTGGGTTTGCAATGGGATTTAGGAATCTATGTTTAAAATCTCCTTTGGAGGTCTGGGTGTGATTTAGATAAGAGGATTCCAATCCAACTCTTTTTAGAGCTGTTACGTTGTTATTGTTTTAGTTTATTGTACTCTATGTTATTACTTAAATTGTAATCTAAAATCTTTAATTTTAACCCATCTATTTACATGGATTTTAAAAGTTTAATTAAAGAGATTAATGCTTGAATATTTTCTATGAAGGGACCAATATAGGGTTGCCCTGGCCAAATCGATAGTTTAATGTGGGTGTACTACTGTATTTCCTTCATTCAATGCTGCCTTTGTTTTCTTTGCATTCTTATGTTTCTGAAAGTACATAGCTGAGGGAGTTGAAGGTTATACATAAATCTCCCTTGGTTTTCATTATTATTAGATTGATGGTGCTTTTGACCTGAGGAAAGGGAATGCTTCTACCTCCTTGAAGCCTGCACTTTCTCCAGTGAAATATAGGAACTCTGCATGAGACTTGGGTTGTGGGGGAGAGTCACAGGAATTGGGGCTGGTGTGGTTACAGGGATTACGGGGACTCTTGAAGCAAGAACCATGGTCTAAGAGGCTGAATCTGCCAGGCATGGTGGCTCACGCCTGTAATCCCAGCACTTTGGGAGACTGAGGTGGGTGGATCACCTGAGGTCAGGAGTTTGAGACCAGCCTGACCAATATGGTGAAACCCAGTCTCTACTAAAAATACAAAAATTAGGCTGGGCATAGTGGCTCATGCCTGTAATCCCAGCACTTTGGGAGGCTGAGGTGGGTGGATCACTTGAGGTCAGGAGTTCGAGACCAGCCCGGCCAAGATGGTGAAACCCCGTTTCCAATAGAAACACAAAAATTAGCTGGGTGTGGTGGCGGGTGCCTCTAATCCCAGCTACTCAGGTGTCTGAGGCACGAAAATCACTTGAACCTGGGAGGTGGAGGTTGCAGTGAGCTGAGATAGCAGCACTGCACTCCAGCCGGGCCCACAGAGCAAGTCTCTGTCTCAAAAAAAAAAAAAAAAAAAAAAAAAAGAAGCTGAATCTAGGGGGCAGGAGTGAATCCCAAGCCAGGTCGATAACCAACTAAGTCATCATTCCAAATGGAAAATCTAGGTAAGAGGGAATAGGAAGGAAACAGGGGCAGGGAGTACCAAGTGCAGAAAAGGGGCTGAGATTACAATGATTTAATAATTTGCTGAGTAGTTTACGATTGTTGAAGGTGTATTTTATCTGGTACCCACAACCTTAGCTCTGGATGAAAAGCGTCCTGATGTGCTTCAGACCTCCATCTAGAAGGTTGTATTTACATAGATGGAAGATATGAATTGAGATGAACTGTACTGATAAGAATTACTCAACTCCTCTTTATTTGCTGTATGTAGAAATCACTTACTGGCCGGGCGTGGTGGCTCAAGCCTGTAATCCCAGCACTTTGGGAGGCCTTGGTGGGTGGATCACGAGGTCAGGAGATCAAGACCATCCTGGCTAACGCGGTGAAACCCTGTCTCTGCTAAAAATACAAAACCAAAATTAGGGCGCCTGTAGTCCCAGCTACTGCGGAGGCTGAGGCAGGAGAATGGCGTGAACCCGGGAGGCGGAACTTGCAGTGAGCCGAGATTGCGCGCCACTGCACTCCAGCCTGGGCGACAGAGCGAGACTCTGTCTCAAAAAAAAAAAAAAAAAAAAAAGAAATCACTTACTGTTAACAGTGTAATTGAACATGATAGTGCTCAGCTTCAGGCATGCATACATATTTGTACATTGCTCCCGCCTCTCAGCAATAGAGGAGTCAAAAAGTAGATGATAATAAGTGAATTCTGAGCCACAGAAATATGTTTTCTCTGTCTACTATTATTCTGTTGTTGCAAGTAATTTTCAAATTGCAAGTTGCTGGGCGTGGCCCCTAGAATCCACAATATCTAGTGTTTCCAAGTTGAGAGAGGGGACAAATTCTCTCTCCATCATCTCATTTTCTATCTTTTTTTTGTAGAACTTGGCTACCCACATCAGTGCTGCCTGACCTTTTATAGAATATTTAGTAGATTACATAACATTTGAGAATTGTGCTTACTCTGAGAGAATAAAAGTGTTCTGGAACTAAGTCATTGATCTAAAATGAACACACATGGAGGAGGACCCAGCTGACATTTATGCCTGCAGTGGGAGAAACACATGATTTTTAAAAGCCTGGATAAAGAAATTGTAACAAGATTTTGATTTTTACAACAGGAGACTTAAGAAATAGGATAGACCTATTCTATTGAATCCTATATCAGGATTAAATTTTAGTGGTCTTTGACTGTAATTGACTAGTATTTTAGGGAAAAATACGAGAATGAAAAAAGTGATTAAAAGTCTTGAATTTCCTTAAGACTCTGTTAAAGAAAAATTAGTATTTTTTGTCCAATTTTTGTATTTTGTGTGTATGTGTGCTGATTCCTTATTCAGTACAGAAGGAAACGACACATTTTTGATCAGTTATGGTTATTGAAAGACCTGACATCTCTATGTACCATTTCACTTATAATAATTGTCAGTTGACGTGACTCATGAACTTGAATATGATTTTTAAAACAACCACTTAAACCATGTGTATGTTTAGAAGTTTCCCAGACATATAAAACACATAGGAATGCATTGCTTTTTGTATCAACTTTTCGTAAATTTTGTTAACTCTATCGCTCTAGAATCTAAAGTGGCTCACTAAATGCATTTAAAATCAAATTTCTTATCACCTGGTGTGAACAGAGTAGACAAAGAGAGTTGCCAAATTTATTAACTATGTTAATCAATAAGACATTTGACTTTAACATACATGGGATTACAGAATACATTCTTTAGTGAAGTTATTCACATTCCAATAACTTACCTGTTTTCTATGAAGAATATTTAAATATTGAGTAAAGGCTGTAACTGGTAGCTATAGCTCCTTAAAAACTAGGTATACTTACTTCTCTTTATTAGATTTATTGATTTTATTTTTAATAGACTTTTAAAAGTGACTGTTTTTTAAAGAGTGGTTTTAGGTTCACAGCAAAACTGAGAGGAAGGCGCAAAGATTTTCCATGTACTCCCTTCCCCGACACGTGAAAAGCCTTCCCCATCATCATCATCCCCCACCAGACTGGCACGTTTGTTACAACTAATGAACCTCTATTGAGGCATCATCACCCACAGTGCATAGCTTACATTAGGGTTCATTCTTAGTATTGTACTTTCTATGGATTTGGATAAATGTATAATGACATGTATCCACCATTATAGTATCACATAGAGTAGTTTCATTGCCCTAAAACTCCTCTGTGCTCTGCCTATTCATCTCTCTCTCTCTCCTAATCACTGGCTACCACTGATTTTTCACTGTTTTCATAGTTTTGCCTTTTCCATAATGTTATATATTTGGAATCACACAGTATATAGCCTTTTCAGATTGGCTTCTTTCACTTAGTAATATGCATTTAAGGTTCCCCCATGTTTTTTCATGGCTTGATAGCTCATTTCTTTTTAGTGCTCAGTACTATTCCATTGTCTAGATGTACCACAGTTTATTTATCCATTCACCTACTGAAAAATATCTTGGTTGCTTATAAGTTTTGGCAGTTATTAATAATGCTACTATAAACATCCATGTTCTGGTTTTTGTGTGGGTAAAAGTGTTTAACTTTTTTGGATAAACACCAGGAGGTTCAATTGCTGTTTTGTATAATTAAGAGTATGTTTAGTTTTATAAGAAAACACTGGCCAGGTGCGGTGGCTCACGCCTGTAATCCTAGCACTTTGAGAGGCTGAGGCAGGCGGATTGCCTGAGCTCAGGAGTTTGAGACCAGCCTGGGCAACACAGTGAAACCCTGTCTCTACTAAAATACAAAAAAATTAGCTGGGCATGGCGGCGTGCCCCTGTAGTCCCAGCTACTTGGGAGGCTGAGGCAGGAGAATTGCTTAAACCCGGGAGGCAGAGGTTGCAGTGAGCCGAGATCGCGCTGCACTGTAGCCTGGGCGACAGAGTGAGACTCCGTCTCCAAAAAATTAAGAAAGAAAGAAAGAAAGAGAGAGAGAGAGAGAGAGAGAGAGAGAGAGAGAAAGAGAAAGAAAGAAAGAAAGAAAGAAAGAAAGAAAGAGAAAACACCAAACTATCTTTCAAAGTGGCTGTGTCATTTTGCATTCCCACTAGCAATGGATGAGATTTCCTGCTGATCCTCATCCTTCTCAGCATTTGATGTTGTCAGTGTTCTGGATTTTGGTTATTCTAATAGGTGTGTATTGATATCCCATAGTTGTTTTAATTTGCATTTCCCTGATAGTATGGAGCATTTTTTTTTTAATATGCTGATTTGCCATCTGTATATCTTTTTTTTTTTTGGTGAGGTGTCAAAATATTTGGCCAATTTTTAAATTAGGTTTGTTTTCTAATTGTTAAGCTTTAAGAATTCTTTGCATATTTTGGATAACAGTCCTTTATCAGATGCATCTTTTGCAAATATTTTCTCCCAATCTGTGGCTTGTCTTCTCATTCTGTTGACATTATCTTTTACAAAGCAGAAAATTTTAATTTTAATGAAGTCTAGTTTATCAATTCTTTCTTTCATGACCATGCCTTTGGTGTTGTATCTAGACCCAAGGTCATATAGACTTCTCCTGTTATTTTCTAGAAGTTTTATAGTTTTGTAATTTACAGTTAGGTCTATAATTGATTTTGAGTTAATTTTTGAAGGATGTAATATCTGTGCCTTTATTTATTTATTTATTTTTTGCATGTGGCTATCCAGCTGTTTCAGCATCATTTGTGGAAAAGACTATCTTTGTTGCATTTTATTGTCTTTGCTCCTTTGTAAAAGATCAGTTGACTGTATTTATGAGGTTCTATTTCTGGGCTATTGATTCTGTTCCATTGATTTATTTGTCTATTCTTCTGCCATTACCACACCATTTTGATTACTGTCACTTTACAGTGAATCTTGAAGTTGGGTAGTGTCAGACCTTCAACTTTGTTCTTCTCCTTCAATAATGTGTTAGCTATTTGGGTCTTTACTTCTTCATATAGACTTTAGAATCATGTTGTCAATATCCACAAAATAACTTGCTGAGATTTTGATTGGGATTACCTGACATCTTGACAACAGTGAGTCTTCCTATCCATGAGCATGGAATATCTCTCTATTTCTTTGAATTTTTTCATCAGTTTTGTAGTTTTCCTCATATCGATCTTATACATATTTTGTTATATTTATGCATAAATATTTCATTTTTGGGATGCTAATATAAATGATATTGTGCTTTTAATTTCAAATTCCACTTGCTCATTGCTGGTATATAGAAAAGCAACGGACTCTTGTATATTAATTTTGTATCCTGCAAGTTTGTTATAATATCATATTAGTTCCAGGAGATTTTCATTGATTCATTCAGATTTTCTACATAGATCATATGTCATTTGTGAACAAAGACAGTTTTTTTCTTCCTTTTCCATCTGTATTCCTTTTATTTCCCTTTTATGTTTTATTGCATTAGCCAGGACTTCCAATATAATGTTGAGTAGCAGTGATCGGAAGGTACATTTTTGCCTTGTTCCTGATCTTTTGTGGGAAAGATTTTAATTTCTCACCATTAAGCATCATATTAGCTGTAGATTTTTGTAGATGTTCTTTATCAAGTTGAGAAAGTTTCCCTCTATACCTAGTTTACTGAAAATGCATATCATGAATGGATGTTGGAGTTTTTTCAGATACTTCTTTTTGCATCTATTGATATAGGTATGTGATTTTTATTCTTTAGCTTGTGAAGTGAGGGATTACATTAATTTATTTTTGATTGTTGAACTAGCCTTGCATACCTGGGATAAATTCCACTTGGTTATAGTATATAATTATTTGTATGCATTGTTGGATACTATTTGCTAAAATTCTGCTGAGGACTTTTGCACCTAAGTTCATGTGAGATATTGGTCTATAGTTTTCTTTTCTTGTAATGTCTTTGGTTTTGGTATTATGATAATGCTGATCACATAGAATGAGTTAGGAAGAAATTCCTCTGCTTCTATCTTCTGAAAAGAGATTATATTTTCCTTAAATGTTTGGTAGATTTTAGCAGTGAGCCCATCTAGTCCTACTAGTTTCTGTTTAGAAAGGTTATTAATTATTGTTTCAATTTCTTTAATACATATAGACTTATTCAGATTATCTATTTCTTTTTGTGTGAGTTTTGGAAGATCGTGTATTTCAAGGAATTGCTGCATTTTATCTAAGTTATAAATTTTGTGGGCATAGAATTGTTCATAATATTTTTGTTGACTGTGAGCTAAAGCTTTCTTTGTTCATTTCTTGTATCTAAAGTACTCTTCAATGTCATCCTTGGCCTGAGCTTCTTTGCCATAGTCCTTAACTACTACAGAACTGCAACCAATCACTTTAAAAAGTTTTCTCTCTTTGTCAGTTATGCAGAGGACAACCCATATTCTTAGTTTCTTGTCATCAACTTTAATTATGTTGATTTTGTGTTTAGCAGAAAGGACATCCACCAACTTGACATACATAGGCTCACTGCAGTTGGATGCAAGCATACAAAGACGGGCTTAGTGCTTGTTTAAGGCTTGGCAGCTCTGTGAATTCCATGTACTGGGCTCCTGTGGATGAGGATAGTCTTCAGCACTTTTTGCAAAGCAGTATTAATGTCCATTATACCTTTAGCAGCAATGCCTTCATCGACCATGGTGGTGGGTTATGGATGAAGCCAAATATTGAATGCACCTGAGCCTCCACCTCTGCACAATTTAGCTGTGGCAGGTAAAGATCTATAGTATTTCTTGATCATCCTTTTAATGTCCATGGAATATGTAGTGATGTTCCTTCGTTCATTTAGGATATTAGTAATCTATCCTTTCTTTTTTCTTATGGTGGCTAGAACTTTATTGATTTTATTGATAATTTTAAAGAATCAGCTTTAGATTTTGTTGATTTTTTCTATTGATTTCTTGTTCTAAATTTCATTGATTTCTACTTGAATTTTTATTTCTTTTCTTGTGCATGATGTTTTAATTTAAATTTTCTAGTTTCCTAGGGTGAAAGCTTAGATGACTGCTTTTAGATTTTTCTTCTTTTCTAATATATGGATTCAGTGATACACATTTCTCTCTAAGCTCTGCTTTTGCAGCATCTCACAAATTTTGACAAGTTGTTTTTTCATCTAGTGCCAAATATTTTAAAATTTGTTTTGAGATTTCTTTTTTGACTTATGTGTTATTTAGAAGTGTGTTGTTTAATCTACACATAATCTGGGACTTTTCAGCTATCTTACTGTTATTGATTTCTAGTTTAATTCCATTGTGGTCTGAGAGCAGATATTGTATTATTTATATTCTTTTAAATTTGCTAAAGCGTGTTTTGTGGACCAAAATTTGGTCTATCTTTGTGAATGTTTTATGTGAGCTTGAGAAGAATATATATTCTGCTGTTGCTTGAAGTAGTCTCTAAAAGTCCATTTTTATCCAGTTGATTGATGGTGGTGTTGAGTTCAACTACGACCTTACTAATATTCTGCCTGCTGGATCTGTCCATTTCTAAAATAAGGGTATTGAAGTCTCAACTATAATAGATTTATTAATTTTTCTTTTCAGCTCTATCAGTTTTTGACTCATTTATTTTGACACTTTATTGTTAGATGCACACATATTGAAGATTGTTATGTCTTCTTGGATAATTGACACCTTTACATTATGCAATGCCCCTCTTTAACCCTGATAACTTTCCTTGCTCTGCAGTTCTGTCTAAAATTAACAGAGGTACTCCTGCTTTCTTTTGATTAGTGTTTGCATGGTATACCTTTCCCCATCCATTTACTTTCAGTCTATATTTGTCTTTATATTTAAGGCAGTTTCTTGTAGACAACATATATTTTGGTCTTGTTTTTTGATCCACACTGACAATATCCATCTTTTAATATGTACATTTAGAGCAATGACATTCAAAGTGATTACTGATATAATTAGATTAATATCTACTATATCTGTTACTGTTTCTATTTATTGCTCTTGTTCTTTGTTCCTATTTTTGTCTTCCATTCTTTTTCTGCATCTTCAAGTTTTAATTGAGTATGTCATATGATCCTTTTTCTCTCCTTTTTTTAGTATATGAGTTTTACTACTTAAAAAAAAATATTTTTGGCCAGGTGCGGTGGCTCACACCTGTAATCCCAGCACTTTAAGATGCCGAGGTGGACAGATCTCCTGAGATTGGGAGTTTGAGACCAGCCTGACCAACATGGAGAAACCCTGTCTCTACTAAAAATACAAAATTAGCCGGGCATGGTGGCACATGCCTGTAATCCCAGCTACTCAAGAGACTGAGGCAGGAGAATTGCTTGAACCCGGGAGGCAGAGGGTGTGGTGAGCCAAGATCATGCCATTGCACTCCAGCCTGGGCAACAAGAATGAAACTCCATCTGAAAAAAAAAAAGAAAAAAATATATATGTATATATATATACATATATATATATATTTGTATTGGTTCCCCTAGATTTTGCAATATAAATTTACAACTAATCGAAGTCTACTTTCAAAGAACACTATACTATGAGCATATGAGTATTATACCTGATAATAGTGGTACTCACATTCTCACAGGTAGTGCAAGTACCTAATAATAACAAAATAATTCTAATTCCTTTCTGTCTTTTTTCGTATTATTGTTGTTACTTGCTTTGCTTATATGTAAGCATATTAAAGCATATGTTGCACATAAGGGTTGTAGGAGTCATGGGAGAGCTTTCCCCTTAGCCCACTGAAAAATATACTCACAAAAGGCAGATAAATTGGAGAAAAGGCATATAAATTTATTTAACATGTATGCATGGGGAGAATGACAGAATGATTGCTTACCCCTCAACAAGATGAAAGAAGCATATATATCACCCTGGCAAAACAAGGGGGAGAACTGTCTGTTGAGGGACAATATTGTCTGTTGATGGAAAATAAAGGAATACTAGAGAGAATGAATGGATCCAGGAACAGATATTAACTTGTAAAGGGTCTATTCAGATGTGGCTACATTTTTGGTATTACAGGGAGGGGAAGAGGAAACAATTTTTTTGAGGTGGGTCTGGATCTCAGGCAGATAAAGGTTTTGGGAGAGACAGTACTAGGGAGAAGGTTAGAGAGACCTTGAGGCTTCTTCAGTTTAAGCATGTCAATGTGCCATATTTAGGAGTATCAGCTTCTGAGCCCCAGCAACATATATAAATGAATACATTGTTGCTATTGTTGTTTTGAACAAATTGTTATCTGTTAGACAATTGAGTAAGAAAAAAGAGGAATTTTAATTTTACCTTCATTTATGTTTTTTTCTCCAACGCTCTTCTTTTCTTTACATAGGTTCAAGTTTCTGACCTATGTTATTTTCCTTCTCTCTGAAAGACTTCTTTTAGCATTTCTTGCAAGGCAAGTCTACTGGCGACAAATTTCCTCAATTTTTTGTTTGAGAAAGTTTTTATTTCTCTTCCACTTTTGAAGGATATTTTTACAGGGTACAGAATTCTAGTTTGGTGTTCTATTTCTCTCAACACTGTAAACATGTCACTCCACTCTTTTCTTGCATGAGTACTAAGGGAGAAGTCAGATATAATTTTTTGTTCTTTGCTAGGAAAGATATATATATTTTTCTTCTGGATTCTTTCAAGGTTTTTTTTCTTTATCTTTGATTTTCTGTAGTTTAAAAATAATATTCCTAGGTGTATATTTTTTGCGGGGGTGGAGGTCATTTACTCTGCTTGGTGTTCTCTCAACTTCCTGGATCTGTGTTTTGATGTCTGACATTAATTTGGCAGAAATTCCCAGTCATTATTACTTCAGATATTTCTTGGGTCTCTTTCTCTATTTATTCTCCCTCTGATATTCCCATTACACATATGTTATGCCTTTTTTAGTTGTCCCACCATTCTTGTATAGTCCATTGCTTTTCCCCTGTATTTAAAAAGATTTATTTTCTTTTCAGTTTTAAGATTTCTATCGATTTATCCTCAAGCTCAGGATTCTCAACAATCACTAGTTTACTAATAAGCCCACCAAAAGCACTCTTCATTTCCTTTACAGTATTTTTTACTTCTAACATTTTTGTACATTATTAGAATTTCTATCTCTCTGCATACATTGCCCATCTTTTCTTGCATGCTGTGTACTTTATCCATTAGAGCTCTTAGCATACTAATAATAGTTGTTTCAAATTCTCCATTTGATAATTTCCACCATATCTGAGTTCCGATGCTTTTTCTGTTTCTTCATGCTGTGGTTTTTGCCTTTTAGTATGTCCCGTAATTTTTTTCTTCATAGCAGGACCTGGTATACTGGGTAAAAGTAACTGCTGTGAGCATGTCTTTAGTAATGTGGCAGTGAGGTGTTTGCGAGTTGGTGGACTGGAAGCATTCTATGGCTCTATGATTATGTCTCTGTCTTTCAGAGAGCATGTGCCTTTGGACTATGAAGTTCACATGTGCCTCTCAGTTACCCCTTCCCCCTTAGGTGGGACAGGATGGCTAAAATGAGCTGGAGTTGGCTATTTCCCTATGCCCAGGTCAGTCAGGCTCTGATAAAACCCCAGGAGGTTAGACTCCGGTTAAAAAGTTTCTCTTGAGGGTATACCTTGTTAGGAATAGCAGAATGCTGATGTTAAATGATGAGTTAATGGGTGCAGCACACCAACATGGCACACGTATACATATGTAACAAACCTGCACGTTGTGCACATGTACCCTAAAACTTAAAGTATATATTAAAAAAAGAATAGCAGAATGTTCTGGTATATTTCAAAATGGTTTCTTTCCCTTCCTCTGGCTAGAAGCATGAGGGAACTTTTCTCCAATATTCACTGTGAGAACCAAGTGAAGCTCCTGGAGGTAAAAAGTCACAAAAATGTGGGGCCTCCATCTCATTGGATCTCCTGGAGCTTTTTAACTCTCAGACTTGTCCATGCAGTGCCTTTAGCAATTTGTCAGTAACAGTTCAGATATTCCTACCCTGGGATCATTTCCCATGAAGGTTTCATCTTGTGGGTTTCTGTTCTGGCAAGTTGTGATTCGCTGAATTAAGTCTGTTGGTTTCTCCAGTTGAAGGGAAGCAGTTTGTTCTGTGACCTCAGTTGTCTTGTGGATCTAAGAAGAGTTGTTTTTCAGTTTATTCATCTTTTTGCTTGTTGAAAGAATGGAGTGGTGACATTCAAGCTTCTTACAAGCCTGACCAGAAGCTGGAAGTGAATTTATTTTCAAAATTTAGTCATCTTGCTGAAGTTTTCATTCTAATGTTTGGCATTTCAAATAATACTCTCTTAGTTTCTATAAATGTGGAGAGATAGTAGCCTATGACTCAGAGGTCTGTGAGAATTTGGAAGGAAAAAGCCAGTAAAGTTTTTTTTGGAATGGATTAACTTTGTCCACAGAAGTAGTGGCAGCTCTCTTAGCAGGCTAATTTTGTGATGTGATTCTGGGAGTTATTTCTAAGATGCAGGGCTGTAATGATTCTGCTTCTTGCATCATGGAAGAAGAGATCAAAAAGGCATTAGGATGTTGACTGTAGTGATTTATCCCGATTATCAGTATGATATAGGACTGCTGCTTCTTAATGTGGATTGCTAGGGATGTGCCTAAAACCCAGAAGATCTGTAGAGTTACTAGTGTGTGCTGCCATGTCCAGTTATAAAAGCAAATGAGCAATTATTAGGCAGGATTACCAAAAATTAATAGCCCTCAGAAAAAAAAGTTTGCATCACCTCATAAGTAAGGAATACTGGCTGACTACAGTTCCTCAGGTTTTAGAATGGCTTTCTATAATTAGATTTTTAAAAATATCATGTGAGAGGGTATTCATATTAATAAATGGATCTAGTACATTAAATATTAATTATATTACATGACTTATTTGGTTTTGCTTTTTTGACCTTATTTCATTTTATAATCAATAACCTTATTTCATTTTCTTGTTCCTATTGTATTTTCCTTTCTTTTTCTCCTTTCCAAACGTCTATTTGCTTCATTAAGTGTTCTTTATTTTCCCTATATCTTTACTAAGTTTTGAAATTGCTAATTCCATTTCTTTTTTAAAGTGGTTGCCTAGAACATTTTAGTGTATGTAGTTGACTTTACATATTTTTATGGTTTTACCTAATAGGACAAGGACTTTAGCATGCACTTAGTTTTTCCAGGCTTCACATTTTGTGGTATTTTTGTATAGTATTTTAGTTCCAAAATGTTAAAAGAAGTATCAGTTTTCTTGGGTTTTAATTTTAAAATCCAGTTTGTGATTCTTTTTTTTTTTTTTGAGACAGTCTTGCTCTGTGCCCAGACTGGAGTGCAGTGGCGTGATCTCAGTTCACTGCAACCTCCGCCTCCCAGGTTCAAGCAATTCTCCTGCCTTAGCCTCCTGAGTAGCTGGGATTACGGGTGTGTGCCACCGTACCCTGCTAATTTTTTGTATTTTTAGTAGAGACAGGGTTTACCATGTTGGCCAGGCTGGTCTCAAACTTCTGACCTCAGGTGATCCACCCACCTTGTCCTCCCAAAGTGCTGAGATTACACGCCTGAGCCACGGCACCCAGCCCAGTTTGTGATTCTTTACATTCCTCTTCTCTCTGTCATGGTGATCATAGAACTATATGTTGAGATGAATTCTGCATCAGCCTGGATTCCTATAAGATTATTATGAGCAGTTTCCCTTACTGACTCATACTGAAAGGATAATGTTGGTAAGAGACAAATTTTTATTTGGTTACCTCTTGAGATTTGGGGGCTGTTTATTATTGCGTATAACCTTGTCTATCCATCTGATACTGAAATTAATTACAGAGAGTGTGCTGTTACTGAATCAAAAACTTAAATAAGGCGACATTGTCATAGTAGTTATTGGGTGGCAAAGAAACTGTTATTGGAGGCTGGAAAGACAGTAATCTATATTTTGATGATGTGGAACATTTGACAAAACTGTACTTTGGTAATTGTAGCTCTAGGAAAAGAGGGAGAAAAATGTAGTGTTGGTTCTTTGTGTTGATTGATATTGGCTGCTTTTTCAAGAAATGAGATGTGTTAAAAAATGAATCAGCTAATATATGAGCAGAAGTGAAGGGGGATTGAGAGTCCGTAAATTCATGGATTGTTTTTGAATTTTATATAAATGAAATTATACAATGTGTATTTTGTGTCTGGCTTCCTTTGTTCAGCATTATGTTTGAGATTCATTCATCTTGTTCTGTGTAACTGCATTTATTTAGTTTTACTAAAATATATTATTTAATTATATGAATATATCTCAATGTTTTATCCACTCTACTGTCAATGGATATTTATGTTGTTTTTTAGTTTTGACTACTGTAAATAATGTCATTGAGAACCTTTTTGTACATGTCCCATCTATGGGACAGTTATCTAGGAATAGAATTACTGGGTCATAGAATGTGTGCATTGTCAATGCCAATCTATTTTCCAAAATGTTTGTATCAGTTCATACTTCCATTGGCATTGTATGTAAGTTCTTCTTACTTCACATCTTTGTCAACATTTACTCTTATCAGCCTTTTAAATATTTTTCCATTTAGTGGATGTGTGATGGCTTAGTTTGAATTTTCTTGATTAATAATAAAGTTGAATACCTCTTCCCATGTTTATTGGCCTTGAATTATGTCTGCTGTGAAGTACCTGCTCAAGACTTTTGTTTTCTAGAGTCTTCTTGCATTCCTTGGCTTGTGGTCTCACATTATTTTGGCCTCTGCTTCTGTCATCGTATCTCTGAAACTGACCTTCCTGTGTCCCTCTTATAAAGCCCCTTGTAATAACAACATTGGCCCACCTGGATAATTCAGGATAATCTACCCATCTCAAGATGTTTAACTTAATTACATTGGTGAAGTTTCTTTTGCTATAGAAGGTAGAATAGTCACAGATTCTGGGGATATGAACATCTTTGGGGGGCACTATTCAGCTATATCCTTTGTGGCTTATTCACCTTGCTATGTGCTCAAGAAAGCTAGACTCCTGCCAATAATAGTGAATAAAATTAAAAGTCCATTGTCAATAATTAAAATTTTTTTTTCTGTATTATTGTTAAAACTAACATTTGCTTAAATTGTAGTGCCAAAATATTTTTAATATCTCTCTGAACAATGATGAGTGAGTGATCTTAATTTCTGGACCATCTAGGTCAATAATATTTAAATGGTAATAGAAATTTTAGTCTGTTTGGAATAATGTGTACTTTTATAGGCTTCTGTTCATTGTTCAAAATGTTCTTGGTGTGGTGCCATTATAATAGTCATTATAATTATTTCCTGGGACCTTTAGTACTTTTGTGTCTAAATGTAAAAGAAAGTGATTGACTGCAAATAAATGAGGCTCCACAGTATTATCAATCAATTTTGTCCTTTCATTCGAGCTTCAAAACACTACTGCATTTCACATGCTTCCTAATGGCAAAAAAGAGAACTCTCACCTTTTTGGATTAGGAGTATGTCTTAATTCATTCGGGCTGCTGTAATAAAATACCTTAGATTTGGTAAAAAAAAAATGGAAATTTACTTCTCACAGTTCTTAAGGGTGTAAAGTCCAAGATGAAGATGCCAGCAGATTTGGTGTCTGGTGAAGGCTTGCTCTTTGCTTCAAAATGGCACCTCGTTGCTATGTCTTGACATGGCAGAAGGGAGGAACAGTCTCCCTCAAGCCTTTTTATTAGGGTACTAATGGGAACTCATGAATGTGGAACTTTCAGGATCTGATCACTTCCTAAAGGCCTCAGCTCTTAATACCATCCCTTTAGGGGTTAGATTTTAACATATGAATTTTGAAGGAACACAAACATTCAGACCATAGTAGGGGACAGTGATATTATACAGAACTATTTATAATTTATATTACTAACTTATGACCTTTCGCTTAGATATTTGAATATAATTGAAGCTCTAGGAGGATAAACTGCACGTAAATTATCTTTTTGTACCACTTGACATGCCACTGAGCCCCTCATGGTCCTTTTACTTGAGATTTGAAGAGGAGACCTGGAAAAAGCATGGGATTTGAATTCAGAAGACCTGAATGCTACTAAATACCAGCTGTATAATCTTGGGCAAGCCATTTAACCTCATCTGTTAAGTGGGAATGTAGTAACACTTACTTCACAGAGTTCTAGACAATGGATATGAAGAAGCTACTCTGTAACTGCAGTGGCTCTAGGTTTTGTTTACTCAATTTTGTTCCTGAGATTGGAGTCTGATTATGAAGAACCTTTCTAGATTCAATAGATGGATTGGCTTAACATAAAAGGGGAGTTTATTGGCTCATATGGCATCACTAAAAATTCCAGAAGAGCATATGCTTCAGGAACAGTTTGATCAAGGAGCTGACATGTTATCAGCAGCTGTCTATCTTCTGCATAGCGTTTTCATTCTACCTTCATATGGTGTCAGTATGACTTTCAGCAACTTTAGACCTGTAGTCACCTATGTTTACTCCAAAGAAAAAGAGAGTATCTCTTTCAGGTAGTTTCTGTACAAACCCTAGGATTTACTCTAAATTGGACCAATTTGGATGACATATCCATGCCTGTCTTTGACATGTCCTGACCTGATCATGAGGCTAAAGGGACTGCCCCAACTTGAATCACATGATTCATCCCCAGAGCCTGGGTGAGACCCTTGAACCACAAGTAACAGAAGTGGCAAAGGATTTGGGATATTATAAGCTAAAGAAGTGGGCTGGGCTCTGGATGATACATACTGTCCATTCTAGGGTCACTTATGTTTTTGAGAAGATGTCATTTTATCCTTAGTTTCCCCTACTCAATAGAGATAGCTTTTATGGAAGAAACTTTGTCCTTTTGTTTTAAAATAATCTTCTCCCTCCCTTTGTTTATCTGAAGCTCATAATTATAACATGGTGTATGTCTTTCCTTTCTTTCTGGCAAATTTTTTTTCTCCATCTGTTTTTTATTGAATGATGTATGGGAAAGCCACATTTTCCTAGCTAGGAAAGCTTGGTAAGCTATTCTCAATGTCTCTATGCATTCTGTTTAACACATTCTTATTTTTAGCTTTCTGGGAAGATTTATACATGTGATTGTAGCCAGTATTAGCTTTTTAAACTCTTTCTTAGAAAATTTAAAGCTGCATTTATCCCTGAATACTTTTCCATGGCTACTTAGGATATTGTTCTAAATATGTAAAATTTTAGCTCATGTAGATGTGGTTTTAAACATTTTATGGACATTAACATGGGTGCATATGTATTTTTCTCTAGCTAAATTCATTTATATTTACTTATTTTGATACTAATATTAAATGCAGATAAAGAAAACTTAAATAACATGTTTTCTTTCCTGAATAAGGCTGAAAACCTATCACAGATAACCTCTTAGGTTTTGAAGTATCAGGACTACCAGAGAAAAAGAAAAAACATTCACTTTTAAAGCTTATACTTTAAAAGTATTATATGGCATACCATCATACTCTACAGTTTCAAGTGATAAAGCTGAATAATTCAATTTTAGAAGGAAGCACTGGAATCTTTAATCTTTATCACAGTTCATTGTTACTCTTTGTAAACTTCACCTGGAAGAGAATAAGATAATCAGATTGTCACTGGTGTACAGTTTTTCTGTTACATTTTAAAATCCTTATAGAAGAAAGTTTTGGCATTTTGTTTTTGGATAGTTTTGTATTTTGATTTGGTAGTCTCAGTAATTAATGCTTTTGTGATTACGTTAAGTATTTGTGACTAAACGCATGAATAGCTCAACTGACCAAAATCATTTCCTTTTTAATAAAAATGTAATCTTTTTTTCTTTTTTAGTTCATTGAGTTGCTTTCACTCAGTTGTCTTTTCAAGATCCAAAGTTAATAAAGAAGATCCTTTGGTTCACTTTGCTTTTGCTACCCTATGCTTGAAAACAGTAATAATTGGGTGGCGTCTTCCTGGATAATTTATTATGTGGATGGGAGATAACACCCCAGATAAAAACCCTCCTCAGTCCCTGCTTCCACTACTCTGTGAGATCCTTTGGCAGTTTGGTAGGAGAAAACAATTGGAAAGCTTCTCATGAATCCTCCTTACCTAAACCCACTATGTACAAAAATCAGGTGTTGAAAGGTACTTCTGTACTACTAGATTTTATATATTTTCTTTAAAGCCCAGATCCACCAATTACTCTCATGTAGCCTTGTAGAATTCTGTAATTTTTCTGTCCTAATTTTTCTTATCTCCAAAATTGAGATTAAAATAAAACTTTTAGGGCTATGATTGGGATTAAAGGAGTTACATGTATGATATTTAGAAGAGTGTTTGGTAGATAGTAAGCACTCTGTAAATGTTAATCATTATTATGGAATGGAGTATACCTTGGCAGCTAAGAGCTAAGGCTCTGGAGTCAAACTTGCTTTATTTCATACTATTTCTGCCCTTAAGCAAGCTACTTAATTTCCCTAAGCCATAATTCTCTCAATTGTAAAATTGGTATAATAATGGTATCAAAGTTGAAAGGTCGTTGTGAATTTAAATAAGGTAATATGCACAAGGCTCTTAGAATAATACCTGGCACATGCAATCACTGCACAAATATAACCTATTATTATCATTAACAGCATCTGTGTTGTATTATAAACTCCAGAAGAGCACATAGAAGACATTTACTTAATTCAATTGGTGTAGATTCTAAAAGAGAAACTCCTGTGAATAAATACCTCCAAATAATTAGATTTAAAATTTGGATTAGTCATGCTTTTCTTTTTTACTTCACCACCCAGTATTATGGTAAGTGGTTGAATACCACTAACAAATATAAGTAAACACATGTATACTAAATATGAAACAGTTAAATAACAAAGCCCTGTGTTAGACAGAAGTCTCAACTCCTAGAGAAAATGGATCCAGAGACAGTAAATATTTGTTTCAAGAGATAGGAAATAACCATAAAAGAATGGAGGAAAGTGTCAGAGGATTCCCTCAGCACAGACAAGAGTTTATTCACTTAAGAATTACTCCTGCAGTAGCATACCCCAGAAGATGTTCACAAACATTCAAAGAGTTTCTATTGGGCAGCCCCAACTACTATAGTTTCTGGGTTGTGCATATTGGTGCAAAAGTATCTAGAAAGAGAAAAATAAATGTTACTCTAAAAGTGGTAGAAATACATTGATAAACCATGTATAGATGAGGCACTAAACCCTTACTCTGTTCATTAAACTTTGAGCAACTGCAGACAATAATATTTATTACGTATTACTATTATTTTTTGCAATTGTTGTATCAGCATTGGCATCAGGAAAATGACCTGCATGGTGTGAATTAGCTTGAAGAAAACAAAACCCCCAAACACCAAAAAGTTAATGCAGGCTGGAACCTGCTGGAATTACCTAAGGAGAACAAGATCAGGACCAGGGGAGTAATATGACTCAAGTCATTCATGACCAAAAGCTTCATAATCTCTAGTGGGTACTTACTACATCCCAGGTACTGTGCCAAGTGCTTTAGATATATTATTTCATTTAATCTTCCCTGCAACCTTTTAGGCACTATTGCTGGCAGTCCCATTTTGTAGTTGAATAATTTTTTCAAGGCTAGGAATGGTAGAGCTGGGGTGGAAATCCAGGCATTCTGAATCCAGGGTCCATTTTATAACAGTTGCTACATATTTCATATCATTCCATTATAGAACAGAACTTTACATTATTTTTTTAAAAAACATTCTGTAGTTATAGTCTTGTGCGATGGTTTGAATATTTGTCCCTTCCAAAACACATGCTGAAACTTAATCCCCAATGTGGCAGTATGGAAAAGCGGGGTGTTTAAGAGACTCGGAGTTCATGAAAAAATTAGTCTATTCATTAATTTAAGTATTAATGGATTAATGAAATAATGGATTAATGAGTTATTATGGGAGTGGGACTGGTGGCTTTATAAGAAGAGAAAGAGAGACCTGAGATAGCACACTCAGCCTCCTCACCATGTGATACCTTGCACCACCTTGGAACTGCAGAGTCTCCACCATCAAGAAGGCCCTACAAGAAGTGACCTCTCAACCTTTGACTTCTCAGCCTCCATAACTGTAAGAAATAAATTCCTTTCTTTATAAATTACACAGTTTCAAATATTACATAATAAGCAACAGGCAACACACTAAGACACTTTGCTTAAGTTGTTAATGAACTACTTCGAATTAACTTTACAATGTAGGTTAAGTTCCCAGATAAATTCTTCTGTGGTTGTTATAAAGTCCTGAGTTAAAAACATTGATACCCAAGTGAAGGGGGAGGACCAGCAGCACTGTCAGCTTGAGGTTGTGGTCCTGTTTAGGGTAAACAATGGACTGATGAACTAGCTGGGGATTTAACAACGATTTGCCAGGAGTGAAACAGTCATAGGGTATGAGAAGCTCTCCATATATCCCAGATTGACTAAAGGCTCTGTGCATGTGCAGCAGAGACAGAAATGGGCTCAAGCCCCCCTCCCCACATTCCTGGATGACAAGCCTTAAGCACGTACATAGAGAGGACTCAAAAGATTTTGGTGGGAAGTAAAAGCTGAGGAAGTCTTGAAAATGGCATGCACTTTGAATCTGTTCTTCAGGCAACACACAGATCCATCAGCAGAGTGGAAGCCTTGCTGGCCTGAGGTTTCTGAGCACAACCTGTGAAAAATCTTTGCATGAACACTAAGCTATGTAAATATATCAGTGATTTCTGGAAAACCAGGCTTGGCCATAAAAGCAAGAAAAAAAAAAAAAAGAATGAGCAGAGACGTTATGACTGAGACACATTTTACAGATTTAGTCTAGACTAGTTATTAAACAATCAGCAACACAATAAGCCTCAGAGAGTAAATAAAAATCCAGAGTTTCTGCAGTATATTATCTAAAATGTCCATTATTCAACAAAAAATTACAAGATATGCAAGAAAACAAGTGAGACCTATGCCCAGGAAAAAAACAGTTAATTGAAAATCTCTGGATTTCTCCAGATTTTGCATTTAGCTGAGAAAGACTTTAAAGCAAGTATGATGACAATATTCAACTATGTAAACAAAATCATGCTTATAGAATGAAATTAATGTATGATGATAATGACTCAATAAACAAAAAATACGAGGACATAGAAATTATGTTAAAAAACAGAAATCCTGGAGATGAAAAGTACAATAAGTGAAATGAAAATTTTACTAAAGGCATTTAATAGGAGACTTAACAAGTCAGAAGGGAGTTAATTAAAGTTATCCAATCTGAAAAACAGAGACAGAAGTAATTGAAGAAAGTGAACAGAGCCTAAGAAAACAATGGGACAATATAAAGTATACATACAATGAGAATCCCAGAGAGAGAGGTGATAAAGAGACAGAAATAATATTTCAAAAAACAATAGCTGAAAAAGAAAATGAAAAATAAAAAAGGTGGAGAGAATTAATTGTCCACAGAAATGTCTTATAAAAAATACTAAAAAATTTTTTTTGATTTTTATTTTACTTTTCAGCTCAACAATTTCCTTTATGTAATTAAAGAAAATCTTTTAGTCTGAAAGAAAGTGGCACCAGAGAGTAACCACCAGAGAAATCCACCAGGGAAATGAGAAGTGAATGGTAATTATATGGATAAATATAAAAGCTTCTAATAATACTGTATTAATATTTTTACTCATTTCTTTTTTGAACTCCTTCAAAATACATAAGGTTGCACAAAACACTAATTATAACACTGTATTGTGGAGTTTACAACATATATAGAGATAATATATATAACAATATTAGCACAAAGGAGTGGAGAGGAAAAGGAGATATATTGGAGCAAAGATTCTATATTTTACCAGAATTAAGTCAGTATTATTTTGAAGGAAATTATGATAAGTTAAAATGCATTTCGTAATTGCTGGAGTCACCACTAAGAAGATAGCTAAAATATAGTAAAAAAAAAAAGCAGAGGAATTAAAATGGTTATACATACACAAGCACACACATATACATGTATATACATGTCTATATACATCTAGTGCCTAATTTTGTGAAAGTGTGTGTGTGTTTATATATATATGTATAGTGCCTATAAGCTAGGCACTAAATGAACAATGTTGAAAAAAGACACAAGACATATAGAAATCAAATCGAAAAATGCAGGCACAAATCCAAACACAGTAATAATTATATTAAATGTGAATGGACCAAACACATTACTTAAGAAACAAAGATTGTCAGATTGGATAAAAATACAAGAAACATGCTGTATGTAAGAGACATATCTTGGATTCAAGGACATGAATATGTTGGAAGTAAAAGGAGGAAAAAGATATATCATCCATAAAGTAACCATAAGAGAGATGGTTATATTAATGTCAGATAAAACAGAAGTTACAATAAGAAATTTTACTAAAGGCAAGGAAGGACATTGTGTAGTTATGAAAGGCAAAATACAATCATGAAGGTATAATAATTATAGATGTATATGTAACTAATAACACAGCCATACTTGAAAGAAAGTGTGATAAAATTAAGATGAGGAAAAGGTAATTTAAGAATAATAATTGGAGATTTAATTACTGTATTCTCAAAAACTAATGGACCAACTAGACAGAAAATCAGCAAGGTTAAAAAAAGCTAGAACAACATTATCAAACAGCTCAATCTAACTAATATACATACTGAGTAACTACAGAATACACATTCTTTTCAGGTGCACATATAAAATTCTTCAGGATAGGCCATATTCTGGGCCACAAAACAAGGCTCAATTTAAAAACTATTGAAATCATAAGTAGGTTCTCTGACCACTGCGGAATTTGATTACACCTCTGCAACAACAAAAATCAGAGAAACTTGTACACATATCTCAAAATTAACCTTCTATTTAACCCACGGGTGAAAGAAGAAATAAAAATGGAAATTTAAAAGTATTTTGAACTGAATGGAAACGAAAATACAACATATCAAAATTTAGTTAAAGCAATGTTTAGACCAAGAGGGCTTAGCAAGGTTTATAAAATCTGCAGTTGAAATCTGAAAGCTTGCAGCTTGTTCGTGAAGTGTGTGTGGTTTAAACATCAACGACAGGATTTTCTGTTTAAGTCATGACTTTATAATGCTATGAGTGGGTGCCTGCATTAGGTGTCGTAACATTTAAATAGATTGTCTATGCTAATATCATCCTTTAAAGATAAAAATTTAAGAAACATTTGTGCTTTCCCCAAAATATCCTTAAACTTCAGTGTTTAATCACAAGTTTCAACAGGCAAAGATTTTAAAAACTATGAGGTACTGAAATAAAACCAGAAATTCTGCAGTATTGATGAGTTATGATGAATGTAAGTTTGGCTGGTATATAAGAATTTATAAAATTTTATGTTTTGACAGTTCAATCTGAAGGTAACACACATTTTCAGATGTTGTTTTCAGAAAAAAATAAATAGAAGAGACTCCTGAATGTTTATTTGATACATTTATTTGGAATCTTTCATAATTCAAATGTTAAGTGCTTAGAAAAAAAATTTATAAATTAGGAAGTTATCTACAAATTAGACATTGGTCTTGGCCAAATGCCTAGTTTCTGCTTAAATATATTTCTTTTCAGTCAATTTCTTCTTCTATGCATAATTTCATCTTTATATAATTGTAATCATGTTACATAAGTGTTAAATAGCTTTCTTCAATTAATTATGATTTTTTTAATGTTATTACATAGACTTCTTAAGCCGTTGTGTGGAATAGTGGGATAATTATTGAGAGCAGTTTCCATAGTTTACTTAACTATTCCTGTACTACTGATCATTTAGACAATTTTCAGACTTCTACAGATATATACATTAGCCTTTGCTGGTATTAACATTATTTCATCAAGTTAAACTTTAGTTAGTGGATACTTTATCATTTTGATACATATTGCCAAACTGTCCACAAGATACTATTTTACATTTTACATCAGCTTATTTTGTTGTTTGTTGTTTATGTCCTGTGACTGTTGAATGTTTCTTGTCTTTGCATTTCTCTCATTAATTTGTAGGTCACTTACATGAATAAACTGTGAAACACTTGGTACAAAAGTGTTTGACAGCCATTGTGTGGAATAGTGAGATAATTATTATCTCACCATTTCATAATCTGTTCTTTAACAGATAACTTGATTTTGCCAGATAAATTTTCACTTTTTTATCAAGTCAAATCTTTAAATTATTTTTATTTTTCTAGGTTTTTTTTTTTTTTTTTTTTGAGACGGAGTGTCACTCTGTCACCCAGGCTGGAGTGCAGTGGCCTAATCTCAGCTCACTGCAAACTTCGCCTCCTGAGTTTAAGTGATTCTCCTGCCTCAGCCTCCCGAGTATCTGAGACTACAGGCGCCTGCCACCATGCCTGGCTAATTTTTGTATTTTTAGTAGAGATGGGTTTCACCATATTGGCCAGGCTGGTCTCCAACTCCTGACCCTGTGATCTGCCCGCCTCAGCCTCCCAAAGTGCTGGGATTACAGGCATGAGCCCCGCGCCGGGCCTTCTGAGTCTTTTTTTTTTTTTTAAATATATTTTTTTAATCAACTTTGTGAAAACTCCTTATAAAGGGTTGATAACTATTGTATCCTCTTTTAAGTTTTCTATGTTTTGTTTTGGAGTTTACTCTATTTTACTGCATGGTGTTGAGTTGAAGAAATAACATTTTTTTCATAAAATTACTCATAAATTATTCCAAGGCCATTTGCTTCATAATTTTTTCGTCTCTGTGAATTTCTGATAACACTCTTATCATTTGCAAAATTTTTACATGTAATAAAATTTGTTTCTGAGCTATTTATAATTTTTTATTAACATGTTTGTCTATTCTTGCTCTAGTACAAAAATATTTCTGAAGTCCATTTGAGAAAACAAATGGGTAAAAACAGCAGGGGGACAAAAACCCCTAGGAATTGTGTTTACTTGACTTTCCACTGATTTTCAGTCCATGCCTAGAACAGTGCTCTGCACCTGATAGACACTGAGTAAAGATTAGTTGCTAATTGAATGAATAAAAAATAAGTTCAGTAGCTGAGACCAACTTAGCATGCTTTTGAAACTTTTAGACTGAATATTATCCTTCAGTGATATTTTCTCAATATTTCTCTCAGTTGATTTCTCAATAACCTATAACTAGAGATTGCATTTTGATGAGGACCTGGATGATGGCTGTATAAATCCATATTCATGCTGCTATAAAGAACTACCTGAGACTGGATAATTTATGAAGAAAAGAGGTTTAATTGACTCACAGTTCTGAAGGCTTAACAGGAAGCATGACTGGGAGGCCTCAGGAAACTTACAATCGTGGTAGAAGGCGAAGAGGAAGCAAGCACGTCTTACCATGGCAGAGGAGAAGAGAGAGAAAGAGAAGGGGGAGGTGCCACACAGTTTCAAATGGTGAGATCTTGTGAGAACTCACTCACTATTATGAGAACAGCAAGGGGAAAATCTGTTACCATGATCCAGTCACCTTCCACCACGCCCCTCCTCCAATTCTACAGGAGATTTGTGTGGGGACACAAATCCAAACCATATCAATGGCAATGGGATTACTGGCTGACAGTGGATTTCTGGTGGACAGGGATAAATTTGTCACCTTGTTGCATGACTTGAATTTAACCTGGATTCTCACCTAATGGAAGGCCTTTTGGTGAAACGCCATTTTAGCTTTACAAAGAGGTATAGGTGGTAGGAATAGCAGAAATCGTGGTATATTCATCTGCAAAAGTTTTTATGAATTTTCCCAAATAATGTTTTATAGAACACTGTAAGTGGTATATATTCCATTTTCCAGTAGCATTTGGGATATCTAAACATGGGACAAATGCATAGTTATATTAAGAAATTTAAGCAGCAGAAAATATGGGTCAAGGCCAGGCATGGTGGCTCACACCTGTAATCCCAGCACTTTGGGAGGCTCAGGAGGACGGATCACCTGAGGTCAAGAGTTCAAGACCAGCCTGGCTAACAAGGGAAACCCTGTCTCTACTGAAAACATACAAAAATTAACCGGGCCTGGTGGCACGTGCCTGTAATCCCAGCTACTTGGGAGGGGGAAGCATGAGAATCACTTGATCCTGGGAGGCAGAGGTTGTAGGAAGCCGAGACTGCACCACTGCACTCCAGTCTGGGCAATAAAGCAAGACTCTGTCACCAAAAAAAAAAAAAAAAAAAAAAAAAGAAAAAAAAAAATATGGGTCAAATATAAATCTACGCTAAGAACCTTAGTTAAACGAAAATCACATATTACATAATTACCACACATTAAGTATACAGGCAAATTTATGGATAGCCATTGGCAGCCATAAATAAATAATAGCAATTCCTTTTAGCAATATATAAAATTTGTAATTGTTTTTGGTTGTCACCATGACCTCACATTTTTCATTTTTGGGAATTTCTTTGTCTTTGTCTGTTTGTGTTGCTGTAAAAGAATGCTAGAGGCTGGGTAATTTATAAAGAAAAGAAGTTTATTTGGATCATGGTTTTGCAGGTTGTACAAGAAGCATGGTACTGGCATCTGTATCTCGTGAGGGCCCAGGAAGCTTCCACTCATGGCAAAAGCTGAAGGGGAGCCCGTGTATGCAGATCACATGGAGGGAGGGGAGGCATGAGAGAGAGAGGAGGAATCACCAGGCTCTTTTCAGCAATCAGTTCTCAGGGGAGCTAAGAGTGAGAACTCACACACTCCCTGGAGAATGGCACCAAGCCATTTATCAGGGACTTACTCCCATGATCCAAACACCTCTCACCAGGCCCCACCTCTAATGCTAGGGATCAAATTATAACATGTGACTTGGTAGGATCAAACAAACCTTATCCAAACCATAGCAGTACTCATTATGTTACTCCTCATAATACTGGTAATTGTTTGCTTCTGCTGGTCTATCTAGAGCTTACACTGAAATCTACATTTCCTATCTTCTAAAGAAACTTCATATTATAGTAAGGTCATGAGATACCCATCTGGTGAAGCATTATGTCTTTAGGATCTGCTGCCAGCTGTACATACATTTGAAATGGGTAAAGGAAGGCCAGTGAGCAATAATACCATTCTGGATATAGGAACTGGCAAAGATTTTATGACAAAGACATCAAAAGGAATTGCAACAAAAGCAAAAATTGACAAATGATATCTAATTACACTTAAGAGCTTCTGCACAGCAAAGAAACTATTAACAGAGCAAACAGACAACGTATGGAAGGGGAGTAAATATTTACAAACTATGCATCTGACAAAGGTCTAATATCCAGCATCTTTAAGGAACTGAAACAAATTTACAAGAAAATAACCAAACAACCCCATTAAAAAGTGGGCAAAAGACATGAACAGACACTTCTCAAAAGAAGACATACATGCAGCCAACAAGCACATGAAAAAATGTTCAACATTACTGATCATTAGAGAAATGCAAATCAAAACTGCAAGAAGATACCATCTCAAACCAGTCAGAAAGGCTATTATTAGAAAGCCAAAAATAATAATAATAATAACATGCTAGTGAGGTTGTGGAGAAAAGGGAACACTGTTGGTGGGAGTATAAATTAATTTAGCCATTATGAAAAGCAGTGTGATCATTTCTAAAAGAGCCAAAAACAGACTACCATTTGACCCAGCAATCCCAGTACTAGCTGTATACCCAAAAGAATATAAATCATTCTACCATAAGGACGCATGCATGCATATGTTCACTGCAGCACTATTTACAATAGCCAAGACATTTAATCAACCTAAATGTCCATCAGCGGTAGACTGGGTAAAGAAAATGTGGTACATATACACCATGGCATACTATGCAGCCATAAAAAAGAATGAGATTATGTTCTTTGCAGGAATGGGACTGGAGGCCATTAACCTTAGCAAACTAATGCAGGAACAGAAAACCAAATACTACATGTTTTCACTTGTAAGTGGGAGCTAAAAGATGAGAACATATGGACACAAAGGGGAACAACAGACATTGGGGTCTGCCTGTGGGTGGAAGGTGGGGTGAAGGAGACTGTCAGAAAAAATAACTAATTAGTACTAGGCTTAATATCTGGATGATGTAATAATCTGTACAACAACCCCCTGTGGCACAATTTACCTTCTAACAAACCTGCAGATGTACCCGAACCTAAAATAAAAGTTTATAAAGAAAAGAAGGCCAATGAGTTTGAAGTTAAAGGTGTTGACTTTAGTAACTATAAAGAAGTCTCTTATAAGAAACTTATTTTAGTTTTAGAAGGTAATCATTTAGAAGGTAATTATTGTTCCTGTTATCTAATATCTATATTAGGAGATGAAGCAGTAACGTCCCAACTTGAAATGAACACAGAGGGGTAAATTAGAATAAATAGAGGAGGTTTTATTTATCAAGAGACTATTTCCAAAGGTTTGGGCAGAGCGTAGGGAAACCACATAGATAATAACCACATCGAGTGTAGGGAAACCACATAGATAATGAATAATTAGTCATGTCCAGCAAAGACTCCTGATTTCCAGGAGTAGAAATGGTAAAGGAGTTTTATCACTTTTCATGTGGAAGGAATTAGGGGAGGAATCCAGCAGGAGACTTATGTAGAGACGGCAGTCTTGAGCCATATTGTAACCTTGAGGGGCTACAGCCAGGGCAATAAGTAACCAGACTTACCATCTTCCCTCCTCCCCATTGGCTGAATTCAACAAGAAGCCAGAGGACATGGAAACCTGTTGACTTTGTCCATACCAGTCAGCCTCTTGGGGCCAGAGGGCTGTATGGAGAAGGATTTAAAGGAGGAAATGGAAGATATTCAGCACAGTGGAGGGGTGCGGTGGGAGTAAGGTGTAGAATTACCTGACTTGCATCATGTTATGCTGCCTGTTCCACTAAAAGGAACCTCAATTGTGATAATATAGCCTGAGAGATTCTTACAAGCTATGACCACCATTCTGTAAACAATTCCCATTATACATATGAATATTATAAATTACTTCATTTGAGAAATTTGTCATGAGCATCATGTTTCAGAAGGATCTGGACCAGTTTTTACATGGGTTTGGTTTTCCATTGATGGAAAAAAGAAGATACAAGGAGATACAAAGAAAAATGAGACAACACTGCTCATATTTTGCCTTTACGCTTCAGAAAAAAAAAGCATGAAAAGAAAATAAGGCCACAAATATGTGTAGTGTGATAAAACAACTTCTCCTTGATTTTTTTATAATTAAAAAATCTATATTTTCTATAAAAAGAGGCAATTCAATAAAGAAGAGAAGCAAATTGATGATAGCTATTTGAAAAAGTTAACCTCACTAATAAATGCAAATTACAGACACGGTGAAATTTACTTTTTGAACATTGGATAAAGATCAGTTTTCCCAGTGTTGATGAGTTTGTGGTGGAACAGGCCTTTACAGGGTCTGATGGGAATTTATATTGATACCATCTTTCTGGAAATAATTTTGGCAATACAAATTAGTAACATTGAAGCAGTTCATACACATAGACTTATTTCATTTAGTTTCACCAGAGAGAACCTAAATGTTTAACATTATAGATATGCTTGAGGGTATTATATATTAACCATAAGATGGACTATTATGAAACATTTATTATGGTTTTTGAAAGTTCTTAATGCATGAAAAATGTTTATAATATAATGGTAGTTTTAAAAAGGATATAAATAGATAAAAATGTCAGTGGTGACCATCTAGTAGTAATGAAAGAACGGGTGACTTCTATTATTTCTCTCTACTTTTATGTTTTATATATATATATATATATATATGTGTATATATATATATGTGTATATATGTATATATATATATGTATTATATATATTTATATATATATGTATTGCAGTGAGCATGTTTAACCTTTAAAACACAAAACTAATAATAAACATATTTTTAAAAAGTTGTTTCTGTTGCTGGTTCTCTGAGCAACTATAAAATGTTTGACAATCAGCTGGAGACATTGGTTTGCTTAATGCTCTGTAAAGAATAAAAAGAGTAGAGTAAGTTTAAACTTCTTTGGGAGTCATGTGGAATTTGAAAGCTTCAGAAATATTTGTATTTATGCTCTGTTTATATACATACGGTTTGAAAAAAGTGATTTTAATGTTTTGTTTTTTGTGCTTTAATGTGTTTTCCAAAATGACTATAATGACATAGTTACTTAAAAAAAAAACTTTTTTAAAGAGCAGTTTTAGGTTCACAGCATATTACTTTTTACAATAAAAAAACTACTTTTATATACAAATTGGTCACGGTGGGAATTAAGCAATTAGGTACATGAAAGTTTATTTCTTTTGTGTACTTTGAAAGTAATTTTAAAATATAATTATACTTATTGTGCTTGGTTGTTTTAATAATAAAGCATTGTATGGAAGCAAACCCATGATTAGCTAACCTCAAGTTGGTGTATCACTCAGGCGAACACCACATGATTGAGATTTTCTTTTGCTTCCTGAAGGCCTAATGCAGGGAAGAGAGATGGAAAGTGATAGAAAAAGGCTTTTTTCCCTCGGCTGTTACTATCTTAACACAGAGCTCATATCACTATGTAGAGTAAATAGTCAACGCGTGCTTCAGAGAATTAAAATGGAGCAGAAGACCTTAGATGCATTAATAAAGTTTGTTAAGAAAACAAGTATTACCCATTTCTACTGAGAGGCATGAGAAGAGAAAAAGGGGAGAGGACAGCTGTTACTCCTTGTTTCCTCTGCTGATTGCTTCAAAGAGCTTCTGATAATGCCTAATGAACTCGTGATCCTCATTCCTTTTTCTTCCCTCTTCCCAATTCATTTTCATCTTCTTTGTTCTTTATCTAACACTGTGTCTCAATCTCTCTCTCTTTCTCATCTATTTACCTCTAGTTCTATCTTCTCTGTTTCTGGAACTTTTCTTAATATAGGAGCTTTAGTTTCCTAGTGCTGCTATAACAGATTACTACAAACTGGGTGGTTATAAAACAACAGAAATACATCCTCTCAGAGTTCTGGAGGTCAGAAGTTTGAAATTAAGGTATCTGCAGGGTTGGTTCCCTCTGGAGGCTCTGAAGGAGAATCCGTTTCGTGTTTCTCTCTTGGCTTCCGGTGGCTGCCAGCAATCCTTGGTGTTGCCTGGCTTATAAATGCATCCCTTCAATCTCCACCTCTGTCTTCAGGCTACCCTCTCCTCTATGAGTTCTACCTTTCTCTTTTCTTATAAGGACACTTGTTATTGGATGTAGGGCCCACACTAATCTCGAATGACCTCATCTTGAGATCCTTAACTGAATCACATCCTGCAAAGACTCTGATTTCCAAATAAGGTCACACTCGTAAGTTCTGGGTAGACATATTGTTGGAGAGGTTACCATACAGCCCACTACACTAGGACACTTTTCCTGGTAACGTTTCTCTCTACTTTATAACTATTTCCTTTCCCTAATTCCTATCTTCCTTCTTGCTGTCCTTCATTCTGGTGTATA
The DNA here is from genome assembly GCF_000001405.40 of Homo sapiens. NCBI lineage: Eukaryota > Metazoa > Chordata > Mammalia > Primates > Hominidae > Homo > Homo sapiens. The sequence continues at coordinate 37,244,953 of NC_000013.11, forward strand.
GAACTTGGAATTTAGATTCTCTGCTGCAGAGTTTCCCAGAATGCTGTTCTGCTAGATGTAATGTCTAGTGGGTTCTGAGGCCCAACCAATGTGGGATGTACTGTATTCTGTATCTTCCTATTGGATATTTATAACACATGTTACCATATTAATGGCCTGAGAAATCCTTCTGTCTCATTTCCTAAACCATTAAACCCTTTTCAGAAAAATGTCCAATATAATTTTGTGAAACTCTGCTTTGTGGCACTTTTTTAGGAACTACCATGGAACAGATTTTTTTTTTCCCACTAACTGCAATGCTATGTTGGTAGTTTGTTTGTTTTTAAAAATTCATTTTCTGCCTATCTCTCAACAGGTCTCACTTTTTGTTTTTCAACTCCTTCTTTGCAAAAATTGTTATATTATCTTCAAAATTTCTACGCCATGTTTATGTAGGTAACTGCTAAATTCATTTCTTTAATTTTGATCTGTAATCAGCTTAAATTCTCAACATTTTCTATCTAGTATTAGTTGAGAATGAGCAATTTCTATATTTTCAGGTTTTTCTTGTGATGTTTAAAACTCTTGTTTTTTAAAAATTATATTTCAAAATAACAGCCTTGAAGCATATTAAAAGACTTTTTACTTCAAATGGGAGAGACAGTAGAAAGTAATTAGTGTAGAAACTTTAATATCTATTTACAAACCCATAACTCTTCACAATGTTTTAGAAAATGGCTCCAAGAACAAATTATACTATATCAGGTAAGCTGCAGAAAGAAAATGGGCTTATATTTTAATACTGGTTCAGGCATTTAGGCTACTCCCATTACTCAAGGGATTTTCTGCACATTTTGAGTTGATGTTGGAATTTTAAAAGGTATGAGGCAACAGCCACACTGATATTTCTGTCTCATTCATCTTTATAAATTTCATGTTTTATTGTTAGTTTTACATATAACTACGATAACTTTCCTATCTACAAGGCTACAGCAAATGGAAGTTTAACTTTTTGGAGTACTTTAAAATGAGATTTAAAATCAACTTTTAAAAACATAAACATATTTCTCTTTATGAAGTAATATGCTTCAGTTTGTCCTGAACTATTAACACTCAAGAACTACTTGGTGGCTGTCACTATTCTCTAGATAGTCGTAAAACTTTTAATATGGTGAAACCCTGACATGTTAATTAGAGTACCATATAACTCTCCACTCTTCAAGAGTTTCCATATTCATAGATGACATATATATTTGGTTTTCTTTACATAGACCATTACTCCATTTATTCCATTGTACTTGAATCCATCTAATGAGCTTCTGATTCTACCCATGAGCAGTGCTTTGAGTGGCTTGCCAAATTTTTACTGAAGGTTTAGGTGTTTGTTGAGCCCAGTCTGACAGCTGCTGTTTTCATTTAATGATTTTGCAAGGAATTCGGCAACTTACTTGGCCATTGGCTTGAGTTTGCAAGTATTCTCACTTCTTACATTTGTAAGTATGGAAAAAAGGCCCTCTTCTCCCTGGTTAAACCAAATGAGGAGAAACTTTACCCTAGGGAAGTAAGAAAATAATGAACATAGAATTTTGCCAAAACTGTTGGTATGTCTGTGAAATATAAGGATCTTTAGAGATGGGAGTTAATAACAAAAAAAATTATCAAAATGGTATTTGAGTAGTGATAAAGCTTAGCTTGAATTTAATTTCCTTTTCTCTCTCATAATTTGATTATTTTACGGAAGTTGATTGAAAGATAGGTGGCGGATCCCAAGACATTTCTTTATGGAGATAAGGCCTCTAAATTTTTCTTCTAAACAACCTGGGGATAGACTGAGTAGATTGTTCTGGACCCCTCCAAAGTAGGTATGGTAGACAATGAAATAATTATTTGCTTTTAAGACTGCTAAGAGATAGTTCCCTAAGGGTGTCTCTGGCATCTGCACCTGTCATGAGCAGAGGCATTAACTATACTTTTGTTCCACACTATATTTCAAAAGTGTTTGGATAGATAATATCTTTGGAAGATAGAGTAATGCCCCCCCTGCAACAGACAGAAGATTTACTTACTTTTCAGCATAATAAAGACAATTTCTTTCAGAGCAGAGATCAAGCAGATTTGATTAGTGCCCATTATAAAATATTTTGGTTACCTAAGCTCAAGTTTCCTCATCTGTGACACTAACCCACTGTGTGTGATGCATCCACCTGGCTCACTCCACATTGCCCTCGTGGGACCTGGGGGACAAGAGGAAGATACACAACTTGCAAGCCTAGAAAGCTCAATTGCTGTGAGTAATTATGCTCATGTTTCTGATCCGGGGGTCTTTACTCAGATTTATTAAGTGTTAATTCTTTAGTATAATTTTCAGAGGCTACTTTATTTCTCCTATTTTCAAGATTTTGGGGGCAGTTCATAATAGCCCTCTTGACTGTTTTATAGGACTTAATGCAGATGACTAATAAGGCTTTAAAATTGAAAGGTACCAATTTTTTTTTTCATTTTACTAGTCAGAATAGGCTATGTATGCTGCAATAACAAATTAAACCCCAAATCTTAGTAGATGAAAACAACCAAGATTTATTTGGGGCTTACACAGTGTTCATTGAGAATTAGGTGACTCTATAGGGCAGTTTTATCTTTCATCCTCCACATAATGATTGATTCAGGCTGTTCTTATTGTGGGTGTTGCCATCTGAATCTGTGTACCCTTAACGGTAGAGTGAGGGAAGAGAGTAAGTGCACAACTCACGCTCACCCTTGTATGCCTTGACTCTCATCACTTAGTAACATGGCCCTAGCAAGTTGCGAGGTGGCTGAGAGTTGTAGGGGAAACCACGGACATTAAGTAAACAATGAATGTCTGTCACTTTCATGGATATCTTTGCAAATATTTTTAAAAAGTACATTGACTTGCCAAAATATTCTCATGCTAGCAATGCATTTAAAAATATTTTAGTCTCATAATGAATTTAAGTAACTGCTATGTGCAAATCCCTCTCTCCTTTAAAAAAAAAAGTGTCTTTGCTATTTTTGTCTGATTACTCTTCCAGATAAAACTCAAAATCCTTTTGGGGTATTTAAAGTTATTTCAAAAAATTTTTTTGACATTCTTATTGGAATCAAATTAAAGCTATAAAGTAATGTAGGAAGAATTGATATTTTTATATTAGTGTTTCAATGCAGAAACAGGGCTAATTATAATTTCTATAGTAATAAAGATTTATATTTCCTTCATAAGATACAAATGCATTTGTAAAATAATAATTCATAAGCATTTTAGATTTTGGATTGCTTTTTGTGAATGGAATTTCTTTTATCTAATTACCCCTTACATTTGATTATGAGAACTAACATGTTTCTTTGAAAAAAATTGATAAGATAGATAAACCTGTAGAAAAGCCTGAGAAAATGTAGAAGAAAGAAAAACAAAATGTGAAAAATGAAATGTAAGTAACTATACACATATATAAAAAGGATTTTAAAAATCATAAGCAAATATGAATAATCACATACTAATTTGAAAATCAAAATGACATGGTTACATTTCTGGAAAAAATTAAAATGCTGCAATTGGTTCTTAATGAAATAGAAATAGAAAAGAAACAAAATACTTGAAAAGATAATGAGCATGAAATAATTTGAAATAGCGATAAAACTATCCCTTCTGTAAACGTACTAGTTTAGATGATTTTTCAGGCTAGTTCTACTTTCAAGTGTGAAAGTTGATTATACAAATTGGGTCATTCTTGTCATACCCCACTAAATCAGAATCAAGGGGCCAAAGGAAAATGTTACATAGTACCTGCTCCAATAACTGAATTTTCTGCAAGCCCAGTGGCTGAAATGGCCTGCTGTAAACCTCAAATCAGTTTTACCTAGTAGCTGCTGAAACAACCTGCTGTGATGCCAGCATCACTCACCTATCAGAGCTTGCCAGCTTCCAAAAACCTCTCTAGTGTCAATGAGCTTGTTTTCAAAATAGTATGTAGCATTTTTCTAACAAAACCCCAACCTTTCCTTTCTTCTTTGGACACACTGAAGATCACCCTGCTCTGTGTGTATGCCCCTAATCGCAACTCAGCAATTCTCAAATAAAACTTTAAATTTAGAGATTTGTCTCTATATTTTATTTTTATTTCAATGCTAATACTACCCTAAATTAGATTGTCCGTGAAAAGAGTAAAAGAGGCAAAAAAACCTGATCAATTCCTGTGAGGTTTTTTTTTTTTTTTTTTTTTTTTTTTTTTTGAGACAATGTTTCACTCTGTCACCCAGGCTGGAGTGCAGTGGTGCAATCATAGGTCACTGAAGCCTTGAACTCCAGGGCTCAAACTATTCTCCTGCCTTAGCCTCCTGAATAACTGGGACTACAGGTGCACACCACCATGCTGGGCTAAATTTTAAATTTTTAGTAGAGATGGGGTCTTGCTATGTTGCCCAGGCTGGTCTTGAACTCCTGGTTTTAGACTTCAGCCTCAGCATGCCAAAGTGCTGGGATTACAGGGATGAGCCACCATGCTAGGCCAAACTCAAATTCTTTTTGAGGCTAGTATAATGTAGATATCAAAAATTCAAAGACAGAAAGAGAAAAGAAAGTTATGGACAAATTACATTTATGATTAGAGGTGAAAAATCTATAATAAAAACATGTAACAGTAATTAAAAGGCTAAACCTGCAGATTTGGTGTTTTGATAAATAATTTAAAGAATATATTACAGTTGTTAAAATAAGAAAAGTGCATTGGAATTAGTATTATCTTGATTCCTTAACTCTTTTTGCATATGCAGAGTTAAATAGGTGCTTCTAAATGAAAAACAATGGGTATAACTAATATTAATGTGGCAGGTAACTTGCCAGGATTAACTTGACAAAGATATTTTGATATACCTCTCATAAAATGAGAATATGAATTGTTCTATTAATTAATTGAGTTAATTGTGTAGCAAATTCTTTGCAATCAGTTGATTTCCAATGCTTTGTTTTCAACAGTACTGGGGAAAGACCTAATTGAATTTTCAGCTGGTTGATCAGAAAAAGTAATTTTTGATTTTAAGTCACTGTAATTTTGGTGAAGGAGTACAAAAAACTGCATGACATTTGCTCAACAAACAAAATTTCTCCCATTATCATCTGTCTTTTTATGTGACTAAGGTTTCTTTGTACTTAGGCCTATAAAAACGAAAAAATACAAGGAAAATCAGTGCTGTGCATTATTTCATGCTAGCCATAGGTCATATCTACTGTGGATACATTACTTAATGGAAAAACTAAAAAATACCTTTAATCAATGGATGCATTTCTAATAAGATTTACTTTTGTGTTTTAAAGTTATTTAAGAAAATTTATAATGTTGTTTTGATGAACTGTGTGTTAATAATATTAACAAATCTATTCCAAATAATGTTTTTGGGGGGAGCCAAGATGGCCGAATAGGAACAGCTCCGGTCTACTGCTCCCAGCGTGAGCGACGCAGAAGACGGGTGATTTCTGCATTTCCATCTGAGGTACCGGGTTCATGGTTCATCTCACTAGGGAGTGCCAGACAGTGGGCGCATGTCAGTGGGTGCGCGCACCGTGCGCGAGCCGAAGCAGGGGGAGGCATTGCCTCACTTGGGAAGCGCAAGGGGTCAGGGAGTTCCCTTTCCTAGTCAAAGAAAGGGGTGACTGACGGCACCTGGAAAGTCGGGTCACTCCCACCTGAATACTGCGCTTTTCCGACGGGCTTAAAAAACGGCACACCACGAGATTATATCCCGCACGTGGCTCGGAGGGTCCTATGCCCATGGAGTCTCGCTGATTACTAGCACAGCAGTCTGAGATCAAACTGCAAGGTGGCAGCGAGGCTGGGGGAGGGGCGCCCGCCATTGCCCAGGCTTGCTTAGGTAAACAAAGGAGCCAGGAAGCTCGAACTGGGTGGAGCCCACCACAGCTCAAGGAGGCCTGCCTGCCTCTGTAGGCTCCACCTCTGGGGGCAGGGCACAGACAAACAAAAAGACAGCAGTAACCTCTGCAGACTTAAATGTCCCTGTCTGACAGCTTTGAAGAGAGCAGTGGTTCTCCCAGCACGCAGCTGGAGATCTGAGAACGGGCAGACTGCCTCCTCAAGTGGGTCCCTGACCCCTGACCCCCGAGCAGCCTAACTGGGAGGCACCCCCCAGCAGGGGCACACTGACACCTCACACGGCAGGGTACTCCAACAGACCTGCAGCTGAGGGTCCTGTCTGTTAGAAGGAAAACTAACAAACGGAAAGGACATCCACACCAAAAACCCATCTGTACATCACCATCATCAAAGACCAAAAGTAGATAAAACCACAAAGATGGGGAAAAAACAGAACAGAAAAACTGGAAACTCTTAAAAGCAGAGCACCACTCCTCCTCCAAAGGAACGCAGTTCCTCACCAGCAACAGAACAAAGCTGGATGGAGAATGACTTTGACGAGCTGAGAGAAGAAGGCTTCAGACGATCAAATTACTCTGAGCTACGGGAGGACATTCAAACCAAAGGCAAAGAAGTTGAAAACTTTGAAAAAAATTTAGAAGAATGTATAACTAGAATAACCAATACAGAGAAGTGCTTAAAGGAGCTGTTGGAGCTGAAAACCAAGGCTGGAGAACTACGTGAAGAATGCAGAAGCCTCAGGAGCCGATGCGATCAACTGGAAGAAAGGGTATCAGCAATGGAAGATGAAATGAATGAAATGAAGCGAGAAGGGAAGTTTAGAGAAAAAAGAATAAAAAGAAATCAGCAAAGCCTCCAAGAAATATGGGACTATGTGAAAAGACCAAATCTACGTCTGATTGGTGTACCTGAAAGTGACGGGGAGAATGGAACCAAGTTGGAAAACACTCTGCAGGATATTATCCAGGAGAACTTCCCCAATCTAGCAAGGCAGGTCAACGTTCAGATTCAGGAAATACAGAGAACACCACAAAGATACCCCTCGAGAAGAGCAACTCCAAGACACATAATTGTCAGATTCACCAAAGTTGAAATGAAGGAAAAAATGTTAAGGGCAGCCAGAGAGAAAGGTCGGGTTACCCTCAAAGGGAAGCCCATCAGACTAACAGCGGATCTCTCGGCAGAAACCCTACAAGCCAGAGGAGAGTGGGGGCCAATATTCAACATTCTTAAAGAAAAGAATTTTCAACCCAGAATTTCATATCCAGCCAAACTAAGCTTCATAAGTGAAGGAGAAATAAAATACTTTACAGACAAGCAAATGCTGAGAGATTTTGTCACCACCAGGCCTGCCCTAACAGAGCTCCTGAAGGAAGCGCTAAACATGGAAAGGAACAACCGGTACCAGCCGCTGCAAAATTATGCCAAAATGTAAAGACCATCGAGACTAGGAAGAAACTGCATCAACTAATGAGCAAAATCACCAGCTAACAGTATCATGACAGGATCAAATTCACACATAACAATATTAACTTTAAATGTAAATGGACTAAATGCTCCAATTAAAAGACACAGACTAGCAAACTGGATAAAGAGTCAAGACCCATCAGTGTGCTGTATTCAGGAAACCCATCTCACATGCAGAGACACACATAGGCTCAAAATAAAAGGATGGAGGAAGATCTACCAAGCAAATGGAAAACAAAAAAAGACAGGGGTTGCAATCCTAGTCTCTGATAAAACAGACTTTAAACCAACAAAGGTCAAAAGAGACAAAGAAGGCCATTACATAATGGTAAAGGGATCAATTCAACAAGAAGAGCTAACTATCCTAAATATATATGCACCCAATACAGGAGCACCCAGATTCATAAAGCAAGTCCTGAATGACCTACAAAGAGACTTAGACTCCCACACATTAATAATGGGAGACTTTAACACCCCACTGTCAACATTAGACAGATCAACGAGACAGAAAGTCAACAAGGATACCCAGGAATTGAACTCAGCTCTGCACCAAGTGGACCTAATAGACATCTCCAGAACTCTCCACCCCAAATCAACAGAATATACATTTTTTTCAGCACCACACCACACCTATTCCAAAATTGACCACATACTTGGAAGTAAAGCTCTCCTCAGCAAATGTAAAAGAACAAGAACAGAAATTATAACAAACTATCTCTCAGACCACAGTGCAATCAAACTAGAACTCAGGATTAAGAATCTCACTCAAAACCGCTGGACTACATGGAAACTGAACAACCTGCTCCTGAATGACTACTGGCTACATAACGAAATGAAGGCAGAAATAAAGATGTTCTTTGAAACCAACGAGAACAAAGACACAATATACCAGAATCTCTGGGACACATTCAAAGCAGTGTGTAGAGGGAAATTTATAGCACTAAATGCCCACAAGAGAAAGCAGGAAAGATCCAAAATTGACACCCTAACATCACAATTAAAAGAACTAGAAAAGCAAGAGCAAACACATTCAAAAGCTAGCAGAAGGCAAGAAATAACTAAAATCAGAGCAGAACTCAAGGAAATAGAGACACAAAAAACCCTTCAAAAATTAATGAATCCAGGAGCTGGTTTTTTGAAAGGATCAACAAAATAAATAGACCGCTAGCAAGACTAATAAAGAAAAAAAGAGAGAAGAATCTAATAGACACAATAAAAAATGATAAAGGGGATATCACCACCGATCCCACAGAAATACAAACTACCATCAGAGAATACTACAAACACTTCTATGCAAATCAACTAGAAAATCTTGAAGAAATGGATAAATTCCTCGACACATACACTCTCCCAAGACTAAACCAGGAAGAAGTTGAATCTCTGAATAGACCAATAACAGGAGCTGAAATTGTGGCAATAATCAATAGCTTACCAACCAAAAAGAGTCCAGGACCACATGGATTCACAGCCGAATTCTACCAGAGGTACAAGGAGGAACTGGTACCATTCCTTCTGAAACTATTCCAATCAATAGAAAAAGAGGGAATCCTCCCTAACTCATTTTATGAGGCCAGCATCATTCTGATACCAAAGCCGGGCAGAGACACAACCAAAAAAGAGAATTTTAGACCAATATCCTTGATGAACATTGATGCAAAAATCCTCAATAAAATACTGGCAAACCGAATCCAGCAGCACATCAAAAAGCTTATCCACCATGATCGAGTGGGCTTCATCCCTGGGATGCAAGGCTGGTTCAATATACGCAAATCAATAAATGTAATCCAGCATATAAACAGAGCCAAAGACAAAAACCACATGATTATCTCAATAGATGCAGAAAAGGCCTTTGACAAAATTCAACAACCCTTCATGCTAAAAACTCTCAATAAATTAGGTATTGATGGGACGTATTTCAAAATAATAAGAGCTATCTATGACAAACACACAGCCAATATCATACTGCATGGGCAAAAACTGGAAGCATTCCCTTTGAAAACTGGCACAAGACAGAGAAGCCCTCTCTCACCACTCCTATTCAACATAGTGTTGGAAGTTCTGGCCAGGGCAATTAGGCAGGAGAAGGAAATAAAGGGTATTCAATTAGGAAAAGAGGAAGTAAAATTGTCCCTTTTTGCAGACAACATGATTGTATATCTAGAAAACCCCATTGTCTCAGCCCAAAATCTCCTTAAGCTGATAAGCAACTTCAGCAAAGTCTCAGGATACAAAATCAACGTACAAAAATCACAAGCATTCTTATACACCAACAACAGACAAACAGAGAGCCAAATCATGAGTGAACTCCCATTCACAATTGCTTCAAAGAGAATAAAATACCTAGGAATCCAACTTACAAGGGATGTGAAGGACCTCTTCAAGGAGAACTACAAACCACTGCTCAATGAAATAAAAGAGGATACAAACAAATGGAAGAACATTCCATGCTCATGAGTAGGAAGAATCAATATTGTGAAAATGGCCATACTGCCCAAGGTAATTTACAGATTCAATGCCATCCCCGTCAAGCTACCAATGCCTTTCTTCACAGAATTGGAAAAAACTACTTTAAAGTTCATATGGAACCAAAAAAGAGCCTGCATCGCCAAGTCAATCCTAAGCCAAAAGAACAAAGCTGGAGGCATCACACTACCTGACTTCAAACTATACTACGAGGCTACAGTAACCAAAACAGCATGGTACTGGTACCAAAACAGAGATGTAGATCAATGGAACAGAACAGAGCCCTCAGAAATAATGCCGCATATCTACAACTATCTGATCTTTGACAAACCTGAGAAAAACAAGCAATGGGAAAAGGATTTCCTATTTAATAAATGGTGCTGGGAAAACTGGCTAGCCATATGTAGAAAGCTGAAACTGGATCCCTTCCTTACACCTTATACAAAAATGAATTCAAGATGGATTAAAGACTTAAACGTTAGACCTAAAACCATAAAAACCCTAGAAGAAAACCTAGGCAATACCATTCAGGACATAGGCATGGGCAAGGACTTCATGTCCAAAACACCAAAAGCAATGGCAACAAAAGACAAAATTGACAAATGGGATCTAATTAAACTAAAGAGCTTCTGCACAGCAAAAGAAACTACCATCAGAGAGAACAGGCAACCTACAGAATGGGAGAAAATTTTTGTAACCTACTCGTCTGACAAAGGGCTAGTATCCAGAATCTATAATGAACTCAAACAAATTTGCAAGAAAAAAACAAACAACCCCATCAAAAAGTGGGCAAAGGACATGAACAGACACTTCTCAAAAGAAGACATTTATGCAGCCAAAAAACACATGAAAAAATGCTCATCATCATTGGCCATCAGAGAAATGCAAATCAAAACCACAATGAGATACCATCTCACACCAGTTAGAATGGCGATCATTAAAAAGTCAGGAAACAACAGGTGCTGGAGAGGATGTGGAGAAATAGGAACACTTTTACACTGTTCGTGGGACTGTAAACTAGTTCAACCATTGTGGAAGTCAGTGTGGCGATTCCTCAGGGATCTAGAACTAGAAATACCATTTGACCCAGCGATCCCATTACTGGGTATATACCCAAAGGACTATAAATCATGCTGCTATAAAGACACATGCACACGTATGTTTATTGCGGCACTATTCACAATAGCAAAGACTTGGAACCAACCCAAATGTCCAACAATGATAGACTGGATTGAGAAAATGTGGCACATATACACCATGGAATACTATGCAGCCATAAAAAATGATGAGTTCATGTCCGTCGTAGGGACATGGATGAAATTGGAAATCATCATTCTCAGTAAACTATCTCAAGAACAAAAAACCAAACACCGCATATTCTCACTCATAGGTGGGAATTGAACAATGAGATCACATGGACACAGGAAGGGGAACATCACACTCTGGGGACTGTTGTGGGATGGGGGGAGGGGGGAGGGATAGCATTGGGAGATATACCTAATGCTAGGTGACGAGTTAGTGGGTGCAGCGCACCAGTGTGGCACATGTATACATATGTAACTAACCTGCACAATGTGCACATGTACCCTAAAACTTAAAGTATAATAATAAAAGAAACAAAAAAAGAATGTTTTTAACCCAGCTTAGTTCCCCAGTAAGCTCCCACTTGATGACAATGCTGTTGGTCTAGAACCATGTTTTGAGAAGTGAGGTTCTAATACATGCTTGAGAAGCTTGTTAACTGTTCTGAAAACACCAACTCACTGACGGAAAGTAAAAAAGGTACCGTGGCCTGTGTGTTCCAACTAGGTGAGGCACCAGAGAGCCATTCAGAAGAAGGTGAAACTGTGAAAACTAACAAAAGTCTAAGCTGGCCCCTGTTGTGCAGTTTGGATGACTTAAAGTTGACACGATCAGAAACAGAAGTCAGTGATCTGGAATCAATAATACCTCATGAATGAAACCATGAAATGAGGGAAATTTTGCTACATTTGAACAGCCAAATAACTCTTCTTTTCTAAAGAAGTACAGTCTTAGTGTCTGCTCTTAAAGGTGGATCAGAAACTTACCTTATGCAATGATGCTTTTAATATAATATTATTAAGTGGTTTGGCTCAAAATAATCAGTCTTTTCAGGAGTGTAAAATTGAGGCAGAATGTGAGTATACCTGTACTACTTTGATTTGAGTCTGAATTGAGGGCTTTTAACTATGAGGAGAGTCCGAGTACACATTTAATAACCTAATTACTCAGTAAAAAAATTCACTACATGCATGTCATATTGAATTATTAGGTTTATGATATTGAATTAGGGAAAATTCATTTAAAAATGAACTAGTACTGTGGTTATTAAGAAGTAAAACTTAATTGCTAAATTGTGTCAGTGATATTCTCCAGCTGCATGGGTATTTTGAGAATATTAAGTTGTGATGTCCCTAGACTTGAAGGATATTCCTTCCTTTAGGCAATGGTATACTTTAACTAGCTCCCATGGGATATTTAGTATTTGTCAATTTCCCTGTGGGGCAATTTAAACTTTTGCTTTTTACTCCTATGCTGGAACTGTGGCTAAATTACTATATCTTGCAGAAATTAGTTCTACCTCTTTATGAAGATAGTCTCATCCGGAATTGTGCAATACCAATTTGAAAACTAATGACATTCATGATGTGGTTAAGAGAGCAGTTTTCAAGATCAGACTGATTGTGTTTAAATCCTAACTCTATTATTAAATAGTTGGTTAATCTTAGTTAATTTTTAACTTCTCACAGCTTCTGTTTTTCTCCTCTGTAAATGGAAAATAATAATTAGATTAAATAAAATAACACATGAAAACACTTAGCATGGAGGGTGGCACAGAGAAATTATCAATAAATGTTAGCTATTATGGTTATTATATTTAGTCATCTATTCATTTGTTCATTCAACTTATTTTATATTGCATGCCCACTGGTTAGGTGCATGGAAATCAGAGATAGACTCTGCTCCAGTCATTGATGCACTAATGAACTCATTGTCCAGTTGGAGATAGAGACAAGTAAAGAAATGAATACTATTCAGTGTTATAAGTGGTAAGACAGAGGATCTAATGAGCCATCTATCATGAGTGGGAGTGGACGTCATAGAAGATTAACTGGAGGAGGTGATATCTGGATTGAGGCTTAAAGGATGAGTGGGATTTTCTAGGGCAGTAGGTAACAGTGTTCCAGGCAGAAGGAATAGGATTTAGGACTGATATTATATCTGAGTGTGACTCATCCATGTAAGATCATCTTTTAAAGTTTATGATAGCAATTGTAAGATTGTTTGGTTTTTGATTCGTCAATTTTTATTTCTCACTCTCTATTTTTAATTTGAATCCTACTCAATCATGAGCTGGATCCTGCCGGATCATGGCACCTCGGTGACTAATAGAATGGCTGGCACACAGCAAGAGATAAAAAATGTTCATTGAATTGAATAAAATGAAATTAAATATCAGGAGGAAAAGTCTTTTAGGGTTAAACATATAAACCAGGATATCTACTCCAAGGAAGGTCTAGCAATGAAGAGATTAATTACAAATATATCATGGGTTGCAGTGGGGAGGTAAATCAAATTCAGGTTGAATGGGCCAGAAACTCTATTACTCTTTTTGAGGCAAGTCAATCAAAATACATTTTTGTAATATCAGATAACTTTAAATACAAGCATGAAGAGAATTCTAAAAATAATTCAAAATATTTTCATTATTTCACTTGCTCCTGTTTAGTAGTATAAACAATTGAGAAATATGTATAGTCTAATATACTTGAGATTAAAAATAAATATAAGATGAAAACACAGTTTAAAACATATAAAAGGATGTCTAATTTATTGAGCATTAAAAAGATGTTTAGGAATGACAACCTGAGAAGACTTGCAAACCCTTTGCTATAGAACAAAACTGTTTTATCACTGAGGAACAATTTTCAATTGTTTGCATATTTTCTGAGCAGCATGTAGTCTAGACAGGTAGATCTCAAGTGAGAAAATGGGGACATTTGGCTGTATTGAAATAATGATCTGAAGCAGTAAATTGATTTTCAAAGGACATTTTTGGACTTTGGTGTTCTTGCTTCAGATAATTTGTTCTTATCATTCTCCCCAGCCTTTGGTGTTATCTACAAATGCTGTATAATTGTACCAACAACTGAAATTATTTTGTGACTACTTTATTATTTTCATGCCTTGAAGATTATTCAGTTGTGTATCAAATCATACAAATCAAACTAAGGAAGGAGAACAGGATAGGCAATTGGGGACTTGCATTTAATATACTTTTATAGTTAACACCAAATTAGATAATCATGTCAGCCTTAATATTCCCTTCAGATTGACTAGATTTTAGACAGGCTAATTCCTGAGTCTGGACTCCTGACACCCCTTTTCTTAAAGCATTTACTTAACTTGTAACTGTAAATTTTTTCTCCACTCCTTTGAGATGTATATAAATATTTTATAACACAACTTGCCAGTTTTACAACCCAGGAATGTCTTTCTTACGAACCTGGGATCCATCATCTATGGCCTGTTAAGATCAGAATAAATGACTTCTTATTTAAGATAGTAAAGAAGAGCCAGATTTTAAAATTCCCCCCAAATCTAAAAATATAAGTAAAAATTATTAGGAAAAAAGAGAATCTGGCAAAAAAAAAAAAAAAAAAAAATGCCAGCACACATTAAACAACCCAAAGGAAGAGCTTGTGGTCTATAAAAGAATAAGTGGGGTTTCCAAGAGTTAGCAAGGCATTGCTTGGGGCCACTCAGGGCATCTCCTAAGTTTTTCACAGAGAGACAATTTGGCATACAGGTCAGGGTGGAGATGGAAGTGTGGGGAGAGGGCTGCGAATAAACACAACTCTGAAACATCTAACTCCTCAGGAGGCAGATGGAGAGACAGAAGAGGAGGACAGGCATGGGAGAAGTGAAAATGTGCTTGAAAGATAAAAATTATTTTTTGCCTTTTCCTTTACCCTTCAGTGTCAGAGAAAATAAGAGTTTTCCATATGATAGCCCTCTGGTTGGAATGAAAGAGGAGGAAAAAAAGACATGATGATCCCAAAAATAACAAATACTCATTAATACAGGAATAACCAGAAATCAGGTGAAACAAAAGGCAAAAGAGGGGATCTTAGATGAGATCTTCTGAGGGAGACAGAAAAGGAGGTGAGTGGGAGATTCTGGTAAAGTTTCCTCCAACGAGCTGTGGCCTCAACAAAGGGGTAAAACAAAACAAACAACAAAACAAAAAGAAACAAACAAAAAAACCACAAAGGCAAAATTTTCAACTTCTTTTGTAGAATAGAAGTGGCTGGTGAGAAAGGAAAGGTAAAATGTGATTAGGAAAAATCCAGGCTGACCTTCATAGAACTCTCTGTAGGGACTTATGTTTAATTGAGGAATTATTTAAATTTCAAATTATCTTGCACTGGATTAAGACAAACTCAAGATTAAGTAGAGAGAACTGGGAGACAGGCTATTTAACAAAATCCCTGAAGACAGAGAAGAGCTCAGTTTTGCTAATCAAGACTGCTCACAACCTCAACTGAAACTTACTTTTCTCCAAACCTAAGTAATAAGGCCTGAGGCTATTAAAATAGAACTATAAAACTACAGTGTGGAAAGGGAGTAAAGGGAAGTCCATTCAGAGTCCATCAGATCAAATAGCAGATCCTGGCTCAGTCACTCAATCAGCCCCTTTGCATGAACAATATACAAATTAAACAAAAAACAGTACATAAGCCTGGAGTCTATGTAGCTAAATTGTAGTAAATATATTAGGGAAGAAGTAACAGGCAGGGGAAGAAAGAAAAAAATTACTGCAGGAAAAATACAGATTTAAAAACTTTTTAGAAGTCAACTTGACCCAAGAAATAGAAGAAGCATCTCTGTAAAAGCATTTCATTATTTAAGAATTTACAAAAAGTATGAATTAAAAAACTCCTCAAAGATAAAAACAGAAAAATCAGACTGAGAATGAAAAAGTAAAAGACTGCATGGAACTGGAAACAAATTGAAGACAAAGAATTACAATTGAAGAACTAATAAAAAATTACAAACAGAATAGATATAGCTGATGGTTTATTGTCATAATGAAAGACTTAAAGTAATTAAAGTAAAAGTAGAAAAGAAATACATGAAGATTAAAACAATTAAGGAGACTTTAATAGAGACATAGAAGAGCTAAAGATGGTCCAACAAAAGGATAAATGATGTCCCTGGTGCAGAGAATTCAAGTTTTAGGAAAAAGTGAATCATCAGGAGATTTATGGACTCTAAATGAATAACCCCTTATAATGGTTAAATCTTATTTTGAACATGTATCTTCCTTCCTGCCATTTGATTGCTGATACATTGAACTTAAAACATAACAAAACAAGATCCCCCAAAACATGTTTATAATTGATATTTTAGGCTAGCTTTTTTTTTTCTCAAAATGTTAGAATTTGAGCTTGTTAATTACTGAGGGAAGAAATGTTAAATGATCAGCTAATATTTAGTGACTATTTTCTGGACTCAAACTTGAGATGCATGGTCTGACAAATGTGTTTACTTTTTAAAAACTGTTCTTGCTGGTCTTTAAGCATTGTTAACAAAGCTTTTTATCTAGAAGTTGAGAAACCATGGGATTTGGAAAAGCAAAGACAGGTAAATTATTACAGACCCACTCATTCAAACATCCTTTGCTTGATGCTTACTACATACAAGAGTCTTCATCAGAATCTCTTGCACTAGGTATCTTATAATTCAATATAGGAGGCAAATCAGCAGAGGCAGCTACATTGCTGTGTGATTGGGTAGCATGGTGTGCTATGATAGCATAACTATCAAGGACCAAGGTATGCTTTCTCCTAGAGAAGCTGTCTGCTAAGGAGGAACTTATTCAGGAGGCTCTTTCCATTATGCCATATAGACTCTTTTTAAAACTGGTTTTAAGAGGATATCTACTTGGTTGGAATCTAACTGAGGGGTTGACTTTTTAGAACCTTCTGTATACAGTATATAAAAAATAACAGAATTCAGGTTGTTTCACAAATAAACTTTAATTTAGATTTCTCTATATGTAAGGCAAGCCTTTCTTCTCCTTCATCCCAAGGGACCATATTGTTGAATATAATGTAGTTATGGGGAGATTACTGAAGACCATCCCTACTAATCCCTGAGAATGAATTCCTCCTTCCTCAGTGCTCCTACAGCAAATGGTTGATTCTCCTGTAGCACTTAGAGATTGAACTTAATTATTTATGTACACACTTTGACCCATCCTTCCAGTACCTTCATATTCCAAAGACTGAGTAAAATTTTGTAAAATTTCGAGAAAAGGAAGGTAACATGTTTAATTTGATATCACTTAGTAGAGAGCTGGGCATATAGTTAGTTCTCAATAAATATTTGTTAAATTGACTATTGGAAGATTGAATTAACATGTAACAGCATGTTAAAACAAGTTTCAGCTGAGGCAGACACCAAAGTGAATGTAAGTCGTATGACTGCAAAGGAATCTTCAAAGCCGATTATTGAAGAACTACGTTTGTGATGCTTAAATCCCTTTCTCACTTTGAAAATATAAAAGAGCAGAGTGAGAGGGTGGATCTAACTACACTACTACCAATGGCAGGGCAAAAAGACAGGCAGCCTACCCTAGATGATCGTTCCACGCTTGAGCATTGATGGGGAAAGTGGCCAGTGGAGGCGCAGCACAGCTCATGTCAGGGGAGCTGTGGTCAGAAGAACCCACAGAAAGGCCCACAAGAGTCCAAAGCAGAGCTTATGGTAGAGAGAGTAAATTTTTGACACATGATGGGGCCAAAGAGACCAGAGTTAATCCCAGGACCGCCCATTCACTAACTAAAACTTTTTCCATCTGGTTTCCCTGCCTTTCCTCCATCGCCTTGACTGGGTGGAAATGAATGCTACAGAATCAGGAGGAGGTGAGAGGAGAAGACAATCACATCATCCCCATCCCCCAATTCAGACACTCTGCCAATGCAAGCCTTAGGCAGCCAGGAGGTTGTCCTACATTTCAATAAACATTGAAGTGTCAGTTAATACCTTCGACTGAACAGATTACGTTTCTGTGATACATCCAAGGGACTGTAGAATTATTTTATATGCAAAGTGAAAAGAAAATCAGGAGTGATTTCTGGTGAGATTTTATCCAGTGACAGGGACATGCTTCTCCCATTGAAATGGAAGACCAAAAGAGCTGCGTTTTCATGATGCTTCTAGTTGTTCTTGTTCAAGGTAATATAATGATTGTCACGTGTCTCTTAGTACATTTTCTGTCTTTCAAATCTGGGAAATATCTCAGTGAATAGACTGTGTGGATCTGATCTTGTTTCTGTTGAGAAGGAAAATTATAACTTGTGTTCAGTTGTGTTGCTTTGGGTGTGTCGGAAACCCAGTGGGATATCTGGGTGATTACATTTGGTAATAGGAGGCCAACTCCCCTTCATGCAGGACAGGGGAAGGAGGCAGAGACTACTATGCACCTAGTGTCTATCTCTTAGAGCTCTCTGAGCCCTGGACAGACTCCCCAGCAAACAGCCCATCTCAGGTTTGGAGCACAGCTTCAGCAATACTTTTGAAATTAAGATTAAAGACTAGGTGTGTGGGGTGCTGGCCAATCATGTTTTCCCTCAGGCCATTTTTTGCATGTTTAATTTGTAGACAAACTGCCTGTTCCAAAATTGAAATAGCAAAATCTCTGTGGAAAAGGCATGTATGTGCGAGCCCATGGGAAGGCAGAGCACGTGTTGCCCTGGGGAATGCCAGCAGTGTTATCTTGATGATTTTGTCTCATGCCAACTTCTTCTGACTTTTATCTTTTGGAATTAGAAATATGATTTTGGCAGTGCCAAGATCAGATCCATTTCATGGGAGGAGATTCTCAGAAACCAGGTTAAAAATAATCATATATAAAACTAAAATGACAACATAATAATTCAATTATTAAGAGGGAAAAGGCCAGGCGCGGTGGCTCACGCCTGTAATCCCAGCACTTTGGGAGGCTGAAGCAGGCAGATCACTTGAGGTCAGGAGTTCAAGACCAGCCTGGCCAACATGGCGAAACCCCATCTCTACTTAAAATACAAAAGTTAGCTTGGCATCGTGGTGCAACACCAAACCTGCAGCTCTAAAAGTGGAAAGCACAAACAAAAGCTAGGAAAGAGATTCTTCCAAGCAGCCTTTGTGTTGGGTTGTGCTCCTGCCTCCTAGTTAACCTGTCACTCAGAGGTTGAAATGTTAAGAGTGTTTCTGAGCCCTGTGGGAACCTGCTTCTTTGTATCTCAGGTTATGCAGAAAGCAGACCCCCACCTGCTGTGACTACCCTGGACTGAGACAAGCAGTAGTGCCTGAAACTAACTCCAAATACAAAGAGTCTGGCCGTTTGGAGAAGCTTTTTCCTCCTCCTCAACTCAGTTTTCTCCACAGTGACCTTGGTTCTGAGCAACCAGATCAGGACCAGTCCAGAGCAAAGAAAGAGGTGGGAAGTATGAAGGATGTAAGGGTGACAGGGAGAAGAAGAGAGGAGAAAGAAAAAGCGGGGACTTATGGGTGGTTTATCTCAGCCCTGGCTCTCTTTTGTTAAGCAATGATTCTTTCAATTATTTTGATTTTGGGGGACTGACAACCATCTTACATGAGCCAAAGATATGAATGCTAGCCACAGATACAGATTTTGCTCTTGAAAACAAGACTTCAATGACCTTTCAACAAAAATAGCCTAGCACATTGAATGACAAACATGATGGCATTAAATTGTATGATAATTTGAAATAAGTGACAAGTAATTCATACAAGTGACTATAATTTCTGTTAATTTTATAAGACCATAGTATTTTTATCCTATGTCTTTTTACTTCGTGACTTCTCTAGCCTCTGTTACCATTATCAATATTCAGTCTTCCCTGAATACTCTGTGCCATTTAATTGTCTTGCGTGCATGCACACACGCACTCAATCCACACCACGTACCGCACACCACACGCAAGTATTCCTGGCTTCTACTTTGAATCCCACCACATTTCAGGGCATCATCCTTTATCCATGCATCCATAGCCTGTACCGGCTATTCTGCTCCCTCCGATGGCCTCTGCTCCAGTGTTGGTAACCCTGGAGATGGCCAATGGTTTGCGGGAGCAGAAACACAGGTCATGAGACTGTGAACTCCCTGGCTGTAAAAGCATGATCTCCTTACTTCAAGAATGGGGAGGGAAGACTCATGTGAATTGGTGGCACAGAAAAGGCACAGTTGAGGAGGACAGGCAGGGAAGATGGGCATTCAGGTCAGGAAAACAGCATGAATCATGACCAGCGGATTTAAGTGTTTGGCCTGTTAGGATGATGCCATGGGCTAAACTGGGTCTGCCTCCTTCCTCCCAAAAGCTACATTGGAGCTCTAACTACCATTACATCAGAATGGGACCTGATATGGATTGGATTTGTGACCCAACCCAAATCTCATGTTGAATTGTAATCATCAGTGTTACATCTGGGGCCTGGTTGGAGGTGATTGGATCATGGGGGCAGATTCCCCCCTTGTTTTCGTGATAGTGAGTGAGTTCTCACGAGATCTGGTTGTTTAAAAGTGTGTCGCACCCCCTCCCCTTCCTTCTCTTCCTCCTGCTCCAGCTATGTAAGACGTGCCTGCTTCCCCTTTCCCTTCTGCTGTGATTGAAAGTCTCCCCAGCCATGCTCCCTCCACAGCCTGTGGAACTGTGAGCCAATGGAACCTCTTTTCTTTATAAATTACCCAGTTTTAGGTATTTCTTTATAACAGTGCAAGAATGGGCTAAGACAAGACCTTATTTAGATATAGGTTCTGATATGGTTTGGATGTATGTTCCTGGCCAAATCTTATGTCAGGATGTAATCCCTGGTGTTGGGGGCGGGGCCCTGTGGGAGGTGATTGGCTCCTGTGGGCAGTTTCTCATGAATGATTTAGCACCATCCCTTTGCTGTTCTCACAAGAGCTGGTCTTCTGAAAGTGTGCAGCACCGCCCCTCCCCCTTCCTGTCGCTCTGGTCACGTGAACTGCTTGCTCCCCCATTGCCTTCCGCCATGATTGTAAATTTTTCTGAAGCCTGCCCAGAATCCAAGAAGAAGCCACTATGCTTCCCGTATAGTCTGCAGAACCGTGAGCCAATTAAACCTCTTGTCTTTATAAATTACTCAGTCTCAGGTATTACTTTATAGCAAAGTGAGAACTGACTAATACAGGTTCTTACAGAGGTAGTCAAGTTAAAATGCAGTCATTAGGGTGGGCCGTAATCCAATAGGACTGATGTCCTTATAAAAAGGAGAAATTTGCGCACAGAGACAAACAAGTTTAGTGGAAAAATGTTGTAAAGAGACAGGGAGAATATCATGTGAAGATAGAGACAGAGATTGGAATTATGCTACCACAGGCCAAGGAACATCTGGGGCTACCGGAAGCGAGAAGAGGCAAGAAAGGATCCTTCCCAAGCACCTTCACAGGGAACACGTCCTTGCTGACACTTCAGTTTTAGACTTCAGGTCTCCAAGACTGTGAGACAATACATGTCAGTTGCTTTAATCTGCCCAGTTTGGTGTACTGCAGCCCTGGAAAATGAATACAGATGGCTACAGGTAGTTTTCTGATACTGGAGGACAAGAAATGCAGGATCAAAGTCAGTCTTGATCCTTGAATACCATACTAAGGAAATTATATTTTATTCTCTAGGCAAAAACTGGATGGAGAAAAAGCTAAAGCAAATATTGATCTATCAAAGGTATTAAAGAGAGGATTAGCATGATCAGAAGTGTCCAGAGAGTGCTGGGCACGGTGGCTCATGCCTGTAATCCCAGCACTTTGGGAGGCCAAGGGGGGGCAGATAATCTGAGGTCGGGAGTTCGAGACCAGCCTGACCAACATGG
The DNA here is from genome assembly GCF_000001405.40 of Homo sapiens. Classification (NCBI taxonomy): domain Eukaryota; kingdom Metazoa; phylum Chordata; class Mammalia; order Primates; family Hominidae; genus Homo; species Homo sapiens. The sequence continues at coordinate 37,266,687 of NC_000013.11, forward strand.
AAAGATCTCTTCTCAACTAAAAATACAAAATTAGGTGGGCATGGTGGTGCGCGCCTGTAATCCTAGCTACTCGGGAGGCTGAGGCAGGAGAATTGCTTGAACCTGGAAGCCGAGATTGCACCATTGTACTCCAGCCTGGGCAACTCTGTCTCAGAAGAAAAAAAAAAAAAAAAAAAAAAAAGAAGTGTCCAGAGAAGTATATCTAAAGATGCTCTGGAAACAGTAAGCTTCTATAAAATCAAAGTTATCATTAGTACAGACATTCTGAGTTCTGGAAACAGAGGGTGAGTTAGAAAAGGTTTATAATTGTGTAATAGAGCCTAGTTAGGAAGCTTTCATAGTAATCCAGGCAGTGAGGAAGTGGCTTTATACTAAGGCAGTGTTCCTTTGGGTGAGTAGAAAAATGCAGTTTTCAGAGACTTCAGATAGGATGATCTAGAGAATTTTGAGACTGATGGATGGTTGGTTTTGAAAGAGATCTGAGTTGAAAGTGCCTCAGTGATTCAAAATTTTTGGTTACGGAATAGTCGTTAGCCAGAAAAATGGTTACAGAAGAAAGAGTGTGTTTGGAGAGAAGAAGATGAATTCTATCTCAGCTGTGTTTCAGTTTGAGGTGCCTTTAGACATAGTGATATTTAGTCTGCCATTAAAAACCTGAATTTTGAAGAGACTGGTATCCAGACATTTTTGTTACTAGTCTAGGGCACTTTCAGTTTATCACAGTAGCTGTGAGAGGAGCCACGGAAGTGACTGGACTTCTACTGTACGATGGCAAGCAGGGACGACTGGTGTCTAAAAGCAATTATAAAATAATGGGGGAATTTATTACACTGAGAATTTTAAAAATGATCTTTTCTATCCAACAAACATTTTCTTTTAGGCTCCAATATTATGATGATAGTATTAGTATATTTTGTAATCCTGTGGCTATTTAAAACACATGAAAGTAATCTGTCATGAGATTAGAGTAAAAGGAAAAAATTGCTCTTAAACATGAGTTGCTTTTGGATGTACATTGTGGGCTATATATGAGCATTTTAAAGTTCTTCATTAATTTTTTTTTCTATCGAATGTATCCCAGATATGTGATAAATAAGGGCGAGGAACTAGAAGTAACTGTTTTTGTGAAACCAGAACTAAAGCAAATAATAGGCCAAATAGAGGGGTTTTGAGGTAAAAGAAATTTTTGAACTAGAAAATTGTGAAGATCTATGTAAGAACAAGAAAAAATATTTCTAGGCAAATTCCCCAGGACATTTAATTTATAGAACTTTTGGAATCACAAGAGGACACCTATTGATATTGGATGCTTTGCTTAAATTCTCATCTATAAAATTATTTCATGTCATTTAACCTCGGTTATTCAGTTATAAACTAAATTATCAAGGCAGTTTAGCAAGTTGAAGTTGTCTGGGATGTAATATAGATTAATGGCATTCCTTAGAAAACCAGTAAAAGAATGATAATATTTTACTCTTCCTATAAATATAAATAAATAAGCAGGCTGGGCGTGATGGCTCACGCCTGTAATCCCAGCACTTAGGGAGGCCGAGGCAGGCAGATCACTTGAGGTCAGGAGTTTGAGACCACCCTGGCCAATATGGTGAAACCCCATCTCTACTAAAAATACAAAAAATCAACCAGGCATGGTGGCGCATGCTTGTAATTCCAGCTACTAGGGAGGCTGAGGCAGGAGAATCGCTTGAACCCAGAGGCAGAGATTGCAGTGAGCTGAGAGCACCACTGCACTCACTCCAGCCTGGGTGACAAGAGCAGAAACTCTGTCTCAAAAAAAAAAAAAAAAGCAAATAATATGATACAATTTATAACAACAACTTGTAACATGGTTTTCTCTCTTGCTTTTGTCCTTGTTGGCCTGAGGTACCCTTCTACCTGAAGGATGACTGGGGGAATAGGCAGCCTCTGATGTCCAAAACAGGACATTTCAATGAACATCCACCTTGCAAACCAGATTACTCTCTTTAGGCAGGTTTTAAAAAATTATATCTTCTGTCCCTTTAGATGGTTAGTAACAAAGCCTGGAGAATTAGGCTCCCAGAGTTCCACTTGCATACAGAGATGATATCCCTTTGCCTATAACAGTAAGTTCATGAAGCCTCCTTTCAGGGAGGATGTGACCCAGGGGAAGTGAAACCAAAGGCAAACTGCTTTCCACCATGCGGGAACTGTGGGGTGGAGAAAGAGGGGGCACAAGGCAGGTATGTGTGTGTGTTCTGATTTTCTACTCCCCAAACTTTGGCCCCAAGTAACGTGCATTAGTTAAGTGGGGGTAACATGGAGAGTGTAGGGAGGTCTCCTCACCCTCCACTCTTTGACCCTTTCCTCTTCCCCTACCTTTCTCTACCCCTGCCATAATGTCTGTTTATTATTTTGGAAAGTGATCACCTTGCCACAGAGCCAAGCTGACTTGTTGGTACTGTAGGGAAGCAGAGGGAATCCCTGAGGTTGAGCTTTGCTCATCTGCCTGTGGTTCCCTTAAGGCGTGGATGGGTCTGGCTGCTGAGCTTGCTAGAGAGGGCCACTCTAGCTGGGGCAAGGTGTATGGCCACGCCAGAGAGAGTGGACTGCCTGGACAGGGACAGGAGAGAGTCCTAGGTGACTTTAGAAGGGTTGTTAGCATCCATGGGAGCTGATGTGAGGCTGAGTCAGCCAGGAAGTGGCCACAGACCTTACTAAGCAGATGAAGAGAAGATCAAGAGCAGCCCCACGAATGGACCTCTGACATGAATGTCAGCAAGGTAAGTGACACCAGGTCAAAAAGCACATTGCCCTGAGACCAGGGGTGCCAGAAGACCACTGTAGGTAACAGAAGCCACAGCCCTCCCTCATGCATCCCCACAGTATCTTAGAGAACCAAGCTGGGGGCAAGGAAAGCTGTCTGAGAGGCCAACTTGGCATTCATGAGATAGTGAGAGGAACAGTTTAAATGATCAGATTGGACTGAGGTTTAAACTACACTGAACACCATTATTTTTCCATCATTATTCCATCCTCCTGTGCCCCTTCTTTTCCCCTGTCTTTAACTAAAGGGTTCAAAGCAATCATGTGGGAGACCAGGTGATTAAAGGACAAATTTAAGAAGTTAAACTTTCTCTGCATATATGAGCTGCCCTTGGTAATACGTAATATACTAATTTTGCAAGTTGAGTTTGCATTTCCTCAATTGCTAGTGAGGCTGATTATCTCTCTTGGGTGATTTTGTTTTCCCTTCTAGGAATTGCCTAGTTGTGTACTTTTTCCTTTTCTTCGTTAACTTTCCTGACATTTTCTTTCTGGATTGAAAAATTCCTCTATATTTTGGATACTAATCCCTTGTCAGTTTTATATGTCACAAATATTTTTTCCCAAGTGGTCTATTGAATTTTCTTTGATGACTTTTATTTAAAAGAACATTTTATGGTTGTCAAAATGATGTAATTTATATATATTGTTCTGTTGTTTAAGAAACCCCTTTACATCTTAAGATTGCAAAGGCATTCCTCTGTATTTTCTTCTATTAGCTTTATAGCTTATATTTCACATTTGGACCTGTGAGCATTACTGTGGGGAGGGCTCCCTTAAAGCCTGCTTTTTGCAATTTTCATCCTTCTGTTCATTAACTTATGAATTATGCAGGGAACCACAGTCTGCTATAAATATGCTTATTTTACAGATGAGGAAACCAGCTAGTCATAAAATGATGAAGCATCTTCTTAAATACTTGCCAAGAGAATTCTTTTGCCCACAAACAGCTGTTTCGGCTCATGCAGATGTTTAAAATATAGATGTGAGGTTGGGTTTTTCAAGACATTGCAGGCGGATATACTAATATGCTAGAAAAATTGGCAAGGATACAAGTAATTTATGAAGGGTAAACAAAAGAAAACACACTGAAGAGCTGTTAAAAATAAAATGGTGCCTGAGAAAGCCCAAGTACCTTTGGTCAGAGCAAATGAGTTTCCCATAGTGTATACATACTAAATGTATACATACTATACACACACTTCCCACAGGATATACATACTAAGCATATACATACATATGCTTCCTACAGCGTATACATACTTTAGACTTTGGACTAAAGGAGTGGTCCTCAAGTGGGGGGATTTTTTTCTCTTCCTCCACACTGCCACCCACTGGGGACATTTGACAATGTTTGAAGGCATTTACGGTTGTCATAAATGTGGGGGAAAGGTGTGGGGAGTGTTGCTACTGGCATACAGTAGGTAGAAATGACGGATGCTGCTAAACATCCTAGAATGTGAGGACAGCCCCTCATAACAAAGGATTATCTGGCCCCAGTGTCAATAGTGCTGTGGCTAAGAAATTCTGAATTAGAGACCACTCAGAGCCTGAGGAAACAGTGACTCCAAGTAGATGAGGTCAAGTGGTGTGATGGGTAATTTTATGTGTCAACTTGATTGGGGTAAGGAGTGCCTAAGTAGCTGGTAAAATATGGTTTCTGGATGTGTCCTAGAAGGTGTTTCCAGTCCAGTTAGCATTTGAATCAGTACTGAGTAAAGAAGATCTGCCCTCACCAATGTAGATGGGCCACATCCCTGGAGGGCTTGAATAGAACAAAAAGGCAGAGGAAGGACAATTTCACCCTCTCTGCTTGACCTGGGACATCTGTCTTCTCCTGCTCTCCTTCTCTTGACATTGATGCTCCTAATTCTTGGACATTCAGACATAAACAATTGTCCCCTCTACACTCCCAGTTATTGGGCTTTTGGACTGAGACTTTCATCATTGGTTCTTCTGGTCCTCAGGTCTGTGGGCTTGGGCTGGAATTACTGCACTGGCTCTTCTTGGCGTTCAGTTTACAGATGGCAGATGGTGAGGCTTCTCTGCCTTTATAATTATGTGAGCCAATCTTTCATAATAAATCCATTTCTTTTTATCTCTGTATATCCTATTGGTTCTGTTTCTCTGGAGAACTCCCACTAATCTAAATGGTAATTGCAAGGATGAGGAAAATTGATTTGGAAGTGTCCCGAAGTTGGAGGCTATGTAAGGTAATGGGGTGCCCTTTGTGCAGAACATATCCTTATGAAGAGCAGAAATTTTAAGACTGAAAAGGCCTTATCCCACCAAAGCAGAAGCATGTATATATTTATTTATGTTAAATACATGCTTTTGGATGGTTAGAATGATCTGCAGTCATGCTGCCTCCTTCTGAGAGGCCTCCAAGTGCTTTTCATGCCCACAGACTCTTTCTGAGAGGTTCTTTGTGCGCCTGGTAGCTCTATTCTTTTCCCTGAGATCTCCTCTATTCATCCTCCCAACACTGGCCACTGCTAATTTCCACCAGACATGGATATTGAATCCAATAAGGCTTTCATCTATAAGGTTTCCAAGAGCCAAATCATGATCTTTAGCTCTTGGTAAATGGCAGCTTCATCAAAACCATCATTGGGAGAGTTTGAATTCTGTACCTGCAGAGAGAGACTTGTTCAGTATCTAAGCAGGAAGAGGAAGCAACATTCCTTCTTTCATGTCAAATTAAATGGAAGCAATTAGAAAATGGGTCAAAATCTAAGGTCATTCAGAGTCAGATCCCAAAGGCTCAGATCTGTAGGAGAGTAGAGGTAGGACTCTTGGGACAACATCCCAAGAGCCAGGTTAGTAGCACTAAGATGGGGAGAAGCTCAGGATGGGAAGCACTGTCTTTGGCTTCTCTTTAGGCCTTCTTCTTGGCATAGGTAGGTAAAAACAGGCTTAGTCCATAGATGGCAGCTGGCTCCCAGGCTGAGGCAGGATTCTACCCATGACAGTGACTTTGGCAAAAGATAGGCTGCTGGATCCTCTGGGTTGTCTGCCTGGCTCCAAGGGCTATGCGCTGTCTCCTGGACCACATTGTGGAAACATATTTCAGAAAGGAACTGTAATAATAGATGCTGAAGTTTCACAGACAACTGGTCCCTTACTCAATAGGTAAGATCAGTTCTTTTGATTTTCTAAATATTATTGGACTTATTAGGTTATGGAATAGTGCTAACAATTCTGGAATACTGGTGATGATTCTCAAGTTTAATCCAGATACTAGATGGCAGCAATATCATTTACCGAGTGTTTCTTATGTGTCAGGCATGGCTTTAAGTTCTTTATATATATTAACTTTTGAAATCCTGATATTGATCCTGTGAAGTTGGCATTGTTTTTTTATCCCCATTGTACAGGTTTAGAAACTGAGATATGAAGGGATTGTGCAACTGCTCATGGTCACACAGCTAGCAAGTGTCTGAGGTGGATAAGCACCCAGGCAAGTCTATTTTTAGAGCCTGGGCTCAAACTCTCAGCTCTGTTGCCTGCCTGACTGTAGCATCTTAGTATCCATGCCCATTTGGGCCCTCAGGTACTAGGGGTGCTAGTTCCATCTCATGGGGTGCCTAGGCGTACTCATTTTGGCTTTCAAGTTCAGAGGACAGAACCTCTCTTCACCAATCCATTAGGTATTCATGGGGTGTCCTCAATGGGTTGCTGAAGCTTAGCTTGTGTGTGGTTCTCATTTCCACAATAATGGGTTAAGGTACTCTTTGAAGGTAAAGGGAAGTTCGTTTACTCGATGCAGACAGTGTAGCAAGCTGGCTAAGACTGTTCAACAACAGAGCTTCTAGACTTGAGCAGAGGCCACAGCAGCAGTTCTTGCCTGGGTCACTTGCCAGAACCTCCCAAAGCAACACTCCACTTTTGTAACTCTCTTAGTTTGGTGGCCCATGGCAATTAGGTTCCTTTCTCCATCTGTCTTCCTTCCATTCCTTCCCAAGCTCCCCACTTTCTACTCTTCCCTGGTTTTATTTCCCTATGCAAGAAACTTATTCTTTTTCTTCTCTCTCATAACATTGACCTTGATATCTGATCTGGAAGGTCTGCAATCTCTCGTTTAAAATTGCTTCCAAAAACAAATGTAGAAAAACAGAAAACTCACCTTCCTCTCCCTTTAGGTAGAAAGGCTTCCTCTTTAGAAACACAGTATCTGATTCTTATTCCTCACATCTGAGAGCAAAGATTCAAATTCCATTGAGGGGAAGGTTGTCCTCCTTCTTAGCCAAAACAATAAAGTCATGGAATACAATTGAGATTTCATATTAAAAATAGATTAAATATTTGTGTCTTGTTACAACTGGTTGAGAGCTAGAAGGAATCTTAAAATCCCTTATGGCTCTTTGGAACAGTTCAAACAGTTTCATTCTATAATACTTTAAGAAAAAGATGAAACAATCCTGGGCAGTAGAAAAAAGTTTGGAGTCAGGTGGTTTGGATTTCAAATCTTGATTCTACCACTTGATATTTAAAGGTCTTGAATAAGTAACTTAAAAGTTTTTTGAGCCTTGCCTCAGGGAGCTAATTATGATCAAGTGGTGGTAAGTTTTGAGGGAGTTGGGGAGGACAGCACGTATTCCTTGCCTTGTAGATTCTTCCCAGTGAAAGAGGCTTTAGTTTCACTAGCAGATGGCCTCATTCTGCCATCAGCATCTCTCCAGGGAAGATGTGGCTTATTGATGGTAGATTAGGGAGAGAAACTAAGCATGCTTAGCTCAAGCCTTTATTCTCTCTTCTTTCTCTTGGACCCACTCCTGTCCTGTCTATACTTTATGCTATGGTATGAGATTGTACAGATAAGGATCCTGGACTGATCACTGGTCCAGTTGGGGTAACCTGCCTAATTCCAGGACTCAACACACCTGGCCATGTTCTCTCCCATAGACTTCATCAATGATGAAGGTGATATTTCCATCTCTTTCTGGATAAACTGTTTTGTTTTTTAATTGGTTCTGATCTTTGGCTAGGAAAAGGGAAACTATTTATGGAGTCTCTTAAATTTTAAAGGAGAATCCGTATGTTTAGAGGTGATCAGCTCTTAAAAGTGCTTTACAAATTTAGTTCTCTTTCTCTCTTTGGTTCTCTCTCCCTTTCAGTTGACTGTTCTTCTCTTTAACAGGTCTTACTATCAGAGAGTCTAAACCAATCTTTTCTACCACAGCCTGTTTCTTTTTGTTCGCTTTTCAGAGAAAATAAATTGATGGTGGAAGAAGAACAGCTGGTTGCAATTTCTTTGGGTTTTTTAATCAGAAAATTCCCCAGTTTATTTCATTTGGCTGCTTTTTAGAGTATTATTGTTTAGATTGAACATTTAAATAGCTTTCTTGAAACTTCCACCAAAGATTTGGAACCCAAGGGGAATAAATGTATAAACTAGAAATGTTAGTGAAGATGAAAGGTAAAGCTTAAAAATAACTAAATTAAAGATCTTATAAAATATTTAGACTCAGCCTTTCTTTATATAGACTTAGAAAACTTTATATATTTGTCCTTGGGGACTACTGTACTGAAGATATATGCCTGCATTCCAATTCATTACTCTGAATGGGGAAAGAAAGTGAACGACAATTATTACTGTATCGCTGGGGCCATTGTTTCTTGAGTTATTCCAATGCCATAGTTGAAAGTTTCTTTATTACACTGCTTTGTTTCAAATTTCTGTCTTAGTTTTAATGTTTCTCACCTGTATAGTTTAATTCATGCACAGTCTGACTGTCTCTGTTTAGGTCAAGTGAAATAAAGAAGAGATGGGAAAAGCCCTATGATTGACGATAAAACAGATTTCTCATCTGGATTTATCGAGGTTATGCAATTGCTCACATTTATGCTGTAACTGCTAGTATTCAGTTGGCTTCCCACAGATACAAACTCAGTAAGAAAAGAGCAGAAAAAATAACATCACACAGCGACACCAGGCATTAAAATTCCTCTCTTCTAGTGTTCTCTCCTTCTACCTATTTTTAGCCCCTCCAATCCAGTCTCTATATAGTTTGTAAAGTGATTTTTCTGAGGGTCCAGTTGTAGTTTGTTAGCTTTGTACAAAAACCTCTGCAAGAACTGACTGGCTGACATCACCATATCTTCCCACAAACTTTAGACTGCAACAATGTCAAAGGATTTGTGGTTCCCTATGTTAGTTGTAAGGAAGACAAACATCCTTGGTTTCTTTAGTTTGTAGGATTTTATGGTAAGAAGATGTGGGGAGGTATGTGAAACCATGGCAGTCCCTTAGACAGCCATGTGGGGAGCAGGAACTGTGTCATTCTAGATCAGCCCCATTCATTCAATGGCCACCCAAAATTGATCTCCTCGGACAAGGGCAACTGTGGCCTCTCTTCTAGGGTCTGCAGTCTGTTCTCAGCTTCTTGTTTTTGTTTTTATTTCTAGCTACTTCTTCCTGCTGTCTTCATGATTCCTTTTCCATGGTCTCTGTCTTCCATTCAGGAGAAGGAGTACTGTAAGAGTAGTAACAGGTCATCCTCTCCTGCGTGACTTGGGGAAGGGCCTTCTCAAAAATATCTCTGATTTGGTCACTTGATAATGGGACTTAATGGAGAAGACTGAGTTTCCTACCGAGGAACTCAGGACCAGCTACTGGGCTGTTGTGGGTTCTGATGGTCAGCTTTGCTAGGTTCTGTGTGAAGACAGCCCCTGTGACAAGAGCTATTCTTTCCTTTCTTCCCAGTGAGTTGGAGGAACCAGAGACCACATCAATCCTTACCCAGACCTCTAAACTTTCAAAAAGAAAGAGGACTAGGGGGTCAAGCTGAGATCTCCCCATCCCTGGGGGGAGTAGAGTTTCCATGCCAAGGTCAGGGGTCAATGGGTGAGGGCCCATTGCACTTCTTGGACCTTTCAGATACCGGTGCACAGGTGACTGTGATCTCCACAACCCTGGGTACTAGAGTGTGGGTGAAGCAGACGATGCTGTCTGGTTTTAGGTTCTGTTTAGGTTTTAGATGCTAAGGCTAGCATCACTGAGACTCTTGCTTGGGTACTTTCAGGCTCCTGCAAACCTCCATTGTTATGGCGTCCACTACCAAAAGTATTAATGGTATCGATGTATTGTCTATGTGCATTCATGACTAAGTGTCTCCTCAAACTCTGATTGGAATTTCTGCAATTAAGATTGTGTTAATAGGGTATGTAGAAGACCATGAGCTACTTGACTACAGGTGCCTAGTACCATTGTCTTTCCCAAACGACATTGACAGCTTGGGGAAACAAAAGAAAGAACTGCCCTCACACTGCCAAGCTTAAGGAAGCCAAAATCCCCTGGAAACTATTTCTCCACTCAGTAGTTCCAGCTGGCCTGCGTGTAAGGGAAGGCACTGGGTAGCTGAAAAATCACCATGGAGGTGGCTCAACACAGTGCTGGCTTTGGCACTGGCAGAACCTAATGTGACTATCACAGATGCTGTTGCCCAATCTGAGAGAACTTGGTGTACAGCAATTGACATCTCAAATGGCTTCTTCAGCATAACTGATGAATTGATCCTAATCATCCATCTAGGTGATCAGGATCAATTTGCCTTTATTTGGAAGTGGGAGCAACATGCCTCTAATGTCCATTCACAAAGGTAACTAACCTCCTTGTCTACCTGCTATCGGTGGGTATGCCATGCCCTAGTAAAAGTCCTGCTTCCCAGTGGAGCACTGGCCTTTCACTCTGTTGATCTCTTGGTTAGCCCAGACAAGGGAACTGCCTGGTAAAAAGTGGATATCCTGTTGACCCATGTGCAGTAACAGAGCTAGGCCATTAACACAGACAATGTAGAAGGACTTAGTACCCAAGTGAAATTGCTGGGCCTAATCTGGAAAGGGGAAGAATGTCTCATTCCAGAGATGATTGCCAAGTTTTGGCCTTGTCTGCCCCAACAGATTTTAAAAAAAGCCTAGTGATTGGAGGACCTATGTGGCTACTGGCATTCTTCCAGTTTATTGAAGGTATGTGAGAATCTTGATAGTACCTTTCTATTGAATTACCAGACAGGCTGCTATCTTTGAGTGAGGCCATGACCCATAGGATGTTCTGGAAGTCCTCCAATGAGACATTCAGGCTGCCCTCCCCCGGGCCCCACATATCCAAATTGCCCTTTGAGTTACAGGTTTTAGCAATCTCTGTTTGCCGACTAGAATCTGTGGCAGAAGGGCACCACCATAGGCTGGTAATTCTCACTGGACTTTTAGACCCATGAGCTCCCGGAATCACCTAAAAGCTATACACCCTTTGAGAGACAATTATTGGCTTCTTATTGGGCCTTAGTGGATTTTGAATGCATGGCTCATGGCTTTGAAATACTCTCATTATCAGAAATCCCAATCAAGTTGAGGAGCCAAGCAGAAGCCTCAAGTGTAAGATAGGGGTGGCTCAGGAATTCTCTTTAGTGAAATGAAAATGACTCATCCAGGAGTGAGAAAAACTCTGGATGAGATTTCTCAATTCTATGAAAAGGTCTCAGGAATGTCCCTCTGTCTGCCAAAAGCTGCTACTTCCACTGACCCAATGGGGGAACATGAATGGCCCTAGTTGTATGATGGCTTCTTCTGGTTAACTTTATTTATTTATTTGACACATTTTAATCATACATATTTATGGGGTACAATTTGATATTTTGATACATATCTATGTTACATAATGATCAAATCAGTGTAGTTAGTATATCCATAACTTCATGCATTTACCATTTTTTTTGTGGTGAGAATTTTCAAAGCCTCTCTTATAGCTATTTTATAGTATGCAATATTTTACTATTAACAATAGTCACCCTATTGTGCAAAAGAACACCAGAATTTATTCCTTATATCTAATTGGTAACTTTGTACCCGTTGACCAACCTCTCCCCATCATCCCCTCTTCCCCTCCCAAGCAGTCTCTGGTAACCGCTATTCTACTCTCTGCTTCTATAACTTTTTTCTTTTTTAGATTCCACATAAAAATGAGATCATGCAGTATTTTTCTTTTCCTTTCTGGCTCATTTCACTTAACGTGGTGTACTACAGATTCATCCATGCTGTCACAAATGATGTTATTCTTTTTCATGGCTGAATAGAATTCCCTTGTGTGTATTTATCACACTTTATTTATCTATTCATCTGTTGTTGGACACTTAGGTTAATTTAATATCCTGGCTGCTGTAAATAGTGTGGCAATAAACATGGGAGTGCAGATATCTCTTCAAAACACTGATTTTATTTTCTTTTGGTATATACACAGGAGGGTAATTGCTGAATCATATGATAGTTTTATTTTTAATTTTTTGAGGAATCTCCATACTCTTTTTTTTAATAATGGCAGTACTAGTTTATAATCCTATCAACAGTATGTGTTTCCTTTTCTCCACATCCTTGCTAACACTTGTTTTCTTTTGTCTTTTTCATAATGGCCATTATAATGAAGTAATATCTCACTGTACTTTTGATTTGCATTTTCCTGATGATTAGTAATGAGTATTTTTCAATATACCTGTTGGCCACGTGTATGTCTTCTTTTGGGAAATGTCTATTAAGGTCTTTCACCCTTTTTTTAAGTTGGTTGCTTATTTTTTTGCTGTTAAGTTTCCTGTAAAGTTTGGATATTTACCTCTTGTCAGATGTGTAGTTTGCAAGTATTTTCTCCCATTTTGTAGGTTGTCTCTTTACATGCAGAAGCTTTTTACATTAATGTAATTCTATTTGTCTGTTTTTACTTTTGTTGCCTGTGCTTTTGAGGTCTTACTTTAAAAATCTTTGCCCAGCCTGATGTTGTGAAGAGTTCCCCAACATTTTCTTTTAGTAGTTTCATAGTTTTAAGTTTTACATTTAAGTATTTGGTTTATTTTGAGTTGATTTTTGTATATGTTGAGAGGTAGGGATCTAGTCGCATTCTTCTGCATGTACATATCTAATTTTCCCAGCATCATTTACTACAGAGGCTGCCTTTCCCCCAATGTGTGTTTTTGGTACCTTTCTCAAAAAATCAATTGGCTGGATAAGATTGTCTTAAAAAGTATTACTTTCCCTCTCCCTCTCCCTCTCCCTCTCCCTCTCCCTCTCCCTCTCCCCACGGTCTCCCTCTCCCCACGGTCTCCCTCTCCCCACGGTCTCCGTCTCCCTCTCCCTCTCCCCACGGTCTCCCTCTCCCCCTCCCCACGGTCTCCCTCTCCCCACGGTCTCCCTCTCCCTCTCTTTCCACGGTCTCCCCCTGATGCCGAGCCGAAGCTGGACTGTACTGCTGCCATCTCGGCTCACTGCAACCTCCCTGCCTGATTCTCCTGCCTCAGCCTGCCGAGTGCCTGCGATTGCAGGCGTGCGCCGCCACGCCTGACTGGTTTTCGTATTTTTTTGGTGGAGACGGGGTTTCGCTGTGTTGGCCGGGCTGGTCTCCAGCCCCTAACCGCGAGTGATCCGCCAGCCTCGGCCTCCGGAGGTGCCGGGATTGCAGACGGTGTCTGGTTCACTCAGTGCTCAATGGTGCCCAGGCTGGAGTGCAGTGGTGTGATCTTGGCTCGCTACAACCTCCACCTCCCAGCCGCCTGCCTTGGCCTCCCAAAGTGCCCAGAGTGCAGCCTCTGCCCGGCCGCCACCCCGTCTGGGAAGTGAGGAGCATCTCTGCCTGGCCGCCCATTGTCTGGGATGTGAGGAGCCCCTCTGCCTGGCTGCCCAGTCTGCAAAGTGAGGAGCATCTCTGCCCGGCCGCCATCCCATCTAGGAAGTGAGGAGCTTCTCTGCCCGGCCGCCCATCGTCTGAGATGTGGGGAGCGCCTTTGCCCCGCCGCCCCGTCTGGGATGTGAGGAGCGCCTCTGCCCGGCCACGACCCCATCTGGGAGGTGAGGAGCGTCTCTGCCCAGCCACCCCATCTGAGAAGGGAGGAGACCCTCCGCCCGGCAACCACCCCGTCTGAGAAGTGAGGAGCCCCTCCGCCCGGCAGCTGCCCCGTCTGGGAGGGAGGTGGGGGGGTCAGCCCCCCCGCCAGGCCAGCCACCCGTCCGGGAGGGAGGTGGGGGGGTCAGCCCCCCACCCGGCCAGCCGCCCGATCCGGGAGGGAGGTGGGGGGGTAGCCCTCCGCCCGGCCAGCTGCCCCGTCCGGGAGGTGAGGGGCGCCTCTGCCCAGCCGCCCCTACTGGGAAGTGAGGAGCCCCTCTGCCCGGCCAGCCGCTCCGTCCGGGAGGGAGGTGGGGGGGTCAGCCCCCCACCCGGCCAGCCGCCCCGTCCGGGAGGGAGGTGGGGGGTCAGCCCCCCGCCCGGCCAGCCGCCCCGTCCGGGAGGGAGGTGGGGGGGGTCAGCCCCCCGCCCGGCCAGCCGCCTCATCCTGGAGGTGAGGGGCGCCTCTGCCCGGCCGCCCCTACTGGGAAGTGAGGAGCCCCTCTGCCCGGCCACCACCCCGTCTGGGAGGTGTGCCCAATAGCTCATTGAGAACGGGCCAGGATGACAATGGCGGCTTTGTGGAATAGAAAGCGGGGAAAGGTGGGGAAAAGATTGAGAAATCAGATGGTTGCCGTGTCTGCGTGGAAAGAAGTAGACATGGGAGACTTTTCATTTTGTTCTGTACTAAGAAAAATTCTTCTGCCTTGGGATCCTGTTGATCTGTGACCTTACCCCCCAACCCTGTGCTCTCTGAAACATGTGCTGTGTCCACTCAGGGTTAAATGGATTAAGGGCAGTGCAAGATGTGCTTTGTTAAACAGATGCTTGAAGGCAGCATGCTCGTTAAGAGTCATCACCACTCCCTAATCTCAAGTACCCAGGGACACAAACACTGTGGAAGGCCTCAGGGTCCTCTGCCTAGGAAAACCAGAGACCTTTGTGCAATTGTTTATCTGCTGACCTTCCCTCCACTATTGTCCTATGACCCTGCCAAATCCCCCTCTGTGAGAAACACCCAAGAATGATCAATAAAAATAAAAATGAAAATTAAAAAAAAAAATCAATTGGCTGTAAGGTGCATGAATTTATTTCTGGGCTCTATTCTATTCCATCAGCCTATGTGTCTGTTTTTATGCCAGTATCAAGCTGTTTTGGTTACTACTGCTTTGTAGTATACTTTGAAGTCAGGTAGTGAAATGCCTCTAGTTTGTTCTTTTTGTTTAGGATTGCTTTATATATTTAGGCCCTTTTGGAGTCTCATATGAATTTTAGGATTTTTTTTCTATTTCTGCAAAATATGCCTTTGGTATTTTGATAGAAATTGCATTAAAACTGTAGATCGCTTTGGGTGGTATGGGTATTTTAACAATAGTAATTCTTCCAATCCATGAGCATGAGATACCTTTTCATTTATATGTGTCAGTTTCTTTCATCAAAGTTTTATAGTTTTCAGTGTAGAGATTTTTTTTAACCTAGTTGGTTACATTTATTTCTAGGTATATTATTACCTTTTATAACTATTGTAATTGAAATTTTTTTATTGATTTTTTCCAGATAGTTCACTATTAGCATATCGAAATGCTACTGATTTTTTGTACGTTGACTTTGTATCCTGCAACTTTACTGAATTTGTTTGTTAGTTGTAACAGTATTTTCATGGGGTCTTTAGGGTTTTCTATATAATGTGATCATGTTTTCTGCAAAAAAGGACAATTTGGCTTTCTATTTTCCAGTTTGGATGCCTATCATTTCTCTCTCTTACCTAGCTGCTCTGGCTAGAACTTCCAATACTATGTTGAATAGAAATGGTAAAAGTGGGCATCTTTGGCTTGTTCCTGATCTTAGAGGGAAAGTTTTCAGCTTTTACCTATTCAGTATGATGTTAGCTGTGGATTTGTCATATATGGCCTTTATTGTTTTGAGGTACATACCTCTACACCTAATTCATTTAGAGTTTTTATTATGAAGGGATGTTAAAGATTGTTAAATGCATTTTCTGTGTTTATTAAACTGATCGCATGATTTTTGTCTTTCTGTTAACATGGTGTATCACATTTATTGATTTGTGTATGTTAAATTATACTTGCATCCCTGGGATGAATTCCATTTGATAATAGTGAATGATATTTTTAATGTGCTATTGGATCCAGTGTGCTGCTTGTATCTTGCTAAGAATTTTTGCATCTATATTCATCTAGGATATTGGCCTGTAGTTTTCTTTTTTTGTAGTGTCCTTGTATGATTTTGGAATCAGTGTAATGCTGGCTTCATAAAATGAGTTCAGAAGTATTCCTCTCTCTTTAATTTTCTAAAATAGTTTGAGGAGAATTAGCATTATTTCTTCTTTAAATGTTTGGTAGAATTCAACAATCAAGCCATTGAGTCTTGGGCTTTCCTTTAATGGAAGACTTCTTATTACTGATTTAATTTCCTTACTTGTTATTGGTCTGCTTAGATTTTCTATTACTTCATAATTCAATCTTGGTAGATTGTATGTATCCAATAATTTGTCATTTCTTCTATGTTATCAATTCATTGGCATAGCTGATCAGAGTAGTCCATTATGACCCTTTGTATTTCTGTGATGTCAGTTGTAATGTCTTTTTTCATTTCTGATTTTATTTATTTGAGTCTTTTTTTTTCCTTAGGCTAGCTAAATGTTTGTAGATTTTACCTTTTCACAAAATAATCTCTTCATTTTGTTAATCTTTTGAATTGCTTTTTCAGTCTCTGTGGTTTGTTTCTGCTCTGATCTTTATTATTTCTTTCCTTTTACCAAATTTTGGGTCAGTTTGTTCTTGTTTTTCTAGTTCCTTGAGATGCATCATTAGGTTATCCCATCTCTACTAAAAATACAAAAAATTAGCCCAGCATAGTGATGTATACCTGTAATCCCAGCTACTCGGGAGGCTGAAGCAGGAGAATCATTTGAACCCGGGAGGTGGAGGTTGTGGTGAGCCGAGATCGTGCCATTGTACTCTAGCCTGGACAACAAGAGCGAAACTCCATCTCAAAAAAAAAAAAAAAAAAAAAAAGGAAAAAAACTTTCTTGTTTTTTCCATGCAGGTGTTTATCGCTATAAACTTTCCTCTTAAAACACTTTTGCTGTGTCCCATAGGTTTTGATTTGATGTGTTTTTATTCTTGTTTATCTAAAGGAAATTTTTTATGTTTCTTTTAATTTTTTGAGAGATTCATTGCTAATTTAAGAGCACATTGTTTCATTTCCATGTATTTGTAAAGTTTCCAGAGTTTTCTTGTAGTTGGTTTCTAGTTTTATACCATGTAGTCAGAAAAGAGACTTGATACAATCTCTGTCTTCTTAAGTTTGTTAAGACTTGTTTTGTCACCTACCATCTAATTTAAACTGGAGGCTGTTCTATGTGCAGTTACAAAGAGTATTTATTCTGCAGTTATTTGATAGAATGTTCTGTAAATTGTTTTGAATTATAATGTAATGGTTTTGAATTGTTCCTGAACTAAATGTCTGTTAGGTTGTGTTGGTCTGTGGTGCAATTTAAGTCTATGATGTTTCTTTGTTAATTTTTGGTCTAGATGATCTGGCCATTGTTGAAAGTAGGGTTTTGGAGTCTTCTACTTTTATTTATTGTATTGCAGGCTATCTATTCTCTTAGGTCCAGTAATGTTTGTTTTATTTATTTGGGTGCTCTGGTGTTGGGTGCTTATATATTTACAATTGTTATATTTTCTTGTAAAATTGGTCCCTTTATCATTGTATAATGACTTTCTTTGTCTCTTTTTTTACAATTTTTAATGTCTATTTTATCTGGTTTCTGTTTGCATGAGATATCTTTTTCCATTTCTTCACTTTTATTCTGTTTGTTTTTAGCAGCGAGGTGAGTCTCTTCTTGGCAGCACATATTTGGGTCTTGAAAAAAATCCATTTGGCTACTATACATTTTTTAGTTGAAGAATTTAATCAATTTACGTTCAAGGTTATTACTGATAAAGACTTGCTCTTGCCATTTTGTTAATTATTTCTAGTTTCTTTGCACAGCCTTTGATTTTTTCTTCCTATCTTATTGTTTACCTCTGTAGTTTGGTGGTTTTCTGTGGTGCTAAACTTTGTTTTCTTTCTCCTTCTTATTTGTGTATCTGCTGCAATTTCTTTCTTTGTGGTTACCATGGGGCTAGGATTAAAAGTGCTATAGTTATAATAGACTATTTTAAACTGATAGCAACTTAATTTTGATTGCATAAAAATACTCTAGACTTTTCCCCTCCACTCATAATTCATATTTTGTGGCTGTAATTTGCTTCTTTATCTATTATGTCTTCCTTAGCCACTAATTGTAGCTGTTGTTATTTTTGACTATTTTGATTTTAAACCCTTCATGCCAGAAAATTAAGTAATGCTCTGATTGCTGTGCCACAAATGGATGTTTCCCTAACCATAGACTTTTCTGACACCTCAAGTACCTAACTTTATTAATCTAGACTTGATGCATTTCTGCAATTGGACTCTGACACTGCAGGAGCAAAATGTCCTCCTAAATGCAAACTCCTCCTGTCAAAACTGGAACATCTGTAGGATAGGGTGCAGGATCCACCACTGGGGCTATTTAGGTTATAATGATAGTGGCCTTCTCCTCCTATACATGCACTCTTGATATTACTCAGAGAAGTTGCCAGATGGTATTACTGATGTTTTGCTCATGTGTATATTCTGGGTGGTCATTCCTGCTATTGGGGCTATCCAATTAGAAAAGGTTATGCACAACTTGTATTTGGTTTCTCTGATTTTCTCTATTATTTTCTATTTTCTATTTAATTTATTTCTGTTGTTATTTAATTATTTTCTTCCTAGGCTTAGTTTGCCCTTTTGTTTCTATGTTCTTAAGGTGAAAAGTTGGGTTATTTATCTTTTTTTTAATAATTAGATTTTTACTTTTCAAATAGCATAATATTCTTAAAGCTGTAATTTGTCTGTAATCAATGCTTTAGATGCATTCTATAGGTTTGGTATGTTTTATTTTCATTTATCTTAAAAAGTATTTTCTAATTTCAGACCAGATTTTTTATTTGCTCTTTGTGATTCATTTCCTGGCAATTTCTTCTTTAACTCCTTGTTTATTTAGCAGTGTATTGTTTAATTTTTACATATTTGTGAATTTTCCAAAGTTATATTATTGATTTATAATTTAATTCTATTGTGGTTGGAAAACATACTTTGTGTAATTTAAATTATTTAAAATTAATCCTTTTAAATTATTTTAAATTTATTAAAGGTGTTCTATAGCCTAAAATAAGGCATATCCTGGGTAATGTTTTATGTGCACTTGAGAAAAATGTGTATTCTGGTGTTTTTGTGGAGTGTCCTGCAGATATCTGTTAGATCTAGACATACTTATTTTTACGGAATTTTCCTAGGGGTGACAATTAACAGTTTATTTATATCAATCTAGTTCAAAAATAACACCAACTAGTTTTAATAGTATACACAACTTTGTTCCTGTATAGAGCTCCATGTCCTCCCCACTTGTGCTATTGTCATAAAATACATCTTTAAACATTACAAGTCCATTCACACCGTTTTATAAATATTGCTTTATGCAATTTTCTTTTAAATTACTCAGAAAAAGAAAATAGTTGCAAAGGAAAAAGATATCTATACTGTATTTTATGTTTACCTACATAGTTAACATTACTGATGTTTTTTATTTCTTTGTATGGATTCAAGTTTCTGTCCAGTGTCCAGGGCTCCCTAGGAGCCCCTGGGAACAATCATTTCATTTCAGCCTGCAGGGCTTCCTTATTGTTTCTTAGAGGGCTGCAAGTGCTCTCAGTGTTTTGTTTACCTGGAAATGTCTTAATTTAGTCCTTGTTTTTGAAGGGTTATTTTCCTGGATTCTTGATTAGCTGTCTTTTTCTTTCATGACTTTGAATATGCAATTCCACTGCCATCTGGCCTCCATTGTTTCTGATGAACTGTTGCCTATACATCTTATTGATGATTATTTTTAAATGTTGAATCACCTCTTTTACTGCTTTAAAAGTTCTCTGTCTGCCTTTTGACAGTTTGATTATTTTGTATCTAGGTAATCTCTTTCAGTTTATCCTACCTGTAGTTTGTTGAGCTATTTATATGTATGGGTTGATGTTTGTTATCCAAGTTGGGATGTTTTCAGTTATTGTTTCCCTCAAATATTCTTTCTGTCAGTTTTCTCTTTTCTTTTCCCTTGAGACTCTTATTATGTGTTTGTTGCTATGTTTGATAGTGTACCATTGGTCTCTGGGGGCTTTCTTCATGCTTCTTGTTCTTTTTTTTTTCTGCTACTCATGCAGGATAATCTCAATTTGCCTATATTCAAGTTCATTGATTATTTCTTCTGCCAGCTCAGATCTGCTGTTGAGCCCCTCTAGTGAATTTACAAATTAAATTATTATTCTTTTCAACTCTAGAATTTCTATTTGGCTCATTTAAAAATAATTTATATATTTTAATTTATGTTCTCTATTTGGTAAAATATCATTCTTATGCTTTCATTTAGTTCTTTAGACATGGTTTCTGTTATTTCTTTATCATAAGGAGTTAAAAATCTTTGTCTAGTAAGTCTACAACATGGACTTCCTAAGAGACTGGTTTTCCCCTGCATATGAGTTGTACTTTCCTGTCTTTTGCATGTCTCATATTTTTGTTGTTGTTGTTGTTGAAAACTGAACATTTAAGATAATATAATGAGGCAACTCTGGAACTCATATCTCCTCTCTAAGGTGTTTTATTGCTGTTTTTATATTGTAGTTGTTGCTGTTGATTTTGTTTGTTTAGTGACTTTCCTGAACTAATTTTCTAAAGTCTCTATTCTTTCTCATGTGTGACCACTGAAGTCTCTACTTCGTTAAGCTTGTGGTAAGCCAAAGCTTGGACAGAGATGTTCTTATTACCTTACCCAACTTGTCTCTCAACCTTTTTTGAGTGTCTCTGTGTAAAAATTGGGACATACCTTCACTGTCCTGGTAGTTTACAACTCTGTTTAGTTTTTATTTTGCTTGTACAGAGACTCATGGTCAACATAAGCAGGAAGTTAGGAATTTCTCAAGTCACTCCCTGCTATGTCCATAGTCCTCCTGTTTTTTTTTTTTGTGATTATCAGTAAGGTGTTTCCACAAGAGGGGACATAGGACAGACTCAAAATAACAAAGTTTAATGTACTCACAGGTCTTAGAAACAAGAGACATGACATAACTACCACAACTATGTGAAAAACTTCTTTGGCAAACTTAACAAAGTAATAGGCTCGGATGTTTTCTCTAATTCGGTGCACTCTACATATGTTCTCCTCGATCTCTGCTCCTAAAGATGAAATATTTGTAGCCACATAAAGAAATTTACCATGATTTCTCAATGCAATATGGAATCTTCTTGTGTATAATCTTTCTCTATTTATTGCTTTCTATATAACGTGTGTTTTAATAGCTTTCAGAGATAATTTGTTTTATTTTTCCAACTCAAATGAGAGACTCTAGCAATGAATATATATAAGATAAAGTGGATAAAAAAGGTGAGAAATGTCAAGGCAAAAAAATGTAGATAATTTAGACTTCTGTGGATGTCTCTCAAATAATACTCTTCAGATTATGGCTTATTCCATTTATGTTTAAGGCTAGCACTATGTAAAACCTCTGTCTCTTAACCCAAAGTATAACTTGCTCTTTCTAAATAGGAAACTAGAAATAATTTTGAAAACGAATCAATAAAAATTTCAAATTATTGCATGAGTAGAACTCAAATTAAAATCTGTCTAGTAAGCTACATTATGCAGTTGCCAATGAAAGCAGCAGGAAGTGTCAACTGTTTGGGAGGATCTGCGGTGTACTTGGACTTGCCTGGCATTGTTATTTGCTTCTAATCACTCTGGGAAGTGTTGTGGTGGAAAATAAGGCTAAGAGGAAATGTGCAGAACAGCCAAGGAAGCTCCTGGGAACAATCAAAGCAGGCTATGCCAAAAGGTTCCTGATATTCCTTCTAGACGCTCTGTACTGCTTCTCTGCGCTATCACTTCACAAAAGAGGGGCTCTGCTTTCTTCCACTTCAGATTTTATGTTGGTTTGCATCCGTAGATTATCTCCACCTGTGTTTAAAATGTCTCATGTGAAATGCCTGCAAGAGAGTGGGATCACTGGGTTATCCTGTATCTGAGCAGTGTAAAGGAAAATTTCTCTAATTTTGGTAACTATCCAAGGTTTGGGTTTGAAGAAGAACATATACAGCATGATTTAAAGGGAAACAAGGACTATTTATTGATATATTGGCCATATAGCTCTTCGTCTTTTAAATTGTTTTTTTAAAAATATGCATTGAGGATTTAAAAATCCTTTAAAACTAGTTTTAGAAGAACTGGTATAATATTAAGTAGATTATTTTAACTTACCTAATAGTATGATTCAAAGTAGCACAAGTTTTTTTTTTTTTGCTTTTCCCACAAAATCCATTTTAAAAAGCTATAATTGTCTTTATATCTATATGCTGATGTTGTGTGCAATATAGTGGAATGAAATGAGTCTGGGTCATACTTAGTTCAAAATATTATTCTACCTCTTCTTTTTTATGACTCCTTGAATAAGTTACTTAACACTCTTGCATCTCAATTTTTCTTCCTGTGATGTGGTTAAGTATTTAATTGTAAAAAAATGCAATCATTTATGAAAGTATTAGCTTAGTGCTTGACACAGTGAGCACTTGATAATAGTTACTTTGAATTGGAATATGGTCTCTATTGCTCCTCTGTCCTTACCTCCATGGATCATCCAACTGGGAGGTAGAAATCTTTTTCACATCACCTTTGTAATTGTAGAGTTGCTAAATAGCCTTATTTACTACAAATTGTTACTTTTAAGAAGCATATTTCTTCTAACCATTTGAAAAAGGAGGAAGAGTAGAATTCAGCAAATATCCAGTATATACTGTGTTCTGGGAGTAAGGAAGACAAATATTTCTTGGTATCCAACTCATGTTGTTAGCAAGTAAGTGCCTGGAGCACGGTAGGTTGTTTTGTAGTCTGTTACATGATAGGCCCTGTGCCAGGCTCTTTGCACATTGCTGGCGGTGGAGAGAAAGGTCCTATCCACAGAGTTTGTCTTTCCATGTGGAAGGAATTCCACAAGTATAAGACTCTTGGTGGCTTATCCAACTCTCTCCTTCAGTGCTCCCAAGATTACTCGTGAGTTTGGAAAGAGGAATTTTGCATATGTAGCCTAATTCTTTTTATCTCATCAGTGTCAGCCTGCAGAGAGAACATATTCATCTATGACCTTCCTTCTATTCCAGTGGAGAGATCTACAGCCTTCAGTATTGCCTGTGACTGGAGTAACTCTGTTTAATTTGAGGATCCAGTATTAGAAAGCTCGTGATTACTGAACACTGAAGCCACATTCATGAATCCATCAGTAATAAAAGCTATCTTTGTTTTCCTTCTGCCTAACCCTGCTTTAATCTCGCAAACATTTCTAAAGTTAGGAGGGAAAAGGATGTTTTCACTTATTAGCTTTAAAAAATCCTATTATACATTTAACCCACATATCTGCTGACTTGTTCGCCTCTATCTGCATAACAGCAGGATCTCAATACCTCCCAGTTATTTCCATATATTTCCAGAATGATGTCTCAAAATGTCCACACTCTAGATGTGGTTGTCCTTTGGGCCCAGACTTTTTCTTCTTATGTTTTAGCTCCCAAGTGCATAGAACTGCTACCTGAGAAGGTTCATTACTGTCATTGCACATCATGGTTTACTAATTTACTTTAAGATAAATGTCTCCCCCCAAAATACTTTGCATCAAGCTATAGCCCTTGAGTTGCCAAAATGTTGTAGGGTTTCATGGATGGCCTTTTCCCAATACTATCCCTCAATTTAAAATAAAATTAAAGGCCCAGAGAACCTCTTCTTGGGCTCAATGTCTTACAGAATCTTTCATGGAGAAGAGTTTAGTAATTTTTGACCTCATCCCACTAATTATACGGGCTGAAACATAGAACTGTAGTTCTGTTTGGAACAGACATGATAGCATCCCTACCATTTATCTCTTCTCAGAGTATAAAACTCCAGTCACAAAGTCCCTTTTCTTATTCTTTTTGCAAAACACAAGCTCCTATGTATATCACTTGCTGCAAATGGTTATCTTGGATATAGGTGTCAGAATGAGGGTTGATGGATGGTGGCCTGGTGATGAGCCCTGACTTAATCTGCCTTAGACCATAGATTGTGTACCTTTTGTTTTACTTCTTTTCAGTGTTACTCTAAACACCCTTGGGTGTTTACTACTATTATAGAAGACAGGTTGTATAGGTATCTCCATAATCTGATATATATTTATCTTCATGAATAGAGAGGCATGGTATGTGAATAATTGGACTTTATGTATTCACCATTGCTTAGCCAAGTGCATTTCCATGAAAATTATCCTGTGGAAATGACAATATTCATTTCATTAAGAGGTGGTTGGTTAGAGAGTCACAAAACATATTTTTGTTCTCCTAGTTATGTGCAGGTGTTTGGAGGCAACTCAAACCTCAGACTTTGTGGACCAAAATGAATCAGAGACCTGAAATTGACTCCTCTTTTCCACTTTGGCTGACTTCCTTTAGTTCATGAAATTAATCTCTGAGTCTGAGAACTCATTTTAAGGTCGACTATGTGTACAGATGAGGATAAGAATAAGAGATGTAGGTAGAGCAATGAAGAGGTAACACGACATAAGCATTTAGAAAGCAGTGTTTAATCCTTGACTTTCCACTAAAATGGCCATTAAAAATTAATCCTACCCCAACTCCGGCTACATACAAATAAAGTAATTTTCAAGGAAAATAAAAAACACAAGAGAAAAATCTCATCCTAAAGTGTGTTTACATTTTCCAAGAGATTTCAAAATGGCAACAATAATTCATTTTCAATTGTTTCCACATTTTGCATTGAAAATATGTTGGCTATGAAAATTACTAGAAAACAAATACAGAAATGTGTTCTTTACCATTGATATAGATGCGTCGTCATGAATCTAATATCTATTTAGCCTTCTTCCTTTCATTTTGGCGGGGGCTGAAATTTCAGCAGGGACAGTGAAAAGCCCATGGAAATAAAAATTAGAATGTCTCCAGAAAGAAAGAGGAAGTAAAAGGCAAGTACTAACTGGTAAATATCATTTGAGGTGATTTCAGATAAGGCCATAACCCAGGTTAAAAATATATCAAAACACAATTGTCATTATTATAACATAAACTAATAAATATTAATTAGATCCCTATTTTGGGCGAAGTACTGTGTTGAGCACTATGGTAGATACAAAGATGTTAAAATGGACTCAATGTGTGTAAGAGGATTACAGTCTAGAACAGGTAGTTGTATATATGCTATTGAATACAGCTATGCATGTAAGATGTAGTCTATTATAGTACAGATGTATAAGTTATTTCAAAGTAGCACATTAATAATTGACAAATAAATAGTAAAACTAGTAAGTGCTTAAGAGGAGAAGTAAGGCAGAAAGACACCACTGCCTTCTGGGGTGAGTTTAATTCTAGCATCAGCCAACATTTATTCAACCCTTACTATGGGCCAGGCAATGTTCTATGGACTTCACATGTATTAACTAATTTTATCCATATGATAACCCTACGAGGTAGAAACAATTATTATCATTCCATGTTGCATATATGTATTTGTTTTCTAGTAATTTTGATAGCCAACATATTTTCAATGTAAATGTGGAAACAATTGAAAATGAATACTTCTTCTTGCCATTTTGAAATCTCTTGGAAAATGTGAACATACTTTAGGATGAGATTTTTCTCTTGTGTTTTTTATTTTCCTTGAAAATTACTTTATTTGTATGTAGCTGGAGTTGGGGTAGGATTAATTTTTAATGGCCATTTTAGCTATATATGGAATGATATTATTATCATTCCATGTTGCAGAGAGGTTGAGTAACTTGCCTAAGAATTCTGGAGAGTCAGAATTTGCACCTCAGCTGTCATGCTTCGGATGCTGTGTTCTTAATTACGGCTCAAGACTCTGCATGAGGAATTTTGGTTGCTGGTCCTTCAAATTGTTGTGATCCAGATATGTCCAAGCAATTTGCTTCTAAAACAACTATGAATACTAAATGCATAACACAAATCATACATTATCTAAATTAATTGTTAAATGTATGTTTTTTGGAAATTAATGGCCAGCCAGGGTCATTTGGTCATTTTTGACTCTGCCCCATTTCTTTTTCCCTTTACTATTGTTAAGAGCTATTGTTGGAGAAAAATGCTTGGGAAAGCTCATGGGTTGGATGGTGAGACCTTGTGAACATTTCAACAATGAAAAACAGTCACCAAATTGTTAAGCCATAGAGAAGAAAAAAACTTTCATTTCCTAAGATGGAGGGGGAAGAAAATAAGAAGAAAGGTCGGTGGGAAGTAAGAGCAGTTAGGAAGATGTGAGGTTGGGAGACCAGATGAGGTACAAGCTGGAGAAGGGGTAAAGAAAGGAATTCCAAAACCCATGTTTGTCAGGGAAATTTTGAGAAAAAAGGGTGTCTGAAAGATGGAATTTAAAATTTGAGCTATGCCACATCCTTCTTTTCTGAAATCTTGAATACAATCTCCATTGCTCATAAAGGTCAGTGTGAGTAAAATTTTTTAAATAAGGTAATGTTTGTTTTAAGTTTTTGAAATCAGTGAAAGGTATGTTTTCACAATTCAATTGCCACCATGAAACACTGAGACAGACCGTCCATGGGGAAGGAGAGGATGAGGCAGAAGGAGATCATGGGAAGGCTTAACACACTCCCACAGCTGTGGAATTGTGGGCTGAAGTCTCATTCAGATTTAGTGGGACGGGATATCCACCAGTCACTTCCACTGACACAGCTGGCATAGTTACAAGACCTGATCAGTTGAAGGTGGTTAACGATTTTCTTTTCAGTTACAATCAACTTCCAGACTGTGAGTTTTCCCTTTGCCTGATAATACTGTAATTTTCCTCACAAGCCTTTTTCAAGTTGTCATGTCTTTTGGGAGTCTTACGATTACACTCAAATTCTATTAAACTCTGTTTTTACTTGACTATGGTGGAGATATTAATTACCGGTTACAAGCAACTTTCACCCACAGCTATCCTGTTATGGCTGAAATCGTGGTGTTCTAATCCCAGATTCTTCTTCTTTTTTTTATAGCACCTGTCAGGACTTTTGCATTAGTGTCAGTCATACTAATGCTAAAGCTGTTCTCATTTTTTAGTGAATTCCTTAGAGGTTGAAATTATTACTTTTGATGTCAGTTCTCCTTCCTTTATTAAAAATTTTCTGTCAGAGACCTAGTCAGAATTGCTAAGGATCTTTTGAGGCTCCATTAGTCTCTCTTCCTTTTAGATCATGTGTTTTCTTTTTGCATTTCACCCAATAGAAGGGAATTCTAAGCGGCCTCATCCCTTGCACATTTTCGGAGCAGTTGCAGAAAATGCTTTGTGCTGAGGGTCAGGGGCTTAGAATTAGGTTCTGGCTTTTATTTCTGCATCTACAAAACAGTGGTCGGAACATATGATTCTTAGTGTTCTGGTTGTGGGGCAGCATTTTGTAAACTATAAATAGCTGTAAACATTTTTGGATATTATTATAAAAGAAAAAGATATAAAAATGTCAGTCAAAATATTTTCTGGGTTGAAGAAAATAACCTGTTTTTCCTCTTAAACTCTTTGACGTTAGAAAATGGGTGCAGAGGAAATCTTAGCTGCTTTGGCAAGGGAACTCACCCAGGGTGAAGTCTTTCACTCTTGGTTGCCACTTGGGAGAAGAATCATAATTCTGAGTTTTTACTGAGACAATAATGAAAAATAGAGTTGCAAAGCACAGTGATGTGGACCCAGGAAGGCATGAAGAAACACAGCAGAAGGCGGAACTGACCTTTTTGTTAAAATTAACAGCTTATGATAATTTTCGGCTCTCCCTTATTCTTTGCATGATAAGACATAGATCAGATAGGATTTTATTTTATTTAATGTATTGTATAGAACCTCAATACATTTATTTGGAAAGAATATGTTGTTTCAGTAACAAGATTTTTTGTGTCAGAAAATATGTATCTTTTTGTAAATTGAATGTAAATAGCCATTGTAAGACAGAAATGTTAGTATGTGTAACATGAGTAATCGTATTTATATAGCTTCCCAAATCTTTGAAGTTCACAGAATTTTAATAATTAACCTTTCTTTCCACTTATAGGATCTTTTGGCATGCTCAGGTGCTCCGTGAAGTCTACTGTAATATGCTATATGTAAAGTGATTTCCCGTCTGTTTTGGGAGAATATCTAGCTCTGCATTCGCCACGTACAGGCATGCTCATATTTTCCAGTTTTAGACATAATGAGTAAATGCCACATAGTAGCATTTGAAATAAATTAACCAAAGAAGACTTAAAGATTGTGTGAATAAATATTCAATAATTGGCTATGAATCATGTACTTGTCACTATGCAAGGTGTATAGAAACTCGGTTTCTAACTACTGAATTTGCAATTGAAGAACAAGGGCAAGAATAGATGGTGGATCTGGTAGGGTACATTTTGTGAGTTAAGTTTTCTCTTTTAATTTTTTCTCCACTTTGTAGAGATGTGAAGACAAGGTGCCTTCTCTTCTGGCCTAAAAGGGAAAATATTTAGACATATGGGTCACAAAAGCCATTTATGCTTAAAATATTTCCTTAAAGCCATGATTAAATATCTCTGGCGTTACGAGTTCCTGGAAAAACTCAGAGTGTACTCTTCTGATTAGGCCTGGGATGTTGTCCCAGCCGTCTTGTCTCCTTGCCTCCACCTGGCTGAGGCACATCCTCTGTACAGTATGTGCAGTACTGTTGGACTGCTGTTTCACTACTAATCAGAGTAGGTTGCACACGTGGGCTGGCCACAGGGGGCCTGCGCCCATGGTACACTGTTTGAGTGGAGTTTTCCACTCAGTGTTTGGTTTGGCCCGATCTGCGCGATGTCTTGCCAAACCTGCAACTCCTGTCAGAAGTCACTCATCCCTGGATGGGAAATACTCCTCACGCTGTTGTCAGCAAACTCTGATCTTTCACTATAAACCTGGCAGGATGTCTTTTTGGCCAGACAAAAGTATCGAGAAGACAGATTTTTACTCTGTGAAGAACGTGTCTGCAGTGGATAGTACTTGTACTAGTAAAAGTATTTAGGGCTGTGGTGTGGGTCAGCTTTATCCACTTAAAAAAACAACAAACTCATAAATGTAGCACTGAGAAGCCCCCCAATTAAAAATAAGAGAGGCAATGACTATTCCAGTTGAGTTGCCAAAGTAAAGCGTAAGGTATGGTACAGGATGTTATCTTAGAAACAGAATTTTGTGTTTGGGTTTTCTTCTACAAAGTGATTGTGAGTTCTTCTACAAAGTGGCACATGGGCATACACATAGCTGTGCCAAGGGTGTAGTGATTTTGGCACAGACGTTCGGGTCTGACTTTCCACAGGTGTGAGAACAATGTTCTGGTTTTTATATTTTGTTCCTGTGCCCAGATCTCCCATTCTTTTGATACACTGTGGGTATGACAAGTGAAGTCCACAAATTAAATCAATAGATAAATGTTTCCTTTTATCTAGTATTGTACTAGGCATGCAACTTATTATTTTTTAGAAGTTAAGTACACAGATCGTATGTGTACTGCTCCATAAATGTTCACAGACTAAACACCCTCATATTCCTACTACCCATGTCAAGAAATGGGACATATATCAGCACCCCAGGATTCTTTCTGTGCCCCTCATTGTCACTACCTGATGCTCCTTTTCCTGAACAATCTCCATGCATACTTTTGAAGTATATATAAATGAAATTATACAGTCTGTACTTTTTCAGGGTTTGGTTTTGTTCAAAGTTAAGATTCTGAGATGCATCCATTTTATTGTAGGTAGCCATAACTTGTTATTTTTTGTCATAGTGTTCTGTTGCATGAGTATGGCAAAATTGTTGGTCTGTTCTGTTGTGAATGGATAGCTGGGTTGTTTTCAGTTTTGAACTATTGTAACTCAGGCATCTGTGATCATGTGTGTATAGTTTTTGATGAAAATTTATATGTGCATTTTTGTTAGCTATAAAAGTAAAAGTAGAATTTCTGGGTCATGAGGTATGTTTATTTTAGCTATAGAAGATATTGTTGAAAGGTTTTCCAAAGCAATCATAACACATGCTCCAATCAGCAATATATGAGAGTTCCAGTTTCTCTAGATGCTTACCAACAGTTAGTATTGCTGATAGTTTCAGTTTTACCATTCATAGTTGTAAAGTGCTTTTTCCTAATGACTAATGAAGTTGTACACTTTTTCGTACGTTTAATGGTCATTTATTTGCATATGAACCAATTCTTTTAAATAATTTGTCAAGTTTTTTGCCTAGCTTTGTATTGGGATTATCTATTTCTTATTGATTTAATAGTTGTCCTTTGACGGTATAGAATCAAATTCTTTGTTGATTCTCCCATTCTGTGTCTTTCTAATGTCATAATGGGGTCTTTTGATGAACAGATGATTAGTTGTGTGTGTGTGTGTGTGTGTGTGTTTCCTGTTTAAGAGACCTTTTCCTATACCAAAGTTACAAATATACTTCTCTATATTATCTTCTAGAAGCTTTACTCTTTTATCTTTTATATTTATATCTACAGTCCATGTAGAATTGATTTTTGAGTATGAGATGAGGTAGGTGATAAGTTTCATTTTTTTCATATACAAATGAATTGATTCAAAATTTTATGTTGAGATGACCATTCTTCCCCTGTTGCTCTTCAGCATCACCTGGTCATAAGTCAAGCGTCGGTCTGTGTGTTTCTGAACACTCTATTCTATTCCATTGGTCTATTTAGCTATCTTTTTGCCACTACCACATTCTTTTCATGGCTGTGGTTCTATAAGTTATGATTTCCTATATTAAGTAGATTCCCCAAATTTGTTCTTCTTCATTTGAGGGAGGAGGTATTTGCTTTCCATATAAATGTTAAAATCAGCATGATTTTTTTTTTTTTCTGAGATGGAGTCTTGCTCTGTAGCCCAGATCTGGAGTGCAATGGTGCGATCTCAGCTCATTGCAACCTCCGCCTCCTGGGTTCAAGCAATTCTCCTGTTTCAGCCTCCCAAGTAGCTGGGATTACAGATGCACAATATCATGCCTGGCTAATTTTTGTATTTTTAGTGGGGACGGGGTTTCACCATGTTGGCCAGGCTGGTCTCAAACTCCTGACCTCATGATCCACCCGCCTCGGCCTCCCAAAGTGCTAGGATTACAGGTGTGAGCCAGTGCACCCAGCGAAATTTTTTTTTCAAATAGAACTTGCTGAGGTATTTGTTGGGATTACATTTCATTTGTAGGTCAATTTGGGGAGAATAAGAATCTGTGCAATATTGACTTTCAGTCCATGAACATGAATTATCCCTTCATTTACTTTATCTTCCTTAATTTTTCTTAATATAATTTTGCATTTATTGAGACCTCATGCATCTTTTGTTAGATTTGTTCTTGGATATTTGGGGTTTTTTTTTTTTTTTTTGAGACAGGGTCTCGCTCTGTCTCCCAGGCTGGAGTGCAGTGGCACGATCTCAGCTCACTGAAATCTCTGCCTCCTGGGATCAAGCGATTCTCCTGCCTCTGCCTCCTGAGTAGCTGGGATTACAGGTGCCTCCCACCACACCCAGCTAATTTTTGTATTTTTAGTAGAAATGGGTTTTCACTATGCTGGCCAGGCTGTTCTCGAACTCCTGACCTCACGTGATCTGCCTGCCTTGGCCTCCCAAAGTGCTGAGGCGTGAGCCATCATGCTTGGCCATTCAGTGTTTTTCGATGATCATCATAGGTAGAGTACTTCAGAAGCTGCTAAGAAAAGGTTTGGTGAACAGGCTATTTATGAGGGGTCAACACCTGCGGAAGGAAGGAAAAGGAGGCAGGATTGGGAAGATGAAGAAGTCAAACTGCAATGTAAAGGTGACAAAGACTCAGCCAACCCAATGAGGTGCTCTAGAGCAAATATAGCTCTTCAGAGAAGACCCTTGATGGGCTGAAATGGTCAGACCTTTATGCTCCTGCAGCAATCAGTCATTGGGCATGGACTGCCTTGGAAAAGTACACACTCGTGTGAGGTGGCTCTTTGCAGCTGACATCTTTAAGGAGCTCCCAGAGCTCCCAGCCCCTAGGACAATAAGACCTTCTTTGGAGTGGAATCTAGGTGGTGCATCTCTATGTCCACTATAGTCTACCCTCTGTGGTGTATCCATCACACAAGACCTTTTATGCTGCTCAAATCCACTTCTTCATGTAATTCAAGCAGTAGCTCCTTCAGGACTCTGGTGGACCTGAACTTAGAAGAGGAAGTTTAGTAGGAAGAACTGTATCCCCCAACAGTGCAGATGGTGTTGGGCTGGAATTGGTATTCATTGTCTGTGTTAGTCCATTTTTGCATTGCTGTAAAGAAATATCTGAGGGTGGGTAACTTATGAAGAAAAGAGGTTTAATTTGCTCACAGTTCTGCAGGTTAGACAAGATGTGTGGTACTGGCATCTGCTTCTGATGAGGCCTCATGAAGCTTACAATCATGGCGGAAGGCAAAGGGGGAGCAGGTGCATCAAATGGCAAGAGCAGAAGCAAGAGAAAGAGATGGGGGAGGTGTCACATTTTTTTAAACAACCAGATCTCACATGAACTATCAGAGTGAGAACTCACTTGTTACTGTAGGGGCAGCACCAAGACATTCACAAGGGATCCACCACCATGACCCAAACACCTCCTACTAAGCCTTATCTCCAGCACTGGGAATTACACTTCAACATGAGATTTGGAGGGGACACACATCCAAACCATATCATTGTCTCTTCAACCTCCACTTCCTACCCCTACTCTCTATTCCAGATTTCCTTCAGTCTCAGCTTATCTTTATAGCTAATCCTGAGGGGTCTGAGATCCTAAATTCCTTGCTGTTTTCAAGCCCAGGTTTCCATGCCTGTCACAATGTGGTCACAAAACGTTGGTCAACCCCAGGGAAACTTCTAAGCAAATAAGTCTTATCAGAGTTGCTGCAGTCAACTGATCAGAGTTGCTGCAGTCACTCTGAGCCACTGCTCAGAGCCGATTTACTGAGACAGCAGAACTGCAATAGTAAAAGAGTTTAATAAATGCAGGGCCAGCTGAACAGAAGACCACAGTTTGTTATTCAAATCAATTTCCCCAGATTTGGAGATTGGGGCTTTTAAAGGATAATTTGGTGGGTGGGGAACCTACAGAATGGAGAATGCTGATTGATTGGGTCAGGGATAAATCACAGGGGGTCAAAGTGGGATCTTCCTTCTGTCTTCAGTTCCTGGGTGGGATTACAGGACTGGTGGAGCCAGTTTATTGGTCGGGTGGCACCGGCTGGTCCAACAGAATGCAGGGTCTTAAGAATGTCTTGAACACCAACCTTAGGTTTTATCATAGTGATGTTATCCACAGGAGCAATTGCGGAGGTTACAAATCTTGTGGCCTCTGGCTGGATGACTCCTGAGCCATAATTTCTAATCTTGTGGTCAATTTATTGGTTTTACAAAGGCAGTTTTGGTCCCCAAACAAAGATGGGATTTGTTTTAGGAAGGGGCTGTTATTATCTTTGTTTAAAAGTTAAACTCTTAATTCTTCCTATAGTTAGTTTGGCCTATGCCTAGGAATGAGTAAGGGCCACTTGGAGGTTAGAAGCAAGATGAAATTGATTAGGTCAGATTTGTTTCACTGTCATAATTTTCCTATGTCAGATTTTTCTTACAGTCATAATTTTTGCAAAGGCAGTTTCATTGCCTTCCAGGATGATCAGTTATTGTATGTGAACTGCCTCAGGAAGGGCGTGCTCTTGAGCAAGATGGCTCTTTGATATTGAGGGAAATCACAAAGGGACTGAGAGAGAGGATGAGACCAGAGGACTACTTGAGCCCAGGAGTTCGAGACCAGTCTGGGCAACATAGTGAGACCTCATCTGTATAAGAAATAAAAAAATTTGGCCAGGCGTGGTGGCACACGCCAGTAGTCTCATCTATTCAGGAAGCTGAGTGGGGAGGATCATTTGAGCTCAGAAGTTCAAGGCTGCAGTGAGCCGAGATCACGCCACTTCACTCCAGCCTGGATGACAGAGTGAGACCCTGTCTCAAAAAGAAAAATAAGTTAATAATAAAAGAGAAAATAGGACATATTGAAACTTGTGGGAAACAGCTAAAGAGGCAAATGTATAGCTATAACTGCATATACTAGAAAGGAAAAAAGAATAAAATTAATGATTTAAATATTCATCTCAACAAATTAGAAAAAAATTAGGAAAGTAAATCCAATTAAAATAGAAAAAATAGTAAATATAACAGAATTTCTACCCTAGTTGCTAAGAGATTATACATATGTTTTTGACATATTAGATCTACTCCAAAATAGTATTTTTATTACTTTCTAGATCATGTTAGGACAGTGTATTTCCATCCTTTTTGTGATTTTATGACACACATTTTAAATTCAAATAAGTTAATATTATTTTTATATAATAAATAGTCATTTAGATTTACTCGTATATTTTTACTCTCTATTGTTGTGCATTTGTTTCTCAATTTCCATGCTTTCACCTGGGATATTTTTCCTTTCGCTGGAAGAAATCTCTTTAGTATACTTTTTTGGAGCAGTTCTCCTGGAGATAGATTTTCCTCAATGTTTGTTTGTCTAAAGACATCTTTATTTTATTTTCCTTTTTGAAAAATATTTTCTCCAGATGTAGAACTCTAAGCAGTTTCTTTTCTGCACATCAGTCACATTTTTCTATCATCTCATGGCCTCCATTCTTTTTTTTTTTTTTTTTTTGTAGACAGTCTCACTCTATCACACAGGCTGGAGTACAGTGGCACGATCTTGGCTCACTGCAGCCTCTGCCTCCCAGGTTCAAGCTATTCTCCTGCTTCAGCCTCCCAAGTAGCTGGGACTGCAGGAGCCCGCCACCATGCCCGGCTAATTTTTGCATTTTTTAGTAGAGACGGCGCATCACCATGTTGGCCAGGCTGGTCTCAAACTCCTGACCTAAGGTGATCTGCCTGCCTCGGCCTCCCAAAGTGGTGAGATTACAAGCATGAGCCACCATGCCCGGCTGGCTTCCATTACTTCTGTTGAAAGTCAGCCTTATTCTTTGGAGCTACTAACTATTTTTTTCCCCTCTGGCTAGTTAAAAATGTTTCTTTTTGCCATTGGTTTTTGGCATTTTTACTATGATACAAAACTGGATATGTTGTTTTGTATTTATCCTTCTTGGGTTTGATAGAGCTTTTTGAATTTGTGGATTGAAGTCTCTGTTGTTTTGGAATATTCTCAAGCAATGTCATATAAGATACTTGTGCCCTACCAGCTCCTCTCCTTCTAGGGTTTCAGTAACTTGTCTGTTAGATCTTTGAATCATGTCCTGTAAGTTTCTTATCACCTTTGTTTATTTTCCATCTTTTTTCTCCTTCTCTGTTATTTAGTTTGGATACTTCAAATTGACCTATTGACCTATTTTCCAGTTCCAATTCTCTTTTAATTAATCTGGAAATTCTAATCTATTTAATAAAGTTCTTAATTTTAATATTTGCCATTTTCATTTTAGAATTTTTAAATGATTATAGTTTTTGGTCAGTTTCTTTATCTTGCCATCTATTTTTAAAAAATGTTAATCACATTTATTTTAACATCCTTCTGTGAGAACTCAAAAGTCTACATTACCTGGAGTCTCTTCCTGTATTTTATTTTTACACTTTTTCTTGATTTCTGAACATTTAACTCTTTCTCTCCTGGTATACCTAAAAATTTTGTAAATTAAATGCCAGATAGGACTGAAAAAATACAGAGATAATTTGTAGAGTTTTGCCTCTTTCTCCAGGGAGGACTTAATGTTAATCTACCTGGCAGTTAGAGCGGGAGCAGATTACCTTTACCAAATCTGGGATTGAGCTCGTTCAACACTGGATTTTTATAAGAGCTTTGTTCTTAATCCTACAGTCTGGTCCTTTCAAAGTCTTTTCCAGAGGTCTGGGTTGTTTATCGGGGCTGTCTTTTTTGGGAGCCCCAGAACTCCCATGTTTTCCTCCTCAGGCTCATTAGGCTGTTGTGAAAACTCAACTCAACTCATAGTTTCAGGGTTTTGGTCACTGTTTTCTGCTTTGCTTCTTGGCCTCTTCACCTGGCTCTTCTTATAGCCTGACAAATGCCTGGAAGGGAAAAACACTATGCTCCACTTCCCTTCTCTTCATGATCTTGAATTCTCAAATTATTATCTTCAAACAAATACATGGTGTATTTTCTCCAACTTTTCTAATTGTTTCAGACTAAGCTTGTGGAAGAATTGTTCTGCAATTCTGCACTAACATCAGGAACAGGCAATCTTGTAGGCTTTCTTCAGTGAGAGAAAGGTACTCAGTTTCATGTTATACTCCCAGTGACTTTCACAACTCTTGATGCATGAAAGTGCTCAGAAATTTTTTCAACGAATAAAAATGTGCAAGAGAAGCATGACCTAACCCATATTCAGAAGCAGGTTTTGATCTGAAGAAACAGCCAAGGTTTAGTCAAGAATTCCTTAATGCTTAGTTTAATACCAAGATATTTCATAGAATCTTTCTTCACATCTTGAATTCTCTTATCCTTTTCTGCCCTGAAAAATATTTGAAATTCCTCAAATACAATTTATCCTTTAATCTTATATTGTATTAATAGTGCATTTGATGTTATAAGCTGGGAAATATATTGGGCATATTAGCATAAGGTGAGTTCTAGAAGACAGGCTCTGTCATATGTCTGCTACGTTCTTCAAGATATCTCAAGCAGTGCTAAACACATCGATGGTGTGTGACACTTCCTTTAAGATATAATACAGTCAATATTGAAATTTTATATTCTAAGAGTGAAGGGCTAAAAATATGTATTTTATGCATATTTTAATAAAAATCATTTTGGTGTATTTAAAAAGTTTTAGGAAATAGGCTGCATATAAAGCATTGTTTTTTATGTTCATAAGTAAGCATCCAAATACACCATCAGTGTCATTCATGGCTGCCACCATGGCCTGGTGAGAGGGTGGCAAAATCATAGTGACAAAAAGCAAGAAGAGCTGTTTATTGCAAGCTTGATATGCACCCAATACCATGGTAATTATTTTATAGAGATGGTCTCATTAGTCCTTATAATAACTCAATTCAGAGGTGCTATGGTAGTCCCAATTTTTAGATGAGGACACTGAAGCAGAGAAAGATTAAGTCACTATCCAAGGTTATAGAGCTAGGAAGAGGAGGAACTAGGTCAGTGATTGTGGTAGGATGTGACCTAGGAAAATATGTTACTCTGTTCAACTCTCCATTTCAAATTCTCCAGTCAATCCCTGATCCTGGTAATGAAGGAGAAAGAGAGATGTATGACTCACTTGACTGTTTCATTGCCATTAGCATAGAAACACTGAAAGGGGTGGAGTGCTTATTTGAAAGTTTCCTTTCGCCTTAGGTGTATATAATTAAGCAGCGGTTGGTTTTTCCTACAGTAAGCATCAGTTGGCTGAACAATTTGTTTCTTTCATATTATGGTTTCCCTTCTTTCTTCATTTTCCACTGGAAAATTCTGTTAAACTCAAGAAATATGTAACCTAATGTTGAAAGTGTCAGAGAAGCACACTTAAAGTATTAAATGAGATAAAAGTGTTGTTCTATAGAAACAGACCAAAACATTAGGCTGTTATTTTTCCAAACCTTTAGTGGGGAAGAATAAGTGCTAAGTGGATATCCTCAAAGTCGAGAAAGTGACAAAGATTATTTTTTGGATGAACAAAGATATGTGAAAGTGCTAGAGAAGAGCAGTAAAAGTATTAAATGCAAAACACTAAAAGTATTAAAATATTGTATAAGGAGTTGCAGAGAAGTGCTGTGACATGGATGAACCAAACTACAGGATGAAAGGCCAGGAGAGAGGGTTTCCTGAATGGATCTTTTGCTAATGGTGAAAACGGACTAGCATGTGTGCCCCATGCCAAGGAGAGAGAAGAAAGAAAAAGTAATGGTGGGATAATGTAATTTTTCTCTCATTAATATCTCTTTTGATCTGTAAATAATACATTCCTCCACATTCTATATTAAACCCAGAAATAAAATCACAATGTTAATTAAAGAGAAAGTGAGGAGAATAATTTCTAACATGTTGAAGGCACAGAATAAACTTTAGAGAATTATTAATATGTCATGAATTTTTCTCTCTTTCTACCAGAAGGCATCCCAAGAATTATGTGTCCCAGACAAATGACTGTTTACGTTTCTGAGCCTTTATGTTAAAATCTGGTGATTGTGGAGCATAAAATATTTGAAATTGTTCAATCTGTGATGTTAAATATCTTAAGTATATAATTTATAAAATAAAATAAATCACTGAATCAAAAGAATCATTAAACATATAGAAAAATTATTTTAAAAATTTTGAATAAATAAAATAATGTGTATAACTATAATAAATACTAGATCATATCCTAAAGGTGGCAAAATACCAAAAAAATTTTATATTAATACCAAATTTTTTATTTGACATAATTGTTTCAATGATGAATACCAAAATGACAGTAACTTAAAAAAGTTAGAAAGTGAGATCCGTGTAAGGCAAAGGTTTGTAGGTATGTAGATCAGCCCTGTTGTGGTGGCTTTGCTTCACAAAGCAGTAAGGACTTAAGATTTCTTCTAGCTTACAGTTTTTCTGGGATGTCCTCCATTTCCAAAGACACCCCATGGCCCATAATGGCAGCTTTCTCTTTAGCCATCATATTCATATTCTACTAGCAAGTAAAAGCAAAGGAGAAAGAAGAAAGGGAAGAAAGGGAAGATCATGTATCAGCTGCCTTTTAAGGAAAGTTTTCTTTCTGTTTTTTTTTTTTTTTTTGAGATGGGGTTTCACTCTGTCACTCAGGCCACTGGGTGGCGTGATCATGGCTCACTGCAGCCTTGTGACCTCCCCAGGCTCAGGTGATTCTCCCACCTCAGTTTTTATATTTTTAGTAGAGATCGGTTTCACCATGTTGCCCAGACTGATCTTAAATTCCTGAGCTCAAGTGATCCGCCTGCCTCGGCCTCCCAAAGTGCTGGGATTACAGGCGTGAGCCACCATGCCTGGCCTACCTTTTAAGGAAAGTTTTCTGAAGCTACCTCAAGGAACATCTGCTTACATCTTATTGACCCGAAGAACCAGGTCACTTGGCCAAATCTACTTGTAAGGGAGTCTTTATTGTGGCTCGCTAAATGCCCAGCTGAAATGAGGTGTCCTGTCAACATGATAGACGAGCAGAATAATTTTTGGAGAACAACTAGCATTCTCAAATATGCAGCGTTTCTAGACTCGTATGTATTCTGGTTGCCCTTTCAGAGGTGAATTTTAGTTTTTAGTTGTTTTATCCTAATGAACACAGTACTCTGGGATGTGTAAAAATGTTATATGCTTTGATTTTCAACATCACCTAAGATAGCGGCTGTTTCAGAGTTCACATCTTCACCATGGGTTATAGTTAAGAGTAGGTAAAAAGCTGTTCTGTGCCATTCTGGCCTCCTTATTTTGTGACACACAAGAAGTACAGCATGCTTTTAGGTCACCTAACACATTTTTGAATAAAATCTGAAACGATTTGAGTTGATACTTCTAAGATTTAATAAAATTAAATATTTCATCAATATCATCATTGTAATTGCCTGCTATGTTATAGTCACTGTGCTAAGTGCTTTACACACATTATGTCTGTTAATACTCTCAATAATCCTGTAAGGTAGATATTTTTGTGTCCATGTTAGAGTGTGAATATTGATGCTGAGAGATTTAAGCAACTTACCCCAAATCTCAAAAGTGGTAGCAGAGTTGAACTTTTAAGTTCAATTCAAAATCTGCTTTTAATTACTATGCTGTATTGATTCTAGCCCTCTGCTGCTGCTTCTAAAATTAACATTGATTAAAAAAGAGTATATATATATATATACATATACCTATATATATACCTATATATATATACCTATATATATACCTATATATATATACCTATATATATACCTATATATATATACCTATATATATACCTATATATATATACCTATATATATACCTATATATATATACCTATATATATATATACCTATATATATATATACACACACACACACACACATATATACTGAATATATACATATGTTACTACTCTACTGTTTATACACACACAGTATATATCATCACAGTATAAATTTTTTTCTGGGTATCTGAATTATTGTTAAAACTGTCTTTGAATATGTTTATAAGGCCATTTTATAAGTTTCAGAGATAAAATCTTTTAGATTTTCAGTTATTACCCATGGATTTTTGGGCTTTGTGAAAATATATAGTACAGAAAATTTCTGCAGGTCCAGCAGAAATCAACTTTATGGGGATAGACTGGGTATAAAAATTAATGGAGAGTATAAAGCCACTGCAGACTTCTTGGATTACTAGTAGATTCGAAAATGAACAAGTATTTGCATGAGCAGTAGTTTGACTGCTTATTATACTTTGCTCTTTTCTCTGGTCACATTACATGATGTAAGCCGATGAATCAGAAATTGGATCTGCATGGGGGATGTGGGTGACCACAATTTCCTACTAGTCATTGCTTCTACAGACATTCCCAAATCCCCTGAAGTCATTTTGGAAATCAACCAAAGCTCCAGATTTGTTAGGGACATT
This sequence comes from Homo sapiens, assembly GCF_000001405.40. Classification (NCBI taxonomy): domain Eukaryota; kingdom Metazoa; phylum Chordata; class Mammalia; order Primates; family Hominidae; genus Homo; species Homo sapiens. The sequence goes on from NC_000013.11 coordinate 37,307,096, forward strand.
TGCTAAAGTGCTTACAGGTAGAGCAGATAGTGCTGATCTGATGCCTGTTCCAGAAACATCTGTGCCTGACCTTCAAGTAATCTTTCTAGATTTAATCCCTTTGTTTTATATAATCCTGCTCACTGTCTTCACCTCAAAAATGCACCATGTCCCCATTGTGTCAGTGTTTGTTTTCAGGAGTCTTTGTGTTCATCATAAATTCTGCTCTCTATGTCTCTAGTAACTGGTCTTCATCCACATTTTCTGTTCTCTGCAGGCTTGTATTTATAAAACAGAACTGAACTAGCTGGTAGCATTTACTCTGGAATGAAGGATGGAACTGGTAAGTCCACTCTCCCCTACTCTTACAATGCATTGTAGTTCTTCTTAAAATTTTGGGTTTATTAGTTAGACCAGTTTTTGATTTAGCCCTAAAGAAATTTGGGAGGCTGAGGCGAGTGGATCACGAGGTCAGGAGTTCAAGATCAGCTTGGCCAAAAAAGTGAAACTCTGTCTTCACTAAAAATAAAAAAATTAGCTGGGCATGGTGGCGGGTGCCTGTAATCCCAGCTACTCGGAAGACTGAGGCAGGGAATTGGTTGAACCTGGGAGGCAGAGGTTGCGGTGAGCCGAGATCGCACCACTGCACTCCAGCCTGGACAACAGAATGAGACTCTGTCTCAAAAAAAAAAAAAAAAAAAAAAAAAAAGATAGTATCTTAGCCTCCTTCCAAACAAACAGAATCAGAATGTCTGGGAGTAGGGCTCAAAAATCTGCATTTTAAGTGTTTCCCTGGTGACCTGATGTACATGATAATTTATAAACTTCTACCTTGGAGGACTAAGCACCTTGTGTCAAGGTGTTTGACTTTCTTCTTTCTCCTTTTGTATGAATTTTTTTTCCTTTTCCTTATCTCCTTCTTTCCTCTCCCCAAATGTAAAATGAACCTTGGGACAAATTTGTGATCCGTAGGGAATTTCAAGTTCTATTCTGCAGGTGTCTTTTGACATTCACTATGTCTGGGTTTTGGGGCTGATCATATATATCGGGGACCCTTAAATTATTTGACCGTCTGGGCACTGCCAGGTTTCTCTTATCACTAAGAATCTCCCATTATAGGCTTCCCAATCCTTTCTCTCAGACGGATATTAAAAAACAAATGTCATATCTTTGGGTTACATGGTGGCTTTTACAGTTGTCCAGTTACAGAGTGTGTGGCAGTCATAAGGTTCTAGAAATGTTTAATACCGTAACACATAACAAAATTATAGTTAAATAATACTTTATATTAAATACCATCTGCTATGGTGAAGAACCCGATTCTTGGATTATGGCATTTTGATAGTAGAATGCTTCATTTAGATTCTTGTGGTTTGAAGTGTAAAGGTGAAAAAAAGGGGAAAATACAGTAATTGTCAATACATTTCTGTTAAGATGAGTCCTTGTTACATAGGAAAGAAGAAATGGTCCAGGAAGTTATTCTCAAAGTAAGATGTTCATATTTTCTCACAACGCTTAGTAACAACATGCACACATTGATGTCTAAGTCTAGGCCTACACAAATAATTGTGAGTGTGTTGGCTGGATCTGACATAATATGGTATCTGTTTCCATGAGACAATTGCCATAAATATTGGCCTATTAGTCAATCACATTCTCCAGACTATGATCGTTGGCTCAGAATGCATCTATTAATAAGACCAAAGCAGCTACAATCAGAATGAATCTCAGGGCTCTTGAGGAACCTATTGGAAAAGTGGCTCTCTTTTGCTGTTCCTGAAATTTTGATGATATGAGGCTACAGCTACTATAGCTATCTCGTCTCTATGAGGTGAGAGCTAGTTGGATAATGCCATCATTTCAGAGAAGGAGAGCCAGAGGACGGAGACAAAGAAAAAAGTTTGGGGTGACATCATTTAAACTTCTCTATCAAACATCACTTGGCGTTAAATGTATGTTTAAATTTTTTTCAGTTGTATGAGCCGTTACATTTCCCCCACCTTTTTTTTTTTTTTTTTTTTTTGGCTTAAGCCAAACCTCTGTGTGTGTGTGTGTGTGTGTGTGTGTGTGTGTGTGTTTAACTTACAACTAAAAAAGTGTCCTAACCAATATGTCTTCATACAATGCTGATCACCCTTTCTTATTTTTGCTTATGTAAGATCTGACCTGACTCCCTTGCTAGACTGTAATCTCCATGAGAGCCATGTCTGTCTTACCTGCTGTTGTGATAGATGAAGATCTACCACAATGTTAGCACAGAGTAGGTATGCAATAAACATTTTTGAACAAGAAATATATAATTTATTACACTTAATGAATTTAATGTTACAGCATTTTTGTTATAAATTATTTGTTTATTTCCATATTTTTAAAGAAAAAACATCCTACATTCCAGATCCACTTTCCTTATTTCCTGGGCTGATCTTAAGATACATCTTGCCATCTACATTGTTTTCTCTTGTACCTTACTCTGGCATTAAAATGAATTAAAACAATTTTTTTTTGTCTGCTGATTTTTACCAGTTACTCCTGTTTTTTTAGCCATTCCTTTGTCTGTGTTCACACATTATTTTATTGGTACTCCAATTACAGCAGATTTTACAGCATATTATAACTAATAGTTCATTATTTTCTCTGTTCCTCAAACTGTATTGTTTGAAAACAACCAAGTCTCTTTTTACCTTTATATTGCCAGTGACTATTACAGTGCTTTATATTTGTGTTTCAAAAATGGAAAAGCTTGCAGACATTTTTCCTTAATTTTTTGTTTTACTCTTGCCAGTGTTTTATGCTATAATAAAAATAACTGAATATTCCAATATTTTTCTTATTCTCATTTGAGGGTTGTTATTTATACTTATATGCCACCAGTTGGCATATTTTGTATGCACTCCAAAAAGCACCTCAGGGATGGCCAAAATACTGTGAAGGGAGGCTTGAAAAAATTAGATTTTGGCAATAATCATCCATAAGCACGGATTTTGAAAATCATCTGGAAATGATAATTATCCCAGGTAAAAAATGAAAATAGAAAATTCAAGAACTGAACTGTGAAAGCAGAGACCCATGAAGAATGCTCACAGTGAGGAGAGAGCATTTGTGTTAAAGATGTTTTGGATTACTTGGACTTTCATAAAGAATTTATGGACAGCGAGGTGCTAGTGGCGGTCACTGTTGCCTATTGACCTATTGCCTATTGCCCCAATCCTTCTTTCTTGACAAAACCCACATTGGTTTAGGTATTGGGCAGATAGTAATGTTCTCAGGAAGGTAATTTCCTTTTTCATCAGTAGATGATATTATTTTTCTCTGTCAATGATGTTCTAATTGCCAATGACATTCTAATGATGAGCATTTGACCAATTCTTATTAATGAGATATAAGTCTATCTGGGTATCTAGGGATTATGGGAAACATTTTCTCTCTATATATTATAATACACACACATATGGAGAGTGCTATGAAAGGAGAGCACTCTGGCTACTTGTTGCCTTTTGTTTTTGGATGCAATTATAACATCTGGCTCTACAGCAGCCATCTTATGCTCATGAGGAGACAAATCTAAGGATAAGGAGTCAAAATATTCAGGATGGTGAAGCAAAGTACAGAAGGAGCCTAGGTTTACTGATGGCATTGTTCAATGGTTGAATCAACACTGATACTGCCTACTTCTGGACTTGTCAAATGTCTGATCTAAGTCATTAAGATTTCTGTCACTTGTAAACACACTCTAATAGATACACTGCCATAGTTAAGGCAAAGAGCAAAAAGGTGGGGATGTCTTCTTCAGATGTCTGCCTCACTTTGTGGTGTGCAATTGTGTGAGACTCTGGATTACAGAGATTTGTTACAACAGATACTATGCAATTCTAGAATTTTGTGGAAAAGTAACTTGGCATGTCACATTGGTTTTGATTGCTCCATTTCATCTTAAGCACTTCTACCAAGTTTAGTGTAATATGAGGCATTTAAAAGTTGTCTGTAGGTTGACAGAATTTGAATGAATACTTTTCTAGTAAAATATGATGGCTGCCTAAGCCCAGCCTTTTGATATGTATAAACTGAAAAAGGAAAAGAAATCCATACTTTATGGTAACCATACCTGCCTTGCGGTAACCATACCTGCCTTGCCTGACACTATTTATTATCCCTGTGGTTCAAGAGATTAAAACTCCCTGGCCTCCAGTGATTTGTCATTGGGAGAATCCAGGCATAAGGGCATATGATCTCCCTGAATTAACACCATCCTGCTTAACATGGAGCCACCTATTCAGAATAATCAGTATTGTTTACATTTTGACTAATTTGCCTCCCTCATATACCTTTGTCAGCAAGATATCACACAATGACAACTGCAATGAATTCAGAAAATATAAACACTTCAGAGAAAGATTATGGTGACTATCTATGTATGTAAGAAAAATGAAATTGTGTTTGTACATTTGAAATGTGAAAACATGGAATATGTAAATGTCCAAAAATGTTGGAGTTTTATAAAGGCTATTTGAAGTTTAGTGATACAATAAATTTCTGATCAGCTTGGAGATTTCCCTGCTGCCTCTCTTTAGAATATAAAAATACTTGTCACCCGTTGTGCTCTGGAGCCTGTAATGGTTAATTATATGTGGCAAAATGGCTAGATTATGGTGACCAGTTGTTTGGTCAAATACCAGTATAGATGTTACTGTGAAGGTATATATTTTAGCCATGATTAGCATTTAAATCAATAGGCTTTGACTAAAGCAGATTATTCTCCATAATGTGTGTGGGGGGGCTCATCCAATTAGTTGAAGGCCTTAAGAGCAAGCATGGTGATTTCCTGAAGAAAGAGGAATTCTTTTCAAGACTATCACAACATGGAAACCCTACCTATTTTTTCAGCCTCTTGCCCTGCTGAATTCAGACTCAAGACTGGAACAACAACTCTTATCTGAATTTTCAACATGCTTGAAATCTAGATTTCAGATTTGTCAGCTCCCCACATTGTCTGAACCAATTCTTTAAAATAAATCTCTCTCTATCTCTACCTAAAAGATATATGTACATATCTTATTGGTTCTGTTTCTCTGGAGAATCCTAATACAGGGGGCCTCAGTTCAAATTCCAAGACAATAGCATAAGTCCCTTTGAATTACCTATTACACAAATTAAGATCAAATTTGATTAATTCTGAAAATTTTTAATACCTCTCAGGAGATGTTTCTTGTAACATCTAGTCACACACACACATACACACACACATGTTTAAAGAGAGAGAACCCTCCAGTCCCCTGCAATAAGTCACAACAGATTACAAGATGAACATTAAATATTAGGGAAAAACAGAAATAGGCAAATATTAGAAGAGAAGCTAAAAAAAAGGATTTTTACAAATTTGGAAACCTTTCCCTGGTGGCAATTGGCTGTAGCCATAGAAAATAATAGACTGTTGCTCTACACATTATCAGAAAGTCCTTACCCCGAAATGTTACCAATCTAAGAGGATTTATAAAGTTAAATGTTGGTAATAACTGTACAAGATTACAGAAAAAGAGAGATGTTATAATAGTAACTATAAGCAGACGGGATATGACCCTTGTGTATAAAAAGAACGTAAAGTAAAAATATATCATTGTAACTTCAGTATTACACAAGGAGGAGATAACTTGACCCACTGACATGAGGATCCTGTTTGGGTTGATATTTATACTCTTTTGAATGAGAAAAGGGAGAATCAAAAGATTACTATAGCTTGAGAAAAATATTCACTTGTTTGCCCTGAGTTGGTTATCATTAAGCAGAAGTCTGATTATGCATTAGATTTCCCAAATAACTTCATTTTAAGAAGAAGAAAGTTTGATTATCTGACTGACACATATGGCTAGTCCAGTGGCTATCAACATTGCTTAAGTTATCACGAACCCATTTCTATGAGCCTAGTTTCCTTTATGTGAATTTGATATCTGGACCTGTGTGCCCTTGGAATATAGAGAAGATAGCTAACCTGAAAGACCATGCCAGCCTTGCATGAAACGTTAACTCAGCCATCTTGGAGATGACCAGCCTTGCACCAAGAAGGACCAGACTGCAGCTGTATCTTGAGGGGAGAGGCAACCCAGTCACCTAAAGACACCCCTTTGAACCAAGAGAGTTTCCTGATTGAATGGAGCTACAGAATGATGCTTTCCTGCTGGGCTGTCTGGTGCTTCCTTCAGTTCACTTCCACTGATCTCCGAAGGTACAGGACAAGCTGTGGGGAAGCACCCAGGTGCATGATTCTGGCTTTCAAAAAAGTTGGAACAAATCTAATTGCCTCTCAGCACAATTTAAATTCTAAGCCTGCAGGGTAGGCTCCTATCCATCTTTTTTGTTTGGCACATTGGGAGTATTCCACTAGGAATGCAATAGGAAGCACTTTATTCCACACACAGGTGTCTTGGTAGATGTAGGGGAAACATTAACATTTCTGTAGGACTAGTTAAAACTTGCTTTCCGAAATGAAATTCCACAGCAGCTTAGTCTCCTTTATGAACAAACCAACCACATGACTGCCAGAAATCAATGCACATTGATTCTATCCAAATGTTTTCAGTGAGTCAGCGCTAGAATTCTTGCCAGTAGGTTTGTTGTGTTTTTTGGATAGCTTCTTATGCATTACCAAGAGTTCCAGTGTGGGTAATATATTTTATTTAATATTTCTCCTCTCAATGAAAAATAAAGCAAATATTTATATGGTTTTACCTAAATTTGACTTTCCACTAGCAAATCAGTGCTATAGCTTGTCTTTTATTGGTGAAAATTGACCTTTTAATTTTGCCAATACCACTATTTTTTTTGTCTGTCGAGTTTCTTACCTATCCAAAAGCATCTTCGAAGAAAACGTATTCATAATGTTGAAAATAAAAATTGGAATTTGTTGTCTACTTTACTGAGTTTTAGTAAAAGCTCAATTTCTCACATTGCCTGTTATAGCCTTTTATGGTGTAACAAACTCATGATGAAAACTTCCCCAGGAAAAACAACCTGGGAGAGGGAGCCAAGATGGCTGACTAGATGCAGCCAGAAAGAGACTCTCCCAGCAAGAGACCAGACTGTCAAAAAGACTGACACACTACTCTGAGCAGATCTTCAGGAGGAAGGCATTGAGAGTGGTCAAAGGGAGGATGCAGACCCCGGGCTGAAAGAGAGAGGAAACTAGCAACCCTGCATAGGACTGCTATGCATCAGGACTTGTACTTGACCCCCAGCGGCTCCAGGGGAAGGGGTGAGTTAGATAGGTGAGAAGTGGCCCACTTTTATCATAGACCACCAGAATCCTAGCATCAGGAATGCCATGTCCCCCACAGACATTTGAGCTGACAGAGAGAGCTACTGGGAGAGGTGGCAGGGACAGGATTCCAGCCTGATTCCAGTTTTAGTTTCATCAGTCTTTTGGATGGTTTATTGCATCTCAATTTCCTTCAGTTCAGCTCTGATTTTGGTTATCTCTTTTCTTCTGCTAGCTTTGGGATTTGTTTGCTCTTCGTTTTCTACTTCCTCTCAGTGTGATGTTAGGTTGTTAATTTGAGATCTGTCTTATTTTTTGATGTGGGCATTTAGCAATATAAACTTTCCTCTTAAAACTGTTTTAGCATGTCCCAGAGATGCTGGCATGTTCTGTCTTTGTTTTCGTAGTTCCAAAGAATTTCTTGATTTCTACCTTAATACACTGTTTACCCAAAAGTCATTCAAGAGCAGATTGTTTAATTTCCATGTAATCGTGTGGTTTTGAGAAATCTTCTTAGTATTGATTTCTATTTTTATTGGTGCTATGGTCCAAGAGTGTGGTTGGTATGATTTCTGTTTTTTGAATTTGTTGAGAATTGTTTTATGACCAATTGTGTGGTCTATTTCAGAGTATGTGCCATGTGCATATGAGAAGAATGTATATTCTGTTGTCGTTGGGTGGAGTGTTCTATAGATGTCTGTTAAGTCCATTTGGTCAAATGTTAACTTTAGGTCCCAGATATCTTTGTTAATTTTCTGTCTCAATGATCTGTCTAGTACACACTCAATGGCGTGTTGAAGAATCCCACTATTATTTTGGGGCTTACCTAAGCCCTTTTGTAGGGCTCTCACAACTTGTTTTATGAATCTGAGTGTTCCTGTGTTGGGTGTATATATATTTAGGATGGTTAAGTCTTCTTGTTGAATTGAATCCTTTATCATGTAATGGTGTTCTTTGTCTTTTTTGATACTTGTTTTAAAGTCTGTTTTGTCTGAAATTAAGACAGCAACCTCTGCCCTTTTTGTTTTCTCTTGGCTTAGATTTTTCTCCTTCCCTTTACTTTGAGCCTATGGGCATCATTTCATGTGAGATGGCTCTCTTGAAGACAATATACAATTGGGTCTTGCTTCCCTATCCAACTTACCACTCTTTGCCTTTTAAGTGGGACATTTAGCCCATTTGCATTCACTGTTAATATTGATATGTACAGATTTGGTTCTGTCATCGTGTTGTTAGCTAGTTATTATACAGACTTAATTGTGTAGTTGCTTTATAGTGTGAGTGGTCTGTGTACTTAAGTATGTTTTTGTGGTGACCAGTAACAGTATTTAATTTCCATGCTTAGCACCCTCTTGAAGACCTCTTTTAAGGTGGGTATGGTGGTAATGAATTCCCTTAGCATCTTCTTGTCTGAAAAGGATCTTATTTCTCCTTTGCTTATGAAGCTTAGTTTGGCTGGATATAAAATTATTAATTGGAATTTATTTTCTTTAAGAATTTTTAATATAGGCCCATTCATCTTTTCTGGCTTGTAGGGTTCCTGTTGAGAGGTACGCTATTAGGTGTCTTTATTTTTTTTTTTCTTTCTCATTGACCTTGGAGAACCTGATAACTATGTGTCTTGGGATGGTTGTCTTGTATAGTATCTCACAGGGGTTCTCTGCATTTCTTGAATTTGAATCTCAATCTCTCTAGCAAGGTTAGGGAAAGTTTCATGGACAATATCCTCAAATATGTTTTTCAAGTTGCTTGCCCTTTCTCTCTCTCTTTCAGGGATGCCAATGAGCCATAGGTTTAGTCCCTATATATAATGACTTGTTTCTCGGAGGTTTTGTTCATTCTTTTGTATTCTCTTTTCTTTAGTTTTGCCTGACTGAACTGATTCTAAGAACAAGTCTTTGAGCTCTGAGATTATTTCCTCATCTTGGTCTATTTTGCTGTTAATACTTCTGATTGTGCTATGAAATTCTTATACTGTATTTTTCATCTCTATCAGTTTGGTTTGGTTCCCTCTTAAAATGACAATTGTGTCTTTCAGCTTTCGTATCATTTATTGGAATCCTTAAATTTTTTTTTGGATTGGGTTTTTACTTTCTCCTGAATCTTGATAATCTTCATTCCTATCCAGATTCTGTATTCTATGTCTGTCGTTTAAGCCATTTCAGCCAGTTGAGAACCATTGCCAGGGAGTTAGTGTAGTCATTCGGAGGTAAGAAGACACTCTGGCTTTTTGAATTGCACTAGTTCTTTTTCATATGTGTGGGCTGATATCCCTTTATTGTTTGAAGTTGCTGTCCTTTGGATGGGTGTTTTGGGGTTTTGGGGTTTGGGGTTTTTTTTTTGTCTTTATATTCTTTGATGTCCTTAAGTGTTTGACTATGGTATAAAGTGGGTTCTGTCAACTGACTTCATTTCTGGAAGATTCTAGGGGTCTGAGACTCAGTTTAGCACTCCTGAGCTTCATGCTTTAACCCTGCAGGGCAGGTACCAAACACAGGGCTTTGTTCTCTGGCCCCTCGAGGGTAAGCACCTGCTGTGCTGAAAGAGTGAATGCGTTCCTGGTCTGCTGACAATAACACTCAGTGGAGGATGCCAGCTAAAATGTTTCATTGGGGTGGTGGCAGCAGGGCCTGCACTCACATGTGCATGCCAGCAGCAGTGGCTTGTGGTGCGGGCATGCATTGGTGGAAGCAGAGCACTGGTGGGGATAGGGTAGTAACATCCCTGTGGAGGCAAGGTGGTGTCTAGCCAAATGTGTTGACAGCAGAGGCTGTGCGGCAGGGCACACTCACATCAGGGGCAGGGTGCCAGCAAGGCAGGTTGGTGGCATCTGCACAGGGGCAGGATAGCAGCGTAGGTGTGCATGTATCGTCGGTGCATGGCAAGGTGCATACACTTATGCTGACAGCAGCTGGGTGGTGGGGCGCACATATGTGTGCCAGCAGGGGAAGGCAGTGAAGACCACTCACTCATGAGCACTGGCAAAGCAGTGGTGGGGGCACAGTGAATGAGTGTATGGCAGTAAAGCAGTGGGGAGAGGGGCTGCAGGTGAGTGTACCTCAGCAAAGCAGTTGGGGAAGGCTGTAGGTGGGGAGGCTTCAGGGGGGTGGGTGCCTGTCAGTGGGGGCTTGTTTGCTGGAACCCCGCAATGGTCAGGTGCAGTCTGCCACCAAAGGAGCTATGGTGGCCGCTGCTAGAAGTACCATAGTTGGCCATTCCAGGCTGCACTGCTAGTGGGTGCAGCCAGGCAGCCACCTTGAGAGAAGCCGACAGAAAGGGAAGCACTCAGATCAGACCGGCCCCATTCCACAGGCAAGACCACCATGCTGTGTCTAGGTTTGACAGTCAACAAGGGCCCAAGCCACCTAGAGGAACTGTGTGAGCCTTGGGGGATGGGCATCCCTGACTGTGCCCTACTGCAGTCGTTCTTGTGCTAAACCCCCAACACAGGAACACTCAGATTCATAAAACAAGTTGTGAGAGCCCTACAAAAGGGCTTAGGTAAGCCCCAAAATAATAGTGGGATTCTTCAACACGCCATTGAGTGTGTACTAGACAGATCATTGAGACAGAAAATTAACAAAGATATCTGGGACCTAAAGTTAACATTTGACCAAATGGACTTAACAGACATCTATAGAACACTCCACCCAACGACAACAGAATATACATTCTTCTCATATGCACATGGCACATACTCTGAAATAGACCACACAATTGGTCATAAAACAATTCTCAACAAATTCAAAAAACAGAAATCATACCAACCACACTCTTGGACCATAGCACCAATAAAAATAGAAATCAATACTAAGAAGATTTCTCAAAACCACACGATTACATGGAAATTAAACAATCTGCTCTTGAATGACTTTTGGGTAAACAGTGTATTAAGGTAGAAATCAAGAAATTCTTTGGAACTACGAAAACAAAGACAGAACATGCCAGCATCTCTGGGACATGCTAAAACAGTTTTAAGAGGAAAGTTTATATTGCTAAATGCCCACATCAAAAAATAAGACAGATCTCAAATTAACAACCTAACATCACACTGAGAGGAAGTAGAAAACGAAGAGCAAACAAATCCCAAAGCTAGCAGAAGAAAAGAGATAACCAAAATCAGAGCTGAACTGAAGGAAATTGAGATGCAATAAACCATCCAAAAGACTGATGAAACTAAAACTTTGTTTTTTGAAAGAATAAATACGACTGATAGACTTCTAGCTAGAGTAATAAAGAAAAAAGGAGAAAAGATCCAAATAAATATAATTAGAAATGACAAAGGGAACACTACCATTGGCACCCCACAGAAAGACAAAAAAACCCTTAGTGACTATTATGAACACCTCTATGCACACAAACTAGGAAACCTTAAAGAAATAAATTCCTGAAAACATATGAACTCCCAAGATTGAGCCAGGAAGAAATGAAAAACCTGAACAGACCAATAATGAGTTTTAAAATTGAATCAATAATAAAAAGTCTACAACCCAAAAAGATTCCTGGACCAGTTGGATTCACAGATGGATTCACCCAGACATGTAAAGAAGAGCTTAGTACCAATCCTACTGAAACTATTTCGAAAATTTGTGGAGGGGAGAACTCCTCCTTAACTTATTCTATAAGGCCAGCATCATTCTATTACCAACAACCAAAAAAAAATTTTGGGGCAATATCTCTGGTGAACACAGATGCAAAAATCCTCAACAAGATACTAGAAAACCAAATCCAGCAACACACTGACAAGCTAATCCACCATGATTAAGTAGTGTTTATTCCTGGAATGCAAGGTTGTTTCAATATACACAATTAAATCAGTGTGATTCATCACATAAACAAGAACCATATGATTATCTCAATAGATGCAGAAGGGGCTTTTGATAAAAGTCAACATACCTTCATGTTGAAAACTCTAGACAAAGTAGGAATTGAGGGAACATATTTCAAAATAATAAGAGCCATCTATGAAAAACCCACAGCTGATATCATAACAAATGGGCAAAAGCTGGAAGCATTTCCTTTGAGAACTGGAACAAGACAAGGATTCCCACTGTCACCACTCCTAGTCAACACAGTACTGGGAGCACTTGCAGAGCAATGAGGCAAGAGAAAGAAATAAAAGGCATCCAAATAGGAAGTGAGGAAGTCAAGCTATCACTGTAGACAATATGATTTTATGCCTAGAAAACTGCATTGTGTCTACCCGAAAGCTCCTAGGTTTGATAAACAACTTCGGTATCAATGTACAAAAATCAGAAGCATTTCTACACTAACAACATCCTAGCTGAGAGCCAAATCAAAAATCAATCCCATTCACAATTAGCTGGAAAAAGAATAAAATAGCTAGGAATAGAACTAACGAGAGAGGTGAAAGATCTCTACAATAAGAATTACAAAACACTGCTGAAAGAAATCACAGACAATACAAAGAAATGGAAAAAAATTCCATGCTCATGGATACGAATAATCACATTGTTAAAATGGTCATACTGCCCAAAGCAATGTATAGATTCAATGCTATTCCTAGCAAATCATCAATGACATTTTTCACAGAATTAGAGAAAGCTATTTTAAAATTCATATTGAAACAAAAAAGAGCCTGAAGAACAAAGTCAATCCTAAGCAAAAAACAAAATTGGAGACATCACATTACTCAACTTCAAACCATACTACAAGACTGCAATAACCAAAACAGCATAGCTCTGGTACAAAAACAGACACATAAAACAATGGGATAAAAATAGAGATCCTAGAAATAAAAGCTCCATACTACATCCAACTGATACTTGACAAAGTCAACAAAACCAAGCAATGGGGAATGGAGTTTCTATTCAAGGAATGGTGCTGGGATAACTGGTTAGCCACATGCAGAAGGTTGAAACTGGACACCTTCTTTTTACCGTTCACAAAAATCAATTCAATATGGATTAAAGACTTAAATGTGAAGCCTAAAACTAGAAAAATCCTAAAAGAAAATGGAAATACCATTATGGACATAGTCCCTGTCAAAGATTTTATGGCGAAGACTATAAAAGCAATTGCAACAAAAACAAAAATTGTCAATGAGATCTAGTTAAACTGAAAAGCCTCTGCATAGCAAAATAAACTGTCAGTAAAGAGACAACCTACGGAATGGAAGAAAATATTTGCAAACTATGTATCTGACAAAGTTCTAATATCCAGAGTCATAAGAAACTTAAATCAACAAGCAAAAAACAACCCCACTGAAAACAGGGCAAAGGACATGAACAGACACTTCTCAAAAGAAGACATACATACAACCAACAAGCATATGAAAAAATGTTCAACATGATTGATCATTAGAGAAATGCAAGTCAAAACTACCTGAGATACCATCTCATGCCAGTAAGAATGGCTATTAATAAAAAGTAAAAAAATAAAAGATGCTGGTAAGGTTGTGGAGAAGAGGGAATGCTTATACTTTGCTGGTAGGAATGTAAATTAATTCAGCTACTGTGGAAAGCTGTTTGAAGATTTCTTATAGAATTTAAAATGGAGCTGCCATTCGGCCCAGAGCTACCATTCAGCTCAGCAATCTCATACTGGGTATATACCCAAAGGAGTGTAATTCATTCAATCATAAAGGCACATGCATGTACATATTCACTGCAGAACTATTCACAATAGCAAAGACATGGAATCAATCCAGATGCCCATCAATGGTGGACTGGATAAAGAAAACGTGGGTACATATACACCATGGAATACTATACAGCAATAAAAAAGAATGAGATCATGTCTTGTGCAGCAAGTTGGTTGGAGCTGGAGGCCATTATCCTAGGTGAATTAATGCAGTTATGGAAAACCAACTACTTCACGTTCTCACTTATAAGTGGGAGCTAATCATTGAGTACCCAAGGACACAAAGAAAGGAAGGATAGACACCAGAGCCTACTTGAGAGTGGAGAGAGGGAGAAGGGTCGAGATAAAAGAAGTACTTCTCAGGTACTATGCTTATTGCCTGGGTGATGAAATAATCTGTGCATTAAACCCCCGTGGCATGCAATTTACCCATATAACAAACAGACACATGTATCCCTGGAACCTAAAGTAAAAGTTGGAAGAAAAGTAAAAAACGGCCGGGCACGGTGGCTCACGCTTGTAATCCCAGCACTTTGGGAGGCCGAGGAGGGCGGATCATGAGTTCAGGAGATCGAGACCATCCTGGCTAACGCAGTGAAACCCTGTCTCTACTAAAAATACAAAAAATTAGCCGGGAGTGGTGGTGGGCGCCTGTACTCCCAGCTACTCGGGAGGGTGAGGCAGGAGAATGGCGTGAACCCGGTAGGCGGAGCTTGCAGAGAGCCAAGATCGCGCCACTGCACTCCAGCTTGGGCGGCAGAGCTAGACTCCGCCTCAAAAAAAAGAAAAAGAAAAAGAAAAAGAAAAAAAATATTTCCCAAATATAATCTCTGAATCAAGTTTTTTTCTTACATATTTTTCTTTTGTTAGTAGAAGATAAATCTTTATTATTTTATTATGTGGCATAATTCTTTCTTTTTGTCATTACTTAACTTACATATTTGTAGGACAACTTCACCTTCTCTCCTCCACATCTCTGATATATCTTCTTTTCAATATCAGACATCATTTCCCTACTTTTTATGCACACTATCAGGTACTCAGACAATGGCTTTAAACCTTATTTTATTTCCTTTTGTTCCCAATCATATGGACAGTTAATTTTCCTTGATGTAGTATTTTGGTTACAAAAGAATGTGATAATATGCCTTCTAGAAAGTGCATATTAGAAAGAAGCACTGTCATATTTTTCCAGTTGTACCAAGGAGTGGGTTTTAAGGTTTCAGTAGAGAATCTTGTGATATTGTTTCTTTATAATAATGATCATAGCAATGGCAACTTATTGAGTATTTACTTGGTGTTAGATACAAAACAAAGTGTATTATTTAAATGATCATATTCAATCTTTACTGCTGCTCATGAGTGAATAT
Organism: Homo sapiens; assembly: GCF_000001405.40. Taxonomy (NCBI): domain Eukaryota; kingdom Metazoa; phylum Chordata; class Mammalia; order Primates; family Hominidae; genus Homo; species Homo sapiens. Next base: position 37,322,294 of record NC_000013.11, read on the forward strand.
TGTTTCCAAGCTAAGATAAAGTAACTGGAGACCACGAATGGTCTGGCCAAGATGGCCTTAGCATTTTCCTTAATTGACTTAATTTAACAGGCTTCTTTGTAACTCAGGCCCCTGATGTCCTTTTTCCTTAGAACATTTTCTTGAGAAAACTTGTTATTGTCAATTCTTTCTTTGTCTATTTGAGATATACATCTTTTTAAAAGCTTCTTGCCAATTTTACAACTCAGGAATGTCTCTCTCAAGGTCCTGGAAGACATGTCTTTGAAATGTCATCAGCAGGAAAAATAGAGCCCCTCTGTGCCAGTCTCTGTGGGAGGGCAGGAGTCTAACTTGGTGGGCTTATGTATTTATTTTGAAAATAAATACTGGAATAATAAATATATAAATAAAGTTTTCCTTGCAATATAAATGGGTGTATAAATGAAGAATAGGGTAAAAGGACTGTAGCGTTAGGAATATATATTGACGTGTAGATTAAAACCATTCGCAACTACAAACTAAACACAAAATGCTTCCTGACCGGTGTGTGCATTTTCATCTTTTACTGTGGATTCTGATGATTAAATAGCCAACTTTTTAAGCACATACCCAGTATATAAATAAATGATGATAGAACTTTATAAAGGACTTTCTGTCTGAAACCTCCAATTAGTGTTAAACGAACTGAGTGAAGATCATCTTGCTTATGGCTTAGTAATCTTTGACTTTATGTTTCTTATTAAAGATAAACCCATACGTTTATTGTGTGTGTGTGTGTGTGTGTGTGTGTGTGTGTTTTATTAAAGCAATGAGAGATAATAGGAGAGGCATCTGAGATGGAGTCTTGCTCTTGTCGCCCAGGCTGGAGTACAAGGGTATGATCTCCGCTCACTGCAACCTCTGTCTCCAGGGTTCAAGCAATTCTCCTGCCTCAGCCTCCCGAGTAGCTGGGATTACAGGTGCCTGCCACCACGCTCAGCTAATTTTTGTATTTTTAGTAGAGACAGGGTTTCACCATATTTGCCAGGCTGGTCTCGAACTCCTGACCTCAGGTGATCTGCCCGCCTCAGCCTCCCAAAGTGCTGGGATTACAGGAGTGAGCCACTGCATCCAGCAAGTTCAAAATATATTTCTGATCAATGATAAACTAGAATAAACTTGAGTGGACAGATAGGTATTTGAATAAAAAGATTCTGGCTATACGTCTTTTAAATAATACATTTATGGTTATGTTAATTCACAGGACCTGGTTTTATTAGGGAACTAAAATATGTCAAAAAAAGGAGAAAAGTTTTTGCCTTTATAATACTAATAGCATTATTAATACTCTTGTGAAAGACTTGAAAGAGAGCAGTTTTTCAATAAAAACTTGAAGCAGAGCAAAAAGTTAACTGAGCGTCTTCAACGGAAAAACTAGGCCTTGTCTAAGTACATCCCCCGGGTTACTTGATTCTATGATGTCTCTGAACCTTTCACTGCAAATTATTCTTGCTCATAGATATGCAAATGAATATCATCTGGGTGTGGTGCAATTGATTCCCTATTCTCATCTTTTGGAATAAGCTAATTTTTCAATTGTGTATGTTAATTTCAGCAGTTATAACAACTTACTTGTTTCTTCATTAACTCACAAGTTAAATAAAATATTTGACATGTATTTATATTTGTATGAGTCATGATTATATCTGTTAAAAATTATTTAATACCATACTTAGCTATGTTGTTAGAATATCTTTTGTTTATTACCTAGAGGTGTTGAAGTACGTCTGAAAATTTATTCTTAAGATGGAGAAATAACACCTTGATGAATGACATGTGTGGTATAAAAATATTATTATGTTTATATGGCTATTTAAAGTTTCCACAAATATTAAATATTTATAAGACTGATATTGAGAATTGCTAAGTAACTCAATGGCAATGTTGAAAGTGTGGTTCAGTTCTAATTTTTTTACCACTTATGTCTCTATTAAACAATACAATTGGCCAGGCATGGTTGCTCACGCCTGTAATCCCAGCACTTTGGGAGGCCGAGGCAGGCAGATCACCTGAGGTCAGGAGTTCAAGACCAGCCTGACTAACATGGTGAAACCCTATCTCTACTAAATACAAAAAAATTAGCTGGGCATGGTGGCGCATGCCTGTAATCTGAGTTACTTGGGAGGCTGAAACAGGAGAATCGCTTGTACCTGGGAGGCGGAGGTTGCAGTGAGCCAAGCTTGCACCACTGCACTCCAGCCTGGGCAACAAGAGTGAAACTCTGTCTCAAAGACAAAAAAAAATAGTAGTAATAATACAACCATTATGGCCCATTCTCCAAAAGTATAATAGATGTCTTTGAACTTAAAAATTGTGCTAAAATTCCGTCTCAATAGAAGGCTTATTTCATAGTTTCTAATCAAAATAATTTTGTAATGATTGACTTTGAAAGGTTTATAATTGAATAAGTAGTTTTCATTTTCTTGATAATTTTGTTTTTGAGACTCATACGGTAATGTAAAATACAGAAATGAGACTTAAGCCTTTTAATAAAAATGCTATTTTGTCAATTTGTCTTGACTCATTTTTTTAAGAAAGCAAAAATATGAATAAGAAAAATTTTACAATAAATAATAATATCTAGTTATAATTATATTGAAGTTGAAATGTGAAAAGACAAGTGGTGCTGCTTCAAAGAATCACTTGTTTGTCATTAGATAGATGGATCTTTATATGCCAAATCTACCTACCTAGATAGAAACAACTTAATGCCTGTGGAAATAACAAATGCCATCTATCGTTTGTCTACCCTTTGTAGGAATTCATTTTTATGCAGAACAATTTGTGTGGGCATTTTACAGAAGAGAAAATCCAAATGGCCAAGGAATAAAATGAAGCCACTCAACTTCACTGGTTGTCTTCAAAATGCAAATTGAACACATAATAAGCTGGTATTTCTTATCCATCAAATTGACAAAAGGATGATAACACCTAGTATCTATAAAGATATGGTATATTTTATACATTGCTGTAATAATTTTATTTTATTTTATTTTTTGAAGTGGAGTTTCACTGTTGTTGCCTAGGCTGGAGTGCAATGGCGCGATCTCGGCTCACTGCAACCTCTGCTTCCTGGGTTCAAGCTATTCTCCCACTTCAGCCTCCCGAGTAGCTGGGATTACAGACACCTGCCACCATGCCTGGCTAATTTTTGTATTTTTAGTAGAGATGGGGTTTCACCATGTTGGCCAGGCTGGTCTGGAACTCCTGACTACAGGTGATCCACCTGTCTCGGCCTCCCAAAGTGCTGGGATTACAGGCGTGAGCCACCACGCACGGCCTTGCTGTAATAATTTTAAATGTGGTTAGCAGTATCTATTAAAATTAATGTATGCATATTCTTTGGCCTACATATGAAAATATTTCATTTACATATGAAAATCTATGTTACAGAATTTAAAACATCAGTATTTAAGAGGTTATTTTAAAAGCTGTTTATTGTGGCATTGTTAACGGTGTCAAAAATCTCCAAAAAACATACAAATAATAAAATTCCATTAAAACACCCCAAATATCCTTCACTAGGGGAGCAGTTGGAGAAACTGTTTCACATTCCATCTATGGAATACTGTGCAACTATTGAAAAGAATGATTTAGATCTCTATTGGCTCACTTAGGAGATGTTCCTGGTGAACCAATGGAGATGATTATTTAAACTGAAGAACCATGTTGCTATTTTAACTGAAGGAGCAAATTGATTTAAACAATGTTTACAATTAGATACCTTTTTAAATATAAAACAAAAACAGTATAGAAAGCTCTGAATGCAGATATTGATATGTTTGTGTATGTTTGAGGGTAGGAAAGTGGAAAAGGTAGGAGATGACTTACATTCTCTGTAAATGTCCTTCTAGAATTTCATTAGTCATAATGATTAAATGATACTTTGACAAATTAAATAATAATAATAATGAGTTTAAGAGAAGATTTATGTAGAAGTCATATGAAAAAGAATATATTTCCCTTTATGTTTATTTTTCTGTTTTTTTTCTCCTTTTCAGATTAGAGTGTTTTTTTGTTCAAAACTTAGAGAATAATGCATATGTATTGTTAAACTTCTTGGGAAGAAAAACACTCATCAGCTCTGAGCACACTCTCTGAATTCACATAGCTCTGATTGGAAAGTTGGTGTAGCTACTAATTAGCTGTGTGACTGTGTGGATATCACTGGCCTTTTAAGAACGTATTTCATCATCTCTCAAAAGGGAAACAACTGCTTCTTGGAGTCTTTGTGAGAATTCTGGGCTAGTGGAAGCACAGCACTTAATACCATGACTGCTGTGTTATAAACATGCAGCAAATGCTCCTCATTGTCATCAGTAACATGCCGGTTACACAGTGGGCACTAAAAGAGTGCTAGTTTCCTTATGTTTCAGCCCACAGAAGACTTTTCATATAATCCTTATTCATTTCCTAGTAAATTATTGATAGTTCTCAGATATTTGTAATCATGCATCATTCTAAGTGCTGGAGATACAGCAGTAAATAAAATTGACAAACTCCCTGCCTTCTTGTAATGTACACTCCAGTGTGGGACCATACACTGTATACAAAAGAAGTAAACATGTAATGTCACATAGAGATAAGGGCTATGACATAGAGCAAGGCGAAGGTCAAAAAGTGATAGGGGCTGCTGGATTAGATGGTCAGAGATGCCTCTGTTGTAGCTATTATTAAGCCTCAGTAGAGACTTAACTGAAGGAAAGGAATGAACCTTGTTATTAACTGAGAGGAGTGCATGTCAGCTGGAGGAAAAAGGAATTATAAAGCCTTCAAGCATTTTTGGTTTGTTGAACAGCAAAGAGGGCAGTGTGGATGAAACAGAATGAATGAATAGAGTAGTGAGATGAGATTGAAGAGGGCGCCAGGCGCTAAATTGAGTAAGGCTTTGAATTCTATTTTTAGTGGAATGGAAATTCACTGAAAGGTTTTGAGAAGGTATGGGGGCTGAGCGAACATAGATTAAGGCCATTGGTAAACATATGAAGTGGCAATAGCCCAGGTGAGAGAAATGTGAGAGGATTTAGGCAAAGATCCTTGAGCAGGAGGGGTTGAAAAATGCTCACATCCTAGATACCCTTTAAAGTTATAACTGATTGACTGTGGGGTGTAAGAGGAGCTAAGGATGACTCCACACTTTTATGATTTATGGTTATTCTAAACAGAAAGAATGGTGTTGCATTTCTGGCATGTGGAATATGGGGGAAGATGGGTTTTATGGAAGGGAATAAAAAGTTATGTTTTGGTTATTTAGATTTCAGAGGTTTATTTAAAGTTCAAATGCAGACATTATTAGTAAGTCAGATATAATAGGGTGACCAAATAATTGGTCATTTTAAACAGGGCACTTTTTAGAGTGAAAGAGGCTACTAACTTGTGGGAAGCTAAGACAGGTATGAACTTGAACTGTCCTAGGGGTGAGTGGTCACCTTCAATGTAAGAATTTAGAATTTAATGAAAAGACTTAATGGCTAGAGTTATATGTGGAAGTCATCAGTGTATAACAGTATTTAGCCAGGGGATCAGATGAGGTCACCTAAGGAGTGAGTATAAAAAGACAAGAGGTTAGGAGATCAACAACTGAACGCTGATTGCAACACTTAGTAATAGAGAATAAATTTATAACAAAGAAATAAGGACCATTGTGTGAGAGATATAAGTACCATGTTATATAAGAGTAGCAAGTGGTAAATTAAACCTAGAATCAAGATCTGTCCTTTTACTTAGGTTATTTACATTACTGTAGGTGATAAACAAGGAAAATATGCTTGGTAAAAGAGCAAGTTTAATTTTTTAGTTGATTTTTATTTTTATTTTATCAAAGTACGTATTTGGTGAAAAAAATCAAATATTATTATAAGATAACTTAATCAGAATCATCCTTTTCTAATACTTTATATGACATAGGTTGAAAATGAAAGGGCAATTGTTTTTACCTCTTCTTTTGACCTTTAATTCGTATTTCTAAATATTAAAGTAATGTGAATAATAATAGCACCTACCTTATAGGAATGTTGGGAAGATTAAATAAAGTAATATATATAAAATGTAAGGGCTAAATGTGTTAATTGTTGTATTAGTCCATTTTCATGCTGCTGATAAAGACATACCCAAGACTAAGAAGAAAAAGAGGTTTAATCGGACTTACAGTTGTATATGGCTGGGGAGACCTCAAAATCATGGTGGAGGCAAAAGGCACTTCTTAAATGGTGGTGGCAAGAGAAAAATGAGGAAGAAGCAAAAGGAGAAACCCCTGATAAACCCTTCAGATCTCGTGAGACTTATTCACTATCATGAGAATAGCACGGGAAAGACCAGCCCCCATGATTCGATTACCTCCCCCTGGGTTCTTTCCACAACGTGGGAATTCTGGGAGATACAATTCATCTTGAGATATGGGTGGGGACACAGGCAAACCTTATCAGTTGTTATTGTTACTTTTAAAATTCATTAATATTTTTAAATTTAATTTTTCTTTTTTACTTTTTATAGACAAGGTTTTGTTATGTCCCCCAGGTCTTGGGCTCAAGTGTTTCATCTTAGTCTCACAAGTAGCTGGACCTATAGGTGCACATCACTATACCTAGCTGTTACTTTTAATTTTTAATTACTGTTATGGGAGAAGAAAGATTGGTTCCTATATACATTTCCTTACATTTCCCTATATACATCGCTTCTATATTCTTCCCAATATTATTATATGATGATTTTGAAATAAATCAATATTTAGTGTTAAGATTAATAACACTGTAAATACGTATTAGCGACTTACTATATAATGATCACTCTTTCTTATACAGCATTTAAATGATTTTTCCTGAACTTAATAATTACCTTAGTTTTTGTTTGTTTAGTTTTCTGTATTTCTCTCTACCCTGCAGACTCCTCTCAATAGAACCAAAAACATCAGGAAATTTATTCTCTTTAAAGAATTTTTAGTAAACAGAAGTTTCAATTTTAGTGAGGTCAGACTTGTTAGTTTTCCCCTTCCGAAGGCACTTTTCAGGTGTTTTTGAAAGACATTCTTCCCTATCCCCATATTATAAAGATATTGTTCTACATTTTCTTCCAAATTAAAAAAAATTTAAAACCCATCTGGAATCAACATTTTGGTTTAGTGTTAGAAAGGGATCAATTTCTTTTTTCACATATAAATAAGCAACTGCCCCGGCATTATTTGTTGCTTAATCCTACATTTCCCCACTGATTTAGAATCATGTATCAAGCTTTCAAATATGTGTTTCTGTTTCTCAGATCTCTAGATTCTAATCTGATAGAGTACATGAGGTAAAACCTCATTTTCATTTCTTTTTCTTTGTTATATTCCCTGCTTCCTCCCATTGTACCCTCAGAGTCTTCTCTCTCTTCCTCCAAACTGTACTAACTGCTCTCCAGGCTTATTGCATGGCTGTTGTGCTGGGATATGTCTTCACCACTGAACTTGGAATTTTCTTTTTTTTTCCTCCCCTATTTTGGTCTTCTAGTGCCTCCTAGACCCCATGTTTCTTTCTTTCTTTCTTGTTTTACTCCTTCCTTTTGCTGAAGCATATTCTATAGTAGCTTTCTGAGAAAAGGTATATGCAGGGGTGCATTTCAGATTTTGCATGTCTGCAAATGCTTTTATGTCTATACTCTCGATTGATACTTTGGATGAATATGTAATTTGAGGGTGAATACTATTATCTCTTAAAATATTTTTTCCTAGTTTCTGCTATTGGTCTTGAGATTTCAGATACCTTTCTGACTCTCGAACATTTCAATAAAAAAATACATTTCCTTCAATTATCTACCATTCTATGTTATCTCTATTTGCATTTTCTGGAACTCTAATTAGTTGAATGTTTGATGTACTTAATGTTATAGCTATTAAAAAAAATTTCTTGTCCTATTTCATTTTCTTTTTTTTTTAAACTTCATTCCATTAAAGTCAGATATATTTAGAAAATGTAATTTAAGGAAAAAACATTTTTGTAATCAATGATAAATACTGCATTCCAAAGATTTATTTGTTTTAATTTAGGCTAAAAGAAGATAAAACTTGATTTAGGATAATATTTGTGTAAAAGAAAAAGATTTCCATAAACTCTAAATTATTAAACAGATGATAAACTTCTGATTTTTTCAAAAGAGCAATCAATTACTCTTCTCTTTTTTCCTGCTCCAAAATATGTGCTAGGGCATCACAGAACTTTCTTATGTTTGTTCTCTGGATAGGAAAGAACATACATACAGAAAACCTGAACCCCCCATTCCCTTTCCAATTCCATTTATTTGAGGGTGGTGTGGTGAGGAAAATTCCAATTTTACTGTCTGTCCTGTTAAATAAAGTTGGGCAGAGTACTGACAGGTTGCTTGCAAAGGGATAAATGTAAAAGGACATAGGAAAAAAAAGCTTCATATCTTTCTGTTTCCAAGTCTAATATTCTACCAAGTAGCCTACACAGAATATTATTTCTGTAGACAACAGTTTAAATTATATAAGTTTATCCTGATATCTAGGGGAATCAGTTGGCTATGCAAAGAAAAGTCAATTAGTGATATAGATCAGTTTTTATTCATTCTTTCAGAAAATTTAAACTTTGCTAGGTGAAAATCACATTTCTTTACTTACTCCACAAAATTGTCACCAAAGTTCTACAAAGAGTAGAAAAATATGCCTAAGTGAGTTGTATAAGTATCATTATCTATCTTAGCCTTTTAAAATTTCTATAGGTTTAGGCATTATTCAAAATACTGTATATTTCTAAAACCTGTTCATTCAAACCTCTATAAAGTATCAAACTTGCAAAGACTGAATTAGGTAATTATTGGATCTTATAAGGTTCTGTTCTATCTTCTATCTCTTTGTGTTTTGCTAGTATCTGGGAGATTTCCCCTACCATAGATTACAAAACTAATGTTGAATTTTTACATTTATACCACCACATTTAAAAACTCTTGGTAGTTCTTTCTTATTCTGTGGATATTTTCAAACCTTTTTTTTTTAATGGCATCCTACTCGTTTCCTAAAAGCAATATTTTCTCTTATCTGAGGATCTTAACGTTTTGAAAAAATAACTTTTCTCCTGTTTTCCGCAGCATCTTTGTTTTATTTTAGTGAATCTCTTTCAAGTTGGATGGCGTCCTTACATATCTAGCCATTGTAGGCTATTTATATTTAAGAACAAGACATTTAAAAGCTTATTGGGGCTGTATAGATTGTAGGGCTGCCAAGTGGATTTCTGATTTTTTCATTGAGGAACCACCAAATGTTTGATTCTGTGGGTTTTTTCCCTTGAATTGATCTGTTTCTTTAGAATCTTTAAATCTCTCATCCTTAGAGGTATCAATGCACGCATGCTATTCTCTGTTCAGTATGTTAAATTCTCATTTCTAAGTTTGGCACTTCTTTTTTAGTTTTAGCTCAGACTATTATCCTTTAGCTCAGAACTTCTCTGGACTAAACTCTCCAGAGAGTAAATCTCACATTTTCAGCCAGGGTAGCAGAAGGAGAGTTGCCTGGTTGTGCAGGATAGTCAAAGTGTCTAGGGATCTGTCTGACTTTTTTTTTTTTTTGAGACGGAGTCTAGCTTTGTCACCCAGGCTGGAATGCAGTGGCTCTATCTTGGCTCACTGCAAGCTCCGTCTCCCGGGTTCATGCCATTCTCCTGCCTCAGACTCCTGAGTAGCTGGGACTACAGACGCCTGCCACCACGCCTGGGTAATTTTTTGTGTTTTTAGTAGAGTAGGGGTTTCACCGTGTTAGCCAGGATGGTCTCGATCTCCTGACCTCGTAATCCACCCACCTCAGCCTCCCAAAGTGCTGGGATTACAGGCGTGAGCCACCGCACCCGGCCAGCTCTATCAGATTTTTAAACCAGCCTTCCTGGGCTTAGTCACAACCCACACACTTTTGAAAGGTGAAGTCAGCTGGACTTCCTGGGTCAAGTAGGGGCTTGGAGAACTTTTCTGTCTTACAAGAGGTTTGTAAAACGCACCAATCAGTGCTCCATAAAACACACCAATCAGCGCTCTGTAGCTAGCATGAGGTTTGTAAAGTGGACCAATCAGCACCCTGTAAAATGGGCCAATAAGCACCCTGTAAAATGGACCAAACAGCAGGACGAGGGTGGGGAAAAAAAAGGGAATAAAAGCTGGCCACCCCAGCCAGCAGAGGCAACTTGCTCTGGTCTGGTTCCACGCTGTGGAAGCTTTGTTCTTTCACTCTTTTCACTAAATCTTGCTGCTGCTCACTCTTTGGGTCTCTGCCACCTTTGAGAGCTGTAACACTCATGGTGAAGGTCCGTGGCATCATTCTTCAAGTCAGCAAGAACACGAACCCACTGCAAAAACTCCAGACACGTCTGAAGGAACAAACTCCGGACACACCACCTTTAAGAGCTGTTAACACTCACCACGAAGGTCCGCAGCTTCATTCTTGAAGTCAGCGAGACCATGAACCCACCGGAAGGAACAAACTCCGGACACACTTTCAGGATGCCAGTGTTTCCAGGAGTTGCAGCAACCTATAGTGGCATCCTCCTTCTTTGGGCTTGTTTAGATTAGGTGAATTAGGTAACACACATGTATTAGCTTTCAACTTGTTTCCACCTCTTATTTTATGTTTTTTAACTGCCAGTCTTCTTTTTTTAGAGTTGTCTTATTCCTTTGAGAATTTATTAATTCTCTGTTCTGTGTGATGTCAGTAGGAAAAACATGTATGCTTAATCTACCATGTTTACATAGTTTGTCTCCTTTCTTTTTTAAAAATTTCTTCCATAAAGTTTTGGTCTCAGGGATGCATTTCATCTTTGAGTTTTGCAGTCTTTTAATACATCAGCCTGAAAATTAGTATGACTTCTCTTGTCAATAAGCTGGAAGTATGATTGTGATTGTCTTCTATTGCTATCACTATTTCAGTGTGTGTTTGTGGTATTTAATTTCATTAGTACTGGAGAAAAATGCTTTTGACACATATTTGCCATTACGGCAAAAACTGTCAACACAAAAAGAATTTGACCGCTTGGCAAGTGGACTTGGATAACAACTAGTTCTCAGTGAGACCTTAATAATAATGGTCAAATAATAATAACTGTTGGATATAAATCGATTTGGCTGAAGAAAATGTTGTAAGGCTGTTTCCAAGCATAAAATACGAACTTTTATTTGTTAGGTTTAAGGAAATGTACAGCTAGAAATCTTAACTGTTCTCACCAAGATAAATCAATGGAATTATATATTAAACCACTCCAAAAGCTGCATATTGAGAGCCTTGATCAGATTTAGCACGGAAAAATGCTAGTTCTGGTTGTTACTTGCTTTCATTATTTATCTGCATTTCTCTATACAAGTGTCTGAATTACAAAGAGCAAGTTTAAAAAGTAATCAGCCCAACAAACCAACACAGACTTTGCAATTCATTTGGATTTGCATTCATAGTTGTAGGATCAGATTTTACCAAGTGAAGCAAACTCGGCCAGTTAAAAATACATTGACATTGTATTAGTAAATATGCCTTTTTTAGAATTCCTTTTGGGAAAGTTAGTAATTCTCCTCTTTTAATTCTAAAATTTGCATATACCACAGGTGTTGGTAACTGATGGCATATTCAGCTCAGCAGAACTAGATTTACGTTGGGGGTGCATCGTGTTCCAAACTTAGGCCGGTCAAAGGATAAAAGACAGCGAAGGAGTAGAAATAATAGAAAAGTTTACTCTGAATGGTAATACAGATTCAGTCTCCAGTCGTTCTTCTGTGGAGGAGGTACTTTCCTCTTCTTTTCTATTCACATCTGGGTGGGCATTTGTACTCATTGCACCTCTCAGACTTCAGTGCTCAGAAGCACAATAGTTCATTAGATAGGTTATTATATTTGGCTCTGGGAAATTAGGCTTGTGAATTTTGAACTACTCAGTCCAGTAGGTAAATATCACCCCAGATGATCAAGAATTTAGTCTTTTGTATGTTTGACTATGGAACAAAATTCTGAATATAAAGTAAGCCAAAAAGACCACAGAAAGTCAAAATTATACTCACAAAGTCCCAGTAATAAAGCTCACATTTTTCGTTAAAAAGGCTTTCATCCGGGGATTATATCAATGAACTAGACATGATCTTAGTATGTTTGTTATATAGTGTTTCAGCCTCCTGTTCTCCTGTTGATAAATAACATGTAGGTGGCCCGAGGTAGTAGAAAACTTTTAGAGGTAGAAGTGATATGATGGCTGACTGTTAGAGAAGGGAGGAAAATATCATGTCAATAAAGAGAAGAACTACTTATAGTATAGTAGTTTGGGGCCATTAAGTGAAAGAGTAAGCATATTTATATAACTAAACATTTGATGCATCTCCTTTTAGAACAGAACAATAATTTTTAATTAGGAGGGCTAATTATTAGGACATTGCTGTGAATTAGCTACAGTTTTTAGGGCCGAAAGATTGTTGTTATTTACCTCCGGTCACCATCCCTTCCTCCATAGAGAAACTGCACACTGGACAAGCTGGGACTTTTTTATGGCCTAGCCATAGCAGATTCTTTCATGCGTTCATGGATTTGCTCATTCTGAATTCTTTGTTAGGAAGCTGGTCTCTTTATTTGGTGAATTCCTGTGCATCTTGTAGAGACCAGCACAAACGTAATTTCCTCTGAGATTGCTGCATCCTTACTCTCCTCTGGTGGAATGTATACATAATATTGAAACAAAAGTACACACACACACACGTATATTGTGTTGAATCAATGAAATTGCCTTTTATATCGGTCTTTATAAATTCAAGTGTTGGCAGTTTCATATAGTTCTTTGTCTTTTGGCCATTATGATTCTGGAAAATAAGTGCAAACACTTCATGAATAAATTCATAAAATAAATCTATTTTTCTAATTTTTATGTGATATATTTCATTAATACCTACACCGTATGGAATTTTCAGAATCAAAACAGAAACGTGATTATCACTGTTGAATCAAAACAGAAATGTGATTGTCACTGGTAGACACTTTCTCAGATGACATAGGCCCTAGCTTGAAAACCCACCACTTGGAAGGGAAATATTGTTATAGATAAAAAGATCTAAGAAATCATATATTTAAATAAGACAATGAAAAAGAGAGAAGAGAAAAATGCATAAATATGTATGTTTATACAAATGTTATTAATTTATAACAAGATTATTATAAATTAATAATTCCATTACACCATTTACCCCAATGCTTATTATTTAGGTTTGATTATTTAAGTTTCTGTTTCTCATACTGTGTTATTAATTCCTTAAGGCAAAGTGCTATATCCTATTCATTTTTGCAGGATCTTTCAATTAAAATGGTGAATTTCCAAAGTAGGAAAACGGTGTTGAGACATTGTATTGGTTATGGTATTTAAATGGATATAACCTATTGGGGCAATATTTACTAAGAGATGTAAACATTTTCTTTACATCTAATCAAATAATCACACTTCTTGGATGTTAATCTAATAAAGTCATCTGAAATATGGAGAAAATGCAAATGCTTGAATGTGTTTATGGCGCTGTTCCTTAAAGCAGTGAAATACTAGAAGCAATATAAAGGGTTAATATTAGGACAATATTTAAATAAATAACAATTTATCTATTTAATAATATGCTCTATAATGACAAAAATGATAGCTATGAATATGGTGAATTAGCAGTGGAAAAATGCTAAGTAAAGAAAAAAATCAGGTATGAAATATTACGATGTTTTAAAATGACACATATGCATATTTATAAAAGCCTGAGGGACATACATAGTTTTTGTTGTGTTCTTTGAGTTTGAGGCAACTGTTTGTTATAAAGTATTATTATTATTGTGTAAAACAATTTCAAATTATTTCTATAATTTAAAAATATGTAATGACAAAACGCCTAAAATTTGGGGCCCAAATCAGGTGAATTTGTAACTAATGTAAATAAAATATTGTTCATTGCATTTCCATTATTATTCTTTACATGCTGTTTATGAATATATAATAGGAAGTTGTCAACATGTTAATCCTCATGAATTTCTATATGGAATAATCTTGTTTCCAATGATGTTTAATGCATAAATATTTACTTAAAAAGACTTTTTAGTTCCTTTGTTTGAAAGTTCTTACACTATAAAACAATTTGCTTTCAATTTACTTTAACCCTTTCTTTATTAAAAGTTATTTGTAATTTCTCTCTTACCATACTGAAATAAAATTCACAGGTAGTATAATATGCCTAGACACATAATTTAACTATAATTATTATAATTATCTGGGTTTAATTTTAATATGAAGAGAAGCAGAATAAAACTAATTTTAATAAAGTAATATGCATTTTAATTGAAAATAAGCATAAGTAGGCAAGAAGATATAATGAAATATAAAATATTTCTGATATTTAAAATAGCATTTAACATAAATGAGCTCACAAGCCAGCCTATTTGTGTAAGTTCAGGAAAAAGACGGAACAAAAGTATGAGTATACACTACAATAAAACTAGTGTTATAATAAGTGATATATACTTATTTGTATATGATGAAGTAATGAGGGAAATGACCTTAGCTAATGTATTGATATTGTGCCAAGACTAATTACAAACTATAGACTAGAGTAAATGAGGAAGTGTGATACAAGCTGAAAATAATCTGGGCCTTAGGTGTAGTGTCAAAAGTATTCTTTATATTATGACATAGAAAAGAGTAGTGACTTTCTTAGATGATTTCTCCTAATGTGAACTCCCATTCAGGCAGCATACATTTTAGTAACTGGTACTTAAAAGATCATGGTGGACATATCCTTTGATAGGCAATTATAAATAGATGATGGATTGGAAAAGTAAGCATCGATACATAACAGGTTATTAGAAATGATGATAGACCTTTTGTATAGTAACAGATATGAAAACAATAGGCAACCCAACAACATTTCTAATGGTCAATTTTGTAAACAAATTTTAAAACAGTATAAAAATATAGGGTGGCCATAACATTATATATTTTAAAATTGCATTTGTTAATGAAATGCAGATTCCTGTATTTCCTGTGCTTTGGTAATTTTATAGTGTTGGTCTTATGTCTGTTAAAAGCAATCTCAAACCTCCACTTTATACACATATGCAATTATTTCATTATTTTTCAGTGCCTGCATCCTAGCATTGAAACAATTCCCATATAGATAATTTCAGTAGAGTGTGATTGTATGTGTATAAGTGTGCATATGTGCGTGCCTGGGCAAACACCATCAGCATTTTCAGTATAAACATTTCCTGAAATCGTTAGTTAAAATTTGCATTAGGTAATGAATAATGCTGCTTTTGATTGGAAATATAAGAAAGAGTTTTGTGAAATGCTCCATTCAACAACTAATCCTCAATAAAGGCTTCCAATTTGATTTTGATGGATAATGTGAAGAAAGACCCAAAATGTGGAAATAAGGAAAATGCTTTTTGCAAAACTTTATTACAATCCACAAAAAGTGAGGAAAATAGGGTTTTGCATATTAATGCATAACTTCCCAAATTCTAAGGAAAATAATTCTAGTTATTGTATCCGAGTCTCCTTTTAGGAAGATGCAGTTTATAATTTTGCAGATAATATACTACATGACAAGGTTTAGGAAAACCTAATTTTTCGAAGCTGAGATATAGCATTGCTAGATAAGTCCTTATGTTCCTAGAACAAGTGGCCTAGGCAGGGCTCATTGCAAAAAGATATTATTTGTATACACAGTCATCTTTTTGGTATCCTGAGGAATAGGTTCCAGGACTTCTACAGATATCAAACTCCCCAGATGATCAAGTCCCTTATATAAAATGGCATAGTATTTGCATGCTGTGTAACCTACACAATCCTCCCCTGTAGTTTAAATCATCTCAAAATTACTTATGATACCTAGTACCACGTAAATACTAGGTAAGTAGTAGTTATACTGTATTGTTTTTAAACTTGTATTTTTAAAATTTTTGTTTTTTTTATTATTTTTTTCAAAATACTTTTAATCTGTTGGTTGAATCTGCAGCTGTGGAACCAGTAGATACATGAGGTTACTGTATTTTTGCATATGATATAAGATAATAAACATGTGTCATATAATTATTGCTATTATTATTATTGTTGGGAAAAATAGAATTATGAATGACAATTAGCCCAAGTCTCTAAGCCTTCAATAGGGGTGAGATGTGGGGAGAAACTACAATGTGAACCAAAGCACTGGGTAGGGCTCAAAGGATAGAAAAAGTACTTAACTGAGAGGGATTTCTGGATCCATCATTTATTTATAAAGCAATTCTTATGTTCTTTCTTTAGCTAAAAAATTTTCCAATCTTCATACATATTTCTACATGTATTATACAAATTATGGTATAATTATTGTATTGTTTGTAGGTAATATGAGGTATAGACTAAAAATAAGTAGTTAAAGCCTACTATTCTGTGCCAAAGCAGGACAAAAAGTAATTTTCAGTGAAGGGTGGGTAGGGGATTTTAACGTAGTTCATATATCAGCAACTTTCTCTGCAGTGCATAATTTCCTATAGGTCTGGACAAATTATGTAAGTTTATAAAACCCTAGGACTAGGGAAGTTGGTGGTGGGGAGGTGGCTGGCTGCAGTTCAAACAGCATTGAATGTTAGTCTTGCCAAATTTCCATAGCTTGTAGCTAAGGAAGGTACAGAATACAATCTGATTGATACAAATTCCTGTTTCCTTCCATATAGCAAACACATACTTTCCACAGCAGCATAGTAACATGATTCATAATTCCTTCAGGTATTAAGTGGAAAAACATCTGTTCACTTGATTACATTTATAGATATACACAGATATTATAATGGCTAATTTGGAATAGGTCATTTACTTGTCAGTTATAGGTAATGTTAATATACATAAATTCTGTATATGTGAAGAGTTGCGATCTCAAAAAGATCTAGAGGCAAAATCGACTCTAATTTTTTTCTTTACATGTGTTGTACATGTGAGCAACTCAGCTCTGATTCAACGGCTTTTTCCTCTGCTTGTAAACGAGCTAATATGATAGGTTATAAATAGGGGATGCCAAACTTGCATTTTAAGTTTTTACTGAGCCAGGAGAGAACCATTAATATTATTAAATGATTGGCCAGTATCCTCAAGGAACTTTGAATTTTTAAATACGAAGGAAGGCTTGAGGGAGGAAGATTAACTAACATTTGTTAAACCTATGGATTTATTCAATTTACGGTTAGCTCTTAGCAAAATTGTAAGAGAAATTTGCCTCTAGGGAGATAATCTATTGGCTTTCTTCTCCCTTTATGATCTCCTTTCTCTGCCTCCACCCATTTCAACATATCAACTCCTTATTTCCTGGGTAGCTTCCATCACCAATCTCTGCACTAACAATCTACTCTCTTAGCAATAATCAAATCTGTAATATATTAATATTAACTATAGTCACCATGTTGTACAAAAGATCTCTTACATTTCTTCCTCCTGTCTAAAATTTTGTGCCCTTTGACCAACATCTCCCCAACTGCCTCTCCCCAGCCTCTGGTAACCATCCTTCTCCTCTGTTTATATAAGTTTGATTTTTTTAGAGTCCACACATAAGTGAGTAGATTTTAAGTATTCTAAATGCAAATAGATAAGTATATGAGGCAATGATTATGTTAATTAGCTTGATTTAGCCATTCCACAATGTATACATGTTTTAAAACATCATACCCCATAAAATATGCATACTCTTTATTTGTCAACTAAAAAATAAGTCTGCCCTCAGTCACACATTAAGATATGACACACTCATATCATTCTAAACATATTTCTTGGTATAATAACCCCACATTAAAAAGATTGGCCAAAATTGTAAAGCTCTTTTGAGGACTTTTAATAGGAGGTATGGACTAAAAATAAGTAGGTAAAGCCTACAATTCTGAAAGAATGTTCAGGGAACCTGAGTCTTAAGTAACTTTTTAAAAGAAGGTTCTATGGTCAAATGTTTAGTAAAGGTTATTTATCCCTATATTGGGATTTCAGTATTCACTTTAGGACAGTTAAGACTCAGTTTTTGAAAAAAAAATTCTTTAATTCTGTTTGACGTGGCATTTGGCAATTGTATTTGACTACGAAAAGCAATTACGGTTGGCCCCCTGTATCTATGAGTTATGCATTGATAGATTCAATTAACCACAGATCAAAAAATATTGGATAAAAAGATGTGCCTGGGCTGGGTGCAGTGGCTCATGCCTGTAATCCCAGCACTTTGGGAAGCCGAGACAGGTGGATCACTTGAGGTCAGGAGTTGGAAACCAGCCTGGCCAACAGGATGAAACCCCATCTCTACTAAAAATATGAAAATTAGCCGGGCATGGTGGTGGGTGCCTGTACTCCCAGCTACTTGGGAGGCTGAGGCAGGAGAATCGTTTGAACCCCTGGAAGGTGGAGGTTGCACTGAGCCGAGATTGTGCCATTGCACTCCAGCCTGGGCAACAGAGTGAGACTCCATCTCAAAAAAAGAAAAAAAAGTTGTGTCTATACTAAACATGTACAGACTTTTTTCTTGTCATTATTCCCTAAACAATGCAGTATAACAACTATTTACACAGCATTGACATTGTATTAGGTATTGTAAGTAATCAAGCAATGATTCAATGTATAGGGGAGGGTGTTCATGGGTTATATGCAAATAACCACTTTATATCAGGGACTTGAGCACCCTTACATTTTGGTATCCATGGAGATCCTGGTAGCAACTGTCCAAAGATATCAAGGAATGATTATTGATGGCAGCAGTAGCTCATCTGGAGCAGCCGCTGCCATGACGCCAGCTGCAATGGGGGAGTTGCAGCTGGGGTTGCATGCTCCATGGAGCCTGGCAGTAGCCAGGAACAGGCAGAAGCCCTGCCCCCTTCCAACTTGGAGGGGCAGGAGCTCCACCTTCTTGGGTGGCAGCCACCCAGCCATGGCTGTAGATCCGGGCATCTCAGCACTCTTGGGGGCTCAGGAAGCCCCTCTTCCCCTGCAGGCTTGGAAGTGCCTGCTCCCGCTGCCTAGCCTTTCCCTGCTCCCAGCACCTGCTTCGATTTTGGAGCAAAGTTGTGGCCAAGCCTAGGCACTGTCACCAACCAGCTGAGTGTGCACACACCTGGGGCAGTGCTGACATGCCAGGCCCCTGCTGCCTCAATCCTCTCCAAACTTTGGGCACTGACGAGCATGGGAGGGAGGCCAAGGGAGACTAAGGGCAGCTTGGTGCAGGCCTGCAGCCACCCCTCAGCACAAACAGCCTGGGTGTCATGAGCACCATGGATGGCAGGTTAATGGCAGCAGGAGGCAGACAGGCTTCTGGGTGGAAAGGGATGGGTCCCAGTGAAACCCCACCTTCAGGCCATGGACGGCCTGAGGGCTGGGCACTGGGCTGTCAATTCTGTGGATCAGAGTGAGAACTTATAGTGCTTTTCTGGGCCCACCCATGGCCACCCATGGACCAATCAGCACACACTTGCTCCCCTCTAAAGCCCTTAAACCCCTAGACTCAGCCAGACTCTGAGAGACAAAAAGACAACCTGCCTGCAGAGAGAAGCTAACCACTGTGTGTTTCCTGTCTGCTGAGAGCTGAACAGACAATGGATGCCCTGCCTGCAGAGAGAAGCTATCCACTGAAGGTCTCCTCTGAGCTGTTGTTGCTCAATAAAGTACCTCTTCACCTTGCTCACCCTCTACTTGTTGGCATACCTTATTCTTTCTGGACACGGGACAAGAACTGGGGACCTGTCAAATGGTAGGGCTGAAAGAGCTGTACCCAGGGTTTTTATGGCCTGCAGAGGGGAGGAAGTATGTGCTGATTGGTCCATGGGCAGCCATGGGCAGGCCTGGAAAAAAGGCTGAAACATGCCCCTTGTTCACCATGTTGCAGGTGATGACCTAGGAGCTCCCTGAGCCAGGGCTGTGATACCCTCTTTGGGCCTCTGCGGTTCTTGCTGTCTCCAAGCTTCTGGGTGCCACCACATTCCCCACTGCCAGCCATGGAAGCTGCTTGCAGTATGCCTGGTGTAGCCACAGCCTCAAAGGGAGCTGGCACCCATGCTGGCACCTGGAGCTGCCCTCCCCACCACAGCTAGTGTCCCTGCCTGTGTGCAGTGGCTTGACCTCATGCTGGCTTGCTCACACAACCCTTGCCAGTCTGCACCTGGCTCGACCTTTGCAGGTGTGAGATCCAGGCCACTAGCGAGAGCTGAGCACAGCCTGCCAGGCTGAGTGGCGGAATGAGCCCAGGGGGTCCAAGCAAAACTCGGGCAAAGGAGCCATCGGCCACAGAGCTTTCCAGGGAAAAGCAACACCCTGAGGATCCTGTGACAGTATTATTTGTTTCTATATCACCTATTAATATTTATCAGAGTAAGTGTTTCATGAAAAGCTTTACTGAAAATGCTGCTTTAGGGGGCTTGTCCATTGCCTCTGAACTTACACCACACTAGTGGTTTGGCATTATGACATTCTTGGGACAGAGGACTGTGCCCAATGGTCTTTTCCACAAAGTACAGAGGAAATAAACTAAAATTATTTACTGATAAGATTTCTGTGACACTGATCATACTTTATATTTCACATTATCTCGAGAAGATCTAAGGACTTTAGAATGAAAGATGGTTTTTAATCTTTTTGGATTAATTTAAGATGTGAGATGTTGTATTGTCTTATTACATGAGGCCCAATAAATATACATGAAATTTCCAAAGTTTGTTGCAGAAAGATTTTATTTTGCTGGACTTTAAATTCCTATTGTTTAATGCTCAAATAAGTACTATCTTCTTCCTTCTGCATTATTTTCATCATAGCATTTACTACCATCTAATATGTATTTTGCTTATTTATTTTGCTTATTGTTGCTTTTCCCTTCCTCCACTAGAATGTAATCTCTAAGATGAAAGTAACTTAAAATTTTTTTAAATTGATGTATAATAGATGCACATAACTTTGGGATACATATAATAGTTTAATGCATTCATGTGATTTGTAAAGATCAAATCCATTTAATTGAGATATCTATCACCTTAAATATTTGTTTTTATGCTAGCAACATTTAAATTATTCTTTTCTAGCTATTTTGAATATAAAGAGTAGATCATATTTTAATATAAAATAGAAGTATAACCAATTATTATAAACTATAGTCACCTTACAGATCTATCAAACACTAGATCTTATTTCTTCCATCAAACTGTACATTTGTACTTGTTAATGAACCACAAATGAATTCCCCCCTTTTACTTTATTGTTGTACCTCCAGACTCTAGAATAGTGCTCAGCACATGAAAAGGATTCAAAATGCTGTATTTTTTAAATAAATGAAGTAGGCCCTGAAGTGAATATATATTAATATTTAGCAGTTTCATCAGCATATAGGTAATAGATATATCGACAAAAATAGATGAACTCATCAAAAGAGGATATGTAAAATGAGATTCTAAAAATTCTTGAGTTGAAACAATGAGCCTCACCAACATGTACAGGGAGGCAGGGGAAGACAAACCCCGGTGGGCACTGAGAAGGAGAAAGGGGGAGTCAATGGGAGAACCAAGAGAGAATAGTGTCTTAGAGATAATTGGAGAAGAAACCGCAGAGAGGGAAAATTTGCTAAGACTTCAGAAAGATTGGATATGATAAACATCTCTCCTCTGTAAAGGCCCACTTTTAATTATCATGCTATCTTTTGTAGGAGGTATTATATACCTGATTTTATATAATTTGTACCAGGGAAATTTTTTAGTAGCTTTTACACCATGGTAGTTATAGAGAACTTTTAATGCTCATCTTATGCTGTATTTATTTATTTATTTAATGTGCCTTTGATTTGGAAAAAAACAACATGTAATCAGATTAACCTTTGGAAGTGACTCTGGAAGTGAAAGAGTTAATTTTTTAGCATCCTGTGTAGCTCTAGGGGAAGCGTGCAGAGTAAATGAAAAATGGAGCCGTAGTCCCAACTCTGTATAATCTCGAATCATGTGATATTCTCCTGGGGCTGATTCTAATCAAGTTTGCTGTACAAAAGGTCATTTCCATTACCCTGTGAGGCAGATCCTAAATAGAATTATGACAGACATTAGCTTTTAATAATGCAATAGGAGTTGAATTCTCTTGACCATAGGCAGATGTCAAACCTCTTTGTGGTGGCTTTTATGCCCATTTACATGTAATTTGTAATATATTGGTGAATTGGTATAGTATGAATGTGCTATGGATATTTTTTCTTTCTAGCTAAGTCTGTTTATACATCCAGAGCTCCCTAGTTGTTGGAATAATGACAATGAAATTATTTATACTTGACATTATATTTGGATTCAGAGTGTGGTGGCCTTTTAAGTTTAATAAGGAGGATTCTAGGAATATATGTATTTCTGGTGATTTGTAAAAATATTAAATCACCATCTCTATAACCAATAGCAGCATGCACGTTTGGGAAGCTGACTTCTACTATTCTCTTAATGATTGAATTCAGTGAAGTTTTCATTTACTACTTTGTACTTCAGAATTATACATGAGAAAGAAAAGGTAAGAGTTTATGCGTATATTCTTTAACATCAACAGTTGTGGTCCCATTTACTATGTTTCTGTAGTGTATACATGTGCTACAGCAATTATAATGATTAATATTGATTGATAAGTGATTATCGTATTAGCCTATTTTAAAAGACATACCAGAATGGCATAAAAATCTAAGTTACCAACTACTGTTATACTTTTTAAAGAGTGGGCCACACTTTAATTCTAAAAAAAGAAAATGCTTTTGCCTAAAATAGGTGTTTTTATTAATAGTGAATATATTAATATGAAATTTGACACAATCAGCATCTTGATGTAGTGGAAAGAAAATTAGACTCTCAATTAGGAATCTTGGGTTCCAGCCCTAGTTCTATCACTATGTGTTTGCCCTTTGATGATCTCTGGGCCTCTGTTTCTTTGTATGATTCCTTTCTTATCCCACTCTGTCTTTAATATCTTATGATTATAAGTTATATTGATGAATGAAAAAAAAACCCATGTACAAATTTGGATTATGTCCACATTTGGATAATCTATTGAAATTGCATCAGGTTTTTAAGTACAATAAGATAAATGAGGGATTTTATTTTTCTTTTAATGCCAGAATCCTCATAGAATAAGAGATGTTCAAATCCTATGGTAGAGAGTGTTGTAAATTTTGTTCTATCAACAGCCAAATTCTCCTGACGTGTTTTATTTTTGCTGTTGAGGGGTCTTTGAAGTTTCTTGGAAGAAGCTCTCAGTGTTCGATGGAGAGACAAACCAGGATAGTCAAAGTTAATATGAGGAATGCGGCACATGAGCTTGAGGTTGCTGGTGCTATTTGTCATTTCTTGCCAAGGATGGGTGCAGCTTTAGTTGCTGGGAGTGGGAGCCTGGCGTTATCTTTTCACTAAAGCATTAAGCCGGGGCTAAAGAATTGCTGTCATCTTAGTTAGTACCTCATTTTGCATTCTTTAAAATATGAACTGTCATTTTCTTAACTTTTTTTGCAATAATTTTTTATGTTGGTGATCTGTGTTGAAAAACATCGGGGAAAATAAGAATAATCCGAACTCTAGGTCTCTGCTACAGTTGTAAAGTTCTAGGTGTGTGTTTGACATGCTTTTTAAACTTAATTGGAAAGCAGAGCAGGAGAAAATATGCTTTAAAAACACTTGCAGTTCTTGATATATGAGCCAGAAATGGGAACGGCTAGGAATAGGTTTGTTTGATGTGCAAAAATCCATTTAACATTACATAACCCACCCCCCAACAGCCCCATCCAACTCTTTGATGTGGGATATCAGGAGTCTCCTAAGTGTATTCTGTTGAAATAGATAAGACAATTACAGGCTCTGGGCTGAAGTTCTTAGGGTATTATGTGTGTGGGTATAATCATACCTTTTCATCTGAAACTTTTAGAGAACACTTTCCAGATGTGGTCTTTATTCATTTTGGACATTAAAAATATTGTGTCTTGAATATACCCAGAGCTTGTGAGAACAGGCTTGGAGAAGAAAAGAGAACTGCTGAGTAAGATTATATTGAAGGAACTCACAGTCTAATTTTGAGGAGACATTAACACAAATAAAGCAAAGAGAGTACTCTACAAGATGTTGTTAGATTATGGACTAAAGGAATTCTGAAATACAGTAATTCACTTAGGTCTCTATTACAATGTTTTTAAAAATTTATCTCTATTCTTGGAAAATAAAATATTCCATTTGGGAATTTTTTCAAATAATTGAAACGTACCACCTTGATATTTTTATGACATATAATCTCTTCCTGAATAAAAATCTTTTACTTTTATCATGTGATATATCAGGATCACATTACGGACATTACATTACAGATTCTTTGAGCTAGAAATAAATTTAGAAATGGTCTTGTCTAATCTTTTCATTAGATGGTTGCAGAAACTGAGCCTAGAGACTGTCCCAAGGGAGAACAGGGACTAGAATCTAAGCTTTGCTGACTGTTGGGATTTTATTGTGTTATCATATTGTGCTTTGGATATTATCTTCTGGCTCTCTGAGGTATGTAGGGCTATTTTTTTTTCACTGTGGTAAATGGTCCTAGGCTGTTACGTTTTTATAATTTTTCTCTTTGTTATTTATGGTTTTCTCTACGTTTTTCTCCACTGTCAGCCTTACAGCAGTTTCTAGCACTGCCAAGGTACCTGGCTTAAACTGGGAAATGGGTTCTAATTGCTCCTCCCAAAATTCAGTAAGTACCGTGGAGAAAAGGGAAATGCTTATTTCATGGGTTTTGAGAAGACAAGCATGTGGTTTCCTGTCTTCCCTTCTTTTCCATATTTTATCTTCATCCTGGTTGATTTCAATAGTTCTGATGATGATGGATCCAAATGCTGGATTCCCAGTTCTTTGAGGGCCTCATTTCCCTTGTTATTTACCTCTACTCCACTTCAGTCACTCATTTTCATGACCATTCCCTTGGCCTTGTCATTACTCAGACACTTTACCACTGAAATTTTAAATTAAGACATTCTTTCTCATTTAGTGCCTTTCACTGCATCAGTGCTAAAATAAAGGGACAGGTCTGGCATGGTGACTTATGCCCGTAATCTTAGCACTTTGGGAGGCCAAGGCAAGAGAAGCATTTGAGGCCAGGAGTTCAAGATCTGCCTGGGCAGCACAGTAAGTTCCCCGACTCTACAAAGAAAAAAAAAATAAATAAATAAGCAAAGTGTAGTGGTGCATGCCTGTAGTCCTAGCTACTCAGAGGCTGAGGATTGTTCCATTGTATTCCAGCCTCAGTGACAGAGAGAGACCTTGCCTCTATTAAAATTAAATAAATAAAGAGACACCTAGGTCCTTGAACTGATTTATATTTATTCTTCTGTCTCCTCCTGTGTCTGTTTTCTTTCCTGACCAGCTTGTAGTTCATACTCAATCACTTTTATCACTCTCTTGGCATTATTCTTAACTCCTTTCAACCCATTTTTAAATTTCTTAGTCTGTGATCAGCAACTTATGCAAAATGTCTCCATTAAGTTTATACCAGAAAGCTATTGGAAAGCTGAATAGCTTTGAGATGGGTGCCACCATAAATTCAGTTTCCTATCTCTTATGGTATTTTAATACTGTCCAGAATTTCCTCTTCCTTTGCCTGGAACAACTCTTTCTCCTATTCTCCACAACTTACAAAGCTCTTTGTTTTTTCAAACATGTTTTTCTCTTACTTTTGCTGTCACTCTCATTGGGCGTTCTTACCCCACAAAAAAAGAAACCACCAGGTGAGAGCACCTCAACCTCCTGCCACCAACCCTAAAATACAGTAGCCTTTGTATCTTTTGTTTCCTTTTTGTTAAAGGGTAGATTGTGAGCTAGGGACCAATTTTATTTTACTTTTTCCATATGAATAATTAGTTGTCCCAAGGCCATGTATTGATTAAGTAATTTCCTCACAGGATTTTTTGAAAAGTTATTACCGTATTTTTTTCCTTTTATGCTTGCTCTGTTCATGAACTCTGTATCTGGTTAATAAGTCGATTTCTCTTTCATTTGTAAATTATCATATAGTTTAATGACTACAGCTTTTTTGTAGATCTTGATATCTGAAGGGCAATTCCTTCTACACATTCTTTTCATCAAAATTATTTTATCTATTATTGGGGCTCTCTTCTATATGAATTTAGAACCATGTTTTTAAGTTATGTTTAAAAAGTCTTTTGGGGATTTTAATTGGAATAGCACTGAATTTATACATTAACTTGAGTGAGAACAGAAATCTTTATAACACTGAGTCTTCCAATCCATGAATATGGTATATCCCTTCATTTAATTATTCTTTTATCTCCTCTAATAATGGTTTATATTTTTCTCTATGAAAGTGTTTTCAATATTTCTAGAATTTTCTCTGAGTATCTTATATTTTTTTAGGCTATTTTGAATAAGAATTTTTCTACTAGAGTAATCTTTCAAATCACTCAATGATCTTTGAGCATTATTTGCTCAAAGCAAGACAGCTGCCTAAAATCTTTTAAGATATTTTCATTACCCTTGGTATTAACATTTAGACTCTGACAGGAGATGTATATTTCTCTTAAACTGTTTCTTCTCTCCCCAGCCTCATCTTTCTTACTAGCCTCATCATTCTCTTTAAATTCCAGCCAGGTAGAACTTGTGTTAACCTTGATTTATTTTTCCCCTTAGCTCCTCATGTCTATTGAATTCATGGATAAGTGCTGTTAACTCCAAACCTCTATATCCAAAATGCAACCACTTTTGTCATCTCCAGTGCTTATATTCTAGACTGAGCCAGCATTCTCTCTATCGTGGCTGACTATAGTAGACTCTGATTGATTTCCTTGCTTCCTTTGTCAGCTCTCCACAATACATTTTCTACATAATAGTCAGAGTGATCTTTGAAAAATGTAAATCAGACTACTTACTTCCTCTGCCTAAAGCCGTCTGGTGGCAAATAAAATAAAAACCTCTTATTCTAAGAAAGCCATATAGGACTTGATTTCTGCCTAGATGCTCACTTTATTGCAGGCCACTCTTCTCCTTGGACAGTATATTGCAGCCACTTTGGTCCATTCTTTGTTTCTCAAACACATCAGGGCCTTGCAGTTTTTACTGTTTCCTCTGCCTTAAATGTATTTTGCCTAACCAAAATGTAAACAGTAATAGAGCAGAGGCTTTGTTTGTCTTTTTCATGGCTCTATTCCCAGCCATCTAACGGTTCAATAAATATTTGTTGAATAAATGTCTGAATGCATTTTTTTTTGTTTCCTCAGATGCACTGGGCTCTTGTCTTTAGTTCATCTCATATGTTTCTCTTTGCCTGAAACAACATCTTTCTCTGTTTCTCTCTCACAACCTTTCCCACCTTTGCCCAGAAATATTAGTTTGCTTTCAACCTTTGGAAAGCTTTCCCTGATCCCTATCCTGTCATCTTCCTTATGGACTTATGGAGTGTTGGGGACAAGGGTTTCTGATATGTATCCTGTATACTATGTACCTCTGCATTTTTTTTTTTTTTTTGTGACAGAGTCTCACGCTGGTGTGCAGTGGTGTGATCTTGGCTCACTGCAACCTCCACCTCCTGAGTTCAAGCAATTCTCGTGCCTCAGCCTCCAGAGTAGCTGGGATTACAAGCGTGTACCACCATGCCTGTTTAATTTTTGTATTTTTACAGGTTTTCACCATGTTGGCCAGGCTGGTCTTGAACTCCTGACCTCAAGTGATCCACTTGCTTCGGCTTCCCAAAGTGTTGAAATTACAGGCATGAGCCACCACGCCCGGCCTACATCTGCTTTTATATCATTGTATTTTCTACTAGACTATAAATCCCTTGGGGGCAGGGGTTATTTCCCCCACTGTGTTTGCAATGTCTAGCACTTTCCCTTGCTCATGGTATAATTACTCAACAAATGTCTGATGAATCGACAAAAGAGTGAATGAATGACTAAATCTGTTTTAAATTCCCAAAGCACCCATTCAATTTCATTTATCTCTCTTATCTATGTCCTAGAATACTGGTAGTATCTGAAAAATAAACTCTAGAGATCAAATTAATATAGTTCATTTGTGGTTCCTTTTATCCAAGAACCCCAGAGAAATTTAGAAATATTATTTGAACAAAGTCTATTTTTCTGGCTTTGTAGTGTATCCCTAATGAAGGTGGATAAAAGTTGTTGACAGGAAAAAAGGAATATTTTCAGGGTACTAACATACTAATCTCTACCATTATTATTATTGTTTTCTTAGACCACACATCAACCCTTTAAATGCCTCAAGAACATCCTGATCCAGGAGCAAGAAAACACTTTGGACCAGCAAGCAATCTTGTTGGAGTAAACGTTCTGCAATTTGGGATCTGCAAATCTCTGAATTTGGTGTCTTTTCTCTATTATCTGGAGGTTTTCTCTGGTTTTATCCTGGCTTCATTCCTTGTCTGTCTGGCTTCCTGGTTTATTCCGTCTTGGTTCTCTGAATATCTGTGCTTGCTCATTTGTTGAGCTGCATTTTGGACCTGGGTGCAAGCCTTCTTTTGCAGGTTACCTTCCCTTTCTGACACTCAAGCACTGGACCCAGCCATTGCCATTTTCCAGTTCCTCAGGGAGCAACATATTTTCTAAAACAAAAAAAAGCAAAGTATTTAAAAACCTATATTTACAGAAATATGGCATCTTAATCTTTATTTTTACATGACTGGTTAGAAGTTATAGTTTTAAAAATCTAAGTAGTAAATACTGCCTACTTAAAAGTAGTTCTACATTAGAAATCCTGTTTATCTTGGAGATTTTAATAATTAAATATTTTAAAATTACTATACCATAGACCAAATTTTAGCAATTAAATAAGGATTATCAAAAAGGATGATTTAACCATCAGAAAGATACTAAAATCACACATAACTGTGTGAGAAAAAAATCATCTTCAAGCTATGTATTAAATTAAAGCAAAATTTAATTTCAATGATGACGATGATGATGATGATAATGATGGTGATGATAAACTAATCTGGCATCTATTAATACAATGCTAAGTTTAGTTCAGCTAATGTTCTTCTTACTTGACATTCTCAAATATGGCATGATGAAGTTATTTTTCACTTTGGCTTCAGCTAAAATGATTCTTTCCAGTTTTCAGGAGAAAACATTTGCCAGGAAACAGATTATACTGTCCAACTTCTAATGAGTTACTATGATCAGTGAGCCAATTTTTCTTTAGCCTAGGTAATATTTTACCAGTAATATTTTAAAAAGCATAAAATATGATGGAAGTTACCTTTCCTCCATAACCATACCTAATAAATTCACCTCATGTTATATACCAGTTCGGCTTAAGAATAGTTTCAAAACAAGCGTTGCACTTTAAAAATTGCCTAGAGATCTAATTTGCAGTGGTATCTAATTTTCAGCTAGGGTGAGGTGAAGCATCAGAGCAGATACAGTTTACCTTGCCACAAAATATTGCTCAGTAAGAAGTAATTATCAATATTATTATTAATTACCATAATTCATTTCTCTCAGGGGATTTTCTTCCCATTGACTATAGGTAAGTGAAAAGCCCAGAACAATTAGTAATTGGAGATAAAAATCTTTCAAAACTGCATATGGTTGAAACACTGCAACAATTCTATAAGTCAGGGGTTGGAAGGGAGGGAGAACAGAAATTTTCATTTGAATTTTTTTTTTTTTTTGCAGAGGCTAAGGGGAAAAAATAACTACTTCAAGAAATGAAAATGGGTAGCCTAGACGTTTTTTTTTTTTGAAATGTAGAAAACCCCAGAATTCTGGAGAGCCATTGACCCAGTTCTTCCCTTTCTACTGCCCCTATTTGTCTGTGATTGAGACAATTCTGGGAGTATTTAACTCTATCTTCCTTTGTTTCTACTCTGAATCCTGGTCCCTACTGGTTCTGAGGAGCATTGCCTTATGGATTATTGTCTCTGTTTCATATATCTTAAATATATTTGTTTTTATAACTTCTTTGTCCCAGGTCATAGGCATACTCAAAGTGTTCCCTTCCAAAAACCAAAACTTATCACAAAATCCCACTCTGTTTCTCCTGCCCTTCTTACCTTCAACCTAGTTATATATCCCTTTCCTTCATTTCTTCAGGTCCATATTGCCTTTTATTTGCCTTTATTATCTTATTGAATTACCTAGGAATTCCAGTACAATGTTGAATAAAATAGGGTGAGAGGAGACATCCTTGCCTCATTCCTAATCATAGCAATAGAGTATCTAATTTTTCACTGTAAGTTTAATATTAGCTGTAGGTTTTTCATAAATATTCACCATCAAGTTGAGGAAATTCTCACTATTCCTGGTTTGGTGAGAGTTTTTATCATAAGCAGGTTTTGGATTGTCAAAAGACTTTTTCTGCATCAGTTGATAAAAAAGTGTTATCTTTCATTAGCCTGTTGATGTAATGGGTAAGACTGATATTCTAATGTTGAACCAGGCTTTCATATGTGAAATAAAATCCACTTGGTTATGATGTGTAGTTCTTTTTATGCATTGATTCTATTTGCTAATATTTTGTTGACACTTTTTGTATCTGTGTTCATAAGAGATACTAGTCTGTAGTTTATCTTTCTTTTCGAAAAAATAATTTTATTTTTTAATTATTGATTTAATTAATGAATAAAAAATTATACATGTGTATGGTGTATGACATGTTTTAAAACTTGTATACACTGTGGAATGACAAAATCAAACCAATTAACATATGCATTGTCTCATATGCTTGTGTTTTTGTGGTGGAGACCACTTAAAATCTACTCTCTTAGCAATTTTCAAGTATATAATATATTGTTATTAATTATAGTAGACATGATACACAATAGATTTCTTGAACTTATTCTTCCTCTGTAACTGAAATTCTCTGTCTTTTGGCAAACATTTCCCCTATCCCCTCTGGCTCCAGCCCCTGACAACTACCAACCAACTCTCTGGTTTCTGTGTATTTGATTACATTAGTTACCTAGTATAAGTGGGGCCATACAGTATTTGTCCTTCTGTGATTGGCTTATTTTGCTTAATGTCCTCAAGGTTCATCCATGTTGTCACATATAACAGGATTCCCTTCTTATTTAAGGCTAAATAACATTCCATCATGTGTAAATGCCACATTTTCCTTATCTATTCATCCATTGTTGAAATTTAGGTTGTTTCTATATCTTGGATTGCAAATAACATTCCAGTGAACATGTAAGTGCAAATATCTCTTTGCGATTCTGATTTAAATATTTTTTGAATAAGTACCCAAAATGGGATTACTAGATCATGTTTTTTAAAAATAGTTTTTCACATTTTAAATTGTAGTCATTTTGAGGAACCTTCATATTGTTCTCCATAGTGGCTGCACCATTTTACATTCCCACCAACAGAGCAGAGGGGTTCTAATTTCTCCAATTCTTGCTAACACTTAAAATTATTATATACAGTATATTTTTAATAGAAAAACATTCTACCAGATGTCAGATAATATCTCATTGTGGTTTTGATTTGCATTTCCCTTATGATTAGTGATTTTGAACATATTTACTTAGGTATGTTGGCCATTTATTTTTCTTCTCTTGAGAAAATGTATATTCACATACTTTGCCCACTTTCTAATTGGATTTTTTTTTTTTTTTGCTATTGTGTTCTAGATCTCTTTCACTTTATAAAAATGATTTCTCTGGTCAGGGAATGCTTTTTATTATTTCTTTCAACACTTTCTATCTCGTTTTAATCCACTATAATCATGTGCAATTAACACTAATGACTTTCCCCTCTAGTTGGAATAAAATCTAAATTCCTTATTATGACCAAGAATGTCCTAGTAATCTGACCTCCACCCAAATCTCCAGCCTCTATCTGTTTCCTCCACTCCATCCACACTGACTATCTGTTCTTTTGGTCCCTCACATCATAACTGTATGCTCACTGGGGCAGTTCATGGCACGCGCATTCTCTAGCTCAGTGCTTCTCAACTTTTGGAACTCATGCTTCCTCCTCGTGAATGTAGAAGGTGCAAGCCCTACTTTGTGCTCCCATTTTCTAATATTTTTCCAAGAGGCCAAGAAGATTTCACTTTAATTTCTACAGTTATTATTATCAAAATCAAAGTGTTTCATTTATCTTCCAATTATAAGATTATATTCTTTTTTTTTTTTTTTTTTTTGAGATGGAGTCTCGCTCTGTCACCCAGGCTGGAGTGCAGTGGCGTGATCTCGGCTCACTGCAAGCTCTGCCTCCCGGGTTCACGCCATTCTCCTGCCTCAGCCTCCTGAGTAGCTGGGACTACAGGCGTCCGCCACCACGCCAGGCTAATTTTTTGTATTTTTAGTAGAGACGGGGTTTCACCTTGTTAGCCAGGATGGCCTCGATCTCCTGACCTCATGATCCGCCTGCCTCGGCCTCCCAAAGTGCTGGGATTACAGGCGTTAGCCACCGCGCCCGGCCTATAAGATTATATTCTGATATATGTCTCTTTGCGGTTAAGGTGTGGATTAGTGGGAAAAGGCCAACACACAATAGCTACTTTAAATATCTAGTATATAGTGGCATGCCTGTAATCCCAGGACTTTGAGAGGCCGAGGTGGGCTGATCACCTGAGGTCAGGAGTTCGAGACCAGCCTGGCCAACATGGTGAAACCCTGTCTCTACTAAAAATACAAAAAATTAGCCGGGCCTGGTGGAAGGCGCCTGTAATCCCACCTGCTAGGGAGGCTGAGGCAGGAGAATGGCTTAAACCCAGGGGGCAGAGGTTTCAGTGAGCCAAGATGGTGCCACTGCACTCCAGCCTGGGCAACAAGAGCAAAACTCCATCTCAAAAACAAAAACAAAAACAAAAACAAACCCCAAAAACCAAATATCCAGTATATCTCAGTCCAAAACATAGAATTTAATAGAAATGAAATGGCTGCATTCAGCAGGAGCAAACAGCAAAATCTCTTGGTTTTTGGTTTCTAGCTGGTGCCAGTCTTCAAGATGGTAACATCCTGCTACAGTTGAGAAAGAAGTACAATTTTTGCACTGCCACTGCTTGACTTTACCTTACAAAACAAATCTAACTTACATTGTTGTTGCCTAGATACAAATATTTGTTTCCTGCCTATAATACAAACAAAAAATTAATTTTAACTTTATTTACCAATGTGTCAAAGGACTTGATTAGATTAAAAAGATACCCAAGAACTGATTTATAGCAACTTGTCAGCACATAATTATTTTAAAAGGGTAACTATGTAGTGGAGGGTGGGTATTTGGTATTTTTTGGAAATATTTATCATTGTTTCCTTATCAAAGTCATTGAATGACATGAAAAAGGACTTCCACAAGTTTTCCTGGATATACAACTTACGCAACTAATTAAAGATCTAAAAATTTAACTATTTTTGGAATTGAATTAGACGATTTCATTTGGTAAATGGGTTTTAGAAAAGATAGAAAAAACAAGGATGGCATTTATTTATTATTCCTGCTGTCTGTAATTTTCAGGAATATAAAGGGCACATACATTTACAGAGTATAAAGTGGATGACTTTTATGTTCTGAAAGACAGATAGAGGCATGAAAACACCAATAAGAATGTAATGGGATTCATTTGACTTTCATTTTGCATGGCTGCACATGTCTAGAATTCAGTGTGGTATCTTTAAAATAGTAAGAACTCCCTTCTCTATGAAAGTATAAATAAATACACACATATTAACCAAAAAATATTTGAATGTATATTTTAATTATATAAAAATATTTGTTGATGTGTTTTTTGATTGTTAATGAGAAATAATTCACAAGAATTGAGAAAATAGATGGACTTACTGTTAAGTAAATCAATAGAATTGCTAAAAAGTTTCGAATTTTATATTTCAAAATGTGCAAATAACCATAAAAATTAAAAATAGAGTTGCTTTTTTTGAAATTTACTTTTTATTATTGCCTATCACAAGTATCTATCCCACACATTCATTTGAAATAAAGTTAAATTCGTTAATGTCATAGAGGCTAGCAGGACTGGATTAATGAAATGTTTGCTTATATTAGATAATATTTAGGTTGTTTATGAATAGAAGTATTAGAGAAGTAATTTTTTTTTCAAATCTGGTTTTCATTCTTTACCAATTTTTATCTCTTTGAAATTGAAGATAAAAATATCATAGCACAGAATATTTTTGATGATTAAATAAAAACTGAGGGATATATAATTGTAAATGGAGTTACATTAATTAATTCAACAAACATTCATTGAGTCACTTACTTTGTGTTGGGGATACTGCAGAGAAAAAGATGATAAGGTTTGTGATCTTATGGAGTTTGTACTATCCCAGCGCAACCCAGACAATGAAATGTAAACAATACAGTTCATTTGAAATTGTACTGATTGCTGTAAAGAATTATCTGTAACTGGATGATAATAGAGAGGGTGCTGTTTTGGTAGTATGGTGGAGGAGGGCCTTTCTCCATTATATTTGAGCTGAGAATTAATGACAACAGTCAGTCCTACTATGATTTGGGGTCTGTGCTTCATAAGTGTAAAGGTCCTACCTGGTAGTTTAGTGATAAAAAGAGACGTTAGAACCCAATAAATAGTAGAGAAGAAAGATTATGATTATTTATACCTCTGATTAGGTATAAGTAAGACATCATAAGCTGATTTTAGGGTGTAGTAAGTACCGGAACACAGGTGAAATACAGGGTGTAGTAAGTTCCTGAACAAAAGTATCCAGTAACTTACTTCATTTACATGACATTTAAAATGGTAACAACCTATTTCCCTTTTCAGATGTGTTACCTGGACTTTAATGGTTGCAATGGACTGAATGTTTGTCTCCTTTCAAAATTCATATGTTGAAATCCAATCCCCAATGTGATGGTGTTTGGCGGTGGGCATTTTGGAGTTAATTAAGTCATGGGGTGGAACCCTCATGAATAGGATGAGTGCCCTTATGAGAAGAGGCCAGAGAGTTAGTTCACATGGGAACACAGTTAGAAGTTGGCCCATCTGCAACCCAGTCAAGAGTCCTTAGTAGAACCTGATCATGCTGGTCCTCTGCTCTTGAGCTTTCAGCCTCCAGAACTGTGAGGACATTTCTGTGGTTTGTAAGTCACCCAGTTTATGGTACTTTGCTCTAGCAGCCCAAACTAAGACAACTGAACTTTATTAACTCATCCATATATTAATTTTCAAATGGTGTATTTTAAAATTTCCAATTTATTAGTCTTGGAAGACATAGCCATAATAAACATGAGAGGTAAGTACATTAGTTTTGGAAGGAGGTGGGCTTAGAGAACCATGATTTAGTAAGCATATTTAAAAAATGTAAATTTGATAATGTCATCTCTGTGCTAAAACTTTCCAGCAGTTGCCATTACTTTAGGATAGTGTCCCCCATTTTTAACATGGCTTCTAAGTCACTGCATGATCTGGCCCTTGCTCATGTTTCCCCAACCCCTGCAACCCCACACTGAAGTGCACTCTCACTTCCTTGCTATGCTTCTGATTCAGGACTTAGCACACATGCTGGTCCACCTGCCTGCAGCACTTTCTCTGGCTGCCCTTGGGAGTCTGTCGCCTCAATAAGCCCTTCTAACTCTAGCTTATCCTTTAAAGTTCCAGGTTATGTCACTTTCTCAGGAAGTTCCTCCTTGATCCCCTGACCTAGCTTTAGTTTCTCTGTGAAATGCTCTTATGGCAGTCTTTCTTTACCTTTTCTGTATCATTTTTATTGTTTATTTTTCTTGCTATGTTATAACACAAAATGGGCCAGGCCTGGGTCTGCCCTGTTCTCTGTGATTTTCCAAGAGATTCAACAGTAGGGACTATGCTAGCAATTTGTACATATTTTATTTAATCTTTATTTCAATGGCATTAGCTAATTAATATTTCCATTTTATAAACGAAGAAACTGAGAGTCTGAAAGCCAGGAATTCGGAGCTATGAATAAAAAGTCCAGGTTGGTTTGGATACATGCTTGTCACTGCTTACTAATAGGTTAAAATAGAAGGGTAGGATATAAAGATAAATAGAGATTAAATAAATTTGCAGAGAAGTTAAAAGTGATTTCAAAAGAGCCTGGGGTTAAATCAGAGGCTTGAGGACAGTGGTAGAGGTTTGGGATGGCATCTAGAGGAGCAGAGAAAAGAAGCTGACAAAGAATAAATAGAATTGTCTAGCAGTTTCAAAGGCCTCATTTGTGTTAGCAACTGTAACTTTGAAATGGTACCAACCAGGACAGCTGGGTGACTTTCTCCAGGAAGGCTCGGCTGTGTATGGGCAAGGGCAGCCAGAGCTTGATGCTGGTAAGACCCAGAGCTGGAAACAGGTGAGTCAGCTCAGTGAGAGTGAGCTGTTAGGGGGATTGGAGGTACTGGAGAAAATAGTTAAAAAAGAAAGCCATCAGATCCAAGTTAGATAAGGAAAGGAGTAAGAATACGGGGATGGATTGGGAAAGTGTACATCAGGTTGAAGATATACTGAACTTGAAAAATTGTTAATAGCTCCAAGCACGTCACTGCTTTTGTCAAAACACTTTAAATAGCTCCCCAAATTCAAAAGGACTATAATATCCTTATTTTCAACTTGGAAAATAGATCTACCCTACCTGTTTGGCCTCTCCTCTTCAGTCCTGTTTTTCATTATTGAGCCTGGGCTTCCCAGGTATTTTCCCACATCTGCACCTTTATTCCTGCCAGCCTGTTCTCCAGGGTTGATTTCCACTGTCTCAGCAGCTGT
Source organism: Homo sapiens (assembly GCF_000001405.40). NCBI lineage: Eukaryota > Metazoa > Chordata > Mammalia > Primates > Hominidae > Homo > Homo sapiens. Next base: position 37,358,976 of record NC_000013.11, read on the forward strand.
TTCCTCATTGCAGTTTAACTCATGGAAACACTAGTATGGATTGGCTGAGAAGGGAGCAGTCTGACACCAACAGGGTAGGCCAGAAAGTAAAAGGTCAGGCCGGGCACGGTGGCTCACATCTGTAATCCCAGCACTTTGGGAGGCTGAGGCGGGCGGATCACAAGGTCAGGAGTTCGAGACCAGCCTGGCCAATATGGTGAAACCCATCTGTACTAAAAATACTAAAATTAGCCGGGAGTGGTGGCAGGTGCCTATAGTCCCAGCTACTCAGGAGGCTTAGGCAGGAGAACCGCTTGAACCTGGGAGGTGGAGGTTGCAGTGAGCTGAGATTGTGCCACTGCACTCCAGCCTGGGTGACAGAGTGAGACTCCATCTCAAAAAAAAAAAAAAAAAAAAAAGTAAAAGGTCAAGTCTAACACTGGAGACTTCAAATAAGCCACAGATGAAAACAATATCAACATACTAAAGCTGGAGAAGATACTTAATCAGGTCCTTAAATTGCACATTGATGCGTCTTTTTGAAAGTGTTTTGGAAGGTTGAGCTTGTGTCTGGGCATCCACAATTAAACTGACCCTTCCCTAAGAGGAAAGAGGTAAGCATGACTTGATGATTTGATTGCTAATTAATCATGGAAGGCAAGTAGGTGACAGAACAGAAGCCAAAGTGGTGCGATATCAGATTGTCTGGCTATCCAGTGGCTCTTATTGGGGGTTGGAAGTGGAAGATACTGCAGATTGACCCTCCTCTGATGGTCATTTGCAGGAAATCTCTAGTAGTCAAGTGAGGACTTTCAGGAGAAATGGAATTTGTCTTGTTTATGTCCATGCTGCCAACACCCATGCGCATGGCTGACATATAGTGAGTAGCAAATAAATGTTTGTTAACTGAATCCATGAATATTTTGACTATTAGAAATAGACTTTCTTAGAAATAGGTTGTGAAATTGGGTTTTAATTGTGCTGTGAGTTTATTTAGAGGTACCACTGCCCCTGTTTCCTGTATATGCTACTGGATTTCTCTTCCACTATTAATCAATTGCGTTATCTTAATGATCAGGTTAATGGAGTTTTTATGTTCTTTATTATATGAAAATAACCTACAAATTTTCATGAAAGCCTTATAGGCACAGATTTAGAATTTAGTGTGCATTTTTAAATCATTAACTACAAACTGGAGAAACATCCCACTATGGGATTATATATTATAGTTTTGATTAACAATTCTGTTACACCCTTTTCTGCAGATAGAAATCATAGAATTTAAAAAAAGTTGTTTATTTTTTATTCTTTAGCTTTTTGTATTTTAAGAAATCATTGCTTTCATTTGAAGTTAATAAGTATTCTGGATTTTATAAATGATATAATGTTTCTAAAATGTTTCCTTAGGCTATGTAATAGCAAAACTGAGGCACTATAAGACACAAGGTAAACTAAGGACAGGGTCATGTTTATGGGAATAAAACCTTCCTGACAACGTTTACATGCTTAAATAGAAGTGAGTGGTAAAATAATAAAAAAAAAAAGAGAGAGAAAGAAAATATGCTCCAATGTGTGCCTTAAGTTTTACCTTGTTTTCATTTTGTTCATTGTTTCCTTGTGAATTGTCTTTGCTTTTTCATTCTGTAGCCTGTTTTCAGTGAACAGATCACATTCCATGAGAAAGCGGAGCTGCTACAAGGGATAATTCATCCTTAAAACATTGTTTTTTTTTTTAAGTTCTTATAAATGGAAAAATGAACTAGCATATCCTCTTCAGCTATCAGGGAAATTGCCAGAGAGGTAGATTTTAAGCATGGGAATATGTTTAAGATACTTGTTGTAAAATACACTTCCTGGTCCCTAAATTCCTAAGAATTTATCAACATGTTTCATTTCCTCTTCTTCGGAAAAAAGCTGTTTCACAACCTCTAATCTTTACTTTTATAAGGAAAACCAAAAACCAAACCCCAAAACCCTACTGCATCACTTAACCTCATTTTGGATTTTCTTGAGGTTATTCAAGGTAAAGTAAATAATAAACAATATGTAATATGTACACAAGTGTTAACTTGTTTGTTTATGTTGGGCTAATTGTGAAGGAAGAGAATCTGTCTGACTGAGGACTGGTCACTGTGATGCTTTCACTCATTCACTGATGTCCGACAAGGAGCAAGTAACTATTGATTAAATAGTTGTCAGGAATTTCTGATTTTCTGTGCTAGCATTTATTCATATTTGTGCTGTTGATTAGGGCATAAATAAGAGCTTATTTTGATACTAAATTGTCAGAGTAATCATTAATACAAAATATTTAATAACCCATGTCTCCTCAGCTGTATGATCACTTACATATTTTCCTGAGAAAAAAATAAGTTGTTTACTGAATGCTAGCTTTTAAGTCCTTTGAGAATTTGGAGTAGAGGGAAAAACAGCACAGTCAGGAGGACAAAAGAAAAAAAAGTAAAACAAAATCATCTTCAGACAGATTTGGGAAAAGTTATCCTAGAATACTTTAAAAGCAGAAGGAAAGCATTGCAGAATAAAAGAACTCCTGGGGATGAAAAATACTAGAGCAGGAATAAAAATGTTAGTAAAGTTTGGAAGATATTAATGCAATTTCCTCATAACTAAACAAGTAAATAAAGAGATACAATATAAGCAAAAGGATAAAGGATACAAGAGGTAGACAGTCAAGCTCGAAGATCTGACATCTAGCTAATCTTAGTTTCGAAAGGATAGTGACTATGGAGAGAAGAAAAATAGCAACACAATGCCAGAAAATGTTCTATAACTGAAGTTATCAGTTTCTAGACTGAAAGGTTTGGCCAGGTATCCAGCACATAAATGAGAAATGAGTCACGCTAAGCCTCATCATTGCAAGAGTCCAGAATACCAAGAAGAAGACAACCCTAAAATCTTCCAAAGAGAACCAAAGCAGAGGATATACACAAAGGGACAGAGATCAGGATGACAGATTTTTCAAGGGCAACAATACTAACTGGTGGACAAAGGAGCAAATTGACCATGGAAATTAACTTTTCAACCTAGAATTATACATCCAGCCAAATTATACATCATACATTGCAGCTATAATAAGACAATTTGAGACATGGGAATTCTAAAAAATGTTATGTCTCTTAAAAGCACTCTTATCTCATGAAGTGAACAGTTGATCTGCTGCAACAGAAAGAGGGAGAAGCCATGAATGAGGATGACCTGGGGTCCAGAAAATAGAGTCCAGCAGGAGAGAAGAAATCTCCAGGATGTGGATAAAGAGAAATACCATTGGCCAGCTGAGCAGCAGGTATAGCTGACAACAGGCTGGAGCAGGTTAGGGAGTGCTCCTGGAGCCATGCAGCAAAGAAAGAGAAGTTGGAACCTTTTGATTAGGATGTTTGATTGTATTAAAGGAGCTTTTTTTTTTTTTACTAGTCCTTTAAAATAACGTGGGTAAGAATTAGTGTTAGGTGTTTAGAAAACAAGAAAAATGCAAAAATTGGCAATTCTAAGAGGAACAAAATTTTAGTACATGATGTGAATCAGTTGTGGATAAGATTTAAGTCCTATTAATGTGAGCTATGACCATTGCTTTGACATTTGTGATATTGAGAGGAGTGATATTGAGAGGGGGGTGGTAGAAGAGGAGTGAGAGAGCAAGTTTGTGGGAATACAAAACAGGTAAATCTCCATCCTTCATAGGAGGAAACTGATCAATAATGTTTGAAACTGTCAAGTCAAAAGTAGATATGTATGTCTGTCTTTAGAAATATAGAGACAGATACCAGAAGAAACAGCTAAAAGGAGTTGAAATTGGTTTCCTCTGGAGGAAGCCCTAAAAGGGTGGGTATGGTAGAAAGGACTCTTTTTTTTTTTCATTATAAGTTTTGTAGTACTATCTTTTAAAGCTAAGCACATGAATTCTTATTCTTATTCTTATTTTGAGACAAAGTCCACTCTCTTGCCCAGTCTAGAGTCCAGTGGCATGATCATAGCTCACTGCAGTCCTGGAACTCCTGGTTCAAGGGATCTTCCTGCCATTTGTGTGTGTATGTAGAAAAGGGGTCTCACTATGCTGCCCATGCTGGTATTCAACTCCTGGCCTCAAGCAGTTCTCCCGCCTCGGCCTCCTAAAGTGTTGGGATTACAGGCGTGAGCCATCTCACCGGGCACACATGAATTATCTTGATATTTAAAAAGGAAGTAAGAGAGGCTGAGGGAAACCTCTGTTTTCTTGTTCTAGTGGGTGTTCATTTCTGGTCATGAAGCCCTAGAACTTGTGTGGTGGTTGATTATTGGCTGGAATGAGTTTAGTGCTCAGCCAATTAAATGGAAGAAGGAGACCTGAAGTAAGTACACTCCCAGGTTAATTCCAGCTCCACCATCTTCCTTATGACCTTGTTCGTTGGACATTCAGGAACGCAGGACTCACTCCGGAAGCTACTGCCCATAAAGAGTCGTCAGCTGTCAGTCCCCAGTGGGGATGGTCATGGCTGAAGAGAGTGAACCTGGGACGTCTTGCCAAGTTGCTTCATTTTCCTGAGCCTCAGCTTCTCTCATTACTCTTTCACAGAGATGATAGGGAAATCCCACCTCAGACTCACATCCACAGAGAAGGGTGGTTGTCTGTGTGGAAATAAAGATGTACTGGAAAATATAAACTTGTTACCTACATGGCTAGCTTCATCCAGCTGTGGAAAGAGTAGTTAGACAGAGTTGGAAGACTTTCCTTGGAATAACACAGGCCTAACTACTTTGATTAGTTATTGGATATTATAAGGGGATAGGAGAGGAGAAGAAAGGAGCAAAAGGAAACTGATCTTGCTTCAACATCCTGGTGTTGACAGTGAGGGAACCATTAAACTCAACACATGAAAACTGTTTGAAATTACTAATTAAGAAAATAATGTCGTACTTTTATAAGCATGAAAGCTGACAAAATTACCACCATGAACTATAATCCGGAGTTTATCCCTAAAGTCCCTTCTAGGTTACATGCAGGAGCACATTCAATCAAATTGTCAAATTGCTGTTTTCTTCTGCAGATGGGATTTTCCAAAAGGAGCAGAAAGTCAGTAGGAGAAAAGTTGGAGCTGTACATCCTCAATGAGTTGCTACTTCTGTTATACACAGAAAATTAAAAGTTGAATGAAACCCGCAACTAAGAAATACCAAGTTCAACTAAATTAATAAAATGTGGTAAGTGGCTATGATTCATGTAGTTGAGCTTCACCATTGATCTGTAGGGAATAAAGAGGCAGCTGAGTTATCAAAATGAACAAAAGCAGTTGCTAAAGTTGGCAGTAAATGAGGGGCTGACAGGAATTTCCAGAGTTCAGACTTCTTGTAGTAGACACAGGAGTAAGCAGCCATAAGCCTCTTTTTTTTTTTTTTTTTGGAAATTAAAAGGAAAGTGAATCTATTTTTTTATCCTCAATTAGCAAGTGATTACCATATATCATGAACATGAATATAATTTTTTTAATTTTGTATTATAAAAATAAATTTGAATGAGGCAGACAAGCAAAAAAGATATCACTTCTAATCCAAGTATACAGGCATAATCACTATCAAAACTTAGTAGATGTCTTTTAAGAAACTATCAAAACTTAGTAGATGTCTTTTAAGAACTTTGTCCTACTTACTAACCAACTATTAGCAAGATACATGATGATACAATATTTATTAATTTTATCTATATGTTTTACGTTTCAATGTCAATTCCATTCTTTAATGATAAATTTAAACCATTGCAAATGTGATTCAGGCAACCAGAATATTATTGATAACTTACTTATGAGATTATTTGCCTGTTTGTGGTTATTTGCCTTATTAATGAGATTATTTGTTCTGTTCGAGGAATTTTTTTTTTTTTTTTTTGGATGGAACACTGTGTTAACCAAGCCTAGTGCAGGATTTCTTTTGAGTTATAGTACGGCTAAGAGCAAGTATAGCCTTTTTAGTCTACCATTCCAAATGTGAGAAATTTTCTGAAGCATCTATGATGTCGAACTTCTGTAAATTTGATACAAGTAGCTTACTATTTATCCAAATTATAAACCTGGTAGTCTCTGTTTCTTAGTGGAGTCAATTGGGTTAGAGTATTATTAATGTGAAAGTAAGTTTTCCATATGAATATATTATTAGGAATTTAGAAAATGTGTGTTTTCCAGATTCCCAACTTATGTTTTACTCTGAGTAGCTTGAGTGTGTTCTACAAACACCGCTTTCCTGAATACCAAGGGCTCTTGATTGACAATTATTTTTCTTTGAAATAAAGAGCAATAACTAGGACAATGTATTATGGAATGGAAAAAAAGCACTGATAAAAATTTCCTGCTCTTTATGCTTCCAGAGTTTTCCTTATGACCCACCTTTAGCTTTATCTGAGGGGTGATATAGACGGGGTAGCCTCTGTTTGTGTGTGTGTGTGGGCAGGGCAGGGGGCGGGTGGGTCGTTGTGGAGTGTAGCCAAATTAAAAAATAGCTCTTGAGTGATACTCTTTTCTGGTTTTCTACTTTTCACTTTCCCTTTTTAAATAGTAGGATTTTTGTTCATTAAAAATAAATTTTATTTTACCTTTTTTGCCTAAACTGCCTCTCTTCCTCTCTGTATCGATGAATCAGGATCACATGTGATCATCATTCATTCATTCATTTATTCAACAAATATTGTTTGAGGGCTGTGTATCAAGTGAGCCAATGTTCCTTTGAAAAAAAAAAAAAAGAAATACTGCCAAGTGGAAACACATCACTCTTTATGCCTACTCTCCTGGGAAAGACAAAACAAAGTGTTCATTTATGTAAAAAATAGACTATGTAAAACATTTCTTTATGTTCATAGTAGCAAGAACTAATTTGAATAAGTTCTTCTTAAATTAATGATATTCCAGGCTATAAAGCAGTAGGATGTAACACGTTAATGTCTTTCAGTCAATATTGCAATCAAATTTTTGTGTAGTACTGTTTATTAATATTTAATATATTAAAGACATGAATTTATTGTTTTTACTCAGTTCTTCAAGCATTAATTTTTTAAAAAGCTTGATCCCCGAGGATGTATTAGGATAACATGAAATTCCATACTCTACCAAAATGCTATATTGATTTCAGTTCATATATTAAAACATCTGTTCTAATTCTCAATGTTATTATACACCAAAAAATAATGAAGTGGCAAGTTATCTGAGAAATTTGTCAATCCACAGCACACATTTTCTTTGGATAGTTTTAGATTTCACAACATGAGAAAACAGGCCTAGAAGGAGCTGGAAAATATGTTAGTCAATGGATGATGGAGTATTGGATTTTGGCTCTGCTTAGATTTCAAATCCTAACGTAGAGAAAGGAAAAATAGAATGCATTACGCATAGAGGCATAATGTGAGATGTCAGTGACACTTATTTAATTTTACCTGAAATAACAAATTTGTTTTGAATGTCACTTAATGTCTTACAGCACTTTTCTCAGAAATGTGAATCACTGCTGGTCGAGTCCCTAATTTGAGGTCTCAGGTCTCAGCCTACCTGCAAGGAAGGCAGTAACTATGTGGTGTTAATAAAACTGTTTCCCCTCTGCTTGCCTCCTCTTAGTGCTGTGGGCTGAAGATGTATATTCTGGCATTCCTCCTTTCCTCGAATGTCCTGCCAAGGCATTTCTGCCTGAATACACTGAGACCAAGGATGGCATATTAGAAAAAAATTTCTTTTCCAAGCTAGATGAATCACTGCTTCTTCTCTGAATTTCAGCTCTCCGTGACTATGGTGGAGAAGCTGTTGACAAAGTGTTGTATGCAGGGGCCACCTTTGACTCTCTTATCCTTTTCTTTATCTCCACCTTATACTCATCTATAGTTCTATGAACTCTATCTTCCTCTCCCTATTGTTGGAAATTCTGATTCTGAATACTAAACCAGAATTAGACGTGGAAGTCTGGTAAAGATTATTACCTTTATTATTGCTAAAACTGGGTTGGAAAATGAAGCCTGAATTGATGGTCAAAATGAGGCTTCCCACTGCTTTACCCAGGTTTGAATCTCAGGATTCATCTGGGGAAACCATGGTACAGCCTACACTATGTAGCAGACAGCACAGGGAACAGAAACTCAACTTACACACCTGAGGAGAAATCCTGAAAACAGGGATCTCTAAGTAGACATGGGCCTGCTGACTTGCCTCTGAAAGGCAGTCCCTGGACTCTGACACGGGTTTGTTAGTGTGTGATGGACTCCAGTGGAGAAGGGCAATGACCCCTCCTTCATGCGGGTCTGTTCTCAAAGGCAACTAGAGGCAAAGCCTGCACAGTGGAGCCGTTTCCTTTCCCCTGTGCTGTCCATTGGGTCAATCAGTTCTCCTCCTGGGAGCAGAGTGAGCAGGTGGGTTGGTGAAGTGGTGGAGAGGAGGTCTGAAGCCACCTTCCATACTTTTTTGGTGGTGTTTGTATTTTATGTGTTGTTGATGGGAAATGTGGAGAGAAGGAAAAAGAAGTGCTTTTCCATGTTATTCTCCTCAATCATCAGCTTAATCAGGCCTTCGAGATATCTACATTGAATTGATGACTGTCTGACTGCACTTAAAATCCATTGGAATAAATGTTCTCTTAAAAAAAAGATTATGTCACCCCCTCAGTTAAAATTTCCCTATTGGTTTTCCATAGTTGTTTGGATGTAATCCAAAATCCATGCTGTCTTGCCATGGCATTCTAGCCTTTTTATACCCAAGTCCATGATCAACTACTCAGTCTGATTTGTCATTACACTCGCTGTCAACTTTTGCTCCAGGCTTATCGAACTCCTTGCAGTTTTCCAAGCATGTATGTCTTTGCCTACCCCGTTGCCTTCATTTTTGCTGCTCCCTTCCCGGGAAATACATTCTCTTGCTTTCTTTATCTGGATAGATTTCACTGAGCCTTCAGAACTCAGCTTAGGCATAATTAGCTCCTATTGGACACCTTCACTGAATTATTGAGGTGTGCCACCTCAAGTGAGGTGAGGTTTCTTCCAATGTTCCTTATAGTATTTCCTGCTTGCCTACTGTGATAGGGTCTTCTTATCTGCATATTCATATTGAATGTAGTCCCTAGCATATAATAAACCATTGATAACTATTGCCAGCATCTCTCACATTGCTTCCTTCCTTAAACAGAGCCATAGTTTCAATATTTGTTTTGCTCTCAAATGTGGATTACAATAACAATTGCCTAGATTTGTATAGAAATAGGCTTACCAGTTGTTTATTAAAATCTTGATAGCTTTGCGGATATTGGAAGAATGTTTTTCTCACTAAATAATATTTTTGTTTTTCTGTTATCATTCCTTCAAAATATAAATAAGATGATTTTAATAAACTTTTTCTAGTGTTTATAGTGATCAAATTGTAATAAAAATTACTGTACATCATTATTCAAATTCTCAGATATTCATTTTTAACAACTTATAAACCTTCATGAAGAGAGATTTTTACTCTGACCCAAGTGGTCTGGATGGTGTAATTGTGAAATGGATTTCTTACAAATTTAGTGACATGCTGCATCAAGCAGTAAAAATGACGGATGGATCATATGGGAAACAGAAAATATGTTATGTCATCCTGTTCTGAAAGGCATCCCGAAACCTTATCAAATAGATGTTCAATATTTTACACAAAAGAAAAGTTGCATGCCCCATGAGAGTTAAAGAGTTGAGAGCTAATTTGTTACGTACAGGTTGAAGTAGAAAGTGACTGCATGGTTAGCCTTTTAACCTATCTTTAAATCCACTGGGAAGAAAAGCCAAAATGATTTTGGGGATAAATTGACTTCTTGTTTATCTTTGTGCTCGAATTTGTCCAATCAAGTAAAAATATTTGCATGGTGTGCATTGTGATATGATTATCTGGGGACTGAAAAATGTGGTATGAATTATAAAGATTGGATCTCGAATTCTTAATAAAACCTTTACTGTTTCACAGTTTTTTCCTAACTTACAAAAAGCTTTTATATTTGTAAGAAGACAGTTTTATTCATTCAACCTTTAATAAATATATATTGAGCACCTTTTTTGTGGTATTTTTCTGTGCATAAGAAACTTCATACTCATTTAAAAATATTCTGCAGGCTTTTTTTTGGTAGTTTTAGAGTTTTTATTTGATTTGTTTTTAGTTTTATATGTAAATTTAAGGAAAAGTTGCTAGAACAGTAAAAGTACCCTGGATATTCTTTAATCTATGTTTGCCAATTGTTTACATTTATTTCATTTGCTTTATCATTTATATTTATATGTATTTGTAAAATTTATATGAATATATATAATTTAAATTTGTAATTATGAATTTATAAATTCATAAGTTATGTTTATAATATACATGTATAATTTATTTGTATTTTTAATATTTATATTTACACATATATTTATGTATGTGATCATAGTTTATTTTCCTAATCATTTTAGGATAAGCTGGAGATATGGTACCCTTTTACAATAATTCTTCTAGTATACTTGCTAAAATTAGAGGATTTTCTTACCTTACCATTGTATAATTATTGAAACCATGTGCTTTTTCATTGGTGCATTAGTATTATCTAGTACACAGCCCATATTTAAATTCTATCAGTTGTCCCAATAATTTCCTTTATAGCTATTTTTTTTCCCTGATCCGGGATCCACCTAATAGTAAATTAGTAATGAAGCAATTCAATCATGCATTGCCTTCGGTTTTTAGCCAGCTTTAAGCTAGAACAGTTTGTGAGTCGTTTTTGACCGTTTTGACTGGTATTTTTTAAAGATTATGGACTAGCTGTTTTGTAGTATGACCTTCAATTTGGATTTGTGGGACAGTTTTTCATGATTATATTAAAGCTATCCATTTTCAGCAGAAATACCACAGCAATGATTCGTGTCCTTCTGAGTGCATCATGTCAGGAATCATGTGATGTTGGCTTGGTCCAAAACTGCTTATCATTAAGGTTATGTCAGCCAGGTCTCTCCATTGTAAAATAATTTTCCTTTTGATTTAACAAGTAACTTGTGGGGAGATACACTGATAACATGTAAATGATGCTCCTTAAAATTTTCATTCACTGATTTTAGCATTCATGGATGTGTTTCTCCTTGTTACTTCTACATGTATTAGAGTAGCATTCCACTACTCAAAGGATGTTTTCTTCTCCTCCATTTATTTATTCATTGTTCCAGAATTTTTTCATTGTCTGGTAGGAGCCTCTTCACACTGTTCTCTGTGTCCTTTTGTTGTCTACACAACTTTTTGAGTACTTTCTTGTACTGTAAGTCAGATATTCTAGGCTCATTTATGCCCTCCTTGTCCCAGACCTAGAATCAGCCTTTTCTCTAGGGAGCCTCGATGCCGTTTAGTGTAAAATGGTATTTAGAAACTAAAATCTCCGTGCTAGGTATGGTTACTACTACTGGCCTGTCCTTGTTCCTAGGCTTTGTCAGCAAACAGAGGTAGGAAATGTGTGTGCGTGAATGTGGGTGTACATGCAGCTGTATCTATATTTATGTCTGTATCTATTCAGTAGAAACCATGCATTCATACTGATACCTCCAATTCCGATTCAGTGTCACAGGATATATTTTAAAACTTCTTCATTTTTATAGTTGTAAATCCCTTTGTGATGGTTAGTTTTATATGTCAACTTGGCCAGAGTATGGTAACCAGTTATATGGTCAACAGTCTAGATGTTGCTGTGAAGATATTTTAGGTGTGATTAACATTTAAATCAGTAGACTTTGAGTAAAGCAGATTACTCTGCATGTGGTGGGTGGGACTCATCTGACTGAGATCCCTCATGGAAAAGGGAATTCCACTTTCAGACTGCCTTTGTATTCTGGACTGCAGCATCAATGGTTCCCTGGGTCTCCAGCTTGCCAGCCTGCTCTGTAGATTTTAGACTTACCAGCCCCCATCATCATGTGAGCCAACTCCTTAAAATAAATCGCTCTATCTTTTTTCTGTATTCACGTCTACATCTATATCTTTATATCTATGTCTATGTCTATATCTATATCCATCTATTGTCTGTATATCTACATACATCTTATTGGTTCTGTTTATCTTGGGAGCCCTAATACACCCTTCTAGACTAGAATGCCTAGAAAATAGTTTCAGAATTGCTAACCCACACTACCGTGAAAAGCCAGTCTCCAAACAAGAGTTCAATATTTGTTTGCAACATTTTTTGAAGGTAAAATTATATACCAAAATTTTGTATGCACAAAATTCAGTGGAAAATACAACAAATTTAGGCAAATGCATTCATTGATGTGAAGCACACACATCTGCAAGATAGAGAGTAGTTTCATCATCTCAGAAAGTTGCCTGAAGCCCCTTCTGAGTCAATACCCTTGCCTTTCCTTTAATTATTGTTTTCCTGATTTTATTGGCCATGGATTAATTTTTCCTGTTCTGGAACTTCATCTATATGTACTCTACCATATTCAAATCCTTTAGCACAGCACAATGTCTGTAAGATTTATTCATGTTTTATTATAATAGTTCTGTTTTGTTGCTGAATAGTATTCCATTTGTGAATATATTATAATTTATTTGTTTTCCTGTTAATGGACATTTGAGTTTTTTTCATTTGGAGGCTATAATGAAGGAAACTTTGTAAATATTTGTGTACCAGTCTTTGTGTGAACAGATGTTTTTAAATTTCTGTTTAATAAATACCCAGAAATGAAGTGCTGAGTTGTAGTAGGGGTGAATATTTAACTTTACAGGAAACTGAGGAACACTTGTCCAAAGGGGTTGTACCATTTACATTCTCATCAGCAATGAATGAGAGTTCAAATTGTATCTGCATCATATGCATCACTTGATATTTTCAGTCTGTTTAATTTTAGTTATTCTAGTGGCTATAAATGGTATTTTATTGTAACTTTAGTTGTAATATTCTGATGATGAATTAATGATGTTGAGCACTTTTGTGAGCTTAATGACTATTGTACATCTTTCCTTGTAAAGTGTTCACATTTTTGCTCATTTAAAAAAAGTGAGTTGTCTTTTAAAACTTTGGATTCTAAGAATTCTTAACATATTCTGGATATGGGTCCATGATCAGATATATGTTTTGTGAATATTTTCTCCCAGTGGTGGTTGCTTGTTCATTTTCTTAACAATTTCCTTTGATGAGCAGATATTTAATTTTGATGAAGTCCAATATGTCAATATTTTCCTTTTTTCTTATTATTTTCTGTGTCTAATCTAGATCTTTTCCTACTGGTAGGTAGTAATGCTATTATCCTATCTTCTCTTCTAAAAGCTTTATGTTTTTGAATTTTCAGTTAGGTCTATGATCTATCTCAAATTGATTTTTATGTATGGTGTGAGTAAGAGTTGAGGGGTTTTTTTTTCCGTATGATATAGACTTCTTTATATTTCATCAGTTAGAAGATTTTCCTTTCTCCATTTAATTGCTTTAGTCCCTTTGTCAAAAATCAATTGGCTAAGTGTGGGTCTCTTTCTGGACTTTATTCTCCATTTGCCTATCCTTGTACCAATATCAAAGTATTTTCATTGCTATAGATTTGTAATAAGTCTCCAAGTGAGGACCCATAAGTCCTCCAGATTTGTTCTTTTACAAGATTGTTTTGGCTATGCATTTCCATATCAATTTTAGGAGCATCTTATCAAAGTATATTAAAAAATTATCTTGTGTTAGTATTGAGATTATATTAAATCTATAAATTAATTTAAGAAGAATTAACATCCTAACAATATTGTGTCTTTCAATCAATAAACATGTATATATTTCTCCTTTTATTTAGATCTTTAATTTCTTTCAGAAATAGTTTTTGTGGAGGTTTTGTGTGTATTTTGTTAAATTTATTCTCAAATATTTAATGTTTTTTTTACCATGTGTTAAAAAATTGTTTTAAATTTTATTTTCCAAACCTTTGCTGTTGGTATACAGGACTGTAATTATATTTTGTATGTTAACCTTGTATCTTACAATGTTATTAATTCACTTGTTAGTTTTAGCAGTTTCTGTTTTAACTCCTGAGAGTTTTATATCATCTTCAAATTGAGTCAGTTTTCTTTCTTTCATTCTGATCTCAATGCCTTCAAATTTGCTGCCATAATATTGCAAATAATACTCATTATATTTGTAATATCTATAGGAGCGCTGGGGAAAAACTCTCTTTCATTGTATTATTGGTAAGTTGTGTTTTCTCTTTTCTTCCTCATTAATCTTTCAAAGGTCTTAGATTCAAAGAGCTAACATTTAGCTTCGTGAATTTTCTCCATAGTTTGTTTCCTGTTTCACTGAGTCCTCCCTTATTTTCTTTCTGCTTAATTCAGGTTTAATTTGCTTATCGTTTTCTAATTTCTGTAGGGAGACACATAGATAATTGATTTTGAACCTCTCCTCTTTAGAAAATAAACAAATCTATCAGTTTTTTTCTAAACCCTGATTTAGTAGTATTCACAAGTTTACAAACACACACAATTTTTTAAATTGTCATTCAATTAAACATATTTTCTTATTCCATCTGTGATTTGTTTTTTATTTATGGGTTATTTATAAGTTGTTTTTTAAAATTCTAAATGGGGGATTCCCCAGGTGCGTGTGTACGTGTGTATATATTTTTAAAAAATTGACATAAAATATATGTATTTGTCATGTACAGCATGATGTTCTGAAATATGTACACATTTTGGAATGACTAAATCTAGCTAATTAACATATGCTTTACCTCATATAGTTATCACTTTTGTGGTGGGAATACCTAATATGCACTATCTTGGCATTTTTAAGAATACAATATATTGTTATTAACTATGGTCACCCTGTTGCATAACAGATATTTTGAACTTATTCCTCCTAACTAATTGAAATTTTGTGTCCTTTGACCAACCTCCCAAATCCCCTCCCCAAATGTTCCAGCCATTCTGTAAAAAATGGCAAGATTTCCTTCTTTTTATGGCTGAATAGTATTCCATTGTGAATATATATCACCTTTTCTTTATCAATTTATTCACTGATGGACACTTGGGTTGAGTCCATATGCTGGCTATTCTGAACAATGCTGCAATAACATGAAAATGCAGATGTCTCTTCACATACTATTTCATTTTCTGTGGACATCTTTTCATTCACAATTTCTGGTTAAATCTTGTGATAGAGAGCATGCTCTATAAATTTCAGTCTTTTAAAACTTATTAGGAATTACTTTGTAGCCAAACAGATTTCTAACTTGGTGAACATTCTATGTGTACTTGATAAAAATGTGCATTTTGTAGTTGTTGAATGAATAAAAAGGTTGTTAGGTAAAACTGATAGATTCAGATCTTTTATATTCTTATCTTTTTTGTCTCATTCAATAAATTACTAGGAGAGTATTTTTAAAGACTTCACCTATTATTGTGGATTTGTCTATTCTCTGACTTACAGCTTTTTTTGTATGACAGTTTAAATAAGTACCTTGTGAAAATGTACGGTAACTTTTAACATCTTTCATACAATAAAGACAGCAGACAGCAATTATAAGTATTAAACAGAAATAAAATACTCCATGGATATGCCATTTAAACTCACTATATTCATATCTCAAAGCTTTTTAGAACCTACTTTGTGCCAGGCCACATGGTAGATACAGATAAACATGTTTTCTATCCTGAGAGTCTCCTTCTCCAGATAGATACGTAAATGATGTAAACTCTTAAAAATATAATGCTATGTACTCTACAATACAGCAAGTCATAATTACAAAATATAAGACTTCTTTGTCAGTAAGTAAACTATCTTTGTTAAAATAAATCTCTATCTTAAAGTCTGAAATTATATTTAGACATTACATGTCTGGCATATTGAGAAATATTTTAGTGTTATAAAAATACTATTCGACTTGGTGTCAGTGCTGAGTTTGAGTTCAGACTCTATCACTGGTTGTTTAATCCTGGGCAATCGCCTGAGTCTCAGTTTTCTGAATTGTAAAATGAGACAAATATTAACATGCATATAAACTAGCTTTTAAGGTAAAGTAAGAGAAGAATATATAAAAGATTGCTATAAAGTGCTACCAAATGTAAGATATTGTTAATAAAACTAATGCAGGTTGCTTCGCGGTAGTTCCAATTCACAGCATTCATTTAACTCTTTTTACTTTGGCTTTAAAAAATAGACAATTGAATAATATACTCAGATAACATGTGTATGATATTAGAGTGATTAGAATTTGACCAAATTGGTGATGAATTTGGCAGTTTGTCTGCTGACAGCTGAGGCTTCTTGGGCTGGAAGAAACATTAGAAGTAGTACATTCCCTATCCCTCAGTATCAAACAATAAAACAGACACTCAGATCACTTGAGTGACTCACCCAAGTTTGCACAGTCAGGTGCTGTAAGGGCTAGGTAAGGCTGTGATCCAGACGTTTGAACTCCAAGACCAATAGAATTTTCAATACACAGTTCTGCATTTCTTGTTTGTCTGTAGAGTATCTTAATAATACTGTAACAAGAAGTCTGAAACTCTGGGTTCAAGAAAGTCTACTTTCCTATTAAATGTGTAATAAAAGGGATATAGATGAATTTGGAGAGCTGCTTGGAAATATATTAATGGAAATGGAATAATGAGAATTCTTACAATATTTTCCCATTTACCCATGAAATAAAATGGTAGTGATCTTGGTTGTTTTGAATAAGATTTCTAATTTAATTAGAAATGTGTAGATGAGGGATATTTAGAAAAATTTTATGACTTGACAGCTCAATTTGGGTATACACTATCATCACTTTATCTCAAATTTAATGAACCCGAAATTGAACCAATCTATCCTTCCAGAATAATTTTCATTCTCAACTCCCTATAGATACTATTATTTCAGCGTTTTAAGTTAGAAAACTTATGATTGATTTTTCTTTCTCCTTGAATCCTATTTTTAGTACCAAGACCTTTATTTATTTTTTTGTCTTTGCTGCTTCCTTTCAATTCTTGGGTGTATACTTTGAGTCATAGCATTTCATCATCTTACCTCTGGATTATTAGAGCATTATTTGTATTGGGCTCTCAGTATTCTCCTGTGAGATAAATCTCCCTAAAATACTGCTTTCATCACCTCTCTTAAAAACTCACGTTTCCCTAGCATCAATTATTTGGCTTTTGGGGCACTGCATCATCTGTGCCAGTCTTATCTGTTCGATACTATTCCTATGGTTTCCCCACACATACTCCCTATTTAACCTCTGTTTGCATCGTGGCTACCAGGTACAGTGGTGCCCTGCCCTTGGAACAATTTCTGACCACTGGCAGCATCCCATCCCTGGTGCCTTCTTCTCTGCCTGCGACTGTCTCCTAAATCTGTGAATTTGCTCAGCTGTATGCAGGTACAGCCCAGGGCAACCTGCAACCAATCGTCCAGGCTAGAAATTAGAGTCGTGTGCCCCAAGTTTCCCATCCTTGTAGTGGTGGGAGAATGGTTCTGAAGTGTTTTCCACATGGTATCTAAGCAGGCAGAACAATGGTCACCCAAAGATACCCACGTGCTAACCCGCAGACCTGTGACTAAGTTACCTGACAGATCAAAAGGGACTTTGATGACTGATGTGACTGAATTAAGAATTTTGAGATGGGGAGAATTATGTTGGTGGTCTCAATGTAATCACAGGGGGACTTATAAGAAAGAGATGTAATGATGGAAGTGGAGTGAGGCTGTTAAGGAAGGGGCAGCAAGTCAAGGAATGTGGGCAATCCCTAGAAGTTGGAAAAGGCCAAGAAACAGCTTTTCCCATAGAAGTTCCTGAAGGAACACAGCTTTGTTGATGCCTTGATTTTAGCTTTGTTGGACCCATTTTTGCACTTCTGACTTCCAAAACTATACGATAATAAATTTCTGTTGAATTACACTGCTAAGTTTGTAGTAACTTGTTATAGCAGCTATAGAAAGCTAATAGAATGTGTTAGATTCTCCAGGAAAATTGAGCTACAGTGCCCATAGCGGTTACCCAGTCATTGTCATACACTTGATTAGTTTCTGTCTCTTTTCTGTGTCATTTTCCCTCCTTCCCCACTTGTGCTTCCTGGAATTACATGGAAATAAGTTGTCCTCCCCCCAGGTCGGCTTGAGGGATAATCCAAACTAAGATACCGTCATCATTTCTGTTCCTGCTTTGCCAACTTTTCCTCCCTGCTCAGAAATTTCTTCTTCCTCCTCATTCCTTCCAGTTCCATTTTCTTCAAGGCCAAGCTTAAGAGCCATTTCCCTCTCTATGAGGCTTCTCTCCTACGCCAGCCCCCAAGGTTCTCTCTTGATTTTCTCACCTTCCTTTTCTCCTGTCATGAGTAAGTATATCCTTATCCCTTGAGTGTTTTCCTTGCTCTTTCTATTTACCTAACCAGTCCACATTCCAGATGCTGAAAGTCTTGTTTCTTGTGAGATGGACCATATTGGAGAAGTGAGGCTACTTGAACTGAATAACTGGTCACCCTCGGTCAGACTCAAAGGTAAATGTCTATTGAGGGAGCTCCTTTCCCAAATCCCTGCCTATAGGGAGTGTATATATTTGAGTGCCTATGTTGGAACACAGATAATAAGAAAATGAATAAAATGAATAAGTAAAATATATAGCCTGTTAGATAGTAATAATGGCCAAAGAGAAAAACAAAGCTGGAGAAGGATACAGATTAGCTATGTGGTAGTTTTAGATAGTGGATCAAGGGGACACCTGACTTCACTGAGGAAGGTAAGGACTCAAAGGTGAGGAAGCAGACTGACAGAGTTTCTTGGAGAAGAATGTTTAAGGCAAAGAGAATAGTGGTGAAAAGGGCCTAGGCTGAAGCATGCCTAGGTGTATTCAAGAAACAGTGAGAAGCACCATGCAGCTGTAGTAGGGTAAGCAAGGGAAAACTAGTAGGTCATAAGATCCAAATCCACATAGGTGAAATTCACTTCTCACTTTGCCCAAATTTCCAACTAATGTGTATTGTTCTGATGTAGTTATCAATGGTGCTCCTTTTTTATTCTACTCTTAGGCCATTGTAGGGCATAACTTTTCTGCTGAGCATGATGGAAAGTCATTGGGGGTTGTGGAATTGGGGGGGTTCTAAGGAGATAAATGACACAATCTGATTAACATTTTAATTAGACCAATGTGGCTGCTGTATTGAGAAGAAGATCAAGGGCAACTTCTAGTTTTTAGGGAAATAGGCAGTAAGATTATCAGTTCAGTGTGTGGATAGGTGACAAGATGTTGGAGATTGAGAAGAAAGGAGAGAGATGGCTAGAAATTGAGATATGGTAGGTCTGCAAACATTGGTAATGACAAGTTTGAGGCTATGGCCATGTGAGTGAGTGGTTGAAGTGGAGTAGAGGAGAAGGCCATTGGTGGAGAAGGTGGTCAAGGCACTGAGAGCCAGAGTGTTGGAAACACATCTATAGCCACACAAATAAAATTAGAATCACATTTGAAGATCTGTATAGTAAAAGTTATGGCCATCAATAATAAGCACTCCACATGGAATGTAATTTCAAATATGATTTTCCGATGTGTTTTTCAAATGCTATCTGCAGATAAATAGAAAAGTATTAAAGAGTTTTGAGTTATAAATGAGTGGTCAAGGGAGGCAGTGTAGTGCAATATCAATTTGTATGTCAGCATGATAGATTCACTTAATAAAATATTTCTTCCATAATTAAAATTCAGCTGTACTGGTTCATTGTAGTTCTCATGTTTTAAAAAATTTCTGGCAGCAAAAACAAAAGGGGGATTGGATTTAGTTTTCCAGGGTAATTGCACGCTATGATTTCATTTCCAGGCAGACTGTTCTGACAACTTGGAAAAATAAGTGGAGCATTACATGTGGTGGGACCTGGGAAATCATGATCATGTTAAGGATCAACATTATCTTTTACTATTTATTGAATTGCCATGTGCAGGGTTTATGTTATTGTAAACAACCTTATGAAGTAGGTATGTTTATTGTCGTTTTTAGTGACATGTCAAATTTCAGAGTGTTTAAGTAACTTGCCCACAGTCCTCCACCACTCTTGGTGTCTTGCTCCTGCAACTGGCAGTGGTGGCATTGGAGGCCATCGCCTTTTGTTTTGAAAACATAGTGGAAGAGATGTGAAGAAATGTTCCCCAGGGCCTTAAGACTGTTAGTCTCAGAGTAGATGTTTAAGGATATGGGTTGCAGTGTGTCTGGCTAGGCGCCTATTCTACTGATAAAAGCTCCAGGTGCTTTTTAACATAGTTTCTATGTGCATGCATGCACATGTGTGTGCTTGTAGATGTGTGTGTTTGTGATATGTGGAAACTTCCAAAATGAGCACCCTACCAGATGTCCTTGTGGCCTGGGTTTAAGGGAAGCACTTTAGGAAATATGTATGGAGAGGGACAGAGGACCAGAGCATGTTGTAATCATATCCAAATTTTTGGTTTTCATCATAAAATCAATAAGAAGCCATTGGCATTTATTATTATGGACTCTTGCATTATTGTGGAGAAGAGACAAGGGGGAATAAAAGTGATTTGTGGGGAAACTAACCAGTGGGCAATTTCAAGAGAAAATGGTGACTTGGACCAGAACAAAGGGATGGGGATGCAGAAGAGTCTATTGATACAATACTTACGAGGCAAATAGACAGCCTCACTGACAGACTATATGATAAGGGGAGAGGGGTAGTCCAGAATGACCTTTAGGCATGTGGCTCATGTAACTGGATGGACGGGGGTACTATTTCTGAGATGAGAAAAACTGGAAGAGGAACAGGCTACTGTTCAGGTTAGGGGTGTGTTAAACTTTGGAGGAGATTATAACTTCAACTTTTGAACTGTTGATTTTGAGATGTTTTTGAGAAAATTAAATGGAGATGCCAAGTAGACAATTGATTATAAGGGACTGAATATCAAATGAGAGGCATCAGTGGAGAACATAAATGAAATGTGAGCCATCCATGTGTATGTATGCGGTAATTGAAGTCATGGACTTCGATGAGCTTGCTGAAGGAGGAGACACAGAGATCAAAGAAAACTCTAAGTCTTCAAGAGTACCAGTATCCCAAATATCTCAAGGCTAAGCACTTCTCACTATCTTCAATGCCACACATTCCATTCTCAGTCGCCATCAGCTCTCATCTGGCTTACTGCATCACCCTTCTTATTGGTCTGTAAGTGGCAGTGGGGAAAGAGTAGGATACAAACTGTCTTAGTCAGCTCTAGCTACTATAGCAAAAAAACCCATAGACTGGGTGGCTTAAACAATAGAAATTTAATCCTTACAGTTCTGAAGGCTGAGAAGCCCAATATCAAGGTGCTGGTGACTTAAGTTCCTGGCGAGGTTTCTCTTCCTGGTTACAGACACACACCTTGCTGTATCCTCACATGTTGAAGAGAGACACCACCTCTCTCCTGTCCCTTCTTATAAGGGCACGAATTCCATTTATAAGTGTTCCACCCTTATGACCCAATTACCTTCTAAAGGCTACATCTCCAACTACCATCATCTTGGGGTTTAGAGTTCAACATATGAATTTTGGGCAGGACACAACCTTCAGTCCACAGCACCAACATTCCTCTGCATGCTGAGGTACTTAGTGTGAGCACTCACTTATAAGGCTTGCAGGGGAAATGAGTATCATCAGACAAGTTAAGGATATGAGGGACAGGGGGAAGCTAAGAAAAGATACAGAGAATTCCAAAAAAAATTCTGATTTTACAAAGGCGGTTCCAGAGGGCCTAGTGCCAGGGTTTGGGATGTGGGGCAGATGTGATTTGAAGTTTTGATATAACCAGTAAAAGCAAGAATGAAAAGCCTGGTGACAGCATTATCAGTCTCTTTGAGGGGGGAGACTGGGCTTAGTGCCCAGACACCATTTTTCCAATAGAAAGTTTGACTGTGGTTCTTCAAGATTCTATACATTGGTGTCCCAAAATTATCAAACACTTACTGAGTAACTTTTCTGTTAGTGGTTATTAAACTTCAGTGTCCATAAGAAATACTTGGAGAACTTATTAAAAGTGCAGGTTTCTGTGATCTACTCAAAAGTTTCTGTTTTAAGATATAAGAGGTGAGGCCTACAAATTTGCACTTGAACTCCCTGTGTGATAGGGGCAGGTGGTTTTCATTGTCCTGGGAGGCAGGCACTGTGCTAGGTCCTCTGGTGTCAGCCATGTAAATAAGAAATATTCCTCACTCTCGAAGGATTTACATTATTTCAACATGATGTGGTAACAAAATCTTTCTAGTTTTTCATGAGGCCCCAAGCAGAATATTTATTTTAAATAAAATATAATTAAGATGGACTATACATATTGAAAATGCTTTTTTTTTTTTTTTTTTGCACCTGTGTAAACTTTTCTACCAGACTTTTATTTTAAATGAGTCTATCATTTTTGGTTGTTATGGTAGTACGTGGATGTGGGATTATATCACCATCTGACATTTGGAGTTTTGAATGTTAGTACTAAATGTGTTTGGCATTCAATTTTGGGTGGCTGTTCCATTATTGTGTCTTTTGGAAAAGAGTAATTTGTGATCCGTATTTGCTTTCTGGTAGCTTTCTAATTCATTATTATCTGAAATTTTCAAATGTTTTGAAAAGTCTAATTCAGACCTATGTCACAAAGACAGATGACACAAAGTAGTTTAACAATTGTATATTTGACTTTCTTCTCCAATATATTGATTAGTTACTTTACCTCCTAGTTACTTGACCTCCTGAAATCTAGGTCATGCTTATTCTGAAGAAATGTCTGCATAAGTTGGTGAAGGACATATTTTTTTTCTGTCATGACTCACCCAGATTGGAAGATGACCGAATGAAAAATTTCAGACTAAATGTGGCTTTAAGTGTTATTTATTTAAAATTCCTTGGGGGAAAATCTCCATTACATAGAAATGATTTTCTTGTCATCAAAAAACCAATTTCCTTACTAGGAAGAAAAATATCTAAAAATATCTATTTCTAGCTCTGGAGAACTTTTCATTCAAGTGTCTCATAGGAGGACCCAGTAAACTGATGCAAGTCGGACAAACTGGAGGTTGGTTGGGGAGCAAGGGTGGGTGATGGAGAAGAATGTCCAAACATCTGGATAAATGTATATGGGCAATGAGAGAACCTGTAAATGTTAATAATTCTACCAGTTTAATAGAGGAGAGTCAACACTACTTAATGTGTAATGATTCTGATCAGCAAAGCAGCAAGTTAATAACACAGTGTCTTAAATTTCAGGAAGCAAGAAGTTTAAATTATTCTTTAAGTTGCCTGTATCAATGCCCACAAATTGCAGCTATACAGTACTTCTTCCTCCTTTAGATGTGTAAAGTTTAGATGTGTAACTCACAAACTATTCAAACCTTATAGAAAACAAAATCAGGGAAGTAGCCACATTTTTTTCCATCTGGGAATGTTAGCATTCTCAGAGTCTGTGAGGCTTACCCGTGGTTTTGCCAGGGCTACATTTTTGACAAATACTAAACCACTATTCTCAAATGTCAGCATTTATTTTTGATGCAAATCTTTGTGTACCATACAGACTGTTTGTGGATGGTGAAAAACCCTTTAAGCTTTTTGATTTCTCTTTCCAAACTTTTGATGTCCCTTTGGGTATTTGGTGGCGTGGTTTACTGTCCTTGAAAGGGAGTTCAGTGGTTTGGGACTGCAACTAAAGCAAGAATAGCAGAGTTTGATATCAATCTGAGTTCTAGGACTGTGAATAAACTGTCTTTATCTTATCCAAACATTGAATATATGGTAATTTTATGAAAGCGGAGGAAACCAGAAGCCACATCAATCTCTGAACCTCATGAATATATCAGATAAAATTTTAGATATGATCTTTTTGAGAAAAGTACTTATTTTAACTGGACACTTTTTTGCATAACGTATTTTTTAAAAAACATATTTGCTATATTTTCAGAACATTTTTCCATGTATTTTTACAAATGTTCTACTGAAGAACCTGAATATATATCACACATGTTCCCATTTTGTGATGGGAAGGCTCTTAATGGGTTTGAAAGTCAAGACCAGTGGACACAATTGTGAAACCATGCTTTGGGTCAGACGAATGCAGGCTTACTTATGAAACTTGTGTTTTTGCTGAAAGATTTGTTTACCAGAACTTACTATAGTTTTGTTTACTGAGTTAAATAATTTCTGGGTAGTCCAACCTGATACTCTTCAAGATTTTAAACTTACAGAGAGCTCCCAGGGGAAGTCGTAGAATCCCCTTGTCTCCCTAATTAGAATCAAGTGCTCCATCTTGCCTGAGTTTTGTTTTGTGATTAGTGGAATCTTAGAAATGTTATGACAGAGGCAGTGTATCTATGGTATAAGGGCTTTAGAATGAGGCAGCCTAAGACTGAATCTCAGTTCAGGCTTTTACAAGCTGTGTCACTGTGGGCAAGTTATTTGATCTTATTGAGCTTAAATTTGCTCCACTGCAAAATGTAGATAATGACATTTCTTTTATTTTTTCTTCCTCCCCTCAGGGTTTTCGTGAGAATTGAGATATTGCATGGAAAGCATGTAGTGACTGGTGCATGTTAATTCAGTAAATGATTATAATGATTATTTAAATTAATGTTAACACTGTAAACTGACAGTTTTCACGTGTGTGGGAACCATTGATCATTTCATTTCCCTATCTTCCAAGATATAAAATTGGTTTAGAGTGGTAACAGTAGTCAATGGCTTGCAAATAAAAGGTGACACATATGTCATATAAGGTATACACATATACTATTATACTTTTTTTTCATATTTTTGGATTTACAACAAATAGCTAGATTGAAGCTTTTATTTATAAATTTCTAATATTGAGGCTTCTGAAAAGCCAGAACTTAGTAAGTAGTATACCTCATTTTCTCTGTCAGTATAGCAGCTAAAAATGTAAAGAAATTATCTGAAGGCTTAAATGAATAATTATCTTTTCAAGCTATTAAGCTTATTGACTTAACAGATGCAATTTAAAGAGGTAAAGAGAAGAACAGTGAAGTAATTACTTTTGAAAACAGAGAATCAGCTTAGCTTGTTCAAGTTCCCAAATTGCCTTAGTAGCTCTAAAGAAACAAAGAATACTGTATGCCCTGCAAATCAGGAAAGCCCTTGTTATCCCCACTTTACTTTCTTTATGTTGAAGAGCCTTTATTAAACAACTAAGTTGTTGTTTAAGATTTGAATGAATCAGAGACTCTTAGAAAGCAGAGGTTGTGTCCACGCAACATGGACTGCTACCTCCCACTAAGTGCCTGACATTTGATGTTGGTTGAATGAATTATAAAGCGGGGTCTGGATTTTCTTGAAAAATGAATTAAAGCACTAGTGATTGAGATAACTTGGGGCAAACAGAGATTAGGATGAGTACTTTCCATCTGTCTGGCTTGTGTCAGGGCCAATCTCTCCAGCTTTTCTCAAGAAATTGGAATATTAAATCTGTGATGAATAAATGGTTGCAAAATCTTTGTATTATGGTAGATGGTACTTATTTATACAAACTGTTGTGCTGCTTGAAACATCTGTACTTTTGGGTGTAATTCATAATTCTTTCAAAAATCCAAATTCTTTGTTTGGATTGTAATAAAAGGAAAATTATTTCCTTGACGTAGTTACAGTTAATATTTTGGGTATGTCAGAGACATTTGAACCAGAGCAACTCCATCTTGAATAGGGGCTGGGACTTTCTTCAGCCTTAAAATAAGGCTGAGAACTGCTGAGCTGCATTCCTATTAAATTAGGCATTCTAAGTCAGAAGATGAGAAAGGAGGTTGGTGCAAGATACAGGTCATAAAGATCTTGCTGATAAAACAGTGTGCAATAAAGAAGCCCGCCAACACCCACCAAAACCAAGATGGCAATGAAACTAACCTTTGGTTGTTCTCACTGCTCATTACAGGCTAATTATAATGCTAAGAGACACTCTCACTGGTGCCATGACAGTTTACAGGTGCCATGGCAATGTCAGGAAATTACCCAATATGGTCTAAAAAGGGGAGGAACCCTCAGTTCCGGGAACTGGCTACCCCTTTTCCAGAAAACTCAGTAATAATCCACCCCTTGTTTAGCGTATAATAAAGAAAGAACCATAAGAATTGACAACCATCAGCCCTTGGGGCTGCTCTGTCTATGGAGTAGCCATTCTTCATTCCCTTACTTTCCTAATAAACTTGCTTTCACTTATCAACATGGACTTTCCCAAATTCTTTCTTGTGCAAGATCCAAGAACTCTCTCTTGGGGTCTGGACCTGGACTGCTTTTTGGTAACAGGTAGCTCTGACTTGCTTAGGCTGAATTTTTGTTCTTTCTTGAAACTATGAAAGGAAAAGTAAATCTTGGGACCCCCCAAATCACTAAGCCAAGAGAAAAGTGAATCTGGGCACTATGTCAGGCAAACCTGCCCCTCATTTCATTCCTAAATAAGAGAGCTACAAGGTAAGATACGTACCTCCTTCACAATTTGCCCACAGAAAATTCCTTGTGGACAAAGAACAGGCAGAACTCAAAGTCATCCCTCTGAGGCTCACCTGAGACAAAGGTTATCTAATTGCTTCCTTTGACCTATTGTTTACGTAAAAATGCAGGTTCGCTGAGCCAGACTAAATTGTGTATTCAGCGGAAGGCTGATCAAGGACTCAAAAGAATGAAACCTTTTTGTCTCTTATCTACATCTAACCTGGAAGCCTCCACTTCTAGTTGTCTCACCTTACCAGACTGAACCAATGTATATCTTACCCATATTGATTGATGTCTCACATCTCTCTAAAATGTATAAAAGCAAATTGTACTCCCAATCACCTTGAGCACATGTCATCAGGCCTTCCTGAGGCTGTTTCATGGATGCATCTTTAACTTTGGCAAAATAAACTTTCTAAATCGACTGATACATGTCTCAGATATTTTGGGTTAAAACCAAGAAATATGTATTTTTATAATTATAATTATTAGCTAGTATCTTGCTTGGTGCAGATACTGGAAGCCTGCTCTGTTAGACAAATGATAAATCCAGCATTCTGAATTTACAAGTCTTTGGGACAGATACAGAAAATTCTTATTTTCTGTCTCAAAGAAATGTTCAGATCTCTGAAAATCTTCACTTCTCCTATTTACCTGCCTGTACTTCATCCAGACCGAAGACAATAGAATGATGCTTTCATTTTACTTCTCCTCCCTCTTCCCTCATACTCAGTAGCTTGACCCTGCTGAGAGATGATGCATCTTATTCCTGTGGTTCCTTTCCACTCCACAATGTGAAAAGTGTCTCATCACCTCAAGCAGTCTCCTCCTGCCAATCTTGTCTCCACTTTGTGCCCATGGCCAGCAAGCACCCATGTACACCCATCTCTGCTCAGGGATTCTGGGGACTTCCTATTTCCTGAAGAAAACTTTCAAATTTCCAACTCACTAATGTTATTATGGTGCCTACCTTCTCCTTTAACCAATTCTTACCCAGCTTCCTGTTCCCACCAAAGTGGCCACCCTTGTGCCCATTCCTGCTGTGAGGCTTTGCTCCTGGGACACCATTCCTCCCTACCCCCACCGCCCTGATGCTGACATCCTTCCAGCATTTGTGATTCATTTCCAAGTTAGCTTTTCCAAGAAATCTTCCCAGACTTCTTCAGCCTGGTATCATTCAGATTTCTTGAATTCCTTCTTTTCTAAATACCAGAAACTTTAGTGTCTCTGCTCTTCAACTGGTAACTAGTGTTTGAGGTAGCAGAGAGAGAACAAATATCAATTAAGCATCTACAATGAAACATTGTTCTGGACACTTATTGTCACAACCTGTGGAAACATAGGCTCAAGAGGCCACGTTATTTTCATATGGGTATAAGAGCTGTTGATTCAAGGTTTAAATTCAAGTCCATCTGATACCAAAGTTCATGTTCTTTTTATATAGCACCTTAGCCAATCACTACAAAATGACAAATGGAGAACAAGAGCTGTGTCTTTGATTTGAAATTTCCGTTCAACATTCATTTAGCCAACACGTATTTTATGAACAATTGTTATGTGATAGACATGGTTGTACATGCTTTGGGAGGACTCAAATAATAATGATGATAGCAATGAAAATGATAGTGGTAGCAGTAGTTAACAATTATGTAGCAGTTTGTGTGTGGCAGACACTGTTCTAAGTGATTTACATGTTTTATCTAATTTCTTCTTTATAACGACACTGTGAGAAGGCTCTAGAATGATCCTCTTTATACCTGAGGAAACTGAGGCACATGAGGAACCTGCATGAGATCACAAAGCTAGTAATGGCACACTGGATTGGAACCCAGGGGTCTGGAGCCTAACCACAGTGCTGCACTGTTCCTCAGATAAGACCCCATCCCTGTCCTCAAGGTGATAAACCGAATATGCTGGACAAGTTTGGTTCTTAATTCTATCCATGAATACCTAGGACAATCAGTAATATGGGTGAATATTTTATTACTTATTCTATAAAGTTTTAATTTATAATTTTCTTCCCTCTGCTGTGTATTTTAAATAAATGATAATTTGAAACAGGTGCCTTTTCTCTCAACCTAGAAAAGGCCAAGCTCTGATCTGAATTTCAGATGCCAACTTTCTCTAGGACATCATTGTCCCATGGCCCTAGCTAGGCTTGAGTAACCATTTATTCATTGGTTAACATCAACTTCCCTCAAGCTGGCAAAACCAACAAATGATATCAGAAGCAAGCAATTTTGTCATCTAATTTAGATTAGATCTGTGATGTTAAGGAAGACCTTTTTGAGATTATATATATTATATATATATATAATGCAAATTATCTGCTTGTATTATCTGATACCAATAAAAACAGATGTTGAGTAGATAAGGACTTGGTAAAGCATTGTAAAATAATGGATAGCACTATTTAGCAAAGTTTTCAGAACATATATACCTGGTGAGTTCTTTCTTTCATGGATTAAAAGCTATTGTTAAAAGAAGAACAGAAAGATTCCATCATGGCTTGGGGGAAGGCTGCCCACATGTGGATAACACAGCGGCCAGTGTGTGGACTTTCATGGTGTTGCTGGCTTCACCCAGATATTGTAAAAATGTGTAAAAGGTATTCTTATCTCTCCCAGTGGCTTCCTAACCCCTTTCCCACTTCAAACAGCATTGGTACCTATTTGGAGTCTCCAAGTTAAATGTTTGGATGTGTCTTTTTTGGTGCTCATCCATATGATAATAAGAAATTCCAGGAGAAAATGAAAATTTTTGTGAGCGCATTGTTTTGTATTAGGAGGCCATTTTATTGTCTCTGTTCTAGAGTTCTGGAAATGTTTCGACCCAGGATAGCCTGGCCGGGATTTGGTCAGATTTGGGCAGTTGGACACCATCTAGCATAGCCTTCCCATCCTTTTTTTGTTGTTTTTGAGACGGAATCTTTCTTGTCAGCCAAGCTGGAGTGCAGTGACACGATCTTGGCTCACTGCAACCTCTGCCTCCTGGGTTCAAGCCATTCTCTTGCCTCGGCCTCCCCAGTAGCTGAGATCACAGGTGCGCACCACCATGTCCAGCTAATTTTTGTATTTTTAGTGGAGACAGGGTTTCACCATGTTGGCCAGGGTAGTCTCGAACTCCTGACCTCATGATCCACCTGCCTCGGCCTCCCAAAGTACTGGGATTACAGGTGTGAGCCACTGTGCCCAGCCACCGTCCATTTTTTCTAGAAATAACAACCTTATAAGAACTGCCAGTTTGGGCTGAGTGCGGTGGCTCAGCACTTTGGGAGGCCGAGGTGGGCAGATCACCTGAGATCAGGAGTTCCAGACCAGCCTGGCCAACATGGTGAAATCCCGTCTCTACTAAAAATACAAAAAATAAAAATACAAAAAATAAAATAAAATAAGCCTGGCGTGGTGGCACGTGCCTGTAGTCCCAGATACTTAGGAGGCTGAGGCAGGAGAATCACTTGAACCCGGGAGGTGGAGGTTGCACTGAGCCGAGATCACGCCATTTCACTCCTGCCTGGGTGATGAGAGCGAAACTCCTTCTAAAAGAAAAAAAAGAACTACCAGTTTCATTTCCATGTCTACCTACCATTCTGCCATCAGGCTCAGTAAACGAAATGGGCAAGTAACATTTATCCAGCATAGACTACTGGCCATAACTCAAATTAGCTGTTGATGAATATCACTTTATTGAACTATTCATAAGACTTTCTGAATTAGGTTTCTTAATGTATTCATTTTATAGAGAAACAAACAAGCTCAGAGACTTAAAGTTGTCCAAGATCAGTGTATTTGGTGGCAACACAGACCTAACCCAACTTACTATGAGGGCATCTGTACCCAAGAAGAATGGAGATGGAACTGAGAACAGGCACATATTAATTCAGGATCACGAATGTTTATCGCACTCTCATTCTGCCTCTCTCCATTCTCCTTCAGTTCTATATCTCAGGTGCATTTTCCTTTGAGTAGCCCTCATTCTTTTCAACCAAACAGGGCTTCCCCTGTACATACTGGGCAGGTAGTTCTTCCCAGCTTAGCCACCTCAGGGGAGAGCGTTTCTCTTTTAATGTCTGAAACAAATCTCTTCAAGACAAGGACTCTTATTGCTCTGCTTGAGAACATGCCCATTTCTGAACTGTCACTGCATCGAGGGGCATAGGATCCTGTCCCTGAGAAGACCAGATCAGGTGAGGGACTCCTCCTGCTGGGACGTATATGTGTGTATGTGAGTGTGTGAGCCTGTGTGAGTGTGATTGTGTGACTGTGTGTGTGTATGGCTTTATAGCACACTAAAGGGTATTAGGAAAAGGACATATAAAATTGGAGCTGAAGATACATTTTTTGCCCTCCACTAACTCTTAAAAATGGTTTTTCACATCTAGTGGTAATGGGTAGATATCATAAATTATCTAAAGATAATTATTAATGTGCTTTAAAAAATACTTTTTTTCCAGTCATATACTTATGGTTCAAGGGAATTTGTAGACAAAATAAGATACTACTCCAGCTTTGTGACATGGCATGCTTTGTGATATGGCACATGCTTTGCGATATGGCACAGGTCACTATAGGAAAAGTTAAGACTCAAAAATTCTCCTGAGAGGCCATCTTACTTCAATTTATAGGAAGAAAATGTCACTGTGTAGATCATTACTTATAACAAAGACTCTATATACATTTTATAGATGGTCATTATGCATATCTTTTCACAGAAATTTCTTTTTTCATTGACATTTAATTTTCAGATAGCAGGAGATCCTTGAACTTCTTTTTGGGCAGGGAAAGAATAATTTCAGAGGATAATTATTACTATTGTTGATACTTGTTGTATACAAACTCTTTCTAAAGATGAAAGCCTTTTCCTGAGAATAGCTGCTTAGAATATGTAACTGAGCATGAAAAGAGAAGGTAGAAAGTGGTTGGCGTCCTAGACATTCATGTGTAGCCTGAAAGTAGGATTTGGCTACTTTTTTTTTTTTTTTTTTGACGGAGTCTTGCTCTGTCACCCAGGTTGGAGTGCAGTGGCGCAATCTCGGCTCACTGCAAGCTCCACTTCCCGGGTTCACGCCATTCTCCTGCCTCAGCCTCCCGAGTAGCTGGGACTACAGGCGTCCGCCACCACGCCTGTCTAATTTTTTGTTTTTTAGTAGAGATGGGGTTTCACCATGTTAGCCAGGATGGTCTCAATCTCCTGACCTTATGATCCACTCGCCTCGGCCTCCCAAAGTGCTGGGATTACAGGCGTGAGCCACCACGCCTGGCCTTGGCTACTCTTTAAGTTGTCTTTTTAATACAATGCTTGTTTCAAACAGATGTCATAAATAACCAATTTGGTGTGTTTTGAGGTGATCACAGTAAGATGAAGGCAGCATGACCTTCAGAGACAAGGAAGTAGTAGATAATGTAAAGCGACTAAAACATTCCACCACTTTTTGTCAAGGCAGGTTATTTTTCCATGAGAAATGACTCTTCAGCTATGGTCAGGAGGATGCTAACAAACCAGACCCTAAAAAGTCAGACTGTTCTGCAGAAATCATTAACCCACTGTAATTTTGGTCCATTTCAAGACGAACTGAGAGCATAGCTTTGTCCAAGACATACATCTGGGCTGTCTGCCATATACTGGCAAGGAAGGAAGTTGCTCTTTTGGAGGTAAGATTCAGATAGACTTGGACTCTGCTGTCTACCTGCACAAGCAAGCTGGACTCGACCTGGCTCGGTGGGATCTCATCTGGTCCTATTGCTTTAACTGCACCTTAGTGGATTTATTTCTAAAATGAATTTACTGCTTCATTTAACATGTCTCTCTTTTTTTTTTCTTTCTTTCTTTCTTGAGACGGAGTTTTGCTCTTGTTCCCCAGGCTGCAATACAATGGCGTGATCTCAGCTCACTGTAACCTCTGCCTCCCAGGTTCAAGCTATTCTTCTGCCTCAACCCCTCCGAGCTGCTGGAATTACAGGCACGCGCCACCATGCCCAGCTAATTTTTGTATTTTTAGGAGAGACGGGATTTCACCACATTGGCCAGGCTGGTCTTGAACTCCTGACCTCAATTGATCCACCCACCTTGGCCTCCCAAAGTGCTAGGATTACAAGCATGAGCCACTGTGCCTGGCCATTTAATAGATCTTTATTGAGCAATGATTTGTGTCAAATTTAAGCATGAGATATTCAGGATGAATAAGAAAGAGTGCCATGGATCTTGTTCAATTAACAGCGTCCTATCAGGCATTGTTCTAGAAAAAGTACTTGTGAACACAGAGTTTATGTCCACAGCAAAGCAGCAGAAAACAAACAAATGATGCACATACAAATGTTATTATGTGAAGTGGGGATCAGCGATGAGAATTTAAATCAAGCAGTGTCAAAAGACTGAGAGTGACTTGAGCCAGTGCTGTGATCTGATGAGGTGAGACATGAATTTAGTGAGAAGAGCTATGTTAACACCTGGATGAACAACGTGCCAGCCAGAAAAGAGAGCAAGTACAGTGGCCATGAGGGGGACCATTTTTGGTGGCTTTGAAAAGCAGCAAGGTGGCCAGTGTTACTGTGATAGAATAATAAGGGGCAGAGAAGGAGTAGGGGGCATCTGAGCAGTAGCCGGAGAGCAGATCATGTAGGGCTTTGCAGGATATGGTAAGGAATCCTGGCTTTATTCAGAGTAAGATGGAAAGGAATGGGAAAAAACAGTATGATCAGAACATGATCTGAGTTAGTTTCTGCAGGGATCCCTGTCATGTGGGATGGGGGTTGGGAAAGTGGAAGTCAGATGAACATCTGGCAGCCCTTGCAATGGTCCAAACCAGAAGATAATTGCTTCAATAAATGCTGTGTGTGTTAAAGGATTAGTGATTAGCTGGAGTGGGAAGAAGCTGTTGGATTCTGGATATAGTTTAGGACTGAGCAACAAAATTTGCTGCTAAGTTGGATATAGGATGTGAGGGAAGGAGAGAGGAGTCATGGTTGACACCAAGATTTTTGTCTGTGATGTGCAGTTATCATTTGCTGATGTGAATAAGACAGAAGAGAGATGGGCTGAGGGGGATAATTAGAAACCAAGAGTTCAGTTTTGGATACATTAAGTGTATACACAAATGTGCACATACAAGTGCACACACTTATACACACACTTAAGTAGAAGTGTTTGAGTGGGTAGTTAGATATATAAGTCTGCAAGTTCAGGAAAGAGGCCCAGTTGGAGTGGGAGTTGTCAGCGGATAGGTGCTATTTAAGGCCATGCTATTAGATGAGGCCACTCAGAGATCTAGAAAGCATGACCTTCAGATAACACAGTCTCTGAGTAAAGAATGTGGCGAGAACACTTTATCTCATACTGCTTGTACGTTATTTATATCAAATCAAGGATTCATTCATTCTCATTTACTCATTCCTTTATTTATTCACTCACATTTTATTTAACAGATATCTGATAGTGCCCTGCCAGGCACTAAACCAGGTACTAAGGACATAGTGAAGAACAACAGAGGCATGCTCGTTGGACAGTTCTATAAATCCCAGCTACAGGCATACCTCATTGTATCACATTTCATTTTACTGCACTTTGTAGATATTGCATTTTTCGCAAATTGAAGGTTTGTGGCAACCTTGCATTTAGCAAATCAATCAGTGCTGTTTTTCCAACAGCGTTTGCTTACTACGTGTCTTTGTATCATATTTGATAACTCTCACAATCTTTGAAACATTTTCGTTATTATATCTGTTATGGTTATCTGTGATCGGTGCTCTTTGATGTTACTATTTTAGTTGTTTTGGTGCATGATGAAGTATGCTCATATAGGACGGTGAACGTAATCAATAAATGCTGTGTGTGTTCTGACTGCTCCTCTGACTGGTCATTCCCCTGTTTTTCTCCCATACCCTGAGATACAATATTGAAATTAGACCAGTTAATAACCCTACGCTAGCCTCAAAATGTTCAAGTGAATGGAAGAGTCACCCATCTCTTACTTTAAGTCAAAAGCTAGAAATGATTAAGCTTAGCAAGGAAGGCATGTCAAAAGTGAAAAAGGCTGAAAGCTTGGCCTATTGTGCCAAATAGCCAAGTTCTGAATGCTAAGAAATAGTTCCTGATGGAAATTAAAAGTGCTCCTCCTCTAGTGAACACATAAATGATAAGAAAGCTAAACAGCCTATTGTGTGGTGTTTTGTTTGTTAGTTTGTTTTTACAGGGTCTCACTCTGTGGCCCAGGCTGAAGTGCAGTGGTGTAATCACAGCTCACTGCAGCCTTGACCTCCCAGGCTTAAGCGTTCCTCCCTCCTCAGCCCCTTAAGTAGCTGCGACTACAGGCAGGCAACACCACACCCGGCTAATTTTTGTATTTTTTGTACAGCTGGGGTTTCACCATGTTACCCAGGCTGGTCTCAAACTCCTGGACTCAGCTGATCGGTCTGCCTTGGCCTCCCAAAGTGCTGGGATTACAGGCATGAGCCACCGTGCCTGGCCAAGGCAGCCTTTCTTATCAAATTTTAGTAGGCTGGATAGAAGATTAAAGCAGCCGCAATATTCCCTTAAAC
The DNA here is from genome assembly GCF_000001405.40 of Homo sapiens. Classification (NCBI taxonomy): domain Eukaryota; kingdom Metazoa; phylum Chordata; class Mammalia; order Primates; family Hominidae; genus Homo; species Homo sapiens. Next base: position 37,393,880 of record NC_000013.11, read on the forward strand.
CAAGTCTAATCCAGAGCAGGCCCTAACTCTCTTCAATGCTATGAAGGCTGAGAGAGACGAAGAAACTGCAGAAAAAAGTTTGAAAGAGGAGTCGGCTGACTGGAAGCAGCTGGTGGGTGCCGCTCACAGGGAGAGAAGAAAGAGTGGTGAGTGGACACTAGCTCTTCAACTGGAACATCCAGGTGGACACACTGGGATTCATCAAGGAAACAATTTGACCCCCATGCAATGAAGGGGAAGGAGACTGGATGACTGCCTGCCATGGAATGGCATGGAGCCGGGGCAGTCCCCTTCACCATGGAGAAATGGGTGAGTGAGAGTCCTTGCCACGACCTTTGCAACCCTGTACCCAGTACATGCCTCTTGGGGGGGAGATCCCCTATGTGGTGCCTTCAGACTGACACAGAGAGCTACATGGAGTCTGGGCAGAGCCTCCACTCAGGCACACATGGAGTCCTGGGAGCCTTGGATCCCACGGCATCCTGGCAGTAGTGGCTGCAGCTCCCGCAGTGGAGTAGGTCAGTCTTCCTCACATGCCTGCATGAAAGGGGCTGAGCATTGAGGAACTGTAGGCCTCCCCACCCCTTATGTTCACAGGATAAGGCCTACTAGCCTCTGACCCTAGCCTGGCCATACCAGCCCTGCCTGGGCCCTCAGGCTGGTACCAGCTCTTCACTTCTCTGGGATAGAGCTCCCAGAGGAAGAGGCTGGCTGCCATTTTTGCTGCTCTGCGGCCATCACCCCTGTTGCCCTCAGGCTCTCGGGTGTGGGCAGTGACTAGGGTCTGGTGCAGACCCCCAGCAAAATGCAGCCACGCTATGGAAAAGTGGCCAGATTGTTCTCCATATGTGTCTTCACCCCTGCTTCTCACAGGGCAGGGCCTCCCAACCCAGGACTTCAGCACAACTGTCCCCATCAGAACACTTCAGTCAGTGGTGGCTTTGCATTTCTCTGAGGAGGAATTCCCAGGGACAACCCACAGCCTCTCTCCCACTGCAGCTGCAGTGGTAAGGCCCTTGGTGCTCTCCAGCTGGGGAAGGAACAAAGAGCCTGGTTGCTACACTAGCACCTCCAGCACACCACAGCCACCATGTGGAGAGGATCCCAGTCTCTCTTCCCTGTACTACCCGACTCTTCACCAGGCAGGCCCCTAGCTCAGGACCACAGAATAGCTGCCTACCCCTGCTGAGCATACCCACTGCTAGTGGCTCTTTGTTTCCCTGGGGAGTGGCTCCCAGAGACAACCGATGGCCTCTCTTTCACTGCCATGGCTGCAGCAGCCTGCTTTTGCTGCCCTTGGACTGGAGAAGGAACAGAGCCTGAGGGCTTTACTCATGCTTCTAGCACACCACAATCACCATACAGAGAGAAGCCTAATTCTCTCCTTACTGTGAGCCCCTGTCCCCCACCACCCATCACCAGCCAGAGCCCCCAGACTGGGGCAGCAGTGTAGCCACCCCAACCCCTGGCTGAATGTTCCCAGTAACAGCGGCTCTGGGAGTGGTGCTGCCCTGGCTGCCCTAAGACCAGGGAAGAAGCAAAGACCCTGCATGGTTTAAACACATATCCAGCAAGCCACAGCCACCCTAAGGAGAAGAGGCCAGATTGTCTCTCCTGCATCCCACCCACCACCCCTGCTCATCACTAGGCAGAGGCCCCCCAGCTTGGGCCCATAGCACTACTGCCCCATCCTTGGCCGATCACACTGATTGACAGCAGCTCTGCATGTCTCTGTTGTGGAGCCCCAAGAGACAAATGAAAGACCCTCTGCTGCTTTCTCCTGCTGCCTCCAGGATGGGAAGAGAACATAAAGCCTGGCTGAGATCACCCTAGACTGTGGTATGCAGCTCAGGAATGCCCAGCCAAGATCTGCAGCCAGCACTCAAGTGGGAGAGGAGTCCTCACTTTCAGAACACTGAGAGGGAGCACAGCTCCAATCCTGAGGAAATACAGAGGAGCCGCGTGACTGAACAAGCACCTACCTACTGGCCATTACACTTAAGTGCCACCTACTGGATCTCAGCCCAAAACATCAACACCAAAAATACTTTATAATATATCCCCATGAAACCAAGGACAAGAATCAGCTACGAATGAACAACTGGCACAAAAGCCTGGGCCCTCTGAAAACATCCAGAAAAGAAGTCAACTGTACTCAAATTACACCACAGTTAAAGGAACAGTTACCCACAAAGATGAGAAAGAATGAGCGCAAGGACTCCGGCAACTCAAAAAGCCAGTGTGTTTTCTTTTCTCCAAATGACTGCGCTAGTTCCAGCAAGGGTTCTTAACCAGGCTGAAATGACAGAAATAGAATTCAGAACATAGATAGGAATGAAGATTATCAATATGCAAGAGGAAGTTAAAACTCAATTCAAGGAATCTAAGGATTCCAGTAAAATGCTACAGGACCTGATAGACAAATGGCCATTAGAAGAAAGAATCAAACTAATCTGATACAACTCAAAAACATACTACAAGAATTTCATAATGCAATCACACATATTAACAGGAGAATAGGCCAAGCAGAGGAAAGAATCTCAGCGCTCAAAGACTAGTTCTCTGAACTTAGACAAAAATAAAGAAAAAAGAATTAGAAAAGAATGAACAATACCTCTGAGAAATATGGGTTTGTGTAAAGAGACCAAATTTACAACTCATTGGCAACTCTGAAAGAGAAAGGGAGAAAGCAAACAACTTGGAAAACATATTCAGGGTATCATCCATGAAAAAACTTCCCCAACCTTGCTGGAGAGGCCAACGTTCAAATTCAGGAAATGCAGAGAACTCCTGTGAGATACTACACCAGAATACCATCCCCAAGACATGTAACCATCAGATTCTCCAAGGTCAAAATGAAATTCAAAAGTGTTAAAGGTAGCTAGAGAGAAGGGGCAGGTCAGGGAACCCCATCAGGCTAAACCCTACAAGCAGAAACCTACAAGCCAGAAGAGATTGGGGGGGCCTATATTCAGCATTCTTAAAGAAAAGAATTTCCAACCAATAATTTTATATCCAGCCAATTTAAACTTCATAAGTGAAAGACAAATAAGGTCATTTTCAGACAAGCAAATGCTGAGGGAATTCATTACCACCAGACCTACCTTACAAGAGATCTTGAAAGTAGTGCTAAGTATGGAAAGGAAAGACCATTGCCAGTCATTACAAAAACACATTTAAGTACCAGACCATTGACACTATAAAGCAACCACACAAAAAAGTCTGCCTAATAACCAGCTAACAACATGAGGGCAAAATCAAATCAGCATCATATCACATTAGCTTTAAATGTAAATGTGCTAAACGCCCCAGTTAAAAGACACAGAGTGATAAGCTGGATAAAGAAACAAGACACAATGATACGCTGTCTCTTGGGCAGCATAGGCTCAAAATAAAGGAATGCAGAAAAATCTACCAAGCAAGTGGAAAACAGAAAAAAAAACTGGGGTTGCTATCCTAATCTCATATAAAACAAACTTTAAACAAACAAAAATAAACACGCAGACACACACACACACACACACACACACACACACACACACACACAAAGAAGGGCATTACGTAATGGTAAAAGGTGCAATTCAACAAGAAGACCTAATTCTCTCTTAAATATGTAAGCACCCAACACAGGAGCACCCCGATTCATAAAGCAAGTTCTCAGAGACCTATAAAGACACTTAGATTTCCACATAATAATAGTGGAAGACTTCAACATCCCTCTGACAGTATTAGACAAATCATCGAGGAAGAAAATTAACCAAGATATTTAGGACTTAAACTCTGTACTTGACCAAATGAACCTAATAGACGTCTGTAGAACTTTCCACCCCACAGCAACCGAATGTATATTTTTCTCATTACCAGATGACACATACTCTAAAATTGACCACACAATTGAACATAAAACAATCCTCAGTAAGTTAAAAAAAACAAATCATACCAACCATCCTTTCAGACCATAGCACAATAAAAATAGAAATCAATACAAAAAAAAACCTCTCAAAACCATACAATTACATGGAATTTCAATAAACTGCTCCTTAAGGAGTTTTGGGTAAATGAAATTAAGGCAGAAATCAAGAAATTCTTTGAAACTAATGAAAACAAAGAAGCAACACACCAGAATCTTTGGGACACAACCAAGGCAGTGTTATAAGGAAGTTTACAGTGCTAAACATCAACGCCCAAAAGTTAGAAAGATCTCAAATTAACAACCTAGCATCATAACTAGAGGAACTAAAGAACCAAGAGCAAACCAATCCCAAAGATAGCAGAAGACAAGAAATAACCCAAATGAGAGCTAGCTGAAGTCAATTAAAATGTGAAAACCACACAAAACATCAACAAAACCAAGAATCTGTTCTTTTGAAAAATTAATCAGATAGACTGCTAGCTAAACTAACAAAGAAAAAAGAGAGAACATCAAAATGAAGACAATCAGGAATGACAAAGGGAATGTTACCACTAATCTCAAAGAAATACAAAAAATGCCCTCAGAGACTACTGTGAACACCTCTATGCACACAAACTAGAAAGCCTAGAATAAATGGATAAATTACTGGACACATGCAACCTCCCAAGACTGAACCAAGAAGAAATTGAACTTCTGAACAGACCAATTATGAGTTCTGAAATTGAATCAGTAATAACAAGCCTACCAAGAAAAAGCCCAGGACCAGACAGATTCACAGCTGAATTTTTACCAGTTATACAAAGAAGAGCTGATACCATTTTTATCAGAACTCTGCCCCCAAATTGAGCAAAACACATTCCTCCCTAACTCAATCTATGAGGCCAGCATCATTCTGATACCAAAACCTGGCAGAGATACAACAAAAAAAGAAAACTTCAGGCCAATATCCTTGATGAACATCAGTGCAAAAACCCTCAACAAAATACTAGCAAACTGAATCCAGCAGCACATCAAAAACCTAATCCACCATCATCAAGTAGACTTTATCCCTGGGATGCAAGGTTGGTTCAACATACATGAATAAATAAATGTAATTCATCACATAAACACAACTACAAACTAAACCACTGATTATGTCAATAGATGCAGAAATGTTTTCAATAAAATTCAACATTTCTTCATGTTAGAAACTTTCAACAAACTAGGTATTGCAGGAACATACTTCAAAATAATAAGAGCCATCTATGAAAAACCCATGACTAACATCATACTGAATGGGCAAAAGCTGGAAGCATTCCCACAGAAAACCAAAACAAGACAAGGAAGCCCTCTCTTGCCATTCCTATTCAACATAGTACTGGAAATCCTGGCCAGAGCAATCAGGCAAGAGAAAGAAATGAAAGGCGTTCAAATAGTAACAGAGAAAGTCAAACTATTCCTGTTTGCAGACAAGATGATTCTATGCCTAAGAAAACTCATAGTGTCTGCCCAAAAGTTTATTGACCTGATAAACAACTTTAGCAAAATTTCAGGATATAAAATTAATGTACAAAAATTAGTAGCATTCCTATATGTCAACAATATCCAAGCTGATAGCCAAATCAATTATGTAATACTATTTACAATAACCACAAAAAGTATAAGATATCTAGGTATTTCAACCAGAGAGGTGAAAGATCTCTACAAAGAGAACTACAAAACACTGCTGAAAGAAATCAGAGATGACACAAACAAATGGAAAAACATTCCATGCTCATGGGGAATAGGAAGAATCAATATTGTTAAAATGGACATACTACCCAAAGCAATTTATAGATTCAGTGCTGTTCTTATCAAACTACTAATAACATTCATCACAGAATTAGAAAAAAACTGTTTTGAAATTCATATGGAACTAAAAAGAGCCCAAATAGTCAAGGCAGTCCTAAGCAAAAAGAACAAAGCTGGAGGCATCGCATTACCCAACTTCAAATTTTACTACAAGGCTACAGTTATCAAAACAGCATGGTACTGGTACAAAAATAGACAGATAGACTGGTAGAACAGAATAGAGATCCCAGAAATAACATCACACATCTACATCGATCTGATCTTTGACACAGTGGACAAAAACAAGCAATGGGGAAAAGGTTCCCTATTCAATAAATGGCGCTGGGATATGGCTAGTCATATGCAGAATATTGAAAGTAGATCCCTTCCTTACATCATATACAAAAATCAACTCAAGATGGATTAAAAACTTAAATGTAAAACCTAAAACTATAAAAATCCCAGAAATAACCTAGGAAAAACTATTATGGACATAGGACCTGGCAAAGATTTCATGAGGAAGACACCAAAAGCAATTGCTGCAAGAACAAAAGTTGACAAATGGGACCTAATTAAATAGCTACTTCACAGCAAAAGAAAAATATTGACAGAGTAAACAAACAGCCTACAGAATGGGGTAATGTATCTGCAAACTATTCAACTGACAAAGGTTGAATATCCAGAATCTATGAGTATCTTAAATTTATATGCAAAAAACAATCAGGCCTATTAATAAATGAGCAAAGGTCATGAGCAGACGCTTTTGAAAAGAAGGCATACATGTGGCCAACATGCATACAAAAATGCTCAATATTTTGTTATTATGCTCAACTAGTTATTAGAGACATGCAAATCGAAAACATAATGAAATACCATCTCACACTGGTCAAAATGGCTATTATTAAAAAGTCAAAAAATAACAGATGCTAGTGAGATTGCTGAGAAAAGGGAATGCTTATACACTGCTAGTCGAAACTTAAATTAGTATAGCTACTGTGGAAAGCAATGTGGCGATTCCTCAAATAACTTGGAATTATCATTTGACTCAGCAATTCCATCACTGGGCATATATCCCAAGGAATATAAATCATTCTGCTACGTGTATGTTTTTTGGAACACTATGCACAATAGCAAAAGCAGAAATCAAACTAAATGCTCATCAATAGTAGACTGGATAAAGAAAATCTGGTACATATACACTATGGAATATTATGCAGTCATTAAAGAGAATGAGATCATGTCTTTTGCAGCAACATGGGTGGAGCTGGAGACCATTATCCTAAGTAAACTAACAGAGGAACAGAAAACCATATACTACATGTTCTCACTTATAAGTGGGAGCTAAACACTGAGTATGTATGGACACAAAGAAGGGAACAACAGACACTAGGGCCTACTTGAGAGTGGAGGGTGGGAGGAGAGAGAGGATCAAAAAACTACCCATCAGGCACTATGCTTATTACCTGGATGATGAAATAATCTGTACACTAAACCCCATGACATGCAGTTTACCTATATAACAAACTTACACATGTACCCCTGAATGTAAAATAAAAGTTTGAAAAAAATAGAAAATAGAGAGAAAGGTTTGAAGGTAGCAGAAATTAGTTCATAGGGTTAAAGGAAACTAAACTATCTATATAATATAAACCAACATAAAAATGCAAGGTGAAATTGCAAATGCTGATGTAGACGCTGCAACAAATTATCTAGAAAATCTAGCTAAGATCATTGATGAAGGTGGCTATGCTAAACCATAGATTTTTAATGTAGACAAACAGCCGTATATTGGAAGAAGATGCCATCTAGGACTTTGGTAGCTAGAGAGGAGAAATCAATGCCAAGTTTCAAAGGACAGGCTGACTCTCTTGTTAGAGACAAATGCAATCAGTGACTATAAGTGGAAGCCGATGCTCATTGTTTATTCTGAAAATCCTAGAACTCTTAAGAATTTTGCTAAACTACTCTGCCTGGAGTAACAAAGCCTGGATGACAGTATATCTGATTATTTTATGGTTTACTGAATATTTTAAGCCTGCTATTGAGACCTACTGTTCAGCAAAAAAGATTCCTTTAAAAATATTATTGCTCATTGACAATGCACCTGGTCACCCAAGAGCTCTGATGGAGATGTACAAGGAGATTAATGTTGTTTTTCTGCCTGCCAACACAACACTCATTCTGTAAGCCATGGATCAAGGACTAATTTTGACTTTCAAATCTTATTATTTGAGGAACATATTTTGTAAGACTAGCTGTCAGAGATAGTGATTCCTTTGATGGATCTGGGCAAACTAAGTTGAAAACATCTGGAAAGAATTTATCATTCTAGATGTTATTAAGAACATCCATGATTCATGGGAGAAGGTCAAAATAATAATGTTAACAGGAATGTGGAGAAAGTTGATTCCAACCTTTATAGATGACTTTGAGGGGTTCAAGACTTCAGTGAAGGAAGTAATTGTATGTCTGGGGGAAGTATCAAGAGAATCAGAAGTGGAGCCTGAAGATGTGACTGCATTGCTGCAATTTTATGGATGATAAAACTTGAATGGATGAGGAGTTGCTTCTTATGGATGATCAAAGAAAATGTTTTTTGGAGATGGAATCTACCCCCTGGTAAAAATGTTATGAACACTGTTGAAATGACAATAAAAAATTTAGGCTATTACATAAATTTAGTTGATAAAGCTGTGGAAGGTTTAGAGAAGACTGACTCCAATTTTGAAAGAAGTTCTACTGTGGGTAAAATGCTATCAAATGCTTGCTACAGAGAAATATTTCATGAAAGGAAGAGTCAATTGATACAGCAAACTTCATTGTTGTCTTATTTTAGGAAATTGTCATAACCACCACAGCCTTCAGCAACCACTACTTTGATCAGTCAATAGCTATCAAGACTGAGATAAGACACTCCACCAACAAAAACAGGGTAAGCCACTGAAGGCTCAGATGATCATTAGCAATTTTTAGCAAAAAATATTTTTTCCAGTCAACAATATTTATTGAGTAGTGATGCTGTGGGTGGTCTATATATCCCCTTGGACTTCATCTTTCCTACACATATCAATAGGTTCTTTTTAAAAATTATAAAACAAAATTTAAAAAATATTTTTTGACATAGTAATTTATTGTTACATAATTATACATATTTATGGGTTTCATGTGATATTTTGGTACATATATACAATGTGTAATGATTGAATCAGGACAATTAGATACCCATCACCTTGAACATTGATCATTTCTTTGTGTTGGGAGCATTTCAAATCTTCTAGATATTGTATATTGATATATACAATAAATTATTGTTAACTAAATTATAGTCACCCTACTGTATTATCAAACACTAGACTTTATTCTTCCATCTGACTGTATGTCTGCATCCATTAACCAACTCTCTTTAGTCCCCTTCTATCTTCCCAGCCTCTGGTAACCATTATTTTACTCTCTACCTCCATGAAAGCAACATTTTTAGCTCCTACATATGAGTAAGAATAAATGATATTTGTACCAACAAAGTATTTTTAATTAAGGTATATACATTGTTTAGATATAATGCTATTGCACACTTAATAGACTACAGTATGATGTTAACATAACTTTTGTGTGTACTGGGTCACCAAAAAATTTGTGGTTTATTTTGATATTTGCTTTATCCTGGTGGTTCAGAATATCTGCAGTATCTCCAAGGTATGCCCATATAGTGTACACCAAAGCACCAAGACCAGTGTAATATTAACGACTAGCTTTTAATATATATTTTCACCTATAATTCCTATCTCTTGTTATTAACCTAGTTATCTTTAAAGAATACTCATAAATATTGAGTGGTTAGGGTTATCTGATATTTGACTCTAAATGTTTGCTTTGGTTATATAATAGATGTTGTCCTAATAACTTGTGTGGAAATCATATTTTGAAAATTCTTATTTTAAGACTTTGAGAGGAGGTTAGTTCTTAAAAAATAATCCTAGTACTTTCAAGTATTAGAATATAGAATATACTTCATTTGGTATTTCAGATATAGAATGCTGAATTTGGAGTCCTTGGCTAACCAACTTTATTGAAATAAAATTTAGGGGAAAAATAGAACAGTTCATTGAGTTATATTGGTCAGGAATGACTGAAAATAAGTCAACTGCACTTTTCCATATAGTTTATAAAATATGGTTTCATGACTCGTGAGATGAGGTAAGCTTCAGTAAATCCACTGGATTGACTACATGTGAGTTTCTAAAAGTTACGGGGTTACAGAAACGGAGCAGGAGATCCCATGAAACAATGATGATAATGTTTATTTGTGGTATAAAAGTATGCCATAGTCTGATTGAGATGGACCCACAGCGTGATCTTTTTCTTGTGTAACTGAGGTTGTTTCGTGAGGGATAGCCAAGCTTGAGGTCAGAGTCTTGCCAGCCAGACCATTTTTTTTCCTGGCTTGGAGAGGCTGCCATACATTCCAGTCCAGAGAGTGAAACATTAGCAACTTTTCACTTGAAGGATTATAAAATTACTGGAAAGAGAAACTGGACAGTTGCTCTGGCCCTTTTTAGACATTTACCAAGCTAAAGTCCAGTTAAGACTTCCTCAGCAATACGTCCTACTGGATAGGTCAGAAACCACTTCCATCTGATTTCAGCTTCAGGCTATGTATTTCTAACTATCTGTGATTTTAATCAATTCCAGCAGCTAACCAGTCGCTTCAGGGAGTGGGGTAGCAGCATAGTACACACATAAATACACAAAACAAACACAAATGGTCAAGCTAGTTTCTGATTTATTTGAGTACATATTGACATTCACTTGTGTGCTACTGGGGCCCACATGTCTGCTGCTGTGGGCTCTGTTGGTAGGGAATAGATCTCTGGACTTTCTCCCATCCAGATGATTCTGTACCACTCAACCAGAACAACTATCCTAGCATTTGTCAAACTTAAGAGACACAAGCTAAGAAATCTTCAATGTTTTCCCACTTCCTAATAAAGTATATATCCAAGTTTGGCACTAAAATTTTTTACAAGGTAGCTCCTAAATACCTTTTATTTATTTAATAATTTAGTTTTCAAGCATCTTTTTAGTTTTTTTTAGATGAAGTCTTGCTCTGTCATTCAGGCTGGAGTGCAGTGGTGCTATTTTGGCTCACTACAACCTCTGCCTCCTGGGTTCAAGCAAGTCTCCTGTCTCAGCATCCCAATTAACTGGGATTAAAGGTACCCATCACCACACCCAGCTAATTTTTGTATTTTGAGCAGAGACGAGGTTTTAACCATGTTGGCCAGGCTGGTCTTGAACTCCTGACCTCAGGTGATCTGCCCACCTTATCCTCCCAAAGTGCTGGAATTACAGGCATGAGCCACCATGCCTGGCCACATCTGCTTAGTTTTTAAGCAGCATATATTGTGTTTGGTGCTGTCTATAGAGTAATGAGCTAGAGTGATATGTCCTTATGAAACCACCTATTTTCCTGTGGTAAGGCAGGCATTTAACAAATAGACACAAAATGATTAATTATAATGTGAAAACAAGAACATGCAAAGAAAACTGAAAAGGCCCTTAGCTCTGGCAATTAAGTCATTGACTTTAGTCTGTAAAGACTGTGGTTTCAGAAGTGGGAGACCAGTTTTAGGAGTGTAAGGGGTAATCCAGAAAACACACAGACTTTAGAAGAAAAGGAGTATGACTACTGGATGCATCAATGCCTGGCTGATCTATGGCTCCATTCTGATAATTCATTTGCTTTTGCCTTAGTGTGTGCCTCACAGTCACTCTTTAGTAGTTACATTGGCAGGTGTAACTATTGTGCAAAATGGTCGCAACATGGGACAAAAGTAAATCTAAAATCCTGCTGTTCATGATGATGTGGAGTGAGGGCTGGGATCTCCGCAGCAACCTCCAGTTCCTGGAACACTTGATCCTCAGCACTTTCCCATGTTTTAATTTGCCTGGTGTCAGAACAACGGATGTATACTTTCTTTATTTAACACATCAAATATTTTTGCTCCTAAGTAAAGATGACTCTTGAATTACTCTAATATAACCAATGTTGTAGTCACTTTGGGCTGCTATAACAAAGAATTATAGAACAGACGATTCTAAGAACAGGTCTGGAGGCTGAGCGAGGCCCTCTTCCTCTTTGCAGACTGCTGATGTCTCATGTCTTCACACGGCGGAAAGAAAAAAAGGCAGCTCTCTTGGGCCTCTCTTATAAGGGCACTAATCTTATTCATGAGGGCGCTACTCTTATGATTTAATTACCTCCCAAAGGCCCCACATCCTACTATCATCATCTTGGACATTAGGATTTCAACATATAGATTTTGAGAGCTACAAACATTTATCCATAACAACTGACCAGCTATAAGATGTATCCTTTCATGTGTTTTAATAATATCTTTGAGAATTTTCCTGGCTCCCTAACATAATAATCAGTATCATATTTCCAGTTTTGTAACAAAGGAAAGAGCTATGCATCTATAGTGGGGCAGTGGGACCTCATAGTTCCTATTCTTATTCCACTGTGATGCATCTCCTGGAGGCTATTAATGCCATCACTGACCTAGTGGACGTGAGTTCCTACTCCTTTAAGGCTCTGACTAACTAGACACTACCAGGTAGTACCAGGCTGGAACATTGTAATAAGACATTACTAAATGCTTAGTGCAAACACAAGGGAAATAACTAGAAAGCAACATACACCTACAGGAAATGACAAGGCAGATTCTGTTTATCCTCATTTGTAGTTTGCTAAAGTGATGACCTTCTGTCAGCTAAATCTCCTGATTTCATAGGACAAAGAGTGTCTGTGATCCTTAATGCTGTCAGTTTATTGAACAAGTTGGTGGCTAGGCACAAGAAGATCTGTTATTTCTCACCACACTTCATTAAGCTCCATAAAATAGCACCTGCATCTTGGCCATGTGACATGATATTTCTGGTTACTCTTAAACAATAAAATGTCTACTTTGGGCCAGGCATAGTGGCTCACGCCTGTAATCCCAGCACTTTGGGAAGGTGAGGTGGGCGGATCACAAGTTCAGGAGTTCAAGACCAGCCTGACCAACATGGTGAAACCCTGTCTCTACTAAAAATACAAAAATTAGCCGGGCATGGTGGCACATGCCTGTAATCCCAACCACTCAGGAGGCTGAGGCAGGAGAATTGCTTGAACCCAGGAGGCGGAGGTTACAGTGAGCCGAGATTGTGCCACTGCACTCCAGCCTGGGTGACAGAGCGAGACTCTGTCTCGAAAGAAAAAAAAAATTCCGTAATCACATTATCTCGCATTGTGTGCAGTTTCAAATTTATCTCTTCCCCCAGTTCAGGTATATTTCAGGTTTGGAAGGCTCAGACCCCCTGCAGTAAGGGAGTCACTATAGTCAGTGTCTTTTCTGTCTGTCCATCTTCTTCAGCTCTACTCATTCTCTATTATTCTGCTGGGCACGTGACTCTTCCAGGTTCAGAGCAGGAGGGGCAGGAGACCTAAGGTGTAGAAAGGTCTTACTAGGTGAGGTGTATCTGGTGTTGATGTCCTCTGGAAGGTGCTGACTCAAAACGATATTTTGTTGCTGTTTTTAGGGACTCTTGTGATTCTTTTGAGGACTCCCCTTTCAGTTCCTTTGACATGGTAGATGCTTCCTGTTGTTAGTTGCTTACAATCTTCCTCCAAGGCCCTTGGATTCCTAGTGATGGATCTGATTATTCCTGCTTGATCCTCTCATACCCCTAGGCCTTCCTCTTTAGCAGAGGCCCACTCAGGATGACTCAGTCCAGCTTCTCTCTGTGGCGTTCCCATCCAACTCTAGAGAAACTCACACAGCCCCGAATGTACAGGACATTCTAACCTAGCTGTCGTTTGTTGCTCTAATGCCCCAGGACAATTGGCTAACACAATGCCTTTCTTTTGTACTCCAGGTGGGAGACCAAACCAGCCCCCTTATCCCTCAACTTTCAGGGAAAGCCATCATTTTTTATAACAGTCTCTCTTAAAAGCTTGCTGTTTTGCAAACTAACACGGGAACAGAAAATGCAACACCGCATGCTCTCACTTGTAAGTGGGAGTTGAACGATGAGAACGCAGGGACACAGGGAGGGGAACGTCACACACAGGGGCCTGTCAGGGGATGGGAGGGCTAGGGGAGGGATAGCATTAGGAGAAATACCTAATGTAGATGACGGGTTGATGGGTGCAGCAAACCACCAAGATAAGTGTATACCTATGTAACAAACCTGCACGTTCTGCACATGTATCCCAGAACTTAAAGTATAATTTTTTTAAAAAAGAAAGAAATGTGCAGAATAGGCAACTCTATAGAGGTCGAAGGTAGATTAGTGATTGCTTAGGGATGGTGGGTAGTGGTGGGACAGCAGATTGGTATCTAAGGGCTATGGAGTTTCTTTGTGAAGTGATGAAATGTTTTAAAAATAACTGTGGGGGGATGGTTGCACATATATTGAAAAATGTTAAAACTGCTGAATTGTATATTTTAAATTTGTGATTTATATGGCATGTGAGTTTTATCTCATGAAGGCATTTTTAAACAAAACAACACTGCTGTAACTTAGACCAAACCAAAGTTTGTGTCAAATCCTGCTGTGTAATATTGGTTAAATTTTATAGTCTAAAATCTAAGCTTCATTTATGAGGATACTCACTTAATTGCTGAGGTGTGACGACAAAACATATTAGTAAATTTATAGGAACAAAATATTAGACCTATTACTGAGAAAATACAAAACCTGGAAATATGATTATATCTTTAAAAAGAATCTTATTTAGAATCAAGGGAAGTTATGAAACATATCAAAGAAATTAGTAGCTGCTAAATACAGAGTTAATACGTTAGACATTCCTTATCAGTGATTACAGAATACTTATATCAAATGAAATTAGATTATATATATTTGAATGGTAAACATCCAAAGTAGAATAAATTTATCATTTTGTATCCTAGAAAAAAAAGGTTGCTGTTTTTAGAGACGCTTTGCAAGAAAATGAACATGGAAAGCATCTCTGTGGAGCGAATTGTTTCATATTCTGCAGTATTTCACCAGTATCCCACATTCCAGATGAATGAAGAAACTAATTCTTCTACTTGTTTGTACACAAATTTCTCAAGATATGAGCTTTCCATTGGCAAACAACAATTACTCAAACATTGAATAACTACCATGTTGTGACAATATTTTTGGAAAATTTATCCTTTAGTCTTGAAACTTCTGAAATCATCTGAAAGTTATCTTTCTATTAATCGATCTACATGCCTCTGAATTCTGAAGAGAGAAAATTATGTATTGTCCCAATGTCCACAAGTATGGATTTAAACTGGGAACATTTATGTGGCAATGCATTAATGATTATTTGTGTCTGTGTCTATGTTGCCAATAGATGTTCATTTGTCTGGCTTGGACTTAAAAAGAAAACAGGCAGATTCCATTGTTATTGTAAGGCTTAGGTTTACCTGTTGCCTTCGTCTTCTCAGTGACCCCAAATACAGTCACCAATGCTCTCCACCTTCAAACTCAGCTTTAGCTGAATTTCCAAATCAGTCCAACCTTGTAATGGAGCCCGGATCTAGAATTCAGAGTTCCAGGAATGGACCCTGGGCATCTCTTTAGTTCCTTAGCATTTCTCCTTGTTCCTGCATTATTGTCCTATCTGGGAATAGGTGGCTTATTGCTCATCAGGGGCTTGAAATCCTGCCTAACTTCTGAGCACTGCCTTATAGCACTATTGTTGTTGGACCAGAGTCCTTCATAAACTTACTAATTGCTTGGAACCAAGGCCCTCCCTGCTGCCTTCATTAGGGCTTGCCTCCTAAACCTCTAATACCTTCTAGGCCGGATTAAATTCTACTGATATTAATGATTTGCAAACCATATCTAATGCAAATTTTCCCAAACAGCTATTCTTGAAAACTCCACTCTCTACTCTCTCCCTTTTTTCCCTGCTCCACATTTCTGAGATTCTAGAACACCTTGTACTTGTGCTCTAGCAATTGAGGGAGGGTCTGTAGAAATGAACATTCATAGCATACCTGGAATTTCTAAGAATTTGGCAGATGTGGACAAGAAAATCTCATTGACGAAAGGCAATAAATGGGTGGAAAAAAGTCCTGTTGAATGAATTATAGGTGTTTGATGATCAGTGTGTATTGGTAGAAAGCAAAGCTTTGCTAATAGATTTGGGTGTGAAGTTCAACACTTCCAATTTCTAAGTTTGTGACTTTTGGCAAGTTACTTTGCTACCCTGAGCCCCAATTTCCTCATCTGTCAAAAGAAAGCTTCTAATAGCCAGCTCCTATGACTCATATGAGAATTAAATAACACATGCCACAAGCTCTAGGCACTCATTGATCTTGCATGAAGTGTCTAATCCATATTTGTCTGGGTGCTAACCTGGAGAGCTGTCTTTAGTGGTATCCTGTTGACTCAGAATATGTTTAATACATTAATCTTTCTGGTTGGTTGAAGGTTTTTATTATACACTTTGGGTACATAAGCATGAATTGAGTTTATTTCTTCTAATACTGGCCCCCAACTCTGTTATTCAACCTTTTTTTCCTCCTCTACTGAATAGTAAGTTCCCTAAGAGTGTTTTGGGCAACAGTGCAGACGTATAAAAGTGAATTACTCATTTGGAAAAAGTCAAATAGTTTGAGTAAGCAAATCAAGAAGATTTTCTGTCAGGAAGAGGTGTGAGTATTTTATAAATGAGGCAAAGATGGCCTCTGTGTATTGACCCCAAGTTGTTAATTTCTTCCCCAGAGGCTGAGAACTGTTAGCACAAAAGCCCACCAAGTGCCAAACTCAAATTTCCTCCATATTCAGTTATTTCAAAAATAGCACAAACAAGCAGATTTTTAGCTACTTAGAACTACGCTGCTTCTGCCCTTGGGACGGATCCAGAGACTCCCCACAGTGCTGCCAAGTGGATATCGGCAGACACCTAAGCCCCTGGTCCAGACTGCCTCGCCCCCAGAGGCTTCTTTGCCCTCTACCGCCTCCGTGTTGGGACATCTGTGCCATTCATTGGGACAGACTGCTACTGTTAGGGACTTCACCCACATGCACACCCATCCAGCCATCACCCAGTAAAGCTTGTGTGTGCTATTGCTTCTTGGCATATCTTTTCTTTTATCAGTTCCCCAAACCTCTCCCTACAAGAGGTTAATGGGTTCACAGATATAGTTAGATAAAACAAATAATATGTTGTATTAGATAACACAACAGGGTGACTACAATCAATAATCATTTATTGTATATTTTAAAATAACTAAAAAAATGGGATCAGTGTGTTCATAACAGAAAGAAAGGATAAATGCTTGAGGTGATGGATACTCCAATTATCCTGATCTGATTTTAACACATCGTATGTCTGTATCAAAACATCACATGTGTCAGGCTTGGTGGCTCACCCCTGTAATCCTAGCACTTTTGGAGGCCAAGGTGGGCGGATCACTTGAGGTCAGGAGTTCGAAACCAGCCTGGTCATCATGTGAAACCCCGTCTCTACTAAAAATACAAAACAAACTAGCCAGGCATAGTGGTGGGCATCTGTAATTCCAGCTACTTGGGAGGCTGAGGCAGGAAAATCGCTTGCACCTGGTTGGTGGAGGTTACAGTGAGCCGAGATCACGCCATTGCACACCAGCCTGGACAACAGAGTGAGACTCTGTCTCAAAAAAAAAAAAAAAAATCACACAGACCCCATAAATATACACATCTCGTAAATACCCATAATAATTAAGAATACAAAATAATAGGTAAGGTTGAAGAAGCAGCAGAAGATAGTTTGTGAAGGAACTTGCATATTATGCTAAGATGTTGGGATATTATCTTTAAGGACAGTAAGCAGGGGAGGGACATGCTTCCCTTTATGTTTTAGGAGGTTCACTCTGGCTGCAGTGTGGAGAATGAGTTGAAAGGAGCAACGATGGAGGTAGAGGTGCTGTTGTCATAATGAAGAAAAGTAGTGCTGAAGACTAGGGGGAAGGAGATGCAGGGTATAGAGCTTGGTGGTCAGTTGGAGTTTGGCAGGTGGGTGGGTAAAAAATGAAGAGTCAAAGTAACTCCAAGACTTTTGGTTTGGGTGTCTAAAAATTATTGTTGTCATTATCCTTGGCAGAGAAAATAAAGGGAAAGAGCTGATGAGGTGAGAAGGATGAGAGTTTCAGCTTAGGGTAAAGTGGTTTTCATAGGAACAAGGTGGTGAGGCTTTTGGAGTGAATTAATCCTCTTAGAAGAGTAGGCAAAGTAGCCAGGTATGGTGGTTCACACCTGTAATCCCAGCGAGACAAGAGGGTCACTTGAGGGCAGGTGTTGGAGACCAACCTGGGAAACATAGAGACCTTCATCTCTACCAAAAGTTTAAAAATTACCCTGTTATGGTGGCACCCAAGTAATCCCAGCTACTTGGGAAGCTGAGGTGGAAGAATTGCTTGAGCCCAGTTTGACGGTGCAGTGAACTATGATCTTATCACTGCACACCACTCCAGCCTGGGCAACAGAGCAAGGCCCTGACTCAAAAAAAAAAAAAAAAAAAAAAAAAAAAGGAGCAGAAGATTGTAGAAAGTAAGATGTTAAGAAGACTGAGGACTGAAGATAGAAACTTCAGCAACACTGGGATCTAAGAAACCTGCAGAAGACGGCCAAGAATCCACAAATGAGGCTGGGAAGAAAGAATGTGAGAAGTTGGGGAAAACTCAGAATAGAGTGCTGTTGTGTGAGCCAAAGGTAGAATATTTCAAAAAAAAAGAGCAATGATCAGCAACAAGTCAAATGCCACAGAGTTCACATCACAGAAGGACTGGGAGTTGTCCTGGAATTTTAGCAGCCTTGAGAGCATCTGGACTTCTTTGAAAGAGATAGAATTCATTTCTCTGATTACATTACCTAGAAATAGACATTACATGATTAACATTCATGAGCAATGATGAGGCATATGAATAATTATTAGAAAATTGTGCAATTTAAATGGTTATGTCAACTAAGTGATACAAATATGATGATAAATTTATAGATGCATTGCCTCTGAGAAAACAGCACTAAACATATCTGAACTTTGCATTTGACCTGGTGAATTTAAAACCCCATGGAGATCCCAGATAATATGGAAAATATGTATAACTTTAGTTCATATGAATTCCTATGTGCCTAATGATGATTTGTGTTTGAAAGAAAAAATGTGTTGGAAAGAAAAAAAGACTTTTCCACCAGAATTCATAAGGTTTTATGTCAGTATACATAATAGTTGTTGCTATAGAAATTTTATTTGTTTTACTAAAGTGATTTTCAACATTTTACATTTACGCAATAAAAGCTGCTATAATGGGTTTTCTTCCTAATACCTTTACTGCATTAAAGTATTTACATATAGTCATATTGTATGTTTTTCTTCCTAAAGAACAGTATGTAGATACCGTCCCAAAATAATACCTTATTATTAGTTTCTAATTGTTTTATTTCTCACTCAGAATTTGGCTATCATAAATATTGTCTTTGCACTTGAGAAAGTTAACTGGATTGTATCTATATGTCAGTTAAAAACTACTTTTGAGTTCTTATTTTTTCTTCAGGGAGAAAAAATGTAATCATATAATCTAGAAAGAACAAACCAGATGGGATTGATAGACAATTACTGGGGCAAATATTTCTAATGTCTGACTGGAATATCCTTCCTCTTCACTCTCCAGCTCAATTCCTCATTCTTTAACTGGCAAATCTTTATTCTTTAAAACAATAGTACCATCCTGTTTGTGCGGTAGCGTCAGCCCTGTTTTGCCCAGGCAGTATCCATTGCCCTGTTCTTATCTCCGGTATAGGACATTCACCCCATTGTTTGTTGATGTCTATTTGAGTTCCTTTAAGTTGTGATCACTTTGAGGGTGAAAAGTGACATCTTTATATTTGCAAAGGGCAGAAAATGTTATCATATGTTTGTTGTACAATAATATTTTTAAGTTACTAGTGATTAATTTCACTTTTCTAATCCTAATCATACAATTAGGTAGGCAGGCTAGATTATCTCCGTTTTACAGATCAAGAAACTGATGACCAGAATACACCTCTGGCAGACGTGGAAAACCATGCTCTGATTCTATTTCTACCACAGGATACAAACAATCTTTTAGTAGTTGTCTGATTACATTGTGATATCAATGTTATTCTTACGAACTGTTCTTTATACTTCTTTTATTGGAAATTCTCATTAGAATTTCTTGACCACTGTGATTTTCTTTTTATTTTCGCTTCCCATTTCCACCAAGGATTTTATCTTTGGTAAATTGTTTCTATATCAACTTGAGGTTTAGAATCTTGGATGGGAAAAAATATCTTTATTTTTATTTGTCTCTAACCATAATTTAGCATCTGTGACTGGTTACTGGTATAAAACACAGATTTCATTTAATATCACTGCTGTTGAAGCTAGCTTGAAAAATGATTTATATTCATCAGTGCTTTGAAATTATGGTATTTATTAGACCTGCTAGATCCCTTTATTTAATGTATTAATAAAGGAGACTGTATTTTATTGTATCACAAATGTAATTGTTAAAAATATTGATAGCTTTATCATAAATGCTTCTCATTTTAATCTTATGTATTTTATTTTTTAATTTGAAAACATTATTCTGGGAAGGGGACTAAGTTTCAAGGGGTCTATGATGCAAAGCATTTTATTATTATTATTATTATTATTATTGAGACGGAGTTTTGCTCTTGTTGCCCAGGCTGGAGTGCAATAGCACAATCTTAGCTCACTGCAACCTCTGCCTTACTGCAACCTCTGCCTCCCAGGTTCAAGTGATTCTCCTGCCTCAGCCTCCCGAGTAGCTGGAATTATAGGTGCTTGCCACCAAGCCCGGTTAATTTTTTGTATTTTTAGTAGAGATGGGGTTTCACTATGTTGGCCAGGATGGTCTCGAACTCCTGACCTCAAGTGATCCACCCGCCTCAGCCTCCCAAAGTGCTGGGATTACAGGCATGAGTCACCATGCCTGGCCTAAAGCATTTTAAAGAATGACTGCTACAATGGAAAACCAGTTTCACAGAATCCTTCCCTTTGAAGCTTCGTGTCCAGACATTCCATCATCGAATCTACTTTCTTTTTTTTTCTTTTTTTTAGTGAGTGGATGAGACTGGGTAACTGTAGTGAAGGCTGCGATGTGCCAGTTAGGTTCCCTCCTTCCCCTGAATAGGACAACTGCTCTCAGCTGATTCTGGCGGAGAGTTTCCTTGGCTGAAAAGAGCCACCTGGATGAGGTCATGCCCCCTTCTGGGACAAACTGCATTCAATGACTGTTGTGAAGGGGTCCAAAGGCCTGGCTCCTCCCTTCCCAAATGGGGGATGATTCTGAAGGGTCATGTATCTCCAGAGCTCCCTCTAGAATGGGCCTAGTGAGACCTTTGCTGTAATTGCAACTTCCTTTTCTGTGGAGTGTTTCTTCACTTCCCATGGTAGTTGATCCTGAAAGTACTTCCAAGTAGAGTGCCACGTAAAACACAATTAAATTAGAATTTCAAACAAATAATTTTTAGTAGAAGCATGTCCCAAATATGACATGGGACATAAAATATACTAAAAAAATTTATTGTTTATCTGAAATTCAAATTTAACCAGGCATCCTGAATTTTTGTTTGCTAAATGTGGCAAACCTCCCCTAGCACACAAATATCTGTCTCAGAGTTTACTTCCCAGGTAACCCAACCTACAACAGCAGGTCCTTATGATAGTTAATGACAGCCAGGACTACAGCTAGGGTGGGCTGAATCATACATAACCCTTTCTGAGTCCTCTACACACTGCCTTCTGTGATGTCAGGTAGGAAAACAACAAAGGACAATGGGGTGATAATGAGTAGACAAATATTCACTAGTTTGAGGATACCTGAGATTGGGGAAATCTGTCATGTTAGGTATGAAAGTGACACTATCACTCATTTCAAAAACATCCTTGGAGCTGCATGAGGCATATGTGAAGAGTGTTAAACATAAGAGTGTACAGAGCATTTAATATAACTTGCCCAAACTTCATAGCTTTAGAGCAGGGCAGAATGTTGTAATTGCTTTTACTGTCACTATCTACACTAGTTATACCAAGAAACAGTAGAGCTTGGTGATCATTTAATTTTTAGCATGCAACAATAAAAGCATTATTATGTTTTAAAATTGTTTTAGAGATGAGGTCTTGCTATGTTTCCCAGGCTAGACTCAAACTCTTGAGCTCAAGTAATCCTCCCACTTCAGCTTCCTGAGTTGACTACAGGCTCACAGCACTATACCCAGCCCAGAAGCATTATTTTATCTGTATGAAATAGAACACAAAAAGTTTAGGGATTCTAGTTCTACTTTTGCTTACCTTTTAAGTGCTCTGGCACTTTGAGAAACATAAAATATGGCAGCATGCTACTGGAGGTTCCACCAATGATTAAAGACCTTGCTAAGAGGTCATAGACTGAATATATATTAAGGAACATCTCACCTTTCCAGGAAGGCTTTTTGCTGGTGGTTTCTGTTACTCTGAAGAATGGGGATGGGACAAGGGTAGGAAAGGGATATTGAAGTATGATGGGAGTAATAATACTTTCTGATTTCCAACATGTAAAAACTGAATTACTCTTTTAATATTTTACAAGAAGAGCCAGGACATATATTCAATAAAATAAATGTACTCCATTTTTTCTTCCTGAAGCTAGATTTAAAAAAAACTGTGGAATCAAATGTCTCTGGTATGCTGTCTTTTACACATCTTCATGTCACAGAGTTCAATAAATTGCCCATAATGACAGCCTTTATGATTTTAATGTCTGTGTAAACATTCCTTTGGAAGCTTTCTCAAGAGTATCTTTCAACATATGTTAATGTTTGCCAACAGAAAAAAAGAACAAATTATTTAAAATAACATATTTGGATCTTAATTCCCCTTGTTATCTTTGACAATGACACTTGTAAAAAAAAGAAATCCCAGTGTAACAAATGACTTGAGTTGTGTATGAGTTAAGGGCCCAGTTATGAGCTTCATTCTAAACCTAAATAATAATAAATAATGTTTTATTTAATTACGTCGTTGGTAATACTTATTTCTAGAAGTAGTTTTCTATGAGTTTCTGTATTCAACTTGGCATGTGGAAATAAATCTGAGATTATTATTTTCTCAATTTTTATTAGGTGGTTTTTCAAACTAAATGAGGCAAGAATCACATTTATAACCCTTGAATACTGTTTAGCTTCCTTCTGGACCAAGTAAGCCCATTTATTTAACTACATAAATGGGAAACAGCTTCAAGTATTAACTTTTTGCTTGTTAAGTGTTAGGACTTGACTGCAGAGAATTGTTCCATCCAGAACTTTAGAGAACAGTGTAATCTATCACAGTTAGACAGATGTGTGTGTGTGTGTATATATGTGTGTGTGTGTGTATGTACATACACACACACTTTTATTAAAGAAAAACAAAAATCACTTGGTGAATATTTTCAAATCCCTAGAAGTGAGAGAATTCTATGGGAATTATCTGCTCTGAAAACTCAATATGTTTAAGCTACACAGAATTGCTAAATACTTGTCCATCAAGATTAGTTTTCAGACAGGGTAATGGTCTTAGCCAATACTATGCACTATGTTTCACAAACTAATACATACAACGAACCATGCCAATTACAACTTCCGGCTAAGTGAATCAGTGCATCCTGTCTTCAAAGTAAACACTTTATGTATCTATTTTCAACATGTGTGGAGATTCATAACACATATATCCCTTCCTGTAAACCCTATGATTAGTAATAAAAACCGTTTTTTCCTGTAATATAACAATATAGGAGTTAATATAAACTCTTTAGCACAAAAACAGACGAATCTACACATTGTATTTTTCAAGGCACATAGAAAGCACTCGCCAGTCAACGTGGATGAGATTAGTTTATTTCATTAAAACAAAAGAGAATACTTTATTCTCCCAAATCAATGACCAAGATGTATTTATTTGAGGTATGTGGCACAAATCCTTTTTTTCATTTTTTTTTTTTTGGTGCATACCAATAAGATATCTGAGAAGGCATTTTATTTTGATGGAAGTAACAATTTAAACTAGAAACAGGGGAAATAGCTGAAGATTGAATTGAACTTAAAAAACAGTAAGGAAATATTGTAAATGATTCATTTTCACCTTGACAAGGAGGAGGAACGTCTGTGGAAGATGTGGTAGAGTGCTTTCATCCTAGATGCCTGCATTCTGGAGAGTGACTTCCAGGCAACGCTACTTGTTTGGTGTGCAGGGTATGAATGAACAGCAGAGTGCCTCCTGCATTTGGTGCCAGAAGAAACTCTTAAATGCTTCAAGGTCCTGAGTGAAAAAAAAACGTCTTATACAGAGAAACTAGTTAATGTTAAGAACTGTCCTTTATACAGAGATTCTGATCTTTTTAGTGTTTGGTACGATATATGATTCCTTTTATGAAATGAAGGTTACAGTACATGGGAGGGTGCTTGTGTGTATTTTCTTCTTTTCCTCCTCCCTTTTCTCATCCTTCTCCTTCTCCTTTTTCTTCTCTATCTCCTTCTCCTTTTTTCTTTCTGCTTCTTTCCTGTTTTTGTTTGTTTTTATATGTCCTAAGATGACAAAATAGAAATTTATACTTCATGTAAGTTAGTTAACTGTTTTTCTTTTAATATTTTACTGGTTCATAATAGTTAAAAGCATGGGCACCTCTTGAGCTACTTCGAGGGCATGGGTTTCTAATAAATCTTAGTAGGAATTATGGTTCTACGTCTAATTGGACGTATGGGCTTGAGCCTGTTACTTAACTGACAATTAGTTTAAAAAATAAAATAAATATACCTCCTTCTTAAAATTGAGCTGAGAAACAGATAAGATCATATGTTAAAGCATGTAGCAAGGTGAGTGGCTCAAAGTAGATTATCAGCATGTTTAGTTTCCCTTCCTTCTTTTGAATGGCACAGGAAACAATGCATTTCTTCCCCAGTCAGTGTGATCCTAAGTACAACTATACTACACAGAGGAATTCTTACTGTAAACTGACTAATGGTCAAAAGCTGGATATTGTTTTCAGTTTAAATCCTGATTCAGTCCCTTCCTTGTTGCATAACCTTGAACAAGTTACGTTCTCAAAGCTCACCAGAGTTTTACTAGAGCTTACTGGTAAGTGGGGCAATAATAACACTCATTCATAGAATAAAAAAATAATTTAGTCTAGCCAAATCAGAACAGGCTCTGTCTCCTTTCCAACCCACACCCTCTTTTGAGCAAACTACTCTTACTCCACTAACGTAGTTTTAGTGGGTGGAGCCAAACACCATCTTACCCCCAGGCTTCAAGAGTGGGCTTTTGTCTCAGGCTACCCAAATATGAGATTCTGTCATTCTGGCTGCAGGGATGCCCTGGAGTCCCAAACAGGGGCCCAGTTGTACAACTCTCTGTGACTTGTTCTTTGTAGAGCCAGGGCTGCTAGGAAAATGTCTTCCGGACAAGTTTCCAAATGATGTGATTCTAGAGAAATTCTGTGTCTATATTCTTTATAATCTGGATGAAGTCCCACACAAAGAGAGAGAGAGAGAGAAAGAGAGAGAGAGAGAGAGAGAGAAATGACAGTGATGGAGTCCCTGTTCTGGTTCAGTTCTGTGAACTAAAACATCATTCCAATAGTTCCTGTGTTTAAGCTAGTGCTCCCTGAGTTCTAGGCACTTATCCCTGAATGTCCAGAATGACCCATTGCTTCCTATACTCGTTTTAGGAGTTACATAGTGTAATGCATCCATAGAGTAAGAGATGCTGGTTACTGGCAAAATAGAAGAGTGTGATGATTAAGAGGAGGGACTTGGGGACAGACTGCCTGTGTTACATTCTCAGGTCTACCACTCACTAGGTTGTGTCTTTTGGCTACTTTATATATATTCTCACATTCTGCATTTGTAAAACCATGTGTAATGATAGTATCTACCTCATGGTTTTGTTATATGAATTAAAAATGTTTAAAAATTTTGTCATTTGTGAAACATGGATAGAACTGGAGGACAGTATGTTAAGTGAAATAAGCTAGGTACAGAAAGACAAACACTGCATGATCTCACTTATGTTTGGAATCTTAAAAAGTTGATCTCATAGAAACAGAGTAGAGAGGTGGTTACCAGAGGCTGTGGGGAAGATGAAGGATGCGGAAAGGGGAGATGTTGATCAAAGGGTACAAAGTTTCAGTTAGACTGGAGGAATTATCTATTGTACTGTATGGTGACCACAGATAATAATGTACATGTCAAAATTGCCAAAGTAATAGATTTTTAATGTTCTCACCACAAAAAAATAAGTTGGGGAGGTGATGGATATATCAGTTTGATTTTTCTGCAATGTATACATAGATCAAAATATCACATTTTGGCCGGGCATGGTGGCTCACGCCTGTAATCCCAGCACTTTGGGAGGCCAGGGCAGGTGGATCACCTGAGGTCAGGAGTTCAAGACCAGCCTGGCCAACAGGGTGAAACCCTGTCTCTACTAAAAATTCAAAAAATTAGCTGGGCATGGTGGTGGGCACCTGTAATCCAGGAGAGGAGGCTGAGGCAGGAGAATCACTTGAACCTGGGAGGCGGAGGTTGTCAGCCGAGATCCACCACTGTACTCCAGCCTGGGTGACAGAGCGAGACTCTGTCTCAAAAAAAAATTCATTTTACCCCATAAATATACACAATTATTATTTGCCAATTAGAGATAAATAAATAGAAAGAAACTTCAAAATGATGCTAATATTTGTAAAGTGCTTAGGCCCGTGACTGACATAATCATTTTGTGTATATTAATTACTAAAAATAAATAATAATATAAAGACAACAAGCCAAATGGCTAGCACATTGTAAATACTCAAGGTATGCATTTCACTTACAGGAAATAGTTGGATGGTTTCACTTTAATATGATGGCTAATTTAGAGGTGAAGGTGAAAAAATCATGAAAAGCTCTATAATTAAGAAACACTTGTAAAGTGACACTTTGAGCATTGTGTGAGAGAAGTCCCCTTTAAATTTTCTCAACTAAGTAAAGGAGATAATGGTGAAAAACTGCTTTCTAAACTAATAGACCTGACCTTTTCAAGAGAGAAACAACAGTAATATGAATATGGCTCTTGGAAATGAGGTTTATTCACCTTGTAAAAAGGAAGGACTACCCTTATGCTACACGTGAAGGCAAGGATGGAAAGAAGAGAGCTAAGAGAAGTTGTAAGCTGAGTTTGTAGGTATAGGTGAAGTTGGGGAAAAATTCTGTAATTTAAATTAATTTTGAAAATATAGTACTATTGTAGCTAAATACAAAATAGGTGGAGTCACTTCTTATGCTCCTGTGGGGGCTAGCTACCTATCTTTCTTTGCAATTGTCTATATATATGAACCTGGCAACTACATACAGCTTACTTCAAGCTAGTCTCTTAAAAATAAAGCCAGTAGAGTAAGTATTACTTATTAAAGTAGAATTTGAAAATATGAAATGTCCAAATGGCTAGACTTATGAGTATGCTTAACTTACACTTACTGATTTTGACTTGTTTTCAAAAACTCTGAAGCTAAGTGAAAAAAAAGTAAGATGAAAAAAACATTTATTTAAATATGAAAAGAGATGAGACATTCCATCTCAACCCAAGACTAAAGAAAACAAGGGAACAATAAAAATAAGTGTATATAAAAAATAAAAAATAATTTGAAAGTAAATAAAGACTGTAGATAAAACAATGTAATCAAAGATTATTGAGCTCTCTGAGGGATAAGAAAACTGGAGGGCAAGAGTGTTTGCTGGAGCTGGTATGAGAGGGCATTGTCCTTTGGAAGGTGCAATGCTGTACCATTATCTCCTTCTAGGGACTCAATGTATTAGTTTCTGTTGCTGCTATAAAAAAAAACACAAACTTAGTGATTTTAAACAAAACAAATTTATTATCTTATAGTTCAGGAAATCAGAAGTCCAAAATCTAGATATCAGTGGGGCTTTATTTTCTTCTAGGCTTCAGAGGGAAAATCTATTTCCTTACCTTTTTTCCAGCATCTAGAAGTAGCCTGAATTCTTTGGTTCATGGCCTGTGTCCATCTTCAAAGCTAGCTGTGGGCTTTCCAGATTTGTCTCTCACTGCTTCATTGTGACATTGCTCTTTGTGGTAAAATATCCTTCTGACTCCCTTTTATAAAGACCCGTGTGAATGCACTGGGAACACATTGTGCTCACCCAGAAAATCCAGGATAATCTCCCCGTCTCTTGATCTTTAATGAAATCACACCTGCAAAATTCCTGTTATGATGTAATGTAGTATATTCACAGGTGCTGGGGATTAAATCATAAACATGTTTCGGGGAACATTATTTAGCCCACCACACTCAGAGTTATCTTGCACTCAAATGTCTCTTAAAAATAAAAGTGTAGGATAGAAAAACACCTTTAGAGTAAAAATAAAGACTAAATATGAACATTCTCTGAAACATGTAATGTTACAATAGACTGAAGAGTCAAAAATACGTGACCTAATTTCCTCCTTCACTTGGTGCATGTAAACAAGGCAAATAAAACTAAGAGGAGCAAGATGGCCAAATAGAAGTCTCCACCAGTTGTCATCCGTGCAGGAACAGCAAGTTGAACAACTATCCATACACACAAAAATACCTTCATAAGTACCAAAAATCAGATGAACAACCATATTACCTGGTTTTAACTACATATTGCTGAAAGGGACACTGAAGAGGGTAGGAAAGACAATCTTGAATTGCTGATGCCATCCCTCCTCAAGACCCCAGCAATAGTGACATTGTGCAGAGAGAGAATCTGTGCACTTGGAGGAGGAAAAGCATAGTGATTGGGAGACTTTGCATTCGAACCCTCTGCTGCCCTGTCACAGCAGAAAGCAACCCTGGACGAACACAGCCAGTGCCTGCAGAGGAGCATTTAGATCATCCCTAGCCAGAGGGGGATCACCCATCCTAGCTGTTGGAATCTGAGTTCCAGCAAGCCTTGTCATTGTGGGCTAAAGGGCTCTGGGGTCCTAAATAAACTTGAAAGGCAGTCTACGCCACAAGGACTCCAATTCTTAGGCAAGTCTTGGTGCTGTCCTGGGCTCAGAGCCAGTGGACTAGGAGGGCACACAGTCCAGTGAGACACCAGCCAGGGCAGCCAAAGGAGCACTTGCATCACCTCTCCCCAAACCCCAGGCAATGCAACCTGCAGCTCCAGGAGAGGCTCCTTCCTTCAGCTTAAGGAGACGAGAGAGAAGAGTAGAGAGGACTTTGTCTTGCAACTTCAAATACCAGCTCAGCCACAATAGGATAGGGCACCAGGCAGAGTGCCTCCATTCCAGGCCCTGGCACCCAGAATAATTTCTAGACACACCCTAGGACAGAAGGGAACACATAGCCTTGAAGAGAAGGACCCAGTCCTGGAAGGGTTCACCACCTGCTCACTAAAGAGATCTTGGTCTCTGAATAGTCAGTAGTGGTGCCCTCACAGAGCTCACTATGGGACTTGGGTGAGACTCAGAGACATGCTGGCTTCAGGTGTGACCTAGCACATTCTCAGATGTGACCATGGGAAGATACTCCTTCTTCTAGACTCCTTCTTAAGAAAAAGAGAGGGAAGAGTAAAGGGAACTTAACTTCATCTTGAAGCATAGTTACCAACTCGACCACAATAGGATACCAAGTGGGCTCATGGGGTTCCTGATTCTAGGACTTGGCTCTTGGAGGGCATTTCTGAACCTGCCCTGGGCCAGAGGGGAGCCCACTAACCTGAATAGAGAGTCCCAGACCTGGAAGCATTCACCACAAGCTGACTGAAGCGACTTTGGGCCTTGAATGAACATTAGCAATAGCCAGGCAGAACTTTCCATAGGTCTGGAGCAGTGGTGGCCACGGGGAGAGACACTTCTACCTGTGGAAAGAGGAGGGAAGAGTGGGAAGGACTTTGTCTCGTGGCTTGGGTGCCAGTTCTGCTGCATGAGACTAGAGCACCAGGTAGATTCGTAAGGTTGCAACTCTAGGCCCTGGCTTCTGGATGGAGTCTCTGGATCCACCCAGGACCAGGGGAAACTTGTCTCCCTGAAGGGAAGGACACAAGCCTTGCTTGCTTCACCACTTCCTGACTGTAGAGCCCTAAGGCCTTGAGTGAACAGAGGTTGTAGCTAGGCAGTGGTTACTGCGGGCCTTGGGCAAGACCTAGTACTGTGCTGGCTGTATGTTAACGCAGTGCCATCCCAGTGGTGGCAGCCACAGGGGTTCTTGTGTCACCCTTCTCCTAGCTCAGGCAGCTCAGCATAGAGAGTGACTCCATATGTTTGGGAGAAAGTAAGGGAAGAGAACAAGAGTCTCTTTCTGGTAATCCAGATAATTCTTTCAGATCTTGTCCAAGTCTACCAAGGCAGTACCTCTATGAGTCTGCAAGAGCCACGGCATTACCGGGCTTGTGGTGTCTCCTAATGCAGAATCCGCTGCAGTGACCAAAAACTTAGATCACAACACCCAAGTCCCTTCAAATACCTGGAAAGTCTTTCCAAGAAGGATGGGTACAAACAAGCCTAGACTATGGAGACTATAGTAAATAGCTAACACTTCAATGCCCAGACACTGACAAACATCCATGAGCATCAAGACCATCCAGAAGAATATGATTTCACCAAATGAACTAAATAAGTACCAAAGGATCAATCATGCAGAGACAGAGATATGCGACCTTTCAGACAGAGAATTGAAAATAACTATTTTGAGGAAACTCAATGAAATTCAAGATAACACAGAAAAGTGATTCGTAATCCTATGAGATAAATATTACAAAGATATGGGAATAATTAAAAAGAGTAAAGCAAAAATTCTGAAGTTGAAAAATGCAATTGACATATGGAAGAATGCATCAGAGTCTCTTAAGAGCATAATTCATTAAGCAGAAGAAAGAATTAGTGAGCTTGAAGACAGACTATTTGAAAATATACAGCCAGAGGAAATATAAGAAAAAAGAATAAAAAAAGAATGTAGCACACCTATGAGATCTAGAAAATAGCCTCAAAAGGGCAAATCTAAGAGTTATTGGCCTTAAAGAGAAAGTAGTGAGAGAGATGGGATAGAAAGTTCATTCAAAGGGATAACAAGAGAGAACTTCCCAAACCTAGAGAAAAATATCAATATCTAGTACAAGAAGGTTATAAAACACCAAGCAGATTTAATCCAAATAAGACTACCTGAAGACATTTAACACTTACATTTTCAAAGGTCAAGGATAAAGAAAGAATCCTAAAAGCAGCGAGAGCATGTATACATATGTAACAAACCTGCATGTTGTGCACATGTATCCTAAAACTTAAAGTATAATAATAATTAAAAAAAAACAGGGCTCAACACTGCAGCTTCTTAAAGGCGAAAGTTAATAAAGCCTTGTTTTTGGTTGTGAAAAAAATAAAAAAATAAAAGCAGCAAGAGAAATGAAATAAATAACATGCAATGGACTTCTAATACGTCTGTCAGCAGTCTTTTCAGTGGAAACCTTACAGGCCAGGAGAGAGTTGCATGACATATTTACAGTGCTGAAGGGAAAAAGCTTTTCACCCTACAACAGTATATCCAGTGAAAATATACTTCAAGCATGAAGGAGAAATAAAGACTTTCTCAGATAAACAAAAGCGGAGGGATTTTATGAACACCAGACCTGTCCTACAAGAAATTCTAAAGGGAGTTCTTCAATCTAAAGAAAAGGACATTAATGAGCAATAAGAAATCATCTGAAGGTACAAAACTCTCTAGTAATAGTAAGCACACAAAGAATCCACAGAATATCATAATACTGTAATTGTGGCATGTAAATGACTCATATCTTGAGTAGAAAGACTAAAAGATAAACCTATTAAAATAATAATTACAACTTTTTATTACATGGACAGTATAATAATACAAAATTAGAAACAACAAAACATCAAAAAGCCAAGAGAGGAAGCTAAGGTGTCAAATTTTTACTAGTTTTCTCTTTGCTTGTTTGTTTGTTTATGCAATCAGTGTTAAGTTGTCATAGTTTAAAATAATGGCTTAGAAGATATTATTTGCAAGCCTCATGGTAACCTCAAGTCAAAAATAAAAATCAAGAAATTAAAGAATACCACCAGAGAAAATCACCTTCACTAAAAGGAAGACAGAAAAGAAGGAAAGAAGGAAGGCAAGACTATAAAACAACAAGAAAACAAAATGGCAGGAATAAGTCCTTGCTTATCAATAATAACATTGAATGCAACTAAACTAAACTCTCTATTCAAAAGACATAGAATAGCTCAAGGGATAAAAATATAAGACCCAGTGATCTGTGGACTACAAAAAATATGCTTCACCTATAAACACACACATAAACATTAAAAATAAAGGGATGGGAAAAGATAGTCCATGCAAATGGAATCCAAAAGAGAGTAGGAGTAGCTATACTTATACTGGAAAAAATAGATTTCAAGACAAAAACTATAAAAAGAGACAATGTTATTACATGATGATAAAAGAGTCAGTTCAACAAGATGATGTAATCATTGTAAAAGTATATGCACCTAATGCTGGAGCACCAACATATATAAAGAAAATATTATTAGTGGTAAAGAGAGTGATAGACCCCAATAAAATAATAGCTTGAGACTTCAACACTCCACTTTCAGCATTGGTCAGATCATCCAAACAGAATCAACAAAGAAACCTCAGTCTTAATCTACACTATTGACCAAATGGACCTAATACTATTTATAGAACATTTTATCCAACAGCTACAGAATACACATTCTTTTCCTCAGCATATGGATCATTCTCAAGGGTAGAATATATATTAGGCCATAAAACAAATCTTAAACATTAAAACAATAAATTATATCAAGCATTTTCTCTGACTACAATGGAATAAAACTAGAAATCAATGACAGAGCAATTTTGGAAACTATACAAACACATGTAAATTAAACAACATGCTCCTGAATGACCAGTAAATTAATGAGAAATTAAGAAGGAAGTTGAAAAATTTATTGAAACAAATATAATGGAAACACAACATACCAAAACTTATGGGATACAGCAAAAGCAGTTCTCAGAGTAAAGTTTATAGTGATAAGCAACTACATCAAAAAAGTAGAAAAACTTCATAAATAACCTAACAATGCACCTTAAAGAAAACAGTATGGAGATTCTTTAAAGAATTAAAGTAGATCTACCATTTGATCCAGCAATCCCACTACTGGATATCTACCCAGAGGAAAATAAGTCATTCTATGAAAAAGACGCTTGCACATGCATGTTTATTGAAGCACAGTTCGCAATTGCAGAAATATGGAATTAGCCCAAATGCCCATCAGTCAATGAGTGAATAAAATAATGTGGTATATATATCATGGAATACTACTCAGCTATAAAAAGTAACAAAACAATGCCATTCGCAGTAATCTGGATGGAGTTGGAGACCATTATTCTAAGTGAAGTAACTCAGGAATGGAAAAGCAAACATTGTATGTTCTTATAAGTGGGAGCTAAGCTATGAGGAGACAAAGGTATAAGAATGATACAATGGACTTGGGGACTTGGAGGGAAGAGTGGGAGGGGGTTAAGGGATAAAAGACTACACACTGGGTGCAATGTACACTGCTCAGGTGATGGGGGCACCAATATCTCAGTAATCACTACTAAAGAACTTATCCATGTAATCAAACACCACCTGTTCCCCCAAAAACTATTGAAATAAAAAAAGAAAAGTGAAAAATAAAAACGAAATAAAGGTAAAATTAGGAGAAAAAAAAACTAGAAAAGCAAGAGCAAACCAAACCCCAAATTAGTAGAAGAAAAAAGAAATAGAAATCAGAGCAGAAATAAATGAAACTGAAAAGAAAACATTAGAAACGATTAATGAAACACAAAGTTGGTTTCTTAAAAAAGATAAACAAAATTGACAAGGCTTTCGCTAGATTAAGAAAGAGAGAAGACCCAAATAAAATCAGAAATGAAAAAGGAGACATTACAACTGATACCACATAAATTGAAAGGATTGCTAGAGGCTACTATGAGCAATCATGGGTGCCAATAAATTGGAAAACCTAGAAGAAATGAATAAATTCCTAGACACATAGAACCTGCCAAGATGTAATCATGAAGAAATCCAGAATCTGAACAGACCAATAACAAATAATGAGACCGAAGCTGTAATAAAAATGTGATAGTTTCCCTCCTTTCCCTCTCTTTTCACCAGAATTTTCTATAAGCATGGTAGAGTGGTGATCTTAATCATTTATCCCAAAAGTTACAGCCTAGTGAGAGAGGAGCATGCCTAAGTTTGAGGAGAGCTAATCAATCATCCAGCAGTAGATGCAATGCTTGATGAACTCTTTTAAGTGGGGTGTTTAGCTATTGTTACCTGGAAATGTTAAGTGTGGGAGTTCATGTATGTACTGACGTTGAGTAGCCACAAGGTGGGCTGTGACTAGCAATGCAATTGGCTTATTACACACCCACTTAGGGTCTGTGGTA
Organism: Homo sapiens; assembly: GCF_000001405.40. Taxonomy (NCBI): domain Eukaryota; kingdom Metazoa; phylum Chordata; class Mammalia; order Primates; family Hominidae; genus Homo; species Homo sapiens. The sequence continues at coordinate 37,428,104 of NC_000013.11, forward strand.
CCTACAAATATAAGTGAAAGATAAAAGCTACATTTATCAGATTGCTTTTCAGCTATGGTGTGCTTATGACCTAGGTTTTAGCCAACTGGACATTTTCAGAATGGTGATCATGAGTGAAGAGATGGGATATTCTGTCAAGAATGCTGGCAAGTGGATTTGTTTTTCTTGTAGGGCTTGAATAGTGACAACAGCTTCCTTATCTGGCTACTTTCTAATTACGGAGCAAAGTGTTGACAGCAGCTGCCCTTTTAGCTGGAAAATTTTACCACGTGCTTCTGGGAATTATCAAAAAGTCATTCTTTTACTTCAGTTGTACTAAAGATAAAGGGAACTGTCTCATAATTTTCCTCAGATCAGCTAGAGCACATTCTGTCATCTTTAATAATGCTTATCAATATAGATATTCTTGCCATGTTCATTGAACCAATATTTAGTCTTTAGTATATGCCAGGCAAGACAGACAATAGACAACAAATGTAATCAGTTAAATTATGCAGTATGTTAGAAAGTGTTAAATTATATGGATGTTTTAAAAATGTAGATGAGAGAAAAGAAAAAGGGAAATGCAGAGGGAATAGAAGTGTGGAGAGTTGGCTGTAATTTTTAAATTGAGTGGTCAAAATAACCCTCATGAAATAAATAAGGATTAACGCATTCCAGTAAAAGGAAAGAGCCTGTGCAAAGTCCCTGAGGTGGCCACATGCCATGTGTGCTGGAGAAATAGCAGAGGCGAATGTGAAGTGAGCAAGGGGATGAATTTAGAGAGGTAATGCTACACCACTGGGAGGAATTTGGCCATTTCTCTAGTGTCATTGGGAACCTCTGGAGACTTTTGAGAAGTATGACATTACATTACTTATGTCATAAAAGAATAGATTGTAGTAGGAAAATAATAGAAGCAGAGAACTTGTGAGGAGCTATTGGGTCATCAAAGTGAGATGTGATGGTGGCCTAAACTTAAGTGGAGTTTGTGAGGGGCATTGGGGTTTGGATGTGTTCTGAAGTTTGAGCCAATAGTATTTTCTGAGATCGGATGTATGGTGTGAGAGAGAGGACACAGGTATTATTCTAACAATTTTAGGGCTGGGGAAATTTAAATACAAAATTGGCCTCAGTTATAAGAGGGTGGAGACAGTTTATGACCAATGGCTCTGTCAAGGCAATAGTCATCAGAATATAGATGGCATTTAAAGTCTAGAGTCTGGATGAGGTCAACAAAGGAGGAAGTGATGATGGGGAAGGGTTCAAGAACAAATTGTTGGAAGACTCCAACTTTAACAATGAGAGAAGAGGAGCTAATGCAGGAGACAGAGCAATGATTGAGCAAGTGAGGAGTCCCTAAGAAGGAAGTGAGGACAGTGTACTTACGAAGACAGGGTGAACACCTGTGTCAAGTGCTATGGAAGAAAGATAAAGTTCGAGAATTAACCATTTTACAGATGCTGCTTGACTTACGACGGGGTTATATTCCAATAAATCCATTGTAAGTTGAAACTATTATAAATAAAAAATGCGTTTAATACACCTAATCTACCAGACATTATAGCTTAGCCGAGCTTACCTTAAACATGTTCAGAACACTTACATTAACCTACAACTGGGCAAAATCATTTCATTTAACACAAGGCCTATTTTATAATAAGGTATTGAATATCTCATGTAATTTTGAATACTGTACTGAAAGTGAAAATAAGAATGGTTGTATGGGTATTCAAAGTGCAATTTCTACAGAATGCTTACCACTTTCACACCATCATAAAGTAGAAAACCTCTAAGTTGAACCATCATAAGTTGGGGACCATCTGTATTTGATAACTGAGTAGTCATTAGCAATCTGAGAGGAGCAGTCACAGTAGAGCAGTGGGTTTGAATTGTTTAAGATAACATGCTTGCTGAGGAAATGGTGACTCTAAAAACAGATGAGTCCTCAGGGATGTTTGATGCAAAAAGTCAAAGAAAAATGAGACAGTAACCTACAGGCAAAGGAGATCACTCAGAAGACCAGAGATCAGAGTTGGAAACTACATCGGGGAATAAGTCTTTTGCCTTAGTGATTCAGCAGAGCTTGCTATAAACAGATGAGTAATATAAGCTGTTGAGCAAGGATGGATATGAGAATAGGCAAGATGATCCAAAAAAGCTAAATGGCGCCATGAGACCCAAGACCACATGCAGACAGCAGTGAGCTTAGTGCTTCAACAGACAGAGATTGCAGGAACCATTTTTGAATTGGGTATTATGAAAATCAGATAAAAATTATTTAAGAAATATGAAGCTGTGTAAAATAATTTAAAAAAAGGTGATAGTGAAAAGCTAATGCAACTGAACTCAAAATTTAACTCAGAGCTTCAACCCAGTAGGCAGAGTGTTATAAATCTTTCATTATCCAGTAATGGGAAGGTTAGCAGTTTGTCAACTATATTTATATTTTTATTCTGGCCCTGAGATTAGAGAGAAATTTGTCATGTGGATGTTTTCTTAATGACAAAATTAATAATGTCATTGATAATATTTTTGCAACAATTGGAGGCAGCTTATGTGAAAGTGAAAGGCATAATGTGAGGTCAGGCATAGCCTGTTCCAATTTTGTGGTTTTATGGATATCTGGTTTAATGGAGGACTCAAGTTTGGAGACTTTAGGGGCATACATAGCTGCTATAGTTACCAGGTATTTGGTCATTACTAAAAGCTGAGTAGGGTAATTTGAGATGGGAGTCACTAGTAAAAAGCCAGGACAGGTAAACTAGAGATTCATGTTAGTTGTGCAAATGGCAGAGATGGTATTTTGATGTGAAAATTCCAGACCTGTTTTCTTACCTTAATTAAGGGCTATCCACCTCTTCATGAAGGTGGGCTGGAGGAATGCCTGCAGCCATACAGCACATTTCCCAATAGCAGTGTTCAAGCCTTATCTGTGGTTGAAAAGAGACACCAGTTTTTTACATCTAAATAATATCAAATGCCTCCATCTATCACACAGAAACTCAATATGGTTCTTGTCACACATTCAGTTCTAGTGATGACTATGTACCAATGAGATGAATTGCAAAAGACTCCCCCAAAAAATGTGTTAACATTTGAATGACAGATGATTTTTCTATATAGCTGGCATAATGAATCTGCTGAAAACAACAACAATAACAACAACAAATGTAGTTAGGCATAATTTATAACTCTGGATGTTTTTCCAGACAACAATTAATATTAATGTCTATTATTAGTTGACTACTTACTACATACCACACAAAACATTAAGAGCTTTATAGAGATTATGTAATTAGATCCTCATAACAATTGGAAATAGTTTTATTGTCCATTCGACAGACGATATTAATAAAAACTTGTGTGATGTTTCACAAGTAGCAATCAGAGGCCACGAATTAGAGCACTCAAACTATGGAGCTTATAATCTTAGTCACTAAACTGTCTCACCTACTTACTTGCTCCCTCTACTTCGTAGATGGTCCTGGAAAAAGGAAATTTCAGGTACTAAAGGCATTTTTATCTTCCCATTTGCATGGCAGAAGAACATATGAAGAGCTGGCCTTAGAGTGATAATAAATTAGGTACAGCTTGAAAAAATGGTGTAAGTGTGTAGAGGGAATGGGGTGTGTTATGAGTGTTGTGCGTGGGTGTTGGAGAGAGAAGGAAAAATTAGAGACTACAGTATTTTCCCTGTTTCACTACTTTTTGAAATTGAAACTAGCTCCAAAAGCTAACCTTAAAATATGTGAAACCTATTAAACTGAGAGTTCTTGAGATGGAAGATCTGTTTTTGTTTAATTGTACTATCAATTGGCTATGAAAACATGGCTTTATTATGGTATGGGGAAACCAGGAGTGTAGTAATTATGCAGGTAGCTCTGAAGTCAGATTTCTGGGGGTCAAATCCTAGTTCTGCTGATTTCTTAGCTCCTGTAGGCCTCAATTTTCTCTTTTCTTCTTAGGTCTTAGGATCATGAGGAACAAATGAAGCAATCTATATGAGACATTTATTACATCCATTACTGTGAGCTTTTATCATAATGAGTTTTGATTTAATGTTGGGAATCCATTCCTAGAATTTAGGAAGGATATTTGTGGAGACGATTTTCTGCATACACTTAAAAGCAAAATACCCTCTAAATAGTCTGAGATGGCTTACATTTGATTTTGCCTGCATCTGGACGTGCAGATGTACCTTGAAGATCTTCTACCACCTTTTGATCTGTCACTTTTCTCCAAGTTGTTCCATTTCTCTATTCTTGCTGGGTTTTCTTCACAATGTGGTTGCATAGTCCATTCTATCTCTAAAAAAGAACATTTTTAAATTTATGATACCATACACTTTTTTTTGTTTGTTTGTTTTTAGACAGGGTCTCTGTCTTGTCACCCAGACTGGAGTGCAGTGGTGCGATCACAGTAAACTGCAGCCTCAACCTCCAGGAGTAAGGCAATCCTCTCGCCTCAGCCACCTGAATAGCTGGGACTATAGGTGTGCACCACTGTGTCTGGCAAAGGCTTTTATTTTTTGTTGAGATAAGGTTTCCTTCCCCATTTTGCCCAGGCTGGCCTCCAACTCCTAGGCTCAAGCGATTCACACTCCTCCGCCTCCCAATGTGATGGGATTACAGGAGTGACCATTGAGCCTGGCTAGTTACACAGACTTTTTTGTAGGCTAGTTTCAATTTTAGCTAAAAACAAAAAAACAGCCAATGAAACAAACAAACAAAAAAGTTCTTCTAAAAATAAAATATTTCAAAATAATTTCAGTTAAAAATTTAAATAATATTTTTAAGGCTAAAATTACCAAAAAAGGCTAGGTAAAAAATTACAGGGAAGATACAACTATATCTTCATTCTCTTGTATTTCCATTTGTTCACTAATTCATGGATTCATTTCATAATAGATACAAAGATCACGAACCTACTGAGTGCCCACTGCTTTTTATGCTGGCTGTCTGGGTGGGTGCAGAGTTCTGCAGTCCATGATTCCTTCCCTAGGGGAGTTTGGAAAAATTTTGGACATGAAAACAGCATGCTAATTCCAAAGTTACATAAAATTTTGAGAAAATAGTGCAAGTGGTATTTTAAGAAAGCATATAATATTTTTCAGTTTTCTTTCCAAATAATATGAATAAACATAAGAATAACCACCGCTTATTTGGCTCAGCCAGACTTAGATCATCTTCCACTCCTTTGCTTCTGAAACACATGGACTCCTTATGACACAGAGCTAATTTGATAGAATAGTTCTTACAAGGCCTAATCCTGCTTCTCTCAAACTAAAGTCACTGTAGTTAGACTGTTTGAATGATGAATTAATTAGGAACAAATATCAGAATACTAGTACATGTCAAAAGTGGAGAGACACACAGAAAATATAAGAATTGTCATTTGGAGCTTATTCAGACCTTCTCTTTTATCATTGGCCATGCCAAGTAAAGTTTTTGATGAAGTTGGTTATCACTTTGAAAGATGAGAAAATAAAAAGTCATGAGTGCATAGGAACATAAAATTGTTAATTGAAAAGAAATATTTTCTAAAATAAATGTATGCTATGATATGCTGAGTTCTATGTCAGGAACTACAAATAAAAAGTAAAGGTGATGTTTTCTTTATTCTCAGGGTAGTCACACTTCAGTGTGACATACATACAAAGAAACAATTATATTTGTTATGTGGAACAGGGACAAGGGCCTGATCAACTTTTGGGGAGATTTACATAATATTTCACAGAGACTGAGATACGCTATGCCTTGAAGGAGTGTTTCAGGACTCGACAGTTTTTGTCTATGTTTGAGCCCTCAATCCCTCTTGTAATAAGATTTAACATGTTCAAACGTGCTTATGTTGCTCACAAGTTGGGTTAAAATACTAACTGCAGAAATCAATAAATAATAAATATACATGGTAAAATTTCAAAGGTCATCCCTTTTAAAAAATAAAGAAGAATAAATTATATATCTGTAAGAAGTGAAAAAATGGAAAAAGAAGAAAATAAAGAAAAAAATCCGGTTAATCCTAAAATACTAAAGGAAAGATAGAAAGGAAGAGAAATAGCAGGAACAATAGAAAGTAAGAAAGAAGATGCTAGAACTTAATCACAATATACATAAATGGGCTAAATTGAGCAATTAAAAGATGGCCAATTATCAGGTAAGATGAAGTAAAAATTACCGTCATATGCTATTATCAGGAAACACACCTAAAAAAATTAAAAAGTTGATGTAAAAACTGGAAAAAGATTCTTCAGGAAAAAAGAAGATTGAATAATTACATTAATGTCAAAAAAAAAAAACTTTAAGGTTAAAAAGACTGACAAGATATACAGAGCGATACTACTTAGTGATAAACATTTTAATTTGCCATAACTGCAACAATTCTAATCATGTGCACTTAAGAAAATATCTTCAAAGTGTATAAATTAAAAATTAACAGAAACATCTAGAAAAATAAAAATCTATTGTAGCGGGGGATTTCAATATACTATATCTCAATGTTGATAGGTTATACAAACAAATTTTCACAAGGATATAGAATTGGCAAATACAATTCAAAAACATTTAATAGGCACATATAGAATGAAAAAACAAATTGTGGCATATTTACATAGTCAAATATTATACAGCAGTGAACGAGACAGAACTAAGGACTATATGTAACAAGATGGTGACAGTAAGAACTGTAAGATTAAGTGAAGAAAAGACAAGTAAGAAAAGACCACATTGTTATACTATTTTATAAAGCTCTAAAACAGACAAAGCTAAAAATATTGCCTAGGGATACATACATATGCGATGGAGTTATATTTTTTAAAAAGTAATAGATTAAATGGCATAGCAACTTTGGAAAACAGGTTAGCATTTTCTTATATAGTTAAACATATACTTATCATATTAACCAGGAATTCCACCTCTAGGAATAAGAAATGAAAACATAAGAGTAATGAAAACGTATCCAGTACAAAGACTTGTATTCAATACTCATAGCAACTTTATTCATAATAGCCCACAATGGAAACAACCCAAATCGTCATCAACTGGTAAACAGACAAACAATTTATGGTATATCCACACAATGGAATGCTACTCAGCAATAAAAAGGTACTATGGTACACACACAAACAGGGATGAATCTCAAGATCATTACGGTAAGTGAAATAGATTGGACATGAAAGGCTATACTGTATGTTGTAAGTTCCATTTATATGACATTCGAGAAAAGGCTAAACAAGAATGACAGAAAACAGGTTAGTGTTTGCCAGGAGCCAGAGGTTCAGGAGAAGAAACTGACTACAAAGATGAAGAGACATCTTCTCGGAGTGATGGAAATCTTTTTTATCGTGATTGTGGTGGTGATTAAACATTTATGAAAACTCATTAAGTAAAACTAATGAATTACATTGTAAATAAAAATTACTGCAGTAAGAGTAATAAAAAAAAAGGAAATAGAATGTCAGACACAAAATTCAGAGTGGTGGGGGTTTGGGGGTGGGAAACAAGGACAACCCACAGGCAATACAATGTCCCAGATCTTAAGTGGGGTGAAGGATTGGACTCACAAGTATTCATTTAATTATTCATTATGCCTCATAGCCAACATATATATATATATATTTTGCATAAATCAACTATTATAAAATAAAATTTATTGAAAGAATTTTTTCCATAGAGAAAGAATTGCAGGGGATTATGTAGGAAAAGGAAGTGATAAACTGAGAAATCAATTTAATAAATTTTAACTCTATAATAATGTGTTTTTAAACTCGAGCAGGAATTTTGATGCAGACACTTCTACCAGTGAACAAAATACATCTTGTTCTTTTGGAATTGTTTCATATAATTTGTTTACAAATAAGATTCAGTCAGACTGTAGACAACTTATGGCTTATTACACAGAAATGAACTCATGAGCTCTTTCCCATGATTTGTGCCAGTATTTTAACCATCGTTTCTATAAAAGTCATAGATGATGCTTAATGCTGACTAGCACTGGATTTACCCTGATATTTTGGTGTTAAGAGGGAGAATTTTAAGAAGAATTACTTTAGGATTAAGTGATGTTGATGTTAAGTTATAAACTTTTCTCATATTATCTACATTTGGATCATGAAAGAGGAGAGTCAGTAAATATATTGTAAAAAGAATGAGGCAATAATTATATATCTTTACTGAAGTTTTTCCATGGAAGCAAAACACATTCCTCATGTCAAGGATTTAACACACAAGTGAATTTTTTTAATGCATAAATTCAACAGAAAGACAGTCTCAGATATGGATGGCATAAAACAACTTACCACCCACATATACTAAAAAAAAAATAAATTTAACATCCCAAGAATTGGAAAGTGCCAAATTAAAGATCTTAGATATGAACAGTAAAGCCAGTTGAATTTAGAGTCATGCTTAATTAGTAGTTAAAGAATATTTATAACTCTGAATACAAATAGTGAGTCTTTGATGGCTGAATATTTAACTCAAAAGTCTGCAGTTGAAAATCTCAGACATATTCATAAGCATTGCACACTATGATTAGTTTATCAGTCAGGATTCGAAGAAGCAGACCACTAAGAAATATTCTTATCTCTCTTATCTATCTATCTATCTATCTATCTACCTAACAATCATCTACCTATATCTATTAAGGGTTTGATCTTATACAGTTGTGAGAGCTGCTCTATAATACTTTTGTCTTCATGTCTAATATTGTAGTTTGATGTCCTTACAACAGGCATTCAGGAAGCAAAGATTGTCGTAAAGTGAGAGTGAGCCAGAACGGGCTGGAACAAAGGTGCCAAGGCAATCCAATGAATGAAATAATACAAATTTCAAGAAGTGATTCTTGGACCATTTTATATCTATAGGCAAAAAAATAAACTTAGATCCTTACCTCACACCATGAACAAAAATTAACTAGAAATGAATGATACAGCTAAATATAAAAGTAAAACTTCTGGAAGAACACATAGGAGAAAATCTTGATGATTTTGGGTTAGGCACAGAGTTCTTAGCGATGAAACAAAAAGCACAAACCATGAAGGAAAAAAGATGTTATAAAAATGTAAAACTTTTGTGCTTCCAAAGACACTCGAGTCACAGACAGAGAAAACATTTTCAAATCATATATTTGATAAATAATTTGCATCTGAAATATATAAAGAAATCTTACAACTCAATCATTATGAAAATAACCAAATTTTAAAAATGGGCAAAAGACTTGAATAGGCATCCCATCAAAGAAGACATACAAATATCTAATAAAAATATGAAGAGGTACTCAATGATCATAAATAGAGAAATGCAAATCAAAAAACAATGAAATACCAATACACACCTATTAGAATGGCTATAATAAAGAAAGAAAGTCAATAAGAAATATTGACTAGATGTGGAGAAACAGAAACACTTATACATTACTGAGGGAATGCAAAATGGTACAGCCTCTATGGAAATCAGGTTGGCAGTTTCATAAATGGTTATATAAAAACTTACCATAGAATTCAGCAACCAATTCCTGGTGAATCTATCCAAGCAGAGAAATGAAAACATATATTCACTAAAAGACTTGAACACAAATGCTCATAGCAGCCTTAATCAAAATAGAGAAAAACTGGAAACATTTCAAATGTCTATCAACTGATCAATATATAAGCAAAATATATAAAGCATTTGCAGACAATAAAAAACAAAATATTGATATATACTAAAACATGGATGAACCTCAAAGCCACTATACTAGATGAGAGATGTCAGACACAAACTACTGTATTTGCAAGATGCCATTTACTTGAAAAATCCAGAAAAGTCGCATTTACAGAGACAGTAAAACAGATAAGTGGCTGCCTGCGGCTGGTGGTTGGAAAAGCAATTTGCTGCAAATGAACTTAAGGAAATTTTTTTTGTGGGGGGGTGATAGAAATATTCTAAAACTGAATTATTTTGGTGGTTGCACAATTTCATATATTTACTAAAAGTTAATGAAATTTACCCTTATAATGAGTGATTTTATGGTAAGTAACATATACTTCAATAAATCTGTTAAGAAACACCCAATGGCCTGAAATCCACAAGCATGAGTTGGAGCCACTAGGATGGACTGAAACCAGTTATGTTTGAGCCTCTGAACTTGATAGTGTAGTTGTCTTGCAGAAACCAGGGCTCTTCATCAACAGAGCTAAACATACACACCTGGTCTGGCCCAGGAGTTGGAGAAGCTGAAGGAGGATCTAGATGAAGATAGAGCAATTTCAGGCTTAGCTACTGTCTCACACCAATGAAGTAAGGCAGCTTATAAATGACAATGTGTGTCAACTAAAACTGCATCCTTCAATTCTGCCCATGGTACCTTGTCCAGGAGCATACAGGAAAGGGAATTCCAAGCTACATAGGTCAGCCTTGCCAACATTATGAAGCTACCGTTATAGGAAGGGGCAGAGGGAACCTAAATGTTCTTTTTTTTTTCTTTTCTTTTTTTAACATATAAGGGAGTTACTTAAATGATGCCCATTTATTCTTTCTTTTGACAGAGCCCTATGATGAAATTATTTTATCAAGCTTTATCAAGGTAAATTGACAAAAATTGTATTATTTAAAGCATACAACTTGATGTTTTGTTGTATGTATACATTGTGGAATGATCACCACAATCAAGCTAATTAGCATATCCATCACCCCACAAAGCCACAAAGTTACCATTTTCTTTATTTTTTGAGAGTGAGTCTCACTCTCTCGCCCGGGCTGGAGTGCAGTGGCACAATCTTTCTTTTTATGGTAACAACACTTGAGATCTACCTTCTTAGCAACTTTCAAATATAGAGTACTGCTAGCTATATTCACCATTATTTCATGACTGAAACTTTGTGCCATTTGATCAATGTGTCCCCATTTCTGTCACGTGCAAACCCTGGAAACCACATTTTACTCTCTCTTATGAGTTTGACTATTTGAGATTCCACGTATGAGTGAAATGACGCAGTATTTGTCTCTTGTATCTGACTTATTTCACCTAACATAATGTTCTTCAGGTTTATTCATGCTATTACAAATGGCAAGATGTCCTTTTTTAAGGCTGAATAATATTACACTGTGTGTGTATGAGTGTGTGTTTGTGTATATAACATTGTCTTTATGCATTTATCTGACAACAGGCATTTTGGTTGTTTTCATGTTTTGGCTAGTGTGAATAGGCTGAAATCCACATGGAAATGCAGATATCTCTTTGAGATACTAATTATACTGGATATATACTCAGCAGTAGGATTATTGAATGATATGGTAGTTATATGTTTAATTTTCTGAGGAATCTCTATACTGCTTTTCAAATGTACCAATTTGCATTTCCACCAACAGCGTATGAGTTCCCTTTTCTCCATCCACATCCTCGCCAACATGTTATCTTTTGTCTTTTCGATAATAACTATTCTAATAGGTGTGAGGTGATATCTCATTTTGGTTCCAATTTGCATTTCCCTAATGATTGATGTTGAGCATTTTTTCATGTACTTGTTGGTCATTCGTATGTCTTCTTTGGAGAAATGTCTATTCAGGTACTGTGCCCATTTTTTAATCAAATTATTTATTTTTTGCTATTGAGTTGTATGAGTTCTTTATATATTAACTCTTTATTACAGATATGGTTTACAAATATTAAAAAATATTAAGGGATATTAACCCCTTATTAGAGATATGGTTTACAAATATTTTCTCCAATTCTGTAGGTTGCTTTTTCATTCTGTTGATGGTTCCCTTTGTTGTAGAGGAGATTTTTAGTTTGATGCAATCCCACTTGTCTAGTTTTGCATTTTTTCCTGTGTTTTTTGTGTATTATAAAAAATGATTGTCAAAACCAATGTCTAGAAGCTTTTTCCTTGTGTTTTCTTCTAGTAGTTTTATGGATTTCAGGTCTTACATTTAAGTCAATATTTTAAGTCTAAAATATATTTTGAGTTAATTTTTGTATATGGTATGAGATAAAGGCCTAATTTCATTTTTCTGCATGTGGGGATCTAGTTTTTCCAGCACTGTTTATTGATTGCTTTGGCCATTTGGGGCTGTGGTCCTTTGTAAATTTTAGTATTTTTTTTTCTTCTGTAAAGAATGCCATTAGGACTTTGATAAGGATTGTATTGAATCTGTAGATCACTTGGGTAGTATGGGCATTTTAATACCATTTATTCTTCCAATTCATAAACATAGGATATCTTTCAACTTATCTATCTTCTTTAATTTCCTTCATCAATGTTTTCTAATTTTCAGTGTAGAAATCTGTCATCTATTTGGTTAAGTTTATTCCTAAATATTTTATTATTTTTGATGCTATCGTGATTGGATTGTTTTCTTAATTTCCCTTTTCAAACAGTTCATTGTTAGTGATTAGAAATGCCACCCATTTTTATGTTGATTTTGTACCCTAAAATTTTGCTGATTGTTTAGTAGTTCTAACAGGTTTTTTTTTTTTTTTGAGTCTTTAGGGTTTTCTACATATATGATCAGATCATGTGCTGAGATAATGTTACTTCTTCCTTTTCCATTTGTATGCCTTTTATCTTTTTTTCTTTCTTTTTTTTTTTTGAGGCAGAGTCTCGCTCTGTCACACAGGCTGGAGTATAGTGGTGCGATCTCGGCTCACTGCAAGCTCCGCCTCACGGGTTCATGCCATTCTCCTGCCTCAGCTTCCTGAGTAGCTGGGACTACAGGCACCCGCCACCACTCCCGGCTAATTTTTTGTATTTTTAGTAGAGACAGGGTTTCACCAGGTTAGCCAGGATGGTCTCAATCTCCTGACCTCGTGATCCCCCCGCCTTGGCCTCCTAAAGTGCTGGGGTTACAGGCGTGAGCCACCGTGCCTGGCCCTTTTATCTTTTTTTCTTGTCTGATTGCTCTGGCCAGGACTTCCAGTGCTATATTGAATAGAAGTGGCAACAGTGGACATCCTTGCCTTGTATGAGATCTTAGAGAAAAAGGTGTCATTTTTTTCCCCATTGATTATAATATTAGCTGTAGGGTTTTTTTTTTAAATATGGCTCTTATTGTGTTGAAGAAATTTTCTTCTATAACTATTTTGCTGAGAGTTTGGGATGTTGAACTTTGTCAAATGCTTTTTCTACACCTATTTGAGGTGATCACGTGGCTTTTGGTCCTTCATTCTGTTACTGTGGTGTATTACATTGATAGATTTGTGTGTATTCAACCATCCTTGCATCCCAAGGATAAATCCCACTTTGTCATAGTATGTAATCCTTTTGATGTGCTGTTGAATCTGATTTGCAACCATTTTATTGGGGATATGTGTTTATTTGGGATATTGGCCTGAAGTTTTCTTTAAGTGTGTTATGTTTCTGCCTTTGGTGTCACAGTGATGCCGGCCTCATGAAATGACTTTGGGAGTGTTTCCTCCTCTGATTTTTGGAAGAGCTTAAGATGGATTGACATTAATTTTTCTTTAAATGTTTGGCAGAATTTAACCATGAAGGCTTTTGGTCTTGGCCTTTTCTTTGTTAGGAGGTTTTAGATGATTGATTCAATAGCCTTAGTAGGTCTGTTCAGATTTTCAAATCTCTTTATGATTCAGTCTTATATGTTTCTAGAAATTTATCCATTTCTTCTAGGTTATCCAACTTGGAATGTAATTTTTTATAATTTTCCCTCTGATCCTTTTTATTCTGAGGCTTCTGCTGTAATGTCTTCTCTTTTATTCCTGATTTTATTTGTCTTTTCTCTTTTTTTCTTAGTATAGTTAAGAGTTTGTTGATTTTGTTTATCTTAAAAAAATACAACACTTAGTTTTGTTTATTTTTCTATTTTCTGTTTGATTTGTTTCTGCCCTATTCTTTATAATTTCTTTTCCTCTGCTAACTTTCGGCTCAGCTTGTTCTTTTTCTTGTTCCTTGAGGTGTGAAATTGGCTTGTTTACTCAATATCTTTCACTTTTCTTTTGACGGAGTTTCGCTCTTGTTGCCCAGGCTAGAGTGCAATGGCACAATCTCAGCTCACCGCAACCTCCACCTCCCAGGTTCAAGTGATTCTTCTGCCTCAGCCTCCCAAGCAGCTGGGATTACAGGCATGTGCCACCACACCCAGATAATTTTTTGTATTTTCAGTAGAGATGGGGTTTCTCCTTGATGGTCAGGCTGGTCTCGAACTCCCAGCCTCAGGTGATGCTGCCTGCCTCGGCCTCCCCAAGTGCTGAGATTACAGGCATGAGCCACCGTGCCTGGCCTAATGTAGGTTTTTATTGTTAGAAACTTTCCTCTTAGTACTGCTTTTGCTGCATTCTATAAGCTTTATTATGTTGTGTTTTCACTTTCCTTGTTCCAAGATATATTAAAATTCCCTTGTCTTAGAAGAATCCTTAAATTAACCATTAGTACCAGTAGACTTTTTTCAAGAAACTTGAGTTAAAACCAAACAAAATATAGTCCATGGAGCAAAAGAGAATGCAGACATATCATGAACAACAGAAAATGTCTTAAAACAGATAAATGCTTGTGATATAATTTTAAATATAAAATAAAGGGGTATATTAAATTTTTGTAAAATATACCAGAACGTTTACTTTGTTTGTATTATGGGATTAGAGTGAAGTGAGTTTTATTTCTCTTTATACTTACTTGTATTTTATATATTTTTTACAATGACCAAATATTTCCAGGAAAAAAATTATAAAATATATTTAACTTCAACCAAATAGTTAGGCTTAGAATATTTATTAAGTGAGCAAATTTTATTTCTCTGAAGAGTTAGTATTACTTTCCTTAAAATACAAAAACAATGGTAAGTACACTTATCATTAATTGGTAAAATTGTATTGGTAAAATACAAAAAGTAATTGTATGGGTAAAATACAAAAACAATGGTAAGTACACTTACCATTAATTGGTGAGTACAGTGGTAAGTATATTTACCATTAAAGGTAAATACACTTAATATAGTGATATGCAATGAAATATTTGTGTTTCTTGTAAGTTTTAGTGTATCTTCTATAAATTATTTTAAGTAGTTCAGGAGTAAAATACATTTGATAGTCCATAACAACATTGTTTGTGGGTACATAAGCAATGGTGAATACAATCATGCAAAACTTCCCAGGCAGTCCTTCTTTTGTTTGCGAAAGCACATTTTGCAACAGTGTATTTCTATTTCAATAGAACATCCTAATCATGGCTTAAAAACAGAAAGTGCTTGAGAAAGCAATTATGTTAGATGAAGAAAACTCAATTCTTAACAGACTTTAGAGCATCTTTTAAATTGTCAATTTTTGATCAGATTCTTAGGGTATTTTCAGGAGGATGGAGGGGGATGCCTTCCTTTGGTGGCGTGGGGTTGGGTACAGGTGAGGGGTGGGTTTAATTCAGGAGTCAAATAGAAAAATCCTGGTTGTTCATGGGGCAACTTGTTTTCCTCTTACCCAACCCCACCCCTTAAGGAACAGATGGAAGTAACATGTCTTACCATTCTTGGGATCTCTACCTAGTGTCTGGGTATTACACTTTGTCAGGCCTCTGGGCAGATGCTGAGTAACAATGCTTAGGAGTATGGTGTTGAACTTTCTGCTAAGGAAGGTGTTATCAATGTGTCAGCACCTTTAATTTGTTTGCTTTCCTTCTGAACAGTTAGCAGAAACACGAGAATAAACCACAATTTTACTTTGTACAGCAACAATGACTTCACTCCCAAAGTTGCATAACTATGCAAATGCAATTCTTCTAAAACACATATTTTAAAAACCATGATGAGTCTCATGTGATGTGATCCTACTTCCCATGATAGAAGTCATTGAAGATGTGTCATTAGGATGTGTGGGAGAAAATGCTTCCTCAAGTCTCCAGGATTTGAGACAAAGTATTGCAGGTTAGATTAACTAAATGAAGATAATGACGGATCTTAGGTATAGCATAGTGGTAATTTTTTTTTTTTGTAGAGATGGGGTCTTGCTATGTTGCCCAGACTGGTCTTGACCTCCTGGATTCAACTGATCCTCCTGCCTCAGCCTCCCAAAGTGCTGGGATTACAGGTGTGAGCCACTGTGCCTGGTCCATAGTGGTAAATTTGTGTGCACATTTGACAATCTTCTTTTGATTAATATCTCCCATTGAACTCCTGCAATGACTTCAGCTGTTTGTCCTTCCTGTATCACTTCATATAGACCCAGTACATTTTAGGCAAGTATCAGGGCCCTGTAAATTTTCGACTCAAGTGATGAATACTTGAATACATAGATGTGGCTCTGACAACTATGAAAATTAACACTTTATTTTAGATACATCTAATTTAGCATAACCCCATGACTGGATTTTGTAATTTGGGACAGTAGATTTGAGGGTTGCCTCTGTGAATAGATTAGATTACCGTTCATGTCCCTCTCAACTCTGAAATTTCATAAGTCTATGGCTAGACACTTAACCCATAAGTCCCTCAAAAAATATTTCAATTGTTTCCTTCTTTCTGTTCTTAGCTTTGGTTTATGCATTAGTAAATAATTAAGATATAAGAATTGTTATAATTTGTTGAGCTGTATGTAATAAAGGACCAAAATAACAGTGGTTTAAATAGATAGACACTTTTTTTCTCATGTAAAGTTAGGATCTAGAATGTTCGGGGCACAACAGTTGCCTGGGACTCAGGCTACTTTGAGATGTCCACAATGCCACCCTTAAGGAGCAATTTTTATTCACCTAATCTACATTTTACCTCCATTCATCACATTCATGATCTAAGCAGGGTAGAAGAAAGGGAGAAAAAGTGGCTAGCACTTTCCCTTAAGGTGTATCTTATAAGTCATTTACATCTTCTCTCCTAACACTCCATTGATCAGAATTTTCCACAGGGTTACAGCTAGTGGCAAATGAGGCTGGTAAGGTTGTCTTCCCTCCCACCCTCCAAATATCCATGTGCTTGGCTTAAATTGGATTTCTATTATTGTTAAAAGAAAGAGTGCTTATTAAAACATGCTTATATGCTTGGGCACAACATCCATCCATCTATCTATCTATCTATCTATCTATCAGTTTTACACACACACACACAGAGACACATACACATATACACAAACAAATTGGTTTTCCAGAAAATCTCATTATTTTTCCCTCTACCACAGTGCAAGGCAGGTTTATTTTCCATATGTCATTTAAAATTTGATTCAATAGAAATTAATTACATGCCTATTTTGAATCAAAACTTAATCTAGTGTTTAAGTATGTTGGCTTTTGTCTTAGATGAGTACAGTGTTGTCAGTTGCCACCTGTGTGATATGAACAAGTTAATCTCCATAAGTTTTCATTTTCTCACCTGAAAATATATGTAATAATATATAACTTGCAGATGTGTTGTTATATTTAAATAATAAAAATTTATATAAAACTCTTAACAGTGTTAGGCACATACAAATAATCAGTAAACCAAGTTTTTAAAAATTTCTTCTTAATTCTTAGGTACTGTGAGAATAAAACATGACTACTTCCATTCCTTTCATTAAATTACTTTATAAGGCATTATGTCATCTGCACTGTAGAGAAGAAAAGAATGAAAGTAAGAAGCAGTCAAGAACTTTTTTAGGCAGGGCACAGTGGCTCATACCTGTAATCCCAGCACTTTGGGAGACCGAGGCGGGTGGATCACCTGAGGTTAAGAGTTCGTGACCAGCCTAGCCAACATGGTGAAACCCCCGTCTGTACTAAAAATACAAATTTAGCCGGGCGTGGTGGTGCATACCTGTAATCCCAGCTACTTGGGAGGCTGAAGCAGGAGAATTGCTAGAACCAACCTGCGAGGCTGAGGTTGCCATGAGCCGAGAGCACGCCATTGCACTCCAGCCTGGGCAAGAAGAGCGAAACTCTGTCTCAAAAAAAAAAAAACTTTTGTAATTCTTACCTAATTATACGACCTGGAGCAAGTCCCTTCTCTTGAGTCTGAGGTTTTTCATCTGAAAAATGGCAACAGTTATAATACATGTTAGAACTTCATGAGTAGCAAATGTCATTATGTTTCTGACATACTTTGAAAACTCTAATACACTTAAGGTGAGCAACGATAAAATAGCTGCTGTTAACTAGTGTTAATTCACACCAAAATTGTGCTGAGATCTTTACGTGTATTATCTCATTTAACCTCTTTAATCATCCTGTAACATATATATTATGAAATCTATTTATCATGAGCAAAAAAAGGACTTAGAGTTCCAAGATCACACCAGTTTGTGGCCAAGAATTCAAACCCAGATATGTTTATGTCCAAAATCAATACTGTAAAATATATTTTATGGTGCTACTAGTAATGAAGTGGTTCAGTGCATGGGAAAAATGTGCTAAGGACAGTGGATACTTTAATTTTGCCAGATCGTAGGGAATGTAGAACTGTGGAAGTCAGGACTGGAGGACAGGCTGGAGACACCATTTGGAAAGTTCTGAATGTAACGGCGAGGATTCAATTTAAATGAGGAAGATATGAGGAACTATGGAAGATTCTTATGAACATTCAAGCTGTGACTTAGAAGGGTTGAAATAGATGAATTAAATACGGGTGGGGAAAAAAAGCAGAGAGATGACTAAGAAGCTGTTTCAGCATTCTGCTATGGACCAGAACTAGGGCGCCGGTCATGGGAATGCTGCACAGTGAGTCTGTGTCTAGGAATGTTCTAGTGCTCACATGCCACTTATTAAGGATGTGTTCAGGAGGAACTTGTTGATGTGCCACTTTAACACTTTAAGGCAACCCTCCCATATCAGCAGCAGGGCACCAAAGGCATACTCCCATCAGTATTCTGGGTTTGCATGAGTTCCTTCTGAGCCAGACTTTTGCCACATTATCCCTACTTGTGACTTATCTCTTATTTCCTCTTGCTTGCTTCAAACCCATCTCTGATTTTGGCACCTTTAGTTTTCTTGGCTTTTGACCTCTGTTTTGCAAAATGTAGGTTTTGTTATTATTATGCAGGTGACCAGATTAGGAGATGGTTGCCATTGAAAAGGTAGTTTGTTACTCACAGTTCCAGGAGGAAGGGGTACACCATGCCACACCTGGCCACCCTGGGGAAGCGCTGGCATCAGGAGGCAGAGGGAGTGAGGGGAAAATGTGGACAAAAGTCTTTATTATGGTTTCCACAGGAAGTGACTGGCAAGGAAGGGCAAACAGGTTTGGTATTGATGAGTTCGAGTAATTTCAGCACGCTATGGGATCTAGGGGCTGTCCCTAGTTGTCTGGTATCTGGGTCTGGGGTGAGTAGGGCAGGCGGGTAGTGGTCCTCAGTGTAAAGGACTAATAAAGAAGGTGGTTGAGATGTGGGCTCTGGATTGGTTACTTGGTATATGAAAGGTGCACTCATAAGCTAGTCTTTTACTATCTCTAAGAATTAACTAGGGTCAGTCTTTCCAGAGTCTGCAAGTCTCCAAGATGTCAAAGCATCAAATATAAAGAAACTAGAAAATGTGGTTATTATATTTTGACCCACTGTTTTTATTCCTAGCTTATAATCAATAGTTTTCTTCTTGACTCATCAAAATCAGACCTACTTACAGATATTTTCTGAGCTTTCTTACTTAGCCAAAGGCATTCATTCTCGTGCATGAGGAGGTGGGGCAAGGCCGTTCCCATAAACAAAGTCCCACATGATGGTAATGGCTACATACCTAGGTCTAAAGTGGTCCAGACAGTGAGAAAAAGAACTTACATGTTTCAGAATGCTGTGACATGACCTGTATGATATGTGGCACTGATCAGTAGTTACCATCAGTGTATGCTGCATTAGAAATCAGGAGAATTGAGCCTACTATCTATGTTGACACTAACTATCTATGTGACTTTAAATCATTTTGCTTCATTGGTTTTCAGTTTTGTCTTTTGTAAAGAAAGAATTGGATTAGGTACTTCTGCAGCTCTTCTAGCTTCAGTATTCTATGATGCTAGCCCATGAAATACATATGCTGCAGTACTTAAATGGATTTCTTTTCATTTCTAACTTGATATGCCAACTAGACAGTCTCTTTTAGCTTTTAGCTGAAAATGTTCTATTATATCCCTCATTCTTCCCTTCAAAAAGAGTACAATGTTAGGGAATTTATTACACTTAACATAACATGTGTTTATGGTTCAGTATGAGAACCCACTATTTTTTCCTCTGCTAAGGTTGGATAAAAAACAGCAGCCTAATCAGTGATTATGAACTCTGAGCTCAGCTTTCCATTTACAAACAGTGAGGCTGAAAGCTATAAACATTCTTACTTCTGCCTGGGAAGAGTTGAATGTTCCAGCAAATGTACATTACACTGGAAAATCCAGGATTAGTTTTCAATGTCTCTGTAACATGTTGTTTCCACAATTACTCCCCACGTTAGCAGAATGTCCTCAAGTTTTTGGAGGGTGCTTTGCCTGGAGCTTGGCAGGACTCATACTGCATCCTCAGAGCTGGATGCTTTCAAATAAAGCTCTCCTGGAAGTAAAAACTTGTTTTGTCCTCATCCACCCTCCCTTGTTTGTTTAGCTTCCTTTGGTGGGAATGAAGTGGGTGAAACAGTCTGTTAACTCGTAAAAGCCTAAGGCATTTGCATTTAAGAAAACAATACATATATTAGTATGTTGGATAAGGAGAGGCAGGGCTGCTTATTTATGCTAGATGAGTAGCAATCTTCAAATTCATATCATAATTTTAATTTATAATTTTTGTCCAAAATGGGACAAAAAAAAAAAAAACGGCAAGGGAGCAGAATGGTGGTGATGGGGAGAAGTAGAAAAAGGGGAAAAAAAGGACCCATTTGAATTCTCAAGAAATAATTATTTGGTAGTGTTTTATTAATTTGAATTATAGGAAAGCTCAATGATATCACTCTTACATGTAGATAGGTTGTAGGGCATCTTTAAGGTCAAGTGTTCAGAAAAGCGAGTTAACAGACTTTTAATGGTGGGCATTTCTTTAGCAGCAGATGTGACCCCATGTTTCTCAATGACCCCAAGGCAAGAGTGATGGGCCCCCATATTTCTCAATGCCCCCAAGGCAAGAGTGATGGGCCCCCATGTTTCTCAATGCCCCCAAGGCAAGAGTGATGGGCCCCCATGTTTCTCAATGCCCCCAAGGCAAGAGTGATGGGCCCCCATGTTTCTCAATGCCCCCAAGGCAAGAGTGATGGGCCCCCATGTTTCTCAATGCCCCCAAGGCAAGAGTGATGGGCCCCCATGTTTCTCAATGCCCCCAAGGCAAGAGTGATGGGCCAGGGGCTAGAGGAAGCTCCAGAAGAAACACAGCCATTGCCCATCTTCCTGGAACATCAGTTCTTCATGGAGAATTATGTTTATATTGAGATAAACATTATGAAAATTTTAAAGTGTCTATATTTAAAACAGAACATAAAATTGAATCAAATTTCCACTGATGACAGGCCGTTTGGAGTTATACTGCATCACCCCCTGAGAGTAAGTATTTATTTTTCTCTGTAGGTAGAAAAATTTAAGAGTCACTGATCTAGACCATCCCCCTTGACTTTAGAGTTTAGGAAATTGTGCCACAGAGATATTAAATTGCCATGGCAACCCAAATCTGTAAACTCTGGTGCTGTTTATTCATACAGGCTGTACCTTCACGGTCCTAGGACGATGGGAACAGCTCCAAACCTTACAATGTCCCATTTTCACATCAAACATGGAAAGCAAAATCTATTTTCCACAAATAACAGGTTTATAAGAGTTTACTGCATCTCATTAGGTCTAATTGGGTCATGTCCTTACAAAACCAATCACCCCTTCTGAGGTAATTATAATGCTTTTCTTGGCTTATGCCCAAATGCTCCATCTCTTCCTGGGATGGAGGTTTACTCAAAGCACGTGGTTAGAAATTAGGGGATGGATTGGTTGCCATCCACTCAGGAAAAAAAATAGGTTATGATCATGAAAGGAAGGGTAACTGGATTCTGGGTGGCAAAAATAAGAGATGTGCACTAATAATACTCTTCTGATGAATAATGATGATAATGATTATTACTATTTTTATCATTTAAAAAACATAGATTTTCATAGTACTGTGGCAGAGGTTGTAATTTGGTAGCCCTTGGGCTGAATTTAACCTGCACCATGTTCTTAAACAGTAAGTTTGAATGCTTTAGAGAGAAGAAGCTTTCCACAATTCACTCTATGTTGCTTCTAGCACCACCACTTCAGTCACACACATTATTCATGGCCTCTGACTATATTCAAGAGGGACACTGTGGAGTCTTCAAGAAGATCATAATTAACTAACAATAATTTTAAGAATGGTTATCCTCCTACAGAAAGAAATCTGATACTCTCTGGCTTTAAGTAATTTCCTACTAACTTCTCCCCGCCCCCCATGACTTTTTATGTATCATGAGTTATTTCTATTTTGAAGTTTCTAAAACTTTTAGCACAAGTTAACAAATGGGCCCATGGGAAAGACTAAAATTTTGTGCCAGAACATTCTCTCATCTCCCATATGTTCACTCCTCATAGCTTTGACGGCTTCCCAGAAAATCTATCTAGTAAATAGTTTTTTTCCCCTACATCCACTAACCTTGAGGTAACACAGAAGATAGCCCTAGTAGGATGTCAACTTGATTTGAGCAATGTTTCTTTTTGCACACAATTATTTCCTCAGCCCCTAGAACAGTACCAGGCATAAAACAAGTGCTCAACATTTATTAAGATAAATGAAAGAGGGACATGTGTCCAGTGCGTGAGTTCCAAAGAAACAATGCACGGATAGTTTTCCTTTTCTACTTTCTTTTCTTCTCAATGTGAAATGTGGCATTGTTTTCTTTCTTGCTCATTTTTCTCTTCAACTAGCACAACTCTCAGAGAGTAACTGCGTAACTGACTTTTCTCCTTGTTGCATGGCACTGACCAATATACCCTGGCCAATCTGGGTTAGTCTGGAGAGGTGAGAGTCATCAATGAGAACTGTGTTCATGACTAAGCGTGCTGGGCCACACTGCACAGTTACACCTTTATTGCAAAATTCAGATATTACGAGGGTTCTAAGACCAGAACAAGTGGTCTCCTGTACATATTTACTGTTGCCTATGTGGTGAATTATTTCAGCATCTGCAAAAAGTTATATCTGTTTATGAATCTGGGCCTTGAATTCCAGGCCTGGAAGTTGGACTTTCAGACAAAGTAAAGGCCTTATTCTTTCTGATGCTTTATTCTCATCTGTTTAATCTAGGTGTGGATTTTGGGGTTCAGAAGCTTGTACCTCTCTCTCAGAAAGTGTTACTTGTTTCTCTGCCCTGTATCCTGATGGTACTTCTTTGTGTTTTTGCCTTTTAGGTTAGTAAACTTGATTCTGTTTACCTAAATTGTGCTATATCTCGTAGTTCCATTAATCCAAGACTACAATTGATATTTTTAATGTAACGGTTGTACAATGTGGCCCATTTCTCAGGGGATGGTGATGGAAGCAGTGGAAAGCTTTCCTTCTCTATGTTCAAGCAACATGAAAAATACAGTATTTGATCTAGACTAAAATAGGAAGTGCTTTGTATAAGTGTCTCATATATGTGCAAAGGAACTAAAGCTACCAGAAGAAATTCAAACTGCCCATTCTGATTTTCAAATATAATACTATAGTGAAACTAGAATATTTATATCCACTTTTAATACTATGTGTCAACCATTCAATTTTGTTTTGGCAATTAACACAAAGTTACTGCTCACAGAAAATTCATTTTCTTCTATAGATGCTATTTTAATATTTAACCTTGGAGGAGAAAAAGGATATTTTTTAGTTTGTTTATAACCAGAATTCTAAGTAATGGTATTTTAAAAGAAACAACCATAATTGACCACAAATTTGAATAAAGAATTCCCTTCTGATAAAACAAAGCCACTATTGTGGATTAGTGGAAAAATAAGTAACAAAATAGTTTGTGTCGATATTCTTTTAACTTAAACATGGAAGTGACTTCTACTCCAATGAAAACACTGACCCCTCACAGTGTTTCTTACTCTGTCAGCTGTGTCCTGAGCCTTATTCTGGAGCAACCAAGAAGATGACTGTTTAGATCAATCACATATGAGTTTAAAATGTAGCATAAAAATAGCTGTTAAGATAAATATTTGATAGTGAATACTGCTGATGTTCATAAAACTGATTTGATTACAATTTCAAACTAAAATACACTTTCATTTCTTTCTACAAGGAGACTTCTCTTCCAAGTTAAAGCTTTAATTATGTATTTACAAGGAGAAGATAGAATCCAGGTTTCTGAGTAATGTGATTTTATATCCGACTCATAGAAATAATTATGACTACCAAATAACACTTGACTCAATTCCCATTACATGGAAATAAATGTTGTGGATTCCTGGGCATCTTATGTTCTAGTTATTCTTTCCTAAAGAAGTCTTCCCCTCTAGTTTAAAAGCTTTACCTAAAGATGGAAGTAGACTGTTTTCATTCTGTGATGGGCCGCCTCTAACTTCAGCATCTGAGTTTGGTTTTAGTCTAATCATGTGTTTTGCCAGCAGTGGCTTGAGTGGGGAGTGAGGAAAAACTGTGGGTTCTGGAAACTGTGGAAATTGTGGGGAGAGAAATGCACAGAAAGGCAAGAAAGAGTTCCACAAAATTAGAGATGGCAGCGACATGGCTTGGTAAAATGTGGGACACCCTTCTTCGCGTGTGTGTTTTCTTCCACTGTGCATTGGTCTGGACTTTATGCTGTCATCCCACAGAGCCTTGGATGCATGTCCCTTATTTTAAGAAAAGGCCTGATTCAAGGGAAATTCTAGATGAGCTTTGATGTTCAACAGTACGTTGCTAATACTTTTTATCCCACCCTCTTTCATTTTGTGCTGAGCATTTTCTCTATCTGTAGTGGCTAAAAAACCCAGATACCCAATTAAGCACCAAATGTGTGTGGCTGGAAATGCTACTTTCTTACTTTTTGTTAATATTATTATTATTCTAAAGTATCTGATTGTATTTCATCTTACAGACCAAATACCTGAATGGTGGCCTTGGACTGTTGTCTTCCCTTTCCTTTTTTTTTTTTCTTCAAGGTCAGTATCTATAACTTCAAACTTGCAACC
Source organism: Homo sapiens (assembly GCF_000001405.40). Lineage (NCBI taxonomy): Eukaryota > Metazoa > Chordata > Mammalia > Primates > Hominidae > Homo > Homo sapiens. The sequence goes on from NC_000013.11 coordinate 37,453,111, forward strand.
ATCTCTTAAGTCTTTGCTTTAATCATTGAGAGTTGAATATATCCTCTCAGATTTCAATGTGAGCATTAGTGAGTATGGATCATAAATAAATAAATAGAAATATATTGAAACTTGTTTCACTTACTCAACTTGACCTAGGTTTAATCCTAGCCTCAGATAGAAACTAGATCCTCAAGGCCCAGTATATTTTGCAGTTGTTGATATTTTGTGCCTCAAAGTTGACTCTAGACCCAGAGTCAAAGAAATTTTGATGTTAGTATGAGAAAAAATTGGTGTAACATTTATTCCACATTCTCAGCACAGAATACCCTAGGGAGAAATCCCTTGGTTCTCTTGGGGGAATTTCTCAACTTCCTTTCCCAGTTCACATGGTTATGAGTCAACGCATAGAAGACTATTCTACCTTGGCTCCATCCATCATCCTTGTCAATCCTTTGCTTTCTCTCCAGTGAAATTAAGATGTCGTTCTGAGAATTATATCTATTTCTGATTTTTTTCCTCTCACCAAAAACTACATATACAGCCACTATTTTAGCTCTGACATCTGTATTTTTCTCTCAATATCATCATTTTTTGATAATGCATAATAGCATAGAAGTTGCTATATGATTGGAAATAGTGCAGCTTTTGCATGAATGGTAGAACTAGAGTGGTGTGTAGCACCCAACTCAGGCCACATTTTCTGCTGGTAACTAGCATACACTGAAAGCTAAATCTTTGGTGCACTTAATATACATGTCAAAAAGGAACATTTTCATGTAAACATAGAAAAATATTAATACATGAAAAATACTACTAATATAGTGTCTTAAGTTGGAATTTAATTAATGATTCAATAGACACAGAAGAACAAGAAAATAGGGGATGATTTCAACAGAGAAGCCTTCATTGAAAGACAGTATGTTTTTAACTTTTAAGTTCAGGGGTACATAAGCAGGTTTATTACATACATAAACTTGTGTCACAGGGCTTTATTGTACAGATTGTCACCCAGATATTAAGCCTAGTACTCATTAGTTATTTTTCCTGATCCTCTTCCACCTCCCACCCTCCGCCCTCTGGTAGATCCCAGTATCTGTCGTTCCCCTCTTTGTGTCCATGTGTTCTTATCATTTAGCTCCCACTTATAAGTGAGAACATGCAGTATTTGGTTTTCTGTTCCTGCATTAGTTTGCTAAGGATAATGGCCTCGAGCTTCATACATGCTCCTGCAAAGGACATGATCTTGTTCTTTTTTATGCCTGCATAGTATTCCATGATATATATGTACCACATTTCCTTTATCCAGTCTACCACTGATAGGCATTAGGTTGATTCCATGTCTTTGCTATTGTGAATAGTGCTGTGACAAATATATGCATGCATGTGGAAAGCAGTATTTTTAACAGAGCATTCAAATGTAAATAGCCTTTCATCAGGAAAAGAAAGAATGGAAAGAACTCCTGGGCCTGGTGTATAAAAATATATAGCTTTTTAGGGAATTTGGGTAAACTCAGTGAGCGTGGGTGAGTCAAATGGACTGGGGTGGTTATGAGAGAGGAAGGATGGGGAGACACTGTGGAAAACTTTGAATGCTGGCTAGACAGTTTGGAACGCAGATAATGAAAAAAAAATTCAAGATTTTGGGATAAGGGAGGGGCATAATTTAACCCTTTTGCTAAATAAATGGTTAGTGCATCAGTTAAAAAACAGATAGCACATTGAAATCAGGTAACCTGAAAAAAGTTTAATAAAGAGATTCTGCAAAAGATGTGGGCAGATTGGATGAAAATCAAAAGAAATAAAGCCTCTAAGACTTGAAACTGGGGCTGGGGGTGGGGCTTCACCATTCACACCTCTAAATGAGAAAATCTGGAGAGAAAGCTGTGTAAAGAAGGCCACCTAATAGGATCAAAGACACCAGGAGAATTAAATAACCTGGATTTCCTCTCTGCCCACCCTTTGAACTCCTACCAGCATTTCCTGGCGGTCAAACCCAACTGGGAGCTAGAGGAGAAGAACTCTTGATATATTCCACACACTTCAGCTTCCAGGAGAACAGATCAAAGTGGAGGGGAGTGAAGAGTAGATCTGAAGGAACAAATGAGAGAAATTCAGGACAGTTGCAGTTTGACAAATAGTTTCAGATGGTAAGAGAATGAGGTAGGCAGTCAAGAGGATAAAGGAGATATTGTAATAGTCCAGGAAAAGATACTAAGAATTTGAAATAGATCAGCATTAGCAACAATGGAAAGAAGGAAAAGATAGAAGGCACACAAAGAAGGAATTACTGGCTGGGTGCGGTGGCTCACGCCAGTAATCCCAGCACTTTGGGAGTCTGAGGCAGGCGGATCATGATCACAAGGGATCGAGACAATCCTGTCCAACATGGTGAAATCCCGTCTCTACTAAAAACACAAAAATTAACTGGGTGTGGTGGTGCGCCCCTGTAGGCCCAGCTACTCGGGAGGCTGAGGCAGGAGAACTGCTTGAACCTGTTAGGCAGATGTTGCAGTGAGCCAAGATTGTGCCACTACACTCCAGCCTGGCAACAGAACGAGACTCTTTGTATAACAACTACCATGATTAACGAGAATCAATTGTAATGCTATAAAGCCAGTTTCACTCTTCACATCTCTCTTATCATGAGTAGTTCTACTGTTAACGCATGCTTCAGTTTACCATTTTTAAATCTTGTAATGGTAAACTGTTACACAAAAGAGATGTTAGTGGTGTTTTCTGTGAGCCAGCCTTAATATATCCCAATGAACTAGGAGCTAGATTTCCTGGTGCATATTTTGTTCAATCTCCAAGTAAAACCAGTTTCTTTCTTTTTCTGATTAACCATAGAATTCTCCAGGCCATATAATTTATCATTTAAAAATATATAGCCTTATGTCTATTCTAATGTAAAAAGTTAAATTATTTACAAACCTAGGTATTCTAGCTATTGTTAGGAGCATTACCTGTGACACAGGTTCCAACTTTATTCACACACCCAAACATTGTCATGTTGAAGATGAGAGTGACTCACTGCTTTTTCTACACAGCTTGGAGTTATCCCATCTCTTACTGGTTGAATTGTGATCTCTCGAAATTCATGTGTTGAAGTCCTAGCCTTCAGTGTCTCAGAATGTGACCTCATTTGGAAATAGGATTGTTACAGATGTAATTAGTTAAAATGAGGTCATATTTGAGTAGGATGGGCTCCTAATCCAGTAGGACTAGTGTTTTTATAAGAAAGGGAAAATTTGGACAGAGACAAGCATGTAGAGAGAACTCCATGGGAAGGCTGGAGATGTGTAGCCATCAGGCAAAAAACTCTCAGAACCTAGGAGGGAGGCCTGGGACAGATCCCCAGCACCTTCAGAGAAAGCATGGCCCTGCACACACCTTGACACCTTGACCTCAGACTTCTGGGCTCCAGAATCGTAAGCCAACAAATTTCTATTGTTTAAGGCATTCAATTTGTAGTACTTTGTTATGGCAGCCTAGCAAACTAATACACCATCTTATCCTCATCCAAGCTTTCACTTACCATTATAAGCCTACTGTTTTCCAGGAAAGAAGTTTCCAAAGTGTGAACCTTCCGAACACTAGTCTCTGGAGAGGATCTGCAGAGAAGGGTTTTATGGCCAAGCACCTCCTGGAACTCTATAACACACCGTAAAAAATGGTCTCTCAGGAGTCCTGTAGCTGAGAACCCAGAATCCCTCCCATATGTGAAAAAACATGATTTTATTCTAGCATCTTTTGAGAGTTTTGTTCTTTGTATATGCAGCTCTAGTGCAATACACTCCATACGTTCACATTTTTAGTGTCATTTGATGTAATAAATGCTGATCACAAAGCACTTGATGTCATGAATATGTTTTAAATGTACGTTATTTAAAAATTTGGACAATTTTAACACCTTTATCATAATGTGTAATGTTTTTGCATTTCCTCAAACACATTTTGCTAATTGCTGCTTTAGAGACATCTTAAGAAACATGACTTCAAAGTAGCGTGCTGAGTTCTATACTACAAAATTACATCTTTTGGATCTTCAAAAGCACATTGACTTTTACTTAAACAGTAATTTGTCTCAATTTATTTCTGTAAATAAATTGGAGAGTTGGAATAATTTTGGGTGGACACATTACCCTAATTATTGCAATTCCCCACAGAATTTTGTTTTATAAACTCTTCATTAAAATAAACATATTATTGGAAGGAACCTCGAGAGTCAAGTTTTTCTTTCTGCAGAATAGAACCAACCACTTGCTAGTCATTTTGTCCATCATAATTCTAATTATTAACAGGGAAAAAGCCTCAGGTTTTTTTCTTGGGAACATTTCATTTTGTTTTTTACTAATGAGAAATTTCCACTAATCAGTATGTTAGAAGTCACTGAGTTCTAGTTAGAGCAAATTGGTGATCATTTCATCTTTCACAGTTCTATTTTTCTGTCTTATTTTCACTGGTTTTAGTGTGATTGTTTTTATGTGTATGCGAGATATCTGTTATATTCTATCTGCTTAAAATGATTGCTACTTTGTTCCACTGCCAAATGCTGATTGTGTGACAACCAAATTACTTGCTCTATATATGTTGCTTCAGCCACATGGATGCAACTTTAGAACGGAATGAACAGGCAAACATGATGACAGAAACACTAAAAGTGTAGGGAAATAATAGTCTATAAATCAGCCAGGGTTTACTCCTTTTGGACATACCTTTTGCATTGCATCATTTTAATAACTTCTGAGAAATGTTTGTACCAGAAATGTAAGGATACGCCCATAGGTTTTAATGCTTTATACTTCACATGAAGGCTTTGGCTCGTGAAGTCAGCAGATTTGGGCTTACTGAAGGAAAATTTTTATTCTTCACCCATTCTTTTCCTAGACGAGTGAGGTAGCTTTAAAAGAAATCTAACCTTGCCTCACACATAGTGAAAGAAAGTTAACAGGGACAGAGAAAATAGTTTCTTTTTTTTTTTTTTTGAGACGGGGTTTTGCTTTTGTTGCCCAGGCTGGAGTACAATGGCACGATCTCGGCTCACCGCAACCTCCGCCTCCTGGGTTCAAGCGATTCTCCTGCCTCAGCCTCCCGAGTAGCTGGAATTACAGGCATGCGCCACCACACCTGGCTAATTTTTTTTTTTGTATTTTTAGTAGAGACGGGTCAGGCTGGTCTCGAACTCCCTACCTCAGGTGATCCGCCCACCTCGGCCTCCCAAAGTGCTGGGATTACTGGTGTGAGCCACCACGCCTGGCAGAAAATAGTTTCTAACTCTCTGCATGACCCTCTGGATGCTATGCCTATAAATATGGGTATCTCAAAGTCAATAAAAACAATTGACATCTAAAACTCTTCATGTTTTATGCACTAGCAATATTGACTATTTTTTGGAGGAAACGGCATAGCAAGCTAAGCTTATGGTAAACTCATTAAAGGTTTGAGTCCAAGGTCTAGTTTTTTCTTAAGCATCTTTAGCTCACATATTCCTTCCTAATGATTGTGTTCTGCCCACAGCGAGCTCGCTTTTCTCCTTTCCAATCTAGATAGCACTGAAGGTCTACACGGGGGAAGAGACTTGCCTGAGCATATATTAATTTCTGATTTTTTGGCACGGAGGTGACTAGTATAACGTCTGTCCTTCTTGGAGTTTAACTTTACACATTTGACATACCCTTGGGTCTCTTATGTTCTTTATTCAGTTCTTTGCTTTGCTACTGGGGCAAATTTTAAACTATATCCTTTTCTAGTTCAGATGGTCAGAGGCTTGGCAGTGTTTGAAAGTCAAATCATCTCAACCTCCCACCTGCCTTTCAGGTACTTCTCACAGATTCTCCATTAAAGTGGCCTATAGTTCAGGGCTGTGTATGAGAAAGCAGAAACCTTACCTTTCTTTTTTCTTTTCTTTTCTTTTTTTTTTTTTTTTTTTTGAGACAGGGTCTCACTGTTACCCAGGCTGGAGTGCAGTGGCGTGATCAAAACTCACTGCAGCCTCAACCTCCTGGGTTCCAGCGATTCCCTTACCTCAGCCTCCCAAGTAGCTGCGGCTACAGGCATGCGCCATCACACACAGCTAAGTTGTATTTTTTTGTAGAGACGAGTTTTACCATGTTGCCCAGGCTGGTCTTGAACTTGTGGGCTTAAACAATCCACTCACTGCAGCCCACCAGAGTGTTGGGATTACAGGCATGAGCCACTGTGCCTGGTCAGGAACCTTATCTTGCCAGTGGATTCGTGTTGTAATCTTCATTGCTAAAGATGAATTTAGCATTTTGTTCACCTTGCCAATCGAACACACCTTTCAAATAAATATGCAGTGCTATGTTATAATGTAGCTGTTTGGCAAATTATCTAGCTTTCATTTTGTATAGGACAGTGGGTAATCTGGATGAATTTTGCAATGAATGTATATTTAGGGGTGTCTCTGTATGTGTGTGTCTGTGTGTGTCTGCGCGCACACACAGACACCCCTAAATACACACACACACACACACACACAGAGTGAGTGCTTGTTGGAAAGAGTGAAAGAAGGAGGAGAGAGAGAGGAGGGAGAATGAATAGGATAAAGTGGTAAGTGCAATAGGAAGTGGAAATTGGGTGAATGAGCAGGGATAAAGGGGATATTTGGGAAATTTGCTCATGTACAATATATTTCCCTCTTCTATTTCCCCAAAACAACTGTACAAGAAATCTGTTTCATTATTTTCCCCAAGTTTTCATCTTGAAAATAAAAAAAAAGAGCACCTGTATACACTTCATGTAGATTTAGTTTTTATGCTTGTGCAACATTTGCTTCTTTCCCAATGCACACACATTATTTGCTAAGCCATTTGAAAGTAATAATAATTTGCAAACATCATGACATCTCAATCCCAAATATTTTAGCATCTAACTTCTAAGAATAAATTCTCCTACACATAAGAAAATTAACAACAATTTGGTAATATAAAATTCTACACATATCATATTCAAATGTCCCCAGTGATCCTAAAAATGTATTTCATAGCTGGTTATTATTTTTTAAATTCCAGGATTCAATCAAAATTTATATCTTGCATTTGACAGTTATATCTCTGTAGTATCTTTTCACCCAGAACAGCCTCCTGCCCACTGATTTTTTTCTATCATTGACTTTTTGAGGAGTTCAGGCTAGTTGTCATGCAGAATGTCTCACATTCTTTATTGTTTCCACATGATTAGATTAAGGTTACACATTTTTGGCAAAAATTGTAGGTGATGTTATATAATTTTTATTGTATAACATAATGACCAGATGTCCAACTATTACTTGGTTAAGTTGTTGAATGCCAGATCTCTTCATTGTAAAAGTACATTTTCTTCTTTCTAATTATAAGTAATTTATGGGTTAGTATCTTGGGTCCATGTAAACATTCTGCCTTCAGCAACCTTTAACTCAACAGTTTGGCATTCTTGTTGAATCAGTTATTACATTGGAGGTTATAAAATTTCATTTTAAAAAACCCTATCATTCTTTCTACATTTATTAGCTGATATTATGCTGCAAAGTAGAATTTCTCTCTCTTTCAACTATTCCTATTGATTTATGGCCTCCCTGTGTTATTTATTATCTATTATCTTTATCATCTTTGATGATCCAATTATGCAAAACATGCCTAGTTGGAGCCTTCAAATTGCAACTACTTTGTATTGTGTTAAAAAAATCACATAACTTAAAATGCACCATGTTAACTATTTTTTAAGTATACTGTATAGTAATGTTAACTATATATCCATGGATTTGCAGCAGATCTCTAGAACTTTTTCATCTTGTAGGACTGTAACTTATTTCCACTGAACAATAACTCTCTTTTTCCCTGCCTCCCAGCTCCTTGAAACTACCATTCTAGTTTCTGTTTTTAAGAGTTTGACTACTTAGATATCTCATATAAGTAGAATCATGCAGCATTTACCTTTTCGTGAGTGCCTTATTTCACTTATCGTAATACACTGGCGATTCATCCATGCTGTAGTAATATTACAGAGTTTTCTTCTTTGCATGACTGAATAGCATTTTACTGTATATATAAACACATTTTCTTTATCCATTCATCCATTAACAGACATTTAAGTTGCTTCTACTTCTTGGCTATTGTGAATAATGCTTCTGTGAACTTAGGTGTTCTAATATCTGAGATTCTGTTTTCAATTCATTTGGATAAATATTAAGCAGATAAATTACTCTATCTTATGGTAATTATACTTTTAATTTTTTGAGAAACCTCCATAATGTTTTTCATAGCAGCTGCACCATTTTGTATTCCCACCAACAGTATATAAGTGTTCCAACTTTGCTAAATCCTTACCACAACTTTTGATTTTCTGTTTTGTGTATAGCGGCCATCCTAAGGAGTATTAGTTAATATCTCACTGTGGTTTTCATTTACATTTCCATGATGATTAGTGAGATTGACCATCTTTTAATATTCTTCATTGGTGATTTGCATAATCATCTTTGGAGAGATGTCTATCCAAGTTCTTTGATCACTTCTAATCAGGTTTTTGTTTGTTGTTGTTGTTGTTGTTGAGTTGTTCTTTTTTTTTTAATTTTATTTATTATTATTATACTTTAAGTTTTAGGGTACATGTGCACAATGTGCAGGTTTGTTACATATGTATACATGTGCCATGCTGGTGTGCTGCACCCATTAACGTGACATTTAGCATTAGGTATATCTCCTAATGCTATCCCTCCCCCGACCCCACAACAGTCCCCGGAGTGTGATGTTCGCCTTCCTGTGTCCATGTGATCTCATTGTTCAATTCCCACCTATGAGTGAGAACATGCTGTGTTTGGTTTTTTGTCCCTGCAATAGTTTACTTAGAATGATGATTTCCAATTTCATCCATGTCCCTACAAAGGACATGAACTCATCATTTTTTATGGCTGCATAGTATTCCATGGTGTATATGTGCCACATTTTCTTAATCCAGTCTATCATTGTTGGACATTTGTATTGCTATTGTGAATAATGCCGCAATAAACATACGTGTACATGTGTCTTTATAGCAGCATGATTTATAGTCCTTTGGGTATATACCCAGTAATGGGATGGCTGGGTCAAATGGTATTTCTAGTTCTAGATCCCTGAGGAATCACCACACTGACTTCCACAATGGTTGAACTAGTTTACAGTCCCACCAACAGTGTAAAAGCGTTCCTATTTCTCCACATCCTCTCCAGCACCTGTTGTTTCCTAACTTGATTTAATGATCGCCATTCTAACTGGTGTGAGATGGTATCTCATTGTGGTTGTGATTTGCATTTCTCTGATGGCTAGTGATGGTGAGCATTTTTTCATGTGTTTTTTGGCTGCATAAATGTCTTCTTTTGAGAAGTATCTGTTCATGTCCTTTGCCCACTTTTTGATGGGGTTGTTTGTTTTTTTCTTGTAAATTTGTTGGAGTTCATTGTAGATTGTGGATATTAGCCCTTTGTCAGATGAGTAGGTTGCGAAAATTTTCTCCCATTTTGTAGGTTGCCTGTTCACTCTGATGGTAGTTTCTTTTGCTGTGCAGAAGCTCTTTAGTTTAATTAGATCCCATTTGTCAATTTTGGCTTTTATTGCCATTGCTTTTGGTGTTTTAGACATGAAGTCCTTGCCCATGCCTATGTCCTGAATGGTAATGCCTAGGTTTTCTTCTAGGGTTTTTATGGTTTTAGGTCTTTGTATATTCTGTATATTAACTTTTTATCAGATATATGGTTTGCAAATATTTTCTCCCATTCCATAGGTTGTGTTTTCACTTTATGGATGGTTTCCTTTGCTGTACACAAGCTTTTTAGTTTGATGCAACTTTACTTGTCTATTCTTGCGTTTCTTTCTTGTGCTTTTCATGTTATAGTCAGAAAATTATTGCCAAAACCAGTGTCTTGAAGCTTTCCCCTATATTTTCTTCCAAAAGTTTTATAGTTGTAGATTTTATTATTGGTTCTTTAATATATTTTGAGTTATTTTTTGAGTTATATACTATAAAGTAGGGCCCAATTTTATTCGTCTGCATGTGGATATCCAGTTTTCCCAACTCTATTTGTTGAAAAGTGTACCCTTTCCCCTTCAGCCTTGGTATACTTGTTTGAGATCATTTGACCATGTGTATGAGTTTATATCTGGGGTCTCTATTCTGTTCCATTGGTCTGTATGTCTGTCTTATACCAGTATCATATTGTTTTGATTGCTGCAGCTTTGTAATATGCTTTCAAGTCAGGAAATGTGAGGCCTCCAACTTTGTTTTTTCTTTCTGAAGAGGGTTTTTACTTTTGGGGGGTCCTTTGTGGTTCCATGTAAATTTTAGAATTTTTTCTATTTCTGTAAAAAAATGAGATTTTCATAGAAATTTCATTGAATTTGTAGGTTGCTTTGGGTAGAATAAACATTTTAACAATATTAAGTCTTTCAATCAATAAACACAGATGTCTTAGTTCGTTTAGTGTTGCTATAAAGGAATACCTGAGGCTGAGTAGTTTATAAATAAAAGTTTTTATTTGTCTCATGATTCTGTTGACTGGAAGACTGGGCTTCTGGTGAAGGCTTCAGGCTGCTTCCACTCATGACAGATGGCAAAGGAGAACCAGCATGTACAGAGGTCTCATGGTAAAAGTGGAGGCAACAGTGAGATGGGGAGGTGTCAAGCTCTTTTTGACAACCAGCTATCCTGGGAAGTAATAGCATGAGAACTCACTCATTACTGTGAAAATGGCACCAAGACATTCATGAGGGATCCACTGCCATGACGCTAACATTTCCCATTAGTCCCCACCTCCAATACTGGAGATCAAACTTCAACACGAGGCTTAGGGGTACAGACATCCACACTATAGCAAGAGATGTCTTTCTATTTATGTGTGTTTTAAATTTCTTTCAATAATGTTTTGTAGTTTTCAGCCTTTTACCTTTTTGGTTATGTTTATTACTAAGAATTGTATTATTTATGATGCTGTTTTAAATGGGATTTTCTAAAAAAAACTTTTTTGGATTGTTCATTTTTAGTTTGTATAAACACAACTCATTTTTATAGCTTGCAGAATTGTTTATTAGTTCTAACATTTCACGTGCGCGCGCACACGTGTGTGTGTGTAGTCTTTAGGAGTTTCTACATGTAGCATCATGTTTTCTGAAAACAGATAATTTTACCTCTTGCTTTTCAATTTGAATGCATTTTATTTCTTTTTCTTGTTTAATTTCTTTGGCTAGGATTGCCATCACTATGTTGGATAGAAGTGGCAAAAGTGGGCATCCTTGCTTTGTTTCCAAACTTAGAGAAAAAACTTTCCATTTCTACCACTGAGTATGAGGTTAGTTTTCACATATGGCCCTTTGTTATATTGAGAACATTTTCTGTTATTTCTAGTTTGTCAAGTGTTTTTTTAAATCATGAAAGGCTGTTGAATTTTGTCGAATTAGTTTTCTGTATGGATTGAGATGATCAGGTAGCTTTTGTTCTTCAATCTGTTAACATGATGTATTATATTGATTTGATTTTTTTATGTTGTACCATCTTTGCATGCCAGGAATAAGTCTCACCTGATCATCTTGTAGTATTTTTTTTATGTGCCATTGAATTTGATTTGCTAGTATTTTGTTGAGTATTATTGCATCAATATTCAGTAGAGATATTGATCTATAGTTATCTTTTCTTGTAATATATTTGTCTGGTTTTAATACCAGGGTAATGCTTGCCTCATAAAATGAGTTTGAAAGTGCTTCCCCCTCTTTAATTGCTCGAAGAGTTTGAGAAGGATTAGTGCTAATTCTTCTTTAAATGTTTGGTAGAATTCTTCAGTGAAAGCATCAGGTCTGGGCTTTTCTTTGATGGGATTCTCTTTATTACTGATTCAATCTCCTTGCTACTTATAGGTTTGTTTAGATTTTCTGTTTCTTCATGATTCAGTCTTTGTAGGCTGCACACTTCTAGGAACTTGTCTATTTCTTCTATGTTATCTAGGTTGTCGGTGTGTGATTGTTTATAATAGTCTCTTATGATTCTGTTTATATATGTGGCATCAATTTTAATGTCTCTTCTTCCATTTCTGGTTTTATTTTTTTGAAGGTTCTTTCCTTTTTTCCTGCTTAGTCTAGTTATGAGCTTGTCAATTTTGTTTATATTTTCAAATAACCAACTCAAATCTTGTCACTTTTATAGTTAGATGTTTATGTGTGTGTATATTTTGAAGCAAAATCATGGAGGCATCTAGTAGTTCTTGTTGCACTTTTGATCATGCTTTTTAAAAATTCTCTTTTACTTTTCTTGAGAAACATCTTATGACAGGGACATGGAATTGTAAAATATAACATGCAAATGTTGAAGACAAAGTAAATGGCTGAAAGCAAACTGATGCTTGATAAAGAATATAGAGCAGCTGTGTGTGATCAGCCATGAATTAATAATAGCATACTATCTGCAACTTCAGAAAACTGCTAGTTTGCAAGTAGTTTCGGTGGATATTTTATCCTGTGGTTTCTCAAACTTATCTCAGTCAGAATTTTTTCAATCCTATGGTGACTAGCTTTATCTGAACCCAAGCCATCTCATACATGGATTATCAGTTTCCCTTCAAATTTCTTGCCATCACCATCAGTCATAACCACTAATGTTCCTTGCCATGTGTTTCCTATAGGTCATACTTGGATTGTGTTATCTCTATAGACTCTTTAAGATCCTGTAAAGACTCTTAAAATAATTTTATCTATTTTGGACACTGCTTTCAAGCTCTTTTGTGACATCTCGTTTTCCAGTTTTTTTTTCAAGACTCTTATGGATCCAATTTGTCCTTTAGTCATTTCACACCCCTTTTGTAGCCTTCTTCCAGAACAAACCCTATCATTTTTCTATTCCAAGTGTTTACTCATGATTTGGAAGTTCTGAATAGGAACTAGATTGTATGGGGCCTTGAAAGACATGGTAATAACTTTGGATTTTTTTCTATTTTTATATATCATATTACCTACAAATCCTAACATTTAGGAAGGAGTAGTTTCTGTGTCATATCAGCTCTCTCCTTATAAGGAATATAACAATAGAACAATAGATAGAACTCTTTGAAATGGAATACAGTCTGGAAACCTTTAAGAAGGAACTACCATGTTTTATCACATTCCAATTAGGTTATATCTGGGCAGCATCCAAAGATAATCCAGGTTTTAAAATATAAGAAGCTGAATATGCTGTTAGTCTAAGTAAAATTGCTGTTTATGATACTTGCTAAAGAAAAAATAAATGATAAAAGCAGATGACATATTCAAATCGTTTAACCCTGGGCTCAAGCTGCATGTGTGCGTATGTTTGTGTGTATGAAAGATGGAGAAAAAGAAGACACAATTGAGTAACTGCTGCTCAGTGAACCACGAAAGACAAAGTCCATATGGAATCCAAATGTTCATAGCAAATATTCACTTTTTTGCTAAGACTGTGCTGAAAATAAAACAACAATAAATAAATTATAGTAATAATGTTAAAAATTAATTAATAATCTTATAATGATAAATTGATATATCAACACTGTTAGTAACAAAAAATATTTCTGATGCTAGTTGTCTTTCTAATTCATCTGGTAATATAATTAACTCCTAGAAAGCAGGGGCAGTGGTTTATAAATGGTAAACTACTGTGTATTTACAAGGAATTATTTATTTTCCATAGCAATGCCTTATATATAATAGGTTCTAAACAAATGTTTTAATTATAATTAAGTGCTTTACATATCCCTAGTGTCTTAGAAATTTTTATTTAATTTAAAAACTAAATTTTATAGATTAAAATCTTTTCTTGGTTCCTGGATAATCAGCTTTATAGTTGACTGTGGATTTTGCATTTTGTGCTTAATACACGTATTACTGTACTTGATACATTGATAGGTTTCATCAGTTGTTCTTGTAAATCTCTCCTTTCTTGCTTCTCGTGATATTCATATTCCTTAAGTTCTCTGCCTATTTTCCTCTGGGCTCCTCCCAGCCAATAACTGCATGGCAGGGATGGTAATGCAGACCTGTTCCTGACAGACAGGGCACTCTTCTGACTTTGGCTCAAAGACTCCCCTTTAGCTTGGCCAAAATATCTGTAGAACTTCACTGCAGTTTTCTTCTTACCCAGACTTCCTTCTTTCCCTCTTTTCTGCACAATGTCAGAACATAATGGTCTGCCAGCTCTCCTGGCCCCTGTGACTTCCCCTCTATTTCATCCCACAGTCTTTTCCATCAGTAGATTTCTTACACTTGGAATCTTCTCAGAGGACCTGGACTGGTATATATACCCACCTGGAACAGGCAGTCTAGCCATCAAAGAGCAGGAGAGAAAACTTACTCTCTCTAAGAACTCTCTTCCAAGAGAAGAAAGGGTCTGGTTGGCCAAGGCACGGCAATTTAATATTCACAAATTTACCAGGCAGATAGATGTGGAGTGAATGAAGCTAATTGAACTGTTTTCAACTAGCCAGTAATTGCACTAATTGAAGACAAAACTGGAGTACTGAAAAAGCATTCCTCAAACAGTGCAGGAGACAAATAGAGTAGGCACACACCCCACTCTATTGATGCATGAATGCTAGAGTCTATCTGTCCCCATTTCCCATATACCTCCCTGAAGAACAAGCTCAGGATTTCACTGATAATGCCAGGATCATATTGCAGCCAAAATACCATTTAAGGTAAAGTAATAAGACATATGAGAGAGCAATCATTTTTAAAAACAAAGAAGAAAATGACATTGATTATCAGAGGGAACAAATCTAATGGTCTAGAAATTAAAAAATGTTTAATAAGCAAAACAAATACCCTTAATGACAAGAAACAATATTAGAGATATGGAGCAGGAAAAAGTTAATAATGAAGAACAACAAATTGGAGACATTGTGTATGAAAGATAAAATACCTTAAATGAAAAACTTAGAAGGTTAAATGGCAAAATTAATATCATTGAAGAATGAATATGTAGGCTGGTAAATAAAATCAAGAAATTGAAGGGATTATAGGGTTGTACAGAGGTGGGAAGTATGAGGAAAAAGTTAAGATGAATAAATAATAAGATGAAAATTATAATAGATTTCCAAAATGACAAAAATGCTGGTTAAAATATTTTGGAATATAATACAGAAATTATCTAAAATAAAAGAATACATAGTCCCAAGCTTGAGTATCAATAAGGATAATCAAGAACATATTATAGTAAAATTATGAGTCTTGAAAAGAAATAGAAATTCAGACAGTTTCCCACAAAATCCTCTACATTCTTGTCACCTCCCCACCCAACTTGAAAGTACTTTCAAAAGAAATACTCTAGGAAGAAGAGGTATAAATCCAGGAGAAATTAACAAGATATGGGAAGTAAGAGATAACATTAAAAATTTACTATTATATGAATTAAAAATTATAGAAAAAACAAAGAAGGAGAAGAAATATCTAAATCACTACAAAATGAGAAATTTCGATGATACCAATGTGGTGTGAGATGAGGGAGAGAGGAACAAAAATAGATGTGAGTGAGACCATGCTGTGGTATTTATGTGGTTCAGGAGCAATACATAGATATTGATAAGCTCAATAAATTGAAAAAAACCTTAAATGTGGTCCTTAATGAATATATATGAGAGATCAGAAGATTACAAGTAGAATACAAAATTTTCAAATGACGGAATTTAACAAATATCTTAAGATACAATAAATAGAAAATAGAAAACAGTTTGGTAAAATAAACTTTATCATAGCAAAGTGGCCCTCAGTAAAAGTGTGAAATCTAATGTTTTGGTTTTTAAAACAGTTCCAGAAATATAATGTTGTATTTTTAAAAATAAGATAATAGGATACTGAAAAGTTGAAAATAATGAAAAAGATGTACTTACCACCAAATTATACCCCAAATACATCCAGGGTAGCAAAGTAGCATTTTTAGAAAACCCAGACAACATAGATTTTACGGGAGAAAGTATCATATGAGGTAGAAAAGAATGTTATACTTTTGTCAAAGGCACAATAAAATAAGATAAGATATCAAAGTTGGGATAGGCAGAATTTTAAGATAATCCCCCCAATGACCCACTCTTATAAAATCCCTTCTCCTTGAGTGTTGTCAGGCCCTGTAATTTCTTTCTAATTAATGGAATATGACAAAGATTAAGGGATTGTGCAGGTGCAATTAAGGCCCAAAATAAGCTGACTTTAATCAAAAGGGAGATCATTCTGGGTACGTCTGACCAAACAGGTTAACCCATCCAAAGAAGTCTCCTACCTTCTATGAATACAGAGGTTCCAACTAGCAGCCTCACTCTTTCTCTGTCAGTCTCTCTTTCCTTTGCTAGCTTTGAAGAAACAGTTTGAGCTGAATTCTATAGTCATAAGAAAATGCAATTCACCAAGGTCCCTAGGTATCTTGGAAGCAGATTGTTCTCTAGTCAAACCTCCAAATGAGAATGTGGCCTGACCATCATCGTCATTTCAATAGTCTTGTAAGATCCTGAGTAGAGAACCTGGCTAAGTTATGCCTGGATTCCTGACCCACCTAATAAATATATATTATTTTAAGCCAATAAATATGTGGTAGTTTCTAATGCATTGTGAGGGTTACTGTTAGGTGTCTACTTGGTTGGATTGAGGAATGCCTAGATGGCTGGTAAGTATTGTTTCTGAGTGTGTCTGTGAAGATGTTGCCAGAGGAGACTGACATTTGAGTTGGTGGACTGGGAGAAGAAGACCCACTCTCAGTGTGGCAGGACACCATCCAATTGACTGCCAGTGCAGCTGGAACAAGGCAGGCAGAAGAAGGAGGGTTAACTTTGTTGTGCTGAGGCTTTTGGCTCTTTTCTTCTTCCTGTGTTGGATGCTTGATTACACTTCTTCTGCCCTTGGACATCAGACTCCAGGTTCTTTAGCCTTTGGCCTCTGACACTTGCACCAGTGGCTTGGCAGGGCATGCAGGCCTTCCTATATACATATAGATAGATATGTATGTGTGTGTGTGTGTGTATGTGTACATATGTATGTATGTAAAAAATCTCCTATTGATTCTGTCCCTCTGGAGAACCCTGATTAATAAATGCACTAATAGATAACCATGACAAAAATTGAACATATATGCACCAAATGTTATACTTTTAAATACATAATGCAATAATTGACAGAAATATAGGGAGAAATGGATAAATCAAGAATGGATGTGAAGAGTTTCGACATGCTCTTCTCAGAAAATAATAAATAAAAAATTTAAAATACAAGCAAAACTATTAAATATTTAAATATTATCAACAAACTCTAATATATATTTAGGGCATGATCTTTTATCTCAAATCCACAAGACCAGATGAATTTCAAAATTTAGATTTTTGTGATATAAAATTAATATAATTCTTATGTTATATACAATACACCATCCTTGATGAGATACAGCATAGGACTTCATAATCAAATATTAGTATTTCTACAGCTAAAGAAGTAGTAAATAAAGACATGAAATAATGGCATCAGTTCAATATAGGTTTTTATCACTAAATCCATATAGGTTAGATTTCCTCACCAAATGAGTTACAAAAACCTTAATTTTGGAGCTTTTTGAGTTTTAGAATTGCAAATAAGGGGTTGCAATTAATGAAAATTGGCCTTGTGTTAGGCTTTTAAAAAAATCTTCACTTTTAAAAAAAGGTCTAAGGAGTCAGCACCAAAGAGACCATGTTTTCTGATCTCAGTGAAATAAAAGTTGAAGTCAGTAACGAAAGTATATCTTTTAAAAACCTCAACATACTCCTATGCCTAGAAAGAAAACAAAATAGTAAATAACCCTTCAGAAGAATAGGAAATTATAAAATATATATGGAATGCACCATAAAAGTACTTATGAGTATATTTATTACTTCAAATGTATTTATAACAATGTAAATAAATTGAAAAATAAGCTAAGAATACACACACACACACACACACACACACACACACAATCAGAAGGGCCACAGATGAAAAAGGAGAGAACAATACAAATGACGACACAACAATCAGAGCAGCATGTGCTTTTACTGAAGGGGGCGTGGAAAATCAACTTCTCACTCCATCCCTCTGACACTGTCCCAGGAGGGAAACTGGAGCATCACCTGTTTCTGCCTGGTGAGGATGAAAGGATAGCTGCCTGGCTGGCTGTGCCAACAATACCTGGAAGGGGAGTCAGGACACTCCTGCTTCTCCAGGAGGGGAAGGGGTGGGATGGGAGATTTGCTCTTTGCTTTGGTGAGAATTCCATTTTCCACAAGGTTGGGGCATGAAGTGTAAAATCAGCTCCCTACTGGGCCTGCTGAACCTGTGATAGGTGAGTGGGAGGAAGCGGTTTTCTCATTGCTGTGTGTGGCTAGAGTAGGGAAGGTATTGCCACAAGGTTTTCTGCTGTTAGGCTTCCTGTTTCCCAGTTCCTTGGCTAGCAGAAACAGGTTTTCTTGGGGATTATCTGGTCAGTCTGTTGCCAGTTCTTGTTTGGAAGCTGCTATAGCACCTCTTCCAGGATGCATGGGAGGCTGCAAGAAATCCAGAAAACTTGACCCTCAAGTACTGGGGTCCCTATGTGTCCGGAATTGGTTCCTTCCGGTGGGTTCTTGGTCTCACTGACTTCAAGAATGAAGCCACAGACACTCGTGGTGAGTGTTACAGTTCTTAAAGATGGTGTGTCCGGCGTTTGTTCCTTCAGATGTTCAGACGTGTCCAGAGTTTCTCCCTTCTGGTGGGTTCATGGTCTTGCTGACTTCAGAAGTGAAGCCACAGACCTCTGCAGTGAGTGTTACAGCTCTTAAAGGTGGCGCATCTGGAGTTGTTTGTTCCTCCCAGTAGGTTCGTGGTCTTGCTGACTTCAGGAGTGAAGCTGCAGACCTTCGCGGTGAGTGTTATAGCTCATAAAGGTGGCGCGTCTGGAGTTGTTCGTTCCTCTGATGGGTTCATGGTCTTGCTGACTTCAGGAGTGAAGCCACAGACCTTTGCAGTGAGTGTTACAGCTCTTAAAGGTGGTGCATCCAGAGTTATTTGTTCCTCCCAGTGGGTTGGTGGTCTCGCTGACTTCAGGAGTGAAGCTGCAGACCCTGCGGTGTTACAGCTCATAAAGGTAGTGCAGACCCAAACAGTGAGCAGCAGCAAGATTTATTGTGAACAGTGAAAGAACAAAGCTCGCACAGAGTAGAAGGGGATCCCAGTGGGTTGCTGCTACTGGCTTGGGTGGCCAGCTTTTATTCCCATATTTGGCCCCAGCCACCTCCTGCTGATTGGTCCATTTTACAGGGCACTGATTGGTCCATCTTACAGAGGGCTGATTGGTCCATTTTTACAGAGTGCTGATTGGTGCGTTTACAAACCTTTAGCTAGACACAGAGTGCTGACTGGTGCATTTTTACAGAGTGCTGATTGGTGCGTTTACAAACCTTTAGCTAGACACAGAGCGCTGATTAGTGGGTTTTTACAGAGTGCTGACTGGTGCATTTACAAACCTTTAGCTAGACACAGAGCGCTTATTGGTGTGTTTACAAACCTTTAGCTAGACAGAAAAGCTCTCCAAGACCCCACCTGACCCAGAAGCTCAGCTGACTTCACCTCTCACCTAGATGGTCAATCTTTATTTGCCTACCTTTCAGGGTCTTCCTAAGCTTGCTTGTGTTTGTCCAGGGATTTTAGTTGCAAGACGAAGGATCTGGGAGGAATGAGGCTAGTCTGTCTTGGAGAACTGGAAGTTTCCTAAGCACTGTGATTTTTATTGTTGAGACATGCGAATGGTCACCTCATTCCCTTTTCTTTGGTACATACTGTTGGAGAAGAGGTTTCAAGATCATGTTGACCTATTGATTTTTCAAATGAGATTTTAGCAGTGTTGCTTCCAGTTCCTGCTATCTCCAGAACCCAAAGATGATTCCAATAAAGAAGGGGACTCTTTTGGAAACAAACGCAGCAGTTACGCTGTACTTAAACCTACCCCTGCTCCCTCTGGTTCCTTCTTACCTTGGAGTGAATTATTTCAAGAGGCTTCTCAACTATCATGCAATGGGACTTATCTGCCTAGCACGGGGTTTCTGAGCCTTAGCACCATTGATGTTTTGGACCAGATAATTCTTTGCTGAGGGGTATGTCCTGAATATTATGGGATATTTAGCGGCATCCCTGCCTCTACCCCTAGGTGGCAGTAGCAATGCCGCCCTCCAAACCTCCCCCACCACGCCTCCTATCCCCTATCCCCCACCCTGCAGTTGTAACAGCCAAAAAGTTTCCAGATGTTTACAAATGTTGGCAAAATTACTGAATGAGAACCACTGGTTTAGCCCATTTGCCAGATACAGCCAACGTGTCAGAATATTATTTGAGTTCAAGGCATTGTCTCTCTTTAATGAATTCTGCAAGTAATAAAAACTCACTTCTACTTTTATCTTGCACATGTATTCTTACTGATTTGGGTAGAGGCAGAATGTGATTATTTACAACAACCCATCTTTATTTTTTGTAGAAAAGGCACTGTTGTGACTGTGATTAAGTTGTTTTAAAAAGTAATTCAATAAATGTAGTGCTCACTGTGTGCAGAATAGAAGGAATGGTTTTGGTACCCAAGAGCACATTCACAGATAATTCCTTGGGGAAGATTTTCCTGGAGAAGTGTATGCAGCCTGGGAGTTAGTGAAAAGAAGAATCTGTTTCATTAGGGGTAGACCTAATTGAAGAAGAAAATGGAAGAAAATAGAAAATTTTATTTCTTTTGTTGTTTTCATTGAGTTTCTTCTCCATGCCCAGTATATGCACCAGATGGAAAGAGGAGATTTGTGTCCAATACTGTAGCTTGATTCCTGGGAACCCCAGAGGCCTCTCTAGTAATCCCTCCTGCCTTTGCTGTTTTCTTTGTAAATTGAATTTTTTTTAATACTTCGAAAGTTTTTTGTGGATTTCATTTTATCCTCCAAAGAATTCTCTGCATACTTATCAGGTATCCTAAAACACAACATCATTCTAAATCAATGTGCTTAAATTGAATAAAAGACAATATGCTTAAAATGAATATGAAGCCATAAATACAAGTCATTCTAAAATGACATGCCTAAATTGATTTTTAAAATGAAACACAACATATTAAAGCACAGTTTGCACATTCTGTACCCTAGAACAAAACTCAGGGCAGAGGCTTAGGCACCTAACAAGCTCTGATGAATGGTAGCTCAGTTTGACGGGACAAATAGCTCCATTTGACAATGACGTTTGGCAATGTAGGTTATTCAGTAGCCCAGGTAGCAGACTGTCTGATATTTCTAAGCAGACAGGCAGGACAAAATTGTGCTGAGGATCTTGACATCAAGCAAAATCAGGCAAGGTCCCTGTAGGAACTGTCACATAACAAATGTAGGATGCATGAACTTGGATTAGCTCCTGGTGGGATGAGAAGATGAAAATAGCAAGATGTTGGAGTAATGGGGTAATAGATAGATTGTAAGGCAAGGTAGCTTCTTTAGAGAAGCCAAGAGCAATAGCCTATGAAGGAAACAAAGTGGGATGTTATTCTGGAAGCCAAGTAAAACACCCATTATTAAAACCGTGTGATTAAAGTCAGCCTATTACTGACTCTTGAGTTATTGAGCTAGAATTTCTTAACTTCTCTACATCTTATTCAAAATTGGATTACTGTTAGGTCCTGAATCAATCAGTACTGAGCTTGTAGTCAAGGGTCATATCACCCCAACCACAGAAGGAGAATTCTAGAAGACTTGTCGAAGAAAAATTGCAAAGGACAAGTTAACCAGGCCAGGAGGGCTTTATTCAAGACTATTGCAATAGGGGGAACTAAACTCTATTGAAACAAAAGGAAAACTAACATAGGAACAGGAAACCAAATACTGTGTGTTCTCACTTATAGATGGGAGCTAAATGATGAGAACACATGGACACAAAAAGGGGAACAACAGACACTGGGGCCTACATGAGGCTAGAGGGTGGGAGGAGGGAGAGGAGCAGAAAAAAGAACTGTTGAGTACTAGGCTTAGCACCTGGGTCACAAAATGATCTGTACAATGAACTCCTGTGACATGAGTTTACCTATATAACACGCCTGCGTATGTGACCCTGAACCTAAAATAAAAATAATCACAATAAAAAGAAACTAAAGGCAAGAGAATTTTCCAGCTCTGGGGTGGGTTAGTGGAAAAGTCCCGGATGACATCAGGAGGGAGGCAGTCAATGTGGTTATCTGTGTTTGCTAATCATTGCTTATTGAAGTTAGGCTCCGGAGACTAGGGCCCTATCATTATTGATGATTACATTTCAAAAGGATGGCCTTCAGGTCCTTGAGGAAGACATTCCTGGCTTGTAAAACTGGCAAGTGGCTAGAAGAAGATTTACATGTCAAAAGGGCATAGAAAGAATTTATACATTGCAAGTTTTCTTAAAGTAAACACTTTTAAGAAAAGGGAGGTCAGGGGCCAATAGTCAGAAAGAAATCTGTCTAAAAGTTTAGTCAAACTAAGGGAAACATTAAGGTCATCTTGGTCAGAGTAACAGTGGGATGGAGAGAGGAACACCCTATTATAATACTGAACAGGAATCTTGTGAAGTAGATATTTTTATTGCTTTTTTTAGACAGAGAAATTAAGTTTTAGAGAGATTAAGAACCTTAAGTTATATAACCAGTCAGTAGAGCAGTCAGTATTTGAAACCAAGTGTCTCAGCTTTTACTGTACAAGGTGGACCATCTTAAATCGTATACATTAAAAAAAATCCCACCTTTGTTTTCTCATCTAAGTATAATGGATAATTTCTGGATATTATATACATATATATGTATTCACACTCACTTTCTATTGCTTAATTTTTTAACATAGTTCTGAGTAGTCTCTCACTCATACTCACGGAATACACTGGTTGAGTATTTATGAATACTTACAAAATACACTCCTATCCAATACAATCTATTATCAGCATCTAGGATATTGTATTTTCTCACTCTATAGATCAGGAAAAGAAGACAATGACTTCATTTGGAAACAATATTCTGATAATATAAGCATGAGTCTCATGATTATCCTGTTGTAGACATTCAATGATGATTGCTCACAGCAGTGCATGCCACAGGAACTCACATAATAGTGTGGATTTCAAGAAAGAAAATCTAACTATACCTCCAGGCAAAATGCTGAAAATAGGACTGACATATGCATTTCGTCTAACATTACTATTGTATTTCATGGGGTAAATGAAAAAAAAAGTGCAGCCAACATTAAGAAAAACTTCCTGCAGGTGTTCTAGAATAAACTGTTTACACATTTTAATTTTGCCCTTTCACAGTTATTTAAATATAAGTAAAGTGAGAGAAAAGCAAAGAACTTCACAATAATCACATGTCGGGTCTAATTTCGTGATACACATGATATCATGGTATCACCTAGTTTGGAAAGAATATCCTAACCAGACGCAGTTGTCTTTGCCCAATATGCTATTCTTAATGATGTCCTGAATTGCAAATCATACAAAAACTTATAATTTCCACAAATATTTTAACAGAATTTCAATAATTAAGAAGGATACATTTGACATTTTAGTTCATGATAAACAACCAAAAGTTATTTCCACTTAATTTTAGATAGATGCATCCAGAACATACCATTTTGTAAAAGTTGCTTTTCCTATATGTAAGCTAAGTTTTATATTTGTTTCTATTTTAGGTGTCAGTACTTATATAAATCCTTTCTACCTCTGACAGGAAATTTTCTACTTAATCCATTTTGTTAATTCATAATGCTTTAATGAAATGGCTGTAGTTTTGATGTTTTTGAGTGATCATACTCCATTTTTGTATACTTGCTTTTGACAAGAAACATTGGGGTATGTGGCCTGTAGCTTCTTCCATTCTTTGATCTAGTCAATTAGCAGCTTACGTACTCATAAACTGTGGCACAGTGCTGCTCAGGAGCTGCCAAATCCCCAGGCTCAGATTAGATGCCATTGTCTCAGTGCTCACGAGAGAGGAAAAGCAGAGGAGCTGTGAGCCATGGAAGAAGCACAAATGCCGGAGGACAGGCTGGCTGTTGAGTCATTAGCCATACATGGACACCCACAATAAATAAAGGAATAAGATGGGATTGATCTAACCTCAGAGGATTAGCTCATAGTTAAATCTTGTTTGCACTTTCTGTTAAAATATAGACTATTGCATTTTAGAAATAACGTTTATTTTAATAATGCTGATATGATTGAGAAGACTGGATATAGAGAGAAGAGATGGAAAACTTCACTTTCCCCAGGAACAGCTTTCATGGTCATAAAATAAAGAGTTATGATGGAGTTACTTCAAAGCCACTTCTAGTGTCCAACTTTTATCATTTTATGTCTATAATGATTTATACTTATGTACAAAGATACATCTTATAAGGAATAGATAAAGTCAGAATCCGAGCACTGATTTTTTTGGCATATTGTTCATTTTTCTCACTCTACCTCTGTTTTACCCCCAAATTTCCCTTCTCTATTTCTCAGTCTTTCCAAATACTGAACAAACCTTCCATTTCCTTGTCAGTCCTGGCACTGAAGAAGATCACTGTACTCAGAAAATTCTGTCGTACAGCGTTCCTTCCAGAAGGGACTCTGAATTGGAGTTCACTTAGCCTATGTCTCAGTCAATGTCTGGGGTGTTGCTATTCTTTAAAGTACTGCTAACAGCATGATTGAGGAATCATTTAAATATAAATATTGCATTTATAAATGGGGCTCAGTGTGAACTTTTAATTGTTCACAGACAGATGCACACACAATTCCAATATCACTTTTACAATGAAAATAAAAGGCAGAAAATAGAAACCGTAGAAGTGTCATGTTTGTAAAGAATAGAATGCTGACCTCAGTCGATCTGCCTGCTTTGGCCTCCAAAAGTGCTGGGATTACAGGCCAGCCTAGCCAACATGGTGAAAACCTGTCTCTACTAAAAATACAAAAATTAGCTGGGTGTGGTGGTGCATGCCTGTAATCCCAGCTACTTGGGAGGCTGCGGCAGGAGTATTGCTTGAACCTGGGAGGCAGAGGTTGCAGTGAGCCAAAATCGCGCCACTGCACTCCAGCCTGGGTGACAGAGCAAGACTCTATCTCAAAAGGAAAAAAAAAAAAAAAAAAAAAAAAAAAAAAGAATAGAATGCTTAGCTTTGTATTGTTTTAAATAAATAATTTACTATTTTTATTACTATATTTCAGTCAATTTTATCTCAGTTTTACTTATTTTAGCATTTGTTATCTGAGTACAGTGTTAATCTGAGTACAGATTACAGTGTGGAATCAATTTGGCATCTTTAGTTTGGCTAAAAGGCACATACATGTTGAGTGTTTATTTAGAGTTTGCTGTGGTTTGAACGTTTGTCCCCTCCAAAACTCATGTTGAAATGTAATCCCCAATGTGGCAGAATTGAGATGTGGGATCTTGAAGAGATGATTCATGGATTAATGGATTGATGGATTATTATGGGAGTGGGACTGGTGGCTTTTTAATAAGTAGAAGATAGACCAGAGCTGACATGCTCAGCCTCCTTTCCAGGTGATGTCCTGTGCTATTTTGGGATTCTGCAGCGTCCCAAAAGCAAGAAGACCCTCACCAGGTGTGGTCCCTCAGCCTTGGATCCTCACCTCCATAACTGTGAGTAATAAACTTATTTTCTTTATACATTACCCAGTTTCAGGTATTCTGTTATAAGCAACAGGAAGCAGACTGAGATAGGGTTCATTGACTCTGATGCATATGTTTCTTCTTTTTATCATTGTTTGTATTGTAAACAGAGCACCCTTTTGCTGAGCTACTATTCTATACTGAATAAGGGAACTATTCATCATGTATTTTTAATATGACTTTGCCATTGGCTTGGCTCAATGAATTCACGTATTGTTTTTGAATTGCCTTTCTTTTTACTACTTTCCTGAAATTTCAGCAACTTCTTATTTAGAAATTAGAATAGGGCATAAATCAACACTATGAAATAAATTTAAAAGAATAACTTAGGTTCATAAATCAATATCAATGTTATCCATGAAATCAATTTAAAAGAATAACAGGTTTAGAGTGGAAATATGCCTGTCTCTCTCTCTTTCAATCCAAGGAAGTTGTCAAATCCTGGATCTTCTACATTTCCTTGTATCCATCCATCTCCTCTATTCTTCTCCTACGCCTCTCTCAGGCTTCCTTTGCCTATTATTTAGGTTAGTATAGGGAATATCCAAGCTATCTCTGATTTCAAATTTTTCCCTTCCCATTCATTCTAGATAGCTGTCAGATTAATGTTTCTGGATACCTCTGACTTACTAGAAAACCATCAATGGCTCACCATTTCAAAATAAATAAAATCTATGCAATTTAGCCCAATATTACAGACCCAAATTTGTCTTTTACATTTGCTTCTCTCACTCTCTTCCTTCAGATTTCTACTGCATTAGAGAAGCCAGATTAACTGGAAGATATCTCTGCACATTTTATATACTTTTCTACCTTCATTACTTTGTTCAACTTTTTTCCTTCCTCTGGAAAACCTCTCTCCTCCCATGTCTGTTTTCTCAAATTGTAACTACATTGGGCCCAGATCACATACAGTCCCTGAAACTGACTATGACTTTTCAAGTTTCTGCTCTTCTTTAGTGGCTTTAATGATATGTCTCTTGATGACACCCAGAACTTCCTGTATTCTATATTAATGATTTGTGTACATGAAGACTTTCTCCTGAGAGACTATAGCTCCTTGAAAACAGATAGGAGACTCCTTTATTTCGTATTTGTGATTGAGAAATACTTATTTTCTTTCCTAGAGTGCCCAAATACTCAATAAATATCTAATAGATGACGGAAATGCTCTTTGAGTAGATGGATGAGAAAAGAAATGAGGGAGGGCATTTTTAAATAGAATTTGAGAGTGTTTTGAGCTGATCATCTTGTTTTTCTCTCTGAAGCAGTTATGAGATTGTTACTGTTGGGAAAGAAGAAAGATAAAGGAGAAAAAAATCTTAGGCAATACATGAACAGTTTTAAGAACAGATGTAGCTTGTGGCCACATTATATTTAATAAGATAATAACAGTAAATTCTGCTTTCCCATGTGGTTGGAAATGGAAATGGGCCAGGTCAACTCGGTATATAAATTTTTTTCCAGCAACATTTTGCTCTTTAGGCTCAGAATTTGAGGCAGTGCATGGTAGAAAAAGCCTGTAAGTTTAATTCAAAAACTGTTTTGCCATACTTGAAAAATAGTTTTTGTAAAGGCTTAAAATAATTGCAGACAAATAATACAGGGGAATATGTAATACAGCCAGGGACCAAAATAATATAAATGATTCCATTAAAAAAAAAAACTCTCACAATTGTCAAATAGACAATGGATGCTGCATTTGACAGTGTGAATCTATATAGCTGTCTTCTCTCTATGTACTTAGAAAATGGTCAGAGTATATAGTGAGCTGTTCAGATCAGGCAGGGAGCCAAGTTAAATTATTATCATTAGGAAAACAAAGTCCTTGAACAGAGGAAGATAATGATCTCTTCTGGAGAATCAAGGTGATATTTGATAAATTGTGTCACACTCTTTCTTTTTTCCTCTTTTTTTTTTTTTTTTTTTTTTTGAGACAGAGTCTCGCTCTGTCACCCAGGCTGGAGTGCGGTGGCATGATCTTGGCTCACTGCGACCTCTGCCTCCTGGGTTCAAGCAATTCTCCTGCCTCGGCCTCCTAAGTAGCTGGGATTGCAGGTGCCTATCACCACTCCCAGCTAATTTTTGTATTTTTAGTAGAGACGGGGTTTCACCATGTAGGCCAGACAAGGGCCGCTTTTGAATCATGGGACTAGTTTTAAGTAGAAAAGATATTCAATAGAAAGTTTAGTAAATAAAGAACGGACAAGGAGAAACACAGCTAAATAGAAAATAACAAAAGGGAAAAGCTAGAAAAATATCTTAGGTACCTATACTAAAGATTTGGTTTCTGATAGTTCTTTAAGAAGGATGAAACATCAGGAGAAAGATGCCTGCACTAGGCTGAGATTCAAGAGACCTTGGCTTTTGTCCCTGGTAAAACTTGGCAAAATGTCTCATGTGATTCTGTGATCATGTCTCTGAACTGACTCAGGTCCAGCACTCAGACTCTCCCTCAGGCCCATTTACATCTCCTTTTTCTTTGTGTACCCCAGTAATAGAATCCATTGGGTAACATTGAAGCAATGACTTCAGTTTTCAGCTTGAAGGTCCAGATGGTTTAGCCAAAGTGCAAGTCAGTTCCTGAGAGCAATAACAACATGAGGTTATCAGAACTGTGTATGCCGTGACTCTCAGATGTCTGAAGGCTATCATGCGAAACCTGGCTGTTCGTGGAAAGAATTAGTACATGGCTACAGCTACTTAAAACATTGACCTAAAATAACAGAGTTTCAAACAAAATAGAGTTTTATTTCCTTCCCATGTAAAAGTCGGAGGAGAGAAATTCTACTCAGCCATCAGATACCTAGGCAATTGCATCATGCGCTGCACCATCTCTCCAGTGCTGTTCTCATCCTTGTGGTTTTCCAGGGCTTGTCACCACATCCATTTTTCAGGTAGCAGGATGGAGCAAGGAAAAGGAGATGATACATCTCTTCCACTTTAAGTTTCAGACATCTCATTAGCCAGAACTTGGTCACGTGCCACATCCATCTGCAAGGTAAACAGAAATATAGTCTCCATCCTGAGAGGTCATGTGATCTAGATAAAAACTCTATTACTATGAAAGGAAAGAATGGACTAATGAGGTAAACAAGTGTTTCCGTGGAAACATGGCCACCCATGCATGAGCACACACTCCCTTCCTGTATCTCTCTCTTTTTACCAGTGTAATTTTCAATAAAACCACACTCCAGTCATTTGTTAAAAAGTGCATGTTAGTATTCTCACTATATAGACATTCTCAATGTTTCATTTGGCCAATTTATTAAAGTCAGCATTTGAGGCAGGCCATATGGGTGTGTTTAGCTGCAGTGAATCAGTCATTTTGACTAAAGGAAATGTTTTTGGAAGGACATTGCAGAGAGAGCCCAGCGTGGGCTCAAAGTGATGAATGCTTTGTTTTGCAGACTACATTAGACCAGGTGATTTTGGGGGTGAAGAAGTAAGGTGGGGAAAATCAAGTATTCTAATTAGACAGCTGATGATGGATTATAAATTGTAAATAATTCTCTTAAATAGGCAAAGAGAAAAGGCTTTTCTTGATAGAATCAGGAACTAACACAGTCCCAATAGCAACTGATAATGATTAAACTGACTGGGGAATGATTAGGAGACATAAAAGGGAATATACAAAAATACTGGAAAGAAGCATCCATCATTAGCTAGGAGAATAACCTGAAAACCATGGCAATAATAAAAGAAAAAAACAAGTGCTTCACTAAAGAGTCTGAGGTTGGCACAAATACCAAAGTATTCTCCAGAAACTTCAACCCAATAGTATGCACTGATGAAGTGATATTCCATCCCATACATTTCACAACATTTTAATGTTCTCTTATTTCCGCATTAGAAAATAAGAATATCCATATTCGGAACAACTGTTCATCCTGAGTCTAGTCATATTTTTGGCAATTATATTCAGCAACATTTTTAGGAGAATGTTATATTTCACCATGATATCAAAAGCTGGAGATTATTTAAATTCTTCTCAACTCAAATCCTGTATACCTCTGAACATTTAGAAAGAGCTCTTTTTCTTGCCAGTGAAAGCACCTGAGAAAATAAGGCCCTTTGATTTTTTTATATGGGCCTTTCCAAATATTCTACTGCACATGACATTTTATTAAATCTGGGTTCTCTAAAAAGGAACTTTATAAATATTCACACAAAGATACCTTTCATTCCTTGTACAACCATGTGTACATTGTATACCTATGTGTTTGTCCATGTGTGCGGATGCCATGCAAGAGAGAAACTTAACTAATTGTTTAATGATTGTTCCACACAAACTTTGCTGAAAGTACATATAAGTGCTGGTTTCACAGATTGTCTAATGAGTTGGTTTTTGTTTAATTATAGAAAGCAATTAAGTCTGCTGTGACATTTGAAGAAAGCCAGCAGGGTTTTCTTCTCAGATGTTTTCAGTTTTAAAGTCCAAAGAACTAGAATGAGAGTTGTGTTTGTCTCCAGCTATGAGTATTTCAAATGAGCTGTAAGTAAATAATATTTTGTGATGAGATTTTCTAATAAGCAGTAATTAAGATTTTCTTACTTATTTCTTAAATGATGACAGACACAGCTCACTCCAATTCTAGTTTGGTTTAACTCTGTGTGTGTGAAATACATTTTTATTTTTCATATTTTTAAGGCACAACTATTTACTATCAGCATTTTGTTATTTATACATCTTTTTAGTCAAAATTTTATAACAGTGGCCACATAATTTTTTGGAATAAAGTCGTAGTCAATTTTTTTAAAGAGGCATTTAAGGGTTCACTGTGGATTATAATCTATTTCTGGAAGCACTCAGCTGGAAAAAAAGAAGTGAAAGCAATTTCAAGTTTTGACCAGCATCTTTAAAATATAAGAACATCATTTCCCAGGGAAACAATGAAAGCAACAAATGGTAATGTCATTTAAAAAAAAATTCAGGTCAGGCGGTGGCTCACGCCTGTAATCCCAACACTTTGGGAGGCTGAGGCGGGTGGATCATGAGGTCAGAACCTCGAGGCCATCCTGGCCAACATGGTGAAATCTCGTCTCTACTAAAAATACAAAAATTAGCCAGGCTTGATGGGAGGTGCCTGTAATCCCAGCTACTTGGGAGGCTGAGGCAGGAGAATTGCTTGAACCTGGGAGATGGAGGTTACAGTGAGCCGAGATCATGCCACTGCACTCCAGCCTGGGTGACAGAGCAAGACTCTATAAAAAAAAATAAATAAATAATTGGAGGACTTCCACAAACATTTAAATGATCAGAATCAACTTTGAAATATGTTATTTAACTAAGTCTGTTTTACCTTCAAAATGAACCAAGTTAGTATGATATAATTTATGAGTAAAATCTGTTGAAATCTTGAGCTTTATGTAATAAGAGTTTGAGAAAGCACAAGAATGAGGCAGCAAGAATGAACAAGCCATGAAAAAGCACAGCCTCAGTTTTGTAGGTTGATTTGCTTCATGGGCCAAAACTGCTTTCAGAAAATATTCTGACATTAGCAAGAATGCTTTAAGAACAGAGATTTTTGTCTACTGCATTCATACTTACCAAATCAGCCACTTGCAATGCTGTGTTGAGAAGCAGTAAAAATAAGCCGGGATTAGGAGTCTTAACGACTGTCTCACTCCCTTTTCTTCTTTTTGGCCCTCTGAAGTCACTAGTGTATACAAACAAAAACTTAGAAAGAAAAAAATCTCAAATACAGTGTTGCCCAACAAATGCAGTGTCCTCACCTCCTCACTCTTCAGAAAGCCCTCTGATCACCTCTGCTCACAAGTGCTACTTTGGGAAGGGTGGCTCTCATGACACCTAGGCAGGGGACAGGCCATGTTTAGCAAACACTAGTTCTTTCCTGTTACAAATCCTAAAACCACAATACCCATCTGTATGAGTCCGTTTTCACACTGCTGATAAAGACATACCTGAGACTCGATAATTTATAAGGAAAAAGAGGTTTCATGAACTCACAATTCTATGTGGCTGGGGAGGCCTCACAATCATGATGGAAGGTGAAAGCCATGTCTCACATGGTGACAGACAAGAGAAAAGAGCTTGTGCAGGGAAACTCCCCTTTATAAAAACCATCAGATCTCATGAGACTTATTCACTATTATGAGAACAGCACAGGAAAGACCCACCCTCATGATTCCATTACCTCCCACCGGGTCCCTCCCACCACATGTGGGAATTCAAAATGAGATTTGGGTGGGGACACAGCCAAACCATATCACCATCCCTATATGTATTTGTCATTGAATTGCTGATTCTTTGGTCAAAATTACCTAATATTACCTTTTTTCCTGATACTTGATTTTGAAATAAGTCCTATGAATCTGTAAGGCATCAGTTCTTTACTTGAGAGCCACCTGCTTGTTTCCTGATTGCAGAATAATGCAGCAAAATTATACAGGATGGAATCCCCTCAAAGACAATGCCTCTGGAGAGAGATCCAGCAACTTACAGGAATGGGTCCACCTAGTTCAGGGCAGCCTATATTTGTGGAAAACCATACAGCCTATATTTGTGGTAAACCATAAAGAACTTCACTCCAAACATATGGATAATTAATGTGTTTGAAATGAGAAAGAGGATGCAAGTCTGTAAGGTGATCATATTAGCAACATGGTTTTCAGAGAAAGAATGTGCACCCTAGCTCCTTTGGAAGGAGTTGCTTGACATTTCCCAGTATCTGAAATCAAAGTGCGGATGCCCTGCCCAATCCCCCTCAGAGGAGCACCTTTGCAGCTGATCACTGCCAGCCAGGAGCAGCCTTGTGTGTTCTGTGTGTGCAAGGTCAGGAAAAAGTTTGAAAACATAGCTATGAAGTAATAGAATATCTCTGTCAAAAAAGAAGTAGGGTCACTTATGATTGGAAATGTTTGAGCTGTAGAAACTGTTGAAAAACTAAAGGATACTGCTTTTGTTTTTGAGTTATCACTCTTTTCTTGTCCTCAAAACAGAATGGAATATAGACACCTATGTGGGTGCACACACACACTCTCACACGCACGCATGTACACACACATCTTTCCTCTCTCACCAGAAAAAAATGTTGTGTTGGAGAATAATGCAAACAGGCAAGGAACAAGCAGACTTTAGACAAGACATTCATTTATTGTTACAAAGTGATTTGTGGCTACTCATTGCCAAATGACTGGAGCATGCAGTAATGGAAACCTGGGAATTAAAAAAAAACAAAACCTCAAAACACCAAAACTTACTGCCAACTCCACTGGTCAACAATACACTTAATATCTCAATCCCCTACTCCCTATCAAATAAACAACCTTTGACTCAGAAGCCTCCTTTATATCTTTGAACATGGAAAAACAATGGGCTTTGCTGTTTTATTGGTGTTTAATTCCCAAGCACTTGTCCTTACTTAGGGATGGGGTTGCTCATGCAATTTAAATGTCCTCACATAAGTAGATTTTTGGCGATTGCTCCTGCACTTTTCATTTCAGTCAGCTGAGCAGGGTTTCTACATCCTATTTGCCTCCCTCGGAGAAGAGGAAATTTCTGCAAATTATTTTCTGTTTATTCTTGTGGTAAGGTAATTCACTTCCTCTAAGGCTCGACCTTCGGATTTGAAAACGAAGTGAAAGTGAGTGTGAATACTGATATGACATCAATGTTTTGGAGATTGAGGGAAATTTCCCTTTGGCCAGTGGCTGATTTAAAGATGTAAAGAGTCCTATGTGGGGCATACTGAGTCCTGCCAAACCGACCTTCCCGTTCAGATGGTTTGGAAACTAGGCTGTGCCACATGCTATCTAATTTAGAGGTTTCTCTTAATCCTGCTATTTCCTATCATACATCAGGGGCTTTCACAACATAGCACATGTGTCTGGGAAAAACTGTAAGTGAAACAACCAGGGCAAATCTAAAGACCTAAGAGAATGGTGAGCAACTTTTTATTTTTTCATCCTGCCCAATATCTTAAGTGCCTCTCCACCAAGAAAACCCCCCAAAAACCAAAAAAAAAAAACAATAAAAAAGATTAGCTGTCCACTTTGACCACTTTTTTTCACTCAAAATGAATCATGGAATTCCACAGATTAATTGTGAATTCTTATATCTTAGGCTGCCTTCATTGAATAGACAGATTTTAAAGGAAAAATTGGCACTCACTCAAACAATAAAATGGTAGTATTAAGGAACCTTTAAGAATTAGGATCCGGGAGGCAATGTTCCATTATTTCATCATTTAAATTTATTTGGGTTTTTGGGAATGTATGAGTGAGTTTACACCCACTTTCATTTCATTTCCGAATTTGAAGATTGAGCTTTACAAAGAGGTAGTGACTTACCTCAACTCACACAATGAACTTCCCCAAAGAGGTGTGGTTGGAATTAGAGCTTGTTCTACCCACGCCAGTGTTCACATAGCAAGTGTGCTCTCTAATAGCTGATATTCATATAGTGTTCGGTAACGGCCAGTTTCCACATACATCTTTTCTTTTAATCACACTCATATTGTGTGACAAGCATATTCTCTTTTTATGGACTAGAGACCGTAGATTACAGGCTACTGCAAAGCAGGGATCTTGTCTACTTTGTGCACCATGCTATTCATATGGCCTGCTGTGTTGTAAGTGCTGGACAAGTAAATGAGGGAGAACTTGTCCCACAGTTCAGAAGGGGTGCTGTGGCCTTCTATCTATAAATTGTTATTAGACCTCTGCTCAAACATTTTCAGTGATGAGAAATTCATTGCCTTCCAAAGCAGCCATGGTACATATCCTTTCTTATTTTAGTTTAGTTTAGTTTAGTTTTGCCTGTTTGTTTTTGCTTCACAGCTCCTCATTGCCTTCTCTTCTACTCAGAGTGGTTCTGTTGATGTCAGTTATGGTTGCCGGGCTCTTAGGGGCAGACGCATAGCCTAGGGTAGGCCTTTCACAGCATCCATCCCCCATCTACAGTCACTGGTCCAAGAAGTGACCACTTTGGGAACCAGTCATGGTTCTCCATCACACCTGTCAAGTGGAAGATGAAGGAGAAAGGGCCACTTTCTTCTTTTCTGATTGCAAACTCTGGTAAACCCAGTGCTTCCAGAGGCCCTCTTTGCTCTTGTGTATCAAGAGACTGCCTGAGAAAGAAACCAAACACAAGACAAAAACCAAACAGAAATGGACAGCATGATGGCAGCTATTGAAACCTCTAAATCCTCTGTTCCTAGAGCTAGCTCCACCTTTGGGTTTCTCAATTGTGTGGTTAATACCTTTCTCTTTTTTTCTCTTTTTGTTTTACTACTTATAAGCAAAAGAGGTCTAACATGACTACCCATTCCATGATGACACAGTTTGGACTTTTGAAACATTCTTATGTGGATCCCAGATCCCCTTTATAGAGACAAGAAGAACAGGTGTAACTCTTTCATGTAACAGTGTTTCTGACACTTGGAGAAAACTACCCTCTCTTTTCCTCAGCTTTTGCTTAAGTCTTCTGTCCAGGTTCTGCACCCTATTTTGTCAACTTCCCTTCATGTGATGTAGTGTCCCACACCATCTTAGTTGCTAACATTTCATTACATCTCCATTTGCCCACAGCTATCTTAATATGAGGGAAGATTAACACAATGTTCAGCAACATAACATAGGATAATAATTTTCTTTCTTTCATACATTGTAATTTTTCACTGCTCCTGAAGGTCTCATTGGCCTTTTTAAATATTATAATACATAATTGACTTGAAATACAAGTGTTATGAATTGAAACTCTCAAGCTTGACACATTTTTTGATAATAAAGTATGTCTCCCATAACTTTTAATAATTTTGTTCTTTTTAACTGATTTTACCTTTATTTCAAATTAACTTCCATTTATAGGTAGAAATGTTCCATATTTTATACTCATTGGTTTTTATGTTGGGTCTATCAGAAAATGAATTTGCTATTTCCTTTCATTTTATATTTTCAGAAAGCTATGTTTAAAGCTTGTGTTTTTAAAATTTTTATTTATTTATTTACTTGTGATAGCATCAAGGAAGTTAAACATTTCTATGGCAGAATGCTATTTGGAAGTCCAGGATAGTTACTTAATAGTTTTCTTACATGAATGTAGTGTCTATTTATTTGTGGATCTTTTACTTTCCTAAATCTTTATTCATCTTGAAGCTCTGGTGACTATTAGTATAAAGAATGTGATTTTCATTCAGTTCCTGTCTGAGACACTAGAAAAAAAATGGTTTCTTTGCTTCATTTGCCAAATATTCTGCACAGTGCTTATTTTGTATTTTTTCCCATATTAAGTGTAATACAAGACTCATTGGCACATTATAAATAAGAAATTAATGCTGAAAAGGAAGCCACTTCCAAAAGCAGCATTTCCCCAGGAAATAAAGAAGAGGTGAGATCAGTACCCCCAGAGAGTCTACAACTGTCTTCTGTCTGTTCCCCTTCTTCTTTTACAGGATAAAATGAAAATTGAGAAAGAATTCAGATAATTGAGACTAAAACGTGCTGCCTTAGTTATTTCAATTTCTCATACAAAATGTATGCTTGGCTTGAGGTATATTATTATCTTCCATGTTTTAGTTATAGTCTTACTGAATTGTACAAGAAGGAAAAAGGTTAAAAAATTAAAGTGGATTGCATGTATATGTGTGTGCCTAAAGGCATATTGATAACATAGAAACATAAATATGTTATAGAAAAATTATACCATGAGGATCAATTAATGTATCAAAGGGAAGGTAATGTTATGATGATTGATCAGATTCATTTCACTGTGACCCAGATTAAAGCTTTTTACTATTAACCCGTGGCTTCTGCATTTACTGGGGTGGATTTTTCCTTTTTGTATAGCTGGATAGGAACATTTTCATGTCTTTTCACTTTAAATTTGCTCAAACAAAGCACTAAACCAAAAATGATACAGATTTAAATGAAGATTCTGTAGGAGAAAGAGAGAGGGTGAAACCATGTACCACAAAACCTTGTCCTCATTAAATATTTTTATTTTCTGCAAGTTCTCACTGCCATCATAACAAAACTGCTGGTTTTCGTTATCCTCCCTTTGGTCACTCTGTATCCCTTCTTACTGGATCCTTTATTTTGTCATTCTTATTTTTCCTCAGAACCTCAAATCCTCCATCTTTTCATATACAGGGCAATTTCTTCACAGCCTTTTGTTAGTCAGGAAGTCCTTTTCATCATAATTGGTTTATTTTAGCTTCGAAATCTTTCCTCTAAATATGCACAAGGCTTTCTCTGAAAGGGACTTTGTTTTATTTTTCCATCTTGTTACAATTTCCTCCATCACAGTACATAATTCTGTAGTTGAGGATAGTTGTGAATAACAATTCAGAAAGCAGGAATTGAAGCCTATTTCTCCAAACTCATTGATATTATTATCCTGTAACTAAACTCTAAGAATTTTAAGAAATGTATCTCTATGGGGTCACCTATAGCAGTAAAACATCAATCATCAATAACTTTTATGTAGGCTTTGCTTAATACATTGTAAACTTTGATCTCATATTATTTTCTAGGTATAAGGGTTAAAAATAAGTGCCAGTCTAGATTTTGCTGAAAATAACTTCTGTTTTAATATCCTGTGATTTTCACCACAATCATTCCCTTCATTGCCAAACAATGAATTGGCAAGGATTCTTGTTCAATTGAGGTTTAATGGAAACTGGTTGCCTTAAGAAGAAATTGACTTATGTGCATGATGTGTTCATTTGCAGGCAGCTTCAAAGATCACCAACTGTAAGAAACAGGAAGAGACTTTGAAGTAGATAACTTCTTGTGTTTTTTTCACATATTCCCTGGTGGAATTTTAGTTTTGTATCATGCTTTTCCAAGTTTTTCTCCAGATGTTGTATAGTTTTTTGTTTTTGTTTTTTTTTTTTTTTTTCCCGGAAAAGTTTAGACATCTTGTACACAGACATCAAGATCTAAAAACGGAGGCGCCAGCTCTATTTTACAAAAATATCTGATAGTATCTTATTGAAGAATGTTGGAATCATTCAAGCGACTGCTTCTATCCAGTTTCCACGCTGTCTGAAGATCCTCCTTGAAATCCCATGTAACCTTTAGTATAATGCCCACGTTAAGAAAAGTGGGTCAGTGATTAAAGACATATTGAATCATGTTTCTGGCTTTTTGTGTTTATAAATTATGTATATAATTATAAATATAGTATTTATATAAAAATATAAATGTATACATGTTTATATTTATTATAAATTATTATAAATAATCAGTAAAACATCAGTGGACCAAACATTCTCTGTACAATTAATTACGCAGATAATAGAGTACCTAAGAATCTCTTAAAAAATGAGTGTAACATATGTTTGTTTAGTACACAGTCTGTAGAAGAGAGTTGTTGGTAATGTACTGTGGACTGGGGTCATATTGCCGGTTCCCATGCATTTTCCTTGGAAGATAAAGACAGCGATCAGGTTTCAAGTCATTCAAGACAGAGACACAAGCAAAGGCACAGATATTTGAAGGTAAATAAATAGGCAAATTTGACTAAGGAGGATGCTATGCTAGTATTTGTTATAGTATTAGTGTTAATATAAGGTTAATGCATGTTAGTTAGAAAGAAATAATGCAAAATTAATCTTCTTCCTCTCCCATTTGAACTATATAATTAAATAGTACATTCATCTTAATATTCAGGTAATATTTAACCAACTCAGGTTAGTCATATTAATAAACCTATCACAAGCTGAAAACAAAATCAAGAGAAATCAAAACATTGACTTTTAACTCCAATCTTATAATTACTTTAAAATATTCAAACAGGAGGCTTTGGGAAAGAGAGTGACTTGTATTTAAATGGGCATAGTAAGAGTGAAAGAAACAGAGAGTACTGCTCTGCCCCAGGCACTGTGCCAGTCATCATGCCCACACTAACTAGCTTACCACCTGATTTAGAAGCCGCATTAACCAACATGAATGGGTTCTTACCCTTGGTGCCTACCTTTGCCTTGCCAGGACATGATGGACAGGGCCCTGGGAAGCCTCTGAGAAGAAAGTGAGGACACAACACACAGTTCGCTTTGAAACTATAGACAAGGTGTAGCATATGGCTTTGATTTATTAGTATATGCTTGTAGTCAGTGGCTTCGGGTTTTAGAGAGGACACTTTCGAATGTATTTCTGTGCTGATTCCAAGGTGTTTTCAATTAATGCCCTGAAAAGCTTTCAGTTTCTCATTTACTTGGCTGATGGATGGCTCCTTAGATGTATATTGGCTCTTGAAGGGTTTCTCTGTCTCTGAACAAGGGTGAAATTAAAGAAGCATTTTGTAAAGTGGAACTTTTGCCCTGGCAGGAGGAACCAGACATTTCCACAAATAAACACATGCATCTGTGAATCTGTAAATAGATTGATTATTATTTTTTCTGTCAAGTGATTAAGAGCCTAGGGCTAGTTAATTAGCAGCTAATGAGAGAGAGAGTGTGTGTGTGTGTGTGTGTTCTACTGGTGAAGCTCTCATTGTTAAACTAAAATAGGCCTAAGGGTGTTGATGCAAAAAGAAGGTATGTGCACTGGACTTACAGAAAGAAACAATAATTCTTGGCAAGAAAACAGAAGTCTTGCATCTATGAAAACATTTTGATCAGCTGAGATCAGGCTGATTTTTAGGTTCAAAATACCATCTTCACCCACAAAATCCTAAAAATTTTAGCCAAAAAGGGGTAAGGTTTATGTTTAAGAAAAAAATAGAACTACTTTGTGGATCCTGGTCTGCCAAACCTGGTTCATTTGTTCATTCATTCAACAAATCGTATGGAGTGTCTCTATGCCAGGCACTCTTCCATGCAATAAGGACACTCAGAATAATGAACAAGACTAATAAGAACCTAATTTGTCTTGAAAATTAAATGTAAAATTAAAATGTAAATTAAAATTTACATTTTACAAGAGGATTTTTTATCATCTTTGCTGAAAATTCCCCCAAATATCTCTAAAAAGTAGTGGCAATCTACATTTTCTATTTCTTTTCTTCTTTCAATATTTTTTTCTCTCTCTCTCGCCAATTTTAATGCAATTTGTAAATATATTTAAGAGAGAGAAAGGTGATTTTTAAGTTAAGTACTAATATTGAGGACCTCTGACTTTTTTGCTTAAGACATAATCATCTTTTGTCGTGGGAAGAAGCACCACATTCCTGTGGTCTTGGTTGACTGCTGAAATGCTTTCACAGGTTTGGTGGTGTCCAGCATTGAGAGCTAGTGCTCCTTTTTTGGTCTGCATTACTTATCTCCCTGGGCAATCTTGTAGAGGCCATAACTTCTGTCTCCTTAAATAGGCTGCTGGGTCCAAACTCAATTTCCAGTCTGGAATTCCCCTTCCCATAGCCACGAAGTGTTTCTAAATCTTTCCCAAACACTGGGAGAACTCAAAGATAGAGGCAAATGTTGGCTCTACATCATAGTATCTGTTGTCTTACAATTAAATATCCAATGCCTACAATTTTTCTTCATAGTATTTACATTGGGTTAGACCATAGTTTAAATTTATCATCAGAGACTTTGTATTTTTCTTTGTACTTGAAGTAGTGTTTATGCTGCTCAAGTCATGGGGAAAAATTATTAAAACAGGTTGGATGCTGCTCAAGCCAAGAATGAGTTGTAAATTAGAGGCAATATGATGTCATAGTTAAGATCATGGCTCAGGGGCCGTGCTGCCTTGGTTTAAATCCCAGCTGACTTTGGACACACAATTTGCTCCTCTATCAATGAGAGTAATACCATCCCCTTCACAGAATTGTTGTGAAGGTTAAATTAGCTGTTACATGTGAAGCACATAGAACATTGCTTGGCATATAGAAAGCCCTATATTACTTTCATTATTAGGAGTAAGATTATAGTCAGGGATAGGGGAAGGTCATTGCTAAATTAAGAAGATAAAAGTTTAAGCCATGACAGAATAGGTTAAAGTTTGGAACTGACTTGTATGTTACCTGTGACTGCATTGGGCAATTAAAAAAAATTTAGTATGACACCAAATAGAAAACTAACTTTCATTAATAATATGATCTCATAAAAATAAGTGGAATAGTGAATGAGCATGTTGAACTAGGAATTACATAACTGATAATTCAAATTTGCTCTTCTGTCAACTGCCTTTCATATCCTTGGGGAAGTTTCATTTCATGTTATCTTTTTCTCATTGGTTTATAGGATTTCTTGTGTACTTGGCTTATTAGGGGAAAGTCTCCACTTCTCTGGTTTCATTTTTCCATGCAGTGAATTGTCCCCAGAGTTGACGCTCTTGGTCTCTTGCCCACCTCTTATTCCTTTCTCCAAATGAATTATTTCACTGTTAAGATTAGGAGTATCTGAGCATGTCCTGTGCGGCTCTTTCTGAGCTACTCTTTTCTTGGAAACAGGAAGAATACAGGACAAGCGCATAGGTCTGCTCTGTGCCATGGAGCAAGGACCCTGCCCTTGTAGGAGAGACCCATATTTGTCCAGCTGTGTCAGTATCATATGGCTAATTCTAATAAAAGATGAAATATTAAGAAACTCACTTGATTTCAGATGCAAACCATGTATTTTTTTTCTTTTGCCAATTAGGGTCCTGGCAGGAAAGAGATGTCCACTCAAATCAGCTCTCTTAGGGCAGCTTAATAGGAGGACCATTTATAAAGATATGGACAGGTTAGAAAAACCAACGAGGGAGGGTAGGAGCTATGAGTGCCTGCTAGGAGCTAGGTAGAAGACAGGGGACACAGTCTTAACTGTTATGCTAACTTCACTGGGTGATGCCAGTGTGGATATATTCCAGAACACTCCAACCTGAGATCTGAAATGCTACATATCCTTGATGTTTAGCATATGGATTAGCAGGGGAAGAAAGGAAGAGAAAAAAAATCCAATGGTTAAATTGTAGAACACAGAGTTGTTCTATACCTGCTTCTACAGTTCTCTGTGAGATCTGAATTGAGACTTACACTTCCTTCTTCCATCACCATGTTCCCCTTAATGTCTGTCAACACCTTGGCTGTTCGGAGTTATTTACCTAACGTTGTGCACCAAAACTTCATTTATGTCAGATTTCAGTGCTTACTGATCCTCTCTTCCTTGTGTTGTCTCCGTTTTTCTTTGATTATGACTACTGATGAAGGAAGTACTAAGGGGTGCCAAGCAAATTCCCTGGGTTTCTGATACAGTCTTTTATTTTGCCTCCCAACCAAATATCTCAAGTGCAATTAGGATCAATAATCCTGACATCTTCTGGGAGATGGAACTGGTGGTAAGACTAGTAAATTCAATGAGCTTGAGTCCATTGTCTCTTATCCTTTACTATAAACCTTTGTTCAAATATTCTCATCATATGGAATAACTTGGTGAAAAATAGTTAAGACATTTGATATGTTCACAGATGGTCAAGCTGGCAGAAAACTACAGGAAAGAAAAGAAAACCTGTTGCCAAATCATTTGTGTGCTTCTACGAGGACAAATTGCTGTTTGTGGTATAATAGAAGTGAACCAACATCAAACTGTCACCAGGTGACCAACTGTTCCCCTGAGGGAATAGTGACTCAGCATTGGCCTCTGTTCCTTGGCAAATTGGGCACAAAGCAGTAGTAGCAGCCAGATCAGCTTTGATGAGATAAAGTCCACATTGCTGAGATCATGCATAACTGAATCCCTGCTACCAAATGAGCCTCTTTACACAGGCTCATTTAGCAGAAGAAGCATGGTTCATAATATGAGCCATCTTCTCATTGTAATGGAGAATCTCCTTTGCAATGGACACAAGGATGTTTTATCTGCATGTATGGGAAAGGTACACTATGTATTTCTTATCACCAATATTTTAATCTGGTTCTTTCCAAGTCCTTGACCCTGAAACAGGATTGGTTCATTGTCTTGTGAAAAGAAAGACAATCTTTCCTTTCACGCAAAGTGGACAATCAGATATTGGACCCTGGAATTTTCCCTTCATTACTGTCTTTTGGGGGCATGGTAGTGGGCTGTAATGTGGTGGCCATACATTTTTGCCGGGTGTCAACATGCCATACAAATCTATAGCAAACCAAGGCACCCTGTCTTTTTAAACTTGTTTTGGGGAGTTTTCCCGGAGGCCATAGAGGTATTTTGAGAAAGAGATGAAAAAGTGGTAGGAATAGGTAATATGGAAATGTGAGCCCCCTGCTTTTGGAGTTTACTAGTGACTTCTGAATCTGCTTGAGCCTAGTTTTATATATATTCTTTCTTTTTTGTTGTTGTTTTGTTTTTGAGACAGTGTCTCACTCTGTCACCCAAGCTGGAGTGCAGTGGCGCAGTCTTGGCTCACTGCAACCTCTGCCTCCTGGGTTCAAGTGATTCTTGTGCCTCAGCCTCCCCAGTAGCTGGGACTACAGGTATGTGCCACCACATCCAACTAATTTTTGTATTTTTAGTAAAGATGGGGTTTTGCCATGTTGGCAAGACTGTTCTCAAACTCATGGTCTCAAGTGATCTG
Organism: Homo sapiens; assembly: GCF_000001405.40. Classification (NCBI taxonomy): domain Eukaryota; kingdom Metazoa; phylum Chordata; class Mammalia; order Primates; family Hominidae; genus Homo; species Homo sapiens. Next base: position 37,496,173 of record NC_000013.11, read on the forward strand.
CCTGCCTCGGGCCCCCAAAGTGCTGGGATTACAGGTGTGAGGCACAGCCCCAGGCTACTGTTTCCATTTGACAATGGAATTCTACTGTGCATGTCCAATTTTGAAATTTGGTAAATGTTATAACATCTTATTTAGAATGGGCGGTCTGTGTTGCATGTCCTAGAGTCAGGTGTTTAGAGAATACTTGTTAGCAAAAAAAAAAAAAAGGCGTGACTTTATTCCAAAACTTCAAGGCATGTGTCATTATTTTCCTAGTGAGGTTTGCCTAAGGCTCTGTACAACCTGTCTGTCAATCATAGGCTCTTCCAAAACCATTGGGTCTTCTGGTTGTAACTCTCTCCGATATATATCATACACATACGATACTCATATATCCCTACCCACCCTCACAGACCCCACTGAAGTCTGGAAGCCTCATGGGGTACCGAGAAAATGGATTGGAACCGCACACTCTAAAATGAATGTCTTGCCTCCCATATCATAAGAGGTCTACCAAGCATTGTACCATTTTCTTCAGGATGCGTGACTCAAGGTGTGGCAACTTATCTTTCATGTTGGAGTAGATAGTCCAACCTCCTTTCAGACTGCTAGACTCCCAGAAACCTCAGATGTAGCAGCCCTCGAACTTTCACAGAGTTTATCTCCCTCTCTAGCCTGTGTGATTGTACTCAATAAAGTACCTAAGATTCCTGTTATTTCTTGCACACTAGGATCAATTAGTAAAATGTCTTTGATGTAATGGTCATTTAATGCTCTGTGCGGTATTGTGATGACCAAAGTTCTTCTAGACTATATTGTAATAGAAAGCAGGAGCATCCATATAACCCTAAGGAAAGGCATTAGAGGTTTATTGCCTTTGCCACAGTACAGCATTTTTATTCTGATTATTTCATATGGGCATTCTGTTAGTTACTAAGTGTGATTATTCCAATAAACACAAAGTGGACAATCAGATGTTGGACCCTGGGACTGGGGAAATAACCACACTGGAGCTGCTATGAGATGGATTCAGGATAAGGCTGTAATCTTCTTAAGTCCATTTGTAACTAGAGAGACCACAGTGGTATTCCAGGTCTCTGCATCAGTTCGAGGGTGGGGATGTTATGAAGATAGAATTTTTACCATGTGATTCAAATTATACAATTGTTATATTTCTAGACATCAAATTAGATAGTTACCTTTTTCTATAAAATTCATCATTTCATCTAAGACTTCAAATGTATTGGTAAACTATTGTTCATAGCTATTGCTTGTGGTTTTATCTACGTATCTTTGAGCATGCCGTTTTCATTATCTTTATTATTAATTATTACTTTGGTCTTTAAGTTTTGACAAGTCATTTAAGAAATTTATCCATTTTTAATTGGTATTAAAAATAGACTTCTATTTATTTTTATTTTGTTTTATATTTTATTAACCTCTGCTATTATTGTAATTATCTTCTTATAGGTTATTCAGTATTAAAAATCTTACAGTGGAGTTCAAGACCAGCCTGGCCAACACGGTGAAACCCCGTCTCTACTAAAAAAAAATAAAAAAATACAAACATTGGCTGGGCACAGTGGTGCACACCTGTAATCCCAGCTACTTGGAGGCTGAGGCAGGAGAATCACTTGAACTCAGGAGGTGGAGGTTGCGGTGAGCCAAGATTGCACCACTGCACTCCAGCTTGGGGGCAACAGAGTAAGACTATGTCCGGGAAAAAAAAAGAAAACAACCATAGAGTGGAAGATCAGCTCTTATTTTTCTGCCTTTTTTTCTTTAGTAACGTAATATTTTTTTTCAGGTTTATTGAGGTATAATTGGCAAATAAAAATTGTATATATTTAAAGTGTACATGATGTTTTGAAATATGTATATATGGTGAAATAATTACTACAATCACACTAGTTAACATATCCATCACTTCACATAGTTGCTGTGCATGTGTGTGACGAGAATATTTACAAGCTACTCTTCTAGAAAATTTCAAGAATGAAATACATTATTAATAATTATAGTCACCCTGTTGTGCATAAGATCTCCAGAATTTATTAGTACATAAGAGTTTAAGATTATAATTTGCACTTTAATTATATCTCTATTTACATGCCAAGTATTGATAATTAGTATTATTCTTTTTCTTTTTTAACGGAGTCTCACTCTGTCGCCTGCCCAGGCTGGAGTGCAGTGGCACAATCTCGGCTCACTGCAAGCTCCGCCTCCCGGGTTCACGCCATTCTCCTGCCTCAGCCTCCCGAGTAGCTGGGACTACAGGTGCCCGCCACCATGCCAGGCTAATTTTTTGTATCTTTTTTAGTAGAGACGGGGTTTCACCATGTTTGCCAGGATGGTCTCGATCTCCTGACCTCATGATCCGCCCACCTCGGCCTCCCAAAGTGCTGGGATTACAGGCATGAGCCACTGCGCCCGGCCCCAGTATTATTCTTATTATTGACATATTTTCTAATTTTCACTATGGTTTCTTTTTTAATGCATATGTTATTTAGAAGTACAATTGCTTTAAATTTCCAAATTTATGGTTTTATTTTTATATTCAAGCATAATTGGTTTACTTGCTTTTATTTAAACTTTGAATTTTGAGATAATTGTTGATTCTCATGCAGTTGTAAGAAAAATACAGACAGATCTCAGTTTCCCTCAATGTTAGCATATATACAGAGTACAACTTCACAACCATCATACTGACATAGATTTATCAAGTTACAGAATAATTTTCTCACCACAAGGGTTCCTCATGTTGTCCTCTTATAACCACATCCACTTTTCTCCTTTCCCTCTATCACTGTCTACCCCATCTTTAAACCTTGACAACTACTAATTTGTTCTTCACTTCTATAATATTGCCAATGATAACCATGGCAAATTGTAACCATTTGTGATTTTCTATTTCACCCAGCATATTCCCTGGAGATCCATTCAAAGTGTTGCACGTATCAACAGTTTCTTTTTATTGCTGTGTAGTGTTCTATGGCACGGATGTCCTAAAATTGTTTAAACATTCTCTGTTGAAGGATTAGATTATTTATAGTTTTTCACTATTGTCAGCAAAGTTGCAATGAACATTTATGAACAGGTTTTTGTGTGAATATAAATTTTCATTTCTTTGGGATAAATAATCAGAATGGCAATTTTCTGAACATATGATAGTTGCATACTAAGTTTTTAAAGCAACCACCAAATGAGTTTCCAGAGCAGCTTTACAATTCTATATCCTACCAGCAATGTATGATAAATCCAGTTTTCTGCCATCTTGCCAGAGTTTGGTGTTTCACTGTTTTTTGTTTGTTTGTTTTTAATTTTAGTCATTCTCATAGGTGTGTAGTGATACCTCACTGCAGTTTTAATTTGCATTTCTCTAATGGCCAATAGTGTTGAACATTTTTTTTATGTTCTGGGTCTTTTATTTATTAGTTTTTTAAATTGACAAATAAAATTATATATGTTGTTTGTGTACAACATGATGTGTTGAAATAGGTATATATTGTAGAATAGCTTAATTGAGCTAATTAACCTAATTAATGTGTTATCTCACATTCTTGTCAGTTTTTGTGATGGGAATACCTAAAATCTACTCTCAGCAATTTTGAATAATGCAATACATTGTTTTAAACTGTAGTCACCATGTTATGCAATAGATATTTTAAACTTATCCTCCTGTCTAACTGAAATTTTGTGTTCTTTAACATCTCCCCAACCTTGCCCAGCCCCTCATCCTCCAGGTCCTGGTAACCAACATTCTACTCCCTGGACATCTTTTGAGTGTTTATTTTTTCTGTGTATCTTCTTTAGTGAATGAAATGTCCCTTCATGTCTTTTGCCCATTTTCTAATTGGATTGATTGTTTTTTCACTATTGAGTTCTGAGAGATTTTTATATATTTTAGGTACTGGTCTTTTGTCAGATACGTGGTTTGTAAATATTTTATCTCTGTCTGTATCTTGTCTTTTCATCCTCCCAACAGGCTCTTTCTTAGAGCAAAAGTTTTCAATCTTGTAAAGACCAGTTTATCAATTTTTCATCTTATGGATCAGGGTTTTGTTGTCCAGTCTAATAATTTTTCATCTACTCCTAAATTCAGAAGATTTTTCTTCTGAAGATTTTTCCTAGAAGTTCTATAGTATTATATTTTACATTTAGTTCCATACTTAATTTTGAGTTAATTTTGTATAAAGTATGAGGTTTAGATTGAGGTTCACTTTTTTCCCTCTGGATATCCATTTATTTTAGTACCATTTATTGAAAATATTATTTTTATTTATTTAATTACTTTTGAACGTTTGTCAAAAATCAGCTGGCCATATTTTTGTGGATCTATTTGTAGGTTCTCTATTTTACTCCATTGATCTATATGTCAATTATCCCACCAATAGCACACATTCTTGATTACTATAGCTATGTAATATCTCTTCAAATTGGGTAGACTGATGTCTTCCCTTAATTCTTCCTTTTGTTAAAACTATTTAGGTATTCTCATTTCTACGCCTGTCCATATGAATTTTAGAATAATCATATATTTATATTTAATCACTTTTGAACAAAAGTAATACGTATACAAAAAATCTTGTGGGAATTTTGAAAAACTGTTTGAAAATTGCATTAAACCCAGATATCAATTTAGGGAGAATTGTCATCTTTACTGTGTTGAGCCTTTCACTCCATGAACATGAGATGTCTTTTCCATTTATTTGTGTCTTCTTTAATTTCTTTCATCAGTATTGTAGTTCTCAGTATACAAGTCCTATATATACATTTTGTTAGATTTATACCTAATTTTTTCATATCTAATCTTGTATCTGAATTATTTCTTTTGGATTTCTATAGTGTTAGAACAAATCATACCCCTACTTTCTACTATGTAGACACAGCTATTACAGCCAAGAGACAAAAGACTTATTTTCCCTATATTTTAAATGGAGTATCTGGCATACATTTTCAAAGCATCTGAAAAGTATTCGAATACTTTTGTTATTGTCCTATTATTTATCATAGTATTCTCTTTTCTCTTGCAATCACTTAGGAAAAAAAGCCATATTTAATGTTGATTTTCTCTACTATCTCTTCCATTAATCTGATTTAGCTTGAAACATAATAGGGTTATTGAACTGATTTTTTTTTCATTTTAAAGTATGTGAGAAAATTATGATTTATGAAAATTCCTCTGTGAATCACACATTTTTCCAGAAAATTTTGATAGCTAACTTTCCAAATATCGCCCACATCTTTGAAAGCGGGAAATGACTAACAAAAGATCTTCATATCTAGATTAGAGTCTGTTTACTGAATGAAAGTATAAATTTTAATGTTTCTAGTTTCAAGCATTTTTTACTTGTTAGCTAATGAACATGCAAAAACTGCATAAAACAAATGTCCTGATGAAATTCTTTTCATGGAGTTTACTATTTATTTATTAAGAACAAACAAGTTGTTAATGGTTATTCATTTTTTCTCTTATTCCTGCGGCATGTTATAGTCAGACATTGAACATACAGAAAAAGTTTTATTCATTGTGAATCTTGTTTTCACTTTCAAAGTCCAAATTATCTTCTACCTAAAGTTATAGACATGTTAATACAGATACAATTCTCAGTAACACTTGACTTTTGAGTAATTAAACATCATAAAAAACAATCAGTAGTCCTTCCCATCACTGGAGGTCTAACTAAAATAATAATAATAATTTATATATAGTAACACCTTATGTTTTTATCTTAGTATGTTTAGGGATAGATAAGGGATAATGTCAAGTTTTTAATCTTCATTTTTAATAAAAATGTTTCTAATGATGTAGACATGTTAACATTTTCTTTTACAATTTCTTAAATTTCCTCTGATTCTTTAAAATTAGTTAAATCCAAATTCTCTAAAATTATATTAGAATTGACAAAACAAAACTTGCAAAACCCCAATGCACAATTAATTTTTTAAAAACATATTTTATTTAGTGCAAGAGCAATGTATTGAAACCTGAAGACTTTGATATTGCTGTCAGTGATGTTAGCCAGCCTGCTACAAAAAAAATTGCAACAAAAGCCAAAATTGACAAATGGGATCTAATTAAACTAAAGAGCTTTTGCACAGCAAAAGAAACTAGCATCATAGTGCACAGGCAACCCGCAGAATGGGAGAAAATTTTTGCAATCTATCCATCTGACAAAGGGCTAATATCCAAAATCTAGAAAGAATTTAAACAAATTCACAAGAAAAAAATAACCCCATCAAAAAGTGGGCAAAGGATATGAACAGACACTTCTCAAAAGAAGACATTTATGTGGCCAACAAACATTATGAAAAACAGCTCATCATCACTGGTCATTAGAGAAATGCAAATCAAAACCACAGTGAGATACCATCTCAAGCCACTGAGTATGATGATTATTAACAAGTCAGTAAAGAATAGATGATGTAGAGAAATAGGAATGCTTTTACACTGTTGGTGGGAGTGTAAATTAGTTCAACCATTGCAGAAGACAGTGTGGTGATTCCTCAAGGATCTAGAACCAGAAACACTGTTTGACCCAGCAATCCCATTACTGGGTATATACCCAAAGGATTAGAAATCATACTAGTATAAAAACACATGCACAAGTATGTTTATTGCAGCACTATATGCAATAGCAAAGACTTGGAACCAATCCAAATTCCCATCAATGATAGAGTGGATAAAGAAATGTGGCGCATATACACCATGGAATACTATGCATAAAAAGAATGAGATCATGTCCTTTACAGGGACATGGATGAAGCTGGAAGCCATCATTCTCAGCAAACTAACACAGGAACAGAAAACCAAACACTGCATGTTCTCACTCATAAGTGGGAGTTGAAAAATGAGAACACATGGACACAGGGAGGGGAACAACACACACCGGGGCCTGTCAGGGGCTGGGGGGCAAGGGGAGGGAGAGCATTAGGACAAATACCTAAGGCATGTGGGGCTTAAAAACCTAGATGACAGGTTGATAGGTGTGGCAAACCACCATGGCACATGTATACCTGTGTAACAAACCTGTACATTCTGCACATGTATCTTAGATCTTAAAGTCAAAAAAAAATTCTAGAGTACGGCTTACCAAATGCTGGTATTGCAATGATTTCATGACTTGTTTTTCTTACTCTAAGGAAATAAACACAATTCATACTTAACAAATAAATCAAAATAGCTGACTGATTCTATGAGAATTTTTCAAAAGACAGAAAGGACTAAATCCATTTTTACCTTAAGTAGATTGCTTAAGAGCAGCAAGTCAGAGACCTGGTTCTTAACTTTGGCTCTGTTATTTACTGGATATGACTTTGAGCAACTTAGAATTTTCCTATGTATGAAGTGCACTAATAATAGCTTCATCAAAAGGTTATCAAGATCCTTAAATGAGCAGTATATTTAGCTCATAGTGAATGCTCAAAAATAAGCAGTATCTATTATTATTGTTGCTACTTCTATGTTAATTTCTGAAATCTGGGCACTTATAAAAAGGTGGTGATCAATAAAACCTATGGTGTACACAGGTTTTTTTTGGAAGGTAACTATACTTTATTTAGAAACAGAAATAGTCCCAAATACACCAATTGTAAATATAAAACTTGTTTTATATTCACCGACTAATTAATTAAGAATATGTTGAAAATAACATAATTCCAGATGCACATAAATGAAGTTAACACTAACATAATTTCAGAATGGCTTCTTTTTATTTTGCATTTTAATTACTTCATTTACATGCACACAAATTCTTTACCCTATTTTTGGGTATTTTTATGTTAAAGTTTCCCATGCCTACTTATATTTAAGTTTGTAAAACTTTAATCAAATGCTGTGAGCGCATATATCTATATTTTGGCTTAAGATTCTGATTTGTTCTGGGACATTAAGAAGTAACTTCTTTAGTGAATGTTACCATTTTGAAAAGTGATCAGAGTAAATTTTCCTTTGCAAAGAACACCAAAGGAACCATAGACCCTGAAGACGAAAAGACAAGGATTAGATTTCCAGCCCACTGGCCTTTCTTCTTACTTTAAAAAGATGGGATTGCCAAGGTCTAAAGAGGTAGTATTTAAATAGTTTAGTTTCTGTTAATACTCATGAAAAATAAAATAGCCTTTGATGACATGGAAATGCTTCTCCATGTACCTTGTTTTCCAGACATGTTTACCTAATCCGAATTTTTCCCAGGAAAGAATATTGAGGCATGGAAATGTTGTCTTATTATTTCTCATGTCCCTTTCTATTTGGTGTGACTTCTTCAGTTTTGGACATTTGACACAGTTCACATTTGGCAGCCAGAAGTACTTGGGAAGGATTATTTCCAAATGTTTGCTTTTATACATCATTTTAACACATGGAGCAGAGGACTCATAGCCTCCTGCAACTAAATACTGATGTCTGTCTTCATATTTAATTTTTTTTGTTATTCCCTCCATTCTCTCATTTCTCATGTGTTGTAGTGGAAAACTCTTTATATACACAATTTTGCATTGATTTTAAGATCCATAAAGACTTACCTTCCTTTGCCAGGCACAGTGGCTCACGCCTGTAATCCCAGCACTTTGGGAGGCAGAGGTGGGCAGATTACGAGGTCAGGAGATCGAGACTATCCTAGCTAACACAGTGAAACCCCGTCTCTACTAAAAATACAAAAAATTAGCCGGGCCTGGTGGTGGGCTCCTGTAGTCCCAGCTACTTGGGAGGCTGAGGCAGGAGAATGGCGGGAACCCAGGAGGCGGAGCTTGCAGTGAGCCCAGATTGCGCCACTGCACTCCATCCTGGGTGACAGAGCAAGACTCCGTCTCAAAAAAAGAAAAAAAAAAAGAAAAAAAAAAGACTTACATTCTTTACCAAATTTCAACTTCATATAAAGTATTCTGTTTTGCAGGCAGTTTTCTCTTCCCTAATATAAATTTAATTACCTTGACTTTGGAAGGCCAACGCCAGTAATCCTAAGAGAACCACAGACCCTCTGAAGGAAGTGAACTGCTCCTGCAGGACCCGGGAGACACACCAAATACTGTGAGTGCCCCAACTGCGGAAGTGGGAAAGGGAGACCTGTCCTCTCCCAAACACACACCCCCACTGGAGAAGCTGAAGGTCAGTTTCTGGGAGAAGTTTCCAACTTTACCTGGAACTGAGTCAAATTAGAGAGCCAAGAGAAATACAGGGGAGAGGAAGCAGCAGAAACACCCTGGGAGCTCGCTGGGTCCCCAAGCACCCCATTCCTGCCTAGCACTGCAGGGATCCTTCAGGAGGGTGGCCAGAGGAGCAGGGGATAAAACTCCACAGGGAGAAAAAATTCTCTCCTGAACTTCATGACAATTTATAACAAAGTGAGAAGTCTCCTGGTCAAAACTAAGAGGAGGGTGCAAACCAGGCCTGCAGACTTCACAGGCAGAGGGAGAACTAAAGCCCTTTTCTTTCGCAGCTGGGAGACGGATAGCCTTGGGCAAGTTTTCAAGCCCCTCTTGTCCTCTGCCTGGAAACAGACTTGGGGCTGTTAGGGTGGGGCATGGTGGGAGTGAGACTGGCCCTTCAGTTTGCATGGGAGCTGGATGAGGCCTGTGACTTCCAGCTTTCCTCACTTCCCTGACAACCTGCATGACTCAGCAAAGGCAGCCATAATCCTCCTAGGTAGACAACTCTAGTGACCTGGGAATCTCTCCCCCAACCCCTGCAGCAGCTGCAGCATGTCCTGTCCAAAAAGAGTCTGAGCTCAGACACGCCTAGCTCTGCCCCCACCTAATGGTCCTTTCCTCCTGCCCTGATAGCGGAAGACAAAGGGCATATAATCTAGGGTTTTCTAGGGCCCCACCCACCACCAGTCCCTATCCACACTAGTACAGCTAATGCTTTCTGGAAAGTGCCACCTCCTGGCAGGAGGCCAACCAATACAAAAATAGAGCATTAGACCACCAAAGCTAAGGACCCTCACAGAATTCTCTGCCACCTCCACCAGAACAGGCACTGGTATCCATGGCTGAGAGACCCATAGATGGTTCACATCACAGGACTCTGTGCAGACAACCCCCAATACCAGCCTGGAGCCAGGTAGACTCGCTGGGTGGCTAGATCCAGAATACAGACAATAATCATTGCAGTTTGGCTCACAGGAAGCCACATCCATAGGAGAAGAGGGAGAGTCATCAAGGGGACATCCCGTGGGACAAAATAATCTGAACAACAGCCGTTAGCCCTAGACCTTCCCTCTGACAGAGCCTACCCAAATGAGAAAGAACCAGAAAACTAATCCTGGTAATATGACAAAACAAGCTCTTCAACATCCCCCTCGCACCCCTCCTCCCCCAGAATCACACTGGTTCACCAGCAATGGATCCAAACCAAGAAAAAATTCCTGATTTACCTGAAAAAGAATTCAGGAGGTTAGTTATTAAGCTAATCAGGGAGGGACCAGAGAAAGGCAAAGCCCAATGCAAAGAAATTAAAAAAAAAAATTGATACAAGAAGTGAAGGAAGAAATATTCATGAAAATAGATAGCTTAAAGAAAAAAATAAAAAATTCAGGAAACTTTGGACACACTTTTAGAAATGTGAAATACTCTGAAAAGTCTCAGCAAATAGAATTGAACAAGTAGAAGGAAGAACTTCAGAACTCGAAGACAAGGTCTTTGAATTAACCCAATCCAACAAAGACAAAGAAAAAAGAATAAGAAAATATGAACAAAGCCTCCAAGAAGCTTGGGATTATGTTAAATGACCAAACCTAAGAATAATCAGTATACCTGAGGAAGAAGAGAATTCTAAAAGCCTGGAAAACATATTTGGGGGAATAATCAAGGAACACTTCCCTGGCCTTGCGAGAGACCTAGACATCCAAATACAATAAGCACGAAGAACACCTGGGAAATTCATTGCAAAAAATCTTCACCTAGGCACAGTGTCATCAGGTTATTCAAAGTTAAGACAAAGGAAAGAATCTTAAGAGCTCTGAGACAGCAGCACCAGGTAAACTATAAAGAAAAATCTATCAGATTAACAGCAGATTTCTCAGCAGAAACCCTACAAGCTAGAAGGGGACCTATCTTCAGCCTCCTCCAACAAAATATCATCCAAGAATTTTGTATCCAGCGAAACTAAGCATTATATATGAAGGAAAGATTCAGTCATTTTCAGACAAAAAAATGCTGAGAGAATTCACCATTACCAAACCACCACTACAAGAACTGCTAAAAGGAGCTCTAAATCTTGAAACAAATTCTGGAAACATAGCAAAACAGAACCTCTTTAAAGCATAAATCACGAAGGACCTATAAAACTAAATACAAGTTAAAAAGGAAAAACAAAACAAAACAAAAAGCCAAAATACACAGGCAACAAAGAGCATGATGAAAGCAACAGTACCTCACATTTCAATACTAACACTGAATGTAAATGGCCTAAATGCTCCACTTAAAAGATACAGAACCGCAGAATGGATAAGAACTCACCAACCAACTAACTGCTGCCTTCAGGAGACTCACCTAACACATAAATATTTATATAAACTATATAAAAAACTGTATATATATTTTTATATTATATATATAAAACTATATATATAATTTTTTTATATAAAAGTATAAAAATTCTAGAAAAACCCTTCTAGACATTGGCTTAGGCAAGGATTTCATGACCAAGAACCCAAAAGCAAAGGCAATAAAAACAAAGATAAATAGCTGGGACCTAATTAAACTAAAGAGCTTTTGCACAGCAAAAAGAACAATCAGCAGAGTAAACAGACAACTCATAGGGTGGGAGAAAATTTTCACAATCTATACATCTGACAAGGGATTAATAATATCCAGAATCTACAATGAACTCAAACAAATCAGTAAGAAAAAAACAAACAATCCCATCAAAAAGTGGACTAAGGACATGAATAGACAATTCTCAAAAGAAGATACACAAATGGCCAGCAAACATATGAAAAAATGCTCGATATCATTAATGATCAGGGAAATGCAAATCAAAATCACAATGTGATACCACCCTACTCCTGCAAGAATGGCCATAATAAAAAAAAATTAAAAAAAACAGTAGATGTTTGTGTGGATGTGGTGAAGAGGGAACACTTCTGCACTGCTGGTGGGAATGTAAACTAGTACAGCTGCTATGGAAAGCAGTGTGGAGATTCCTTATAGAACTAAAAATAGAACTACCATTTGATCCAGCAACCCCACTACTGGGTATCTACCCAGAGGAAAAGACGCCATTATTCAAAATAGATACTTGCACACACATATTTATAGCAGCACAATTCACAACTGCAAAACTGTCGAACCAACCCAAATGCCCATTAATCAATGAGTGGATAAAGAAACTGATGGAATACTATGCAGCCATAAAAAGGAATGAATTAACGGCATTTGCAGGGACCTGGATGAGATTGGAGACTATTATTCTAAGTGATGTAACTCAGGAATGGAAAACCAAACATCATATGTTCTCACTGATATGTAGGAGCTAAGCCATGAGGACGCAAAGGCATAGGAATGATACAATGGACTTTGGGAACTTGAGGGGAAGAGTGGGAGGGGGTGAGGGATAAAAGATTACAAATGTGCTGCAGTGGATACTGCTCGGGTGATGGGTGCACCCAAATCTCACAAATCACCACTAAAGAACTTACTTTTGTAACCAAGTACCACCTGCACCCCAATAACTTATGGAAAAATTTAAAAAATAATTTTAAAAGTAAATAAATTTAATCACCTTAAGAGTAAAGACCATATCTTATTAATATTATCTGAAAGGCCTGATACCCAATGTATAGTTGGTTCTCAGTAAATTAAAATTTAATTAAGGATGAAAGACAATCTTGGCAGTATCCTCCATTTATCAGCCTGTTGTCTATGGAATTACACATGGCAAAGCAATATTCTATGTACAGGATGTAGCAAGCAGAAGTTGAGGGGAGGGAAATATCCATAATATAAAACGTATCCATTAGCATTAACTTGAGTGTACATAAATATTCTTGTGGAAAGATGACAAATGGGAGAATCTTATAAAATGACTTCAGTCTAAGTTATACAGAAAATTTATTCCTGACTTTTTGGGTATGCGAAAATGCCTATAGCCCACCACCTGCTTGGAACTCCAGGACAGATACTATTACAACCTTTTCTCAAAAATCATAAGTTAAAGTTAGAAGTTATAAATGTACCTGTGACATTTTATTCCTTTCTTCTTACCCAGTTTGACCTAATTTCAATGTCTCCTAATCAGATTACTAGAAATAGTGAAATAATATTTTCATTAATTCTATGATGAACAAGGAGGGGAGGAGAAAGATTATCCAGACCTTAGACAAATTTAAACAGGAGTCTGTGTGATGCATTAGAAAGCTCTGGGAAGAAGCCTGGAATTTGAAGGAAAAAAATTTTGAGCACAGGAGATAAGATAAGTTAGATATATGAAACTTTAGATAAAAAGAAGGATATTATCTAAGGAGTGTTTTATTTTCACCAAAAACAAGAGATAAGGAACAACCTCCTGCAACATGCTTAAACTTCAGAGGGAGTAAACAATGGCTTAAATAGAAAAGGTGAACCTAACACTCTTTCCTTTTGTGGAAATCCATGGCCTTACGATTAAATTTCAATGATTTGTCTGGAGGTATGTGTGTACTTAAGAAATTTTATGTTTCTTAATCTCCTGTGCTTTTTCCTTTAAGGATTCTAATTTGCTGTTCTTGGTTTAAATAACCTGGGCACACCCCCACTGTATCTCTCCTAGTGCTGCTCCCTTCTTTGCATTGTTCTCTGTTCTTCACTGTGATTCTTCCATCTGTTATCCTCCAGCGAACTCGGAAGTCTCAGACCACGGCAGAATCAGATGTCCAGAATATGCCAGTGGTTTGAGCAGCCCCTAAGATTAAGAATGAGAAGTTCGCACTTTCAGGTTCTTTATGAGGAGTAGGAAATTTGATCTTCTTGGCTGAAAAGGGACTCTAAACTTTTAAATCTTTAATGATAGCTGTAGCATTCTGACTCTCACAGCATTTGTTGTTTGCTCCGTGCAGTGTAAAAGATACAAAGGAAAGAGAAGTTGCAGTCTTGCTCTCTAGAGAATTAAAATCTTATTTTGAATAACCACATTGACTGAAAAAAATGGAAAACTTCAAAATAATATGGTGAAATCCAGTATATGAGTGCTGAATATGTGAACCAAGATGAGAATGAGCTGCAATGAAGAGGAAGAAAGATATGCTCAGCAGCACCCTATGTTGTAGCAGGTCCACCCTACTGTTACAATGAATGTGAATAAACTCAGGAGCATAGCAAACAGTAAAATGTAGTAAAATAACTAGAAAGTAATGAATTTTTTGTATTTATTACCTTTGTTATTAATATAAGTTAATTGTAGATTTAGATAATTTATTTGTTATTAATGCCTGTGTTTAACCACCAGCTCTCAAAATTCCTGAAAATGTGGCAACTGGCTCTCCTGAGCTGCTACAAACTAGTTTCAGCATGCCCCTGTGCCATGTGTACTTTCTGTTTTTCACCAGTTATGCAATGACAAGTGTGCACCTAAGCTTTAGATTTAACATGTTCAGAATGGATTAAGTTAGTAAAACGTTTAAACTACATGCTTAACTGCTTGAATGCTGCATATAACAGACATAGTGGAACCTAGTTACATTAGTGATATAATATTTTTAATAAAAGGGAAAAAAATCTTTGCATAAGTAAACAATAGTCACAAATATGCCACAATTAGGCCATCAAACCATAGCATTGATTAATATATTAGGAAAAATAGATGCACAATTCTGTAATATTACATATAAACTAGTGAAGATTTGCTTACTAAAAAAAATTTAATACAAAGTTTGGCTAACAAATTCCTTTTCTTTCATTTATTCAAAATTGTTAAGTATATACTTTATCTCAAGCACTCTGCTGGACACTGGTTTAAAGGGATTATATGAGTTTAGTAGGAGAAATAGGAAACATTTAGCAAGCAATTGCAGTATTACAGATCCTTTGAATGAGGGATACAGGTGCTATAGGAGCACGAGGACTTCCTAAAATCTTAATATACATTAAAACCCACCCCATCACCATCACCACAGATTCAACCTTGACTCTAATATCAGCAGGAAACCTACGGCCAGAATAAGACTGGAGTGTCAGAGAGCCAGATAGTAAGAAAAGAAATGAAAACACTTCACATGAAGAGAGCTCCATGTGAGGCCAAAAATGAAATGTCCTTCAAAAACAAATCTGAGCAAGCAATTCCCTGCTTGCCAGCAGATAATAATGAAGAATCAGTGGTGATCGCATACTGTTTGTGAACTAACTCCTCATATGAATATAGCTCTTCTTGTTTGAGGATGAATAATGAGTGAAGAAAATATCCAAAAATACAGGCTATTTCAAGGAGGACTAAACAAGGATGTACAAGACAGTGATTCTACTCTTGTTTGGCTGGAGTTTGTCTTTTGGTATATTTTATTCAAGAAGTACACAGAAGTGATTTATTTTAAGAGTCCTTTAATACCTGAAATTTGCTATCTTTGATAAAATGCAATTTGGCTGGGTGACCAAAATTATGTGCATATTCTAAACTCCAGGAGTCTACTAAAACTTTCTCTATTGATGTCTGGAATTTTGAAAAGCTGTCTAGGGAGAACATGAGTTTTGTTTTTTGATAAATTTTAACATTTTTTGCGCATTCAGTTTCTGCGTAGATGCTTGGAGGTATAATTATAATCTTATTAGATCAGCAATACTTACAGGATGTGTCTAATTTGGGGGTCTTTTTCATTGCCCCCCACCCTGAATGTAATAAAATATCTTCATAAGCTCTGGGAATTTTTTTTTTAACTCAGCAATGTTTTCTTCATTATATCTTTGATTGTTGTTTCTGGTTCAATGGTTCTATAAGGATTATATGTTCTATTTTCCCACAGGAACTATAGTTATATAATAGTCTTTGAAATTCTAGATTTATCTTATTAATTCTATGTATTAATTACATACATAGAATGTATGTAATTCTATGGCCCACTCATTTGAAGTATTTCTCAACTTACCTCCTCTTTGTCATGTATTTGCATTTTAAGCAGTCTGACAAACTTAAGTCCAAATCCAACAATTTTAGACTTGTTGAATGAATTTAAACTAGTTGTTTAAAATTTTTAAATGATCTATGGATCTTTAAGAAACTCTATATATTAAACATTAAAAAATTATTAGTGAAAATATTTGAATATTAATGACTGATTCTTTGTACTAACTCAATTCTTGTTGCAGTCTCTTTTCCTTTCTCGGATGCAGAAAAATTGCTAACCAAGAAGCTTTCCACATTAGAAGCACAAAGTACCATTCACATAAGTCAGTCTATAACATGATCTGCAAAGTAGGTTGGACTTTCTCATATTCACTAAAATCTATCACTTAAAGATGTGTGGAAATAGCTTGTGCTTTTGAAACTCATTAGAAATGCTGTTTATTTTGATTTAGACTCAACCTGAACACTCTGGTATGACAACTTATTTCTAACTCTTTTAATGGAAAGCACGAACATTTAGTTGAACTTGAATCCTGACCTTTTGGCAGTTGTTACAGTTATGGATTCAAAAAATCACTTGTTCACAGAATATTGTGGTTCAGTAGAAAAATATTTTGATCATGCTATACTTCAAAAGTTGGCTAACCAAAAACATTAAATTTTTCTCTTATTTTCAAAAGTACATTTCAATTTTTCTTCTTTTATATCCAAAGCACAACTGTTTCTTCACCTGTTTTCAGTTCCTCCCCTCCTGTCTCAGAAGAGCGGAAGTCAGCCTTCAATAGCAGTGCTAACTTTTGCCTTTCTTCTTTGGGGATGAAGAGTATGGACTTTGTTATCAGGCAGACGTGGATTCAAGTCCTGCTTCCACAATTAATAATATATGTTACCTGGACAAATGATTTAACTTCCCTCAGCTATAATTTCCTCATTAGTAAAATGGTTTTACTTTAAGGACTTACTGAGATGCTTCTGTAAATTGGCAATACTGTACCAAACATTGATTTTAGTCTAATGCTTCTGTTTTTATACACTATGGTTAGCAGTATATTTGGTCTATAGTTGGCATTTGATAGTGTGAAAGTCTAGTTTTAACTTCAAATGTATTTTTGTTTGTGAATAAATGAAAAAAGACATTTCATTTTATCTCTCTTAAATCCTTTGCCTTTAGTTAACATTATTTGATTTCTTGTTTCATGGGCCTTTCCATTAAAGATATGTTTATTTTTTGTTTGCTAAGGCAAATATTGTCACGTATTAAAACAAATAGTTCATTTTCTACAGAAGAAAACAGAATTTTTAAAAATCCTATGAATAAAATGTTTTTAAATCTAATGACTAGACCTTGAGATATGACATTGCCAGAATTTTCAAAGTAGAACAATATTTATTTTAGCTCAAGCATATTTAGGATTGCAAAGTGGGTCTTAGCTGAATGTTAGTGTGGAATCTAACTCTGACTGAAACCATGCAGGTGTCTGGTGTGTATGCAGAGCCATTTCTAGAGGACTCTCTGTGGATAGCAAATCATTCATGTAGCTCTTTGACAGGAAGAACTTTCTCCTTACACTTTCTGCATGGCAGGGTCTAGACTTTCCACATCTGGTAACACTGGAATCCAGTTTTGTTCAAACAACTTCGTGTTCTGAAGCAGGAAGAGTTAGAGTAAACTGCTTTCCAGGTAATCTATGGTGATTTTATTCTGGGAAATATTTACAAGTAAAATCTCTCTAATTGAGAGAAAGACTATCTGCATGGAGAATATAATTTCAAGCCCTGTACTTAAAAGAAGACATTTGGGTTAACTAGAGTAATCCAATGCTGCTTTGAAGAATTCCGTAGACTAATCTGTCTTATTCTGCAAACATATATATAAGAATTGTCATAAGAATTTTGAGATTTGAGTTTAATTTATATAAGTATAATTTTTATTATCAAAGTTACATGCAAAGAATTAAAAAGGCAAATTGTTCTACAAGACTTTTCATCGAAAATAATAGTCTCTTGATTCCTCTCCACTCTGAATTTCCTTCACCATTACCTGGTGCATTTCTTACCTTTCTCTGTGCATCTTGTTATCCCCTAATGCCATGTCTTCCTCTTCCTTGGATAATTTCCTTGTATGATGTAATATATCATCTAGTAACTTCCAGACAAGGGGTACATGGAAGGAAAATATTTTGAGCATTTGCATGCTCCTAAATGTCATTGTTTTCCCTTGCAATTGATGGGTGGTTTGTCAGGATATAGCTTTTTGGGTTGAAAGACATTTAAAGTGATTGTGGAAACACTGGTCCATTGTCTTTTAAATCTTAATATTCTTTTCGGGAAATTCAAATCTGTGCTCTCATTACCCAAGTTTTTCTGGGCTTTCGTGACCCAATCAGCCTGCTTCTAGGCTTCCCTAATTGATGGCATTTGGCATTCTCTGATAGGATAAGCCGAACACCACTGTTGAATGGTTTCACAGCTTCCAACAGTTGCTGAGAGGTCTTCTCCTATTGCCTGTGATCTCATGCCTCTTCCACAAAGGCATCAATCTGCAAGGACAAGATGGATTGAAGAAACAGTATAGAAACCACAAAGAGGAAAGAATGTTGAATTTTTCAGGAAAGAAAGGATCTTCCCTGAGCCTAAAATGCAACTTTGGTGCTATAAGTCTGTCAAGTTTCTTAAGAGAAGAAAAGCTAACACTTTTTTGAATACCCATATGCTGGGTTGTTCACATATGTAATTTTATTTAGTCTCTCCAATAATTTTAATGTAAGATACAGGTGCTCAGAGAGATTTATCAATTTACTGTAAGAAATAAAATGCCAGAAATTGGATGCGGATTCTTTTCCCCAAAGACTAGAATAAAAGATCCTTGGTCTAAATAAAAATACAATGTCTAGAGCACAGAGATGAAGTCCTAACTCTGCTCTGTCTAGTCATGGCTCACATGTGTTCTGACCAATACAACAGGGATTTTTGCACCTTTATCCATTGTTCCAGGTGATTGAAAGCTTTTTGACACAAGGTATTTTTTTTTGTCAGTTTCATAGACTAGACACATGTCTATTGTATAGACTTCTTAAGGTAGCACAGAATCTTCTTTAGAAAAATCCTTGTAAGTTTATTTTTTTCTTTACTACAGTAATAATTTTCTATGGCACCAGTAGTGGTGAGGTTTGGGAATGTGTCTATTGGATAATATGTTACAACATTTTCGTACTCTTTCCCAATACTGGATATGAATCTACATTCCCATTAGCAGCCATCAGCAGTGTGATGTTTCTCAGAGAAACCTTTTATGAAACAGGGAAAAAAAATCACAAAATGTAAGAACATCAGAAGAGCAAGGCAGCAGAAACCACATCCTTAATTCAGAGTAAAGATGACATCTGAGAAATAAAGAAAAAAAAATTCTTCATTATAGGTGGAGAAGTTGGGAAAAGTTCATTCATTGTGTATAGGACTCATCAATGGAAAAAAAAAAATCTATAAACTGTGTGATAGTCCAACCACAGACTGTCATCAGACACACGTAGTCACCTGGTAAACACTTGTGGCTGGACAGAATGTGTTTCATTGCTGGGTGGGATTCTTCGGGGTTTATGCCTAACTTTTGATTCTCTTTCAGGTTTCAAGTTCTGTTCCACAATTTTCCAGTGACTCTACAAGCAGCAAAATCCATAAGCAAAAGGTTTGCACTAAAAACATAATCACCAATAAATATGTAGTATGTATTAATTTTGTGTTGTTTTATTCTCTTCCTGCATGATATTTTAGGCAAAGAAAGTCTAAAAATTTTAATTTCACTACGTTGTTGAATGACAGGACGTGTCTGAGTTTTACTTCTAATATATTGATTATTTGGTAAGGTATATTCTGATTTTCCTTCTGTTGTGGCATTTTTTCACCATGATATTAGTAGGGAAAATAAAATGCAATTTCCACTGGATATAAAGATAGATTACATATAAGTCAACTGATAGAATATAGCTTTTGGCCTCTTTCTCGTGATATAGCTGTTCTGTGCCTGATTTTTTTTTCCCCCCTTTGGTGGACCCCACTCCACACAAAAAAATCTGATCTCAAATAAGAAAAAAGAAAATTACCTATAATCTACTCCAGAAAAAAAATTACTGGAAACATTTGTATGAATTTTTTTTTAAAACCCCCCAAAACACGATTAATTCATGCATGCAGGGAGAAAATCGGGGAAAAAATGATTTGTGCAAACCACACAACAGATACTATTGAAATCTTGAATGTTGTAATCCAAAATGGTGGCTTGATCAGAAAATATGGAGACTACAAATTATACATTAAATAAGGAACATATTAAAGGTATAAAAATGAAATTATAATATTAATTTTAAGCTAAAAAATTTTTTTAGACTGTAGTTGCAGAAGCAACTGGTAATTTGACAATCTCCCTTGGGATAGTTGATTAATCTGAGTGAAAATTCAAGTAACTTAGAAACCTCAGTGAAAATTCAAGTGACCTCTGTCCTTTTACTTCAAGTCCCAGGATGACAATGTCTCAATGGACACCTTGGAGAATTTAGAGTCTCTTTCAACTTCAATAAACTCTGCAGTTAAGGTTGACTATTAAGATGCTGATCTTTGAAAAAGGGATGAGATCAAGAGTATGAGTGAATAAGTAGATGGGTGAATATACTATGGAGTCTTTGGC
Source organism: Homo sapiens (assembly GCF_000001405.40). Taxonomy (NCBI): domain Eukaryota; kingdom Metazoa; phylum Chordata; class Mammalia; order Primates; family Hominidae; genus Homo; species Homo sapiens. Next base: position 37,516,863 of record NC_000013.11, read on the forward strand.
ACCAAGAAGAAACTACGAGATCACCAAAAATAGCAATAAGATGATCCACTTCACAATTTGTACTAGGCTTAAGCACCATGAGGGACTGATCATCTCAGATTATTTGAGAAGGAAATGCACATTTATTCTGCCGCTTAACTGGTTTAGAGTCCTGGGCTGTGAAAACATGTGATCCATCTGGGCAAAACCAGGAATTTGGAGGTCAACTTGTTCTATAAGGTAGATTAGGAATAAAATTAATTTCCTCTTCCTCAGTATGAACGTAAGTTCTGATGATGTCACCATGGGGTTGGTTGCAATTTTTCACTCATGCCACCAGGGATAACAACTAAATCGCTCAACTTTGGTGAGTCTATTCTTTCATTGCTTAGGTATAGAGAGAGGAAATGTAATAACTCACATGTTTGGTGGGTACTATGGAGATCCCTGATATCTATTCCAGGGATAGATAGACGACTGTCAGCCAGTCCTCTATTAGCTCAGCCATCATTCTTTTCCCTCTTTTTCTCTTTCTTTCTTTTTTTTTTTGAGGCAGAGTCTCGCTGTGTCACCCAGGTTGGAGTGCAGTGGTAAGATCTCAGCTGACTGTAATCTCCACCTCCCGAGTTCAAGCGATTCTCCTGCCTCAGCCTCCTGAGTAGCTGGGACTACAGGCATGCGCCACCACACTTGGCTAATTTTTGTATTTTTAGTAGAGACGGGGTTTCACCATATTGGCCAGGCTGACCTTGAACTCCTGGCCCACCTCGGCCTCCCAAAGTGCTGGGATTACAGGCATGAAATACTGCGCCCAGCTCTCTTTCTTTTTCTTTTTCTTTTTTTTCTCTTTAAGGGGCATATACAATTACATCTTTGGGGGGAAGTTCTCATTCTTAGGAACTGTTTTTCTTTTTAAAATTAAGTATAGTAACAACTTTTGACCATCAATTACGAATGGAATCACAGTGATACACTGCTTATTGAACCTGATCTCATTAGCACCTTTAGCTTTGGCAGTATAATTTTGAGCCATGTTGAAGGAAATGGGATTTTATCAATTTTTTAAAAATTAGGACAAGCATGGTGCCTCATGCCTGTAATCCCAGCACTTTGGGAGGCCGAGGCAGGCAGATCACCTGAGGTCAGGAGTTCGAGACCAGCCTGACTAATATGGTGAAATCCCATGTCTACTAAAAATACAAAAGTTAGCTGGGTGTGATGGCTAGCGCCTGTAATCCCAGCTACTTGGGAGGCTGAGGCAGGAGAATCGCTTGAACACGGCAGGCGGATGTTGCAGTTAGCCGAGATCGCACCATTGCACTCTAGCCTAGGCAATAAGAGTGAAACTCCATCACAAAAAAAAAGAAATTAATAAAATGTATAATTGTACTTTTCCTCCAATTGAACTACATGATATGAGAGATTAAGTGTATATTTCTGAGATATTGATTTTTGCCACATTTATAACAGCCCTGCTCAACACAAATCTGTCACACCAGCCAACTAAGAAAAATTGTTTTCACCCATTCTGAGGACAGGGATGGATTCTGGTTTTGTAGGGCTTACAGTTTCATAATATGGAGTGATCCTTTGTAGTAAGGACAGGGTCTTAGAAGTCTGCACAAATGAGATGTCTTAAAGCTTAAATTTTATTAACTTTGCAGCAAATATGCCTCTTCCTGGGATTTGCATTTTATCTTGTTTTTTCCTGCAATCAGAATGAAATGAAGATTCTTATATATGGGCATTTTCCTCACTTAGAATTCTGAAAGGATTTTGTTTTGCTTTGCAAGAAAATATTGAATTGTGGCTTTTCTTCCTACAATGTTATTTGCTTTATTAATATCAAATTTACTCCCTGCTGTTTTTTCAGTGACTCTAAGAACAAAATAACAATAAGTGTAATATTTTGAAGATATTTTAGACGCAATTATATCAAGTATGTGTGGGACTAACGGATCACATAAATAATGGCATAGATATAAGCAAGTTCACACATGTGAGATGTGAGACAGTGACAATTTCACCATAAGAGCTGCCTAGGTGATAGTGATTATAGTCATCATTGGTTATGAGATGCTTCCTGATTTCAGGGATGTTAAAATATTGAAGAATATGTACAAGTTAGAATTGATGAAATATGATAATTCTTTTGTGTTGGATTTATAGTTTGACTTTTCTATTGAAACTTTTAAGTTTTAATGATTTTTTTAGAGCTTCATTGAGATATAATTTTCAACTCATAAAGCTCACTTAAATATTTATGATTTAATCATTTTTAGCTCATTTACAGGCTTGTGCAAGCATCATCATAATATAATTTTAGAATATTTTTATTATCCATCAAAAAAACCTCGTATCCATTAGCAATTGCTCTCCCTTTCCCTTTCTCTCCCAGATTTAATGACTATTTTATTTAAATATTTTAATTTGTTTTATTTACATACACACTTGTTTTATTTTGCCTATTTTCATTTTATAATTTGTTGCTTAAATTTAAAAAATAGCTATTTGAGGACCCTACACTCTGATTGACATTTCTTGTCCATTTGAGAGGAGCGAGTCTTCTCATTGTTAATTTTGTTGGCTTTCTTAGCATTAGTTTTCATCACATGTTTTGAGATACGGGTGAGTGCGGGACTATGTTGTCTTAAAGTTTGTTCTTCCCTCTCCCTTTTTCTTTGAGCTCATTCTCATGTCTCTGTTGGTCTTAGAAGTTACGTTTTGATTGCCAGCTTCATGCCCCATCTGAAAGTGATAACAGTATTGTAGACCTAGGCACTGAACCAGTGGGTAGGTTGGCTCAGGTGTATGTTGTGAAGTTACTTCTGCTTCTTCTAGTTTATAGACGTAGATTTACTTATGCCATAGCCTAGAAATAATATGGCCAGTTGGTTTAGCAACTTCTTATGAAGAAGGAAGCTTTACTTCAGTCCCTAGTATTAAACACTGGGCCTGATTCTCACTGCAATTTTAGTACTGTTATCCATAGAAAATGAATTTCTGGCAGCTTCTCCTGCCTTCAGACCTAGAATTGACCTCAGCAGACATGGATGCAGCCCTGCCTACCATCTTAAATGTTTATTCAATTTGTTGTCATGATTATATTTATTGTATTTTAAATCGTATTTATATCTCTTTACTTTTAAAGATGCCATCTATTAATACTATGTATGTCACAGTGTGTGTGTATGTATGTGTGCATATGGGGGTTATTTGTATCTGATGCCTCAAAGCAAGACATTAAAAGACTATTATAACTCTAAATCAGAAAAGTTTCTAAGCTGTCACCTGATCCTGGAGCTACAGGCTTCTCTCTGATTGCCTTGGGAATGTTTTAGATTCCCTGCTATGCTGTTGCTATGTTTAAACAATTTTGTCTTTGATTTTTTTAAAAGTCTAGTTTTTAGTTTCTGGTTTTGGTTTGTCAAAAAATAAAAATCTGATAAAATTTTTTATGTGGGACCTAGCAGGCATAATTTTGTTGCTTTAAAAATGACTATATCAGTAGTATGTAGGATGCCTTAAAGTGGAAGAATGTAAGGTTAGAAAACTTGCAAAGATGTTGTTGTATTAGTCTGAATTACTAAGGATATGGAAAAATTATTAGCAATGAAAGGGCGACACTGAATATCAAGAGAAATGAATGAATTATTAGCTATCCTAGCACTGGAAAAGATGATGACAATTGTCTAATTCCCACTTTCTCTACGATTTAATTCATCTCTCCTAGTTTATGAGTCTAATTATATTAAGAACAACAACAAAAAAAGACCCAGCCCATAGAAGGTGATTAAAATTAGAGAAACTAAGAAATAGACACATAGGATCCAGGATTGAAATCAGGTAATCGGGTTTCAATATCCAATTCATTTCACGATTCAATGAGGCTTTAAAACATTTTTATTTTTTGAATAGAACCTCCATGGAACAATCTAAAATGCATTCTTTATTCTGTCACAGTATCCTGTCACATATGAACGATTCCCATGACCCTTATCAAGTTATTCTTTGTCTTAGATGGTTTCCCATTTTAGGACATTGATGTCAGCTTCATGGGTGTAAGAACACTGAACAGACATGTTAGAACATTTTATACCCGGGATATTGTCATTTCTTGCAGAGGTATAAGTCAACCTTGCCCTGGAGACTAGTTTTAGAATGTTATGTGTTCTGTTTTGTTTTATTTTTAGGAAAGTGAGATCAAGTGGCAAAGCTATTAAGCTTTGCTCATTACTGAACAAAAACTAGAACTCAAGTCTCTTTGCACAAACTTTCTGCAGGGGTTTCCTCCTTTAGTTTTGCTGTTTTCTCATGGGGAATATCTTCTCCTTTCTGACTAAATCTTTCATGTAACTCATCCTGATAATGGTAGCCAAAATTGCTTTTTCTCATTCTTTCCTATTCTTACTTAGGTAGCTAATGAATGTTTTGGAGTTTCATTATGACCTCTCCTATTATTTAGTAGACTTTCATATTTGTCTTGTTTGCACCTAGACTGTCATACACATTAACTTTAGATATCACTGCCTGCATTAAAATGCACTAATTTTAGCATGTAATTTGATGTCTTTTGACAAAGTCCAACCTACTGTTATTTTTTTTCTTTTATGCATCATGTTTTTGGTGTTGTATATGCATCATAATTTTTCTCTTATGTTTCCTTCTAGTAATGGTTCTAACTTTGTTGAAAAGACTTCTTTTTCTATTGAACTAACTTTGCAACTTTGTCAAAAATCGGTTGTCTATATTTGTGTTGTTGGGTGAACATTCATTTATGCTTGATACATCTTGATGATTTGATATCTTTATTATATCATTATGAAATGTTCCCTTTCATCCCTGGTAATATTTTCTATTCTAGTATCTTCTTTGTTTAGTATTTTTTTAAAATAAATTTTATAGTGCATATTTAAGCTTTTGCTTGGTATTAATATAGCTGCTACAGCTCTCTTATTATTAATGTTTACATGTTGGAGCTGATTATATCCCTGTGTTTTCACCTAGGTCTATGTGTGTGTGTGTATGCATGCACACACGTGTGCAGAGTTTAAATTTATATTACAGCAAATACTGAGGCCTTGCTTTTATGACCTGACTGATGTTCCAGACTTTACAATTTGCATCTTTAAATTATCACTGTATATCTCCACATAAGAATGTACCATTTCACATATATGGTAAGAACCTTGTAACAGCAGTCTCCTGTTTCTCCCTCTCTTCCTTTTTGCTGTTGTCGTCATGTATTTTACCTCTTTATAAAAATGACACAATACAATGTTTCTAACTTTTAAGCAGTTAATCATATATTAAAGGATTTAAAAAGCAAGAAGATAAGTCTATTGCATTTATCCATGTATGCACCATTTCCAGCACTTTTAATTTCTTTATATAGATCCAAGTTTCTATTAAGAGTCATTTTGCTCTTGGCTGTATAACTGATTTATGATTTATTGTAGTGTAAATCCGGCAACAAATAATCCCAGCTTTCATCAGTCTGAAAGTGTCTTTATATAGTATTCAGTTTTGAAGGATATTGTTTTTGGCTACACAATTCTAGCTTTGCTTTCTCATTTTCTTTCTACTTACAAAGTTTCTCATGAAGACTCAGTGGTAGTTTTTAAAAAAATATTCAACTTTTAAGTTCAGGGGTACATGTGCAGGAAGTGCAGGTTTGTTACACAGGCAAACGCGTGCCAAGGTTTGCTGCACAGATCATCCCATCACCTAAGTATTAAGTCCGGCATCCATTAATTATTCTTCCTGATGCTCTCTCTCCCCCAACCCTCCCCAGAAGACACCAGTCTGTGTTGCCCCTCTCCATGTATCCATGTGTTTTCATCATTCAGCTCCTATTTATAAGTGAGAACAAGTGGTATTTGGTTTTCTGAGCCTGTGTTAGTTTGCTGAGGATAATGGCTTCCAGCTCCATCCATGTCCCTGCAAAGGACATAATCTCATTCCTTTTTATGGCTGCATAGTATTCCATGGTGTATATGTGCCAGATTCTGTGATAATTCCTATAACCGGTTTTTTTTTTTTAATGGTTTTGACTGATGTAAGGCTTTTTTCATTACCACTGATTTCCAGCAGTTTAATTGTAATGTATCCTGGTGTGAATTATTTTGTCTTTATTCTGCTGTGGTTGATCTTATTTGATCTATAGGTTGATAGTTTAAACATATTTTTAAAATTATTATTATTATTATTAATTCAGATAATTTTTGCCTACCTCTCTGTCATTGACACATACAGATTTTCTGAGGTGCCAACTACATGCATGTTAGGTCACTTATTTTCCCACTGGTCACTGAAGCTCTGCCCATTTTTTCCCATTGTTTTCTCCCCTTGTTTTACTTTTGTTAGTTTCTACTGTTATGTCTTCAAATTCAATGATCTATTCTTCCATAATATCTAATCTACAATTTATCCCATCTAGGAATTTTCCATTGTGGACATTTGTTTTCATTCTTTTATTTTTAAATAGCTTGCATTTCCTCGTAACATTTTTCTTTTAAATCCTTAAGGGTATTTTGGCTAATACTTTAACAACTTTCACTTTGGGGTTGATTCTGTTGACTGATTATTTTCCTACTGGCAAGTTACCTTTTCCTGCTTCGTGGTATATCTAGCAATTTTTGATTTGGTACTATATATTGTAAATGTCATGCATTTCAGTGTCTGAATTTTTACCTTTTTAAAAAGAATGTTAGACTTTGATCTGGTCGAAGGATAAGTTACTTACAGATAAGTTTTATCTTTCTGCATCTTGATGTTAAGTTTTTACAAGACAGGTCTATAATAAGCTTATTCTAGAGATACTTAAACCCCATGACTATGGTGCAATGTTTTTGGGGCTTTTACTAACTATGCTGGGTAACCCATGAGACCTCTCGCTCTGGTTAGTGGGAGTTCAAATGTCTCCTTGCCCTTTTCTACCTCTGAAAATTTGCACCTTAATCGTAATTTTCTTGGTCTTATGGAGTTTAAGCTATACATACCTGGGTGGGTATTTAATGCAGATTCAAAGATACTCCATTCTAATTTTTGAATCTTGTTCGCTGCATAGTCCCTTGTAATTTCATCTGTCAAAATTTTGACTTTAAACATTGTATACTGAGTTATAACATTTCTATATGATTATTTTTCATAGTTTTTATAGCTCTCCTTTAATTGTCTATCTCTTTACAAATCCAATGTTTCCAAATCATTTGATGGAACATAGAGTTACCCTATGACAGCATGTTTAGGCTATATATATATATTTTTTTCTTGTTCAGTTTTTTAGAGACAGGGTCTCACCCTGTCACCCAGCTTGGAGTGCAGTGGCGCGACCTCAGCCTACTGCCACCTCTACCTCCTGGGTTCAAGCAATTCTCCCCCTCAGCCTCCCAAGTAGCTGGGATTACAGGTATACGTCACTACATCAAGCTAATTTTTGTATTTTTTGTAGAGACAGAGTTTCACCATGTTGGCTAGGCTGGTTTCAGACTCCTGACCTCAAGTGACCCGCTGTCTTGGCTTCCCAAAGTGCTGGGAGTACAGGCTGAGCCAACGTGCCCAGCCATATTTAGGCTATATTTGTGTCATTGCATGTGTTAAGGGTTATGGATGGAGGAGGCTAATTAGTCATATCCCTTCTTTTCAGGTTCCAACAAAGTGGGAAACAGACAAGCAATCAGATTAGGGTGAAAATTCAGCTACTAGTAGTAAAAATGGGCTGTATACTGTGACCCGTCCCGTCCTAGGCCATACAACTGGAGAGTTCTTCATGACAATGGGAGCCAATAAAATGCAAGGGGGTGGGCGAGGAAGAGATGGCAAGTTCCTTGTAGAACCAAGGGGTTCTGTCAGACACTAATATTGTCCATTTCCTTAGGTCACACTTTTATGGAAAAGGATGAATGAGTGGTGGAGATGGAATAAAAGCTTCTTCCCAAGGATTTTATCAAGACAGTGGAAGACTGAGGAGAGACTGAAGGGAGTGGAAGGAAATATTGTGTCTTCTAATATCCATCTTGCTCAAACAAAGTTGGCTGAATTAAGGCTCTGCTTGTTAACTGTCAATCACAATCTATTATGAAATATAAGAAAAATGACTAGCAATAAAAAGTGTAGTTAAATTGTGTTAAAATTCAAGTTAGTAACTTCTGTTTTAATATTTACATGTTTGAATTTTTCAAGTATCTTGGAATTTTTAAGAAGTTAAATCATCAGAATAATTAGTTGCTATATTTATACTGTAAAAGTAAATAAATGGAATTTTTAAAAATTGCTTGTAATTTAAAATTATGGATTCTTATAGTAAGTTTTATTATATTTTATTTTATTAACTTTGTGTTTTATTATATATTTATATTTAGTTATATATTTAATTATGTTAAATTATGCATTTATTTTTTATTAGTATTATTTTTTATTGGCTGAAGGGAGAAGAAATAAATATTACACCCCCCGAAACCTAACAATAAAATTCAGATATTAACATGCATACATTTATATGAGGTTACAGTTCAATATTGGGCTCATTTAAAAAACAATTAATAGACATGGCTAAAAGAGTGATGATCAACTCCCACAAAAGACAGCACAAACTATCTAGTGTTAAGAAGAGTATACACCAAAATCTTGAAACATAATATTGAAATCCATTTTTAAATTATAGAAAAAGAAGAGTGGAGTCATAATTATAGCAAAGATGTAAATCTGCAACTCCATGTTTTTTCTTTAATGTGGGTCTGGAAATATATAAGAAGTGTATATACTTCAATTTCCTATGCTTCAGTTTAAATGATTCTAAATTGAAATTCAAATATCATGTTTACTGTCATGAAAAGTTTTACAGTCTACAAGAACTTACTTTAAATAGGAACAAGGCCAGTCCTTGCATTAGGGAAGTACTAATGGTCTAGACCAATTCCACTGCCCTGAGATATCCACAGCAGCATCTATTTTTTCATGATTATTGTTCCATTCTTTCAGGACCTCAATGTCTTCTCTTTCTATAAAATCTCTTTTAAAACAGAAATAATCCATGGAGGAGTCCTACATTCAGATATTGCTAGGTAACTTAAATGATGAAGCAAGATTTTAGAAAGAACTGATTAGATGCTTTGGAGTAAGAAGGGCCAAAATAGCCTTCCAGAGAAGGGCACAAGGGCACTAACAGAACAGGAAAAAGTGCCAATTCATTTTGATATATTTCAGTGTTCTATGAAGAAGAAAATGGCAACCTAAAATAAACGATAATACGACTATATACAGAAAATCAATAAAATGCCATTTTAGAAGTATTATCAGTGAAAAAATGTTTGTTTACAATATGTCATAAAGTGAAAAAGGAATTATTAAAAAGTGCCACATTGTGATTGCATATTTTGTTGAAATATGTGCATACACATATGAATAGAAAAAAATGGAAAATATATACACTAAAAAATGTGTGTTAGCACTGAAGAGTTCAATACATTTGTGCTTGATATTTTAAAATTTTTGAAGCCTGTATTACTTTTGTAATCTTTTATCATGTAAATGTTTTAATTGAACTATAATAAAAATTTACAAAAGTGCATAAATCATAAATGTATAGATCAGTGGCTTTTTAAGAATTAACTATACCAAAGTACTCAACACCCAAATCAGGAAACAGACTTTATCAGCACCTCAGAGGCAACTCCCTCCTCATCCCTGACCCCTTGCAATTGACTGTCCTGTAATAGTTTTATTAAAGGTTTTAACATCAGTCTTAGGTAGATGTCTTATGTGAACATGTGGTATTATGTTTGTGTGCAAATCACTAAATTCCCTTTGTGGTTATTCTCATACATATGGAGTTCACAAAATTTCAAATATTTAATTGAATAAGTATTTGTGAATGTATTTTGTAAGACCTAAAATACATCATACAAATACAAATGCTAGTAATTATTATTTTAAACTTCTGTGACCTGGTACGCAAAGCCCATTAACTGTCTTTATTTATGATTTCTTTCCTCACTCCTTTCTCTCTCCCTCCCTCCCTTACTCTCTCTCCCTTTCTCTCTCTTTCTCCCTTTTCTTCTCTCTCTTCTTTCCCCTTCCTTCCTTCCTTCCTTTCTCTTTCTCTTTTTCTCTTTCTTTTGTTCTTTCTTTCTTCCTTTATTTCTTTCTTCCTTTCTTTCTTTTTCTTTCTTTTGTAGTTGACTGAAATATATTTCAAATAATCTCAACTTATTCGTATAGCTCACAGAACCTACCAGAATGTGTAGCTCAAGGCTCCTCACATGATGGTTTTTCTCTGTTCCAACTCAGTGACCACATTTGGCCATTTTTGTCCAAGTGGTTTACTAGCCTGGAAGGATTACAGTTTAGTTTGGATGCTCTTTTATTAAAGAATCTGTGCCTGTCAGCTTCCCAAACCGGTCAAGTCAGACCAAATCCCCAAGAGACTATGCACACATGCAAATGATATTTGTAGAGGCTCTCAGAGTTAATGGACATGAAATCCACAGCAGTCTCTCAGCTGGGTAACTAGCTTTCTGGATGGATGTCAGTTTTAACCTAGTAATTACTTCTCCATATTTCTCCCCATTTCTCTAAAGGCAGAGCATTTTCAAAACTGGATGACAGCCATACATTATTTGAAATCCTGGTTCTCAAACTTTGAATTAATAAAGGAAACAAAAGTAAATTTTGCCAATTTTGGAAAAGTATTAAATTATTATATATGGTAAACATGAAAGGAAGTCAGTTACGGGACTATGGAAGATACTAACCAGTAGCTAAACAAGTGCATTTTTAAATTTCCCTCTTTGATAAAAAAGTTTAATGGACAAACTATGAGACCAAATTGTGAAAAAGAAGAGATCCTCTACAGAGCTTAGGAGGATTAAAAAAGAATGAAGTAGCTCTGTATATACTGATATAAAAGATCTTCATAATGTATTACTGTTAAAAAAGATTGGCATGAAAAATAGGTTTGATATCCTACCTTTTATGTATAGGATGAATTAATCAATCGATTGATAAATAGGCCCACATATGCATTGTATATTTGTTGAAAACAATACCGAAACTTAGAAAGAATGGGTAGGGATAGAGAGCAGATTTATGTTTTAACCATATGTTAATCTGTTCTCTGTATTCTATACCATGTTTATTCATTGCCTCTACAAAATTGTATTAAAAAAAAAGAAAAGAGTGCTCTGTGCTATACAACATAGGACTTTAAGCTCAAAACCAAATTGATAACCCCTTAGTTGCCAGAAAAGAGAGTCCCGATCCAGACTCCAAGAGTGGGTTCTTGGATCTCATGCAGGAAAGAATTTGAGGTGAGTTGCAGAGCACAGTGAAATAAGCAAGTTTATTAGCAACTACTCTGTTAAAGGTACAATGTCCTCAGAAAGCAGGAGGGATGTGCCGTTCTTTGTTACAAGTGTCTCTATTGATAAGGAACTATAAGGAGCTATAATCAAACTTAAATGTGTGAATGTACTCATTAAAGGTAGTGGCTATTAGTGTTACTGATGACCATTAATTCTTCAACCTAAGCTTGCTCACTAACATTAGTTTCAAGTAAAGTGGGCAGTAGTTTTAGGACATCTGGACATTCTGCATGGTTGTGGGAGATGTCCTGTATGGCCATGTATATTCTGTAATTACAATTGGTGGTTAGCTTGAGATATGGCTATTTTCAGACTATAAGTATTAACCTTACAGATGCCTTGTGAGTACCTAGTTCCTCACTTCAAGATGGAGTCACTCTGGTCAAGTTTTATTAAAACAGAGACCTGATAAGCGGGGATTCCTTAACACCTTGATTCAAATATTTAAACCTTGCTTCCTGATGAAATTATCGTCTTTCCATTTCATCACACTGTCACTCTGGGCCACAGGCCTTTCAGAAACCATTTTTACTTGTTTCTTCCCAAGTGTTTTTCGAATACATGTTAATTATTGTCTATGACCAATCACCCATGATAGAATCAGGCATATGGAAAGGCAATGGGCCCAATTAATGAAAGAGATTTGGACGCACAGTAGTTTTTTATTTTATCCCAATTGATGTCAGAGGCTACATACAAAAGTCAATAACCAATTACTTAACAACTTTATAATCTTTTCCATTCATATTATACTGCGCAAAGAAATGGTCAGTATTTCCATGTCCTATAGGCTTTGTTCTGCATTATTCCATGGTAAAAACTTTGGTATTGTTTGGTGTTTAGTATTCTGCTTTTTAGACCCTATTTCAAACAATGAAACTTATTTCCACCAAACATTTTATTTACTATTTCTAGATTGTGTGTGTATCATCTAAAAAAGATTTAATAAAATATAAATTACCTAATACAAACAAAATAATTAAAATCAAGGTTTCTGTCTTTCCACTTGCTTACTCTTGTGAATCTTATTTTTCTATGCCAGTAAGACCTCTTTATCTCGTTTCTCATTTAGCTCTTAGCTTTTTATCAATTCCACAGAGGCTTTAATCTGCTTTTCTAGCACTGTTAACTCTCAAACTCCGACATTTTCTCTTGTTTCTGCTATCTTAATCACCCAAATTATACAATAAACCTTCCTCCCTCCTCCTGGCTGTTATGAGCTAATGAGAACATCCCGAAAGCTTTGGAACTGTTTCCAGGATAAATACATGTTTTAAACTGGAAAGGATTACCAACAGCAGAGGGCATGTGGAGGCACCCTTAGAAGGAGGATGGATACGGATCTTGAAGGCTGATGTGGCATATTTGATAAAATGTAATTAAATATTCAGAACACTAAAAATTATAAATTTTTACTAGCTTGGTTTGATAATACAAATCACAGAGTCAGGATCAAAAAATTTCAAAGCTTAAAACATTTGGAAAGATAATTTCTACTTCTTGGTAAGATGAAACAGCTGACATCAGAGCAATATTTCTATTAAAACACACACACACACAAAACCCTAAATAAATTACATAAATAATTTTCCACAGAGAACTTTATAAAGAATGATCACGGGATGACCTAGTGTTCCAGAGAGTGAAGAACTGTCTGTGCTCTAATGGATTTTCAACCCCACCTGCCCCACCCCCACCCCAGGGGTTATTTGCTGATTTAGTGGGTAAGCTAATGGTTGAGCTTAGTTCTGACAGACAGCTTCTGTTGGGAGGAGAGGAAGCTAAAGTAGCAATTTTAGTGGTCATGTTCAACTAGAATAATAATTTGGAAACCTGAGGCTGATATTACCCAAGGGTCATTTGCTGAATCTGGGTCTCTGTGGAAGGTGAGGGAGTTGGGATTAGCCTTCTAAAAAAGCAGAGTGAGATCTCTGGCAATTTCACATAGTTTAGGAAGCCAACCTTACAGGAGAGGAGGACAGCCTGAATCTCACTGCCAATTTTCCCCTCAAAATATTTGCCAGATTTTGAAGCCATATTGGTAAGAAGTTGGAAAGCTGAGCTGGAAATCTGTTATTCAGAGCTTAATCTTCTGCAGAATTTGGAGACTGATGAGATAGCTACTTGCTAATTTATTTTTCTAAAACAAAGGCGGTATATGCTAGAACAATAGTGTTGACTTGGAAGTAGATAGATCCGAACTAAATCTCTAAGCCAATCTGGAGATAGTTTATCCTTGGATTTAATTGATGTAATCAGCAACTCAAGTTATTGCCTAACAAATAAAAAGAGAAATCCTCTGGTGGAATATAACATCATATGGAGTCTCTGAGGTTTTTTTTTTTATATACAGTGTTTGTCCTGTGAACAAATATCTATAATAATCAGATAGTTACAAAAGTGTGATTACCAGTGGGGGAAAAAATAAATAACAAATAAAAAAAATTACAATAGTAAAGACACAGGTAATAGAGATGTTGTAGTTAGCAGTCAATGACTTTGAAATAAATGTTTAAATATATTTAAGAAATATGTTTGAAAGTTATTCAAGAAAATGGAGAAGAAGTTGTATAAAATAAATGAGAGTATAAAATATCATTAGATGTTTATTGATGGAATGAATCAAATTGATACTCCGCAAGTAAAAAAATCTAAAATTATCAAGTAAATAGATGAGTTTATCAGTAGATTGTGAAATTACCTCTGTAAACTTTATAAACTTAGGGAGGAAGGGAGGGAGATAAATGAAGATAAGCCAAGCTTACAGCAGACTCACCATTAATTATTAGGTCAGCTTGCTCTTGGACCCACTTCCTCATAGTTGTTTTCCTACTGTCCCAGAAGCATGAAAACCTTGTCACAAGGTCATAGATCACCTTAACTGCCCTATAGACAACAACTTGAATATTGTGAAATGTAAAGTTTTCCATTTCAGTTATTCTTTCAAGTCCTGAATACCAGTGAAACTATTGAGATAAGCTGGTCTGAAGGATGCCGTGAGAAGCTGACTCACCAAAGAATGTAGTTTCCACATGCTGAAGATTTTATCCCCCTTACCCTGACTGATCAATGAACCCGATTTTCCAGCCTCTCACTCTACACAATCCCCTTAAAAATCTGACCCCAGAACTCCTCAGGGACATGGAGTTGAGGATCTCCTCCCATTTCCTTGCTTAGTTGCCCTTGGATACCTAAACTCTTTCTCTGCTGTAAACTCTGCTGTCTCAGTGTATTGGTATGTTACTACACAGCAGACATAGGAAATTGTTGGTCCTGTAATAATTGGGTGCATGAGAAGACAAGATTAGTAAAGTGGAAAAGTGAACAATAAAACATAACCGAATATAAGCAGAGAGAGTAAAAAGCATGGAAACCACAGAGCAGAGCTAAAATATCAGACATTACATTATTCTACTATTAGAATAATGTAACATACATCTTACTGATGTGCCAGGAAAAAAAGAGAGAATAAATCATAAATAACATTGAGGAGTAAACATCCAAGAATTTCTCCAAACCATTGAAAGATATCGACCTTTATATCCAAAGCTCTGGAAACCCAGAGTATTTAAACAAGATAACCACACCTGCATATAAAGTGATTAAATCAATGAAAACCAAAGGCTGAGAAAAATCTTAAAAGCAGTCTGAAGGCAAGATGTATTTCTATTAAAGAAACAAAAATTATTAATTTCTCAAGAGAAACATTGAAAACCAGAAGATAATATAATGACATTGCTAGGTGTTGAAAGAAAATAATTACCAAATTATAATTTAATATACTGTGAAGTTATCTTTCAAAACTGTAGGTGAAATAAAGCATTTTCAGACAAACAAAAATGAAGAGAGTTTATCAGCATTCAGCTTGAACTAAAAAAAATAAATGAAGGGATATTTTTAGGCAAAAAAAAAATGTTCAAAACACAGAAGAGCGGGAGAGAATAAAGAAAAAATGAGAGTAAATTCCTGTAATCCCAGCACTTTGGGAGTCTGAGGCAGGCAGATCCCCTGAGGTCAGGAGTTCGAGATCAGCCTGGCCAACATGGTGAAACCCCATCTCTACTAAAAATACAAAAATTAATTGGGCATGGTAGCACACACCTGTAGTCCCAGCTATTTGGGAGGCTGAGACAGGAGAATGACTTGAACCTGGGAGGCAGATGTTGCAGTGAGCAGAGATCACGCCACTGCACTCCTGCCTGGGTGACAGAGCAAGACTCCATCTCAAAAAAAAAAAAAAAGTAAATACGTTGGTTGATATAAATGAATATTAACTATAAAATATTACTGTTATGCCTAAATTATATGTAGAATTTAAATGACTGACAACTATATTGCAAGAGGTCAAAGTTTGGGAAAATAAGGCTTACAGCTTCTAAGTTTTTAGCTGTTTCAAGAAATTGGCAGCTTTCTTTGCCATTATCTCTGTGATTCTTCTAAATACCCATTACTGTTTTCTGACAGTCTGCCCAATGCCTTTTACGTGACAATAGATGACTCTTAACCCCATTCCAATAGATGAACTTGCTTTCTATTAACAAAGATTATTTTGCTGCTTCCACTTTTATAGCTACAATTAAATTGCAGACTATGTATAGTTTGAATATGTCCCCAAAAAGCATGCATTGGAAACTTAATCCCTAATGCAACAGTGTTAAGAGTTAGGGCCTACTGAGAAACAATTATGTCAGGAGGCCAGAATGAATGGATTAAGGCCATTATTGCAAGAGTGAGTTTGTTATAAAAAGGGGGAGTTCAATCTCTTTTGGCTTTCTCTCTTGCCCTATCTTTGCCTTTGCACCATGAGATGATACAGCAAGAAAGTCTTCGCAAAATGCCAACACCTTTTTATTGAACTTCCCAGCTTCCAGAACTGTGAAGCAATACATTTTTTTCATTATAAATTACTCAGCCTGTGGTCTTCTGTTATAGTTGCAAAAAACAGACTAAGACAGATTATTACCAAAAAAATCTGTTTTTCTTCAGAAATGGAATATGGTAGAGATGCATTATTTATACTGCAGTAACTTATGATGTGCCATTGCATTGTAAACTCTTAGCGGGTTCTTTTTCTTTATTCTGTATTAAAGCCAGACACTTCCTCAATTGGTATTGGCTTTCTTGATATAGTTTCTAGACTTTTTGCTTTTTGTCTTTCTCATGTGTGTATTATGAAAACATCGATGGCTATCGATATAGTCTTTCACATCTTCTCAAGGTTTGGCTTAAGTATACTAGTTCATATCCTCTGAAACTTGAAAGTGGTTAATTTGTAACCCTGTACAGATAGTATCAACTAATGTTTAGATTGTCTTGATCCCAAAGCAAAGATCTCAGAATGGAATGGCTTTTTTTAAAATGGTTCATTTAATTTGTGGATGTTCAAAAGCAATATGGTTATTTTTTCAGATAACTGAAAAAGGGATTCAAACCTGTCTACATGTTGTCCTTGCATACTGAAAAAAAAAAACAAACCACGGTTAGAAAACACTTTGCAGAACTTACCCAATAGTTATTTATAGGGAGATCAATGTGCTATTTTCTAATGCATTTTCTTCTGCTTTTTGTTTTTCACTCTTTTTTCTTGCTCTTTTAGTACCAATGAAACAGAAAACTGGATTTAGTCTCGACTTTTTAATATAATTATTCCAATTGTCCATTTTACTTCATTAAGTGTCACAGATAAAGATGTAGTATAATTTTGATCAAAAAAATAGGATTTAAAAAAACCAGGGTGTTTGAATAACTTAGTTTAAAAGTGCTTGTGTTTGCCTAAATATTCCAAATGAAGATCTTACATGTCTCAAATAAGCCTGACCATAAATAATGTTAAAAAATAAATATCAAACATATAAAAGGAGAAATAAAAGCAAATCACAATCCAAAACAAGTATTTCAAAAATACGTATCTAGCCAGAGGAAATTGTTTTAGGAAAATTATTTTATGAATTTAATTTTAATAATTTCAATTTTCCTTAATTTCCTTCCAGTAATGAGAAAACTATTTTCCATATGGTTACTATTTTTTTTTATATTCAATTACATTCTTGGGGGAAAGCTTCATTTGTTGTCATTTGTGGAATAATGCAATCTCATCATGGCGGCAGTTGAGAGTTCTGTGATTTGGATCTGACTCATTATGACACATCTGTTTTAAAGAGTATCAAACATGATATCCCTCAATTCATTTCTCATTATGTCTGAGCTTGGCTTAGGAATAGGCTCAGATCCGAGTATGTGATGTGAGTATGGGCTGAGATTCAGGAAGGCTTAGATATGGAAGGGGACTGAGAGAAGGACAGAGTTGGGTAAATAAATGAGGTGGCCTCAAGCTGAGATGTGGATTACAGACGAATTCATTGATGCATTTCAAAAGTGGAAAGGCAGGAGAAAATGAAATTCAATTTGCTTCATTTTAAAAATCGTAGCTCTAGAATTATATTATTCAAAAGATGTTAAAAATTCTAAATATTTTACTGTGGTTTTATTCTGTTTTTCTATAAAAAGATGGTATGTTCTCTCAAAAACCAACTATTTAGTAAGCATAGCATTATGACAAATAATTCTGAAAATGACAATCAAGTAATCAAGTTCTGTAAGTTCATGACCTATAAACAAATCAGAATGAGAAGTTTAAATATACTCCTTGTTTTCCCTTGCCCTTAAATGGTAATCTGAGTTTGAGGAATAACTTCTGAATGTATTTATAGCAGGCAGATGGTTCTGTTGCCTACTGTTAGTTTGGAAAGAATAGAAGAAGGTATAGATAGGTGACTGGAGAAGGAAAACACTTTACTAAGCCGACATGAATAGAATGCAGATTTTTTTAAGCCAAATCAGTTTTGAAAATGTATATATAAAATTGTGCAAAAGAATTTCTCTAGTTTTTTCCTGTATTATTTAATGGTTGAAGGCTGTAGACTTTTTTTTTTTTTTTTTTTTTTTTTGAGATGGAGTCTCACTCTGTCTCCCAGGCTGGAGTGCAGTGGCGCGATCTCGGCTCACTGCAAGTTCCGCCTCCCGGGTTCACGCCATTCTCCTGCCTCAGCCTCCCGAGTACCTGGGACTACAGGTGCCCACCACCACGCCTGGCTAATTGTTTTGTATTTTAGTAGAGATGGGGTTTCACCGCGTTAGCCAGGATGGTCTCGATCTCCCGACCGCGTGATCTGACCGCCTCAGCCTCCCAAAGTGCTGGAATTACAGGTGCGAGCCACTGCGCCCGGCCGTAGACTTTTTTTTTCTTTAACAGTAAAAATATACCACTTCAAAACTTGCAGTCACAATTCTAGCTGGATTAGCCAAACCATATAGAATAACGTTTTTTTTTCTTGTTTTTTTTTGTTTTTGTTTTTAAAAACCATGGAATTTATTTTGAAGAAAATATGGTTATCATTAATGTTACTTTTTATTTTCTTCCAATCTCCTATCTGATTCAAGTAATGAATTTTAAATTTCTGTTTAGTAAGTTTATTGCAAATGTGCCAAAATTTGACATCTGCAATTCTTAGCAGACGCTATGTTAAGAAAAACAAAGTATTATTTTAATTGGGTATGATTTCAGGCTCATAAACAAAATAATGAAGTATTTTTTTCCTTTTGCTTCCCAGGAATAGATGTTCACCAAGACCAGTAGTTCTCAAACAGGTGAGCATATTAGAATTGAAGTTCACTTGGGAAACTTCTATAAATTGTAAATCTTTTCCTTTCTCTCTCCAACACTCTTTCCAAGTTTCTTCCAGGTATTTTGCTATATCTCATGTTCAGCACAATTGCCAGCCATTGCAGTATGTTCTGGAGCTACAAGGTCCATGAACTATTACACTTGCCTCAAAGACTTCTAGTTTCTTTCAATTCTGATAAAAAAATAAATGACATGATACAGTGGGATAAGTGCTATTATGGTAAAATGAACTTTATGAAGACAGCCTCTAAAACAAATTTGTGGGTTAAGACAACTTATCAGAAGAAGTGAAATCTAAGTTGAGGGTTGAAAGATGACTGTAAGTTAACTAGTTATAAAAGGGGATTTTATGTTTGAGGGTGTATGTATTTAGGAGTGTGGTTTGAGTTTGAAGATTGTTGCAAAGAACATTTTAAGCAAATGTGTATTCTAAGAATATGCAAAAGTATGAAGGAAAGAGTCAGGATATATTGAATACATTATTGTAGTTTGGAAAAATGGTGCATGATTAATGAAGTGAGAGAAGATATTTAGGAGATTGAGGCTGATTATAAAGAGCTGGAGGAAGGAGTTCACCCTTTATCCCGAAAAGATAAAGTGAACACTTTAAATAAGAGACATCATATTTGTGATTTTGAAAAATTATTGATAGCAAAGAAGCAAGAGGCTGGAGGCAATTAGACACTAATGTAGTGTCTTAGAAAATACCTGAAAGTGAGTAGTTCATAAAGAGCAGAAAACTATTTTCCCACCATGTTGGAGTCTGCAGAGTTCAAGATCAAGGTGCCAACAAATTCAGTTGTCTGGTGAGAGCTGCTCTCTGCTTCCAAGGTGCCTTGTTGCTGTGACCTCGCATGATGGAAGGTGGAAGAGCAAGCTAGCTGAACATTGTATAAAGTCTCTTTCTTTTATAAGATCTTTAATCTCATTCCTGAGGAAGGAACCCTCAAGGCCTAATCAACTCTTACGGTCCCCACTTCTTAATACTTTCACATTAGCAACACCTGAATTTTGGAGAAGGCACATTCAAACCATAGCATGCAGTAATCCAGGTGAGAAATTATGGTAAAAAAAAATCATGAGAGTGTTAATGAAGAAAAGATTATGGAAACAAAATATTGAGTCCATATTTGCCTCATCTGGATGTGTGGAAGATTTTAATAAGATATTTTAGATATATTTTTACTCTACCACCCAGAAAATTTTCCTGAACAGTTTATAACATGAAGTATCTTGCTTCATGTAATACTTATAATTTATATATTTTAATGAATTATTTCAATAAAAATATTCATATGTTTTTCTTTAAGAAAGCACCTCTCATGATTCCTTAGCCCTCTCCAAGTACTTCCCATTTTCTGTTCCCTTCAAAGGCAAATTTCTCAAAATTTACACTGCTGTGATTGTCTTGCTTTTCCTTTATCTGTTAATCCACTCTTGGATTCTGCTCCCAATATTTCCCTTGCCAAGGCCCATAATGACATCTACATTGGAATAATCAGTGGATGTACTTCGGCCATCATTGGCTCACTCTGTTCTGGAAACATTTGCTTCCCTTGAAACTATGACCTTGGTTTTTTACCCATCTCTTTTGCTTCTCTGTCTCAATCTCTTGTCCTAGATGTTCCTCTTCTTACTAATCTCCAGCTACTGAAGTTCTTCAGGGTATCCATATATCTTCTTTCTTCTCTCTAATTTGTCTCCTAATCTAATTAATTTTTTTTTTGAGATGGAGTCCTGCTCTGTCGCCCAGACTGGAGTGCAGTGGCACGATCTCAGTTCACTGCAAGCTCTGCCTCCAGGGTTCAAGTGATTCTCCTTCCTTAGCCTCCCCAGTAGCTGGGACTACAGGTGCCTGCCACCACGCCCAGCTAATTTTTTTGTATTTTTTTTTTTTTTTAGTAGAGATGGGGTTTCACCATGTTAGCCAGGATGGTTTCTATCTCCTGACCTCGTCATCTGCCTGCCTTGGCCTCCAAAAGTGCTGGGATTACAGGCGTGAGCCACCGTGCCCGGCCTAATCTAATTAATTTTATAATTCCAAAAAATATCAGTGTGGCTATACATGAACAGATTATAGCTATTCTAGTTAAATTTTCTTATTTGAATTGTAAATTCTTGTGTTCAAAAACTTATTTGATATATCCATTTGATTGGTTGTAAAGATCTCAAGAGTTTACAGAGGCACTAATCCTATTTACAAGGGCCCTATCCCTATGATCTACTCACCTTCCAAATGTCCCACCACTTAATACTATCACATTGGGGATTGGATTTCAATACATGAATTTTAGAAGGACACGAACATTTGGAGTATAGCAAGAAACAATAGTAATCTACTAAGCAGGTAATAGCTTGTATACACCTCAGTTTGTGACTTAATATAGATGTAGCAGTTCTTCAGAAATTTGTCTTTGGATAAGAAGTTAAATCTTATGTTTTGGGTGACTGTTGCTAAAAATAAATTCCAAGTACTTTCTAAATTAGGAGAGATAATTCCCCTTTGAATTATATATTCCATTAAAACATTTTAGAGCTGAAAAAATAAAAGAAATAGATAACAATGAGCTTTTTAGATCACCCAGGCATAAATAAAGGATACTCAGCTATAAAAATGACTAAACAAGGACTTGATGATTTTTCATAATTGATGTATGCTACTTGTATTTTCATTACTTCATATGCTACTTGTATTTTCAGGAGTGCTGTGTTCTAAGAGAATAAATTTTGGTTTAAAAGATTTGAGAATATGACTGGGTGCAGTAGCTCACGCCTGTAATCTCAGCACTAGGAGGCCTAGGTGGGAGGATAATTTGAGCCCAGGAGTTCAAGACTAGATTGGGCAACATGGTGAAACTCTGTCTCTACAAAAATACTTGGTGACATGTGTCTTTAGTCCCAGCCACTCTGGAGGCTGAGGTGGGAGAATCACTTGAACCCTGGGAGGTTGAATTTGCAGTGAGCTGAGATTGTGCCACAGTACTCCAGCCTGGGTGATAGAGTAAGACTCTGTCCCAGCCAAAAAAAGAAAAAAAAGATAAGAGAGTAAGAAATTAGAATAATTTTATGACTTACATTTCCTTCCCTGGATCAAGGAAAACTGTTTAAAAAAGCAGGGAAGGCAGATACAAGGGGCATTAGGTAAAGAGGTTATTGCTGCATAGGAGGGGAACACATCTACAGTGACAGATGAGGAGGCAGCTACATTTCACCTCTTGAGAGAATATCTGAACTATTATTAACCCACTTGATACCTAAGAACTGAGTTTTACCTAACCATATATGTTAAAATACTATCACACTATTAAGCTTCCCTGTTGCTCATCCAAACCTGACTATCTCCATGAAACAATGGACTCTCCTAATTACTTCCCTATATTATCATGCACCGCCTCTCATGACATTAACACAGAAGTCCTCAACATGTTACAGATTGTTGTGCACTGCAGTAGCTGTTTTATGTGAGACATCTGGGTCTTGGTAAGTTATGTGCATTCTTATCACCACATTCTCTTGCCAGAATGACTGGTCCAAAGAGTGAACACGTAACTGGTGGAAGATCAATTGCTCTCCCTTTTTTTGGCATTGACATATAAAACAATATTTTCATCTAGGGTTTATGGACTGAGATTATCAGTAGCCATGTTCCATACCCTAGGAACATACAGAGACAAAACAAAACAAAATAAAAAAACAAAAATCTAACTAGAAAGAGATAGAATCCCCAGTCCCAATTCCTAAATTTGTGGTGTGCAGCTCTTCCTTGACATCTATCAGCTATTTGAGTGTATTTAGTTGTATATAAACTAACACTTTATTGTCTTGCTCAATTTATTATGGGTTGATTTTCTGTTGTTTGCAAGCTAATGGATCCTAATAAATACATTAATATAAAAGCTGAGAAATGCAGCTAAAAATAGTAATATGTCATATCCAATTAGATGATGTGAGAACATAACATTTAAATTAACTTTTTCTATCTCCTATATGTCATGACTCATGAAATTGAGAGAAATAACATACCACAATAAATTTGGAATAATTCTGAATTCTGTGTCCAAGCACTTTGGTGTACTCTGTGCATATATGTGACAAGAATCTATTATTATGCTTAAGAATAGGTATTAATTGCAGTATTTGAAGAGTAAAACTCTACAAGTTCATGAGTTATCAGTAACTTGTATTTAGAGTTGGATCTGCACTAGGGAGATCAGTTTCATAATGGGGCTATCATTTTGCCAAATGCAATAACAGTTAATTAACAACACATTATTAAGAGCCAAATAATCCTTAACAAAACAAAACAAAAATCTGGTGTGAATTTAAAGCAATATGTCCATGTGAAGGGAAAATACAGTTCTGGAGTTCTCAGAGTGTGTTCAACCTGGGATTGATTATAGTTTCTCACTTTACCAGTATAAAGAACAAGCAGGAAGATTTGAAGTAGGAAGCGACGTGTGTGTACATGGAGTGGGCTGGTACAGTCAGGGACTAATAATGGTTGGCTAACATGGAGAGACTTTGAAGGAGAACTAACTAAAATACAACTTGTAAACTCTTAGGCATTTTCCTGTGACTAATAACCACCACCAGATGTGTACAGTTGACAACAGCTTGAAAAGATTCTGAGACCACTTTTTTTTTTTCCTCTGAATGTGTTGTTTACAGCTTTGTTGTCTAGGAATGTTTATTACAAATGGAGAGAAATTGGACGGAGCCACAATTGGAAACACTACAATTCTGATTCAGGAGAAATATTTGAAAGGCCTTTAATAAAATTTTAAAATAAATTTGTTTTAGTCATTCATTAAATGTAATCCATATGAAACGTTAGGAGCCATGGGGATACAAGGATGAGAAGAAAATGTGGCATTTTATCTAAAGTCTAAAATTTTTTAGGAAAGATGGCATGATAATACAGCTTCATGTTTGCTGAACAAACTAATTCTGGAGAGAGACAAGATTGGCTAAGATATGTGACAAAAGAGAGGTTTCACCAAAGCACTCTGTGAGATCAGAAGAGGATGGGGTGGTTTGTCTGGGCATATCCACATGGGTGCCTGGGACGACGTGGGACTTGAGTGGAGTCTTCAACATAAAGAGGAAAGAAACATCGGAAATATTATACCAAGCTCATCTAGGAAATGGGGAGTAATAAAATTTATGTCAGCATACACAGTATTTGTCAACTCTTAGAATGAGGTTAAGTTAATATTAATTTTCCAAGGGCATTTTAAATGTCTGAATAGAAGTGTAGACATTCTTCTA
This sequence comes from Homo sapiens, assembly GCF_000001405.40. Lineage (NCBI taxonomy): Eukaryota > Metazoa > Chordata > Mammalia > Primates > Hominidae > Homo > Homo sapiens. The sequence goes on from NC_000013.11 coordinate 37,541,157, forward strand.
TAGTTAAGTGAAAGTGTTCAAAGTCACTGAGCAATGGAGTGACATTATCAGAACTGAGTTTTAGAAATAAAAATGAATTGAATTTTTACAAATGAAATAAGACCAAGAGACACTTTAAGTAGGAAGTCCAATTGGGAAACTTGCCATAGTCTAAAAAGCAAATCATAAGGATCCAAAGGATAGTAATGGGAGCAAAGGCCAGATTCAGGGAAAACGGAAAAATAAAAGAAATACAGCAAACAGGAGAATAGGACTAGAAGGCAGGCTCTTCACTAAGACACTCTTAAAGTCTTCATGTATATGCCCATGTGTTCCTGATACCACTGGACTTTTCATCCTTGTCTTGTGCCTGTTTTCAAGAGAATTCTTCCAGCTTTTTCCCATTCAGTTTGATATTGGCTGTGGGTTTTTCATAGGTAGCTCTTATAATTTTAAAATACGTTCCCTTAATGCCTAGTTTGTTGAGGGGTTTTAAGATGAAGGAATGTTGAATTTTATTGAAAGTCTTTTCTGCATCTATTGAAATAATTATGTGGTTTTTGTTTTTATTTTGTTTATGTGACAAATCACATTTAATGATTTGCGTATGTTGAAGCAACCTAGTATCCCAGGAAGAAAGCCTACTTGATCATGATGCATTAGCTTTTGATGTGATGCTGGATTAAGTTTGCTAGCATTTTGTTGAAGATTTATGCATCAATGTTCATCAAGGATATTGGTCTGAAGTTTTTTTTTAATTGATGTGTATCAGGATGATGCTGGCCTCATAGAACGAGCTGGTGAAAAATTAATCCTCCCCAATTTTTGGCATAGTTTCAGTAAAAATGGTACCAGTTATTTATTCTTTTACATCTGGTAGAATTTGGCTGTGAATCTGTCTGGTCCTGGGCTTTTTTGGTTTGTAGACTTTTTATTACTGATTCAACTTTAGAACTCGTTATTGGTCTGTTCAATGATTCAATTTCTTCCTGATTCAGCTTTGGAAAGTTGCATGTGTCCAGGAATTTATCCATTTCTTCTAGATTTTCTAGTGTGTCTGCAAAGAGCTGTTCAGAGTAGTCTCTGTTAATATTTTTTTTTTGTATTTCTGTGGGGTCAGTGGTAATGTCCCCCTTTTGATTTCTAATTGTGTTATTCGGATCTTCTCTCTTTTTTATTAGTCTAGCTAGCAGTCTGTATATCTTACTAATTTTTTAAAGAACCAATTCCTGCATTCATTGATCTTTTGTATGGTTTTTCACATCTCACTTTCCTTCACTTCAGCTCTAATTTTGGTTAGTTCTTGTCTTCTGCTAGCTTTGGGGTTAGTTTATTCTTGCTTCTACAGTTCTTCTAGTTGTGATGTTAGGTTGTTAACTTGGAATCTGTCCAACTTTTTGACGGGGGCATTTAGTGCTGTAAATTACCCTGTTAGTACTGCCTTACCTGTGTCCCAGAGATTCTGGTGTATTGTATCTTTGTTCTCATTAGTTTCAAATAATTTCTTGATTTCTGCCTTAATTTCATTATTTATCAAAAAACCATTCCAGAGCAGGTTAATTTCCATACAATTGTATGGTTTTGAGTGACTTTCTTTGTATTGATTTCTATTTTTATTGTGCTGTGGTCCAAGAACATGGTTGGTATCATTTTGGTTCTTTGGCATTTGCAAAAGATTGTTTTATGTCCTTTTGTGTGGTCTATATTACAGTATGTGTCATGTAGCCATGAGAAGAATGTATATTCTGTTGTTTTGGGGTAGAGAGTTTTATAGATGTCTATTAGGTCTATTTGGTCAAGTGTTCAGTTCAGGTACTGGATGTTTGTTAATTTTCTGCTTCTATTACGTGTCTAATACTGTCAGTAGCGTGTTGAAATCTCTCACTATTATTGTGTGGGAATGTAAGTCGCTTCATAAATCTCTAAGAATTTGCTTTATGAATCTGGGTGGTGCTATGTTTGGTGTGTATATACTCAGGATAGTTAGGTATTCTTTTTGAATTGAATCGTTTACCATTACTGGTGCAATGGTCATTGTGGTTTCAGACCATGAATTTTAAATCAGTATAACTAGGCTCAAACACATCTTTATTAATCAAAACAGGAACCATTATAATAAACACATTTTTGCCAATGAGAAATAAGTTTGTTTATTCCTGTAGTGTAAAAATCTGTGCTTTGGGATTTGACAAACTCTTGGAAAGCATTTTCTGCATCTTGCTTGTTGTGGAAGCATTTTCCCTGCAAAAAGTTGTCGGGATGCTTGAAGAAGTGGTAGTTGGTTGGTGAGAAGCAAATTTCATAGCTCAATTTGTTCAACTTTCAAAGTGTTGGTTGGGCAATGTGCATTCAGATGTTGTCATGGAAAAGAATCAGCCCCTTTCTGTTGACCAGTGCTGGCTGCAGGCGATAGAGTTTTCAGTGCATCTCATCGATTTACTGAGCATACTTCACAGATGTAATGGTTTCAATGGGATTCAGAAAGCTGTAGAAGATCAGACTGGCAGCAGACCACCAAACAGTGACCATGACCTCTTTTTGGTGCAAGCTTGGCTTTGGGAAGTTCTTTCTTTGGAGCTTCTTATCCGTCCAACCACTGAGCTGGTCATTGCTGGTTATTGTATAAAGTCCACTTTTTGTCACACATCACAATCCAATTGAGAAATGGCTCATTGTTGCTGTGTAGAATAAGAGAAGATGACATTTCAAAACGACAAGTTTTTTTATTTTTGTTCAGCTCATGAGGCATCAATAAGCAGGTACTTATGGAGCTTTTTCACCTTTCCAATTTGCTTCAAATACCAAATCACCATAGGATGGTCAATATTGAGTTCTTCAGCAACTTCTTGTGCAGTTGTAAGAGGATCAGCTTTGATGATCACTCTCAATTTGTCATTGTCAACTCCCATATCCTTTGAAAAACTTCTTGAACCACCACTGCACTGTAAATTTGTTAGCAGTTCCTGGGCCAAATGTGTTGTTGATGTTGCAGGTTGTCTCCATCGCTTTATGACCCATCTTGAACTTGAATAAGAAAATCGCTCACATTTTCTTTTAGTCTAACATCATTTCCATAGCCTAAAATAAACATAACATAAAGAGCAAGTAATAAGTCATTAGCAAAAAACCATAAAGCGAGAAATGCCCATTAAAATGATGTATAACATAACCACATTTATTTGGCAATATATCCCAATACCAAATGGCAAATTCCAACAATGCAAAAACAGCAATTACTTTTGCACTCACCCAATATAACGCTCTTCTTTATCTTTTTAAAAAACCTTTGTCGGTTTAAAGTCTGTTTTATCTAAAATTAGGATACCAGTCCCTGCTTTTTCTGTTTTCCATTTGCTTGGTAGATTTTTCTCCATCCCTTTATTCTGAGGCTATGCTGTCACTGCGTGTAAGATTGGGTTTTGCTTCTTTATCCAGCATGCCACTCTGTGTCTTTTAATTGGGGGCATTTAGCCTGTTTACATACAAGGTTAATATTGGTATGTGCAGATTTGATCCCATCATTGTATTGTTACTAGGTTGACTGGTTTGTGTGGTTGCTTTACGGTGTCATTGGTCTGTGTACTTATGTATGTTTTTTTAGTGACTGGTAATCATCCTTTCTTTTCATATTTAGTGCACTTTTCAGGACCTCTTGTAAGGCAGGTTTGGTGAGCATTTGCTTTTGCTTAGCATTTGCTTGTCTGTAAAGGATCTTATTTCTCCTTCACTTATGGAGCTCAGTTTGGCAGGATACAAAATTCCTGGTTGGAAATTATTTTCTTCAAGAATGCTGAATATAAGCTCTGAATCTCTTTCTGGCTTGCAGTGTTTCTCCTGAAAGGCCAGCTGTTAGCCCGATGGGCTTCCCTTTGTAGGTGACCCGCCCCTTCTCTCTAGCTTCCTTTAACATTTTGTTCTCTCATTTTGACCTTATAAAATCTGATTATTGTGTCTTGGAGATGGTTCTCACAGGGGTTCTCTGCATTTTCTGAATTTGAATATTGGTCTGTCTAGCAAGGGTGGGGAAGTTTTCATGGACGATATCCTGAAAAATGTTTTCCAAGTTGCTTGCTTTCTCCGCATCTCTTTCAGGAATGCCAGTGAGTCACAGGTTTGCTCTCTTTACATAATCCCATGTTTCTCAGAGGTTTTGTTCATTCTTTTTTATCCTTTTTTCTTCATTTTTTTCTGACTATTTCAGAGAGTCAGTCTTCAAGCTCTGAGATTCTTTCCTCAGCTTGGTCTATTCTGCTGTTAACACTTACAATTTCATTATGTAATTCTTTTTTTTTTTTTTTTTTTTTGAGACGGAGTCTCACTCTGTCGCCTAGGCTGGAGTGCAGTGGCGTGATCTCTGCTCACTGCAAGCTCCACCTCCCAGGTTCACACCATTCTCCTGCCTCAGCCTCCCTAGTAGCTGGGACTACAGGAGCCCGCCACCATGCAAAGCTAATTTTTTTGTATTTTTAGTAGAGACAGGGTTTCACCGTGTTAGCCAGGATGGTCTCGATCTCCTGACCTCGTGATCCGCCTGCCTTGGCCTCCCAAAGTGCTGGGATTATGTAATTCTTTTACTTTGTTTTACAGCTCTATCAGGTCAGTTTAGTTCTTTTACATGATGGCTTTTTTTTTTTTTTTTTTTAAATCATTCAGCTCCTGTAACATTTTATTGTGATGCTCTGCTTCCTTGGATTGGGTTTCTATGTTCTCATGAATGTTGATGATCTTTGTTTTTATCCTTATTCTGAATTATATTTCTGTCATTTCAGCTATTTCAGCCCTAGAACCACCCTTGCTGGAGAACTAGTGTGGTCATTTGTCTCTTGGGGGTCCACCACAGACAGATGTGGAGCCACTATCAATCAGTGTGATTGGCCCAGGATGGAGCATCTGTGCTATAGGCCCAAGCTGGGAGAGACTTGCCTGGTGACTAGCAGCAGTGGGGTGGAGCGCGGGGGGAGACCTGGGAAAGACAGACTTCCTCTCCTCATTAGGGTGGCTGCATCTTGCTGAATCTGTGTGTAAAGCACTCAGGGTCTTTGCTTCTTCCCTGGTCTGAGGGCAGCAAGGGCAGTACCACTGCAGTGGCAGTTGTAGTGGGGCTTTCAGTTGCCTCTGGGAGCTCCACCTCAGAGAAACAAAGAGTTGCTGCTGCTGGAAATATTCGGCCAAGGGGTGGGGCAATTGCTCTGCTGGCCCAAGCTACAGGCTCTGCTTGGTGAAGAGTCAGGGAACGAGGGCTCACAGGGAGAAGAGACTGGGCTCCTCTCCATATGCTGACTGTAGTGTGCTGGAAGCTCAGGTGAACCCCTCAAAGTCTTTGTTTCTTCTTAGATCAAGGGCAGCAGGGGCAGGACCATTGTTTTGGCAGTAGTAGGGGGGCTGTCACTTGCCTCTGGGAGCCTCTTCTCAGGAAACACAGAGCCACTAGCAGTGGGAATGTTCAGCCAGGGATGGGGTGGTTGTTCTTGGTACCAAGCCAGGGGCCCTGCTTGGTGAGGGGAGAAGGTGAGGGCTCACAGGGAAGAGAGACCGGACTTCTCTTCGAATGGGCTGCAGTATACTGGTGGTGCCAGAATAACAATTAGACTCTTTATTTCTTCTCTCATCCAAGGGTGATTAGGGCAGTACCTCTGCAGCTGCAATGGCAGAAGGGTTGTGGATTCTCTCTGGGAATTTCTTAGAGAAATGCAGAGCTGCTTCTGACTGAAGTGTTCAAGGCGGAGTAAGGGAATTGTGCTGGAGTTGGAAGGTCCCACCCAGTGAAGAGAAGCAAGGACAGAAACCCACATGGAGAAGAGTCTGGCCACTTTTCTGTGGGATGGCTGCACTGTGCTGGGAGCCACACCACTGCCTAATCACCACATACTCCCCAGAACTCACAGGGTATAGTGGCAAGGGCTGTGAGACAGCAAGAATGGCATCTGGCCTCTCACTCTTAGAGCTCTGTCCCAGGAAAGTGCAGAGCTGCTACTGGCCCAAGATCTTTGGTGGGATGTGGCTGGAGTCCCAGTTTGGTGGGTCTTGCCCCATGAGGAAAAGCAGGAGCCATCTGGGAGCCACATAAAAAATAGCCTGACTTCTTTTCGATGGGATGGCTACACTGCAATGGAGATCCGCGCCTCTCCCTAATCACTACTCAAGCCTGAAGGCTATGGAGGCGGGGGCTGCAAGACAGCAAAAATGCTGGCCAGCCTCTCTTTCTGGGAGCTTTATCCCAGAGAATTACAGAGCTGTTAGTTGCTTAGAGTCCAGAGGGTTGGTGGCTGGAGACCCAGGCAGGTGGGACTTAGCCTGTGAGATGCAGTGGAGGTGAGGCTTGCAGTCCATTGCTGCTCAGGACCCTGGATTTAGTTCCTTTCCTGTGGGCATGGGAGAGAACCTGTCCTCCTCCACAGCCAGAGCTGCTGCTGCTAATTCTGGGATGTCCAGGGAATCAAGGCTCCAGGGACTCTGCATGTGCCTGAGCGGCAGCTCTGCCCAGACTCCCCATAGCTCTCTGTGTTGGTCTGGAGCCCCTGGTTGGGAGCTCACTGGGCATCTCCTGAGTTCAGGGTTGCAAAGGTCCATGGAAGAATTGTGGGTCTCCAGGGACTCTTACTCATTCATCATTTTCCCATGGTGAGGAAGACTCCCCTGACTTTGTGATACTCTCAGGTGGGTGGTCATCCTGTCTTGCTCCTCTCCATTCTCCTTAGGTCGAGTTGTTTCCTTGATGAATCCCAATGTGTCTACCGAGATGTTCCAGTTGAAGATCTAGTAATTAAAGGTATTTGTTATTCAATGAATATTGTAGTATAAACTATTAATTTCTGCCTCAGCCTTTCAAGACTCTATAAATTAATTGTTCTAATGCTTCTCCTATGCTTGGCAAGAAAATTGGATAGAGAAATATAGTTAGAGAAATAGTAGAAGAAAATCCACTGATTTTATTTTTCTCTTTATGTTAATTTTTTGAAGGTCTCTTTACACCAGAGCTAAGATCACGAATAAAGGAGCAGCTTTGGGTTTGCAGAGATTACACAGGAATGTATGTTTCTGGCAGGTCATTTGCCATCTTTGCAAGGAGTGTACATGGATGTCATCATTACAAAGGATGTGAGAGGTAATTGCTTTATTGTATTAAGAGAAGCAAACAGAAATCATAGTTCAAATGATTGCAACTCAAGTTTTGGCAATATTAATGAACTTCAGGAAAAATTTAATTGAACTCTGTTAGAGCAAAATAAGTTAGTGACTTAATATTTTAATCAAATGATGTATTTTTCTGTCATATTAAGAAAAAAATTCTGGGTTTTTTTTGGTAATAAAAATGGCCTAATGAACAGTTTCTAAAGTTAACCAAATGTTTAAATTACTTTTCAGGAAAAATTTATTCAAGAAGCACTTATTAAAATTTCTTCCACTGTGCTGGATCCTTAATTTACATACTTGTTTGTAGATTCTGTTTCTCTTTAAGTATTTTTTAAAAATTCATATGGAATATTTCTTATAATCCCAAGTTTATTGTTGTTATGGTCAACCACTAATTACTTGAAGAATGTAATATAAAATTGTTTATCGTTTATGAAGTCTCTTAGTTACCTTTTGATACAGTTTGGCTGTGTACTCACCCAAGTCTCATCTTGAATTGTAGCTCTCATAATCCCCACGTGTTGTGGGAGGGACCTGATGGGAGGTAATTGAATTATATGGGTGGGTTTTCCTATGTTCTTGTGATAGTGAATAAGTCTCATGAGATCTGATGGTTTTATAAAGGGCAGTTCCCCTGCACATACTCTCTTGCTTGCTGCCATGTAAATGTGCCTTTGTTCCTCCTTCACCTTCTGGGATGATTATGGGGCCTCCTTAGCCATGGGGACTGTGCCATTAAACCTCTTTTTCTTTATAAATTACCCAGCCTTGGGTATTTCTTCATAGCAGTATAAAAATGGATTAATACAGTAAATTGGTACTGGTAGAGTGGGGTACTGCTATTAAGATATCTGAAAATGTGGAAGCAACATTGGAACTGGGTAACAGGCAGAGGTTAGAACAATTTGGAGGGCTCAGAAGAAGATAGGAAGATGTGGGAAAGTTTGGAACTTCCTAGAGACTTGTTGAATTGCTTTCACTATAATGCTGATAGTAATATGGACAATAAAATCCAGGCTAAGGTGGTCTCAGATTGAGATGAGGAATTTGTTGGAAACTGGAGTAAAGGTCACTCTTGCTATGCAAAGAGATGTACTGCATTTTACCCCCACCCTAGAGATCTGTGGAACTTTGAACTTGAGAGAGATGATTTAGGGTATCTGGTAGAAGAAATTTCTAAGCAGCAAAGTGTTCAAGAAGTAACAGTGCATAAAAGTTTGGAAAATATGCAGCTTGACAATGTGGTAGAACAAAAAGCCCATTTTCTGGGGAGAAATTCAAGCCACTGCAGAAATTTGCACAAGTAATGAGGAACCAAAGGGTAATCCCCAAGACAATGGGTAAAATGTCTCCAGGGCATATGAGAGACCTTCACAGCAGCCCCTCCCATCACAGGCTCAGGGACCTGGGAGGAAAAAATGGTTTTGTGGGCCTGGTTCAGGGCTTCCTTCCTGTGTGCAGCCTAGGGACTTGGTGCCCTGTGTCCCAAATGCTCCAGTCATGGCTAAAAGTGACCAAAGTACAGCTCAGGTCATTGCTTCAGAAAGTGCGAGTCCCAAAGTCTTGACAGCTTCCACATGGTGTTGGTTCTGTGAGCGCACAGAAGTTGAGAACTGAGTTTTGGGAACCTCTGCCTAGTTTTCAGAGGATGTATGGAAATACCTGGATGTCGAGGCAGAGGTGTACTGCAGGGGTGGAGCCCTCATGGAGAACCTCTGCTAGGGCAGTGCAGAAGGGAAATGTAGGGTGGGAGCCTCCACACAGTGTCCCTATTGGGGTACTTCCTTGTGGAGCTGTGAGAAGAAGGCCACCATCCTCCAGATCCCGGAATGGTAGATCCATTGAAAGCTTGAACTGTGCACCTAAAGAAGCCACAGACACTCAATGCCAGCCCAGGAAAGCGGCCAGGAGGGAGGCTGTACCCTGCAAAGCCACAGGGGCAGAGCTGTCCGAGGCTGTGGGAGCCCACCTCCTGTATCAGCATGACCTGGATGTGAAACATGGAGTCAAAGGAGATCATTTTGGAGCTTTAAGATTTGACTGCCCCACTGGATTTTGGACTTGCATGGGTCCTGCAGCCCCTTTGTTTTAATTAATTTCTCCTGTTTAGAATGGCTGTATTTACCCAATGCCTGTACCCCTATTTTATCTAGGAAGTAACTAACTTGCTCTTGATTTAACAGGCTCATCGGCAGAAGGAACTTGCCTTGTCTCAGATGAGACTTTGGATATAGACTTTTGAGTAAATGCTGAAATGAGATAACACTTTGGGGGACTGTTGGGAAGGCATGGTTGGTTTTGAAATGTGAGGACATGAGATGTGGGAGGGGCTGGGGGTGGAATGATATGGTTTGACTGTGTCCCAACCCAAATCTCATCTTGAATTGTAGCTCCCACAGTTCCCATGTATCCTAGGAGGGACCCGATGGGAGGTAATTGAATCATAGGAGTGGGTTTTCCCCTCCTGTCCTCATGATACTGAATAAGTCTCATGAGACCTGATGGTTTTATAAAGAGTAGTTCCTCTAAACATGTTCTCTTCCCTGCCACCATGTAAGATGTGCCTTTGCTACTCCTTCACCTTCTGTGATAATTTTGAGGCCTCCCTAGCCATGGGGACTGTGAGTCCATTAAACCTCTTTTTCTCTATAAATTACCCAGTCTTGGGTATTTCTTCATAGGAGTAAAAAAATAGACTAATACACTCTTTATCTTTCAGACTTTTCTATATTTTTATAACTTTTTGTGAGACTTCATAAAAGTTTAGAAAATGCATTAGTGAATTGTGTTATTGCTAAAAGTGAAAGTCATCTAGCATTCTTATTCACATATGGCCTAGTTTTTCAAGAGTTTTTCAGAACTTAGGTTGGCTAGAAAATCACCAGTCTTTTCTCATTATATTGTAGAAATTTCATCAGTGAGTATTATCAGATGTTGTATAAGACCTTACAAAGACCCCACAGAAGTAAAGGCAATAATCCTATATGTAAAAAAACAAATTGATAACAAAAACAAAAAACAAAACAAGACAAACTAAAAAGTACTGAAACTTCAAGAAATGTTTTTCCAATAATTGAAAATAAATAGCTGTTTGGATGAATATAAAAATAAATCTCAATAAATTAAATTCAGCTGCCATTTTTGAATAATTAATTGGTATATGTTGGATTATGTGTGCATATTGTGTAACAATGATACTGGCTGTAAGATAGCTCATATTGGGTTCTTTTTCTGCTACCTATAATAGATTTGTGAGTGTCTTACAACACTTTCCAGTCTGGTTCGTCTTATATTTAGCATTTTCTAGTTGGCTGCTCCTATGTAAAGGTGAAGTTTACGATTATAAAGTGGAGTTAATATAACTAAATGCTATGGCAGAGGATGTTGCACTTTTGAAAAATGGAATAACAGGGACCATATTTTCTCTTCTGAGTAAAACCATTTTTAAAAAACAAAAATAAATTTAAAACACAGGGCTGGGAGCAGTGGCTCACACCTATAATTCCAGCACTTTGGGATGCTGAGGTGGGCGGATCACTTGAGGTCAGGGGTTTGAGACCAGCCTAGCCAACATGGCAAAATCCCATCTCTACTAAAAATACAATAATTAGCCAGGCATGGTGGCATGTGCCTGAATTCCCAACTGCTCAGGTGGCTGAGACACAAGAATTGCTTGAACCCGGAAAAAAAATAAAGAACAGTTTTCAAAATGCTGGGTATCAGACAATGAATCACAGTGATTCTTTGGATATAAAAAGAAAAGTGAGATGAGCCCTGTGATTGCCCCCAGCTTTCTGTCTTTTCCTAGGCTGCAGTGCAGGAATGGGAAATCCAGGTGAATCTTGGCAGACAAGATGGAGCTGAGTATTGAAGGAGGCCAAGAAAATAGAGTTCATAGTACCGAGGACCAGAGAGGACAGAGCTGTAGAGACAGAGAACTCTGGAGATCCATAGAGGGTTCACCTAAGTATTCAGCAGAATACTGATCAACACATGCATATGAGAAAACCAATAAAGGTCAGAGAAAGAACCATCTGAAAAATTAGAGAAAACAATTTCTCACATAAAGCCTTAAATAGCACCTATTCCCACCATCTAGATTTTGAAACTTCATAATTCACTGGACATTGGGAATAGTTCTAAGAAGAGTCGTGCCTAAATTGGAGGGAATAATTAACTCCAGATTATACACAGATCTGACTCTGCTTAATAAATCTTAAAAACAAGACCCCAGTGAATTAAACTGTTTCCATAACCAAACTATAATCTTAGAACAAAGTGCAGGAATATTTATAGAAGTACAAAAATGTCCAGCACCCAGCAAGGCAATTTACAATGTTTGGCAACCAGAGATTACCAGGCATGAAAAGAAACAGGAAAATACGGTGCAAAATGAGGGAAAAAAAATAACCAACTAAACTTACCCAGATCTGGCGCAATTATTAGAATTAGCAGAAGACATTAAACAGTTACTATAATTATAGTCCATATGTTCAAAAAGTTATGTAGAGACATGAGACACAAACACACACAGTTTAGAAACTAAAAAATAACGATCAAATTGAAGTCAAATTAAGTAGACGAAAGGCCATGACACATATTATGGTGGAAATCAGCAAAGCAGAAAACAGGAACATGACGCAGAAAATTAATGAAACCAAACGATTGTTTTTTGAACAAAATCAACAAATTGATTGAAGGCTTAGTAGATTGGTTAGGGAAATAAGAGAGGACACAAATTACCAGTTTCAGGAATGAGAGAGGTAACATTGCTAAGATATTTGAAGGATTATAACGGAATATTTTGAACAATACAATAAATTTGACAATTGTGTGAAATAGACAAGTTTCATTCCTTGAAAGACACAAACTACAAAATATCACTCAAGAAAAAATAGGTAATCAGCATAACCCTTTATTTATTAAATAAAGAGAATTTGTATTTAGAAACCTTCCCTCAAAGACAATTGCAGGCCTAGATAACTTCACTGGTGAATTCTACCAAATGTTTAAGGAAGAAAACAACAGACTTAAAGTTGAAAGACTGAATGCTTTTTTCTAAGATCACAAAGATTAAACATGTCTACTCTTACCACTTCTACTCGATATTGTTCCACTATTCAACATCAACCTGTGAGATAAGAAAGGAAAATATAAACAGCATCCAGATCACAGAGACAGAGGTAAAATTATCTTTATTTGCAAACAGCATAATTATCTATGTATAAAATACTGTATAATCTTAAAAATACTAGAATTAATTTAATACTAGAATTAAACCTTGAATTTAACAAGGTTACAGAATACAAGATGAAAGTACAGAAAGTAAACAATCAGAAATTTAAATAAAAACAATGCCATTTATAATTCCATCAAAAAATTGAAATCTTTATAATATTTTCTCACCAATGCTTTGTCATTTTAAGTTTACAGGTCTTCCACATCTTTTGTCAAGTTCTCCCTAAGTATTTAAAGATGTGGAAGACCTGTAAACTTAGAATGATAAAGCATTGGTGAGAAAATAAGGAAGACCCTAAGTAAACTAACAGATATGTTTTGTTCATGGTTTGGAGACTAACTATTATAAAGATTTCAATTAACGCCAAATTGATCTGTAGATTCAACACAGTCCCAATTACTAACCCAGCAGATATTTTTATTTTTTTAAATAGAAAATTGCCAAGCTGATGTAAAAATTCCCTGGAAATGCAAATAACTTAAAATAGCCAAAACAACTTTGAAAAGGATGAATGAAATTGGGGATTTACCCTTTTTGATTTTATGACTTATTTTAAACCTACAGTAATCAAGTCAGTGTGGTATTTGCAATAAGAAACACAAATAGATGAATTGAACAAAAAGAAAGAATAGAAATAAAGTAACAGAAATAGACCCAAAAAATGTGGCCCTTTTTATAAATATGCAAAGGCAAATCAGTAGAGAAAGAATCGTTTTTTCAGAAAATGGAATTGGAATAACTGGTAACCTATAGAAAAAAAAGAACCATTCCTTTAACCATGAACACTTTTTTTTAACATTACACTTAATGTAGAAAAAACTAATAAATCTTATAAGAGAAAGTGTATTAGAACATTTTTGTGACTTTCAGTGAACATAGTATTTCTTTAATGACACGAAAAACACAACCCATGAAAAAAAAAGAGATAAATTTGACTTCAGTGTTTTGAAAATACTGTTAAGAGAATGAAAAGAAAGTTCACATGCTTGGAGAAAACATTTCACCTTACATATCTGATAAAAAATTTGTATTCAAAATGTAGAAGAAACTCAAAATTCAATAATACTAATTTTAAAAAATGAATCTAATTAATATTTGGCAAAATATTTGAACAGATCACTAAAGATGCAGAGGAAAGAAGACTCTAATACACTATTGACAGGAATGTTAATTATTACAACCTCTATGGGAAACGATATGGAAATTTCTCAAAGAACTAAAAATAAAGTTATCATTCAATCCAGCCATCCCTCTATGGTGTATTTACCCAAAGGAAAATAAATCAATATATTAAAAAGGTACCTGCACTTGTATGTTTATTGCAACCCTATCAATCAACAATATCAAAGATATGGAATCAACTGAGTGTCCATCCACAGATGATTGGATAAAGAAAAGGCAATACTTCTACTCAATGGAATACTATTTATTCCATAAAAATGAAATCATGTCTTTTGCAGAAACATGGATGAAACTGAAGGCCATTATCTTAAGTGAAACAAGTCAGATGCACAAAGGCAAATATTGGTGTTCTCATTCATGTGGGAGCTAAATAATTTGTACACACGGACATGGAGAGTGTAATGATAGATAATGGACACTTGGAAGGGTGAAGATTGGGGGGAGGATGATGAGAAATTACTTAATGGATACAATGTGTGTTATTGGGGTGATGAATGCCCTAAAAGCCCTAACTTGACTCCTATGCAATCTATGCATGTCACAAAATTGCACTTGTACAATAAATTAATACAAATAAAAGATACACAAACGTCAAATAAGCACATGGAAAACATGCATCAGTGAAATGCAAATTAAAACCACAATGAGATTCTATTACATACCTATTAGAATAGTTAAATTAGAAAGACTGACCATGTTAAGTGTTGGTAAAAGGAATTGGAACTCTAACATATTTCTGGTGGGAATGCAAAATAGTAGAATTACTTTGGAGTATCACCTGGTAGTTTCCAAAAATGTTTGTGATATACATTTTATATGATCCAGTCATTCCACTATTACATGTTAACTCAAGAGAAAGTAGAATCAGACAAAAAATAAACTATGCATACTGTGTGATTCAATTTGTATAGAAGTTGGAAAATGTAATTATCTCTAGTGATAGAAGGTAGATCTGTGGTTGCCTGGAGCTGGGGCACGAAGAAGTAGGAAGGTAGAAATTAAAAAGGGCATAAGCAAACTTTTGGTGATGATGAATATATTTACAAGCCTGAGTGTAGTGATGGTTTTCACAGGTGTATAGTATGCCCAAACTTATCAAATTGCACACAAATATTTTCAATTCATTGTAATGTAATTATACTTTAAAATAGCTATTCAAACAGACAATAAAACAAAAGCTTTAGTGTTTATAAGAATCACAGGGGCTTTGGTGAAGATCAGATGGTCATAGGTGTGTGATCTTATTTCTGAACTCCTTATTCTGTTCCATTGATCTATGTGCCTGTTTCTGTATCAGTACCATGTTGTTTTGGTTATTGTAACCCTCTACTATAGTTTGATGTTAGTAATGTGGTTCTCCCAGCATTGGTTTTTTTAAAAATTATTTATTTATTTATTTATTTTGCTTAGGATGGCCTTGGCTATTCAGGTTCTCTTTTGGTTTCATATAAATTTTAAAATAGTTTTTTTTCTGGTTCAGTGAAGCATGCCATTGGGAGTTTAATAGAAATAGTATTGAATCTGCAAATTGCTTTGGGCAGTAAGCCCTTTTTTTTTTTTTTTTTTTTTTAAATAAGAAGTCTCACTCTGTTACCTAGGCTTGAGTGCAATGGCATGATCTTGGCTCACCACACCCTCCACCTCCTGGGTTCAAGCAATTCTCCTGCCTCAGCCTCCAGAGTAGCTGGGATTACAGGCATGCGCCACCACGCCTGGTTAATTTTTCTTTTTTTTTTTTTTTTTTTTTGAGATGGAGTCTCGCTCTGTCACCCAGGCTGCAGTGCAGTGGCATGATCTCGGCTCACTGCAAGCTCTGCCTCCTGGGTTCATGCCATTCTCCTGCCTCAGCCTTCCGAGTAGCTGGGACTACAGGTGCCCACCACCATGCCCAGTTAATTTTTTGTATTTTTAGTAGAGACAGGGTTTCACTGTGTTAGGATGGTCTCGATCTCCTGACCTTGTGATCCACCCGCCTTGGCCTCCCAAAGTGCTGGGATTACAGGTGTGAGCCACCGTAATCCCAAAATTAGATGTCAGCCTAATTTTGTGTTTTTAGTAGAGACAGGGTTTCTCCATGTTGGTCAGGCTGGTCTCATACTCCCGACCTCAGGTGATCTGCCTGCCTTGGCCTCCCAGAATGCTGGGATTACAGGTGTGAGCCATTGTTTCCTTCTATCCATGAGCATGGGATGTTTTTTTCTATTTGTTTGTGTCATCTCTGATTTTTTTGAGCAGTGTTTTGTAATTCTTATTGTAAGATCTTTCAACTTTCTGGTTAGCTGTATTCCTAATTATTTTATTCTTTTTCTGTCAATCATTAATGGGATTACCTTCTTGACTTGGCTCTCAGCTTGGCTATTGTTGCTGTATAGGAATGCTCCTGATTTTTGTATGTTAATTTTGTATCTTGAAACTTTGCTGAAATTATAAGCTGAAGGAGCTTTTGGACTGAGACTATGGTGTTTTCTAGATATAAAATCATTTCATCTGCTAACAGGGATAGTTTGACTTCCTTTCTTTCTATTTGGATGTCCTTTATTTCTTTCTCTTGTCTGATTGCTCTGGCTAGAACTCAATACTATTTTGAAAAGGAGTGGTGAGAGAAGGCATCCTTTTCTTGTGCCAGTTCTCAAGGGAAATGCTTCCAGCTTTTGCCCATTCAGTATGATGTTGGTTGTGGGACAAAAACAGGTAATGGGGAAAAGACTCTGTATTCAGTAAGTGGTGCTGGGATAACTGGCTAGCAGAAGACTGAAGCTGGACCCTTTCCTTATACCATATACAAACATCAACTCAAGATGCATTAAAGACTTAAATGTAGGAGATCTAGACCATACTGGCTAACACGGTGAAACCCTGTCTCTGCTAAAAATACAAAAAATTAGCCAAGTGTGGTGGTGGGCACCTGTAGTCCCAGCTACTCAGGAGTCTGAGGCAGGAGAATGGTGTGAACCTGGGAGGCGGAGCTTGCGGTGAGCCGAGATTGCACCACTGTACTCCAGCCTGGGTGACAGAGTGAGACTCTGTCAAAAACAAAACAAAACAAAACAAAACAAAACAAAACAAAACAGAAAAACAAACAAACCCAGAAACTATAAAAACCCTGGAAGACAACCTACTGATACCATCCTGGACATAGGAATGGGCAAAGATTAAAATTAAGAGCTGCATAGCAAAAGAAACTATCAACAGAGTAAACAGACAACTTACAGAATGGGAGAAAATATTTGCAAACTATTCATCTGACAAAGGTCTAATATTTAGCATCTATAAGGAACTTAAGCAAATTTACAAGAGAAAAACAATCCCATAAAAAAGTGGGCAAAGTATGTGAACAGGTACTTTTCAAAAGAAAACATACAGGTGGCCAACAAGTATATAAAAACAGCTCAATAGCAATGATCATTAGAGAAATACAAATCAAAACCACAATGATATACCATCTCACACCAGTCAGAATGGCTACTATAAAAAAGTCAAACAATAACAGATGCTGGAGAGGTTGTGGAGAAAAGGGAACACTGATACACTGTTGGTAGAAGTGTATATTAGTTCAGCCATTGTGGAAAGCAGTATGATGATTCCTCAAAGAACTAAAAACAGAACTACCATTTGACCCAACATTCTCATTACTGAGTATATAACCAGAGGAATATAAATGATTCTACTGTAAAGACACATATGTGTATGTGAATGTTCATTGCAGCACTATTCACTATAGCAAAGACATGGAATAAGCCTAAATACCTATCAAAGATAGATTGGATAAAGAAAATGTGGTACATATACACCATGGAATATTATGCAGCCATAAAAAAGAATAAGAGCATGTATTTTGCGGGACCATGGATGGAGCTGGAAGCTATTATCCTTAGCAAACTAACAAAGGAACAGAAAACCAAATACCACATGTTCTCACTCATAAGTGGGAGCTAAATGATGAGAACTCATGGATACAAAGAAGGGAGCAACAGACACTGGGATCCACTTTAAGTGGGAGGATGGGAGACAGAGCAGCAGAAAAAGTATCTATTGGGTACCAGGTTTAATACGTGGGTGATGAAATAATTTTTACAACAAAGCCCCGTGACATGAGTTTATCTGTATAACCAACCTTTACATGTACCCTCAAATCCAAAATAAAAGTTAAAAACAAATCACAGGGGAGGTGTTGGAGGCCAAAAGATTGAGGGTCATGATCAACTCAGTATACCACTGGGGGCTATATGAGCAAACAGCAAACTGTTCTCATAAATGCAGAATGTTGGCAAACTGACAAACTCTGTCTGTCTGCCGCTCAGAAGGAATGCTGAGGGCAGTCACGCCCCAAGCGCAGTGTTTCTTGTGATTAGGCACATCTGAAGCCTGTTAGTAATAATAGGAACCTGTGATCAATTAAGCAGCTGACCAATCGTTACCTCCTCCTCCCTGCTCATTCTACCCAATAAATACAAAGGGCTGTGGAAGCTCAGGGGGGCTGCAGCTGCCTTTGCTCACTGGAAGCAGGGAGCCCTCTTCTTCTTCCCCTGGCCCCTTCCTTTGAAATAGTTACTTTTGTCTTAAGTTTTTATTTCTATGTTCATCCCTTTGTTCAGTCTTGTAATGACAGTCTCAAGTAGTAACTGTTGTAATGAACGGTCTCAAGTAGTAACAGTGGTAACTGTTGTAGTAATGGTCTCAAGTAGTAACCATGATGGTCTGCCACAAGTGGCACCTGAACAGGGACAATCAGGGACAAACAGAGACCTGAAAAGGCCTGCAGGGACAAATAGAGATAAGTAGGGATAAATAGACATAAATAGAGATAAAATAGAAATAAATAGAGACAAATAGAGATAGGCAGGGAAAGACAGAGACTTGCAGGTACTAACAGGGGCCATAGGGACAGACAGGGATAGATAGGGATAAAGACTAGTAAAAGACTGGCAGAGACTAGCAAAGACTAGCAGAAACTTGCAGGGACAGACAGGGAAAGATAGGGACAGATAAGGTCCTATAGGGACTTGAACGAGGAAGGTCTGCTGGAACAGAAAAATCTAAAACCAACCAGATGAATAAGAAACCCCGTTACAAGTCTGTCAGCAGCAACATAAGGTCAGTGCTCTAAAAAGGTACTGGTCAGTGCCCTACAGGTGCAAAGAATGGGAAGTTTTTGAATCAGGATAATATGGGGAAGAATTTGGTTATTTCTTTTCTCTTTTTTGTTTGGAGTTTGGTATGTACCATCTTTCTGTCATTATTTCAGGGCTTGAGAGAATTTTTTTTGCCCCACTTACAGCACCTATAGAAAGTGGTGAACAGGAGAGGCTTGTACCATCTTCTTTTGTGGCTACAGAAAGGCTAACTTTAGCTTTGGCTTTCATGGATTGTAAACATGCACTGGCACCTGTGAGATGTGCAGAGGACTTGGGAGGTTTTCTCACAGCTTGTCAAGATGTGGGAGCTGAGCTTCATCGCTCTACGGTGTTGACTCAGGCAATGGCTAATTTGGTAGCTGACAGATCTAAAAGAAGCCAAAGGTTAAGCCATAAAGTGGGAAAGCGTTATAAGTGTAGAAAAATTGGACATTTCAAAAGAGAATGCCGTCAGACCTCTGGGCAGAAGGGATCTTATAACACTCTTCTCAACAGAAAAAATGCCAGGACTTTGCTCTCATTGCAATAATGAGTTTGCAATGACTTTTCTCTCATTGCAATAAAAGAAATCATTGGGCTAATCAATGCCATTCAAAATTTCATCAAAATGGCACCCTCCTATTGGGAAACGAGAAGGGGGCCTGGACCCGGACACTTCAATGAGGGCAGTCCACGTCCAGGCCACAACTCCATTTCAGGGGTGAGTTTCCGGAGGCTCATTGATTCCCTCTCCCCAGGAACACCTAGAAGCACAGAATTAGATCTCCCAGTCAGAGAACGGGTTGCATTAGTTGGAGGAGACAAACCCACCAAGATTCACACTGACATTTGAGGACCTTTACCAACAGGATACATGGGATTAATTTTGGGCAAAAGCTGTCTTAACTTACAGGCCTAGGAGTTGTTGATTTGGATTATGAAGGAGAAATTCAGGTAGTGGTAATGTCACAAGATCTTTGGGTTTTGAACCAGGAGAATATATTGTGCAACTGTTGCTTATTCCCTGTAAATTGCACCCTTCTCTACATAAGGAGAAATGAGGAGGTCGGGGATTTGGAAGTACAACTAGGAGAGAGATTTATGTATCACAACCCATAGCATCTAGCGGACCCACCTATACAGTGCAAATGGAAGGTTTAAGGATTGCTTTTTTGCTATATTGTTGTACGAGAAGGATAAGCCTCGATTTGCTTTCTCTGTGCCTCCTGTTAATCAGAAAAATCCTGTTTCTCATTATCAGTGGAAAGTTTTACCCCATGGCAATTAACCAAAGAGGCAGAGGCTGAGTTGCAGCTTGTAGAGCAGTCACTTTGGGAGTGGCATGCCTTGCGGCTACATCCATAAAGGCTTTTGCTTCTGTTTCAGTAGATTTACTAACATAGGGACATGCCATCAATGCTGATGATATTTTAGTCTATTCTACCAGTACCACCTTATGTAACCACCTCTTCTGAATCATCTTGGGAAGATCACAGCCACACCCTTTCCAGCTGAGATTCTCTCCATTGGCACAGAGTTAGTAGGGTATTTTCTAAATGGTAGAAATAAATCTCTCTACTCTAAATGGCGGGTCTCTAAATGTTAGAAATAAATCTCTCCACTCTCCCAGATGAGAAGGCATTCTCAAAAACCAAAGCTATGCAGCACTTCTTTAGCAAATGGCACTCTCAGAATTTTATACCTAACTTCCTCACCCTAATCACTAATCAAACAAGAACCTTTCAGTTATCCAAGCCCCTTTCTAGGTCCTTTGTGCTGAGCCCGATTTTCTCTGATCTCAGGTGGGCAATTTATGGCTAAGCCTGTTATCTTCAGTTCGGCCTTCCTAGGTTTTACAGTCTCCCAGTGAGTGCCCTATAATGCATGGTATAATTCTATTTCACCCTCACCATTCAGTTTCTCATCAGTATGGATTTTGTTTCCAGAAGGTTCTTATGTCAGTCAGTCTAAGTTAGAATGACACCTGTTGAGGTCTGAGTTGATCAAGTCAATCTTTTCATCATTCCCAGCAAAAAAATTTCTTCTTCTTCTTTGGCATGCAATGGACTCTGTTACATCAAATAAGTTAAGGACATCTCTGTGGCTCCCCCATGCCTAGCCCAGGAATAATGAATTGATGCATCCCTGCTTGTGTAGTGCCATTTATGATACTATTATAGCCAATGGTGTATTGAGGTTAATTGGTTACATGTCTCCTTACCTTTGGAGGACAGTAAATGTGCCTGATTCATCCTTTGAATCCTCACAGCTTAGCAGAGTCCTAGGGTTATATTCAGTATTCAGCTGATGTTTAATGATTGCTTCATTATCTAATGATTCTTTTTTTTTTTTTTTTGAGACAGTGTCTGGCTCTGTTGCCCAGGCTAGAGTGCAGTGGTGCAATCTTGGCTCACTGCAAGCTCTGCCTCCCAGGTTCACGCCATTCTCCTGCCTCAGCCTCCTGAGTAGCTGGGACTACAGGTGACCACCACCACGCCCAGCTAATTTTTTGTATTTTTAGTAGAGACGGGTTTTCACCATGTTAGCCAGGATGGTCTCCATCTCCTGACCTCATGATCCACCTGCCTCAGCCTCCCAAAGTGCTGGGATTACAGGTGTGAGCCACTGTACCCGGCCGTCTAATGATTCTTTATATAACTTAATCTGTACAAAAACCCCCATGACACATGTTCACCTATATAACAAACCTGCACGTCCTGCACATGCCTGCACACCCCTGAGCTTAAAAGTTAAAAAGAGAAAAACTCAAGAAACACTAATTTCATTCAATTTCCTTTAATGAGTACTTGTTACAGTAAAAGAGGTATAAAGTCCTGTTCCCAAGTCCAAACCACTTTTTAACTTAAATCTTGAGTTTTTCTGAATTACTCAATTTGAAGTAATTCTCTTTATATCTGAAAAATGGTTTTATTGAAACGTTTGAGATTAAAAAATATGCATTGCAAGAAGCATATGACAAACATTCTGAGAGTACAAAATTAGTTGTAAAAAATAACATAATTTACCAGTAAACCCACTCATATAGAAATGTGCAAAGCCTTTTGATATAAAAAGTTTTGTACACCAAGCACCTATTTTTATAACTTAGCTTCCCATGGAGAGATAATGGCTTGCGTGCATTTTATGTATCCATAACATACATACAAGGCTCGGTCTTTTCAATGGGATAACAGTTCACAACTCTTCGATTTGAATTGTAATGAATCTGGTGACAAGGATTTTTCTCTAATGGATTCCAAAGTTAGCCAGAACTTTTAATGTCAAGATGAAAAAGGGTGTAAGGTGTTATATTTTCTTCAATTCCTTTACCACAGGAGGCTAACTCCACAATTTCCCTCATGTTTCTCATTCAGAAAAAAAAATATTAAATTTGTGTTCAGAATTATTTGATGATTGCTTCTTTGTGCTGATGTTTCAGTTCCTGAAGTCAACTTGGCTCTCACAATTTTCTAAGGTCAGGTTATTGACTTAGGGTTGTATAAACATTTTTTTCTGGTTTTTGGATTTTCACTGAGAACGACCTTCCCTTAATCGTCTTCTAGATCCTAATTAGAAAGAAAGGAGAATGTATAGACTGTAAATGTTAGGAAATTTTAAAATTTAAGAATATATTATTCTCTGTATATCTATCAGAGGCCATTATTTTTTGTAATAAACCTTAGATTATGTTTTCTTAATATCTTCAACTTATGGTGAAGCAAATATTATATTTTGATCAAAAGTATATAAAATAATAATTTGAAATTTAATAATTTTAACTCTTTAGAAAATTTGTGTCAATTTGGATATTTACATAGATTTACTGACACATTCTTTAGTTAAAAAATATCTGTGCAGTTGATCTTTTACTTTCAAAGGTCTGTATATTGGATTGGTTTAAAGTAAGAAGTTCCTATAGCGCATTGATAAGCCTTGTGTCTCCTTTTCACTACTAGTATCTAATTAACCCAGAAATTCCAAACTTGCAATTCCAAACTTGCAATTTACTCTAGCTTCCACAAGGGAAATTCTTGCTCTCTCAATGTATTGGAATGTAAGATAACTTAAGTGGAGGAATTAGCAAATGCACATAGTGTAATTATGAAATAAATTGTAATGCACATGTGATATATACATATATAATCTACATATTTAAATGAACATTTTGTAAATAGCTATATTAATGGTTTTTTGCATATATACATTTCTTATTTACTTATGTCTCAAACTGTAGCATTGTCTCACATAATAACATTTTTAAGGATTCAGGTCCACCTGCAATCTACATTTGTTTATCTCTGATATTCAACAATTTCTTTTTGACTTAACTCTTATATACACAAAATTATATGTATACTTGTATATACAAAACATTACATATATATATATATATATATATATATATATATATATATATATATATATGTATGGAGAATATACACTTGAGTCTATCTCAAGGGTTCAATATGCCTAGCAGTTTACATGAGTATGTTGACCTTTCCCTTAATATTTGTTATTAGATTCTGATAGTATAGAACATGAGAAATTTATTTTCTGATTGTTATCAAAATTGTTTTCATCAAAACTGGCTAGCTTTTCTCTCTGATCGATAACAAGTTTCAATAAAATACTTTAAAATCTTTCCTATTGTTTGATTTCTCTTCATGTAACAAAAGAGGCCATATACACACATTACTATAGCCAATACACTTACCTTGAACTTTTTTGTTGGCTTGCAACTTCCTCACGGGTGTGTCTAAAATTAAATTGTTGTAGTTAGAAATACTTCGCAATTATGGCTAAAATCAGACAGGAGACCATGGTTAAACAGAACAGTGTAAAGTCTTAAATAAGTATCACTTAAACACGAAGATTATTTTTAGTAGTTAAATTTTATGATCCTCAGAGTTTTACATTTTTTCGTAAAGGACAAGTAGACAGACAGTGTTTTCCATATATCATAATGAATGTTTCTTAGTTGCAAAACACATTGTTTCATTATGGATTTTGGAACCCCACCTAATGTGCCATTTTTGCAGAGTAAATGACTTACATGATTTTTTCAATCTTTTTGTAAAAAACATTGCCTTATGATGAAGGGTTATTAAATGTCATATAAAGTTTAACACAAGTATCTTCCCAGAGTTAGCCACCCATTTTTGCAGTCATACCTATGTGCAATGTCTGCCTCTGTAAAATTATCACTAAGATCAATTTGTGATTCCTTTATTGTACATTGACGACAACAAAGTAGCACTGACCTAATGATTCTAGAAATGTTATAATAAGTAATTCAGAAAGAATATGCCATCACCCTTGTTCCACCTCCCAACCTGATTCAGTGTCAATCCTATGAGATCCTTTTAAAAAATTAACTAATAAAAGCTTTTATATTTAAGAACTGCAAGTGTTTCAAAACTATGCTGTTTTGTGTTGTTATAGTTGTAACATATTTCTCAATTTTCCTGTTTTTCTTTTAGTTTATTGACAAGACTACCTGGTCGGCCTAAATTCACATTTTCATTCAGTTTTTGGGCATTTGAGATCAAAGAGTAAGTATGGTTTCTACAGTTACTTCATTTTTCTACTTATCTTTTTAAATTTTTTCTCCAAATTTTGACTTCTTTTATATGTATCATCTATACTCAGCATGAAGTCCAGTTTTTTCTATTATATACATGTTTTCAATTCGCTGAAATCATATAAAAAGTAAGCAATGAAACTGTCACCATGAATAGTTTTGGCTATATGACACCAAGCAAATTTTTTAAAAAAGAAATAACATTCAAAACAACTTATATATTCTGTTTCTGTCTACTTAGCACATTTTCACATTTCTTTCCCCCCAGAATATAAGGCATATAATCATTTATAAAACCACATTAATACTAGAGTAAAATATAGAACTATAGAAAAATCTCACTATGTTGGATAATGGGGAGAAGTCTGTGTAAAACAACCAAGTCTGAGTTATGAAATATTCTCCAACAGATATAAATAGATGTAAATATAAATATTTCTTAACTTCAGGTTTATTTGGTAACGAAATAATGGCTTCTAAAAAATTGTCAAGAAGAGACAGATCCAACCTTTAATTGGTGTGCAGGCACATTGCTTATAGTGGACTTATTAAATTCCAAATAGCAGTTAATTGTATAACTTAAAACTGCATCATAGAAGTATTTACCAATTTCTTTTCAAAACAAGTGTGCTCACTCAGATTTCCTTTCATAATTTTGATAGCATCCAATTAATGAGGTTTTGCTGTGATAATATTCCAGAATAAAAAACATTCAATGTGTCAAACAAATACTTTGAAAGAACAGCTTGATTAATGTGTAGAAAACAGGTTTACTCCTAGCAGCTCTCTGCTATGTCAACATGAATGAGAGTTATATTAGATCATGTTTAGAGCAGCAAAACATGGGAAGATAAACCAATTACTTGAATATATTGGCACAAAGAACCACCCTACATCTTATTTCCTAAAGCATGCAAAGTACTCAGCTCAATTATTTTGACATTTTATTTGCATGTTTGTTTTTTGTATGTTTCCATGGTTATGACTATGGAAATTTAAAGTTGGGTGAGAAACATTACTTAATTGACCATGTTAATGTCAATTGATGATTGACAGTAACATTTGATGACAGCTTACTTTGTGCTGAACATTGTTCTAAGAGCTTGTCATATATTAACTTATTTAGACTGTAGGTATCACTACTATCCTCACTTTCAGATGAAGGAAACAAGCAAGAAAAGAGTCAACTAATTTGGGATTGAGTTGGGGCTCAGACTGAATGCAGACCTACAACTCGATCTACTATTCTCTATAGAGGTTACAAATCTTAACCTCTTATGTTGGCAGATTTGCGAAAACCTTCAAAAATGACTTTTTGTTGTTGTTCCTTTCGACATAGTCTGTTATTCTCCTTTAATTGCTTGAGTCGTTTCAGAATGCATAATTCTAAGGTAAGCCCAAAAATTTTATGCATTTAATGAGAAATTTTTTCAGTTAAGGTCTTGGAAGTGTATCAGTGACAAATCACAACATCAGTACTCAAAGTACCAGTTAGCCATGTTAATAGTCATGACTTAAATGATTGAGAAATATACTCAAATTACCAAAAGTACAAAAAATGTACTACATGGCCGGGCGCGGTGGCTCACGCCTGTAATCCCAGCACTTTGGGAGGCCGAGGCGGGCGGATCACGAGGTCAGGAGATCGAGACCATCCCGGCTAAAACGGTGAAACCCCGTCTCTACTAAAAATACAAAACATTAGCCGGGCGTAGTGGCGGGCGCCTGTAGTCCCAGCTACTTGGGAGGCTGAGGCAGGAGAATGGCGTGAACCCGGGAGGCGGAGCTTGCAGTGAGCCGAGATCCCGCCACTGCACTCCAGCCTGGGCGACAGAGCGAGACTCCGTCTCAAAAAAAAAAAAAAAAAATGTACTACATGTACCACAATGTATACGATATGAACTGTTTAGATAGAAAATTCAGTTTTAGGTAGAACTTATTGAGTTGAAGAGCATGGTTCAGATATGTATTAATTGGCCAGACCTTGGAAAAAAAAAAAGTCTTACATAGTGTAATCTTTACTAGCTTCTTTTATCAATGCCTTTTAGGATCTAGACAAGGGGATACTTGTGACTCAGTAATGACCTGATGGTTTTAGATAGCTGGAAAAAAGAAAACAAGCATGTCCAATTAATGCTGGTACTAGTAATTCTACCGCATATAGTGTTTTTCCTACAAAAAGCAAAACCTTGGAGAAATGATTTGATAAAAACTTTTAATTTTTTTTGTTTTTTCACAATGCTATAATAGTTGACGTGGCATTGTGAAAACCGATGCCTTACAGATATGTAGAGAGATCATACACTGGGAACTAAAGGAATAAACTTCTGGGATGATCAGAGGCAAGAGCTAAGAAAGGAGTTCATTAACTAAAAATTGAATGTCATATACTTAACTTGTAGCAGTTATATGTTTTCTTGGCTGAAGCAATTCTTTAGTATTTAACTGGATTTTTCATAGTGGCCTCAATAACAGGGGCTTATCAAAGGGGAAGAAAATATACTTACCTGAAATTTAATCCTAAATGAATTAAAGCAATATAAACTGATGCAGCTACTAATTTATTGATTCCCTAAAAAGCACTACCATTCTACAAAGCTGCTTACTATGGCAAGGACTGAAAGAAAAAAAAAAGAATTCAATTTAATCTTCATAATGTGTTTGTCTCTTCCCTCAAATCCTTAGATTTTTTTCCTAGCAGACAGTTGAGCATTTAGGGGTAGATAGTGAATTCTTTGTTAGATCCTACAGGAATCTTTGGTTCCGTTATGGCTCTGTTGTGCTATGTACTCTTAGAATTCTGGGAGGAAACTTGTATTTTTCAGACATATATATTTCTATTGAGGGAAAATTCAATCATTGGTTGAATTAAAAATTTTTAAACTATCACTGACAAGTTTCTAAATACTATTTAAGAGATTTTACGTTTATTAAACTACAGAATATAGAAATAATAATTGCTAAAAATATAGAAAGTCCCAAGATAATTTACATTTTCTTGGACATAGTGATACAGTTTTAAAAAGTATAAGCTGAAAAGCCATCTGGACTGTGTTTTGGATAAACATCAAACTTCAGTTATGTTTCTCAATTAATAGTATATTTCAAAGTGCCTATTTGGTTTTTCTAAAGAATATAAATACATGTTTCACAAAAAATAATTTTTCAGCTTAATTCTTTCCTTGTTAAAAAATGAAGTAGAAATTTGTTTATTCAAATGCCAATGATACAAATTATGTATCTATATAAACAACATCTTTGAATAATTACTATGTAGGGTTTGTGTAAGATTTTGAATTCTTTTTTTTTTGTTCTTAAGGTTCATTTAATGCCACAGACAGAGAACATTCCATAAAAGATTAAGATTAATTTTATATGCAAAATAACTTATATCTACAGGTATAGATTATCACTCAAACTGTTAGAAGAAACAGATATTCATTCCCAAGAATATAGTTTTGGAAAAGAATGTTACTAAATGCACTATTTTTGGCTATATCTATGTATAGAATTTAAAGACATGCCTTGATTGCTCTTATGGGGGCAGTGAATATAATTTTTTAAATATAAAAAGTATATCAAATTTGGGCTTGTTTAACAGCTAGCAATTTAACAATTATTTCCCTTTTGCATACTTAAAAGGCCCTTAAAATTATCTGAATCAAAGCAAAAAAAATATTCATTGCTCCCCAAACTTTATACCATAGAACTTTTTAAAGACTGTTTAAACTAGTAATCATTTCTTCATAACTATTAACTACCATTGAACCAATCCATCTATTAAGACAACAGTGGATGTTGTCTTTTTTTTTTTTAACCCAATTAAAAGAAAAAATCTGCTTGCTCAGTCTTTAAAAAGTTGAACTCAGTCACTAGAACCTGTTAAGGGGGTTAGTTGTTGTCCTTTTACTAACCTCCCTGAAGCAGTCTTTTAATTTCTTCATCTTCAAATAAATGACCATCACCACCTTCAATGAATTTGGTGACCTTGGTGACCTCTGAGAGGATACATGTTTATAGCAGAAATTGGTTTATATAACAAAATAAAGACAGCAGACTTTATGTCATAAATAATGGCATCTGCCCAATAATGAATTCCAGCCCAACACTCGATTCTTTCACAAATTTTAGTGCTGTTTTCTGACATACTAATATTCTTATAAAGTTGTTGAACAAAATACTGTATAAAAAATATGACTGCCATTTATGCTTAATTCCTTATTCTTGTGCTTTTTTCTTGTTGGTATGGAAATGAACAATAGATTGAGATAGAGTAGAAAACATGTAGAATGTTATTTTAGACTTGTATATGGATAGCTTAGGTAAAGTCACATTCTTATTTTCCTAGAAATGCTGACCTTCTTGTAACAATTTCTTCAGAGTTTCTTCTGTTTCTCCACCTCCAGTAGAAATCCTAGTGTATTTTATTTCAGGACCTATGAGAAGGACAATGAAAAAGGTCTAAAACAGAAGTAGGCAAACTTCTTCTGCGAAGTGACAGAGAGTAAGTATTTTACACTTGTGGGCCATGTAGTCTGTGTTGCCATTGTTCAACTCTGATACTTCAGTGTGAAAGCAGCCTTAGGTATTATATAAATGGATGGGAAAGACTGTGTTCCGATAAAACTTTATTTCCATAAATGGGTGGCACAAGCCACACTTGCTCACTAATTGTTTAAACAAATACTTAAAGAATAGCTGAATTAAGGATTTTCGGCGAATTTTAGGCTAATTTGGACCAACTGGACGCTAGTTTGGAAGTCTGATATGAGGTTTACTGAAAATATTGATCAATTGCTTTGTATAAACTTGCTTCTATTTTGGCAGGTAGATGTACAGACCTTAAGATTAATGGAAGCTCAAATGAGGAAATGGCTTTTCTTCTAGGGTCCTCTAACTCATTAACAAACAGTAAAGTGAAAATGGAATATCATATCAATGGTATATCATATTACATGTATGTATGCATACATGTAATAAAAACAAATGCTTTTAGATTTGTCTACAAATTTTCAATTCAGAGTAAAACATAGATTACATATTTAGAATAATATTATATCTGCCAAAATATGAAGTAACTTTAGTAATCACTATGAAAATGACTTGTTTCTTTAATGATTCTTATATTTGGGGATTAACTATAATTTGATCTTTATAATCTAGGCATAGATCCATGTATGGAATTAATGGCTACCTGTAATGATTCGTTCTTCTCGTGTCTCTTTTTCAGTTATTTCCACAGGCACTCCATCAATGATTTTGGTGTATTTTTTAATAATTGGCTCTAAAAGCAGGGGAATACAAATGCATTTGATTTACCCTCATATTGTGACTATACATCCATAAGCTAGACATTGTAATGATTAACTATATTTCTACAAATATTACCATTTAAGATTCAATCATAAACATTTTTAGAACATATCCCCCAAAAATCATATCAATAGGGATCTAAAAGGTAATAGCTATGTCCTGAATCTTGGTTGAGAGAGAGGGCCATTTGACATCCTAACTCTCCATGTCATACTTGTTTTCTGGATGTGGAATAAATACTTAGTGAGAATCCAGGGAGTTCTATATCATTGGAATGGGAGCCCTATCATAAATCCTAGTAGTGGAGTGGCTTATTAGACAGAGACTTATACAATGGTCATTTTTTCCTACTGTTTCTAATATTTCCTTTTATACTGACATTAATGTTACAATTTTATTCCACAATCCTCACTTGTATATGCAAAAATCATGACATTTTGTTGGGCCCAGTGACTTAATAGATAAATTAATTCCAACTAGATCCATTAAAAGCTAACTATGTTTTATTTCTGACCAGCTAATAAGAACTCATAGCTGAGGAAATAATTCCCACAATTTTTATAAAATAAGAACTAAGAGAAAATATCAGATGTTCAATATTTCTAAACCAACACTATTTCAAAATAATCACAGCGAAGGTAGTCGGCCCCAGGTAACATAAGGAACGCACCTCCATGGATCACTTCAGTTATTGTTTCACCTTCTTTAATCAGTCTGAATTCAGGTTCACCTTCAATTTTGACTTTTGTTAGTGTGGGTCCTGGGACATTATTTTAGGAGACAAATTATCATGTTAAAACAGTCCTTTAAATTTACCGGAATAGGACATTTATTTCAACATTCGGTGTGACTCAACTCAAATGTCAAAGTGGTTTCAGGCTCTATGAAATCACTTTTAAATATTTCCCATTGTCTTCAAATTAGACAAGAGTTATGAGAACAAATGATTTAGTCTGTTTGTGTGCTACTAAAATTACTTTCATCTGCTTTAGCTTTTAAACAGATGGATAAATCCATCTGTTTATTCGTAGTTATAAAGTATGATTATGCAAAATATTATATGTGGCTACACTTTGCAGATCATGCAGTATGTACACATTTGTGTTTCTCTGATAACTGGTGTAGATCCCACTTTATCATACTGATATTGTCTATTACTTTTTCCTTATTAAAATTTTTCATTTAAGTTTTAAAATCACTCAGTACCTTATATTTTTGATCTAGTGGGTATAGGAGTGAACATAAGAAAGTACCAAATGTATACCTACCTTTAAGATGCTGAATGTCAGGTTTTATGAGGAAAATAATTTGAGTACTTACCTTCTGTATGGGAATGATACACAATTAACCAGTTAATAGTTAAACAGTCCTTCAAATGCAAAAGATAAACTAGTGTTGCATTTGACTTGCAAAATGATTTTGCTACCACAGAAAATCATTTTGAAGGTTAGAAAGCTGCTTACTACATTAGTTAATTAAGACTGTTTCACAGAGGAGTAAGAAAAATAAGTTCAGTACATTTAACTCATACTGTAATAGCCTTCAATAGTGGAATGCAACTGTTGCTTGCTTATCTTTGAGAGCATTTTTTTTTGCTTGTTCAGAAATTGTCAATGTACATGATTACCAAAACGAAACCAGCCTAGAACAATCCAAAATAATGAAAATAAAAGTAAAGTTTTTTGAAACCATAAGTATTTCATGCCATAATATTTGATATATAAGGCCAAGGGATATTGAGCACAAAACATAAAGCCAGGTTTTTAAGGTGCGGTAACTTCAAAAGAAAGGACGCCTAAGGAATTTAAGAACCAAAAATGCGTTAATAAAATATCTAAATCAATATTTCTTTAGAAAAGCCAAACTGAAATTTTGGAAACATCCTTTATAGTTAAGCTCTATAAAAGAAGAGATTTTCTCAAAATTGTTTTCCTATTTACTCCCAACACCTCAGAAAGTACCCAGCAGAATAGCTGCTCAATAACTATTTGTTGAATTGAATTTTAGCTGATTTATTCTTAATTCCAAAATGCTGTTATGTATCTTTTATAAGAGACACCTTAAAATTGTGTCCTGGAGTTTAATTCATTTAGTAAGAATTTAAAAGTCATCAATAAATCTGTAATTGTTCAAATAGTAAGAAGGAAATGCCAGTAGCAATCCTGGAAGCTGGACCATTGTAAATTACTACTAAGATAAATATTTGTTTCCTTCATTATGCTACACAGGAGTGTAATTTCTGAACTCAAGTTATTAATGAGTAGGTGACACAACTCCATTTTTCATCCATGTTCCCTTTATAAGAAGAAGCCATGTAGAGATGACCCGCCAGTATGATCTTAACTGAATAAAGATTAGTAGGATAGAATCCTACTGACAAAGATTGAGGAGATAAATAAGTTGAATAAAGAAGCTTCAAAGGAGAAGAATCTTTGAAAATAAGAACATTGGCACATGTAAATAATTTCAGGTAAAGAAGCTGTGCACAATTATAGTGCAAAATTTTAGGGAATCTGATTTTTAAAAACAGGACAAGATTTGATTTTAAAATCAATTGTATTATCAAAGATCATTGTGTCATGTTTTATTACAATGATCAAGGAACATTTTTTCAACAAAACTTTCTGATTTAATTTCTTCTTAAAATACCGAATTGTCTTCATCACTATAGAAAGTCGATTAAATAATTATAATTATAGTATTTTTTTCAAGAAAAAAACAAGGATAGATTTCAAAGAATAACTCAATTTTAAGTCTCAAGAATAAATACTAATATAGATAACTAATTAGCTAGGAAATAAGTTTTTACCTATGTATTTTCAGTGTATAAATTTAAATTAATGACTTACTTTAAAAAATATAGATAAAAGTATTCAAGAAGTTACCTTCTCAAACCACCAAAAGAAATAGCAAAACCAAACATAAGTATAATTACAGTTTCCCAAAGATTCCATCAAAGATATAATCTGTTCTCTTTTTGGAAGACTGTTTCTAGCTTTCTTATAGCACAAAGGAGATAACTAGTTCTTTTCTCT
Organism: Homo sapiens; assembly: GCF_000001405.40. Lineage (NCBI taxonomy): Eukaryota > Metazoa > Chordata > Mammalia > Primates > Hominidae > Homo > Homo sapiens. The sequence goes on from NC_000013.11 coordinate 37,573,734, forward strand.
GGGTAAGTTGCTACATTAAGATGCTTATACATGGAAATCTTAAAAAATTTAAATTGTGATCCTTGGACATAATTAAAATACATGAAATGAAAGTAACATCAAAGATGTTGAAGTTGGCTAACATACATAGTGGGAGTAGAGAGAAAAGTAACTGCTTATTTAATGTTCTAGTCTGAAACATCAGGAGAGAATGTGTGTGTGTGTCTGTATTATATATATCTCATGTATAATATATACGTCTGTATGTAATAATATGTTCAGGGCTGGAATTAAGTATTTTAAAAATCAATTCACTGCATAAACTACTCATTTTGTTTTATAATTCTGATGGTCTAATTAAAAAATATCTCATGCGTGGTTGTAATTTTAAAAGCTTTCAGTAAACATAGCTTCTATGCTATCTTATGTTACACAATGAAAAATGCCTATACTTTTTTTTTTTGGAAGAGCTTCTTGCACTGTTATAAGAAAGAACATGTGGGAGATTGCAAACAAAGCAACATAAAGAGTATACAGCCTGTAGGAGTCTGACTAAAGTAAAAAAAACTCATGTCTTTGTTTAGTGAGTATCTGTATACTAAGTTAATGCAATGCCAATTAGATTCAAATTAAATCAAGTACAAGCAAATGTACTGAAAGTATTAGGAATGCATCATCTACTTTGCTAAATAATTTGCACTCCGCATTCTGCAATTACATGAGCATGCCATTGGTATAATATTGGTTATATAACATTTAACATGTTAGTTTTTAAAAGAATGTAGATACATTCATAGAGATCAGTATTTTTACAGATGTTTTTACTATAAAAGGAACCATGTATAACATTGATTTTTACCTTCAGTTTTGATAATAGGCTGAAGACTGCCTTCAATCACTTTAATTTTTGGTTCCACAACTTTGGTTATAATTTTAGTTGCTGAAAGTATAGAAAGTGGAACATGAAAAATATTTACATAAAAACCTGAACAAAGGTTTTTTTTTTTTTTCCTTTTCTTTTTTGTCTCTGTAGGATACTAAGGCACAGGATGTGGTAATATGTTCAGGCAGTCAGATACAGGAAATATTTATGGTACATAATATAATATCTTCTCATGTCCAGGTGTTGAACTCTGAAGTCTAGTGACTTGAATTTGATCTAGTGAAATATATACTCACAAAGTGAGGAATTATATCTAGAAATCTGTAATTTTTAATTGTACCGCTAAAGCGCTTTACCTTCTTTTGTACTTCTTGAAAATACTGGCTGCATTGCAACAGAAGACAAATATGATTAATGTCATGCAATTCATAATATCTTAAATTGCATTGCTGGATTCTTTCTCAATTAAAAGAAAAAATGAAAGAAAAAGGCTTTTAAAATGTTTTTCATGCATCTGATAACAGTGACATAGAAAGGAAAAAATGAAACATAGTTCAGAATACTTAAAAGTAAGAATAAATTTCAGCCAGCCAGACATGAGCTCTATTCAACAAACATGATATGATCAGTATTTAAGTTATAGGCTAAAATGTCTTTAATTTTCAGCTTTGTTATCACTATCCTTTTTTTTTTTTAATTTAAAGGTATATATTTTAAACGTGTGTCGTCTACCTAAGTAAGATAATAGTCTTTGAACTAGGTACTATGTTTGCTGTTTGGGTGATGGGTTCACTAGAAGCCTAAACCCCAGCATTACTCAATATATCCATCTATCAAACCTACGTGTGTACCCCCCTAGATCTATAATAAAAGTAAATTAAAATAAATTAAATACCAGTCAACTATTTGGTTGACTTTGGTTGTACTGATTAACTGGAAATGTGCCTCTGAAGCCACACAGCCAGAGCAACTGGCTTTTTGTCATTTCTAATGAAAAGCCTTGAAAGATGGTTCTATTAGATAACGGGCCACACTGAAGCTAACTGTGCATCTAGATCACATCAAAGCAGTAGAGGTGAGATGTTAGCACAGCTTTGGTTTCTGCAGTTCTCACCTCATGCTTGTAAGATGTTTAGCTGTGTCAACTTTTTGAATTAATGTGGGTTCTTAGCCTTCATAGACCCTGTGTTTCAGCCTTATTAGGTTTTGTATTTTGAGATCTCAAATTGTGAAGCTCTAAAATAAAACAAATCTGTGTGTTTAGGTACTAGTTCCACAGGTGGTCTTGCCACAGAAGAACCTTTCCATGAAAGTCGAATACGAATACACAGGGCTCTCTATTGCTGCTATCAAAATGGACTAATTCCTTTTAGCTTACATTTTTTACATCATGTTAAGGAATTTGACGTTTTGGATGTTCAGCTGGTTGGTAGTTTTCATTTCAATCTTGATTTTCTGCAGACTTAAATAGTTTTGACAGGTGAAGCTCTGAGGATTAAATATTGATTTTAGCCCTCTCCAGGTCAAATGTTCCATATTTGACAACTTATACCAAAAACAGCATCCTTCCCCTCAACTATACACTTTAAAATGGATGTTATTTTGGGGATGAGGATAATATGCAGCAAAAAATTATAGGAATTTTAGAAACAAGTCAACAACGAAATATAAAAATAGAAAATTTGGTTTAATTTATCTTTACTTCTACTTTAAAATACTTCTTAATAACAGCATACCGTCTAAGGAGGAGTAAAAGAAACATCTTACATTGGAATGTAAATGTTAGAGCTGTTTCAAGGCCTCTGGGTAGGTAGGGAAGGACCATTGAACATGTGTGTCTTAATAAAATGTAGCTTATGCTCTGTGAGTGAGGATGTAATTTAGTAGGAGAAAATAATTATATTTTTGCTCATTGTAATCAAGATATTGCATTCACATATATAGAAAGTAGTGAAACTAAGATGGATAAAGAAGGGAAGCTAAAGAAATGTAGTGGGAATGTGTATATATATATATGCATATGTATATATTTATACCTTTGATGAAGAAAGATGACATAACATGTCTGATGAATAGAGCCCATAAGGATTGCTTAATTTTCAGAAAACATATTTTTTACAAGATTGTATTCCCATGGTGAATCATAACTATTCCAATTAAATCTTTAATACAGTGCTGAGCTGGCCTGATCCTGGAATTGCATGTTATTATTGCATAATTGAAATCAACAACAGCAGCAGACATTTTGTTTTGCTCCTTACATTGGCTTTACTCCTTTTCCATATCTAGTATAAATCTTAAGGGAAATTTTCTTAATTAAATAACTGGATGCTCATGGTATAAAATGGAATGATTTTCTAGCCAGAATAAATGTGGGTATTGAAGTAATGTTTTAGCTACTGATACACTTTGAGTGTTTAATTACAGAGCCAAAACAAAATGAAAAGAATTTCTGCTTGAAAGCTACAGTGAAATAAAGAAAGAGAGAAAAGATAAACAGAGAAAAAGCCATGATGGAAAAGATATACTACTAGCTACACTTATGAGAATGAAATACCCTTTATCATTGTTAAGTAGTAGAGGTTTAATTTTGATAATCTGGTTGTGTCAGAGATCAAAGAACCCTGGAATTTGGAAACTTTAAATTTGTCACATGGCAGATTTTTTTGTTCCTTTGTCCAATTTTGGATGGGAGAGTTTTTGAACTGCCACCTTATAAACATTGGTATTCTTCAACACGTGCTTCTCAGCCTGCCCTTAGATAGCTCAGGGCTTGAGGGTGGCGTGAACAACAAGTCTTGGCTAAGGTCATTTCTGTGTCCACACATCTGAATTTTTAGATATTTCTAGAGGGTCTTTTCGCCATCTCTTCCCTTTATATGTCTTTTTATTTTCCTGGCTCTTTGCCACGCTAATATTATATTTTGCTGTCTTTCTCATGTCATATCATTTCTGTTTTTCCAATGAGTGGGGAAGAAGTTCATTGGAGTTGAAGGTTATCTGAGACCTCAATCCTTTTTTCAAGTGAAATGAGATTGGCCATAGTTTGGAATTCTAAATACCAGATTATCAATAATCTCTGTAAATACAAAGAAATGTATTGTTTTCTTTTTTCATACCTTGCCACCCAGGTGGCCAATATTTATTATATACTTACTATAGACAGTCACGGGGATTTCTTTGAAGGTGCTACCACGAACAAACTGAAAATAAATGTTTATATTTAGTAACATGAAAGGTGATAGTTGTGTTAACAAAACCATGGCACCACTTTAATTCTTATTAAAGTAAAAATAGTGAAGCTATTATTACACTTAATAGAAGTGAAGTCCTCATATAAATCATCTTCCAATTCAATGCTATCAGGTCAGAGGGCATAAAAATCATTGGATTCATTACTCAGAGATTTAAAAATTATATAATAATTAATCCAAAGTTAAATATATTTATGAAACACAATTTTATGTTTCCTGCTACTTTTACCCTACATTGAAAAAGAAGAAAAATATTCCGTTCCCTTTAATCTGTGATGAGTGACAATTTTTTATAAGTGAATGTTCTTTCCTTTATATTCTGCAGTGAAAGTATTGAATGATACAACGATTTTAGTCATTTATGTACCATTTTATTTTTCTAAATTGGACTGTAAACTTTTTGAATAAAGACATGTCCAATTTAAATACATATTTTTCATAACACTTTACACAATACTTGGTCCTGAGTAGCTTTTAATAGATATTTGTTGAACAAAACCATGAAGAAATGATGCCATTTCTTTACAGGTGGGTCAGTGGTACATAAACAACAAAGAGTAATCCAAGCCCAGTACATACTTACTTATTAATGCGTACATTTCTAGCCTGTTATGTTAAACCTGTAATATATGTTCTACATATTAGAAATAAATCAAGTAACTTTTAGGCTAGGCGCGGTGGCTCACGCCTGTAATCCTGGCACTTTAGGAGGCTGAGGCGGGTGGATCACGAGGTCAGGAGATCGAGACCATCCTGGCGAACACAGTGAAACCCCATCTCTCCTAAAAATACAAAAAAAATTAGCTGGGTGTGGTGGTGGGCGCCTGTAGTCCCAGCTACTCGGGAGGCTGAGGCAGGAGAATGGAGTGAACATGGGAGGCGGAGCTTGCAGTGAGCTGAGATCATGCCACTGCACTACAGCCTGGGCGACAAAGCGAGACTCCATCTCAAAAAAAAAAAAAAAAAAAGAAATAAATCAAGTAACTTTTAGTACCTTAATTTGGATGTATTTGATTAATTTATTAAGTATTTCCAGCAGTTGATCATTTCCAACAGGTGTGTCTATGAAGAGAAATATTAAATGAATATTGGTAAGAAAGCATAAAATAAAAATCGAGGTTCATATTAAAAAAAGACTTAGCCTATCAATGAGTTCAATAATTACAAACCTGCTGGATAGAGGAGTTTATCTACAACATGAATTACACCATTTGTTGTCATGATGTCAGATTCTTTTGATTTCAATTCATTCACCAGAAGTGTATCATTTACCTATCAAAATAGGAGGCAATTTCAATGAGGAAATTTCATTAAGGATGAATATTTAGATAACTTAATGATGGATGAACACTATCATAAATTCATTCTAGACAACTTACTTCTTTCAGAAAGATTTTGCTTCCTTGTGTGGTCTTTAAAATGTTAGTAACACCAGGTTCAAATCCTTTTCCAATGAAAACTCCTGGTGTCAGGTGATAAAGAATGATGTTTTGAAGAGCATTTTTGTCCCCTAGGGGAAAATATATGTTTATTTTTATTGAATAATATGACTTTTTGATAAGGACTAAGAAACAAAACACTTATTAGTCTTTATCTTTTTCCATATTGTACTTTCTCATAATATCATTATTCTCTCAAGTAGATATCGATGCTATTTCAAAACATAGTTATTTCAATTAGCCTAATCAAAATAGAACCCAACTTACTGGGAGAAAAAAATCTATTTATTTTCTAAATTATAACTGTTTTCTTCTTTGTCCCCTGATTACATGGTCTTTAATAGAAACCACATAAGTGAACATCTAGCCCAACAACATAACAGTTCACAGTTTAAGAACATTACTGAGTGACCCTCCACACATCCCAAGTGGACGAAATAAAAGGAAACTAAAGCTAACCATGAATACCAGAGAGGGGGCATTTTTAAGGCAGACATCTGGACAGGAAAGCTTGAGAAAGAAGTGAGATCCTGAAATGAAAGGGAAAATATCTGGAATTCACTTCCACTTACGTATCAGAATTTCTTTTTCTTCACTAGTCATTCCCTTAAAAGCATCATTGGTTGGCACAAATAATGTCCAGTCTCCAGGTTGTGTCAGGAGCTCTTTCAAGTCTGCAGCTTCAAGTAGGCTGAGGAAGGTGCTAAGTGGGAAGAATGTATATGTATTTTGTCAGATTTAGATTTAGGTATGTTCACCTACAGTGCATGTAATAGAATAGAATCCATGTATTGTGGAAAGCATGAGAGAACTGCTCATACATTTTCATATGTTTCGAATACAATTTACCTGTTAAAAGTTTTATCATGAAAAATGACTGAAATATACAATACAATTTTTAATTTTTTTCATCTGATTTCATCCTATAAAACTTGACAAGGTCACACATAACAAAAAAGAAGCATTTTTATCATGTAATACTCTACAAGATAGTCTTTGCTATATATACCATCAATTTCTAAAAACTATAAGAAAAATGTCAAGAAGTAGTTTAGTCTGTTAGATTTGTTTTCACACATGAAATCATATAACGGTGTACCAGAAAGTAGCAGCGAAAACATATATCAATTTTGAAAACACTTGTATGAACATTTTATTCTAAATTCCATTTTCAACCACATAGGAGACTGAATGCCTTTTGGGATACCGCCTATGAAACAAAAATATGCCAATAGCTCTCATTCTCTGTGGAGGTGCCACTAATAGGCTTACCTAAAGCGCTTATCTTGTTTTAACTTTTCATGGAGGGATTTCTCTGCTGGCTTGATGATCTCGCGGAATATGTGAATCGCACCGTTTCTCCCTTGCTTACTCCCTTTCTCCATGCATGAATTTTCAATGCAGACAGCCTAGGAAAGGAAAGAAAGGTATGGGGTGTCATTTTCCTTGCTTGAAATTTCCCGTATAGATGTAACTACATAATTAAGTTTCCGGATCGGCCCTTCTGAGAGGTTGCCTGGTGTCTGAGGCCACGGGAACAGCTTCTTTCCTCTGTTTTCAATGGCTCACACAAACTCACAAGACACTTCTTATCTAGCCGGGTTTTTTATTAAAAGTCAAGCTACCTTATGGATCAGGCAGGTAATTTTGTCAATAAATTACAAAAGTTCCATGGAATCCCACTTCTACATTTTTTATAATTTCTATTCAGATTTGAACTATTTCTCTAGACCCTCTTTTGGCCAACACTATCTGTAAGGTTTCCTCACTTTAGTGCTTTTAGTGATCTTCACAAATATTTACTTTATTTTCTTGACTGTAAGACCCTATTCATCATTGTAAGTCAAATCATTGACATATTCATAGCTTTTTGAACGAACGTGATATATATATACACACATATATTTGTATATACAAAATTTAAAGTGCAGCACATTTAATGCATACTTAAAAATGTTTGGAATTTTGTAGCTGCAGGGAGCTGCTGACATGTGCCAGATTCAGTTCTAGGTAATGCCTGACTTCCTGTGAAGTCTTTTAGTTGTAGCTGTACGTGTTATCTGGACAAATACTGAACGTATCATTAGTTGAACTGTAATTTTGATAAGCAATATTTCTATAAATTTTCCTGCAGCAAAATGTATGTTAGGGCTGGGTGCAGCGGCTCATGCCTGTAATCCCAGCACATTGGGAGGCCAAAGTAGGAGGTTCACTGGAGGCTGAAAGTTTGAGACCAGCCTGGGAAATGTAGCAAGACCCTGTCTCAAGAAAAATTAAATTAAAAAATTAACTAGGGTGATGTTGTGCACCTATAGTCCTAGCTACTCAGAAGACCGAGGTGGGAGGGTCCCCTGGAGCCAAGGAGTTTAAGGTTACAGTGAGCTATGATTGTGCCACTGCACTCCAGCCTGGGTGACAGAGTGAAATTCTGTCCCTTAAAAAAAAAAAGTACATTAAAACCCTTTTTTAGAGTCCAGAAATCTCTATGTGCCAATAAAGGTTTATCTTGAAAGCCATTCAAAAGATATTCAGATGCTGACTGGTTATTTTACAGTATAAGATCACCTTGCATATTTGATTCATTATAATGAAATGTTTTGAAATGAAAAACATTTTAGTAGAGACAGCATAGTGCTAACACATTGTATGTGTAGTCAATGCAGAAACTAATCAACACCTTGTAAAACATTTATTATTTCTTATTGCAAACAATCATCATAAAGAAAAATGGTGTGTAGGCAGAGAACAGAATTACCTTGAAAATTGTAAAGTACTCTGCAAAGGAAAAGTTTATTTTAAAAAATTTACTGCTTTCTGGAATTTAAAATAATTGATGCTCTAGAATAGAAAGTTATTCATAATGAAACACATGCAAAATATCTATCTGAGTTTTGAATACATAGCACTTGTTGTGGACTTTGCTCACAGTCTTTTCACCCAAGCTACCCAGTTCCCTGATGCTTCTATGAATATTTACTATTAGAACCACACTCATAAAATTCTGTGAAATATTCATTGAAACAGCATTATTTGACATGTCATTTGACAGACTTTTTATTTTGTTGTGATTCACTTACTGTACGATATACGAAGACTCTGAGCTGTTTGCCTCCGATGGTTTCCAGTATTTGCCCGTTGTAAAGCTCATTAAGGCCAACTTTTACTTTCAATATGTGATTCTGCAGAATTAATTTAAGGAGGCGCTGATCCATGCTGAGAGTATCATCTGTAAATAAATTCATTAAGAAAGAGCATTATTTTATTTAGAAAACATTGAAGTTTCTCCCGGTAAGACAGAATCATATAAACAGATAATCCCTGACATTATTGATATCATGGATTTTGCACTCATATAATACATGAATCAACCAAATGCTAAAAACTAACAATTCAATTCACCAAGTAGAAACTCTGTGACCTATTGTATTAAATGACAATAATACAGTTCCAACCAGTTCAATCAATGAGTTTCACCTCTGTAAGGGCTACATAGTTTTATAGTGGTCACTGGCAAATGCTAAACCTTAATGGTGGCCAAGGCTTTGTCTGATAATTAGATATCTGTTAGTCACATGAAAGAACTACTGATGAATCCTTTGTAAATTAATCTTGATTACTGGAAAGAGAATCAAAGCAAACAACCTCTTAAATATGGGTTATTGTCAAAACACATGGGCAGGATTATTACAAAGAAGAAAGTCAGGATATCTAGGAATTCAATTTTTTTGATTAATAGTTTTTATATCACAATTTAGCATTTGGAAAAACAAAAAATTGTGTTACCTATTTTTAATTAATAAATGTTGCCTAACAATTTAAATATGTCTGTGAAATCATTTTCCTGAGAAAGGTCGAAGGTTGCATGAATCTGAACATGGTCTGTGAATAGCAACTACTAGGTGAAATATTTATATATACTATTTTACATCATGATATGGAAGTGTATAAGTCTCTTCATTTTATTTATTTATAATTTGACACCCTTACTGTCCAAATTTTGAGATGCAAAACACACCTATTTATTTCTAAATATTATTATGTTGGTATCAAATAAAGAAATCAGTTTTATTTTTTTAGAGATCTGTCAATGCATCCTTATTGTGCTGGAAATATTAGATTCACAGAGAAACTAAATATGCTTTTTTTTAAGTTTCGTTTTTTTTTTTTTTTTGAGACGGAGTCTCACTCTGTCGCCCAGGCTAGAGTGCAGTGGTGCCATCTGCTTCCTGGGTTCAGTTCAATTCTCCTGCCTCAGCCTCCCGAGTAGCTGGGATTACAGGAGTGCACCACCACACCTGGCTAATTTTTGTATTTTTAGTAGAGATGGGTTCTCACCATGCTGGCCAGGCTGGTCTCAAACTCCTGATCTCAAGTGATCTGCCTGTCTTGGCCTCCCGAAGTGCTGGGATTACAGGTGTGAGCCACCACGCCTGGCCTGAATAGTCTTAATTACAAATTACAAATTTCACTCTCTGTAGGCTATTATCCATTATAATGAAATGTTTAGAAATGAAGAACATTTTAGTAGAGACCATGTAGTGTTAACACATTGTATGTGTAGCCAATGCAGAAACTAATCAACACCTCCTAAAACATTTATTGTTTCTTATTGCAAACAATCATCATAAAGAAAAAAAGGTGTGTAGGCAGAGAGCAGGAACAACAGTGTCCAGCACATACCAGAAAATGCATTATTCACAGGTGCCAGCAAAGTGTATTCTCCATCTGGCCTCAGAGCAGATGCCAAGCCTAATTGGGCCACAAGATCCGTGAAGGTGGTTTGCTGTTTTCCAGCCAGCTCAATAACTTGTTTGGCTGAAAAATAAACCATCACCATCACAACAATGTCATCATTGCTATTATCTCCATCATGAAACTAGTAAATCAATTCCTGACTCTTTTCTAATATTGTAAGCTATTTACTGCAATGTCAGTGTGATAAGACATCCTCCTCCTCCCTAATAAGAGAGTTCCACTTCCATTTTTTGGTGGGAGTTGATAATCACGATAAATTTCAGAAGGAAAATATTTTTCTGTCTTCCTACTACATGTTTCTTTAATTCTCTATTGTTCATCTCTCATCTTTCTCTCTATACTGTGAGTTCCATAGCTTTTCCATTTATCCAAAGCTGACCATTTGGTTAGATCTTTCCTTCTCTTTCCAAGAAAAACTCTGGCACTGTGAAAACGGTTATAAATATTAGATGTCAGAAACCCTAGAAAGCCAAAGATTCATGCATGGAGTTCCCATCACTACACTGCCTATCTATGGAGTGCTCAAGTAGCTCACTATTTATTGTGTTAGTGCTTTGCATGCCATTCTTTATACTGCACATTCATTTTTCATGGACTTACTCTTTGAGACAGCATAATTAGTAAATTACAGTAAGTAAAAAAACAAAAACAAAAACAAAAAAAGTTGCTTACCAGAATCAGGAATTAGGACCTGATCAATCAAATGGATCACACCATTATTTGTCACAATATCCTTTTTGTTCACCATTTTGATTCCATTTACTGTTATACTGTCACCGTCACATCCTATCTCAATTGTATTTCCTTCCAGCGTCTCAAAGACTGCTCCTCCCATAATAGACTCAGAACACTGGAGAGTATTTAAGATGTGGTACTTCATAAGAGCTGGAGAACACAATAAAAACAGGTAGCTTTCAGATCAAGGGAAATAACATTTGACCCTGAAAAGATGTGTTTCACTGTGGAACTAAGTATTCCTTAAAATGTAGTAAAACCTAAGGATTCACTAACAGCTTTAAAATCCTATTTATGTTCTAAAAGTTTTTTCCTATCAACTATAAAATAGAAACAGCTCAGCTTCGTAGGAATAATAAGAGGAGATCAGCTTCAGGAAATGATTGGTGCAGTATTAGAAAACGTGGTAGGTTAAGTTCCAGCTATCATAAAAAAGTAACTCCTGATGTGAAAGCAAGAATTGTTCCTTTCAGAGGAACTTTGACTGGCACAAGGGCTCACACCTGTAATCCCAACACTTTGGGAGGCCTAGGTGAGAGGATTGTTTGAGGCCGGGAGTTCAAGACCATGATGAGAAACACAGCAAGATCCCTCTCTACCAAAAGAGAAAGAAAAGGAAGGCCTGTGAAATTCCAAAATACCCAAGAGCAGTATCTTGTAATAGCTGCTCATAGCAGAATATTTGTATATAACATGTAATGAGGTCGATAGAGGCTGAGGATAAGACAAATTATTTCCGGAAGGCAACTTCTAGAAAGTAACCAAATAAAGATGATTCATTGAAGGACCTCTGGAGGGATCTATGCCTCAACTACATTATATCTATCCTGCATCCTAAAATTTTCTCATCTTAAATTGGTTAAATGTATTTTGGGATAGGCTGAGTAAGTGAAGTATGCAAGCACAATGTAAAACCTATCTGACAACAGCAAAGAAGCTTGGAAAGCCACCAAATTCTTATGTGTATCAGTAATTAGAGGCCCAAGAGAACCATACAGTTCTCACAACTCAATATCTTTTGGCATAAATACAGAATTAAAAGCATTGCATAACGTGCATACAATATTAAAATTTGATGATCTAATATTTCTTTCCAACACCTGCTAATCCTTCTGAATATCTACTACTTATTTACTTGAAAGCAGTATGAAAGAATGTGATCTTGAGAGTATTCTTATTATTTAAGAATTATACTCTGCCTACTCTTTTAAGGACTTTTGGAAGACATAGTACATCTCAGAATAAAAATTTTTCCCTGCCTTTGCTTATTAAAACTAATATTATTGGTAAGGACTAGCCTCTTTTTTATTCCCTTCTCAGAATGCTGGGAGACTCCTTAGAGATGAAGACATTAAACTACCTTCGGAAGCCACTTTGTCTCCCATGATCCTTTCTAGGACACCTCGTGGAAGTTTCTCAAAAGCCTCATTGGTGGGAGCAAAGAGTGTGAAGTGACCGTCTCTTCCAAGGGCCTCCAATATGTCCGATGTGATGGCAGCTGCCTGAAACACAAATGTGCTTTTCAGAGACTTTCACATTGTAAATCCAGAAAAAGATTGCAACACACTTAGCCTAGGCTGACATGAAGGAGCTGATTCCTACACTATAGAGGTTTGTTGTTGTTAAATCTTCAAAATATTACTTTTTGACACAACCATGTCTTTTCCAACTTTCTTCAAATTGTGTTTGCAAGAATGGGAATTCTGCCCATGTTTATGGGACTGTAGCAATATCCAGCAGTACATATAATAACAGATGAACACGTTCTAAATGAGCTAAATACACGCCAGTCATGTGACTAACCATTCTTACTCTATCATGTCCACAGAAATATTATTATTTCATATGAGATGGTTTCTTCTGTGTAAAATGAAAATAGTAGTCCTTTCAAAAAATATGTGTTACATTTTTGCCAGATTTAATAGCATTTTTATTGTTTTTAGATTTTGACAGGAGAAGAAGAGGGATTTCAATGACTCAAGACAATCTGCTCTTGGACTTACTCTAAAAGATGAAAGGTCATCTTCTGCTTCAATGAAGTCTTGAATTGAGGTACCAATTTGTGTAAGCACACGGTCAATGACATGGACAACACCATTTGTTGCAATCTGGTTCCCATGGATGATTCGAGCACAATTAACAGTGACAACCTATAATTATTTGGAAAAATCAAAGTGCTGAAACCAGAGATACCCATTGACCACTGAGACTGCAAGCCCATTCCCAGTTTTTCATTTATACTAGTAAATGTAACATACAGGAAACTACATTGTAAATGTAAACGCTGTGGATGAAGATTTACATGTTGTTATATCTAAAAAAGAAACTGTAAGAGAAAAGGGAACCAGTTGAGAACCCAAGTCAAGTCATACTTAACATATCTAGCAACATAAGGCAAAGGTGTTTTTTTCATTTAAATTATTGCTTTTCTCTTTTATGCAAATAGTCATAAACTTTTTAATGTGGGTCAATGAATTAGGTAAAGAAGTCTAATCAGTCCTAAAATTTAAGTTTTGAGAGGGAGAAACAAATAATTATTGTATAGATATAATTAGTTACATTACAAGAACTTCCTAAAAATTGTTTCTTCATTGACCTCTTTCGTCCCTGAGAATTTGGCTGGCTGTGGAAAAAGTCCTATGACCCTGTTGGCAGTTTCCCACAAAATCTGATCCAAACACACAAGTACTTCAGTTAGTACAGTAGCTAGAGGGGGAGTAAAAGAACACTCATTCTTTGATTATTCTTTTTGCTACTACGATAAATTATTTCAAACATATCAACTACTAAAATTTCCTTTTCTAGAATACCTGTCTACTGTCAATGAACTGTTCATGTAATTTGTCCTTTACAATCACTCTTTAGTAGAAATTAATAACCAGATTGGAAATTTACATGCCCTAGATTTGGGGGTAAAGTCATAATATAGCACTTACCTTATTCTCACTAACATTTTATTATTTTTGTGAGCATTATATAAAAAGTATAGACAAAATTAAAGAAGGTATTTTTCATAAGTGTACTTTTTACTGATAAAACTTACCCCATTAGGATAATGGTTAATGAAAAGCCCCAAATTGTTATACATTGAAGGAATAATCATGCCATTTTTTAAGTCCTTGGTCAACATTCTCTTATTAATCATGTGACTATGTAAAGCATTCAGTAATTCAACATTCACGTTGCTCTCCAAACCTCTACGGATATCCTAGGAAAAATTGCAATGATAGAAATTCAATTTATTGTGGAACATTAGTAAAAGTCTTACGATCACCCTATTTCTACTCTCTTGCTATTTTCTCATTTCATTATCAGATGGTCATACAAAATTGACATAAATAACTTAAAATTATATTATTCTAATTGGTTAAGGGATTTTGTAAGTTCAGATACTTACTTAAGGATCCTGAATGTGATACAGTACTTAGAACACAATTTTTAAAGTGAATATGTTGATGAAGAGACAATCTTGATATAAATAATAAAATGATAAGAAAGGGAGATATGAAATTATCACATATTTAAAATACTTTAAATGGCAAACAAAAGAAAACAAAAATGACATTATATTTGTATGCAACACTTAAGTTTTAACAAGGGTTTCATGTTTATTCCATAACAAATTCAAGAATTCAACTGTCCTGTACCTTTTTATCTATCCAACACTATGTGTCATATTATGCTTTACTCAATGCTATGGGAAATATAATGATAAGTAAAGCAAAAAGTCACAACTGTTTATCATATAGCAGCAGGTAAAAGTAGACAGAGTAAGATATAGGACAGAGGGGAAAAATGCTTTCAGGGCTCCAATAAGAAAGAACAGCTATTCGGAAGTAGTTTGGAGATAGACCATGAGATTTAAATGAATAGGAATGGTGTGGTGGTCTTTTAAATCCAGTGCTGAGATAGGGTGAATGCCAAGAGAGCAAAAGTTGTCCAGTTTGGTTAATACACACTTTTATGTTTCTCAGATAATACTAAGAAATTTAGAAGGGTATGTGGGACAATAACGTGGATAACTTTAATGCCCTAAGAGGAGTGAAATAAACTGGCCATAAGGAACCACTGAAGATTTTGTGGCATTGGAATTTAATGATTAGAACCAGGCTTCAGGAAGGTTGAGTGGTAATGTACAGCAGAAATTAGAGTATTAGGGGGATCACTTTAGATGAAACATGAGATGAGGCTAACAGCAGTTTTTAAGAATTGGAGAAAGGGGAGGTAAGGATGGCTTACAAATTTCAAGTCTGAACATTGACACTGGTACTGCCAATTGTGGGGAAAAGACAACAAAAAAAACCAATTATTTATTGGGGGGAAAGAAAATTGCATATGTTTTAGATAACTTTTGTTTAAAGATGCAGATGGTATATCCAAGGATAAATGCTAAGATAAACAATAGAAATATTCTACTGAGGTTCCAAGAAGAAACAAGTCCAAACAACAAGCGTAGGTTTACTGTTTGTATGCACTAAAGTGATAGTTGAAACCATGATAAGTGCATTTAAAGAGCAGAGTCAAGTGCTGGAAGAAATTCTTATAAGTTCCATTCTTTTTATTTTTATTTTTACTTTTTATTATTATACTTTAAGTTTTAGGGTACATGTGCACAACGTGAAGGTTTGTTACATATGTATACATGTGCCATGTTGGTGTGCTGCACCCATTAACTCGTCATTTAGCATTAGGTATATCTCCTAATGCTATCCCTCCCCCCTCCTCCCACCCCACAACAGTCCCTGGTGTGTGATATTCCCCTTGCTGTGTCCATGTGTTCTCATTGCTCAATTCTTTAAGGCAAGGAAGAAGATGAGTCAGCAAAAGGAACTGGAGAGGTGGTTAGAGATGCGGTGAAAGACAACCAGAGGAGCGATTTCTATAATCAAGCAATTAACCACACAGCTAGTGTAGCAAGATAATGCCTACAGATATATACCTACATTTTATTATGTATATTTCACTCTAGTAATAATTATCAATTCATCTCCATATCTAGTAGAAAGTAGGAATGTATTTTTATATCAGTTTTATAGATTCGGAAATTGAGTAATAATTTAAGGCATTGTAAATTAGACTGTGCACAAAAGTCTGAAAATCAAATGTATTTTCACATTTCATTTAACTATCCACATACATGTATACAAATTTGACAACCTGAACATCCATATATATACATATAATTAAACATACGTAATAAAATATTGCTGTATAATACTGCTTATGATAATTTTAAATTTCAGTAGGCTTCTTAACTTACCTTTCTGTTAGACATGTTATCTGAAATTACATACATATCCTCACAAACAAACAGGAAAGAGGAAAGGAGTAAAATAGAATAGTAAGTGCCCTTTTAGCTGATTCTTGATTCCCCTTCTTAAAAAAATTAAAGTATAAGTCTCCTGGAGATTTATTCTATTTACGGATGTATTAAGATATTTTACTTCCCTTAATAACTCATCCCTTTAGGTATTCTCATATATGTACAATAGAAAGATATAAAATTTCTACTAATATCCAAGTTAATAAGTCAGTTAAAATGAAATAACAATAACAGCAAAAAATAAATATATTGATAAAAATAATGAATTACAGAATCCAAGTTGTCCCAAGCCTCATTACTCGGTGCAAAGTAAGTGAAGGATCCCTTTCCCTCGATCTCCTCCCTCAGTTTTGAGGCGTCAGAATAGCGCTGCGTTGTGGTGGCTCCCACGATGCCCAGAGTGCCATAAACATGGTCAATGGGCAAAACTGAAATAATCAAGAAATGAATCAGTACTGGGGATAATATTCTCAGGATATTATTCATAATCATTTAAACTTTATGCTGTGTTTCCCAAGACATTTAGCTAATAATTTTAGCAATACAATTATATGAATAATCATTTTTATATAAAAGTTATCTTTTGAGTGCTAAATAATAAAATGCTACTGAAAAACATTATTTTACATATCCTTTGTGTTGAGGAAAAAAAAATTTAAACTGTCATCCTGGTTTAACATTTAACCTATTTAGATCTCAATCCTGCTATGTCAATAATAATTCAATTATAATTCAATATTATCTGTTATTTAAATCTATCATTTTTATAGATTTGGGTCCCTAAAAATATGTAGGCCTGCTTGTTTTCATTACAATTTCTGGGAGCAAATGATTTAAAATATTCAATCCTTCCAGATTATTTCTCCCGAACGTCAGAAGAAAGATTCATGAATGAATGTCAGCCTGAAGGGATTTATCTGGTAATGTGCAGTCAACTTATTTTTTCTGACCCTATTTATTTGAAAATTAGTATAATTTGATTAATAGCATAGAATCAATGGTTATTAAATTTGTGAATATCCTTAGATTTGGTGACACAACTATTAAGTATAAAACCAGGATTTTAAAAGACCCTAAAAAGATGGAGAAATTGAGTCAAAATGAACAAGGTTAAATTTAACAAGGTTCCATGTAATTCCTATGCCTAAATTGAGAAAAACAAATCCTAGAGACCTGACTTAATAGTGTATGTAAAAAAAACTGTAATCAATTTTAATTGATTCTAAATTCAATATAAGCTAATGATGTAACATGGTTACCAATGACATTATCCAAAGTGCAAGGTGTCCCCAAATCAGGTACTTATCTTGGTATTGTCTTAAATGCTCAGACCCACATGGATGGACTTTAAATATCAGTCTAGGTTTGTATTCAGAAGAAAGATTACTGGACTAGAGACTTTCTGTGGGTTGGTGTTATAATGGGGAGGGCTTCAAAGTCTGTGTCATATTAAAAGAATTGGGGATGGTTAGCCAGAGAATAGAAGACTTTATTCAAGAAGAGAAGGTAGCTGGAGGAAAGGTGTGGTGATTGGCATGAAATATCTGAATGGCTGCCATTTCAAAGAGGAAATAGATGAGCTATTTTTTTTTTCTCTAGTTGGCAGAAGTAGAGGAAACCAAATTTCAATATAAAGAATATTATAAAATCAGAGCTGTTCAACTAGAGAAGATGAAGTTTTGCCAAGTAGTTGAGTTCCATGTTCCTAGACAAGTTCAAAGAACAGGATTTTGTAAAGAGTTTTGTTCCTGAAGGGAAGCTGAACTAATTTAAATTTGTGACTAAGTTTCTGTTGTATTGCCCAGCATCCAGTGCATGAGAAATATGCTCTTATATTTTATCATTCATAAATTCATGATTAACACAAAAATAGGAGGGATATATCTTGGATTTAGGATGGTGCTGAATACACACATACACAATTGGCTTCTCCACAAGCCACCTCAACCCTTTCTTTGCATATAATTCCTTATTTAATTCAAAAAATTGAGATTTTACCTGCTGGGCAGCCTTTCATTCCTTCCATTCTCATATAACCAGGGCAACATTCATATAACACAGTCCTGTACATAGGAAGAAAATTAATATTAAAATGAGAAACTAAATAGGATACATTTTTACATAAATTTGACAAAATATTTCACTTATTGACTTGATTTGTTGAGGTTCTAAAAATCAGGTTTTTTTTCCCCCCTGATTTTTTCTTTTTTCTTTTGAGACGGAGTCTCGCTCTGTCGCCCAGGCTGGAGTGCAGTGGCGCGATCTGGGTTCACTGCAAGCTCCGCCTCTCGGGTTCACGCCATTCTCCTGCCTCAACCTCCCGAGTAGCTGGGACTACAGGCGCCTACCACCACGCCTGGCTAATTTTTTGTATTTTTAGTAGAGATGGGGTTTCGCCGTGCTAGCCAGGATGGTCTCAATTTCCTGACCTCATGATCCGCCCACCTGGGCCTCCCAAAGTGTTGGGATTACAGGCATGAGCCACTGCGCCCGGCCGATTTTTTCTATATTTCTATGAGTTTGATTTCTCACTACAGTCTCATGTTACTATAGAAAAGTTCCATAATGTTGATCCAGAAGAACGACATTTGGGTCCTAGTTCTACTACTTGGTTGACATGTGAACCTTGAGCAAGTCATTTAATCAATAGGAGTCCCTGTTTCCCCAAGCATTTAACATGAATATAGTAGCTATAATATCTACTCACAGAGTAATTGTGAATCTCAAATGAAATAATGCTTTTGAAATCATTTTGTAAACTAAAAATGGCTAGAAATCTGCTTTAATATAATTGGAAACATAAGAAAATACATTGACCCATTGGAGTCCGTAACATGCTATCTCATTGCTAGATAAAATAATGCCATATTTGGTTTGAATTGTTGGTAGGATTATTAATTGTATTATATTATATATAAACTTTAAAATCTTTTTATTTTTGTAAAATTTGATAAAAATAATCTAAGTAAGTTTATTTTAATATTAGAGTTTAGTATTCAAGAAAGTGGCATCCTGTTTAAAGTTAACGAAGTGTGTTAAGTTCTATAGGCAATAATTAAGGTAACAGACCAGAAAATTCAAGATATCACGATATACAAAAAATAAGTTTATCTAATTTACTATATTTTGAGGGAAAATAATAATTTAAAATTATATATAATTGCTTACAAAATAAAAACTGATTATATTAATGTATAATTATATTATTAATATTATAATATAATCCTAATTTTTATTTTTTCGCATTTCATAGAATATTTTCTGGACTTCATCATCTAACATAGGTAGCCTATTTTAACTCAAATTTTACATAGTTACTTATGTTTCCTTTCAAAAGAAATATAAAGGTACATGTACCAAACAATTAGAAATAGGGGGATTATTACAAGTAAAAAATAAATGCACATCGTTTTGTAATTTTTAATTGATAAATATCATGTCAAACAGATTATGACAATTATAGATTAATTATTTTGCAATTCACTAATTAAACATGAATCAGCTTATTCAAATGCTATTTCTTTTCTGGCTTTTTATCCAGTTGTCTTAATTGTATTCAAGAAGTATGAATGAATAAAATAATTTAGACATGAAAGAGATCGCCAAGTATAAGAATAAAATCTTTTTTTAGTATGATAAAAATGATAAAAGCAAACTATCAAGAAGCAAAAATTTTAATGATATAAAAGATGATTTTATAGAGTTGAATAAAAGTAAATAAATGTTTTCAAATTGAACCCTGCTACACTAAGTAATTATCTAGGATTTGTAGTCTGGTTTATAACCTTGGATCCTCATTCTTTATTTGTTAATAAAAAATTCCTGGCATGAAATATTGGCTTAAGAATAATAGATAGCTAAAAATACAGACAAAATTAAATGGGAAATACCCACTTCAAGTTATTCTCTAATTTTAATATAGTTTGAAGAATAGTTGGTATTGGAAACATATAAAAGGTATATAGGAGCCTTATGCAAATCATAATAGAGCCTCTAAATAATTTTATTTACATGAGCTCTTGTAAATAAATCTAATTATTGGATGTCAAAAGATTGATTAACAATTGCTTATATATTAGCTTTAGCATATGTTGTAAACAATTTAAAAAATGAGATACAAATGTGCTTAGTCCATAGATTGATAATACTTACTTGAAGTAAAATAGTGAATAGAAAAGGAAATTTAACAAAAAATTATTATTAGCAAATGCTAATATGACAAGGGTCAGTCATAATGTAGAGAATTAATGCAGTAGATGAGATAAAATTCCAGCAGTTCATTGTAATATCATCAGATAATTGAACAATGTGGTTATCTCTGAGCGGATATTTTGAAAAGAAAAAAAAAGCAGTTTTTTTCAGAAGAACATTTATGCTACCCAAAACTCAATGTTCCCATATGGTCAGTAGGGCAAAACAAGAGTAAAAAAAATATTGCTATACATAGCTCTAAACATGAGAAATTTATTTTTGTTTTCAGAATAGTATCTAACATTTCATGAGATGCCAGCTAAAAATATCACAGACATTCTCTAGAGGAAGTTTCCAGAATACTATATTACTAGACCAATATATATTTTGGACAATATCTTGACCCTAGGAAGCTTCACGTTTTTCATTAGGCCTGCTCAGTTTACTTTTCTCAAATCCCCAGAGCAACTGTCAGCTGAAAGGCAAACATTTCTGTCATCTGATCATAAAGTCCTGATGATATCTCTGGAAATTTCAGCAGAAGCAAGCAGATGGCAGACCAGTCAGTCTTCCTGTCAATAGTATTGATTTCTTTGGTTATTTGAAATTAGCATTTACATTTATTTCAGTGCCCAGACGTAACTATGTTTTTGAAAATGAATCTACTTTAGAAAAATAAGCTAATACAATTGAACAAAGGAGACACTGTTACATTTCTGGTTAAAAAAAAAAAAAGCCAGGCTTCAAAGTAGTGATTTTTTTTTTTTTAATGGAAAGCAAGAAAGAATTTTGGCATAGCCTCTGTACAAGCCTTGACATCTCTCATATATTTAGATGGTTAAAGTAAATTTATGGCATTCTTCTCTATCTTCTAGGAAGGATGTAATAAGCATTCTCCCTAACATTTCAGGGTGAAGGTCCTTTCTTATCTAGTTAAGTGTGCATTTCAAATATGCTTCATGGTATCCAAGAATATAAATAACAAAGAGGAAAACTCAGAGCCTTAGAGTCCCTACTGGGGCCTAGCTTGCAGCATGGCAGAGATCATTGTAACAACTGATTGCATTATAATTGTGTGAATGACTCACAAGTCTAGCAGAAGTCTGCACAATAATAGGAATAATGTTCAGGTCAAAAGATAACATCATGTTGAAACTCTATTAAGCCAATGAGCAGGAGATGGTCAGCAAAGTCCTCTGGTGCCCTAGACTTGGTTACCATGTGGAGATGCAACCCAGCTAAGCTTAAATGCCTTGTATACATGGTTCTTACTTAGAAATAAAGACAATCTTGTGCATTTCAAATAGGCATCTGGTCACAACTTCCTTTCCTGTCTACATCTATGCATTTGTTTAAAAGAGTTTAATTTTAAGAACAATTGATATTATGCATTATGGTTACTTAGTAATTTCACATTTATCAATTCATTTTATTTTCTCAGAAACTCTATAATATAGCTATTAAATCCATGTTTTACAGGTAAGTCTACAAGAAGTTAAGTGATTCCATATTTAGTATCTTTTTTTTTTTTTTTTTGAGACAGAGTCTCACTCTGTTGCCCACTCGGGAGTGCAGTGGTGCCATCTCGGCTCACTGCAACCTCCACCTCCTAGGTTCAAGCGATTCTCCTGCCTCAGCCTCCCAAATAGGTGCCTGCCACCACATCCGGCTAATTTTTGTATTTTTTTTTACTAGAGATGGGGTTCACCATGTTGGCCAGGCTGGTCTCGAACTCCTGGCCACAAGTGATCCACCTGTCTCAGCCCCCCCAAAGTGCTGGGATTACAGGTGTGAGCCACCACTCCTGGCCCATGTTTAGGATTTATACCAATATTATTAACTTAGAAATAAGTTTCTAATAAATTATTCCACCCGAACTTAGGGTAACTGAATTTTAATGCTGATGTATTAAGCAGGTTCTTCCTGGGGTCTTTTGATTCTCAAGGGATCCTTCACTGAGGGTGGACTTCAAATTAATAGGAAGCAGGAAGGAGCCACTTGCACTGTTTTCTTGACTGGGGATGACACCTAAACCTTTCTGATTGCATTACTTGCCCTATTTATGACTGGTCTCCCTCATTGTAAAATAAAGACTTTGGATCACAGGAGTGGTTCTTGACCTTAATAAGTCCAGAGTGTTTATTACTTTTTTCCACCAATATTTATTGGTAAAATAAACCAGAAGGCATGTCTATTAAGTAATAAATAATGCTTTCAAATTTTAAGCTAATCAGTGAAACATATGTTAAAACATAATCATCCTTTGGGCTATTGAGATATTAACTATAATGATGAGCTTCCGTTATCACCTTGTGGACCTCTGGGGATGGAGCATCTTGAACGGAGAATCACTGGATTAAATAAAGAGATAAAACTCAAGTATTTTTTAACTTTAAACTTTGATGAAAACTCTCCGGTAAACTGGAATACTTTAGACAATTTCCAAATGACTAGAGACAAACATTAACTTTTTGCCTCAGAAACTCTGATATTTTAAATCAGTTTGTTTTTCTGGCCCACTTTTTTATAAAATGAGGAAACTAAGTCACAGAGGTTAAGTGACTTGCCTAAGATAAAAGAGGGCCAAACCAGGAGTAGAAACAACATCATTTACTCACACGGATTCTATACCCAATCCTGAGCCATGTGATCTGCTTCCTTCTGGCCTCCATGTCACATGGATTCAGGAAGAAATCTGAGTTCTAATAGTAATATTGGAGATGCAGGGAGAACTTCTTTATTCACGTATGTATTCCTTTCTTTTCTTTAAATAACTCTCACAATTTTGGTCAGTATTTTCAAGAAGAATGGTGTGTACACCCAGGGGAAGGCATATACATCATGATGTTGTTTTTGGAACTGACATATTATGAAAAAAAAAAGAGACTTACGTTTTCTGTCCACAGATGGACTTTTTATACCAGTTCTTACAAGTGCTGAAGTATTTCTTTTTGGTGCCCAAAATCTGTTGAAGGGCACAGACATTTGGGCTGGAGGATAGAGGGAAAGGAAAAAAGTTAATGTCCTAATAATGACTAGTTTTTCGTATCTAAAGATTGGTTGATAGAAGAAAATGTTGAGATGTGGATTTGATATCCAAAGACATGATTCTAGCCTTGCACAAATCTAATTATTGACACAATCCTACTGAATTGTTGAAAAACCGAAAGTCTACAGGAGGTGGCAGGGAGAGAGAGAAAAATTATACATTTCTGAGAGTAAAATACAAGCTTTTCAAAAAGTTAACCAACTAGGACTATTCAAACAGTATGAACGTAATTTTATTTCTATGTGCCTTATTACTTTTAATGGTAGATAATCTACTGACCCTTTTTAAACCAAGCATGTGCTCATTTGGAGGATGGCCATAACTTCAGGGCTCTCTGGAACAATGAGAGGTCAGAGAGCAAAAGAGACAAGGTTTATTATGTACACAGACACTATACTCTGTAATTTTCTAGGTAAGTAATCACAGAAGTAAATGTGCTAAAATTAACTTTGAAACAATATGGTTGCACAAAGGAGAATTTATCTTTTTGAATGGAAGTAACAGATCAGAACATCCTCTGTCACAATTTTAAGGTTCCCCTTCCCCTCTTAAAGGGACAGAAGTCTTTTTTCACTGTAAGTCAAAGAAGCTTGTGAACATTATGAAAATTCCTGTGAGGCATAGGAAGAAGTGCCAAGATCCGCTTAAAAAATTATAAATGGTTGGATAAGTTACAAAATTATGTGTAATTTTAAAAATGCTTAGTTGTAGTTGCATTAGTTCTATAAAATATAAATTACCTTTGCAAATTTTACAGAATTCAGAGTTTAAAAGTAACTTAAATGCTTCAAAGAATTCAGAGAACTAGTTACATTACCCAGTATTTAACCTTCATATGTAATTTAAATAAAATTTTCTCTAACATCATGTGAGATATTTCAATGCTGTTTGCATACATATGATAGTTCCTAACAATAGATTTTTTAATTTTGAAAACTCAATTTCAGATTTTTGGAAGAAAATAAAAACATAAATAAATGGAATTATAAAAGAATGCCCAGCTAAATTGTGTTAATTAGATTAGAATTATATAACATTTCATAAGAAAGCAATTATATTCAAGGTATTTAGAGAGCAATTAAGTCTTAAAGCTTAAAAGTGCATAGATAAATCACAGAATACTCACATTTTCCTTTTTTTCCTATTACTTTATAATAATTAGGAAAAAAAACCCTGAGGCATATATGAGAAACTTTATGCATACTTGAACATCTAACAAGCTGAGGAAAAAGAAAAATGGTTTATAAAACCAAACCACTCACTTACCCTTGGTCCCGACCCCTGATACGACTATGAGCCAAGATCTTGTCATAATGATTGTTGGCGTTTATAGGGTTAACAATAAGCAGCAATAGTAGAGAAAACATGGGTAAAAAGGGAATCATCTTGAGTCTCTCCGTTGCAGTTAGTCCCCGAAGAGAACTGGCAGTGGGCTTTGGAGAGCTCAGAATTTATATACATGTCAGAGTTGTGGGAGGGAACACTGCATCAACCTGAGAGTCTGAACTCTTTCCAGGAAGCATCGGCAACTTCAAATTGCCAGCTAAGATTTGTTTTGGTTAGTTATATTTAAGGAACACATTGAGCTACTTTTCCTTTTCATTATAAAGAAGGTACTTATTTTTAATCATATGAACAATTGACTCACTGCATGTTTAAGTCTCAGTTTTATTCCTTTGTATCTTAGAGGGTTTTTAAGAAAAATTCTTTTGTTGAGTTTTAAGAGATATTCTGCAATCCTTTCCAGAGTAGAATGTATAATGTCTGTGTGCTCAAGATTATTGTTAGGTGTTATTGCAGTTCACATCAGAACTGAAAGATTATTATTATTATTATTTTTACCAGAAAACAAAGGTAGATGCGAGTCTGACAATCACAAGGGGGTAAAGGCTGTTGATTAAAAACAAACTCTGGATAGATTTAAAACTTGTGTAAGATATGAAATAAGAATTCTAACTTGCTGAAGAACCATGTAGGAGAGTCCATATTTTCCTTGCTATCGTACAAAAAGGAGAGCTACCTCTCATTTCCTTTCTTTTTCAAATATCAAGGAACATATAGAGTTAACATAAATCTACTCTGACAAATTTCTCTAAGGTTTGAAATGAAGCAGAAAGGAAAAACATTTGTGCTTTATTGTTTTTCATGACACACTTTATGTGATGTTGAACATGTCTATGCAGCACATCTACTGATAACCACTGGTGAAAAGCAGCCAATATTGGAAGCAAGTGTTACGAATCTAGAGATAACTAGAACAATTAAATACATATTAGGAAACATGGACATTGCCAAAATGATTCTTCTGATTTTATCAAGAATAACTAAAGCCTTTCAATGTTACACTATGCAATCCCTAGCCAAAGGAATGTGCGTTCTTACTACTCCATGCATATGTCAAATGTTCAGAAAACTTTGGATAAAAGAAATCTGAATATCAGAGGGAAACAATGAGCTGAAATGGTAACCACAATCAGCTTCCTTGAATAAACAAGCTGCACACCATCCTAAAGTGTAATTCCAATCCATTTTGCTACAAGATGCTCCCTCTGTAATGTCATATCCATGTTCTTTTCCCACTGGTGAGGTAGAGAGATTTTGTCAGAATTCTCCTTGTTGTTCTATTGGGAAGGCTTTAGGGGAACTGGACTGAACTAGAGAGGATTCTGAGTATCCTGAGTTATGCTTAAACTCACTATGGGATATTAAAATATTCTACAACTTGCTGCTTAGTTTATTAAGAAAGCACACAGTGAAACCACAAATGCTGAAATATGATCGAGAGGCCATTTCAATATGAAAATCTTGGGATTAAGTTATAGAAAATGAAGGGGCAATTCAAAAGAAGAGCTGGAGAGGAGATAGCATAAAAGTTAAATTATATTCTGACCCTGGTCCTTTGTGGAAGGAAGAGTTTAGTCTATCATTTACATTTCTCTGAATGGAATCATTCTGACTTTATGAAGTCATCTTTTGCTTTATATTATAGCTTTCTATTACTCTTATGTTGTGCAAATGGCAGGTGGTCAGTAACTGCTTATTGATTAGGACGGATAAACTATCAATATTATTAAATTAGCTGTTAGGACATTCCTGGTTAAATGGATATATAAAAGTCTTCAACTCTAGACCAGTTAGACATTATAATATAGATTACACTGCTACTAATGCCACACTTTTCATCTTTAGACTGATGTAACTACTTACAGACCTTTTTGTAATGAAGCTGATATCTGCTCAAATCCAATAGGGTTTGACTGGAGGTGAAGGATGAGGTACTCAGAGAAAGAGATATAGACTTGTGTAATAAGTATCAAGGGTAAAAAAATATATATTTTTAAATACAGTCCGGAATGATAACTGATAGACCTGATTGTGAATACAAGGAGTGAAGGAAGAATCAAAATTTCCTGCCATGTTGCCTGCTTTCTTAATATTGCCTGGAACGAATTAAAATTTTATTGATTATTTTCAAGAACAATTTTAACCTAGTCGTTCTTTGCAACCAGTTTTATGCACTAGTATTAATGGCTTCCATTCATCGTGGCTCTTGCAGTTGTCTAAATTGACAAATAATTACATGAAATGAGTAGTGAAGATGGAAATGCAGTCATATTTCAAAAGATTACTTCTCCCTTCTGACAGGTGAGATTAATTTATGCTTTTTTGTGGAAAGCATGATATATGCTCATACAATTAAAAGAGAGGTCTTAAATCTTTCTTTTCACACTTCAAATAATAGAGACCATAAGTCTATCCATCCTGAGCATTATTTCTGGAACTTGTGTAAGTCCCATGAAAATCAACAAATAGCAGCCCTCAGTATTTAAAGTTAGGATTAGTAATGACATCACGAAAGATCTTGACAATGCAAGCCAGGTGTGCATACAAACTACCTGCAAATTTAGATGTTGGGGAATATCCCAAGAGAAGGAAAAAATTAGGGTAAACATAAAAAGATTATAGCACTGGAACTTAAAAAGCTAAGGCCAGGCCAGAAGTGTGATATTATATGCCTAATAGTGGGAGGAAGTCTCAGCAAGTTTTCGGTAGGATAAGGGAAGGAAACAGTTGTAAGAAAGATAATGGAAGAAAGAGTAGTCCAAGTTTTAGAGAAGATATTGAGAATCTTGCAAGGAACATAATTCTTCCCTTTCTGAGCACTCATCAAGGGTCAAATTTTCTCTCTCTCTTCCCTGCCCCCCACCGTCTCTCTTCACACAGGACCCTTATTCTTCTGCATCAGAAAAAGACAGTGACCCTGGGGTTGTCCATGTAATTTTCCTGGGAGATGGGAGGAAAATTGAAATGATGATAATTAAGTCTGACTTTCAGGGTTGCAAAATGTGACCCAGAAATATAAGTCATTCATGAAAACTAAATGGTTTACTATGTAACTGAAGAAAAATAATGTGACTGAAAGAGAGGATCATTTGTTTCTAGCTGTCGGGATGCTAATGTATTGTCAGTTTGCAAATTATCTAGTGGATCTTTGTAACAAGACTTGTAGCCTCTGGAGACTATGAACTCATTGTAATATCATGCTTACTGCCGCCAGCATGTAACTAACCTTAAACTTGCCCTATACTGTCTAAGATTGGACATAGACTGTGGATTCAACAAACCTGGATACTCAAGCCAAGTGCAGATTTTTTAAAAGTAAAAATTTCCTTGGTTTTGCATGATCCAGAGTAGCTATTTGTGCCAAATTATTTCTAAGCCCCTGCTTTTTAACATATAGGTTACAGGATCGTGAAAACATTTCTTGAGCATCACTTTGCTTTCTTTCTGGCCTATTTGCAATCTACATGTAGTTTGCAACTTACTTGTAAAACATAATAAGGTCTTGAAGTTAGTGCCCCACTTTCCTGGGGGTAGCACTTCCATGTCCAACTATCTTGTCTAGTGAGGTTCCCAGGCTTCCTGGACAGCTAGGTTAACAGCTCTATAAATTGAAGTTCTGGCAAAGACCCAGTGATCTTTGTTTCTTTTGAGCTAGGGAAAATGTTTTCTTAAAATGACTAGGTTAGGCTGAACTAAGCCTACAGGAGCAGGAATTCAAATTAAACAAAAGTTAGATTTCATGGTTTTTTTCCCTTTTTAAACTATGCATACAGCCCAAATAAAATTGAACATCAATGAACAACTTGAAGAGGCCAAAGAAGAAATATATAGGCTCAGATATTTGTGGCTGGACACATTGTATAGTCTACAAGAACTGTAGGCACTCTCACGCCATCCTTTTGACATAATACTTCAACGGATTTCCTCTGTATATTCCATAAATCTTCATCTTCTGGCCAACATTTCTAAAATAATGAAATCATATTCAGAGAAAGAGATGATTAACTGCAGTGCAAAGTAGACATGAGGTGATGTTTCTTTAATGTTAACTCATTTAGCAGCAAGACAAAAGGCTTTCTGAAATAAATGCGAGTAGTATGCCATCTTTCCGGTATAACTTTAAGCTCTCACATCATTTAAAAGCCTATCAAGTGTCAGGTCCACTCTCATATTAAATAGTCAATCCTTGTAACTATTTAATCCTAATTGAACTGGGTACTTTTGCAATTTTAAAACTGGGTGCTTATTAACAGTATCTTTATTAGCAGTATTTACTTGCATTTCTCTGGAGACATCTAGTGGAGAAAGTATAGTATACAATGTTTCTAGAAGCACAGATACCATATTTTGATTAAATTAATAATCAATATAAAACTTACATAAAAATCTTAGGCATTTTACCTGTGTTTCAAAATGCCAGTCAACTGAAGATTCATGATGCACTCTTACATAAAATATTCTACAGCCAATACATATTGGCCACAATAAGCGATGCCAAATCTGGATAAAAGTTGAAAAATCTAGTCCCGTTTTTTTGTGTATGTGGCCGAGACATAAATAGCTTCATTTTTTTTTAATCTGGGTTTCTGTGGTTTTTTTCTACACTGACATAAAAGAGTGACATGTGGTTAGAAATTATGACTGAATTTTTCTACTTCAAACAAATGATTGGAAATAATCACTTCTGCAGTCTGATTTCATTCTTTGGTTCCTTCTCACATTTATACACCCCTTACTTCTGACCCCCTGATACTGTTGACATGGCTTGCATCTTCTCTCTCATTTGGTTCTGGATGATTTTGTTTGAGATGTAATTAAGACCCTACTCATCATCTGTCTCCTGCCCACAAATAACTTTTAATATTCTTCCAGATTAGACTGTAAGATGAAGGGATGGATAATTGCTGCAATTAAAAGAACTCTGTAGCCATCTATCTTTCATAGTGCTAAAATTTCAACATCCCATCTGGAGCATTTGGTCTGCTGAAAGAATGGACTAAATTATGGTAACTCCATAATTTGTAATCAACCATTTATCACTTTCCTTGGATCCTTTCCCTCTGAAATAGAAATACTCTCAGGTCCCATGCTTAGACCTGCATTTCTCCACTGATATATCCTCTCTGCTGATTTGTCTATGTCCGACACTGTCCTCAAAATCCCTTTGTCTATTTCCAGTGTTTTTAGTACAGGGTCTATATATGCTTCCTCTCTACGTCTGAAAAGCTTTTCAGATTTCTTCCTAGGAAAAGTGCCAACCAAAGTTGAGTTATTCCTCATTTTTCAATCATAATCTTCCAGCTATTCTCAGACACATTGAATATATTTTGATCTAAAATAACTTTTGTTGCTTCACTTCACCAGATAATGATATTATGTGATGAATTTCCAATTGCAGAAATCGAATAGTTACAAAATTTCTTCTTCTTGTTATCCCCATATTTCTTCTTCTTGTTCTCTCCATATATCATGAGGGTTTCTGCTTTCCTCTCTAAGAGGCATGCATCTGATGAAGGTTTTTATTCACTTCTGTTGTCCTATATGCAAAACAATCTTGGGATACTCTGTTAGTGCTGTGGGGAAAAATGGAAAAGACCTGCTCTTCTTTTTATGCTAACAAATGTGCAACACTCTTTATATCTTTATTATTGTTCCCAAGGACACATACTTGTAGAGAAAGTGGAATTAGATAAGTTAAAGTGGAATTATATGAGTTACAGGATTTCAGGCCATGTGGGACCTGAACAGGGGTTTGGATGTCATAGCTTCTCAGTACATAATGAACAACAAAAAGAGTGATATCATTAGAGAAAGTTAAAGGGTAGAGGTTGGGGTGGCGGGTGGAAAAGAAACTATTTCATTGGACACAGAAACTAATTCTTTGTTTCTTTTTCAGAAAAAAAGGTCTGTGGTAATGATGGAAGCTTTGGGCTTTAAATGGAAAAAGAATCTTTGATTTTTCCAGTCTGCTTTTAGGTTTCATAGGAACACATGCACCCAGAAGTGCATTTTTACCTTTAGCAAATTATTTTCACTTTAAGTAAAACAAACACAAGTATGCAGGCGTTAGGTGAATAAAAACAAGAGCAGCATATTCATTATAATGGCTTAAATGCATACTAGCACTGTTTGAAATTCATATACAAAGTACAGTGTGCGAAGGAAATCATTTGCTTGGATGTGAGTTGATAGTTCCGCTAAAATGAGAAACTGACTTCATATCCAAACAGTATAAAACCATAGAGGTGGTGAATTAATAATTCTTCAGCAAGATAGATTATTTGGGGAACCTCAATTTAGAAACAGATTTGTCAATTTTTCAGTTGCATTTAAACATCTATCAAGATGTGTTTTCACCATGTGGCAGATAATCTTTTATAGTTTTTTTTTCCTCTACCCTTACAAGATTATTACACAGGGGATAATTGAGATGAATAAATCATTTGCCCAAGTTGACCCACATTTTACACATGTCAGCTTTGACAAAGCAGAAAGGAAGGTAGGGAAACTCAGTTAATTTCCCTGGATGTTCCAGTTATCTATTGCTACCTGATACATCACTCCAAACTTAGTGCCATAAAGTAGCAACCAACTTGATACGCTTCAAGTATCAGTTGATCAAAGATTCAGATAGTGCCGAATGGGAATAACTTGCAAGTTAGCCATACCATTCCACGATGTCTGTGGCTTAAGCTGGGAAGACTGGAATAGCTGGGGTGATTTCAATAACTGCCAGTGGTCAATTAGGACCCCTTGCAGTGCAAGATCCACTGCCAAGATGGCTTATTCAGTCACGTGTCCCCAGATTGACAAGGATGTTTGAAAGGCTGAGCTCTACTGGGATTCTCAGCCAGAGCACCTACATGTGGCTTCTTCAACACAGTGGCCTCAGAGGAGTTAGACATATGACAGCTCAGTGATCCAGCAAACAAAGCAGAATATGCATGGTCTTTTATGAGCTGATGTCAGAGTACCCACGGCCATCATCTTCTGCCACATATGCTAATGGTTGAAGCCACCAAAAATGAACGCAAAAAGGTGAAGAGAGCATATAGACTCTCACTTGATGACAGGAGACTCAAAATATTTGTGTCCCATACACCCTCCCAAGACTAAACCAGGAAGAAGTCGAATCCCTGAATAGACCAATCATAAGTTCTGAAATTGAGGCAGTAATTAATAGCCTAACAATCAAATAAAGCCCAGGACCAGGCGGATTCACAGCCTAATTCTACCAGAGGTACAAAGAAGAGCTGGTACCATTCCTTCTGAAACTATTCCAAGCAATAGAAAAAGAGGGCCTCCTCCCTAACCATTTTATGAGACCAGCATCATCCTGATACCAAAACTTGGCAGAAACGCAACAAAAAAAGAAAATTTCAGGAGTATCCCTGATGATCGATGTGAAAATCCTCAATAAAATACCGGCAAACCGAATCCAGCAGCACATTAAAAAGCTTATCCATTATGACCAAGTTGGCTTCACCCCTTGGGTGTAAGGCTGGTTCAAAATATGCAAATCAATAAATGTAATCCATCACATAAACAGAACCAATGACAAAAACCACATGATTATCTCAATAGATGCAGAAGAGGCCTTCGATAAAATTCAACACCTCTTCATTCTAAAAACACTCAATAAACTAGGTATTGATGGGACATATCTCAAAATAATGAGAGCTGTTTATGACAAACCCACAGCCAATATCATATTGAATGGGCAAAAGTTGGAAGCATTCCCTTTGAAAACAGGCACAAGACAAGGATACCCTCTCTCTTCACTCCTATTCAACATAGTATTGGAAGTTGTGGCCAGGACAATGAGGCAAGAGAAAGAAATAAAGGTATTCAAATAGGAAGAGAGGAAGTCAAATTATCTCTATTTGCAGGTGACATGACTGTATATTTAGAAAACCCCATCGTCTCAGCCCAAAAACTCCTCAAGCTGATAAGCAACTTCAGCAAAGTCTCAGGATACAAAATCAATGTGAAAAAATCACAAGCATTTCTATACACCAATAATAGACAAACAGAGAGCCAAATCATGAACAAACTCCCATTCACAATTGCTACAAACAGAATAAAATACCCAGGAATACAACTTACAAGGAATGTGAAGGACCTCTTCAAGGAGAACTACGAAACACTGCTCAAGGAAATAAGAGAGGACACAAACAAATTGAAAAACATTCCATGCTCATGGATAGGAAGAATCAATATTGTGAATATGGCCATACCGCCCAAAGTAATTTCTAGATTCAATGCTATCTCCATCAAGCTACCATTGACTTTCTTCACAGAATTAGAAAGAAACTACCTTAAATTTCATATGGAACCAAAAAAGAGCCTGTATAGCCAAGACAATCCTAAGCAAAAAAGAACAAAGCTGGAAGCATCACGCTACCTGACTTCAAACTATACTACAAGGCTACAGTAACCAAAACAGCATAGCAATTGTACCAAAACAGACATATAGACCAATGGAACAGAACAGAGACCTCAGAAATAACAGCACACATTTACATCCACCTGATCTTTGACAAACCTGACAAAAACAAGCAATGGGGAAAGGATTCCCTATTTAATAAATGGTGTTGGGAAAAACTGGCTAGCCATATGCAGAAAACAGAAACTGGAACCTTCCTTACACCTTATACAAAAATTAACTCAAGATGGATTAAAGACTTAAATGTAAGACCTAAAGTCATAAAAACCATGGAAGAAAACCTAGGCAATACCATTCAGGACATAGATATGGGCAAAGACCTCATGACTAAAGCACCAAAAGCAATGGCAACAAAAGCCAAAATTGACAAATGGGATCTAATTAAACTAAAGAGCTTCTGCACAGCAAAA
Source organism: Homo sapiens (assembly GCF_000001405.40). Lineage (NCBI taxonomy): Eukaryota > Metazoa > Chordata > Mammalia > Primates > Hominidae > Homo > Homo sapiens. The sequence goes on from NC_000013.11 coordinate 37,607,542, forward strand.
GAAACTATCATCAGAGTGAACAGGCAACCTACAGAATGGGAAAAAAGTTTTGCCATCTATCCATCTGACAAAGGGCTAATATTTAGAACCTACAAGGAACTTAAACAAATTAACAAGAAAAAAACAAACAACCCCATCAAAAAGTGGGTGAAGGATATGAACAGACACTTTTCAAAAGAAGACATTTATGCGGCCAACAAACATATGAAAAAAAGCCCATCATCACTGCTCATTAGAGAAACGCAAATCAAAACCACAATGAGATACCATCTCAGGCCAGTTAGAATGGCGATTGTTAAAAAGTCAGGAAACAACAGGTGCTGGAGAGGATGTGGAGACATAGGAACGCTTTTACACTTTTGGTGGGAGTGTAAATTAGTTCAACCATTGTGGAAGACAGTGTGGAAATTCCTCAAAGATCTAGAACTAGAAATAGCATTTGACCCAGCCATCCCATTACTGGGTATATACTCAAAGGATTATAAATCATTCTACTATAAAGACACATGCACACATATGTTTATTGCAGCACTATTCACAATAGCAAAGACTTGGAACCAACCCAAATGCCCATCAATATTAGACTGAATAAAGGAAATGTGGCACATATGCACCATGGAATACTATGCAGCCATAAAAAGAAAAAGTTCGTGTCTTTTGCAGGGACATGGATGAAGCTGGACGCCATCATTCTCAGCAAACTTACACAGGAGCAGAAAACCAAACACCGCATGTTCTCATTCATAAGTGGAAGTTGAACAATAAGAACATATGGGCACAGGGAGGGGAACATCACACACTGGGCCCTGTCGGGGGTTGAGGGGCAAGGGGAGGGATAATATTAGGAGAAATACCTAATGTAGATGATGGGTTGATGGGTGCAGCAAACCACCACAGCACATGTATACCTATGTAACAAACCTGCATGTTCTGCGCGTGTGTCCCAGAACTTAAAGTGTAATAAGAAAAATAAAAAAAATTGTGTCCATTGGGAAATGGTGTTCAAACCCCAAGACTCCTGGTAGACCTAGAAATGCTTACAGAGTTCTCTAACCTGTGGTTAAACTAGATCATGTATGTGAAAGTACTGTGAAATATGCCAACTGCTATACATCAAATGGTTACCTTATTTATATTTTATTTTTAGAAAATCATCAGAAAATCACCCTGCTGATGGTGTTCCATCTTTCTGTATTCCTGGATTACATTTCCCTTTGGGATTTTGTGTTCAATTAAATACAGGGTAAAATATCTATCTACCAAGGCAGGACATTCTTTGAGCTCTTAGAGAAGAAAGGACTTTTAGTAATAAAGAAAATTTAGAAAATATTAGAAAATAATTTAGAAAAACTGGATGATTTTAGCATTTAGTAATATGAAGTATCACATTGCAGATTTAAATGTCTGACCTCTAGTGGTTGCAACTTCTTTTTGCAACTGTGAACTCAAAATATTGTGATTGATAATGTTTAAGTTAATTGTCAGTTAAACTATTTAAGAAAAGGGATAAGTAATATTTATAAACGCCACTTACCATTTGTGTGCTTTCCATTCCTTCTAGTAGATCCAGATTTCTTGGTATCATTTTGCTCAGCTTGAAGAATTTCCTTTTGCATTTCTTACAAAGAGAGTTTCTAGTGACACATTTTCTCAGCTTTTACTTATTTTTGTTTCATCTAATTTTTAGAAGAATATTTTCTATTCAAGAAAATTCTAGGTTGACTTTTTCTTGTTGGCAGTTATTATAAGTTTTTTTCTTTTATTTTCTGGATTGCAATGTTTCTGATAAAAGTTGACTCTCTTGTCATTTTCCTCTGAATACAATGTATCTTTATTCCTATGGATTTCTTTTCCATCTCTGGTTTGGGCAGTTTGTCTGTGGTGTGCTGAGATATGGATCTCTTCATATTTATCTTGATTGGGACTTGTGGAGATTCTTGGAACTATTACATAAACTGATGTCATGAAAATTACAAATACATTTCCCTGGCTTCAAACCTTGGGGCTTTTGTACTCTGTAATTTCTCAGAGAAAAATAATAGTGATACTACAATGGCATTTACAGGCTTTTCAAGGCCCTGACAGGGTGTGTACAGGTCAAGGAATTTACAGAGATGTGACTTTTTCTTGTGAAATGGGTATTCATGTAAAAGCGGCTGGAGATTGTTTTTTAAGTTTCAGGTGATTTAAAACCAGAGCCAGTTGTGAAAGCAATTTGAGGGACTAAACTAAGAGTCGACTTTCAATTTGAATATCAACCACACTCAAAAAGACATAGGGACCCAGTTTTCTTTGTTTTGATCTAAATCGCCATGGGGAAAAAAAAAAGGAAAAGAACTTCATTCCCTGGTCTTACAAAAACCAAAACTAGAGCACTCACTTTAAGTCTGAGGGCTGGGAAAATTAACCATGACACCAAGTATACTAATTTAATTTGTCCATGTCCATGCCCTGATGTGGAACTCAAAAAGGCCATTGACAATCAGAAAAATCAAACAGCCTAAACTAGAGAAAATTTGATATGAAAAGATGGAGTAAATAATTAATTACATAGGAATTATCACTAATAAATTCTGTTGTGTACATGTCAGTGGCTCTTCCAACATCTATAATAACTACTGATAAGTAAAAGAGTCAACCTAGAATTTTTCTTGAATAGAAAAGATTCTTCTAAAAATTAGATGAAGCAAAAATAAATAAAAACTGAGAGAATGCATCATTAGTGACTAACGGAAATTCTTCAGACTCAGCAAAATGACAACAGGAAATCTGGACTTACTAGTAAGAGTGGAAAGCACAGAAATGGTAAATAGTAGGTTTTTTTGTTTTTTATTTTGTTTGTTTTTTGTTTTTTGAGATGGAGTCTTGCTCTGTCGCCCAGGCTGGAGTGCAGTGGTGCAATCTTGGCTCACTGCAACCTCTGCCTCCTGTGTTCAAGCAATTCCCCTGCCTCAGCCTCCTGAGTAGCTGGGACTATAGGCACGCGTCACAACACCTGGCTAATTTTTTTGTATTTTAGTAGAGACGGGGTTTCACCATGTTGGCCAGGATGGTCTTGATCTCCTGACCTCGTGATCTGCCCGCCTCAGCCTCCTAAAGTGCTGGGATTATAGGCATGTGGCACCGTGCTCGGCCTCTCCTGTGATTTATTTTCAAAATCCTTCCATTTTAAATTCTGGAACAACTATTTATTTACTTATTTCATGGTAAAAAGTATTAGTTTTAAATAATCACCTTCTACTTTGAAAATAATTATGAACAGTTTTCCATACCTGAAACCTTGGTTCTCTCCTGAGAAAACCACGTCTCCATGTAGCCCTGACTTGTGGTTGTGGTTTACTGTCCAGATTCCATGTATCTGGAGAGCAAGAGGGGAGGATGGAAGCTGAATCTTTTTATACTTTCAGTATGCCTTTCCCAAAGTGCTGGGATTACAGGTGAGAGCCACCACACCCATCTAATAGTAGGTGTTTATAAAATACTGCTTATTCCTTTTCTTAAACAGTTTCAAAGACAAACCACCATTAATCACAATATTTAGAATTGATGACTATAAGTAAAAGTAAAATTACAGACATCACAAATGATGTAGGATTAATGGATGTTTACTATTGATTAAACTTAATAATTGTAGGGACTTTATACTTACATAGGGAAGAAAATGTTTTTTACCATCATCCAGCTAATTTGGACTCTAATGTATTGTTATAGGAATTGTCTACATCACTGGTTGTCAAATCTAACTGCACATTAGGATGGTCGGAAAGAGCTTTTAAAAATACAGATAGCCATGCAAGGCCATCAATCAAGAAAAAAATCAGTACTTCCCCAGGAAACAAAAACCAGACAGGACTTGGAACCATTGGTTTAGGTAATCATGACAAAAAGTGTATCAGTTGGAGTTTGTTGTTTCTTTTCACTTATTTCTATTCATTTCTCCAAACAAATGCTTTCAGCTACTGTTTTTTTTTTAGCACGTAAAAATCTCCGGAGGAGATAAAATATTTAGAACTCAAGATAAAGACTGTGTTTTTAAAGGTTAATTCAAAATGAAGCAATTAGATTAGATTATTCTTAGGATCTTTTTTTTTTTCAATTCAAGCAGTGTTTTCTAATTTCACACAACTGAAACGTATGAAAGTGAGATGGACAATGTTTGGAGTTAGCCTATGGAATGGTGTTCCTCCAAGTCATCAAATCTACAGCATAGAAAGGGTAAAAGCCTGGGTTGAAAAATTCCTACTGAGTAGATTCTCAGAGACCAGCAGAGACACTCTTCTTCATCCTTCTAACATCTTCCAACTACTTGATGATGGCTGAAATTCCACTCTATGGAAGACATTATTTTAAAGAATTTCATCTGTTAAGGTACACCTTTCCTGAAAAGTAGTAGTAACTCTTTAATCTGTCATCAGCTGTTTATTTTTTAAGGTTAAAATGAGTTTATGGTCCTCCTGTCTGAGATCAGATTCTGCTAGAAAAAGCTACGGAAAACCCTGAGCAAACTTGTTTTAAAGTTTGTACCATGGGGTCTTTCCCTTAGCAAAGATTATTTTATCCTTAATTCTCTTCTTTCATTTTTCTCTATGATCTTTCTATCTGATCATTCTTTCACAGATACTTATACATTCCCATTAACGTTTAAAGGGAAGTTTGGATCTTAGCAAAAGTAAAAAGACTTAAAAAAATTAACAATTAAAGACATGAGGCCAAGAGAGAGACAGTGCTGTATATTTTAAAGAGGCTGTTACTTTGGCAATCAGACGGCTTGGGCTGAACCCTGAACTTTCCAGTCATCAGCTGTGAGATCATTGGGAAATAGCTTGACTTCCCCTTGCCTCAATTTCCTTAGCTGAATAATCAGCTAACAATATCTGTCCGTTCAATTCCTCAGACATGTTTTAAGACTTATTTATGAAGGAGGAGAGAGGTTTTAAGTAAATGTCCAAATGGAATAAATCTCATATCTTGTCAAAGTTGACAGAACTGAGTATCACTATAGAAATTACAAAATTTGTATTGATTTATGTCAAGTTAGGCCTTTAAAAGTCACTAAGCAATACCCACTTTTCAGTCTTTATAGGAATAATGATTGACCTCAAGAAACTGTTGTACGATAACACCAAAAATAACAGTGCTAACACCCAGAGTTATTTTTTGTTGAAGATGGAGTGGGCTGTGTGCAAAACTGTGTTTTAAACTACAAAGCGGAGAGAGGAAGGAAATATAAAGTTATAGGATTAAGACACCTCTGTGGGGAGAAAACCATGTAGAGGTACCTGCTCAAACTATTCAGAAAATGAACTCTGGGGAGATAATGGAACTTCTCTAAATTAAAATGAAAAAGGACATATCTAAAATATTACTCAAATGTATAAGGATGATATACAATAACTTTCCATATATCAAACTCTTGGCCTCAAATGATCCACCTGCCTTGGCCTCCTATAGTGCTGGGATTACAGGTGTGAGCCATTATACCTGGCCTTAAATTGAACTTTCAAAATCCCTTTTTAGTATTTTCTCTAGAAAGGTGCAAGATCTTTTGTTGTTATTTTTGTTTTTTGATTGTTTATGTTTGGCTGCCAGAAGACACAGAAAGTTGCTACCGACAAAAGTAAAGAGCATCTTACAGAGTTTCAGTTCTGCTGATATGTCCTGAAAAAGCAACTATGGCTTTGTACCCTTATTACCATGTACAAATGCACTGTCCAAAAAGGAGTTTTGGATTCTTTTGCATAGTGACTTCAAGGGTAAACCTTTACATAACTTCATTATGAGGTTGCGCGAAATTATAGCTTAGGGTTTCTGCTTATAGTCTTTGCACATCTTATCTATATGCTACTGGGGCTTATAGAGAGAAAAGTAATCCTATGACTATGTCAAGATCAGTGTTGCTATTCCTGTTGGGGATCATGTTACCATAGTAATATATTCCCTGAGGCTTAGAAAAGACTTATTTTGCTTAAGTGCTATTTTTATTTTATTCAAAATGAAGTAGAGATAAAATCATAAAAAGGTTTTTCTGTTGCCCTTAGATTTAATGCCGATTTCAAGCAGAAGGATAAAGAGTAATCAATGCATATCTGTTTAGCAACTTTCTTTTATCTATGTGCTGGCTTCTCAGGCCAGCGTTATGATGTGAATGATGAGGAGAATGGAAATTAGTTTCTGTGTTTATTTTATTTTCCCTTTTGATTTGTGGTTTTTCTGCAAAGGAGGAGGATCAACTCCACTCCTCAAAATTTGGAATGAATTTCAAGACTGATGATGCCAGGCATATGTAAAGAAAGTCTAGAGATTTACTACTCTCTTAATAACGCCTTCTCTAGAGAGCAGGATGGGCTCCCAGGAAGGTTCAAATGTGGCTTGACAGATCAGGAGGAGAGGGACTGACTTAGGCTTTTATAGGAGTTAAAGTCCTTGGTCTAGGTGAGGGGTCTTGCACAAGAGTGTGGGTTTGCTTGGTTTGAGCTTCCCACCAGTGCTGAAAAAGGGAGTGTGTGTGGGCTTTCCTAATGGCTTGTCTAGATGTGAGGTGAGAGAGGAAAAGGAGTGGGGCTTGAAAGCTGTTAGAGGTCAGATATCGAAAATAGACCACTCACCATTTTTTAATAACACCTTTATTATCGAAGCAGATTGTAAAGACATGAGTGAAATTTTTGTATACAAATATACATACAAATATGTACAGGTGTGTTTATGTATACATGTGAATTCAGATATCAATAAAATAAAATGACAACTTTTACTCGCTAGAGGTCCCATGCATCATTGGAATGGTTACTATGGAGCTGTCCTGGGATACTCTTCTATAGCAATAGTGAAGACAGGTGAGGAATAACCTAATTTTGAGCAGCACGTCCTCCTTTCCTACTCTTTTTCCTGCCCCTCCTTCCTTTTTCTTAGTGGAATTTGTGGATGGGAGGTAATGATATTCTTTAGTTCATGGAATATTATCAGTATAGAAAAGTTAAGCCTCCTCACTTGTTCTATTTCATTATTATTTTCTTTTTTCTATAAAACTCACTGCACAAGGCGTTTCTCTTCTTCCTATAGAAACTCAGTTGATTGTAAATACATGTGTGTGGTAGAAAAAAATGTATTTTTCTGTGTGCATATTATGAGTTTACACAAATAATATTTTGCTATAGATAATGCATATTTTACTCAATATTACACATTAAAATTTATCCATGTAGCTATATGCAGATTGTTTAATATGTCAGACTGCTGCATAACATCCAAATATATGCTTTCGGAACATTGTAGATATCCGATCCCTTAGTGATAGATGGCTAGAAATCTGTTCTGTATCCTGTGCTCTTTCTATAATGTCCTGAACTACCATTATGTCCCCAATCCTCCACTTAAAAGTAAACGCATTTTTTTCTCCAAGGATCGTGTGTGTGTGTGTGTGTGTGTGCATGCACTACATTCTAGCATCCTTCAACCTCTCTCTTGCTTATGTGGCATCTGTAAGTTGAGTTTAGGTAAGAGAGCCACTAGCCCAGGTTTGTTTATTATAGTTTTTTGTATCTCAACGCACTGTGAAACACTTAATTTCATTTCATTAACTACATTTTATTGATAAGGCAACTAAACTCTTGGTGAAAGTAAGTTACAGCAAATCCTATGTGATGAATTGTGAAGTAAAACTAAACTCTTAGGACCTCTTACAGTGCATTACCTTAGTCAAAATAAGTCTTTAACAACTGAATTGTGACAAATTCAGCTCAATTTTTTATTACAGTCACTAGTGCTTAGTAGCACCCTGAAGAAGTTCTACGAAGAGACTGAATACTATAAATTATTATTACAAATTCACTTTCAAACTCTCTGAACTTGACTTGGCATGAATGCCGTGCCTATTATACCACTACATAGTCTATACACATGGTTTAAATACAGCTAAAAGGTGTTGCCCTACCACAGGATGACATCATGTTCTGAAGAATGCCAATTAAATCTCATGTAGTATGATAGGCCTATAGAGGATTCTCTAAAATATAGCATTTAATCAGTAGTAGATGCCATTCAGTAGCACAATTCCTCAAGGCTGGTGCTGTGATATAACTTGTGATGCTGGCTTAGGAATCCAGAAGTTTAGATTCCTGTGTTGCTTTTATCTCTAACTTGCGATGCAGCCTTTTAAATATAGTTTTACTTCACTGAACCTCATTTGAAATTAGACTGCTAGAATAGATTATTTTAAAGATGCCCTCCAACTTGAAATTCTATGTTTATAACACACTGTTAATTTAAATAAAATAACAACTCTCAAATATTCCTCTGAATAAGGAATGTAAAAAATTGTTTATATCTTCATTCATGATGGTACAAGATGAAAGTACCAATGGTTATTTTTGGATAAATATTTTTATAAATGATTATGCCTTTTAGATGTATACCAATTAAAATATTATGACTGCATAATAATATATTAAGTAAGATAATCAATTATGATGACAGCATTTTTAGAGATGATAAATTCTAAAATTTATCACTATTACTTCTCTCTGGGTTAAAGAAACAATTTCTGATGCAGGGAACAAGTTTTATGATAACAGAAAACAAACAGAAAGTTACTAGCTAAGCAGTTTCACAGAAGTCTCCATATGGGAGGAACAAACAAGATTGATATTGACTTAGCATCTATTAGGTGAGATTCATTGAACTAGTTGTAAGAGTGAAAGTGGCCTGTCTCCACTGAAGCTGCAGTGGAAGAAGAATCATCTAATCATTTATACATTTCTGAGATTCCTTTCAATAGGGGCATTCTCAAATGTAAACCCTGGGTTCTCATGAACAATCATGGACAGAAGAGGGCAGAACTGAAAAACTCAAAGCATGAAATATGTAGAAGAAAAATGGCAAAGAGTTTGTTTTTAATAGCATACAGTATGTGATCTTCTTCTATAACATTCAAGCATTTGTTATTGAAACAAAGAATTTGTGTCTCCGCATAGTTCTACTGGCTCTGTGATGTTGGCAACTTTTTAACCATTGTGAAAATCAGTTTCATCATCTTTATGATGGGAATAATAACATATTATTTAGAAAGTATTAGAGTCAGTATTTGTAAAAAATCTACAGTACCTGAATAATATTTTGTAGCTTTTCTTATATTTAGTGTTAATGTCTGCTATAGGGAATTAATAAACAGGGAGAGTAGAAACTCTTAAGTGCATTAGAGTATGTTTATACTATCAGCTGAGTTTGTTGTTGATGTGGTTAGGCTTTGTATCCCCACTCAAATCTCATCATAAATTATAATCCTCATAATCCTTATAATCCCCATGTGTCAAAGGAGAGACCAGGTGGAAGTAATTGGACCATTGGGGGCATTTTCCCCCATGCTGTTCTCCTGATAGTGACTGAGTTCTCAGGAGATCTGATGGTTTTATAAAGTGCTGTTCCCCTTTTGCTCAGCACTTCTCCTACCTGCCACCTTGTAAAGAAGGTGCCTTGGTTCTGCTTTGTCTTCTGCCATGATTGTAAGTTTCCTGAGGTCTCCCAGCCATGCTGAACTGTCAGTCAATTAAACCTCTTCCCTTTATAAATTTCCTAGTCTCAGGCAGTTCTTTACAGTAGTGTGAAAATGGACTAATATAGTTGCCAACGTAGAAATTTCCCCCATTGGGAAAAAATACCTTAGATAGTTGCCTCTGGATTTGGAACCAGACTGTGGTTACTTCCTGCCTATGACATAGTCTCACACGCACCAGTGCACAAACTCACACATAGCTATGTTTTCAAAGGTCAAAATCAGTTTGAAGTTATCCTTCTGCCACTCTGTTCCTGATTGAAACTCATAATTCTTCCTCCTATACTCATGAGTAAAGGGCTTGGAACTTGCATTCCTCACATTTTTTCAAGTCTCCTGGTCTCTTCTGTAGAGCAATTCCTTCACAGATGTCATCTGCTTCTTAACAGAGGGTGAGAGGTTGGAAATAAATAGATTGCTGTTGCAATAGCTTATGCTAGAAGAGTTAAAACTGTGTCAATTGCCATTATTTTTCTACTTGAGTCAAGTCAAAAGAGCATTCTGATACGAGGAAAAAGCCAGCATTGCTCCTGAGAACTAGTGACCCACGTGGGTGAGAGGATAACAGCAGAGAGTAGTGTCCCTATTTGTTCTCTTTTTACCAGCCAATAGCCAATTCTGTTCAACAGCTAAAATCACCCATCCCAGGATGTTGCAAGATACAATATTCATCTTATTTTAGAGGCAGGCAAAGGACTGTGTATCAAAAATTTCATAGCAAATCTTAAAAATGTGGTACTTGGAAAAACAACATTTATGTTTGCTCTCAGCTAAACTGTATGCAACTAACCTTTGTAAAACATCACATTATGACAATAGAATCTGCTTTGACTCTATATTGCTGTAATTGCTTCTTTTTTCCCTGCACGCAAAGCTAATTTTGGCTTCCATAGTTTTTGACTTTTTACTTGATGCAATTATATACATCACTGACCCAATAATCAAATGATAGAAACCTTTATCAGAGTCTACAATGATTATTGTTGGTGGGGACATGAATCAATGGAATACAGCACAGATAAGAAAGACAGACAGACAGATGTGAAAAATTAGGGTAGGCACAGCTGGTTAAGACTGTTCTGCCTTTATCAGCTGAAAACACAAGATTCAAAAACATCTTTAATAAAAAATGCACATACTGTCACATCATATTCCAGTTTTATTTCGTAGATAACTACCTAAGCTAATTTCAGGATGGATTTCTTTAGACTTTTATGGTGTCTGTACACGTAGATGCTCTGTAAAGGCAGAAAGCAATAAAAGAAAAATCTTTTTTGTTTGTTTTTATAAACAAACAATGGTTCTCTGACAGGTTCTCTAATGTGAGAGGAAACAATTAATTATGATAGTAATTGTATGTTTAAGAGACAATAGCTTAGTATTTCTAATTTCCTCGTAATTTTATTTTTAGTATAATATAATAGGTAAGTGCAAACAATGTAACTCCAGCTAGCTGAAACATGAGGATCTGTAAAAAAGAAAGAACACCGTATCTCTCAATTTACCATGACTGAAAGAACCAGCCCAAATAGATTGTTCAGAAAGTCAGCTTGCATTATAAATGAAGCTCAGTGTATTCTGCCTTTCTTTTCTCTCTTACTGTCAAAGACTATGATATAACCAAAACAACATGAGCTTCAGAATTTAAAATATCCAAGTTCAAATGCCAGCTCCACTAGCTTTTAGCTGTGAGTCACTTGCAGAAATTACGTAAACTCTCTTTTAAGTGAAATGGGAATGAAGTTTATCAGATTGAATTCTTATGAAAATTATGCTGAGGTAAAGTGTTTATTCTAAGAGGAGTTAATTTTTCTTCTGTCTTCATCCTCCTACCCCCCATTACCTTTTGACTTTTATCTTCTTTTCCTCCTTCCTTTTGAAGTGAGATACTTAATGTTAAAATCTATCACATTCCACAAACATGTCATTTGACTTTGGGTATAATACTAACTTTTCTCAATCTTTTTTCTTCACTGAGAAAACTGTGAAACTGTAAACTATTAATAAACTTTATGAGTTACATTAAATAAAATATGTCTGAAAATCTCTCAAATGAATGTTCAAAAAAGTACTTCTTTGTTAAATTTTCTATGAAATTTATAATTTTAGGTAACCACTGAGTTTATAGACATTTTATTATTCCTATTTCTTTGACTTGATAGAGGAAATCAGAATGGCAGGTGAAATGGTAGTATGAGAAAAATTTCAAAAACTTTATTCAAAAATATTTGTTAGGTATACACTAAAACCCCAGGACTTTTATAGACACTGCAAATATAATCATAAACAAGATGGGTAAATCTCCTGCCCTTCTAGAGAATATTTCAGAGAGAGAGGCAGAAAATACACAGAGAAGCAACACATAAGTTTCTGGTTAAGAAAAATGTTAGATAGTCTGATGATTTTTAAATACTGTCATAAAAATTGAGAGCTGGAAATTACCTTTAACAACCTTGTAGGCCGGGCGCGGTGGCTCACGCCTGTAATCCCAGCACTTTGGGAGGCCGAGGCGGGCGGATCACGAGGTCAGGAGATCGAGACCATCCCGGCTAAAATGGTGAAACCCCGTCTCTACTAAAAATACAAAAAATTAGCCGGGCTTAGTGGCGGGCGCCTGTAGTCCCAGCTACTTGGGAGGCTGAGGCAGGAGAATGGCGTGAACCCGGGAGGCGGAGCTTGCAGTGAGCCGAGATCCCGCCACTGCACTCCAGCCTGGGTGACAGAGCGAGACTCCGTCTCAAAAAAAAAAAAAAAAAAAAAAAAAAAAAAAAAAAAACAACCTTGTATAAAAATTACAGTGGATTCCTTATCTTCTCCTGAATAAACTTTTGTCATACTTTAGCAAATCTCGATTTTTTCTTTCTTAGTTTTAAGCAATAATTCTCAAGCTACTGTTGATTTCACTTACTGTTTTTATTCAACAAATGAATAAATCTATCGCTACTTAGGACTCCTGGTTAGAATCATAATCTCTAATTAAAAACCCATCACATGCCATCTCACCTGGGTTAAGATTCCCTCGGAAACACAATCAAAATTGAGATTGATTTTTCCCAGACAGAAAAGTAATAAAAATAATGTTTCCACTTTCTCCCCAAGTGCACCAAGAATGTGACAAACCAAGTATTTTGGTAAACCTTGAAACACACCAGACTACTCTGTTTTATATCTTTGTTATATGGTTAATTACCCTTAATGTTATTTTTCCAGTCATCTATTTTTCCTGTGATTTCTTTCTTTCTTTTTTTTTTTTTTTCTGAGACGGAATCTCGCTCTGTCCCAGGCTAGAGTGCGATTGCGTGATCTTGGCTCACTTCAACCTCTGCTTCCCGAGTTCAAGCTATTCTCATGTCTTAGCCTCCCAGACAGCTGGGATTACAGGCACCCACCACCATGCCTGGCTAATTTTTATATTTTTAGTAGAGACAGGGTTTTACCATGGTTGGCCAGGCTGGTCCTGAACTCTTGACCTCATGATCTGCCCACCTCAGTCTCCCAAAGTGCTGGGATTATAGGCATGAGGCACCGTGCCGGCCCTCTCCTATGATTTCTTTTCAAAATCTTTCCATTTTAAATTCTGGAACAACTATTTATTTGCTTATTTCATGGTAAAAACTATTAGTTTTAAATAATCACCTTCTACTTTGAAAATAATTTTGAACAGTTTTCCATACCTGAAACCTTGGTTCTCTCCTGAGAAAACCACCTCCCCATGTAGCCCTGACTTGTGGTTGTGGTTTATTGTCCAGATTCCACGTATCTGGAGAGCAGGAAGATGGAAGCTGAATCTTTTTATATTTTCAATATGCCTTTCACCGTATTGCTCTTCTACCCTGTAAATCTAATGTTAACTTACTCTAATCTATGTTGTTCTTCTTTATTTCTGCTGTTCCCCAAGAAATTCTATCTTTATATTATTTGACCTCTTGAAGCTCTGTCAATGTAAGCTACTTTCTCTTGAGAGAGTTTTCTTTCTTGCATTTCAATATTTTCTACTATCTCACTGGCTACAGTTACCTAGATTGTTTGGTTATTTCCTTTCACATTGTTTATTCCTTGAACTACACATCCACCCAGGCTACAGACCTGAGTATTCTACTTGACTTCTCCATTTTTCTTAGCTAACCATCAGCTTGAGTTGGTCTTTCAAATCAAGCACTAGGATATACATAAGTTTAATTGGCACATGTAAACTTCAGAATTGTATATAAGCTTACTTGATATTATTTGTGATCCTCTTAATTTTGTGTGTGTTTAGTAACTACTTGAACTGACAGTCCTCTCCAAAGACTCATGTTGAAACTTAATCCCACGTGTGGCAGTATTTAGGGATGGGGCCCTTAAGAGGTGATTGGATCATGAGGACTTTGCCCTCATGAATGGGTTAATCCATTTATGAATCAATAGGTTAATGGGTTATCATGGGAATGAAACTGGTGGCTACATAAGAAGGGGGAGAGCAACCTGAGCTAGCACACACAGCCCTCTCACCATGTGATACCTTGCGCTGTCTCAGAATCCCCACCAGCAAAAAGGCTCTCGCCAGATGCAACCCCTTGACCTTGGACTTCTCAGCTTCCATAATTGTAAGAAATAAATTCATTTTACTTATAAATTACACAGTTTCAGGTATTCTACTATAAGTAGCATAAAATGGACTGAGATAATAAACTTTGGTAGGTCTGCAATATAATGTGTACAATGAGATTTGGCAATAATACTAATATCTGTGGCTCTTAGACTAGCAAACTTGCCTAGGGATGCACACATGTGTACTGGTTGAGAAATACCAGCTGGTTGCATGCCAGGAGGTCTCACAAGCTGGCCTCCCTTGATGAATGACCCTTAATTCAGGGTCTGGCTCTTTGCCTGCAGGCTCTGAAATCTAACTTTGTCAGCATCTGTAGTATGGCCTCATCTCTTACAGACTCAAGTTTGTTAAATGCAGGAGGCTGTTTTCTGCAGTCAGGATGACCACTTCTTATTTCCCTAGTTATTGCTAGCACACAAACCAGACTACATGTTCAACATCACCAGTGCATTTGTTCCATGAGTAAGGCTATAATCGGTACTTAGAATCAGAAAATTAGTTTTTAGTCATGGTATCAGTGGCATCCAGCTAATATATCTTCATTTATTTCCACAACTGCGTCAGCTACAACCATAGGACCTGAATGATTTAAGTCTATTGGCTAAGAATGCTTCCAAGGAAGTATTTGAGTGGACAATGCCATCGGCTTCTCTAACATTCCTTTCCCTTTTTCTAATGGCATTTTTACCAATTGTGGTTATCCCTCCATCCTGACAGACTTTCATTGTTTAGCTACATTGACACATTAGGCCAGATTGAGCCTGTGGCTCCTCCAGCTTCTTTAAGGTGACTTGCCATTTTATGTGATCCCAGTTGTATGAGAAGAAACTCATATATGACTTAATCCTAAAATCTTTGGCATTCCTTAGTGTTATCCTAATATAATGAAAAAAAATCATGCACACATAATTCTTTATACTTAACACAATAATTTTATTTCTTCATGTTTTAAATCATAATGATAACTGAGCTTCTTGGTCCAGAATAGTAAGTAGCTATTTTCCCATTATATAAATGAGCCAGTAGAGACATTAGGATAAAGATAGAAATTGAAGTTTTTGCTTCCAAGTCCAATAGTCAAAGCAAAAAATTCTGGCCAAAATATTTGGGCTTAGGGATGCCTTTGGCTAGTTTCACTCATTAAACATGATTACAGCCAAGTTCCTTCCCAATTTAGTGAGATTATACGTATTTGGAATATTTGTATCCATGATTAGCCTGACTTCTTCAAAAACATTTATTTATCTTTAAATTGCTGTTGATAGGGACAAGAAACAGCAAATGAGGCCGGGTGCAGTGGGTCACACCTGTGGCCCCAGCACTTTGGGAGGCCAAGGCTGGTGGATCACAAGGTCAGGAGATTGAGACCATCCTGGTCAACATAGTGAAATCCCCTCTCTACTAAAAATACAAAAATTAGCTGGGCATGGTGGTGCGTGCCTGTAGTCCCAGCTACTCAGGAGGCTGAGGCGGGAGAATTGCTTGAACCCGGGAGGCGGAGGTTACAGTGAGCTGAGATCACACCACTGTACTTCAGCCTGGTGACAGAGGGAGAGTCCATCTCAAAAAAGAAAAAAAAAAATGAGTAAGGCCTTGTCAGGAGCTCAATTCTTATCCTTTTTCCCCTAATGGTTGTGGATGTAGAGTTGTGCTCATTACCATCTTCCTACTCAATTTTTTTTTTCTCATCCATAGTGAAATCTTAATCTTCAAATATCATGAACCTAGTTTTTCCACACAGGCCAGCCCATCTTTGCCTTTTCCTCTCACGCTTTCAACTAATGTAACCAATTAGTCTGGCTATGGTCTAGTTTAAGGAAGTAATTTGAACACGAATCCTCCAAAGTGGCTACATTTGTTCTTTCTACTGTCACATATAAGAGTGATGAAGTGCATTGATTTTAAAAGCTGGTGAAATTTGGGGGCATAGTTCCATGTCAGTAAAAAAAAATCCATGACTAAGTAGATTAAAATTATGAATAAGAAAAATAGCAACACGTATTTAAATCTACTTCCTATGCCTCATTGCTCATTAATCAGTGAAATTATCAGTAGATATTTATAAGTGAGGTATCTTATATTGGTTACTTAATGTATAACAACCTAGAGCATATATATACAGAAAATCCAAAACAGTTTAAAAGTTTCTTCTCATCTGAGGTCAGGAGTTCGAGACCAGCCTGGCCAACATGGCGAAACCACATCTCTACTAAAAATACAAAAATTATCCAGGCATGGTGGTGGGTGCCTGTAATCCCAGCTACTCAGGAGGCTGAGGCAGGAGAATCGCTTGAACCCAGGGGCAGAGTTTACAGTGAGTTGAGATCGCACCACTTCACTCCCGCCTGGACGAAACAGCGAGAGTCTGTCTCACCCAAAAAAAAAAAAGAAAAAAAAGAACCCCTGGGAAGTTTGTGTATACATTATGCTGTGCTGAAATGGGTAATAAATCCATAAATGGAATATTACTTGGACATAAAGAGAAAGGAAATACTAATACAGGTTACGACATGAATGAAACTTGAAAACATTATGTTCTGAAAGAAGCCAGTCACAAAATACCACATATATGATTCTATTCATATAAAAATTCAGAACAGGAAATCTATAGAGACAGAAAAGTTAGTGTTTTCTTGGGGATGGAGGTGGGTGGGAGTGGGAGCACAGGGTGGTGATAGATGAAAAGTACAGGGTTTCTTTTTGAGGCAATGAAAATGTAAAATGGACTGTGGTGATGATTACATATATCTATGAATATACTAAAACCATTGAATTATACACTTTAAGTAGGGAAATTGTATAGTATGTGGATTATATCTCAATGAAGCTGTTTAAAATGATGTTTAATCTTTAGATGCTTAAGAATGGCCAGAAAATTCACTACAATTGAGTATAAAACATACTTAGTTTTTAAACATAACATATAAAACTTGTTAGAATTGTAGTCACTTGTTTTGCTTTAGAAAAATTTATTCCCCATTTATCATCTACAGACTGGAAATCAGGTTATTCCACACCATTGAGTGAAATCCCCAAAAAGCTCCTTTTCAGAATTAAAAGAACTCACTTCTCTTTCATTTTGACATGCAAATGTGAGGATTATTTCCTCATCTCATTCTGTCTGTAGTTAAATAGAATTTTGTCATGACAAACTCCTGTAATAAATTATTTAATGACACCCAATTATTCCCAGGATAAAGATCAACTACCGAATGACTATTACTTATCTTTAGGAAATAACACAGACATCCCTTATTCTCTGTTCCTAATACTGGGTTAGATTCCCCTCCTAGATTCTCCCCGGGGACACCATAGTTATCACACTTAATTGTTATTTCCATAGGATTGAACTTTTAGTTCAATAACTTTTTGTTTTATTATTTTATCCTCAGCAAGTATTACAATGTGTGTCACAAAGTGTATGCTTAATCAATGTTAATAAAGGAGGTAATAATTATTTCAAACAGCAATTTACCATGTGGGTGAGTAAAAATATGAAGGCGCTAAATAATCAATATATCATCAATTTAATAAATTTATTCTATGTGTCAGATGAAAAATGGTGCCTTTTCTGTATTTCTTACTATATTTCTGTCTGAAAGAAAATGAAAATACATACCTAATTTAAAAAAGTAATCTCTTTTCACATTAATGAATGATGGAGAAAAAAAAAAGTGGTCTGCAAACCCTGACTGTTAAGCACCATCTATACAGAGACTAACACTATGTTTCTGATCTTACAATGTAAAACATAAGTGAGATTTTTCCTGACTTGACATTGTGAGTTCCTATAGAAAGCATTCTTCATCTTTTTACTTCCATTTTTTGACACAGAGTCAAAACTCTGATTTGGGGGAAAAATGGAAAATAATAGAAAGTGAAAGCCAAATTAGAGATCCAGATTATCTCATACATTAAATTACAATTTCCAACTTTGAGTTTTGTAAAAAGTGGCAACTTCAAATTTTATAAGAGAAGAATTCCAATTGTTTCCATTGATTAAGCAATTTAATTGCTTGCTGTATTTTCATCAGAGAATAAAAATATTATGGTATTATATATCATAATGACTTAGCCAAAACTCTAGTCTATATTTTTATGGTTATTTATTAAAAATAATTATCCTTCTAATGCAAGCCTCACAAATGATTTTAATTAACATGGGAATTTCATGCCACACTCTTTATCATTAAATGGCTATATTTTTGCTGGACACTAAATTGTAATGTTTAATGGTTTATACACAGTCTCATAAAATTATAATTTCATTATTCTAATATGATTTAGTTTATACTAATGAATTACATTAATTTTTTTTACCCAGGTTATTTTCTTTTGTTGTCATTATTCACTGTCAAAGCTAAAGCGGAATACATGATTGGTGGTTTCAATGGTAGCTACTAACAAGCTTCAAATTTAGTGAATATTCTTTAAAACACAGGGTGTCATGCCATATTTCTGCAATCTCATGCTTTTTCAAACAGCCATTGAATTTCATGAAGTGGCTTGCATTTGAACTTTTTTAATTTATTTGTTTATTTCTGGTTTCCAGTCTCATCAGAGCAATTTTTCTCATCTTTATTGCTTCTCCATCTGGTTCAAGAAGTTGTGAGAAATGTAATAGAATTGAAAAATTACTTGAGTTTTATTTTTTTTCAAACTTCAGAAAAGTCTGGCTACAACTTCAGGGTAACTGGGTTAGTTTTTATCTCATAAAAATAATTTTTCTTTCGTGTTGTCTCCCCATTTCACTGCTATTAATAACTGCATGTTTGCCAGTCAGCATTCCCCTCATCATTTCCTCTACGTTACATGTGTGATTCTATTCCTGAAGTTTACTTTTCTTCTGTAAATCTGTATGTATGTGATATGGTTTACTTATTTGTCTCCTCCAAATCTTATGTTTAATTGTGATCCCAATGATGGAGCTGGGGCTTAGTGAGAGGTGTTTGGGTCATTGGGACAGTTCCCTCATGAGTGGCTTGGTGCCCTCCCCATTGTAATGAGTTCACGTGACAGTTGGTTGTTTAAAAGAGTATAGCAATTCTCTCTTGTGCTCTCTCTCACTATGGGACACACCTGATACCTCTTTGCCTTCTGCCAAGAATAAAAGCTTCTTGTTCAACAGAAGCTGGTCAGATGCCAGCACCATGCTTGCGCAGCCTGCAGAACCCTGAGCCAAACCTCTTTTCTTTATAAATTACCCAGCCTAAGGTATTCCTTTATAGCAATGCAAAATGAACTAATATGGTATGCTACTTAATGTACTTGAAAAAATGGGAAAGACAGTATGATTATATATAAAACACAAAAGAATACAACCTTTAGAAAAAAACACATAGAATGAAATCCTCATGATCTAGGCAAAGTGCTCTTCAAATTTTCATACAAAGTAAGATGGAAAAATTGGACTTAAAATCTTAAAATCATGCTTTGTTGAAAACTCTGTCAAGAAGATGAAAAGACAAGTTACAGACTGGGAGAAAATATTTGCAAAACACATCCGACAGATGACTGGTATCTCGAATATAAAAAGGACACTCAAAAAGTCAACAATAAAAACAAACATACAAACAGTCTAATTAGAAAATGTACAAATGACATGAGCAGACATGTCACCATGATGGCATACAGATGGGGAGTAAACACAATAAATGGTGTTTAAAATCATTATCCATTAGGAAAATCCAAATTAATATCACAATGAGATATTGTTACATAGAAATCAGAACAAGTAAAATACAAATTGTTACCCACATAAAATGCTAGCAAAAAAAGAGAAACAGAATCACTCATATATTGTTGGCGAGTGTGTAAAAGGTACAGTACACTGACATGTCGTTTATAAAACTAAGTATGCAACTGCCATACTACCTAGCAATTGTAGTTCCGGGCGTCTATCCCAGACAAATAAAAATTATGTTCACACCAGAACCTGTACATAAATGTTCATAGCATTTTTATTTGTATTAGCCAAACACTGGGAACAGCCTAGCTATCCTTCCATGGGTGAAGTGCTAAACAAATGTTGTTATATCCACACCAGGGAATTTAACTGAGCAATAAAAAAGAATCAAAATTTGATAGACATAAACAAACAACTTGAATAAATTTTCAGAGAATTATGCTGAGTGAAAAGCCCTAACCTTCAAAGGTTATATGCTACATAATTCCATTTATATAACACTGATAATGTTTTGACTTGAAATGACAAAATGATAAAAAATGGATAACAAATTAGTGGTTGTCAGGGGTTAGGGATGGGTGTGGGGGTGGAGGAGAGGAAATGGAAGTATTATACAGGTATACCTTGTTTTACTGCACTTTTCTCCATTGTGCTTCACAGATATTGCATTGTTTTACAAATGGAACCTGCGAGTCTATGGATGCCATCTTTTTAACAGTATGTGTTCACTTTGTGCCTTTGTGTCACATTTTGGTAATTCCACAATATTGTAAACTTTTTCATTATTATTATATCTGTTACAGTGACCTGTGATCCTTGACATTACTATTGTCATTGTTTGGGGGCAACACAAACTGTGCCCATTTAAGATGGTCAACTGAATTCATAAATGTTTTCTGTTCTGACAGTTCCACCGACTGAATATTACCCATCTCTCTTCCTTTCCTTTGGCCTCCCTATGCCCTGGACACAACTATATTGAAAATAGGCCAATTAATAAACTTGCAAGGTCTTCTAAGTGTGCAAGTGAAAGAAAGAGCTGCATATCTCTCACTTGAAATGAAAAGCTATAGATATAATGAAGTTTAGTGAGGAAAACTTGTTAAAATCAAGATAGGGTGAAAGCTAGGCCTCTCACGCCAAACAGCCAAATTGTGAATGTAAAGACAAAGTTCTTGAAGGAAATTAAAAGTTTGACTCCAGTGAACACACAAATGTTAAAGCAGAACAGCCTTATTGCTAATATGAAGAAAGTTTGAGTGGTCTGGATAGAAGATCAAACCAGCCACAATGTACCCTTAAGCCAAAGTCTAATCCAGAGGAAAACCCTAACTCTCTTCAATTCTATGATGACTGAGATAGGTGAGGAAGCTGGAAAATAAAAGTTTGGAGCTGGCAGAGATTGTTTCACAAGGTTTAGAAAATAAGCAATCTTCATAACATAAAAGTGGACAGTAAAGCAGCAAGTGCTAATGTAGAAGATGCAGTGAAGTGTCCAGAAGACAAAACAGCCTTCTACTCGTCTACTGGAAGAAGATACTGTCTAGGACTTTCTAGCTAGAGCGGAGAAGTCAATGGTTGGCTTCAAAGCTTCAAAGAATAGGCTGATTCTCTTGTTAGGGTATAATGCAGCTATTGACTGAAGCCAGTGCTCATTTACCATTCCGAAAATCCTAGGGCCCTTAAGAGCTATGCTAAATCTACTCTGCCTATGCTCAATTGATGGTACAACAAAGCTAAGATGACAGCACATCTGTTTACTGCACGGTTTACTGAATATTTTAAGCCCACTGTTGAGAACTGCTGCTCAGAACAAGAGTTTTCTTTCATTTTTTAAAATACTACTGTTCATTTACAGTGGGCCTGGTCACCTAAGAACTCTGATGGAGAGATACGAAGAGATGTTTCTATGTGGGCTAACACTACATCCATTCTACAGCCCATGGATCAAGGACAATTTTTGACTTTCTAGTCATACTATTTAAAAAATACATTTTGTTAGGCTGTAGCTGCCATAGATAGTGATTCCTCTGATGGATCTGGGTGAAGTATGTTGAAATATTTCTGGAAAGAATTTACCATTGTAGATATCATTAATAACACTTGTGATTCATGAGGAGAGGTCAAAGTATCAACATGAACCAGTTTTTGGACACAGCTGATTCCAGCTTTCATGGATGACTTTGAAAGTTTTAATATTTTAGTGGAGGAAGTCACTGAAGATGGGGTAGAAATAGCAAAAGAATTAGAATTGGAAGTGGAGCCTGAAGATATAATTGAATTGCTGTAATCTCATGATAAAACTAATACAGATGAGGAATTACTTCTGACGGATGAGGAAAGATGTGACTTTTTTTTTTTTTTAGACAGAATCTACTCCTGGTGAAGATGCTGTGAGGATTGTTAAAATAACTACAAAGGATTTAGATGATTATTTAAACTTAGTTGCTGAAGCTGCGTAGGTTTTTGAAATGACTGACTCCAATTGTGAAAGAAGTTCTATGAGTAAAATGCTATCAAACAGCATCAGATGCTACAAAGAAAACTTTTTTGTGAAAGGAAGAGTCAATGAATGCACCGAACTTCAATGTTGTATTATGTGAAAAAATTGCCACAGCAACCCCAAAAGTCAGCCACAACCACTCTGATAAATCAGCAGCCATCAACATAGAGACAAGGCCCTTCACCAGCAAAACGATCACAGCTCACTGAAGGTTCAGGTTATTGTTTGAAATTTTTAGCAACAAATCCTTTTTAGTTAAGATATGTACATTGCTTTTGATATGTACATTGCTTTTTAGAAACAGTGCTATCACATACTTAATGGACTACAGTATAGTATAAATGTAACTTTTATATGCACTGGGAAATGAAAAAGTTTGTGAAACTTGCTTTATTGTGATATTTGCTTTATTGCAGTGGTCTGGAACTGAACCTACAATATTTCTGAGGTATTCCTGTAAAAGAACAATTCCAGGATTCTTGTGGTGACGGAAATTTTCTGTATTTTGTCTATGGTTGTGGATACACAGACCTGTATGTGTGGTAAAACTGTATAGAACTAAACACAAATACACACACGCACACACACACACACAAGTAAGTACATGTAAATCTTTGGAAATCAGCATAAGATCAGTGGATAATGAAACACATGTCAAAATCCTGCAATATTTGCATTACAGTTTGAAAGATGTTTCCATTGGGGGAAAATGGGTAGATGGTACATGAGATATGCTTGCGTTATTTCTTACAATTGAATATGAATCTATGATAATCTAAAAAACCTTTTTTTCTAATTTCATATTTGGTACTTCTAACTTTAGAAAGATGACTTAGTATAGTTTCATGTTTTTGAGATACATAAGACATTTTCATCCAGAAATTTCAAATATCAGCAACTGAGGTCTAAAGAGATGAAGGGCCTGACTTGCAGTCACTCCACAGCAGCTATGAAAAAAAATATCAGTTTCCTGCCTTCCCCCAAAGTACAGGGCATTTTGCATTCTGAATGCCAAGACAGCACAGTGAGTTGTCTGCTGGGTGTGATTAAACCTCTCAAAGTACATTGGTGCCCTGAAAGCATGTCAATGTGGATCACACTTCGTTTCCAGAGAGGTAACGTGGCTCTTTATGTGCAGCCTCAGGAAAAGGTTTTCTTAAAAAAAAAAAAAAAAAAAAAAAAAAAAGAAATTTGGTAAAAAAATTTGATTAGATCTAAAGGAAATCATAAAATAAGTCGATTAGAATTAATTAAAATCCTTTATTAAAATTATTTAAAGTAATAAAATTTTGGTACAATTCTTACTCAAGCATGGAAAAACAATGTTTGCAAATGTTAGAGAAAAGAACAATACTAACTCGCAAGGAGCTGAAAGAAGTTTAGAATGGCTGAAGTATAGTGTGTGAGAGAATGAAGCTGAGAAGCGATGCTGGTACCAGAAACCCAGCCCTGCAAGATTGTAAACGAAAGAGACAAATGAGCTTATTTGCCTTTCAGACACACCTTGTTGTCTATCAGGCATTTCTCATCACTTAAAAACCTTGTGGGCTGGGTGCGGTGGCTCAGACCTGTAATCCCAGCACTTTGGGAGGCTGAGGCGGGCAGATCACGAGGTCAGGAGTTCAAGACCAGCCTGGCTAACATGGTGAAATCCCCTCTCTACTAAAAATACAAAAATTAGCCAGATGTGTGGCAAGCTCCTGTAATCCCAGCTACTCAGGAGGCTAAGGCAGGAGAATTGCTTGAACCCAGGAGACAGAGGTTGCAGTGAGCTGAGATTGTGCCACTAGACTCCAGCCTGGGCAACAGAGAGAGACTCTGTCTCAAAAGACAAACAAAGAAACAAACAAAACCTTGTGTTTTCTCCAATAAGTAGCTCTTCTATCATGGTTTTAAAAATAGCATGCGATAATATTTCACTAGGTAAAATAACTAGTCAAGGAATTTATTTAAATAGATTCAAATGGCTCCACTATATTTAATTATTTTAGAAAAGGTTTCCGTGATACACTGTTAGATAAAAACATTTGCTAAGTTATAGGTATAGTGTGATGAAATTCTTGATAAAAATGATAACAAAACCATAACCTATATAGCTGCATGTATATTTATATATTAATACATTTGCAAAGGCAAAGGAAAAACAGGGAAAAACAGCAAATTATTACCAGTGAGTCCATTAGGAGATTAGGAATCAAGGAGAGACTGCAAACTTTAATAGAGCTACACAAAACTTTTTTGAGTAATTAAAGATAGAATTTTCTACCTTTGCAATTCAGATGATGGAGATACATGAGCTGACTGAAACAAATACAAATGTTCCTGAGCAGCACTGTCCAATAGAAATGTATTGCAAGGCACAAATGCAAGCCACATACGTATTTTTCAGTTTTCTAGTAGCCACATTGTAAAAGGAAAAAGAAACATCAAACTCATTTACTTAGTATATTTTAAATCAATACTTCATAAATACTATCAGTTCAATATGTAGCCAACATAAAATATTTATGAGCTAGTTTACATTATTTTCATACTGTCCTAGAAATCTGGTGTGTGTTTCACACTTACAGCACATCTTAATTCAGACTTGTCACACTTACAAGTGATTAATAGCCGTATGAGTATAGGAGCTACGTTACTGAACAGTGCAGCTCTAGAGGAAATTAACGGTTTTGCTACTGGTGAATTTGACTTGCAGAGACGTCTTCACTGTCAGCCTAGTAACGGTGTGACTGTATCCAGGCTTGGTCCCATTGTCCCAATCTTAGTTCAACTGTACATTGTCCATCTCTAATGTTTTTCAGTTGAGAAGCTTTGATATAATTTAATACATTTTATTATTACCAGTATGCATACAGGTTATCATAAAATCTACACTTCCAGTGAAAATGAACAGTGTATTTTCTGAAAACAGTAAGAAACCAGCTTTTTAAAAATTCTCTTAACACAACTTTGTAGAAAAACAAAAGATAATATGGTATTAATTCTGAATTTTAACTTGAATGTTTGGACAACTATATTTTCTACAAGGGCAAAGAAGACAAAATGTTCCCCAAATAAAAAGTCAGTGGTCAAGGCATTTATAATGTGATGCCTCATCCAAATATCTAGATGAGGAGGTTTTTGTTTAAGCCCCAACTTGACCACCAAACACATGGGTAAATTTAGATAATTTCCATAAATTCCCTGGGCTTTACTTTCCCCAGTTATCTACAGTGAACTTATTTAACATGATTCTAAAATTCAAATTAAAAAAGGCATGTGATAACACTGTATAAATAAAATGTCTTTTCAGACATTGTAAAATCAGAATAATGGTTTTGAAGTTAAGAGGAATGCCAGTAATATTAAATTTCTAAATTCTATGGTTAGTTTTAAGTCAGAATTTCAGATAATACAGAGAAAGAAAAATATATTGTAAGCATATTTACAGGGCCACAATGGATGGTTCTTACTAGGTTGAGTTTTAAGGACACTGAGCATGGAAGGCAGCTGTATACACCATAGAAGACAGCTAAAAATACAATGCATGAGGACTAAGAATGGACAGATTTCAAAACTTGGTGGCCTCTCTTCAATAAAGAGCTGTGAGACTGGATAGTCATTTACTCAGCTAAATCCCAGAGTTATTAAGGATTATTGAATGTTAGAAGAATATATTCTTATGCTATTGTTACTTATGTTTCCTCCACCTTTGCTAGAAAATTGACTTTGCTTCTTTGAGAACAGCATGGTGAGTCTACTATCCTTGACTTTTCATCAATTTGTTTCATCACTAAAGTATTTCAAGTTGCTGTCTACGTCAAGGCAAGAAAGTGAGTATGTTTTTGCATTAGTTTAATTGCCATCCAGTAAATAGAGTAACTAATTTAAGAAAATTTGATATACAAATATTCAATTCATGAAACAGATACATTTTGAGGATGTTTAGCACTTTGAAAAATTACTCATGATTTTATAAAATAATTCACCCCATTTTAAAAAATATAGCCAATTTCCTTACTGAAGTTAATATAGATTTATTTGCACAGAAATTTTAAGGAAAACCTTTATTACGAATAATGAGGTACATCTTTATAGCATACTTTCTTATAAATGGGACTTCCAAAATACAATTGTGATAAACAAAGTGTTTTAAACTTACCTGCTAGTCTATTAAACTGAATTTTCAACACACTCCTTCACCTAACTCAGACACAAAATTTAAGAAAAACAGATTTTTTAAGATTAAGAGAGTACGAAAAATGAGAAACATTATTTATGTAAATGAAGGTAATTTCAAAGTTCTCTGTAGCATTTAGAAATTTCTGTGGATAGAAATATGAATAGAAACGAACACCCTGAAGTACGCACTTACAAACCTCAAAGAAACAGTATTTCTTTGCTTGCTATCCTGCTGTTGTTTGACTTTTCTTATTTTATCCCTACTCCTCATCTTCATTAATGCTACATAATGTCACTACGTATTTAGAATAGCATTCAATTCTAGTGATATTAGTAACATCGGGTACTAATAATATCCAGCACTTTGTTCATACTCATAAACACATCTGTCAGCAACATCTGGGGGTTGTTAGAATCATCCTTTCTAGGGCACTGAAAAGGAGGGTCTTACTTGCTCCAAATACATTCCTCTATTACCATCATGTCCCCCTATAAAATGTCAGCACCTTAACCCCTGATATAAATAAGCTACTGGGGGAAAAAAGGTTTTGTTGCTTGTACTGTTATTGGTGTTGCTTGACGGAACAGAGAGAATTTGAAATTAAATTCTGGTAAAGTATGTAAAATGGTTATGTATAGTGTCCTTACTTTGGGAAAAAACAAAATAAAACAACAACGCACAAGAGAGGCAAAAAGAAATTAATAGAAAATATCCCAAATATTAACAATAGGCCTACAATTTCTCTACTACTGTAGGTATGATTTAGAAAAAAATGAGTATTTCAGTAGCCCCAGGATTTGCTCTGAGTCCTAATATACTTGAGATAAAGGTGTTCTTGAAACAGTAAATGCATTCATTTAGGCTTGTGTTTCTCCAAATCTATC
Source organism: Homo sapiens (assembly GCF_000001405.40). Lineage (NCBI taxonomy): Eukaryota > Metazoa > Chordata > Mammalia > Primates > Hominidae > Homo > Homo sapiens. The sequence continues at coordinate 37,634,918 of NC_000013.11, forward strand.
TGGCCCATTCCTAAATTCCCAAAAACCAGGTTTAGGAGTGAACAGGGGCTTAGTGCTCCTGGCTTTTCTGAAAATTAAAATCTAGTATTTCAAATTGAGTTCTGAGATCACATAATAAATATGTTTTTAAAATCTACTAACTTTAATGTAATTTAGTCTAAAGAATCAAATACAGCACATTTTATATTTTGCACACTTCTCTTGCTTTAGAAGAAGGGACTCTTATGAAGCATACCAAACTCATTCTCTCTCAAGGTATAGGACTTCAGAAGTGGCAATTGTAACCCCTGTATATGCATGTTTTATAACTTGCTCTTTTTATGTTCTGAAAGGCAGTTACAATGCAGTGGTGAAGGGAATGGCTCTGATGGACACATCACAGCTCCATCATGAGCTGTATTACCTTAGCCAGTTAGTGCTGGTCTCAGTTTCATCATATGTGAAATGGGGATAAAAACAGGAGCTACTTCAGAGGGCTGTAAAGAGCAGTACATAAATGTTAACAGGTGTATAGGAATAGAACAGAGGCTGGCATTGTTATTGCTGTTATTCCTTATTTTTGATGTTTGGTAATGAGAAACTGAGTGCCATAACATTATTCAGTTTGGGGCCAATGATAAATCACATGCAATTTCTGAGGTTCGCAGAGTAATTTTTGAAATAAAATGAACTTAGCATTTTTCTATTGATTTGAAATAAATGCTAATTTTATGTGGTGAAGAAACTTCCCGTAGTGGCTTAAATAGACACAAGCAATGTAAAATTTAAGCTTTAAGTTTCTAGTATCAATTTTATGTAAGTTGCGAACACTTTCCTTGTAATAGTTCAGTGAATTGTTATAAGCTAAATTACCTTGCAAACAATAGAAAGAAAAACAAGAAATAAGAATGTTTTTCCTATAGGCAAAACTATATATCTATATCTGCTGATAAAATTAATAATGATTTTTGAGTGATTTAATTTTAAAGAAATATATAAAGATTACTGGTGAAAAGAGGAGACTGCTAGTTTTTTTGTACTTCTTTTGAATTGATTACAATATTGCGTTGATTGAAAATACTGGAATTCAACTTTACTTAGATTTAGATTGTTAGAATAAATTCATTTTCATTTGGATATTATTAGTATGTAATCATCTTGCTTGTTTAAGATACTTACAATATTATGGTTTATTATTTTTTTATAACAGAAATCTTGCCATATTTTTGAAATTCAGTTATTCATAAAGACTCATATTTATACTGATAAGCAGTTGAATCTGAAATAGGTAATTAAAAAAACTGGAGGGGCGAGTTTTTTTCCTGACAAAATGTCGTTAAAAATCATCAGTCATCAAAATGTATTAAGACAAACACTTCTTTTACTTACTGAAAGGAAACCCTGGAACAACCTAAAACACTACAAAGTTTTTCTGAATTTGAGGGAGTTTAGATATGACTCCATGAGAAGAAGACTTGTTTGCTTTGTGTACAATAATTATTTACATGTCGTTAAGAAATAATTTGGTAATATTTGTGTTTTAAAGCCAAACTGTAGGACTAGGTGAAAAGTCCTTGGTGAGTAACCCTCTCTAAAGACCCTAAAAAATTATGAAAAGCTATAATATTTCAGCCACATTGGTTTTTGAATATAAAAATATCTATTTTAGGAGTCAACTACCACATGAAATAAATTGCATTTGTTTTAATTGAAAAAGATAGCTAAAATGTTTCTGTGGGTTATTGCAACAGTACAAGAATACAAGGTGCATTTATTTATTAACAAAAACAATTGTAAGACAAATTGTGAAAGCAAAAGCAGGCTACAAAACAAAAAGGTTTTTGATTGCCTTTGCCTTATTTAAACATGTTACAGGTAATATGCCACAGCTGATAAACGCTATAAAGTGTAAGTTAGCATTTGCTAATACAATTTAAACATTTTCCCCCACCCAGAGCACTACGGAAAATACGTATGTGTATGGTAAACGCTTCCTCCTTCAAGTATCACAATCTTGTGGTCACGTAATCTTCGTGGGTGACTGTGTCTGGGAGGTTTAGATCATAGTCTATACTAGAGTCCTCTTCTTTTGCATGTTTCTCCTTTGGTATTATAGGAACCGTGTCCTCCACCACCACCTTCTCTGACTTGAATGGACACACTCTCTTTCCTACCTGTAACCCCAGTGTGTCCGTATTCCTTTCTCTATGGTCTACTAACACACATTGTTCACTGAGACCGGGAATGCTCAGGTCACCCCGTGAAGCTAATCCTCGAGATTCCAGTTGAATATTTCTCTCAAGTGGTCCTGCAGCCTGTTGACGAGCAACTTCTTCTGAAACAGAGAAGATTTGGTTTGCATTTTGCTCAGCAGCATTTTGTTTTGATCGTCTATGAAATAACCCAAAGTTTTTGATATCGGTCACAAAATTCACTTTTCTCTGCTTCTCCCTGGGCGGCTCCTGAACCACCAGGGCAGAGCCATTGCTTATGTTATGTCTTTCAGAGGCAATTGCTGCTGATCTCGGATGAATCAGGGTGGTTAAATCAAAAAGGCTGAAATTCTTTTTCTTGTCCTTGCTATTACCTTCGCTATCACTCTTTTCATCTGAGTCTGCCGAATTTGAAGACTCCTTCGAGGCATTCGCAGATTGTATTGTGGAAAGTTTGCTTCCTCTTAGTAATCCCAGGACTTCAAAGCGGAAACTAGAAATGTCTTGCTTTAGTTCCTACGTAGAATTTAAAATGAAAAATTCGGTTATGACTTAAACATTTGGAAACATCATTTTCTCGTCTCATATATGGGTCAGAAATGTTTTCACTCCTTTTTAAAAACAAGGATTCTACTCTACTGTGGTTCTATTTAGAATTCCCAGTTCTCTCACGGATACTTGATGTCATTTTGATGTCGACTAATTTCCTTATTGGAATTGGGAAGGACACTTCCTAAGGCTGATGCAAAAAGAAACGTGAGTTATCTTTGCCACCAACGTGCAGCTGAGTATATTGGGTTTCCCTGGGACTACAGTTTCTCTCCAAATTATTCATCTGCTGCCAAGTTACCTCACTGTCTCTGGGGTGTATTTTATAAGATTTTTAATATTGGCCCATTTTTCTGTCCAAAGGGATGTCTGAAAATTAAGTGGAGACTAATTTAAGAGTTGGTAGTTACTTGCAGTTGTTTACTGTCTTAAAGAGGACCTTCCCCCTACATCTGGGTCAGCCTCTACATCCTGGGAATTTCTTCGGATCTAACAGCATTTCTTAGACTCATCCTTTTCCCTTGTCTTTTGGGACAACTGAATTCTCACTCTTACCCTGATGGCAACCTTCTTGGTGGCTTCCTGCCCCAACCTATCTCCTAAAGCAACATGAATCATTTAATATTACAATTTGAACTTTATGGCTGTGAAGAAAATCTGGGCTTCTAGCTAGTTTTCCACCTGCACTTTAAGTTTTGTAATTTCTCTATCTTCTTACCTAATTCACTACTTCATTCTCATGTTCAAACCTGCTATTTTCTATGTTAAATATCTCCTATAGATTTTTTTAAATTTGTTTGTTTGTTTTGGCCTGTAAGATCTTATTGACCTTAATCATTCTTCCAAAATCTCTAAACAATCACTCAATAATTTTAAACTAAATTATTTTAAACATGTGATTCAAGCATATAATATTTCACACATTTTACTTATTTCCTCTTACACAATTTAAAAACTATCAAGGAGAAAGTTTATAAGTGTATTAGTTACAATTAAATGCAAACCTTAAATTCACTGCTATCAAAGTTTTTCAGAACACACAAAGTTTTTGTTGTCAGTGTGTTAGTTAGTAAATGTTTCGGATTTAAAAATCAGGCTGAAATTTCAGAAACAGAAGCTCACTCTGGGATCAGGTAAGTCAGAATGCCATTAAGCACTAGGCTTTTCTCTGTATGTTTGAAAACAATTTATTTTGAGAAGAAATTTCACCACTTGCTTTTCTTTTCTTTTTACAGTTCTGTAGGGTTTCAGCTGAAAAATCAGAAGCCACACAGGCTTGCTGGAACACACAGCTGCATTTCCAGCTCTGATTTTAAATGTGCTCTATCTGGATCCATATTCTGCACAATCTGCCTCTTGTGATGAAGATGAAAATGGTTACCTTAAAGTTCTCTTCGGTCAGGCCTTCTTCAGTTTTAGCATCTCTAATCATTGCAGCAACGTATCGCTTCACCAGGTTCCTCATAACTTCCTGAGGCATTTTAGAACAAGAGTATTGATACTCAATGAGTAAATAAATTTCCTCCTGAGTCAGTTCTGAAGGGGGGACTGCATTTTATTTTAGTGAAAATTTCAAGACATAGTACAAGGACAACTTACTTGGTATTGGTGATGTCTTCTCAAGTTATCAGCAGCTCGCCTCTGAAAAGGAAAAGGACATTCCTTTCTGGTTATACTGTTATATTACTATTCTAAAAAATAATTTATTTTTTTAATCGATAATGTTTTTATTCTTATTTCTTCAAAGTGGGAGTTTTACTAGTCAATGGACAATGGCTAAAGAGTGCTGCACATGAATCAAAAGAATGAGTGAACAAGAGTGTATAATCTATATGACATTTGAAACACAGAATAAGTTAACAATGACAGAACTGTTGTTCTCATACAGGACACAGGATGAAGGAAAATTAGTTAATTACAGTTAATATGCACTCAACATTGACGGAATGATGCTAAGAGAAAGAGATAGGACATATCAAATAAAAATTTAAAAGTTTTCATAAATATTAACATGGCAAGATTAAGAAGTTAGTTATGTTATGTACCAGGTAATCAGAAGCCTCATTAGTCACTGAACTCTCCAATCATATATATATATATATAATATCAATCATATATACAGTAAGAGGAGATTCCTGTTTAAATAGATGGCTGGATTTAACGGAATAAATAAATAAAGGATTCTGTTGAAACACAGCATTTATTAACTCATTTAAAAAATTAAATGTGAGTCCCAGCTCATATTTTGAAGGCATCAGAATGGTTTGAGAGCAGAGGTGGGGTAAGCACAGGGCAGTGATTTGGGATTGTAGAATAGAGAGATGGATTGTTTAATGATTGAAAAAATCCCATTATGAGTTGAGTGAAATAATAAATGACATTAAAGTTATATATTTGCAGATTCTCAAGTATTCTAAAGATATTAGAAAAAAACCCTACATAATCCCAATTTTATGTATGTTGAATAAACATCAGCACTGATTCTTCAGGAAGAATATTGGGCAAAATAATATAAAATAAAAATATCTCTATAATAAAAGAATTAATTTGGTAAATTGTGAGAAAGCAAAAGGGATGATATACCTTGGTTTTAAAATGAGGCTTTTGCTCTTGTTCCTTAATAAATAATCATAGGCTGATAAAACAGAATATTGAAAAGAGCTGTGCCTACATCACTGTGAAATGATAATTTAAATATTAAACAATTTAAAAGAAACTCTTTTCTTCTCTTCAGAGAAATAGAAGAAAATGCTATTTTCACTGGCCATAAGGATGCATCTGTCTTTCATGATTAGTAGTGACTTGTAGAAACAGATGAGACAATGCTTAGGTTCCTAAAGGTCACTAATTATTTTGACTATCATTCACTTTTGCATGAGAAATACATTTTGAGAAAAACATTTAAAATAGGATTAAGTTATTAATTTAAAAACTCAGAAATTTGAAACAACACAAATGTAGAGAGCAGCTTGAAAAAGTATGGCATGGGAATTTTACGGCTGGGCCACCAGATGGAGGTGTCTGACTCATATTGAGACATAGCTCAGCTGAAACCTAAGACAAACTGCACTTCTAAAAGGAAACACACAGTCTTCTAGATCTCCTTAAATTTACTTAAACTAAAATACTAAAGTGAGTCGTACATCAATTTCTTTAACATTCTCACCATAAATATTATAACAGAGATCTGATTTTCATTATTTAAGTAGCTAGAAACTCTTAATTTAATATAGAAAGAATTTAGTCTACTTAATTTTTATTGTTTTGGGATTCTATAACATTTCACTACTGTGTTTTAGAATCCTATCCTTCTAAAATCCAATGAGGAAATTTTCAACAGAGAGCAATTAGAAGTCAGGATTTAACTTTAAATTTCTTTAACATCAAACTACAATTGAGGATGACAGAATCAGAAAATTATGAGTAATAAGTGAAAATTATCATGATACATTTTAGTATTAAAATGAGTACAAACTGTCTTTCCTTCAGTAGAATCTTACTCATCCAACGTCAAAAAATTTTAATACAAATATAAAAAGGTCAAAGACTACATTTTAAATGGTAATTCTAGGTTAATTTTCTTGGGAAAAAACTTAAAAAATCAAAATGGATTGTCAAAAAGAGAGAGGAACACTAAAAATGTTCACTATGGTACCTTTCAGGCGTTATTCAGTTTATATAGTCCAGGTTTAAGACTAAGTTAATGCGATTCATTGTTTTTGCCAACCAATTATATTCCACAATTATGTGGTAATACCACAAAACTATTTTTTAGTTTCACAAAATTTTATCAGGCAATGAACTTCAACATTCTAGCTAGAAAAAAAGAATGGATGAGGTTAACTGTCTTCTGAACCTAAAACTCAAAATGAATGCAGTGCGCTCACCAAATAATTAATGCTAAATTATGCGGCTGATAGAGCTCTCATCTGTTTAATCTCTGTTTCCCTGATTAGCATGACAGAATAGGCTGTTTAGTGATCACCATTATGCCCTTCCAGTTCCTACTTTCTAGGAGAAAGTGTGGTGTGATATTAAGAATATGGTCCCAGGGGTTACACCTGGGTTTGAAGCTGACTGTGCCTAGTCAGGGAGTTTAACTCTGACACCCTACCTCTTCCCTGATTTTTTATTTTGCAGGGTGAAGATAAACTCCATGGGTAATTCTGAAGATTAAATGAGCTAAGAGATTTATGGCATCTGTTGCTAACTAATGTTAGTTCTTGTCCTCTTTGCATTTTTTTCCTTTTTGATTGATAATGTGACTTAATAGCCTTTTAAAAATCTGATTCTCAAAGCTTGTGCATAGTAGGACACATATTATGATTACCTCTGAGAAAGTAAAATAATATACTTACATTTAACTGTGTCCCTTTGCATGATTTTGATGGTAATTCATGCTTGTGGAGCATTTCCTTCAGCTAAATCGTTAGATGCCTTCAGCTTTGGCAGTAGAGAGGTTTAGAGGTAGGAAACTTGCATGTAAGTGATAGAGTAAGAGAATACTTCTGGTAAATTTGGATAGATGTGACCCAGACTCTGTAGGCAGTCATCTTTGGAGGAGCCCAAAAGTTTTATGAACTTTTCGGCATGACATTGAATTTTTGCTATGACCCTAATGAGACAGCCATATGTGAGCGTTGATATAGAAACTCTGAGGAAAATTCAGAGGTCATAGCAAAAGAGAAGGCTGGCTAGGGGTTCCAGCCTAGTGGAGCTGTGGAATGTACCTCCTACAACATGTCGCTACTGAGAAGCCACTCTGATTTGGCATCTCATTTGGTCGAGTTACAGAGCAGAGTCTCCAGGCCTGGGGATGGGAGTTCCATCTTTGCCTTTGTCTCTGGCTGAGCTCAGGGATATTTCTCTTCAGGGACTCAGGATGATTTTCATGGGTTGAGGCAAGGAGAAGCCTACTTCTAGGGAATGCAAGATATTGGGAAAGCTGGTTGTCTACCTCAGATCTCAGTTTTTTCAGTGTAGGAACCTTGAGTTGGGAGAAATTATTTACACTCTTGGTGCCAGGCAGATTGAAGAGAAGGGCATCCTGGATATGGAAATATGATTCTTTCTTTTTCTTTTTTTTTTTTTTTTTTGAGATAGAATCTCACTCTGTCACCAGTGTGGAGTGCAATGATCTCGGCACACTGCAACCTCTGTCTCCCAGATTCAAGCCATTCCCCTGCCTCAGCCTCCTGAGTAGCTAGGATTACAGGTGCATGGCACCACGCCTGGCTAACTTTTGTATTTTTAATAGAGACGGGGGTTTCACCATGTTGGTCAGGCTGATCTCGAACTCCTGACCTTGAGATCTGCCTGCCTCAATCTCCCAAAGTGCTGAGATTACAGGTGTGAGCCACAGTGCCTGGCCAGAAATACGATTCTTTTACCATGTGCTAGGAGTTTTTCATTTCTCTGTGACCCCTAGATGGGCTTTGCCTCCTATCTGAGTCCTGGGATATTTCTGGTGATAATCCTGGCACTGTATATTTGGGTTTGGTTTTCCATGGCAGGGAGTAAAGCCAGCTTGTCTCAAGGCTCCATTTTGGAATTAGAACTCTCTTAACTTGTAGGGCTAATTTAAGGTATATTTATTAAATGACTACATGTGTATGGCAGTGGAGTGCAAGAAACCAGAGATGAATAAAGCACACTTTTGCCCTTAAATGGCTGATAGTCCAAAAGGTGGATTGCCAAGATCATGAAAGACTACACATGAAGGCAAATACAAAAGAAAACACGGGAAGTGCTGTAAGTGTGATATTTGAGTACAGGGGAGAAGGAGGTAATACTGTGTGAAGGAAAGAAGCCGTAACAGCCCTCTTATAGAGAATGCAGTATTAGATGGGTCATGAAGGAATCACAGGATTAGGACAAGGGGAGGTGCACAGGTGTTCTAGATGATTGGAGTAGGATGAGCAAATATGCTAGGGTTAGAAAGTGAGAGGCACATTATGGAGACTTCTGGCAGGATAGTTGCAAAGTCTTTGCTACTGGGAATATACAGATTAGATTGTAGTGGGAAATTAGCGTGGACTCTTAATGTAGAATTTCAGATGGCACATGAATCCAGTGGTTACTAGGCACCTGGGGATTTTGACTAGTTGAGTGACATGTGATGAAAGTGTAATTTCATTGATAGTCATTTAGCAGTAGCACCAAGTGGGAATGAGACTTCCTAGCTTCTGGTGGTGGCTGTTAATTCTTGGAGTTCTTTGGCTTGCAGGTGCCCATCTGCAATCTCATATGGTGTTTTTCTTGGGTCTCGGTCTTCACATGGCCATGTTCTTACAAGGACCCTATTCTAGTATAATCTCGCCTTAACTAAGTATGTCTGCAATGATCCTATTTCCAAATAAGGTCACAATCTATGTATAGGGGATTAGGACTTCAACCTATCTTTTTTGAAGGGGCATACAATTCAACTCATAATATATGTACTCTTTGCAATAAACATCACAATAATTTTTGGCAATTAGTGACACCATTGAATATTACACAATAGAACTACCATCAGTTATATTTAGGACATTCATATCCTTTTTTGTTGAGTAAAGATCAGCTGAACTTCAAAGGGATTTGTTACCTTAAGAGAAGATATCTTTTTCTTATAATTATCACTGGAAATGACCGAGAACAGGAGAAATGAACAATTTGTGATTCAAAGTAATATAATGAAAGCCATTTCATTTAAAAATACCTAAGTGGGTATTTAGCTTTAATACCTAAGAAAATGGGTATTTAATTTTCTTTCAAGCCATTTGCATGTTAAACTTTGACAGAGTAATCTGCATTAACTGTGTTTTTTAATTTTACTAAAAATAATAACTTAGGTAGAATTATAGCATGGTAGACCTGTGTTAGGAATAAAGGATTTCTCAGTGAATGAGCTCAAGTGTACAATATCACATAGAAATTTCTGGAACTTGTGGCCGGGCGCGGTGGTTCACGCCTGTAATTCCAGCACTCTGGGAGGCCGAAGAGGGTGGATCACGAGGTCAGGAGCTCAAGACCATCCTGGCTAACACGGTGAAACTCCGTCTCTACTAAAAATACACAAAAAAATTTGCCAGGTGTGGTGGCAAGCGCCTGTAGTCCCAGCTACTCAGGAGGCTAAGGTGGGAGAATGGCGTGAACCCGGGAGGTGGAGCCTGTGGTGAGTGCAGATCGCGCCACTGCACTCCAGCCTGGGCAACAGAGCGAGACTCCATCTCAAAAAAAAAAAAAAAAAAAAGAAAGAAATTTCTGGAACTTGCATTTTGCAGCTTTTTTTTTTGTTAAACTAGATTGGTTGTGAGTTGTGTTTAAGACAGAAAAAATGGATTTTGTGACAAATCAAGGGCTTTTCTTCCTTAACTGAGTGTCTAGGAAAAATATTTTGGAAGAAGTTCTCCTTAGGTTGGCACTTTTCTTCGCAAACTACATCAGAAGTCACTAGACTGTGTGTGGAATATTCCTTGGCAAAGTAGCTTTCAAGGAGAAGATGAGGGCATACCTGTTGCCACATTAGCATAATTCACAGTTTGCAGGTTCCTCCTAATTTGTTAGGGCAGGACAATGGCAGCGTTTGGATCAGAGAACTCATGTTAAAGAGAAAGACCATCTAGTGAGAAACTGCTGCTGCTGCAAGGAAACTCCGGAATTTCAATAGAAGTTTCAGGTTTCTTTAGAGCAGGGAAGATTTTGCAGCTAGAAAAGAGAGGTCTCTGGAGAGTGAGCTGTGACATTTTGTCACTCTTATCTCCGGTTCTCTCCAGGTCCACTATGTGGAATGTCACGCTCATTTCATGTAGCTAGTCCCTGCTGTCAATTTTCAATGCCGTTTTCTCTCATTTCCACTCTGGTTTTGGTCTAGCAGTGAATTTTAAGCCCATGAATTATGCCTTTTAGTCTTTGCTTTGCTCCTTGAATTCCTTAAGCCATGCAGCTTGCTGTGTTCTTCTCCTTTCACGAAAACTAAAAAGGCAAGAGGGCATTCCGGGATGTGATCCCTTTACAAAAAAATTGCAGTTTGGCTTCTTTGCAGATGGATCTACATATTGTTCTCTATAAACAGTCTTTCTGCACCCTTATAGCATACATCTGCTTACTGCTTTTCATGAACACATTTTCTAAGCATATCAAAATAATTCACGTGAAATGCCTGAATGTTGTATTGTCAAACCAAATATTCAGGAACTCACTCTTGAAATACCAAGAATATCAAGCAATTAATTTCTATATATCCCCGCTGGGGAAATAAAGTTTCATCAAAAGGCCCTGCCAACAAATCTTGCAGCAGTAATTTAGGAATCCGGAGACACTCACGGATGAAAACTGTCATATCTGTAAGATTTGTCATTAGGCCTACTAAGCGTCCTAAAGATTAGGGAGCGATACATTTTGACAAATCGCCACTATAAATGAAGTCTGAGAGGCATGTACTATGAGCATTTTTTCTTTAGTGATGATAGCTGTTGCTAATCTATTCACAGTTTCTAATTTCATTTGTAGTGACTTAACTGGGCATATTTCTGGGGCAGCTAGTCAGGCTTGAATATTCCACCTGTATCTCAGAGCTGTGTGATGCTCAGAGTGATCTTCCAGAGACCATCCTGCCTCCTGTTCTTCTCACCATGTGCTTGAGAGAAAACCAAAAAGCGGAAAACATAAAACTAAGGAAGTTAAAAACATTTTTTATGATTTTATCAAAAGAACTAGTATTTTTTTTTGGTTCGGTATGGTAACATATAAATGTAAACATTTCATTTAGAAACCTAGTCTGTGACATTAAATATGTCTCACATTAATGAAATGCTTTGGGGAAGTATTGTATTATAATAGCATCTTCGTACTTGAATTAAATGGATCGGGACCTTTTGAGCAACAGCATGAAGCCTGGCTTCGTTTTAGCTTAAAAAGCTCAGATCTACTATGTACTCACACGAATTAAAGATTAAAAAACTTCAAAAAAATTGTGGTAGATACCAATGCTGTCTTGAATAGAAATGTCTAGTTAAAGTTGTAAACTGGAAATGCTTGTTAAAATGGAGACTCCTGACAATTCTTGTATGCTAAAATATTTGAGAACAAATGCTGTAATGATAAGAAGGGTATTTGCTGATAAAATGAGGTTAAACAAAACATTTGACAGGAAGCAATGTCAAAAACACAAGTTAAGAGTATGTTTCTTATTTGGATAGGCTGCCTTTTTCGTGGGATTTTTATAATAGCCCAGAGAGGAAGCATCTCTCAATAATGGGTTTGCTTTCTATCACAAATGTTGTGCTCAATAATACAGCATTTCTGCTTCATTTATGCTTTCTCCCATAAAGCAGTCAAGTGAAAGATTAATTTACCTGGAACTCCCAATCAACCATTAAATGAAGTCCAGAGTTACAAAGAAATACGAATTAATGAGTTTTCAGAGCTAGTTGTATCAGTATTACTGGGAAGCCATAAATAGCACGATAAGATCATCAATAATGGGCTCCTAGAGAGTGGCCAATGTAGCAACCCTGAAGAGTACTGGTTTCCCAGGCATTTCCTGGGAACGTGAATGGAATGAGCAGCAGGGTGACATTTACTCAAAGGCTGGGTGACGAGTGTCAGTAAGTGAACTACAAATGGGAAGGTTACAGAAAAATACTTCAAAGAATGAAGTCACTTCCAGTGTAGCTTGAATTTTCTGCTTCAAAAATGCAGCATAAAGATAAGCAAGTTGAGGATAAGGGCAGAAGGTAAACCAGCCTGGTAAACAAGGGATTCGGGACACAGGAGTCTAAGAGGCAGCTGAAAACAATGATAGGATCTGCAAAGGCTGCTGAGAACAATCAAAAGACACAACAGGGAAGGTGTTGCTGCATGTTCACCAGACTTCTCAGGGAAATAAGAGAGGGTGATGGAAAGCAGTTTGAACTGGGAAACAATGGAAGACCCAGCAATTTCCCCCTGCTCTGTCTCTAAGAGAGCATGAGACAATGGGCAAAGTAAACAGGTTATCTTTTAAAAGAAATGGTTGAGCTAAATGATATCTAAGATCCCTTTGGGGTATAATGGTATATTCTAAGCCATGTGCTAGTTTCACAAAGTGAGTGTCACTGTTCCTTAAATGTCACCTTTTAATTAATAGTTGTTTGTGTATCTCATTGTCTTTGTATGTCCACATAATAAACTATCAGGAGGATTAACCAAGTTGAAATAAATTCACAGAAAAATTAATTACTTTTGATATTACTTTCTCAGTTAACCCCTCTTTTAATAATACAACCATCTTAATTTATATCTCATTTATCTTATACATTTATTTATTTATTTATTTATTGAGATGGAGTCTCGCTCTGTCACCAGGCTGGAGTGCAGTGGTGCGATCTCGGCTCACTGCAACCTCTGCCTCCCGGGTTCAAGCGATTCTTCTTCCTCAGCCTCCTGAGTAGCTGGGACTACAGGCACGTGCCACCACGCGCAGCTAATTTTTGTATTTTTGGTAGAGACAGGGTTTCACCGTGTTGGCCAGGATGGTCTCTATCTCTTGACCTTGTGATCCACCCACCTAGGCCTCCCAAAGTGCTGGGATTACAGGTGTGAGCCGCCGCACCCAGCGTTTCTTATACTTTTATAAGCAAGAACTTCCTTATAAATTATACCTATCATTTATTTTCATATAAACAAAAAATGTATAAAGCTCAACTAAGAGTAGGCATCTGAAAACAATATGTCCTTTTCATTTTGGAAATGCAGTATGGAGAAAGAGTAAATTTAGACAGCATTGATATTGATTGGGCTGGTGCTTGCCCAGGGCTCTAGATTGGTGGAAAAGACAGACAAAACTCAGAATATTTTTTAGTTTGGCATAAATTCCCAAAGCATCCAAATAGCCATTGTTGAATGTTAGTAAAATATTAATGGTTAAAAAAAAAAAAGGAATGGTTTGAGATTCTGATTAGTTTCAAATTACCTTGCTGTGCATCAGCTTGGAGCAAAAAATTCAAATATAAACACATAAAAGAAATGTGTGGGTTCCTTTTGAGACCAGTAATATATAGCAAATAAAACTGTTTAACTCTGAGAATGAATCACTACTTTAATAGAAAAGCCAATTGACTGAGAGCTCCTCTTTGCTTCTAAAAAATGATGGCAACATAATCCTACCCATGAGTCAACAGTGAGAGGATAGGAGGGAGGGTTGGAAGCCAAGTTTTTGGTCTGGTTCTCCATTCTTTTTGTTGGCAGTACAGATGGATCTCTTAAAACATCAGAGCAGGACCCTGTGTTTTGTTACAAGTTTCCTGTTATCTTAAAAACCAAGATTCTCTCTGCCATTGCCTAAAATTAAAATATGAAATACATATTTCTTTGGTGAGTAGGTATTTTTTTTTTTTGGCCCAGAAGCTCTTTCTAAATCAAAATACTCTTATGAAAGGTAGTATATTATGACAGCATTAATCATCACTATCTTATCAGAGATCAATTAAAAATGCTTATAAATTTAAGAATGAGATGGTATAAAGGATAAGTATATTTGATCTGGAAAGGAGTAAGCTGAAGTCTGGCTTCCTTGAAATCTTGTCCTGTTTACCTCAAGGGAAGCATTAATTATTTCTTGCATTTTTCCCATAACCTCTTTCATGTGACTGTATTATAATGTTAAATATACTACATAACATATCTGTTTTTATTTCTGTATCTCTCTCATTAAAATTGGTGCCCTCAAAGATGGAACCCATGCCTTCGTACCTCTTCCCACTCCTCAAATTCTAGTTCAGTTACGGCAAGGGGGACACATGCAGTAATTGCTTATTAAATCTAAGCTATTGGCCGGGCGCGGTGGCTCACGCCTGTAATCCCAGCACTTTGGGAGGCTGAGGTGGGCAGATTACGAGGTCAGGAGATCGAGACCAACCTGGCTAACATGATGAAACCCCGTCTCTACTAAAAATACAAAAAATTAGCCGAGAGTGGTGGCAGGCGCCTGTAGTCCCAGCTACTCGGGAGGCTGAGGCAGGAGAATGGCGTGAACCCGGAAGGCGGAGCTTGCAGAGTCGCGATCATGCCACTGCACTTCAGCCTGGGCAACTGAGCGAGACTCCGTCTCAAAAAAAAAAAAAAAAAAAAAAAAAAAAACAACAACAAAGAACTAAGCTATTACATTTATTCTAAAACTTTTAACACAAAAGTCAAATATCTGGAGTAAAATAATTTCACTCCCTTCTAAGGTCAGTGATAAAGTTCATAAATTAGTATGAGGATGGCAGGATAAGGCTTTGTTGTAATCTGACTTTGGTTTCTAAGGTCAGATACATTCTCAAACTGTAGTCCCCCAAATCTATGGGTAATAGTTTATGGGAAAGAATAGAACTGCATCTCCTAATCACCTCTTTGTAACATTCACTTGCCAGTCAATTTCTCTTTGGAATTAGAGTTGTTACTGAGATGAGAGGAAAATCAATGCCACTGCCAGTAGGAGAAAGCTCCATTTGGTGCTGATGACAATGCCTGGTGGGCAATGAAGTTAGAGTGGTAAGGATCTCTTAGGGCATCGCAGTCACAAACCATGTAAAATAAAATTGAAAACAAATTAATATTTTTTTATTTTTAATTAATCTCTAATATTACTTGCTAATCCTAATATGATAACATTTAAAAATACTTCCAAAGCAATTTTACTGAGAAGATCCAAGTGACTAATGAATATGAGTGTTAATTTCCAAAACATTACTATGAGAACTTTCAAAATTAGAACACAAAGTGAGGAAGGCGTGAAGAATGATTTGTCTTATGTCAATGGTATGGCTGCACCAAAAGCTTCACGTGGTGTATCTTCTGCTGGAATTGCTTGAAACCCTGATTTCCAAAATGATGAAAGGGAAATACCATCTTCCAGTTTACCAGGAGCATGGCTCTGGGCAGTCCCCGCCCCCTCACCTTTCTCTCTCTCTCTTCTGTCTCTCTCTGTCTCTCTCTCTCTCTCTCTATACACACACACACACACACACACATATATATATATTTAGATGCCTAAATTCTTGGCATCTAATATGATAGGGAGTAGATGCAACATGTTGAGTAATTACACATATTCTGGAATCACACTTAACAGTTGGCACAGCATATTTAAGTTATAATATTCAGTCAATCATTTAATTGAGAATTCTTATCAAGCATAAAATGCTTTGTGCAGGGACTTTGTTAGGCATGAAGAATTTGAGGTCACCAAAGCACGTGCCCTTCCCTCATGGAGCATACGATCCAGAGGGGGAAACAGACAATGAGGAAGAAATGCCACAAATAACCTGCTGTCACATTCTGAAAAGACCTAGAAGTCAAGGTATTAAGACAGAGTATGCTAGTTCCCCAGCCTTGACTAGCAGAACTCAAGGAGGGCTGTGTGAAGAGCGGGACTTCTATTAAAATAGTAGTGACTGCCCTCGATGCAGGAAATTCACTTGTGAAGAAATCCTAGTTAATCAGACACTGCCTTAGTCATGGGAGATGTGTTATAAATGTTCATGACATGCAATCAGTAAGAACAAAAAGGCTAAAGACCTGAACATGTACAATAAAGAATACAAATATATTCAAATACACAATTTAAAAAAAGAGTAATACTAACATGCTGTGTTCTTACCCCTATTGTTCCAAAACTTTCTGGCTTTCTTCTCATCTTTTTCTTGCACAAGTGTGTCCAGATCCATTTGATCAGGTACCAGAGAGACTTGGGGCTCGGGATGACATTGAAGGGAGTAGGCAGAGTACCTCCTTCTTCAAAATAACTCATCCAAAGCTTTGTTCGTGCAAATTTCCATTCTATATCTGCATGGTCCTGAACAGGAGAACATGACAACTGATGATAGGTTCCTTAATTAACAAGGTACCATAAATCTCACAGAGATCCTGTAACCTGACTTCAAGCGGCTCTTGGAACATTAATTAAATTGCTTCTAAAACCACCACTGACTCCCAGAGACAGTCATCTAAACATTTCAGAGGGTGGCTTAACCTAGGGTAGTCACAGCTCTCGTGTCACTTCTCATCCTTCCTTCTTCAGTGAAACAGACATCTAAAATAATTCCATGTTAAAAAGACTGCAGTAATTAGTTATGACTTGAAGATTAGCCTGCATCTTCTGCACTGTAGACTCATGTTAGTGCAGTTTCATTTGATTCAGGCCAGAAATAGACTTTCTGTCTTAACCAAAGCCTTGTATTCCTGCTTAGATTAATGCTACCTCCACAGATGCTCATGGCTTAGCCTTCAATGTTGCCAGGAAAAGTCTTATTGGATATGTTTTCATGTGAATATTATTGCCCACCTTCGGCCAATAGAGATAAACTCAGAAAGAAGTTCCATTAACAAATGTAGAATTGGGCCTCTCTGACACACCATTGAATCTTGACCTAACTTTGTACAGATTTCACCAAAGAGGAGTATGGCCAGTGGTTGCCCACAATCCTGAGGCTATCCCCTTCATCATGTATTACTCACTCCACTTTATTAACCTCCTGAGGAAACTTTGGTACATTTGTGGCAATTAGATTTGGGACAGCCAGTCTCTTCTTAATTTAGCCATAAATCTGATTTAAGCAGAAAATCTGAGAAGTAGGAGGTGGTAGAGACTGGGCATACATTCATTTTAAGAATTCAGAATAGTTCATTGTAACCAGTTAATATCATAAACACGAACTCATATTTTAGAGTAGGAGAATAATCTTCAACTAGGCTTCATTTTGATATTCCTAAATTGCTGTGTGCGGATGAATAAGTTATGCATACTTTTTTATTCTGCGCAACATGGGTTTAATCCAGATATTGGACAGACTGTGCTTTGAACAAGAATCGCCATACCTAGAGAATGCATGGCCTTATTGCTGCTAAGCAAATGTTTGGTAATATGGATTGATCCACATAAATCGGAACACAGAAGCTGCAGTTTCCCTCCCTTTTTCCCTCCTCTTCCTTTCCTTTCTTATTTCTCCCTCCTTTCCTTTCTCTTTCTTTCTAGACAAGTTTATAGGTTCTGGCTGATTATGCTGCATTGGTGAAGAGAATTGTACATATTGTTTCCTGCAGGCATGGAGAATGGGACTCAGCAGATTTGGCTCAAGGAAATAAAAAGGCAATCACTTAGATAAAGCATTGGCCTGTGGATAGCTCCTTCTGATTCTCTGACTCTCGGTGAGTCAGAAATTATGTTATCTTATTGCAATCACTAAGCAAGTGGTTTCTTTGTTCATGATTTAGGATTTTAAGAGGGTCTATAACATAGTCTATGGTGCTTAGAAAATCTGGAGATAAAAAGCTCTAAGCTGGTGATGACTAGATCCACCTTCCACTACTCACCTTCTAACTCCTAGTCAACATTTGAAACTTGGCTTAAGAATCCTCTCTCCTTAGAAGCCTGTTCTGCCTCCCATCAGTCCTGAGCTGCCTCCTATCTCCAACCCCAGTCAAGGTCCCCTCTTCCATACTTTCATGACATCCTCAAATTTCTTTTCTCAATATTGAAATTATTTATTGCTTTTTATCTCTACTATATCATTTTTTTGTTGAAAACAGGGACTTTTTAATTCTTTGTATCCCGAAAATTAAGCATGTTTATGGCATATAGTAGGTGCACAATAAATATTCAATCAATTAACAAATGAGTGAATGGAAAGCAGTCTTTAGTTGGGGCCTACATAAGTGCTTCTGCCTTTCAACAGTTAAATTTTCCTCTTTTTCATGGTTTACCGATGGCTCTGAGTTACAGTTAACAAGAAAAAGAAAGAAAGAGGAAGAAAGAAAGAAAGAAGAAAGAAGAAAGAAAGAAAAAGAAAGGAAGGAAGGAAGGAAGAAAGAAAAAGAGAAAATTCTGCTATTCTGGGACAGGTGTAAGCAAATGCTTGGCATGTTCGTGCCCCCAAGGAGACTTCATGCATGGAGTCCTGGGAATCACACCTGTCTCAGGTTCTCAGTGACTCTTTGGTTCTCCATAGTCTTAGGGTTTGGGCTAAGTCTAAATAGAGAGTTGAAGATGATTCTTATCTCTGTAATGAAGTTACCTAGAAAAGCACACCTCACAAAGAAGCAATAAGAAAATGTCATAATATTCTTAAATAGTGTTTTCTCCTTGATGAAATTGGGACATTTAATGTTTTAAAAGATCCAAATTGCTGGCAGCTTCCTTGTATCTAGCTTGATAATTAAAGGCCTTCTAATTTGTTGTTGTTGCTGACGTTCTGGAAAACAGAACGCACATTTTGGAAATATGTTGATTAGGAGAATATAGAACTTCTGACACAAAAATTTAGAGTCTATTTATAAAAATTTCAGATCGTAAGATGCTTAAATGAAATTCAAAGTATCCACAAATTCGGGTATTAACCTCCAAATCCTAGGACCTACCTATTTCCAGAGGAATTTTTTATGCATTTGGAATACTTTAGTCTGTGAATCAATAAATAAAAACCATCTATTCTCATGTTCTATGCAGTTTTTCATCAGTGATGAGTGTCTTATGAGAAAAATTGCCTCCCTAAGGATGGTTGAAGTAAAATTCAGAGTTTTGCTTGACAAAAAAACAGTAATAACACTTCAGAGATTTAACCATAGATTCAAAGGTGTAATGGAATGTAATTATTTATGAAGAAAATGGGAAAACTATAATTACGATTATAAAATGCTACTTGTCTAAGGTATAAATATGAAAGACTTAACTATATTTCATTCCACTAAGAGTTCTGTTTTGCTGCTATTGCTAGTGGTCCTAGACGTATATCACTAGTATATAAGTTCAAGCAGATAAGTTCAACTTTGTCTTTCTTGTGCATTGCTGTATTTCTGGTGCCCAGAACAGTACTGGAAAACACAGTATGTACCCAGTAATTATGTATTGAATGAATAAATAAATAACTTGTGCTACGTTGTTTAGATTCCAGAGTTTCAAAAAAACATGTATTGTATCGTGTATTATCCTACAGAAGTTAATATTACTTCTCTTAATACATTGCTTTCCCTGAGCTTTAAGAAATTGAAAATCCTGTGGCTTCTCCCCTTCCCAGACTCCTCTCTGGGTTATCTTTTGTATCTTCCCCTGTAGGGATGACTTCGCTTATATGAGAGTGGTAGGTTAAATGGACCGACAGGAGGCAAAACCTATTGTACACGGCGCAGAGATGAGCTGCTTGTTTATTAGTCAGACCTCAGCTACTACTTCCCATAGCCAATGGCTGCCTGGCAAAATGGATTTGGTTTATCTTTGTAATCATGTGTAACATGACAAAATCAGATTAATTTATAGCTACATATAGTGTGCTACTGCTCAGAAATTTCAAATTAACCATTTATAATTCTTATCTGTCTAATCAATAGCTAATTATAGATTTTATTTACGATGATAAGAAGATGGAGTATAGCTAAGAACAACACATTCTAGAGGAAACATTGAATTAAAATAAAGCTGGTCAACTTACAGCAATCAGTTGGTAAGAATTATTCATCATAGCTATTAACATGTTGAGTAGAACAACCAGAGAGATGACATTGTATGTCCCAAACATGGTGGCACCAACAAACTCAGTAAATTCATGCTGTGCTTTGACATTGGTCACATATAAATTGATGAGCCCAAATATTGACCAAAACAGGGACTGCAGTGTCTCAAATAACCTGTAATAAAGATAAAATGATACTAATAGCTATATTAATGGAATCATTATACATGGGATAAAACAATAAAGCTTGGCATGATTATATATATATATATATATAATTAACTTAAACATTAATATCAACAGTAAAATAACCTTTTAGGACAATTATAAAATTAAACGATAAAAAGAGTGAAATAAAACTGTTTTCCTCAAACTAGTAGAAATGGTGTACTTAAATTTCCCAAGAGCTTTGAAAGCTAAATTTAGTTTCCTAGGGCAGAGAGAGGCAAATGTGGCATGGGTACTGAGTTAAGAATGGTTTTCACTTTCTAAAATGGTTGGGAAAAAAATCAAAAGAGTGATATTTTATGACATGAAAATTATGTAAAATTCACATCTCTATATCCATAAATAAAATTTTATTGAAACACATCCATTCTCATTCATTTATGCATTTTCTATAGCTTCTTTTGTGCTACAATGGCAGAAGAAAGTAGTTATAGCAGAGAACATATGGCTCAGAAAACCTAAAATATTTACTATCTGCTCCTTTTCATAGAACATTTGTCAATCTCTGTCCTAGGGCACTAAGTCATCACTAATAAATGATAGATCCCAAATTTTAGGCTTTAAAAAGTTTGCTCTTTTACTGATTTTGCTTTGGTTGTAGGAGAATTGAGAACATTATAATTACTACAGATTTCTATGTTTACAACTAAAATTGGACATAATGCATCTTGTAAGATGGTAAAGAGTCTCAGAATGCTTACGTAATAAAATTTGATGGGTTTTTGGTTTTTTTGGTATTTCAAGGAACATTTTATTTATTCTAGCCAATGAATGAACTCTGGCTATTTTATTGAAAATAATGTCCCTTTAACTTACTCCAAAAAATGAAATAAGCTGAGGACTATCTGAACTCAAATGGAGAATTGTTTGTTTCAAAGGGACCATAATAATACATTAATATAGTGTAATAAAACGATGATAGAGATTTCATACTTCTTGGTAAATCGTTAAAATGAGACTATATTTAAATTACAAAAATAAAATGAAAACCTTCTCATACACGGCATGATGACTAAGGAGGTAGGATTTCTGTCTATTGGGAGATTAGCATTAGATTGGAATGGTGTTGCAGAACCAAGTCAATTATGGCTTCTGGCAACTCCCAGCCCCAGTGGCATTGTCCCCTGTATGCCCTTTTATGGAAAGGTAGTCCTTGTGTAAGACTCTGGAGCTTCTCACCCAATACCTCCATGGACTAAGTCAATCATGGTCAAGTGACCCAAGGAGAGAAAATTCATATAAGGCCAGTGGCCTGTGGCATGCATTAAGGCAAAAAAGATCAGAATTCCCCTCTAGAGAAGTTTGCCTTAAAAATATCAAGATAATTGCCCAAAGGGGTTGGGATGACAGGGGTTATGATGTGGAGTCAGAGTCACTGGAATGACGGGATGCCAAAGGTTTGAGACAGCACAAACTAAGAAGCAGAGAATTGAGGATGAATAAGCCAGGCAATAAGTAAACTCGGAATAAGGATGAAGTAGCTGACTCATTTTAATGCTGACACACAGAGTAACAATCCCATGGCCCAGCACTACGTCAACTCCGGCTCTTCCCAAAGCTGGGGCTTGCTCTAGGTTCTGCCCTTGCAAAGATAAACCCTTACTCAGAAGACTGAAGGGCTATAATTCTTTGCATGTTTTTTTATAACTAAATGCCTGTTACTTGAAATAAGCTGTGAATTCTAGTGCATATAACCAGGAGATTCCAGCTAAATATGCCTAATTGGCATTCAGGATGGAAATTGCTTTTTTAAAAAGGTAAAAAATTTCATATTTTTAATTGAGCAACTAATTTTAAGACAGAAAATTTAACTATTTATTTTCTAGACCTGTAAAATGACGGAACAACAGATTATTGTGAAGGAGAAAGGGCACTGATCTGATCAACTTTAGCCAGACTGTGATTCTTAAATGGAATGCTGTGCATTCTACGAGGAGGTGATCACATATTCTTAGAGGAAAACCCAGGTGCCAGATTCCAACAATAATAGAGAGAATTCAATCTGACTCATTGGCCCTAGACAAAGGCCACTAAAGCTACTCTTTGAAAATTTCTCAGGAAAAAGTAAATTTGGCCCATGGCCATGAATTCTTTATTTTTAGTAACTTTAAAGACAACTTCTAAAATTAATCATAGTGTCCTTTGGATTTAATGTGAAAGAATTGTATTCTTTCTTTCCAAATAGTTTATGTTCTCACTGTGAGTATACACATAAAAATCAGCTGGTTTTCCTGACATGAATAGCAATTTAAGGAAAGTTGTAAGTTAAATATTATAAGTTATACAATATATAGTGTAAAATGTTACCACATAAACCCCATTACAGGTTCTTTTTCAAATAAAAACAATGATGCAGAATAAACCACTTATTATTTTGAATAGTACACATTTGCTCCTGTCTACATAGTAACTACTAATTTTAGGAAACATTAATAAATACTTTTGCAAAATATTTATTGATGTTTAAAAAAATTTAAAGGGGAAAATTCTAAATAAAGTGACATTTCATGATTACTTATAGATTATTTCTTTCTTTTATTTTCCTTCTTTTAGTGGAATAAGTCAGTGGTGAGATTTAAAGACTAGTTCCACTTAACTAAAATATATTTATTTCTCAGAGGAATTAAGACCCTGGCCTTAGTGTTTCTCAATGAATTGTTCAGATAACAGGTGGATTTTTAAAAAATCAGTCTAAGTTAACATTTCAAAGCCACTGCTTTCAGAAATGTTTTTGTCATTAGTAATTCCCAAATCTATTGAGACCAACATTGCCCATACATTGAAGGATCATTACTTAAAGTATCACATCTCAGAATGCCTTTACGTGACTAATATTTTTCTTGTTCTGTGGTAAGATATGAACTGAAAACTCTCCAAGATAATGCTACAATTTAATTAAGTGACATTTAGTATAAAACTTGGGTTGAAGACTAAATCCTAACAGTCTGTATGGGTGGACTTAGGTCCTGCCTTCCTAATGATAGCATTTTATCTCTTGCTTTGAATATATTGCTCAACATATGCTTTATACAATTAGCTTGTTTCCCTGATTATATATTTACAGCCAGAAGAATTGAACGTGTAAAAAAGTAATGTATTCCATTGTTGAAATTTTCCTCTATCCCATGGGACTAAAACAATGAGCAAACATAAATTAATAAAAAATTCATCTGAATATTTTATCTTTAGTTTATAAGCAAAAATGAAATATTAAAATAATGTATGACTCCAACTGGCCAGTTACAACCATTAGGAATACAGCTCCAACAAATATAAAAGGGCTTTGCTTAATGAGACAATACCTGTCACAAAGCCTGTGCCCCTCTCTTCATAAGAAAGTACCTTACCAGGGGCTAATAGCTTAAAATTGCACATAGAATAGTTTCAACAACTAAATATTTTGTGTTTTTTGGTAACATGTAGTTCTTCTCAGGGTAATGAGAAAATAACCTGGAAAGGAGCAGGAGGAAGTATGTATTCACTGGTGGGAAACGGCATGAAGATGCATAGAAGACATGGATCACAGCCTGACACTGGGCATTCAGTCAGGGAGAAGACCAGAAAAGGCCTC
This sequence comes from Homo sapiens, assembly GCF_000001405.40. Classification (NCBI taxonomy): domain Eukaryota; kingdom Metazoa; phylum Chordata; class Mammalia; order Primates; family Hominidae; genus Homo; species Homo sapiens. The sequence continues at coordinate 37,658,908 of NC_000013.11, forward strand.
CTGCAAAAGGTATATCTGAGGTAGGATTTGGAAAAAAAAATTGCCACATGGAAGGGCAGAATAAGGCCATTCTCGAATAAGAGAAGAAAATAACGTATTTGGGGATTTGTATTTATAATCCATCAGGAAATATTGAAGAGTAAAGTGTTAATGGGGGATTGAAAGATGAGACAAGAAAAGGAAGTGATACAGAGGATGTTCGTCTCTTTCAAATAGCATGTTGAAATGTAATCCCTGATGTTGAAAGTGGGGCTTAGAGGGATGTGTTTGAGTGATGAGGGTGGATTGTGGGTTGCTCACAAAAGGCTTAGTGTCATCCTAGGAGTAATTAGTGAGTTCTCACACTATCAGTTCTCACAAGAGCTGATTGTTGAAAGGACCCCTGCACCTCCCTCCCTCGCTTCCTTCCTCTTTCCCCCTGTGATGCCTGCTTCCCTTCACTCTTTTGCCATGAATGGAAGCTTCCTGAGGCCCTCACCAGAAGCAGATGTTGATGCTGTGCTTCTTATAGAGTGTGCAGAACCATAAACCAAATAAACCTCTTTTCTTTATAAATTACCTAGTCTCAGATATTTCTTCATTGCAACAAAAATGGACTAAGACAGGAGGCAGGGGACAAGCAGATCAATGAATGATCTAAAATGTCAAGCTAAAGAATGTGGCAGTATCCTGTAAGAAATGGGAAACCATTTTGGCACTTTAAACAGGGTAGCCTCAGATATTAGTTTAGAAATATAATTCAGGAAGCAAAATGGAAGACATAAGAAACAAGGCAGAGACCAGGGGCAGGGGTACTTAGATTTGGGCATCAGTGGAGAGCAAGGGGAAGACAGTGCCAAGATAATAGGAGCAGGAACAGATATTTATTGACCGACTACACATGGAAGGGATGAGAAGAAGGTAGGATCTAGAATAAGATAAATGTTTTTGATGTAAGTTTCTGGGTGGATTGTGGTGATGTTGACTAAGAAAAGGAATTAAGCAGGAGGAAGAATATGTTTTAGAGAGACTCTGATAAATTCCCTTTGATTGAATTTAAGTCTTCAGGAGGCATGTAGAGAGAGGTGTCCACTAGACAGCTGAATATATTGTGCAACCCGAGGATAGAAATTGGTGCTAGTAATATAAATATGGAAGTCATGACTTAGACATATAGAGCCAATTCCAAAAGCACAGATGAGTTTTCATAGGGGTACTGTTAAAAGGGTCTCAGGTTAGCATGCTAAGACATACCACTATTTAAAAGCAGTAATGAAAATAAAAAATTATCAGAGTATACTTAAGGTTAGGGTTAGAGTAAAGTGAGAAAGGCTAGAGAAGTAAGATTTGAAGTGAAAAAGGTAATAATATAGAAGTTAAAAGGGGCAAGATTTCCAGAAATGGAAGTGTTAAACAGGGTCAAATGAAGCAGACACATTAAGTAAAATGTGAGCAGATAAATATCCATAGTTAATGGTGATAAGAAGGCTCCAGGTGATAATTTTTAGAGCAGTTTTAGTGGAATGATGGAAGCAGAAGCCAAATTATAATTGGATGAAGTTTGAGTGAGAGGTGAGAAAATAAGATATCTTGTATAGGCTTCTTTTAGGTTTACTTGGATGAAAGGAATGAAACAGGAGTGGTAGCTAATGGGAAATATTGGGTTCAAAATTTTAACAAAGTTTGAAACTGAGTGGAAGGAATAATAGAGATGAAACCTTATGAGAGATATGTGAGAGATAATCCTCTACCATTGCCAATCATGAAGATAATAAGAGTAGCTACCATTTTTGATGACATTCTATGACATGAACTGTGTTAGGTACTTTATATGAATTAGTGTATTTTTAACCTTCACATAGAATAAGGTCTCGGAAATAGTGGGCAGTAAAAAAGAGCCTGAATTTATGAAATGTACAGAATTACAAAAAGAAAATTAAAAACCAAAGAAAGCACAGAAGTAAGATGTAGAGCAGGGGCCCCAAGGGTATCACTATATACCCTGTGACAATGACTGGTGTCCGTTTTGCTTAAACAGAGTCATCAAGAGACAGGTGACTTAAGCCTAGGACCTCCTGCTTCCTAATGTTAAGGGCTATTGATATATACTTTAGTTTTTCAATATCTTGAAGCAAAAAATAATTTGTGGCTTGCACATTTATATTATTTAGAAAAAATAATTCAAGTGCAATAACTGATTTATTTGGGTTGAATGATATAGGCCTATAGTATTTAAGATATGTAATTATATGTTGCTTTTCATGACAATAGAGGAAATCACTGGTAGAGACAAACGAAAGTAATACATAATCCCAATAATCCAGTATATTTGATTTTGGAATAAAATTTATATTAAGCATTTTACATCATGCTTGTCTGGCCTTAATCTCCTTTGATTTATGTTATAATTAGTTTGTAATATGTTATTACTTACAAAGAAACCAATATAGGGACAAAGAAATTCCTAGGAATTTTAGGGGATCATAAATCATGACAGTGTTATGTATAACCTATTGATTGCAGAGGAATCAGATAGGTGAGAAGGGTTGGGTCTGGGAACCAGAGCTTTTCCCTGAAATAAAGAGGACCTGGGAGTTAACACAGTTTTAAATGCTACGTGGAAGTTCTTTCTGGAAGGCAAAGGAGGAAGTCAGAAGGATATGGCAACAGGAACAGATGGGGTGGTCTTGGCAAGCAGTTTGCACCAGGTTATGCAGCATAAAGTAAGAAGAAAGTTGTGAAAGAGCATTCACAAGGGTTCTCCATCAGAAATCCAGGAGACCAGCTGGCAGACAGACAAAGATTGTTAGAGCAGAACTCTCATTTATGAAGGAAGAGGTTGGTGGGGTCTGACCATTGTAAATCTCTAATCCGTTTCCCTGGCCAAGTTGCAAGTCAAGAACCACAAATAAGACGGGAGCCAGAGGGTAGGGGGTGGGCGGGGGAGGAAGAGAAGTTCAGATATCAAAATTGAGATGCCATCCTAGGCCATGCTAGTTATGAGGATGTTTTTGCAAGGGATTTCATTGAATTCCTCCTGCCCAGGGTCAGAAGAGAGCAGTGGGAAGATGTCAAGACTGAGTGAACCGGTCAGGCCAAGAAACTGCTGCTTAGGAATACAGGATCAAGAAGGAGCTGGAAGGCCGGCGAAGTGGCTCATGCCTGTAATCCCAACACTTTGGGAGGCTGTGGTGGGTAGATCCCTTGAGGTTAGGAGTTCAAGACTCAGCCTGGCCAACATGTTGAAACCCTATCTCTACTAAAAATACAAAAATTAGCCGGGCGTGGTGGTGGGTGCCTGTAGCCCCAGCTACTCGGGAGGCTGAAGCAGGAGAATCACTTGAACCCTGGAGGCAGAGGTTGCAGTGAGCCAAGATCACACCACTGCACTCCAGCCTGGGCGACTGAGCAAAACTCTGCCTTAAAAAAAAAAAATTATGTTTTCTTTAAGATCCATGGATGTATCAAATCTATTTCTGAAAAAAATGAGGTATCAATGGCTGACATTTAAAAATTATGTGCAAATAAAAAGATGATGAATAACTAAAATGAAGTTTTAAATATTGGAGCTAAGATAAAACAGATGTAGAATTAGACCAACAAGAGCATTTTAGCTGTAAGTGATTTTGTTCATGTGATATTATTGACTTTTTTGTTACTTGAGAAATTACCATCCTCTCTTATAGTATACAAGATTCTATGATGGCTCATGAATAAGGTATGACTTTTAAAGTCACCTACAAAATGACTGTGTCTTCAAACGTGGTTACTGTATGGAGGAAAATCACTTCACTTATTAATTCAGCTACTGGTTAACCGTCTGTTTGTCACAGTGGGAAGGAAATGGGACAGATATATAGAGGAATAGCCTATGAGAGCTGTGTGACCATCAGACACAGTGCCCATGAAGCTGTGTGCTGTTAGCAAAGCCCATTATGAGAATAACTGAGAGAGCTGACAATAGACACTGTCTATTGCTCATCCAGCCATAAGGGCACAGAGAGTTTTGTGTGCATGACAGTAATGGCTAGATTAGTCTTAGATTTCCATTTGCACTATTTTTAGATGGTTAAGTTTTTGTGTAGGAAACTAGAGAATGAAAGAGATACATAAACGGACTTTAGTACCTGGAAAACACATGAGGAAATATTGAAATCTACTTGAATTTTCCAACATGAGTGGTTTTACACATGTTCTATCTTTTAATGTACTTGTAAGCTTTTGTAGTATATAGGCTACCTTTTTAAATTCTACATCAAAAAAATAGTATCTATTGCTTTCTTTTTCATGAAGTCATTTAGAAGAAAAGATGATTTTACTAAAATTTAAAATAAATGTGTCAGGTATTCTTTTTCCTGTCGGAAGTTTTCATTTCTATTCAAAGCCATGTTAATTCTGTTTTCTGCATTAAGCACAATTTTAGTTCCCCATTTTCTTTACAACCATTTGTCATAGGTTTTTCAAGTTTGTGATGTGGTGCACTCTAAATGCTGTACAACATTACCAGTAGAAATGTCTATTAGACTTACGTTGAAAATGCATTATTCTGCTTTTCACATCTTATGCCTTTGCAGGTTAACCCTTTCGTTTCTTCATAATAGAAGTACAATTGATTTAGGCCATTTGCAAATGCTAGCAACACAAGGCAGTATATGAATAGAAACTTCAAAATGTCCAGGAGCATTCTTCCCAGAGATATTTGCAGAGGTCCCAGGTGAGAATTTGCAGTAAACAGTGAGATCAGACGCAGAGAACTGAAGATGTTTGCAATAGCAAATAAAGCCTCTGCCACCAGAGTGGGATGCCACATGTCCCATGATTCTCGTGGATTAAGGGCACTGTACTGGAAAAAACAGAGAAACAAAGGGAAAGTAAAACAAACACACGCATATAAATAGATCAAGGTCAGACCCAGAAGGAAAACTATTAAATTTTGAACAAAATAATTGATGACTTTGTTTTCGATTTTTGAACACACTTGCCAATTCTAGAGGAACACATGTAGGATACAAATTACATATAAATGAGTAGAAGTAGTGGTCTGTTGCTATGGAAACAGAAATGACCAATATGGGCAAAAACCATCAGTGCTTCCTCTCTGCTATGTCCTAAATGTAAATACAACCTAACTTACAAATCGTCCCGGCAGTTGCTGAATTGCTAACTTTTTACATTTAATATGCAGGAAATATAACATTTATCTGAATGCTCCTTAAGTAGGTAAAATACATGATTTGAGAAAAAAATTGCTACTGTAAACTTTGACCAGCAATTATTTAAAAAGTAAGCAGGTTAATTAAAATGTCAGATTTGAATTATCCTGCTATTAAAACATATAAAAAGCAAAATAAAATTTAACTGTGTACTATCGAGGTAAATTTGTATCCCTTTTAAAAAAGGGTCAAGGCCTGGCGCGGTGGCTGATGCCTGTAATCCCAGCACTTTGGGAGGCCGAAGCTGGCGAATTACCTGAGGTTGGGAGTTCGCGACCAGCCTGACCAACATGGAGAAACCCCGTCTCTACTAAAAATACAAAAAATAGCCAGGTGTGGTGGCGGGCACCTGTAATCCCAGCTATTAGGGAGGCTGAGGCAGGAGAATCACTTGAACTTGGGAGACTGAGGTTGTGGTGAGCTGAGATCACGCCATTGCACTCCATCCTGGGCAATAAGAGTGAAACTCCATCTCAAAAGAAAAAAAAAGGGTCAAATATGCTCTTTTAGATATTGCAGTATGAAAATCTGTAATTAAATCTGTATTAGAACTGAATAATAAATTGAATTATTTGCTTCATACACATCACTGAAAAATATATCTAGACAACCAAGATGTTTTTCCAATGAAAAGAAAGTTAGTGCTACTCTGTCTGAGTCCCACATAATGTTTTTTATTCTTTTTATAGCACATTTTACATCCAAGAGCTTTACAAATGTGAATCAATTAATTCTCCTTGAAACTAATAGATAGTATTTTTTAATCTCTCTGGGGAGACAATGTATTATAGGCTCCTGATCTTATTCAACACTCAGACTCTTGCTTGACTGGCAGTGTAAAACAATCAAGTTTGAACTAGAAGAAAATTATTTTCTATCTTTAAATCTTGATAAATGTTCTTGAACATTCCCACACATAGCTTCCGCATAAAATAGCTAATTACTGAAGATATAAAAAAAAAAGTTAAGATGTTTTTCTCTTTCATTATGACAAGTGTCAGAGTGAAACTTGGATACTAAACATTACCTAATTCTCTGCTCTTAGTCTCGCTATGTATGATGCCACCTTTTCCTTCAAAGACCAAGATCACATTGTCCTTCCTTTCCTCACTTCTCTCTTAAAAGACACACATATTTAAGTCCGTAACTATTGATAGCTGTCCCCCTATAATTGATAGCTAATTCTATCAGCGATACAATTAGCTCATAAATATTTATACTTGAGAAATATCCCCCTATGTTGGTAGCTAATTAAATTCCTCTTCATTTAACCTAATATAGCTCAGGACTATATTTTAAAATACACAAAAAATGAAACAAGAAGTATTCTTAATAATGCAATCATTTTCTTGAACTTCTTAGAACATTTAGCAAAATGCCCTGAATATCGTGGGTGCTCAAGAAATATTTTCTCCTGTCAAGTATTCATAGCCCGGTGAGGCAGACAGGCACAACTAATTACAATAAAAATGCTCTAAGAGATTAACACAAAGTGGGGTGGGAATAGGGAAGAGGAAGTGATTAATTCTGTCTGGGGCTTCTGAGGCTAGGAATGGTGAGAGATGATGTATTGTCAAAGCTTTAAAAATCCTTCAAATCTAGGAAAGATGCTATGCATTGCTTTAGGTTTAACATCCAGGTCAGCTGGATGTGGATCCATCATCACATTATGACTAGGTCAAGTTCTATTATGGACCTACTCTGAAAAGAGCCCTTCTTGGTAAATTATCTCAGCTGAGACAAAAAAAAAAAAAAAAAAAAAAATACATAAGAGGAAGGTTTTCCATTTTTACAGATTCTGCCCCAGTGTGATTATTTAAGCTGATTTCAGAGTCTAGCACTTCTAGTCATGGCCAGGAAAAAATGCTGCATGAATATATTCACTTTATGCAAGGTCAAGGCTTTAGGCAAAACATTGCTGGCATCTGGGTTAAAGGATGTTTGAATGGGAAACAACCATTGGAAGTTAAAGATGGAGACCTCCTGAGAAACTTAGGATCTTCTTCCCAGAAGCTATTGTGCTTACACTCTCAGAATAATAAACCTAGGGACCTTTGTCTCCCCAGAGACAATTTATTTACTTTAGAAAGTTGAAGTCTTTCTCTTTTCTTCTCCAGGGGAAAGACAGGCAGCTGGCTCAGCTGCACGGTATGAGTTCTGAGACACATATTTTCCAAGCTCCTCTCCTGTGGTACAAACCCCTGTATACACAGGGTACATCTGGCTATTAGGTCCCCCACTGGGGACTGGGGCATGGGGAACCAGTGCTAAGTTTGCTATGTAAGTAAATAATTTGTCTGTTCTCTGATCCAAAAAACCTCATTTCCTGTCACGGATTAAGAGATATAAATATGAAGTAATTATCTCTTGATTTTATTCTTCTTAAATTTTGCTGAATTTTTATCCCATCCTTCACATAGATATTTTCTTAAGTTTTTAACTATAGTCATCATTTAACAAAGTGATTTTTATAATTACAAATTGTAATATTCTTTGAATTTGTAGCGAATAATTTTAATTCTTCAATCAGTCGATGAATTTTCCACACCTATTCTTAGGAATTAAAATATTAATTTGAATTTTAAAAAATTTCTTTGCCTCTGCTATTTAGGAGCAATTTACAAAACCTACCTTCCCTTTTCATCTTCGCATGTTTGTCTTTGAGTGGCCTCTTCTCAGTCTCCTTGGGAAGTTCCTCAATCTCACCTGCCCCTTAAAAGTTGAGTTCATTTTTCAAGCTTCCTCTCTTCTCATTCTACCAATTCTCCCTGGGTGTTTTCCAGGATTTCAACTCTCAATGACTATTCTCAACTATACATCTCCAGCTGAGACTTCTCACCTAACAGCCCTATTCTGCATTGTACTGTCTGGTTGACTTTTCCACTGGGATGTCTCACAGGCATCTCAAACTCACAGATCGAAAGTGTAACTCACCACCTTTGCATCCTGAAACTCTTTCTCCATTTACCCCTTCTGATCTTATGAATGGCAACAGGTCACCAAGTCAGAATTTGAGGTTCCTCCTAGAATCTTTTTGTCTAAAATCCCAGCATCTAAACCCAAATCTTATGTAGGTTGCTTCCTTCTCTTCATCACTACCCTCACTGTTTTAAAATAGTACCTCTTATTTCTCAGATATAACTGCAGCACCTTCCTCACTGCTCTCCCTGCCTTAAGTCTTATGTCCTCCATCATCTATGTATCTCCTCAGGAATCTTGTTTTTTGAGACGTAGTCTTGCTCTGTCGCCCAGGCTGGAGTACAGTGCCGCAATCTCGGCTCACTGCAACCTCCATCTCTTGGGTTCAAGCACTTCTCCTACCTCAGCCTCCTGAGTAGCTGGGATTACAGGCACCCACCACCATGCCCAGCTAATTTTTACATTTTTAGTAGAGACGGGCTTTCACCACAATTGGCCAGGCTGGTCTTGAACTCCTGATCTCAGGTGGTCTGCCCGCCTGGGCCTCACAAAGTGCTGGGATTACAGGCATTAGCCACGGCACCCAGCCCTCCTCCAGAATCTTTTAAAGAACCCAACCAGCCCATGTCACATATTATTTAATGTTCTTCAATCACAACATTGTCCTTGAGATGACCTTCTGATTTTTCAACTTGCTACATAAAGCCTCTATGTTCTGACTCCTTTTAAAGATTTAACTGCCATTTGGCTCTAATTAGACACCTAATGTTTTGGCTCAAACTTTCACTACTGGTAATTCCTCAAATTAGTCACACATTCTTACCAAAATGCTTTTCCATGAACATTGTACCATTTCTCTAGAATGAATTTAAATTCCAATTATTTTGTTATTCATTCATCAAGTATACATGAGTGTGCCTGCTCTGTGTCAGGCACTGTCTTCGGGGTTCATGGTACTGATCAAGGAAGATGCCATACGGGTTTACAACATGGTGAAGTCATACATTAATCAAGCCATGCTAATCCTTTACCCCGACTGCAGATGCATGGACATTAGGATCCTGCTGATCAGAGCTGACAGCTCCGTGTTGTAAAGTAATCCTTTAGGAAGAAATCAAGAACTACTTTAAACACACATAGGTTTTCTAGGATCATTAATTCCTGTATTCCTCCTTCTCTCAATTATTTGTTTTCAGTCTGTATGTACCCTAGTTTGGTTTTTCCCCAAGCCTTTATTTCTATTCAGATTCCTTTGAAAGAGAATTGCTTATTTTGCAGACCTATATAATAGAGAGGTACTTTTGGATTACTTGTCAGATTCTTATGCAGGGAGCTTTGTCTAAGGCATTTTTAGGTGCTGGACATCTAGTAGAGTGCTTTATATATGATAGGAACTCAAAAAGCACTCTGGGGAGAAGAATTATAGACATATTAAAAAACAAAGTGGTTAGAGAATATGGATCATTTTTATAAATGTATCTTGACACAGATGTAACACAGAGGATTTGGGAACAGTGAGATGAGTATGAGAGGATGAGATGAGTTGGAGCCAAGTCATGAAGAGTTTAGCAGCAGTGTTAAGAGAGAAAGATGAACTGAATCATAATATTGGATCAGAAGTTTATTGAATGTAGGAAAATATGTTAGGCTATCTTTATATCCTCTGTAGTCTCTGATGCATACTTGTGAATGTCAAGTAATAAATAGAAATGAGTAAAAATTAAATTAATATGAAATAAAAATATTGGTCAGTGAGATTAAATAAGAAACATATATTGGTTTTAATGTGTGCTTTACATGGTGAAATCTTTTCCCTTTCTAGAAATTTATCAGATAATTAAGTAGTGAAAGACCAAAAAGACCAGTGTTTATACTGGCATATTATTTTCTCTTCAAGTACATAATTCTGATTAAACAACTAAGATTCAAATCTTTATAGCTTTCTGCCATAAAACTAAAGAATACCTTAGACAATCCCACACTTTGGGGAGCAGACTAAAGTTACATCATTTATAAAATAGGAAAAACACTTGGCCCTTTTCTAGTTAATAAGAAATGGGATCTATGAGACATGCAGTTAGAACTATTTAGAAGAATGGTGCTATAAAGAAAAGCCACAATGATGGTTAAAACAAATCTTCTTATTAATAAAAATTTTGATTTTTGAAAATATTATTTAAATTACACAGCGAAAAAGGAATTAAAATCTAATCATTTCTGCCAAACTGTTGAAGATAAATATGAGAAGTGTTACATACAGAAAAGGGGCTGGATAATATTTAGAAATAAACCAGCCCTAATGAAACTGAAGTAACGTTTTATAACTGTGGTCCCCAGGCATCAACAAACTCCAGATTAACTAATACTTCATACACAGTGAAAAGAGAAAATGATTGACAAACTTTCCTCTAGAGGGTTAGGAGCAATTTTTTAAAAGTTTATAACCCATGAGCTTTAAATGCTAATAAATCAAGATACTCAAGAAAACACCACAAAACTTTGCATGTAAAATGGATAATCTTGAAGTCATACATATTTTTATGCTCTGTCTTTGCACATTATAATACTGTTGCATTGTATATAAAAATTGAGAGCAAATACTGCGTTTTTATATTAGGTTCTATTCTATGGAATTAAATGTTTATTGATTTAATCTTCAGAAACATTCTATTATGTTTGATTGTTATTATTGTTTTACAGCAGAGAAATTTGAGGCACAGGTTCAGTAACTTGCTCCAAATCACATAGGTAGGAAGTGATATAAGTCATAGTCACAGCAATTCCATGGCCTTGGTTAGAAGGGCTGTTTTGTGTGCATTTTAAATAAAGATCTTTCTTGCAAGTAGATGGATTTCAAAAGTATGAATGTCATGAACTGAATTGCATCTCCCCAGATTGAGCCCCCCAGTGTGATGGTATTTGGAGATGGTATTTTTGGGAGGTAATTAGGTTTATATGAGGTCATGAGGGTGGGCTTTCATGATGAGATTAGTGTCCTTATAAGGAGACACACCAAAGTTTGCATTCTCTCCCAACCCCTTATGCCCCACCCCCACCAGGTGAATGTGACCAACCTTCTATAAGTCAGTGAGAGAGACCTCACCAGAAACCAACCATGCTGGAACCTTGATCTCAGGCTTCCAGCCTCTGTAACTGCAAGAAATAAATTTCTGTTGTTTAAGCCACCCAATCTATGGTATTCTATTGTGACAAGCCGAGGTGACTAATACAATGGAGAAATTAAACAAGGCTGGCCCCTATGACAGATGTTTCTAAAAGGTTCTTTTTCTGAAAAGAACAATTATAACAAGATTTTCTTTTTTTGTAGGATGATACAGTTTTTTTTGGTCCAGTTCCATGACTTAACCAAAAGGACCTATGAATGGACTTTGTTCCTGTTCAGGAATCCTCAGATAGGAGGTAGAACCTATACAATCCTAGCAGAGGTCCTAGTCATAACACCGGTAATCCCGTCTGAAGCAAAAGAGGTGAATCTATTATTTACTACGGAGAATTATTAGCATGATTTAATCTACCTCATATTTCATAATTACTAAATCACATATCTTCCAGATGTTACTACCTAAATTTGTTCAAGTCCAATCTTCTATCATCTTCTCCTATGTTCACTGCTCTATTTCAGGCAATCATCATCATTTGAACCATTCCCTGCATAAATGACCTAAATGGATCCTTATAATTTATAGGGTAAAATAAAAGCCCGATAGCAAGATGTGGAAAGTCCTTCTCACCTTCTCCCTGCCCACATTTTTAGGATCATCCAAAATAGATAGTGAACTCTGCTTGTTAAACACTCTGACTTTTGCATATTGTGCCTTTTCTGTCTTGAATGCTCATGCATGTTCATGATCATGATAGATATCCACTTGTACTGTCCTCTGTATAATTCCATGTCATTACAGAAAAGTTCAGTTCCTTCTCTCATGTTACAGTAGCCCCTCTTATAGACCTTATTACATTGTAAGATCCTTGTTTACATGCATTTCTCTTTCATCTACCTGACCGTGACCCACTTGAAGGCAAGAGCTACCTCTTGGGCAGATTTGCATTTTCAGCAACCAGATCAAAAGCTGTTTCTTAGTGTGCTCCAATAAATGCTTATTGATTTGATTAGCTTCTTGATTCACATAATAGCTGTTTGCTTTATCTACATCAGCCTCTATTTTTTCATGCAAATTACCTACCTGCTCTTAAAATAATAATTTATAAGTTATTACAAATTAGCCTGAAAAAAATTGAATGATAGAACAAATGTAAGGTAAGGAAGGACAAATCAGAAAATCAGAGTGACATCACAGGCCCCCAGAGTGAGTACTCTTTTGATTATTATCATCAACTTACAGATAATAAAATTGAGACCTACATTCAATAACTTGTCCCATACCATACAGATTGAACATGGTGAAGGCAAGTGTGGACCTAGAGCTCAAACTCTTTTAAAACTAAAATAAAACAAATGAGGAGACACATTAAAGATCTTACAAAAGGCAAGTCTAGTAGACTCATAGTACATGAGAAAGAAAGCAAAGACAAAAGTAAAAAAAAAAAGAAAAAACTAATTTAGTGTGCTTATTCTGTAATAGGCACTTTAAATACATCAACTCATTTACTTCTCATGCCAACAGCATAAGGTAGAAATTATTATTTTTCTTATTTTATGGATGAGACAAATAGAGGTGAAGAAACAGGCTCAAGGTCACCCAACTAGTAAGTGATGGAGGAAAGGAGCACCAAAAATGTGACTCCACAGTGCATGCCAATGAATACATGAACCCAACTCAAAAACATACATTGTGCTAAATGCAAATCCTTCAGAAAGGACATGTTGTAGTTTATATTTCCAATTGTAGCTGAACTCCTATGACCATATATTAACAAACTATGTATTTTTTGAAGACTTCACATTCCTTAGGTCATCTTCATCTGCAGTAATTACTGTGTACTGCTCCACATACCGTTTCTCCCTCTGCCCCCTCCTTTTCATCACTGGGGTGAGTGAGTTTAATTCTAAACATGAAGAACAATGTTTAGATTTTAATGGTAAAATAGATTTTGCCAGTGTAGAATTTACAACTTTTTAACTAAATTAAAATCCCACATCTAAAAGTCTTGAGGCAAAACATCCACAAATATCCATTAATCTATGTAAGCATACTCACTACGTACCAGAGTTCTTATATATGAAAAAATACATGTACTATACATAAACATCACACAAATGTAATAAATACAAACATGATATAGCTTAGTTTAAATATTGTCTAAATAGATGTATAACAGCAGTTTCTTTGGGACCCAATCTCACAGTTCTCTGAGCTGTAGAACAGGTCTATACAATGCAATGTTCTTCACAGTGTCTTCCTTAGGTCAACTGTATCAGTATCAACTGGGAGTTTGTTAGAAATGCAAATTTGGACTTTGTCTTAGTACATGTAACTTAAATCTGGTGATGGAGAAAATGAACCTGAGTTTTGGCAAGCCCTCCTTATGATTCCTATCCACTTAGAAATTTGAGAAGAACTGGTATTGTGATATAATCCCAGAATTTCATGACAGCACAAAACCACAAAAAACTACATATATTACTTTTAGAAGTAGGTCTAAACAATTTTATGTATACATCTAAGAATCATGACAGAAGAAGGGGACTGGAGAGCTAGGCGCTTAATCACAGACTGCCTACCTCTTACAGAAATGCATAATCTCCTTTGGTTAAAAGAGTACCTTCTGCTGTCTTAAACTTTTCAAGGTCATTAACCTCAATGCATTAATAAAATTACCAAATTATGTTTTCATTTTGAAATATACTTGCTTTCCATAAAATTGATAGAAATTGCTTTCCCCTAGTATTTCGGTGAGCACTGGTAGCATTTTAACAGAAAACTATGGCCTTTCCAACTTCAGACAATTTTTTTTATTATTATACTTTAAGTTCTAGGGTACATGTGCACAACGTGCAGGTTTGTTACATAGGTATACATGTGCTGTGTTGGTGTGCTGCACCCGTTAACTCATCATTTACATGAGGTATATCTCCTAGTGCTATCCCTCCCCCCTCCCCCCACCCCGCGACAGGCCCCAGTGTGTGATGTTCCCCACCCTGTGTCCACGTGTTCTCATTGTTCAATTCCCACCTATGAGTGAGAACATGCGGTGTTTGGTTTTCTGTCCTTGCAATAGTTTGCTCAGAATGATGGTTTCCAGCTTCATCCATGTCCCTACAAAGGACATGAACTCATCCTTTTCTATGGCTGCATCCAACTTCAGACAATTTTGCTTCTGTCATACCTGAAGGTTGCCCACAGAAGCAGAAGGCATTATTTTAAGAACTAGGCTAAATGAATAAAAGTTTATCTACATGTTAGAATTTTCTAGTTCAGATTATTAAATTGAATGCATTATTTATGTCACACCCAATTAGATATTCTTTATTTTTTTTTTTTTACCAATTAACTAGTTATTTTGAAACTTTTATTTTTTTAAAGAGAAAAGGAAAGGGGGAAAAGGAAAATCAGTGAAGGAGAGAAGATAATCCTCTGGGTTGAAAGAAACCCAACAAAGTACAAAATAATCCCAATTGTCATGACAGAACAAAAATGTTTTATGCAAATTATGAGGTTGGGATAAGATTGATGGTGTACAAAATCTGGGGGAGTAATGAGTGTGTGAGATTTCAGGCACTGTCATGTTGAATGGGATGAGGAGAAAGAAATTATATTCTGCTCTAATTATATCAAATTGTATTAGTTTATACTGAAATAATAATTTCAATGCTTTGAAAGAGTAATATTTTGATCTGTCTATGAAATTTTATCTATTAGTTATAACTGAAGAAAATAGATTTGGGTTGCCAAAATTTAAACAGTGTTTGAAGCACAATTTCATTAGAAATAGAAAGGATTAGAAACTAGAGCAGTTACTGTGAATAGTTTTGAGACATCATTCTACTTAGTAGATGCAAGGGAATTGGGTGATAACTTCTACTTATAAAAACTTGTTTTGTGATTAAAGGCTATGCATTTATTTATGTATTTTTATCCCTATATATCTATCAATAAAACCATGAGCTGATGAATACGACATCCGGAAAAAGCTCTAGGTAACTTTATTAATAAAATTAATATCAGTTGAAAGTATATCATTAATAATCAGAACATATGCTTTACCAACAACATAAATAATAGTTACCTTTACAAATGCAACAATTTTCAAGGAGATTGTTGCTAAATATAAGGAGTTCATTACAAAGTCCATTAGATTCCACCAATCATGGATGTAGTCCTGAAGTCCGCCATCCCACATCTGTTTAATTTCTCCCCATATGAAGCCTGCAATTATAGAAAGATTCATTGTAAGTATGATTTCAATAGAATCACTAAAAAAGCAATATACAATTTAACAATTATAGATCTCGAAGCTACAAGAGACCACATTGTTACACTAAATGCAACATCTATTTTTTACAGGTAATAACACTGAGTCCCAGCCATACTTTAAGACTTTCAGATACTAAGCTAATTCTGGAAGATGTTGTTAGGACAGCCTCACTTTCTTTTATCCATTCGATAAATTCATAAGGATAAGTAGTTTTTAAATTATACTGTAGCTCCTTTATAACTATATATTTCCCTTGGAAAATAACATTTTCTTAAAAGCAAATGTCTTGACATATATTTTTCTCCCAAGTCAAAATTACTCAAAGATCATGAAAATCAGTGTATCTAGCAATCATAACTGGTTTCAGACAATTAGTGGAGTATCTTGTTGTGTTTCTTTAAGCAGTTAGTGCCTTCAGAGACCGGACTTCAATCTTGAGAAATGATGGTTATAGCATTCATGATAATTCATTAAAATACTTTATATCCAGAAAAAATGTATTTTTAATTTTTAATAGGAAATGCTTTATTTTCAAATTCTATGAAGTACTTACAAAATATTAGTGTAGGTTATTATTTTATTTCCATTATCTTATTAAAATTTTATAATTTCGTATTTAGAGCCTAATGATGAGAGAGATGTCAAAATATCTAGATTCAGTAAATATTAAAAGGGTAAATATGATGTCATAACTACATTAACACAAGCAAACAGTGAGAATTTTTTAGGATAATACTCTGAAACATGAAATTTAGAGTTGAAGATCTTCCTAGGATGTAGAAAGTTGGAAAAGTATTATCCCTACACTGACTCAAGAAAAAGTGAAATTAACTATAAAAATCATAATTTTCCAAGCATGCATCAGAGAGACGAGAAATCAAGGAATCTAAACTTTAAAATATATGCACGTTCCTCTAAAGCAACCATGTTGTGAGACTTAGCTCACCTGCGGCAGAGTATGCAAGGAAGAGACACTGGCACCATCCAAGAGACTCGGCTGACTGTGAGGTAGCAGGAGAGACTAGAATCCCTGGGAGCCACAGTTACAAGGAAAATTTCTACCCTCTTGCATGCTCTTCTTCATGGACCCTATCCACAGCTCAAGAGAAATATTATAGTTCAAGCCTGGGGAGAAAAGAGGCTGCTTCTGTGGGAGAGGCACAGTGTCCTCTCCAGGCTCCTCTCACCTAAGGAGCAAAACACTTTAGCCTTGTGGAAGAGACAGAAAGCACTCCTGAGCCTCAGGTTTACAGCAATACCATTAGAGCAGGGACAGGAAAAACTTTCCTGTACATAAGCTGCCATGTTTGCCATGAAAAGGAGGGCATCGATCATGGAGAAAGTTCCATCCCTAGCAGTCAGATATAGGCCTGCCTAAGTCTGACCCTGGATGAGGACATCAGAGAGTTTTCCTGCCCTCCATCACGAGGCCAACAAACACCAGGGAACAATCAGCAATTGACAACCACTGGAGGAAGGGCCTCTGAGGCATAGATGTACAGGGAAGATCAAAAGCTGTAGGTGGAGAAGGAACACTGAGAATAATCTTCTTTTCCACCCTAAGCTGTGGCATATGATGCACTGAAACTGACGGTGGCAACAACAAAACCCAAACCCAACTCAGCTCCTGACTTATTGCCTCAAACCTCTACACTAACTTAGAAGAGAAGAGGCATGTACACTTTCAGGCATAAAGGCTGTGTACGTCTGTGGCTAGTCTTCTGCATAGGTGGAATGAATAACTTTCCAAAACACACGTACACATACGTACCCACACACACCAAACCGTGATGCATCATATTCAAACCGTCAAAAACAAAAGATAAAGAAAAAATACCGAAAGCAGCCAAGAAAAAAAAAAAAAGGAAAAAAGAGAGACATTTTGCATACAAAGGAAGAAAAGTAAGACTGACAGCAAACTTCTGGGTGTAAAAAATATATACAAGGCAATGGAGTAACATCTTTTTTTTTTTTTTAGTTGGAGTCTCACTTTGTTGCCAGGCTGGAGTGCAGTAGCGCAATCTCCGCCCACTACAATCTCCGCCTCCTGGGTTAAAGCGATTTCCCTGCCTCAGCCTCCCTAGTAGCTGGGACTACAGGCACGCACTACCCCATCCGGCTAATTTTTTGTATTTTAGTAGAGACGGGGTGTCATCATGTTGGCCAGGATGGTCTCGATCTCCTAACCTCGTGATCCGCCCGCCTCGGCCTCCCAAAGTGCTGGGATTACAGGCAGGAGCCACCGCGCCCGGCCTGGAGTAACATCTTTAAAGTGCTGAAAGAAAAAGAATAAGAGTTAACCCAGGATTCTATATACAACACAAATAGCTCTAAGAAATACTTACTAAAGACTTTTTCTTCAATCAAAATCTGAGACGATTTATTCCTGTCAGATCTACACTAAAAGACATACTAAAAGGATATTTTTAAGGCAGAAGGTGTATAATATTGGACAGAAAGTTAGATTTATTTTTAAAAATGAAGATTTATGTCCAGAAATGTGTGTGTATATATATATATGTTATACATATAAAATACATATATTTATTTTTATTTAAAAGTTTTCTAACATATAATTGACTGCCTAAGTAAAAACTGTAGCAATATATTGTAATTGTCAACATAGGTAAAAGTAAAAGGTATAATGACATTAGCACAGAAGATGAGAATTACAAGCCTCCCGTCATAAGGTTCTTATACTACACATAAAGCAGAATAATATTTTTGAAGTTAGAATGTAATAAATTAATATTTTATATTGTAAATACTATGGCATCCTTTTAAATATTTTAAAATATATGAGTAGAGAGCTATACATGTAAATAATTAGGGTTATACAAATATTTAATCCAATAACAGGCATAAAAGGAAAAACGCAACGAAGAACAGATAGCAATGGGGGTAGGTTTCCAGTTTACCCATATCATAATTATACTCAATGAAATGTATGATCTAAACACACTAATGAAAATAAAGAGATGATCATATATGAAAAAAGTACAGGCATAACTCTATCACAATTCATCCATAGAAGTAAAGGAAAAATAAAAATATAACATAAAACAATAATGAAAAGAAAGCTCCCGTGGCTACATTAATATAAAAGTAGATGTATTTCAGAAGAAGCAATGTTACTAGGTATATAGAGGGATATAACATAAAGATAAAAAGGCGAATTTGCTGAGAAGATATAAAAATTCTATGTGTGCTTGCAGTTAACAAAAGAACCCTATAATACAAGATGTCATAACTATTAAAACTGAAACAAGAAACAAAGAAAAGTAGAATTATAAGTGGAGGTTTCAGCATTCCTCTCTCTGTAACCAACAGAACCAGTAGACAGAAATTTAGTAATGATATAGAAGACCTGAACAACACTACCAACAACATGAGAACAGCAGAATACACATTTCTTGCTCGTGCACATGGAACATTCACCAAGATAGGCCATAGTGTGGACCATGAAACAAACCTCAGCACATTTATTTAGGTTGAAATCATACTAAGTAAGTTCTATGACTACAACACAAATAAACAACCAATCAATAATTAAATGTACCTAGAAAATCCCCAAATATTTTTCAACTAAACAATACAGTTCTATTATCTTTCGGCTCAAATAGGAATACATGAGAAGAGTTAAAAATATTTTGAAATGATTGAAAATGAAGATACAACCAAAAACTCTTTGTGAGGCATCTAGAGTAGTGCTTAGAGGAAATATACAGCTCTGAATGCTTTATCAAAAAAGAATGAGGGGTTCATCTCAGTGATTTCACCTTCAATTAAGACAGTATAAAAAGAAGAGCAAGTTTAAACCAAAACAAGCAGAAAGAAGAAAATAACAAAGGTAACAAAAATCAATAAAATCTGAAACATAAAATGAAAGATAAATCAATGAAAACAAAATCTAGTTTTCTTAAGTGGTCAATAAAATTGATAAAACGCTAGCCAGAATGATTAACAAAAAAAGATGATATAAATAATCAATATCAGAAATTAAAGAAGGAACATCAATATAGATCTTATAGATATTATAAGAATAATAAGCAACTAGAATGAATACCTGGATGCTCATACATTTCACAACTTAAATGAGCTTTTTTCCCTGAGACATAAACTTTAAAACTCACTCAAGAGGACATAAAGCAACCTGAATAGTCCTATAGTTATTAAAGGAAATGAACTGGTAGTTAATATCCTTCCAACAACAAAAAAATTCAGGTCCAGTTGATTTCATGGTGCATTCACCCAAACATTTCAAGAAAAAATAATACTAGTGCTAATCACACTCTTGCAAAGATAACAACAGTAAGAAACATTTAAGAGGCAAGTATTACACTGATAAACAATCAGACAAAACTCTTTAAAACTACACACCAATAGCCCTTATAAATATGCACAAAAATCCTCAATAAATAGTAGTGAATAAAAGTTAGCAATATATAAAAATAATAATAAATCATGGCCAAGTAATGTTTTTCCAGGTAATGAAAGGTTGTTTCAATATTTAAAAATCAATCAGCATAATTTATCCCATCAACAGCTTTTTGAAAAAATGTGATCATTTCAATAGATGCAGTATAAACATTTGACAAAATTTAACATGCATTCATGATAAAAACTTTCAGTAAAGTGTGAATAAAAGGGAAATTTATTAATTTGATCAAGGGCATTTATAAAAATTTATAACTACTTTTCTGTAAAGGGCCAGAGAACAAATAATTTAGGCTTTGCAATAAATGGGCATGAATGTGTTCCAATGAAACTATTAAAAAAACTGGCAAACAATCTGATATCAGGGCCGTAGTTTGCTGCCTCCTGTGGTGGTTATTACATGACTGTATGCGTTTTAACATTTTATATCTCTGCATTCAACTCCAAAAAGTTAGTGTTATAACTTAATTTGAATGTAGCCAAAATTACAAAATTGATATTGAGGAATGAATACAGTGATAGAAAAAATAATTAAAAATATTATGGTAATACATTGATTACAGGTAATATATGAGTAACTATAAATTTTTTACATTTTCTGTATGTTTGAAATTTTTCATAATAAAATGTTGAATGAAATAAAAGCATAGTAGACATGATGGTCTATCATTAATTAGTGAAAATAAACAATGACTATTTAAAATTATTGATAAAGTTTTGTTTTTATATTTTGTTATATTCAAATTTATAACTCACATGAGAGCTGATTTCAGATAAATTAATTATAGTGTATTTTTAAAGTTGGCTGTAGACAACTGCTTTATTCTAAATTCGGCATTTACATCCTAGTTTCCCGTTTTAGTCATCTTTCATAAATAAATCTCTCATGAGAGGTCAGATAGAATTGGGACATAATTGGGAAAATGATAATAATATTTACTACCTCCATATTGGAGAAAGGAGTATATCAGAACTAAGTAAGATATGATGCCTGCACTGCATTTTAGAGCTGGTGGGAAACTTAGAATTTAAAATATCCAGTGCGAAAAAATGCTTGGCACACATTTTTTTCCATACCTATGGTGCTTTCTCCTACTAACCTGGCTACAGACGCAGAATTCAATAGACAACCACAGCCTGCATGAGAAAACTAAGGCCCAAAGAGGCAGCGTAAACAAGAATGTGATGCCACCAGTTAATGAAGAAAGCACGACTGGATCAGAATCTCCTAAATGCAGTGCACTTGGACAACATTTTCTTATTCCTGAGAGTTTACAAGGCACAGAGTTATGTGCTTCAGAAGACAGAATGAGGACTTTGGGAAGGAGGTATAAAGAAGAAGTTATGAGCTTGGTACAATGTTGCTTATTTGTTTTGTCTTGCTTGACACTGCCAATTCCCAGATATTAGATATGTGCATGCAATCATTGATTTAGCAAATGCATTTCAAGTTAATTTTTCACCAGAAGGCATAGTGATAAGAGCTAGTCTACGTTAGGTGATCAAGCGGCCAGGCTCAACTCAACGAGCAATCAGCTTTAGAATCTTAGCTTAGCCTCTCTAGGTTTCCGTTCACTTCAAAAAACAGAGGTTTGGATTACATGGCTTTTACAAAGTATGATTTTATCCTAACTGCATAAATTGCCAACGATTGCTTCTTCCTATTAGGATTGTGACAATTTTACCAAAAGCAGTCATCACAATCGCTGCCATGAGAGATGAAAAACTGCCCTGTACAAGAGGGCACAGACTTGCTCTGGTCTGCCCCACAAAGCAGAAATTGGATCTTTGATAAGAAAAGCATAGAAAGGCAGCTTCTTGCCAAATGTAAGGAAGAATATTCTGGCAATTAGAGTTGCTCTAAAACTGGAATGGATTACCCTGTGACATAGAGATTCCAATCCAGAGGCTGTCTTTAAGCCAGAGAAATTCTAGCAGCGAGTGGAGACTGATCTACGTAATCTTTAAAGTTCATTCCAACTTAATGAATTTATAATTCGGTTGCTTTCAGATTTGTATGTATCATGAAATAAAATATATTTTAAAGTACTTGCTAACCAGAGCATTTATATTTCATTATGTCTGACAGATAAACTTTATTATCTTTATACCTGCTGCTACTAAACTGGAAAGTCAAATGTGATTATTAACAGTCATCGAAATAGCGAAATTCAAATATTTTGTGAGGATTTACATAAAGGAAGAAAGGCTTTGGGAAGGAGGTATAAAGAAGAAGTTATGAGCTCAGTACAAGTCAACATTTTATTTCGACTTCCTTCATAGCTGAGCAGACTCTGTTCTCGTCCGATGGGTTAAAGGAGATGAAACTTCAACTGTAAGTTTAGACTAGATGACCTCTAAGCAAAACTCACAATGCTGATATATTACAATTCCTCTGGAGATCAAGGAGGAGACATTAAATCTGATTTTCTTGACCACCCAAAATCTTACTTCACTTCTGACCTTTGAAAGGCACAAATGTGTGGGAAAAACAGAGATCCTGATAAAACTGGAAACTCATGTCATCATTTTGTTTAAACTTGAGCTATAGATAAGATTGCCAATCAATGTCTGTTGGCTAATGTGGTAATGTGTTGGTATCTTTTTTTTTTGTTATTGTTCCAGATTGAATATCACTTTTTATAGTTCTAGTCACCACATACCTGTCAGATGACTGTGGATTTATGTTTGTTATAAGCATGGTAGCGAAATGGCCAGTTTCATTTATTCTGGCAACATTTACTGAATTTTTGAAGAAACAAGCCTTTAGAAAAACCAGAGGGTGCTATTAACTAAATAAAAAACGAATTCAGCTAGTAAATTATCCATGGTAACTAAAAAGCCTGAAGAGAACAAAGATTAAGACAGCTTCTGTCACAAAATGTTTATCCTGTTCCCGCAATGGGAACATTTCGAAATTGCTCTTTGCTGTTTATAAACAGAAGACATGATTTCTCAGAGTCGTGATGGAGGCCTAATTACAAGCATTGATGTCAAGACTGTGGGGACCAACAAAGGAAAGATCACAGTGCAAATGAGTCAGAGAACTTCCTTTTAAAAATATTTGTAGATGTCTGGAAGTTTTTACTATTTTTTTCTACCTTTCCCATAACAGTTTTCACTCAGGGCTATTTGAATGTTCTATTATGTCCTGCGAAGCTGGCTGTGAGGATGTGATGGGGTAGGCAATGCTCAGATGCCACATTTAACAGCACCAATTACATGTGACAAATGTGTAACTCTGCAAATAGATCTCCTGTCATTCCCTTTCTTACTGTCCGTACTTACACCAATAGTAAACAACCCCAAACAAAAAGCAAGTCACCTTTTCACCTATGGCAACCTCCAGGGGTCTCTTATTTAAGCCGCAAAGCTGTCGGGGGCCTGACCTTGGAAGTCTCTTCACAGAACACTGAGCTTTATGTTGTGGTATCAAATCAATGAAGATAAAAGAACACAAAAATTTCCTCCCTGCTGGAGTTTTGTATTGTTTTGTTTTTTGATTTTCAAATCAGGGAATATAAAAGTAGTCTCTCATCAAAAATCTGCTTCTGTTCAAAGATAAATTTAAAGGAAGTCTTTTATTCAGTAGAAACCCACTTGTTCTGGACCTCTAAGAGGCACTCAGTTAAGGGGCAGCTCCTGTTCTCAGCAGTATACTTAAAACTCAAACAAAGATGAGGACAAGGACCCCAAGCATCCATGTTCTGAAAAGAGTTTACAGAAAATTGTAGCCAAACTTTTCCTTCCAGGGCCTACTAGGAGGCATCAGGACCCTATCTGTTCCCAACCACCTAGCCCTCTCCTTCCGTAATCTGTAACAGAGGTAGACCTGGGGAGACAGATAGCGAGAGAGCCATGAGGTCAGGGAGTGCAAGGTTTCTGTTTTGTTTTTGTCGTTGTTGTTATTTTTTAGAGACAGAGTCTCACCCTGTTTCCCAGGCTGCAGTGTAGTGGTGCATTATATCTCACTGCATCCTCAAACTCCTGAGCTCATGCAATGCTCCCACCTCAGCCTCCTGGGTAGAGGAGCAAGGACTAGAGGCACATGTTACCATGCCCAGCTATCTTTTTTTTTTTTTTTTTTTTTTGGTAGAAAAGAAATCTCTCTATGTTGGCCAGGCTGGTCTTGAACTCCTGGCATCAAGCAATCTCCCCACCTTGGCCTTCCAAGGAGGGAGCTTGGATTACAGGCGTCGGCAGCCCAGCCAGGACAGTGCAGTTTTTGTGCTAAAAGGGAATACCAGAAGGACAGGTAAGGGTGTTTCCTCACCAATACTACTGCCTCCCTAAGTCAAGTCTAAGGGAGACTCCAAGAAAATCCCTCATAAAGTCTGGGAGTTTCTACAAGGAGGAACTACTACCTCACCCCTGCTGGGGCATCTGTTTGGGCAGGTGGCTTGCTCATCTCCCCCTGGGTTCAGCTCATCACAGAAAATGGAAAACAGTGAGGTTTGGCCATAGGGTAGCCCATGGCAGTCTGGCCTTCTGTCTTTTAATGTGGTAAGGTTCTGTGATGCTGTTGTGAGGTAAGTGCATATTAGAAGAAAAGGCTGGGTTTGAGCCTTCTTGCCAGGACTCAAGAGGGATTTGTTAGGGTTCCAGGACCTCGTTAGGGATTGACTGCTGGTTACAGGAGTGGAGGGACTGGAAGACTCCTGGAAGAGTTGAATCTCTGACTCAGAGAACTATGCAGTGTGGAGGCACAACAGGGCTCTCAAAGAACAGCCGTGCACCCCTCAGGAGGGTCAGCATCACACAGGTGGCTCAGTAATAGCCAGAGAGGCAGGACAACCAACCAAGAAAGAGCTCTGACCAGGGTGCCAGGTAAGTCAGGACATTTAGCTTCTCCCATTCCCCATCGTCCCTAAAGCAACAGGAGTGAGGAAGCATGAAGAGCCTATATCCCACCTTGAATTCCAGTGTTGGAGTTAAAGGATGTGTAAGAGATGGACAATTCCAGATCCTTCAAGCCATGGGTCAGGCCTTTATTGGGAAGAGAAGATCTTTAAGCTTATAAAATTTGAGTTTTAAACTGAACATAGCCTACTTTTAAATAACTTGAAATTTCAGAAAATTTATGATAACCGATAGTGATATCATTCGGGAACAAGGAAAGGATATTTGATATAAGGTGGCCAAGGAGAGTGATAGAAAGAAGTAAAACCATTTCATGTCTAGATTCAAATATGTTGAAGATCCTTAATAAAACCATTATATGATTATGAAATTTGACTTCCAGAATTGTTTCTCAGTCTTTAATGTTTAAAATACTTTTGGAATTTCTAAATCAGCCAACCATAATCTGAATTTGTCATAAGAATCTACAGTAACCATAATTTTAGTCAGCAGACCATACTTCAAAAAACACTGACATAAAGAGACAGTGAATGTTAAATATTCTTAGTTGGAAGGCATCTAAAAATGCTTAAACCACTATGGGTTTTGACACCATTATTTTAACATTTTGAGAAAAAAAACTAGGAATATATAATTAAGGAAGTACACATTTTTAAGTTTACCAAGAAAGGATGCCATGTTAGTTTCAGAGTAAGAGTGAAGTGTAGAACTTTAGAATTCCAGATCATCTGATAGCTTATCACCTAAAAATAGTTACTTAAAAATCAAGTGAGACATTTTATCAGTGTAGGAGCATTCTTTTTATAGGATTCTAATTTAATTTAAAATTTTCCATGAAAACTAAGAAGTAGAATGCTTATGTAGATAGGAAGACAAGGAATAAATATTTCTCCAATTCCTTGTTCATTACCTTTTCAATAAGCAGCAGAAGTTGCCTAATATATAGTTTCGAATAAGTGAATATTAATATTTTCACTATGAAAATTACCACCTTCCACTTAATACAAACTTCTGAACATTTTAAAAATAAATATGCACAAAGAAATATATTTATTTCTTTCGATTTTCCTGAGTACCCCTTACACACACACACACACACACACACACACACACACACACACACAGAAATTTAAAAAATAATAATGTCCTTGAAGAAAATAAATTTAACTTTAGAACATAGCAACTAATACATGGAAAGCAAAAAAGGAAACATCTCTAGGTCATATCAAAGGACTTATTCTTTCTTTCTTGGAATGGATTGCTTCTTTTAGTGCTAGAAAGTCACACATAATATGTTTTAGATTAGAAAAAAGGCAGTGATGATACTGGTGGTGATGTGAGGGTGGTGGTAGTGGTGAGTTTGGTATGTTGGTAAACATAATATTCAATAGTAAATCATATCAAATGTGCATCTTAAAGAGCATTACACCTTTAATGAAGCAGAAACATGGTCCATTCAAATTTCACCTGTGTAAAAATCTAAGCCGGCAAATAGAAGCGAAGAAGTCTTAAGTACGGACACACGTTCTGAGCTGTTTTTGCCTTTTCAAATTCTACCTCTCACACTTTTGGGTGAGTGTCTCAGAAAGGATAAAGAATCTAGATCTAGACTTACATTGACTGGAATTTGAATCTAGTATCACTTGTTAGCTCCTTGATCCCTTGATCCCTGCAAGGAATGTAAATTCTCTAAGCCTGTTTCCTCTCTGTGAAATGAGACATTAACATCATTTATTATGATTAAGTGGAACAGAGTTACTGTGAAGTTCGAACAAAAGAATGCATTTAAATTACTCAGCACAGTGCCTAATTTTTTCAGTTTCTACTATTATTACTACGATTACTACTACTACTATTGTTACTCTGTGCTAATGAAGACTAATTCAAGAATCTCATTTTTTTTTTTAACTTTGACTCTTTCTTTCTTGGTATCTACTCCTCTTTTCCTGTCTTTTCCCCTCTTCCCTTGAACCATCTAAACCATGTTTTCAAACATTCTCTGAAGGCCTGTAAATTTCAATTTTTGTGTATCAAATTTATATTGCACTGTCATGGCCTAAAAAGAGTTCATTTCCCTCCAATAAAGAAATCATGTGTTCAGCATTAATAGGGGCACACACAATAACTGAAATCTTCATTAATATCTCATTGTTTGAGATATTACTGCATTAGTCTTTATAATTCCATGAAGATGATGTTAAAATATTTTTTCCCACTGATAAATAGTAAAATGAGGGTCATATGTCGCACTGTACTATCTGATTTCCTCAAAAATTAAAATATCCATTTTAAATTAATAAATGGGTAGTCTGCAGCTTGTGTTTGAGGGTCTGTGTGTGTCTGAAGCTAGTTTGCTAAGATTATTTGAGCACCACGACAAGGGAGGAGCTGGGGAAAGTAATACGAATATTTCTTATAATTGTGAGAATATTGTTTGGAGCTGCTTGAGGGGATGGGAAATTCAGCGGTGAGGCTGAAAATATGAAGCCATTTGATCTTAATGACTTTAGACAAAAGATGAAAAAATGGTCACAAGACAGGAAGAATTATATATATACGCACACACACGTATATATACACACGTGTGTATATGTGTCTATATGTATACATACATATATATGTATGTGTATATATGTGTCTGTATGTACCTATATACACATAACTGATTATACATATATGTGTAAAAACCATAACTGGTTATACGTATACGTGTGTGTGTGTGTGTGTATACACACACATATATATACATATATATACATCCATATAGTATTATTTGACTCTATGAATATTTATCTAGATGAAAATGTTATCACCAACTTTTCATTCTACATCTTCAATTTGGTAGGCCTTGTTGAAATGTTCAGATTTGTTAATATCCACCTTTTAAAACATAAAAATGTAAAATAAATTATGGAAATGAGAAACCAATCTTGTTTAAAAATTTGCTAAATAAAGTGTTATAGGCAAGTTGCATAATCTGGCTATTATGAGCAATTCTTACTTTATGCCTAGGAATTCAATAGAAGCTATTTTTAACAGAGCTTAGACCTCCTCCTATGTTACATCTTTTCCTCAGTTCACCTTTCTCCTCATGCTCAGTGTGCATAGATTTGCATACTGTTTAATTGTGGCATAATCTGGGGCATGCTCACAATGTCACGTCGCTTCAGCAGCCATTTTGTTTTCTCATAGGAGCAAAGTATTTCCTGCTGTATTCATATGATAGCCTTCATTAAAGTTCTTTCTTTCTTTTCTTTTCTTTTTTTTTTGAGATGGAGTCTTGCTCTGTCACCTACACTGGAGTGCAGTGGCACAATCTCGGCTCACTGCAACCTCTGCCTCCCAGGTTCAAGCGATTCTCCTGTCTCAGCCTCCCGAGTAGCTGGGACTACATGTGCCTGCCACCATGCCTGGCTGATTTTTGTATTTTTAGTAGAGACAGGGTTTCACTATGTTGGCCAGTATGGTCTCGAACCCCTGACCTCGTGATCCACCCACCTCAGCCTCCCAAAGTGCTGGGATTATAGGTGTGAGCCACCACACCCAGCCCAAAGTTCTACTTCTTTCATGAAAAGTGTTATCCATTTTATAATTTATTTTACTAAGCTAATTACATAAGTCTACATCTGGAAATTTTACAGATGTCCATACTTTTTTGTGCAAAGGGATAATTTATAGCAAAATTTGTTTGTTACAATCGGAGTTAGAATGAATTCTGAGGGAAAATTCAAACTGGGTTTCAGGAAGGCCTGACAACCAGCATTCAAAAGTTTGTTTTTCCCATATCTTACTACGTATTATCTTCAGAAACAAATGCCTCTCTTTGAGATAAAACTCTTGCCATAATTTTGATGAATTCTCATAATGCACATTACACATATAACATGCTCTAGTTTTCATGTAATTTTTTAATAAAAATAAATTTATCATATTCTATTCATTGCATATTCCCAGTATATTAAAAATCAAACCCTAAATAAGTTAAGAGCCTCAGAGTCATGGAGAACGTAAAAGTACCCAAGTCTCTGATCTTCTAGCCTCGAGCTCTTTCTAATCCATCATTCAGTCTTTCCAATGAAACTTTTTCTCCAGACACCCGAAAAGTATAGCTCTGTTATCAGGCCCATAGGAATGCTTGATCAAACAACTGTTTTACTTTTTACTCTAGTTTAAGTGGGTAATTTGACAGCCTGAGAAGGATATTGGTGTCCATCTGTCTGGAATTTACTCATCTATTGAGAGTTCTAACAGAATTATCCATGATTAGTTTTCTGCATTAGTTAGAACTGTATCACAATGACAAGCATCATAAGTTTGGTCCCTGTAAAGCTTTTTGGCTTTCTTTCTTATATAATAAAGTTCATCCTGACAGCAAATATGTGCAAGAAGATCTCTTGAGGCTGTTTGATGGCAGAAAGGAAAAGTCGATAACCTTCAAATACAAGCAAGTCTGAAGTAAAAATAATTCTGAAAGCTTTGTTGGGCGGTGAGTTCCAACTTATTGCTGACACCGTGGCAGAGGGATAGAAGAGCGATTATGAACTGCTTTCTAAAGATGTAAAACACAATAGATTTAAATAGTCAACAATGTTGAACTTCAACAAGAAAGATACTGAAATAACAGAAACCTTATTCTGCCATTGTACTGAAACACAAGACAACTGGTTCTATGAGGCTGAATACAGTTCTTATTGCTGAAACACTGCAAGATATATAAAATAATGGAAATTCCCAAGCAAAACCATAATTCTTAAGAAGAAAAAGAAATTGGTTTGAAAGGTTAGGCTTTAAAGTTAGAGAACTTTCCTACCTAGATAAACATGGACATTTATGATATAAATATATAAAACAAATAAGTCAAAAGTGTTTTGCTAGGATAAACAAATGAGAGGTATAAAGTGATCATTTCTCATACATCAAGAAATTATGAATGCGAGGAAGATCTTTTGAAAACGGAAGAAAAGTGAATTTAGTACAAATAAAAAAGTATTACTTTATACAACAAGCAGCTCACAGAGGTGATCTGGTTTGAAAATCTAAGTCAGTTCAAGAAGACTTGAGAAAAAACCATAAACAGAGTTCCAGTCTACCACTGAGACAATTAACATGATGAGGGGACACACTTATAAGCCACATCATTTCCGTAAGTCATTCAGTCTTGATGTTATAAATCTAGAACCTTGCAAACAATGAACTATGAAATGTTCTGCTAAGGGACTCATGGCCACTTACTTTATCAGACAGCAGGACAGGACAAGAGAATAGAGGATTCATTAATATAGTCATCAAATCAGACTGTGCATTTTTATATATATTACGCTTCTGGTTAAAGATTAACGCATTCCTACTCTGATGTCTTTAGCCTGGCTCTCCCCTTCAACACTATACCTCCCCCGAAAGGATCAGTTTTCTCTGCCTTAATAATGGTAGCTTAGCAGACAGGATGATAGGATACAGGGGGACTTTAGATGTCATTCACTCTAAATCTTTCATTTTGTAGATGAAGACACTGAAAATCCTGAGAGCTTGTGACCACCCATAATTTAATAGTCTCCTAGTGGTAGAACCTGGGCATGGATTTAAGTCCAGTGCCTTTTGCAGAACAGCCCAACAACATAGCACACACCCCTTATAATCATGGATCTAGCAAGGCACTGAGAACTCAGTCTCGGATATGAGGCACTCACAATTCACCAGACTTGGTGAACAATATAATGGTTTGACAGATCTCTTTGATATATAAACATTTTTCCTCATGCCCCATTATTTCAGCAAGATGATCATTTGCACGCATTTTTTAATTCTAGGAAATCTCTTTTCATCCTAAAATTCTCAGAAAAATTAACTCCCTACAGTCAGGAAATCTTGAGACAATGTTGCCTATAGCAGATATTTTTCTAAGCTGGAATTATAATACTCACAAATAAATCTATACCTCATGTAATCATTTAGCTGTGGTTGGGTCTAGTTTCTTCCAGCCAACTTCCATGAAATATTCTGTTAGAAGCTTGGTGTGTAGCAGGCAGCCAATGACTGTTTTCACTGGACAAGTAATTAGAAGGTTGGACCTCCTATTTTTTAAATATTATTTACCATTTTATGACATTATATCACAAATCTATTTGTTTATTACCCATTTATCCCAGTAAAATTTAAGCTTCATTAGCAGAAGGGCTCTTTGTTGCCTTACTTTTGTATCACTATCATCCTTCACTGTGCATTCTGCCTGGAAAGTATTTGACACATTTTCATTGATGGTATCAAGGAAAGATTAGGACTACTCTATCTGCTTACATTTTATTGTATCTATAGTATTTTTCAAAATGAAATGTTCTGCGTTTGGGAAACTAGAATTTTTAGACATTCAATATAAGTTAGCCATTATGGAAAATGTAACATCCTAAACTCTTCTGTAAGAATTGTTCCAAAGACATTTTCTAAGAAGAAAATTCCTTTAAAAACATTCTTAATGAGATATATTTAATTTAAATGAAACAGGGGGGGTTATTTTACCTTTAATACCAACTGCAATGTGAAAATTATTTTATTCCAAAGGACACTTCGGACACTTATAGATTATGTGAGCCTTTTTAATTTTTCTTCTTTTCTTTCATTTTTTGAGGCAGAGTCTCACTTTGTCACCCAGGCTGGAGTGCAGTGGTGTAATCTTGGTTCACCGCAACCTCTGCCTCCCAGGCTCAAACTATTCTCCTGCCTCAGCATCCCAGGTAGCTGGGATTACAGGCTGTGGCCACCATGCCCAGCTAATTTTCACATTTTTAGTAGAGATGGGTGATACTCCAACTCCTGATCTCAAGCGATCCGCCCGCTTTGGCTTCCCAAAGTGCTGGGATTACAGGCATGAGTCACTGTGTCCTGCCCGGCCTGACCCTTTTTTCTAATTTAAACAAGATCACATTTTACCCACTTTAGATTAATGAGAACCTACTCTATTTTAAAGTTCACCTGAGGATTTTGTTTAGTTATATAAGTAAAACATCAAATCTTGTCCCTATTAACTTTTCTTATTGACAATACTTAAAGTATGGTTTTTATAATTTTTAAAACTGAAAAACATATTTATCTCAAATAGGCTGTCTTTTTTTTTTCTGCCTTGATGTCATTTTAGTTTCTTCAGCAGTTTTGAGAGTTAACCCAAACTGATATTCTGAGATTTTGAATCATGAAATTTGTCACATATTTTCTAATAGCCAAATGATGAGATAGATATTATAGCAGAGAGGTTTAAAATAATGAGCTAAATTGAGAAAATGTGATTTCTCAGCAAACCATAGTATGATAGAGAAAAGGATAATTAAAATGCAAATTTTAACCATGGCTATAATAACAAGGAGAAAGGAAAACAAGGTTTTCACTAGCTACATTTTTTTCCTTTCTTTTTTTTTGAGACAGAGTCTCACTCTGTCGCCCAGGCTGGACTACAGTGGCGTGATCTGGGATCACTGCAAGCTCCGCCTCCCGGGTTCACGTCATTCTCCTGCCTCAGCCTCCCGAGTAGCTGGGACTACAGGCGCCCGCCACCACGCCCGGCTAATTTCTTTTTGAATTTTTAGTAGAGACGGGGTTTCACCGTGTTAGCTAGGATGGCTACGATCTCCTGACCTCGTGATCCGCCCGCCTCGGCCTCCCAAAGTGCTGGGATTACAGGCATGAGCCACTGCACCCGGCGGGAAAACAAGATTTTCACTAGCTACTTTAAGGTTTTCTACTTCACAGTGATTTGCTTCAGACCCAATACAACTTTCTATGACAAGAACAAAAAGAGAGTGGCGGATATCCTGTTGTTTAATTTCCTGTTATTTTAAATTAATATAGATTTCAAAGATAAATTTGAATGGATTGATTTTTTCAAAAGGTTTCAGTTACTTTATGTATAGAATCACTAATTCTTCAGAGTAATCTGCATGTACTTTTAGAAGACTTATCTATTAGGAATATTAGAATGATTATTTACATATAGTCAATGAGATATGTTGAAAAGTTTTAATAAACAAAAAACTCAGAGGGTCAGTCGTGGAATATGAAGTCATTAAAATCTGTAATTCTAAAATTTAAGGTTACGTTTCTTAAGCTGATTTTGTAAGCGGGTCCACCGCAGCTTGTAAAATAGTTGTTTGGCTTTGGGGGTGAGGTTCTTGGAGCTACAATAGTCAGAACCTATTCTAAACATTCCTAGGTCCCAAACATTAATGAATATTTTCTGAGCAACGAAATTCCGTGGCAGTAACATGTTTTTATTATATTTTCTATAGTAACACATTTACCCAGGACCCACGGTAATATCATCCACTCGACGATGGTTGGTGGTGGACCTTGCCTGTTCAAGTCTGACCTGTCGATGTGCTGAGAGGCAAGCAGCAGCAGGAACAAAAAAGTCAAATAGGAGGCTGTGTGGCAGATAAACTTGATAAATGGCTTCCTGATGAACAGTCCAAGTGGGCTTTTGGGAGCTATCAGGTAGCACACAGAGAAGACAGGAAAAAGAAGTCCTATTATGAAACATGTCACCATCTT
This sequence comes from Homo sapiens, assembly GCF_000001405.40. Classification (NCBI taxonomy): domain Eukaryota; kingdom Metazoa; phylum Chordata; class Mammalia; order Primates; family Hominidae; genus Homo; species Homo sapiens. The sequence goes on from NC_000013.11 coordinate 37,692,249, forward strand.
CACTGCCCAGTGTCTTCTCCTCCAGCCTGGAAACTCATCGTACCAGCGAGATGCCAGCAGCTGTTGACAATTGGGCTGGGCAACAAACTAAACAGAAGGGAAAGGAAAAGGAAAAATAAGTCACAGTTACATGGAGTGGCCTCAATTCATCAATAAGAACACAATTGTGATCTTTAAAGACAGAAATTCTGTTTCACATAATTTTACATTTAAACAATCAAAAGGCTTTAAGTCATTCTGTGAATAAAGCCAATGTATTGAATATTTATTCTACCCAAGGCACAGTATGACATGCTTAGTGAGACATAACTGAAGTCAAAATACTGTGGCTGCACTTGAGGAAGCAAAAATAGAACTGGGGAATACGAATATGCAAAAGATACGCTGATAAGTGAACAAAGCAGTTTATAAAGATACACACCTATATACACATATATAAGAATATATAAGTGTGGCTCTTTTTTGATATAGTTGTTATCTCTTGGTTACAACATTACACTTAATTTTTATTTTTATATTTGTGTGTACTTTTAACAATTTTCTATAATAGATATTTATTACTTTCATCATCAGGAAAAGCAAATGAACTTTTCTTTATGAGGTACAAGCTAAATATACTTTTAATTGGGTTGAGGCAATATGAAAAACAGATGAAAGAAAGTAGTATTCACCAGAATGTTAATCATCATAGCTTAATTCGGTATAAACAATGCAAACACCTTACCTAAGTATACCTAATTGCCTTATACAAAACATTTCACAGACATGGCATCATTCTATCCTGACAACATTTTTGTGATGTAGCATGGACACTACTTACTGTATGTTAAGGTTACATATCTATCAAATTATGAGATGTTTGAATATCTGGTCCAGGATTTTTTTCTCAATATCTCTTTTTTTCTCAGTATTTCTCAGATTTTTTTTCTCAACCTTTCTCATTGGGATTGTCAGTTAAGCAATATATGAATTAAGAGAAAATTGTATCTTTCAGATGGAACAGTTCAAGAATGCTTCCACCGGGACATATTTGTATAAGTAGAAAAAGAAGATGAGGGTAATCCACGGCAAGATACCTTGGGAGAACAAGAGCATAACCTGGTGAGAAAGTGTACAGTGGGATTAAACGATGCCCTATGGACAGTTCTGATTGAAGGAGAAGTGTAAGTTCCTTGTAAGAGACTTGGAGAAGTTCTGTTGACATCATAAAATAGGCTTACTCTATAAGCAAACTTAGTGCTTGTTCCTTTTACAGGACTCTCCACCCAACTCCACATTTCCCATCTTTCTTCTTTAGTTCTAAGCCATATGGCTGTCCTTGAAGCAAGACTTTTTCCTTTCTTTTTTCTGATGGTAAGCAAGCAAGCAGTCTCTGGATATGCAGAAAGGATGCTGTGTTTGGGGATGAAGAAAGAGATGAGGTGACATTCAAAGAGTAATCCAATAGTTGAGGTGTTCAACCATTTGGATTAGATGAACAATGGTTTTTCATGCAACTGTTTCTCTTCATCTTGTCTTGCATATCTACTCATCAATATATATAGTGGGCAAATAAATATGCAAACAATTGAATTAAGTTTATAATAATGGGTTCAGTAAATACAGATAAAACCAGATAAAATAGTATGGTTTTAAGGCTGGGGTAGGGGGGACTATCCTCATTATCTTGTACGGCACTTACTTAAGGAAATTTCAAGCTCCATGAACAGTCAAGCTAAATTTTATTCTAGACAAAGCCAGGTATTTGAAAGTCAAAATAGAGTTTTTGCTTATATAACTGTAGAGTATTGATAAACAGTGGTTTAGATCATTAACAAGCACTGTTCTCTTTAAGAGTTTTATTTTTTCCCCGTATAATCCTTCCCATCAGAATTTGATAAAGAAATCATAGTCTACTATTTTCCTTTTTTTAATTCCCCATGGAATAAAATATTTTTAATAGTATTAAACTTTAGGACAGCTGAAAAGTCTTGATAAAAGAGAGTTAAGAAAACCTATGGGAAATGCAAGATATAACAAGCAGTTGCCATCATCTTATCAGTAGTCACACATTGACAAAACACTGTAAGGGACTAAGTACTAAGTAACTCATTCCGTGCATGCAGAACGAGTAAAAGAAAGTTATGTACTTTGTTCACTACAGTCTAAGTGAGGTCTTGGATTCAAACTCTGTTCTTCCTGGTCAAATCTCACTACAGCATGGGGCACCTGAGGACAATCAAAGAACTTTCTTAGGAGAATTTAAGGTTTGTTTGAATTAATATTTTTGTTGCTGGATACACACATATATACTCTGTAAAATTACCTAAAAAAAAGCAAGGAATTTAATCCTCATAGAAAAGTTGCCATTGCAAAGTGCTAGGTTAGCCATGATTTTTTATTTATTTTTTTTCTTAAAAGTACTTTTTCTTTCTTTAGTTATTGAAAGTATATACCTGTGCTTAGTAAATGAACAGTATACGTAATTTTACGTTAAACACAGACACAGGGAGGTTTTTGCAGAAGTAAAAATTATGGAGAGGACTAAGAAGAGCAGGAGTGAGTGTGTGTAATACACAAAGTTCCCCAAATGTGGATGTTATTTGGCTATGTATTTGATCCAATCATAGGATTGAAATAACCCAAAAAGTATTCTGAGAATCATTGTAAATCCACATATTCTCGTGGTAATTTCATGTCTCCTTTCGACCAAACATGCTCTTTACTTGTCTACACCAGCATTCCCTAAATTGTATCCCAGTAATTAATAGATTTTCCATGCAAAAATGGGTTCGGTGGTTAAATCAGTTATCAAATTAAGGATTGAAATAATTAAAATTTTATATTATGGGATTTTTCAGTCTTTAATTTGTAACATAGATTAAATCACTTCAATTATCTCTTGCCTCTCTTTCCCTCCCTGCCTGACTACCTCCCTCTCTTCCTTCTTCCCTTCTTTCCTTCCTTCCTTCCTCCCACCCTCACTCCCTTCCTCTCCCTGTGTCTTTTTCTCTCTGTTGCCTCCCTCACTGTTTACTTAGATTACTTGGAGTAATGCTCAGCTTTACTCCAACTCCCTCTGAAGGACACCCTCAGTGAGGGGCCACCTGATTCTTTGACAGTGGCCACCAGTACATTCCAGCAATGCCCTCTCCAGGTGGACCATCACATTGCCTGCAGTGTGCTGGGAGCCTACAGCCCCCCTCCTACTCCATCTTTCTACTGCACCATGAGTCATAGGAGGAACTACCATCTTCCGCACCATTCCAGGACTGGGAGAAGCGAGGTTTGTTTTTAGACACAATTCATTACAGCCGTTCTTTCTCTAGAGTTGTTGGCCAATTCTAGCACAACTCCTGCCATCCCATTAAAATTCATATTAAAACACTAAAACTTTCAAATTCACATTTGTGCTGTGCACTTATAAAAGACGCTGTGAAAACAATTTTAAAGATGTCCCATCTCTTTCAATAAACTTTAAAAAGTTTGAAAAGTCTGATCTCATTATTATTTATAGAATCACTGAGTCATGGGATTCCAAATATTGAAGACACTATGAAAACTATTGAATCTAATCTCATTTTTACAAATAGAATAAGAGAGATCCAGTATCAATGATTTAAAATTAACTACTCGAAACATGAAAACTCCAAGCCACAATGGCAACAAAGAAAAGAATTACAAAAAGGAGGCTAAATCTGGAAAGTATATAAAAACAAAACAAAACCAAATAAACAAGAAACTTCACTACATTGTATTAGTCAGTTTTTATACCGCTGATAAAGACATACCCGAAACTGGGCACTTTACAGAAGAGGTTTAATGGACTCACAGTCCCATGTGGCTGGGGAGGTCTCACAGTTGTGGTGGTAGGTAAGAGGCACATCTCACATGATGGCAGACAAAAGAAGAGCGCTTGTGCAGGGAAACTCCCCTTTTTAAAACCATCAGATCTCATGAGACTTATTCACCATCATGAAAACAGCATGGGAAAGACCTGCCCCCATGATTCAATTATCTCCCACCGGGTCTCTCCCACAACATGTGGGAATTATGGGAGCTACAATTCAAGATGAGATTTGGGTGGGGACACAGCCAAACCATATCAACTATCTAGAAAAGTGAACTAAAACATTAATTGTACATGGACAAAGTAAGCAGAAAATAATTTAAAATATATAAAACAAATAAATCAAAAATAACTTTGAATCAGATTTACTGTCTTCATCTTTTCAGTTTTTCAACTTATTTTTCTAGTTTGAAAAATTGTACCCAAAGTTCAGACTGTAGTCATTCTCTATAGGAAGAAAATCCAAATTCTAGGAACAACCGTCCTGGCTACTTTATCTATCTTGACTGCGTCAGAGAGTCACAAGGAAGTCTCAGCTGACTGCCGGGTGATTATAAAGAGAGTTGAAACTTTGGATTGGCTGTATCATAGTGATTTACATAAGGGCAATCTGATTCCTTTGCTCTAAAAGGACCACAAATTCATATACATACCAGTATGCTCTGGGTATTACTGTGTATTCTTCAGCAATTCAAAAATAATCTGTATGGGGGAGGAGTTATTTCCTCTGTCCAGAATACTTTTCAAAAACTCATTTTATAATGTCGATAGCAGGGTCTAAGGATTATTTACAGGCAGAAGAACTTCAGGGAATTAACTTTTTCCATAGCTGAAACATCTTTTTTTTTTTTTTTTTAAATCTTTTATTTCATCTCCTACATCCCTCATGGTCACTAATGGCTTTTAAATGTCTCTGTCTCTCTCTGCTTCCTGGTGATACCTCTGGTCGTGCTCTTCATTAAACAATTCTTCTGGCCCCTCTGAGCATAGTCATATCACATGATTAATCAGACCCACCTACTTCATTAATCAAAACATTATTTTCACCTGCCTTTCCAGGGCAGGTGAAACACTAATTAAGCCAATAGCATTCAGCATCATATGTGAGTCAGACAGTGGCTAGATAAGTGAGGGGAGTGCCATGATCTGTAAGAACCACATAAATCTGTCTTCTGGGAACTCAAAATACATTGGGACTAATTATGTAACTGGATAACTTCATACAGAGCATTAGATAACTTGTTAAAAAGAGGTATAGGGTATATAAGAGTATGTCCGACATGAAATAAACTGAAAATTTAAGAAAGGAAGTGGAATTTGTTAGTTAAGCCTGAAATAACAGATAGATTTCGACAGTGACAGCTTCGTAAGTGAATGTGTTTTATGTTAGATTAAAAGAATTTCATGTTAAAAACACAGGGATAGAGATAAGTGTGCTCAGATGAGAAATCTCTTGTGCTAGAAGGTTGTAACCAATTGTAGTTATAGTAGAGATGAAATGTAAAGGAAAACTGTGGCCATATTTTGGGATATGTATGAAAATGTTTGTTGAGGACATGCTTGAGTCTAAATTGTTGCAACTCAAATTGTGGGCTGAGTCCAGTAACATTGAAATCAACAGGAAGGCTGTTAGAGATGGAGAATATCAGGCCCCACTTCAAATCTGCTGAATAAAAATCTGCATAGCATGATTCCTATGAATGTTAAAACTTGATAAACGCTGGTTTAAAGGATTTGATGTCTAACGAAATTACCTATAGCTCCATTGTATCTGATAAATATACAAAGAGTAGTTTTAATTCAGTGTAAATATATATTCCAATGTCTATAAAGTAAGAAATATACAGCTGACCTTGAAACTCTGGGAATGTCTGTGTGGGTATATGTGTATGTGTGTGAGCGTGCATGAGTTCTTGAGTGATAGGGACAAGCCATACAGTGGTGGTTCTCAAAATTGAGCAAGCAGCAGGATCACCTGGAGGCTGTTAAAACACATGAGCCCCACCCCAGTATCTGATTCAGTAGGTACAAGGTGAGGCCCTAAACTCTGCATTTTTGCCCAGTTCTCAAGGTTACTCCAAGGACTAACCTTTTTTTTTTTGAGTGGGAATCTCACTCTGTTGCCCAGGCTGGAGTGCAGCAGCGCAATCTCAGCTCATTGCAAGCTCTGCCTCCCGGGTTCTTGCCATTCTCCTGTCTCAGCCTCCCGAGGTAGCTGGGACTACAGGTGCCCGCCACCACACCCAACTAATTTTTTGTATTTTTAGTAGAGTCAGGGTTTCACTGTGTGAGCCAGGATGGTCTCGATCTCCTGACCTCGTGATCCGCCTGCCTCAGCCTCACAAAGTGCTGGGAGGACTAACTTTTAATAACCACTGCCTTACAGAAATACCTTTGAATAATGTGGGACAGTCTTCTAGTTTTTCTAATGTTTTCTATTTTCCTATTTTTTGCTTTCCTCATTTAAAGTCAACCTTCTTATTAAGGTTATCAACAAGCAAATTTAGCTCAGTAAAGATTCCTTTAAAAGGAATTGCATAGAAGTCACACAAGCAGATATTCTATGGTGTAGTTTTAGTATAATATCTAATTACGGGAATAAACACAAAAATCTCAACAATAATCTCCACCAAATCACTGAACTCTTGTGCAAGTGGAAAAGCCGAACACAGTGTAATCGCAGGCAAAGGATGCTAGCTGGCTAATTCACCATTAAGCACGATGCCAATAGGGGACTTAAACCAGTGTTAAACAGACTGGGATTCAGTGGGCATGAGAAACATGAGTAGGTGATAAAGATCCTGGATAAAAAAGGAAGAAAATACCTATACCTAGTTTCTCACAGATATTTACCCTATGCACCACCATATGCCTTCATCATGACTCCAAAGTTATATGGCAAATTTACCGTACTTTGTATTATATATTTGGATATTGTAGGGATTAAGAGCACATAAGCCTTAGAGAAATCCCATTGGGATTTGAATCTTGGATCTGCTGCTTCCTGATTGTGTGAGTATTAATAAATTATTAAATTCTTATTGTGTCTTTTTCCCAATTTGTAAAATGGGGATAGTAGAAATACTTATCTCATAGGGTTATTGAAAAATTAGATGAATTAATATGTGAAAAGTATGAGTTCCTAGGTCATAGTATATGTTCAATAAATATTAGGTATCACCATTATTGCATATAAACACAGGTTTACACACACAAGGATATATGTATATACACGTATGTGCATATACATATACAATCACTTATAGACATATATACACAAGTATGTAATATGTGTTCACTTTCAGCATAATAATAATAATTAAAAGATTTATGCAAGGAAATTACATTCAGAAGATAATAATAACTGAAGCATAAGGGAATACCAATAAGATAACTAGTTGCCCAATTAAGTTTTTCAGCCTTGTTAAAAGGCAAAAAATCAATAGAGATTTAATCAAATCTGAGAAACATTGGCTAAAATGCTTGAGAATAATGAAGAAGACTAATTGATAAACTACAGATTCTATTCTCTGCAGACTCTCTTGCCCAACAAGTGTCAAGTTCAAAAATTTCGTACCCAGTCATAAAATCACCTAAGTGTTTTCTTAAATATACATGTTAAATTCAGATTTGCAGATCAGGATTCAAGGAAGAGCTAAATGCATATTACAGGGGCATGACATTTGATGTCACATAACCAGAAGGGAAGACAATAACTAAATTTCATATGATGATAGTGTTGGTGAGGCAGAGGCTGATTAAACTTCTGAAACCATTCCTGAGTCTACATTTAAAATTGGTTTGGCAACTGATCTGAGACAATGAGTGAGCAGTAATGGAAAGCTGAAAATGAGAAAGGCAAAGGAAATAAAGCATGTGTGTGGGTGATGAACCCAACGTTGAACTTAGCAAACAAAACAGCAAGCAAACAAAACCCAATTTAGGTGGTAGGAAGGTCGAGTCAATAAATAATGTTCGTTCTTTGAAAATCACAAAGGGTAGCAGTTGGTACAAAGTCTACCTCTATTCACCAATACCCTTCTCAGAGCACATATACATTGTTCCAAACTATTATGGAAAATAGATTAAAAATGCTAGTTATTTCTAGGTAGCTACCTAGATGCTTTCTTAAAACTTGAATAGAGGTGTGGAGGCAGAAAATTATACAGTATTGAAGAAAGCACCATTTGACTTTTGAATCATGTAGGTGAGTAATAGATGAAAATGGTGGATGGAAAGCAGTGAGGAAGGCTCAGATCCTGGCCTTCCATGAATGGGCTGGTTCTCCAGTCTCTAATGAGCCACTGACATTTTCCACACAGAGGAGTGGCATGTTCAGAATGGGTGTTTCACTTTTAATCAAAGTCTCCTGGAGAGACTCCTACTGAAGAATGAACACTGCTCTACTATCTCCCAGTAGGTCAAGAATTCAGAAAGGAAAAAAGAGACAGAATGGGAATGAATATTAGTTGTTCTTATGAAATAAAATGATATAAGCGCACTTTGCTTTTCCCTTCTCTATTCCTTTTAACATAATATCAAGACCTATAGTTTTAGAAAAAATTAAATTGTTCCAGACCTTAGAAAATAGGAAACTCATTTCATAGCTTCTTTCCAGAATCAAAAGTTGATATCACAGAATGGAGTTGTTTCTCTACCCATCTAATTTATACATATAAATAATATATGTGAAGGGTTATATTTGTTTCAAATGTGTTAGGTCCTATAAGCAGAATTTTTAAACTGTAGCCTTAAGGTTGAGAATAAGATCACTTCCTTTTATGCTCTCTAATCTCTTTTCTGTCTCCCTGACAAAAGCTCTGCTGACTATCTTGGCTGACAGATTTTCTGGGCTTAAAAAAGATAACAATAATAATACTCTGTTTTTTAATGATCTGTTAATTGAGGTTGGAATTAAATTAGTCTATAATATACAGAGAAAAAGTTATGTGTTTTGGAAACAGCAGAGGCAACACAGTCACCGACCTCTCAGGTTGTGCTATTTGCTCCAACTTGTATGGCAACAGAGCTGGCAACTGCACAAAAACAACACATAAAAGAGCCAAAAAAGAGAAAAAGGGACAAAAAGAGTTATAGTTCCCTATAATTCTGTCAGTCTTTGATATCATTTTCACAAAGCAGACAGGAATAAAGAGTAAAGTATCTGTTGAATGGAAATTATTCTTTGGCGTAATTTTATTTTTTATTCTTTATTGGCTCATCTAATTGTCAATGATTCCTGCTGATCAAACATCTGGGATGTTCCTCCCCGGCTGCACCATCTCTCCAGCTCCTCTGCCATCTCTCTCATCTAGGTCTTTTATTTTTTACAAGGATTATTGAGTAATCAGCTTCCCTCTCTCATTCTTTTTTTAAACAGCCTAAGTTATGTTCCTAAAAATGAGGCATGTATCATTTCCTCTCCGTCATCATTGTCATTTCCAGCATTTCCACTTGCCACACGTGCAAGTGTTGCTTGTTCCCATCCTGGTCTCTGTGGCCCTTCATGCTAGCTTCCTGAGAAAATGCACATCCCAGTAAGTAAGGACAAATCATGAGGCAGGGTGAAGGATGACCTGAAAATAAGGAACAAACTACTGTACGTGAGCATATTAGTCACTGAAAACAGACCTATAACCATCAATAGTTCAAAGAAACTCAAACTGCAACCCAAAGAATCTGCGTATGAATAAGGACTTCACTGATTATTTTCTGACCCAAGGTACTGCTATTATTGTGGATATTGAAATGTTTTATACATAAACTATATCTCCATATGGTATTGAGATTTTGTTAAAATTTATTTGCTCATTGTGTTAGTTCCTAAGGGCTGCCATAAAAAGTACCATAAATTAGGTGGCTTAAAACAACATATTTTTTTTTTCTCATAGTTCTGAAAATGTGAATTCTAAAACCAGAGTGTTGGCAGCGCCATGCTTTCTCTGAGACTCTGGGTAGAATCTTTCCTTGACTTTAGCAACCTTCTGGTAAGCGACTGTGAATTCAAGGCATTCCTTGGCCTGACAGCTGTGTCATTCCAATCTCTGCCTCTGCCATCACGTGGCATTCTCCCTGTATGCCTCATTTCACATCATCTTCTCTCTTTTTATAAGATAACCAGTCATATTGGAGTAAGAGTCTGTCCCACTCCAGAATGACCTCATCTTCAGTAATTTATTGTGCAATGATCTGTTTCCAAATAAAGTCACGTTCTGAGGCAGGCACTTGGGGTTTGGACATTAGCATGTCTTTTTGCCAGATACAATTTAAACCATAACATCCATAGTTACTCATTTTCTAGTAGTTGTCTAGTATATAGTTTTTGACTCTATAGTTTACATAAAAATTGATATTTCAAATATTCCAAATATATTTCAAGATCATAAATAATTTTAAAAACCAGATAACTTTGTTTATAACACTGTTTTATTAAATATGATTGTTAGCCTAAATTAATGTTCTGGAAAAATTGAAGAAATATCACAGTGGTGAATTGTGGCATTAGATCCCTGTCTTCCAACTATACAGTTTTCCTCTACCTCTTATATCATATTTTAAAATTTTCTTATTTTGTCACAAGGATTGATAATAAATGGCAATAAATAAAAGAAACAAGGAAGAGAAAAATATCAATAACCTTATGAAATGAGGGGACCCTACACATAGGCAGTCAGCTATATACATAATGCGATTTTCGAAGGTCTGAAAAAGGTCATATATATAAAACCATCTCCCATATCAGTCTTCTGTTACAATTAAATCTTCCTAAGAGCTTTCTGAAGACTTGCATATTTTAGCTGGAATAAAACATTACATTGCTTAGACAAAAGAGGAATTAAGCAACTAGTACATAGTTGTCATCTAGTGAAGATAGGGCTTTTTATGCAATGGGATGAAAAAAAATTGAAGGTTGGAAAAAAGAAGGGTCATAAAGCTTTAATGTAGTCCAGCACTGTACCCTTAGTAAAGAATTCCAGGGATGCAGGAGAAAATACATGTATAAGGATTATCTGAGAGAAAGCATCTGAAAGGTGGTAGTTGTATGTGCTAGGACTCTCCAATATAAGAAAAAGTTTGACTAGTATAGTTGCGCTTGGTTTCATCACGTTCCTAAGGTTGAATTATCCACATAGCTCCTCTTTAGGAAAATTGCCACTTGAAAGCCACACAGGTACATAAAATTCAATAAGTTCACAATTTAATTAACATTTTGGACCATAACACTGTTTACCCATCTATGTTTATTGTGTTGATAAGTGGTACAACGTCTACCTAGATGCAACATGAACTCTTCTCCATCCATTCATAGCATAATTTAAGATTTAGAGAGTTCCTACCACCAAAAAAAACCAGTGTTTTGTAACTCACCTTCTCCCTGACCAAGTATAATTAACCAAATATAATAATGAGGAAACAAAAAACTCAAATAAAAAATGGGGACTAAAATTTGAAGAGACAGCATCAAAAGATATATAGATGGCAAATAAACACATGAAAAGATGCCCAACATCTGTTGCACATTAGGGAAATGCAAATCAAAGTCACAATGAAGTATCACTGCATACCTATTAGAATGACTAAAATTAAAAAAAATATCTAATTAAAACATATGTTGATACATGTTTGCAGACACTTAAACTTTCATACATTGAACAACAAAATATAAATAGCTTTTTAAAAAGAGTTTGCAGTTTGGTTTGGTTTGTTTTTAAATTAAATATACATCTACCAATGATACATCCATTCTTACTCTAGGCATTTATCCAAAATAAAATAGAAAATAAAAAAGAAAATAGAAAATAAAAATTTATATACATAAAAACACTTGACTACAAATATCATAGTAGCTTTTTTGTAATAGCCTCAAACTGGAACAAGCCAAATGTCCACCAACCCAGGACTGGATAAGCAAAATATGGTATATTCATATAATGGAAGATTAGTCAGCAATGAAAAGGAATGAACTGTTGTATTGATATACACACATGGTTGAATATTTTTTAAATTATGCAGAATGAAAGAAGCCAAAGGAAAAAAAGAACACATACTGTATAATCCCATTTATATAAACTCTAGAAAATAAAAACTAATCTAGTGACAGGCAGCAGATCAACAGTTGCCTACGGGGGAATGGGGAGGGTGCAAGGAAGAATTATAAAAGAGCAGAAGGTAACCTGTGATGGTGATGGATGTGTTCTCTATCTTAATTTGTTTATGTTTTCACAGGTGTATACATTTTACAAAAACTTACCAAAGTACTCACTTTAAATATGGGCAGTTAATTGTATGTCAATTTTCCTTCAATAAAGTTGCTATAAAATAAGTCTGGCTGAGCATGGTGGCTCATGCCTGTAATCCCAGCACTTTGGGAAGCCAAGGCAGGCAGATCACTTAAGGTCAGGAGTTTGAGACCAGCCTGGCCAATATGGTGAGACCCCATCTCTACTAAAAATACAAAAAGTAGCCAGAAATTGCTTGAACCCAGGAGGCAGAGGTTGCAGTGAGGTGAGATCGTGCCACTGCCCTCCAGCCTGGGCAACAGAGCAAGACTCTGTCTCTAAGTAAAAATAAATAAATAAATAAATAAATAAAACAAGTCTGTTCCTATTTTGCTGGTATGAAAAGCACATTGAGGATTATCAACCTCCAATTTGTTGCCAATATTATCAAGTCAGCCTCTTTACTTTCTCTTGTGTTCATCTCCTTATTTTGTCTCAATATTCCCCCTTAATTATCATGGCATATCATCATAATAAAACATCAGATGCATGGGAATTTAAATGAGTACATTCATTATGGAAAATAGTATGGAGGGTCTTAAAAAAGTAAAAATAGAACTACCATATGGTCCAGCAATCCCACTACTAGGCATATATCTATAAGAAGTGAAATCATTATGTCCAAGAGATATCTGCACTTCTGTGTTTTTTGCAGCAGTATTCACAATAATCAAGATATGGAATCAACCTAACTGTCTATCAATGTATCAAAGGATAAAGAAGCTGTGGTATAGATATACACTAGAATATTATTAAGCTTTATGAAAAGATGGAATTTCTGTCATTGGAGACAACATGGATGAAACGGAAGGGCATTATGTTAAGTGAAATAAGCCAGACATAGCAATGCAATTACAGCATGATCTCACTGATATGTGGAATCTTAAAAGTTTGAATTCACAGATGCAGAGAGTAGAATGATGATTACCAGGGGCCGGATGGTGGGGGTGGAGTTGAGGAAGATGTTGGTCAAAGGGCGCATCATTTCAGTTAGATAAGTTTAAGACATTTTTTGTATAATGTGGTGACTATAGCTAATAACAATGTATTATATTCTTGAAGATCATTGAGAGTATATTTTAAGTGTTATCACCACAAAAAAAGATAAGGAAATGAAGTAACGCATATGTTAATTAGCTCAATTTAGCCATTGCATAATGTATGCACATTTCAAAATATTATATTGTAATCAATAAATATATGCAGTTTTTATTTAATTAAAAAAAGAAATGAACCTCTTTTACAAAAAGAAAATCGTATGCATGACTCTAGGCCTAACTCAAATCAGTCTTTGAGTTCCTCTCCTTCTAACCCATGGACCATTCTGCTGAGATGGTAGGCCTTCCAGCATGCATATTTACCTGCATCTTTCTCATTTAAAACTCTGAACTATTTCATAGTCCTCAGGAAAGAGCCCCAGATAGCTCCTGTACGACACTTTCTCTGCCTTCCCTTAGCCCTGCACGGTTACACTTCAGGCATACAAACCACTCAAAGTGCTTTAACCATGCCTGGGCCTTCCTCACCGTTACAGGTTTGTGTATAGTATACTGATACATTTGCCTGGAATTAACCATCTCCTGATTTTTCATGATGAGTTCCTATTGGTCTTTCAACTCCGCTTCAGATTCCCCTCATTACTTCCAGAGTTAATTGTTCTAAGTACTGTTTTTGTACCTTAAACATACATTTACAATTGCACCTATCCCCTATATCTCCAGCATTATAATTAGGAATTATAATGAGATATTTGAAGAAGGTCTGTCACTTTTCATCACTTAATCCCTAGCACTAGTGCCTGGCACTGAGATGTCAATGGCTATTTACTCAATTGGATTAACCGCTGAACATAGCAGAAGGCTTATGGGTTTATTTAGTCAGGCATTAACTGCTCATGTAAGTTCCACAGAAAACCCTGGTTGAAGTCAGTAACCTCAACAACAAGGACGCTTTATATTCTTGTGCCTATTTCTAGAAGTTACACATATAATTAGCTTCCTCTGCCTCTTCTTAACATAATGTGAAATAGTCTAGGCAGCTTCCCAGGAGATCACTGGGTTGCTTGAGGGTAGGGTAAGAAGGCTGCCTCAGTCCAGGTTAGAAGTCAGTGCTTAGAAGCTATTCTTTTTTATTATTATACTTTTAAGTTTTAGGGTACATGTGCACAATGTGCAGGTTTGTTACATATGTATACATGTGCCATGTTGGTGTGCTGCACCCATTAACTCATCATTTAGCATCAGGTATATCTCCTAATGCTACCCCTCCCCCCTACCCCCACCCCACAACAGGCCCCGGTGTGCGATGTTCCCCTTCCTGTGTCCATGTGTTCTCATTGTTCAATTCCCACCTATGAGTGAGAACATGCGGTGTTTGGTTTGTTTGTTCTTGCGATAGTTTGCTGAAATCAAGTTTTTCTTGGAAAGTACATCTTTACAAGGAGCAGAAAGTCAGAATATTTTAAATAGTCATCAAGGAAATACATTTCAGAGTAACGTGTTTTTATTCTACAGGAACTGATGAAAGAAGGGCAAGACCCAGAAGTGGCAAATCTGGTATTCAATATTCTTCAATTCTCTTGATACTATTTAAAATATAATAATGATATTTTTCCTCACCTTGCTTTTCTTGTGTAAACAGACATATGCATGTCTAATGAAAAAATGAAGTTTCTAAAAAAAGGACAAGCCAATATTAAAGAATCTGTGTCCTTGAATAATTCTATTAATGATGTCTAAACATTGGGAAGAAATATCAACATTCGACTTGTGCAGGAAAATATTGATGTTAAAAATACACATATAAGAACTATCATTTTTATAATCCTTAGTCTCTATCGAGTATTATTCACTACTCATATAAAATTTGAAACATTGCAAAAGTAGATTCAAAGTTTTATTCTCTTGTGCTGTCATGAACATATACCATAGAACATATATGAATAGACTAAAGCAACTTGTATGTTTTGAGTAGGAAACTTCAATATTCAGTATCACTCTGTTCCAAGATGTAAATATACCCTCAAACTCCATTTCACTAAGTTATAAACTTCTGTAATACAATCTGTTTGTAATTTAGGGACTGTCTCTAAAAGGCTTTCAATAATTATCTTTAAATGTCACAGTCACAAGACATGAACAGAGTGTTTAGTAGTTAGTTACGTATATACAATCTGATTACAAAGTCCAAGGCAAATTCTAAAAATAAGCCTCTTATATAGAAAAAGTTCAGTTTTACAGTTTCCTATGTCAGTACTAATATCCATTCCAACTCCTTCCTACCACCACCATAACTACTGCAATATGATTCAGGCAGTCCTATAGACAGTAATCCAGTGACTCTTAATCCTCTTGCAATTCTGGGATACCCAAAATTTCATATCTACTTTCTTTGCAGTGGAACCAAGACTATGCTTCTAGAACTCCTTATATTAGCTAGGAATGGTGTGATTAGGAGATGAAAGAATTCGTACAAAATTACAGCTAACTGATTCATCTTACTCTTTCATTTTCACTTAAGAAATGATAAAAGACAGTGAAAGCCAGAGATGTAGGTCCCAAAACTGAAGGAACTGTGCCTTTTCACTTTGGACATCTTCTTGGACCTCTTTGATCTGAGTCTCCTGACCTTTACTGACTGGGGGAGGAGGAAAAGTTAACAGTCCTCATGTCTTCCAGCTTCAACGCCAGCACTCTTTCTCTCCTAAAATAGAGATTGTATTTCTTGGTTCAAACAGAAAATAGGCCTCCATACTTGATAGTAAATAGAATTAAAATCTTAGCAATAATAAACATAATCCTAATTAAACAAAGTGCCTCTTTTCTTTTTGTAGCTAGATTTTCTGTGGAAATAAGTAAAAGCTATAAGGAGATTTAAAAATGCTCAAGAATTTCTTGCTAAGCTCTTCTCTAGTGCTGGAAAGTCCATTTGATAGCAAGCAGAACCTATCTGCTTCATTTCATCTAGACATATTATTGCCAAATGTGAGTAACTATTTAACCACCTCCAAACTTTACAATGCAATTTTTGGTGCATCATACATATGCTAAATGTAGTCAAAATATTTACTTATATTTCTGTCAGGATAAATTTACTTTACCCAAAACATTGTTGAAAGTTGAAGACAATGTGAACATTTTTTCCTTCCCTAATTTCAGGAAGACAATGATATATATTCTTGGACATTTCTGTAGGCACCTAGTTCCCTGATCGCAAAGGAATTCAAAAGTCACAATAGGGAATGTTTTCATATCTACCCTTAGAATTTAAGAACAGTGGGCAATGGTCTAAAATTATGTATATATATACACACACACATACACACACATATTCTTAAATTATATATATAGTTTATATATACATATATAACTATATATGTATATATATAATTTAAGTTAAAAATCTTAATTTCTAGTAAGTCATGTATTCCACTAGTTGAAAGTAAAAAGTAAAAGTTCCAGAAAGTGTCAGATACTTCCTTTTTCCTTCTCCGTATACATAAACAACATCTAACTAATCTCTACCTTCTCGGCAGGTTGAAGATGGGTTTCTCATTTAGAAAGGACTAGAGGATCATTTATGACATACTTGCCTGAGATTTACATACTCTCTTTATTTTATTTTTACCACAATAATCTTCTGTCATATCTGTACAATTTATAGGTCTTCCCAGAGAAGGAAATATCCACCTCTAACTGAAGCTAAGTAGAAGACAAAGTTTTCCACCCTAGGAGAGTGTGGAGGCAGAAAAACACTGGGGATGAACTTGAGGAGTCACATTTAAGGCAGTTCTTCACTATATCACTGCAGTATCAGCCTTAAAAATAGTCTGGTATTTAGACTGAGAATATGTTTTGAGTTGAGGAATGGGAACTCATTATCTAAGAGGTAATGATAACTTCTGGTACTAAATGTTGTCAGCATTCAGATTTCTGTTCAATACCTGGATTTTAAGAAAATCCAAAACATCATGAGGAAGTGTAATTCACATTGGAAGGATATTAACCAAGCATAAAATATTTTGCTGTAATAGTGAAGAGTACAGAATTAATATTTAACAATAACAGTACTGATAATCAACAATAATTGTAGAATGACTAATTTAATGGGAAGGGCACAATTTTATATTTGAAACAAATAGGGAATGATAAATCACATCCTCTTTCATTACTCACCTTTCCTCCTTCATGCACACATTCAAAACTCCAGTAGTCCCTTTTCCCCAACACTTTCTCTTCCTTATTTAACCAGTCCAATCACCACTCTACTTTATTCTCTGTCCAGTGGCTCTCATTCTGAAAAAGCCTTCCTGAAACACCCTTCACAGTGATGGGTTTTCTTTATATGTGCATGTATCATGGGATCAACTATAATATAAAACATTATAGCTATTTACATATTTATCTCTGCAAACTCGCATACCAATTTGATATTATTTATCTCTGCATCTAAAATTCCATTCAGAATTTCTGGTACAAGGAATATTTTTGAAAATTTTTTTAGAATAAATGAATAAACATATGAATAGTAACAGCAGAGAAACAAATTTTACCTACTGTTATCAAAATTGTGCCTGTGTTATTTTATGGCTTTAAGATTGCTGCATATCATGGAAGGAGAGGCTGTGCCTATACATAGGACAGATGACAAAAGAAAGACAAATAAGCAATAAGATATTCTTTGTCAAAGAAGTCAAAGATATACAGCACATTATAGTACTGGCTTAAATAGTCTATCTGAAGCATTAGGAAGAATATTATTTTCTCAGCAAATAAACATGATCATGAAATATAGAAAAAGAACTGTTTGCTTTAATTCTGCTGCAAATTAATTACTAATTTCTAACCCTTAATGGATTGTCAGACTTCTACTCTCTTGGTTTAGGTAAACATTAAGAGATTAATCAATGATCCCCGGCTTAAGCATAAGACTTGAAGTATAAACAAAATAAATGTTGGCTGTGGCTCTGTTTTAATACACAGAGTTTGAAGGATAAAGTAAATAGAGGAATGCACAAAACTTTGTTTATTTATTTATTTTTGGTTGCTACTCCTTCCTTTTAAAAAGAGTTGTTTATTTAAATTTTTCAGATTTTAAGAGGGTGTTATTACCTACACCACACAGAAAAAGTACTTCATGAGATTATCTCATTCCTATTTTTCAGCTATGGTTGAATGCATTTTGTAAGTTTGGTATGGAAATTATTGGTTTTCACATCAAAGAGAAAGACACAGCTTAGGAATATTAATATAAAGTAACACATGACTGTTTCCTGGCAAAATACATTACTAAATACATACTTTCTACTTCCAAACACATTATTTGTCCCTTATTCTGTTCAAAAAAATGTTAGCTGATGATCTTCTTTATGGGTCTTGAATCTGTCTTGTCTCTAAGGTATAAAATCTGTATGACTAGAGATATCTGGCCATGGATTTTATCAGTTACAGATTTTCAATTAGGAAAGGGAAAAAAGTGAATGAAAGCAATTATTTTTTGAATGGAAAGATAGACTATTGCTTTTATATGAAGGTAATTGAGAAATAAGCTTCTGGGGCCTATATGATGCTGTATAATTTGTAATTAGTTATTCTCTCTTATACCAGGCAAAGGCTGATTTTGTACTTTAAAATGAAACTTCATTAAAAAATCTTCTTCACAAAGTAACCACAAAACAAAGTCTACTGTTGTGAATATATTAATTCTTAAGTCAATGATCTAAAAGGTCACGCAGAATGTGTTTAGATAAAATAGTACTACATACCTTTTGCTTAAAATATTTGTGTTTTTATACTAGAGGTCTATTATTGCTGCCCATTTTGAAGCTTCCTTTTGTTTGCATTGTACAAATTCACAAATAACTTTTTGGAACAGAGTTTAAAGATAATATATTCCATGAATTATTTTAACATCATATTAAATAGATGATCATAGAAATGGTTATTTCAAACAGAACTTCTCTGCAACATTTTCTAAGGGTTTATGGTATAAGCAATGATAGTACTTTGAAAATTGTTAAGTATGATACAAATATTGTGACAATTAGATCTTAACTGTATTCAATGTGAAGTAATTTATTAATTAATAATGGAATAAACAAATCCATGATTCCAGTTTAAAGATTCCTGAATTCTGTTACATTTAAAGTTTTATTCCCTGTGCTCCCAGAATAAATGAATCACCAAAATGTGAATAAATTTGAAGTTCACTTTAATTATTTTCACTACCATTCAAGATATAAGTCTCTGTAAGATATAGCAAAGATATCTAAGAAAAAAATACAGTAATCTGTAAAGAGATTTAAAGTGAATATCTTTCTATATTTCTTTACATAATTTTTTATTTTAATACTTGGCTTGTTTGCCTTGACCAGTAAACTATAGACATTTAATGTATAAGTCTGGTACAGTGCTGTCCCCCAAAATAAAACGTGAGCCATATTTGCAATTTAAAATGTTCTAATAGACATATTTCAGAAAAGAAAGTAGAAATAGGTAAAATTAATTTTAATAATTAATTTTAATAATGGCATTTAACATATCTAAAATTATTTCATAGTAGGATATAAGCAATATAAACATTTATTAATGAGATATTTTGCATTCTTTTCCTTTCTTTTTTGTACCAAGCCTTTGAAATCTCGTGTGCATTTTACGCTTTCAGCATATTTCCATTTTGACAAACTATATTTTGAGTGCTTAAATGCCTCATGTGGCTAGTGGCTACGATATTGGAAAAGGCAGTCCAAGTGTTGTTAAAGTCATAGATGATGGATATCTTTAGAAATTTCAAAAGAACCCTCAACAGGTCTATTCCAGAAGATAGGGATTGTGGTTATGTCCTTGATTGCCTTTCTCTCCAAAGATTGACAAGTGGGCAGTCAACTGATGATCCCCACACTGCTTTTCACTATTACCCAATGCTACATAGTACAGGGGATTTGCATTCCTCTCTCCCACTTATAGAGCCCCTTTTATAGTGCTAAAAGAAGATTCAATAACGGAGATCTCCAAGACTTTAGAAATGGGATGTCCAGTCACCGATTTCTGTTCCTAGGATGGACTTTGGAAGCAGATAGCCCTGCCTAGGCAATGATACCTAGTCCCATGCATTTTTTCATTGTCACGCTATCAGTGAGCGATCACTGGTGTTAATAGTTCCTATCTTGAAAAGTAGATAGGACTGAAGTAGTTCAGCTTATCAGTCAGTAACGTTTCTGTATAGCATATTTTTGAATAGGAAATCAGATTACTTTGCCCCTTGCTAATATTATCCTCAAGAGCATGGGAGAATTGGTCAGTTTTTATGTGGGAGCATTTCACTAATGGATTGGCTTGAGAGAGGTTCTGCCAAAGGAGCTTTGTAAAACTTAATGACCTGGAAAAAGCATGTCTAGAGAAGGGTGAGAGGCTGAAATAGATGTCAGGGGGGCCAAAGATACAACCTGCATATTAGCAAATATCTCATGTGCCTGAGATCTTAACACTGCAAATGAGTTGCTTATTGTGCATTTGTATTTGTTCCTCAAAAGAGAAAGAAATGCATGAGGTTTACTTCCAACATTGAAGATGCACATGACTGAAAAAAGTTGAACAGACAAAACACATGCATGCTCACACAAGCACCCTCTATGTCAGGCTAACTAAGATTTGTTGTTCTTAGAAAGTTAGAGGTATAAGGCACTTCAAAAATCATCAAGCATTTCATTTTTCAACCTTTTGTTTTTTCAACCAGGAATCTGACGACCATGGAAGCCAGGTGAATTTCCAGGGACACAAAACTAGCAGCAGAAGCAGAGTTAGCTCCTTATAGATGTGGTATTGATTGGGCCTTCCTGGGTGAGGGAGAAGAGTTTTGGGATTAAGTCAACCCCAAAATGATTTAAAGATTATATAACTACAATTCCAAGTCAGTAGTTACAGAATTTGCAAAGGAACTGTATTACTTACATGACCACGTACCATTTTACATTCTTTTATCTAGATAATAAAAGGCATTAAACAAGTAATCCTGGTTTAATCAACCTCTAAAGATTGCCTGAAATAAAAGCTAAACTTTCAGTTATAAAGTACTGGCTCTTTATTTAACAACTTTTCTTTTCTTTCTTTTAATCTTATGGAGTCCCTGGGATTGTTGTAGACAGTTTCTCATTATCTGAATAACCAACATAGTCCCTTCAAAGAAAGATAGCTGTTTCCACTGTCTGTCTTCCATGTCTTACTTGGTGTTTTATAAAGGGACTAAAAGAACGTTTCAGTCTTAAAAAACTGAGGAAGAAGAGTAATTTTACATAGGATCAGGTATAGTGATCTGAACATACATAATGGAAAAGAAAAGGAGAAGGTGGACTCCCACCTCCCTCAAAAAACCCATGGATGTTTTGTTTTGCAGTTTAGTTTTTATTCTAGAGGGTCAAGTAGAGGAATCACTTACTGATCCTAAGGATTAATAAATCAATGTTCTCTGCTATAAGAGAGGTGAGTCCAGGAAGAAGAGGTCATACACATAGTGACCAAGAAGTGGCTATATTTTTAGGAGGAATCTGTGCATTCTTTGTTTCTATTTCAACTTTTATATAGGAATTGCCTAGGTTTATCCCTATGCATTCCCTTCCTTTACTCCACGACTTTTCCTGAATCCTCCATTTCTCTCTCTGCTTTTATTACTGCACCCAAGCTTGCTTCCTTCCTTCCTTCCCTCCTTCCTTCCTTCCCTCCCTCCCTTTCTCCCTTTCTTTTCTTTTCTTTTTTTTCTCTTTCGCTCTCTCTCTTTCCTTTCTTTTCTCTCTCTTTTTTTTGTCTTACTCTGTCGCCCAGGCTGGAGTGCAGTGGTGTGATCTTGGCTCACTGCAACCTCTGCCTCCTGGGTTCAAACGATTCTCCTGCCTCAGCCTCCTGAGCGGCTGGGACTACAGTCATGTGCCACCATGCCCGGCTAATTTTTGTATTTTCAGTAGAGACAGGGTTTCACCACGTTCACAAGACTGGTCTCGAACTCCTGACCTCAGGTGATCCATCCACCTTGGCCTCCCAAAGCGCTGGGATTACAGGCGTAAGCCACTGTGCTGGGCCTATTTCTTATCTGACATATTTCAGTTACTTGCCCCACTCTATTCTAAACACAACATCTAAACTGATCTTTTCAAAATCACACATTTAATCATGACACATAGCTGCATAAAATCTTTTAAAAGCTGCTTTTAGCATTTAGGATAAAAACTAAAATTCTTAAAGAGGACACGCCCAATCTCACCTCTGCCTACTACTCTTTAGGGTTAGCTCACCCACTAGCCTTGCTCTCTGTGCTCCAGCCACACTGATTTCTGCCATCAAAGTATCACCCCACATGATGCTCCCTTTGTCTACTATTTGTAATCCCTCACCGCTCCTTTACTTCTTTTTTCCTCCTATTCAGTCAGTTCAGATTCCCTCTGGCATTGTTACATTGCTCCATATATCCTTCTTCATAATGCTTTTCAAAGACTGCACTAGTACTTTAATTTGAGCCATTATTTTTTATAATCTCTCCCACTAGACTGCTAGTTACACAAGGGCAAGAACTCTACTTATTCACCTCAGCATTACCAAAGCCTAACAATTCCTAATACGTATAGGTACACAAACAATATTTGTTTAATGAAGAATAAAGGCATGTATGCATATGTGTGTGCATAAATAAATTGATGAAAGCAATGAGATACTTATTGCACCTCTCCTAGAATAGTTCAGAGTGATCCCAATAATTTGCAGGAGTTTCATGGTCTAAAGAGAGCTGAAAGCACTTGTCTAGGACCACCTTCCAGACTTGTCCACCTTTCTTATTCCTTGTATCTTAGGCTGGATATGGCTGGAAGGTATAGTATGAGCCACGTGATATTGCCAAAGCCAAGAGCACAATGCCATTTGCAGGCCAGATATGCATATCTCTATGTCAACATATAGACCTGTAGGAAATCAAGGAAATCAACAAAGTAATGCATCTTTGCATAGGTTGAATGGTAGTAAATGAATAAGAGAATTTTCTATTTTACAGAAAAAGCATGTATTATATGAAGTGTCCAGACTCCAGAGCCAGAAAGATCTGTCTTTAAAATGCAGATTATAAAAATAGTTGCCTTTTGGGGAAGAATCAAATGAGATAAAGGATGTGAAGAGCTTATTACAGTACCAGGTGCAAAAATATTATTAGTTCTTTCCTTCTTCCTGCCGTCCCATCCCAATGCACATATTTGCATTGAGGACATTACACAGCTTAAAACAATTTGAAATATTGCTGTATCTACTTGCAACTACAGTGAGATAAGTGGGTTCACAAACTTTAATCATATGTTGCTTTTTCTGGACACCGCATCCGACCTCATAAGGAATTATTACTCACTAGATCATAACATCATAGGCTGTTTTGTCAGATAAGACACTTGCGAAATCTACCAGTTGAAATGTGATCTTGGTCATTATCCAGAATTGGCCTATATTAAAAATTGTCTATCTCTCTCCTCTTGTAACTGTA
The DNA here is from genome assembly GCF_000001405.40 of Homo sapiens. NCBI lineage: Eukaryota > Metazoa > Chordata > Mammalia > Primates > Hominidae > Homo > Homo sapiens. The sequence goes on from NC_000013.11 coordinate 37,715,865, forward strand.
TATGGAGGTTTGAATTGCTTGCTAGGAATTATCCCTGCCAACCTATGACAGATACAGCGAAGTGACTCAGAGGAACCGTGGGAATGTGCCTCAGTGCCCCACTCCATTTTAGGAGCCAAGGCGTACACATAGGCATTTTGCATGTCCTTTTTAAGAGCCTCAAGACCTGATAAAACTTTGTTAGAATGTAATATGTTGTTTTTGAGTGTTTGTATTTTTACAGACTAAGAGAAACATGAAAACTTTTTTTTCTCCTTGCTGCAAATCAAAAGCCAAGAGAAAATATTGTTTAAAACATATCTTAATTTGTTATGTGTTGTTGGTGTGACTTCCTGCATAGTTTCTTAGATGGAATAATGCTTTGGCAATCACCTTACCCTTCAAGGTACAAAAAAATTCTAAGTACTAAAATATACGGGAATTACAAGTAAGGAGACGAATAAATTCATTAAAGATGAGGTACCTTCTGTTAGAGGAGAATTTTGAATCCTAAAATTATAAGTACATTAATTTTAAAACTACTCACTTGAATTTGCACTTCTATTTCATACCAACTGTTCATTAGCAAAGGTTTCTTTACCATACATTTGCCAATACGGGGTAGCTCATGAAGAGAGCACTGGCTTTGAGTATCTAGTCAAGTTTTGTATAAGAAAACTTCTAGGCTGAGTTATTCTTTTTCAAAATAAAGTTGAACTCTGAACCTACATAGTATCTTGAGGAAGTGGTTAGTACTTTGTGTATGTGGTGGGAGGGGAGGTCATTCTGAGGACATAAAAGACATTACTGCTAAAATATGAATGTTGATTCTTAAATATTTTTAACATAAAATTTCAGATAAACAGATCTTAAAAAAAACCACGCACTCTCTCTACTCAAGGGCTATTTTTAATCGTTACAAGTCTCAACGAGCATGGTATTTTTAAACTAGGAAGCTGGAAAAAAACATTTTTATTTTTAAATTGTCCTTTGTGAGTTTATTTTCCTCATAGCTGCTTCTCTTGTGTACGTCTGAGTTCTTAAAGTGTTTTTTTATCATGTTTGATATAGGAGACTAAGAGAGAAGTCTGGTGGGGACGGTGGTAAAATATCATAGACTGAATACATGTTTATATAACCAAACGCACACTCTTTGATCTGGCGACCTAGAGTAAGTGTGTAATAACACAAGTAGGTGGAAAACAAAAACATCAGAAGTGAGGCTGCCCAGAAGATAGTAACTTATTTCCATGACAATACTTCATATTCACAACATTTTACAGGGAGTTATAAGGGAGAAAATCAGTTTCAAGAACAATTTTCAAAAATTTAATGATATAATTCTCAGTGAATTATATTGATTTAGAGATTTATACTGAAGCTTTTCACAGAGTGAACAGCTAATAGATGACGATATCAGAAAATAGTTTTAGAATAGAGGACTATTTCTACATTAGAAACATACAGATTTTAAGTCTACATTTTAAATGCTATTGGCTACTTAATAGTAGGAAGAGGAATGGACATAGGTTGTATTTTACACACCAACATGAGTTTATTAGCAACGTGGGTCTAGAATGTATACTGAAAGGGAGTAGCCTGTCTGAATCTCTGTCAGCTGTGGTGTGGCTGAAACATTTCTTTATGAGCTGTTATGGTCTCAATTGTGTCCTCTACCCAAGATTAGTATGTTGAAGTCCTAACCCCAGAACCTTAGAGTGTGACAGTATTTAGAGATAAAGTCTTTAAAGAGGTAATTAAGTTAAAATGAAATATAGAGGGAAGACCAGGTGTAAATGCAGAAAGAAGAGAGTTATATTCAAGCCAAGGAGAGAGGTCTCAGGAAAATCCAACCCTCTCTATGTGTTGCTCTCAGTCTTCTAGCCTCTAGAGTTGTGAGAAAATAAATTTCTGTTGCTTAAGCTACCCAGTAAGGGGTACCTTCTTATGGAAGCCCTAGGGAACTAACATATAGACCAACCCCCCCGAAAAGAACAGCTATAACTTTGAAGAAAACACAATGAAAAACTAACCTTTAATTATAAAAATGAATAAAAACAGGCAGATTCTGGAAGACAGTAAAAACTTGGAAGAAAGGACCAGGCCAATGAGTTTCTTATTTACTTATTTGTTTGCTTGTATATAGCTAGTAGCCTGAGGGCAGGCTACCACTGTGGTACATTGTGGAGTGGCAAGAACTCTGAAAATATGAATAATAATGGCCTACAAAAATATATGACAGTATTCAGGGCAACCACAACTGCTAGAAAATGAAGAGAGAATTCCATAAAAGAGGGAGTCAGAAAAAAGATTCCCAAATTCTCTGCAGAATCCTGAGCCATGCATACGTAGGGCAGACTGCAGACAGTCTAGGTAAAGGGGATTTAGAGAAGTACTGAACTGAGATTTTAAGTATACTGACTTTAAACTACAAAACGCACACACGCACATACACACAAACAGACAAAACTTGAAATGATTATAACAGAATCTAGAGTCTCCACAACAACTTACAGCATCCAAGATACAATGCAAAATTTCTCCTTCTAGAAAGAAGCAGGAAAATGTGATCCATTCTCAAGAGAAAAGACAATCAATGAAGACTGACCCTGAGATGACCCAGATAATGGATTTAGCAGACATAGACTTTAGTTATTATAACTAAGCTCAAGATGGCAAATGAAAAAATATGGTAATAATAAATGAAAACATAAGAAATCTCAGCAGAGAAATAGAAATTATAAAACAGCAAAGTGGAAAGTTCAGAACTGAAAATAAAATACCTAAAATATAAAAATATTACTGAATGAGCTTAACAGCAGAATAGATATGACAGAGGAAAGAGTAAGACAAGCCAAACACAAATCAAGAGAAATTATCCAATCTAAGGAAAAAAGAGAAGGAAATATTAAAATAAGCTAATAGAACCTTAAGTATCCATGGGATAATATCAAAAGGTGTATTTGAAGTCTCAGAAGAATAACAGAAAGAGAATGAGTCAGGAAAAGAATATTTGAGGAGATAATGGCATAAAGTTTCCTCCAAATTGTTGAAATACATAAATTTACGGAATCAAGAAGCTCAGGAAAACCTCAAACAGAATAACAATGAAGAAAACTATGCCACAACACATTATAGTCAAACTTCTAAAACAACAAAAAAGAAAAAAAAATCTTAAAAGCAGTCTGAGAAAAATGGCATATTATATGCAGGAGAACACCAATTAAAATTATTGCTGACATTTCATCAGAAATATAGAGCCCAGAAGGGAATGGGGCAGTATCTTTAAAATGCTGACTACGAAAGACAAAAAACTGTCAATCCAGAATTTTATACTGAATGAAAACATTCTTCAAGAATGGAGATAAGTGGTACATGCCTATAGTCTCAGCTACGTTGGAGGCTGAGGTGGGAGAATCACCTGAGTCTGGGAGGTTGAGGCTGCAGTGAGCCGGGATCATGCCACTGCACTCCAGCCTGGGTGACAGAGTGAGACCATGTCTTATAAAAAGAAAAAAATGAAGGTAAAACAAAGACATTATGAGATAAAAGAACACTAAAAATATTTGTTGCCAACAGACATGTACTACAAGACATGCTAAAGAGGATTCTTCTGGTTTAAAGGAAATGATACTGGAAAAAAAACTCAAATCAGTAAGGAATGAAGAACATTAGAAAAGGCAAATAGGTATATAAAAGATCATTTTTTCTATTATTTGAAAAATAAGCATACCAATGTGTAAAGCAAAAATTAAGACACTGTCTTGTGATGTTTATAATGTATGGAATGTATATGTCAACTACAGCATAAAGAACAGCAATGTGGGGTAAATGGGCCTTTTCTGTGGCAAAGCTTCTACATATTGCATGAGGTATACAATATAAACTCCAAGTAGATTGTGAAAAATTGAGGGTATTGTGGCAGACAGAATAATGCCCTCCCTCCAAAGATGTCCATGTGGATATGCTATGTTACATGGCAAGCAGGAATGAAGGTTGCAGATGGAATTAAGGTTGCTAATCAGCTAACATTAAAATATGTTTTAATGTTAAAACATTATTCTGTTTTAGAAATGTTAAAACATTTCTAACAGAAAAATTATTCTGGATTATCTAAGTGGGCTCGGTGTAGTCAGAAGTGTTCTTAAAAGATGGAAGAAGGAGGCAGCAGGAGGCTAAGGTGATGCTGCTGAGAAGGACTCAACCTGCTACTATTGCTGGCTTTAAAGATGGAGGAAGAGGAAAAGATGGGAAGATCAAGGAAAATGATTATCCTCTGAGCTTCCAGAAGGAATGCAACCACGCCAAGATCTCAATTTTAGCTCAGTGAGACTTGCATCGTATTTTTGACATATTGCCCTATAAAATAATAAAGTTGTGTTGCTTTGAGCCACTATGCAAAAATCTGTTACAGCAGCAAGAGAAAACTAATTAATGTATACATTGAAATTCTGAAAGCAACCACTAAAATATAAGGTGAAAAGGTATAGCTATCTAGGGCAGATCCTAGAACGAAAGAGAATGCCAGATACTTGCCATTCCTAGTAATGGGACGCCTAAGTCTGTCCGTTGTTTTGGACATGAGAAACCGAGCAATGAGGTTATTATTAGTAGTAGTAGTATTATTTTGCTTTTTCCTAGAATCATTTTTTCTGCGTTCTGAACTTTTCTGTGTTTCTGGTGTTCTGAATTATCTAGTGAGGATGGATTTAAATAGTCATTTTATTTTATACTAAAATAATCAGTATTTAAGTGTTTTACAAATAAATATTTATTTCTCAATACCTCAGATAATGACAGATACACCTAAATATTGGCAAAACTAATCTTTTGCACTTGTACTGTTATACAAGTTTTACTCAGGAGTATATTTATTTTTCATTTTTCATTTGAACACCTATTTCCTATTTTGTTAACAGGAGTTTCACTTGGGTACATTCTGAATATACTTCATTTTCAATTCTTTAGGGATACACTTATTTAATAATATACAGAGACACAGCTCAGGATATTTATGCAACTTAACAATTGGTGCAGTCTAATCTCTAAACACATGGTGTGTCAGTGATTTACACAACAGACTCATAGGCTGGTGTAAAAATGTTTGCCACTGCCTGGCAAAATATTTATTATGAGTACTTGGAAGAATTTGAAGAAAAGAACTATTAGGAGACACATTCCAAACAAATAGCTGCTTCTTCATAACCTCACAGACTATACACAAAGCTTCCCAAAAGTCAGCCTATGAATAGTTAGAAAAGAAAGGAGAAGGACCTTGTTCATTTACAGGCTGCATCTTCCCATTTTTCATAAGTGCTTATTTAGAAAATAGTTGTCCACTGCTAAAGAACATTGAAAAAAGAAACCCTCTAGTTTCTTTATTTCCTTCAATAATGTCTTGGAAAAGTTAGCAAATATAGTAGTAAGCTCAATTTATTTTATTATTTATTATATTTTTAATTTCAAAACACTTGTCCAGTAAGTCATTTATTGAAATGCAAAAGATTGTTAATAAAATTATTCCCAAGGGATGTTGTGAAGTGGCATTCAAAATATATTTCAGCACTAATGTTAAAATTTAGGGCTTTCAAAGAGGCTATCTTAGGGTTTATACTATGCCATTTTTAGTAGAATATTGCAAAGGTGTTTCTACCCATTGCTCTTGGCCCTACTATGTATCCATGAACATTATAAAGCAGTTTAGAATGAGGAGCCAATCAGATAGGTAGATTTGGCTGAACATTGCAAACCTTGTAATTTTGCCTTTGAAAAGTGAAACTAAATGTTCGAAGATTGTTTAACTTTATCTTTAAACTGATTCATTTATAAATAACTTAGAATACAGACTTTTCCAGTGAATTTTATTTAAATAAATTTTATTTTCTCATTTTATATTTCAATCTCCTACTGTAAGAGTAAGGTGATTTATAGGCGATTTTATTTATTTTTTTACTTTAAAAATATTTTTATGGGTATACACATGGAGTTTCGCTATGCTACTCAGACTGGTCTTGAAATCCTGGGCTCATGTGATCCTCCCACCTTGGCCTCCCAAAATGCTGAGATGACAGGTGTGAGCCACCACACCTGTGGCCTATTTTAATTCATCCCTCCTCAGGCACAAAAAATCTTATTCAAGAATTACCATTATTAGCATTTATTCAGATATTGTAGAAGATTATGGATTAACTTCTTTGATATAACAATTTCAGAAGGAGTATATGGAGATATGTAAAAGGTAAGAATAAAATGTCTATTTCACAGGTAAGGAACTAGAGACTGAGGAAGGTTAAATACTTTGTTTAAAGTTACACAGTAGTAACTCTCAGATAAGTGATTTAGACCCAGGTGAGTTTTGCTGTTGGGATTCTCTCTATTATATTTTACTCTTCCCCGACTATCTAGCCACATCAGCCCAATCAGCCTGGGTGTTCAATGCTTGGACACACTGGAGTCAAATCAATCACATATGAAAAGTTTTTAAAATAACCTTCTTCCACCACTGGCTCGATTAATTACATAATTTGGCAGGGCAAAAAAGGCTTGATTAGGTTAAATTGGATGTAATCAGAGCATTCAAATTTCTTGTGCTCACTGACTCCGTACTGGTAAACATCCCTTATGAGGTATTTGAAAGGTCCACTTAATCCAAACAGTTGTTGAATGGTCAGTCTTTTTAACATCACACTAGAAGAACAAACACTTGGATTATTTTTAAGTTTTAACTCTCAGGGCCATCAAATACCTTGTTTTCTATAATGTTTTCATACACAAGATGTTTCTATTTGTTTCAGAAAGTAACCAAGGAAATAGGGAAGTAGCATTTAGGTTTCAAAATATGTAGTTTATTTCTACACATAAGCGATAAATACATTAATTAAGATCAAGTAACAACTATTGTTTCAATTTTATTTTTATCAGCTCTAATGTTAATTAGTAAATAAACACTTACTATTATTGCAATTATTGCATGAAAAAAAAAAGATGAACATGACTAAGATAGAATCCCAATACTCGAGAATCTCACACTGAGGGAGTAAAAATCCAAATCAGTATATGTGAAATATTTGGATGGGGAATCACAAGGATAAGCACAAGGTAATATAGGTGTACACAGAAGGGATAGCTCATACAGCGGGTGGGGAGGAAGTGTTGACTAGTACTTAATGGGAGCTACGACACTGAGTTAGTACCAAATGAGTCCCATAAAAATACACAGTGGCCAGATTCTCTCTCTCTTCAAACATATAAACACGCAAATGCACACATGCACACACATGGGGAAATATAGGAGAACATCTTTATAATCTTGTCCTTAGGGAGGCCCTTTATAAAAAAGGGAGATATTTTAAAATAACAAAAGCATATGATTAACACAGAAAAGTGTAAAATGTTGTACGCCCAGACAAAAAACATACAAAAAATCTACAATATGTAAACAAAGCATTGATATTCATACTCTATAAGGGTTGTCTACAAAACAATGAGAATAAACACCTAATCCAATAGAAAAATAGACAAGATATAATCATACAAAAAACGCAAAACTCCAAATGGCTAATGAAAAAAATATATATGTTATTCATTAAGCTAATATTTTGTTCCCCTTATTAGATTGGTAAAATTTAAAAAGAATGGTACTATGCTGACAGATGTGAAGAAAAATTGATACTATTGATACCCACTGTTGGTGGAGATGCAAATTATTGTTTTTTTGTTTTGTTTTTTTGACAGAGTCACTCTGTTGCCCAGATGGAGTACAGTGGTGCTATCACAGCTCACTGCAGCTTTGACTTCTTGAGCTTAAGCAATCCTCTGCCTCAGCCTTCTGAGTAGCTGGAACTACAGGCACACACTACGATGCCCAGCTAATTTTTAAAAATTCCTTTGTAGAGAAGATGAGGTCTTGCTGTGTTGCCCAGGCTGGTCTTGAACTCCTAAACTCAAGTGATCCTCCTGTCTCGGGCTCCCAAAGCACTGGGATTACAGGTGTGAGCCACCACACCTGGCTGTTATCTTTTTAATACGGAAAAAATTAGAACTATAAAATTTTATAAAACATACCTATATTGATGGAACTATTCCTTTCTAAAAATCTATCCTGCAGACAAACTGGCTTATAAATGCAAAGATTCTTTTACAAGAAAGTTAACTGAAGCCTCATTTATGATAGGAAAAATTGGGAAAACTTAAATGTCCGCAAATTAGGGATTAATTTTATAAATAATGATTCATTCATTATTTATGAATTCCATATATCACTTCAAAATAATAAAGTAAATATGTAATTATTGATATTTTAAAAATCTCTAAGACATATTTTTCAAAGGAAAAAATAAATAACACAGCCATACACATAACATAATCCCATTTATATATACAATTTAAAACTGTGGGTGTGTCAGTGAATGTGTAGGCCCATAAGTGTGTAGGTATGTTTTGTGTGCACGTGGATGCAGATATCTGGTTTTGGAGATGTACACAGGAAAACATCTGGGACTATTTCCCCTAATACATTCAACAATAATTCCCAACTTTGAGCAATGAATTAGAAATGGTAAAAAGGGTCTATAACTTTTATTATTTCATGCCTTTAAATCATTTTAATTGTGTATATTGAGCTTGTAGTTAGGTATTCTGTAATTCTAAATTATTTACATTATCATATTATGATGAATTGTTATTATAATTATGAAGTTCTAGGGAAGAAGGATTAGCAAATATTTCCTGAAATCAGAAAGACACTATATAAGCGGTTTTTTTTGTTTGCTTTAATCTTCCACATCCATAATAAGGATATTAGGTAAAACAATCTAAGTAGTTGGTAACATTATTGTGAGTAAAAAGTGTTGGTCTATTTGTTCCAAAAGGTCCTTTCACATCTTTTTGGCAAGGCCCAAGATTCCAACTGTGGCTTCACTTTTTCAAACAAGTTAATTTGAGAATCTCTAGAATATAGGAAGCAGTCAATAATCTCTTGTTAAATAATTTGTTATTTAATGAGTACTTGAAAGGCTGAATTGGTGAATGCCTGAATGAATGAATTATAGATGGAGAAAACGTTAACTGTAAATCAATAGAAGTTGTTTCTGAGAAATACTTGATAACAAAGACTTTAAACAAAGACTTTAAAACATCTGTCTTGAAGGTGCTTAAAGAACTAAAGGAGAAATCACAAAAACTATGTATGAACAGAAAGGAAGTATCAATAAAGAATTTTTTAAAAAAAGAAACAAAAAATAAATTCTAGAGCTGAAGTGAAAAAACAGTCGATTCGAAAGCAGATTTGGGCGGACTGAAGAAAAAATTAGTGAACTTGAAGATAAGACAATTGAAATTGTCTAGTTTGAGGAACAGAGGGAAAAAATGAAAGAAGATGAACAGAGTCTAAAGAACCTGTGAGACACCATCAAGTGGACCAATATATACATTGTGGAGGCTCAGAAGAAGAGAGAAAGAGGCAGAGAGAATATTTGAGGAAATAATGGCCAACATTTCCCCAAATTTGATGAAAAGCATGACTATAAACATCTAAGAAGCTCAATGAGCTCCAAGTATTATAATCTCAAAGAGATCCACACCAAGACACATTATAATACAATTATCAAAAGACAAAGGCAAAGAGAGAATCTTGAAAGCAGTATGAAAGAAGACACTCATTACATACAAGGAATCCTGAATAAGATTATCAACAGATTTCTCATCAGAAACTTTAGATACCAGAAGGCAGTAAGCTGATATAGTTAATGTACTACAAAATTAAAAAAGAAACAAAAAAGAAATTCTGGAGCTGAAATAAAAAACTCAACCAACAATCATTGAGTTATATACATTAAGTATATATAGCTTTGTCCATGTCAATCATACCTCAAGAAAGCAGTTTGGATAAAAAAGATTCCTATATCTGGCAAAACTGTACTTCCAAAGTGAGGGAGAAATACATTCTAGACCAGCTCTGCAAGAAATGCTAAATTGAGTTCTGCAGTTTGAAATGAAAGGACATTAGACAGTAGCACAAAGCTGTATGAGAAAATAAAGATCACAGCAAAAGTGAGTATGTAGATAACTAAAAAGTTAGTATTGGCAGCTCACACCTGTAATTCCAGCACTTTGGGAGGCTGAGGCAGGCGGATCACAAGGTCAGGAGTTGGAGACCAGCATGGCCAATATGGTGAAACCCCTTCTCTACTAAAAATATAAAAATTCACCAGGCTTGGTGGTGGGCACCTGTTGTCCCAGCTACTCGGAAGGCTGAGGTAGGAGAATCACTTGAACCCAGGAGGCGGAGGTTGCAGTGAGCCGAGATCGTACCACTGCACTCCAGCCTGGGCGACAGAGTGAGACACCGTCCCCCCCCAAAAAAAAAAGTTAGTATTATTATTACTTTGTTTTACAATTCCACATTTTGTTTTCTACATAATTTAAGAGACAAATGCATTTTAAAAATCATTAGATTATATTTCATATATAATGTATAAAGATAATTTTGTGATATCAACCACTGAAAAGCATGGAGATGGAGCTAAAAAGAAACTGTATTTTTGTGTGTTATTGAAGTTAAGATGGTATGAATTTAAATTAGAAAGTTATAACATTAGAACATTAAATGTAATCCCCATGGTAACCACAAAGAAAATAGCTATGGAATATACACAAAAGAAAATGAGAAGGTAATTACAAAAAACAGCTATACATGAAAGAAGATAGTAATGCAGGAAGTAAACAAAAACAAATGGCAAAATGACAGAAGTAAGTATCCTTTATTAGCAATAACTTTAAATGTAAATGAATGAAACTCTCCAACTCAACGGACAGGAATTGACGGAATGAATAAGACATGGCTCAACTATATGCTTTCTACAAGAGACTCACCTTAAATTCAAACACGTAAATAGTTTGAAAGTGAAAGAATAAAAAAGGCAATGACATGAAAATAGTAACAAAAGGGAGAAAGAGTGGCAATACTAATATCAGACAAAATAGATTTTAAATAAAAAAGGTGAAAAAAGAACATTATATATTAATAAAAGGTTTATTACAAGAAGATATAATTATTATAAACATTGACACACCTGATGATAGTTCATGAAAATATATCAATTTTGACAGAATTCCAGGTAGAAGTAAAAAATTCTACAATAATATTTAGAGACTTCAATACCCTCTCTCAAGAGCAGACAGAATAATCTTCCTTTAAGTAATGAAATAGAGGACCTGGGCAACACAATAAGCCAATTAGATCTAACAGACATATGCAGAGCACTCTACCCAACAATAACAGAATACACATTTTTCTCCAGTGAACATGGGACATTTTCAGGGTAGACCACGTGTTAGGTCACAAATTAATTCTTAATAAATTTAAAAATATTGATATCATACAAAGTATCTTTTCTGAACACAAGAGGATGAAGTTGGAAGTCAATATGAAAAGCAAAATGGAAAAATCACAAATTTGTGAAAATTAAACAACGTACTTTTAACCAACGGATCAAAGAAGAAAGACAAGAAAAATTAGAAAATAAATATTAATGAAAATAAAAATACAACATACCAAAATTTATGAGACACAAGGATAGCAGAGCTAAGGGGGAAATTTATGCCTATAAATACTTACATTAAAGAACAGAAAGATCTCAAGTTGAAAGTTTATTTTTACAACTTAATAAATTGGAAAAGACAAGCACAAAGCTAACAGAAGAAAGGAAATAAGATGAAAGCAGAGATAAACAAAATAGAGAATAGAAAACAGAGACAATCAATGAGACCAAAAAGCTGGTTCTTCAAAATGATCAATAAAATTGACAAACTTTCAGTGAGACTGACTAAAATAAATAGAGAAGACTCAATTTACTAAAATCAGAAATGAAAACACTACTACTAATTCTAAAGAAAGAAAAAGGATTATAGGAGAGGAATATGAACAGTCACATGCCAACAGATTGGATAACTTAAATAAAATGAGCAAATTTTTGGAAACACAAAACCTACCAAGACTATCATTATCAAATGGCATTTATTTTTGGAATGGGCTGATTTTTCAACATATAAAATCAATCAATGTAATATACTATATTAACTGAATGAATTTAAAAAATCATACTATTTTCTCAATTGATTCAGGAAAATTATTTGACAAAATTCAATACCCTTTCATGATAAAAACACTCAGCAAATTAGGCATGGAAGGAAATTCTTGCAACAAAGTAAATCCACATATGAAAAATCAACAATGGACATCATACTCAATGGTGAAAGACTAAAAGCTTTTTCTCTAAGATTAGGAACAAAGCGAGGTGCCTGCTGTCACTGCTTCTATTCAACATAGTATTGGAAGTTCTAGACAGAGCAATTATGTGAAAAAGAAAAAAAAAAGTCAACACCAGGAAGAAAAAAGTAAAATTATCTGTTTACATATGTTGTAGTCTTATATGCAGAAAACCCTGAAGATTCCACAAAAGAATAGTTAGAATTAATAAACAAAATCAGCAAGGTAGCAGAGTACAAAGTCAACTCACAAAAATAAGTTACATTTCTATATATAATCAAAGAGTAATTTTAAAAGGAAATTAAGGAAATTCAATTTATAAAAAAATCAAAAAGTATAAAATATGTAGGAATTACCTTAACCATGGATGTAAAAACCTATACAATGAAAACTATGAAACATTGGTGGAGGAAATTAAAGAAGACATGCATAAATTGAAAGATGTCCCACATTCATGGATTGGAAGACTTAATAGTATTAAGAGGTCAATACTACCCAAAGCAATTTACAGACTCAACACAATCCCTATACAAAGCCCAGTGATATTTTTTGTAGAAATAGAAAATCTATCCTAAAATCCATATGGAATCTCAAGGGACCCTGAGAGCCAAAATAATCTTGATAAAGAAGAACAAAGCTTGAGGTCTCATACTTCCTGATTTCAAAACTTATTGCTAAGTTACTGTAATGAAAACATTAGCACTGGCAAAAAAAACCAGACATAATCACCAGTGAAATAGTTGAGAGCCTAGAAATGAGCCCTCACATATGTGATCAAATTGTTTCTGATGATGGTGCCAAGACCATTCAATAGGGGAAAAGAAAGTTTTTTCAACAAATGGTGCTGGGAAAACTGAATATACACATAAATAAGAATGAAGTTGGACCCTTGCCATACCAAAAATTAACTCAAAATGAATCAAAGACCTAAACATAGACCTAAAACTCTCCAACTCTTAGAAAAATAAGTAGAACATAAACTTCACGATATTGGACTTGGCAATAATTTTTAGATCTAACACCAAACACACAGGTGAAAAAAGAAAATGGGCAAAGAACCTGTGTAGATGTTTTTCCAAAGAAGATATACCAACAGCCAATAAGCACTTGCAAAGAGGCTCGACATCATTGCTCATGAGGGAAATGCATATCAAAACTACAATGAGATGCACCCTCACACTCGTTAGGATGGCCACTGTTTACAAAAACAGATGATAACAATTGTAGGTGAGGATGTGGAGAAATGGGTACCCTCATGCAGTGTTGGTGGGAATGTAAAATGGTAAAGCCACTGTGAAAAACACTTGTGGAGGTTTCTCAAAAATTAAAAAAAATACAATTACTATATGATTCAGAAGTTCCACTTCTGGGGGTATGCCCAAAAGAATTGAAAGTAGGGTGTTGAAGAATATTTGTATTCTCATTTCTATAGCAGTACGATCACCATAGCTGAAATATGGAAGTAACCAACCCAAGTGTCCTTCAGTGGATGACTGGATAGGCAAATGTGGTAAATACATACAATGGAATATTGTTTAGCATTAAAAAGGAAGGAAAAATCTGGCATTTGTAACAACACAGATGAACTTTGAGGACATTAGGCTAAGTGAAATAAGCCAATCAGACAAAGGCAAATATATAATTCCATTTTTATGAGGTAATTAGTCAAAATTATAAAGGCAGAAACTGGAATGGTGGATGCCAGAGACTGAATATCTATATTCATTAAACACTAACTCCTCATTTCCCCTTCCTTCCAGTTTTGGAAGATGGAAGCAGTTCTAGAGTGGATCGTAGTGATGGTTGCACGGTATGAATGCAATTAATGCCACTCAACTACACACACAAAATGGTTAAGATAGTAAATTTTATATTTGTATTTCACCAGAATAGAAAAATTAAAAACAGAACAAAACAAAGCACAGTAGTCAGAGGCTGGCCACTCAGAAAGACTACGACAGAGAAAGACAGCTGGCTAATCCCCTGTGACTATTCAGGTTTCCAGCGAAAACATTAAAGTGAGAAAGGTCTTATATTTTGAAAATGCAATGGATCTCTAAAAATGTAGCAGATTAGGCCTATTTTAAAAAACACATTAGTATATTTTTACCTCAGGAGGTAGTTTCAGGGATGGGGAGGTTGTTTATTATTATGCTTTATTACTTACATATATATATATCACGTATTTTCTTTTATATATGATAAGTATCACATAATAATACTTTTTCAAGAGCTTGAAAACCCTGCTGTTATGTTTTGTTTATAATTAAATTATTCAGTAAATGTTAGCAGCACTTCCCTCATGAATTCCTATGTTGATAATTTCCAAAAAAATTAAATGTTTGGTTAAATTAACTGTCTTTTCTGTAAATTTCCTATAACTCCAGAGAAGTAGTTCTTCATTGTTTATATTAATTATACTTTAATTTTCAAGAGTCTGAACATTTCCATTTATATTATCAAAGCTCTTTGTACACACATACACACACACACACAGATTCATTTTAAATACTCACATATAAGTTGGTAGGCAACCTTGATCTCTCTGAAGCTTAAGAAAGTAAAACAAGGTCTCCAAGATATTAAAATAAACGCCACAGTATTCAGGCATTAAATATGCATTGTATTTCTAAACGAATTCCCACATTCTTACTTAGAGAATTTTTACTTTGATTTTCCCACACTTCAGCCTGGAGTAGTTTTCAGGTTGCCCAGTCGAAAATTGATCAGAATAAGTACCTATAAAATGGCAGCTTCTTTGACATTAGCAAGTAGAGGCAAATAGTGAGGGACAAGACTTCAAAACTATAAAAAGATTTCTGCCATAATTTTCATACAGGCCAAAAATGCTATTAATATGAGTGTTTAAAAATCCTAAACTTACAACCAGATGTCAAAGTATAATAACTGGGGTCTATTCTGAAGTTCTGAGTTATTAAGAAAAAAAATTCTATATATTATATTTTGTATAAAAATGAGATAATACACAACATGTTAGATTTTTAGCCAAATGATTTTCATCAGAATTTATTACATTACAAGCAAGAAAATGTTGGCACTTACAATTTAGCTGTTCGAAATAATCTATTATTAGCACTAATTTTATCCCCAATCTCCTTGGATGACAGACTTTCTTACATATTCATTCATTGTCTTTTCTGAAAACGGATGGCCAAGATTCTAAAACACTCAATTCACACAGTCAGCACACAGAGGCATCAAAGACTGATGCTGCTTTTATTTCCTGAGATATTAATAATTTTTTCTTAACACAAGAAGCTGTGAAAATTAAAACTCTTCCTCTAGAGTTTAAAGTGCTAGACAGAGACATATTGGCAACAATAGTCAATGAAGAAATGATAAAACATAAGTAAAACCAAAATGATAAAAGATGAAAAAATACATTAAAAAAATTAAAATGCTTCAATACAACAATATCTATTATATTTTAATAACTAGTACAGCTTCCTAGGCATTTGAACTTTAATCACACAATCAGTGCTATGTGAATAATATTTTTGGAAATATTTGTTGGACCAGATGAATGTCAAACTGTATAAGAGATAAAAATGAAATGCAATCAATCAATATTATTTAAATTGTTTTATCAAGTTTTATGTCAAATATTCCTTTCATTAAAATAGTTAAAATCAAACAAAATGATTTTATTTTGTATATGTTTGCCTAAATATTATCGAAGTAGTACGTCCCTTTCCCCACCTCCAAAGGAGCTAGCTACTATTTCTTTTTTCTTTCCCCATATAGCATTTACCTTCATTGTATGCATAGAAGGCAGTCAACAAAAATTATATGTGAAGCTTTGTTATTTTTTCCTCACCAATGGTCAAGTTATTCCTCAACATAAAATCTCTTAGAAGAACTGCCATCAAGGTATTATACAAATGGGTTGTTTGACTTGAAGAAAAAACAATGTAGCATTAATTCCACAAACATGTATTGAGCTCATACCTAATGTACCAGTGCCATTGTAGTTGCTAAAGATAGCAAAATAAATAAAGATTTCAGTTCTTGGATTCAAGGAGCTCAGAGTCTCATGAAGGGGAGAGACCTAAAACAATTAATTATAACATAATGTGGTAAATGTACATGCTCTATATATAGAAGAGAGAGAACCAGTCTAACCTGATAAATGAGGGGAAATTTATTAAGACCCAGTTTTAACATCATGAAGAAAGAGTAGGATCTAGTCAGAGGTAATTGTTTTATTTCAAACCAATGAAACAATGAGATAATAAGTTGGGAAAAGTTGACAGCATTCCTGTTAAGAACTAAAACAAGACAAGGGTGCCACTTTTACCCCTCCTATTCAACACAGTACTGGAAGTACTAGTAAGAGCAATTAGGCAAAAGAAAAAAATAAAAAGTATCCAAACTGGAAAAGAAGAAGTAAAATTAACCCTGTTCAACGACGACATGTCTTACAGCTAGAAAACCATAAAGGCTTCACAAAAAACTCTTAGATTTGAATAAATGAATTCAACAAAGTTTCAGTATATACAAAGCCAATGTACAAAAATCAGTAGCGCTTCTACATGCTGATAACAATCTAGCTGAGAACAAAATCAAGAAGGCAATTTCATTTACAAAAGGTACAAGAAAAAATACCTAAGAATATATTTAACCATGGAGGTGAAAGATCTTTACAAGGAAAACTACCAAGCACTGATGAAAGAAATAGTAGATGACATAAACAAATGGAGAAACGTGCCATGCTCACAGATCAAAATTAATATAATTAAAAATGATCTTACTGCCTGAAGCAACTACGGATTCAACTACCAATGTCATTTTTCACAAAATTAGAAAAAGCAATTGTAAAATTCATAGGAAATGAAAAACAAAACAAAACAAAACAAAATGCCCAAATAATCAAAGCAATCCTGTAATCCCAACATTTTGGGATGCCAAGGTGGGTGGATTGCTTGAGCTCAGGAGTTTCAGGCCAGCCTGGGCAACATGGCAAAACCTTGTCTTTACAAAAGATTCAAAAATTAGCCCCGTGTGGTTGCATGTACCTGTGGTTCCAGCTACCTGGGAGGCTGAGGTGGGAAGATCACTTGAGCCCAGGAGACAGAGGTTGTAATGAACCAAGACAGCACCAATGCGCTCCAGCTTGCATGACAGAGTGAGACCCAGTCCCAAAACACAGCGAGCCTAAGAATAAAGTCACTTCTGTTGCATTCTATGGGTCATGCAGGTAGCCAAGGCAGGCTCTGATTCAAGAGAAGGGAAATTAGCCAGCACCTCTCAATTTGCATTTATCTCTAATCTATCCCATCAAGCTTTTGGAGATGATGGATATAAAATAATCAAGGATGACTCAGATTTCTAACATGAATAACCGGGAGTGCCTCCTACTTTAACAGAGATGATAGAAGGACCAGACTTAAAGAGAAAGACAATGAGTTCTTCTTTGAAGAATAGGAGTTTCAAAAAATAATAAAGATAATATTGATCTACATATTTAATCATGATTAAATATCACAGCATTTTATAACAACTAGGTTCCTTGGTATTGACGATCCTAGGTCTTTATGACCTAGTCTTTGTGTTTTTTCCTAATTTCAGCTTCTGCCCACCCGGATTTATGATCATTTATTTTGCACTTACTATATTCTAAGCACTGTTTCAGGGATTGAAACTGCACTAATAATCAAATCAGATAAGGTGACACTTAGATACGGGTGGAGGACGATAGACAATAAATAAACACACAAATAAAATTATTTTGGATTTTTATAAAGGTTGCAAAGATAATAAAATTGTGATATAAAAGGGAATAATAGGTAGGAGAAAAGGATACCAATGAGATCAAGTGTTCTGGAAGTCTTCACTGAGAAGGTGATAATATGAGCTGAGACCCAACAGAGGAGCCATTCACACTTGCCCAGCAGAGATAAAATGAGGGTAGAGGCCACGGGTTTGGAATGAGGACAGAAAGGTCACTGAATGTGCCTCCATGTTCCATGCTCTTCTTTGCCTCCATGAATCTGCACAGAGTATTTCTTCCCCATATACCTTTTCTAACTTCTTTGTCTGAATAAATCCTATTTTTCCACTGAAACTCAATTAAGGTGTTTTATTTTTAGGAAAGTCTCCCATAAAATCTCAAAGTTAGAAATATTTTCCTGGGCTTCAATAAGGTGGCTCTTGGAAATCTCATTTTATTATCTAAGCAAGAGCAAAATTCCAGGTTTTAGGAAACTTCTGAAAGAAATTTGAACTTGGCCTAGGGCTTGCTGTGTTCTCATTTTGCCATTCTTAGTCTTTGGCACCAAAAATTCACCTTTTATGGAATTGCGTTTAGAGACAGAGAGAAGATCTCTGTGGTGGGAGCTCCAATCCCCTCTGCTAGCCTCCTCATGTGCTCTCTGTCTTAGCTGCCAGCAAGATTTCCAGCTTCACCCCAGTGGTCAAAGAGAAGGACCACGTGTTTGAGATGATGGATATGCTAATTAGCCTGAGCTGATCACTATACATTCTATGTATCAAAACATCACTATGTGCCCCAGGAATAAGTACAGTTATTAATTGGCAATTAATAAGATAAAAAGAGGAGAATCAAGAAAAGGGTAAAAAGAGGTTTCAGGGCTACATGTCCCGGAGCTGCCTGGGAAAATCACTGTTCATAGATAAGGGCATGGAGAAAAATAACAACAATGTCCATCATTTAACACTGTATCAGTGTTGTGTAGAATTTTTTTTTCCAGCAAGCATTTACAGACAAGAAGGGAGCTAGCAAGGAACCATGGAGGATGGGCTTAGTTTGCTCCTTCTGTGCATGCAGAGGGCATGCCACTCCGTGTTCCCTAACACTCCAAAGGAGAAAGGGAATAGGGTGTGAAACAAAAACCACAGAGCTATGTGATCGCTTTCCCTGTTCTATGCCACCTAGAAGCCATTTGTAAACACACAGCTTCACAATTCAGCTTCAGCATCATGAACTGCCAAATTATAGCACAGGCATTATCAATCCTAGAGAGTTTTACTGTGTGTCTTTTGTTTCTAAAAATTCAAACATAAAATAATTAACCTCTATTTAGAAAAATTATGACTATGTCTAACAGGGTGAGGAATAAGTAAAAACATTCCCTCTCACATGCATAATTTATGAGAACTCAAGCAGAAGTTTATATCTCAAAATCAACAAAAGTTTCTTGCGAACTATAACGTTTCAGTTTCATAAACTTCCAAAAGACAATCTATTGGCTTTCTGTATTTTTCCAGGAAATATATTGAATGGAATAAGCTGTTAAGGCCGCAACTCTAAAAGCTGGCAATTCTGGTGTTTTGTGATGAATGACAGAGAAAATATCAGTCACTAAATAATGGCCTAAGAGAAAATAACCTTGAAGTATAAATGTGAACATTTGTACAACAGAAACAAGAGAAAGCCTTCTCCATCATTGACAAACTACATGATTGTATCTGAATAATGGAAACCTGATGATCTTATTGCTAGCACTTTCTTGTCAATCATCAGAGTCAGAAGTACCCGTTTTATGCTGAAAAACAATTCATTTGAGGGCCAAGGGAAGGTATCCAATACACAATGTAGTTTATCAAAGATATTATCATTAGCCTAATGTTTTTGATTCTTGTTTTTGCCAAATGAAAGCTGCATCATAAAGAGCTGCTTATGTACATTTTCTCAGGTGAATTAGAAGAGTACACTTCCTTGAAAATAAAATTTAAAAATATTTATTTAAAGCAGTATCAAATACAAGTTTTTATATCTAATTTGAAACTACAATTTGCTGTTTTATGTTTTATAAGACACACTTGTTACTTCTTGAACAGTGTTGTTTAAAAGGACAAATTTATACGATGTTTTGGACACACACAATTTCAAATTTAACTGTGGGGGAAAAAAACACTTTCAGTTAGGAATTAGAAGACAGTTATTACATGTAACTTAATTAGCTGTAAAGAAACTCATGGGGATTGAATTCCAGGGTCTAAAAGCCTAGTGTTAAATTAAATGCCTAATGACTTGTCATAGGTTCCTGAGCCAGTCTGAAAAGTACTGAATAGGCATTTGCTTCTGCCATTACAGAGTGGCAGGCACTGAAAGGTTTGGTCCCTAGGAGGGGGCTGGGGTAGAGCATTAGGGATTCTGTGATCCATATTGCCTCTGCCTAGCAACAGCAAGTGTGTGCACAACCATGGAGAAAAGAGAGGCAGATGCTCAGCAATCGGTCATTGAGCATGCTCTACAGAACAGCAGGAGAGAAAACTTAGCTACAGGAATTCTGCCTTATATCTTTTTTCTACAGATTTCACAATTCACATCGCTCAGTGTAGTCTCACGTATGAAAATCCTTTCTATGAGTATAGCTAAGATTCTGAGGTGTAGCAGTCAGGTTCAAAGGGCATACATAACCAACGCCTAAAATATATTTTAAAATGCAATTCAGATGGGCAAGTTAATACCAAGTATGTACTATACAATGTAAGTTGTTTTGAAAGCCTATAATGGGAAGAGTTATTAGGGGCTGGGATGAATGTATATATTATACTTTTTTGGTGACAATATATATCTTAATATAAATAGTTTGGAGTACTGATTATACCAATAGACTTAAGAAAAACAAACTTTTTTCTTTTTCTTTTTGAGACAGGGTCTCACTCTGTCACCCAGGCTGAAGTGTACTGGCGCAATCATGGCTCACTGCAGCCTCAACCTCCTGGGCTCAATTGATCCTCCCATCTCAGGCTCCCAAGTAGCTGCGAGTACAGACACACACCACTATGCCTGGCTAATTTTTTTTTTTTTTTTTTGTAGAGACAAGGTTGCACCGTGTTGCCCAGGCTGGTCTCAAACTCCTGAACTCAAGCGATCTGCCTGCCTTGGCCTCCCAAAGTGCTGGGATTACAGATGTAAGCCAGCACGCCCAGCCAACTTCTTTTTGATATTCAAAATAGTAATGTAACCCACAAGAAACAGATGAGTGTTTATAACAAGTATTAAAATGTTAAATGATGAAGCTAACACTTCCTACACTTTCTGCTGCATAGTATATAGTGGAATCTTGTATTTTTCTGCATATGCTTATCCTTTTATATTGGGGACCCAGGAACAGACAAAAAATAGTAATAATAATAATAATAATAATAATAGCTGATAATAATAGATAGCCACTCTTTCATGAGCAAATATGCCAGGAAATATGCTAAGTTCTGTACTTGCATTATTACATTTCATCTTCACAAGGCAACATATTTTAGAGAAGAGAAAATAGAAATGCAAAGGATAAGTTGTCCAACACTACATCCTTGGTTAGGGGCAGAAAAGAGCACTATATCCAATTCATAGACCTTATTTACTTATTTATTTATTCTATTTTATTTTATTAATTTGACAGGGTCTCATTCTGTTCCGCAGGCTGGAATGCACTGGTACAATCTTGGCTCACTGCAGCCTCAACCTGCCTGGCTTCAGGTGACCCTCCCACCTCAGCTTCACAAGTAGCTGGGACTACAGGCACATGCCACCATGCCCAGCTAAATTTTCTTTTCTTTGTAGAGACAGAATTTTGCTATGTTGCCCAAGCTGGTCTCCAACTCCAAGGCTCAAGTGATCTGCCTTGCCTCGGCCTCCCAAAGTGTTGTGATTTCAAGAAGGAGCCACCACAACCAATTTGTTCTTTTACTTTTAATATAATATTTTATTTCAATGGTAGAGAGATGAGTTACTTGATACCAATAAAACATTTTCCCCACAGTTCTTATACCCTTAGATGATCAGAAATTTACATGGAAGAAGATATGTCTATGGTATATGTATTAGGAATGGAAAGGTTTTCTTTCTCTATGCCCTAAGCTACTTATTCCAGGGCAGGGAAAATGTTAATGCATGATCCCTTTCCTTCTATGTGCTGATCAACAGCCATCGATAATTCCTTGCCTGGTTGTCTTTCCATTCCCCAGGTCTACTCCTCCATTTTAAATAGGATATTGATTTCCTACCAGACTCTTCTGTTTTGAAGATAGGGGAAATAAAGAAATAAAAGCTCTGAGAGTCCTGAGAAATGAGCAGGATGTACAGTAGGTAGAGAGGATGGCTTCTGGTTCTGGGAAGCCATAATAGAATAAGGAAATGGCAGGGTGGATAGTGAGGCATGGAGAAAGATGGGAAAAATTTGAAATAAGTTTCATGGGATGTCATGAATGCAAGGACTTATTGAAGCCAAATTTCTTCATGCAAAGTGCTATGTTTAAAAGCTGTCCAGGCGAGTTTGATAATCAGATACATTTGGGACCCATTGTCTTCTCTCCCTGAGAGAGTCAAGGAAATCTACAGAAGCTTGAAGTCACAGGTGAAACCCTAACCGATAATTTTAAGTAGTGCTCAGCCTTGATTGCACATTAGAATTTTCTGGAGAGTTTGAAACTTAAAAAGTTTCAAAGATGTGGTGAACATCCCAGATGTTCTGATTTAACTAGTTTGAAAGTGGGATATATGCAGCAATGTAGTGTTTACAAACTTCCCAGGTGATTCTAATATGATCCAGATAAAACCCATTGCAATAGATGAACAAAGGAATAGGGCCAACGTCAAGAGATGCCTGATATAAAGGCCTAGAAGGGGAAATATTGCAACAATGTTATGAATGTTCCCACCTGGCTGAAATACAGACTCTAAGCAGTGACGGTGGGCATTAAGAAAGGTAAAACTGAAAATTTAGGCAGAATCCACATAAGACTGTTGTGGCAGTTGGACTTTATGTGATAGACATTACAATGCTTAACAGTTGTGCTCAGATTTATGATGACCCAAACTGAGGGTTTCCCCGGGCTTGGGATTTTCAATTGTATAACTGGGAAAGTTTTTCCTAGATCTGCCTTTCCAAAAAATAAAACAAAACAAAAAACCTTTAGTAGTGTTGTGAGTAATGTTTTGGAGGAGGTTAATATTAGAGGCAAGGTGTTCAACTGGAGAAGCAAAATGTGAAAACAAATAATGAAAAGAAAAACCGACATTTGCAATAAAGGAATGTTTCTACCATACAAAAGAGAAAACAATAACTAATTTTAACCTGGGTATAATATAAGGGAAGGTTTTTCAGAGAAAGTGGTATTTGAGGGGACATTGGAGGACATGAATCTTTTCAAAGCAGTTTAAACATAGAAGAAGCATAAGGGAAAAGGACATGGTAATTGAATCTCATTCAGATAACCCAGTGTGTTAAATAAGAAAACCAAACTAAGGAAAAGGCATTACCAACTTTACTTACATAAATGACTCAGTTATGACGGGGAACACCATAAGGACTATGGTGTTTTCTCTCATGTTTCTCTCAGTAATCTCTTTGCTCTCCTTCTCTAAGAGTTATTTGATGTCCATGAGAAAAAGTCTCCAAAGCATGAGATTTTTTTTTTTTTTTTTTTGAGATGGAGTCTCTTTCTGTTGCCCAGGCTGGAGTACAGTGGTATGATCTCGGCTCACTGCCACCTCCGCTTCCTGGGTTCAAGCAATTCTCCTGCCTCAGCCTCCTGAGTAACTGGGATTACAGGCACCCACCACCATGCCCAGCTAATTTTTGTATTTTTAGTAGAGACAGGGTTTCGCTTTGTTGGACAGGCTGCTCTCAAACTCCTGACCTTGTGACCTGCCTGCCTCGGCCTCCCAAAGTGCTGGGATTACAGGTGTGAGCCACTGCAGCTGGCCAGCATGAGATTTTCAAACTTATTTTTTAAAAATTTTCATAGCATGAAATATTTTTCCCCAAATTATATACTCCGGTATGTCATTTACAGGCATAATAAAATAGGAAAGGTATATTTTAGACATCCCAGATTAAAGAAGAGTAATGGAGAAAAACAAAAGATTCTAAGACAGTCAGTGGTTAACAATGGTCAGCTATGCCGTCAAATTTGTAGCAAGTGCAAAGGTCTAGCATGGCTGCTGACCAGACACCAAAATCCACTGGATCTAAGAGGAGAAAGTCATTGTTTCCCAACACCAACCCAAGGTCCTTATGAGACAGCAAGGATGCAACATTATCATTAACTTACCTGTGTGATTTTTTTTAAAGATGGGTAGGGTACAACCTTGAGGGTTAGTAATTTCAGAATAAAAAATATGTAGAGAGAGATGTTACTGTCCCTCAACTACTAACAGAAGCACAAAATGGCATCTTGCTATAGATCTCAGATATGCAGATATCAGGTAAATCAAGAACATGAGTGGTGTTTTTAATTTGTTTGTTGATTGATTTTTAACATGAAGTTCATATTGTAGTAAGATTGGATTTAAATGATTATTTATTGCCTTTTTCAAATAACATTTGAATTAAAAACCTGTTGGAGTGATACACTTATCAAAAAAGAGTTTATAAAATAAAGGCCATGATATACAGACAAGTAGGGTTCTAGGCAGTTTTAAGAAGACACAATCCACAGTGTCTGCTCTATTTGTTATTTAACTGCTTTAGCACTCTTGCTATGCACTGTAACTCTCACCCGAGGTGTCCCTTGGTTGTACTAAGGCTACACCCTATGTGTTTCCTCTGTCCCTACATTCTCCCCACCTCCCCTGTCTCCTTGCTCACAGCAGTCTTGTTTCTTGCTTCCATATCAAGGGGTTTGAAATAAATCAAGAAACAGAACCAACAATCTTGAGATTAAGAGAGCTTTAAAGAGCTGTAATTGTGGAACATTTTGAATCAATTTAGTTTACCATGCCATGGATAGTGTCTGATTGACATGAATCTCTTCACATTTTCTCCATTCCCCCAAGACTGGATAAACAGAAGGTTAGGAGGTCATGAGCAGCGGGCTGTTCAAATGTTGATTTTTCTCCTTTAACAATCCCATTAATGTGTAGGACGAAACCCAAATTAGTTCCAAAATTTAAGCTAATGTTGCAAAGCTGCTGAAATACCTTCATGAAAGGGAAAGGCAAATTAAATATATTGAAAAGCTATAGAGAGTTTGAATTGTAATGTTTTTAGACAAATAATCTATTTCCTTGCTTTTTATTTTTATTTGACATCTAGGCTACTCTACCTTTTAATTACTTACTTCACAATATTGTCAATCATGTAACAAAAACTACGGAAGGTCTTTGCTGTAAAAAATAGTTAAGAAATGTATTAAGCTTCCAATTCACATTTAGTAATCTTACAAATATTAGGCAAGAGGAATGACTACATGGAAGTAATTTTAACTGCCACAGACTCTGCATCTGCAAAAATCATGCCAGAAACCAAGGGACAAGTTTTTTGTCTAAGACATGTCCTCAGTCGTCCTCGCCTTTATGTTACACACAGGGCAAGAATCAGTTTTAAGGGTATGACTACATGCTTTTTGTTTCCAGTTTCCTTTGTTATTATTCATTTAGATGATTGGCATCGGGATGGGAGTGCTTGGTCAAGGGAGCAACCTTAAACCTTAAACCTGTCCCATCGCAGAATGGTACTTGAAAGATTATTGTTTGACACAGAAACGTAAAAGTGGAGTAAGAAAGAAAGGGAAAGTAGGCTTCACACTCTTTGGAGAAATCAAGTGCTTCATCACAACGTGAAAGCAAAGAAAACTTCATGTCAAAATGCAAGGCTTTCATTACGGGCGAGCTGAGTCATGAAATAAATTCATGTGCTCAACAAAACTAGGCTAGCAGCGTCAGTTTTCTCAGGTTTACCCAGTGTTCAGCAGGATGATGTCTGGGTGGAGGCAATATGGTGTGATGGTTAGAGCCAAGTTTTTGTAGTTAAGATCTGGATTTGCAATCTGGCCCCAATATTTAACAGAGTAACACTGCACATTATATAACCCTCTGTGACTCCGATTTTTTCATGAAAAAAAAAAAACAGCAACAAATAGTTCATACTTCAGAAGTGTATTTGGAGGTTTAATATAATAAACCATGTAAACAACTTAACCCAGTTGCTAAAATACATTCATTTGAATTGATAGAAGATGTTTGTTCTGCTAATATATGATCAGTACAATTGCAGCATCATTAGCCTAGAATTAATAGAAGTAATACAATTCTTCTTTCTATGATGCTGCTGCTTAGAAAGAATATATAAAATGAAAATGTAAAAATATCTATGGCATGAAATTAACACAGAGCTTTCTCTTTGGATGAGATTAGAGAAGTACCAGAACAAGTCTGCAATCAAATCCTGCCAACATTAATTGTTTTAATATGTTGATTCATAAGGAATCTGTTATTAGGAGATTAACCCAAATAGTGCAATTTATTCAGGCAAAGAAACATGCAGGGAACCATCCAGATCTAAGAGCATCTGTGACTTCATTCAGGTGCATTCATTACTGAGCACCTTCTGTATGTCAGGGGCTACAGTATGACTGGTGAGTAAGATGGATGTGTTCCTGACACTGCCTAGAGGAGGAGATGGAAAAGTAATAACACAATGCAATATAGGGTGTGTATAATGAGGACATTTATCCAAGAGAGTCTATGGAGGGGTTTGCTTCATAGAATGCTCCTGCGGTGAGACAAGACGTGAGATGACCTTTAAAGAGTGTGCAGGACTTAGCTATGTGAATGAAGGTTAATGAGAAAGCATTCCAAATCCTGAGAGATGGACTAAAGATAAATCTCAGACTTATTTAGACCAAACCAAGGAAAACTTTTGGTAAGAAAGATATGAAGCAAGACATGCTAAAGCAGAATTTTCTTTAAGGCACATGATCTTACTAGAAAACCTTTAATATTTGAATTTAATAATTTCTGAATAACCTAAGAATACATGCGGTAAAACACAACTTATGATTTTAAAAGGTATATATGAAAGTAAAATGTTATTCCTGAATTTTTTAAATAATGCTATCAGTTATCCAATGTTATTTTGCTTTGGGAAAATCTTCAATCAGAGAAAAATATTCTCTTTGATAGTAAATGCAAGATACTCCAGAACAACTCTGTAAGAATTTCGTTTTCATTTTTTTCTCCATTGAAATCTCAAAACATTTTGAAAGGAAAAAAATCCCAATACAATGTCTTTTAAAATTGTATCTTTTGGGGAGGATTGCTTGAACCCAGGAGTTTGAGATCAGCCTGGGCAACATAGCAAGACCCCATATCTACAAGAAAAGTGTCTTTTAAAAAATAGCACCAATTCTTATTTTTTTGTTACATGCTATATGTTTTTTGTTATGTTTTATCTTGTATTATTAGGCTTTATCACCCTTCCATAACTTCATATTAGCAAGAATACAAACATCTTGAGAGAAGTGTTGGAAATTATTAAATGCCTTCCATTGCTTTGCTTCTTAGATACTGAAGATGGGATTAGAGTTATGGCTTTTTCATAGGTTTTGACATTGAAACCACTTTTTATATTTATAACATATACAGAAGAACATAAGCAAAGAAAACACGTTCAGTAAGGAAGAACATTTTTAGTGGTTCAGGAACAAAATGGAGAATATATATTCAATGTTTCATTGTCTCTCCTAATAGGCTATAAGCTCTATGAGAGCAGAGACCTGACACCTGGGAATCCCAAGTGCCCCGTGCATTTCCTGGAATGTGTTCTATGAAATATATGTTGAAACAGTTATTAAGGAAATTAATGCATGACCAAAGTGTATTAATTACTTTGCAGGTAAAAATATAAATATAAATATGCAAGAAATTCAAATTACAATTTCTATCTCGAACAACTCTTTGACAGGAATTTGGCAGCTTCAGTTAATGCAATATCATTGACAGCATTCTGTTATGAGGATATGGTAAAGGAGTTTATGAGTACTTTGTTCCCAGGCTTTCACAAAAGTTATTGTGGCCAAAGATGACGTTAAATCAGCTTCAATGCCATGACCAAAATGAGTGCAGGCAAAAAATAAATCTGAGTTCATTCACTGGCTGCAGAGAGACCTAAAGAGCAACAGGTGAGCAGAGCAGGCTGCTTCTGCATTCTCTGTTTCATTTCATGAATTGTACATCTTGGGAACTTTACTCCATTCAACATTTGTAGGATAATATTAACAGTGAACAGCTATGGCATAAGAGAAAATCTTTGCAATCATCGTGTCGATTCTTTAAACCCCCTTCTCCAAAGAAAAACTAAAGAAAGCAAAGCATACTACTGTGCTAATATGGATCTTTAAGAAGATTTAGGCCATATCAATATTTCAATATCTTTCAAGTCTAAAGCCTGCAATGACTTCTTATCTTCCCATTTACCACTTTGAACATCTTTCATCAATGTATCTTATCATTGTGTAGTAAAATTACTCTAGTTTCTTTAAAATATTAGATCTCTGAGTCCAAAACATAAAAACCTAAGAAAATGAGTTAATACTGCTGACAAGGACTCAAAATAGCAAATGTGATTTTAGAGTTAGAGGGAATGGACACAAAAGAAGCTGTTCACTTCAGTATTAAGGGAAAAGTTCATTTCACCTTGTTTCAGGCTTCCATGACAACCAGATTAGCTTAACTAATCACACAACTAGAGGAAAAAATTGAGAAAGCAAGTTCAGGTATCTTGAACCTTGAGTATTTAGTGAGTAGCAACAGACAAAGCAGCCAGGGCTTATATGGGATCATTAAGGCCAAATTCAAAAGAAACTGAGTACATTTTACAATTCAGAAGTCTTTCACTTTTTCTCTTTCTCTTTTCATCTTACATAGCATTTCCAAGTATTGTTCTGGAATAGATAATTACTATCATTTAAGAGTGAACAGAGAACCAATATTTTCTTCAGATAGATGTAAACAGTCTTTTGAGAACTCACTCAAACACAAAGCAATTATGCTGGCTGATTAAGGGTAAGAAGTATGAGATTCTGTTATTTAATACAGCATTTTTAATATATGGAAATTTTACAAGAAATTTATTACTCCCTTGCGATGAACTTACTTGGTTTCTTATTCCTGACAAATCAAAAAAATGAGCAAGATATGAGAAAAGTTTTAGTACTTACATCTGCTATTGTACTAAAGTCTTTTATTTTATTAACACTTTATAATAAGTATTTACTGATATAAATAAAACAATACCATATAATTTACTAAGAGTCTTCACACATCCACATATTTTACACTTCCTAAAAACCTGTGAGGAAAATGTTGTCTATATATACAGTTGTCCCCAAGCATCTGTGGGGGATTGGTTCCAGGACCTCATGTGGATACCAAAATCCATGGCTGCTCTAGCCCTGCAGCAGTTGGCCCTACGGGACCCATGGATAGGAAAAAATCAGCCTTCCATATCTGAATGTTCCACATCCTATGAATGCTGCATTTTCCATCCACATTTGGTTGAATCCAAGGATGCGGAACCTGCAGATACAGAAGGCTGATTATTTATATATATATATGCGTATATATATATATATATATATATATATATATATATATACACACACACACACACTTATATATACGTATATATGTATATATATACGTATATATGTATATATACGTATATATATATATATATAATTTCAAATATTAAATCCATTCAGCAGGTGAGAATACTGAAGCTTAAGGAAATCTATCTGTGACCCCCTAAAGTTACAAGACTTATAAATAGCAGAGCCAGAAATCTCAGTCTGGACATACTAAAATTCATTAGTTTTTCCATTATACCACAGTCAATGTGTACATTTTAAGACAGAGGCCAAAAACATCAATTATTAAACCATTTATTACCACTCTTCAATGTGATTCATAATTATTAATCCGGTAGACAATAAATGTCATCCACTTACAGCTGAATAGAAAATGCTCTAAAACCCAAAACTAATTTTGTGAGTAGCAGTTTGCTTCACTGTGATTAAACTCTATGGCATTTTGATGGATCAAGTCTGGCAACACTCACCTCTTTTTGACGGTACTTAATGGCCAATTTTAGTCTTGCAAGATCATTTCCACTTTGTTCTTCTATGAGACTATTGTCATCTCGGTAATTAAGAATGATTTCCAGTTCTCTGGAACTTCTCGTCTGATCCAGTAGGTCCTTAGCAAATTGTTTGCACTGCCGTGACAGCTCTTCATACTCCGACTTGAATTCATTTTCCACCTTGCTCAGTTCCTGAAGTTCCCAACTTAACTGAAAGGCTGTGAGAAAAGGATCTTCGCTTGACAGTGCAATGAGAGAGGGACTGGCCAAGGCCTTGTAGATGTTGAGTCTGGAGCGTGAGTGACGGAGGCTGTCCACATCTGAACTGGACACGCATTCCACACAGTTACAGCGGACCTCGTGGGGTCGAGGCACTGAGACTCCTTTCTGAACCAAGAGTTTTATTATCTCATAATTATTTGTATGGGCTGCCAAAATGATTGGTGTAATGTCTGGAGTGAATTCAGAGAACTGCTTATCAAGGAGTATAGGAGGCACCTAAAAAAAAAAAAGGCAGAGGTGATGAATATTTATTCTTTTGTTCAAGTCTGTGAATTTCATACACCATGCTATAGCAATATGGAACAGGGTTTATATGTCCTTGGCCGGGTTTTTTTTTTTTTGTAGGAGAGATATGGTCTTTTCCCCTACAAAAAGACCAGACAAAATTGGAAAAAAAAACTTTCCAATATGATGCATTATTCTTTTTTTAATCTGAATTATGACATTTTACAGCATCTTAAAATAGGTGGTTATGGAAACTCTTTACTTGATGAATGTCTTTATTTCTTTTAAATAAGCCCAACTTATTTTCCAGCTGACACTATTTTCTTTGCTTTCTCAGAGATGTTGAGGTCCAAAATAATCAAGAAATACACTCAAAAACAGCTAATGATTTGTTTTAAACCCAAGCTCTTTCTCTGCAGTAGAAGTCCTTTAATTCCTCAATTAGGTTTTGTCTTTTGTTTGTTTTTACTGTGTTTTAGCTTCTGCTTTCCTATCATTCAGCCTAGTGACTAAATGTGGCAGCAAAAATAAGTGGGCTGGCCTCATGCTTCCTCTTTTCATCTGTGCTTTTCTGGTATATTTTCCAGATGACAAGAGGTGCTCCATAACTAGCATTACTGTTTTATTAGAAATAAGCAAGCATTGAGTCGAGTCAGCAGTGTGAATTCCACTGAATCAGGTCACCAATGTGTTTATGCACGATTTCCTTTGGGTTATACTCTAGGGATGGTAATGATGAAAATAATAATAGCCGCCATTTAGTAAGCATCTGCCAGGTACATTAACCCTCACCCTTTATTATTCACATTTTATGGATGTAGTTCCTCAGTGAGTAAGTGGAAGGTCTACAATCTGATCTGCAATTTCCACATACTTTAAAGACCTTATATAATAAACACAGGTTCACCTGTCTGACACCCAACCCTGAGTGAATTGCACTGCACTATGTTGCTTTAGCACTTTTAGTTTATTTATTTTTGCTGGCACAAAGCCATAGAGGCATTTATGAAAAGTTAATGCTACATAAGGGCAGTTAAACAGGCATGGCAAAAAAAAATGATGACTCACGTCACATTGAAATATGCTGCTGGAAAAATGAAGGAAACCACAAAAGGATCAGAGGAAAACCATATGGAGAAAAACGACACTCATGATGACACTTCATTAATGCTACTTTTAAATATAGGTACATTTTTATATGTGGACAATTACACACATTTTAAAGTCATCTGGCCATATAGGATATCCATTGGTTTCATGAGAAACACTAAAGATAATAGGAATGAAATTATCGATTTAAAATATCCTTTACAGAGGTATGCAATTATTTAATAGTGAAGATGGTAATAAACACTTTTTGAAATGTGCTTATGAGTACTAGGGTGACCACACTGCCTGTTAAGATAGTGTTTTACTTTTGTGCACTTTGAGGCCACTGTGAAGGTAAATAAAGTTTCCTTGGTCACAAGTACTGCAATCTCGTGTCAGTAAATCTGATAACCAAGATGGCTCTTAAGTGACTAAGGTTTGGGAAATGGTTTCAGTGTGCATTTGCCTGACAAAGTGAGAATTTACGTCCCAGGTGAGATGGAGTGGGACAACGTGAGATTTCATCGTGCTGTTCAGAATGGTGCAAAATTTACAACTTATGTATTATTTCTGGAATTTTCAATTTAATGTTTTTGGACCACAGTTAAGCATTGGTAACTGAAACTGATGAAAGCAAAACCTTGGATATGAGGAGACTACTGTACTTTTAGTGTTTTCTGTGGCAGACAATGAGGGAAGACAAAACAATGTAACTAAATAATTTCCTATATTAGATGTATGTTTAAGTGACATGTAATTTGAAGGCAATTTCTGGATTCAGTACAATTTCATCTTGGATTTCTATGCTTTTTAAGCTGTTAAGAATTTCAAATTTATTAACCATAAAATATATCTTTATAGAATATTGCAGAAAATTTTATTTTAAAAATAAGTATAATATATCCATACAGAATGGCATACATTTTTTTTCAAAAAAATAACAGTGTGAAAGTATTAAAGAGAGATATAGTAAGTTTATTAAAATATGTGAGAATATACCAAGAATAAATCTGCTGTTTGAGTTTTAATACTCAATAAACCATTGCATTGGTTTGTTGAATGGTCAATTGATTGGTCAGTAATGATATGGCTTGGCTTTATGTCTCCACCCAAATCTCATTAAGAATTTCAAATTCATTAACCATAAAATATATCTTTGTAGAATATTGCAGAAAATTTTATTTTAAAAATAAGTATAGTATATCCATACTGAATAGCATACATTTTTTTCAAAAAATAACAGTGTAAAAGTATTAAAGAGAGATACAGTAAGTTTATTAAAATATGTGAGAATATACCAAGAATAAATCTGCTGTTTGAGTTTTAATACTCAATAAACCATTGCACTGGTTTGTTGAATGGTCAATTGGTTGGTCAGTAATGATATGGTTTGGCTTTGTGTCCTCACCCAAATCTCATCTTGAATTGTACTCCTCATGTATACAGGGATATAGTTGGTGAGCAGCGACTGGATCATGGGGATGGTTTCTCCCATGCTGTTCTTGTAATAGAGAGTTCTCACAATATCTGGCTGTTTGATAAGTGTCTGGCACTTCCCCTTTCTTGCTCTCTCTCTCTCCTGCTGCCATGTAAGATGTGCCTTGCTTCCATTTTGCCTTCTGCCACGATTATAAGTTTCTTGAGGGCTCCCCAGCTATATGGAACTGTGAGTCAATTAAGCCTCTTTCCTTTATAAATTACCCAGTCTCAGGTAGTGTCTTTATAGAACAGTGAAAACGGACTAATACAGTAAATAACTATTTTTAAATTACATAATTATAATTATTTTAGAGCTTACTCTTACTCTAAAATGTATTCGAAATTTAACATTATATGTTGTCTTTACCATTAATTGCCTGGCACCCAGCTGGTCATAGATTGTTAGACATCAGGAACTGATTGTCTTAGCTGGACTCCGTGGGGGACTCTGCTGGGACCCTGACTCAGCCAGGCAGGCAAAATATTAGTGTTTATCTAGGTCTCAGGGGACAGGTTTGGGTCCTCTCCGATTGCATGAAGACAATAAAAACAGAACAAAAGTGTTTTAAGAAAATAATTGCCTGTTACGGAGTACTAACTATATGCCTACATCAATTATTACATGGTTTTTGAAAGTCTGAGGTTTTCTTATTCTCTCATCACTTCTACATTTATTATATTGCATTCTTCTGTGTATGAAAGTTCTCCATCTTCTCCTTTTTGTTGTTGGATATTGCTATGACCCCATGAATTCTTTCTTTTATTTAATATATTGTGATTCATTGCTATCACTATTCGTTTTATACTTGTTATTAAAGTATAACATACATATAGTAAAATGCATAAATATTAATATACAGCTTGATGACTTTTAAAAATCTGAACATGCTTAGGTAACACAACCCAGATTAAAACCTGAGAGTGCCTGCACCTCACAAGCCTCCCACTTGTTACTCTTCTCAGTTATTACTTTTCTCAGATATACTCACAGATTTAATGGTTATCAGTATAAGTAACTTTCACACACTTTGAAAATTTTATATAAATAGAATCACAAAATATGTACTCTTTATGTCTAGCTTTCTTTGTTCAACTTTAGCTCTTTGAAATATATTCCTTTGTTAGTAGCAAAAACTGTTGCTTCAATTCTGCGAAATATTTCAATTTCTATTTTATTTCATTTCATTGTTAATGACATTTTTATGGTTTCCAGTCTGGGGCCATTAAGAATATTGCTCTTATGAAGATTTTATTTCTGTTTTGAACATGAAGGAATAACGTACATGTATGTTGATTTTGTTTCTAGGTACAGAGTTTTTGTGTCACACAGTTTTCTTAAGCACTGATACCAACTTGTCTGCCCACTGCAATTACGTTGGTTTTATTTATTATATTTATGCCATTTGCAAATAACTTTTTTATTTATTATCAAAAATGAGTGTTGAATTTTGTCTAATGCCTTTTCTGTTTCAATGGATATAATCATATAATTATCCTCCTTAGTCCTAAAAGTATGGCAAATTATATTAATAAGTTTCGGAATATTGAAACATTCTGACTTTCCTGAAATGAATTCCACGTGGTCAAATGCATAATGTTTTTACTTTGGCAATTTTTAAAAAAATTATTATTGTACTTTAAGTTCTGGAGTACATGTGCAGAATGTGCAGGTTTGTTACATAGGTATACACGTGCCATGGTGGTTTGCTGCACCCATCAACCCGTCATCTACATTAAGTATTTTTCCTAATGCTATCCCTCCCCTAGCCCCCAACCCTCCGACAGGCCCCGGTGTGTGATGTACCCCTCCCTGTGTCCACGTGTTCTCATTGTTCAACTCCCACTTATGAGAAATATTTTGGAATCGATTTTCCTACGGGAGATGGATTTCTAATCTTCACTGTGCTGTCTTTATCAGATTCTGGTATCAATGTGAAGTTTTCTTCGTTAAAAGAATAAGAATGCTTTCTTCCTATAGAAAATGGAGATGTGGCATTCATAACCCCTTCAAGAATGGACTTGCTGTCCGGCTACCAAGAGTGTAGTCTACCAGCAGCCTCCACCTGCTAACCGGTTCAGGTTCTTCCTCAGTTTTAAAATGCAGGACAATGGAAGAGCAAGCAGAGAGGATGGACAGGGCCCAGCTATTTCTACTCAGCATACGACATGGCTTGCTAGGCAGCCGTATCCTCCGGAGCTCCTGTTTACAGTGGCGGGAACATTCATCAGCTCTGCATCAGGGTCTAACGGCTTCCGCTTCCCAATCCTGCTTCTTTTGCTTTTACTTTCGAAGATGCTATTCAAAATATACACAAATGTAGGAAAATGTACCTTTTATTTTTGTTTTGAAATGAGAAAAGAATGAGAGAGAGAGAGAGAAAGAAAGAGAGAGAAGGGTCTGACAAAAGACTGTATGGTTAACCAGCTAATAGAATAGAAGCTTTAATAAAGGAAAAGGGGACCCTATGGTTACTAGAAAATTATTAATATAAAATGTAAGCCATTCTAAAGAAAAGGACGGGTCTTCGGGATCTTCAGTTCTTTCCCTCCACTACTGCAAATGCGATTTTTCTAATATAGCAACAGCTTCAGGCAATTCCCTTTCTTAAAACGGCTTATAATTACTTTGATTGATTCAATAATTTATTCATATATTGAATCAACAAATATTTACTGAGTCTATTGTCTGGCACTGCATTAGATGTAGAGAATTAAGAAAAATGAAGATAAAGCAATTCATATCCTCACAGAGATGACTGTGTATTTGACAGAAAACTGGAGCACAGATTTCCTGTATCTCCCAAGCAAAGTGAATCAAATGTTCATTTACTTCAAATCCAACATCATGGTAGTTATCATGAGAAATACACAGAAAAATAAGAAATGAATATTTGCAGCGTCACATCAGATGATAACCAAATTTTAATCTGAAACTTTCAGTTCTAAAAATTTGCCAAGTACTTTCCAAAATCTCAGGGTAGTTTTTCTGCTATATATAGCAGAAAGCTTCACATTGATACCAAAACCTGATAAAGCAGAAAACTATATATATATATATATATATGACTGGTAGAGTTAGAATACAATAATAACTGTAAAATCTGCTATGAGCCCTAGAACATAAAAATTATTTGCTAACTATAATTTTTTTGTTCAGTATTAACAAGAATACGGTACTGTGCAACATTTTACTTTCCTTAGCAAGAAGCGAATAATTGACATACTTGGAGCAGAAAACTGCAGATGCAAACTGTTCTTTTGGAAGCGTTAGAACATTCGGCTGCCATTCTTTTTCTACTTGGCAAAGTGCCTAGCGGATAGTTGGTATTCCACACATGACACATCGATTTATTCTGCACACAGGTGACTGCCATTTCTGTAGGGCGAAGCCATTAAATCAGAGTTCCAAGCCTTCCAACTAGAGACTGAGTCAATCTCAGACGACAAGGAAGAGCCGGTCACAGATAGTGAAACAATGCAAGCTAAAGTGACCCCCTCAAGATTTTGCTCTCAGGACCTAATCTCTCTCTAGAAAGACCAAAATACCACTTCTGCCCCCCTCCCCCTCCCACACCCTTTTTCTTTGCTAAGTTTTCCTAGCTCTTCTTTCAGAATGTCCTAATGTTACAGCCTTTCATTTGTACACAAATGGTCTTTGGGGTATACAGAGACTTAAATTCCCCTTTTCCCTAGATGGCTGGTACATTTAGCTTATTTCAGATGTTATGTCCTAGGATTACAGATTCGCAGGTGCTCAAACAAACAAAAAAAATAAAGAAGATAACTTCACTAAATCTTATAACAATAAATCAAGTCACTTTAATGGCTTTCATTTAATCAACAAATAATTACTATACATGAGCAATGTGCAAGGCAATGTGCTGGGTGGAAAAAGGTGTTTTGTCCTCTAGAAGCATAGCAGAAAATTCCTCTCTTTCTCCCTCCACACACACACACACGCACACACACACACACACAGTATAATACTATAGAAATGATTTTAATGTAAGAACTCAGTAAATGCTCTAAGAAGAGTATGAATAAAACAAAGGGGAAATTAATTTAGAGATTTTTTTAATCAGAAAAGGATTTGAGGAGGTGTTTATATTTACACTGGTTGGAACTAGCAATGTAAAACAGTTATAAGAAAATGACAGCATCAAAGAGAAGACATGAGAGATACATTTATAAAAATACTTTCTTTAGAGTATAGTATAAGTCAAGAAAGCTAAATAATTTTAAAATGCTTCAATGTAGATTAGGGCAAGATTAGAGATGCTTTTGAATAGCATTATTTTATAAATATTGGTGACATTATAGAAGAATTTAGCCAGGAGAATAATGGAATAATTTCTAAGTAGTAACATTATTCTAGTATATTTTGAAGAATACATTAAAATTGAAATGGTTGGAGGCAGGTAAAGAAGGCTGATAGCTATTACATTTTGGATTAGACTTGTAGCCATGGAAAAGGAAAGGATATGATTGCACCCTGCCAGACAGGAAAGATGAGAGACAGAGAAAGAAAGAGAGAGAGAGAGAAAGAGAGAGAGAGAGAGAGAGAGAGAGAGAGAGAAAGAAAGAAAGAGAACACAGAAACATGAGGTAGAATTAATTTAAAGCAAACATATCAGAGAAGAAGAGATCTCATCCAGATGATGCCCTGAGAGTCCTCTGAATTCAGATTTCTGTTTCCCTAATGTTCACTTGTCTGGGATGGAAAGGTGAACACAAGTGCATTGCAGAAGCTGCTAATGCAAATTTGCACGTTCTAGCACTGGAAAGGCACTTTCAGAGAACCCTTGCATCCAATTAGGGCCAATGGCCCTTCCCTCTCTCTTCTGTCTTTCAGCTGACTATGAGTAAGGGTTGATAAAGAGGCTTTTCTTACTGGTTTTCCAGGGAAGCCGAGCCTGCCACCTCAAAGCACCCCCGCTATGGAGAATGGGCGATACTGAAGCTATGGAGAGGGCAGCGAAAAGCTATGACTCAGGGACTCTGGTTGACTGCAGCTGAGGCAATTATCAGTTAATTATCAACTTTACTACCTGTTTCAATAATTTAAGGAAGTCTAAAATATAAGTCATTTGACCTCACAAACATTTAGAAAACCCAGAAAATGGGCTTGCTGCCCCTTTTCACGCTTCGTTCTCAACGCAGTCTATTTTATATCTCAATCCCTCTCCTTTGCTTTATTCAATGTCTCCCATACGCAACTCTTCCTCCTTCCTTTTGTGGTTCCATTGTTACAAGTGAAGAGGACATTTTCCTAACACATAAAATAAATAGGTCATTGTAGGCACTCAATAACTACTACTTTTCCATTAACTTTTCTTCTCAAATTTATAAAGTTTTCCATCTAGCATATTTAAGGACATAACCCTGCAGATGAAAATCACACTGTGTTTTACTTATTTTGCTCAAGTAAAATCTATAGACATAAAGGCATTACACCCAGGAAAACATATTGGCATTAAATTATATACTCACATTGCTAAGAAGCAAACCACATACTCCAAACAAACTACTTTTTAAAAATAAATTCCAAGTTATTGAATCACAAATTTCACTCAGCAATCCAAAACAAAAGTAGAAGAGGCAATTAAAAGAAGACCCTGAAATTAAACCAAATAAATCCCCCTGTTTTTTGTATTGTGTAACTAACCATAAGGTTGCTTTGGCTTTTATTCTGTCCAAACTTTATAAATGTATCTCTTCAATATTTTTCTCAATTTTACTGCAAGATTAGTTACATTAATAACTGAATTATTTTGATAACACACAGCATTAAATGTTATTGACATATACAAGCAACCATTAACTTATAACTGATTGCTATTCTTAAAATGTATCTACATATTTCACCTTGAAGTGACTCAGCACCAATGTGAAGCACCTATTTTAAAATCCAGAGCCTGATGTTTTACCCAAATGTATTAAGTTAGTGCAAAAGTAATTGTGTTTTTTGCCGTTAAAAGTAATGGCAAAAACCTCATAGAAATTTATCTCTGTCACTAAAATATACATGTTTGAACCATTATTAATACTGAAGTCAAATTTTTTGGAGAGAAATACATTCTGAAGTGACATTCATACAATTTAAGGGTATTCATTCTATTAAATTCAGTTTTTATAAAATAGTTATATTGAGTAAAAACAATTTACTGACATAATACTGTTTGGCATACACTAGATTTTAAGAATAAATGGATACATGTCCTAACCTGGCTCTTTAAAAAAAAAAA
The DNA here is from genome assembly GCF_000001405.40 of Homo sapiens. Lineage (NCBI taxonomy): Eukaryota > Metazoa > Chordata > Mammalia > Primates > Hominidae > Homo > Homo sapiens. The sequence continues at coordinate 37,755,278 of NC_000013.11, forward strand.
AAGAAGAAATAGGGTCTCACTCTGTGGCCTAGGCTGAACTAAAGTGACATGAACACCAATCACCTCCTTCCTGGGCTCAAACAATCCTCTCCCTCAGCCTCCCAAATAATTGGGACTACAGGCATAGCACCACCATACCTGGATAATTTTTTTATTTTTTATTTTTTTATTTTTAGTAGAGACAGGGTCTCACTGTATTGCCCAGGCTGGTCTCAAACTCCTAGGCTCAAGTGATCCCACCTCCCCTCAGCCTCCCAAGTAGCCGGACTACAAGCATAGCACCACCACGCCTAGATCATATTTTTGTAGGGACAGCATCTCACTATATTGGCCAGGCTGGTCTTAAACTCCTAGGCTCAAATGATCCTCCTACCTCAGCCTCCCAATGTGCTGGGATTACAGGCGTGAGCCACTGCACCCACCTGGCTCTATGTTTAATTAGCTATATAATCTTGTGAAAGTCTCTTAAAGATAGTAAGGGGCATTTGTTATATGCAAAGGAATATCCCTTGTAACACGAAACTTCTGTGACTCAAATGCCTTTTTAAAGTTCTGGTTGATAGTAAAATAATAGAAACTTTATGAAAAAGGTGTTTGTTTTTTCAAGGGCTTCAATAAAAATGTGCTAAGTTCTTTAGCTTCCCCTTGTGTTTAGCATCATTGTTTTACTCTAACATAGTCAAAAGCAACACTTAAAAAAACCCCTCAGGATTATAAGTATAAAATTTATCTCTTTCATACACAGAGACTGTTTGATTTCTAATTCAAATCAACACAAGAAATTTCAACTTAGTTATATTTAAAATTTTATATAGAGTTATATTTAAAAATTTATTTGACAACAGTAATTTAGAACCTAAATTTATATACATATGTGTGTATATGTATGTACATGTGTGCACACACACATACATACACACACATGAACACAAACTACTTATACAAAAGCAAGTGGTTGTCATATGAATGAAGAAATCTATAGATGAATGGATGAATGGATGGATGGATGAATAAGTTAGGTTACAATCTTATCTAAACAAACTCGAAAGTATTATTTTAGGCTCAAACTTCTGCTTTAAAAGACTAAACAGAATTCAAATTTGCACTTATACAGACAAAAAATTATTTGTTAGTCTAAGCCTAGGGCTAATAATTTACCAGAATGTTTATGAAGACTGGTGGATAAGAGAAAAGACTTGTGCTTTTTACTTCTTCAGAGTGGTTGCAACTTTAAATACACTAATAGCTTTTTTTTTTCTTTTTTTTTTTTTCTGAGGTAGAGTCTTGCCCTGTCACCCAGGTTGGAGTGTAATGGCATGATCTTGGCTCACTGCAATCTCCGCCTCCCAGGTTCAATCGATTCTCCTGCCTCAGCCTCCCGAGTAGCTGGGATTACAGGCAGGCACCACCACACCTGGCTTAATTTTTTGGATTCTTAGCAGATATGGGGTTTCACCATGTTGGCCAGGCTGGTCTTGAACTCCTGAACTCAGGAGACCTACCCGCCTCAGCCTCCCAAAGTGCTGGGATTACAGGCGTGAGCCACCGTGACTGGCCTAAATACACTAATAGTTTGATTTGATGTCTGATGAAACATTGATCCAGAAAATAATTATAATAAACACCTTAAAAGAAATTCGGCACGATTACATACATATGGCTCTAAATCAGGAGATTTTAAATTTTTGTGTGCCATGGATTTCTTTGGAGATCTGAAGCATCCTGTGGACCCTAATTCAGAAAGAATACTATTTCTAAACAAAATCCATAGTATTATACATAAAAATATATTTAAATATATGTAAAATACATTAAAAAATATGCAATGTGGTAACATGAATGCCTATTAGTACATTAAATAAAAAGTTACACTGGAAGATAATTAGACTACTTTTGAAATAATAAACATATATCAGATATATAGTGTAATAGTGATACGATAGGAAAATATCTATGATTTCTACTATTGACAAAGACACAGTCACTGCTATGGAAACTGACTTTTGGCCTACATTCATAATTGAAGGAAATTACATATTCCATTTAGAAGTCAGTAAAACTAAAGATATAATTTTTCCCATCTTAGTTCACAGACATCTTTGAATTCTATCTAGCACATCCCTAAGTTAAGAAGCTCTTAAGTCTAAGTAAATTAGACTTGGAAGACAAATACAATTTTTAACTGGAAAGCACAAAGCAGATAGTTGTTTTTTAGGAGAAGTAATTGGAAAATTCGGAGGACTTTCTGGAAAGGAATGTATGATATTTGAAATTTTTAAAAAATTACATTTATATTTATTAAGAAACCAGAATGTTCTATTATCATAGATGTCCTAGAGTATCAGGTTGAAGAAATAAATCACAACACACACACACACACACAAATATTTACTTCATGCAGAAAAATTCTGGAGATCTGGGGAAAGATCCAGAAGATCTAAAATGTAAATAAAAGTTACTGAAAGATAAAGAACACCTGGAGAAAAGTCAAAAGTGAGGCATAAACAACCAGAGAAATTTCTTATTCTAAGCAAATGATGAGTCTGTGCACTGATAGTATTCACCAGGTATTTGGTTAAAGTAATGAAAACAATTATGTATGATTAAATATATTCTGGGGAAATCCCAAATTGGTGGGTAGGGTTCAAGGTTGGAAATTTTCTAAAAAATAGCACTTTATTTTACTGAGTCTCTTAGGTACAACATAGATCTTCCTTAATTTACTTGACATGTGGGCCTGTATATTTCAGTTAGGGGTAATTGGCGTATTCACGTAAGTTACTGACTTTTGGCTTCCATATTATTTTAAAATCATTGTATATATAACAACTTTTATTTGTTGCAGTTCTCTGCTTTAGTTTTGTATTTTAAATGAGTAATAAACAAAAGGCTTGTTTGCTAACAAAGTAAGAAATCCTATTCTACATAAACAAAGATCAAACAAAAAAGAAAATAAAATGTAAAATTTTCTGGTAAGGACACCACTAAAATAATTGTTAGTATGTTGAATCCAACAGTGTATCAAAGGAATTATGATATTTTTAGCTATCATTCATTATGGTAAATAATATTTTTCAATGTGATGATATTGTATGTGAAACAGAGTTTGAAGAATTTCATCACTATTCCTAGAAATGATAAGGATTATTTACCAAAACCAGTAGCAAAACTCACAATAAAGAGTGAAAACTTTTTTCATTAAAATTAGAAATAAGATGGAAATGTTTATTCTTATTATCTTACTCATCATTATTTTGGAGTTTCTATATAATGCAATAAGATTAGAAAATAAAATATTAAGAAACAAGACAACCTGTTCCTGTTTGGCAAATTACATGGTCATATATTTTGAAAAACTAAGAGACTTCAAGTTTAGAAGTATTAATAAAGCTTAATTCGACATGTGTATGCAGTACAAAAATCTATACTTTTCTTAACATTAGTAATACAAGTTATTAACAGAGCTGATTACATACAGAAAGAAAAAAGTTGGACATTATTAAGTGACAATGGATATAATAAGTGTGAATAGATTATAGAAAAAATAAAACCTTATAGGGCATAAAATAAAATCAGAAATATAGAAAAATTATTCCGTTAGTGGAAAAGAAGACTTCATATCAGAATTATGTTGATTTTTCTTACAATAAATATATGCATTTAGTACCATTTCATTAGAATATTTTTGTTTATATTGTTTTATTTATAACTTAATAACATTGTTATATTAATTGATATGAAGGAATATATATCCAAGAATGGCTAAAAAATTATAAAATTGAGACTATAATTCAAGAATATAGTGAGAGATATGAATCACTTGAACAGAATTTTGACCAGAATTACTTTTGATTATGTATTTAAAGTTTATATGTGAAAAGTTAAATTTTTATTTATTTGAAAAAGCAGTTCATTTACTAACTGGCACTAAAACAATCTTCTACCCAAGCAAAGTTAGGCTATTCATCTCCTGTCATAACAACAAATTTGAGATGGGGTAAATATTTAAATGTAAAAAACAAAAGGCAACAAAATTTTTTTTGTCTGCCCTGAGATTGTCTGCCCTGAGATTGAGAGCTCTTAAAGCAAGATTGTAAACACAGAATGAAAAACCACATATTTTGTTATACAATTCTTGAGTGGAATGGCCAAGGATACCATACATACATAAAGTTAAAAAAATAAGCTACTAAACTACAATAAAATGCATTTGCAACATATGAGACATACTTAACATCACACACAGAAAAAATGTAAATAAAAAATCTTATAAGCAATCCAATGGATCAACAGTTATAAGCAGATATTTTACAGAAGAAGAAAATCAAAGGGCCAGAAATATAAGAAATGATGATTTTTCTCAATAGTCAAGGAAAAACAAATAAAAACAATAATGAAATACAAATATTTGTCCATCATATGGTCAAGTTTGAAAAGCTATGGAGACAGGCTCCCCCATTCATTGAAAGCTAGAGGGATAAAATTATTACAGCTTTATGGGAGAGTATGCAGTATTTATACAAATTTCGAGAAGTCTTACCTCAGGAAATGCTTCCTACAGAAAAGCAGGGACAATGAGAATATTTCTTATATTTATTTCATCAATTTGTGTCCTGATGGAAATTTGGACATCACCTCAATGTTTTTCAAAAGAGAAAAGTTTGAACAAATTGTAGAAACATATTCTTGTGTGAAATATTGTGATGCCATTGAATATTTGAATTAGCAGTAATGTTGTATGTATCATTCCAGAGAGATGCTCCTGAAGTTTCATTTTGTCATGCTAGAGAGTTGTAGAATAATTATTTATATAAAGATTCCTTATTTTAGGCTCTTTAAACATTAGTTGAGATTCTACTTTCTATCAGACATTGTCCTTAGTATTATCTCTATCTGAACTACTTTATTTGATGTGCAAAATCCTCTATAATTAGGTCAATCTCTATATTAAAATCTACTGTGCACTACACTTCAGTATGCTTCCCATGGTCTGAGCATTTCACCATTAAACTTTCCATACAGCTTTTTAAATTGGTGTTTGCCTTTTCCCTCTCACCTATCCAGTTCTGCCACTCAGAACCCATCTTAAGTATTATAATTTTTATAACGTCCTTTTGTAAAATTGAACTGTCATTGGGCTGCTTTTTTGCCTTTAATGGAGGAAGGGGGAAGGGAAGTTATTATAACTTTCCTACAAGTCAAGAGGAACCCATTTTCAGAAAAGGAGTTTCTAAGAATAGTAAGGAGGATGAGTGCATACTCCACAATTGCAGATTCCCTTATTTCCCATCAAAGGCTCTTATTACAAGATACATCTAACTTTACCCAAGCTTTAGTACAAGTCCATGGCCCACAGGCTGTATGTGGCCCAGGACAGCTTTGAATGCAGCCCAACACAAATTCGCAAACTTTCCTAAAACATTATGAGATTTTTTTGCAATTAAAAATAATCTCATCAGCTATTGTGAGTGTTAGTGTATTTTATATGTGGCCCAAGACATTCTTCTTCCAATGTGGTCAAAGGAAGCCAAACAATTAGACATCCTGCTTTAGTTAGTGATGCATCCAGTATAAATAATGATAACTTAATATCAATAACTACTTTTACTTCCTGTAAAGCAAATATTCATTTGAAATTGCACAGACTATTCTTTATTGGAAGCCTATTTTCTGTCTACTTTGAATTAAAAATACCAGCAAAGACTTATAGAGTTGACTTGAAAAGGTATATAGGGCACACAGTAAATACAATCCTATGATTGAATGACAGATTTATCTTAGAAAAAGGACACGTGTTGATACAAATGAACAAGGATCTGGCTAAAACTACTTCAATTAATTGATGTTGTAAGTGCAAATATACTTGGAGTCTAATGATGATAACATAAGCAATAGCTAACCTGTATGAAACACTTGCCATGTGCCATGCCCTGTGTGGGGAGCTTGTTATACCTCATCTCAGTCAATCCTCAAAATAATGTTTACATGTACTATTATTATTACCCTTTTTATACAAAAGAGAATGACAGGCCTCAGAGAAGTTCAGTAACTTCCTCATGGTCATACAGAAATCCATGCAGCCTGACTCCAGAGTCTAAATTCTTCACCAATAGATGTTATGTCTTCTAGGTAAGGCAGTTGCGACATCGTGGGAACAGCTCAGGTAGCGAGAGTAGGAAAATGTCCGTTAAATCCTGCCTCAACCATTTCTAGCTGTGACAAAGCCAGTTAACTTCCCCACTTTTTTATTTTCTCATTTCCAAATGTAGTCATTTATTCAAAATATTTCTCATTAAGGAACAAGAACTGAAGAAACATATATCAAAGCCTTCTCAAAGTTAGTTCCCATAGGGCTGTGGTGAAGATTAAATGTGAAAGCATGTTGTAATCTATAAATCACTAAATAACATGGAGGTACTAGTGTTATGTGACAGTACTAGGATTGTTAGGAGCAAGACCAGAAAACTGTCTTGTTCAGTTTGACCAGATTCATTTGTTTCTCCTCACATAAACACAGTCCCAATTATAGTGCTTGATTCATCTGAAAGGTAGAACAATAATTTCCTGGCGGGCCGATTTTGTAAGTGTAGATGTCAAGGTTTAGAATGCATGCTTTTTGTTGCTGAAAATTTAAGCTGTGTATCTCCTGAAATGGCATCTGCTTCTTTATTGTGTACTGCTATATATACATCAGGAATAACAATTAAATATTATTTGTATTTTAGGTAAATACTGGAGAAATATATTACAACTCTTAAGGAGACATCAAACAAATAGCAACTTTAAATCACCAGCAGGTTGGACTAGGATGAATCACTAAAGGAACTTGAGGGTTATTATCACTAACTCTTAGATTGTTTAGTTGACAGACTTCACTTTTCTTTTTCAAAACTATATAATACTGACTTCTACAATGGTTGAACTAGTTTACAGTCCCACCAACAGTGTAAAAGTGTTCCTATTTCTCCACATCCTCTCCAGCACCTGTTGTTTCCTGACTTTTTGTTCAACCATTGTGGAAGTCAGTGTGGCGATTCCTCAGGGATCTAGAACTAGAAATACCATTTGACCCAGCCATCCCGTTACTGGTTATATACCCAAAGGACTATAAATCATGCTGCTATAAAGACACATGCACACGTATGTTTATTGCGGCACTATTCACAATAGCGAAGACTTGGAACCAACCCAAATGTCCAACAATGATAGACTGGATTAAGAAAATGTGGCACATATACACCATGGAATACTATGCAGCCATAAAAAATGATGAGTTCATGTCCTTTGTATGGACATGGATGAAATTGGAAATCATCATTCTCAGTAAACTATAGCAAGAACAAAAAACCAAACACCGCATATTCTCACTCACATGTGGGAATTGAACAATGAGAACACATGGACACAGGAAGGGGAACATCACACTCTGGGGACTGTTGTGGGGTGGGGGGAGGGGGGAGGGATAGCATTAGGAGATATACCTAATGCTAAATGATGAGTTAATGGGTGCAGCACACCAGCATGGCACATGTATACATATGTAACTAACCTGCACATTGTGCACATGTACCCTAAAACTTAAAGTATAATAATAATAAAATAAAATAAAAAAAAGACACTAATCTGCCCTTTAGCAAAAGGGGTTATAAAGGATTTGTAAAGATTTCACCTTATGGTCAAATTGGTTAAGATTAGATGGAATCCTTTATAAGGTTTCATTTAAATAAATTTGGATTAACATTAATAAAGTAATGCAAGGGTAAAATTTGGCCTTGAACAGGATTTTTGTGCAATAGTAAAGGCTAATGAATGGTTAAAAAAAACCTATATAATATATACGTATATATATTACACTGAAGGGGAATCTACTAAATGACATTTAAATAAAATGTTGTTTGTTGAAAATTTGAACTGTCTGACATTTCGAAATTTAGAGATGGAGAAGATGAGGAAGGACCAGTAAAAGATATTGAGAAAATAGATGGTAAAGTAGGCAAAAAAGAAGGAGAGTGTGAAATCCGGAAGTACTAAGGCATATATTGAGGCAGGTTGGTAGCTATGGTGGTGGAAGCATATGGGAGTTTTCCCCTGATTGGTTCTATTTTCTTAGTAAAATAGAAAACGAGGCATCACCTGAGGAAGAGGAGAAAAGAATTGGGGAGCTTGTTGAAGAAAAGATAGATAGAAAAAAAATGAATGAATCCCCTAGGCAAGTGGAAGGGTACCCAGGAAATGTAGTAAGATTGCTGGGCACCACTGAGCACCCACTTGAAATTAGTGGTCATGCCTTTAGAGTAAAACTAGCTGAAATGGTTATATGCTTTCCTCAGCCCTCTCTGGCCACCTGAGTACAAGCATACAATAGGCAGAGATTGGACTAAACCAAAAATGTAATTTTACCAGATAATATTACAAAATGAGTGAGGCAAACTTGTCTTCAGGTGGGAAACCACAAGGATGAACCATTGAATTTTAAATCAGGGAAGTAACATCACAAAGGATGAGGGTCAGAACATATTGGAGTATGCGTGGGTGCTAGATAGAGTGAGCAGGGAAGAAATTTTGACGTTGGAGGTAGAACAGTTAATGATAACACCGAATCCAAGTATGGCCATAGTAGGAGGTGACTAACGCATGATGAAGTTAAAGATAAATGTCTGGGAAGAAGGAAAGTAGGTTAAGGAGGCCAGTGTAATTCTAGCATTGTCCAGGTGTACAGCCAGAGAATCTGGATAACACCATTGTTGAGGAGCATGACAGTAAATCTGATGCTAAAATCCCCAAGCAATGAGATTCCATAGAATATTACTACTGGGGTGGAGACATTAAAAAGAAGCAACAGCTGAGTATGAACAAGGCCCAGTGGTGTGACGGATGCCTGCAAGGGAGACTCAGATTTCAGCTAGAAATGAAGGGGCTTTCAATAAAGTTTTCTATTTTTCCTCTTGAAACTCCCACACAATGTTCAGTTAGACAACTCAAATGTTTGTTACTGTTGAAATACTCTCTTTTTATAAGTATATATTATATACATTTTTCTATAATTATACATTTGTATATAATTTTAAATTATAATTTCCTGATGCTAGTGTTTATAATGTATAGACCAACTTTGATTAGTGTCTAAAATTCATTTGAATTTTATATATTAATATTTTATGTTATGACTCATAAACTTTCATATTGGTTACAATAATTTGTAGATGATGTTTTGTTTTTATGTAGACAAATTATCTGAACATACTTTTAAGCTTTTTCAGTCTTCATATCTTTTTTGTTTGTTTGGTTTTGTTCAAACCAGGGCCTCCGGTAGAGTTGCATAAAAAGTAATAATGAGAAAGCTCATTTTACGGATATTAACATGAATGTTTTTAATATTTCACTTTTCAGAATGATATAAACTGTAGATTTTTTGTTACATTCTTTTAATCAAGTTAAGGAATATCTTTTGTCTATTCCATTCTTGGTTTGCTAAAGTTTTTTTTGTTTTGTTTTGTTTTCCCCTATCATTGATAGATATAAATTTTATCAAATGCTTTTTTTTTTTTTTTGCATCTAGTGAGAATCATGTGTTTCTTTCACCTTTATCTGTTAAGGCAGTGAAATAAATTACTATATTTTTCTAATTTTTGCTTAAGATTTTTACACTTATATTTTTGAGTGAGATGAGCATATTTTTTTTCTTTCTCATGTTGTCCTCTTCAGGCTTTGATGGTAAGGCATATTTATAACATTATAAATATTTGTGAAAGATTGAAATAGTATGTTCCTTGAATGGTAGGGCTTATCTATTTTTTATTATGTCTTAAATATGTTAATATTTTTGATCTATCATATTCATTTCAAATATTTTAGCCAGGTTCTAATTTCTGTGTGGAGTTTTACTATAAAGATTGTTAATATTACTTTCATCTTGATTATCAAATCTATCAGTGTCTTTTCCCCCAATATTGTTCAGTGTAGACCAGGTATTAATTCATTAAAATAGGGCACCAACCTATGAGAATGAACACTAGGCTTAAAAGCATGTCCACAGGGTTTTTTAATAGGCTAAATATCTGCTTACTTTAAGCTTTATAGTCTTGTTCATGTGCAACCAAACCAGTAACACTGGCAAAAGATTTAATGTTCATCAATATGTTAAATTGATTACAGTGTGATCTCTTTTAATCCATGTGGAATTCAGCTGTTATTTGACATGTATTTCTCCCCTGATAGATTTTAAAGTCTTTTGAACATCATTATAATAGTTACACAATATTTTAATTAAAATACACAGTAATTTAGCTAGTTACCACCTAGAATTTTAGAGTGTATATTAAAATCTCCTGTATTTTGACTGTATGAGAGAATGAGTGTATGAATATGAATAAATTTTTTCTTTGGTTTTCCTTTCACTAAACATTGCTAAATTGCTTTCCAAAAGGATTCAGTTCCAATATAAATGAAGGGCGTTTGTTGATCTGTATTAAATATAGAAGATTGCATAAGTGCTTTATTGTCTTTTGCTGATTTATTGTTCAGTGTTAAATAGAATTATTTTGATTAATTTTATCATATGCTTTGTAAATTTCTCTTTTCTAGATATATTTGATGTTTTTTTAAATGCACAAACGAACATGTACTCAAATAATTCCATAGTTTACTTTGAAATAAAAACAAGTCCTTTAGAGATTAAAACCACACCAAGATGAATCATTTTTTTTCCACTTTCCATTTTTCTTCATTAGGTTTGTTTAAAGCATGCAGCACATGAATTAATGTAGATTTACATTAATGAATGAAAGTTGATATAATTAAGTCCTATGATTGAAGGTTCTAATGAAGCCTACATGCAGTGAAATACATCTTAGTATATGTTAATTTTAAACAAATACTATCAAGCTTTCCTGTAATTTTCAAATGGCCTGAGACTCCTAGAATTGTTGACAATACATTACAAGAGAATTCTCTAAATTGGATGCAGCAGGAAAGTAGGAAAGATTTACATGGATCCTCACATCTTAACCCACTTTGAATGTAGAACACGCAGAATATGGAGCATGTGGATGTATAGAGAATGAGGCCTCAGCAATTCTTTATGGTAATAGACTGTTGCAACGAAATTAACGCAAACTTTTAAAAACAAATCTATGCTAAACCGGGAAAATTGGCTCTCAGGGATTTTCCCAAATTTGATTATTTTAGAAAATAATCAAAAACTTCCTATGGATCCTTTTTGGGAGTAAGAAATGCAGAGGAAATACATGGATAATATATCCTGGTGAAAAAATGTGCTGGTCCAAAATGCTAGGATGGGAACTAGAATGATTCATGAATGAGGAATAGCAAAGTCAGAGATACATGTGTAGGGTAGGAAGTCTGAATGCCTGGCTATTATGATTGGCTAACAGTAGACATGTGGCTGGGTCTTTTATTTCAAAAGGAATTGAGATAAAACTGAGGAATTAGATGATCTTGGTTCATCCACGAACTAGCCACATGGCCTTGACCACATCATTCGCTAGCTTCACTTTTAGAGAAAACGTCACTGACTGTCTACTCACAGGACTAAGTGACCTTAATATGATGAAAGTGCTTAGGCAGTGGCAGAGTGATTTATAAATGTAAGGAGGAGAAAGTAATTTTACTCTAATGATATTAAAAATAAAGATACAGAAAATGGTTGTGATTGTTTTTATTTTTCTATTAATGAGAAAGTAAATTTCAGAATATTAGATAAAATTTTAGATTATGAATACTGAAAGAACTAGTCTATTGAGTGGGTGTAAGATTTCTACATTTTATGACTCTTTAGTTGAACACTGCATAATTAATGATTTTCTGAGAAACATATCTATATTTATGTTTAAACTGCCAGTGTATTTAATAATTTCCTTCTCATTCATTGCCTTTTGTTTTTGTGGTATGTCCAAGCAGTATAGTCCTTGAGACAGCACTGACTTTATCCTGCTAAAAAAGCTGTATATTCTATTGCTTAAAGATTTTTAAAATGTCAAAAGAAAAAAGGAGAAAATAAAATTCACTCTAAAACACACTCCCCAGAGATATAGATTCAGCATATATATATATATATATCTATATATACACAGATATCTGTATTTTGTAGAGAAAATTGGGAGCAAGTCTTTATATACATATATTTTTAGCAAATACAGACTTGTATAGAATATTGCAATCTCTGCAAAGAAGACTGCATGCTATACATGGGACTAACTTTTCGAGGTGTGGAAGGCTCCTCAGAACCCCGTACTCCACTTAAAATATTAGGCAGCATTGTCTTGTAGTAGAGGTCAAATTGAAGAAAAATATATATATTCCCACATAATTTCTTAACAAAGGTGTTAATAATCTTGGTTTCATTCTGGAAGTGATCCAAATCAGAATTGTTACCTTAACTAAAGCCTGTAAGACCTTTGATGTTTGACTTAATCTTGCCAGATTGTACTTTGCCAGATTTTACTTTCATGAATAATTATAAGGTTTTTTAAATCTACCATATTCATCCATCTACCTTTCCACTCCCAAAACTATTACTTAGTACCTAGGATGTACATAGAATTATGTAGCTAGTGGAAGAAAACAGAAAAGACTAAGATTTTGTTTACAGTGTAATTTATGCCTAATGAATAGACTGGTATTCTTAAGTTTGCAAATAAATAGTATCTAAAAAGACCATCACAGTTCAATGGACTGAAAAATAGTTTTATTTCAAAAGACCCAAATGCAACATCAAGAGCTAATAAGAGTTTTATTATTTTAGATATAAGTAATCATAGGAGGGAACAAACTAAAGTGAGAAAAACTCCATAAAGAAGAATTAACAAATTAAGGTAAATGAGGATAATAATGTGAACTACCAATATCACATGATGTATTGATCGGTAAGCATCTCAGGGAAGGTGCAGCCACAAAAACTTAGTCTTCAGGTTTAAAAATATGGCTATAAAACTAAGGAATGCTACCAAAATAAATTGTCTTAAAAATTTCTTCTCTTCTGAGATTGCACAAAAATAACAGAAATAACACTTGGAAAAATTCTAGGAATTGACAGTGTGAAGGGAATTAAAAAAGACACGCGGAGAGCCATGTTACCATGTAGCAGGGCTTTCCAGGCAAAAGAAAACTGTTGGAGGGACATTCTTACTCTTCCTGATGGAATGATGGCTTTCCTTTTTCACAACTAAAGAAAATATCATACAGATTTTTGAACTGATGTTGATAAATTCATGGGAGGAGAAAGAAAAAGGACTTTTTTCTCTATTGAACTCAAGTGTTTAGAGTCAAGAATGAAATATTTTAGCAATTTACAAGTTCTGTAGCAACCAGCTAAGACATTAAGAGACTTCTTAACTTCTATTTTAATGTGCAAATACACACATACGAACACACACGCACACACACACACACACACACACATCAGGATAGGTGGTCGGGGGCAACATTTTACTAGAAGAAAAAAAATTAGGGACTGATTTCTCACCTCTCATGCCCCACAGAAAATATACTGAAGGAGCTAAATCCTAGGAAGAAGCAAAGACTCCCAGTAGAGTGCCAGTACATTGAAAAACAACCTTTGCCTACTTTCTGCTTTTTGGATCAGGTATACAGTGAGTGGAATTGATTAGTATTATTTTCATCCTACAATGTAATTTTAAAATTCATTTTGCTAGACAATTAAGCAAAAAGAAACCCAAAGAAATATAGATCATGGTGGTTCACATTTTTTGGGTAACTTTTAATATGAATTAAGTGACCTATAAAAGATGCAGTTAATAAAATGGTGCAAAAATTCATGGAAACTTGTAATTTTATTGATAGCATTTTAACGAAACCTCTGCTAGTGTTGCATAGTGAAAAAACTATAATCCACTGAAAAGTAAAGAAAAATAATTTAAAATATTTTTTATTACTTTTAAGTTTTTGCCAGCCAGATGTTTGAAACTATACATATATTTTTGAAAGCCTCAAATATTCACCAGGTGGCAGTCTTTTCCTTAACTGTGGTCAAAGGAAGCTATCTGCTTTACCTCATTTATTAAAAAAAGATAGGACAACAGGTGAACATCGATCCCACACTTACATTGACAATACTGAATTTCAATGCTCTGTCTTTGGTGAAAACATCCTTCCTAAAATATCCCTAAGGGAACCTGTATATTATTCTATGGGATTAACTCTGATTATTTCCCTTTATCATGATTTTTTCCTTCTCTTTCTCTATTCAGAGAAAGGCTACATTTTGTTTGGTGATTTATAATATGTTTAGATTATGTTTATTCAAACTTTGCTGTCTTATAATCCTGGTGCATTTCCTTTTTCCTGACTTTTAGACAACTTTTAGCTCAGGGTCATGCTTCCTGGCTCCAGGGAATCATTCACAGATTTACACCCTCCTAACCACTATGCAGGTATCTAGAAGCCTATCCTCAGAGATTTCATCACCAGAATGCAACAAGTTTGTCTCTTATATTCTGCATCAGCATATTTTAAGTCTGATCCTAACAACCTGAAAGCATGACACAAATGTGAATCTTTAGACATAGATCAAACTGGTGTACTTCGTTCTGAAATTAATAATCATGACGATAATAACATTAAACCAGATCTAAATATACTAGGCACTTTACATGAATTTTTTCTAATTTCTAATACTCACAATAATTGTGGAATATAGCCATTTTCTGTTTCAGGTTAAATAGGTTACACAAATAGTAAGTCGTGGAGCCAGGATTTGAATCCATATTTTTCTAGATTCCAAACCTGATCATTTTCAACCCTGAAATATTTCCTTTTATATAAAACAAACCTCAAAATATTTAGTTTTATTTATATTTTTTCCTGTTTCATAAAGTCTTTATGATTGAGGCTAAAGTGATAAATATGACAAATATGACTGAAAATTTATATGATAAATATGACTGAATTTCAGGCCTGACTCAAGGACTAATAATCTCAGTAGTCCTTGGTAAATTTCCTCAACTTCTCTAAGCTTCACTTTCCACATATCTGTAAAAGGTGATGACTCCAGGAGTTACTTTGTATTAGGAGAATGGGGTGACATCACATTAAAGGTGATGTCAAAATGCACTTTAATTATCTCTGATTTTAAGGTTAGACATTGATTCTGCTTTTTGATTGAGAGAATCAGGCAGACTAAGTTGGGAATAAATAGAACATGATACAGTAAAGAGAAAATTCATCCAAAACAGGTGCTTCTGAAACCCTTGATTTAATGCATATTACCACCAAGCCAAGCATTAAATTTAGCATAAAAGCACCAAATGGAATAAGCTAGATCTATACTTTCTTAAGGCTGGTAATTTAAGTTGAGGTCAGGGGAATCAAAAGCTCTTCAGATGATAAAGGATTAATGAGTTCAGATGTTCTAGGATAAAGTATGCAAGAGAAATATGAATTAGCAACATTTAACATTAATTTATCGAATACACATTTTTAAAGTTTAAGCATTTTATTGATAGAATTAATAGTTATATATGTGCATAATAAAATATTTCGTATTGATTCCATTCAGGATGAAGCGTGTATCGTATTCTGCAATGGACTATCCGCCTAATATGACAATCTACTACACTTTTCCCCAAACCACGAAATAGTTTATTTTTAATACAATTTTACCATCTTCACAGAAACACAATGGTACTTGTCTATATCTTCTTTTATTGATGTTGAATTACTTTAATTTCTGTGTCTTACAAAATTTGATATGGCTATTTATTAGGTATTAGGTGCTATTAGCCTACTCTCACAAAAGATAGATGTGAATACAATTGGGAAACCAATATTGTATAGAAAACAGAAAAAAGTGAGGGTGCATGTTAAGCATAATTACTTATATTTACCCTAAAACTGCAGTTGATTGCTAATTAGATTCCTTGAGGTCAGGAGCTCATTTGTAAGTATGTTTTAACAAGATTTTGATCACAGTAGGCAACCAAGGAAATTTTAAAGTTATAAGAAGAAATGAGAAAATACATGATCCTTTATTGAAACTTTGCTAACCAAAACCCTTGTCCTCACTTTCCTACTTCTCTCATCTTAGGTTGTTCCCTTGCTGCTCTGCTATAGCAAAATTGAAGAGGGAGCAGAAGAGAGTGATTCTATTAATATATCAAGAATGCTGAGCATGAATAATAGACACTGTATGTGTGATTGTTCCAGATAACCTTTAGAATCTCCTCCAAACCTAAGAAACTATCTATGATTTTAAGAAAAGCAGTTCATTTTTTCATTATTTTTATGAAGGTATAGTGTGCATGAGTGTGTGTGTGTGTGTGTGTGTGTGTGTGTGAGCTACAGAAAGAAAGCAGATATAAAGAACAAGTTTTGATTGGTAAGATTCATTTTATAACCTAAGAAATAGAAAAATTAATAATAGACCATCAGCAAGTCTTTGTGGAGTCTCGAGTCCTTGTTATTAAATTTAGCCAACATTTACTGAGCACATACCATGTATTAGGAAATCTGTTGGGTATATGTAGAAGAAAAAAAGGAATCCAACATTTGTTAAAGAGGTGAGAGCTCCTTATATAGATAACAGAGTATGAAAGTTGAAATTTTTACAGGTACCAGATACAATTGATGACAGATTCCAGAGTTCACAATGCTTCAAGAGTATATAGCATGGAGACAATAGAGGTAAGGGTGGACTTGTGAGGAGGATTTCTTTGTAGACAACTGAAGTTGGACTAGGGGGCAGCTGTGTTCCCAAGGAGGAGAGAGAAATTACTGTCTGCCCAGGCACGTCAAATCAAGCCTGAGAGGTTTACCAGGACCATGGACTTCCTGAAAGCTACAACAGCAATTGGAAACTCTATGCTTGACGGATTCTCATTTCCCCTAAACTTCTCACTGGATTCTCTTCACTTCCCAAATCTTTCTCTCTCACACACACAGTTAGTGTATGGAAAGGAAAAGATAAAACTTTGAATTGGGGCTACTACATCTATTACCTAAGAGTGGGAGGGAAAATATGTCCAAACAAAGCCTAAGAGGACCACCCCAATAAACAAATGTCAAAAAGAGTTGGGGGAAAGCATGCCCAAGCAAAGCCTAAGAGGACTACCCCAATGAACAAACGTTAAAGAGAGGAGAGGGAGGGAAATGAAGAATTGCAATTTTACTATAAATCAAGTCTATGTCATTGCAGATGGATAAATCAGTAAGATACATACATATTCATGTGTGTCTGCATGTGTATATATATATAAATATATTTGTGTATGTATATGCATATATACACATACCCTCTGGTATTGTGAAGCTCACAAAGTGGAGGAAAGTAAAACATATTTTCAACATAATATTCTAAGAGTATGAGGAGGCGTATAGGATATGATTATAATGGTAGTAAAGAAGAGGGACGTTTAACTTCATCATTTATATCATATCACGTCATATTTTATAATTTATATCAAAAAAGGGTTCACGTTATCTGCCAAATAACTGCCTCCAACATGGATGGCGGGATCTATTTCTGCAGAGTCTCAGCTGTCAGGTTTCAGTTTAGAAATGGGCCCCTCCCAGAGTCTGTCAACTTGCTGCATCAGGCCGCCCAACAGGGTAATATTGAAATGTGCATTGCTTGACATTAAATCTCCTACACTCTCGTGAATGTGCTGTTCTCGCCTCCCCCTTCCCAGAAATTTCTCAATGTGCCAGCAGTGTCTCCCTTATTACTGCCAGTCTCTTCCTACAACAATCTAAGAGGAATTGAGAAAATCAGATAACCAGTTTTGTTAAATCAGTAACTTAATGCACTCAAGCTTCAGTCAGGGGCAAAGATTCAGTCAGGGGCCTCTGGCTGAAGGAATTTCAGGACACTTGCTCCATCAAAAGCATGGAAAGAACTCTCTATACTGCTTGGTGGCCAAGTTTTACTTCTAGACCTGTTCAAAAGAGCTTAGGTTTCTAGACATGTCAGGGTCAAAATATCCAGGCAATTTGGCAAAATAAGAATAAAAGCCAGGAAAACAGAGAAACCTACACTCAAATCTCACTTGAGCAAGTTAATCTCTCTGAGCCGCAATTTTTTTATCCATAACAGTTCAATATACGTGGAAGGAATCTACCAAATAAATGTGAAAATACATACCAAACAGTCAAAGAAAACATTTTCTGTATTCCCCACTCATGCACATGCATTTATTCCTCACTTACTGAACCCCTGTTACTTAGTAGTGACTGCTTAAACAAGTGTTCAACAAAGATTCGAAGGCTGCTACTAGGGTCAACAAGAATGAACTCTGCAACTCCTTAGCAGTACCCACATGGTGCTGGAGGGAGAAAAATGGCAGTTGAAGTACTTAGTTACTTATAGTGGCATTGGGGAAGTCCACCTCTCTTTTTAAAATGACAATAATGAAAGAACTTACCACAAGGGTTGTTATGAGGTTTAAATAAGATAACAATCTAGAATGATCTTAAGAGAATGCTTGATAAATTGTAATACTGAATTTTTTGGTAGCAATTTTTATTATTGTGACCTAAGGTGACTAGGGTAAAATATTGAAATATATTTACAATTCACTTTGGTCTGTTTGCTTTTTGAAATTATGTATTATGTTTTGAAGAAAATTATTCAATATATTGCTAATTGAGAATTCTCTGATATTTTGGAGAGTGGGAAATACATAACATATAAAGTCCAAATAAATGTGTAATTATTTCTAATTTTTACTTTACTCATCCAAATATTAATGTGTCAAAAATTCACATTTATATATAATGGTACTAGTGTTGCTTAGTGATTAAACTTATATCTCCAAGTCAAATGAATGTATATAATTTCCCTCAGGGACTCCAGAAATCAAAAAGGGATGTTGCAATTAAGGAGATGAGTATTAGGCAAAGTTAAGCCCACTCCACTTACGTATTATCACCTTTTTTAAGGGAAGAGAGATTATACATCCAGTTGACAAATTTACAACTATAAATTTCTCTTACCCACTCCTTCTGGGTGGGTTTTAGCATTCCTTCAGAAAGCTGTATTCTGTAAGTCAGTTCTCACATACTCAAAGCTTACAGTACAAAATTATTGTCAAAGGATTCTAATAAATGACTCAAACAATAGAGACTTGGAACTTTGACATATTTAGAAATTGATTAAAAAACGAGTGTATAAAACATAAATTGTGATAATGAAAATAAGAACACTCTTTTTAGGTGCTTGAAGAACTCATTCTTGAAAAGAACATTTATTTATTTATTTTTTAAACTTTTATGTTCTGGGGTACAAGTGGAGATAATTACATAGGTAAACTTGTGTCATGGGAGTTTATTGTGCAGATTATTTTATTACCCATGTATTACACCAAGTACCTATTGGTTATTTTCCCTGATCCTGTCCCTCCTCTCACCCTCTACTTTTCGATATTTCCCAGTGTGTGTCGTTCTACTCTATGAGAAAAAGAACATTTAAAATTCTGCATTACCTGTATCCTTGTTTGCTTGTGTTTTGATAACAAAATGATACTCATTTTGCCTGTAATCAGGGAATAAGTGAATATAGCAGGCAGAAAGAAAGGGTATGTTGAAAACAGTTACTGAGCCTTCTAATCATAATATGTATTTTCATAATTCCCAATTATATTAACATGTTATGTATTCAAGTAATTACAGTGTTTATATGACTTACTATTATTCCTAAATGATTAATATTTCAGTATTATGGTTAATGAAATTCAATTAATATACTGCTCACTGAAACATAATGCTATTAACTTTAGATTTAATCATGTTAATAATGGATTAGAGGGCTCTAATAAAATGACCCCACAAAATCTTTTCGACAAAACCCACGTATGAAAGATTCATTTGTCTCTTTCTTATTTTAATGTAAACTCATTCTTTATACTAGCACTAAAACTTCACAGGGTATTTGCTTTGAGGAATATTTAGCCTCTTCAATGCACACATGCATTATTAATTTAATCAAATATAATAATATAAAGTGCTTTAGGGTAAGAATATAATCACTTTCAAATGGTATCAGAGTTTTCTATTTACCATGCTCTTTCAATGCTAGGCATAGAACCTGGTGACTGGCAGCCGTAATCCCCTTCTTTTTCTTTTGTTTAGATTTTTTTGCTATTTATTTTATTTATTTGTTTTTTTTTAATTTCCAACTTTTAAGTTAAAGGGTACATGTGCAGGTTTGTTACACAGGTAAACGTGTGTCACGGTGGTTTGCTACACAGATCACCCCATCACCTAGGTATTAGCCCAGCATCCATGATGATAAAGTCAAGGCTCAAAGGACTAAATAATTTTTCTGAGATTATAAGACAAGATTAATATCTAAATATTTCTCTCTCTAAACTCTCTCTCTAAACATTTTCTCTCTCTCTCACTCCTGCCAACCTAAAGAGACTACATGACTCAGTTTCTCTACCTAAACATAGAGAAGAAGAGCCTCATCCTGTATTTTCATATTGTGGAATAAAAATCCCTAAACACTTAGAGGTTTGTTTTATTACTTGTGGCTTTTTTGTTTTGTGTTATCTGATTTTTTTTTTGAGAGTGGTAAATGCCTTTCACTCCTGTGTGTTCCAAATATATCTAATATTTTTGCTTTTATAGTATGTTGTGCTGAGAGGAAAAAGCAACAGAACATGTTTCAAAGCGATTATTTACCTATAATTTGCTGGTCTTCAAGACAAAAACCATGTCAATGAGACTAAGGAGGTTAAATGATGTATTAATATATGAGTCAGAATAGCCAAGTAGCTTAAACCACTTTATCATACTAATAGTGCAGCATGATCCATCTTTTAAGAATTCTTTCTTTCAGGAGAGAATTTTTCAGGTCTCTTATGACTGCCATTTGCCAGCTGACTAAACACAATCTATGCTCTATTCTGTAACAGCCTTTAAACTCCCTGCTGTGGACTAATAAGATTCAATTTAATTTTTAGACATTCAAAGTATTTGTTTATATTGACTACATTGAAAATATCAAATTTGGGGATCCTTTTCAGCTTTTTAATCTTAACGGCAGAATAAGAAAATAGTCTAAGAAACTTTCCTATTGATAAATCGATATATAAAGAAACATAATTGATAACTCATCTAGCTATGTCTCAATATGGGATAAGTATTTTATGGGGAGAAATGAGCGTCTTTAATACTATACTATAACTCTTATTCTTTTGCTCTCTTTAGCTCTCTCTCTCTCTGAATTTTGATGTTACCTAAGTTATGGTTACACATATATTGAGGCTCACTTGAGGCTCACTTACTGTCAATATCCAGGATTTGACCTCAAACAGGGTATAATAAAAACAAATAGAAAGGAGTAATTTCAATTGGGTTAACCACAAAGAAGTTAAAATGTTTTCATTCTTTAGAGGGTGGCTCTATGAGTTAGTTTATAGACTGTCTTGGTATACAATGTCATTTAATAATTACCATATAAAGTTCATGCGATTGCAGACTTGTTCCAAAGCCCAATGTGGAAAACCCAATGAATACAAGAGTTAAAAGTGAAGTTTTTCAGGGTAACTGAATCTTGAAACAGCCAGTAAGTGGATTCATTCCAAAAAATTTAGATTTGTCTAAAGAACATATTTCTATGTCCAGTAGACAGTAATATATTTACTGGAATCCATATCGACTAAGAATCTTCTATATTTTTATTCAGCAGTGTATATTTTGGGTTATATATTTGCATTAACATGCTAGTACCAATATCTTACTTCAGACTGTTTGATTTTCTGATCACATAACAGGCAATGTTTCTAAAGACACAATTGTATTAACAAATCTACTGAAACTACATATGTCAAAAAAAATCTCCTATATGCACTGAGGTGGAAAGAAAATAAGTAAACTGAAATATACTTTCTTTTGCTCTCCCTGAATTGGGTTTCTGTTTCCAATTGTATTAGTCCATTCTCACATTGATATAAAGAACTACCTGAGACTGGGTAATTTATAAGGAAGAGAGGTTTAATTGACTCACAGTTCCACAGGCTATACAGGAGGCATGGCTGGGAGGGCTCAGAAAACTTACAATCATGGCAGAAGAGTGAAGGGGAAGCAAGCATGTCTTCACACGGCAGCGGGAGAGAGAAAGAGAGTGAAGGGGGAGCTACTACACACTTTCAAACAACCAGATCTTGTGAGAAGTCTATCACAGGACAGCACTAGGGAGATGGTACTAAACCATTAGAAATCACCCCATGATTCAATCACTTTTCACCAGCTCCCACCTCTAATATTGGGGATTAAATTCAACATGAGATTTGGGTGGGGACACAGAGCCACACCATATCAACAATGGTGGCATTTTTCAAATGAAAAAAGAGGTCTTGAACTCTAGAGGGTAAATTGCTGATGCTTAATCTTTTCACATATTTGTGTTATTTGTACATTTGTTTGTCAATAGGAAGACAGAGATAATGGCATAACACAGTAATAATGCCAACACTATTATTACATGATACCTTATAAAAACACTTTTACAGAATTTGAACATCACTAGACTTTGAGAAGTAGGTAAGATTCAGACCACAGGCCTGATTAACAGCCAAGAAAAAACCAAGGCTCAGAGAGATTCAGACACTTGTCCAATTAGTAAGTGGTGAACTGGACTGGAAGCCAGCATTGCTGTCACTTCACTTCACTCTGTGCTCTTTCCCAGCACTTCACAGCTTCTAATGACTTTGTTATTTCTTAGTGCAACACCATGGTAAGGAGTGTCTGGGGTCACAATTAATATTTATTGGGCAACAAAATTATAAATGGCATTATAATATTCATGATAGAGACAGTCTGAATGTGTACATCCAGAGACTTCTTAAAATTTGTCTAATTCATATCCTGAATTCAAATAAGTAATTAATGATTTAAATGACACCCATTCAAATCGATGCAGTGGCTAAAGCCAGACCAGCATATGTCTTCAGAGACTCTTGAGTTCCAGCACTGGTATTTCCTTGCTTTGTGATCTGGGACATATTATTACGTCACTTAAGCCTTTTAATACTTTCATTTCCCCATTTGTAAGTGGAGATAGCAATAGGACCTACTTTCATAGGATAATATAAAGATTAAGTGAGATAAAACAAGTAAAATTCTAATCACAGTTACTGGCATGGTGACAAACTCAGTGAATATCATCTAGTATTAATATTGTTGTTATTTTTTGTCATACAATTTTTATTATTATCCAGACTATATCAAGGTTGGTTGCTAGCTATTAATTTATAGGTCTTTTCAGTCTGGCCAACCCACTGCACAATTGAGTCCCCTTTCCTGTCCCTCCTTTGTAAAATGAGGTGATTGATTAGGTTGATCTCCAAGAATCCTCCCAATTATAAAATACCCTGCATTATTTTTAGTAGAACTTTAAAACCAAAATTTCTTCAGCTAATCACTCTGGAATCTTCACTGTTTATAATGTATAGCAAAGTCTTTTTTTCCAAAGTGGGAATACATAATAAGGATGTTACTGAAATTGGGAAACTCTCATATATTAAATACCACTTAACAGCTAGTACTTAAGGGAATGAGTCAAAATTTCCTGAAAACCAGGTTAGCATAGTATAGTATGAGACATCTAACATAAAATATACAGCTGTAGGTTCTCTACAACCTGCAACATCCTCTGAATCAGTGGTTCTCAAAGCACTGTTGCTAGACTGGCAGCATTAGCATTACCTGGGGTACTCACTAGAAATACAAATCCCAAGGCCTCACTTCAGACCTGCTGTGTCAGAACCTCTGCAGGTAGGTCCTAGTAGTCTGTGTTGTAACAAGCCTTTCCAGTGACGATGCTAAAGATTGACAACCACTGATCTAACAAAAAAATTGAAAAGCAAGGTCTGCTTCTGATAAACATTTACTGAAGCAGCTGAAACTGAAATTAAATCTGGACTTAGAAGACATCTAAGCTCTGCTAAAAATAATGAAAAGTCAAGTTACCAATCAATGGACTGAAATGAGGGTTAAGAAGTCATTCTCAGTTATTCCCTCTAGAGAAATAAGGTATCAAGAAGGTTAAAGCCAAGTTCAGTAAATTCATCAGAGACTATCAGTGCAATGATTCCTGCTTAGTGTAGAGAATCAGAGGCTCTCTGTGCTGTCTCCTATGGGAAAGAAATAAGCTATTACTCTTCTCATTAAAAAAAAAAACCCAACTAAATTCAATACCCTGATTTATGAAGGACTACCTTAAATATGAAAGAAAATATTTAATGATCTATACCCATCTATTTATCTGGAAAGACCTGCATCTTTTCATTACATGCTGCATTGAGAAAATCATTTAATATACTAAAAATCACAAATCTGTAAAACATGTATAAGGTCAAAAAGAAAACCAATGTCAGAACTGCAGGAAGATAAGGTGATTTTATTTGCTTCAATGTCCTCCTTATCATCTACATAACAATCCCAGACCCCATTCTTAAATCCAACATTTCTAACTAACTCCTAGGTATTAATACTAACAAATCAAAAAACTACGCATGTCCAATTTGGTCTCATAAGTCTTTTCTTATAGGCTTTATCTCAGTTAATGGTGTTAATTTTTTCAAGGTATAAACCTATCAACATTCTTCCCCTTTTTCCTTCAAGCCCTTCTCCAGCCCTCTACCCACTAACATTTTGTGTTTGCCAAATCCAGATGATTTAACTTCATCATTTTCTGAGGATTCATTTTCATCTCTTCAGTTCTGACAGCCTTTATTCATATTCCCATGATACTTTTCTTTTCTGTATTCACAATCGGACCTTAGGACTCTCGAGAAAAGGAACGGTGTCTCCTCCTCAGGGCCCAGGACGAGGCCTGGCAGAGCAGGCATCTGGAAATTGTTCCCCTGTGAAAGCCTTTAAGTGTAGACAAATTCATCTGAAATCTCACAGCTCCCATGACCTGAGGATGACTATGAAATCTTTCTTTTTCCAGAGAAATAAGTTAATATGTGACAAATTTCTGAAAGAGTATATTTTGAATATGCATTTCTCACATTTAAAAACTACTAAGTGTTCTAAAAATCAGATTTGGATTTTTTTTCTTTTTATTAGAACCTCTTTCTTAACTCATTTTAGGATGTTACATTTATTTTGTTCAGTTGGATATTGTTGTTTTCAGGTTTTATCATTTGGCCTCAATGACCTCAATAAAATGAATGATGACGTGTCCCAGAATCTTTGGGCATACCATGAGTATGAAAATTAGGTGAATTAAAATAAAACACAAATGGCTTTCAATGATCACAAGAATGAGGAATTACACCTTATGAGAGAAAAAAGTCCTATCAAGGACATATTTGCTACTTACAACACAGTGATTTATGAAAACTGTCATTCCAAAAGATGTTGACCTTCCTTAGGAAATGAATTACCAAAGAAAATCACAAATAAACAGCCAGGCTCTAATGGGATTTGATACGGCCCAAGCACTGAGGCCATCTTTGTGTGCTATGCACGTTTCATGTTGCTGAAACTTCAGTTTTCATTGTGCAAGATACCAAGAATTCTGAGGGAGATTGAAATTACTCTTTCAAAATTATAAAGTTCAAACAAAATAATACAATTTTTGTTTATTCTCGGTGCCTTCACTGAAGAGGAATTCTAGAATGTACAAATAGAAAAGGAATTCTTGGCCAGCAGACTGATATAAGAGAAATCTTCCAGAAACACATGGCCTGGGAAATTTCAGACTCCTGGCAGATGGCAAACCTTGACTGCCTTTTATTAATAATCAGGATCCAGATCAAATGCCTATAAGGAGCCAGGACCTACTTGTGAGGCTAGAGTTTAGTTCAGAAGTTGAACATCTTCCAACAAACACTCTCATAATAGCAGACATCTTCTCCAGACACAAAATTATTCTGGTCAGTACAAATGTCATTGACTAAAGAGACACTGAAATTTATGGCCAGTGTTCTCTAGAAAATAGAACTAAGAAGGTTCTTTAGTAATAAACATCAAAAACATGTTCCATGGCAGTTTCATTCTATAGTCTTGCTGCAATCTAAAATGATTTACATCACAGCCAAAACATCTGTCTTATGGTTGCCTATATAGACATAAAATAAGAGAGTGTACAATATAATATCATTGCTATTAGAAAATGCAAATACTTGAGAGGTACAGCTGTGGAAAGAATTTCAGTACCACAAGGAGACTTAAGTAGTAGCACCTAAACTTACACAGATTAAAAACAGACTCTTACTCATTCCTGTCTGTGTTCTGTATCTCCTTAGTGGTGAAAGACTGGTATATAACATGAAATGTGTCTTTGGATATTACTATTAGTTGTCTACCCCAATCAAGGCTTGTTCACGTTTGAAAGAATACAAGAAACAAGCAAATTTTTGTAGCAGTAAACTTTTACCAATATAATGAGAGTAATCCACAAACAACCGTTTATGAAAGAAACAACAAAATGCCAGCAAAGCAACAAGCAGAAAAGTATTGTTGCTGTGGAGTGCTGTTTTATCAAAGTCTTAGTTCAAGTAAGGGGAAGGGTTGAATGGGGATGAAACATAAAAAAGGGACCATAAAAACACAGGCTTTTCCCAGCAGACAGGGACACTCAGCTATAAAGTTCTTTTCCTAATAATGGCAAAGATTCTGATAAAAGTCCTCTAGGAAAGCAAAGAGAGCTTGCTTGTAAAAAAAATGTCACACCTCCTAACAGTCTAGCGTTTGCAGAGACCGAGATGTGTATATTATCAAATAGGCTAGAATTTGCTAGAGCTAAAATAACATCCATTTTATAAGATTTTACTTTAAAAGACAGATTTTTGAACCGCTGCAGAATCTGCAGTGTCTTTGCAGTTAGTCAATTAGCCTTGATGCAAGGAAGTGACGAGTACAGTGTGAAAGGAAAAAGGATCAAATAGATAATTCAGACACAAGGCAGTTACAAAGGGAAGAGTCCAGACAGACAAAAACAGACTCCTTATTCATTCCTGTCTATGATGTCTCCACTTCCTTAGTGGAAAAAGACAGAGAGAAAGAGAAAAACACACATTGTATTTATAATTGTGTGCCATTTTAGTTTATTTTCTGTTGATACCTATAAGGTATAGCTACATTTGCACCATCAGTAAAGTTGATGTAGTTAAGCCCACAGTCAGAGTTCAGCTATCTCATAGTAATCCTTTTTGTTTCTTTCTTTAAGTCTCAATTTAAAAGAATCTACTAGAGTTTGTTAAAGGATAATATCAAAATTAGATGGTGCAACTCACTTTTGCAGTAAGCTGCAGAAGCCCAGAACAGGCAAGCAGGTTAAATAGGAAAATAACAAAATAATTCACCCTCTGATAAGGTAGAATTAAGAAAATGAAAGGCAAGAGGAAAAACACCCACACATACACATAAAGTTACGAGCAACCTATGTTGAGCATTACATAGAAATGTTTCCAATTTATGAGCAGTCTACTTAAATTACTTTATTTTGCTTTAGCTTTCACAATTACTTATGATTTTCCAGGGCAGGAAATGCAAGTGGACGTAACTATCATAGGACATGAAGGGTGTACCTAATAGTAGTTTTCTGTTATAATATAGTTCAGATTTTGAAGCTTATATTTCTTAAATTTTCAGGGCATTTGAAAATCTAAAAAAAAAAAAAGAAAGAAAAGAAAAAACAAAAAACCTTCTGCAGGTAAAATAAATTAAAAACTGTATTTTTGCAGGTACCTGTTTTTCTCCACTAGGTTTTTTGTGGTTCAATAACAGCTCAACAGCTCCGACGACTTCTTTTCTGATAGCATGTAATAGAGCATCTCCAACATAGACATTAAAGCTTAAGAGTAGTTCGATGAGCTCCAAGTTCTCATTTTCAATTGCAATGAGGAGAGCAGTTCTTCCGAGAGGATCAATGCAATTAATATTGATTTTAAAATAAATTTCAGCTTCCTCTAGGGATTTCTTGACACTGGCATAATCTCCCTTTTCCACAGCATTCAAGTAGGCTTTTTCTGATGGCGAGAGTTCTGATTCTGCTCTTACTATCCTTAGAGGGATGCGGTCTCTATAGGGAGCATTAACATTTCTTTTGTAATAGAACTGAGCCATGTTTCATGCCATGCTATTTCTTCGTCTCTGAAAGTAGAAACAAAAAACACAAAGATTAGTGTTAATATGCTTTTAAAATTGTTAAGCATCATACTTCTCCAACTCACAGTGATATCAATAACAACAATACCATTATTAGTAACTATTAAGAGTTAAGGTTTTTTTTTTTCTTCAACAATATAAATACTAAATAGTTGTTCAATTATGTGGAAACAAAGTTTTCTTTTAAAATAAATAAAAAGAGATTAACATTTGGTAAACTATTTAAAAAGTTACTCTGAAAGTGAATTTTATCAGAGAATGCATTTATAGTTTTGGAAATTATTTACAAAGTTTATCGTAATTATATATAGTTTTCAATCACTTTGAGTATCAGAGGCCATATTTTTGAGATCTCAAAACTAGACCAAGGATATTCAAATATATAATTCATTGTCAATTTTTCTAATTGTGGAAACGCTATTGAGATTATGTAATACCATTATGTTTGCAAAATATTGTTAATTTGTCATATATTTGTTTTTTGTTTTGTTTTGTTTTGTTTTGTTTTTTTTGGTAGAGACAGGGTTTTGCCATGTTGCCCAGGCTGGTCTCGAACTCCTGGGCTCAAGAGATCCACCTGCCTTGGCCTCCCAAAGTGCCGGAATTACAGGCATGAGCCACTGTGCCCTGCCCTCTATACTTAATGCTAGTAAGTAGTGACATCAAAGTTAATGTAAATTAACAACATTAATGTCAATAAAATATACTGAGCCCAATGAACATAATTATATTTTTTTCTCTCTGTGAGTTCATTGAGGGGGAAAGACATGTACTGAGAATATTAATCATCAAGATGAGTCTAAGCAATTCAATTTCCAGAAGAAGATTTGGAAAGGATTAAATGGAGAGAGAATTTATTATAAAAATGTTATTTTCTTCATTCTACTGCCTTTAAAAAATAACAATAAACCACAAGGCAGGAATGTATTCATTATAATTTTTTTATTTAGAAGTTAAAGTAAGGATATAGTTGAATATGAGAAAATTAATTCAAGTAAATGAAAGCTCATCTTACAATAAATTCACAAAGGTACTGGAAGCTATATTGATCTGGTATCGTCCTAGTGATAGAGATTCATAGAAAAAAAGTATTACATCTTGAGTATGATTTCTTTGTTGCTGTTAGTTCCTCTTGCATACTTATTATCTAACCTATTTTACTTTTCTATGTTATTGAAATTGAACTCACATATTTATTTGGATATGTTTGCTCTGCAAAATTAAAATGAATAGGGTGTTCTAGGTACTTAAACATGCATATTCTTTTTAAATGATCTTTTCAACCCTAATCATTTTATGAGTAAATGAATTTGATTTGTATAATGTTTTAACCATAGATTAAACATAAATTACATTAACAAATATGATTATATTTAATAATATTTTTATTTTGGGAAATTTTACATTGTTTGCATATTACCTCAATTTATTATTTTAATTATCAAGGAATTAATTTTTACCCTTTGACATCCAGATAATTCATCATGATTTCTAAAGTATCTAGGTGTTTAAGAGCTAATATGAAAAACTATTATTTCACAACTGGTATCTCTCTGGCATATTAAACATAGTATTTTGTAAAGCTACCTTCACAGACTAAGCAAAAAGTGAGTGTTCAATATGTATTAATTTTAGACGTGCAAATTACTTACTTGCTTGAGGGCTGATTATAACTTTAGTATTGTGGGGATGCTTTAACTCACTCTAGAATAACAGGAATAGCATTTATATTATAGAATATCAAGGAGAATTTAATATTCCCCCAATATCACTAAAACTTGAGTTAAAGCAAGATGATTATGATTCTATCTATGTCATTGTAGTTATCTGATCCTGATTGCCCCCATTTTTTGCATCAGTGATGCCAATTCAATGTTGGCCTTGGAAAGGTGGTTGACACTCCCTTCCTTGGCACCTTTTTTCTCATTCCCAGGTCAGAGTCTATAACAGTGTGTGGGATCAATGCCATGACCTTCACAGTGTAATTTTATCAGGACTGACATCCAAAAGTTTCATAATAATAATGACTGGTATTTATATTCAATTTCAGCATTATGCATACCCTTTATTATCTCAGTTCTTTCTTATCCATGATTCTTGGAAAAATACATGAATTTTTATTTTAGAGTTGAATTTAAGTTTTCCTACCAATAATATTTTTAGCTTGAGACTGGTGTTTGAATGTAGCTCACCCAAAATACAGGCTAAAATGAAAATACACACGCACTTACACACATGCATGCACACATCAGTTCTGCAGGTGAATTATGATTCAATCAAGGTTAAGACTCACGATAGAGAATGAAAAAACTAATTTATTTTATTTTTTCATTTAGTTAATTTTATTAATAATACTATCAAATAAAGAATTAGGTAGAGAACAGCATTTTATTTCTCATTGTCAAAGTACAGAACGTCAGTGACAATAGGGATTAGTGGACAAAACAGAAGCTACTGGAGAACTTTGAGGAAGAGGGAAGATAAAAATAAATTAAGCTTACTAATATCTATTTCATTTAATCCAGATAACTTCCACAAATGTAAACCACAGAAGTTCATTTTAAAAAGAGTTACACTACACAAAAAAAGAGACATATTTTAGTCAGCACTGTAATTAAGAGATGGAGGAGGTAAGGGATATTTGCATTAGGTAATCTATTTCTCTATCCACAAAGTGATGAAATCAACACTTACCAAGGAATGGCTGAGAAGTTAAGAATGAAAGCATTGGTGCTGAGAAAGATCTTTTGTTAACTTTTATGACCTCTTTCAATCTCTTGGATTTGAAATAAGTATATAAGAATTTATGTTAGGAAGTCTAGACAGATTTTAAATATGTTTAAAATGTAAATAGATTTAATAAATAAAATTTAAATATTTACAATGGAATCTAAAAACACTCACAGGGAGAAAGACACACACACACACACACACACACACACACACACACACACACACGTAGAGAAGAAAGAGAGAGAGAGAGAACAACTTTGATGGCTAAAACCTTAACATAAGGGAGTAAGGAAGATCATATAATTTTTCAGCACATGGGCTTGTCCTTGATTACTTGAGATGCGGGGATACTAACTGGAGGACAAAAACAATAAAGTTTAACATTTTAAAACTGTGCTACATAAATGCAATAGCAAGTAGCAGGCACTGATAAGGCTGATGAAATCTCTGAGCTGACACACTTATCATCTATGGAATTGCTACTGGATAGAAAGGCTATTAAAGAACAGGAGACCCAGTATTGCAAATATGTTGACCTATAATGTCAAAATAAAACATTGCTCCTGGTCCTCCACTTTTAGAATAAACTTTGGAGGGGAAATGATTTCTTCCCCCATGAGACTGCAGAATTTTAAGAATGCTTTCATTTCAATGTCTCCTGTATAACACCAGAAGTGGAATGACTGATTGGTCAAATTATATTTAGAAGATTTGGAAGAGATGAGGAGTGATGGGGAAATAATTCAACTTCTGAGATGTTATTTTTTATGAAAAATAAAAATTATTTCCCCTAAATGTGTTGAGGATTAAAAAGAAACAAGAAGGTAGAGAGAGCTACAACTTGACATTGATCCAAAGAGAAATTAAAATCGTCACTAAGTATGAAAACTACAGTTTTCTAAGCAACATAAAGATATACAACCAAAAATTTTAGATATTTATATGTATCTGAAGGCATATTGCCTAAAGGATAAGTTTAGTTATATAGTGGAAAGAACAGTGAATTTGAGTTCCAAGGAACACAAAGGAAAGGAATATTTAATATAGAGAGATCTCCATTCTTTAGTATGTATTACTAAAGAGGAAATGAATTTCCCTGAACAACATTTTATTTTCTTCCCTAGTTGACTGTGAAAAGATACATGTTTACGGATGTAATCTCATGACACAGTAAGAAACAACTCCTATTTGTTATTAAGATACTATCACACATATGTAAGTTGCATTTGTACTTTGTCTGGAATCTAATATGAAATAACTTTTCCCCAAATAGTGCATTCACACGCAATCCGATTAGAATTTTTTCTTGATATTGTTCTAATATATTATCTCAATAATCTTTCACATAACATATACTCCACATAAAAGCATAATGGTCTGATTTTTGCTATCACTCTGAATTCCAGATCTTTTTCTAATTTCCTTAGGCAAGAAACAATACATACGTTTCAGTAGCTGCAAGTGTTACATAAAAAATATTGCATATGACTGAACTGTTTTGTGACTTAGTCCAGTCAAAAATTAACATGAATTTTCTCTTGTTTTCATGATGTCAAAGTGCAATGAACTACTAAATTTCTTTGAGAAGTTGTAGGGACATTTCTGTAAACCATGAAGATAAGATTACATTACTCAACAACAACAACAAAAACTACTTTACTAAAATATTTTGACATTTTATCCTAGGATTTTAAAGATGGAAATCAAGATTATACTTATTTTCAAAATTCAAGCCCCTTAGATTGAACAAGTACCACATAAAAAACTAAGCGCTATCTCCATTTTAATTTCCTTTTAATTTTATTTTCTCATCTTCTTTGCAATGGTATATTCCCATTTTTAAAACACACATATCGAGGGGAATGGTATAGGCAGGGCAAACAATGTTATTGTGCTGGATTTTTACCTCATGGGATTGAGAAAACATATCTTTTAGAAAATAATGTGTAATAGTCAAAGTTTGAAACTCCACCCTGAGAGTTAGAAAATACGCATCAATCTATTACTCTTTCCCTCTGATTTCAAAAGAAAAGATGTTCTTTCCTCATTCTAGCTACTAATCTTGCTGTCTGAGCTTTCATCCATTCCCATTTCTCTAATATTTCATACCAACCTTCACTCTCTTTCATACCTAAAGCCTTTCTGCAAACCTTCTTCCCTTCATGTCACAAATCTACTTAATTCTCATTGTTATTTTTAAATTGTAATTATCTTTGGTAATTCTTTCTGTCCTAGCTCAGATTTTCTGTATTTTATAAACTTTAAGCTCATCTTCCATTTACTCATTTATTCTCTCTAACATGGTGTTTATCCTCATCATGGATAAATTTTATTTTTCTTAATCATGTCCTCCTAGTTGCCAAATACATTTGGCTCTTTTCAAGTCTTACGAGTTTTCAGTAGGTTCTGGTGACAAGCCTGCTGAAATGAAACTGGTCCTGCCTTGGGC
This sequence comes from Homo sapiens, assembly GCF_000001405.40. Classification (NCBI taxonomy): domain Eukaryota; kingdom Metazoa; phylum Chordata; class Mammalia; order Primates; family Hominidae; genus Homo; species Homo sapiens. The sequence continues at coordinate 37,788,558 of NC_000013.11, forward strand.
TCCCTGCCAGTCTTCCCTAATGCTCCACCTCCTACCTCAACATGACCCTTCTCTCAGTGGTTTCCACAGACTCCTTTTCTTCAGTCTAAAGCTGAAATATTGATATGACCAGGGTCCTGCTTGTGGCTCTTTCCTTTATCTATCACTCTCCCTATTCTTATCATCACTTGCTGTTTAAAATGTTCCCTGAAAAACATACATATGTTTTAAAATATCCTATAAAATCTACGTTGCCAGACCACACATCTCCCTTAAGATCTGGACTTCTGCTATCCAAGATGGTAGCCATTAGTCACATGTGCCTATTTAAATGTAAATTAACTATAGTTAAATAATATTAACAATCATTTCTATGTCTTACTGGGAAGATTTCAACGGCTCAGTAGCATTCCCTCACTAAAATGTTGATGTTCATCATCTTTTACACGAGCTACAGCAATATCTTTCCAAACGATGTTACTGATTTTAGTCATGCATACTTCCTGTTTATCCTCCCCAGTGCCACATACCTAATCTTTCTAAGACGCAAATCTCATCAAATCACTTTCTTACTGATAGTCTCTAAAAGGCTGATAACCATTCACAGGTAAAACACAAACTTATTATGGAATACTGATTACTCCATGATCTGGCTTCCAAGACTGTCCCAGGCAAGTTTATTTTACACTGCCCAAAATACCAAACTACTTGGCTACTGTAACTCTAAGCCTCTTATACTGCTCTTTACAGTCTGAGTGCTTTTCCTTCCCTTGGGCACTTAGCAACTCCTGCCGGGTTTTAAAATCTTTCTGAAGCATCATAGCCCCTGATGATGTTTCTTTTCTTCCTCTCAATGCACAGTTATGTAGCCTTTTTTATGCATCTTTATAAACCCTGTGGATCTCTTAGATTTAGAACATTTCTTACTGGTGTGTATATAAGAGATTGTGAAGTAAACAGTTCTGCATCAGCATTCAAAATTTGTAGGTGAATCAAGGAATTAATGATTATACTCTTAGAGTTTTACTCTGCCATTTTAGATTAAATAAATAGGGTCAAATTGTCTTAACCACTTGCCTAAAATTGTTTTAGCAATTCCAGTCAATAGCTGTTAAGCTATCAAATCACCTGTGCAAAATACTTTATTTCTTTTTTTTTTTTGCCTGTTTTTCTTTTCTGCACATCTTTACTACTAAGCTTTTGGCAGCTGTATGAGGAAATATAACTGTAATGTATAAATCAACACATGGCTAGCTCATGGCTCAGAAACATGTTTCTCATCTTTACTTCCTAAAATCTTCAGAATGGCACAAGACTTTAGTAATTTGCTGATGTTTACAGGGGAATATAAACACAGAGGGAAAAAATTAAGACATCTTAGAAAGCAATTTGAGTATCTTATAACAGAAGAAGTAGAATTAGTGTACCAGATAACAGGAGAATAAAACATGCATATTAATCTCTACAAAATTATAAAAAGGGATAGGAGAAAAACTTAGGAATAAGAAAACATTAAGAATAATCACAGATGCTGGTAGAACAACACTAGAATTAACCAGTGAACTGGTCATGAAACTCTCTCAGTTTGTAAAATATAAAAGTTAATAGAAATAGAGAATAGAAACACAAGGGCCAATATCTATAAAATAGTAGTTGCAGAAAGTAAAAATGAAATAATAGAGTATAAGGACTATTTTTATTAGTAATGACCAACAACTTTAATAGTTATAAAAAGATGCATAAGACATCAGAAAGAATTCACAGTGTCACACTGGACATGTAAGAATAACTCCCTTAGGGACAGAAAATATTCTAAAGGAGGAGGGAAAATAGCACATCCCCCATGAGACTGCAACCACACAACTTATTAATAGCTATGTCAACATTAATTAGTTGTTTATTCCCTAAAAGTTTTGCTCAGAAAAGATAAGATTGTAAACCAATAACCACTATTTGCATATAAATAATCACTATTTACATCAATAAATTTCTGCATGTCTGTTTAGCTGAGATAATATTTGCCTACCTGGGCAAGCAGCTCCCTTATTAAATAAGGTTACTTATCAGGACTCTCTTCAGAAGTCTCTTTTTGCTAAATCCACCAATCATAAACTATTAGGTCACAAAAATTGCCTCATCCTAATCATTTTCCCGCCTTGAAAGATCAACCTGAAACCAACTGAGCACAGGCCAGAAAACTCGGTATATTATCCTCCCCCCTTTGGTGACATGGTAAAATTCAGTCCAGGTGACACTCTTCTTTACCGTTGCAAGTTCTATTGAACTTAGCTTTGCTTTAGTAGGAGTTTGTATGGTGACATATTTGGTGAGTTCAATATATAAAGAATCAGGTTAACATCATACCTCATAACAGTAAATTTGGAGGCAATAATATAAAGAGGTATTGCTTTAAAAATAGGGAAGAAAAAACAGAAGCTGTAATTTTATATCTTATTAAAATTATTTAAATGCAGGAAGGAATAACATTAGTCTAGTGCATATGACCTCAGTTTTTTACTTATAGACCATGTTTAGACATAGAAGTACACTATAAGGAAAGTATGAAGATGAAACAGGCCTGTCATGGTGGCTCACACCTGTAATCCCAGCACTTTGGGAGGCCTAGGTGGGCAGATCACAAGGTCAGGAGTTCAAGACCAGCCTGGCCAAAATAGTGAAACCCTGTCTCTACTAAAAATATGAAAAAAAATTAGCCGGGCATAGTGGCATGCACCTGTAGTCCCAGCTACTTGGGAGGCTGAGGCAGGAGAATCGCTTGAACCTGGGAGGTGGAGGTTGCAGTGAGCCGATATCGTGCCACTACACTCCAGCCTGGGCAACACAGCAAGACTCTGTCTCAATAAAAAAAAAAAAAAAAAAAAGGATAAACGAAAAAGTTTTCTCTTATTTAAATAGTCAAGAGATTTTTTTGTCTGTTTTGCTCACTGAAATATACATGGTGCTCAGGAAAGGGTAATAGAGTAAAATGTTTAATGAACATATCTGTATGTCAAGATTTGTGTTTCAAACATTGGCAATACCATGGTGAATGAGTACCAATGTCCTGCACTCACAGAGTTTATGATCCAGTGGAAGGAACCAATGAAAATTAGCAAACATAATAATTATAAATTTCTATAAATCCTATGAGGGAAACAAGTTTTAAGATGAGATGGAGAAATTTGCAGGAGGAGAAGAGATGAAGACCTGCATGAGGTCAGATGAACAGGGATAGTCTCCCTGAAACATGAGAAATGATAAAATGCTAGCTATGTGAAAAGGTGCAGAAAAAATCATGATGTTAAAGGAACCAGAAAATTTTGAGGCAGGAGGAACAGGATGCAATCTAGGGAATGACAGAGGGCCAGTTGGCAGGAGTGCGATGACTAAAGGAAAAAGCGGAAGAGATGAGTCTGCAGAGCTAGACTGTAGCCAAAGGATTCAGGACAAGGACTTTGAAATTCATTCTAGGCATAATAGGAAGTTACAGAAGGGCTTTGTGTGAGGTAATAACATAATCTGATTTCTGATTTTAAAGATCACTCTCACTGCTGATTAATTAGCAATTATACAAGCATGGAAACTAAGAGACCATCTGCCAATAAACCAGTGAGTTTCATCAAGGGTTTACAAGGAAAGTGGACACATTAACATATTAACCCCTAAGATTAAGATGCCATAATGACAGACTCTGATGCTAGCACAATATTCATGGGAATTTAAATGTCACATTTTTTAGTTTATTAATGTTTTTACTAGTGCTCTGATTTAACATATTTTGAGTAATCTTGCTCTAATCCTTATTTCCCCTAGCCCCTATTATTTGGCATAATTTGTAGAATTAGAAGGTTTTTAGGAATATATTTAGATGTATATACGATGTAAAAACAAGAACGCGTGCATAAATGTTATTACTACATCAGAAACACTTGTACTTCTTTCACTGTGTTAAAGACTCACTACTTGTCTTGTTTACAATGAAGGCATAACTTGTCATAAGAAAAACAATATTAAGAAGAAATGTGGGTGAGGGTGGCAATACATTTTACAAATAAGCATTAACAAGATTAGACAAAGAAAGGAAAATCACCTGTTTCACAAATGACTTATTTAACAGCAAAATATGTTCAGTGTTTCCCACCACAATCAGATCCTGTGGCCCGTAACTGACCTCTGGCTTCTAAATTTGTGTGTGTGTGTGTGTGTGTGTGTGTGTGTGTGTGTACGTGGATGTGCAAACAAAAAAAAAGACAAAATGCTTAAATTTGGATGCATATATAGAATTTTTGATAAATATGTGATCCTTCTATTTTAATAAAATCACTGATACCAATTAGGAGATTATTGCAAATGTAAGAAAAGAAACTATGTGGCTTAGGCATTGCCGTTGTTTTTGCTGTTGTTGCAGTGGTGGTGGTAGTGTTGTGTGTCTGTGTGAGGGAAAAAGCCAGAGACGAGAGAAGTAATTAGACACAAACTGCAGAGTAGTGTATTAACAGGGAAGCGTGACAAATTAGAGTCAGGAATGGAAAAATAATAAGTGACGTTGAGACGTCTGGTTAGAAGTTTTGAAAATAATATTTTGTAGCACCATGAGAATGTTTTCTAAATAGATTTTAAAGTTAAATATTAAAGCACGTAAAATGATAGGAAAATATAAATAAATATTAGTCTATCCTTTTGATGGAGAAGAGTAAAAACTGGAGAAATGACTGTGGAAGGCACCCTGTGCATACATAGCATTTAAAAATTCTTTTTTTAAATTATACTTTAAGTTTTAGGGTACACGTGCACAATGTGCAGGTTTGTTACATATATATACATGTGCCATGTTGGTGTGCTGCACCTATTAACTCGTCATTTAACATTAGGTATATCTCCTAATGCTATCCCTCCCCCCTCCCCCTACCCCACAACAGGGCTTAGTACTACAACCTAACACACAAAATTAAAATACAAAATAACTAGGGAAATTATTCAAAATACATATGACAAAGAAGAGTTTATTAAGTAGAAAAGAAAAACCACTAAGATTCCAAGAGTATAATGAACAGTCCCTTTGGAGAAAAGGAAATATAAGTAGAAAATGTTTGACAAAGCATTCAACTTTGCTGACCTCTAAAAGCTTAGAAATCTACCAATAAGATAAAAGTTATTGTGTGCCATGTGATCAGATTACAGACAAAAGAAAACCCAATACTAGAAATGATGCAGTTAAGGAATTTCTTCATAAATTGCTGGTGGTGGCTTAAACTGAAGGGAAATTGGAAATATGCGTATCACTCTTTTGAAAGGTTCAAGTTGTTCACCCTAGAAATACCTCCTTCCAGGAACTTACGCTAGAGTTGTGTGGTAAAAGGCAGGTAATATGTGCATAAAAGTAAACACAATTCTGCTATTAATTGTTGGGAAAAAATAGAGAGACTCAAAAGCTAATAATGGTCAAGTAATTCAATGAAGTTCTGAATATTTATTTAACAAAAATGTTCAGGTATTAAAATAATGCATATTGCATTTTACTGTCACAGGAAAATAATCATACTATGATAAGTGGTAGTCATGGTTAAAATTTTAAATGTAAGAATGCATCTGTAACAATGAAAAAACTTACACTAAAAAGGAGGTAACTACAGTTATAATTAAGAAAGGTTACATATGGGTAATTGGTGGTTTTTTTTGTTGTTTAATAATGAGAACATAATATATCTTGATAAAAAATAAACATTCATCACAAAATAAAAGTTTATTTTGTTAAAAGGAACAATCATCTGTCCTTAATAACTAGCAAAGTCTCTCCGATTTAAAAGATATTTGACTTGTTTTTGATGACTTCGAAAGCTAACATCAAGACTAGTAGGTAGAAATTACAAAGAAAAGCTTGCTTCTCAACAAAAGGTGAACTTTTAATAGTATAATACTTATCCAAAGATTAAATACTTTATCTCAGAGGCTAGATGACTCCCTGTTACCGGCAGTATTCAAACATAGAAGCAACAACTTGAAAGGAATGTGGGAGAGAGGATTCAATAACCAGATGGGTAGCTAAACTGGATAATCTTCAGTGAATATTAACACTGTGATTCTATTCGTCTCTGCTTTTAACATTGTCGCTGCCAACAAACCATGTGACCTTGAACACTTTACTAACTTTGTCACTCTTTTACTTTTCCATTAGTTATATTAAATGATCTCCATGCTTCAATCAAGCTATAACTTTTTACTTAATTAAAAAAGTACTATTGTTCTGCTTTGATACATGATTTTTCTGCTCTTCCTCATAGACTGGGTGTCCCATCAGTATATACCATGAGGTTTCCAAAGAAACTATCTCCAGAATTCTGTAACTGTTCAGATAAACACAATTAAGAGACATAGTTTCAAATGTATTTATTTTATGATAACTAAAAAAAGAAGTTTTTGAACATCATACAGTTAGAATTTTCTAATGTAGCCTTCAGTCTAAACATGTTTTATAAGATGCAATTAATTTGGCTATTTTTTACTTCTAAAAATAACTACTGTTATATAAAATATGATCTTTCTTTAGATAATATGTATTTTTTAAAAGAATTAAACACATATGTTCAATTAAGCTGGATTTAGAATTTCTTACTAGGAATACAGTTTTACAAATTCACACATGTATTTTTCTTTGTTATAAAATAATTCATCAAAAATGGTTTGTTCTGGCATATTCTGTGTTGGATCAGGATGATTTTGCAGGCTGAGGATGTAAAGTCACATAAAATACAATCCCAACAGGTAAATTTTGTGTATATGTAAATTATACCTCAAATAAAGCTGTTAAGACAACCACCACCACCAAACCCTGACCAAAGAGAGGACATTATGAGGTGGAGGAGGAGCCTTGTTGACAGTCAATGGTAGACACTTTGTGGCAAGGTCTTCAGTTTAGACATGAGCAATGTTTTTGGAGGATTCAGAGGAGAAAGCAGCAAGCTCTATCAGGGGGGTAAGAAATGCTTGCTGGAGGAGGTGGAGCTTCACCTAAGTATTTAACTATAAGCAGATATTTTCCCAATGACTATACAGAAGCAAGGAATTCTAGGAGGAGGAAGCAGGATTCTTAAAGTAATGGAGATGCAAAAGAGATTCCCATTTTATGCTAGTTTCTGCTCCTAAAATAACTGCCTTTGTTTTTCATAACCAGTCCTACCATTACACAACAACTTTGCTGCTGTACCTTTTCAAAATTTTTGTTACTTCATTTAATCCTCTTCTAATTTACTTAGTGACTCTTATTATTTTTACCAAATGGTGAACTTTCTACTGATTATAGACATTTGGGAATATGAAAGCACTATTCAAAGTCACAGGAGAAGGCAATACATTTCTGTGGCTCAGATAAGTTTAATAACTCCCTCACGGTCATACAGCTACTAAATGTTGCATCCAGAAGATGCAGCAAAATATTAGCAATGAAAATGCTGATGGTTTCAGTGAGAAATCAGGGTCAGATGTGGTAAAAACCTTCAGGCTAAATTCGACCCCACATTTCCTGACGATTTTTGGTCATGGCAGGCAGGAGCAAGAGTTCTAGCAGAGATGCTCCTGAGTGAGGCTGGTCTCAGAATTTTGTTCTTGCCTTTATTGCTTAAACAACCAGAGTTTAAGACTCAACTTTAACTTCAGGCACCTGTAACAAGAACAACATAATAACAATAGCAACAACAACAACAAAAATTCCGGAAAACTTACAAGGACTGTTCTAAGTTTCACCTGTATGAACTCAATGAATCTTCAGGAAAACCTTCTTGGGTAAGTACTATTATTAGTGTCCCATGCAATGAATACAGAGGTTAATTTATTTGACGAAGGTCATGTGGGCTTTGTAAATATGTTCGCTACCTGATGCTCAGTTTTCCTTATTACCCTGTATTACACATTTAGACTTTTATTCTGTTACTGAATGGCCATTCAGTTTCCCAGTGGCTAGGTTTTTATTATGTTCTGCAATTCTCTAGTGATGGGATCACCCATGCAGTGGGTCTTCTGATTCTGAACCTGTTTTCTCATCACCAGCTCTCAGGGAGTTCTTTTGAGTCCTCACCAATACTCCTGGAGCTCCCCTAAATATTAGTACCTCAGATCTGAAGCTTGTTTGAAAATTGAATCCTGGCTGCAGTGTTGATCTGTAATACTCAAGGTAATGGACTTAGCCCTATTTGTCACTGTCCCATTGGCTCTCCTCCTCATTAAGGAATATTTCCAGGCTCATAATTGTCTGCTCACTTGTGTCTAAAAAAGACTTAAGGGCTGGGTCAGTGGCTCATGCCTGTAATCCCAGTACTTTGAGAGGCCAAGGCAATAGGATTCCTTGAGCCCAGGAGTTCGAGACCAGTCTGGACAACATAGCAAAACTCCTCTCTACAAAAATAAAATAAAATAAAATAAAATAAAATAAAATAAAATAAAGTAAAGTAAAGTAAAGTAAAGTAAAGTAAAGTAAAATAAAATAAAATACAAGTAAGAATTAGCTGGGCATGGTGGCTCACGCTTGTAATCCCAGCACTTCGAGAGACTGACACAGGAGGATTGCTTTAGCCCAGGAGGTCCAGACTACAGTAAGCTGTGATCGTACCACTGCACTCCAGCCTGGGTGACACAGCAAGACCTGTCTTAAAAAATAAATTAATTAAAAATAAAAATAAAATAAAATAGACTCATGGCATGTTAGAGGTATCTAATCTGTTCTCACCACAACTCCCCAGTTACAGACAGTGAATGAATCTAGTTCAACTGACTATGGATGCAACTAAGAAATGGTAGCACAATTTATTCCTTTGCTCATATGACATGTCGCAATGATAAATAATTAAATATGGTTTCATTCCCAATGATAAATTAAAACCAGGAGGTTTAAACTCAGTGGGATTGTTCTACATGACGATTCTCACTCCCTTTGCTGTTCTCTGAATAGCAATTCAGACTAAGTATTTAACATCCTGAAAACAGTAGCGAAAAAAGTAGAAGATATAAATATTATAAAAGGCAATTCTTTCCTTTTGTCTTGAACTTTTAATTTTTTCCTCAGTCTTCTCATGTCCTTTGAATTTACCAGTCAAGTTTATTTCTACACTGAACTCAGACATCAGTTATGCAAATCAAAGGCAACTTAAAAAAATTAGAATGCTTAGAATACTCTTTATAAAGGTTCATTATGCACAAGGAATTTGTCATCTCCTAAATACCTCCAACAAATGTAGTAATTACCGTAGCAACTTAAAAGACTAGACTTTTTGGGCAAAGGAATTTTGACAAGTTACTCGGTTATTTTCCAAGTTTATGATGGATTGCCGTCTAGAGAATTTTGTTATTCTGCACAGTCATCAACCCTATGACATTGTGATCATTTTTTAATGACATAAAGCTGCATTATGACTCTTAAATACTCATCCCAGAGGTTTATTTCTTTAGCATATTGGCACTTAGATAGTGAAGACTACACTTAAAGCAGTTTTTATCAGCAGACACGTTAGCATTTTTCTAAAATTCAATTACCTCTAGGCCTTGGGGTGTTTAGCAGATATGATAAGATTATTCACATAAATAGCATAGTGTATTTTCCATCAAATCTTCATTTAAGCTTTAACTAAATGAAAGTATGTTCTTTAATTCAAGTTTCCTCTCATTCTAGGAGGTGGCATAAAGTAATTTAAAGTGTTGATTTAAGATATAAGAAAGAGCTATGAACTACATAGTAGAATCATCCTTTCTCACTCTGGCTCCTAGAGCTCGGCTATTTCTCTGCTTCTTGATGATCCAGCTGCCTTCTTAAAAATTGAGGAATTAAATTACCCAAATCTACTCTAACAGTTATTATCCTACACCACTTCAGAAAAAAAATGGTTTATTAACTTCATAAACAATTACTGATTCATCAAAATTATCATAAAATTATTTATTCCTCAGGGGAAGCTGACGGTTGATATTTTACAAGTGAGTTTTCCAGTTTCCATTCAAAATTAGAATCTCAAAGTGTCATGATACTAAAAACCTCATAGGCTCATGGTATGCAATGATGGAACATTTAGATGAAAAGTGAAAAAAATACTTCCAAATATCAATCAAATATTTTGTCTACATAGTATCAGACACTGAGATGTCTATAAATATTTTATTTTCTTACTTTAAACCAGATCTCATTACGTATTCTCATTACAACCTGCTGAAACCAACTATATAAGTGTTTGGAAGTAAAATCATGATTGTTATGCAAATTCCACATTTTCTATATCTATTTTCTATGTCCTGAAGGTAACAAATATTATACTAGAAATATATTTTAGTGAAACATTATTTTTAATAGCTATCTTCTTTAGTATTTTGTAATGAGTGATTATAGTGAGAGACCATCTCAATAAAGGGAGGTAATCTTTTTTTTTTTTTTTTGAGACAGAGTCTGGCTCTGTTGCCCAGGCTGGAATACAGTGGCGTGATCTCCGCTCACTGCAACCTCTGCCTCCTGGGTTCACGCCATTCTCCTGCCTCAGCCTCCCAAGTAGCTGGGACTAAAGGTGCCCACCGCCTTGCCCAGCTAATTTTTTTTTGTATTTTTAGTAGAGACAGGGTTTCACTGTGCTAGCCAGGTTGGTCTCGATCTCCTGACCTCATGATCCACCCACCTTGGCCTCCCAAAGTGCTGGGATTACAGGCGTGAGCCACTGCGCCCGGCCTAAAGGGAAGTAATCTTTAACACCAACACCTGGTCAATGCTGTGCCCTTAGCCTCTAGCAATGCATGTAGAGCCCAACTTGCCCGTTACTAATTTCCTCAAGACTGATCTGATTTTTCTACTAGATAATTCTTTTTTTGTTTTCTGTTCCTTCTACTGCCTCTTCTTTTGTCAAATTCTAGAAACCCTCTTGACTGTCTACATTTTTTATTTTTAAGGAACACAAGACTTGTAGTCAGCAAAAACTTATTTGAACCCCAACTTTGATACCTTTGTGGTTTGGGCAGAATTACTTAACTCAGAGCTGATTTCTCATATGTAAAAAAGGGATAACACTGACTATCTCAGAATCTTGTGTGAAAGAATTAAGATGCAATTTGTTAAATGGACCATGGTGTTTGTGTCCTAGAAGACATAAAGCAAATACTATTTTATTTTAAAAGCCCTGACTTTTGACTCCTGTAATTTTGGAAGTTCAGGGGTTTACTGCAATCACATTGTAATCCAAAAACTAAATGCACAACCCAAGAAGGTTCGATCTGAAGACTTCAGGTGATTTTATACTATGTAAGGATACAATACTAAATGTTTACCATTCCTAGCATCAAAACTGACAATGAAAAAATGTGTTGGTTTTGGAGCCAAAATTATTGTGTTTTTGAAATCTTCTGCTACTTAGCCTAGGCTGGTCATTTCCTCTAAGTCTCTCTCTGTGTGTCAAAGTAGATAATTATGTCCATAGGCGGGGTTGTTGCAGTGCAAATGCGATATAATATCTACAAAGTGGCTAATATATAGGTATTCAATCAATGGTGATACTTTGATTACCTCTCAGTGCATTTCCAGATATAAGCGCATATGAATAATTTGTTAAAATGTTGTTTAAGTCAAGTGATTTAGATGAATGTAAACTGGCACATATTCTGTGGCAGATATAATTAAAATGTAATGATTATTGACAGTATTATTTATTTATTTAGAGATAGGTCTTACTATGTTGTCCAGGCTAGAGTGCAGTGGCTATTCACATGATTAATCATGGTCCTCCACAGTCTTGAACTCCTGGGCTCAAGTGATCCTCCTGCCTCAGCCTCCTGAGTAGCTAGAAATAAAGGTGCACACCACTGCATCTGACTGACGGTTTTATTGTTAATGCAAGAAATATCTACATTTATTTTATAAAATTAGTTTCCAAACTATTGGAGAGGTAGTGATCAGCTAGGTTCATAGTTTACAAGAGGACTAATTTCTAATAATCTACTCCCATAGTATGCATTTAGTATTTAGTTGTTTCAGCTTTAGTTTTATAAAATTGAAAAAGTATGATTTTTTATAAAATTAATGAAAATATGAATGTATTACTGATACTAGAAATATTCTCCAAATGTAATATATAGGTATATGTAGATAGCTGTATGAGCTACTAAAGATAAAATATATACATGTGTATAGAAATGCATTTTTACCAATCACCAATCATATGAATAGAATAGGACTAACAGGACACTAAATAAAAATAATAGCTAAAATATAAACTGATATAAACCATAAAATTATGAATACAATATTGATGCTATAGACTTTATGATACAAATTAATATGAATTTTATTATAGTAAATATTTCAAGTAAAAAGTCCCACAAGAGTATTTCCCTTATATTTAATGGTTTCGGTTTTTAAGCTGAAAATCAGTAAAATATTTTAAAGAAAATAAACATTTTCGATATTTCAAATTTATGAAGAGTAATAAATACTAACAAATCACCTAGACAATTGTAAGGCATTAATTTTAAAATAATCAAGCATTTTGTTGTGCTTCTTTTGACAGGAAATATTTGAATGAATATTTATCAAAGCATGAAGTCAGTCTACATCTTATTTTTGCCATAAATAAAAAAATATGTCCAAAATGTGAACATATTTTATTGTTACTGTGGAATGTAACATAAAAGTTTTCTAAAATTGTTTTTCCTAAATAAGGAAGATAATTTCATTATGGCAAATATTTTTAAAAGTCAGCATCCCTCTCCTCTGGCAGAGAATCTATGTAAGTGATCTTGAAAGACAGTGTAACATTACTCACAAAACAGCCAGAATGAATGAAATAAACAATGTTCTCCTGCATCATCCTTCACTCCACTTCTTCACTCTACTCTAGGTACAGCTGGGAATCATAACTGTGCAGCATTAAACAAACTGTTTAAATTGGGTGTGAGGGCAGTCGCTTGCATATATGAAATAAACCTTTGTTATGGGTTTGGGAGAGTTAAGAAATAAAAAAAGGTTATAAATCTTTTATTCTAATATCACATAACTGAATATGATGACCAAGCCAAATACTTAAAACAGAATAATTAGTAATTCATTCTGTCATTTATTAATCTATGAACACTTTATTGAATGTCTACTGTCTTTGGGCACTAAGTGGGTATTACGAATTGTAGAGATACTGCTTTTCCTTCTGAAATGTTCCTATTTTCAGGTTGCAAGGAAGGCATAGAAGACATCGAGCATAATATCATCAATACTAAAGTAAGGATATTTAGAAAGATTTATAGACACTCAAAAAGGCTCACAGATAGGTAACATTTGAGCTGGATTTTGAAGGATGAAAAATATGTAGCTAGGGAACAAAAATCGAAGGTCATTTTTGGAAGAGAGAATCAACAAAAGAATAGAACCTTGAAAACTGCATGCACACTTAATGGAGATGGTTTGACTAGAGGGAAGTTCTAGACTTACATATAAATCAATGAAGATAATTCTATAGTTATGTAAAAAAATACTATCAAACACACTAATTAATTTTAAAAAGCTTTGTTGAATGCTTAATCTGTACTAGAAACTGGGTTTAAAATACTTTCACTGTTTTCTTTAACTTTTTATTTTAAAATGATTTCAAACTTACAGAACTGTTGCAAAAACCATACAGAGAGTTTCCTTATGCCTTTTAGCTTCTGCTAATGCTAGTATCTTACATAAACATGTTTCTTTAAAAAAATTAGGAAATTAGTTTTGGTAAATACTGCTAACTGAACCACAGACTTGATTAGGATTTCACCTTATTTTTGTCTAATATTTTTATTCTCTTTCAGGATCCATCTCAGGATACCACATTGCATTAGTCATCATGTCTCCTTAATATTCTCCAATTTTGTGACAATGTCGGAGTTGTTCCTCGTCTTTGATGACCTTGGTACTTTTGAGGATTACTGGTCAGATATTCTATAGAATGTCCCTCAACTTAGGTCTGCCTGACTTTTCTCATGATTAAACTGAGGTTATGGATTTGGAGACAGTCCCACAGAAGTGATGTGGCCATTTCAGTGTATTGCTGCATGATACCAACATGACTTAATACTGGTGATATTAACCTTGATCACTTGGTTAAGGTCATGTCTGCCAGCTTTGTTCATGGTCTTCTATCTAATAGAAGCAAGTCAGTAAGTCCAGCTCATACTCAAGATGAGAGAAATTAACTAACTTACTAGTGAGAAATTTATTAAAAAGTTTTTAGACATATGTCAGAACCACCAAAATAATTAATAAATGTTTTGGGAAGATATAAATAGTCCTTTTTCTCCTTACAGTTTTGCCCACTGATTTCGGTATACATCAGGGGATCTTGCCTGCAGCATTTCTTACTGTTGTATTCTAAGGGTGATTTTCTATTTCCCTCATTCCTTCTACAATTATTACTTTGATTTCTTAAGGAAAAATTGTCCCCTTCTATGTCCATTTATTTATTTATCCATATCATTTATTTATGTCATTATGGACTTATATATATTTATTTTATTTTTGAGTTATAACCTGATACTATTATTGTTTCTTTTATTGCCCAAACTGTCTCATCTTTGTCCATTGGGAGCTTTTTCAGGTTGGCACGAGTGTTCTTTTGACATGCTTTCATCCTTTTTATTTTTTATTTTATTGAGAACTTATTCACTTTCTGTCACTACAAGAGGCTTCAGGCTCATCTTGCATTTTCCCTGCTCCAGCCCTGGAAGCAATCTTTTTTCAAGGGAGCCAAATTTCCTTTTAATGAAGCATGGTGTTTAGGAATCAATATCTGGATACTAAGTGTGCTTGCTACTACTGGAATGTCACTGACTAGGCAGACAGTGGCTGAGCTAAGAAAAACATACATGTAAACTCACCCACATATAGAGACACATTATTTTTTTTCCCATCTATTTGTGCACACACACATCCTTACACACACAAAATCATTCTGATATTTAAAACTCCAGTCTATCACTACAGGGTGAAGAGTAAACATATAAACAATTCATGTTTTCATTTCTCCATTCAATAAATATGTATTGAATAGTTAGTAGATATCAGACACTGTAGTATACTGAGAATGCTGTAGTTAGGGACTAAGTCAGATATGGCCACTGCTTTTATTAAACTTATATTAATAGCTCATGATGGGACATAAAAACAGAAGAAATTTAAATAGATAACTATGAAGATCCATTAATGTGTTGGAGGTAGGGGGCTGGTTAACAGGGATCTGAATGCTGAAATGAGTGAGCCATGAAAAGATGTGAAGGAACAGCAATGCAGGCAAAGGAAAGAGGCAGAGCCAAGGCTCCAAGGCTGGAAGGAACTTGGCTTGATCCATTCTAGGTTCAGAATAAAGATCAGTGTTGCTGGAGCACTGGGAGAAATACCTGAGTATGTATATTGTGAGGCATTAAAAAGTCCCTCAATATATACACCCTGTTAATGTTAGATTTAAGATTTTCTACCTAATTGAATTGTGGCTCTGGAGGATGACAGCCTAGAAGCCACAAAATCAAAACTGTCTGGAAGGTTAAATACAGATAATAAGTCTTTTGATGGTCCGGATCTTTAAGTAACGCTTTATATGTTAGACAGTAGGCACAATATTGGAGATGGGAATTGGTTCAAAACTTCCAGAGAAGGATCAGCGTAATGAAAGCTGACATTCCCTGGGTAGGTGGTATGTCCTAGGCACACTGCCATGTTCTTCGTCTATGTTATCTCATTTTATTCTCACAGCTCCAGGAGGACATAACATTATTGTAAGTACTTTATAGATGAGGAAACTGAAGCACTGACAGAGTAAGATATTTTCCTGAAGTCAGACAACTAGTAAGTGATATGAACCAAGGCAATCTGGCGCCAGACTCCACATGCTTCCTTCCTGCCCTGTTTTGATTTTTAATCTGAAATGAGAAGAACTATGGAAAGAGGATATCAGCTCTTATAAAAAGAAGAAAAACAGAAATTATGACTGATTTATAAAGAGGTGTTACTTTTATAGAGAAATAGTTTCAACTACAAAGGTTTTTATTGTATTTTATAGATTGGAAAGTATTATTTTCATGTCTCACTTTGTGAATCTATAATAACAACAAAGTGTTTTTAAGTACTTAGAAGTAAATAAGATTAATTTGGTAATTTTAAGAAGCTAATCACAGACAAGGTCAATAACAAATGCATACATAATTCTAACATGTACATAATGCGTTACTGTTTTAAAGTGTTTTCAAATGTGTGACTGTTTCTTATAACACCAGGAGGAAGTATAGGATATCCATTTTGGAGGTGAGGAAAGATTGGGGAGTAATATGTCCAAGTAATCCCACACTTAAAGACACATAAAAGATAATTAAAATATTTCCATAAGGATGTGTCTTAACAACTAATAATTGTATTCACAAACTGTGAATGAGAAGTTAATTATATCTAATACTTAATTAACAAAATTGCCATGATATTCTCAAATGGTTGATATTTTATTTTTATATGGCATAGATTATTATAAATATGTCATAAATCGGTGATAAAATTTCAGATGTGGAAGGTAACACATTGACCTCTTTCTTTAACCTCCTTGGAATTCTCTTTGTGTGAAAGAACTCAGATTCCCAACATATCTCCTGCTGAAAATGTTTTATACTATTTTTTTATATAAGGTAATGAATATTAGAGAGGAATACTTTCTGTTTTACAGGCAGTATCTATTATTTTGGGATGGTGTATAATTTAATGATATGAATTTTTGCAATGCAAATACGCCACAGACAACTTATTTCTATCAATGACAAATTACATGACTGCTTATACAGTAAAGAAAGTATGTCTTTACTGCTGTTTCCACATTGTATATATACCCTGTCTCCTTTCTGTGATGCCTTCACTGGGGAAGTCTTGAATTAGTAACCTACTCTTTTAAATATAAGTTCATAATTTTCTTTTCCATGATATAAGTCCATGTTTTCTTTTCCACTTACAGTAAGAATGCTAACACATAGAATGACTTCAGAAGGCCCAATGTCTTTGTGCCTGATTGGACAGGGACTCTTCTCTTGATGTTATCTGACTCTGAGGTTTTCTTCTTTTGTAGGGTATGTTTCACACTATTTGGAAGAATATGCTTTTTTGTCTTGGATGTAAACTACTCTGGACATTACTAAATACACCCATAATTATAAAACCTATGACTTAAAATTTATTGTCAAGGGCCTTGTACTTTAGATTTTACAATGAACATCATGATAGCAAGTCAGTAATATTAACTGATCTAATGTCAACTAAAATTCCCTTAGGATAAAATATTTCAATTAGTTTCTATGTAAAGAGTTTTTCTTGATGTCTTTACTTGTGAAAAATTCCACTGTTTATACAATGTCTTATTGAGAAAAAAAAGAAACACATTTTTCTTGAGATTAAGGTAATGTGTTTCTAAACAGAATTGGGAAGAATCAGAGATGTCATTAAAATCAGGATAAAGTAAGAACAAAATAAACCCAGAGAAAGAGGAGTAAGTTCATAGCATAACATTGGGGAAAAGGAATTTCAATAGAAAGAAGCATGCCTTTATTGAGTTTGATGAGTTCAGCTACAAACCCAAGGGACATGTTTTCTGGACAAAAGACCTTCTCAAAACAAAATACAGGAATATTCGGGAGAAAGTACCAGAGGTGTCAGTCATACAAAGTTGCTAGTATATAAGACTATCAAACAATTAACAATATCACCTCTCAGAGTTCATCAGTGCACTTTTTTTCTTTACCTTCATCTTTGATACATCGAACTATTGTCAATAGAATTATTTTACACAGTGTGAGTTCCATCTGTTAATATCTATTTTGGAACAAATAAAAAGGTAGCCTCTTGATAGTACTGTACAGAACAAGGTAATTACTGAGTCTAGGTAAAGACAAAAGAAAAACTTAGCTAAAATGCATTTGCTGTTGTTGATGTTACTATTTCCCAAGGACCTTTTAGCATCTCACCAAACCCTTATCGATACCACAGAAGCCCAGAAATACAGTTGCAACCATATATGCTGGGCATGTAGAACTCAAATAATCACTAACTCCATGGACAACTGCAATGACATTAGTGCACCTGAAAAAATATTCCTTTTGTCCTTATTAAGACCTCAAGTTGGGGCATGAAAGATTTTGTGCTTGGAAGTAAACATAATTAAGTTAGGTTGAGTAGTCTTCGAAGCAAAACTGAGAGGTCAACAGGATAATTACAATTATTGCTCTTCCAGTTTTACCTGAATAATTGGAGGAGGGGAAGAAAGATCACATTCTACTAGTGTCACGTCCAAACATAAGCTGTAGTGCCTCTTCACACACTGCTCCACAGTGGGCGCTGTCTCCTGGCCTCTGTATTGCACTGTTAGCCTCCTGTGACTCAGATTTACTACTTTATTCTTCAAGAGGGCTGGACTTTAATCTCTATTCCCAGAGAACTGTCTAATGAAAACTCCAACTATTATACTGTCCATGAAGAAATCTTTAGAAAATTGCTTGAATCAATACATAGAAAAATGATTTCTGGGGCATCTTAAAAAATTGAACTTACTATATGGCCAACTTCTTTCCCTGCCCTCTCTCTATATTTGATAAGGACTTCAAATTGAGCCAGATGCACACATTTCTTTTTCTCTCTCTTCTCTCTCATATATGTTTATGATATGATATAATAGTTCTTACCAGGCCTCAAAACCCTTGCTTGCAATCAATGCTCATAACTAGATCTTTATATCCATAAAGAGCTGCTGATTCTTATTCAAACATTCCACTGGAGCATTTGGATTAGAAATAGATCATAATTAAACAGTATCCTAAAATATGGATATTTACAAGTGTCAGAATTCACTTTTAGCCTCTGTCCCTGTCAGCAAAGTAATAATAATAAACAATGATATTAATAGTATTGTTGCTTAATTTAGTTGAAAATCAAGAGCCCCAGCATATTACATCTGGGTCATAATCATAATCATGAATTTTAGTATCTTTTTAACAGAAATAAATCAGCAGTATGAAACATTACAAACTCGTTGAGGGCAAGGCATTCAATTCCTGTTCCTCTGTCACCTCCACCTCGCTATAGAAAAGGCTGTGCTCTGGACCCACTCTAAAGCATAAAGGGAATAAATTAACCTATGGAAGTCCACTGCACTGACATGTTTCTCCAAAGAGAAACTAACACAGACTTAAAAATGTTTCCATCCTTCCAGAATTTGTGTCAATTCTGATGAAATAAATGACAAATTGTTTTACAGTAGACAAAAGCACCGAGCCAAAGGTGATTAATGAAAATCCTCTGTAGTCATATTTTGAGATCTTCCATTAAAGATATAAATTTAGGTTTGCAAATTGTTAATTTTAAGTGTGATTTTACTTATTTTCAAAAGCAGGTTCTGACACCCTTGTGGTCATAGGAGATGTCAGACATTCCTAGTTATGGACCTCTTTCAGTCTGACAGGTACTAAAAGGCCTTGTTCCTCTCACATTTATTTCCTTTGTTTTCCTATATCTTATTTAGCAGAACTTTTCTAAGATCCTGCTCTCTTTCTTCAGAATTTAAAGAAAGAAATGAACATAACTATGAAGGAAATAATGGCCTGTGCATTCAAAGGTATGCTTCCAATTATTATCCTATGATATGTTCAAATGGTTCACTGAAGCAAAAAAAAGCCATGGTTCTTTAGAAGGTCTTTAGTGAAGTTGAAAAGGAATGAAATTGAAAAGAAAATGATAGTCTTGGCAGGTCTGTTTCAGAAAAGTACATTAGTATATGTTTATTTTTAAATTTGGGGGAGTAGATGATGTGGTACCTACTGCAATGGCTAATGTAGAAAAAAGAGGGGTATCCCACGTTAATGATTAAGTAATTCTGGAGACCTCCTTAGAATTGTAGCTAAAAGTTTGGGAAATACATTTTGATGGAACTGTGATGTACCACCCAGCTCCCCCTTCCATAAACACTTGATTGCTTCAACTATTAGGAGTGCAGACAAGAGACATCCTTCAGTTGCCAGTCCTTCAGGTATTGTCTTGTAGAACTACAGGAACTCCATCCAAAGCTACACCAGTTGGGGTAGGGCACATCCGATGACTAGTTGATGCAGGAATATAAAGTCCAGTCATTGTGCTCCAAGTAAGGGAAATACAAAGGGCTCTGCTAGCACCTAAGCATGGTATGAGATCAGCCAAGGTTACTCTATTCTGGGATCATGATCACCAAGAATTCAATCTCTTGCTCTTACCAGTCCTGTTACCTTTCTCTCCCTTCCACAGATGTAGATTCCAAAGGCATTCCTTAATAAATACCCAGCATGCTAACTTCCATCTCACCGTATGTACAATAGAGAAACCGCCTGAAAGCCCCCTGAAACCGCCATCTAAGTGGCATGAAATTCCTACATCATAGTGGTAAGACTCACAAAAGGATATCATTCAGTTTTTCTTTCAAAAGGGGATTGACTTCTGTGTTACAATTTATATAATTTGTTTCTGTTACCAGCAAACAGGTTTATCCAAATGCAACTAAATAAATATAATAGGAATCTTTGGCAAAAGTTTTAATATTTTAATGACAACTTTCCTCAAACTCTAAGTGGTAAACTAATAGAATCACACCAGCAGTGTGTAGGGTTGGAAATTAGGTCAATGTAGGATGCTCTTCCAATCCTTGGAAGGTTGAGAGTGTACCCTTACTGACTTCAGTGAATATCAAAATTAGAATAAGCAAAATAAAGAGTTTAGAGTCCTTAACACAGCTAATAGAAATAGAAAACTTTCTTTCCCTAAGTTGTTACTTTTCTAATTTTATATCCTTATCCCGTAGTTGTTGTTGTTGTTTTACTTTTTTGCAGTGACTCTTTTGGATATCTTATTTTGATGGAAATCATTACCAAAAGGCTTCCTTCATAACAAAGTCCCCGGGTTTTGTGTTTTTTTTTTTTTAAATAACTGACTTATAAGCTATTAAAAAAATATACTACCAGAGTAATTCCACCTATCTCAAACTGCAGGCATAAGATGACAGGAAAAATAACATGTCTCAAGAGAGTGTAGACACAGAATGTTCAAGACAGGGGTTATATGCTGATCCAATTCATAATTTGAACAGAACCTCATTAAAAGATTAAGGTAACAAAAGGTAAGTACAACTCTAAATAAAAGCAATTACAAAGATGTAGGCAGGATCCTGTGGCTCCAAACTCATGAATAAAAATTCAGAACTGTGGGTCCACTATGAATCTGGAATGAAAATGAGAACCTAGAGCACTGATGTTATTATATAGCCTGAATGAAGTTAGACTCTGAAGGTTCACCCTGGTATATCAGATTCAGGCCTTTCGTTCTAAACCTTCCAGCCCTTATATTCAGGGCTATATCAATTTCTGAGCAAGGGCTTCTAGATTTACAACTAAAAAATGACTATGATTGGGCATTAATTAACAACTTTTGGAATTCATATGAATTCAAGAGTTTTCTTATCAGTCTCTTGACATGACTTGCAAAGGAAACATGGCACAATAGAAACAAATCCAATTAATTACTTGAGGTTAATAGTATGTTCATTCTGGATTTTACAATGATGGTTTGTAAAATTTAAATCATGCTAGAAGTATTTCTGCTTTGATAAGTTAAAAATACAGAATTCCATATTATTACACCTGAGTCTATTTTGATAAAACCAAATGCTTTAAAAACATTTCATAAATTAAGATACAATGTTATTTGATTATTATTATTCCCATTACACAGCCAAAATTATATTGAAGTTGTGTATTTTAATAATCCTTTTCTATAATGTTTTTAAAGATATTTTAGAATTGGTAGATTTTTCATATTGCTAATAGGCATATATCATTATGACATAAAAGATAAATCTCTCACTGTCTTGATACTATACTAAATATTATATTATAACCTATTTAAAAACTGATAACAGCTATAGATCAAAACAATTAGACACCCATCGTTCAAAGGTTTAATCAAAATTCTCATGTGTGGCAGGATGGAAGAGTTCACTCTTGTTAAACACAAATATATATGTTGCTCCATAAGACAACTTTCTGCTCTAAATCTTGAACTGTGAAGTTAGTTAACAAATGATTTTAAAGAATAAGTGACAACAATTGAAAATTAAAATCCTCATACAAATGAATTAAACTTTATACTTTTGATTTGTGGGATGCTCTTTGGTAATATTTCCATATCTTTTCAAATTTTTTACATTCATACATATTTAATTAATTCCTATTTCTTATACCCATCTTACTTGCCTATGAATATATACCTTGGTTGTTTTTATAAAAAGCATAAACATATTACTCTAGTTTATCTCTCCAACAAACTGATCTCGAAATTTTTTGTACTCTATGTATTTTAGTTATAGCACATGTTCTATTGAAAATATTCTACATATTATCTCATTCCTCTTTTTTCACACTATTATAATCGCATGCTTTCTTAGGCACAATAGATTTAATATTCCCAGATCTTCTTTCAAATACATTGTTAATGTCATCTAAAATTCCTATATCTATTCTACTTACATTACTGTGACAAAGTTTTTTAGTTGCACTGAATTATTAATAGATATTTAACTATTTGGTTTAATAAGATATCTTAGAAGCTAATAATAAAATCAAAACTCTATTTTATAACAACAAAAATCTCAATAACAAAATTGGCAACATATGCCAAAATACAAATCAATATATGTTTGTAGAACTATGATTCCAGCCAAGAGAATACACTCCCACTTAAAATAACAAAAACAACAACAAATAGGAAAATAAATGAAACAACAGATTTAAAGTCACTGGACATTATCAGCCCAGGACAGTGATCCTGAGCAACAGAGGGAAAAAGACAGACATGATTATCCCAAATACTGCCTTGAGAGAGTTTGCAGGTTGTGATACAGGGAGGGAAAATTCAGGTGGAGCCTTTCAAACTCCCTCACTTGGGGATACAGAACTAAGAATCTGGGGAGAGGCAACACAGCTAGACTTCACAGGACAAAGTACCAGAGAGGAGAGAAGTGTGCAAAGGTTCAGACATTCTTAGAATGTTCTCGTCTAGTATTCAGCAGAGTACTCATTACCACATACATATAAGGAATTACCAGAGGCCAGGGGAAAATCATCTGTGAAGATAACAGGGAAGAATGCTTAGCACATACACAGGGTCAGGGACAGTCTATTCCCACTTTCCAAAACGGAAAAACCAAATAATTTATGAAGCTTTTAGGTAGACTACACAGAGGGTCCTGCTTTGGTGGTAAGAAATACTTAGCTGTGGAAAAACTGCTGCTCTAGTTCTGAAAATAAATATTTAATTCAAGACCCTGGCCAGGTGTGGTGGCTCACGCCTGTAATCCCAACATTTTGGGAGGCCAAGGCAGGAAGATCAGTTGAGGTGAGGAGGTCAAGACCAGCCAGGCCAACATGGCAAAACACCGTCTCTACTAAAAATACAAAAAATATCCAGGTGTGATGGTGCTTGGGAGTTGTAGTTGGGACCTGTAGTCCCAACTACTTGGGAGGCTGAGGCAGGAGCATTGCTTGAACCCAGGAGGCAGAGGTTGCAGTGAGCTGACACAGCACCACTGTACTCCAGCCTAGGCAACAGACTGAGACTCTATCAAAAAAAAAAAAAAAAAAACCAGGAGATCTAATTGCTTCAAGTAAATTAACTGAGCGATAGAACATAACTCAAGATTATTTATAAAAATGCAAACATTTCTAGCACTCAACAAAGTAAAATTTATAGTATCTATCATCTAATCAAAGACTATCAAGCATATAAGTATGAAAAAAAATACAAACCATTATGAGGAGAAAATTTAATGAATCTAAACTCACCTAGAACTCACAAAGATATTAAAATTAGCAAGAAAAGCTACATTATGACAGTTCTTAAAAGTTTATTAATGATAACTACAGTATGTGAGAAGTAAAATATATTGGATCATTGGATATGCTCAATGGCAGATTAGATATTGCCAAAAAGATTACTGAGCCTAAAGACATAGCAATAGAAAGTATCCAAATGGAACACATGAAGAGAAAAAATTAAAAGAGCATTATTAAGCTGTGGAACACAGTCAGTCACCCTAATATATATTTAATTAGTGCCTCTTGAGAGAGAGAAGGTTAAAAATATTTGAAAAATAATGAAAAAGATGTTTTCCAAATTTGATAATAATTGTTAACTAACAAATACAAGAAGTTTAATAAATCCCAAGCACGAGAAACATAAAGAAAACTACAGCAAGTCATGTGATAATCAAATTTCTTAAAATCATAGACAAAGAAACAAATCTTAAATCAGCCAACAATTGCTCCTTCCCTTGGAAAACAAAAAATGACATGCCACGTAAAGAGAAACAAAGATAAGCAACGACAACTAACTTCTCATTGGAAAAACACTAGTGAAAAAAGCAGTGGAACAGCAACTCTAAAATATTGAAAAAAAAGTCAATCTAGAATTTTATACCCACCCAAAATATCTTTCCAAACAAAGGCTAACCAACCACAAAGGCATAAAATTATAAATCAATAACAAGAAGAAATCTGGGAAAGTCACAAATAGTTAGAAATTAAATGATATTCTCTAAAATAATCAATAAATCAAAGAAGAAATCATAAGAGAAATTAGTTAATTTTATGAGATAAATACAAGTGAAAATATAGCATACCAAAATTCATGGGATGTAAAAGCAGTGCTTACAAGGAAATTTATATTTGTGAATGCCTGTTTGATATATATCTTAAATTAATATCATAAACTTCTATCTTAAGAAATTATAAATGTAAAAATATTAAATCAAAGCAAGCAGAAGAAATAATATATATTACAGTGGATATAAGTAAAATAGAGAACAGAGAAACAATAGGAAGAATCAACAAAACCAATTATTTTAAGCAATCCATATAACTGATGAAACTTTAGCTAAACAGACCAAGGGGAAAAAAAAGAGAAGATGCAAATTATGAAAATTAAGACTTAAACAGGGAACACTACTACTGATGTTACAGAATTAAAAAACATTAAAAGTGTACAACTGTATGCCAACAAATTAGATGAACTAGATGAGTAGACAAATTTTTAGGAATAAACAAGCTACCAAACAGACTGAAGAAGAAATAGAAATTCTTCATAGACTTGTAACAAAGAGATCAAATTAGTAAATTATTTTTTAAAATAACTTCACCAAGAAAAGTCTTCATAGATAAATTCTACCAAATGTTTCAATCATTCACAAACTCTAGCAAAAAACAGAAGGAACACTTTACAACTCATTCTATGAAGGCAGAATTATCCTGACACCAAATACAAAGACATTACAAGAAAAATCTACAAGCCAGTATATCTATGAATAGAAATAAAAAAAGTCCTAAGGATAATAAAAAGACACCAAATCCAGCAGTATTAAAAAATGACTGTATATTATGACCTAGTGGAGTTACTCTAGATTGCAAATTTAGTTCAACAGATGAAAAACCAATATAATACAACAAATCAATACAATAAAAAAACCCACATCATCACAACAATAGACACAGAAACAACATTTCTCAAAGAAATTCAACATCATTTCACTATAGAAATCCTCAAAATCTAGGAATCAAATGGGATTTCCTCAATCTTGTAAAGGACATCTAGGAAAACACACAGCTAAAATCATACTTACTGGAAAATACTGAGCATTTCATCCCTGAGATGGTGAACAAGACAAAGATGCCCACTCTCACCATTTCTTGTCAACAATATACTAGAGGTTTTGACCAGGGCAATTAGGTAAGGGAAAAAAAAGGTATCAAAGTAGAAAAGAAATGAATATAACTATATCTATTTCAAGATGACATGATCTTCAAAAATAAGTAATCCATAAAAATTCTATTAAAGACTAATGAATGGATTCAGTAAATTTATAGGATATAACATGAACATAAAATTAATTATATGTTTATAAAATAAGGAATAATTCCAAAACAAAACTATAGAAACAGTTCCATGTAAAACAACATCAAAAAGATTAAAATATTTAGGTATATGTTTAAGTGAAAGACTTGTAGTCTTGCATTCTTTCACTTGTAGTGAATGACTTGTACACAAAAACTGCAGAATGTCATTGAAGGAAATTATAGGAGATCAAATAAATGGAATGGCATTTTGTATTCATGTATTGGAAATCTTAATGTAAAAATGACACTAATCATCAAATTGATCTATAAATTTAATGCCATCCTTATCAAAATTCCAACTTACTTTTTAAAAGAAATTGACAAGCTGATTCTCAAATGTATAGTTAATCCAAGGGAACCAGACAAGCCAAAACAATCTGATAAAACAGAAAAAAATTTGGAGGACTTGCATTATCTGATTTCTAAACTTACTAAGAAACTACAGTAATCAAGAATGTGTAGTGCTGGAATATTAGACATAAAGGTCAATAAAATTGATTTGAGGGTCAGAAAATAAACCCTTATGCTTATGATCAGTTGATTTTTTTTACAAAGGTGTCAAGAAAAATTTAATGGAAAAAAGATCTTTCAATAAACAGTGCTGAGATGACTATATATCAACATGAAAAAGAATGAAGTTGGACCCAAACTTCATACAATATGGAAAATTCAATTCAAAAAGGATCAAAGATCTAAATGTTAAGAGCTCAAACTATACATAATAACTAGCTAATGACACACTGATACAATCAAACCTGCACATATCAATATTAACCTTGAAACTAAATAGGCTAAATGTCTCACTCAAAAGGCAAAGAGGGGTAAGTTAGATAAAGAAGAAAGACCCAGCTGTATGCTGTCTACAAGATACCCATCTCACATGCAATGACACCCATAGGTTCTAAGTAAAGAGATGGAGAAAAATCTACCAAACAAACAGAAAACTGAAAAAAGCAAGGATTGATAGTTCAATTTCAGACAAAACAGACTTTAAACGACAGTGATCAAAAAAGACAAAGAAGGGCATTACATGATAGTAAAGGATGTATTCAATAAGAAGACCTAACTATTCTAAATATATATGCACCTAACAAGAGGCACTCAGATTCATAAAACGAGTTCTTAGAAACCTACAAAGAGACTTAGATAACCACGCAATAAAAGTGGAAGACTTCAAGACCCCACTGG
Organism: Homo sapiens; assembly: GCF_000001405.40. NCBI lineage: Eukaryota > Metazoa > Chordata > Mammalia > Primates > Hominidae > Homo > Homo sapiens. Next base: position 37,815,690 of record NC_000013.11, read on the forward strand.
CAGTATTAGACAGGTCATTGAGGCACAAAACTAACAAAGATATTCAGAACCTGAACTTGACAGTTGATCAAACAGGCCTGACAAACATCTACAGAACTTTCTACCCTAAAACAAAAGAATATACATTCTTCTCATATGCATGTGATACATACTCTAAAACTGACAATCCAATTGTACCTGAAACAATCTCAGTAAATTAAAAAAAAATCAAATCATACCAAACACACTCTCAGAACACAGCACAATAAAAATATAAAACAATAGTAATAAAATCATACAATTACATACAAGTTAAACAACCTACTCAAGAATGACTTTTGGATAAACAGTAAAATTAAGGCAGAAATCAAGAAATTCTTTGAAATTAATGAGAACAAAATACAACATATCAGAATTTCTGGGACACAGATAAAACACTGTTAAGAGAGACATTTACAGCACTAAAAGCACACATCAAAACGTTAGAAATATGTCGAATTCATGGAAGGGCATTATATAATAGTAAAGGATTCAAGTCAACAAAAAGAGCTAACTATCCTAAATAGTCACACAACACAGGAGCACCCAGACTCATAAAGCAAGTTCTTGGAGACCTTCAAAGAGACTTAGATACACACACTGACAATATTAGACAGATCACTGAGGCAGAAAATTAACAAAGATATTCAGGACCCAAACTCAGCACTGATTCAAGTGGACCTGATAGATATCTACAGAACTCTCCAGCCAAAACAACAGGATATACATTCTTCTCATCGTGACATGGCACATATGCTGCCATTTCTGCTGAAACTATTCCAAATATTTGAGGAGAAAAGACTCCTCCCTAACTCATTCAATGAGGCCAGCATCATCCTGATACCAAAATCTGGCAGAAATACAGCAACAACAATTTCAGGCCAATATCCTTGAAGAACATTGATGCAAAAATCCTCAAGAAAATAGTCACAAACAGAATAAAGTAGCACATAAAAAAAGCTAATCCACCATGATCAAGTAGGCTTTATCCCTAGGATGCAAGATTGGTACATATGCAAATCAATAAATATGATCCATCACATAAACAGAACTAAAGACAAAAACCACATAATTATCTCAATAGACACAGAAAAGGCTTTCAATACAATTAAACACTCATTCATATTAAATATGCTCAATAAACTAGATATTGAAGGAAAATACCTCGAAATTAAAGAGCCATCTCTGACAAACCCATAACCCACATATTACTAAATGGCACAAGCTGGAAACATGCCCCTTGAAAACCAGCACAAGACAAGGATGCCTTCTCTCACCACTCTTATTCAACACAGTATTGGAAATCCTGGACAGAGCAATCAGGCAAGAGAAAGAAATAAAAGGCATCCAAATAGGAAGAGAGGAAGTCAAACTATCCCTGTTTGCAGACAACATAAGCCTTTAACTAGAAAACTCCATAGTCTCAGCACAAAAGCTTCTTAAGCTGATACACAACTTCCGCAAAGTCTCAGGATACAAAATCAATGGGCAAAATTTGCTAACATTCCCATAAACAAACAACAGTCAAGCTGAGAGCAAAATCAGGAATGTAATCCCATTCACAATTGCCACAAAAAGAATAAAATATCTAGGAATATAGCTAACCATGGAGGTGAAAGACCTCTACAAGGAGAGCTACAAAGCACAAAGCTCAAAGGAATCACAGATGACACAAACAAATGGAAAAACATTCCATGTTCATGGATAGGAAGAATCAATATCCTAAAAATGGTGATATTGCCCAAAGCAAGTTATAGATTCAATGCTATTCCTATTATACTACCATTGAGATTCTTCAGGGTAGTAGAGAGAACTATTTTAAAATTTACATGGGACCAAAAAAGAGCATGAATAACCAAGGCAATACTAAGGAAAACAAACAAACAAACAAACAAAGCAGGAGGCATCATGCTACCTAACTTCAAACTATATTACAGGGTTACGGTAATCAAAACAGCATAGTACTGCTACAAAAGCAGACACATAGAACAATGGAACAGAATAAAGAACCAAAAAAAAAGGCTGCACACCTACAACTATTCAATCTTTGACAAATCAGACAAAAACATGCAATTGGGAACAATGTCCTATTTGATAAATGGCACTAGGATAATAGGCTAGCCATATGCAGAAGATTGACATTGGACCCCTTCCTTACACCATATAGAAAAATCAACTCATGATGAATTAAAGGCTTAAATGTAATAATCAAAACTGTAAAAACCCTGGAAGACAACCTAGGTAATACTATTTAGGACACAGGAACGTACAAAGATTTTATGATGAAGATGTCAAAAGCAACTGCAACAAAAGCAAAAATGGACAAATGGGACCTAATTAAACTAAAGCGCTTTTGCATAGCAAAGAAAATGATTAATAGCGTGAACAGACAGCCTACAGAATGGGAGAATACTAGACAAAGTCTAGTATCCAGCATCTGTAAGAAACTTAAATAAATTTCAAGAAAAAAAATAAAAACCCCAAAAGTGCACAAAGGATGTAAACAGGCACTTTAAAAAAATGCAAATCAAAATTACAATGAGATACCATCTCACACCAGTTAGAATGGCAATCATTAAAAAGTCAGGAAATGACAGATGCTGGAGAGGATGTGGAGAAATAGGAATGCTTTTACACTGTTGGTGGGAGTGTAAATTAGTTCAACCATTGGGGAAGACAGTGTGATGATTCCTCAAAGATCTAGAACCAGAAATACCATTTGACCCCGCAATCCCATTACTGGGTATACACCCAAAGGATTATAAATCATACTACTATAAAGATACATGCACATGTATGTTTATTGCAGCACTATTCACAATAGCAAATACTTGGAACCAACCCAAATGCTCATCAATGATAGACTGGATAAAGAAAATATGGCACATATACACCATGGAATACTATGCAGCCATAAAAAGGGGTGAGTTCATGTTCTTTGCAGGGACATGGATGAAGCTGGAAACCATCATTCTCAGTAAACTAATGCAGGAACAGAAAACCAAACATTGTTTGTTCTCACTCATAAGTGGGAGTTGAACAATGAGAACACATGGACACAGGGAGGGGAACATCACATACCAGGGCCTGTCAGGGGATTGGGGGCCATTGAAGAGATAGCATTAGGAGAAATACCTAATGTAGATGATGGGTTGATAGGTGCAGCAAACCACCATGGCACGCGTATACCTATGTAACAAACCTGCACGTTCTGCATATATATCCCAAAACTTAAAGTACAATTAAAAAAAATACATGTGGCCAACAAGCATATGAAAAAAAATTTTTAAAAACCATTAATAATAGGAAAAGGTTATGAACAGACACTTTTCAAAAAAGACATAATTGTGGCCAGGAGGCATATGAAAAAAAGCTTAATATCACTGATCATTAGAGACATGCAAATGAAAACTACAATGAGATACCATCTTACACCATCAGAATGGCTATTATTAAAAAGCAAAAAAATTACAGATGCTGGTGAGGTTGTAGAGAAAAAGAAATGCTTATATACTGTTGGTTGGAGTGCAAATTAGTTCATGCATTGTGGAAAGCAGTGTGGCTATTTCTCAAAGATCTAAAGACAGAAACACCATTTGACCCAACAATCCCATTACTGGGTATATACTCAAAGGAATACATATTATTCTAATAAAAGACACATGAATGTGTATGTTTATTGTAGCACTATGTATAATAGGAAAGACATGGCATCAACATAAATGCCCATCAATGATAGACCAAATAAAGAAAATGTGATACACCATGGAATACTATGTAGCCATGAAAAGAACAAGATCATGTCCCTTGCAGGGACATGGATGGGGCTGGAGGCCATTATCTTTAGCAAACTAACGCAGGAACAGGAAATCAAATTTTGCATGTTCTCATTTATAAGTGGGAGCCAAATGATAAGAACACATGGGCACATAGAGGGGAACAACACATACTAAGACCTATCAAATTGGGGAAGATTGGAAGAGGGAGAGGATCAGGAAAACAATGAATGGGTACTAGGCTTAATACTTGGGTGACAAAATAATCTGTACAACGAACCCTCATTACACAAATTTACCTATATAGTAAACCTGCACATGTACCTCTGAACTTAAAATGAAAGTTAAAAAAAAAAACAAAAAAAGATGTCAAATTAACAACCTAACATCACACCTAGAGGAACTAAAAAAACAAGGGCCAGCCAACCCCAAATCTAGTAGAAGGCAATAAACAACCAAAATCAGAGATGAACCAAAGGAAATTGAGATGTAAAAAACCACACAAAAGATCAACAAATCCAGGAGTTTGTTTTTTAAAGAAAAAATAAGATTGATAGACTACTAGCTAGACAAAGATATAAAAGAGAGAAGATCCAAATAAACTCAATCAGAAATGACAAAGGATATATTACCACCAACCTCACAGAAATACAAAAAATTCCTTAGAGTCTATTTTAAACAGCTTTATGCATACAAACTAGAAACCCTAGAAGAAATGGATACATTCCTGGAAACACGCAACCTCCCAAGATTGAACCAGGAGGATATGGAATTCCTGAACAGACCAATAACAAGTTTGGAAATTGAATCAGTAATAAAAATCCTACCAACCAGAACATGTCTAGGATATGATGAATTCACAGTGAAATTCTACCAGAGATATAAAGAAATAGTACCATTCCTACTAAAACTATTCCCAATAATTGAAGAGGAGACTCCCCCTTACTCATTCTATGACGCCAGAATCCTCCTGACACCCAAACCTTACGGAGACACAACCAAAAAATAAAACTTCAGTTCAATATCCTTGTCAAATATAGATGCAAAAATTGTCAACAAATACTAGCCAACTGAATCCAGCAGCACATAAAAACGTAAATCCAAAATGATCAAGTAGGCTTTATCCCTGCAATGCAAGATTGGTTCAACATGCTCAAATCAACAAATGTGTTTCACCACATAAATGGAACTAAAAATAAAAATCACATGATTATCTCCATAGATGAAGAAAAGGCTTTCAAAGAAATTCAACATCTTTCATAGTCAGAACCCTCAACAAACTAGGCATTGAAGGAACATACTTCAAAATAATAACAGCCATCTAAAAAGACTCACAGCAAACATTATACTGAATGGGCAAAAGCTAGAAGCATTCCCCTTAAAAACTGCAACAAAACAAGGATGTCCTCTCTCACCACTCCTACTGAAGATAGTACTGGAAGACCTAGCCCAAGCAATCAGGCAACAGAAAGAAATAAAATGAATCCAAATAGGAAAAGATAAAGTCAAACTATTTCTGTTTGCAGATTACATGATTCTATATGTAGAAAGCCCCATAGTCTCTGCACAAAAGCTCCTTGATCTGATAAACAACTTCAGCAAAGTTTTGGGATATTAAATTATTGTACAAAAACCAATAGCATTCCTATACACAAGCAACATCCAAACTGAAAGCCAAATCATGAATGAAATCACATTCACAATAGCCACACACACACACACACACACACACACACACACACACACACAAATACCTAGGAATACAGCTGACCAGGGAGGTGAAAGATCTCTACAATAAGAATTACAAAACACTGCTCAAAGAAATCAGAGATGACACAAATGAATGGAAAAATAGTCCAAGTTCATGAATAGGAATAATCAATATTGTTAAAATAGGATACTGCCCAAAGCAATTTATAGATTCAATGCTATTCCTATCAAATTACCAATGACATTCTTCAAAGAATTAGAAAAACTATTTTAAAATTCATATAGAACCAAAGAAGAGTCCAAATAGCCAAGGAAATCCTAAGCAAAAAGAACAAAACTGAAGGCATCACATTGCTTGACTTCAAACTATACTACAAGGCTACAGTAACTGAAACAGCATTGAACTGGTAGAAAAAGAGACACATAGAGCAATGGAACAAAATAGAAAGCCTAGAAATAAAGCCACATGCCTACATTCATCTGGTCATTGATAAAGTTAACAACAGCAAGCAATGGGGAAAGGTCTCTCTATTCAATAAATGATGCTGGGATAACTGGCTAGTCATACGTGGAAGATTGAAACTGGGTCTTTCCTTACACAATATACAAAAATCAGCTCAAGATAGATTAAAGACTTAAATGTAAAACCCAAAACTGTAAAAATCCTGGAAGATAACCTAGGAAATACCATTCCAGACACAGGCCCTGGCAAAGATTTCGTGATGAAGATGCCAAAAGCAATTACAATAAAAACAAAATTGACAAATGAAACCTAATTAAACCAAAGAACTTCACACAGGAAAAGAAACTATTAACAGATTAAACAGACAACCTACAGAATGGGGAAAATATTTGAAAAAAATGCATTTGACAAAGGTCTAATATCCAGAATATATAAGTAACTTAAATTTATAAGAAATAAACAAACAACCCCATTAAAAAGTGGACATGAACAGACACTTTTCCAAAGAAGACATACACAAAGCCAATAGGCATGTGAAAGAAGGCTCAACATCACAGATTATTAGAGAAATGCAAATCAAAACCACAATGAGATACCATCTCAAATTAATCAGAATGGTTTTTTTTTTATTATTATACTTTAAGTTTTAGGGTACATGTGCACAATGTGCAGGTTAGTTACATATGTATACATGTGCCATGCTGGTGCGCTGCACCCACTAACTCGTCATCTAGCATTAGGTATATCTCCTAATGCTATCCCTCCCCCCCCACCCCACAACAGTCCCCACAGTGTGATGTTCCCCCTCCTGTGTCCATGTGATCTCATTGTTTGATTCCCATCTATGAGTGAGAATATGCGGTGTTTGGTTTTTTGTTCTTGTGATAGTTTACTAAGAATGATGATTTCCAATTTCATCCATGTCCCTACAAAGGACATGAACTCATCATTTTTTATGGCTGCATAGTATTCCATGGTGTATATGTGCCACATTTTCTTCATCCAGTCTATCATTGTTGGACATTTGGGTTGGTTCCAAGTCTTTGCTATTGTGAATAATGCCGCAATGAACATACGTGTGCATGTGTCTTTATAGCAGCATGATTTATAGTACTTTGGGTATATACCCAGTAATGGGATGGCTGGGTCAAATGGTATTTCTAGTTCTAGATCCCTGAGGAATCGCCACACTGACTTCCACAATTGTTGAACTAGTTTACAGTCCCACCAACAGTGTAAAAGTGTTCCTATTTCTCCACATCCTCTCCAGCACCTGTTGTTTCCTGACTTTTTAATGATTGCCATTCTAACTGGTGTGAGATGGTATCTCATTGTGGTTTTGATTTGCATTTCTCTGATGGCCAGTGATGATGAGCATTTTTTCATGTGTTTTTTGGCTGCATAAATGTCTTCTTTTGAGAAGTGTCTGTTCATATCCTTCACCCACTTTTTGATGGGGTTGTTTGTTTTTTTCTTGTAAATTTGTTGGAGTTCATTGTAGATTCTGGATATTAGCCCTTTGTCAGATGAGTAGGTTGCGAAAATTTTCTCCCATTTTGTAGGTTGCCTGTTCACTCTGATGGTAGTTTCTTTTGCTGTGCAGAAGCTCTTTAGTTTAATTAGATCCCATTTGTCATTTTTGGCTTTTGTTGCCATTGCTTTTGGTGTTTTAGATATGAAGTCCTTGCCCATGCCTATGTCCTGAATGGTAATGCCTAGGTTTTCTTCTAGGGTTTTTATGGTTTTAGGTCTAACGTTGAAGTCTTTAATCCATCTTGAATTGATTTTTGTATAAGGTGTAAGGAAGGGATCCAGTTTCAGCTTTCTACATATGGCTAGCCAGTTTTCCCAGCACCATTTATTAAATAGGGAATCCTTTCCCCATTGCTTGTTTTTCTCAGGTTTGTCAAAGATCAAATACTTGTAGATATGTGGCGTTATTTCTGAGGGCTCTGTTCTGTTCCATTGATCTATATCTCTGTTTTGGTACCAGTACCATGCTGTTTTGGTTACTGTAGCCTTGTAGTATAGTTTGAAGTCAGGTAGTGTGATGCCTCCAGCTTTGTTCTTTTGGCTTAGGATTGACTTGGCGATGCGGGCTCTTTTTTGTTCCATATGAACTTTAAAGTAGTTTTTTTCCAATTCTGTGAAGAAAGTCATTGGTAGCTTGATGGGGATGGCATTGAATCTGTAAATTACCTTGGGCAGTATGGCCATTTTCATGATATTGATTCTTCCTACTCATGAGCATGGAATGTTCTTCCATTTGTTTGTATCCTCTTTTATTTCATTGAGCAGTGGTTTGTAGTTCTCCTTGAAGAGGTCCTTCACATCGTTTGTAAGTTGGATTCCTAGGTATTTTATTCTCTTTGAAGCAATTGTGAATGGGAGTTCCCTCATGATTTGGCTCTCTGTTTGTCTGTTGTTGGTGTATAAGAATGCTTGTGATTTTTGTACATTGATTTTGTATCCTGAGACTTTGCTGAAGTTGCTTATCAGCTTAAGGAGATTTTGGGCTGAGACAATGGGGTTTTCTAGATATAAAATCATGTCATCTGCAAACAGGGACAATTTGACTTCCTCTTTTCCTAATTGAATACCCTTTATTTCCTTCTCCTGCCTAATTGCCCTGGCCAGAACTTCCAACACTATGTTGAATAGGAGTGGTGAGAGAGGGCATCCCTGTCTTGTGCCAGTTTTCAAAGGGAATGCTTCCAGTTTTTGCCCATTCAGTATGATATTGGCTGTGGGTTTGTCATAGATAGCTCTTATTGTTTTGAAATACTTCCCATCAATACCTAATTTATTGAGAGTTTTTAGCATGAAGGGTTGTTGAATTTTGTCAAAGGCCTTTTCTGAATCTATTGAGATAATCATGTGGTTTTTGTCTTTGGTTCTGTTTATATGCTGGATTACATTTATTGATTTGCGTATATTGAACCAGCCTTGCATCCCAGGGATGAAGCCCACTTGACCATGGTGGATAAGCTTTTTGATGTGCTGCTGGATTCGGTTTGCCATTATTTTATTGAGGATTTTTGCATCAATGTTCATCGAGGATATTGGTCTAAAATTCTCTTTTTGGTTGTGTCTCTGCCAGGCTTTGGTATCAGAATGATGCTGGCCTCATAAAATGAGTTAGGGAGGATTCCCTCTTTTTCTATTGATTGGAATAGTTTCAGAAGGAATGGTACCAGTTCCTCCTTGTACCTCTGGCAGAATTCGGCTGTGAATCCATCTGGTCCTGGACTCTTTTTGGTTGGTAAGCTATTGATTATTGCCACAATTTCTGATCCTGTTATTGGTCTATTCAGAGATTCAACTTCTTCCTGGTTTAGTCTTGGGAGAGTGTATGTGTCGGGGAATTTATCCATTTCTTCTAGATTTTCTAGTTTATTTGCATAGAGGTGTTTGTAGTATTCTCTGATGGTAGTTTGTATTTCTGTGGGATCAGTGGTGATATCCCCTTTATCATTTTTTATTGCATCTATTTGATTCTTCTCTCTTTTTTTCTTTAGTAGTCTTGCTAGTGGTCTATCTATTTTGTTGATCCTTTCAAAAAACCAGCTCCTGGATTCATTAATTTTTTGAAGGGTTTTTTGTGTCTCTATTTCCTTCAGGTCTGCTCTGATTTTAGTTATTTCTTGCCTTCTGCTAGCTTTTGAATGTGTTTGCTCTTGCTTTTCTAGTTCTTTTAATTGTGATGTTAGGGTGTCAATTTTGGATCTTTCCTGCTTTCTCTTGTGGGCATTTAGTGCTATAAATTTCCCTCTACACACTGCTTTGAATGTGTTCCAGAGATTCTGTTATATTGTGTCTTTGTTCTCATTGGTTTCAAAGAACATCTTTATTTCTGCCTTCATTTTGTTATGTACCCAGTAGTCATTCAGGAGCAGGTTGTTCAGTTTCCATGTAGTCCAGCGGTTTTGAGTGAGATTCTTAATCCTGAGTTCTAGTTTGATTGCACTGTGGTCTGAGAGATAGTTTGTTATAATTTCTGTTCTTTTACATTTGCTGAGGAGAGCTTTACTTCCAAGTATGTGGTCAATTTTGGAATAGGTGTGGTGTGGTGCTGAAAAAAATGTATATTCTGTTGATTTGGGGTGGAGAGTTCTGTAGATGTCTATTAGGTCCACTTGGTGCAGAGCTGAGTTTAATTCCTGGGTATCCTTGTTGACTTTCTGTCTCATTGATCTGTCTAATGTTGACAGTGGGGTGTTAAAGTCTCCCATTATTAATGTGTGGGAGTCAAAGTCTCTTTGTAGGTCACTCAGGACTTGCTTTATGAATCTGGGTGCTCCTGTATTGGGTGCATATATATTTAGGATAGTTAGCTCTTCTTGTTGAATTGATCCCTTTACCATTATGTAATGGCCTTCTTTGTCTCTTTTGATCTTTGTTGGCTTAAAGTCTGTTTTATCAGAGACTAGGATTGCAACCCCTGCCTTTTTTTGTTTTCCGTTTGCTTGGTAGATCTTCCTCCATCCTTTTATTTTGAGCCTATGTGTGTCTCTGCACATGAGATGGGTTTCCTGAATACAGCACACTGATGGGTCTTGACTCTTTATCCAATTTGCCAGTCTGTGTCTTTTAATTGGAGCATTTAGTCCATTTACATTTAAAGTTAATATTGTTATGTGTGAATTTGATCCTGTCATTATGATGTTAGCTGGTGATTTTGCTCGTTAGTTGATGCAGTTTCTTCCTAGTCTCGATGGTCTTTACATTTTGGCATGATTTTGCAGCGGCTGGTACCGGTTGTTCCTTTCCATGTTTAGCGCTTCCTTCAGGAGCTCTTTTAGGGCAGGCCTGGTGGTGACAAAATCTCTCAGCATTTGCTTGTCTGTAAAGGATTTTATTTCTCCTTCACTTATGAAGCTTAGTTTGGCTGGATATGAAATTCTGGGTTGAAAATTCTTCTCTTTAAGAATGTTGAATATTGGTCCCCACTCTCTTCTGGCTTATAGGGTTTCTGCCAAGAGATCCGCTGTTAGTCTGATGGGCTTCCCTTTGAGGGTAACCCGACCTTTCTCTCTGGCTGCCCTTAACATTTTTTCCTTCATTCAACTTTACTGAATCTGACAATTATGTGTCTTGGAGTTGCTCTTCTCGAGGAGTATCTTTGTGGCATTCTCTGTATTTCCTGAATCTGAATGTTGCCCTGCCTTGCTAGATTGGGGAAGTTCTCCTGGATAATATCTTGCAGAGTGTTTTCCAACTTGGTTCCATTCTCTCCACCACTTTCAGGTACACCAATCAGACGTAGATTTGGTCTTTTCACATAGTCCCATATTTCTTGGAGGCTTTGCTTGTTTCTTTTTATTCTTTTTTCTCTAAACTTCCCTTCTCACTTCATTTCATTCGTTTCATCTTCCATTGCTGATACCCTTTCTTCCAGTTGATCGCATCGGCTCCTGAGGCTTCTGCATTCTTCACGTAGTTCTCCAGCCTTGGTTTTCAGCTCCATCACCTCCTTTAAACACTTCTCTGTATTGGTTATTCTAGTTATACATTCTTCTAATTTTTTTTCAAAGTTCTCAACTTCTTTGACTTTGGTTTCAATGTCCTCCCATAGCTCAGAGGAATTTGATCGTCTGAAGCCTTCTTCTCTCAGCTCATCAAAGTCATTCTCCATCCAGCTTTGTTCCATTGCTGGTGAGGAACTGCATTCCTTTCGAGGTGGAGAGGCGCTCTGCTTTTTAGAGTTTCCAGTTTTTCTGCTCTGTTTTTTCCCTATCTTGTGGTTTTATCTACTTTTGGTCTTTGATGATGGTGATGTACAGATGGGTTTTTGGTGTGGGTGTCCTTTCTGTTTGTTAGTTTTCCTTCTAACAGACAGGACCCTCAGCTGCAGGTCTGTTGGAGTACCCTGCGGTGTGAGGTGTCAGTGTGCCCCTGCTGGGGGGTGCCTCCCAGTTAGGCTGCTCGGGGGTCAGGGGTCAGGGACCCACTTGAGGAGGCAGTCTGCCCATTCTCAGATCTCCAGCTGCGTACTGGGAGAACCACTGCTCTCTTCAAAGCTGTCAGACAGGGACATTTAAGTCTGCAGAGGTTACTGCTGTCTTTTTGTTTGTCTGTGCCCTGCCCCCAGAGGTGGAGCCTACAGAGGCAGGCAGGCCTCCTTGAGCTGTGGTGGGCTCCACCCAGTTCCAGCTTCCCAGCTGCTTTGTTTACCTAAGCAAGCCTGGGCAATGGCGGGTGCCCCTCCCCTAGCCTCGCTGCTGCCTTGCAGTTTGATCTCAGACTGCTGTGCTAGCAATCAGCGAGACTCCATGGGCGTAGGACCCTCCGAGCCAGGTGCGGGATATAATCTCGTGGTGGGCCGTTTTTTAAGCCCGTCGGAAAAGTGCAGTACTCGGGTGGGAGTGACCCGATTTTCCAGGTGCCGTCCGTCACCCCTTTCTTTGACTAGGAAAGGGAACTCCCTGACCCCTTGAGCTTCCCGAGTGAGGCAATGCCTCGCCCTGCTTCGGCTGGCGCATGGTGCGAGCACCCACTGACCTGCACCCACTGTCTGGCACTCCCTAGTGAGATGAACCCGGTACCTCAGATGGAAATGCAGAAATCACCCGTCTTCTGCGTTGCTCACGCTGGGAGCTGTAGACCGGAGCTGTTCCTATTCGGCCATCTTGGCTCCTCCCCCTCCAGAATGGTTATTTTTAAAAAGCCAAAAAATAACAGATGCTGGCGAGGTTGTGGAGAAAAGGGAATGCTTATACGGTGTTGTTTGGAATGATAATTAGTTCCGGCATTGTGGAAAGCAGTTTGGAGATTTTTCAAAGAACTTAAAATCAAAATACCATTTAACACACCCATTCCATTATTGGGCATACACCCAAAGGAATATAAATTATTCTACCATAAAGACATGCATGTGTATGTTCATCACACCACTATTCATAATAGCAAAAACATGAAATCAACACAAATGCCCAATAATGATAGATTGGATAAAGAAAATGTGGTACATATTCACCATGGAATACTACATATCTATGAAAAAGAATGAGATTATGTTCTTTGCAGCAACATGGTTAGGCCTGGAGGCCATTATCCTAAGCAAACTAACACAGGAACAGAAAACCAAATACCACATCTTCTCCCTTGTAAGTGGGAGCTAAGCATGGAGTACATACAGAAACAAAGAAGGGAAAAACAGACACTGGGGCCTACTTGATGGTGTTTGGTGGGACTAGGGTGAGGATTGAAAAACTACCTATCAGGTGCTGTGCTTATTACCTGTACATCAGACTCACACAACACACAATTACCTATATAAACAATCTGCACATGTACCCCTGAAACTAAAATAAAAGTTAAGAAAAAAATTTAAAAAGAGCTAAAAACTATACAATTCTTATTGAAAACATAGGTATAAATCCCGAAGACCTTGGATTTTGCCATGATTTCTTACATATGACAATAAATCACAAGCAACCAAAGAAAAAATAGATAAGCTGGATGTTATCAAAATTAAAACGCTTTTCCTTAAAAGGACACTATCAAGAAAGTAAAAGACAACACACAGAATGAAAAATAATTTGCAAATCATGTCTACCAAAGGTCTTGTGTCCAGAATATAAAAAGAACAACTAAGCCTCAAATATAAAAAGGCAAATATTCAGATTTTTTAAAAAATGTGCAAAGAATATAAACAGACATTTCTCTAAAGATTATAAATGGCTATTAAGCACATGCAAACATGCTCCATATCATAAGTCATTAGTGAAATATAAATCAAAACCACAATGAGATACCACTTTGCACCCACTGGGATAGCTTCAATTAAAACAAAAACAAAAAGAAAACAACCCAGAAAATAGCAAGTGTTGGTAAGGACGAGGCGAAATGGGAATCTTTGTGCATTGCTGGTTGGATTGGGAACCAATAAAACCAGTTGGATCAGCCACTTTGGGAAACACTTCAGTGGTTCCTCAAAAAAATTAAACATAGAATTACCACATGACCCAGCAATTCTACTTCTAGATATACACTCAAATTAAATGAAAATATATGTCACACAGAAATTTGTACGTGAATGTTTATAGTAGCACTGTTCATAATAGCCAAAAGTTGGAACCAACATAAAGTCCATCAACAGATGAATGGTAAAATCAAATATATATATATAATAGACTGTCATTCAGCAATAAAAATTTGAAGCACTAGTTCGTACTACAACACAGATGAACCTTGAAGACATTATTCTAAGTTAGGGAAGTCAGACACAAAAGACCACATGTTATGTTATTCCATTTATATGAAATACACAAAATAGGTAAATCCATGGGAAAAGAAAGTAGATCAGTGATTGCCAGGGGTTGGATGGGGCTGAGTGCAGTGGGTAAGAATTGGGAGTGACTGCTAATGACTATGGGGTTTCTTCTTGTGGTGACAAAAATGCTCTGAAATTAGAGGTCTGTGCAACATGATGACTATATTAAAAACTATTAAATTGTGTATTTTAAAAGGGTGAGTCTTATGGTATGTGAATTATATTTTGATCATTTAAAAATGATATGTTAATTTTTTAAAAAGTTGAGATAAGCATGCTTCAGCACATAAATGTGGTAAAATTTCCCTCCAGCTGGCTGCACCATTAAAAATATTAAAGGAAGTTTTTTACACAGAAAAAGAAAACACACAGAAATATGTATCTATAGGAAAAAATAAATAAAACATTAAAATGGTTAAGTACATGAATGAATATAAACATGTTGTTATTATTTATTATTTAATATTATTTAAATTCTTTTTAAAGAGAATTGCTTGCTGGACATGATGGCTGACGCCTGTAATCCCAGCATTTTGGGAGGCTGAGGCAGGCGGATAACCTAAGGTCAGGAGTTCAATCAAGACCAGCCTGACCAACATGGTGAAACCCCGTCTCTACTAAAAATACAAAATTAGCCTGGCATGGTGGTGCATGCCTGTAATCCCAGATACTCAGGAGGCTGAGGCACAAGAATCACTTGAACCTGGGAGGCAGAGGTGGCAGTGAGCCGAGATCATGCCATTGCATTCCAGCCAGGACAACCAGAGCGAAATTCCGTTTTAAAAAAAAAAAAGTCTGCTTAAGCAAAAATAATTTTAAAAATCTATGGTGGTATAAATAACATTTATATAATATATAGTATATATTTTTTGTATATATATATATATATAATATAATAGTATAAAGTGTAGAAGGGGAGAAAAGTAAGCGTAATGTTTTAACTTTCTTTTACTATATAGGAAGTAGTATCATATCATATGAAGGCAGACTGTGAAAAGTTAAAGTATATAAACTAAAGTAAAAATTTAAAAATGAAATCATAGTTTGAGTTTCTTATCTATTTTAGATGTTCTTCTCTTATTAGATATAAGATTTGCAAATATTTTCTCCCAATTTTGCCTTGTCTCTTCGCTCTGTTAGTTGTTTCTTTTGCTGTACAGAAGAATTTTTTTTTCACATTTGATGCATCTATTTTTGCTTTTGTTGCCTGTGCTTTTGGGGTCATATTCAAGAAATCATTGCCCAGACATTCAATAATAGGAAAACAAACAACCCTAATAAAAATTGGGCAAAAGGCTTGAATAGACATTTCTCAAAAGAAGACATACAAATAAACAGTAGATGTATGAAAAATGCTCAATATCACTAATATCAGGGAAATGCAAATTAAAATTACAATGAGGTATCACCTCCCATCTGTTAGAATATCAATTATCAAAATGATGAAAGATAACTAGTATTGGCAAGGATGTAGAGAAAAGGAAATCCTCATACGCTGTTGTTGGGAATATAAATAGGTACAGTCATTTTGGAATATAGTATGGAGGTTCGAAAAAACAAAATGGAATCACCATAAGATCCAGCAGTACTGCTCCTGGGTATACACTCAAAGGAACTGAAATCAGTATTTCAAGGAGACACCTGCCTTCCCATGTTCATTACAGAATTATTCACAATAGTCAAGGTATGGAATCAACCTAAGTGTATATAAATGGATGAATGGATAAAGAAAAAAATGCTGTATACATACACAATAGAATACCATTCAGCATTATAAAAAGGTAAATCTTGTCATTTGTGACAACATAGATGTATATGAAGGACATTATGCTAAATGAAATAATCCGAGCACAGAGAGACAAATACTTGCATGATCTGACTTATAGCTGGAACCTGAAAAAGTCAAGCTCAGAGAAGTAGAGAGTAGAATGGTGGTTACCAGAGTCTGGCAGGAGGGTGGAGTGGGGAAAGGGGAGATGTTACCTAAAGGATTCAAGGTTTCAGTTAAGGCAGGAGGAATAGATTATAGTGATCTATTGCATAACATGTTGACTATATTTTACAATGTGTTGTATATTTCAAAATCAATAAAAGAATATATTTTAAATGGTCTTACCAAAAAGAAATGATAAGTAGGTGAGGTAATAAATATATTGATTAGCCTGCTCAAACATTCCGCAAGGTATATTTGTAACACAACATTACATTGTACCCCACAAATATATGCAATCATTATTTGTAAATTACAGTAAAATAATTTTTTAAATGACACGATATTGTTGTTTTTAAGCCAACAAATGAGAGAAAATTAGATCACTAAAAAATACTCAATTTGGCCACGCGCTGTAGCCTGTAATCCCAGCACTTTGGGAGGCTGAGGCGGGCAGATCATTTGAGGTCAGGAGTTTAAGACCAGCCTGACCAACATGGTGAAACCCTGACTCTACTAAAAATAAAAAAGAAAATTAGCTGGGCGGTGCACCTGTAGCCCCAGCTACTCAGGAGGCTGAGGCAGTAGAATCTCTTGAACCCGGGAGACAGAGGTTGCAGTGAGCTGAGATCATGCCACTGCACTCCAGCCTAGGTGACAGAGCAAGACTCCGTCAAAAACAACAACAACAACAACAAAAACTCAATTTATCTGAAAGAAGACCAAAACAAGTAAATAAAGAACACATGAAACAAATAGGAATCGAATAGTTAGATGATTCAATTAAATCTAACGAACAGGACATATTAAAATCAATAATTACAAAAATTTAAAATTATAAACACCCAAGGAAAAGATAGAGATGTTTATATTGAATAAAAAATAAGATCAAACTATATACTGTTTACAAAATATATGCTTTAAATGTAAAGATAACAGTTAAAAGTAAAAAGGTGGAAAGGGCACACCATGCTAACTCTAGTCAATAGAAAACTACAGTATGTATCTATTGATTAACCTCTAAACCCTTTAAAAACTTTATGCTAAACTATTTTCATGTTAGATGTGTTTTTATTTATCCTACTATGTCTATTACTTTGTTTTCAGCAGTATCGAGTCCTGCTTCTTATAATTTCTCTCTTTTCCTGGATTCATTTTATTTATTTCATTTCCTTGCTGCACTCTGCCAGTTCATAGTTCTTTTTTCTTGTTTATCTCTTCCTAAGCTCCTTCATTATTGATTTGGTGCTTTTGCTTCACAGAGATTTTTAAAA
Source organism: Homo sapiens (assembly GCF_000001405.40). NCBI lineage: Eukaryota > Metazoa > Chordata > Mammalia > Primates > Hominidae > Homo > Homo sapiens. Next base: position 37,833,136 of record NC_000013.11, read on the forward strand.
ATTCATAGTAAAATGCCATTTTCTTCTGCTTCTCATTCTATGTTTCTGGCATGCATTCTTCATCTCCTATTTTATTTTCTGCCAATTTTTTCTGATTATTTTCCTGCATTATATTTCTAAAGCTTCTGTACTTTTTCTTTCTTAACTCATCATTGAACTCATGATTTATGAGCTCAGTTATAGAAAAAAAAATTATCTAAAAGAAGTTTTGCTTGGACAAGCTATTTGATACGGCATTCACCTGATTGAAAAGTACCACAACGACTTTCACAACCATCTGGGCATATTCTTAGGATACAGAGTTTTGCCCATTAATTCACTTAGCTGTTAACGTCTTTCCTACTAGTGAAGATGGGCAGCTGACGATCTTAAAAATGAAAAGATACTCTCCTCCTGCTCTGTCAAAGAGACAGACTGTGCTTCCTGTGAGTGGTTCTTTACTTAGCCTTGCCTTTGGGTCTAGAACATCAGCTGCCACCTGCAGATGCACCTGCAAACCTAATTTTATGGTAAGAAGTAAGATATTTCTGGCATCTCGGGGTTTTGCGCCTCAACTGTCAGAAGAATAATTTAGCTGGACTCTTAGGAGATCTGTGGTTGTGGGGCCTTTTCTCAATGCATCCTACTCAGTCTTCATTCAGCCTTCACAAAACCATCCACCCATTTGGCTTTCCAGGATCTTAGCTGTTTTCTAATTTTAACAAAAAAATGGAGGATATAGTTTTTAAATTTTTTTATTGTCTTTGTATTTTAGCTAAGAAGAGTAGTCTGACAGTACAGTTTTATCTTCAAACAAGAAACTGCTATCAAGTGTAGCGGTTATACTTGCATTTTCTATAACTGAGCTAATAAATCATGATACCTTAATATTTTTTATTCATTGGAATACTATTTATCTTCATGCTATATTTGCATTTTTCACATAAATTTAGTTCATCAGGTGACATATTCAGAAACTGCAATATGAGTTCATGCCAATAGTCTATCTGTCCCAGATATTACATAAATTTCGGCACATATTTCACTTAAAACATAAACACTGTTTATAAATGTTCTACATAGCTATCTTCTTTTCAAGACTCTGAGTACAATATTGACAAAACATTTAATTTTTTCACTCTTATGCATCCTTCCAAATTCTAATTGTTTCCTAACCTAAATTATGTGTTGTTTTTGAATACTTTAAGTCACATGTACTTTCAATTGATTTTGACTATTTTATGTTTTTAGTTAAGGAAAGTTCCTACTTAATACATTAAAGAATCAAAACTTTGCCCACTGGGTTTTTGTTTACGTGTGAATTATATTACTGAAAGTGGGTCAAAAATGATCAAGCTATTTCAAAATTATTTTCTATGAACTCTAAACCACAAACACTTGTCACATTGAAAAAGATTACTTTCCTCATAAATTCCCAACTAAATTCTGACATGCAAGAATATGTTCTTGCCATACTTATTGTGTTATGTTTTCTCATTGACATAGTTTCCATGACAGAACCTTTAGATGAGTACAGTAAATGAGATGCACTCTGGTTTCTCCAACATACTTGGATCAATCTTGAGTTTATCTCACTCTCCATTTATTTATTTATTTATTACATTTTTTTGAGACAGAGTCTCGCTCTGTCACCCCAGGCTGGAGTGCAGCAGCACAATCTCGGCTCACTGTAATCTCTGCCTCCTGGGTTCAAGTGATTCTTGAGTCTCCTGCCTCAGCCTCCCAAGTAACTGGGGGTACAGGCATGTGCCACCATGCCTGGCTAACTTTTGTATTTTGAGTAGAGATGGGTTTTCACCAAGTTGGCCAGGCTGGTCTTGAACTCCTGGCCTCAAGTGATCTGCCTGTATTGGCCTCCCAAAGTGCTGGGATTACAGGCATGAACCACCAGCAGGCCCAGCCTGTTTTTTTTTTTAATTTTTTTTTTAAATCCTGCATATTGTCGATGGAAGAAAAACAAAACAAAACAAAATAAAAGCACATTGGAATGTTTGCCAATATGAAACCTGTTTTCTAGCAACAATTATCCTTTCAAAGTTGGTAGTCAGTTTTACTTGCTTCAGTCGGCTGACTGTTTCATTCTCTTCGGTGGCTCTTAATAACTTTTCATTTTAACTTCATGCCTTCAAAAAATTACTACTTCCTCCTTCTGAGGGCGTTCATTGTAAAATATGACCTATGAATGTCCAGTGTCCTCCATTCACAGCCATTTCTCTCTCTGGTATTAATGGTTCATGTATGCTTGTTTCTGCTAAAGGCAACACGCTTTACCTGCACTCTTGTCCAACATCTTGCTACTTGCATCTTTCTTGCTCTTGCATCTTTATGATGCTGTACAAACACCATGGGTTTCTTTATTCTTGCATATCCTGTCACATGTCTTTCCTCCTTCTCTGTCTTACTAGCTACTGAGAACACCCAAGATACTGACAGGAGTAGTAGAGAAAGGAAGACGTGTGCAGACAGTGACGTAGCAGAAGTCACTGGAAACTTTGACATGACAGTGACAAAGAAAGATAAAAGGTATAAGTGAGTAGCCAAAAAAAGAGGAAGATAACAAATGTTTTGTATCCTAGCTATTCTCAAGCTTATTTTTAGATTCAACACATAAGGTGCATGACATTAGTATGTACAGCATACTCGTATGCACAATTCCCAATATATTGGTTAATACATCAGGAACAATATAACAAGGGTAAATACAAATATGCTCTAACATTTAATTACTTCTTTTCTCAAAATTTCTAGTTTATATTTAATAATGAATTATTTGTACTGAAATGGTTTGGCTCTGCCCCCACACAAATCTCATCTTAAATTCCTGCATATTGTGGGAGGGTCCCAGTGGGAGGTAATTGAATCATGGGGGCAAGTCTTTCCCATGCTGTTCTCATGATAGTGAATAAGTCTCAAGAGATCTGATGGTTTCATAAAGAGGAGTTCTCCTGCACGAGTTCTCTCTCTTTGCCTGCTGCCATCCATGTAAGATGTGACTTCCTCCTCCTTGCCTTCTGCCTGATTGTGAGGCTTCCCCAGCCATGTGGAACTGTAAGTCCATTAAACCTCTTTCTTTTGTAAATTGCCCAGTCTCGGGTATATTTTTATCAGCAGCATGAAAACAAAATAATACAGTAAGTTGGTACCAAGAATGAGACACTGCTGAAAACGTACTTGAAAATGTGGAAGCAACTTTGGAACTGGGTAACAGGAAGAGGTTGGGACAGTTTGGGGGGCTCAGAATACAGGAAAATATGGGAAAGTTTGGAACTCCCTAGAGGCTCGTTGAATGGCTTTGCCCAAAATGCTGATAGTGATATGGACAATGAAATCCAGGTTGAGGTGGTTTCAGATGGAGATGAGAAAATTTTTGGGAACTGGAGTAAAGGTGACCGTTGTTATGTTTTAGCAAAGAGACTGGTGGCATTTAGCCCCTGCCCTAGAGATTTATGGAACTTTGAACTTGAGAGAGATGATTTAGGGTATCTGCTGGAAGAAATTTCTAAGCAGCAAAGCACTGGGTGCTGTTAAAGGCATTCAGTTTTAAAAGGAAAATGGAGCCTAAAAGTTTGGAAAATGTGTAGCCTGACAATGTGTTAGAAAAGAAAATCCCATTGTTTGGGGAGGAATTCAAGCTGGCTACAGAAATTTGCATAAGTAACAAGGAGCCAAATGTTAATCCCCAAGACAATGCGGAAAATGTCTCCAGCACATGTGAGAGGTCTTCATGGCAGCCCCTCCCATCACAGGCCCAGAGACCTAGGAGGAAAAAGTGGTTTAATGGGCCAGGCCCAGAGTCGCTGTGCTGTGTGCAGCCTAGGGACTTGGTGACTTTAGTTCCAGCCACTCCAGCCATGACTGAATGGGGCCAACATAGAGCTCAGGCCATGGCTTCACAGGGTGCAAGCCTCAAGCCTTGGCAGCTCCCACATGGTGTTGAGCTTTCCAGTGCACAGAAGTCAAGAATTGGGGTTTGGAAATCTCCACCTAGATTTCAGAAGATGTATAGAAACACCCAGATGCCCAGGCAGAAGTTTGTTACAGGGGCAGGGCCCTCATAGAGAACCTCTGCTAGGGCAGTGCAAAAGGAAAATGTAGGGTGAGATCCCCCACACAGAGTCCCTACCAGGGCACCACCTAGTGGATCTGTGAGAAGAGGGCCACCTTCCTCCAGACCCTAGAATGGTGTATCCACCAACAGCTTGCACCATGTGCCTGGAAAAGCTGTGGATACTCAATGCCAGCCCATGAAAGCAGCCAGGAGGGAAGCTGTGCCCTGCAAAGGCTTGGCTGCCCAAGACCATGGGAACCCACCTCTTACCTCAGCATGACCTGGATGTGAGACTTGGAGTCAAAGGAGATCATTTTGGAGCTTTAAGATTTGACTGCTCCACTGGATTTCAGACTTGCATGGGGCCTGTAGCCTCTTTTTGGCCAACTTCTCCCATTTGGAATGGCTGTATTTACCCAGTGTCTGTACTCCCACTGTATTTAGGAAATAACTAAGCTGCTTTTGATTTTACAGGCTCATAGGTGGAAGGGACTTGTCTTATCTTGGATGAGACTTTGCACTGTGGACTTTTGAGTTAATGCTGAAATGAGTTAAGATTTTGGGGGACTGTTGGGAAGGCATGATTGGTTTTGAAATGTGAGGTCATAAGATGTGGGACGAGCCAGGGGTGGCATGATATGGTTTGGCTGTGTCCCCACTCAAATCTCATCTTGAATTCCCACATGTTGTGGGAGGGACCCAGTGGGAGATAATTGAATCATGGGGGCAAATTTTTCCCATGCTATTCTTGTGACAGTGGATAAGTCTCACGAGGGCTGATGGTTTCAGAAGGAGGAGTTTCCCTGAGTGAATTCTCTCTCTTTGCCTGATGCCATCCATGTAAGACGTGACTTGTTCCTCCTTGCCTTCCACCATGATTTTGAGGCTTCCCCAGCCACATGGAACCGTAAGTCCATTAAACCTACTTCTTTTGTAAATTGCCCAGTCTCAGATATGTCTTTACCAGCAGTGTGAAAATGGACTAACACATATTCCAAACTTCTTATCCAACCACATGGAAATACTGCAACATTAAAATAGAGAACCATTGATCTGAGCCAGCTGTTCTTAGTGTGTGGTCTCCAGATCAGCAGTATCTGTGTCACCTGGGAACTTATTAGGAATGCAAATTCACATGCTCTACCTCTCACCCACTAATCCAACACTTTGGGGCATAGCCTAGCAATCTGATGAACTCTAGTTTGACAGTAACAGATTTTGATTCTAGACCTTTTTATAAAAACAGACACACTGAAGTACAAGTCACAAAGGCAGAGTTAAAGTCGACCACAGGATATTTTTTTTTCATAAGTGATCTTGTTCACACAGTCCATATAAATACTGTCTTGCACTTAATAATTACTAAAATATGTCATTTGAATGAAATAACTCAGATGATTTCTTTTTTAGTAAGTAAAAATTTAGAACTTTTACCTATTTTAAAATCAAAAGTATCAAAATGATTCCATTGTACTAAATTTACCTTTTACTTGCCCTGACTCTAATCAATATATACACAATATTCACTTCTCTATGTACCATATTTTAGGTATATTCTTACTCTTGTATAGAGAGAAGCATTAAAGGAAAGTTAAGAATATATATACACCTAAAACCATATTCTACATTTGCATATACTTGCTTTGCTGGGAGGTCTTGAGTCTTTCTTAAGCCTCAGTACTTCTGTCCACGATTATAATTATCAAGAAAAGTTCCCCATTTACAGAAGAAGAAAAGAGTCCTCAAGGAGTTACATAATCTACCAAGGTGACACAGCTACTAAGAGATAGAGCTGAGATGGACTCTGGTACATCTGATATCATGCTCTTATATATATCTTATAAAGTTAGTCTGAGAATTAAATAATATTCAGAAAGATTTCAACGTAGTGACTACATAGTATATGCTCCATCAATATTGACAAGTAGTAGTATTGATATTTTATTACTGCTAGGGCAGTACCAAGAGGAATTCCCAGGGATTTCTACCAACAGGATGCCTTGATACCTTGTAGCTATTCGCATTCCCTCCTAGAGCCATCATGTGCCTGCTTTTCCTCTGTTCTCCCCCTTTGTGGAGTCCTTGCTCTACCGAAAACCAGGTAGTAAGGACTATAGTAAAGGTGATGAGTTCCTGGCCTCCAAATTTGCACTCTAATTACATCTCTTTCTTTAAAGCTTAGATACCATCGTCAGAGTCAAGGACATTACTTGTTTTATAATACAGGCACATCCAGGGTTAATCTATGTCTCTAGTCATTAAAGAGAACATGATATCAATGAAAAAGTTACAGTCAATCAATTTGGAAACCACCTGAGAGCTTTAACTCAATTTTAATAATTCGGTTTCAATAATAAATCATTAGATATTATCCTGTCATTTAATGAGGGATCATTATGTACCAAGCATTGTGATTTATTTTCTATATCTTACCAACTGCACTGTCAGATAGATATTCTTAGTTTCAGTTTATAGATGAGAAACCTGGGGATTACAGATATTAGGTAACTTATACTAGGTTACTCAGCTCCTGAATATGAGGATCAAGATTCAAACTGGAATCTATGTAGCATCAAATCTGAGGCTTTTAATCAACTCCCCTAGAAAAATTGGGGTGGCTTCAGACAAGTCAAATGAAAGACATTGTGAAAGTGTCTGTCACAGAAAAATTATCATGCTATTATTTTTCTCAAATGCTGTTAACCCTAATATTCCATCAACCAAGTATTCTATCCTCCTGCCATAATTTACTGTAAAAACAATCACATTTGGGTCTGAAACATGATCCTTTTATTGGATCATCAATAATTAATTTTCAGACACAAATTTTACTCTAAACAGAATTTTTGCAAGCAGAAAATAATATGCATTTTTTGTGTTTTCCTCTGAAAATTTGTTTACTGGTTATGTCAGTGGAAACTCCAGGAAGATATATCAAATTGAATATAATAGAGGTTGATTACAGAATAAATCACATCAATTATTTAATTCTCCTTCTTTAGTGTTTCTCTTGTTAGGTATCTGGCACAACTTTCTAGGTTTTTCAGCCAATGGGCTGTAGAAAGGCAATGCTGCAAATGAGGAGGGTAATAAAAAAATGAAAAATCTTTAGTACAATTATTATTCAAAGATGTGTTTGAAAGAGTTTGTTTAAAAGTATTTAGACAGTTACAAACTGAATTTAATTGGTATAATAAATGTAATAACTATAAAGGATAATCTTTGTAGGAAAACTCTTTTAATATGATTCCTTAGACCCTTTTATATCAATGTCCTGCCAGAATCATGAAGACTTCATTCACTTATACCATCCCTTCTCATCATTCTCTATCTCCTCCCTCTAATGTTGATAATTATTTTAGTATTAACTTTAATCATATGAAGTCAACATTTTTATAGGCAAAATTATCAAATATAGGCAGTTTTATATGTTCCAAACTGTTATATATGTTATAATATTATTATTTAAAAAGATTAATAAATTCCTGTTTAATGTTCTAGTCTCATTTTAACAGCTACTTTCTAACATTAGTGAACTATAAATTTATTTTTACATTTTCAAGTTTATAACATTCCCAGCATGTTCAGCCACCAAAAGTTGGCCTTCCATCTTTTGTTGATTTGAGTCTATCATCGGAAAACAATAAATTTTATTACACTAAAATAACCATATTAATATTGTTCATTGCAGAGCCAAGTTCTGGTCTAGGAATCAATTTCCTTCTCTACAAATTCAGTGTCATTCCTAATGGTATTATTTTTGCTATTCAAGTAATTAATTCACTTTGAATATAGAATTCAACACAAACCCACCTAATTCTAATCAGCACAAAGCCAAAAATTTTATATTATTGGTTAAAACTGATGCATTCTCAATACTTTTGTAATAATATAAAATAAAATTTAAAAGTAGTTGAAATTGTGCTTGTTTATAATAATAACAGGTGATTTACAGAGGATCACAATGAGCAAGTAAGGATTTAATCAAGATTATACAAGAAAATATTTTATGCTAAATCTGTATATCAACAGAAATAAGAATAGTCTAGGGATAAGCTAATAGGGAAAAGATGGTTGGCATACCCATCTATTGAACACCTCACTATAAGCAATTAATGAAGCAAAAACCTGATTTTCTTTCCTGCAAAAATTTGGGTAAATCCTTGTTTTCTCGGTTCCTTACCTTTTCCTTTTTAAAAATAAAAGTGGTGTAAAAGAACAAATATCAATGTTAGATTTCATTAAAATTTAAACATTTCTAGTTAAGAGGATGAAATGACAAGCTACAGACTTGAAAACATGTACAAATCCCATATCTAATAAATAGCTAATATCTAGGATGCATAAAGAAATATAAAACTTTAACACTAAATAAAAACAATTAGAAAATATTCAAAAAACAGAAAGAGAAGCTTTACTGAAAGGTGATCTATAGATGACAAATAAGCACATGAAAAGATGTTTAACATCATTAGCCATTGTAGAAATACAAAATAATGCCACAATGAGATATCACTACTATAAAAATGGCTAAAATAAGATATAGTAATGACACTAAATGCTGGTGAGGAGGTGAACAGACTAAATCATTCATGCATTGTTAGCAGGTATGCAAAATGTTACAACTAACTGCTCTAAAAAACAGTTTCTTTAAAAATGAAGCATGCCACTATCATGTGACTCAACAATTAAATTATACTCTGGACAGGTATCCCAGATAAATGAAGACTTACATTCAAACAGACATCTTAAAATCATAAAATTTTATTTATATTACAGTCTCAAAAAGAAAAAGAAAACTTATGGCCAGGCACAGTGGCTCATGCCTGTAACCCCAGCACTTTGGGAGGCCAAGGTGGGTGGATCACTTGAGGTCAGGGGTTTGAGACCAGCCTGGCCAACACGGTGAAACCCCATCACCACTAAAAATACAAAAATTAGCTGGGTGTGGTGGCATACACCTGTAATCCCAGATACTCGGGAGGCTGATGCAGGAGAAATGCATGAACCCAGGAGGCAGAGGTTGCAGTTAGTGGAGATCTCGCCACTGCACTCCAGCCTAGGCAACAGAGCAAGACTCAATCTCAAAAAAAAAAAAAAAACCTTATACAGATGGAAAACACATTAGTGGTTTCTAGCAATTAATGATAGCGTCTAGCCAAAAAAAAAAAAAAAAAAAAAAAAAAAGGAAAAGGAAAAGTATAAATCGGGGGCAGATCTTAGAATAAACACAATTCAAATATTCTTAAAAAGAAAAAGAAAGAGTTGGTGATTCTTCCTATCTTTGTTTCTGTAGCTGTTGTATTGAAATAGGTACTATAGACTGAGTGGCTTATAAGGCACAAAATTTTTATCTCATAGCTATGAAAGCTGGGAAGTTCAAGATTAAGGTAGCGGCAAGTCTGGTGAGGCCCAACTTTCTAGTTCATAGATGGCACCTTCTTGCTGTGTTCCCACATGGTGAAAGGAGCAGGTAGCTCTCTAGGGAACTTTTGTAATGGCACTAATCACATAAGGGTAGACCCCTCATGACCCAATAACTTTCCAAAGGCCTCACCTCCTAATACCATCACTTTCAGGGTTAAGATTTCAGCATATAAATTTTTAGAGGGAAATATTCAGGTCATAGAGCTTTTTGAAACCAGACATTGATAAATAAGGATGAGAAATGGAACGAAAAGAGTAAGGATGCTATATTTTCCTAGACGCTGTACAGCTGTAATTAAATCTAGTCCTTCAAAAATGAACACTTTAGCAAATGCTATAAAGCTTTTAAAAGCTTGGAAACAAGATATCATACCTGCTAAGGCTGATAAGAAAAACAAAGGCTGCTCAGTGATTAATATGAGTACATGAAGATGTTCCAGACTTCAAACTTGCATTATAGCACAATGGTTAATAAACTTGGCTTTGGAATTTGTGAAGTTTGGGTTGAATTTATGGTTGTACTACATACTAATTGTGTGACCTTAGAAAGTTATTTAACCATTCTAGAACTAGTTTTGTCATCTGTATAGTAGGAATGATGATGTTTTATGAGGGTAATAATATAAAATAATGCAAGTAAATCATTCAGCATAGGGCCAACCACAGACTAGTCACTCATCAAATGTTAACTTTGTTACTTTGCTACCATTTTCAGAAGAAAGTTGGAAAACCTAGTTATAGCCATTATTGGAGCTCCTTAAACTTCACATGCTTTTAGCTATTTGGAATTACAGAATCATTAAAAGTCAGTTAGCAACTTAGCATGACAATTATGTATTTTGGGGATTGTAATGTGACTTTAAGTTTCAATGCAGTAACACAAAACTAGAGACTAGAAGAAGGTTTGCAGAAAAGATATTACATTTAGTATGTGATTCTTTACAAAATACTCAAGAAAATTGAACCCAGTAGTGTTAATATATCAACTGCTTAATGGCACAAAAATGATTTCAGTCCTGAGGGTGTCCAGGTATAGTGTTACAGAACTATGTCTTCAACTGATGTTTGGTGACACACACACACACACACACACACGCACACATACACACATGCACACACAGAGTAGTGTGTTAGCAAGACAGCAGAATAGGAGTTCTCCAGCTTCACTCTCTCCTACCTACCACAGAAATCTAACCAGCAACTATCCGCAGGCAAGAAGATAATTCTGAATATCCCACACCTTGGAAGTGAGTCAAGGACACTCCTTTCTTTGGACCAAAGCACTGAGAAAATTTTGATCCCAATGGTAAGATGAATGATTCTCCTTGATTGTGCCACCCCTCTCCCAAGCTGGCACAGGAACACACACTAAGATTTTTCCTGAACCCACAGTTTCTACAGTAGGAAAAATAAGTTGGAAGCAAACATTAAGTTTCCCTACAATTTTGGAACCCTTTCAGGAGACTGATATCTGTCTCATCCCATGGGAAACATTGGAAATGCCAGCATGGCTAGATTACCTGAGTTTAGTTAGAAACAAAGAACAGAGATAGAGCTAATAGTGACCAGCTTGCAGACCTTGGTAGTTACTCTATATTTGGGCTGATAATGGTGTCAAACCAGAGAGACTAGCTGACAGCATCACACTACAGGAAACATGGTTCACAGGTCTTTCTTTTTTTTTTTCTTTCTTTATTTTTTGAGACAGAGTTTCACTCTTGTTGCCCAGGCTGGAGTGCAATGGCACAATCTCGGCTCACTGCAACCTCCATCTCCCAGGTTCAAGCAATTATCCTGCCTCAGCCTCCCAAGTAGCTGGGATTACAGGCATGCACCACCATGCCCAGCTAATTTTTGTATGTTTAGTATAGGCAGGGTTTTGCCATGTTGGTCAGGCTGGTCTCGAACTCCTGACCTCAGGCGATTCACCTGTCTCAGCCTCCCAAAGTGCTGGGATTACAGGTGTGAGCCACTGCTCCACGCCAGTTCATGGATCTTTCAGGCTTGAATCCCTAGCCAGCTTTTCCACCCAGCCCAGATGCTCTCGTTAAGCTTTTTCTAGGTGAGAGGCAAATGCAGGTCAGTGAGTACCCGTGAATAGATCATCTAGTACTGCCAAAAACCAGCAACTGCATGTAAACCAGTAACTCCACAAAACCGTGATACTCTTCTTCAGCTCACATTAAGCCAGCAGGCAAGTCTAAGTCCATGCACATCTGTAAAGCATAGCCTCTGGCTCTGCCTACTTCTGTGACCAAGCAGCAATCCTAGGTACTTCACCAGCCTTGGATCCCAGCAAATGGCCCTTCCCAACTGCAGATTTCAAATAGCAGTGCCACCCAGCCATGGAAGACAACCTGCAAACCTGTCTGATCAGAGATGACTGCAGAGCCCAGCCAGCAGCTCTACTTGATGGCAGAGTCCAGATAGTAGCCTCACTGAACCATGGAGAACAGTTAGAAATACCATTCAAATTCAGAGCACAAGAATCCACCCAGTCTAATTAGAGAACCCAACCTTAAGGTCTGTTTGGGGTCGCTACAAGCTGTCTCATCTAGAATTTTTAAGCTAGACTAGGCTAGAAGAAATAGCCATCTCCTCAAATGTGGAGGCATTAATGTAAGTACATGAGGATGATGAAAAATTAGGGAAATATGGCACCACCAAAAGAAGTTAATAAAGCTCTACTGATGGACCCAGAAGAAATGGAGATCTATAAAATGACTAACAAAAAATTCAGAACACTACTCAAAGAAGTTCAGGAAATTCCAAGAAAATATAGATAGAAAATCAAGTAAAATTTGGGAAAAAGTTATAAACAAAATGAGAAGCTTGCAAAGAAACATAAATAATAAAAAATTATGAAGCCATAAATTCTGGAGCTAAAGAATACAAAAAGTGAACTAAAAAATTAAATAGAAAGTTTCAATAGCAGACTTGATCAAGTAGATCAGTGAGCTCAGAGGACATTTGAAATTATCCAATCGATCAGAGGAGCAAAAATAAATAAATAAATAAATAAGAATGAAAAAGAATGAAGAGGGTCTATAGGAATTATGGAACACCATAAAGCAAACTAACTTTTGCATAGTAGGAATTCATGAAGAAAAAGAAAGAGAAAAAAGCCTAGAAAGCATATTTGAGAAAATAATAGCTAAAAATATCCCAAATCTGGGGAAAGACAACAACATCCAGGTACAGGCATCTCAGTCACAGGTTGCCAATCAAATTCAACCCATAGAGGACATCACCAAGATACATTATAATCAAATTATCAAAAATCAAATACAAAGAAATAATACTGAAAGCAGCAAAAGATAAGAAACATCACATTCAGTGGAGGCACAATATGGCTTTTGGCAGATTTGTCAGCAGAAACACTTCAGGCCAGAAGAGAGGCAAATTCTATATTAATAGTGCTGAAGGAATAAAAAGAAATGGCCAACCAAGAATACTTTACCAAATAAAGCTATGTTTCAGAAATGAGAAAGAAATAAAAACTTTCCCAGACAAACAAAAGCTAAGAGCATACATCACCACTAGGCGTGATTTATAGGAATTGCTAAAAGTAGTTCTTTAAGGTGAGATGAAAGGCTACTAATGAATAATTAAAATAACATTTTAAAATTAAAAATAAATCCCAATGGTAGAAGTAATATGTGGTCATACTCAGAATTCTCTAATATTGTAAGGGTGGTGTGTAAAGCAACTTTATCTCTACTAGGAGAATTAAAAGACAAAATTATTAAAAATAATTGCAGCAACAATAAATTGCTAAGAAATACAAATTACAAAAATGAATGTAAATTTTGGCATTAAATTAATAAAAAGTATGTGTGGGGTTGTGAAAGTGTAGAGTCTTTATATGGAATTAAAAGCAAGTTGTTACCAGCTTAAAGTAGTCTGTTACAGGATATTTCCTGGTAACCCACTTAGCAAAAACCCCCAGTAGTTGCACAAAATATGCAAAGAAAGGGTTCAAAGCATACCGCCACAGAAAACCATCAAACCACAAATGAAGACAGAAAGAGAGGAAGAAAAAAAAACATATAAAATAATCAAAAAACAAATTAAAAAATGCCAGCAACAAGTTTTTATGTACCAGTAATTACCTCAAGTGTAAATGGATTAAATTCTTCAATAAAAAGACATAGATTGGCTGAATGGATTAAAAAACAAGATCCAACCATATTTTCTTATAAGAGACTCACTTTACTAGTACAGATACACACAGATTAAAAGTGAAATGATTGGAAAAAAGTATTTCCCACAAATGGAAATTAAGAGAATAAGAGTAGTTACACTTAGACAAAATAGACTTTAAGTCAAATGTTATTTTTAAAAGACAAAAAGGTTATTACATAATAATAAAGGAATTGATTCACCAAGAAGAGATAACAATTGTAAATATATATGCACCCAACATCTGAGAACATAAATACATAAAGCAATTATTAAATTATCTAAAGAAAGATACTATAATAATAGGGGGCCTCGATACTCCACTTTTAAAAATAGAGCATCTAGACAGAAAATAAATAAGGGAACATGGACTTGAATTATACTTTAGATCACACGTACCTGACAGAAATATCTACAATATTCTACTCAACAGCAACAGGATTCACATTCTTCTCAAGTGCATATGGAACATTCTCCAGGATAGATCACATATTATGCCACAAAACAAATCTTAACAAATTTAAGAGAACTGAAATCATATCAAGCGGTTTTTCAGAGCACAATGATATAAAATTAGAAATCAATAATAGGAAAAAATCTAGGAAAATACACAAGCATGTGGAAATTGGACAACATGCTCCTAAATAACCAACAGGTCATAGTGTAAATCAAAAAGGAAATTTAAAAATACCTTGAGACAAATTAAAATGGAAACACAACATGCTAAACCTATGGAATGGAGCAAAGGCAGTCCTAAGTTGATGAATATCCTAATTTCCCTAATTTGATCATTATAAAATTTATAGATGTATCAGAACATCACAATGCACCCCATGAATATGTACAATTCTGCCTCAATGATTAATGAAAATAAAATAAATATTTAAAAAGGGGAAGTGGAGATTTGCAACAACATGGAGAACATTATGCTAAGTGAAATAAGCCAAGCAAAGAAAGACAAATACTGTACGATCTCATTTATAGATGGATAAAGTGGACCTTATGAAGTCCACAAATATATACAGTGGACTCATAAAGTTGAACTCACAGAAATAGAGTAGAATGATGGTTACCAGAGGATAAGCAGGGAAGCTGAAGGAAATGGGGAGGTGGTGACCAAACAGTACAAAGTTTCAGATAGATAGGAGATAAGGTTTTGGGATCTATTGCACATAAGAGTGATTATACTTAATAATAATGTATGCTACATTTCAAAGTACAGATGGCCTACAACTTACAATGGTTCAAGTTATGATTTTTCAACTTTACATGAGTTTGCCTTTTAGATTTACAATATTTTCAACTTAAATGAGTTTGTCAGGACATAAGCCCATCATAAGCTGAGGAGCATCTGTAATAGAGTACATTTCAAATGTTTCACCATAAAGAAAATAGATAAATAAGGTGATTAATATATTAATTAGTTTAACATAGACATTATACATTGTATACATATATCAAGACATCACATTAAATATCTTAAATGCATAAAATTATGATTTATCAATCAAAAATAATATCAATAGTAAAAATGTACAGTATATCTTTTTGTCCATCAAAAAACTTTAATATAAAAACCATTGTATACCAACTGCTATCACAGCACCATCCATAGAACATTATGACAAAAAGAGATAGCAGGCAGTGAAGGAAAACTGGAGGGGAAGGAATTCCGATTCCTGACTTATTTCTTCATTCATAATCATTTTTGATGCTTGTAAGAGCACATAGATAGAGGGAAAATCAAGTTGCAGACAGAAGTGAGCTTGAAGTTTCCACTGAGAAGACCAGAATCGGAGCAAAGTAGGTCTCTCCAATATGACACACACACACCCTCATCCCATCATCTGGAGAAACGCAAGCCTAGTTAGGAGATGATCAAAAGGTTACTGAAATTATTATCAAGAACAACTTCAAGCAGACCAGGGAAATCTGTGAGAAGGTGGTCCTGGTCATCAGTACTCATGAAGAAAAAGTGGAATAATGCCTTTCTGTCAAATATAAAAGGTATGTGGGGAGTAAAGAAAGCACTGAAGTTTGAAAGAATTAAGAACTAACATGCTTTTGTAGGTCTATGAAGTAGAAATGAGGTGATCTTTTGGGGCTGAGTTTAAGAGATTCTCAACATCTTCTCTTCCTTCAAAACTATCTTGAGTATAGATAATATGCCTAAAGTCCTGCAGATGGTACCCTACAGCTGTTAAGCAGGCTTGATTATCTTTTTCTCCAGATGTGACAAGAGACTTGCTGAGGTCCCACTACAGCCCATTGCCAGGACCTAGATTCCCACAGTCAGATGAAATCTATGAGCTTCCTGGGAAGGAGGCTGGGTATGCATCCATGGAGGCTCACGCCCTTCATAGAAGGGTATCTCAGAGGTGAAATGTGATTCTGGATTACTATGCCATCTAGCTTATTATGTCATTGTCCCAACTGACATGGAAACTGTGATTCATCTATACCATCAAATACTACTGAGCAATAAACAATAATAAGTTATTGATACAAAAAAACAACTTGGATGAATCTAGGTGCTTGTGACTAAGATATTCCAATGGAAAGGATGACTGGCTGTGAGGTGCGTTCTCCTGAAGCTTGTTTTTGACCATGCAATAAACTCCTTCCCATGGTGGTAGATGTAGTGTTGAGGAACAAAGTCAAAACCAAGTCATCAGACTTTGGGTTGAGGGACAGATTAAGGATGTCAGCCCAAAATACAAATGGAAACCTCCCTTCTTGGACATGACCAAGCAGCCACTGAGTCTAGAATTTTATCTAAATCCACGCTAACTTCTGAACAAACCTAAATGAATTTTCACTCAGACCGTCCAACAGGATCTCATTGTGCCTAAAACAGATCTTAAACTGGAAGGGATTGTGGAAAACAAAAACAAAAACAAAAAACACAAACTTGGATTCTCCAGCCTCAGAATGTTCAGCACTGACAACCTAACTTTTACTTGATCAGGCTGGAGCTGAGACCGTGCTGTGTTGGGAGCCAATCATGGTCATCGGTGTTGGGAAGATGGCATTTCTCTCATTCACTCCTGCATCATCTGGCACAGATTAAAATTACAGTGCACATTAGAAACAACACAGAAGACAAATAATCCACATCTCACAGAGTAAATAGTGTCTAATTTGGATTATATGAAAACTACCCGATATATTAACCATAAGCTGCAACAATACTGATGGTTAAATCAGAAACAATGTCTCACAGGCAGTTTTGAATGATATCTTAAAATCATGTGATCTGGTCTAATACAGTGTTTCCCACATCTGCAGAGCATCTTTAATAAAATATATTCTATCAAGATTTATAGGCAATTTTAGTGAAAACAGTGAAAACTGTAACACATGCAGTAGTGAGCTGTAGCACCTTCCAATCCTTTTATAATGGACATGAAATAATAGAAATGGGGATTACTCAGAAAACCATAGGCCTGAAAAATGTCACCTCAATGAAGCAGAGGTCAAATTGCTACTGCCTCTACTTCTTGTTCAGTTAATAATGTTTTTGCTATTAAATAAGAAAGAGCTCTTAGTTGGAACTCAGTTACAAGTAATTTGTGCCAGATTAATAGTTTTATCTACAATTTGTTATTTTATACAAAATAGATTTAAATGGTTGTTTAATTCCTGATGTGAAAGATGGTAATTTGGCAAGAATAATATTACTTCTGTGACAATAAAAAAGCACTGGCTAAAGATTCTAAAACATTTTTGTTTTGCTATATTCATCTCTCTATGGGTACAATTATATATCTCTACTGTGCCATAAGAATATAATTTTTTTCTTTTAAACATTTTGACTAAATGTTTCAACATAAAAATTAAGATATAAAAGAAGAGCTTATGCTTTTGACTGTGATTAAATTATATGTAGTGAATTAACACTCCTTCTGAAAACAATTAGACAAGCTGAGTAAATATAAATAAATATGAAAATAAATTAACTTTTCTTAAAGAAGAGTTGCAGAGCTAGCTAGGACTTGTGGAGCCAACATCCCAGATAGAGGGAAACCACACAGAAATGAATTGACCTTGTACAAGCCATATTTGCTCTCAAGGCATTTGTCAAGGCAACAAGAACACGTAATTCCCACGTCCTGGTGAAAAGGCATACAGATAAAAGTATGTGCCACACCAAGGCATTTGTTAAAATCTTATTGTTTGCAGAGAGAGAAGTAAAATGCTTATCAGAAAGCTGCTGAAAATTAGGGCAGAATATTCAGCAATCTCACACACACAAATGAGAAGATAAAATTTATTATTCTGGACTCTGCAGGAAGAAAAGACCTTATTAAAAAGTCAAGGCCCACAGGCCCCACAGGTCCTACAACATAGGAACAGGGTCATACAAGGAATACATAGAGTCTTGTAAAATTTTAAAATTAGTCTCCAGTCATTCCAGCCTGTGATTGGATTAGATGATTTACTCTTACCCTATTTGCTTTCCAGTAGACAGGATGTATCCTCTCTAAAGGAAGATAACAAAACTTCTACAATTCTTGATACACATTTTTCACTTTTAAATAAAAAAGTATGAGACATTTTAATTTAAAAATTCTTAACAAACAGACCAGCACATAACCCTGTTATTGGAGTTATCAGCCTCAGACTTTCTACTAAATATGATATTCAAGAATATTGAGAAATTAGATGAGAAATTTTAAAAATTTTATGAGACCTAAAATATAAGAAAATAAATCAAATGGAAATACTAGAAGTGGAAATTTCAATAACTGAAATTATTAATTCAATAAATTGGTTTAAGAGGGTGGAGTAAGGTGATGGAATAGAAGCCTACACCATTCATATTCCTAACACCAAATTATAACAATTATCTGCACACAGAAAAGTACCATCACAAGACACAAAAATCAGGTGAGCAATCACAGTACCTGGTTTTAATGTTATATCATTGAAAGAGGCATTGAGGAGGGTCTGAGAGACAGTCTTAATTGCTGATACCACCCCTCCCCTATCCTATGGCAGTGGCTAAACATGAGGAAAGTCTGTGCACTTGGAGGAGGGAGAGCACAGCAACAGGTGGACATTACTTTGAACTCAGTGCTGCCCTGCAATAGTGGAGAGTAAGCCTTGCTGGACTCAGCCAGTGCCTGTGCACAGAGGGAGCATTTGAACTAGACCTAGCCAGGTGGGAATTGCCTATCCCAGTGGTCAGAACTCAAGTTTCTGGACAAGTCTTGCCATCATGGGCCAAAGTGCTCTGGGGTCCTAGGTAAATGTGAAAGGCAGTCTAGAATGCAAGGACTACAATTCCTAGTGCTAGGCTGGACTCAGAACCAGAGGACTAAGGTGACATGTGACCTGGGGAGACATCAGCTGGGGCAGCTGAAGAAGAGCTTATGCCATCCTCCCCCAACCCAAGGCAGTGCAACTCACAGGAACAAAAGTGTCCCCTTCCTTCTGCTTAGGGGGTGGAGAGTAAAGAGTAAAGACGACTCTGTCTTGTATTGTGGATACCTACTCAGCCACAGTAGGAGAGGGTACTGGGCAGAGGCATTCAAGGCCCTAGCTCCAGATAACATTTCTAGACACACTCTGGGCCAAAAGGAAATCCATTGCTTTTATGAAACAATCCAGTTCTGGCAAGATTCATCACCTGCTGTCTAAAGAGCTCTTGGGCACTGAATAACCTGCAACGATCCCCAGAGAGTACACAATGGGCCTTGGGCCCTGAGACATGCTGGCTTCAGATGTGACCCAGAAGATTCCCAGCAATGGTGGCTATTATAAAAGACTTCCATTTGAGAAAAGCAGAGGGAAAAGTAAAGGGGAAATTTTCTTGCACCTTAGGTACCAGCTTGCACACAGTGGGGCAGAGCAATAAGCAGGCACTTGGGGTCCCTGAGTCCAGGCCCGGGCTCCTAGCATTTCTAGGCCTGTCCTGGGCCAGAAGGGAGCCCGCTACCTTGAAGGGTGAGTCCCAGGCTGTGCAGCGTTTACCACAAGCTGTCTGAAGAACTCTTGGGCATTAAGTGAACACTAGCAGTGGCCTGGCAGAACTCCACCATGGGCCAGTGGTGGTGATGCCCACCAGATGAAGCTCCTTTGCCTGTGAAAAGGAGAAGGAAGAGTGGGAAGGACTTCCTATTGTGGTCTGACTTTCACCTTAGCTGCAGTAGAATGGAACATCAGGCAAATTCCTAAGACTTTTGACTCTAATCCCTGACTTTCAGAAACCATCTCTGGAGTCACCGAGAGCCTGGGGAATCTCACTGCCCTGGGGAAAAGAATAAAAACCTGGCCTGCCGATTGCGGAGGCCTAGGACTTTGAGTGAACATAGGTGGTAGCCAGGTGGCAGTTACAGCAGGCCTTGGGCAAGACCCAGTGCTGTGCTGGCTTTAGGTCAGTCCCAACAAAGTCTAGTGCTGCTGGCCACAGAAGTGCCTGCATAACCATACCCTTAGTTCCAGCTGGGTCAGCCCAGAAAGAAAGAGACTCTTATTTGTTTACCTGAAAGTGAGGTAAATGAATAACAGTCTCTTCCTGGTAATCCAGAGAATTACTACAGATCTTATTAAAGACCACCAAGGCAGGACCCCTACAAGTCTGCAAAAATTTCAGTGATATTGGGCTTGCGGCCCAAGTCCCTGTGAATAGCTGGAAAGCCTTCTCAAGAAGGATAGGCAAAAACAAGTCTGGACTGTGAAGACTACAATAAACACCTAACTGTTCAATGGTCAGACAGCAAAGAACACCTATAAGCATCAAGAATATGCAGGAAAATATATGACTTCAACAAATGAAATAAATAAGTCACTGGGGACCAATCTTGGAGAAACAGAGACATGTGACCTTTCATACAGAGAACTCAAAATAGCTGTTTTAAGGAAACTCAAAGAAATTGCAGATAACACAGGGAAGGAGTTCAGAATCCAATCATATAAATTTAACAAAGAGATTAAAATAACTGAAAAGAATCAAGCAGAAATTCTAGAGTTGAAAAATGTAATTCACATGTTGAAGAATGCATCAGAGTAACTTAATAGCAGAATTGCTCAAGCAGAAGAATTGGTGAGGTTAAAGACAGGCTATTTGAAAATACACAGTCAAAGGAGACAGAAGAAAAAATAATAAAAAAATGAAGTATGCTTATAAGATGTAAAAAATAGCCTCAAAAGGGTAAATCTAATGGATATTGGCCTTAAAGAGGAAGTAGAGAAAGAGATAGGGATAGAAAGTATATTCAAAGGGGTAATATCCAAGAATTTCCCAATCCTAGAGAAAGATATCAACATTCAAGTAAAAGGTTATAGAACACCTAGCAGATTTAAGCCAAAGACAACTACCTTGAAACATTTAATATTGAATTCCCAAAGGTCAAGGATAAAGAAATTATCCTAAAAGCAGCAAGAGAAAAGAAACAAATAACATACATGTGAGTCCCAGTATGTCTGGCAGCAGACTTTTCAGTGAAAACCTTACAGGCTGAGAGAGTGGCATGACATATTTACAGTGCCGAACGAAAAATAAAATTATCCTAGAATAGTATATCCAGCAAAACTATCCTTCAAACATGAAGGATAAGTAAAGACTTTCCCAGACAAACAAAAGCTGAGGGATTTCATCAATACCAGACCTGTTCTACAAGAAATGTTAAAGAAAGTTCTTCAATCTAAAAGAAAATGGTGTTGATGATCAAGAAAAGAATCATCTAAAGATAAAAACTCACTGGTAATAGTAAGCACACAGTAAAACACAGAATACCATAACACTGCAATTGTTATGTAGACAGTATAATATGACATAAAGGGAAACAATAGAAAGTTAAAAAGCAGAGGAATAAAGCTAAGTGTGGAGTTTTTATTAATTTTCCTTTTGTGTGTTTGTTTATGCAATCAGTATTGTCATCAATTTAAAATACCAGATTATAAGATAATATTTGCAAGCCTCATGGTAACTTCGAATTGAAAATCACACAACAGATACCCTGAAAATACAAACCAAAAACTTAAATCATAACACCATAGAAAACTACCTTCATGGAAAGAAGACAGTAAAAAAGGAAGAGAAGGCCACAAAGCAATCAGAAAACAACAAAATGGTAGGAGTAAGTCTCCCATCCAAGTATTAACCAAGCCTGACCCTGTTTAGCTTCCAAGATCAGATGAGATTGGGTGAATTCAGGGTCACATGGCTGTAGAGTAAGTCTCTATTTATCAATAACAACCTTGAATGTAAATAGAATAAGCTTTTCAATCAAAAGACACAGTATGGCTGAATGGATAAAAAAATAAAGCCCCATGTTCTATTTGCCTACAAGAAACACACTACTATAAAGATACACATAGACTGAAAATAAAGGGTTGGAAAAAGATATTACATGCCAATGGAAATTTTAAAAAAGCAAGCAGGAGTAGCTACACATATATCTAACAAAATAGATTTCAAGACAAAAACTGTAAGAAGAGATAAAGAAGGTCACTATATAATATCAAAGGAGTCAATCCAGCAACAGGATACAATGTAGATATATATATATATATACACATGTAGATATATACAATGTAGATATATATATATATATATATGCACCTAATTCTAAAGCACCCAGATAGAAAAACATATGTTATTAAAGAGATAGATAGACCTCAATACAATCACAGCTGGAGATTTCAACATCCCACTTTTGGCACTGGACAGACCTCCCAGACAGAATATCAACAAAGAAACATCAGACTTAACTTGTGCTATAGGACAAATAGGCTTAATAGATATTTATAGAACATTTTACCCAAAATCTGCAGAATATACATTCCTTGCTTCAGCCCATGGATCATTCTCAGGAACAGGCCATAAGTTAAGTCACAAAACAAGTCTTAAAACATTCAAAAAATTGAGGTAATAGCAAGCATCTTCTTTCATCACAATGGAATAAAACTACAAATCAATAACAGGAGGAATTTTGGAAACTATTCAAACACATGGAAATTAAATAATATGCTCCTCAATGACCAGTGCATCAATAAAGTAATTAAGAAGGAAATTGAAAGATATCTTGAGACAAATTACAATGGAAACACAATATACCAAAACATATGGGATACAGCTAAAGCAGTACTAAGAGGAAAGTTTATAGCTGTAAGTGCCTACATCAGAAAGAGGAAAAACTTCAAATAAATGATTTAAGGATGCTTCTTACAGAACTAGAAAAGCAATAGCAAGCTAAACCCAAAATTAGTAGAAAAAAAGAAATAATAAAGATCAGACAAGATAAATGAAATTGAAATTAAGAGAAAAATACAAAAGATCAATGAAACAAAAAGTTTGTTTTTTGAAAAGATATACAAAACTGACAAACCTCTGGCCTGACTAAGAGAGAAGATCCAAATAAATGTATTTAGAAATGGAAAAGAAGACATTACAATTGATATTGCAGAAATCCCAAGGATCATCAGTGGCTGTTATGAGCAACTACATGCCAATAAATTCTAAAATCTAGAAGAAATGGACAAATTCCTGGACACATATAACCTACTAAAATTGAACCATGAACAAATCCAAAACCTGACTATACCAATAATAAGTAATGAGATCAAAGCTGTAATAATAAAGTCTCCTAGTAAAAAAAAAAAAAAAAAGCCCAGGATCTGATGCCTTCGCTGTTGAATTCTACCAAACATTTAAAGAAGAACTGATACCCATACTACTCAGACTATTCCAAAAAACTGAGGAGGAGGGAATAACTCCAAACTCATTCTACAAGGCTAGTATTACCCTGATACCAAGACCAGACAAAGACACATTAAAAAAAAAGAAAACTGCAGGCCAATATCTCTGATGAATATTGAGACAAAAATCCCCAACAAAATATGAGCAAACTGAATTAAATGATACATTAGAAAGGTCATTCATCATGACCATGTTGGATTTATCCCTGCAATGCAAGGATGGTTCAACATACACAAATCAATCAGTGTGATACATCATATAAACTAAAGGGTTAAACCATGCTAAAGGGTAAAAACCATATGATCACTTCAATTGATTCTGAAAAAGTATTTAATAAAATTCAACATCCTTCATGATAAAAACTCTCAAAAAACTGCATATAGAAACAATATACCTTCACATGATAAAAGCAATATATGACAAACCCACATCTAGTATCATAGAAATGGGGAAGAATTGAAAGTGTTTCTACTAAGATCTGGAACATGACAAGGATGCCCGCTTTCATAACTCTTATTCAACATAGTACCTAAAGATTCCACCATAAAACTATTAGAATTGATAAACAAATTCAATAAACTTGCAAGATACAAAATTAATGTACAAAAATTGGTAGCATTTCTATATGCCAACAGTAAACAATCTGACAAAGAAATAAAAAGTAATCCCATTTACAATAGCCACACATAAAAATAAATACCTATGAAATAACCAAGGAAATGAAAGATCTCTACAATTTAGACTATAAAACACTGATGAAAAAAATTAAAAAGGACACCAAAAATGGACAGATATTTCATTTTCATGGATTGGAAGAATCAATACTGGTAAAATGTTCATACTACCCAAAGAAATCTAAAAATTCAATGCAATCTCTTTCAAAATACCAATGACATTCTTCACAGAAACTGAAAAAATATTCTAAAATGTATATGCAACCACAAAGACCCAGAATCGCCAAAGCTATCCTAAGCAAAAATAACAGAACTGGAGGAATCATATTACTGACTTTGAATTATACTATAATGCTATAGTAACCAAAACAACATGATTTTGGCATAAAAACAGACACTTAAACAAATGGAATAGAATAGAGATCACAGTAACAAATCTACACACCCACAGTGAACTAATTTCTAACAAAGATGCCAAAAACACACACTGGAGAAAGGACAGTCTTTTCAATAATGATACTGGGAAACTGGATATCCATATGCAGAATAATGAAACTAGATCTTTAAATCTCATCATATACAAAAATCAAATCAAAGTGGCTTAAAAATTTAAATCTGAGACCTCAAACTATAAAACCACTGCAAGAAAACTTTGGAGAAACGCTTCAGAACACTGGTCTGGGAAAAAAGGTTTTGAGTAATACCCCGCAAGCATAGACAACCAAAGCAGAAATGGACAAATGGGATCACATCAAGTTAAAAAGTTTCTGCACAGCAAAAGAAACAATCAACAAAGTAAAAAGGCAACCCATAGAATGGGAGAAAATATCTTCAAACTACCCATCTGACAAGGGTTCAATAATTAGTATATATAAGAAGTTCAAACAACTCTATAGGTAAAAATCTAATAATCTGATCAAAAACAGGCAAAAGATTTGAATAGATATTTCTCAGAAGAAGACATACAAATGGAAAATAGGCACACAAGAAGGTGCCCAACATTATTGACCATAAGAGAAATGCAAATCAAAACTACAATGAGATATCTCCTCACCCCAGTTAAAATGGCTTCTATTCAAAAGGCAGACAATAACAAATGCTAGAGAAGATATGGAGAAAGGGGAACCCTCATACATTGTGGGTGGGAATGTACATTAATACAACCACAATGAAAAACAGTTTGGAGATGCCTCAAACAACTAAAAATGGAGCTGCTGTATGATCCAGCAATTCCAGCAATCCCACTGCAGGGTATATACCCAAAATAAAACGTATCAGTATATCGAAGGGATATCTACACTCCCATGTTTGTCTTAGTACTTTTCACAATAGTCAAAATTTGTAAGCAACCTAAGTATCCGTCAACAGATGAATGGATAAAGAAAATGTGGTACATATAAACAATGAAGTACTATTCAGCTATAAAAAAGAATGAGATCCTGTTACTTACAACAACATGGATGGAACTGGAGGTATTATGTTAAGTGAACACACAGAGAGACAGCACAGAAAGACAAGTATTATATGTTCTTACTTATTTGTGGGATATAAAAATCAAAACAATTGAACACATGGAGATAAAGAGTAGAAGGATGATTACCAGAGGCTGGTATGGGTAATGGGGGTTGAGAGGGAGTGGGGACAGTTAATGAGCACAAAAAATAGTTTGAAAGAATGAATAATATGTAGTATTTGATATCACAACTGTGACTAAAGTCAAACTCATTTAACTTTACATTTAAAAATAACTAAAAGGGCATAAATGGATGGTTTGTAACATAAAAGATAAATGGTCAAGTGAACAGATACCCCATTTTCCATGATGTGATTATTACTGACTGCGTGCCTGCATCAAAATATCTCTTGTACCCCATAAATACATACACCTACTATGTACACAAAAAATTAAAAATAAAAAATATACAAAATGAATAAATAAATCAGTTTACAGATAGGACATGGTGAAAAAAGAGGATTCATAAATGGGAAGAGAGCTGTAAATAAAATATACAGATTACAACACAGAGAACAAAAATAAATGGAAAAAGCATTAAAAGAAAAAGTACAGTTTACTAGAACATGACATAGTGTGAAAAGCTACATACATCTTTATTTGGAGGTCTTAAGAAGGAAAAAATGAAGGTCAAAGCTATATCTAAAGAGATAGTGACCAAAATTTTTCTGAAAGTAATGAAAGACAGGAAGCCATGCTTTGAAAATGGTCCAAATGTCAAACAGTAGAAATAAAAGGACACCATCTAGACACATAATTGGATGACTGCTGATAATAAAAGAGTAAGAGAAAACATAAAAACAGCAAAAAGAAAACACACATTAACCTCAAAGAGCATCATCAGACTCACAGCTGACTTTTCAACAGAAATGGTAGAAGTTGAAAGTCAATTTAACAGCATTTTGAAAGTACCGAAATGAAATGAATTTCCAACCTAGAATACTCTAGCTAATGAAAGTAACTTTAAAAGTGAGGTTAAAACAAAAACATTTCAATCACACAAAAATAAAAAATTCATAGTCAACATAC
This sequence comes from Homo sapiens, assembly GCF_000001405.40. Taxonomy (NCBI): domain Eukaryota; kingdom Metazoa; phylum Chordata; class Mammalia; order Primates; family Hominidae; genus Homo; species Homo sapiens. The sequence goes on from NC_000013.11 coordinate 37,859,715, forward strand.
AATGAAATGTGTACTAAAGAGAACTCTTAATCTGTCAAGATACATGTTGGTACTAGAAGGAATAGATGTCATCTAGAAAAACATCTGTGATATCTGTGATTATAAAAATTAAAAATAAAACTAAAATAGAAAATAAAACATACTAATCATTACTTCTGAAAAAATAAAAAATCATCTATCCAGCTCAGGCTCCCCACCCCCACCTCCATGCACATGTGTTGGTGCATAGAAATTATATATTTTAAAAGATAAACATACCATCCTCCGATGTATTTCAACTTACTTTAGGGTAAGAAGACAAAAATAGCTCATCAAACATATGGATAAATATTTTGCATTGTTTTGTGTTACACTTATATTTCTGGTAACTAGCAAACACTTTCAAAATACCATACTGGTAAGAGTTTAGGAAAATGAACTGAAAGTACTTATTGCATAAATTAAAATTAAAATGTTAAACTGTTTTTAAAATAAACTATTAACAATGATTAACAACATCAGTAATATATCAAGTATTTTGTTATTTTAGACAGGACATTTGAAAATATTCATATGGTGAATATTTTTAATATTTTTCTTTAGGATTATATTGAGCACTCATTTTAGTGTAAAACACTCAAACCCACCACGAATCATGTAATGATATTATCTTCATAATGCCATAGAGAGAACAATAGATCATTTTTCTGAAGCACAACAGACTAAATTCAATGTGCCTTTTCTGTACACAAAGGAACAATGTAATAACCTGAAATCTCCTTTCTTAAAACCTTTTTGTTTAAGCCTTTCTTCATATAAAATTTTCTTACATAGACTAGGAAGAAATGTCTATGTCCAACCTATGGAGAACAAATAAATCAGTAATTGGATTTCATCAGAAGGCATAATTCAATCAAGGTTATAATTCCATCTCACTATGAAAACATAATCTTACCACAATTTTATAAATGTGCATAAATATGGATTTTCACCATATGCACCACCTACATATGGAAGTACCCTACTATGGTTGAGGCAGCAGGGAATGTGAATTCATATACGGCAGCTCCTCTGTCATAAGCCTCCAATCCTAGATCCAATTAGACAATTGAAAATTCCCATTTGTAGGACTGATGGAGTGCTAGCAGAGTATAATATTGAAGAAACAAAGGGTATGTGAAACGCTTTGAGCAGTCGCTGTCTTCGGTTTACTTATGTATCTATTTCATTATATTTAAAGTAATCCAGATGAATTTCAGGCAGAACCTGAAACACTTCTAAAATAAATTGAATTCCAGTGTATTTTATGAGTAGAGTCTCATTAATCACATTAAATATTTGACAATAATCCTTTTATATATCAAAGATGAAAAGATCTCATTGTGACTCTCAAAACCAGAAGCATTATAAGAAAGTAGATTATCTTTTAAAAAACTTCATTTAGATAAACTGAAATGATTTAGGTTATATGCTTCAGATATACTAAGTTATTCAAAAATTGATCATTGCAAGTGTTCAATTTGTTTACTTTTTCTCAATTGGGTTGTATATTTACTTTGTAGATATTTACATTTTTAAAAAAATCAGAGGCTAAAATGTTTAATTTAAAAACAGATCTTCTGCATTTGATGTTGCCAATAATTATTGCCATTAACTATTAATCTAAAAATGGGCAATTTTCATTTTTTAATTATATACAATATTTCAATTACAGCAATGTAGTAACTGATAAGAAAGTACTTAAGTATACCAGCAAGTTCTGCTTTAAGTTCTGGTTTTAGTGGTTCATTGCTAAATACAATAGAATGCAAAGCAGTTCTTATTCTTCAGGTTAAAATTGTTGACATTTTTATATGATGGAAAAATATTTATCATAAATACTGTTATAATGAAATGTTATTTATTAAAGCTTCTTTTATTCATGAAAGGGCAAAATCATTTGCTGGTTCACTTTGTTCCAAGAACGTGCTGGAGTGCTAAATAAAAATGTGCAGTTCAGCTCCAAGTAGCTTGCACATTACAAATCAAAATGTTAAGCTGTGAGGTTAAAATGAACCAGATAAGCAAATAACGCTTTCCCCAGTGCCAGCATCTCTTTTTATACAGCACATGCAGAGGGACATATCTTTAAATGTTCTTTATCCTTTATTTTAGAGGCTCTCAGATGCTTAGAGGTAGGCACTCTAATTATTTTGCATGATAACCCTCAGAAAGCAAAACATTCTGGTACCATTGGTAGACCTAGGAATGCAGGTTCCAATAATGGTTTTTTTTAAAAAGGAGGAATGTATCTAGTCCAGTCCCTTCTTCATTTTCAAGATTAAAGGCCATGAGAAAGGTAGTCTATTTCTAGGCTTTCGATAGACGTAGCTGTAGACAGAGGAGCCCACAAGAAAACACTAACAGTGGGCCCTGAGTACTCCTAGATTTCTCTAAATTTGATCTGACCTTCTAAGAATCTCTTAAGCCAAGGTCTCTACTGTCTCTAGAGAAAGGGGTAGGGTGGTGAGAATCCAGGTCATTATATCCCTAACTATAAAAGTGCCTTCTTAGGTTTGCTTCATTGGTTCCATGTGGGGTAGGGTAACATGTGACTGTAACACCAAAAATCCAACCAGACTTTGGAAAACAACTTACCTCTTACAATACATAGCCTGTGAATGGTAATTTGGTAATATCTATGTATAAAAGGAAAACACTGTTTTTAATAGTGTCAATAATGCTATTTAAATTTAACACGGATTTACAGTAAAAAAACTTAAGTCCTACTCTTACGGAAAACAGTAATTAGTGGCAAAAAGGATATATTTAGATTGATTCCACCATGGCCCAAAGTTTTTGTTTTGTTTTGTTTTGTCTTTTAAATGTCAAGTATAGACTCTACTCATTGTAATATAATTTATGTTATTTATTTAATGAGTTCAGAGTTGTCATGGGAAAGGATCAGGAGAAAATAAGGTTGCCAAATATGTTTTAGATAATACAGGACACTGGAGTGTGATAAGAGGCTTATGAACAAACTTTGCTTAAAATATTAAAGAAAAAGGAAAATATGTCTTGTTCATCTCTGTATCCTCAGAATCTAGCAGAGTGACTGTTATGTATTAAGACCTCAGTAAAGTGTGTGCTCGTGTGTGTGTGTATGTGTGCGTATGTGTAGACAGAGAAATACACAGTCACGCATCACATAACAACATTTTGGGCAACAATGAACTATATACATGACGGTGGGCCCATAAGATTATAATACTGTATTTTTACTGTACTTTTTCTATGTTTAAATACACAAATACCTACCATTGTATATTTACAATTGCCCACAGTATTCACTACAGTAGCATGCTACACAGGTTTGTAGCCTAGGAGAAATAGGCTATTCCATATAGCCTAGGTATGTAGTAAGCTCTACCATCTAGGTTTGTGTAAGTACACTCCATGATGTTCGTGCAATGATGAAATTGCCTAATGATGCCTTTCTCAGGACGTATTTGATGTATGACTGCATGATCATATAGAAAGATTTAGGGGGCCTACTTACAAACATACTTTTAAATAAGATGATCTTCCAAGTCATTCATTGCAAATCTAACCATTTTATAGGGACACTGACATATTCAAAAACAAATACTGTGGTCCTTTATGGGTTACTCTATACTATTTGATAATAATTTGTGTCTCACACTCAAGCAGTCTCCCACTCTTTATTACTTGTTATTTACTGTTATTACATATATGTTTGTGTGTTTACACATATATACTTATATGTATGTTGTATACACATATATATTATATTCCTGTACATATTGGGCTCTAGATAAAATTAAAGAAGACCCAACTCTGCTTGTCAAACTGCAACTACCACAAAAGAGCATTCATTTAAAGTGTGACCTCAGTGTGATTCAGGGCATGCAGCTTCACTTTACCTTAGAATGAAAGGGATCTTTACATAAAAAGAAACTCATGCTGTCATAAATGATGGAGATGATTGTACATAAATCATGATAGATTCTCTGTTCTTCACTCCATGTACACTATGCCTGTCCTCTCATCCCTCCATTGTGTTTTTGGAGATTCATATTGGTGTATGATCAGCTACTTGAATGAACAGTGTGTTAAAGAGGTTGAGCATAGCAGCTGATGACAGACCAATTCAATCATCTATGCATTCATTTATTTCACTCATCTATTCAAAAAGCACATAGTCAGCACTATTATACTAATTCTGTGAAAATAAAAATTACAATGTGTTATGAACTATGATCCCGGTATGCAAATTGTGTTACTTCTCCACTATCATTTAGAGATGAAATGCATTAAAAATGTGGCAGAGTATCTGAACACTTTTCATAATCTGATTTGTAAAAACTCTATTGTCAATGAAGTAGAATGAAAATAATTTAAAACAAATCCCTCATGCCACCCACAATGGAACATCATGTATTGTCAAGTCTTTGAAATGCACTCTCAACTTACTTTCCAAATATCACTCCAAAGAAGTCTCTGGCTTTCTTTAGTTCAGTAAGCATTCCTGAGAAACACTTGTATCTGTCCTCTTTCAACTCTAACTACTCCTCTCATAGTGTAATGGAACAAAAGCCCTCCTTTAAGAATTCTGGCACAGTACCACTTAAACTGAAACACATTAATAACTGGTTATATAAATCCTATAAAAATGAGCATTATAGAGTAAGTAGCTGACTGAAAGTTAAGTTTATTGAATAATGGTGGGTAAATTATTTTTGTAACATAAGAAATAATATGGTACTCAATATATTGTATAAGTGCAACATTATCACAATTGGCATCATTATATAAAAATATGCTAAAAGTTTAGCCAAGTACAATATTATGAAAGTATAAAATACATTAATTATGTCAATTATGAAGCATAGTATTTATGGCACTCTAATTCAGTTACAAACTCACACAGTTTTGAAAATCCTCCGGTTTTCTTTAAAAAGTTTACTGTCTAGATCTGGAGACAGATCTTTGCCAGCCTGCAAGACAGAATATAACAAGCTCTTTGCTTGTATTTATACTTGGGACATCTGGAGAAATGAAGGAAACTTTCAAGGATACGGTCATATTGGATTTAACTAGGCACAAACTAGGCACTAACTAGGCACTAACTAGGCTTTAGTGCCTGCAGAATATTTTTACAGAAACAAAAAGGTAGAAGTTATTCTAGACAGAGGGAGCTTTGCCAGGAAATGCAACAAAAATGAAAAGCTTACGCATGTGCCATTCATCTATTGATTCAATTATTCATTTACTAATATTCAACAAATATCTACTGAATGGATAAGATTTTAGTGATAACTTTTGTAATGGTAGTACATATATTCAAAGAAAGTATTCCTTCAACCTCAATGTCAATAGGTTTTGGACACAATCCTGTCAGCGCAAATGCATATATATGTTTAGTAAATATCATGACAAATTCAGCTAATCGATGTCTTTTGGGATGCATGAATGAGAGCTCCTCTCAAATACCAAGGGACATTAAAATAATTGGAAAATTAAAATTTCAGGGAAAACTAAAACAAATACACTTGTCTAGAAATTTTACATAACATTGATAAGATGTAGTATAAACCTAACATGGCCTAGCATGACCTTTTTTTTAATAAAGACATTTTATTACCAGCTTACAGATGGTCAAAAGGTTAGCATGATAACTTTTTATTTATAAATTATAAGCTCATGAGTATTTCTAAAAAATTATAATCTTGAACTTTGTTCATAAAAACAAACTTTTTTTTTCTTTTTACATGTATTAGATTTATATTTAAGAATAAGAAAGGAAGTCATTTTGAGATCATCCTGCTCAAGATAAGTAGCTTATCTCTTGCTCTGCTTCAAAACTGATGGAACTTTAACAGACTATTGTTTCAAATTCTATCCCCATGATGGGGACAGTTGTTTATATTCCAATGTTATAATATTTTTAAAATTCAAGAAACAAATAGCTGAAAAAATGAATTTATGAAACTTGTTAAAAGATTATTGATTGTATTTTAGAAACCACAGGAATTAAGTAAAAAGAGTGTAGTCTTTACCATCAGGTAGACGTAGTACCTGATAGTAAAATTTGATATACTTCAAATCCTGCCTTCCCACAAAGCAATTTTGTGATTTTCATAAATTTCATCTTTCTCAGGTTGTTAAAATGTGATAATACTTCAGTTTCAAGGTAGATGTTAAGATAACAATGAAAAATAGCTTTCTTTTTCAAAGTTTCTCACATAGTGCCAAGTGTACATTAAATTCTCATAAATATTGGCCCATTTTCCCTCTTTTCTTTTTTCACAATAGGTCCTGTTTCAGGTAAATTTGAACTCTTGATAGTATTTGCTTGAAGTAATTTTTCAACATATTTCAAAATCTAACAGCAAACCACAGACAGAATATAATTAATGAATATCTGATTCATTTAATTTCACTGTCATTTCTCAAAAAGAATGCAGTGTGCTAGATAAAGCTATCAAGGCATATTTTTAAATTAATGTTTTAATTAACATTTCTAATTTTATATGTAACACTGTGTCCATGTGTCACTTAGTGTCTCTCAAGAAGTCATTATTCTATGACACTGCTATATTTTTAAAAAGAGAGATAAAACATACACTAATATTAATAGGATATTACATACAGTTTAGTTACAATAGTAGATCAAGTTCTGAAACTATTTCTTTCTTATTCTATTAAAATTAAACAACTTTCAGGAGGGTCACTTATATTTTTTAAACATTTAAATACAGCACTTAATTTGCTAAATAGTTCATGAAACCACAAGGTTTTGAATTAATACATTTTCAATGCGCATGCCTTTAATTTTCAGTTTCCCAAACAAATGGTGTCTTTCCCTAAATGCATTTTTTGCATCATAAAGTTATTTTGGTAATACTAATGTTCTCAAAAATTAGGTCTATATTTGTGCTGATTAAAAAGACACAGCCATGATATTATATCCCTGATCAAAATATTCTCAAATCTCTTAAAATATTGCGGGGTCAATGCCTCTGGAAGGGTGAGAAATAGAAAACATGAGTAGTGAGATAGTTCTAAATCAACTCTTCATTATAACTAGATAGAAACAAATTCCCAATTAAATTTGGGTTGAGTCGAACCAGTTTTAATGTTTATTTTTTGTGGGGGGGGGCGGGTATAGGGTATAAATTAGGTGAAAAGGCAAAGTTTTTATTTTGAGCTGTCTCCTCAACCTCATTTTTAATGAGAACCAAATAATCATGGTGGGGTTTCCATAGGCATTAAAGAGGTCAATAACACTGGTTCCAATTGAGTCTAGGCAATTCAATTTCTAAAGTCAAAGTGCACATTAGAATTTGATTTCATAAGCTATATGGCAATGATGGTTTTGGAAAAAGGAAAATTTAATAGTTTATTGTATTTTCCCTTTACCTGACATTATTTTCAAAAATACAACAATCATATTTTCATAAAATATTCAGTCCCTAATTTTATAGTTCTAGCTACTGCTTAGTATTTCTCATATATCTATCTTTACTTATATATCTATACTAACTTTAAGCACTGATAGTTACAATACTTACTATTGAACAAATGTGTGCATATTTTTATTTTTGTTCCAATATATGCATCGATCAGAAAAGAGAAATTATTTCAGTTTTCAGCTGCTAAATATAATGCTGATCATCTGAATTGCTATAAATAATCCTGGCAATTAAACATGCAGGTATAAAAATAAAACAGACTATTTCCAAAAATATACACTTAAAAGTAGTTTTAATTCAGTGGGGTTAAAATCAGTGCATCTTAAAGGGGGTTATTATATTTCAATACAAATGTAATTGTCTTTATCACAGGGTATGCTGATAGCATTTGACTAGATGATCAGATGTTTATAACTTTGAAATCATAAAAGAAAAATTAAAAATAATGATTGTCATTGTTTCTATCTTTCATCTACAGTTCAGAAACAGCAATTTTTCTAAGCTTAGTTATTACAGTGAAGTTTATAACAACATCTAGTTCACAAAAATATTGATAGACACAGCCATCCAAATATTGAAAAATAGCCAATCTAACTTCCAGATTCCTTACCAATTAAAATGATGTAATAGTTTATAAACATAAGTTGTTGTTTTTTAATATTTATTTAGCTTTGGATTCCTAAATGAGGATGTTGAAACAGGTAACTTTTCAGTCCTATAGATGGCTGTAGTTCTCCATGGAGCATAAGTTAGAAAGTTAGTTTGAAATGTGTGTATAGAATAAGACATTAAAATTTCCTCTAATGAGAAAGAATATAAAGATTGCTTCTGTTATTTCCTATTAATACACAGTATGAATCGATTAAGGTTATTTTATATGAAAAGTTATTTGGTCTCTTACTGGTCTAATAATTAAAATAGCTATAAAATTCAAAGAGAACTTTAACTCTGTCATAGACTTTTTAATGCAGTTTTATCTTGACCTTTTGGAAATAAGTGCAACAGAAAAATAAATAATATAACCATTACAAAATTTTAAAGGTTATAAGTAATGAAAATCTATTCCAACTCATATATCTTTCAGAATGACCAGTGAGCAAGTAAATTGAAATTGATCTTATTGTTTTTTTTCCCCCCTTAAACATTTAAGGAGGATGTTTTCTGGACAATAGTGTCCAGGTGAATAAGAAAGTAGGCGCTACAAATGTAACTTTAAATAGCAAACCCAACACAATGATGAAGATTTCAACATTTTAACATCTCCACCCACTCTTACTCTCAATGTCTAATTTAGAGTTTTACCAAAAACACCCCAAACCAAAAAACCCTCCAGTAAACCTTTTGCTTAAAGAATTTGTAATATTCTTTGTGCTGTGATTATGTACTGTGAAAGGAAAGGCAGAAATTATATGAGCTCTGAGAGGCGGTGTTTTATTAAAACTGAAAAAGTTTTACAAGTCTGTCTATTTTTTTTTTTAATAAAACAACTAAAGCTTCCTTCTGTCTCTTCCTACTCCTTTGGCTTGGTGCTTACTCCTTAAGCAACTTGCTGCATTTTATAGCTATGGAATTTCACTGGGAAGGGCCTCTCTAAGAAGCCATGTGAACAGGGATACACCATAGTGGATACACCATAGTGAATGCAGGCAGACAAGATAAGAGATCCCTTTCCTCAGCTCTCCTAAACCCTCGATGCCTTTCCAGTATTCTCTTGTCTCTAGTCGCAAAAGACAGCTGACTTCACAGCTGGAACAACAAGTTGTGCAGTGAATCCCAGTGATTTAACCAAGTAGCAAACCGGGTCATTGGCTTCATTGGCTTCATTGGAATCTCGGTTGCCAGGCGAACTAGGAATCACTAGCCTGGGTCGGGCAACACGGATAAAAGTGTTTCTGTTTCTTGACAGAGAATGAAAACGACGCAGAATGTAATCGATCGGTAGAACATTGATCACTCTCCTTCCTTCGTTACCCTACTTTAAGTGCCGGAGAGCTAAGGCCTCACTTATATGCACCCAGATGCCCCCGAGATCTCCATTTTCCCCAAATGCATAAAAGGCTAAAAACGGCCACATTCCCCAGCACCACGGCGTGGCTGCAGCTCCTTTGTTTACCATATAAGTCACACCGGGGGTTCACTCCTCGCCCTCTCCCCTGCTTTAAAGCCGAGTGCGGCGGAAGACTGAGGAGCACCCCCAAACTCCTGCTCAGCCCGAGTCAAGCACCGAAAGCTTCACAGGTTTTTTTCCTGAGCCTTGAAGAGAAACCACATAGCCAGAACCTTTTGAACTCCTAACCCCGCAGGGATGTCCGCCTCCCAGAAGAGAGCCGGCTTCCCAGGCAGCTTAGGAAACTTAACCGAGATCCCAGAAAGAAGGCGAGGTGTAGCTCCGGTCGAACGGAGCCCCGAGGCGACATCCTCTTTACCTGCAAAGTTGCAATCTTCGGGCTGAAGTGATGGGATCCGAGGACTGACGGCGCGGGTGCCGTGCGGGGTGAGAGCACGCCCGGCAAATTCCAATGGAATTCCCTTAGTCGCTGCTGAGTTTTGGAGCATTCCAAGGAAAACGATCGAAGCTGGAGCCCACGCAGCTGGCACCGAACTGGGCGGAGTGAGGATGCTCTGAAAGCGAAGCCATGGGAGGCGGGGGAGGGGCGGCCCGGGAGGGGGAGGTAACCGCCAGGGGAGGAGAACCTCTCCCACCCCCGCCTGCACAGATCCCTCTGGATAAAGTTAAGAGTTCCCACGGCTGACAGCGGATGAGCCCAGAGAAAGGCACCCCGCCCTCCGTCCCTGGTGGCTGCCGGGCTCGGGGTCCGCACAGACCGCGCTGGAAAGGGATAGTCCGGGAAGATGCGCGTCCCACGCACCACACTGCTTGGAGGTGGAGGAGACCCGCGCGCTGGCAGGAGCTGACGCTGCGTCCCCAGCTTGTCCCCCTCGAATAGCCTCCACCTACCGGGGCCAACTGCTTGAGGTCAGCCAGTGGGCAGGGGAGCTCACCACCAGCCAGCCGTCATCCAGCCAAGTCGGTGGCGAGAATCCACCCTGTGGTTCTGGATGCAAGCCAGACACACCTCCAGGCTTAGGGCGGTCTCTGCAGGCGTGTTGGACTTCAGTGCGCTCCGACACCCAGCTTTTGAATGCCCTGCTCCCAGCCCGGTAAACAAGCACCCATGAGGCCCGCCGCCCGACCGGAAAAAAGTAGTCCCCTGCAACTCTCAAAGCTTCTCCCACTCCCGCTTCTCTGGGCGACTGGCACCCCCTCTCCTGTCCTCAAGGTGTCAGACTTCCCTTGCAAGAGCTGGAGGATGCGGCTTGCCACTAGTGTCAACAATCAAAACAGTCGCAATGAATAAATGATGAGCCACAGCGTTCCAACCACCCTCATCCAGCTTGGTCTTTCCAAAAGGCATAGGAAATCAGCAAGTTTCCACCAAATATACCAAAACCCTAAGACGCGAGCCAGCCCAAGGGTGCAAGGTTCTGCGGCTGCAGGTGATGTGCGTGTGTGCGAGTGTGTGTGTGTGCGATACTGGTACCATCTTACTGAGAGTGAGATTTCAAGATAAACGTTATCTCTTGTCCAATCTCTTTAGTGTTCACATATGAAAATAAGATTAAAGTACAGAGAGGAATACACACACACACAAACCACACACACACTATTGGCAAAGTTGGCAATAACACTTGCTGTAACTGCAACACGGTGATTCCCAGCTTGTCACTCGGAAAGTCTTAATTGGTTGTGACCCCATGACCCAGAGAAAGATAGAGTTCACGTGTAAGATAGAGAGTGGAGCCCTTGAGGAATCCTAGCTGGCAATTACCCTCCTCGAGACTCTGTTTCTACCTGATTGCCGTTATTTTCTGAAAGCCCTGAGGTTAGCTGCTGGTCTCTGATTGTATCCCAGCAGACGCCTGATTCAGCTTCCAGTCTGCGCAAAAGCTTAGGAGCAACCGTTTTCTCCTATCCCAACCAAGTTGTTACACCTGGGAAGCTGTGCTGTGCCGACTGCAAGGCGGACCAGTTTCTTCCCATGGAATATTCCCAAGGAATATAAACTGACAAACTGGCATCCATATTCAGACTCTAAAGCACAAAATTAAAGAATTTCCTTTTTTATCTTTCCTACCCACTTCAGAGTTCACATGAGTTGAGGTTTTTGTAAATAGTTTTCACATGAGTAAAGAGGATATTACCAGAGATCACGCTGGGGTAACTGTGCATGCTGCTTTTTTTTTTTAAGTCACTTTTCTTATTTGTTAATTTATCTTTCTCCCTGCCTAACTGCTCCTCTATGGGTTTGTTCCCAGCTCAGCTAGACCCCTATTCTAAATTTCTGAGATACTAAGTCCTTCCCAAAATACTAAGATACATTGAGATAAACCTGGTTTCTACAATGCTACTGCAGTAAACAAAGGAGAGAACGACAAAAGGCTTTTCTCCTTCCTTGAATCTCTTTTTACTCTTTACTACAAGAAGAATATATTGACATGTTTAAACAGTTCTTTACTTTTCTTAACATTAAATGAAGGCTTTTAAAAATATGCAAAATGTATCTATCAGTAGACAAGGTAATAACTTTATAATAAATTCAAGTCCACTTTCTAACAAGGGAGGGGAGACTGTAAACATATATATGGAAATCTATTTTATTTAATGGAACTGTAAGTATTTTTGTGACATTTATTGACAATGTTTCTTCTTAGCCTGAAAAACAAAATTCTACATACTGTGTTTGAGTTTATATCTTTGAGATCAACCCGTGGTAGATAGAATTCCACATACTGAAATGAGTATAGGTCTTTATAATGCATATTAAAATACATGCAAGAGAAAAGCTGATCAGTGACAAACTTGTCCATTGTTTAGAAGTGATGAACTTTACTTTGCAACCTTAGCATCTGTACCAAGTTAGATGCTCCTGCCCTCTAAGGATTTGTTCTTTGTAGCAAATGTTATCTCTGTCATGATGTCAGCAAAGAGATATTATACCAATTTTTTCTAATTTGTTATTTCTTTCCATAAAAAGGTGCCTATGAAACTGCAATAAATACATAACAGAAGAGAACACCAAGGAGAGCACTATATATGTCAACCATCTGAGCAGGCTGTATTCCCACGGAAAGAAGAATTTGTATTGATCACTGAGCCTCCTTTTCAACAGTTTCATGTGATTATTGATTGCTGGTCTCAGGTCTCCTACAAAATGATTAGCAATTACAGGAAAATTATTTGAAATCTGTTTAAACAATCTGGTGAATTGCATATACTACAGTCATTAGCAATCCAAAGAGTTTATTTTTAACAATTTAAACATATGAGTTTGGCAGCATTCTACGAACCTGCACTCCACATAAAATGCAATTCATTGAAGTCAAAGAAATTTACAATAAAATGTTATATGCTATCTAGAATTTATTTTAGTACCTTATTAAACAGAACAAGAAAGCACTCATGTTTCCAAATTAGCAAGAGACAAGTGACCCAAGAAATGATAGCAGTAAAACAATTCTCTGTAATGTCTATTTATAGCTAAAGTATATTGTAGAATTGGGATCACAATTGTTTTAGGAATACAATTTTCACTTTACTCCTAAAGGTTATTGTTCTGTTTAGGAGCTGACATGTAACATGTATGAAACACTGTTTCAAAGCTGTTATACCTCAGACATAGAGACAAAGTCACAGAGACAAGTATTTGGAGAATTTATTCATGCACATGTGTCACCATCAGCATTTTTATGTGCCAGTAATGCATCTGTGTATGATGCCATCATGAAGTATATGATATTGGCCTTTCTGATGCTAAGATAAATTAAGAAATAGGTTATCATTGTCTTTGATGCCCATGTGACCTGTCTTCCACCTTTGTGACCAGGCCTTTACCTCCTACTGCACAAGGGCTCACCCAAACTCACTGAAGGGGCTCCACCTCAGCTTAACTTTTGGATTTGGCTCCTGCTCCAGGTTTTAGAATCCTCTGTTCTGTCATCAATGTAATGAGGCTTCAATCTAACCTACATGGCCATGCTATACACACAGCTTTTACCTGCCTATTTTTTAAAAAAATTAACATTTTCTAAGTTATCAAAATGTTATTCAAAAATGTTAATTTTAATGAATCACTACTTATTTCTATGAAATACTTAAGTATTTTTCAGGTCTTGAAAGTGTAATTGTTTTTATACTATTATTCCCTACTGGTATACTTTTGTTGAAAGCCGTTACACAAGCATTTTTGTCTGTATCTCTAATTATGTCCTCAGAATAGATTCCTAGTAATACAGCCCTGTGTCATGATGCAGAAATATTTTAAAGTACATGCTGTATGTTATAAGGGAGCTTGTTGCATTGAACCCTCATCAATACGGGGCATCCTTAAGGTCCTTTTTCTTCTTTTCTTTTTTTATTTTGACTGATTTCCTACTTGAAAGAAAATGGTATCTCAATGAGTTGTGTTAACTAGAAACGGTGACTTTTATATTTTGTGTACTTTGCTACTTGTTTCTTTTTGTGAGTTTACATACTTTTTCAATACTTACGGGGTTTTGTTGCTATTCCCCCATTTGGTTTATAATAACTCTTAATATTTGAACATTAGTACATTCCCATATTTATGGAAGATATTTCTCAGTTTTTAATTCTTTGTTAAATTTGGAGGTAATGTTATTTATTTTAAAGATGTTTCATTCTTACAAACATTAAACTATCAAATTTTCCCTGATAATTTATTTTAGTGCTTTAATGCTCCTAATATCTTTTTCCTCTCATATTCACTTATTTTTTCAAGCTTTTAAAAAATGATTTCATGTTTAAGGCAATTGCTTAGTCATTAACTTCATAGACCCTGGAATCATGTTATCTAAATTTAAAATCCCAGTCTCAACATTCATTCAACGAATATTTACAGAGTCTATGTTTAAATATTTTATGGAGTGCAAAGCATTGTACTAGGTGCTTCCCATACATCTGTGAGCAAAACAGATAAGATACTGCCGTTGCTGAACTGATATTTTGAAGAGGACAGACAAAAATAATAAATATATTAAATAAGTTAATTACATACTATATTAGAAGGCAATTAAAAGAACAGGGTATGGGGGCTGGGCACGGTGGCTCAAGCCTGTAATCCAGCACTTTGGGAGGCCTAGGTGGGTGGATCACGAGGTCAGGAATCGAGAACATCCTGGCTAACACCGTGAAACCCTGTCTCTACTAAAAATACAGAAAAATTAGCCGGGCGTGGTGGCGGGCGCCTGTAATCCCAGCTACTCTGGAGGCTGAGGCAGGAGAATGGCATGAACCCGGGAGGTGAAGCTTGCACTGAGCCGAGATTGCGCCGCTGTACTCCAGCCTGGGCGACATAGCGAGACTTTGTCCCAAAAAAAAAAAAAAAAAAAAAAAAAAGAACAGGATATGGGGACTAAAAATGCTGATGGTGACAGATATTGGTGGTGGGTTGCAATTTTAACCAGTTGTCAGGGGAGTCTTCTTTAATCTGGAGACATTTAAGTAACAATCTGTAGGTTAGAGAACTGGCTGTAGGGATTCCCTGGTGAACAGTGTTCCAGGTTGAGGAGTAGGCTGAGCTGATTTATGTTGTAAAGTATTTTTCTTGCCGCTATAGTGAGGATAGACTTGGGGAAGCAAAGGTGGAAGCAGGGAGAACAGTTAAGAACCTACTGAAACAAACCAGGAAATACGGTGTTGACCAATTTGTGCAAAGTAGAGGTGGATTGAAGATCTAGTCTGAAGATAGATTGAACCGAATTTTCCAAAATGTTTGTATGCAGGCTATAAGAAGAGTTAAGCATAGCTATGAGATTTTTGGCTTGAGCACGCAGATGATTCTGAGTAAAGGATATTGTAAGATGGAGAAGATAGGAGTTAGGACTGGTTTTAGGGAGAAGATTAGGAATTCACGTGCGGACATATTAAGTCTGAGATGGCTATAAGAACACTTAAAAGCTGTGTGACCTTGGATAATATCACTGAACTTCCACATGACTTGGTTTTCTCATCTGTAAAAGAGTGAAGTAATTGTTCCTACCTCATAGGCTTGTTATGAGGACCAAAGCATTTTTGTAGGTAAAGCATTTACAAAAGTGATTAAAACAAAATACGCAATGTGTAAGTTTTGCCTCATTATTATTATTAGATATAATTCCAACATATTTGGAACTAACTTAAGCATGCATTATTTAGTGATGATCTAACTGTTTCTCTTTTACAAAATAGGAAACCAGTACGGTTTATTACAACTGGAAAATAATGAATTAATTCTTCATTTTCATACTGATTGATGATATCATGTCTTTATTATAAACCACATTCTTCTGCCAATGCCTCTTTGCAAGCTATCTATTCTTTACCTCTGATACCTTCCTTTATTTTTATGAATTGGCCCCAAATTGCATTTGTTTCCTTCTCTGTCCTTTTAGGTGTTGGCCAGTTACTAATCACTACAGCTGGAAGGCTGGGGTTGGGCAGCACCTTTGTCAATTCCCAATGTCTAACTGGATACAGCTAGTGAGAGCCATTATTGCAAAGATGAAATGAGCTAATGCATGTAAAGTGCTTGCAACAAGGATGAGCACATATTTATGCTCAATAAATGTTACCTGCTGTCAGTATTATATGTACTTAACGTTGAATGAGGGTCTGCTGGCCCCAGGATAGAAAAATTGTTTACCCACTCACCCCATTCTCGTGATCCATGCTATAGGAATATAATGGCCAACCTTGTTTTTACTAACCCTGTTCTCAAACTCTCCCTTTCTTTTAATCACCTAGCCTTGTTTTCGCCTGAGTTGACCCTCCCTTCGCTAAGAGAGCCAGACAGACTCCATCTTGGCTCTTTCACTGGCAGCCCCTTCCTCAAGGACTTAACTTATGCAAGCTGACTCCCAGCACATCCAAGAATGCAATTAACTTATAAAATACTGTGGTGAGCAATATCCGCAGTTCCCAGGAATTCATCTGATTGATAACGCACAAAGCCCTGCGTCTATCACCTTGTAATAGTCTTAAAGCCCCTGCACCTGGAACTGTTTACTTTCCTGTAACCATTTATCCTTTTAACTTTTTTGCCTACTTTACTTCTGTAAAATTGTTTTAACTAGACCCCCCTTCCCCATTCTAAACCAAAGTATAAAAGAAAATCTAGCCCCTTCTTCTGGGCCGAGAGAACTTTGAGCATTAGCCATCTCTTGGCCGCCGGCTAAATAAACTGACTCTTAATTCGTCTCAAAGTGTGGCATTTTCTCTAACTCAGTCAGGTACAACAGGAAGACTTCTATGCCGAATACAGACTACTTATCTTAACATATATCTTCTCCATTCCAACCTGGAGACATTTCATAGCATACAATTTACTTTCTTTTAACTACTGTCTTCCACAAGTTGTGATATCTTCCTAGATCTAAAGTGGAAGTAAGTACCATCAGAAGACCAAAGAAAGATATTCAGTTGCCTCTAAAGGTAGAATTAGTATACGTGCAGAAGACCACTTTCCCAGTGGATTTGAATATATACTAATGTAGACGCATACTAATTTTGAAAAAGGAAGTAGATAATGAAGATGGTCACCAGACCTTCCTATTGATTATAGGAGGACAGGTTTGCGTGATTCCTAAAGCAATCCACTAGTGTAACATCAATTTTATTTTACAATCCATGTTGCATTATATTTGAACTTAGTGGAAATCCTTCTATATTCTGGTGATACAGCAACAGTTACATCTACAAAATAGCAACATTTTTTATGAAATCTCTTTTTTTCTGACATGAATTTTGTGGAAATTTAAGAGGACTTGAAAAACTGCTGCTAGTCAGATGCCATTTTAGGCTGGAACATGTTACCTAATTTTTAAAATCAGGCCATTCTCAAAAAAGAAAAAAGCATAATGTTATTATTTAGAGAAAGTCCTTCTTCTTACCAATTGCAGGTCTTTATTTATCTGGGTCTGCATTTTTTAAACAATGATTATATAAGTTTCTAAGGAAATAAATAAATGTTAAATGAAATGATTCTCATCTACATACAGTATCAAATAAAATGGTATTTCAGGAAATGAAATCTGACTGATCAAATGACTTTCAAAGTAGCTGATATGGGGCACTATAGTAGAGTGATAAGGACAAAAATTCTACAGCCAGACTTCCTAGGTTTGAATTCAACTTTTGCCACTTATTGGGGGTATATGGTTTTGGCCACAAAGCTTTATCCCTATACCTCAATTTATTCATTTCTAAAATGGAAAATATAATAATAGTACCTTCTTCATAGGATTGGTATAGAAATCTGTGTAAATAAAGGTAAGACTATATGTTCCTTTGATTTTTACTTTTACATCAAAATATGTTCATACTCTGATTTTTCACAGAGGGTAAGGATGTTTCCCAAAATGTTAATAAAAATGTGGTCTATTCAAGAAGGTTACAGCTTATTTTGGTTGAATCTTTGCAATGTATCAGTGCAGAACAAAGTAGAATAGAGATCTGCAATTTATCCATGAATTTAAGCAGAGAAAAGAGCAAATTTAAAGAGCTCAGAGCTGCAAGAGCAATTCAGCCCTGGATTGTCTGGATTGTCTATTCTTCCAAACTATCCTGGAAAGCCTTCTCCCACTGTGTAGGCAGCAGCACACAACCAGGGAAAATCATGTCATAGAATGAGCTTTGAATTTTTAATTAATTCAAGAAATAATTTTGAGGTTTTAACACACAGATATACATTTGTCCTCAGAAGTAACACACTTCCATATCTTTTACTAGTTATTTCTCATGTAGTGTTTTAAATTAATTCATTTTTTCCCCAGGTACTTGACATTATATGGTGTCCACATTCGTGGTCTCTATAATTGGAATAGCTGGGTTCAAATCCTGTCTTTACCCCTTTCTATGAAAATGGCCTTGGGCAAGAGTAACTTAACCATTCTGTGACTCAGATTCTTAGTTTAGCAAATTGACATATTTATAGTATTTTATTTCTTTCATTGTTATGAGCATTGCACTTGGTAGTATTTATAAAACACAATATAAGAGTTCAATAAAGATAAATTTTATTCCTTCTTCTCAGTGCAGGAAACTTGCTTTAAGAGCTTCTGAAAGGACAATATCCACAGCACAATGTATAAGCCCAACTGGTATAGTTTTCCTGTGAACATAAATGTTTTTTTTAAAAATAGAGAAAACCAATCAAAGCAAAATAAAAGCTCTATTTATAAAAGGGACATTTAAGTATTTCTCTGTAACATATGATAACGCTATGGAGGTTAACTGCTCACAGTGTTTCTAAAGCAATCATCAAATATTTGTCATTAAAGCCAACCCTGGTATCTGGCCCGATAATGTGTGTTATTTATGTGTGTGTATCAACCCTGCTTCCCATGGTGAAATCTAAGTGTCCTCAGTTGTTTTATTCTTTCTGACCCAAAAGCAATGAAATTCCTCCTGACAATTACACACACCATCAAAGAATGAAATCCTCTTCTCAGTATCCCAATTACAACACAGACTTCTCTGCTCTTTCCCTTAAAAAGATGTTCAAATTCTTGTTGACTTAATCATCACCCTGCTGTATGATGATTATTATGAAGATTCCACCTCTTTGTAGAGTCAACATCTCATCCCAGTTTTCCCAACAGATTCCTGGTGTTAGGGCTGAAATTTCTGCATGGGGGAAACTTCTGGGTCCTGGGTAAATCAGGACAGTTGGACCTCTTACATCTTTGTTGACAGCCTTGAAAACTGATTATACAAAATGGAATCATTTTTTTTCTCCTACTCAACTAAAATAGAGTTGTGGGGGCATAGGGAAAAGCACTGAAGTACAAATACCTACTCCAGCAGCTGTCATGCAAGCCCAATCGGAAATCACAATGGCCTGCTATGACTTTCAGATTGCAAGTTTTACCTAGTAACTGCTGCCACTCACCAATTAGAACTCTCTACCTCCTGCCAGACACTACTGGCACCAATAAACTTTCTGTCAAAACAACTTAGCTTGCACAACCATCCGCTCCTCTCCTATAAAAAGCCAGCATTTACCTTTGTTCTTCAGACACATCAGCAGCCACTCTGGTCTCTGTGTGTGTATGTCCCGAATTGCAATTTTTATATATTATTCCAATTAAACCCTTTGCTTGGAGATTTGTCTCTCCATGTATTTAGTTCATGTTGGCAGACCCCAAACTAAAATAGCTTCTTTTGCTTCTGAATTTCCATGTAATAGGCTTAGCTTTTTCCATCCATTTGATATTTACTGAGTTCATATTTTGTCATTGTTTTACCATCTCAATAGATGTTAATTTTTCAAGAAGTCAAGAAAACATGTATTAATTATTTTACATGAACGCTAAAGCCAGTAGTGCTAAATTCAAATCTTGCTAATTACATCAGCTTAAGAATTTTAATTAATTGTTCTTTAAATTTAGTCTTTCATTTATAAAAGAATATCTACTATAGCAAGTATTATTCTCAGTCTACCAACTCAATTTAGCAAAAAAAGGTATTCAAAAACATATGACCAGAATATTATAGAGATCCAAATACATGACAATTTTATATATATATATATTTTTTTTTTTATTATACTTTAAGTTCTAGGGTACATGTGCACAATCTTAAATACAATCTGAAACTCGATTTTTCTGTTAGAAAATAATTGTTTTGGTCAACTAGAATGTAAACCACATAGATAAAATTGAAAAGTATTCACTTATGATATTCAATTTATAAATTTACCTGTCAATAAATTTACAAATCATATAATATAAAATATTTAGAAATGCCACTTTCTTCTGGTCTCATATTTTGTGAAATAACTTGTTTCAAACTCTTCACTTGCAATTTCAAAATAAGTTTCTTGGTTGTCATTGGAACCTTTATTTGAATCATCAAATAGCTTACAGAAAACCTTATTTTTATTTTTATTCATACTCTTGGAGATATATTTTTGAACACGACGCATTCTGTGTATAATGCCATCATTAATAGGTCTATCTTATGCCTCAAGAATCCATCACATAGCATTGGAAGATTTTTTCTCTTATTCTTTTTATCCCATACTCTTAATCTCCACAAAACAAACAAAAATATATTAGGCTTTTTAATTATGCAAGGCTAACACTTACAATGTTATCGAGCACTTAAATTATGAGCCATATTCCTAGAAATAAGTACCACATCTGTATTGTATTTCTTGTCTTTTTGTTTCACTGATAACTCCTTTTCTTCTGGTTTTCTATTTGTTTTTATTTCTTTGTTTCTTGAGACAGGGACTTATTCTGTCACCCAACCTTCAGTGCAGGGGCATGATCATGTCTCACTGCAGCCTCAAACTCCGAGAATCAAGTGATCCTCCTGCCTCAGCCTCCCAAGTAGCTATGACCACAGGTACACACCAGCACACCTCGCTAATTCTTTCTTAAATTTTTGTAGAGATGGGGTGTACTTTGTCACCTAGGCTCGTCTCAAACTCTTGGGCTTAAGCAATCCTCCCACCTTGGCCTTACAAAGTATTGGGATTGCAAGCATGAGCCACCATGCCTGGTCTCACTGATGACTCTTTAACTTGGTGAGTTCTACAGCATTCATGAGCTGCATTGATTGAGATTATTTAAGATGAATTTTCATCTGCTAAATGTTACTTTTCACTATTTTTCATCAAAATGAGGTTATTAAGAAAATCTCCAATCTCACTCGTCTTTGTTTCGTGCAGCCATAACAGAATACCTGATACTGAGTGACATATAAATAACGAAAATATATTTCTCACAGCTCTGGAGGCTGGGAAATCCAAGATTTAGATGCTAGAAGGTTACAACCTGGAGTTTCTGCTTCCAAGGTGGTGACTTGAACCCTGCAACATTAATCCATTCAGGGCACAGCTTTCATCAGCTAAACACCTCCCATGAGGTCCCACTTTCCAACACTGTGGCATTGGGGATTACATTTTCAACACATGAATTCTGGGGGACATATTCAGAGCATAGTACCTCCATTGTATGATATAAAAAGCTACTTAAGAACTCTGACTGACAAATTTATATCTTTTCTGAGTTGTAATTTAGGGATACTAATGGGAACAAAACAAAGATTTAGTTGGGTTACATGAAAGTGGTTAAATGCCAAAGTTGTGCTTTTTAGTGGTAGTTTGAGTTATTCTGATTGCACCAGTTTTCATATTCATTTTGGAGAAAATATAGAAAATACAGCAACAAATAGTCCTGGTTCTTATGAAAAAAGAAAAGGAGAGAGAGAGAGAGGACGGGGAGAACAGGATGAAGGAAAATGCCTGCTCTGTATGTATCCTAGAATTAGTTACTCCTGCCTAGTAAGTCCAGCTCTCTGAAACTCTTTAAGAATATAACAGATAAAATCTATTCTCATTTCTCAATGAATTAATGCATTTTTTTTTATTCTTTGGCCCTGTAACAGTGGTTCCAGATCAATGGTGTCACTTTTCAACAAGAAGTCCCTTGAGTTAAGTTCAAGTTGGCTGTAATAAACATTACCTCTGCCATGTCTTGTCACAGCCTGGTGCCATCAGGGAATTACTTGTTGCCAAGATGTAAATTTTTGACATAGCACAATGTAATAAAGCACCTCAGCTTCTCTAGAAAGAAAAATGTTATATTTTTGTATGTGTTTCTTTTGAAGCATCTTTTCCTTTTATGAGAAAATATAAATTTGGTTATATACATTAAAAGGCAGAATTTGCTGGTTCTGTTTGGAAGGAGGTGGAGTACATGTTTGAATAGCCAAAAGAGTTGATCTCCAAAAGGAGAAATTGTGTCTTTCTGGAGATGGATTTAATGTCATTATGCATAAGGATGTTACGATTACTTTACCTGATGAGATGTTTTGACTTTCAGGAAAACAGTTGATTTTCAACAGGGTGCCAATGTCTGTTAAATAACCGAAAAAAATATGATCATCAAGACACCAAGGGTTTATTTCCATAAAGTCAGTTGGCATGGACAAAGTCTGGTTTATGGCATGTATAGTAAACCTATATGGTAGTGTTCTGTTTGCTAAATTTACTCCCCCTTGGGTTTCTCATCTACAACTTGGGAGTAATAGCATCTAACAAAATTTTGATTATTTAAGTGAAACATTCTTATAAGATATACATTAATGTATTATGTCATAGCTATATTACATTAAAATGTTTACATCTCATTTAAACACATGATTTTTTTACTGTATCAAATTTTATTTCAAAGTTTTCAAATTATTTGTAGTAAAACTAACTTAAAAGGCTTTTATACTAAAATCCCTACTTGTGGATAAAAGCTTGTTTTTTTCAGATGAGATATCTCCTATAGTAGTACTAATTAATTCTTATTCATGACAACAAGAAAAGGAAGCATAAGATTTATATTTAAGGATTCACAGTAGGCAAATATTTATAAACATCTTTTAAATCAATTATATGAGGGAAGAGAGCAGGTGATTAAACCTAGCAATGGTTTATATAGAGATCAAGGCTATAAAGGCTGTGAAATGAAGGGAAGTTATATGTACCTACTTCATGGAGCCCTCCAATTTCTCAGGTGGAAAGCATATGTGCTTCATTAGGTTACAGACTGAAGTAAGAAAAGATTAGGCGAAATTGCTAGCCCTGAGGACTAAAAGCAACAAACCTCAACAGCTCCAAATAGAACAATCCATGTAAATGTGACATTAGTATCTAGCATACCAGCTGTGTGGTGCAATCACTCAGCTATTAATGACTTCGTATGGGGCATGTAACTTGCACTCTGTACCAAATTCCAGAACCCCTTTCTTCTGTTTCAATAATTTTCAGTGCCTCTTTCCAGTGTGACCTAAAACTTCTTTCTTTCTCAGCTCTGAGCTGTCTTTTCATAGATAACATGAAAATATGGAAACTAATGCTATTAAAATGCTTTTAATATTGAGAATTTGCTGAAGTGTCAGATATAATGCTTTCAATTGTCTTCACTGAAATTGCAATATTTGAGGAGTTATTTGGAAATACACACACACACACACACACACACACATACACATTAGTCAAGCAAAGTAATTTCTAATGGAAAGTTACTGAATCGGATTACAAAATACAGATATAAAAATCTGTTTATTTTTACACTAAATGTTAAGATGTTCTTGAAAGTGGAAACTGTTAAAAAACATTGTAAATTATAACTGATATCAAGAAAAGAGAGATTACTATTTAATCACTTAGCACAAATTAAACCCCAAAAGGCAGAAAAAAAGAGAATGATCAAGAGTAAATCAATTTAGTTTTAAGAACTAACATTATTTTGATTTTATAACTAAGTAATTTTATTTTAAAATCTTTAGCACTGTTTATAAAGAGACAGTATTTGGGGATACTATTTTGCATTGTTTATAAAAAGCACATTTTTGTATACCTGGCTCTCTTTTAAGAAAGTTCTAGAGTAATAGGTCACAATTTTCTAATTTCAGAAGTTCAATCCATGCCATTATTATTGAGGTCAATTGCTTATTAATTTTCAGAGTTAAACATAAGAAAATATTAATGGCCACAGAAAATGTTCCTTATTGTGAACCAACACTGAAAGAAAGTAGTGGAAATGCCTAGTATGATAATTGACTCAATGGACATATGTGATGCTATGGAGAAAAGGCACGAATTTCCATCTTTATGTCCCAACACCATTTTTCCACACTGGCATAAAAAAAGTGATAGACATTACTAAGATTACTAAGTTGGAATAATCTATCAGCTAGAAACAGCTCTATAATATTAACCTTATCTCTAGATTTTACCGGGAAGAAACTGAGAAGAAATCACTCATTAAGGATTATATTATTAAACTTGTTGGCCCAGATGCCATTGCTGTAACTGAAAAAAACAAAGCAGCTGGCAAATGTTGAATGGAAGGGCATACATGAGCAAAAGTAGCAACAAATAGACTAAGTTGGTGAGTTATTGTTGGGGAATACTAGATCAAAAAACACAATTAAGAGAAAGTTGGATGTTGCTGAGATACAGAGAACCATTCTGCAGCCAGGGTGGATTATCATGACCCCCTTAATAAGAGTGTATTTTGAATAAGAACCAGAAAAATGAAAGGAATCTAGTATGCTCCCTGGGATAATTATAAGTTGCTCCCTGCCTGCCTACTTCCCCCACCACTACCAGTGGCTTTTAGAAATATTTTAAGAGAGAAACATTGGCTTTATAGAATAATACATGCGACTAACAAACAATTCAGTGATACTAATTTGCTTATTTACAAAATTACATTTTCCTTATTACATTTGTTGTTTTCCATTTATGACAAACACGATCTATTCTATTTTTGAATCAGCATGGTGATTCATGAGTACATACGGTTGAGGTTCTCCTGCAGGAGACATGTCTATTAACTTCTGTTCTTTTCCCTTTAAGAAAACACTAGGCTTGATCCTTCTCTACAGTGTCCAGACTTTTACTGTTTTCCAAAATTATTTCATTACTTGTTTTCCTTGTTTTAAATAGCCCCTTTCAATGTCAAAAGTATCAAAACAAAAAAATACAACAAATCAGCATTTTTCTACATGCATTTTTCAACATACACTTTTGTTCCTTCTTAGAAGTCTGATAATTATAAAGCTTTCTTTTGAAATCTAGATTTCCATTCCAGTGAAAGTCTATGACATCATCCATAGTGGCACAGACTTTCTTGATTGTCACTTAGCCAGGATAAGCACATGAGCTGGGTAAAGGAATTTAGATGTCATAGGATAAAGAAAAGAACAGAATATTTGGTGAGCGGAGAAAAAATATATCCAGGGAAATAGAAAAGGACAGAGGGTACAATGGGAATGAGGAATGGGAATGATGAATAAATGGGATAATGAGCAAAAAAAGTGGTTAATATCGTCATTAACCAAACCTCTTTATCTGAAACGGTAGGTACATCACTCTCCACTCACTCCTACTCCTGTACTTACTGCAAGTAACCAAATGTTCCCTTTTTATAGTAGGAATTTCAACCTCTGGTAAATAATTTTTGCATTCTGGACACAGGTCTGGAAAATAAAATTGCTATACAGCGGTAAAGAAGAATTCCTACTTGGCAGAGTTTCAGCAAAACTCTAGTTTTATTGTGGAGTGGGATGCCATTCGGTACATTTATTTTACTGCATTCTCTGGATTATTGCTATATATTTGATTGTGCCAGTGAAAAACAAGAACATGGTTCTTGGGCTTAGAAAGTATATCTAACAGTCACTTTTAAAAACAAATTCTGTCTTTAGTTTTAGTGTTTAAAATCACTAAGTTAAAAAGAAAATCAAGGGCTGAGGTCAACAACTGTTCTTTCTACCTTCTCAATTTATCTTTTTCTTACAAAGAAAGCCACCCTTCCCCATTTCAAGCTCTAGAAACTCACCCAAACCCACGAGTATCAACACAGAGAATAGTAGGTAACCCCTGACCCAAGTTGGGAAAGTTGTTCCCTGTGATTTATAGGTCATAAAAGTGACCTCCCTGTCCTTCGAAGCTTCCAGGTTCAGATTATTTACACTTAAAGCTGCAGATAGCCCTATTTCCTACTTTATAGAGAAAACAATGGACCCTTTAGTAGAAGAAATTGTCTCCATAATCAGTGAAGAGACTGGGAACAGCATACAAAGAAGAAGAGATGGAGAGAGATGAACAGAGGTAGAGACGTATGATAGAGATCAAGATGAAGAGTAAGAGAGAGCTGGAGACAGGAGCTGAGTTCCTGGAACCAGCTGAGCCTGAGAGCCGCTCCACATCTGCCCTTTCTCCGGGGATGGTAATTCAATGCATTGCCCTTGTGTTGGTTGATTTATTTCGGTTTTGTCCTCTGTTAAACCACTGTGAGTTGGGTCTCACCACTTGAAAGAAATAGGGTGCTGATTAACCAAGGAACAAAAAGAGGGAATAGAAGGCGTATGAGGACTCTAAACCCATTAGTATATCAGTTCTACTGTCACTTCTAGTACATTTTGGCATGGATGTTGGAGGAGTGATTTATTCTGTCTCAATGTCAGTCCATTTATCAGCCAAATGGAGATAAACTTTTTCTCACATATTTTCTGAGAAAATCAATATAATTTGCAGGAGGGAAGGAGTATCTAGTTGTTCTGAACTAAACTGTAAAGCCTACCTCAGCCCATTATGACACGATACTGAGCTCAAAATGGAGGAGCTGTGGAGGACGAAGAAAGAACGAATTGATTGCTGAGATGCTACTGGCCACCCTGGTGAGAATGCTTCATGGTTTGGTATAGATAGGCTTTTGAAGAACGGTTATTCTTTGCAATAGAAAGCCCTTCCATACAGAATAACTATCTATAGTATCTTTTGCAGAAGTGAAGCCCAGTTTCCCCCCAAATAATTTCATTCTTTTCATAATCCTGCCCATCTTTTAAAATCAACAAGCCTACAATATATTTTTCTCAATAATTTTTATTTTTTGGATGTTTTGATCTCTTTATGTCTTTTAAGAAAATGAGCCTTTGAGACCCACTTTTATGACTCTTAAGAAAGCCTGGCTTTTTCATTCGTTTCCTTTTGTATTCTGATCCCCACCATTTAGTGACATTTATTATAGACTATAAAAGGATTCTTCTATTTATTTCAACAAGAATTTTTGTTGTTACTGTTACTAATGGTTTCTATTAGGTTCACTGTCAAAAGTGAATAAAATGGATAGTTGTTTGTGGTATGTTTCTAGATGTATGCAATAAATGAAATATTAGTCTATTTTGTGAACCTAGAGTAAATGATAGCTGTGACACTTAGGAATGATATTTCACTTATAATATTTATCTAATTGTTAATGGTTTAATAACTGCAATAAAACAGAACTGCAATAAACAGCAGCCTTTGCGTCAGCTTGGCTCTCCTTCCTGTTTATGTGCTCTACACTTTCGAGAAGAGGCGATTGTTTTGCTTTTTCAATCTGATTGTGTGGAAACAGCACAGAACAGTGGGAGAGGAAGTGTGGGACAAGGTTTCTAACAGGGATTCCCCTCATCAGATTCCCTATTCTGGATTTAATGTTCTTCATCTTTTCAGTCTCCCTTCTAGTCCCCTCTAAATGTCCCGAAGTACAATATCAACAGGTAAAAGACAAAATGTGATTAAATGAGGAAGCATGCTAATATGATCCTAAGGTTATATTTCTAAAATGAGTCATTCTAGATGAATTATCTCTCACCATATTACTTTCTCAAATGCAGCTTGTTTGTGAAACCCTTGTATAAGTTAATCAAGAAAGAGAAGACTTTTAAAAACAAGATAGGTGGAATTTCGATGAATAAGAAATTGTCTACACTGGGTAACAGCAAATGAATTTTCTATACTCTGCAGCGAGTTACTTGTTTGATAGTCTAAAGACTAAAGCAAATTGCCATAGGCAACAAAGTATACCCCCAAAATCACAATAAATGTCGAAATAAGTGATTGTAGCTCATCCAGTAGCTGAAACTGGAAATCCATCCAAACCAGTGTGGACTTGTCATTTTCCCTAAAGACCAATTCTATGTTGTTAATCCTTCTAGAGTATATTTCTATTACTACTATTGTTATTTTACCTATTGTTATAACTACTTAAGGTTTTTTAGTTTTAAATTTCTTGTCTGCAGAGGGTATTATGTCCTATTTTTCTTCTTAGTTCATAGCAATGAATACACAGAAAAACTTAAATATAGCACCAGAAGGAAAAAAAATATATGGCTCTAAGTTTGATGAGGAAACTCAGACAGAGAAGAGTTAAATGTCTCTAAGTTACACCACTTGTTAGTGATAAAATTTCTCTTAACATCTAATCATGCACTCATCCTCAGCAATTGTTGATAAGTGATGCTAATTCTACTAGTCTTTATATCTGGAAAACCTAAATAAATCTCCTTGATATGGTTTGGTTGTGTCCCCATCCAAATCTCAACTTGAATTGTAGCTCCCATAATTCCCATGTGTCGCAGGAGGGACCCAGTGGGGAGTAATTGAATCACAGGGGCAGGTCTTTCCTGTGCCATTCTTGTGATAGTGAATGAGTCTCACAAGATCTGATGGTTTTATAAACGGGAGTTCCTGTACTCAAGCTCTCTCTTGCCTGCCACCATGTAAGATGTCCCTTTGTTCTTCCTTCATCTTCTGCCATGATTGTGAGGCCTCCTAAGCCATGTGGAACTGTGAGTCCATTAGAATTCTTTCCTTTATAAATTACCAGTCTTTGGTATGTCTGTATTAGCAGCATGAGAACAGACTAATACACTCCCTTTCCTCTGAAGTCCTGAATAACTGAGGCAGTCAGATATATGCAAACTCACTTTCCAGGTCAAGAATATCAAGAAAAGTCATCGTACAGGAAAAAGAAGACTTTTTTTTTTTTGCATATTAGGGACATGGGAGTCACACTTCTGGAAGTACTCTGTGACCACAGGAGCTTTACCCCTTTCCTGCACGGGGCCAGGCTCCCATCTGGGATGGTTCTGGGATTTACTGATGTCTCCTATTTCCCATCAATCATACACACATTACTTTAAACCTAAGAATAGTCCTGAGGAGGGATACTCCCATTCTCACTTTACAGACAGTTCAGACAACTGAGGCTCAGAGTTCCAGAATCAGCTTGAAGCCACAGAGCAGCCCAGTGGAAGCTCTTAGTGCTTGGTACAGATTTTCTAATTCTGAAGCTTCTGCTTGTCCATCTGTCTGGGCTACTTCAACACAAAGAGTGGATCTCAGTCCTGACTGCACATCTGAATCACTTGCTGAGCTTAACATAAGAAGAAGAAAAAAGTCACTTCTCACAAGTCCCCACCTACAACCAATTCAATGGGAATCTTGGTTGCTGGAGTCTGAGCACAAAACCTCAGTAGATGATGCCAGTGCGCACCCAGGTTTGCAAATCTTATCTAGAAGATAATCTAGAAGATAATCAGCAGAAGCATTTGCTGGGGAAAGGAAGGAGCCTGAGAGGCATTCCCCATTGCCATAGAAGTGTTTGGGTGGCCACCTGATTTATCAGCCAAACCAGCCAAACCAGGACACAGGAGAGAGTGTAATGGGGGTGGTCCTAATAACAAAGCAGGGACAAGAAACATAATCTAAGTTTGTCCTGGACCAATGAGTCAGTGTTTTTGCTCTCTGTGTGACTCAAATTAAATTTTGGTTTCGATTTTTAAGTCTAACAGTAAGGACTATTTCATTTAACTCTGTATCTCCACTGGGCTTCCTATGGAGTGTTGCGCAAAGGATACATGGAGAATTTGTAAGATGGATCCACTCAAGGTTGTTTTTCCTTGTCTGTTTTACAGACTGTCACTCATTTTTTCACTTAAAATAATTGCTATAGTTCTATACGGTGGATAAAAGAAAAGTGGTTATTTTTCAAAAACAGAAACCAAAAGCTTAAATAATCTTTTCATTGTGAAACAGCTTTCTGGGCTGGTGATAGCCACATGCCCAGCCTAACTTTGCTTTGTCCAGTAGTATACATCATTTACTCTCTGAATTTTCGAATTGTCTTTCTTCCTAGTTTATAGATCTGAATTTTCAGCTAAGATAAATAGACCTATGAACCCTTCTTTATATATTTTAATAGTCACCTAATTACATTTACACTCAAAAAAGAGAAGAGTGGTTTGGTATAAATAACAATTCTAGGCAAAGTAAATAGGAAATAAGGAGATAAATTTTTATTGGATAATGGCTTAGTTCTTGTCATATAAAGCAATGGTCCTTGTCTGATCGCCAGTCTCTAAATAACAATTCAGAAGCAATACACACAGCAGTAATTGGACCAGTATAATTGTCTTGAGATTATCTAACTCACTATAAGTAAGCTTCGTAACGTAAGACTTACAGCAAACTATTTTGAATAAAAACGTCAGAACATTTAGATGGTCAAGATTTATTGTGTACTTATGTACATTTAAAAGAAACCCTGGGGTATTCATTCAGTTGAGTCTTTTTAAATTTCCCAGCTTATAGTTTACACCACTAAATTAACATAGAAGCAAATGAGCTTTTCTTTTGTACCATAGATTATAGAGAACTTCCTGAATATATAGCTTTATAAAAAGTGTTTAAAGACATATTTAATTCAAGTTTCTTTCCAATCATAAAAGCTAATTAACTCAATTGAAAACATAATTCTATACAAAGTAATGCTAAGAAAAATGTATGTCTTTTAGCACATTCCACAAGTCTCTACCCAGGTTTGTTAAGTGGTAAAATAATTAGGAAATTAGTTTATGTAGTTCTATTGTGCTAGATTATTCAAGACACTAACTAATAGAAGCATACTAGAGAAGAATTATATGACAAACCAAAAAGACTTATTTTCATGTACATCCTAAATTAAGAGCAGAAACAGAACTAATAAAAAAATCTGTCTTCTGCTGATTTCTTCTTTTATTTATCTTTTCTTTTCCTTGATCATCATCAGTTTCTGAAGGTTTAGCTCGCAATGTCTTCACTCCTTGGAGAATAGCATTCTTCATCTATCACCAACAAGCATATGGTTCCCAAATCTGTGCATAAACACCTCTTTCTGCCACAGTCTCTCCCTTGTTCTATAATTTCATATTCCCAAATGAAACTCTCACTGAGTTGTCCCTCATCAAACAATGAACCTACAAGTGAATCCCTCACAAAAGGTAAAGATAAATACAAAGGAAGTTGGTGATCCTGGTCAATATTTTACTTGATGTCCAATTTTCCTTTGTAAAATTAACAAACCTGGTCAATCAGCATCTGTTTCATCGTCATTATTTTGCACAGACGTCTTAACCTCACAGCCTCAATTTTTAGCCCCCGAGCCATGTTTTCCTTTCTATGAATATACGCCTAAAACATGCCTTTGGACCACAGGAACATTCTAAGTGCTCCTCTGTCATGGCAGCTTTGAACTACCTGATTGTGGTAGTAGCACCTTCGTTGCAGTTGTTGTCTTCTGCTTCTCTGCTGGAAAAATTGCTGTCTCCTATGAATATAAAAACATGCCTTCCCCTGCCCCAGTTTCAGAATTTAATTTCCCACTAATCACCAAAAAAGAAGCAAGACATTTTTTACATTTGGAAATTTGCATTTGAATCGTGGAGATGATAATCAACGTATTTTTCTTTGCCCTAATGCTATTTAATAGGAAAGCTATGAGGTTTTTTTTCCCGTTTAAAGATGTAAGGGCTACCTTATTCCAGTGGATGTAGATCTCATTTTAAACCAGGTTTTACTTTTATTCTGAGTGATTTAGTAAAAAGAAAGAAATTTAGGTTTACCCATATCCTAGTGGGGATAAAAACATAAAATGGAAAGCAGAATAATGCAGTCACCAACTAGGAAAATAAAAAAATAGAGGTTTTTAAAGATTATTCAATTTTAAGATATAATAGATAGGCTGGTGTGCTGTTATTGAGGCACAGAAAGGAGTCCATAAAGACAAAATGTAAGGTGCACTACTGAATACTCCATGTGCCAGTAATGTCTATTACTATGTGGGCATCAAATGGTTAAAATCCTTTTTATCATAAAACCTCATTCTGCTACACTTCATGGAGTAGCCAGCAAAGTGACAGTTCCTTCAGAGGTGGAAAGACCTTTTCAGATATGACAACCTGGAAGCTGTACTTCTCCAAAACTAAGTCAGTTTACATATGTCATCCCCTCTGCAAGGGCATTCTCAGGAAATAGGCTGTGGCAGCAAGGAATTTGCAGATGAAAGAGAGCGAAACTCCTGTGTTTTTAGAAATACATTGATTTGTCCAGTATTTAATGAAGAACATGGATGGCCAGAGCTATACACATCGTTGATGAAGACTTTCATAAGACAGTTATCTGTGTGCCTGTTTGTATCCTTTGCCAGACTGCACATTCTTTTAAGGTCATTTATGTTCACCATAATGTGTATCCCAAGAACTAACCATAGTGACTGGTACATAGCAGGCATTAAATTAACAATTCCAAGGAGATACTGATAATTTTCTACAAATAAAGTAAAAATCTTGATAAGAAGGAAGAGCAAATCCTGTATGGATGATACTGAAGGTGACTAGCAGACGATATACAAGCAAACTATAGAGAAAGAAAATAATAACAGCAAACTCTTATAACACTTACTACGTGCCATGTGAAATTATAAATGTAAATGTATCCAAATCTGTCAAAAAATCTCTGTTATAAGCACTATTACATTAGATCAGAGACTTCAGGCACAGTGACTGGTCTGAGGTCATACAACATGCAATTGTCAGAGCTGGAATTTTAATTCAGAAAGTCTGGCTTCAGGAAGTTTTCACTACACTGCTGCCTACAAAAAGAATAACCTCAAAAGGATAAGAACAGTCTGTTTTCCTAATAGGGGGAGGTGTTGAAAAACCATCTGTATGGTGAGGAAAAATCAGAAGTAAGAGTAATTATGTGTAGTTTTTGAAGCTTTGTATATGCCTGTGCATATACTTGTTGCATGGGTATAGTTTATTTATTTATTTATTTTTAAGACAGGCTCTGGCTCTGTTATCCAGGCTGGAGTTGCAGTGGCATGATCTTGGTTCGCTGCAACCTCCCTCTTTTAGGCTCAAGCAATCCTTCCACCTCAGCCTCCTGAGTAGCTGGGACCACAGGTGCATACCACCATGCCCGGCCAATGTTTCGTATTCTTTGTTTCGCCATGTTGCCTATTCTCATGTACACAGCATTTATATGCCGGTGTGTGTATAAATGCTTCAGTTCACTACTTATGTACTGGTTTGGGGTAGTTTATTACATATTGTGAATTTAAGAGTTCTCTACTGATCCTTCATATTATCTTTATAAAAGAAAAATAAATGAACTGGGTAGATCTTGCTTGCAACCATCATCAAGCTGTGGTGCTCCTAGTGTCAAGATGCTGTAATCAACCCCACTGTAGAATGTTTCCCAAAGTGATTTTCCTAAAATTCTACTTCTGTGGGACAATATGAGGTGCCACCAGGAAAATAAGTTTCATAGTTAAACAAGTCTGGAAAATTTTAAGTTAAACAAAATTAGACCAGTTGCATTATGTCAGGGCTTCACGCTATAATTAACACATAAATGTGTGTTGTTAACCTCCAAAGACCACCTGTTCTACTGAAGAAATCACAAGATCATGGTTTTTCATAGAACAAACTGAGAAAAACTGCCTTGGAGATTTTATTTTTCCTATTTGGCTGTTTTACACATTATAACTAGGCCAGACTGTGTTTTGAAAACTTGGCCATCAACTTGCCATCTACATTGAAGAACCACTAAAAGTGTTATATGAGGAATACTTAATCTGTTACATTTACTATTTGAGTACAACTTTCAGGAAAATAGACTCACCCAATGTTTTATGCAATGTTTTGCCATGGTCATAAAATATGTAACATAAATCTTAGCAACTATTTAATTTTTGTTTAGTTTACAAACTTCCACTCACTGGCCCTCCCTAACAGATTCTGTGGACTTGATAGCAAACATGTTTTCTGTTTAAATTTTTTTAAACTGAAGCTAAAAAAAACAAGCTTTCAAACAACATTGAATATAATGCAACTCTAGGTTGCTATCACCCTGCTTCACTCATTCAAAACTGATCGCGGAAATTGATCCAGTAAGCTTAGCCCTGTCCCACAAGCAATGTACTTTTTGGTGGGAAGGGCAGTCATATGGACAACTCAGTATGCTATTAACAGTGATGCAGCTGAAATACCAAGAGACCACTACTGTGGCACATTGTGACTCTGTATAAAAGTGGGTTTCACATTGAAGGTGCTATTTGAGTTGGGTCCTGAAAAGTAAAAATGTTGCAACTATATAAGTATTCCATGCAGAGTAATCAACATAAAATTATAATGAATCATCATAATAATGAAAGTAAATGGAGCACCCCTATATGCAACATACCCAAGTCAGTTTCTTAATTGAGCCCTCATGTCAGTCATCTGACTCTACTTTAAAGATCAAGAAAAAGGTTTAGAAATTTCAGAAACATGCCCAGGTCCCATGCACACCAGATCCCAGTCTTCTCTTGTGACATGAGAGCATAGTAAGCTCCAGGAGCAGTAACCCGTCCCATAACACAGTAACACAGACAAAGGATGACAATGACAAGTATTAATTATGAAGCACACACCTTTGGCCAGGCACTATTCTAAACTTCTCACCCACCTTATGTACTTTGTTCCTCACAACTATCTGATGAAGAGTGTAGGTGATCATGCCCATTTGTCAGATGGGGAAACTTTTTTTTTTTCCTTAGAAGGAGAAAATTTGTTAAGAGAGCTTAAATAACTTGTTCAAAGTCACAAGACACATAAACGATAGAATCAAGGCAATTTGACATTAGGGTCTACACTGTTAGCTATCATGTTATATGGCCCACTAGCATAATTATGTGGTACATATGGAGATTAGGAAGTTTTTTTCTATCAGGAAAAAAATTATTCTAAAAGCTTAAAAGTTTGGGCCAGTATTACCAGAATGAAAATGACTATATAAGGCGGCAATTTCCTCTTTCTCTCAGATATCATTTCTTTTAAATTAATATTTAAAAAACCTCACTATTCAGCAAATCTAGGAGATAAATATCTTCTGTGACATACGATGGCCAACATGGCAAAGACCAGCACAGAAGCTGCTCTGGGGAGAATGGACACAGCATTGACCCAGAGGAGGCAGAAATGAAAAGGTACCACGGGACACATATACACCAGGATATAGTGAGATTGTGAAGCGAAAAACAGCAAAATAAATCAAGCAAATAGCACACTAAATGTGTGCAAGAATATTGATGAAAACTCCTAAATAAAATATCAGGCAACATAATCCAAATACCGTACTAATCATACAATAATCAATTATTGAATGTTAGTTTCCTAAGACTGCTATAACAAAGTATCAGAAACTGAGTGGCTTAATCAACAGAAATTTATGGTCTTATGGCTTTAGAGGTTAGAAGTTTGAGATCAAGGTGTGACAAAGGTGGGTTCCTTCTGAAGCTCTCATGGAGAATCTACTCTATGCCTCTGTCCTAGCTTCCGGTGGGTTGCTGACAATCTGTGGCCTCCTTTGGTTTGTCAATGCATGACTCTAATCTCTGACTTTACTTTCACATGCTGCTCTCTCTTTGGGAATATCTGTGTTCAAATTTCCCCTTTTTATAAGGACACCAGTCACATTGGATTAGGGGTTCACCCTACTTACTGTATGACCTTATATTAACTAATTATATATGAAATGACCCTATTTCCAAATTATGTCACAGTCAGAGGTACTGGAAGTTAGGACATCAACATAGGAATTTGGAGGGACAAAATTTAAGTTATAAAATAGGGTTTATTCTAGTATCGTATGAATTATTTAATATTAGAAAACATAATAAACTAATTCACTATATTAATAGACCTATGAATTTAAAAACATTTGAAAAAATAAAATACTCATACTTCAAAAAGTAACACCTAAACATGATAAAAACACACCAGAGTCACCCCAAGTTCTAGAATTATGTTTTTAAGAGAAACATTATAGTTACACTTAAATAAGCAACAAGATCAGAATCTCACTATTTCATGTTTTATAGATATTGATAACAGTGCTATTTGGCAGAAGAAAAAATTAAGGGTATAGAGAATTTTAAAAAGGCAAAATGTTGTTTGTATAGGATATGGTCATTGTACAAGGAACAGTAAAGAAAATCACTTAAAAGAACTATTTTAAAAAACAGAATTGAATTAGTAAGGTATGGAATTGATGTACAGAAATGAGCAGCATTCATGTATAAAATAACATCTGAGTAGAAGATATGACGGAAGAGGAAACTCATTTTAAACAT
This sequence comes from Homo sapiens, assembly GCF_000001405.40. Lineage (NCBI taxonomy): Eukaryota > Metazoa > Chordata > Mammalia > Primates > Hominidae > Homo > Homo sapiens. The sequence continues at coordinate 37,895,993 of NC_000013.11, forward strand.
TAATGAAAAGGATAGAATAGGAATAAACTGAAAAGAAATTACCAAAACCTATAGGAAGAAAATTGTTAGATATGAAAGAGGAAAACATGAGAAGCTATGTAACCATATTTGGGGGAATATGCATAGAGAAACCCTGAAATACTACAAGATAAACTTCAAGAACACAGAAAGACCAAGAGCAGTTGTTACATGTGTTTGGGTTGGGGGCAATGTAAGGACTGGACGCTTGGGGTTAAGGATGGGAAAAAGCGTTTCATAATTTCTCTTTTTGTACTTTTTGATCTTTGAATCCCTGAGTGAACTACCTATTCTAAACTTAAGTTACAAAATAAGTGCTGTAGATGAAATATTTATGTGCCCCCAAAACTTGTATGTGATGGTATGAGGAGGTGGGGACTTTTGGGAGGTGATTAAGTCATGATGAGATTGGTGCCCTTAAAAAAGAGACCCTAGAGAACTCCCTCCCTCTTTTCTGATTTGTGAGGTTATAGCAAGAAGACAGCTGTCTATGAGCTAGGAAGTGGGTCTTCACTAGACATCAAATCTGAAAGCTGTCTTGCTTTTGGACTTCCCGGCCTCCGGAACTGTAAGAAATAAATTTCTGTTGTTTATAAGATACCCAGTCTATGGTTCTGTTACAGCAGCCCAAATGGACTAAGAGATCTCATGTTTAACTAAATCCTGAGGATCATTTTATCTCATAGAACAAAATTTTCAAAATACATATTATTTAACGAATTCCCCAAATGCATTGCCAAGCTTAAATTCTTTAATATACATATAATATAATAAATATTTTAGGTGATGTAAATCATATTTTGTAATGAGTAAACAACAGATAAATCATTCATAGTAACTTTTGCTGGCATGCAGGCTTGTAAGTAAATCTCAGTGCCGCAAAGCAACTGCAAATTCACATCTCATTCTGAGATAAAGACAAATGAGGACTTTTAAAGATTAACTTTCAAAACCCTGCTTTATAAAAATTATTTTTTAAGAAGCCTTTTGAGGGAGTTCAGCAGGGACCTGTGGACATGCCTCTCTATCTTTACTGTCATAGATTATAAGATATACTTGAGTAAAAGAAGTTACAAGATATTCTAATTTCTTTAGGAATGAAAATTTCATGATGAGACATCAGGGAAATGTACTAAATGTGATGCATTTTGTTTTTGACTAGAGTTTGCACAGAAATAATGACATGACTCCCACTAGGGAACAACAAAGCAAGACCAAATTCTGAAGACTGGACTCACTGCGATTCTCCTGGTACCCAGGGAAGCAAGCAGGCATTAGGGGATCTTCAGGGGCACTTGATATGTGAGTTACAATCTGGTCATGCAAGTTTAAAGAGCTTGAGTGGTAGCATGCTCCAGGAAGGAGCTGTAGGCCACTTAAAGCCTAAACAGCCATCTTTCCTCAATCAGTTTTAAAGCAACAGACCATGTCGCTTTCTCATGAATAAGCTTTTCATCAACTTAAGTGACTGCCATAAAATGAGGTCGGTTCATTATTAGATCTAGGAAACACATTTATTCCTTTAAAAATGTACCTTCTAGGTGAAATTAGCATCACATGCAAAAACTCATATTAGTCCAGGATTAAGATAACAATGAGATTGTTACACTTCTTTTCTCTAATTAACTGAAGACCCTGCTTAATTCTGTACACAATTAAAACTAAATCTATGACATGTAGATATATTGTGACTACCAAATTAGTGGAACATACGTGTTTGTATTTATTTATTTATTTATTGAGACAGAGTCCCACTCTGTCACCCAGGCTGGAGTGCAATGGCAAGATCTCGGCTCACTGCAACCTCCGCCTCCCGAGTTCAAGCAATTCTCCTGCCCACCTCGGCCTCCCAAAGCGCTGGCATTACAGATATGAGGCACCACACCCAGGCAAATATATGTTCTAAGAGCCACTTAGTGCATAATTTTGAAAATCCAAAATGTTAGACTTTTAAAAAATTGCCATATTCAAATCATTCCTCATATTTATTTGTTAGAAAATTCTATAATGTCTAATAAATTGTAGAATAATATCTACTTCAGCAACAAACAATGTAAATGTTGGTAGCATGGACCCTTCAGTCAGACAGCTTTGATTTAAACCCCTGCTCTGTCACCTACTAGGTGTGTAACCTGCAGCAAGATGTTAGAGAGATATAATTTAACACAGAAAATCAGGCAGTTGAGCATAAGGACTGTAATTGAGAGGTTTCTGTTCAAATCTAGATTTCCCTCCTTACTAAATGAATGTTTTTTGGCAATTTGCTTGACCTTTGCATGACTAGGTTTCCTCAACTGCAAAAGCATCTGTGGTACCTACGTCATGTGATCTTGAGAGAATTAAATGGATTAATAATTATTACTAATTCCATTCCATCATTTTTACTTTCACTCCACTCATGCAAACCCATTCCCCCCCTAGTATAGGGTCATTCACTCTTCTGTACCTAAGCCTGTTCTTCCAACCCACCTCCTAGAAAAGTATTAATATGTCACACTGGATCTTGTTACTGTATAACCTCTGTCCCGAAATAAAAACACTTCTAAGCCATCCATCTGATTAACTTCTCAATCATGTTTTCTTTTCCTGTTTTTTTTGTTTTCCTTTTCCTAAAGTAATTATTTACTACAGGCCAGAGGAAGTACAAAACATTATAATTTGCATTTATGGGAAAAACTCATTAAAATTATAAATTCATCCATGATGAGGACATTCAGTCTGAGACTGCAAAATAAAATTGAAAATAAAGTTAATTTGTAAATGTAGACAGGAAAATCGGGAAATTATGACTTCAGAATTATTGTATTTGATATTTTAGATTATATGCTGATAAAAATGTTTTCTTCAGAAAATAGTCAACTTCAGGAATAGCTTTAACTATTCATATTTAGTATTTTTGGCTGTCTGAAGCATCTCCTTATGAAATGTAAGGAGTGCAAATTGATTTCTACCAAATAATGAGTAATTCTTGTCATCTAAGTAATTGTTTCTTGCAAAACTATTTGCAAGAAAATGCAGAAAACTTGAGAAATAAGATTTCAACATCACAAGGAATTATTCAAAGACTCATGTCAGGACAACTTAATTTGACTTTTGAGTTACTTAATCCAAGTGTGAATAATTTTCCCTGAAATAATTTCAATTCTTTATTATTGTGTAAATGAGAAGTATATAAGAAGGTAACATAAATTTTAAAAAATTGATTGATTGATTTCAGGCAAATTTTATTCCAGCAATATACACTGGCAGTACTCATTTTGCAATGTTATGTGGAACCGTAAAAATGTCTTTGTATGCTAACACCCTGCAAAGCACTCTTAATTATCATTAATGTCCCCTGACCTTTAAAAATTGTTGTCAGTACATTAAAAACTTTCTTATTGTCATTATAAATGCAGAGGGAAATAAAAATTAACAGGTATTTTTTAATAAATTATAATCTAAAACTTTAGTAATATTGAGAATTAAAGTGTTTCATTTATTTGTAAAAACCAGGAAAGCCTGCTTCTGGGAACATAAAGGAGACATACTTTTCTCTATTTTTCCCATTCAGAACAACTAAAATCCATGGATATTATATTTAAACAAACATAAGAAAATGGAAAAAGCTAGAGTGGTCCGTGGTTACAGGATCTGTGAAACAACATAGTGGTCATTTCCTTGGGTTTTATTTTTGCCTCTTATATCCCACACTTGGGGCAGAAGAAGCCAGAAACCCAAAAAGGCCAATGGATGCAGATCTAACAACAACAACAAAATCAATAAAATTCCGCTGTCTCTAGATAAAGGACCAGGAAAAAGTAGCCTAGCAACACATAAAACTTTTAGACATTAACCTTCTGCTTCAAATATTTGCCAATGAAAAAACCTGCAGCACTTCCTCCACAATGTCAGCACTGACTGAGCAGACAGCCTAGACTTTTGCCCTTTGGGGCTGTACCACGGTGATGACTCCTCCCACCAGGGTAATCCATCACATAAACAGAACCGAAGACAGAAACCACATGATGATCTCAATAGAGGCAGAAAAGGCCTCTGACAAAATTCAACAGCCCTTCATGCTCAAACCTCTCAAAAACTAGGTATTGATGGAACGTATCTCAAAATAATAAGAGCTATTTATGACAAACCCACAGCCAATATCATTGAATGGGCACAAACTGGAAGCATTTCCTTTGAAAACTGGCACAAGACAGGGATGCCCTCTCTCACCACTGTTAGTCCAGAAACAATCACCACGATAAAACATCATGATTTCCTTATTTGTTTTTGTCTTTTAATTTTTCAAACTTATCAATTTTGACCCTCTAATCCATGACCAGCATTAAGTATACCTTGGTATCTATAAAACAGTTTACTAACCAATTTAGAAAGTGAACACATTTGCTGAAGGAACATTTAATCCCCTCCAAGAAACATATTGTTATCTAAACTATTTCTGCAGCACTTTTTGTACACTAGTAATTAATACAGCCATGATAAATGCTTATTACTTTATGATAACTTATTTATACTTTACACACAAGTATAAAACTATGTCCAAAAGGACTTCTATCTAGAAAAGAGCTGGCTGTTATTGTCACCATTGGCACACATATATCATGTCTCACCACTCCTATTCAACATAGTGTTGGAAGTTCTGGCCAGGGCAATCAGGCAAGAGAAAGAAATAAAGGGTATTCAATTTGGAAAAGAGGAAGTCAAATTGTCTCTGTTTGCAGATGACATGATTGTATATTTAGAAAACTCCATCATCTCAGCCTGAAATCTCCTTAAGCTGATAAGCAACTTCAGCAAAGTCTCAGGATACAAAGTCAATGTGCAAAAATCACAAGCATTCCTATACACCAATAATAGACAAACACAGAGCCAAATCATGAGTTAACTCCCATTCACAATTGCCACAAAGAGAATAAAATACCTAGGAATCCAACTTAGAAGGGATGTGAAGGACCTCTTCATGGAGAACTATAGCCACTGCTCAAGGAAATAAAAGAGGACACAAACAGATGGAAGAACATTCCATGCTCATGGATAGGAAGAATCAATATCATGAAAATGGCCATACTACCCAAGGTAATTTATAGCTTCAATGCCATTCCCATCAAGCTACCAATGACTTTCTTCACAGAATTGGAAAAAACTACTTTAAAGTTCATATGGAACTAAAAAAGAGCCCACATTGCCAAGGCAATCCTATGCAAAAAGAACAAAGCTGGAGGCATCACGCTACCTGGCTTTGAACTATACTACAAGGCTACAGTAACCAAAACAGCACGGTACTGGTACCAAAATAGATATATAGACCAATGGATCAGAACAGAGATCTCAGAAATAACACCACACATCTACAACCATGTGATCTTTGACAAACCTGACAAAAACAAGAAATGGGGAAAGGATTCCCTATTTAATAAATGGTGCTAGGAAAACTGGCTAGCCATATGTAGAAAGCTGAAACTGGATCTCTTCCTTACACCTTATACAAAAATTAATTCAAGATGGATTAAAGACTTAAATGTTAGACCTAAAACCATAACAACCCTAGAAGAAAACCAAGGCAATACCATTCAGGACATAGGCATGGGCAAGGACTTCATGACTAAAACATCAAAAGCAATGGCAACAAAAGCCAAAATTGACAAATGGGATCTAATTAAACTAAAGAGCTTCTGCATAGTGAAAGAAACTACCACCAGAGTGAACAGGCAACCTACAGAATGGGAGAAAATTTTCACAATCTACTCATCTGACAGAGGCCTAATATCCAGAATCTACAAAGAACTTAAACAAATTTACAAGAAAAAAACAAACAACCCCAACAAAAAGTGGGCAAAGTATGTGAATAGACATTTCTCAAAAGAAGACATTTCTGCAGCCAACAGACACATGAAAAAATGCTCATCATCACTGGTCATCAGAGAAATGCAAATCAAAACCACAATGAGATACCATCTCACACCTGTTAGAATAGTGATCATTAAAAAGTCCGGAAACAACAGATGCTGGAGAGGATGTGGAGAAATAGGAATGCTTTTACACTGTTAGTGGGATTGTAAATTAGTTCAACCATTGTGGAAGACAGTGTGGTGATTCCTCAAGGATCTAGAACTAGAAACACTATTTGACCCAGAGATCCCATTACTAGATATATACCCAAAGGATTATAAATCATGCTACTATAAAGACACATGCACATGTATGTTTATTGTGGCACTATTCATGATTGCAAAGACTTGGAACCAACCGAAATGTCCATCAGTGATAGACTGGATTAAGAAAATATGGCACATATACACCATGGCATACTATGCAGCCATAAAAAAGGATGAATTCATGTCCTTTGCAGGGACATGGATGAAACTGGAAACTATCATTCTGAGCAAACTATCACAAAGACAGAAAATCAAACACTGCATGCTCTCACTCATATGTGAGAATTGAACAGTGAGAACACTTGGACACAGGGTAGGGAACATCACACACCGGGGCCTGTTGTGGGGTGGGGGGCTGGGGAAGGGATAGCATTAGGAGAAACACCTAATGTAAATGACAATTTGATGGGTGTAGCAAACCACCATGTCACATGTATACCTACGTAAGAAACCTGCACATTCTGCACATATACCCTAGAACTTAAAGTATAATTTAAAAATACAAAAAAAAGAGAAAAGAAATAAATCGTACTTATTGTACTTCAAAAAAAAAAAAAAAATAGAAGTTGGCCTGGCCTGGTGGCTCACACCTGTAATCCTGGCACTTTGGGAAGCTGAGATGGGCAGATCACTTGAGGTCAAGAGTTTGAGAACAGCCTGGCCAACATGGTGAAATACCGTCTCTACTACAAATACAAAAATTAGCTGGACATAGCGGCACACGCCTGTAATTTCAGTTACTCAGGAGGCTGAGGCACAAGAATCGCTTGAACCTGGGAAGCAGAGGTTGCAGTGGGCCAAGACTGGCACCACTGCACTCCAGCCTGGCTGAAAGAGTGGGACTCCATCTCAGAAAAAAAAAGAAAAAGAAAAAGAAAGAAAGAAAAAGAAAAATAGAAATTACCCAACTTGAGCAACAGAGAAAAGACAGAGCAGAAACGAAAATCTTGGGGACCCGTGAGACTACACCTACAGGCTAACATACACGTCATCAGAGTCTTAGAAGGAGAAAACCAACAGGGTGGGATTTCAAGTTCACTTGAAGAAATAAGAGCTAAAATATCACCAAATTTGCAGGGTGGGGGATCCCCAAAACCTACAGATTCAAGAAGCTGAGCAAACCCCAAATGGGACAAACCCAAAGACGTTTCAAAAATATCTACAGACTATATCTGCCCAACGCTCTTCAAATTGTAAAGGCTATAGCAATGGATAAAGTAAGGATACTCTCGTATGCAATTGCTTCCCGTCTTGTGTAAAGATGTGTAAAGGCATCATTTTAATCAACCTGATAACTGTTATGGTCAATATCTGTGCAGTTTGACATAGGACACCTGAAGGAGAAGACCTGGATGAGATGACTCAGCTGTTAAACTGAGTGGATCCAAAAGAAAGGGCCTTGGAAAGGGTATACAAAGTGATTTATGGGCAGAAGGAAAGTCATGAAGAAAGACTGTAGGAAACTTGATATGGTGTGAGTATATTTTTAATATTACTTAACTGCTACTTGTAAAGTGGATAGTGGGAGGTAGGGAGAGAGAGTGTGCTAGATATTACGTCAATATGTGAAATATTTAAAATTAAGTAATGATAGGGTTCCCTGTTCTCTTCAAGTAATTTAGTAAAATGCTGATGATCCTGCCATTGTGTGACTTGAGGAGTAGGAGAGGAATGTCTTTCTTCTCCAGAGCATCTTCCCGACCAGTCTTATATGGTCACAGTGATTAAGGGTTTGAATTAAGACACATTAAATGTCTTTGCCAAAATGCCCTTAAGCTTTATGGAAATCGTAACATATTTAATAATAATCTGTCATTAATATAAGAGTGCCACTTTTAGCTTTTTGATTATTATCTGTAATGTATAAGCATCCCATGGGAGCATTATGCCAACAAGCGTTGCTGTAGAAAAGAGTAGGTATTAGGGCAATATATGGGCATCTGAGTAGAAATGAACGTTGATGTAGAAGGAGTTCTGTGGGAAGATGACACCCTACCTGGATTAGTTTAAATGTGGGTTAAATAGGCAAATGTGGGCTGAGTGCGGTGGCTCACGCCTGTAATCCCAGCACTTTGGGAGGCTGAGGTGGGCAGATCACCAGAGATTGGGAGTTCGAGACCAGCCTGACCAACATGGAGAAACCCCGTCTCTACTAAAAATACAAAATTAGCCAGGCGTGGTGGCACATGCCTGTAAACCCAGCTACTCGGGAGGCTGAGGCAGGAGAATCACTTGAACTTGGAGGCAGAAGTTGCGTGAGCCAAGAGTGCGCCACTGCACTCCAGCCTGGGCAACAAGAGCGAAACTCCGCCTCAAAATAAATAAATAAATAAATAAATAAATAAATAGGCAAATGTGGGTTATGTAAGACAAATAAGTGTGTTAGCACTGATTTTTAATTATGAAGGCTTAAATTCATAATTAAAATTTATTCATAGAAGAATAAAATGCTTTTAAAAAATGCAATAACTAAGACTTTGCTTCGTTTCTCTTAACAATTCCATTTTCTTCCAAACCACAAGATGAGGTCCTTGTTGCTGAGCCTAGGAAATCTTCATATGTCTGAATTCTGCTCTTTTTTGGACTCCTAAAGAACAAATTAATAGTGTAGCTGAACGCAAACCATCAATTAGCAATTCACTGCAGGGCATCTCTTTTCCATGACCTTGGGTAGTATCCTGCCTCTTGGTACAGCAGACACTAACACTTATATCTGTAGGCATTGGCTTCCCAGCACATAGCACTGAGACTCAATTAAATCAACATTTTGAGCTCCAGCTGTAACATTTGAAGTTCGTGCTATAAACCTGGTGTGCACTCAGTGTGCTTAAACAAAAAGAAGTCACAGCTGATATTATTGTTACTGGATCCAGCAGATAGCCTGTTGCCTTAGGAAAAAGAAATTAAACAGTGAAGACTTGAAATAATAGAGTCAGATCAAACATGGACAGCATGGTAGAAGGAAATTTGCTCTTTTCTCAGAAGAAACTGTGATAAGTAAAACAAAATGAAAGAAACACACAGGCAACCCACCACATAAATCTCATACTTTTTGTTTTTGAGGGAGAAATGATGAAAAACATTCCTACAATTTATACTTTGGCAAGAAAGAAAACCAATGGCATTAAAAATTTATATGAAAGACCTTCATACCTGTTTATGGTCCTGTATGGGCTGGTGGCTACAAATTTCTTCTACAAACATTTACTGAGTAGGTAACTTTGTACCAAGTGCTATTCTAGCACTACAGTCAAAAATGTTAGACAAACCAGATAAGATTCATGCCTTCATTGCACTTACTTGCTCACAGCCATAGACAGAATATGCAAGCAAACACAGGCTTAAAATTATTTTAACAATGGGCCTTGAAATTGGGGGTCACCAAGGTGGTGAAAGACTACTTTAGACAGGGTACGCCTGAGAAGGCCTGTCTGAAGATGTGAGTTTGAGCCTGTATAATAGTATGAAACAGGCATTGCACTCCAGAAACAGGAAGAATTAGAACAAATGCTCTAAGCCAGGAAAAAAATTCTGAATATTTGAGTGAAAAAAAGAAGGGCAATGCGTCTAGGGTGCAACGCATGAGAAAGAAAAGTAGTAAGAGATAAAGTCAAAGACATATATGCAGGGAGCAATTCTACTCAGGCTGGTCATTTCTTATTGCTTAGAGTTCAGCATAAAAATGTGAAATAATAGTTTTTCCCACTACAAACTTAAAGAAAGGAAGTGGCAAAGTCTGCTTTTGGATGGAATTCAGACCACAGGATATTTCTGGAGTTGACTGTTGCCTTCTGCAGCAGTGGTTGGCATCAAAAGAAAGTGTCAGAAGCAAGCAGTTAAGACGAACAAGAGAGGAAGGTTTCAATGGAATCACCCACTCCTCATCTTTTTATAAGCCATTTCTACACTATTTCTTTGGGCTGTGAGGCAGGGAAATTTTTCTGATTATGAAAGCATTTAGAATCTTAGCTCTATGTTAAAATTGTTTGTGTTATAAGATTTTTTTTTCTAAACATTGGAAACAGTTTGCATGGGCTACTGCGGTTGCATCTGATAATTCCTGGTTCCAATGAAATCTCATATTCTATCATTCTTTGAAACCTGGATCAAGCAGTGGCAGGAATGGAGCAAGGAATGATCACAAACTAGAATACATCCAAAATCAAGTAAGAGTCTAGATTTTGCAAATAAGAGGGGGTCTCAACAATTCAGTAGAGCAACAAGATAACTCATGACAAGCAGAAGGAAGATGCAGATGAGCATTGAGCTTCCAGGGATACTGTATTTAAGGAGAACATACATATTTATGGACTCTTGGATTCCAAGTTACAATTTCAACATCAGAACTCAAAAGGAAAGGACTAGTTGGGGGAAGGGATTTGGTATCAATATTATAATGGAAGTGTTCTATAGACCGTTGATCCAAATAAAAACTTTGAAGGAAGCACCCTGGTTTAGACTATAATTGACCTCCTTAAGGAGCATATCAGGCTTTGTTTTGACTTTCGAAAATTTGCACATCGGTTGGAAAGGTCATTCCACTAAAAAGAAAACATTTGATTAATTGTGAACTTGTCTTGGTAATTTTTCTCACACAAATCAGAAAAAATAAATAAACAGACAGGCTTGTATTTTTTTAGGTTCATGATGGTCAAGTGGAATGACTGTGCCATCTTGTTAGTAGAATTAGAAAGAGAAAGCAATGTTATATATAGAGGCTAATCCTCATAAAAAAAGGCTTTAAAAATATGCTATTGGAAAATATAATAAGCTCATGGCCAGGCTCTAAATAATATCACCCAACAAGAATTTAAGAAAAAAGAAATGTAAGAACTCCCAGTCATAAGGCTCAAAAGATGTATATTGTGTTCAGTAAATAAACATAAATACGTACACACATAAATCCATTATGTCAGCAAAAGGAGAGCTCTGATAAGCATGAGTTTCAAAAGGATTTGTGGGAAGTAGAGTTAATTTTATAGACTCCACAAAACATGGCAATGCTCCAAGCAATTACTAAGTAGTCAATATTAATTATATTAAAAGTAATAGCAAATTAAAACATATAACAAAGGACTATGAAGAAGGCTACAGCCACAGATTCACTTTAGTTATCTGCTCTGTTTACAGGTAGATATGGATTATGACCTTTTAGGTATAGTCATTGGCATTTTGGCTCCTGAGGATTTGTAAAAATCAAAAGCTGTCTTCAGTTGTATTTGGAGAAAAACAAAACAAACAGAAAAGAAACAAACTGGGTTGTGATATGTCCACTGCTTAAGCAAACTAGTATAAGTTAATGACAAAAAGGAAAGATGATAATGCACAGCTACCATTTTTTTCAACATTGCTCTTAAAGGAAATAATTTTCAAACTATAGAGGTCAGAACAAACCCAATTATTTAGGAGTTGAAAAATACGGGGTAAATTATCATTTAGCAAATGATCCCTGAAGCAAACACTCGTACTTTCTCTCTAAAATACTTAAGAAAACAAAATGCCCACTACAAATTCAGTAACACTGAATTCATTAAAAGAATAGTAAAAGAATTTGCACACACACACACACACACACACACACACACACACACACACACAAAGGTACAAGACTGAAAAATGACAGAAATGGAGCAAACTTCCCAGGTTGAAAAGGCTTTACAAAGCCTCTTAGCTGTTACTTATTATCTGCCTACTTCTTTCAGAAATGCAAGTACTATAGTAAACATATAAGCATGTCTTCATTTCTTGGATATTAATGGTTCTTAGTGTTATTTTGTTGGCAGATAAAATTTTCTGGAATTCACCATTCCTGATATATCATTACAAGGTAAAATATTATAGAGTATTATTGTCAGTGAGGTAGGCTGGATATGGCCCTCAAATATGACCACGTTCTAATCCCTGGTTACCTTACATGGCAAAAAGGATGTTATAACTGTGATCAAATGAAGGATTTTGAGATAGAAAGATTATCTTGGATTATTGAGATGGGCTCAATATAATTATAAAGATCTTTATAAGAAGGACTCATGAAGGGTCAGAGTCAGAAGAAGGTGATGTGTTGGCAGAAGTGGAAATTGGGGTGATATGCTTTGAAGGTGAAAAGGGGGCCACAGTCAAGGAATACGGGCATCTACGAGAAGCTGAAAAAAGTAAGTAAATGGATTCACCCCTTGGGGCCTCTAGAAGGACCCAGCCAAACTGACACCTTGACTTTTGCCCAGTGAAACTGATTTCAGACTTCTGACCCCCAGAACTATAAGGGAGTAAATTTGTGTTGTTTTAAGTCACTAAGTTTGTGGTAACTTTTTATAGTAGCAATAGGAAACTAATACAGTAAACATAATCCAATCTTAATATGAAAAGTTGTTAATTCTGCTTGATGGGATAACTTTTTCATGCCATTTATATTTTTTCAAAAGTTCTACAATCAGTTTGTATTGCCTTAGGAAATAGAATAAACTCAGTATGTTTTATTAACCACTGGGCGTACATCGATTGAATTTGTGAGTTATTTTTATTTGTACATAAAGTTTAGAAACAAAGGCAATCTCAAAGTCAGTCTTTTCTTCATTCTAGTTTCCCATTGATAAAAATGTTACTTCTGTGGTGCATTTGTTTACTTATTGCTTTTTTATTTTCTCCTATATATTTATGATTTTAGCAGCTACATGTTTACTGAAATATAATGTTACTGTTAATTCATGCAATTTTTTTTATAATAATAGATCCCCCCTTCATTGTCCCTTTTTAAAGGACATGGCTTTAAAGAAAGGTGCCAATTGCTGATTTGCTGCTTACACTAATCATAATTTTGAAGTTTCACAATATCTTTCCTAGATTACCTCTTATCATAACAGTTCATGATTCTTGTGGCTCTTGATCCTATCATTATTAAGGTTTCTAGATTAAATTTTATATTCTGCCTTTATGATTACTCCCAGAGTCTCCTCAATTGTATCCACATTTTTAGATTACTGCATTACTATAAGTTTTAACATAGTCCTATGTCTTATGAAAAAATTTATTGTTTTAAGAGCTTTTCCAGATGCTCCTGGGCCAACACTATTCCTTTTGGAAGTTCCTTCAGTGGTTTCTTCTCAGCTTCTGTTAAAGAACTTTACCACTGATTTTTATAATTTAATACCAATAATCTGATAATTTCCACAGAAGCACTTTTTAAAATCTACATAGCAATTATTTAAAAATTCCTGTGTCGTATCTTTTTTTTCTCTGCCTCTGTAATCATATAAGAAAAAAGGACTGAGACATCTGTGCCCAAATGATAATTTTTCTTTGTGTTTTTATTTTTCACTTTCATAATTAAAAAAAAATGAAGTCAGGTTTCTTGAGTAATTGTTTCTGACCTATGCTGTCAGATTCTCTCACTGAGATGAGAATTGAATAATAACAGAAGAAAAAAATAATTTAATAGAATATAATAAGGTATTTATATTGGAAAATAGTTTTTCTGGATATTATGATTATTGTTCAAAGAGTCAATATTAGTGTCTTAGTGTGTTATATAGCCAATTAAATCAAATTGATTTATTTTGAACCGATATGAGAAGTTATTTATAAATGGAAAAGGAATTTGGAAACAATTATAATAGAATTTATTTAAATAAGTTGAAAAATAAATCTGTATCAAATACAAATAAAAGATGTTTCACATTATTAATTAGTCTACATTTATTCAACTCTGGATGGTTAAATTATTTTGTTGGAATGAAATACTTTAAGTGACAAAGTTAAATGAAAATATTTTTATTAAACATTGCTCTCTATTATAGTCTGAATGTGTTCCCCAAAATTCATCTGTAGAATCTTAATGGCCAGTGTGTTAATATTGAGGTGAGGCTTTAGGAAGTGAATAAGTCATGAGGGCAGAATCCTCTTGAATGGGATTAATGCCCTTATAACGGGCATAAGGGAGTAAGTACTCCTTTCTGTCCCTTCTGCCATGTGAAGATACAACGTTTGTTCCCTTGAAGGCTGCAGAAATGAGGTGCCATCTTGGATGCAAGCAAAGAACAGTGCTCACCAGACAACTGAACCTGCTGGCATCTTGATCTTGGGCCTTCCAGCCTCCAGAACTGTGAGAAATAAATTTATATTATTTATAATTTACCAAGTCTGTGATATTTTGTTATAGCAGCACAAACAGACATTCTCCATCTTTAATATCACCTGACGTCATCTGCTCTACTTTTTGCAAAGCATTTACCATCGTTTAATATACAATATAATTTACTTACTTCTCATAGTAAAATGTAAGAATGTTATGAATATAACATCTTCAAATATAAAATCAGACTGTAAACTCAACATTAGCAGGTAGATTTGTCTGTTTTTGTTAACTGATACATCCCAAGCACCTATCATATAATGAAAAGTCAGTTAATATGACATTAATAAATAAAAATGTGTCTACTATGGAGAGCCAAGCATTTTTATAGTCACTAGAAACACAGAAATGAACATAATGGACTCTTTCCTCACGCAATTGACATTCTAGAGACTGAGGTCAACAGTGCCTCAGGTAGTCTTCAATAATAAAATAAAATCTAAAAATTTTAGGTTTTTTAACTAAGGTAAAAAACTGGTTTGATGTACTAACAACTGGCTGTTTGGGTGTCTGTGTTAGTTTTAAAATTCAGACAAGAACTCACTAAAAGGTTATTTTTTAGCTGATCCTTGAATGACACAAACAAGAATGCTATGGAAAGAGTACTTTGAATAGGGAACACAGTAAGTGCAAAGGCCTTTGAGAAAAGTAAGAACAGGACGTTATGGAAGCTTGCTGGAGGGGTTGGGTTGATGTGTCAAGGAAGATCTGTGACTAAGCAGAAACCAGAAAGATAATCTTCAGGTTAAGAGTGGGTAAGAGAAACATTTCAGAGAGAGGAACCAGCCTAAGGGAAAAAGAGAGCACAGTGTTACTTGGAGCATAGAATATAAAAGGGTACAGTGAAGAAATGTGACTGTAAAATTAAGTAATGGCCAGATCTAGAAATCATTCAACTTCATTGGACTTTATTTTAAGAAAACTCTAAAGACATTAAGGGTATTTAAGCAAGGTAGTAAAGTGATTTTTTTTACAAAGTATAAAGTAGACTTCTGCTTCCACTAAGCATAACTAAAAAACCTGGACATTAAGAAAAATAAACGTAAGAAGATGATGAAAGAATATGGTAGATCAGCTAGGGACTTCAGTACTCAAGGAATAAAATGACTGTGAGTTTTTTGGGTTTACCTCTTGTCTTATATATTCCAGACTTGGAGCTGAAGAAGCCAGCAATCTGAAAAAGCCAACAGGTACAGACAAAAATAGTCCTAACACAAGCCTGCTCCCTCTAGCAAAAGGACCAGGAAAGGGGTAGCCTAACGAAACAGAAAACGTTTAGACGATAACTACTCTACTTCAGTCAAATATCTTGGGAAAAACTAGCCTTACTACCAACACTGCCAGCAAAAGCCGAGTGGGGAGCTTAGATTCCTAGCGTAGTGAAGCTGTACCAAGGCACTCCAGTATACCTGTTGCTGAGCAAGGGAAAGGTCTTTCATCCCTGGATGGCAGTAACTTTCCAGGATATCCTTTTGTCAGTTGATACCACATGGAGGGAAGCCTGGACTTCCATTCTCTTACTCTGCTGTAAAAGGTACCACCCTCCATATTTGGCTGTGGCGATGCCAGAAATATGAGGCTTTCACCATCACCAAGAGATAATAAGGTACTCCCCCAAACCTCTACATCCAACCAGTAATAAGATCATCTTTGAGTACTAGGGGATGCTGGGTGGAGGAACTGAACCCCTATCACTACTAGGCAGTTACCAAGGTTGTTCCACCTTCCCTTGTATCCTTGAGGAATAAAGGAAAAGTTAAGATATGCTCAGATGAAAAGAAATGAAGAAAAACTTATCACCAACATATCTACTCTAAAAGATTAGTTAATGGAACTCCTCTAAACAAAAAGGACACCATAAAGATTCTTTGAACATTGGAAAGAAAGAACAACAGAAATAGTAAAAATATGGGTAAATACAGTATAATTTTTCTCTTCCTGAATTTTCTAAATAATTTTTGATGTTTGAAGCAAAAAAAATATATAATATAGTCTGACTTGGTTCTAAATGCCCCCCCTCCAAAAAAACTAGACAAAAACATACACTCAAAAACACTTTTGATAACTCAAAATGGCATTCTACAATATCTTCAAGAAACACACAGGAAAGTAGAGAAAGGAAAACAGGGAGATGACAACAACAACAACAACAACAAAACAAGAAAACAAACAGAAGACAAAAAATAAAATGGAAGACTTAAGCCCTATATCAAAAAGTATATTATATAAATAGTTTATACATATATTAAAATATAGTGATTGGGAGAATGGATTTTTAAAAGCCCCAAACTCTATGTTGTCTGCAAGAAACTCACCTCAAATATAAAGGTACATTGAAAAGGAAAAAGATATAGCATGCAAACATTAGTCAAAACAAGCAGGAGTGGTAGTACTGATATTAGATAAATTTGACTTCATAGCCTAGTCATGTTGTACAATTATTTTTATATGTCATTGGATTTAGATTGCTAGTATTTTGTTGAGGATTTTTGTGTACATATTCATAAGATATATTGGTTTGTAGTTTTCTCTTACTGTGATGTGTTGTCTGGTTTTGGTAACAGAGTAATACTGATCTCATAAAATAAATTAAGGTGTTTTTTCCTCTTCTGTTTTTAGGAAAAGTTTGAGAAAATTTGGTGTTAATTATTTCAAATGCTTGGTAGAATTTATTCATGAAGATCTCTGAATTAGGCTTTTCTTAGTGAGTTTTTTAAATTACTATTTTAATCTCTTCACTTGTTACAGCTCTATTCAGAGTATTTATTTCTTTTTAAGGCAGTCAGTAGTTTGTGCCTGTAGGATTTTGTCCATTTCATCTAAGTTATATAATTTGGTGTTTTATAGAGTTGCTCAAGAATCGTTTTCTTGCTTATCTTCTCTCTATTGTTCTACTATTGACAATGCAGCATTAAAATCTCCAACTACTATTGTGGAATTGCCAATTTCTCCCCTATATTAGTTTTATTTCATGTATTATATGCTTTGCTTTTAGGCACATATATGTGTATAATTGTTATATCTTTCTGATAGATTGACTCTTTCATAATCATAAAATATCCCTCATTATCTCTAGGAACATTTTTTGTTTTAAAGTCCATTTTGTATAAATTAGTACAGACACTCCCATTTTTTGTAGTTGCTTTTTACATACTGTATTATTATTCTATACTTTTGCTTTCATTCAATTTATATTTTTTCTATCTAAAGTATGTTCCCTGTATAAGGCATATAGTTGGATTATTTTTTTTCCTAAACCACTTAGGAAGTTTCTGCCTTTTGGCTGGGACTGTTAACCTTTTCACATTTAATGTTATTACTGATATATTTGGATTTACACCTGCCATTTTACCTTTCTGTTCCCTATATTTTTCATGTCTTTTTTCTTCCTCTGTTACCCATCTTATTCTTTTTAATTCATTAAGTCTATATTCCCTAATATACCATTTTAATTTTATAATGATGTTTTAACTATAAATTTTGAGTTACTCTACATTTTATGCATGTATATTTATAAATGTATACACTTTAGCTTATTAAAATTAGCTTCAGATTTATATTAGTTTATATCCCATGATATATAGAAGCATTACTCCTATATAGCTCTGTTCCCCTCCCCACAGTTTTTGTGACATGCTATATATATTATATATATAAATGTTATAAATTCAGTAATAAATTATTATAATTATTACTTACCACCTACAGTCATTTCCTTAGCCCAATACACCCTTTCACATCTATTGTGCTGTTCGGGGCAAATATTATGCATATGTTACATTTTCACATGTTGTGGACTCAGTAATACCTCATATACATATATTATTTTTGAGATGGAATCTTTCTCTGTCACCCAGGCTGAGTGCAGTGGCATGATTTTGGCTTATTGCAATCTTCGCCTTCTGGGTTCAACCAATTCTTCCACCTTAGCCTCCTGAGTAAGTGTGTGCCACAACGTCTAGCTAACTTTTGTATTTTTAGTAGAGACTGTGTTTCACCATGTTGGTCACGCTGGTCTCAAACTCTTGACCTCTAGTGATCCACCTGCCTTGGCCTCCCAAAGTGCTGGGATTACAGGCGTGAGCCACTGCACCTCACCTACAATTGCTTCTTAAAATCTGTTATGAAGAGAGGAAAAATGTACATTTCTACTCTCTTTTATAATTACATAATTACCTTTTCCAGTATTCTTTATTTTTTCATTTGGATTCAGATTACCATCTGGGACCAGGGCCAGATACTTTCAGCCTATAGAATTTCCTTTAGTATTTCTCATAAGGTAGATCTTCTAGCAACCAATTCTCTCAGTTTTTGTTTATTTGGAAAAGCCTTTTTTCTGTCTGCATTTTTAAAAGAAAGCTTTGCTGGATATAGGATTCTTCATGGAAAGTTTCTTTATTTGAGCACTTTTGATATGTTATCCTCCTGCCTTCTGGCCTTCATTGTTTCTTCTGAGAAGCTAGATGTTAATCTTACTGAGATTCCCTTGTAATGTTACAGACTTGCCAATGCACCACAATGTAGCAGTCTTTTATTGTGTGATATCACCAGGAGTTCTTTGTCTCACAACCAAGAGTATTAAGGAGCATGAACACAAAGGGTGAGGCTGGAGCAAAAATTTAATAAGTGAAAGAAAAAAGCTCCCTGTGGTGAAGAGGGGGCCCTGAAAGAGGGTTGCTGCTTTACAGTTGAATGCAAAGCTTTTACAGGAAATGGATGAAGCCTGGGCATCTCATTTGCATAAGGTGCAAATTTCTTATAGCTCCACTCCATCCTCCTAATGAATATGTGGGCCCTTAGCTTGAGCTACTCCATGTTGCCTTGTTCCTCTTAATGTGCATGTGTCAGGGGACGGAATTTTCCATAGTGGGCATGTCTGGGCAAATCACTTGTGTAGCCTTTTTTATATTGTGGCTGTGGGCATATCCTAGGCAAACCCCCCTGTGCAAGTTACCTTATCTGTGCCTGTTGGCTATTCTTTGGTTTGAAAGAATTCTTCCAAGGATCCACCCTAACTGCCTGCCTGACTCGTTTCTTCCTTTCCCCTCTCAGTAAGGTATGAGTCATTTTTCTCTTGCTTCATTCAAGAATTTCTCATCTTTGATAATCAAAATTTTGACTACTATTTTTCTGATTGTAGATCTCTCATATTTATCACACTTGTAGTTTATGGTGTTCTGGATGCTTACTCTTTTTTTTTTTATAAATACAGGAGTGTTTCAGTCATTATTTCTCGAAATATTTTTCCTACTTCTTTCTTTCTTACTATTATGTGTATGTTGGTGTTCCGTAGTTATCTGAGACTGTGTTCCTTTTTCATCATTCATTTTTCTCTCTGTCCTTCAGCTTGCAAAATCTCTGTGTGCCTACCTTCAAGTTGTTAATTCTTTCTTCTGTTAGTTCACATCTACTGTTGATCTCAATCTAGTAGTAATTTTTAAATTTATTATATTTTTTAACTTCAGAATTTTCATTTGGTTCTTTTTGATCATGTTTATTCCTTTATTGATATTCTCTATTTGATGTGGCATTGTCATCATCATTTCTTTTTATTCTTTAATTATGCTTTCCTTTAGGTCTGTAAACATATTTATATTGGCAATTTTTATGTCCTTTTCTGTTAAATCTGATATCTGGTCATGTTCACAGGCAATTTCTGTTGCCTGATTTTTAATATTTTTTCTTCTTCTGGCATACAGGTTATATTTTCATTTTGCTTTATGCCTCATAATTTTCTAAGACTTCTTAGACAATATATTTGTAGCAACTATGGTTACTTCTCCCTCTCTTACAGGAATTGTTACTGTCATTTGCTTGTTTATTTATTTAGTGACAGCTGGATCATTTTAGTAAAGTATCTTCCCACCCCCTCCCCAACCACTGCCCAACATACACACAGTGTTTGGCCACTGATGTTGTTGCTTAGGTAGACACTATTCTTAGTGGGTCAACAGTTTCTATGGGAAGACAATAGCATTGGTAAGGCTCTCTTATTCTCTTTTCATAGCTACATTCAGCTTTTTAACTCCACTAATTGCTTGCTGATTGCTGTATTATTTTCAACAATTCCATGAAGCCTGAGTAGCTCTACAAACAAATCCTATCAAATTGTGGCTACTTTGAAGGAACTGTTTCTAAGGTCAGTGTTTGATATTTGTTGTGACCCCAGAAGGGCTCCTTTGCAAATAGTCCACTTATAGTCTAAGATATATCTTCTTTAAATCCACCAATCTCCTTCCTTTTGTCTTTCACTATAACCTCCACTGTTTCTTTTTTGTATGTGTGTTCCTAGGTTTAAACTTCATGCTCTACTGCAAATAAAGTAATTTCCTTGGGGAAGAGATTCAGAGGTATCCATTTTAGGACCTTCTTCTTTCCCAAAGCAAAAATCTATGAGCTGGCTCTGGGGCTGGTGGGGAAGACAATAGCAAGTGTTGTCTGAGTGATACCCCTATTCAAAGGGTTCAGCACTCAATGTTGAGAGAGGCAGCACCCGGAGGTCTCTGAGTTGCCTCCTTTAGTGTGGAACTTCCACATGCCAAACTGAGACAATGTTAATTCAGATCCCAGTGTTCTGAAGGTGTATGACACCAGACAGAGCCTCCATTTCACAAACGGGAGCTGGATGGAAGAAGACAGCCCTCAACTTTTGACTTCATTAGCTGGAGCAACAAGTAGTTGAAGGCAGGATGAGAAATGTGAAAGTCCTATTCCTCTTGAGATGATAGCCAGAGGCAGATATTTCACAGCACTGAAAGCTGGAGGGGCTAGTGAGTCCTGTGTTCTTGGTTGCTTCAGTCACACTGAACTGGAAAGGAAAGGGCAGGAGTGGTCTTTGTTCAAATACCACAGACTTTTGCCTTTTTGAAATACTTTTCATAGATTTTCTCCAATGGAGTTTCTTTTTCTTTCTTTCTTTTGTTTTTTTTTTTTTTGGATTTGCAGTTTGCCCTTAAGTCCATTTCAAGAGCTTTAAAACGGTTGTTTTTCCAATTGATTTTCACCAGTTTCACTGGGAAGCAGGTCAGGGAAGTTCCTCACACTGTCACGCTGTAAACTGATTATCAATGTATTATTTTTTACAACTGTATGTGAACCTACAAGTATCACAAAATAAAATGTTTATCTTAAAATCATGGAATAACAACACAAGGAGTTATATAGAATTATTATTCAGTCCATTTATCATTTCCAGGATAGCTTCAAGTAGACTAGCAAGCTAATTTTTCTCTTTTGAATCTCAACAGAGAGAAAAATCTCTTTTCACTTTCTGTAATCCATTAATATACTTCACATAGCAAATCACTTTTGATAATGTGAATAGAGTTTGTATAATAAAGTGTATTGATGATAGGTTAAAGGAGAAAGTTAAGGAATCTAGACTGAACACCCAGCATCTAATGTCTTCATCCATTGTTCTTTAAATGAATTATTGACTGTTCAACCAAATAAATGAATAAGTCAGGTCAGTATTGATGGTGTTACACTCTCTTTTTCTTCACTACCGTCATCCTAGTCCTCCTAAATTCCTTACCACCACCATCATTTAAAACTCATTTAAGAGTTCATGAGCTTGTCATGTGTCATGGTCATTCAGAGACACTACTGAAAATGTTGCCGTGGTTTGTTTTATAAACTTGCTATATAAAAAAGGAATAATAGGAGTGATATTTTGTAAATTTGTATCCAATGCTGTGGCCATCTGTTTTCCAGAAATTCTTATATCATTACCTTTCCCCCCGAGTCTGGTTTGAGAGAATGGGTTCTAAGAAGGTTAAGAAAAAGTGCAGAGACAGTTCAGGCACCCTGAGTGCAGTTCCAGGGGTCACTGGAGCAAGGAGGAGCCTGATGAGGATAAGCACAGGGGAATTTTGGACTTGATAACTGTTGTATAATCAAAATGTAAAAGCCTCTGCCATGCCTCTAGTTCTTTCACTTTTATGTTTTTTTTCTTTTGAACTGAGACTAATTTGCTTTTGAAAGAGAACATTAGCAGGATTAAAACATTACCCCCCACACAACCTGTGGTTGGTGGGGGAAGAAAGCAAACAATGAGAAGGGATCAATCCATTTCTAATGCAAGAAACAGTGCTGGTTTGAAAATGCAGACCACCGACACTGAATAATTTCATCTCACTATAAATAGCACATTAGCTGAGAAGGAAAATCACCCAGGCAATGACTGAAAAATATCTGCAGAATGCTTGCTTTACCTCTTTTTTTTTGGACATATATTCTTTGACAGCAGTAACTGGTGAATTAAATGAATTTCTGACTGCATAGACATCTGTCACCAATTAAAGAGATGTCTTGGTTATCTCCTTTGTTCAGTGCAGAAAATCAACGTGGAAAATGTGAGTAAAACATTTTTGTCCTAGGACATAAATGAACTCCATTGGTTATGAACATCGAATCAACTAATTTGTCCTCAAGTCTGCATTTTATTCTCCATAGACAAAGCATAAGTGAATAGACACAATTTAAACAGAATACGAATACTTCTCTTATACAGAGAAAATTTTATTAACGATATTGCTGTCAGAGGCATGTGAACCAGAACAACTCCACCTTGAGTAGGAGCTGGGTAAAATCAGGCTGAAACCTACTGGGCTGCATTCCCAGGTAGTTAAGATACTCTAAGTCACAGGATGAGATAGGAGGTCGGCACAAAATACAAGTCATAAAAACCTTGCTGATAAAACAGGTTGCAGTAAAGAAGCCAGCTAAAATCCACCAAAGCCAAGACAGCCACGAAAGTGACCTCTGGTTGTCCTCACTGCTACACTCCCCACCAGTGCCATGACACTTTACAAATGCCATGGCAACATCAGAAAGTTACCCTATATGATCCACCTTTGTTTAGCATATCATCAAGAAATAACCATAAAAATGGGGAACCAGCAGCCCTTGGGGCTGCTCTGTCTATGGAGTAGCCATTCTTTTATTCCTTTGCTTTCCTGATAAACTTGCTTTCACTTTACTTTATGGACTCGCCCTGAATTCTTTCTTGAGGGAGATCCCTTTTCTGTAGCGTTGCCCTTCTAAAAATTGACCAAGAAGTAGAAAGTAAGAAAAAAAAAAAGGAATGTTTAAATTTATGCACAAGGAGGTCCTCAGGTTTTCATTCACAGCTGAAGGAGCTATAGATTCATTATAAAAATTTAACGTGATGTTCAATTTCATAGTTGCTTAGGAGTAATTATAAACTACACAAAGGAGGCTAGAGGGATACTGGTGCAGAGATACTGAGAGCGGCAGTGACAGCCAACATGCGAGGCTCTCATCCATGATAACGTTTTGACTCCTCAATCTAATTATTAGTTAAATATGTGTTCTTCCTCTAAGTTTTCAAGCTCACCAGGCAGGGATTCAATCTTATTTATTGCTGAATCCACAGTTTTAAAAACACTGGGCTAAAATATATTAGCTACAACAAATAAATGAAAAATGTTTTAAGATTTTTCCAATGAAGAAAATAATATTTGGAAGGTAAAGCCACAGGCTGTCATCTCTCCCTTGGTTTTGTATAATCAGAGCATCAGGGAAAGACATGCTGGAGTCCAAGTGGGACAGGGGGTGCCAGCTGTGTGGTTTGGAGCCAGGTTACAGTCCCGGTGTTGTAGTCCTTACAGCTGTTTGCGAATATTCTGCAGCTTCTCCAGCCTGGCACATGGGAGACGTATGCTCTTTCACTTCCTTTTAAAATATAATTTGATTTTGCTGAAGAAATGTGAACAGAGGTGCGGTGCTTCACATTTGAGAGACTGTGCATGATTACTCACATTTCCTGCCGTGGTCATCCTGGAAGCTTGGCTCAAGGTGGATCCTCCATCTGCCTAGGTCCCTGAGTGACTAGGAAGAGGAGAATGTCCCACCCCATGTACACTAAAATTAAAACTTTGTAAAGTTTTTGCCTGCTTTCTGTTCTACGATTGAAAACAATCATTTTCTCTACTTTTTTTTTTTCCAAAATAAGAAGTGAATTGGGAAGGCAGTGCAGTTTTGTCCCATGGATATATTGCATAGTGGTGAGGTCGGGGCTTTTAGTGTACCCATCACCTGAAAAATGTACATTGTAATTTCTCCTCCCTCACTCCCTTCCACCCTCCCACCCTTCCAAGTCTCCAATGTCTATTATTCCACACTCGATGTCCATATGTACACATTATTTAGCTCTCACTTGTAGGTGAGAATATATGGTACTCAACTTTCTGTTTCTAAGTTATTTCACTTAACATACTGTCCTCTAGTTCCATCTATGTTATTGCAAAAGACATGATTTTATTCTTCTTGTGGCCGAGTAGTATTCCAGTGTATATATATGTATATCACATTTTCACACTACTCTTTTCTCTTGCCTCAGTTCTTTTATTTATTTATTTATTTTATGAGATGGAGTCTCGCTGTATTGCCCAGGCTGGAGGGCAATGTGCGATCTCTGCTCACTGCAACCTCTGCCTCCTGGGCTCAAGTGATTCTCCTGCCTCAGCCTTCCGAGTAGCTGGGATTACAGGCACCTATCACCATGCCTGGCTAACTTTTGTATTTTTAGTAGAGACAGGGTTTCACCAGCCAGGCTGGTTTTGAACTCCTGACCTCAAATGATCTGCCCGTCTTGGTCTCTCGAAGTGCTGGGATTACAGATGTGAGCCACCAGGCTCGGCCAGTTCTCTTCCTTCTAAAGTGAAGATGCTTATAGTTCTTGCTCAATAGGTTTGTTTTGAGGCATGAATACGTACATATATAATATATATATTTTAAATTAATATAATATTTTACACATTTATGGAGTACATGTGATACACACACACACACACACACACGTATATATATATATATATATAATGTTTTGAACAGTGCCTGGCACAAGGTAAATATTATATACATTTTGCTAATATTAGTCAACTAAAATTTATTAGATATCAGCTGTGTGCTAATATGTTAGTGCTCAGAATTAAAAGGAAAATGGTTATAATCCACACATAATATCACTCTCCAAGAATGAGTATATTGTGGAGAGTTAGATATATTAATAGTAAATTAGAAAACCAAGAGGTAAGTAAAATAGAAGATGATGTGCAAAGAGGAAGTGTAGCACACTATGGTGATAGAATAGTTAGGATGGATATTAATATTATTTCCATTTTATGTAGAGAGAAATTAAAATTTAGAAAGATTATATATTTTTGAAGCCACTGAGTATTAAAGGAGATGCTTGAACCTAAAGTTTTTTAAATTGACATAATCTTTTACACATTTCTGGAGTACATGTGCTATTTTGTTCTATGTATAGACTGTATAATGATAAAGTCAAGGTATTTATTTGATTCAGGGTATTGTTCAAAACAATAGATACTTTGAGTATCTATGATTTCTATGTGTGGAGAACAATTCTAGTCCTCTCTTCTAGCTACGTTTTTTTTTCTTTGAGGCAGAGTCCTACTCTATTGCCCAGGCTGGAGTGCGGTGGCTAGATCTCGGCTCACTGCAACCTCTGCCTCCTGGGTTCAAGCGATTCTCCTGCCTCAGCCTCCTGAGTAGCTGGGATTACAGGAGGTGTCCACCACATCCACCTAATTCTTGTATTTTTAATAGAGATGGGTTTCACTATGTTTGCCAGGCTGTCTCAAACTGCTGACCTCAAGTGATCTGCCCACCTCGGCCTCCCAAAGTGCTGGGATTATAGGCGTGAGGCACCACATCCAGCCTTCTTCCAGCTACTTTGAAATATACGATACAACATTGTTAACTATAGTCATTCTACTCTGCTGTGGAACACTAGAACTTATTCTTTTTATCTACGTGTGTGTTTGTATTTACTTCTCTTCATTCTCCTTCCCACCCCTGTTTCCCAGCCTCTAGTATCTGTTATTCTACTCTCTATGTCCACAACATCAACTTTTTTAGCTCCCACATATGAGTGAAAACAAGTCATATTTGTCTTTCTGTGGTTGGCTTATTTCACTTAACATAATGACCTCCGGTCCCATCCATGTTGTTGCAAATGAAAGGATTTTATTTTTTTTATGGCTGAATAATATTACATTGTGTATATATAGTACATTTTCTTTATCCATTAGTCTGTTGATGGACATTTAGGTTGATTCTGTATCTTTGCTATTGTGAATAGTGCTGCAATAAACATGAACAAGGAGTACAGGTATGTCCTTGATATACTGCTTTGAACCTAAATTTCTAACCCCAGTCTTTCCACTACATCATTCTGTTTCTAGTTATTTTTCCTCCCTTTCTTACTCACAAATTTTTATTTATATTACAAATCAGAAAAAAATTCTGGAAGAGAAACTTCTTGCTTTAGTAATGCACCAAAGCAACCAACCTGTCTACACTTACAACCATATATTCTGGGAACAATTCATACTCCTTTGTAACGGTAGCACCTCAATTTGACCTTTGTCTCTCTCAACTTCTCAAGTACTTTGCTTCTCAGATTTTCCCTTTTCTCCCATGCATTACTGTTTTCTCTTTTTAAATTGTTCCTGTCACAACACTAACATGCTAAATTACATCCCCACCAAGTTCTCTCTGTTTATTTTTTTTTTTTTTTACTTCATTTTGTAGCAAAGCTTTTGAAATAATTTGTGGTCAATTTCTCCAATTTCTCACTATTTATTCTCTCTTCAGTCTGTTAAAATGAGGCTATTTCCCCATTAGTCAATGAAACTGCTTGTCAACTTTCTTTATCAGATCTATGTGGCTATATCCAACAGTCGTTTTCAGTCTTTATCTCATACAACAGAGTTAAATAAAGAAATAAACGAATGAAGAGTCGAAGACCTTAGAGGCTACCAAAGGACCTGCTGATCACACAAATCTGAAATCTGTAAATCTGTATAAGTAAGAAGAACATCATCTTGATGAAGTCAATATATCTCAAAAGAGGAAGTTAGAAAAGGATCTTCCTAAGGTTTGGGAATTGGGATTAATTACAGAAGCTTTTGCAGAATGGAAACTAGTAAGTGCTGTCTAGGCATGAAAGTCAGAATTTGTAAACTCAGTGAGCTGTTGGAATAGTCAGTAGTCTTACTTTGGAGCACATGAGATCATTCAGGGTTTGCCTCTGGTCTTATCTTGGAAAACATGAATCTGAAAGTGTGAGCTGTGGTTAAAACTGTCTGAGCTTAGATAATTTTGTTGCCTATTATGGTTTTGTGCATGTTATGGTATAGTAAGTTTTGAGAATTGTAGTATAGTTTGTTTTGCAAATTAGGGCTTCTATTTAAGTTCTCAAAATGACTCTTGGCTCTGCTATATAAGGGACCTGGAACAGTTGATCTGGCCATTCAAGTACTTAGACAGTCCTTTAATCCTGTTTTAATTCTCATCCTGACTCTTAAACTTACTTATAATCATGTCAATCTACAAATTTACACTTCTCAGAATCAACATTTTTAGATATATCCTTGTACATATATCCTCATTGGCTTGTACAGTGCCTCTTTAATTATATAGCTAGCTTAGTATCTGAAGCAGAAGCATTACCATGACCTGGATTCATAATTGTGATCCTAATTGTGCAGGCTTCCTCTCACCTCGGCCTTCCAGCCGTTCCTAACATGCCAAAAGGAACAAGAAGACCACTGAAAATGGAAGCAAAATTAGTGTTTTCTGGTTTGTATAACTTACTCCATAGGAAAGATTTTTAGAACAACTTTAATTGTCTTATATTAGACCCATGGAAGAGTTGAAGTTGAAGATTAGAACAATGGGAGGACCTATTGGATATCGGGGCTCTGTCAGCAGGGAGCAGTGATGACTGAATACCCACCAGCAGAAAGAAAAAAATCAGAAAGGCTACTGAAAGCATATTTGCCTTTCTAATATGAATTACATACTATATGGCTCCTTAACAAGATCACATATGTTGTAATTTAATATTTTCTTGATAATTCAAAGTTATCATATTACCAACTATTTTAATTATAATGCTATAATACACTGAAGCCCTTAGAGTCTGGCTGAAATGTTTTTATTTTACCCCAAATAAGTAGTTTCCAAAAGTGTGACTATAATATGAAACAATATGATAATAAAAATTTCATGAAAATATGAAATGTACCTGAGAAAATTTTAATAAAAGTGAATGTAATTTTTAAACAGACAAGTATCAGGGCTTGAAGAATTATACATGGCTTATCTGGGAAACTTGCTTAAGTTTAAGACTTTATTAGCCAGTGGTGCCAGAGAGATGATTATTTGCTCTCTCTGAGCATTTAAATACACAATGCAGGGAAAACCAAGATGGTCGTATTCAGTTATCAGTATATATTATGATCTATCTTGGTCAAGAGCCAGTAGGACTGTTATCACGTTCTAGTAGTTTGAGCATCATTACACAATTCCCACAAATAGATAGCTATTATTTTAATGCTATCCTAATTGTAGCACTTGCTATAATAAGCTATGTAGGCTAAAAATATTTTCAACAAAAGTACACATTGGATGACAATGGTAACCGCTGTATTTTAAGATTCTTTTCAATTGTTTTGTGGCTTAAGAAACATGTGGCTGGCATGTTCTTCCTTTGCCAGTGGTAAATTCTATTCACAGAAGGACAGTGAGTACTATGAAAGAAGGAGCTACCTATCTTGGGCTTTAACTTTTGCTATAGCTATGTTTTGTTTAAGTTTATATAGTTAGGCAGTGGTTCATGGCATTCTTCCCTTCTGTACCTGATGGATATATTGGTACTTCAAGTGAAATAAGATTTCTTACTTTCATTTTCAACATTTAATAAGCAATCTCTGTAAGCAGCTGCACGCATTATCTTTGTACATGTTATTTACTAGCTTATTGTTAATTTAAGTTTTGTAAATATAATATTGAATTCATACTTTTCTGTGATAACCTTCTATTCTTTTCTGGGTCATATTTTTATTGCATATTAACTTGGTTATTCATGTGTTTGTTACTTACCAAATAGTTATTACCTGTAATTAGAGAACAATATGTTTTTGACATTTGGCATAGTGGAGTAGTCTCAAGAACTTGCAATGATCTCTTTTACTAACATCCTTTCAGAAATACAAACCTGGATAGAATAGCACTGATTCAAAACTATAAACATCCTTGTAAATTTTAGACTTGATGGGAATAAAAATTAGCTGGCAATCTATTCTTCAGAAGTAAATTGGGCACTGTAAGAGAAACATTATGTTATCTAGCTATAAAATAAATAATTTGAACTTGAACTGCATATTAAATTAGTGGTTTATTTAAGAAATTCTGGTGACAGAAAAAAAGTATTACATCTTGAAAATGAGTCTGCAGTTCTGTTTGTATGCAATTACAAAACAGGCTATTTTGAAACAACTTTTTTTTTTCTTACCGAAATTAACACTCATTCTCTGTACAACCATTTGGACAACTCTGTAGTATGCCCAACACAGCGTATACTATGATAATATAAATGAACCACTTTCAGGCCTGGTTGTTAGATGAAGAATGTCATATATTAAGGTAAAATCTTACTGGGAAGCCTCACAAGTGTCTAGAGCTAGATTTTATGTAAATATTTCTGTGTACATCAGAAACATTAGATACATTTTCTTTGAATCCACATACTCTATAGATTAAGAAAGTTCTATATTCAGCCAAAAAGTAAAACATGGGTAGTCTACCAAAACCTAAAGAAATTAAGTAGTGAAAATGAAAATCCAAGAGCAGACGTAAAAGGATGAAGTGTACACAGCCTCTCCTTCCTGTTTTATCTTCATGGAAATTCATGTCGGCGTCAGTTGGGAGACATTGCACAGACTCAACACCTAGTGCTTGACATTTGGCTGCAAAGCCAGTAAATACAAATGTCTTCCAACTTCCCTTAGTCCTCCTAACCCTAAATACCTCAACCACACCACTATAAAAAAATTGCGAAAACAATCTAAAGGACAAAAGAGCATTCTATCATGAAAAGGTATTTTGGATCCCTCCACTATTCGTCACTCCTACCCTTTTCCTAGAGTCAGCCAAAAGCCTGTATTTAGTAGTACTTATAAATAGCTAGCTAGAGTGCAAATTAATGCGTGCAATGTAGGGTTTGGGGTTTCTCAAAAAGAAATAAATTTGTAAAATAATGATTTTCAATGTTTTAATCATTGTATGTGCTTTATATAATGAAGCCATTATATAAAGCAAATGAAAGCGATATTCCATGACAGAATCAGAGATGGCATCTGCTGGGCTCCCTGAAACTATGTAAAAACCATCAGGCAGTGTGAAGGACATGGCATGGTACAGAGGTGGGGAGAATGGCTAGATTCTGTGGACCTAGATTGCCTGGTTTTGAACTCCAGCTTTGCTATTTTCTAATTGTCCCTGACACCACCTAAGTTATTAAACTTCTTATGTCTTGGTTTCCTCCTCTTTAATAGGAAGTTGTTATGAAAATTAAACGAGTTAACATTTGCAAAGCATTTAAAGTTGTTTTATCAAAGTGACATTTAAGAAAAAGTCTTTCTTAATTCATTCGTATTGTCTCTTGAAATGAGGAGTATGAACAACATAGTGGTTTTATTATCTGGGATATGGAACTTCCTAACTAGATTGCCATTCCTAAATCTACTATACATTGGTTGATGGGATCCTAGAAAGATCATTCACCTTGGAGCTGCCAGTCCTGTATGTGTTATGTGTATAAACGTGTATGATCGTTCCTAAGCTCAGAATGTCACACTACATTCATTTCTGAAGATTAATAAGAACTTTAAAATAACTATAAAAGTAATTATTTCTAATTTAGGACCAGTTTCTCAATCTGTTGTTTCTTGACTTTCTCTACGTATTAATTCAGTTAACACCTAAACTAATATAGATTCATACTCTATAAAAAAATCCCAAGGCATTTTCAAGGGCCTCCTGTAATCACTGTGCAATTTTCACTCAATCTGAAATAGAGGAAATCCGAGCAATAGTCCTTTACAGATGAAGCTGTATTTTCTACCTTCACATATGTGGTTAGAACAAGCTGTCACAAATTACACAAGATTAAAATTTAGAAAGTGATCATATTACTTGTTTTCATTAGATTCCTTCTGGTGATAACTGGTAAGCTATTTATTTACATAAAAAATTAAAACAGCCAGGTACAGCAGTGGAGATGAAAGGGGATGGTAGCTGTCATACAAAAATGTCTACTTGTCATTACTAATTTACCTGCAGCATGCTGGAAGTTTTATTTATTCCTAGCTGACAACTTTGGTTATCTGGGGCCTATCTGTGACTTAGAATGTAGATGTTTAATTTTGACAAAAATACAGCGTATTGTGGGATATAATATTTCTGACATATAAGAGAGAAATAGGGTATTTAATAGCATTTATTTCTGGGGGAAATTACAAGTATTTGCATCGAATTGAAGAAAATGACTGCAAAACAGTGAAATCACACTGAGCTCCCGAGAGCAAAAAGCACATTCAGTCCTTGAACATTCATTACCTACTGAGTTCAAACAGAACAGTTTTTTTCTCCAGAGCCACCTCCATGATTGGGGTTTTAAAGGACTGTGGCACAGTAAAATGAAAAGCTGATTGGGAAAATTGCTAGTTGAGAGAATGCACGTTTTAAGGTATACTGTAGATACTGAGCTTACATAATATCATCATTACCTGTGATTATATCTGAGTATGTTTAGTTAGAAAGGTCATTTAATTTCTGAGCCATCTCAAAGGAAAAAATAACTGGCTAAAAAAATAAGATGATTAAATTGCTAAAATAATGCCAATAGCTATTCAAAACTTCATGCTTTTATTTACTTTAATATGTGCATTCTTAGCTCAAAGGAAACATTTCCCATTTTACCCTTCTTTAAAAGATATTTCATGTTGGAAACAAGCAAGCCAACAATCCAAAAAACCCCAAATACTTCAGAAAGATACTAGGTTTTTAGTCTTATTTTATAAATAATGGTTGTTTTTCTGATTACACAGTGATATATGCTTATTGTATAATAATTGAGACACAAGTAATTGTAGGAAAATAAAAGCAACCATTAATCTACTGCTAATATTTAAAGAAGATTCTTTTCCCCCATTTATGTGTTGTGTGTATGTACATGTGGATGCGTGTACTGGGGATATATGAGAATTAATATTCCTATAACCTTTTATTTAATATATGCTATAAAACTTTCCCACATGATCACACACACACACATACACACACACCCTACATTCTATTATGTTTATGGATGTACTATGACTTCTTTATCCTTTTTCCAATTATGGGCATTTACATTGAAATTTTTAAATAGGATTATGATGGATATTGATGCATAACTACCTTGTAGATCATCTGTTTCTCTAAGATAGAGTTCTAGAAGTGTGAACACACTACCAAAATAAATAAGCATTTAAAAAGTCTCTGAATGACTTCATGCCACTTTCTAGATATGTTGATCAATTTATGCTAGCACTGGGAGGGGGGATGAAGAGAGTTTGATAAATGGGTATAAATATACAGTTAGATAGAAGACATAAGACCCTGTGTTTGATAGATCAGTAGGGTGACTATAGTTTGCAGTAATCTAGTGTATATATTAAAATAGCTAGAAGAGAACAATTCAAATGTTTCTAGCATAAAGAAAAGACAAATATTTAAGGTAATGAGCATCCCAGTTATACTGATTCAATCTTTAAAATTTATATGGATGTGTTAAATTATCATACGTACCTCAAAATATGTACAGATATAATATTATGCACCAAAAAAAGAATTTAGAGACATTATAACTGAAAAATTTATACTAGCACCAACAATGTGTGGTCTGTCTCTTTCTCTACATACACATATATCATAAATGCTTACAGAACATATATACATATGCATACATGTTCATGTACATATACAAATATATGTATATATTTTGAATTGTATTTAATGAGCTCAGATGTGAGTTTGTGTTTGTGTTTTGTGTTTGTGCATGCATTTATGTGTATATATATTTTATGAAAGTATTTCAGAGCTTCAGAAATATTTCTGGCATTCACCGAACATTAAATATTACACAGAAGGTTCACTGCTTTTTGATTCTGTCTAGTGTTTTAAGTTATCTGTGATTCATATTCCAGATAAACTTTCTTGTCCTTCATTAATTACAGGACAAACATATCCAGATCACAGAGGGTCTGTAGTGGTGTCAAGTTGCTTGCGGGAGGGGACGCCAGGCAAATGTTTATGCCCAGGGCTCTGTCCAGTTCTGCCATGCTATAAATAGATTCAACCAATTTAATTTGCATAATTAACTCTCCTAGCGGTCTGTAAAGGCTCTGCCAGCAAAGATTAGAGAATGACCGCCTAAGGACTATTGCTGTATCCTATTCATTTGAGCTCTCAGATCCTGTTCACTCTGAACTGAACTGCTGACCCCTAATATGAGGGCCAAATGAACATGCAGGGTTCCCTAAGAGCTCTTCAGTGCCCCAAGCTTTGGTTATCTCATGCACACCTGGAAATTGGTTGATAGGAAGTCAAGCCAGGCTGAATGGTAGAAAAAGGGTTCACACATTAGCCGGGTCAAACAGGCAAGAAATTAAATCACAATGTCCAATAAAAGTTTTGGAAAAATATTGCCCAGGTAATTTGGAAAGGGAAAAGTGCCAGAAATTGATCTGAAAAGTATACTGTTCATGGCTGTTAACACTGTCTTTACCATGAAAACTATAATAGTTAATTCCTGGAAGTCATTTGAGTAAGATAGATACTGAGATATATTTAAAGGCAAATAAAACATATTGTTTAGAAGATATATGCCATTATCATAATGGCATATATAAATACATACATAAATATAGACAGCAAAAAAGCAGAAAGTCAAAGCTTTCCTTCTTTAGAGAAAACTTACTTGACTTTTTGCATTTAGTGTGTTGGGTAGAAATTACATTATATGCACAAACGGTTACTTCTTGATTTTAAAATCTTCACCTATATTTGTTATTATCTATTATGAAAAATACTTTACCCACGTCATATCCTGAAATCATACCTCCTTCCCCCAATGACTTTTTAAACTTTACGTAGTTGTTTTTAGTCTGTTGATGATTGTCTAGAAATTTAAGAATTACCTTGATATTTATATCAGTTCAAGAACTTTAGTTCCTCATCTTCCTTCCACATAAGAAGAAACAATATATCCTTTATTTCCATCTACTTCTTTGCTCACACGTCATCACTCATCTTCTCTCATCTGTGACCCTACTTTTATGTACTCAAAATTTAGAACATTTATATTGTCTTTTTTACATTTAAAAAAAGATGTCCTTTTTTTCCTGTAGTAATCACTCTCCATTGGGAGCAATTCTGATTCCCAAGTCCCCACTGCAAAGGGATATTTGGCAATGACTGGAGACATTTGAGATCGTTGCAACTAGAGTGCTAAAAACATCTAGCTGCTAGAGGCCAGGGATGCTGTCAAATATCACACTGGATATTCCCCCATTTCAAAGAATGCCGATAGTGCTAAGTTTGAGAAACCATTTCTTCTGAAAACTGAAAACCAACAGGAGCTTTTTAAAGTAACACCAGGTAATAAGTTCTATGCTGTTCAAAGGAGGATCTTAAAACCACCAAGATTCAATAAAATTCATTTTCTTGAACTCGATCATTGAATAAAAATCATGCCACGTTGCTTGCTATTTGGACCATATTTTCTTATACATTTTGCTATTTCTGGAATTTTTAATTGCTTATCTTTATCTCATTGAAGGAAGAAATGCATGCTTTTTAAATCACAGCACTAGGATTATGCAGCTTCTTGATAAAAGGTCAGTTTTGTACAGATTGCTTATTATGACTGCTGCACAGCTGTCATTTGGGATCTTTTTTTTTCCTCTTACTTCTCTCCAATTTGCTTAGATTTGTCATCTTCATTTCTTAGATTCCTTTTTCATTTTGCTGATACAGAGTATTGTATAATTACTTCAAGAAAAATGTATAAGAGAGAAAAATTTTGCATAGCTTTATATTTGATCGTTTAATAGATTATAGAATCCCAGTTTCGAAACTGTTTATCACAAAACTTTTGAGATAATATTTCTTTGTCATTAAGTACCCATTGATCCCGAAAAAAGGTATCAGGTTAATCTCATTCTAATTTCTTTGGGGTCATCCCCCCCACCAGCTTCAAAACTTTTGGAGCTTCTCTTTAGCCTTGGTTGTAGTAATTAGGTTCTTTTTATATGCAACTAAAGGATGCAAGATTTAATTAACGTAAAAGGCCTTTATATGTTTCACATAAAACAAAATATAAACATAGATGCTTCTGGGGTTGATTTGAGCGTTTGGAGCTAGCTTTTCTCAGATCCTCTAGGCTATATCCATATTCTTCCTCCTTCTCCTCTTTCTCCTCCCTCTTAGTCTTCACCCTCTTCATTCTCTTTCTCTTTCTCCTCTTCTTCCCCTCTCTCTTTCTCTTAGTCAGAAAAAAAAATATTTCCCACAGAATCTCCTGTAGCCAACTTCTCCCTTTTCATTTAATTGGTCATAATGGGCAAACATCTTCATTCCATCATTAAACAAGTAAAAGGCTTATCTCCTGTGGTTGAAAGGTCACTGAACTTGTCTTAAGATATTGCTTCCCATTAGATATATGAACAAATTCAGATTCTTCTCAGTAAGGAGAGATAAGTAAATGACAGTGTCTACTTCGTTCTGTTTTCAGATTTGGTAAGTAAATGGCAATGTCATACATAGTATTTTGAAATTTTATTTCAACATCATGTATCAGCTGTTTTTCATTTTTTTAAATTTGTATAAATGTAAGGGGTACAAGTGCAATTTTGTTGCATATGTTGTGTAGTGGTAAAGTCTTGGTTTTTAGCATCAACATCAAACAAATAATGTACATTATAATCATTAAGTAAATCCTCAGTATTCAATGGTTCTGTTCAGTCTAAAAAGCATATTTTTGTTTGTGTTCTACAATTAATCTCCCTATAATTTTTTGTCCTCTTTTTGTGGAAGTACTAGTAGAGAGATATTAGTCCTTTGGACTGGTTCTCTTTGCTTTTTTTTTCTCAAAATTTTTCATATCTCTTTTTTTAACCATGTTCTAAGAAAATTCTAATCTTTTTTCTTACTTTCTTTTGATTTTTAATTATGTTGACTAATTTCAATACCATGAAGTCCCTGCATTGCTCCTTTCTCAATGTAAGTTGTTCTTATATTAGTGTAAGAGAATCTTGAGTCTGTCATAGAACACTAATAAAGATTTATTTAAGTTCTATTTTATTCCCTAAATTATCATTGTTTGCTATAGGTTGAGTAACTTGGTCACACGCTTTCATGCTGAGAATTTTTTCCACCTCTTAGTTAATATCAAAACGGTAATCCCATGGATAGCTGTGTTTTGTTTTGCCCTTTTTCTCCTGCTCTTCCTTGCCTCTGCATGAAGAAGAAGGTACATATACCCCAAGCTCTAAGCATGAGGGTAGGGGATAACAGCCAGCAGTCACACCCCATACCACCACTAGTGCCACAGAGGAGGACCCTATTCTAGGACACCAAAACCCACTCTGAAAGATTTATCTACTTCCAAAAGACCACTGCATTTTTGTAGAAGATTTTCTCTACTTTTGGCTGAAATCAAAAGTTGATATATGTAATGTGTATTTGTTGATTTGAGGAGTGGTTTGAAGGATGTGACAGACAGTAGTTCAATCAGTCACTTCCATTACTACCTTACTCCCAAAACTCACTCTTTAAATAAATCTTCTGAATCTAAGGACAAGACTGGGAAAAATGACCCCAACCTCCCCACAAGACCTCTCTCCTTATGATATCTGTGACTTTCTCCACCACAGTAATCCATAAATCATACCACAGTAGACTTCTGTCATCCTGAAATTTATCACAATCTTTAGTTTGTTCATGTCTTCTGTGCCCATTCACATTAAAAAATAAAAACACACAATCTTGTACTTAGCTGACACTTGAATGATTATTGGGGAGACATGGAAAATAAAAACTGTTGTTTTCCTACAGTATTGGAAAGGAACTCATGGTATAGGTAACTTTATTGGCTGCACATCAAGCTGTGAGAACAGATTATTGAATTCATAGGTTATACAATTTTGCATGGTCATGCAAGACCATTATAAACTCACAATTCTATTCCTTACTCAAATATCAAGCCCACGTCAATCCAGTCCTGGTTATATCTGCTCCTTATAGCATGATTCCATCTCCTTATGCAACTTTCTTCCTCAAATTTTCCATGTATTTATATAGGTATCCATTCATTCATTTATGTGCCATACATGTATTGAACTGCTCACATGCACCTGTTTTTCTGTTGGACATTATTGAGTTATCCATGAATAAGGCACATCCCTGATAAACTAACATTAACATGCAGCAAAACTGGCATGGAGAATGATTATTATATAGAGCATGACAAATGCTCTAATAAAGTTATGAACATAGTGCAGTGGGAGATGATTACCCTTCACTGGCTATTGTTCTTGTGTAAATAAGGCCACATTACTGAGGGCTTTAGTAATATTTTATTATTTAAATGTTTTCATGTTCTTAAAATGTCTGCTAGTGGAAGAGTTTTATTTTAGAAACAAATCTGCTCTGATCATTTAAAAGAAAAAATAGAGCAGGCAGTGTGATCCAGTGGAACAAGCTCTGAAGAGTAGAGTTCCATCATGTCACTAACTTACTACATTGCTGAGAATAAATCATTTTACTACTTTTGGCTTCAGTTGCTTCATCTGTAAAATAAGGACTTTCTCTAAGTAATCTCTAATGATCTTTTCTGGATTAGTAATTTAGGGGTGGTTGTACCTTCAGCCACCTGTACAGTATCTGCCCTCCCAGATGCCCAGGTGAAAATACTTATTCCCAGCTCCAAAAAGATGGATGTGGGATCTGGAATCCCTAGGAAAGGGCAGTTTTGGAGTACCCTTAGGCTGAGCTTCCTGACTTCATAGATGTCTTTCTTCAGCCAGAAATAGTTACAGGAATTGCCACATGCATTCTTCCATCTGGAGACCAGGACACTGGAGGCAGCAGCTTGCAGCACAAGGAGAATGGAGAAGGTCCTGAGATGCCCACACTCAGGCCCTGACACTGAAGCAGGATGTTTCTCTGACTCATTCACGGGATTCGTGACAGGTGTGCCTCCTTTACCAAGCCCATTGCTCTCAACTCCTCACAGGAGGGAGCACACAAGCAAACAAGACGGGAACTGGAGTACAGGGGCGCTGGAACCAGCCAGCGAACTCCCTGCAGGCCCCGCGGCACTTTCGGGGGCGGGGGATGGTGCCTGCGATCCCCAAAACCCCAAAGGGCGTTTTTTACAGTGCTCTTTTAGCTCTGCTGACCGCGGATGGCTTAAGTGTTAACAGCTCAGTGGGCCCTTTGCCTTTTCTCATGAGTCGGCTGCCCTGTGCCAGCAAGGGCAAAGGGCCAGTGTAACAGCCTTTTGTATCTGCACTCGTGGCTCCTGAGCTCCTGTTCGGCACACAGGAAAAATGAGGTCGCACCAACAAACTGAAGGATGGTAAATGTTGAGGATTTTATTGCCAATGAAAGCGGCTGTCACTGGGAGCTGAAAAGGTAATGGAAAGCTGAAAAGCGGATAAGGTGGGTAGGTACCTGAAGTCTGGCCATCTACGGCAGCTGGATTCTTCTCCAAAGTTATACTGTCAAGCTGTCCCTCTGAAGCCAAGCCACTTCTCTTTGACATCCAGCCGTAGTCTCTGCTCCTCTCCAACTGAGTATGAGGTATTTATAGGCACAGGTTGGGGAGTGGGGGCGGTGGGGGGGGGGTTGGGGTGCAGGCGGTGGATGGTGGGGGGGCGGGCATGGGTGATTT
This sequence comes from Homo sapiens, assembly GCF_000001405.40. Lineage (NCBI taxonomy): Eukaryota > Metazoa > Chordata > Mammalia > Primates > Hominidae > Homo > Homo sapiens. Next base: position 37,935,129 of record NC_000013.11, read on the forward strand.
AGGGAAAGGCAACACTCAGGTGGGAAAACAGGGATACAAATTCTCGCTTTGGGCTGCAGTTTCAGGCTTTTCAGCTTGAGGGTGGGGTTTTCACCAGGGACCTGCCGTTTTCTGCCTGGAATTTATCTATCTCCTGTCCCTATCACTACTTGTTCTTCTGGAAAGGCCCTTGGCCAGATGAAGACACGGCATTATGCTGAGAAAACCTTAAATGGAAGATGCTGATTTGGAATTGGACTGAGTTGTATTTGTCCTGAGCTTAAGGCAAACGTTTTAAAGCTGTGAGATATTCCACACTCAGCTGAATCTGAACTCCTCTTACCTTTTTCTCCTTAAATCCTCTTAAAGCTTTCTAACATTTTATATATTTTACCCACTGAGAGTATCTTCCAAAGATAACCTGAATTTTCTTATGAATGATTTTAGAGTGTCTTTTGATGATTAGAGTTCAGATCCTTTAACATGGTCTTTGCATTAAAGGTATGTAAGTTCAACATTTCTCTTACCTGTAAACAATATAGCTGTCAAGGTGCCAAGAATTCCTTTGTCCATCACCACAATTGAACTAAAGGCCAGATATACAAGTATACTCTCTTCATCTTTTCCATTAAAAATTCTACAATACATTATAGAATATAAAGGTTGTTATGGAGAGAGGAAGAAACTGAAATGGGAAGGAATTTTTTAATATTACACATGTGGAGAAGGGGTTTATTTTCTCTATATACATTTTTGTAAAATGTACTCATCGAAATGGACTTGGGACATCATAGCTCCTATTTCCATGATAGTGATAGTCATCATGAGGTCTGTAGTTTTCTAAGATTTTGGTAGCTATACTGATTAGTCCTCACAGAAAGCCTTAGAAAATTATAACCCGTAAGGTGACAATGCTAACACCAGCAAAAATTCATACTGATTCTGTTTAAGACTGTGACAGAAAGACCGTGGCTGGTCTGGCTGGGTTGGATTTAATTTGGGTGAGCAGAGTGAGCACCGTCTCCTAGCTGGAAGTAGAGCTGAGGTGAAACAGAGAAAGTGAACAAATAAATCTTTAAGAGGGGTCTGAGGAGGGAGTGAGACCAACAAAAATCAGGGACACAGAGAAACGGCATCATTGGTTGCCAGCACGAGGGTGAGGATCTGAGATGGATATCAGTAACTGGATCTGAGACGGGTATCAGTAACTGGAATATGAGTCCACAAATGAAAGACTGGACAAATGAAAAGCAGACCCAATAGTTGGAATGGGCAAGGAGGAGGATGCTAAGGTTGAATTCTAGATTTAGGCTCTTTCCCAATGCTTATTCATTTGCTCTCTTTGGCTGTCTGACTCCATTTTAAAAGGTCAGGAGAGGTGTTTACAATAATGTGCCGAGATCTTATATGATGAGAGGACTGGACACTAGCAGAACAATTCTTCTGAGAAGAAAACAGTTTTGGGAGTCTGAGTCACAGAAAGATCTGATGGATAACATAGTCTTACCAAGCATAAATTTAAATCCCAAGTGGAACAAAATGGCTCTCAAAAAGGCTGTAAAAATTATATAGGTGTCAGAGAACAATGTTTGTAACAAGTAGAGTACAGGAAAGTAGCTAAAGCTGAAAATAATAATAATTAAAGGAAATCCCAATGGTCAAGATGAGGCCCAGCTTCAATGAAATTTGAGAAATAACAAGACTAGAAATTGGGGCATATATGTCAAAGGTGAATTCTTTCTTTCTCTTTTATATTCTAAATTATGCGAAGGATAATAGGTTTATACTTGTGGTAAGAGACGAAAATAGAGCCCTGCACATGTGGTAGCACTTAATGGCAAGATCAAAACAATAGCAATGAGGATAGGATTTTCAAATATTAGAGGGTCTCCCTTCTGTACTTGTGTAGAATACTTTAAATTTCAAAACAAGGAATTTACATGATATGAGAATATGAATTTATTCAATAACGTTAAAAGCATAGATACTCTAATATTTTCAAATTGCATTACAGACAATATGTTATTTGCTCTGTTCCTGCAGCCCGCTCCGCCAGCACACCTATCCATCCCTACAAAACTCCTTTGTAGCTCTGTATGCAAATTATAGCATTTCACCACCACCACTAACTTAGGACTCAAGAATATCCTGCTCCTCTCAATACAAGAGTGTATAGTATGATTGGATCCAGGCCAATCAGAATCCTTCTCTAGATTTTCCATACTAACTCTGTAATGGAACCTATCCTGTAAGCCACCCCTCTGATACCTGTAGGGAGAGTAGAAAGTATATCGATGTTTATCTAGGATGATGCAGACCTAGCACAGCCTACAGCCATGTTCTAAACTTATGGTATAAAGCTGTGTGGAGAAGATACTATTGCCAATGCCCAGTGAAGAAGGGACAGAAATGGAGAGGGGCTAGATAGAAGCTAGCGTACTTTTAAGTCCCTAAATCCTGGTGTTTCTTATACAAACACCACTTCTATACTTTAGAGTTGATGAAACAGGTGTGGTGGCTCATGCCTGTAATCCCAGCACTTTGAAAGGCCAAGGCAGGCAGATCACCTCAAGTCAGGGGTTTGAGACCAGCCTGGCCAACGTGGCAAAACCCTGTCTCTACTAAAAATACCAAAATTAGCCAGGCGTTGGGGTGCAGGCCCATAGTCCCAGCTACTCAGGAGGCTGAGGCAGAGAAATCGCTTGAACCCAGCAGGTGGAGGTTGCAGGGAGCTGAGATCGTACCACTATATTCCAGCCTGGGCAACAGTGAGACTCTGTCTCAAAAGAAAAAAAGAAAGTTAATGAAACTCAGTATTACTCCTCTCCTTTTTTTCTTTTACTAAAACTAGTAAATCAAATTTAAATAAGATTATTACTTGTAAATAAAAAATATTGTAAAGAAATAGTACCATTTAGGCAAATGATTGCTTCTGAAGAGACTGCATTTTGTGATTTATACCAGAGTAAATTATATGAGAGCCAAATAATCACAGTAAATACAGTACAATGTCTTTATGACACTGATGAGGTCCTATTGGTAAAAACATTAATTTGGTGCCTTTTATAGGTGAGGTTGAGCATAAAATTAAGGAGGCAAACAAATAAATGAAAAACAAGCAATAGCCTTTCTTACATATAAAATTGATTTGTTTACCTCTAAATAAAACATTCATTACCAAAGTTCTTACTCTATTAAACCTGTTAATTGTCTTCTCCTGTGCCTCCATGATTTGTACTTCAGAGATAATGTGGAAGAAAGTTGAACTCTTAATTTATAATTCATCTTAAAATGGTAGTTTCCCATGGTTAAGGTATCTCGGCTTATTTACATTGCCAAAACTGGATGTTCCTTTGTAGCAAGTTCTAAACAGCTATTTTGTGAAGTTTAGGGTCACTGGTAATTTTGTGGGATCACTTGTCAGAATTCTTTTAATGAAAATTTTTCTCAGTGTTTGCAAGCCAGACTGGTCTTTCAGAACTTTGAATCTTGTGTTGAAAATATTTTAATAAACATCTATGATATGTAACGTTTCCATCAAATAATGAAATATTTTCATCTTGCATTTTATCCTCATATTATCAAAGAAATCATAAATTTAACAATTTTTTAAGAGAGTGTAAAAATGTCATCTACTTCCTCAGCATCTGCTAAATTTCAAGCCTTCTTCAGAGTTTGTGGAGTTGACAATAGTAAGGGAAAACTGGATAATAGGAAGAATGGGGAGAAGAGACATATTTACCATTGATTTGTGATAGCACATCGTGGCATGCCCAGGCGCTAGCACAATGCTACATACATATAGCTACTGAGAGATTTTTACCGGGACGTGTGCCCATGTATCAGCTGCCACAGTTTCTTAACTGATTCTCTTTCTGTTCTTTATCATCTGCTTTCTCTGGACAACATTTCTAAGCAAGCCACTCTGAAGAAGTGGTATTTCTGCACATAACATATACAGAAAAATTACACACTATTTGTATTTGTTCACTTTATTATTATGAAATGTAAAGTCATGTGAGTAGGGATTTCGCTTGGTTGGTTCATCACTGTGGTTTTGGGAAGCTACAGTGGTAGTATTCTAGAAGGCTCCCAGAAAGCGATTAATGAATTAATGAGTAAATGAGTTAACAGATACAATCTGAAAGAAAAAAATGGATGCAAAAAACATTAAGACTGAAAATTTCATAATACTGGGTAAGTTACTGAATAGAGTGGGTGAGATAAAGGAAGTTAAAGCTATTTCCAAAAATCATTAGATGGCTGGGAGAATGAGGTCATTAACTGAGGTAGAAAGCATATGTACAGGTGAGAGAAATGGCAGACAAGGTATTTATTTTGAGGGTCTGCCTGGCTGTCCTCATGGAGAAGTCTATTAGATAGGTAGAAAGGCAAGGCTGAAGTATAGGAGAGAAACAGGATCATAAAAGTAAATTGAAGCATTATTATCCTGAAGTTCATTGTTTAAATTTTACATAGATTATTTCTTCTGTCTAGAGTGATTGTTCTTTCTATGCCTTGATAAATGTTCCATTTGTTCTTCACCATCCAGATTGATGGTATTTTTATTTGGGCAGTTCAATTGACAGAAGGATATTTAATCATTTTTCCTTGATACAACCATCATATTTTTCCTTGAACACAGTATTAAACTGATGGCACAGCATTAGAAACAATAAATATATATTTCTATCTGCTCTAATCCTCATCTCCATACACACTTAACCGAAACTGAGGGTAAGAAACACATTTATTATCAAATAGTAGTAATAACACTTTAATAATAATAATAATGAATACACTTTTACAGCTGAATGAGTGAAATTATTAAGTGAAATTGAGGTACTAGCAGTTGAAGAGAAGCTAAGAATAAAAACTAGGAGAAACCCATATTAAAATGGATAAAGAAATGGAACTTATGATTGATGAAAAGAGAATGGTAAAGAAGACTGAGAGGGAGAAGAGGGATAGGAAATGAAGCAAGAAATTTACTTGCTACTTATTATGGAAGGAAAATTCAAGAACAAGGTACCTATAATGTTAAAACATGCAAAGAGTTCAAGAAGTACATTGCCAGAGATACGGCCCATAGGTGCTTAGTGACTCAGGACACTGATAACCTATTAGATGACCTTTTGGTCAAAATAGGAAATAGAATCAAGACCGAAGGTAGAATGGGAAATAAGCAGTAATAAGCATAAGGTGCCCCCGGTCCTTCCAAAAAGTTTAATGGCATGATGAAAAGAGGTGTAATAATAATCTAACCAGCTGTGGTTTCCTTAGGAATGTTACACTTTTATCTTATTTTCAATATTAACTAATATTAATATTAAGATAATTGACATATGTACTTTAAAAGAAGATATCCAATGTAACACAGTGAGATAGAAGGGATAAGTTCTAGCGTTTAATAACATGGTGGGTGACTATAATTAACAAGAATTTAACATCTATTTCAAAATAGCCAGAAGAGAACATTTGAAATGTTCCCAACACAAAGAAATGATAAATGTTTGAGGTCATATAAAATACCCTGATTTGATTAATACACATTGTATGCATGTATCAAAATATAACTATATACCCCGTAAGTCTGTATGAGTATTATGATTCAATTTTAAAAGTTATGAAAATGTTAGGCATGATTATTATGGAAATTAAAACAATACTATATATTTCTAAAAATTCATGTATACATAAGGACTATTCCAAGCACATTAGAGCATGAATCCATGAGGTGAAAGGGAAACCGAAATAAGTAAGGACAAGGCAAAGAAAAACTAATGAAAGAAAATATAAAACAAAAACAAGACAGCGGCTCCACATGGGCCAGTAATACAAGTTTATCATGCACAGGGGTCAATATAAGTAACTCAGCCCAATGGATCTGGTGCACATATGGGGAAAACCAGAGATGTAAGTAAGTAAAAGTCTCAACACTCATGGTTGCCAGGACCCTGGAGCTATTGCGGTTCTCTCTTCAATTGCTTTCGACCTCTTTCGGATTTTCTAACATACAATACACCAACCTTCACTAGAAAGAAAGAAAGAAATCCAATGTGAAAAAAAGAGATCAGAACTTCAAGAGAAAGATGCATTTAGTGGAACAAAACCCCAGAGGATATAGGGGAGGAGAGGAATATAAACAAAAGGAGGAGGAAAGAGAGATTTGAATGAATTTAGAAGAGAGAATGAAAAAGAAGAAAGAGTCAAACTAAAGAGACCTTTTAATCTGCTGGAATTAAAAATTGGCATTGTATGAAATTATAATTTTTAAATCAATGCTATTAGACAGATACAATGGCAATAATTTTCTGTGTGAAAAAGATTTCCAGTTAGATGTGAACAGAAACACACGAATAATAATAATCTTCCTATGATATAATGGAAATAAAGTCAAAGTTTTAATGACATTTACAAAATCTTTCAGAAGCCCAGAGTACCCCTTTGAGCTTTTGATTATCTTAGTATTTTAATATTATAATTACAGCATGTCAGTACTCTATTTAAAATGTAATTATCAAAGCTCAGAGGAAACTGATTCTTATGCATCCATAATTTTATACAATATAATTTTAGAGCTTGAGCTATTTTTATGTTATCATTTTAATCATAGAAATAGTAGTTAGGTTGAAAGTCTAGGGACTTGTATATTTCTTTTTCAATGGGTTTTTAAAGATAATCTTTACTTTTAAAGTGGCCTTGTCACGGAGTATACATTTATCTACAATAAATCAAATTGCTTCTGTTCAAATGGTTCATACAGTTTTCACAAACATATCTTAACAACAAAACTATATCCTACAAAAATATGTTTTATCAAATTCTTTCAGAGAAGCCATTTTTTTTCTACAAGAATTAGGAGGATATTTTAGAATGTATTGACAGGGATGCTTTATTGATTTCATTCCAGTATCTGCTTAACAGTCATCTCAACAAGACCTTCTCTGGCTGTCCTATTAAAAATAGCCTCTCAAGAAAACATAAGCTCCTTGACAGCTAGGGTTTTGCCTTTTTCGCCAAAGTATACCTGGGACCTGAAAAGAGGTTCTTGCATGCAGAATAAACAACTCTTATAGAATATATGATGTATACTTATGATTATTTTGGTGGGTTGGAAGTGAAATTTAGAAATTTAAAAAATTTCCTAGGTGTTTGACATGATCAGTCAGAATGAGAAAGCGCTCAACCAAAGCAATATCTAATTCCTTTTTAAAATAAAGAATTGTGTAGCCCCTCCCTCTGTTCCTCCCTTCCTCCCTCCCTTCCTCTCTTCCTTCCTTCCTTCCTTCCTCCTATACATGTTATTAAGAATGCTAAATACTAGACATCGTGGATACCAAAACCAAATAACAAATCGTCTCTGCCCTTAAAATGCATACAGTTAAGCAGTGCACATTTTCACCCTTTGAGAATAGATATGCTTTTTTCAGAGAGTTAAAGATGAACAAATAACATGATGAAACTGGTGAATACAGTGTGTGTTTATGTGTATTGTGTGTGTGTGTGTGTGTGTGTGTTTTACAAAATGAAGCGTGAGTGAAGCAATGAAGCTAATGTTCTCATGAGGTTTAAGACAGATTCAGGGGCATTCCAAAGGAGACATGGGGAACATGTTATGAGAAATAATATATTTTTTGGAATACATGTAAAAAAAAAATTCCCAAATGCTGTGAGCCAGTCTCCCATCTAAGTACCAATCCCCTGTACAAACAAACTCTGCATTCATCAGAAACATATACAGTAGTTTGGTTCCTTGGCCAACTAAGCCTAATTAATTAATTAACTTCTTGAAATAGGTAGGATTCCAGAACTTAGCAACTATGTCTAACAATATTTCCCAGTACACTACATGCAAGAAATAAATAAGATGGCAGGAACCTGAGTACACATTTCCTAACAACTCTGGCCCAGGGAAGAGTTATCTTCTCTTTGTATCTTCCTTGCTGAACAGTTCTCATCACAGGTCTCAGCACAGCCTAAGTAAGTCAAAGCAGGGTTCACAGCAAGGCAGTGATTGACACACAATAAGGCAGAGCAGAGGGAAGGGATCCTTCCTTTGTGCCCTTTGCCACCATTCTTTCTTTGAAGGCATCCCTCTTCTGCACCAAGATAATCCATTCTAAATCAAGATGAGAAGGGGGATCTAGGGCTAGAGTGAAGACTGGAGTTGCTCTGTGCTGGTAAAAGGGAATAAAATGGTGATGGGAGAAAAGGTAGGTTATCCACACTGACAGCAAGTAGAATCTGCCATTTTGAGTAAATACACACAGGATTCGAGAGCTACTCATATTTCATGGGACAAAATTCAACAGGATGTGTAAGTTCAAGTGTGCATACTAACAGCCAGCTTCACATTATAACACCTCATTGTAGCATTGGGAGTGATAAATCTATTTTCCATTAAAAATAAAACATATGAAGAAAACCTATTTTTTAGGTCACACTAAAGGAGAAACATTCAATTAAAGAAAGGAGTTCTCTCTTATTTTGTCTAAGGGTTGCTGTACAGCTTTAAGTCACATTTCCCTACCACACACCAAAGTGGAATAACAGAAATTTCCAGGAGCATTTGGTTTTCAAAAATTGTCAACGTAAGAGTCAGAAATAGGTATTGATGTCAAAGGGTAAAACAACCCCTAAATTTACCTCATCTTTATGCTCCCCTAGTGGGTTCCTTATCTTATATTTGTCCTATTGAAATTGAAATGATACTGAATTTAACTGAGTCTATTGGGCCATCCACAAGACTAAGATTCTTGAGGGCTGAACCAGTAGTGTACTGATAAGACAGCTCTGGAGTGTGGGAGTTCTGATTTGTGCCATTCCCCATTTCATTGCTATTAGAGTTTCTGCCATTGCCTGATTTCAAGTTTTCAAAGATTTATCAATAATATAATTTCTGAATATGTAACTATTGGCTCCAGTACATGACAGGCTGAGACAGAGTCTTTGCATCATCTCCTAACACACGGTTGGCAACACTGTTATGCGGTAAGCATTTGCTGAGTTCTAGTTGAGGAAGTTTTAAAATAATCCTCAGAGACTATTAGCTTTTCCAGTTCCTCAACTGTTTTACCTCAGGGCACACCACCTTTTATGAAACCAATTTTACTTTCTCGAGCCAATAGCATCCCCTTTTATAGCCTGTGAAAGATGAGAAGATAGAGGTTTAAGGAGTGTCCGAGGTACTACATCACAAAGTCCATGGGTATTTCCAAAGGTAGTCAATTTCAAAGCCTGCTTTGAAGGTTAATGCAAGCTGACTTTACATCACTACAAGAGTAGCAGTTATTCATACAAATGGTTTATCTCGAGATTTCCCTTAACTAAAATTTTTATAGCTGAGTGCAAATCGGTAAGAAGAGTATGTTTGTTTCTGAAGAAAACAAAGCATATATTGAGAGATTTAAATAACCTGGGATGTGTTTAATGTTATATTTGCTGCCATTTGTTTTACAGATTAAAACAGTCTCCAAAAGACTAAATTGAACAAGTTAGGCAGTTGCAGCAGAATGAAGATTAGAGCCCTTGTCTGACTAATTTCCAAGCCTTTGTTTCTGTGGCCAGGAGATAAAAAGAATAGCTGTGCCATAGAAGCTGGATAGGGGTCTAACGCAGACTTCGTCTCCCCTCTGCCTAGTTCCACTGAGTTTTCCAGGTTTCTGAATGGGTCAACGTGCAGAGTTTAAGATGTCAAAAGGAAAAGCCGAAGTGTTCATTATGAGAATGGTCACTAAGTAACTACTAGAAAATTTCGCAGGCCTGGAAATCAGGAAGAGGGATGGCAGGGTCCAGGTGTTGTTTCACGGAAAGGGAAATTCAGGGAAAGAATTTGGAGGAAGGCCAGTGCTTTCTGGTGAAAAAAACAGTTGCTTGGAGGCTGCGCTTGGTGGTTTGCGCCTGCAGTTCCAGCTACGGGAGAAGCTGAGGCTGCGATGGAAGGACTGCTTGAGCCCAGAAGGGTGAGGCTGCAGTGAGCCATGATTGCGCCATTGCAGTTTAACCTGGGCCACAGACTGAGACCCTGTATCTTAACAAAACAAAACAAAACAAAACAAAAGGTTGCTTAGAGGATTTTTTTTTTAGTGAGTTTTTCTAGATGTTTAAACGTTGAATGTAATTCTCTCCACACTTGCCCCCTCTGCTGCTTATTTAAGACACTTCATGAAATATCTTCCCTAATTATTATTTAAAGTTTTGAAATGAGATGGATGTTTACTTTAAAATGCATCACCTCAAATGAGACTTGCCTAAATGCGGCCCTGCTTTATTTTGGGTGTTATTAATCATGGGGAAAATGAAGGAGAATTGCACATAATTAGTCCATGGAAGTAGAGAGAACGTCTACTTCCTGGTAAGTATTTGATGCCAGCTAGTTCTATGACTTTATAGTTTAAAAAAAAAAACATGATTATAGATTGTTTCTTAGTCATTTCATTCTAAATACAAATAAAGTGTCTTCATGGGGCTTTGAAAGCATAGAACTTTGTCACGTGTACAAGAGTTATATATGTGACATATAATTTAAAAAATAAATACACACAACTTCTCCTTCTAACTTGAACAGTGGTCACATTCTTCAGTTTAGGAAGAAATTAAGTCACTCACCATGTGTCTATTCTGTCAATGGTATATTTCACTTTACCCTTTTTTCTGCCTGTTAGTCCTTGAGTTTATTAGATTATTTATTGACTAGAAATTCTGGCAGTCATATGAAAGAAGGAATCCAGCCAAGTTTCCTCAAATATTAAAATGAATAGCCTTGGATATGTCAGATGCTAAGTCTCATAGACATTGCCCTTTGAGAAACAAGTTCTTCTTTTTGATTTATGTGCTCATGTACAATAATTTTTCAGGAAATTGATTAAAAATATTTTAAGTATTTCCAAAACATCGCCTGTCAGTTCACAGGCATTGGAAAATGTAAATAGAGCTTTGGAGTCAAATAGCTCAAATATGTCAAACAGCAAATATAAATGAGTACAGTCAGCAGGTGTGTTGTGCCTCCAGCGCCCACATTCATCTTTAAAGTACCCAGGGCTAACTCTGCAGGCCTTACGTATTGAAAGTAACAAAGTGTCTCCTTGTAGATTTCTTTCCTTGCCATTACTGTCAGCATTTAGAGTTCTGCTATCTAAATTTCCATGCATTAAAGTCATTAAATACAAGGCAATGGCCCCAAGGAGAGCCTGCTTTTCTCTGGTTCTCTGGATCTACCTCTGTGCTTGTGTGTGGCTGGGGAGGGCCATGTTGTTTGTTGAGAGCGTTATCATTATGTCAGTGAAGGCATCTAGTCATCATTCCCAGTACCTGGCCCCTCAAATTAAGCTCTTCTCAGCAGCCTTCATGCCAAGGTTTCTTCACTGTCAGCTTTTAGTGGCAGCATAAAGTGAGAAATATGCTGGTGGATTTGATTACAAAAGTGTTAGTATGTCAGAGAGAAATCATTAGACATTTGGAAGCCTAATAATAAAACTGAACATGCAAAACTTTGAGCAGCAAAGCAAACCAAATTTTGGGGTTATTTTCAGAATTTTCTCTTAAATTTTCAGAATTTTATTCTTGGGACATCTGGACTCTATGATGAGAGAAGACAGAATAAAAATGTTAGGTGTGTAGATATGTGAATTTCTCATTATTATAATAGGTTTGATGTTTGCCCACAAAACAAATGTCTATCAATAAAGCTCCCTTTAATTATTCTTAATTTGAAATAAAATATGCATGGTTTTGTCTTGGATAAGGTTTGTTTCTTTCCATGGCATCCCCTTTTATTTCAGGGTGTCTACCTCAATGTTCTTTTTTTTTATTATTATACTTTAAGTTTAAGGGTACATATGCACAACGTGCAGGTTAGTTACATATGTATACATGTTACATATGTATACATGTGCCATGTTGGTGTGCTGCACCCAATAACTCGTCATTTAACATTAGGTATATCTCCAAATGCTATCCCTCCCCCCTCCCCTGACCTCACAACAGGCCCTGGTGTGTGATGTTCCCCTTCCTGTGTCCATGTGTTCTCATTGTTCAATTTCCACCTACGAGTGAGAACATGTGGTGTTTGGTTTTTTGTCCTTGTGATAGTTTGCTGAGAATGATGGTTTCCAGCTTCATCCATGTCCCTACAAAGGACATGAACTCATCATTTTTTATGGCTGCATAGTATTCCATGGTTCTTATAGAGGTGATATCAGCTTATATTTACAAGGCTTCTGAGTCAAGTCTTGTGTCCTTGCTCTTCTTTATTAAAACAATATAAATTGAGTGTTGGTTAATATGCATATAGTGTGGTGGATATTTTTTATCATATTGCTATATATGATTTAATGGCAAGTTAATATACCTGCATTATATCTCTTACACACTGCTGGAGGAACAACAGGATGTCAACAAATAATCTCATTGATAAATGGGAGATACAGAGTAGTCATAGGTGAAACCCTGCTGGTAGTTAGAGATGAGATCATCACCACAACCACTGCTTCTAGCCAGTCATGAAGCTGATGCTAAGTCATGGTTAAGGAGAGCTGGATGTGTGCTGAGTGCTAATCCATCTTGCCTGTTACAAATGGTGGGGAGATTTACAAAACTGCGGCACAGTGATAGACAGAGGCAGTAGGAAATGAAGTCAGAAAGATAAACAGGGGTAGTTAAGAGTTTACATTCATTTTATGTGTGATGAGAAGCCATTGGAAGAAGTATATTTTCTTATTTATATTTGAGAAGGCATATTCTACTTTTGCCTGGACAATAGACTCCATGGGAGCAGGAGTAGAAACAAAGCGACAAGCTAACAAGCTAATTATAATATTCTAGGGTTTGGACCATAGGTGTCTGAGATGGGATGACAGCAGTGAAGATAAGACTTGGTTAGATTCGAAGTATATTTTGAAGCTGAAGTCAATACCGTATCTTTCTTCACGCATTCTCTTCAGGATTTGGGTATACACCAGTACAATTAAACAATAATACTAATATCCCCAGCTCTTATCTACACCAATTCACAAAGTACTTCAAACTTTGAAATTTGTGGGGACCCCAGGAATGCCCTACAAATGCTCACAAATAAATCAGTTTCTACCAAGTGTTTCCATTGTTCTTTACTTCCCTTTCCTTCCCACTTCCCTTCTCTTACATAGGTGTTGATACCAAGAATGTTTATTATTCAACATTCTGTACACTAAAATTCATTTCAGAGTTCCCTTCCACAACCCCAAGATAACATGCAGTTAAACAAAAAGGAGTGAACAAGTCAGGCCTCATGGAATTCAGATGCCAACTGGCTCTAAGGAAAGGAGGATGGGGAGTAGAAGTGATCTAGTATAATTGTTTGTTGTTGTTGTTGTTGTTTTGTTTTAGACAGAGTCTCACTCTGTCACCCAGGCTGGAGTGCAGTGGCACGATCTCGGCTCATTACAACCTCCGACTCCCGGGTTCAAGCAATTCTCCTGTCTCAGCCTCCCGAGCACACACCAACCTGCCCGGCTGATTTTTGTATTTTTAGTAGAGACAGGGTTTCACCATATTGGTAAAGCTGGTCTCGAACTCCTGACCTCAGGTGATCCACTCACCTTGGCCTCCCAAAGTGCTGGGATTACAGGCGTAAGACACCACACCTGGCCGATCTTGCATAATTGTAAAGTTTTCATGGATGCTCTTTCTGAGTATTAGTTCCTAGTTTTTCTCACCTCTAACAGCTTTTCAGTATTAAAATTAACAAACAAATTAAAATGAAACAAAATTAAACAAATCAAAACAAAATGAAACAAAATATCAGAATAAAGCAGCTCAAAATACACTTTCAATGTATCTCCTCCCAATCTATGTTACTCTGATGCAAAGATTAGAAAAAGTAAACTCAGGTGCTTTCATTTGTTTGTAACCATTTTAGATGTGGGTCTCTCTAGACAGAGTAAAATGATTTACTAAAGTTAATTGTACTGCTGTAGATTATGATATTTTTCTATTTTGTTGTCTTATCATGCCTTTCAATGGGCATTGCAAATACAGCTGAGTTAGCTGCCACATCTCCACAACCTCTCTGGCTCTCTGCACTTTCTGCAGGGCCTTTGCCTGCTCCTGTCACACGATGAAGAGCTTCACCTGTCACCTTGGCCTCCTAGTGGAACCTGGGATCAGCCTCTTGGAGATAGCTATTCTTTTCTTTTTTTCTCAGAAATATAACAGATCTGCAGTGGATTTTGGCTTCTTCCCAAAAGCTCAATTTGCCTGCAAGACCCAAATACAGAACTTTCTAACGCACCATACAATATTCTTACATTACAAGAAATATGCCCTCTGCTTTGCCCCCTGTGTTTCAAGTAAACAAGTATATTTTGAAAGTGCACAGATAAACCAATACATCCTGGAGTCACGTCATCCTGGTTCAGGAGAGGACAGGAGAGAGAAGAGTTTAAAAATGTACGCATCTTTTGATTAGAAGTGGTTGAAATTTCAATGAAATCTTACTACATATGATTTTTATTCCTTCTTTCTTTGTTCCCATAGTTTTTGTGAATTAGAATCCCTGGAGATTTTTATGAAGGGCACCTCTTTCCCTCAAATAACCTCTAGGACCAGTTAATATTCTTAAGTCAAGTGAGTCTTTGAGATTCCAGAAAACTGGGGAAGGAGTTTATAGACAAGGAAACCATCTCATCAATCCATCCATCCATCAATCATATATAGATGGAGTACATAATACTTGTGAGACTCTATGTAAACCAAAGTTTTTTTCTGTCCATAATCTTGCCTTAGGAAGAGAAATGGGTTAAAAGACACACAGACAAAGGTGTGCAAGAATCTGTTCTGAGATTCCTTTAGGTATCCCTGGATTCTTTGCAACATAGAACTGATGTGCTTGAATTGTCTTGGTGTAGACATTTTCACTTAATCCACTTTTAGGTATTAAGAACTAGGACTATGTAGACAAATGGATACAGACTCATAAAATATTAATTATACTAATTTACTAAAATTCGTTTGTCATTTGTGTTTATGCACATCACTAAATAAATCAGATCAAGTGTGTTTTAAGTTGTGCTTGCAGATGCCATTTCTTCATTCAGCAGGTATGTAGTGAAGACTTTGTTCTGGGCAAAGGCTGCAGATATGCTAGTGATCAAGTCAAATAGAACTTTGGCCTCATAAAATTTAGTTGTTAACCACTCAGCCTTGAAAATAAATTAGGAATTATATAACCTAATGGGTATTTTTTTAGTCCTGAAATTCTTTATAATCTACTTTGAGACATTCAAAGTATGGTAGCCTTAAGAGATAATAACTTGTAAGAAAAGAACATTCAAACCGTAACTTTATCTCAAAGGCCTCCTTCCCAAAATTTCCAAAGACCCTCAGAATAGATGTCATATTCACAGCAATGTAGATTTAAAAGACTGCTGAAAAGTATAATTATTTTTAAATTGTAAGGTTTTAAATGATAATTTGATAAGAGATGCCTTAAAATTAATGCCTTCAAATTGATGGGATAGGCAAAAGTCGATGTTTAGGTACATATGTCATAAAATATGAGGTATTTATAAAATAAAAGTTACACAATGGAGTGGACATTCAAGATCAGCAGGCTTCTCCATTCTCCTTGGGAGCTTTACAGTTGAAGTGTGTAAATCTAATCTAATTATGAACTAGAAAATTCTGACTTTGAGATTTGCAATATAAGTCAAGTGCTTTTCTAGCCTTGTTGTATTCTTTAAGTCACTTTATTCAATTCTCTTCTGAAACTCCTTACTGACAGAAGAACATTCTAAGTTCTGACTAAAAGAGCATGATATTCCGTGGTGTACATGTGCCACATTTTCTTTATCCAGTCTGTCATTGATGGGCATTTGGGTTGATTCCATATCTTTGCTATTGTGAATAGTGCTGCAATGAACATACACATGCATATATTGTTATAACAGAATAATTTATATTCCTTTGAGTATATACCCAGTAATGGGATTGCTGGGTAAAATGGTAATATTTCTGGTTCCAGGTCTTCGAGGAATCACCACACTGTCTTCCACCATGGTTGAACTCATTTACATTCCCACCAACAGTGTAAAAGCATTCCTGTTTCTCCACAACCTCACCAGAGTCTGTTGTTTCTTGACTTTTTAATAATTGCCGTTCTGACTGGGATGAGATGGTATCTCATTGTGGTTTTGATATGCATTTCTCTAGAGATCAGTGATGTTGAGCCTTTTGTCATGTTTGTTGGCTGCATGTATATCTTCTTTTGAGAAGTGTCTATTTGTGTCCTTTGCCCACTTTTTAACGAGGTTGTTTTTTTCTTGTAAATTTAAGATCCTTGTAGATTCTGGATATTAGCCCTTTGTCAGATGGATAGACGGCAAAAATTTTCTCCCATTCTGTAGGTTGTCTGTTCATACTGTTGATAGTTTCTTTTGCTGTACAGAAACTCTTTAGTTTAATTAGATGCCATTTGTCAATTTTTTGCATTTGTTGCTATTGCTTTTGATGTTTTCGTCATGAAATCGTTTTCAATGCCTATGTCCTGAATGGTATTGCCTAGATTTTCTTATAGGTTTTTTATAGTTTGGGGTTTTACATTTAAGTCTTTAATCCATCTTGAGTTAATTTTTGTATAAGGTGTAACAAAGGGGTCCAGTTTCACTTTTCTGCATATGGGAAGCCAGTTCTCCCAGCACCATTTATTAAATAGGAAATCCTTTTCCCATTTTTTGTTTCAGCCAGATTGGTCAAAGATCAGATGGTAGTAGATGTACAGTCTTATTTCTGGGTTCTCTGTTCTGTTTGATCGGTCGATATGTCTGTTTTTGTACTAGTACCATGCTGCTTTGGTTACTGTAGCCATGTAGTATAGTTTGAAGTCAGGTAGTGTGATGCCTCCAGCTTTGTTCTTTTTGCTTAGGATTGTGTTGGCTGTGATGGCTCATTTTTGGTTCCATATGAATTTTTAAAATGACTACTTTAAGTATTTTTATTCTAATTTTGCAAAGAATGTTAATGGTAGTTTAATGGGAATAGCATTGAATCTATAAACTACATTGGGCAATTTGGCCATTTTCATGATGTTGATTCTTCCTATTCATGAGCATGGAATGTTTTTCCATTTGTTTCTGTCCTCTCTGATTTCCTTAGGCAGTGATTTGTAGTTCTCCTTGAAGAGGTCCTTCACTTCCCTTGTTATGTTAGCTGTATTTCTAGGTATTTTATTCTCCTTGTAGCAATTGTGGATTGGAGTTCATTCATGATTTGGCTCTCTGCCTGTCTATTGTTGGTGTATAGGAATGCTTTTGATTTTTGCATATTGATTTTGTATTCTGAGACTTTGCTGAAGTTACTTATCAGCTTAAGAAGGTTTTGGGCTGAGATTATGGGGTTTTCTAGATACAGGATCATGTCATCTGCAAACAGAGACAGTTTGAGTTCCTCTCTTCCTATTTGAATAATTTGAATACACTCTATTTCCTTCTCTTGCCTGATTGCCCCAGCCAGAACTTCCAATACTATGTTGAATAGGAGTGATGAAAGAGGGCATCCTTGTCTTGTGCCAGTTTTCAGAGGAAATGCTTCCAGCTTTTGCCCATTCAGTATGATATTGGCTGTGGGTTTTTCATAAATGGCTGTAATTATTTTGAGATATGTTCCTTCAATACCTAGTTTATTGAGTTTTTAACATGAAAGGGTGTTGAATTTTATCAAAGGCCTTTTCCGCATTTATTGAGATAATCGTGGTTTTTGTCTTTAGTTTTGTTTATGTGATGCATTATGTTTTTTGATTTGCATATTGCATATTTGCGTATTGTATAAGGGACTTGATTGTGGCGATCATGTCACTTGCAGGGACATGGATGGAGCTGGATGTCACTGACCTCAGCAAACACAGGAACAGAAAACCAAACACCACATGTTTTCACTTATAAGTGGGAGCTGAACAATGAGAACACATGGACACAGGGAGGGGAACAATATAGCTGGGGCCTGTCAGGGGTGGGGCCGGGGATGGGATGCATGCTGGGGTTAATACCTAGGTGATGGGTTGATAAGTGCAGTAGACCACCATGGCACACATTTACCTAAGTAACAAACCTGCACATCCTGCATATGTATCCTTAAAATAAAATAAAATAAAATAAAATAAAATAAAATAAAATAGATATAGTAGAACTTAGATGGAAAATTAGTAAATAAAAAAGAAGATACCTTATAATACTTAAAAAAAAGAGCATGAACTTGGCTTTATGGGGATCTCCATCATTAGTAGAGATAAGGTAGGAATTAAAAGTATGTTTTCATAATATACTTATCCATTTATTTTAAAAAACCTCAAATATACAAACACACTTCATTGTTTTTAATCAAATCAAATGTTGTGAGGTGTCCAGCTTACCCTCAGTTTATGGATTAGTTTAAGATGGACTCAAATCTCATATGTCTATTTTCCTGGACTTTCAATTATAGTATTCAAGTGTTTAAATGTTTAGTGTTTAAGGGGGAATGAAAATAATTATTAAGGTCACATTTAACAGAAAATGGTGGTTTTTCTTGGCAATAAGACTTCAAGGTTTCTATGCATTTTACAGTAAAAATAATTCAGTGAGCTTCTCAGGGTGACTTATCTGTGAATTTAATTAATGCAAATCCAATAATGTAAACAGATTGCATAGTCCAGAAACATAAGATTGAAAATGAAAAACTCTTTTTGTAATTGCTTAACTTTAATTTTATTTTTTCTCTCTCTCCAGGAGTTTATGGCTCTTTCCCAGTTTGAAATAGTTAATTTCCCCTGAGGTCCTTAAATGTAATGAGTTGTTAACTTAGTAACTGCTAATTATAAACTATTCAGCCTTACTCAAAAAAAAAAATGAATCATTGCTGATTTCAGGCCATTTGATACATTTCAAATTCCTATCCATAAGTGATTTTATTTCTAATAAAAGGAATCAGTAGCATAGAGTGGCTATTAAAGGCTTATTGACCTTGAAGCTTTCTAACATCTATTATCCAATCTTTTCATATTGCAAAAAGTGGGCCCATGTGTTTTGCTATGATTACACAGAATAAGCCACAGCTGTTTGTCACATATACTACCTAAGTTAAAATGATAGCTCCAATTTTATTGATCTCTTATCATATGTCAGATGCTATGCTAAACTCCTTCATATGTTACTTTCTAGTCTCACAAAGGTCAGTATTCTTACAGTACCCAGTTTAAAGGTGTGGTGACTGAGGCTCCCAATGGTTAAGTAATTCATTCAAGGGCTTATGACTATTAATGATACGATCTGGATTTCAGCCAAGTGTGCCTGAATGCAGGTGTGTCACCTCTATGGTATGCTGCCTTGTGCACACCAACAATTACTTAGTTATATAAGAACCCAGGTATATTCTCCTTAAGAAATTAATTCCACTCTAAATTTGCTATTCTTTTGGCTGGTCCAAACTTTACTGACAATAAACTTCCTACAGTATCTACTCAGAAAAGAAAAAAAATAGAGGCTGGGTGCGGTGGCTCACGCCTGTAATCCCATGTCTTTGGGAGGCCGAGGTGGGTGGATCACCTGAGTTCAGGAGTTCAGGACCATCCTGACCAACATTGTGAAACCCCATCTTTACAAAAATACAAAAGTTAGCTGGGCGTGATGGCATATGCCTGTAATCCCAGCTACCCGGGAGGCTGAGGTGAGAGAATCGCTTGAACTCAGGAGGCGGAGGTTGCAGTGAGCTGAGATTGCGCCATTGCATTCCAGCCTGGGTGACAGAGCGAGACTGCATCTCAAAAAAAAAAAAAAAAAAAAAAAAGGAAAAGAAAAGATAAGAAAGTCCAGTAGATCTTTTCTTCATAATTTCACCTGTAGTGAATTATTTAATAGTATGCTATAGAATAGAGTCTTGTGAGATTTTTATCATAATTGTGAAGTTAATTTACCAATGTATGTAGCATGTTTACAGGTAATGATTTCTTTTCTGGCCTCTTCTGTGTATTCTGAGATTTCTTATTGTATCTTCTATGTTCTCATACTCTACATTTCTTTTGGGTCTAATATTTATTGCAGCTCTTCTGATACCAATATTTGGGCTTCAAAACTTTGCTAGACTATTCACCCCTCCATCAGAACAGAGTTGCATCTATATGGAAGGACACCCACAAGGCTGATCCATCTTGTTACCCAGAGGTTTATCTGGGGTCCCTGTGAACTGTGCTTGCAGAAGTCAAAATTGGAATAGAGATTCTGCTAAAGAGATAGGTGTATTTTTTGCTTCTGGGAGGCAAGAGAGTCAGAAAGTACAGAGATAGGTAAGATGGTGACAGGAACAAGTAACAATAGAAATACATGGAGATGAATTATTGGTGTGGCTAGGATTTTAATCTGCTGGGGGAATGAGTATTAAAGTAGGGGGAATATACTTATTGTAGGATATTTCAGAATATATCCTTTAGTTCTTTTATCAAATTATACCTGTATTCCTCTCACCTCATTCATACTCTGCCCCCATCCATAGATTCTCATAGCATGAAGACTCCCCACTACCAACCTGGGCAGAGTATTTTCCCTAGCAGTGAATTACATCATTTAACAAAAAATATTATTGGTGGAAATACTTGGCAGGTGAAATAATCAAACACTAAGCCATTATTCGGGATCATTTTGCAAATCATCAAGTCCGAGAGACAGCTACTAAATTGAATGCTGAAAGCACTTACTAGAACGGCAATATTTTGGCTAAAAACACAAATTTTACATCAATTTGGGCAAGTCTCCTTGTAAGCCTATTCCCTTATCAAGGAAAGGAGTAATTAAAACAATAGCAATCTCATAAGGACATTGTGAGGTTTAAATTATAAAGAGCATTAAGTGTGACATTTGGCACACAGTAAATAGTCAGTGAATGCTAATTGCCACTATAGGAAACAATAATTGGATCAGAAAAGAAAGATATAGAACCTTCTTTCCATCTAAACTTTATCTTAAGTGATTTTATTTCATAAGGTACACAATAGTAGACAATTTAACCTATATAAGACATTTCACCTTAATATGTAATCTGCATTTAAAATGTTTGCAATTTCTCTTCCGCTGTTTCTGTTATTATATTGTCTTGATTTTAGATCAAGGTGAGGAGGAGGGCAGTGGGAGATGCTGACTGTTCAGGAGAGTGGATAATATGACATATATATGGGAGACTCTGCCAAATAAATTGGAAAAATTCTATAAATAGTACTCTGAATGCTTTATGAAAGCAACAAAGCAAGTTCCTGTGTAAAAACTGCAGAAGAGTGGTGGGAAGGCATCTTTCTGAGGAGCTGCTTTAGAATACTACATAAGTTATTCTGCAAACTGTAATGGTAGTTTCACCCAGCTTTCCTTAAATTCCAAATGTATCAATCTATAAAAAGATTAACTTAATTCAAATTTATATTTTATTACATTGTTTGATTATGCTAAAAAGATGACATTTGTAAGATCCAAGGGAACTAACATGTACATTTTCCTACAGAATTATTTCCATGCTGCTATATCTTAGTTTAATGTACTTGGCTTGTCCATTAATGTACAAGTCATGACTTGTACATTACAGGTACATTACAGTACAAGTAATGACTTGTACAAGTAATGACTCATCTACTTGGCTTGTAAGGATGCCATTTTAGAAATCTGGATATACATACCTGTTTACTCAGCAATTCCACTCAAAGGTGTGCATGTTTATCAATGAGCACAAATATCATCAAGAGGACGGTTCAAACATATTTATTTTAGCATTATTTGTAGTAGCCTCAAACTGAAAAATATTCAAATGTCCATTAACATTATGATGAAAATAAATTATGATATATTCACAAATAAAAACCTACACATCAATGAAAATGAACTAGCTACAGTTGCAGTCAACCATATTTGTAAAGCTCACATATTGTTGGGCAAAAGAAGCTGAAAACAAAACAACGCATACTATATGATTTCAGTTATAAAAATTACCCAAACTGGCAGGACTAAACTATTGCACTTAGAAATTCTTGCATGAATGGAAAAATGCAAATAAAGTAATTACCATAAATTCAGGATAATGACTATTTTTGGATGGGAGAATGCATAATGAGGACTTTTGGGGTCCTAATAAAATTCTATTTTTTTTAACTTGTTTTGTGATTACGTGGTATTTCGCTTTTGCTAAATCATTAAGCTATACGTTTTTGTTTCTGTACTTTTCTATACGTATGCTATGGTTCAAGTAAAACACATCATCAGAGAAACACCTTTCAAATTTATCGAATAAACTGCTGCTGCTATCTGTTTTGTATTAGGCACCTATAACAAAACGTATTTCATTTTCACTTTGTTTTTTATTGTGTTAATGGGCTCATGATTATTAAAGAAATTAATCAGAGCTATTTAAAGCCATTATATTTATTAATTATTCTATTAGGCTATTTTAAATGCATATGTAAGTAAGAATGACTTTGCCTTTTGTGATTTATATTACTAAAGGATGTTTCTAATATTTAAATATTGCCATCAGAAATTTTCTAAAAATTGCATTTATTTTTTATTTTTCTTTTAAAAAGCTTTGAAATTCAAATCAAGGTATCGACATTTTTTTTCGTCATACACATAGAGTTGATTCTAAACTTGTAAGAAGGATCAAGATATATTTACCGTCAGATAAGAATAATAAGGCATTTACCCCATTAGTTATTAGAAGTTACAAAGCTATGACAGTTAAGTATGGAGAACGACATATAGAAAAGTGAGGGAAATTAAAATGTAAGAGACAATTCCATGCATAAATGGATATTTGATCTATACCAGAGACGGTATTGAAAATCACTAGATAACAGATGAGCTATTCAACAAATGCTGTTGATCTTTAGGAAAATCTGTTATCCTTTAGGAAAAATGTAATTGAATCCATTTCACATTATAACCAGAAGGAATTTTAAGTAAATTAAAGAAAAGGTGTTAAAGAAGACTATACAGTTCGAGTCTTCTTAAACTTATGGTACGTAAAACTTATTAAACAACACACAAAAAGCACAACCCGGAAAAAACAAGGTTTTAAAATTTGCTTGTATTAAATTTAAAAGTTCTGTTTCTTAAAATTTGTTTGAAGAAATATTTTAATAGTTATTCTAATGCAACTATGCTGCTGATGAACTGCATGGCTGAAAATGTTGGCATTTTAATCTTCATTTTTGAAACATATTTTCAATATCTTATAGTTGTTACTCCATTTATTCTAGTTTCCATTGTTTCCAATAAGAAATCTGCTATGATCTTTATCTCTGTTCCTTTGCATGTAATATATATTTTTTATTCTGACTTCACTTAAGATACTGGTGTATCTTCACTTTATCACTGGTTTTAAGTAATATGATTATGACGTTCATTCGTATACTTTTCTTTCTATTTCTTATTTTTCAGGTTTGCTGATTCTTTGGAGCTGTGGGTTTATTATTTTCTTCAAATAGAGCATTTTCCACCATTATAAAAATACCTTTCTAGTGCCCCCTTTTTTCTCCTTATCTTCTAAGACTCCAAATAAACCTATATTTAGCTACTTGCAATTACTCTATCTTTCACTGATGGCCTGTTTATTTATTATTTTGATAGTCTCTTTTTGTTGAGGTCTCAGTTTAGTTTCTATTACTATATATTCACACTCACTAATATTTTATTCTGTAACCTCTAATGCCATTAAGCTAATCCAATCTAATTTTTAATCTCAAATATTGTAGTGTTCCTTTCTAGAAGTTCTATGTGCATCTCTGAAATATTTTTCATTTCTCTACTGAACATGTTCAATCTTTTTCTAGCTACTTAAACATATGGAACATATTTACAATATCTATCTTAATGCTTTTGCCTACTAATTCTCTCAGGTGTATCCTTTTTTGATTACTATTGATTGACCGATTTTTTTCTTCAATACGAGCTTTGTCATTTCTCTGCTTATTTGACAACCTATTAATTTCTGATGTGATGCAGATTTGAAAAATGTTTACCTTGCTGTGTGCTGAATAGATTTGCATGACTATAAATTTTCTTGATCTTTGTTTGGGACTTGCTTAAGCTACTTGGAAACAGCGTAGTTTTCGGTTTTTTTGTTTTGTTTTGTTTTGTTTTGTCTTGTTTCTTTATTATTTTTTAGCAGGAATAGAGCTGTATTTAGTCTAGGTTTAAATTTTTCTCACTACTGAGCAAGACCCTCCTTAGTAATCTAACCAATGACTACTGAGTTCTGGCTATTGGGAACAGATATTATTTCCAATCTTGTGGGTATCTTGGTTACTAATCCTTTTAGGTGGTTCTTTCTTCATTCTTGGATAATTTCCTCATGAGCATGTGCTGATGAGTACTCAACTGAATACTTGTGGGGCGGGAGGAACCTTATGCAGATCTGTGGAATTATCTTTATGTGCAGCTGTGTCTTCTCTGGTAATCTGCCCTGCAAACTCACTATCTGGCCCTGACCAGAACCCCATTTTGTCTTCTCGGTTAGGACGATTGCTGAACTTTTCCAGGAAGCTCCCTCTCTGTGCTGCAACCCAGAAATTTTCTCTGTACAGTACACCGGTCGGTCAAAAGCCTTTCCTTGTTGGTTTCTCTTCTCTCATGGAGCAATGTCCTTCTTTATTCAACATCTTGAGTGCCAGTATTTCTTAAATTTTATCTCTCATTAGGTGTTTCAAGTGGGAGAGTAAATTTAGTCCCTGTTATTCTATATGTACTGGGATTTAAAGTTTGTTGTTATGCCTTGTCAATCTCCTTTAATAGGAAATAGTTTCTTACCTTCTTTTGTCTTTTATAACTTGAGTTTTTAATGTATTGGCAAATTATTGTGAAACATGTCCTTTCATTTGAATGCATCTGATATTTCCTCATGGTTACAGCTTAAAAATTATTTTATCAAGATACCACAATGGTGATGCTATGTCTTTCTCACTGAATTATATTAGAATGCATATAATGATTTCCTCTATTATTTGGAATGTTAACTTTGAACAATTAGTAAAATGGTTCCTGACAAGTTATAGCTACTATTTTTATCTTTGTAATTAATAAATATTTTGCATGGATATAAATTAAGCCTATGGAAATATCCTAGTTTTCATTAGATTTTCAAGTAGATTTATCATTCATTGATGATTATTTCTTAAATCAGTGATTACTATTGCTTTTTAACATTATGATTTCTTCATTTATTGCTTGGAAAGTGGGTATAAGAAAGAGGTTTCCCTTATTTCTTTCTTTATATAAATTTTTATTAATAAAGTTATGACTTTATGTATGTAAGTGAGATTTGGCTCAAGGATTCTTTACAATTGGTTATAACTTGTTATTATAATTACTTATTTTAATATGCAAATCATTTCATGTTTGGAGATTAGGAATCCCTTCAAGCTGACTGCCATTCATTTTTCATGTTTCCAATATTCTTAGATCACTTGCTTACTTTCTGGCATGGCGAGATTTTCAGGTTTATTTTACATTTATTTTCTCAGCTCTAACACTAGAGGCAGCATTTTCTCCAAGGAACCCTGGTTCCATTTAGCAAAGAGTAGCAGTTGGAAAAATTATCTGGTGCTACCTGTTTTCATTGCTACTAGGTCCTTTTAGTGGGTACATTTAGGAATTATAGATGAGTAGAGATAGATAGATATGCATATTATATATGCACATACATCCATATCTTCTATTTCTATCTATGTATTTATTCAATTGTCATGTATGTTTTTTCCATTTGCTCTTACTATGGAGCCTCTTATCTTTACAGAGGTTTTCAAAAGTTTTATGGATTTTGCCTTTGTCCAAGGAAGTAATTTTATTCTTCTTAAAATATTTTCTGTGTTGTTCTAGGTTTTTTGGGGCTGCAACAACTTGCCCGATCCTGGAAACCACTAAATTGGCGTCATCATTGTCTAGTGCTATCTTTATTATCTTTTTCTTTTTTACCCTGCTGTGCAATAGATCTCAAAACTTACGTCTGTCTATTTGAAACTGCACCCTTCAACCAACCAATCTCCCCTTCTCTTTCTCTCTGTAACGCCCTACCCCAGCCTCTGGTAACCACCATTTTACTCTCTACTTTTAAGAGTTTAGGCTGGGCGCGGTGGCTGACGCCTGTAATCCCAGCACTTTAGGAGGCCAAGGCGGGCGGATCATGAGGTCAGGAGATCGAGACCATCCTGGCTAACACAGTGAAACCCCGTCTCTACTAAAAATACAAAAAATTAGCCAGGAGAGGTGGTGGGCGCCTGTAATCCCAGCTACTCGGGAGGCTGAGGCAGGAGAATGGTGTGAACCCGGGGGGCGGAGCCTGCAGTGAGCCGAGATCTTGCCACTGCACTCCAGCCTGGGCAACAGCGAGACTCCGTCTCAAAAAAAAAAAAAAAAAAAAAAAAAGGGTTTAACATTTTTAGATTCCACATGTAAGTGAGATCATGCAGTATTTGTGTTTCTGTACCTGGCTTATTTTACTTAGCATAAAGTCCTCCAGATTCATCCACATTGTCCCAAATGACGGAATTTTCTTTTTTTTTTTTAAGACTGAATAGTATTCCATTGTGTATATATACCACATTTTATTTATTCATTCATCCATTAATGGACATTTAGGTTGTTTCCATATCTTGGCTATTATGAGTAACGCTGCAATGAACATGGGAGTTCAGATATCCTTTTAACATATTGATTTTAATTCCTTTGGATAGATACCCAGGAGAGATTACTGAATTATATGATATTTCTGATTTTAGTTTTTCGAGGAACCTCTATACTGTTTTCCATAATTGCTATACAAATTTACTTTACTACTAATAATGTACAAGAGTTTTATTTTCTCTAAGTCCTCTCCAACACTTATTATTTTTCATATTTTTACAGGTGTGAGGTGATATCGCATTGTGATTTTAATTTGCATTTCTCTAATGATTAGTGATGCTGAGCATTTTTTTCCATATACTTGTTGACCATCTGTATGTCTTCTTTTGAGGACTATCTGTTGTCCAGATCCTTTGCCTACTTTAAAATCAAGTTATTTATTCTCTCGCTATTGAGTTGTTTGACTTCTTTATATATTTCAAATATTAACCCCTCATCAGACATATGGTTTACAAATATTTTCTTCCATTCTGAGAGTTGTCTCTTCACTTGGTTGTTTCCTGTGCTATGCAGAAGCTTTTTAGTTTGATACAATCCCACTTGTCTATTTTTGTTTTGTTGCCTGTGCTTTGGGATCATATCCAAAGAATTGTCACCCAGACTAGTGTCATGTTTAAGTTAATAAGATTATGGTATATATTTCCCTTTTTGCCCTTTCATGCAGCTCTAGCTTGGCCTTTAAAACCTTGAATCTTCATTAAAAAACACCTTTAAGTATTCCCTTCTTACTTCTACTGTTTATTCTCTTCTATTCAGAGACAAACCGGTTTGGGGCAAAATTCTCTGTTCACTGAAGGCAGGAGGCAGCAAATATTTTCATAAAGAGCCACATGGTACAAATTTTGGGCTTTGTATACCATCCAGTTTCTGTAGCAGTTATTCATCTCTGACACTGCAGTGTGAAAGTAACCATAAATCATATGTAAATGAACTTATATAGCTGTGTTCCAATAAAATTTTATTTACTAAAATATGTAGCAGGTCTGAACTGGTCTGCAGACTGTATATAATTTGTTGATTCCTAATCTAAAACATTCTGAAATTTGTATTTCTTAAGAACTTTGTTTCTATGCAAGCATAATTCCTCAAATTAGGGCTTCACTACTATAAGATTTCTTTAATAATATTTTGGACCTTCAGAATAATTATAAATTTCCTTTAGTATTCCTGCTGTCATATATCCAGATGGAAGCTTTATATCCTAATTTTGTTAAGATATGCTAAGCTTGTATAACAGAGTTCTCAAAAAAAAGTGTCTCAAATAATATTGAAGTTGATTGTTCTTTCTCCTAAAAGTCTGAGATGAGTGTTTGAGGAGGGTGGGTTCCACATAGTAATTCAGGGACCCAAAGTGTTGCTGGAATTGTTATCCCCTATGCATGGCTTCTAGAGATGCTGTGGTAGTCATAACGTCAGTCAGGAGAGAAGGCAGAGGGATGTCTGGCCTAGGCACACTCATGCTTTTACCTTGCCCCAAAGATGGCACCCATCCCTATACTCACATTGGAATATAGCTTAGTTGGAAATGGCTTAGTCCTATGACCAAAATCAATTGCAGGAGATACTGAAGGATGTAGTATAGCCACATCCCCTGCTATATGATTTCACTACTATGAAAAAGTAGATAATAGATTTCAGTGGACATAGCATCTCCAATGTTGGGTGAGATAGTCCCTATTTCTCTTTCTTGCTGATAAAGTTTATGAACTTTTAGAGGGTAAAATTGGAAACTAGACCTCCAGGATTGACAGGTCTGAGTAACACCTGATGTAGGGAAGAGAACCAGAAAGTATACAAAGGTTAAGTAGAGGGATCAAACTAGCCTTGGCCCTGAATGAAAGTAAAGTCTTATAATACCAAGACAACAAAAAATAAATAAATAAAGTGTTCTCGTGGCCTATAGTTCTACCTGAGAGACATAACAGAAGTTTGACTCTACTCCTCTGGCAACAAGTAAACAACCAACATTCAGAAAGTGTTCAAAAGTAGATAGTAATATGAAATACAGAAAACAAACGTATACAGTCCAAAACTAAATGTATAAGTCAATGTTACACTTGCCCAATCAAAAGCTCCCACCATATAAATTTGGTGCTCAAATGCTCTCTTTTCTGTGTTTCTTCATTAAGCACATATTGGGGCTATGGTTAGTCATCATTACCAGTGGCTAGGAAAAATAGATGGATGTGAAGCAGAGGAGAGTATAGGCAATCTGAAAGCCACCAAAACTCTGCATCTGTTAGTCTCTGCAACCTTCAGAGAATGACTCCTGCTTCACTTATCCCCAACACATCTCTTTTAGCCAACTCTGACTCAGAACTATAAAGGGAAGTATATTACAGTAAATAAAGTTTCAGCTTAGGCAAGCGGACAGTGTCCCAACTCTCATAGATGAGAATGTGCCTAGCAGATTTTTTTAAAATGAAAAAGTAAATATTTGAATTTTTTTCTCTTTATCTGCTTCCTTCCTAACCTGGGAGAAGCTTTGTTAGCCTATCTTACAGGAATTTAGATCACATTTATTCTATCACTAACAGGATCAGTATTTTTAGAAAGATACACAACTCATCTACAATGTAATAGCCTTATTTGTAAAAATGTAGGAGTTGAATGGATGATTTCTAAGCTCCCATCTTGCTCTTTGCTTCTAACAGTACATGTAAAGTGCTTTTTTTTCCTTTTGAATGAGATTTTCACAGAGCTCAATTTTAAAGAATACAAATCTTGCTTTTTTTCTAAATGTTATTCAATTTAGAAAGCCTTTCCTATCATAAACACAATATAATTCTACTTTCAAATACAAGAAGTCATGTTCAAATACACAACTTTGATCTGTCTTCACATTAGTTCTGCATAATAGAATAACTGAAAAAAGACAAATATCATACATTATTGAGCTTCAATTAAATTTCAGAGCTGAAATATGTGCATAGGGAAATAGTCAACCACATTTTAATGCATTCAAAATTTCAGATGTCATTAGTGTTGTACATTAACAAAGTACAAATGAGCTATCTCAGAACATTAGCTTTTAAAAACCACTTCAAATGTCCTTACATTTAAAATGCAAACACATCCATTGTTTTAAACAAAACATTGTCTTTTGATTTGGGGCTTACATGAGTCAATATGAATGTATCCACTTCATTCCATTTTCATCCTATGAAATGTGACATACTATATATAAAAACACACATTATGCATATTATCATTTTACTACAACCGACACAAAATAACTTATAAGTTGAAGAATTTGACTAATTTTTCTAGAGTGAAATATTAGGTAATAATTACATAAATTACATTTCCTATTTTAAAGGAAATTTTTAAAAAATGAAGAAATGCTAAAAAAGAGTTTAAATCGGGTTGTATGCCTTTACCCAATATTTTGCCATTTTTTTTTGTTTGAGTTAGAAGCAAACAAATAATGACATAGTTCTCAAGTTGGAATATTTGTATATTTAATTTTTAATTCTGAATTATCTAAAGCATATGTTAAAAAATCTTCATATTTCCTTTGCCCTACCTCCATCATTCCACAAACTGTTTTGTTTGAATAGAACCTGAAATTCAACTGTGAACAAGTTCGCCAGATGATCCTGATGCACATCCCAAACTGGGAACTCCGGCTCTAATATTTTCAAACACAGCTGGATTTGGCTGCATAATGATGAGACTTTAAAATGCCTAGCTTTTACATTTGCAGTACCTGTGTCCCTATCAGTCTCTCACCTTATACTGCTTGATTGGCTTGGGCTCTTACTATGTCTTTCCCAGGCTGTAATGGAAATAGTCCTGTGACATTGATAAACAGTTGTTCTGTTTCCCTTCTCTCATTATCCATTTTTTTCTTTTAGGCTCATCCTTCGCATTACCATAAGCATACCTTTTTCTCAAGTGTAAGTTTCATTATGTGACATCTTTTTTAACAGCCTGAGTTGGTTTTCTACAATTAAAGCTGATCTAAGTCTTTTCAAAATCAAGCCACACCTATTTCTTTCTGGCCTTATCTACTCAAACAAAACTTTAAGCAGTCTATATAGTATTCATACAAACATTTTCTGTGTTAACTAAATACGTGTCCTTACCACATTGTGAATAGTGTATCCTTTGCCTAAAATGTATGTTTGTTTTCTCTTTTATTTCCAGGTTTACTAATTACACTTTTTTTTTTCTTTAAGTTCTGGGATACATGTGCAGAACTTGCAGGTTTGTTACATAGGTATACACGAGCCATGATGGTTTGCTGCACCCATCAACCCATCATCCAGGTTTCAAGCCCCACATGCATTAGGTATCCTTGTTTTAGAATAATTTTAGGTTACAGAAAATTACAAATATAATACAATGTTTCTACATACCCCACATCCAGTTTTCCATATTGTTAAAACATTACATTAGTATGGTACATTTGTAATAATTAATGAACTGATTTTGATACATTATTACCAATTAAAGTTCATACTGTATTCCTATTTCTTCAGTTTTTATCTAATGTCCTTTTTCAGTTCCAGGATCCCACCAAGGGCACAACATTACATTAAGTCATCATGTCTTCTTTGTCTCTGCAGTGTTTGCTTTTTTTTTATGACCTTGATGATTTTGGAGTGCACTGATTAGGTATTTTGTAGTACCTCCCTCAGTGGGGATTTTTCAAATATTTTTCTCATGATTAGACTGAGGTTATGAGTTAAGTGGAGCATGACCACATAAGTAAAATGCATTCCCATTGCATCATATCAAGGTATATGCTATCAAAATGACTTATCAATGATGATGTAAACCTTGGTCACCTGGCTGATGTTGTGTTTCTTCACTGTAAAGTTACTGCACACACACACACCGCTTCCATACTGTACTAGGCAGAAAGTCACTATATACATTCCACACTTAAGGAGTGAAGAGAATGCTCTACTGCTTGGATGATGGAGTTTCTACATAATAATTATTTGGAATTCTATGCCCAGAACATTTGTCTCCCTTCCCCCATTTACATGTTTATACAATCATTTATTTATCAATATGAACTTATAGATATTTATTTTATATTTTGTTATAATTCAATACATGATTATTGTGATTTTGTTGTTCATATTGTTCCACTTGACCACTGGGAACTCTTTCAGTTGGATCTTGTGTCTCTTTGTCATACCCCTATCGTTGTGGAGTCTTTTTATTTTGTTAGAACACTTCTTTATTTTCTGCTGCTCTAAAATGCTTTGCGCTCATTTGGTATGTTTTCTGACCTGTCCTAGAACCAGGCATTCCTTCAAAGAGCCCTGTATCCTTTAACAGGAGAACAGTATTAGAAACCAAATATGGGCACTAGATATGCTCATTGCTAGTGGGTTGTGATTGCTTCCAGACCATTTTGGCTATCACAACAAGAAAATATGTATGTATACCCAATTAATCTTCGATTTCTGCTGTAACAATTTACCATAAGCTTAGTGGCTGTAAACAATAGAGACTTATTGTTTTAGAAGTCAAAAGTTCAAAATGAGCCTCAGTGAGCTGAAATCAAGATGTCAGCAGGAGTGCATTCCTTTTTAGAGGCTCTACAGGGTAATTCATTTTCTTGCTCTTTTTTTTTTTTTTCTTCCTTCCTTCCTTCCTTCCTTCCTTCCTTCCTTCCTTCCTTCCTTCCTTCCTTCCTTCCTTCCTTTTATCCTTTCTTTTTTCCTTGCCTTTTCTAGTTTCTAGAGGCTGCCTTCATTCCTTGGCTTGTGGCCCCCTTACATCTTCACAGCCAGCACTGGCAGGTCAGTCTTTCTAACATTACATCATTCTGACACTGACTCTCCTGTCTTTCCTTTTACTCAAAGGACCCCTGTGATTACACCCCCCCCCCGATAATCCAGAATAATCCTATTTTATGGATAACTGATTAGCAATCTTAATTCCATCTGCAACTTAAATCTCCCCTTACTATGTAATATAACATATTCACAGGTTCTGAGGAATTAGTATGTCTTTGGGAGGTCATTATTCTATTTATCACATATACTAATTCAGTATATACATATTTATTAATATTTCCATATGTAATATCTGTGTCTATATTAAATGCATTAGCCAACCCTAATCCATTATGAGATGGATTATTCTAGCCTCCTTTCTTTCCTTGCTTATCTGTAACCTCTCACTCCAACAGTGAGAAACCTGCCTCCCACCATTAACCAGCCATTTACTTAATTTTTAAAGTCCTGTACACATAAACAGCATTTGCAGAAGAGTTAACACTTATCTCCATGAGAAACAACTAGAGTACAGTGCTTATATTCCATTTCTTTTGCCTTTAGTCTTAGACTTCACTTACTTCCAAAGTGACTTAAGTCAGCACCTTTTTCCCCTATGACCAGTGAGGTGGTTTCATACATTTGCAATACAGTTAGTTTATTTCATCACATTCTGGATTTCACCTAGGCATCCTTGATCTCCCAAATGATTTTTTAAATTGACTTATATTAAGATCCATTATTTGTGCTTTTAAGTTTTATAGGTTTTGGCAAATGTCTAGAGTTACATGTTCACCATTACGGTATTTATAGATAAAACTTAAACTTCACCTCTGTTCTGAAGCCTTCTCAGATTTTTACTTGTTTTTTTTATATATATATTTTGTTTTGCTGATTCATTTTTAGCAGATGGTACCGTTCCATTTGTTAGCTCCATAGCACAACATTCAAAGCTTCGATAAATTTTTACTTTTAATAATTATCTATTTGAATACTTGAATCCTTAAATACTAGATTATATGATCTTTGACACCAAGGAATATGTTTTGTTTCCTGTGAATTCAACACTTTACATGTAGATTTAACACTGAAATTAAACACTCATGTTAAATAATCATTTTAAATAAAATTAGCCCCTAGAATTGTTAAAATTGACTTAAGTGAACTAAAGAAATTTGTTAGAAATGTTGACAAGATAAAAGCGTTTTGTTAATTTAATCTTGTTAAAAAATAACCTTAGTAAGCAAATTAAATGAAAGCATTACTTATTTAAAGAAAATTGATAGCATATATAAAAATATTTAAATACAAAAATGCATAAAACTAAGTAGATGTAACTACTATGTTTGAATGAGTCCATTAAACAAGGCAAACTTATGACTGGCCTGAAAAGAAGACTATATCAGAGTTTAGAAAAAAAAAATACATGCGCTTATCTATTTCTTATGGTAATAAGAGAGTCTCTGAATGTGATTCTTTGGAACACAAATATGGAAAGCTTTCATGCATGTCCGTGTGAAGAGACCACCAAACAGGCTTTGTGTGAGCAATAAAGCTGTTTATTTCACCTGGGTGCAGGTGGGCTGAGTCCGAAAAGAAAGTCAGTGAAGGGAGATAAGGGTGGGGCTGTTTTATAGGATTTGGGTAGGTAAAGGAAAAAGGGGGGTTGTTCTCTGGCGGGCAGGAGTAGGGGTCACAAGGTGCTCAGTAGGGGAGCTTTTGAGCCAGGATGAGCTAGGAGAAGGAATTTCACAAGATAATGTCAACAGTTAAGGCAGGAACAGGCCATTTTCA
Organism: Homo sapiens; assembly: GCF_000001405.40. Taxonomy (NCBI): domain Eukaryota; kingdom Metazoa; phylum Chordata; class Mammalia; order Primates; family Hominidae; genus Homo; species Homo sapiens. The sequence goes on from NC_000013.11 coordinate 37,969,300, forward strand.
CTTCTTTTGTGGTGGAATGTCATCAGTTAAGGCAGGAACCGGCCATGTGGATGTGTATGTGCAGGTCACAGGGGATATGATGGCTTAGCTTGGGCTCAGAGGCCTGACATTCCTGTCTTCTTATACTAATAAGAAAAATAAAACGAAATAGTGGTAAAGTGTTGGGACAGCGAAAATTTTGGGCGATGGTATGGAGAGATAATGGGCGATGTTTCTCAGGGCTGCTTCGAGCGGGATTAGGGGCGGCGTGGGAACCTAGAGTGGGAGAGATTAAGCTGAAGGAAGATTTTGTGGTAAGGGGTGATATTGTGGGACTGTTAGAAGAAACATTTGTCATTTAGAATTATTGGTGATGGCCTGGATACAGTTTTGTATGAATTGAAAATCTAAATGGAATAAGAGAAGGAGAAAAACAGGTATTACAGGTCTAAGAATTGGGAGGACCTAGGACATTTAATTAGAGAGTGCCTAAGGAGATTCAGCATAGTCCTACCAGCAAAGATTATTTATTTACTTCAAGAATTAACAGTGGCAGTTTGGGGATAGCACCAGGAGATACCAGCTGTGATGGCTTGGAGAAACAGTGTAAACCAGCAGTGTAAACAAGAGCAGGACATGTATGAGCAGTTGAGAACAGTGAATAGGAGTATGACTAGACAGAAGATAGCAGGCATGACAATTTTTTGGGGGCACAGTCTAAGTTGGTCTGGTGTCTGGAATGAGACTGGGGCTTAATAAAAAGGAGCGTCTATACAGGAGCTCAAATGGGCTGTACCCTGTAGCATTCTGAGGACAGGCCTGAATTCTGAGAAAAGAAAGAGGTAAAAGTATTGTCCAGTCCTTTTTAAGTTGGTGGCTGAGCTTGGTGAGGTGTGTTTTTAAAAGACCATTAGTCCCTTCTACCTTTCCTGAAGACTAAGGACTGTAAGGGATATAAAGGTGTCACTGAATACCAGGAGCCTGAAAAACTGCTTGGCTGATTTGACTAATAAAGGCTGGTCTGCTATTGGACTGTACAGAGGTGGGAAGGCCAAACTGAGGAATTATGTCTAACAGAAGGGAAGAAATGACCGTGGTGGCCTTCTTAGACCCTGTGGGAAAGGCCTCTACCTATCCAGTGAAAGTGTCTACCTAGACCAAGAGGTATTTTAGTTTCCTGACTGGGGGCATGTTGAGTAAAGCTAATTTGCCAGTCCTGGGCGGGGGCAAATCCCTGAGCTTGATGTGTAGGGAAGGGAGGGGGCCTGAATAATCCCTGAGGAGTAGTAGAATAGCAGATGGAACACTGAGAAGTTATTTCCTTGAGGATAGATTTCCACAATGGAAAGGAAATGAGAGGTTGTAAGAGGCGGGCTAGTGGCTTGTGCTATAGCATAGCCTGCCTTTGCTGGTGTGTGGCGATTAGGCCTGATGGAACTGCCATCAATAAACCAAGTGTGATCAGGGTGAGAAACAGGGAAGAAGGAAATGTGGGGAAATGGGGTGAATGTCAGGTGGATCAGAGAGATGCAGTCATGAGGGTCAGGTGTGGTATCAGGAATAATGTGGGAGGCTGGACTGAAGTCCGGGCCAGGAACAATGGTAATTGTGGGAGACTCAACAAAGAGTGAGTACAGCTGAAGGAGCCAGGCAGCAGAAAGTATATGCGTCAGGTGTGAGGAAGAAAATAGATTGTGTAAATTATGAGAGCTGTAGAGAGTGAGTTGAGCATAGTTTGTGATCTTAAGGGCCTCTAAAAGTATTAGGGCGGCAGCAGCCGCTGCACGGAGACGTGATGGCCAGCCTAAAACAGTAAGGTCAAGTTGTTTGGATAAAAAGGCTACAGGACGCGATCCTGGTCCTTGTGTAAGAATTCCCTGCACTTAGGCTGTGTGTAATGAAAAGGGTTGGGATGAATCAAGGAGAGCTAGGGTGGGGGCAGTCTCTAAAGCTGTCTTCAAGGAACGGAAAGAGGAGTGGGGAAAGGATTTAGGATCTATGGGGTCAGCTAGGTTTCCTTTTGTGAGTTTACATAATGGTTTTGTTAGGATGGCAAAACCAGATATCTAAAGTCGAAAGTATCTAACCGTGCCTAGCAAGGAAAGGAGTTGTTGTTTTGTAGAAGGGATTGAGGTTTGGGAGATTAGTCGGACACGATCAGCAGGGAGAGCACGTGTGTTTTTATGAGAATTATGCCGAGATAGGTAACAGATGAGGAAGAAATTTGGGCTTGATTGAAGTAATGGGGGCTGTCTGTGAAGCTTTGCGGCAGTACAGCCTAGGTAATTTGCTGAGCTTGATGGGTGTCAGGGTCAGTCCAAGTGAAAGTGAAGAGAGGCTGGGATGAAGGGTGCAAAGGGATAGTAAAGAAAGCATGTTTGAGATCTAGAACAGAATAATGGGTTGTAGAGGCAGGTATTGAGGATAGGAGAGTATATGGGTTTGGCACCATGGGGTGGGTAGGCAAAACAATTTGGTTGATAAGGTTCAGATCCTGAACTAACCTGTAAGACTTGTCTGGTTCTAGGGCAGGTAAAATGGGGGAGTTGTAAGGAGAGTTTATAGGCTTTAAAAGGCCATGCTGTAGCAGGCGAGTGATAACAGGCTTTAATCTTTTTAAAGTGCGCTGCGGGATGGGATATTGGCATTGAGTGGGGTAAGGGTGATTAGGTTTTAATGAGATGGTAAGGGGTGCGTGATCGGTCACCAAGGAGGGAGTAGAGGTATCCTATACTTATGGGTTAAGGTGGGGGGATACAAGAGGAGGACGCAAAGGAGGCTTTGGATTGGGAAGAAGGGTGGCAATGAGATGCAGCTGTAATCCAGGAATAGTCAGGGAAGCAGATAATTTAGTTAAAGTGTCTCGGCCTAATAAGGGAACTGGGCAGGTGGAGATAACTAAAAGGAGTGCTTAAAAGAGTATTGTCTAAGTTGGCACCAGAGTTGGGGAGTTTTAAGAGGTTTAGAAGCCTGGCCGTCAATACCCACAACAGTTATGGAGGCACAGGAAACAGGCCCTTGAAAAGAGGGTAATGTGGAGTGAGTAGCCTCCGTATTGACTAAAAAGGGGACGGGCTTACCTTCCACTGTGAGAGTTACCTAAAGCTCGGCATCCGTGATGGTCTAGGGGGCTTCTGAGGCGATCGGGCAGTGTCAGTCTTCAGCCGCTAAGCCGAGAAGATCTGGGAAGGAGTCAGTCAGAGAGCCTTGGGCCAGAGTTCCAGGGGCTCTGGGAGTGGCTGCCAGGTGAGTTGAACAGTCTGATTTCCAGTGGGGTCCCACACAGATGAGACACGGCTTAGGAGGAATCCCAGGCTGCAGGCAATCGTTGGCCTGGTGGCCAGATTTCTGGCACTTGTAGCAAGCTCCTGGGGGAGGTAGTTCTGGAGGAATGCCTGGCCACTGCGGTTTAGGCATTTGGAAGTTCTTGTGTGCTGGAGATGTGGCTGGGGTTTGTCTCAGTGGAGGCAAGGAATTGCAACTCAGAAATATGTTGCTACTTGGCTGCCTCTACTCTACTATTGTACACCTTGAAGGCGAGGTTAATTAAGTTCTGTTGTGGGGTTTGAGGGCCAGAATTTAATTTTTGGAGTTCTATTTAATGTCGGGAGCACATAGGGTAATAAAATGTATATTGAGAATAAGACGGCCTTTTGACCTTTTAGGGTCTAGGGGTGTAAAGCATCTCAGGGTTGCTGCCAAACGAGCCATGAACTGGGCTGAATTTTTATGTTTGATGAAAAAGAGCCTAAACGCTATCTGATTTGGGATAAAGAAAAAGGAGCATTAACCTTGACTATGCCTTTTGCTCCAGCCACCTTTTTAAGAATAAATTGCTGGGCAGGTGGGGGAGGGCTAGTCACGGAACGAAACTGTAAGCTGGACTGGGTGTGAGGAGGGGAGGTGATAAAAGGATTATAGGGTGGAGGAGCAGAGGCTGAGGAAGAATTGGGACCTAGCTCAGCCCGGCGAGGTGGGGAGAGGTCAGATGGGTCTGTAGAAAAGGAAGATTAGAAAGACTCAGCGACACTTGGGGTTGGGACTGAGGGGACAGGTGGGAGGGAAAGAAGGAAGATTTGGGACGAGTTGCATTGGGAACAGAGACTAAGCAGGGACTGATGTGTAAAAGAATGCCTAGACGTCAGGCACCTCAGACCATTTGCCCATTTTACGAGAAGAATTATTTAGATCTTGTAGGATGGAAAAATTGAAAGTGCCATTTTCCGGCTATTTGGAACTACTGTCAAGTTTGTATTGGGGTCAAGCGGCATTGCAGAAGAAAATAAGGTGCTTAGATTTTAGGGAAGGTGAGAGTTGAAGAGGTTTTAAGTTCTTAAGAACACAGGCCAAGGGAGAAGGAGGAATGGAAGGTGGAAGCTTGTCCATAGTGAAGAAGGCAAGCCCAGAGAAAAGAGAGTAGAGACACAGAGAAGGGTTGGGGGGTTCTTGCCCTCCAGAAAAGCAGAGAAGGGGTTGGGGCATGGAAATACGGGGTTGGGGTGCAGAGATAAGGGGTTGGGGCATGGAAATAAGGGATCAGGGCACAGAGATAAGTGGTCGGGGTGTGGAAATAAGGGATCGGGGTGCAGAAATAAGAGGTCAGGGTTCCTGCCCCTCCCCCAGAAAGCGGGACTTGCCACTAAGGGTGAAGGAGAAGGGGTTGAGGGGTTCTTGCCCCTCTCCCAGAAAAGCGGGACTTGCCGCTAAGGGTGAAGGAGAAGGGGTTGAGGGGTTCTTGCCCCTCCCTCAGAAAAGCGGAGAAGGGGTAGACATATGGAGAGAAGGGGTTGGGGTTCTTGCCCCTCCCCCAGAAAAGCAGGACTTGCCGCTAAGGGTGAAGGACAAAGGCAGGTGTCCCTGTGTGGGCTGACACCTCTGAAACCTGGGTGAATAATCAGAGAGGCATCCCTAGTCCGTGACTGGCGCCGGAGTTTTGGGTCCACGGATAAAATGTGTCTCCTTTGTCTCTACCAGAAAATGAAAGGAATTGAAATTAAGAGAAGGGAGAGATTGAAGTGTGGCGCCAAGATTGAAAGGAGAAAGAGGTTGAGGGATAGTGAGGGAAGTTGGAGAAGAAAGTAAAAAGAGGCTGCTTACCGGATTTGAAATTGGTGAGATGCCTCACAAGATAATGCCATCAGTTAAGGCAGGAACAGGCCATTTTCATTTCTTTTTTTGTGGTGGAATGTCATCAGTTAAGGCAGGAACCGGCCATCTGGATGTGTATGTGCAGGTCACAGGGGATATGGTGGCTTAGCTTGAGCTCAGAGGACTGAGAAAAGCTATTAGAGTCACATAAGTGGATTTTAATTATGAGAAAGAGCATCAGGAGAACAGCAATATCTCTGCCTTATAACTAATAATAGATTCCTTGAGTTTACTCTAAAGTAAATAGAATGTCCTTAGATTTTGCAGCACAAATTTTGGTGGTTTTACAGTTACATGGTTACATTGCCCTAACCTTCCTAGCAATTCATAGATATTTTGAGATGATGAAATTAGTGAACAAATGAATGCAGCAACCTGTCCTAATCTATATCACAGACATGATTCCGCATTTTATTGTAGTTATCTATGTGTTCATTTATCCTGATAACTACGTTATACATTTTTTTGGTGGTATTTGTGTGTTTCCATTCTAGCATAGTCTTTGGTATGTAATTGACAGTTAATAAGTATTTTTGAAAAGACAGAATGATTAATGAATGAATGAATGAATAATTGAAGGATTTCACACTCACCTCATTCTTATTGTGGCAGAGACTGCTGGTTGTTATTATCATTATAATTTTGCTAACTCAATATCCGTACTCATTTTTTTCAAGCAATGGAACACCAATTTATTTAGAAAGAAATATTTCCAGTTCAAAGCCTTGATTTCCAGCCTTTTTGTAGACAGGTGTGATTATAAGACTATATCTAGTCAATGAGATGTAAGAAGAAATTGTTGAATGTGATTCCTGGAGAAATTCATTTTAAAAGAAAGTTCTCTTTCTGTCTTCCCCCTCTTCATTCTCTTGCTTCCCAAAATAGATGGCTGGGGTTTCAAATGCCATCTTGAACTATAAGATGACTTCAGAATTAAAACCATTTTCTCAAGATAAGAAGCAAAAACCACAAAAAGCCAGTTTGGTCATACCAGCCCTAGACTATTTGCCTTTGAACATTTGGATTTAATTGAGAGAAAAATAAAATTTAATATTATTTCTGATTTTTGTTACTAGTACCTTCATGCATTTCTTAACTACTGAAGTCATCAGTATAATACACTGTGTTGAATAAGTCAATTTATTTCACTCTTCCTCATTACACTATGTACTTTTAAAAGGAAGAGGGTATACATTTTACTTATAAGTCATTTAATTCTTATGAGGAAAGATCCTATTGTCTAAGCATATACATTTTGATATGGCTTCTTATATTAAACCAGTGTATTCCTTTATGAAAATTAGAAGTGTTCTCTCAGAATTCCAGAATGTACATTTAATAAATGTCTAAATTGTACTTCACAATGTTTACTTGCCTTTAATGTGAATTTTCTTGCTGTGAACTTTCCGTCCAAGTAAGAATACTTCTTTTTAGAGCTTTTAGAGCTTGCATTTAGGATTGCAAGCGACATTTATAAAAAATGACTGGCATGCCTGCTGTTAAATAGTTGCTTTTTAAAAAATAAATCTTCCCTTCCAGTAAAAATCAACTATCTAAATTAACCCAAATGGAATGGAAATTGCCCTCTCAACTAATTATACACTTGGAAATGTTCACTTAAGGATAATTGCCTATTGGTAATTACCCTCACCATTCACCATCTTTAAGAAATAAGGAAGTGATTGCAATATGCTGAGGAATAGTTGAATGGTGACATTGTAAAAATATCGTAAGCCATTGCTGAGAATACTCAAATACTTATAGGCCTCAGTTTCTCCCCCTAATTGCTTAACATTCCACACTAGCTGATTCCTCATTTTCTCTCAGTTCCCCTAAATATAGCAGCATTGTCTATTTTTTTCCTATAAAATTTATATTACAATTTCAACAACCTAAAAGTAAGTCGAATTCTGTTACTCACCTATATTCCATCCCTATGTTTGGGGCTTGTTTTTTCTCATATGGAAAAATAATAAGAATATTATTTTATAAAGAGAAAATTTTAAAAAATTGAGTTGAAAACAAAATTATAGCAATTCCAACACAAATATAGTAGAAAACATTTGGAAGACATGTTAATTAATATATAGAATAGTGATATGGATGGAGGACACAGTCTCAGATTATAATTGTCAAAAAAAGTGTAGTCATACACTGCATTACAACATTTGAGATTTCTCAAAGAACTTAAAACAGAACTACCATAGAGCCCAGCAGTCTCATTACTGTGTATATAACCAAAGGCAAATAAATTGTTCTACCAAAAAGATGCATGTACTCTTATGTTTAATCATGGCACTATTCACGATAGCAAAGGTCTAGATGCCCATCAACAGTGGACCAGATAAAGAAAATGTGCTACATATACATCATGGAATAATAAACAGTCATGAAACAACAAAATCATGCTCTTTGCAACAACACAGATGAAGCTAGAGGCCATTATTCTAAGCAATTTAATGCAGGAACAGATAACACAATTCTGCATATTTTGTTCTCACTTATAATTAGGAGCTAAACATTGAATACAAGGACATAAAGATAGGAACAACAGTCACTGGGGGCTACTAGAGGGGGAAAGGTGGGAGGGGGTCAAAGTTCGAAAAATTACCTATCTGGTACCCTGCTGTCTACCTGGTTAATGAGATCATTTGTACATCAACCCTCAGCAACATGCAATTTACCCATATAGCAAACCTGCACATGTATCTTCGGAACCTAAAATAAAACCTAAAATCCTGAAATTTTAATATTTTGGAAAAGTACTTTAAAAATGTATATAAAAACATATGTGTATATATGTATCCATATACAATGTATATTTACACAATATACATCTGCATATATATTTTCTTTTGATTCAGATTCCAATATGGTTTGATCAAGCAGTGTTTTCCAAAGTTAGTTGGTGGCTGATTGGCTCACTTAAAAGATATGATGCTGTCTCTGACTGGTTGACTTTCAGAAACATGTTTATTAAAGTAAATTTTCACTTCAGTGAGTAGTTAAACAGGCTTAAAACCAACTATGGACTTATAGTAACAATTAAGACGGAATCAGTACACTAAAACGTATTTCCTCATCTCTAAAAACCATGAAGAGAACACAAAATTCATAAAACAACTCCCTAAACACTCTGGAAAGTTCATAATAGCAGGGATATCATAGAAAAGCCAAAGATTGAAGAATGAACAATATAGGAGTGAATATCCTTTATTTCCTTCTACTTTTATCTCCCATCTTTGACCATAGATGACCTCCGTGTAGAAACGCTCATCAGGTTCAGAACATAAATCCTACAAGAGAAATACTGTCTTTTTGGCCATAAGACCAAGAAAATGCAGCCTTGTGAATATAAGAGTGTGAAATGAATCTTTGTTTATATTTTCTTATATGCATTTATTTTTACGTTCTCCATGCAGTGGTGTGGTGGCAAAAAAGCCAAAACCCTGAGAGTGAAAAGAATATTTCTGGCCTGAAGAATCAGGAAAAGAAGACATGAGGTCTAAAGAGGGAGGGAATGATCATCAATTTTTTAACTCTGCTCTTTCTCTTGACATGTTTCTCCACTGGTGGCCCTGATATTCCTTTTCATAGCCAGAAAGAGAAAGTGTAGGGAAATTCTTGTAAAGGGAAAAACTAGAGAAGAGGATCTCCTAACTCTGTGTATGAACTAACACAAGACCCAAGCTGACTCATGTGCTGTGTATGTGTGGAACAGAACCGAAGTAACACCAAAAGTTTGAAAACTGAATTCAAATTAGAACTACTGTACACAGAAGACAAGACAGAATTTGTATTCTGAACATGAATGGATTGATTGTCTACTGGAACAACAATAGCAACAAACACAACCTCTTCCAAAGTATATTAATGGGATGCAGAGTCTTACAATATAATGTCCAAAATATCCAGGATACCATCCAAAATTAGTTAATACAAAAACAACTAGGAAGATATGACTGGTTCCCAAGGGGAAAGACAGTCAAGAGCTTCTAAAGCTAAAATTATCCAAGTGCTATAATCATTAAGGTTTAAAATTATTTAAACTTTACAGCAACCGTTATATCCTCATGTCATTAGATAAAAGTAAACTCTATTTCAATGCATGAAAATATAGAATTTTTCAACACAGAAATAGAAAGTGGAAGAATTAATCAAGTAAACATAATAAAAATTGAAGAGCAATCAGGCATGATGGTGTGTGTCTGTAGCCCCAGCTACTTAGGAGGCTGAGGCAGGAGGATTGCTTGAGGCCAGGAGTTAGAGGCTATGATTGTGCCTCTAAATAGCCACTGCACTTCAGCCTGGGAAACACAGGAAGACCCTGTCTCTAGAAAAAGAAAAGAAGAGAAGAGAAGAGGAGAGGAGGGGAGGAAAAGGAAAAGGGAAAGGGAGAGGAGAGGAGAAAGGAGAAAGGAAAGGAAAGGAGAAACGAAAGAAAAAGAGAAAGGAAAGAAAAGGAGAAAGGAAAGGAAGGGAGAAAGGAAAGGGAAGGGAAAGGAAAAGGAAAAGGAAAGGACCTGATGAGCGTTTCTACATGGAGGTCACCTATGGTCAAAGGTAGGAGATAAAAGTAGAAGGAAATAAAGGACATTCACTCCTATATTGTTCATTCTTCAGTCTTTGGCTTTTCTATGATATCTCTGGTAGTACGAACTTTCCAGAGTGTTTAGGGAGTTGTTTTATGAATTTTGTATTTTGTTCACAGTTTTTAGAGCTGTTTAAGGAAATAATGACCAAAATATTCCCAGGTTAGTTAATACTCAAATTTTCAGATTCAAGAAGCTCAGCAAACCCCAAATATGATAAACTCAGAGAAAACAAAGTCCAGATATATCATAATTAGCATCAATATCTTGAGAGCAGCCAGAACAAATAAGTAACATATTACATTTAGGGGAATTATGATCTAAACAGTTTGGAGTAAAATATATATAAATTATAAACTCTGAAGTAACCATCAAAAATAATACAAAAAGAGACAAAAAGCTAATAAATTTAAATAGAATACTAAGATGTTCTAATAATGCAAAAGAATGCAGAAAAGGAACAGGATTTTGAAAAAACAGCATAAGAAATAAAGGTAGAACCATATCAATAATTGTGTTGAATGCAAATTTTAAACATTGCAATTCAAAGATACAGGATGTGACCAGGTGCGGTGGCTCATTCCTGTAATCCCAGCACTTTGGGAGGTGGAGGCAGGTGGATCACTTGAGATCAGAAGTTTGAGACCAGTCTGACCAACATGGTGAAACCTCATCTCTACTAAAAATACAAAAATGAGCCAGGTGTGGTGGCACATGCCTGTAATCCCAGCTACTTGGTAGGCTGAGGCAGGAGAATAGCTTGAACCTGGGAGATGGAGGCTGCAGTGAGCAGAGCTCATGCCATTGCATTCCAGCCTGGCTGACAAGAACAAAACCCCATCTCAAAACAATCAAACAAACAAACATATAGGGTGTGATATTTAATAATTGATCTGAAAAAGCAGGGAACCCAGAAAATATAGTAGGCTGAGTTCTGAAGGACTAGATATAAAAGGTGAAAATTAGTAACTCAAAGAAGTTGCACAGAGCAGTTCTAATACAGGTTTTATTTAGGAAAAAAAATTCCATAGCATTTTCTTGCTGTGGAATTTGGATTAGAGCCATTCTGATAGTTTTCTGCTATTAAATATATTTGGAGAATAGCCATTTGTTTACTGATTTTATTTTGCCAGTTTTCCTATAGTCAGCATAGAAAAAGAAAAATTCTGATATCATGCAAACTTTTTGTTTTGTTTTTTTTACGAAAAATAATGTACAGCAAAATCTAATCATTTTTGGTTCCTTCCAATCTAGATTTTAAGCAAATAAAAGTTTTCCACCAACATCTGAGCAAATAAGTCATTTCCATCCATTTAAGTTCATTTAGATTACCTAAATGTCTTCCTCCTAAAAGATGAGAGATATTAATGAGGCATAAAAACCTAGATAGTCTGATTTATCTTTCTGTAAATTATTCTTTTCTCCTAATTTTAATGCTCATAATTTTCAATGACAAAGGGGAACATATGCTTATTCTCCCACTGTTCTCTAAATTATTGAATGTTTATTAATGAATACATTTTAATTAGAAAATGCATTTTAATTTTCTCAAGAAATAAAAATTGGAAGAATAACATTTATTTCTTCCCTTCTTACACAGAAGCTGCTACCCTAAATCAATACTTTCTATTTGCATTTGAGCGCTACATCATCATTCTTTTGGATGCATGACTTCGTTCAGGGAGCTATTTTAAACTCTTCTTTGCACCAAGAATTTATACAGATTAAATTTTTTTTAAAGGGTTACATTTTTAGGACTAAACTGAACTGAAAATTTAACCTTTTAAATTCTATTCATTTGCAGGGAACATTATCTGTTTTAATGATGTAATCTCCCATCTGCTCGCAAATATTAACCTTCATTTATGACTAGAAATGCAGAACTAGAAAAAAATGCCATTTTCCCATTCTACACAGTGCATTCTTATTTTACCTGAGATACAATTTCAAGAATTGAAAAATTATAATACAATATTTCTCTTTTACCACAATAACACGTTGTGGGAAAATGCATATCCATTCAAAGATTAAATTAGAAAAATAGCTTCTGAAACATTATTCATAGCCTATATCTACTGTTAACTCAGATTCCTATTTTCAAAAGGAATAATCAGAGAAAAGGAGCAAAGTTTAAGATCCCAATTCTCTAGATGTCGGTCCTTAATCTGCCACTTATTAGTTGTGTGACTTTGGGCAAGTTATTTCATTTTTTTCTTGCATCAGATTGATAATCTGTAAATGGGGAATATGACAGGACCTGATTCTTAACGTAGTTATAATGTTTAAATTCATTAATAACTGTAGGCACTGAGAATCCTACCAGACACACAAAAAATGCTGTAATAATATTTGTTTAAATACTATCAATCATTTCCAAATATCTGTCTTCAGACAGGCTTCGGTCCACATTGAAGTTGACTCTACTATGGCCAATGGAGAAAAAGTACATTGACATTAGTCTTTTATAAAATTGTATTTACTTGATGGAATTTTTATTTGTTATGAAATAGTATGTTTGCTTATACCATTTATGTGATTTTATGGCCTTTTATGGACAATAATGCCAGTAGTAATCATTATTGTTATATTATGTGTTTAATATTTAGGAATAAATAAACAGCTGTTACCCATAAGTCATTTTCTATACAGTATCTACAAGTTTATTATACCATGAAATGAAAAGTTTGTAAAACTTTGAGCTAGGAAACGCCAATTAATATTTCTCTAGTGCTATTCATTTTTGCAACAGCTCTAATGCAGTAGTAACACCATAGTTATCAAATCTGAAGACCTAGGTTAAAATTTATTTTTATCACTTACTTTGTCACAATAAGCAAATAACTTAGCCTTTCCTAATTTAAATGTTCTTACCTTGAAAACAAGAAAAATATATTTCTGCTTGCAAAGAATAACTGGTATAGGACTTGGCCTCCCAACAAAAACACCTATAAAATTTGATGAAATACTGTGTCATTATTTTGACACTGAAAAAGAGGCAGTTTAGGACCATTATCCTTGAGGAAAAGAAAAACAAAAAGGTGAGCTCCCAGACTGCCCTACAGTTGCCCTAGTTTTCTGCCTAAGGGTGATTTACTGCAGGGAGTAGAGCAGCAAGATGGAACCAAACCCAAAGTCAAAGTCCAGATTTGCAGGCTATGGAGGCCACAGGGATTTATAAGACAAAGTATCTGAGAAGGGGAAACTGTTGAGGGAAAGGCCACCTAAAAGTCTGTATGGAAGTTACTCAGTCCTTTGTCAATGGATAGGCTTGAAAAGGCAAAGAGCAAAGCACTGTGGTTTCTGACAGAGAATTGTTGCTGTGGGACAGAGAGATGAACAGTGAAAGGCCAGCAGGGTGAGGGACACTGGAATTACAATTCATCCAGAATAAAAAGAAATTATTCAGCATATTGGACTTCAATTGAGACCCCAGAAAGACTATATGTTTTAGTAAAAACCACATCCAAGAGTAAGGGCCAAGCCATAGGACTAAGTTGAAAAGCAAAATAAATATGCCCTAACAACAAATAAATTCATATCTTTCCCAGTCTGCTTTGTGCTACTATGATAGAATACCACAAACTGGATATTTTATAATGAGGAGAAATCAATTGGCTTATGGTGCTGAAGGCCAGAAAGTCCTAAATCAAGGAGCTGGTATCTGTCAAGGGCCTTCTTGCTCTGTCATCATATGGCAGGAAGAAAAAGAGAGGGCGAGAGAGACAAATTGAAAGTAATGGAAAAAACCACAATTACTTTTGCACCAACCTAATAAAAATCCCACTCCCTCAGTAATGGCATTAATCCATTCTTGAGGGCAGAGCCCCCATGGATGAATCACCTTTCATTAGAATCCATCTCCCAAAATTTTTGCATTACAAATTAAGTTTCCAACACATACCTTTTGAGTGACACATTCAAACCACTGCAATGTCTGACTGCACTTAAATAATCCATCAGCAATTTATTAGTTAAAAGAAAAAATAACACTCTTTAAAGGAATTTTACATTAACTACACTTTCTACAATTATCACACACAATGTTCAGCTTATACAATTATTAAATGTGCAAAAAAAAATTGAACATGTAATCCATGGTTGAAAGAAATAGCAGCACATAGAGTAGTCCTCCTTTATCCACAGTTTTGATTTCTGCAGCTTCAGTTACAGTACAATAAGATATTTTGAGAGAAAAGAGAGGGACCATATTCATATAACTTTGATTACAATATATGTTTATAATTCTATTTTATTATTAGTTATTTTTGTTAACTTCTTACTGTTTCCTAATTTATAAAATTAACTTCGTTATAGGTATGTATGCTTAGAAAAAAACGTAGTGTATGTATGGTATGGTAGTATCCACGGTTTCAGTTATCCACTGGAGGTCTTGGAACCTAAACTCTGCTAATAAGGGAGGACTACTATAATCAAACCTTAGATCACTCAGGTATTAGAATTAGCACAAGAAAACTATAATTCCTAAAGCTGCTGTTATTAATATTTTCTAAGATTTAAACTATGATGATAATGAATAAAAAGATAAAAAGTATGACAAAAACCATGAAAATGTAACAAATTTAAAATGTAATTATTGTCTTATTCCATTTCTGCTACTATAACAAAATACGGAGACTGGATAATTTATATAAAAGCAAAATGCATTTCTTAAATTTCTGGAAGGTGAGAAGTCCGAGATCAAGGCACAGATAGATGTGGTATCTGTTTCTCATTGATGGCCTGTTTCTCATAGATGTTCATGAGGGTCTTGTGCTTATTTTGGTACTGACTTTGGTTTTGATATCAAGGTTAACTGGTCCCATAAATGAATTGGAAAGTGTTTTCTCCTCTTCTGTTTTTTTTTTGGAAGAGACTGTGTAGGATAAATGTTATTTCTACTTAAATACATGGCAGGATTCACACATGAAATCATCTAGATCTAAAGACAGTTTTTTCAGAAAGTTGTAAACCACGAACTCAATTTCTTTGGTCATGAATTATATTTGACCATGAATTCAAAAGTTGTAGCTGTATTTATATTGTCTATTTCATCTTGAGTGAGTTTAGTTTGTGGATTTTGAGGAATTGATCAATATTATATAAGTCGTAGAACTCAAAAGTAAGAAAATAATCTTCTAGAAAATAGAACACCTTACTAAAGAAGGTATACAAAAGGTATACAAATGGCAATAACTACATAAAAACATATTCGACATTCTTCGCCATTAAGGAAATTCAAATTAAAGCCACAATAGGATAAGACTATACAGTTATTAGAATGACTAAAATTTTTTTAAATACTATGTTAGTCAATTTTCATTTTCTATAAAGAACTACCTGAAACTGTGTAATTTATGAAGAAAAGAGAGTAATTGACTTACAGTTCTGCATGTCTAGGGAAGCCTCAGGAAACTTACAATCACGGCAGAAGGTGAAGCGGAAGCAAGCACCCTTTTTCACATGGCTGCAGGAGAGATCGAGAGCAAATGGGGAGGGGCTACGCACTTTTAAACAACCACATCTCACAAGAAATCTATCACGAGACAACACTAGGGGGCGTGGTGCTAAACCATTAGGAACTGCCCCCATTATCCAATCATCTCCCATCAGGTCCCTTCCCCAACATGTGGGAATTATAATTCTACATGAAATTTGGGTGGGTACACAGAGTCAAACCATATCAGTAAGATTCTATTTATATAGCATTCTAAAATGTTCAATTCACAGTGATAGGGAATAGGCCAGAGGTTGTCAGGGCTTTAGGTTGGGGAGAATGTCATGTCTATAAAGGGGTAACATTGAAAATTTCTTTAGAATTATGCAGCTTTTTGTGTCATGTTCATATCTATCTACCTACCTATTTATTTACCTATCATAAACTTTATAAACATAAAATTAAAAAATTACTTGATTGATAATATCTGGCATGTAAGAGACCATGTGTCTTTGAAATACACTGGATGAATGGTAAATTGGGGCTCACTGGACCATTTTTGCAACTTTGTGCAAGTCTAAAATAATTTTAAAAATTTTTTAAAGTTTAAAATAAATTACCTAGAAATATATAGCATGCATAATCGAAGAAAATTTGATGAGCTCATATGCTGTATAATGTGCCAAATGTGCTTAACCAAAAGAAACAGAAAAAAGAGATAGAGTGGGAAGGAAGGAAGGAAGGAAGGAAGGAAGGAAGGCAGGCAGGCAGGCAGGCAGGCAGGCAGGCAGGCAGGCAGGCAGGCAGGAAGGGAAGAAGGAAAGGAAGGAAGGAAGGCAAAATTAGCCCTTTACAAAAACCAGAAGAATGCTTTCCTTCTGGTCTTAAAAAACGAAAGCTGCCATGTTGTGGATAGTGCTACGTAACAGAGAATTTCAGACACTCTCTAGAAGCTAAGAGAGACCCATCGTGGGCAGTTACCAAGAAAATGGGAACATTAATCCCATAAATAGCAGGAAGGAAGTTCTGCCAACAACTTGAAGGGTATCAGAAGATATAAGTTAGATAAGATTAGGTCTCCATTATGACTACCTCCAAGTCCGATGATTAGTAACTTAATCCCTGGAGTGGTGTCTCAGCACACACACAGGCCTCATTCACATTCAAGGGGAGATGATTACACAGTATATGCACGTCAAGCAGTGGGCATCTTGTGGGGTGTGGAATGGTGCATTTTAGAATTGTATCTCCCAGAGTAGGAGACTATTACTAACTTACAAAAGGGTTGTTTAGGTTGTTAAACCAGGTGTCCTCCATTCCGTACTTGTGAAATTCAGTTTGGGAGCTCATTAGAATTACTATTCCATACTTCTTAGTAAGTGAATAAAAGTTTAACAACAGTAAAGTGAAAAAAAGATATCTATGTATATGAGCTATGAGAAATAAAAAGAAACTTTAAAAAAAACTATCAATTTAACCTCTCAAAGAGTAGACACAGACTTACAGAAAAAAATATTTTGCTACAAGTAACAACATAAACACCTGTGTGTCAACTACTCATGTAAATCCATTCTTTTTGATTTTGTGAAAATTTATAACTGGAGAAAACTAATTTTCTTCAACACTAGTTATGTTTCTTTTTTTGTTATAAAATTTTTTTTTCTAAACTTTTCTTAGTTTCTTTTAGTCTATTCCATAAATACTTTCGGGGTATCTATGTTTAGATAATTAGGTGTATGAGCAGCATAAAAGCAAGTAGGACACATATTTCAGTAATTAAAATGAAGATACTCCTAATAATATAGTTGCAGATGGTATATATCTGGCGTCCCCAATATTCACTATCTAATATACATGGTCCATGGCCTGTTAGAAACTGGGCTGCACACCAGGAGATGAGCAGCAGGTGAGTGAGCAAGCAAACCTCTATCTGCATGTGACAGCTCCTCATTGTTCACATTACTTCCTGAGCTCCGCCTCTTGTCAGATCTGTGGTGGTATTAGATTCTCAGAGGAGCGTGAGCGCTATTGTGAACTGTGCATGTGAGGGATTTAGGCTGCACACCTCTTATGAGGATCTAATGCCTGATGATGTGTCACTGTCCCCTATCATCCCCAGATAGGACCATCTAGTTGCAGAAAAATAAGCTCAGGGCTTTCATTGATTCAACATTATCGTGAATTGTATAATTATCTCATTACATATTACAATATAATAATAATAGAAATAAAGTGCCCAACAAATGTAATATGCTTGAATCATCCCAAAATCATTCCCCCATCCCCTGGGTCCATGGAAAATTGTCTTCCATGAAACTGGTCCCTGGTGCCAAAAGGGTTGAGGATCGCTGGTGTATATCATAAACAATTCTAGTGAAAATTGTGGAATGATGATTGTCCTAGATTCTTGTTAGGAAAATCTACATAAAATAGACAGAGCTGACCTCTGCGCCAGTGATGATTAGTTGGTTAGTAAATGTGGGCTGTTTGGGAAAGGAATTTATCTTGGGGTAGGTGGTTTTCTCCATTGAGACAATTTCAAAGAGCTGACAGCTAAAGACTGTTTGCCTACAGCAGTCTCAGCAGCTGAGGGAATACATCTTTCATTCTTGAAGTATGGTCTGTGTAGTACATCAAAGTGGTTGCTACAACAAATGTGTATTATGTCATCTACATAATGTCAGTTTCAAATATTTGGAGGAAAAATACCCACAAAATTTTATATACTTTCATGTTTTCAGTTAAATGGTTATGATTAGGTTGCCTCTTTTTTTGTATGGCATGGTTCTACACCCTTCAACATCTAGTTGTCTTGTGCTTTAATTTAGCTACATCCTTCTTAGAATATTTTACTTAGAACAGAAATATATTGGCCTAATCAGTGAAGAATAAAAAACACTAGTATTGATTGGTCATTCTTATTTTTCCTAAAAGTAAAATCACTTTCTCATTTTTAAAAGCACTGCTATTTTTTCATATATAGGTGAAGGAAATAGTCACTTTTAATAAATTAGTACATCACTGATACCTTCCTATGCCTTTTTCTTAAATATCCATATACATCACTTTTTTCTAAACAGTCATACACATGTCAACATATTTGTAGATTTTTTCTTCCTTTTAAAAATAAAATTAGGTCATGTGCACTCTAATTTGCAACTTTTTAATATCACAAATAATATATAAATATACATAAATGAATGTATTTCTAATATTTGTATAACATTTCATTGTATAAAGATGCTGTCATCTATTATATCTTGCAGTTATCCTGTGGAGGCTGTCTCATATTATCTTGATTATAAGCAATACAGCATTGAATTTCCTAGTACTTAGGTTTTTGCACATTTGCTGAAGTATCTTGATGTACTAGATTAGTAGATGTAAGATTTCTGGTCCACAGGAAGGTGCATTGCCCTAATCATAAATCTTTTTACCAATAACAGATACCAATTTAGCTAACTTCACCAGAAAAATACTTTATCAGAAGTCTGCTATGTGGTTCGAGCATTATCAGGAATTTTAAAGAACCAAGCACAGAAAAGTCAGAAAATTAGAAAAGGCAAGGAACAGCTAATGTCCCATCACAGGTGTGTGCATCTTTTGAGACTTAAATGATATGCATTTCATTATCATGCTGAATGTAAAATGTTATGAATATTAGGGCTAAATGACAATGAACAATCTTGGCTATAGCACTGGACTTTTAAACCCATTACTGCCATTGCAAATGACCTCTCGCCATCCTTACATGTTGTGTCAATTCTCTCAGGATTCAGATTCCTGGATAGGAGTTTCAGACTGGCTAAGGCTCAATCATACTGCTCTTGAATTTTTTTTTTTTTCTTTTTTTTTAAGATGGAGTCTTGCTCTGTCACCCAGGCTGGAGTACAGTGGCGCAATCTCAGCCCACTACAATCTCCACCTCCTGGGTTCACGCCATTCTCCTGCCTCAGCCTCCCGAGTAGCTGGGACTACAAGCACCCACCACCACACCCGGCTAATTTTTTTGTATTTTCGGTAGAGACGGGGTTTCATTGTGTTAGCCAGGAGGGTCTTCATCTCCTGACCTCGTGATCCGCCTGCCTCGGCCTCCCAAAGTGCTGGGATTACAGGCATCAGTCACCGCGCCCAGCCACTGTTCTTGAATTTTAAGAAGGGACAACTGCTTCACTGAAACTTCTCTGCAGGAGTAGAGACTCTGGGTTCTCCACTATGAAGAAGCCCATTCAAATATCGAGAAGCCTAAAGTAAATTCCTCAAAGCATATACACATTTTTAATTGTAATAAATACCATCATTTTATTTCAAATAAATTATACCAGTTTTAATCCCATTTATAGTAGAGAGTATATTTTCCCAATAAGCATTGACAATGATCAATTTTTAAACTATTGCTAATGTGACAAAAAATAAAAATTATCATGTTGCAATTTGGATTTTACTGATTAGTTACCAAGGTTATTTTATTTTATTTGGGACAAAGTCTCATTCTGTCACCCAGGCTGGAGTGCAGTGGCACGATCTTGGCTCACTGCAAACTCCGCCTCCCAGGTTCAAGCGATTCTCCTGCCTCAGCCTCCTGAGTAGCTGGGATCACAGTCACCCACCACCATGCCCAGCTAATTTTTGTATTGTCAGTAGAGACAGGGTTTTGCCACATTGGCCAGGCTGGTCTCGAACTCCTGACCTTGAACTCTGCCTCTTGAACTCTGCCTGCCTTGGCCTCCCAAAGTGCTGGAATTCCAGGCATGTGTCACCGTGCCCAGCCGAGATTAATATTTATATTAAGATTCTCCAGAGAGAAAGAACTGAGATACACACACACACACACACACACACACACACACACAAGCACACACAGATGCTAGGTAGATAGAAGATAGATAGATAGATAGATAGATAGACAGACAGACACACAGACACACAGATAGATAAAGAGTGTACTTATTGATTAGTTTTTGAGATTATGGAGGCTGAGGCGTCTCATGACAAGCCATCTGCAAGCAGGGAGACCCTGATATGCCATTAGTGCGGATCAGTCCAAGTCTGAAGGCCTCAGAACCAGAAAAGCTGATGGTTAATCCTCAGTTTGAGGTCAAAGGCCTGAGAATAAGCTGGTGTGTGTAAGCCCTGAAGTCTGAAGGCCAGGAAACTTCAAGTTGTTGTTCAAGGACAAGAGAGAAAGAGTGTATCCTAGCTCTAGCAGATAGTTCAACATGGTTGCCTTTCCTCAGTTTCTGTGATGGTGCCCATCTACTTTGAGGGCTGCTTTTCCCCACGTAGTCCACTCAGACTCACATGCTAATCTCTGCAAAAGCCCTCACAGACACACCCAAAAGTAACGTATTATAGGGTTTCTAGATATTCCTTAATAGAGTCAAGTTGACACCTCAAACTAACCAGCACAAAATCTTTAAATTTATTTTAAAATACTGAGCTTCCTAATAATGAGCTAAACGTACCTATTTTTGTTGTCATTGTGATATTTGTATCTATATATTATGTGCAAACTTGCTTTCCTTTGGCATTACATGTATCCCCTATGTCATTTAAACTTTATTCTTTCTAAAACTTTAAAACATTTTCTAAATACAAATCTAATAAATACTCAATGCAAACAACTTGGCAGGATTGGACAAGAGCAAGAAAAAAGTAATACACCAACCATCTACTCTTAACACGTAGATGTATGTACTTCCAGTATTATGTTAAATTGTTTATACCTTTTGTGTGATTTTTCATTTTCCACTTCAAAATCTAGAATGAACATATTTTATGTGATTACATATTCTCACTATGATTAGTTTTAATGACTATATATGAGCATAGTACTCTATTTTCCACATACACTTATCACAACTTCGTCAATAATCAAGTCTTAAAATTTAGATATTTTTGGCAAAGTGTGATTCTTATCTTTGTAAATATAGTTGGTAGGTTTTTTTTAAAGAAACTTCCTTAGAATTATATTGCCAGTATTTACTCTATCCATAATACATGAGAACGCCTGCTTTCACACACCTTCACTATTCAATAGAATATACAAAGAATTATAACTCTTTATAAATTATTTCTCTAGAGGAAACAAACTTTTCCACTTATTTTGCAATAAAATACTTGTGTGTTTCTCTGTCTGCATTTAGGTTGGATACCTAACTTAAAAATTATTTACAATTGATGCATGATAGTTGTACATGTTTATGGGTTATAGTGTGACGTTTCAACACATGCTTACATTGATAACAATCAAATAAGAGTAGTTAGTATATCCATCATCACAAACCTTTATCATTTTTTTGTAATAATAACTTTCAAAAACCTCTTTTGTAGCTATCTTGAAATATACAATACATGGTTATTAGCCACAATCATGCTGCTATGTAATAGAACACCAGAAATTATTTTCCCTATCTAATTGTAACTTGGTAGCCACTGACCAACCTCTCCCTATCTTTCACTTTCTCCTCCCTTCCCCATCCTCTGGTAATCACTATTCTACTATGTACTTCTATGAAATCAGCTTTCAAAAATTCCGGGTATGAGTGATATCATGTAGTTTTGTCTTTTTGTGACTGGCTTATTTCACTGAACATCATGCCCTCCAGGTTTATCCATGTTGCTTCAAATGACAGAATTTAAGTCTTTTTTAGAGCTGAATAGTATTCCATTGTGTATTTATATCATATTTTCTAATCCATTCATCCATTGATGGACACTTAGGTTGATTCCATCTCTTGTCTATTAGGAATAGTGCTGCAATAAACATAAGAGTACACATATCTTTTTGACATATTGATTTCCATTCCTTTGGCTATATGCTCAGTAGTGGAATTGCTGGATCATATGGCAGTTCTGTTTTTATTTTTTTGAGAAACTTCTATACTTTTTTCCATAATGGCTTTACTACATTTACATTTCCACAAATATTATATATGAGTCTTCTTTTCTCCCTATCCTCATAAGCATTTTATTTTTTGTCTTTTTGATAATAGCCATTCTAACTGAAGTAAGGTAATATTGCATTGTGGTTTTGATTCACCTCTCCCTGATGATTAGTGAGGTTGAGCATTTTGTCATATGCCCACTAGCTATTTGTATGCCTTTTTTGGAGAAGTGTCTATTCAGATCTTTTGCCCATATTTAAATAAAATTATTTTTATGTTTTTGGTATCAAGTTGTTTCAGTTCCTTATATATTGTATATATTAACTCCTATTTTGATGAATCATTTGCAAATATTTTCTCCCATTCTGTAGGTTTTCTCTTCACTCCTAGGATTTTTTTTTTATTTTTTTGCTGTGCAGAGGCTTTTTAGTTTGATATAATCACATTTGTCTATTTTTGCTTTTGTTGCTTATGCTTTTGAGGTCTTATCCAAAAGGTTTTTACCCACATTATTGTCATGAAGCATTTCCCCTGTGTCTTTTTCTAGTAATTTTATAGTTTTGGTTCTCATATTTAAGTCTTGAATTCATTTTGAGTTGATTTTTATATAAGGCGAGCAATGACGGTCTGGCTTCATTCTTCTGTCTATAGATATCCAGTTTCACAGCACTATTTATTGAAGAGACTGTATTTTCCCCAATGTGTGTTCTTGTCACATTTATTTTACAAAATCAGTTGGCTGTAAATACGTGGATTTATTTCCAGGCTCTATTCTATTTCATTGGTCTATGAGTCTGTTTTTATGGCAGTGCCAGCCCGATTTAGTTATTACAGTTTTGTAGTATACTTTGCAGTCAGGTAGTGTGATGCCTCTAGCTTTTTCTTTTTGCTCAAGATTGTTTTGGCTACTGGGAGTCTTTTTTGTTCCATATGAATTTTAATATTGTTATTAACATAGAAGATACAGCTCAAATTTCTAAGAAATAGCCTTCTTGCCTGGAAATATTCCCACTTCCTTTTTCTTTCCATAGTACATGATTTTTTAAGGATCTTTTGAAAAAGATTATTAGATTTTACCTAAAGTTGTTTTACATAGTTGATAAATGATGGACTTAATAAATAACTACAAGTGGTAACAGATCATACTGAGGAAACATTTAGAAGATATAATTTGAGATTTTATACTTTAGAGAATTTTAGTTTCAGAAGCACAAAAAATAGACTGTTCGAATATGAAATAGGTGATTTTTTAACTTTAAAATAGTTTTTATTATACAAAAATTGTCACATAATTGGATATTTCTCTACTTTGTACACAATTAATCTCCACAGAGAGACTGCTTAAATTCTCATCTGGTGGTGGCAAGCACTAAAATTTTAACAGAATAGTAGTAAAAATGCCTCAGGGATTTAAGTTGAAAGCAATATATTGGTACATGGCTTTGCACCCAATATTAGGAGTGTACAAATGTCTTTTATTAAAAAATACAAAATAAATTATCTGTAGGCCTGGACAATGACAGGAGTAAGCCATTATGTATTTTGTCAACTGAAACCAGTAATGGTTATAGTGGTTTCTTAAATATCAGCCAGCCTTTTCTTCAGTCATTTTCTCCAACTGACTTCTCTAAAGCTATTGGTGAGGAACACTGCACTGAGCTTCTGTCACAGTTCATTAATATAGGTAAAGCAGTATTCTAGGAATTAGAACATGCCACCTCTCATACCACCTCTCATTCTACATATTGCACCCATTCCAGGGTCCTTCTCTTCTTCAGGAATTTTTGTGACTAAAATTTCTGCTGTAGTTAACAGAGAGGCCACCCAAAAGCATCCAATAAAACAGTTTTCAGAAACTTTGTTGGATCAATGATTCCTTTTCCCACCATATTCACAAAATCTCTGACCATAGCATCATAACCAACTTCTATAGAACTTTGCGTAATTTTCTTGACTATAAAAGATCCTTCAATACCTGCATTTTTAGCAATTGTCATTGCAGCAATTTTGAATATTCTTTTAATTTCTATACCAATGTTTTGATCTTCACTAGCTGGAGTCAATGAGTACAAGGCTGGAACGTATTGAAGCAGGGCACAGCCCCTTCCCAGAACAATGCCTTCTTCAACAGCAGTTATTGCATTAAGGGATCTGTAACTCTGTCTTTCTTTTCATTCACTTTGACATCACTTGTCCCACCAACCTTCAGCACAGCTACTCCATCTGAAAAGTTTTCCAGCCATTCTATCAGTTTTTCCTTTTCGTATCACTAATTGTGACATCTAACTGCTCCATGATTTCTTGAATATTTTTTTTTCAATTTGAGACTTGTCACCTTTTCCTTTTAAGAGCATAGCATAATCTTTAGTCACAATGACCTCTCCAACTTTACCTAAGTCACGAGGCTGCACATATTCAAGATTTAGGGCCAAGCCCTCATCTCCAAACACTGCACCACCAGTAGCAATAGCCAAATCTTTAAGCTGGTTCTTTCAATTGTTCATCAAATCCTGGAGCTTTGACTGCTATAATGTGAAGACCAACTTTTAGCCTATTCAAAACGAATGTACTTAGAGCTTCTCCATCAATATCTTCAACAATTATGACCAAAGTTTTATGGTGAGCATTGGCAACTTCAAGAGCAGGTACAATGGACTGGACACTAGAAATTTTCTATTCACTCATTAGAACATGGGCATCCTGGAATTCACATTTCTAGCCTTCTGGTATATTAATAAAGTATGGAGAAATATATCCTCAATCAAACTTCAGGTCTTCAATAATGTCTAATTCATCATTCAGTGTTTTTTCCTTCCTTACTGTGATGGCAACCTCTCTACAGTCTGTCTCCATTTGTAGAAATTGTAGCAACCTGAGCAATTTCTTCAGGGGTGGTCACAGGTTTAGACTGCTTTTCAAGTTCAGCAATTACAGCATAAACAGCTAGCATCACACCTCTCCCCATTTCCAATAGATTAGCACCTTTACTAATCTTCTTGAAGCCATCCTTGGCAATAGAGCATGCCAGAACAGTACAGTGGTAGTGTCATCCCCAGCCTCTTCACTCGTGTTATTGGCAACATCTTGAACAAGTTTAACTCCAATACTGTTATATTCATCCTTTAAGTCAATAGATTTTTCAACAGTCACACCATCTTTTGTTACTTTGGGATCTCCACAGCTCTGTTGAATAATCACTGCTCTTCCCTTTGACCCCATTGTAATGGCTACAGCATCGGCTAAAAGTTCTGCACCTTGAAGCATTAAGGCTTGGGCATCTATACCACATTTTACATCTTTAGCATAAGCCCAAGTGAGATAAGGGGCCAGTACCCTGGACACAGTTCTCATCTAGTGAAAGACTGTGAGTTATCGAAGCATTTCTGCAGAGTGGTGGTGGTGAGTGAGGAGAAATAGGTGCTTTTTAGCGCAATAATAACAGAGTGATATAAAGAAAGAGGATTAATTTAGATAATTAATTAGAATAGCTTGATATGAAAGTATTTTAGGAAAATTTTTTTTATGTAGAGTCATTCTAAAAGTGCAAATTAAAAACTCATTTACATTTGGATACATACCATACATTGTCAGTATATGTCATTTATTAGTCTGAAAATCTATTTTTTTAATAAGCAAATGGTCTGTTTTTATTTAATATCAAGTTTTTTCATTTTCTAATATTTTCAATTCTGTCAGATAAAACAGTATGTGATAATCCACACGTTTTTACTGTCATTACTGAAGCTTACTTGCTAAAAACAATTCGCCACAGCTTATACAGAGTTTACAATTCAGATTGTATGCATGAAAAGAACTTACTACCTTCTCCACTCAGCTTTTCCTTTAAGAAGATTGTTAACCCAATCCTAATAAGGAAGCTGCTCTGTGCATTTACAGGGAGAAAAGGCATGAGTTTCCTTGGCAACTGGAGCCATGTGCAGTCTCTCAGAACAGCTCCTCCTACACTCAAGTTTCCTAGGTAGCAGGCTGCATATATTTTATAAAGACAATGGGATAATGGGACAGTTATTACCCTGTCCAAACTTGCATGTGAAAAGCTTCAATGGGAAAGATGCATTTGCTATAATCACTGGCAATTTGAGGGAAGATATTAATTCTATAATGAGTTTGCTTCCTCTTTCTAATTCAGGTTTAACAGTTTAATTCAAAGTCCAAAATATATTAGGTGTTTGCCAATTTTTTTTTTTTTACAGGTGAAAATAATTACTTTCCCTTCTACTTCACCCTCATCAGCCACTACCAAATTAGCAGCTAAAGTTAAAGGTGAGCTGTAGGTGAGCATTTCAAGGATAAATAGTGGTTAGTTCATAGTACTGCTCTGAAGCAGAAAAACTAATCCTTAATATTGCATGAATGGAAGAGACCCAACTTATCTGAAATTGACTGCAAAGGGTCACAAAATCTTAAAACATCTAAAGAAAACCTGTCTATAGATCTAGAAAATATTAGAAGATATTAGAAGCATGGATAGCCTAAAGGACATAGATAATTTTAGTAAACTAAAACATTAAAAGACAAAGTATTGATAAAATTTATTATATACAGTCAATAAACAAAGTTTTTTCTGGGCTGAGTGGTGAGATAGAGAAGTTAAGTAAATGCATTTACATTATGTAGATTTCTCTGTTTTTCCAGCATAAGAGCATTTAAAAGACATCAAATTAAAGAGCAGCTGTGTATTATTATTAAATGTGGACAAAATCTTCTGGCAAATTAGGATTCTTTATAAGTCAAATATTGTTTTAAAATTATTTTTGAAGGCTTTTTAAACTCTTAATTTTATTTTTTATTTATTTATTTTTTTTTTTTGAGACGGAGTCTCGCTCTGTCGCCCAGGCCGGACTGCGGACTGCAGTGGCGCAATCTCGGCTCACTGCAAGCTCCGCTTCCGGGGTTCACGCCATTCTCCTGCCTCAGCCTCCCGAGTAGCTGGGACTACAGGCGCCTGCCACCGCGCCCGGCTAATTTTTTGTATTTTTAGTAGAGACGGGGTTTCACCTTGTTAGCCAGGATGGTCTCGATCTCCTGACCTCATGATCCACCCGCCTCGGCCTCCCAAAGTGCTGGGATTACAGGCGTGAGCCAACGCGCCCGGCCTAAACTCTTAATTTTATATAATAGCAACTTCTATTCTCTGACATACAACTCCTATTCATTCACAAGACAATTAAGTCTAATTATCTATTGAGTTGCACAAAGAAAAATACGATTTATATGTAATTAATCAGCTCTGGAACATTGTGAATTTTAAATTCTGTGCAACTAGAGGAGTACAGATTACATTGTTTAAACCTGTTTTGCTGAATACTTAGCAGAGCATCTTTACAATTAGAACTTAAAGGGGAAAATATTACAAAATACTCTTTCGAATACTCTTCTTGCAAATTAAATCATAGGACATTCTACATATGACTATTTTGGAACCAAAAAATAAGACAGATTTTTCAAGAAAAAATTGGGACATTAATATTTTATATTGCTTTTCAAATACAATATTTACTTTCCTTTGTCTCCTCTGTCACACACATGTGCATGTGTATACTCACATATGCACACACACAGATACGGACATATTCTTTTTATTCAATCATTTTTATTGGATTAATTGAAATACTGTGTTTTCCCTGAATGCATCATAGACATTTTATCAGGTAACATGTGTTACATTACATAGCTATTTTTAATATACGTGTTTTACTCTACTATAAATTTAACATAAATTACTGAAAAATTTCTCCTCTGATGGATACTTTACTTAGTTTACTTCAATTGTATACACACACACACACACACACACACACACACACTTGCTTTTTGTGTTTTGTTTTTTCTGTTTGAGTGATTCCAAGAAGTGGGAATTACAGGATTTGAGAATCTGTCATGGAAAGTGATTTTGAGATTGTAATAATGGATTATAAATAATTTATGACAATAGCATAGACTTCTGGAATTTGGAATTGCTAGTTTTGCGCATAATAAGGTATGCCTAAAATGCTCCATCTGCAGGTTTACTTGGCTCGCTATGCAAATTTGCTAAGTTTGATTTAGGAGCATCCTTCTTTAATTATATTCTTATTTAAAGGTACCTTCTTTTTCTTCCTCAGAGTTCTAAATCAAACTTTCTTCAACTTTCAAAAGCAAAAGTGCAAAAATAATATTAAGAATAGATATTTAGTTATTTAGTTATCTAATAAGTTTTGGCTTTAATATGTGCTAGGCACTATTAAAGATTTACTGTGTTGTAGGATCAAATATGAATTATTAATATCAGTTAATTGAGTGTCATGTTCAAATTTTGGTTTTATTTTCAATATAATTTTATCAGGCAATTCTATTTACATTTTTGTGGGTGTGTCTAATTATTGTACAGAGCCCACCTTCTGGCTGTTTCTAAGACATGTTTTGTTTTGTTTTGTTTTGTTTTGTTTTGTTTTGTTTTGTTTTTAACCAGGGAGATGTTTCCTATTATCCTTGATAATGTGCCATGAACATATGAAAAAACATAGAAACATGAAGAAAACAAGAAGACAAAAATCACTAACATCTGGTTGGCTGTATAGAAACAAAGCTGATTCTGGTGAGTTACAAAACTATATATTATTTATAACTAATAACTACTTGCCTTGCAGCATAGTGATTCCAAACAAAGATGTAAGTGCAATTTAGATACATCTTTTAGTATATTTGAATTTTGTCTTATGGTGAATAATATTAAATTTGAAGCCATATTTAATGTGAACATTGTAAATACAAATTTAATTTTAATTACTTGGTTCATACATTACTACATTTAAGAAAAAGACGTGTGTAAACTGGACAAAAGACATTAATTTAGTTTGGCAGATTGATAACTTTGCCTGATATTGCATACAGAATCTCTTACTTGAATGGATTACTTGGAGATTGCCTCTAAGTGCTCTTTCATCTCTAAAATACTCTAATACTTGTCTTGTAATATGGGTAATTTAAAAGCTTTTGTATGCTGCTGGACTTGTTCTTTTTTAATCATGTTATTAGCTCCATTAGCCACAGATAGAACTTTTAAACCACTTGTTAACAAATCCACTGAAAAGAATTTTCTTTTTAAAAAAACAAAGGAGACGATTCCAGTGAGTGGTTTGCAAACAGGGGAGATGTTGCCTTCCTTACAAAGCGAAGGTGTGTTGGAGACAACAGAGATCGCTCTTTTTTCACAGAGAATCCCCATTCAGGTTCCCACTCTGGTCTGCTTATACAAATGAGGCATGCAAACTTGTTAATTGTTATTGACCGATGCAGCTCACAGTCTATTGGTTAGGTCCAGGAAGCAAAATGGGGTTTTAACCTGAACAGCTACAGACAGTTATGAAAGTCCAAAAATTATAGGAGTGTCTGGGTTTTCCAGAAATGCAGAATATGTGTGTGATCCTTATAGTCAGCAACTGGGTGCTTGGCTCTATTTTGAATTTAGGCCCAGTTAGCCACTCAGGATCCATCTTGAAGAACTGGCTCTTTCAGGATTCACATCCTTTCTAGCAGAATTGTTCATCTTTATTTAAAACTGTCAAAGTAACAGTCTTTAATTAGTTAAAGTTATGGTGTATCTAATACACATCTCTAAAAAGCTTGGCTGTTTTGGAAATAGTGAAGATTTCCTACAGAAAAGTGACAACTAAAATTTCACAAGAAAACCAATTCATTTGCAAATGGTATGGAAACATGATGAAGAAACCAACAGTGTCACAGAAACAGTATTCATTTTCAAGCCTCACTGGGATGCACAAAATAGAACTTTTATTAATCTCTTATGAGATGATTTAAAAACGTCTGAAAATCTAAATGACTATAGATAACTTTCAGTTTTTACATTTTAAACTATATTCACTGGATTTATAAAAATCTTCATGTAAACATAGGCTTTACCCTCACAAAAATGTGCCTCACTTTTCTCTAATATATACACTCACATACACTCCATGTCAGATACAAGGAAAAAATATTCAACTATATTTTGCTCTGCTCAACAAACACTATACTGCTTATTTTTCAACATACTAGTAAATGACATACTATTAATAACATACTATTTACAATTACTAGTAGTAGTGTGTTAATAACATATTAACACTACTAATAATAGCATATTATCAACAAACGATTATGTCATATGTATTGAACTTTAACTCTACAATAAAAGCCTTCTTGTTTGCCATTTGCTTAAGGAAAAATCATAGGAAAAGGTGAACTATATCTGCTGAAAAATAATATGAAGTATCTTCTTTCTCAAACACGTAAAATAAACTATCTGATTAAGCATATGTATATTGTCTCATTATTTTTTAAAAAATTGTTATACATAGCTGTTTAAACTTTTCTCTAGTTTTGTTTTATCAAATTTTAATGTGTTGGACAAATACAGATAGATATAAGTAATATTAATATGATCGACAAACTATAATGATAAGCAACCATGAACCTACTTTCCAGTCCATGAACTAAAATATAATCAATAACTTACATTACCTATTGCTGCTGTCTTTCTCCTTATGTCCCTATGTATTTTATGTATTTTATTATGTATGAGTGTTCTTCAAAACGTTTATGAAAATGTATATTATAAAAAACTTGCATGAATTTATTTTTTGCATCAAAATAAACTCCTACTAACTTGTTGTAACATGCTTAAATATCATAACTTAAGAATAACATATCAATTTGAAAAGAGCTCCTATCAGAGCAAAATGACTTGCGTTAAAACTGAAGCAAGAACAAAGATTAATTTTATAGTGAAGCTTGGGAGGAAGAAAGGTGAACTCATTGATGCTTTATGAAAAGTTTATGGAGAGAATGTCTCGCCAACATCAACATCTTACAAAGGAATACCTCATTTTAAGAAGCGATGAGACACTGTTGGAGATGAAGCTTGCAGTAGCAGACCATCCACATCAATTTGTTGTTCATCTTGTTCATGCGCTAACTGAAGAGGACCAATGATTAACAGCACAAACAATAGCCCACGCCATAGACATCTCAATTGGTTCAACTCACATAACTCTTAATGAAAAATTAAAGCTGAGCAAACTTTCCACTTGATAGGTGCCAAAACTGTTGTGCCCCAATCAGCGGCAGACAAGATCAGAGCTTTCAATAAAAAGTTTAAACAAGCAAGATCAAGATCCTGTAGCATTTCTTCAAAGAATTATAATAGGAGATAAAACGTGGTTTCACCAGTATGATCCTAAAGACAAAGAAACAATCAAAGCAATAGCTACCAAGAGGTGAAAGTGGTCCAGTCAAAACAAAAGCAGACTGGTCAAGAGCAAAGGTCATGGCAACAGATTTTGGGGACGCTTAAGGCATTTTTCTTGCTAACTCCCTGGAGAGCCAAAGACTAGTAACATCTGCTTATTGTGATAATGTTTTGAGAAAGTTAGCCAAAGCTTTAGCAAAAACACCCAGGAAAGAGGCAATACAGAGTCCTTCTCTACCATGACAAGTTTCCTGCACATTTCTTTCATCAAACTAGGGCAATTGTGTGAGTTTCAACAAATTATTAGGCATCCACCTTTCCAGCCCTGATTGGGCTTCTTCTAACTTGTTTTTGTTTTCTAATCTTAAAAAAATGTTTAAAGGATACACCCATTTTTCTTCAGTTAATAACATAAAAATAATAATATAAGAAAGTTGTTAAATCAGTTGTTGTTCTGGTTAAAGTCCCAGGACCCTCAGTTCTTTAGGGATGGACTGAATGGCTGGTGTTATCTCTTACAAAAGCATCTTGAACTTGATGGAGGTTATGTTAAGAAATAAGTTTATATTTTTATTCTTATCCTTTAATTCTATTTTTAATGAAATTTTGAAGTCCCATTGTGTATATATATATGTGTTTTTTAAAATAACAAGTTCTGGGATACATGTGCAGAACGTGCAGGTTTGTCACACAGGTATACACGTGCCATGGTGGTTTGCTGCACCCATAAATCCATTATTTACATTAGGTATTTCTCTTAATGCTATCCCTCCCCTAGCCCCCCATCCCCCAGCAGGCCCCAGTGTGTGATGTTCCCCTCTCTGTGTCCATGTGTTCTCCTTGTTCAACTCCCACTTATGAGTGAGAACATGTGGTGTTTGGTTTTCTGTTCCTGTGTTAGTTTGCTGAGAATGATGGTTTCCAGCTTCATCCAAGTCCCTGCAAAGGACATGAACCCATCAATTTCTCGTTAAATTAGTGAATAAAAGATAACATATTGTAGATAGTCTTGTGGGTCTGACTGCTTACTTAATTTATGCTTCCAAATCTTAATTAATGATGCTATGCTTTCAAAATCTATTCATGTTGCTCTATGCAACTAATTTCCTTGTTGAATGATGTTTTATTGTGTTAATATACCACACTTTATGAACTTGAATTGCTTTTAGTTTTGCTTTATTGTTTTGTTTTGTATGAAAATATGCTATTCTACATGGTGCACATAGACAAGAGTTTGGATATAGGTCTATGAACGTCACAATTTTACTGAAATTACTGGGTAAAGGGGTATACAAATATTTAGCTTTATGAGATTGTGCTAGATTGTTTCCAAAAATGGTTACAATCAATTTACATTCTTACAAGATATAAAGGAGATCATGGTTGTATTATTTGACTTCTTAATTTTGAAAACCTAGAATGTAAAAAATTATTTCTGGCTATTTTAATTTATATTTCTCAGATTAACATTGATTTTTGGCAGCTTTTCATATGCTAATTGACCTTACTTTCTCTTCTTTTGTCATGTGTTTGTATTATATTTTTTGTATTTTTTAATGATAAATAATAGTTGTACATATTTTGGGGATACGTGTGATATTTTGAAACATGTATACAATGTATAATGCTAAAATCTGGGTAAATGGGATAACCATCACCTCAAATATATATCTTCTCTTTGTGTTGGGAATATTACAATTCTCTTCTAGTTATTTTGAAATATACAATAAATTATTATTAACTATAATTTCCCTATTGTTCTGTCAAATACTAAAATGTATTCCTGCTATTTAAATGTGTTTTTGAACCCTTTAACCACCTTTCCTTCATCTCGCCCCCTACCTTCTTTTGTCATGTGTTTGGCCTACTTTTCCACTGGACTGCTTCACATTGTGTTATCTATTTTTAGCAACTCTTTATATTCTACATGCTAAAATTTTATTGGACATAGATATACACATATATACACTCATATTTTCTCCTAGTTTCCAGTTTATGATTTTTTTGACAACAAGATTGTAAACTTTTATTAGGTTCAAATTTTATCAACATTTAGACCATGAGTAGCAAGCCTAGTACCAACAGGTCATAAGGTTTCTTTTGTTAATTTTTTTTTTCTGGCATAAGGCTAATCAAACTACAGGCAAATAAGGAAATTGTTGCGTTTACATGTACAAGCCAAACAGTGCATGCGTATAAATCTTCCTGTCAGGAACCTGACACAAGGAAATGAGGAAACTATCATGCAAACACTGAATATTTGCTTTGCATTGAATGGCTTCGGGACAACTGAGAACTCCCTATACCGTAACGATTTTATAATCCAAAGCGACTGATTTATGTTCTCTAAGAAGTGCGGTGCTGCACAGGGTATTGCACTTTGAGTATTAAGCAAATCACCTCTTTGCAGACTTATTAGAGCATAGCCTTTGTCCAAAACTTTATGTAAAAATTATACTTATTGATGAAACTACTGCCATGAATTTTACATGCTCTTAAAAATACCGTTTGGTGCAGAGTATAATTTCCCCCAAATCCCTTGAACTCTGGCTTCACTCCCCCAGTGTCACAATTTTACTGAAATTATGTCATTATAAAAATGAACTTTGGTTTTATTCATAAAAAATTATTCAAGTGCTCAATTAACAATATATTTCAGGCTGGCACCTGGGTTAACATTTTACTTATCACAGACACACATTCTGATTTTGAATCTCACAAGATCTGTTCTCTGAATCATACATTTTTGTGCCTTTCAACATCAAATGTCAGATTCAATATAAAAATAATTTATGTTATGTTATTAGAGCTCAAAATCTTGATTTGTCAAAAGGAGGGAAAGAGGATTTTTGAGGACAGGGATAATTCCTTATGCATTCAACACAGCTTCCAGCAAGCATTCCTCCTGTGCTCTGTATATTGCCTCTAAGTGCCCAGAGGGCTGGGAAAAGGCTGCAGATCAACATAGTCAATGGTCTCTTCTTTAGCACAAGGACCAGTATTGGTGGCAGCTCCTGCTTCCCTGGTACTTTGTACCCTGAGACACTGTAAGTATAGGCATGAAGAGTGGAGAGACCATGAATTGTCAGTTAATGTGACGGAACTTTCCCACCTTCAAACTTCTCTCTCTCTTTTTCTCATCTTCTCTCTCTCTTCAACATTGCTTTAGTAGAAGACTTTCTGGCACCTTACTCTCTCCTACCCTGATTTAAGCTCTGTGTAGAGGTGCCTCAGGTATTGGGAAATATGATCAAATATTAGATGATTTACAGGGATGAAGTGGTTTATTGTGTGAGCTTATAAAAAAAGAATGGAAATATTTAAGTAGACTTCAAATCCACACATGGCATATGATAGTAAATTGAAGACCCTCACACACAAAATCTCATATGTATCTTTCTGCCTAATTTTCAAATCCAATCAGTTTTCATATTTGCTGACTATATTGTATCATTATTGTTCATTTTTACTTCTGCTTTCTATTTTTACTGACAACAGCCTACACCAAGTTATATTTACTTCTTGCTTAGGCTTTACTAATTATATCTTATCTGGCCTTCCAACTTCCACTTTTCTTCTCTAATCCAACCTACAATCTAATGCCAAGCTAGTTTTCTCCAGCTCTAATCATGTCATTTACCTATGTTTAAAACCTTCAAATGCAACTTCATATTTTGTCAATAATGCCCTAACATTTCATTCTCATGGTAATGAGATTGAAAGGAAGATGATTTCTCTGCTGAATGACAATGTTGAGAGTGCTCCAAAAATGTAAACTAGAGAATTGAGCATCTGAGGTAATTGTCTTGCTCTTATTTTTATGCTGTTAAAATAATTCATTATTTATATTCTTATAAATCAAAGAATGTGTACTGTTAGTGTGCATAAAATTATTTTAAGAACTGGATAATAGAAAGCATTGGACAATATATCATCTATACTAAAATAAATATTAAAAATCATAAAGTTTATTCATGGTCCCTACGTTTGTGAGTTGCTGCAGAAGCCAAGTAGCCTGTGTGATTTTGCTTGAAAGTACATCATTCTGCGCTAGAAGATGATTTGAAGGTACTACTAACTACAACCATTTTACTAAAGACTTAAAAATGCGTGCCTTCTGGCCGGGCGCGGTGGCTCACGCCTGTAATCCCAGCACTTTGGGAGGCCGAGGCGGGTGGATCACGAGGTCAGGAGATCAAGACCATCCTGGCTAACACGGTGAAACCCCATCTCTACTAAAAATATATATATATATATATATATATAAAAGTAGCTGGGCTTGGTGGGGGGCGCCTGTAGTCCCAGCTACTCGGGAGGCTGAGGCAGGAGAATGGCGTGAACCCGGGAGGCGGAGCTTGCAGTGAGCCGAGATCGCGCCACTGCACTCCAGCCTGGACGACAGAGCAAGACTCCGTCTCCAGAAAAAGAAAAAAAAAAATGCATGCCTTCTTATAAGACAATTGAGCAAAGCATTGTCTCTTATATAGGGAAATAAATGAGGACGTTATTATTCATTATATGTACACATTTAGGACAAAAAAACCTCATTATCAAATATGAAGTTTGTGCCCAATTTTAGAAAATGTGCATACATAATAACACTTTGTAGATATATGTCATGTTCGAATTTTTTTTACTAAAAATGAGTCACTTGTATTTATTAGCACAATATTCTTTTAAAAAATTAAATTTAATTTCATTTTAAGTTCTGGGATACATGTGAAGGACGTGCACATTTGTTACATAGGTAAATGTGTGCCATGGTGGTTTGTGGCACCTATCAACCCAACCTAGGTATTAATCCCCATATGCAATAGCCATTTATCCTGATACTCTCTCTCCCCACCAACCCCCATGACAGGCCCCAGGGTGTATCATTCCCGTCGCTGTGTCCATGTGTTCTCATTATTCAGCTCCCACTTATAAGTGAGAACATGCGGTATTTGCTTTTCTGTTCCAGAAAACTATACATTAGTTTGCTAAGTATAATGGCCTCCAGCTCCATCCACGTCCTTGCAAAGGACATAATCTCATTCCATTTTATGGCTGCAAAGTATTCCATGTTGTATATGGACCACGTTTTCTTTATCCAGTCTATCATTAATGGGCATTTGGGTTGATTCCATATCTTTGCTATTATGAATAGTGCTGCAATCAACATACACGAATGGGCATGCATGTTTATAATAGAACAATATATCTTTCTTTGGTTCTGTACACAGAAATGGGATTGCTGGGTCAAATGGTATTTCTTATTCTACCATCTTTGAGAAATCGCCACACTGTCTTCCACAATGGTGGAACTAATTTACTTTCCCACCAACAATTAGTGCCTCAATTTCAGAACTTGTTATTGGTCTATTCAGGGATTTGACTTCTTCCTGGTTCAGTCTTGGGAGGCTATATGTGTCCAGGAATTTGTCCATTTCTTCTAGATTTTCTAGTTTATTTGCATAGAGGTGTTTATAGTACTCTCGGATGGTTGTTTGTATTTCTGTGGGGTCAGCGGTGATATCCCCTTTATCATTTTTTTACTGTGTCTATTTAATTCTTCTCTTTCTTCTTCTGTATTAGTCTAGCCAGTAGTCTACCTACTTTATTATATTTTTCAAAAACCTGCTCCTGGATTCATTTATCTTTTTTGAGGGGATTTTCATGTCTCCATCTCCTTCAGTTCTACTCCGATCTTGGTTATTTCTTCTCTTCTGCTAATTTTAGGATGTGTATCTCTTGGTTCTCTAGTTCTTTTAGTTGTGATGTTAGGGTGTCCATTTGAGATCTCTCTAGCTTTTTGATGTAGCACAATATTCTTAATATATTTGCTTTTTGAGGTAGAAATGACTTTTTCTTGGTCAGATATGTGTGATAATAGTCTAAATCCATTTTTTAATCTTATCATTTAAATGTTTTATTGAACTAGAATACATAGACCCAAAGTACACAAATCAGAAGTATACAACTTTATTTTCACAAATTGAAATACATTGAGTGATCAGCACTGATATAAGAAATAGGTCATTACCAATATTCAAAAAGCCAACTTCCCAGTCACTGTTTCTTCACAAAGGTAATAACTATTATGATGCCTTACTCCACAGATGTATTTGTCCTCTTAATGGTATTTTTATTAATAGAATTATGTACTATACATACTCATTTATACCTGAATATTTTCATTAGAAATTATATTTTGAGAGTTATCCATTTTTATAGGTAGTGATATTTTTATCTTAATGTTTCAACACATTTGTTATTAACACTGCTATGAACGTCCTTGTACATGTCTGTTAATGATCATATGTACATATGTATATTGGAATATATATAAAGATATAGATATAGATATATGAGAGGAATGGCTGAGACACTAAGTATGCATAATTTGGCTATGTTAGATATTGGTAAACAATTTTGAAAAGTGGTTACCATTCACTCTTATTTGTGTCTGAGAGTGCTACATCCTTGCTAACACTCGGCATTATCTTTTTTATTTCAGCCATTCTGGTAGCTAAAGAATTAGAATTACTAATTAGTAATTAGTAGAAACAATTACTACTACCACTCTGGTGTGGTGGTAGTAATTGTGGTTTTAGCTTGCATTTCCCCATGCAACTCGATTCCTTAAACAGATTTCATATGTTTATTAACCTGATGACATTGTAAAATGTCACTGTATGTCTTTTGTCTATTTTTTTCTATTGCTCTGTTAATCTTTATGTTATTGATTTGCATATATTGGCCAGGTGCAATGGCTCATGCTTATACTCCCAGCATTTTGGGAGGCTGGGGTGGGAAATAACTTGAGCCCAGGAGTTTGAGACCAGCCTGGGCAACATAGTGAGACCTCATCTCTACAAAAAAATGAAATGTGTTAAGACAGGTGTGGTGGTGCAAACCTGTAGCCCCACATATTAGGAGTCTCAGGCAGGAGGATTGCTTGAGCCCCAGGAGTTCGAGGCTGCAGTGAGCTATGATTGTACCACTGCACTCCAGCCTGAATGACAGAGAGAGACCCAGTCTCAAACAATTAAAGAAAAAATTTAAAAAGTAAAAAGAATGATGTGTAGATATTTATATATTCTGGATATGGGACTTTGTTAGATATACGTTCGACAGACAGCTTCCCACATTCTTGTTTGTTCAATGTCTTTACAATATTTGTTTGATAAACATAGGTTCTTAACTTTAATAGTTTTATCAATTTATTGAATTTTACCATCACTGTTAGCAATTTTAGTGTCCTATTTAAGAAATCTTTGCTTACCTCAATAATATAAAATATTTCCTATTTTTCCCACAGTTTTATATAGTTACCTTTTATAATAAGATCTGCAGTCAATCTAGAATTGATTTTTGTGAATGATCTGTGCTTGAAGGCAAGATAAAATTTTATCTATATGGCTACCTAGTTGCCCCAGCACATTTATTTGTAAAACTGTCCCTTTCCTCACAGTATTGTGGTATGACATTTCTCACCAATCAAATTACCCCGTATGGGCGGGACTGCACATTTGACTTCATTCCATTAGTTTACTTGTCCATATGGCATTGTCTTAATTACTGTAGGTTATTTTTCCAGAAATCTATTGTAAAATTTCCCTAGCTTTACTCTTCTTTAAGATTTTCTTGATTCTATTTAGCCTTTTGTGATTTTCCCAAATTAATTTTAAGCAGCCAGTGAGTTTATACACCCACACCCCCACACAAATAGTACAAATTTGTTCACATTTTGATAGAGTTTTGCACCGATTCCATAGATTAATCTGGGAAAAGTATGTCTTTAAATTATTGAGTCTTGGAATTTATTAACAGTATCTATCCTTCCATTCTCTGAAATCTTTTTGATTTCCTAAATAATGTTTTGGAGTTTTCATTTTAGAGTTCTTGTACAACTGTTTTTAGAATTATTGCTAGGTACCAAAGTTCTTTTGATACTAACAAAAATCAATCCCTTGTAAAATTTGTGTTCTCTATTCTGCTAGCATGTGGAATTACAATTGAATTTTGTATGCTGACCTTGTATTCAGCAACTCTGCTAAGTTTACTTATTAATCAGTGGGTTAGGGGCTTTTTTCTTGGCATGGCTCAAAATTTAAGATTAAAAGCTGGGCACAGTATATGGGATTCTGGATGGTGGTTTCTTCGTCTAGAGAATGTTTACTTTTTCAGACAAATAGAGCAGGACTGATGACTTCAATATAACAAGGAACAGAGCTTTCTACATTCTGCAATACAATATTGGCGATGTGCCAGCTGCCTTTGTATTGCCTGTGCTTCTAGGACATAATCTTCTGTAAGCTCGGTTTGGAAACCAGCTCTGCCCATGGCTGGTTCTGAACTCAAATTTAATTATTAATTATGTTTTACCTTGGTAAATTTTTAAAAATGCTCTTTCTGAAATTTTAGAATAGCTTCTCTGTTACTAGTAAATTGCTCTCAATAATTTTTACTTATGATTCCCTCATGAACAATATTTCATGTATGTGCATATTTACATACCTATATACCATGAACATAAGCAAATACCTTATAAATACAGCTGTGTGTGTGTAAGAACTGTGTAAGATCACACAGTTATATTTATAAAGCATTTACTTGAGTATGTTCACACAGACACACATACACAATTATTCAACTGTATATATTTCAACATTATTCTGGGTCAATCAAAAGATGGAAAAGTTGGATGAGTTGACGTAATTCACAGGTATTCTATATCCATGATCTTCAAAAATCTGTGTTCAATTATACTGAGGAAGTTTCATGGATGTCCACATCATATGAATTAATACTGGATTTAATTCCTGAATCCAAATGACTTTTAAAATCTACTTAGACACTGAAAAGGTGAATTTTTAAAGAAAAAATAAATAGTAAAACCTTGAAATTGTTTCTTTTAATTTTAAAACAACTAAATATACTTACCCAATTGTTTTCAGGGATGTTTAAATTCAAGCATATAATGAAGCTTCTTTAAAATCTAAGCTAGAAACCCATATTCTCAGGCATAGTCTACATAAGTTGCATTTATGGGCACTGGGATTTTGCTAGCAATATTCACCACTGTATCTCCAACTTCCTTAAAGGTGTGTGTCAGTAGCCCTGAAAATAATCAAAACTGTATTTTTGATTACATAATCAATATTTTATAGCTGAAAATGAGCAAACGATAAGACAGTAGGAAATGTCTATGAGAAAATACCAAGTCTCAGCACAAATAGTTGTGAAACATATCACTATTGGCAGGCAATATAGCTGCAGTACAATCTTTTGCTGAGGTTTTGCCACTGAAATCAGTTGCACTCAGCATGGGCTGTAGTTGTCAATACTTCATGCATAAAATGAAGAAATTCAACTGTGTTTTCTCAATAATCAGATACTGCATTAAATGTTAATCCATTATTTAATAGCTCTTCAGAGTGATTCCTCATCAAAAGCAATTTCAGACAAAAACTAGAAAGTTAATATTAAAATGAAAATTGTCTTTTAGGTTTTTCACCGTGACAGAGAAAAATATCTGTAAATCACACATAATATAAAAAATATAGTTTTTCTTAGAAAATGGTGATACAAGAATTGAGAAAGTAACATTTAAAATTTTAAAAGTGTGGGCCTGGCACTCCACATTTGTGGAACATAGAGTTCCACAAAATGAAACAAGAGATTATTTGAGAATGTCAGATGCAATCCCAGCACCCTGGGAGGCAGAGGCGGTTGAATCACTTGAGGTCAGGTGTTTGAGACCAGCCTGGTGAACATGGTGAAACCCCGTCTCTACTAAAAAATAAAATACAAAAATTAGCTGGGCACAGTGGTGGGCTCCTGTTATCCCAGCTACTTGGGAGGCTGAGGCAGAAGAATCACTTGAACCCAGGAGGCGGAGGTTGCAGTGTGCCGAGATCATGCCATTGCACTCCAGCCTGGGTGACAGAGTGAGACTGTGTCTCAAAATAAAACAAAACTAAACAAATGTAAAAAGTGTGATGCACACTCAGAATGCGTTCGTTTATGAATGACATAACACAAATTTCAGTCTGCTAAGGCAGCTCTTAGTTATAAGTCAGCAGAACAAAATAAAAAATGAAGATGCTTAAAATGGTAGTCGATTATTTTCCTTTAACTTGAATACATTTCTACTCAAATTAAAATTTGAATATATTTTAGAAGATATCTAAAATTTTTTTTATTTTACCCAGCTGTAGTTTCTAATCTCCATCTTTAAGCTATTTTTTTAGTCGGTTACACATAAAATGAAAATTCTCATTTCTCCTTCTTTCTACCCTACTTTAGAAAATGTTTGCCTCTCCCATAGCCTCATTTGAGCCCCAATTAGTGGGAATGTTTGAAAGAAAATAATTTATCTCTCAATTTCCTACTTAAAGCATGCTTTTGCCGTACTTTTCACATTCATTTCAATATCATAGAGAAGCCCAATGTCTTTCTGTAAAACAAATGACTGAATATTTCCTATTAAATGTCAGTGCTGTACCTTTCAATGGTTGCAGGATAGAAAGACAGCCTTACTTGGTTCAGTCTTAGATGAATAATGTCAGTTTTATATAAAAATTGGTTTTAAAGGGAAGACTGCACCACTTATAATAATAGTTGCTTCTCTTTAAAAATCTTCAGGACAGAAAACAATGTCAAATATTAATTCAAATTTATAACTAAATTGTGGTATCTTATCAAAAATCTCAAATAATGACAATATGACCTAACTGACTTCTGCTTTCAGAATATTATGCTTGAAAACATCTAGTTTCTAGATAAATTATAAAAAATATTATAATTTTAAATGTCTTGCCAAACACAATATTAAGAAAACTAAGAAACAAAAGAAATTTAAAAATCAACATACTGTTAGGACAAAAAAAAACCCTTTTTTAAAAAAACATAAGAATAAGTGTTTAATCTCTTACAAATAATTCATTAGATTAAATAATGAAGGATTGTTTCTTCAAAGAAAGATTGCGTGTAAAGGAATGAAAATGCAACTGTGAGCAGAAAACCCCAAAATAAAAATTGTGTATCTATGTTTTA
This sequence comes from Homo sapiens, assembly GCF_000001405.40. Taxonomy (NCBI): domain Eukaryota; kingdom Metazoa; phylum Chordata; class Mammalia; order Primates; family Hominidae; genus Homo; species Homo sapiens. The sequence continues at coordinate 38,011,630 of NC_000013.11, forward strand.
GCTCCAAGTTGTGGCTTAAAATAGTCTCTCCTAAGATTTTGCAATGAAGGTCTATATCACTTGAGGTTCTAATTTGTAGTATCCACAAGGTTAGAAGACCTCTATCTAAGAATTAAATTATCTAAGAATTAAAATATCTAAGAATTAAATTAAAATGTTATTTGGTACACATAGAGATAAGATTAAATATTTTCTGATGAAAATATGATGAAAACTTCTTCAAATAAAGATCCTTGAGCCAATGCTTATGCAAAATGAAATCAAATATAAGAGTTAAAAATGTATAAAAAATCAATATGAGTGAATACAGAAAAAAACTTGAGAATTTTGGAAAAAATATAAAAGATAAAAGAAAAATAATTAATTATAAATGAATTTAAAAATAAGTAATGAACTTGAAATAAAATAGTTATGAATTAAAAGGCCCCCTACCATTTCCCAGAGGAAATGTTAGTTGGAAAAAACTGCTGATTTGAAAGAGAAAAGGGGATTACTTTGTTCTTTGTGACTTTTCGAAATATAAAATATTCCTTCTCTTTTTGCAGAGTGTGTATTTGTGTCCAAGATGCATAAAGTGTTCATGTCTGAATTTCAGTCCTTTTTATTTTGACCACAGTGTCTGCTTACAGGCAGTCTGCCCATGTCACTCTGTGCTGCCCACGCGCCTGGCCACACACAGCCCAGCATGCACTGAGCCCACAGTCAGGTGATTCAGGGAAGGGGCTTCTTGGCAAAATAACTTTTCAAACTACAGAGAATACTCCACCTTTTACCTACACCTCTCAACTCAGAGGGATAGGTAATGCATAGAGTATCGACAGTAAAAAGGTACCAGCAATCTTTTAAAAACAGCTGATGAATAAAAGAGATGTGCAGAAATGACCAAAAGAATGTTATTTTGAAAGAAACAGTTTATTGATTAGATGAAAATACAAGAATAATTAGGAACCATAGAGAACTGTGATGATCGTTGCATCCACCAAACAACAGAAAGCTAATAAAAAAGCTTTCTGATTTTTATGAATTGCTTATTCATTTTCTTAACCTCTGCCAATTTTGTATTAAATATCATAATATTTGATTTTGAGTGGGGAAATGATTCATATATTCTCTTTAATGGGTTGCCTTCTTTTTACTGAATTGTGAGAGCTCATTTTATGTTCTAAATACAAGCCCCATTGTCAGGCATAGATTTTAGGAGTATTTACTCCTGGTGTGGCTTGCTGTTTGTATTTCGTAATAGTGACTGCGGAAGACTCAAAGAGTTTATTTTGATGAAATCCAATTTACTAAATGCTTCCTTTTAAAGTTTTTCTTTTTGTGTCCTATTTAAATTCTCTTTGCCAAACCCAATGTCATAAGACGGTCTCCTATGTTTTCTTCTACAAGATTTACAGTTAGGCCCTTACAATAGGTCTATTGGAATTATTTCTTATATATGGTATGAGATACATTGTGTAGTATCACATTGTAGTTTTACTTTATAAAATAATATTATTTTTCCTGTGCTTTCTGTGAACTCATATCTGTCTCTTTCTACTACTCTTGCTCTTTTTTTAAGTGCCTATCAAATCTTTTGCGCGCTATTTTTTTTTCAGTTCAGTGGTTTGTGTTATTATTGAGTTGTAGAGCTCCTTATAAATTCTGGAGACAAGATTTTGGTCATATACTTGCTTTGTGAATGTTTTTTCCAGCTGTGGCTTGCACATTTGTTTTCTTTTATAATTAATTAATTAATACTTTCTTTGAGACAAGGTCTCGCTCTATACCCCAGGTTGGAGTGCAGTGGTAAGATCACAGCTCACTGCTGCCTTGACTTCCTGGGCTCAAGTGATTCTCCTGCCTCAGTCTCCTCAGTAGCTCGGACTACAGGTATGTACCAGCACAGCTGACTAATTTTAAAAAATATTAATTTTTTAATTGACAAATAAAAGTTGTATATATTTATTGTGTACAACATGATGTTTTGAAATATGGATACATTGTGGAATGGCTAAATCAAGCTAATTAATATATGCATCACCTTGAATACTTATTTTTTTGTGTGGTGAGAACACTTAAAATCTACTCTCTTAAACAGCTTTCAAGTATACAATACATTGTTATTAACTACAGTCATCATGTTGTAAAATAGATCTCTTGAACTTAGTCCTTCTGTCTAACTGAAATGTTTTATCCTTTGACCAATCTTCCTTAACTCCCACCCCACTTCCGGCACCTGGTAACCACCACTCTCTGCTTCTATGAGTTCAGCATTTTTAGATTTCATACATAAGTGAGAATATGCCATACTGTATTTGTCTTCCTGTGTTTGTCTTATTTCACTTAACATAATGTTCTCCAGGCTTATCCATGTTGTTACAAGTGACAGAATTTCCTTCTTTCTTAGGGCTGAATAGTATTCCATTGTGTAAATATATATTTTCTTTATTCATTCATCTGTTGATGGACACTTAGGTTGGTTCCATATCTTAGCTGTTGTGAATAATGCTGAAATCAACACCAGAGGGCAGATTCCTTTGACATAGTGATTTCGTTTCCTTTGTATATATACCCAGTAGCGGGATTGCTGGATCATAGGGTAATTCTATTTTTAATTTTTCAAGGAACTTCCATACTATTTTTATTAATACCTATAGTAATTTTCATTTCTACCAACAGGGCATAAGTGTTCTATTTTATCTACATCCTCAAAAACACTTGTCTTTTGTTTTTGATCAAAGCCATTTCAACAGGTATGAAATATCTCATTGTTGTCTTAATTTGTGTTTCCCTGATGACCAATGATGTTGAACCTTTTTTCATATATCTCTTGGCTATTTGTATGGCTTTTTTTTGAGAAATATGTGTTCAGGTCCTTCACCTGTTTTTTTAAGTGGCTTCTTTTTACTCTTACAATGCAGTTGAGTTCTTTATATATTTTGGATATTAATCCCTTATCAGATGTATGTTTGTAAATATTTTTCCTGTTCTGTAGGTTGTCTCTTCACTCTGCTGATTGTTTTCTTTGCTCTCCGGCACTTACACATTGATTTTCTGATATTTTTAATGAGTACTTTTTTTTGACAAAGTCTGATTTATTGTTATATATATTATTCAAAAGTTATTGCTCTCTGTGAATTGGTGAAAAAGCTTGTCTCCCAAGTCATAAAAAATATTTCCTTCTTCTTTTCTCTAAAAGTCCTATACTCACTTCTTTTATCTTTTAGTCTACATTCTATATCTAAACAATTGTTTTGCTTAATGTAAGGTAAGGGTCAGACTTCTCTTTTTCTTTTTTTCACCATGAATATACATTTTTCTATAGCACAACGTGTTGAAAGAAAAACCTTTTCTTTCTCCCTTTAATTTGATTGTCTGTTCATAAGTCAAATGATACTATATAAATATTTATGTATGACAGTATATAAATGCGTATGTATGTTTTAACTTTCTATTTTGTTACATCAAACTTTTGTGCCAATACTTATGCCACTACTGCACTGTCTTAATTAGTGTAGCTTTATATTACCTCATGATGTCATGAGGTAATCTTCCAACTTTGGTTTATTTTTCAAGATAGCTTTGGTTATTTTAGATCTCGCATTTCCACATAAAGCATAGATTTAGCTTGTCAATGTCTATAAAAACTCTTCTAGCATTTGGATTTACATTGAATTTGTATTGAATATATGGATCAGTTTGTGTAAAGTTGATGTTTTACCAATACTGAGTCTTCCAACCCGTGAATCTTGTAAAACTCATTCTTTAGATATTTACATAGATGGTCTTTAATTTAGTGCAGCAATGTTTTGTATGTTTTAATGCAGAAGTTTTGCATATCTATTAAATTTATTCAAAGACATTTTATGTGTAAGGACAGTATTTTAAATGGCATTGTTTTTCTTCATTTTGTTTGCTGGTGGTATATATTAACCTTGTATCATGCAACCTCATTAAATAAATATATTAGTTCCATAGTTTTGTTGTAGATTCCTCAGGATTTGCTATGTAACTAATCATGACGTTTGCAAATATAAATGGTTTACTTCTTCCTTTTATATCTTTATTGTTTTTAAATCTATCTATCTGTTTTCATTGTTTTCCTTTCCTGATTTCATTGGAGAAGAGCTCCAGTGCAGTGCAGAATAGAAGTGGTAGAAATGTACATCACTTCCTTTTTCAATATTCAAATATTTATTATTTAGCTGTAGGCCTTTTGTAGCTGCCTTTTATTAGGTTGAGGAAGTCTCCTTATATTCTTTAGTTTGCTGAGAGTTTTTTATCTGTTAAATTTTGTTATATGCTTTTTTAGCATCTATTGAAATGAGAACAGTTTTTGTCTTTTATTCTCTTTTTATGGTAAAATGCAATGGTTCATTTTCAAATGTAAAACCAATCCCAAATTACTCAGATTAATGTTGATTGTTCACAGTATACTAAACTTTTTAATACTACTGTATTTGTTGGCTAGTACCTGCTAAATAATTTTGTATCTATATTAATTTAGAGATATTGGTGTATATTTTAAACTACATCTTTGTTATATTTTGGTACAGGTTGAGTATCCCTACTCTGAAATGCTTGCAACCAGAAGTGTTTTGACTTTCAAATTTTTACAGATTTTTGAATATTTGCATTATCCTTAGGTTAAGCATCCTTAATCCAAAAATCTGAAATCCAAAATGTTCCAAAGAACAGCTCCTTTGAGCATCATGTTGGTGCTCAAAAAGATTAAAATTTTGGAGAATTTTGGAGTTTGGATTTTCAAATTAGGATACTCAACCTCTATTAGAGTGATGCTGATTTCATAAAATGATTTTAGGAGGGCTCCTTCCTCTCCTGCTTCTTGGAATAGTTCATGTGATATTGGTATTTTCTTCTTGAATGTTTGGCAGAGATATCATTGAAGCCGTAAGGACATGACATCTGCTTTATTTTAATTTTATGTTTTCAAATATATATGTTTTAGTTTTTCATTGCTACATAATATTTGCACAGATTTATGAGGTACATGTGATATTTTGTTACATGCATATATAATGTGTAATGATCAAGTCACGGTCCTTAGGGTATTCATCACCTCGAATATCATTTCCACATGTTGGGAACATTTCAAGTCCTCTCTTTTAGCTATTTTAAAATACACAATCCATAGGTGTTAACTATAGTCCCCTCCTCTGATACTGAACATTAAAATATATTTTATCTAACTGTATGCTTGTTACCCATTAACCAACCTCTCTTCACCTCCACTCCACAAACTCACACATCCTGGTCAACCTCTAGTATCTATTATTTTACTATCTACCTTTATAAGATCAACTTTTTCTAGCTCCTATATATGAGTGAGAATATGTGATATTTGTTTTTCTATACCTGGCTTATTTCACCTAACATAATGACTTCCAGTTTCATTCATGTTGCTGCAAATGACATAATTTTAGTCTTTTTTGTGGACACTGTGTGTATATACCACACTTTCTTCAACACTTGGGTTGAATCTATATATTTGCTATTATGAATTGTGCTGCAATAAACATGAGGATGGAGTTATCTTTTTGACATATTCATTACTCTTTTTTGGATAAATACCCAATAGCAGGATTGCTGGATTATATGAAAGTTCTATGAATAGTTTTTGAGAAATCTGCCTACTGCTTTCCTTAGTGAATGTACTAATTTACATTCCCACCAACAGTTTATAAGAGTTCCTTTTTCTGCACATTCTCACTGGCATCTGTTATATTTGTCTTTTACGTAATAGCCATTCTAACTGGGATAATACAATTTCTTATTGTGGTTTTGATTTGCATTTCCCTAATAATTACTGATGTTGAACATTTTTTATATACCTGTTGGCCATTTGTATGTCTTCTTTTAAGAAATGCCTGTTCATGTTCTTTACCCATTTCTGATGAGATAACTTCTTTTTTCTGTTGAGTTGTTGGGTCCCTTTTTATTCTGAATATTAGTCCTTTGTTGGATGAATAGTTTGCAAATATTTTCTCCCATTCAACAGGTTGTCTCTCCACTCTGTTGGTTGCTTTCTTAGCTGTGTAGAAGTTTTTTTTACTTTAATCTGTATATTTGTATAATTTTGAATTTTCGCCTGTACTTTTGATGTTTTAGCCATAGAATCTTTGCCTAGACCAATGTCATAAAGTGTTTTATCTTATTTCCTCTAGTGGTTTTATATAATTCAGATCTTATGTTTAAGTCTTTAATCCATCTTGAGTTGATTTTTGCATATAGTGAGATATAAGGGTCTAATTTCTTTCTTCTGCATGTGGATATCTGATTTTCCCACATTTACTGAAGAGGGTATCCTTTCTGCACCGCATGTTTTTGGCACCTTTGTCAAAAATCAGTTCACTGTAAATATGTGAATTTATTTTTGGTTTCTCTATTCTGTTACATTGTTCTATGTGTCTGTTTTTATGTGAACACTAAGCTTTTTTGGTTACTATAGATCTGTAATATATTTTGAAGTCAGTGAGATCCTTCCAGCTTTGTTCTTTTTGGTCAGGATTTCTTTGGCTATTTGGACCCGTTTTGGTTCCATACAAATTTCAAGATAGTTCTATTTCTGGGAAAAAATGACATTGGTATTTTGATAGGGAGTGTACTAAATCTGTAGTTTTCATTGTTATTATTGCCATTTTAATAACGTTAATTCCTCTGATCCATGAGTACAGGGTGTCTTTCCATTTGTGTCCTCTTCAACTATTTTTATTTTTCAGACTTTTGCTGTTTTTCTTGTAGAGACCTTTCACCTCTTTAGTTAAATTTATTCCTAGGTATTTGTATATGTGTGTCGATTGTAAATGGAATTGCTTTCTTGATATTTTTTCTCAGCTATTTCATTAAGGTATATAGAAACAATACTAAATTTTGTTTTTTAAGCTTCTTCTTTATTTTATTTTTAGCTTTTAAGTTCAAGGGTATATATGCAGGTTTGTTGCATAGGTAAACTTGTGTCATGGGAGTTTTTTGTACAGATTATTTCATTATCCAGGTATTAAGCCTAGTATCCATTAGTTATTTTTCCTGATCCTCTCCTTCCTCCCACCCTTCACCCTCTGACAGGCCCCAGTGTGAGTTGCTCCCTTCTATGAGAAACAGTACTGAGTTTTCTATGTTGATTTTTGTATCATGAAACCTTACCAAATTTGTTTGTCAAATCTAGGAGTTTTTTGGTGGAGTCTTTAGATTTTTCTAGATATGAGATTTTTGTCACCTGCAAAAAGGGACAATTTGACTTCCCATCTTCCAATTCAGATGCCTTTTATTTTCTTGCCTGATTGCTCAAGCTAGGATTTTCAGTGCTGTGTTGAGTAGAAGTGGTGAAAATGGACATCTTTATGTTGTCTGAGTTCTGAAATGAGAGACTTTCAGCTGACCGGGCGCGGTGGCTCATGCCTGTAATCCCAGCACTTTGGGAGGCCCAGGAGGGCAGATCACGAGGTCAGGAGATCAAGACCATCCTGGCTAACACGGTGAAACCCCATCTCTACTACAAAATACAAAAAATTAGCCAGGCGTGGTGGCGGGCGCCTGTAGTCCCAGCTACTCAGGAGGCTGAGGCAGGAGAATGGCATGAACCCGGGAGGCGGAGTTTGCAGTGAGCCGAGATCGCACGACTGCACTCCAGCCTGGGCGACAGAGCGAGACTCTGTCTCAAAAAATAAATAAATAAATAAATAAATAAATAAATAAATAGAAAAAGAGACTTTCAGCTTTTCCCCATTCGATATGATGTTAGCAGTGGATTTATCATATATAGCCTTAATTATGTTGAAGTATGTTTCTTCTAGTTTCTTGATAGTTTTTAATGTGAAAGGATGTTGAATTTTGTCAAATGCTTTCTTTGGGCATGTTGATATGTTCATATGATTTATGTCCTTCATTCTGTTGTTGTGACGTATCATGTTTATTGATTTGCATAGGTCGAATCATCCTTGTATCCCTGGGATAAATTCTACGTGATCATACTGTGCTATCTATTTGATGTGCTGCTGGATTTGGCTTTCTCATATTTTATTGAGGATTTTCGTGTCTATATTGATCAGGAATATTAGCCTGTAATTTTTGTTGTTGTTGTATTTTTGTCTGGTTTTGGTATCAGGGTAATGCTGGCCTCTTAGAATAAGTTAGGGAGAATTCCATCCTCCATATGTTTTCAAAAATACTTTGAGGAGAATTGGTGTTAGTTTTTCTTTGAAAGTCTGGTAGAATTTGGCAGCCATTCGATCCTGGACTTTTATTTGTCGGGACACTTTTATAGCTGATTCAATATCATTACTCATAATTCGGTTCAGGTTTTCTGTTTCTTCTTGCTTTAATCTTGGTAGGTTGTATATATCCAGGAATTTATCAATTTCCTGTAGTTTTTTCAGTTTATTAGTGTGTAGTTGTTCATAATAGTCCCTGATAATCTTTTGTATTTCTGTGGCATCAGTTATAATGTCTCATTTTTCATTTCTGATATTGTTTGAGTCTTTATTTTTGGTTAGTATAGCTAGCAGTTTATCGACTTTATGTAATTTTTTTAAAAACCCCAAATTTTCATTTGTTGATAATTTGTGTTGCTTCTTAGTCTCTATTGCATTTAGTTCTGCTCTGGTCTTTATTATTTCTTTCCTTCTTTTAACTTTGGCTTTGTTTTTTTCTTGTTTTGTAGTTTCTTGAGAAGAACTGTAAGATTATGTAAAATGTTTCTACTTTTTCGATGTAGGCATTTATTGCTATAAGCATTACTTTAAATGCTGCTTTTTGCTGTATCCCATTGGGTTTGGTATGTTGTATTTTGGTTTTCATTTGTTTCAAAAATGTTTTAAAAATTTTCTCCTTAATTTCTTCCTTGACCCAATGATCATATAGGAAGATGTTATTTAATTTCCATATATTCGTATAGTTTCCAAAGTTTCCCTTGTTACTGATGTCTTGTTATTGATGTCCTCTTATTATGGATGTTTTATTATATTGCGGTCTGAAAAGAACTTGTGATTTTGATTTTTAAAAACTTGTTGAGACTTGTTTTGTCTTCTAAAATGTAAACTATCTGAAGAATGTTCCATGTGATGGAACATGTATTATGTAGCTGTTAAATGAAGTGCTCTGTACCTGTTAGGTCCTTTGGGGCAGTTTAAATCCAATATTTCTTTGTTAATTTTCTGTCTAAATGATCTGTCTAACGCTGAGAGTTGTGTGGTGAAGCCCCCAAATACATATAGTACAAGAGTCTATCACTCCCTTTGGATCTAATATTTGCTTTACATATCTGGGTGCTCCAGTGTTGGGTTCATGTATGGTTAGAATTGTATCCTCTTGCTGAACTGATGTCTAACATTATATATGACCTTCTTTGTCTCTTTTTACTGTTTTTGACTTAAAGTCTGTTTTATCTGATATAAGTGTAGCTACTCCTACTCACTTTTGGTTTCTCTTAGCATGGAATATCTTTTTCCATTCCTTTAATTTTATTCTACATGTGTCTTTGCAGCCACGATGAGTGTCTTATAGGCAGCATATAGTTGGGTCATATTATTTTCTTTTATCCATTCAGCCAGTCTATATCTTCGAAGTGGGCAGTTTAATCCATTTACATTCAAGGTTCTTATTGATATGTGAGGGCTTATTCTTACCATTTCATTAATTGATACCTGGTTGTTTTCTTCACCCCTGGTTGTCCTTTTGTTCATTTCTTTTTTATTGTTTATTTTTTTGGTGTGGTGTTTTTCTGTGCTGGTAACATTTGAGACCTTTATCTTCCTCATTTGTGTCTTTTTTTCTACCAGTGGGGTTTTATACTTTTATGTGTTTTTGTGATACAGACATACTCCTTTTAATTCCACATGTACAGATCCCTCAAGCATTTCTTGTGGGTCCAGTCTAGTGGTGATGAATTACTTCAGCTTTTGCTTGTCAGAGAAAAACTTTATTTGTCCTTCATTTATAAAAAGTAGCTTTGCTGGGTATAGTATCCCTTGCTGGCAGTTTTCTTCTTTCAGCACTTTGAATATATTATTTAATTCTCCCGTGGCCTATAAATTTTCTACTGAGAAACTCACTTAGTCTGATGGGGGTTCCATTATAAGTGACTATATAGTTTTTCTTGTAGAATTTACAAAAGAATTCTCACTTTGTCTTTCACTTTTGATAGTTTGACTACAATGTGCTGTAAAGAACAACTTTTTATATTATATCAGTTTGGGGATCTCTGAGCTTCCTGTATCTGAATGTCTAAATCTCTTGTTAGACTTGAGAAATGTTAAAATTAATGTTTTCTCCAACGTTTGTTTCCTTTCTGCCTTCTGGGACTCTGAAAATTTAAATATTTGGTTACTTTATGTTGTTCCTTATGTCACATAGACACTGTTCCTCCTTTTTTATTCCTCTTAATATTTGTCTAATTCAATTATTTCGAAAGAACGTGTGCTCCTTCTCTGGAGTAATGCTGTTGCTCAGTCTTCAGGCAGTGCTCCGTCTTAGTTTCAAAACCTATGTGGATCATAAGTTGAGGAGCTCTTCCATGGCTTGGATTGCAGGGGTCTGTGGTGGGAATGTAGACTGCTGTGGGAGTCACTCATTTACCCTTTCTGCACACTGGTGAGTCTTTTCAGTCTCCCAGCCAATACAGCTGGAGTAGACTGGCTTATTTCCCTTTCCTTTTTCACCTTAGGTGTTTCCTGTCATTCCTTTGTTGAATTCCAGCATTTTTTTTAGGTGGTGTATTCAAAGTGTTATTATCTATTAATTATTTGGTTTGTCTTTGCAGAGGAGGCTACTACCAGATGTCTGTAGTCAGCCATCTTGAAGCGCCTCCCCTCTCAAGTTTACTTTATTGAAAGGACTTTGTAACACATTCAATTTCCTTAAGAGACACAGGGATACTTTCATTTTCTCACTAATATTGTGTCAGTTTTGCATGTTGTGTTTTTAAGAATTTTTTTCATCTAAGTTGTTAAATTCATTGTCCAAAAATTATTTTTCAAATTTTTTAATAATCATTTTAATGCCTGTGCTATTTTTTATAATGTTCCTTCCTTTCATTAATAAAACTGGTAATTTGTGATCTATCCAGCTATGAGCTTATCAATTTTATTGTTCTTTCATGGAACCACATTTCTTAATTTTCTTTATTCTTATTTTATTTTTTCTATGTATTTAGGGTTTGCTTTGCATTTGAGTGTTTAAATCTATCTACATTTATTACAAAGCACTGCTTTGTTGTACCTTAGAAAGTTTGAGACTACATTTTTAATATTATTTAATTAAAAATATTTTCTAGTTTCTCTTCTGCTTCACTTATTTCCTTATATATTATTTAGAAATATCTTGTTTACTTTTGATATTAAATTTCTTAATTAAAAAATCTTTTCTCCACCAGCCGCAGTGGCTCACGCCTGTAATACCAGCACTTTGAGAGGCTGAGGCAGGCAGATCACTTGAGGTCAGGAGTTTGAGACCAGCCTGGCCACCATAGTAAAACCCTGTCTCTACTACAAACACAAAAATTAGCTGGGTGTGGTGGCACACATCTGTAGTCCCAGCTACTCGAGAGGCTGAGGCAGAAGAATCTCTTGAACCTGGGAGGTGGAGATTAAAGTGAGCCGAGATTGTACCAGTGCACTCCAGCCTGAGTGACAGAATGAGACTCGTCTCAAAAAAAAAAAAAAAAAAAACACTTTTCTCTAGCTTCCTGAGTTGAATATATAATTTATTTTTTATTTTTAATGGTTAATAAGTAATTGCCTTAGAATTTAATAATAAATTATTCTTGAAAACATTGGCTAGTTTAGAAATTACACTTGAAACCAACCTATATTGCAGTCATTTTATAGCTCTTAATCATAACTAGTACTGACATCTCATAAAAACCTTAAAGGTATTTGTCATAATTATGTACAAAACCTATTAGTTTGAAATAATAAAATTATAAATTCAGTATGTTATCCACTGGGTAAAAAAGAGAAGCTGCATAATTAATTGTATGCACAATATTTTAAGCATCATTTGTCATGCTATTTTATGGAAAATGTTCATTAAAGCTACTGGCTTGCCCTAGTTATAAACTATCTGCTGTTTATGATTTATTTTATCTCTCCCGTCCCCCCACTCTTTTATTTGCTTCTCAGCCTTTACATCACTTAAATACTCAGTGATTACTGTCATCATCAACTCCTTTTCTTCCAATATGTTGATTTAATTTAGCTTGTGCAGTTCCCAGCTGCATGGTTATTGATAAAATTTTGAAAAAAACAAGGATAGGTTTATTTTAGTACTATACAACTGGTAGACACTTTGGAATTTTAAGCTTTTTTGACAACGAACTGCCAACAATCTTATTTTTCAACAAGCATTCACATTTCCTCTTCCAAGAATATCTTTAATATTCTAAAACTCACATAGCTGGTATTTTTTCTAGAAAATTTACTTTTAGGGTTAAAAAAAGCATTAAAAACTCTGCTGCATCATATTCATTATTTAATAGCAGCAGATATTTGTCAGCTATACAACAGAATAACTTGTTAACTTTTAATGTGTTAATTGCTTCTATTTTCATATTTTCTTGGAGTATTACTAGCAATAACTTACTAATTTATGGGTTTTAAAATTATATATGGATTATTTCATCATTCCACTAATCCAAAGAGGTAACCAAGGGAGGATATTATTCATGCTTTATAGGTGAAGAAAAAAATAGCAAGCTTAACAGAATGAGTTGTTGAATTAAAAAAACTAATTTTTCTGATTTATATGATATTAGAAATATCATTATTCATCAATATTAAAATAAAATAATTATTTGGTATTGTTCGCTTTTTAAAGTACATTTTATGGTGTTCAAAGCTTGGAGGCAGTTAAAGAAAGGATTAGAAGAAAGGATCACATAAATTTGGAATTCAGAAATCCTTAGATTTCACTCTAATCAACATTTTAATCTCGCTGAAGGGTTTTTCTTTTTATTCAAACAAATAAGAAAGTGTGTCAGCCAAGTGAGTCATGCATAACACTTTATGTTGCCTTCATTTACTAGTAGAAAGCCACATTTGGACAAGCTTTGCCAGCATCAATAATAGAAAGCCCACACAAAAGTATATAACAGACAAACACTAAAATCAAGATCTTATGTAGAATCCTGAAGTGTATGTATTTTACATTTTCTCAAATATTTAAAAAAGTAAAATGCATTTTAAAATATTTCTTAAATACAATTAAAAATACATTTTAAAATATTTCTTATTTAAAAATAAATAAGAAAAAATACATATAGAAAATAGAAATGATAAAAAGAAAAAAAATGAAAGTTACCATTGTACAATCACCTTGTATTTTCCTGGCATATTATTAAAATCATAGTAATAAATACTAAACAATAATTAAATCTTTACTTAATCCTGGCAAAACCAACACATGGTTGCATGCTTACTTTATAGTTGATGATAAAACAAAATTTCCTGGAGTTTAAGTAAAGGTCACATTATTAATAAGTGATGGAATCAGGATTTAAAAGAAATTATTTTTGTCTCTAACACCAATGATGGTTACACTATATGGTATGGGAAAGAGAAGAGGAGGAATGAAATGGAAAGAAAGACAAAGGATATAACTAAAACCTCAGGTGCAGTGCTAGCCAACTTCACATATAGTATCTCATTAGTTATCTGTTCCATTTATTTTTAAGAGTATAAAACTGAGATTCAGAAATGAATAATCATGTTCTAGATCAAACAATTGGCAAAGGGTAGAGCTAGTATTTCTAATCTTACACCTTAAGTCTTTTTCTCCTAAGTTCAAGACCCACTATCCAACTATTAAAACTCTACAGTGCCTCAGGTGGCGCAAAATAAATATGTCCTTAATCATCTCATTATCTGTAATTGTTTTCCATCATGGTTGTTTTCTCTTGCTTAATGAATACTATTATCTATCTAATAATAATAAATATGAGGCCCAGGTAGATTATCTGCCAATACATTTTAATACTACATTTTCAGAATGCCATATTGCATGAGATGATATAAATATATAAATCCATGTCTCTCTTACTTACCATAAACTATACCTTATTTATCTATTAACAGAAGAAAATAGATAGAAATCTATAATCATTATACTTTAAAGAAATAACAGCAAAAACAATAGCTAGAATTTACAACTTGTTTGATATGTGTCAGATACTGTTGTATGCACTTTAAGATTTCTTTTATTTTTAATTTTTGTGTGTCCATAGTAAGCATATATATTTATGGGATACATGAGATATTTTGATACAGGTATGCAATGTGTCATAATCACATCATGGAAAATGAGTACCCATCCCTTCAAGCATTTATCCTTTGCATTACAAACAATCCAATTAAACTCTTTTAGTTATTTTTTAATATATAGTTTATTATTGACTACAGTCATCCTGTTTTGCTATCAAATCTTAGGTTTCACTCATTCTTTCTGTTTTTTTTTTTTTTTGTATCCATCAACCATCCCTACCACCTCCCAAACCCCCTACTATCCTTCTCAGCCTCTGGACAGCATCCTTCTACTCTTTATGTCCCTGGGTTCAATTGCTTTGATTTTTACATCCCAAAATAAGTGAGAACATGTGATGTTTGTCTTTCTGTGCCTGGCTTATTTCATTTAACATCTAGTTACATTCATGTTGTTACAAATGACTGGATCTCATTCTTTTTTTGCGGTGAACTAGTCCTCCATTGTGTATATTTACCACATTTTCTTTATATGTTCATCTGTTGATGGACACTTAGGTTGCTTCCAAATCTTAGCTATTATAAACAGTGCTACAACAAACATGGGAGTGCAGATACCTCTGTGATATACTGATTTTTCTTTTGGGTATATACCCAGCAGTGGGATTGTTGGATCATATGGCAGCTCTATATTTAGTTTTTTGAGGAACCTCCAAACTGTTCTCCGTAGTGGTTGTTTTAATTTACATTCCCACCAACAGTGTATGGGGGTTCCCTTTTCTCTCCATCCTTGCCCGCATTTGTCTTGGCTCATCTTTTGGATATAAGTCATTTTAACTGGGGTCAGATATCTCATTGTAGTTGTGATTGAATTTCTCTGATGACTAGTGAGGTTGAGCACCTTTTCATATGCCTGTTTGTCATTTGTGTGTGTTCTTCTAAGAAATGTCTATTTGAATCTTTTGCCCATGTTTTATCTAATTATTAGATGTTTACCTATAGCATTGTTTGAGCTCTTTATATACCCTGGTTATTAATCCCTTGTCAGATGGGTAGTTTGCGAATATTTTCTTCCATTCTGTGGGTTGTTTCTTCACTTTGTTGATTGTATCCTTTGCTGTGCAGAAGCTTTTCAACTTGATGTGATCCCATCTGTTTATTTTTCCTTTGGTTCCCTGTGCTCGTGGGGTATTGCTCAAGAAATGTTTGCCCAGACAAATGTCCTGGAAACTTTCCTCAATGTTTCCTTTCTCTCTCTCTTTCTTTTTTTTTTTAATATTTCTTGTGAAGGTCTTGCTCTGTTGCCCAGGCAGGAGTGCAGTGGCAGGATCATAGCTCACCGCAGCATTGACCTCCCAGGCTGAAGCAACCCTCCCTCCTCAGCCTTCTGAGTAGCTGGGACTACAGTCACATGCCATCATGCCCAACTAATTTTTGTATTTTTTGTAGAGACCAAATCTCACCACATTGCCCAGGCTGATCTTGAACTCCTAGGTTCAAGGAATTCTGCCTCTGCCTCCCAAAGTGCTGGAACTGCAGGCAGGAGCCTCCATGCCTGACCCTCCCAATGTTTTCTTGTAGTAGCTTCATAGTTTGAGGTCTTAGGTTTAAGTTTTCAATTCATTTTGATTTGATTTTTGTACATGGTGAGGGATAGGGATCTAGTGTCATTCTTTTTCTTATGGATATCAAGTTTTCCCAGCACCATTTATTGAAAAGACTGTCTTTTTCCCAGTGTATGTTCTTGGTACTCCTGTCAAAAATGAGTTTATGGTAGGTGTGTGGATTTGTTTCTGGGTTCTCTATCTGTTCCATTGGTCTGTGTTTCTGTTTTTATGCCAGTATCATGCTGTTCTGTTTACTATAGCTCTGTAGTATAAGTTGAAATCAGGTAATGTGACTCCTCTAGTTTTGTTCTTTTTGCTTAGGATAGCATTGGCCATTTGAGAATTTGGGATTCCATATACATTTTAGGATTTTTTTTCTATTTCTGTGAAGAATGCCATTGGTATTTTGATAGGGATTGAATTAAATCTTTAGACTGCTTTGGTAGACTGCTAATCCATGAACATGGAATCTCTGTTAATTTTTTGGTGTCCTCTTCAATTTCTTTCATCACTGTTTTATAGTTTTCATTACAGAGATCTTTCACCCTTTGTTTTAAATGACTTCTAGGTATTTAATTTTAATTATGGCTATTGTAAATAGGATTATGTTTTTTATTTCTTTTTCAGATCACTGTTGGCATACAGAAATGCTACTGATTTGTATATGTTGATTTTGTATCCTGCAAATTTACTGAATATGTTTATCAGCTCCAATATTTTCTTATGAAGTCTTTAGGTTTTTCCAAATATAAGATCATATCATTTCCAAACAAGGGTAATTTGACTTCTTCCTTTTCAGTTTGGATGTCTTTATTTCTTTCTCTTGTCTGATTCCTCTAAATAGAAATTCCAGTACTATGTTGAATAACAGTTAAAAGTGGGCATCTTTGTCATGTTCCAGATCTTAGAAGAAAGGCTTTCAGTTTCTTTCCATTCAGTATGATGCCAGCTGTGGGTCTGTCGTAAGTGGATTTTATTATGTTGAAATATTTTCCTTTTATACCCAGTTTTTGAGATATTGAATTTTATCCAATGTTATTTCAGCACCAATTGAAATAATCATATGGTTTTTATCCTTCATTCTGGTGATATGATGTATCACATTGATTGATTTATGTATGTTGAACCATCCTTGTATCATAGATATAAATCCCACTTGGTCATGGTAAATGACCTTTCTAATATGTTTATGAATTCAGTTTGCTAGTATTTTGTTGAGGATTTTTGCATCAGTACTTATCAGATATATTTGCCTGTAGTTTTCCTTCTTCATGTTTGTCTACTTTTGGTATCAGGATAATACTGGCCTTATAGAATGAATTTGGAGGTATTCCTTCCTCCTCTATTTTTCCAAATACTTTGAGTAGGATTGCCATCAGTTCTTACAACCATGGGGAAAGCGAACAGGAAGGAGGCATGTCTTATATGGCAGTATCAGGAGAAAGAGAGAGACACACTTTTAAACAGCCAGATCTCTTGAGAACTCAGTCACTATCACAGGACAGCAATGGGGAAATCCACCCCCATGATCCAGTCACCTCCCACCAGGCCCTTCCTCCAACATTGAGGATTAAAATTTGACATGAGATTTGAGTGGAGACTTGAATCCAAACCATATCACAGAGTTTTAACCAAACATACTGGTCAGGTCAAAAGTACTTAAATTCAGCATGGGGCATACTGTAGAAGGTTCATCGCAATCCAAAGTTCAGCTGCATAGCTGTATATCCCATGAGAATGTTAACTCCATGAAAGCAGAACATGTATCTACATTATTTTTTACCATCTTTCTAATGTCTAGAACAGTGCTTGGTGAAAAGTGTCTTTCAAATCAATATTTCATACTTTTTTCAATAGCTGACTATTTAATTATGTAACCACTGGTAGAAAGTATTTCACATGCCATGCTCTTGTTTGTGATCAAACAGACAAAATAAACAAAAAAAGAAATTATTTTACAAGAATAAATTTGCCAGTTATTTTCTAGTCTCCACATTCTCTTTGAGAAAAGTTGTTCTGAAAGCAGATGGGAATAATCGTTAAATGTGAAGCCCTCAATTGTATCCTACCCACTATTTCCTCTTTTCTCCTTCTTTTAGTGACAGCTGGCACTGAGACAAGCTCATCAAATAATAAACATATTTGTACCTAAAGTTACATACAAATGTTGGACTATATGGTATAAACATTTAATAATGATATCTTTTTGTCTTTGTACAGCTTGCAAATGGATCTTACAGACGTTGTCACAGAGACAAGAAAAGTAAGGTGCTGTCTTCTCCAATCTTTTAAAAAAAAATTTAGGTGACAGTAACTACTATGTACTGGTGTAATTACCTTAGAAGAAAACAACAAATTAAATATCAGTCAGAGTAGTTATTAGTCCCAGGAGCAAAGCTGCTCAGTTCACACAATTCTGAAAGGGTAGAGGGGAAGGATGCAGAGACCCACAGGGGAACATATAGTTCCCCTGCATTCCCATAGCATTTCCAGCTGCATTCCTGGGTACGTGGGAGATACAGCATGATATGTGTTCTTAGTTGAAATAAACCAGGTAATACCCCAGGCACCCCATAACCTAAAGTACCGGTAGACTGGTATCTGGCCAGAGGCTCAAGTAAACTTAAGAACATGGGAGAGATGGGAGCAATTTTATTCCTTTCTCTACACATTGAAGGGTATTGAAACACTCAGGTTGAAAATCAGAGATCAAATATATGAATATGTATATGGAAACAGACATAATGGCTATTGAGAGTTTTAAAACAGAATCTATTCTGCATTAATAATTTATAGATGTTACTATAAATATACTAGTAGTAATAATAATTATGAGCTGTAAAGTCCATATGTAAATATTGTCTTATAAGCTAACATACAATATACTGCAAGATAAAGTTGGTAATTAGCCCTCTATATTCCTAGATTTTACTTATATTTATAAAAAGATACTTTATTGTGGTTTTTGTTTTGTTTTGGTTTTGAGATGAAATTTCACTCTTGTTGCCCAGGCTGGAGTGCACTGCAACCTTCACCTCCCAGGTTCAAGTGATTCTCCTGCCCCAGCCCTCTGAGTAGCTGGGATTACAGGCATGTGCCACCAGGCCTGGCTAATTTTGTATTTTTAGTAGAGACGAGATTGCTCCATGTTGGTCAGGCTCATCTCAAACTCCCTACCCCAGGTGATCTGCCCGCCTCGGCCTCCCAGAGTGCTGGGATTACAGGCGTGAGCCACTGCGCCTGGCCCTGTTGTGTTTTAATATTATTCCACGGTCCACCCTTTTCCCAGAGTCCCACCTCCACCCCCGACACATACATTATATAGTTCATGGTAATTTCTATGTTGTATGTTTTGAAACAGACAGATGAGAAATCAATTTCAAACTTAGTTATTATGGTCTTTTAGCTGACAAACATTGCACTGCTTATGCTTTCTTTATCTGGAATTTAAATTCAACTGCTTCTAATTAAAAGTAAAAATCCAGTAACTTTAGTTTCTTATTAGGCTTATTTTATGCCCCATAAATGCATTTAAATGATATTATCACAAGTTCACTTTCCTTCTTCAACACATTTTTAAAATAAGGTGATGAAAATATCTTCCACAGTAAGATTTATTTTGAACATATGATTCATAAAAATTTATAAAGGATTTTCTTTCCTTCCTTTTTCCTTGTATCTGACTTCTAAGAACATCTATTTTATGTCTTCTTACAATATGGAATCAGAATGTAAGGTAATTATTTCCAAATTTTGAAGTACATCACTATATTTCCCAGAAGTGAGATTATTAAAAATGTGATTTTCATGTAGTTAAGCAGTAGAAAAAAACAGAACTAATCAACCTTTTTAATTCAGAATACTTGTAGGCCTTGCCTGTTATAACAATTATTTGATGTTTTTTCCTCATTGAGATACCTATCACTGGAATATTTTACCTAAATTTGTTCTAGTGAGATAAGTCATGCACTAAGGAATTTGGGAAGAAACAATTGATTTCCTTGCCATTTGATTTAAAACAAACCCTTGAATATGACTGAGCAATTCTGCACTAAAGAACATATGAAAAGACCAGGGAGGGGATTGTCACAAATATCTGCATTTGCCAAGTTAGAACTATGCTAAGAATATTAACTCTATTAATTCATTTGATCTCCAAATCAGTCCTGAAAATTGAATGGATTTGCCCATTTTACAACACAAAATTAAGGCTTAGATTATTTCATACCTTCTCTAAGGTCAAGTGGTTAGTAAAGCATAGCTGTAATTCAAGTACAAGTTCTGACAGTCCCAGAACACTTTCTACCAGGCCATAGCCATCTGCTCATATGAATTGCTAACATATCCCTGGGAACTAGGACTATTAAAGTAGAGTTGCTTAAAGTATTTTGCTTTCCAAAATTAACTGACAGGATAGAATCATTTTTGTATTAGACTGTAAATGCAAATGTCTTTTCCAAATCATATACCACCAACAGGAAGCCTGCAGAAATTAATAATTGTGCCAGCTATCAGTCTTTTCATGCATAAAATTCAAAATTTTTTACTCTGCCTACAGATGAAATGTCATTTTATAAAGAGCTAATAACATGTAGCTACAAGTTTGCCTGTCAACACCAGTGAGCCAATAGCAGTCTGCAAAAGTTAAAATTGAGTACATTAAAATCATTTGAACATAGCATGAAACTACATAGTTTATTTAAACTGTGCTAAATATCAATGCAATGTAGTTTTACAATGAACCAGTGGCTTTTGAAGTGACAAAATTATGGATAATTTGAATAGTATTAGAGCTTTTCCTGATATACCTAATTACATAGGTAAGAATACTGAGGGCCAGAGAGGGAAGCAAATTGCTCCTGCCCAGATGGAAGTGGAGTTAATATGCAACCCCTTTTTCTTTCACTTTTAGCCATAAGATATATATATATATATATATATTTTTTTTTTGAGACGGAGTCTCATTCTGTCGCCCAGGCGGGAGTGCTGTGGCGCGATCTCCGCTCACTGCAAGCTCCGCCTCCCGGGTTCACGCCATTCTCCTGCCTCAGCCTCCCGAGTAGCTGGGACTACAGGCGCCCGCCACTGCGCCCGGCTAATTTTTTGTATTTTTAGTAGAGACGGGGTTTCACCGTGGTCTCGATCTCCTGACCTCGTGATCCGCCCGCCTCGGCCTCCCAAAGTGCTGGGATTACAGGCGTGAGCCACCGCGCCCGGCCGCCATAAGATATTTTAGTAATTCGTTTTTAATTCCCACTCTGTGTCTGAAGCTGTCCAAGGATTATTCATTTATTTAAGTCTATTATGACTCTTTCTAGAAAATAATTGATATAGCTTATAAATTTTAAAGGATGGAATGAACTTTAAGAATAGGAATAAAAGAAATAAAAACAAGGCCAGGCATGGTGGGGCACATCTATACTCCCAGCTACTGGGGAGGCTGAGGGAGGAGGATTGCTCAAGCCCAGGAGTTTGAAGCTGCAGTGAGACATGATCATGGTACTATACTCCAGCTTGGGCTACAGAGTGAGACCCTATCTCTGAAAACAAAACAAAACTAAAAAAATAAAACAAGGATTGAGTTAAGATCAAATAGATCTAGAAATGAGGCAACAAAAACACGAAAACATACATATATTACTTTAAATTAGCTTTCAGTTTGGCTCTAAGCTTTGTAGCACAAATACGATAAATAAAATTTGATCCAGGATGCAAGTCGCTGTTATCCACAAGGTAAAAGAAGCCATCATTCTAGAGAAGTATGCTCATTCTGCAGGCAGTGATATTCAGGAGCTGATTCGCTCTAGCTTAAACCATGCAATGTGATACATTTGTGGGCATGTCTTCTCAACCTTGAGTCCAGTGAGGTCACATTGATATCTTGAAATTAGCCAGCGTGGAAGAATTTACACCATGGGGATTGGCAAATGCTGCATAGAAGGGATTTTTGTCCCCTAGAAAGCTAGTTGTCAAATGTTGACTAGCACATCCCTACTTAAAGGTCTTTCCAGAACACATACAGACACATATATTAGGCCTGTCTTATAGTAACCCTCAATGTAGGCAGGATACTTCAAAGATACAATTCAGTTAAAAAAAATGTGCCTGCCAATGAATTATAGTCTGGATAACCTGATCTTGGTTAGTAGGAGTTAATCAAATTATATATTTTATAATATATGAGAAAAATAATGGACAACATATACTTCTTTACATATTTCTTTCTCTAAGCTGAATATCAATCAATATTAGAAGCAATTAATTCAAGGTAGTAGTATCTGACAATTAGCTGGAACCTAACTACATTGTTAGGTAATTTTAGATCCACATGCCTCTAATAATAATAAAGCTAAGAGAATAAAGACACCTTAAAAGGATAAGAAATCAAGGTGTTCTTGCTACTTATTCTTTCCTGGTTTATTTCCACCCCTTCAAATTGAATACTGAAGTATTTGCACTCAAATAAATCAGAGCTGGAAAAGAAAAGGTGTTACTTAAACCTAGAAAACAAGCAAATAAATCCAGTTTAATTTTTAGTAAATAGCTTTCTTGACTTCATAAAATTGTGTTGGTCTTGACAAAGACACCTAGTGAGAGTATCTCTAGCAGAGACATTTAAGGCTTCTTGCTGTGTGTTTTTTGTCCTTTGTCTCTTTGTGTCAGCTAATTCTCAATTAATACTATGTGGGTCTATGGTCAACTCATGTGTTTGTGTGTGTGTATGTGTGTATGCATATATATACACACACATATATATTTACTGTATCATATATTAATCATAAACATATACATACATTTTTAGGTTTGAAATATTATTCTACACTTCAGCCATAATGGATTATACTATATTAATTTTGAAGGTTATTACATCCATGTTCTGTGATGAATGACTATTAACTTTTGTGTTCTGACTTGAATGCCATGAAATTCTTAGTTCTCAGCTCTCAATCCTATAGGAGAAATGCAGTCTATTTCACTCCCTTAGCGTCTTATATTCATACATAGATCATGTATAAAATGCAACTTGTAAAAGTAGGTGTCATCTTGTGCTCCAAAGGACACCATCCCAAAAGGGAAAAACACAAGAGAATGGGAGAAAATATTTGCAAATCCTATATCTGATAAGGGACTTGTATCTAGAATATATAAGCAACTTACAACTCAATAAAAAAGTAGATATATAATCAAATTTTAAAATAGGCAAAATATCTGAATAAATATTTCCTCAATGAGATATACAAACAGTCAGAAAGCAAATAAAAAAGTGCTCCACAATAGGAGTCATCAGAGTAACATAAAACCACAGTGAGATACCACTTTGCGCATACTAGAATGGCTATAATCAAAAGGACAAATAACAATCAATGTGTTGGAGATGGTGAACAAAATTGGAACTCTCATATACTGCTGGTGGGAATATAAAATGATTCAATCACTTTGGAAAAGTCTGGCAATTCTGCAAAAATTAAAAATACAGTTACCTTATATATCAGTCATTCCACTTCTAAATATTCTCAATAGGAATAGAAACACAAGTTCTCACAAAAACTTGTGTATAAATATTCAAAACAGCATTACTTATAATAGTCAAAAAATGGAAACAACTCAGATATTTATCAACTGAACAACTGATTAAAAATGTGGTCTACCCATACAATGGAATATTATTCAATAAAAGGAAATGAAGTACGCATGCATGTTACAAGATAGATGAAGCTTGAAAACATTATGCTAAGTGAAAGAAGCCAGTCGCAAAAGAGCATATATTGTAAGATTCTACTCATATGAAATATCCAGAAAGGAAAAATATAAGACAGGAAGTAGATTTGCTCTTGCCTAGGGCTGGGGCTGATGTTGAGTGTTAAGTGGGGAGTCACTGCTAATGGGTAGAAGGTTTATTTTTTGGGTGATGAAATGTGCTAAAATTGATTTTGATTTTGATTCTGTTTGTACACCTCTGAGAATATACTCGCACCTGCAATCCTAGCACTCTGGGAGGCCGAGGCAGGCGTTCGAGCTCAGGAGTTCGAGACCAGCCTGGGCAACACGGTGAAATGCCTGTATCTACCAAAAAAAAAAAAAAAAAAAAAAATTAGCCAGGTGTGGCTGCACATGCCTGTATTTCCCAGCTACTTGAGAGGTTGAGGCAGGAGAATCGCTTGAACCCACGAGTCACAGGCTGCAGTGAGCTGAGATCATGCCACTGCACTCCAGCCTGGGTGACAGAGTGAGACTCCATCTCAAAAAAGTAAATAAATAAAACAATAAAAGTTATAGATACTAAAAACTACTGAATAGTACCATTTAAATATATGAACTGTATGGTATGTGGATTATATCTCAATAAGCTGTGTGTGTATATATGCACACTATATATACTCAAATAATAAATATATATATATACACACACACATACACACACACTCAAATCAGAGATGGGGAGGAAAAAGTATGTGCGTATATATTACACACACAGATACTTTATATATATATATGAAGTATATGAAATATATATATATAACACACACATATTTTATATATATACATATATACATACACACATACACGTGTATGTATGTATATATATACACGTGTATATATGTATATACATATATACATACATATATACATACATACATATATATAAAGTGTGTGTAATATATATAGTTCACACACATAGAACTTTATATATTACACACACACACTTTATATGTATGTGTCTATATATATATGTAGTTCACACACACACAGAACTATATATATATATATATATATATATATATATATATATATATATAAAGTTCCATGGATGATTGGTAGTACTACACACACAGACATATATAGTACTACCAATATATAGTACATGTAGTAGTAATAGTATATGTAGTATACATATATGTACATATATATACACATATGTAGTATACATATATGTACATATATATATACACATACATATGTAGTACTACCAATCATCCAAGGAACTTATCTTCACTATCATGGCTATTCAACTTAATTTGAATCATTATGTTTCTGAGTCAATCCAGTAACTCCAAGTTAGACAACATGACTTAGAAACAACAATATTCATCTGAGATAGAGTAGATTTGCGTTTTTATCCTGGCCTTGCTGCTCACTATTTGTATTGACTTTATATTTATCTTTGGCAAATTCCTTCACCTCTCTCCCTCAGTCTATGCAGATGGACAATTAGTAGAGTTAACTTGATGGTTACTAAGATCACTTCAAGAAGTGTGATACATCATAGAGAATGTGGCATATGACCAGATTTAAATGATGGGCATTTCATATCCTTTAGGTGATAGATCTATTATTTAAGAATTAATGTGAAGCCAACATAGATACCTCAGTCAAATCTGATCCGCATGTTAACATCTAGAGTTGCCAAAATCTAAGCCGAAATCACTCTAACTCCTCCTTTCCAGTTGTCCACCACATATGATCAACTTTAGTATATTAACAGAATTTCTCTGTATGAGTTCCCAGAAGCCACTTGGATATGTGTATTTATTCATTGATTATTCATCAATTTCATGTGAATCAAAACTATGCCATATTGCAAAAACATTATATACTCCCTTGAAACATTTTTAACAGTCATAACTTCAGATAACACTTAAATTAGTTTTGAAAGAACTAAAAAAATGTAAAATGTATTATGCAGTCAAGTGTAACTGGAACTATTAAATAATAGTTCATTCATAAGAATATAAAATTATGGTTACAGGTAGATATTTGGAAAATCTCCTTCAACTCAGTATTATTGCAACTTTCACATAAATGGTCTGTTTATAAATAGTTTTATAAAATCTTGTGTGATATTTAATTTTTAATTGTTTTGTCTCCCTCAATGAAGCATAAGCCTTTGTAAGTCAGTTTGCATGTTTTAGTTAGGTTTTCACCAGAATTTAGGATATATTTAATTATTAAATACATTTATATTTAACATATATTTAATGTGCATGTTCTGTGTCCTAGTTCCTTTGGCACATATTGATTATATAATAGATTAAAATAAAAGGCAAACATGACTCTGTCCTTTTACAGTTTCTAATATATTTGTATAGAATGTATTTGTGAAATGCTTAGTTTATTACAGACAAGTAACTAAAATCTATCAGAATAAAACACAATATAATTGATTAATATAGCAAAATGTTCAAAGATATTTTATAGGTAAGAGAAAGCGATTTCATTTATTAAAATGAAAGAGATTGGGACATGACCCTTTTATACTGATTTGATATTTAAAGTAAAGAAAAATGTCAATGAGGTTAGTAGAAATGAGTCTTAGCTTTGATTTTATCACTACTTAGCTGTGTAATGTTGAACTAATAAAAACCTCAGTTTCATTATGTGTAAAATGAGAAAATTAGACAAATTTCAATATTCATCCTGCCTGTAAAATTCTGATTATTCAATGTAAATACTTCTCTTTTTTTTATTATACTTTAAGTTTTAGGGTACATGTGCACAACGTGCAGGTTTGTTACATATGTATACATGTGCCATGTTGGTGTGCTGCACCCATTAACTCATCATTTAACATTAGGTATATCTCCTAATGCTATCCCTCCCCCTGCCCCCCACCCCACAACAGGCCCCGGTGTGTGATGTTCCCCTTCCTGTGTCCATATGTTCTCATTGTTCAATTCCCACCTATGAGTGAGAACATGCAGTGTTTGGTTTTTTGTCCTTGCGATAGTTTGCTGAGAATAATGGTTTCCAGCTTCATCCATGTCCCTACAAAGGACATGAACTCATCATTTTTTATGGCTGCATAGTATTCCATGGTGTATATGTGCCACATTTTCTTAATCCAGTCTATCAATCATTGTTGGACATTTGGGTTGGTTCCAAGTCTTTGCTATTGTGAATAGTGCCGCAATAAACATACGTGTGCATGTGTCTTTATAGCAGCATGATTTATAATCCTTTGGGTATATACCCAGTAACGGGATTGCTGGGTCAAATGGTATTTCAAGTTCTAGATCCCTGAGGGATCGCCACACTGACTTCCACAATTGTTGAACTAGTTTACAGTCCCACCAACAGTGTAAAATTTCCTATTTCTCCACATCCTCTCCAGCACCTGTTGTTTCCTGACTTTTTAATGATCGCCATTCTAACTGGTATGAGATGGTATCTCATTGTGGTTTTGATATGCATTTCTCTGATGGCCAGTGATGATGAGCATTTTTTCATGTGTCTTTTGGCTGCATAAATGTCTTCTTTTGAGAAGTGTCTGTTCATATCCTTCTCCCACTTTTTGATGGGGTTGTTTTTTTCTTGTAAATTTGTTGGAGTTCATTGTAGATTCTGGATATTAGCCCTTTGTCAGATGAGTAGATTGCAAAAATTTTCTCCCATTTTGTAGGTTGCCTGTTCACTCTGATGGTAGTTTCTTTTGCTGTGCAGAAGCTCTTTAGTTTAATTAGATCCCATTTGTCAATTTTGGCTTTTGTTGCCATTGCTTTTGGTGTTTTAGACATGAAGTCCTTGCCCACGCCTATGTTCTGAATGGTATTGCTTAGGTTTTCTTCTAGGGTTTTTATGGTTTTAGGTCTAACATTTAAGTCTTTAATCCATCTTGAATTAATTTTTGTATAAGGTGTAAGGAAGGGATCCAGTTTCAGCTTTCTACATATTGCTAGCCAGTTTTCCCAGAACCATTTATTAAATAGGGAATCCTTTCCCCATTTCTCGTTTTTTGTCAGGTTTGTCAAAGATCAGATGGTTGTAGATATGTAACATTATTTCCGAGGGCTCTGTTCTATTCCATTGGTCTATATCTCTGTTTTGGTACCAGTACCATGCTGTTTTGGTTACTGTAGCCTTGTAGTATAGTTTGAAGTCAGGTAGCATGATGCCTCCAGCTTTGTTCTTTTGGCTTAGGATTGACTTGGCAATGCGGGCTCTTTTTTGGTTCCATATGAACTTTAAAGTAGTTTTTTCAATTCTGTGAAGAAAGTCATTGTTAGCTTGATAGGGATGGCATTGAATCTGTAGATTACCTTGGGCAGTATGGCCATTTTTACGATATTGATTCCTCCTACCCATGAGCATGGAATGTTCTTCCATTTGTTTGTATCCTCTTTTATTTCATTGAGCAGTGGTTTGTAGTTCTCCTTGAAGAGGTCCTTCACATCCCTTGTAAGTTGGATTCCTTAGAGTCTAAGTCTCTTTGTAGGTCACTCAGGACTTGCTTTATGAATCTGGGTGCTCCTGTATTGGGTGCATATATATTTAGGATAGTTAGCTCTTCTTGTTGACTTGATCTCTTTACCATTATGTAATGGCCTTCTTTGTCTCTTTTGATCTTTGTTGGTTTAAAGTCTGTTTTATCAGAGACTAGGATTGCAACCCCTGCCTTTTTTTGTTTTTCATTTCCTTGGTAAATCTTCCTCCATCCTTTTATTTTGAGCCTATGTGTGTCTCTGCACATGAGATGGGTCTCCTGAATACAGCACACTGATGGGTCTTGACTCTTTATCCAATTTGCCAGTCTGTGTCTTTTAATTGGAGCATTTAGCCCATTTACATTTAAGGTTAATATTGTTATGACTGTGATCCCGTCATTATGATGTTAGCTGGTTATTTTGCTCCTTAGTTGATACAGTTTCTTCCTAGCCTCGATGGTCTTTACAGTTTGGCATGTTTTTGCTGTGGCTGGTACTGGTTGTTCCTTTCCATGTTTAGTGCTTCCTTCAAGAGCTCTTTTAGGGCAGGCCTGGTGGTGACAAAATCTCTCAGCATTTGCTTGTTTGTAAAGGATTTTGTTTCTCCTTTGCTTATGAAGCTTAGTTTGGCTGGATATGAAATTCTGGGTTGAAAATTCTTTTCTTTAAGAATGTTGAATACTGGCCCCCACTCTCTTCTGGCTTGTAGAGTTTCTGCCGAGAGATCAGCTGTTAGTCTGATGGGCTTCCCTTTGTGGATAATCGGACCTTTCTCTCTGGCTGCCCTTAACATTTTTTCCTTCATTTCAACTTTGGTGAATCTGACAATTATGTGTCTTGGAGTTGCTCTTCTCAAGGAGTATCTCTGTGGCATTCTCTGTATTTCCTGAATTTGAATGTTGGCCTGCCTTGCTAGATTGGGGAAGTTCTCCTGGATAATATCCTGCAGAGTGTTTTCCAACTTGGTTCCATTCTCCCTGTCACTTTCAGGTACACCAATCAGACGTAGATTTGGTCTTTTCACATAGTCCCTCATTTCTTGGAGGCTTTGTACTTTTCTTAAAATATCCTTTTGTAGTTTCTTACAATTAAGCTTCCTTTTATTTCCTACTGCACTACTTACATTTTCAATAACTTTAGACCTTTCATTAGGAAAGGGAAAACTAAATGAAAATTATTTGTTAAAATATGAACAGGGGCTACAGAACTCTATGACAGGTGGCATTTTCCTTCCAGAAAAATAAAAAGCAGCTATTTTTTTCCTTGTTTATAAAAGGTGGCATGCCACAGCTGCAAAGCCAATTTTTGAACATTGAAATCTCTTCATTTTGTAAGCCCCCACCAAAAAATACAGCAGTCTTCTCCAGGAGACATAGCAGCAGGATTGTTTCAACTCACCAACATAGAAAGGAAAAAATAAATGTGCGTGTGATTATGCACACACAGACTGATGTGTTTTGTACTGCCTCATGTTCTCTACTGCTATAAAGAGAATCTATAATTTCAGGTGGTGGAAAAGGGAGAGAAGACATGCATATTTTAAAGGAATCTTTAAATTCAATCCAAAAATATATTTTTGTTTGTAAATTAAGCTTTAGACAAATTTAAATTTGCCCTATCACTATCTCCACCTTAAAGCACACTGATATAGTACATATCCAATAATCTTCATGCTGAAAAGTCCCAATTTAAAATTAAGGGTTAGGAAATTTAGGTTTTGAATTATCAGTCTGAAGCCTGAGTTTAGATTATTTTCTAGCTCATTTATGCCTCCAGGAGAAAAAAAAACGAGTCAAAAAATATCTTATTCAAGATATTCTTGTCATTAGGATAAAATACAAAGTTTGCAATACTGCAAAGAAAAAATGAAAAAAAAAGAAAACTAGTTCATAATTGAGGAGGTAACTCCATTTATTAAAAACAAGCCTCAGTCCCTTATAACTAACTACAGGCTTTCTTCTTATGGAAGATTCCTGAAGCAGCATTCTGGAACTCCTGCTTAAATTGGGGGCCAGAGATTCAAAAGAACGTCTCCTATAAAACCTAGTTTAATAGTAATCTTTGGGGATCTTCTGCTTAGATAATAATTTTCTCACGTTAGCTGGTTAATCATAAAGCCTTGTATTCCCCACCTTAATGTCTCTGTGTGGTTTGTGTGTCTCTCTCTATCTCTCTTTCACACACACACACCACAAACACAGACACAGACACAAAACATCTGCTAAATATAAGCAGTTTGCCTATTAAAAAGAGTGCTATAATGAAAATTTAAAAACATACATAGTATTTTATTCATTACTAACTAACTAGATATGATATTATACACAAGCAAACTAGCTCCTTTGAGTTTCCTTTTCTCCCTTCAAAATAGAAACACATTTTATATTTCTTCATCAGAGTGTTGTAAGGTAATGTCTGATAGTACTGAGTCATGAGAGTAAAAATTCTGGGTCGATGGATGCATGCCTTAGAGGAGAAAAAGACAGCAATTCATGTTCTCAGTAGCCTAATACAAAGATGGTTACTTTTTAAAAATCTATTTTACTTTAAAGTCTTTCTCTGATACAGTATTAGTGAGAGGCATGTATAGTTTAATAAGTATAATCTACTAGATATTATTTAATTTTATTAAAGATTTATATGACCTTAGAGCCATAGTTCTGAATTTTAATCTCTCATATAATTCTCAAGATATAAAAACTGGAGATTGGATTGAATATATTAAAAGCCCAAGTCATATGCCAAAGAATGTTTTATTAGCATTACATATTGTGTGCTTTTTTATTTTTTGTATTTATCCATTTCCCTTGATCACCATTTTTTTCTAGGAATATATATATATATATATATATACACACACACACACACACACATATATATATATACACACACATATATATACACATATATATATACACATATATATATACACATACACACACATATCATTATACTTTAAGTTCTGGGATACATGTGCAGAACATGCAGGTTTGTTACATACATATACACGTGCCATGATGGTTTGCTGCACCCATCAACCCATCATCTACATTAGGTATTTCTCCTAATGCTCTCCCTCCCCTAGTCCCTGACCCCCTGACAGGCTCTGGTGTGTGATGTTCCCCACCCTGTGTCCATGTGTTCTCATTGTTCAACTCCCACTTATGAGTGAGAACATGCAAACACCATATTTTTTCAAACCATATTAGATTAAGATTTTAAATAGTGTCAGTTAAAGTAAATGGCTTGGATATAAGATTTTCCTTAATGATATAACAGCTAAAATATGTACAATGACTGCAGGCATTGGAAGGCAACCAATGTGGATTACGGTCTTTGAAAGCAGGAAACACAGAAAGTTAAGATCACACATAGCTTTCCCCCAAGAGCATTTACCAATTACTAAGCTGCTACATAGAACCCAAGATGAATGTCAATTTCACTAGGCAGGGGAGACAGAGATTAGAGCTTAACGGGGTTGACATGGTTGAATCAAGAGGCAGGATTCCACAAAGAAGGAGCCATAAAGTGTCCCCAAAATTTTTCTTGGGTTTTTGGCCAACTGCTGAGATTTGTATACATAAGAAGAGATTCTAGAAGGCCAAGCATAGAATAGCAGCTAGAAGCTGGAGATCATGGAAGAAATCACAGAGGCTACACAGTATTAGGAAGATAGATAGAAGATGACACTGGTTCCAGCTGTAGTGGAGACAATTTGATGAATAGTGAGATTTAGCTAGAGATTCCAGTAGAAACACATTGTAAGGGTAAGACCTAGTTCCTAGGAGTAAGGGTCAGACCTAGTTCCTAGGAGTAAGGGTCATGTCTCTTCTAGGTGTAAGAGGAAAGCTGAAATAATGTACCTTTAAAAAGCCTGAAACTAACCCTTGAAAAAATTAAGATGCACCTGGCTGGATGCAATGGCTCACACCTGCAATCCCAGCACTTTGGGAGGCTGAGGTGGGCAGATCATTTCAGTCCAGGAGTTCGAGACCAGGGTGGGCAACATGGCAAAACATCATCTCTGCAAAAAATACAGTAATTAGTGGGGTGGTGTGTGAGCCTGTAGCCTCAGCTACTCAGGAGGCTGAGAGGCAGGAGGACCATTGAGCCTGGGAGGTCAAGACTGCAGTGAGCAGTGATCACACCACTGCACTCCAGCCTGGGTGACAGAACAAGACCTTGTCTAAAAAAATAAATACATAAATAAATAAAAGATGTGCCTGAATTTAAGGACTTGCCAGAGAATAATTAACAATCTTTGAGGGAAGATAGTACAATTCAGATAATCTTTAATGTATCTTCCACATCTTCCACCGTAGGCATATAAAAAAATAAATAAAGATGAGCTCCTTTCAAGGTGACTGACTAGAAGCAGCTGGTGTGTGCTGCTCTCACAAAGAGAAGAAAGAGTGGTGAGTGGACCATCCAGGTGGACACATTGGGATTCATCAAGGAAACAATACACAGAAAACAGAAGAATGAGACAGGACAATCATTCACCCAGAAGTGGCATAGAGCCGGGAGATGGCCCTCACCATGGTTAGTAAGTGAGAGTCCCCAGGGAGTCACATTTCTGCCACAGACCTTTGCAACCCTGGGCCCAGGCGATCCCCCATGACACCCGTGCCCCACCAGGGCCTCTGGACTGACATAGACAGCTACATGGAGTGTGGGCAGAACTGCCACTCAGGCACTCATGAAATCCTTGGAGCTTTTCATCCCCAGGCACCCTGGTACCAATGGCTGCAGCTGCGGCAATGGGGGAGGACAGGCTCTCTTGCATGTCCTCAGAATAGGAACACAATCCATGGGGCTAAGCAGTGGGTGGACTGTGGGGCTCTTCTACACAGCCCGTTGCCAGACTGGCCTGGGATCCTAGCATGGTCACAAAAGTCCCACCTGGGCTCTTGAGGAACAGATCTGTACTTCCCTGGCATGGAACTCCTGGAGGGGATGGGCAGGCTGCTGTTTTTGCTGCTCCACAGCCCTCACTCCTGTTGCCCTCAGTCTTGGGAGTGAGCACAGTGATTGGGGACTAACATAGACCCCCAGCACAGTGTACAGACTTGCAGAAAAGCAGCCAGACTCTTTTCCACATGGGTCCTCACCCCTGCTACTCTTCACTGGGCAGCACCTCTTGACCTTGGCCCCCAGCACAACCAACCCGCCCCCACATGAACGCTTTGTCAGTGATGGCTCTGTGTTTCTCTGAGGAGAAAAATCCAAAAGACAATCCATAAGCCTTCTGCTATTGCAGCTGCAGTGGTATGGCCCTTACTACCTTCAGGCTGGGGAAAGAACGAAGGACTTGGTCCTTACACTGGCCCCTCCAGCACACCATCGCCACCATATGGAGAAGAGCCCAGTCTCTCTTCCCCGTAAGCCCCCACTCACCACTGTTCACCAGGCAAGGCCCCTAGTTGGGGACAGCAGAGCAGCTGTCCTACCCCCGGATGAGAATTCCCACTGCTATTGGCTCTATATTTTCCTGAGGTGGGCCTCCCAGAAGCAATTGACATCCCCTCTGTCACTGTCATGGCAGCAGTTCTGCCCTTACTGCACTCAGACTGGGGAAAGAACAAACAGCCTGAGGTCTTCACTCACACTCCTAGCACAACACAGTCATGATATGGAGAGGAGCCCAGTTGTTCCTCCTGGTGAGCCCTTGACCTCCTACTTTTCATCAAGTGAAGCCTCCAGCTTGGGCTAGCAGCGTAGCCACCCCACCCACTGGCTGAACATTCTCAGTAGCAATGGCTTGCGTTTCTCTGAAGTAGGGCTCCCAGGGACAACGGAAAGCACCTCTCCCACTGCCACTGCAGCGGTACTGCCTTGCTGCCCTTGGACTGGGGAAGGGGCAGAGACCTTGAGTGCTTAACCCACATGTCCAGGAAGTGACAGCTGCCCTAAGGAGAGGAGGCCAGTCTGTCTCCTCTGTGAGACCCCTGCCACCCTTGCGCATCACCAGGCAGGGCCTCCAGGCATGGGTTCACAATGTAGCTGCCCCAATCCCAAGCCCATCTCTCCAATTAGTAGTGGCTCTGCATTTCTCTAGGGTGGAGCCCCAAGAGACAAGTGAAAGGCCCTCTGCCACAGCAACTGCCAAGGTCCCTTCCCCTGTTGCCTTCAAGCTGGGGAGGGAAAATAAAGCCTTAGCTCGCCCCTAGCAGCAGTGTGCAGCCCAGGAGTGCCAAGGCCAGACCTTAAGCCAGCACTGGAGTGGGAAAGGGAGCCCACACTTTCAGAGCACTGAGAGGGAGCATGGCTGCAATCATGAAGAAATACAGAGGAGCCACGTGGTGGAGCAAGAGCCCACCTACTGGCCATTACACTTCAGTGCCATCTACTGGATCATAGCCCAAACTCCAACTCCAAAAATGCTTGCTAATATACCCCCCTCTGTGAAAACAACGACAAGATTTCAACAACAAAGACCCTGCACAAAACCTCGGCCCTCAAAAAACATTCAAAAAAGGAGTCTGCACTCAATTACACCACAGTTAAAGGAGCATCAGCCCACACAGATGAGAAAAAACTGGTGCAAGAGCTCTAACAACTAAACTACAGTGTTTTCTTTCCTCCAAATAACTGTACTAGTTCCCAAGGAAGGGTTCTTAACCAGGCAGAAAGGGTGGAAATGACAGAGAGAGAATTCAAAATATGGATAGGAATAAAGGTCATCAAGATTCAGGAGAAAGTCAAAACCCAATCCAAGGAATCTAACAATTACAATAAAACAATACAGGAGTTGAAAGACAAAATGGCCATTATAAGAAAGAACCAAACTGATCTGATAGAGCTAAAAAACACACTAAAGAATTCCTTAATGTAATTGCAAGTATTAACAGCAGAATAGACCAAGCTGAAGAAAGAATCTCAGAGCTCACAGGCAACATCTCTGAACTCAGTCAGACAAAAATAAGAATAAAGAAGAATGAACAAAACCTCCGAGAAATATGGGATTATGTAGAGACCAAATCTATGACTCACTGGCATCCTTGAAAGAGAGGAGGAGAAAGCAAGCAACTTGGAAAACATATTTCAGGATATCATCTATGAAGACTTCCCCAACATCGCTATGGAGAACAACATTCAAAATCAGGAAATGCAGAAAATCCCTGTGAGATTCTATATAAGAAGACCATCCACGAGCCACATGGTCGTCAGATTCTTCAAGGCCAAAACAAAAGAAAAAATGTTAAAGGAAGCTAGAGAGAAGAGGCAGATCACCTACAAAGGAAACCTCATTAGGCTAACAGCAGATCATTCAGCAGAAATCCCACAAGCCAGAAGAGATTAGGAGTGTGTATTCAGCATTATTAAGGAAAAGAAATTTCAACCAAGAATCTCATATCTAGCCAAACTTAGTTTCATTAGCGAAGGAGAAATAAGATCCTATTCAGACAAGCAAATGCTAAGGGAATTCAGTACCACCAGACATGCTCTATAAGAGATCCTGAAGCAAGTGCCAAATATAGAACAGAAAGACTGTTACTGACCACTGCAAAAGCACACTAAAAACGTAGACCATTGACACTGTAAAGCAACCACACAAATAAAGCTGCATAATAACCAGCTAACAGCACAATGACAGGATCAAATCAGCAAATACCAATATTAACCTTGAAAGTGAAGGGGCTAAGTGCCCCAATGAAAAGTCACAGAGTGGCAAGTTGGATAAAGAGCAAGACCCTGGCCAGGCAGGTGACTCATGCCTGTAATCTCAGCACTTTGGGAAGCTGACACAGGTGAATCAAGAATTCAAGACCAGTCTGGCCAACATGGTGAAACCCCATCTCTATTAAAATACAAAAATTAGCCCTGGACATGGTGGTGCTCATCTATAGTCCCAGGTACTAGGGAGGCTGAGGCGGGCGGATCAGTTGAACCCAGGAGGCAGAGGTTGCAGTGAGCTGAGATCATGCCACTGCGCTTCAGCCTAAAAAAAAAAAAAAAAAAAAAAAAAAAAAGCATGATCCAACTGTATGCTGTCTTCAACAGACATATCTCACATGGATCCATAGGCTTAAAGTAAAGGGATGAAGAAAAATCTACCAAGCCAATGGAAAACAGAAAATAGCTGGGGTTGACAGTCGAATTTCAGTCAAAACAGACTTTAAACCAACAATGATCAAGAAAGACAAAGGAAGACATTACAGAATAGTAAAGGGTTCAATACAACAGAAAGATGTTACTATTGTAAATATATATGCATCCAACACAGGAGAATCCAGATTCATAAAGCAAGTTCTTAGAGACCTATGAAGAGATGTAGATAACTGGACAATAATAGTAGTAGACTTCAACACCCCACAGACAGTATATTACACAGATCACTGAGGCAGAAAACTCACAAAAATATCCAGGATTCAAACTCAACATTGACCAAATGGACTCAATACACATCTGTAGAACTCTCCACCAAACAACACCAGAATATATATTCTACTCATCTGCACAGAGCACACACTGCAAAAGAGAAAACACAATTAGCCATAAAATAATCCTCAGGAAATCAAAAACAAACAAACAAAAACAAAATCATACAAATCACACTCTCAAACCACAGCACAATAAAAATAGAAATTATTACTTAAAAAACCCTCAAAACCATAAAATTACATGGAAATTTTTAAAAGCCCTGCTTTTGAATGACCTTTGTATAAACAATAAAGTCAAAGCAGAAATCAAGAAATTTTTTGAAGTTAAGAAGAATAAAGATACAACATACCAGAATCTCTGAGACACAGTAAAAACAGCATTAAGAGGGGTGTTTATACTGCTAAATGCCACATCAAAAAGTTAGAAAGACCTCCAATTAATAATCTCACAGCACACTTAGAAGAACTAGAGAAATCAGAGCAAGCAACCTCAAAGCTAGCAGAAGACAAGGATTAACAAAAATCAAAGCTGAATGGAAGGATATTGAGAAGCAGAAAACTGTACAAAAGTTCAACAAATATAAGAATTGATCCTTTGAAGGAATAGATTAGATAGATAGACCCCTAGTCAGAATAATAAAGAAAAAAGGGGGAAGATCCAAATAAACAAAATCAGAAATGACAAAGGTGAACACTACCACTAACCCTACAAAAATACAAAAAGCCCCTAGAAACTACTGTGAACACCTAAATGCACACGACATAGAAAACCTAGAAGAAACTGATAAATTCCTGAAAACATACAACCTCCCAATATTGCACCAAGAAGAAATTAAAACCCTGAACAGACCAATAATGAGTTCTGAAATTTAATCAGTAATAAAAAGCCTACCAACCAGAAAAATCCCAGGACCAGATGGATTCACAGATGAATTCTACCAGACATATTAAGAAGACCTGGTATAATCCCTACTGTGAATATTCCAAAACATTTAGGAGGAAGAATTCCTCTCTAATTCATTCTATGAGCCCAGCATCCTTCTGATACCAAAACTTGGCAGACAAACAACAATAAAGAAAACTACAAGCCAATATTCCTGATGAACAAAGATGTAAAAATCCTCAACAAAATATTAGCAAACTGAATTCAGCAGCACATTGAAAAGCTAAATGACCACAATCTCTTAAGCTTTATTCTTGGGAGGCAAGAATTGGTTCCATAGAGGCAAATCAATCAATGTAATTCATTATATAAACAAAACTAGAAACAAAAATCACATGATCATCTCAATAGATGCAGAAAGGGCTTTTGATAAAATTCAATGTCCCTTCATGTTAAAAACTCTCAACAAAGTAAGCATCAAAGGCACATACTCAAATAATAAGAGCCATTTATGAAAAATTCACAGCCAACATCATCCAGAATGGGCAAAAGCTGGAAGCATTCCGCTTGAAAACTAAAACAAGACAAGAATGCCCTCTCTTATTATTTTTATTAAACATACTACTGGAAGTCCTAAGCAGAATAATTGGCCAAAAGAAAAGAAAAAAAAGCATCCAAATGGGATAATAGAAAGTCAAATAATCCCCTTTTGCAGACGATATGATTCTATACCTAGAAAACCAAATAGTCCCTACCCAAAACCTCCTTGATTTGATAAACAATTTCAGCAATGTTTCAGAATTCAAAATTAGTGTTCAAAAAGTAGCATTCCTATATAGCAACAATATCCAAGCTGAGAGCCAAATCAAGAACACAATCGCATTCACAATGGCCATAAAAACAATAAAATACCCAGGAATATAGCTACGCAGGGAGGTGAAACGTGTTTACAATGAGAATTACAAAACACTGCTCAAATAAATCAGAGATGATGCAAACAAATGGAAAATCCCCCCATGCTTATGGATAAGAAGCATCAATATTGTTAAAATGGCCATAATGTCCAGAGCAATTTACAGACTCAATGCTTTTCCTATCAAACTACTAATGACATTTTTCACAGAACTAGAAAAAAAAAACTATTTTAAAATTCATGTAGAACCAAAAAAGATCCCAAATAGCAGGCAATAGTAAGCAAAAAGAAAAATGCTAGAAGCATCCTGTTACCCAACTTTAAACTATACTACAAGGCTACAGTAACCAAACATCATGGGTTTGGTACAAAAATAGAAATGTAAATCAATGGAACAGAATAGAGAGCTCAGAAATAATGCCACACGCCTACAACCATTTAGATTACCTTTGACAAAGCTGACAAAAACAAGCAATGGGGAACGGAGTCCCTATGCGATAAATGGTGTGGGATAACTGACTAGCCATATGCAGAAGATTGAAACTGGATCCCTTCCTTACACCATATACACAAATCAATTCAAGATGGATTGAAGACTTAAATGTAAAACATAAGACTATTAAGATGCTGGAAGATAATCTAGGAAATAGCATTCTGGGCATAGGCCCTAGCAAAGATTTCATGACAAAGATACAAAAAGCAATTGTAAAAACAACAACAAAAAACGGACACATGAGACCTAATTAAAGAGTTTCAGCACAGCAAAAGAAACTACCAACAGAATGATATGATTTGACTCTGTGTCCCCACCCAATTCTCATGTCAAATTATAGTTTTCTCAGTGTTGGAGGAGGGGCCTGGTGGGAGGTGATTGGATCATAGGGGCAAACATCCCCCTTGCTGTTCTCATGACAGTGAGTTCTTATGAGATCTGGTGGTTTAAAAGTGTGTGGCACTTACCCCTTCACTCTCTTCTTCCTGCTTCTGTCATGTAAGATGTGTCTTCTTCCTCTTCACTTTCCACCATGATTGTAAGTTTCCTGAGACCTCCCCAGCCATGTTTCCTGTACAGCCTGCAGAACTATAAGTCAATTAAACCTCTTTTCTTTATAAATTACTCAGTCTCAGGTAGTTCTTTATAGCAACACAAGGATAGACAAATACATAGAGTAAACACACAACCTGTAGAATGGTGAAAAATATTTGCAAACTATGCATTCAAAAAAGGTGTAATATCTAGAATCAATAAGAAACTTAAACAAATTAACAAGCAAAAAACAACCCCATTAAAGAGTGGGCAAAGACACTACTCAAAAGAAGACATACATGTGACCAACAAGCATATAAAAAATTCTTAATGTCACTAATCATTAGAGAAATGCAAATCAAAACCACAGTGAGATACCATCTCACACCTGTCAGAAGGACTATTATTAAAAAGTCAAAAAATAACAGTTGCAGCTAAGGTTGTGGAGAAAAGGGAGCACTTACACACTGTTGCTGGGAACATAAATTAGTTTAGCCATTGCAGAAAGCAGTTCAGAGATCTCTCAAAGAACTTAACACAGAATGAATGACCAGTTGATCCAACAATTCCATTATTGGGTATGTACTGAAAGGAATATAAATCATTCCACCATAAAGACACATTTATGCATAAGTTCACTGCAGCACTAATTACAATTGCAAAGACATGGAATCAACCTAGATGACCATTAATAGTGCACTGGATAAAGAAAAAGTGATAAATATACACCATGGAATAGTATGCAGTTATAAAAAAGCATGAAATCATGTCTTTTTCAGAAACATGTATGCTGCAGGAGACCATTATCTTAAGCAAACTAAAGTAGAAACAGAGAACAAAATACCACGTTCTCATTTATAAATGGAAGCTAACCATTCAGAACACATGGACACAAGGAAGAGAATGTTAGACACCAAGGCCTACTTAAGTGACGACAGTGAGAGTGGGGAAAGGATTGAAAAACTGCCTATTGGGTACTATGCTTATTACCTGGGTGACAAAATAATCTATACCTCAAAACTTCATGACATGCTATTTACCTAGATAACAAACCTGTTCATGTACCCTTGAACCTAAAATAAAAGTTTAAAATAATCCTGAAAGTAGGTAACTAAAGTTTAGAGAAAAACTATAAAGGAGATCAAGAGATAATCTAGTTAATGGAACTGAAATAAAAAGTATTCAAAATAACTCCACTTATATATTATAAAATTTAAAATATTAAAATATTAAATATTTAATAAAAATAACATTAAAATATTAATATTTAATAAAAATAGCATTAAAATAATATTATTTAATAAAAATAACATTAAAATATTAATATTATTTAATAAAAATAACATTAAAATATTAATATTATTTAATAAAAATAACATTAAAATATTAATATTATTTAATAAAAATAACATTAAAATAATATTAAAATTTTAATACTAATTTAATATTAAAATTAAAATTAAAAATTTTTAATATTAAAAATTAGGTACAACAGAATAAAGAATTAGTGACCCCAAAGATAAGTCAATAAAAATTTTACATACCGAAGCAGGGAAGAAAACAGTAACATAAAGTAAGAGATATTTGGAACATGATAAAATAGTTTGAATTATAGTTATTGCTCAGAAAGAGAGACGAGCATGGAATAGGAACAATATTTGATAAAGTATTTGTCTAGAATTTTTCAAATCAGATAAAATTATCAATTCATGTTTATAAAGCGCAGCGAAACTCATTTGGACACATATAAAGATGACCACATCTAGATATGTCCTAGTCAAATTGCTGAATATCAAAGACAAAGGGAAACATTTTAAAGCAGTTAGAAAATCATAGTATCTTCAAAGGAAAATCAAGACTGATGTTTAAATTTTTGTCAAAAACGATGGAAGCTGGAAGATAAGTGAATGATATCTTTAAAATATTAAAAGTAAATATAAACCCCTCAAAATCTATACTCTGTGAAAATATCCTTCAAAATGAAAAACATATTCTTTTATTTATTCTATCATATTCTTTTAGCATATAATAGAGACAATCATATGCTAAGGGAATTCACAACTTGCAGATCTTCTCTAAAGTGAATACTAAAGGACTAAAACAAAGGAATCCCAGGTGAAAGTACGGATGTGTGTAGGTATATGTAAATCAATACTAGGGAAAAAATACATGTAGTATCAGATTCATAAAATGTATAGTAAAATACAAGACAATGGGATGCTGAAAAATAGTACTAAATTGCTTTTGCATTTGGGGGAAAGTGGTAAAATACTGAAATTAGATAATAATAAATCAAGATTTCATTTTTTCTTATTTTGAGTTAACACGTAATATTGTACATATTTGTAGG
The DNA here is from genome assembly GCF_000001405.40 of Homo sapiens. Taxonomy (NCBI): domain Eukaryota; kingdom Metazoa; phylum Chordata; class Mammalia; order Primates; family Hominidae; genus Homo; species Homo sapiens. Next base: position 38,053,186 of record NC_000013.11, read on the forward strand.
ATACAGAGTGATGTTTTGATGCATGTGTGCAATGTGTAATAATCAACTCAGAGTAGTAAGAATGTCCAGCACTTCAAACATTCAAAGTTCTCTCTTCCTGCTATTGGAAAATATGGTAGATTATGGTTAACTATAGTCACCCTACAGTGCTATGGCACACTGGAACTTTCTCTCCATCTAGACAATTTTGTGTCTGTTAACCAACTTCTAGCTATCTTCTCCTCCCTACCATTCCAAGCCTCTAATACTAAACAATTCTACCCTCTACTTTTATAAGCTGAGCTTCTTTAAGCTCTCACATATAAGTGAGAACAGGTGATATTTATCTTTCTGTGCCTGACTTATTTCACTGAACATAATGCCCCCCCAGGCTCACCCATGTTGCTGTGAATAACAAGATTTCCTTCATTTTTAGGCTTAATGGTATCCCACTGTGTATATAACACATTTTCTTTATCCATTTCTGTGTTGATGCTCACAGGTCGATTCTATTAATGATTTTCAATGATTAATTTTTAAATCTCTGTGATAGCCATATACACAAAAAATAAAAAGTTACAATTAAGAAGCAAGAAAACAATGGTGCCTTGCATGTTGATATTTTTCTTTTTCTCCAACTGCTTATTGCCACCATCTTTAATGTTTACCTCAACAGATTATTATGATGTGTTCCCAGTAGATATGCCTCATATTCACAAAAGGTATCTGGATTTTAGCATCTGCTGTCTTAGCATCTCTCCAAAGTATAACCATCATTTGTAGTGTTTGGAGTATGCTTCTCCAAGGTCCGTGAAGTTCCATTCTACTAGCACAAAATGAACAGTGAAGTTGTTGTCTTATAGGAACCACTGCTACTGAACAGATAGTTATGTCTGGAATTTCAACATACTAAATAAACCTGTGTTTCCACATAGAGGTGGGTAACGTTGCTCAAGTTACTCTCCACGTAAGCAGAACATATGTCTCAATGACAATCCACTCTCCCTTTAAAAAAAATGAAAACAGAGCTATTAGTTTTAACTTGCATACTCTTCTCTTTCTAGGACTCATGCAAATGCACAGGGTATATTGGTATGAAAACACATCAGATAGAGTGGTTTTAAACCAGGAGCAATTTTACCCCTAGGATATTGTTACCGGAATCAAATGTGTAGAGGCCAGGAATTCTGCTAAGCATTCTACAATGCACAGGACAGCTTCCCTCAACAAAGTGTTACTGGTCCGAAATGTTAATAGTGCCCAAGTTGAGAAACTATAATTACAACAATATCATGTTTTACCGTGAAATCCTTCTGGTCTAGGCTTCAGTGGATTAGCTCCACTCTTAGAGGTGGCTTTGGATTAGTTCCAATCTTAGAGGTTCATCATTCTCTTAATACAAAGACATATCTAAATGAGCCCTTCACACTAGGATTTAACTACTTCTGCTTTATCACCTGTAAGTATAAAAATATCTATACATTTTACTTATGCTTAGCAGCATTGTCATTGAGATATCCTTGTTAAATATACTATGTGAAATTAATACAATATAATAATTCAGCTAAAATTGTGTGCCCTTTCAACAAGCACTTATACTTCTTTTTGTCTATAAGCAATGGTTGATTAATTAAATTTAAGTAACATTTTGTTGAAAAACTATAATTCATTTCCAGCTATCTAAATCAATGTTTCAAAAAAGAGTAAGAAAAGTTGATAATAGGAAAACAATAGGGTGTAGTAGGTTAGTGTGCAGAATTATGGAGGGCAATAGACACTCTACATGACCTTGGAAAACTTTGTTTACACTCTGAATTATTATTTCTTTTTTGTAAAGTAAAACTATCTATTCCTTACAGCAGAGTAGGGATGGAGTTGTCTTTTAAAATAATCATTTCATAATAAAGGGACAATAAAAGCACAAGATCCCTGTGAGGAAATTTCAATTTCAGTTATCTTCAGTTGCCAGGATGAGCAAGAGGCTCACTCTTAACCCAAGGCAACTTTGAGTCATGAACTATTAGGCTTATGTGAGACGTTTACTTTTGGGATTTGATTATTCTTTGTGTATATTCTCTTTTTTCGTCTATTTCCAACTGTTTTTCTCATTTACTCTTTATCCATCCTATAACTCTTATTCACTGCTAGTTTAAACTTTTACCTTGCTTTGGATTATATACAACATAACATAGGTTTTCCAGTTTTTCTCATGACTGTTGAGCTACTGATCTCAGTATGAACTCTTTTTCTCTCTTAATAGTTTATGGTTCAACAATTTTCGAGACAAATAAATGTCACTATTCCAGCTTATATTTTAGCAAAATGTAGCATCACTGGTGACTGGCTAGTGTTTGACTGAATGTCATTGAGTCACAAATCCACAATTGAGCCATCCAGCAGAGGCCTGGGTGTGGGTAGGTGGGAAGATATGCTCATAGAACACCATTGTCTTCTCTGGCTGCCACTTGAGTGGGAAGTGGGGGGTTGTGGGTTATTGGTAGGATCACATTTTCTTGGAATTGTCTTATTAGGTATCTTTGATTATTCACAGGTATCTGGAATGACTGTTAAATGAAGTAATCTATTAAGTTATAAGTCCAGCCATACTAGTCACCCAATCAATGTTCTTTTTTTCTTATTCTTATTACTATTATCATGATGATAATAATTGTTACTGGATACATATTTTATTAAAAGCTATTATAAAAATACTTATTATGACAAATGTGTAGTTTCTTATAAAGGAGTTGGCATTTTCTTTAATGCCTAAGAATGAACTTAAGAGTACATTTTATATCCTCATGTATTTTATACCCATTGCAAATTAGAAAACTTAACAGTGTGATTATTTCATGTATTTTTTTTTTTTTTTTTTTTTGAGATGGAGTCTCACTCTGTCACCCAGGCTGGAGTGCAGTGATGCGATCTCTGCTCACTGCAACCCCTGCCTCCCAGGTTCAAGCGATTCTCCTGCCTCAGCCTCTCAAGTAGTGGGGACTAAAGGTGCATGCCACCACGCCCGGCTAATTTTTTGTATTTTTAGTACAAATGGGATTTCACTGTGTTAGCTAGGATCGTCTCAATCTCCTGAACTCATGATCCGCCCACCTTGGCCTCCCAAAGTGTTGGGATTACAGGCATGAGCCACCGCATCGGGCCTATTCCATGTATTTCTTTACCTATCCATAAGAAGTTGTGCCTACCCCTTGACACATATGATTTGTAGTAGGTGTTATTAATTTTTGATGCATTTTTAGAAATACCTCTCTCTAGATTAGTTTGTAAATATATACATAAAGAAAAGCTTTTTTCAAATGATTCTTCCAGGAAAAAAAATCAATTTCTAATTATAGAATAAAAACACAAAGGATAACTCACAGAGGAAAGAAGGCATAGCATGCTCATGTTGGTGAATAAACATTTTCATATACATAAGTCAGCCAGCTCAAAGTTGAACTGAATCCTGTAGACAGTGGAAGCAACTCCCTACAGCTATGTCTATACTTAGGAAATCCTGCTTTTATACCTACAAAGCCCTATGTTTTCCTTATTCTGCCCCTCAAAACTACTGATAGTCTGACGACCTTCTGTGGAATGTTTGCAACTTCCCTACACTGTTCTACCCACCAATCAGCCATTAGATATATAATATATAATGCAAGAGAAAATCTACTTACGGAGATCCTTCATTAGTTTATTGGCAGTTTGCAGTTCATTGAAGGAAGCTTGGGTTCTGAAGCTAGAATCTCCTTTCTTCTTATTTAGGTGTATGACATTGGCAAAGCTATGTAATCTATCTGAGATTCAGGGCTTTTTTAAACCTATCAAATAATTTGTTTTATAAAAACCAAATATATAAACATATAAAATTTCCAGCCTTCTGTAGGTTTCCTTCTTTCTACTTTTTAAGTATTTGTCTAAGAAGAAAATGTAAAACTGATATTTCTCAAAGAAAGTCTTGCCTGTTAAAAGCTGTGGGGTTCCTACCAAATGACTGTAGAAACTACCAGAGGTGAGGGTGGGTAATAGTTTGGACACAATTGCCCAACTTTATAAGTCAACAGTAATGTCTTTATGATCACAAAATCTTGACATTTTAAATATTCTCCAGGATTTTTTGAGATAGCCTCAAATCTTTTCACTTTAGTAATAAAGCTTTGTTGTTCTATTGCATTTCAAGTCCAGCTAAAGCACCAACATGAGCTAAGTGCATCACTCTTTTCATTTTCTTTTAAACAGTGAGGGCTCTGAGTAGCTATTAGTGTATTGATATGACTATCTTGTGAGTTTTATCATGGTCTTTGACATGTTTTGCTTTAAACAGATCCTCTAGATATCAACTCAAAAAGTATAACTCATAAAGGAAAAATCTACCCTTTTCGGAGAGACTTTATCATTGCTTCATTAGCCATCCTGCATTCCTAGTGTACCAAAAATGTAATAGAGTTTGTGAAAAAAATTATTTAACATTTTAAGAAAATATGCATGAAATAAAGTAGGTTACATGTTTATTTTAAATGATTATAATTCATCATACATTTCAATGATATGAAGAGAAGGAATGGCAGAATGGCATCCTACACAGACTCTTGAGTCCTATTTAATGGGTTTGAAACCAGACTTCCACCACATGCTAGCATGTTGGACAAGTCAATTCAACCCTGCTGTTCCGATTGCCTCATCTGTAAAATGGGAGCAGTTATAAGATCCATTTAATGTTATCATGAGGATCAAATGAGGTAATAATATAAAGTACTTAGCAAAGTGCTTAGAACATGGTAAGTGCTCATTAATTTCTGCTACTTTTATAATTTCTGTTAATATTAACACTAGTACTACCAGCATGCTAAATATGAGAAGTTTTTCCAAAGAACAGAAACTCAATGTATTCTAACTATGAAAGGTAAAGATTTTTCCCTATCCTTAAAATGATGTCACTTTCTTCTAGCATTATGTAGAGTAGAATTATTTGAAAATATGCTGAGATTTTAGATGTTTTATATGAATGAATATTAATCTTTCACTAAGTGCTTTATTTTTTCCAAATAATTTTTTAACTCCAAGTTTAATTTTTCACTATAGGTCATATATCCTGAGAAAATATGAATACTAATATGTCACATTATTTTTAAAATTATGACATGCGAAATAAAAAATTTCAAATTATGGCAGAATATGCACTTGATCTCAATGCCATTTTGAAATAAATGCCCGGAATTTCATTTAATGAATCCACTGTATTATCACTCTTTTTCACAATTTCTTTCTTGTGTCTCAACATTTTGTATGATTCATGAAAATGCAGGTGTATTTCTACTATAAAAAAGAAGGCATGTATACATATGTTGGTTTATACTTAGCCAAGGCCTTGAAAAAAAATCAAGGAGGTAAAATCAATCAAACACACACACACACACACCTGTATGAATAAAAAGGCGTTCGTTTGCTTGTTTGCCTTGCATTTTTTCAAGAGCTGCCTTAAGGCTTCATTTTCCCGTCTATGCAATTGATTTATCCATCAAAATTACTAGATCACTAAGCTTTTAATTTTCTAAGAATCTCTGGATTTGGCTGTATATATGCATTTGACTTCAAACATTTAATTAATGAAGACAATTAGAAACACACATATTAATTGGACTTCCAGCACTTACGTTACCTGATTTGTAATAATATAATGGTTTTAAATAATGTAAGAAACAAGATAGGTTATTTTAAAATTTCTCTTTTTCACTATTTATTAATACAATATAAAGTAATTAAAGATATGTTAAAGTATTAGCCACCTCTAATTTGTAGCAGTTTTGTAAAGTCTGCTACCTAATTCACATGTTTGGCAGGTTTATGTATTACACATGTGCAGTTTTCTCACCTGCACAATTATATGTTTTATGTAGTGTTTTTTCTTTGCTTTAACATCTATCTATGAGACTTTACTTAGATAAATATTTTAATCCAAATTTCAAATAATTACTAAAAATCAATATTTGATTAACATATTATGATCCATTGAAGTAAGCAACTAAGTCTTAGGTCTGGCGGTTGCCTCATATGTCACTACAGTCCTATATATAGCACTTACAGGGAGCTTAACTAGCATATGTGTACAATTGCCTGCATTCTATATTTTTACCCTTCAATATACACTCTACCTTTTGACATTGCGTCCAAATTTTCATATATGTTAGTATCTTTATAACTGACAGATTAAATACATTTGTTGTTTGTAACAGAAACTTTGTGAAATTATGTTCCCTTAGAGGTAAACATGCCATAAATATTCACTGCATGTTCTTGTCATCTTATCTCCTTTTCAATCTTTTTTTTTTTTAACATCACCCTTTTCCTTCTTACCTTCCCTCCACTCCTGGGGTTTATAGGTGTGTCAGCCTTAAAGCCCAGCACAGGTAGAGAGGGGAGAGGGGCAACACAATATCCCAGTACATCATAAGGTTGGATGCTGAAGGGAAAGTTGTGCTGTAGAGGACTTGGAGGCAATGCTCTGAAGCCAAGGAAGCAGACAGGTGCATGGACAAGATGGGGCCTGTGAAGGGTATGGCCAAAGAGATGCCAAAATATTTGTGAGTATACATAAGTATTCACAATGTATACTTGTACTTTGTACTTATTGTAAGTATATTGATGGTGTGGGAATCAGGTTTATCATTGTTGTCTGAGAATAGATTCATAATTATGGCAAAGAAAGATGGTTGAAAAGAACCCCAATGTGTTCCATTGAAATTATAAATATTGATATGAACTCATGAGCTTTATGTATACATACACAGACACGAATACACACAGACAAATAGAAATGGTTATATATGTATGTGTATAAAAGTATATACATAATAGACTTTTATTATTTGAAGTATTATGTTCTATAAAAGTTGCTGTGAAAATGGAATTAGCAGAAACTAAAACCATTGTTTTTAGGGAAAATATAGAGTTAGGTTCCTGTGAGGCTCTGGTCACGTTTTTGTCAGCTGATCATTACATAACCTTGTTTTAGGTGTCTTTCTGCTTAAAGACACTTTATTGAATATATATTGTTGATTCATAGTCAACAACAGCACTATAGCTCGTACCTGAATGGAGTTTATCTAACACGTTTTCTCTGTAAGTCATATCACAGGCTTCTTGCGTTTAAGAACATTAGACAGCACTTCAGCACTACCCTGGGGGTCCATTTTAAATAGCAAAATCACCAAAAAATCAAGATGTGAAAAATGTAGCACTAAACAGATCACAAAGGGGACACTTGTTTATAGTATGGAAACAAGAAGGGAGAAAATTGCCTTAGTTGATCTCAACTGGGAACACCATCATGGGGTGTCTCAAATTTTTTGTCACTTTGAGCACGTCCATGAATAAAGCAAAAGCATCATGAGTATTGATTTTGGGGTTTCAAATAAATTTTAGCAAGGAAGTGGATTCACAAATACAACACCCAAGAGCAGTAAGAATCAAACTGTATATCTGCATATCTAGCTATTTGTACATATTTCTCAGTTCCGTCTATTGGGAGGCCATAGAAGCACTGAGCACATCTAGTTTCTGGGTATTGGTATCTAAATACCATCCTCTACTAAAAGGAGCAGGCAGCCTTGCAGAAATGGCTGATTTCAAAATGGGTTCAAGAGATTCTCCTGCCTCAGCCTCCTGAGTAGCTGGGATTACAGGCATGAGCTACCACGCCCGGCCAATTTTTTGTATTTTTAGTAGAGACGGGGTTTTACCATGTTGGTCAGGCTGGTCTGAAACTCCTGACCTCAGGTGATCTGCTCGCCTTGGCCTCCCAAACTGCTGGGATTACAGGCATGAGCCACTGTGCCCAGCCTAGACATTCCTTATTATATCATTCCAGTCCTATGGTTCTCATGGGCTGTCCCATTTTCACACATGACACCATTACGTGAGCTCATTGCCCAAAGCCGAGCAGCAGACCCAGGTAGGAACATCATATAGATTTTCTGAGTATTTTAAAACTGAAATAGGGGTGCTTCCGAAGTAGCAAATGCTGTGAGTCATGAGGTCTGAGAGTTCTTAGTTATATGATCCTTAATATGTGCAAAACACATGCCAGAATTAGAGATTTCTAAACAATATCAAAGACAGGTAGATGATAGAGGTAGATTCCTGTGGTGTCTGAAATTCTTGTCCCATTGATGCTAAGGCTTAGCTGCATCCTTACTCTTCCCAAAATTTGGTTACTTAATTCCCCCATTTACCTTGTAAGCTAATAAATTTCTGCTTTGCCGAAGCCAATGCAGATGAAGTTTCTGTCATCTGCAAAAAAAAAAAAATAGTTTTGGTTAATAAAATTATCATCATCTTCATCATTCTACTTATCATAAAGAGCAAGCCTGTCAAATATTTTTGAGGTAATGAAATCTTCAGAAACTGTTTTCTTGGTTAAAATTCAGGCATATCGAGAGAATAGCTATAAAATGTAGCATTTTTGTAAATATTATGTGAAAATGTGAAATAATATTATTACTTTCCACAGACAAAGAAACAACAATTTAGAGATATTTCAGAGAAAAGAAGTAAAAATTTAATGATCTGCAAATTTTATTCCCACTGGAGTCTAAAAATTAATGAGATTACGTGAACCTGTTACAAACAGCTTTTATTTGGCAATGGTAAAATGTAAGAAACTTTAATAAATTCTCTGTTTGTTGTATATGTAGCAGAAAGATTTGTGAGGTGTTATTCTACTGCTTGTGGAATTTGCATTACTTTAGTGAAGGTATAAAATATTCAAAAATACAAAAAGTTACACAAAGTCATTTTCAATTTCATTTTCAGTGAGCCAAAATTTAAACTACCAGTCATTGTTAATTTCACTATTAATATTTAAAATTCATGGTATATTAGTGAACAGACTGCAGATGAAATAAGATGAGAAAATAAATACAGAACAATAAAACAGAATTAACTCTAAAATGCAGATAGTAAATGCTAATTAATGAAAAACATACTGCCAAAATTTGTGCAGTGGGTTCGTCACTTGTAAATGCAATGATCTTAGGCAGATTATGAAACTTCTCTGCCTCAACACTGTTATCTGTAAAACAGAAAATGTAATGTGACCAACTTCATAGTATGATTGTATTAAATAAATTAATACCTGTAAAGCTCTTAGAACAGTGTCTTGCATCCATTACATTCTCATATTAGTATTTTTCACTAAGATCATTTTTATTATGCTAATGTTTTACAAAACATTCTTGATTATTAAAATGCTCTGGGAGTTTTAAGGTTGTTTAATCACATAAATAATTGGTTCTCAGATGCCAAAATCTGCTCTAATGCTATTGCATCTTATAGTAGCACACAGAACTTGATTAAGATGGGTTATAAAATGAATTTTACAGAATAATATGTATTTGTCTATTGCTCTGTGCCAAAAAAGTGTGTATCTAACACTTATGTGGTAGAATTAATTATCTAAATTAGCTTCTGCATAAACCCACTATCATTTAGTACTCACCAAAGGGCAATTTATTGCTCTGTGATAAAGGATTCCACCGATCTTAAGAAATGAATTCACAGTTTTAATATACTTTGCCTATTGACTGGTTTTATTTTTCTTGGGGAGAGGCACATATATATTCTCATTTCCCCCACTGAAAATGTTGAGAAACTTCATTTATTATTGGCCAGTTAGGCATTTCCTTTTGTGTAGTGCCTGATTACATTTTTGTTCATGTTTCTATTGGCTTGTCTGTCTCTACATTTTTTTTTTTTAGTGTGCTGCCATTTAATGATGGGAAAAAATCAAACAAAAGAATATGTTATTAATCACATAGAACACATCAGGAAAGACTGTGTGAAAAAGTAGGGACAAAATTATCTCCAGGGAATATTTTTTATGTATAGGAATCTGTCTCCCTAGGAAGTATGTATCTGTCTGTTTTGCTGTCTGTCTATATATCTATCTATCCTATATTATCTGTCTTTTTTCATGTGTATACCTTGAAAATATCTTCTCCCACATAATAGCTTTTTATTCACTCATGTAATGATTTGTTTTAAGGGAAAAAAACTCAATATTTTCCAGTTTATCATTTTTTCACTTCTAGGTAGTACTTTTTATAGTATTTAAGAAATTATTGTCTCCCTCAATGGCATGAAGTGTGTCTATGTTATCTTCAAGAAACGGTAGACTTACATTTTGTATTTAGATCTATAGTTCATCCTAAATTGATTTTTGTGTATGGCATGACTGTAAAAGAGGCATTCATCTATGTACACACACATACATATATAAAAACTACATTGTACTTCCATTTAAATATCAAATTTCCACAGCATCATTAATTGAAAATATCATGCTATCTCCTTTGTACTTATGTATCTCCTTTGTACGTATCACTTCTATCATAAACTAACTGTATTTAAAGGGTCTGTTTCTAGATATTATTATGTTCCATGTGGTAGCATATCTAGTTTGCGTTACCACATTATATTAACAACTATAGCTTTAAAAATCTTGTATCTGTATTGTAATGCCTGCAGATTCATTCTTCTTTATCATTGTCATAACTATTCTTGCCTTTAAATTTGCATATGATTTTTAATATCCATTTGTCATTTCCAGCCAAAGAACACATGCTATAAATCTAATTGTAAGTGCATTAAATGCATGGAAGGATTTTGGAAGCAGCAACACATTAAAAATGTTGAATCCTGCTGGGCTTGGTGGCTCATGCCTATGATCCCAGCACTTTGTGAGGCCAAGGTGGGAGGCCAGGAATTTGAGACCAGCCTGGGCAATATAGTGAGATCCTGTCTCTACCAAAAAAAAAAAAATAGCTGGGCATGGTGGCACACACCTATAGTCCTAGTTACTTGGGAGGCCCGGGTGGGAGGATAACTTGAGCCCAGAAGGGGGAGGCTGCAGTGAGCCATGACAATGCCTCTGCACTTCAGCCTAGGCAACAGAACAAGAACAACTAACTCTCAAAAAAAGTTGAATCTTCCAAACAATGAACATGATGTAGCCCTCTATTAGGTAGTACTTCTTTTGCATTATTTTAATAGAGAGGTCTCACTCATCACTTATTAAATTTATTCCTAGCTGCTTATGCTTATTGGTGCAAGCATAAGTTATACCAATTGTAATTTTAAATTTTTTTCAGATATACTACATTTCTAATTGTAATCATGTTATAATGAAAATTTATTATCTCTAACAGTTTATCCATAAAATTTTTTGGATTACTACACACACCACCAACCTTCTGTGAATAATGCCAATTTATTTTCTTACATTCTAGTCATTATAAATTTAACATTTTCACCATCATATTGTTCTGACAAGGCTGTCCATTGAAATGTGAAATGAAGACAATTACAGCCTTTCCTCATTCCCTATCTTCAGGGAAGTGCTCTTACTAATTCATCAAGAATAATGATTTCTGAATAATTTTTGTACATAATCCTATTCACATTAATGAAGTGCCTATTCCTGGTTTGTTTATAGCTTCATTTTCATTATTTCTTGTAACACAAATGGTTGTTATTGAATGTTTAATTCAGTCAAATCCCTAACGTCTAATGTTTTAGAGCATAGTTGTTAGACTTAACCAGTTTAGCAATATTTGTTTTAAAGTATTTTGTCTATTTCCATTTGAAATGAGTTCAATATTGTGGTTATATCTCTTATCTATTTGTTTTCTATTTGATACATCTGCTATATATGTATTTTGTCTCTTTTCATATCCTCTTTTGATTTAATCAAATATATTTATTTCCTTCCTCTATTAATATGTTGATTAAACATTCCTGCACTTTTTATAGCCCAGAAGTTGAAATAGATGATATTGCATCACATATTCCTGAATAATTAGAACCTAATAGAAATCTTTACTTCAACAACTCCTTGATTTTTCTATAACCTTAGAATTCTTAATGCTTTCTCTTGTGTCATTACTCTGCATTTTAATCATATGTAAATATTTAAAGCCAAAGGCATTCATTCTTATTATAATTATAACTATTCTTTTGAATTGATATTTACTTAATTTTATCCACATATTTAACCTTTTGGATATTTGATGGGTTTATCTAAAATACTTTTTCTTTTTTCCAAAGAATCATTTTAGTATTTCTTTTAGTATTGGTGTATTAGCAATGAATTCTTTGTTTTTGTTGTCAATTTTTTTCTCCAAGCCCTTTAAAGATCTTGTTCCGATGAGCAGGGAGAGGAGCCAAGATGGCTGAATAGGAACAGCTCCGGTCTACAGCTCCCAGAGTGAGCGACGCAGAAGACGGGTGATTTCTGCATTTCCATCTGTGGTACCAGGTTCATCTTACTAGGAACTGCCAGACAGTGGGCGCAGGACAGTGGGTGCAGCGCACTGTGCATGAGCTGAAGCAGGGTGAGGCATTGCCTCACTCAGGAAGCGCAAGGGGTCAGGGAGTTCCCTTTCCTAGTCAAAGAAAGGGGTGACAGATGGCACTTGGAAAATCGGGTCACTCCCACCCGAATACAGCGCTTTGCCAACGGGCTTAAAAAACGGTGCACCAGGAGATTATATCCCGCACCTGGCTCGGAGGGTCCTACACCCACGTAGTCTCACTGATTGCTAGCACAGCAGTCTGAGATCAAACTGCAAGGCGGCAGCGAGGCTGGGGGAGGGGTGCCTGCCATTGCCCAGGCTTGCTTAGGTAAACAAAGCAGCCGGGAAGCTCAAGCTGGGTGGAGCCCACCACAGCTCAAGGAGGCCTGCCTGCCTCTGTAGGCTCCACCACTGGGCGGCAGGGCACAGACAAACAAAAAGACAGCAGTAACCTCTGCAGACTTAAATGTCCCTGTCTGACAGCTTTGAAGAGAGCAGTGGTTCTCCCAGCACGCAGCTGGAGATCTGAGAACAGGCAGACTGCCTCCTCAAGTGGGTCCCTGACCCCTGACCCCTGAGCAGCCTAACTGGGAGGCACACCCCAGTAGGGGCAGACTGACACCTCACAGGGCCGGGTACTCCTCTGAGACAACACTTCCAGAGTAACGATCAGACAGCAGCATTCGCAGTTCACGAAAATCTGCTGTTCTGCAGACACTGCTGCTGATACCCAGGCAAACAGGGTCTGGAGTGGACCTCTAGCAAACTCCAACAGACCTGCAGCTGAGGGTCCTTTCTGTTAGAAGGAAAACTAACAAACAGAAAGGACATCCACACCAAAAACCCATCTGTACATCACCATCATCAAAGTAGATAAAACCACAAAAGTAGATAAAACCACAAAGATGGGGAAAAAACAGAGCAGAAAAACTGGAAACTGTAAAAAGCAGAGCGCCTCTCCTCCTCCAAAGGAATGCAGTTCCTCAACAGCAATGGAACAAAGCTGGACGGAGAATGACTTTGACGAGTTGAGAGAAGAAGGCTTCAGACGATCAAACTACTCCGAGCTACAGGAGGAAATTCAAACCAAAGGCAAAGATGTTGAAAACTATGAAAAAAATTAAGACGAATGTATCACTAGAATAACCAATACAGAGAAGTGCTTAAAGGAGCTGATGGAGCTAAAAGCCAAGGCTCGAGAACTATGTGAAGAATGCAGAAGCCTCAGGAGCCGATGCGATCAACTGGAAGAAAGAGTATCAGTGATGCAAGATGAAATGAATGAAATGAAGTGAGAAGGGAAGTTTAGAGAAAAAAGAATAAAAAGAAATGAACAAAGCCTCCAACAAATATGGGACTATGTGAAAACACCAAATCTACGTCTGACTGCAATACCTGAAAGTGACGGGGAGAATGGAACCAAGTTGGAAAACACTCTGCAGGATAATATCCAGGAGAACTTCCCCAATCTAGCAAGGCAGGCCAACATTCAGATTCAGGAAATACAGAGACCGCCACAAAGATACCCCTCGAGAAGAGCAACTCCAAGACACATAATTGTCAGATTCACCAAAGTTGAAATAAAGGAAAAAAATGTTAAGGGCAGCCAGAGAGAAAGGTCGGGTTACCTACAAAGGGAAGCCCATCAGACTAGCAGCGGATCTCTTGGCTGAAACTCTACAAGCCAGAAGAGAGTGGGGGCCAATATTCAACATTCTTAAAGACAAGAATTTTCAACCCAGAATTTCATATCCAGCCAAACTAAGCTTTGTAAGTGAAGGAGAAATAAAATACTTTACAGACAAGCAAATGCTGAGAGATTTTGGCACCACCAGGCCTGCCCTAAAAGAGCTCCTCAGGGAAGCACTAAACATGGAAAGGAACAACTGGTACCAGCTGCTGCAAAATCATGCCAAAATGTAAAGACCATCGAGACTAGGAAGAAACTGCATCAACTAACGAGCAAAATAACCAGCTAACATCATAATGACAGGATCAAATTCACACATAACAATATTAACTTTAAATGTAAATGGACTAAATCCTCCAATTAAAAGACACAGACTGGCAAATTCGATAAAGAGTCAAGACCCATCAGTGTGCTGTATTCAGGAAAGCCATCTCATGTGCAGAGACACACATAGGCTCAAAATAAAAGGATGGAGGAAGATCTACCAAGCAAATGGAAAACAAAAAAAGGCAGGGGTTGCAATCCTAGTCTCTCATAAAACAGACTTTAAACCAACAAAGATCAAAAGAGACAAAGAAGGCCATTACATAATGGAAAAGGGGTCAATTCAACAAGAAGAGCTAACTGTCCTAAATATATATGCACCCAATACAGGAGCACCCAGATTCATAAAGCAAGTCCTCAGTGACCTACAAAGAGACTTAGACTCCCACACAATAATAATGGGAGACTTTAACACCCGTCCGTCAACATTAGACAGATCAACGAGACAGAAAGTTAACAAGGATACCCAGGAATTGAACTCAGCTTTGCACCAAGCAGACCTAATAGACATCTACAGAACTCTCCACCCCAAATCAACAGAATACACATTCTTTCAGCACCACACCAGACCTATTCCAAAATTGACCACATACTTGAAAGTAAAGCTCTCCTCAGCAAATGTAAAAGAACAGAAATTATAACAAACTGTCTCTCAGACCACAGTGCAATCAAACTAGAACTCAGGATTAAGAAACTCACTCAAACCGCTCAACTGCATGGAAACTGAACAACCTGCTCCTGAATGACTACTGGGTACATAACGAAATGAAGGCAGAAATAAAGATTTTCTTTGAAACCAATGAGAACAAAGACACAACATACCAGAATCTCTGGGACGCGTTCAAAGCAGTGTGTAGAGGGAAATTTATAGCACTAAATGCCCACAAGAGAAAGCAGGAAAGATCCAAAATTGACACCCTAACATCACAAATAAAAGAACTAGAAAAGCAAGAGCAAACACATTCAAAAGCTAGCAGAAGGCAAGAAATAACTAAAATCAGAGCAGAACTGAAGGAAATAGAGACACAAAAAACCCTTCAAAAAATTAATGAATCCAGGAGCTGGTTTTTTGAAAGGATCAACAAAATTGATAGACCACTAGCAAGACTAATAAAGAAAAAAAGAGAGAAGAATCAAATAGACACAATAAAAAATGATAAAGGGGATATCACCACTGATCCCACAGAAATACAAACTACCATCAGAGAATACTACAAACACCTCTATGCAAATAAACTAGAATATCTAGAAGAAATGGATAAATTCGTTGACACACACACTCTCCCAAGACTAAACCAGGAAGAAGTTGAATCTCTGAATAGACCAATAGCAGGATCTGAAATTGTGGCAATAATCAATCGCTTACCAACCAAAAAGAGTCCAGGACCAGATGGATTCACAGCCGAATTCTACCAGAGGTACAAGGAGGAACTGGTACCATTCCTTCTGAAACTATTCCAATCAATAGAAAAAGAGGGAATCCTCCCTAACTCATTTTATGAGGCCAGCATCATCCTGATATCAAAGCCGGGCAGAGACACAACCAAAAAAGAGAATTTTAGACCAATATCCTTGATGAACATTGATGCAAAAATCCTCAGTAAAATACTGGCAAACTGAATCCAGAAGCACATCAAAAAGCTTATCCACCATGATCAAGTGGGCTTCATCCCTGGGATGCAAGGCTGGTTCAATATACACAAATCAATGAGTGTAATCCAGCATATAAACAGAACCAAAGACAAAAACCACATGATTATCTCAATAGACGCAGAAAAGGCCTTTGACACAATTCAACAACCCTTCATGCTAAAAACTCTCAATAAATTAGGTATTGAATGGACATATCTCAAAATAATAAGAGCTATCTATGACAACCCCACAGCCAATATCATACTGAATGGGCAAAAACTGGAAGCATTCCCTTTGAAAACTGGCACAAGACAGGGATGCCCTCTCTCACCACTCCTATTCAATACAGTGTTGGAAGTTCTGGCCAGGGCAATTAGGCAGGAGAAGGAAATAAAGGGTATTCAATTAGGAAAAGAGGAAGTCAAATTGTCCCTGTTTGCAGACGACATTATTGTATATCTAGAAAACCCAATTGTCTCAGCCCAAAATCTCCTTAAGCTGATAAGCAACTCCAGCAAAGTCTCAGGATACAAAATCAATGTACAAAAATCACAAGCATTCTTATACTCCAATAACAGACAAACAGAGAGCCAAATCATGAGTGAACTCCCATTCACAATTGCTTCAAAGAGAATAAAATACCTAGGAATCCAACTTACAAGGGACATGAAGGACCTCTTCAAGGAGAACTACAAACCACTGCTCAATGAAATAAAAGAGGATACAAACAAATGGAAGAACATTCCATGCTCATGGGTAGGAAGAATCAATATCGTGAAAATGGCCATACTGCCCAAGGTAATTTATAGATTCAATGCCATCCCCATCAAGCTACCAATGACTTTCTTCACAGAATTGGAAAAAACTACTTTAAAGTTCATATGGAACCAAAAAAAGAGCCCACATTGCCAAGTCAATCCTAAGCCAAAAGAACAAAGAGGCATCACGCTACCTGACTTCAAACTGTACTACAAGGCTACAGTAACCAAAACAGCATGGTACTGGTACCAAAATAGATATATAGACTGATGGAAAAGAACAGAGCCCTCAGAAATAATGCCGCATATCTACAACCATCTGATCTTTGACAAACCTGACAAAAACAAGAAATGGGGAAAGGATTCCCTATTTAATAAATGGTGCTTGGAAAACTGGCTAGCCATATGTAGAAAGCTGAAACTGGATCCCTTCCTTACACCTTATACAAAAATTAATTCAAGATGGATTAAAGACTTAAATGTTAGACCTA
The DNA here is from genome assembly GCF_000001405.40 of Homo sapiens. Lineage (NCBI taxonomy): Eukaryota > Metazoa > Chordata > Mammalia > Primates > Hominidae > Homo > Homo sapiens. The sequence continues at coordinate 38,070,410 of NC_000013.11, forward strand.
AAACCATAAAAACCCTAGAAGAAAACCTAGGCATTACCATTCAGGACATAGCATGGGCAAGGACTTCATGTCTAAAACACCAAAATCAATGCAACAAAAGCCAAAATTGACAAATGGGATCTCATTAAACTAAAGAGCTTCTGCACAGCAAAAGAAACTACCATCAGAGTGAACAGGCAACCTACAAAATGGGAGAAAATTTTCACAACCTACTCATCTGATAAAGGGCTAATATCCAGAATCTACAATGAACTCAAACAAATTTACAAGAAAAAAACAAACAACCCCATCAAAAAGTGGGTGAAGGACATGAAGAGACACTTCTCAAAAGAAGACATTTATGCAGCCAAAAAACACATGAAAAAATGCTCACCCTCACCGGCCATCAGAGAAATGCAAATCAAAACCGCAATGAGATAGCATCTCACACCAGTTAGAATGGCAATCATTAAAAAGTCAGGAAACAACAGGTGCTGGAGAGGATGTGGAGAAATAGGAACACTTTTACACTGTTGGTGGGACTGTAAACTAGTTCAACCATTGTGGAAGTCAGTGTGACGATTCCTCAGGGATCTAGAACTAGAAATACCATTTGACCCAGCCATCCCATTACTGGGTATATACCCAAAGGACTATAAATCATGCTGCTATAAAGACACATGTACACGTATGTTTATTGCGGCATTATTCACAATAGCAATACAAATGTCCAACAATGATAGACTGGATTAAGAAAATGTGGCACATATACACCATGGAATACTATGCAGCCATAAAAAATGATGAGTTCATGTCCTTTGTAGGGACATGGATGAAATTGGAAATCATCATTCTAAGTAAACTATTGCAGGGACAAAAAACCAAACACAGCATGTTCTCACTCATAGGTGGGAATTGAACAATGAGAACACACGGACACAGGAAGGCGAACATCACACTCCGGGGACTGTTGTGGGGTCGGGGGAGGGATAGCATTAGGAGATATACCTAATGCTAAATGTCACGTTAATGGGTGCAGCACACCAGCATGGCACATGTATACATATGTAACTAACCTGCACATTGTGCACATGTACCCTAAAACTTAAAGTATAATAATAATAAAAAAATAAAAATAAAAATACAAAAAAATAAAAAAAATTAAAAAATAAAAATAAATAAAGATCTTGTTCCATTAATTTTGAGCTTTCATTACTGCTATTAAAAATTTATTTGTTGTGGCCAGGTGCAGCGGCTCAAGCCTGTAATCCCAGTACTTTGGGAGGCCGAGGTATGTGGCTCACCTGAGGTCAGGAGTTTGAGCTCAGTATGACCAACATGGTGAAACCCCGTCTCTACTAAAAATACCTAATTAGCCCGGTGTGATGGCGGGTGCCTGTAATCCCAGCTACTTGGGAGGCTGAGGCAGAAGAAATGCTTAAACTTGGGAGGTGGAGGTTGCAGCAAGCTAAGATCACGTCAGTGCACGCCAACCTGGGCAACAAGAGGAAAACTCTGTCTCAAAAAAAAAAAAAATGAGTTTGTCATTATTATTGTTGCTTTGAAGGAAATGATTTTTTTTTCTGGCTGTTGCTTTTGCTTTAAGTTGTTGGTTGTGTTTATCCTGATACGCCTTAGTGTGGTTTACTTTGTGCATATTCCAACTAAGGTTTATTGAAGTTCTCAAATCTGTACTTTAATAACTTTCTTCAGCTTTGGAGAATATTTGGTGACTTTCCGTATTTCTTCTGTCATATTATTTTCCTCTTTTCTCATTTTAGAACTTAATTAACATATATTAAATTTTCTCATTGTATCTTATATAAGCTCTTACACTCTGTTCTAAACAATCTATGGAATTTTTCTCTACAAGGATTCTGGATTTTTTTGACTTTCTTGTCTTCCAGTTTATTAATCAATTAGTCAACACTTCTATTTCATTTAATCTTCTATTAAAAACAACTATTAACTGAAATTAAGAAGATTATCTACTTAGATTCTTAGAATCCCACCCTATATTTCAAATAATGGCAAAAAAAAAAGAAGGGAAAACCAACTGTGAGTCACACTAATTATGCTTTGTAAATTTTTTGTATTTTTAATGTTTTCACATATTAGGGTCTTGCTGATCCTGGACAGACTGCTTCTCCCAAGATTTATCAATTCCCAAAGATACAAAGAACTCACATGCAAACATGCTTTTCAAAGGCAAACTAAACTAACCCAGAACCCATATCCCCAACCACATTTTAAAATCATGCTCTCACAGTCTGGGCCATGATTTCCTTGCCCTAATTACCCCAGAGCCAGATACCAGACAACTAGGAAGAGCTCCTACACAATGGAGCCTGCCAAAATTGCTCAAACTAGCCAATTCTAAGCCTGCTTACACTACCTTGCCCATTTCTTCCTGCAAAAACCACAATAAAAGCTCTTGCCTGCATTTTCAGCACAGTCCATCTTCCTCCTGACCAACCTTGGTGCTTTTCCATGTGTCTCCCCCATAGTGTCATGTGTCCCTTTCCCTTTGGATCTGGAGTTATAATAACCTTTGGCAGTTGTCTCCTGGTCTTTTGGTCTCATCATACCTAGGCAAATAAATAAAACTTGCATTTTCATACATGTGTTGAGGTCATTTATCCACACATCTCTTCACATTAGAATCCTAACCTCTAGAGACCCAATTTCTCTGGCTCCACTCCTGTGAAAATAACAAAAGCTCTGGTATTGTCTATGCCCTCTAGAAGAAGGCTTCTGTCAGAGTACTTCAGACAGAAGTTCATCCACTTGCTGTTTTCTCATATTTGAAAAATGTGTCAAGAAAACAGAAGCTAGAGAAATTCTGTCTACCTCTACAGTCATTTCCAATGTTCTGCATTGTTATCTAATTTTTTTCCATGTACCTAAATCAAACATATAAGTCTATTACCATTTCTCCCATACACTTTAAATACTTGCCAATTGCAGAATCCAGGGTGTCATCTTCCATATAACCCCATTCCCATCTACCACATATGAAAATGTTAGTAAATCCAGCTTTTCAGGGGTTCTTAGGACCCACGATTATGACTAGCATTGGGATCCTTGTTGCCGTCTGATAGGTGAATAATGCAACTTCTGGATCCTATTCTCAGGATATATTATCTAGTCCTGTTTCAGCTTTCAGTTTACAGTATATATTTTCTCCTAATAAATGGCAATAGTTTGTTCCATTTATATTAATAATTGATGGTATCACAGATTTTCAGTTAAGAGAAATATACAGATCCTAATATTCACAGGTATGCTTGAGAAATTAATATGGAAGTCTTGTACATCTCATACTTATGACATATTCCTGCAATTTTCTTTATCCCTGTAGCATCACGTTGATATTTTTACTATGTGCAATTAATATTGAGATACATTTTGGCATTCTATCACAGTTTGCTGCACCAGGCAATTCATTAGCACTGGAAATTTGGTGTTCCTGAACATATTCAGTAGCCACTTTAAAATTAACATTTAAAATGTCTCCTTGCTACAGACAGGAAATATTATTCATTACATGATATTTTGCATTGATTGCACATCTTAACTTAAAGGGTGAGATTCCCCTGATAGATTATGGACATGGATCCTTGAAGTCTCAGCTTAAGAGCTAGGAAATGACACTCTGGTAGTTAGCCATTATTCTGCAAAATGTAACCTATACTTGGAACCAAGAGACATCATATAATGCTGCATTCCTGGTTGCTGGAATTCCAAGAAATTGCCCTTCTCAGAAAGATTTCCATTGACATATGTGGCTAATATATGCTTCTTGTCTCCACAACTTAATGCCCTTCTGGCTTTGAGTTTCTGGCTCCTGGTGGGAGATAATACCACGAGATGACATAATGTTTCACTAAACATAAAGCTGCAGTTGCTATATCTGGGTCTTCCCATGTTAATAGGCTGGTAGGAAAATAAATGAGTTATTTTACTGGAATAAATAATTTACTCAGTATGGGGGCGTAAGTTTACAGTTCGATAATGGGACAAGGCTGAGTATTCTGGAATGCGAAGTATTCATTGGGGTGAGTCTTGCTTCTTACATGACCACTGAAAAGTATAAATAGAAAATTGAGAAATTTTACCCCCAAAAATCATGGTAACCAGGGATGTGGATCATCCAGGGAAGAAAATCTGAATTGTTAATTCACAAGTCAGACCTTTCAGATAAACTAAAATTCTGGCTACTGTTGAGTAGAGAATGGGTGACATAAAACGGGCATAAAGATGATCAGTTCTATTAAGGTTGCTATATTTGCTGCCCATAATATATTAATAATTATTAGTGGAAACAAATGCTTTTAAATTCAGAGGAAAAAAAGGATACATAAGAACTGCAGAATGAGTATTATAATCACTTAATGAACTACAACATGCAAGACAGATGAAATGATTAACTCGGATGTGATTTAAATCTCTATTAATGCTGCCACCTAGTAAACATGATTTAAAATATCCAATAGCAGACACTTATTAAGAATCAATGTTTCTGCTGGACACTTTGCTGGTTTTTGTGGACATAAAGGTAACTTACACATCATTTCTTCTGTCACGTCGGAAACTGTGGCTAAATTTTTTTATGAATTTTATCCTTGCTGTCACATTTATTGACAGGAATTCAAATGGCAAGGAAGTACAGAAAAGACTGTCACTACAGTATTTACCTGGAACTCATGTTCTTTATGCTTTAGCAAAATGCATGATGATATTCAAGATATTTGACCATATAATTATTTCTTGTACAAACTGTTACAGCTACTACACCTGAAGCTGTCCTAGTATGAATGACTTTATCACTGAAGATAAACAGAAATATTTTGGTTTACAAATACTTCATATGTGAAATGAAATATATGAATAAGATGATTGTATCTAAACATTTTGGTTTCTCAAAACAAAGTCTGAGACAAAGATTTGACTACAGGTGGTTTATTTGTGATGCATTTTAAGAAGTAACATTAAGTGAGCAGACAGCGGAAGAAAGGGAAAAAGCAAAAGCACTTAAAGCATTTAAAGAATATGCTATCGGCCAGGCATGGTGGCTCATGCCTGTAATCCCAGCACTGGGATTCATGAAGAATGAGAAATGGTGAATGAATGAAACATCCATAAACTTTTCAAAGATACAACTCTAGGGTGCATATTCACTGTTCTGGAGGGTCCCCAGTGGATGAGTTTTCATAGAAATGGTCAAGTTGATAACATCCTTCCTTTCCTTCTTTTTTTTTTTTTTTTTTTTTCAGAGTTTTGCTCTTGTTGCCCAGGCTGGAGTGCAATGGAGCGATCTCGGCTCACTGCAATCTCTGCCTCCTGGGTTCAAGCGATTCCCCTGCCTCATCCTCCTGAGTAGCTGGGACTACAGGCATGAGCCACCATGCCTGGCTAATTTTGTATTTTTAATAGAGATGGGGTTTCTCCATGTTGGCCAGGCTGCTCTCAAACTCCCGACCTCGGGTGATCCACCTGCCTCAGCCTCCCCTTTGATCACATACAAAACCAACATAAGAAGGCTCCTACAGGTAAGCAGAAGAAGGTAGACTGGCTATGGACCTCAAGGCCCAAGACACTATACCGTGGTGAATTCTCTAGGATTTATTTTTGATTCATATATACCAAACTTGGAGTCAAAAAAACTGGCAGCCCAGAAACACCAACAGGCAAAGACAAGAAGACAAAAATCCCTGCTTTCTCTAGAGAAATGGCAGGTTATTAAGGCCACAGACTTTTAGTCAATAACCTCACTACTACAGCCTGATGCCACAGAAAGAAAAACATGAGCCTACCCCATCCCTACCTACACTGCTAAAGGTTGCATGGGGAGGTTACACAGCTACAGTTTAGAGGCTGTGACAAGGTGCTCTAACCCCAACAGAAGATTCTCAGAGAAAGCCAAGTAGAAAGCCAGGACGTACATTGCTACTGGCCAATAGTGAGTCAGCAACCCCATTCCCCGTATTAGTTGACACAACTGACATGAGCTTCTACCTTCACCCAGCAGCAATGAGAATCTCTCACCTCTTTCTGAAAGGGTGCTGACAGCACAGGCCAGGTGGAGAGTTAATATTTTCACCACTAACAGTAAAGAGGTCACCCCAACCACACTGTTAGTGGAGGCTTTATGGTGAGTAGGAACTCCTACACCCACCCACTCCCCTTCATGTGATTGCAGCAGCCAGTGGGGAAGATGGATTTCTACCTCTAGCTGGTGGTAACAAGGTGGCATCCCCAGCTTTATATGCAAGAATGGTGTCATAGAAAGTTATATCACAAGAAGAGCCACTGAAGAGATAGAGAAAACAGTCCTGAATCTCTGATACCACCCCTCTCCCACCCCCAGTAGCAGCAGCATGGTGCAAAGAATGGCTTTGGACACTGAGGAGGGAGGGAGAACACACCAGTTGTGAGGCATTGAACTCAGTGCTGTCCTGTAAGAAAGAAAGGAAAATCAGACCAATCTCAGCTGATGCCCACCCATGGTGCGAGTATTTAAACCAGCCCTAGCCAGGGGAAATCACTTATCCCAGCAGTCTGAACTTGAGTTCCCACAAACCTCATCACAGAGGGCTGTGTTACTCTACTCCCAGCATTAGGTAGCTCAGAACAGAGAGAGAGAGACTCTATTTGTTTGTGAGAAAGTAAAGGAAGAGAATAAGAGTCTCTGCCTGGTAATCCAGAGAATTCTCCCAGATCTTGTCCAATACTATCAACGCAGTACCTCTATGAGTCTGAAGAAGCCACAGCATGACTGGGCTTTGGTGCCCCCTGAAGCAAATACAGCTTGGATTACAACACCCAAGTGCTTTCAAATATCTGGAAAGCCTTCCTATGAAGGATGGCTACAAGTAAGTGCAGACAGTGATGACTACAATAAATACCTAACTCTTCAATGCCCAGACATCAAAGAACATGTACTAGCATCAACACCATCCAGAAAAACCTAACTTCACCAAATGAACTTAAGGAGGCACCAGAGACCAATCCTGGAGAAACAGAGATATGTCACCTTTCTGAAAGAGAATTAAAAATAGCTGTATTGAGGAAACTCAAAGAAATTCAATATAACAAAAAGAAGGAATTCAGAATTCTATCAGATAAATTTAATATAAGAATCAAAATAATTAAAAAGAATCAATCAGAAATTCTGGAGCTGAAAAATGTAATTGGTATACTGAAGAATGCTCCACAGTCTTTTAATAGTAGAATTGATTGAGCAGAAGAAAGGATTAGTGAACTTCAAGAAAGATTATTTGAATATGAACAGTAATAGGAGACAAAAGAAAAAAAATAAAAAACAATGAAGCACACCTAATGGATCTAGAAAATAGCCTCAAAAGGGCAAATCTAAGAGTTATCGGCATCAGAGAGGAGGTGGAGAAAGAGAGATGGATGGAAAGTTTATTCAAAGGGATAATAACAAAGGATGCGCCAAACCTAAAGAAAGATGCCAATATGCAAGTACAAGAAGGTTATAGAACACCAGAATATTTAACCCAATGAAGACCACCTCAAGGCATTTAATAATAAAACACCCAAAGTCAAAGATAAAGAATGGGTTCTAAAAGCAGCAGGAGGAAAGTAACAAATATCATACAATGGAACTCCCATGCATCTGGCACCAGACTTTTCAGTGGAAACCTTACAGGCCAAGAGACAGTGGCATGACATACTTGAAGCGCTGAAGGAAAAAACTATTATCCTAGAAGAGTATATCTGGCAAAAATATCCCTCAAACATGAAGGAGAAATAAAGACTTTTCCACACAAACAAAAGCTGAGAGTTTTCATCAACACCACACCTTTTCAACAAGAAATAGTAAAGGGAGTACTTCCATCAGAAAGAAAAGGACATTAATGAGCAGTAAGTAATCACCTGAAGGTACAAAACTTACTGTTAATAGCAAGTATGCAGGAAAACACAGAATATTATAACATTGGAACTGTAGTTTTATCCTTATCCTAAGTAGACAGACTAAATGATGAACCAATTGAAAATAATAATTGTAACAAATTTGCAAGATATGGTCAGTACAGTAAAATATAAAGAAACAACAAACAGTTAAAAAGCAAAGGGATGAAATTAAGATGCAGAATTCTTATTAGGGATTTTTTTTGGCTTGTTTCTTTGTTTCTTTATGCAAACAGTGCTAAGTTGTTATCAGGTTAACAAAATGGATTATAACGTAGTATTTGCAAGCCTCACAGTACCGTCAAACCAAAAAACATACAATAGAGACACAAAAAATAAAAAGCAAGAAACTAAAATTACATCCCTAGAGAAAAATTATGTTCACTAGAGGAAAGAAAGAAAAAAGTAAAAAACTTATAAAACAACCAGAATACAAGTAACAAAAAGGCAGAAGTAAGTCTCTACTTATCAATAATAATATTGAATGTAAATGGACTGAACTCTCCGATCAAAGGCATAGACTGGCTGAATAAATGAAAAGCAAGACCTATTGATCTGTTGCCTACAAGAAACACACTTCACCTATAATGACACACTAAACTGAAAATAGAGAAATAAAAAAAAAGATTTCATGACAATGGAAACTGAACAAGAGCAGAAGTCACTATACTTATAGCAGACAAAATAATTTTCAAGATAAAAACTGTAAGAGACAAAAAAGGTCACAATATAATAATAAAGGGGATAACTTAGTAAGAAGATATAACAATTTTAAATATATATGCACCCAACACTGGAGCACCTACATATATAAAGAAAATAGTATTAGAGCTAAACAGAGAGATAGGACCGAAAACAATAGTAGCTGGAGACTTCAACACCCCACTTTCAGCATTGGACAGATCTTCCAGATAGAAAATCAACAAAGAAACATCAGACTTAATCTGCACCGTAGACCAAATGGATCTAATAAATATTTACAGAACATTTCATTTGACATGCTTTTCCTCAGCACATGGATCATTCTAACAGACAGACTACCTGTTAGGTCACAAAACAAGTCTTAAAACATATAAAAATTGAAATAATATCAAACATCTTCTCTGACCACAATGGAATAAAACTAGAAATTCATAACAAGAAGGATTTTGGAAACTATACAAACACATAGAAATTAAGTAACATGCTCCTGAGTGACCAGTGGGTCAATAAAGAAATTAAAAATAAAATTTAAAAACATTATGAAGAAAATGATAATAGAAACACAATCTAACAACCTATGGAATACAACAAAAGCAGCACTAACAGGGAAGTTTGTAACTATTAGTGTCTACATTAAAAATAAGGAAAAATTTCAAATGAACAATCCAATGATTCATATTAAAGAATTAGAAAAGCAAGAGCAAACTAAACCCCAAATTAGTAAAAGAAATAATAAAGATCGCAGCAGAAATAAATCAAATTAAAATTTAAAAAATACTTTTTTGAAAAGTTGAGCAAAATTGACAAACCCTTAGCCAGACTAAGAAAAAGAGAGATGATCCAAATAAATTGAAAATGATAAAGGAGACATTACAACTGATACTACAAAATTTCAAAAGATCATTAGTGGTTAGTATGAGCAACTACATGCCAATACATTGGAAAATCTAGAAGAAATTCACAAATTCCTGGACACATACAACCTACTAAGATTGAACCATGAAGAAATTAAAAACCTAAATAGACAAATAGCAAGTAATGTGATCGCAGCTGTAGTAAAAAAGTCTCCCAGTAAAGGAAAGCCTGGGACCCGATGGCTTCACCACTGAATTGTACCAAACGTTTGAAGAAGAACTAATACCAGTGCTACTCAAGGTATTCCAGAAAATAGAGGAGGAGAGAATACTTCCAAACTCATTATGAGGCCTGTGTTACCCTGATACCAAAACAAGGCAAAGACACATCAGAAAAAGGAAAACTTCAGCAAACTGACACAAGAATAGAAAACCAAACACAGCAGGTTCTCACTTATAAGTGGGAGCTGAACAATGGGAACACATGGACACAGCGAGGGGAAAAACACATACTGGGGCCTGTTGGGGGATGGGATGAGAGGAGGGATTGCATTAGGAAAAATAGACAATGAATGGTGGGCTTAATATCTAGGTGATGGGTTGATAGGTGCAGCAAACCAGTAATGTCACACGTTTACCTATGTAACAAACCTGTACATCTTGCGCATATACCCCAGAACTTAAAATAAAAATCAAAATAAAGAAAAAAATGAAACTACAGGCCAATAGTTTTGATAAATCTTAATGCAAAAATCCTCAACCAAATAGTAGCAAACTGAATTCAACAATACATTAGAAAGGTCATTCATTATGACCAAGTAAGATTTACTCCCTGTGATATAAGGATGGTTCAACAAATAGAAATCAATCAGTGTGATACATCATATCAGCAGAATGAAGAATAAAAACCATATGATTATTTCATTCATGCTAAAAAAGCAATGAATAAAATCCAACACCCCTTCATGATAAAATCCCTTAAAAAATGGGGATAGAAAAACATACTTCAACATAATAAAAACCACATAATATCATACTGAATGGGAAAAATTCAAAAGCCTTTCTTCTAAGATCTGCCATTGTCACCACTGTTATTCAGCATAGCACTGGAAGCCCTAGTATGAGCAATCAGACAAGAGAAAGATATAAACATCATCCAAATTTGAAAGAAAAATGTCCAATTATTCTTGTTTGCAGATGATATAATCATGTAATTGGAAAAACCTAATGATCCAATAAAAAGCTATTAGAACTGATAAAAAAATTAGTAAAGTTGCAGGGCACAAAATCAATGTACAAAAATTAGTAGCATTTCTATATGGCAACAGTTAACAATATAAAAAATTTAAAAAGCAATTATATTTATATTAGCCACACAAATCCAGAATACCCAAGGCTATCTCAAACAAAAAGTATAAAACTGAAGGAGTCACATTCCCTGACTTTACATTATACTACAGAGCTTTTGTAACCAAAACAGCATGGTACTGGTATAAAAGCAGACTAATGGAACAGAATATAGAACACAGAAACAAATCCACACACCTATAGTGAACTCATTTGTGACAAAGGTGCCAAGAACATATGCCCAAGAAAAGACTCTCTTAAATCTCTTAAATAAATGGTGCTGGAAGAGCTGGACATCCATATGAAGAATAAAACTAGACATATACAAAAATCAAACCCAAACATATACAAAAATCAAACCAAAATTGAATAAAAACTTAAATCTAAGACCTCAAACTATGAAACTACTACAAGAAAACATTGGGGGAAAATATCCAGGACATTGACCTGGATGCTTTTTAGATGTTCTTCAAAAACATTTCCTTGGGAATACCCTACAAACACAGGCAGCCAAAGCAAAAATGAACAAATGGGATCACATCAAGTTAAAAAGCCCCTGAACAGCAAGGATACAGTCAACAAAGTGGAGAGACAACCCACAGGATGGAGGAAAATATTTGCAAACTACCCATCTGACAAAGGATAAGTAACCAGCATATATAAGAGGCTCAAACAATTATATGGGAAAAAAATCTAATAATCTGATAAAAAAAATTGGGGAAAAGGTTTGAATAGACATTTCTGAGAAAAAGATCTACAAATGGCAAACAGGCATATGAAAAGGTACTCAACATCATTGATCATCAGAGAAATGCAAATCAAAACTACAATGAAATATCATCTGACCCCAGTTAAAATGGTTTATGTCCAAAAGATGGGCAATAATAAATGCTGGCAAGGATGTGGAAAAAAGGGAACCCCCATATATTGTTGGAATGTAAATTGGTACAACCACTATGGGAAACAGTTTGGAGGTTTTTCAAAAAACTAAAAATTGAGCTACTATACAATCTAGCAATCATTCTGCTGGGAATATATGCAAAAGAAAGGAAATCAGTATATTAAAGAGATATCTGCTTTCCAGTTTGTTGCAGCATGGTTTACAATAGTTAATATTTGGTAGCAACCTAAGCTTTCATTATCAGATGAAGGGATAAAAAATGTGGTACATATACACAATGGAGTATTATATAGCCATAAAAAAGAATAAGATCCAATCATTTGCAGCAACATTGATGGAACTGGAGATTATTATATTAAGGAAAATAAGCCAGACACAGAAAGAATATTATCACATGTTCTCACTTATTGGTAGGATCTAAAAATCGAAACAACTAAACTCATGAACATAGAGAGTTGGAAGGATGGTTATCAGAGGCTGGGAAAGATAGTAGGGGCCTAGTGGGAAGGTGGGGATGGTTAATGGGTACAAAACAAAATAGTTAAAAAGAATGAATAAGACCCACTGATTGATAGTACAACTGGAAGACCATAGTCAATAATGACTTTATTCTACATTTTAAAATAACTTTAAGAGTATAATTGGATTATTTGTAATTGAAAGAATAAATGCTTAAGGGAATGGATACATCCCCCCAAAAAGGAACAGAAAAATCTCAAACTGAATGAAAGTCAATAGATATCAACACTGAGATAACAGAAATATCAAAATTTTACAGCAGTGATTATATAAATGCTTCAATTAGCAATTATAAACACACTTACAACAAAGATACTCAGCAAAGAAATGAAAACACTAAAGAAAAAAATGAAAGTTATAAAGGAGGACCAAATGAATATATTAGATCTGAAAAATATAATAATTGAAATAAAAACTCAGTAGATGAACCCAAAAGCAGAATGGAGGCTACACACACAAAAAAAGAATCAGTGACCTAGATGATTAAACAATAAAAATTACATAGTCTGGATATCACAACAAAAACAGACTAAAATTTAAAAATTAACAGAGCCTCAGTAATCTGTGGGACTATAATAAAAGACATAACACTCATGTCATCAGAGTCACAGACAGAGACAAAACAGAAGATGGGACTGAAAAAGTACTTTAAAAAATGAAGAGAAATATTTCAATTGTTAAGATAAATAAATTTATAATTTCAAGAAACTGAACAAACTCCCAATAGGATAAACCTCCCAAATTCATACTAAGACACAAAATAATTAATCTTCTGAAAATAAAACCAATAAAAAAACTTGAAAGTAGCCAAAAAATGACACATTAGCTATCAGAGAAAAATAAATCAAGTGACAGTGGATTCTGCCTCAAATTGTTGTAGATAGAAGTGGAATTGTATTTTCAAGTACTGAAATAAAAGACCTGCCAATTCAAAATCCTATATGCTGTGAATATGTCCTTTTGGAAAAAAAAGTAAAGGTATTCTTTTATAAAGGATAGCTAGTAATATTTACCTTCAAAAAATCTATCCTAAAAGAATAGCTAAATGTCTATAATAGAAATAAAATGATAAAATATGAAACCCCAGAATATCTGGAAGAAAGAAAAAACATGGTAAGTAAAAATATGGCAAATACAATAGCTTTATCTCTCCTCTTGAGTTTTCTCAATTATATTACTGTTGAAGCAAAAATTATAATGTTGTCTTTAAAGGTTCTAAATGTGTGTAAAAGAAATACTTAAGATAACTGTATTTTAAATGGGATATAGTAAAGGAAAAAGGGAGATAAGTGTTCTATACTTCACTGAAACTGGTAAAATACACACACACACACACACACACACACACACACACACACAGAGAGAGCGCAACCTGTATACAATAATATATATATATAATATATATAGAGAGAGACCTATATCCAAGTTATACAAAGAGATGCATTCAAAAACAGTATCAATAAGTAAAACTGGAGTTAAAAAAATATGTACAAGTAACCCACAAGGATATGGAAAAAAGAAGACATTGAAAGAAAAACAAATAGAAAAAAAATACTGAAGTGGTAGACTAAAGCTGTAGCATATCAGTAATTAAAATTTAAAAAGAATATCACACCTCATATAAAAATTAACACAAAACGGATCACCAACTTATATGTAAAATGTAAAACTGTAAAACTCAGAAAATAGGTACAAGAGAATCGCTGGGCTCTAGGGCTAGGCGAATAATTCTTAGCTGTGACACTGAAAGCATAATCCACGTTTTTTTAAATAGACTCAATTCAAATTAAAAACCTTTGCTCTGTGAAAGAGTCTGCTAAAGGGATGAAGACATGAGGTATATGGAGTACAAAATATTTGTAAACCATATATCCAATAAAAGATTAGTATCTAGTATATATTTTTAAAATCTTACAACTTGAATAGTCCAATAAGAAAATAAGCAAGAAACATGAAGAGACAATTCACCAAAAAAATGCACATGGCAATAAGTACCTAAAAAGATATTTGAGATAGCTAATGTTATTAGCCACTAGGGAAATGTGAATCAAAATCACAATGAAATATTACTATGCTCCAGTCAAAATGTATAATAATGACAACACAAAATTCTGGTTAGGATGCAGAGAAATCAGATCATTCATGCTCTCTAATGAGAATTACAAAATACTGCTCAGGAGAACCAGAGATGACACAAACAAATGGAAAAACATTCCATTGTCATGGATAGGAAGAATCGGGAGGCCGAGGCGGGCGGATGATGAGGTCAGGAGATTGAGACCATCCTGCCTAACACAGTGAAACCCTGTCTCTACTAAAAATACAAAAACATTAGCCGGGTGTGGTGGCAGGTGCCTGTAGTCCCAGCTACTCCGGAGGCTCAGGCAGGAGAATGGCGTGAACCTGGGAGGTGGAGCTTGCAGTGAGCCGAGATAGTGCCACTGCACTCCAGCCTGGGGGACAGAGCAAGACTCCATCTCAGAAAAAAAAAAAAAAAAAAAAAAAAAAAACACAAAAAACAGACATACTACAGATGCAATGCTATTCACTAATAAACTACCAAAGACATTCTTCACAGAACTAGAAAATCCTATGAAACCAAAATTCATGTGGAACCAAAAAAAAAAAAAAGCCTGTATTAGTCAGTTTTCATGTTGCTGATAAACACATACCTGAGACTGGGCATTTTACAAAAGAAAGAGTTTTAATGAACTTCAAATTTCCACGTGGCTGGGGAGGCCTCACAATCATGGCGGAAGGTAGAAGACATGTCTCACATGGCGCCGGACCAGAGAAGAGGGTTTGTGCAGGGAACTCCCCCTTATAAAACCATCAGATCTCGTGAGACTTATTCACTATCACGAGTATAGCATGTGAAAGACCTGCCCCCATTATTCAATTACCTCCCACAGATCCCTCCCACAACATGTGAGAATTCAAGATGAGATTTGGGTGAGGACACAGCCAAACCATATCAGAGCCCAAACGGCCAAGGCAATCCTAAGCAAAAAGAACAAAGCTGGAGGCTTCACATTACCTGACTTCAAACTGATGGTGGCAGCGGCCCATCTTGAGTGGCCACTGTGAAGACACTAGCTGCAGCATGGAAGGCACAGCTGGGGCTGTGTGCTCCACAGAACCAGTGAGGGCCAGGAACAGATGATCTTAGCAGGATCCCTGTGCCCTACCAAGTTGGCAGGTGGGAGCCCCATGCTCCTGGGTGCAACTGCAGCTACCCAGCCAAGGCTCCAGACCCAGGCATCCCTGTGCTCTCATGGGCCCAGAAAGCCCCCTCCCCCTGAAGGCTCCAAAGTGCCTACTCTTGTTCCCTGGCCTCTCCCCACTCCCAGAGCCCACTCCAGTGTGGAGGAAAGTTGTGGCCAAGCCTGGGAACTGTCATGATCTGGCTGTGTGTGTGTGCACCTGGGGAGGTGCTGACACATTTGACCCCTGCTACCTCAGCCCCTCTGGACTTTGGGTGCTAATGAGCATGAGAAGGAGGCCAGGGGGCTGAGGGTGGCTCAATGAGGGCCTGCAGGCACCCCTTAATGGCAGACAGTCTGGGTGCCATGGACAGCATGTTGATGGCAGCAGGAGACTCCTGGGCGCGAAGGGGGTGGGTCGCAGGTGAAACCCCACTTTCAACCCAAGAATGGCCTGAAGCCTGGGGGCTGGCTGCCATTTCTAGGTGGAGTCTGCAACATGGACTGAGAACTTCCTTGATGCCTTTTATCCAACTGGATGGTGCTTTTTCCAGGCCTGCCCATGGCCACCCATGGACCAATCAGCATGCACTTTCTCCATTCTGAGCCCATAAAAACCCCAAACTCAGCCAGAGTCCGACACCTGTCAGAACTGCCTGCCTGCAGATGCGAGCTACCCATTTTGGGTATTCTCTACACTCATCAGAATGATCTGCCTGTGGATAGGAGTTACCCACTTTGGGTCTCCTCTCTGCTGTGAGCTGGTCTGTCACTGAATGAAGCTCCTCTCCACCTTGCTCACCCTCCAGTAGTCTGTGTAACCTCATTCTTCCTGGACACAGGACAAGAACTCTGGACCCGCTGAACAGCAGGAGCAAAAGGAGATGTAAAATGTTTCTGGCCAGCTCACTGAGGCACGGGCAGTGACACACTCCTGGACTGTGGGAGTGAAGAGTGGCAACCCTTCTGGGGGCCCAGACCTCAGGATTCCCTGAGCCAGAGCTGCTGTAACAGTACAGCCTTCCTGCCTTCTGCTGGTACTTGGTGACCGCCCCATGTGATGGGAAGCAGTGGTGGGGCCAGGCCAACCCAGAAACTGCAGGCTAGAGTAGGGCAGTGGGACTAGAAGAGGTGTAACACAAATGGGCTGAAACATGCCCCCCTGAAACTCGCTCCCTTGCTTGCCACACTGCTGACAACAAGAAGGAGCAAAGAGCTGCAGCCCTTCTGGGAGCCCAGACCTCGGGGCTCCCTGAGCCAAGACTGGGACGTGCTGCAACAACCTCTCTGGGGCTCTGTGGTTCCTGGTGTCTTCAAGCTTTTGGGTGCCACTGCAGTCTTCCTGTGCAGACACTGGTGCCTGCAGTGGAAGCCACTTGTGTCATGTCTGGTCCAGCCACAGCCTCATACGAAGCCTTGCATGAAGCCACAGCCTCTCACAGTGCCTGTGCCAGCACCTGGAGCTGCCCACCCCACCACAGCAGCCAGCATGCTTTGCTGTGCACAGCAACTGGCCCCCGTACTCACTTGTTCATACACCCCTTGCCACTCCATGCCTGTCTTGCCCTTAGCATGTGTGGAATCCAGGCCAGTAGGTAGTGCAAACCAACCACAGCCTGCCAGGCTGAGTGGGTGGAATGAGCAGGTACAAGCAAAACTCAAGCAGAGGGGCCAGCAGCCACCAGACACAGAGGTTCCCAGCTAGTGAAGAGAAACCTGAAGAATACTGTGACAAAACTATATTATAAGGCTACATTAACCAAAACAGCATGGTACTGATACAAAAACAGACACATAGACCAGTGGAACAGAGTAGAGAGCCCAGAAATAAGGTTTTTTGTTTTTTTTTGTTCTTTTTTTTTCTCTCAAAAGTATTCTATAGTCTGGTAAAGAATTAAAAAACCGAAAAAGAGGGAATAGAGAATATAGAGGTGACCTAAAGATGTCAACCATGTTCCATGGTGGAAAAATATCAGGAAAAAAAGTATTAATTCTAGCAGAGTAGAATAGCAATTATTCATGGGGGAGGCATTCAAACTGAATCCGTTTAAAGCATATTAAATGCAGAAGAAATTTTGCAGAGACAGAGTGGGAAACATAATTATTTTCCAGAGTAAATTTGGCTAATATTAATTTTGTCATACATTTTTGTCAGTTTTGACATTTTAACTATAAAATTAGTGTGTGGATAAGATAAATTAGGTAGAAATAATGACAATTACAAAAAATATTACTTTGATGAGTTGCTGGGTTTGAGAAGAAGAAATTTTAAAATCTTCAGTGAAAAATAACTATTTTATTATATATATATATTTTTTTTCTTCAATCTTACTTTCCAAAATGTTTACCTTGGATAACAAAATTATAATTCATAGATATTTTTATGTGTTCAGGAAATTTATAAAATATATATTGTTGAGAACACTCAAAAAAGAAATTGTGGAAAAAAGGACCTAACAAATGTGACCCTTCTAAAAGAGTGGAGGCCTCCTGGCAATGTTCTCTGCAACCCATGATGTAGGTTAAGAGGAGTGGACCAATGTTCTGTTTCTGACTGATTATGAGGCAACATATGTACCAGTAAAATTTCTAACTTACATTGGGTCTTCATCTTCCATCTATCAAGGCATAAGCTTATCCATGTATAAGGCTGGCTGCAAAATTTTTCACAAAGTATATTCCATGAGTCCACACAACAGACCCCCTTTTTACTTCTATTATTCAAAGAGGCATAAGCAAAGAAAAAAATTGAAAGATAAGAGTCTCGTGATAGTAGAAAAGTCTTGATCCGTGATCTTGGGATAAAGCTGTCCACATCAAGGATGCCATCTTCTTCTGGGTAGAAACTTCTCTGCCTAGTTTTATTTTAAGGGTTTCAAAGGGCGTACAGTTCCAAGAGTATTGAGGGATGCTTCTGAGTTGTGAGATTATGAACCTTAGGTTCAAGGTCCCAAAGTTATGCTACAATGTGGATGGCAAGGGCAGTTTTTCTCTGATGCTCTTGGATCACAATCTAGAATCTTTGGGTTCTAGATTGTGAAGAGGTTGATTGTCCCCAGTCAGTGAACCATGAAGAATTTTCTTTACTTTGTGAAAATATACTGTGGCATAATGAGCTACTGTTATAACATCAGACTTCTTACATGAGAAACTTTTGTATAACTAGAAAACATGCATTGAGATGACAAGTGATTAAATCCTTCTATAAATGTTTAAATGGCCCATCAGGTAGTGAAATGTACCTGAAGTTTTGAATGTCTTCCCAGGAATGTGAGTTTAACAAACCAAACATTTTGGTCATAAACTATTTTAGCAAGTTAGAAGTCCATATATATATATATATATATATATATATATATATATACACACACACACACACACACACACACACACACACACACATACATTTATCGGGATCATTTTATCTTTTCCATGATGAGTCATGGAATGTAGACCATTTAATAACAAAAGCTTTAAGGACTCAAGAGGACAAGCCTGCTGCCCTAGTTCTCCAAGAGTTCATGCTTATTCAAATTATGTCCTCTTGAATACCAGTTGTTTCTCCAATTTAAGTGCACAGCACTGATAAATGATGGGTTATCATGGGTAATTTTACCTAGACAATGAAGTTTATTCAAATTGTATATCTGAGCAACTTCAGTACTGGCTGATTTAGATAAACCAGTCAGTCTTTTTATTAAAGTTTCAGAGATTTCTTACCCAGTCCAAATGATATGATTCGAAAGTTATTCAGAAACCTCTCTTCAAGAGTGCTTCTCAGGTTTCTTTTCATCCTGTCATGAACCTCCTGCAAAACAACATATTCTAGGATTTTATATACTTGTGAAGTTTTCAGAAACTGCTTCAGAAGCAATTAACTGTGAAAATGGCTTTGAATAGTCATGGTTAATGACACAATTGACTAGGAAATTTGGTTATTTCTCTGGTCTACAATAACAAAATATTATACACATTAGAATTTTAGAAATCCCATACAATTTTGGAACACATATAAATAACATTCATTAAAATGTAACCTGAAGAAGGTTAAATATTATTTCTTATTTGACAATCCTTCCCTTGTAACATAACATGTAAAATAATCCCATTTACTTCTCCTTTGGATGCTTCAGGTGGCCTCTGGAGCACCCCAAAGTGAGAGGTAAAAAAAGACGCAATTTTGAAGTTGAAATTTGATTTTGCGAAGCCTGTCAAATATGTCAAAGGTTTAGAGCACTTGACCAAAATAGGATCAGAGGTCACCATAAGACCACAGTGATTCATTTACCAAAGTAATAATTAAAAGATTTTTAAAAACAAAACCTGTTTGTCTTTGATCAAGGGGACTCAGTTTTCTAAACAATCAAAAGACAAGACAGCATGAGACAGAATCTCTCTGTTCTTATTTACTCTTTCTTTTCCTCAGTTTACTGAAAAGGTGAATGAAAATATTATACTGGCATGTTAATACTACACAAAATTCTTGTTAAAAAGGGAAAACCTATCAGTGTATTATCAATATGAAAACTGATTTTAACAAAACCTCATAAATAACATTTATCAAATCTATCATTTTTTAACCACACATTTCTGTAAATCTTTTATTTTACATTTTCCCCAACTTTCTACATTCATCTTGTTTTATCTGTTTTTTATTCCTTCAATTTGAAATCTTTAAGTAACTTCAAACCAAACACAATTTTTAACACACATTTTTATGCCTTTATAACTTTCCTCATCAAACACATATTTTGCTTTGCTTATACACTCTGAAAAAAGAATTATCTCATATCTAGTAGTTTTTAACCCTTAGTAACCCTAATTTCCAGTGATAAGCCTGGAAAGTAATTTTGAACTGTTTTATATCAGTATTTGTAGATAAAAAATATTTTATAAGTTTTTAGAAAGATGGTTATCCAAATTATTGTTTATTAACAGTCTAAACATACTTAGCTTTTCTATACTGAAGCAGCTACGGTTGTCTGGGGTATATATCCTGGGGTTCATTGCCATGTGCTGAGAAAGAGTTCAGGACATGGACACATGTGGGTGGGTTAAGGAGTAGAAAGTTCAATAGACAGCAGAAAGGAGAGAGGAGAGCAGCTCCTAGTGAGAGAGAGGAGAGAGGACAGAGGAGAGAGAGAGAGAGAGAGAGGAGGAGAGAGAGAGAGAGAGAGACATCTGAAAAGAGGAGGGGCAGCAGACTGCAGCAGACGTTATAGGCAGGCTGGAGAATTCAGTGTCTGATTTACATAGGGCTCACAGATTGGTTCAATCAGGTATGACATCTACATAGTGGGCAGAGGAGAGGGTGGAGGAGGGGAAACTGGTGGCCCAACCATAATCTAATTATGCAAATGGTGCAAATGGGCTTTCCAGTTGATCGGAGCCATCTTGTCTGCTTCTCACTGTACACATGGCTGACAAAGAGAAGGGAAGATGGAGCCACCATCTTTAACATGATTGGCACAACTGCTGGCATCTATGTCTGCAGCTCAATTTTACAGGCTGCTTTTCATTAGAAAAGAAAATAATTTGAAGCTGCTTTTCATTAAAAAGAAAAGCCCTACTGAGAACTCCCATGGCCTTGCTGTCTGCCTAAGTAATTCCTTCTTAACTCCTATATCAATACCTACCACATAAAAATAACATGTCAAGGTATAGAGACTTAAATGTATATTTATTAATTAATATCTCAGTATATTAGCTTACAGATGACTCAGACATTTTATGATTATCTGTTACTGAATTTAAAAAAATATGATTCTAAGATTTTAAATTACTGAAAAGAACTTTGATACTATGACACAGGTAGCCTCCCCAATGACTTCCCCCAGTCATTCTAGGTCCCAAGTAGCCATGTGACATACATGAGGACTAGGAAGGTCAAGGCTTGTCTGAGTCCATCAGGAGAGGAAACAGTTGTTAAGACCATACCTGGAGAAACCAACCCTTCCAAAAATATCTATGAGGCAAAAAAGGGAAAACAGAGGAAGAAGGGACCACATTGAGCTTGATTCTGGCTTGCAGCCCCTGATATAGGCACTAAAAACATGTCTCCAGACTTTATCATTGCCACCTATCCAGACCCATGGATCCAGAGACTCTAAATCAAAGACATAAGCTCACAGTTAAATCAAGCATATATCTAATTATATTCAACTTGATAATTTTGAAACCACTTACATTTTACCAACAGTTTAAAAGCTAGCTTTATTTACCAAATATCACATACACATATACAGATACAAACACACAGAAACAGATCATATAGCTTTCATAAAGGATTTTCATTTGCTGGCTTTTAAATAGCTTTTCTTTTCCCCATTGAGCCTTCCAATCATCCAATTACCTGTTTCATTACCCTAAGCAATTGTGTACTAGGCAAGAAATTTGAATTTCTAAAGGGACAACTCTTAGGTGGAACAGAAAAATTTAAATTTCATAAGCACAGAGCTAAGATTTTAGGCCTAAATATTGTATCATCATTTTCTCAAACTAAGGAAAAAAATCTGCTTAAATAAAAGTTCACTTAAGACAGGATGGCCAGAAAAGCACCTTAAACAAAGGTATGACTTATTATGTAAATTTAAAAGATGGTAAGAGTTTCGAACACACATAGGCAGACATCCTTAAAATTGGAGATTTCCTTCATAGATATAAATTTTATTTATAAAAGAGTTTTAAGATAGCCAATTAAATTTCAGAAAGGTATATTTTAGTTCAATAGGGTGTTCTTTTTAACTTAGCTACTGTTTTTTTTACCTAAAATTACTTGAGTTAAGGTTGGAGTCTATTAAGGAATAAGGCCAGAAAGCATTCTGTATGCCTGGATTCAGCATGGGTAGATCTGAAAAACAAAGCAAGCCTATTTTACCTTAGGGTCTACCTTTTATAAACAACTTATCTAGGATAGCTTTTTTTCCACCCTTGAGATGGGTTGGTAACTAAGACAAAGGGTTAGCAGATTTAATTTTTCTTATCTATCAGTCACGTAAGCTTTTTATTTGCCTTTTACAAATTCTTTAAATAAAAACATTGAAATCTTTTTAGAAGTTTCTGCTGCAGTGTTGTTTATTTGGAAGATTCTACTGTAACTTATTTTTAGTAAGATTCTGCCATGTCTGTAAGACATTGCTGCTTCCAGGATCTAATATTTATGCATGTATAAGCCAGAAGGAACTCAGTTCTTAAGTAATTAAGGATCCTATTTCTACCTGAAATATTGGCTTTGGCTCTCAGTTTCTTTTGATCAACTTAGCTAATGATTTTTTTCTCCACCTAAAATGAAACAAAGGCATAGAACACAAAAATCCCTGTGAGTTTACAAAAGCCAAATTTTACACCCCCTGCAATATTGGCATTTACTACCTATTTCTTTCTGACCCAATCAGATATAAGAGATCTCTAACTGGATTCAAGCCAGTTAATTATCAGATCTAATTCAATTGTGGACCCAGTCCAATTTCTCTTATGAGTTCCAAACCCAGTTTGGATCATACATTCGCTCAAGGAAACTCAGAGAGCTCAAAACACAAATCTGTGGAGCTTCAGAATCCAAAAGAAAACTTACCACGATCCCCAGCTCCTCTGTGAGAGCAACAGACAGAACAGGCCTGGCGTGTACCTTGCTTGGTCACTCAGTGCTCATGGGGATTGTTAGAAGCTTTACTTTAGATCCCACTTCTGATGCCATCTGTTAAAATAAAAACATTAGCTGAATTAATAACAGAGTTTAATTGAGCAAAGAACAATTCATGAATTGGGCAGCCTCCTGAGCCAAAGTAGGTTCCGAGACTCCAGCATGGCCATGTGGTAGAAGATTTATGGGCAGAAAAAGGATAGAGACATACAGACAATGGTAGTGAGGTAAGGAAACAGCCGAATTGGTTACAGCCTGGCATTTTCCTTATTTGAACACAGTTTGAACAGTTGGCCACCTTTGGCCAAAACTTGGTAATTGGCACAAGAGTAGACTACAGTTTGTGTACAACTCCGTTTCAGTTATAGTTGACGATATACAGAGAAACTTTTAGGCTGAACTTAAAATATGTAAGAAGATAGCTTTAGGCTAAACTTGATTTAATATTTACCAAGGAAAATCTACAGTAGATCAAAGTTAATATATTTAATATATATGTCTTCTTTTATTATTTCATTGGCATATGTATGAATTTTCAGGATATTTTTTGTGTTCAGGCACTAATTATATAGAGAGTGCAGCAGAAGAAGATAACAAAACTTTCTGAGGGAAAGATCATTTTTTAATTATAAACAGGGCCAACAGTATTTAGTGGTAATAATGTAGTTTTTCCAAATGACATATTACGTATTTGTCAAAAAATGAATTTGGATCATATATTTTATATCTTTTTTTGCTCTAAAAGGCTGTAATATTTTTTCAATTATTATTAAAATTTATTTGAATGTGTATAATCAACTACTGCTACAGATTGATACTGTCACAGTTTGGTAAACATATATAAACTTATTTATTCTGACCTCTGTATAAGCATGTAATTATCTGATTAGAAAGTGCTATAGTTCATTAAGCAATGCAAAACCCCATGGCTTTATGCTTTATTAAAAACCTGCTTTGTTTTTTAAAAGGTTGATTCAAATGCCATCAGAGCCTGATTTAAAATGATTAGAAATGCTAGTGTCATTTTAAATTTAAATCCGAAAGAAAATTGATTTAGCATTGATAATTTAACATGTTCAAATCATGAGATATTTGTAAAAAATATATTTACTACACAGTTCGTTATCTTGCAGGAGATATCTGATCATAAAGAAAGATGTTCACGTTTATAGTGACAAATGTTTTGGCATAATTGGGGATTTGGGGGGTGGGGAGAAGAAAATATCCAAGTATTAAGTCTTAAGGGGAGAGAAACAAAATTATATTTTATATATTAAGAGTAATTCAAACCACAGAGAACTTGTAATAGTTGCTCCGAAGAAATAATTATTTCCTTATGCCGTTTGCTAAGAAATAGAGGATATGAAAAATTATACTTAACTGATGATGTAAATAGAGAAATAATGAGTGAGTATTGAATGGCTAGGGCCAAGGTAAAGCAGACTGTGTCAATTTGGGTTTGGTCAGGAGAAGGAACTACCTTAGATAATAGAAGCAAGAAAATAGAGGCTTACATTACCACTGAAAGGAATGATACAAAATTCAGGAGAGAAGAAAATGGTAGGAGACAAATGCAGATCATCTCAACTGCAGGCCATTCAGAGAATAATGCCTAGAAACTATTGGCAAATCCTTTCATTGCCAAAGCCCATGTACATGCCTATAGCCTATAACAGGTTCTCTTTGTCTGCCTTTCAAAATTTTCATCACTCACACTGATGGAATTTAAATGGGACCCTGTTTGCAAAGGACAGATAGTAAATATTTAAGATAAAAATATACAACAATAAGTTATGATCTGACACAAAGATAAATGATATCTAGATAAAGATTATTAATCCATTTGTTATCAAATGCTTACAGCAGGAATTGGATGGCATGCATAATAAACTATCATAATTTCTAAATTCAAGACTTTACTCATATGAAAACTTGAGTGATGTTTTATGCCAGATCATAAAAATTATACTGGGAAATATAAAATATGATTAATTAGAATATATATCCAGAAACCCAGAAATAAGAGTGCATTTTTTTTACTTAACTATAGCTACAAATAATTTTAACCAAGATAAAATTTTATACACAATATACATAATTTTTCTCTAGAACAAACATGACAACAGGATTCTAGTTGATAAATTTACTGATTGTTATATATAGTCAATGTTCTCATACATTCCCTGACTTAATAGGTCAATGAATGACTGAGTGACAGCCATGTAGTACAATATTTTAAACAGTCTTGTGGAAACTGTAATTTTTGTCCTTTAGAAGGTGGATTTTTAGTTCAACTGAATCAGGAACACTATGAACAAAAAACCTAAGAATCTGCTTCACCCCCAAGATAGAGACAGAATGGCACAAACTCCAATTCTACTCCCTGTGGAAGCCCAAAAGCCAGCAAAGGATTCCACGTAATCACATTCTCACAGTCCTTGAGACCCCTGAACTCCAGTTGAGAGTAGTTTCTCTCTGTCCCCAAGCATGCAGATGTGCAACAAAGCTCCTTCAAGGGTAAACACCTGCACACAGAAAGCTCTCATGCAAGAGTACTCACTAATACAAAAGCTGGAGTTTCCTGGAGGAAGTCACACAGCACATTGAATGGAAAAGAACCTTCAGTCCAATATAACCTATTTGACATTGCTACTCTTCCACCTTAACACCTTAACACTTGGGCTCCTCTTTTTTTTTTTTTTTTTTTTTATGTGGAGTCTCCCTCTGTTACCCAGGCTGAAGTGCAGTGGTGATCAGCTCACTGCAACCTCCGCCTCCTGGGTTCAAGCAATTCTTCTGCCTCAGCCTCCCGAGTAGCTGGGACTACAGGCATGTGCCACCACACCGGGCTAATTTTTTTTGTTTTTAGTAGAGAGCCAGGCTGGTCTCGAACTTCTGACCTCAAGTGATTGGCCCGCCAAGGCCTCCCAAAGTGTTGGGTTTACAGGCATGAGCCACTGCTCCCAGGCTCTTTTGGTCTTTACATCAAACAGAACTAGACTCCAACAAACTTGCTGGCTCATCTCTTCACTCCATCGTTCACTCTTATATATCCCATGAAACTACACATTTTTCTCTCTATTTTGCAAAACAGTGTAGCTCTCCTCTACTCTTATTCCCAAACTTGAAGAATGAACCTATCCCATCAAGTTCCTCTAATAGATCAAGAAATTTATTTAGCCTTTTCATAAAAGAATTATCATAATAAATGGTAAAATTCAATTTTCTGCATGATCTACTCTTCTGGCATCCTCATGCAACAATCAAATGCAGTGTTCCTGAACTAATTACATAATCTAGAGTTTGTGAAAGAAAATTAAATCTTAGCACCCCAAATTCATTAAGCCGAAGGGAAAAGTCAAGCTGGGAACTGGGTCACACAAACCTAACTCCTCCTTTTTTGTTTCTAAATAAGATGGCTACAAGATGAAAAGCTCCATGCCTCCCCCATGTTTTGCCCACAAGCAAATTTTTAGTGAGCTGCAAGATCTTTACTCTAAGGTATTCTGTTAAAATTTCACCATGGCCATGTAAATTTATAGCTTATCTTTACAGGTGCAGTCACCCCTCTGCCCACCTGACACAAATGCATATCCGATTGTTCCCCTACCCCATTTTGTCTTATGTTGTCTTATGTAAAATACACATTCCCCACATTTTTCGACTGCCCCATTTGTCTATGTCATTTGTCATAGTTAATACTGAGTATCAACTTGATTGGATTGAAGGATGCAAAATATTGATTCTAGGTGTGTCTGTGAGGGTGTTGCCAAAGGAGATTAACCTTTCAGTCAGCAGGCTGGGAAAGGCAGACCCATCCTTAATCTGGGTGGGCACAATCTAATCAGCTGCCAGGGTGGCCAGAATATAAAACAGGCAGGAAAATGTGAAAAGGCTAGTCTGTCTTAGCCTCCCAGCCTACATTTTTCTCTTGTGCTGGATGCTTCCTGCTTCCGAATATTGGACTCCAAGTTCTTCAGCTTTGGGACTCAGACTGGTGTCCTTGGTCCTCAGCTTGCAGATGGCCTATTGTGGGACCTTGTGATCGTGTGAGTTAATACTACTTAATAAACTCCCATATATATATAAAACTTAACTTAAACTCCATATACATGGGAGTTTATTGAGTAGTATTTTATATATTAGTTCTGTCCCTCTAGAGAACCCTAATACATCATTATATGTAAAAAAATTCAGATTCACTAAGCCAGACAAAGGCATGAATGACTATTTTTTTCTTCCCCCCTCTTACATGAAAATTGTGTAGTTCTCAATATCTTGCCCTTTCCCCTTTAAATTTGGAGCCCTCAAAATCATCTTCGGAGAAAGGCATAGACCTGTCTGGAGGGAGTGCATCCTTAACTTTGGCAAGTAAACCTCCTAAAATGATTAAGACTTGTCTCATCATTTTTCTCAATTGACAAGTTCCACTTTTAACCCTCAAAGGACCCCTCTTAAAATCATATATATTAATTTTTTTCATAAGTCTTGTGCTTTTTAATTTTTTTCATGAGAAACTAGGAAAGATATATCAGTTAAAGAATAGAAAAGACATATCAGTTATAGAAGAGTTATAGAATATAGAATAGTTATGGAATAGAAAGATATCTCAGTTATAGAATAGGAATGATGTATCAGTTATAGAATAGTTATATCAGTTATAGAATAGGAAACCAGTCTGGCTTCGTAAGTTGTGCTTTTGGTGAGTTTTCTATGACTTTAAACCTAGGTTAAAATATCAATGGTCTCACTCACCAGTTAGATGACCATGAAAAAATTTCTTTATATCTCCAGGATGCTTTTTTTTTCTCACTTGCAAAATGAGAATAATAGTAGGGACCTATTTTATAGTGTTATTACATAAATTATAGTTTAAATATTTATGAAGGGCCTAGAACAATGTCAGACATATAAATGTGTCTATTTTAAAAAATAAAGATAATTTTCATAAAATACTATTAAAAAATAAAAAGAAAGAATATAAATATAGGAAAATAAAAAACACAGAATTTTTGAGGAATGAAATTAATGCATTGGTTCTTAGAAAACATGGGTAGAGGCAGCCATGGTCAAAAACATGTTGAAAAGACTACTGTGGAAATAAGAACTCCTTAGGAAAGCTCCAAGTTTGCAGCCTTGTGTTGATCTAATATTACTTGTATTATTACTGCTATACTATTAATTGTAATAGTAGTTGCTGTAGTCTTTATTTATATTTTGGAGGAAGACAGAAACTCCTGTCTCAGTCTGCACTAGGCTGATTTTGTGTTGCTTTTAAAAAAATACTTGAGACTGAATAATTTTAAAATAAAAGGGGTTTAATTGGTTCTTCAGTCTCTACAGGAAGCATGCTTTTGGTGTCTGCTTCTCCTGAGGCCTTAGGAAGCTTACAATCATGGTGGAAGGCAAAGAGGGAGCCAGTGTATCATGTGGCAAAAGCTGGAGCAAGAGAGAGAGCAGGGAGATGCCATGCACTTTTAAACAACCGGATCTTGCCTGAACTAACTGAGCAAGAACTCAGTTATCACCATGGGAATGATGCTAAACCATTCATGAGGGATCCATCCCCATAATCTAATCACATCCCCACTTCCAACATTGGCGACTGCATTTCAACACGGGATCATGAGGGGACAAATATCCAAACCATATCAGTCTTTCACTCTATTTACCAGTGACAAATATTTAGGTTTGCTGTAAATCTTATTGATTAATAAATGAGGGAGACACATTTGAGGTAAGGCAGATAACTGTGTTAGTTTCCTACCATACCAGCCTTACTACTTGAGCCAAATCTACTCTCCAGTCATATTTATGTCAACTCTCTCCAGTTTTTCCAAACACCAGTGACTTGTCAATGTGGTTTCCTAATTTTGATATTGTCCTCCTTTCCCTTGGTTGAGAAATATACAAAATATTCCAGGAAAACTCTGGTTAAATTTGGCCTCATTTATTCCTAATCTATACTCCAGCCTTACAGTGATATCCTCGTTGAGGTATGGCTCAGCACCAAAGGTCAGAGTAACTTTTACTTTAATTTTAGCCTATTTTTTCCTCATAATTTAAAAACAAAAAAAGATAGAACATATCATAACTAAAAATTATAGAGATACTTCTATTTTCCTTAATATGCATTACATAATGCATATTATATATATTTAATGAAGGAAATATATATAATGAAAAAAAGGTCTCATTTTTATTATAGTACTATCCCTAACAGAAAAATCTTTGTAACTTCAGGCAACTAATAAACTTCTCCAGACATTATTTTCCTCATCTGTAAAAACAACAGTCACAAAAAAAACAGGGATATTAGATTAGATAATCTCCAATTTCTTTTCAGTCATGAAATTTAACAATCTATTAAAAAGTTATCTAAAGTACTGTCTCAAATTGCCCCAGTGTTCTGTTTAATGAAAACATAAATCACATTGTTCTTAATTTACTCCACTTCATTTACTCCTATAACAATGAAGAGTTTAGATGTGATTACATTTTATGATTTGTTACAGTTTTATTTGATAGCTAGATCCTGGGTCAGAGACCTTGATTTAATTTATGCTTGTTAACACTGAAGTTTATTTATGGCACTGAATAAATGATAGTGTAACAACACATTTGAAAATATCTTCCTAAGAGACAAGAGTTATTGCATTAATTTGCATTTTTTCTTTCTAGAATTTAGATAAATGTAAGTATTTATGGAAATAACAAATGTTGCCTGTTGGCTCTAAGATCTATCTTCTGTATGTAATGCTCTGGTGTTAATCTTCATGTTATCTTTTTGCTGAGTTCTCTTCAAAAAGTTGTAGTGTAGTTAATGTGGCAGACATAAAAGCAATGTTGATTCAATTTGATTTTCTGTGTTTTTTTCTGGTGACTTGCAAAAGGAAGAGCAAAACAAGTGAAAATCAAGCCAGATTCTAAAATTATGACAGTCTGTAAAGAAAATTAGTTATTAATTATGATGCAGGTTTACAGCAATATTTGTTTTGAATTAAATATATTTTCATGAAAATGTAAACCAGGAATGACACAAAAATAAAAATCTTACCAATGGAAGAATTGTGTATGTGTTTCATAAAGTAAATATTTTAACAAATCTTTGAGTAGGAAATATATAGTGAAAAACAATCTGAAAGTGGTATTTATAACTACAAACAAAACCCCAAAGCTTAATTTTTAATTCTCTCTCTTCCAAAAGTCTCAATTATATTCTCTCAGTTACAATACAAATTCAGAATTTCTCTTTGTGAGATACACAGTGTTTTGAAAGGAAATGAGCATTTTTAGTCTAACTACATGATAGTGGGTGCAATTCCTGGCTCTACCAGCTATAAGCAGCCTGACTCTGTCCAAAACACTTGGCCACTTGTATTCACAGCTTCATGTATAAAATGTGAGCAACAATGCTCACTGAGTGGGATTGTTGCAATGATATAACTGGTATCCTATCTGTAAAACACCTATAATAGAAACTGGCATATCAAATGTATATTCAGTGCTGATTCCTTACACCTTTTGCTTCTTTTTACCATCAATTCTCCTCTGATTCTAGCCTTTTGGGATATTGACTTGAAGATTCTAGAAATTTGTTATTTCCATTGTTTCCATTTTGTATTGCTATAAAAGAATACCTGAGGCTGGGTAATTTATAAAGAAAAGAGGTTTATTTGGCTCACAGTTCTGTGGGCTGTACAAGAAACGTGGTGCCAGCTCTGCTTCCAGTGAGGCCTCAGGAAACTTTTACCCATGGTGGAAGGCAGAGAGGAGCCATTGTATTATACGGTGAGAGAGGGGGCAAGAGAGAGTGAGAGAGGTCCCAGACTCTTTTTAACAAACAGATCTTGGGTGCACTCATTACTATGAACTTATTACCACTGAGAGAACACAAAGCCATTCATGAGGAATTGCCCCCATGATCCAATCACCTCCCACTAGGCTGCACTTTCAACATTGGGGATTACATGTCAATATGAGATTTGGAGGGTACAAACATCCAAAATATACTGATGCATCTGTTAAATATCATATTACAAATTCAGACTATTTAACAGCAGATCAAAGTGCTTAAGTGAGAAGAAGATAGTGGATAGCTGTATCTCTGATGTTCATATAGATGAGACACAGAATAAGAGAAATGGTAAGAGCAGTTGCTTAGGCTGTTAGGGTATTGTTAGGTATTGTTCTTTTCTAATTTAGTATCTCATTATTAAAGGAAACACAAGTTTTAATCCCTATCACACAGTGGGAAAGCCAGAAAAAGAAACCTACATGTAAGTACAAAGTGACTGAGATATATAAAAGTAGATAATTTAGGGCTAAAGTGATAGAAGTTTTGTCATAAAGATGAAAAATCTGGGAGATTATGGAATCAATTATGGAAACCTTCATAAAATAAAGAGGTTTGAGACAAATTTTAAAAGAAGGGAAGGATATTATTGTGTGGTAAAGAGTAGTGACAAAGTCATTCATAAGCCTTCATTGTTCTTAGGCTTCGAAAAGTCTAATGTTGTGGCAAGAAAATCCTTAGTGTGTCAGAGAACATTTGGTGCTGGGCTGATGTCACATAAGCTAAAAATCACTATAAAATGGGAAAATAGGGAAAATTCACAGCATAATCATTTTATCAGATTTATTCTGGAAAAAACCCTTCTACTTTCTCTTCATTAGTTTTAGTTCACTATTGGGTCATAGTCTTTTTCAAAAATTGCTTCATTTCCTTTTGATTTCACTTATGTGACTTCTCATATTTAATGTTACCTTATATAAAAAGCAATTGCTGGCTATCAAATTAATGTGACTGTGTCCTTAGACATAACTGATTTTTCTGTGGCTATGATTAATACTGAATGATTCACTGATATTAAAAGTGGTACCCATTTATTAGCATTTTTCCTTTGAGATCAACTCCAAGGAGGCAAAAGCAAAGTAACAGTTATCCTTCAATAGCTTTGTCCTGGAACCAACAGGCTACATTGTAGTTTAAACTGTGATACAAATGGTATTTTTCTTGGCTACTGTCTATTCCATTTCTGCATTCTTTTAGTGGAGAGTTCCCTGTTCTAGCAGTCAATAGAATCAACACCATTGTTTCACCCTCTCTTCTTCTCCATCAAAATCTATTACTCTACGTCTGCTTCCTCTGTGGGTCCACTCCATCAACAGTCAAGATTCAAGCTAAGTGTCAAATCTAGGAATAAGATTTTATTTATTTTATTGAAGGACATTTCATTTACTCCAGAACTACTGTATGTTTCCTATTTTATTTCCATTTAGGAAACATTGATTGAACATTTAGAATACATTGGAAACAAAACTGACTCAGCAGACATAACGATAAATTTTACATTTTCCCTGGTTTCAATGAGCATGTAATACTGTAGGAAGAAATATTTGTAAACTGATAAACTATATTGTAATAAGAAGAGCGATAATAGTTATAAACAAAATATCATGGGGAAGGGGCTTTAAAAATGAATACAATATTTAAATATTTGCAACATATATTTTCACAATCTGTAAAATGTATTTGTAATTTAAAAATATAAAACTAGTATTTATAACAGTAATGATTTCTAACAATAAATTGCATTGCTAGATTCTATTATTAATTCTGATAGATTAAAAATCTCATTATATTTTTGAGACAACTCTCTAAAGGATGAATTACTCTATTTTGTTCCATCATTATAGTAAATTATGTCAAAACATTTTAAAAAGTCAAATCATCTTTACATTTTTGTATTTTGAGGGATAATTGTATGTGGTCGGAATGTATCACATATAAACACACACATTTTTACTGAAGTCAACTTACTAGTATTTTATATAAGAAGTTTGAAGTTGTGTTAATTAAATCTTAGATATGTCTATTTTAGGAGTTCTTAAGGAACTGATTTTGGATTTTCTTTATCTTTATTGTACCTATGTTACTTGTTTACATTTGTGTATTATTACCATTCTTATACTTCAGGCTTAATCTGCTAGGCTTTTTCTAATTTTTTGAATTGGACATTTTTATAATTTTGCTTGTGCATACATGAGGTCATAGCAGTTGTCAAAATATACATTTATATTCATGTACATCAAAGGCCACTATCCTAAGCTGCTACCCTTCAGTGATCCTGCAAGTCACCAGCCATCCAGATCTCTTTCCTGGAACTTCTACCTGTCCAGACTTCCAGACATAGCCAGGATTTAGGTGAGACATGTCACATAATCCAGCAAAATCAGTGATAAAGAAAAAAATAACACTTCATGAAATATTTTTTACAATAGAAATTAATACTGGGACAAGAGCCAAGATGGCTGACTGCATGCTGCCAAGAATAGCTTCTCCAACCTATTGAGAGACCAGACCATGAAGACTGGCACACTCCAAGCAGATTTTCAGAAGGAAGCCATTGGGAATAAATAGAGGAAGGCCACAGATCCTACCCTGAAAGGGGAGGAGGCTGGGAATGCTGCACAATATTGCTGAGTGCCAGGATGTACTTCTTGTCCTGGGCAGCTCCTAGGGAAAGCATGAGTCAAATAGGCATGAGTGGCCAAATATCACCACAGACCTCTGGAATCCTAGCTGAAGGGGAACTGATGACCCCTGTGGACATTTGAGTTGGCAGAGAGCTGCTTAGAGAGTTGGCAGGGACAGGACTCTAAGTGGTGTAGAGCCTACAGGGTTTGGCATGGAAATGGCAGCAGTGGCACATGGCTGGGGACATCCATACCCCAAGGTTCACCATGCTCCTCTAGGTGGCTTGGGCCTTTGTTGACTATTAGACATGGGTGGAACAGGACTGTCTGCTCATGGGATGGGGACAGTCTGATCTGAGAGCCCCCTGTCTGCTGGCCTCTCCCAGTAGTGCAGTCTGAGATCTCCAACTGTGGCATTTCCCAGTGGTCACTGCCATATCTTCACTGGCAGATACCACCAAATCATCAGAGAGCTTCTGCAGATGGGCCACTCCCAGCATGCACCTGCTGACAGCAGCCCACACTGCTTCGCCAGTGTGCTTTTGCTCACAGCCTTCTTGTACCACTTCGTTGGTGATTGAAAGCATGAAGCTCACTGCCACTTCCCCAGTGAAGTACTTTTGCCAGCACGCCCCCTTAAGAGGGTTGTTACCAGTGGACTGGGAATACCTCAGCCCCTCCAGTGAAACAGGATCCTTGAGGAGCCAAAGAACAAAGCTGTGGGCCTGGTCCCAGTCCCCCAGGGTTAGAGCATGCAGCCCAAGAGTGCCGATCTGAGCCTTAGCCCCCTGTGAAATTGTCCAGAAATGAATCCAGTCAACTGAATCCAATTTATACCACATCAAATACACAAGGGCATCACAGAATATAAAACCAATAAGCCCCATCCAAAGTATAGCAACTTGAAAGATTACAGGATCATTAGCCCACACAGATGAGAAAGAACCAGTGCAAGAACTCTGGCAACTTAAAAAACCAGAGTGTCTTCTTACCTCCAAATCATTGTGCTACTTCCCCAGAAATAGTTCTCAACCACACTGAAATGACAGACAGAACATTCAGAATCTGAATAGAAATGAAGATCATCAAGATTCAGGAGAAACTTAAAACCCAATCCAAGAAATCAAAGGAAGCCAGGAAAACAATATAAGAGCTGAAAGACAAAATAGCCATTTTTAAGAAAGAACCTAAACTGATCTGATAGAGCTGAAAACTCACTACAAGAATTTCATAATACTTATAAGTATAAAATCATAATAGACCAAGCTGAGGAAAGAATCTCAGAACTCAAAGATCAGTTCTTTGAATCAACTCAGTCAGACCAAAATAAAGAAAAAAATTTAAAAAGAATTAAGAAAACCTTCAAGAAATATGAGATTATGTAAAGAAACAAAACCTACAACTCAGTGGCATCCCTGAAAGAGGGGAGAGAGCAAGCAACTTGGAAAAAATATTTGAGGATATTGTTCAAGAAAATTTCCCCAAACTCACTAGAGAGGTCAACATTCAAATTCAAGAAATTCAGCAAAGCTCTGGGAGACACTATACAAAATGACCATTCCCAAGGCAAATAGTCATCAGATTCTTAAAGGTCAGTGAGTAAGAAAAAAATATTTAAGGTAGCTAGAGAGAAGGGGAAAGGTTCTCTTCAAAGGGAACCCCATCAGGCTAACAGTGGACCTTTCAGTGGACAGCCTACAAGCCAGAAGAGAATGATTGCCTATGTTCAGCATCCTGAAAGAAAATAAATTTCAACCAAGAATTTCATATCCAGCCAAAATAAGCTTCATAAAATAGTTTTCAGAGAAGCAAATACTAACAGAATTTGTTACCACCAGACCTGCTTTAGAAGATGTCCTTAAGAGAATGGTAGACACGGAAACAAGGGACAGTAGCCAGCCATGACAAAAATACAATTTAGTACATAGACCATTGACATTATGAAGCAACCATATAAACAAGTCTACATAACAACCAGCTAACAACATAATGACAAGGTCAAATATGCACACATCAGTATAAACTTGAACATAAATGAGATAAACAGCCCATTTGAAAGATACAGACTGACACATTGGATAAAGAAGCAAAACCCAATGGTATGCTATCTTCAAGATACCCATCTCACATGCAATGATACTCATAGGCTCAAAGCAAAGGCTAAAAAAAGAGCAGGTTGCTATCCTTATTTCAGACAAAACAGACTTTAAATCAACAATGCTTTTCTTTTTGAATAAAGGCTTAAATTTAACAAGAAGACTTAATTATTCTAAATGTATATGTACCCAACACTGGAACATCCATATTCATAAAACAAGTTTCTAGAGACCTATAAATACACTTAGATAACCACATAATAATAGTGGAAGACTTAAATACCCTACTAATAGTGTTAGATAGATCAATGAGGCAGAAAACTAACCAAGATATCTGGGATCTAAACAGGAACATCTGACTAAAATGATTAAACAAACATGTACAGAATTCACTAAACAAAACCAGAATATCCATTATTCTCATCTGCACATGGCACATACTCTAAAATTCACCACATGCTTGGCCATAAAGCAATTCTCAACAAATTCACAAAATCAAAATCACACCAACCATACTCTCAGATCACAGTGTAATTAAAATAGAAATCAATACAAATAAGATCTCTCAAAACCATACAATGACATAGAAATTAAACAATATGCTCTTGAATGGCTCTTGGGTAAACAGTGAAATTAAGGCAGAAATCAAGAAATTCTTTAAAACTAACGAAAACAAAGATAAAACATACCAGAATCTCTGGGGCATAGCTAAAACAGTGTTAAGGGGAAAGTTTATAGCATTAAATATTCACATCAAAAAGTTAGAAAGATCACAAATTAACAACTTAACATCACACCTAGGGGAACTATGAAAACAAGAGCAAACCGACCAATAAGGTAGCAGAAGAAAAGAAATACCCAAAATCAGAGCTGAACTGAACAAAATGGAGGCATGAAAAAACATATAAAAGATAAATAAAACCAAAAGCGTGTTCTTCAAAAGAATACAAAAGATTGATATACAACTAACTAGACTAATAAAGAAAAAAAAGAGAGAAAATTGAACACAATCAGAAATGACAAGTGGACATCACCACTGACTCCACAGAAAATTAAAAAAAAAACTCTCAGAACTATTATAAATACCTCTATGCACACAAACTAGAGAACCTGGAAGAAATAAATGAATTCCTGGAAACATACAATTTCCCAAGATTGGACCAGGAAGAAATTGAATCCCTAAACAGACCAATAATGACTCCCAAAATTCAATCAGCAATACAAAAATCTGTCAACCAGAAAAAGCCCTGAACCAGATGGATTTGCAGCTAAATTCCACTAGATGTATAAAGAAGAGCTGGTAACAATACTACTAAAACTACTCCCATAAATAGAGGAAGAAGGACTCCTCCTTAACTAATTCTATGAGGTCAGCATCACTGTGATACCAAAACCTGGCACAGACAGAATAAAGAAAAATTTAGGCCAATATCCCTGAAGAACATAGATGTAAAAATCCTCAACAAAATATTAGCAAACTGGACCTGACAGCACATCAAAATGCTATTTCCATGATGAAGTAGGCTTTATTCTTGGGTGGAAAGGTTGGTTCTATATACACAAATCAATAAATGTGACTCGTTACATAAACAGAACGAAAACAAAAAACCACATGCTTATCTCAATAGACAGAAAAGTCTTCTGATAAAATTCAATATCCCATCATGTTAGAAACCTTCAGTAAACTAAATATTAGAGGAATATACCTCAAAATAATAAGAGCCATTTATGGCAAACCTCATACTGAATGGACAAAAACTGGAAACATTCCCCTTGAGAACCAGAATATGTCTAGAATGCCCATTCTCATCACTCTTACTAAACATCATTTTCGAAGTCCTAGCCAGAGCAATCAGGCAAGAGAAGAAATACAAGGAAACCAAATAGGAAGACAGGAAGTCAACTGTCTGCCTTCTCAGAAGATATAATTCGATACCTAGAGAACCTCATAGTCTGCTGAAAGGCTCCTCCACCTAATAAAAAACTTTAGCAACGTTTCAGAACACAAAATAAATGTATTAAAATCAGTATCATTTCTATAAACCAGTAACACTCAAACTGAGAAAAAAAATCAAGTACACAGTCTCATTGACAATAGCCACGAAAAAAGAATCAAATACTTGGAAATACAAGTAACTACGGAGGTGAAAGATCTCTACAATGAGAATTACAAAGCACTACTGAAAGAAATCAGACACATCACAAACAAATGGAAAAACATTTCATGCTCATGGATTAGAAGAATCAATATTGTTAAAGTGGTCATATTGCCCAAAGAGATTTAGAGATTCAATGCTATTTCTATCATACTACCAACCATGTTTTCACAGATTTAGAAAACTTTATTCTAAAATTCATGGGAAACCAAAAACGAGCCTGCATAGCCAAAGAATTCCCAAGTAAAAAGAACAAAGCCAGAGGTATGACACTACTTGTATGAGTCCATTCTCACATTGCTATAAGGAAATACCTGAGACTGGGTAATTTACAAAGAAAAGAGGTTTAATTGGCTCATGGTTCCACTGGCTGAATAGGATACGTGATGCTGACATTTGCTCAGCTCCTGAAGTGGCGTCAGGAAACTTACAATCAAGGCACAAGGCAAAGGGGGAGCAGACACATCACATGGTTGGAGCAGGAGCAAGAGGGAGAGTGAGGAAGGAAGTGCTACACACTTTTAAACAACTGGATCTCACAAGAACTTACTCACTGCCATGAGAACAACACCAAGAGGATGATGCTAAACCATTCATGAAAAAAAAAAAATGCCCCTATGATTCAATCACCTCCCACCAGGCCCCACTTTCAACACTGGGGGCTACATTCAGCAAGAGATTTTGCCAGGGACACAGATCTAAACCACATTACTACCTGAGTTCAAACTGTACTACAAGGCTTTAGTAATCAAAACAGCATGGTACTGGTACAAAAAACAGACATATAGACCAACAGAACTGGTTAGCGAACTTAGAAATAAAGCCACACAACTATAACCATCTGATCTTCAACAAAGTTGATAATAACAAGCAATGGGGAAAGGGCTCCCTATTCAATAAATGGTGCTGGAATAACTGGCTAGACATATGCAGAAGATTGAAAGTGGACCCCTTCTTTCACCATATACAAAAATCAACTCAAGATGGATTAAAGACTTAAATGTGAAACCTAAAACTATAAACATTCTAGAAGAAAACCTATGAAATACTATTATGGACATAGGCTCTGACAAATATTTCATGAAAAAGACTCCAAAAGCAACAAAAACAAAAATTGACAGGTGAGACCTAATTGAACTAAAGCACTTCTGCACAGCAAAAGAAACTATCAACAGAGTAAATGGAAAACCTACAGAATGGAGAAAATATTTGCAAGGTATTTGAACTGAAAATATTTGCATTTAAAAAAGGTCTAATATCCAGAATCTACAACAAACTTAAACACATTTACAAGCCAAAAAAAAAAACCCTTGTTAAAAAATGGATAAAGGACATGAGCAGACACTTCTCAAAAGAAGATAGATATAAAAGCAACCAACAAACATATGAAAAAAGTTCAATATCACTAATCATTATATAAATACAAATCAAAACCACAATGAAATACCACCTCACAACTGTCAGAATGACTGTAAGTAAAAAAATAGCAAATGCTGGCAAGATTGTGGAGAAAAAGCAATGCTTATACACTGTTAGTGGGAATGTAAATTAGTTCAGCCACTGTGGAAGGTTTGGATTTCTCAAAGAACTTAAAACAGAATTACCATTCAACCCAGCAGTTCCATTACTGGGTATATACCCAAAGGAATATAAATCATTCTACCATAAAGACACATGAGCATGTATGTTCACTACAGCACTATTCACAATACCAAATACATAGAATCAACCTAGATGCCCATCATGCTGGACTAGAAAATAAAAAAAAAAAAAGTAGTGCATATACAGCCTGGCATACGACACCGCCATAAAGAAGAACAAGATCATGTTCTTTACAACAACATGGATGCAGCTGGAGACTATTATCCTAAGGAAACTGACACAGGAACAGAAAACCAAATACCACATGTTCCCACTTACAAGTGGGAGCTAAACATTGAGTACATATGTACACAAAGAACAGGGCAATAGGCAGTAGGGTCTACTTGAGGGTAAAGAGCGGGAGAAGGGTGAGGACTGAGAAACTACCTCTTGAGTACTATGCTCATTACCCGTCTGATGAAATAATCTGTATATCAAATCTCCACGACATGTTATTTACTCATGTTACAAACCTGAACACATACTCCCTTAACCTAAAGTAGAGTTAGAAGGAAAAACATGAATGCAAATAATTCCTATCAACAATATAACAAAATATTGAATTAAAAGTCTACTTTTGCTTTGCTTGTTTTAAGATGCTGCAGCAGGAACAGTCATATCCAATCAACCTAAAGTTCTCAGTTCACCGATCACCTGTCAGGTGAGTTTATGAGGCTGGACAATGGCATGCAGAACAGATTATGCAACAGAAAGAATAATATATAGTCATCTGTTTTCATTATAGAGCTTTATTTTATTAGCTCTTTTCCACTCGGTTTAAAATATAGAGGATAGTTTGAGAAGAGTAGGTAGCAGCCAGAATTTTTCTTTTGGCTCAGCATTGCACTGCTTTCAGATCTATTTCCTTCCAAAGCCAATTCATTCTGATTGTTCAGTGCCTTCACAGTCAGCACCTTGAAATTCTTGCTTCCTAGACATTACCATTTTAATTCCCCAAGCACGGGACACATCTGGTCCCCAAAAGCCAGGGTTATGTCCCAGCACCAGTCACTTCACCGGTGATCCTGCACGTTCATAAGTCTACGTAGTCAGAGTGAGCCCAGTCAGGACAGGACAAGGCACATTGGCAGCAGAGCTGGCACCACTGGGGAACAAATGCCTATCTGGCTCCACAACTTGTCTGGTTCTGAGAGACTCTGGGAGAGACAAAGACAGACCATGGCTGATATTAAAGAATCATTGCTGTCTCTGGTCAGGCACTATGGTGTCCACTGGCATAGCAAGCATGCCAGCAACAAGAGGGAGACCACAGGAACCAAAGGACAATTTGCGGTGGTTTGGGGCCTCAAACAGGAAAGATGTAGCTTCCTGTTACATTTTACCTCCATTTAATTGCACTGGTTCATGAAAAACCCTGAAATATTCATCCATCATGAATATTAACCTCATTTCCATTACTACAAATAGAACTAATATTTATATGACATTTGTCCTGTGTGAGGCATAATTGTTAATGCATACTAACTTGTTAGAATTATATGATTTTCATCATCATCTCCATTTTCAAGTGAAGAAACTGAAACAGTTTGGGATCATTTCACATTTCCATGGTAGAGGTGTAATTAGCAGCCCAGTGTGCCCATTTTCTTAATTATCCGCCTATACCACATGTCATCTGGTCTGCAGAACTAAATGGAAGTCCAACCCATGATTTTCATGACTTGGTCAAAAATGGAGATACGATTATATAAAGTTCTCTGACAGTATTATAAGTGTTATAAAACTGATGAAGACTTCCATCTGTTGAATTATTGTTTTATAAGTAATGTCTTGTTCCTTTCTGAGTTTGTTTAGGACTTTATTTTTCTTTGTAGTTTGCCAAAAGCAGAGAGAGGAGAAAACAGCATCAACAATGTCATTGATTTTAAGATAATTTTTTTTCTTAAAACTATTATGTAACAACTACCAATGTAATTGGTGGGAGGTCAGTAAGAGGTCACTGTTGTTACCTAAAAATCGTGGTGCAAATCGAAGCCATATTCAGCAAACAAAATATTCTTCAAATAAGTCATAGCAATAATTTCTAAAATTTAGCAAATGATTTGGAAATGTTTTGAATTATTAATAAAAGATTTGTATTATAAATTGTACC
This sequence comes from Homo sapiens, assembly GCF_000001405.40. Lineage (NCBI taxonomy): Eukaryota > Metazoa > Chordata > Mammalia > Primates > Hominidae > Homo > Homo sapiens. The sequence continues at coordinate 38,111,980 of NC_000013.11, forward strand.
ACTTGGTAAGCAAATTTGAATAATGTATTAGTCACAGAATGGAAAGTAATATATATTTTAAATTTCAATTTATATTTTAACTTTAAATTAGTTTAAAATTTCACACTAGTTATTAAATAATATGAATATCACACCAGTATTTAAGATTAAAAATTGAGGGGGAGGAGCCAAGATGGCCGAATAGGAACAGCTCCAGTCTACAGCTCCCAGAGTGAGCGACACAGAAGACGGGTGATTTCTGCATTTCCATCTGAGGTACCGGGTTCATCTCACTAGGGAGTGCCAGACAGTGGGCGCAGGTCTGTGGGTGCGCGCACCGTGCATGAGCCGAAGCAGGGTGAGGCATTGCCTCACTTGGGAAGTGCAAGGGGTGAGGGAGTTCCCTTTCCTAGTCAAAGAAAGGGGTGACAGACGGCACCTGGAAAATCGGGTCACTCCCACCCAAATCCTGCACTTTTCCGAACAGGCTTAAAAAACGGCGCACCAGGAGATTATATCCCGTACATGGCTCAGAGGGTCCTACAGAGTCTCACTGATTGCTAGCACAGCAGTCTGAGATCAAACTGCAAGGTGGCAGCGAGACTGGGGAAGGGGTGCCCGCCATTATCCAGGCTTGCTTAGGTAAACAAAGCAGCCCGGAAGTTCGAACTGGGTGGAGCCCACCACAGCTCAAGGAGGCCTGCCTGCCTCTGAAGGTTCCACCTCTGGGGGCAGGGCACAGACAAACAAAAAGACAGCAGTAACCTCTGCAGACTTAAATGTCCCTGTCTGACAGCTTTGAAGAGAGCAGTGGTTCTCCCAGCATGCAGCGGGAGATCTGAGAACCGGCAGACTGCCTCCTCAAGTGGGTCCCTGACCCCTGACCCCCAAGCAGCCTAACTGGGAGGCACCCCCCAGCAGGGGCAGACTGACATCTCACACGGCCAGCTGGGTATTCCAACAGACCTGCAGCTAAGGGTCCTGTCTCTTAGAAGGGAAACTAACAAACAGAAAGGACTTCCACACCAGAAACCCATCTGTACATCACCAACATCAAAGACCAAAAGTAGATAAAACCACAAAGATGGGGAAAAAACAGAGCAGAAAAACTAGAAACTCTAAAAAGCCGAGGGCTCTCCTCCTCCAAAGGAACACAGTTCCTCACCAGCAACGGAACACAGCTGGATGGAGAATGACTTTGATGAGCTGAGAGAAGAAGGCTTCAGATGATCAAATTACTCCGAGCTATGGGAGGACATTCAAACCAAAGGCAAAGAAGTTGAAAACTTGAAAAAAATTTAGAAGAATATATAACTAGAATAACCAATAAAGAGAAGTGCTTAAAGGAGCTGATGGAGCTGAAAACCAAGGCTGGAGAACTACATGAAGAATGCAGAAGCCTCAGGAGCCGATGCGATCAACTGGAAGAAAGGGTATCAGCGATGGAAGATGAAATGAATGAAATGAAGCGAGAAGGGAAGTTTAGAGAAAAAAGAATAAAAAGAAATGAGCAAAGCCTCCAAGAAATATGGGACTATGTGAAAAGACCAAATCTACATCTGATTGGTGTACCTGAAAGTGACGGGGAGAATGGAACCAAGTTGGAAAACACTCTGCAGGATATTATCCAGGAGAACTTCCCCAATCTAGCAAGGCAGGCCAACGTTCAGATTCAGGAAATACAGAGAACGCCACAAAGATATTCCTCGAGAAGAGCAACTCCAAGACACAAAATTGTCAGATTCACCAAAGTTGAAATAAAGGAAAAAATGTTAAGGGCAGCCAGAGAGAAAGGTCGGGTTACCCACAAAGGGAAGCCCATCAGACTAACAGCAGATCTCTCGGCCAAAACTCTACAAGCCAGAAGAGAGTGGGGGTCAATATTCAACATTCTTAAAGACAAGAATTTTCAACCCAGAATTTCATATCCAGCCAAACTAAGCTTCATAAGTGAAGGAGAAATAAACTCCATAAGTGAAGGAGAAATAAACTCCTTTACAGACAAGCAAATGCTGAGAGATTTTGTCACCACCAGGCCTGCCCTAAAAGAGCTCCTGAAGGAAGCACTAAACATGGAAAGGAACAACCGGTACCAGCCGCTGCAAAATCATGCCAAAATGTAAAGACCATCGAGACTAGGAAGAAACTGCATCAACTAACGAGCAAAATCACCAGCTAACATCATAATGACAGGATCAAATTCACACATAACAATATTAACTTTAAATGTAAATGGACTAAATGCTCCAATTAAAAGACACAGATTGGCAAATTCGATAAAGAGTCAAGACCCATCAGTGTGCTGTATTCAGGAAACCCATCTCACATGCAGAGACACACATAGGCTCAAAATAAAAGGATGGAGGAAGATCTACCAAGCAAATGGAAAACAAAAAAAGGCAGGGGTTGCAAACCTAGTCTCTGATAAAACAGACTTTAAACCAACAAAGATCAAAAGAGACAAAGAAGGCCATTACATAATGGTAAAGGGATCAATTCAACAAGAAGAGCTAACTATCCTAAATATATATGCACCCAATACAGGAGCACCCACATTCATAAAGCAAGTCCTCAGTGACCTACAAAGAGACTTAGACTCCCACACATTAATAATGGGAGACTTTAACACCCCACTGTCAACATTAGACAGATCAACGAGACAGAAAGTCAACAAGGATACCCAGGAATTGAACTCAGCTCTCCACCAAGCAGACTTAATAGACATCTACAGAACTCTCCACCCCAAATCAACAGAATATACATTTTTTTCAGCACCACTCCACACCCATTCCGAAATTGACCACATACTTGGAAGTAAAGCTCTCCTCAGCCAATGTAAAAGAACAGAAATTATAACAAACTATCTCTCAGACCACAGTGCAATCAAACTAGAACTCAGGATTCAGAATCTCACTCAAAACTGCTCAACTACATGGAAACTGAACAACCTGCTCCCGAATGACTACTGGGTACATAATGAAATGAAGGCAGAAATAAAGATGTTCTTTGAAACCAACAAGAACAAAGACACAATTTACCAGAATCTCTGGGACACATTCAAAGCAGTGTGTAGAGGGAAATTTCTAGCACTGAATGCCCACAAGAGAAAGCAGGAAAGATCCAAAATTGACAACCTAACATCACAATTAAAGGAACTAGAAAAGCAAGAGCAAACACATTCAAAAGCTATCAGAAGGCAAGAAATAACTAAAATCAGAGCAGAACTGAAGGAAATAGAGACACAAAAAACCCTTCAAAAAATTAATGAATCCAGGAGCTGGTTTTTTGAAAGGATCAACAAAATTGATAGACCGCTAGCAAGACTTATAAAGCAAAAAAGAGAGAAGAATCAAATAGATGCAATAAAAAATGTTAAAGGGGATAGCACCACCAATCCCACAGAAATACAAACTACCATCAGAGAATACTACAAACACCTCTACACAAATAAACTAGAAAATCTAGAAGAAATGGATAAATTCCTCGACACATACACTCTCCCAAGACTAAACCAGGAAGAAGTTGAATCTCTGAATAGACCAATAACAGGATCTGAAATTGTGGCAATAATCAATAGCTTACCAACCAAAAAGAGTCCAGGACCAGATGGAATCACAGCCGAATTCTACCAGAGGTACAAGGAGGAACTGGTACCATTCCTTCTGAAACTATTCTAATCAATAGAAAAAGAGGGAATCCTCCCTAACTCATTTTATGAGGGCAGCATCATCCTGATACCAAAGCCGGGCAGAGACACAACCAAAAAAGAGAATTTTAGACCAATATCCTTGATGAACATTGATGCAAAAACCCTCAATAAAATACTGGCAAACCGAATCCAGCAGCACATCAAAAAGCTTATCCACCATGATCAAGTGGGCTTCATCCCTGGGATGCAAGGCTGGTTCAATATACGCAAATCAATGAGTGTAATCCAGCATATAAACAGAACCAAAGACAAAAACCACATGATTATCTCAACAGATGCAGAAAAGGCCTTCGACAAAATTCAACAACCCTTCATGCTAAAAACTCTCAATAAATTAGGTATTGATGGGATGTATTTCAAAATAATAAGAGCTATCTATGACAAACCCATAGCCAATATCATACTGAATGGGCAAAAACTGGAAGCATTCCCTTTGAAAACTGGCACAAGACAGGGATGCCCTCTCTCACCACTCCTATTCAACATAGTGTTGGAAGTTCTGGCCAGGGCAATTAGGCAGGAGAAGGAAATAAAGGGTATTCAATTAGGAAAAGAGGAAGTCAAATTGTCCCTGTTTGCAGAGGACATGATTGTATAGCTAGAAAACCCCATTGTCTCAGCCCAAAATCTCCTTAAGCTGATAAGCAACTTCAGCAAAGTCTCAGGATACAAAATCAATGTACAAAAATCACAAGCATTCTTATACACCAAGAACAGACAAACAGAGAGCCAAATCATGAGTGAACTCCCATTCACAATTGCTTCAAAGAGAATAAAATACCTAGGAATCCAACTTACAAGGGATGTGAAGGACCTCTTCAAGGAGAACTACAAACCACTGATCAAGGAATTAAAAGAGGATACAAACAAATGGAAGAACATTCCATGCTCATGGGTAGGAAGAATCAATATCGTGAAAATGGCCATACTGCCCAAGGTAATTTACAGATTCAATGCCATCCCCATCAAGCTAACAATGACTTTCTTCACAGAATTGGAAAAAACTACTTGAAAGTTCATATGGAACCAAAAAAGAGACTGCATTGCCAAGTCAATCCTAAGCCAAAAGAACAAAGCTGGAGGCATCACACTACCTGACTTCAAACTATACTACAAGGCTACTGTAACCAAAACAGCATGGTACTGGTACCAAAACAGAGATACAGACCAATGGAACAGAACAGAGCCCTCAGAAATAATGCCGCATATCTACAACTATCTGATCTTTGACAAACCTTAGAAAAACAAGCAATGGGGAAAGGATTCCCTATTTAATAAATGGTGCTTGGAAAACTGGCTAGCCATATGTAGAAAGCTGAAACTGGATCCCTTCCTTACACCTTATACAAAAATCAATTCAAGATGGATTAAAAACTTCAATGTTAGACCTAAAACCATAAAAACCCTAGAAGAAAACCTAGGCATTACCATTCAGGACAGAGGCATGGGCAAGGACTTCATGTCTAAAACACCAAAAGCAATGGCAACAAAAGCCAAAATTGACAAATGGAATCTCATTAAACTAAAGAGCTTCTGCACAGCAAAAGAAACTACCATCAGAGTGAACAGGCAACCTACAAAATGGGAGAAAATTTTCGCAACCTACTCATCTGACAAAGGGCTAATATCCAGAATCTACAATGAACTCAAACAAATTTACAAGAAAAAAACAACCCCATCAAAAAGTGGGTGAAGGACATGAACAGACACTTCTCAAAAGAAGACATTTATGCAGCCAAAAAACACATGAAAAAATGCTCACCATCACTGGCCATCAGAGAAATGCAAATCAAACCACAATGAGATATCATCTCACACCAGTTAGAATGACAATCATTAAAAAGTCAGGAAACAACAGGTGCTGGAGAGGATGTGGAGAAATAGGAACACTTTTACACTGTTGGTGGGACTGTAAACTAGTTCAACCATTGTGGAAGTCAGTGTGACGATTCCTCAGGGATCTAGAACTAGAAATACCATTTGACCCAGCCATCCCATTCCTGGGTATATACCCAAAGGACTATAAATCATGCTGCTATAAAAACACATGCACACGTATGTTTATTGCGGCATTATTCACAATAGCAAAGACTTGGAACCAACCCAAATGTCCAACAATGATAGACTGGATTAAGAAAATGTGGCACATATACCCCATGGAATACTATGCAGCCATAAAAAATGATGAGTTCATGTCCTTTGTAGGGACATGGATGAAATTGGAAATCATCACTCTCAGTAAACTATTGCAAGGACAAAAAACCAAACACTGCATATTCTCACTCATAGGTGGGAATTGAACAATGAGAACACATGGACACAGGAAGGGGAACATCACACTCTGGGGAATGTTGTGGGGTGGGGGGAGGGGGGAGGGATAACATTGGGAGATATACCTAATGCTAAATGACGAGTTAGTGGGTGCAGCACACCAGCATGGCACATGTATACATACGTAACTAACCTGCACACTGTGCACATGTACCCTAAAACTTAAAGTATAATAATAATAAATAAAAATGTAAAGAAAGATTAAAAATTATCTTACTATCAATTAAGTTATTATTTTCTTATACTAGCCAGTTTTCAATGCTCCTCAAATTAGTGTGTATATGTGTATATATATATGTACACATACATATATAAACAATAGTATTCATATATATATAAACTATTGTTTAAACACTTTTCTATATATGCATGTGTATGTGTATATACGTGTGTTTATATATATATAACATAGATAGTATTTTTTCTTGTATCTTAGTGTTCTGAGTTCAACTTTCTTCTTCTCTTCTTCCTGAAGTACATACTTGAAACCTCATTCACAGAATAACACATATTTTGATTTCTTTTTCAATCTCTGATTCATTCATCAAAATTTTCTATATTTCACTCCCATTCGATGATAGTTTAGTTACTCTCTACCACAACATTGAAAATATTACTTTATGTTTTTCTTGCCTCTTCTGCTGCAATTAAGAAGACTTTCATCAATCTAATTACTATTGTTTTGTATGTAGTCTCTCTTTCTGGGGGTTTTTAGGGTTACTTCATTTGTCTTTAGTGTTTTACATTTTTATTATAATTAATTATGGCATTTTTTGATCTGCTCAAAACATGAGACATGGAATGCTTTTAAATTTTAAGATTCATGGTTCTATTATTTCTTTTTTTTCTGAAAATTCTTTTATAGGTACATTTTCCTTTAATTATTTGTGTTTTCCCTCATCTCCTCATCTCTCTATGTTGGAATTTGGGTAATTTTCCGAAGGTTATCCAACTACTCCAAAGAAATCCTGTAACTTTTGAGTGATTTTTATCTGTCTTTTTTTTTTATTGCTTTGTTATATATTTAGCGGATTGTATTAGTCCATTCTTGCACTGCTATAAAGAACTACCTGATACTGCATAATTTATAAAGAAAAGAGGTTTAATTGCCTCAGGGTTCCACAGGCTGTACAAGAAGCATGGCTGGGGAGGCCTTAGGAAACTTACAATTTTGGCAGAAGGCAAAGGGGAAGCAGGCATGTCTCACATGGCTGCAACAGGAGGAAGTGGGGGTAGATGCCACACATGTTTAAACAACTATATCTTGTGAGAAATGTATCATGAGAACAGCACCAAAGGGAAGGTGCTAAACCATTCATGAAGAATCCACTTCCATGATCCAATCTCCTCCCAACAGGACAATATTGAGGACTACAGTTGAACATGAGATTTGAGTGGGGACACAGATCCAAACCAAATCAGGGATTTATATGTTGTGTTTCTCAGTTTAGATTTTCCTACATTGTATGGTAGCATAAATTATGATCTCAAATTTAGAATTAGATTGTAGATTAAAAGTTATGTTTTTCACAGAAAAATATAATTCTTGGCTAGGACTGGAAGGAGGCAAATTTACTGCTATGTCACTGAACAAACAGGTGGAATTTGTTAGTCTCCTCTCTCTGGGGTTGTAATCTTCGCATTTCCAGGTTTGTGATGATTTCCTCTTCCAGCTCCCCTTCTCACGGTGGCCTGATGATCCTCCAGGCCTGCCATGACCATCAGCAGCTCCTGTTCCTACTGCTGTGAATCACAATATTCCTCTTCATTTTTAGACCCTACAGGTTTCCTTTCCTTTATTGCAAGCTTGGACAATTATCGAAAATGATATAATTATTTTTTCCCAGAATCTTTTATTGTTTGGATGGATAAGGATTCTGGCCAACCTAGTCTAACATTTTGTCAGAATTAGACAGATTTCTTTTTATATTGTTATTTCGAAGCAGGTTTTCTTCTATATTTGGGTAGAAGCCATCCCTAATTATGGAATAATTTGCAACGAGGCTTATTTCCGCACATGGGCCTGGAACTCCCTTTACATAAAAAAACACAATAACATACACATACAAAAGAGTCAGATGGTGAGAGGAGATGCAACGTTGTATATCTGCAAGTTGCTCCATACTAATGGGGACAGAATTATGTTAGCGAGGCCTGTGGCAAATATCAAGAGTGAAGCTGCTCCAGGAGTTGGGACTCTTACAGGGAAGTCTGCAGTGAAGGCTATTGTCCTTCAGAAGCTTGTGTGAGGTAAGCGCATTGATAGGATACAGTGCTTTCAGAACAGAAAGCGTATTAGAATCACTTAGCTTCTTAAAAATAACCATTTATGGAGCCCACAGTTCTCTTTAATGTGCTTAACTGGGCCTAGGGATCTATACTGTGACACATACTTTGAGTGATTCCATGTAGATGGTTTATGGCATATTGAGCTGCTTTGTTGAATGTCTGGGAAAAGGCATAGTTAAGAAATTAATAGTGGGGAAAGTGAAACTGGTTAACAAAGTGCTTTGAAGCCACCAATAAGGGGTCTACGCTTTATCTAGATGATTAATAGGGAGACTGAAAATTTCAAAAAGGCAATGTGATGTGAAAACATTACAATATATGATGTATTTATAAATAGCACAAATGAAATCAATGTTAAATTTCCTTAAAGGTCTATGATAAAGCATGAGTTAGATCAGGGATTTTCAACCTATGACCCAAGGGCTAAATGAATGTTGTTTTCATGTTGCTTTTTTCTGTATGGCCAGTGAACTAAGAATGATTTTTAAAGGATTGTGGGCCCAAAATAATTATATATGTGTGTACCTGTGTGTGTGTGTATCTATCTATCTATCTATCTGTCTATCTATCTATCTATCTATCCATTCAGTTGACCAATTGACCTTTGAACAACTTGGTTTTAACTGCATGGGTCCACTTATATGTGGACTTTCTTCTGCCTCTGCCACCCCTGAGACAGTGAAACCAACACCTCTTCCTACTCCTCTTCAGCCTGCTCAACATGAAGACATCAAGATGAAGACCTTTGGAATAATCCACTTCCACTTAATGAAAAGTAAATATTTTTCTTCCTTATGATTTTTAATAGAGAAAATTTTATTTTCTGTAGCTTACTTCATTATAAGAATATGGTATATACATATAATAAACAAAATACATGTTAATTGAATGTTTATGTTATCAGTAAGCCTCCTGGTAAACAGTAAGCTATTAGTAGTTAAGTGGGGAATCAAAAGTTATACACAAATTTTCTACTGCCTGGGAGATCTGTACCCCTAACCCCCACATTGTTAAAGAGTCAACTGTACACACACATACATACATGGACACACACGACAAAGTTGTTTACTGTCCGGCCCTTCACAGAATAAGTTTGCCGAGTCCCTGGATTTAGGCAGACTGAAGGTTTCCCAGTATTTGTGCAAGTTAGCAAGGCTTCAGCTCTAGTGTGACTGGGTGGGTATCTGGGGAGGTAAGTGCGTCAGAATGAGGCAAAAGCAAATAGGGCTGGACTAAAAGGTAAACAGTCCAAATAGCTGTCAAAACAAGGTCCTTACAGCCTTAGATGGAAAAAGTGAACAAAGTATTTTCCATAGGATGACACACAGACCTTTTTAAAATGCACATTTAATTATGGTTTACATTGATATTATTCAGTAACTTTAAATCCCCCTTAAGACAAGGCCAAAACTCAAGCCCCCACTCATTCTTCAACTTCCCTTGCAACATAACCTTGACTAACCCACCAGAATTTATTCAGCAGAAACTTCTTGCAATCTCAGGAAAATGCAAAATTCTTTCACTTTGTGTTTATTTTATTTACTTATTATTTGTTTTCAAATTAATCATGTATATTGGTTAAAAAGCAAACATACATGTTTTATGATGAATATTAACTGTTCTAAACTCCATCCAGATTCCCCCCAAAAAAGGTCTTTCTATGTTTTCATTTTTTGCCCTGAATTTACCTCCATAAGTGTAAATAATATGCTCATAAACCTGTTTCCCAATTTTCTATCTTAAACATTATCTGCTTAGTTCTAATATTGAAATAAAAATTTAGGACTTTATTGCTTCTTGACCTTACGGCTAAGATCAAGTGTGAAATTTACCACGTTATACTACTCAGTCTCCTCCACAAAAAGCCTTCCTTCTCTCCCAATATTATGTCACAATTTTGATATTCTATGTGTTCATATATACATGTATATGTATGTATGTGTGTGTGTGTGTGTGTGTGTGTGTGTGTGTGTGTGTGTGTATCTTCCCATCTTCCCTTAGTATCCATGGGGAATTTGTTCTATAACCCCAATGGATACCTAAGTCTGTGGATGCTCAAGTCACTTATATAAAATGGTATAGTATTTGCATATAATCTGTGTATATCCTCCTGTATACTTTAAATCATCTCTAGATTATTCATAATACCTAACACAATGTAAATGCTATGTGAATAGCTGTACTGTATTTTTTATTTTTATTATTTTTTTGGTGTGCTATTCTTTATTCAAGTCTTTTTGATCTATAGTCAGTTGAATTTGCAGATACAGAACCCGCAAATACAAAGAGCTGAGTGTACATAATTTACAGTTAAACATATAGTCCACATATGCTTCCTTTATAAAAGTTTTATTATTTTTTGCTGTTTCTAATTGCCCCATTTTTTATTGCTGGATTTTCTGTATTTATAATAAAAACTATTCCTGTGCAAAATTGTAAAATATTCCTAAGATCTCCATATGTCAGGTAATCTACAAAATCCATTTTCATTTTCTTTGAGATATCCCTCCTGCAGCCTTTTATCATCTTGTGCTAACCTTTGCAAATTTCTAAGTGCCTCCTATACAGCTGATTTCCTGGAACCATTTGTCCCTCACCAGTTTTCAAGGAATTTACTCTTGTGTTGGATTTTGTGTTTTCTAAATATGTCTCTTCATGTATATTTTTCTCCTTTTTCACTCATTTTTTTTTGTGGTGAATGTCATACAGAAGCTGCTGGAGAAAGAGAGCATGGAGGGCATATTTTTAAGGACATGCATCCGAAAATACTTTACTACAAGTCTCATAGCGTGGCTGGATATAGAATTCTACATCTTTCATCAAGAACTTGAAAGTCTTACTGTTTTCTAACTAGTCCAATGCTGTTCTTGAAAAGTTCACTGGCATTCAAATACCTGTATATAGGAGTAATTCCTTTGACCTTTCTGGAATTTGTATGATTTGCCATTTATCTTGAACATGTTGAGATTTTATAACTTATGGCTTGGTGATTTTTTTTTAATTTGCTATGCTGGAAACTGTGTAAGCTTTTCTGTTTGGAAATCTGTATTCTGCCTTTTGAGAAATATTCATAAGATTTTAAAAATGATGTCACCGCATGTATTTCACCTATTCTAGCCTATAAGTGGTGTTTTCTTTTCAGATGTTGGACATCTTAGATTGAACCTTTGATTTTTACAACTCTTACTATTCATCTCTTTGTCATTTGAATTTGCTTTCCAGGACTTAGCTTCACATTACCACTTAACCCTTTTGTCCATTTCGCTTGTTCGTTTTTGTCAGAATTTCAGATGTAGTTTTTTACATCTTTTTTTTTTTTTTGAGACAGGGCTTGTTAAGTCACCCGGGCTGGTGTGCAGTGGTGAGACCGTAGCTCACTGTAACCCTGAACTCCAAGCCTCAAGTGATCCTCCCCACTCAGCTTCCTAATTAGTTAGGACTTACAAGCACCTGCCACCATGCCTGGCTAATTTTTTTCTTTATAAAGATGGGGGTCTTGCTATATTGCCCAGGCTGGTCTCAAACTCCAGGCCTCAGGCAATTCTTCTGCCTTTGCCTTCCAAAGCAATGGGATTATAGGAATGAGCCACTGTACCCCGACTCTTTTTCTTTTTTTAAATTTTATTTTATATTAAGTTCTGGGATACATGTGCAATGTGTGCGGGTTTGTTACATAGGTAAACTTGTGCCATGGTGGTTGGTTGCACCTATCAATCCATCACCTAGGTATTAAGCCCCATATACTTTAGCTGTTTATCCTGAGGCTCTCCCTCCCCTAACAGGCCCCAGTGTGTGTTGTTCCCCTCCCTGTGTCCATGTGTGCTTATTGTTCAGTTCCCACTTATAAGTGAAAACATGTGGCGTTTGGTTTTCTGTTCTGGTGTTAGTTTGCTGAGGATAATGGCTTCCAGCTCCATCCATGTCCCTGCAAAGGACATGATCTCATTCCTTTCTTATGACTGCATAGTATTCCATGGTGTATATGTACCAAATTTTTCTTATCCTCTTTCTTTCTTTCTTTTTTTCTTCTTCTCTCTTTCTTTCTTTTTTATTGTCACTTTGGCTTGGCCTCTTTTTAAATTTTTCATAAATTATAGCTTTATCTTTCCCTCTGTTTCCTCCATTAGCTTTATTTCCTTGCCCTCCTTCTTTGTTTGTTGTTATTTGTTTGTTCTTTATCTTTGATGTTGGAATCTTTCCTCATATATCTTTGATTTCTTGGCTATCCATTTATACATAAGTGTAAGGCCTAAAAAAATTCTGTGTAGAATACCATGGACAACTGTGGGTTCCTAGTGGATTGTACCACAGGATAATTAGCCAGGAGCCTCTGAAAAAGTACAGCTTCTGTCAGTATTTACCTATTATTCTCTTCCTTTGGTCACTATCTAGGGAAGAATCGTCTCATAGTATGTCTGAGGGAATAGGCCATATATCTAGAGGTGATTTGGGGAGGGCATTGTGGGTGTGAAGGGGAGTCTCTCATCATTCAGCCTGGACACTCTCACATACTTCTTCAGCATTAAGTTTTGCCACTCCTTCTCATCCTCCATTGTACCTGATGCTCCTGAGCAAGGACTTGATCTATTTCAAATTCTACAAAAACAAAAAACAAAACTACTGTCTTTTTCTAAGATGCCTGTTACAAAGTAAGCTCTCATAAAATAGAATGGGATACATGATAATGAAAAACAATGAGCAAGAGCCAGTAAAAGAATGTAGACAGCTGTATTATAATTATGGAAATGAATTATGTAAAACAACAGCAACAAACAGGGGCAGCAAGGCTAAGAACAGGATCACAGATCTGATGGAACACTGTGGACTCTGGGCCATGAGCAAGTGTCAGACTGAGACATGGAAAGTTTGGCTCTGCCGGATTGGTCAATAAAGCCTCCTCAGTTCACTAAATTTGTTCCAGTTGGTGATAGAAAGCATTGAAATATGAACCAAGGTGAAACCGGATTTCTCCTACAACATGTGGCCTTTGGGGTTTGTTGTCTCAATCACAGCCCACCTGTGGTCCCGAGAGTTGCCAAGATCTGTCATGAGCTAATTTTGTAATCAGTAAAATGTCAGCTGAAGTAATGAATTAACACCAGTAGGCGTCAGAACCAGAAATTGGAGAGTAAGACCAGTTCTAAATGCTGACAGGTGGGAATTTATTACTGGATGAGGCAAGATGATCATCAATTATTCAATTAAATAATCAATTTAGTTTGTGTTTCTTATTTCTAAGCTCTTAAGTACACAGCTCACTCTTAAAACTTAATAGTGGCTACTGTAAGGTGATCTGGAACAACAGCTACAGGGGCTGCCCTTTTAATCTGATATTTGTTCTGAGTGACTTTATTCAGCCAAGCATTTTTATTAGCCCTCGACATTCAAGGCCATTTTAAAATCCATATTTTACTTCTTTGAGATAAATGTAATCTATTTTTCAAAGTCTGCAGAACCCTGGGTTTCTGGGCTCTCTTCATTCCCTTTCATTTCTTATTTCAACCAGCCAATTCTTTACCAAATCCATTTTCTCTTTCTTGCAATACATTGCCAAACACAGCCAACAGTAAGCAATCCACACTATTATGGTACCATTTTCCAAATTATTCCCCTAGAGCTATAAATATAATAAGCACATTATCTACATTTCAAGATATAGGAGATGAAAACTATATTCAGTGTTTTGCCACTATATAACCTGGATATTCATCTATCTTTGCTGCTATATGTCTTTGTTTGCTGCCTCCAAGTAACTCAGGTATATATTTTATCCTATATATTATCTGTAGCAAGTGCTACCTATTTCACTCTTTTTATTTTCCTATAGTAGTGTCGCAAGTCAAGGTAGCAATTACCGTGTAGATCATGATAGCACAGTCTATACTATGGCAGCCATTACATATTGAAAATATTGAAATTTCAGCAGTTTATCTCAGTAATGGTTTATATCTGACTCACATTTCAGATTGGAGCAGTTTGAACAGTTCCTTAGGCCAGATATCCTACTTTTAACACAGGAATTTGGAATCCCATCATCATGTGTTCTGAAAATACTGAAATCCTTTACATCCAATTGTATTGATGAAAGAGAAAATGTACCAAAAGTTACTTAGGGGTCTTTAGAGGGTAAGTGTACATGTAACATACAATAATTACACACACATTCTGTTGACAAGTACTAGTCAAATAACCTCCCTTGACTACAGCCAGGCTAAAGATATGATTTAAATGTGTATACAGAAGCAAATTAAAAACATTTTGGTGAACATACTACATAGGTTACACAGCCAATAAATTGTACTTGGGAGGAATATAATGGACTTGGAAGTTTGTAATAGATGTGAGGAGGAATTTAATGGACTTGGAAGTTTGTAATAGATGTGAAAAACCATTTTTTAAATCCATAATTGGAGGACTGGATAAATGGTTTATTGATCATTATGAGTCTCTGGAATTTCCTACTAGTTGAAAGACAGTAATTTCCTATAGATATAATTATTTGACAATTTAATTGCTTTTTCATCTTTAAATAAGTTTTATCTTTTACTTGATGTAACTTTTACAAATAAAGATTTTAATCACTTTTTGAGAATTATTGACATACTGTCAATTATATAACAATAGAGACACATTTTTTGATACACAGTTATTCTGATACATGTCACAGACTTTAGATATTTCTAAAAAATAGAATAGTGGTTTTGTTTTAAATCTGTAAACAAAAAACTTGTTACTATAGTTAATGAAAGAAGAATTATTTATAAAAAGAAGAATGGGATAAAAATATGTATATATATTATAAATATACCTATGCTACATGTATTACATTAGGTGAATATATAATGAAAATACAAAAAGAAATTGTCCCAAGATTTGAACAATGACTAATTTAACATGGGAGATTAATGTTTTTCTTTATTAATTAGAAAATGTTTTGTAATATAGAAACACTCTGCTTCTAGGAAGAGGGAAATTAGGTCTTGCAGATGTAGTTAAATTATATTGTATTGAGATGGGCCCTAATACAATGACTGCTGTCCTTATAATAGGTAATTTGGACACACATACGGACCCACACAGGTGGGGAAAGGCCTTGTGAAGATACAGGAAGATATGGAAGTGATACATTTTTAAGCCAAAGAGCGCCAATATTGCCTACACCCACCAGAACATGTAAGAGACAAGGGAGAATTCTTCCAAAAAACCTACAGTGGGAGCATGACCCTATTGACACCTTGAACTCAGCATTCAACTCCAGCCTCCAGAATTGTGAGAGGATACATATATGCTGTTTTTTTTTTTAAGCCACCCAGTTTGTAGTACTTTGTTGTGGAGCTCTAAGAAACTAATATAATCTATATCAGAAAATAAAATAACAAAGGCTGATGAAGAAGCTAAGTATCCACCTAAAAAAGAGGAGGAAAAACTTCAAAGTTAGTTATCTGAGAAGATTAATAAAGCTGACAAATCTTCTACTGACTAATGAGGAGGGGGCAAAAAATGTCCAACAAATTATAACAGGAATAACAAGGGAGCACATAAATACAAGTAATATTATGAGATAATAAATAATTTTATATTCCAAAATATTTTAAGAAAAATATTAGAAAATGCATAGAAAAAAATAGAACTTACTAAAAATGACTCAAGCAATGGAATACTCAAATAATCCTACATTCATAAAAGAAATTAAAGCAGTAGTCAAAGGTCTGCCCCCAAAGAACTCTCTACCCACCAATCAGCTGGAAGAATAAATACAAACATAAACAAATGCAAAGATTAGAAAAACTATTAATGTTTTCAATTTATTTTTGGAAACTCTTATATCCTCTTTTTTTCCCCCCAACTTTTATTTTAGGTGCAGGAGGTACATGTGCAGGCTTGTTATATGGGTAAATTATGTATTGTGGGGGTTTGCTGTACAGATTATTTCCTCGCCCAGGTAATAAGCATAGGACCTGATGAGTAGTTTTTCCATCCTCACTCTCCTCCCACACTCCACTCTCAAGTAGGCTCTGGCATCTATTGTTCTCTACTTTGTGTCCATGTGTGCTCAGTTTTTAGCTCCTACTTCTAAGAGAGAGCATGCGGTATTTGGTTTTCTGTTTCTGCATTAATTCACATAGGATAATGGCCTCCGGATCCATCAGTATTGCCACAAAGGACGTGATTTTATTCTTTTCTATGGCTGTGTAGTATTCTATGGTGTATAGGTACCACATTTTCATTATCCAGTCCACCATTAGTGGACATCTGGGTTGATTGGGTTGATTTTATGTCTTTCCTATGAGAATTGTGCTGCAATGAACATATGCATATATGTGTCTTTGTGGTAGAACAATTAATATTTCTTTGGGTATATACTCAGTAATAGGATCATTGGGTCAAATAGTAGCTCTGTTTTAAGTTCTTTGATAAATCTCCATGCTGCTTTTCACTGTGGCTGAACGAATTTACATTCCTACCTGCATCATAGGAGCATTCTCTTTTATCCACAGCTTCGCCAGAATCTATTATTTTTTGACTTTTTAACAATAGCTATTCTAACTAGTGTGAGATGGTATCTCATTTTGGTTTTGATTTACATTTCTCTAATGATTAGTGATGTTGAGCATATACTGTTTGGCTGCATATATGTGTTCTTTTGAAAACTCTCTGTCCATGTCTGTGTATTGCATTTTAATTTGTTTAAGTTCTTTATCGATTCTGGAATATTACACCTTTGCCAGATGCATAGTTAGCAAATATTTTCTCCTATTCTGTAGGTTGTCTGTTTTCTTTGTTGATCATTTCCTTTGGTCTGCAGAAGCACTTTAGTTTAAGTAGGTATCACTGTTTTTTGTTTTTTGGGTTTTTTGTTTGTTTTTGTTTTGTTTTGTTTTTGCAAATGCTTTTGGAGTCTTTGTCATGAAATTTTTGCCAGGGCCTATGTCCAGAATGGTATTTTCTAGGTTTTTATCTAGGGCTTTTATATTTTTCAGTTTTACATTTAAGGCTTTCATCTATTTTGAGTTGATTTTTGTAGGTGGTGAAAAAGGAGGTCTAGTTTCAATCCACTGCATAGGTCTAGCCAGTTATTCCAGCACCATTTATTGAATAGGAAGCTCTTTCCTCATTGCTTGTTTTGTCAACTTTGTCAAAGAACAGATGGTTACAGGTAGGCTGCATTCTTTCTGGGTTCTCTAACCAGTTCCATTGGTCTATGTTTCTGTTTTTGGACAAGTATCATGCTGTTTTGGTTACTGAAGCCTTGTAGTATTGTTTGAAATTGGGTAACGTGATGCCTCTGTTTTTGTTCTTTTTACTTAGGATTCTTTTGACTGTGAGGGCTCTTTTCTGATTTCATATAAATGTAAGAATAGTATGTTAAAAATTGGTAAAAATGTCATTGGTAGTTTGATAAAAATAGCATTGAGCCTGTAATCCCAGCACTTTGGGAGGCCGAGGCAGGTGGCTCACGAGGTCAGGAGATCGAGACCATCCTGGTTAACACAGCGAAACCCCGTCTCTACTAAAAATACAAAAAATTAGCCGGGCCTGGTGGCGGGCACCTGTAGTCCCAGCTACTCAGGAGGCTGAGGCAGGAGAATAGCTTGAACCCGGGAGGCAGAGCTTGCAGTGAGCTGAGATCGCCACTGCACTCCATCCAGCCTACTGGGCAACAGAGTGAGATTCTGTCAATAAAAAAAAAAAAAAAAGCATTGAATGTGTGTTATGGTTTGGCTGTGTCCCCACCCAAATCTCATCTTGAATTGTAGCTCCCACAATTCCCATGTGTTGTGGGAGGACCTGGTGGGAGGTAACTGAATCATGGGGGTGGGTCTTTCCCATGCTGTTCTCATGATAGTGAATAAGTCTCATGAGATCTGATGGTTTTATAAGGGGGAGTTTTCCTGCACAAGCTCTCTCTTTGCCTGCTGCCATCCATATAAGACATGACTTGCTCCTCCTTGCCTTCTGCCATGATTGTGAGGCCTCCCAAGCCATGTGGAACTGTGAATCCATTAAACTTCTTTCCTGAATTAATTACCCAGTCTTGAGTATATTTTTATTAGCAGAGTGAAAACGGACTAATACAATGTATAAATTGGTTTGTGCAGTATGGCCATTTTAACAGTATTGATTCTTCCGGTCATGAGTATAGAATGTTTTGCTATTTGTTTGTATCATCTCTGGTTTTTTGAGCAGTGTTTTCTGATTCTCATTGTAGAGGTCTTTCATCTCCCTGGTTAGCTGTATTCCTAGGGATTTTTGTGTGTGGCTATTGTCAATGTGATTACATTCTTGATTTGGCTCTCAGCTTGGACATTATTGATGTATACAAATGCTACTGATTTTTGTACATTGATTTTGTATCCTGAAACTTTGCTGAAGTTGTTTGTCAGATCTAGGAGCCTTTGGCCAGATACTATGGGGTTTTCTAGGTATAGAATCATATCATCTGCAAACAGAGATATTTAAACTTCCTGTCTTTTATTTGGATGCCTTTTATTTCCTTCTCTTGCCTGATTGTTCTGGGTAAGACTTCCCATACTATGTTGAATAGGAGTGGTGATAGTAGGCAACCTTGTTTTGTTTCAGTTCTCAAGATAAGTACTAGCTTTTGCCTGTTTAGTATGATGATGGCTGTGGGTTTGTCATAAGTGATTCCTTATTTGGGGGTATATTACTTTGATGCCTAGCTTGTTGAGGGTTTTTCACATGATGGGATGTTGAATTTTGTCAATAACCTTCTCTACATCTATTGGGATGATCACATGGTTTTTGTTTTTAGTTCTGTTTATGTGATAAATTACACTTATTCATTTGTGTATATTGAATCAAACTTGCTATCCAGGAATAAACTCTACTTCATCATGATGGATTTGCTTCTTCATATGCTGCTGGATTCAGCTTGCTGTTATTTTGCTGAGGATTTTTGTGTCTATGTTCATCATGGATATTGGCCTGAAGTTCTCCTTTTCTATTGTTCCTGTCAGGTTTTGGTATCAGAATGATTCTGGCCTCATATAATGAGTAAGGGAAGAGTCACTCCTCCTCAATTTTTTGAAATGGTTTCAGTGGGATTGGTACCAGCTCTTCTTTTTATATTTGGTAGAATTTGGCAGTGAATCCTTCTGGTCCAGGGATTTTTCTGATTGTTAGAAAAATTTTATTACCGATTTAATTTCAGAGTGCATTATTGGCCTGATCAGGGTTTCAATTTCTTTTTGGTTCAATCTTGGGAGGTTGTATATTTCCAGGAATGTATCCATTTCTTCTAGGTTTTCTAGTATGTGTGCATAGAAGTGTTTGTGATATTCTCTGAGGGTTTTTGTTTTTCTGTGGGGTCAGTGTAATGTCTCCTTTATTATTTCTGATTTTTTAATTATGATGTTCTTTTTTTATTAGTCTAGCTAACAGTTCATTAATCTTATTTACTCTTTCAAAGTACAAAATTCTGTTTCTATTTATCTTTTTTATGGTTTTCTATCTCAGCTTCATCCAGTTTAACTATTTCACTTCTTCTGCTAACTTTGGGATTGGTTTGTGCTTGTTTTTCTAGTTCACCCAGGTGTGATGTTAGGTTATTAATTGGTGATCTTTCAAACTTTTTGATTGAGCATTAAGTGCTACAAACTTTCCTCACTACTACTTTAGCTGTATTATACAGTATTAGACAGATCATCGAGGCAGAATACTAACAAAGACAAAGATATTTGGGACCTAAACTTGACATTTGACTAAACAGAGACAGAATGGAAAGATATACTGTGTAAGAAATGACTGGATTTTCTTGGAGTCATTCCATTTTTTCTTGTTTACACCAAAGGCCAACGTTCAAACTGTCTTAATTTATAGAAAAGAACAAGCATTGTAATAAAGTCAGTTGAGGAAAGCCACAGAGATTCTAGTATGTTGTATTTTTATTTTCATTAATTTCAGTGAATTTCTTGATTTCTGCCTTAATTTCATTGTTTACTCAAGTCATTCAGGTGCAGATTAGTTAATTTCCATGTAATTGGTTTGTGACGTCTTTTTAGTATTGACATCTATTTTTAATGTGCTGTGGTCTGACAGTGTGGTTGTTATGATTTTTTTTTATTTGCTGGATATTGTTTTATGACCAAGCATATGGTTGATTTTAGAGTATGTGCCATGTGCAGATGAAAAAAATTCTGTTGTTGTTGGGTGAAATGTTCTGTAGATCAGTGGTCCCCAACCTTTTGTACAACAGGGACTGGTTTCATGGAAGACAATTTTTGCACAAACTTGTGGTAGGGGAGATGGTTTCAGAGGTATTATGTTCTCATAAGGAGCATGCAACCTAGATCCCTCGCATGCACAGTTCATAATAGGGTTAATGCTCCTGTGAGAATCTAATGCTGCCTATGATCTGACAGAAGGTAGGGTTCAGGCAGTAATACTTGCTTGCCTGCTGCTCACCTCCTGCTGTGTGTCCTGGTTCCTAACAGCCCATGGACTAAGCCCGTGGCTTAGGATTGTATATATACCAGTATCAATATTATATTTAGGTCCTGAATATTTTTGTTAGTTTTCTGCACTGATGATCTGTCTAATACTTTCAGTGGGATGTTGACATTTCTCACTATTAATCTGTGGTTAACTAAGTCTCTTTGTAGGTCTCTAAGAGCTTTTTTATGAATTTAGGTGCTCTAGTGTTAGGTGCATACATATTTAGGAGACTTAAGTCTTCTTATAAAAATGAAATTGTTATGATTATGTAGTGCCTTTCTTTGTCCTTTTTGATCATTTTTGGTTTAAAATCTGTTTTCTCTGAGATTAGAAGAGCAACCCATGCTTTTTTTGTGTTTCATTTGCTTAGGAGATTTTTCTCCATCCCTTGACTTTGAGCCTATAGATGTCATTGCATGTGAGACGAGTCTCTTGAAGACAGCATACAGTTGGATCGTGCTTTTTTTAATCCAACTTGCCATTCAGTGCCTTTTAAATGGGTCATTTAACCAGATTACGTTCAAGGATAATATTGACATATGTGGATTTTATTCTGTCATAGTGTTGTTACCTGGTTGTTACATAAATTTGGTTGTGTATTTGCTTTATAGTATTGATAATCTATATATTTAAGTGTGTTTTTATGGTGGCCAGTAACGGTCTTTCATTTCCATGGTTAGCACTCCTTTAAGGCCCTCTTTTAAGGCACGTCTTGTAGCAGTAAATTTCTTTAGCATTTGCTTGTCTAAAAGGATCTTATTTCTTCACTTATTAAGCTTATTTTTGCTGGATATGAAATTCTTGATTAGAATTTCTTTTCTTTAAGGATGCTGAATATAGCACCCCCCCTGCCGATTCCTTCCTGGATTGTAGGGTTTCTGCTGAAAGGTTTCCTATTAGCCTGATGGGGTTCTCTACATAGGTGACCCACCCTTCTTTCTAGCTGTCTTTCTTTAATACTTTTTCTTTCACATTGACCTTGGAGAATGTGATGATTATGTGTCTTGGGGATGGTCATCTTGTATTATCTCACTGGGATTCTCTGAATTTCTTGAATTTGAATGTTGACCTGTGTAGTGAGGTTGGAGAAGTTTTCCTGGACAATATTCTAAAGTATGTTTTCTAAGTTGCTTGCCCTCTCTCCTTCTCTTTCAGGGATATCAACGTATCATATGTTTGGTCTCTTTACATAATCCCCTATTTCTCAGAGGTTTTGTTCACTTTTTAAAATTCTCTTTTCATTATTTTTGTCTCACTGAGTTGATTCAAAGAACTGGTATTTGAGCTCTGAGATTCTGTCCTCAGCTTGGTCTATTCTGCTATTGATACTTCTGATTGCATTATGAAATTCTTACAGTGAGTTTTTCAACTCCATCAAATCAGTTTGGTTCATAAATCATTACAGTGTTTACTTTATATATTTATAGTAACAAAGAAAGTTTAGCATTACCAACAATACAGGCAAATATCTAATGAAATGTAATAGACCCAAACATATTGATTCATATTTTGATATTTGATATGAAAAGCTGAGCAACATACATCAAATAAGTAGTATTAAGAAAATTGAAGATCTATACGTGATTCTATATTAAAAATAATTCCTGTGGCTTGAAGACTGAAATCTAGAAGGCAAAACTGTAAAGATTTATAAAAAATAAATATAATAAAATAGATTTGTGATTTCAAAATAGGGTAAGTTTTCTTAAACAACAGAATAAATGCTAATATAAAAGAAAAATAATAATAAATTCAACTACATCAAAAGGAGAGATTTATGATCATCACACATACCCTGAAGAAAGTGAAAAGACAAGATAACTAAACTAACATGACTATTTGGCTTACAAAAGAATATTCAGATGCTCAAACCTCCAAAGAAAACACCATCAACATGCCTAATTTTTCATGGTTATGAGAATTTAAAACACATCTGATAGACTGATAAAAATTTAAATAGACTGATAGACTGATAAAAAATTAAAAAATTATTTCCATGCTTGCCAATTAGCAAAATTGGCAAGCATGGAAATAAACATAAGAACGCTAATGGTGGGAGGGTAAATTTT
The DNA here is from genome assembly GCF_000001405.40 of Homo sapiens. NCBI lineage: Eukaryota > Metazoa > Chordata > Mammalia > Primates > Hominidae > Homo > Homo sapiens. The sequence goes on from NC_000013.11 coordinate 38,134,813, forward strand.
TATAAACACTCTGAAGAATAGATTGTCATTACTTAATAAAGCTAAGGACACACATATACTATAAATTAACGATTTAATTCCTGGATCTATATTGCACTTTCATACATGTATAGAATGCTTATTTGTTTTTAGTCACTAAACGAAAACAGAAAAATGACCAACAAATCTATAAATAATAGAATAAATGCATTAGCTTTTACATTTTCATATAATAGAAAATTATATTGCAATAAAAAAATACATCATAATCACTTATAGCACCTTGTGTCAATTCACAAACATAACGTTGAATAAGCAAAAACAAATAATAAAATCCTACATATGAGCAGTGTTATCTCATTCACATAAATTTTAAAATGGCAAATTAAATTGTATAATTTGGGAATCCATATACATTTGTTAAAACTATGAAGAAAAATGAGAAAATAATTTTTGCAAGTTTGGATAGCAGCTACATTAAAGATAGAAACATTTGGAGGGAACTTGGGGTACATCATAAATGCTAATCATATTCTCTTTCTAGCCTTGACTAGGGTAAAAATAGATATTAGCTTCATAGTTGTCTGTTTAAACTATATACATAAGTTTTGGTTACATTTTTGATAGATGCAATGTTAAATAACATAAAATTTTAAAAATTAAATGTATAAAGATAAAAGTTCTTAAAATGCTATGTTAATTAACAATCTAATGGAAAATGAACAAAGCAATCTAATTGCAAATGAGAATGGGAAAAAAGATTGACTTTTTTTTCCTTTGCTTTTTTCAGCTTTCTTTGTTTTGCTTGATATTTTGTGTATAGGTGTTTATACTCTTTTTCAAAGAACGAACTGTCCTAAAACAAATGTTAAGTTGATCTGTTTTTATAGGTTAGTGTTTCTTAAATTTTATTATATGTGTGAATCACCTGGGGATATTATTAAAATGCATATTCTGACTCAGTAAATCTGGAGTGAGGCCTGCAATTCTAACAAGCTACCATGGAATGCGCAGGGTGTTAGATTAGTCCAAGTACTACTCTTTGAGGAGTGGAGCTCCGAGCTACAGATTGGTTGGTAATGGCTTAATTAAAACCCAACTGGTAATCTGTAAATGGGGTGACGATGGATTTTCATTCAGCTGGGACACAGTTGGAAGTGAAATGCAGCAGTTATTAATAATTGTGCTTGAACACAAGGTATAAACCAGAATTTCCTGGCAAACTTGGGATATCTGTTCTCCCTAGCTGTGAGTTACAGTAATTTTTTTTTTTTTTACACATTTTAAAATTTAGGACCAGACATTCTGTGAAACTGACCACCGTAAATCCTCCTGAGTAACACACCTAATATTGCCCCCCCAAAAAAACAATCTGAAATGCATACCAGGCCTTATAAGAAAAAAGCCTTTGAGGTAGCAAATAAAGGTTTATATTTTGCTAAATGCACAGCAGAGAAAAAGTTATGCCCAGGTTGAAGTGGGTGTAAGTCTCCCATCTGCTGCTAGCTAGACAGTCTGGACCCCAGATTCTTCTTGCTCCTGAAATACTTGTAAGGCATGGTCTTATTACATTTCAATGATATAATCTTTACTTTTGGTATGAGATACTGCTTTGTTTTATCTCTTCTGCTTTTTTAATTTTTTGAACTTAAAATAATGTTGCTCTTTTCTATCTGCTGTTTCTTTTTTTCTGATTTTAAAATTACTTATAAATCGGCCGGGCACAGTGGCTCACGCCTGTAATCCCAGCACTTCCGGAGGCCTAGGCAGGTGGATCACGAGGTCAGGAGATCGAGACCATCCTGGCTAACACGTTGAAACCCTGTCTCTACTAAAAATATAAAAGATTAGCCGGGCATGGTGGCGGGCGCCTGCAATCCCAGCTACTCGGGAGGCTGAGGCAGGAGAAGGGCGTGAACCCAGGAGGAGGAGCTTGCAGTGAGCCGAGATAGCGCCACTGCACTCCGGCCTGGGCGAAAGAGCGAGACTCCGTATCAAAAAAAAAAAAAAAAAAAAAATTATTTATAAATCAACTCTTCAAAGCAAAACAATAATTGTCTTTGTTTTTTTACAATTTTGATTTTTATTTTAGATTTGGAGGTACATGTGCAGATTTGTTACATGGGTATGTTGTGTGGGACTGAGGTTTGACATACAAATGATCCCATCACCCAGGTAGTGAGCATAATATCCAATAGTTAGTTTCTCAATCCTTGACCCCGTCTAGTACTTCCCAGTGTTTATTGTTGCCATCTTTATATAATGAGTGCCCAATGTTTAGCTCCCACTTATAAGTTGGAACAAGTGGTATTTGGTTTTCTCTTCCTGCATTAATTTGCTTAGGATAATGGAATCCCGCTGCATCCATATTGCTGCAAGGAGCATGATTTGATTCCCTTTTATGGCTGCATGGTATCCCATGATGTATTATGTATCACATTTTATTTATTGAATCCACTGTTGATGGGAACCTAGGTTAATTCCATGCCTATGCTATTTTGAATAGTACTGCAATGAACATATGTGTGCATGTGTCTTTTGGTAGAACAATTTATTTTCTTTTGGATATATACTAGTAATGGCATTGCTAGGTTGAATGGTAGTTTAAATTTCTTTGAGAAATCTCCAAACTGCTTTCCACAGTGGCTGATCTAATTTATTTTATTTATTTATTTTTATACTTTAACTTCTAGGGTACATGTTTACAATGTGCAGGTTTGTTACATATAAATACATGTGCCATGTTGGTGTGCTGCACCCATTAACTCATCATTTACATTAGGTATATCTCCTAATGCTATCCATCCCCACTCCCCCCACCCCACGACAGACCCCAGTGTGTGATGTTCCCCTTCCTGTGTCCAAGTGTTCTCATTGTTCAATTCCCACCTATGAGTGAGAACATGCAGTGTTTGGTTTTCTGTCCGTGCAATAGTTTGCTCAGAATGATGGTGTTCAGCCTCATCCACGTCCCTACAAAGGACATGAACTCATCCTTTTTTATGGCTGCATAGTATTCCATGGTGTATATGTGCCACATTTTCTTAATCCAGTCTATCATTGATGGACATTTGGGTTGGTTCCAAGTCTTTGCTATTGTGAATAGTGCCACAATAAACATATGTGTGCATGTGTCTTTATAGCAGCATGATTTATAGTCCTTTGGGTATATACCCAGTAATGGGATGGCTGGGTCAAATGGTATTTCTAGTTCTAGATCTTTGAGGAATCTCCACACTGTCTTCCACAATGGTTGAACTAGTTTACAGTCCCACCAACAGTGTAAAAGTGTTCCTATTTCTCCAGCACCTGTTGTTTCCTGACTTTTTAATGATCACCATTCTAACTGGTGTCAGATGGTATCTCATTGCAGTTTTGATTTGCATTTCTCTGATGGCCAGTGATGGTGAGCATTTTTTCATATATCTGTTGGCTGCATAAATGTCTTCTTTTGGGAAGTGTCTGTTCATATCCTTTGCCCACTTTTTGATGGGGGTTGTTTGATTTTTTCTTGTAAATTTGTTTAAGTTCTTTGTACATTCTGGATATTAGCCCTTTGTCAGATGGGTAGATTGCAAAAATTTTCTCCCATTTTGTAGGTTGCCTGTTCACTCTGATGGTAGTTTCTTTTGCTGTGCAGAAGTTCTTTAGTTTAATGAGATCCCATTTGTCAATTTTGGCTTTTGTTCCCATTGTTTTTGGTGTTTTAGACATGAAGTCCTTGCCCATGCCTCTGTCCTGAATGGTATTGCCTAGGTTTTCTTCTAGGGTTTTTATGGTTTTAGGTCTAACATTGAAGTCTTTAATCCATCTTGAATTAATTTTTGTATAAGGTGTAAGGAAGGAATCCAGTTTCAGCTTTCTACATATGGCTAGCCAGTTTTCCCATCACCATTTATTAAATAGGGAATTCTTTCCCCATTTCTTGTTTTTGTCAGGCTTGCCAAAGATCAGATGGTTGTAGATGTGTGGCATTATTTCTGAGGGCTCTGTTCTGTTCCATTGGTCTATATCTCTGTTTTGGTACCAGCACCATGCTGTTTTGATTACTGTAGCCTTGTAGTATAGTTTGAAGTCAGGCAGCATGATACCTCCAGCTTTGTTCTTTTGGCTTAGAACTGTCTCGGCAATGCAGTCTCTTTTTTGGTTCCATATGAACTTTCAAGTAGTTTTTTCCAATTCTGTGAAGAAAGTCATTGGTAGCTTGATGGGGATGGCATTGAATCTATAAATTACCTTGGGCAGTATGGCCATTTTCATGATATTGATTCTTCCTATCCATGAGCATGGAATGTTCTTCCATTTGTTTGTGTCCTCTCTTATTTCATTCAGCAGTGGTTTGTAGTTCTCCTCGAAGAGGTCCTTCACATCCCTTGTAAGTTGGATTCCTAGGTATTTTATTCTCTTTGAAGCAATTGTGAATGGGAGTTCACTCATGATTTGGCTCTCTGTTTGTCTGTTCTTGGTGTATAGGAATGCTTGTGATTTTTGCACATTGATTTTGTATCCTGAGACTTTGCTGAAGTTGCTTATCAGCTTAAGGAGATTTTGGGCTGAGACAATGGGGTTTTCTAAATATACAATCATGTCATCTGCAAACAGGGACAATTTGACTTCCTCTTTTCCTAATTGAATACCCTGTATTTCTTTCTCCTGCATGATTGCCCTGGTCAGAACTTCCAACACTATGTTGAATAGGAGTGGTGAGAGAGGGCATCCCTGTCTTATGCCAGTTTTCAAAGGGAATGCTTCCAGTTTTTGCCCATTCAGTATGATATTGGCTATGGGTTTGTCACAAATAGCTCTTATTGTTTTGAGATACGTCCCATCAATACCTAATTTATTGAGAGTTTTTAGAATGAAGGGCAGTTGAATTTTGTCGAAGGCCTTTTCTGCATCTATTGAGATAATCATGTGGTTTTTGTCTTTGGTTCTGTTATGTGCTAAATTAAAAGACACAGAATGGCAAATTGGCTGAACTAATTTAAATACACGCCAGTAGTATATAAGTGTTCCTTTTCTCCACAGCCTCACCAACATTTGTTATTTTTTGGCTTTTTAATAATAGCCATTCTAATTGGTGTAATTGATGTGAGATACTATCTCATTTTTTTAAATATGAATTTCTCTGATGATTAGTGATGTTGAGCATTTCTTCATATATTTGTTGGCCATATGTATGTCTTCTTTTGAGAAGTATCTATTTATATCCTTTGCCCATTTTTAAGTTATTTGTGTTTTGGTTGTTCCATTGTTTAAGTTCTTTATAGATTCTAGATATTAGACCTTTGTTAGGTGCATAGCTTTGCAAATATTTTCTCCAAATCTGTAGGTTGTTCGTTTACCCTGTTGTTAGCTTCTTTCACTGTGCAGAAGTGCTTTCGCTTAATTAGGTCTCACTGGTCAATTTTTGTTTTTGTTGCAATTGCTTTTGAGGACTTAGTTATAAGTTCTTTCCCAAGGTTGGTAACCAAAATGGTGTTTCCCAGGCTTTCCTCTAGGATTCTTATAGTTTGAAATCTTACATTTAATTATTTATTCCACCTCGAATTAATTTTTTATATGTTGAAGGGTATGGGTCCAGTTTCATTTTTCTGTACATCGCTAACCAGCTATACCAGCACCATTTTATTGAATAGAAATTCCTTTCTCCATTGCATATTTTTGTCAACTTTGTTGAAGATTAGATGGCTGTAGAGGTGCAGCTTTATTTCTTGTTCTCTATTCTGCTCCATTGGTCTATGTGTCTGTTTTTGTGTCAGTATCATACCGTTTTGGCTACTGTACCCTTATGGTGTAGTTTGTATTCAGGTAGTGTGATGCCTCCAGCTTTGCTCTTTTTGCTTAGGACTCCTTTGGCTGTTTGAGCTCTTTTTTCATTCTATATGAATTTTAGAATTTTTTTTCTAATTCTGTGAAAAATATTATTGGTACTTTGATAGGAATAGCACTGAATCTGTAGATTACTTTGGGCAGTAAGGCCATTTTAACAACAGTGATTCTTCTAGTCCATAAGCATGGAATGTTTTTTCATTTGTGTTGTCTCTGATTTCTTTTAACAGTGTTTCCTAATTCTCCTTGTAGAAATCTTTCTCTTCCTTGATTAGCTGTATTCCTAGGTTTATTTTCATGTGTGCAGCTATTGTGAATGAGATTGCATTCTTGAATTGGCTCTTGGCTTGAACATCATTGGTGTAGAGAAATGCTATTGATTTTTGTACACTGATTTTGTATCCTGAAACTTCACTGAAGTCATTTATCAGCTTTAGGAGCCTTTGGGTGGAGTCTTTAGGCTTTTCTAGGTATACAATCGTATCATCAGTGATGAGAGATAGTTTGATCCTTCATTTCCTATTTGGATGCCTTTTATTTCTTTCTCTGGCCTGATTGCTCTAGCTAGGACTTCCAATTGTCTTCATTTAAAAAAACTCAATATCTTTAGATTCCATAAAAAATTTCTTTCTTTTTGTAAGTAACTCATATTTATTTTTGAAATAATTTTTATTAGAAGTATTTTTAGTATGTGGGAACAACTGGTGTTGGTGTTATCAATCACTTGATTAATTTATTCATAAGATATCTTTGTTGAAAATATAAATATTTAAAACAGTGACCCAAACCTCTAAGGGAAAAACATAAACTGTGGCAAAAACAACAGAAAAGAAAGAACACTTAAATAAAATAATAGAAGTAACATACATGTAATCTGAAATTATACCAATGAAAACTAGTGCATAATTTTCAATATATAGAGGATCCATTTATATATTTCAGAAAACTGACATTAGAAAATAAAAGGGGTTAGAATATGCCAGCCAGAATTAAAGTGAAAAAGCTAAAGATTCCTTTTGTCTCTTGAATCACAAGCTCTTATCTGCAAAATGTCACAGCGAAAATTTCTGCCAGTATTAAATGGGATCTTGGTGAGCCTCATTTAATATCTCTATTCATACTCAAACAAAATGTTTTTAAGTAATGGAGATGAATATTATGGTTTTAAATCACAAAAAGTTAACAATACTGAATCATATTCAGTACTGAAAGCACCTTAAACTTGAAGTATGATTCTTTTCATAATGACATATGGTTTTCAGAAAAATAGCAGAAACTGACATTCTAGAAAAACAAAATGAGTGATTCACACCCCAGTAAAATCTAATATCACTTCCAGGATATTAAATACTTCATGTGCCAAGTTAGTCATAGATTCTGGCCTTACTTCAAGAGGTACTACTGATATTCTTAGTTGTTTTGCTTTTTATTTGTTTTGTGTGTGTGTGTGCATGGGTTTTTTTTTTAAATTCTAATGAATCCATAAAAATTTATCCACATATGAAGAATTCATAATGAAACAAACTTATTGCATCTGATTCATGAATCTTCATGGAATTGACATGAAGACTTGGCTTTAGAGATCTCTAGAACTCCCAACTAAAACAAAAATAAATTACTTCTAAATTATCTACATTATTTGCCTTCATAGTTGTGTGATAATTGCAGGATCTCGGGGCAATATCCTTGCAAATGCATCTAGTCATGTTCTTGGATGTCTTTATTTATTAAATAACCTATTATACTCAATTTAACACACATCTCTCAAGTATGTGTACCTGGCTCTGTGATAATTGTGAAGGATTAACAAGACAATAAAATATAGCTGACTCTTGAACAACATGGGTTTGAACTGTGTGGATCCACTTATAGCCAGATTTTGTTCAATAAAAGTTACACCTAGTGTGCCTATCTCTCCTGCCTCTTCTTCTACCTCCTCCACCTCTTTTTCCTCTGTCACCCCTGAGACAGCAAGACCAACCTCTCCTCTTTCTCCTCCTCCTCAGCCTACTCAATGTGAAGAGGATAAGAATAAAGACCTTTTGTGATACTCCTTTTCCACTTAATGAATAGTAAATATATTTCCTCTTTCTTATGATTTTCTTAACAACACTTTCTTTTCTCTAGCCTACCACTGTGAGAATACAGTTGTACTACATATAATACGCTAACTAAATATATGTTAATTGACTGTTTGTGTTATTGATCAGACTTCCAGTCAACAGTAGTCTATTAATTAAGCCTGGGGGGAGTCAAAAGTGATACACAAATTTTCAACTGTGTGGGGTGCCAGTGCCCATGACTCCTTCAAGGTTCAGCGCTATGGTCTCAAGTAGCTCACACTCAGGTTGACAGACAGTAAAGTCAACATTACAACAGAATTTGGCAAGTGCCCTAAAATAAAAAGAAATGGGATTCTAGGAGAGAAGGAAAAGAAAGTTCAATGTCTCCCACATTTAGCTAAAATCACCTTCCCCCAAATGTACGTACTTTAGATATAAGTCATACCTTTCAGTCCAGAGGAAATAAGCATCCTTCCATGCAAGGGGTTCTTAAATTTTGTTGTTACTTTTATTTGTTTGCTTTCTTGCTTGTTTTTATCTTTTGGCCTAAAAGACAAAACATCAATGTCACCATCTTCTACTAAATCTCATCAACTGTTTCTCAAATTAAAAGATAACTGCATCTTATTCTCTTTTGAACATACATTTTGTTTCAAGATCCTCCTTAAAACATGATTAACAAAAGTAAACACAATACTATGTTAAAATATGAATATATAATGCTATAAACAGTTACAGATATTATTTTTTTCTGTACTTAGGGTTGTAATGCTATAATCAACCAATTTTTTCCTTACAATTATTTTTTAAGTGTAGCAAGACCCTGTAAGTCCAGTGAATTTTTGTTTGCTTGCTTTTAAAAAATAATTATTTCTATTAGATTATGGCATATTTTAATCTGTTTAAAGATTTTACAACTAAATTCTGACACCAAATATTAACTCTCCTATCAGATTTAGAGATTTCATTAACGTTACTTCTATTTTCATTCAGGCAATAATAAAAATGCTGATTAATATAGTTAAGTACAGGGTCTTCTGGAATTCTGGGGTAGCATACAGTAAATGTCTCCAGAGAAATACTTACCAACTGTTTGCTGCTGAAGAACCCACTCCAATTTAAGGCAGTGTGTACTAAAGGGGTCCCTGAGACTCAAATTGAACTTTTTAAGACTCTAACCTTTTTAATTCACTTATAGGTATTTTCATTCCATCTTTAGTACAAACCTATGAGACAGATCTATTATTAAGCTATTTCACCAAAAAGGAAACCAAGACTGCATAACTTGCCTAACTTGCATGGTCATGCAGTTGATTGACAGACTAAGAGACTCAAAGGCGATGCATTGATTCCCAGGAAACAATTATTCAATCATTTATTATTCACCAGATTGTTCTATGACTATATGTCCGTGATGTTTTAAGACATTTTAATATGGATTTTTACAATCAATACCTATACTACACACACCTGAATGGCTAAAACTTTAAAAATTGGAAAAACCAAACACTAGCGAGAACATGGGGTCAGGGGAACTCTAATGTATGCTGTGTGGGAATGTACCATACAATATTTTCCTTCACTTTGAAGAAGAGGCTTGGGATTTTACATTTGATATATAAAATCATATATACCAAATATTTTCACTGTAACCAAGGAGTTTCCTGCCTAGAAATTTACTCAAGAAATTGGAAAACTATGCACAAAAAAAGTTTGTAATAAGAATATTCATGAAAGCTTTATTCTTTGTAATGAAAAACTGAAAACTGTCCAAGTTTCTACAGAGAGCAATAAACTGTGGTGCATTCACACTGAAATATGACTCAGTAATAAAAAGGAATGAGCTACTGATAAGTCAAAAAACAAGGATGAATCTCATAAATATGCAGAGTGAAAGATGCTTTTCCAGAAGGTGATGTATAGTAAAAAAAATGCATTCCCCTATTTTATTGAGAAAAAGGAAGTTATACTCTATACCATAGTTTGCTTTTTTGTTTTTGCCGTTTTTTTAAAATTTTTTTATTTTTTTCACACATATGGGCTATCTTTTGTTCTGCTTTTTATTTATTTATTTATTTATTATTATTATACTTTAAGTTTTAGGGTACATGTGCACAATGTGCAGGTTAGTTACATATGTATACATGTGCCATGCTGGTGTGCTGCACCCATTAACTCGTCATTTAGCATTAGGTATATCTCCTAATGCTATCCCTCCCCCCTCCCCCCACCCCACAACAGTCCCCAGAGTGTGATATTCCCCTTCCTGTGTCCATGTGTTCTCATTGTTCAATTCCCACCTATGAGTGAGAATATGCGGTGTTTGGTTTTTTGTCCTTGCAATAGTTTCCTGAGAATGATGATTTCCAGTTTCATCCATGTCCCTACAAAGGACATGAACTCATCATTTTTTACGGTTGCATAGTATTCCATGGGGTATATGTGCCACATTTTCTTAATCCAGTCTATCATTGTTGGACATTTGGGTTGGTTCCAAGTCTTTGCTATTGTGAATAGTGCCACAATAAACATATGTGTGCATGTGTTTTTATAGCAGCATGATTTATAGTCCTTTGGGTATATACCCAGGAATGGGATGGCTGGGTCAAATGGTATTTCTAGTTCTAGATCCCTGAGGAATCGCCACACTGACTTCCACAATGGTTGAACTAGTTTACAGTCCCACCAACAGTGTAAAAGTGTTCCTATTTCTCCACATCCTCTCCAGCATCTGTTGTTTCCTGACTTTTTAATGATTACCATTCTAACTGGCATGAGATGGTATCTCATTGTGGTTTTGATTTGCATTTCTCTGATGGCTAGTGATGGTGAGCATTTTTTCATGTGTTTTTTGGCTGCATAAATGTCTTCTTTTGAGAAGTGTCTGTTCATGTCCTTCACCCACTTTTTGATGGGGTTGTTTGTTTTTTTCTTGTAAATTTGTTGGAGTTCATTGTAGATTCTGGATATTAGCCCTTTGTCAGATGAGTAGGTTGCGAAAATTTTCTCCCATTTTGTAGGTTGCCTGTTCACTCTGATGGTAGTTTCTTTTGCTGTGAAGAAACTGTTTAGTTTAATGAGATCCCATTTGTCAATTTTGGCTTTTGTTGCCATTGCTTTTGGTGTTTTAGACATGAAGTCCTTGCCCATGCCTATGTCCTAAATGGTAATGCCTAGGTTTTCTTTCAGGGTTTTTATGGTTTTAGGTCTGACGTTGAAGTCTTTAATCCATCTTGAATTGATTTTTGTATCAGGTGTAAGGAAGGGATCCAGTTTCAGCTTTCTACATATGGCTAGCCAGTTTTCCCATCACCATTTATTAAATAGGGAATCCTTTCCCCATTGCTTGTTTTTCTCAGGTTTGTCAAAGATCAGATAGTTGTAGATATGCGGCGTTATTTCTGAGGGCTCTGTTCTGTTCCATTGACCTATATCTCTGTTTTGGTACCAGTACCATGCTGTTTTGGTTACTGTAGCCTTGTAGTACAGTTTGAAGTCAGATAGCGTGATGCCTCCAGCTTTGTTCTTTTGGCTTAGGATTGGCTTAGGATTGACTTGGTGATGCGGGCTCTTTTTTGGTTCCATATGAACTTTCAAGTAGTTTTTTCCAATTCTGTGAAGAAAGTCATTGGTAGCTTGATGGGGATGGCATTGAATCTATAAATTACCTTGGGCAGTATGGCCATTTTCATGATATTGATTCTTCTTACCCATGAGCATGGAATGTTCTTCCATTTGTTTGTATCCTCTGATTTCATTGAGCAGTGGTTTATAGTTCTCCTTGAAGAGGTCCTTCACGTCCCTTGTAAGTTGGATTCGTAGGTATTTTATTCTCTTTGAAGCTATTGTGAATGGGAGTTCACTCACGATTTGGCTCTCTGTTTGCCTGTTATTGGTGTATAAGAAGGCTTGTGATTTTTGTACATTGATTTTGTATCCTGAGACTTTGCTGAAGTTGCTTATCAGCTTAAGGAGATTTTGGGCTGAGACAATGGGGTTTTCTAGATATACAATCATGTCATCTGCAAACAGGGACAATTTGATTTCCTCTTTTCCTAATTGAATACCCTTTATTTCCTTCTCCTGCCTAATTGCCCTGGCCAGAACTTCCAACAGTATGTTGAATATTCATACTGGCCCTTAGTATGTGCTTTACTCTTTTCCAAGGGCAACTCTGAAACAATCTAAGTAGCTGACATCAAGTTCTCCCACATGTGTTTTACCTTTTTTAAAAAAGTGAATTATTTCCATGGATCCTAGTCATCTATCTTATTCTTCATGGTTTTCAGCAATTGCCAAACTGGATTCTAGCCGTTCTTTCCTTCTGTACTGGGGCGTTTGGCCTGGAGATCTCTGAGGTGGAGGTGCTGGCATTGAGAGCTCTCTCGTTACTTCCTCAGCTACATTGGGACTTAAACAGCATCTTATCTTCCTTTAACAGTTTCAGTGAGACAAACTCCCTGCATGAATAGGACAAAAGCAAAACAGCAGTTAAGTTGTTCTGTTAACATTATACCATCTGTTGCAAGGAATGGAACTCTCTCTTCCTTGTTCCTCTTCCTGCTTTTGAACCTAGTAAAAGTGTTCTTTTTATTGTTCCTCACATATTTTCCAAGGCTCAGATTATTTTTTATTAGCCTTCTTGGCACTGTTACAGTTTCATGCAACTCTTAAATTTGTATTTATGTGTGAGCGCCTTCTCCTTTTTTTTTTCTTCTTTCGAAATGTATAATCATCAAAGAATCCCCCAAAGTCACAGAGCTTTCTTTAGATAATATCAGATTTTCTTCTCTTGAGACATTTTTTTATACAGACTCTAACAATGCAATTCCTCACCATTTCTCTACATTTTTTTTCCCTAAAAAACAAACAAAGATCAACTATGATTAGAAACTTGAAAGGGTATATGCAGTCAGAATTGGAGTGAACTATGACAAATAGAACACTTTCATAACTATACCTCCCACCATTACTCACCATTCAAACTAATGGTGTGATATTTTCTCTCTAAAATGATAAAATAGTCTGTTAGTTTCATGATTTCTTGGTGAATTATTTCTTTCTCTGACAATGACTAAGGAATTTTCCACATAACAAGAAAGGACTTAACTATGTGTTCCTATGAAAATAGGTCTATGGAGTGTTCTAAGAAAATAAATGCACACAATTTTAATATAATTTAAACAACAAAAACAGAATAATGATGTTAAATTCCTGTTTTGTTTACCTGAAGGTCATAATTGTTTTAAATACTGTGTACCAGGGTCATGATATTATTTTCAATGACATGACATGTGTTGGATTATGTTCGGGATTAAATGTTAACATTATACAGATGATGCAGAATTATGTGAAACAGAAAATTAAATAATGAACAAATAGGCAGTATAGGGTAAGTAGTGGTAAGACTCCTTTTTACTCATGCTAAACAGAGACTCAGGTGAAATCCGTGGGCAGGATTTAAACTTTTCAGTTAATTTGTGATGTGGTTTGGAACATAGCAATTTCATTAAAATTTAGATGAAAGAAGTCCCTCCCACCTCCACAGTGACATATCCAGTTGTATGTGTCTCAAATACACCACCACTTCCTCCATGTAGGTAACTGAGATTGCTACCATAGCCTGCTAATTGGCATCTCAAGCATCCGTGTCTCCATGTTCTATCTCTCCACAGTGCTCGAGAGAATAAATATGAACCGAATTCCCAAGTGGGCATCTTTTCACAATCTTTAAACAATTTCCTATCCTCTTTAAACAATTCCATTCCATGTAGCCTGCTCTGTAGACACTGAGCTTTTGTCCTTCAACATAGTTAAACATACACATAGTTAAACATATACATAGTCAAACATTGTTATCATTTGACATTACAGGGGTAGTCTTGCAATCAGAAAAAGCAAATCCATGTTGTACTTAGAAAAGGGTGAAACACCTATCGCAAATGCTTCTGACATCTCCATTATTTCGAGGAGTACCATTATTGTCATCAATATAAAGGCACTGAGTGTTCTTCAGCATTTCTTCTCCCCTAGAGATGGACTGAGAACTTATAAGGAGAAACTTACATGTGTAGCCAAGCTCCTTTGAGTCTGATCACTCATGGGAGCTGGGGTGTACTGAAAAGAGTACACTTTCTGCCCCACTCCTTTTAAGCCATTTGTTTGTAAAGACAGGTTGTCATACAGTGGTCCAACTCTACAAATGATTTGGAGAATAGGTCTATATACTTTTCGGTTTCTATATTAGGAAATCCATTTGCCTGCAAATAAAAGAACTGCCTTAATTTGGCACTTCCTGAGTAATGAAAATGTAATTATATTTCCACATATCTTCTATTTTATTTATATTCATTAATTGGCTCAGAAATTAAATTAATACAATGGTTATTTAATGAATTCTCTTTCAATCCCCATTTCTCATTTGTTTTCCATAAATGTTGCCCATAGCACAGATAGTATATTGTTCCCTTATATATTATTATATGTTCTTTAGTGATGTTTGGATTACAGTGTTCTTGCAATTTTGTTCTTTCTAAGTCTCTCTCTCTTCCTCTCTCTCTCTCTTTCTCTCTGTCTCCCTCCCTCCCAGCCTCCCTCTCTCTCTTTCCTTCTCTTTCTCTCTCCCTCTCTCCTTACTCTTTCCCTCTCTCCTTTCATGATTATTTAACAGACAATTTGTACTGGATGCACCACCATGGCAAAGTCTGACACTCTAAAATATTATATCTTGGTTCTTCCTGTGTGAAACTCACACTATTTTTGGATTTATAATTATGTAAAAGTCTGAAAGAAGTGAATATTATCTCTTTTTTATTTCTAAAATGTTTGTTTCTGAAAGTGTAAAAGAGGATTGATGCTATTTAACTTATCTCAAGGTAATATCAATTTTAAAAATGTACAAAAATTGAGGTCAAAATAAAAGGTTGTATGCCTATAAAGAAATTGACAAACAGGTTGCTCCTTTAGCATTGAAAGTATCTCAAAATGACTAGACGGGATTTCCATTATGACCTATGAAAGGTTACATAAGATCTCACTCCCACTATAAACATCAAAAACATGGACAAGATACATGTGAAAAGAAGTATTTTCAGATGTTGGAAAACACACCATGCAGTGCTGTAGACTCTGAAGGAAGAAAAACAAGAAAAATGAGCTCTGTGAGTTCAGTTTTTAGGTTTCAATATAGGAAAGCAGACCTCAAACAAAGACTGTGGTTGCACTGAGTTGAAGAGACAAAAATGGCAGTCCAGGTAGAATGTGGCAGCTAGAATTCGTGTGACAGTGCACCCGAGAGGAGGGAGCCATTCCACAGGAAGAGAGAGCTCTAGCTTTCTGCAGTTATTCATTCCAACAATTCTTTGGCTGAATGCTGAGATGCACATATGTGGGATAAAATTTCACAGGATATAGGAAATAATCAACAACAAGCAGAAAACTGGATAATTAATTAGACCTCAAATAAGATTGAAGTAAGTTGAATTCCTACCAGCCAGAGTAGACAGACCACATTATGCAAGGAGCCCTGGCTAGAATGCTCAGAAAAACATTGCTTTAATGGAAAATTCACAGACTGGGGGGTAAATATGCATATATCTGATAAAGAACATGTATCAAACATATACAAATAACTCCTGAAACTCAACAGTAAACAAATAAGCAACTCAATTAAAAAATAGACAAAAGATCTGGACACCTCACCAAAGAAGATACACTGATGACAAACATATAAAAAGATACTCAATATTATATATCATTAGGGGATTGCAAATTAAAACAACAATGAGATACCACTAAACACCTATTATAATGGCTAAAACTCAAAACCCTGTGTGTTAGTTTGCTAGGGCTGCCATAACAAATTATGGATGGCTCAAAAACAAGAAATTTATTTTCTCATACTTCTGAAGACTAGATGTCCAAGATAAGGTGTCAGCAGGGTTAGTTTCTTTTGCGGCTTCTCTCTTTGGCTTATAGATGTTTACCTTCTCCTTGTGTCTTCTCACAGTATTCCTTCTGTGTCTGTATTCTGATCTTCTCTCCTTATAAGGACACCATATTGAATTACAGTCCACTCTAATTACCTCATTTTATTCTAATTACCTTTTTAAAGACCCCACCTCCAAAAACAGTCAGATTCTGAGGTACTGGTTGTTAGAACTTCAACACATGAATCTTAGGGGAGCACAATTCGGTCAACAGCACCTAGACAACACCAAATGCTGGTAAAGATGTGGGGCAACGGGAACTCTCACTCATTGCTGGTGGGAATGCAAAATGGTACAGCTGCTGTGGAAGACAGTTTGGCAGTTTATGACAAAACTAAACATATTTTTATGTGATCCAGCAATCATGCTTCTTGGTATTTATCAAAATGTGTTGGAAATTTATGTCCACATAAAAATCTGCACACGGATGTTTATAGCAACTTTATTCATAGTTACCAAACTTGGAAGCAACCAAGAAGTCCTTGGTGAATAGATGAATAAACCATAGTACATCCAGACAGGGATGTACACAGCACTAAAAGGCAATGAGCTATAAAGGCATGAAAAGATGTAGAGAAACCTTAAATGCATACTGCTAAGTGAAAGAAACCAATCTGAAAAGGCAACACACCATATCATTCCAACTATATGACATTTTGGAAAAGGCAAAACCATAGACAGTAAAAAGATTAGTGATTGCCAGTGATTGATGAGAGAGAAGGAAGAATGAATAGGGGAGCAGGGAATTTTTAGGAAAGTGAAACTATTCTGCGTGATAATATTGTCATGTGTGAAAAATCCATAGAACTATATAATACAAAGAAATTGTAACATAAACTGTGGAATTGAGTTAATGATAATGTTTCAGTATTGGTTCAACAATGGAAGTGAATGTACTGCAGCAATGCAAGATTGCAATACTAGAAGAAACTGTGTGCATGTGTTAAGGAAAAAGGGGTAAATGGGGACTGTACTTTCTCTACAATTTTTCAGTAAACCTAAAACTGCTTTAAAAAATAAAGTCTATTTTTAAAATATTAAAACAGTAAAACCAAAACAAACTGCTAAATTTGATGTATGAACTTAGAAAAGCAGTAGGATATAATGGATATTTTTAAAAATTTACTGTATTCCTATATACCAGCAATCAATATTTTGAAACTGAAGTTTTTGCATTAGTGTGATCTGGATGTGAAACATGCAGTCAAAGAATATCATTTTGGAGCTTTAAGATTTGACTGCCCTGTTGAATTTTGGATTTGCATGGGGCCTGTAGCCACATTGTTAAAATCATAACACAGGAATAAAGATCATAACACAGGAAAATTTTCATTAAAATCATAACACAGGAATAATTTTCAAACAGTATATTCAAGATCTGTACAGCAAAAACTATACAGTTTCATTTGGACAAAGTATTAGTCTGTTTTCATGCTGCTGATAAAGACATACCCAAGGCCAGTTGTGGTGGTTCATGCCTATAATCCCAGCAGTTTGGGAGGCCAAGGTGAATCTATCACCTGAGGTCAGGAGTTCAAAACCACCCTGGCCAACATGGTGAAATCCCATCTCTAATAAAAATACAAAAATTAGCCAGGTGTGGTGGTGGGCACATGTGGTCCCAGCTACTTGGGAGGCAGAGGCAGAATTGCTTGAACCTGGGAGGCGGTGGTTGCAATGAGCCAAGATCATGCCATTGTTCTCCAGCCTGGGCTACAAGAGTGAAACTCTGTCTCAAAATAAATAAATACATAAAAATAAAAAAATAGAGACATGCCTGAGACTGGGTAATTTATACAGGAAAAAGGGTTTAATGGACTTACAGTTCCACGTGTCTGGGGAGGCTTCACAATCATGGTGAAAGGCAAGGAGGAGCAAAGGCACTTCTTACATGGATGGCAGCAGACACATAGAGAACTTTTGCAGGGAAACTCCCCCTTATAAAACCGTTAGATCACATGAGACTTATTCACTATCACAAGAACAGCATTGGAAAGACCAACCCCCATGATTCAATTACTTCCCATCAGGTTCCTCCAATAACACATGGGAATTCAAGATGAGATTTCGGTGGAGACACAGCCAAACCATATCATTCTGCCCCTGTCTCCTCCCAAATCTCATGTCCTCACATTTCAAAACCAATCATGCCTTCCCAACAGTCCCCCAAATTCTTAACTCCTTTCAGCATTAACTAAAAAGTCCCCAGTCCTGAGTCTCATCTGAGACAAGGCAAGACCCTTCTTCCTATGAGCCTGTACAATAAAAAGCAAATTAGTTACTTTCTAGAGACAATGGAGGTACTTGCATTGGGTAAATGCAGCCTTTTCAAATGGGAGAAATTGGCCAAAACAAAGTGGCTAGAGGCCCCATGCAAGTCCAAAATCGAGCAAGGCAGTCAAATCTTAAAGCTCCAAAATGATATCCTTCGACTCCATGTCTCACATCCAGATCATGCTGATGCAAGAGGTGGGTTCCCATGGTCTTGGGCAGCTCCCCACCCTGTGGTTTTGCAGGGTACAGTCTCCCTCCTGGCTGCTTTCATGGGCTGGCATTGAGTGTCTGCAGCTTTTCCAGGTGCACAGTGCAAACTGTCAGTGGATCTACCATTCTGGGGTCTGTAGGATGGTGGACTTCTTCTCACAGCTCCACTCGGTGGCCCCAGTATGGACTCTCTGTGGGGGCTCCCACCCCACATTTCCCTTCTACACTGCCCTAGCAGATGTTCTCCATGGAGGACCCCACCCCTACAGTAAACTTCTGCCTGGACATCCAGGCATTTCCATACATCCTCTGAAATCTAGGAAGAGGTTCCCAAACCTCAATTCTTGACTTCTGTGCACTCAAAGGCTCAACGCCATGTGGAAGCTGCCAAGGCTTGGGGCTTGCACCCTCTGAAGCAACAGCCCAATCTGTACCTTCCCCCCTTTTAGTCATGGCTGGAGCAGCTGGGATGCAGGTCACCAAGTCCCTAAACTGCACACAGCAGAGAGACCCTGGGCCCAGCACATGAAACCACTTTTTCCTCTTAAACCTCAAGGCCTGTGATGGGAGGGGCTGCTACAAAGGCCTCTGACATTCCCTGGAGACATTTTCCTCAATGTCTTGGTGATTAACATTTGGCTCCTCATTACTTATGCAAATTTCTGCAGCCAGCTTGAATTTCTCCTCAGAAAATGGGATTTCTTTTTTTATCGCATTGTCAGGCTGCAAATTTTTCAAGTTTGTATGCTCTGTTTTTCTTTTAAAACTGAATGCCTTTAACAGCACTCAAGTCACCTCTTGAATGCTTTGCTGCTTAGAAATTTCTTCCACCAGATATCCTAAATCATCTCTCTCAAGTTCAATGTTCCACAGATCTCTAGGTCAGGGGCAAAATGCTTCCAGTTTCTTTGCTAAAATATAACATGAGTCACCTTTGCTCCAATTCCCAACAAGTTTCTCACTTCTGTCTGAGACCACCTCAACCTTAATGTTATTGTCTATATCACTATCAACATTTTGTGCAAAGCCATTCAACAAGTGTCTAGGAAGTTCCAAATTTTACATTTTCATGTCTTCTTCTGAGCCCTCCAAACTGTTCTAACCTCTGCCTGTTACCCAGTTTCAAAGTCGCTTCCACATTTTTGGGTATCTTTTCAGCAGTGCCTCACTCAACTGGTACCAACTTACTGCATTAGTCCATTTTCATGCTGCTGATAAAGCTTCATGAAAGTATATCAGACTGGGTAATTTATATAGAAAAACAGTTTAATGGATTACAGTTCCATGTGGCTTGGGAGGCCTTACAGTCATGGCAGAAGGCAAGGAGGAACAAGTCACATCTTACATGGATGGCAGCAGGCAAAGAGAAAGCTTGTGCAGGGAATCTCCCATTTTTAACACCATCGGATCTCATAAGACTTATCCACTATCATGAGAAGAGCCTGTGAAAGACCTGCCCCCATGATTCAATTACCTCCCACCAGGTTCCTCCCACAACATGTGGGAATTCAAGATGAGATTTGGGTGGGGACACAACCAAACCATATGAGACAAATAAAATATAAACTAAATATATACTATGTTCATTAGTAGAAGACTCAATACTATCAACATGTCAATTTGTCCAGAGTAATCTGTGGATTTATGAAATTTAAATAAAAACAGCAGAGATACTTTTGAAGAAATTAACAATATTGTTTTAAAACTTAGGTGAAAATGGGAATGACAAAGAGTTGCCAAAATGAAATAAAATAAAAAGGTAAAAACAAAAATTGAAGCATTTACTGTATTTTAGATGGAGTCTTGCTCTGTTGCCAAGTACAGTGGTGCTATCTCAGTTCACTGCACATCTGCCTCCTGGGTTCAAGCGATTCTTGTGCCTCACCCTCCGAAGTAGCTGGGACTACAGGCATGTGCCACCACACCTAGAAAATTTTTGTATTTTTAGTAGAGATGAGGTTTCACCATGTTGGCCAGGCTGATCTTGAACTCCTGGCCTCAAGTGATCCACCCACCTTGGCCTCCCTAAGTGCTGGGATTACAGACATGAACCACCACACCTGGCCAGTTTACTGTACCTTTAAGAGTAATTATGAAACTACATTAAGCAACATGATGTGGTATTGGCATACAGATTAACTTTAGGTAAATAGAATAAAACAGAGTTTAGAAAGAGATTTTTTACTTATGTGGTCAACTGATTTTCACTAAGTTGTCCAGGTAATTACATGAAGACAGAATAGTCTTTGACAAATTCTGTGGGAAAATTTTTACAGGTGAAAAAATAAATACTATCACTTATTTCACAACATAAACAAAAATTTGTGCCAAAAGAATCATAGATCTACAACTTAAACTTAAAACTATGAATTAGTTTTAGGCTTCTACCTACTCCATGGAGTGGGAGGCCTGGGTCTGCAGCTGCGGTTTGGGCAGCTGCAACTGCTCCTGGGGAGCTCCCACCCCAACATGGTAGGGATGGGGCTCCCACTGGCTCCATGGAGTGTGCAGCCCCAGCTGTGCCTCCCTGGTGTAGCCAGCATGATGGCAGCGACAATCTCTCTGGAGCAGCCACTGCCGTCATAAGGATAGGTGCAGCAGATTGACCACAAATGGACATAAGGGAGCTTTTCAGGGTGATGGAAATATTCTATGATTTATTTGTGGTTGTGGTTACACTGTCACAATATATTTGTCAAAATTCACCAAATTGGACTCTTCAAATTAGTGAATTTTATTGTACAAAATGTGTGACTGCTAATATAATTAAATAGTATAGATTATAAAAAATAATGAAAAGTTCTGGTACTACCTGTGAGCCAGCTGTGTTTTGAAATTATCATTCATCCTCCTATATTTCATCTATAAAATGGCACTAAAATTGCCTTCTTCATCTGCTCTAGCTATCTTTAAAAATTTTGTCTCAATTTTTACATCATGAACCTTTCATGAATGTGCCTTATAAACTATAAAATACTCCTTTAAACACGTTTTGATTATTGTGTAATCTGAGTAGTCAGGTGTTACATGAGTAGTTGAATAAGATACTTTGAGCTATGTTTGTGCTAATGGGAAAAGCTGGCTATGTGGCAATCATTCATTTTCCATTTATTTCTCACATTTATACAACTGTTCCCCTTATTACAGCCACAGTTATTATTTTCCAACACCTTCATCTCTGAATGCCTGTCATCATTTCCTTTCCAATTCGTTTGAGTTAGGTCCTTGTTTTAAAAAGTTATCCCACTCATGATCCCATTGCTTGAGAGTACCTGCTGCTTTTCCTTGGTGACCAATAGCTCATCCATGGATTTCCTTTTGTTCAGTGAGCAAATGTTGAACCCCTACAGAAAGGCAGGCACTGTGCTAGATTCAGGGGATACATAGGAGGATAAAAGTTTTTCATGCATTTTTTTCACAGAATTGCTTTTACTACACTCCAATTACTTTCCTATTCCACTACTATAAGCTTTGTTCAAACTTCTATTATTTTTGCCATTTCCTCTTAACAGGAGCCCTATCTTAAATAATGTCCCTGAGGGTCACCCCACATATCTAACTGAAGCACCTTTCTGTTTATTCCATTTTTATGTTCCAAAACATTCAAAGACTCCCTTCTGCCTATTGATGCATAATGATCCAGTGGAAAGAAAACTATCTTTGAATCAGATAAACCTGAGTCTAAATCTTGATGCCTGCTGAATGACTCTGTACAGTACCACATCTTTTCCAATCCTCAGATTCTTTGTTTGTATAAAACCAGTAATAATACAGATATTATACATTTAAAGAGCTTGAGACAATGTCTAGCACTTAGAGTAGCTGTCCAATAAATCACAGTTATTATTAAAAAACAAATACTCTGCAAGTCTTAGTTTATTCTTAAAATCTTGCTTAGCCAGGTTTGAACCTCCAAATAGTTCTTCCGCCCAGTCTCCAGTGTTAGAAAAGCATCATATGGAGTATTTTATACAACCATCAAAACTTCAGCAACACAGTAAATGAGCTACATCTTGGCTCAAGGGGTACTTAAGATCTCAAGGATCTATACAAGAAGAGAGGTGGCAGCTACAGGCAGCAATACCAAACAATTTAAGAAATAAGATTTGTGAAATCATTATCTTCCTATCTTGAGGTTTTTTTACGACTTTGCTCATGGTGGAAAATTCAATTCACATTTAAATTAAAATTTGATTTTGTGAAGTAGCAGAATACTTTAGTTTTACATTTATGTTATCACATTAGCACATCATTTTGTAGTCTGAATCCAGTATTTTTTTCAGGTTAAAACTTTTATTTTGTTCATTAAATTTTAGATTCAGGGGTACATGTGCAGGTTTGTCAAATGGATGTAATGTGTAATGGTGATATTTGGGATTCCATCAAACCCATCACCCAAATAGCAAACACAGTACCCTTGGGCAGTTTTTCAGCCCTTGCTCCCAGTCTCCCCTTCCTTGGAGTCCCCAGTGTCTACTGTTTCCATCCTTATGTGTGTGTAATCATTGTTTAGCTTCCACTTATAAGTGAGAACATGTGGTATTTGATTCTCTGTTTCTGTGTTAATTCACTTAGGATAATGACCTGCAGCTGTATCAACGTTGCTGCAAAGGACATAATCTCATTTGTTTTCATGGCTGTGTAATATTTCCTTGTTAATATGTACCACATTTTCTTTATCCAATCCACATTGATGGGAATCCAGGTTGGTTTTGGTATTGTCAATCGTTAACAATACCAAAATACAAGTGAGTACAGGTATCTTTTTGGTAGAACATTTTTTTTTCCTTTTGGTAGATACCCAGTAGTGGGATTGCTGGGTCGAATGGTAGTCTTATTTTTGTTGTTATTTGAGGAATCTCCAAGCTCCTTTCCATAGGGGCTGAACTAATTTACATTCCCACCAACAGTGTGTCAGTGTTCCCATTTCTCTGAGTCCTCACCAACATGTTATTTTATGACTTTTTAATAGTCATTCTGACTGGTGTGAGATGATATCTCATTGTGGCTTCAGTCTGCATTTCTCTGACAGTTAGTGGTGTTAAGCATTTCTCTTTTCATGTTTGTTGGCCACATGTATGTCTTCTTCTGAGAAGTCTGTTCATGTCCTTCGTCCACATTTTAATAGGGTCATTTGTTTTTGTTGTTGTTGATTTGTTTAAGTTGCTTATAGATTATGGATATTAGTCTTCTGTTGGATGCATAGTTTACAAATATTTTCTTCCATTTTGTAGGCTGTTTACAATTTTGATAGTTTATTATGGCTGTGCAAAATTTCTATAGTTTAATTAGGTACCAATTGTCAATTTTTATTTTCGTTGATTTTGCTTTTGCTTTTGAGGTCTTAGTCATAAATTCTAGGCCAATGTCCAGAAGAGTATTTCTTAGGTTGTCTTCCAGGATTTTTATAGTTTGAGGTCTTATATTTAAGTCTTTAATTCATCTTGAGTCATTTTTTTGTGAGAGATAGGGGTCCAGTTTCAGTCTTCTGCTTATTGCTAGCCAGTTTTCCCAGCATGAATTTGGATGTTTTAAGACTTAAAAAATAATTTTCTATTTTGTAAAGCAAATTGATTTGTGTGTAGATAGGCTCCATTACATCTATACTGACTTTGTTCTTTCTTAGTAAAACATATTTTAATTTCCTGGAACACTGTGTCTTTGTCGGAAAGTGGTGTGTGGCAGATGAACAGACAGAAAAGATAGGGAATGAGAAATGGGGACTGCGACAACGGGAGCTGCAGGAAACATCACACAAATATAAATTCATCTCCCACTAGAGGAGAGATAGCTTTAAAGAATAGAAATTTCATTGTATATTCACCTTGTTTTAAGATGTATCCTTATATAAGTATCATTTAATCAGAATGGAAAGATTTACTTGCTTTGTGGTAATTGTGTTGCTGGGACTTTGAGTAGAAAATGGAGTCTATCCTGAGGAGTGAATATCTTCTCCATCCAACATGCTGTGAAGAGGCTGTTCCTAAGGGAGGCAATGCTTAAGGAAAAGGTGATAATTAGACCTAAAGACAGAAGATAGTTATCTCACTCTGGACCTTTTAAGAGTGCATCCCATATTCTAAGGTAGAAACAGGGTAGCAGGCATTCCTGTTTGTAGCAGACACTCCTGTTTCTAATAAGAAAGAAAGCACTAATCATCAACCTTGTAAAACAGATGTGGACTCACTATCTGTGTTATCTTTTTTCATTATCTCCCAACATTCACTACAACTATGTTAAATTATAATGTCGTCTGAACTATCACTGACCCAATTCTCCCAGCTTTTACATTTCCCTTCTCCCTAGCAAGTCCTCTCTCACTTTTAATGTAATGTGAATTTCCTTTATTATTTAAGATGATTCAATTCTGCTATAGGAAATAGGAAAAAGAGACAAATGAGATAAATTAGATGTGGAAACAAGTAGCTTGTGAGGCATAGACAGAATTCACGAAAATATTAAGTAAATCAGTAAACTATATTGTGGGTTAGGAATAGATAACATAAGTAAAACAGGTATGCACCAAACATAAAGACAGAAAGATCAAGTGGCACTTAATATTCATAACACACTGCATATACCTGCGGCATATAATACTCCTGATACATAACAAATTCATGAGGCTTATGAAGGCACACAATATTTATGAGTTCTTAAATTGACCAACCATTTGTGAAACCCTTCTGACCCTACCTGTGGTTTCCCAAGAGACATAAATAAAATCTACAGCTGCTCTTCAGGTTAAATGATGAACTACAGCTTGGCCAGGTGTACTTCTAACTGTGTCTCTCTGATAGAACATATCTAGGGACTCAGTATGTCTTTTCTGTCTTCCTTGTAATCTATCCTAAGTGGGTTATTTTACCTTTATTTTTTCCCTTGACCCTCCACTGTGTGTTTTTAATTGAGTTACTAGTCTATGTTATTTGAAAATCTCTACTTGGTCAGTGTGTCTTTCTGTTCCTTGAACTCTGGGATGTATTTTCTGGGGGTATCATCAGAGGATGACAATGCAGTGAGGTAAATCTTCACACAAAAGCCACCATTCTCCTTATAATACTGCACACAACATTGGGCTCCCTAGAAATAGCAACTGAAATTTACAATGATATCTGTGAGTGCCTGTATTTATCCACAGAGTGAGAAAAATACAAAGAGCTTGCCAGAGACTTCCATCTGTCTGTACCCAGAGCCTGCCACATCCTTGCTCCGGTTGGATGGTGCTCATTGAGCATTCTTCTTTGGCTGGCACGTTGTCACCTTCCATACACCTGTGTGGACCCAAATATAACAAAATCTCCAATATGCCACATGCAATTATTCGGCTTAGCTTTACCACTCAGTTTTACTTTGTCCTTAATCTTGTTTTTTTTCCCTCTTTGCAACATATAACTGCCTAAACGTTCTTCAGTATAAATTGCTTTGTGAATACTTTTCTGTACTTCATCATCTGTCATGATCTTGCCTAGTGAAGCTAGGCTTCAGCAAGTAACTGCTGAAGTGTTACCGTCACTGTGAACAAGACAAAAAAAAAAAAAAAAAAAACAGCTGCGGAATCATGCAGATGCCAAACTTACACAAACAAGCTTTTAATTTTTGTTTGTTTATTTATTTATTTTTGAGATGACGTCCACTCTGTTGCCCAAGCTGGAATGTAATGGCACGACCTTGGCTCACTGCAACCTCTGCCCCCATAGTTCAAGTGATTCTCCTGCCTCATCCTCCTGAGTAGCTGGGATTATAGGCATATGCCACAACGCCCAACTAATTTTTGTATTTTTAGTAGAGATGGGGTTTCACCATGTTGGTCAGGCTGGTCTCAATCTCTTGACCTCTTGATCTGCCCACCTTGGCCTCTCAAAGTGCTGGGATTACAGGACAAGCTTTTCTTTTATCAATTTACTTTGTTTACTCAGATGTATCTCATTTGCCCCTACAGCAACTTGAACACTTCCAAGTGCTTTAGTGCTACTAAGTGACATTTGAAGCAATTGGTGGCAAAATTTCACAGCCATCTCTTAGACTAATAATTTTCTTTTTCCATTTACTTATAATTTTCAATATGATTCTTTTTTCCTCCTCCATCCTTGCCTCTCATCACTTCTAATCACTTCTAAATTTTTTCTTCCTTTTTTATTTAAAACCCCTACTTTTTTCTTACGTATCTGCCCACTCTTTTTTGCCTTTCAAAATATTGATTTATTTCTTTTCAAATGTGGGTTGTGATGGTTAATACTGTCAACTTGATTGGATTGAAGGATGCAAAGTATTGATCCTGGGTATATCTGTGAGGGTGTTTCCAAAGGAGATTAACATTTGAGTCAGTGGGCTGGGAAAGGCAGACTCACCCTTAATCTGGGTGGGCACCATCTAATCAGTTGCCAGCATGGCCAGTATATAAAACAGGCAGAAAAACATGAAAAGGTGAGACTGGCCTAGCCTCCTAGCCTACATCTTTCTCCAGCACTGGATGCTTCCTGCCCTCCAACACAGGACTCCAGGTTGTTCAGCTTTGGGACTCAGACTGGCTTTCTGGCTCCTCAGCTTGTAGACAGCCTATTGTAGGACCTTGTGATCACATGAGTTAATAACACCTAATAAACTCCATATATATATATACACACACATATGTAATATAGGATATATATATATATATATACGTAATATAGGATATACATATATATATATCCTATTTTTCTGTCACTCTAGAGAACCCTAATACATGAGTGCTTCTAGTACCAAGTGAGTCCTTTTTATAGAATTCCTTATGTTAACCCTAAAAATGACAAAGAACTACTCACACAAAAAAGGTGAAAATATATAGCATTTTAAAACAGCACTTATACACACCTTAGAGAAACTTTTTTGACAAAGTGGAAAAGCCTTGCTTTGGTGCTTTATCTGTGAGCTTACACTTAGAGTTGAAGAGTGACACCTCCTTAGCGATTGTGCATTTGGATAGGTAGAATTGGCTACCAATGGCCAGGGAGAAACTTTAGTATTATGAGCATTGTTTTGAATTCTAAACACCTCATTGATAGACCCCCATATAGATAAGAACAATAATTGGCAAATTTATTATTTTAATAACATCCCTTCTCTCTGTAGTGGGGGGTAAAACTCAACATCCTTAGTACTCCACATGTTAAAAATTACTAGTCCTAATGATTGTAATTTACTCCTAAATGCAAAGTAATTGATTGCTGTGTTTCAGCATGTGTCTTTCCAAATAAGTTTATTTTGCAGTGATGATGACCAGCTGCTAGCTGTATTTTAAGTCTAGTCTTTAGCCAATTTTTTAATCAGGGTCTATTGGAAATGTGGAAATGAGGCCAAGTTTCTCTGTGATGTCTTCGATTCTTCATCCTTTCTCTTCCTGTAAGGGGCTTCAATATCACAACCATCACCCTTCTGCAACTCGTTCTTATCTCTACCTTTAGGAAAGGGTCAGATAGGAATTGTTGATTAGTTGGTCATTTAAGCCTATATGCTACCTTTTGCACATTTGCATATGAAGCATTTTCAAGAAGTAATTGTTTCAGCATACATTATTTGGCCAACTATTAGGCAGGCAGTACTGTTTCTTATGATTTTATAATAATAGATGATTTTATAATAATATCACATAAATCCTGCCTTCAAGAGGTTAAAAAATCCAATCAGGCTGAAGAACATAGCAAGGCCCACATCTTTAAAAAAATATATGATTTCTCTGATAAAGGAATTTCAGACATCAATTACCAGCTAACTTGGGAGTGAGAACAATGTTCGTTCTCTCTGCAAACTACTTGGCATGGATAGTTGCTTCTTCTAGAGTGAATGAGAGTATCGTTCAGAGAATATAACATAATGGAAGATAAGGGGTTTTTGGAACAATATGTCAGAACTTGATCTTAGTTTGCTACTTACTAGCTGCATGACTTGAAAAAATATTTAATTACTCCAAATATCAAATTTTTAATCTAGAAAATGAAGATAAAAATTACATCTCAAAAAATTTTTAGATGATAATAAATTCATTAATTAATATAAAACAATATGAGTTTAAAAATAAGAGGAAGAAATGAAATGGGGTCAATTAATATAAAAATATTACAAATATACAGTTTGATAGAAGAAATAAAATCCAGAGCTTAATAGATCAGTAGGATGGTTATAGTTTATAAAAATCTATAGCATATTTCAAAATAGTTAGAAGAGAACAATTCTGATGTTTCTAGCATAAAGAAAATATAAACATTTAAGGTGATGAATATCCCAATTACACTGATTTGATCTTTGCAGATTGTATGATTGATGTATTAAATTAAATTCCATGGACTCCTGGGAATCCATGGAATTGAGCATTAGGGAAAAAGAGTTGGACTGACTGTTTTGGATTTATCTATATGGTGTGTGTGTGTGTGTGTGTGTTTGTGTGTGTGTGTGCGTGTGTGTTTTGGTGGTGGTAAACATTAATTCTTATTAATTAAAAAAATACAAACTTAAAGTATAATAAAAAAAGGAAAAAATACAAAATGGTAAAATATTAACTACCTTGGATAGCACATACAGCTCCATTTGGAGTAATTATCCCCATTATTGATTAAAAATTCTACACAATACAATTAGAATAAAATGCTTATGTACTGGGCCTTTGCTTCCTAAAATTCACCAACTATTCTAACTTGTATTTCATATTTTAGTTTTAAAATACATTTTACCTCTGCTCCCTGTAACTTATGAAATTAATAACCAAAAATAACACCAAATTCAATATGCATTTTTTTATTATTTAAAACTAAAGAGGTTTTGACATCTATAATTTTAAAAAGGGTGGGCTTAGAGACTTACGCAAATAAAGACAAATTAAAGCAATGGCAAATTTTGTCAAAACAATAAAAAGAAGGTTGTTAAGGCAAAACTCATAGTTCTTGTGACAGAATATATATTACTTTTACAATAATTTAATTGAAAATTTTGACAAGGACTAAATAATGGTGCCATATGTCTTTAAGTCTATGATCTAGTGCTTTTAATTTTGAAGTACTAGTGAGCCCCATTTTGTCTATATGTAAAACCTGTGAATATTTCTTTTTTATTTCTGCTTATATTTATAAAGTGCATCCTAAGAGATTCAAAGGTTAATGTTTTACTCAATATGAAAATGTGGAATGTATTTTTGCTGATACTTGATGCACAAACATGAAGAATTCTGCCAATAATATAGATTACACTACAGCAGATTGCACCATTATTTATAGGACAACTGTCTGAGAAGCAAAATAAACTCTTAAAGTTGTCACCAGCATAATTTGAGATATGCTAAAGTGCACAATTCTGTAGATAGATAGATAGATAGATAGATAGATAGATAGATAGATAGATAGATAGATATAGACGGATTGACAATTATATTTACAGCAAGCACCTTAAGTGAAAATGACCACACAGATTATTGAATTTGCAAGCATCTGTTAGCCTTTGTTGGGGATACAAGATCAATGAGTTATACTGGCTGGCCTTTATTATGCATGTTTTCTAATATACATTGATGACGAAGTGAAAAAGGATATCTTCATGGTATTTGTCACTGATTAAAATCTCTTAAGCAATTTTCTAGCTTTAAATAATATCTTCTTAACATGTGTGTGTGCACACACGTATGTATGTGTACAATGACTGACCAGCCTCTTATATCTGAGATTTTAATTTGTATTTTCTCATAAAGCATTTCACTAAACATATATATTTAATAGTCATGTATATCAAATATAATACAAATTCAGTTGTGAAAGGTATGTTTATTGCCTATGATCTAAAGCTTTTTTTAGTAGCAATAGGTAAAATAAAAGCAAAAAAGAAAATCCAAGGAATGGGAAGTGGGGAGGTGCTACGGTGAAGAACTGTGAATACTCGCAGCATAGTTTCTCCATGGCTATTGCTGGAGGCACTATCTCTCTTGCTGAGAAATCAATGAATCTTCCAAAAACTAAAAGCATGCCCTCCTCCCACTCTTTCAGGATATGCTTATCTGGTTGGTATACAATTTCAGAACGAGAGCCCCATGATCAACGCAAAAACAAATTTGCAGCAAATTTGTGTTGCCGCAAGAAACATGCGGCAACACAAATTTCTTATAAAAACCAGTGGTGACATTATCACGAACTCCAAATGCATAGCTCTGGACCCATTTGGTGAGCTACTGGAAAAGAATAACTGCTCCAAGTAGTTAGTGTCACAAGATGCCCTTGCAAGAGTTTTAATTTTGGTAAAGAAGAGCAATCAGTTTCTTTTCAATTCACTTAAATCTGGATACTATTTGAAAAACTAAAGCAATGCTGCTACATAATTCTCCAAGTTACATGCTCCTTTTAGTGCTATATGAATTTCCAAGTTATATGTTCATGGTGCTTGATTTAAGCAATCCCTATTATTGGACTGCTAAATTGTTTTTCTTTGTGTTTATTAATTTTTGCTTATGTGGTAGAGATTTATTAAACATATTTGTATAAACTTTCAGTACAAATATATATTTACCTGTGAGAATTCTAGGATTAAAGAGTATGAACTCTTAAAATATGTATATGTTCATTTTTTTCTTTCTTTCCTACAGGATGGACCGATTTTCATTTAACCATCAGTAGATAAGAGTGCCTATCTCAATGTCTCAAGAATTTATCTAATAAATCTTAGCCAACTTGATATGTACAAAAGGGTATCTCAGTATTGTTTGATTTTAATTACTTCACTTAATAACCAGATAGTGCATTTTCCATATATTGAATTTTTATAGTGATCTTTTAAATTAATATATCCAGTTTTCTATTTTCCTTTTACTATTTATGATGTCTTTAGATGTGTTACTTTAAGTGTAGAAATTTAATCTATTTACCTTAATTTAAGAGAAATTGGACATCTTATTTTATCAATTAAGTTTAGAGATCTAATTTTAAAATGGACAATAGCAAAAAATCAGGAGAGTGCTCTCATAGGTTTGTGCTTAATGGTGGTAATGTAATGGGACAGCCCAACCAATCCTGTGTGCAAGGATGCCCATACTTTGTTCATCTGTCCAATTAATCACTGATGCTTTCATCAGCTTAAAAAAAAAAAAGGAAGGAAAAAGCCCAAGCTTTCCCCATGAGGCTATCTCCCCCTTTTCTTTAGTTGTGTACATACCACAGGCACTTACTCACTTACACTTATTCGAAGGACTTCAGTCATGTTTCTGGTAGTAAAGTGGAGCAAGTGAACTAGACTGTCCCATCAGCCCACTGGCATTTTTTAATCAATTATTGCCACAGTGAGTAATATAAAACATCAGCCCTACATAATATAATGATAGTGGCTGTGCTCAGGTAATACGCAGATGATTTCCAATTGCGGCTAAGCTCCAAGATTTGTCTAATTTACCTCACACTTACCTGACGGGTCCCAAAGCACTACCACATGCCAGGGAGATGGGTCTGCAAAAGGCTGCAAATCTGGTTGTAAGCCTGGTCAGGACAATCCCTCCTGATGGTCTTTGTGTTAGATCCAGATCCCAAAGGTAGGGGTTCTCTCCTATCATGGTGAATTAATTCCTCTTTGTAGTCTTTTAAGCTAGGAAACTTTGTTTATGAAGATAGCAATTCACTCCCACAGTTTTACTTAACTTTCAAACTTGGGAGGAAAGGCATTGGATATCTGGGACCCTTCCTTCCCAGAATGCACATGGCTCCTTACACTCCCCCAAATTCTTTTCAGGGGCTAGAGAAACTTTCCATAAGCCAAACTAACATTTCTACTATATAATTTCTCCAACACAAGAAGTTTCTGCTTGTCTTAAATTTTTATAACCAAGAAACACAACTGAAGTAACACTTTCAAGAACATAAAAAATTTCTTTCTTGTTGATTTTTGGCAGCTTATTAAAAGAAAAACAGCAACAAGATTTACCTTATTGATTATTCTGATTAGAATGTCTTAAATAAATTTGAAAGACAATTTTAAGATTATTTTACAATGTATTATATGTTTTGACAACATTGTTGTGTTATTTATTAGATGGAAAATACTATAAGAAACATAATTGTATATTCAGAACACCTTATCTACTTCCTTCTTTCATTCAGTTACGGTAATTCTTCTGATCATCATTTGAGATGGTTCTATTTATTCTGTTCTTACAGAGCCAGTTCATTGCCAGAGTGTGAATGCAAACTCCTTTCCTCTCTCTTGTAATGGCTTGACCTGAGGAGTTTCAGGTGGCTGAAATCTGGTCTGATTTAAGCTGGGTCATTATTCTTCTGTTCTTGAGCCACAATGTTACTAAACCAGCAAAAAAGTACAAAATAACCAAATGGTGATTTCTTCATTCATTCAAGGAAAGTTTATCAAAAATTTACTGAGTACCAGGAGCTGTGCAAGATTCTTAACTGGCAGTGATGAAAAATGCAGGTAAAATGCTGTATCCTCCAAAAACTGACAGTACTTAAGGAGTAACAGCTAAATGAAAAGAGGAAGAAAACTGCAAAAGAAACTCTAATTGTGGTTTGGTCTCTAATGTGTATGTGGTTTTAAGCATGTTTTTTACCTCTCTGGGTTTCAGTTTCTATATGTAAAAATTGTGGAATACATTTTCAAATTTTAAAATTCTATGAATTTTTTACAGGGTAGCTGACAATTTTTACATTTTGGTGAATGAAATTTTCAAATGACAATTATATTTAAGATAAAAAAAATTTGAAAGCCTTGGTTTGTGTCTTTTAATTACTGTTACTGCTTCACTTATTCACAACCATGTAAATTCTCATTGAGTTTTTAATATTGTGGTAAAAATATATGACACCAAATTTGTCATTTCAACTATATCTAAGTGTACAATTTAGTATAATTATATTCACAATGTTGTGCAAACATCACCCCTATCTATTTCCAAAACGTTTTCATCACTCCAAATAGAAACTCTGAGGTCATTAAGCAATAACTCTCCATTATTTCCTCCCCTGATCCTTGGTAACCTCTAATCTAACTTCTATCTCTATACATTTGCTTATTCTTAATATCTCATATAAATGAAATCATGCAGTATTCTTTCTTTTGCATCTGATTAAATCACTAGGCATGTTTTTAAGTTTCATCCATGTTGAAATATGTATTAGAAATTCATTTCATTATATGGCTGAATAATATTTCACTGTATGTATATGTATACACACGCATGCGCACACCTACACTTTTTTTAATCCATTTAACTGTTGATGGGCACCTTCAATATTTCTATCTTTTGGCTATTTATTGTGGATAATGCTGAAAGGGACATTGCTCTGTTTGAGTCCCTGCTTCCAATTGCTTTGGGTATATGCCTTGTAGAATTCTGGACCATTCAGTAATTCTATATTTAGCCCACTGAGAAGCCACTAACCTCCTTTCAATAGTGGCTACACCATTTTATATTCCCACCAGCAGTTCACATGGGTTTCCATTTCTGCACATCCTGGATATTTGTTATTTTCCATTTTTTGGATAATAGCCATCCTAATGAGTGTAGAGGAGTATCTCATTATGGTTTTGATTTGCATTTCCCTCATTACCAGTGATGTTAGTAAACTTTTCATGTGCTTATTAGCAAGTAATTTGTGCATCTTCTTCGGAGAAATGTCTATTCAAGTATTTTGCCCATTTTTAAAGCTGGGTTTTTGTTGTTGTTGTTGAGTTAGGAGTTCTTTGTATGTTCTGGATATCAAACTCTTATTAGATATATGATTTGCAAATATTTTCTACCATTCTGTGGGTTTTCTTCTCACTTTCTTGATCATATCCTATGATGTGCAAAACTTTGTAATTTTAATGAGGTCTAATTTATCTATTTTTTGTTTGCTTGTTTTGTTTTATTGCTCACGATTTTGATGCCATATACAAGAATCCATTGTAAACTCACAGTTATGAAGATTTATACCTATGTTTCCTTCTAGAGTTTTAGGATTTTAGGTATTATATTGAGGTCATTGATTCATATTGGATTAATTTTATTATATGGCATGAGGCAGGGGCCGAAATCCACACTTTTGCATATGAAAATCCAGCTGTCGCAAAATCATTTCTCCCATTCTTTGCAAATTAGCCCTAAGCTTGGGTACTTCTTCAACAATGGTTTGTACTGAGCCATACTGAGCCAAGAGATAAGCCATAGGTGAAAGCATAGGGTCTTTTCAAGTCTGTTATGGGAATATATATGGCTTCTAAATTCCCTACTATACATACGTATTTTTGAATGTCCTGATTTCCCAAAAAATTTGCCCCCAGCATTCTTCCTTGGCATGGATCATTTATTGTGTATCTCAGCCATAATCTTTTGCCCCAAGTGACTGTGGGTTTTTCATTAGCTTTATAATACTTTTGAGTAATATTCATCTCTTTTCTATTCTGAATTCAGTGTTAGGTGAAATGGAGATATGAACCTTGCATCAGTAGTTCTGGTAGCCCCTAGACAAGTGATAAACATATAACCAATTATTTGTGAATAATATCCACTTTACTCCCTCCAGAACCTGGGACCAGGATCCCACCTTGGAAACACAGGCCCCTAAGTCAGTGAAGGAGTGGGACAAGGCCAATACAAATGCCTCAAAGTTTTCCTACCATTTGTAAGTTGCTTTATTTTTTAATTTTAACTGAGCTTAAAATCTCAGCTGAAGTTTGAGTATAGCAGAGATTATTAACCCAAAAGGAGGGCTGATTAAAAAAATTAATTTTCATAATATAACCTCATCTTAGTTCCTATTTTTATTTTTTAAAGGGCTTTTAAAATACTTACACATCTTTATCTAATTTATTTTGTATCTACTGGAAAGTGTCTGTAGCCCTGAATTCTTGAAATAAACATTTTTCAGAGCCAAGAACTTTCTGATTGATTTTTGGGTCTACAGTTACTTAAATAATAAGTTGCTACTCATTTATGTATTTTTCTCCAATGTATTCATCTCCTTGTCAGACCAAATTAAAGAGAGTAAAACAATAACTAAGCTAATAGATGAATAAGTAACAATGATATATCATGTCCAATGCCTGCTAACCTGTGATCATTCTAAGTAGTTGGCAGAAGATTTGCCATTTACAGTGGTTTATTTAAAAAAGTGTCAGTTTTGCCATATTTGTTATATTTTGTGGCATATAGGCCGTCAGAACGTTGGTATTTGTGGATTATGGATGAATTCTATAAGTGACCATTCATTTTCACATTTCTAGCCTACGCCTATTCCTATATGTTATATATATTTTATATATATATATAATATATATATAATATATATTTAATTAAAGTAGTGTATATATATAACAGTAGTATATATATATATATACACTGCTTTAATTAATCTTAATATCAACTGAAATTTATCTTGTATTCTATTTGTTGCTGTTAGATGAAGTGTTTCTTTCTTGTTTCCTCCAAAAAGTTCTAATTTGCATAGATTTCCAGGGCAACATTGTTCTTTACTTACAAATGCCTGTATTTCTATTATTTCTGATATGCCCTCAAGGGTTTTAATTGATGAAATAAGTCTTTTTCTTAATGTCATTTACTATGTTGATTTTTTTTTAATATTTCTGCCATTTGTTAGAATTTTATTCTCCTTATTCCCAGAAACAGTTTCACACTTCACAGGCTAAAATGATATCTATGGATGGGCTCTATAATGTTTTGGAATGCTCTGGTTGGCTGCATTTTTAGTTTTGCTCACTAAAAAATGGCATAAGAATTTAAAAGTTATATTCTTAGCTTTAAAAACTAAGTCAAAATTCTTTCGGACATGTGGTCCATTTCTAATACTCAGGACAGATCAGGAGGGGATGGTAGGCAGAAACTGGTAGGAGATTATTCATTGGTGTAGAACAGTTGATGAGATCCTGATTTACCCATAAAAGATGATACACTGAAAGGTGGCTAATAACATCACTGGAGCTGGAAACTTAGACATGATTTCACAAATGATTGACACGTCAGGGCTAGGAAAGAGTCTACCTTTTAACTGGGGTTCTAACCAGGGTTCTCATCCTAAAGCTATGTTAGATATAAGAGAAACCTTCTTTATTAAACAAAACCCAGAGCTCCAACATTTCAGCCTGGTAAGAAGAAGTTGGAGGAGGATGAGATCAGTTCATTAATCTGCTCTGATTCTGTTTCTCTTTGATCTTTTTCCCATTTGGTTCCCTCACTCAGATTAACAGTGTTACCTTCACACTGAGTTATTCCATTTTCACACTCTGGTACAGTATAGAAAGAAATGCTCTCTCATGGGTTTTCAAAGCACAACTAAAATGGCTTTAATATTAACAAATAAGACTATAAAGAAAGAAAACAAATAAATAGACTCTTACTTGCCACATGTAGGTTTAATACCTCACTATAATGAAGGCTATTCCAATGTGTACACATTTTATCCATCTCTGCCTCCAGTGCCAGAGCTGGGATACAGCTTCATCATCACCTTGTCTGCATTCCCTGCTTTCCCATTCCCAGGTTGCCTTCATGTCAAAGTTGCCAACATACCTCCAGCAAAAAAGAATTTAATGCAACTGGTAATGCTAAGCTTTCTTCTCACTATTAACCCAAATGTTTACATTGCATATTTTAGGCTTCCATGATTTTCACTTTGCGTATTGAAATTAGCATGTACAAATGTTTATCTTTTTTTATTATACTTTAAGTTTTAGGGTACATGTGCACAATGTGCAGGTTAGTTACATATGTATACATGTGCCATGTTGGTGTGCTGCACCCAGTAAATCGTCATTTAACATTAGGTATATCTCCAAATGCTATCCCTCCCCCCTCCCCCCACCCCACAACAGGCCCCTGTGTGTGATGTTCCCCTTCCTGTGTCCATGTGTTCTCATTGTTCAATGCCCACCTATGAGTGAGAACATGCGGTGTTTGGTTTTTTGTCCTTGCGATAGTTTACTGAGAATGATGGTTTCCAGCTTCATCCATGTCCCTACAAAGGACATGAACTCATCATTTTTTATGGCTGCATAGTATTCCATGGTGTATATGTGCCACATTTTCTTAATCCAGTCTATCACTGTTGGACATCTGGGTTGGTTCCAAGTCTTTGCTATTGTGAATAGTGCCGCAATAAACTTACATGTGCATGTGTTTTTATAGCAGCATGATTTATAATCCTTTGGGTATATACCAAGTAATGGGATGGCTGGGTCAAATGGTATTTCTTTATCTCTTAATTGTGAATTTTATCACTTAAAAATCATGAGGCTATGCAGAAAGATGCAATTCCTTGTTCTTTTCCTCTCTCTTTATTTTATATTCTTTAAGTCTGATTTAATCTGTAAGTTTGATTTAACTCCTGAAGTCTGATTCAGACATTGCCATACACAGTCTTCCCATTATTTATGGCTTTTTGCTGAGGACACTGTCTCTTTACATTTTGTTCATTTTCTTTCAGAGATTCTAAGAGATTACTTTGAAAATATTTTTCTTGGAAGCATTTTTGAAGTTGTTTTTCTCTGTAGTTTTGAATGAATCATCTGATCTCTGCTCTTTATTTAAACATCATTTCAAAATTTAATCTCCTCCATAAGACTAAATAACATTCTGTGTGATAGCAGACATTTTCTGCACAGCATTACAAAAGGGAAACAAAGTATTGTTATAGTAACTTGGACTTTTAATTATGTTTATTTGTATGTTTGTGAACCTCCTATTTCACTGCAAACCACAGTCCAACATTCTGTGTAAACTTTTTATTCATTCATTAATTCATTCATTCATTCATTTAATTATTCAACAATTTTTTTATTAGATGCCCACAGTGGGCCAGGCCCTTTTCATGCACTTGGCATTTGTTATACAACAGAAAGCGGCCTTGTTTTTATTCTTGTGGCAGGTGGTGAGAGAGAACAACAAATTGAAGAAATACATTATATTATGCCAGAGTATATCTGTATATTAATGTTATATGTAATAAGAGTCTATGTGGGAAAAAAAACTGGGCCAGTAAAGCAGGGTAGCAGACAGATCAAGTGCTAGGGTGGAATGGGGCATATTAAAATATTAAATAATGTTACCACCGTAGGCCTCTCAAGGAGAAAACATTGGAGTCAAGATTTCAAGGAGCAAGAGAATTAGCCAAATGGATATCAAAGAGAAATCCTTCCAGCTATCCAGCTATAAAAAACAGGCCAAGCAAGTATTCTATTATTTCATAATAAATCACCACAAACAGTAAGTTAAAACAACACCCATTTCTTATCTCACACTTGTGTAGCTCAGAGGTCTGGGTAGATGTGACTGGGTTCTCTGTTTAGAGTTTCACCAGGCCAAAAGCAAGGTTTTGGGCAGAGTAGGCTATCTGGAGGACCTGAGGAAGAATCTACTTCCCAGCTCATTCAGGTCATTGGTAAAGTTCAGTTTCTTGTGGTTGCAGGTGTAAGTCAGCACCTTCCTGTTGGAGGCCAGCAGGGGAACACAATCAGCTCCCAGAAGTCACTCTCAGTTCTTCCAGGCAGCCCATTCCATTCCAGTGGCAGAGAATCTTTCCCATGACAAACCCCTCTCATGCTTCAGATCTCCCTGGCTTCCTTTTCTGCTACCATCCAGAGAAGACTCTCTACCGTCAAAGAGCTCCTGTAATAAGGTTAGATCCACTAGTATAATCTTCTTTTTAATTAATTCAAAGTCAACTGATTAGCCTCAGTTACATCGGCAAGATCCATTTTTTCCAGGTAATGACACATGTTCATGGGTGTGATCTCTCATCATAATCAGTCCTGGGATCAGGGTGAGATATTTTGGGGAGGCATTTTATAAGTCTGCCTACCACAGGCCCCAAGGCAATGATATTCCAGGAACATTGAGAAGTCACAGGTAGCTGGAGAGGAGTGTACGTGGGGGTTCCAAGAGGTAATAAGCGACCTTATGCAGGGTCTGAAAGTTGTGGGAAGAGTTCACGGAGGTAATGGGAGATGCTTACATGGGGTACTGTAGGTTATCTTAAGAACTTTGAATGTTACATGGAGTGAAATATGGAGCCACTACAGGATTTAGGATAGAGTTTTTAAATATTTTTCTTACTTGAGGACAAACCATTGTACAGAAGAACAAAGTATATACATTTTTTCTTCTAAACATTGCTGAATATAATAAGTAGCTTTAAATTCTTTTAATTTATTTTTATATTAGCATTAGAAATAAACATTAAACATTTCTTTCCTGAAATGGAACCATCAGAGAATTTTTTTAAAAAATTATGTTCCAATGGAAGCAGATGATAATTTATAAAGCAAATAAATTTGACACATTTGGTACTCAGGAGAAATCTTTTCAGACTTTGTGATCAAATTCTGTCAAATTTTCTAGTCATTTTCTTTATATTTTGTTTTTATAGTTGCTTTTTATTTGATTAAATGTTAGTAACAATTCTGATGAAAATGTCAATGATCATGACAGCAACGACTAGTGCTTACTAAATTCCTGTACTCAGCAGACATTTTTCTCAATGCTTTACTTCTTTAATTCATCAGTCATCACAAAAATCCCTAGAGGTAGCAACTGTAATTTTCTCCATTTTATACATGAGGATAGTGTGGCATGGAGAGCTTAAGAAATCTGCTCTGGATATGTTAATTTGTTTCACTATTGTAACTATTTTATTATACACATGTACCACATAAAATCATGTTGTATACCTTAAATACACAAAACAAAATTTTATTTTTAAAATAATAATAATAAATCTATTCTGGGTCTCACAGCTACTGTGACACACTAAATGTGATGAACATGCAAAATCACATCTAAGCCTTACAACTCTTCACATATACCATATGTGAAAGGTACAATGATCATCACTATTTTTCAGCAACAAAAACACACTAAGCTATATGCATGTTAGGTAGCTTTTCCACACTCTTATGGTTAATTGCAGAGTTTGACTTGAATTTATGTCCTCTGGCTCTAGGGCCTGGGATGAATACCCCCTGTTAACATTTCTTGTCTTAAGAACACAGAAGTCTGGGCTGAGCCCACCTTGAACTAAGGGGTGGGTCAGCAAACTTTTTATAAAAAGGGCCAGATGGTAAATATTTTAGGCTTTGCAGGTGATAGTGTCTATCACAACTACACAACTCTACCATTGTAGCAAGAGAGCAGCCACAGACAATGTATACACAAGTAGTGTGTATGTTGAAGTGGCTATGTTGAAATAAAACTGTACACTAGTTCCCCCTTATCTTAGGGGGATATGATGTAATACCCCTGGTGGGTACCTAAAGCCATGGAGTACTGAACCCAATTGAAGTCAATCAGAATGCATTTCTGTTCATGTCTTCTGCCCACAAATTTAATACCTTTTCCATCTTAACTAAGCACTTCTCATACACTGTGGCTACAACTTTGGCAGTTTAAGGTGTGACAGCAAAACTGGTGTAACTGCCCAATGGGTTGGTCTTGCCTGCTGCCCAGATTGAACTGATTTATCAAGACAGGAGAAGTGCAATAGAGAAAGAATTTAATGCAGGCAGAGCCAGCTAAATGGGATACCAGAGTTTTATTATTACTCAAAACAGCCTCCCCCCAAATTTGGAGGTTGGGGTTTTTAAAGATCATTTGGCAGGCAGTGGGCTAGGGAATGGGGATTGCTGATTGGTTGGATTGGTGATAAAATCATAGGGAATCAAAGCTGTCCCCTTGTGCTGAGTCAGTCCTAGGTGGGGACCACAAGAACAGATAAACCAGTTTACAGGGCTGGGTAGCTCCAGCTGATCCATCAGAATGCAGGTTCTGAAAAGTACCTCAAACAGCAATCTTAAGTTTTATAATAATGTTATTATCTATAGGAGCAACTGGGGAGGTTAGTAATTTTGTGGCCTCTGATTGCATGACTCCTGAGCCACAATTTCTAATCTTGTGGATAATTTGTTGGTTTTACAAAGGCTGTCTCTCAGCAAAGAGGGGGTTTGCTTGGGGGAAGGGCTGTTATCATCTTTATTTCAAAGTTAAACTACAAACTAAATTCCTCGCAAAGTTTGTTCACCCTACACCCAGGAATGAACAAAGGCAGCTTGGAGGTTAGAAGACAGACAGAATTGGTTAGATCAGATCTCTTTCACTGTCAGAATTTTTTTCAGCTATAATTTTTGCAAAGGCAGTTTCACTAGCACAAATTTCTGTTGCCTTCTTCACAATTTAATAGATAGAAGATTCATTCTTACTATAGATCTTAGCAACCTCAGCATACAACTTTTTTATTTCCTTATGAAGTCAAGAACTTTCACCTTTTCACTTAAAGAAAGCACTTTATGGCTTCTCTTTGGCATATCTGAACTGTCAGCAACACTACTTGTGATGGTTAATATTCGGTGTCAGCTTTACTGAATTGAAGGATGCCGAGATGGCTAGTAAAGTATTGTTTCTGGGTGTGTCTGCGAGGGTCTGCTGGAGGAGACTAACATTTGAGTCAGTGGACTAGGAGAGGAAGACTTGCCCTCCGTGTGAGTGGGCACCATCCACTTGGCTGCCAGCGCAACTACAACAAAGCAGGGGGAAGAAGGTGGGATAAGTTTACTTGCTGAGTCTTCTGGCTCTCTTTCTTCTTCCAGTGCTGGATGCTTGCTCCTGCTCCTCCTGTCCTTGGACATCAGACTCCAGGCTATTCAGCCTTTGCACTCTGGGACTTGCACCAGTGGCTTCCTGGGGACTTTTGGGCCTTCAGCCACAGACTGAAAGCTGCACCATCAGCTTCCCTTGTTTTGAGGCTTTCAGATGTGGACTGAGCCACTAGCATCTTCTCTTTTACCCTAGCTTGCAGATGACCTATTGTGGGACTTTGCCTTTTAATCATGTGGGTCAACTGTCCCTAATAAACTCCCTTCTATATATACATATATCCTATTTGTTCTGTCCCTCTGGAGAACCCTGACTAATACATTAGTCTTTTGCTTTGGGGCCATTATGAAGTAAATTAAGGATTCCCTGAACACAAGCACTGCAATACTGTGACAGTCGATCTAATAACTGAGAGGGCTCCTAAATCACTAAGGAGCAGGTGCATAGATAGTGTAGATCCTCTGCACAGAGGGAAGATTCAAGTCCCCAGCAGGATGGGATCTGAGAGCACAAGATTCAGTCATGCTACTCAGAATGCTGTGCAATTGAAAACATAGAACTCTTTTATTTCTGGAATTTCCCATTGAATATTTTAAACCCAGGTTGATTGCAGGTAACTGAAACCATGGAAAGCAAAATTACAGAAAAAGGGGGAATCACTATATTTACAAAAGTAGGCAGTGGGCCAGGATTGACCCTTGGGCAGTAATTTGCTCACTTCTGCTTTACAGAACAGATAACTAACAAATTACCACTGCATGCAAACAGTATGAAATAATATTTTTAATACAAGGTTGAGCAAAAGGCCAGCTGCAAAGGAGCAAATGCTGTTCAAATTTATTTATATAAAATTCAGTAACAGGAAAACCTGACCTATGGCTATAAATGTTAGAATTGTTGCTCCCTTTGTGCAGAGGTAGTGACTAAGAAGGGCCAAAAGTGAGACATCTGAGATACTCTTAATATTCTAGTTCTTCACATGAACATAAAAACGGGAACAGCAGACACTAGGACCTCCTTGAGGGTTCAGGGTAGGAGGAGGGAGAAGATTAGAAAAAATAAGTATAGGGTACTATGCTTAGTACCTGGGTGGTGAAATAATCTGTACAACAAACCCCTGTGACGTGGCATGAGCTTACCTATATAATAAACCTGCACATGTACTCCTGAACCTAAAATAAAAGTTAAAAAATATAGATATTCTAGTTCTTGGCATGGGTGATGTTTATATGATTTCACTGTGTGAAAAATTAATCAGTTGGTTCAGATTGTGCGCACTCTTTAAATGTATATTTCAATATAAAGTGAAAACACAATTTTAAAAAGCTAAAAAACTGAAAAACTGTAATAAACCTGATCAATTATCCAGTATAGCAAATTGGATAATATATACTAAAATGAGAATGTAGAAAATGCTGAGGGCAGAGGTGGTGGAAGAAATTGAGAAAGCACAAGATTCTCATAATAAAAATAATAGCTAACATATTAACATTTAATAGTTTTTAGGAATTGTGTTAATTGCTTTACAAATATTATCTGAGCAACCCCAGACTACAGCCCTAAAAGACAGTATCAATAATGTTTCTACAGTTGAGGAAGCTGAGGCACAAAAATGTTGAATACCTTTGAAATAATCATGAAGCT
The DNA here is from genome assembly GCF_000001405.40 of Homo sapiens. Classification (NCBI taxonomy): domain Eukaryota; kingdom Metazoa; phylum Chordata; class Mammalia; order Primates; family Hominidae; genus Homo; species Homo sapiens. Next base: position 38,178,390 of record NC_000013.11, read on the forward strand.
GGTAAGTAGAGGAAAAGAATACAAACCTGAGTCAAGAGAAATAATAAGAGAAAAGAAGAGAAGACACGGAGCAGGACTGGAGACTTGTGGAAAGTGAACACTAGACTCCACTTAGGAAAATGCAAGTCTTTTTAGACCATTGGAATGACAAAGAAACTCCCTAGACAATTGTGGATGAGAAACCGTAAGCAGCGGTGAATCCACACGGGTCTACAGCAGCCTTAATTCCTGCCTCAGGAGGAAGAGTTCAACTGAGAGGCATAAAGTGAGAGGGAGAGAGGGAAAGGGGTGTGTGGGGGAGAGAGAGAGAGAGAGAGAAAGAAGACACCAGGGCAAGTTTTAGAGCAGAAATGGAAGCTTATTAAAATTTTTAGAGCAGGAATGAAAGGAAGTAAATTACACTTGGAAGAGGGCCAAGCAGACAACTTGAGAGATTCAAGTGTATGGTGTTATCTTTGACTTGGGGTCTTATACATTGGCATGTTTCTGGGGTTGCATTACTTCTTCCTTTGATGAGGGCTGCCCACATGCACAGTGGCCTGCCAGCACTTGGGAGGGGCTGCATGCACCAGGTGTTTACTGGAGTTGTTGTGCGCATGCTCACTTGAGGTGTTTTTCCCTTACCTGTACAATGTTTCTAGAGGAAGGTCACATTCTAGTTACACTCCATTTTGCCTGTTAGGGCACATGCTTGAGCCACTCACTCAGCTCCTGGGACCTTATTAGGAAGATGCTGATCACCATCTATCTGTTGAGAGACTGCCTTTCCCTGGCATAGACTGTAATCAATTATTATTTTAGAGAGACATTTTAACAACTGCCTAACCATCACCTGATGGTTGCCTGACATTTCGGGTGGGGGTGGGGGATCTTCTGCCCTGCTCATGTCTGGCTAGATACCAACTCTAACAATACCATGTATTTGTAATAGGCAATTTATTTTTGATAGTCAATTTCTTTTTGTACAGCAAACAACATAGCAACCCCCACACTATCACTGGACCATGAAGAGGAAGAAATTATCCAGAAACCCCATATGATTGATCAAATTATTCAGGAATATCACATTGATCTTATTCTGAGAGTTTGTCATCTGAACAAGTTCCTAATTGTCTCATATCTCTCTTTATCCAGTCACTAGTAGGAATATAAGCTTCACAGTCTATCTAAAATACCTTCACTACTATCCTCATACTGCTATTAAGAGACACACATGACTTAATCTCATTCAATCACCATACCTATACATCTATGCAGTTCCATATTTGAAAACAGCAGACTTGCTTTTTATTCCTCCCTACCTGAATTTTTCCTTTGAGATATTTGTTTCTAATGTTTATCAGATCAGAAAGAACCACCTAGCCTGCACTACCTAAAGAGGCTTTCCCCACAAGTCACTTACTACCTTGCCATGGTGTTGATCTCAGTTGTTGTATATGTCATCCTCTATACTTACTTGTTTTCTTATTTCTTTATTATCTGAAACTCTGACTGTAATATGAGCTTAATGAGGCCAGAGAGTTGTCCTATTTAGCCCTGTATTGTACTTTTCAAATTATCAGGCAGTTATCTGGGTTCAAGAATTCAAATATTTCTTGAACACATGTGCGAATGAATGAAGATCCTAAATAGTCAATCCATAGGTTTGTAGTCTTTCTAGGTATATAGACACTTTTGATATTTTTCAATTTTATCAATTACTTGCCATCCTGAAGATTTGAGTGAGTAATAAAAGATTTTTTTAGGGATTATAAAGTCTTTGGCAATTAATAAAGACAAGTATGCACAGGTGGTGTTTAGTCATTGTTCTCACTGGCAGTTGGAACCTTGGAAGAGAAAAGAATATATGGGAATAAAAATATTGGGCAAGAAAATGGAATTTTAAACATGTGCATTTCAAATTATGACTCAAGGTACCAGACTGATACATTTTATCCCGTGCCAATAAGCTATGTCATTTGTATGGGAAAAGTATTGTTCCAAAGATAGGCAGCTTGATAATGAGGGATTTAAACAGAATTTGTAGACAGATGGAAAAAAATACTTCTGGCTAAACATATGAGTCTAGTCTCTATGCAAATAGTAAGTTTAACATGGCAAGAAAAAATGGAAGAGGTGGTCAGAGATTCACAGAAGGAAACAATATAAACAGATACTAACTGAGTACAGATAGGCAATTTAAATTTCAGATACATACTTAGAAGAAGACAATAGACAATTAATAAGCTGGAGAGTTCATCACAGCCCTGCTCACATTGTCCTCTAGAAATCCGCACATCTAGATGAAGTTAGGCTGAGTATTAGAATGTGAAAAGGAGAAAGCATGCACAACTTCAAAGAGACAGACATATTAGGAAAGGAAGACAAGGGAGAGAACTGAGTTCCTGGTCAGAAAACATACAGGCATACAGGAAAATTCATGAACCTAACCCTGAAATCATCCTAGAGAGACCATAGATGAAACAAAAATGAAAGGGAAACTAAAAGTAGCTTATTGGAAGGTCCTACTTCGCCAGATGAAGGAAATGGTGTCAACAAAAGAACAGAAGAACTGTTAGAAAAATCTGCATTAAATCTGTGGATTAGAAAATAGCATTGTATCCATGTTAATTTCTCCCTTTTGTACTACAGTTATATAAGAGAATGTACTTATTTTGGGGAAATGCACACTGAAATATGATTGGTAGAGGGGCATCAAGTCTGCAACTTACTCTGAAAAGGTTCAGGAAAACTATATTTTTGCAGATACAAACATACATATGGATATATGCATTTTTATATTACTGCCACATTCTTTGTTTCAAATTATGTCAACATTTAAGAAAATAGAGTACATAGTTAAGAGATTTTTAAAACCTGTTCATATTTTAGAGCATGGTGAGCATTATGATTGTGAACAAATTTTTTCACTTCTTTGAAACTCAACTACAAAACGAATGTGATACTTATTTGTAGATTTATTGTGATGATGAAATGAAATTGTACTGTGCTTTGTAAATCATAAAGAATAGTGTTAACACCATTGCCATTATTATGAGTATGATGGAAATTACAGTAGGCCTGGAGGCAAGATAGAGTAGCATTGGGGAATTTTTACTCCTAAGTTTCTGCTTGAAGTATTTTTCAGCTGAAAGCAATTTTGCCCTACGTGGTAACCACTTAATCTCTCTAAGAATAGAATAAATGACTAGGAGAACCTAATTCTGAAGATAATGGGGGAAATTTATAAATAAAAAGTTAAAAGAAACAATAAAACTTCTACATTAGAAAGATGAACACCAAAGAATTTAATATGGGTAAAGGAAAAGGATAGGTATCCTCAAACTTATAAGCCCAAAATTTTAAAATTAAGCCCAAATTTACAAAATAATTTAGAATTTGCAATATAAAATAAGATTATCGGAAAAGACATATTTTTAGCAATGTGTGCACCACAGCCCTATCTGTACAATCTCAAATTATCTAGGTGAGGAAGAGTGATATAAAGGAAGAGTGATATAAAAGTCTGACATCAAGAAACGCATGTAAGTAACAGATCTCTCAGCACTACCATAAGCCAGAAAATATATGAGGTGCAGAACTCCAAAGATAAAGAAGGTAGATCTTGGCCCTCACAGAGCTTGCAATCCCATTATCATTTCATATATGCACAAAAGTTTGTATATGCTTTTATTTCCAGACTTAATTGACAGCTTCAAAAATATTTACTTTCCCATGTTTCACACTCAAATAATTTTAAATCACAAAAAATGAGACAATATGTGCACATTTAAAAAATAATATGGGAGAAAAAAATGAAGATTTTGCTGAAACGATCTAGCTGTATTACAAGTATGGGACAGCCTCACTGAAGTGGGTGAGAAGAAAGGAGGTACTGATCTAAGCAACTTCAGAACTGATGATATACAATAAGATAAAAAGAAACTGACACAAACACTATAGTTGTTAAAGTTGTTTCTCACAGGGATAAGGGTTAACTCTTCTGAAACCACTGTACATACATACAAGATTGACAAATAAATAAGTGGATAGTGGACAGGTTTTCATCCTGGAGCAGGAGGTTAGAGATAAGCAAGAGGGAGAGGTTAGAATAGACCATGCTGTGCTGGATTGGAGTTTGAGACATCAATATTAACTATTGTTTAATTTAAGATAAATACTGATAGTCAGATACAGAATATAGACATGTATACATAAGCAGGTTCTATGCATATACATTTTCCAGCTCTCTCTGTTGAAATAGTCTGGAAGTGATAACATCACAATAGCAATGAGCGTATCCATGCCCAGTACTTGGTTTCCAATACTGCCCTTCAATAAAAAGAACCAGCATTTCTTGGAGAAATGGAAGATTTTAGTAGGACTGGGACAGTTCAGAACTTAAAATTGAAACAAACATTCTATGTTTAATAAATGGGAAAATGAGTGATGGATATAATACATAATTATACCAAACAGTGAGTGTTTTAGTCCTGGTTTTGCCACTTATGAACCACATACACACTGGTGAAAAGAAAAAAAAGCCTTTCTAAAACAAAAATAATCAATTCCATTGAGCTGTGGCATACCCTATGAACTCTTAAATCTCATTGATACATGACATTATCATTATGTTAGCAAGGATATTCTGTACCATCACGTTTTCAGAAATTGGAGTATTGATTCTGTAAGAGGAAATGAGACTTTAAATAAAGGAATATTTCATTTGGGATTATCCAGAACAAAATGCTAATAGAATAAGGAGAGAAATTTCTCAAAACATTTTAAATTAATAAGGCTAATATTATATAGTAAGAGCACATATAATGCCAGAAATAGAGAAGAAAGAAGGTTTATATGCAAATATTAATCTTACCACCTCCGATGGTGATGTTTTCTGACTCATGATAATTTATGCATTTTTTTCTTGTAAAATTATTCTTTCTGAGAGTAATTACTTGACTAAGTTCTGTAAATGACATATAAAAGTCCTGTATTTCCAAAACAATCAAGACAATTTCATACAGTAAGATTTAAACTTCATAATTTAAAAAATGTAACTGCCCTTAATGTTTCTACCTAAGCTAATTACCTCCAACAGAGATTAGCGCTGGCTTTCTCCTCGCAGGGGAAGTAGGTGATGATTATGCATTAAGTCTGGACAACTACAATAGGTTCTTCATTACCCTTCCTACTTTTTGCTAATTATTTCCCAAAGCCATTTATTCGTTATTTTCCCATTAACATCTTCAGTTTCATGCTCCATGAGAAACTTTTCTATAACTAGTGCATAAATCAGACAGGATCACTCACCTGGTCCTTGTCCCTCTCTCTTTTCTAGTTATTACATTTAAAAAATGAAATGAAATTTCTTCTTTCTCAAAGCCAAGTTGAAAGCTCTATGAGCTTCACAAAATTGTAGCAGTTTGGAAAAAAGTATCCAACATAAATTCCCATTCTACAAATTTGGGAAAAATATAGAAATCTTCCCTTAGTGCTCTACCAAAGAGGAATTGCACTGAACAGAATTAATCAGGCAAGAAAAGACTCTATTCAGGACAATTGCCACAGGGGTTAAGACTATTGCAGTAAGGAAGAGAGATTAAACTCAGCTAAAGCAAAGCAGGGAAATTTTTATTTGCTGGGCTGAGCTAGTGGAAAGTACTGGAGGACATTAGGAGTGAAGTTGGTCAATGTATTTAGGCCATCTGTGTATGCTAATTGGATTTATCTAAGGTAACTTCTTACACTCCCACAGAGCTTGGGAGATAGGAGTGCTATTTTTTTCTTTTTTCTTCTTTTTAGCTTTATTGAGGTATGATTGACAAATTATATATATTTATTTATTTAAGATAGGCAATTTCATGTTTTGATAAATGTATACATTGTGAAATGATTCCCACAGTCAAGCTAATTAACATACCCATCATCTCGCATAATTGCCTTTTTTGTAGTGAGAACACTTGCGATCCGTTCTGTCAGCAAATTTCAAGACATTACATTACATTAATGACAATACATTATCCTTAAGTGTAGCCACCATGCTGTATATTAAGTCTCCAGAACATACTCACTGTATAACTGAAAGGTTGTACGTTTTAACCAATATCTTCCTTTTTCACTATATCCAGCCCCTAGTAACCACCATTCTACTCTCTGTTACTAGGAGTTGGACTTTTTTAAAGATTCTACATATAAGTTTGATTATGCAGTATTTGTCTTTCTATGCCTGGCTTATTTCCCTTAACACAACGTTCTCCAGGCTCATCCTTGTTGTTACAAATGAAAAGATATCCTTTTTTAAAAAAGATGGAATAATATTCCATTGCGTATGTGTATATATATATATACACACACACACACACGCACATACATATCCAAATAGCCATATATCTATACATTGTTTTCACACATGGGATTATATATATATATATACATATATATATATATATATACACACACACATATACATCTCACATTATTTAATCCATTCACCTGTTAGGCTGTTCTTTATCTTGGCTATGTGAATAATGGTGCAATGTACATGGGAGTGCAACTATTTTTTGGGAATATGATTTTATTTCCTCTGGATATGTACCCAGAAATGGGATTGCTGAGTCAGATGGTAGTTCTATGTTTAAATTTTTGAGGAACTTCCATACTGTTTTCCATAATGGAGCACTGTATTCTTGATGTTACATTTCAAAGAGCTGGCTTCCAGGTACTTGAGAAAGACATCTCTGGACTGTAAAACTGGCAAGAGATGAGAAGAAACTTAACATCTCAAAAAGGCAAAGAAATAATTGGATTTGCAATTGCAAGTTTCCCAAAGTAAAAGCTCTGAGAAAAGATAAATTAGGGGCCTATAGTCAGAAAAAATAACTATCTAAAGTTTAGTCAACCTGAAGGGAATATCAATTCCTCTTTGTTTCTATACTTTCCTATATTTTGGTATGGGGAAAGATGAAAACAAATCCCACAGAAAGTATATTTCTTACAAGTATAAAAAAAAATGGAGTGGGTTTTCATTTTCCGGAAGGTAGAGTACTTGATTATAGGAGTGGTTGGGAGACAGTGTTTGAGCCACAGCCAGAGAATCCCTTGAACTACTTATTTTTAAAAAGTGATTTGCAAATTACAAATTACACTTTAGACCTACTGAATCTGTAATTCTGAGGGAAGTGACTGTTACGTTATATTTTTAAAAAGCTGCTCTTCTGTTCTGATGCATCATAATGATGAGAGCAATTGCACTATCAATTTTGAACATCTATTAAAAAAGTAAACAATTGAGAAAGATGTTTGTTGTTATTTTTTCCAAAGTGAATGCAAAATATAGTAGGAAAATTTATGAAATAAGAGTAAGGAAGTTTAAGCTTCAGAGAGCTGGCATATCTTGCCTTTCTTTTCATAAATAGACATGCACTTATAGATACATGGTGATATCTTTATTTTTCAACAATTATAGTTAAGGAATTACTGTCACAGATGACCACATTTGTGAGTTTTATCGATGTAAATGTAAATGAATTAAAGTAGGCACAAAGAAGCATATACAGTACCATTTCATTAATAACATTTCACAAGCAAACAAAACTAATTTATGCTGGTTACCTTTGGGGATTAATAACTGAAATTGGGCAGGGTAGAGGCTTTTGAGTTTCCTTGTAATTGTCTATATTTTTACCTTGGTGGTGATTACATAATGTGATTACATTGTAAAATTTCCCTGAGTTGCTATAAGTTTAATATATGTGTACTTTATATGAGTATGTTATCAATGAATTAGAAAATATATATACACATGGCTGGGCGCGGTGGCTCACGCCTGTAATCCCAGCACTTCGGAAGGCCGAGGCGGGCATATCACGAGGTCAGCAGATCGAGACCATCCTGGTTAACAAGGTAAAGGTGAAACCCCGTCTCTACTAAAAATACAAAAAATTAGCAAGGCGTTGTGGGCGTCTGTAGTCCCAGCTACTCGGGAGGCTGAGGCAGGAGAATGGCGTGAACCCGGGAGGCGGAGCTTGCAGTGAGCTGAGATCGCGCCCCTGCATTCCAGCCTGGGAGACAGCCAGACTCCGTCTCAAAAAACAAACAAACAACACACACACACAGAGAGAGAGAGACACACACAGATAAGCTTTAGAGGTTCTTTTCTCAGAGCTCTTTCAAGATCATGCTTGTGTAACTGTGAAGACAACAGATACTTATGTGCTTCCAGCAGTAGCACCATTCGGTTCTGCCACAAAATTTGAATGGAGGCTGCACTTTTTCTGGACAGTTCTGAACCAACGACTGAGCATGGTAGAGCTGCTAGGGCCTGGCCATTTCTGCCCAATAGAGAAGTCCTATAATGAATAATCTTTATTCTGAAGTTCTCCTCTTGGCTACCCAAGATCTTGTCAAATCTATTTTGCAGTCTGAAGGTCTCCCCAGAAAATTCGACTTCCTGCCCCCTTTGTTTTCTCAGCTGTCACATTTGCATTGTGGTCTGAAGGCTTTCCTTAATCAATCTGGCTTCCTTCTCTTCCCTCTTTCACAGGTATTTCCATCAGTTCCCCTACCTACCCAATAAAAATGTTGCATTTCCAACTGGTTCTCAACATTTGCTTCCCACAGAACCCTGATATAATATCTATCCAGAGGAAGCTCACAGTGCAATAGTTCATTTTTCTAATTATTATCAATTATGTATTCATTCATCCAATCAGTTAATAAATATGTATTGAGCTATTACTACATTCTAGGCATTGCTATGTTTTCTAGAATATAGCAAGAAAGAAAAGGAAAAAAGGAAGGAAGAAAGGCAGGAGGGCAGGAAAGTAGGAAGGTAGGAAGGAAGCAAGGAAGAAAGGGAGGAAGGGGAAAAAAAGAATGAAAGATGAAATCAAAGATGAGTAGGGATTTTTGGCCTGAATCTCAGTGTGTTATTTACCAAAATGGAGAAGAATGAAATGGAAAAATTTGGGCACAAGAACAAAAAAGACCCAAAATTTGTTTCTAAATTAGACATGTTGATTTTTAGGTATCTGTTGACCACTAGATTAGAAGGCAGTTGAATATGCAGTATGAAGGCCAAGTGAGAGAAGAGAGATTGGTGCTGGAGCAGGAATTCTAAGTATCATCAGCAAGTATTATTTAAACATGTGACGTTGGCTTGTTAGATTTAAAAATAGTCAAAGTCTCTAATTGTGTGTGTTTTAACCGATACCATAATAGTTTCTCTAAGAAAATGTTTGACATCATATTTATGGTTGGTCTTTTTGTGAAATCATATTACCGTGATTCTGTTGATACAAATGCAGGATTCTAACTTCCACATGTTAGTTCACTACCTTCAGACCCCAACCACCATTGAAGGACCTCTAATTTCTTTAAAACAAATACAGCAAACTATTTCTTAGCGTTCCTATGGGTCATATATGCACTCAAAAAGTATGCTGGAGCCAGGCGTGGTGTCATGTGCCTGTAATTCGGCTACTTAGGAGGCTGAGGATGGAGAATGGCTGGAGCCCAGGAGTTCAAGACCAGCCTGAGTAATATTAAAATATTTCTGTCACTAAAGAAAAAAGAAGTACACTTGAATATTTTGTGATCTTTGCAATATTCTGTTTCTACTCTAGGTTCTCTTCCATTGCATGATTTTCTTTATTCCTGAAGAAAGCATATTATGTCCTGTGAAGTAATCTAGTTTTTACTGTGTCTGCTGTCCTCGTAATGACATCTGCCATTGCTATCTGATATCACTGTGCCATGTGATTGGCAAGGCACTTCAAGAAGGGGGAAAATAGAGCCATAATGTTTTTCTTTCTAAAGGCAAAGCCATGCAAACTTCTATATTAATGCAAAAAGTCTGTTTTTCAAATACTGTATAATTGATATTTTTTTGCTCTGACCATTTGAATGGAATTCTGATAAAGTCTAATTTAAGAGGCAAGAATATTGTTTTTATAATTCTGAATGCAAAAACATAACATGCTGTCTGAAAAAATCATATTAGGAGATTAATAAATATTTATTCATTGAATTTTAATCAGAAACAATACAATAGTGTAGATTAATTAAAATCAAATAATATTATATACTGATTGATGTTTTATGTGTCAATTACTATGCTTTATGTAGTTTGCCTCATTTAGTCTTCCCAGTGACTAAAAGATAAGTATTATTATCTTCATTCACACATGAGATAACTGGAAATCATAATGGATATTATTCAGGATTCAAATCCATATTTTTTTACTCAAAGAGCCCCTCTTTCTATAATATGCACCACTATACTAGAAAATTCAGATATTGGTATTTACATATAGAAAAATATAGTAGAGTGTATATTATTCATAACATAATGAGCTAAAATATGCTATTCTAACTCAATGAGTTAGAAACAATAAGAAATAATATTAACTTGAACACTTACTGACATCACATAGTAAGAGAAATCCACACTTGACTGGAGAGTATCAGGAAATTAATAAAATAGTCAAACTAACCAAGAACAAAAGAGAAGACACAAATTGCCAATATTATATGTAGTAAGAGAAGTGTCACCGCTCCAGAAGCCACAGATAATTAAAGGAAAATAAGCAATATTATTAACAACTTAATGCCAATAAATTCTATAGCATTTATAAAGTGGGAAAAATTCCTTGAAACACACAGTCTATTAAAGTTCACCTAAAAAGAAAAAGATAGCAAGAAAAGTTCTATATCTATTCAAGAAATTGAATTTTAGTTAAAAACCTCCCCACAAAGAAAACTCCAGGCCCATATGGCTTCACTGATTAATTCTATCACATATTTCAGTAAAAAGAAATAGCAATTGTCTAATACTTCTCAAAACTCAATAAGAGACAATATCAGCAGTTCATTTTTTTAAATGGGCAAAGTATTTGAACAGAGCCCTCATTAACAGAATATAAGTGGATGACAATCTGATAAAAAGATATTGAACCTCATAGTCATTAGGAAAATGCAAAATAAAATTAGATGTCAGTATACAACCAATATAATGGCAGATCATACCGAGTTTTGGAGAGAATGAGAAACAACTAGAACTTGTATAATTATTGGTGAGAATGAAAAATAGTATTAATACAATTATGTTTTTAAAAGTTTGGCAGGACTAGGTACAGTGGTTCAAGCCTATAATCCCAGCACTTTGGGAGGCCAAGGTGGGGCGGATCGCTTGAGCTCAGATCCAGACCAGCCTTGGTAACATGGCAAAACCCTATCTCTACCAAAAATACAGAAATTAACTGGGCATTGTGGTCACACCTCTAGTCCTGGCTACTTGGGAGGCTGAAGTGGGAGGATGGCTTGAGGCTGGGAGTTGGAGGTTGCAGTAAGCCAAGATCAAGCCACTGCACTCTAGTCTGGGCAACAGAGCCAGACCTTGTCTCCAAATGAAAAGAATAAAAGTTTTCTCCACCTAGTATATGATGATCATACCACCCATAGGTATTTACCCAAGAGAAATGAAAACATATACCCATATAAACATATTACCTGAATGTTTACAGCAGATTAATTTGTAATAGCCAAAAACTAGAGATAATCCAAATGTTCATCAACAAGTGAATTGAAAAAGTAATTATGATACATTCATAGAATGGAATCTTATTTAGCATTAAAAATAAATGAACTCTTGATACATGCAGCAAGGATAAATCCCAAAAAAATGTACTGAAGGAAAGAGCAAGATTAAAATGTGAACATATGGTACGACATTTATATACAATTCTAGAAAATGTAAATTAATCTAAAGTGACAGAAACCAGTTCAATGGTTGTCTACAGATGAAGGTAGGGGGTACCTGAGGGGAATTACACAAGGGCAGGAGAAATTTTGAGGGGGCAGAAGGTTATGTTCATTTTCATGATGGTTGCTGACTTAGCAACATGTCAAAACTTGTCCAATTGTACATTTTAACTATGTACAGTTTATGGTATATACATATTTGGATAAGATCATTTATATAAAATGCATTTGAAGGAAAACCAGATAGTGTTTAAGAAAAATTAGAAAGACTATAACTTGAAACAGTGGCTACCTATAGAAAGATGAACGAAAAGAAGTAAAAATTATATCTATCCTTCCATATATTAATGAAAAGGCTGACATAAGTTTTCTTTCTAGAAATTTAAATGAAGAAAATAATAAAACTCTTAGAGAAGTTTTATTTTTAGAATGGGAAGGACTAGAGTCTACCATTATGAAATAGTTTACCTTTACACCATATATGTAAAAATGCACTACATATACATACTATATCCTACAATATTTATCATATAAGTTATACTCTATATATGCTGTATTACTCTAACTCCTTTTCATGTTTAACAAAATGGTTTAGTTTTCACTTAACATCTGTCTGGCTTTAATTGGTTCCTGGAGTGCTGAAAAAGCAGATAGAATAAAATTTATGTGTGATGCACCTGCTGTGTTCCTTTGGAACTTTGTGAAAAACAATTTTTGAATACTTACAATCTACAGTTGGTTGAATCCACTCATATGGAACTCATGGATACAGAAGGCCAACTACAGTTGAGAAAGAAATGAAAGATTGCTTTAGAAGTCTATGAATGACATACACATCAGTAAGTAAGACTAAAAGACAAAGAGTAAACATATATGCACCTAGTGGATAAAAAGTAGACTGTGTTTTGTTTGCACTGTGCCCTCATAATCTGGCAAGTCACATGTAAGGCGATTTGTGCTTGGCGAACTAAAAAGAAATTGCATTAATTTCCCACTGCTGCTGTAACAAAATTACCACAAACTCAGTGGCTTAAAATAACACATTTATTTTCCTACATTTTCAGAGGTCAGAAGTACAAAGTGTCACAATCAAGCTGTGACAAAACTGTGTTCCTGCTGCAGGTGCTAGAGAAGAATCAATTTATTTCATGTGTTTTCCAGCTTCCAGAGTCGGCCCCCATTTCTAGGCTCATGGCTACATCACTCAACCTCTTCTTCTGTCATCACATCCCCTGCTCCCTCTTGTAAGAACTCTGCTGATTACACTGGGCCCATCTGGATGATCCAGGATAATCTCCCTATTGCAGGAGCCTTAATTTAATCACATCTGTACAGTTTCCTTTGCCACATAGGGTAACGTGTTCACAGGTTCTGGGGATTAGGGCTTGAATATCTTTTTTTTTTAGACAAAGTCTTCCTCTGTCACCCAGGCTGGAGTGCGGTGGCACGATCTCCGCTCACTGCAACCTCACCTCCTGGGTTCAAGTGATTCTCCTGTCTCAGCGTTCCAGGTAGCTGGGATTATAGGCGTGCCTCACCGTGTCCAGCTTTTTTTTGTATTTTCAGTAGAGACGGGGTTTCACCATGTTGGTCAGGCTGGTCTCGAACTCCTGACCTCAAAGGATCTGCCTGCCTCAGTCTCCAAAAATGCTGGGATTAGAGGCATGAGCCACTAAGCCTGGCAGGGCTTAAATATCTTTGGGAGGTCATTAATTTGCCTACTACAGGAGCCATCTGTTTCTCAATTATAACATTGTATTTCTGCCACCTGTTTCTCAATTATAACATTGTATTTCTGCCACCTGTTTCTCATTAAGGAGAATACATGACTTCATGTAAAGAAGATAAGTATATTCTGTATTAAATCATAGAATAAAGGACTACTTTTTATTTCACCTTCAGAATGATGAAATGTCTTGAGCAACTAATCACAAGTCCTTTAGAATGGAGGTGGTGAATGGTGGTTGATTAAGCACTGGCCTTGAGGTCAGATGACATGGGGTCAACTCAATGAGAGTTCCTTAACATTGTGCCTGGGAAACGCTAAGTAATCAGTGTGTATCTGTTGCATGAGATTGAAAAGTAGTATAAAAACCAGCCAGTTTGAGTTCTTAAAAAGGGTGAGCACAGTGAGTAGAAAAAGAGATAATGCAAAGTCACAATTTATCTTGTGGCTTTATTAAGACATAGTGTATTTCCTAAATTGAACTCTTCCCCAGTTTATACATTTTCCCAAATATTATTAACTATAATGAGACATTAAGACATAAAATATGAAAATTAGTCTTGTTTTATTATTCAGCATCTGAGGAACCATGCAAGTTACAGAAATTATTTTTAGAAGTAGTTTTCTATGTATATCAGATAATAGAATAAGATGTGGATCTTAAAGCACAGCGAGCTGATTTGGAAGGACAATAAAGACAGATTAACCAATTTACATTATAGACATTTTTCAAACAGAAACATACAAATAGGTTGTCCATATGCTCTTAGATTGGTGTTTGGAGAAAAAGATGAAGAAGCAGGTTGAGGATCACTACTCAGGGTAGACTAAATGTGTACAATACAATGTATGGAATGAAGACAGTGTCAGTATTTATCAACTATGATCATCATTGCCGCCCTCCTTCCCTGACCTCATCCTGACCTGTTCTTGTAAACTACTGCTTTCAGAGATTATTATGGCAGCCTCTTGTAGCTGTTTTTGCCAGTGGCCCAGTAGTAGACATTTGAATTTGCATTTTCTCAAATTACCAATAAGTGCTTGTATAGGTAGACAGGTCAGCACTGTACTTTCATCATCATTAAGTTCAGCTAAAGGTAGGTTTACTGATAAGGCTACTGTAGTTGCTCACATATATTATATATTCACAATAATTCCTTAAGAATATTATACAAAGCCTCGAGTTTTCTTCTTTAATATTGAAAAATGTAAATTGTCACATTATCAGTGTCTGTTCCCTCTACGTTTTGCAGTACCTGAGGCATAGTCCATGTCCTTGGCTGTATTTTTTTTTTTTTTTTTTTTTTTGGTGTAGGTAGGTTCTCTCATTTTTTCCCAGGTCTGTGTATGTGTGTGTGTGCACATATTAGGGTGCATGGGTGCACTCCAGTCAGTTGAGGGTGGACTGGGAAGGATTCCAGGGTTTTACAATATAAAGTCCCTTAATATCTTCAAGTAGTGTCTGATTTCAGCAATCTTGACAGAATCCTCAGCCATGCTCATGTCTCCCTGCACCACCAAAGCACAGAGGCAAGTCTAAAAATGAGCTCCCAGGAATAGACCAAGTCTCAATTCTCTGGAACAAATATTCAAGCTTGTATCTATTGCATTAGGCAAGTATACATGCATTTATTCAAAATATATTTTAACTGTAAACTGCCTAATATGTCAATGGTTAAGATTTTACGGTGCTTAAAATGAAAAATTAAACATAGGTTATACAACTGACTATTTCTATTTAAATTTTGAAATTATTCATTAGTTCTGTTAAGGTGAGAGGTCAAGCCTGGAAGGGGGACTCTTGTTAGTGCAATAGAGAGTCAGAAAATAGGAGGGATAAAGGCAAATACATTCATTAGTTCTGTTAAGGTGAGAGGTCAAGCCTGGAAGGGGGACTCTTGTTAGTGCAATAGAGAGTCAGAAAATAGGAGGGATAAAGGCAAATACTTTTATCTCCCTCTCCTCCTGCACTTTAATATTTAAATATCCTCCTAGTACATCCCATTGGACAAACCCAGCTGCAAGTCAGAGGGCAAAGGAGTCTGGGTGTTGTAAACCATAGAGGGCAGCCTTCCAGAAAGCCTGAGGAGGACAGGAAGGATACAGAACGGAAAAGGATCAACTAGGAAATAAGGAAAAGTTCCTTGTCTTCCCTTTCCCTCAGATTCCTCACTAAAAGCAACTACTTGAAACTCTTTAACTTATTCTTTAGATATTTACTTCCACATCTCTACTAAGCTCATTTATATTACTAATTCCTGGTTTTTTAATACTAGACATTTTCTACTGATCTCCCAATATCAACCCCTAATCTAATATCATACACACACCAAATACATTTATTTTTTTTTACCTTCTCAATATTTTTATATGGTAAGTTTGGTTATATCAGTTTTCTGTGGTTGTATTATTAAAATTACACATGCTATGCACAACTGAACAATATTTTGCACCATGACTAGTTTTCCTTTCTTGCACAAATCTTTTGTCTGTTGTTCCCCAGGTCTAATAGTATCCATGGTTTTCTTTTTTTCATTTGTTCAGTATACTAAATATTTCTTGTTACTTCAAACACTGGCTTTCCAATAATTATCTAAATTTGCTTTAAAGCCATGCAAATGCAGTAGGTATTGCATCAATGTCTTCTTTTTGGAATCATCCCTCCCAGAGGTTCTGACATATTCCAGTTTTGTCTGGTTACTCTGTGAGATAGATGTATATTTGCTTCCCTGGGATATCCCTTCACCTTATCCATAACGTTTGTTTGTATCCCCTGTTTGGTGTAGCTTATATTTCTCTTTTTATTATGTTGGTGTAAAAGTTATTGCAGTTTTGCCATTACTTTCAGTGGCAAAAAAAGCAATTACTTTTGTACCAACCTAGTAATTGACTTCCTTATTATGGCAGAACACAGAAGGAATGTATAAAAAGTTAAATTTCTGAGACTATATATATGTGTGTGTGTGTGTGTGTGTGTCATCTTTCTATCCTCATTCTTGACTAATATTAGCTTAGTATAGTACTCTAGGTTGGAAATGTTTTTAACCTCGGATTTTTGAAACCATGTCTCCCCTGTCTTCAAGCTCTCAGTGCTTCTATTAAAAGTAGCCAGTCATCTGGGCACCTAACCATTTTTGTGTGACCTGTTTTTCCTCTGACTTATAGCTTCTTTTGTCTTCAATATTTGGAAGTTTTACAAATATATGCCTTGGCAGTTGTAAAAATTTAGCCATTTGTATTTTTCTATATCATCTCACCCAAAGTAAAGTGCTGGTTAAGTTATGCTAGAGGTTCTTGAGAAAGTACTTCAGTGACTGTCACTTGTTATCTTTCTATAGCTACACCTGAGAGAAGGTTCACATGTATCATATTTGCATTAATTAGCTTCACATACTAAGAGATACTTTACAGGTAAGACTGGCTAAAAATATACGCAATTATTCACTATATACTGTTAGTGCAATGTTTCTCTCAGCCCCCCAAATCATTGTCACTACACTGTATTTTTAAAAAACAGCTTCACTAAAAACATTTCTTAATGTTAAGAAGTGGGAAGTCTGTTAGTCATTGGGACTGATTTGCCAAAATCCACGCAATTGTAATATGGTAGAGTTGAGATTCCACACATAAATTTAAATTGTGTGATCCTTAACCATTTGGAGCATGGAGGTGACAGTAGCTACCAATGACTTCTCAGGACTTGTAAATTATTTGAATCTTTGGTGTCATAAATTTCTCATGTGTTTTAGTGATTTTTATTATATTTCTCAGCTTTTAACACCAGTTAATGTGCCTTTCACATATAATTATAATTGAAGCAAAATGATACATTTGGGTAAATGAATGTATTTACCAGCACATTCTTTAGATATCATTATATGACCTTCAAAGTGAATTCATTTATATGTTTTTCTCCTGAATGAGCTGTATTTTTGCTATAAGACTACCTCTCAAAGAAGCACCATAACTACCTGCATTGGGTTTCAGCTCCGTAATTAACGATGTCTGTTTTTTGGTAACAAAGGAGAATAAGAAATTTTTATGCAATAGGTATCTAATGGCAGATAGCAGATGATTATTTAACCCAAGCCTAAAAATTATCATTGTATTGTCTGGAGGTTTTTGAAGAGTGTCTGAATGGTTGAGAATTCCTACTGAATATTGCTGTCTTCTTATGATTCACGATGGACATAGGATTTGCTTTAAAGATGTCTTCTTCCCCTGAGATGGAAGTAGAGTGATCAGAAAGGGAATGCATAAAAAGAAAATAAATCTGTTCTAAATTCACAACAAACTCATTATATTCAGATTATTCAGAGTGTTTATGAATGTGTGTGTGTTTGTGTGTGTGCATACATATGTATCTTTGTGAGAAAATAGAGATGAGTCATTGACAGGCTTCTGACTGGGGAGTTTAAAATGGAATGGTCGGATGCTTGTGTTAAAAACTATTGAATGTGCCTAGCTGCCTGAGCTGAAAATTCAAATCTGTTGCAAATATCCTTTTGGTCAAGCTTAGCATTCTCGAAAATAAACTCGACATATATTTACACCTTACTATTAAGAATAAACTATAATTGTTTTTTGAAAAAAAATAAATCTTGTACTTAAATGAAAAAGAATACAGGAGGAGCAATATGTGAGGACCATATATTTTTCTGAATTCAACACATACTAGATAATAACATAAAAATAAACATTTAAAAATGATTTTGGGATAGGGAAACTCTTGTAATGACTACCTAAGACTTGGTAGCCATTTTTAAAAGCAACAAAGGAGATTATCAAGTGGCTAATCTGATGTCAGACATTTCGAAGTCACTGTTAATCTTGAAGGAAGAAGAGATAGACTTAAAGGAACAGAGAACACTAACTTCATGTTTAGGTCTAGAAATATAATATTAAATATTATTCTTATTGACTCAGCATCTTGGTAAAGATCTCAAAAGTCAGCAACACCACAACTGGTTCAAGTAATCCCATATTCTAAAGCAAGGTGCCAGACCAGGTATACAGGATATCTGTGAGACTGAGAAACAGGTTGCACTAGCATTAGCCCATCATCTGCTCTCCTGGAGACCTTTGCTTCATGAGCTGAGTGTTCTGTCCCCCACTTCCATGGTGAGGGGAAGAAGTGGATGCCTCCTCTTCATTGAGTCAAATGAAACATCTTCAGAAAGAACAGCTTGGAGGGAGCTTAGCATTAGTCTTTAGGCTTTGAATATTATAAGAACAGGTATCTGCCTCCTACCTATTAGAATGTAAATGTGAGATGGCTTGGTTGTAGCTGGCCCTACAGGCATCAGAGAAGGGAGGATTTTTCTGTACCTCAAGGCACAATGACCAAGAGGTTTGGTTTTCCCAGGGCTGAGGGAGTTTCCAGGACATGGGACTTTCAGCTATGAAACTGGGTAAGTCTCCTGGGCAAACAGGGCTACTGATAAGCCTAGTCTAAGACTTTAAGGTGCCAGAATATACGGATATTTCCTGTGGCCAGACATGGCTCTTATCCAAGAACCAAAATTAAGTAGTCTTGAGAAAGCTTCATTCAAGAGGCCTACCTGGAAATGTGAAATGACCAAGAAGATGCAAATATTTAAGAAAAACAAGGCGGCGGTGGGGGGTGGGGGTGCGGGGGGGGCGCGGTAAACCAGAGCTATGCAAGGCCAGTCAGATGCAGAATTTCCCAGGTTGAAAATAACATAATTGAGAGATACCCAGGAATCGTCTCCTGAGAACCCACCAAAGCTCCCACAGGAGAAAGGGTGGGAGTTGTGTCACCTGACGGACAGAATGCAACATGCTAGATTATACATGCACCAGACAAGTAACAGCTTTTCTTTCCCTTATCACTTCTCCTTTCTTCCACTAGAACCCTGGAGAGGCCCCAAGCAGCAGGTGGTGACATGCAGTGACAGAGTTGGTGCAAGAATAATGAAGAAGCCAACTATAGCTCCCTTTCACCTACAGTTTGTAGTCACAAACCAGGAAGGTGGGGAAGTTTTACACTTACGTGATCATTAAACTACAATGGGCACTGTATTACCTAAAAGTAACTGAGAATCACCAGGAAAATCTATGGGTCCTGTGATTTTTACCAAGACACAGGCAAGAACAACTTGAGAGAATGGACTTGAAGGGGCAGTATGAGAAAGAATAAAGTCACATTTAATAAATAGAGTGTCAAGTCACATGAAATAAATAGGGTGTATATAACCTCATCAAGGCCTTGAGGTACATAAAGTGAAAAATCATAAACAAATCTCGACTTGAAGAGTGTGAAGGGAAAGTACACTCATCTGTGGGGCAGGAGGTTTTCAAAATAAAGAAAACACTTATGGAAGGGTTTGGGGATGTAGGAGAGTTTTAGGGTGACAAAACTGAAGTTTGAGATGACACAGGGGAAGGGTTTTAATAAGGTAGGAAAGAATAAGAGTCCACATACAGATGGATCCTCTGGAAGTCTTGGAAATACTGTGCTGCCTAAGGTAAATATCCATGTGAACTCTGATGAGACCAATGCAGTTAGAATCTCAGAGAATGGTGGGCCATTCAGGACAGTCTTCTCTATTTAGCTGGAAGTTATAGGACCACTGGGCTGTTCCATCCTGCACCTCTACCCTGTATGATGGAGGCCTGGGGATGCAAGGAGAGAGTGCTGGGATCTCACAGGAAAATCAGAGGTCCAGGGACTGTATCTAGGGATCAGCTTCTCAAGTGGCCTCATCAGATGTCCATATTCAGATGTATTTCTTAGTTTGGTTATGTGGACACTGATGCCTAAGGAGAATCTGTCCTATTATATCTAATTAATTATACTTTGAATTAAGGAAAGCTAAGGAAATTCTGAGGCAGAAGAACCAGCACTTGAAGGAGTGAAGCTGCTTGAGTTCTCACCTGTAACTACGTTAACTGTTGTGCTTTTTATCAGATGAGCATGTCATTGGTTCCAAATAAGTTCACTGCATACAATTGTTCAGAGTGTGCCCTGCAGGATGGTGCCTGATGGAGAGGGTAAGTGGAGTCTGAAATGTAGCCTGTGATGTGTTTGTCAAGCTACATGCCCATTACGTTGCAGTTGCCAGAAGCAGTGGTTTTTTTTCTCATTCATACAAAAGTCCTTTATGGGGTACTGAACAGGACTGGAAGCAGAAATTTAAGTAGGCTTACAAACAAGGGCAAGAACCCAAGCCTTAATACTGAGGCCAAGTGGAAGATTTTCTCTCCATCAATTCATACCCCTGTTGAATTATATTCATTGGAAGTAATACATGCTTTGGAATTTTAGCTTAAATTTGGATTACTGTTTCTTAAAATGTCTTCAAAAACATTACAAAAAGATACAGTATTAACAAAAAAGTGATTAGTATGCAAAAGGTTGCCTGTGATAGATAACTTAATTAAAGGTAGTAGACAACAGGAAGTCTTTTAGATTAGTTATAGAAAATGTCACAGCCAGGAGAGGTGGGCGTGATTGATTTCTATCAATATAGAAAATGTCACCTCAGGAGAGGTGGGCGTGATTGAGTACTATCAGTTAATGTGGCACAGCTATCTATCTCAAGTTTCCAGGTGATTTTCAGTAGAAAGTGTTTATAATCCATCTGATAAAAGTAGTTAGGAAAGAAATTTAGGAAGAAATAAAATCTAAGTAGTACTTAAAAAGAAATATTCTTTCATATACCTCAGTATTTTACAGGGTACCTCAAAGGGGCTAAAGTGTCTGAGAGGATGAACTAGCGTTAAAAAGATCAATTACTCTGCTGCTGTGCAGCACCTGAAGACTGTGGATCTGGAATGAGAAGAAAGCTGTAATTAATTCTTCAGTTCAACTAAACTTTTTTTTTTCTAATCTAACTTCTTGATGTACTGTACCTTTCTCATTCATGTTTTATTTAACATTTTAGACCAGTTACAAATAAAATAAGTTCTAGTTTTCTTCAGGTTTTACCATCATAGATATTACATAGTGTGTTATACATCCCTTAAATATATTTTAAGATCACCAGCACTACAAAATGGGTTTAGACTCATAGCTGCTTTAGGAAGATATGAGGGAAGGATGTGTATGATTCCCCATTTTCCAGAAGAGAAATATATATAACAGCTCAAAATATAATACAATTGTCAAACTACATGAAAGCAGCTATTAGTTTAAAAAAGTAATAAAAGTGCAAAAAATTTAAAAAGACAGAATGTAAGAAAAGTAACTTTAGGCTAGGCGTGGTGGCTCATGCCTGTAATCCCAGCACTTTGGGTGGCCGAGGCGGGTGGATTATCTGAGGTCAGGAGTTCGAGACCAGCCTGGCCAACATGGTGAAACCCTGTCTCTACTAAAATACAAAAATTAGCTGGGTGTGGTGGTGCACGCCTGTAATCCCAGCTACTCTGGAGGCTGAGACAGGGGACTCGCTTGAACCCGGAAGGTGGAGGCTGCAGTGAGCCGAGATAGTGCTACCACACTCCAGCCTGGGCAACAGAGTGAGACTCCATCGAAAGGGAAGGGAAGGGAAGGGGAAGGGGAAGCGGAAGGGGAAGGGGAAGGGAACAAAGTAACTTTAGTGCAGGAAGACACTAGATGAGAAGAAATAACCATTTACCCACCTTTTGTAGTGAATGAAGTTCAATATTAATGACATTGGGGTTTGCGTCATTTCCCTCCTCCTTAAATATTTTTTTCGAATTATAACTATGATTTGATCCCTGTGTGTTAGTTGTTTATAAAGTTTCTAAACATCTCTTTTAGGTATGAATGTCAGATTTTCTGTTAATTTTGACAATTTGGTAATTTATATATTTTTGAAAAATCATCCCACCGAAACTTTAAAATACATCAATAAATATTTTTATCATTGATTTCACTTTTTATTTTATATCCTTATTTCTTCCCCAATCTCCTGGTGTCTAAAAATAGACAATCTGTATGCACATATTAAAATAAGTGTAATTTTGTTTTGTCATCTGTAATGTAACATTCAACCACAAACAACATTTGTTCATCTGCAATGCACCATTCAAAATTTCCCTCAAATCCATATTCCATGAAAAAAAAAGCATAAAGAATTCCATGGGAGTCTGCCTTGATAATGGAAGGCAGGCTCTCTGCTCATAACCCCAACACACATTAAATGGACTGAGAAAAATTTATTCCTTCTGCTCCCAGAATTCTAAAACTATCAGAATCACAGAACTAAAAGAATAATTTGACACATTCTTATATTCACCAACTTATTTCCCAGTTTATGCCAACTTACAAATGAGAGTTTATTATTTTTTTTTCAATTCTTCATATGGGGCTGTACTCGGATATGACCCTCAATTACTCATGTTACAAGAAAGACATTTATGCTTAAACAAAAACTCTTTCATTGTGCTTTGAATCTGGTTTATATACTGTAACATGGATGGGAATATTTGTAGAAATGTCTACATTGCTTTAAAACATGCGTAAAACTTCTTTCAAGTTTCAGGAAGCACTCTCGCTGGTTTAGTTCCAGGAAGCATTCTTGCTGGTTCCCATCTTTGGTGGGAATCTTGAAGATAATTAATTGGTGCAAAAGAAAGTAAAGTGACTTTGTGAGAGAATCTATGAAGACAATTCAAAAAAGGTGAGCACAAAAAAAGACAAAAACAGAGCGGAGCAGTTACTGTAAATTAAATGTGTGATGTGTGTTTCTTAGATTTCCCTATTGTCTTTTATGCACGTACTAAAAATATAAAATACATGAAAACTTTACGTATATATGCCTAAGAAAAAACATTGCAAGTTTGCCCCTTTTCACATTCTCTTCTTTATTGAAATGTGAAAGGAGTTTTCTGAAGAAAGTCCTAAAATATTGCAAAAGAATATTCTTTTGGCATAGAATGTGTCATCTCCGGACAATTCTAATCCCAACTTGATAATCATGAGTAACTCGTGAAAATATAAAAGATGTGGTTTGTATCTGTGCCCCACAGCCCAATGTGTGAGCAGACTCCCTTAAGAAAAAATCTTCAAAGGCGACAAAAATACATTTTCCTTTATTATGGGATGTTTGTTTTGAGGATAATCAGAGTATATATTAATTATTAGAGATAATGCTTATAACATTTGTAGGATAGTAACAATGCCTTATGTATTTTAAGGGTTTCTAGATACTAGTTCCTTATGCCTGTTTCTCCTTCTGCCACATCTATCCATATGTCATAATCTCATATGAAATCATTTTTTTATTCTCACACTTCAAAATCAAATTTATTCTGTGTGATAATTTTATTTCCTTATCCTTACTGTATTTATAGTTGTAAAATATTAATATACTTATATTTCATTTATGAAACTTTAAAACATAATTGAGAGACTTCTGTATCTGGGTAGGATGGGGCAATTTGTGGCAGAACAATGTTGCTATAAAAAACTAGAAAAGTTCATAAAAATTTGTTTTAAAAATATGTTTAGAGGAATCAGGGTGCTTCAGGAGCAACGATAACTACAGGCACTAAAATTTTTGAGTAGATAGAACCTCTCAGAGGTGAGGTGATCATCTGTGATTGCTTTTCTTCTGAAGTCACAAGCCTTGGGTAGTGAGAATCTGGGCTTATGGGAGAGGGCTACTCCCGGGGAGCAGGATGCCAGCAAAGCCCTTGGTAGCTACAAGGGGCAGTAGGAAAGTGAAGGAAGAAAGTATTGAGACTTGAGGGGCTTCAATAGTTGGTGTTCTTTTCAAGACATTTGTCTGTCCACATTTGAAGTGGCATGAAATGGAAAGCCAAGAGATTGACCTGAAAGCATGTGGTGAACATATCAGCATATTTCTTACAGAATTCCTATGTGAAAAACAAAGATTTACCAGTAAGGGGGGACAAATAACACAGAAAGATAGGATTGAAAATCGTTTAGGGAGAGCTAAGTTGACACTCTGTAGTCAATCTCTTTCCTGGGAGTACTTGGTAAAGATAAAAATCAAGGAAGAGTTAGCTGCTGAACTCTAGGGCCAAGAGCAAGGTGTACGTGGCCAGAGCCTTACTCAAACCACAGCCCAGTGTAGACGCAGCTCAGCCCTGATGAGATGAAGTTAATTAGCCTCCCTTTACCCCTGTATATCTGCCAAGTTGTGGAATGGATGAATCATCTCTTCGGTGGAAGCTAAAATTATAAAGTCTCTCTACAATTCTTACTCACTATGTCAAGCAGTCAATAAACAATTACCAAGCATTCCAGGAAACAGGACCATCATATAACAGAAACCAGAAAAAAAAAAAAAGACGTAAAATAGAGTTAGATCCAGAGTTGATCAAGATCTTGAAGTTAGTAGATAAGGTATTTAAAATTGGTATTTTATGATTGATTAACATGATTAAAATTTTAATACAATTATGGGGGTGATAGGACAAATTGATGAAAAAAATAGAGGCTTTCACCAGAGAAGTAAACTTGTAAGAAGAATCAATAGGCAGTTTTAGAAATATATAGCACATTTCAAGTTAAGTCATACATGAGTTCAATAGATGATTAGAAATTAGGTATGAAAGAAGACAAAATTAGTAACTGAAAAACAGTTTATAGAAAATGTCAAAATTGAAGTACAATGTGAGTAAAGGATGAAAATGATGAAAAATGCAGAAAGGATGTATAGAATCCAGTTAAAAATTCTAACGCACATGCAATGGGAGTACCATATGGAGAGGAGCAAGAAAAGGGGACAAAAGCAATCAGTGGAATAATAACGGCTAGAAATTTTCTTAAATGGTTGAAATAAATCAACCATTTATTTGAGGAAGCTCTAGAAATGCCAAATCAAATAAATATAAAGATAGCCCACCTAGGTAAGTCACAGTTAAATTATTTAAGAAAATGAGAAGGAGAAAAAAAAACTTTTAAAATTCTTGGAAAAATATACATCACTTTTAAAAAAAAGCAACAGTGAGACTGAAATGATTTCAAACACCAATGATCAAAGACAGAAAGCAAATAATACTATGAAAGTGCTGAAAGAGAGTAACTGCCAATCTATAATTCATTATCTACCAAAAGTGTGCTCCATACATGAAAGCAAAAATATTTATCTTAATCAAACATAAACTTATTGCCAGCATATAATTATGAAAACAATCCTGTAAGGACTTTTTTCAGACTGAAGAAAAATGATTTCAGTCACAAACAGTATTGCAGAAAGGAATGAAGAGTACTGGAAAAGACAAATATGTTGGCAAATATAGATAAATATAAAATGATAATGTCATAAAAGTTAAAATATTTTGGAATTAATATGCATGACAAAAATAAGTCTGGAAGGGATAAATGAAGTTATTCTTATGTCCTAACATTAGTGGGGAAGTTGTAAAAGTAATTATTTTAGTTAGACTGTATAAGTCAAGAATACATGTTTTAATCTCATCAGTAACTTCTGAAAGTACAGTTAAAGAGTGTTTGTGTGTATGTGTGTGTGTGTGTGGTGTGTGTATTCAGCAAGGTCATATGATAGCATTATGTAAAAGGTCTATATAGCAGAGGTTAAATAGAAAGATTTTATTAATACAAAAGCTACAAAAGGAAAGGAAAGTGCCATAAAACATGCAGGTTAATTGCAAACAAATTATAGAATGGTAGTTTTTAACCAAAATACATTTTTAATTATAATAAATGTAAATGAACTATCTCAATTAAAGGAGTAAGACTGTCTGATTACATATAGAGAAAAAAAATAAAAGGCTGCTTACAAAATGGATCCAGAGTCAATTTTATGTCTTATTCTTTCTGTGGCTCTCTCACTTCCATGAGCCTACCCTGATTTCATCTCTGCTGAAGACATTCTCAGTTCTCCACTACCTCAATTCAGTAATGCTGCTGTTCTCTGCTACTGGAAACAGAAAATATGGGGAATGCTCTAATATTTTTCATAACCAGGAACTTGCAATTCTTACCTCTCACAGCTGCTGCCTTTTGGGAGTAATCTTTCCTGCAGTTTATTCCAGCTTTAGTCACTTATCAGCCAGTGTCTTCAAATAGTTTTACAGTAAATATTTTGCTTAGATTTTATAATTGTTGTCTATGGGAAGGGTTTCCTGGCTGAGACATGACAATATCATTACTGAATATAGTTTTTAAATAATAGTTTTTAAAAAAACAACTTTTTTATAGTGGGAACTGCTACTGTGAAGAAAAAGAAACATAATAAAAATAAATAAAAACAACTTTTTTAGGCAAAAGCCAATTTATATTCTGATTTTATAATTCTCTGTAAATCTTAGTGAACATTTCTTTATATCCAACTCCATTATTGTTTCTTCTGTAAATATTCAACTAATGTTCTTTGTTACTTTTTAGATATTTCACTTATTTATTTCTAAACCATATAAAATATTTAGGATTTACCATACTTATTTTGAATTTTATTCTTTATCATGTTTATTTCATATTTATTTTGATAAAATAAAGATGTATTTTTAGTTAACTTTCATTAAGATATTTTTGCCATATTTCCTCCACACAATTTCTGAATTTTATATACATAAGCTATTAATCGATTCAGCCCTGGCATAATTTCACTTTATATGCATTATTTTGTAAGGAATTGTTTTATATTTTAACATTTAAATAATCATATTAGTAATAGTAAGTTAGACTTAACACCATGTTTTCCTGGTTTGCTTTATCACTTCCATTTGTTAAAGTAACATTTCCTATTCGTATTGAATTTTTTTGAGAATTTTTGGTTGGCTAGAGTACTTCTTTAAGTAACACATTTTCAACAAAGTACATATGCAGAAAGGCTGCTGGATATCTGATAATTTTCCATTCAACTTCAACATGAATTAGATTATTACCTAGCTATGAATTTTTATGTTGACTATATTTTTCCCTCAGAAATCCTAGGAGTGTATTCATTTCTTTAAGTTTACAAAGAAAAACTTGGTTTTTGCTTATGTGTTTGGATATGAATGTTTTTCTTGCTGAATACTTTCAAGAAATTTTTAAAAAACATTTTCTTGACCCCATGAGTATATACACCTGCTATGTACCCATAAAAATTTAAAATAAAATGTAAACAAATAAATAAAATTTACATTAAAAATATTTTCTTGAAAAGCAAATAATTAACCTTGTTATGTTCGGATATCTGTGCAATTTATTTATAATATTTGGTGATTCTTTTAATTTACAGATACCACCCCCTGATAAAAATTAAAAGCAACAAAAATACCTTCCTAATAATCTCTGACATACAGAGCTGAAAGGAATCAGAAACAATGAGTAACATGGTTGAGAAGCACATAATAAGCTTCTCAATTTTAGATGTTACTCAATGTATTAAAGAGTCAATAAGCCCAAAGGTGCCAAATGTATCAAAGGAAGGTCAGTTAATAGAAATATTTATCAAATAAAGATCAACTAACACCTCTTCAGTATCTTTCGGAATGTTGTGAAACACGTAATATAACTTTTCTCCATTCCCCACTGTTGATCATTCTCATTAGAATTTTGTGTTAAGAAATGCATCGAATGTGTTGCTTAGTAAAAAGCTTACTAACATTCTTACAGACAGTGAAATTATAATAAAATAGCAAACGTGATTAAAAGCAACATTTGTATATTCAATGATTGTATTTCTTTAACTAATATTTCAATTTTAGGAAAGACTTTTCAGATAAATTCCAAGTCAAATAACTTTAAATGACAATATTTATTGTGAATCTATGAAGTTGAGCACTTATATTGTTTATATTTTGAAATATCTACTTAGGCCTATCAAAAAGTATAATAAATACATTCATACTTCGTTGTAGGGTTAATTAAAAGTCATATAGAGTGGCACAAATGCTAAAGCAATAATGTTAACTACAATCTGAAGATTAAACATAAGAAACACAGGTTGCTTTCTCTCTGGCCTGTAATGTTTCAGAGTTTTATTATACCTCTCTTTGGTAATGCATCAAGATCTGGAGATAAGAAATAAGAACAGAAAATTTATCTCCATGAGATTTTGTCTGCAGTACCAATAATGTGCAGGTATTCCTCATTTCTCTAAGGTCACAGAATTCACCACCAAAATTGCTGTGACTTCATAAGCACTGTGATACTAACAGACTGTTGTGTCATAGTCATCATTGCCACATTCGAAGTATGACACCTGTTTCCCAACAGCAGGACAATTATACCCAATTAAATAAGATATTTTTAAATATAACATAGCTAATATTGCCTTGGTTGTAGAGTTGTTTTGCCCATTTATATCCTGGCAGAAAAGAAGACTGATTGGTACTGAACCTATGTAAAATAATTTTTTAAAAAAGGTTGTGAAAACACTCAATATAATATCTGGCCATCATCCCAGATAGTTATGTTCCTAACATCAATTGCTATCATTCCTATTTGTTGTATAATAATCCTAGATTCCCCCAGCAAGACTATTAAGAAATTGACTTATTTATAAATATTATTAGAATTAGTAAAATTCAAATTTAGAGTCCTTAGTTAAATGAGTTGTGATGTCTCCGTTTAACCTATTGCAAAAAGTACTGATTTAAATCTCAGTTTCTAGAGTCATCATCTGTAAATGCCCCGATGATATATTAAGCTTGTGAGAAGTCTCAAGGCATAGTCTATGAAGATCACTTATATAATGCTTATATTATTTTCTATGCTGAAATAACAAATTACCACAAACTTAGTGACTTAAAACAAAACATATTTATTATCTCACAGTTTCTGTGGACTGAGTCTAGGTGCAAGTCATCTGTATCTGATGACTCCTGTGATTGAGAAGGCTGGAATCAAAATGCCAGCCAGGCTGAGATTTCATTACAGGCTCAACTGGGGAAAGATCTGTTTCCCAGTTCCCTCTCGTTATTTGTACAATTTATTTCCTTGTGGATATTTATAGGATTTATGCAAGCTTGATTCTTCAAAGCCAGCAAAGGAGAGAGAGAGAGAGCAAAGGAGAGAGAGAGAGAGAGAGAGAGAGAGAGAGAGAGAGAGCAAACGAGGAGAGAGAGAGCGCGCAACTCTAGCAAGTTAAGCACTATATATATTCAAGCACACTTAATCATACACATTCCATTACCTTTGCCACAATCTACTTCTTATGAAGAAGTCAAAGGTCCCACCCACACACAAGAGGAAAGCATCTCATAGAAGCTTGGCTACTGGAAGGTAAGACTCAAGTGGACCACCTTAAAGGCTGTCCACCATAGTGCTCAAGTGGGAAATTATTCTGAGCATTTTATTTCTTTGCTGTCTAAATTGGAGTATCTCTGGTTTGCCATATGATTCTTTTAACAAAATTAGAGCGATCAGCTGGAAGAGCATATTATTTAAAGAATTTGTTCTGGTTTGCATAATTATGACCTACTAACTTGAGAATTACAGATAGTACAACAGTTCTCTGAACAAAGTGGCACAAAAAATAGTACATAATGAAATAGAAATATCCTTCACTGCTTGTCATAGATTTTGATAATTTTATGCCACAGGAAATTAAGTAATAAATTGGTTAATTGATAATTAAATATATTATTAAATTGCAAAATAAATTCAATGTAATTATTAATTGTCTTTGGAGGTAAGCACATATATTTCCTTCATTATCAGATTATTTCTGTATTTTATAAATTAATTTAAAGCAAACTGTGTTACTTAACGCCAGCATAAAACAATTTCTAAGACTCTTAATTAATTTTGAAATATTAGAGGTAATCAACAAGTGACATCAGTTACATTTAATGGAAGTAATAATAACATACCTGACCACTAAACTAGTATAGGGAAAATTTGAAGTTAAAATTAGTTAAGCTTTTTATGAGAAAATTAACTCATCTCACATAAGCTTAATGTTATGCTTTTATTATATTCCAGTCAGAGATAAAAATCAAGGAGAAATAATGTAGTTGTCTTTCAAACAAAAATGAGTAAAGTAATCTAACATGTCCAAGGATTTCTCTTGATTTGAGATATTAACTGACTTAGGTCTTTATATTATTCTTTCACACAGGATTAGTATTAAAAGTCTTGAAATAGTTTTATAAGCTTTTACTGAAACTTTGTTACTACCTTTTTATAATTAGTAATTGCTAGCAGCTAGACTGAAAATATTTGCATTTCTCTGCTTCATATTATAAACCTATTAATTATACCTACAATTCCTCTACCACGACACAGCTTGATTTGCTGAGGCAAAGTTTGACTAGATGGCACTAAATTTGCTGAAAACAGTAAGCACAATAAGAAAGGCATAAGAGGGCCAGGTGCAGTGGCTCACGCCTGTAATCCCAGCACTTTGGAAGACCGAGGCAGGTGGATCACGAGGTCAGGAGATTGAGACCATCCTGGCTAACACGGTGAAACCCCATCTGTACTAAAAATACAAAAAAATAATTAGCCAGGCGTGGTGGCAGGCCCCTATGGTCCCAGCTACTCGGGAGGCTGAGGCAGGAAAATGGCGTGAACCTCGGAGTTAGAGCTTGCAGTGAGCTGAGATTGTGCCACTGCACTCCAGCCTGG
This sequence comes from Homo sapiens, assembly GCF_000001405.40. Lineage (NCBI taxonomy): Eukaryota > Metazoa > Chordata > Mammalia > Primates > Hominidae > Homo > Homo sapiens. The sequence continues at coordinate 38,209,337 of NC_000013.11, forward strand.
GTGACAAAGTGAGACTCTATCTCAAAAAAAAAAAAAAGAAAGAAAAAGAAAGAAAGAAAAAAGAAAGGCCTAAGAGGGCTGGGCGCAGTGGCTCACACCTGTAATCCCAGCACTTTGGGAGGCCGATTCAGGCATATCATGAGGAGATCAAGACCATCCTGACCAACATGGTGAAACCCCGTCTCTACTAAAACACACATAAAAAATTAGCCAGGTGTGGTGGCATGCGCCTGTAATCCCAGCTACTTGGGAGGCCGAGGCAGGAGAATCGCTTGAACCCAGGAGGCGGAGGTTGCAATGAGCCGAGATCATGCCATTGCACTCCAGCCTGGGCAACAGGGTGAGAACCCATCTCAAAAAAAAAAAAAAAAAAAAAAAAGAAGAAAGAAAGAAAGGCATAAGAAACGCATAAGTTCCTTCTCTCTTATAGTCTCCCTCTAGTACTCTTCTTCATGAGAACATAATAGGAAACCATATGACAAGGCAAAACATACGGTTTTCTAGCCCAAGCTTCACAAACTGAGTATAAAGGTAGAGGAGGGTGATGTGGCCACACTGCTCAGATCAGAAGCTGGGAGTGTTATGAGCAGTCTCATCTGTAGTTCCTTCAGAGCGGAACATGGCTGCTGAAAGCTGCTTCACCGAAGAACATGGTCATTCCTGGATAGCCCATATCTGATGACTGTTCCTCAGCTTATAAAGGCTCCACCATTTTGGCTTACTGTGAGACAACTGTAATGAGCTCTATACAACCTACAGCTCCACAGGGCACTAGGCAGAGTTTTATCATTTCTGTGTTACAATTATTGCAGCCCAATTCTCCCTCATACCAGTCCTACCTTCCACCTGTCCTTCTACCAGTGTTTCTAATATGCCCTGCTTGTTACACTCAGTCTCAGTGTCTGCTTCTGGAGCACCCAACCTGGGGAAGGCAGGTGTATAGCTGAGACAATAGCTTGGTAAGCAGTAGAGTCCACCTATTTGGCTAATCAGTATCCCATCTAAATATATCCAAAGGTCCATATGACAGTAAAAAATTTATACTTTCAACCAACAATTTCTCCTAATAATTATTCTTTGAACACATTAAGACATACTCATCCTCTCCTCCTAAGGGGGAGACCCAAAGTCCCAGGTCATTTCATTCATTGCTAGATGATAGTCACAGGGTATGTGTCTGGAAGGTGTGAATTATTCCCCAAATTCAGTAACAGTCCCATCTGAATGTTCTGAAACTAAACACAATGTTATAATGTTAACCACTAGAACAACCCTATTTATGATAATAAATGGCAGAAGGGAAAGAAAAGAAATGTCATATTCATTAATAAAAACAAAAGTACATACCTAATAATAGAAGAATCTACTCATAACTGATACTGCCTTCATTCCTATAACTAATGATGAGTCTCTGAGATGAATAGTTTCAATTTCTACTTCCTACTTCCATCTGTACTACCCATTCCGTGATTTCTTTACCTCAGTGGGGACCTCAGCTTTTCCCAAGATTCTTTATCTTGTGAAGTGACTCAAACCTTCATTTTCGAATTGTCTGAGGCCACAATGATTATACCTTTTATGATTGCTACCAAACAAGAAGTAGCAAAAGGCACCCACCCCAGAGAATACGTAGGTCCTCTATTCTATTCCACATTACTTAAAAGCAGCTCAATTTCTCCTTGGTAATTAGAATCAGTCACCTCAACCAGTATGTTAACCCTCTTCTTTATATATTGGCTCATTGTCATGTGGAGAACCAAACGGCTAGGAAGCAATCTCAATTTCCAATTCAATGGAATCACTGTTGGGTTCCTTGATGGAAATACTCCTCTGTTGGCAAGTAGAACCTGCAAATCAACAGCTTTCAAAGCTGTGGAAACAGAAACCAAAAAATTCTGTGAATGGGTTGTTAGGGAGATTAATAAGGGTCAACCCTTCCATTTCCCTTTCCATATTCTGGCAATGGGAGAAATAAATTGGTCACTTTTAAAGTAAGAACAAATCTTCTCTGTAGACTCATAAAGCCCCATCTGTTGGTTACTCCCTTTACCATTGTTGTAGCTACTAAGGTGCTTACACAGACAGGAAGGCATCCTCAGAAAGCAGTTTGAAAATGAGTGCTGTAGGAGGTTTGTAAATTGCACTGTACATGACAGAAATCATTGTCCCTGGCCCATGCACCAGATATCTGGGGAACTTGCCCCCAATATTTCAATGTAGGTTCTTTCTATTTTCCCTAAGTGTTGGCCGATCTGAAAAATAAAGAGAAAGAGTACAAGGAGAGGAATTTTACAACTGGGCCGCCAGGGGTGACATCACATATTGGTAGGTCTGTGATGCCCACCTGAGCTGCAAAACCAGCAAGTTTTATTAAGGATTTCAAAAGGGGAGGGGGTGGACAAACAAGGAGTAGGTCACAAAGATCACATGCTTCAAAGGGCAAAAAGGAGAACAAAGATCACATGTTTCTGAGGCCAATAAAGATCACAAGGCAAAGGGCAAAGTAAAGATCACAAGGCAAAGGGCAAATCAAAAACTCCTGATAAGGATCTATGTTCAGCTGTGCACGTATTGTCTTGATAAAGATCTTAAACAACAGAAAACAGGGTTTGAGAGCAGAGAACCACTCTGACCTCAAATTTACCAGGGAGCGGTTATTTTCCCCACCCTAATAAGTCTGAGGGTATTGCAGGAGACCAGGGTGTATTTCAGTCCTTAACCGCATAAGACAGACACTCCCAGAGTGGCCATTTATAGACTTTCCCCCAGGAATGCAATTCTTTTCCTAGGGTCTTAATATTCCTTGCTAGGAAAAGAATTTAGCGATATCTCTCTTACTTGCACGTCCGTTTATAGGCTCTCTGCAAGAAGAAAAATATGGCTCTATTCTGCCTGACCCCGCAGGCAGTCAGACCTTATGGTTGTCTTCCCTTGTTCCCTAAAATTGCTGTTATTCTGTTCTTTTTCAAGGTGCACTGATTTCCTATTGTTGAAACACACATGTTTTACAATCAATTTTTATACTTAATGCAATCATCACAGTGGACCTGAGGTGACATACATCCTCAGCTTAGGAAGATAACGGGATTAAGAGATTAAAGTAAGACAGGCGTAAGAAATTATAAGAGTATTATTAGGGAAGTGATAAATGTCCAAGAAATCTTCAAGATTTATGTTCCTTTGCCGTGGCTCCAGCTATCCCTCCGTTCGGGGTCTCTGACTTCCCACAACAGTACTGTTACCCAACTTTTGTCATAATGGTGTCTTAAATGACTACTCTACGAAACCACCAGTCCAGCCAGCAAACTAGTAATGTAATTAGCATAGTCCTATCCCCAGCTTTATAAGGCAGAATATAGAAGAGTGGGTCTAAAACCAAGAAATAGCATATTGACCAGCAAAACACCCCTGCAGGAAGGATTCATGCATACCTTACATGTCTGTAGATTACAAGTAGAGTTTGAACTTATTCTAAGTGTTATGATATTAGAAAGTTTTAAGTAGAGCAATGACACAATTTGGTTTCCCTTTTGAAATACTACTTGGGCTACTCTGTGGAGAAGAGTTGCTCTCTTTGGATGTGTTACATAAGATGGAGAAAGATAAAGATATTGTGAGGCAGTTATCGCTGTGATGGTTAATATCGAGTATCAACTTGATTGGATTGAAGGATGAAAAGTATTAATCCTAGGTGTGTCTGTGAGGGTGTTGCTAAAGGAGATTAACATTTGAGTCAGTGGACTGGGATAGGCAGACCCACCCTCAATCTGGGCAGGCACCATCTAATCAGCTGCCAGTGTGGCTACAATAAAACAGGCAGAAGAAAGTTGAATAAGCAGACTTGCTGTCTTCCAGTCTATATCTTTCTTTCTGTGCTGGATGCTTCCTGCCCTAGAACATCAGACTCTAAGTTCTTCTGCTTTTGGACTCTTGGACTTACACCAGTGATTTGCAGGGGCTCTCAGGACTTCAGCCACAGACTGAAGGCTGCACTGTCAGCTTCCCTACTTTTGAAGTTTTGGGACTTGGACTGGCTTCCTTGCTCCTCAGCTTGCAGATGGCCTATTGTGGGACTTTATTTTGTGATCGTGTGAGTCAATACTCCTTAATAAGCTCCTCTTCATATATACATTTATCCTGTTAGTTCTGTCTCTCTAGAGAACTCTGACTAACATATTAGCCATCCAAGAGAAGATTATGAATAGGCAGTAGGATGACCTGGTGCTCAGTGAAGTGGCCTGCATTACTCATATAAATTTGAAAGTCATCAACATATTGAGTCTATATAGGTAATATGATTTAAGCCAGAGAATGGTTAAGATCACCCAGGGAAAAAGTGTAGCTAGACAAATTGAATGACATAAAGATTAGGTAATAGAGCTTTCCAATCTTTTTAAGTAAGGTAGGAATGTACACTTCTTGGGAGTCTGATTAGGTAAAGACTCTGGAGGCTAATTGTTCTAGAACATTGTTTTCAAATACTTATTTTTAAAACTTTCCTAACATAAAATCTGGTAAGAATAGATTGTCTCTGGATTAAGTTGTGGGCAGTGGGCTCAGTTGTGGGCTCAGTTTCCCATCTATGTGACACTTCTCAACGTTAGCTGTGGCTCTGAGGCACTCATGTAGACTTGCAGCCACTGGCAGAAAACAGTTTGAAACTTCTTGTTGCAACAGGCAACTAAAAGTGTAAGTACGACCCCTTGTGTAGAATGGACACCTGCCTCCAACAATGTGGATGTTGAGGCCCAATAATCATTACAGAGTTAATTAACACTTATGAAATGTCTGTACAAGTGGAAGGCTCAAATTTATTCCCTTTAAGGGTCTTTTACCTGCTCTGCTCAACTTTTCTCCCTGAATTATTCCAAACAAGTACATTGTCAGGGCTCAGATAACAAGCAAATCTTAGGCAATGGAATTTTCTTCCAAGTATCAATGAAACAATATATCAAAATTACAGGCTATAGAGAGTTTTTTTTTCTCTGTAGTATATTTTGACAAATTCTATTGATCATCATAAAATACCTTTTCCTGAGAGCCTCTCCAAAGGAATTAAGTATGTCTGAAGCAGTGCCCAAGATTTGGTATTTTCAAAAACTCCACTGATGATTCTGGAGATCAGCCCCATTTGGGACCTTTTGAATGGTACTAAGAGGAATCTTTGCTCTGGCAAAGACTTGGAACCAACCCAAATGTCCAACAATGATAGACTGGATTAAGAAAATGTGGCACATATACACCATGGAATACTATGAAGCCATAAAAAAGGATGAGTTCATGTCCTTTGTAGGGACATGATGAAGCTGGAAACCATCATTCTCAGCAAACTATCACAAGGACAAAAAACCAAACACTGCATGTTCTCACTCATAGGTGGGAATTGAACAACGAGAACACCTGGACACAGGAAGGGGAACATCACACACGGGGACCTGTCGTGGTGTGGGGAGAGGTGGGAGGGAAAGCATTAGGAGATACACCTAATGTAAATGATGAGTTAATGGGTGCAGCACACCAACATGGCACATGTATACATATGTAACAAACCTGCATGTTGTGCACATGTACCCTAGAATTTAAAGTATCATTAAAAAAAAGAGGAATCTTAATGATAGTAAATTTATAGCAGTGCCTCACAGCTGAATTATCTGGTAAGTGAAGGGTTTTCGCATATGGTCATAACAAAGAAAATGTCACGATTATTTTACAGTGTGAAATTTTGTACCAGATGAACAACTGAAGAGAGGACCATTTAATTAACAGTAATGTTTAACTAACTGATCATCACCATACCCAGAAGAAGGCCCGCTGCACTTAGTAGATGTGTCAATCTTCATATACAGCAGCTTGGTTGTCCATGATGACTGCCCACCTGACGAGTCAGCCATCCACTATGAACGTTAGAGTGTTTTACGGACACCCTTTGCTGGAGGCATCCAGGACCCAGAAGACTATCTGACATCTGGACATCAGAGTGGGAAATTGTCAAGGGCTTTCAGTTTGGTCACTGTGACATGATCCCTTTCATGATCCATGCCATTTCCCTTTTATTGCCCAGATAATTCAGCTGCAAGGTTTTGTAATGAACAAACTCTCATTAACATCTTTCTTATGGAAATTTAGAGAACAAGGATATTTGTTAAGTGGTGTTTAGATGCAATTTCCCCCCAGTTGGCAATTCCGCTAAATAAATAAATGTGTTCTACAAACAAGTGGTGGATGTACATGCATTTGTTATTGCTTAAATAAAACAGGTGTTTGTTAAGCACTTAATCATATTTTTACCACAAGTAAGTTTATGCTTTCTGGGAGAGTACAGTTTATAGAATCTTGTCTATTATTTTGATTGTTTATGAGTATAAGAATTATCATGAAGGTCTTTATAAACTAATACCTTGGGTAGAACAGTTGATACCCCTTTCAAATCCTCATGTAATAAGAGATTTTGTAATACTTCCTAGAGTCATATGCAGTCAATGAGGGATCAGAGTTACCATGCAAAACATTATTATATGTATAGAGCACCTACTTGAAACAATCCTCCACATCACACAAAATGTTAATGTCCCATACTCAAAACTGCTGTGGAATGGTAAGAAACATTCATATTATGAAGAACTGTGGATCTTATTCATACCAATACAGAATCAATCAGAGCAGGCTAACTCTTTCCCCTTCCTCTGTGTTGGGACAGATGCTTTTAGGAATAGTAAATCAGGAATTTGACTGTAAAATAGCAACAATAATACAATAACAACAAAACAACCACCAATAGTGGCATTCATCATTATAGTGAACATTATTGTAGCTTCTGCTTAATAAGAATCTATAAAATATTAGGCAGAGTGTTAACACTTTACATTCTCTTTAAATTTTAATTACATATAATCATCTCAATGGTTCCATAAAGAAGCTATTATCAACCCTATTAAACAAATGGAACACTGGGAAAATACGTAGTTTGCCTAAGGCAATGCAGCTAGAAAGTGATGGAGTTAGGATCCTAATCCAAACTTTTCTTAAACTGGATTAGACTTGAAGATGACTTTGGTTTGGCTGGTACAGCACTGCAATGGACTTTTATTTGCATATGTTTAGGGCACTATTCTGTCTTTGTGTTCCACTGCTCCTCCTTGACTGCCTTGTTGCATGCTAAGTGCATATTTTATAGTGTTCGTTTTCATTCCTTTGCTCATTTTTTGGCTTATGTATTAACTATATATTTCCAAATTATTTTCTCAGTAGTTGCTGTAAGGATTAAAATGTGCATCTTAATTTATCATAATCTGCTTCAGAATAATACTACATTAACTCCACTAAAATATATAACTGCAGCATCATTTCCTCCTCTATTCTATATGCTATTATTGTTACATATAGGACATCTATATATAAGTCCAGGCTGGGTGCAGTGACTCATGCCAGCACTTTGGGAGGTCAAGGTAGAAGGATCGCTTATGGCCAAGAGTTCAAGGCCATCCTGGGCAACATGGTGATATCCTTTCTCTTCAAAAATTAAAAAAAATAAGCTGGGCATGGTAGCACATATCTGTAGTCCCAGCAACTAGGGAGGTTGAGGCAGAATGATTGCTTGAGCCCAGGAGTTCTAGGTTGTAGTGAGTTGATATTGCACCATTGTAGAGTGAGGCCATGTCTCAAAATAAATAAATAAATAAGTCCAGTAACACAGGGCCATAATTATTGTTTTATGCAATTTCATGTTTTTAAGGTAGTTTAAAGAAAAAAAGACAAATAGATTTATATAGTTTTTTATATTTGCATCCAAGTTTACTATTTAGGGTAGTCTTCATTTCCCTCTGCATGTTTTAGTCACCAGCTAGAGTTGTTCCCTTTCAATCGGAAGATCTTTTAGTACATTTTTAAAGGTGTGTCCCTAGCAACAGATCCTTCTAGTTCTGTTTTTTCTGGGAATATCTTCATTTGCCTTCATTAAAAACAAAATTATGAAGGTGTATTTTGCTTATCATATAATTCAACCATTACAATTGCACAACTTAAAGTATTTAATGTAAATCTACATTGTTATACAACTATTACCATAAAACAATTTTAGAACATTTTCACCACCCCAATAAGATCTATTGTGTTCCTTAATTACCTCACTTCTCAACCCAAGCTAAACACTAATTCACTCTCCATCTCCATAGAATTTCATCTACACATTTTATGAAAAAGGAATTCTACAATTGTCCTCTGGTCTCCTCCACCAAGCATAATGCTTGTGAGCTTTATCTGTGTTATATACACACCAGCAATTTGTTTTGCACCCTGCTGAGCATTAGTACTGCAGAGATACCGATACTCTGTCCATCAACCCAACGGTAAATGACAGCTAGGATTGGGATCCTTTCTCACCATTAGCAATGCTATTGAGAACATTTGTACACAAATCTTTATGTGGGTATATATTTTAATTTCTCCTGACTAAACACACCCAGGAGTGACATTGCTGGGTTATATGATAAATTTGTTTTTAGCTCTCTATGAAAAATGTCAAACAAATTTCTAAAGTGTGCATGTCTGTCCACTTTTCTACCAGAAGTGTATGAAGATTTTCACTTCTCCACATCCCCACAAATAGTTGTGATAATGTTTTTTTTAATTAACATCATTCAAGTGGGTATAAAATAGCATTCTGGTGTGGTTCCAACTTGCACATTCCCAGTGACTAATAAAGATCAGCGTATTTTCACATGCCCATTAGCTACTCATCTATCTGCTTTGGTGATATGTCTATACGAATTCACCGCCCATTTTTTGATTGAGTTGTTTCCATATTTTGAAATTTCTTGAAGCTTATTTTGAAGTGTAAGTTTCTTTGTATATTCTGGATATGAATATTTTTCTCAGATATGAATTTTACAAATATTTTTTCCCAGCCTGTTCCTTAATTTTTTGTTTTGTTAGCAGTGTCTTTTGAAGGACAAAAGTGTTGACTTTTTGTAAGATTCAATTTATTTATTTTTATGGCCCATGCATATAGATTTATATCTAAAAAATATTTGCCTAATGCAAAATGTTGAAGATTTTCTCCTATATTATCTTCTAAAAGTAATATCATTTACTTTTAAGTCTATGATCCATTCTGAGTTAATTTTTGTATAGGGGTCTTTTTCCATATGGATATCCAATTGTTCCATCACCCTTTATTAAATTGGTGTCATTCTCGAAGGACATTTTTGTTGAGTAGGGAAGTCTTGACTGATAGATTGCCTAGGTTCATTTAGGTTGCTATAACAAAAATATCAGAGTGGAAAACATCAACAACAAACACTTAGTTCTTACAATTCTAGAGGCTGATAAGTCTAAGGTCAAAACACTGGCATATTTGGTGCCTGGTGTGGGCTCCCTACCTGGCTCATAAACAACCCTCTTCTCACTGTGTCCTCACAGGGCAGTAGGGCTGAAAGAGCTCTCTGGGATCTCTTTTATAAGGGCACCAATCCCATTTACAAGGGTTTCACTTTCATGACATAATCTCCTCCTAAAGATCCCACCTCTTTATACCATCACATTGGGGTTAGAATTTCAACATATGAATTTTGGAGGCACACATTCAGTCCATAACACAGGTTATAATAATTTTCTCTTGTTAATGTAACAAATTACCACAAATTTAGTGATTTGAAGCTACATAAATGTATTATCTTACAGTTGTATAGGTAAGAAGTTTCATACAGGTCTCATTGGCCTAAAATCAAGGTTGTCAGCAGGGCCAAGTTCCTTCTGCAGGCTCTAGCAAACAATCTATTTTTATGCCCATTCCAGCTCCTACAGCCCTTGGCTTATTTTCCCCTTTCTCCATCTTCTAAGCCAAAACTGCCAGGTGACTTTTTCCAAGACCACATTGTTCTGACCTTAATTTCTGTCATCTTTTCCACTTTTATTTTTATTTTTATTTATTCATTTTTTTTGAGATGGAGTCTCACGCTGTTGCCCAGGCTGGAGTGCAGTGGCATGATTGGCTCACCACAACCTCCATCTCCCAGGCTCAAGCGATTCTCCTGCCTCAGCCTCCTGAGTAGTTGGGACTACAGGCACGTGCCTCCATGCCCAGCTAATTTTTGTATTTTTAGTAGAGACAAGGTTTCACTATGTTGGCCAGGCTGGTCTTGAACTCCTGACCTCATAATCTGCCCACCTCAGCATCCCAAAGTGCTGAGATTACAGGCGTGAGCCACCACACCCGGCCATCTTTTCCACTTTTAAGGACCCTAGCGGTTACATAAGCTCACTGTTTAAATCCAAGATAATTTCACTATTTTAAGGCCAGCTGATAAACTTAATTTGTACTTTTAGTTATGTTTTGTCATATAACATTAAACACAAGGATCCAAGAATTAGAACATGCATATCAGAGATGATCAAACATGCAGTTTTTTTTTCTTTCAGCACTTTGATTATGTCATGTCACTGGCTTTTGGCCTCCATTGTTACTGATGAGAAGTCAGGCACTAATCATATTGACGCTTGCCTGTATGTCATGATACTTTTTTTTTTTTTTTTTGCTGCTTTTAAGTTTTCTGTCTTTGGATTTCAACAGAATGATTGTAATATATCTAGGTGTACATGTCTTTGCGTATAATCTACTTGGGTTTCTTAACGCTTTGTGGATACGTAAATTGATGCTTCCATGAACTTTGGAAAGTCTTCATCCATCACTCCTCAAATATTTTTTCATTCTCTCTTCTTTTGAGTATCTCATTACACATGTGTTGGCAAGTTTAATGTTATCTCAAAGATCTTTGAGACTCTGTTTATTGTTCTTTAATAGTTTTCATTTAGTTCTTTTGACTGAATAATTTTACTCTTTTCTTTCCCCAAATCAAAGCTGCACTGAATTCCTCTAGTGAATATTTTATTTTGGTTATTGTAATTTTCAAATCTGACATTTTCATTTTTTCTCTTACATAATGCTTATCTGCTACATGTGAATCTCCATTTATTGTTATCTTGTTTTTCTTTAATTCTTTAAGCATGATTCTTTTATTTCTTTGAACATGTTTAAAACAGCCATTTTAAGCTCTTTTCCTACTAAATCTAACATCTTTAAATAGAACATTAAAATGTAGTTTATATTGACTTTTTCTACTTTCTCATGACAGTGTAAAAAATTTTTTTTAATTGACTTTTTTCTTTTGATATTGTTCACACTTTTCTGTGTGTTTTTTTTTGCATCTCTTTTTGGTTTTGTTAAAAACTAGATATTTTAAACATTATACTCTTGCAATTCCAGTTTCTAATCTTTTCTCATAAAGATTGTTGTTCCTGTTTTTGTTTTTCTTTTTTGCTTTTTAGTTTTTATGTTTTCTTGTTTTTTGTTTTATTATTTGCCTAGATTAATTCCTTGAAATCTGTTTCCACTGTGGTATGCAGCCACTAATATTATCTCTGCTCAATTTATGTATATATTCTTGTTTTTATTTTTAGACCTGGGTTCTTAGAGGTCACTGCTGTGCTTCCAATGTCATCCAATGACGCTATAGAGGGTATGCTCAACCAACACAAGACACGATTTATTCCTTCTGTTGATCTGTATGTTGGTAGGAGAGCACATTAAAAATTCAGATCATTTTTAAGTCTTCCCTTTCAGTTCATGCTGGTATTTTGTACACATACCTGCAAAACTGGCCAGGAACTCCTTGTCTCAATCACAACCTCAGAATAAAGATTTTCTAGCCCTCCATGTGTACCCCTATCTGAGATAATAACTTTGAGCAGCATCATTCCTGGCCATTGGTCTTTGCTCCAAAATTAGTTATCTTCTTTCAGTGATGGCAGAGAAGCTAATGGGTCTCATGGCCTGCCCCATGCAGGCAGGCGTTAAAAGAAAAACTTTAGACAAATTAAATTTAGCAGAGTTTATATGAGCAAAGAGATGATCAATGAGTTGGATAGCACACTAAATCAGTAAAGGTCCAGAGAGCTTACTCAGCAAAGTGGGCAGGCAGTATTTATAGTCAGAAAAAGGAAGTGGCTCATTGTTCAACTCCCACTTATGAGTGAGAACACTCAGTGTTTGGTTTTCTGTTCTTGTGTTAGTTTGCTGAGAATGATGGCTTCCAGCTTCATCCATGTCTCTGCAAAGGACATGATCTCATTCTTTTATATGGCTGCATAGTATTCCATGGGGTATATGTGCCACATTTTCTTTATCCAGTCTATTATTGATGAGCATTTGGGTTGATGAGAACTCATGGACACAGGGAGGGGAACAACACACACCCTGGCCCGTAGGGAGGTGGGGGGCAAGCGGAGAGAGAGCATCAGGTCAAATACCTAATGCATATGGGGCTTAAAACCGAGACGACGGGTTGATAGGTGCAGCAAACCACCATGGCACATGTATATTTGTGTAACAAACCTGCACATTCTGCATATGCATCCCAGAACTTAGAGTAAAAATTTTTTTAAAAATTTTTTAAAAAGAAAAGAAAAAGGAAGTGGTATACAGAAGTAGCCTGATTTGTCACAGCTTAGCATTTACTTAATGTGGACATGTCTGAGAATTTTGCAGCCTGTGATTGGCTGAAAGTTCAGCTGCTATGACTGACTGAGACTCAGTCGCTTGTTACTCTCAAGTTAGGTTCCAGTATGTTTACCTATTAAGTTAGGCTACAGTTCACTACAAATGGAGGCAGCATTAAGCCAAACTTTAGTCAAACAACTTTCATGCTTTCCCCCCTTTTAGGCAGCCTCTCAATTTTGCAAGATTAACCAAAACCTTGGGCACTGACATCACTTTCTGTCACTATCATAATTAACTTGTTTAATCTCAGTATGAAATTCACAATGGCAAATTAGTTAAATGATATTTTATGCTTTATTCTAACCATAATGAGACCTTTTGATGTGCAAAGGATGGCTGTGTACAAGCATTTAGGATTCTTGAGAGGATATGACACATCAGGGAGACTATTATCATGAGTATTATCTAGAAGATAATACCCAGAAACTAAAGTGCATCCCTTACAACAGTCTCCATGACCCAAACTGAAAAAAAAAAAGTGATTCAAAATTTAGAAAATAAAGATAGTTCAATAATATATACGTCCAATTGATTATACTCTTTGTTTGGGGCCTGATGGCAATTAAGGACTATACTTTGCTGTAAAATGACCTGATTTTAAGATTTTAAAAGGTACCATTTTTTTTTGTCATTAGCCTGGTAACACATAGTAATCTGGAGACCCATTAAAAGGGATGAAAATTTAAAAACTTTGGAAGGGCCAACCTTGCCATTCACTATTTAGGATGCTTGCAAGATAGCTGTCATCAGCTCTCATAAACACATCATGTGTTTCTTTCCCCTGAGAAATTTCCTTGATGTATTTGGTGTATTTGGTGACAGTATTTAGAGAAATAGCAGTAGCAACCACCTTTGAAATAAAACTTCTGGTAGTAGTAAAATCAAGGAAAAGGTAAGTGCAAATTCAGTTTTGTTCAAAACCATACACAAAACCCCAACATGGGCATAGAAGATATCTAAAGCGGTATGATGTTCTATTAAGTGATTTTGTTGGCACCAATGTTCTCATTCACCTTTCAGAGAGGGGCTTCTACCCATCTGAACCCTGGAAGATCTGATTTGCTATGAAATCCAAGATTTTTCCCAATTTATAGATTAGTTTGAAATTCCATTGCAGCCATCACCTCACTTTCACCAAGAGTGAGCCCCCAGAATCTCCACTGAAATCTTTACTCAGTGGACACTAACTTATCTTAATCTATTTCAAGGTTTATACTAATTTTGGTTATTGACCACTTTCACCTCTGATGATCAGAGGTATTATTAAGACTTTCAGAGAAAGCTATTCAGAAGGCAGGAGTGAGCCAGGTCAAATAGGAAGATCCAAGCCAGTGAAGAGGCATAAAAGAATGAGCAGATTCTCTACAGACTTGATATAGGCCCCTGAGAGCTGGAAAAGAGGGCCATCTAGTGGGGTCTGAACAGAGGTCAGTTAAATTCATCCATCCATAAGTCCGCATAGCTTCTAAACAAGGTCCAGTGGGAACTTACTTTTTTGTGGTCTCTTTGTAGCAGAGTGGAAGGGTGAATAGCCTTATCTAGAGACCTTACTAGATTTAAATAAGTAACATTATACAACCAGTTATGCCTAATCTCATAGGTAATCTTCAAATCTTGATTACATGATGTCTGGAAGACAATATACATTTTGCTGGCATCATTTGTGCAGGTTTTCTATGTTTGATGGCAATTAGAATATTAATTGGGAAGGTAAGGGTATGACTTTCAGTGAATTTAAAAAGACAATTAGCAACGATATCTAGAATATCAAGGATAACTTTCCACTCTGCTTTTGTGGATTCAGGGTGACTCTCATTGGGAACACAGAGAGGTAATGGCATTCATTAGTAAATTTTTTCCTGATTTGGGGGCATTAACCCACAAAGTCAACAAAGTCTCCAGTTTACTGTTAGAGTATAAGTCTTAGCTAAAGCCATGCACAAGTTATAGTCCCATGGATTTTCTTGTAAGGAAAGAGAAGGGATTAGGACAATAGAAAACAGGGAAAGAAGGAATAAAGGTATGATTTCCACGATGGAAGAGAAGTCTCGATCTGTGATCTTGGGAAAGTTGTCAATGCCTAGGATGCCATCTGCTTTTGAGGAAAAACTTTCCTGGTCAGTCTTACTTTAGGGTATCCAATAGGCATACCATTTAGGAGTCTGGAACAGTTATTTTGAGTTCAGAGATGCAGATCCAAGTCTCCAGGCCCTAAAGTTTTGCTGCAGAGAAGGACTTGATACGGTCTCTTCACACAGAATTCAGGAGCAGTCTTTATCTGGTGTTGTTTCCAAAAGTTCTAATATCTGGGTTTTAGATCTGGTTGTCATCAGTAGGTGGGTCACAAAGAGCTTATTTTACTTGGTGGAAATATGCTTTAGTGTAATGCATTAAAGCTTTGAACTATTGAATCATGGCGGAGGTTTTAAGAGGGGGAGACACGTAAGGTTCTATGATTAGGGGCAGAGGCCTTCCAGTAACTATTTCAGAAATGGTGAACCTATGTTTTCCAGTGAGAGTGGATCTGATTGCTGTCAATGAGCAATACCTTTACCCAAGGCAAGTCAATCAATTCAGTTAACTTTGCCTAATGCCCTTGCATTTATAGTACCTTATTTAACTATTTTACAACTTTTCTAGTGAAACAAGAAACTCCATCACTGGAGACTTCATTAGGAAACTATGCCCCTCAAGGGAAGGATGTTTTCTGATAACCTTTTAGCTATTATTATAGCATCATCCTTTTGCATGGGAAGGCTTCTATACAAGCAGAAAACATGCATAAACGATGGCAGTTTAATAAAATCCATCTGTAAGTATTCAAATAACCCAGCAAGTACTGGAAATATATTACCTGAGATGTTTGTTGTTTTACCAGAATTATTGGTTTGATAATCCAAACTTTGGTGATAAATTATTTTTGTAAACTTAGAACAGTCCACCAGTTTTTCCATAATTTAGGTCATTGTATCTCTACCATGATGAGTCACTGAGTGCAGAGCATTTGTTACTAGAAAGTTTAAGAATTCAGGAAGGATAAAATAGACATTCCTGCTCTCCATGAATCCATGTTTAACATTAGAATTACGTCCTCTTAAACACCAGTTTTGTTTCTCCATTTCAGATGTATAGCACAGTTTGTTATAATGTTATTATAAGTAATTTGGTTTGATGCATTCTTATGGACCTCATTCAAATTTCATAACAACAATTTCAGTAGTGGCTGACTTATGAAAATCTGTGAAATTATTTCTTAGCTATTTCATTAATTCTTATTCTGCTTGACGTTGGGTTAGCAATTTTATGAATAATCAGTTTTCTCTTTAGAGATCTAGAAATTCTTACTCAATATAATGATAAGACCTTAAAGTTATCAGATACTTGTACTTGTCATCATTCCTTCCACGAATCTTTTTGAAGATAAAGCACTTTAGGCTTATAGCTGCTCAGAAAAGTATTAGAATAAGCAAATAAGCAAATAAGCATCAGTTAATGACAACACTTAAAATAGCTATAATTTAAGATCAGATGAGAGTTTAATATTATTATTACAATGATGCACCTGACAAGGAAGTATGGTTATTTCTGCTGCATACAACCTCTTAAGATAATCACTGGAATTATGACTGATAGTGTTACACCAGGACTATTAGATTTCTAAGAATTTCTTACAATTTCTGAAACACATATTAATAACACATCCAAACAAATATAACTTAAAGATTTAGCATTACTCATTAATTAACAATGTTTCCCATATAATTTAATAAATCAAATAAGCCCAATTAGTTTAATATCTCTCTTTTTATAAGGAAATATATCAAAAAGCCCATCTAAAACATCCTAAAGTTAATTTGAGGTCAAGAAAAATACCTAATTTATAATTTGATTTTTGGAAAGTTTATCAAAAATATCAAACATTTAAAACACTTGACAAAATAGAATCCCAGGTCACTGTAAACAGTATTAATTAATTTAACCAAGGTCATTAAAAGTCTTCAAAGGGAAATAAAGTTATATAGTTGTAGAAAACTTAGCTCTTTTAATAAGGAGGACTCAGCTTTTTAAAGTGAACAAAAATATAATAAAAACAACAAGAAACACAGGAAGTTAACTTGATAAAACATAAAATCTCTGTTTTCTAGGTCAATTATCTAGAAAGTAAAGACCTTTTACAATTTTCTATTAAGGGTAGACCAATACTCTAAGAAGCCTTGTTGTTTTAATACAGAGGATCAGATTCTAGTTTTGCATAAGTATACTTTTAATATTGATGTTCATTTTTTAGAAGCCAGCTTGATCATGCATAAAACTTCATTCACAAGATTGATCTTCTATATACCTTCTACAACTTTCCCATCCATTCAGTTTTTGTCCTATGTGTTTTTCTCTTCTCATTTTGGAACAACATGCCATTCTATTTTAGAATAAAAATTACTCTTTTTTTTCTTACCAAAACAAAACATCCTATGCTTTACAGCTTGTCCTTACTATGAACACATCTTAGCTTTCTTGTATATTCATGTATAGAATTGTTTTCCTTATCCTTTCTAGTAATTTTAGGTACATATAGTAGTTAGAATTCATATCTCTTAGTGACCTTACTTTCCAGGAAACACAAGGAAGCAAGCAATTGGGAACTCTCTGTCATACCAACAACCTCTAGATTGGCAAATATATGAATAATTATTTCTAGAAACATGTACTTTTTCATGGTGCAGCTTGTCATGTAGCAAATAACCTATTTACTAATGGTTCCAAAAATTTCTAGTCTCTCTGTAATAAGGAACTGATGATGAGGCAAAATTTCATCTCTATCCTCTTATGTGCTTTTGGTTTGCTTGTTGATTTGCTGGTTTTGGCTAGGACTGAGAATTAAAATTTTGTTTGTAAAGATTTCCCTCAGCATCTGCTTTTCATTCTTGATAAGAATGTTAAAACCTTCTGATATAGAAAAGACATGTTTTACATGGGAATATTAAATCTCTTTAACTCACTTTTAGCAATTATGTTTGGATTTCTTATAAAAATCAGATACTAAGTAGCTGGTCATCACCTTCTTTTTCTTGTTGACAAATTTCATAATATAGAGATAATATGCTTATTTTGCCAATTAACCTAGGTAGGAAAAGTTATGCATGTGTATTATATACTGCTGAAAACTCTGAAGACATGCCGGTTTTAATCAACTCAGTAATATTCTTATTTACCAAACATTACTCAGCTCATATGAACTTAAAATTACTTGTATTAGTTATAACTTTTCCAAGAGAATGTTTTATTTATATAAGCACTTATTTTTCATGAAGTCAATTAAGTAAAGCTCTTTTACAATTAAATCTTGCAGTATCATCAGAAGACAAACACACATACATATCATACATACAGATGTATATGAACAAATAGATAGAAACAGATCTTATAGCTTTCACTCTAATGTTTTAGCCATGTGCCAATTACAATAATACAAGTTGCTAATTTATAAAAGATTATCTTGATCCAAATTGTTTTTCTGGCTAGTGAAATAAGATTTCATATTCAAATGGGTAAAGATTTCATGAATATTTGTGAAAAATAGTTTTTAAAATTTGTTTTCTGTAAGAAGTCTTTTAAATAGGCAATTTTTGATTCACTTAATCTTTTAGTTATCTCTGCATACCAGTTAAAAATGTATTCTTTAGCTTTTTTTGTAATTGTGGATACTTCCTTTTTTTTTGTACTTTGCAAATGAACCATTTTATCTAGGTAAAATTTCCCCACTGAGGCCACTAGCTGCTATAATTCTAAGTTGTCCTTGTTAAGGTTAACTCATTTTTTCCAGAAATACACAGGTTCTGGCCTATAATTTTTGTATATAAAGTTATCCAATGTCCCAGAAAGTGGCATCCCAGAATCTTTAGATTTCAAGGAACTCATTCTCAAATTGGACATACCTGAAGCCTCTAACTGGATCCAATCTAGTTAGTTCTTGAATCCAGTTCATTCCTGAACCAAGTCCAGTAAATATTGATCAAATAAAGTCAAACAGCTCAAAACACAAATTAATGGAGCTCAAATCCAGGAGAGAACTCACCCATTACCTCAGTTTCTGTGAGCGATAAATGGGAACAGTGAACCCTAATGAGTACCTTTTGGTGACTTGGTGCTCCTTGGAGTCACTGAAGTTCTACTTTGAATCCCACTCTGACATCAATCTGTCAAAAAAAAAAAAAAAAGAAAATAATTTGTTTGTTTGTTTAAAGTCTGTTTTGTCAGAAACTGGGATTGCAACGCCTGCTTTTTTCTGTTTTCAATTTGCTTGGTAAATTTTCCTCTATCACTTTATTTTGAGCCTATGTGTGTCTTTGCACTTGAGATGGATCTCTTAAAGATAGCGTAACAATGGGTGTTGGCTCTTTATCCAGCTTGCCATTCTGTGTCTTTTAATCAGGGCATTTAGCACATTTTCATTTAAGGTTAGTATTGTTATGTGTGGTTTTGATCCTGTTATCTTGATGCTAGCTGGTTATTTTGTAATTTCCTAAGTGACAGAAGCAACACAGGTGAAAGGATCATTTTTCATTATTCATAAGATGCCCGTTCAGCCACATCTGAGTTTGTGTTAATGAGGTGATATTTGGAAATTCCCTAGATAATCACAGGTTGCAGGGGCTTGGTTGCCAGAGAAATCAACTATGCAACTAGATAACTGAAACCTTCAGTACCGACCAGGTCTTTGTAGAAAGGAGATGGGCTAACAGTGAGTTGATCATCAGTAGCCAATTATTTAATCAATCAAGTATGCCTACATAATAAAGCTTCCAAACTGCCCTAAAATAACAGGTTTTGTGAAGCTTCTGGGTCACTAAATACATAGAAGATGGTGCACCCAGAAAGGGCATGGAAGCTCTGTGTTCCTTTCTTCCTACCTGATCTATGCTTCTTTTCCATATGGCTGTCCCCTAAGTTGTATTCTTTTATAATATATGGGTAATAGTAAGTAAAGCACTTTTCTGAGTTCTGTGAGCCACTCTAGCCAATGATTAAACCTGAAGAGGGGACTGTGAAAACCTCTGATTTATGCCCATTCATTCAGAAACACAAGTAACAAACTGAACTTGTGATTGGCATCTGAAGTTGGGGGCAATCTTGTAGGGCTGAAGCCTTAACCTGTGAGATCTGAGGCTATCTCAAAAGAGAGAGTGTCAGAACTCAGTTAAATTGCAGGGCATCTGGTGTCATAAAATTGGTCCATGTGAGGGAAAATACCTACATATCTGGTCACAGAAATATCCTGCATTGAATATGAATAAGAAAAAAAGTGTTTTTTTCTATATAATCATAGTTATCAAGAATTGTCTAAGTATTTTAATTATAAAATTATTAGACACATGAGATTAGCAGAGAACAAAGGCTACAATATTTTGTAAATAGATGCAGATAAATATTTGATGATAACAATCACTCATTATGGTTTAACAAATGAGTTTGAACAAATCAGGAGTACTAAATAATCTCCTTGCCTAATATTTATGAAATGCCTACAAAAACATTAAGCATAGTAACCATCACAGTTTCAGTTTAAACTTGTTCTAAAAATCCTAGCTAATATATTAAGTGACATAAAAGGTAAGAAAAAATTCAAAAGTGTGAGAGAAGCATAAACTATCCTTATTTCAAAATACTACTACTCTTCCCAAAGAAAATCCAGCAGGCTTAAAACAAAAATCTGTAGAATTTATGACAAATTTTAGGATACACATTTGCTAGACATGAGGTTGCTACACAATGAAATGTTTACACTGAAATCAATAGTGTTCCTTTATATCAACAACAATCAATGAGAAACAATAATTTATTAAATTGATAATAGTAACAAAACTTGTTAGAAATCTAGTAATAAATCTTAAGACCAAAGAGCTAATGTTACAGGAGAAAAAAACAAAGAAGGAGCTTATAAAGAGACCCTCTTTCAAAATATGTCAGAATATTAACCTGAATACTCATCAGTGGTAGACAGCATAAAGAAAACGTGGTCCATATACACCATGGAAAACTATGCAGCCATGAAAAGAATGAGATCATGTTCTTTGCAGCAACACGGATGGAGCTGGAGGCCAACATCCTTAGCAAACTAATGCAGAAACAGAAAACCAAATACCAGGTGTTCTCACTTACAAGTGGGAACTAAATAACGATAACACATTGACATAAAGCGGGGAATAAAAGACACTAGGGCCTTCTTGAAGAGGGTATAGGATGGGAGGAAGGAGAGGATCAGAAAAAATACAAGTTGGCTACTATGCTTATTACCCGGATAGAATAATCTGTACACTAAACCCCTAGGACACAAGTCAACCTACAAACAAACCTGCACATATACTCCCAAACCTAAAAGTTAAAATAAATAAATAAATCTTATTCGATTCAGAAAAATATGTCAAAATAGTGTATGTAACCGGTGTACAAATCAGCAGAAAGGTTATCTGCTTATTAACAAAGCATGGGGAGTTATCATTGATAGACAAATAGATAAGTTAGTTCATGTTATTAATAAAAAATCTGTTCCAAATGCATAATGTTATTAGGTTTAAAATCAAATTGTCAACAATTTTAAGGGAAAATCTGAGACAATTTTTATAACTTCATGTTAGACAATATTTTTTGATTTGAATTTAAAAATACAGATCACAGAGAAAACTGTCTATATCACTTTGGAAAGCAAAGACACCATCACACATGTTTAAAACGTTTGAAGCTGGAGGGAGGGGCCAAGATGGCCAATTAGAAGCAGCCACAGTTCACGGAACTCATAAAGAGGAATGGAAGGGTGAATGAATTCAACACCTTCAACCGAAATACCCCGGTTCTCACATTGGAACTGACTAGGCAATTTACTCCACCCACAGAGAATGAAGCAAAGCAGGGTCGGGCAACAGCCCACCTGTGAGTGGTGTGGAGCCAAATGAACCTCCAGCTTTAGCCAAGGGAAGTGGTGAGAGATTGTGCCACTCCGCCTGGGAAACCATGCTTCTCCCATGAATCTTTGCAACCCATGGATCAGGATATTCCCTTGTGAGCCCATGCCACAAAGGCCTTAGGTTTGATACACAGAGCTGTGTGGAGTTTTGCAGAGTAACCACTCAGGCACACACAGAGACCCAGGAATTTTACATACGCTGGCTCCAGTATCTCCAGCAAGGCAGGAGATCCATTTGTACATATCCCAAGGAAAGGGCCGAATCCAGTGAGCCAAGCAGCATCATTCTCCAGGTCCCACATCCACAGCACCTCGCAAGTTAAGATCCACTGGCTTGGAATTCCAGCCAGCCAATGGCAACAGGCTGAAGTCTACCTGAGACAGAGAGCTCCTGGGGGGAGGGGTGGCCATCACCTCTGCTATTCAGTAGACTCAGCCTTTTCATCCTGCCAGCTTTGGAGAATCCAACAGTCCAGATGAGGAAGGGTCTTCCACAACAAAGCACAGCTGCCTTGGCAGATTGTGGTCAGACTGCTTATTTAAGTGGGATCCTGATCCATTCCTCCTCACTAGGGAGGACCTCCCTGCCTGGGCTTCAGCAAATTTAACCAGGATTCTTTGGACCAGATGAGGAAGGGCTCCCCGCAATGCAGTATACCTACTCTACCAAAAAGCAGCCAGACTACTTCTTTAAGAGGGTCCCTGATCCCATTCCTCCTGACTGGATGAGACCTCCCAAAAGGGGCCTCCAGCCACCTCCTACAAGCATGTTCAGGCTGGCAATGAGTCAGTACCACCCTGGTACAGAGCTTCCAGAGAAAGGAGCTGGCTGCCATATTTGCTGTTTTGCAGCCTTCACTGGTGATACCTCCAGGTGCAGGAAAACCCGAGGCAACTAGGGTCTGGAGTAGACCCCAGGAAAACCACAGCAGCCCTACTGAAGAGTGTCCTGACTGTTAAAAGGAAAACAAACAAGCAGAAAACAACAAGAACAACAACATTAAGAAATACCTGGCAAAAACCCCATTCAATGGTCAAACCTCAAAGATTGAAAGTAGATAATCCCCACAAAGATGAAAAATAATCAATGCAAAAACACTGAAGACTCAAAAAACCAGAGTACCTCTTATCCTTCAAATGACCACAACACCTCTCCAGCAAGGGCACGGAACTGAGGCTGAGATGGCTGAATTGACAGAAGTAAGTTTAAGAAGGAAAGTAATAACGAACTCCACTGAGCTAAAGGAGCATGTTGTAACCCAATGCAAAGAAGGTAAGAATCATGGTAAAACAATACAGGAGCTGATAGGCAGAATAGCCAGTTTAGAGAAGAACATAACTAACCTAATGGAGCTGAAAAACAACACAAGAACCTCACAATGCAATCACAAGTATCAATAGCAGAACAGACCAAGGAAAGCAAAGAATATCAGAGCTCGAAGATGATCTGTCTGAAATAAGACAAGCAGACAAGAATAGGGAAAAAAAGAATGAAAAGGAATAAACGAAACCTCCAAGAATTATGAGATTATATAAAGAGACTGAACCTACAACTCATTTGGGTTCCTGAATGAGATGGGGAGAATGAAACCAAGTTGGAAAACATACTTCAGGATATCATCCAGGAGAACTTCCCCAAGCTAGCAAGACAGGCCAACATTCAAATTCAGGAATTTCAGAGAACCCCAGAAAGACACTCCATAAGAAGATCAACCCCAAGACATATAATTATTCATCAGATTCTCCAAAGTCAAAATAGAAAAAATATTAAGGGCAGCCAGAGACAAAGGCCAGGTCACCTACAAAGGCAAGCCCATCAGACTAACTGCAGACTTCTCAGCAGAAATTTGACAAGCCAGAAGAGATTGGAGGACAATATTCAACATTCTTAAATAAAAGAATTTCCAAACCGGAATTTTATATGTGGCCAAATTAAGCTTCATAAGTGAAGAAGAAATAAGATCCTTTTCAGACAAGCAAATGCTAAGGGAATTCATCACCACCTGCCTTGCAAGAGTTCCTGAAGGTAGCACTAAGCATGAAAGGAAAAACTGATACCAGCCACTGCAAAAACACACTGAAGTACACAGACCAGTGACACTATGAAGCAATCACATAAACAAGTCTACAAAATAACCAACTAGCATCATGATAACAGAATCAAATTCACACTTAACAATACTAACCTTTAAGAAACCCATCTCATGTGCAAAGACACATATAGGCTCAAAATTAAAGGGATGGAGGAAAATTTACCAAGCAAATGGAAAACAGAAAAAAGCAGGAGTTGCAATACTGGTTTCTAACAAAACAGACTTTAAACCAACAAAGGTCAAAAAACACAAAGGACATTACTTAATGGTAAAAGGTTCAATTCAACAAGAAGAGCGAACTATCTTAAATATACATGCACCCAATACAGGGGCACCCAGATTCATAAAGCAAGTTCTTAGAGACCTACAAAGAGACTTAGACTCCAGCGTAATATTAGTGGGTGACTTTAACATCCCACTGACAATCTTAGATCATCAAAACAGAAAACTAACAAAGATATTTAGGATTTGAACTCAGCTCTGGAGCAAGTGGATCTGATAGATATCTACATAACTCTATACTCAAAACAGCAGAATATACATTCTTCTCATTGCCATATGGCACTTACTCTAATATTGATCACATAATTAGGAGTAAAATACTCATCGGCAAATGCAAAAGAACTGAAATCATAACAAATAGTCTCTTGGATTGCAGCATCATCAAATTGAAACCCAAGATTGAGAAATTCAGTCAAAACCATACAACTACATGGAAATGGAATAACCTGCCCCTGAATGACTCTTGGGTAAATAATGAAATTATTTGAAACTAATAGGAAGAAAGAGACAGTATACCAGAATCTCTGGGACACAGCTAAAGCAGTGTTAAGAGGGAAATTTATAGCACTAAATGCCCACACCAAATAGCTAGAAAGATCTCGAGTTAACAGCCTAACATCACAACAAAAAAAAAACTAGAGAGCTAAGAGAAAACAAACCCCAGAGCTAGCAGAAGACAAGAAATAACCAAGATTAGAATGAAACTGAAGGAGATAGAAAAAAGAAAAACCCTTAAAAAAATCAACTAATTCAGGAGCACATTTTTTGAACACATTAATAAAATAGAGTGCTAGCTAGATTAATAAAGAAGAACAGAGAGAAGATTCAAATAAACACTATTAGATATGATAAGGGGGATATCACCATTGACCCCACAGAAATACAAACAACCATCAGGGACTACTATAAACACCTCTATGCTCATAAAATAGAAAATCTAGAAGAAATGGATACATTCTTGGACAGATACAGGCTCCCAAGACTGAACCAGGAAGAAATAGAATCCCCGAATAGACCAATAATGAGTTCTGAAATTGAGGCAGTAATAAATAGCCTACCAAGCAAAAAAAGCCCAGGACCAGACATATTCACAGCTGAATTCTACCAGAGGTACAAAGAAAAGCTGGTACAAATCCTGCTGAAATTGTTCCAAAAAACTGAAAAAGACGGACTCTAACTCATTCTATGGGGACAGCATCATCCTGATTCCAAAAACTGGCAGAGACACAACAACAACAAAAAAATTTCAGGCCAATAATCCTCAACAAAATACTGGCAAACTGAATCCAGCAGCACATCAAAAAGCTTATCCACTATGATCAAGTAAGCTTCATTTCTGGGATACAAGGCTGGTTCAACATACAAAAATCAATAAATGTGATTCATCACATAAACAGAACTAAACTCAAAAACCACATGATTATAGATGCAGAAAAGGCCTTCAATAAAATTCAAGATCTCTTTATGTTAAAAACTCTTAAAAAACTAGGTATTAGTGGAACAAACTTCAAAATAATAAGAGCCATTTATGACAGAACCACAGTCAGTATCATACTGAATTTGCAAAAGCTAGACGTATTCCCCTTGAAAACTGGCACAAGACAAGGTCGCCTTCCCTCACCACTCTTATTTAACATAGTATTGGAAGTTCTGGTCCGGGCAATCAGGCAAGAGAAAGAAATAAAAGGTATTCAAATATGAAGAGAGGAAGTCAAACTGTTTGCACTTGACATGATCCTATATCTAGAAAATCCCATCGTCTCAGCCCAAAAACTTCTTAAGCTGATAAGCAACTTCAACAAAGGCTCAGGATACAAAATCAGTGTGCAAAAATCACAAGCATTCCTATATACCAACAATAGACAAAGAGCCAAATCATGAATGAACTCCCATTCACAATTGCTACAAAGAAAATAAAATACCTAGGAATACAGCTAACAAGGGAAGTGAAGGACCTCTTCAAGAAGAACTATAAACCACTGTTCAAGAAAATAAGAGACGACACAAACAGATGAAAAAACATCCTTGCTCACAGATAGGAGGAATCAATGTCGTGAAAATGTTCATACTGCCCAAAGCAACTTATAGATTCAATGCTATTCCCATTAAACTACCATTTACATTCTCCACAGAATTAGAAAAACACTACTTTAAAATTTATGCAGAACCAAAAAGAGCCAAGACAATCCTAAGGAAAAAGAAAAAGCTGGAAGCATCATGCTACCTGACTTCAAACTATATTATGAGGCTACAGTAACAGAAACAGCATGATACTGTACAAAAAGAGACACATAGACCAATGGGACAGAACAGAGGACCCAGAAATAAGACCACACATCTACAACCATCTAATCTTTGATAAATGTGACGAAAACAAGTAATGGGGAATGGATTGTCTATTTAATAAATGGTGCTGGGAGAACTAGCTAGCTATAAGCAGAAAATTGAAACTCAACTCCTTCCTTACACCGCATACAAAAATCAACTCAAAATTGATTAAAGACTTTAATGTAAACCCCAAAACTATAAAAACCCTAGAGGAAAATTTAGGCAATACCATTCAAGACATAGGGATGGGCAAAGGTTTCATGATGAAAATGCCAAAAGCAATTGCAACAAAAGCAAAAATTGTCAAATGGGATCTAACTAAACTAAAGAGCTTCTGCACAGAAAAAGAAACTATCATCAGAGTGAACAGACAACCTACAGAATGGGAGAAATTTTTTGCAATCTATCTGACAAAGGTCTAATATTCAGAGTCTACAAGAAATTAGAAACTTAAAGAAAAAACAAACAACCCTATTAAAATTGAGCAAAGGACATGAAGAGACACTTCTCAAGAGAAGATATACAAGTGGCCAAGAAGCATATGGAGAAAACTCAACATCACTGATCATTAGAGAAATGCAAATAGAAATCACAATGAAATACCATCTCATGCCAGTCAGAATGGCTATGATTAAAAAGTCAAAAAACAACAGATGCTGGCAAGGTTGCAGAGAAAAAGGAACAGTTTTACCCTGTTGGTTGGAGTGTCAGTTAGTTCAACCATTGTGGAAGACAGTGTGGGGATTCCTCAAAGTCCTGGAGGCAGAAATACCATTTGACTCAGCAATCCTATTACTGGGTATATACCCAGTGGAATATAAATCATTCTTTTCTAAAGGTACATTCATGTATCTGTTCATTGCAGCACTATTCACAATAGCAAAGACATGGAATCAAGCTAAATGTCCATCAGTGACAGACTGGATAAAGAAAATGTGTTACATATACCATAGAATACTATGCAGCCATAAAAAGGAATGAGATCATGTTCTTTGCAGGGACATGGATGGAGTTGGAAGCCATTATCCTCAGCAAAGTAACACAGGAACAGAACACCAAACACCACATGTTCTCACTTATAGGTGGTAGCTGAATTATAAGAACACATGGTGGGGAACAACACACACTGGGGCCTGTTGGTAGTGGAGGGTGCAAGGAGGGAGAGCACGAGGAAGAATAGCTAATGGATTCTGGGCTTAATACCTAAGTGATGGTATGATTTATTCAGCAAACCACCATGGCACACATTTACCTATGTAACAAACCTGCATATCCTGCACATGTACCCCTGAACTTAAAGTAAAAGTTGAAGAAAAAAAGTATTTAAAAAAGTAATCTGATAATCAAACCTAAAAAACATGAAATAAAATAAAACAAAATATAATAAAACAAAATATACCTGTAAGCATTAAAAAAGGCTAGAGGGTGATACAGAAATGGTGTAAATAAAATTTGTCTTTCATTCCCTAATTAATTATATACTTAAATGTACATTTCTCACCATTTTCCATAATAAAAGATTAATAAAGCAAAAGTCTTTGTATTGTTAATCCATAAAACTGGTTTTTGTTTATCCTTAATTCTAAATGAAAAATCATAGAGAAATAAAAGGAAATAAGGGAAAAAATTACAGTTACTTTACAAATATAAAAAAATTTTAAAGCTAAAAATAATGTCAAAGGATTTCTTAACCTTGGTCACAAAATAATAAATTGTTTGGAATATATTTACTAATTTTGTCATAATTTTTTCTTTAAAAGTTCACACTGAGGCTGGGCGTGGTGACCCATGCCTATAATCCCAGCACTTTGGGAGGCCGAGGAGGGCGGATCACCTGAGGTCGGGAGTTCAAGACCAGCCTGACCAACGTGGAGAAACCCCATCTGTACTAAAAATACAAAAATTTAGCTGCGTGTGATGGCGCATGCCTGTAATCCCAGCTGCTCGGGAGGTTGAGGTAGGAGAATTGCTTGAACCTGGGAGGCAGAGGTTGCAGTGAGTTGAGATCACGCCATTGCACTCCAGCCTGGGCAACAAGAGCGAAACTCCGTTTCAAAAAAAAAAGTTCACACTGAGCATCAAGAAATTAAATATTACTGATAATTCAGTATATCTCTAAAAATTCTCACTAGCAGTGTAACTTTTGGTATTATTTTGGAGTAGAAAGTACATGCAAACATGTTTAAAAGTGTTTAAGTTCCATTTTTATTCTTAAAATAATAGGTAATATAAACCTAATACAAATTTTATTCTATACTGCTATATTTTTAACAAACTGATTGATTTCTTAAAATATAATAGGAAAATGAGGCAGTTTTTAATAAGTTAGAAAATGAAGCTTCCTTCCAAAACTGAGTACATGCGATAAAGAAAAATTAAAAATGTCCCCCTAGCTTTTGCTCTGTAAATGAAAAGAGTAATTGAAAGAAAATACTGCTTACAAACTAATTACATACTTTTCTAAGACACCATTTTTTAAAAAGTATAAGACCCATCTGGCTTGACATTTGCAAAATTCCTATAATTAAAAGAGAAGGAAATAAACAGAGTGGAAGTTATTTGAGGTTTTTGTACACTTTACTAACTTTTCTATGCTTTAACTATGACTATTACTGAGGAGTCTATAGAAATTATACTTTGCTGAAACTTAAGGTGCAAAATTTTGTGGGCAAAATGATGAGTCTCTGATTTTTTAGCCTGTCTAACATAATTTTGGCTTCTTCCATTGCTCATTATAAACCTGACTGTATAATTTTATCTTTTAGTTCAATGAGTCAAACATGGCTAAAATCAGACAATTGTATGTCTGCTAATGGAACTATTTTAGCTAACTTATTTAATTTGAATCATTATTTCATTTGAAATATGTGTTAATTGATAAAATATGTGTTTCATGTACTACTCTAGGTGCTAATATATAGCATTGATGGAGACAGTGAGATTCTTGCTTTCATGAAGTATATTTGATAGTTCTTTTAAATTTGTGGCACCAAGCACAGAAAGAGAAACTCAAATTCCAGGATCAAGCCAAAACAGAGATTTGAGCACCTTCCTTCTGTCTCAGAAGGGATATATAATTGTCTTCCTAATTTTTTATTTAGTTTAAGCCACTTAATGATCTGAAATAGTTTTAAAAAGGTGAGTTCACAGCTGGGCGCGGTGGCTCACACCTGTAGTCCCAGGTCCTCGGGAAGTTGAGGCAGGAGAATCGCTTGAACCCGGGAGGCAGAGGCTGCAGTGAGCCGACATCATGCCACTGCACTCCAGCCTGGGCGACAGAGACTCTGTCTCAAAAAACAAACAAACAGAAACAACAACAACAACAACAACAACAAAAACATGGTGAGTTCACATCTTCCTTGTCATTGGAAGTAAAAGAATGACAAACAGGTGAAAGAGTTTTGTCTGCTTCTGGCAAACCATAGAAATCCTTGTGCAGGCTGGGCGCAGTGGCTCACACCTGTAATCGCAGCACTTTGGGAGGCCGGCGGGTGGATCATGAGGTCAAGAGTTCAAGACCATCCTGGCCAACATGGTGAAACCCCATCTCTACTAAAAATACAAAAATTAGCTGGGCGTGGAGGCGGGCGCCTGTAGTCCCAGCTACTCTGGAGGCTGAGGCAGGAGAATCGCTTGAACCCAGGAGGCAGAGGTTGCAGTGAGCCGAGATGGCGCCACTTCACTCCAGCCTGGCAACAGAGCAAGGCTCTATCTCAACAAAAACAACAACAAAAAAAAAAAAAAAAGAAAGAAAGAAATCCATGTGTGTAGTTTATGAATCACATATAGCATTATTTTAAGTTTCAGGTAAAAGATGCTTATGCAGTTTGTATATAAGCTAGACAATATTTTAGGTATATTGAAAATACTGGCCTATTTAATTCTTTTAAAAACATGATAAAGGAGATATGGCTATTATATGAATTTTACATACAAAAATACCCAGGCACAGAGATGTTAAGTGCTTTGGCTGAGGACAAACTGCTAGCATGCACCAGAGCCAGGATTTGAATCTACACAGTTGGACTCCAGAGTCCATGTTCTTGACTACTACAGATGCTACTTATTTAAAATGCTACATATTCAAGGAGTTGTTCCTTGGGACCCCATGTGAACTTCGTGGGGAAATATCAAAGACATTTTTTTTTTTTTTTAGTTACTGGGAAAAAGCCAATTTTTATAATACCTCAAAATTTGCCAAACTGGTAGACAGACCATATTGAGCAAAACTAATTCTGCAACTGTACTTTCTAACTAAAAAAATTCCATTTGATTCTTTCTTCTGTAAGCCATGGGAGTATGTGTTTAATAGTTTACTGAGTCTTAACAGGCCTTGAAAGGCTGTCAAAAACCAATTATGTACATTCAGAAAGGCAGAGTAAGAAATGCTGCAAATAAGTCCTTACATAAAATCAACAAGAACACTGGTGATGGTCAAAAATAACTTTTTGAAACCCTTGAAATTAACCAATGGCTTGCAACAACCTCAGGGATATTTATTCAAGAAAAGTTGCTGAACCAAGGTAAGAACAGCAGAGTTTATGATGTTCAGATTTGATCTATTCCCATTCCCAACTCCCTAATTCTATAGTTGCCTTGAAAACTGGTGGCTGCTAATTTAAAAAAAAAAAAGAAAAAAAAAAGATTGCAAACAATAATCTGAAAAACAGTAGTATTATAGGCACAAGAAGGAGTAGATGAGTTTGGACCTCCTAAAGAAGGCCTATTCCCAGAGTATTTTTATTATTTGATCAGTCTCACAGCTCCTTAGGAAAGCTTCATTTGCAAGAGGTATGTTATTATTTGACCTGATTTGGAGCTTGATCTGTGGGGAAACCCTATTCTCAGGGAATTTGATGAAAGATTCAAAGGCAGTTGTTCAACATCACAACTTCCTAAAGCTGAAAATGAGTTGATACAAACAAGAGCATGGACAAGACATAAAAGGAAGATCTGTGGAAAAAGAAGTCCATGAGAGTCTTTGAAAAGTTCTGACATGTTTCTAGTGTTCCAGAAGACAGCACACACTTGCAGGGATGTGTACATACCAAAAAGGGAAGGCCTGAATCTATTATTGCTGGCTAAAATGGAGACTTTGCAGAGGCAGGCAAAAAAGACTAAGTCAGAATTTGGAACTGCTTCATTATAGAAGGTATGTCCCAACACAGACATACAGAATTCCCTCAACAAGGGAGGTTAAGGCTTTAATGCCTCAAAGAATCTAATGAAATGTCTGACCATCTCACTAGAGGATCACTAAAATAATTGAACAGATACTTCAGCAGCTTCACCATACAAGGAATATAGGACTTTACAGGATTAGCCTAGGAAAGTATCAAGCAAAGAAACAGTAGCAACAAAAACAATGACAAGAAAAAAAATCAATAGCAATAAACTATAAAGAATTGAGGAAATCTGATGTATAGGATTTCCACCGTATAGTACCTAAAATGTCCGGTTTTTAGTAACAACAATAAATATATGAGGCAGGAAAAGAAAAATGTTGCCAATACACAAGTTAAAAAACAGCAACCAATAGGAGCCATTCCTAAGGGGTCCCAGGTGTTAGGCTTACTAAACAACGACTTTTAAATCAGCGATTAAAGAGATTAAAAAATGATATCTAAAAAAGTAAGGAGAAATATAACAACGATGTCTCACCAAGCAAATAATATCAATAAAGATAAAGAAAATATAAAAAATAACCAAAGAACAATTGTAATGTTGAAAAATGCAGTATCTAAAGTGAAACATTCACTAGCAGGATTTAACAGCAGTCTGCATTGGGAGAATAAACAACCAATGAACTTGAAGCTGGGTTAGTTGAGAATGGTCTGCAGAACAAAGATAAAACCGAAGAAGAAAAGGACGCAGAGCCTCAGAGACATGTGAGATATCATTAAGCATCCCAATGTACACATTACATGAGTCCAAAAAAAAAGAGAATAAGGTAAAAATACAGAATCACATTTGAAAAAAATATGGATGAAAATTTCTCAAATTTGATTAAAAAGAAATTAGCTGGGCATCTTGGTGCATGCCTGTAGTCCCAGCTACTCAGGCAGCTCATCTGAGAAAAATCACTTGAGCCTAGGAGGGAGAGGCTGCAGTGAGCTATGATAATGCCACTGACCTCCAGCCTGGGTGACAGAGACAATCTGACTAACGTTTTTATTAACTTTCTTGTAGAGATAGGGTCTCAGTATGTTGACCAGGCTGGTCTCGAACTCCTGGGCTTGAAGGAATCTTCTACCTCAGCCTCCCAAAGTGCTGGGATTACAGGCTTGAGGCACTGTGCTTGGCTGGAAGCGCTTTCTAACTGAACTCATGCTATAAGCCCAGGATTATCCTGATAGCAAAACTATTAAAGACTATAAAAAGAGAAAGCTATTGACCAATATATCCTTTATGAACATAGATACAAAAATCTTCAACAAAATACTAGCAAACTAAGTTCTACAGCATATTGAAAGCACTATACACCATGACCAGGTAGAATTTATTTCAGGAAAGCAAGGATGGTTAAACTTACAGAAATCAGTCAAAACAATACACTGCATTAAGAGGATTTGTGTACCAAAATCTTTAAAATACTGCTGCAAGAAATTAAACAAGATATAAATAAATGAAAAGACATCCCATGTTCATGGATTAAAATAAATATTTTTAAGATGGCAGTGCTACCCAAAATGATCAAAAAATTTAGTGAAATCCTTATCAAAATCACAATGACTTATTTTTGCAGAAATGAAAAAGTTTATTATAAAATTCATATGGGTTCTCAACTACTGATTGATTTCTAAACAATCTTGAAAAAGGAAAACAAATTTGAAAGAGTTACACTTAATCTTACTATAAAGATACACTAATTAAAACAATGCAATTGAGATTAATATCAACATATGGATCAATGGAATAACATTAAAAGTAGGGGAAAAACATATATTGATAGTTGATTGATTTCTGACAAGAATACCAAGACCATTCTGTGGGGAAAAATTATCTTGTCAATAAATAGTATTGGGAAAATTAGATAAACACATGAAAATGGTTATTCTGGACCTCTGTCTCACACTATGTCCGAATATTAACTAAAAATGGATCAACAATCTAAATGTAAAAGCCCATATTATAAAACAGATAAGGAATTTTTATTTAAAACATATAAATAACACTTAACAACAATAAAAAACAAAAATACCCCAACTATAAAACAGGCAAAGGATTCGGATAGACAGTTATCCAAAAAAGATATAAGTAGCCAAGAGGCCTGGCCCAATGTCTCACACCTGTTATCTCAGCACTCTGGGAAGCCCAGGTGGGAGGATCACTTGAGACCAAGAGCTTGAGGTCAGCCTGAGCAGCAACATGGCTAACCCACATCTCTCGCTCTAAAAAAAAAAAAAAACCACCAAAATGTGGCCTAGAAGCACATTAAAATATGGACAACATCAATTCATTCAGGAAATGTAAATCTAAACCAAAATGAGATGTCACTTCATCCCCAGTAGAAAGGCTAATATTAATAAGTCAGACAGTACCAAGTCTAGATGAGGCTGTGGAGAACACTCTCATATACTGCTTGTGGAAATGTAAAATGGTGCAATCACTTTAGAAAACAATTTTCCATAATTTTGACATCAAGTTATTCTATGACCTGGCAATTTCACTGATAGGTACATACACAGGAGAAATGAAAAATAAGTCCATGCAAAAACTTGTACACGAAAGCCCATGTGAGCATTAAAAAGAATCATCATCATAATAAAACAACTCAAATGCTTATCAATCGATGAATGAGTAAACAAATGTGGCATAGTATATCCATAGAATGCAATATTCTTCTACTATAAAAAAGTACTGATACACGTTACAATATGGATGAAACTCCAAAGAAGCTAGTCAGCTGGGTGCAGTCACCCACATCTGTAACCCCAGGAGTCTGAGATCAGCTTGGGCAACACAGCGAGACCCCATCTCTATTAAAAAAAAAAAAAAAGCCAGAAAAAATAAAAAAGCTAGTCACCAAATACCACATATTTTATGATTATATTTATGTAAAATGTCCAACAGAAGAAAATCTAAAGACAGAAAATAGATTAGTGGTTCCCTAAGGCTGAGGAGAGGGTATAATGGGTGGCTACTAATGGGAGTGAGTTTTCTTTAGGGGCTGACAAAAATGTCCTAATATCACATTGTGGTGATGGTTGCATAACTCTGTGAATATGCTAAAAATCATTTAATTTTACACTTTAAATAGGTGAATTTTATGGTACTTAAATTATATCTCAAAAAAGCTATTTTTAAAAGCTTATTATTTCTTCAGCTTTTATATTTTATTATTATCAGAATGCATCTTACTGTAAGAAAAGCCCCTGGAAAGGCATTAATACCCAGAATATATAAAGAACTTTCACAACTCAACAACAACAACAACAATCCAATTAAAAAGTGGTAAAGGATTTAAACAGACAAATAAGATGTACAAACTACCGATAAACACACAAAGAAATGCTCAACGTCACTAATCGTTAGGAAAATGCCAACTCAGAACCACAGTGAGATATCACTTTACCCCCATTATAATGGCTACTATCAAGAAAAATATTAAATTAAAATATAAATAAAAACAAAATACAAAATGTGGTTGAAGATGTAGAAAAATTTTAACTATGTAATTGCTGATGGGAACATAAAATGGTATGCCACTATGAAAAACAGTTTAACAGTTCCTCACAAAGCTAAACACAGAATTGCTATATAATCCAGTAATTCCACTTCTAGGTATGTACCCAAAAGAATTGCAAGCAGAAATTGAAAAACTTAACTCGTACACCAATGTTCATAGCAGCATTATTCACAATAGCCAAATGTTGGAAACAACCCAATTGTTCTTCAACAGTTGAATGAGTAAATAAAATGTGGCACATACATACAATGGAATATTATTCAGCAATAAAAACAAGTGAGGTTCTAATACATGCTACAACATAGTAGAGCCTCAAAGAGATTATGCTAAGTGAAATAAGCCAGACAGGAAAAGACAAATATTGTATGATTTCACTTACATGACGTATCTAGAACAGACAAATTTATAGAGACAGAATATACATTAGAAATTATCGGGGATGGCCGGGTGTGGTGGCTCACGCCTGTAATCCCAGCACTTTGGGAGGCTGAGGTGGGCGGATCATGAGGTCAGGAGTTCGAGACCAGCCTGGTCAACATGGTGAAACCCCATCTCTAATAAAAATAGCTGGGTGTGATGGCTGGCACCTGTAATCCAGCTACTCGGGAGGCTGAGGCAGGAGAATCGCTGGAACCCAGGAGGTGGAGGTTGCAGTGAGCCGAGATTGTGCCACTGCACTCCAGTCTGGGTGACAGAGTAAGACTCTATCTCAAAAAAAAAAAAATTATTACCAGAGATTTAGGGGTCAGGATATATATGATAAGTTATTACTTAATGGTTACAGAGTTTCTGTTTGGGGTAATGAAAAAATTTTTAGAAGTAGTTAGTGGGTGATGGTTACACAATATTGTGAATGTAATTAACGCCACAGAATTATAAACCACTAAAAAAATTTTAATGTAGTGAATTTCATGTTATGTATATCTTACCACAATAGTAAAAATAATAAAGAAATGATAAATAAATAAATTCTCCTCCCAGCTCTCCTGAGCTTTTATATCATCATTCACTTAGTAATATTTAAAAGCTCTCCCATCTATCTTGAATAACTCCAGTTGCCCTTTAAAGTTATTTACATTTATTTGACCTTTGTGAAGGATAAAATTATAAAGTCTCCATTTTTACAATCTTTCTCATACTTAAAATTTATTATAAATATCAACATTTGTCTGCCATCCAAAATCAGCACGAAGCATTTTAATCTCCTCTAAAATATCCTGTACTTCAGCATTTTTCCTACATCAGAAATGTTTCTTTGTCTGTGTTTGGACTTTTCCTTGTTTTTCTCAGGTTGGAGACAAACTAAAAAATGTATTTCAGGGAGAATGGGACACTGAATATATTGGGAAAGCTATTTTTTCATGAAAATTAGATATCTGTATGTATTTTTTACAATATAGTGTGTATGGCTTTTTTTGTCTTTACTTACAACTTCCAATTCTCATTTTATTTTTGTTCCTAATTTGCAGTTCACATTTATTCTTGGTAAATTATTGCAGAGAAGTAATCTGTCTCAAATTCTATTCTGTAACACCTAGTCACTGCTCTAAAGTTTCTTCTAATTTTTAATTTCGTCTTGCTAAGTGCTGGCCACCTTCCTTGGTGTCTGCCATGCACTTAATAAAAATGCCCCCAATCCATCTGTCAGGTCAGGCTTGCCATTTACCTCTCAGGGATGTGGTAGAAATTAATGAGATCACTGTTCCAATGCTCTCTAAAGACTTGCATTTTGGAAGAGCTAAGTCAAAAGTCACAAAAGATTTGAACTATGAATTGTTCATGAAAAATAAATTTTATAATTCTTAGTAAATGTGAAGAACATTAGATATTCAAAAGAATGGACCCAGCTGTTGAAAAAATGACAGTAGTCGAGGCTAGAATACCCTTACTGTACAGAAAATTGCAGGGCTGATGAAGAATTGAAATCAAAAAATTTGAAATGTATAAATATCTCAAAAACAAGTTTTCACTATCACTTATGATACCTAATGAAAAACAAAAATGAGAATTGTACAGGGGTGATAATATCCAGATCAATAGTAATTTTCTGTTTTTGAATATTTTTATAATACTACCTAAGTAGTCTTAGAATATTTTGAAAATGGATATTAAGATGAGAAAATTATCTATAACTTACAACACAGTTTCACCAACATTTTGTCATTTTCTTTGATTTTTAAGCTATATATATTTTAAGTGATGCTGAATAAATGCTATATTTTAAGTACTATGTGCTAATTTTCAAGGTATTTTAAATGATATATAACAGTATTCCATACTATATAGAAATATCAAACCAAAAGATAAACATACAAATGAAGTTATACAGATTTCTACCACTGTTAAATATTTTGATACAGTTCAGTAAACGGTTTATGCATTTCAAAGTTTTCTGTTCTTTTTTAAACATAATTAATTTTAATGACTTTATTACATAAGAACAAATGTTCATTATATAAAAATCAGATAATGAAATGTATAAAAAGAAATAAAATAAAAATTATAAATAATGCCACCAAACAGACATCACTGCTAATATTTTGTGTATATATACATACGTGTGACATAAATGTACAGATATAGACATAGTTATATGTCTCTTTCTCTCACTATATATGTATACACAGACATACAATATTTTTTAATCACTTATATATCAGTATATATATAAAATTCATATAATTAAATAATTCAAATTTAAAATAATTCAAACTTAAAGCTGTTGGAACTTTAAATTAATTTGAGCCTTGAGAGGAGTATAGTTATTTAGCCTGAGTCACATGGCATGTGACTTCAATGTCTACCTTTATGGTCCCTGTAAATTAGGAAGGCCAAGAGCCACCAGAGATAAGACCTCCCCAGATCATTGCCCTTCTTCACAAAGTAGTAATCTTCCTTGCAATGTAGCAATCTGTAATTAATCAAATCACTGTGGCATATACCCTGGTCCTGTATGGAAAATGTAATCCTGCTGAAACAGCTCTGTATCTGTTTGTATAAGTGAAACCTTCACTTCTCCACTTTGAAATGCGTACCTCATTCATTTGGAGGCAGTGTTTCTGGATGGCCAGCCTCAAGATTTGTGGTCAAATGAACTCCATAGGTAATCATACGCCCTGAATCTTATTATTTAAGGCTGACATTTTGGCAACCAAAGGGACCTGACATGAACGTCTGGTAATCCTTGTTACTTTGCCAACAGCCAGAGACTTGGTAGCAGCATAAATAACTTCTGTTTGTCCAACCTTGCTGGGGTCAACAGAGATCTTTGGGAAGACCCCTCTCAAATCCCAATCCTCCCAGGCTTAGCTGAGGATTCGGACATTACTCAAACTACACACATTTCTAACTCAATGGAGTTGGAATTGAAGCACTACTACAAGGTAGTAGCTTCATTTGCTGTTCTCTAGAGATTCTGCTAATTGAGGATTTGTGATTTTCCCTTTTCTCTGATGTTAAGGTTTTGTTTGGAATCACTCCATAGAGTTTTTAAACCTTTTCTCACATTTGAAATTTTGGTCAGGGAAACAAAACAGTTTCTCTCTGAAAAGAGGGAGTGAATCTTTGTGGCTTAAACAAAGATGAGTAATCTTTTAAATTGGCTACATTCTGAAGCTCAGTTCAACTGACAAACCTAAACTTTCTTTTTAAGTGTCCAAAATAATAAGAGGTTTTCTATAAGGATAAGTTCTGAAGATAAGAGACAATTCTTCCCAGCTGAAAGCCACCGTAAGTGACTAAGGTCTTATGGAAGTGTTGGAGCTTATCACTCACAATGAAATGGTCTTACAAGGAGTCCATTAAGAAGAACAGGAAACCTTGCTTAATCTGGTAGGCACAACTAAAGGCTGATCACCTGGTACCTTAAGCATCCAAGTTTCCTGGGACCATCAAGACACATAAAAAGGAAGAACTTACTCAAAGGTAAAATAAGGAGCAGTTATTCTGATAAGCAGCACACTTATTCCAAAGCAACTCCCATTAGATCTTTTTGGTCATTCAAAAGGAAAGTCTAAATTATGGGAAATCATACTTCTAAAACTGAATCTTCCTCCTTAAGGAGGGAGCTATCATTGGAAACACCAGCTGAATTTCTGTTAAATAATCATGGCACCTTGTCATGCATGTAAGACCAGAAAAATGGTCTCATATAAATTTCAAAGACCCCAAATTACATTGGCCACAAAGGGGTACTTTTAAATAAGTGAATTAGTTTATCTGTGTGCTCAATGAGAAAAAAACAGCTCTAAAATAAAAGAAGATAACTGGAGGAGCTATTTTCAATGATACTTGAAAGCATTTAAAAGAGGTTCTGATAAAGCCATTTCTTTGCAAGAGGAAAAGATTGTCTGAAACAACTTCTGAATCGAAAAAGGCTGCCAAAATTCCTCCTCCTTCTTTGTCTTCTCCTTCTCTTCTGTTAGAATTTCCTTGTCTGCATCTACCTCCCCTTTCTCCTCCTCCTTCTTCTGCTGTTCTGGCTCCATTTCAGGAACATCCCGTGTCCAGTAGAGGAGAACTTACCTTGGTTTATCAACTATGGCTAAAAGTAGAACCCAAAGGCATAATTAAAGAATTCTTGGATCCTTTTTAGAACCTTATTGGATTTTCTAGAGAATTCAAATCTGACATTCAAACTTGTTACCCCAAATTCTCTGATTTTTATCAATTGGTTCACGTGTTAATGTCAGACAACAAAACCAAGGATTGGATAGAAAAAGCAAACTGCAGGAATGTTATGGAGGACTTCCATGAATTTTCTGAACCAGATTGTGAATGGGCCCACAATACTCCCCAATCTTTACTAGATGTTATCCCCTTAGTTTTCCAAAGACCAGTGATTAGAATAAAACACAACAATGCTAACACGATCTTGATAAGCCTGTAATGTCACACTGTGAAAGATTTGAAAAATTATTTAAACAATATTCAGGTCTATTAGAAGAAAGGTATGCTAATCACTAAAATTACACTCTCCTTAACTCAAACTTTTTAAGTAGATTAGATTAGGAATTTTAAGTAGATTAGTTTGAGAATAATTAAGAGACAGAGCCTCAGCTGAGCTACCTCTTAAGCTCATGATCTAGTCAATTTTGCTGATCAATGTCCTGTACTCTAACCAAGCAAGAAAAAGAAAAACGAAAACTAAACAGAAAGGAAATCAAATAAGATCATGAGCTTACCACTAAAACAATTGGCCCACCCATTTGTAAGCCCTAAACATCCTAATAAGTTCTAAAACCAACCCAATCTCCCACTTTGCAATTACTGCAAAAGGCCTGGGCATTTAAAAAGAATTGTAGAAAATTAAAATGTAAAGAACAGTTGGAGGCCAAAGTAAAAGAATAATAGAGATACTCTGAGAACTTGAAAGGGAAATGAAAATTAATTTAAATGAAGAGCAAACATATGCTCTTATTGACACTGAAGCTACATTATCAGTGGTAAATCCCACTTTATTGTAAGGTTCCCATTCCTCAGAGTGAGAAAACAATACAAATGGTAGGTATAACAAATACTCCTATGTCAGTATATAAATCTAAACCTATTGTTTTACAGTTAGGTCCTCTCCAAGGAACACATGTTTTCCTTTTGGTTCCCTCAGCCTCTATTCATTTGATAGGGAAAGCCTTTTTATAATTATACAATATCCACATCTCTTTCTCTCAAAATGGGAAATGTATTTATAATTAAAAGATAAAATAGAATTATTAGGATCAAAAACTTTTTAAAAATTTGATTCTTTTAATTCACAAATTGCAATTCGTATTGTCATGGAGGAAATAAAATTGTTAAAGAATGAATTGCAAGAGTGGTTAAATATAGTACCTGATTAGTCATGGTCAAAATCTTCCACCAATATTGGGAAAATTATCTTGACCACACCAAGTTATATTTAAATAATCCATCAAAATCTCTTTCAAATCTTGAGCAATACTTTCTAAGATTAGAGGCCTCAAAAGGAATAAGGCCTATAATTTTGGATAAAAAAAGAGGCTTGATTGTTCCTTATACAAGGCCATGTAATACTCCAATCCTCCTCATAAGAAAACCAAATTGTAGATAACAGAGATTTGTACAGGATTTGAGGGCAATTAGTAATATAGTTATTCCTTGATGTCTAGTGGTATGAAACCCCCATGTGTTGTCAACTGTTGTCCCAACTGAAGGTGAGATGTTTACTATAACAGACCTATGGAGTGCATTCTTTAGTATTCGTGTAGATAAAAATAGACAATTTCTCTTTGCCTTTACTTGGGAAGACAAACAATACACATGGACAGTCATGCCTCAGGGAAATACTGACAGCCCAACTTATTTTTTACAAATATTAAAAGCAGGCCTTTCACATGCTGACACCCCTAAGAAATCCACTTTGATGCAGTATGTAGATGTTTTACTTCTCTTCTCAGGGAATAAACAAGCCTTCAAAGAGGATGACATTTATTTGCTACAACGATTAGCTTCAAAATGACACAAGTTCTCAAAAGAAAAACTTCAGTTCTCTCAAAAACAATTAAGATATTTAGGTAATACAATACCAAAGGAAGGACTTTTTATCAATCTAAATGGAATAGAAAGAATATTCACCTTCCCTACCCCAAAAACTAGCAAACAACTGAGAGGATTTTGGAGTTGGCAGGATACTGCAGAAATTGGATTCCAAACTTCTCCTTAAAAGCTCAACCTTGCTGTATCCAAGTATGTTCTAGTGATGGTTTGTATGTTCTGTTACTTAATAGAGAATTTCCATGCAGAAGACCAGCCTTAGCTGTAAGTAAAATTATTTTAGAGAAAATTATTCTAACTTGGAAAGTTTCTCTAGAACTTTATAACAACAGAGATACTCATTTCACTGGACAAATAATCTTGTCAGTATGCAAAATTTGGCCCACTATCCAACATCTCCATTATGCCTGTCACCCCCAGTCTTATGGGTTAGTGGAAAGAATAAACAGAGTAATCAAAACTCAGTTTGGTAAAATTAACTGAGGTTTTTAAAATACTTGGTCAAAGGCTCTTCCATCAGTTTTGTTCAACCTAAGATTAACCCCTTTTAGTAAATACCAACTGTCTCCATTTGAAATTGTACCATACAGACCTATGAAATTGTCTCTAAGAAACAGTGAATCTATGATATTAAAAAGGGACATGTTGTATTAGTTTAGTGGCCTTATAAAAACTGTAATTCAGTAAAAGACTTTCCACAGCGAGTTCCTGGAAGACAAAAAAAAAAACAAAAACTCAAGGACCACAGACTTTAGCTAGAAGATTTTGTCTATTAGAAATGGCATCTTTTAAAGGACTCTCTCCAATCAAGGTGAAAGGGACCTTATCAGGTGCTCCCAAGTAACACTTGTGCCACTAAACTAAATGGAATTGTCTCCTAGATATACATCACTCACTCAAAGAAAGCTACTTTGGCTTTGCCAATTTAGACTTCATGTCAAACTGGTGATCTACAATTGAAATTCTCCATAACCAACAAAGATCAAAAGAAGGTGGCATCTGAGGTAACCGGACTTCCGAAGTCATAAGACCAGGCCTGTATCCAAATGAACACTTTACATTAGTAATAATTAATACTTGAGGAAGGTCTTCCTTTATAAATTTCCACTAAATTTCTTTCTTTTCATCTCAAATTCTTATATTTTGTTGCTACTATCACCATCTGTGGACCATATAGCAAACCTCTTCTTGCAATGGGCTCAGGACTATGGTAATAGATTACAAAAAACAAGAAACATTTGTTGGGTATGTAGTCTCCTGCCTGTTTCTGATGGTTCTGGCCTACCCTGGTGGTATTTCCTCTCCAAGGACAAGATTGGATAGAATATCAGAAATATATCCACATTTCTCAAGAACAATCATCAGTACTTAGCACTAGTATGACTAAGCAAGGTGTGCATCACTGGCCTATTAATATTGCTTTACAAAGCAAAAAGCATAGAAAAAGAGTTTTGAGAAAAAAAAAAAAACAGAAAAACAAAAAGCCCCCAGTTCATTAATTGTAACACTGGAAGTGCCCCAAATGAGGAATGAAACAATGACACTGTCCCAACTGAGAGATAAGACAACTCAATTTCAGGATGGCATAACACAAATTTGGGACAGTTTTATCTGACTTACCCACTCCTTTGGCTAATTTAGTCAGCTTGCCCATCTATGTTGGGAACAGATAAATCATACTGAGGATACCCCATTCAATAGCACCAGAGATATGGGATGGATACCCAAAGAACAGTGTATCCCCATCATTATATGACAAAGTACTAATTGGCATGCTACCGAATGGTCACAATAACTGGGTTTTTATTGGTTAGCTCCAAATAAAATGTCTTGGCTATGCAGCACTAATGTATGACCATGGTTACCACCAGGATGGTTAGGATGATGTTCTTTGGGTTATGTTAGACACAAGGTTGCATAGATCATACCCTGTCAACATCTGCAAATTTTCCTCATTCACAATCTCATCGGGTTAATTCTACATTTCATTGGTATGATCATTCAGCTTCCATCTTCATACTACAAATGGGTATTGATAATGTCATTTAGCATAAAGAAGCCCTAACCAATTACACACAAATGATAGCTACATGGGTATTTTGTTATTAAACAATAAAGTTATCTTATGAGAAAAAGCTATATTATAGAACATCTGGCTTCAGACATATAGCAGCCCAAGGGGAAACTTGCATGATCATTAAAACTGAGTGCTATGTCTATATACCAGATAAATCAGATAATATTATTAAACCAATGGCTAATATGAAAACCCAAATAAATAACCTTTTGAATCCAACACCCTTTCTAAACAATTGGCTAAGAAGATGGTTTGGATCTTGGGGAACTTGGTGGCAAAAACTGTTACTTACTCTAGGAATTATAATCATTTATTGTGTTTTATTGTTTTTGTCTTCATTTTTGCTGCAACATCTCTTTGCAATGGAGTAAATAAATGCATGACCAAAAAAACTAAAATAATGGTTGCTCAAAGAATTGCATTAATTGAAGATGTAGCTGTTTAGCCTGTTTTAAGCCACAAATTCACTTTCTTTATGTTGTCTTA
Source organism: Homo sapiens (assembly GCF_000001405.40). Classification (NCBI taxonomy): domain Eukaryota; kingdom Metazoa; phylum Chordata; class Mammalia; order Primates; family Hominidae; genus Homo; species Homo sapiens. The sequence continues at coordinate 38,253,314 of NC_000013.11, forward strand.
AATTTGGTCTGTACTCTATTTTATAGCTTAATTCCCCCTGATTACAGGACAATATATTTTTAGGAATGAGCCCTCCTAGTGATGTGGGACTAAACTCTTGAACATAAAAGAAGTCAAAATTATTGAGCTTTGACTTGGGAAATTAAAAACAAATAAACTTTAAAAGTTGTTAAAAACTTCCAAACACTTTAAGCCTTGAGAGAGATGTGACTGTGATCTCAGCCACGTCACATGTAGTTGTAACTTCTGTTTCTTAGAATATAGATTGGCTCCCCTACTCTTCATGCTTGTTCTGTAAGTGAGAGACCAGAGACCAGACATCCTCCCCTTTCAATCACTAATATTTGTTATAGATTAACTGTCTCCTTTACTGTCCTGTACCTAACTCAGACTGATAGCACAAAAGACCCCATGATGGTTATATCTTCACTGTGGAATGTTAAATATACCTTTCCCAAAATAAAAAAAAAGACCACTCTGACTAATAGATTACTGTAACTATGTATTATGCCTTATATAGAAAAATGCCAAAATTCAGTTAAGCTTCCCAAACCTTATCTATATAAACGACCCCAAACTCCTACACTTAGGAGCACTGATTTTCATTCTTTGGAATCTGTGCTTCCTTGGCAGATATTCTCAAACTTTGTGTTTAATAAACTATCTTTAAACTAGATTCTGACCCTTTTGACTATTTTTGTTTGACAGAACTTCTAGAACCATATCTCCAACCCTAGAATGACTTTGGCTATATTAAATTCCTTGAATGCTAAACTTTATCCTGTAGAAAATCAGGGAGTCAATACAAATACTTTTTAAAAAATAATGTATATTCAAGGGATCAATCTGTTTAAAGATGTTTACTGTTTACACATATTAGGCACAATGATATAGTAACAAATTAGGCTACTTTTCCTATTTCTTGCCCTTCAGCAAATGACAATCTGGTGGGGGAGACTCATATATACACAAATCACTATAATAGAGTAAGAAACATTAAGCACATGCACAGATAGATTCCTAAACATTGGTACTTGCCCAAATTGTTATACTACATTGAAGAGCATCATTATAGAGTCATAAACAGTAAGTTATAGCAACTAAGGGAATGATTAATCCTATCTGTGTGAAGGGCTATGAATGCTTCATAGAAGTGTTGATTTGTAATGACGGCCTTGAAAATTCATAGAATTCTGTCAACTAGTGAGGAAGGACGAAAACTAATGTTTCCTTTTTATTTTTTATTTTCTTACCTTAATTTTTAAATGTTTTAAATGTTTTGAAGATGCTCAGCATGTTGAAGTTTTCATATACAGAAAACCCAAAATATTTCACCCCAAAATATACTTCTTTGACATACTTCCAAGATGGCTATTTGGAGGGCCTGCAGGCAAAAATAGCCCTGAAAAGCTGCCTTTTGTGGAGGAGATTTGCATCTGTGGAGAAAAATCTACTTTAGTGAAATAAATAGCCAGGCTTTCTCTGAGGTCTTCCCCCTTATCTAGATCTAGGAAATATGAACACAACCACAGGTTCCTATCTATTTTTTCTGAGAGCTGCTACCTGTGAGGTTTCATCTGTATAACAAGACCACCTTTGCCACATGCCTTTCTTTCTCCCTATCACACCCTGTCTTGCCAAGCTCCAAGCCCTTATTCTTTCTCTAACCTTAAATGATATAAAAGCATCAACCATCTGGCCGTTCTTTGAGTTTTTATATCTTATATTATGCCCATGAACACATGTGCCTGTTAATAAATTTTGTATGCCTTTTCTTCTATTAATCTGTCTTTTATCAATTGAGTTTCAGTGAACCTTCAGATGGCTAAGGGGATGTTTTCCTTTGGCTCATACAAATAGCTCTAAGTCATACTCGGAGAACAGATTTTTGTACCCTTGAGAGCAGACTGCCAACGTGGGTCATACTAGCCTTATAAAGATATTAGGACTTTTAACAATATTCAGATCACAGCATATATTTCAGTACCCCCAAATCTCTTTTTATCAACATGGAATTTAGATAAGATAGAGGTTAAACTCTGATTTGCATTAGCTATGAGGTAGATTTAGGACTAGACTGCCTTTAGTGTTTTTAACAGAATGCTTCCAAACAGAAAATACAATTTACATTTAAAATAAGGCAATGTTTTTAAAAGCTGTCTTTCGGGTTACGCTAGTCTTTATAGAAAGAATGCAAAATTTCTACGTGACCTCACCTTCTCATTCACATTCACAAAGAAGACACTGCCCAGAGTCAGAGTAAATATTTCTTGGTGATTTAGCATCTTTAAATATACCCTAACCTTCATCAGTGGAAACCTAGAGCTACTTTTAGGATCAGAGCATGTATGAGAGTTGCCATAGTCCAACAATACTACAGTAAAGCTTATGGCAAACTTTGAAGGAAGCAAAGTAAATTTTGTATAGCCTCTGCCTTTCCTTTTTAAAAGCTCTCCCCAATTATCTCTAGTCCCACTTGCCCTGGGGCATTTATCCTGGCATTCTTCACATACACACAAATGACTTGTTCTCAGGCAGAGCTCAATTTATTCTCACTAAATTGAAATGATTATGGTTGAAAGTATCCCTTATGAAAAGTGCACCCTAAAAAATCAGAAAGGCTTTTAAGTCCAAAGGAGGCAATCACTGATGGTGTGGTTTCTGGTACCACAATCAGTAGTTGAAGTAAACGTTTTAGATGTGAAAAAGTTCTTAATGATTCCTGATTCTTTGTGACACACAGAACTAATCACTTTCTGTACTGAAATTTCATGAAATTTTTTCTAATAATATTGTAATATTGTATTATGATGTGTTTGTGTGCCTTGAAGAACTGTGCCTATCTAGCACAAGTGAAATATGTAATGGTAAAAAATTTGGATTTGGAATCAGATAGGCTTGAAGTAACATATATTAGGGTTCAAATCCTGGTTTCCAGTTTAAGAGTTGGGTGGACTTTGTCAAATTTCTCAGTATTCCCAAGCTTCTTTCATCTGTAAATAGAAATAGCACTATTTAAATTACAAAATGCGTCAATTTATACAAAATCTCAGTTCAATGTTTAGTAGAGTTATAAACAATAGTTATTTTTTTATGTGTGCTGTAGACTGAATGTTTGTGTCTGTTCAAAATTCATATGTTGAAACCTAATCCCAATGTGATCACTTTTGGAGGTGGAACCTTTTCAAAGATGATTAGGTCATGAGAGTGAAGCTCTTCTGATGGGATTAAGGCCCTTATAAAAGAAACTCAGAGACCGAAACACAAAGATGAGTCAACTCATATCAGAAATCAGATTTTCCAGATTCAGGGTACTCTTATATTTCCTTTTCTGTGGCTTTACTGGGCATACTCTTCACATCCCTTCAATAATCTCTCTAAAAATCACTAATCAGAGAAGCTTTCTGTGACATCCCAAAATACATAGACAGGTGGTTGTCCTACTTGATGAAACCATACATGGTTTCTATACTTCATGGAAGCTCTTGTCACTTTGTAATAATGTATAATTTTGCTCATCTACATTCTTCATTGGAGTATGACCTCTTAAAAGAAAAATGCAACATTGTTTTAGCCTGAATTATCTAAGAACCTGATAGAGGAAGTCAGATGTATGTAATTTATTGAGGAAACACTCTCTGAAGAATGTGAAGAAAGTAGGCTAGGACAGAGAGCTAAGCAAAAGTGTCATCTGAACCTGGAGCCATCCTGCAGACTAGGCCCACAGAGAACTCTGGACAATGAGTTGCACCAAGAAATTTGCCCCACTTTGAGCCACTGGCATCCAAGTCAGTCAGCCATTGCCTGAGGGCTGCATGAGGAAGGGCAGTACCCTCATAAGCAGGAACTCCTATTTATTCCACAGCAATTATCTTGAGGAGAGAGTAGCTGTGAATCCTTGACAGCCATCACTACAGTAATGGAGGGTGAGTGTGATGGCTCAATGAAGGAGATCTAGCCAGAGCAATGACTTGTAAACTTATGAGTCTTCATCCTAACATCTACTTTCTTGTTTATATAGTGAATGGTTAAAATACTCTATCATTAAATGAATTATCAGGCTATGTCTATGAACAAAGTGCTGTACCGTGTACTAAAGGAGATACAAAAATAAATCCTTCACCTCAAGCTTTTGAAGTGAATGCTGAACTATGTCGGAGGGAATGGGGAAAGGAGGAGGTGTGAGATAAAATTACTAACACACAAAATAAGACAGAATATGACAACTTTTACAAGACAGATACATAGATTAATTGGGAAACTACCAAAGATCTGTAAATCCCATCTGAAAGCAATCAGGAAAGACTTCAGAGAAGAAATGCAACTTGTAATCTTTATGAATACATTGATTTTTAGGAAGGAAAGAAGTAAGTATTTCAATTGGGAAGAGCTACATCAGAGACAGAAAGTTCTGAATTGGGGCAAAAGAAGAGGTTGTTTTGCTGCTGCATAGAGTACATATAATAGTGCGTACATTTCATAGTGGAAGAGTAATGGATATGGCTAGGAAGATTGTTAGGGGTATAAATGTGTAAGGTGTTGAGTGCCTAGCAGAGAAGTTTAATTTTTACTCCATAGGTAATGAAAAGTCACTGGAAATTTTTTAACATGGAACTGAGGTTAACAGTAAAGAGCTTTAGTTTTAAGCTAGCAAGACTATCACAGGATGGTTTAGATTGGGGAGGTAATAGGGGTGGAATTGTAATGCAGCCTCGAAACATGTTTTGAAATTAAATGCTTCAATCTCTCTGCTTCTACATTTAAAGTTGCATTTTTTCTAATATTTAGTCTATGCAATTCCTTTTAAAGATAAAGTGAAGAAATAGGTTTACCAAACACTGTATTTCTAGGTCATATGTAAATTCCCTTTGTTGAAGCACATTTTTAGAAAAAGCACAATATATTAGAATTATAACGTATTTCTGACCTGTAATATATCATAATCAAGTGCTGACAGTATATGGACTCTCCAGTATTTCTTTCTTAATGTTAAAATATAACCAGTGGTAATTTATTTGACTTATTTTATCTTAATTAGACAAATAATCCTCAATTGCAACAAATATTTATTTAGAGTTTCTTGGTGCTTGTCTCAAGAAGGGACAGTGAGGAATCGAAGTATAATGCCCAACCCTCAAAAAACAAATAGAGTTTCTGGGCACATTCTATGTACTAGGCTTGGTGTTACGGAGACACTTGCACAGACAGTCTGCTTATTTAGTAAATGCTCTCATTTTTATGCATAAGTAAATAACCTAAATTTATATATCCAGAAAGTATGAGTCAAAATTCAAATCCTGTTTTAATTATGAACCCAAAGCTCTTTCTGTATATCTATTGGTATACATAGCATAGCATCTATACAAGTAGTATATCTATTAACAGACAGAAATTCACATGCAAAGACCAGTAAGAACATACGGTAGCAATCAATAAAGGGCAGGGGAATAGTGACAGAAAATAACCACAAGTGTACTGTACCTGTAAATGTTGAGATATATGTAACGCACTCTCTCCCTTTCCATAATTCAGTTCTAATTTCCACCTTATCCCCAATAACCTCTTGTATCCCAGTGATGGAGGGCTAGTACAAAACCATATCAGCTTTACAGACAATACATGGAAGATAGATAATGGGTAGATTGAATGCTTTATATCATAATTAGTATTTAGAGATACTTGGGATCTTTACATATGTTTTAGACATCAATTTGCAAAATTTTCATTTCTCAGTTAAAATATTACATACTTTACTTAATAGTATAAGTAATTTAATATTAATAGATGTATTCAAATAAATATGTTTATTCTGTAAGTGAGTATTTTGCCTGGAAAGAATTTATTATTGCTAATCCTTACAAAGTTTTCCAACCTTAAGTTTTATAGTTGTCATTTTCAGTGAGAAAATTGAAACTGCAAGAGGTTAAGTAACTTGCTCAAGGGCATATATTACTAATTTAGAATTATCACTATTGGATGGGCATGGTGGCTCATGCCTGTAATCCCAGCACTGTGGGAGGCCAGTGCAGGTGGATCACCTGAGGTCAGGAGTTCAAGACCAGCCTGGCCAACATGGTGAGACCCCATCTCTACTAAAAGTACAAAAAATTAGCCAGGAGTGGTGACACATGCCTGTAGTCGCAGCTACTCAGGAGGCTGAGGCAGGAGAATCTCTTGAAGCAGGGAGGTGGAGGTTGTAGTGAGCCGAGATTGTGCCACTGCACTCCAGCCTGGGTGACAGAGAGAGACTCCATCTCCAAAAATAAAAATAAAAAATAAAAAATAATTATCACTATTGTCCAGGTCTTTGTGACAGGATATTAGCTTTAAAGAGCCTGTTATCTATTTATAGAAATATACTCAAATTAAAAATTAATAATAATGAAAACTGTACGCATGTTTCAATGACCAGAGAGAACAGTCATTGTATTAGTTTCCTATTGCTACTATAACAAATTACCACAAATATGGTGACTTAAAACAACAGAAATTTATTATCTTGCAGTTCTGGAGGTTAGAAGTTCAAAATGGATCTCACTGGGCTAAAATTAAGTTGTACACAGTGCTGCTGTCTCTATTCTGTAGGTTTAGAGGACAGTCCTTTATGTTCCCTTTTCCTGCTTTTAGAGACAGCCTGTATTATTGGATTCAAGGCCCCCTTCCACCTTCAAAGCCAGCAATGGCTGATCCAGTCTTTCTCACCCTATCTTACTCTGATTCTCTGTCTTCTGCCTCACTTTTTTACACTTAAAGGACTCATGTGATTATATTGGGCCCAACCTCATCATCCAGGATAATCTTATGCTAAGATTTTTAACTCACTCACATCTGCAAAGTCTCATTTTCAATAAAAGGTCACATATTTACAGGTACTAGGGATTTTGACACGGACGTATTTGTTCCCATTGCCCTGCCTGCCACAATCAGAAAAGGTTTTTTTGAGGAAAGTGAAATGTAGAACTTGGCCTATAAGAAATTAATCACTAGCCGTGCACGGTGGCTCACGTCTGTAATCCCAGTACTTTGGGAGGCCGAGGCAGGCAGATCACCTGAGGTCAGGAATTCGAGACCAATCAGGCCAACATGGTGAAATAATCTCGTCTCTACTAAAAAAAAAAAAAAAACAAAAAAAAAAAAACAAAAAAAAAAACATAGCCAGGTGTGGTGGCATGCGCCTGTAGTCCCAGCTACTCCGGAGGCTGAGGCAGGAGAATCACTTGAACCCAAGAGGCGGAGTTTGCAGTGAGCTGAGATCACACTGCTGCACTCCAGCCTGGGCGACAAAAAGAGACTCTGTCTCAAAAAAAAAAAAAAAAGTCAATCATTTTGCCTTGTGAAAAGAAGCATATTACTGAATATATCATATTATCATAAATATATTAGAAAAGAAGAGAAAGCAGGCTCTGAGTAAACAGGTCCAATAATTTCCACATTTTAGACAGAAATAAAGTGAAGGAGGAAAGACCCAGGAATAGGAATCTGCTGAATCTCTGTAATGTCTCTCACAATGACTTCCTGTTTGTTCTCTAGACAATACCCTAGTCTTTTCACCTTCTATTGCTATCTAGGATCCTGCATCCAAACGCCTCTTTCAATCCATCCCACGTTTTACATTTCATGCGTCATCATCCTGCTCCGAAGCTTCTGTTTGTCTCTATTATGCATGAGATAAAATTCAAAGTCTTCCACAAAATGGACTGTACCTAACTTTTTAGTGTTAATGTACTTTTTTTAAAACAGATTCTCTATTGTTGCCAAACATGTCTATTCATGGTTCCTTGAACATGCGAACCGCATTCTTCCTCTACTCAAAACAGTTTTCTTGCCAGGAAAGTCTGGAGTCCTTCTTCTTTCTAAATCCTATCTGTCTAATTTTGCCAGAGATCTTTTCTTATTTCCCCAGATTTCACGGGTTGACACTTTCCTAATTTCCAAGACACTTAGTGTCTACTCTATGTTTGTCACAAAATGGCCACATATTTGCTTTTTAAATGTAGGTTGATATTCTTAATGTAAATATCCTATCTACTCAACTACATTCTAAATCCCTTACAATTAGGGACTGTACCATATTCTCATACTCTCAGTGTTCCCAACCCATAGCACATAGCCTTACTTATAAATAGCTCTAGTAGATGTCTGTGGATGATTATGATGACTTATGTTTTGAAGGATCTAAAATATATATACATAAAAGCCTGCTGATATTTGGTTATTTGCACATAATAGAAATATGGTCAGGAGCCATGGGGGATATAGGATAGTTCAGAAGCCAGAAGATTGATGGAGTTACCATGATAAAAACCGTAAGTTCTAGCATGCTGGTCAAGATTCTGAAATGAGCCCATAGCAAGAGTTAAATGTGGCTGGGTGCAGTGGCTCACACCTGTAATCCCAACACTTTCGGAGGCAAAGTGGGGAGACCACTTGAGACCAGGAGTTCAAGACCAGCCTGGCCAATATGGAGAAACCTTGCCTCTACGAAAAATACAAAAATTAGCTAGGCATGGTGGTAAGCGCTTGTAATCCCAGCTACTCAGGAGGCCGAGGTGGGAGAATCACTTAAACCTGGAAGGTAGAGGTTGCAGTGAGCCGAGATCGCACCACTGCACTCCAGCCTGGGTGACAGAGTGAGACACCATCTCCAAAAAAAAAAGAAGAGTTAAATGCAAGGATATAATAAGTAGTGGTGGCTCAGATTCTTCCAAATATTGTCATGTATATTTTAAAAATTTAAGTACTAATTACATTATAAGCAACTTCTAGATAAAATTCCTGGGGATAAAACCAACCACCATCTACATTACTGCAAAAATTTAAAAGTTCTGATATATCATATTTACTATAGTTTTGTATCACCAAAAATGATCATACAACTCAGGATATATAATACCTTTCTAAGCAGATTCTGTTTTTTGTTTATCTTGAAATGATTTTTAGTTGAGAGGAGATATGAAATCACTTTTCAAGAACTGGCTCAAATATTTCTTACTCTAGAAAACCTTTTCCAAATTATTTCAGAATTAGTCATTTTTATCCATCCAATATGATCCTCTTTCTCCTCTGCTCAGCAGGGCTGCTGATTACTACTGAGTTTTTCTTTTCCCAAGGGACAAACTACAAATCACTCTAAGGAAATGAATTTAGAAATTACATACTGAGCTTACATCTCCCAAAGACTCCAGGCCCTCAAATTCTACTTCTGTTGCTTGCTCCCCAGGGACTGAAAGCAGTTATTTTTTGAAATACATATTCCCAGCTTTTATAATTGTTTTTAGCAGAATGGATTGTACATTACCTTCTACCAAAAGTAGAATATCTTTTCCTTAAATTTTGAATTGTAACTAAAATTGACCATAATTATCATGAAATAAACAATTTGACCAGGTCCTTATAAAGTTGGCTATTATTAAAAAGTTAAAAAAAAAGATGCTGGTGAGGCTGCAGAGAAAAGGGACTGCTTATATACTGCTGGTGGGAATGTAAATTAGTTCAGCCATTGTGGTAATCAGTCTGAAGATTTCTCAAAAAACTTAAAACAGAACTACCATTCAACTCAGCAATTCCATTACTGGTTATATACTCAAAGGAAAATAAGTCTTTCTACCAAAAAGACACATTCACATATGTTCATTAGTAAAATATTCACAATAGCAAAGGCATCAAATCAACCCAGGTGCCCATAAATAGTGGATTGGAACAAGAAAATATGGTACATATACACCATGGAATACTAGATAGTGATAAAAAAGAATGGAATCATGTCCTTTGCAGCAACATGGATACTGTGAAAGGCCATAATCCTAAGCAAATTAACAGGGGAACAGAAAATCAAATATCATATGTTCTCAGTTATAAGTGGGAGCTAAACATTGAGCACACATGAACACAGAGAGGGGAACAACAGACACTGTGGACTACTAGAGCAGGGAAAGGGGATATGGGTTGAAAAACTACCTATTGAGTACTATGCTCACTACCAGGGTGACAGAATCTGTACCATAACCTCAGCATCATGCAATATCCCCATGTAACAAATCTCCAAATGTACCCCCTGTATCTAAAATAAAAGTTGACATTTTGAAATAAGTTAAATGATCAATAAAATGAAACTTTATTCCATAAGCATCAATATATTAAAAATAATAGCCTTGATAATTATCATAAATATTGGCTTATATTTAGAAAAATGTAAAAATACTCTCTAAAGTTAGTACAATGGCATTAATAGTGACAGGATTCTGAGAATAAATCTTCAGCATCAGAGGTGTACGTATTCTGTCACTCATCTGATGCCTCTCATTCCTTCTTATAAAAAATGCTGCATACTTCAGATACAATGTCCATTTCAGAGATCTGATAGATATTGTTACTTTTGCATATAATTCTAGTTTCTATTCTTCATTCCAGTTCTTTCATAAATGTGAATTACCCAAGGAATTCATTATTCTTAATTTAGGATGAAGTGCTCATCCACTTTAAGAAACACTAGACATGTATTCTTCTTAACTAAATCGTCACAAAGCAAGTTATATGTCACTTTCTGGTTATCAGTCTAGTTCCAGTGAACCAATAACTAGCTTTTTAAACTACCAATTTTCAGTTTATCTAGTTTAGTCTTATTTATTCACTTTTCTTTCTCTGGCAGGAGTTCTCACATAATTTAACAGGATTCCTAAGGACAGCATTGTCACACACACTGAAGCATGGAAGATTTGCATTCTGTGTCTTCAATCTGAGCAAAATTATTAAATTAGCACTCTGTTGTAAGTTAGATTAATTAATTTACTATACCCTGAAGTTATTTCACTTGTATGACTACACAAAGTTGTATAAGAGAAAGATATTATCTATTATGCATTCACGAATTAGCACCCTAAGGGTATTAGAGAAAATGTAGTGTATTGAGACTACAAACAAAATAATTCCAAATTTAAAAATATAAAATATTTATATTTGAAAATTAAACCTGATATATAAAAAGGTTAACTTTGGCTTTATTTCTCATCATCAAAATCTTGAAAATGGCACATGGTTGGGAGGGATCCCCAAGATAGCCAAACAGAAACAGCTCTGATCTGCAGCTCCCAGACAGACTAATGCGGAAGGTGAGGGATTTCTGCATTTCCAACTGTGTACCAAGTTCATCTCACTTGGACTGACTAGGAGGTGGGCACAACCCACAGAGAGTGAGGAGAAGCAGGGTGGGGCGGCACTTCACCTGGGAGCTGCACAGGGCAGGGGGACCCCCCATCCCAGTCCAGCCAAGGGAAGTGGTGAGGGACTGTGCTACCCACTAGGGGTGCAATGCTTTTCCCCATGGATTTTTGCAATCCGCTGATCAAATCAGGAGATTCCCTCCCGAGTCTACACCACCAGGGTGCTGGATCTCAAGCACAAAATTAGGCAGCTGTTCAGGCAGGCACTGAGCTGCGGGAGTGTTTACATACTCCAGTCATGCGTGGAACTCCGGTGAGACAGGAGAATCATTCAGTCCCATGGAAAGGGGGCTAAAGCCAGGGAGCCAAGTGGTCTTGGTCTGTGGGTCCCACTCCCACAGAGCCCAGCAAACTATGAACCACTGGCTTGAAATTCCCACTGGCAGCACAGCAGTCTGAAGTCTGCCTGGAAGAACCGAGTTCCTGGGGGAAGTGGTGACTGCCCTTACTGCAGCTCTAGTAGGTGGTTTTCCCCTGACAGTGCTAAAGAGACTGGGAAGTTTGGACTGGGCAGAATTCCCCACAGCGCAGCAAAGCAGCTATGGCAGATCTTGGCCAGACAGCTTCTTTAGATCTTCCTCACCAGACAGGGCATCCCTGCATGAATTTCAGCAGCTCTAGTCAGGAGCTAACAGACAGAACTCTCACCTCCCTGGGACAGAGCACCTTGGGGCATGGGCAGCCACCATCTCAGGTTCAGCCTGCCTGCCAGCTCTGAAGAGATCAGCTGATCCCAATTAGGGGGATTTCCCCAGCCCAGCACACCAGCTCCACTAAGGAACAGGCTGCCTCTTCAAGCAGGTCCCTGACCCCGTGCCTTGTGACTGGGTGAGACCTCGTCAGACACTTCATACAGGAGAGCTCCAGCTGGCAGCAGGTTGGTGCCCTTCTGGGAGGAAGCTTCCAGAGGAAGGAGCAGGCAGCAGTCTTTGCTGTTGTGCAGCCCCCACTGGTGAGATCCAGGCGAACAAGGTGTGGAGTAGACCCCTACCAAACTGCAGCAGACCTGCAGACAAGGGTACTGACAGAAGAAAAACAAACAGAAAGCAACAACAAAAACAACACCAACAAAAAAGACTCCACAAAATCCCCATTCAAAGGTCATCAGCCTCAAAGATCAAAGGAAGATAAATCCATGAAGATGGAGAAAAACCAACACAAAAGTGCTGAAAATCCCAAAAACCAGAATGCCTCTTCTGCTCCAAATGATCATAACACTTCTCCAGCAAGGGCACAGAATGGGGCTGAAGCTGAGTTGGATGAAGTGATAGAAGTAGGCTTCAGAGGCTGGGCATGGTGACTCACACCTGTAATCCTTGCACTTTGGGAGGCTGAGGCGGGTGGATCACCTGAGGTCAGGGGTTCGAGACCAGTCTGGCCAACATGGCAAAACCTCATCTTTACTAAGAATACACAAATTAGCCGGGTGTGGTGGTGGGTGCCTGTAATCCCAGCTACTCAGGAGACTGAGGCAGGAAAATCACTTGAACCTGGGAGGTGGAGGTTGCGGTGAGCCGAGATCACGCCACTGCACTCCAGCCTAGGCAACAGAGTGAGACTCTGTCTCAATAGAAAAATAAAAATAAAAAAGAAGTAGGCTTCAGAAAGTGGGAAATAACTGAGCTAAAGAATTATGTTCTAATCCAATGCAAAGAAGCTAAGAACCATAAAAAAAGCATTATGGGAGCTGTTAACTAGAATAATCAGTTTAGAGAGGAACATAAATGATCTGATGGAGCTGAAAAACACAGCACGGGAACTTCATGATGCAAACGCAAGTATCAATAGCTGAATCAAACAAGCAGAAAAGAGAATATCAGAGCTTGAAGACTATCTTGCTGAAATAAGGCAGGCAGACAAGATTAGAGAAAAAAGAATGAAAAGGAATGAACAAAACCTCCGAGAACTATGGGACTATGTAAAGAGGCTGAACCTCAAAATGATTGAAGTACCTGAAAGAAATGGGGAGAATGGAACCAAGGTGGAAAACACTCTTCAGGATATCATCCAGGAAAACTTCCCTAACCTAGCAAGACAGGCCAATATTCAAATTCAGAATATCCAGAGAACTGCAATAAGATATTCCATGAAAAGTTCTACCCGAAGACACATAATCATGAGGTTCTTCAAGGTTGAAATGAAGCAAAAAATGTTAACGGCAGCCAGAGAGAAGGCAAGGTAACCTACAAAGAGAAGTTCATCAGCCCAACAGCAGACCTTTCAGCAGAAACCCTACACATCAAAGAGATAGTGGGCTGATATTCAACATTCTTTAAAAAAAAAATTCAAGCCAGAATTTCATATCCAGCCAAACTAAGCTTCATAAGCGAATGAGAAATAAAATCTTTTTCGGACAAGCAAATGCCGAGGGATTTTGTCACCACCAGGCCTGCCTTGCAAGAGCTCCTGAAGGAAGCACTAAGCATGGATAGAAAAAACCATAACCAGCCACTACAAAAACACACTGAAGTTCACTCATGATTTGGCTCTCTGTCTGTTATTGGTGTATCAGAATGCTTGTGATTTTTGCACATTGATTTTGTATCCTGAGACTTTGCTGAAGTTGCTTATCAGCTTAAGGAATTTTTGGGCTGAGACGATGGGGTTTTCTAAAGATACAATCATGTCATCTGCAAACAGAGACAGTTTGACTTCCTCTCTTCCTATTTGAATACACTTTATTTCTTTCTCTTGCCTGATTGCCCTGGCCAGAACTTCCAATACTATGTTGAATAGGAATGCTGTTCACAATTGCTACAAAGAGAATAAAATACCTAGGAACACAACTAACTAGGGATGTGAAGGACCTTTTCAAAGAGAACTATAAACCATCTCTGCTCGAGGAAATAAGAGAGGACACAAACAAATGGAAAAACATTCCATGCTCATGGATAGGAAGAATCAATATTGTGAAAATGGCCATACTTCCCAAGGTAATTTATAGATTCAATGCAAGCTACCACTTTCTTCACAGAATTGGAAAAAACTACTTTAAACTTCATATGAAACCAAAAAAGAGCCCGCATAGCCAAGACAATCCTGGGCAAGAAGAACAAAGCTGGAGGTATCACTCTACCTGACTTCAAATTATACTACAAGGCTACAGTAACCAAAAGAGCATGGTACTAGTACCAAAACAGAGATATAGACCAATGGAACAGAACAGAGGCCTCAGAAATAACACCAAACGTCTACAACCATCTGATTTTGACAAACCTGACCAAAAAAAGCAATAGGGAAAAGATTTAATAAATGGTGTTGGGAAAATTGGCTAGCCATATGCAGAAAACTGAAACTGGACCCCTTCCTTACATCTTATACAAAAATCAACTCAAGATGGATCAAAGAATTAAACATAAGACCCAGGACCATAAAAATCCTAGAAGAAAACCTGGGCAATACCATTCAGGACATAGGCATGGGCAAAGACTTCCTGTCTAAAACACCAAAAGCAATGGCAACAAAAGCCAAGATTGACAAGTGGGATCTAATGAAACTAAAGAGTTTCTGCACAGCCAAAGAAACTATCATCAGGGTGAACAGGCAACCTATAGAATGGGAGAAAATTTTTGCAATCTATCCATCTGACAAAGGGCTAATATCCAGAATCTACAAAGAACTTAAAAAAATTTACAAGAAAAAAAAAAAACAACCCCATCAAAAAGTGGGCGAAGATATGAACAGACAGTTCTAAAAAGAAGACATTTATGCACCCAACAGACATATGAAAAAATGCTCATCACTGGTCATTAGAGAAATGCAAATCAAAACCACAATGAGATATGGTCTCACGCCAGTTAGAATGGTGATCATTAAAAAGTCAGGAAACAACAGATGCTGGAGAGGATGTGGAGAAATAGGGACGCTTTTACACCGTTGGTGGGACTGTAAATTAGTTCAACCATTGTGGAAGACAGCGTGGTGATTCCACAAGGATCTAGAACTGGAAATACCATGTGATCCAGCAATCCCATTACTGGGTATGTACCCCAAAGATTACAAATCATTCTATGATAAAGACACATGCACACATATGTTTATTGCGGCACTATTCACAATAGCAAAGACTTGGAACCAATCCAAATGTCCATCAATGATAGACTAAAGAAAATGTGGCACATATACACCATGGAATACCATGCAGCCATAAAAAAGGATGAGTTCATGTCCTTTGGAGGGACATGGATGAAGCTGGAAACCATCATTCTCAGCAAATATCACAAGAACAGAAAACCAAACACTGCATGTTCTCACTCACAAGTGGGAGTTGAATAATGAGAACACACAGACACAGGGAGGGGGGACCGTCACACACCAGGGCCTGTCAGGGGGTCGGGGGCTAGGAGAGGGATAACATTAGGAGAAATATCTAACGTAGGTGACAGGTTGATGGGTGCAGCAAACCACCATGGCACATGTATACCTATGTAACAAACCTTCACATTATGCACTTGTACCCCAGAACTTAAAATATATAAAAATGAATAAATAAATAAGAAAAAAACGCTGAAGTACACAGACCAATGACACTATGAAGAAACTACATCAACAAGTCTGCAAAATAACCAGCTAGCATCATGATGACAGGATCAAATTCACACCTAACAATATTAACCTTAAATGTAAATGGGCTAAATGCCCCAATTAAAAGACACAGAATGGCAAGCTGGATACAAAGACAAGACCCATCGGTGTGCTGTATTTAAGAGACACATTTCATGTACAAAGACACACATAGACACAAAATAAAGGGGCAGAGGGAAATTTACCAAGTAAATGGAAAGCAGAGAAAAGCAGGAGTTGCAATCCAAGTTTCTGCCAAAACAGACTTTAAACCAACAAAGGTCAAAAAAGACAAAGAACGTCATTACATAATGTTAAAGGGTTCAATTCAACAAGAAGAGCTAACTATCCTAAATATATATGCACCCAATACAGGAGCACCCAGATTCATAAAGCAAGTTCTTGGAGACCTACAAAGAGACCTAAACCCCCACAAAATAATAGTGGGAGACTTTAATTCCTCACTGTTAGTATTAGACAGATCATCAAGACAGAAAATTAACAAAGATATTCAGGACTTGAACTCAGCTCTAGGCCAAGTGGACCTGATAGATGTCTAAAGAACTCACCACCCAAAACCAAAAGAATATACATTTTTTTCAGCACCACATGGCACTCTAAAATTGATTACATAATTGAAAGTAAAACACTCCTCAGAAAATGCAAAAGAACTGAATTCATAACAGACAGTCTCTCAGACCATAGCACAATCAAATCAGAAGTGAAGATTAAAAAGCTCACTCAAAACCACACAACTACATGGAAATTGAAAAACCTGCACCTGAATGACTCCTGTGTAAATAATTAAAGTAAGGCAGAAATCAAGAAGTTCTGTTAAACCAGTGAGAACAAAGAGACAATGTATCAGAATCTCTGGAATGCAGCTAAAGCAGTGTTATGAGGGAGATTTACTGCACTAAATGCTCACATCAAAAAGCTAGAAAGAGCTCAAATTGACACCCTAACATCATAACTAAAAGAACTAGAAAACCAAGAACAAACAAACCTCAGAGCTAGCAGAAGACAATAAATAACAAACCTCAGAGCAGAACTGAAGGAGACAGAGACATAAAAAGCCCTTCAAAAAATCAACAAATATAGGAGCTGGTTTTTTTCAATAAATTGATAAAATAAATAGACCATTAAGTGAGGCTTAAAAAGAAAAGAGAGACAATTCAAATAAACACAATAAGAAATAATAAGGGGGATACCACCACTGACCCCACAGAAATAAAAACAACCATCAGATAATACTATAAACACCTCTATACAAGTAAACTGGAAAATCTAGAAGAAATAGATACATTCCTGGACACATACACCCTCCCAAGATGGAACCAGGAAGAACTTGAATCCCTGAATAGACTAACAACAAGTTGTGAATTTGAGGCAGTAATACATAGCCTACCAACCAAAAAAAGCCCACGTGCAGTTGGATTTACAGCTGAATTCTACCAGAGGAAGAAAGAAAAGCTAGTACCATTTCTTCTGAAACTATTCCAAACAATTAAAAAGGAAGGACTCCTCCCTAAATTATTTTATGAGGCCAGCATCATCCTGATACCAAAACATGGCACAGACATTACCAAAAAGGAAAAGTTCAGGCCAATATCCCTGGTAAACATACTCTAAAAAGAACATAAACCAGCTGAGTATCCGACAACCATTGGCCCTGAAACCCAGAGAATGCTCAAATAGATTTTCTATATTACAAACTAGGACATTTGCTGATTTTGAGGTGGCACAGGAGACTGCGAGTGAAGGGCTGAAAGGCAAGGGTCAAGGCCCCCACAGTCTACAGGCATGAGCTTTTTCTATGATTCTAGTTGTCTGCACTGCATCTGTCATCTAGGTCTTTCTAGAGATACTGTAGCTTTCCTTTATCTACCACAGATATCTCTAACAACATGACATCTTTCAGATCCGATGGCCAAAAAAAGTGGATCTTCTGGCAACATAGTCTGAGTCAGACAAATTCACACTAGAGGAAACTGCAATAATTCTTTCTCTTAAGACACTTATAAAATTTTGAATTCACATGTGTGAGTGGCTTAAGAGTTAAGCTTAAAACATCCGAAAGTTACAATTTTCAGAGTAAAAGAATTAGACAATGATTGGTTTTTATAACAAGCTAATGTGAGCCATGCCCAAGCTGGAACTCTGCAGAAAAAAACAGTGGAATTACTGACAATCTTGCTTGACAATTTGTATTTAGGAGAGAAATTTTTGATGAGGAGGGGAGGGATCTGAGAAATGTGTCACATGAATCTAACTAAAGCTGCCACCTATCCCTGACTCAGCTCAATTATGATGGTGCTGAGATAATCACAACATTATCATATCTACATCATAAAGTATGAATTATCTCTGAGGAAAAAATAACATTAATTTCTATTTCTATGTTTTCTTAAACAATGTGTGAGGCATAGAGTAAAATATATATATTGACTTGGCCAGGCGCGGTGGCTCACGCCTGTAATCCCAACACTTCAGGAGGCCAAGGCGGGTGGATCACGAGGTCAGGAGATCAAGACCATCCTGGCCAACTTATGATGGTTTGACTTACAAATTTTTCAATTTTAGGATGCAATAATGATACACATTCAGTAGAAATCATACTTCAAATTGTAATTTTAATCATTTTTTGGGCTAGCAATATACAGTACAATACTCTCTTGTGATGCCGGGTAGCAGCAAGTTGTAGCTCCCAGGCAGCCACACAATCACAAGGGTAAACCACCAATACTCTGTAGTGTGCTGTGTTGCCAAATGATTTTGCCCAGCTTTAGGCTCCTGCACGTGTTCTGACCATGTTGAAGGTGGGCTAGGCTAAGCTATTATATTCAGTAGACTAAGTATATTAAATGCATGTTCAACTTAAGATATTTCCAACTCATGATGGTGTATTGGGACATAACCTCATTGTTAAGTCAAGGAGAATCTGTGTGTGGTGGGGCAGAGGGTGGGGCCAGCAAGTGAAAGGGCAGAATGAGAGACGAAGAGAAAACAGAAGCAGATTCAAAGAATAACAAATGTTAAAAAACAGGACTTTAAAAATAACTAAAATCTCATGTGCAAAGACACATATAGGCTCAAAATAAAGGGATGGAGGAATATTTACCAAGCAAATGGAAGGCAAAAAAAAAAAAGCAGGGGTTGCAATCCTAGTCTCTGATAAAACAGACATTAAACCAACAAAGCTCAAAAAAGACAAAGCAGGGCATTACATAATGGTAAAGGGATCAATGCAACAAGAAGAGCTAACTATCCTAAATATATGTGTACCCAATACAGGAGCACCCAGATTCATAAAATAAGTTATTAGAGACCTACAAAGAGACTTAGGCTCCCACGCAATAATAGTGGGAGTCTTTAACACCCCACTGTCAATATTAGACATTAATGAGGCAGAAAATCAACAAGGATATTCAGGACTTGAACTCAGCTCTGGACCAAGTGGATCTAATAGACATGTATAGAACTCTCCATGCCAAATCAACAGAATATACATTCTTCTCAGGGCCACATAGCATGTATTCTAAAACTGACCACATAATTGGAAGTAAAACACTCCTCAGCAAATACAAAAGAAGTCAAATCATAACAAACGGTCTCTTAGACCACAGTGCAATCAAATTAGAACTCAAGATTAAGAAACACAAAACTGCACAACTACATGGAAATTGAACAACCTGCTCCTGAATGACTACTGGGTAAATAATGAAATTAAGGCAGAAATAAAGAAATTCTATGAAACCAATAAGAACAAAAAGACAACATACCAGAATCTCTGGGACACAGCTAAAGCAGTGTTAAGGGAAATTTAGAGCACTAAATGCCCACAACAGAAGCCTGGAAAGATCTAAAATCAACACCCTAACATCACAATTCAAAGAACTAGAGAAGTAAGAGCAAACACATTCAAAAGCTAGCAAAAGACAAGAAATAACTAAGATCAGAGCAGAACTGAAGGAGATAGACATGAAAAACCCTTCAAAAAAATCAATGAATCCAGAAGCTGGTTTTGTGAAAGATTAACAAAATAGCTGGACCACTAGCTGTACTAATAAAGAAGAAAAGAGAGAAGAATCAAATAGACACAATAAAAAATGATAAAGGGGATATCACCACTGATCCCAAAGAAATAAAAACTGCCGTCATAGAATATTATAAACACTTCTATGCAAATAAACTAGAAAATCGAGAAGAAATGGATAAATTCCAGGACAAATACACCCTCCCAAGACTAAACCAGGAAGAAGTCAAATCCCTGAACCAATAACAAGTTCTAAAATTGAGCAAGTAATTAATAGCCTACCAACTAAATAAAGTCCAGGACCAGACTGATTCAGAGCCAAATTGTACCAGAGGTACAAAGAGGAGCTGGTACCATTCCTTCCGAAACTATTCCAAACAATAGAAAAAGAAGGACTCCTCCCTAACTCATTTTAGGAGGACAGAATCATCCTGATACCAAAACCGGGCAGAGACACAACAACAACAACAAAAAAATTCAGGCCAATATCCCTGATGAACATCAATGCAAAAATTCTCAACAAAATATTGGCAAACCAAATCCAGCAGCACATCAAAAAGCTTATCCACCACAATCAAGTTGGCTTTATTCATGGAATCCAAGGCTGGTTCAATATACAAAAATCAATAAATGTAATCCATCACATAAACAGAGTTAATGACAAAAACCACATGATTATCTCAATTGATGCAGAAAAGGCCTTCAACAAAATTCAACATCCTTTCATGCTAAAAACTCTCAATAAACTAACTACTGATGGAGCATATCTCAAAATAATAAGAGCTCTTTATGACAAACCCATAGCCAATATCATATTGAATGGACAAAAGCTGGAAGCATTCCCTTTGAAAACTGGCATAAGACAAGGATGCCCTCTCTCACAACTCCTATTCAACATAATATTGGAAGTTCTGGCCAGGGCAATTAGGCAAGAGAAAGAAATAAAGGGTATTCAAAGAGGAAGACAGAAAGTCAAATTGTCTCTGTTTGCAGATGATGTGATTGTATATTTAGAAAACTCCATCGTCTCAGCCCCCAAACTCCTTAAGCTGATAAGCAACTTCAGCAAAGTCTCAGGATACAAAATCAATGTGCAAAACTCAGAAGCATTCCTGTACATCAAAAATAGACAAGCAGAGAGACAATCATGAGTGAACTTCCATTCACAATTGCTACAAAATGAATAAAATACCTAGGATACAACTTACAAGGGATGTGGAGGACCTCTTTAAGGACAACTACAGACCACTGCTTCAAGGAAATAAGAGAGGACACAAACAAATGGAAAAACATTCCATGATCATGGATAGGAAGAATCAATATTGTGACAATGCCCATAGCATTATAGATTCAATGCTATCCCCATCAAGCTACAAATGATTTTCTTCACAGAATTAGAAAAAAAAACATTTTAAATTTCATATGGAATAAAACAAAAGAGCCTGTATAGCCAAGACAATCCTAAGCAAAAAGAACAAAGCTGGAGGCATCGCGCTACCTGACTTCAAACTGTACTACAAGGCTACAATAACAAAAACAGAATGGTACTGGTACAAAAATAGGCACATAGAACAGAGCCCTGGAAATAACATCACACATCTACAACCATCTGATATTCAACAAACCTGACATAAACAAGCAATAGGGAAAGGATTCCTTATTTAATAAATGGTGCTGGAAAAATTGGCTAGCCATATGCAGAAAACTGAAACTAGACCCCTTCCTTAACACTTTATGGAAAAATTAACTCAAGATGGATTAAAGACTTAAATGTAAAACCCAAAATCATAAAAACCCTAGAAGGAAACCTAGGCAATATCATTCAGGACATAGGCATGGGCAAAGGCTTCATGACTAAAACACCAAAAACTATTGCAACAAAAGCCAAAATTGACAAATGGGATTTAATCAAACTAAAGAGCTTCTGCACAACAAAAGGAAGTATCATCAGAGTGAAAACGCAACCTACAAAATAGGAGAAAAATTTTGCAAGCTACCCATCTGACAAAGGTTTAACAAGGATTTACAAGGAAATTAAACAAACTTACAAGAAAAAAAAACCCATCCAAAATGAGTGAAGGGTATGAAGAGATAATTCTCAAAGGAAGACATTTATATGGCCAATAAACATATAAAAAAATCTCAGCATCACGGATCATTAGAGAAATGCAAATCAAAACCACAATGAGATACCATCTCACACCAGTTAGAATGGTGATTGTTAAAAAGTAAAGAAACAACAGATGCTGGTGAGGCTGTGGAGAAATATGAATGCTCTCACACTGTTGGTGAGAGTGTAAATTAGTTCAACCATTGTGGAAAACAGTGTGGGGATTCCTCAAGGATGTAGAACCAGATATACCATTTGACCCGGCAATGTCTTTACTGGACATGTACCCAAAGGATTATAAATCTTTCTACTATAAAGACACATGTACATGTTTTTGAAGCACTTTTTACAATAGCAAAGACTTGGAACCAACCCAAACGTCCATCAGTGATAGACTGGATAAAGAAAATATGGCACATATACACCATGGAATACCATATAGCCATAAAAAAGAATGAGATCATGTCCCTTGCAGGGACATGGGTGAAGCTGGAAACCGTCATTCTCAGCAAACTAACACAGGAACAGAAAACCAAACACCACATGTTCTCACTTAAAGGTGGGAGTTGAACAATGAGAACACATGGACACAGGGAAGGGAACATCACACACCAGGGCCTGTCGGGGTGTGGGGAGTAAGGGGAGGGAGAGCATTATAACAAATACCTAATGCATGTGGGGCTTAAAACCTAGATGACAGGTTGATAGGTGCAGCAAACCACCACGGCACGTGTATACCAATGTAACAAACCTGCACATTCTGCACATGTATCCCAGAACTTAAAGTAAAATTTAAAAAGACAGAAAATAGAGGAAAAGGTGAAATAAATTCATTTAAAAGCAGGATAAACAAAAAGTAGTGATCCAGAAAACAGTATCAAATTTACAATATAAAATTTACAATATAAAATAATAAATATTTAAAATTGAAACAGGCGATAGACACAGCATAACACAGAATAAGTAAAATTGAAATCCAGTTATTTTATCTTTTATTCCAAAGATAAAAACTGAAGAATAGAGAAAAAATGTAAACAATGGCAGAATACAGGCAAAAGTTTTGTGAGACATATTTAAAAAGCCTAATATAGATATAAATGGAATTTCAGAAGGAAAGTCAAGAAAAAATGGAGCAGAAGCAATACTATGTAGTGATCAATAATTACCTAAAATTTATTAAAAATGTAAATAAATGGGTTCAAAAATCTTAATGAACCCAGAAAATACAATGAAGTACATCAGAGTAAAGCCACTTAAAACCAAAGAGAAAATTTTATTTGCAACCACAGAAAAAAAATACAATTTACCTTCAAAGAAGCAGCAGTAAAGCTTATGGCTGACTTTGAATAAAAATAAGCAGATATTTGAACAGAAATAAAAGAAAAACAACAAACAAATAAAAATGACTACCATATAGTATAATACCAAGTGAAAATATTCTCAAACAATTAAACAGAAATATAGTTGTTTCTACATAGATAAATCTAACACGAACATAATTTATTTGGTATAGACTTTTGGAAATACTTTAGAAAATTCTTCAGGCTTAATGAAAATGATTTCAGATGAAAGCATAAAACTGCAAAACAGAATAAAATGTACCTGTAAGATAAAAATATAAGAATATTTACTTTTTAGCTCCACAAAATAACAGCATTTTAAAAGATTTTATAATGTTTGTAAAAGGTTTGCATTGATCAATATGTGAGAAAAACATAGATTTTATCTATATTACAATACGATGTTTGCCAAATCTATAAAGTAACCAATATAAGAAAAAAAATAAAATAAAAACTAATATAAAATATAAGTTAAAATTAGTAAAATAGAAATTCTTGAGAAATCATAAAGAAGTGATTTAGGGTAGAACATAAGAACAGAGAACAGAAAGAAGGATTAAAACCCAAATATTCAGAATTAAGATCAAATTTATCAGAAATTATATGTAAATGGATCAAGCACTCCAAATGATAAGCAAAGGTAATCACAACAACAAAGCAAGTACCAACTATATTCTGATTTCAAGACATTAACTCTACATATAAGGTGGAAAATACTTTGAATATAACAGAGGATGGAAAAAGAATACTATTTGAGCACTAGCCAAAAGAAAGCTGATATGACTTTATTCATATCAGACAATAGATATTGAAGCAAGAAATATTACTTGAATATATGGGATAAAATATCATAATAATAAACATATCAATTATATAAAAAGGCATAACAATGCTAAAGGTGTATGCACCTAATAACAGTTTCCAATGTATAAAGCAAAAATTCACAGAAATAAAGAGAAAATAGACACATTCACAATTATAATAGGATGTTTTGTTTTGTTTTGTTTTTGAGATGGAGTTTTGCTCTTGTTGCCCAGGCTGGAGTGCAATGGCATGATCTTGGCTCACCATAACCTCTGCTTCCCTGGTTCAAGTGATTCTCCTGCCTCAGCCTCCTGAGTAGCCGGGATTACAGGCATGCACCACCACACCCAGCTAATTTTGTATTTTTAGAAGAGACGGGTTTCTCTGTGTTCATCAGGTTGGTCTCGAACTCCCAACCTCAGGTGATCTGCCTGCCTCAGCCTCCCAAAGTGCCGGGATTACAGGCGTGAACCATCACACCTGGCCTTACGATAGGATTTTTAAAACATGCATCTCACAGTAACAGAGAGAGCAAAGAGATACTATACATATATACTATTAATAGCATTGTTATTAGTATTAACACATCTACACTATTGATAATATTAATAACACTAGTAGTGTTATTACCAACATTAACCACACTATTAATAACACAATTATGTGAGCAAATAGACATTTATAGAGCTTCAGAGTTATAGTTCAATAACTTCAAGGTATGCATTTCAAGAACACATGGAGCATACACCAACATAGATCATAAGCTGAGGAATATGGCAAGACTAAACAAATTTCAAACAATTGAAATCTCTGACTATAGCAAAATTAACCTAGAAGTCAAGAACATAAACACAACTAGAAATTTCCTAAAAACTCCCACCAAAAGTGTATACATGTTCCTTTTTCTCCACAACATCGCCAGCATCTGTTATTTTTTGACGTTTTTATAATAGCCAGTCTGACTGGTGTGAGATGATGTCTTATTATGGTTTTTGTTTGCATTCCTCTAATGATCAGTGATGTTGAGCTTTTTTTTTTATATATGGTTGTTGGCTATATGTATGTCTTCTTTTGAAAAGTGTCTGTTCATGTCCTTTGCCCACTTTTTAATAGGGTTGTTTGGATTTTTTTCTTGTAAATTTGTTTAAGTTCCTTATGGATGCTGCGTATTAGACCTTTGTTGGATGCATAGTTTGCAATGATTTTCACCCATTCTGTAGGTTGTCTCTCTACTCTATTGATTGTGTTTTTTTTTTCTATGTAGAAGCTTAGCTTAATTAAATCTCATTTGTCCATTTTCGCTTTAGTTGCAAATGCTTTTGGTGTCTTTGTGATAAAATATTTGCCCATGCCTACATCCACAATGGTATTGCCTAGGCTGTCTTTCAGGATTTTTATAGTTTGGGGATTTAGAGTTAAGTCTTTAATCCATCCTGAGTTAATTTTTATATATGGTAATAAGGAAGCAGTCTAGTTTTAATCTTCTACATACGGCTAGCCAGGTATCCCAGCACCATGTATTGAATAGAGAAGACTGAATAAAGAAAATAGTCTAATATCACAATTAAAAGAAATAGAGAAGCAAGAGCAAACAAATTCAAAACCTAGCAGAAGACAAGAAATAATTAAGATCAGAGGAGAACTGAAGGAGATAGAGACGTGAAAAACCCTTCAAAAAAATCAATGAATACAGGAGCTGGTTTTTTGAAAAGATCAACAAAATAGATAGGTTGCTAGCCAGACTAGTAAAGAAGAGAGAAGGATCAAATAGATGCAATAAAAAAACGATAAAGGGGATATCACCTCTGATCCCACAGAAATAAAAACTGCCATCAGATAATACTATAAACACCTCTATGCAAATAAACTAGAAAATCAAGAAGAAATTGATAAATTCCTGGTCACATACACCCTCCCAAGTGTAAATCATGAAGAAGTCTAATCCCTGAATAGAACAATAACAAGTTCTAAAATTGAACCAGTAATTAATAGCCTACCAACCAAAAAAAGTCCAGGACCAGACAGATTCATAGCCGAATTCTACTAGAGGTACAAAGAGGAGCTGGTACCATTCCTTCTGAAACTATTCCAAATAATATAAAAAGAGGGAATCCTCCTTAACTCATTTTATGAGGCCAGCATCTTCCTGATACCAAAACCTGGCAGAGACACAACAAAAAAAGAAAATTTCAGGCCAATATCCCTGATGAACATCGATGCAAAAATCCTCAATAAAATTCTGGCAAATCGAATCCAGGAGCAAATCAAAAAGCTTATCCACGGCCGGGTGCGGTGGCTCACGCCTGTAATCCTAGCACTTTGGGAGGCCAAGGTGGGTGGATCATGAGGTCAGGAGATCCAGACCATCTTGGCTAACACAGGGAAACCCCATCTCTACTAAAAATACAAAAAATTAGCTGGACGTGGTGGCAGGTGCCTGTAGTCCCAGCTACTCAAGAGGCTGAGGCAGGAGAATGGCGTGAACCTGGGAGGTGGAGGTTGCAGTGAGCGGAGATCGCATCACTGCACTCCAGCCTGGGCGACAAAGTGAGACTCCATCTCAAAAAAAAAAAGGCTTATCCACCACAATCAAGTCGGCTTTATCCCTGGGATGCAAGGCTGCTTCAACATACACAAATCAATAAATGTAATCCATCACATAAACAGAGCCAATGACAAAAACCACATGATTATCTCAATTGATGTAGAAAAGGCCTTCAACAAAATTCAACAGCCCTCCATGATAAAAACTCTCAATAAACTAGGTATTGATGGAACATATCTCAAAATAATAAGAGCCACTTATGGCAAACCCATAGCCAATATCATACGAAATGGGCAAAAACTGGAAGCATTCCCTTTGAAAACCGGCACAAGACAAGGATGCCCTCTCTCACAACTCCTATTCAACATAGTATTGGAAGTTCTGGCCAGGGCAGTCAGGCAAGAGAAGGAAATAAAGCGTGTTCAAATAGGAAGAGAGGAAGTCATATTGTCTCTGTTTGCAGATGACATGATTGTATATTTAGAAAATCCTATTGTCTCAGCCCCAAAACTCCTTAAGCTGATAAGCAGTTTCAGCAAAGTCTCAGGATACAAAATCAATGTGCAAAAATCACAAGCATTCCTATATACCAATAATAGACAAACAGAGAGCCAAATCATGAGTGAACTCCCATTCACAATTGCTACAAAAAGAATAAAATACCTGAGACAGAACTCACAAGGGACATGAAGGACCTCTTCAAGGAGAACTACAAAACACTGCTCAAGGAAATAAGAGAGGACACAAACAAATTGAAAAACCTTCCATGCTCATGGGTAGGGAGAACCAGTATCATGAAAATAATCATATTGTCCAAAGTAATTTATAGATCCAGTGCTATCCTCATCAAGCTACCATTGACTTTCCTCACAGAATTAATAAAAACTAATTTAAATGACATATGGAACCAAAAAAGAGGCTGCATAGCCAAGACAATCCTAAGCAAAGAGAACAAAGCTGGAGGCATCATGCTACCTGACTTCAAACTATACTACAAGACTACAGTAACCAAAACAGCATGGTTCTGGTACCAAAATAGATATATAAACCAATGAAACAGAACAGAGGCCTCAGAAATAACACCACACATCTACAACCATCTTATCTTTGACAAACCTGACAAAAACAAGCAATGGGGAAAGGATTCCCTATTTAACAAATGGTGTTGGGAAAATTGGCTAGCCATATGCAGAAAACTGAAACTGGACCCCTTCCTTACAACTTACACAAAAATTAACTCAAGATGGGTTAAAGAATTAAATGTAAGAGCTAAACCATAAAAACTCTAGAAGAAACATAGGCAATATCATTCAGGACATAGGCATGGGGAAAGACTTCATGACTAAAACACCAAAAGCAATGGCAACAAAAGCCAAAATTGACAAATGGGATCTAATTAAACTAAAGAGTTTCTGCTCAGCAAAAGAAACTATCATCAGAGTGAACAGGCAACCTACAGAAGGGCAGAAAATTTTTGCAATCTATCCATCTGACAAAGGACCAGTATCCAGAATCTACAAAGAACTTAAATTTACAAGAAAAAAACAACCCATCAAAAAGTGGGCAAAGCATATTAACAGACACTTCTAAAAAGAAGACATTTATGCAGCCAACAAACATATGAAAAAAAGCTCATCATCACTGGTCATTAGAGAAATGCAAATCAAAACCACAATGAGACATCATCTCATGCTAGTTAGAATGGTGATCATTAAAAAGTCAGGAAACAACTGATGCTGGAGAGGATGCGGAGAAATAGGAACGCTTTTAGACTGTTGTTGGGATTGTGAATTCACTCAACTATTGTGGAAGACAGTGTGGTGATTCCTCAAGGATCTAGAACCAGAAATACCATTTGATCCAGCAATCCCATTACTGGATATATACCCAAAGTATTATAAATCATTCTACTGTAAAGACACTTGCACACATATGTTTATTGCGACACTGTTCAAAATAGCAAAGACTTGGAACCAACCCAAATGCCCATCAATGATAGACTGAATAAAGAAAATATGGTATATATACACCATGGAATACTATGCAGCCATAAAAAAAGATGAGTTCATGTCCTTTGTAGGGACATGGATGAAGCTGGAAACCATCATTCTCAGCAAACTAACACAAGAACTGAAAACCAAACACTGCATGTTCTCACTCATAAGTGGGAGTTGAACAATGAGAACACATGGGCACAGGGAGGGGAACATCACACACTGGAGTCTTTCAAGGGTTGGATTGCTAGGGGAGGGATAGCATTAGGAGAAATACCTAATATAGGTCACGGGTTGATGGGTGCAGCAAACCACCATGGCACATGTATACCTATGTAACAAACCTGCACGTTCTGCACATGTATCCTAGAATTTAAAGTATAATTTTAAAAAAGTTTAAAAAAGAAAATGTGGTACATATATACCACAGAATACTATGCAGCCATAGAAAAGAATGAGATCTTGTTTTTTGCAGGAACATGGATGTAGCTGAAGGCCATTATCCACAGCAAACTAACACAGGAACAGAAAACTAAATATCACAAATTCTCAATCATAAGTGGGAGCTAAGTAATGAGAACACACGGACACATACAGGGGAACAACACACACTGGGGCCTTTCAGAAGGTGGAGGGTGGGAGGAGGGAGGCAGTCAGGAAAAATAACTAATGGGTACTAGGCTTAATACCTGGGTGGTGAAATAATTTGCACAATAAACCCCCATGACAAAAGTTTACCTATGTAACAAACCTACAGTTGTAACTCTGAACTTTAAATAAAAGTCAAAAAAAGAAAATTCCTAAATAAGTTTAAATGATACCCTTCCACATAAAGTGTGGGTTAAAAAATAATCTCAGTAGAATGTAAAAATATTTTAATTGAATGATAAAAATATAACAAATGAAATATTGTGTAATATACCTAAAAGAGTACTCAAAAAGAAACGATGTTTTATAAAAAAAGAAGCACTGACAATGTTATAGCTTCCATTTCAATAATCAAGATAAGAGAGCAGCAAATCCAACTCAAAGAAATGAAAACAATAAAACCATATAAAGAACACTCAGGAAATCATACAATAAAAAACACACATGCATCTGGAGGAATGGCTAATGGATGCTGGGCTGATTACCTAGGTGATGGGTTGATCTGTGCAGCAAACAACCCTGGCACACATTTACCTATGTAACAAACCTTCACATCCTGCATAGATATAACCTGGAACTTAAAATAAAAGTTGAAGAAAAAAAAATACATGCAGTAAAGAAAAGCAATAAGGAGACGGCATAAACACAATTTGAAACATTGGCAAAAGACTTGAAAGAACCTTCACAAAAGAAGATATCCAAATGGCTTAGACTTAGCCTTAATCTAAATAACAGAATAAGCATTAGTCTCAACTCCAAATTTCAGATACAGTTATAAAAGATCCTCTAGCTAGAAAAGTGACTATTTGGAAAATAATTATATTAAAGACTTGACCAAAAGGTAATATTGATTTTCTGCATAAAATAGAACTTACCAGAGCCATCATATCTGGAAAATTAGATAGGAATTAGCGAGCTCCATGTTGCAAATTGCAAGAAATTAGTATTTCCTGGTGAAGACTTGGAGGCATGGAATGATGCAATAAGGTTCAATAGGCTGTATGAAAGTGACTGATCATGGAGAGCAAAAACCTCTTCTCAACTCAGGAACTAATACTTCATCTGGCATGTGCTATAAAGTCATTGAATGCTTTTAAACAGAAAACTGGCATGGTTGGATGTGCATTTTAGGTAAATTAATCTGCTGGCAATGTGAAAGCCTAAATATGAAATGCTAAATAGCAAGATTTTTTTTATTCTAAAAGAGGCTACAAAAACTAGAGTGATCATTTCTTTTTCAAATTGTTTGAATCTGTGTGGTTTAACTTTCAAAAACTCACTAATGCCAACTGAATAACATTCAAAGGAAGATTCTAGCCCTCTCATACAAAGTGCCCCTTCTCTTTCCCAGGATAATTTGCTGTGCAGTTTCTCAAACCAGTGTCTAAGGACCTCAAGACTCCACCTTCTCCAAAAAATGCCCCCTTTTTTTGTCTATTGGAATCCTATTCATCTGCCTTTCCCTCCTTTAGATTTTCCTTATCCTTCAGAGTCAATTACTTCTTCCCCTAGTCCCACAGAACTGTTTAAGTCTCTGTTGCACATTTAGTTCATCCTACCTTATACTATAATTAGTTTCATATGCATCACTCTCTCATAAAATTTTAAGTTCTTTGGGTACATTTCTCCAACAGTATTTGCATTTCTGACATCACACTCTGATACTTTAATACACAGTAATTGTTGAATAATTCTTTAATGAATAAACCTCTACATATTGTATACTTGCTTTTAATGAGGATTTTCTTCCCAAATGTGTGTGTGTATATACATTGAGCATATGTAGTCTAGAAGAATGCCTTACCTGTCTTTAGTGTCCAATTTATGCATATAAAATATATAAATTATATATGTAATATATCATTATACATACATTAGATATAATAGATTAATACTCATATACACACCTATAACTTATGTACATAAACTATGAACTATAAAATATATTAT
This sequence comes from Homo sapiens, assembly GCF_000001405.40. Taxonomy (NCBI): domain Eukaryota; kingdom Metazoa; phylum Chordata; class Mammalia; order Primates; family Hominidae; genus Homo; species Homo sapiens. The sequence continues at coordinate 38,284,523 of NC_000013.11, forward strand.
ATATGGTCCATATATATATATATAAATAAATTTAGCACTAAGGACATATCAGATATTCTTCTAGACTACACATGCTCAACAGGGGCAATATTGACTCCAAGCAGGCAAAATTGATCCTGGGGGACAGAGAAGCAGCACAATGAAAACTCCATTGGTATTACATGATTTGTAACCCTCTAAAAAGCCATTAATATATGTGTGGTAATTAAATTTTATGGGGTGAGGTTTATGAAGGAAAAATATCTTAAAAATGCCATATAGGTATAATTAAACAGTTGAGAGACACTGTCGTGGACACATAGCAGAGGACAGAAAGACAAGATGTCTACTCAGGTGGAATTTATGTTATACAAGGAAAAGACAGTTCAACACATGAATACACAATCAACATTTGAGATCGTGAAAAATGTCCTGAATAAACCAAGGTAAATAAAACGAGATTTGTGTTAGATTAACAGAGATGCTACTTTAAATTGGAAAGTTATGATTCACCTTTCTACTGATATGATCTTTAGATTGAGATCTAGATGGTAAGAAAGAGTCAAATATATTTTTAATGTAGAGGAAGGAAAGTCATAGAAGAATAATCAGTGCAAAATCCCTAAGTTAAAGATTTATTCGTTATGTTTTAGGAACAGAAAACCTGGATGATTGTAGCTTAAGAGGAAATAACTAACATAAATAGTAAGGTCAACAGAACGTTCTTTTTAACATGCAGCAACAATAGTGTGTTTTTAAACTAACGGGACTAATCCAATATTAGAGAGTTAATATTAATATTAGGAGCAAAGGGGGAAATTGCTGGACTGATGTGCTAGGATAATAGGGAATTAGATCCCAGTGCACAAGTGCAGGATTGGTTTTAAATAAAAGCATAAGTATTTTCACCTACAGTATAATAGGTAGGAAGGCAGAGTATGTGTTCAAATGCTGGCACGTGGATGTGCTCTTCTGATCATTTATATTTTCTGAGTGAAGTAAGAAACTAGGTCATCAGCTTAGAGAGAGCACTGGGAAGGAGATATGCTATGGTCTGAATGTTTGTGTCCTCCCAAAATTCAGATGTTGAATTTTTTTTTTTTTTTTTTTTTAGACAGAGTCTCGTTCTGTCACCAGGCTGGAGTGCAGTGGCGTGATCTTGGCTCACTGCAACCTCCACCTCCCGAGTTGAAGCAATTCTCCTGCCTCAGCCTCCTGAGTAGTTGGGAATACAGGCACATGCCACCATGCCTAGCTAATTTTTTGTACTTTTAGTAGAGACGGAGTTTCACCACGTTGGTCAGGATGGTCTCCATCTCTTGACCTCATGATCTGTCCGCCTCGGCCTCCTAAAGTGCTGGGATTACAGGCATTAGCCACCGTGCCCAGCCCAGATGTTGAAATTTTAACACCTAATGTGATGGTATTAGAAGGAGGGCTTCTTGGAAATAATTAGATCAATAGAGTGGAGTCCTTGTGAATGGATTTTGTGCCCCTATAAAAAGATATGAGAGAGTTTACTTTTTGTCTCTCTGCTCTTGTCATGTCAGGATACAATGAGGAAGATAGCTATCTGTAAATCAGGAAGTGGGCCCTCACCAAACACTTGATCTGCCAGCACCTTGGTCTTGGACTTACCAGCCTCCAGAACTGTGAGAAATCATATTTGTTGTTTAAGCTACCCAGTTTATGGTAATTTGTTACAGCAGCCCAAATTGACTAAGACAAGGTACAAGAAATATGAAGGGTGACTGTAAAATAGTTCTCCAAAAAAAGATGGACAGTCAATGAACCAGAGAATGGGAAACAATTGCCTGGGACTTAAAGAACCTGTTAGAGGTTTATAGTGATTAATTAAAACTGAGTATGTTCATTGTGGTTGTGTATTTTCCTTCAGCCACATTCAGTTGCATGTATACAAATGTGAAGTAGGCAGACATTTGCTTTTAACTAGAGTTGTGGTTTTTGTCAAGCAAATATAAAGAAAGAAGAAAAGGACGAAGGGAGTTAACATGAATGCAATGAAATGAGTATTACAATTGTGTGTTTTGAGTTGAACACAGAAGACAAAGCACGTATCAAAAGGATCAGAGTATAAGGTAATAGGATCAATGGTTTCGTTAGGTTTAAAGGACGGTAGAAGTTTAAGACAAGGGAGAAGTATGCCAGAACAAAAAAAAACAGGAGACATCCAGTTTCTGGGTTGGCATTTAAGGAGTTTGAAGTCTTTACTCCCATTATTATAAAAAGCACAAAGCTGAACAAACTGAAAAACCAAGAAATCTTTTTAGATCCTTCAGAGTAATGAGATCATAGGGCCAACTTCTGCCCCAAAATCGAATAAACAGATAATCAGATGCAGAGAATTGTAACTTAACAGAGCAGAAACCCACCAGCAGGGAACTCCAAGGGAACCTGTGGAGGGGTAGGAAAACTTGAACTGTAATTGACAAATTATTAAAAGCTCAGTGTGTACAAGCTTCAGAGATAAAACTCCAGGGAACCAGTCATGAGACAATTCTTACGCCTTTGTGAGTTGTACTTCCAGGACTCTATCAGGTCCTCACAAATAAGAATGAGAGAAAAATCTGCTCATGCTTTTAGCAAGGGGAGGAGAGAAGGAACCATTTTAAAATATGCCAGAGCATTCTGTCCTACTTAACAAGACTCGCCCTCTGGAGAGACTATTTTAGCCTAACCTACCTGGCTACCCTAACCTAGCCCACTCCAGGTGACGATAGCTTTCCGCATGGGGGAAAGGAAATACCCACCTATAGCCCCCTCAAGCCTTCCTGTTCCACTTAAGTGCAGGGGAGCGACTAAAAAGCACCAGAAATGTTTGCAGTCCAGGGACACAGACTTCACCAAAAAACTGAACAAACAGTAAGATTAATGATAGCTTTCCCTTCCATACCCACCACTTATCCTTATATCACTGAAGGTCTATTTACTACAGTTCCTTTTACCTAGTACATCAATTCTTTTAACAAAAATTTTCAAGGCAAAATATACAGTTTGAAAAGACTGAACAAGAATCACAACCAGAGTCAGTATGGCAGAAATGTTGGAATTATCAGACTAGGAATTACTTTTATAAAATATGTTTGGTATGTTAAGGGCTTTTGTGAAAAAAGTAGACAACAGGCAAGAAGAAATCAATAATCTAAACACAGCAATGTAAATTCTAAGAAAGAATCAAAAAGGAATGCTAGAGATCAGAAAAACTCTAAGAGAAAGGAAAATTGCCTAAGATGGGCTCACTAGTAGACTACACATGGTTGAGGAAAGACTCTCTGAGCGTGAGTATATGACAATAGAAACTTGCAGAACTTAGGACTTGCTTTATGAATCTGGGTGCTCCTGTATTGGGTGCATATATATTTAGGACAGTCAGCTCTTCTTGTTGAATTGATCCCTTTACCATTATGTAATGGCCTTCTTTGTCTCTTTTGATCTTTGTTGGTTTAAAGTCTGTTTTATCAGAGACTAGGATTGCAACACCTGCCTTTTTTTTGTTTTCCATTTGCTTGGTAGATCTTCCTCCATCCTTTTATTTTGAGCCTCTGTGTCTCTGCACCTGAGACGGGTTACCTGAATACAGCACACTGATGGGTCTTGACTCTTTATCCAACTTGTCAGTCTGTGTCTTTTAATTGGAGCATTTAGTCCATTTACCTTTAAAGTTAATATTGTTATGTGTGAATTTGATCCTGTCATTATGATGTTAGCTGGTTATTTTTCTCGTTAGTTGATGCAGTTTCTTCCTAGTCTCGATGGTCTTTACATTTTGGCATGATTTTGCAGCAGCTGGTACCGGTTGTTCCTTTCCATGTTTAGTGCTTCCCTCAGGAGCTCTTTTAGGGCAGGCCTGGTGGTGACAAAATCTCTCAGCATTTGCTTGTCTGTACAGGATTTTATTTCTCCTTCACTTATGAAGCTTAGTTTGACTGGATATGAAATTCTGGGTTGAAAATTCTTTTCTTTAAGAATGTTGAATATTGGCCCCCACTCTCTTCTGGCTTATAGAGTTTCGGCCGAGAGATCCGCTGTTAGTCTGATGGGCTTCCCTGTGTGGGTAACCCGACCTTTCTCTCTGGCTGCCCTTAACATTTTTTCCATCATTTCAACTTTGGTGAATCTGACAATTTTGTGTCTTGGAGTTGCTCTTCTCGAGGAGTATCTTTGTGGCATTCTCTGTATTTCCTGAATCTGAATGTTGGCCTGCCTTGCTAGATTGGGGAAGTTCTCCTGGATAATATCCTGCAGAGTGTTTTCCAACTTGGTTCCATTCTTCCCATCACTTTCAGGTAGACCAATCAGAAGCAGATTTGGTCTTTTCACATAGTCCCATATTTCTTGCAGGCTTTGTTCATTTCTTTTTATTCTTTTTTCTCTAAACTTCCCTTCTCGCTTCATTTCATTCATTTCATCTTCCATCACTGATACCCGTTCTTCCAGTTGATCTCATCGGCTCCTGAGGCTTCTGCATTCTTCATGTAGTTCTCGAAATTGGATTCACAGCCGAATTTCAGCTCCATCAGCTCCTTTAAGCGCTTCTCTGTATTGGCTATTCTAGTTATACATTCGTCTAAATTTTTTCAAAGTTTTCAACTTCTTTGCCTTTGGTTTGAATTTCCTTCTGTAGCTTGGAGTAGTTTGATCGTCTGAAGCCTCCTTCTCTCAACTTGTCAAAGTCATTCTCCGTCCAGCTTTGTTCCGTTGCTGGTGAGGAACTGTGTTCCTTTGGAGGAGGAGAGGCCCTCTGCTTTTTAGAGTTTCTAGTTTTTCTGCTCTGTTTTTTCCCCATCTTTGTGGTTTTATCTACTTTTGGTCTTTGATGATGGTGATGTACAGATGGGTTTTTGGTGTGGATGTCCTTTCTGTTTGTTAGTTTTCCTTCTAACAGACAGGACCCTCAGCTGCAGGTAAGAGACTTAGACTCTCACACAATAATAATGGGAGACTTTAACACCCCACTGTCAACATTAGAGAGATCAACGAGACAGAAAGTTAACAAGGATACCCAGAATTGAACTCAGCTCTGCACAAAGTGGACCTAACAGATATCTACAGAACTCTCCACCCCAAATCAACAGAATATACATTTTTTTCAGCACCACCCCACACCTATTCCAAAATTGACCACATACTTGGAAGTAAAGCTCTCCTCAGCAAATGTAAAAGAACAGAAATTATAACAAACTGTCTCTCAGACCACAGTGCAATCAAACTAGAACTCAGGATTAAGAAACTCACTCAAAACCACTCAACTACATGGAAACTGAACAACCTGCTCCTGAATGACTACTGGGTACATAACGAAATGAAGGCAGAAATAAAGATGTTCTTTGAAACCAACGAGAACAAAGACACAACATACCAGAATCTCTGGGACACATTCAAAGCAGTGTGTAGAGGGAAATTTATAGCACTAAATGCCCACAAGAGAAAGCAGGAAAGATCCAAAATTGACAACCTAACATCACAATTAAAAGAACTAGAAAAGCAAGAGCAAACACATTCAAAAGCTAGCAGAAGGCAAGAAATAACTAAAATTACAGCAGAACTGAAGGAAATAGAGACAAAAAAAAACCCTTCAAAAATTAATGAATCCAGGAGCTGGTTTTTTGAAAGGGTCAACAAAATTGGTAGACCACTAGGAAGACTAATAAAGAAAAAAAGAGAGAAGAATCAAATAGACACAATAAAAAATGATAAAGGGGATATCACCACTGATCCCACAGAAATACAAACTACCATCAGAGAATACTACAAACACCTCTATGCAAATAAACTAGAATATCTAGAAGAAATGGATAAATTCGTTGACACACACACTCTCCCAAGACTAAACCAGGAAGAAGTTGAATCTCTGAATAGACCAATAGCAGGATCTGAAATTGTGGCAATAATCAATCGCTTACCAACCAAAAAGAGTCCAGGACCAGATGGAATCACAGCCGAATTCTACCAGAGGTACAAGGAGGAACTGGTACCATTCCTTCTGAAACTATTCCAATCAATAGAAAAAGAGGGAATCCTCCCTAACTCATTTTATGAGGCCAGCATCATCCTGATACCAAAGCCGGGCAGAGACACAACCAAAAAAGAGAATTTTAGACCAATATCCTTGATGAACATTGATGCAAAAATCCTCAGTAAAATACTGGCAAACCGAATCCAGCAGCACATCAAAAAGCTTATCCACCATGATCGAGTGGGCTTCATCCCTGGGATGCAAGGCTGGTTCAATATACGCAAATCAATAAATGTAATCCAGCATATAAACAGAACCAATGGCAAAAACCACATGATTATCTCAATAGATGAAGAAAAGGCCTTTGACAAAATTCAACAACCCTTCATGCTAAAAACTGTCAATAAATTAGGTATTGATGGGACGTATTTCAAAATAATAAGAGCTATCTATGACAACCCCACAGCCAATATCATACTGAATGGGCAAAAACTGGAAGCATTCCCTTTGAAAACTGGCACAAGACAGGGATGCCCTCTCTCACCACTCCTATTCAACATAGTGTTGGAAGTTCTGGCCAGGACAATTAGGCAGGAGAAGGAAATAAAGGGTATTCAATTAGGAAAAGAGGAAGTCAAATTGTCCCTGTTTGTAGGCGACATGATTATATAGCTAGAAAACCCCATTGTCTCAGCCCAAAATCTCCTTATGCTAATAAGCAACTTCAGCAAAGTCTCAGGATATAAAATCAATGTACAAAATTCACAAGCATTCTTATACACCAATAACAGACAAACAGAGAGCCAAATCATGAGGGAACTCCCATTCACAATTGCTTCAAAGACAATAAAATACTTAGGAATCCAACTTACAAGGGACATGAAGGACCTCTTCAAGGAGAACTACAAACCACTGCTCAATGAAATAAAAGAGGATACAAACAAATGGAAGAACATTCCATGCTCATGGGTAGGAAGAATCAATATCATGAAAATGGCCATACTGCCCAAGGTAATTTATAGATTCAATGCCATCCCCATCAAGCTACTAATGACTTTCTTCACAGAATTGGAAAAAGCTACTTGAAAGTTCATACGGAAGCAAAAAAGAGCCCGCATCGCCAACTCAATCCTAAGCCAAAAGAACAAAGCTGGAAGCATCCTGCTACCTGACTTCAAACTATATTACAAGGCTACAGTAAGCAAAACAGCATGGTACTGGTACCAAAAAAGAGATATAGATCAATGGGACAGAACAGAGCCCTCAGAAATAATGCCGCATATCTACAACTATCTGATCTTTGACAAACTTGACAAAAACAAGCAATGGGGAAAGGATTCCCTATTTAATAAATGGTGCTGGAAAAACTGGCTAGCCATATGTAGAAAGCTGAAACTGGATCCCTTCCTTACACCTTATACAAAAATTAATTCAAGATGGATTAAAGACTTCAATGTTAGACCTAAAACCATAAAAACCCTAGAAGAAAACCTAGGCATTACCATTCAGGACAGAGGCATGGGCAAGGACTTCATGTCTAAAACACCAAAAGCAATGGCAACAAAAGCCAAAATTGACAAATGGAATCTCATTAAACTAAAGAGCTTCTGCACAGCAAAAGAAACTACCATCAGAGTGAACAGGCAACCTACAAAATGGGAGAAAATTTTCGCAACCTACTCATCTGACAAAGGGCTAATATCCAGAATCTACAATGAACTCAAACAAATTTACAAGAAAAAAACAACCCCATCAAAAAGTGGGCAAAGGATATGAACACACACTTCTCAAAAGAAGACATTTCTGCAGCCAACAGACACATGAAAAAATGCTCATCATCACTGGCCATCAGAGAAATGCAAATCAAAACCACAATGAGATATCATCTCACACCAGTTAGAATGGCAATCATTAAAAAGTCAGGAAACAACAGGTGCTGGAGAGGATGTGGAGAAATAGGAACACTTTTACACTGTTGGTGGGACTGTAAACTAGTTCAACCATTGTGGAGGTCAGTGTGGCGATTCCTCAGGGATCTAGAATTAGAAACACCATTTGACCCAGCCATCCCATTACTGGGTATATACCCAAAGGACTATAAATCATGCTGCTATAAAGACACATGCACACATATGTTTATTGCGGCACTATTCACAATAGCAAAGACTTGGAACCAACCCAAATGTCCAACAATGATAGACTGGATTGAGAAAATGTGGCACATATACACCATGGAATACTATGCAGCCATAAAAAATGATGAGTTCATGTCCTTTGTAGGGACATGGATGAAATTGGAAATCACCATTCTCAGTAAACTATTGCAAGGACAAAAAACCAAACACCGCATATTCTCACTCATAGGTGGGAATTGAACAATGAGAACACATGGACACAGGAAGGGGAACATCACACTCTGGGGACTGTTGTGGGGTGGGGGGAGGGGGGACGGATAGCATTAGGAGATATACCTAATTCTAAATGAGGAGTTAATGGGTGCAGCACGCCAGCATGGCACATGTATACATATGTAACTAACCTGCACATTGTGCACATGTAACCTAAAACTTAAAGTATAATAATAATAAAAAGAAACTTGCAGAACTTAAAAGCAAATATTTTAAAAATTCAGAAAAAAAAAACCCAACAAAATAGAATATCCGAGAATTGTGGGACAACTGCAAGAGGTGTAACTGGCATAATGGGAATACCAGAAACAGAACAAAGAGTGAAAGGAATAGGAGCAATATCTGAGGCAAAAATGGCTGAGCATTTCCCCAAGTAGACAGGAGATATCAAACCACAAATCCAGAAATTTCAGAGAAAACCCATCAGGATGAATGTCATAAAACTCTACCTAGGCATTTAACATTCAAACTTCATAAAGTTGAAGATAAATAAAATAACTTCAAAGAGGCTGAGGAATAAAACACCTGATATATGGAGGAGAAAAGATAATCATATATCTTACTTTTCTGTACCTATGGAAGTAAGGGGAGAGTGAAATAAAATATTTAAAGTGTTGACAAAACAAAACAAAAACAAAACACCAAAGTAGAAGAGCTAGAAGAGAGTAAGATGACATATTCAAAGTGCTAAAAAGAAAAAAAACTTCAACTAAAAATATTATAGCTGGTAAAATTGTCCTTCAAAAATGAAGGTGAGATCAAAATTTTTTCAGACATAGAAAACTGAGGAAGTCCATCACCATTAGACTAGCCTTCCAAAGAAATGCTAAAGGGAGCTTATCAAGTTGATGCTAACTAAAAGCATGAAAATTTATGAAAGTAAAAATCTCACTGTAAAGGTAAGCTTAAGCATATAGTCAAATTTAGCATAATCTAATACTGTAAGAGCAGTGAGTAAATTTTTTAATCCAGCATAAAAGTTAAAAAATAAAATTATTATTATTGTTATTATTATCATTATTATTATTATTTTGAGACGGAGTCTTGCTCTGTCATCCAGTGCAAGGATTGCTTGTGCCCAGGAGTTCAAGACCAGACTGGGTAACATAGCAATACCTCATCTCTACCAAATACATAAAAAATAAATTGTCCAGGTGTGGTGGTGAGCACCTGTGGGCCCACCTACTTGGGAGGCTGAAATAGGATTGCTTGAGCCCAGGAGCTCAAGGCTGCAGTGAGCTATAATGGCACCACTGCACTCCAGCCAGGGCAACAGAGTTAGACTCTGTTAAAAAAAAAAAAAAAAAAAATCTGTGCAAATGGTTACCAAAAGAGAACAGCGGTGGCTTTGTGTATATCAGACAAAATAGACCTTAAATCAAAAACTGTAATGAGAGACAAAGGAGGTCTCTATAATGAAAAGGGGTTCAATTATCCCTGCACCCACTGTTAGAGCACCTAAATATATAAAGCAAATATTGACAGAACATAAGAAAGAAACGGACAGAAGTACAATAGCAAGGGAACTTTAATACTGTACTTTCAACAAATCAATAAATCATCCCTGTAGAAAATTAATAAGAAAACAGTGGACTTGAACAACACTAAGGAACAAATGAAACTAAACATATATAGAAATTCCACCCAACAGCTGCAGAAGGAACAATCTTTTCAAATGCACAAATAACATTCAGGATAAATATTTCAGAACACTAAACAAATGTTGACAAATTTAAAATTGTATCAAGTATCTTTCCTAACCGAAATGGTATAAAACCAGAAGTCAACAAGTGGAAGAATTTTGAAAAATTCACAAATATATGGAAATTAAATAGCAGGCTTCTGAAGAACCAATTTGTAAGAAAGGAAAGGAAGGGAGGGAGGGAGGGAGGGAAGGAGATGGATATCTTGAGGCAAAGGATCAGAAAACTACAACACACTAAAATGCGAGATGCAGAAATAGAAGTTATAAAAGGAAAGATTATAGTGACAAATGTCTAGATATAAAAAGAAAAGAGATCTCAAAAAACAACCTAACTTTACATCTCAAGGAAATAGAAAAAGAAGAACAAACTAAGCCCAAAGGTAGCAGAAGGAAAGAAATAATAAATATCAGAGCAGAAATAATGAAGTAGTGACTAGAAAAATAACAGAAAAGATCAATGAAACTAGGAGTTGGTTTTTAGAAAATAAAGTAGGCAAACCTTTACCTTGACTAATAAAAAAAGAAAGGGAACTGAAATAAAATTATGAAAGACATTACAACTGACACCACAGAAATACCAAGTATTATGAGATTACTATGAACAATTATATGACAACAAATTGGATCATGTAGGAGAAATGGATAAATTCCTAGAAACCAACTAAGACTGAATCATGAAGAAATGGAAAATCTGAATAGACTGATAATGAGTAAGGAGACTGAATCGGTAATCAAAAACTTCTCAACAAAGAAAATCCCAGGAACTGATCCCTTTATAGGCTAATTCTACCAAATATTTAAATAATTGATTCCAGTCCTTCAAACTCTTTTAAAAATTGGAGAGGAAGGAACACTTCCCAACTCATTTTATGAGTCCAGCATTACTCTGATACCAAAGCCAAGCAAACACTGCAATAAAAAAAAATTACAAGACAGTATCCCTGATGAATACGGATGCAAAAATCTTCAAAAAAAAAAAAAAAAGACTAACAAACCAAATTCAGCAGCACATTAAAAGGATCATACACTATGATCAAGTGAAAATTATCCCTGGGAAGCAAGAGTGGTTTTAACATACATAAATCAATAAAGGTGGTGCACAATGACACAATGAGTGAACACAATCATATAATCATCTCAATAGATGCAGAAAAAACATTCAACAGAATTCAAGATCCTTTCACGATAAAAACTCAGTAAATTAGATACAGAAGAAATATACCTCAACATAATAGAAGCCATATACAACAAACAGACATGTAATTTTATATTCGATAGTAAAAACCTGAAAGTTTTTCCTCTAAGATCAGGAAAAAGACAAAGATGCTGACTCTGGCTGCTTCTATGCAGTATTGTACTAGAAGTTCTGGCCAGACTAATTTGGTAAGAAAGAGAAATAAAAGGTATCCAAATCAGAAAACAAAGTAAAATCATCTCTTTGTATATGACATAATTTTATATACAGAAAACAAGTCCTAAACACTTCACCCAAAAAACAGTTAGTACTAATAAATCTAATACAGTTTTAGGATACAAATGGTTTTCCATCATATAAAAAAGTTCTGTACGGCAAAGAAAAAAATATATAAAATGAAGAAGCAACTTAGAAAATGAGAAAAAAATTGCAAATCATAATCTTATCAGGGGTTACTATCCGAAATATATAAAAAATTCTAATAACTTAACAGCAAGAAAACAAATAATCTAATTGAAAAATGGGCAAAGGACCTGAACAGACATTTCTCAAAAGAAGATATATGAATGACTAACATGTATATGAAAAAAATGGTTAACATTACTAATCATCAGGGAAATGTAAATTAAAACCACAAGGATACTTATTAGAATGGGTATATCAAAAAAGACAAAAGATAAATATTGGTGAAAATGTAGAGAAAAGGGAAACTTTGTACATGTTGGTGTGAATTTGAATTAGTACAGTCGTTATGGAAAACAGTATGGAGGTCCCTCAAAAACCTAAAAATAGAACTAACACATGATCCAGCAATCCCACTTCTGAATACCTATCCAAATGTAGTGAAATAAGTATGTTAAAGAGATATCTGCATTTCCATGTTCATAACAACATTATTCACAACAGCCAAGATATGGAATCAACTTAAGTGTCCATCAAGAAATGAATGCATAAATATTATACACACACACAACCACACATAACAGAATACTATTTACCCTTCAAAAATTAGGAAATCCTGTTATTTACAACAACACGGATGAACCTGGAGGACATTAAGCTAAGTGATAAAAGCCACGCACAGAAAAACAAATTCTCTACGGTCTCACATATGTGTAGAATCTAAAAACATCTAATATTTAGAAGCAGAGCAGAATGATGGCTGCCAGGGCTGGAGGTGAGGGAAATGGAAAGATGTTGGTCAAAGGTACAAATGTTCAGTTTTGCAGGATGAATAATTTCTGGAGATCTAACATACATATGGCAGCTAGAGTTAATAAAATTGCATTGGATACTTGAAATTTGCTAAGAGTCCATTTTAAATGTTCTCATCACATACACACAAAAAGGTAACTGTGATGAATATGCTAATTAACTTGATTGTGGTAATCATTTCATCATATGTGTGCATGTGTGTATATATATAGATATCTCAAAACATCAAGTTGTATACCTCAAATATATACAACTGTTATTTGTCTATTGTACCTTAGTAAATTTATAAAGTAATAAGTGCAAAACATTCTAATCAAAAGGCAGAGGTTAGCAGAATGGATAAAAAATAATAGCATAACCATATGGTGGCTGTAAGAGATACAATTTAGATTCAAAGAGACAAATAGGTCGAAAGGGTAGAAAATGATATACCACGTAAACAGTAACCAAGAGAGCTGGAATGGCTATACTAATATCAGACAAAATAGACTTCAATTAAAAAACTGTTTCTACAGGAAGGACATTTTATAATGATAAATGGGTTAATCCACCATGAGGAGATAATAAGTGTAAACATATATTCACTAAATAATGAAGTAAAAACTGACAGAATATAAGGAGAAATAGATAATTCCATAATAATAGTTGAAGATTACAATACTCACTTCCTGTAATGGATACAGACCATACAGACAGAGATAAACAAGAAAAAAGGAGACTTCAACAATGCTGTAAACCAACTACATGTAACAGAAATCTGTAAAACACAGCTACCAAAACAGAAGATTATACACATTCCATTCAAGTGCACAAGAAACTTTCTCTAGGATAGTCTATATTATAAACCATAAAACAAGTCTTGATGAATTTAGAATCATTATGGATATGAATTATGCATATAGACAGAGATAAATAAGGAAAAGACTTCAACAATGCTATAAACCAAGTAGACATAACAGAAATCTGTAAAACACTGCTACCAACCCAGAAGATTATATACATTCCACTCAAGTGCACAAGAAACACTCTCCAGGATAGTCTATATTATAAACCATAAAACAAGTCTTGATGAATTTAAAATCATTGAAATCATACAAAATATGTTCTCTGACCTATAATAGAATACAAATAGAAAAAATAACTGAAGAAAATTTGAAATATCACAAGAATGTGGAAATTAAACAATACACTACTAAACAACAAATGGTTCAAAGACATATCACAAAAGAAATGAGAAAATACTTTGAGATGAATGAAAAGGTAAATAAAACATACTCAAAATATTGGGATGAGGCTGAAGCAATGCTTTCAGAAGTTATAGCTGTAAATGACTATTTTAAAAAGAAGTAAGATTAGAGCAGAAATAAATAAAATGGAGAATAGAAAAACATATAGAAAAAAATTAAGAAAGCCAAAACTTGGTTCTTTGAAAAGTTCATCCTGTAGCTAGACTTACCAAAAAAAAAAGACTCAAATTGCTAAAATCACGAATTATAGAGAGGAAGGGATATTACTGCCAATCTAACATACATAAAAGGATTATAAAGTAATATAAAAAACCATGTGCCAACAAATGAGATAACCTAGAGGAAACAGACAAATTCCTAGAAAGGTAAACTACATAAAGTTACTCAAGAAGAAATAAATACTCTGAATAGATATATAACAAGTAAACAAGTAAAAAGATTGAATTAGTAATCAAAAAAAAAATTCCCACAAAGAAAAATCCAAGATCAGATAGCTTTACCAGTGAGTATTAACAAGTTTTCAAAATATTTAACACCAATCTTTCATGAGCTTTTCAAAAAAACAAAAGAAAAACTGGAAACAGTTTCTAAAACATTTGATGAAGCTAGTGTTACCCTGATGCTAAAACCAGACAAAGGCTTCAAGAGAAAATAAAACAATAGTATTCAATATTTGCAAATACAGATACTAAAACATTGAACTAAATACTAAAAAATCCCTATTCAGCAACATATAAAAAGAATTATGCACCAAGGATATAACCAAGTAGGATTTTTCTAAAGTATGTGTAGTTGTTTCAAAGTGCGAAAACCAATTAAAGTATAAACCATATTAATATAAGAACATAATCCATATTATCATCTTAATAGACTCGGAAAAATCATTTAACAAAATGCAACACATTTTCATGATAACAAACAATTTAAATACTAGAAATATGAAGGAACTTCCTCAATCTGCTGAAGGATGTCTATGCAAAACCCATTGTTATCATCATACTTTATAATGAGACTGAAAACCCTCCTCTTAAAATTAGCAACAAGACAAGGATGTCTGTTCTAACCACTTCTAATCAACATTGTACTTAAAGTTCTAGATAGAAAAATTAGGGAAGAAAAATAAATTTTAAAACATTTAAATTTGATATGAAGAATAATACTGTCTCTATTCTCAAGTATAATCTTACACATTGAAATCCCTAAGAAATGCACGCATACAAAAAATAGTAGAGCTAATAAACAAGTTCAGCTACATCGCAAGAGCAATATTTTAAAAATCAACTGTATTTCTATATACTAGCAAAAAACAATCCTAAAATGAAATTAAAACAATTCAATTTACTATAGTATCAAAAATACTTTAGAAACAAACTGGACAAATGAAGTACAAGATTTGTGCACTGAAATCTGCAAACCATTGTTGAAAGAAATATATTGAAAAATTAATTATATGTTGAAAGACCTACATAAATGGCAAGACATTCCATATTTATGGATTGTAAGACATAATAAGCTAGCAAAACTCCCTAATTTGACCTACACCCTCAGTACAATTGTTAACAAAATCCCAGTCATGTTGAACTAAGAAAATAAGGGTAACACCCAGTTAATTATAAAATTCACAATGGAAAGAAAGTGAGTCCTTGAACCTTAGTTCATGTGTGTGCTTTCTCCCTTCATGTCCTTTGTTTAAATTTACTGGCAGTGTGAGTTTGATGTTGTCAGGGTATAATAATGAACAAAATTAATAAATAATAAATCTGTATTATATGGGCTCCCAAAACTTACTCATAGATATCCAAAACTGTGGCAAATAATTTTCTGCATATTCAAACTCTGGGAAAACTAAACTATCTCCTAAATCACTAAAGGATGAGTACTTAGAGAAATTCATGCTTAGTTTTGCATGTCAAATGTAAATGTGAGAAAGTAAAGCTATTGTCAAAGTAAGAAGCTAAGAAATAAATCCCAAGGCACTCCAGAAAATAAAGTGTACTTTATTCAGACTTTACCAACAACAAAAGAAAGGAACATCAATAAAGGAAATAAGTCTTAAGTTGAAACCTGAAATAAAAGTAAGAATTTTCATAGCAGAAAAGGGAAAGCAATAAAAGAAGGAAGAAAAGAAGGCATGGAATATGACCAACTATTAAGAGGCAAGAAGAACACAATGTAGTTGGCTAACAAACAGCACAGGATATAATGTCAAATAATTTATACCACTTATTTTTGCATGCCGAACTTCATGGTTTCATTTGCTATGTGTATTCTCCAAAATCCAAACCATGTTGTCCCAGTCCAGCTGTTTCTAAAAGACTGCAGAGGGATATAAACAAGGGCCCACTGCCTATTGCAATGGCAGATCTCAAAGAATTTCAAATCAGCCTGTCAAAGCCAGTATTTCTTACCTGCTTCTTTCCAACTCTCTCTTCTCCAAAATGTGCTTCCTATGTTCTTATGTTCTTTTTCTGTCCTTATTTTTTTTTGTTTGTTTTTGTTTGTTTAGGCCCTGGTCATTTATTTCCTTGATTACAGTGACAGCCACCTAACTGGTCTCTGATCTCTTTAACTCCCAACATATGGGTCTAGACCTTTATTGGAATCATAGAACTGCTCTGAGAGTAATGGATGCTTTCCCAGCAAAAATGTACATATGCACTCAACATGGAAAATTTTGCCTACAATTTTGAAAGGATTATGTATCCATGAGCCCCATCGTTATGCCTTATACCAGTTATCAGACACCAGGTTAAGAGTTCCTAGGTTAAACTACTCTCAAAACTTCTGCCAGAGTAATCATAAGGAAGTAAATCTATAGGGAGACTATTCTATATGATAAAATTCAAAATCTTTGACACAGCATAGAAGGCCTATCAGTTGCCATTCTCCACATGTCCAGCCTTTCATTTGCCACTTACCCTCTTCTCTGGTATGAACCACTATAATTTTCTAAAAAGTACCTCCTTGATATTGTCACTACTTTACTCATTCTGTTCTCACTGCTGGAAAAGTCCTCTATTTTCATCATCTACATGCTTTCTCAGGTTGTTTAGGCATTATATTCCCCAATTAGATATTACCAAATTTCTTTATTTCACTTCCGTCTTCTACCTGGAATAGTTGTCACTCCTAGAAGCAACCTCTGTTCTGGTGGTTAACTCCAGAGTGGACCTGCAGGTGTTCATATAAACTCTCCCAAATCCATGAATGATTAACTGGAAGCTTTCTATGTTAACTTTTCTTGAGAGGGGTGGTAGAATGCTTTGACAGGCAACAGTCGTCCTTCCCTTTCTTCTCTACAGGGAAATAAAGGGAAAGTTTCTTAACATTTATGACCACAAGCACCGTTTTTTCCATATAGCGTATGGATGATTCAACATTTTCCCTTCCTTCTCTAATCCTCTAATAAAGAATGGGGAAAAGGTGTAACAGATATAGTTGTGCTGCCTTATACTAAGTCCTTCAAGAAATATTTTCTCCAATTCTTAATGTCAGTCTTTAGCACAGGGTGTTGGGTACCAACTGACTTTGTGTGTTCAGCTATCTTTGCCATTTGACCCCCAGAACCTCCTTTTTTGGTCGTTGTGTCTCATCAAGTCCCTTGTTAGTGCAGAGATTTTTTTCCTTCTGCAGATCACACACAACTTCATAAGACTCACATCAATTCATAAGGTTTGATAGAGAACACAAACCAGGCCATCCCAGTGTAATGCTCCATTTATTCCTATAAACATCTATACACAAATGTTTCTGTCCTCCCTAGGGCCAAACCCCAAATCTCTCATCCATATTGTCAGGTTAGTTCTGTTTTTCCAAACATTCCTGAAGTAGCAATGGAACATATTCAATTCAAACCTAGATCCTCACTACAGAGCTATTATACAGCATTTGCCACATTGCAATGTAATATGTCTGCTTCACAGAGTATGACCTCATTAAGGCTAACAACTTCATATATTAATTCAATGTCTTAAAGCATCTAGCACATAATTAGCACATAGGGCTTAGAATAGTGGTTAGAAACAAATTGCTGGGAAAATGAAATGAGATAATGTTTATAAAATAGTGCCTGGCATATAGTGGGCATTTAGTAAATATCAGCTTATTCTAGTAGGCAATGATTACATGCGTGCTGATTGTCAAGGATAAAGGTAAAAGAAAAGTTTTACAATATCTTTTATTTTTAACAATTTTATATAACTGTAACAATATCCAACACATATTTGTCTAGTTCTAGTTTGCAAATTTAAGTTGTTTTTTAAGACTCCAGGTGTCCATGTGTCTTAAACAAAGACATTTCTCAGTAGACATTCTTATAAAATAGAAAGCCTCACTGAGAATTACAAAAATGTAACAGCCTATCCCTTTTTACAGCTGGGCACCATTTCCTGAGG
Source organism: Homo sapiens (assembly GCF_000001405.40). Classification (NCBI taxonomy): domain Eukaryota; kingdom Metazoa; phylum Chordata; class Mammalia; order Primates; family Hominidae; genus Homo; species Homo sapiens. The sequence goes on from NC_000013.11 coordinate 38,302,643, forward strand.
CTATATAGTATGTACTGCACAGAAAGGAACAGAAAGAAAGCTGACATCTTAAAATTATATCACCAAAAACATTAACAGCCTCAGGCAAAGGAACAAATGAAAATTTACAATGAATGTAAGAAATACAATGAATTGAAGATGTGAAGAGCAACAGTAATAAAAGTATGAGAACTGTAGAACAACTTAGCAAATATCTACTTATCTGCTGCAGAAAACAACTAAGACAACGTATGGGAATACATGCCAGCATATATGCGGGTAAACTGATCAATGTTTTTGGTAACTTTTTTTAAAGCTGACATAGATCAGAATTATGCCTTTTCAACTGTTTTTTTTTTTTTTTTTTTTTGGCGGTATAGCCTTTAAAAGAATTTATATGTAAAACTTACATACAAAGCCACTATATAAGACACGTAAGTGAGCAAAACTATTACAGTTCTTTTTGCTTACATTCCTGCTTCCCAATAACCTATCATCCATAGAGTTCCCAAAGTATATCAGGTGACTTCCCTGTTTTACTGAAAACCATCCCCATGTTTGTTATGAACAGAGACTACGAAGTTGACATCTTACCTTGTCCTACAGAATCCCATGAGATCTGGTCTCTTCCAGTGTTTCTAACTCTATCTCATCCCCCCTACCCACTATCTGCAAGGCTATGGGCACCATCACTCTCTACCTAATCAAGCTCAAATATTTGTTCAGAATTTTGCACTGGCTCCTCCGTCTGCCTGAAACATTCTTCTATATCATTTGTGTATACCTGGATTATTCCTATCAATCTATTCTTTATCTAAATGTTACCTCCTAAGAGAAACCGTTCCTCACCACCAAAATAAAGAACCCACCCAATCACATTCAATCATAACACCCCTTTTTACTCTCCATACAATACTTACCACTAGTGTCTTTTCATTTTTTTATTTTATTCTCTCTTCATCCAGTATGTGTACTCTATAAGAATAATAACCTTATCTCTTTTATTCACTAGTCTAGCAACAGTATCTCAAACAGTGTTTGGTATAGTAAGGACTGAATGAATGTAGGAATGAATGAATGAATGAATGATGAGTGGGGCTCATCTCTTTATCCTTGTATACTGTACTTCTTTGTTTTTGCCCTCCTTGCTTTTATTTTCCTACCTTTTCATTCTGTCAGATTTTTTCAAGTACTCTGAAAAATTTTTTTAATGTGCACTTTTTCCAAATTCTTCCACATTCTCAGAAAGAGGCATGCTAGCCCTATAAATAGAGAAATGCTATGCTTATTTGTTGAGATGAATCAGTTTCCATGTTAAGACACAGCATCCCATAGTTGTGAGTGCCCATTGCTTCTCTTCTACATGAAAACATTTTCTGTTACGTAAACATGAGTTTTCAACCATACCAGTAGACAAAGACTGTGATCACTGTCAGTAGTCTCATCTTCCCACATTAAAGATAATGAGAAACTGATTTGCTCCCGGCAGATCAGTTTGTTCCTTTAGCTTTACTGAGATAGCAAGATGTGGAAGGAAACCAGATGGCTGTGACTAGGAGGAGAAATGGCACTGGAAAAGAAAAAATGCATCAATGCAAATTTTGTGAGAAATACTGAATATTTGCAGATGATTTTTTTACTCCTGTCTCCAGTTACATAAATTTTGAAGATATACATGATAGCTGTGCTATTTCCATATTTTTAAAAATTACTCTAAACATATCATGGGATTTTATTCTGAAAAAGGCAGTTTACTGATCATGGTATATTTATGTTTTCCAAAATTCCTGTAATGTGGAAGGGAAACTGGAATCATGCATATGTGAATTTTTAGTTCCTTTTGGGTCCCCTTTTAGTCCTGTGACCTTGGGTAGCTTAATGTTTCTGAACCTCATGTTTTTATTCTGTAAATTGAAAAGAATAATAGTTCTGTTATATGATTACTATAAGTGTAAATAAATATAAGCAATTGGTCATAACACAAGATAGTCTACACAGTAGATGCTCGGAAAGTACTAAGGAATTCTTGCTTCTAGATGGAAAAGTAGAGACATAGAATGTTTATGATGTAATAGTATATTTAAAATATTTTTATTTTTAATTCAAGAGCACATCCATCTCAGCTCTTTTGTTTAACAGCCATTGGCGTCTTTACAAAATTTAATCCCCATCCAACCTCTGTCTTCAAGGAATATAACTCTAAACTATTTTGAAATAAGTTATTTGGCCATGTACTGAATCCTTCATACTGTGGCTACTTTTGTTCAATTTGGTATAATATTCTTATCAATATTCTTTTATCAAAAGAAAATGTCTTCACAGGAATCCTTGGTTCCATAAACTCATGCCTGCTCAAAAGCCACTTTAAGCTATACCTTTTCTTTCTCGCTTCTTCTTCTTCTTCTTTTTTTTTTTTTTTTTTTTGAGATGGAGTTTCACTCTTGTTGCCCAGGCTGGAGTGCAATGGCGCAATCTCAGCTCACCGAAACCTCTGCCTCCCAGGTTCAAGTGATTCTCCTGCCTCAGCCTCCCGAGTAGCTGAGATCACAGGCATGCACCACAACACCTGGCTAATTTTTGTATTTTTAGTAGTGACGGGGTTTCTCCACGTTGATCAGGCTGGTCTTGAACTCCCAACCTCAGGTGATCCTCCTACCTCGACCTCCCAAAGTGCTGGGATTACAGGCATGAGACACCACACCCAGCCTCTTTCTTCTTTAAACTCTCCCACTTTACTTCATCCCTAAATAACAGCATATTTAAATATGCTATGTTATTTCCCTTCCTTAAACAAAATTCACAAACTCATATATCTTTCTAGTTATTACCATACCTCTAGACCTCTTCACAGGCAAGCTTCTCCAGTTGGCTTCACATTCTACTGCTTTTTCTTCCTTTTCTCGTATCTCACTTGCTCTTCAGACTTCTCCAACCTGAATCCTGTTCCCATCATTCCACCTAAACATCTCTTGTTAGCTTCATTAATGATCTTTGTGTTGCAACTAGTGAACCATTCACAAATTTCTTCTTCCCTTCTTGGCAACTCTTGACATATTTATCAATATTTTTCTGCCTTTCTATTGACACGTAATATCCAACTTTACTCATTATCCTACTGTCTCTCTGAAGATCTCTTCTCAGTGTCTTAAGTCAGCTTCTTTTGTTTCTTCTCTGATTTCTAAATGGGAGGTTTCATTGCTTTGGTCTAAGCTGATGCATTAGGTTGTTCTGGCATTGCTATAAAGAAATACCTGATACTGGGTAATTTATAAAGAAAAGAGGTTTATCTGGCTCATGGTTTTGTAAGCTGTATAGGAAGCATGACACGGGATCTGCTTCTGGGGATGCTTCAGGAAGGTTAAAATCATGGTGGAAGGTGAAGGAGAAGCAGGTCTTTCACATGGCAGCAGCAGCAGCATGAGAGAGAGCAGGGAGGTGCCACACACTTTTACACAACCAGATTTCATGAGAACTCACTTACTATAATGAAAACAGTACTGAAAGGATGGTAATAAACCAATCATGAGGGCTCCACCACCATGAGCCAATCACCTCCCACCAGGCCCCACCTCCAACATTGGAGATTACATTTAAACAAGAGATTTAGGCAGGGACAACAAACTACATCAGTCCTCTTCACTCAATCCTCACTCTTGTTCTAACTAAGCAAATCCACACACTGGCTTCAATGCTATTTCATATTGACCTCCAACCTTGTCCACTCTTTTGAGCTCTAAATTCATGCAATTAATTGCCTATATTATATTTTTACTTAAATTTCTGGCAGGTATTTCAAACTTAACATATTCAAAAGTAAGCCTTTACTTCTCTAAAACTGGTCCTTCTATACCCTTCCTATTTGTAAATTGCACCACCATCTAGGCTCATTCTTGATTTTTACCCTTTCACAAATGTAACTATTGCATTGAAAGAGTAGCAATTTACAAAGTTATAGTAAAAAATCAACCCTTTCATTTTTTCCCCTAGTACCTGGTCATACCTGTTTTTTTCCATGTCCTTGACACCTCAAGTAGATCACATGACTATTGAGTAAGAAAACTCCTTCAATTATTTAATCTTATATCAGTGTCACTTTGGTAACTGTCTACCCAGTCTAATAAAATACTAAGAGTAGAAATTAAACTCTTTCTCCTCTTCAGATCTTATCCTAGTTGGAAACCTGCATTGGAAAGAGGTATAGAATAGGCTTTTCTCTATTTCCTCTATAGGAGCTCCTCTCCCACTCCCAACCCCCAATCTCAGGCTGCCTTCTGGGCCCTCTGGTTTTAGGTTAAAATAGACTAGAGGAAAAGAAGAGAAAAAGTCTCCTTTGATTGGTACTCTCATAGTGTGGCTTTATTACTCTTTGGACTTACAGGTATATGAAAAGCAGTGTTCTTCCCAACAAATCTTCAGAGATAAAATACTGTTTCTCGTAAGTGCAATATGAGAAATTGAAGAAATATTGCAATTGTATTATACACAGAAAAAAGAAAAAAATTTATAAATACCATGACCCCAAAATAACTTTTGTTAATATCATTCCAGAAAGTTTCCTCGGCATGTACAAAAAGGACAGAGATCAGAGCATATATTTTTATTTACTTACTCAGCATCCATTATTCACTTATTCCATTCTAAAATTAGCTGTATTTTTCAGGTATACACTACTCCTTTAGGCAAGAAATACCTTCATATTATTGTGCAAATAGTTTGTTGTTGTTGTTATTGTTGTTGTTGTTGTTTTACAGACCCTAGAAACACTTGGAGAACCACTAGCCCAGAGATTTCAAGGACTGTTGGACCTAATACCTTAGTTGACATTGATACCTGAACATCCAAAGAATCATTATGGCACCCACATTAGAATGGGGTATGTGAGGTCCAGATAATAAATAGAGCCTGGGTCCACTTAGTTTGAGGGCTACTCATCCAGTTGGAGAAACTCGTTTATTTGGATCTTTGGCCTATGTTTTAACAGATATGATTGTAAAAAAGGTAAAGAAGAAACCTCTGAAAAGGAGTCACCTTTCCCCATGCAAGCCAAGATACCACATTTAGGGGAAGATGGTAAAATTAGGACGACCCTTAAGGATCTAAAGTGTGTACAGGGAAAGGTTCCTTTGCCAATCTAAAGCTTCTGGACTGGATGGTCACATGACTATGTAGATCACATTACTCTTCTAATATATATATGGTGTAACATAATTTTCTAAAATAAAAGATCACATTGAAACAAATTAAGTAGGGCCTCAAGTACATGGTATGCAGCTTTTGGTGAATGTACTTTTTTAACCTCATTAAAAAAGAAAAATAATTTGCTGTAACATGAAGTTGACAACAATATCTATTAACCCTATGGATCTTAACTCTGCTACCTTCTGTCATGATATAGTCTAAAAAGATGTGGGTGATCTGGATAGTCCACAGAACATCACACTGATCTATTACTTCAATGACATCATGTTGGTCAGCATGTTGGACGCCTTATATCCAAACGGTGGAAAATAAATGCTATGAAGATTCAAAGACCTGCCATTTAGCAAAGTTATTAGGTTTCCACTGGTCAGTGGCATTCCAGTAGAACATCTTCCCTCAAATAAAAGATAAGTTGCATCTTTCATTACCTGCCCCAAATCCTACCCCCAAAACAGAAAAGAAACAAAGAAAGGCAAATAAAAGAAATCCCAACATCTACTAAACCTATTTGGGTTTTGTAGGTTTTGGACACAACACATTTCATGTTTAGTAATATTATTCTAGTCCATATACATGACACACTGCTAATTTTGAGTGGAACTTGGAGCAGGAAAAGGCCCAGCCACAATTCCAGGCTATGGTGCAGGTACCCTGCCTCTTTGACCCTAAAAACCATCAAACCCTTGAATACTGAGAGCTAGATGGTAGAAAAGATAGAATATGGAGTTTATAGGAAGCCCCATTAGGAAAATCATCACAAGGTCCTTAGTTCTGAAGCAAGGGCATGCTCTCTGGAGCAGAAATGTATACATTATTGAAGAATCAGATCCTGATATGCTACTGGGTCCTAATACAGATGTAACACTTAACTAAGAGACACCAGGTGACAATGCATTGCCTTTTGAGCTGAGTTTTAGCAAACCATGAAGTCATAAAGTTGGGTAGAACTGGCAGTGGCCCATCATAAGATAGAAATGGTATATAAAGGATAGAATCCTAATAGCATCAGAGTATATGACTAAGCTGCCTGAGTAGGTAAGCTAAATCCCCATATCACCCACAATGATTGCACAACCTCACAGTTATGGTTATACGAAAAGTCTCATGTGAACAATTTTTCCTTGAAGACAAAGAATGAGGCCAAACCTGATTTACAAATGAGTCAGATTGGTATGTGGACACAAACTAAAAATGGATAGTGACTATATTAAAACTACACCAGCGGGTAGCCTTGAAAGACAGTAGTGAGGGAAAATCTTCCCAATGGTTGAGGTTTTATGTAATGCCTCTGGGTCTACTTTGTGTGGATCACTTCTGTGGAAGAAATGGCTTAAGGTGAAATTTATTTGGACTTTTAGGCAATGGCAGCTGGTCAGAGACCTAAAAGAAAAATGAAATAGAGGTATCTTGCTAGATTACTGGATGTGGACACAATATGTGATGATTTTCATGTCACATGTTAATGACCACCATAAATTACTTACCATAGTACAGGCACTAAACTATCAACTACAGAAAATAATTGGGTCAGCTGATGTTAGCTAGCCTTCATTATCAACCACCCTAGAACTAGCATTATGGGCACATGATTGAGATAGGTTTGGTGGCAGAGTCAAGGACTGTGCATGGGCTCAATAGAATAGATTTTCTAAACCCAGTCTTGTTATTCCTGCCCCTGAATGTACAATGCTAAGCCTCTGATAGGGAGGTAGTCATCAAGATACCAATAAGCTTGATGACAAGATGACTACATTATGTCTCTTCCATACTGAAAGGGCCAGTGATTCATTCAAACATGAAAAGAACCCCATCCTAGGTATGAGTCTCCTATCTGCAAACAGAGATAGCATCACTCTGCAGGGTCTTATTAAGTGCCTGATACACAGGCATGGAATCCCACAATATTACTGTGTTCTCACATTGCTATAAACAAATATCTGAGACAGGATAATTTATAAACAAGAGAGGTTTAATTGGCTCACTGTTCTATAGGCTATACAGGAAGCATAGTGGCTTCTGCTTCTAGGGAGGCCTCAGGAATCTTACAATCATGGCTGAAGGTAAAGGGGAAGCAGGTACTCCTTACACTGCTGGAGTAGAAGGAAGAGCGGGTGAAGGGAGAGGTGGCATACACTTTTAAATGACCAGATCTCATGAGAAATCTATTAGAACAGCACCAAAGGGATGGCGCTAAACTATTCATGGAAGGATATACCCCCATGATCCAATCACCTCCCACCAGGCCCCACCCCCAACATTGGGGATTACAATTTGACATGAGATTTGGGCAGAGACACAGATCCAAACCATATCACCCACACAATACAGCATCAAACCAAGCAAACTACTCTACAGTGAAGGGACCGTGGGAGTGGCCCTATGATTATATACAACACCAACCAGAAGCTCTCAGTCTGGTAGAAAAGAAATGGCTTGCTGAGGGTGTAGATGAAGTGTCAGCTGGTGACTCTTAGTCAGCTCAGGCTGCTATAACAAAATGTCATGAGCTGGGTGGCTTAAACACAAAACATTTATTTTTTACAATGCTGGATATTGGGAAGATCAAAGTGCCAGCTTTCTTAGGACTCTTGTAAGTACACAAATCCCATTCAAGAGGACTTCACCCTCATGACTTTATCTAATCCTAATTACCTACCAAAGACTCCATCTCCTAATATGATCACATTAGGGTATACAGTTTCAACATATGAATTTAGGGGGACACAAATATTCAGTGCATAATGGAGGCAATACTTGGAAACGTTTGGGAGCTGTCCCCCAGGTTGCAGTATACTCAATCAATAATCTCCCTATAATTCTGTGTCCCCATTAGGAAGAAGAGATGAGTCTGGGGACAAAAGGAGGATGCAATGGTAGCCCTTTTTACCATTTCTCCCCATGACTTACCTGGGAGACTTTGAGTAATCTATTTATAACCTTGAGATCTCCAGAATTAGAAGTCCACTCCTCAAAGGTAGCAGCAAGGGTTTTATTGAACTGAAAGCTTTGGCTGCTACAAGGTCATTTTAAACTTTTTTGGGTTCAGGAAAACCATGTAAGAATAAGAGTCACCATCAGGCAGAGTTAATTGATGATGATCAACAAAAGGTAAGATAAATGTCACAAAATAGGGGAAGGGGGAAATGTGTGTAGAACTTCTCCCTTGCCTACATGTGACTTTTAGTGGACAAGTGCAACAACATTGGCCTGAGAGTGTGCTTACCAGCAGATCAATATCGCAGGAATGAGAGTTAGAGTCATATCACTGGGTATGCCACCAAGACTTATAGAAGCAATATCTTAGGGTAGTCGGGAAGGACAGTGGAGGAGGGAGATATTAAGTACCATTTATGACCCTGAGACTAACTAAAGCAGCAGGGATTATTGTCCATCCCCAAAAACCTTCCTCTTCTAAGTATTCCTTCTCTAAGAAAGCCCACAGGAGCCATGGCAGAGCTGTTTCCTGAATGTGTATGGATCAGCACATCTGCGTAGTACAAGGGGTGGACTGTGGCAACCATGTAAAAATGCCACTCAGTTCTCTCCATTCCAAAAAAGAATCTGGCCGGGCGCGGCGGCTCACGCCTGTAATCCCAGCACTTTGAGAGGCGGAGGTGGGCGGATCATGAGGTGAGGAGATCGAGACCATCCTGGCTAACACAGTGAAACCCTGTCTCTACTAAAAATACAAAAAAAATTAGCCAGGTGTGGTGGTGGGCGCCTGTAGTCCCAGCTACTGGGGAGGCTGAGGCAGGAGAATGGCGTGAACCCGGGAGGCGGAGCTTGCAGTGAGCCGAGATCACGCCACTGCACTCCAGCCTGGACAACAAAGCGAGACTCTGTCTCACAAAAAAAAAAAAAAAAAAAAAGAATCTGCCACAAGGAGTACAGTTAACTGACAGCCTCTATCTAGCTGGAGTGTCTTTGGGATCCATCACAGCATTTGGGCAGAGCCTATGCTCTTTCTGGAAGATCCCAGACAAAGACTGAGCACAGTGGAGGTTTCACAGTTTGCCTTTTCTGCCTCATGCTGAAAAATGGACTTCGCATCAGAGTTCCTAGATGGGCTGCAATGTGAGTTTCTTTCTACCCAACCCTCCTTCTTTCTATCTATCTTCATGGGTGTCCAACTTGCATTACCTACTAAAGACTTTCCTAGCCCTACTCCTGCTCTCTCTGCCCATTACCTTTCATAGGCATTACCCTCAAGAAATCTCTTGAACTTGCACCTCTGTCTTGGTGCCCGATTCCTAGAATATACTTGAACAGATACAGATTTGATTCTTTCTTAGAGTGAGAAAAGAGTGAGAGCTGAACAAAAAACAATGCTAGTTAAAGAAATAGTAGACACCAAGATATTTACTAGGGGATATGCACATAATCATTTTTGTTTAAGATCTAAAAGAAGAAATATTCAAATACAATTAAAATAAACACTTATGGCAATCAAGGTAAAAATACTCATTTGTTTACAAGCAAAGAGCATTTTGGAAAGAACATTCCCTTATTCAAGTTTTGGTAAAAGATAATGTCATTTTCATTAATGTATCACAATCAACTAGCACAGTGTTATCAAGTCATTTTTGAGCCTTTGAAAAAATTATTGAATGAATTAAAAATACAAAAGGACTATACAAAACCTTTTTTATATAAGAGGATTGGAACTTTGCAAACAAAATGTTTAAAGTCCACAACAGGAAACATAATTTCACAAAGTCTCTGACAATTATTCTGAAAAAGAGGAAGAAAACTATTTCTATGAACTGACCAATTACAGATGCGATATGAAGACAATAGAATGGAATCAAAAGAGAATTAGATAAGAGGCTGAAAAAAGTAAATAAGTAAAAAATATATAGTAATAAAAATCTAAGCATAGAATAGGTGAATTGAAATTCAAAATGGAGGCAGATTTTTAACATCAAAGACGAAAAAAATTCTACAAGCGTCCAGGGATTGAGCACTAAGGATTATGAGAAACAGAAACCAAGCAGGTCCTATTTTTCTCATCCATAAAACTTAGAAAACTACATACATGAAACAAAACCAAATTGCTCTGTATATTGTTAAGAGACAAGAGTCTATCCTAAATTACAGAAAAAAAAAATGTAAAAGCTCAAAATACAAGGGAAGTTACACTGGTCAGAAGAAAAGCTCCAATATATAAAGGAAGAACTTATGAAATAAAGGATTAAGTGTACAATGAACTCAATTTAGTACATAGTTAGACCTAAATCACCAATGTAATTGTGATTTTAGAATAAATGTAAATGCACATAAGCCTTAAATGAAGCAATATTAATATGAAATAAGATTATAAAAATGTGTTTAAAACATCAGATTGTATAAGCAAATCCTAAAATCAAAGAAGAGATAAAAAATGAAAATATTATTACCTTACAAATGAAAAGACTAGATATTGCTTCATTCTTGATGTTAAAAATTTAACATATATACTTATAAAAACATAAGGATAATTACTGTAGAATTGAAATTTTTACAAGATTCCAAATGTTTTTAGTGATAAAGAAAATATAATATACTGTATATAGAAAATAAATGTCAAAAAGCATTTAGTGAAAATTAAACTATTATTTCTGATTTTCAAATCCTGTCAAATTAGAATTACTAACATAGGAATATACTTATTTTTACTGTTTATATATATATATTTAAACATACAAATAGAAGTGTATACATCTTAACTGTACTTCTTAACTCCACTTCTGCCCTCTTTCAGTTATTATATTTGCAGTCTTTCCCAACATTAACAACTTATTAAACCAAAACAACAGAGATTCGAGTTGCCTGGTTTTGAGTTTTATATAAAAAAATTGTACAGAATGTCTTCTTTCTCAGGTTTCTTTCACTTGCCATTATGTTGTGAGATTCATTGTGGCATAGCAAACCATTGCAGTGTATTTTTTACTGCTACATAATACTCTATTGAATACATGTATCATAGTATTTTTGCCATTTTACTGCAGATTCATATTTAGGTTATTCCGGTTTGTTGCTGTTGTAAATAATGCCACTAAAAGCATTCTTTAATGTCTTTTGGTGCACATGTGAACACACTTTTATAAGATATATACCCAGTAGTAGCATTACTGATTATAGAGTATGCATATTTTAAAATTTAGAACACCTGGTTAAAGAGTTTTCCACAATTATTGTATCAATTTTTACTCATTCTAGCAGTTTATGAGAGTTCCAGTTTTTCCTCGTCCTTGACAACACATACTATACTATGCTTAATCCTTTTTGTATATGTCTTAATGGAGTGTGTACAGTAATACAGCACTGTTTTCCTAAAATGTGCACACTTTTCCACAGGCTTATTAGAATCTGGTTATTCCCTTTTGTAAAGAACTTGTACAAAACTCTTGCTCACTTTTCCATAATGTCTACAGTGATAGCTTTTTATTAAATCTTGTTTTAGTTACTTGTTAACACCTTTTTCTTTTCTTTCTTTTTTTTTTTTTTTTTTGTTTTGAGACAAAGTCCGGCTCTATTGCCCAGGCTGGAAGTGCAGTGGTGCAATCTTGGCTCACTGCAACCTCCACCTCCCAGGCTCAAGCATTCCTCCCCGCTCAGCCTCCTGAGTAGCTGGGACCACAGGTGGGCACCACCATGCCTGGCTAACTTTTTATATTTTTTGTAGAGATGGGATTTTGCCATGTTTCTCAGGCTGGTCTCAAACTCCTGGGCTCAAGCCATCTGCCCACCTAGGCCTTCCAAAGTGCTGGGAATACAGACATTACACCGAGACCTGCCTGCTGTTCCCTTTTTCTATTTTATTTATTAATTAGTATTGTCAGAAGGACCTCATGTTCAATTATCAATTTAATGACTGTAGTTAACATTAACCAACTATACATTTCAAAATAGCTAGAAAATATTTCCAATGTTTCTAGAGTAAAGATAGGTGATAGGTATCCCAATTACCTTGATTATATGAATGTATCAAATTATCACATATACACTGAAAATATGTAATATACACAGATAATATGTATTAATTTTTTTTTAATTTATGTTTTTTCAAAGAACCAACTTCTAGATTTGTACGTTGCTTTTTCATTAATTTCTGCTCTTCTCTTTATTTTTTTCCTTCTATTATACTCTCACTGGGTGTGATTTGCTGTTCTTATTCAAACTGCTTAAGATGGCCACTTGGATGAATACTTTTCAAATTTTCTTCTTTTCTCACATACACATGTAATGCTATAACCCTTTGTTTAAGCATGGTTTTAGCTGTGCTTTGTATATTTCATATGCCATATTTTTATTATCCAGCTCAAAACGTTTTTGAATATCTACTGTTTTCTAACATCCTAATTAAAGTTTATTGAGAAGTGTATTACTTGATGTTCAAACATTCGGAAATTTTTTAGTTTGGGGGGGTTTTGTTATTTATTTCTAGGTCAACTGCACTGTGAGCAGATAAAATATCCTGTTTTATTTTCTAAATAACTTTTCTTGAAAATACATTATTTTTAGAGCAGTTTTATGTTCACAGAAAAATTAAGAGGAGAGAGAGTTCCCATGTAGTCCTTGCCCCTACACATGTACAACCCCCCTCATTCTCAATATTCCACACCACAGTGGTACGCTTGTTACAATCAAATCAACCTACATTCACAAATTTTGAGATTTTTGAGGGCTCATCCTATAGTCAATGTTTTTAAGTGTCCTATGTGCCACTAGAGAAGAATGCACATTTTGAAATTGTTGGGTATATTGTTTTGTATATATCAGAAAGTCAATTTTGTTCATTATGATCTTCAAATTTTCTATGTCACTTCTTATTTTTTACTTTCTATTAATGTTAATTACTCAGACATGTGTATTATAATTTTGTATTTGTCAATTTTTTCCCTCAGTGCAGGTAATTTGGCTATCCATCTTTACCTATCTATAATGATTTTTTGCCTCACATTCCCTTTTCCCAATTTTCATAGACTATACTTTCCAAATCACTTACTTTCTATATTTAGGTATGCTTAAAGTTAAGGTGTTCCTTTAGTAATTGGTGTATGTTGGGTGTTTGATTTTTGTCCTGCCTGAGAATTTTTATCCTTAAATTGAAGTATGTAATTTATTCATATTTAAGAATATCACTAATGCATTTGGAGTTAAGTCTACCATCATATTACTTGTTTTATGTTGGTACCATCTGCTCTATGTTACTTTTTATCATGAAGAGGTATTCTGATTCAGTCAAAATCTTTATTTGCATCTACTAAGATTATCATGTAGGACTTGGCAAGGGGAGAGTAAACTAAAGCAACCGTTATTATCTGTTGGTCAGAATAGGCTGTTTTATGCTGCATTAACAAACAATTCTCAAATTACAGAGTTTGAACCAATAAATTCATATGTTTACCCTATATCCTTATAGTTTCACTGCAAGTCTCTGCTTCTTCCATCCTCAATCCAGGGAGAGGGAGCTTCCAGCATTTGCAATGCAGTGGTTATCATGACTGCATGAAGAGTATGGATAAATTTACACCCACTTAATGTTTCCATCTGGAAGTGACATATTTAAATTACACTATCATGTCTTGGCCAGTGCTAGTAACATAGCCTCACAGACAAGGAAATTTGAACCCCCTCTCCCTCCCAAATACTTGGAAGTAGAAAGAAACTAAATAACAGTGAATAGTTATAATACCCTCCAAATGCCTAGAGTTTCTTATTCTAATATTGTAAATAAATGGAAAGATAATGCAACATGAAGTCAGCTTGAGGTATATCTTATCCTAGTTAAAAACAGGGAATCATTGTTTTGAAAGCAAATGACATCTACAAGTGTATCCCTTTTATTCTTTCATCAAAGAGCTTGTAATGACAAAACCTTCTCATTTTAAATGTCTTTGCTGTTGCCCACGTTAGTAAAATAATAACAGAAGCAAAAATGTTGCTAAAAATTATCCACATTACCAAACAGGTTTTTGATTTGCAATGTACTTGTTACTAATCTTTAAGCAACAACTGTCTAAATACAGATGAGTTTGATAGAATAGACAATAGGAAGTAGGTAAACGTATCCAGAATAACTCCTCTGTTTTGCTTCTTAATGCAATTCATTGTATTTATTGACTTTAATATTTGAGTATAATAATTGTTTTGTTATGTGATGAGCCTGGTCATTTATTCATTCAATGAATATTTACTTCATTTATCCTATGAGCAAAGCATTACTCTAGGTAGGAACCAGGGATTCAGTGGAGGTGAAAAAGAAGTCTTCAACAAATATATATTCTCAAGTTTAACCAGATTTAGATTTTCATTCAGAAACAATTTCATTTCATTTTACCATCAGTTCTTTTGCTTTGAAAATTTTCAATGGTCATTTTATTACTGCTTATATAGAAAAAAACTCAACCTTGAAGTCCAGAGAAAGACTTATGGTCAAAATCTTTACCTTTCTCTCCTTAAATAAATACATTTTGCAAGCATGATTTAGAGTCAAAAAATACGTTATTTACTCCTTTTCTAATATTCAGTGTTTTCTACTGAACAAGAAAAGGAAAGCATGATGAAATAAAGCAACAGTAATTTTAGTAGCTTTTTAAAAAAACTATCCCTGAGTGGCTTTTCTTAATCATTTAACTTTATGATCAACAAAGGCATTTAGAAACAATCATTCCAACAAATACATAGAATCAAACAAAACAAAATTTATCTCCTAGTCTGTTGATATCCTATTATAAAATTTGAATAGAAAATTAATAGCTACTAGTCAGAAATATTCCTTGGTAACAAGTCATTTAAAACAAAATTATGGTATAAATTAGAAGCTGAAAACCAAAATAAGTTACAATTCAACTGTAGCCAAAATATCTCAGATGGGAGTATGTAGATACCTACTTTAGACTTCAAGTCAACCAAAGTCATCTGTGATACAAACCTAAGCTATTGTGACATGTAAAAGGGGAGGGAGGGGAAGAAAAGGAAGGCACCTATCCAAATTACAATAACCGGAAGTCAAGTGGTAGAATCATCTTGGAGAGATTCTATATCCGTTTCTAAGGGAAGGTAATCATTACTTGATCAATTTTGGTCACAATAGCAGGAATCCATAAGCAGAATCAATAATTTTGTGGCCAAGTGAGTAAAGTAACAGTTTTTAAATTTATTTCCAACTTTTATTTTAATTTCAGGGGTACATGTGCAGGATGTGTAGGTTTGGTACATAGGTAAATGTGTGCCATGGTGGTTTGCTGCACAGATCAACCCATCAAACAGGTATTAACCCCAGCATTCATTAGCTATTCTTGCTGGTGCTCTTTCTCCTCCCAACCCACCCCCCGCTCCAACAGCCCTCAGTGTGTGTTGTGCTCTCCCAGGTATCCATGTGTTCTCATCATTCGGCTCCCACTTATAAGTGAGAACTTACAGTATTTGTTTTTCCGTTCCTGTGTTAACTTGCTAAGGATAATGGTCTCCAGCTCCATCCATGTCCCTGCAAAGAACATAATCTCGTTCCTTTTTATGGCTGCATTCCATGGTATATATGTACCACTATTTTTATCCAGTGTATCATTGATGGGCATTTAGGTTGAATCCATATCTTCACTATTGTGAATAGTGCTGCTATGAACATACATGTGCGCGTACATTTAAAACAGAACAATTTATATTATTTTGGGTATATACCCAGCAATCTCATTGCTGGGACCAATGGCATTCCTGTCTTTAGGTCTTTGAGGAATCGCCACATTGTCTTCCACAATGGTTGAATTAATTTACACTCCAACAGTGTAAAAGCATTCCTTTTTCTCCATTTGATAGAACAGACAATAGGAAGTAGTAAATGTACCTTGAATAACTCCTCCGTTTTGCTTCTTAATTCAATTGAATGTATTTATTGCATCTGTTGTTTTTTGCCTTTTTAGTAATAGCCATTCTGACTGGTGTGAGATGGTATCTCACGGTGGTTTTGATATGCACTTCTCTGATGGTCAGTGATGTTTAGCTTTTTTTCATGTTTGTTGGCTGCATGTATGTCTTCTTTTGAGAAATTTATGCTCATGTCCTTTGCCCACTTTTTAATGGGGTTGTTTATTTCTAGAAAATTTGTTCAAGTTTCTTATAGATTCTGGATATTAGACCTTTGTCAGATGCATAGATTGCAAAAATTTTCTCTCATTCTGTAGGCTGCTTACTCTGTTGATTGTTTTTTGGTGTGTGTGCAGAAGTTGTTTAGTTTAACTAGATCCCATTTGTCAGTTTTTGCTTTTGTGCAATTGCTTTTGTCAACTTGTTCATGGAATCTTTGTCTGTGCCTATGTCCTGAGTGGTATTTCCTAGGTTTTCTTCTAAGGGTTTTATAGTTATGTGCTCTACATTTAAATATTTAATCAATATTCAGTTGATTTTTGTGTATGATCTGAGGAAAAGGTTCAGTTTCAATTTTCTGCATATGACTAGCTAGTACTCCCAGCATCATTTATTAAATAGGGAATGTTTTCCCCATTGCTTCTTTTTGCCAGGTTTGTCAAAGATCAGGTGGTTGTAGGTGTACGGTATTATTTCTGGGTTCACCATTCCATTCCATTTGTCTATTTGTCTGTTCTCGTACCAGTACAATGCTGTTTTGGTTACTGCTGCCTTGTAGTATAGTTTGAAGTCAGGTGGAGCGATGTCTCCAGCTTTGTTATTTTTTTATTTTTTGAAATGGAATCTCTCCATGTCACCAGACCGGAGTGCAGTGGCGTGATCTGAACTCACTGCAACTTCCGTCTCCTGGGTTCAAGCAATTCTCCCGCCTCAGCCTTCTCCCGCCTCAGCCCCCCAAGTAGCTGGGATTACAGGCACGCGCCACCACGCCCGGCTAATTTTTGTATTTTTAATAGAGATGGTGTTTCACCGTGTTGGCCAGGATGGTCAGCTTGTTGGGGAAACCAGCCCCACACCACCCAGCGGGTACCCCGAGTCCGGTGGAGACAGGGGAGTTAGAAAGAGACAGAACAAGCATTTAAAAGGCGGGTCCAGGGGACCAGAGCATCAGAGGCTTGCTCACTGCCCAGAACTCTTGGGTCCACCCAATTTGTTGGTTTACAAGCTCTTTGTTCTTAGGGCAGATGGGAGGGGATAAGGAAAAGGATTAATCAGTGAAGGAGAACTCGTGAGTCATTCGGTTAAGATGTATAGCAGTGGTGGTTTCTGTGAATTTCCTTGAGCAAAGGCGTGTGTCTAAACTACTTAAGAGTTTTAACTTATCGGGACTGAAATGGGTAGGAGCGGGATTCAGGAGGAGCCAAGATGTTTGATTATACTCCACTGCTTCAAGGGAGTGTCGTCTCCCTGAGCAACCTGTGGTATGCCGCTGAGCGGTTATGCTCTGGGGGTGTAAAGACATGAAGGCAATAAGGAGACTTTTCTCCTCAGAGGCCGCCCATGGCTTCCCATGGTTGTCTCACACAGGGAAGACCAACTCAACTGGCACCCCAGAAACTCTCTTTCCCACATAGCTTTGTTCTTTTTGCTTAGGATTGTCTTCGCTATTCGAGCTCTTTTTAGTTCCACACGACTTTTAAAATAGCTTTTTCTAATTCTGTGAAGAATGCCAGTGGTAGTTTAATGGGAATAGCATCGACTCTATGAATTGCTTTGGGAAGTATGACCATTTTTATAATATTTATTCTTTCTATCCAACATTTTTTCTTTCATTTCAACCTTGGAAAATCTGATAATTATGTCTCTTGGGGAGGATCTTCTCATGCAGCATCTTACTGGGGTTCTCTGGATTTCCCGAATTTGAACGTTGGCCTGTCTTGCTAGCTTGGGGAAGTTCTCCAGGATGATATTCTGAAGTATGTTTTCCAAATTGGTTTTATTCTCCTCATCTCTTTCAGGTACACCAATAAGTTGTAGACTCAGTATCTTTACATAATCCCATATTTCTCAGAGGTTTTGTTCATTCATTTTTATTTTTTTCTCTATTCTTGTCTGCCTGTCTTATTTTAAAAAGAGAGTCTTCAAGCTCCAAGGTTCTTTCCTCCTCTTGGTCTATTCTGCTATTAATACTTGTGATTACACTGTGAATTGCTTGAACCCAGGAGGCGGAGGTCACAGTGAGCCAAGATTGCACCACTGCACTCCAGACTGGGCAACAGAGTAAGACCCTGTCTCAATAAATAAATAAATAAATAAATAAATAGTTGTTTAGAGAAAACTAGGAATTAAAGGCTATTGAGAGAGAGAGGAGAGAAAGAGAGTGCTCTTTTATTTCTTCTTTTAGTCCCTCTGGCCCATGAATTCTCAACAGTGGTAATATCACTTCCAAAGGAACAATTGGTTCTTGGAAGGGAGACGGCAATAAAATCTTAAATTTTGCAATAATTTTGGCACTCCAAAGCTCAAGCCTACCTGAAAAAAAATCATATTTATCAGTATTTAGTTTCATAAGGAGAGAGATAATTAGGAAAGGACATCTAACATGGCTCCTTAGGAGGATGATAATGAAAAAAAAGTTGAAAAATACTATTGTAGACCCATATTTAGTTAACAACAATTATTGAGCATTATTTAAATATACCAAGCACACTCCTAGGCAATAAAGCAGTAAAAATTCTGTCTCACTGGAAGCATCATGTTCCAGAAGACATCTCAGCATCTTTTAGATAGCTTTAATATTTTCTGAAGCAAGTTTGACTAGATGCTCTTATTTGAAAGCAAATTCTTGCTAAGGCAATGAGCCATCCTTCCAGCCAAGCAGGAAGACATTTAATCTGATGTTACATGTAGCTTCTTTGACTCCGACGAGTACAGCAACAAGTTATTAAACACTCTCTACATGTCAGATAATTAATGTAAATTACTTTCAACCTCGGCCAAAAGTCACGAGCTAGGTATGCTTTTTTACTATTTTAAAGGTGAGGAAATTGAGATTCAAGGAGTCTAACTTGTATAAGACTTCACAGCTAAGAAATGAAGGAACTGAAATTTTTCACTAGTACTATCTGGTTCTAAAACAATGCTTTTTATACGATACCATGCTGCTGATTTGCATGCCTAAGCACTGCGCAAAAAAAAAAAAAAACCTTTCTAGTTTTTGTCATCTCCTCTGAAGTTTTGATGAGTCATTAAATTCCTCTGAGTTTTAGTTATCTCATATATAAAATCTGGAAAATAATGTCAAAATAAGGTAGATGATTTCTTAACCTAAAATTATTGTTCACTTCTTATGGGTCTGTCATACAACCGAACAATTAGAGCATAAGAGACCTCATCAACATGAGAGACCTCCTCAAGGTAATACCATTCATAGGAATGTCAGCTTGTAATTTAAGATGTTCATCTCTAAAAAAGAAGTCCAGTATTCTGACTTCAACTGTAGAAGTTTATTACTAGTATTTTTTTTTCCTAATAGAAATAGGACTCATTGGCTCTTGTATGATATGGAGAATTGTTTCATAAATCTTGCATAGTTATAGATTTTTTCCATGAGACACTATTAGGCTGGTGCAAAAGTAATCTCAGTTTTTGTCATTTAAAGTGATGGCAAAATTGCAATTACTTTTGCACCAACCTAATACTATACTTCATTTTTGACAATATCTAAATTATATTTTTAAAGATTATATTTTTGCTTTTAAATAAAAAATAGAAAAGGTCAGCATACTATTTAATTTTTATTTTTTTAAATATTTTTCCTTTCGTGCCTAGTCCCAAAGATCACCATACTATTTAAAGGAGACAGGGAAATGGATGATGGAGAAGAAAGCCTTTCTCTCTCCCCCAGTGTCTTTCTATCTCTTTTCCCATCTTTCTTTCCTTCTTTGTTAATAAAAATACTAATCCTCACAGTGCCCTGTGAAGTACATTATTATCTCTCTATGTAAAAATGACAAAATGAAGCGCAAAGACATTAAGACACAAAACACTAAGCAGCTAATGCCTTAATTAACAGAGTCAAGATTTATATGTGTGACTGTGTAACTCTACAGCCCATGCTTTTTTTCCCATGAAAACATACTGCCTCCTACAATTTCAATGTAAAATCCATTCCCCATAAAAAGAGGCTTTCCTCCATTAGCTCAACTTTTGTAACATCAATTCTTTATGAGAACTGAATTTATAATAATGAATTCCCTTCTATGCCTACATTTTCATTTCTTTTTTAGTTTTATTAGGCCTCAAGCAAAGCAATTTATATTAAAGACAAAAGTACCCTTATGATGTTTCAGGACAAAGTCATTTATCTTAGGAAACACATAAGATAGTGCAGACATTGCATATTTTAAATGAGCTCACAAATACAAATATAAGGGAAATTTTAAAGGGAAAAAAATGTGCCTTGATTGTATCAAGCCTTCTTTTGACCCACCTCCTTGCAGAAGTGGGAGGATCCTCCAATTGCTCACACATTCAGGCTCTGCAACATTCACCACAAGAGAAATGCTCTGCCTTCCATATTTCTTGTCTCAGAAGTATATGGTTATGTAACCAACAGCATAGAATATTGGAAATTCACATTCCTGTTATAAAACTCAAGTATGAATCAACCCTAATCCAACATATGTCTAAAACCCAAATGAGACAACAGACAAGAACATATAGGAATCCCTTTCTCTAGGGTACAACTTCTTAAAGAGTGGTTCACCTGTATTATATTCATATAGAGTGCTTCTCAAATAAAGAGGCAGATTCTCTAGTTTATCCCAATTTACTGAGTCAGAATCTCTGGGAACTTGGCCTGAGAATCCACTCTGGAATGAACAAGATCTGTAGGTGATTCTGATGCACATTCATCCACTCTAAGTTTCTGGTGTTTTCTTTTTATATGGCGTTAGGATTTATAGAAAGCAATACTCAGATTATATTAATTATATAGAAATGGTATTAACTGAGTAGGAACTTATTATGTAGATTTATTTTATAAATCGTGTAGATTTAGGAAATATCTCCTAAAAACACTTCTTATTTCTCTTTTTATGAGCATCCTATGACAAATTTTTCCCTTAGTTTCATTTCTTAGAAAGTATCTAAAAGAAAAAATACAGTACATATGAATCACCAAAACATAGGTCAACTACTACTCTAGGTAGAGGAGATCTAAGACAGGTCCTCTTTTAATAATATATTATAGGCACACAAATGGTGCAAAGGAGTTAGAAAGTGTTTCTCCTGGCCTTGATCATCAAAAATGTCAAATTAAATTACTGACTTCCAGTTTCATCTTCTACATAAAAAAGGCTTGAAAGCATAATTCCCATCCATGCAACAGGAAAAGGCTGGGCAGGCTTAAAATCAACCATCTTTTTTGACCCATCAGAGAACTGAGATTGCAGGACAAATTGCTCCACCAAAATTTAAGAAAGACAAACACATCCAGAGAATCATACATAAGGCCTACTAGAGCAGAAGCTGCTGGCACAATAAACTGATAGAATTCCTTAAGTGGTAATTTAGACGAATTGCTGGAGACTGGGTATAGACTAGTTTGAGAGTGAGAAACTTCTGGGGGACACATTGATAGGGGTGTCCTATAATTTTATAGCCTTTACTTCTAGGAATCAAAATTTCATGATGAAGAACTGATACAAAATCCATGATTATCTCTGGCAAGGGGAGGAGAAGTGTAATCATTGTTATATACACTCCCAGCGCCTACTTCATAACGAACACCTACTCTCAAGGGGAAAACATTTTGCCAGACCCTGTTCTAGCTGGAGGAAAAAAATTCATCACACTCCAGCTCCTTCTAGCTTTTCTGTCTCACGTAAGTGAGAGATACAGTCTAGGGTCAGGGTTTCAAGAAAATATATTAGAAGCACTGCAGCCGGAAACACCTATACCACCAGAGAAACACTTATAAACATCACAGGGTTTGGTTGGCCCTGATAAACAGACCCACTAAAAGACTTATATTTGATTATAAGATTAGACTACTTCTATTCCCCACATCTTACCACCAGGCCACCAGGGATCCAGTATAGTAACAGCGGATAACAGCTGAGAGAACTGCGTGAGAGACTCTCTCTGAGAAGGAGTGCTTAGGAAAGCCCAAAGTCAGGATAGAAGACAAAAGCAAGGAGAACAGAGGAACTGGAAACCTATGGCAACTACAGCCACATTACAGCACCTATTTACAGCAAACATGAAAAACAAACAGCCAACTCTTAACAAGAATAACATAAATCCTCACACTAAAAGACCTGTTTATCTCAGTTCTTAATAGTCAACACCACATATCCAGCGTTCCACAAAAAAAAATACAAGACATGTCAAAAGGCAACAAAAAATACAAGCTAAAGAAACAAACACAAAAAAATCACACCCAGACTCAGATATAGCACAGATACTGGAATTCTCAAACAGAAAATGTAAAATAACTATGATTAATATGTTAAGAAATAGAGTAGAAAAAGTAGACAACCTATAAGAACAGATGGGTAAAATAAGCAAAGAGATGGAAACTCTAAAAAGCAAGCAAACAAAACAATGCAAAAAGGAAATGGCCAAAATAAAAAACATTGTAACAGATACAAGAAATGATTTGATGGGCTTCATAGTAGATTCAACACAGATGAGGAAAGAATTCATAAACTTGAAGACAGATCAATAGAAACCTTCCATGCCGAAATGCAAAGAGGGGGAAAAAATAATGAAAACAAAAACAAAAATCAGATCATCAAAGATGTGTGGGACTATTTCAAAAGGTATACCAGATAAGTAATTGGAATACCAGGATACCAGAAGAAGAAAGAGAACATAAAGCAGTGAAAATACTTGAAGTAATGATGGCCGTGAATTTTCCAACATTAATGACAGACATCAAACCACAGGTCTAAGAAACTCAGAAAACAGCAATCTGGATAAACACAAAACAAATTAAAAACAACACCAACACATATCATATTTAAACTGCAGAAAGCCAAAGGCAAGGTAAAATATTGAAAGAAACCAAAGGGGAAAAAATACTTCACCTGTGGAAGAACAAGATAAGAATTACTACCAACTTCTCCTTAGAAACCATACCAACAAACAATTTCAAGAACAAAAGGGATCTGAGAAGTTGGAAGAGAATGGAGTGAAATACTAAAAGTGTTAAAATTGACCAGGCACGGTAGCCCACACCTCTAATCTCAGCACTTTGGAAGGCCGAGGCAGGAAGATTGCTTGAGTCCAGGAGTTCAAGACTAGTCTGGGCAACATAGGCTAGTTGCCCAGTTGTAAAACCAACCAACCAACCAACCAACCCTGTTTATTTTTTACAAAAGAATATTGTATTAAAAATTTTAAAAGTGTTGAAAAAGACCAACAATCTAGAATTCTATACAATTCAACCATCTAGAAATCAGTGAAATGAAGAAGACATACTTTCTCAGAAAAACAAAAACTGAGAGTAATTATTACCTGCAAGTCTCCTCAACCACATGCAGCCTATGCCTCAGTCACATGAAGTGATTTTTTTAACATAACAAATAATTCAACCTCTTTATTCATGCTGATTAGTTTTCTCAGAATATCTTTCAGCTTCCCAGTCTGCATGTCACATTTGACTTTCATATGTTTTAAGAAGTATTTATTATTCTATGACAAAGCTCATATATCTTTTCCAGGCAAAATTAATCTTTCTCCGCTGTACCAGATGTGGAAGTGAATGCTAATGCCTACAAAATAAAGGAGGAACATTCCTAAAATGGCTTGAAAGTTTCTTACTGAGTGTTAGGAAATTTTACTCAATGAAATAAGAAAACAGAGAGGAGACAGACAGACATTAGGGGAGGAAGATGCCGAATTTTGCTTTAGTCATTCTAGGTTTGACGAGCCTACTAGACTTTTAAATGAAGAGGTCTAGCTCTTGGTAAATAAAGAAGTGCTAAAATTTGCCAGTGAAGTCGCATTGAGTTGATAATAGATATGTGGGGTAGATAAGCTCCATTTATTTATTTATTTATTTATTTATTTATTTATTTATTTTTGAGACAGAGTCTTGGCTCAGTCGCCCAAGCTGGAGTACTGTGGCACTATCTTGGCTCACTGCAACCTCCACCTCCCAGGTTCAAGCAATTCTCCTGCCTCAGCCTCCTGAGTAGCTGGGATTAGATAAAGAGACAAAAGACCTGGTGCGGTGGCTCACGCCTGTAATCCCAGCACTTTGGGAGGCCAAGAGGGGCGGATCACTTGAAGTCAGGAGTTTCAGACCAGCCTGGCCAACATGGTGAAACCCCATGTCTACTAAAACTACAAAAATTAGCCGGGAGTTGTGGCGAGTGCCGGTAATCCCAGCTAATAGGGAGGCTGAGGCAGGAGGATTGCTTGAACCCTGGAAGCAGAAGTTGCTGAGATCACACCACTGCACTCCATCCCTGGGGGACAGAGAGAGACTCCATCTCAAAAAAAAAAAAAAAAAAAAAAAAAAAGAAAAAGAAAGAGAAAGAAAGAGAAAATATAGGTCAAAAAATATATAGAGCATACAAGGAAAGACTCTTAGAAAAAGAAAAAAATGGAGCAGTCAAGAGACAGTAACAACCCTAAAAATCAGTTTCTCACAGAAAACAACAAGAAAATGTTTCAGAAAGGTAAATTTGGTCAATGGTGTGAATATTGGACAGAGATAGGAGGTGAGGCTATGAGGAAGCTATTAGCTTGGCTCTTAGGAATATGAGACATCAAATTTTCCACCATTATAAATTGGCTTCTTTGGTGAGCTACAGCTCCCACGTTCTAAAGTAATTCTGATCAGCCTATGTGGTTAAAGTAAGATTTACTTCATCTCAGATTTCAGTCCTAAAGGTGTGACCCTGTCCACAGTGATTTATTCAGAAACAAGTACACAACCTGAGTTGAACCACGTATCCTGCATATTATTGCAGTAGCTATCAGGAATGATGGTTTTTTATTCTCTTCTATTTGAAAGTGGCAAGGAAATTGCGATATGTTAGGAGACACTCTGCCACAGCATGAAGAAAGACCATGTGAGAGAGAATACATTTTAATCCCAAAGTACTCTTCAGTTTTGCAACTGGCTAGCTTTCTCTCTCTCTCTCTCCTTCTTTCTTTCTTTCTCTTTCCTTCCTTCTTTCCTGATCTCTATTTCTTTCTTTTTTTCATTTTTTGCTTTTAATCCACTTTCTACAGAGTGAATATGATTTCTGTCACTTGTTACTGAAGTCATAAATAAAATAGATCATTGTAATTCAAGAGAAGAGTTTAAACAAAACGGCTGGAACAAAATTCACACGTGTCAATGAATGAATGAGGGTAGAAAAATGAAAGCATTAAATATACAGTACTCTAAAGACTTTGGGCAGTAAGTGGAAGAAATTATAAGGGGAAAGCAAGTGCCAGCATGTTACGGAGATTTTTTTAAGAACACTCTTTGTTTTCCTAAGAACAAAGCAATTTCAAGAACTAAAATGATCTGAGCACATTTTAAGGCTGGGGATAGAGAATAGAAAAAAAAGAGAATATAAGTGCAAGAATGAAAGAGATCTATGTCCTCACATTTATGTTGTTTTGAAATGCTGTATCTCAAGGTGGTAACTTCTGATAGAAAGTACTAGAACTCTTTTCAGAGTGACAATCACCTGTCTCAATCTGATTCATGGAAACAATTTCACAAGTAAATGTGAATAGAAAAGAAAATTCAGGAAGAGAGAAAAGATGTGAGATACTTTATAATATCAAACTATGACAACCAGTACATCATTTAAGGAGCCGTGTTCTAGTGTATGTTCAATGTGTATTTTTTGAGTCTTTAACTAGTGTTTTAATGCTAGAAATTTTTATTTAATATGTCATAGTTTTCACTCCAATGCCCAGCACGATGCTACAAACAGGTGTTTGTTTTAACTTTTTTTTGTGTATGATCTGAAAGTGCAAACTATATGAATATATATTTTTAAGTTTGTACTATATAAAATACAATTATATTAAATTGAATAGTTAATAAAAGTCCTACATTTCAGTATAATGATAAAGTGATTAAAGCTTGTGGACATAAGCTTCCACATCAAACCTTTATAGTTATGTCCACCCTTATCTCTTATAAAGCTCTTTTACTGGATCCTATTCTGAATGTAGAAATGCTACGTAGTAAGTTTGCTCAAGAGCTTCCTTCACAGAAACCTAAAATAGAATTTTGTTTTTGTTTCTGTTTGTGTATGTGTGTGTGTTTTAAAAATACCAGCACAGAAACTGGCTCATAGCAGGTGTTCAAATATTGTCTTTTTTATGAATAAAATAATTAAAAGATTGAATATCAATAATTAAATTACATGATCGTTTCTCTTGTTCCTTTTTTCTCAGTTTTTGAAAACTTCAAATACTGGTCCTATTCATGAATCATGTATGATTTATTCAGAGTGCAGTAAAGAAGAACGAAACATTTTCCATCATTAAGTGATACAGAATCTCACTATGCTGTCTTCATTCACAAATTCAAATTGGCTTGCTTCTATACTGTCTACACTTCTGATATATATATATATATAAAACTATATATATAAAACTATATATATAACTATATATAAAACTATATATAACTATATATAAAACTATATATATAACTATATATAAAACTATATATATAACTATATATAAAACTATATATATAACTATATATATAACTATATATATAACTATATATATATAGTTTTACATATTGCCTATTTATTTATCCCTTATTATTAATATTCTGACTTTCCAGGTTCCTAAATATCCATTTTCGATCAGAAAAGGCCTAGATATATATTTGCTACAAGACAATGTGAATTAGGGAACCCAAAATGCTAGCTCCTGATCTACTTGGTAGCGCAGGTGCTGGAATGTGAAGTACACTGGGATGGGTTCTGGGTTCACAGCTACAAAGTCCATGATCTCCTGTGTCATCAAATCCTCTCATTGTCTAGCCTCTTATCAATCAAATATTATTCTTTTCAGAAAGCTTACATATTAGGGCTTCCATATGAAAAGGCAATCCAAGGCATGCTTTTAGGTAAATCACCATGTTTCAGACAGATTTCAAGTATATTTTTATTAGAAAACAGATTACTTTCTAACTATAAAAAAGTCTTCATTCCCTAACACAAAACAGTCTTCTTAACATACTTTTGAAAATTGGGATTTTCTTTCTCTATTGTTTATATAAATTTATGGGGTATAAGGGCAATTTTGTTACATATGTACTCGTCAAGTCAGGGATTTAGGGTCTCCATTAGATTGTACGCATTAAGTAATTTCTCATCACCCACCCCTCCCACCCTTCTGAGTCTCCAGTGTCTATCATTCCATGATCTACGTCCATGTGTACACCTTTGTAAGCACTCACCTATGAGTGAAAACATGGAATACTTGTCTTTCTGTATCTGGCTTATTTCACTTAAGATAATGAGTTTCACTCCAATGGAATGAACTCCAATGCCTGTTGCTGCAAAAGACATGATTTTATTATTTTTATGGGTGAATAGTATTCCATTGCATATATATACCACAGAAAATTGAGATATTCAATATAACCATTAAAATGCAAAATCAAATTGAATTAGATGTCCAATATGACATACGTGTTGCTTTGTCAAAATCACCTCAGTGTTTACGTTCATACTCACTTCTCAACTTGTTTTATGTTGCCAAAATAACCCTGCTACCAAAATCTAACAAGAACATTATAGGAAAGAGATGTTACTGACCAATATACTTTATGAACAAAGACAAAATTATCCTCTAGAAAATGTTACTAAATTGAATTCGGCAAAACACAAAATGAATGTTACATCATGACCAACTGTAGGTTTTCCCAGGAATTAGATACTGATTTAATATTGAAAAATTAATATAATTCGCTATGTTTATAGAATTAAAAGGAAAAATTATCTAATCAGTTCAATGGAGGAAGAAAAAACATTTGACTAAAATCAACATCTATTCAGAAAAAACACTCTCAGCAAACTAGAAATTTTTAAATGAGAATAGAAGGGAACGTTATCAATCTGATAAAACGTATCTGCAAAATATTTATAACTAATATCAAAATCAATGGTGAAATACTGAATGTTTTTCCCCGAAAATTGGGAACAAGGTGATAAGGTCCACCATCGACACTTTTATTTAATATTAAATAGGAGGTCTTAGTACAATAAAGAAAAAGATTGAATTTCAGGAAAGGAATAAAAATAACGAAAAAGAAATAAAAGGCACATAGAACATAAAGTAAGAAGTAAAATTATTTTTCCCCAAGAACATAATGTTTATATAAAAATCCCAAAGAATCTACCAAAAAAAAACCCCATAAAACTAATATCTAAATTCAGCTAAATCATGGTATACAGACTCAATATACAAAAAGCAATTATATTCTTATATCCTGGCAACATTTGAAAATTAAAGTTAAATAATAAAATATAAAATAATATCAAAAGCAAAATATTTAGAAATACATTTAACAAAAAGATGAAAGATCGTCATAATAAAAACTATAAAATATTCTGAAACTCTAAAATATTTAAATATAATACATGGATAAATGTACCAAGTTCATGGACTGGAAGGTGCAGTATTATTGTTTATTTATTTATTTTGAGGCAGGGTATCACTCTGTCACCCAGGCTGGAGTGCAGTGGCATCATCATAACTCACTGCAGCCTCAAATTCCTGGGCTAAAAGAATTCTCCTGCCTCAACCTCCCAAATAACTGGGACTACAGGCACACACCACCATACCTGGCTAATTTTTAAAATTTTTGTAAAGACAGGGCCTCCCCATCCCACCCAGACTGGTCTCGAACTCCTGGGCTCAAGTGATCCTCCTGCCTCAGCCTCCCAAAATGCTGGGATAAAAGGTGTGAGTCACCATTCCTGACCTAACTCAGTATTATTAAGATACAATTTCTTCTCCTACATCCCTCTAAAGACTACACAATCCCACTGAAAATGCCAGTTGGATATTTGTTGAAATTTCCAAGTCGATGTTAAAATGCACATGGACAGAATCAAGACTTAGAATAGGCAAAGCAATCTTGAAAAATAAAAAGAAGAAAGCTGCAGTACTTATAACACTTCATATTTGGAATTACTGTAAAGCTATAATAATCAAGACTATAATAATCAAGACAGTGTATCACTGGCATAGGGATATATACAGCAAAAAGGAATAGGATAGAGAGTCTACAAGTAGAACTATACATGTACAGTAAATTGGTCTTTGACCATGTTGCCAACATAATACAATGGGGAAAGAATGATATTTTTTCTTTTTGTTCATTTTTAAAAATGGTGCTAGAACAATTAGATCCCTCTTTGAGAAAAACATTAACTTCAACCCTAGCCTTACACCACCCACAAAAGTGACCCTGAGATTGATTACAGGCCAAAATGTAAAAGCTAAAACTATTAGGCTTCTAAGAGGAAATATAAGAGAGCATATTTGTGACCTTGGACTATGTAAAGATTTCTTATACTAGATTTTAAAAAAGGACTAATCATAAGAAAAGAAAAAATGGACTTTATAAAAGATATATGCTCTTAAAGACTTAAAAAATGAATAAGCAATCCAAAAGTATAAGAAAATATTTGTAAGACATATATCTGTGGAATTCTTACAACTCAATAATAAAAATACAAATAACACAATAAGAAAATAGGCAAAAGATTTGAATGGACATTTCCCAAAAGTGGATATGTAATTGACCAACAAGCACATGAAAAAAGTGCTCAATATTATAAGGCATCCTGGAAATGCAAATTAAAACCACCATGAGTTACTACTACACAACCAGTAGAATGGCTATTTTTAAAATGACAACATTGTTTACAAAGGAAGGGAACGATTAGAACTTCAGACATTGCTGATGGGACTGAAAAATAGTACCACGACTTTGGAAATCTCTGTCACAGTTTCTTTTAAAGTCAAATGTACAACTACCCAGCAATTCCTCTACTAAAAATTTATTCAGGACGGGCACAGCGGCTCATACCTGTAATCTCAGCACTTTGGGAGGCCAAGGCGGGCAGATCACTTGAGGCCAGAAGTTTGAGACCAGCCTGGCCAACATGAGGAAACATCGTCCCTACTAAATATGCAAAAGTTAGCCAGGCATGGTGGCACATGCCTGTAATCCCAGCTACTCGGGAGGCTAAGGTAGGAGGATCACTTGAACCTGGGAGGCAGAGGTTGCAGTGAGCCAAGATGGCACCACTGCACTCTAGCATGGGTGACACAGAGAGACTCTGTCTCAAAAAAAAAAAAAAAAAAAAGCATTTATTCAGGATATAGAAAATATATGTCACCAAAATTACTTCTACAAAAATGTTAATATCAGCCTTATTTATAAGGCTATAAATAAACTCGAAGTAACCCAAATGTCCATAACAAGAGAATAAACAAATTATGTATATTTACACAATCGAATACTACTCAGCAATATGTTCCTAAAATGCAATAACATAATCATCACACTGAATAAAAGCCAGACACAAAAGATAGTTTACTGTATTATTTCAATTATATGAAGCTTTACAATAGACAAAGCTAAGTCATGGTAAAAGAAATCAGGTAAATGGTTGCTCATGGGTACGATGAATTGCCTGGAAAAGAACACAAAGGAAGTTTCTGGAGTGATGGAAATATTCTATATCTTTATTCTTTTTGTAATCTATGTACTTTATTCAAACATTTAAAAACATTATTCTTAGACAGGTTTTGTGCGATTGCCAGTAAGTTGTAAAAGCCTCATGCTAATGGCAGGACTTGAAAACTAGTTGCCTGGGTCTGGAAACTGTAGTCTTATTTACTAAAGTGTGGAAAAGAAATTTATAGACTCTATATTCTCTAGCTCGGTCTTAGCTAGGCATTAAACTGAAGCCAGAAACTGCAAGCCACAATTTCTCATTTACTAAGAAAATAAAAATAATGTTATTAGAAGATAAGCATTATGCCTTATTAGCAGTTGGAAAAAAGGTAAGTTCATCATTCCATATCAGTTATGATAAATGTTATGTTAAATCTGTATTTTTGTATCATATCCTCAATGATTACTCTCTCTCAGGTAAAGAACAATCAACACCCACTGTTATGTTTATTTTTTCCTTTTGTAATCTGAATTTTTCAGAAACATTTTAATTAAATTGCCAAGGAGACACATGAAAAGCCACAGAAGCCATCTTAAAAACATTAGAAGGTTTTCTAGCTTCTTGTAAGTTTTTGATGAACAAAAAAAGAAATAACGACACTGATGATATCATTTATAATATGACCAAATACAATCAGGCATGGGTTTTACGAAGTGTGACTATTTACTTTTTTATACTTTATTATTCCAAACAGTTTGCTTAAATTTGGAGATTAAAAGGTTACATGTCAGGTGTCCATAAACACCTGAGTGAAAGCTTTTAATAATATAAATGTTATCTTTTTAATAGTATAAATGTTCTTCTTTCATTGCTATCATTTTGCATTGAATACAAATAATTCACACAGAAAGGAAAGCTTCACAGCTGAAATATTTTAAAAAGATGTACTGAAACTTACTCTTCCAGCAACTTGACTTCACTTGATTAATTAGCTTTCAAAACTCTATTTAATTTTGAGACTTCTTTAAATCAATGCTATGAAAACTGAGACATGCTTACAGAATTAATTTTTTAAAATTTTTTTCTTAGCAAAGTAGAAGATATATATATATATAGAGAGAGAGAGAGAGAGAGATGTAATACGCATATATAAATATATATTGGAAGCCCACATGTGTAAGTCTGCTTACTAAGAAATCCAAAATGCTTCTTGCCACTTAAAACTTGTAACTAAAAATATTTATTACAGGAAATAATTGTGTTAGGATGTTTGTTGCAGAAAATTGTTTGCTCACCCAAAGTTGAATAGCACATATATTTTTAGAGGTTGTTTTATCCAAAAATCTTGTGATAATTAACTCAGTATGATCTTGCTCTAATTAACTCAAGTATGAATAACAGAATAATATAGTTTCTTAAAATTAAAAGCATAAAGGTATTGCAGCAGGCCAGGTCTCACTAACACAGGCCTCCGTAACAACTGTTTCAGCACTGACTTGGTGGTTAAGTTAAATATTAAAAGCTGACAGAGCCAGTGCCCTTTTGCAAAGGCTGAAATGTAACAAAAGCCCACCAAGAGTTTTGCCCAGGTCTTTCCTGGGCCTTAAAGCATGACAAGATAAAGAAGGACTTCTTGACAGGACCTGTTTAGGATTAGACAAGTTTTACTGGGAGTCCGAAGAAACTCCCCAAACCTCCATGGTTTAGCAGAAGACAAGATAAGGGTAATCACCCCAGCACCTGGACCCATTTAGATTAACTAAATTTACTGAGGATCCAGATGAATGGCTTTAGGACTCAGATCTTAGTTACAGAATAAAGGAAGTTAATCACTTATATCTTTAGATGAATGCATACTTACGCATAGACATATAGCTTAGAAGGTATATAAGCTCACGGAAACTTTTAATTTTGAGTTGGTCTGGCGATAATTTCCAGGCCTTCTCCCTGTAACCAGTTACAGAAATAAAAACTCTCTTCCTCCTCAGTTCATCTGCATCTTGTTATTGGGCTGCGAGAATAAGCACCCCGACCCTAAGTTTGGTCTGGGAACAGTAACCTTCTGGTAAAATTTACATGTCAAAAAATGACTCAAACAAAAGCATTTTAAAAACTGCAAAGGCTCATTTGCCTATGACAATAGTAAGTTACATTGGCCTACGGAAGCTACTGATGTATATTATCTATGATAGCAGAAACCAAGCTTCTTCAATGTGTGATTACCAGTACCTATTTAATGGCTGGCAGGGAACATTAAATATACTTATAAATATGTAAAAAGTCAATATGATCGTTCCTAATTAAAGTTAGTTTACTAAAGGTTATGAACAAATCGTGATTGTAGTCTTATTTCTCTGAACATTGGGAGTTATTTTTAAATTCCAAAATGGAGAGAAATTTTATTAAAATTTTGAGAAAAGAAAAGCTAAAATTAGAATTTTCTGACATTCAGGAAAGATGAAAAGTTAAAAATGCAAATAAGAAAATGTTAGAAGGCAAAGTAATCAATGTATTCATAGCCAGAGAATTTTAATAGTTTTGGCTTACATTCCTAATCTCAGACTGCTAGACCATCCTTCCATAGCTCCCAGGACATAAAATCAGTTAAAATTCATTTTGTGTCATTTATATTCAGTCTAAACTATCCTGTTTACCCAATGTTTAAATGTGTTTATTTTGCTACCAAAAAAAAAAAAAAAACAACTTTTGGAAAGTCTTTGACTCTATCACCTACTAGCTGCCAAGCAGCTGGTCAAGAGAGGCACAATAGTCCAAATAAAATACCAACTTTAGAAGCTATTTTCAGTTAAGAGACTGGACTCGAGAATTCAACATATCTGGAAAGTTTCCCAATAATGGAACAGACGAACTGTCTTTTTTCTCCTGCTTAGCTACAGGCAAAATCTAAAATTATAAAAATAATCATCACCCAAAACTTAACAGATTATGATGCTGAAAATCAAAACAACAACTGCACTCTTTCCAAATTTTCGGATTTCTCATTATCTAGCATTTGAATAAATTCCTTCCGAATTAAAGCTTAAACTATATTCATGAGTTAAATGGCATTATGTTAGATGTATATAGACTTACATATGAATTCCTTTCATGAAGAAACATATACTCTCTTAAGCAGGTTTCCCTACCTTTATCTAATGTTTTCCCATTTTATTCTAAGTGGAGGCCTATCTTAATCTCTGCATTGTTATTGATGTGTGTAGAACATTCACATTTAAAAGAAGTATCTACACATTTGGGCTTAAATCTACCACGTTATTATTGGCTTTCCATGTATCCTTCCTGTTCTTTTTTTGTTCTTTTTCTGCCTCCTTTGGGACTGATTGAATTTTTTACATTACATTTTTTCTCCATTTTTATTAGCTATTATTCTTTATGTTTTAGTGACTGCTACAGAGGTTATATCTCTTTCACTTATCACAAGGTAATTTCAAATATTATATCATTCACTCACATTAAAAGAGCCGTAAAATCTTATACTCCCATTTCTGACCTGTCTTCTCTCCTATTGATGTCAGATGGTTTGTTTCTATGCCTATTATAAACACCACACATTTGTATTACTTTTTTTATCTTTAAACAGTAAATTACCTTTTAAGTGTTTTTTAAAATTAGGCAAAACTATCTTCTATATTTATACATGTAGCCACTATGTTTGGCACTTTTTATTCCTATGTGTAGAGGCATATTTCATTCTGGTATCTGATATTAATAAAGTCCTTTAATATTTCTTATAATGCAGTACTATAGGCCATAAATTTTCCCAGCTTCTTTTTCTGAAAAACTTTTTACCTTTATTTTTGAAACACAAGTTTTTCTTGGTGTAGAATTCTAGATACTTTTTATCTTCTAGTACATTAAAGTTGCCACTCAATTATTTTTTGACCAGCAAGCTTTCCGACAAGAAGTCTGCTGTTTCATTCTTCTTGTTATTTTGTACATACTATCTGCTGGTTTTTTCAGTCTACCTTTAAGATTCTTCTTCTTTATTAGTGGTTTTGAGCAATTTAATTTGTATGTACCTGGTTGAAGTTTTTTTTTTTTTTTTTTTATCTTTTACTTGGGTGGTTGAATTTCTTGGATTTCTGGACTTCTAATTTTTATCAAATTAGGAAGTTTTTCAGCCATTATTTCTTCAAATGTGTTTCTGATATTCCCCTATTGATTATATATATATGTGTGTGTGTGTGTGTGTGTATGTGTGTGTGTGTGTGTGTGTGTGTGTGTGTGTGTATGAATGATATTTTCCCATAGGTCATTGATGTCCTGTTCTTTTTGGGGGGCTTCATTCTGGACAGTTTTACTGCTAAATATTCTACAATGTGGAATCAATTAATCACAACCAATAAGATTTTTTTAAATATTGTTTTCATCTAGACATTTCACTTGGGTCTTACATATTCCATTTCTCTTCTCATCATGTTCAAGTTTTCTTCTATCTTGTACTTATGAAGATAATTTCAGTAGCTTTTTAAGATCATCATCTGCCATTTCTATTATCTCTGTCATTTTGTTCTGTTTTTATTGACTGATTTTTCACCTATTTCTTGAATGCCTAATAAGTTTTTACTGGATGCTGAACATTTTGGGTGCTGAACTTTGTTTATGCCTTGAGATACTGTCGGATGCTGTCATGACATTTCAAGTTAAGTAACTTGGCATCAGTTTGTTCCTTTTTAACTTTGCTCTTAAGACTTGATGATGTGGGTAAAGCACACCAGTTAGTCTATAGTTAATTTAAAACTACTAAGGCCTAATCCTTCAGAAGATTCAACTTGATGGCCTGTGTATTAGGAGGTCTTTCCACTTGATGGCTGGGAACACACATTATTTCCAGCTCTCTGTGAGTGCTGGCCATTGCTCAGGCTTACTGCTGTCTACTTCCAACCTCTCAGCCTTGAGGAATTTCCTCTCAGGCATGTGCAGGTCAGTACCCACTGAAAGACCTTATGTGGATCTTAGGGATTCTGTCTTCTGAGCTCACTGAGGCTGCTGGGCTGTGCTCAGGTTCCTCTCCACATGCTATGGCCTATAAGCTATAAGCTACAGCAATTATAGAACTCACCGGTTTGTTTTTCTTCTCTCAGTTTTTTCCTATGTCCCAATATCTGAAAGTCGTTGCTTCATATATTTTATCTAGTTTTATAGTTGTTCAATTCAGGTGAGTAGATCTGGTAACTGTTACGCATTATGCTCAGAAATATAAGTTCTAGCTTACTAATGACTTTTTCAACTCACTTTATTAAAGTGTTTCTTTTTGTCATTTAAAGTTTTAATTTAATCGCTATGCTTTTTATTGTCAGAATTTATTATTTTTCAAAATGTGTTGCTCTTTAGAGTTAGAATGATTTTTGTTTGTTTAGTCTAACTTTTCAAATTCTTTGGTAACTAGGTTTGCTTGGTACTATTGACTTTCACTAATGGTAGCTTGCTTCCTTGCAATTTTGATTGTGTCCTGAATTAATAACCATTTTTCCAAACCAGATTTGTTTTTACCTAACTTAGGAGTCCTATGGTCTAGAAGAGAATTCTGGACCATGTGAGTAATGTAAATTTTTTGTAATTCAAGTTCCATTTCTTTGGTTGCTGAGTTTGATGTCTCTCTTTTAGGTCTTTGGTGATTCTTGGTTGTATGTATTAGGATTTTTTTTTTTTTTTTTGGTTGTTTGTGTGTGCTTTATCTATTTGCTACCGCCTTTCTCCAGTGATTTGCAGGTTGTGATGGGATGTAACAGATTAGGTGCACCTACAACAGGTCTTCTGAGTATGGGGTGTCTACATTACTGTTTGGTATTCCTAGTCCTTAAGTCAATGACCTCTAGTTTATCCTAACAGCCCAGTTTCAACTCTCGTTAGGAAGAGGGAGGTGTTATTATCTGACGCTCCTTTAGTAGTTCCCCCATCACTGACTCTATCACTTACCACGGGACTCCACTCCATTTATGCTTATTGCATGCCCCAGCCTTGGAAAAAGCATCCCCTTTCACAACAGTATTTCAATGGACACATTTTGAACCATGGATTCTGTCAAGGCTTTGATCCTTTCTCCCATTCAGAGACTTTTTGAGATTTTAATTGTACTCTGAGGACAGCACTGCTTGTTTTCCAGGATGGTGTTTATGTGTCTGTATGTTTAAACATGTAAACATATTTTAAAAAGTATATAATAATGTGCAAACATTGCAAAATATATATGTAATATATGTGTATGCAAGTGTGTAAACATACATATATTGATATATAAATACATGTAAGTAAATATATGTATAAACATGTATATTTACACATATTTTATATAAATATATGTATATTTACACATATTTTTATATATATGTATATTTACACATATTTTTATTTTTATGAATGAATAGGTATAAATATACATATAAATTTTTATATATATTGTTATTTAATAGGCATGTTGGAAAACAAAGCTTTGGGCATATACTCAATCCAAGATATATATATTTTTTTCTTTGAGACAGAGTCTTGCTTTGTTGCCCAGGCTGGAGTGTAGTGGAGCGATCTCAGCTCACTGCAGAGCTTCCGGGTTCAAGCAATTCTCCTGCCTCAGCCTCCCAAGTAGCTGGGATTACAGGTGCATGGCCACCATGCCTGGCTAATTTTTTATTTTTTTTTTAGTAAAGATGGGTTTTCACCATTTTGGCCAGTCTGGTCCCGAAATCCTGACCTCAAGTGATTCATCCGCCTCAGCCTCCCAAAGTGCTGGGATTGCAGGCATGAGCCACTGCACCCGGCCACAATCCAAGATCTTGATACAGCCTTCCAACAATAATTTTCTATCAAAAGATATTCAAATGACTCTGGTGACTTGGGCAGTTAGACTTTCTTAAGTGGGAAATGTGTCCCAGTATTTATAAATTTTAATTATGCTTCTATGTTTGGAGCAGGATAGGTTATTAGTTGTTTTTAAGTTTTTTTTCTTTTTTCCCCTGTAATTTCCCTCCTTCCTAAGAAGATAAATAAGAAACTCTGCTCTTTTGTCCTGGGAGTGGTTTGTACTACAGGACTGAAAACAAAATCTACCCAGAAACAATGAATCTATATCCCCTGTGAAAGTCTAAATCCATTCTAGGATCAGGCTAACAATTTTAGAGAGGTAAGAAAAAGAGGCCAATACCTTTCAAATCAGAAAGGAGAGAGATGTAAGAGAGACTAGCCTAAGGCTGGGGATGGGAGAGGAAATGTGTGGGTTCTGTGTTATCAGAAAGAAAATCCCATCTTAGAAAGCACAGTACCTTTGCAGCAGAGTGGGCAGATTCCCATTTTTCCAGTTGACACAAATCTTGACCAGCTAAGAGCAGAGGACCAACTTAATTTCTTAACCAACTAAGAGAGAGTGAGAGGAGTAAGCTAAGCACCCATCCTACTGATTCTTTTTATGTGTCTTGGCTTAGATGTACAGCATGCACATGTAGTAGATTGTGTTTATCGCTGCAGTCCCACCAGCTCTGTCATCAAAGAAACTGTCTTAAGTAGGGTGTAAGGTGTTGATTGTTAAACTGGTGTCCAGTGGAACTGCTATGTAGTCATTGTTCATGCTTTTATTGCCTTCATCAGTATTTTAAGAGGAAATTTAGAGAGGCTGCATTAGAAACTGCTAGCATTATACAATCTTAACCCAGAAATCCATTTTGAAAATCTTACCATATAATCATTTATGTTATTCCTTTACTAAAAACAATATAAGCTTACTCATTTAGCAAATAGTGTCCCAATTATTGCACCCTGAGGATTTTAATGTATAGTGGTGACAGTCATGACACAGAGGAGCTAATGTTATTGAAAGAAGAGTTTTATTAATTACATTTCCCAAGACAAAGGGGCATGCTGGGCACATGGAAAACACCAGGTTTGAGACAGGAGACAGAAGCAGAGGCAGAAGCTAACCTAGGGGAAAGCTTAGGCAAGAGCCTATATTGGAATTTCTACAGGAAGGCAAGTGGGGAGCGGGGTAGGGCAGGGCAGACTGTTCAGGGCTCGCTAGTTTGAGTAACTCTGGTGTGCTTTGGGCTAGAGTGGGGACTCTAGTTGCTTGGTGCCAGGATTGTTTTAGGGCAGGGAAAATGTGTTGGTTTGGTGTGTGAGATTAGATAAGGATGTGGTTGGGGATATAGACTCCTGGAGATCGGTTGGTTTGTATATGAACCACATTCTCCCAGCTGAGCCTTTTGCTATCTCAGAATTGGCTAGCCCTGGGAGAAGAAGCCTTTCCAAGGCCAGCAAGCTTTTTAAGATACCCAAACATCACAGAACATAGCAAATAAAAAATATGATTAAGAGAAGTAGAAATA
This sequence comes from Homo sapiens, assembly GCF_000001405.40. Lineage (NCBI taxonomy): Eukaryota > Metazoa > Chordata > Mammalia > Primates > Hominidae > Homo > Homo sapiens. Next base: position 38,341,683 of record NC_000013.11, read on the forward strand.
GAAAGGTGTATTTATTAGCTCTTGAGACATAACTTGGTGATTAAGAAATATTCCAAAAAGATGGAAAACAGAAGTAAGCTTAGATTATAATAATTAGCATCTAATAGTTTTTTCTCCAACATTACTTGGTTATAAACAAAACACTATTTACTATGCCTCCCATAAGAAAAATTTTTAATATACTAAGAACAGTTTGAATTTTATGCTATGATAAAGATATATTAGATATAAATTAAGTCTTTGACTTAATATTAACACTAGAGAAAAGTAAAATGAAAAGCTAGCATGATTATACTCATGAGCATTCCAGTTGAAGAGACCTGGAAATGAGCAGGAGAAACATTAAATTATGCAAATATTTCTTAGAAAGGCATATATTTTTGTAATATTTATAGAAGTTTGGTGTTTATAAACACCAAACTTTAAAAGGCCCAAAGATAATAAATAAAAATTGTTAAATAAAAGGCCAGGATATACTAAATCTCTCAGGAGATGATAGTTTTTAATGGCAGTAAAAGTGAAACTTCATTAGTAAAGTTTATTTAGTAACTACAAAATAAGTAGCACATATAAGAACCAGCATTTTATTCTCCTATAAATGAAGTAGATTGTATTCCTACTTATTGTTTAAGGAAGAAGAGGAAAAAAGTTCCACCTCTCTGTTAATACTCTGATAGCTTTGGGAAGAAATTCTTACCAATTCCAAATTTGAGACCCATTCACTTACCACCATAAATTCACCTTTAAACAACTAAGGAAAAAAATTTAAAACCTTGTGTAGGACAGAATCTATTTCAGCATTTCAGAAATCAAGATAAAAGTGGCTGTGAATGCAGGAAAAAGAGGAAGAATTTAAAGGAATTGCTAGAGATTTTGGATAGAATTAACCAAACTGAGGCGAACAGAGCTGTTAAAAAGGCATGCAGAATTGCATGGGATGTAGTCACAGCAGACAGTTGATTCCCTTTGTAAGATTTCCAAGCCGTTACTGGAAACATTTAAATTCTGTACCAATTAATAATTTTAGAATGATCTAGATCAGATCATGTTAATATCTAAAAATAGTTCTTTCAAGCCAAACCTTTCTATCAATTCTCCTTCATGATATAACTCTTAAGCCATGGGTAAGGTTATCACATAAGTATTTAGATCTTCAAAATCTCTACTTTATGAATTATAACTTTAAAGCCTACTAAACAATATAAGTATTCATGTGGTTCTTTTGGCTAATGGAATTGCAACAAAACTGCTATCCCAAAATCACATCATTTACACCAAAGAATATAAACTGGAATGACTGCAGGGGACCAACAGAAAACATAAAAGTATGACTAGGACAAAAGCTGCTGAACCATTTCTGTCTCTACCAAACATAACATTCACTTGGCTGCACTACAGAGCCCAACCCAAAAACTCCCAGGACCACCGGCCATCAGCTCACAACCTCCACTTTGCAAGCCACCACCACCATGGACGCTACAAGGAAGGTTGATGTCAATAAGCAATCCTTCATCCCAAGAGGTATACAATCTGAAAGAGTCAATAATGAGATTTCTAATTTAGGGTATCTGATTCAGAATGTCACATGTCACATAAAGTAATGGTGAAGGAACATGTGAGGATATTCACATATTTTTATTTGATTGGCTTCTTTATTTAACCATATTTAATAAGAATCTTTAATTAGCCTTTCAAACCTCTGCTTTCACCAGTAGCAGTGAATTGACTGAATTGTATTATCCTTTGAATAGATAAGCCTTAAAACAAGAACAATTCAAGAGTCAAAAAATATAATCTACTGCACTAAGAGCATTTATGACTGCAGTTAATGAAATGTAAAAACATTACTGCAATTGGAAAGCATTACCAATCTACAGTATTTTTAAGTTAACATTAATTCACTCAATAAATACTATTTTAGTACATGCTATATGCCAGATATTTGTTCTGAGTGCTGCAAAATCAAAATTGAGTAAGAACTCATTGAGAAGCACACTGAATGAGTTTATAAATTCAACTATTTGTATTGTAAAAAAATACTAGTAAAAATAAGCTCATATGCAATCAAATTAGGTAAGTTTTGTAAAGAATCATCAGCAACTGTGCTTCTTCATTATTCTCTCACAAACCGTATGTAAAACCTTAGGCCTACAAAACATAATCCACTTTTGTTCATTTTCTGATTTTTAAAAGAAGTAACAGTACCCATCCCGAATGCTTTGTATTTTATTATAGGAAAAAAGTAAGTTAGTGAATGTAATAGCACTTCAAAAAGAACGAAATGCTATATAAATTTCTTACATCCCTTAGAGACAACCAACAGCCATGTTATCATGGCTGTTTCTACTGTGGTTGGTCATGATGAAGAAATATAAAAAATGTTTTGTATATCTAAGAACAGCAGTATTAAGTTGAAAATAATATTAATATTTAAATGGTAATCTAGAATATATCCCAATTCATAATATGGCAAGTTATGATGCAATTTTTAAATAATTCATTGTCACATTGGCTTTAATACTTTCTAAGTGCCTCAAAGAAGAATGACTACTAGATGACCTTGTTAATTCCTAGGGCAAAACATACAAAATTAAACATTGTAGGGATCTAGATGCTGCCTCAAAAAATAACAATAAAAAAATTATAGGGAAAATGAGCATTGCATAATTCCATTAGGGAAACTAAAAAAAAAAAAGTAAAATATTATTTAGATACAAATCTCATACAAGAATTCACAAAATACAATATTACAGAACAGTAAAATAAGAAGCTAAGAAGATAATGTTATTCTCTTTAAATTACATGCTTTACTCTGATGTGACTACTAAGTTCAGTTTGCAAAAAATTTAAGTGAAAATTTTTCAGTAAGTGTGGAAATGACTTTTTTTTAGTCAGTAACCATTTTATATTATCATTTGGAGGCAACATGCTTCAGTTTGAAGTATATTTTCCACTCCTCTATTTTTTAACTCTATATTTATATCAATTATGTCACCGTTCTTTTCATCTTATTTTTATAAGCATAATTTATTTTATTTTTAAAATAAACTGGTTTCTTTTCTAAATAACATGTTTATTCACATTTGCATTTTTTGTTTTTTTAATTATTTTAACTGCCATTTTTATTTTCTTATGTCAGTGTAATTCTATATCTTAAACATCCTTAATCATTATTTGACTTTATTAAGAATAGAACTTTAAAAGAGAGAAGCTTTCACAGACTCACTATGTGGATTTATATGCCATTTACTTCTGTAGCAGACAATTTGATGTCTGCTACAAAATGTTTTACTTATAAAATAACTCTTCCATAGGTAGATGGGAAAATAAATCCATAAATTAAGACTCTAAGAACTTTAGAAAGAAATGAGAACTTCCACTACCATCCTCATCCCCAAAGTATCACATGTCTTCAATGCACAAGTTGCCATTCTTCAGGGGATTAATTACAGGACACTTCTGAAGTGAGAACTATTTTTGCCAAAGTTCACTAACAAGTCACAAATGTTTTATTCTTCCTATACCAGTGAAGAATATAGCAAAAACTAATGGAAAAAACCTGACTGCATATAGTTTTAAATTATACCTTAGAGAAAGCATGGGAATATCCCTGAGCCCATCTCAGCAATAAAGATAGACTAACTTCCCTGTGGTAGTTATATTCATAATTGCCTAAACTTGGAAGCAGCAAAGATGTCCCTTAGTGGGTAAATGGGTCAATAAACTGTGGTTCATCTAGACAATTGACTATTATTCAGCACTTAAAATAAATAAGTGATCAAGCCATGAAAAAACATGCAGGCACCTAAATGCATATTACTGAGTGAAAGACGCCAATCTGAAAAGACTACATACTGTATGATTCTACAACATTCTGGAAAAGGCATAACCACAGAGACAGTAAAAAGATCAGTGGTTGTCAGGGGCTAAGCAGGAGGGAGGGTGAATAGGTGGAGCACAGAACTTTCAGGGCAGTGGACTATTCTGTATGATACTATAATGGTAGATACATGTCAATGTATATTTGTCTAAACCCATAAAATGTACAACACCAAGAGTTAACCCTAATGTGAACTATGGGCTCTGGGTGATAATGATGTGTCAATGTGGGCTCATCATCCGTAATAAACGTACCACTCTGCTGAAGGATGTTGAAAATGTGAGAGGCTATGAATATATAGGGATAGGAAGTATCTTTATCTGCTCAATTTTGCTGTGAACCTAAAACTGCTCTAAAAAATAAAGTCTATAAAAAAATACTCTGGGCTGGAGAAAGGAGGAGAAGAAAATGATAAACATTGTAAGGTCTCCCCGAAATATGGCCCTATTCCTTCATCCCTAGGGAAACAATCTCTAGGGAATTTCAGAATCAGAGAAAAGATGCCCAGTTCCTGCTCCCATTGAAGCCCAGGAAGACAACAAAGTTCCCTTCATTCTAGGGAGAAAACATGTTATCTTTAGTCAAAGATGTCTGAGCTCTTCTGGGTTCCCTATAGCCACAGGGTGGTACAAGAGGGCACTTTTCTTACATCCCTTAGAGACAACAAACAGTCCTAAAGTCGTCTTGCCAGCACACAAAAAGGAGTGATATCACCAGACAAAAATGAGATGTCATGTGTCTCAGATGTTTGGAGTGGACACAAATATCACTGAGAATATGGAGAGATGATGACAAAGGACCAGACGTCACAGTCCTCTGAAGCCTGTATTCTACATAAAACTGCAAGAAGAGTCATGTGGGGAGAAACTACAAATGGATCTAAAAATCTCAACTTGAATCAGAAAACCTTAAGTTAATAGAGAAAAGTAAAAATAGAACATTAATATTTACCTCATTTAGCTGGTGGAAGGATAAAAATATGTAAATGTGGAAAAAAAAAACTCATGGTTGAAATGGATTTGTCAGAGGCTACTTCAGTTTTTCTAAAAGTAATGTTTCCATTAAATGAAGAATTCGCACAATATTTAGAGAGAAAATTTAATTATACCAGACTGTTAAATTCCTGTTTTTCACAGTTCAAAATGCCATTTTGTAATAAAGATATTTTACAAATTCTGTGGTTAAAATATTCCACGTTTTGTGATTAAGCCTCAAATTTAGAAACATTGTAGTCAATGAGCTTCGTAGAAAAGTCATTTCTTTTTCTCACTGAATTTTAGAAAATATTTGGGAAAAATATGTAACTGTAACAATCAAATGTAGCACATTTAGAGCTATAGTCTTCTGTAAGGGCTTGCCTGGACTTGCTAGGCTCCGATCTCACCTGGGTTTCATTGTTCTTTTTGACTCAAAGGAATGTAAATATTCTCTAACCTTCTAGTCCTTACCTTGAAAAATAACACAGCATTTACATATTCCCAAGTACTTCTGTAACCAAATCCACTCTCTCCTCTTTGTATAAGGCTTCTTGTCACTAAATTATGACTTATAGCCAAGGCATCAAAGTTTAAAGTCTATATTTTGTCATTGATTTGTACAAAGTGGTTAATACCAGCCAAAAATAAATCTTAATGAATTTTGAGTCATTATTATCATTGCTTCAATTATATCAATGCCTTTTAGTGGATTTTGAGGGGAGAAAAGGCAATAGAAAAAAATGAACAAATTAAAGTACTATTAAAATACCAGTCAATTATTAATTGATCAGTCTATAATTTGTTCCCTGTAATATAAAGTATTTGGAATAGAACACCTTAAGATTTATTCAGGTGCAGATGTTTCAAGATTACATAATTTGACTATCAGATGGTTCTAGTCATAATCGTAAATACAATCAAATTATGGTGAAAATGAAAGAATTTTTTTTGGCATCCAGAGGAATATAAAAAATAAAGTTGGCTATAAAAATAACTAGTCAGAAGAATTTCTATGACTATGGAAGCAAATCTTTTTAGTCCTTATGTAAATTTAATTTCCTTCTGGCTTTCTTCTAATAATGGGAAATTTATATGCATTTGCAAATAGAATATTGGTATGCTTCATTGACATTTAATGAGGTCTAACATGGTCACACTGTGCACTTCTACAGTCATTTCTGCCTCTACATGATACTAATTGGATCTTTTCCAAAACACATTAGGCCATTTATGCTATTTGTTGTCTTAAAATGTTCCATTGCCAATTATCTCCAAAAATTTGCTCCAGAGTTTGCTTCTGATTACAGCCATTAAACGTACTTCAACATTTTAACTTTTCAGTAAAAGAGAAGGTCCTTGTTTTGCTATAAAATTTTCCAATTGCAAATCCCTTCACAAAGTTAAAAAAATTGATTATAAATAAATCCATTTATAATTTCTTTCTTGTCCTAAGCAAAATAAAACTCAGGAGGCTGCAGAAATCATGCTGTGACTCTGAGGAGACAAACATGAGAAGCAGAGTTGGGGACTGAGGTGAAAAAGAATTCTAAATATTTAGAAACAGCTGCTTTTTAATATCTCAAGAGATGTTATTTTGATATATTATACAAATGTATTTTCTGAAGCAGCAGAATCTGAGTACTAAAGTCACACTGTGGGACTGAATTCTGTTTTCACCACTTTTTATACATACAATAAAAGCTCTCTGATTAATATCCATTTTTCTCTTTAGGATTTTGCCACGTTTTGATTCATGAGCAGAAACCAAACTATAAATAGCAGGATGCAAATTTTGTTTCAAAATATATTATATGTAGTCTTATAGACTGTAAATATGTACACTCATCTCTTTCATTATTATTTGGCTAGCTGACAATAGGTAGACACAATCACAGTTTTATCCTTATTACTATTCTCACAAGTTTTAGTCACACCCACTAATTGAATAGTTTCAGCTATTAAGGCTGTAACTGTTGATCCCTGTATCTGTCAATCAATATTTGGCTTCATCTACATATATGGTAAGACCATTATTTTAAAAAGTGAGGATGGCTGTCATGAGAATGTTGGAGTCTTACTTGCCTACTCAGAACCAGAACTCTCTCCACTGGGAAATGTCACCATAGAAGATCAGTTGGCTGCAAAATTATTGTAAAGATGAATTTGATCTCCATTATCCCTACTACAGTTCCTTCCTGGTTCCTCTCTTAAGTATCTCTCCTTAAGAATCTGATGCATATTCTAAAGATCAACTAGATTGCCCCATTATTTTAATGCCTACCTGCTTCCTCCTTTGTCTATTCATGCTAATGTTTTAAAAGGGCATTTCAGTCATTGTGAGACAGACGCATATTTTCCAAACACAGAGGTTTAGATCTGTAATAAAGTTTAGAGGACAATTTTCTTCCGTCATCACTACACAGGATGTTAGATCCTAGAGAGTTGACGCCTACCTGCCTTACTCATCTTGGATTCCCCAGAGTTTAGCTTAGCGCCGGGCAAATAGAAAGGGTTCAAAGTTGGTTGTTAAATTGAATAAATGTGGTCAGTGATTAGCAACTCAGCGCACTGGTTTAATTAGACCATATAACAAATTACTGAAATCTCCTGTTCATAGATGTGTCTTCCCAACTAGACGCCACGTTCCCCAAACGTAGAAACCTCATTTTTTCTCACCCACCCCAGCGGGAGTCTTGGCATAGATAATTCGTACTTGATAGCTCTCTTACTTAACCGAAATTCAATAGTTATAAATCAGTATCGGAAAGTAAAGCGTGAAGGAGAAACTATGAGAAATGTAAAGGATATAACAGGATTGGTTTGCTGGAAAGACGGAAGAAAACTAATGATAAAGCAGTGTTACAATTCCTGCTTCTGGAGCACCAATTAAGCTTTTCCGCGCTCAGGTTGCCTTAGAAACTTTAGAGCGCGTCCGCCCCAGCCCCGCCCCCGGCCTCGCCCCGAGCTTCGCCCCAAGTCCATCTCGCTCTTCATCCGACTACCCCATACCCTTACTTCCGCCCCAACCTGCCAACTGGAACCTAGGGTCCTACGCTCTATGCCCACGCTTATTCTGCCTGACTAAAAATATGGTAGCAAATTACCAAAGTTAGAAAGATATCTTATAAATATAATCCATACTTTTTTCTTAGATATATAAACGCAAAAGCACAAGATATTTGTAATTTAAAAGCGCCATCTAGCATGAGCTCTTAGGGCCAATTTTCAGGCAGTGCGTTGGATAGCAACAACTTCGGAGGTCCCCAGATTGCAGAGGGAGACGTGGACGTGAGTGGAGCGGGGCGGTCCCCAGCACACTAGAGGAAGTCGTGCTACCCCCGCGGAGTTGTCGTGTGTTCTGGATTCATTCCGGCACCACCATGTAAGTGTTTGCTTACCGACTGCCATAATTCCTGGTCCAGCTGCCCGACCCTGACTCTCTCCCGCTCTTTTCCTCAGGTCGAAGGTTTCCTTTAAGATCACGCTGACGTCGGACCCACGGCTGCCGTACAAAGTGTGAGTAGCTCGGCCGAGATGGGCCTTTTGGGGCCGGACAAGACGGGGCTGGGTTGGGGATGATCCGAGCTTTTCCAACAACTACCCCACGCAGTCTTCATCTCTTCACTTCATCTACTTTCCTGGCTCGCGCCCTTCCAGGAGCCTTTCCCACCGGAGCCTGCGAGGAGAGGTCCGTACTTGCTCGCTAAGTGTCAGCTTGGCAGCTTGGCCCCGTCACGAGGGTGTGGGTGTGTTTCTGATTAGTGACCTCCCCTCGGAATTCATTTGGTGGGCAGGTGGCGCGGGAGGACAGGTGGACCAGGTTCTGGTAATTTGTTGGGATTCTTAAACAGTCCCCATCTGCTGGATATTAGAAAAGCGTTTCACCGCTTTGGCCAGCTGGTTGAGGAAGTTAAGGAAGACATTCCATCTTGATAGTCAAGACTTTGAAATTACTTGAACATTTGTTATTCCGCGGCTTCTGAGTTTCGTTGTGTATGAGTAACTCAGCAGTCGGGCATCACAAAGTAATGAGACTCAGATCACACCCTTCCTATGCTGGGATTTAATAGAGTATTTGGTAGGAATGGGAAATGCAGATAGGGGATAGTTTATCCATGTGGGGCCTTTACTTATCCTTCGCAGTTGAGTGATAGATTTTAAGTAAACACTCTTGAGGTTATTGCAGTTGGAAGTAGCATGAAATGTAGCAAAGAACAGGATTACAATAGAATTTTTTGCATAATTAATTAGTACCTTGGCCTACCTAGCTGACTGATAAATTTCAATGATTTACCAATCCATGATCCGTACAACCTCTCAGCCTTTTCCTCCCTTGATCTTTTCATCTCCAAAATATCCCTGTTACACTTTATCTCAGGTGTTCATGGTTGCAGCCTAGAACCTTAAGATTCCAATAATTGCTCCATCTCTGAGATGTCGTTTACAGGCACTCTTATGGATAAATACATTCTCTCCTACATGATTTACTATAATTTCTCATCTACAACGTTTCATTTAATCCATTAATCACAGTGATTTTTTATCTGTAGCTATCCCCACTTCTATTCCTTACCTTACTCCTTATATAGTTAAGAGTCCATTGGTCCACCTTTAAATCATTCTCATGCAAACACCCTCAACTCTGGTGGCCCTGTCTCTCCTCTCAGCATATTTTGGTTAGTGAAACACCAACTCTGAAACCAGCTGTTTGTATTATCTGTACATAGCTGACTGCCCCTGGAGAAAATAACAGACTGGAGGGTTTACATTAAATTCATGACTACAATTAATAGTACCTAGTACTTAATACATTCTTCAAGTTTGCTCATTTTCCTCCTTATTCTCAGAAAAGATTGTTTAAAAATTTCAAACTTTCCACAGCTGCTGTCTCCCTTGCTATCAAGCCATCAGAGGGAAATTCTATCATCTTTACACCAATGTAAACCTACCACTACATGGATAAATCCGTTAATTTCCCATCCTGTTAGAATGGAAAAAATGACTTCACTCCTATGAAAAACCACTTGAGCTATAGTTCCCATCTATTTCAGTCTTGTCAAGGTTAAAGTAGATGGAGTCCAGTGCCCCCTCTCTCCTCATGATTGGTTTTTCCCTTTCTACTGGATTATTCTCATCAATATGCAAATGTACTCGAAAGAGAGCGTGAGAAGGAAGGAAGAAAATGATAGAGTAGGACAATAACATTAAGAGCCTGGAACATTGTACCAGTTCAGTTAATATGTGGTGACTGAATGAATTTAGTAGGTACAACTGTTGTTTAGTATGTATGTGTGCGTGTGTAGTTGTGTGTGTATGTGTATAAGGATGTGTGTGTGGAAAATTCACATAACGTGTAAATGTGTGTACAAGGGTATCTGTGCTATATTTTCTTTTCAAAGTACATGGTAACTAGTACTTGGGTACTTGACAAGCTTGCCCTTTTAATCTTTGCTTCCTTTACACATGTTCTTTTCTGTGCTTAGAATGCAGTCTCATGATCACAACATATTTTATAGTAATAAAAATCTCACCTCTATGAAGTTTGTTTTTTTTTCTTTCTTTCTTTTTTTTTTTTTTTTTGTGAAACAAAGTCTCGCTCTGTTGCCCAGGTTGGAGTGCAGTGGCACGATCTTGGCTCACTGCAACGCCCGCCTTCCCAGTTCTTCTCCTTCCTCAGCCTCCCAAATAGCTGGGACCACAGGTGTGTGCCACCTTGCCCAGCTAATTTTTTGTATTTTTAGTAGAGACGGGGTGTCACTGTGTTAGCCAGGATGGTTTCCATCTCCTGACCTCGTGATCTGCCCACCTCGGCCTCCCAAAGTTCTGGGATTATAGGCGTGAGCCACCCCTTCTGGCCAAAGATTTTTCTAATTGTCCACAGAGTTAATCTCGCCCTTCTTGAGTTACCTGTGGACTTAGTCTTTATAATAATTCTTACCAATTTATGTTATTATTTTGTTTATATATTTATTTAAAAAACAAATGATGCCAGTAATTTACTTCAAAAATTCTCATTAATGTAAATTTATTCAAAACACTGGGATAATTTAAGTACCGATTTTATGAAATGACTGGCAAATACAACTTTAAATCTAGATAAGATCTGTGGAGTCACTGTAACTCTCATTTTTTCTAATTTTCTGCCAGTTAGAACTTGCATTAAAAGATGTTTTCATTTTTGATTTGTTTTTATTGGCTTGTCTGTGGACACTCACCAACTTAATATACAGATAGAAACTTATTTTAATGAGCATCAGTATGACATCTAGGTATATTGTAAGGACATTTCCAAGTCTCCGATTTAAAAGTGAATTGAACTCCAAGGGTTTAGAAGTTCTCCAATTGATGCAGAGTTTTAGGAAAATGAATCTCAGATTCTTAACTACATATACACTGCAAAAATACTTTGTAAAATACTGTTGCCTAGTTTGTAAACTATGACATTGCCAGTTCGTTAGTTTTTAAACAAATGGCTATCCTTTATATGTTTTTATTTTTTTCCACCCCCCAAAAACATTAGTAAAGAAAGGGTAAAAATGATACCCATTTTCATCCTTTAATAGTATTTTGGAGTTGTGGAATGAGGGCAGCCAAGAAATCTATTCACATTTCTATTACTGAAAACTGGTACCATATGCTGTTCCTGTTATAATGATTCTTATAGTCAGAGATCTGTAGACTGAGTGAGGAGCCTGGGCATATACATGAGAATAATGGTAGCTGGTATTGAGACACTTAAGAACAATACAATAATATGGTGGACAAATAGAGAAGTTTCAGTGAGAAATGTTAGCTTGTAAGTCTCCTCTGCTTTGAAAGATTGTTTTCTGTTTTCACTCATTGTAATTTATGTTACCTTAGGGATCTTATTTTTTAAAAGAAGTTTTAAAAACCTCTTACTGTGTCTTAAAGTGTTTTCTTAAGGTATAAAGTAAATTTCTGTTTTGATTTTTTTTATTGGAAAGTTCATACAGATTGACCCTGGGACTAAGTCATTAAGAAAAAAAAAATATATTTATTCATGATCTTTAAAATACTTGCCGTTATATGAGTCAGTTAACAAAATCACTCATCCCTCTCCAAAATGTTATTTCACATTTTACTTAGCCCACTTTAAATGATGGTAGAAAAATCACTTCATTATTGGCATTTTGACATAATGAACTTCATGCATTTTCATTAATTTGGTCTACTAATTTTGAACATGATTATTAAGAGTACACAGAAGGTTCATCAAAAGCTTTATGATCCAGTGATGCTTCCCAAGTAGCCTTCTACTTATAATGAAAATGATAACATTACTGGGTCAAGTGCATAGATATTTAGATGGGAGGTAAAGTGGACTGAAGACCAAGGAGAGCTTCACCTTTTTGAAATCCATCTCTAGAAACAAACAGCAGTTCATATGCTAGACTTACATGTATGAAAGTGTTAGAAATATATAAATCTACACCTTAAAGGTTAATTCTCAAGTGGAGCTCGGGCACCATCCCAGCTCTAAGGCTATTTGCTGTTTGGGTTGTTATTATTATTATTATTATTTTGAGTTAAAGAATGTAGTATGCAATCAAAATCACTAACTTTGAAACTGAAAAGACAGCTTTGTCCAGATTGGCTACAGTAGTGGAAATAAGGAACAAAGGGGCTTTTTTAGAAAATGGTGACTTTAAAAGAAACTGTTTTAAAATTCTTCTTGCAGACTCAGTGTTCCTGAAAGTACACCTTTCACAGCAGTCTTAAAGTTTGCAGCAGAAGAAGTAAGTACAGAAGTTGGAACAACCTTTATGGAATGCGGTTTGCCAATATGCTTCAAATGTCTTTAAGAGTTGCATGCACTTTGACCCATCATTTCCATGTGGCTTCATTACTAGGTTTATGTTATCAAAAAGTAGGATGATAGTTAAGACTTACTTTCAGATATAAGAAGCATGAGTTAAACAAATTGACATATCTGATTAATGCAACCATTGAAAATTATAAGAATTTAATGAATTTTTATGAGAATTTTTATGAAAACTAAAAAGGTGCTGATTTTTAAATGTTTTTTAAAATGCAACATTATATCACATTATATTCTATATACTCATATTTTACTAGTCTTGATTCCAAAATTGCAATTTCATAGAATCTTTATCATAGTTTTCAAATTTTCTATATGAGCATGTGGACTGTCAGTAAAATTTGTTGTTTTGAAAAGTTTCTAGTTTTTTAAAACATGTTTGAATTTTCTGTTTCATAAGAAACAATTTTTTTCATCCAAAATTATTAGAAATATCTATAATGCAACTTTTTGGACATGACACTTGAAAAAGTAGCTTGATCTGTTAGAAATGGCACCCAAATGTGACTTCGGAGACTTAGGGTTCCTGTTGTAGGTGCGTCATTAGTTAGCTATGTGACATGATGCAAATCCCTCTTTTTTATTCTGCAAAATGGAAGTAGTTAATACCTGTCCTTCCTCTCTGATCAAGTGATTTCGAGTAAAAACATTATTTCCTGAAATTTTCTGTTGAAGTTAAAAGTGCTAAACAGGTACGTTGTAACCCAAATCAAAACGTTTTGGTTCAGAATCTTTTGAAAAGTTTATAGTCACAGAAAAATAATTTTCTTAACTACATTAATAAAAAATAGCTTAACACACAATCCTGCCCTGTACTTCACTGATTTATGGCAAGTCAGCCAATCCATCAGTGCTCAAAGCTCCTTGTATTGTCAGGAATCACTAACATTATTTGTCACTCATTCAGAATTAAACTGCCAACTAGTAGCATTTGTTTTGTGTCTGATAGATTCTTCATGCAGAAAGAATAAGTAAAATGAGATGGGACACAAATCTGAGTATAGCATTGTCATTACTTTTTGCTGCACAGATTACTTGCAAGAAATATTCTAGTCTGGGGCATAACAGAATCCACAAATTCCAGATTTAAGAAGTAGATCTATATAAGCTTTATTTAATATTTGTTATATTTTTTAGTTACTCATTGTGTGTCCTTTATAATGCAAAGGCATTTTTTGTGATCTTGGTTTTCTAATTAAAATAGAAGAAAATCTTAACATACAGTAGTGAATAAGAAACACCACACAACCATATATATTGATTAAGGTAGTTTATAAGTAAAGCTTACAGTAGAGTAAGCTACAGAAAAGAAAATATTAAGAAAACCATAAGAGAAAGTATATTTACTATTCATTAAGTGGAAAAGGATCACTATTATGAATCATAGGTGTTACATATTTAGAAAGGATATGACTTTCAGATCGTTGTGAGAGGGGCTTTCACAAGATAACATTGTAGAATCATTCAGTGAGAACAAAAGTTGACTCAAGAAAGCAAGAGTCTGGATTTAAATCCCTCGTAAAATTGCCTTAGTAAGCAATAATAAAATTTCCCAGCACATGACTGGGGTAAGTAATGAATTGTTGAAACCTGCAAAGAGCCCTAAATTATAAGAATTATGGGGGATCGGAGGAGGAAAATAAATGAAAACAGAAGACCATAAAAGAATACTTTGCATTCAGTAGAAAACCTGTCAGTACTGTAGGACAAAAAGGAATAGATTCTACATTTTACATCACCAGTGATGCCTCCTCATGGTTTAACCATTTCTTCCACATTCTGCCTAAAGGGAAAACTGTGTCAGCAATTGCTTTTGGTTTTTAAAGTTATAGGTTGCTACTACATGGATGTGACTAAGAAAATACATAGATTATCTTAAAATGGGCATGATGTAAAAGACTCAATCAGTAGGGTAACTAAAAACTTTGTAGTACTCTAGCTTTGGAAATCTGAGAGGCCTATATAGTTCATTTGAGTGTTTGATCAAATTCTTATTGAGATTACAGCCTGTGCAAAATATTTGTGATGCATTTTTAAGTTTACTTAAGTACACTTTGAAATTCTTTAAAAATTTTAAAATCTTTAAAAGGACACAAGAGTGTACCACATTGAGATTAAAATGTGTTTATTATTAATTTGTACATAATACTATAACAAATAATTGTTCTCAGGTATGTTTAAGGCCTTATTTTAAAAGTTGATTCTTCAATTTCTAATTTAAAATAAGCTTTTAGTTTTTCTCAACTATGTATATGTAATGATTATAGATGCCTAGAGTAGTGTTTCCCAGACAACTAGAACCACACACAAATTAGTACCACCAAAAAAAAAAAAAAAAAAACTTCATGAAGAACAGGGATTACTGGTCAAAAAATACGAGAAACACTTCATTTCTGTTAGGAGTATATTAAAGGCTTTTGAGAAGACCACTAGTTAAATGTGTTTTCCAAACTTGATCACAAAACTCAACTATAATATCTATAAAGTTAGTCCATAGCACAAACATGCTTAAATTTGTTGGATAAATGCATAAACTGTGAAGACATAAACACACTTTGGCAACTGCTGGTCTCTTTAAGAGATGGAATCTACCTTTTAGCTACCAATAAATTCCATACCACATTTCATTGATTTAAAAAACACATCTTTTTAAACATCTCTGAAATAGATCAGGGGAGGCTTGCTATCACTGTTGGCCAAATGGCTTTCACTTAATTGTCTAGGTAACATCATCTACACTTAATTATTATTTCCTAATGACATAATTGGACTATTGCAATCCTTGAGCTTTAAATCAGCAAATCATTACAGAGGAATGTAAGGAATACAAGCCTTGGTTGTTACCTGAAAATCTTCGGTAGGCACCTCCCATTAAACACAGAGAGCATCTGTTCAGATCTTGCAATTTCTATGGAGAAATTTTAGGAATAATCTCATCAGTTTATTTTGCATGTACTTTTTGCTGTTCAAGAGAATTATAAATGACAAAATTGATGGATAAGTCCTAAAGAGTAAACATTGATCTGGGCATAAATTGACAGTGGTTTTTCATTTTTGTAATGTATAATATAAGGTACACTTTTATAATTAATGGTGTCCTAAATACAATCAAAAGCACTGTTTATAATACAGGGTTTTTTTTTTACAGATAAAGCATATGATATAGTCCAGTTGACCCTTGAATAACGTGGGAGTTAGGGGTTCCAACCCCCTGTGCAGTTGAAAATCTGCATAAAACTTTTTTATTTCTCAAAAACTTTACTAATAGCCTACTGTTGACTGGAAGCCTTACTGATAACACAGACAGGCGATTAATATGTATTTTGTTATGTGTATTATATACTGTATTCTTACAATAACGTTAAAGAAAAAATACTAAGAAAATCATAACAGAAAGTATATTTACTATTCATTAAGTGGAAGTGGACCATGGGAAAGGTCTTAATCCTTGTCTTGTGTTGAATATACTGAGGAGAAGGAAGAGGAAGGGTTGGTCTTGCTGTCTCAGGAGTAGCGGAGGCAGAAGAAAATCTGCATATGTCATTCAAGGGTCAGCTGTACTTTCCTTGATAGTTTCACTTATTCTAAAAGATTAATCCTACTTTAGAATTATAGAATTGGTATTTGTACCCCATTCTTGCTAATTATCTTATAGTTTTGTGTGTGTGTGTGTGTGTGTATATATATATATATTTTTTTTTCCTTCTATTTAGTTTAAAGTTCCTGCTGCAACAAGTGCAATTATTACCAATGGTAAGAATTCACTATAAAATTATGTATTACCTCAAATTTATAGAAATGGTGTAAAAGGAACCAAATTAATTAAAATTAAATACAAAAAGCCCCAAGTATATGTATATCAACATAAATGATATACTTACTGGTAAACACTAAGTCAGGGTTATTGTTAATAATTAGCTCCTTTCATTTCTTTGTATATAGCTTTTGATATAGTATAGCACTTTATAATATCTTTTGTCCTTACCAGTTCATGCCAGATTATAACTGAAAATAACTTTATTTAGCAAGTTTTTTTTTTTATTAAGTAAAGTTGTTTGGTAAATGCTTTAGAATATAGAAAGTTAAGCAGGAATGTATCTTTGCTATACCTTTCCTGATAGAAAATTGTTTCTTGTAGGCTTGCAATAATGAGAATTTTATTCCGTTTTAGGTATATAATTAAAAATCTTAATATCTTGGAACACTGATAATCAATGATGATGGAATTAGTCTTGTGAGAAAATAGTGAAATAATAAGATGAGGAGTAAAGATTGCAGGGAGGGCTTAACTGTGTTTCAAGTATACAATGCAGTATTGATGAGTGCTGATGCGTTGCCCAAGTGCAGTTTGGACAGGAGATGGGCTTAATGTGCGTGATGTAACTTAGATAAGGTAGAATTTCTCACTCTAAAATATTCTGCATTCTGTCACATTGAAGTGTTTCTCTGTTGGAAAAAAGCTGGCTTACTACCTGGAAAGTTTTAGGTCATAACTTAGTAACGTGTTGAACTAAATGACTTTGTGAGCTCTCCCAGCCTTAAGATATTATGACCTAGAACAATACGAAGATGATTCATGGCATACCTAAGGGGCTTTTTAGTTTTTTGGAAGAAAGGACAAACATTATTTTTAATTCTATATGGCAAAATAGAATTAATAACCTATATTCCATAGAACTTACCAGGATCATTGCATTGACAGACGTTTTTGTCTAACCCAGCAATGTGTATGAATGCAGAATAATAGTAGATTTCAACAGATAATTTACCTGAAAGATTGTCACTCGTGTTCTTGGATTTAAAGTGTTTGGCTTATGTCTATATACACAACAGCACTATTTTGGCAAATCTCTTTCCTTGCTACTATTTAACCATTTTAGCTTTAGAAATAATGTATGTGATTTTACAACTTATTTTCTAGATGGAATAGGAATAAATCCTGCACAGACTGCTGGTGAGTATTTGAAAACTCATAGAGGAGTGGGTGGGGTTATATATGTCAATTGACACTGAATAGTTAAGCTATTCTAATTACACTTGACAGTATTTTAACATAATGGAGCTGTTTTTTAGGGATTATATACCAGTCTTTACCTGTGTGTCTGAGTAATAAGTTGTTTCATTGTGTATATTGATTGTAGATGTTTTTGGCTACAAGTAACAGAAAACCTAATAGTGGCTTAAGCATTAAGAGTATTTATTATATATAACAAAAAGTCTGTAGATAAGATTGCTTTCTAATTGGAGTATTTTTTGACCTACCTCTTAAGGTAGTTGTGAGATAGTGACTGTAAAGTGCTTCATAGCTTGGATTATTTATAGAAAGCATTCATTAAGTGCTATTATTTTTTTTAAATATAGTCATTTACATTTCAAGGGGCTGAGTCTACATTCAGATCTTCAAACTGTTAAATTTATACAGGTGATATATTGGTGTCCTGACCAGGAGACAGGGTAAAAGTAGTCTCATACTTTATAAAAAGAAGTCTAAAACTTTTTTAAAATTAGTTTTATATTTTTAAAATGTAATCTCTTAGGCTTATAATCTAAAGTTTTAAAATTAGGCATGCTTTAATGTAACCTCATTCTAGAGCAGTAGTTATTTTTAAATTATATTCTAAAGTATTTCTTTATTGTAACAAAATTATGTTGTTTTCACAGGCCTTGCAGTTGAAATTCAGCCATAAAGAAAATGAAGTGATTTAAAATTGCAAATTTTTGTTACTTCAGTAGTTGTTAATATATAATTTTATTAAAAAGGTTTATTGAAAATCGTGAGGCACTTTATTGTATGGATGCCTTTAAACTTAGTAGACAAAGGTTTCTTTTTTTCTTAATCGAGAAACTTTCAATATTTTACAGTAGTTTGAATTACTGCTAACTCTAACATACTGCTTGTTTTATTATCTTTAAAAATTGAATGTGCATATCCTTGATATGAAGAAAATCTCATCAGGCAATTGACCCCAAATATGTCAGGGTATCTAAATTTTTGTCACTTGTAGTAATTTACATTTTTTTTCCTGTCCTTAGATATATTATTGTGTATTGAAGGAAGTATTCATGATTAAATTATTCACAGTTACTTGATGAAAGTATTCGTCAGAGTTTTCATGGCTGGTGTTATTTTAAATTTTAAGCGTATGTTGGATTGTGAAGATAGGAGAATAGGAACAAGACTTAAAAAGCTTGGAATTGGGGTCTCATGATGCTTGAGCTTTTGTACCCATTTTACTGTTTACTAAATCATTTATTATATTTAATAATTGTCAGAATATTAAGATAACTTGATTTTTAGATATCTAACTTTATGTTTTGTTTGTTTGTATAGGAAATGTTTTTCTAAAACATGGTTCAGAACTGCGGATTATTCCTAGAGATCGTGTTGGAAGTTGTTAATATCTGCTACTTGGAACATACGATTGCCTTTCAGAATAAATATTGGTATTTTTTGTTGTTGTAAAATTGAAATCAGGCATTTAACATACTATGAAAACACCAGGAGTCAATGATTAATGAAAGGTGACTCATCTGTCCCTTTTTGTTGTCCATACTCTTCCTATGAAGAGGGAATGCGTATGAATTAAGGCTACTACTGTCACAGAAGATCATAGTCTTTGATGCTACCTCACAACACAAACAGGTAGTTCGTTGGGGGCAAATGAATTAGCCAACTGTTAACTGGAAGCTTTTGATAATTTTTTTTTTTAGAACAATTTGGAACATTAAAATTTACTGAATCGTATATATTCATCTGAGATAAAAATATAAAAAGAATTATGGACCCTGGATGGCAATTTGCTTGATAGCATCTGATTTGCAGACTCATAATTTGATTTTTAATTAAATATATAGGTTGTGATGAAGTGAATAGACATATCAGTGAACAGTTAACTATATTAAATTTTTATCATTTACTTTTTTTAAGATTCAGACCTCAGTTATATAAATTTCAGTTTAATATCAACCAAAAAATTAAAATTTTAATCTAACCCTTATGTGTATAAATTGGTGTCCCATACCAGCTTTTAATGGTGGACCTATAGAATCCAGTACTTTTAATGGTGGGAATTTACAGTAGAAGCATCCTTTGCTGAGTTATACATTCCTTTATCAATCTCTTTTGATACAACATTTAAAACAAGTAGCTTCAAGAAACCACTGGTGTTTTGAGGATAGTATTTCTAAATAGCATTCAGGAACAGAGTATTATTGCACAGATCTGAAGATCAAAAAAAAGCTCAAGGAAATACAGATCGGAAGTGCTGATGAGTTATATTTATTGAAAACCCAACTTTTAAGGAAGTGCTAAGATCAGTCACCCATGTGAATAAGAAGCCAGGAAAGGAAAGATGGGGAAGCCCAGATCACCAGGCTTCTATTAAGGAGGAAAGCAACAGAGGAAACAGTGAAGGGGAACAGAAGGGGGTAGCAAAGTGTTACAGAAAAGCGGACTGGATAGACAAAACTGCAGAAGGTGTATGTTGGGGAGAACTGAAAGGGAAAACAAAATACTTGACATAGTCTTAAGTAGAAGAAGGCAGTTAGAGAAAACAAAGTATCTACTGGCCTTGTCAACATACAGACTTCAAAATACCCCTTATGAGAATCCAAAGAATGATGTGTGTAAGGGAAGATTTTATTTGCCCTTCCGGAAGAAATCAGTATCTATGCAAATCTTGAAAGACGAAATCAAAGCCCATTAATGATTCAGAATCAGTGCTTGACCTCCTGTATTCTGAATGGTGAACTCTGGAAGCAGGGATTGTGTCTGGCTCTTTTTAGAGCTGGAAATGTAGTGGCTTTCATTAAATACTTGCTGTAAAGTCTTTCTAAGACCAATTATTATCTTAGCATGTTTCAGTATCTTCTCTATCATAGGCCCTAAGTTCATTGGGGGAAAAAAAATAAGAAGATTCAACAGAATCAGCATTTGAAGTGTACCATTGGTAGTTGTTTATGAAATTACCAGATATTCATAAATGTGACAAATGAACAGCAGGATTATGAATTATCAAAGGAAAAAGTATTTGCTGAGGTGAAAAAATCTGATGTTTGAGGAAGTTTTTATTTTTATTTATTTGTTTTGTTTTTTTTTTTTTGAGGCAGACTCTCTGTCGCCAGGCTTCTCCTGCCTCAGCCTCACGAGTAGCTGGGACTACAGGCATGCACCACCACGCCCAGCTAATTTTTGTATTTTTAGCAGAGACAGGGAGGAAGTTTTTATTTTTATAAACAAAATCTGATGTTCAGAGGCCCCGTTTCTTACAATAAATGTTGAGTCTTAGTTAAGCAGGAATTTATGAACACCCATTTCCTGACTTTTTGCTTTAATTTAGATTTTTCTCCATCCTGTTTCTAGCACAAAAATTTGCCTGCTGTGTTACAAAAATAAATTTATGTTGTCCTGTGCCATAAAGTGATATATTTAATATTTTTATTCTTTGGTTTTGAACATTGTAAGTTCCTAAAAACATTTTATTAAACAAGTAGACATTTTGTTATTAAAAAAATGTGATCTGTAATTTCTTTGTGCAGAATGATTTGAAGTATTGTATTCAGTTTACATGCGTTATTGGTTTATAATTAATATCTAATGAAAATACATGTTGTTATATTGTAAACCATATTGTCTGTTCTTATTATTAGAGCTCTTAATCAGCACACCTTTTGAGTCAGTATATAATACATGTAGTAAAGAAAAAAAGGGCAAAGATGATTAATGACCATAAGTCAGAGAAATTAGTTTATAGTCATCTGCCACAGACATAGTAGTGATGTTTCGTCCAACAACAGACCGCATATATGACCGTGGTCCCATATTACTATATTTTTACTGTGCTTTATCTATGTTTGGATACACAAGTACTTACCATCATTTTACAGTTGTTTACAGTATTAGGTACAGTAACATGCTCTACAGGTTTGTAGCCTAGGAGCAATAGGCCATACCAAATAGCCTAAGTTTGTAGTAGGTGACATCAACTAGGTTTGTACAAGTACATTCTGATGTTCACATAGTGACAAAATTGCCTAAGGAAGCATTTCTCAGAATTTGTTCCTGTGATTCAGTGATACATAACAGTACTTGCAAATGCCTGTCCATTTTACAGACGGAAAAAAAAAAAAAAAAAGTTGAGAAGAAAATGGGGTTATTGTAACTGGCTAGGTTGGTAGGTTCCAAACCTGGGTGATAACAGAGTCGCCTAGGAAATTAAAAATACAGATTTTTGGAAACCACTCCTTGAATTCTGATTTATTACATCTGTAATAATATATAAAGATCCTCTGTAAACAGGAGTTCTGGTGATTTCTGCCATGCAGGTGGTTTGAGAATTAATGAGAAGGCCACCTTTTCACTTTGTAGAAGAACAGAATGAGGTCTAAGGGGTCAAAGTAAGTAGAATATGTTCTGGAATCTTGGACAGTGCACTTTCCAATGCTTGGTAAGTAGCCTGAGGTGAAGGTGCTAGCTAACAGTCTCACTCACTGCACAACCTTTGAAGTTTTTCTCCGGGAGGTGGGGGGCAGCCCCCGCCCGGCCAGCCGCCCCGTCTGGGAGGTGGGGGGCAGCCCCCGCCCGGCCGCTGCCCCGTCTGGGAGGTGGGGGGCGCCTCTGCCCGGCCGCCCAGTCTGGGAAGTGAGGAGCCCCTCTGCCCGGCCGCCACCCCGTCTGGGAGGTGTACCCAACAGCTCATTGAGAACGGGCCATGATGACGATGGCGGTATTGTCGAATAGAAAAGGGGGAAATGTGGGGAAAAGAAAGAGAGATCAGATTGTTACTATGTGTAGAAAGAAGTAGACATAGGAGACTCCATTTTGTTCTGTACTAAGAAAAATTCTTCTGCCTTGGGATGCTGTTAATCTATAACCTTACCCCCAACCCCCTGCTCTCTGAAACATGTGCTGTGTCCACTAAGGGTTAAATGGATTAAGGGCGGTGCAAGATGTGCTTTGTTAAACAGATGCTTGGAAGCAGCATACTCGTTAAGAGTCATCACCACTCCCTAATCTCAAGTACCCAGGGACACAAACACTGCGAAAGGCGGCAGAGCCCTCTGCCTAGGAAAACCAGAGACCTTTGTTCACATGTTTATCTGCTGACCTTCCCTCCACTATTGTCCTATGACCCTGCCAAATCCCCCTCTCCCGAGAAACACCCAAGAATGATCAATAAATACTAAAAAAATTTTAAAAAAAAAGTTTTTCAAGTCAAACATTCTTTAGATAAGTTTTTCTTAGAACTAGCTGTTCAAAAGAAACGTTAGTGGGAAGAAAATGCAATCCTATTTAATTCCTCTACTCCAATATTAAGATATTAAAACTTAATATCTTCGCGTAAAAAGATGTTTTTTACGCGAGGACCTTGAAGTATTCCTGAATTGGAAGCATTGTTATACTTTAATGGAGTGATTCTAAGTTAACTGATAGTGTTCCTGAGGCCATTTATAAAACCACACAAAAAATAATGATTTATATATGTAATTCATCCTAAAGAAATCTGTTGAACATCTACTGTGTGTCAAATATTTTGACGGATAATTTCATTTTTATTTACCCATTCTTTATAACAATTCCAGGTTATTTTCCCCTTTTATAGAAAAAGAAAGAGGCTTAAGTTGAGATTTGAAATTTAAACCCATGATTTGACCCAAACTCTGCACATTATACGGAGAAATTTTTAGTATATATTTTCTGTGATATACTAGATGCGTATTGAATCGCAGATTAAAAGTAAGAAAATATGTAAGGCTTAAATTCCATGTCAGAGTACTGACTGTGTGTAATGATAATGAATGGCCTTACTTTTTTAATACGTGGTGTATATATGGTATAAATATGATAAAATTCTAGGATATTAATTATAAACCAACCAGTAGTGGGAGTAGGGACTATGCCGCCATATTCATTAGCCTATCAGACATTGTGTTTTTTAATTTTAGTGTATTTTGCAAGTGAAGCTGCAAGGTTAGTCTCCTAATAGCCCACTTTTTCTACTAGATTGCTGCCCATAAACTTCTTTAATACAGAAATTCTGGAAGTGCCCTCTATTGGTTAGTGCTGGTGATGGGTAAATCATTACTCAAACTAGGCCATTAAACCATTAATTGAAATAAATACTCTTGAAAAGTTCAATCTATCCAACCTATTAACCATATCCTTCAAATTGACTAAGGTTCTCTTACCGTCAAATCTGTTACTCCTGATTTTCCTTTCTTGATGTATCAAGACAATCACAAAATTCTCTTGATGTTGTTAACAGAATATCTCAGCCATCCCCACTGTAACAAAAGCCCTCATCTTCTCGTTTATACTAAGAGCCTCTAGTCTCTTCATTTCCTCTTTCACACTTGCTGTAATGAGTTTTTTTATGCCATTTCATTAATCAAAATCCTACTGAATAAAAAATCTACACTGTCTGTGACATACGAGGCCCTTCATGAACTGGTCTGTGTTAGAGTCATCTGCTACTACTACTCTCTTCCTTACAGTTTCCTTCCCTAATTTACACCGCAGCTACACTGAACCACAAATAATGTTTAGTTATCTGTGATGTGCCATGTTCTTATGCTTTCATTTCTTTACTTACCCCATTTGTCTGCCTGGAAAACCTAGGATTTATTCTTTAAGATCAAAAGCCATTGAGCCTTTCCTCCCTCCTCCAAAGCAGTAGGTATTAACTGTCTAAGCAATTTTACATTTTGTATATTCCTCCATTCTAGCAATTACTAAATACAGAATTACTTGTCTCTAAAATATAAATTTTATAAAAGTCTAAGACCATGACTGAAACTAGGTTTCCAAATCGCTTTGCCCATAAACAAAAAGTACTTTATAATTGAAAAACTACATAAAAGAATATTTTGAAAATTAGAACTGTGTCTCATACATAAAGTAACTGCTTTTCACCAGATTATTTGGTTAACCGGTATACCCATGTTGCCCACTGTTTCTTGTAGCAGAAATTTACTTAAATTAACTACTTTTTTTAATTGTAAAACATTCTCTTATTTTTAAACAAACATTATTAGCTATATGCTGCATATTGTTAAATACTGGAGACGAAACATGATTAACATCCATTCATTCCCATTTCTTGGACTTTCCCAAATTTATACATTTCAAAAACACCAAAATTACCTGGTCTAGTAATCATGGACATGAAGATGTGTAACGAATCCCTTTTTATATGCTGGGCACAGTGTGAGGCACTTTACAGACATTGACTCATTTAATCCTTAATCCCTTCACAAATGCCAGTGTTAATTTCTTCACTTTACTGTTCAGGAAGCTGAGACTTCAGTTAATATGTTTAAGGTTACGGTGAGATTGACTCCTAGGTCTGTATGATTATAAAGTCCACAATGTGTATCATGTATTTATCATCAGTTTGCCTAGAATTGTATTGAAATACTTTTTCAAAATAAAATGAGCACATCTGGAATGAGCCTCATAGATTGCTATTTAATATTTCTGTGATCTCACTTTGCTTGCAAAGTTTAACATTCAGCAATCCACACAAACACTGCACTTATAGACTCCTTTTCAGTAAATATACACATTTATAGCAACAAAGAGAATGGTGAACATTTTAAAAGTAGATGTATGGCCCTATTATCTGCTTTGCTACATAGAGGATGTAATTTTGTTACTAGATGCAAAACACTGGCTAAGGTTGGCAGACAAATTCAGAGAGCCAGTTTTTGGCATAAATCTCTCATTTTTTGGCAAAACTTGTTAGCAGTGTAAAAGCTGTTATTGAGAGCATATTGTGATGATACATCATGTCAATATTTGTTTGGCTGAGTAACACTTGGATTTAATAAATTAATTCTTAAATGCACAATTTACAACTGATGAGCTGTGTTAGAAATAAACTAATTTTTGTTGTCAGTGCCACAGACATTTTGACAAGTCTCTAGTGGAGATACTAGCTTCTCTGATTTTTTAGATAAACGGATGGATGGATTAGGACTTTCTGAATTATCTGTAGATGTGCACATTACGTAGAAATGAAACATAAGAGACAATGAATGAGTAATTAAATGAGTCACATAGGGAAATTAACCAAAAGGACTGTAGAGAGGTCACATTGTTCTTGTGGGGAACTATATCCTTCAGTAAGGAAATACCTTATTTGTTTCTCAAAGCAATAAAAAATGAAGGCTTCAGGGAGCTGTAGTCACTATGACAGATCTGGTGTATTGCTGTCAATTCCACATACACGCAAAATTTAATCTAGAACTTTCATAATCCTGCTGTATGGGTTGGAGTAGAGAGCAAAAGAAGTGACAGACTCCCTTCAATAAAAATTGCTAAAGGCTTAATTGCAGTTGCTTCCCAACATGGAAATAATTATGTTCCAAATATTTTTATTTAATTTTTAAATTAAGCCAGTACCTTGATACCTATGAAAGGGTAATACCTGTATTCATAGAACCTTGCATTTGGGAAGTTATTTTCTAAAGTGTAATCCATCTCCCTATTATTTCCTAGTAAGATTGTATTTCTGAAACCATTAAAAAAATAGTATTTCACAGGAACTTCAATAAAATGAACCAGATTCTAAGGATGCCATCCTCTTGCTGTAAACAAATAAATAAATGTAAAATTCCAATCTATTATTCCTTACCTTCTATACTTTCTAGAGTTGACCCTTAAAGAATGTGGAGGTTCAAGGCCTTGACCCTTTGCACAGTCAAAAATCTGCATATAACTTTTGACTCTCCAAAAATTTTACTAATAGCCTACTGTTGACCAGAAGCCTTAGCAATAACATAAACAACACATATTTCATAGGTTATATACTGTATCTTTAAGCTACAGGAAAGAAAATTTTAAGGAAAAGAAAATATAGTATTCATTAAGTGGACGTGCATCATCATAAAGGTCTTCATCTTTGTCTTCACATTGAGTAGTCTGAAGAAGAGGACGGGTTAGCAGAGGCAGAAGAAAATCCATGTATAAATGGACCCATGTGGTTCAAACCTGTTTTGTTCAAGGGTCAACTGTACATTTTACCTTCATTATATACCTTCTATCTCCACCCACACTGTCACCAAAAAACATGGCTTTGTTCTGAAAAGCTGGGAGTCCCCTAAAGATTTTCCTAAAATGCAGTTTCTTTGCTCCATTTTGAAGCATTCTTTGCAATTGGTCAAATCAGCATTTAGCTTTGTTGCCTCTCCTTGTCCTCAGTCTACCTAGACAGACCTTACATCTCTTTCCTTTTTGAGTGTGAGATATTTTTTAACCCTAACTAATGCTTTTGCTAATTTCAAACAGTCCCAAACATCATCTCCTATTTTACTTGACTATACTATTTAATAGTGAGTTTATATTGACCCTTCCAAACATAGGGATTGAGGAGTATCCTAGAATAAAAAGGAATGTTTTCCATATTGTCAAATGCAACAAGACTTGAATAAACCTATAATTAGTAGATCCTTCCTCTAGATACAATTATAGTTCTGGAGCAGTTGCCAGAATTTGATGTGCCAATGAAATATATAGGGCGATGTTCCAAGGGTAATTAACATCATCACCATTTTAAACTATTTTATCTCTTGGGTTAAAATGGGTTATAATTAATTTTTGAGGGTTATGTAGTTAGTGCCAAATGAATGTGTCAGATAATGAGTGCTATAGCAATGGTTGACTGTTGTAGTGCTGTTATAGATGACTTCACAGTGGGGGGGGTGATTTTAGCAGGAACATTAAGGGAAGGCATATGGAAAGACATTCATGAATTTAGTAAGCATGAATTTAATCAGTAAGCACTTTATTTTTATCCACTACTCTTACTGATAACTAGACAAAGTGCATGGAGCTGATAGCATAACGGGGGAGAAAGCCAGTAAATCAATAAGCAAATATGTCAAGTGCTATTTTTTTAAGTCAAAGCACAGCATTTCAGTTAAGGTGATAAGGAATAAGTGCTATTTTGGATAAGATGATAAGGAATACCCTTATGTAATTGTGTGGAAGAACAGTACTCCAGATAGTAGGAAGAGAAAAGGTAAGCTGCCTTATAGAAAAACTTCAGTTGGCCCATGCACATATGAGGAGACTTCAAATATCTTGTGGAAAAAAAATGGAATTAAAAGATTTTTTAAAAGTAAATTCTATTACTTAATAGAATCTGTCAAGTTCAAGACATGTTTATAAGTGATGAGACCAGCCATTTAGTTTATCCCTGAAGAACTGAGGGTCCTGGAAATGTAGCCATGTCAATGTAGTCTTTTTTATTGGTTGAAGAAAAAACAAATAAGTGCCCTTTAAAGATTTTTTTAAGATTAGGAAACAAAAAGAAGGACCCAATCAGGACTGTAAGGTGAATGCCTAGTGATTTCCCACCCAAACTCTAGCAAAATTTCCCTTGTTTGATGAGAGTCAGCAGCAGCCAGATTTCTTCTTTTTGCTTAGTCTTGCTTTGGCTATGTGGGCTCTTTTTTGGTTCCACATGAATTTTAGAATTGTTTTTTCTAGTTCTGTGAAGAACGATGGTAGTATTTTGATGGGAATTGCATTGAATTTGTAGATTGCTTTTGGCAGTATGGTCATTTTCACAATATTGTTTCTACCCATCCATGAGCATGGGATGTGTTTCCCATTTGTTTGTGTTGTCTATGATTTCTTTCAGCACTGTTTTGTAGTTTTCCTTGTAGAGGTCTTTCAGCCTCTTGGTTAGGTATATTCCTAAATTTTTCTTTTTTTTTTTTTCAGCTATCAAAAAAGGGGTTGAGTTCTTGATTTGATTCTCAGCTTGGTCCCTGTTAGTGTATAGGAGAGTTTGTGTACATTAATTTTGTATCCGGAAACTTTTGTTGAATTCTTTTATCAGTTCTAAGAGCTTTTTGGAGAAGTCTTTAGAGTTTTCTAGGTTTACAATCATATCATCAGCAAACAGCGACAGTTTGACTTCCTCTTTACCAATTTGGATGCCCTTTATTTCTTTCTCTTTTCTTACTGCTCTGGGTGGGACTTCCAGTACTATGTTGAAGAGAACTGGTGAGAATGGGCATCCTTGTCTTATTCCAGTTCTCAGAGGGAATGCTTTCAACTTTTCCCCATTCAGTATTATGTTGGCTGTGGGTTTGTCATAGACGGCTTTTATTACATTGAAGTATATCCCTTGTATAATGATTTTGCTGAGAATTTTTATTATAAAGGGAAGCTGGATTTTGTCAAATGCTTTCTCTGCATCTATTGAGATGATCATGTGATTTTTGTTTTTAATTATGTTTATGTGTTGTATCAAATTTATTGAGTTGTGTATGTTAAACCGTCCCTGCATCCCTGGTATGAAACCCACTTGATCATGGTGGATTATCTTTTGGATATGTTGTTGGATCCAGTTAGCTAGTAATTTTGTTAAGGATTTTTGCATCTATGTTCATGAGGGATATTGGTCTGTAGTTTTTCATTTGTTTGGTTGGTTGGTTATGTCATATCCTAGTTTTAGTATTAGGGTGATACTGGCTTCATAGAATGATTTAGGGAGGATTCCCTCTTTCCCGATCTTGTGAAATAGTGTCAACAGAATTAGTACCAATTATTCTTTGAATGTCTGTTAGAATTCAGCTGTGAATCCATCTGGTTCTGGACTTTTTTTTTTAATTACCATTTCAATTTTGCTACTTGTTATTGGTCTGTTTTGGTATCTAATTCTTCCTGATTTAAACTAGGAGGGTTGTATCTTTCCAGAAATTTATCCATCTCTTCTGTTTTCTAGTTTATGCATGTAAAGGTGTTTATAGTAGCCTTGAATGATCTTTTGTATTTCTGCGGTGTCAGTTGTAATATCTCCCATTTCGTTTCTAACTGAGGTTATTTGAATTTTTTCTCTTTTCTTGGTTGATCTTGCTAATGGTTTATCAATTTTGTTTATCTTTTCAAAGAACCAGCTTTTTGTTTCTTTTATTTTTTTGCATTGTTTTGTTTGTTTGTTTCAATTTCATTTAGTTCTGCTCTGATCTTGGTTATTTCATTTAAGGCTATAGTCACCAAAACAGCATGGTACTGGTATAAAAATAGGCACATAGACCAATGGAACAGAATAGAGAATGCAGAAATAAACCCAAATACTTACGGTTAACTGATCTTTGACAAAGCTAACAAAAAAATAAACTGGGGAAAGGACACCCTATTCAACAAATGGTGCTGGGATAATTGGCAAGCCGCATGTAGGAAAATAAAAGTGGATCATCATCTCTCATCTTATTAAAAAATCAACTCAAGATGGATGAAGGACTCAAATCTAAGACCTGAAACTATCAAAAGTCTAGAAGGTAAATTTGGAAAAACCCTTCTAGACATTGGCTTAGGCAAGAATTTCATGACCAAGAACCCAAAAG
Organism: Homo sapiens; assembly: GCF_000001405.40. Classification (NCBI taxonomy): domain Eukaryota; kingdom Metazoa; phylum Chordata; class Mammalia; order Primates; family Hominidae; genus Homo; species Homo sapiens. The sequence goes on from NC_000013.11 coordinate 38,371,738, forward strand.
CAAATGCAATAAAAACAAAGATAAATAGCTGGGACTTAATTAAACTAGAGGGCTTTTGCATGGCAAAAAAAAAAAAAAAAAAAAAAAACAGTGAGCAGAGTAAACAGACAACCCCACAAAGCGGGAGAAAATCTTCACAAACTATATATCTGACAAAGGACTAATATCCAGAATCTATAATGAACTCAAACAAATTAGGAAGAAAAAAAGCAATCATATCAAAAAGTAGGCTAAGGACATGAATAGACAATTCTCAAAAGAAGATAAACAAATGGCCAACAAACTATTAAAAAATGCTCAACATCACTAGTGATCAGAGAAATTCAAATCAAAACCATAATGTGATACCACCTTACTCCTTTAAGAATGGCCATAATCGAAAAATCAAAAAATAATTGATGTTGGCATGGATGTGGTGAACAGGGAACACTTCTACACTGCTGGTGGGAATGTAAACTAATAAAACCACTATGGAAAACAGTGTGGAGATTTCTTAAAGAACTAAAAGTAGAAATACCATTTGATCCAGCAACCCCACTACTGGGTATCTACCTAGAGGTAAAGCAGTCATTATACAAAAAAGATACTTGCACACACTTGTTTATAGCAGCACAATTTGCAATTGCAAAAATATGGAACCAACTCAAATGTCCATCCATGATTGGATAAAGAAACTATGGTATATGTATACAATGGAATACTACTCAGCCATAAAAAGGAATGAATTAATGGCATTTGCAGCAACGTGGATGAGACTGGATATTATTATCATAAGTGAAGTATCTCAGGAATGGAAAATCAAACATAGTATGTTCTCACTCATAAGTGGGAGATAAGCTATGAGGATGCAAAGGCATAAGAACGGCACAATGGACTTTGGGGACCCAGGGGAAAGGGTGGGAAGGGGGTGAGGGATAAAAGACTACAAATTGGGTGCAGTGTATACTGCTTGGGTGATGGGTGCACCAAAATCTCACAAATCACTACTAAAGAACTTAGTCATATAACCAAACACCATCTGTTCCCCAATAAGCTATGGAAATAAAAAATAATAATAAAAGAGTCATCAGCAGCAACACTGTCCTGGTGGAGAAAGATTCTCTGGAGAAACTTTCCCAGTTATTTTTTTGCTAACACTTTGGCTAACTTTTAAAAAACATTCTCATAATAAGCAGATGTTATCATTCTTTAGCTCTTCAGAAAATCAACAAGTGAAACGCCCCGGGCATCACGAAAACCTGTTGCCGCGACCTTTGCTATTGACCAGTCCATTTGTGTTTTGACTGGACCACTTCCACCTCTTGGTAGCTGTTGTTTTTACTATGCTTTGTATTCTGGATTGTACTGGTAAAGCTATGTTTCTTCTCCTGTTAAAATTCTTCAAAGAAATGCTTCAGGATCTTTATCCAACTTGTTTACAGTTTCTGTTGAAAGCTCTGATCTTATCTGCAGCCGATCTGGGAGAAACTGTTTTTGCACCCACTGAGTGAAAAGTTTGCTCAACTTTAATTTGCCAGTCAGAATGTTGTAAGCTGAACTAATGGAGATGTTTTTGGTGTTGGCTATTGTTTCTGCTGTTAATGTCAGTCCTTTTTCAATTAAGGCATTAACAAGATTAGTTTATTTCTCACAAATTAATGTGGATGGTCTGCCATTGCAGGCTTCATCTTCAGCGTTGTCTCCTCCCTTGTTAAAACAAGTTATCCATTTGTAAACTATTAGTTTATTTGGAACATTGTCCTCATAAACTTTTTGTAAAGGATCAGTGATTTCACCATTCTTCCACCCAAGCTTCACCATCAATTTGATGTTTCTTCTTGCTTCCATTTTAACAAAATTCATGTTGCTTTTATAGGGGCTCTTTTCAAACCGATGTCTTATTCTTAATGCCTCAGAGTAGATCATGTCAGACATGTTATAACAAGTTAGTACAGTTTTATTTTGGTGCAAAAAATTGAAATCCATGAATAGTTTTTTCATACTATGCATTTTCCCTGAATTTTCTGAACACCCTTCAATTAATCTAAGGTAACTCTGCCTCTAAGTTTTTGAGACAGGGTCTTACCCTGTCACCCAGGATAGAGTGCATTGGCAAGATCATGGCTCACTGTACCTTCAGACTTCTGGGCTCAAGTGATCCTCTTGCCTTAGCCTCTTGAGCAGCTAAAACTACAGACATGTGCCATCACACCCAGGTATTTTCTTACGTTTTGTAGAGGGGATAGAAGGGAGTCTCATCATGTTACCCAGGCTGGGAAACTCATTATCTCAATATTTAGGAAACTCATTTCACAGTATTTAATTGCACGCTTTCACCTAACAAAATCCCCTTATATTTGGCTTGTCAGCAACTAGCAGTTTATCTTTAGCCATTTAGATTTCTCAATGCAGAAGCTAAACACACATTCACTGTGTGCATCACATTGCAGGAATCACAGGTTAGACTTCCTGAGAGGTTCCAAAGCTCTGTTCACTATATGGAGGTGAGGGGAAGAGCTCCTATAGCTTTTTTTGATGGTGGTGGTAGAATGAGACCCTTAGACTAGCTCTTCCCAAAGAAAGCCTTTTCACAAATGCCATCCCTTGATTCACCAACTCCAATCATCACCATTGAATGCCATCAGTGATCAACTCATTCATGAAACTTGTTTTGGACTGTTTATTTTGAAAATTTTCAGCTTGATAATATCTGTGTACTTAAAGTCTTGAAAAAGTTGCCATGTTAATATTCTCTTACATATTAAATGCATCATCTCATTTAATCTTCACAAAAAACCTGACTCTAGGTATACATACGTTTTTCAGTTTAATATATGAGGGATTGAGGGTCAGACAGGATCAATGATCTGACTCTCGTCCCAGAGCTAATAAAAAATGACACAAGGATTTTAATCCATGTTTCTCTAACACAAAAGTCAGTGCTTTCCACTATCCCTCCCAGCATGATGCAGGACAAGAGTAAAGGGCAATCTTAGCGGAATTAAAATCCTAAAGATCCAGGGGATATGACCTACGACGTAGCTGTAGAACACAGAAAAACAAAAAATGTTTACCTAACTGGAAAAAAAAAGTAATAAAAAATTCCTACTTCTTTGTTGATTACAAACTAAACATGTTTCCAGCTCTTCTAAATAGTAGGTCTATGTATATAACATGTGTGGGATTTAAACCACCTTTGCAAAATTATGGCAGTAAGAGAAATCTAACATAGTTGAGTCCACGTTGCTTCTGACCTCCAAGCCGTCCTTGGTCAATCCTGGATGTAGGTCAAGGTAACTTTGGGAGAAATTTGGTTTATAGTTTAACCTTAAAGCAAAGATGATAATAGCCCTTTTCAAAACTAAACTACCTTTGTAAAAGTAATGCAAGGACATAAGGTTAGGATTATGAAAGGGGACTGAATTTGAATAAGATAGGTTCAGGGCTCATGTGACTAGAAGTCACAAGAATTGTGACTTTCCCAATTGCTCCTGTAGATAACATCACTATTGTAGAAACAAAGATTTTTGTTTGTTTGTTTGTTTTGTTTTTTGTTTTTTTGAGCTCTCTTGCAGAATGACTGCACCTGGATTCCTGATTCATGACTCAACTGATCCTGTGCGCTACCCACCTCCAGAGGCAGGCTCAGAACAGGAGGACCATTTTCCACACATCTGTAATTTCATCTCCACCAATCAGCAGCATCTATCTTCTAACCTCCTGCCCACCAAATTGTCTATGAAAACCCTAAGCTCCAAGCCTTTACGGAGATTGATTTGAGTTATAACTCCAGTTCTTGCACATGCAGTGGCCTCACATCAGTTAAACTCTTTCTCTACTGCAATGCCATGGTCTCAGTGAATTGATTTTGTCTGCACAACAGGCAGGAAGAAGCTGTCAGGTGATTACATAAACTGGAGGGGGAAAAAAAACCAACTATGGCATTTTCTTAATTTAGAACAGAGGTATGTTTATTTTTTACCAAACTTAATTACTGATTTTCATTCAATCATTCAATAAATGAGGTTTTTTTTTGTGCGCACTGTGCTAATTTTTTACATTTCTGGAACTTAAAAAATTCAGTAATTCATCTCTTTATTTTAAAAATTTTATATTTGTAGTGAATAGAAGGGCTAATTTCATATTTGTTTGTTTTTATTTCTCTGTAGACAAAAGGTCTCACTGCATTGCCCAGGCTCGTCTTGAAATCCTGGCCTCAACCAATCCTCTAGCCTTGTCCTTCCAAAGTTCTGAGATTACAGACATGAGCCACCATGCCTGGTCTTCTCTATATTTTTATGTTGACAAAGTGATGTTAGTTTGCATGTATAATATAATCAGAGAGAGGACATTGTAGTTACTGGGCCTCTACTACAAGACAATACTGTTTATGATGGAAAAGAATGTACTGATAAACTCTTTAGGTGAAAGGGGATGAGACTTTTAAGAGACATTTTTGAGCACCAATTAATTATGAAATCGCATTCTAACTGGGTAGACCTGGTAAGCTGCAAGGGTCAAGGCTGAATCTCTGAAGATTATAGGCAAGAGACTGAGGGTAGTTTTTATTCTCCAAAGAAGGGAAAAAGACGAATGAATTATTCAGGCCCTCATCTTAACACATTTTTAGAAACAGAAATACACACATCTTAAAGGAAACTGTTATCTCTGATACCAAAACCAAATATAGCACATACACAAAGGAAAGCTACAGACCAATATCACCTAGGAACTTAGGTGCACACACTCCTCAACAAAATTTAGCAAATTATATCCAGCAACATATAAATAAAATTACATACCATGACCAAGTGGGATTTATTGCATGTATGTAACACTGGTTCAACATTTGAAAATCAATGTAATCACAGCAGACTAAAAAAGAATCATATAATCATATCAATTGACACATGAAAATATTTGACAAAATACAACACCCATTCATGTTAAAAACTCCCAGCAAACTAGGAATAAAGGAGAACTTCCTCAACTTGATATTGAGTAACCACAAAAACTCTACAGTTGACATGTACTTGGTAATAAGAAACCAGATGCTTTCTGCCTAATGCTAGGAAGGATGTTTGCTTTCCCCATTCCTATTCGATATAGCACTATAATTTCTAGCCAGTGCAGCAAGTCAAGAAAAAGAGATAACAGGTACTCAGATGGAAAGGAGGAAACTATTACAGAAAGAGAAAAAAAATAGGAAGAGCTTAGAATTCAGAAATTAAGACGGAACTAAAAACTCTAAATTGGAGAATGGGTCAGGAATCAGGAATCCTGTGGGTAATAGAAATGTTAAGTCATGGTACATATTTTAGGGTATGAAGTGGCAAGAGAGGCGCATACATTGCATACATTGGTGTAGGTATGTTTCAGAGAGTGTTTAGAAATCAATTTAATTTGGCATAACTGTTTTGTCTTATGCAAAAAGCAGGAAGAAATCTGACATTAAGGACCTGATTTGTTCAATGCTTTCTGGTGGAAACTAAAGAAGCATATTAGGGAGATACTTAACATAGTATAGTATAGTATCAGTAGTAACAGGTGCAGATGCTGGCAAAACAATTATCCTCTGTAGAGACTTCACTGAAAATAAGCTATAAGTAGAATAACGGTGTCTGAATTAATTTTTCAACTGATACTGCTTTTGCATTAAGTATTTAGAGTGATGAAGTTAGCATCAATAGAATAATTTAATGTCTGAAGAAAAAAATAATTTTAAAATGTAAGCCGATGTATGGCGGGGGCTACCATAACAAACTATCAGAAACTGGGTGCCTTAAGGAACAGAATCTTATTGTCTCCCAGTTCTGGAGGCTGGACATCCAAAATCAAGGTGTCAACAAGGCTGATTCTTTCTGATGGCTGTCAAGGAAGGATCTGTTCCAGACTCCCTTTTTGGTTTATGGTCCTCTTCCCTGTGTATCCCCACATTATATTTTCTCTAACTCTGTCTCTGTGTCCAAATTTCCTCCTTTTATAAAGACATCAGTCATATTAGATTAGGACACACCCTAAAAACCTTATTTTAACTCCATTACCTCTATAAAGACCCTATCTCCAAATAAGATTACATTGTTTTTGAGGGAAGAGAGGAGTAATTCAGTCTATAACAGGCTAACTCATGCTATTTATCAACTGCAGCTTTCCAGATAAGGCTATACATTAAATACATGGATTAAAAAATGTGTCCTCAAAATTTTTGCATGCATATTACAACACACAAATTCCATCAGAAATTTATGAATAAAGTGCTATAATTTTAAAACGGTTCATTGAATGGATTGGAATAAATAGAGGGGAAAATGAAATGCATCATTTATCTCCAAATTTCACTTAGCCTCTCAAAACAATCCATTGCCTAGTGTCGCCAAGCACAAATGGCACTCTGAGTTTCACTTTTTGTGGATCACTCCCTGGAAACATTAAAGAGTAAAGCAATATCCTAAGGATAAGCAGTTGAAAAGAATGAAAGTTTGGGGTAGTAATGCATACATCATATTGATTAGTCCCCAGTCATCAGCTCAAGTTTCCAACAGAGGCTGAAAGGTTGTGCTCTGGAGATTTCTTAGCCATGTATGTTCTATGTACACAAACACACCATTCAAACAATTGAAGTTGCTTGCTTACTTATTTCTAGTAGCCATATTGCTTTCCATTGCCTACACTACTTAACAAAGATACAAAGAGTTCTGCTCAGCATTCAATAATCCTTTTGATACAGAAAAGTGTGGGCACCTAAAATACCTTCTAAAAGAACAAAGTGTAAGCAGGAAGAAGCTATTAACATAGAGGAAAATGGGAAATGGAAGCAGCAGAGCCAATTATAGGTACATTTCTGCCTGTTGAAGAGACCTCAAAATAGAAGATTTAAAAATCTGTCTCCAAAAGCTTTTTTTAAAGTAAAAATTTTAAAAAGGTATCATAGGCCATATATAAAAAAGAATATCCATCCTGTCTACCAAAGTAAGTGCTTTCTTCCTCTTCCTTGATTGAAGGCACAAGATAATTGTCTCTTCCTGATGCTTTGTTTAAGGATTCTAAATAAACCAGTCTCAGGTGGCCCCCTTAAGAGCAGTCCCCCTAGGAATCTGCCACTGAATCTCGAAACTATAATTTGTTCCAGACACTCTGTACAAAATACATTTCTTTCCCAATCTCTAAACTTGATAATTAGATGTGTTTAGTCAGAATTAAAAATAAAATCAAGTGGAAAGTTATTCAGGTGCAAGTTATTAACCTACAGTGATGGCAGAACAGAAGGGGACTTCACCAAGTAAACTCACATTTTTGGTGCAAGTCACATGTTTTAGGTACTTTGCTAAGCTCTTTATTGAACATACCGCTTTATTCTTGATGATAATCTATTAATATAATATTTTGATTTTGTAGATGTTGAGAGTTAAGAAATGACATATAGAAATAAATGGTAGAAGTAGATTCAAACCCATGTTTGTTTGACTCCAAAGCTTATATTTCTTCCTCTCAGTTCCAGAAACTGAGGCATAGGGAAAGAATGCTCAGAGCATGCCAAACTCATTTCTTACCTTCTCATCATATGCCTTAGTATGTGTATTGGGCCGCTGTAACAAAATACTATGGGCTGCTGTAACAAAATACGATGGGCTTGGGCTGCTGTAACAAAATACTACGGACTGGGTGGCTTAAACCACAAACATTTGTTTCTCATGGTTTGGGAGGCTGAGAAGTCTCAGGTCAAGGTGCCAGCAGATTGGGTTCTGGTAAGGGCCCACACCTGGTTTGCCAGTGGCCATCTTCTTAGCAAGTGTTCTCACGTGGAGGGGAGCAGAGAGAATGAGAGCAAGCTGCTGTCTCTATTTTCATAAGAGCACTAATCCCCTTCATGAAGACCCTATTCTCACGACCTAGTTGCCTCCAAAAGGCCCCATCTCCTAACATCATCTCACTGGGGGATTCCAACACATGAATTTTGGGGGAATACAGACATTCCATCTATAGCATCAGGATTCTTCAGTTTCTGGTCCTTTAAGTCTTCTTTTTCATTTTTTTTTAATTTTTAAAGTTTTTTTTAGAGACAGGGTCTCACTCTGTCACCTAGGCTGGAGTGCAGTGGCACCATCATAGCTCACTGTAGTCTCAAACTCCTGGATTCAAGTGATCCTCCTGCCTCAGTGTCCCAAGTAGTTGGGACTATAGGTGTGCACCACCATGCTTGGTTAATTTTATTTATTTGTTGGTTGGTTGGCTGGTTGAAGACAGGATCTCGCTATGTTGCTCAGGCTGGAATTATGTCTCTGCTATGCCTCTGTCTACCTACACCTTTATCTATAAGCAATTTATGGATGTTCTTATAGCCAGGCTTTGGTCATGCTATTCTTCCCGTCTGGAAAGCCCATTTATACTCTTCTTCATGTGCAAGACGTTCTTCACCAAATGTACTACCATTCTCCTAGGAGATGTTTGGAAATGTGTATGGCATCTACCATTGCCATGATGGGGGTGCTATGCTAGCAGGAAGCACCCAGGGGCTAAGGCTGCTCAGCAGTGTGCAATGTTGTGCTGTATGGGCAACTCCACACCACAGAGAATTGCTCTGTGCCAGGTGCCCATAGAGCCCCTGCTGAGAACACTGACCCTAATCTCTCAAGCCCTACTACCTCCATTGAAGTGTGATGCTCCTAACCCCTGAGCCTGAAATCGTCTGCTCCTCTTAAAAATTTCAGAAACCCTTCTTGCCTATTAATCTGTATGTTTCATGTTAACGTATTTTGAATTTAATTGTTATCTTTTTCTTTTACATACAAAATTTGACTTTCTAGTTATTTTATGTTCCTTGAGAGTAGGTATTATTTGACAGTACATATTTAATGTTCTTTCCTTCACAACTATAATAGAAAATATTTATATAGCATATATATGTTATCTACTGTTTTAAGCACTTTATGTGTGTTTTAACTCATTCAACCCTCCAAACAATCCTATAGAGTATTATTATTCCTATTTAATAGATGGAAAACCTGGGGAACAGAGAAGTTGAATAACTTTCACAAGTATCAGAGCTGTGACTCAAACCCAGAGAGTCTAGCTCCAGGGTCTGAAGCTTTTAACCACTAAATGCAATGGCCTTACCCAACAAACATGTCTCAAGTGCTTATTATAAGCACACGAATAAAACTTTGATTCTTTAGAAAATATTTGTAAAATCCGTTAAGTATAATAATGGAGTAACATACATGGAAGTCCAAAGGTGGGTTAGGTGAGTACCTAGCCCAGCTAAAGGGGATATGTGGAGCCTCCTAAAAGGAGGAACTAAACCTGGTGTGTCGAGGATGAGGCAAGGATGGGATGGACAATCGGGATGGAGAATGAGGCTGGAGAGTAGGTGGAGAAAGATCACAGAAGAGCCATGAGAAATAGCTTGAACTCTATCTCGTAGGTAGCAGGTTTTAAGTAAAAGGTGACTTAGTCAAGTATGAGTTTTTAAAAAACTTTCCTTGGGAACTAGCTGAAGAAGATCAGAGGATGAGCACAACAACAGTGAAAGCTGTCAGAAGGCTGTGGTAGCCCAGAGTGACAGATGTTTTTGAGGACGATGATAACGTAGTCTGTCAGCACTACTGTAACAAAATACTACAGCCTGGGTCATTTATAGAGAATAGAAATGTGTTTCTCAGAGTTTTGGAGCCTGGGAAGTCCCAGATCAAGACACCGGCATTGTTGTCTAGTGAAGGCTGCTCCATGCTTCCAACATGGCACCTTGTTTCTGTGCCCTCACATGGCAGAAGGCAGGAGGGCAAGAGGATCAAATGCTGTGGGAAGCTTCTTTCATAAAGGCCTTATTATTCCCCATACAGCCCGTATGCCTTGTCTTGGATGAGTAGATTGCAAATCAAACCTATAGTTCCTACACTCAAATGCTGTGGCAGCATCATATGCTGAGATGAGTGCTGGGCTAGGGATCTTAAAATTTGGATTCAATCTCAGTGTTGCTTTTTATTACTGTGTTACTTAAATTCTATTAGTATATTTCATTATCTGTACAAATAAGAGAACTAAAAGGCCGGACAATGTCAGAATAGAAGGTATCTATACCTTTTCTTGGGATAATTGCTGCTTATTTTTTGGACACTAAATGAATATTTTATTATATGTCTAGAAAGTATTTAAATGTTTTCTTTCTTATTTTGAAAGAAAGACTGCTGTGTTATTATGTTGCCTGAAACAAGCTTTGTTTTGATTATTTTTTAATCTGCAAGCTAGCCAGCCAAGCTCTGCCCTTAGTTCACTTCCTTGGAAGTTTCATGGAAATCAGTGGGATGTGGAATGATTAGCCAACAGTTGAATTTGGCCTGTGTTCCTGTGTGATTAACATGGCAGGGGGCCAGATAGAACTTGGGAGGTAAAGTGCTGCATTTGCATGAACGATGTCTCCAAAAATTAAATTCGAAAGGGTATGTATGAAGGAAATAATGTTTCTAACAGACCCGTCTGACCCTGTGTTTCCAACTTTTCCTGCCAAGCAACCTTTTCTGTAGACAATCGGAAGAAAGACATCTGTAAAAAGGATATATTGGGGAGTGTGTGGGTCTGTGCACATGTGCGTACTCTTTGTGTGTCGGTGTGACCTGTGTGCATCTGCATGTGTGTACATATTCAGGGAAAAATAGGATTAGAAAGGAATTCAGTAACAACACAGGTTCCCTTCACCTCCCCAGGGAAGCCATGCAGCAGGTAAATGTGTCACGCTTTAGCACATTTTTCCTGCTTAACTTTTATGCACATGTGTCCTCTAGTGTACTGTGTGTGACCACAGTACATGGTCTATATATTTTCACTTTGTCTCCAGTGTGATGCTTGGCACACAGGAAATGATCAAAATGTGTTGAATTGTTTTTGATCAAATCAATCCCAACTTTTATAACTAATTTGGAGGAGCTATTTCTGCTCATCTTCCTTTGCTGCTCCAGAAATTTCTCTCAAGCAAAGACAAAAGGTTGTTTTTAATGCGTGTATGTGCCTGATACTGTTTTAAGTCCTAATATGCAGTGTTAATATAGAAAGGTCTTTGAAATTCAATAAGAAAAGAAAAATACTCATTGATAAATATGAATTCATAAAAAAGAAATTAAGATGGCATATAAGAGTATCTAAACCCTTTTTTCAAAATTTCAAACTCACTAGTGTCAACCTAAAATAATCAAAAGGCATAGGATCCAGTGCAAAATGTAAGGATAGCCATCTGGGACCAATATACCCCAAAGAATGTATATTATTATAACACATTTTTTACACAAAAGCTAACACGCAGACATAAGATTCGATTGGCTACAAAGGGGATTGCTTAATGGTAAAGAGGTAACAATCACAAGAGGCTCTATCTCCAATGTCATTTAGTCTAGATATGAATGAAGAGTAGGGAGTCTGTTTAACATATACTATCTCAACACAAAGGTTAAGAAGCAATAGTCATGCATGACAGAAAGAAAAGCAGTGGTGCTATGTGACTCAGTTTCCAGGGCTTAACTTTTCACCTTGGCATAATAAATTAAGAAGGTTCTGAAATTTTATTTCAGTTTCATAAAATGAAATTTCATTTTATTTCAGTTTCATAAAATGAAATTTCATTTTATTTCAGTTTCATTAAATGAAATTTCATTTTATTTCAGTTTCATAAAATGAAATTTCATTTTCAGTTTCATTAAATGAAATTTCATTTTATTTCAGTTTCATTAAATGAAATTTCATTTTATTTCAGTTTCATTAAATGAAATTTCATTTTATTTCAGTTTCATAAAATGAAATTTCATTTTATTTCATTTTCATAAAATGAAATTGTATATTATTTCATTTTCATAAAATGAAATTGTATTTTATTTCATTTTCATAAAATGAAATTGTATTTTATTTCATTTTCATAAAATGAAATTGTATTTTATTTCATTTTCATAAAATGAAATTGTATTTTATTTCCTAATTTTTAATTTAAAAGTTAAGAAAACTAGACATTCAAAACTTACTAGAGATACAAAATAATACAATAAGATGCTATTTTATCCATCAAAGTATCAAAGATTAGAATTAAAAAATGATATTCAGAGTTGGCAAAAGATGCCAGAAACAGACACACTCATACAGGACCCAAGTAAATGTAAAATGATGCAGTCTTTCTGGAGGATTATAGGGCCATATTATCAAAAGTCTTAAATATCTTCTTTTACGCACTATCCCCATTTCTAGGAATTTATTCAATGGAAGTAATCAGAGGTGTGCATAAATGTTTCTGTGCAAAAGTTATCCCACTATTATTTACAAAAGCAAAGAAGAAAACACAAAGGAAATAACCAAAATGTTTAGTAATAGATATTCAGTTATGAAAGCATACTATTTTAAAATGAGATGAAAAATATTCATAATATAATATTAAGTTAAAATAGGACATAAAGCAAATATTACATGATAAATATTATATATATATATGGGTACTTTAGTCTTAACACTGGTAAAGTGATTTTAATTTTAATATTATTCGAATTTTTTATAAAAAGAATGCATTCCACTTATGTGTGTGTGTTTATCCGTTAATTTAAAGAGTTACTGTGCTCATTATAAAACTAGATGAAAAAAAGACTTTGATCTGCAAAGAGCTGTTCAAACTTTAGCAAGAAATGTGAAATATGTTAAAAATGTAAACACTATGGTTTGAGTTTTATTGTGTACTAATTAAAAGCAAATGTTTGCTAGCTCAAAAAAAAAGAGTTACTGTTATCAAATATTCAAAGCCGAAGGAATATTGTTGAGAAAAACATTAAGATTTTGGATATCCTAAATATTTAATATATTACCTGTAAGTATTTATTCAGAAGAAAAATGCCATAGATTCTTTTTTTTACTGCCTTAAACATATTCTAATGTTTTAGGTGCTTGCTGGGTGACAAATCAGTATTTTTCACTGTGTTAGTTAAGCTACTTCTAGATGTGTTTGTCTTTAAACAAGTGATTATTTTTATTATGTACCAGCACATTGTTATAGCAATTTTTAAAAGCATTGAATGTGTATAGAACAAAGTTGTTTTGTTGTTTCGTTTTTCTTTTCAAACTTTTAATACTTGTTTGCATAAAATTGGTGTTTATTCATTTGTTTAACAAATATTTATTGCACACTTCTACAGTCTGAGTTCTGTTCTTGGCATTGAAGAAACACTGGTGAATAAACATGTCTCTGACCTTGGATTTTAATAGAGCACGTAACAAATAAAAATAACAAAAAAATTACATAAAATCATCTCAGGAGGTGATAGGTGCTACAAGCCAACAGTACAGCAGGATGGGAAGCTCATAAGTGATGAGAAGGATGGTATTAATTAAGGTGGTCAGAGATAACCTCTTGAGGAGGTGTCATTTGAGCAGAAAGATGAATAAGATGAAGGAACAACCCATTTACATCATAGGGACAACATGACAGGCAGAGGGAAACACAGGTTCAAATCTCAGGAGACAGAAAAATTTGACATGCTAGAATCGCAAAAGCACACTGAGATCGGAGTGGAGGACGTGAGGACAAGAGCGAGGGAAAATTAGGTCCAGGCATATCACAGCAGATTTATTGAGTTCTGTGGCTTTTGTTCTAGTGTTACAGGGGGGTTACTGGGAAGATTTAGCGAGAGAGTAATGTGATCTGATTTCCGTTGTTAAAGAGTATGCTGGTTGCTGGGTGAAGATTAAACTGTAGGCAGGAAAGAGAAGAAAGAAAATAATACCAGTTTGGAGGGTCTTGCATCAGTGCAGGCAAAATACAGTTGCTTGTACCAGAAATAAAAGTGATGAGAAGTAATTTTACTCTAAATGTACTTTAAATATAGAACCAGCAGAATCTGCTGAGAAAAAGAGATGAATCAATGATGACTTCTAGGTTCTTGACTCAAGCAACTGCCTGAATGGTGTTTTCATTTCTTAGTGAGGTAAGTGGTTGGAGAAAGTGGATAGCAAAAGTTTTGTTTTCGACGTGTTGGTCTTGAATTGCATACTTGACATCCAAATTGGGATGTGGAGTAAGCAGTGAGATATACAAGTCTGAAGTTCAGAGAGGAAGTATGGTCTGGAGATATAAACGGAGAAATCACATGCACACAAATGGGATTTAGAGCCAAAGAATGGAATAAATACACCTAGAGAGTGAGGAGAAAACAAAAATATGTTCCAAGAATTATGTCCTGTAGTAATCCAACATTTCAAATTGGAAAAGGTGAAGAGTAACTAGAAAATGAGACTGAGAAAATATTGTCAATTCAGTAGAAGGAAAACAGAAAGAGTAGGGAATACAAATAGAAAATTGAAGACGTTTTTCAGCCAGGAAATGATCATTTATGTCAAATCCTCCTGCAAGATCTAGAACAAAGATTAGAAATTGAACTCAAATTGAACTTAGCAACATAGAATTTGATGTCGAGTTTAAGAGTAGTTTCAGTGAAGTTGTGGACTGACAGGCTGACTAGGAAAGACTGCAGAAAGGACAAACGGGAAAGAGGTGGAGACAGTAATGAAGACAATTCTTCTGAAGATGTTTGCTATTATATTCATGCATTTTATGTGTCATATAAATAAAATACACAGTATATATATAAAACATTATATTTACATATAATCAGGATGTTTTAATATATTTAATGCTATAATTTAAACTCTGATAATTTGAGAGGTAAGATATTTCATTTTACTTAAAGCATTGTTTATTTGTAATTGTGATAAAATACATAACATAAATTTTGCCATCTTAGCCATTAAGTCTACAGTTCAGTAGTGTTAAGTGTATTCACACCATTGTGCAATGAATCTACAGAACTTTTTCATCTTGCAAAACTGAGACTGTGTACCCATTAAACAATTCCTCATCACTGCATTCCTTGGAGTGGTGTCACAATCACTATTCTACTTTCTGTCTGTATCCATTGGACTACTCTAGTATCTCATATAAATGGAATCATAAGTATTGTTTTACTGGGACTGGTTTATTTAACTTAGCATAATGTCCTCAACCTTGAGGACATGTTGTAGCATGTGTCCGACTTCCTTCCCTTTTAAAGCTGAACAATATTCTATTGTGTGTATATACCACATTTAATTTATTTATTCATCTATCAATGAACATTTGGTTACTTGTACCTATTGGCTATTGTGAATAATGCTGCTGTGACTCTGGGTGTACAAATATCTCTTGAAATTCACCTTTTAGTTTATTTGGATTTAAGAAGTGGAATTGCTAGACCATATGGTAATTCTATTTCTAATTGTATGAGGTGCCCCCATAATGTTTTTCATATTGGCTACACCATTTTACATGCTCACCAACAGTGCACACTTTCTTCATACCCTTGTGAACATCTGTTATTTTCTTTTTTTTTTTTAAATACTAGCTACCCTAATGGGTGTGAAATGATATCTCATTGTGGTATCTTCATTTTCCTAGGGATTAGTGATGTCAACATCTTTTCACATGCTTTTTGGTCACTTACATGTATTATCTAGAGAAATGTCTATTCAAGATTTTTGCCCATTTTTTAATTAGGTTATTCATTATTGTTGTTGTTGAGTTGTAGGAATTATTTATACATTCTGGATATTAACCCCTTATCAGGGAAATGATTTGCAATTATTTTCTCCCATCCCGTAAGTTACATTTTCACTCTGTTGATTGTGTTCCTTGATGCACAACAGTTTTAAATTTTGATGTAGTCTCTTTTGTTTATTTCTACTTTTGTGGCCTGTGCTTTGATGTCATATCCAAGAAATCATTGCCAAATCCAGTGTCATAAAGCTTTTCTTTTCCCTTATGTTTTGTTCTAAGATAATTTAATAGTTTAAAGTCTTACCTTTAAGTCTTTGATTCATTTTGAGTTGGGTTTTATATATGGCGTAAGGTATGGGTAAGATCCAACTTCATTCTTTTTTATGTTATTTATTTATTTATCGAGACAGAGTTTCATCCTGTTGCTCAGGCTGGAGTGCAATGGCACAATCTCGGCTCACTGCAACCTCCGCCTCCCGGGTTCAAGAGATTCTCCTGCCTCGGCCTACCGAGTAGCTGGGATTACAGGCATGCACCACCATGCCCGGCTAATTTTTGCATTTTTAGTAGAGATGAGGGTTTCACCATGTTGGCCAGGCTGGTCTTGAACTCCCGACCTCAAGTGATCCGCCCCCCTCAGCCTCCCAAAGTGCTGGGATTACAGGCATGAGCCACCGCGCCCAGCCTCAACTTCATTCTTTTGCATGTAGATATCCAGTTTTCTCAACAGCATTTGTTGAAAAGATTGCCCTTTCTCCATTGATTGATCTCAGTTCATTTTTCACTTCTTTGTTTACTGATGAGGTAATTATAGGATTTGACTAAAAGTCTAATTGAAATTACATGGATAAATTGATTTAATCAGTTGGATAAGAAGTATTACTTAAATAGTCAACTGAACAAACTGAGAAGTTTGAATTTTACAGAAACTGGGGGCTACTTTGTACTTTATACCTAAACTTAATGTGCTCCCAACCAAGGCGAAAGGGCTGATCTGATTATCTTTGTATGAGATAGTTCAGTATGCTTGTTAGCTGTAAGAGAGGGCACTCTTTCTCCACTTCAGCTGAGTCTGTAGTGCTGTTACTGAATCACTGTAGGCTGTTGAGTGTCCAGGACAAGGCAACCAGATTTTCACCCAAGTCTCTTTTGTTTGAAGGAATAGAAATCCATCTGTACTAGTCAAATAAGATTTATGAAGAGATCCAGTGATTACTCTTGAAGCCAATAGCAGTCTCATGTAAACTTCAGCTAATAACTAAGAAGCATCTTAGACTCAGAACAGTTTCCCTTTCTGTCCTTTGCTTACTGGTGACCACATGGGCTTCCTTTCTTTTTCTGTTCATTTTATTCTCTTTCTCTTCTGTTTGCCGATCAGATTCCTCTGCTTGTTCCTCAGCATTCACGAGGTAAAAAATGACACCCCTGCTTAAACTTTAAATTACCTTCCGTTACATGCAAATACAAACATCAGACTCGTAATTAACATTAAATAACATCTTTGAGTACTTATGTGGCAGAGGCTGCTTTAAATGCATCGTATGTATTTAACTCATTTAATCTTTAAAAACACAAATGGGGAGTGGGAATTAGAGCCCTATCAGCCAGCTTGTGACCTATTTTTTCCCCTCAGCGGGGATGCCTAGGAAAGAAAAAACTAACCAAGTCACAATTTCTTGCAAACATGTTAGTAACCAAACATCTGTGATAAACACACAAATGCTATTTATTAGCAAGGAGAAACGAGTCCTTATTTGTGAAATGTTTTTTAGCAGGGTATACTTGGTCAGTTTGGGTTGCTTATTTTAAGGATGTATTGGTATTTATAAGCTATCTTATTAATAGGGCATAAAAAGGAGGTATTTTATAACCAAATGGCTCCTACTGTTTAATACATGTTTTTCTTCAAGTTTTGTATAACAACTAATATGTTTAGTCTGAACCAGAAGGCATTGTTACATAGAAGACAAAGGACATGTGAGATTCTGCCTTGACAGTCTCAGACATCTTCATGGAAAGAATGCTTATCTAGTCTTGCTATTGCCTCTGCATTTTGAATTACTAGTAAAATTGATACTGGTTGTGATTTATTATTTATAGTGTGTCTTATTTCACTAACTCTTCATGTTAGAGAGGATATTATATTTATTCACAGTCTGCGATAAAAAAATTAAGAAACAGAAAGTTTCTATTTGTGCTCTTTCAGACTTTTTGATGTAGGCATTTAATGCTATGGACTTTCTTCTTAGCACCACTTTTGCTGTGTCTCAGAGGTTTTGATAAGTAGTCACTGTTATTGTTCAGTTCAAAGAATTTTTTAAATTTCCATCTTGATTTCATTGTTGTCCCAAAGATCATTCAGAAGCAGATTATTTAATTTCCATGTATTTGTATAGTTTTGAGGGTTCCTGTTGGAGTTATTTCCAGTATTATTCCACTGTGGTCTGAGAGGGTACTTGATATAATTTTGATTTTCTTACATTTCTTGAGACTTGCTTTGTGGCCTATCATATGGTCTATGTTTGAGAATGTTCCATGTGCTGATGAAAATAATGTATATTCTGCAGTTGTTGGGTAGAATGTTCTGCAAATAACCTTATGTCCATTTGTTCTAGGGCACAGTTTGAGTCCATTGTTTCTTTGTTGACTTTCTGTCTTGATGACCTGCCTAGTGCTGTCAGTAGAATATTGAAGTCCCCCACTATTATTGTATTGCCATCTATCTTATTTCTTATGGCTAGTAGTAATTGCATTATGATTTTGGGATCTCCCATGTTAGGTGTATATATATATATATATATATATATATGTGTGTGTGTATATATATATCACACATGTATATAAATATATATATATATTTAGGATTGTGATTTTTCCTGTTGGACAAGGCCTTTTATTATATAATTTTCCTCTTTGTCTTTTTTAACTGTTGTTGCTTTAAAGTCTGTTTTGTCTGATATAAGAATAGGTACTCCTGCTCACTTATCATAGAATACCTTTTTCATGCCTTTACCTTGAGTTTATGTGAGTTCTTACGCCTTAGGTGAATCTCTTGAAGACAGCAGATACTTGGTTGGTGGATTTTTATCCATTCTGCCATCATGTATTTTTAAGTGGAGCACTTAGACTATTTAAATTCACATTAGTAGTAAGATGTGAGGTACTGTTTTATTCATTTTGCTAGTTGTTGCCTGAATATCTTGTGTTTTATTTCACTGTGTTATTGTTTTATGCTTGAAAGAGGCTCTATTTTGGTGTATTTTGAGGGTTTTTTTGAGATTTAGAACTCCTGTTAGCATTTTTTGTAGCACTGGCATGGTAGTAGTAAATTCTCTCAGAATTTGTTTCTCTGAAAAAAAGCTTTATCTTTCCTCCATTTATGAAGCTTAGTTTCACTGGTAAAAAACCACTGGCTGGCAATTATATTGTTTAAGGATTCTAAAGATAAGAACTCAAACCTTTCTGGCTTGTAGGGTTTCTGCTGAGAAATCTGCTGTTAATCTGATAGATTTTCCTTTACAGATTTTCTGATGCTTTTGCCTTACTGCTGTTAAGATTATTACCTTTGTCTTGACTTTAGATGACATGATGACTATGTGCCTGGGTGATTATCTTTTTGCAATGAATTTCCCAGGTGTTTTTTGAGCTTCTTTTATTTGGATGTCTAGGTCTCTACAGAGGTCAGGGAAGTTTTCCTCAATTATTCCCTCAAATATGTTTTCCAATCTTTTAGATTTCCTTTTTCTCAGGAATACCAATTATTCTTAGGTTTGGCCAGTTAAAATAATCTCAAATTTCTTGGAGTTTTTGTTCATTTTTTTGATTATTTTTTCTTTGTTTTTGTCTGACTGGGTTAATTTAAAAGCCTTGTCATTGAGCTCTATAGTTATTTCTTCTATGTGTTCTAGTCTATTGTTGAAACTTTCCAATGCATTTTGTATTTCTCTTAGTGTGTCTTTCACTTTCAGAAGTTGTGATTGTTTTTCTTTATAGTATCTATTACTCTGGAGAATTTTTCATCTGTATCCTGTATTTTTTCTTTCATTTCTTTAAGTTGGTTTTCACCTGTCTCTGGTATCTCCTTGAGTAGCTTAATAATCAACCTTCTGAATTCTTTATCTGGTAATTCAGAAATTTCTTCTTGCTTTAGATCCATTGCTGGGGAGCTTTTATGGTCTTTTGAGATTCTTTTGTCCCATGGGGTAATCCTTTGATGTGGTGCACTCCCCCTTCCCCTAGGGATGGGGCTTACTGTGAGCCAGACTGCAGTGACTGTTATCGCTCTTCTGGGTCTAGCCCAGAAGGGCTACCAGGCTCTGGCTGGTGCTAGAGTATGTCTGCAAAGAGTCCTGTTATGCTATTTGTCTTCAGGTCTTCCAGCGATGAATACTAGCACCTGCTCTGGTGGAGGTGGCAGCAGAGTGAAGTAGACTGTGTGAGAGTCCTTGGTTGTAGATATGTTTAGTGTGCTGGCTTACTCGAATGCTGGTTATGCTAGCAGTGAAGTTGTCATGCAGACAGACTCAGGACCATGGGTTAGACAGGATGTTGCAGATAGTGGAATTAGCTGTTGTTTTCTCCTTCCTTGGAGCAGGGTTGTTCTGTCATCAGTTCCTGTGAAGTCCTGAGTTGGCCTCCAGCCAGGAGATAACACTTTTGGAAGACCACCAGCTGCCATAGCCTAAGAGGGATATAAGCTTGCCCTAAGTTGGCCAGGATAAGCATTAGGGTTTCTCAGGCCATGGGCAAGGTCATAAAATTTCCAAGATTTTATGCCTTTTGTTATTAGCTACTGGGGTGGGTAGAGTAATATCATCAGGTTGGGGCAGGATTAGGCAGTTCTGAGCTCAGACTCTTCTTGTGTGGGGCTTGCTGCCACCACTGTAGGGGATGTGGGGGTGGTTCTCAGGCCAATGGGGTTATATTCCAGGGGAAATTATGGCTGCCTCTGTCACCAGGAAAGTGGAGGAAAGCTGGTATCAATAGGTCTCACCCAGCTCCTACATAGTTGGCATGGTCAGTCTCACTGGTCCCATGAACAGCACTGAATTTATCTCCAGGCAGCCTATGGTGAAGGACTCAGACCTAGCCCCAGGCTATAAGTTTCCTGGCTGAGAAAGCAAGCAACCACTTTCAGGCCATGCCCTGTTCCCATCTGCCCACGCTGTCAGCCATCTTCTGCTCTCCTTTCTGCAGCAGTTCCCATTCCCTGCCGAGTTCTGCTCAAGGGAGTTTATGCCCAGTCAAAATTATTAGAAAGTTCAGTTGGAAGCTTCTTTCACCTTGTGACCCTTCCAAATTCCACTGATTGCCTTCCCCGAGGGCACCTGTGAGATATACTCAGGGATGGCTTCCTTGGGCTACAGCTGGAGAATGGGAGTGCTGACAAGCCTCTTCCCACTGCTGCTTCTGCTTTTATATTTCCCATTAAATCCATTTCAGCTCTAGGTAAGGTTAAATCCTTCTCCCATAATCTGAATTTTCAGATTCCCCAGTGGGGATGTGTGTTTAGAGGCAGCTTTTCCCCCTCTCACACTTTGGGAACTCACAGTTTTTCACCCATCTCAGGGAAGTTGCAATAGCCTGCTGCTTCTTTTAAATGATCTGTGATTTTCTTTTGTTTTTTTTTTCTGGTACACTTCTGCAGTGGTTCCTGGATCAAAAGTACATGGTGTGAGTCTCCACATGCTGTTCTATCCATCCAAATGGGAGCTGCATGTTAGCCCTGTCTTCTGTCCATCATCTTTTCCCAGAAGCTTTTTATTTTAATTAGATCCCATTTGTCAATTTTTGCTTTTGTTGCAATTGCTTTTGTTGCTTTTGGCATCTTCATTATGAAATCTTTGCCCATGCCTATGTCCAGAATGGTATTGCCTAGGGTGTCTTTCAGGGTTTTTATATTTTGGATTTTACACTTAAGTCTATAATCTATCTTGAGTTAATTTTTGTATATTTGTAAGAAAAATATTTCTTCTGCCAGTTGCTTATAGAATGCCAACAGGAGTAAAAATATCACCTTAGTCTTGGCCAAAGTTCAAGAGAATATGTTGAGAATTTATGAAGTTAGGAATTATTTGTCCCTAGAAAACATTTTCCATAGTGTTAAATGAAGAATTAAGGTATAAAACTTTAACCTTTAAAATGATCTCATGCTGCCAAGGCTGTTTAGTACTTCAGACAGGAGATAACTTTGGGTACTATTGAATCTGTGATTCTGAAAGGTAATTGATATATTGTGATGTAAGATATATGTACATGTACACATATGTACATATACATATCAGAAACATATTTCTGCCTATCAACATATTGGAAGTCTTTGAATAGTTTTAGCTATATATTCTCTTTGTACATTTAATTCTCAAATGAATTCACTACATTAGAGACTAAATCTTGGGACTAATAAGCAAACAATTATTAAGAAAAGTGGAAAGTAAAACATAACCCAGTTTGGCCCACTCAGATAATGATTTGTAATAAAAGGAGAGGATATCTAATTGCAGCCCCAGCTTTGAATGAAGGCACATTTTTATTCAGTTGTGCCTGACAGATGCAGTCACAATTTGGCACTACTGTGAGTCACTTATTCCTCTTACAGATTTTATTGATTGATTGTGATGGATTTGTCTTTTTACTAAAGGAAGATTGTCAGACCATTATGGGCTTTGTGTGTGTTGATAAATTTGTTTACCTTGACTTTCCATTATTGGCACACGTATTTTTATGTGTACATAAAAATAAAATTTCCTTTGTAAAGAATTGTTTTCATTTCCAAACATTGATTTCTTCTTTATAGTTCTATTAAGTACTATTGATCCAAGATGTCTGTATTTGATTATATCCTTGATTTTTGGACAGCTATGACAGCTGTCTTCAAAACTCTGGGAACATTTTTTTTTTTTTAACCAGATGAGTCTCCTTTTTCAGGCTAAAGATGTCACTGTAGACCCTTCTATGGAGAAGGAATATTGCATAATTGAAAGACAAACATACTTGGATTTAAATACTCGATTTTTATTTGGTTTTTTCTTAGCAAAATAAAATTAAAAAAAATAACACCAAGCATGGACCAGTATACATGGAAGTAACTGGAAAGGTGCTCAGTAGAAGTTAGGTTTGTTTTTGCCCTGTCATTTACTCTGCCCCACTTTAACCCAATAAAATGATCAAGGACTTTATTTTTATTACTTTGTAAAACCAATAAAAAACTGGAAATTTATATTTTCATTCCAAGACATATAAACATCTTCCATTCCCTCATTATCTCTACTCCCATAAAACCTTTAAATCACACATTAAACTTTTGGTATTTAAAAAAAATGTCTCTGGCTAAGTAAATGTTTGATTTCTTTTACTTTCCCTTATTTGAATTTTTTGGAAATGTTATCCTCTATTATGAGGATGCTAGAAAATATACACTATCAGTTATGGTAGAAATATGACAAGCAACAAAATAGTCATTCAGTAGTAAACTAAGGTTAATTAGAATGAGACCGAACTCACAACTCTGTGTTTTCTTTCAAAGACTCCTAGTGAACTGTCATGGACACCATGCCTAACAGGGTGGCGTTTCTAATTATTCACCCATGTGAGTGCTCTCTCTTGGCAGGTAGGTGACTTCACTCCCAGCCAGTTGGTGTGTCTGTTTATTTAGCTATAGTTTGTGGAATGTGAGTAGAAGTGATATGTCACTTCTGACACACAGAAAAAGCCCTCCTGATTCCCAGTTTTCTTTTTGTTTGTTTGTTTATGTAGGGGCCTATGTTACATGGAAACTTCATCAGCTGTAAACAGCATAGATTTTTAACTCTAAGGAGAATGCCTGCCTTTGAGTCACTGGGGTTTGAGGCTTTGAGTCATTGAGGCTTTGCCTTAGGATTAAATAGATTTACATTGAGTTAACTATTGAGACTTTGGGGTTTTATGGCACCACAACAAGATGTAATCTATCTTGGCTAAAGCTTTTGATGGAGAAATGCATGGTATTTGTGAAGGTCATTAATTCTCTCAGGAAATTTCTATGATTTATGTTGGGCCAGGCATTGTACTGACACCATGGTGGATAAAGGAAACACTGAACAAAACATAGACCCTAGCTCTTAGGAGTTGATGATCTGATAGCAGCACTACCTTAAGTTTTATTGGCTCACTTTTGATCTTTCAAAGTATCTTTCCACAGTTCATCACAGTTCATTTCACTTAATCCTCACAACAACACTATTCCTATTTACATTTCACAAATAAGTAAGCCAGGACTCAAATCCATTGAGCACGTAAATGAAAAGAAACAGAATTTACATGCGACCTCTGATTTCTGCCTGTTTAAATGTGCCCAACTAAGGTCTAGACTTGCGCATGAGTGAGCTGTCCTGACTGAAGGTGAGTCATGGGACCTTAAGAGAAGGTATACTTGAGGGAGAAGCAATGTACTGGGCAAAACAAAGGTGCAGAGCCTCAGAGAGTCTGCCTTTTGGGGACTGTAGGTTTGAGGCTAAGCACAATACTATGAGAAAGATTTATTTATTACAATTAACCTTTTTTTCTGTCTTTTCTGTTTTTTTTTCTCATTAACAAAGATATGGAGGAACAAAGAGGACATCTAAGAACTAAAGACTTCATGTTTTTTTCTTTATATATAGAACCCCTAGATGGGAAATTTGCCAAATAACATTTTCATATAAATCTATATAATATTTTATTATATTTTTCTTTTAGTTGATTATTCTATACCTTCATCTCATCGATAAAAAAATTATTCCCGGCCGGGCGCGGTGGCTCACGCCTGTAATCCCAGCACTTTGGGAGGCCGAGGCGGGCGGATCACGAGGTCAGGAGATCGAGACCATCCCGGCTAAAACGGTGAAACCCCGTCTCTACTAAAAAATACAAAAAATTAGCCGGGCGTAGTGGCGGGCGCCTGTAGTCCCAGCTACTTGGGAGGCTGAGGCAGGAGAATGGCGTGAACCCGGGAGGCGGAGCTTGCAGTGAGCCGAGATCCCGCCACTGCACTCCAGCCTGGGCGACAGAGCGAGACTCCGTCTCAAAAAAAAAAAAAAAAAAAAAAAAAATTATTCCCAATTATTATATAACTAACTTCTTTTCTACCAATATTTCATCCCTACTAGGACATAACACTTTTCTATTTGCTAAGTCATTTTTTGAGACTATGATCTATGTATTCTTGTTTTTCATATATAAGTTAAAGATAAACCTGTTTATATTAATTAAATATTTTCTAAGGTATAAAGCCTTTAACATTATAAACTTGGAAAACGTGCTCACAATTTTTATCACATATATTGTCATCACACGTATTCTGAATGCCTAGCAAGGTTTAGTAAATGCTTATGAAATCAGCTCATGATAAATGAATGCATAAAACAAGGGTCCATTTTATTTTTTAAAGCCTTTTCATTAAATGATGATACTAGGACAAGCCCTGAGATGCATTTGGGGTGTAATTAGAGGGCAAACACAGTAGATTCAATTCTAAAGGAAACAAACTTAAAAAAAAATGGAGGAAAGAGTATGAGTTGAAGCAATTAGGGGAAATAAATTGAGAAGGTTAACCTAAATTTGAGTCTAAGCCTTCATCTAAAAAGTTCAACCTAAATGTTTAAAATGAACTCTATTATAGTCAGGTTTTTTCGGTGTATACTTTTTTCATTTTTCTGCCCTGTAAAAATGAATATAAATTTATTACACATAAAATTTCATTTACCACTATCCAAAGAGAAGATTATTATGCAACTGTTGTAAAAATGACTGTATGTACAACCTTTCAGGAGACAAAAATAGAAAACTAGATTGGTCCAAGCTGACTAATAATTGTTCCTGCTGTTCAATTTTGGACAATTTGATTAATTAACTATTATTTTCAAGTAGTGATCAAACTGGAGAATAACCATATCCAATTATTTTTTCTACATGGAAAAATATTTTTCATTTTTTCCATGAACAAAAGCAATGAACAGAAATTATCCAAAAAACTAGTGAGGCAGCAGCTTGTTCTGTAAACTTCATTAGGAGAAAAAAAATCTTTCCAGGAATGAAATATTAACATTTGCTATGGCTGGACTTATATGTAATTGCTGTTATATCACAGAATTTTAAAATTTTGGTGTATCATGGAGTTATAGAAGTTAGACTTCTAGGCTGGGCACAGTGGCTCACGCCTGTAATCCCAGTACTTTGCGAGGCCAATGTGGACAGATCACGATCACTTGAGGTCAAGAGTTCGAGACCAGCCTGGCCAGCATGGTGAAACTCTGTCTCTACTGAAAATACAAAAAAAAAAAAAAAAAAAAAAAAATTAGCCAGGCATAGTGGCAGGCAACTGTAATCCCAGCTACTCCGGAGGCTGAGGCATGAGAACCACTTGAACCCAGGAGGCAGAGGCTACAGTAAGTCGAGATATTGCCACTCCAGCCTGTATGACAGAGCAAGACTCCATCCTAAAAAAAATCTATAATAAGTTAGAATTCTATCATGGAATTATAGGAGCTTATTGTATTATGGAGTTTTCGTTTGCTGTATCATGTGTTTTAGAATTTTGTTACAATACAGAATTAAAAGTTTACTATGTCATGGAGTTAGAGAATGTGTAGGATCATAGAGTTATAAAATTTTGATGGTGAGGAAATCATCATAAATTATCTAGGGGCCCCAATAGTTTAACTGGCTTCCCTAGGGTCACTCAATTAATTGAAAATATGTCAGCATTTATCAGTTCTCTTTTTTCTTCTCCATGGTCAGCATTATATATTGTATTTGAATTATCCATGTAAGACCAAAACAATCTTATATTTGAATGCTTCTAGGAACTTAATTCTTTTTTTTCCAGATCTATATTCCTTTCAATCTCAGAAGCAACTAAATCTCAGTGGTCTCTGACTTTTTCTTGTCAACTTTTTTTTCATGTTCCATAATATTCAATAATCAGCATATGGCATCCTTATTCAATCCACTTTGGCCATTTAAACAATTTTCATCACCACTCTATTTGTATCTAGAAGGCATATAAAATTAAAGTATGAAACGATACCATAAGGATAAAAGGTAGTAGATTCAATTTAAAGTAACAAAAAATTTGATATTGTTAGAAACATGAAATGAATTTTCAGTTTTGAATTAAAGCTAATTTCTGAGTTTCCTGGCAGCTAAAAATAAAGAAGAAACTTGAATAACTAAATTCCTTTTAAAATAAAATATATGTAAATAATACTTGATATAAAATATACTTGAATACATATACATCCTCATTTCGAGAAAAACTTTTTATAGCATTTAATCCAACAAAATTCTCTTATAAATCCTCTACAAAACAATAAATGTATCTTCAAAAATGATACAGCCAAAACAAAATGCACAATTATCAAATTAAAGCTTCCTTCATAAAAAATAGAGTATAATCTTAGATCATAACTCATTGAAAGTCTTCTTCCTCTTTCCACACAAGTACATTATGTGCTCGTGATCTAACTGAACACAGCGATGTAAATCACAGGACATGAATGCCAAGTATTTTACATATTCAATTACTGGGACCATTTTTTTGGTGTTAGATTACAATTAAATCAAAATTAATTTCTCTGATGAACATCACAAGTGTTTATGAGCTTTTTTATTGACTACTGAGAGCTTCACGGATTTCACAAGAAGCTTTTCAGCCCACAACATCCTGTTTCATGAAAACCGTATGTTTCATGAAAACAGTCTAACTGGAAGCATTGTTTTGGTGAGGATCAGGATCAGGACCACAAGAGTAGCTCTGACTCAGTCCAGGGTTTTCCTCCCTGATGAACTCTGAGTCTTCTCAAGCCCATGGAGCAGTGTGTAACTGAAACCCCAGTGCTCTGAGTTATAGCATAAAACATCCTTGTCCCAAAATGATTAAGGGCATTTGTTGTGAGTCAATAGCTTTGACATAAAAGGACATCAACAAAGCCACTAAAGGTTATCTTAACTACATTTTGAAATATTTCTGAAGAAGTTTTCTGAAAAATGAACTTTAGGAAATATTCAGGACCTACCCTTACGCAATAGTTGATGAAAACTATCAATTGAGATGTTGAAAAATCTTCATTACATGCAAAGACTGTGGTTTAGTGTGGCTTTTTCTAAACCATGCTAACAATTGGCCAAAAAATGTTTAAGTGTGTTTGGGCTTGGGAAAATAAAAATCAACATTGAGAAAACATCAGTCTTTCTGATTTTTTACTGCAATCAGATTGCGACTATGAATTATTGCATAATTTATATTAATAACTTACATTATATATTACTTTGGAGTACTTCTACATGTCTTATCTTAAAAATACCAGTAATTGCCTTGTGAACGAGATATTTACATTTGAAGAGTGCTAAGGCTCAAAGTGATTAAAAATTATGTGTCATTTATTAGTTGAGATTAGGATTGGCTCCAAGAAAAACCATAAACACTTTGACTTAAACAAGCTGTTTTTCCTAAGCCCTTGCGTTTATTTTTCTCTCAAGTTCAAGGCTGGTATAGTGTTTCACTAGTGAGGAATTCAGGCTCCTTCTATTTTACTGCCCTGCAATATACACTTTCAATCTCAAGTTTATCACTTGGTCAAAGAGGGCTGCTGAAGCTCTGGCAATTATGATCACATTTTGTTAGAAGGAAAAAGAAAGGGAAGAGTAGTTTCTGGAAATCACACTCTCCTTCCGACAAGGTCATTTAGTGGCATGGCCACGCCTGGCTGTAAAGGCGTCTAGGAAATTTTTTTGTTCTCAGCAGCCATGTGTATAGCTGAAAATGAGGGATTCTATTACTATGAAAAAAGGAGTGAATCTATATAATGTATCACCTTCCAGTTTCCGCTACACCTAGCATCTTATGTCTAGTAAGTAATGAAACCAGGACCTGAGCCTGGTCTTTCTTGTTCTTTGTCTCTATGGTCTAATTACAGTTCCTGCCATGTAATTAAAAGGAAATAGGCTGATACATAACTTTGCTTTCACCATTTTGAGCTGTAATAGTATCTGTCATGAGACTGCTCCTGCTTGCTGTCATTTTGTCAGATTGTTTAGATAGAATCTTTGAAGAAACAATACTGATAGTTCTGCTACTATGAAAGATTTGTGTGTACAAAGATTCTGTCTATGCAGTTAAAGTTCAAAATTATTTTCTTGAGTGCTATGAAGTCTTACTATATTTCTGTTTTCTTGTTAAGAAAGAACTGAATACATTAATAATTAGTTGTGAAATACGTGTATCTTCCTCTACTCCTTGCAAGATTTTAGATCAAGAGACTCATTTCTTTTCAAAAAATGAATAAACACCATTTGAAGGGACCATGAAGGATGAATATGTCTATCTTTTTAAAGCAACAGAAAATTTTACATCTTGCAGTTGGCATGGCCATCCTTTGAGACCAACCATAGAAAATATAAATAACGTAGCCGAGATTGGGGCTTATTGGAACTCCCAATTTTCTTTAGGAGAGAGTTGATTTCCTGAGCGTTTTCATCTTAAGATAAATCAAATATTGATATTAATATTGATGCAAAAGTATGCTCAATGATTGACTCAAAATAGAAGTATGTTTTGACAGAATTTCAGCACCTTTCTATAGAAATGGCCTACATCAGAATTATGCTTTTAGACCTGGATCTCCCAAATGTCCAGAAGTTGTGGGAAAATAAAACCAAAAAAATTTGAAGAAAATTAAAAGCTTGATGAAAGGAAAGGAGAACAAATGCTTTATTATATTGCTATTATTATAGAGGTTTAAAATGGCTAAAAACTCTCTATGTCTATATCTGGAGATGTAAAAGTGGAAATAAGTGAATTATTTATCTCAGTTCAGAGAGCTGTAAAAACAATTAATCTGAAGATGAGAAGCAGATCCTTCAGGTTAGACTTTTTAATTACAGCAGTGGTCCTTATAATTTAGGATGCGTTTGATTCACCTAGCGAGCTTGTTAAAACACAGATGACTGGTCCCTACCCCCACAGTTTCTGATTCAGCCAATCTAGAATGAGACTTGAAATGTGCTTTTTTTTTACAAATTTCCAGGTGATGTTGATGGCACTGGTCTGGGACTGCACTTTAAGACCACTATAATACAGCATAGTTATTTAAGGGAAAACTTCCCTCCTTTGAAATTGTGTTGTGATTGTTCACCCTGTGGAAGAGAAAGATGATGTTTATAGCATTCCCACATCTCTGGCATGACACCAAATTACTTGCATGAAAAGACAAACAGTGCACAATTTATCCAGATGTTTAATCTGTGACTCTACATAAGACCAAACAGCCAGAAATTGCAAAGTTTCAAGCAAATTAAACATCTGGATATTTGATTTATTTTTTACATTCTAATCTAATCTAATATTTTTGGTTCAGTTAGACTCAATCTCTCCTTTATGTAGCAATTTCCAGATTAAGAAGTCACCTCCCAACATGGACCTATCTACTGCTATTTTTTTCCAGCATGCAACAGCTATGCCACATTGAACCCTGACGCATATCTCTTAGTTGCATTTCTGATACATCCACTAGTCATCATTTCATTTGTCATTCTGCTACTCTCTACATATTTCAATTTTCTCAGCAAGAAATCCATGAGGCCACTTAATAAGATGTTTTACCTGCAATGACCCCACCATGGTTACAACTCTTAAGAAAAGGTATCTTGCCAGGTGTGGTGGCTTACGCCTGTAATCCCAGCACTTTGGGAGGCCGAGGTGGGTGGATCACGAGGTCAGGAGTTCAAGACCAGCCTGGCCAAGATGGTGAAACCCCGTCTCTACTAAAAATACAAAAATTAGCTGGGCATGTTGGTGGATGCCTGTAATCCCAGCTACTCAGGAGGCTGAGGCAGGAGAATAGCTTGAACCCAGGAGGCGGAGGTTGCAGTGAGCAGAGATTGCCCCACTGTACTCCAGCCCTGGGAGACAGAGCGAGACTCCATCTGAAAAAAAAAAAAAAAAAGGTATTCCATGAATATGTACAACAATATTATGTAGCCACACACTATTTGGATAGAGTCATAGAACTACCAGTATATCCAGTTTACCATGATTTATCTAAATAGTTATATTTGAAGAAGCATTTTCACTTATTAAGTCATACTCAGAGCACATCATAGAAATAAGATAGAAGAAATGTTTTAAATGATTCATATGTGTGTATACTTGGATTAATTTTATATGCTTCTATCTTAGTCTCTATATAACCTCTTACCTGAAAAAAAAAGGAAACACACAAATTCTAGTCTTAGTGAATGGCACATGTTGTTCAAGTAGTGTTAAAAGCAACAGATTTCTAGTACAAAAAAATTGATTTGTTTGGGCCACTGTATTTTTTGTGTTTGGCTTTTTTATAAAATTGAGGCTTGATTTATTGAAAGTCAAAATCAAATGAAATACACACACAGATGGTATCTACAGTCATTTTTGACATTAGTGTACGACAACTTTTTTGCATGAGACATTTTTGATCAAATAAATAAATTTTAAAGACTCCAATTACTTCTCATTTAGACAGCTGATGTTGTGAGGCTTCAAAGAAAAGTCATTTCTTAGGAAGTGCCACAAATGGATGAAAACTATTAGCTCTGAAAGCGTCTTTGAGATAAAAGCTTCCTGTTGTATTATGCATGATAAAGAAAATGGAAACTTCAAAAACATTTGGTTAAAATTTGACTCTATAATATAGTTTAGTTCCTGTAAAAGAACACCTATTCAGTGAGAATAAAATAGGTAGATTTTCTGTGCATGATATCAAAAGGTACAATAAGGTGGTAAAATAAACAATAAATTATGAGAAACTGTGATTGACAGTATGAAGTGCGATCATTGGAGGTGGCTAAAGTATGCTGTGGTCTTGTAGAGATGTTAGTTGAATATTTTCGAAGCCATCAGATCTAAGTACAGTAGTGCTCGCATCAACTATTAACACTAATTCATCAAATCTCAATGCACTGAAACTCACATCTGTGATTAATAGGAAGTCCTATCATTTTCATAAATCCTCAGGATAAGTGGTTACATGTAAAATCCAGGTAATAAGTCCAAATCTCAGCCCACATCTCAGACAGGGCTTGTGAAGGGTTGAGGAAAAGCAGACAAGTCAGTTTGGTTGACAGAACAAGTGACAGGGGTGTAATCACAGATGGAACCAAGACGTAAGGCAGGGAACTAGGGCAGTTCAGGTTGGTTGGATGTGAGTTGATAAATATTTGTCTGAACTCTACGTTCTGAAAGGATTCACATTCTTTCTCATGAGGCCCTCAGGTCCCATGCAAATCAGAGAATATGGAACATTCTTTGTTTTAAGGGTTCCTTTAATGTTATGTGGTAATTAGAAGCTGCTTTGGGGATAATGATTAGAAAGCTCACCTACCAACTTGCTAAGAGCCCAACATACACAATCTGTCTAAAGAGAGTCCCCCTAACTCTACAGAATGGCATATTAGATTGCCCACTCTACGTCTCTGTGGAACAATTCACCCTCTATTGCAGTTAGAAACTGTAAATATCAATCAATATTCAGTCAAGGAGAAAGGATTCACTTAGATACTTCAAGGGATTAATTCTGGGAACTGGAAACAAAGGTGATGTGGTAACTTGAAGACAAATAAAGAAGAAAGTGATGGAATGGGAATCAGAAAGTTAGGTGTAGGAGGGACTGAAAGTACAAAAGAAAGATGTTCCTCAGTGGTCAGGAGGTTCCTTCTGAAGCCATAAGCTGAAGCTCAGGAGCCCACACGCTCTGTTGAGCTGCTGGAGGTTCTGATGCTCAGCAGGAGCCATCGGCTGCTGTTGCTGCTGCTGCTATTGCTATTGCTGCTGCTGCTGAAGTTACTGAAAGTGTAATTGCTGAGGCTACTGGAGACACCAATTGCTGCACCTGAGCAGAAGCCATCACTGCACACATTGAAGTTGCTGGAGTTGTCTGGAGACCGTGGTCACTTTTAGTGGCCTTCTACTTTTCCTTTATTTCCCCCATATTTTAATCCCTTAGCTATGACCCTCACTTGTAAAACCTAATCATAATCCAGTTGCCTTGAAATACTTGGTATTGTTTTTTTCAGACTTCTAGCCCCTTGAAATACAAAAGAAAACAAGAAAAATGGAACTGAGTCGCCAGAGACCATATGTGGAACAGTCCACCCCTTTGTTTACTCAGCATCCACAAGCATACTTCTTTCTACCTATATTTAACTTCTGAACAGCAACAATTTCAATGACCTCATCACACAACTAGTCCTGATAAGATTTTTTAAAAATCATCTTTTTCCAAAAAGAGAGATGGCAAGAAAAAGGCTTACCAGTCACAATATTCTCATCTGAGTAATTTTTCCATTTTTAGTTCTATCAATTGCCTTCAGATTCTATAACCTAATCACTATCAATAAGGAGGAGGTAGAGAGGGAGAAAATATTAGTAAACACATACAAATAATAGGCATCACAAGTGAGGAAATATGCATAAAGGCTAAATCTTCACTTCTCTAAGTGTAAGTGGCTGCAAGGTTATGATTAATATTAATGTCTGTTTTGTTTCCACTCAATTTGTCTCTTGCCTCAGCCATCCTGTCAGCTGATCAGAATTATTTACCAGATAGCCTGAGCTAAAGCGTCATTTTTGAAGCATTGAGTTATTAAAGGCAATGCCTTTTTTGATGTGCTATAATCTCCTGTTAACTTTACTACTGGACACCAAAGTGCTACCAGGCACTCCTGACATAGTCCTCACTTCTCTCATTCTGTAACAGTAAACCCATTTCCTACTGATGTTTGAGATTGATCATTGCATACTAGACTTCTTTTCTTTTTTTTTTCTTTTTGCTTATTGGGTCACTGGCATGAAAATTGAAAAATATTCAAGTGTCTGTCTCAACTTTAAGTTCTCTGAAGCCATCATTTTGTTCTGGGTGGAAGCATTCCTTTCTTGAGAACTAAGACCTCAATACTAGCCAAGCTTAAAGCTGAGGTGGGGGCAAGAATAAATTCTTTTTTAATCTTGGTATTAGGATTAATGAAGAGAGGAGTCACTCTATTTCTGTACCTTGATTCCTGGGCCCAGGTATTCTGAATATGAGAGAAATAGTACAATGTATTAGTCACTAGTTTAAAGCATATATACACCATATAAGATAGGATCTCAGCCCTGGAATGTCTTGTCAGCTGGCCAAGCAGAATTTGCCATAACCATTCCACCATCCTAGTAGATAAGACGTTTTTGAATGATGGAGTACATAGTAAAGCCAATGAATCCCTTGGGAGTGAGCCTATTTTCTTCTTTTTCTATAAAATGAGTTCTTTGATTAAAAGCAATGTTATGTGAGATAATATAAAAATGAATAAGGAATTCAGTTAGGATACAAATAAGAGTGCTAAAGGCATGTTTTGGATAAAATCCAAAGTGTTTATTCCAGTGATGATGAATTATTTTCCATTCCAAGATAGAAGGGATTGACTGCACCTAGCCTGCTAGCAGGTGGTTGGCTGAATCCCTAGGTAATTGTGTCAGAGTGGGAGCTCACTATGGTGTCTGACTAAGCATTCAGCAAAGGCAATAGCAAAATCAGCCATGGTGAGGGGAAGACATTTTGAGAACTTTGGATCTACTGGAACATGAGGCCTACGTAGCAGAATAGCTTGCATTGAATATCCTGGACTTGTTAGAACCCATCTCTTATTTTGGTGTCTGCTCAAAAGTGGCAGCCTTCCAATGGGTAAACGCCTCAGAGAGACACATTTAAGTCTAGTCTCAAGGATACAAGGAGGCCCAGAAATTATTGTGCCATTTTCTTGGTGGCAGGTTGTACACAGTGTCACTTGATCTTCATGTAGGAGAACTGGACATACATGTCCTAGGCTATGTGTATTATACTAGACTACTAGACCCCAAGAATACCAGACATATATGCTCTAAACTGTGGACTTTTAGGAATCTCACTGAGGTGGCAGACTAAATTTGATTGAAATTTATTTCCTACTTTTGGTAGACAGTTAGAGGGAGAGGAGAGAGACAGACAGAGATAGGTCTAACCAAATCATCTAGAGTGTTTGCTACAACCTTCTCACAAGACATAGTCAGCATGACAATAACCAGTGACCAGTGGACCACTAGGATGACAAAATAATAAAGATTCTTGTGTACAGTATTAAGGCAGAGAGAAGAAGTGATACAGTTCTGAGTTAAAGCAGTAAAAGTGTACTGAGATGTCTGTAAGATGAAAACAAAACAAACTACTGGTGTAGTTTTTCTAATTAAAATAGGGGAAAATTAATTTGTCAAAATAGTAGTTGCATAGCAGGTAGCAGGAACTGTGCCGATTTTCTCCAGTAAAAACTCAATGAATGCTGTTGGAGTCACCACCTGATTAAATTTACAATTGTCTACTGTTATTATGATGCATTGGTCCTTTGCATAAAAAAAAGAGAATCTGAGGATACTACTACTCCTGCACCTTTCAGTACTTTGTGGTTCACCTAGGTATACAGGATTGGTTTAGTTTTATAGAGAGTGGTTGTTTCAGAGGCTTCTTGATTCTTCCTACAAAATAGACCCCACCGCGTGTTTCAGAAAACCACCTGGAGATTCTGCCAGTTCTAAGTGTGTACATTCCAACTATATACTCTAGATTGTATTTGAAGATGCAGTTGCATAGGCTAAAGCTCCAGACATCCATAAGCTACCATTCTGACTGATGGACCACAGTGGCATCTTAGGTCTCAGGAACTAGTGTCAGTGTAGAGCCAGTGTCTAGTAATTTCCACAAATCTGTATATTTTCCTTACACCAGTAAAAATTTTCCCTGTTAGGTGGCTGCAGGAGGAAGGTTCAGTTGCATACTTAGAGCATTGTCTCAATGTCCTTTCTAGAGAAAACTCATTCTGTTTTTTCCTCCATTAACAGGGTCCTGAGTCTACAAATTGAAGCAGGTCTGAGAATTTGGTTAGGAGCTGGGATTTTAAATTACGGTTAGTTTAAGTCAAGTACCTTCACCTGAAAGCGAGTAATTATTTTTCTTTTACATATCAAATGAAACATTAGTAGTCTACCCACCTATTTTAGCCTATGGGATATTTGAACAGTTAGCTAACGCCAAGATCTTTGTAGGTCATATCATTCTGATACTTCTCTGAGGCTGCTGCCCATTTACATAAACAAATTCATCTTTTCTCCAGTGATTAATCCCTGCTCTCCAGCCTCAGTCATTTGGGGATCTCATCATCCCCATTGAAATCAGAGAACCTGTGTCTATGAAGGCGTTTCCCACTGGCCTCTCTTCATGTAGAGAACGATTACTATAATACCTGGCTTTCCTGTATTGCTAGTACTTTTTAGACTACTGTATTTCTCTATGCTTCAGTGAAGCAAGTCTCTGGACCTTTCCAATTAGAAATTTGATAAGCAGCTTATTCTAAAATTTTTATATCCTTAAGATTCTTATCTGTACTGGCATGTCAACTTCATTTAATAGTCTTCAGTTCAAGCTAGGTTTCAACCAGTCATTTGAGCAAACCCTCAGTATCCCTTCTGGCCCCTTAAAGTAGTATGTTGACATTAGAATCCTTGGTCAGTTCATCCATATCCGCAAAACTGGTCAGATTCAACATTACACTCTCTTCTCCTTGTTTTAAAACAACTATAATCCATTTTCTAAAGGCAAATGTCCAGGTACCTGTAACTCTTTTATCGTCTATGTGATTCCTGGGAAGCTGCTGGAGGTACTGCTTCTGAACAAGAGCCACCGTGGCTGCTGATCCTGGGAACTATAACGTGGCTGGAGGCTTTAATCACCCACAGTCACTAACTTCTTGTAAAACTGTGAAATAGTTAGATGAATATTGCTTCTATA